>NC_000015.10:68276874-73276874 GCF_000001405.40 Homo sapiens | reverse complement strand
AGCTTCAAAAAACACTTATAAATGAGAGTTATTTCTACAAATAAAGCCTTACTAGAAATGTATAAACTAGGTGTTTCTGCAAAACATTAGAGCTAATGTCAAGTACTTCCATAAATTATCAGGAGATACATATATTCAATGAAATGAAAACATTAAAATCTGAAGTTTGTGTATGCAGTTCATCTAACAGAATAAATCCAGTGACTAAAACAATGCTATGCTTCCAGAAACTGAAAACCTACCAAAAGAAGGTAACAGGAGTTCCTGGATATCCAAAAGGGCATATTCTAGAATTTACTCACAGTCCCTGGCCCTTTTTCCATTGTCCACACATATTACTTTATCTCCTTACTTCTGATGCCATCATTTCTCCCAAGTGACACACACCATAGATTAAGAGTCCAGTTGTTCCTCATATGCTTTTCACTATGACAAAGTCTAGCTGGTGGAGATGGCTTAGCACCTGCAAGGCTCTTCAGGTTTAAGTGTACTTAGTTGACAGCTAGGCTACATTTAAGCCAAACTATCCAGAGCATTGGATTATGTACCTAATTGTCAAAGAACACACATTGCTAACAAACTGGATGGTTTATATTCCTGTATTTCCCAACATTGTTTCTCTTGAATGTAAACTATGAACAAGAAATTCCAAGGATGAACTGAGCACCAAAAATATCAATGAGTAAAGAATTTTAAATACCAGAGGTGTCAGGCAGCTAAGAATTGCACTCTGGCTATGGAATCAAGTGAGAAAACAATGAGCCCATTTATATTCTGTGCATATATATATTATGGGTATTTTTATATTCCTGCACTTTCACACAACAGAAAGTATGTTTGCAGTTTCTCCAATGTAGTGCAAAAGACTCACTGAATGCAAACACATTTCCAAAGTGTTCTGGAAAACTTGATACCTCAAGTTCTGACTCTTCCTTGCCATTAGCCAAGATCCAAATAACTTGCAATTCTAACAACTACTCTTAAACCAAGAGAGCAATAATTAAATTTACTTTTAATGTTCATTCTCAGTATGGAAAACATACTAGCATTAGCTGACTTCCTAGAGATAAAAATCACAAAATATAGCTATCCCTCCACCATGGCAGTTACAGTGTAAAGACTATTGACAGATGGTTTCAAGAATGGTGACATGGAGGCCCCTGTTTGCTAGGTCCCCATTTCAATTATCACTATTATTATTATTTATTTACTTTTTTTTTGAGACAGGGTCTCACTCTGTCACCTAGGCAGGAGTGCAGTGGTGTGATCACGACTCACTGCAGCCTCCACCTCCCAGGCTCAAACCATCCTCCCACCTCAGCCTCCGGAGTAGCTGGGATTATAGGTGCGCACCACCATGCCCAGCTAACTTTTTTTTCCTATTTTTTGTAGAGAGGGGGTCTCACTTTGTTGCCCAGGCTAGTCTTGAACTCTTGGGCTCAAGTGATCCTCCCACCTTGGCCTCCCAAAGTGCTGGGATTACAGGCCTGAGCCACCGTACGTGGCCTAAGTTTTTATTTCAAATAGTTTTGATCCTCTTTTAATATGATCAGATATATTTAAGGGGAGAAATGAAAAAAGAGCTCTGAATTAAGTTTATGGTAACAGAATAAACAAAGCAGTAATTTAGTCACACAGAATCACAACATTGAGTAAGGTAAATTTGTGGATTCTTTGTGGGAAGAGGAAAATAGGGTATTCACTGAATGTGATACAACTTTCCACTTAAAGACACTAATAAAATTCTAGATGCTACAAATATAAACAATTGGTATGATCAAATATGAACAACTGCTGCAAACATGAACAATTGGTATGATCGGTCTAATCATGACTTAAATGCTTATCGTTGTCACAGAACTTCAATATCTCAGCACAAAGGATGATCTGATCCACACTTAAGACGAATCTCCTACAGCTGCAGGACCAGTTTACTGGTTCAGTTTTCTTCTGCCAGCCTAGTTAGCTTCTACATAAATTCCCCAGCTTTTCAGAACATGGACTCAACTCTACTTTGGCCAATAACTGTGTGGCTTTTAACACATGGTGCTGATTTTTCAGGAAAAAAAAAAAAAAAAGAAACAAAAACCAAAAGCTAATAATAGGTCACAAAAGAAAGGAAAGAAAAGAGAGGCCATCTACTCATTTACCTTGATCATTAGGCATTTTATCAGAGGAGTCCGCTAACAGGCCAAGCACAGGGGAAGAAAAAACAAGAGCAAGGATCACAAGCTTTGAAGATGGGACAGGCAGAACTTTTTAAAGGAAAAAAACTAAAACCCCCACAAACTTCCAAACAAACTGAAACTTGACTTTAGTACTAACAGAAATTAAATTCATACAGGGCTTCCATAATTCCTTAGATTCAGTCCCCAGTTAAATTTTATTAGGCTAGGCTTACTTGGTTCAGTGCTTTATCTTCATTTTCTTATCTAGGGTTTTATTTAAAAGGCTCTTTTTAGTCTCTTTTTCTCTGTAACGTCCACAAATAAGTCTTTCAGGTTAATAGCCTGCCTGAGTTGAACTATCCATCACAAGAACACACTACTCTTTCTCTATATGGGAACCAAAAGAATCATATCTGATCTGACCAGTAAAAACTTTTAGATCACTGCAATTGATCTGCCCCAAATAGCCTGGAACCAGTGTCCTCTTTTATATGATATGTTTAGGCTGGTAACCCAGGGAGCACTGATTTGGTCAATGAGTAGGTGAGGAATCATTCTGGGATAAATCTTCACATCATGGCTCACAAGCTCATCATTAAGACTTCATATACTATCCACAGACTCTATATGCTCAAGTGATAGTGTCAGCATAGCCCCACTAAAGAGACACACAACAAAACCCTCAGCTTGGGGAGCATTACCTTTAGGTGTTCTGAATTGGACAGCTTCAGACATGGGTCCCATGCCCTTTGAGTTCCGTGCCTGGATTTTGAAGTAGTATGGTGTGTCAAGAGTTAACTCTTGTATCTGGTGAGTCAGTCTGTTTCCCACAACAGGCTCAATAACCCAGTCATGTATCTCTGCATTCACATCTGTACTGTAATATATGATGTAACCTGTCCAAAGGAATTAATGGGAAAAGAAATCTCACTCCTGCTTTTCCTTTTGCCTTCAGTAAATCAATAAGTACCTATTATATCATATGAATATTATAGCATAATATTTGAATAATGTACCCTCAAGGGTCTACAATTAAAATAATTCAGTTTTGAAAACCAGGAATTGCCTGACAGGCTGTTTTAGCTCTTACCGATGTGATCTCCTAGGAACTCCTGGGCAGAGCCACAGTGAACTGTCACCTGATACTTCCACCAGGGGGCACTTAATCCCCACATTGAGAAGGGAAGCATCACAACCATGAATCTATCTGACCCACAGCAAAAGGGCACTGCGCTGTTGCCGGTTTTAAAAGACAAAGTAAAATGTAATCCAAGTCAAGTCATGATTCATTCTTTCACAAAAGAGGCAAAGTCAAAACCTAAAAAAATGACATAAAGACCAGGATGTACAGAAAGAGATTCCTACTGAAAGCAAGAAGCAGGACAGTGCTAAGAAACACTTTCCATTTCCTTAGGCCACCTATTCATACAGAGGAACTTCAGGGCAAACCCCAGTTCCTCAGCACACACCTACATGGGCCAGAGGCGCCAAAGGAAGTAAGAGCAGCTGAACCCCATCAGGCTTCCATCCCTGATAAGGCTGAGGAAGGCAGAGTGTCCCCTCTACTGTGGAAGGTTTTCCTCTGAAAGTACAAGGAAAAAATTCCAGGTCCCTACAAAGACCTAGGCAAGTTCACTTTTAACTCTAATTATAAGAGCACAGGTACTTGAAGTAGCAGGTCTCGGGGGGCAGTGAAAAGGAATTAAATATCTAATGGGCTTTTTTTTTTTTTTTTTTTGTGGCTTCAGGGTACAAGAGCAGAATCTCTGTTTATTGGGTATTACTCTACAGAACCAGGGAGGGGGTATATAATTCTGAAGCTGTCCATCTAGGCGGAGACAGAGAAGAGCAGCTTTCCTAAGGAAAATAAATGTCTACAAAGTCCCACTATAGCCAAAGGCTGTCTAGTGCCTCCCATCCCCGACTGCAGTCAGAACCACCAACAGGCAACCCATTTTATGCCGCTATGGGCGACCAGCACAGCCTCACCCCAATTTCAAGGACCATCATGACTCACACCTTACCATAAAATGACCAAGCCAGCCTTCAGACTCCCACTTCTCCCAGCAACATGGTACTCTCCTGGAATACTCCTGTCAGGCAGGAAGAGCGCACAAAGAAATGCACACTTGATTGCATTTTACCTGTAATTTTGCCATTGGCTTCGGAGGGAGGCTGCCAATTCACAATTATGGTCTTAGGTTTCCCCTCTTTACTCACAACAGTCACATCCTTGGGTGGAGAAGTCGGAACTACAAAATAACAAAATTTTTAATAATTTCTGTCCATTTCAAATTAGTTCACTATTTCTTCAACCTTTTCCACTTGTAAGGCAAAATAAAGGGCACAAGGCAAAAAAGATAAAGCTTCTGGCTTCAAAGAAATCACAGTTTGTCTATCAAAAGTTCCAATCAAAAGAAGAATATTCAGAGTACCAAAGAGGAAATACCATACTATGAAGATACAGAATTGGCATCTTGGCTGGGAGTCAGGGATAAACAGGATAATTAGGTAGGAAAGTCAAGTGGCATTTGTACCAAGTACCTACCGTATACCAGGTAACGTACACATAGTATCTCACTTAGTATTTGTAGAAAATTTGAAAGGTAGTTATCACTATCTCTGCTTTATGGATCAGGACACCAAAAAATTAGAGAAGTTATGTAATTCGTCCAAGATGACTTCTTCCCTGTCACACTGGATTATTTTGTTAGAATACTGTAAATTGTAAAACAGTTTTCTCTCTCATTTATAGTTGGCTCTCCAAACCAAATATAGCTGTTTTTTTTTTTTTTTTTTTGAGATGGAGTCTAGCTCTGTCACCCAGGCTGGAGTGCAGTGGCACAATCTCTGCTCATTGCAACCTCTGCCTCCTGGGTTCAAGTGATTCTCGTGCCTTAGCCTACCGAGTAGCTGGGATTACAGGTGCGCACCACCACATCCAGCTAATTTTTGTATTTTTAGTAGAGATGGGGTTTCGCCATGTTGGCCAGGCTGGTCTCGAACTCTTGGCCTCAGGTGATCCGCCCACCATGGCCTCCCAAAGCACTGGGATTACAGGTGCAAGCCACCACTCCCAGCCCCAAATATAACTTTTAAAAGCCCTATTTCTTCAAAGAATAGATGATTTACAGATTAATATTTTTCACTATGAGTTTATTCTGCAAACATACTGCCAACTATTGAGGTTACAGCTCTAAAGTGAAGCTGTTCGTTTATGCAACAGGACAATACGTTTCCTGTGTTTCCATGTGATAGCTGAAAACTTTTAACACACTAGTAGGAAAATGAGCAAATTAAGTACATCCTTAAATTTACTCAACTCTTCCTAAAATACTAGAATTCTCTTAGTATAAAATGTAAGGAAGCCTGGTGAAATGCAAATATCCTAAGGGAAAACACAATCTCATTTGTTATCTAATGGGTTAGGATTGAAGTAAAAACATTTTCTTAAAATGGTTGGCAAAGAAAGCAAACTCAAGGTCTATTTAAACTTTGATGTACTGTATTTCTAACTCTTCAAATCCAACCCTTCTCTCTGTACAAAGTCCAGTGAACTGTGCAGAAGACAAAAAGACACTGAGGCCAAGCCCAGTTTGTGGAGAATTTATAACTCCATTATTCATATAGGAGAGAAATAGGAGGCCAAAATAGACAGAGATTTGAAATGGTTATGCATATCCCTAGACTAGGAAAGCCCAGGGGGTAGCAGAAAGGCATGTCTAAAAGTCAGCAAAAACCAAACAGAATCTCAAACCCAGATAGCCTGTTCTCTCTTTAATTTGCTTAGTCATCTTTTCCCTCTCGTGTCCACTTACAAAGACCTTAAGGATTATTTCAGTGGAAGATTTTATAAGACGCTAATTTGCTTGCAAGCAAACTGCAGAGGCAGCTTTGGGGTCACCCAGCAAAGTGTTCAGGCTCCAAGCAAGCATGGCATTGGAACTGCCTGGTCAAGGGCAGGTCACTTCATCTTTTCTATCTCAGTTTACCAGTAAAGCAGGATTAATGGCAATAATCCCTTACATCTACCCAGTGCTTTGTAATTTATCATGTTTTCCCTGTAGTATCCTGTTATTTGCTAATGTTCTTGTTCAGTAATTAAAAACACACAACTTGTCAGCTGAAATAGCAAACACTGAATTCCAAATGTAGTTGCTCACTGTGTTTTGTAAATATGTCAATTCAGGCACTCAATTCTTTCCTTGGGAAGTAAAAGCAGCCATGTGACATGGCTTCTGACAACACATACCTAATTCAAAGGTGGTCCCATGGGCTGTCATACTCCATGTACTTGATCTTCGACCTTTGGTCACCATCACAGAGAATTCATAGAGTGTATTCGGCTTTAAACCAGTCACCAAATAACTCAAAGTGGTTGCATTTGCATTCTGAAAAAAACATGAATTGAGACTTTAAAATTAGAAAGTATCAATGATTAGCTTTTTTCAGCCAGGGCAAATGTGTCAGTACCTTGTACTTGGTGTTTGCTGGGATGTTGGTTTTCCATCGGACGGTGTAGTATCGGGAGTCTGTAATCTTCTGGTGCTTGGGCAGCGAGTTGTCTGCCCACGTAATCCTGATGGTGTCATGACTCAGAATGGAAGCCTGAACTCCCACTGGTGGCATCATGGGAGTGGGATCTGGCACTGGAGTGTATGGAGCATTAATAACAAATAAATCAACTTCAGAAGTGTCTGAGCAGAAAATAATTTAAAAAGGGAAGTGGCATTTTAATGTAAACAAAAATAAAATAAAAGGGAAATGCAGGGTAATATAATGGAATGAAAGGTGAGAAATGGAGAAAAAGAAAGAAAATTCAGAGTTAATAGATAACCACCATTCATTTAAAAGACTATTTCCACTTGTGTTCTTTCAGGAAAAAATTACAGAAAAATGTTAAGAGAAGCAGTAATAAACTATATTCTCTACTGCATTCTATAGGCATATTAAAATGTTATAATCCAGTGATTATATTAATGTATTCGTGCTTGAATTTTCTTAAAATAACTTGAAAATTCTACTTCCTGTTCAAAAAGCCTCATGAGGCCAGGTGCAGTGGCTCATGCCTGTAATCCCAGCACTATGGGAGGCAGAGGCGGGCAGATCACCTGAGGTCAGGAGTTCAAGACCAGCCTAGCCAATATGGTGAAACCTGTCTCTACTAAAAATACAAAAATTAGCTGGGCATGGTGGCAGGTGCCTGGGGTCCCAGCTACTCGGGAGGCTGAGGCATGAGAATCGCTTGAATCTGGGAGATGGAGGCTGCGGTGAGCTGAGATTGCACCACTGTACTCCAGCCTGGGTGACAGAGCAAGACTCTGTCTCAGAAAACAAAAAAACCCCAAAACCAAAAAGGCTCACGAAGACAAAAACTGCTTTTAGAATCAGGGGTACAATTTCTAAACAAGCAATACAAACCTCATGGTTTGAGATTTCAGTGAATGTGGCTGAATTTTTGGGACAAGAGTTATCTGTGCATATCACTATTCATGTAAGGGTCCAACACTCAAACCTGAGTCTTGAATGTCAGCCATGGGTATTGACGGTATCTGATACCCACAAAGGGTCAAGTTCAGACCTCCTGATGTCCTGGGTCTAATGGCAGTACAGTGACATAGCTGACACCCAAATAAAGCAAAAGGAACTCAAGGGTGTACTCTTCCTTCAGGAAAGGTAAGCTGACACCATGCTGGACTATCTACCATAGTTTCTTCCACAGAGTCAGAGAACAACCCAGTGATGAATTCCCATCAGTTAACGGAAATGCCATGGTTATCACAGTTCCAAGTAACAAACTTCACAAACTTTAGAAATCAGAGTACTGTACAGTACTTATTTGATGGAAAGTCTATACTCATGGAGCTGTCCTGTGCCATATACAACAGACACCTTCTCTGAGGCCAGAATGAGCACAAAAGCACCATGCACCATGGGCCCAGGGCAATACAGCAGAATCCATACGGGCTTTCCCAATTCATGCTTAGGTTTTCTAAGTTTACACATACTGATTTAAGTTCACAGTTTACAATGGGTTTCTCACATAGTCATGGTGACTAGCCCTTATTACTCAAAATGTGGAATGGCATGGACCTTGTTTATGAATAATTGCTAAGCTAAAGTAATAGTCTCCATTTGTGTATTTCCTGTGCAATGAGGACTAAAAATAACAGAGGAGTAGCATACATTATATAACCAAGAGCTTTGTTCAAAGTTTGGCAGGACACATACCAATTAGTTACAGAAAATGCACCTTCAGGTGTAGAAGTCATTAGAATTCTTGTAGAAATTTTTTTTCTTATATGTAGCAACCCTTAGAAAACATATCTAGATTACATGACTTAGGAACATTTTCTTGTGTATTTCTAGCTAGTAGGCTATATTTTTAAGCCACATAAAAGGAAGTAATGTCAAATTTGTTTTTTACTATTATAGCCTGATTTTAGAAAGTAGCAGACCACTTATTTAAATACTTTTTCACTTAATTTTTGCTCCTTTTTGTAATACTAAAGCTATTTCTAAAAGAAATTATAAACTGTAAGCATATAGAAGACAGAACAGAACTACCAAACATGTAGTAGTCTTAAATAGAAGCTTAAAAAAAAGGACAGAGAATATTAGGCCCCCTGATGTTCTGGGTCTAATGGCAGTAGAGTGACATAGCTCACACCCAAATAAAGCAAAAGGAACTCAAGGATGTACTCTTCCTTCAGGAAAGGTAAGCCTTCCTTAAGAATGTTACCAAATCTGCACAATTATGCAACATATCCAGCAGATATCACTGGACAATAAAGAATCAAAATTTTTGGAAATAAATGAAAAAGAACATTTCCGAAAATAAATTCTTTGGTTTCCAGTGCCCTTTTAAAAAATTTATAACTCTAAGCAAAGACTTGGAACCAACCCAAATGTCCAATAATGATAGACTGGATTAAGAAAATGTGGCACATATACACCATGGAATGCTATGCAGCCATAAAAAATGATGAGTTCATGTCCTTTGTAGGGACATGGATGAAGCTGGAAACCATCATTCTCAGCAAACTATCGCAAGGACAAAAAACCAAACACCGCATGTTCTCACTCATAGGTGGGAGCTGAACAATGAGAACACATGGACACAGGAAGGGGAACATCACACACCAGGGCCTGTTGTGGGGTGGGGGGAGGGGGAGGGATAGCATTAGGAGATATACCTAATGTTAAATGAAGAGTTAATGGGTGCAGCACACCAACATGGCACATGTATACATATGTAACAAACCTGCATGTTGTGCACATGTACCCTAAAACTTAAAGTATAATAAAAAAAAGAAAAAAAATTTATAACTCTAACATATTCAATAAACTTTCTCTTTCAGATCTAAATTAGATGTCTTATATATCTATAGAAAAATTTACATGACATGTATATTACTTTATTTTAGAGATTTTTGTTTGTTTTGTTTTTTGAGACAATCTCTCTCTGTCGCCTAGCCTGGAGTGCAGTGGCACGATCTTGGCTCATTGCAAGCTCTGCTTCCTGAGTTCATGCCATTCTCCTTCCTCAGCCTTCCGAGTTGCTGGGACTACAGGCGCCCAGCACCACGCCTGGCTAATTTTTTGTATTTTTAGTAGAGATAGGGTTTCACTGTGTTAGCCAGGATGGTCTCGATCTCCTGACCTCGGGGTCTGCCTGCCTTGGCCTCCCAAACTGCTGGGATTACAGGCATGAACCACTGCACCCGGCCTTTAGAGATATTTTAAGTAGATAATTCAAAGAAAAACAATGAATATTTGGTCTCGTTTGTAATAAATGTATAACTGATCAAATGGATAGTACCTCTGACCTTATACTCAAGCTTACAAAAGGCACATAGAAAAACACTTTCCTAACCAACTCAGGTGGCTAGTAACCAAATGATGTTGGGTTCACGAATCGCATGCATTTATTGCCACCGTCAGTAACCTACATTTTTTGTTTTTGACTCACTTTAGTTTCAACTCACATGCCCAAAAGACGGAAAATCACTTTTAATTATCTAAAAACTCTGCTTTCCACATCCTAACAGATTAAAAACGTGTATATATCTACACAGAATGGCTTACGTGGCAGAATTAGAATCTTCCAAAAAAAAAAGCAAAACAAATTAACAGAACTTTCCATGCTGAAAGCCCACTTTCCCATTTGAAGTCAGCACCCGAAACTGCCATATGCTTTTTCTTCCCTAACACCTATGGGATAGGCCTCATGCCAATATTCTGCCTAAGCTGCTAGGAAAAGTGCTGGAGACTAGGAAAGATAGGATACCTTACCTGTGTGAGGCCTGGTCACAGCACTCTCATACAGGGGGATGCCTTCACCCACGTTATTAAATGCTTTCAGGGTAATCACATAGTGAGAGCTGGGATCTGAAAAAAAAGAAACACACATTAAAAAAATGCTCACTACAGAATTTTAAAAATTCAAGGGTGGCTGTGCATAATCTTAACCACAGAAGAATTCAAGAAAGACAACTTTAAAAATTTTTATGGGGGATTATTTCAGGTTGTAGGGAGATATGGAGATGGAAGTACACACAGTACAGAAAAACTGGCTGGGACCAACTTCCCGGATTTAGTCTCAGTAGAGGAGGTGGGCTGTGTTTGAATTCTCTCTTGGTCTCTCCTATGGTTTAGTGATGTTCAGGGTATGGTGTAGGGCTTGGCTGAGAATGAAGAGATAAGATTTAATGTGCTGAAGTCTATAGATGGAGCTTGGAATTAAACAAACCCCTTTCATTCCTGGAAGGACAGCGATGGGAACAGACAAGGTAGAGAAGAAGGAGATAAACTGTTAAGTCAGTTAAGTGCTCAATGTCCTTGACTCTCCAAGTGGCCTCCAAATCCAGAAATGGCCAAACCTCACCTAGCCATCATGCCTCATGAGCCATGCCTCATGTGGCTCAAAAGCTTAAAACAGCTGCTTTTCTTGGCGGCCCACCCACTCCCTAGATTGCCACTAGAGGGCAACAAATAGAGGCACCTGGTCTTCCTGTGTCAGAACTAACAACAAATGGAATCAGTAAGACTTACTTCGTGACTGGCAAGGAAAAAGTGCTTTGGGCAACACAGTAGATAGCAGTGTCATTCACTGAGATTGGGAAAAGGGGCAAGAGCAACCATAATACACATGTGCAAGGCTTGATTCTAGGTCCTCTTCTATTCCCACTCTTCGCTCTCACCCTATGCACTTTCATTCATTTCCTTAGCTTTGATTAGCATGTATGTGTCATCAATTACAAATACAGATCTCTAGTCTGGATCTTTCTTATGAGCACCAGACCTTTATGTTCAATTGTCTGTTTGGCATTTCCTCTTGGGTGTCTCAAATCTTTCCCTTCCCACCCTGCCTCCAGCTTCAGATCGGCTCCAGTGTCCCCTGGTTTAGTAAACGACACTACCACCAACCCTGCTGCTCAAGCCAGAAACCTGGGAGTTATTAAGACCTCCTTTTCCCTCATCCCCTCCAGACAAACAATCAAGTTTTGTTGAATCTACTACTTGTCTTCTCCCACCACTCTTTGCCTAGTTCTCTGTGCTCCATCATTACCGGCCACTTATCAGTTCACTGAGCACTGTGTTCTCTCCAACACAGGGCCTTCTCGCTTGCAGCTGCTCCCTATGCTGGGGTCACATCCCACTCTTCCTGTTTACCTAGGTAAGCGCCTATTCATCTCAAAGGGCTCATTCCACACTGGACTAGCCTCTCTAGTTACACAGCCCATTTCTCTCCCTCAGCACCGTGAACAATTTCAATTATTTTTGAATTGTATTATTTCTAATAATTGTGAGAACGTCTGTCTCATTCTCTGCTCTATCTCTAGCACAGTGTCTGGGACATTGTAAGTGTTTATTAAATATTTGCTGATTGATCAACAGGTTTGAGGGAGAAGGCATTAACTTTAATTTTGGGCCAGATGGAATATGAGATATATCCAGGTGCTGATACCCAGTAGGCAGATGTTTATATGGATCTGAAGGTCAGGGGAGAGTTCCAGGATGATGAATAGATGAATTGCTAACTGCATTTCTCCACCTCTCACTTGCTTCTTTTACTCAACATCATAGGCATCTTAGATCTATCTAGGTCAATAATTATAGCTCAAGCTTATTTTACTTTATGCTGCATTAATTTTTTTGCTACTCTGCAATGTGCACTCCATTTTCTAATAAATTCTATCTGCTTACTCTCTTCTGCACATGCAGCACTCCTCTCATCTCTCTATTTCAAACGCTATTTTGATTCTATCTTTCAAGCTCAGGGGTTTCTTCCCTGACTGCTCTACTGTGTCTTGCTATAGCGTTCTCCCTTCTCTGAACAAAATTCACTTCAACTCACTTCACTGTTTCTTGTGTTTTCTTTTTGTTCTGTTAGACTGAAAGCACCTGAAGATCAAGGACCATGTCCTGTCAATACTGCAAAGGAGTTTCACATCAGTAGTTGCATAAAGGAAACAGTATGAAGCTGGTCACTACAGGGACATTTTTTTTTTTTCTTTTCAGACAAAGTCTTGCTCTGTCACCCAGCTGGAGTACAGTGGTATAATCAGGACTCACTGCAGCCTTGACCTCTAGGGATCAAGCGATCCTCCTATCTCAGCCTCCCGAGTAGCTGGGACTAGAAGCACACACCACCATGCCTAGCTAATTTTTTAAATTTTTTGTAGAGATGAGGTCGCAATATGTTGCCCAAGTTGGTCTTGAACGTCTGGGCTCAAGCGATCCTCCTGCCTTAGCCTCCCAAAGTGCTGGGATTAGAGGTGTGAGCCACTGTGCCTGGCCAGACATTTTTATTCTACCAGCAAAGCTTTCCTTTTGCTAACAATTGTCTTAAAAGATGTTCACGTGGGGGATACATTTCCTAGGTTAACTGTACTGTTTCTTCCTTGTAAGGAAAAAGCTAAAGGTTACTTTTTTTTTGAATATTTAAATCCCAGCTTATTTTTTAACAGAAAGGATGAATATAACTCTTCTGTTAGGCACTTGAAGTTGTTCTTAGAAAAGATGTTTACAAAGAAACGATCTGAATGAAAATTTGGTCAGGGCAGATTTTAATTTTAGAAACAAGTGTTTCAAAAAAGATCTATAACGATAATCCAATTTGGAAAAGTAATTATACCTAACAAAATAAATTATTTATTATAAAATATAAATATTTCTCAAATTCTTTTGCTTTTAAAATCAACAATGAGGCCGGGTGCAGTGGCTCACGCCTGTAATCCCAGCACTTTGGAAGGCTGAGGTGGGTAGATCATCTGAGGTCAGGAGTTTGAGACCAGCCTGGGGCAACATGGTGAAACCCCATCTCTACCAAAAATACAAAAATTAGCTGGGCATGGTGGCGCAAGCCTGTAATCCCAGCTACTCAGGAGGTTGAGGCAGGAGAATCATTTGAACCCAGGAGGTGGAGGTTGCAGTGAGCTGAGATCGCGCCACTGCCCTCCAGCCTGGGCAACAGAGTGAGATGCTGTCTCAAAAAAAAAAAAAAAAAAAAAGTCAACTATGAGGTATAATTAGCATATAATAAAATGTATCCATTTAACTGTACATTTACAGTTTTGACAAATATATATACCTTGCATCATAACCACCAAAATCAAGATATAGAACATTTCCAATACTCCGAGAAGCTCCCTGGTGCCCTTGTAGTTGATTCCTAACACCCCTGGTTCCAGGCAACCACTGATCTTGCTTTGTCACTATAGATAAATTCTGCCTATTTTGTAATTCACAAAATATAACAGTGTTTGACGTCTTTGGTCAGCATGTTTATGAGATTAATTTCTGTTGTGTCTTGATAGCCTATTAATTGCTGAGTAGTACTCCATGGATATATCACGATTTACCACTTACCTGTTGATGAAAATTTGTTATTTCCCCTTGTTCATAAAGTTACTATGAACATTGTATATAAGCTTTTACACAGACATGTATTTTTATTTCTTTTAATTATCTACGTGTGGGATTACTGGGTTATAACTTTACAAGAAACCTCTAAACTGTTTTCCAAAGTGGTTGTACTGTCAAACATTCCTACCAGCTAGTATGAGCATTCCAGTTCTGTATCCTTGTTGATATTTGTTATTGCCAGTCTACTAACATTTAGCAATTCTAGCGGGTGTGCAATAGCATTTCATTGTGGGTTTAATTTGCATTTTCTGATGATTAATGTTGCCGAGCATCTTTTCATATGGTTATTGTCCACTCATATATTTTCTTTGGTATAGTGTCTGTTCAAATCTCCTGCCCACTTTTTATTGGGTTACCTTCTTATTATTGAGTTGTAAGAGTTTTTATATATTTTGGACTCAAATTCTTTGTCAGATATTTAAATGGTGGGTATTTTCTCCAAGTCTGTGGCTTGCCTTTTCATTTTATTGGTATGTTTCTAAAAGTAGAAGTTTTAAAATTTTGATGAAATCCAATTTATCAATTTTTAAATTTTATGATTTGTGCTGTTTTACAACCTAAGAGGTCCTTGCCTATCCCAAAGTCATAAAGATTTTTTCCTACACT
Source organism: Homo sapiens (assembly GCF_000001405.40). Taxonomy (NCBI): domain Eukaryota; kingdom Metazoa; phylum Chordata; class Mammalia; order Primates; family Hominidae; genus Homo; species Homo sapiens. The sequence continues at coordinate 73,262,169 of NC_000015.10, read as the reverse complement.
TTCTTCTAGAATTGTTGTCCCAAAGTCATTGGGTCATTTGCATTTAGGTCTGTTTTTGCATATAGCGTAAGACAAGGGTTAAAGTTCCTTTTCTTTCTCATATGGATATCCAGGTATTCCCACAACTTTTGTTAAAAAGACTGTCTTCTCCCCACTAAATTATCTAAGCAGCTTTTCTAAAAACCAACTGACTATATACATATGGATCTATTTCTGGACTCTATTCTGTTCCATTGATGTATAACATCTTCCTTTACAATACCACCACTATGTCTCAATTATAAGAAGACATGAAATCAGCTAGTATGGGTCTTCTAATTTTATTCTTTAAAAAAATTGTCTATTCTAGTTCCTTTGATTTTTCATAAAAATTATTAGAATCAGCTTATCAATTTCTACAAAAAAGCCTATTGTGACTTTTCTTGGACTGCACTGGGGAGAATTGTCACCTTAGTAATATCACGGCTTCCAACCAGTGAACATGGTATCTTAAGTATTCTTTAATTTCTCTCAGTAACAATTTTCTATTTTCAGTGCACAGATATTACACACATTTTATAAGTCTGCTCCTATGTACTTCATATTTTTTGATGCTATTCTACGTGGTATTGTTATTTTAATTCCAATTTCCAACTGCTTATTATTAGTATATGGAGATACAACTGTTTTTGTATATTCACTTTGTATCTTGTGGCCTTGCTAAATTCACTTATAGTTTTAGTGACCTTTTTGTAGATTCCTTAGGATTTTCTACCCCAGTTACAACGAACAGATATAGTGACCAGATATTGGTTTCCAAAATCATTTTACTGTTTTTGTATATTCACTTTGTATCTTGTGGCCCTTTTGTAGATTCCTTAGGATTTTCTACCCTAGTTACAATGAATAGATATAGTGCCCAGATATTGGTTTCCAAAATCATTTTTCATAAAATAAATCAGGGTTCCTTAGAGAAATGGCTGGTTCCAGGGCCGAGGCTAGTGAAATACTAGATGAGCCAGGAACATCTTACTATGTTGTCAAAAAGGAAGAAAGTGCTCAAAGAAAGATGGAAGATGTCAAATGGACACAGGAACCAGTTATAAAGAGATTCCCATTGGCCATTCTCTTCATAGGGGTGAAAGAAAGTTCTTCCTTATCACAGGATGTTAACACGTGTAGAGGAAATATGGAATTAGAAAATCACCACTGGGGAAACACCATTCTAATAACTGTTACTACAGATGCTGAAACTAGGGAGTGAAAGTGTAATGGGAAACAAGATGTTTATAAAGACTCAAAGTATCTCATCCACAAGATACTTTTAATTACCAAGGAAAAAAATAACAATTTTATAGCAGGAAAATGTGGCAGATACCGTTTTAGCCAACTGATTAAAGTTAACATCATTATCAATATAGGCTGTAATGTGCCTCCTGATATGATGCACTGACAGAAACCCAACACTTCTACCCTATTCCTTCCAAAAATGCAAAACCTGAATGTAATGAAGAAATATTAAGCCAAGTCTAAATTGAGGGGCATTCTGCAAAATATAGCTGTAAATGTGGTTAAATGTTAACATTTGGGGAATTCAGGTGAATAACATGCAGAAATTACTTGTACTATTTTCGCAATTTTCTTGTAAAAATAAAAATATTACATAAAAGGTTAAAAAGAAAGGAATCTCCCACACAATTAACTTTCTCTACTTAGCAAACATACCCAGATTTTCAATGGTGTAATAGCGCTGTTTATAGTCCACTTTGATGGTCTGGGCATGAGGGCTGCCAATGCCATAACCAATGGCGTAACCTCTGACCACAATGTTCTGATTCTCTGGAGGAGTCCAGCTCACTACGATGCTAGTAACGAGCGGGCGTACGTGAAGAGAGCTAGGCACTTCAGGAACACGAGTTTCTGGGAAGGAAAAGTGGAAAAGCAAGATGAGATATACTGTCCTTTAAAATATCTCACCATCCTTGGGGAATGGTGTTTAGCTTCCTACCACACTGTTTGGGGCTAAGTTTTTTACATTATGCCCAAGAGTTCAAAAAGAATCTGTATGTATAGTGAAATACAGCCCATGATTTTACTGCATTCTAAGAAAAAAAAAAAAAAAAGACCTGAACAGCTTTAAATACAAGACACTGCAATATTAATTTGGAAGAGAAAACAAAGAGATACAAGAACCTCTTCTGCCCCAATGGAGAAAAATAAATTGCCTTTCAATAGTTACCATCTCTCTTGGTCCCACATCCATTCCCAAACTCTACCAGGTGGAATGAGAAAGGCATAAACTGAGTAGTGGGAAGCCTGTTGTTAACAGGTGTTTAAGCATCACATTATAGCAATAGCACCAATTATTTACTCCCCTAAGTAGTATGGTAAGTCAGAAAACATGAAAGTTTGGAGCCACAGTTGATTCAATTGGTGAGAGACTAAGAGGCTTACAAAGGAGGAAATTTACATGCTCTTTCACATACACTGTTTTCAGGGCATAAGTTACTACCTTAATTTAAAAATTAGTAAACTGAGGCCAGGTATGGTGGCTCATGTCTGTTGTCCCAGCACTTTGCAAGGCCAAGGAGAAAGAATCACCTGAGCCCAGGAGTTCAAGACCAGCTTGGGCAACATAGTGAGACCCTGTCTCTAAAAAAAAATAGCTAAGTGTGTTGGCACACACCCGTGGTCCCAGCTGCTCAGGAGGCTGAGGTGGGAGGATCGTGCTTAAGCATGGGAGGTCGAGGCTGCAGTGAACCATGACTGCACTCCAGACTGGGTGACAGTGTGAGATCCCTTTTCAAAAAAAAAAAAAAATTAGTAAAATGAGACTCAGAACAAGAACTCAGGTCTTTTGCCTCCCAAGTCCAGCACCTATCACTGATAAAGGTGCTACCTATACACACCCATTTGGGAGTACTCACTGAATAAACATGTGAGAAAAAGGGCAAGGTGTCCAGGACTAAAAGAAAAGGGAAACTGCAGTTGAAATAAAGGCATGATTTATGTGGCTCAGCCTTAAATTTTAGATCATCCATCTACTTAATGGCCTTGATTAAAAAAAAAATCCAACTTATAGCACATACACATTTTTATTTGCTCTAGTTCTGCTTGAAAGGACAGTTCTCTACAAGGCACTGCAAAAAATCCATTCCAGCAGCCTCGATGCAATACAGGAACAACAGCAGCGTGATGCACTAAAGTTCACAGACTTGAGCCATATCCACCCCAAGTCTGTGGCTTTCCAGTTTGACTCATTTGACTACAGCTAGTATCTATTGTGTTCCAGTCTTGCCAATTGTTATTCTTACCATCTAGGTCACTTTCAAAAGTTTCAGCAGACAGCCAGTCAGTTGCCGGGCCTGTACCATTGATTGTTAGAGCAGCCACTCGGAAATTATACTCAGTCCCCCGATCAAGACCTGAGACCAAATGACAAAGAAGACAACTGAAACAAGAGCTTTGGAAAAACAAAAGATTAATAATCCCTCATTAAGGCAAACATCTCAGTCACCAACTCAGTATATAGCTTGGCAAAGTTTCAGTTTAAGTTAATACAGTGTAGGCAAAATGCAAATACAACATAGAGTAGCTTCCATCTCCAAATAAAGCAAAGACTGAAGCCCACACAATCTAAGAGGAAAACAGAAATGACTGAAGCTCCCAGGAGATTACAGACTTTTGTTTAAGAGCTTGAAGGCACCTCAGAGATCATTTAATGCAATCCCTTTATTGTGTTACAAAGAAAGCTAAGGCCAAAAGAGGCCAAGAACAATGAAAGAGTTATAAAAAAGGAACAAAGGTATCTGGTCTTAGAAGGCACTAAAACCTAGGAAAGAATGCAAAGATGTAACTCCTATTGAGTTACCTCTGTTCTCTGAGCCACCTCATAATCATGGCAGAAAAATTTTAAGCACCAAATACGGTCTCAAAATCTATTCCTTAACAACCAATTGCTCATATATTATATAGTAAGTAAAAGTGGAAAATGACCCAAACCTTTCTGTTATGCAACTTTTAATTTACTACCAGCTAATAAAGTACATGACTTACCAATGTATCAAACGCAACAAACATGCACATAGAAAAGTCTATTCTACAAACCAGGGCAACAGTACTGAGAACATAACTTGGCCAGGACATGAGAAAAGCCCTGGTTTGGTTAGCTAATCCTGTCCCGTGGTAGGGGAGAAGAGTTGGTAGGCCCATCCTGACATCTGTGTGCCCCACAAAGCAAGGAGCAAGACAAAAGGCAGGAGCAAAATGCCTGGGCCCAAGTCAATTTATCTCCTTGTCTCCCCACACAATGAACCAGAAAGTACTAGAGTGTTTGTTGACAGACGATAATCTGGATTACTAGCAAACACTACTCAATGAAGATCTTGAAAGAATCCAACCAATCATTCCCTGTCCTTTGGGGACCACTGGGATGTAAGAGAGAGCAAGCAAAAATGAGGTACTATGCAAAGAGGCTGAGTTCCTCTCCCTCTAAGTACCCTATAGAGTTTATAGACTACAACTAAGGTATACAATACATATCATAAAGATATGGCAAGATCTGTTTAGTGCTATAACAATAATTACTTCTGCTTCAAATTTAATCATATAATGTGTTGTTGGTAAAGGATCTTGGTGATCCATACTGCTCCCTAATACTTATCAGGCTTCAAGTTAATGCTTTAAGAGTGCAAGCATCTCCATTTTTGTTCAACGTTGTATACTCAGTGCCAGAACATGCCAACAAAAGTTCAATGAAATCTATTAAATGAATAAATCCAGATATGATTTTAAAATGTAAGAATTTTCTTAATATAAAGCCATTTTTACCATAAAAATTCTATTTTGCTTACACATCAAATGTTTCATTGAGAAAATGAATAATCTCCTCATGGGCAAGGACTATACTCTTTTTTTTTTTTTTTAACAGCAACAAGAATGATGCCTAGTATATAATAAATACAACTAAATATTCAAAATGAAAAGCCTTACAAATGGCAAATGTTATTTATCTGAATGTAGAGTAAAATATGAAACTTTTTTTTTTTTTTTTTTTTTGGAGACAGAGTCTCTCTCTGTTGCCCAGGCTAGAGTGCAGTGGCACAATCACGGCTCACTTCAACCTCCACTTCCTGGGTTCAAATGATCCTCCCACCTCAGCCTCCCAAGTAGCTGGGACCACAGGTGAGCACCACCACACCTGGCTAATTTTTATACTTTTTTTTTTTCAGCCTCTGCTTATCCATTAAAGTTTTTGTATTTTTTGTAGAGACACAGTTTGACCATGTTGCTCAGGCTGGTCTCAAACTCTTGGGCTCAAGGAATCCGCCTGTCTCAGCCTCTCAAAGTGCTGGGATTACAGGCGTGAGCCACCACGCTCAGCTGAAAATGACTTTGAGAACATCTGTGGCCAATGCTCCCTTAGTGATATTTCTCAGCACCATCTACTGCAGTCATGATATGGACTGCAGCTAAGAGATGTGGGGTTCTTGTGAAGAAGCTGGAAGACTGAAAGACATGCCCCTGGAGACAAACATTCACCTTCTCCTATTCTGAAGGAAGTCAATCCCATTTGTGAGGTGAGGAGTGAGAAGCTTGCTGATTACTAGAGCACAGTTTTTCACTATCAATGGCTCTCTCAATTTTTAGAAACTTATACCCATAAACAAGTAAAAACATTATACTTTTTTTGAGACAGAGTCTTACTCTGTTGTCCAGGCTGGAGTGCAGTGGCATGATCTCAGTTCACTGCGGCCTCTGCCTCCCCGGTTCAAGAGATTCTCATGCCACAGCCTCTCAAGTAGCTGGGATCATAGGTGGGTGCCACCACACCCAGCTAATTTTTGTATTTTTAGTAGAGACGGGGTTTCACCATGTTGGCCAGGCTGGTCTTGAACTCCTGACCTCAGGTGATCCAACTGCCTCAGCCTCCCAAAGTGCTGGGATTATAGGCATCAGCCACTGCACCTGGCTGGAAAACGTGACACTTTTTGACCCCAGATCTTGGTTCTCTCAAGAACCCTGTCCCTGGGGTCACAGGAAAGTGGGTGATGCCAAGCTTCTGTAATCCTTTCAATGTCTACCCAGGAGAGATAAAATATAAAGAAAGTTAAAGTTTCCAAAGGGTGATGAAATTAATTCTTGGGCTTAGAAAATAATGACAATATCTCACATTCTTATAGTTCTTATCTACCAACACGCTTTGGAGTTTCCTAGCAAAAAAATTACCCGAGTCAGAGCTTTTGTCCCGAGATTAAACATGCCCTGTGACTATACTGTTACAGCTACAGATAACTCACACCTTTTGGTTGTAAATGTACTAGTCTCAAATTCATCTGTTTGCTTGCAAAACAGATGGGCTCTATTGAGTGACAAAACTAAGCCGATGCAGCTGAGGCAATACTCCAACAGGCCCAGCCCATGTGAGTTTACTCCTAGGACAGAGGTAGGGTGATGGTGCTGAAGCTGAGGCATGTATAACTGAGCAGGACAGAGTCTTGGCACTGCTAAACTAATAAAGGAGTCGGCAGGATGGGGTCTGCTCAGACTACAGTCGATTCTGCAGCCATATTAAGCATCTATGAAAACCCAATGGAACAAGGACAGCTTGGGGCATCTGTCTCAATTCTTCGTAGGCATGATCTCAACATTCACAGGGTGAAAGCACTCAATCTGGTTCCCATGTTTCTCCTGCAAAAGAACCTTCCCCTTGCTTAGCCAACTCTACTTCCCCTCCTTGAGGAAGACGGGAGGATTCTCTGTGATCTCCAGGGTGAAACCATATTAGATACACATGTGGATCCATTTTTACCAGGTATGCCACTTATTCTGTTGCATATGAAGGGAAAACTATATAGAAGGAGCTTTGCCTGATAGTATTTTCTAAAACTTTATCGTGTCCATAGTCGCATGTATGATTATTGCAATGATGCAGCTATTCACAAATACTGTTTCAGGCCACGTACACACGAGTGGTGGTCGGTGTTACAAAAACCACTTTGTAGACCTCAGTTACCAACTATACTGAGTGGGGTAATTTCTATGCTTATATAACTTTCTTTAATCATTTTTAAGATTACAAAAAAGCAATAAATACACTCAAAAATGAAAACATGGAGAATGCAGAAAACACAAGAAAGGAAAAATCAAACTCGATCTCACCACTCAGAAATAGCAGAACCTTTAAGAGTGTTTTCCATTAATCTCTATCAAGTCAGAAGTGGATTGAACCATTAAAAATTTTCTGAACCATTTTAAATTTGTTTGTATAAGTCGACAGTTCAGAGCAGTCATTAGACTAGCATAATTCAATATCTGAGAAAGACACAGTGTACCTTTTGCCTTTGTGCACGGTAGCTTACCTTCAATCAGCTGAGACAGCTGTGTCCCGCTTACCAAGGTCTCAGTGACATCACTCTTTCGGGAGGCCTTTCGGTAGCGAATCTTGTAGCCAGTAATCTGCCCATTTTGTGTGGCTGGAGCAGGTGGCTGCCAGTGAATCATAATACTCTGCACAAGACAGAATTATAGAAAAAAGGCTGAATATATCAAAAGCTTGGTCCTGTTTTAAATATTTTTATCCTGATTTTACTGTTTAAAGAGAAAAAACATAGAGGCAGCAAGGTACTCAGAGTTTTACAAAGTTATTTAATAATCACTCAAAAATACCTTTAAATTCTAAAACCCTCAATGATCAAATGGGAAGATTATATATTCGAGTAGTACACTCTGGACCCCTGATCTCCTGGTTGTTTTGCCAGAAAGATGATGTTGGATAAAAGTCTCAGAAAAGTTTTCAGAAGGAAAGTATAAGAAGGCCAGAAGCACATGGATTAGGGAACTAACTATTATTAGGTATAAAGATTCTTTCCCGTGTCCAGTGCAGAAGAGCTGAAATTAGACAATTTCCATATAAAACTCTTTAAAAAGGGGACAACTAATTAACAGCTGGTTGCCTCTTAAAAAAAAAAAGGAGCCCTATAGTACTTTCTTGTTTTTTTAGAGTCGGGGTCTCACTCTGTCACCCAGGCTATAGTGTAGTAGCATAATCATGGCTCACTGCAACCTTCAACTCCCGGGCTTAAGTGATCCTCTCACCTCAGCCTCCGAGCAGCTGGGACTACAGGCGTGAGCCACTGCATTTGGCTCTCTACAGTACTTCCTGAAAGGACTGATTATCTTAGTTGTCTGCGTAGTCCAGAAGGGCTCTGGGCCTCTGAGAGGCAAACATGGCCCCTAAGAACACAGCAAACTTGGCTATAGGAAGGACAGTTTGAGGAGATACAACCAATCTGACAGAGGTCTGCCTTTGATTCACATGGCTCATCTCACAGCACTAAGGAACCATGTTATAAACAACTTATTTCCTTCTGCCGTACCACTAAGGTTCTGAACAGTTAACATCTAGAATGTAATGTTTTACAGAAAAAGAGCAATTTAATTGCAGAAATGTTAAAGCAGTTTTGGTGTCAGAGGAAGGAAGCAAAATTAAGGAGAATAAATGAGTGGGTTTTTAAGCCCAGCTTTAATGCAAGTGTAATATCTATGTCTTTTTACTTCTTTGCTTGTGATTTTTTTCACTTACGTTCTAATTTATAGGTTTGGTATTTTTAAATGCAGATTATTACCACATCGCCATTCATTTATTTTGATGCTTTCCTACAGAATCTCCCTTTCTATAAGCCCCTCTGAGGCGCAACAGTATACCAGTAAAAATGAACAGCAGCATCATACAGTTTTACCTTTGAATTTCTCACTTCCAAGGACAGATTCTGAGGAGCAGCACTGGGAACTAGAGAAACAAAAAAAAAAAAAAAATTTTTTTTTTAATCACCCATACATCACCCATCATGTGATCATCTTGGCTGGACTTTAAACAAATGCACATCTCAAACACTGATTACGTGACCAGATCTAAACTAGCTGCCAATGCCCTCATGTTGACAATACTATGTGGATGACATATAGCCATGCCTGGTTCAATTTTTAACATAAGACACTTTCATATGGGAAAGCACCTACACCCAAGCCAGGCTGTACCTTTGGGAAGTCAGATATTTATTTCAAGGATGTACAGTAGCTCTGAACTCTTCTAAAGACTCTCAACTTTTCTAGACCCCATATGTACTCAGAACCTTAAATGTATTCTTTTGAGTATTATTGGTGATGGTTTATCTTTTTGTTTTGTTTTGTTTTGTTTTGAGACTAAGTTTCACCCTTGTTGCCCAGGCTGGAGCACAATGGCGTGATGTCGGCTCACAGCAACCTCTGCCTCCTGGGTTCAAGCGATTCTCCTGCCTCAGCCTCCTGAGTAGCCAGGATTACAGAAGCCTGCTACCACGCCCGGCTAATTTTTGTATTTTTAGTAGAGACGGGGTTTCACCATGTTGGCCAGGCTGGTCTTGAACTCCTGACCTCAGGTGATCCATCTGCCTCGGCCTCTCAAAGTGCTGGGATTACAGGCATGAGCCACCGTGCCTGGCCCTGGTCTATCTTTATCTTGGCAGACAACCATAGGTTTTTCTGGAACCAGGTCTAAGGAATATGGCAAGTGACTGAACTGGGTAATGACATGATGGATCAAAATGAGATGTACATACATCAGTAAGCCTGGCTTTCTTGTGGAGTTTCTAAGCTGGTTTTGAAGGCAGTTCCCAAGTACAGCAAAGATATTTAAGCAATGACAACTGGTAAAGTGAACCATCTGGTTTCCTGAGGCAACCAGATACCAGAAAATACTCATTTAGATGTGAGAAGTTTGGGACTGTTGGTTAAACAGCCACGTAACTTTAGTTCCTCACTTTAGAACATAATCCAGAGTTATCTCAGTGTGTGGCCCACACATTCTCTAGTATCTCCCTTCATATTGGTGAGAGCAAGCAAAGTAAACCGGATTTGTTTTCTCTGCACTTACAAATTGCTGACTTTAGCCCTTCTCTCCTAATCCACCCGTGGAAACTTCTCTTTTTCTGTCTCTAACATTTGGTGACCAGGTATACAACTAAGTGCCCACTGTGCTATAGCTTCTGGAAGACAAGAGAATGTGTCTTGCTCCTTTCTGTAACTTGTGCCTAGCAAAGTGCCTCAAGCCTAAACTCAGAGATTCAGGTAGTCTGGAGTAGGACCCAGGCACATGTGTTTTGAAAAAATTACATTAATGATTCCAGTCATCTCCATGTTAAGAAGTGACTGAGGTTGCAGAGGTATCCAACATATCTGTCATCATTGTCTTCATTATCAACATCATAGCAAAGATTTGCTGCATGGTCATTACATGGCAGACACTTATTCCTTATAATAATCTCAGGACGGAGTTTCTATTCTCATTCCTATTTTGTAGATCAGAAAACTATAGAAGAGGTTCAGGGAAGTTAACTTGTCCAAGATATTTGTTTCACCTGGCATCGGAACCAAGATTTGCGTTATTCCAAAGTGCTGCCCCTAGCCACCATGCTGAGATGTGTTCAGTTCCCACAGGTACTGTAGTCAACATGCCAACACACTTAATGCAGTTAAAATTTGGCTCGTGTGTAGATTTAACAGCCTACAGTAAACATTTTTTTCCCTTAACTTTTCCCCAGTATCTTGCCTAACTGGCTTATGTAGTTCACTAGCTAAGGTATAACCGCCTGTAATTTATTTGTTTCTTTTTCCCAACTTTTTTTTTTTTTTTTTTTTGAGACAGCTTCTCACTCTGTCATCCAGGCTGGAGTGCAGTGGTGTAATCACAGCTCACTGAAGCCTTGACCTCCCCGGGCTCAGGTGACCCTCCCACCTCAGCCTCCTGAGTACTAGGATTAAAGGTGTGTGCCACTAATGCCCAGCTATTATTATTATTTTTTAAGTAGAGATGGCGTTTTGTCATGTTGTCCAGGCTGGTCTTGAACTCTTGGGCTCAAGTAAGTTGCCCGACTTGGCCTCCCAAAGTGCTGGGATTACAGGCATGAGCCACTGCACCAAGCCTCCCAACTTTTTAATCCTGAAAACTGTCAAGCCCATGGAAAACAGTGGCAAGAATAGTACAATGAATGGCTGTTCTTTTCAAATTCACAATTACTAATATTCTGCAACAACTGTTTTATTTATCTTACTATTATGTATATGTATACAGATTTATCTATCTACATATTGTTTCTGAATCATCTGAGAGATGACTGCAGTCATCATACTTCACTCCAAAATTCTTCAGTGTATATCGCCATGTATCTCCTATGAACAAGGACATTCTCCAACAAAGTACACAATACAACAATCACATTCAGAAATTTTAACACAAAAATATTATCTAATATAGCTAATAACATATCTAATATTTACTATTGCCTAATACCATATGTATCTAATATTAAGTAATTATACCAATAGTGTCCTTTATGGCTGTTTTTTTATCTCCAGATGCAGGATCCAAAGATCATACATATTTTATTTCATGTGTCTTTACTCTTCTTTAATCTAGATTCTAGAATGATTCCTCAACCTTTTTTTTCTTTCACAAAACTAATATATTTTAAGAATCCAAGTCAGTTAAAATAAAAATTTTTTTTGCAGAGCTTCCCTCAATTTGGATTTGTCTGATTGTTTCATCATGATCAGATTCAAGTTAAATATTTTTGGTACTGATATAACAGAAGTAATATTGTGTCTTCCTCCATGTATCACATAAGGGGGCACGTGATGTCAGTCTGTTCTTTTATTGGTGATGTTAAGTTTGACTCTTTTCTTAAGGGAGTCAAACTTTACCTTCTAAAGCATGTGTGTTTACGTAAGAGCGGTATACACATAAATACGTTTTTTTAAAAAGACATTTTTCTAAAACATAAGATTTAGCTGAGTTTCATGAAACAACATATACCCTTACTAAGTGCAATGAACTCTAATCTTTTCTGTTCTATTCTAAAAATATATTTTTTTTAAATGCTGGTTTTGACCTACTTAATCTCTTTGGCAAGCTGTAGTTCGAAAAACACTGCTCTAGGTCATGGGTGTATATACATATATATGGGTGTATATATATATATAACTTAATTTAGAAATTCAGTCACAGGTGAGAGATAAAACAGTCACAAATACGGAGGAACTAGAAAGACTAATTTGGCATGCAAATATCATTGCTAAGTAGAATAAGGCTAGTCTTCCAAAAGCCCTGGAATGGTCTGTGTTATGAACAAGCAATAGTATTTACTTACACAAAAGCTTCTGCTAAAAACACAAACGCTGAGAGCCTATCCAGTAAGAGGCACTTTATGCTCTATGCTTTCTCACTGAATCTTTACAGCAACTCAATGAAGTTGGTATTATCTACATTTTACACGTGAAAAAAGATGTTCAGACTTGACTAAAGTCATATTACCAGAAAGAGGTAAAATTGGGATTTGAACTGAATCTTCTAGACATCAAAGCTCATGATCTTACAACTAAACCACTAGGGGCACCAAGTGTGGTATATCGTTCCAGAGGAAGAAAGACTCACCATCTGACAATGTTCGAACAGCAACATCTGGTGTGGAAACTCCAGGACCATGTTTATTGTAGGCCACCACTCGGAAACTATACTCTGTATATTTTTTCAACCCATTAATGGTGTAAGAGTGACTTGAAACATCAACATCCTTGAATAAAATAAAACACTTTATACATATGCACTCAAGCCAAAAGAAAAGTTGAAAATTAAAGAATTAGCTACACAAATTCTATATTCTACATGAAACAGATTTTATCCCTTCTACATAAGGTTCTTCAATAGTCAAAGCAGATGAATCATAAATTGACAATTTACTTAGAAATACTGCTTGATGTTCACTGACCACTGCTGGTAAAAACTACACAATAAATCTTGGTACAAAGAAATAGAATCTGTCAACTTTTCATTTCCTATGTTTCTTTTTCCCCCTCACATTTCCAGTCAAGCAACTACTGAGTTTTGGAAATATATTTCAACTCTACTATTCCAATCAATGGTTTGAAAAGTTGCTTCACTTCATACCTGTTCTTTATCAGTCCCCTTTTCCATGTAGTACAATTTATAATTCTGAATTTCCCCATTGCCAGACACTGGTGTTTCCCACGTAACAGTGATGGAGGTAGGCGAAGCTGCATATGCACGAAGGTTAGGTGCTGGGCCAGGGAGCTGAACTAGAAAGAAAAGTTCGAGAAAGCAAGATATAAATGAAATGCTACACTCCTCAATAACCATTCTTGGCAATACTGTCATATTGGCCACGTTTTTAAAATAATAGAAGCTAAGAAAACAATGGATTTGATTGAAGTGGTTTTAGAATAATATATAAACACATTTTCCTTTTTATGATTCAAATCAAAACCAGAAATTACACTGAAAAACTTTCCTTGTGATTTATAAAATCCCAGTTTTGCAGTGGGCCTACACAAGACATAAAAGGCAACCACCACAGAAAGAGATCCTTCTTTTGCCGGGCATTGTGGTAGCCACTAGGGATACAGTGATGAATAGAATCCTGCCCACAAAGAACTCCCAGTCTAGCAGGAAAGTCAGACATATAAACAGTTACAAAAAATGTCGTAAGTGCTAACAGATTTAGGTAACGGTTATAACAAAAACAGAAAGATGAGAGCACACAATTCTGCTTTGGGAGGGGTTTGGGAGGGAAACCCCTTTGATGAAGAATTCTTGGAGTCAAGCAAAATGAACACTTTCCTCAGATACCAAGGGGAAAATCATTCCAGTCAATGGGGTCAATAGGGAGAATATACAAAAAGACAGTGTTAAGTGGTTCAGCTTGGTTGAAACAGAGTGGATATGGGAGAGAGAATGTTGAAAACAATGACTAGTCAGATAGTGAAGAACCCTCTAATGTCCTGCTATTGAAGCTCACATTTTCTCTAGTAGGTGTTAGGTGACTACTGAAAAATTATGAGCAGGAGCATGATATGATCAGATCTGTGTTTAGAAAGGACATGTGAACACATGCATGGAAGAAAAACAGTAAAAGAACAAGACTAGATAAAATAATAATAATTGTAAAACAGCTACCATTTATTGAATGGTTACAGTCAGTCAAGCACTAAATACTTGACATGTATTTTCTCATATAATCTTTGCACTAAACCAAGTGAGATGAATATTATCACCCTCATTTACAGGTGAGGTTATGAAGTTAACAATCTTTCCCAAGTGATGGGAAAGTTAGCTAGCGGTGGACCCAGGAGTCGAGTACTTGCTGATTCTAAAACGTGGGCTCAAGAAGACCCGTAAGGAGATTACTACAATACCCACGATAGGATGTATGTGACTGGAAGACTGGATCACTGGCTGACTGCTTAAGTGTCTAGCTGGCTCTATCTCCTACAATGGCTCACACACCTACCCTTTTACTGTATTATTTTTGTCTGACTGACAGGTTCCAGTTCCAATTTATACACAAATCCTGTGTGGCTGTCTATGCCTACACTTTGGTAGACATTCTATATTTGAAAACAATTTCTCTGGCACTAGTGTTTCTGTAATAGACATTCATTAGATTTAAAAACTGGGAAGGGAAAAAAAGCTAACAAAATGTAAAACACACTGGCTTTCCTGAATAACAGCACCACAGCTTAAGATTAATTTTGCTATCAAAGTAGAGAAATCTGAATATGGTTACTCTAACAGTTGTTTGCTTTAGTTATGAATCACGTTATTCACTTCAGTTAAGGGCATATTTTGTGCAGCCTGACAGGTGGGATTTGTCACACTTCTGCTGCTATGGAAAACTTTCCTCTAACTTATTAAAGGAGAAGAAAAACAAAACAGTCCCTAAATTCTCTTGAAATCATTTTCAATATATTCATTGGCCAAGTGTAGGCAAATATGATCCTAAAAAAGGTGCTAATGAATTCTTTCATTTCAGCTGTACAGTGGCATAATAAATGGAAAAAATGTTAAGTTGGTTTGTGAAACTAAATATGTAAAATATTTTCCAAGGGCTGGTTCCAACATTTATGCCTCCCCCACACAAGCTGAACACCTCCAGATGAAATCCAAATCTCTCTTCAGAAACTGCTTCTCTTTTGCCAAAACATGTTATAGTCTCTTCTCCATCCCTAAAATACCCTCACCAGAACCTGTTGCCTTTTCTACCTACATTCTTACAACTATTTTCTTTTAGCCAAACTCCTTGAATAAATGGTTATGCTGCCTATTTTCCTTAAGGTGATAACACATCACACTGTTGTCTATGGTACCAGACCGTAAGCTCCTTGTGGACAGAAGTCAAGTCTTACTCATCTTTACATCCTGACTGCCTAACACAGTGGCTGACACATGGTGGGCACTCAATAAATCCACTCTTCTTCACCCCTTTTCTTTCATCTCTAAATTTGACAATGACCCTCGCAGTGGTTCTCAACAATCTGATGTATGAGCTCTGAAATGACAATGAAAACTACAGATCCTTTCCAAGGGAAATGTGAATATGTACAGACACAAATATTTATTTTCATGCAGTTTCAGAAGGTTCACAGCCTCAGGATAGGACCCTTGCATTTCCTTCATTTTTGTCATGACTTACCTTGCATGTGCACTGTTAGATTCTATTTCTGGGATTTGGGTCATGCAAATTCCTTCCCACAAAATGCTTGCTCTAAGTCAAATGCCTCAAGGCCAGCCTCAGGTCTCATCTTTCCCTAGGATCCTGCCTTGACTTTTCTATCTTTTACAGTAAGTTTTCTCTATTCTGTATCCTAGTATCTCTCATGAATGATGCCTCTATATGAAAGCTGATGAAGGGTAACTGAGCTTGAAACCTAATAGAGTATTCCTGCTCTTGTCTGAACATAGGTAACTGTAAAATTCAACATTCTGCCTGTAATGAGAACACACTCTTCCCTTAAATCAACCCCCTGACTCTGTGATGGCCCTCTTGTTCTTGCCTGGGTTTGATTCTTATCTTCAATCTCTGTCACTGAAATGATGAAAGGTCTCCTACCTTGCCTGCTCCTTCTTTAAGGGAAGAAGACCAAGCTTGTTCATCCTTGCATCTCCAGTATCTTGCACATTACCCAGTATAGGGGATACTCAATAAATATTTGACAGGTGAATGATATGCCATAGCATTAGAAAGTGAAGTTCTACAGCTTCTTCACTTATTCTACCCGTCAGGTAAAGTTCTTAAATTATTTCTATAGTTCCACTGGTAAAGTCATTTATTCTGTTCAGCTGCCTGGTCAGTAGCCTCTACAAATATATCTAAAATACTCTCTACCCAAAGTAAAATATTTTATTATTACTGGAGGTTTTTAATACAGAAAAACTAATGCTGTTAATAATAAAATTAGACTGAAGAATACACTGAGGTGGCCGGGTGCGATGGCTCATGCTTGTAATCCCAGCACTTTGCGAGGCCGAGGCGGGCGGATCACGAGGTCAGGAGATTGAGACCATCCTAGCTAACACAGTGAAACCCCGTCTCTACTAAAAATACAAAAAAAAAAAAATTAGCTAGGCATGGTGGCAGGCACCTGTAGTCCCAGCTACTCAGGAGGCTGAGGCAAGAGAATGGCGTGAACCCAGGAGGCAGAGCTTGCAGTGAGCAGAGACTGTGCCACTGCACTCCAGCCTGGGCGACAGAGCGAGACTCCGCCTCAAAAAAAAAAAAAAGAATACACTGAGGAAAAACAGTAATTTGTGTTAAAAGAAAGCAAAAGTCTAGACAAAAGCCTCAAGTAGGAAAAGCATTTATTAAGATCTGGCTGCTTGTAATTTCGGTCCTATAGTTAGTTTACAATCCAAACTTAAGATATACAACACATTTATAATATAAATAAACCTGATTGACACTCACGTCACTGAAAATCTTAGAAATGTAATTAGAAGTAACCCTATTTAGCACGAAAGACCACAGGTCCAAAATAAAGCCTCAAGGAGATTCTAAAGAGCATGGTATGCCTAAAGACAGACAATCCAGTTAAGAACAATTATTAAATACCTTCTTCATGTGCAAGGCATTACATTAGACACTGTGGGAAATGTAAGGATGACAAAGGCTCTGTCTTTGCTACAAAATCAGCAAGGTAAGTTCATAATCATAACTGAAGGAAAAACGTGATAAATATCTTAGACTGTGGAGATAACAATATTAGAATCAGAGGAAAGATTCTAGAAGGCATCTGAGCTAAGTCTTAAAGGGTCAGTAAAATATGAACACGTAGAAAAGCACCAACAGAAGTATATTGTCTTATACTATTTGCTGTTGTTTTTTTTTTTTTTTTTTTTTTTTTTTTTGAGACAGAGTCTCACTCTGTCACCCAGACTGGAGTACAGTGGTGCAATCTCAGCTCACTGCAACCTCCACCTCTTGGGTTCAGGTGATTCTCCTGCCTCAGCTATTCTCCCGAGTAGCTGGGATTACAGGCACCCACTACCATACCCGGCTAATTTTTGTATTTTTAGTAGAGATGGGGTTTCACCATGTTGGCCAGGCTGGTCTAAAAAACCTGACCTCAGGTGATCTGCTTGCCTCGGCCTCCCAAAGTGCTTGGATTACAGGCATGAGCCACTACACCCAGCCCTACTTGCTGTTTTTTGATGTAAATTAATTTTGCCTCCCCTAATTGATAAGGACCCCGAAAGTAAGGAACTGTTATCTTCTGCTCCCCTATGGTGTGCAAGGCTAAACAAAGGTAGAACTTCAGAGAGGTCTACCTCTAGGGGGTGCTGACAGACAGGTGGAAGACTTACCCTCAGGTTGTGTTTCTACTCGCAGTGGAGCTGAACTCTCTCCTGAGCCATGCTTATTTTGAGCCATAACTCTAAAGATGTACACGGTCGCTGGCATTAGGTTTTGAATGGTTACTTGCATCTCTCCTGGGTGACTGGTATTCTCAACACGTTCCCTTTAGACAAAGGATTTGGAGAGAGATAGCATTAATTAGGAATACTTCCAGAATGTACAGTTTCATTTTCCACTCCACATAAAAATCTATCAGTGTAAGTCAAATTAGCTCTCAAACAATGAAGCTTTTGGGGGTAGGACAGTGCAAAGAAGATGGGGACTGGCAAAAGAGCAAGGGCATACGTATCTGACAAATCAGTGATGTTCTTGCTGAAATGTTACTGATATCGCTGACCATAATCACAACTTCCTTTCAGAGAAGACACAGGGCTCTTCTCAATGCCATTTCAAATGGGGCAGCTAGTCATCAACTTTCTAGGCTTTAGAAATCACTGAGTTTTAGGGAAATTGATGGAAGGTGGATATTGGTATGACCTAATGATATTTCACAGAAAATATCAAAGAATGCTGTGTATATTTTGGCTAAGAGACTCTCAATAAAAAGAATGCTAGAGGTTATCATCTTTTAAAATTGGAAATAAAAACATAAAACATTTAAATAAATCCTAAGTGTAACCCAGTCTATAAAATAAACTGATTACAATACTGATTTTTATAATTTCTTAAAATTAACACTTCATTGATTTTGAAGCTGATATGAAATGATATGAAATGTTTGACAAACTTTATCACAAACAACTCAAATCCAGCGGTCTAGTATTTAATATCATGAGATGAAAGCTTAAAACCAGTTATCTAGGTTCTTTACTAAAGGTGGCTTCCAGGTTCTGTCTTGGGGTCTGTGTGACCAACACAGGTCCACAAACATGCTCAGTCTACTGTACTCACTAGAATGAAAACCAGACTGCATAATCAAGAGTTTTCAACAAATATTGTGAAGGAATTTGTTTTAGACAAACAGTTGGCTTTTAGGAACTGTCATTCATGTGAGGAAACAGCTATACCTGTCTTGAGAAAGTAATTAAAGAGCCTCAAACTACTCCATTGAAGAAATTATTCTAATTTATTGAATTAAAATTCTTACTTTAAAATACTGATAATTTGCCTTCAAATTGCAGATTAAAATTTGTGTAGGTCTACATGACCATATGCCAATTTGTCTGATTGTGAGCATTTGCACTGCAGAGAAGTGCTTTTTGGTAATTTTCTATAGTTCTTTTAAGTTACTTTATTTTAATTAAAAAATCCAACAATAGTACCCACACAATATTTACAGAGGATTTTTTCTCTATAATCAGCTAGGTCCCCTGGAAAAGAATACTGTAGTAACAAAAATTATTTTTCAGAGATACTTGAGATACCTAATACTATTTTCTCTTCGGCTAAATCTCTCAATCACAGGATTTATAAGGAAGGATCAACTGATTTCTTACAATTTAAGGTTTCTGACACTTGGTCTGATCATGGATGATCCCTGTCTTAAAGGGAAGTACAGCTGATGCTTGAACAAGACAGGTTTGAACTGTGTAGGTCCACGTATAAGCGGATATTTTTCAACAGAAGTTACACCGAGTGCGCCTGCCTTTCCTGCCCTGCTTCCATTTCCTCCACCTCTTCTGCCTCTGCTACTCCTGAGACAATAAGACCAACCCCTTTTCTTCTTCTTCCTCCTTTTCAGTCTACTCAACCTGAAGGTGAAGACCTTTAGGATCATCTACTTTCACTTAATGTACAATAAATAGTTTCTCTTAAGATTTTTTTGTTTGTTTGTTTTGAGACAGGGTCTCACTCTGTCACCCAGGCTGGAGTGCTCTGGTGTGATCTTGGCTCACTGAAGCCTCCACCTCCTGGGTCCAAGGGATTCTTGTGCCCTGGCCTCCAGTACGTAGCTGGGACTACAGGTGCACACCACCACGCCCGGCTAATTTTTGTATTTTTAGTAGAGACAAAGTTTTGCCATGTTGGCCAGGCTGGTCTCAAACTCCTGGCCTCAGGCGATCCACCCGCCTCAGCCTCCCAAAGTGCTGAGACTATAGGCATGAACCACCACACCTGGTCCCTTATGATTTTTTTAATAACATTTTTTCTCTAGCTTACTTTACTGCAAGAATACCGTATATAATACATATAACATAAAAATATGTACTAACAGACTGTTGATGTTATTGGCAAGGCTTCCAGTCAACAGTAGGCTACTAGTGGTTAAGTTCTGGGGAGTCAACTGTATTGTATTTTACACTAAACTAAAGGCTCTCTGAGAGAGTACAGATCAGGTCTCTTTTGTTCACCCCACACAGGAAAGTTGAAACAAGTTTTCTTCTAGAAAGACACAGGAGGGGGACTATTTTACTTCAAACTGAAGTAAAAGACTGTCTCATTCATGTTCGTGTACGACAGAAGCACGTAGCAGAATGCTCATACAGGGAAGCTGCATCCCAAACATACATTGAATGAATAAACGAAAATCTGCCTTCTGATATGTAAATCTTGTATACTAATATCATATATATATTTTTTGTTTGCTTCTATGTGAAAGGGAAAAAATGGGAGAAATAAGTGAAGGTTACTAATACCCACATCAAATTTCTATAGAAGCATTACCATTAAAAAAAATCAGTCATAGGTGATCTGACACTATTGGTCTGAGGTCCCAGAAACAAGTTACTGTGCAGAAAAACCACCCTTGGTTTTGGGATAAGATTCAAGGAGCATTTGAAACAACAATTCTCTTAAGTGTGTGGGGTTACAGTGGGACTCAGGTTAGAATGTGAAAGCTAAGAATCAAAAGGGAAAGAAAAGGGCACACTTTATAGAAAGAAAGCACTGGGCTGGAAGTTAGGAGATGCAATTCTAGTTCTGGCAATGCTACTAGCTTGTGAGGAAAAGTCACTAATGCTTTCTGGGCCTCACTTTCTTTATGTATTAAACGAAAAAATGAGACAGGGTGGGCAAACTTTTTCTTAAAGGGCCTGGTAGTAAATATTTATAGGCCAAGAGGCAAAATGGAGGATATTATATAGTTACCTATGTAACATTTCAAATGTAACTATTTAAAAATGTAAAAACTATTCTTAGCTCCGGGGCCATAAAAATAAATAATTGCTCCAATTTGGCACAGGGTCCATGGTTTGCTAACCCCTTGACTAGACTAACAGATCTCTAAGGCTTCAATCCAACTTTAAAGTGCTATGAATAGCAGAAATACCTTACTTTCCACTTCCCACTTAATGGTTAATATAGAAAAGTACTGCTTTTTTAAGAAAGATGAAATTTTCATAGCTGAAAAGGCAGAGAGGAAGGACCCTCTGAAATCTCTGGCAACTCAGGTACCCATAAGAATTACAGCTCATGACCAAGGCATATGGTGCCACCTGGTGGCTGAATTTTCAAATGCAGGAAGTGGGTGAATTTGTAAATGCAGGTAGTGGCATACATTCTCACATTGAATTCTTACCACACGTCTGTGAAGTAAATATATTACTTTTGTTTTTTAGATGAGAAAATTTAAGCCGATAAGATTAATAAGAAAGTTTTGTTTATGTAACAATTAGCCAGGATATAGTCTTACGACTTAAAAAAATTAACTTCTCCTTCATTGCCTCTATTCAGAAATCATAAAGTAATGAAGCAACAAAAAACTATTATGGTCTCCCAAAATCTTCCTTTTAAATATTTCCCAAATTTGTCCTATCCACTTCAAGTCGCTGCTTTCATCTTCATCCAAGCCGACGACTAGCACGTATCTAGGCTAACATAATTACTACCCAATTTTGTCTCCCTGACTCTATTTTTTCTCTCCTTTAATCTTGGGTAGTGTTCCCAAAGTACTGTTTAATAAAATCACAGTGTACAACTTTCTTAACAGTCAAAAATGGTCCCTTCTTATCTGATTATGTCCAAATTCTCACTGGCATTCCAGCATCTGGCTCCAAACGTCCACTTTATTCTAATCTCTTACTAATTTCTGCCAAAAGCTCTGGGCCAGTTTGGCCAGCTTTCTTGCCTTTGCATCCTTCTCACAGCATACACACAGATGGCCTTACCTTGCACTTCCTCTTCCTTTACATACACTAGTCATGCCCACCTGCCCCTGCCAACTCAACTTCTGTATCTCTTCCAACTACAAATTAATTTACTAATCATTCCTGCTTACTCCAACCCACAATCTATCATAAAATTTAAATAAGTGTGTCTCATTGAAAACATTTAAATATAAAAGTACACACAGTTAAAAAAAAATAAGTCTCAATTCTCTTTTGTCAAAACCTGTCCTGCCCTGAGAGCTGACTGTGGCACATATTGACGCATATCTCACCAGACAGTCTCCATGCCAGGGTTTCTCAACCTTGGCACTACTGAGACATTGGGCAGGATAATTCTTTGTTGTGGGACTGTCCTGTGCATGGCAGGATGTTCATCAGCATCCCTGGCCTCTATCCACTAGATGTCAGTAAGTACCTCTACTGGTACTTACTGACGCTGTACCAGGCATTGCCAAATATCCCGAGGGATGAGGGGGCAAAACTGTCCCTGGTTGAGGATCACTGCTTTAGGCATTTACATACACATCAAAATATACAGACAGGTCATTTAAAAAAAACTGCTGCCACCATACTTACGGGTATACATACAGTCATGCACTGCTTAACAACAGGGATATGTTCTGACAAATGCATCACGTGATTTCATCGTGTGAACATCACAGAATGCACTTATGCAAACCTCGATGGTATAGCTAGGTGTATATCCCACACACCTAGGCTGTATGGGATAGCCTATTGCTTCTAGGCTACGAACCTGCACAGCATGTTACTGTACTGAACGCTGTAGGCAATGCGAACACAATGGCAAGTGTCTATGTGTCTAAACACAGAAAAGGTACAGTAAAAAGACAGTGGTATAATCTTATGGGATCACCATTGTATACGCAGTCTGTCTGACTGAAGCGTTGTTATGTGATGCACGATTGTATATTAGGTGCCCATTCTTCTATCAGTGGATATTTACATAGTCTCCTTTTATAATCTTGCAAACAATGCTATAAATAAACGTGTTTGTATGAGGGCCCAATGCATACATATATCTGTATGTCTATAGGACAGTTACCTAGAAGTGTGATGGAAGGCTATGTATATTTAAAATATTTTAAAATTCTGCCAAATCACCTTCCCTAGACTATTCTAATTTATACTGCCACCAATAACCTAGAGTGGTTTTCCTCCTAGCTGTCAACTCATTGAACACTGGATATTATCAACTTAAAATTTTTGCCAGCTTTATAGATGAAAAATGATAACTTGGCCAGGCACAGTGGCTCATGCCTGTAATTCCAGCACTTTGGGAGGCTGAAGTGGATCGCCTGAGGTCAGGAGTCCGATACCAGCCTGGCTAACACGGTGAAACCCCATCTCTACTAAAAATACAAAAATTACCCAGGCATGGTGGCAGGCACCTGTAATTCCAGCTACTTGGGAGGCTGAGGCAGGAGAATCGCTGGAACCTGGGAAGCGGAGGCTGCAGTGAGCCAATATAGTGCCACTGCACTCCAGCCTGGGTGACCCAGCGAGACCTTTGTCTCCAAAACAAAACAAAACAAAACAAAATAAAAACAAACAAAAAAACCCCCATCATTTTGCTTCCAAGATCGCCTGAGATGGTGAAAACCTTTTTTTAACTCTAATGGGCTTTCCAGTACTATGAATCATCTGCTTGTATTATTTGTCTCTTGGGATATCTTTTATTTATAATTTGTAACTTTGTTACTCTTTCCTGTTATGGCTTCTGGATTTGCTATCTCCCTTTAAAAGCCCTTTCCTGTTCTCCAAATGATAAAAATCATTTCTATATTTTCTTCTAATATATTTATAGATTTTAAAAATATTTATCTCTTAATCCATCTATAATTTAAGACAGAGACATAACTTTTATTTTTCCCACCAAATGGATAATCAATCTCAACATGATTACTTGAATTATCTATTATTTCTCCACGAATTGAAATTAATGTATTAACTTAATAAATATTTACTGAGTGTTACTAAATGCCAGGCTCTGTTCCAGGTGCTGGAGAATTTTATTGAACAAGACAGACAGAATAAATAAGCTAATAAAAGAGAAAATTTCAGAGAGTAGTAAGTGCTCTCAAAAAAAAAAAAAAAAAAAAAAAAAAAAACCCAAACTAAAAGCGAAACAAACAAAAAAATACCACACACATACCAAAAAATAGGGTGATGTGACAGCAGTGGTGTTCTGGTGAATGTTTAACAATTGGCTCTGGTTTGCAGCATTTGTCACTGTAAACACTCCCACCATGCCCAATTTCAAGCTGCCAAGTCATGTCATTAGGTTTGCAAAATTTCCCGAGCATTTAACAATTAGCTTGGGAACAGGCTGGCTCTGATACCCCACTGTGTGACAGTCACCGAGGGGCTAAGTTTGGGTTGGTATTCAGGGAAGGCCTGAGGAGATGTCATCTAAAGATGATAGATAAGAAGCCAGATGTAACTCATGTGAGGAAAATGCATTTCTGGTAGAACGCACAATAAGAGCAAAAAACCTACTGCAGAAATAAAGCTTATTACGCAGAATTACTAAATGGTTTCTTCCTTCTGTGAAAGCTTATGAGATTTTCAATGAGATTTCAAAGTCTATTGAAGATATTTTAATGGTGATATTGAAACTTGCTGTTTGGTAGGAATGTCTTACCTTTTTTTATGTATAGAACTATGTTTCTCTACCCTTGTAAAACTCAAAACACACAGTATAGCATTCAGGTAACTCCCATCTGTTGGTGTTAAATTATGCCACTTAGACTTCTTGAGAGTATTAAAGAAAGGGTCCTGCACTTGCTAAACTTGCCAGTCTGGTATTAACTACAATGTACATCAACTATAAGCATGCTAATGGAAATACAAGCTTTAGCTGATGTATTAGGGCTCCTACTAAAACACGTATCTTAGCTTTCTTATTCTGGTTGGAAGAGCACAGTGAAGGAATTTACTACTCGGCAATGTGTGAACAGTCAGCATGTGGCATGGTTCCTTCCAAAGAGTTTATAATCTGGTTGGGAAAACAGCACAAATACATAGAACATAATTGAAGAATAACAGCTTAAGGTAGTAAAATATCACATATTACCATAATCAAGTGCCAATATTAGGGATACAAATACACGTACAAGGGAAATGCTCTATGTGCTGAAAAGGTGGGTAAAGATCTTTGAGAGCTTCATGGGGCTTAACCTGGGCCAAGAAGGATTAACTGAATTTACCTTCAGCTGAGAAAGGGGCAAGAAGTGACTGAAGAGGACACACTGGAAAAAAAGGCTATAGTGATTAGACTGGTTTCACTAGAAAGTCAGTTACATTGGGGAAAAAGGAAAAGCAAGTTGGACAGATAAAGTGAAGCCAGCCTGTGGCACAAAGCAGCCTGGACATTATAGATCTTCCCCTATGAGCAATGTGAGCTCCTGAGGGGGTGGAAATGAAGAGGAATGTAATGAAAATGCTATTTTAGGAAAAGTCATCACTAACTACTCTTATTCCATCAAGGAGAACCCCTGGAGCTCCGCAGCCCACACCACATAAGGGTGTGGCAAATATTCATTTAAGTTTACTTTAATAAATTAAGTCTACCTTAATCTCTAGAATTTATACTGACTGAATCTTATGAAAAAAGGGCACTCCTTCTTACATTTAAATACGTCCACCTCAATAGCTGTATCTACCCTCTCCCTAAGTCATCCCAGAAAAGGAGAGACTACCAGGACTTTAGTCTGTTTGGGAGTTTATTTAATGACCTAAAATTAGGGAAGGTGCATCTCAGTGATCTTATTTTCTGGACTAAAAATTGGTACAGATACCAAGAGCCAGGGTGAGCATGACAAGGCTGCCGTGACCAAGAGGCAGCCAACTGGCTGCAGACACACAGGCACTTACCTAGCAATCCCTTCCTTGGTGTAGAACACAGAGTAGGTAAGGTTGTCTCCGTGAGGATCTGATGCAGGTGTCCGCCACGTCAATTTGATGAAGCGGGTAGAGACCAGGGAGGCCACGACATCCCGAGGAGCTGAAGGCAGTGGTCCCGTTGTGGCTGGTGCTAGATGGTCAGTAGTGGCACTGGTCAGTGAAGTGGGAGGTAATGTTGGGATGGCAACATCTTGTCATGTGCAAACATTGGGGAATATGAAGGGCAAACCACGACGGTTTTAAAAAAGAGAACAGAAAAAACAAAAAACAAAAAAGAAATAAACAAAACCACGATGGGAAATAAAATAAAATGAATGAACATAAAAAAGGCCATTAAACTGAAGGCTAACATGCAGGCCAGGGTAACTACTGAAAACTAATGGGCACTATTCAAAACACATCACTGTAGAGCAAGCAGACTTTCTGGCCACTATAATGGTTATGGGCAAGGGACAAGGAGGGTGACAGCTGAGAATAAAACTTCTCACAGAAGGCACAGCAGTGCCCATGTAATTTTCTTAATCCTGAAAGCAGCATGCAACATCTGTCAAACTTTGCATAAAAGTCTTGCAAATGACAAGACTTCACTATTTTCTTCTACTTTAACATATGGAATAGTATGGATGACCCTAGTTACACTGAGAGGCTCATGGCTATTGTGACTTCACTGCAGAGCTCCTTTGCAGGAGAATTGAGGGCCACATCTTCAACTTTAGTCTAATATTAAACCCTGCACCTCTGTATTTGGTAATCCTGCGGGGGAAGGTTGATAAACTTCTTCATTGTAAGTTATACCTTGCTGTTTTGTCAATTCATTTAGCTAGGACAGTATAAAATCCTGAACCAAAAATTCCAAAGCCAAAAAATTGCAAGTCAGGTAGCTAATCTGTTTGTTACACTCTTCACTGCGATGTATACTGAAACAGCTTGCAGACCTCAAGGACTGGATGGGAGAAAGGAAGCAGTGGCGAGGCAAAGCTGCTAGTCAAAAGCCACTTTTGTATAGCGGTAGCCATGGGTAACTTCATAACTTCCAAGGCAGCCCATGCTACTGATGAAAAACAAAAACAACAGTCCTGATAGTAGAATTTTATTCCTAATATTGAACCTAAAATCTCTTTCACTTCGGAGTTAGAGAGTACAAGTTTAATCTCACAATTTTTAACTGAAAGACTTCATCAGAATCATGTTCGAACATTAAAAGGGAAATTAGTAGGAGAGATGTAGAGAGGAAAACATGAAAACCGTGAACCTAGTTTTGAATGAAGTGGTGGAGCAACAACCTCCTGGAAATGTCTGTGAACTGCGAGAGTGTAATGTGATGCAGTCTAAATAAATACGCCACGTGAAATAAATTATCTATCTCAGGGAAATGGCAAAGGAGGACCAACCTAAAATCTCTAGATAGGTGGAAAGGGAGAAGAGTAATCCAATAGCTACCACTTCTTGAATACCTTACATATGGCACTCTGGCTCTCTATATAGATCATTCAATCCTTACAGCAGCTCTATAAAATAGGTACAATCATTATCTCTAACTTATATGTAGAGACTGACATTGCTAAATCACTTGCCCTAGGTCACAGAGAATGAGTGGTGGAGTGGTATTAATAAAATCAACTTTGGTTTTCAGTTTAAAAGACCTCTGGATATAGCCAAGCAGAGTCTGAAAACTTGACTTCCAGTTCTTGTGCAAATCACAAAAGAGAGCCTTGTTCTCTCTCATGCTCCCTTTTTTTTTCTCCTCCCTTGGTAGTGCTTTTAAGAGTGCAGATTGTTATAAGAATGTAAGATAATGCAGTTTTAGCCCCGACGTTAAGTACATGCTTCACTAAAGCAAGTGTCAACACTACAAAACATTAACTCTGAATGGTTGCTGAGGCCTTGTAGTACTGTACACATCAACAGATGCACTGCCTTAGAGGAAATAAATACCTCTCATTCACAGCTTTCAGAGTTTGTCTTTATATATTTTGTCAGTTTACTCACACAATAACCCTATGAGGTAGGCTGGAAACGATAGGATTAGATGCTGAGATAAAGGTTAGGAAGGAGTCAAAGACTTCCAAGTTACTAGCTTAGGAGACTGTGGAGCCTGAGGTGTCATTAACAGAGAAGACAACAGATTGAGGGGGAGATTATGAATTTGGTTTTGAATATGCTGTGTTTAAAGTCACAATTCAACACCTATGGAATAAATGAGATGCAAATGAAAATATGGATCTCCGATTATTGTAAAATTAAAAGTCATTAAAAACCCTTATTGGGAAATGATTCAAAAAGTAGCCTGAACAGTCTTGCTTTGCAGCCTCATTTGCATGTCCATCTAGAAACACACTAAGCTGCCTCCAATTCTGACCCAACTCACCAAACTTAATTCTTCCCAACTATCTACTGGCTAGAGAGGAGAGAAAGTTTGCTGTGTGAGAGGCAGCAGAGCATACCGGAAAGAGCCCAGGACTTCGAGTACAAAGACTTATGTTCAAAACTTGACTCTTCTAATATGCGAGGTTGGGTAAATCACTCTGATGTCAGTTTCCTTATCTGTAAATTAGGAATAATAATGCTCCCTACCTAAACCCCAAGCTGATATGAACCAGACAAATACCAAACAAGAAAAGTGCATGTGGAAGCTCTGCGTACATGTTATTTACTATGACTAGCTTGAATGAGTAACAACATAAGGATTTCAGTAGGAAAGCAGCTGGGGAGGGAATGCAAGCAGGGAGGACGAGGTGATGGGAGTAATGAGTGATAACAGAATCACTTAGATAGGGAAAACTCAGTTACCCTACTGAACTTCCATAGCACAGATCTATAACTCTTTAACGGCATCCAGCACACCCTATTTCCATTTTTCATGTTTACATTGTATTACTTCCACGAATCTATAAGCTCCTTAAGGACAAAATATGTATCAATTTCATCTGGGAATCACTCAACATGCCTCTGTATACTTTAGATAACCAAGTGTACATTTATTGAATTAATAAATGGAAGGAAATTCAGGGAGAACATGAGTACGATGAAGACAATGTTTCTAGAATCTCATTACAAAAGGCAATATTTTAATCTCTTTGGTTGACACAAAGTGTATATAAATAACATTTATATAATGATATACCATTTGTAAAGCAAATGTTTTATTAGTTATACAGGGAATAAAAGTATAAAAAATGCCTGATCATTGTAAATCATTCCTAATTAACCATGGGAAAAATCCATGCCCACTGTGGCCCCAGTGTTCTCTATCAGCTTTCCCCAGGTTGATTCTATTGCTGCTGTTCCATATCCTAGCTGAGCAGGTAAGAGAAAGCAACTTATGTTATCACAGAGTATCAAACAGGCAGTTAAGTTACACTAGCATCAATGGCAAGATGATGTAGATTGGGACTTTAGACTCCTGGCATGATGGTTTGAGACTGACAAATCCTCTTCCCCCAAAGCAACTATAAAGCGGAAAAAAACTGTCAAAAACTGGAAACTGACCAAAGACATATAACAAGCTGAGAAGCATCTGTTCATGAAAATTACCAGACTTCACACACAAACAGTGTCTGAGGCATCCCCCTCTAGCTCTGCTAGAGTGATTGTTCAACCAGGCTAGCGCAGGCCCTACAAACCAGTGGCTTTGCTGCTGTTGCCAGAAGAGCTCATTTGATATGGAGTGTTGTCAATTAGAGGAGCAATCCTGGTGGCAAGTGAATAGGAAGGGCCAGTGCTCTGCTGGCCTGAGGTTGTATCTCATTGAGGCAAGCAATGGATGGTAGACTAGCCATGGAACAAGGTATTCCATGAGGTGAGAAAGTGGTGAGAAGGCTTGGTAACCTCTGCACATATCCTAGGTTGACTGAAGGCCATGTGTATGTACCCTAGGGACTGCAGCAGGCCCAAGCCACTCACACACCCCCGGCAGATGAAACCTGTGTGTGTGTGTTCACAAGACAACTGAGAGAGCCCGGTAGAAAGCAAAGGCTGGGCAAACTAAAAAATAATCCAGATTTTGAATGCACTCCCCAAACCACACAAAGACCCATCAGCTCAAAGTGGTAGGCTTATTGGCTTGAGGTATTTGAGCATAACTGCTGACTAATCTTTGGTTCAGCACTAATCTATACAGACACAGGGCAAAATCTAAACAGAGACTTTTAGAAAATGCAAATAAAAAGATAATCAAAACTAAATACTCAACAAAAACATCTGTG
Source organism: Homo sapiens (assembly GCF_000001405.40). Classification (NCBI taxonomy): domain Eukaryota; kingdom Metazoa; phylum Chordata; class Mammalia; order Primates; family Hominidae; genus Homo; species Homo sapiens. The sequence goes on along the minus strand of NC_000015.10, from coordinate 73,232,271 downwards.
GTTGCACACCCTGGGAGAGGCAGAAATCACAGATTTAGTACAGGCAAGTTATTAAACAAACAAAACAAGAAAAACTGCTAGGGGGTGGGAGGAAGAGTCAGAATCCACAGTTGCTACAATTTATTATCCAAAATATCCAATATTCAACAAAAGTGAAGAGACATGCAAAGAAATAAAGTGTGACTCATAATCAAGGGGTAAAAAAGGCAGTCATTACAAAGGCAGTCATTACAAAATGTCTTTCTTGGAATGTCCTCAGATACTGGATTTAACAAAGACTTCAAAGTGGCTATTTAAATATATTCTAAGAACTAAAGAAACTGTCAGGAACTAAGCAGGATCTGAGAGTTTACCTTATTGATAAGCTAACAAGTTAGCTTATTACTGATTCATGGGTGCTGGCAGATGGTACAAGTGCTGCATCAGAGACAAAGAACTTTATTACTCATGGCAGTGGAGGCAGCTAGAGTTTCTCGTTTGTTTTGGTCAGTTTCCCATGCCCCCAAAGTCCCATGAAGGCAATACGGAGGGGCCAGGATGGATGCCTGCATATTCAGGGTCTTGCTCTATCACCCAGGCTGGAGTGCAGTGGCACAATCATGGCTCACTGCAGCCTCCGCCTCTCAGGCTCACCTCAGCCTCCCTGAGCAGCTAGGACCACAGGCATGCACATCCACGCCTGGCTAATTTTTTGTACTTTTAGTAGAGATGGGGTTTCACCATGTTGCCCAGGCTGGTCTTGAACTCCTGAGCTCATGCAATCCACCCACTTCGGCCTCTCAAAAGTGCTGGGATTACAGGCAGGAGCCACCACATGTGACCTGTTTACTACTTTTATAGCAAGAGGAAGCAGGCCCCAGACAAACAGCAGGCTTACTGTGGATATCTAATTTAATTCTGTTGTGGTCAGAGAACACACTATATATTATTTTGGTCTTTTAAAATGTATTGAGACTTGTTTTGTGTCCTAGCATGTGGTCTATCCTGGAGGTTGTTCCATGTGTGCCTGAAAAAAATCTGTATCTGCAGATTCTTATAAAGAAGATTATGAAGATTCATAATGTCAGTTAGGTCAAGCTGGTTGACAGCGTTATTTAACTATTTTATATCCTTCCTAACTTTGTCTAATAGTTTTAGCAGTTTTTGACAGAATATTGAAATCTGCAATTATTATTGAATTATGTTATTTCTTCTTTGAATATAATAATTATAAATGCATACATATCTAACAAAAAAGCCCCAAAATATGAAAGCAAAAAATGACAGAATTAAAAAGAAATCTGAGAAAACCCCAAATATTTGAAAATTAAACATGCTCTTAAACAATCCTAGGGTCAAAGAAGAAATCATAAGAAAAATTTAAAAAAATTTTTTTAACAGGCCAGGCATGGTGGCTTATGCCTATATAAACCCAGCACTTTGGGAGGCTGAAGTGGTGGATCACTTGAGCCCAGAAATTTAAGACCAGCCTGGGCAACATAGTGAGACCCCATCTCTACAAAAAATACAAAGAATTATCCAGGCATGCTGGTGTGCACCTGTAGTCCCAGCTACTTGAGAAGCTGAGGCAGGAGGATCACTTGAATGCAGGAGGTTGAGGCTGCAGTGGGTCATAATTGTACCACTGCAGTCCAGCCTGGGTGATTGTGAGACTCTGCCTCAAAAACACAATTTTTTAACACTATAAAAATAAAAACACAATGTATTAAAAATTACAGGATGCAGCTAGAGTGGTGCTTTAAGGGAAATGTAGTGCTTTACCTACATCAGAAAGAAGAGAGGTCTCAAATGAATTACCTAAGCTTCTATCTCAGGTAGAAGACTAGGAAACTAAGAGAAGACACAAGTTACTCAAATCAAGAATACAAGAAGGGACAATAGTACAATACTACCAACCCTACAGATAACTAAAAAAGCTTTAATGGAATATTTTGGGAAAAAAAATTGCCAACCAATCAGACATATTAGAGGAAGGGGAAAAATTCTTAGAAGAACATAAACTGCCAAATCTATCAAGAAAAAACATGAAGTCTGAACGACCTATAATAGAGAAACTGAATTAGTAAGTAAAAATCTTCCTATACAAAGAAAATTCTAAGTCCAAATGGCTTTACTGCTGGATGTTATCAAATATTTGAAAAGAGAAATAATACTAATCCTTCACAAACTTTTTCAGGAAATAGAGAAGGAGAAACATGTCCCAACTCATTCCTGTGCGTTCAGTATTACTCTGTTATCAAAGCCCGACAAAGAAAAGAAAGAAACACGACACATGAAAAGAAAGCAACAGACCAGTATCCCTTATGATCATAGTATAAAACTCCTTACCAAAATGTTAGCAAGCCACATTTGGTAACACATTAAAAAATTATATGCCATGACCAAGTAGAATTTATCATAGGAATTCAAGACAGTTTAATGTTCCAAAATCAATTAAACACATCACATTAAGAGAAAAAAGAAAAACCACTAGTTATCTCACTAGACACAGAAAAAGCATTTGACAAAATGAAACACCCATTCATGATAAAAACTCTCAACAAACTAGGAAAAGAAGTAAAATTCCTCAACCTGAAAAGCCTACAGTGAGCACTGTATGTAATGGTGAAAGATTAAATGCTTTTTCCCTAAGATTAGAAACAAGACAAGGATATTAGTTTCTCATTCCTTAGTACTAAAAGTCCTAGCAAGTGCAAAATGGCAAGAAAAAGAGAAAAAGGAAATACTGATGGGAAAGGAAGAAATAACACTATTTTCATGTGTGAATGACATAATTATCTATGCAGAAAACCCTCATGAATCTACTGAAAAAAAAAAAAACAACTAAAACTAATAAATAAGGCTAGCAAGGTCGGAGGATATGAAAACCAACTGTAGTTCTATATTTTAGGAACAATCCAAAAATGAAATTAAGAAATCAATTCCATTCACAAATTCCACTCACAATAGCATCAAAAAGAATTAAAATACTTAGAAATAAATTTAACAAAAATATCTAGGGATAAATTTTAAGATACTCAGGAATAAACCTAAAAGAAGTGTAAGACTGGTACAAAGAAAAAATTACAACACATTGCAGAGAGAAATTAAAGAAGATCTAAATAAATAGATAGTCCATGTTCATGAATTGAACAACTCAAAGTTGTTAATAAGGCAACTATTAACATGCTAGAAGAAATGCAAAATGCTAGAAGAAATGCAAAAGACCTAGAATAGCCAAATCAATTATCAAAAAGAACAAAAAAAGTTGGAGGATTTCAAAATTTACTGTACTTCAAAATTTACTAATTTCAAAATTTACTGTAAAGCTACAGTAATCAAGACATATGAATAGGCACATCGATCAATGAGATAATTCAGTGTCCAGAAATAAACCCTTATATTTGTGGTCAATTGATTTTTGGCCAAGGTGTCAAGAAATTTCAATGTGGGAAGAACAGTCTTTTCAACAACTGGTGCTGGGACAACAATATATCCACATGCAAAGTAATGAACTCACATCATATATAAAAATTAACAAAATATCTCATAGTCTTAATCTAAGAACTAAACTTCTAGAAGACTTCATGTCTTGAGTTAGCAAAGAATTTTTATACGTTACATCAAACGCACAAGACATAAAAGAAAGTATGCCCTGATAAATTGGATTCTATTAAAAACAAATACTTCTGCACTAAAAAAAACCCAGAAAAAAACAAAACAAAAACAACAACAACAACAAAAAACAACCCAAAACTAAGTAAATGAAAAGCAACAGACTGGCAGACAATATTTCCAAATCATGTATCTGATAAAAAAAAAAAAAACTTATACCCAAAATACATAATGAACTCTTACAACTCATTAAGAAAACAACCAAAGTTAAAAAAAAAAAGGCAATAGCTTTGAATAGTCATTTCATCAAAGAAAACATAGAATAAGCACATGAAAATGACATCATTAGTCATTAGGGAAATGTAAATTAAGAGCGCAATGAGATAACTACTCTGGTGGCAGAAGGGAAAGCAACCAGCCTGACTCTAAGAAACAAAGGTTTTTACTACATGTGGCCTACAGATCTGTATTTTTCATGTTTGCTTTGGGCCCTTGATGACTGGTTGGCATTTATAAAAGTCTTTGATAATTTCTGGACACTTTAATTTTATGAAGACTTCAGACAGATTTTAAGCTCAGGTGTTTTGAGCAAAAGAAATGTCCTAGGACTGTGTAACTATTGCTGTTTTACACTAGGAAAAAAAAGGATGTTTAATAGTTTCAACTATCCAGTCTTTCTTTCAACAGCTTTACTGAAGTATGATTTACATACCATAAAGTTCACCCATTGTAACTGTACCAAACAGCCTCCAGAATAAGTCTAAACATCTCAGGACAGTGTTCAAAGTCCTCCAGACTGGTCCCATCCTCGCTTTCTAGGCTTATTTCCTAAACAGGATGTGCTCTTGATTTGCTTGGTTACTTAACAAGAAGGAACTTTACAGCTTTTATACCTTTGTTCATACTGCTACTATGTTTAGAACAGTATGTAAACACCATGTAAATCTGAATCAAGCCAAAGGCCACTGGGAAATCTATTTGAGAAAAGGTATTACATTTTCAAATGTGAGCATTGCTGTCCGCTCTGACCTGCTGCTCAAATGCTTGGCAGCAGCTTCACACTGGCCCAGTCGCTGAAACCTAAGGGCCTGCACAGGGTTGTAAGTAGCAGAAATTGAATTGTTCCGTGGAAGTTCCTAAAGAATGATGACGTTTCTCCTGATCTGGCTTTTTTGTTTGTTTGTTTTTGAGATGGAGTCTGTTGCCCAGGCTGGAGTGCAGTGGTGTGATCTCGGCTCACTGCAGCCTCTGCCTCCTGGGTTCAAGCAATTCTCCTGCGTCAGCCTCCCGGGTAGCTGGGATTATAGGCATGCGCCACCATACCCGGCTAATTTTTGTATTTTTAGCAGAGACGGGGTTTCACCATGTTGGTCAGGCTGGTCTCGAACTCCTGACCTCAAGTGATGTGCCTGTCTTGGCCTCCCAAAGTGCTGGGATTACAGGTATGAGCCACTGCGCCCGGCCTGACCCGGCTTTATATTGAGTAAGTCATCAGAGCTGCTCCTAATATTTCTGAGAATTAACTTTCAAAATCTAGCTATGCTGTGGTTGACGGTTCCAGTTTCAATACATTAGATTTGTGACTGATAAAGTGTCACTTAGTAACAGTCTATAATTATTAGTTTAACCAATACATGTATTTGAAAGTTTCTGAAGGTGGAGATCATTAAATTCTGCACTAGGCATGTTGCACCCTTGGTTAAGCAGATCCCCAGTTATCCTAATTTGACGCCCACTCACACCAACTACAGCTGTGAGTAGGTACATTTACATTTTCTTTTTGGAATCCAAATTTTGTTCCTTTTTCATAACCTTTCTTTGAAAATAGTTTTGAAATTTCTTTAAAAATTTCTAAGCTCATTTGAAAGGTAGGAAAGTATCATGGGAAATATTCTTTCTCTCTGGCCCTTCATTAGGAATCTACTAAATTGTTATTTCCCAGGAATGTTCACTCTAACATTATTCAGAATTCATTATTCAGAACGGAGTCAGATTTACATGGTGCTTATTACTCCAAACATAGTAACAGTGTGAACAAAAGTATACTTCCACAGAATATTACTTTTGGGAAATGTTAACACATATACCGTAAAATAAAAAAGAGAACAACAATCAAATTTGGGAGATTGTAGAGATTTGCCATGCATATTAGTATGTTAATGACTCCTAGCACCTCTTCTGTTTGTTAACCTAGCATTTCTCATTCTTATTTGATCATGAAATCCCTATTTCCCCAAACAGTAATCCAGTCTGGGGATCCATCCCTGAATTAAATGCTTCCTGAGATACTGTCTAGCAGAGAGCCGCTTTAAAAGAGCCCATGCAGGCATTCTTTGGATCACCATGGCAGACGGGAGAGGCAGGACTAGACTGCAGCTCCGACTTGGACGGACAGAGCAGTGTGCGGAGGCTCGCACTGTGAATTTAAGCTCCAGATTGACTGCAAGAACAAACCAGAAATCCCGAGAGGACCCACAGGAAGTGGATTCTGAAGGCAGTGGATTGCTCATGCAGGACCTGGGAGACACCCCAAATACTGTGAGTGCCCCAAGTGCCCCAACTGTGGAAGTGGGAAAGGGAGATTCTCCTCTCCTGAACACACATCCCCACTGGAGAAACTGAAGGTTGTTTGAGGGAGAAGTTTCCGACCTTACCTGGAGCTGAGTCAATTTAGCGAGCCAAGCAAAATACAGGGGTAGAGGAAGCAGCGAGAAAGGCCCCGGGAGCTCACTAGGTCCCCAGGCAGGCCATTCCTAACTGGCACCACAGGGATCCTTTGGGAGGGCAACCGGAGGAGTGTGGGGAAAAACACCACAGGGAGAAGGAAATCTCCAGCTGAACTTTGTAACAATTTGAAGCTGGGGAGAACCCTCCTGGCCAGAACTCGGGAAAGGGTGCGAATCAGGTGTGCAGACTCCACAGGCTGGGGAAGAATCAAGCCCTTTTCTTTCACAGCTGGGAGGCAGGCAGCCTGGGGCAAGTTCTCAAGCCTGGCTCCCCAACTGCTGGCAGACTCGGGGCTGTTAGATGGGGCACAGTGAGAATGAGACTGGCCCTTTGGTTTGCGTGGGAGCTGGGTGAGGCCTGTGACTGCGGCTTTCCACCACTTCCCTGACAACCTGCATGACTCAGCAGAGGCAGCCATAATGCTCCTAGGTACACAACTCCATTAACTCACCCCCATCCTCCACAGCAGCCGCAGGGAGACGCGCCCAAGGAGAGTCTGAGCTCAGACACCATCTAGCCCCGCCCCCTCCTGATGGTCCTTTCCTACTCACTCTGGTAGCTGAAGACAAGGGTATATAATCTTGGAAGTTCTAGGACCCCGCGCACCTCTGGTTCCTCTCTATACTACCACAGCTGATGCTCTCTGGAAAGTACAAACTCCCGGCAGGAGGGCAACCAGCACAAAAATAGAGCATTAAACCACCAAAGCTAAGAACTCTCACAGAGTCCATTTCACCCCCCTGCCACCTCCACTGGAACAGGTGCTGGTATCCGCAGCTGAGAAACCCATAGACGGTTCACATCACAGGACTCTGTGCAGACAACCCCCAGTACCAGCCTGGAGCTGGATAGACTTGCTGGGTGGCTAGACCCAGAAAAGAGGTAACAATCACTGCAGCCTGGCTCTCAGGAAGCCACATCCATAGGAAAAGGGGGAGAGACTACATCAAGGGAACACCCCATGGGACCAAAGTACCTGAACAACAACCTTCAGCTCTAGATGTTCCCTCTGACAGAACCTACCCAAATGAGATGGAACCAGAAAACCAACTCTGGTAATACGACAAAACTAGGCTCTTTAACACCCCCCCCAAAAAATCATACTAGTTCACCAGCAGTGGATCCAAACCAAGAAGAAATCCCTATTTACCTGAAAAAGAATGCAGGAGGTTAATTAAGTTAATCAGGGAGGCACCAGAGAAAGGTGAAGCTCAATGCAAGGAAATCCAAAAAATGATACAAGAAGTGAAGAGAGAAATATTCAAGGAGATAGCATAAAGAAAAAACAAAAAATTCTGGAAACATTGGACACACTTATAGAAATGCAAAATGCTCTGGAAAGTCTCAGCAATAGAATCGAACAAGTAGAAGAAAGAAATTGAGAGCTCAAAGACAAGGTCTTCCAATTAACCCAATCCAACAAAGACAAAGAAAAAAGAATAAGAAAATATGAACAAAGCCTCCAGGAAGTCTGGGATTATGTTAAACAACCAAACCTAAGAATAATTGGTGTTCCTGAGGAAGAAGAGAAATCTGAAAGTTTGGAAAACATATTTGGAAAATGTTCGAGGGAAACTTCTTTGGCCTTACTAGAGACCTAGACATCCAAATACAAGAAGCACAAAAAACACCTGGGAAATTCATTGCAAAAAGATCATCACCTAAGCACACTGTCATCAGTGTGCTTAACTTATCTACAGTTAAGACTAAGGAAAGAATCTTAAGAGCTGTGAGACAGAAGCACCAGGTAACCTACAAAGGAAAACCTATCAGATTAACAGAAGATTTCTCAGCAGAAACCCTAGAAGCTAGAAGGGATTGGGGCCCTATCTTCAGCCTCCTCAAACATAACAATTATCAGCCAAGAATTTTGTATCCAGTGAAACTAAGCATCACATATGAAGGAAAGATACAGTCTTTTCCAGACAAGCAAATGCTGAAAGAACTCACCACTACCCAAGCCACCTCTACGAGACCGCTAAAAGGAGCTCTACATCTTGAATCAAATCCTGGAAACACATCAAAGCAGAACGTCTTTAAAGCATAAATCACACAAGATCTATAAAACAAAAGTACAAGTTAAAAAGCAAAAACAAAAAACAAAAAACCAAGGTACACTGGCAACAAATAGCACGATGCATGTAATGGTACCTCACATCTCAATATGAACACTGAATGTAAATGGCCTAAATGCTCCACTTAAAAGATACACAACTGCGGAATGGATAAGAACTCACCAACCAACAATCTGCTGCCTTCAGGAGACTCACCTGACACATAAGGACTCATATGAACTTAAAGGGGTGGAAAAAGGCATTGCATGCAAATGGACACCAAAAGCGAGCAGGGGTAGCTATTCTTATATCAGACAAAACAAACTTTAAAGCAACAGCAGTTAAAAGAGACAAAGAGGGACATTATATAATGGTAAAAGGCCTTGTCTAACAGGAAAATATCACAATCCTAAACATATATGCACCTAACACTGGAGCTCCCAAATTTATAAAACAATTACTAACAGACCTAAGAAATGTGATAGACAGCAACAAAATAATAGTGGGGGACTTCAATACTCCACTGACAGCACTAGATGGGTCATCAAGACAGAAAGTCAACAAAGAAACAATAGATTTAAACTATACCTTGGAACAAATGGACTTAACAGATATATACAGAACATTTCATCCAACAACCACAGAATACACATTCTATTCAACAGGGCATGGAACTTTCTCCATGATAGGCCATAAAGTGAGCCTCAATAAATCTAAGAAAACTGAAATTATATCAAGCACTCTCTCAGACCACAGTGGAATAAAACTGGAAATCAACTTCAAAAGGAACCTTCAAAGCCATGCAAATACATGGAAATTAAATAACCTGCTCCTGAAAGAGCAGGTTCAAAACCTGCTTTGGTTCAAAAGCGAAATCAAGATGGAAATTTTAAAATTCTTCAAACTGAATGACAATAATGACACAATCTAACAAGACCTCTGGGATACAGCAAAGGGAGTGCTAAAAGGAAAGTTCATAGCCCTAAACGCCTACATCAGAGACTGAAAGAGCACAAACTGACATTCTAAGGTCACACCTCAAGGAACTAGAGAAATAAGGACAAACCAAACCCAAACCCGGTGGAAGCAAGGAAAGTACCAAGATCAGAGCAGAACTAAATGAAACTGAAACAAACAAAAAAATACAAAAGATAAATTAAAATTTATTTTGGTTTACATCAAAGAACAATTTATTTATGGTTCTTCGAAAAGATAAATAAAACCAACAGACCATAAGCAAAATTAACCAAGAAAAGAGAAAATCCAAAAAATCTCATTAAGAAATGAAACAGGAATAATTAAAACTGACACCACTGAAATACAAAAGATCATTCAAGACTACTATGAACACCTTTATGCACATAAACTAGAAAACCTAGAAGGGATGGATAAATTCCTGGAAAAGTACAACCCTCCTAGCTTTAATCAGGAATTAGATACTCTAAATAGATCAATAACAAGCAGCGAGATTGAAATGGTAATTTAAAAATTACCGCCAGGCACGGTGGCTCACACCTGTAATCCCAGGACTTTGGGAGGCTGAGGCGGGCGGATCACGAGGTCAGGAGATTGAGACCATCCTGGCTAACACGGTGAAACCCCGTCTCTACTAAAAATACAAAAAATTAGCTGGGTGTGATGGTGGGTGCCTGTAGTCCCAGCTATTCGGGAGGCTGAGGCAGGAGAATGGCATGAACCCAGGAGATGGAGCTTGCAGTGAGCCAAGATTGCGCCACTGCACTCCAGCCTGGGAGACAGAGCAAGACTCTGTCTCAAAAAAAAAAAAAAAAAAAAAAAAAAAAAAATTACCAACAGGGGGAGGAGTGAAGATGGCCGAATAGGAACAGCTCCGGTCTACAGCTTCCAGCGTGAGCGACGCAGAAGATGGGTGATTTCTGCATTTCCATCTGAGGTACCGGGTTCATCTCACTAGGGAGTGCCAGACAGTGGGCGCAGGTCAGTGGGTGCAGCGCACCGTGCGCGAGCCGAAGCAGGGTGAGGCATTGCCTCACTCAGGAAGCGCAAGGGGTCAGGGAGTTCCCTTTCCTAGTCAAAGAAAGGGGTGACAGACGGCACCTGGAAAATTGGGTCACTCCCACCTGAATACTGCGCTTTTCTGACGGGCTTAAAAAACGGCGCACCAGGAGATTATATCCCGCACCTGGCTCAGAGGGTCCCACGCCCACAGAGTCTCGCCGTTTGCTAGCACAGCAGTCTGAGACCAAACTGCAAGGCAGCAGCAAGGCTTGGGGAGGGGCGCCAGCCATTGCCCAGGCTTGCTTAGGTAAACAAAGCAGCCCGGAAGCTTGAACTGGGTGGAGCCCACCACAGCTCAAGGAGGCCTGTCTGCCTCTGTAGGCTCCACCTCTGGGGGCAGGGCACAGACAAACAAAAAGACAGCAGTAACCTCTGCAGACTTAAATGTCCCTGTCTGACAGCTTTGCAGAGAGCAGTGGTTCTCCCAGCACGCAGCTGGAGATCTGAGAACGGGCAGACTGCCTCCTCAAGTGGGTCCCTGACCCCTGACCCCTGAGCAGCCTAACTGGGAGGCACCCTCCAGTAGGGGCAGACTGACACTTCACACGGCCGGGTACTCCTCTGAGACAAAACTTCCAGAGGAACAATCAGACAGCAGCATTCGTGGTTCACGAAAAACCGCTGTTCTGCAGACACTGCTGCTGATACCCAGGCAAACAGGGTCTGGAGTGGACCTCTAGCAAACTCCAACAGACCTGCAGCTGAGGGTCCTGTCTGTTAGAAGGAAAACTAACAAACAGAAAGGACATCCACACCAAAAATCCATCTGTACATCACCATCATCAAAGACCAAAAGTAGATAAAACCACAAAGATGGGGAAAAAACAGAGCAGAAAAACTGGAAACTCTAAAAAGCAGAGCGCCTCTCCTCCTCCAAAGGAACCCAGTTCCTCACCAGCAATGGAACAAAGCTGGATAGAGAATGACTTTGATGAGTTGAGAGAAGAAGGCTTCAGACGATCAAACTACTCCAAGCTACAGGAGGAAATTCAAACCAAAGGCAAAGAAGTTGAAAACTTTGAAAAAAATTTAGACGAATGTATAACTATAATAACCAATACAGAGAAGTGCTTAAAGGAGCTGATGGAGCTGAAAGCAAGGCTCGAGAACTACGTGAAGAATGCAGAAGCCTCAGGAGCTGATGCAATCAACTGGAAGAAAGGGTATCAGCGATGAAGATGAAATGAAGGAAATGAAGCGAGAAGGGAAGTTTAGAGAAAAAAGAATAAAAAGAAACGAACAAATCCTCCAAGAAATATGGGACTATGTGAAAAGACCAAATCTACGTCTGATTGGTGTACCTGAAAATGACAGGGAGAATGGAACCAAGTTGGAAAACACTCTGCAGGATATTATCCAGGAGAACTTCCCCAATCTAGCAAGGCAGGCCAACATTCAGATTCAGGAAATACAGAGAATGCCACAAAGATACTCCTCGAGAAGAGCAACTCCAAGACACATAATTGTCAGATTCACCAAAGTTGAAATGAAGGAAAAAATGTTAAGGGCAGCCAGAGAGAAAGGTCAGGTTACCCATAAAAGGAAGCCCATCAGACTAACAGTGGATCTCTCGGCAGAAACTCTACATACAAGCCAGAAGAGAGTGGGGGCCAATATTCAACATTCTTAAAGAAAAGAATTTTCAACCCAGAATTTCATATCCAGCCAAACTAAACTTCATAAGTGAAGGAGAAATAAAATCCTTTACAGACAAGCAAATGCTGAGAGATTTTGTCACCACAAGGCCTGCCCTAAAAGAGCTCCTGAAGGAAGCACTAAACATGGAAAGGAACAACCGGTACCAGCTGCTGCAAAACCATGCCAAAATGTAAAGACCATCGAGACTAGGAAGAAACTGCATCAACTAACGAGCAAAATAACCAGCTAACCTCATACTGACAGGATCAAATTCACACATAACAATATTAACTTTAAATGTAAATGGACTAAATGCTCCAATTACAAGACACAGACTGGCAAATTGGATAAAGAGTCAAGACCCATCAGTGTGCTGTATTCAGGAAACCCATCTCACGTGCAGAGACACACATAGGCTCAAAATAAAAGGATGGAGGAAGATCTACCAAGCAAATGGAAAACAAAAAAAGGCAGGGGTTGCAATCCTAGTCTCTGATAAAACAGACTTTAAACCAACAAAGATCAAAAGAGACAAAGAAGGCCATTACATAATGGTAAAGAGATCAATTCAACAAGAAGAGCTAACTATCCTAAATATATATGCACCCAATACAGGAGCACCCAGATTCATAAAGCAAGTCCTGAGTGACCTACAAAGAGACTTAGACTCCCACACATTAATAATGGGAGACTTTAACACCCCACTGTCAACATTAGACAGATCAACGAGACAGAAAGTCAACAAGCATACCCAGGAATTGAACTCAGCTCTGCACCAAGCAGACCTAATAGACATCTACAGAACTCTCCACCCCAAATCAACAGAATATACATTTTTTTCAGCACCACACCACACCTATTACAAAATTGACCACATACTGGGAAGTAAAGCTCTCCTCAGCAAATGTAAAAGAACAGAAATTATAACAAACTATCTCTCAGACCACAGTGCAATCAAACTAGAACTCAGGATTAAGAATCTCACTCAAAGCCGCTCAACTACATGGAAACTGAACAACCTGCTCTTGAATGACTGCTGGGTACATAACGAAATGAAGGCAGAAATAAAGATGTTCTTTGAAACCAACGAGAACAAAGACACAACATACCAGAATCTCTGGGACGCATTCAAAGCAGTGTGTAGAGGGAAATTTATAGCACTAAATGCCCACAAGAGAAAGCAGGAAAGATCCAAAATTGACACCCTAACATCACAATTAAAAGAACTAGAGAAGCAAGAGCAAACACATTCAAAAGCTAGCAGAAGGCAAGAAATAACTAAAATCAGAGCAGAACTGAAGGAGATAGAGATACAAAAAACCCTTCAAAAAATTAATGAATCCAGGAGCTGGTTTTTTGAAAGGATCAACAAAATTGATAGACTGCTAGCAAGACTAATAAAAAAAGAGAGAAGAATCAAATAGACACAATAAAAAATGATAAAGGGGATATCACCACCGATCCCACAGAAATACAAACTACCATCAGGGAATACTACAATCACCTCTATGCAAATAAACTAGAAAATCTACAAGAAATGGATAAATTCCTCGACACATACACTCTCCCAAGACTAAACCAGGAAGAAGTTGAATCTCTGAATAGACCAATAACAGGAGCTGAAATTGTGGCAATAATCAATAGCTTACCAACCAAAAAGAGTCCAGGACCAGATGGAATCACAGCCGAATTCTACCAGAGGTACAAGGAGGAACTGGTACCATTCCTTCTGAAACTATTCCAATCAATACAAAAAGAGGGAATCCTCCCTAACTCATTTTATGAGGCCAGCATCATCCTGATACCAAAGCTGGGCAGAGACACAACCAAAAAAGAGAATTTTAGACCAATATCCTTGATGAACATTGATGCAAAAATCCTCAATAAAATACTGGCAAACCGAATCCAGCAGCACATCAAAAAGCTTATCCACCATGATCAAGTGGGCTTCATCCCTGGGATGCAAGGCTGGTTCAATATACGCAAATCAATAAATGTAATCCAGCATATAAACAGAACCAAAGACAAAAACCACATGATTACCTCAACAGATGCAGAAAAGGCCTTTGACAAAATTCAACAGCCGTTCATGCTAAAAACTCTCAATAAATTAGGTATTGATGGGACGTATCTAAAATAATAAAAGCTATCTATGACAAACCCACAGCCACTATCATACTGAATGGGCAAAAACTGGAAGCATTCCCTTTGAAAACTGGCACAAGACAGGGATGCCCTCTCTCACCACTCCTATTCAACATAGTGTTGGAAGTTCTGGCCAGGGCAATTAGGCAGGAGAAGGAAATAAAGGGTATTCAATCAGGAAAAGAGGAAGTCAATTTGTCCCTGTTTGCAGATGACATGATTGTATATCTAGAAAACCCCATTGTCTCAACCCAAAATCTCCTTAAGCTGATAAGCAACTTCAGCAAAGTCTCAGGATACAAAATCAATGTACAAAAATCACAAGCATTCTTATACACCAATAACAAACAGAGAGCCAAATCATGAGTGAACTCCCATTCACAATTGCTTCAAAGAGAATAAAATACTTAGGAATCCAACTTACAAGGGACGTGAAGGACCTCTTCAAGGAGAACTACAAACCACTGCTCAATGAAATAGAAGAGGATACAAACAAATGGAAGAACATTCCATGCTCATGGATAGGAAGAATCAATATCGTGAAAATGGCCATACTGCCCAAGGCAATTTATAGATTCAATGCCATCCCCATCAAGCTACCAATGACTTTCTTCACAGAATTGGAAAAAACTACTTTAAAGTTCATATGGAACCAAAAAAGAGCCCGCATCGCCAAGTCAATCCTAAGCCAAAAGAACAAAGCTGGAGGCATCACACTACCTGACTTCAAACTATACTACAAGGCTACAGTAACCAAAACAGCATGGTACTGGTACCAAAACAGAGATATAGATCAATGGAACAGAACAGAGCCCTCAGAAATAACACTGCATATCTACAACTATCTGATCTTTGACAAACCTGAGAAAAACAAGCAATGGGGAAAGGATTCCCTATTTAATAAATAGTGCTGGGAAAACTGGCTAGCCATATGTAGAAAGCTGAAACTGGATCCCTTCCTTACACCTTATACAAAAATCAGTTCAAGATGGATTAAAGACTTAAATGTTAGACCTGAAACCATAAAAACCCTAGAAGAAAACCTAGGCATTACCATTCAGGACACAGGCATGGGCAAGGACTTCATGTCTAAAACACCAAAAGCAATGGCAACAAAAGCCAAAATTGACAAATGGGATCTAATTAAACTAAAGAGCTTCTGCACAGCAAAAGAAACTACCATCAGAGTGAACAGGCAACCTACAGAATGGGAGAAAATTTTCTCAATCTACTCATCTGACAAAGGGCTAATATCCAGAATCTACAATGAATTCAAACAAATTTACAAGAAAAAAACAACCCCATCAAAAAGTGGGCGAAGGACATGAACAGACACTTCTCAAAAGAAGACATTTATGCAGCCAAAAAACACATGAAAAAATGCTCACCATCACTGGCCATCAGAGCAATGCAAATCAAAACCACAATGAGATATCATCTCACACCAGTTAGAATGGCAATCATTAAAAAGTCAGGAAACAACAGGTGCTGGAGAGGATGTGGAGAAAGGGGAAGACTTTTACACTGTTGGTGGGACTGTAATCTAGTTCAACCATTGTGGAAGTCAGTGTGGCTATTCCTCAGGGATCTAGATCTAGAAATACCATTTGACCCAGCCATCCCATTACTGGGTATATACCCAAAGGAGTATAAATCATGCCGCTATAAAGACACATGCACATGTATGTTTATTGCGGCACTATTCACAATAGCAAAGACTTGGAACCAACCCAAATGTCCAACAATGATAGACTGGATTAAGAAAATGTGGCACATATACACCATGGAATACTATGCAGCCATAAAAAATGATGAGTTCATGTCTTTTGTAGGGACACGGATGAAATTAGAAATCATCATTCTCAGTAAACTATCACAAGAACAAAAAACCAAACACTGCATATTCTCACTCATAGGTGGGAATTGAACAATGAGAACACATGGACACAGGAAGGGGAACATCACACTCTGGGGACTGTTGTGGGGTGTGGGGAGGGGGGAGGGATAGCACTGGGAGATATACCTAATGCTAGATGACGAGTTAGTGGGTACAGTGCACCAGTATGGCACATGTATACATATGTAACTAGCCTGCACATTGTACACATGTACCCTAAAACTTAAAGTATAATTAAAAAAAAATTACCAACAAAAAAAATGTCCAGGACAAGACAGATTTCACAGTAGAATTCTATCAGACATTCAAAGAAGAATTGGTACCAATCCTTTTGACACTATTCCACAATATTGAGAAAAAGGGAACCCTCCCTAATTCATTCTATGAAGCCAGCATCAGCCTAATACCAAAGCCAGGAAAGGACATAACCAAAAAAGAAAACTACAGACCAATATCCTTGATTAGCATAGATGCTAAAATCCGTAACAAAATACTAGCTAACCAAATCCAACAATTTATCAAAAAGATAATCCACCATGATCAAGTGTGTTTCATACTAGGGATGCAGAGATGGTTTAACATACGCAAGTGAATTAAATGTGATAAACCACATAAACAGAATTAAAAACAAAAATCATGTGATCTTCTCAATAGATGCAGAGAAAGCATTTGACAAAATCCAGTATCCCTTTATGATTAAAATTGTTAGCAGCAAATCAGCATACAAGGGACATACTTCAATGTAATAAAAGCCATCTGTGACTAACCCACAGCCAATATAATACTGAATGGGGAAAAGTTGAAAGCATTCCCTCTGAAAATAGGAACACGACAAGAATGCCCACTCTCACCACTTCTTTTCAACACAGTACTGGAAAGTCCTAGCCAGAGAAATCAGACAAGAGAAAGAAATAAAGGGCATCCAAATCGGTAAAGAGGAAGTCAAACTGTCACTGTTTGCTGATGATATGATAGTTTACGCTGAAAACCCTAAAGACTCCTCCAGAAAGCTCCTAGAACTGATAAAAGAATTCAGCAAAGTTTCTGGATACAAGATTAATGTACATAAATCAATAGCTCTTCTATACATCAACAGCAACCAAGCAGAGAATCAAATCAAGAACTCAACCCCTTTTATAATAGCTGCAAAACTCAAAATACTTTGGAATTTACCTAATCAGGGAGGTGAAAGACCTCTACAAGGAAAACTGCAAAACACTGCTGAAAGAAATCACAGACAACACAAACAAATGGAAATGCATCCCATGCTCATGGATGCATAGAATCAATATTGTGAAAATGATCATAGTGCCAAAAGCAATCTACAAATTCAATGCAATCCCCATTCAAAATGCCACCATCATTCTTTACGAAATTAGAAAAAACAATTCTAAAATTCATATGAAACAAACAAACAAAAAAGCCCACATAGCCAAAGCAAGACTAAGCAAAAAGAACAAATCTGGAGGCATCACACTACCTGATTTCAAACTATACTATAAGGCCATAGTCACCAAAACAGCATGGTACTGCTAAAAAAATAGGCACACAGACCAATGGAACAGAATAGAGAACCTGGAAACAAACCCAAATACTTAACAGCCAACTGATCTTTGACAAAGCAAACAAAAACGTGAAGTGGGGAAAGGACACCCTTTTCAACAAATGGTGCTGGGATAATTGGCTAGCCACATGTAGGAGAATGAAACTGGATCCTCAACTCTCACCTTATATGAAAATCAACTCAAAATGGATTAAGGACTTAAATCTAAGACCTGACACTATAAAAATTCTAGAAGATAACATGGAAAAACCCTTCTAGACATTGGCTTAGGCAAGGATTTCATGACCAAGAACCCAAATGCAAATGCAATAAAAACAAAAATAAATAGTTGGGACTTAATTAAACTAAAGAGCTTTTACACAGCAAAAGTAACAGTCAGCAGAGTAAACAGACAACCCACAGAGTGGGAGAAAAGCTTCACAATCTGACAAAGGACTAACAAGCTGACAAAGGACTAACATCCAGAATCGACAAAAAATTTAAACAAAACAGTAAGAAAACAAAATCCCATCAAAAAGTGGGCTAAGGATATGAACAGACAATTCTCAAATGAAGATACACAAATGGCCAACATACGAAAAAATGCTCAACATCACTAATGATCAGGGAAATGCAAATCAAAACCACAATGCGCTACCACCTTACTCCTGCAAGAATGGCCATAATCAAAAAATCAAAAAACAGTAGATGTTGTCATGGATGCGGTGAACAGGGAACACTTCTATACTGCTGATGGGAATGTAAACTAATACAACCACTATGGAAAACAGTATGGAGATTTCTTGAAGAATTAAAAGTAGAACTACCATTTGATCCAGCAATCCCACTACTGGGTATCTACCCAGAGGAAAATAAGTCATTATATGAAAAAGATACTTTCATGTGCACGTTTATAGCAGCACAATTCGCAACTGTAAAATCGTGGAACCAACCCAAATGCCCATTACTCAATGAGTGGATAAAGAAACTGTGGTATATTTATACGATGGAATACTACTCAGCCACAGAAAGGAATGCATTAACAGCATTTGCAGTGACCTGGATGAGACTGGAGGCTATTATTCAAAGTGAAGTAACTCAGGAATGGAAAACCAAACATCAAATGTTCTCACCGACATGTGGGAGCTAAGCTATGAGGACGCAAAGGCATTAAGAATGATATGGACTTTGGGGACTTGGGGAGAATGGTGGGAGGGAGGCGAGGGACAAAAGACTACAAATATGGTGCATTGTATACTGTTCAGGTGATGGGTGAACCAAAATCTCACAGATCACCACTAAAGAACTTATGTAACCAAATACCACCTGTACCCTAATAACTTACGGAAAAATGAAAATAAATAAATGCTACAGAGAAATCCAATAAATGACCAATGCAGGAATGACATTCAAATTCAACCAACAACAACAACAACAAAAAGAGCCCATGCCTGAAAACCTCCAGTGGTTGCTCAACTACTGCTGTAGGTAGTCTATTTCATCTTTTTATTGAAAAATCAAAATGCAATATGCTTGTTATAAAAATAATACATATGGTACAGAAGTATACAAAGTTTAAGAAGTATACAAAGATTATGGTTCCCTTTTGATGACCTCCAAAACACTGCTATTAATAGTTTGGCGCATATTCTTTCAAATATTTTTCATTTCAATGACACACTTTTATATACACATAAATATGGGAATGAAATGATACCAAACATGTTGCTTTACAAACTGCTATATGATGTAATGTCTTTAGGAGGTTCCCATAACAGTACATAAAGACAAACCTCATTATTTCTAATTGCTGAATAGTATTCTACAATATAGATATACCACCATTTATTTAATCATTCCCTTGTTTTTCCTTTTTTTTTGGGCTGTTTCCATTACTTTTTTTTTGCTACTATCAGCAATGCTTCTATAAACTTTCCTATACATGTTATCTTTGGGTCCATGTGTAAATATTTCTGTAAGACAAATTGCTAGAAGTGGAAATGCTGAGTCAAAAGTTTGTATTTGAATGCCTGAGAAATGATGCCAAATACTGTCTTCTGAAAAAGCTATTTTTAGCTTCAGTTTTAGCATGGAAGGTCGAATACATTTCTGGGTCCACCACTTCATAAATACACCCAAACAACAAACAGGACAAGAAATAGGAACACAAACTCCATTTCTGATAAAACTGAGAGATATTTTGGATTGTAATCCTAATCTATAATATATGAAAGAAGAAGGTGGATAGAAGAAAAGTAAATTATTTCACGGGAAAGAGTCAATCTAAGTACCTCCAAAGGGACAGACAGGTGAGCCTCAAGCCAACTGACCTTCAGGAATCAGCAGCACTTCAGGAGGAAAGGATGATATGGGGGATGGAGGAATTATTTGAAAGCTCCTGTAAGAAGAGCTTTAAATCTCCAAATCCCTCACCCTTGGCAATAGGAGATTTACACTCAGGAGAAACTAAATAAATCAGAGAGGCTCTGGGCTCAGAGATGACTGCAAGAAGACTGGCAAAAACCACCTTAACCACATGATCAGTGTTAACGTTACCAAATAACAGGACATGCTGATATCATGTACCCCGATACGAATGTATTGAAAAGGGTACATCACTTCTGTGGTATTCCTCCAAAAAAAATCCATAACCTCAATGTAATCACAAAAAAGTATCAGACAAATCCATACTGAGAACACTGGACAAAATACCTGACCAATACTTTTCAAAAGTGTCAAGGGTATGGCAGAGAAGGAAAGACTGAAGAACTATCACAAACTGAAGGAGACTAAATGTAATGTGAGACCCAAAAGACTCAAGGGGAACCCTATATAGCTTCCTTGGGCTTCTTCTCTGCATATTTCTCTTCTCTCCAGTAGCCTGCTGCACAAATTCCACCTACTTTTATTGTCTTTTTCTTTTGAGATGGAGTCTTGCTCTGTCGCTAGGCTGGAGTGCAGTGGCGCGATCTCGGCTCACTGCAACCTCTGACTCCCTGGTTCAAGTGATTCTCCTGCCTCAGCCTCCCGAGTAGCTGGGAATACACGCATGTGCCACCACGCCTGGCTAATTTTTGTATTTTTAGTAGAGACGGGGTTTCACCATGTTGGCCAGGATGGTCTTGATCTCTTGACCTCCTGATCCGCCCGCCTCGGCCTCCCAAAGTGCTGGGATTACAGGCGTGAGCCAACACGCCCGGCCCCACCTACTTTTCTACACCTAAACTCTGATCTCAGTCTCACTGAGACTGCTGGGCTGTCTGCTCCCTTCTGCCTGTTCATAAATGGGGCATCTTATGCTACAGAAAAGTGGCTCCAAGCGGAAAGCTGGGAGGGCAATTATGGGGCTCATCCCATTTGTTTTCCTTAGTCTTAGGGATCATGGTTCTGCATGTTTTCAAATGTCTACAAACATGTATTCCATATATTTTGTCTAATTTTCTAGCTGTTTACAGCAAGAGGCCTAGTCCAGTACTAGTTATTCGGTCATGGCCAGAAGTAAGGTCCAAGTGCTTTTAAGATATTACAATAATTATCAGACAACCTCTTTCAAAGAAGTACCACTGTAATTTTAAAAAATGCTGTATTTAAAGTATTTCTAAGCTCTGGTCATTGTAAAAAATGTTTATGTATTTTTATGTTATGACATTCGTTTTCTTTGTAGAAAGTAATATTACTATACATTCAATAAATGCTTCTTCAATGACTAAAAACTAACAGAACACTTACAAACAAAAATGTTAATTTTGGGGATATGGAGAATCTTAAAACATGAGCTTATATAGTGCGTAAATAAACCTTCTGGGGCTGACTTTCTAAACAGAACTTACTTAGTTTACATGAAAATAAAGACTTGATTATACAAAACTAGACAGCTCTAATTCCTCTGAAACAATCTAAGAGCCAGTAAAAGTAATACTCTTATTAACCAAAAAGACCAGAATGTTTCTAAGTATATAATATAAATGCATATGTTATGCTACATATTCAAGGCTACACCTAACAAGCTATTAAACCTCCAAATAAATCCTAAATTATTTTGCTCTAATTTGTAGAAGTTCCACCCAAGTTATTTGCTTTCTCAAATAAAAGTTATGCATTCAACACTCAGTTTCACAAGATAAGCCTTCAAGCTCTCTTATCAGTGGCTTTGAATTCATGTAAAGTCCTTCATTTCCAATTTGACAATTTAGTTGGCCCCTGGTTAGGGCTAATGAAGTCCTTGATGGTTGGTGCCAATGAGGCCCAACTTGCCTTCTGGATTCTTGAACAAAAGGAAAATTGGTCTATGGCTACAGGAAACACTTCTAATCACAGCCAGGCTCCTGGGAGTAAATGCAGAAATGACTAGGCTAAAGGGTATCACCACTTCAAGGGCAAAAATAACAAGAAGAGCTGTCCTCTTGGTAAGTGGGCACCATATTCTTGTAAAAGCTCAGTTCACAATTTCTCAACTTTTCAATAGTCCTTTTGTGTCCACCTCTTGTCTTGTCTTATACTTTAACTCTGATTTGCAAACAACAACAACAACAGAAAGACTTATTGAAAGCACATGGCACTTCAGATAGGATCTATATGGCAATGTCATCACAATACCAGTAGGCCAGACATAGGCTACTTTTTTTCGTTTTTTTAGACAGAGTTTCGCTCTTGTTGCCCAGGCTGGAGTGCAATGGTGCGATCTCGGCTCCCTGCAACCTCCGCCTCCTGGGTTCATGTGATTTTCCTGCCTCAGCCTCCTGAGTAGCTGGGAGGCGCCTGCCACCCACGCCCAGCTAATTTTTGTGCTTTTTTTTGTTTGTTTTTTAGTAGAAACAGGATTTCACCATGTTGGCCAGGCTGGTCTTGAACTCCTGACCTCAGATGATCCACCTGCCTCGGCCTCCCAAAGTGCTGGAATTACAGGCGTGAGCCACCGTGCCCGGCCAAGCTACTTTTATAATTGCCACTGGAGAGTCAATCAGAATTGCTAATGGTGTGTCTACCATTCTGAAATTATCATAAAAATGTATGTATGAATGTTCAAGTATCTCAGTATTCATCCTCAAAATTTCTCTACGGAGTCCTACTCCATGATTCTGATAGAGTTCATTTCCTCCATTGCAAAGAGCTCAAAGAAAGCAATCAAAAAACCTTGAGAAGCACAGAAAAATAACAAGAGTCCAATAAAACAACTGTTCCTTCAGATTAAAGACATTCAAATGAAGCATTTACACTCAATGGGGAAACAACAATAACACTAGGCTATTAATCATAGCACTTTATTAAAAATAAAAACACTAACAAAATGTGAGAAGAGCTGCATATTATTTGCTCCTGAGAGTAATCTGTCATGTAAAGGAGCCACTGAAAAATACATGGCAGATACAATGAGTTCAGGCTGTACACAGGTTGTTCCCAATGGTGTCTCTCAACAGATTAGTCATATTTCATGAAGCTCATAAATGAGAAGTATAAGAAAAGACATATTTATTCTTCCCTTCCCAAGCTAATACAATTCATAACTTTTTCCAAATTTAAAATATAATGATAATGAATAAAAGAAAACTAAAGCAGAGGAATAATACTACACATTGGTGATGATTCAGAATTAGCATCCACTTATCCTGTCACAATCTAGTTTATAAACATCTGCTCTCAGGAGACTCAGAGAAAGAACTATATCCCCACTCCCTATGCCCTATCCCATTATGCTTGACAACTGCTGTCATGGGAGTTAGCATGAAAATCTTAAGGTTTTTTGTTTTTATTTTTATTTTATTTTATTTTAATTTTGAGACAGGGTCTCACTCTTTCACCCAGGCTGGAGTGCAGTGGTGCAATCACAGCTCACTGCAGCCTTGACCTCCTGGGCTCGGGTGATCCTCCCACCTCAGCCTCCTGAGCAGCTGGGACTACAGGCGCGTGCCACGATGTCCCACTAATTTTTGTGTTTTTTGTAGAGACGGCATTTCACCATATTGCCCAGGTTGGTCTCGAACTCCTGGGCTCAAGTGATCCATGTGCCCCTGCCTCCCAAAGTGCTGGGATTACAGGCATGAGTCATCACACCTAGCCAATCTTAAGATTTTTATAGATTCTGTAAGTTCAAAGTATAGGTAAAAAAGAAGCTTTAGAAAACAGGCAGATTTTAGTTTAAAATAAGGAACAGTTTTTAAAAAAAATAAAGTTCTACTAAACACTAGAATGGGATGTCTTGTGAGAAAGAATACCCTATCACTAGAAAATGGTAAGGATTACTGTAAAGATAACCACTGTACAGGTAAAATTTGTAATTCCAAAATTCTGTAATTTTCTGAAACAGAACAAAATGGTCTTGCTAATAAATCTCAGGGACTCCATGTCTGACATGTCACTTATTTGAAATGGCACAAACTTCTTTGCTACGTACTATTTAAAAGAAAGATAGCTTATAATCAATTGCTTTGTGAAATTCTGACATGAATTTTAAGACTTGACAGATATGCTATTTTCCTTCAAGGTTTATGTGACAAAAGCAATGATTTATTTGATGCCTACTTTTAATTTGGGAATCACCTTCCATATTGTAATCCATTTTATTTAACTTCCAGAAGGAAAAATCAAAATGTTTAGTTAGTATGCAAATGGCTCCCAAATATCCTGAATCTCCTTGAAATTTTCATACATATTCAGATATCTTTATTGACGTAAGTATAATGAGAAGCCTCTATCTAATTAGTTCTAAAACTATTTGCCATTTCCTGGATATTCATAAATATTAATCCCAAAGACAGGTTTAAAACAAATATGCTCAAGATCCTTTAATCATATTTAAATAAAATCCATGCAAATATTTATAATGAGCCAATAAGGATGCATTTATAAATTAAAGAAGTTAAACTGAATAAATATAATTACTTATTAATAATATTTATTAAAATGGTACATGCTGGGGAATGCTGGGAATTGTAAAAATAAGTGACACAAGGACATTGACACTTTTCCTAGTGATCTCATTGTGCAGTAGGGACGAAACTATGCATCAAATGACTGTATTACATATAAAGTAGAAAGTGCTAGACAAGAGGTCAAATAAATGTAAAGTTAAATTAAAAGTTAAGAGTTTTCTTTCTGCTGGAATATTGCCCAGAGCACTGCTGCTGAGGTGGCATTTAAAGCTGGGCCTTGAATGATACACAGGATTTGGCCTGGTAGAAGGGAGGCATCTTATTAGCAAATCAACTTGAGGGAGGAAGTTTCAGGTGAGTGAGGAACTGAGGTTAATTGAGTTTGCTGGGATAGAATTTGGGTTCATATCCTAGCTCCAACAGATATATTAGCTGTGTGGTGCTGTGTAGATTATTTAATGTTTTTAAGTTTCCATTTTCTTAAACATATATACAAATAGTAACAATATCTACTTTACTGTGTTTAAGTAATGATTAAAATATAGTTAAAGGATTTATCATGTTTCCTGGCATAAACTAAATGCTCAATTAATATTAACTTACCACTACTAATAGTAACAAATCTATTCATTAATTGAAAGTGAATGTGATTGGATCAAGCTGGATTGAGCCATACTTGTCTACCTTCCTTTCCAACCAAAATCTCTTAAAATTACAGAAACAACTACTTGTATAACAAGGGATGTCACTGGGTGTGGTGGTGTGCACCTGTAGTCCCACCTGCTCAGGAAGCTGAGATGGGGGGATTGTTGCTTGAGCCCAGGAGTTCAAAGCTGCAATGAGCTATGATCACTTCACCACACTCCAGTCTGGGCAACAAAGTGAAACCCTGTCTCTCTAAACACACACACACACACACGCACACACACACATACACACACACACGAAAAAGAAAAAAGAAAATGCCATTCTTAAAATTAAAATGTTGAAGAATTCTTAAACGATAGAAAGTGGTTTGGTGAAAACAAAAAAATAGAGAAAATCTACAGCTAAATCTGGCAGAGGAAAAAAGTTTTCAAATGAGCAGATAAGCAAGACCAGAGATATTCCATAGAGTAAAGGACATGAGAAAATACATGAGTAATTAAAAAAACAAAACAAAACAACAACAACAACAAAAACAAACTATTTTTGGATAGTCTGAGCCAGAAATACTGCTGCTTCTGCTCCTATTGAGCCACACGCTACCCTAGCTTTTTTTCTTGGGACAAAACCTTAAACCTCCTTCCCCAAAAAGAGTGCTTATGACAAACTTTTATGAATAAACTTGTGATAGGTCAACAACCTATCAACAACCTAATATAGGGATAATCAAAGGCAAATATGTATAGAAAGCTAAACAATCTAGAATTAACAATTAACACAATGAAAGAGAGGCATAAAATTCAACAAGAGAAATAATAAAGGAAACAGCAAATAAGGAAACAGGAGAAAACTTCAAGAGATATCAATATTAGAATACCATAAAACAAGAATAAGCTGTTATAAAAAAAAGTTTACAGGCCAGGTGTGGTGGCTCATGCCTGTAATCCCAGCACTTTGGGAGGCTGGGGTGGGCAGATTGCTTGAGCTCAGGAGTTCAAGACCACCCTGGGCAACATGGTGAAACCTCATCTCTACTAAAATACAAAAAATTAGCTGGACGTAGTGGCACATGCCTGTAGCCCAGCTACTCAAGAGGCTGAGGCATGAGAATCACTTGAGCCTGGGAGGCAGGGGTTGCAGTGAGCCGAGATCGCACCACTGCACTCCAGCTTGGGCTACAGAGTAAGGCTCTGACTCAAAAAAAAACAAAAAAAAAATTACAGATGTTGAAAATTAAAAATATAGCCAGGAGAGATGTCCAGTTTCAATGGTGGCATGTAAATAGCTTGAAAGTCATCATTTTCATTCTTACAAGAAAAAGCTGGAAAATTGAAAATGAATGACTTTCCTGGACTCACTAGAGAAATGAGATTGCAGGGCAAATCCCCACCCCAAACTGTAGAGACAGGTGCATTCAGAGACATACAGCAACCAAGATTTGCTTACATGAAGCAGAAGCCATGGGAGACATAAACTGGTAGGAACACTTAAAAGGTAATCTTACAAATTGCTAGAGGTTGAGTGTGGACTATTGTGAGAATGAAAAAATCCTGGGGGCCACAGTCTTAGGGGTGACTACATTTCTGTGGACATTCCCTCCAGGAATTTTACCAGGTTGTCATCACGAGGATTCCAAAAGATTCCCTCCTGTCTCTGGCAGGGGGAGAGGAAGAGTAACCATCATGAAACATGCCCAGAACCTGTTCCAGAGAATTAATTGTGAAAGCTTATCCCAGCTAGAGGAAAGAAATTCCTTGTTCCTCCAATTTTCTTCAGCTTTCCTGTTTGACCTAAGTGGGGGTTAGAAGAGAATACGACAACCCATAGTCAAGAGAGGACAGGGGCTTCAGGAAATAGATTGGGAACACTACAGATGGGAAAGGGAATAGGGAACAGGGGGAAGAAAGCTGTACTACTGGAGAAACACTTGTGAAGGTCACAACCATAAGACAAGCCCCCTGAAAACCTGAGACTTAATCAAAGATCATAGCATGTCCTTCTCCCTCACATCTTAACATTATACAAACAGTGCTCAAGAATAATAGCGGAAACAACTATTAGCTGAAAGAACTGCAAGAAAAAGGCTCCCTCTGAGGAGTAATACTTAGGGAAGTTCCGAAGTCAAGAGTAGAGACAAAAAATCAAGTACGCTAAAGAAGCTTCAAGTCTCTGATAACCTATAGCTACAACAAACATTAAACACACAACCCAACTTCTAGCTGGATTAACATAAATCCTCACACTAAAGGCCTATTTATCTCAGTTCTTATTACTGCATACAAGACACCAAGCTTTCAACAAGAAATTATAATATTTTCATGCCCCAAACAAGAAAAACCCCAGTCTGAAGAAACAAAACAACCATCAGAAAAAGACAAAGATGTTGGAATTATCACCAGGGTATTTCAAATAACTATGACTAGAATGCTAAGGGCTGTAATGAAAATAAGTAGGGAACATGCAAGAAGAGACTAGTAAGCACAGAGACAGAACTGTAAAAAAAGAATCAAAAGGAATTCTACAAAGAAAAAATGAAGCATGCCTTTGATGGGCTCATCAGTAGATTCAACGTGGGTGTGGAAAGAATGGGTCAATTGAGGACAGCCAGTAGAAACTTCCTACACTAAAATGCAAAGAGAAAAAAGAATGAAAAAAACAGAATATCCAAAATCATGGGGCATTATCAAAAAGTGGAATGTACATCTAATTGGAATATCAGAGAAGAGAGAATAAAGCGAGAATTTTCCAAAATTAATGACAAACACCTAACCACAGATCCAAGAAGCTGAGAGGATACCAAGCACAATAAATATTTTAAAAATCTACACCTAAGCACATCATACCCAAACTGCAGAAAACCAAAGACAAAGCGAAAATCTTGAAAGACGGCAGAATAAAAAAAACCACCCTACCTCCAGAGGAATAATGATAAGAATTACAGTGGAGAGCATGTCAAAAGCCATGTTAAGTGTAGTGAAATATTCAAAGTGCTGAAAAAAAAACCCACCAACCTTACATTCTATATCCAGCAAAATTGCACTTCAAAGGTTAATGAGAAATAAAAACTTTCTCAGACAAACAAAAATAAGGAGAATCAATCAGCAGATAATTTGCCCTGCAAGAAATGTTAAAAGAAGTTCTTCAAGCAGAAGGAAAATGATATAGGTCAGAAACTTGGATTTACAAAGAAAGAAAGAGTGCTGGAGAAGGAAAAAGCAAAGGTAAAATAAAATCTTTTATTTTTCTTATTCTTAGTTGACCTAAAAGGTAATGATTTGTTTAAAGCAATAGTAGTAACAATATACTGGGTAGCTACAGCATATGGGTAAGTGAAATAAATGACAGCACTATTACAAGGGATGGGAGGGAAGAATTGGGAATACTCTTATAAAATACCTATAGTACAAATGAAGCAGTATAGTGTTGTCTTAAGAACCTAGGTTAGTTAAAAACGTATACTGTAAAACTGAGGGCAACCACTAAAAATTTTTAAAATAAGTATAATCAAAATTTTGAGAGAGGAGATAAGATTATATAAAGTACTCAAAACTGACGAAGGCAGAAAAAGAGGGAGAAAAGAAACCAATAACCAATGCAATGAACAGAAAGAAAACAGTTGGAAACATGGTAGATATTAATCTGGTTACAGCAACAATCACTTTAAATGTAACTGGCCTAAATATACCTATTAAGTGACAGGGATTATCAGAGTAAATTAAAAAACAAGACAAACTATGTGCTGTCTACAAGAAAATTCACTTTAAATATAAAGATTCAGAGTAAAAGTAAAGGGATAATTACTTTACACCCACTAGGATAGCCACTATAAAAAACACCCCGAAAAATGAAAGTAATAAGTTTTGGTGATGATACTGAAAACCTGGAACTCTTCTGCATCAGTGGTGGGCATGTAAAATGGTACAGCCACTGTGAAAACAGTATAAAAGTTCCTCTCAAAAGTAACAATAGAATTATCATATGATCCAGCAATTCCACTCTGAGTATACACTAGAGAATTGAAAGCAGGGTCTCAAAGAGATCTTTGTACATCCATATTCAGAATATCTGAAATGTGGAAACAATCCAAATGTCTAATGATGGATGAACAGATAATCAAAATGTGGTATATAGATGTAACAAAATATTATTCAGAATTAAAAAGGAAGGAAATGCTAACATATGTTACAATATGGATGTACCTTGAGGATATTATGGTAAGTGAAATAAGCCAGTCACAAACAGATAAATACTGTATGATTTCTACTTATATAAGGCTAGAATAGTCCTGATCATAGAAATAGAAGGTAAAAGGGAAGAGGGAAGGATGTGGAGTCTTTGTTGAATGGGCACAGAGTTTCAGTTTTGCAAGATGAAGAGTTCTTGAGATGGATAGCAGTGATAGCTGCACAACAGAATGAATGCACTTAATGCCAAGGAAATACACACAATAGTTAAGATAGTTAATTTTAGGGCTATGTACATTTTACTGTAATTTTTTAAAATGGGGGAAAATATTAGCAGGAGAAGAAAGTAAGTCAGAGAGGAGGAGGTAGAAAACAAAGATAGCTAGAACGAAAGAATCATGAGCACAGGCAATTCTGGGTAAGGTAACTTGTAAAGGGACAAAGGGGCAATGGATTGAAAGCAGATAACAGATGCTCCTCTTATGCCCCATCCAAGGAGGCTCAGCTGAGTTCAAAACAGCTCTTTGTTACAGATTAAAACAAGGACTTCAAAATTCTGAATAGGAGGATCTCTATTATATAATTTTTTGAAGATCTTCATGTATTAGTGATTATAGTTTAAATACCCTTTCATTAAAAAGCCACATGACTAAAAGTTACAAAAAAAGTAAAGGGAGGCCAGGCACAGTGGCTCATGCCTGTAATCCCAGCAATTTGGGAGGCTGAGGCAGGTGGATCACCTGAGGTCAGGAGTTCGAGACCAGCCTGACCAACATGGAGAAACCCTGTCTCTACTAAAAACACAAAAATAGCCAGGTGTGGTGGCGCATGCCTGTAATCCCAGCTACTCGGGAGGCTGAGGCAGGAGAATCGCTTGAACCCAGGAGTTGGAGGTTGTGGTGAGCTGAGATTGCACCATTGCACTCCAGGCTGCGCAGCAACAAGAGCAAAACTCCGTCTCAAAAAAAAAAAAAAAAAAAAAAAGAATGATATAGCTTGCTATAATTAATCAAAAGAAAGATGGAATACCTTTATTACATTGTTATATTGATATATTAATTAGCTATATTAATACTAGACAAAGCAGACTTCAGAACAAGGAAGATTATCAGAGAAAAAGGAAGGTATTACATAATGATAAAGCTGTCAATTTTCCAAGAAGACATAACAATCCTAAACATGTATGCACCCAACAAAAGAGTGCCAGAATATATAAGGCAAAACTGACAGAACTGCAAGAGGATAGGCAAAATTCACTGTAATAACTGGAGAGTTTAAATACCCTTCTGTCAGTAATTGATAAATCAAGAAGGAAAAAAAATTACTAAGTATATAGATGATCTGAACAGTCATCTATATCAATTGATCTAATAGACATTTATAGCATATTCCATCCAACAATGACAAAACGCACATTATTCTTAAGCTTGCATGGAAATTCACCAAGATAGACAACATCTGGGACATAAAATATACTTTAACGCATTTAAATAAACAGAAATCATACAAAGTATGTTTTCAGACAGTAGCGTTAAATTAGAAATAAGTAACAAAAATATAGCTGGAAAACTCCAAATATTTGGAAATAAATATATCTAAATAACTCATGGGCCAAAGAGGGAGCTAGATGTAAAAACAGAAAATCTTTTGAACTGAATGAAAATAAGTGAAACTTAGATTATACCTTGGGAAACTAGAGAAAGAAGAGAAAATTAAGCCTAAAGCAAGCAGAAGAAGGGGAATAATAAAAATTAGAGCAGAAATAAATGAAATTGAAAACAGAAAAATAGAGAAAATAAAATGAAATTAAAAGTTAGTTATTTATAAAGATCAACAGACTGTTAAACCTGTAGCCAGGCACCAAGGGAAAAAGAAAGAGAAGCCACAAATTACTAATATCAGATATGAAAGAGGGGCTAACACTACTCATTTCATGGGCATTAAAAGGATAAAGGAAGGCCAGGCCCGCTGGTTCATGCCTATAAACCCAAAATTTTGGGAGGCCAAGACCAGCAGATCACTTGAGCTCAGGAGTTTGAGACCAGCCTGGGCAACATGGCGAAACTGTCTCTACCAAAAATACAAAAATTAGCCGGGCATGGTGGCACACACCTGTGGACCCAGCTACTTGAGGGGCTGAGGCAGGAGGATCACCTGAGCCCAGGAAGTCGAGGCTGCCGTGAGCCCCGATCATGACACTGCACTTCAGTCCCTCCAGCCTGGGTGACAGAGTGAGACCCTGTCTCAAAAAAAAAAAAAAAAAAAAAAGATAAGGGAATACTATAAACAACTCTATGCCCGCTTAGATGAAAAAGACTCCCTTTCCCTTTTCCCTTCCCTTTCATTCCACTCTCTCTCTCTAGAGACTCCCTTTCCCATTTCCCTTCCCTTTCAGTCCTCTCTCTCTCTCTCTCTAGAGACTCCCTTTCCCTTTTCCCTTTCCTTTCCCCTTCCCTTTCCTGCTCCTTCTCCCTCTCCCCCTCCCCCTCTCCCTCTCTCTCTTAATTTCTTTTTATTTTTGGTAGAGACAGGAGTTTGCTATGTTGCCCAGGCTGGTCTTAAACTCCTAAGCTCAGGTGATCTGCCCACCTCGGCCTCCCAAAGTGCTGTGATTATAGGTGTAAGCGACCACTCTGGGCCAACCAATTTCTTAAAAGACACAAATTACAAAAATTCATACAAGGATAAACAGATAACCTGAATACCTGAATAGCCCTATGTCTATTAAACAAACTTAATCAATAATTAAAGATCTTCAAAAAAAAGAATGCACTAGGCCTAGATAGTTTCACTGGTGAATTCTACCAAACCGTAAAAGGATAAATAATACCAAGCTCTACAATCTTTTCGAGAAAACAG
The DNA here is from genome assembly GCF_000001405.40 of Homo sapiens. NCBI lineage: Eukaryota > Metazoa > Chordata > Mammalia > Primates > Hominidae > Homo > Homo sapiens. The sequence goes on along the minus strand of NC_000015.10, from coordinate 73,200,079 downwards.
AAACAGAGGGAACATTTCCTCATTCTATAAAGCCAGTGCTATGATCTGAATGACAGTGTTCCCTCCAAAATTCATGCTGAAACTTAATCCTCAGTGTAGCAGTATTAAGAGGTGTGGCCTTTGGGAGGTGATTAGGTCATGAGGGCTCTGTCTCATACATCAGATTAGCACCCCTATAAAAGGTTTTGAGGTTGAAGGTCCCCCTTTTGCCACGGAAGACACAGTGTTCCTCCCCAATATAGGGTGGAGCAATAAGGCACCATCTTGGAAACAAGGACTTAGACTCTTACAGAGTGTGGTAAACAGGCTCTTACCAGACACCAAACCTGTTGGCACCTTGATCTTAGACTCCCAACCTCCAGAACTGTGAGAAATAAATTTCCGTCCTTTATAAATCACCCAGTCTAAGGTATTTTGTTATAGCAGCACAAATATACCAAGAAAGCCAACATTATCCTAATACCAAAACCAGACAAAGACATTACCAGAAAACTCAGACATCTATGTTGTAACAATCCTTAAGAAAATATTAGCAAATGATTGAATAAATGAGTAAATGGGGAAGGATGGACAATTCTGTGTAGAATACAAAATAGTCTATGTAAATACTTAGCCCACAAGGAGGTAGAGCATAACTCTCCAATCCTTAAATGTAGACAGTGTATAATGACTTTTTTCCAAAGTATAGAGTATGGAAAGGATAAAAAAAAGTAACTTTATGGTGGAGAAATCTGATAAACACTACCTTAGCTATGTGATCAGGGATGGCATCTATAGTGATAAGTCACGTTGAGAGCATGTGCCCTCAATGTGATGTGATGAGAACAGTATTTTATCTCTGTGGTCTTCCTCTCAAAAACCCATATCCCAGTCTACTCTTAAGAAAATATCAGGCAAATTCTAATTGAGCAATATTCTACAAAATACCTCACCAATGCTCCTCAAAACTGATAAGTTGATCAAAAACAAGGATAAGTCTGAGAAACTGTCACAGCCAAGAAGAATCTAATGAAACACAATGACTAAATGTAATAATGGCATCCTAGATAGGATCCTGGAACAGAAAAAGAAAAGCTAACAGTATCTGAATAAAGTTTGAACTTTTGTAAGTAAAAAATGTATCAATGTTGGTTATTTGTGACAAATTTATCATATTAAGATGTTAAATATAGGGGAAAATGGTGTAGGATATATGAGAACTATCTGTATTATCTTCATAATTTTTCTATAAATCTAATATAATCCTAAGATAAAGTTTCTTAACAATATAGACAGAAAAGCACATTGAACTCAAAAAGAAAAAAGAGGAAATTAGTGGACTAGAAAGTAATTCTAAGGACTTTCCCAGGATACAACACTTAAGAGCAGCAGATGGCATGAAAAGCAAAAATCTAAGAGGAGCTAACAGAATAAGTAGCAAGAACAATAATCAAACAGATACATCATAAGATTTTTCTGGACCTAAACAGATACAAGTCTTTAAAGAAACCACTCAATCTGGACAATATGAAACTGGCGGTTTTATTCTTTAAATTCAAATAAAAAAAAAAACCAAAAGCTTTCAGAGAATAAACTAAGTCATCTAAAATCAAGAAATGAATGAGAAACTGAATTCCTAACATTAGGCTAAAAGATGATGAAACTGTATATAAGGGCAAATAATATATTTTCAGACATACAAAGTTTTGAATATTTACTTCTCACATACTCTGAGAAATTTATCATAAAATATAATCAAGTGAAATAAAGAACGATGAATCCAAGAAAGTAGAAATTATAGCCCAGAGAATATAGTTTAGGACAATGTACAGTATATGAGAAACAGGGCAGTGAAAGGATGAAGTTCTTTTTAATTGTTTGGTGAGGGAAAAGGTATCATGATGAATCCTGAGTGCTGCTAGAAAAAAAAATGGCTAAATACGTTGAATTTTTAAAGGCAGCCATTTGATAAATAGAAAGAAAAAATCAAGATGGCAGAACTCCTAAGGACAGTAAGTATAAAGTGGTCTACAGTTGATAACCCTAAAACAAAAGAACACCAAAAGTTTGAAAATGAAAGAATAGAAAATATATTTCAGTCAATGCTATTATAAAAGCATGGACAGGCATGGGGGTTCACACCTGTAATCCCAGTACTTAGGGAGGCTGAGGCAGGTGGGTCACTTGAGGTCAGGAGTTCGAGACCAGCCTGACCAACATTGTAAAACCCTGTGTCTACTAAAAATACAAAAATTAGCCAGGCATGGTAGTGGGTGCCTGTAATCCTAGCTACTTGGGAGGCTGAGGCAGGAGAATATCTTGAACACAGGAGGAAGAGGCTGCAGTGAGCCGAAATTGCGCCACTGCACTCCAGCCTGGGTGACAGAATGAGATTCTGTCTCAAAAAAAAAAAAAAAAAGGTAGGTATAATAATGTCAGTATCAGACAAAACAAAGTTGAAAGCAACAAGAATTAACTAGGACAACACAAATGTTTCCTGCTGATAAAACAAATACCATGTTTTCTTGATCCTTTTCCATATTTTAACATCTCTGCAATCAGGTTGTATCTCATAATGCATGGTACCTTAGATTTGATGAAATGGAGTAATTGACCAGGAAGGTAAGTCATAATTCCTAATGCATTAACAACATAGCTTCTGAATATATAAAGCAATAATATAAATAAAACATTGAACAAATCTCCAATCATACTTTCTTAGAAGTATATTTTTTTCTTTTTGAGATGGAGTCTCGCTCTGTCACCCAGGCTGGAATGCAGTGGCACAATCTCAGCTCACTGCAAACTCCACCTCCCAGGTTCAAGTGATTCCCCTGCCTCAGCCTCCCCAGCAGCTGGGACTACAGGAACGTGCTACCACACCCGGCTAATTTTTGTATTTTTATAGAGATGAGGTTTCAACATACTGCCCAGGCTGGTCTCAAACTCCCGAGCTCAAGCGATCTGCCCACTTTGGCCTCCCAAAGTGCTGGGATTACAGGTGTGAGCCACCGTTGCCTGGCCTCTTAGAAACATATTTTCTTAGAAACTGACAGATAAGGTAGACAAAAATTAGGTAAGCGTTTAATGAATTTTAAGAACACAATTAAGTTTAATCCAATAGATATTTACAAACTATAATATGCAGCAAACTTAACACCCATAGAACTGTCACCAAAAAAACTGACCACGCATGAGATCGTAAAAAGATCTTAAATTCCAATGAATGGGAAATGTGGGATCATCTGCCGAAGTAAGAGAATTATAGGCTTGAGAGGCAAGAAGGTTTCAAATATTGACATACAGAGAAGGGAGAGGAAGTAGACTAGGGAAACCTAATAGGATTTGCCAGCAGTCTCAGCTTAACTGAAGTTGGTGCTTCTGAATTTGGTTTGTAGTCTCCCTGGTGGTGAGAGAATAACACACTTCAAAATGAAATTATTCAAAGCTACTCTAATACCTGAAATGTCCATGAGCATGGTTGATGAATAGCTAGGAGACTCATTAGGGCCAAAATGCAATGTGAACATAAACTCACAAAAATAGCCAAGGCTACATGTTTTGAGTATTCAAACAATTTCACTGGCAAGGGAATAAAGTGCATGTGAATAATCTCACAGACACTGGAGTTTCTCCTCTAAGGAACCAAGTCTCAAAGGCAGAGAAGTACTAATCTGATAGGAACACACTACTGGGGAGTTTTAAATATGTGTAGGTTCTGATAAGCAGCCCTTGCAGTGAACTGCTGATTTCAACAAATGACTTATATAAACAATTGGAGGAAGTTATAAAATAAAATGAACACAAAATACTCCTCCCATTCTTGCGTGCAAGAGAGATGTTTTAATTTTAAGGAAGTCATCTGACTTTTTCCTGACATCAAAAGCACTCATTAAAAAAGGTGTGACAGATGTTAATGACGCACCTACCACAGCAGTGGGCCCAGAAAAAAGATAGCCTTCTCTCCTTTCATCCTAAACCAAATGCTGTCTCCTCAATGTGATTCCCACATCCCAGAGGAAAGGAGGAAGACAAAAAGCAGAAAGGTATTTCTGCTCATTACCCATTCAGTCCAATAAAAAAGAAAAACTGACTTTCAATGAGCTTAGTGATTTACATGACATCTAATCATAAACCAATTTTCTAGGATGTAGTTGACAGAGAAATAGTATTAGCATTTTTTAAGATGCAGAAGTCCAAATTCAAGCAGTTTTTATTTCCTGAGATTATTTTGAAAAGTAGTCCCTAATTGAGATTTTTAACAAAACTATTCTATAATAAACTACAACTACTCAAATTTGTAAAAGAGTGTAAAATGAAGAGGAACTCTAAAATTAGGAAAAAATCATCACCAAACCAGAATCTAGCCAAAAAGTCTCTTAATTTATTTTATCATTTGGGGTCTACAATGTTCAGATACATGCTATATAAGGGGAAACTCAGGCAATAATTCTGGTGGTAAATAAAGGTTTTTATGAGAAATACTCATACAGCTAAAATATTAAAACACTATTACAGCAGTTATGAGGCAGTAGTAACATTTAAAATGTTAATACTAAAGAAAAACATTTCTCTAAATGCATATCAAATTATATTATACTTTTTATTTCTGGTAGTCTCTTAAGCATGCATCAATTGGGAGATATTCTCATTGCCAACAACACTATAACCTAAAATGAAAAACACACAGACGCAGCATGGAAACTATATGAAAGCTAGTCTATAAGCAGCCAGATTGTCAGTGATATCTTTCAGACTCAAATGATATTTTGCCAACTATGACATTATTGTATAATTTAGCATCTTTTAAATATAACTACCAATTAAAAGATATTCAGACATACTATCTTCCTTCTGGTGTTTTAGCACTGCATAATAGATTCTTTCTTTATAACAAAATAATAGCATCAAATTCAAATTCAAGCTTGCTCTTTGATAATTCTAAATTCAACTTTGTGTCCAGAAAGGTCATCTGCAGGACTTTTATTTAACACCAAAAATTATCATTGAGTCATTAAATTATTATGTGGACCTCAGAAATTCTGGTCTTAAAGTCCATGACCTTTGGCAAAGATGAAATTGATGTTCAACATCAAACAAATTATTCATACTTTAATTATATGTCTACCTCTTCAAAGCTATCTAAAAACAGCATTCATTATAGCATAACTCAAAATTAATGGAGACAAACCTCCTTAAGCTAAGTAGAACAAAGATCATATCCTTACACTTATACAGAAAATCCCTCTACTTTTAATTAGTGTAAAACTCTAATGTTTTCTTCTCTCTTATCCTAAGTATCCAATAAATCATAAATCTTGTGCCATCTTCTTTTGTAGAAACATCTATCCAACATGTAATAAATATGTACCATGTATAAGCCTGATATCGTCTGGATGTTTGTCCCCTCCAAACCTCATGTTGAAATTTGATCTCCAATTTGGAGGGTCAGCCTAGTGGAGAGTGTTTGTGTCATGGGGACAGAACCCTCAGGAATGGCCTGATGTCTTTCTTGCACTGAGTAGGTTCTTACTCGGTTAGTTTCCTTGAGAACTGGTTGTTTAAAAGAGCCTGGAACCTCCTCCTCTCTCACCATGTGACATGCCTGCTCCCATTTTGCCTTCTGCCATGATTAAAAATCTTCCTGAAGCCCTCATTGGAAGCAGATGATGGTGCCATGCTTCTTGTACAGCCTGCAGAACCAGGAGCCAAATAAATCTCTTTTCTTTATAAATTACCCATCCTTAGGTATTCTTTTATAGCAATGCAAATGAACTAATACAAAGCCATTAGGGAATAAAAAGAAAGCCTCTCTCTCTCCATTGCCATAAACTAGTCCAGGGCCTTAAACATCACATCTGATTTGGTACAAAATCCTTCTAAATGGTAGGACAGATTCCATATTTTCCTCTCTAAAGCCACTCAACACATCTCTAATAAATTAATCCTCTTAAAGTGCTACATAACTGAAAACTGCTGGAGTCCTCCAACTGCTCAACAAATTCCAACCCTTTGACTTGGTATTAAATAATCTGGTCTCTGCACACCTTCCCAGATGTATATTCCTGTACTCATACTTCTCTCAACACTGGTAAACCGAGATGCTGGCTATTCTCCAAATGCACTTTGAGCCTTCTTGCATATACACCTCTTCCCATCTTCATGTAACCTGACTAATCTATAATCCCATCCATCCTTCTAGGCTCGGCTCACATGCCACGTTCTTCAATCAGCCTCCCTTGCCTGTCAAACCTAGCAGAAATTATTTCTTCCAGTTTAGAATTAGAGTAGCGCTTTGGCATTCAGCACAGCTTGCATTATAATTATTTAGATTCATAATCCAAAATCTTTACCCTGGCACTGTGTAGAATCTTTCAGATTCAATAAATTAGCAACAATTGGGGTGACCATGGAATATGTTGTCCACAACCAGATACTACTAAAAGTGAAAGGAGACACTTTTTGGTAATTATGCTGGGGGATTGTCTTAGGCACACTAGATGTATGGTCATCCTAGCAAAATGATACATCTGACCAACCTTGTCAGTAAGTAATAACACTTATTTATACTGACTTAAAAGACTGAACTTGAAATTAAGAGAACATAAGCGGAAAAAAGAACATAAATTTTTGTCTTGAAAACATTAAACTTGCTAAAGTGATACAGTGAATTTTGAAATTGAAAACCAAGATATCAGTCCTGACTCTGATGCCAACTAGTTATTTTATGGCAAGTCACTTAACTGAGTTTCCAGCTCAGCTAAATTAAATACTCAGCTCTCTAAGGTCTATTCTAGCTAGACTCTATAATTTTACATTATCTCCCCTAATAGCCTATATAATAGGGTATCTGCTAGATAACTGTGAATCTCTATTTACACAGCACATGTACTCAACATATTAAGTACTTGGTTAACAAAACAAATTAGTTTTTAAAATTTTAATAAATTATACTTAACCACCTCAGCATTTATATGACATGATTCATCTTCTAGGAAAAAAATGCTATATTAACTAACATTTGCAGACTGTTGCCAAATACTTTTATTAAACTATTTTTTCTCCTATAGCATTTTGTTTCAAGAAATAAAAACTCAAAAAGTTTATAACTACCTTGAACAAGGTAGAAATCACCAGGTATAGATTTAAATATTCCAAGTTTAATTTCTAATTGATGTTTTTATTTGGCTTTCCAAAAATTTCAAATGTATTATTTTTGCCTTCCTCCTCATCTTCAGGTTTTTCCAATCCCATTCCTCAGCTATAACCATCATTAATAGATTTCTGTGTAGACTTGCAAAACTTTCTTACACATACAAGGACACAGACATTTATATCTTTCCTTCTCTTTTCCATAAATGAAATCAGAGTATACATACTTTTCTGCAACTTGTTTTTATTAATAATATAAATTGGATATTTTTCCATACATCTTATTAACAGCTTCCTAGTATTCCACTCTATTCTGTATTTAACTAGTCCCTTATTGGTTGGATCAATTAGGTTACTTAGAGATTTATGCTAGTCTAACATATGAATCTTTAAATACTTAGTAACTATATCTGTAAGATAAATTATTATAAATAGGATTGTTTGATGAAAGGGTGTGTGAATTTTAAATTATTCTTAAACTGCATCTCAAAAAAATTTACAATGTTTCAAGAACTCAAAACTATGTTTCCTCATACTCTAGTCTGAGAAGTATAGATCAGTTTAAAAAAAATGAAAAAGATAAACCTGTAATATAAGGACTACCATGTCCATAAGACACTGTTTTCAAAAGTCACAGAAAAATATGATTTCACTTCTGCAAATAAAAAGTTTATACATGAATATGTGTATATGTATGTGTAAGTGTAAAACACACACGCATAGGCTCCTTCTAACCCTCAGGTCTCAACTTAAATATCACTTCAGAAAGGCCCTCTGTGTCTAACCTATTTAAAATAACTTCCACTCTACCCCAATAATTCTTTATCAGAGTAGTACTTTTATTTAAGTAGACAATAAAAGGTATAATTATTCATTTACTTGCTTATTGTCTGTCTCTACTAACAGACAATAAGCACTATGAAGGCAGAGAATCATGTCTGCTTGTTAGCTGTTTCATCCTCACCACTTAGCACAATGAATACACAATTGTATATGCCATATAGAATTTTGCTCAACAATTTATTTCTGAATGCACAAATACACAGAATGTTTGTTAATGAGGGTTATCTCTAGAAAGTAATATTAAGAGAAGGGTTAAAAAGTAAATTTACTTTTATTTCAGTCAATTATGTATTCTTATTCTTGACAATGAACATGTGTTACATTTGCTTTAAAATATTTTAGTGCAAGTTTAGTTTTAACCAGATCATTACAGATGCCTTACAATCTGGTCATATAAAGAAGATTTTCTAATTTTGCAAATTTAAATGATCTAACTGAATATTATATGGATTTCTGTTGTCTATTTTGAAAAAACCTTCAAACTTTGCTTCATAAAGTTAAGCTTTTATCTTCACTTTTAATCTCCTTTAATGCTGACTATTGAATTCTCATCGATACTCTGTCTTTCTATGTTCTTTCCAATTACTATTATCCTAAAGTTACTATTATCCTAAAGTTACTATTATCCTAAAGATTTCTGTTGTCTATTTTGAAAAAACCTTCAAACTTTGCTTCATAAAGTTAAGCTTTTATCTTCACTTTTAATCTCCTTTAATGCTGACTATTGAATTCTCATCGATACTCTGTCTTTCTATGTTCTTTCCAATTACTATTATCCTAAAGTTACAGAGTACTTAACAATTTACAAAATGCTTTACATATATTATTCCATTTGCCCCTCAAAGGTGTGCTGTGCAGAGATGACTGTTTAGAGTTATAGGTAACAAAACTGATGCATAGAGAGGTTAATCACCTCATCCACAGTGGGACTGGGACATTAATCCAATATGTCAGACTTTTAGCACAAGGTTTGTTTCATTATACGAGTTATGACAGGTTACATAAAATCATTAACTGGAAATGCCTCAATCTGTCTGCAAACAACATATCTATTTCAATACCTATACGGAAAAAGCGTTCTGAAGCACATTTTACATTAAATGCATATGTTTGTAAAACAACTGCATTTAACAGAGTATTTGGAGTGATATGGGACCTAAGAGATCATTAAATTTAATTCCTTTATTTTATAGAAAATAAAAAATCACAGAATTACAATATGTAATCCAGTCATTAACAGCAGACATGAACTAGAACCCAAGCAGTGACAGCAGATACATATTCAGTCTTTAGAAAGTTCCTAGACATGAATTTCATGATTAAGAAGTCAAATTACACCAGTTACCTTGAATAAAACTCTCCCTAAAGTTATAATTACCGTTACAAAAAAGCAAAATAACTGATTAGAACTTATCCTTTAATTAACATCAACACCAACTACTGTACATCCTAGTGCTTTGAAATTAAAATATTCCACTAATGAGTAACAATTTCCTGCTATCTAGCCAACTTTTAATCATGCCAGGCCATTAGTCACTTATTCCAGAACTTCTATTATTCAATGCTAACCTCAGATACTATTTGGAATTTTTTACAAACATTTCTGTCAAAAAAAGGGTGGGGGATGCTCAGTGTGTATTCTTATCTACTATGGCCATAACATCCCAGCAGTCATTTAAGGAGCTGGTAAAGTGTAAGTTTCCTTTACTAAAAACAAGTTGATGTTACTCCCTTTTCATGAATCCTTCTTCCTTTACTAGAACTAAAATTTGGCAATTATCAGACGTGGTATGAAAGGACAGAAAAAGAAAGTGTATTTCTATGTTTTCACATTCCAGTCTCACATGATAATTTCGCAATCTATTTTTAAATTCAACTGACAGGAAGAAAGGCCAATAAAAAGTTAATGGACAAAAGATACAGACATTTTACCTTAATTCCTACTACTCTTAATTGACCAGTAATAATTTAAATAATAATAACAATGTACCTGCCAATGCTTTTTTTTGAAAATGTAATTTAATAGATAATTATAAAAAACAAAGGATTTTAGCATAAAATGACAGGCAATGTTAATCTGAAATGGCAGCAAATAAAAATAATCCTGTTTTATGTTCAGTTAAATATTTTTAAAAGATACAAGATCTTCTAAAATCAAGAGCTGCTGTTACCGAAAATGCATAAAAGTGAAGTTAAATATTAAAAGTTGTATTTTAAATGTTTTGATTAAGAAAGCATGCTAGGAACAAAAGTCAAATTCTACTTCACAATTTGCTCAGAAATTCTGTTTTCCAGTGATATGCAAAAATGTTTTATATATTTTAACTATAATTATTAAGTTTCATTTAATGTTTAAAGCTGATAATTAACCTAATAGTCATGTTAAGTATACCACAGGCCTACTGTGGACGCTCCAACGCAGCTTCTTGCAGCCCAGCACTAGCCAGCTGGCCTATGGCCAGTATATATAGCCACACACTTCAGGTGGGAATCAGAAAACTCTCCCTACAGAAATAAAACTATCAAAGATGCACAGTCAAATACTTTCAACATTATTTTTAAAGAAGGTTTTGAAGATAAGCACCATCACAAGAGATTGATTTCGTTTTTCAATAACTAACAGAAGAATACAACTCACAGAAGAGCAAAGACAGACTACAGTGGATCCTTCAACAAGCCGGTTTTGAACTGCATGGTTCCACTTACATGGTGATTTTTATTTTCAAACAAACGCAACAAAAAATACGGTATTTGCAGGATGCAAAACCCGACTATACAGGCAGCCTAGTTTTCATGTACTCAGGTCTTACAGAGGTGACTACAGTACTTGAATATGCACAGATCTGGGCATATATGTGTGGGTCCTGGAACCAATCTCCCATGTATACCAAGGAGTAACTGTATTTCTAAACATATGACAAATATTCCACTTCACAATCAAAGATATAAAATTCAATGGGTAAGATGTCATTTTTGCCTAATAATGAAGTTTATTTTTGCATGGGTAGGGTGGTGGTCTTGCTCTGTTGCCCAGGCTAGAGTGCAGTGGTGCAATCACAGCTCATTGAAGCCTCGACCTCTCAGGCTCAAGCAATCCTCCCATCTCAGCCTCTTTAGTACCTGGGACCAAAGGTGTGTGCCACCACACTTGGCCAATTTTTTTTTTTTAACTTTTTGTGAGGATGGGGTCTCACTATGTTGCCCAGGCAAGTCTTGAAGTTTTGGGCTCAAGTAATCCTCTTGCCTCAGCTCCCAGCTGGGATTACAGGGGTGAGCCACTGCACCCAGCCTAAATTTTGTATTTTTAAATGAACATTACTTTTTAATAGTTGGCTAATGTGTGATTAGGTTTGTATCCTTTCTTCACTCTTAGTAAAAATGTAAATTGTTACATCATTTACTAAAACCATTTTGACAATTACATAAATTACTGACTCGAACCATTAATTGTTCTTTTAGGAATTTTTCCTAAGGAAAGAATCAGAGATTTGGACAAAGACTACTAATATGAGCATTAGTAATTGAAAAAGGAAAAACAGACAGGGATAAAGAACAGAAGAATAGGAAATGACTTAAATGTCCCAAAATAGAGGAAGTAGTTAAAATAATTATAGTACAACCTTATGATGGAAAAGTTTTTTGGCCATTAAAAACCATGCCTTTGAACCCCTGTAATGATATCAGGAAGATCTCAGGATATAACAACAAGTAGAAAAACAAGATACAAAACAATATATACCAAATAATCTGAATTTAATTTTAAAAAGTGTATATACACATTTAGACATTTCCATACCAAAATGTTAACACTGGTTATCTTTGGGCAGTGATATTTTTCTCAGTGTTCTAAAATAATCATGTATTACTTTTATATAATTAGTAAAGTCTTTTTTTTTTTAAATACTAAACTCACCTTTTAATCAGTGGTAAAATTTAGAAAAGCCACCAGATATAACATTGATGACTTTCTGCCAAAAACATGACAGACAGAAGTTAAGAGTCTACAAACAATTCCTTTCACAGGAGAATTGGGTTATCTTGCAAGAAGTAAATATAGCAAATTCTGACAGACTTCACTGATATGTCTGGATTTGGTAGGAGAAAGGCAGACGCTTGGGCAGCCTGAAGGAGAAATGATGAAAACTGGCCCACCTTGAGCCTCTTTCCATTTGTGTTCATTAGCATTGCGAATTTCCAACGTAGAATATAATGTTTATATATAGCAGTCCCAAAATCTGTTGGACTGTGGAGCATCCTTTTTGTTCATTTTATTTGCTTTTTAGTAGACCCATTAATACATCTTAAAGGGCACAATTTGGGAAACACTGATGTAAGGATATTCAAGGGAAGATGGACTAGATTGAGATTCGCAAACTGTGCCCACAGGCCAAATCCAGTGTACTTCCTGCTTTTGTATATAAAGTTTTACAGGAACACAGCTACACATATTTGTTACAGATTGTCTGTATTCTGTCTGTGGTGGTTTTCAAACTTATAATAGCAGAGGTGAGCAATGTAAACAGAGACCAAATGTCAGGTAAAGCCTGAAGTATCTATTCTTTGGCCCTTAACAGAAAGTTTGCCAACCACTGTACTACATGATACGTATCTTTCAGCCGTGATAGTTTGTGATTCTAAGTTATTTCTCATCAGTGGATGTCTGTTTCACTTAAAATTTTTTAAATAAAAAGGGGGAAGGAGTGGGAGGAAAAAAAGGCAAACAGGGAGCAGGAGAATGAAGAATATAAGGATAAGTGAAGAAAGTCAGACTTGGTGTATGAATAATGAGGAGGAAATGTGCCCTAGTCACTCCAAAAAGGAACTGTTAAAGGGAGAACTACAAACTACAGATAGTTTACTAACATATCTCTGTGATCACTATCTGAGCTTAACTAGAAAAATAATGGAGTGAATTATTGAAAAAGGAAATATTTTGTAATAGTTGTTATCTTCATGAGTCTTGTTTAAAAATAATATTGAAAGTATCTGAGCATCTTCGACACACAGTATTGTTGTGTGCAGTAATAATCTTACAATAGTTTATTTTCAATTCTACCCTACACATCGGACTACACTACATATACCATTCTGTCACACTTCTAAATTTCATGTTATCAACTATTTCTGTGTTAGACCAGAGTAAGCATATTAGGACCTGCTACTTGTTTTTGTAAACAAAGTTTCACCGGAGCAGCCAAGGTTGTTTGATCTATATGGTGGCTTTTGCGCTAGAATGGTAGAGTTAAGTAGCTGTGACAGAGACTGACCCATTAAGCCTAAAATATTTACTATCTAGCCCTTTACAGAAAATTTTGTTGCGTGTTACCCTATTGCTGCCTGCCCTATTCCCCTCACCTCCCCATCATTGGCACCCATTTGCTTTTAAAATTCACTTTATCTTGAATCATGTAAGACAAATATATACTGATATGACTATTTAATTCATGGTGCCTTGCATAATGGCCAGAGGTGCATGAGTTTGTGAAGGTGGAAATAAACTATTTAGAGTGAAAAAAAAAGAAGAAAAAAATTTTGTGGGCCTGTCTAGACAGTCAATTATCTCTTAAAGCAATTAATCTTAAAAATATATTTTTATATTTACTTTAAAAACACTCTAGCCCACTTTGTTTTTCTCCTTTCACATTTCTTGTAGCATGGGTATGTCAGCAACAAATTCTCAGTTTCTGTTCTGAAAAGGTCTTTATTTCACTTTAATTTTTGAAAGATATTTTTGCTGGGTATAGTTTTGGTTGCCTTTTTTTTGGTTGCCTTTTTTTTTAAGGACTTAAAAAGTTGCTCTGTGCTCACTTGGGCAGCACATACACTAATACTAAAATTGGAACAATACAGTGAAGATTACCATGGCCCCTTAATTATTTTTTTTTAAACTAAAAACTACTGCTCAGTGTCTTCTAGCTCACATTTTTTTTTTTTTCTGGCAAAAAGTCTGCTGCAATTCTTATCTTTGTTCCTCTGTATGTAATGTGTCTTTCTTCTTTTTAAATTTCCAATTGCCTTCAAGATATTTTCATGTTTGGTTTCCAGAAGTTTGACTATGATGTGTACAGGCATATTTTCTTTTTATTATTATTATTATCATCATCATGGTATTTAGTTTGCTTGGGGGTTGTCTGAGCTTCTTTTTGGTTGTGTGGTTTGATCTAATTCATTTTTTAAAATTCTTGGCCATTATCTATTCAAACATTTGTTTCTCCCTGTCCTTGTTCTGTTTTCCCTGTGAGACTCCCATTTACTTATAATTTACTTATGTTATAGCCTCTGATATTGTCCCATCTTAGATGCTCTGTTCAATGAATGACGTTCCATTGTATAGATGTATCACACTTTGTTTATCCATTCAGATACCAAAGGATATTTTGGTTGCTTCCAAGTTTTGGCAATAATGAGTAAAATTCTTCTAAACATTTGTGTGTAAATTTTGTGTTAGCATAAATTTTCAACTCATCTGGGTAAACATCAAGGAGCACAACTGCTAAATTTTATGATAAAAATGTTTAATTTTGTAAGAAACTGCCAAACTATCTTCGAAAATGGCTGTACCATTTTGCATTCCCAGCAACAATGAATAAGAGTTCCTGTTGCTCTACATCCTTGTGAGAGTTTGATGGTGTTGTCAGTATTTTGGATTTTAACTATCCTAATAAGTGTGTAGAGCAGTTTTAGGTTCATTGCAAAACTGAGCATAAGGTACCAAAATTTCCTCTGCCCTACACATGCATAGTTTCCCCCATTATCAACATCCCCCACTAAAGTGGTACATTTATTACAATTGAATAACCTGTATTGAGACATCATTATCACCCAAAGTCCATAGTTTATATTAGTGTTCACTCTTGATGTTGCAAATTCTATGGGCTTGGACAAATTTATGACACGTATCCTCCCCTATAGTATCATACAGAGTGGTTTCACTGCCATAAACATCTGTGTTCTGCTTATTCATCGCTCTCTCCTCCCAAACCCTGGCAACCACTAATTTTTTTACTAACTCCATAGTTTTGCCTTTTCTAGAATGTCATGTAGTTGGAATCACACGGTTTTTAGCCCTTTCAAATTGGCTTCTTTCACTTGGTAATTTGCATTTATAATTCCTCAAGTGCATTATGGTTTGACAGCTCATTTCTTTTTTCTTTTTCTTTTCTTTCTTTTTTTCTTTTGAGACAGAGTCTCACTCTGTCACCCAGGCTGGAGTGCAGTGGTGCAATCTTGGCTCACTGCAACCTTCGCCTCCCGGGTTCAAGTGATTCACATGCTTCATCCTCCTGAGTAGCTGGGATTACAGGCATGCACCACTACGCCCAGCTAATTTTTGTATTTTTAGTAGACACGGGGTTTTGCCAAGTTGGCCAAGCTGGTCTCGAACTCCTGCCCTCAAGTGATCTGCCCACCTCCACCTCCCAAAGTGCTGGGAGTACAGGCGTAAGCCACGGCACCTGGCCTGGTAGGTCATTTCTTTTTGGTAATGAATAATATTCCACTGTCTAGATGTACAACGGTTTATTTATTCTTTCACCTACTGAAGGACATCTTGGTAATTAGGAATAAAGATGCTACAAACACATTTGAGGGGTTTTGTGTGGACATAACTTTTCAACTCATTCAGGTAAATACAAAGAAGTGCAACTGCTGGATCAGATGTTAAGAGTGTGTGTTGTTTTTGAGTTCTTGGTTTGACTCATCTTGTAGTCTGTAGGAGTATACCTCAAGTAATTTTAAAAATAAAGGTATATATGAAACCCTGTCTCTACTAAAAATACAAAAGTTAGCCAGGCATGGTGGCACGCACCTGTAATCCCAGCTACTCGGGAGGCTGAGGCAGGAGAATTGCTTGAACCCGGGAGGCGGAGGCTGCAGTGAGCTGAGATCGCGCCACTGTACTACAGCCTGGGCGACAAGAGTGAAACTCCGTCTCAAAAAAATTAATTAATTAATTAATTTTAAAAAAGGTATATAAAGAATGAAATTTGAATGGTATATTTTCTAAGAACATCTTTCTATTGCATAGAAGTCACAAAGGCTGAAATTAGTTCTAATGATTAGTTTCTCTCTCAATAGATGGGCTTATTAAAGTCTATTAATTTTTGCTTGAATGCTGAACACGGTATGCTGAACAACAGTAAGTATTATTTACACCTGAAAAATGGTATGCTTATTTTTCTGTCATGTCATTAGTGTGAAAGAGTTTAGTTAATCTAGTCAGGAATTGAGCTTGGAATGGATTTTATTGTTATAGTTACCTTAAGTATACTATAGGTTTCAAATTCCTCTACTGGGAGACTACCATTGTCCTGTGCTTAGGAGCCAGAGAGTTTCTCTCTCTTTTT
Organism: Homo sapiens; assembly: GCF_000001405.40. Taxonomy (NCBI): domain Eukaryota; kingdom Metazoa; phylum Chordata; class Mammalia; order Primates; family Hominidae; genus Homo; species Homo sapiens. Next base: position 73,183,760 of record NC_000015.10, on the reverse strand, counting down.
TTTTCCTTTCCTCTGAGTTTTCAACCACTCCAGCATACCAATACCACAGGATATCCCTCTGTGCTCTTGACCTTTCCCAAACAGTAGAAAGTTCATGGTTGAGGCAGCTAGGATTCTCCATTGTTCTGGTCCAGCCTCAGTCTTAGGTAGGCCCTCTGGCTCTTCTTCCTGTGGCAGTCAAAATCTGCCTTGTATTTGTATCGGTCTTAGGTAGAAGTTTCCTACTCTTCCCCTAGTAGTAAAAGACCTCTCCTTGGTATCAGTGTAGAATCCTGAGGCCTAAAATGATTTCTGCGCCTCTTTCAGAAGTAAAGGGTTTTCTCTTCTACCCTTTCCCCGGCATCAATGAGTCTCTGCCTGCATCCTGGGGACAGGAGGGTTCCTCCTCTAAGCAGCACAGGGGTTTGACTTCTAATCTCCCTTCAGAAACGTATGAAATCAGAAGGTTTTCTGCCCCTCCCCCACTGGTTTGAGGCTTAAAGGAGAAGGGTCTGAGTAAATGGGAAGGCCTTTGTCCTGTCTCCCAGGCACAAAGGCCTCTCTGCATCATTCTCTCTCTGCAGCTGCAGATCATCACTTCCTTCATCCCTACACCACAGAGATGGCTTTCTGTAGTCTCCTGCTTTTGCCTCCTCTTAATTGGGAGTACTCTGTGGAGCCCCAAGGAAAAGTGTTTGCAAGAAAGTGTAAACTCCCATTCTGTCTGAGGCCCCCAGACATTCCAAATTAGGCCATAGTTGGCCTTGCAGTTAAAGGCCTTTTAGTTAAAACTCTAGGAGTTTTCCTCTTACTCACTTTTACAGTAGCCGTCTCTTTCTCTTGTGTTCTGCCAAAAGTGAAACAATGCATATGATCTATGCCTTTGAGGGGGTTGTGTGGGGAGGGTTGTCCTTTTTGGAATTTAGGTTATTTGGTTGCTGTTATGGTTTGGCTGTGTCCCCACCCAAACCTCACCTTGAATTGTAGCTCCCATAATTCCCACGTGTTGTGGAAGGGACCTACTGGTAGATAATTAAATCATGGGGGTGGTTCTCCCCATACGGTTCTTGTGGTAGTGAGTAAATCTCACGACATGATGATTTCATGAGGGGTTTCCCCTTTCACTTGACTCCCATTCTCTCTTGTCTGCCACCATGTAACATGTGCCTTTTGCCTTCTGCCATGATTGTGAGGCCTCCCCAGCCATGTGGAACTGTGAGTCCATTAAACCTCTTTTTCTTTATAAATTACCCAGTCTCAGGTATGTCTTTATCAGCAGTGTGAAAATGAACTAATATATTTGCTTTGCATGCTCAGCTCTCTGCTGGGCTCAAGAGAACCTGTGACGTTGTAGATTACTAAGCTCTTTATGTGGTGAGAATGGGATTTTCTTTATGCACCTCTTTATATCCTAAACAGAAGTGGAAATCTCCTTCCACTTTGATCTGCCCTCTTTTTCTGTTTTTGTAAAGGTGTCACCATTCTTCTAGTGATATGGTTTGGATGTGTCCCCACCCAAATCTTATCTTGAATTGTAACTCCCACAATTCCCATTCCACCTCCCAGTGGAATCACCCAGTGGGAGATGATTGAATTATAGGGGTGGGTCTTTCCTGTGCTGTTCTCGTGATAGTGAATGAGTCTCATGAGATCTGATGGCTTGGAAAATGGGAGTTTCCCTGCACAAGCTCTCTCTTTGCCTGCTGCCATCCATATAAGATGTGACTCGCTCCTCCTTGCCTTCTGCCATGATTGTGAGACCTCCCCAGCCATGTGGAAGGGCAAGTCCCATTAAATCTCTTTTGTAAATTGCCCTGTTTCAGGTATGTCTTTAACAGCAGTGTGAAAATGGACTAATACACCTAGTTACCCAGAACTTGGGTAAACCTTGGAAGTATCTCTGGCTTCTCTATAACAATGTTTAATGTTCAATCAGTTGATAAAGTCTCAATCAGATAAATCACTAACACCTCTGACATAGTCTGGATATTTGTCCCTGCCCAAATCTCATGTGAAAAGGTAATCCCCAGTGTTGGAGGTGGAACCTGGGGAGGTGTTTGGGTCATGGGGGAAGATCCCTCATGGCTTGGTGCTGTCCTTGAGATAGTGAGTTCTCACAAGATCTGGTTGTTTAAAAGTGTGTGGCACCCCCCCACCTCACTCTCCTGATCCTGGTCCTGCCATGTGAGATGCCTGCTCCCCTCTTGCCTTCCACCATGATTGGAAGCTTCCTGAGGCCTCCCCAGGAGCCAAGCAGATGCCAGCACCATGCTTCCTGTACAGCCTGTGGAACTGGGAGCCAACTAAACCTCTTTTCTTTATAAATTACCTAGCCTCACGTATTTCTTTATAGCAATGCAAGAACAGACTAACACAATCTCCTTAGTAGGATCCTTTTCCACCGATTTCTCTAGTGTAAGTATTTATCATCTCACAATGGCCTCATAACAATTTTCCTTCAACCAGCTTGCACTCTGTCTTCCTCTAAACCTGACTTTATCATCATACTCATTACACATGGCATTGTTTTTATTATTTATAATCATGCACTCTGATCCTATTCTGCTGTTAAAGGCTACCTTACTACAGGAACAGGTCTTCTATTTTATTTCCATATTGATCCAGGTCTTCCTTTGAATTAACATCTAGAAATCTTATAATTCAAGGCCTATTACAAAGGGGACACCTTACATGAAAAAATTCCCTGATCACACAGACAGAATTCCTCTCTTCTGAACTGTATGCTGCTTTATTTATGCATCTGGACTGGTATTCAAGTTTTATATATCTCTTACATCCCTTATTATATTGTAAACTCTAAAAAAGAAGAGCTCAGATCTAGTAAGTTACTGTATTCCTTCTTTTAGCTTTCCTGTATAAATATTTATCTTGCAAATTAAAACAGCAAAATAGAAAACACAATTAATAACATGACACTTACTCTCCTTCTTATAATCTATGCATCTTTAATACATGCCCAATAACGTCACTAAAAAATTTCATCAGCTCATAAAACGCTATTCTCAAAAAGAGAGAAGCAAATACACTATGACTACAATTTTAACACTATCCAAATATTTTCAGAGGAAAGCCCAATTAGGATTAGTTTAGGAACTTCCTGGCATACTTAACCATTTCTACTGTTAGAGTTAGATTTGTAACAGTAATCTCAAACACAAATATAATGAAGTGCCTTTGCTTAGTTCCATGTAAATAAATATACCCCAAATAGCTACGAGGTTTACTAAGAAAAGTCACTGCCACAAGTAAAAAGAAATAAGCCTATCTACCTCACTAATTCTGCTAGTGCCTTATTTAGTAATTGTACTCAGGCATTTCACCAAGATGGAAAAATGGCATGCTTCTACTAAAATCATTTCCAATAAACAGGGGAGGGTATATACAAACCTAAGAAGAAAAAAGCAGTTCTAATATTTTATGCTTTTCTGTAACAGCACTCTCAAGTATATTTTTCAAAAAATAGCACACAAAAATCCTACATATATGCCATGTTAGTGAAAAGCCAGAGTAGGTGCCATCTTTGCCAATTAGCTTCCCTGGCCAAACTACAATCATCAGAGAAATTCTTCCTGGAGGCACACCAATACCTGATTGTATTTGACTTGAATAAAAGATCAGATGTCTAAAGTGGCATCTTTTTCATGTATTTTTGAGAAATGCTCAAAATGAAAAATGTTTCAGTTGCTAAAACAAATGAATAATGCACCCAACAGGTACCCTTATCAATTTAACACAGAACTGTTATCCAATAATTCAACTTCTAGTAATTTAGTATAAGAAAATAATCACATAAAAAGTTCAATACATCCTTGTTTGTAATAGGAAAAAACAGGTGACAATCTAAATGTTAACCAATATAAAATCTGTTATATAAAACAGTGTATATATATATATATACATATTATTTAATAAGAAACAATATTGATGCAGATCAACTGTTGACACAGAAAGATATACACAGCATGCTGTTGCAACAAAACAGGAAATTATAAAACCATACACAGTGTACCCAGGTGGTAGGATTTGAAGTGTGTACCAGTTATCAATTTACTGCCTCTCAGCTCCAAATTCTGATTTCATTGCCTATGCTGCAAAAACAGAGCCATGTCCTTTATATACTTTTCCTTTGCCAGCTGGCATATGTATTAAACTTTATCAATAGAAGGCAATGGAGATACAGTACAGAAGAAAGGAGTTTCCTTCCTGGTTCTAGTGTACTACCCTGGCAGCCTCCTATAGCCAGCAGCTTCCCCTTACACCTGATCCACTGGGTGGTTTTGTAGCAGAATGCCTCCAGTGAGATACCTCTCTGTAAGCAGCTTTCCCCAACCCTCAAGAAAGGAGATTTTGAGCAAGTTTAGAGAGCAAAACACCACATCAACTTCTCTGCCATCCAGTAAACCATGGTTACACCCTCTCCAACAGGGTCTGGATCTCATCCGTAAAAAGAGGGGCCTCTTCCTGAGGGCTCTATCTCAGACCTAGGGGTTGTAGTTGCTCCTGATAGTTGCCATTCTTATATTGTCTAGAGTTCTCTTTACTTCTTACTAGTCAAACCTTTGTTACTCCAATCCCAATATCAATGTTAATTCCTTATGTTAAAACTCTGCTCAAATTACAGTGTGGGTTCCCTAATTTGAGATACAGGATGGATTTTTTTCTTTATACTTTTCATTGTTATCTGAATTTTTAAATAATAAACTTGGTTTTTTGGTGGTAATCAGAAAAGGTAAATTAATTGTATTCTGGAAAAACTAAAAATTTCAATGCAAAATAAATACTAAGTTTTTCTAAGAAACGTGGATTTGATAAACTACTGCCTATGATTTTAACTTATGTTTGATATATAGTAGTCAGGGTTTTATGAATGTTGACTATTTTGTGCCAACAGCCCAGAATTGTCACTTATATGTAAGCAGAAAACAATGAGCTCTGCTTCCAAAGTTATTTAGTTTTCTCAGTGTTTGAATGTTATTTTTTGTAAGTGTATTAATAAAAGTGTATAGAATTGGAAAAAAAAGAAGTTTTTCTTTATAGGACAGAAATATATTTGTGAGATTAAGATGACTAAATTCTTTTAAAAATTAATTTATTAAGACTATAATATTCAGTTTTCCTTTTCTTAGTAAAAATTTCTTTTCAACATTATCCAAAATTGTGCTTCTAGGTAATTTTATGTAATAGAAATGATTTAGACTGCTATTCTTTTTCTCTTAGCTATGCCACATATTGGCCTTTACTAATGGGTTATCAATCATGAGTTATTTGGACGGATGGGTGCTTGTTCATCAAGCACACAGCCTCTATCATCTGACTATTTCAGCCCTTCTTACCATGTTCAAGGATTATCAGTTGGGCTCCAGCTTGTGCATTTCCAACATCATTTTCAGCAATGCACTGATAGAACCCTTCATCTGATTTCACCAGACCCAAAACTTGAAGATTATGTTCCTTCTGAAGAAGAAAAGCATAAATAAAATTACATAATTTAATTGATAAATACCAGATCAAAATCTCAAAAATATGCTTTTTGGAGAGGAAAAAAACAAGTAAAGTTTTTATGATCCAATTATTAAATATTATCCAAGTACTTGTTAACTCAATTTCATACTAAAGCATTGGCAAGGTACCAATTTAACTGAATAGAAGAGTACATACTGTCATTCACGATGAAGAACTTAACGCATGGAAAGTCATACTCTCACTGTTTGCAAACTACACCTTTGCCTGGAAAAAGATCTGGCACGCAATACCAACTGACCACAGTTAAAGTCCAATTTGTGAATTTAAGGTATTATTTTTCCTAAGACTATCTATAATATCAATAGTTCTAACAGATTAGACTACAATAAATTAAATGAAGCCATGTGAGCTTTCCTTAAATGAAAAAGTACTATATGAATGTCAACTATTACTACTGGGCCAGGAGCAGTGGCTCACACCTGTAACCCCAGCACTTTGGGAGGCCGAGGCAGGAGTATCACTTGAGCCCAGGCGCTGAAGACCAGACTGAGCAACACAGTGAAACCCCATCTCTACAAAAAATACAAAATTGGCTGGTCATGGTAGTGCGTGCCTGTAGTTCCAGCTACTCAGGTTGGCAGGAGGATCGCTTAAGCCCAGGAGTTTGAGGCTGTGGTGAGCTATGATCAAACCACTGCACTCCAGCCAGGGTGACACAGCGAGACCCTGTCTTAAAAAACAAAAAAAATTTTTAACTACTGTTATTGGTATAATAAATATGATTTAAAAATTTTCTAGTTTCCAAATATTGATTTTAAGAGGCTATTTTAACTATAACAGATTGCTTTTTAATGTTAAATACTTGTAAATTACTTTTTGCAACAGGAGATCATGCATTTCAAAAATAGAAAATATATTTCTAAGAATGTTTACTTGTATGACAAATTTGTAATGAGACATTATGTCTTTAACAACTATAGTTCTGATCATTTTTATGAATGTCATGTATAGATCTCAAGGTATGTCATTAATCTTTATTACTAAAGCTGGATAATTCTATTACTAAAATGTTAGATATTGATGATAATAGTAGGTAATATCTAAGAATCATTTACTATATATAAAGTATAGTAAAAAGCAATTATGGCTGAGTATTCTTAAATACACTTGACACTTTTTAAATGCATTTTTAAAAAAGAATCTTTATAACTATTGCTACCACAATTGTCCGACACTGGGTCATCCTTATTTTGAAGGGTCTGGGCATCGGTATACGATTTAAGGTTAAGTTTTGTATAGTCAGTTGCATTCTTACATATTATGTTTTTCAAAAGGATCATCTTTCCACACTTCAAGGAGAAGTGTGGAAAGATTTCTGCTTCTTGAACAGAGAGCTGTGAAGACAACTGGGGACACACATACACGCACACACATGTGTGCTAATCATCTGCCAGAAAATGGTGGCAGCTGTGTTTCAGAGTGCCAGTGTGTTCAAGTAAGAGTCTAGACTCTAGGCTTAGGTAAGCCACTGACTTGCTATGTGATCTTACATAAGCTACCAAAGTATTTCTGGGCTCAGCTTTCTCATCAGCCAATGAAGGTATTACATTCTATGTGAATTCTTCTATTTCATTTGCAGTACACAAACTAGTATATATAAGATAACTGATCTCTCGGTGACTACATTTAAAAATATCTAAAGGTTACAGAAATAAACACACTTCTTTGAAAAATACTTACTACAATCTTAAAATAATCACTTGGGATAACCATATCCCCATTTTTGACCCACTTCACAGTTGGAGTTGGTTTTCCAGTCACTTCACATTCAAATACAATATCCATAGATTCGTGAGCATATATATTAGTAGGCTGCTTCAGGAATTCAGGTTGAGCTTTAAAATAAAAAGGAAATTAAGACATTAATGAAAATAGAACTAGGCAGCTATTCATATTTCAACCAATTTTTAAATCATAAAATCCACAGGATTTTTACTCATTATTTGAAGCTTTCACATATTTTTGCAAAAGCATAAAATAAATATATAATAAAAAATACATGTTAGGAATACAATTATCTTTAAAAAATGATTTGCTGGTACAACTAACTGTTTTAAAGATAATTTCTGAGTTTCCTTATTTGGAACTATTTACTAAGTTGACTATATTGGAGAAATTAAAAATGTCTAAAAATAAATATTAAAGAATACTTCCCTAAGATTTATACCATTTTTTAAGAGCTATAATTAGAATTCAAAGAGTGGAAAAGATTGATAAAACTTTCCTTTTCAGTCAGCTTGATAAGTAAGAACAACAACAACAAAGTAAAATAAACGTCACATTAGAGTCCTTAAACAGCTCACTCATGCAACACACTCCTATTACTAAGATCCCTCATTATATGCAATGGTTTTACAGGGTGACGGGGAAAGGATAAGTACATTTGAAAAAGTCTGAATATTCCAGTAGCTCCCTTTCCACATGCCCCACAGCTGTAAATTGCTAACTTACAAATAATAGATCATAATATTTTTAATTAGAAGGGTTGAAGTAGATCTAGTCCAGCATCCTACCTAATGATATAATTTCCTATATGACATCCTTGACAAAGGGTCTTAGCGATCTGTATTTGAAAAGTGTGAATGACAGGAACTCCCTACATCACAAAGCAGCAAGCTCCACTGCAGGCTAGTTCTATGAAATAACAACAACAATGGCAACGACAGCAGCTTTATTTACAGTTGACCTAACATCTGCCCAGCCTGCTGGGATTTTGATTGGGATTGTGTTGAATTTGTGGCAACTTGACGTCTTAAAAATATTGTCTTCTTTTCCCTGAACACAGGTTTATCTCTCTATTTAAGTCTGATTTCTTTCATAAATGTTTTACAGATTTCAGTAAGCAAATCTCATTCATGCTCTGTTAGATAAATACCTAGGTATTTCAAATACTTTTGATGCTATTCTAAGTGGTACTTTAAATTTTTTAAAATTTCCAGTTGTTCTCTGCTAGTATGTAGGAATGAAATTGATTTATGTGTATTAACCTTTTATCCTGTGGCCATCCTAAATTATCTCATTAGCTGTATCAGCCTCTGTAAATACAGTTTGGGGATTATCTACATAGACAATCATGCTTGTATGTGAGTAGAGACAGATTTATTTATGCCTTTCCAATCTCCCTTTCCTTTTTTAAAAAAGAACTTTTTTGGCCTATTGCACTGTCTAGAGCAGGCCCTGAAGAGAAATCTAAACTAGCTACATAACTTAGGTAAATGAAGAACAACAGTACAAAAAGGAGATAGAACCCCAGTCAAGCAGAACCTCCCCCAAGGAGGGAAATCATGTATAATCTTAGGAAACAACATACATTCACAGTGATGGAAGATCCAGAAAACATAAATCTGTACAACAAGATGAAATCAGGGAAATCTATTAATAGCAAATTTGACTTGATCCTTTCAAACAATGACAAGCCTTTTGTATTTATTCTTTTGTGAATTATGTATATAAATATGCTGCCGTTTTTCCAATTAGAGTGTTTATAATTTTCTTATCTATATATAAGAGCTTTTGGTATAATGAGAGTTATTATTTCAAGGCTCTCAGCTCCAAATCTGTCCTTCTTTGCAGTAGTGGATATGGACTTTTGTCAGCTGGTGCTTTGTTGCACAGCAAAGCAGAGTGATGGGCTTAATTTTCAGTTTGGAGGATGCTCTTCTTTTTGCTCCTATGGTGAGGCTGATTGTGAAAGACCCAATAATGATCACCCTCCTGTAAGTTTCTCTAGCTTACTCCAGCATGGGGCTTTCTGTGCACCAGCTCTGACACACTGCATCCCATTGGATAGGGTCCTGTACACCAGCTCCAACTCATGTCATCCCAGTGGGCAATTTTCGGCTTATCATCTGTCCAGCCCACAGCACCCCAGCAGGTGTTTTCTGCACACCAGCTCTGAGGCCTCCCAGCAGGGGATTTCCTGTGCCCCAGCTTTGGCCCATAGCTATGTCCTTTGGCAGCAGCTACACTTTCTTCAACAAGGTCTGAACAACAGTCTTCCTGATTTTTGGATTCTCTCCCTCAGCTCAAGAGGTAGTCATAGCTAATCCCTATATTTACTATTTTTGTATTCTTTAATGTCCTATTTTGCCCTTTTTAGTAAGTAGATTTTAATAGTTAATAATTCTTTTTTTTTTTTGAGATGGAGTCTCGCTCTATTGCCCAGACTGGAGTGCAATGGCGTGATCTCGGCTCACTGCAATCTTCGCCTCACAGGTTCAAGCGATTCTTGTACCTCAGCCTCTCAAGTAGCCGGGATTACAGACGTGCACCACCACGTCCGGCTAATTTTTGTATTTTTAGTAGAGACAGGGTTTCACCATGTTGGCCAGGCTGGTCTCGAACTCCTGACCTCAGGTGATCCACCTGCCTCGGCCTCCCAAAGTGCTGGGATTACAGGCATGAGCCACCGCGACCGGCCATTAATAATTCTTTATATTAAATTTGCTCTGTTCAAATGCCTAGTATAGTTTCTGGCTCCTAACTGGGCCCTGACTAATACAGTAAGCTATACATGCTGCCAATATTTGTTTCCTCTTCTGTCTTTAACTTAAGGCATCTATTGTAACAAAGTTTTACGTTTGCATATGGTAAAATTTATAAGTTCTCTCCATTTTAGCATCTGTATTTCACTATTTTTACTCCAAAGGCTTTCCCTTCTTCTGTACTATAACAACATTCACTTGTATTTTCTTCTAATATTTCTACGAAACAAACTAGACTTACTAAGTATCCAGCTTTACATATATCTGGCAAGATCAGTCATCCCAAAAAGAATGACAGATTTGAAAGATTTAATACTAAAATCTACGTACTCTTGGGGGTTTATTTCAGGACACTAATTGGTTTCATCCATCTGCCTATTCCTGGGCCAGAACCATAAAATTATTATAACTATGCAATATGTTATAATATATGGTGGAACAAATATTCTTCCTTTATTTCCTCAAAATTTTTCTAACATGTTTGTTTAGTGTTCCACTCCCCAGATAAATTTAGACTCATCTTATGTTAAGTTTGTCTGTTCCTTCTCAAAGCAAACAGACAAACAAGAACTTGGAGTCTTCATTTGAACTGCAATACATTTTAGATACAGGAAAACTGAAGATGTTTGCAACTGTGAGTCTTTCTATTTAGAACAAGGTTACTTAAGCTTACTTGTGTTAAATAAAATTTATGGGAGACTACTAATATGGATTGAGCTTCTACTCTACAGATCAAACCAAACAGACTGAACCAAAATGCAGTCACTCGTGCCAAAGTTGCATATCACCAAACTAAACCTAAGTTATTTATCTGACCTTCTGAGAAATCAGGAGAGTGTGTGTGTCAAATCCCCAAATGGGACAGTTTTAGCCAACATAAGAAAGTCCCCTCTGCTTTGACCCTTACAATGAAAGTAATCTGAAGCAACTAATGTTAACCAATCCACTGTTTCTTTGTTCCTGCTCAAGTTTCCCTACAAAAACTAACTGTTCTGCCTGCCCAGTGTAGTGCTTATCTGTTCTTTAGATGAGATGCTGCCTGACTCATGAATTACTATTAAAAGCCATTATATCATTTAACTAAATTTGTAAAAATTCTGTCTTTTGACTCTTGGATATTCTTTGAAGTGATTTACTGTGAAGCAGTTGTAAAGACTAGGAGTCAAGAGACATAAAGTTGAGTTCTGGTTCTACCACTGGACATTTTGCTAAATGTGGGTTTCAAACTCCTGGGTTACTAAATAAGGAATTCAACTAGACTATTCCTAAGTACACTAAGATCTTTAGCCAATGATTTATAACTTTAACGTATATCTTTGATGTGTGATAATGAACACATCAAAGCTAACATTCATAAGCGCTTTCCACTTATAACCATTTAGTTCCTAGAACAATTCTATTATGCAGTTAATATTATATTATTTCCATTTTATAGGCAAGGACACTAATACACAGAGACGCTAAGTAACTCCATAGCACAAGGCTTAGTCAGTGACAGATCTGGATTTTGAACCTAGGCAGTCTGACTCCAAAACCTATATTCTTTTAAAAAACTTTTTATTTAAGAGAATAGAATAAATCCTATGTACCTATTACGTTGATTCAACAATTATCAAGTCATGGTCAATACTGATTCATCTATGCCTTAATCCATTCCATTCCCAGCCTCTACCCTACACACATATTATTTTGAAAGCAAACTCCACGTATTACACTATTTCATATATAAATGAGTACCTCTATAAGCCAAGAACTCTCATTTCTAAACATAACCATGATACCATCATCAGGCTGGTATCTAAAATAATTTATTGGCCGGGCATGGTGGCTCACGCCTGTAATCCTGGCACTTAGTGGGGCCGAGGCAGGTGATCACCTGAGGTCAGGAGTTCAAGACTAGCCTGGCCAACTTGGCAAAAACCCGTCTCTATTAAAAATACAAAAATTAGCCAGGCGTGGTGACTCATGCCTGTAGTCCCAGATACTCGGGAGGCTGAGACCGGAGAATCGCTTGAACCCAGGAGGTGGAGGTTGCAGTGAGCCAGGATTGTGCCACGGCACTTCAGCCTGGGCGACAGAACAAGACTCTGTCTCAAGTAATAATAATAATAATAATAATAATAATAATAATAATAATAATAGTTTCTTAATATCACCTATTACCCAGTCGGTATTCACATTTCACTAACTGGCCAATGTTCTCACTCTGTTGCACAGACTGGAGTGCAGTGGCATGATCATGGCTCACTGCAGCCTCGACTTCCCAGACTCAAGTAATCCTCCTGCCTCAGCCGCTCAAGTAGCTGAGACTACAGGAACGCACCACCACACCCAGCTAATTTTTTGATTTTTTAATACAGAGGAGGTCTCACTATGTTGCCCAGGCTAGTCTCAAACTCCTGGGCTCAAGCGATCCTCCTACCTTAGCCTCCCAAAGTGCTAGGTTTACAGGCATGAGCCACTACGCCTGGCCTCTATGTTCTTAAAAATGATCTACTTTATTCAAATTGGGCAAACAAGGTGCATTCACTGGTGTTAATTTGTTTCTTAGGTTTTTTTTTCCATCTACAGACTCCTCTTTATCTTTTGTTTGAAATTTGTTTAAGAAACCAAGTCATTTGTAATATAAGGTTTTCCTGCAATCTGTCTTTTGCTGACCACATTGCCATAGTGGTATTTAACATGTTCTTTCTGAAAGCTCACAGTTAAATGTAGAACCCTGATTGGAGTCAGGCTAGTTTTTTTTTTTTCCCCCGAGACTACTTCATAGGCAGTTCCATGTGCATCTATCAGGAGGTTCATCATGTGTGTCTATCTCTCTTTTGGTGATGTTAACAGCCTTTGGTTATCATTGCCCATCAGGCGGTGCAAAATAGTAATACTCTTATTCTATCACTCATTCTGTAAAGAGAAACATCCCTTATATTACTTATTACTATATTCCTTCAATTATTAGGATAACCCCACAATTATCTGGTTATCCTAAAGTACCGTACTTCGAAAAGGGGCAGAATAAATGCTTGACTTTTTCCCTTCACTTACGTTTTCAAAACAGTGAGCTGGTTTTCTAATATCCTCTCCCAAAGGTAATTGCTGAGGATTTTTCATTTAAGTATTAAGAGCCTTTAGTTTAAGATATATTTGGTTTGTTTCAATTCACTCAGGTTATTATTCTTTTGATTCTTAAACTATCCCATATTTGACCAATGGAGGAAACCTGAACACAGTGAAAGCTCCTGAGTCCTTTTTCACATGACTCTATTGGACTTCAGTTTATGGTCATTGCTCTGAGACCCTTTTTGTGGACAAAGTCAGCAATTTTGTATTTTTTAAATATAAACTTCATCATGATTTCCTACTGATATTTTCAATTAAGTCTAAGACTGTAGCTTTTAGCTGAATCTTCTTAATTTTACATCTGTATCTCAAGCCAAAAATCTGTTCTCAATGACACTAACATAATTACTCATTTACTTTATCCTACACCCATAGTCTCAGAATAAACATCTGTACCAACAATATGATAAAAGAAAACAACCAAAGATTTTTTGCAGTTGTGTCCTTAGAGTAAATCCCACTAGGTACATTATAGTCCAATTACAATTTTAAATTTACATGGAATTATAATTCCATATACTTAGAATTGTAACTTACTGTGTGGCTGTATTACCAACTGGATACACCTTTGGAGTCGCCTGTTTCATTTTACTTTCCAGTTTCAGGAACTACTTTGTAAATTTTTAAATCTATAAAGACAAGGTACATTCAAACAAACCTACCTACCTTCTAACCCTGTTTCTCTCATCCTATTTCCTCCTTTACCCTACTGGTAAATTTATGATTTATTATTCCATTATGAAAATTATAAGCACATACCCACACCCACAATTTGTCCCCAATCCTCTTATTTAGATTATAAATGATAGCATACTAATTTTTTTCTACCTTCAAAGCCTATACTCTTAACTACTAAGGTACCATGTTCCAAGACATTAACATATTCCTTGAGTCTAAAGAACTGCAAGAACTGAGGCTCCCCCTAAGGCAGAGTAAATAATTACTCTGGAAAACACAGCAAAAGCCTCTTCCAAAAAAAAAAAAAAAAAAAAAGGAGGGGGGAGCAGATAATTTCGGTATGCATTTTTAGTAAACAGACTTTCACAGACTATTAGAAAAAATCATCATAAGCAATGTTCAATTAATCATTAGTTTCCCTTTCATGAATTATAAAATAATGCCCTTAAAATGTTTTCTGGATTTTAACTACTCTGTAGATAGTATTCACACCAATTAAACACAATTGTAAGAGCAGATGTTTGTGGTTGGGAAGTTAAATTGATAACCAGAGAACAAATGAGTCAATTACCATAAGAAAATAAGTGTTGTAATGGAAGATTATGCATTTTGTTACCAAAGAGATAATTAAGCTTCAAATCCTCTTTGACAGCTCCCTATCCCTTCAAATGCCATCATCATTTCAGGAATAATTTTAATTGCTAAATGTACAAGTGGAATTTAATACTAAAATATATTATACTTGCAAAATTCTTTTACTAGAAACATCACTTAATTCCATCACTGTTACATAATGCTGAAAATTGCCATTTAATTCAAATAAATAACAATATAGGGCCAACACCAATGATTCAAGGTTACTTTATTATGCTGTGATTTGGAAGATAACCGTTTTCATTTACATTAGCTCTGAATTGTTGGAGTTTCTATTGTTTCATTTGAAAGGCTTATGGACTGAAATTCTTATTAAGCTCTGTAAGCAGAGAAAGAAATCAATTTTGTCCATTTCATGTTAAAACTGCTTCTTTTCTGTAATTCACAAATTTACATCTATGCCGTTTAAAAAAAAAAACCCAACAAATAAAAACAAATAAAAACCAAGCATTTAACAGTGTGAAATCCCTTCAGGGATTTTGTTTGACAGTCTAATCACAAGTGTACTATTGGTACTGACTCAACTAACAAAGCAAGAATATATTTGAATCCTCTGACATTTCTTGAGAAAGCTTCCCATTCCAATGAAGGTGAATAGGCTTCTCCAAGAGAAACAGGTGACATCATAACTTAACTTATGATGTAAGTTTGAAGTAATATTATAACAATGTTTCCACTTGACTATGAAATTATATTTCTCTCCTTTCATCCCAATCCTGCCCCTAGTCTCATTGTCTTTTCCTTACCCTAGCCCTCAATTTAGCTAACAGGTACTCATCCATCTGATACTAATTAAAAGTATTTCTCGGCCAGCGCGGTGGCTCACACCTGTAATCCTAGCACTTTGGGAGGCCAAGTCAGGTGGATCACTGGAGGTCAGGAGTTCGAGACCAACCTAGCCAACATGGTGAGACCCCCCCCCCCCACCCCCCGTCTCTACTAAAAATACAAAAATTAGCTGGACCCTGTGGTGCATGCCTGTAATTCCAGCTACTTGGGAGGCTGAGGCAGGAGAATCAACTGGGAGGCAGAGGTTGCAGTGAGCCGAGACTGTGCCACTGCACTTCAGCCTGGGCACCAGAGGGAGACTCCATCTCAAAAATACAAAACAAAACAAAAAACTTCCTTAAAGAAGCATTTCCTGACACACAGTCCCTCACTCTTTCCTGTTTCTAGCCCTTGACTGCCCTATTTACTATTGAAATCCCAGTGGCCTAAACCAAAATAGGTGCTCAATGCATATTAGTAGAATTTTTTTCAAGGATTCTCAAGTTTCTTAAGAATTCAATGTTTTATATCATTGTTTCTCCTAAGTCCACTCTTGAGTGTCTGACTTTCTGCATGAATTTTAAATTTTGCTTTTAAATGTTTATGATGATGTAAAATTTTCATGAACATGAAATTTCAGCACCAACATTTGTGCTCATGTTTACATGTTAGCTCTGTGATCACATGATTTAATTGTAATGCAATGTTCCTCAAACTTTGGGTCTTACGGTCTAAAGCTCTTAACTTTGAAAAATTGTATTCTATATATCAATTTTTATTTTGAAAAATTCACAAAAACCTTTATTAAATATAGGCTCCACTTCTTTAACAAAGTTAAACATACTTAATCTTTGCTTGATGTCTCAATATTGTATGTATACACAACATCTAACATCCATTCATTCATCATCGTACACTTGGGTTGTTTCCATGTTTCAGTTATTGTGAATAATGCAGCTGTGAATGTGGGTGTAGAAATATATTTTTGAGACCTACTTTCAATTCTTTTGAACATGGACCTCAGATGGAGCAGGAACCCCTTGAGGGGCCTATGGGCCTCCCCCGCCCCCAGCATGGAAATAAAGGAAAATCTTGAGTTCCTTCAAGAGAAGTTCCAGGCACCTAGCTGGCCCTGAGAAGCAAATGAACAACTTGATAAGCAAGAGGGTAATAGCAGCTTAAAACAATAGCCAAGGAAGTTAGAGTCGTGGGATGTTTGGTTCCCTATAGAAACTAAAGGCAACATCTTTTTTTTTTTTTTAATTATACCTTAAATTCTAGGGTACATGTGCACAACGTGCAGGTTTGTTACATATGTATACAAGTGCCATGTTGGTGTGCTGCACCCATTAACTCGTCATTTACATTAGGTATATCTCCTAATGCTATCCCTCCCCCCTCCCCCCACCCCATGACAGGCCCTGGTGTGTGATGTTCCCCTTCCTGTGTCCAAGTGTTCTCATTGTTCAATTCCCACCTATGAGTGAGAACATGCAGTGTTTGGTTTTTTGTCCTTGCGATAGTTTGCTGAGAATGATGGTTTCCAGCTTCATCCATGTCCCTACAAAGGACATGAACTCATCCTTTTTTATGGCTGCATAGTATTCCATGGTGTATATGTGCCACATTTTCTTAATCCAGTCTATCATTGATGGACACATGTCCCTGGGTTGTTTTTCAGAAACCTGGACCCCACCAAATGGATCTGTTGGCATGTACACATCAGGTAAGGGGGAACTGAGGACTGAATATCTTTGTCCTAAAGTTCTTCCTGAGGGACTTGGGAGAAGTCACACCCATGAGCCAGAACTAATATTCTTTTCTGCTGATCCCCAGATTTTAAAACAAAACTTCTCTTCCTTAATGAACTGCAAATCAGAAAATCTACCTACAACCTGTAAACCCCACTTCAAGATCTCCCGCCCTTTTAGGCCAAACCAATGTATAACCTCCATGTATTGCCTTATGATTTTGCCTATAACTTCTACCTTCCTGAAATTTCCCCCTGCCTTTATAAACCCTTGCTTGCAAGCCATTGGAGAGTTCAGGTCTTAAGCATGAGCTATCCGATTCTCCTTGTTTGGTGCCCTGCAATAAACATCTCCATTTCTCTTTGCAGCAATCCAAATGTCAGTGTTTAGCTTTGCTGCACTGGGTGGGCAGACCGAAGTTCAGTTTGGTAACATGCCCAGAAGAGGAACTGTTAGTTCAAATGGTAATTCTAGTTTTTCATTTTTTAAGGCGCCACCATACTTTTTACCAGCAACTATACTTTTCGCTGTACCAAAAGTGCAAAAGGGTTCCAATTTCTCCATATCCTTACCAACACTTGCTATTTTCTGTTTTTAGAGAGAAGCCACTATAGCAGGTATGGGGGTGGTATCACAGTACTGAGAGAGGAGAAAGGAAGAAACCGGTAAGGTAGGCAGTTAGGGTGGGTCCTCAGTGGAATTATTTCAAACAGAACAACCTGAAAAATCAAGCTGCAGGCACAGATAAGGGAACTTGCACAGGGAGGTTTGCCTAAGACATGTCCACAGCCACACAGATAAGAAAGGCTACACAGGTGACTTGCCCAGACATGCCCACAATGGAAAATCCCGTCTCCTGACACATGTGCAGTAAGGGGAACAAAGCGATATGGAATAACTCAAGCTAACCGCCTGCATGCACATTAGGAGGACTGGGTAGAGCTATCAGAAATTCTCACCTTACGTAAATGAGATGTTCAGCCCTCACTGGTTTCTTTTAAAAAGCCTTTGCATTCAACTGTAAAAACGGCAATCCTCTTCTGGGTCCTCTCTCTGCTGTGGAGAGCTGTCTTCTTTCACTTATTAAACTTTTGTTCCAACCTCACCCTTTGTGTCCACGCCCCTTAATTCTCTTCATCACTGAGACAAAGAACTCTGAACTCCAGGTGATATCTCACAAGAGATTGCTACACTGTGGTGCATTGGCAGGACTGTAACAGTACCACATATGTTTTTGTACCATTTGATTTTTTACCATGCTTGTTGACTATTTAAGAAAATTGACTACTGGATGGTTTGAATTCACCTGCTCTCTGATTCTCCCTACTGTTCTACAGTTGGATTTTTCTGTTAACTGACAGTATTGTTTGCTTTATTTTCTCCATCTCTCTACTTTCCTTTTTATCATTTTCAAAGTTAAGAAGGTGAAAAGTACTCAGTATAAAAGGTGTACAGAACACAGAAAACATAAAAGCCTCCTCTTTATCAAGCTTCAAACTACCTGTCAACACCAGTACCCTCCTTAGAGAGAAATACTATTCATATTTTTGGTGTGTGAACTCTCCAAACATTTTTCTATGTATTTAAAACACATCACATATACACACACACTTAACTTGTTTTTAAAATACAGACTGGAGTCTAGGCAACATAGTGAGACCCCTATCTCTACAAAAAAAAAAAAAAAAAAAATTGGCCAGGCATGTGGAACATGCCTACAGTTTCAGTCACTCAGGAGGCAAAGGCAGGAGACTGCTTGAGCCCAGGAGTTCGAAGCTGCTGTGAGTTATGATTACACCACTGCACTCCAATTTGGGCAACTTAGCAAGACCCCCATCTCTAAAAAATAAAATAAAATACAGACTGAGTCAACCAATAACTAATTTTCTGCAACTTGTATTTCTCTCTTAATAATACTGCATATTAGTATACATGTAGCCACATATATAGCATAGTAGGTCAATGGTATGACCATATCCCAATGTAATTATTCTCCTATTAATGCACACTTAAGGTTACTTTTCATTTTTCTACTACAGGTAAATGCTATAATATGCATCCTTGTACATATCTTTGTATGCATGTGCAAGGGTTTTAGAAGAATAGATTCTTAAAGGGAATAACTAAGTCAAGGTGTTTTTGTATTTTACATTTTGGTAAATATTACCAAAGGCTGTACCAATTTCATATTCCTGTCAGAGAGTAGCTATTGATGAAGCTATTCAACATTCTACTGCACGTCCTAGCTAATTTAAGGAAATAAGAAAAAGAGGCTGGGCGTGGTGGCTTATGCCTGTAATTCCAGCACTTTGGGAGGCTGAGGCGGGTAGATTACTTGAGGTTAGGAGTTCAAGACAACCCTGTCCAACATGGTGAAACCCTGTCTCTACCAAAAACACAAAAAATTACCTGAGTGTGGTGGCATGTGCCTGTAATCCCAGCTACTTGGAAGGCTGAGACAGGAGAATGGACTGAACCCAGGAAGTGGAAGTTGCAATGAGCTGAGATCAATCGTGCCATTGCACTCCAACCTGGGTGACACAACAAGACTTCGTCTCAAAAAAAAAAAAAAAAACCAATAATAATAATAATCAGCGGGGCGTGGTGGTGGGTGCCTGTAATCCCAGCTACTTGGGAGGCTGAGGCAGGAGAATCGCTTGAACATGGGAGGCAGAGGTTGCAGTGAGCTGAGATTGCACCACTGCACTCCAGCCTGGGCGACAGAGTGAGACTCTGTCTCAAAAAAAATAAGAAAAAAAAAAAAAATAAGAAAAAGAAACAAAATACAAATACGGGAAAAGGGTTGGAGAAATCCACCACCGGCCCCTACCACACACATACACACACATCATGACAATGACTGTCTACTCAGAATATTCAAGAAAATCTCTCTCACCTGGAGAAATTCCAATGTGCATTACTGTACTATCTGTAGTGGGGAGGGACCCCAATGATTTCATGAACAGGAATAATAATTACACAAACTACAATAGGTCTAAAGCATATGTTACAGCCTTCCCAATCAAAGTGTAGTATAGGACCAATAGCACTGGCAACATCTGGGAGCTTATTAGAAATACAGAATCTCTGTTTCCCCACCCCAAACCCTCTGAATCGGTTTCAGCATTTTAAAAGATCTCCAGGTGGTTTGCAGGTACATTAAAGTTTGATAAACATCGCTTTGGGGCATTTAAATACTGATTATAGTCCTGTAGGTACAAACAGAGAGAAATTTAAATACAGTAATGACAAAAAGCAATTTGCAGAGCAAACTAGATGATATAATATCTGCTAATGAAAAAAATTTATTTGTAGATGTACATGTATGTAAATGCTTTTTGAAGACACCTGGAAGCATACACACTAAACTAATAACAGTCATCCTCTGAGGAAAGGGGTGGGAATGGGGAAGGGGCAATAAAGGAGGAGGTTTACTTTGTTGATACGGTTTGATTCTTTAATAATGTTACTGCATTACTTAAATAATTTTTAAAAGAAAAATAAAAGCCAAAAGAATAAGCTGAAAAACTATTAGAATGAAATATAAATCTCTGGTAAACTAGCAGAATAAATGATTAACATGTTTTTTGTTGTCATTCACATTCTTACGTATCAAAAAAAAATCAGAAAATGTAAATCTAAAAACCAAATTCATAACTACAAAAACAATAAAATAGATACGTACCTAACAAGTAAAGTATAAAACCTTTAGGAAGAAAAATATGTAATTTTATTAAGGAAACAAAATATTAAAGAATCGCCTGGTTTGATTCCATCCTGTGTGGCTGTTCTCTTAAGCAATAGTTGTTCATTTCTATCTGCTTTCTCTCCCACCTAAGTGTGTGCCACCACCCCATGGAAGATTCAATGGACATGAACATGAGCCCCTGAGGCCTGAGGACCATGTTTTTCATTGTGAACCAAAGGCTGACAAACATTACCATCTTAAGGTGGATAATGATGAAAATGAGCATCAGTTATCTTTAAGAATGGTCAGCTTAGAGGCTGGTGCAAATGATGAACTGCAGATTGTTGACACAGAGACAATGAATTACGAAGGCAGTCCAATTAAAATAATACTGGCAACTGGCCAGGCATGATGACTCACATCTGTAATCCCAGCACTCTGAGAGGCCGAGGTGGGTGGATCACTTGAGGTCAGGGGTTCGAGACCAGCCTGGCCAACATATTAAACCCAGTCTACTAAAAATACAAAAACTCAAAAATTAGCTGGGCATGGTGACGCACACCTATAACCCCAGCTACTCAGCAGGTTGAGGCATGAGAATTGCTTGAACCCAGGAGGTGGAGGTTGCAGTGAGCCAAGATCACACCACTGCACTCCAGCCTGGGCAACAGAGTGAGACTCTGTCTCAACAACAACAACAACAACAACAACAAAACAAAATAAATAAAGTAATAGTGGCAACTTTGAACATGATGATTTGAACAGCCAATGATTTCCCTTGGGGTCTTTGAAATAACACCACCCATGGCCTTTGGGTTGAAGTATGGTTCAGGGCCTGTGCATATCAGGTAACAGCACTTAGGAGCTGGGGAGGAAGGTGAAGAGGCTTAGAAGATCAAGAAGAGGAGGACATGAAACTCTTAGGTACATTTGGAAAGTGATCTGCCCCTGGAGGTGGTAGCAAGGTTACCCGGGTTGTGGAGAGGAAGAGGAGACAAGAATAAGCTCCACTGAAGAAATCTGTATGAGACACTCCAGCCAAAAATGCACAAAAATCAAACCAAAATGGAAAAGATTCAAAACCATCAACACCAAGATCAAGAATCCTTCAAAAAACAGGAGAAAAAAAAACAAACAAACTTCCTAAAACACCAAGAGAACCTAGTTCTGTAGAAGACATTAAAGCAAAACAGCAAGGAAGTACAGAAAAAGCTGGTTTTCTTCCCAAAGTGGAAGCCAAGTTCGTCAATTATATAAAGAATTGCTTCTGGAAGACTGACCAGGAGGTAATTCAAGATCTCTGGCAGTGGAGAAAGTCTCTTTAAGAAAATAGTTTAAGCAGTTTTAAAAATGTTTCCATCTTATTTCACTTATGTAACATTTGATATACAGTTGTCCTTTTTATAATGTAGAGTGAGAACTTTCCCTAATATGTTTGATAAATGTTGTCCAAGTTCCACTGCCAAGAATGTGTTGTCCAAAATGCCTGCTTAGTTTTTAAAGATGGAAATCCACCCTTTGCTTGGATTTAAGCATATATGGAATGTTATGATAGGACACAGTAGTAGCAGTGGTCAGACATGGAAATGGTGGGGAGACAAGAATGTACACATGAAATAACCTCGGCATTTTAATAAGTAGCACTGTTTCTATTCAAATAAAAAAATGGAGGCACAACTATAGATGCAAATATGTATGAAAATTCTCATACGATTGAAGTGACACATTACATCAGGGAAAAGATACATAACTCAATAAAAAATCCTAGAAACTGTAATCACTTGGAAAGAATAATGTTGGATTTGTATCTCATTTCTTACACCAAAGTAAATTCCATACGTATCAAAAATTTAATGATTAAAACCAAACACTGCCATAAAAGCACTAGAAGACATGAGATTTTTAAAAAATATAATCTTGGAGGGAGGACTAAGTATGACACAAACTCGGAAGTCACAAAAGAAAATTTAAACATATTGGCTTGTGATACTGTGAAATCTGCCTTTGGACTTCATCCTGGTTTCCTGACACAGAGCCCCTAAATCTCTTGGAATTTCCTGGGTGATAGGAGCAACTTTTGTCCTATAATAAGACAAGTCTTGATGGGGTACTTGATAGCCTCCAGATGAGGGCTACCTAACAGTGGAATCAAACATGAGAGGGTTGGAATTTTCAGCTCCATTCCCCAAACTCCAGAAGGGGAGATGAGCTCAAGGTTCAATTGATCACCAGTGGCCAATGATGTAATCAATCATGCCTACACAATGAAACCTCCATAGAAACTTATAAGGACAGGGTTTGGGAGAGCGTCTAGGTAGCTGAACTCATGCAGGTTCCTGAAGGGTGGTTCCCAGAGAGGACATGGAAAGTCCATGCCCCTTCCCACGTACCTTGCCCTATGCTGTTTAACACTTTGTAATATCCTTTATAATAAACGGTTAAATTTAAGTAAGCATTTCCCTGAGCCCTGTGAGCCACTCTAGCAAATTAATAAAACCCAACAAGGGGATCATGGGAACCTCAATCTGTAGCTAGTCAGTCAGAAGTTCTGGAGACCCAGACTTGGGACTACCACCTGAAGAGAGATGGTAGTCTGGTGGTCCTGAGCTCTCAACCTGTGAGATATGACACTCTCTCCAGTGCCATATCTCTACATGGAAATGGTGAGGAGGCAAGAATATACATATGAAATAAACTCGGTATTTAGTAAGTAGTACTGTTTCTATTAGAAAAATAGAAAGGTAGGTAGTGTCAGAACTGAACTGAATTATAGGACATACAGCAGGTGTCCACTGAAGTACTGCTTGGTGTGTGGGGAAATAACCCCCACATTCTGGGATCACAGAGGTTTTCTGCGTTGAGCAGAAAGTAGAGAATAGGAAAAACAACAGTTTGGTGTTTTGGGGTTTTTGTATATTCAAGAGGACTACATAGAAAAATTAAAAGTATACATAATTAAAAACTATCATGAAGTAAAAAGACAATGAACAGGGGGAAAACAGATAACAGAACTAATTTCCCTAATATATACAAGTTCCAACAAATTAATAAGAAAAAAATTACAAATAAAAACTGAGTAAAAGATATAGACAGTGCACAAAATGAAAATACACAGAATTTCCTAATATATGAGAAAAGATGTTGAACCTCACTCATGTAAGTAATATGCAAATAACAAGAGTATGAGAAACGGGCAGTCTTATATATATTGGTGATGATATAAATTGATACAATCTTTTATAGGGTGATTTAGTAATATCTATAAAAATCTAAATTGTATAAACTCTTTGATACAGCAATTTCACCTCAAGAGATTCATCTATCAGAAACACTCACACATTTGCATAAAGACATAAGGATATTCCCTGAACACTGAAGCAGCAAAAGATTAGGAACCACCAAATAGTAAGCTATTTTAACCACAGTCCATCAAGACTGCTGCTGCTTCCATGTTGACTTGCCCTTATGCCAGGTCATGATGGAGTGGCTGAAGTCATTTTTGTACTTAAGAGAAGTCAAGAGGAAATTGAGCTACATATACCATTAGTGGGTTTAGTGGGATATATTTATGTGGTTTTCGCCAAAACTTTTGTGTATACCTAAACTGTCTCAGTATAGGAAGACTTCCAGGAATACTCCTTCTGCCCACTGTACTAACAGGACCCAACACCGAGACACAAAGGTGTGGAGTCATATTCAAATGACTATATCTTAAACACTGGAGGAAAAGACCAAATTAGCTTTCTATTTTCATAGAAAATGACTTACAAAATCACTGACATATGAGGAGACAATGAAACAAAATGCAGCAAAAACAAATATTACAACACATACGTGTATAAGGTAATATTTTTAAAGTGCTGTTTTTTCTGGGTTTTGGTAACGTTTGTAGTGTTTATCAGCTTTGAAAAACTAGTTTATTGTGCTTTCTTTTCTCGTTCTAAATAACTACTCATTTTGTACATAGTTTGGTATTCACTGTCTTTTTAAAAAAATTTTTGAGACAGAATCTTGCTATAGTTGCCCAGGCAGAACTCAAACTCCGGGGCTCAAGCAACCCTTCTGCCTCAGCTTCCTGAATAGCTAGGATTACAGGTGTGTATTACCACACCTCGCTACTCACTGTCTTAAACAAGGCCTCCAAAGTAGTTTTCACTGCAGACCTCAAAAAAGCTGGATCTGCTCCTGATGATGACAATCTCTAAGATTGCTTGTTACACCTATTATGCTATTTTTACACACTTCTTTGCTTGAACAGGCATAGAATATCTCTAGAAGGATAAGAAAAAAATAATGGTTGCTTCTGTGGAGGAGGGCTGGGACATAGCAGTAATATTTCACTATATATCCTTTCTAGAACATCTTCATATGTTATCTATTAAAAATATTTAATTAAAAATAAAAGTGAGGACAGGTGTGATGGCTCATGACTGTAATCCCAGAATTTTGGAAGGCCAAGGCAGAAGGAATGCTTGAGGCCAGGATTTCAAGACCAGCCTGGGTAACAAAGTGAGATCGCCATCTCTACAAAAAAATACAAAAATTAGCTGGGTGTCGTAGTGGTCCCAGTTACACAGGAGGCTGAAGCAGGAGGATTGCTTGAGCCCAGGAAGTCAAGGCTGCAGTGAGCGATGACCACACACTGCACTCCAGTCTGGGCAACAGAGTGAGATCCTGTCTCAAAAAAATGGTAATAATAATATACACACACACCTGGCTACAAAGACTTAATTCTGTAAATATATCAATCACAATTCTTTTGAAATGAATCTGTAAAGTCAATGAAATGCCATTTAATATCCCAGGAGAAATTTTATCAAATTTAACAAGCTGAATCTGCAGGCCATCTAGAAGAAAAAATTGTAAAAAAAAAAAAAAAAAAAAAAAAAGAGTCTCACTCTTTCTCCCAGGCTGGAGTGCAGCAGGACGATCTCGGCTCACTGCAACCTCTGCCTCCCGAGTTCAAGCAATTCTCCTGTCTCAGCCTCAGGAGTAGCTGGAACTACAGGCATGCACTACCAAGCCAGCTAATTTCTGTATTTTTAGTAGAGATGGGGTTTCACTATATTGGCCAGGCTGGTCTCAAACTCCTGACCTCAAGCGATCCTCTTGTCTCAGCCTCCCAGAATGCTGGGATTACAGATGTGAGCCACCACATTTGGTCAAAAACAATTTTTTTTTTAAAAGAACAATGAGAAGGGATCCTTCCAACAAAATATCAACAAGGGAAACAGTATTAGTATTGATGTAGGAATTGTTAAAGTTTTCAATAAAACAGAGTTAGGATAAGATCTACAGAACTTCAGAAATTTCAAGTTTCTCTCCAAGATGGCTGAGTAGAAGCATTTCCAGCATATCTCATCCACTTAGAAGAACAAAAATTGTGTGTAGACAATCACACTTTAAATATATTATCCAAGAGGGAGCATGGGAGTTCAAGAGAAAAGCAAAAGGAAACTTCAACATCTGAGAAGAAGGAAAACAGGTAACCCGTGTGGCCAGGACTGGCTGAAAATCAGGAATGTATCCCCAGTAGGGGAGAGGGTGAGTGAGTGTATTTCTGCAGTCCATGTTTCCACAGGGGAATTGTACAATCCAGGCTGTAGGAGAGCACCTTGACCCTCCTGAATCCTGGATCTCACCTGGGGAGTGACTGGACAAGGAACTGCTCCAGGGACGTCCCATACATTCCATCAGATATAGGCAGCTACAGTAAGAGGCCATTCTCAATCCCAGCTCTTAACAAGCTGTGGATGGTCCTGGGAACAAGTGGCAGTGCCAGGCTTTGGTGTCAGAAATTCGGGCTGGGGCTTGAAGAACTGGGACTCAAGCAAGAGTCTGGACTCCTGCAACCAGAACTGAGAAACTGGTATGGGCAGCTGATACTGAAACTGGGGTATCCCCCTACCTGCTTGGGACCTGAGCAGGAGGAGAGCTGCCATGGAGGCTTGGGATTAAGCTGGGTTGTATCTCCTAAGGCCCTGGACTGAGTTGCAGAACACTGCCATGACTGAACAGGCTGATCTGCTGCCACAGTTAGGAGTGGGAGGGAACTCTGCCAGGACTGGGGCATGAGAAGGAAGTAAGTCCTACTTACACAAGCCACATCTGTGGCTGCTGGGACTGCCCCTCCATACCCATGTTAAGACTTCGGCATAGCAACAGTCATCCCTCACCCAAGAATTTCACCAGGGGCCTGAGAACTGCCCTGCCACCCCCGTCAAGGAAGGTAGATGCACCCACCATTGGGAGGCCTGAGTACAAGCTTGCCTGCTCCAGCTCCACTCAGCTTGGCCCCTACTCCGCAGAGGGAAGTGGAGGTTAGGGGGATCCAGGTTCCTGAGAATTCTGCAACTCAATCCACCATCTGGGACACCTGTGCAAGCACTTGTCCTCAGAAACAGAGGTTAGGCATAAAACCTACTGTTGACAATATAGCTGGCTATTACCTGCAAGTGCCACCTACTGGCCTGGAGGCTGACATGCACAGCCCATTGCAACAACTGATAAAACAAGGGCACAACACTTGTGAATGAGAAGAGCTTCTCACTACTACTGCTATTCCCATTGCCCATACCACCCTGGCTTCCCAGTAGGTCAAGAGTCTGCTCACCTGCATGGTCTACCTCTACTACAACAGGCATTTGAGAGAGCCACCCAGTGGCCAAAGAATCAGCCTACCTGGAACTACCAACATGGGTGCCAGCATATACCACATACCAGGTCACAATGATAGACATACTTAGCCCACCACCACTACCACTGAAGGACCCATGAGGCATTCCAGTCTCCAGCAAAACCTCATCACAGACTCCACCAATAACTGCACACTAACACACAGAAAAATCCACAGATTTAACACTAAGGCTATCTGTAGCCAAGGAAATCACACAGAATCCTTAAAGCCACTGCGCATACCCAGAAGGAAAGCCAAAACGCCCTATCCAATCAACATTATAGACATATCTTCAATAAAAAGTCTCCCCACTCAATGAAAGCAAATTCAAAAATAAGAAGTAGTGACTGTTACTCCAGATGCACAGAAACCAATGTAAAGATATAGGAAGTATGAAAAAGCAACATATTATGACACATTCAAAGGAACACAATAATTCTCCCGCAATAGGTCCTAACCAAAAATAAATCCTTGAACTTCTAGATAAAGAATTAAAAATACTGATTTTAAAGAAGCTCAATGAGATTGCAAGAGAAATCTGAAAACCAGTACCAAGAAGTCAGAACATCTATTTAGGATACCAATGAGAAATTTATCGAGATAGATATCTTCAAACAAATTCTAGAACTGAACAATTCATTGAAGGAATTACAAAATACATTTGAAAGCTTCAACAATAGACAAGCCTGAACAGAAGAAAGAATCTCAGAACTTTAAGGCAGGTCTTTTGAAATAATCCAGTCAGACAAAAACTTAAAAAGAATAAAAAAGAACAAAGACTTCAAGATGTTTGTGACTACATAAAGTGACTGGACTTGTGAATTACGGGTATTCCTGAGGGGAAAGAAAAATCAGAAAGTTTAGAAAACCTATTTAAGGAAACAACTGATGAAAACTTCCCAAGTCTAGCAAGAGAGTTAGACATTCACATAGAGGAGGCCTAGAGATCCTGAGGAAAATATATTCCAAAAAGGACTTGGAATATGCACCACAGCATATTATAATCAGACTGTCTAAAGTCAAAGTAAAAGAAAGAATTTTAAAATTAGCAAGAAAAAAAGCATCTAGTTACCTATAAAGAAAACCCCATCAGACTAACAGTTGACTTCTCAGCAGAATCCTTATAAGCCAGAAGAGAATGAGCTGGCATTTTCAAAGTGCAGTAAGGAAAACCACCACCACCACCATCAGTATCACCACCACCACCACCAAACATCAGCCAAGAATTTTATATCCAGCAAGATTAAGATTCATAAATGGAGAAATTCTTTCCCAGAAAAAGTCTTTCCCTGAGAAAATTTATCACCACCAAACCAGCCCTATAAGAAATGCTCAAAGGAGACCTAAATGTGGTAATGAAAGGTTGACATTCACCACCATGACAACACAAGTTAAAAAAAAAAACACAAAGACTTTATAAAACAAACTCACAAAAAAAGAAAAAGAAAGGAATCAAATGGCAACACAACAGAATTCCATCAAGCCAAAAGACAGAAGAAGAAACAACAAATTTATAAAACAACTAGAAAACAATTCACAATGTAACAGGATCAAAACCTCACATATCAATGTTAATGCTGAACGTAAATGGATTAAGAGCTCCACTTAAAAGATATAGATTGGTGGAATGAATTTTAAAAACTTCATTCAACTATATGCTGCTTGCAATAAACTCACCTGTAAAGACACATAGACTGAAAGTAAAAGGGTGGAAAAAGATATTTCACACCAAGAGAAACTGAAAGTGAGCAGGACTAGCTACGCTCATATCAGATAATGGAACTGGAGGTCGTTATGTTAAGTGAAATAAGCCAGGCACAGAAGACATGCTTCAGATGTTCTCACTTATTTGTGGGAGCTAAAAATGAAAACAACTGAACTCATGGAGATAGAGAGTAGAATGATGGTTACCAGAGGCTGGGAAAGGTAGTGGGTGGGGGGTAATGGTTAATGAGCACAAAAATATAATTAGAATTAATAAGATCTAGAATTTGATGGCAAAACAAGGTGACTACAGTCAACAATAATTTATTGTACATTTTTAAATAATTAAGAGAGAATAACTGGACTGTTTGTAACACAAAGGATAAATGCTTGGGTGATGGATACTCCATTTACCCTGATGTGATTATTAAGCATTGTATGCCAGCGTCAAAATATCTCATGTACCCGATAAATATATACACCAACTATTACAAATTTTTTTTTTTTTAAAGAATACTAGACTAGGAATCAGAAGTCCTGAGCTTTTAATCTGGGCTTTGCCTCCAAATGTGTTTTGTAATCTTAGGGAAATCAATTTTCCTTAAAAGGACATAAGACCTAATATATGTGAAAATACTTTCTTGTTAATATGAAAGATATTTTAAAAATTTGTCAGGTATATCCATATAATGTAAATGTGACACAGTATAAATTATACCTTGGAAATAAAATAAAAATTGCTTGATATTATTTCTACTATAATTAAATTTCTTGGCAAGTCAAAATGCCTCATAATTCTACTACCCTAACTCTTGCAGTATTTTAAAATGGAACAACTATTTTTGATAAGGTTTAAAGAGGAAAATATAATTCGGAGGCTTTCAGAAGCTTTATCAGTCAGTGGACTAATAACAATACCTCTACATAGGGTTTTACAAGAGAGAACTAAATTTTGTTCAGTATCAGATGTAAGTCAGGTATTGTAACGTGCACTTTATCTATTAAATCCCTTTAGACCCTCAATAATATAAAGCATTATTTACATTTAAAGTATAATTATATTACGTAATCATTGGAAATCAACCATTACAATCCCAGAATAAGGGGCTGACAATAACGACTTTCGCCAATATAACTTGCTTACATTATTTTTTCACTTTAACACACTGGTGTGATATGCTCTAGATCTGTAGTTCCCTTTGACCCAGATTTCAGGTAGGGCCAATGCTTCACAAATAATTTACACCTCATAAGCATGGGAAGATTTCTCCAGGGTTTTGGGGAGAAATGGTGTTTTGCCAATGCAGTGATTAGATTTTGTAATTAGATTTTTAAACTATTTGTAATTAGATGAAGACGAGTATACTATGTGTGACAGTAAATTTTATGTGTCAACTTGACTGGGCCATGGCATGCCTAGATATCTGGTTACTCACTATTTCTGTGCCTCTCTGTGAGGGTGTTTCCAGAAGAGAAAAGCATTTGGATCTGTGGACTGAGTTACAGCAGATGGCACTCAATGTGTGTTGGCATCATCCAGTCCAATGAGAAACAAAAAGGCTGAAATTGTTTTCTGCCTGTTCCAGTTGGGACACTGATCTTCTCCTACCCTCAGCACTCCTGGTTCTCAGGCCTTCAGACTCACAGCAGAATTTAAACCACTGACTCTCCAGCTCTCAGGCCTTCAAACTATACTGCTGGCTTTCTCAGGTCTCCAGAAACAGCAGAACATGGGACTTCTCAGCCTCCATAATCACGTGAACCAATACTTTATAATAAAAGTCTCTTCTCTCTTTCTCTAAACATACACCCACAGTTTCAAAAACACCCTCTCAAGCTGCATTTTTTTTCTACTCTCACACCACCACAATCATCAACACAGAAGAACGCTTCTGTGACCAAATTATGTGGGAGTTTCCCCCCCACACACCTAGCAGTGGACACCAGCTGGGTATTCTCCAATTCAATTCCAACACTATCTACCTGCAGACAGCATTAGATTGCACATGATGAGGGCTCACTCCCCAGAATTCCTCCCACCCCCAACCGGTTACAAGCCTAGTCCTCCAGAACCTCTGACCAATGTGTTTCAAGTGGAGGTTCCCAGGACTCCCTCTCTGGGTTCAATTAATTTGCTGGAGCGGCTCACAGAACTCAGAGAAACACTTTCTTAACATTTGCTGGTTTAATATAAAGGACATTGATACAATGAGGAAATGTGTAGGGTGAGGTAGGGAGAAAGGGGCGCAGAGCTTCCATGTCCTCCCTGGGGTACCACCCTCTAGGAGCGTCCATGTTTTCAGCTATCCAGAAGCTCTCTGAACCCACTCCTCCCGAGTTTTTATGAAAGCTTCATGATGTCAGTATTCTTTCCTCCAGCATATGAGGTGGGCCCCTCTTTGGGAAGGGTCCTAAAACCCACCATCAGAAAGGCTGGGGAAGATTAGAGCCTTGGGGCAGGTGAAAGGAGGGCAGGAGAAGATCAGAGAGATTCTGTTTCCTAAGGCCTGCCCCTGAGGCCTAACATACCCAACATAAGAGAAGACTGTAACAAAGGCTATGGGAGATATGCGCCAGGAACTGGGGATGAAAACCAATATATGTATACATATTTCATAACACCACACATACATGTATTTATGTATTTATTTATTTATATGGAAAACTTATGCTTCCTATTGGCTCTGTTTCTTTGGATAACCCTGACTAATACAATAGGCAAATTCAATTATTTACTAAAGGCACAGATATTCTGAACCAGTAGTTTATGTGGCCAAAAATATTTAGAATCCATTTATAAATAACAGGTATTTCACAGCACATGAGATTGTTCTTTTGCTTCTTCAAGAGAATTTCAAATGGTTACATGGAGAAAATGTTCAAATCCCAAAATAATCAAAATAGAAGCTGATATGGTTTGGCTGTGTCCCCACCCAAATCTCATCTTGACTTACAGTTTCCATAATCCCCACATGTTGTGGGAGAGACCCTGTGGGAGGTAACTGAATCATGGGGGTGGTTACTTCCATGCTGTTCTCATGATAGTGAGTTCTCACGAGATCTGATAGTTTTATAAGGGTTTGCTTGGCACTTCTCCTTCCTGCCACCATGTGAAGAAGGACATGTTTGCTTCCCCTTCCACTATGATTCTAAGTTTCCCGAGGCCTCCCTAGCCCTGCAGAACTGTGAGTCAATTAAACCTCTTTCCTTCATAAATTACCGAGTCTTGGGTATTCCTTCATAGCAGTGTGAGAACAAACTCACAAATAAATAATAGCTAAAATCAACTATTTCTAAAGACATGTAAAACAGGCTTGAAATTATATCAATTTTTTTTATTGTCCACTATTTTCAGGTATCAATAAGTAGACAGTTTCCTGACAGAACACTTTAAGAATTAGTTTTAATATGTCTATAACATGTACCATCTACCCAGGAAATCAACACTGTTTAGAAAATACCTCACAAAGGAAGATGCCAGAACAGCCAATATGCAATCGTAAAGTATTCAACATCACTACTCATCAGGAAAATGCATATTAAAACCATATAGAAATGCTACTATACACCTACCAGGATGACTAAAGTTAAAATGACTGACACCACTAAATGTGGGTCAGAATGTGGAGCAACCAGAACTCACATACACTGTTGGTAGGAATGTGAACTGGTATGACCACTCTGGGAAAAGGCCTGGCATACACTACTCAGAAATACTACTCATTAACAAAGAAGAACAGGTTTCTAATACAAGCAGCAACATGGATGGACCTCAAATACGTTATGCTTTGTGAAAGAAGCCTTAAACAAACAAACACAGACAACATGATTACTTTTATAAGAAGCTTTAGGACAGACAAAACTAATTTATAGTGGGGAATAAAAAACAAAAGAATAGACCCTCTGGGGTAGTAAGCAGAGGATTTACTGAGAAGAGGAATGTGGAAACTTTCTGCAGTGGTGGTAATATTTTATATTTTAATATGGGTTTTGGTTGTATAGTAATGTGTATTTGCTGGAACACATAAACAGCACATCTAAGATTTGTGCATTACACTGTATATAAATTTTACCTCGAAAGAGAAAAAAACTGCAAACAAAATATTAAAGCTTAGCTAATGATATGAATGCTTAAGGATCTGGGTATGTCTGCAACTTACTCTGAAATGTAACAAAAAATTTAGATTGATTAATATAATGATAGATATTTGATACAGCATTACAGTAAAATGTCAACTGAAGACTGAAGGTGGTGGGTATTTGCTGTAAAATTCCTTCAGCTTTTTATTATGAAAAATGTCTAACACAAAAAAATGTTGAAAACAATTATAAAATATTTTTTCCTTAGGAAAAAGTATTCTTTACCACCTTTGCTTTCTTATTGGGAAATTACTATGATTAAGATTTTTTAAAAAGGAGAAAAGCACTGTATTCTGAAAAATAGTTCTTTTAAAAAAATACTATGTAAAACATGATTTAAAAAGGATGGCAGACAGCAGGATCTTACAAAATGATTTGGTTTTGAAAATGGCACAGAACAACCATCTGACCCATTTCTCAGGATTTCAAAGTTCACAAGTCAAATTCAGTCCATGTAAATTCTGCTTTGAAACTACAAACTATTTAGGTCTGTGATCATTACTGAATTAGATCTTTCACAGGTTCCAGGAGCTGGGAAAGGTGTGTGTGCTGGGCAAGAGATCAAGGTGAGAGGGGATGAAGAAGGTTGGTAAATGGGTACAAACCTACAGTTGATAGAAGAAATAAGTTTCTGTGTTTGATAGCAACAATAAGGTGACTATAATTAACAATAACATACTATATATTTCAAAATAACTAGAAGATTTGAAATGTTCCCAACAAAAGGAAATGATCAATGTTTGAGATGATAGAAATCCCAAATATCCTGATTTTTATCATTAAATACTGAATGCATGTATCAAAATATCACATGTATCCCACAAATATGTACAAATATTATGTAGTAATTTAAAAATTTCTTAAATATTTTAAAAATGTTTAGATGTACTATCATTTCTAATTCATAATGTGATGTTAAGAATTCAAAGAATAAATTTATCTGTTAAAAATATCGTATCTTTTTTTTCCTTCTACTTTCTGCACAAGAATCACTGAAATCACCTGGACAAGAATAAGTCTCAAAGACATAGTTGACACGTAATCTTATAGTTTTTATCATCCTGGGACAGAAATGTCTAACTACTTCTCTGTATCACCTACTGTATCCTTGAAGATGAGAATGTGCCCTATATGTCATTGTATCTCCAGTGATACTGGATTCTGCCTTCTGCCTATTTGCAGTAGATACAGAATAAATAGTGTTTGAAAAGTATCTTTGCTGTTACTTTTAACATGGTCACTGAAACCCTGTTTTTTTTTTTTTTAGACCGAGTCTTACTCTGTCGCCAGGCTGGAGTGCAATGGCGCAATCTCGGCTCACTGCAACCTCCACCTCCAGGGTTCAAGCGATTCTCCTGCCTCAGCCTCTCGAGTAGCTGGGATTACAGTCACCTGCCACCACGCCCAGCTAATTTTTGTATTTTTGGTAGAGACGGGGTTGCACCATGTTGGCCAGGATGGTCTCAATCTCTTGACCTCGTGATCCACTCGCCTCGGCCTTGCAAAGTGCTGAGATTACAGGCATGAGCTACGGCCCCTGGACAAAACTCTGTATTTGAAATCATCAACAAGAAAAAAATCTAAACAAGGAATGGAGGGTCTGGGTGTGGCAACTATTCCTACCCTGCCCTGCTTCCATCTGAGTAGTTCCATGTTTATCTATTTTAAATATCTCACTTCCAATTATGATTTTGCTTGAGTTCCCTGGCCAAAAAAAAAAAAACAAGTTTGAAAACCACTGATATGATTTCAACCTAAGAGACTTCTCTGGCCAAAAAAGACCAAAGAAATCTTGGTTATCATTACAATAGGGACTGGGAAAAAGTAGAATAATTTAGATTCATTTAGCTTTTTGTCAGTTATTCTCAGAATTTAAATCACCATTCAATGCATGTAACTTTCAGATAAACTGAGGGTAACTGTGCTGCTCTGATATAAAATGCTCCTGTGGGGACCTGATGGGGTAAGACCCCATTCCTGTGTGTAAACTGGGTTTATATGAAAGTGCCATCAATACACCCTTAACAGTTAGGGGTAGAAATAGGTAGCGGGGGAAGAAATACAAAATGAAGAAACCTGTTTTAGATATTCTTTTCACTAGGACATTATCTTTCCACTGCCCACTTTGGAGCTCTTTAGTTTGATTTTTAGCAAGAAAGGGGGCATTTAAAAAAATTATAAAACTGCTCCACTTTTCCTGCTGTTCCTAATTCTATCATCTCTTTAATGAAGAAAGGGGAACCTAACTAAAATTGAAGAGGAGAATGGGAATTTCTTAAATGAAGTTTAAGAGATTCAATATATTTAATACAAGAAGCTTACTGACAATATAATTAAAATTACTAAGATTCTTCCTGTCATGGTTCTCTTAACCAAAGCTTGTAGATTTGATGATACCCCTTTAAGGCAGAAGAAATATGGTTCAATAAAAATAAGGTAGTAAATACTACATGAAAAACATTTGCCAGGTGCAGTATAATCTCATGCCTGTAATCCCAGCACTTTGGGAGGCCGGGGTGGGTGGATCACTTGAGGTGAGGAATTCAAGAACAGCCTGGCCAACATGGTGAAACCCGTCTCTAGCAAAACTACAAAAATTAGCCGGGCATGATGGCGGGTGCCTGTAATCCCAGCTACTCAGGAGGCTGAGGCAGGAGAATCACTTGAACCCAGGAGGTGGAGGATGCAGTGAGCCGAGATCGCGCAACTGCACTCCAGCCTGGGCGACATAGTGAGATTTTGTCTCAAAAAAAAAAAAAAGACATTCCACCAATAAAACTGAATATATACAATAAAAGAATATATATCCAAGAAAAGATAGTTAAAATTAATAAATAAGAGACCCAGAGTGGGCTAATTATTAAGGAATGCTTGAAATTCTGAGATCAAGACAGATAACCTAAGAAGCAGAGTAATGCCAACAATGATAGTCAAATCTTTTCACTTACTTCTGGGCTGGAAGGGACATGACTTTGTCCTCGTATTATCAATTGTTATGCTCTTTAAATAAAGAATGAAGAATATTTACTAGTATTTTGTCATGTTGTCCTAGATAGGCAGGAGCCCAGCAAGCACAGACTTAGGTGAGAAAGCCTAAGAAGCTAGACTGGGCATGAGGAATGGGGTGTGACTGGCTTGGCTCAAAGACCACAAAACATGGTGCCATCTGATGGATGGCTGGTGGCATGGAACAAAAGCAAACAGAAAGTTATCTGAGATGTCAATTTAAATAATCTAAGGAGGAAACAGAATCCTTTAGAAGGCAAAAAAGAAATCAAAGACAACAGAATCAAGTGAAGGAGTCTTACAAAGGAAAGATTCTCTGAGCCCTGGGAACATTAGCTGAGGTACATTTACTGAATGCCTATAATGTACCAGGCACTGTATCAAGGATATTCCTCACAACACCACCACAAAGAAGGACTCTTATCCCTACTTTACAAATAGGAAGAATGAGGTTCAAGTAAATAAATTAATTTGCCCAAGATCACATTGCCAGAGGCTCGAAATCAGGGATATGCTTCCAAAAACCATATATCCTTTCATGAGACCACATTCCTTCTGTGAAGCACAATGTTAATCTCTTAGTGGCACCACAAATCCATTTCTGCACCATGAATTTTGCTTATTTGTCCCACAAAGCTTCCTCATTGGGGTCATTTTAGTAACAAAAATCACAATACAGCTGAGTTTTTCTTAGGTTGCATTTTGCCTGATGTACAAACAGCAAACAGGCAGAATCTTCAGGTCTTTGAACGGCTCTTCTATCTGCAACATTTTCAGGGTCCAATATCATGCATCTGTACTCCACATAAATCTGAGTTCTAACTTTACATCATTAGTTCATTTTATTTCACATGGATATTTCTGGTCTTTTCTAGAATATCTGAAAGTTCTCTTCTGAAGGTGGTTAGTTACCATGGAAATGAGGCTACTGTGGTTCAGAATAAATTTACATAACTATTAGGAAATTATTTCAAGCTTGTAAAATGTGGAATTTATCTCAAAGCTAACATGACCACTGATGCAATAAAAATCTAAGAAGAACTGCAAACCAATCCAAAATGATTAAGGCCCCAATAAAGGATTATAAAGCAATTGTAAAGACTTTTCTAACATACAGTAATACCTTAAAAATATAAAGTTTATAAAGTGAAATTCTGAAATATTCTGAATACAGATAGCATACTATAAAAGAATGGATTATAATTTACTGTCTGACATCTTATCCAGAAGTACGGAGAATATGTTCTTAAGCAATCCGTTGTGGTCAAATACACAGCATCAGGCACTACTACATTAGGTGCTAAGGATCTAAAGATTGACAAGATCCAGTCCTGTCCTCAAAGAACTCAGTCTAGTAGGGTAGAAACTGGATACAAAAACTGGGGGGAAAATGTAAATGTGATACGTAAAACAAGACAGATAATGTATAAAATACATGTGCATAATTAATGCACAGCTAATGGAAGAAGGGTACAAGGGATAGGAATAGGTAGGAGTCAGAGTTTCAGAGGTTTCTGAGGAAAGCCAGGCAAGGGAGTGGAAGGAGGAACATTCTAGGCAGAAGTGATAGTACAAGCAAAATAACTGCATGGTGTTTTTAAGTAGCTAGTGGTTGCCCTTGAAATTAAGTTACCTTGAGAAGCAATGACAATCATGCACTCATTAATGGACTCAGAATCCAGTTCTCTCTCTGCTTGGAGCTTAGAAGAAAAATGATCCTTTCAAGATAAGTAAACATCCAGTATTCTGAAAATTACAGGGAGAAGGCCTCAAGAGGAAGATACATAAAGCTTCTTCCTAATTGGTGTGAGGCTAATTTTTATAAGAAAGTCAAGGATCTGATGCAATTTACAATGTAACTTTGTGGCACAAATCATACTTCTCACATGTTGCTTTGGGATCTTACTTTTCGTCATTTAATATACCCAAAGTATTTTCTCTTGCCATTTAACAAACTTCTAAAACATGATTTTTGTAGGAAGCATTGTATTCTGATACATAGGTAGGCTGTTTTATTTAACCAATCACCTATTTTTGGGCATTTAAGTGGTTTATAATTTTTGCCACTAAATATACATCATTGCATGCATACTTCCATGCATAAATCTTTGCACACATCCTTATTTCATCAAAACAAATTATCAGATGTGGAACTGCTGGTCAATGAATGTGTGAGTTTTAAAGCTTTTGATAAAATTACCAAACTGCCCTCCAAGGTTACATCAATTTGTACCACTACCAGCAGTGTATGAGAATCCCCATATAATTTTGCCAAGAGTAGGTTATTATTTTAAAATTCAATCAGTACGCAAAAATGGGCTACTTTAATCTGTATTTCTTATACAATTAGTGGGGTTGAACTCTTTTCAGGTCAACTGGCCATTTTCATCTCATTTCTGTAAGCAAACTATGTTTTCCACCTCCCCCCTTTTTTAACAGATATTAATCTTGTTCTTATTAATTTGTAAGCACCATTTATATCATTGCAATCATTTTTCCAAGTTTTTAATGAAAGAATTTTAATCACTTTTGCCACTCTGTGAAGAATGGATTTGAGGAGAGACCAGGTTAGAACTAGAGAAATCAGTTAGGAAACTACTGCAGTAATATAGGTAAGAGATGACTTGGACTTGAATCAGGGGAGTGAAAGCAAGGAGAAAGAGAATCTAATGAACTGAATGTGGAAAAAAAATAAAAAGATTGAAATAATCAAGAATGATTTTCATGTTTCTAGCACAGGTAAAAAGGTAGGCAGTGACACTATCAAGATACAGAAAATCAAAGAAGAAAAATATTTTGAGAGAAGAATGTTAAGTTCAATTTTGGACATGCGATTTCTGAGGTACCTGTGGGACATCCAATTGCAAATGTCTGAAGCTTGACAAGGGGTCTGGTCTGGGAATCTGGGCATTACTGTATGTAAATTATACCTGAAACCAGAAGCAGGTAGAGTGTGAAGAGTAGCAGGCTGACAACAGAACTCGGTGGAACACTAATAGTTTAATCAACAAGTGGAAGAAAAGATGCCCATGAAGGCAAAACAAAAGGAACGGGCAAAGAAATAAAAAGAGAAACAGCATGACACACTGGTATCAAGTCAAAGTAGTGGAGCATCTCATGGAGTTGGGATTAAAGACGTCAATGCACTTAGCTTTGAATCATGACAGTAATAAATGTGTAAGAGTTTTTAAAGCAGAGATGGCAGCCATGTGGAGGAAAGTTCACCTTTAATGGCTTCAGTTATTTTTTTTAATATTATGTTGGCTTATGGAAGGTATCAAAAGGTCAAAAATGGGAATGAATAAAACTGATGAATTGTTTGTAAACATGTATGCATGTGAAGGTGGCAATTATGACCTCAATCATAAAAGTAGAGGTAATGGTTCATCTTCCTCCAGAATAACTTTCAGAAGATTTTTCTTTTAATCCCATTTCTTTTACATTAGAAGTCTATGAAAAACAAAGTGCAAAGGAAAACATGAATAGTAAAGTAACCACAAACATCAAATCAAATCAAATCATTCTGGTGCCACATTTAACAATTTCCATTTAAAGTTTCATTCACTCATTCCATTCGTTAATAACCTACTATGATTTTTAAAAATGAGTAAGACCAGTTCCTGTTGATAAGAACTCCAGTCTAGTAGGAGTTGAAGAGGACATATAAACAAATCAGTAAGAAATACTACTGGTAAAAAGAGAACTATTTTAAGAAACCAATTATGAGGGGATGGTTAAGAAAAGCTTCACAGAGGGGTCAAGTAAACTAATCTTGAGGGTCTATCAGGAAATTGTAGTTGGAAGTAAGGGGACACAGGGGAACACTGCTATCAAACAGCACAGTATGTTCAGAAAACTAATTTGGTAAAGAGGACTCCATCTCCATTCCAGATTTAGGGGGAAAGTGCTAAGAATTTACTCCTAGTGCAGGACGGGGCGTGCGGGGGTGCCCATGTGTGCAGATGATGGACAGCAGGGATGAGGCAGAGCCTGGGAACCACTGACAGGTCCCTCTCAGTCCACACTGCCTGCCCACCGGCATCCGCCGATGTCCTGGGAGCGAAGGTGGAGATCATCTCCCCAGGAGTTGGATACCTTCCGGAAGCCGGGATGCTTTAAGATGGAAAGAAATTTGACTCTTCAAAGGACAGAAATGAGCCCTTTAAGTGTGTGCTAGGCAAGCAGAAGGTGACCCGGGAGTGGGAGGTAGGGGTTGCCCAGATGAATGTGGGTCACAGAGCCAAACTGAATGTATCTCTAGACTATGCTTTCAGTGCCACTGGGCACCAGGGCATCATGCCACTCTTGTCTTCAACATGGAGCTTCTAAGACTGGGATGGCAAGAATGGCCTCCTCCCTTGGCTTCCTGTTCTTACATCTGCCACAGAAGGATCTGGTGCCTCCAGACACATGCACATAAATCCATATGGAGCTTTTCCACATGTAGATCCACTACAACCTGTATAACATCTACCCTGACTGAATGCGTTCTGTCACTCAGCTTTGCTTCTGGCACCTCCATTTCCTCTTCCTCTTTCTTCTCATTTTACTTAAACTATATGCCATAAGCCTTAAGTTACTCAGTTTATTTCATTTTCACTTTGGGGTGATGATTCAGCTTCAGTCTTTTCGATCTAGTTTCCAAGTAAGTCTATGGTCAAATATTAACAGAACAAGTGACTGGTTAACTTTAGAACAGGATTTAGTGTTGTGGGGGGAGGTTATAAGAATCTTTATTTTAAATTTTTTTTGGATGAAATTTTAATCTATTATATACTAAACATTCTTGCTGTTGCGCTGCAAAGCCATAGCAGATCTGACGCACTCTTGAGGGCTGAATTATTCTCAAAGTTGAAAGATGTCCTTCGGTTAAATTAAAAGCCCTACCAAAAACTGAGGTGGGGATGGGGAGCCTTTGCCTCCATCAGTTCCACTCTACCCTCCCCTGAAATCCTCTGCCTTTTGAAAGCAGATCATTTTCACTGCGATGTTGGATGCTACAGGTATCTGTCCCTGGGCCAGCGGGGACCTCTGAAGCCTTCTTGGTGGCCTGGCTTATTTCCTCTGCCCCATCCTGTGGCTTTTCTAATGGACTTTCAGAAATTTTGTAATCTCATAACTTTCCAAGCTCCACCACTTCCTTAATTTTAAGAACTTTAATTGAAAGTATAAATTAAAGGTGTTGTTTGTAGACTTAACCACCCAATGAAAGCCCAGCTATCATGACAAATCCTTGAATGTTAAGCAAATGATGCTTGTCATCGCAGCTTCAACATCTCCTGTTTTCTGCCACTTGACTCTCTCTGCTGATCTCAACGTTTCCTGGCTTTTCCTTCTTCAGTCCCTTGTCACTCCTTTGATGTCCTGTGTAGTGAACTGGTGACAGAAATTGTTGCCCCTCTCCCCACAACATCACATATGAGTTTCCAATTTTATTATTACAATAAAAGTGCTTTATGCTGGCTCTTCTAAAAAAAAAAGAGTTTAATCCTTAAAACAACCCATTCAACTGATAAAAGAAACAAAGACATAGGTAAATTAATTAACTTGGCCAAGTTCACAAAGCTAAGAGACAGAGCTGAGACTGGAATCCAGGCGCACTGGGGCAAGATTGCTCTCAATCACTCCTCTGTGGTGCCTCTCCAGTTAACGCTGAAAAAGCCAACTATGAAGGATCTGGATGTACTCTGTATGTATGACATAAGGAATTTGCTTTTTATCCCGAAGCCAAGAGAACTAAGAGTTCTAATGAATGACAGCAGAATATTGTAACTGATCATGAAGTAAAGGGAAGTGAAATCACAAAGACTGAGAGAAAAGGGGAGATCAATGTCTTAATGTGGCCAGGGATAAGAGTAGAGCAGAAGAGTCAAAGAAGTAGAGTGACATAGGCTGTGGCTTAAGGAAAGACAGTGAGGTTTAAAACTTAAGTGGTAGATTAGTTATAGGTATTTACAATGTCAAAGGGGTAGCCAATTTAGAATTTATCCATTTGTTCCACAAAAATACAAATGGAAAAATTTCTTTTTGGTGGCACGGGAGACATGTGTATCACAGACTGTTGTAACTGTTTGAAGAGAAAAAGGAAAAGTTTCTGTTTTAAAAAACCCTCATGACCCATTTTAAGTGTTATCAACAATCTGAGATGACAGGAAATACATGATGGGCTAATTCACGTCACTGCATGTGTAGAAACTCCAGGAGTTAATGATAAGACAATAAATCTGAAACATTTAACAGATGAAAAATGAACTTACAACCTTTTCTACATTAACACTCACTATGGCATTTCCTATAGCTATAACTTCTTAAAAAAATAACAGAAGTCAGACAGGTATGACTGTATTTATATATATCTCTCCAACTATTTCTCAAAATCTGCTTTCCCTATCTGAAAAATAAATGCTTTCAATTATGGGACAGGGCTCAAAACAAAATTTTCCAAATATGTTTTTGCACATTATGAGTTATAATCTGTAAACAGTAAAAAAAGAGATGATCTCATGTGGCACACATGAACAATACAGCTTGAATTGTAACTACCACCCAGATTAAGAAACTGAACATAAACACACCAGAAGCCGGGCTGTGCAACATTCGGTAACGATTCTGCCCTTCTCCAAAAGTAATCAGTATTCTGACTTCTAAAACCATAGATTAGTTTTGTCTGTTTTTGAAGTTTACACAAATGGAATTATATATAACAATGTAATTACATATATATAGTAGGTATTCTTTTGTGTCTGGCTTCTTCAAGGGTGTTTGTGATATTTACCCACATTGTCGAATGTAGCAGTGATCTGTCAATATTCATTGCTGATAATTTGCCATTGTATGACTGGAAGACTACTCTACATTTGTATTTTGATGGAGATTTGAATTATTCCCAGTAAGAACATTATTGTGCATGGTTTTGGGGGCATATAATTATACATTTCTGGTAAGTATACTCCTAGGAATACAACTACTATATCATAGGGTATTTCTGTGTACAGTTTTTTTAAGTTTTTATTTTTTAGAGATGGTTTTGCTTTGTCACCCAGACTGGAATGCAGCGGCACAATCGTAGTTCACTGTAACCTCAAATTCCTTAGCTCAAGCAATCCTCCTGCTTCAGTCTCCTGAGTAGCTGGAAATACAGGTGTGTGCCACTATGCCTAGCTAATTTTTTCATTTTTTGTAGATATAGGGTCTCACTATGCTGCCCAGGCTGGTCTTCAAATCCTGGCCTCAAGTGATCCTCCTGCCTCAGCCTCTCAAAGTGCTGGGATTACAGGCATGAGTCACTGCGCCTAGCCAGTGTACAGTTTTTAATAGATTCTGCCAAGCAGAATTTTAAAGTGATTGTGTCAGTGTATACTCCTGTCAACAGTACATTAGAGTCCCCAGTGGTTTTCATCCTAACCAATGTCTGGTATTTGTTGAGCTTTTCAACTTTAGCCATTATAGTGGAATACAGTGATATCCCACTATGGTTTTTATTTGCATTTCTCTGAAGACTAATAACGACAACCACTTTTTCAAATATTAATAGCTAGCTAGACATCTTCTTCCAGGTCGATGTTCAAGTCTTTTGCCCATTTTCTATTGGTTTCTGTCTTTGTTTATCTTACTGATCTGTAGGAGTTCTTTGTAAAACCTACATCAGGGATTGGCAAACTTTTTCTGTAAAGAGCCAGACAGTAAATATTTTAGGCTTTGTGAGCCATATGGTCTCTGTCACAACTACTCAACTCCTGTGTAGTGGCATGAAAGCAGCCATAGGCAATACATAAATGAATGAGTGTGGCAGTATGCCAGTAAGACTGCATGAACAATAAATTTTGAAATCTCATAAAGTTTTCATGTATCACAAAATATTATTCTTCTGATATTTTTCAACTATTTAAAAATATATAAACTATTTTTAGCTTACAAGCTGTACAAAAACAAGCAGTCAGGAAGATTTAGCCCACAAGCTGTACTCTGCCAACCCCGGGTCTAGATAAAGATCTCTGTCAAGTAATGTATGTCTTCCCAGGGATTTATCAATATTGTTATGCATTACAAAGAACCAACTTTTGGCTTTGCTGACATTCTCTGTTTTGAATGTTTGTTTTTTTATTTCATTAATTTTTGCTCTTGTTATCATTTTCTTCTTCTGTTTTCATTGGTTTGCAAATATTTTCTCCCATTCCATAGGTTGTCTCTTCACTGTTGATTGTTTCCATTACTGGCAGGAGCGTCTCAGTTCAATGCAATCCAATTTATCTATTTTTGCTTTCGTTGCCTGTGTTTTCTGGGGTCATATCCAAAAAAACGTTGGTCTTTGCAAAGACCAACGTCAATAAGCTTTTCCCCTCTTTTCTTTTAGTAGTTTTACAGTTCAGGTCTTATGTTTAAGTGTTTAATCCATTTTGGGTTGATTTTTGTGTATGGTGTATATGTGATTTACATATATGAGATAAGGATCTGATTTCATTCTCCCACATGTGGCTATCCAGTTTTTCCAGGACCATCTACTGAAGAGACTATGCTTTCCCCATTGTATATTCTTAGCATCGAGAGAGCCAGGAAAAATCCGCACTGCTTTTTCTTTTTTTCCTTTTAAAAAAATTCTCTCCAAGTATGACAACCAATGCACAGCTTTTTATAAGCCTCGGAAGTCACATATGACTTCTGCCATACTCTATTGATCCAAATAGCTCCAAGCCTGCC
Source organism: Homo sapiens (assembly GCF_000001405.40). Classification (NCBI taxonomy): domain Eukaryota; kingdom Metazoa; phylum Chordata; class Mammalia; order Primates; family Hominidae; genus Homo; species Homo sapiens. The sequence goes on along the minus strand of NC_000015.10, from coordinate 73,138,874 downwards.
TAGATTCAAGAGCAACGGACATAAACCCCACCACTCTATAGAAGGATAGTCAAAGAATCTGGGAGCTGTTTTAAAACTCCCCCTTTGTTTTTTTGTTTTTTTGTTTTTTTTTTTTTTTTGAGACGGAGTCTCGCTCTGTCGCCCAGGCTGGAGTGCAGTGGCGGGATCTCGGCTCACTGCAAGCTCGGCTTCCCAGGTTCACGCCATTCTCCTGCCTTAGCCTCCCAAGTAGCTGGGACTACAGGCGGCCGCCACTACGCCGGCTAATTTTTTTGTATTTTTAGTAGAGACGGGGTTTCACCGTTTTAGCCGGGATGATCTCGATCTCCTGACCTCGTGATCCGCCCGCCTCGGCCTCCCAAAGTGCTGGGATTACAGGCGCGAGCCACCGCGCCCGGCCAACTCCCCCTTTGTTTTAAAAGGCTCTTGCAGTATTTCCCAGGTATATCTTTTATTGAGTATTTATTCCAAAAGTGTTTTCAACGTATCTTTGTGCAGCAAACCTTCAGAGATCTTGTGTGATAATTTTTATTATGTCTCACATTTTGGATGCATATAAATTGTGTGTATTCAACATCTTTTAACACCTTAAAAAGATTACGCTATTGTCCTCCCGATACCAGATTTCTCAAATCAACACTTAGGTACAATCCAATCTTTTTCTTTTGTAGGTGATCTGCTCTTTGTCACTGGAAGCTTTTAGAATTTTTTTGTCTTTGATATTATACGTTACTGTATATATAATTATACATTATTGTATGTTACTGTAAATGGGCCTCAAGGTGGGTTTTTCCTTCTTTCACCTATTTAACAGTCTACTAGTCCTTTTAGTCTAAGGTGTTCTACAAGTCTAATTCTGAAAAATTTATCTTAATTATTTCTTCAAATATTTCCCTCTTCCTTTCTCTCCTCTAAGACACCTATTTATCTAGATAGTCCTTCTACCTATACCTATCGTATCTCTTAGATTTTACTCCATGTGTTATCTTTCTTTATCATATAATGCTGCATTCTCAGAGAATTCCTCAATGTAATCTTCCAATTCATGAGTTTGCTCATCAATGTTATACCTTTCTCTGGCTAGGCACAGTGGCTCATGCCTATAATCCCAGCACTTTGGGAGGCCGAGGCGGGTGGATCACTTGAGCCCAGGAGTTCGAGACCAGCCTGGGCAACATGGTGAAACCCCATCTCTACCAAAAATACAAAAATTAACTGGGCCTGGTGGCACATGCCTGTAGTCTCAGCTACTTGTGGGGCTGAGGCAGGATGATCGCTTGAACCCAGGAGGTCGAGGCTGCAGGGAGCAGAGATTGTGCCACTGCACTCCAGCCTAGGTGACAGAGGGAGAGGCTGCAGTGAGCAGAGACTGCACCACTGCACTCCAGGCTGGGCAACAGAGGGAGACCCTGTCTCAAAAAAAATCAAAATAAAACAAAATTTAAAAATGGGATACCTTTCTCTATCATGCAGATTGCTTTATTCTTTATTTTTAGTATATTTTTCATTCTTAATATTTCTATTTGGTTCTGTGTTTATATTTTCTTGTTTTTGCATCATATTGCAAATATTTTTCTTATCTCCTTAAATATATTTATGGTTATTTTTAATTCTTGGTCAGTCTTTTCCAGTAATTATCTATGAGATAGCATACATTATTCACTTGGTTGCCAATCTGAGAGTAATTGTATTATTCAGGTGTTCAGCTTGGCTATAAACTAACGTGCATCAAGGGTACCAACCACTCTGGTAATATATATGTTTGTGAAAGCACTAAAGGCCAGGTCTTAATTGTATCTAAATGGTGAACTTAAGAAAAGAGGAGGCTGAGGCCCCGAGCAAAGAACCCCAGGAACCTCAGAACCACTATGATTTACTCCAATTTGTGGGGCATTCCTCAGGCAACAGTCCCGGTCAGAGTTTCATTCTTAGGAGTGAAACAGCACTCCTAACTCTTAGGGAGAAACAGCACTGGGAGCAGTCTTCCTAGGTTGAAAGCTACCAATCTGGGAGTTTTGAGGGGGTGGGAAGAAGAGGTAGAAAAGTGACCTTTGGTCACTTTAGTCACCTCTAGCCAGCACTTGAGGGTACATTTCCATATGGAGGAATGGCACAGGAAATGGGGATAAAAACAAGACTATGTAGTCATGCCATCTTTATTTTCTGACGTCTGAATCAAAGAACCTATAAGGGGAAAAGGGAAGAGTAGGAGAAAAAGGAAGAACAACTACCCTTGCAGTGATTATCAGAAGTATGAAGAGAGGAAAATAAACACCAAATCATCAAACCAAGTTATATTGAGAGGCACAGTGTACTCCTTCCTGGGTGATCTGTTCACCCAAAAGAAAAGGACACCAACAGAGAGGAGAGAAATAATTCGGGGTCACAGAACAGAGACGTCTTCATCAGAAAACATCCTGAGACAAGAAAAGTGAATCTTCCAGATGCCCCAGATCATACCCTTCCTGTCACCACCACCACCACCACCACCACTACAAATAGTAACAACAATAACTAACATTGAGCTTTCACAATATCCTAGTCACTATTCCAGGGGTTTTATAAGTATTAGCTCTTTTAACCCTCAAATCATCCCAATAAGGTAAATATTCTTATTATTTCCATTTTACAGCTGAGGAAAATGAGGTTGAGAGAAATTAAATAAGTTTCCTATAGTCATATATCTAGGAAATATAAGATTTAGAATTTAAACCCAAGCAGTCTGGTCTAGGAGTTATGCTTTTAATTGTTTTGCTGTATTGCCTCGCCCATGTTAATATTTCTTAAAAATTAGCAGACCCAGAAAGTACACAGGATTTTTAAATTATACAGTAAATATTTACATACCTTGCACTGTAAGCTCTGCTTGAGCTTCAATTGTCTCATTTCCATTATCAGCTATACAAAAATAAGTCCCAGCATCATCCTCAGTAACATCACTGATCTCCAGGCTACCACCTGCCAGCAATACCAATCTTTCAGAGCTGTGTTAAAAAAAAAAAAAAAAAAAAGATACATTTCAGTACTAGGAAAATAATACCTGAAAAACTCTCCACATAAAATAGAGAAAACACTTAAAGAGTATTATTATTTATATAGCTATAGATGAACCAAGACTAATATAAAATTACCAGAATTTAATTTAGTCCAATTTGCTTTGCTCATATTTTACATGCATAAATATCACAAATGCAAATCAAATGTTACAATGAATTATCCCTGACACTTCTAGTTATTTCCAAAGGGGTATCACTCTTGGAACCAATTTCACTTCCTTCAGCCCATCCCTGTCTCCCTATTCTGGCCAGTTTTTTTCCAAATTATGTAATTTTGAAGTCTGGAATCAATCTGAGAGTTAGTTACACCACCACAGCTATGCCACACTGAGATTAATAACAGAAAGAAAACATAAAGAGGGCAAAATGTTAGATCCGAAACAGTAAGTCATGGGGTCACAGTGCCTACTGAAAGTTTCCCTATGGTAGCTTATCTAGGAGAGAGAGGAAAAGAGGAAGGGAAGAAAGAGAGAATGGTTGCCAGAGAGCAGCTCCCTGGGTGTGGTAGCTGGGCACAAATCAGTCACCATCATGCCATTATCAACCAGGATGTTGATGAATACTGGCCAACTCTACAGAGTTATTTAAGCCGATTTAAAGAGAAAAGAAAATAATCCTATAACATTGAAGAACAATCAATACTCTGATCAAATTTGTATAAAGTGAACAAGTTTAGTTAATTTGGAGAGTTACTAACAAAATCAGACATATAAAGGTACCTGACATAGGGCAAGAGATGCAGTTAATTCTAGGGACAAGTACCTAATTAAAGCTGCCACTTTAAAAGTCACTTTCAGAGATGACATAAATTCAAAATACAGTACCAAACACAATAATAAATGTATACATACATTTTTATTTTGAAGTTCCACATCTAAACTGGTTTTCACAGGCTGGACTTTTCTTCCAAATCTTAATACTGTTACATTTCTAGTCTGTGTCCATGGATCAATTAAAAAACGTTCTGATTATAATTTGGCTTTTCATATAGAATTCCTTATAGGCTGGCCTCAAACTCCTGACCCCAGGTGATCCACCCGCCCCGGCCTCCCAAAGTGCTGGGATTACAGGAGAAACCCCATCTCTACTAAAAATACAAAAATTAGCCAGGCGTGGTGGTGCATGCCTGTAATCCCAGCTACACGGAGGCTGAGGCAGGAGAATCGCTTGAACCCGGGAAGCGGAGGTTGCAGTAAGCCAAGATCACGCCATTGCACTCCAGCTTGGGCAACAGAGCAAGACTCCATCTCAAAAAAAAAAAAGAATTCCTTATAGGATTAAAAAAAAAATCAGAGGAAATGACTATACAGTCTTGGCCACATTTATAATTCTCATTCTAAATAAATAAAGTGCTAGTCTGGCTTAAATTTCATTACATTGTAAAGTCTAGGTAATCAGTCTTCCTGAATCTGATAAACTTGATTAAGTTTCTGGACACAGAAAGCTGAAAGCCAGAATCAGATTTGGTGACTTCTCCAAGAAATACGACCCTGCAAGGTCATGACTAACCTTTATCAAGCAACCTTCCTATCAGAAATGTCTTAATAACACCCTTAAATCCCAGGTTTACCTGATGAAACACAGAAGTAAGATATTATATAATGGAATAGAGCAGGAATGACTGGGATAAAATAAATGGAGAGATAAGACGGGTCTTTGGTGCCTCACAAAATAAGAAAAATTTACAAAAATTAAAATCCTACATTTTATACCTGGATAAAATTTACTACTAAGTTTCAGAAACAAAAAACTTAATGTTCATCAAATGAGAAATCAGCAATGTATACATATGATACCCAGCTGAGATGAACATAATTTGAAACACTAGTTGTCATTTTTGAAAGCGAGATACAGTAATTTATATCTAATAATTACACTAAAAAATATTGTTGATACTTGATGTGCCTGATATTTGGCATATGTGAGTACCAGTAGCATAGCAGTCAGTCTTTCTTAACGGGATTGATTTTACTCCCTTTAAAAAAAGGCTGGGAGAAATAATGTCCATTTGCTTGGCAGAATTAATTCATTCAATTAGTTCATGGCTCACAGTAAAAAGACCATCGAGCCTTTAGAACTCCAAAATTCAAAGATGCAGGCAAAGAAAAAAAACAATGTGAAAAAATATATACAGCCAATGGACTCAAGTAAATTCAGTATTGCTGGGCATAAGGTATCCCTGAGTAGCCTAGGGTCAGTCTGGAAAAGCTTGGAGTGCTAAGGAGAACTTTTATTTTTTGACCAAGCGGAAAGGCTTTCAAAAAAATTATTTCAATAGGCTTTTAGGGAACAGGTTGCGTTTGGTTACATGAAAAAGTTATTTAGTGGTGATTTCTCAGATTTTGGTGCACCCATCACCCAAACAGTGTACACTGCACCCAACATGTAGCTTTTTATCCCTCACCCGCCTCCCACCCTTTCCTCCAAGTCCCCAAAGTCCACTGTACCATTCTTATGCCTTTGCATCTTCATAGCTTAGCTCCCACTTATGAGTGAGAACATAGGATGTTTGGTTTTCCATTCCTGAGTTATTTCACTTAGAATAATGGTCTCCCATTCAATCCAGGTTGCTGTGAATGGTGTTATTTCATTCCTTTTTATTGCTGAGTAGTATGTGTATATATATATACGTATATATATATATACATACCACAATTTCTTTATTCACTCATCAACTGATGGGCATTTGGGCTGGTTCCATATTTTTGCAATTGCAAATTGTGCTGCTATAAACATGCATGTGCAAGTTATCTTTTTTGTATAATGACTTCTATTCCTCATTATAGATACAGGAACGGGATTGCTGGATCGAATGATAGATCTACTTTTAGTTCTTTATGGAATCTCCACACTGTTTTCCATAGTGGTTGTACTAGCTTACATTCCCACCAGCAGTGTAAAAGTGTTCCCTTTTCACCATATCCACATCAACATCTATTACTTTTGATTTTTTGATTATGGCCATTCTTGCAGGAGGAAGGTGGTTTTGCACTGCGGTTTTGATTTGCATTTCCCTCATAATTAATGATGTTGAGCATTTTTTCATGTTTGTTGGCCATTTGTATATCTTCTTTTGAGAATTGTCTATTCATGTCCTTAGCCCACTTTTTGATGGGATTGCTTGTTTTTCTCACTGATTTGTTTGAGTTCCTTCTAGCTTCTGGATATTAGTCCTTTGTCAGATGTATAGATTGTGAAGCTTTTCTCCCGAGCTCTGGGTTGTCTGTTTACTCTACTGATTATTTCTTTTGCTGTGTGGAAGCTTTTTAAATTAAGTCCCATCTATTTATCTTTGTTTTTCTTGTGTTTGCTTTTGCATTCAGGGTCATGAAGTCTTTGCCTAAGCCAATGTCTAGAAGAGTTTTTTGAATGTTATCTTCTAGAATTTTTATGGTTTCAGGTCTTAGGGAAAGGCTTTTGAGCAGAGTAATGACACACTCAGACTTCGTGAAGAAACAAAAAAAGGATGGGAAAACACTAAAGCAGAAGTTTGATTATATAATTACAATGGTCCAGAATTAAAGAGCAAAAGATTATGGCCGTAACAATAGGGACAAAAAGAAAGCAAAAAAGTATTGACTACTCTTAAAAAGTTGGATAAAGAAGGTAAGGAGAGAGATTTACTCATTCATTTAACAAATATTAATTGGTTTGTCTATATGTGTCAGGTAGCAGCTGGGGATATAGCACTGAGCAAAAACACAATCAGTGCTGTCATGCATCTCAAGTGGGAAACACAGACATAGAAGATAACTCTACAAAATGGTATAGCAAAAGAACCTGCCAGGAAATTAGGGATGAGGAGAGATTTTCCTGACAAAGTAACCCTTAAGCTGAGATCTGAAGAATGAGTAGAAGCTAACTAAATAATGAGGTGCGAAAAATATTTCAGAAAGATAGACTAGCACATGCAAATTAATTGTGGCAGAAAGGATCACAGTGGTTTGGGGATCTAAAAGAAATCAGTGTGGCAAAGTGTAAGAAAATAGAGGAGGATGAGGATGGAGCCAGACTGCATAAGGCTTTGAAAACCATTTTAAGAATTTGGGTCCTTAACCTAAGAACAACGGAAATCCATTAAACATTTTTAAAAGTGGGTAGGGGGTTGAGAGTGCTGTGGTAAAATAAGAGCTTTGAAAAGACTGCTCTGGCAGGAGTGTGAAGGTGTATTTGGAATGAGGCCAGAGTACAAGTAGGAAGAACAATTAGGAGGCCACTGCACCGACTGTAACTTAGAATAAGGCACATGGTGCCTTCATGGATGGATTCCAAAGACATGTAGAAGGTAAAATCTTGCAGATACATCAGATAAAGAAACGGAGAAGAAAACAGATGTTAAAGACAACTTCTTTAGGGTGGTAAGAATGAAGAGAAAAGCAAAAAAGAAAACTGTTTAATTTAGTTTTGTATTTGTTGTTATTTGAAAGAGAGGTAAATTTTTTCAAACCTGCACTGAGGAGACCTCTTTCTTCGTTGAGATTTCTACTTTTTCATTTGCTTCAAATGTGTTTATAATTGCTCACTGAAGTGATGCTATGATGACTGCTTTACAATCTTTGTCAGGTAATTCTAAAATCTCTGTCACTGTCTTTTCTCCTTTCAGTTGAGATTTTCCTGGTTCTTGGCATGATGCATTACATTCAACTGAAACCTGGATATTTTAGGTACTATGTTATGACACTCTGGATCTTATTTAATCCTTCTGTTTTAGCTCTCTTCTTCTAACACCACTCTAGCAGAGAAAGTGGGTGTGTGTGGGGGGGTGCTGTCTCATTACTGTCAGGTGGGGGTAGTTCAGGTTTCCCACTCAGCCTCCATTAACATGTAAGTGGGGAGGGGTTTCCTCATTGCTTCTTAGCAGGGTTGGGAGTTCCAGCTCCCCACTAGGCCTCCACTGATGCCTCCCTGGGTAGAAGGGGTAGGATTGTCTCATTATTGTTCCCCCACATGGTCACATGGTGTTGACACCATGAAGCGAGCCTTGCTACTACATGATGGTAAAGCTTTGACTCTCCGCTGGGCCTCCTTTGATACCACCCCAGTGTGAAGGGAAGGGTTGCCTCTTATGGCTGGATGGGGTGAAAGTGGAGGCTCTCCATTTGTTCTCTACTTACATGGGAGGGGCCTCATTACTGCCTGGCTAGGATAAAAGTCTTGGCTCCCTACTCCAACTTTGACACCACTTAGCAAGGAGGCTGAGATGCTTCACTACAACCTGGGAAGGGTGGAAGTCTAGGCTCCTGGCATGGTCTTTGACTGGCATGGTAGGGTGGGGCCACAGTTTCTTCTGCGGTGTTTGACTGGAGTAGGAGAAAGTACAGTCTAACAGCTTTTGTCTTGCTGAGATGCTCTTTTCCTGCCCCTTTGGCTAGAGAGCACCTTCTGTTGAGGCTTTTTTTGTTTGTGCCTAGTAGGATTTCCAGGTTGCTAGCTTCTTTAGCTCCAAGTCTGGGATATATGAGGCAAAACACAGCCCAGGTTCCTGAAAGGGTCTTATGCGGCGGGGGGGGCGGGAAACTGAGCCCACAGAACTAACCACCAAGTTGGCTGGGCACAGTAACGCACATCTGTAATCCCAGCATTTTGGGAGGCCAAGATTGGTGGATCACTTGAGGCCAGGAGTTTGAGACCAGCCTGGCCAACATGGTGAAACCCCGTCTCTATGAAAAATACAAAAATTAGCTGGCAGTGGTGACACATGCCTATAATCCCAGCTACTCATTTGATCCTGGGAGGCGGAGGCTGCAGTGAACTGAGATCACGCCACCACACTCCAGCCTGGGTAACAGAGCGAGACTCTGTCTCAAGAAAGAAAAAAAAGAACTAACAATTATGCTGTTCCTTGGGTCTCAAGCTCCCTAGCTACTCAATCTCAGTCTTTCTCTCTCTACCTTTCAGAGTCTTCTTATGTTTGTTTCACATGTAACATCCAGGGTTTTTAGGTGTATTTAGCAAAAGGAATAGGGAAAAATATATCTACTCAATTTTCCCAGAAGTGGAAGTCTTCCATTTACTTTTTAAATAATCTTATTTTTCTACTACTGTCAATTGTAATAATATCAAGCATTTTAACCTGTTCCCTTGCAGTGGGGTTCAGATCTATCATTCCATTAAAAGATAACATTATTTGACTACTAAATTACATTTTTCTGTCAATCACCTTGAACACTAGCATTTATATTTTCCAGATTCTCTCCCTTTAAAATAAAACTACTTAGTGAATGGGATCCATTTCCACCCCCCTCTTTCATTAGCGATGATTATTGTAAATCTGAACAAATTTGATCAAAGGTTAAATATATAGATCAATTTTTGGACATTTATAAAAGCCATGGAAATGTTCTTAAGTTCACTTTCAAAGAAGTCTTAAGATGAGTAATAAAGAAGGATGTTTAGTTATTTAAGATCTTTTTTTTTTACTAGATCCAGCCTAACACTATCTGAATTTCTAGCCACTTTTTTCTTTCAACTTCTAAGCCTCTTTCTAATTTTGGGTCTAAATAATTTATTAGCTGAGGCCTATCTACATATCTCATAAGGCTCTAGCAGAAACAAAGATATTTTGGGTAATTACATACATCCAACCAAAAGCACTCCTGTGCTCCATTCACTTATATTTTCCAACATTACTTTGGGTTATTCAAGCTAAATATATTGGCCACCACTTCCCCTCCCCAGTTATGGGCCAAGCACTGTGCTAGAGTCTGGAAAGACCAATGTGAACACCACCAACACTGTCCTGCTCTTATTTTCTTCTGAAGCTTCTTGAGACAGTGACATACCAAGGCAGTGCTTCTCAGACTTTTCAGCCACCTAATCTGAGTATTCAGGAGCCTAGAGAACTACAGGCAGAAATAAGTTAACTCAATCTTAAAGTCTACTGCTTTATCCTTAAAATTCAGAGCAGTGTTATTAACCATAATATATTCACATTTGATTTAGTTAAAAATCATCTGCTCCCAAGGATATCTTTGAATAAAATTGGATGTTTCAGGAAGATATGAAACTTTTCTATCATGATGTGCATACCCTGGCCCACTCAGACCCCAGTCTGAGAATCATTCTACTAAAAGAACAATTATCTAACACGTTGTATAAAATAGCAATCTTACCTCTATTTCTCTTGACACTCCTGATATAATTTGTCTTTTCTTCATAGCACTTACCATAAACTGACATTTTTAAATTTTTACTTATTATCTGACTCTTTCCCACTAGACTATGAGCTCTGTAAGATCAAGAACTCCATTTGGTTCACTACTCTATTCCCAGCACCTAGAACATGCATGACATAGCCAGCATTTGGTAAATATTTGTTGAGTAATTATTGAACAAATGAGAATCATAGAAAGCCTCACATTTATTTCTGACATAAAAAATCATTATATATAAGTTTTATATCTTCAGAATGTCCCTTCATGACAAAATATGTTTTAAAATAATATATTTCAGCCTTCCTACTCCTGATAAAGATTTTGTTCTAACTTGTAGCCAATTAAAATTTCTACTGTAAGAACTTCACATTTTTATCACTATTTTAAGGTTCCCTATGTTTCAGTTGGCAAAAAAAAAAAAAAATGAAGTCTTATAAATTCTTTGCTTATGTAATATTTAGCTGGAAAGAGGAGTGGAAAGACAGGGAGGAAGCAAAATGTGAAGACAGGAAGTTGGTGAGTGGATGGATGATGAGAAAGAAATCAGGTGATATTGGGGAGGATGCCATGTTTTGCTAATGGAGCACGTGGGGAACAATCTGATTGTATTCCATCTTCCCCAGTGATCACTGAAGGCTGATCACCCAGATAACTAGATAGATACCTGTTTCTACGTCTTGGATACTGAACTATAAAAATTAAAATTGTCTGTTCACTTTTGATTTTGCAACTGGGAAACTCTAGATCTGCCCTGTCCAAGTCAATAGCCACTAGTCACATGTGGCTACCTGAAATGTGGCCTGTATGACTGCAGAACTGAATTTCTGAAATTTTAAAATAAATGTACAAGCTAAAGCTGTGTTAAAATGTTTCCCACTAAACATAAACTTTATTCTTTTGGTAGAACTACATTTCACATTAACTGGTACATCACATAAAATATTACTATTATATTTATTATTGTACATGTACTTCTTACTTTTTAAAAACGTGGCTGTAAGACATTTTTAAATTACATGTGTGGCTTGCATTATATTTCAATTGAACAGCACTGCTGTAGAACAATGGTCCTCAACTGGGGGCAATTTTGCTTCCCAAGGACCATCTCACAGTATCCAGGGACATTTTTGGTTGTCACAATGCGGAAGTGCTACTGCCACCTATGGGTAGAAGGCAGGGATGCCAGTAAACATCCTACAGTGCACAAGACAGCATTATTTTGGAAGCAAAAACATACCTACCTACCACCACCCCACATCTCTTATGAGAACACACCTAAGAAAAGCACCCACTGCATAAGGAAGTAATGAGAGGAGATAGGAAGGACAGTAAAGTGGTTGGTATTTTGTGAAAGATGAAGAATTTGTGATTTCTGATAGGATTCAAAAGGCAAAAACAACAGGATGAGGAATACAGTTTCTTTTTTTTTTTTTTGAGACGGCGTCTAGGTCTCTCGCCCAGGCTAGAGTGCAGTGACGCGATCTCAGGTCACTGCAACCTTCGCCTCCTGGGTTAAAGCGATTCTTCTGCCTCAGCCTCCCGAGTAGCTGGGACTACAGGCACATGCCACAACGCCCAGCTAATTTTTTGTATTTTTAGTAGAGACGGGGTTTCACCGTGTTAGCCAGGATGGTCTCGATCTCCTGACCTCGTGATCTGCCCACCTCAGCGTCCCGAAGTGCTGGGATTACAGGTGTGAGCCACTGTGGCCAGCCCAGTTTCTCATACTGATTGTGCAGTGGAAAAACTACTATCAAAAAAATGCATATGAGAATGTGTGAGAAGACTCAGGCTACTCAGGACCAAAGCTCTTGCAACAATTTAGGGAAGAAAATCCTGAAGACTTAAGCTGAGTACACTGCGGCTTCAACAGGAACAAAGGGAATAATTATCTCTTAATATTTTGAAAGTATCTTTTTCTTTAAATATCCTCATCATATATATCATATGAACATATTTGAAGGATGACATATGAGCATTATGATGTGTTTAAATAAAGTTGATAATCTTTTTAAATTAGTCAATAGTCCCAAATGGGATATGACAAAGTCTCAAGCTAAGGCTGAAGAAGGCTTTTAGGCAGACAACACTTACCTTTCTGTGTCAAGTGCCTCCTCATTTTTCATCCATTTAATGGTTGGAGTAGGAAGTCCTGAAGCAACACATGGCAACACTACATCCTGACCAATGACTCTGACTAAGGGAGAAGGCTGTTTCAAAAATACCAAGTCTGATATCACCTCAGGATCTAAAAAAAAAAAAAATTAACAAAGACAATAATTAAAGGACAAAACAGGCTGGACATGGTGGCTCACACCCATAATCCCGATACTTTGGGAGGCCGAGGAGGGAGGACTGCTTGAGCCCAGGAGTTTGAGACCAGCGTAGGCAATATAGCAAGACCCCATCATTACCACATACACACACGACAAAGCACTTTACTGCTTTAATCTTGAGGAATGACTGGTTCTTATTCAGTCTGTGTGGCTTTATATGACAAAATATTTTAAGCAAAAGTGATACAAAAATTTCCATTCAAATTAGCAAACACTTCTCAAATAAATTCTATGTGCAAAGCATTGTGCTAGGCTCTTTAGGGGTCTTAAGGATGTATAACTTATTGCTCCTGCCTTCAGGGTACGTACTTGTCAATCAATCGAGAGATATTTGACATGAATCCCATTCACATTGAAAGATAAGATAAAAGCCATGTGTACAAACAGTGGAGACTGAGCAAGCTCAGGACCCATGGCATTCTCCTTACTCACAGGGATAAGAGGTTTCCTTTCCTTCCCTGTATCTGTGTGTTATTTCTGAAAAGCTTTCTGAGTTTCGTCTCTTTAACTTGCTCAGTCTGTCAGTCCCTTGATTTTGTAACTGAGCAACAATCTAGCTACCACTATATTTTTGTATTTCTTATTCAGACATTAGAATTAATGTGTGTTCACTTTATAGAGTTGTCCTCTTGTGAATACATGAAAAGGCCACACTCTTGTGGGCAGAAGACAGAGTTCTCTCCTCAATAAGGTAATATTAACTTAATATTGAGTTTTGACAAAAAGGTCTCAGGCAGAAGAGATGTGACTCTTGTGCCCATATGCTTTGGAAAAGATGTTCTACAGCCATGATAACAACCTCCAGGACTAGCTTTAAACTTGTCTAACCAATTAATGACAGTCTTGTAGCCATGGTAACAAGGAAACATTGCCTAATCGATTAGTGACAACTCACAAGGGTGAATGTGGCTTTGAAAGCCAATCAGTGATAAGCCCAGGCTTTAAAAGTCAGCCAACTAATGGTGGAGTCACTGACTTTTAAGGCTGACATTAACTTGCTCCCACCTCCGTAATCAACCACAAAACATATTTCTATGACTGACATTAATCCACCTCTGTCTCTTAACCAGTACAACCCAAAACAATGTCTTCTGAAAAACTCTATAGGAGATAAGGACTTAGCTTTGCTCAAGAAAACTATGTTTGACAAGCACAACTCTCCCTTACTTAAGTAAGCAAAACATTCCACATTATGTTTTCGTTTCAGATGTTGAGTAGTGATCTCACCTTTTGACACTACAAATCTTGTTTTCTTGGATTCAGATTTTGAGGATTTGCTTAAATGCTACCCTAGGTGTTGAGAAGTATTACCTCTGTCATGTAAAAGCAAGTGAGCAAGCAGACTGAATAATATTGGTATATGGCAATAGTTCTTTTTTTTAATTCAACTTGAATTACTTAGGTATATTTAATTGAATTTTGATAGAATCAATTAAACAAATTCATAGCCAATATTACTGGCTTCTATGTGCCAGAAAGTGTTTTTGGCAGCAGACAAAAATTCCCTGCTCTGGTTGAGCTTACATACTAATGAGGGAGAGAGACAAGTAAGATAGAACATGTCAGATGGTAATATGTTCTGAAGTAAAATGAAGGTAGAAGGAGAAAACACTGGGGGTGGAAATCAAAGATTGTTGTTTTAAACAGAGTGTTCAAGGAAGGCTTCACTGATAAAGCGATATTTGAGCAGAGAGGTAAGACAGTGACCCAGGCAGGTATCTGAGGAAAGAGGATTCCAGAAAGAGAAAATGGCCAAGAGCATATCTGGATTGTTCTAGAAACATAAAGTGATCACAATCTTCGAGTGAGGGAGAAAAGAGTAGGAGATGGGATAGGGGAGAGAAAGGAAGGAAGTGGTATTAAGATTATAAATCTTTACAGCCCAGAACTTTAACTCTGAATGACATGGAAAACCATTAGGGAGTTTTGAGCAAAGGTGTGACAAGATCTAATAATATACATCTCACGCTGGCCACTGTGGCCCATACCTATAAGCCCAGCACTTTGGGAGGCCAAGGTAGGAGAATCACTTGAGCCCAGGAGTTCAAGGCCAACTTGGGCAATATGGCAAAATCCATCTCTAAAAAAAATACAAAAAAATTAGCCAGATGTGGTGGTGTGTACCGTTTGTCCCAGCTACTCGTAGGCTGAGGTAGGAGGAACACTTGAGCCCAGGAGATCAAGGCTGCAGCGAACCAAGATCGCACCACTGCACTCTAGCCCGGGTTACAGAGCAAGACCGTGTCTCAAGACACATACACATATGCATATGCGTGCACAGGCGCTCACACACACACACGCACAAACGCACACTTTAAAAGATACTGTCCTTGCTGAGAATATACTGAGACAGGAATGACGAGGGATAACGACAAAAAAAGAACCTACATTTATGAGTTGAAGGGCTATTAGGAACACCCTCAAGAGTTGTAGCTCACAGTCCTGCTTTGCGAACCAGTCCATAGATTAAAAATGAGCCTATTTAATAGACATATAACTCTTCCCAAATAATGTAGGGATAGTTCAATTATATTCAGAAACTCAAATTTGAGATGAGAAATATGGAGGGGGCACCTAGCAGTGAGAACAGAAGGTAAACAGTCATGAAACACCAAAAGGCTAGAGGGGCTATGATGAGCTACAACTGGGAGGAAGTTATGAGTAAGCAGAAGTTATACAGTGAGAAAAGATATACAAAATTGATTATGAGGAACACCAGAAGGGGCAGGAACTGAGAAGACACACAAAAAGAAGAAAGACTGAAATAGGAGCTGAATTTACACTAAAATGGGGAGTATAAAGATCCAAGGACTCTTGCCTGCCATTGTCTCTAGAGCCACCATGTTAACACTTACCACCCAACCCATCCCTTATACGAACTAGCCTGGATGGGTCTCTGATTTGCACAAGTGAAAAGACCTAACAATAAAAATATCCTATTGTTGGAGAGAAGGCTTGACAAAAGACACAGCACTAATATTTTTTTGACCAAGAAGAATACCATTAGACAGTGAATATACTTTATTGCTTGATAAATTTTTAATAATGCATTCCCTAAAGAGTGGATCTTCTGGCACATTTTCTTCTTTTCACTTCTGTAAGAAACTGAGACTTCCTATGCTGACAGTAAAATGTCATACCGCATATTAACATTCCTCTTTTTTTTTTTTTTGAGATGGAGTCTTGCTCTATCGCCCAGGCTGGAGTGCAATGGCACAATCTCAGCTCACTGCACCCTCCACCTCCCGGGTTCAAGTAATTCTCCTTCCTCAGCCTCCAGAGTAGCTGGAGTTATAAGCGCCTGCCACCATGTCTGGCTAATTTTTGTATTTTTAGTAGAGATGGGGTTTCGCCATGTTGGCCAGGCTGGAACTCAGGTGATCCACCCGCTTCAACCTCCCAAAGTGCTGGGATTACAGGTGTGAGCCACTGCGCCCGGCCAACATTCATTATTTTTAAAAATTCTAACAGAACAATGTTTACCCATTCATAAACATAAAACCATCAGTCCTGATAATGAGTTAATACCTGGAAGAACCTTCAATTCAACTTCATCACTATACTTTGGTGGCCCACCACTTTCCACTACGCAGCGATAAAGCCCGCCATCTCCTTCAGTTGCATTGCTGATAACCAGCATTCCACTTGGAAGTTTGATAACTCTATCATCCAGAAGAAGGGGTTGTCTGTTCTGTTCCCACCTCACAAATGGGACCAAATCTGCATTAACTTCACAATTCAGAATTGCATTGTTCCCAGCATAAACTGAGGAAGGTTCTGGTTGGCTGGTAAATCTTGGAAGACCTGGACAATAAAGGAAGAGAAGAAATAAAATTTATTTAAATATTACTTTAAAATTTTGTCTTGGGAGCCAGGAGCAAGTCAGCTCACATGGCTACAACATATGGCAGAACCAGGGTTGAGAAGAAAGTCCATGGAAATTAGCTAAATACAGGGATACTGGGCAAATAAGTAAATGCATTAAGGATAACTGGAATCAGATTCCTCACAGTTAGAGAAGCAAGGTATAAACATTGAAAAGGAGATGGGTAGAATAAGTCCTATGGTACTGGTCTAGAATGGAGGTATCAGTGTAAACATCATGGTTTTATATAATCATAGATATAAAAATATATATGATATCTATATAAATATAAAAGTATGTGTGAAACATGTACACATTTTGTCTAGTCTTTATTCATTGCTATACATATATATAATATATATAATGTGTATATATATATATATATATATATATATATATACACACACACACACACCCCTATATATTTCCTAGCCCTGTCCACAGAGAAGGTGCAGCATCCATATTACTTCAGTAGCAATGGTACATATGGTGTCTCTACCTTTTCTAAATAATTTCTTGGAGAAATGGCCAATTCTAAGAGTGCAGAAGGAGAGAAAGCACAAGATGAACCTGGTACATCTTACGACGTAAAGTAAGAAAACTGTCCAAAGAACAATGTGGACATATCAAAAGGGCACAGAAGTCAGACTGAAGGGAGCTTCCTCTGATTAAATCTGGGATAATGGTATTAACATGCATTATAACCCACTGAATAAGACAAGAATCTGTCGGTTCATGCAAATATAAACAAATAAGTGGAAGAAAAGGAAAAGCTTTGCCTTATAGAAATGATGGAACTAGAAAAATCACCATTTGATAGTAATAACTGATTCACGTATGAATCCTCAATGGACACCAAAACTAGTAAACAAAAATGTCATGAGGAACAGTATATTTACAGAGTATCAAAGTATCTCTTCCCAAAATACTCATTATTAACTAACAAAAGTACCAAGCTTTACAATGGAGAAACACTGCACAGACCATCTTAAGTAGTAAAAGTTAACATCACCAGCAACAGAACAAAATATCACATGCTTCTTGGCATGATGCACTGAGAACACAGCATTACTTCTGTGGTATTTCTCCCAAAAATGAGGAATCTGAATCTATTCAGGGAGAAATCAAACAAACTCAAAATGAGGCAAGGAAAAACCAAGTTATATCTAAAGAGTTTTAAAGGACACAGCCACCAAGTGAAATATGTAATCTTGGGCCAGAAATAAGAGTATGTGTGGGAGGAGGACAGGCGGGTACTCTGCTTTTGGTTTTTACTATAAAGAACATTATTGAGATAATCAGTGAAATCTAAATTAAACAGTAGTATTGTATTAAGGTTAATTTCCTAATTTTGATGGACATCTGTGGTTATCTAGGAGAATGTCCTTGTTTCAAAGAAATATACACGTAGGTATTTAGGTGGCAGTTACAGGAAAACCTGTCTGCAATTTACTCTTACTGGCTCCGAAAAAATATGTCTTTGGATGTATGCATTTTTGGGGGGTTAAGGCAGATACGATAAGATGTTAACAATCAGGTAATCTAGGTGAAGGTATATGAGATTTCTTGGTTCTATTCTTGCACCTACTCCCTACGTTTAAAATGATCTCAAAATAAAATGTGAACCAAAAATGTCGTCATAAATATAGACGCCACAGGATGTAGCAGCTAAGAGCATCAGTTTTCAAGTCACATATCTGAATCTGAATCCCAACACCACCACTTCATGGGTGTCTGAAGTTGGCAAGTTATTTAACCACTCCCTAAGACTCAGTTTCTTCACAAGTAAAATGAGAATAACAGGCCTCACAGGATTGTTAAAAAAAAAAAAAGTACTTAAAATAAATAATTTATATATAGTATATTGCATAAACACTTAACTAGCTATTATAATATCTAAAAAGTGATTGCTATGCTCAGAATAAAACAATATGTTTCTTTAAGGAAGAGCAAACAAATCATGAGAAATGATTACAGGTTTTCTAGTTTTATGATGGTGAATTAGTCCAAACATAAATCACACAGGTTTTACAGCCCTGCAATAAACTTTTTCTTTTTCTTATTTTTTTTTTATTTCAAGGGGATTTTTGAAGGAAAAAAATAAAGATAAAATTATCTAAAAAATCTGCTTTTTTACCTTGAGCTCCCCAGATTTGACCAAAAATCTACTTTTAAGAAACCAGAATATCAGAAGATAAGAATTAACAAAGATAAACACAGAATTTGATCAAGTTGGGGAAAGGAGGAAATCTTAATCAATAAAACCAAAATATGGTTCTATTTTAATTAAATTAAATTAAATTAAATTAATTAATTAATTTTTTTTATGAGACAGAGTCTCACTCTGTCACCCATGCTGGAGTGCAGTGGCACAATCTTGGCTCACTGCAACATCTGCCTCCAGGGTTCAAACAATTCTCCTGCCTCAGCCTCCCAAGTAGCTGGGATTACAGGCGGGCACCACCATACTGGCTAATTTTTGTATTTTTAGTAGAGATGGGGTTTCACCATGTTGGTCAGGCTGGTCTCAAACTCCTGACCTCAGGTGATCCGCCCGTCTTGGCCTCCTATAGTGCTGGGATTATAGGCGTAAGCCACTGCGCCCAGCTCAGTTGTATTTTTAAAGAGTCAAAAAATTCTTCCTCCTGAGGTCTCATGAAAATTAATAATTTTTAAAATGTAAGCTCACAAAAACATATGGAGAATTGGCAGACAAGAGATTTCAAAAAATTTCTGAGTAGGGAAAGCAGATGGAGGACTAGTAACTGACATAACAAGGCAGGGAACGCTGCAGCTTCCTGCGCTCCCAAGAAGGAAGCCGGTTGTCCTGCTGCCTCTGGAGAACTGCAGGAGAAAAAGGAGAGTGGGAGTTAAGACCCGGAGTTGACAAGAAGATATTAACAATGTCTGTATTTAGAACACCCTATTACCCCACCTCTGGGCACAAAATACTCACAGCCAGCATACTGCCCAGGCAGAAAAACAGAAATTTTGGTTGTGGAGAAATGAGACAGCTCAGAGAAAAAGACCTCTCATACTTAATTCTATGAGTTACCTATTTAATGTTCTTTCAAAAACTTCCCTTCTTGCTTGACTTGGCTACAATCAGTTTCTACTGCTTGCAACCAAAAAACTCTAAGTCTTTTAGATTGGCAATTTGGCAGAATTTTTTTAGGTTTTATTGAGATGTAATTTATATACCATAAAGTTCACTATCTAAAGTACATAATTTAATATTTTTTAGTATATGAACAAAGTTGTGTAATCATCACCATAATCTAATTTCAGAACCTTTTCATCATTCCGGGAAGAAATCTTGTACTCACTTGCAGTCACTCTGCATAACCCATAACTACCCCAGGACACCTACAAGTGGAACTGCTAGGTCATATGGTAACACTATGGTTAACATTTTGAGGAACTGACAAACTAGTACCTTTTAATTGCGCGCACACACACACACACACAGTGTATCCTATGATCCAGCAATCCCAATTCCAGTAATCTGTTTTACAGAAATAAAGATTTGCAGAAGGCAGTTCACTATAGTATTGCCTATAACATCCAACAATTTTAATCCATTTAATTGTTCATCAATAAAGAAATCTTTAAATAAATCACAGTATGTATATCTAGACAATGTATACCATGCAACTATTTAAAAGAACTTTTATTTAATCCCTTAGCTTGGGCACTATTTACTCCTGATACCTAGGGCCAAGAGTGGTTTAAATAACTTTCCTACAGAACCCTGTATGCAGTCATCACAGAATGTATCACCTTCTACGGTGCTGCTTGCTTAGATACTGGGTCAAAAAAATGCTTCCTGAAGGTATCAAAGAGGAAGAATGGACAAACTTAGCAGAGGAGAAGAAAGTGAGGAAAAGGTGGAGGATAAAATTAACAGGCAGTGGGGATGCCATGAGCAAAGGCTGGAAGGCAGAGAATAAATGAAAGGAAACAAAACAGTACTGCCAGTGCTTAAAACTGTGGTGAGGGTGATGGTGGATGTAGGGGACGGGGGTGGGGACAGAGGCAGGGTGAAATGTTAAGAAATAAGGTTGGAGAAGTGGAGGACAGCTCATAAAAGGAATCAACAGGCCTGTTATTTAAGAGTTAGATGTTACCTTGATGGTGTTACTGGAGGATCACTGAAGGGTGAGAAAGAGTACTCTAGACAGGGTGGAGACTGGACTGGAGGAGGGGAAGAATAAGGTAGCAGGCAGATGCTTATAAGGCTGTGGTGAGGGAAGACTGGGAGTAGCCTCGGGAAGGAGAAAGTGGATTAAGTACAGAGAAATTACTAAGCAGAATTCACTGGATTTGATGATAGTATATGGGGGGACAGCCGAGAGGAAGGAGCCCATGAATAAAGCCCAGATAAGAGATATTTAAGAACTTAAATTATAAACAGACACTGACCTAAGTGACGTTGTAGAGGCAGTCATTATACTAATTTATTTATGAAACATGTTGGAGAAAGCCTGGCAAATAGATTATTTTTTAAGGGAGAGAGAAGAAAGAAAAGAAAAGGAAGAAAAATAAAAAGAGGAAAGAAGGAAGCAAGGAAGGGAGGGTAGAAGGGAAGGAGGGAGAGAAGGAAGGAAAGAAAAGGGAAATTGGCAAAAGGACCCATTTTTTTCTTCTTTTATTTTTCCATCCTCAATCTATGATTATGGAATAATTACAGAAACTTTGTCACACCCAAATTCAACTTTGAGTATTTGTCCCCAAAGAGGAAAAAAACCAGCCATTATGCTCTGAATGTATAAGCAAATATACTCTGGAGTGAGCATGAGATGGGAAACCATAATCCTGGAGTAGGAATGAGATGGGAGACTACTGTCTCTGAGGTTCTGTCTCACACGTGGGCGTTTCACCAAGGTGAGAGTAAATACAGGACTTAAAGATAACATTTTTGTATAACATGACCCTTCACAAAAACTATTTCATCTGGTACTCAAGTAAAGAAACACTATCTCAGGAACGCTAGTATCTACTACAAAACAGACATGACTTACTTAGAAACCACATCTTACTCTTCAAGATCCCTAATTTTTCTTACACTTTCCATCATTCTTCAAATAAGGATACTCTGAAAAGGAGGGAAAGTTCCTCTCTTTATAACTTTCTGCTCTCCACCTTAATATACACTCTGTAGATTTTAAAACAATTAATCCAATTGAATGTCATTTCCTTGGTTAAGGCATCAAGGAACCAGGATTCTGACTTTACTGCAAGTTTTACAAAACCATACTAAATGGTTATGCTGGGTAAGATAGAAGTTGGCCGTCAAAGTGATTTAATTTTCCTATACCACTTCCTCTGCCACTTCCAAGTTTAAAAGGAGAAAAGAACTGCTCAGTACTTCTGATAGCAATATTAAGCCATCAGACAAGTGGAAACACGCTACAGTTTATTCTCTACGGCACTGAGCAAGCCCTACAGCAAGGTCCCATACGCAGAGTATATGCACAATTGATATCTGTTAAATGAGTATATTTGTTGCTACTAATTAAAAGAAAACTCCAAGAGAACAGTGCTTTTATCAAGATGTATGTTATAAATATTTGAAAATGCAAAAAAAAAAATCACTTAAAACTTACCTGCTACTATGAGCTTCGCTGTTCTACTGATAATAGTTCCAAGACTCTCAACAGTGGCCACACACTGATAATAACCTTCATCAGGTTTATTGTGTTTGGAATGCACCACATTGCTGATAAATAAAGATCCATCCGGGAGAAGCTGGCGTCGATCATCTGATACTAAGTTTAAAAAAGTTCCATCTTTTTTCCATTCAATTTTTGGAGAAGGCTCAGAATATGCTGAACAGTTTAATATAACAGAAGAGCCTCTAACTGAGAGTGTATCCACCGGCTCCACCAGAAAATAAAATGGAGTGAACGTTCGAATGCTGGCTCCTACAAAAATAAAGAAAAAGAACAAAGTTAAGCAAATCTCTCTTCTATTATTTGTCAGAAAATATATTACTAACAAGTCCAAAAATTATTAACTGTTGTTCTTTGAATGTGACACATAAATATAGTCATCTCACTACAAATGTCTAATAAATAAGATTTACTTTCAAGTAGGAAACCAAACTTTGAGCCATTTAGAAGAACATTAGGGGAAAAAAAAACCTTCTACCTGAGATAAACAAGCCTTGTTAAATGACATGAGTATCTAATAAAAGTTTTATTTCAAACCCTAGAATCAGATTTATAAATACTTTAAGTTACTGCATTCAAAGTGAAATTCTCTGTTGAACATAAAAGAGGCAGAAAATTAAAATGATTCTTAAGAGGTATCTTTTTATGTTTATCAGTTATTTGTATTTTTTTCATAAATTTACTATACACACACTTTGTCCATTTTCTAGAGAATTTATTCATCCGACTGACTTAAAAAGCAATCTGCTATCATATTTTACAAATATTCTTTTTTCCATTTGACTTTATAATATTTGTTATAAGAATAAATTTTAAGCTACATAAAACTAAACATAGTTATACTTAGGTCTTTTTTATCCCAAGATCATAAAAAATTTCAGCCTTGCTTTGTTCTATTACTCTTGTGATTTTCTACATTTAATCTTCATCTAGAATTCATTTTAGTGTAAAGAGCACGGAAGGAATTAGCTTACTTTCTCTAAGTCCCTGTCAGTTCTTTGAACATGGGAAGAACAAAATTTAAAGAAAAATATTTGTTATAAACCTTATACTCTCAGCCTGTTGGAAAGCTTTCCAACTTAAAGCTTTATCACTTTTCTTCAAGAAAACTTCTGACCAATTCCCTTGTAAACAACTCAAGTTGTCATCAGCTTTCTTCATGTGAAAAATCAGAGAAACCCAATCCAGCAAATGAAACTAAGACTGTTTTTCGAATATATCTACACACTTCTTTATAATTTATTTGCATTATGAATTTAAGGATGACATAAATTCTATATTATATAATGAACAAACACCTCTAAAGAAATATAAAACACACTGGCAGAGGAAAAGAAATAACATTCAATTGTTTTAAAAGTTTTCCAATACTTCAATGATAAACAAATTCTAATTCTAATCAGACTAATTACACTTTCCCAAACACCACAAGCAGGTATTAGAAAAGAGGTGGCTGGGCACGGTGGCTCACGCCTGTAATCCCAGCACTTTGGGAGGCCAAGGTGGGTGGATCATGAGGTCAGCAGTTCGAGACCAGCCTGGCCAACATGGTGAAACCCCATCTCTACTAAAAATACAAAAATTAGCCAGGCATGGTGGCACATGCCTGTAGTCCCAGCTAGTTGGGAGGCTGAGGCGGGAAAATCACTTGAACCTGGGAGGTGGAGGTTGCAGTGAGCCGAGATTACACCATTGCACTATAGCCTGGCAAGAGCCAGACTCCGTCTCAAAAAAAAAAAGTGTTTCAGGTCTCTATGCCCATTTAATGACCATGAAATTTATTTTTCAAGTCTTAAAATTCCTGAAAATAAGCTTAGAAATTTTTAAAAAGTAACCTGCAATTAGTTTCTTATTACTATCAAAATGTTTATGTTGCATTAGTTTACTGGAATCATAGTAGAATAAACACATAAATAAAAAGTATAAAAAGATAGCTAAACTAAGAGAAATTACCTTTATATCTTTACTATGTAACTATTAAATCTCTATTATACCCCCCAAACTTAACTCAGAAACTTAAAAGATAAATGTGTTAGATTGGTGGTTAAAATACACAAATTAAAAATCTGAAATATTGTATTACTGATAATAAAATACATTCTATTTCAAAATTACAACACAATTTTTGCCATTTGAAAAAATACCCCCAAAATTACAATTTAAATGTTTCGCAGTTTAACACTGTCTTGCTTTTTATTTCATTTTTAAAATTGAGCCAGGTTGAACAACGAAAAAAAGTATATGTGTTTGAAAAAGTAAGAGTGAATTACACTCAAAGGAAAGCTTACAAATGCCTTTCAAAATCAAGGCACTTCAAAATTTTTACAAAAAGTTACTTAAATATTTCTGTATATCGTTTTGTATTTTGTTCTCTCAGTAGGAGGGCAGTGACCTAAGATATCCTCTCTTCACTTAAAACCCCTCAAAGGCTTGCCGTTGCCTTTTACAAAGAAACCTGAAGAAACTCCTTTAGTCGACTGCCACGTCAGTCACCACCTGATCTAGCTTCTGCCTATTTCCAGCTCCCCTGCATTGCTCTCCCAGTCAGTTCCCCACCGCTCCCGCCTCTTCACACAAGCTATTCCCACCACCACTCCTTTTCAGTCAGTTCTCAGTCTTCCTTCAAGCTCAGCTTAAATATCATTTGCTCAGAAATGCTGTCTGTCCCAGGTGCCCAGGCAATGTTAGTTTTGCCTGTTCTAAGCAAGCATGGTGTATGCGCTACCTACAGAGCACTCCAAATGTTCTTAATCTTTGAATATTTGTAATAACTTTAAGTTAAAGTAGAGAGGTTCCCAAACTTGCTTGGCTCCTGGTACCCTTATTTTCTCTATAATTTCTTTCAAGAATTCCATAGGTCAAAAGAGATAGCTAACCATCCTATTTCTTTTAACAGTTAGGTTCAAACAAAATGAGTATCTATGTCCCAACAAATTAACACCTTTTTGAAAAAATAATACATGCAAACTGAAAAATATATATATATATTTCATTTTAAAATAACCACAATTAGTTACTATGGGATGTTTTCACCTACAGGGCCCTGCACAACTTCTAAAACTTAGATGCTGTGCAACTAAATACTGCCACCCACATTTCCTGTTCCACACTGATTTTTGCATAGTACTTGCTTTTTAAAACAGTAACCACTAAAAGCTCAACTTCACAAAGATATCACAGGTACAAAATGAAGATGGCACAATCAGCTGTTGAAACTGTGAACTACCTTGAGCTAGAAGTTCGCATAATGTCCAACAGATGTGGCCATGTTTCCCTAGAAGTTTGAAATGACCCTGGGAGTTCTCTGAGGTTCCTTTGGGTATCTCAGGGTATAGTTTGGGAAATGCAGGCTTATGATCTATCTTTGTACAGTTTTCATTTGCTATATTCCCAGTACCCACCTAGCATGGTGGATGGCACTAATCTTTAGATTACATAACCAGATAACTTCTAAAAACTTCCAATGGTTAAAGTATTAATAAGAGACTGCAGGTTCCATTCTAATAATGGCCACTTAGTATCACTCCTTTCCACACTAAGACTTAATAACAAACAGTTTTTGTAAATTCTGATGAGTGTTTACAAAACTATATGGAAGAGCAAAAAAAAAAAGCCAGTAAGAGCCAAAGTAATTCTGCAAAACAAAGTAAAGGGACTCCACTTGTTAGTTACAAGTATGTATAAAGCTATAGTAACTAAGCCACTGTGGCTCTGGAGCAGAGGATAAAGACACATAACAGGCTATAAAGCCCCCAAACAGAGCTATATATATTTGGAAACTTAACATGTAGTAGAGATGACATTTTAAATCGATTGAGGAAAAGGATGAACTAACTACTCAATAAATGTTACTAGGACAACTGGTTATCCATATGGGAAAAAAATGAGATGCCTACTCACACCATGTAATAACAGTAAAAGCACATGTTTCTATGTACCAGATAATGTTCGAAATATTTTCTACATAATAACCACTCATTTAAGCTTCACTATCATCTTACAAAACAGGTACAAGAATCAGCCCCATTTTAGAGAGGAAAACAACATATAAATGTTAAGGACCTTGTCAAAGGTCGAACAGGTAGTAAATCACAGAACCAGGGTCTGTGATCTTATACTACATTATTGTTAGCTATTTGTTCATTATCTGTGATCTTATACTACGTTATACTACAATGCCACTCAATATAGACATAAAAATGTATTCCAGGCCTATAAAAAATGCAAGTGATAAAAACCTTAGAAGAAATTTTAGGAAAATACAAGGATAATCCTGGAGTTAGGCAGCCTTTTAAATCAAAATAGGAAACTAAAAGCTAGAAAAGAAGAGGCATGTTTTACTTTATTGCATTAAAAAAAAATTTTTTATGGCAAAATACCATAACAAAGCAAAAGACAATGGATTGGGGGGAAAATTGTGTCACATATAACAGGTAAAGAATTTAAAAGGTTAAACTGCTCAATACAAAAATGGGTGAAGCTATGTTCCAACAAAACTTTATTTATACAAATAGGTGGCTGGATGGATTTGATCCGTTTATTGCAGTTTGCTGATCCTTGCCTTAGAATATTATCCAGCAAAAAAAAAATGAGTGGGCTACATTTCAGTTGATGTAGAATCAGTTCTGTGAAAAATGAATAATGAAGATGAGTGTAAATTATATAATTTCATATGTATATGATTATATGGGCATTGAGAAAGGTAGGAAAAATGTACACCAGGTTGTTACTACTGGTTACTGGGAGAGGAAAGATAGGAGAAAGGGAGTAGAGGAAAGATAAAAATCCCCAAGCAGATAAAATAGTTCCATGACAAAAATCATCTTGTATGTATAATCCACTTATAAATACTACATTGGCTGGGTGCTGTGGCTCACCCTTGTAATCCCAGCACTTTGGGGAGCCAAGGCAGGCGGATTGCTTGAGCCCAGGAGTTCAAGACCAGTCTGGACAACATGTCTAAACCCCATCTCTACCAAAAAACAAAACAAAACAAGACAAAAATTAGCCAGGAGTGGTGACCTGTACCAGTAGTCCCAGCTACTTGGGAGGCTGAGGTGGGAGGATCACTGGAGCACGGGAGGAAGAGGATGCAGTGAGCCAAGATTACACCACTACACTCCAGTCTGGGTGACTGAGGGAGACCTAGTCTGGATGACCAAAGAAAACCTTGTCTCTAAATAAATAAATAAATAAATATTATACCTTTATATGTGGCAGGTGTGATGTATGTTCACACTCGTGTAAATAGCTAAAGAAAAACATTTTTTAAATGGTCGCCAAAATAAGGATTATCTCAAGGATTTCAGTTGATTTTTAATTTTTTCTTTCACCTTTGGTATTGTCTAAATATTTTACATAAAAATAGTATTACTTAAGCAGAAATATAGCCATCTTCATTCATAAATTCATACACACATATCGTCTGCACAGGAGAGGAACATTATGAAAAGTCTGGGGTACATTTGTATGCTGAGATTAAAAGATTGTCAAGATACATAAATAATAAAAAATGTACGTTCAAAATATGTCGAGTATGACTCTTCTGATATTAAAATATGTACACATGTACAGATGCTTGTGTGCCCATATTTAAATGCAAATACAAAGGGAAAAGACTAGAATAACAAACACTGAACAGTTAACATTGTTTTCTCCCTGGGGAGAGTAGTGGGTTTGAGCTGCCAAAAGAGAGCAGAGAGCGTACAGGGAGAACACTTTTTACTCCGTGTATTTCTGTTTGCTACTTTTATATATGTATATATATGAACAATTGCATACACATTCTTCTTATCTTTTTTTTCAGTAACAAAAATTTTGTTGGTGGTGGTGGAGAACAATCCTTTGCTTGGAACAGGAGATTATTTTCTAAAAGATCTATCATCATTTTCTTTACCCACTTTTTGTTACAATAAAAGGGTTATCAAACACTCACTCCTTAGCTGACTTTGTATAAAAACTGGCTTATACTTCTCCCCAGGGACCTGACTCCCAGCCAATTATATTTGCTTAATTTTGGTTTAGTATGGCCAGAGTCACTGGATTCCATTTTGAAATAGGTTTAATGATCCTATCTAATATCTTCTACATTCCCAAGTCTCTTCAAATTTCTCACGTCTTAATGGAATAGCTCTCACTTCTTGATAGACTATTCCTCACATTCTGATAGAATACTTCACACTTCTTGATAGAATTCCATCTTACAGAAAGAAAATATCCACAGGGAACTCCTTTCTGTTGTAACTCCCAACAACATCAACAAATCATATCCCTCGGTGCATGTCTTAATTGTGTGTGACCAGTAATAATTCTAAACTTTATTGTACCCAGAGTAAAACATTAACATATGGTATCTGAATACTTGCAGAAGTAAAATGAAACCTGTCTTATTGCCAAAAGAGGTTCAAAGTTTAGTAGTAGCAGAAACTCAGGGCAGAAGGATAAGTAGCATTTTTATATACCTACAAATGCAAGCATTCTGTATAATGTTCATTGTAAGAAAAGTATCACTTTATTATCATAAGCTAAGACACTACTGTCAAAGGACTTCCTATTTTTCTTTTTTTACTACTTGTTAATGTTTCTTTCAACCATCCCATCCCTTCTCGTCAGTCTCCAAATCCTACATTTCATCCATCTTGATTCTTTAGTGTCCACTATCACTATGCGGTTCAGACTATCTTGCTTCAAATTCTCAACTACCTTAGAAAATTAGAAAATTAAAATAATTTAACATTCAAAGATCTCAACAACATTCATGTTATTAACTAAGAGCAGGCAACACTTAAGCGTTAACAAACATTTTCCACCCTGCTTTGCTACGTAACAGTTAGTGCTCCTGGTTCCAGAGTTCAGTCTCTCTCTGCCCTGCACAGCTGATTTCTCCAAAGACTGATCTACCTCAGACACATCATCTTCCCTATATTTCAACTTTACAGAACCCCTCTCCTGGGGAAAACATGCAATTAATTGTTAATATTATACAGATCATTTTAATTGTCTGATAAACATATATGCTTTTAAAACTTCACGGCATACAACTATACCATAAAAACACTGGATGTCAATGTCTAATCAAAGCTAGATCTAAAATTCTTGTTCAGGATCATAATGTCCTATAGGGAAATTCTAGGGTGATTCAATTTCTATAGGGTAATGTACCTTGATACACTGTTCTAATTTACAGCCACTACCTTCCCAACCACTCCCCCAAATAAAAAAAAAAATCTAAATTCCTTTATTCCACAAAAATTTATAAGAGTGCTTTCCTTTTCTTCAATTTTCAGCCTTGTTCTTCTCCCCTCCATCTTCCTCCCTGCAAAAAGACACTAAAAAAAGCTATGGGACAGTAAAGTAAGGCAGACATATTTTTGAATCCTAGCCCTTGTGTGCTAGTTGCTTAATTTCTCTCTGTATCTAACATTTTCTCCCCCATCAAACAGGAAAAATTATGCCTCCTTTCAAGGAAATTTCTGTGAAGATGAGAGAGAATTTGTATAAAATTCCTCACTGCTTGGCAGATAACACGTCCTCAATAAATAGTTAACTATTCACAGTTCAAAAACCTATAATATCTCCCCCAAAATCGCTAACAGTCTAGGACCTTAGTTTTCACAATCACATTTTAGAAATTGTTATGTATAAAATAATATGGACTGTACTTCTACGCATATTTTGACAACTGTTATGTGTAAAATAATATTAAGTGATCTTAAAACCAAGTTTGATCATCTTTCTTCCCTAATCTTTAAAGAACTCCCCAGTACAGCTAAAATAAAACCCAAATTCATTACCATGGCCTGCCTACAGGATCTGGTTCCTGCCTCTCTCCAACCTAATCTCCTATCACACTTCCTCTCACTTCTCTCAATGGGCTGTGAATAAGCCACATTATTCAGTCTCTTGAACAAGCCATGTCCTTTCTCACGCTGGGGCCTCCGCATGTGCCATCCCCTCTGCCTGGAACACTTGCCCTGCACCCACTCTCTGTCGCATGGCTAGCTTCTTCCTTCATGTTTTAACCAAACTGTCCCTTCTACAGAGGCCTTTTCTAACAACTATTTCTGAAGAGATCCTAGTCCTCTATCCTTCTACGCTATGTGTAATCTTCACAGCAATTACCTGTTTGCTTTTTCCTCTTTTCTAAGGTCTATCTTCCCATGAGCAGGCTAGACTATTAGAGAGTATTAAAATGACCCGTCTTGCCATGGCTATTTGCACCTTGGTTTTTGTTTGTTGTTTTGTTTTATCCTTTTTCAGTGTCCTATAGGTAGGAAAGGTGCCTGGGCCAAGATGGAATTAAGTATTAGTGGTACTTAATGACTGTGGATAACATCAAATCTCCATTGCTTTTTCTAAGATCAGCCTTAGTCTCCAAAATTTGATCTCAAGATGACTTGAAGTCTGTCCTTTGTAAAAATGTTTTATGTAACTTCTTAAAGTACCATAAATAACTAAAGTTAATATTTTATATAATTTCTTCATGATGTGCAAGAAGACAAGGGGCAATGTGATAACCTGCAAACAGTACCATTAATGTTCTAACCAGTTACTTGGAAATTCTCCAAAACAATTCTCAGGAAAAGTCCATTAATAATAAACAGTCTTAGCAATATTTAGCTCATATTTAGCTATACTTTAGCTCAAAAGTGGGGGAAATCTGAATTGGTCATTTTTCATTCTGCTAGATGAGAAATATATAAGAATTGTTTCACATTAATTACAGAACGTTCATGAAAGCTTTTGGGTTTTGTTGTTGTTGTTTGTCTTTTTGGTACAGACCGGGCCTCACTATGTTGCCCAGGCTGGTCTCAAACTCCTGGTTTCAAGTCATCCTCCCGCCTTAGCCTCCCAAAGTGCTGGGAATGCAGGCATGAGCCACTGCACTCAGCCTAGAAATATCTTATAAGCCACTTTTTAATACTGGTGGCCAGAAGATTCTCCTAAGAGTAAGACCCAATACTGATGCACATTCACCCAATACAGTTGCAAAGTCTTTTAAATTTCTGAAATGAGTATTTTTCAGTTCCACTTTTGCTATACTGATGAAAATATGGCTGCAATGATAATATAATGTAAAAATTAACTTGGAGGTACAATTCAATCCCCTGAATGATGGCATTGTTTTACACTGTAATATTCAACTACCACCATTTCATTTTAGCAACATCACCGTCTTTAGGAATGCTGATTCAGTGAATGCTTACAAAGGCTTCAACTAACTGATACTTCTTTGTTTAATGATGTTTTATTTTTCTATGATGGGCAATGATACTAGTATTCTAGGTACCAAATGTTATATCACAGTAAACCATCAAGTTATTTTTAAACAGGACATCTCCTTTGCAAAACTTCATTTAATACTCCCTTCTCTATCTTCTGCAGTTATTATGACCTAATATAAGACTGGGTAATCAACAAATCTGGAAGCCATCCTAAATAACTCTGAACTAGATACAACTACACTTCATCAATCTTCGAGATCACCTTAATTTTGTATGTGAATCTGTTTTACCTTACTGCTACAATTACATAGGCTTCTGTGGGAGAGATGTATTTGTATTACAAAGAAAAAGCAACCCAATATATTGTAGCTCTCAATCTTTTGTGGGTTTAAAAAATCATAATGATAAATCTCTCATTTACTCACTGCCATTTGCAGAGGTGCTGGGTTTTCCCATTCATTTCAATAAATTATGGTAACAAGGGGCGAGAATGCTTGAAATTAAAAGTCTCCTAAAAAATCTATTTCATCTTATTGGTTTAGAAAGTCACTACAAAAGAGTTTGTAAAGCAAGGGACTGAGGGTAAAACCAGCAAGATATAAAACAGAAGTCAAGGGATCCAATATCTAGTCCTAACTTCCCTTACAAAATACAAGGACACTTCTAAGACAGAATGGGAATTATTGGACGAAGTCTAAAGGCATAATGATAAGAGTTAACATTTACTAAGCATTTACTATGTGCCAGAGATGGATTCAGTGCTTTTCCTACATTAATTATTTCAATTCCCCATCCCTAGTAGTAAGAACTATTATTATCCCCATTTTACAATGGGAAAACTACACCACAAAGAGAATGAAGAATTTGCCCAAAGTCATGATGCCAGCTGGTGAAGAAGGCAAGATCTGAATCAAGTTAGTCTGGTTCCTTTGTGCCCAAGATTGTAACCACCATATCTGCACTATCCAATAGGGACAGTGATGTGTGACATGTAGTTATTGGTAACTTAATGTAGCTCATCTAAATTAAGATTTTAAGTAATATAAAATACACACCAGATTTAGAAGACTTATTGCACACACACAGAATGTAGAATATTCATCAACAATTTTTATACTAATTACGTGTTAAAATATTTTGGATATATTCATGTAAATAAAATATATTATTAAAATTAGTTCAACCTGTTTTTTACTTTTCTAATGTGCTATCTAGAAGATTTCAAATTATGTATTTGGCTTGTACTATATTTCCATTGTACAGCACTGCACTGGCCTATGTTACCCTTCATTAATGTGTTTTAAAATAATCAAGTTCTCTAATAAAAAAATTGTATTATTTCTGGAAAAGGTAAAAGATTAATACGAATCATGACAATAATTGTGAGGAATCAAAGCAAAGCTCTTTCCCAGCTGTCTAATACAACTGGTCTGACATCTAAACAGTAAAAATGGAAGGATTTTTAAGTGACTACCAGTACCTTCTCTTTAGTGCCTAATCAGAAATGTCTATTTAGAAAGGAAACTTTTTAGAAACTTTTCATTAAAAGTTCAGTAATAACTGATTCATTACTGATGAATGCTAAAACCACTGGAAAAAAGAAGTCACACAATTTGAGTGTCATCCACAAATCATTAATTACAAAGGGGGAAATGTACCTTCACAATGGACAGATTTGGCAGATACCATCTTAACTAAATGATCAAATTCATTATTAACAGTAGTGGGACAACCTGGCTTCATAAACATCCTGATGAGATGCAATAAGCAGCATGTAGTATTCTTGCCCAAAGTGTCTAACCTAAATCTAAGCATGAAAAAATAATTACACAAATCCAAAATGTGAGACATTCTACAAGACAACTACCCTGGACTCTTCAAGTAAAATAAAGTGAATGTCATAAAAAACAAAGGCAATAAGAAGACTGTCCTACATGAACTAATGAGACTAATGAGAAACAAGCAAATGCAATGAGTGAAACCTTACTGGATCCTGGGCAACAAAAAACATTTGGAGAATATCCAGATGACTTTAAATGCTGAGTATATTAGACAGCATTACTGAGTTAATTTTAATTTTCTTAGATGTGATTAATGATACTGTTATTTAGGAAAATGTCCTTATTCCTAGATACTTTTACAATATTAAGACATCAAGAGAAAACACTGCATTGGGTTGTTGTCTAAGCAATTACAATAAACCAGAAACTACACAACACGCAGCAGGCACTCTTAGGCGTATAGACTCAAGAAATCCAATGCCCTGCCCAGAAAAGTAATCATTCGCAGAAAAGTAATTCCTCTGGCCCAACTGAAACAGTGGACATTTGTTTGGTTCTTTATCTTTTCTGTTTATCCTTTAAGCAACCCCATATCATCCTAACAAATGCCCTTTGTACTTAAGTTAGTTAATGTTTCTGATGCTTATAATGAAAACACTTCACTGATACTGAGTAGATAAGATTTTTCAAGAAATTTAATAAAATATTTTCATATAGAGTTCAAAATTAATAAAGTGACCACATTTTTCAAGAGGTGCTCTAAATATTCTGCCTATGATACAGTTTGGGTCTGTGTCCCTGCCCAAATCTCATGTTGAATTATAATCTCCAGTGTTGGAGGTGAGGCCTGGTGGCAGGTGATTGGATCATGGGGCGCATTTCCCCTTGCTGTTCTGGTGATACATGAGACCTGGTTGTTTAAAAGTGTGTGGCACCTTCCCCTCCACTCTCTCTCCTACTTCTCCATGTGAAGATGTGCCCTGCTCCACCTTCACCTTCCACCACCATTACTGTAAGTTTTGTGAGGCCTCCCCAGCCATGCTTCCTGCACAGCCTGCAGGACTGTGAATCAATTACACCTCTTTTCTTCATAAATTACCCAGTCTCAGGTAGTTCCTTATAGCAGTGTGAGAATAGACTAATATAGCTTATTTCAAGTAACTTCATCTGTTGGCTATCAAATCAATATTTTAGCTATTTGATGACAAACTTTTTCTAATTTTAGCATCAATGGCTTGAACTTTATAAAATACAATGAATAAAACATATCCTTTCTTAATAAAAAACAATTATACCATAGAACACCTATTATTTTACTTTTCTATTTTCAAAGCTAACCATTAATTCTCACTGCTATTTCTAAAGTACACCTCCACTAGTCCTTGATTACCACAGTTCTGTTCAGGGAAACTACATAAGAAAACAAAAAAACTAAGAATTAGATTTGAAGGGTTTGAACAATAACCTAATTACCACAGAACACTAGGTCCAGAAAGGTATATTACATTTTTAGATAGCTGAACTTAGCTTTCAGTTTAGAAAGCTGAACTTTCAAGAACTTAAGTCAGTAATGTCAGTAACATTCAAGATTTCTGCACTTGAAGGGCTCTTTAAAATAATAATTTGGCCAGTCGCAGTGGCTCACACCTGTAATCCCAGCACTTTGGGAAGCCAAGGCAAGATGATCGCTTGAGCCTAGGAGTTTGAGACCAGCCTGAGCAAAACAGTGAGACCTCCATCTCTACAAAAAATACATTTAAAAAAATTAACCTGGCACAGTGGCATGTGCCTGTAGTCCCAGCTACTTGGGAGGCTGTGGTGAGAGGACTGCTTGAGCCCAGGAGATAAAGGACATAGTGAGCCATGATCATGCCACTGCGTTCCAGCCTGGACTACAGAGTGAGACCCCATCTCAAAACAATAATAATAATTTACACATTCTTTCAAAAATATTACTAAGGATCTATCATGTATAAGAATAAAATTATTTTTCTTTTGTTGCTTTTGTTTCTTGCACCCTAACCCACCTCCATCCCCACAATACACTATTAGCTCAATGAGAGCAGGAACCCTGCCTGGTGTAGAGTGGGTGCCACATGCTAAGCACCTAGGTTAAGGGAACAAGACACTTACTATCTGCCCTTAAGAGTGCTTATAGTGGAGGACATATACAATGATATGATCACAGCCACAAACACAACCACAGAACAGTGTGATAGGAGCCATGACAGGATATGTACAAAGTACATACGTACATGAAGAGAATCTAACCGGCCTAGACAGTCAAGGAGGACATTCCTGCAAAATGACATGAAACCTCAGGAGCCAGCCAGTGAAGAGCAGAAGACACTCTGTCAAAGGAACAGTAGGTACAAAGGCCTGGAAACAAGCTGGCAGTGGAAGTGGCAAAGTACTCAAAGAAATTCACAACTGGGAAGGCAGTGACCAGATAGTGACGATTTCATACATTAAGCTAATAAGTTTGGAAGTTAAGAAGAGTTGGTAAGGGTCTTGAAGGGCTTTAAGATGGTAAGTAAAGATCACATTTACTTAATATTAAAAGGATCATTCTTACTGCCAAATGGAGATTAGTTTAAAGGGAACAAGATTGGAGATAGGGAAACCAGTTGGGAAGCCACTGTGGTAATCTCAGTTGAAACCTACTGAAGTCCTGTTTAGGAAAGCAGCAATAGTGACAGAAAAAAAAATGGCAGACATGATGAATTTTTAGAGTGGAATCAATACGTCTTAAGACTGAATAAATGCGAAAGTAAGGTGAGTAAAGGAGGGGAAAGGGTGATGGAGTAGTTGAAGATGAATGACAAGTTTCTAGCTTGGACGATGGCTAAATGGTGCCAGTCACTGAGGAGGAGGACATGATGAAGGAGATCATGTGTCCACAGTAACATGGAGAGTTTAAGGTGCTTATGTGGAGGACATATAATCCTGGAACTCAGGAGAGATTCAGAATGAAGAATACATGTTGAAACTGGAGTTACAGGAAAAGATGAGACAGGCAGAGAAATGTAAAATCTGAAGAAAGCTGGGGACCAAATTCTGTAGAACACCAACATTTAAGAGACAGGCAGAGAAAGAAAAGCCTGAAAAGGCCACAGAGGTCAGAGGACAAGAGAACAGGGCATCCCAAAAGCCAAAGGAATATATCAGAAAGGAAGATGAACTGCTGAGAGTAAAACACAGCCATTCATTAGATAGAGAGACCCCCATTCATTAGATATACATTGAGAAAGTCACTGATGATCCAGGCAAGAACAGCTCTAATGTAGTCCTATAAACAGATGACAGACTACAACACACTAAGGAACAAGATGGAAAGTGAAGAAGGAAAATGTAGACAGTGTTCTCAAATTATAGTGTATATTCTAATTACCTTGTTAAACCTTATTAAATTTTTTTTTTTGAGACGGAATCTTGCTCTATAGCCCAGGCAGGAGTGCAGTGGCGTGATCTCGGCTCACTGCAACCTCTGCCTCCCGGGTTCAAGCGATTCTTCTGCCTCAGCCTCCCGAATAGCTGTGACTACAGGCATGTGCCACCACGCCCAGCTAATTTTTGTATTTTTAGTAGAGATGGGGTTTCACCATATTGGCCAGGCTGGTCTTGAACTCCCGACCTCATGATCCGCCCGCCTCGGCCTCTAAAGTGCTGAGATTACAGGCATGAATCACCGCACCTGGACTAAAATTCAGATTCTGATTCAGTAGTTCTAGGATGGGGCCTGAGATGTTACATTTCTAATGAGTTATTAGATGACAAAGATGCTATCAGTCCACAAACAATATTTTTGAGTAGCAAGGATAGAGATAACTTTCAAAAAGTTTGGCTGTAAAA
This sequence comes from Homo sapiens, assembly GCF_000001405.40. NCBI lineage: Eukaryota > Metazoa > Chordata > Mammalia > Primates > Hominidae > Homo > Homo sapiens. The sequence goes on along the minus strand of NC_000015.10, from coordinate 73,101,934 downwards.
GGTAGAGGAGAGATAGGTTGGTAAATAAAGACGACATGAGCTTGGTTTTCTTCTATATTCTTTGCAATAGAGGAGAGACTTGAGCATGTTGAAAAGCTGATGGAAAGAACCAGTAGAAAGACTGAAATAGATACAGGCAATTACACGGTAAGATGATGCAGGCTTCTGGCCACAATAGAGTATCAAGGATGGGACTCACCCTCCTTGCCTTGGACAACTAAAAACTGGACAAAATCGATGAGACAATGCTTTTCAGACACTGGACAATAGACAGCACAGGACTATGACCCTTGAGAGAGAGGTAAACAAAGTAAGCCCTAAAATGATACCATTTTACAGCCTGTAGACCATTTCCAGGCCTCAGCACATGGTGGGGGAAACCAAAGAGAGCTTTGCAGTCTCACGGAGTTGAAGAGGCAGAGATTAGGATTGGGGAGGCCAAGGTGGCTGCAATTTGCAGATCAGAGTACAAACAGAAAAGAGCTGCAGAGAGAGAGTGGGAAAGAGAGCGTGTGTGCGCACGCGTGCGCGTGAGAGCGTGCATACTCCAGAATTTGGCAGAAGAATCCCCTTGACTATTAATGTGCACATAAGGGGATTGAAATTGTACAAAGTTTGTTTTCTAACCACAATGGAATTAAACTACAAATCAATAACAGAAACCTGGAAAATCCTAAGATATTTAGAAATTAAGCAACACACTTATAAACTAACCCACAGATCAAAGAAGAAATCACATGAGAAATTACAAAATATTTTGAATTTAATGAAAATGAAAATACAGCATGTCTAATGTGGACAATGCAACTAAAGTAACGCTTAAAGGGAAAGTTAAAGCATTAAAATGCTTACATGAGAAAAGATGTGTAGAAGGATTAATTTTGGATTGAAGGAATGCTGCCCCTCTTGTAACAAGAAAGAAGAATGAACATATGAGTAGGTCTGGTGGTAGTTAGTTACAGGAATCATTAACGGCTTGAATAGCCTCTAAAATATGAGATGAGTTCATCTGCTGATGATGAGAGAAGGGTGGTGGTGTTGGGAAGGACCAGAATTTGCAGGTAGTGGAAAACATCTGAAATAGCTGTGGCAAGAATGGAAGAGAGCACTAAAGAGGCAAAACAGAATTACTGGGCTACACTGAGAGCCCAGCTGACGTTGGTAACTGTATTTAAAGAAGTTCAAATAGGAGAATGTGATTTTATAAAGTAGAAAAGGAAGGAAAGTAGACATTTGAAATTAAACTTTTCTAGGCAGATGAGTTGAAAGTGACAATGAAGAGGGTTCAAGACATCAAAGTGGCTGGGTGCAGTGGCTCACACTTGCAATCCCAGCACTTTAGGAGGCTGAGGTGGGTGGATCATCTGAGGTCAGGAGTTCAAGACCAGCCTGGCCAACATGCCGAAACCCCATCTCTACAAAAAATACAAAAATCAGCTGGGCATGGTGGCACACACCTGTAATCCCAGCTACTTGAGAGGCTGAGGCAGGAGAATCGCTTGAACCTGGGAGGCACAGGGTGCAGTGAGTAGAGATTATACCATTGCACTCCAGCCTGGGCAACAGAGTGAGATTCCATCTCAAAAAAAAAAAAAAGATATCAAAATGGTTGTACATGGAATCTAAGGCAGGGAAGGAAATAAATAGGACTGAACTGAGATGGATAAAAATAGCACGGCTATAATGTGAGGAACCTGGAACGACTGGAGACTATGTGAGACTGGGGTATTATTTTAATATTTTAGCGCTCCTGAGTGATGACAAAGCGATAGGGCACATTTATAGACGCTGGTGTTTGAAATGGCATGGAAGAGAAGTGACTGGAGATGACGAGGTTAAAGAACTGAAAATGCTATTGAGAATGCAAGTCAAGTAGATAAAAATTATCGAGAACAATGGTAGATTTGGAATGGAGAGGAAGACGTAAAATAACATCTGAAGTTTTCAATAAATGAAAGTGAACAGTAAGTATACAAATGATAGTGAACAAGAAAAGTAGAAAATGATATAATTCCGTGGCTCACATCTTGAAAAAGCAGCAGTTTTATAAGAGTAATTATTTCACATTTTTAAAGCGATTTTGCCATTACTCCTTAGTAATCAGCTATGTTCTAGAGAGCTGATGTTGCTCTAAATATTGCTAAGAGTACTTTCCTCATATGGAAAACAAGTATTACAGATTTTATTCAAGTACCCATATGTCTACAAATTGTTACCAAGTTCAGTTAAAAAAATTCTAAGTTGAATTAATTCATGAACACAGAAAACAAATAGCACATGAATAATTTATTGAAAGCTTCTGCTGTCAGCAGCTTTACTAACAGAAGTAATATTTATGAAATCCCATAGGACAATCTAACAATTTAAACATAAGCAAAGGAAAAGAACACAAGATTAAAAATCCTTAATAATGAATCTTATATTATCAAAGCTAGTTTCTGCAAAGAATTCTATGCATACACAAGCTTTCAATGCAAAATAAACAGATGTGTTAGAAAAATCCTGTCATAGTCTCACAAGGTCTGTAAACCAGGTTCTAGAATTCTTCTATTCAACTGTGCATTTACTGATAAAGATAAACTAAATTCAAAAGCTTCTTAACTCAGTCCTGCATTGGTAAGCTGTCGTCCTGTCATAGACAAATTTCATTCATTCGTTGAGCTCTTAAAAGTTTGATAACACACTTGTGATACAAAATAATATTGAAGAAAAGAGGGGAAACCTCTAAAATCTAAGAAAGAAGTTAACAGCATCAGAAGAATAGGACACCAACCTCAAAATACCCACAATGAAGTCATATATATATAAACCAAAAGCAGTTGTAAATGCATCTCCAGGAGTAAAATAAGACTATCCACACTGCTGCATATCATTTTCATACAGATGTAGAATTAATTACTGAACTGGAATGCAAATGGCCCTTAATCATTTAAAAAGATGCTCAACTTCATAATAAAAGAAATGCAAATTAAAACTACAGTGAGATACAATTGCTCACCTATCATATTGGCAAAAATCCAAATGTTTGATGACATACTCTGTAGGCAAATATAGGAAAATAGGCTGATGGAAATGCAAAATAGTGCATTCACTATAGAGGAAAATCTGCAAAATCTAGCGCAATTATATATGCATTTACCCTTTTACCTAGCAATCCCATGTCTATGAATCTCTCCCTAAGATACACTGGCCAAAATATAAAAACAGGCAGGTACAAGCAAGGCTATTCACTGTACCACTACTTGTAGTAACAACCTGGAAACAACTTTGATGTCCCTCAATAAGAGACATGTTGAATAAACTATGACACACTGACACAAGGAGGTACTATGCAGTTGTACGCAAGACTGTAAAATAAGTTTATTTTCTACCATGGAGTGATTTCTATAACAAATTAAGTGAAAACAAGTAAGTTTGGAGAAAAATGAGTGTATTTACCTAAGAAATGTAGGATATTAACACACACACATATATATAACTTTTAATACACACAGGGAGAGGAAATATGGTGAAAGAGACAGGGATTGAGGCTAAGTCTCTTCACAGAACTTGTTCATAGATTTGACTTTGAGGCTATGTAAACATTTTACATAATTAAAAAACAAAATTAGATTTTAAAAAATCTCTAAAAATTGAAAGTATAAATTAGACAAACCTAATTGACCAGCTGTCATTAAAATCACACAGAGAACTAGTTCGAGAGAATTTAAGAACCCAGTAACCAAACTATACATAGTAGGATATACTCTAAGGACCAAAAGAACTGCAAAAAAATTTAAGCTGTTTTAATGACCATTTTATTGCAGTTAGCATTAGTATTGTTATTCTGAGGGTGTGTGTGTGTGTGTGTGTTGTGGGATAAAGCAAATGAGTAACTTTACTGATTTGGAGAACATGATATTCTTGGTGTAGAAGAAAAACACTATAGATGTAAAAATCAGTAACATTAAAGTATAATCTTTTAGCCTTCAATTTTAAGTACTAATATAAATTCATTTTACTACTTTAAAAAATAGGTATTTCCTAGCTCACTTCACTTAAAAGGCCTAGTAATGATGACCAACCCAGTGGCAATGAGCACTTTCCATACTCAGGTTTTGGTCTCTACGCATCATTTTCCACTGAAAAGAACTTACAAAAAAAAAAAAAAAAAAAAAAGGCTAGTTCCAGGTCTGGGATTAGAAAATGAGATGAATATGAAACATCTCATCATAATAGAAAATAAAACTATCAATGGCCACTAAGGTCATCTCAAACACTCAAAAGAGGCTCTGGGCTGGGCATAGTGGCTCGCGCCTGTAATCCCAGCACTTTGGGAGGCTGAGGTGGACAGATCACCTGAAGTCAGGAGTTCCGGACCAGCCTGGCCAACATGGCAAAACCCTGTCTCTACTAAAAATACAAAAATTAGCCAGGCATGGTGGCGCACACCTGTAATCCCAGCTACCTGGGAGGCTGAGCCAGCAGAATCGCTTGAACCTGGGAGGCAGAGGTTGCAGTGAGCCAAGACTGCACCACTGCACTCCAGCCTGGGTGATGGGAGTAAGACTCGGTCTCAAAAAAAAAAAAAAAAAAAAGAGGCTCTGACTGGCCAAATATGAGAGGACTTCAAAACGTTCGTGGAAAAATGAAATTAAAAGATAAAAATTTAAAATATCGTCTTTATTTCTCAACACAAGCTCCCCAACAAGGTCAAAACATTTTTGTAAGCAATGATACCAACCAGTTAGTCCATCCCTAAAGAACTCAGTCCTAAGAATTTAGCCATCTCAGTGCAGTCTTTTTTACATTATTATTAATTGTTTTTTTGAGACAGGGTCTCGCTCTGTAGCCCAGGCTAGAGTGCAAGTGGCATGATCACAACTCACTGCAGCCTTGACCTCCTGGGCTCAATTGATCCTTCCGCCTCAATCTCCTGAGTAGCTGGGACCACAGGCACATGCTACCACACCCAGCTAATTTTTCTTTTTTTTTAAGAGACAGGGTCTCACCATGTTGCCCAGGTTAGTCATGAACTCCTGTGCTCAAGCAATCATCCAACCTCAGCCTCCCAAAGTGCTGGAATTACAGGTGTAACCACTGCACCCAGCCTTACATTATTAAGTAAAGAAAAATGAGTGCTCTTTGAAGATTTTTTAAGATTAGGAAACAAAAAGAAGTCAGAAGAAGCCAAATCAGGACTTTAAGGTGGATGCCTAATGATTTCCCATCAAAACTCTCACAAAGTCACCCTTGCTTGATGAAAAGAATGACCAGGAGTATTGCCCTGGGGGAGAAGGACTCTGTGCTGAAGCTTTCCTGTGCAATTTTCTGCTAAAATTTTGGCTTTCTCAAAACATTCTCATATAAACAGATGTTACCATTCTTTGGCCCTCCAAAAAGTCAATAAGCAATATGCCTTGGCCATCCCAAAAAACCGTTGCCATGATCTTTGCTCTTGACTGGTCTGCATTTGCTTTGACTGCACCACTTCCACCTCTTGGTAGCCAATGCTTTGATTGTGCTTTGTCTTCAACATTGTACTGGTAAAGCCACGTTTCATCTCCTGTTGCAATTCTTCGAATGCTTCAGGATCTTGAGCCCACTTGTCTAAAATTTCCATGCAAAGTTCTGCTTTTGTCTGCAGCTGATCTGGGCACAATGGTTTTGATATCTATCGAGTGAAAAGTTTGCTCAACTTCTTCAGTCATAATTGTGTAAGCCGAACCAACCGAGATATCTATTGTGTTTGCTATTGTTTGTGCTGTTAATTAGGACATGAACAAGATGAATTTTTTCCTTGCAAATGGATGTAGATGATCTGCTGCTGTGGGTTTCATCTTCAACGCTGTTTTGTCCCTTCTTAAAATGAGTTATCTATTTGTAACCTGCTGAATTCTTTGGGGGCACTGTCCCCATAAACTTTTCGTAAGCATCAATATTTTAGCACTCTTCCACCCAAGCTTCACCATAAATTTGACGTTTGTTCTTGCTTCAATTTTAGCAGAATTCATACTGCTCTGATAGGGGCTTTTCTCAAAATGATGTTTTATCCCTGGTAGCACCTCAAACTAGATCCTATTCAGGCATCTTATAACAAGTTAACACAAGTTTATTTTGATGTAAAGAAATTTTGAAATCCATGCATAGTTTTTTCATATATGCATTTTCCATGAACTTTCTGAAGACCCATGGGACATTTAGGCTTCAATAATGATAATAAAACAACTGAAATGGTCAAATCTGTTGAATTCCATTACTTTAATCTCAAAAAAAAAAAAACAAATAAAGACTAATTGGTCATCTTTCGTGAATGCTATAGAACCAAATCATCTTGAAAACTTTTCAAAAGGAAGAGGAAAAAAATTAAACATCTTTCCCCATCAAACTGTTCCTGGTGGCAATAAAATTGTTGGTGAAAGTTTCTGTTTATAGAAGTACTCTACCAAATAAATGAAAAAATGATAGATTATCACTATTTTGCAACTCCTAATGAATCAACAGCTCTAGGCAATAAAAAGTAAACGGTACAGAAGTCAGCAAATATTTTCTGTAGAGGGCCAGACAGAAAATATGTTAGGCTTTTCAGGCTACACACAGTTGCTGTCGCAAATTCTCCTTTGCTTATTTTTTTAATTCTTTTTTAAAAACACTTTCAAAATGTAAAAATCAACATTAGCTTATAGGTTATTTAAAAAACAAGCCAGAGACAACTGACCATTAGCTGTTAAGTTTTTTTTTTTTTTTTAAGACAGAGTCTCACTCTGTCGCCAGGCTGGAGTGCAGTGGCACAATCTCAGCTCACTACAACCTCTGCCTCCTGGGTTCAAGCAATTCTCCTGCCTTAGCCTCCTGAGTAGCTGAAACTTCAGGTGCACACCACCATGCCCGGCTAATTTCTGTATTTTCAGTAGAGACGGGGTTTCACCATGTTGGCCAGGATGGTCTCAATCTCTTGACCTCGTGATCCGCCCGCCTCAGCCTCCCAAAGTGCTGGGCTTATAGGTGTGAGCCACCGTGCCCAGCCTAGCTATGGTTTTCTAAACCCTGGTAGCTAATAGCAACAGAGAAACAGACCCAAACAGACATTACACACCTCTTGATGAAAGAATAAATTACCATCACCTATGTGGCAGTCCAACAAAACCCTGAAATGATCAAATCTCTAGATCCAACTAACAATTAAGAAACAAAAATAAAAATAAAAAAGACAGAGGAAGATGGTAAGAAACACCATGGGGAAGCAACCAGCAATATCCCAACCATGTGGAAATTCTTCTGGACAAATGACAAAGAAGAAAACAGGGAGGTGAAGAGGGGATAATTATCACTTAAAAGAAACTTAAAACGTATACCAATCAATTGTGTAGATACTAATTCCAATTCAAACAACAACAAAATCTTTAGAAAGGCTATTGTATAGAATATACATTGCAGCATTATTCATAATAGCCAAAAGGTATAAACACGCAAATAAACCAATGTCCTTCAACTAATGATTATATAACATGTATTATATCCAGACAATGAAGTTATTATTTGGCCATAAAAAGGAATGAAATACTAATACAAGCTACAACATGGACGAACCTTGAAAACATCATGCTAAGTAAAAGCTGCCAGGCACAAAAGATCACATATTATATGACTTCATTTACATGAAATATCCCGAATAGGTAAATCAAAAGAGTGTTATCTAGGACCGGGGAACATGAGAAATGGACAGTAGACTGCTTATGGGGTATAAGATTTCTTTTGGGGTGATGAAAATGTTCTAAAATTGATTGCGGCAATGGCTGCACATCTGTGAATATATCAAAAGCTACTGAGTTGCACATTTTAAATAGGTGGATTATATAGTATGTGAGTTATATCGCAATTAAAAAAAATAGTTATAGAAGGAACCAGGGCTCCTTGAAGGAATGGTTAATTCTAAAATTAGGCAAGAAATACAAATGATGAGTCTGGAGCATGTTGTAGTGCCCAAAGGTAAGGAAGTGCTAAAAACAAAACAAAACAAAAAGCACAATGATGGAGGTATGTCAATGAGACACCGGGGCCAAATTAAGGAGCTTCCGGCCAGGCACAGTGGCTCGTGCCTATAATCCCAGCACTCTGGGAGGCCAAGGCAGGTGGATTGCTTGAGCTTAGGAGTTCGAGACCAGCCAGGGAAGCATGGCGAAACCCTGTCTCTACAAAAAATACAAAAAATTAGCCAGGCGTGGTTGGTAGTGCACGCCTGTGGTCCCAGCTACTTGGGAGGTTGAGGTGGGAGGATCACCTGAGCCTGGGAGGCAGAGGTTGCAGTGAGCTGTAAGCATGTCACTGCACTCCAGCCTGGGTGACAGAGCACGACCTTGTATCCAAAAAGAAAAAAAAAAAAAGGAACTTCCCATGGTCAAAGCTGAAACAATTTAAGCAACAAAATAAAGGATTACTGGATTATAATCCAAAGTACAAAATAAATACCCATGAGTTCATAATATACAGTTGAAAGATTTTTAAATGGAGAAAAAAGACAAATACCCCATGCAGAAGAATTCCAAATAATTCACATAGAAACACCACCCTCTACGAGGGAGAACATAATTCCCCACTCCTGAAGTGCAGGCTGCCCATGGTGACTTTCTTCTCAAAAGAGTACAGTATGGAAAAAGGTAGGTGACTTTACCAGGGAGAACTTGACAAACACAATCTCAGCCAGGTGATCAAGGTCAATGTTAATAGTGATACATCATGTTGATATTATGTATCAATGCCTTGAAATGGTGTGATGGCACTTTACCTCTGTGGTCATCCTTCCAAAACCATAAGCCCCAGTCTAATCCTGAGAAAAACATCAGACAAATCCTAACAGAGAAACATTCTATAAAATACCTGACCAGTACTCCTTAAAACTATCAAGGTCATCAAAAATAAGGAAAGTCTGAGAAACTATCACAGCCAAGAGAGCCCAAGAAGACATAACAATTAAATGTAATATGGTATGCTGGATGGGATTCTGGAACAGAAAAAAAGGACATTAGGTTAAAAACTAAAAACTGAGAAAATCTGAATAAAGTATAGACTTCAGTTAATATATCAATATAGGTTTACTAATTGTAACAAATGTATCATTTTAATATAAGATGTTAACAATGGGAGATACTGGGTGTGGAGTATATGGGAACTCTGCACTAACTGTAATTTTCTGTAAATCTAAAACTGATCTAAAAAATAAAGCTTATTAAAAAGCAATAATTATGACATAAAATAATTTAAAATTCTAAAGCTGGGCACTTTATGGTATTTTATCATTTCAATTTCAAAATAGTAATCTTATTTATGTGTGAAAATCTTTATGACTGACTTGAAATATAAATATAAGAACACTGAAAAAGACCAGGTACAGAAGATACACTGAGTAACCAAACACCAACTACATTCAATATCAATTTAAAAATGAACATTTTCAATGAAACTCATCAACTAAATGCTGTATTTAATATAAAATTTTAATAGAAGGATCAGCAAATCAAAAACTAATGCCATAATTAAGTAAAGTGGATTATAAGTTATTTGTTAGATAACCATGTGTTTTGCTCTTATATAACAGGTATCTAGATATTCAGCAGGTGAGCTTTAAAATAAAGCTCTTAATTATCCCCCTTAATCAACTACAGCAGCTGACACTTGTGTAGTACTTAGGTTCCTCTATTAAATTGATATCTCTATCTCACAAAGACAAGAGTGGTGACTAGGTGACTAATCCAGGGAACAGAAGTAGTTAAAACGCTATCTAATAAATCCACCTGAGTTACAAATGTGACTTCTCTGTATGAACCCTGAAGTTGTAATTTCACCTTATTTCAATATAAGCATAAATAAATATTCTAAAGGTAAACAAAAGATTTGGAGATTACCCATGTAATTTCTCCATCTGAATAGAGAGTTCAATTTTATGTACTTTTATTCGGTAATCACAAATCCTGGCATGCATTTATTTAAGTAATTTTTCTTGCAACTGTCACATGAAAGAATACAGCTCACAGGCCAGGCACGGTGGCTTATGCCTTAACCCCAGCACTTTGGGAGGCTGAGGTGGGAGGATCACTTGAGTCCAGGAATTTGAGACCAGCCTGGGCAACATAGCGAGACCTCTACTGGGAAAGATTCCCAGTCTTTCCCACAATATCCTACAGAATCCATTTAGTCTCTGCAAAAAAAAAAAAAAAAAAGTGTAAAATTAGCCAGGTGTGGTGGTGTATGCCTGCAGTTCCAGCTCCACAGGAGGCTGTGGTGGGAAGATCACCTGAGCCCAGGGAGGTCAAGGTTGCAGCAAGTAGTGATCATGCCACCACACTCCACCCTGGGACACAGAGTGAGACCCTGTCTCAGAAAAACAAACAAACAAACAAACAATAACAACAACAAAACGAATACAGTTCACTATGCGCAAAAGCAGAACCCTTAAAGGCACCAAACAGTGCTGAGCTCACTGCTAATTTTTATTAAATATTTTCTAGTTTTTAAGTATTTGTTTTTCTGGAATAATGTATCTTTAAAATAATGAAACCCGATTGGAAAAAAAAAGTTTGTATAAACAAATTTTCACCTCAAACGTATATAGCTTTTCAGGAATGTAATACATAAGGCAAGATAAAACAATACTAGACCATAACTGCATATGTGTACCAATGTCCATAGTACCTCAAATAGGTTCCTGCACATAGTAGGCATCAGCTTGTTTAATAAAAACTTTTGAGGTTCAGATTTTAAAGCCTACAAATTAAATATACAACCAGGAAAACGGCTAAGTAAATTATGGTATGCTGTTATTACACAGTCACTAAAAAATTGTAAAGGGAGGTAGTAATAGTAGTGGATAAGAGCGTGGGTTCAAGAGTCAGGCTGCCTGAGTTCAAATCCCAGTTCTGCCATTTGCTGTATCTGTGTGGCCTTGGGCAAATTACTTATTCTCAGTTTACTCATCTATAAGATTGGGATAATAGTAACTGCCTCAATAACGCAATTGGGAGGATTAAGTCTATTACACATGCAAACCATTTAACACAGTACTTAGCACATATAAAACATCTAAAAATGCTAGATACTATATTGTAACAAAAAATATGCTATAGGGTGTAATTTAAAATAATATGAAACTATATGCTCTGATTATAACGATGTAAGAATTATGTACATAAAGATACGAGGAACAGGAGGTAACATGTAAAATGATTGGTAATAGTGGAATGATAGTGATAATTTTTAAATTTTCCATTAGTATTCTTTCTAATACAATAGTTATTTATACAGGACAGAGTATAATACTTATAATTTTATGTTAAGAATTGTAATAGTTGTTTATTAATGCTCTCTGGTTAAAAATTATAGCATCTGCTGGCAATCAACAGTTCCCACCTTTTTGTTATTGCTGCTTTTATATTTTAAAAAATTCAATATATGCCTATTCATTGGGCTGCCATCTTTAAGCAGAGATTATCATATTAACAAATTAGTATGAATCCTTCCAGACATTTTTAACTCCTGTCTCTCATTCTCTCTCACTCACATGCAGAGAGCTTAGAGATTTTACTTTTTTAAATGCATGGAGTAATAGGCTTGGCAGCATGCGCCTGTAGTACCAGCTACTCAGGAGGCTGAGGCAGGAGAATCCCATGAACCCAGGAGACGGAGGCCACAGTGAGCCAAGATTGCGCTACTGCACTCCAACCTGAGCGACAGAGCAAGACTCCCTCTTAAATAAATAAAAATAAAATAAAATAAATGGAATAATATATATTGTTATGCAACTTGTTTCTCTCACATAACAATGTATCTTGAATATATTTCTATATCAATTCCTATAGTTCTATCTCATTATTTTGAACAGCTACATAGTTCTCCATGCTATTAGTGTGAACATAAACCAAACAGGTAAATTATCTTCCAAACCAGGACACATCTGAGAGTAAAATAAAATGCTCTAAATAATTATGCTGGTGTAAACTGGGTCCGTCCCAAGCAAATTTAGACATATGGTCATCCTATGTAGGAGGGCTATACCCAACGGTCAGTGTTTAAGTCATTTCCAATTTGTTGCTATTATAAACAATGCTTCAAGGAACATCTCTGTGCCCATAACTTTTTGCACACTTGAGAGGTATCTGTAGGATAGATTTCTAGAAGCAGAATTACTAAGTAAAAAATAATGTATATTTTAAATTTTGATAAATATCACCACCTACAAAAAAGGCTGTATCAATCTATATTCCCTTCAATAGTATATGAGAAAGACATTTTCCCTTTTCTTTGTCAACACTGGGAAGCCTTTAAATGTTGACCAAGTTAAGGAGCAAAAAAAAAAAAAATGGTGTAAGTTGTTTTAACTTGTACTTCCCTCAATATGGGCAATATTATCTTTTTAACGCATTTGTTATTTTCCATGCATTGCATATTTTTATTTGACTGCTTGCCAAAGTCTTCATTCCATTTTCTACATGGTGAGGTAGATGCCCAGGAGAAGTTATTGGTTCACTAGTCCTATATCATATGTCAAAACATTTTCATTTATATGCAGAAAAAAAAATATTGCCTAGGAGATATTTTTTCTCTAAGATACCAAAAACAATTATTAGAATACTTTATCAGGTACATACAAATCACTGAACTAATTAATTCTAATCTATCCTCCTATTCTTATTCTTTACTACACATACTTATGTCCGGTCTTAAAAAGAAGTGAAATTTCCCACTTCTGAAAAGGGGGTAGGGAGACAAAAATAAATTGCTTTTAATCAAACATAAAAATCTAGTGTTCACTCATCATTATAATCAGGAGACAGAAAGATAAGTGGTTTGAAAATATCTGACATTGTTGAATTACTAACCAATAAAAATAAAATGACCTTTTGTCTGTATTTGTTTCCTCAAAGAGCTTTTTCATTCTCAGAACTGCAACTATCAACCATAATGATGCACAAATCTGAATCTCTTCCTTCAAGTCAACTCAAGCTCAACAAATTAAAATCTAACACTTTTCCTTCCTTACTCTTTCTGAATCTTCTTAGGAAGCATCTTCCTTCTTCTTAGGAGTTTTTCTAGCCTCAAGACTTTACTCTCTCTTACTTCATCTTCTCTATTTCACGCCCAATTAATTTACCAAAATTAACTAAAATGCTCTCTTTTGAATGTCCCCATCCTCTTCAGTCCTTTCCCTCTCCTTTAATCCTAGCCTTCATTTTGTGTTGAGACTACTGCCCCTTAACTCATCTTTGTCTGTGACTATAACTGTACATTCCCCACACTATTTATACAAAACTTTTTCACTCTTTTTACCCTGACCCATTCTATTAAGATAGCCTTGCCTCCTATTTGGGAAAATGCAATCCCTTTTCTATAAATTGAATTTCTCTTCTTTGCACTTCAAAATTTATTTTGCATCTTTCCTCTTTACTTTCCATCACAAGTATCAGGTAAAAGTGTTTGAAACTACATGTTTTTAGGTAAAAACTGGTCAAATATCAGCTATTTCAGGTCTCAACCTAAAAGAAGCACAGTTCCTTTGTTTCCTGCATTTCTCTCCTTGATATCATTTTTCCCTACATTTTCATCCAGACCATATTTCATCATTTCAAACAACTCTCTGCATTTTTGCTCCTGGTTCAATATCTTCCTTTCCACTGAATCTTTGCCCTGATCTACAAAGATGTCTCATAGAAAAATTTCTTTAGTCTTTCCCTTAATCTTGCTAACCCCTTGATATATATTCTCTTCACTTCCACTCCTTCCTTTAAAAAAAAATATGAATATGCATAGTCAGATATATATTACTATATATTTTATATGTCTTTACATATCTGAAGATATAAACATACTTTTTAAGGTACCTATTTTAGAGTAAAAACGTATATATACTTTCTAGAAAGCAATTTAGCAATGTGTGTGAGCAGCCTTACATATGTCAAATTCTTTTCTAGAAATAAGTCAAATAAATTATCAGGAAAAAAACACATAAAAGACATTTATCACACTTAAATGTTCAACATTAGAAGAATGTTTATGTAAAATTATGGCATATCCATACAACAAAATTAGAAACCACACTGGGTCCAGAAATAAAATGGTATTTGTAGTATAATCACAAATTTTGTTTTAAATATATACCCACATTTATATGCAATTCAAAAATATACAATTATGTATACAGAGGAAAAAACTAGAAAAAGAATTCCAAAATATTAATAATCATCTGAATTGTGAGACATGATATTCTCATCATTCATTTCTATAGTTTAAGTTTCTACAATTACATTATTCTGATTATGAAAGTAAATTTATCTTGTAGAAGACCCATTTCATCTCAGTATTAAATTCTACTAAACAGTTAAAGAAGAAATAACATTCCACATGATCTTTTCCAGAAAATAAAAAAGGAAGGAACATGTCCCAACTCATTTTATGCAGCTAGCATTACTCTGACACTAAAACCAGACAAAGACAGTACAAGAAAACTACAAACCAATATTCCTCATGAACAAAGATGGCATGATCTTCAATGCAGCATTAGCAAATCAAATCCAGTTACATATAATAAATAAAAGGAATATTAAGCCACTACCAAGTTGAGGTTTATCCTAATATAAGATTGCTCAACATTCAGAAACCACTCACTGTAAGCCACCATAATGACAGACTATAAAGGAAAACCACATGATCTTATCAACAGATGCAGAAATGTATTTGACAAAATTCAACTACCATTCATGATTTTAAAAAACTCTCAGAAACTAGGAACAGAATGGGAGTTTAACTCAAAAAAGAGAATCTACAAAAAAACTAAAGCTAACATCATACTTAATGGTAAAAGACAGAGTGCTTTCTCCCTAAAATCAGAAACAAGGCAAAGATGTCCACATTCACCATTTTTTGCTGTACTGAAAATCCTATCCAGTGTAATAAGGCAAAGAAAATTAACAGAAGACATACAAATGAAAAGGAACAAATAAAATTGTTTCTGGCTAGGCGCGGTGGCTCACGCATGTAATCCCAGCATTTTGGGAGGTCGAGGCAGGTGAATCACATGAGATCAGGAGTTCGAGACCAGCCTGGCCAACATGGTGAAACCCCATCTCTACTAAAAATACAAAAATTAGCCAGGCATGGGTGGCATGTGCCTGTAATCCTAGCTACTCAGGAGGCTGAGGCAGGAGAATCGTGTGAATCAAGATCGCGCCACTGCACTCCAGCCTAGGCAACAGAGACTCCAACTCAAAAAAAAAAAAAAAAAGAAATCTAGAAACAGGCAGTTAGAACTCAGGATGCAGAGGTTGCAGTGAGCAGAGATTGTGCCACTGCTGCACTCCAGCCTGGGTGACAGAGTGAGACTCCATCTCAAAAAAAAAAAAAAAAAGACATACTATATTCATGGATTGAAAGACTCATGATAGCTAAGATGCCCATTCTTCCTAAATTAGTCTATGAACTTAATACAATTCCAGTCATAATCTCAACCAAAATTTTCATAAAGATAAACTGACAAACTTACAGGGAAAAAGAAAGAAAGTAGAATAGCTAAACAATTTCAGAAAAGAAAAACAAAATTGAAGGATTCAAACTACCCAACTTGAAAACTTACTATAAAGCTACAGCAATCAAGACAATGTGGGATAGGCAAAAGGACAGATATATAGATCAATGGAACCAAACAGAGAACACAGAAGTAGACCCACACAACTATGGTCAACTGATTTCTGACATAAGTCCTAATGCAATTCACTGGAAAAAGGATAGTCTTTTCAACAAACAAGGTTGGAACAACTGGATATCCATATGCAAAAGAAAATCTTGACTTTATGTAAAAATTAACTCAATATGGATCATAAATCTAAATGTCAAATGTAAAACTATAAAATTCCTAGAAGAAATAAAGGAGAAAAGTCTTTGTAAACCTGGCTTAGACACAGAGTTCTTAGACATAACACTAAAAACATAATTCATAAAAGAAAAAAACTGGCAAGTCGAACCTCACTAAATTTCAAACTTTTGCTGTGAAAGACATTGAAAGTATAAAAAGACAGACTGGGAGAAAATATTTGCAAATTATTAACAAAATAAATTGTATAAAAAATATATAAAGAATTCAAAACTCAACAACAAGAAAACAACCCCAATTTTCTTAATGGGCAAAAGATTTGCATACACACTTCACCAAAAAGGGCAAGTTGCACAGAAAAAGATGCTCAACATCATCAGTCATTAGGGAAATGCAATTTAAAACTATGAGACATCACTAAAATACCTAATAGAATGGCTAAAACAAAACAAAACTGAGAATACCTAACACTGGTGAGGATGCCAATCAACTATAACTCCCATACACTGTTGGTGGGAATTTTAAAGTTACAGCCATTCTGAGGAACAGCTGAGCAGTATCTCATAAAGTTAAACACTTACCATATGACCCAGCAATCTTACTCTGAGATATATGCCCTAGAGAAATGAAAACATGTTGACGCAAAAACCTAACGTTATAAACCCAAATGTTTATAGCTGCCTTATTCATAATCCCTACGAACTGCTGGCAACCCAGTTGTCATTCACCAGGTGAATGGATAAGCTATGGTACATTCATACAATGGAATACTACTCAGTGATGAAAAGGAACAAACTTTCATACAACATTGAGATTCATCTATGTTGTTGTGTGATAAAGGCATTATGCTTGGTGAAAGAAGCCAGCCCCAAAAGATTACATATTTTATGCCCGGAAAAGGGAAAGGGATGGTGAATAGATCAGTGAATGCCAAGAGTTAGGAGTGGAGGGAGGGCTTGACTACAAAAAGCTGGCATAAGGGCCCTCTGTAGTTTAAAAAAAAACTTTTTTAACTGAACTAATGATCTTTACTCTATCCAACCCCCACTTCTGCCCCAAACTTCCTCATCATCCATATTTCCTAAATCACTACCACTATCCATCCAGTTGCTTTGTTTCTCCATGGGGTCAGCTAAGGCCCCTGTATACCTGGTTCACGGTTTTACATCCAATGCCTAGAACAAGGCAGTTGTTGAATAAATATTTATTACCTAAAGATGAAACCTAAAACTATTAAAGAAGAAACTGTAGAAGACCTGGGGCCACTGAACACACACACACATTAAACACACACACATTAAACACACACACACACACAAAAAGAAAAAGGTAAAATTGAAACATAAATGGACAGTATAGCCATTGTGGAAAACAATATGAAAGTTCCTCAAAAAATGAAAAATAAAACTTCCCTATGATCCAGCAATCCCACCACTGGGTATATATCCAAAGGAAATGAAATAAGTATATCAAAGAGATATCTTCACCTCCATACTCACTACAGCATTATTCACAATAGCCAAGACGTGGAATTTACCCAGTGTCCATCAACAGATGAATGGATAAAGGAAAAAATGGTATATATACACAATGGAATACTATTCAGCCTTTAAAAAGGAGGAAATCTTCCCATTTGTGACAATAAAGATGAACCTGGAGGACATTTTAAGTACAATAAGCCAGGTATAGAAAAACAAATACTGCATGATGTCACTTAAATGTGTAATCTAAAAATGTAGAATTCATAAATGCAGACAGCAGAATGGTGGTTACCAGAGGTTGAAGGGTGGGGATTTGGGTGATGTTAGCAAAAGGATAAAAAATTTCAGTTAGATAGGAGGAATAAGTTCAAGAGGTCTATTGTACAATAAGGTTAGTGTAGTTAATATTATAACAATGTATTATATTCTTGAAAATCGCTGGGAGATTTTTTTTTTAATTATACTTTAAGTTCTAGGGTAGATTTTAACCATTCTCACTACAGAAAAACGTTAAGTATATGAGGTAATACATATGTTAATTAGCTCAATTTAGCCATTCCACAATCCCTATATATTTTAAAACATTATTATGTTGTCCACAATAAATATATTCAATTTTTATTTGTCAATGAAAATAAATAAAATAAAAAATAAATGAAAAACAGGCCAGGCATAGTGCCTCATGCCTGTAATCCCAGTGTTTTGGGAAGCTAAGGCAGGAGGATCCCTTGAGGCAGACACCTGAATACTTGTTGGGAGGATTAAAAAAGTTTATCTATAATCTAAGTACTGTTAATACTATTGTTATCCTCACTTTACAGATGAGGAAACAGAAAAATCATTATATAACTTACCTATGGCCATACAGCTAGTAATAAGGAACATAAGGCAGAATAACGAAGAAAATAACATGTACAGCACAGTATCACAAGTTAAAAACACACAAAACAACATTTCATATTTTATGTATTTAATGCATATTCAAAAACATATATAAAACATATTAGAGTAGAAGCCTAAGGAGACAAGGGAAATGGGACTGAGTGTGGCAGATGAAGGCAGAGTAAAAAATACAAAATAAGAGATATCTTGCACTGTCCAATGATAATGTATTGTGAACTGAACGCTGGGGCTACTCGACTTTCTATCTTTAAGGACCAAACTGTGTTTTATATATATATATGTTTTATATTTATATATTTATTGAATGTATGAATGCCAGAAATTTGGGCCCATCCTTGGCATCTCCCTCTACCTCTCCCCCTTCCATCCCATTCAATCACCAAGTCTTGTCTATTCTACCTCAAATATATTTGAAATATGGCAGCCTCTCATCACGCCCATTTACACTCTCTAGTCCAAGCCACAACTACCACAATTGCTTTCTAACCAACTGCCTGACCTCTTTTCAGTTTTGCCCTGCTCCAATTCATTTCTCATTAATCTGATCTGACACTGCTTAACTACACAATTCAACAGCTTTCCATTACTCTCATGATGAAGTCCAAAGTCCTTGATACACATCCAACAAGGCCCTGAATTATTTGCTCCTACCGTCTTTCCTGTTTTCATTCACACCACAGTCCCTTCTCTCACTACATTCCAGGCACTCTGTTATTTTCAATTCCTCATACTTGCCACTCTCCTTCCCACTTTAAAGGGATACAGACACACATTTTAGCCAGGGTCTGTATCTGTCAGATCTCAGCTGAAACGTCACTTCCTTAGGGAAGCTTTCTCTGATACACTAGCCAGGGTGAACTCTCCCTATTATGCACTTCTCCTTTATGGCCCTTAACATTATGTTAGATTACAGATTCTAGCTAGATTATAAACTCCAGGAGGACAAGAGACATTTTTATTTTCACTATTTTATCATGTATACCTAACACAGTGCCCATATATAAAATACTGATATGTATTAATAATTCATTTGAGGGTGATAAAACTGTTAGTCTATTTGCTAAAAGTAGTTTTAATATGCCTGCTAATATTTTTAAGTGAATAAACAAAATGCTTTCTTTCCAAAAAAAAAAATCCTTTGTTCTGTGAACTTCATCTTACTGTTTTTTCTTTGTTCTGTGAACTTCATATTACTGTTTTTTCTGTGAATCAATGACTATCCACATTGAAATTTTAGAAAAATTAACAGCAATCTTCTCTTCTCAAAAGCTCATCTTCAAATTTAAGGAGAGTACATTCTCAATGTGTGCAGAATTTATTTCAGCTCAGTAATTCTACAAATGTCATCTTATATTACGATGCGGTAGACAGAAACACATCAGTCAAAATTTACCTACTCTATCGCATTTAAGTAACATTTTCTCAGTGAAAAAAACTTAGGGGAGGAAAATGTTACATATCTAAAGAGCTTAAGTAGACTCGACTCTAAATATTATGGCCACAAAGGCAAGAATCCATTATTAAATTCTTATCAAGTATTTAGGCTGGGCGTGGCGGCTCATGCCTGTAATCCCAGCACTCTGGGAGGCCGAGTTGGGCAGATCACCTGAGGTCAGGAGCTCGAGACCAGTCCGGCCAATGTGGCAAAACCCCATCTCTACTAAAAATACAATAATTAGCTGGATGCAGTGGTGCATGCCTGTAGTCCCAGCTACTCGGGAGGCTGAGGCAGGAGAATCACTTGGGCCCGGAGCAGGGAGTGCGGAGGTTGCAGTGAGCCAAAATTGGGCTACTGCACTCAAGCCTGGGTGACAGAGCAAGACTCCATCTCAAAAAAAAAAAAAAAAATACTAGTATTTGGCTGGGTGTGGTGGCTCATACCTGTAATGCCAGCACTTTGGGAGGCTGAGACAGGAGCTCAAGACCAGCCTGGGCAACATAGTGAGACCCTATCTCTACAAAAACTTTAAAAATTAGCCAGGTGTGGTGGCATGCACCTATGGTCCCAGCTACTCTGGGGGCTAAGGTGGGAAGATTGCTTGAGTCCAGGAGGTCGAGGCTACAGTGAGCTGTGATGGTGCTACTGCACTCCAGTCTGGGTGACAGTGAGTCCTTGTCTCAGAAAAAAAAAAACAAAACACTTAGTACTTGCTGTAATATTTCACCACCAGGTGGCAGATCCATACTACGTTCTGGAAATGTTTTTATCAACCCTGATAAGTTAGTCCAATTAGAAGGAATTTTAGGAAAAGTAAAATAATTTTAACTGTATTTGAACCTGAGCCAGTTAACCACAGGGTAGTTACAATTGGCCCTCAGAACATTATACTTCTATTTAACTGTAAATTTGTCCCCAGGCCATGCAGAGTACCTAATTTTCTTTAAAGAGAACAGAATATTAAAATGCAGTTTTAAAATGTGATTATCTATAGTCCAGTCATTCAAAATCCTGAGAAGTCTAAGAGGAGTTTGAATCCCAAAGTAAAGGGAACATGAAATGAAAAGGTAGAAAAAAATACAGGTGAGACAATGAGAAAAAGGGGAGAGAGATGAAACATCTACCAAACCAAGAAGCTAGCAAAACCCAAGTTACAGCAACGCCCTTCAAAAATGAACATGTCTGTGTTTTATGTGTTCAGCAATATATTCTAATTAATAAGATAAAGACTTTAATCTCAAGTCAATCAGTTAATTATGAAATTGACTTTTCAAATTTTTCAATAATTCTAAAATTCTTAAAATGTATTATTATCAAGATGAAATATATTATCTTGAAATGACTCTTCAGTTATTTTAAAATGCTATTGAAAACGCTATTTGCAAATGCATCCTTGAAATCTAAGGAGAACACCTTAATTTGTTTACCACCTTGGCTGCAGCACACCTTTCCCTCCACTGTCCTTCTTCCAGTCCTACCCAACTTCTCCCGCCTCTTTCTGGCCCATGTTTGCAGGGAGAAGAGATGACCCCTGACACTCAGAAAGAGATCCCTGGCCACTATACACACCAGTCAATGGTTCAACTTCCTCACTAATGCTTCCTTCCTCATGTCCTTTAATCCACTAACCAAATCTACCTCGGCCACAATTAGAAATCAACACCCAACCTCTACCATGAACCAAGGCTGACCTGAGTTTTGTGAAATTTGAAGCATATATAATTTGAGGGCCTTTTTGAAGAAAAAAAAAAATGGAAAAAAATTTTTCAATTTTGCAAATGTTACAAAAATATGTAACTAACAAACACACTACACTGCTAGAGCCTCTCCCAGATCCTAGAAGAGGTCTATGCAAGTGAGGGGATCCAGGGCTCACCAACTTAAGGGTAAATTGTCTCTGCCATGAAGACATGTTGAGGAAAAAACAAGCCTATAAACTCTGTTTGTTAAATAAAACAACTAGTACACCAATTCCATTCAATAAAAGAAAGGCACTGGCTAGAGAGTTACAGTGTTCACAGTTACTTTAGAACAAACTGGCTAAAATTAAGGACAGATAGAAACTGTCTAATGGCAACAAGAGAGCAAAGCACAGAGAAGAAAAAATGTGAGTGGAATCAATGGGGGAAAGGCATACTCATCCACTTCTTTCATACTCCTGAAGCTTATTGCCATCAATTATTTGTAGGTCTCCCCCAGGAACAGTTTTCCCTACTGGGTTATTTACATAACCTAACTTCAGAAAGCTCTCACTTTTCTTCCCTGACAAACAAAAAGAGAGAGAAAAAACAATTCTCAAACAACTTTGCTTTGAGAATTTTTCTTTCATTTATACATCATATATTCCATCATTCTATTGACCAAGGTCCCTATCACTATTAGAAGAAAGTTGCCAAATCTCTCATTCCTTCCTCTAATACAATCTGCTTTGATATATGCAAAGGTCTCAGAAGCTTATCTGACTGAACAAGAACACAAGTTCTCATTTCCTAATAACTTCCTGAATATTTTATTATCGTTTCCGCCCAGGAAATTTATTCACTCTATGTAGCTCCAACACAAACAGTTCATTTCTGAAGGGAAACTATTCAAGTATAGCAGAAACTCATATAAAAGAGTACTTCCAATAGGCTGTTGTTAAACTATGTATCCGAGTGAAAAAATGAGTTGAAAATACATATGAATTTAGAAATACACAAAAAATAAAGAGAGACATTTATTTAAAATAAAAATATTTTCCCATACTAATTGATTAAATACAAAGAAAACCCACTGGCCTATTTGATTGAATAGTACCAACAGCAAAATTGATTGAATAGTACACTTAAGATCTAGATTTACGTTTCAACCATACCTACATTTCAACTATAACGCAGTAAAAATATATTTTAAAAGTCCAAAAGTAAGATTTGAGTAATTTTGGCCATTAGCGAGAAAAATTATTGGTACTCTTTTCAAGGGAAAAAGATTTCTAGAAATTGCCTTAAATGTCTTAACATAATTTGTATTCCTAGGGCCACAATTTTGGGCCTATTACATGGCATAATAGCCTACAATACATGCCAAACTTCACAGTAAATCCTCTCTGCTCTTTGGAGCTAAGGATGTGGGGCAGTAAACAACCAGTAACAATAAGATTCCAAAACAAAATCTATTTGGGCATTCTCTTTGCCATACACAACTCTGAACAATTAAAAAAGAGCTTCTTTCCTTTCTCTTTGAAATAGAGGAAGTAGTCTGACTAAACAAAGGGTATAAGAGATAATGCACTTAGAAAGAAAGGGAATTCCAGGAGGGAAAACCACACTGTTTAGTATTTCGTAATGCAGCAAGCTGGTTAAGAGCCTGGCCTGAGTTCAAATTCCTGCTTGTCATTTACTAGGTATATAACCACAGATTAAATGACTTACTATATCAA
Source organism: Homo sapiens (assembly GCF_000001405.40). Taxonomy (NCBI): domain Eukaryota; kingdom Metazoa; phylum Chordata; class Mammalia; order Primates; family Hominidae; genus Homo; species Homo sapiens. Next base: position 73,078,859 of record NC_000015.10, on the reverse strand, counting down.
CACACTTTTTAAAAATCTCCAGCACACAGTGCTTTACACATGAGAAAACTAAAGCACAGAGAGGTTAACCAGCTTGCCTAAGGTCCCCAAGACCTTAGAAACACCCAGCGCTGCTAGTGTTTCTAGAGGAGGCATGAAGGAAGAGATCTGCAGAAAGATACAAGGAAAATACAGCTAACTGTATCTTAACTCAATAGAAACATAGAGCATCTACTGTATCTGTGCAACCAACGGTTGCCCGTGCCACACCCTACACCTCAGTGTCCCTAAAATCTTTTAAGAACACTTTACTGTGTGTTAGACCTCTTATTTAGCAGGACGGTAGGAAACACTGCCATTGTTTTAGATAAACAGAGCCCTTTGTGGACTGGGGCTGGGAAATGAAACTAGACCAGCCACCTATACTGCTCCTCCTGAATCATCCTTGAAGACATCAGCATGAAAACCAACAAATTTCAGGTGATAAAAATCTACAGAACATTCAAACATCCACTGTGTTTAATACGGCAACACAACTGAATACAGTATATCACAGAAAGCATTCTACATTGTCAATATCCTTCTCCCTGCTTCTCCTGCAGGGATTCTCTAGCTTACTTGAACAGGGAACACTTTCCCCTCCCCTAATATAAAACTATTAAACTACTAGATTAGAAGAACAATGGTCCATGAAACACCAACTTGGGTAAACAGCCTAGACTGAACCCACTCTTCCAATTCACAGTATACACCACTGTCAGATCAAGGACGCTTCTTTTCTATCCCTTTCTTGTGCCACTTCACATCACCACCCTAAACCTCCAAGTAAATTACTTTCTGTTGCCCATATCACCAATGCTTTCCCACTTCTGGATGTTTGCTCATTATACTTCCTCTCCCGCTTCCCATCGCCATAGGTCTGTCTCCACTGCTAAGCCAGGGCCAACATCCTGCGCAATGGACAGAGGAACCATGTACCCAGCCTTCAAGATCTATCAAATTCTATCATCCCATAAAGCTTACACTGAGTTGCTTCATGGAAGTAACCTTCTCATTTTTAGAAAACCCAAAGCACTCTGCACCCCTTTTACAGCATATATCACCTTCTCCTCAGCAGTATTATTTTTACGTATGATATGCCATTTGTTAGACTGGTAACTTATTTCTCCCGTTACCTAGCACAGTGCCTCATACATAGCTGCTCAATAAATGCTTGTTGAATGAATAAATGAGTCTGAGAATCTATTTCCCATCAGAGAATCATAATTAGTTTTTGCTAAACACAGTTAAATAGACTGGACTTCTCCTTCAGAGAACACAAACTATTTGAAATTGCCAAGAGCTACATCTTAAATCAGAGAAAGTCACTGAGCTGTACAGCAGAACTTCATTCACACAAGCTTCCTTGTACTTACTTGTTTATGTGTTCTTCTCTGTGAAACAGGCCTTTATACTGCCAAAACTGAGTAGGGTGGAGAACATAACTAGTTTAATTTGTGTTTAAAAATATGCAGTCAATTAGAATGTAGTTATGACAACCTGAAAACGGTGGCTCATGCCTGTTATCCCAGCACTTTGGGAGGCCGAGGTGAGTGGATCACCTGAGGTCAGGAGTTCAAGACCAGCCTGGCCAACATGGCAAAACCCCATCTCTACTAGAAATACAAAAATTAGCCAGGCGTGGTGGCGGGCACCTGTAATCCCAGCTACTCGGGAGGCTGAGGCAGGAGAATCACTAGAACCTGAGAGGCAGAGGTTCTGGGGAGCTGAGATCATGTCACTACACTCCAGCCTGTGCCAGAGAGAGAGACTCTGTCTCAAAATAAATAAATTAATTAATTTAAAAAAATTGCTATGTTATTATAAGATATCACTATCCTACAGTTTTCCTCTAAATAATCATAGAATATGTTTCTGAACTTTTTCTGATAACTCAGTTCTTCCACAGAAAGTGCCTTACCTCCTACAATAATCCCTGGAGAGAAGAAGGACCTAAGAAAACACAGTTGTCTTATAAACCAAAACATGATCCTTCTAAATCCTTGAAGAGGAACAGCAATGTTGTGAGAAAGAGGAAAGGTAGAGATAAGAAAAGAAGGTAGCCTGAGCAGTAGCAAAATAAATGTGAGAAAGATCAGGCTTGCTTCCAAAGAAAAAAATCAGTTAACAAAAGACAGGGACTGCTTTGGGGTGTGAGGAGGTGGGTGGGGAGAACATGCTGAGGTTGGGGGAGTTGGAAATACAAACTTAGAATGAAGTTACTTAAGCTTTGCACTGTACAAGATCCCAGGCCTTCTCCAAATGCCACACCACTCAGAGGTCCTCTCATGCTTACTGTCAGTACCTTCTATTTATCTATACAACCAATACTTACTGAAAATCAACTATGGGCCTGGCACTCTTCTAGGCACTGGAAAAATAGTAAGTAGCATTCATTTAGCAGAAAGGACAGAGATATGACATTGTTACTTAACTTCTTTAGGTCCTTCAGTCTCCAATCAGATCGTAAACCTTTTGAAGGTAGGACCTCTCAACTAGATTACAAACACCTTAAGAGCAGGGTAAAAATTATATACTAAATGTCATTTTCTTCACAGTCTCTGCGTATCTAAAAATATCACAGAATCTATTCATGCCCCCATATTGCTATTAATAAAAATGAAAATATTCATCGTGGCTGTTTGCAGGCAATGTTATACCATCACAAACCAAAAGCAGACAAAAGGGAGATCTGAGCCGCACCTTAATTCTTGGTCCTTTGTACTTCTATTAATTCCACTGGAAACATCATTTCACGATCTCCCTCCCCATATTTCTATTCTCTCCTTCCATGCTCAACTGTTCCCTAAATTATTGCAAATATGAGACATTCATTCAAAACCTGGTGAACTTTGTGCTAAAGCTTAGCAAAAAAAGGAAATTCAAAACAGACAAAAATAGGTTACAACTTACAAAAGAATGTGGCATAATCCTAGTCACAGCTCAAGTAAAGTGCAACCTCTCTGGAAAAGAGAGGAAGGAAGGGGTTGAAGCAGATGATCTTGGGGGTCTTCTTCCAGTTAAAACAATTCTATGATTCACAAATTCTGACAAGCACACACACAAGCACACAGATTAAACAATTTTACAATAGGACAGCACTATTTGGCTCAACTGATTGGGCAGAATTCCCTAGTTGGTGACGTGGCATCCTATGATACAAAAGAAACCATCAACAGGCTCAATCTTCACATGGCCAGTGTTTACACTGACACCCTTCCAGTGTCTCTATCAAATGGACAATAATCATCAACTTGTACTTCTAGATGCAGAGTTCCCCCAAGTCCAATCTGTTTCCACTTTCAGAATAGCAACTGAAAGTGCATGTCTGCCTCGTGATGGATCATTAGCATTTTTTCATTTTATAAAGTTGGCATACATAAAAGTGCACCACTCATCTGGCATTTAATCATATACTGCTTTGAGACACACTGATTCTTAATATGTTGTCTCAGGTTACATTAGACAAGTTCCTTAAGGGCAAAAGCTATATTATGCAACTCTGTACCTGCCATAACACAGTATCAAGCAACACAGGCACCACAACCAAAACAAAGCACCACCATCACATCCTTCCCTCTGTCCCTTTCCCGCCCCCACAAAAATCCCTGCTAGATAAAAGGCTGCTGGACGTTCTATTTAACTTTGGACTTCTAGAAGGCTGGAATTGTATATCATATTCACTTACTTCTTTGTATGGTCTAAAGCATAACTGGTCATGTCAGAGGAACTTAAATAGGTGCTATGAATCTAAGCCTCACTTTTTTCACCTATAAAAGCAGAAAAATAAATTAAATGATTCCTCCTATGACTCTGTAATTTTGAAATAGTCTTTAATTCAAAAACAAAATATTTCTGGAGACACATTATATGCCAGGCACTGTGTTACGTCCTAAGGATATAGAGATAAAAGTATGGCCACTACCTAGAGGAACATGTTCTCATGATCATAATTTGAATTTCTCCATCTGGCTCCTGCACCCCAACCCTGGTTGTAGTCTACCCTGGTCATAGGGTGCCAGTATTTCATATGCTTGCAAAGCAAACAGTGTCAAGGAGAGGAAGGAGGCCAGGGACTCCTGGGGTAAGACTGACAGAAAGGGGAGAGTCATGCTGGAGAGGGATGTGAAAAGTGGGCACACAGAGAAGAGCTTCCCCCCTCCCATAAAGGGCCATGTGCCTATACTACTTCAAACATGAGAAAATAATTCTGTCTGGAATTGTTAATTGTGTCCATAATCTAAATAACATGAGGGTATCCTCACACATCGAAAACCCATTTTATTACACTGTATAATATTATATGAAGTCACTTCTAACAGCTCCGTATGAGTCACAGAAATAAAGCATAAGAAAAAGAAACATGCAAAGGAACACTTCATTTTAGCCATTAATTTATGTACATTCTCTGTTTTTCTTCTCCTTATCTTACTCATGAGTTTAAAACAACAAAACAGTCAGAGAGATTAGAAAGGAGTGAAAAACAAGGTGACTGCCTAATCTTGATAAATAAACTAGATAACTGGCCTCTGAATAACGAGAAATTGGTTATTAAGGCCTCCATTTTCAGACAGAACCCGTTTTTAGAAATGGATGTCTAAAACTGAATTACCCTGCAGAACAACTCTGATTGCATTTACAAGGTACCTGAACTATGCCTGAGCTGATACCTTTATCTGTTTAGACATGACTTGAGTCCTCAAATGAGTAAAATCTGCTGTGTAAATCAGGTACTTAATTAAAGAAAAAGCTTAGTAGGCTGCAGGGAGAGATTTGTTGAAATGGTGAATTAAACACTGTTATAGTAAGAGACCTCCTTCACTTATTAATTCTATCATTAGTCCACAAAATTCAAGTCAGACAAGAGTAGCTACTGTTTATGCATTTTTCATTTAAGATTCTAGAGTAGGGTAAATACTTACTGGGAATCTACAATCTCCAATGGGCTCACTGAGGCCTGGCAGATGAGGGGGAAAAGGCACTGAAAACAATACTATTCCCATATAATTTACAATCCTGTTAAATCTCCTAGTATGGTACATTCTCATATTAGTTCTGGTAATAGTAATCCTACCTCTCTGGTCAACCAATTCCTCAACACTCCTGAAAACCATTTCCTGCTTATCACGTACAGCAAAAGGCCTCACTGCCTCATTAACAATAATATTCACCTGTTCTTATGTTCCTTCCCTCTCGTTAAAGGAGAGTTCTCTCTCCTACAATGGGTCGAATGCAAATCTTTCTACTTGTGCTCAAAACCCCGTGTTCTCCCAACCTTCCCAGGAAACTTACACTGTCAGTTATCCCATTTTCCTTGCATACTTAAACTATCCCTCTCAAATAGAGCCTTCCATTTTTAAATACGCTCCAGAATCTCATCCATTAAACAGACACACACACACACCCAACTCATGAGACCTCAACCACTACATTCAGTCATCCCCATCATGGCTAAATTTCTGGAACTTTTCAGTCTTCATTTCCTCCCTTCCCACTTGTCCCTCAACCTGCTTCCAAATTCCATCTCCAGCTGTCAGTAAGGTCAACAGTGACTGACAGGTAAATGCAAAAGACTCTCCAATCATCAGCATACTTAATTCTGCCAGCAGAATCAGATACTCTCCTCCTTGGTTCCTGTGATACAACCTTCTCCTAGTTTTCCTCCTACTTCTCCGCTCACTTCTCTGTCTTATAATAACCCATCTTTCTCAATTCAACCACATTCTAAGCATATGACTCACAAATCTACAGCCCATGTCTTCCATCACACTCCAGACTGTAATGCTGCCCCTGGATATCACAAAGGTGTATCAAATTCATAATGTCCAAAATTAAACGCATGTTCTTCTTGTCCCCCAAACTTAGTTCTTTCTCCGTAAAAGACATCAGCACCCATCATCCTGCTATGCAAATCCTAAAGAACCTTAGGAATCATCTTTGACATGTCCCTCTCCCTCACCACCATATCCAATCCATCACCAAATTCTACTTTATCATCTAAATATCTTTCTATTCCATGTACTTCTCTACACTGCCATCATGCTAATCCAATTTACCTCTGTAAACTACCTAGGCTACTACAACGGGCCTAAGTATGAAACATGACCATCACCACCACAACCCCACCTCCATGCACGCAAGCACACACACACTTTTTCTTCATGTATTATGATGGTCACTTTATTTAATAACCTTTTAAATTCATTAAATTTAGGCAAAGCACAAATCGCTTGTTTACATGTATTCCTACCCTATCTCATTCCCACAAGTGTGAACTTTACCAGGACAGGATGTAAGTTTTAATCATCCTCATGGTCCCAACATAGAGCATGCAACATGTACTCAATAAAGGTTTACTGAATTTGTCTGAAATTCACCTTGTTTTGGAGAGTTAGAAAAAGCTTGTATACATGAGACTTTCAGATGACCTTTTCATTTATGTTCCTGCTTCCGTCCAACAGTTGAGTCAGTTAATAAAGCAAAATTAAAACTTTTAAAAATTATAACTTTGAATCTTCCAGATATTACATTAATGAAATACAATCCAAATTCTAATGACATTTCACAGTTAAAAAAAAAAAATTAAAAGCTGGCTGGGCACGGTGGCTCACACCTGTAATCCCAGCACTTTGGGAAGCCGAGGCAGGCAGATCACCTGAGGTCAGGAGTTCAAGACCAGCCTGTTCAAAATGGTGAAACCCTGTCTCTACTAAAAATACAAAAATTAGCTGAGTGTAGTGGCACATGCCTGTAATCCCAACTACTCAGGAGGCTGAGGCAGGAGAATCGCTTGAACCTGGGAGGCGGAGGTTGCAGTGGGCCAAGATCGGCCCATTGCACTTCAGCCTGGGTGACAAGAGTGAAACTCCATCTCAAAAAACAAACAAACAAACAAACAAACAAAATTAAATTAAAAGCCATCAGATATAGTATGATCATTTCTATGGAAAAACAACTAAAAGACTTTCAGAGAACGGCAATTGTTTTCAATATTCAGTTATAAAGACATTTCTTAAAACAAAAGTGGGCCAGGTGTGGTGGCTTACACCTGTAATCCCAGCAATCTGGGAAGCCACGGTGGGCCGATCATTTGAGCCTAGAAGTTTGAGCCCAGCCTGGGCAACATGGCAAAACCCTGTCTCTACAAATAAATACAAAAAATTAGCCAAGCATGGTAGTCCCAGCCATTGAGAGGCTGAGATGGGACAATCAACTCAGCCCACAAGGTCAAGGCTGCAGTAAGCTGTGATGGCAGCACTGCACTCCAGCCTGGGTGATGGAGTGAGACTCTGTCTCAAAAAAACAAACAAACAAACAAACAAAAAACATCTAAGTGAATAAATAGCAACTACCCCATCATACATAAATTACATTTTTCCCTGGAGGAGGAGTTCATTCTCAAACACTGTTTCTTTTAAATTCTGAAGCAATATCCTGTTCTTTTCAATCAGCACTTAGAAAATGTTTCTCAAACTTTATGAATACAAAATCCATCAGATGCTTCTCAAAATTCAGATTTCCAGGCCCCAGAACCACAAATTTTCTCTCAGTAGATGTGTAATGATGCCCTGAAAGTAGTAACTACACATAAAGAATCGCTTAGGGCCAGGCACGATGGTTCATGCCTGCACTTTGGGAGGCCAAGGCAGGAAGATCTCTTGAGGCCAGGAGTTCCAGACCAGCCTGGGCAACATAGCAAGACTCTGTCTCTATACAAATTTTTAAAATTAGCCAGGTGTGGTAGCACCCACCTGTAGTCCAAGCTACTCAGGAGGCTTGAGCCCAGGAGTTGAAGGCTACCGTTAGCTATGATCATGCCACTGCACTCCAGCCTGGGTTACAGAGTGAGATCCTGACTCTAAAAATATTTTTAAAAAGAATCACTTCAGCATGCTGCCAATGGCTAAGGCAACCAGCCCCTACTGAAGATATAATCTTAAAAGATATTACAGCAGTCCCTCCTTATCCACAGTTTTGCTTTCCACGGTTTCACTTTCTACAGTTTCAGTTACCCATAGTCAACCATGATATGAAAATATTTAGATAATCTGTGAGACAGAGAGACAGAACATTCACTTAACTTTTATGACAATATGTCATAACTGTTCTAGTTATTATTAATATCTTACTGTACCTAATTTATAAATTAAACTTTGCCATATGTATGTACAGGGAAAAAAACTGGTATATAGATTTGATACTATCCATGGTTTCAAGGCGTATACTAGGATCTTGGAATGTATCTCCCATGGATAAGGGGGGACTACTGTATACACTATTGATAAGGCTTTTTAAAAACCTCTTTTCTATTTTCTTCTAGCTCTTCCATGATTCACTTTCATCATGAAATTATGCATTTATGATACATAACAAATGCTCCTTAAATATTTCTACCGAGTTGAGTTACACTCACATGAGTTATATCTACAGCTAGTAAAATTACACTTCATTTGTTTCATGTAATTAAAATATAGTTCATGATATCTCTCAAAGTATACCACTACTTCCAGATGTTCTAACACCTGAACAAGTGTGAAAGCCACTGTATTAAAAACTGAAAATCTGGCATCAAGTGTATTTTTTATATCAACTTTATAATATTACAAATAAAATACATATTTGAGCAAGGATGAACGACATATAGGGAAATTAACCTACATCATGGCAAAGCATTAGTCTGAAAGGTTCAATTTAATAACTTTCCCTAAATTGTACTATTCTTGTTGGATATAAAATGAAGACAACCAACTCTCTGTACAGAGTATTTTATGCCTCTAACAGATATAACCTTGTTTTCCCCATGCCAACATATTGAAGCTAGCCATTTTCCTTTCCAATCTACTTTTTGGCCACAGTTGCCTGCTTTTTCCCAATTCCTTATACTATACTCAATCTGTCAAACCACTTCCAAAGCATTATTTCCCAACTAGCAAACTCTAGCTTTAAGGTGGAAGCAGACTGCTAACTCTTCTTCCTTTAAGTAAAAATGAATATATAATGCCTCTACTTTTCTGTCTCATGTCCTACCTACCTTACTAAACTCTGAATTCCTTATTTAACAAATTAAAAAATAAAAATGCCATAAAATCCATACTATCCTACTTTCTAAATATGTGTAACATGGGTAAATTATATCTATTATATGTGCGTGTGTGCGTATATATATACGTATGTGTATATATATAAAAATATATAAACCATAAACCCTTAATTGATATAATCATCTAGTCAGAGAATAAACAGAAATTTACTATAAAAATGAGTAATTCAACTGAAATTATAGATAAGATTTTAACTGGAATATTTTCTATAGATATAAAAACTATTATCAATGTTTATATATTAATTGATATTCAACAATCTAACTAATGGGTTAAAAAACAAAAACTTTGATCAAACACTGTTTCTCTCTCTTTAAAAAAAAAAAGTCTCTTGGCCTCAGAGAAAGGTATCTCTGCCTCAATAACAGGTATATAAGATCAAAGAACGTGCTGACATCTGTGCTCCCAAAATCTGGCACTGCCCCAAAACGCAGCTGGCAATCATGAAAATGTCTGTTGAATAAAAAATGCCCCTACTCGGCTGTGCGCAGTGGCTCATGCCTATAATCCCAGCACTTTGGGAGGCCAAGAAGGGAGGATCGCTTAAGCCCAGGAGTTTAAGACCAGCTGGGCAACATAGCAAAACCCTGTCTCTACAAAAAAAAAAAAAAAAAATACAAAAATTAGCCCATGGTGACGCATGACTGTAGTCCCAGCTACTTGGGAGGCTGAAGGGGGGAGGATCATTTGAACCCAAGAGGTCGAGGCTGCAGTAACCTGTGATTACCCCATTGCACTCCAGCCTAGGTGAGAGTGAGACCCTGTCTCCAAAAAAAAAAAAAAAGCCCCACTCTATCAAAGGTTTTACATCAGTCAGGAGCTAACTAGCCTAGCACAGTCCTTCAGTGATTGCAGAATTTCAATCTAAATGTACATAAAAGTTAAAAAAAAACACTATTCTTTTTAATTGGATCAGACATCAAACTAAACCAAATGAGAACAACAACAAAATACCCAGTGTAGATTCTCAGTCCAAGATGGCAAAACTAAGCTCATGCATTTAACCAATGCCCACCAACACCTTATCTTAATATCCACTAAAATAACTGAACAAATTTTTAAAAAATTAATAAATAAAAACACCAAGGGGGAAAATCTGTACCTCCACTGGAAATCACAGAATAGCGACAAGCATATGTGGACGGACCCATGATACCTCCAAGAAAAAAGGCTGGCAAAGCATCTGGTTCAGCACTCATGTTGAGGATTAGAGATGAGGGACAGAAACACACCAGGTGCAGTGGCTCACACCTATAATCCCAGTACTTTGCGAGGCCAAGGCACGTGGATGACTTGAGGTCAGGAGTTGAAGACCAACCTGGCCAACATGGCAAAACCCCATCTCTACTAAAAATACAAAAATTAGCCAGGTGTGGTTGTGCACACCTGTAATCCCAGCTATTGGGCACTAGAATCACTTGAACCCAAGAGGCAGAGGTTGCAGTGAGCCGAGAACCCACCAATGCACTCCAGCCTGGGTGCAGTGAGACACTGTCTCAAAAAAAAAGGGGGGGGGGTAGGGGGACAAAAACAAAAATACAGGAGGCTGCCACAGCTAGCTCCACAACTGATGAATCTCAGCATTGCAAACAATGCGTTAGCAGTAAACCTCCCTGTCTCATAGCTATCTGGCTATATCTTGCCCCTACTCCCTGCAAACCACCAAACTAATGATATAGGAATGTAGATCATTCTGTTAAACCAATAATCTAGGAATGTCAATCAAACTGTTAAATGGTTGCAAATCTAAAACTTTCTCTTCTTTCATCTATACCTGAAATATTAGAACAGGAACCCACACAAGCTTGAAAATCATCCATTTCAGGGCCCAGTGTGGTGGCTCACACCTGTAATCCCAGCACTTTGGGAGGCCGAAACAGGTGGATCACGAGGTCAGGAGATCGAGACCATCCTAGCTAACACAGTGAAACCCCGTCTCTACTAAAAATACAAAAAATTAGCCGGGCATGGTGGCGGGCGCCTGTAGTCCCAGCTACTTGGGAGGCTGAGGCAGGAGAATGGCGTGAACCTGGGAGGCGGAGCTTGCAGTGAGCTGAGATGGCACCACTGCACTCCAGCCTGGGGGACAGAGCGAGACTCTGTCTCAAAAAAAAAAAAAAAAAATTAGCTGGGCGTGGTGGCAGGCGCCTGCAGTCCCAGCTACTCAGGAGGCTGAGGCAGGAGAAAGGCGTGAACCCGGGAGGCAGAGTTTGCAGTGAGCCAAGATATTGCCACTGCACTCCAGCCTGGGCAACACAGCGAGACTCTGTCTCAAAAAAAAAAAAAAAGAAAGAAAAGCATCCATGTCAACCAGCAATACTGAATATATATAGACACCATCATATCATCATGGTCACCACAAACAGACATTTGAAAAGACCTAGAAGCTAAAAGAATGATTGTTCTATCAACTGGAGCAAAAATTTCCCCGGAAAATTTACAGAGAGAGAGAAACAAATTTTAGAATATCATTAGAATTCCCAACTGCAGAAATCCCAATTACAGAAATCCTAAAGAAACTTAAAAGAATACTGTGTATATGAAAACAGAACAATCTGAAATCAGGAGGATTGCTTTTGGCTACTCAATAATTTTCCAAAGAAATACAAATGGGACACCAAACAGCAGACTACATGTGATGAAAAACCAGACAAACTTCCACAAATAACAGAAATGATGAAAGAGGCATTGAGAGAATTCAGCTTTCAGGAATGATAGAGTAGATGGTTTAGACCAATTCTCCCGCTGAGAATAACTAAAGAAACTAGACAAAACACAAAATATCTGTGTAAAGGCAATCAAGGCAATGAGGAATTGAGGAACCAAGATGCAAAAAGAAAGAAAAGCCAAAGGGACAAATCTGGTATGTGGGGCTCCTTTTGGCCTAGAGCTATCGGCAGATTCTAAAGGCTACTGCTGAAGAGGCTGAGATGAGCATAGCTTTCGACAGACCCAAGCCCTAAGGGGACAAAAACTGGAGTGAGGGCCTGCCAAGAGGGAGGGTAAACCCCTTAAACTGTGGATCAGAGCCTCAAAGGGCTACATCTAAGAACTAAAGGTATACCTAAACTATTTCAACTCATAGAGTCTAAAGCCTAATTTTAAATCACCTCAATCCCTATGTAATGTGGTAGGAGACTGTTAGTACCTCCAGCATAACCACCTACCAGAAGTAAAGGTAAATCCTGAGAAGACAGTATCATCCAGATTATCTCGATAATTTTTCATACACAACACCTGTCATTCAATCACAACTAAGAACATGAAAAGAAACCCTCCCAAATCAGGTGATAAAACAGACATAAAAGCAAAACTCCTACGGGAACACACATGCTGGAGTGGGTTAAAGGAATAAAAACACAAGATGGAGAACTTCAGCAGAGACCTGCAAACTATTTAAAAAAAAAAAAAAAAAAAAAAGAGGCCAGGTGCGGTGGCTCAAGCCTGTAATCCCAGCACTTTGGGAGGCCGAGGTGGGTGGATCACGAGGTCAGGAGACCATCCTGGCTAACACGATGAAACCCCGTCACTACTAAACGTACAAAAAATAAGAAAATTAGCCGGGCATGGTGGCAGGCGCCTGTAGTCCCAGCTACTTGGGATGCTGAGACAGGAGAATGGCATGAACCTGCAGTGAGCCAAGATCATGCCACTGCACTCCAGCCTGGGTGACAGAGCAAGACTCCGTCTCAAAAAAAAAAAAAAGAAAAGAAAGAAAGAAATAAAAAGAAATTACAGAACTGAAAAGGTCAATAAAATGAAATTAAGAATTCAATATAGAGAGTGCTGCCTCTAATCAGAATGTAAAGTTATCAGGACTATTACTGTTTTCCTAACAACCAAAACAGGGCAGACAAGCTACAAATCTATAGTTTTTCTGAACCCATCAGAGAGATAAGGATGTAAGGGAGCCTAAGTGAACTAAATTCTAATGGAATTTAATTCAGAAAAAAATATTTGAAGGGATTAACAGCCAAGCCAAGAACTCTCCAAAAGTGATGAAAGTGATCAGCCCACACATACAACAAGCTCAATAAGCGGGATAAATACAAAGAAAACCATAACTAGGCACATCATAGTGACATTTCTGACAACCATAACTAAAGAACAAATCTTAAAAGTGGCCAAAGACGGGAGGTAAGCACATTACTCACAAAAGAAGAAAAATAAGACAGTTGACTTCTTACTAGAAAAGATAGAGTTCAGTGGACATGGAACAACATATGTAAAGTGTTGAAAAAACACACTGTTTACCTAGAATTCTACATCCAGCACCCTCTCCACAAAAATCTAAAAATGAAGGTGAAATACAAATGTTTTCAGACAGACAAAAGCTGAGAAAATTCATCTCCAACAAACCTAACTAAATGCTAAATTATATTCTCCAGGCAGAAAGAAATGATCCCAGATGAAAGATCAGAGATGCAGAAAAAAAAAAAATGAAGAGCAACTCACAAACGAAATACGTGGGTAAATCTAAATGAATAAATTAATGAATTTAAATAACTAAAACTAAATGAATAGTGAGTATGAAATAACATCTGATGGATCTTAAACATACAGAGAACTAAAATACACAACAATAACATAATAACATTAAAACAAAAGAGAAGGACAAATGGAATTCAGGTGTTATAGAGGCCTTGCACTGTCCATGAAATCATACAAATAACAAGTTAAAGATGCATTTAGGAAACACTAAATGAATAGTGAAAGAAATTATAACTGGCAAGCTAAAAGAGAGGGAAATACAGAGTAACTTAAAATAATCCAAGGAAGGCAGGAAAAGAGAGAAAGGGGAATACAGAATAAGCAGTGCAAGCAGAAGTAAATAATAAAATGGGAGGTTTAAAGCCAAATATATGAACTATTACATTAAATAGACATGATTTAGTAAGAAGACAAAAACTGTCAGGCAAAAGAAAACAAAACCTAACCACGTGCTACAAACATAACATAAATATATGACTACAGGGCCAAGTGTAGTGGCTCACATCTGTAATCCCAGCACTTTGGGGGGCCAAGGCAGGAGAATTACTTGAGCCCAGGAGTTCAAAACAAGCCTGGACAATATAGTAAGATCTTGTTTCTAAAAAAAAAATTAAGAAACTAGCTGGGCATGGTGGTGTGCACCTGTAGTCCCAGCTACTTGGGAGGCTGAGGCAGGAGGATCACTTGAGCCCAAGAGGCAGAGATTACAGTGAGCTCAGACCACACCACTGCACTCCAGCCTAGGCAACAGAGTGAGACTATGTCTCTAAATTAATTAATTTTTAATAAAAGTACATAAAGTACAGAGAAGTCATATCATACACACATTTAAGTTAAAACAATTCAACTATGAGAATGAGAGAGACAAAGAGAGAGAGAATATGAACTAATTTAAATAGAACAAGCCATTCTACCTGCCATTCATATGAGCACAAAACATGAGATATGAACTTCTACCAGCTGAGCTCAGCTCCAGAATGCCTTAGTATGAGCATCTCATCACACTGCAATCCCAGAGTTTAAGTGTGAACAAAGTGGAACTGCCAAGTATCACAATGTTGTCTACATTTCTTACCCCAAAATTTCAATTACTAACAAGGCTGACTCTGAAACAGAAATGCCTCTACTTAACTGTAACTACTCTGAAGAAGAAATAAATTCGCTCTTCCACAAAGCTTACAGAATTTTTTTAAAGTATTCTTCAGAAAGTGGCAAACGCTAACTCCTTAGAACTTCCTAATACACACAATCCTGAAGCTTACTTCTCGGGCTTTGAACAAACTCCAGAGAAATCGCTGATTCATAAAAGATGCCCACAACATCTAACAGGAAATAAATGAAGTCTTAAAAAGCAAATACGTAATAATAAAGTTAATTTTCATTAAATTGGAACATGCACTATCTCCACCCTCCTTCCTACCATGACAGATTATCTGGCTATGATTTCATCATCATCATCACCCCTCTGCTATATGACAAATTATTAATTCCAGAATAAAAATGAACCTTACAAGAAACAGCTTACGGAACATTTCTGTTGCTTTTGCCTTTACTTTGCCTCATAATGCTCTGTATTTTACCCTCCTGGCCAAAAAACAAACAAACAAACAAACAAACAAACAAAAAAGGCTGCGCATCTAAAAACCCTACTTACGGCTTCAAAATCAGCTCAAGTCTTAAGAAACTTAGCTGAATATCCCAAACTAAACAAATCCTTATCCTCTTCAACATAAGCTCACTCATTTAACAATCTATTTACACACAGCCATCAAATAAAAACAAAAACCAAATCATGTTATCTAATTTTCATGTATTTTTAGCTAGCCTCTCCATCTAGTATACAATAAT
The DNA here is from genome assembly GCF_000001405.40 of Homo sapiens. Classification (NCBI taxonomy): domain Eukaryota; kingdom Metazoa; phylum Chordata; class Mammalia; order Primates; family Hominidae; genus Homo; species Homo sapiens. The sequence goes on along the minus strand of NC_000015.10, from coordinate 73,063,401 downwards.
AAAAACGACAATAATAACAGTTTACATTCCATGAATAAGCCAGGCTTTGTTCTAAGCAGGGACACATATTAAGTCATTCTTTGTTCATTTCAGCCCAGTAGAGTGGGTGGTTATGATATATGTCACTTAAAGAATTGTTCAAAATTGGCTCTGTATGCCTTTGCTCTCCCTGCCTACTGTTCTAACCCAGGGCCATGACATGCCTGCAGGGGTTAGGGAAAGAAGTGACATTACTTTAGCACTAGCTCATTTATTCACACAGGTGTTTCTCAATAAGCCTCCATAGGCGAAATGAACTTTATCATTTTATATAATTCTTATTCTAGGTCTAGTGGTATCTTGAATAGTGGTATCTTCTTCAGTAAACAGAGGAACGCTTCCTCCCTTTGGAAACCCATCTATATAGATGTATGCCTAAGTCTTTGCCCCAGGCTTTCTTTTTCCTTCCTAAGTGTCATGAACTACACTTATGACTTGAACTATCATCTCTATCAGATAACCTGTGAGCCTACGTTTCTAGCCTAGACTTTTCAACTGAGCCCTAATTCTGCAACCCTTTTACAGGGATGTTCTGCTGACATTTCAGACTCAAGGTGTCCAAAATGGAACCAATATCCATTGTTCCCAAACTTGTTTCTTCTGCCACATTTTTAATCCACTTTCCACTTTAAATCACCACAGTACCTTGGGCCAAACTGGCTCAAGTATTTGACTAAATGAACTTAATCACTTCAAACCAAAATTGTTCTTTCTGTCTTAAAAGAGGTAATAGCATGTTTCAATTCCTATTTGTTACTCAAATCAATGAATAAAATATTTAACTTTCTTTCCTCAAAACAGAACAGTTTTAAAGCTTATGAATCCACATCAGGTTAGCATGAGCAGTGGTTAGCAGGAGTCAGGTAACTAACCCAATTACTCAGTTTGCTTATCACTAAGTTAAGAACCACAAGCAGCTATGGAAGTTTTGACAAATTATAAAGTTTTAAATTATTCCTATTCTTAATTACGTATTATCTATATTTATAAATGAATCAATGATTCAATAAAAGATATAGATATATGAATAAAACACATGAATAGGCAATTCTCAGAAACAATATAAACCATCAATAAAAATCTGAAAAGATGCTCAACTCCATTAATAATTTTAAAATATGAAATTTACAGAGGTTTTTTTTCTTCTATCAAATTGGCAAAAAGACTAGGAAGTCTGAAAATAACCAATATGTTGGCAAGGAAGTGTGGAAACAGACACTCTCATTTGCTGCTCAAAGGAGTGTAAATCAGCTGTTTAGTAAACAATTTGGAAATAATGTGACTACACATGCCCTCTTGCCCTACAATTCCACACCCACAAACTTATTCTATGGTTTACTTGCACATGTGCACAAATGGGGACATTTATAAACGTGGGTTCACTGCATCATTTGTTTGCAATCAAAAATTTGGGAGCATCAAAAAGAAATTGGTTAAATAAATTATGATATATCCAGAAAATACAATTTCATATGGCTATCAACACAACTCATAAATTTATACACACTCACATGGAAAGATGTCCTAAAACAAGTTAAAAGTCAGTGTGCACAGCAAAATCCAACTTGTTATTGTTGTTATATATGTACCAGATATTTTAAGTATATAATTGTATATATAAAATAGACCATAGCTATTAAAAGTGATTACTCTGGGAAGAAGGGTTGGAGTGTATGATTTCACATTTTATTTTACATAGTATGAACTGTTACATTTTTAACAATAAAAATTCAACAATTAACTTTACCCCCAAATTAAAAATCCACATACATATTTTAGCAATCAGGTTTAGTAACGCTGTTAATAAAGATAAATGTCATGGCCAGAGGGGTAGGAACCATACCCTGCCACCTCACCTCCCCTCCTGGTCACACTTCCTTTCTTCCTACCTCAGGCATCAACCTGAACCCTTACTAATTTGAGGAGAGATTAAGACTCAAGAGATTTCTGAGGGAAGATCTATCTCCCAGACAGCAACTGTATCTACAGTAGGAGGGGATAAAAGGAAAGGCCAGGGGTAGGCAATATCCATTAGCAGTAATGGAAAGGGAAAGAAATTTTCCTCAACTTGGCTGAGACAGTAACTTCCGTTTATGGGAAGATATCTCTGTGTTCTTACGCTTATTTTAAGTATCTTTCCTTGCAACTGTCACTACCTTCTGCTGCAGGGGGCATTTCCCAAGATAGTCTTTCTACCCACTTCTGATCAGCTATGGGCTCAGAAATTAGATTATACTGTTTGTTAGAACTGCCTATGAATTAAAGATAGGCTCTGAACAAAGTCCTTTGGGACTCGGAGAAATGCATTTACTTTGAAAATTATTTCTCTTATTCCCTAGTCTTCAGTTATATTCCGGAGGTAGGTTGCATAATGGTTGAGTCCTATGTAGGTGAGGTACGATTAATAAACAGGTTAGGCCAGTGCAGTGTCACATTTGTAATCCCAGCACTTTGGGAGGCTGAGGCGGGTAGATTGCTTGAGTCTAGGAGTTTGAGACCAGCCTTGGCAATATGGTGAAACCCTGTCTGTACAAAAATACCCAAAAAAATTAGCTGGGCATGGTGAGGCATGACTGTAGCCCCAGCTACTTGGGAGGCTGAGGCTGGGGATCACCTGAGCCTGGAAGGTTGAGGCTGCAGTAAGCTGTGATCATGCCACTGCACTCCAGCCTGGGTGATAGAGTGAGAGCCCATCTCAAAATAAATAAATAAATAAAAGGGTTATCACCACAAGAATTTCTGCACACAATCCCTTGAATATACAACACTCTATAAATTTAAAACAACTAGTTGCCTGGGTGCAGCGGTGGCTCACGTCTGTAATCCCAACACTTTGGGAGGCCGAGGCGGGCAGATCATTTGAGGTCAGGAGTTTGAAACCAGCCTGGCCATTAATGGTGAAACCCTGTTTCTACTAAAAGTACAAAAAAAATTAGCAGGGTGTGGTGGTGCACGCCTGTAGTCCCAGCTACTTGGGAGGCTGAGGCAGCAGAATGGCTTGAATCTGGGAGGCAGAGGTTGCAGTGAGCCAAGATCGCACCAGTACACTCCAGCCTGGGCAACAGAGTGAGACTCAGTCTCAGAAAAAACAAACAAACAAACAAACAAACAAAACTAGTTATCCTACCTCCAACTTCAAAAACTTTCAACAATTAACCAAAAAGATTTTCAAATTTTACTTGTTACATTTAAAGCTATGCTGTGAATTAAAAAATTATGAATGAAACTTATAATTTGTTATTCTATCCCTAAATTTGTAAATTATAATGCTATTATCTTAACTAGACCTCATAAATAAAGACATATTTTGGTGATTTTTTTTTTTACCACTACAGCAGAAAAACAGAAACATTCTGTTTTCAATTTCCACATAGTATCATTACAAAAATTCACTCTGCTCAGGACTTCTTAGTAAGTTGTACTATTAATGACCAATAATCAATTCTGAAAATCAGTATGATCAATCTCCAGATTTCCAAAAAACATGGGAGTAGCTGTACCCCCAGACAGCTCAATTATGAGCATTCTCATACATTCAAACACTGCAGTAATCAGAGGAAATGATATATAACTCCTTCTTGAGAATTCTAGTCTACTGGCTTTATAAAACTAAGTTAGGACTACTCTAAAGATACAGAACCAAAATTATGAGGGAAAGCAGCACTATTCCTTGATCAACAGTAACACAATGATTCCAGAATGTATTTTTCTACCTACAGCAGTAATGGCACTTTCTCTCGCCAAATCAAGTTACCTAATATCTCCCTTACCTCCACCATTAGACCAAATGCTTCCTGAGGACAGAAAGCACGTCCAATTCATCTTTATTTCCACAGTGTAGTTTTGTGCATAATTAGCCCTCAAAGATAAACGTTTGCAACCAGCCAAAATTACTGCAACTCCTAGCTTTGCCTATAGAACTGACTTAATAAAAAGTTAAATGTAAGGATTCTCGCTATGAAATAATTTTAAAGAAGGTTATTTCTAATGGTTCTTTAAAAAAGGAAAAGCAGAGACACGTAATCTGCACTTCAGACCACCAACCTGCTAACTCCTCAGAACTGAAGAACTGACTTCATTCAGTAAAATAAAACATATATAACCACCATACCTCTCTGCCTTTTCTTTATGTAAAGGGGTCAGACAGGGAATCAAAACCTGTTTACATAAGCCAGCTCTGTAACCTGGTCAATTTACTCTACATCCCTTCCAAGCCTAAGAGTAAGCATCTAATATTTCTGGTAATACTGTATCTTAAAATACCTCACAATTACTTAACACTGAAGCCATATAACTCAGCCCTAAAGCTATTTTTACACATATAAAATAAAATCATATACAATCATTTGCAAGTAACATAGACGATTTTCCAATCATATCCTACTTTGCACTACAAAAAAAAGATATACAATAACCTGAGCTTTAGCGAATGAAAAAAAGGTGACTTTTGCATCTGAAAACCAGAAATGACCAGTGTTGGAACACAATAACTGAATAGAAGTTATTAAGCTGAAATAAACCCACTGTTCCATTTTATGGACTTCAGAGTAAGAGAAACCTGGAAGGCAGAAGGGACCTTTGAAATTACTTATTAATTAGCTTAACCTTTCAGTTAACAGATGAACTTGCATTTTAAAACATGGCCTTAAGTACCCAAAGTTCACAATTAAAAGTGGTAAAACCTTCAAAAAGTTATGAAAGTATTAGTCAATGGAATTATTCTTAATGACATCATTACTTTTCTGCAATAAATGGAACCCTGACCCCCACATACACACACAAGTTAACTTTTCACCAGCAATCCTATATGGGGGAATCCAAAATATAGAAAGAATATGTTCATCACAGCATTCTTTATCACAGCAAAACAGTAAAAACAACTTCCATATCCATAACAGGAGAATACACAATTAGCAGCAGAATGCAGAGGAATAAAGAACATAGGCTTTGAAGTTGCAAAAACCTGGATTCCAATGCCAACTCTTGCACATGAAAGGTTGTGAGACCTTCGGCAAGGCACTTAATATCTGAGACTCAGTTTCCTCATCTGTGGAATGTGAAGAAATTGTCATCTTCCTCACAGGACTGTATAAAAGATTAAATACATGTGAAAGAGCATGGCACAATGCCTGGAAGTCAGGGAGTGTTCTGTAACTACTACTTTAATTAGCCACTATTATTATATTTGCTCCCTGGAATATTACACACACATTTTAAATAATGGTTATAGGAAAATCTGTATGTACTGGCATGGAACGATCTCCAACATACTAAGTGAAAAAGCAAGTTGAAAAAACAATAGGTAGTATGATCCTGCTTATCTGTAAAAAAATAAAACCATACACACATATGCACATGCAAGGGAAGATATTAAAAGGGGTTACTTATGGGTTTCAAAAATGGAATTTGTGGGTAGAAGTGATAAAATCTTTTATTCTATGTATTTTTATATTGTTTGACTGCAAACAAACATATATTTATGTATTTTTAAATAAGTTTTTAAAATAAAATGATTTAAAGATAATGTGACAACAAAGAAAAATGGTATAATGTCAAAGGAAAACATTTCAAGTTATACATACACCATGATTACAATGTAAAAAGATAATGTGCCATATAGGCAGTAAGTAGAAAGAAATATACCAAAATCATACCAGTGGGTCTGAATGCCTTTTTTTGTCACTATTTACAAAATTTTTGAATCAAAAAAACTCTCTTCATTCTAAATGAATCCAAAATTTGAGCTCTATTTTAAAATCATCTTTCACTAGCTATGTCCATGACAAAGTTAATTTTTCAAAATCGTAAACACAAAACTTCTCCTCACTTCACTTAGCTCTCCGGTCAATATGATCTTACCTACAGTCATTTCCTCTGACTGTTCTCCAATTATTGATGCAATTTTACCCAGAAACCTAAACACTTACCAATGATATGGTAAATAGCTCCCAATCACATGGAAGTCACTAATAAAATAAAGTGTTTGGAAAAAAGACTATTAAATACAGCCTCCATATAATGAGATTTATTAAGGTTACCCCAATATTTTCATTGAGGTAGAGAAAAACTCATAAGGAAGAAACCAGCAATGATCAATTAAGCCAAAAGAAAAAAAAGTCTACACTTTCAAATAATTTAATATAGTATATTTTTAGAGTTCACAAAGAAACACTGAAGCCATTCTACATAGGTACAGTACTTTATAGTTTATGAACAATTTTACATTTTATTTTTCTGACAATCCAGTTAGGTAGGTAAGGTATTATTCTTGCCTGCCTATATCCCCCAACTTACAGATGTATGTGAAGTTGCAGAACCACAAGTCATACCCCATATCCTCTGCCTTCATGTATGTCTTTTCACTATCTCACATCATGTATTAATTTTCATACAGTTTATGAAAATCAGTCATATTTCTTATCTTCTTTGAGCATTCATCCCAGAATTCTATGATCTCTTTTGTGCCTCATTCTAACAGACAGGCAGAGCAACGCCATCAGTCTTTTCTTTTAGATGACTCAGTAAGATCAAAGATCTTTCCAAAGATGACAAAACTAAAAAAACGCTAAAACTACAGCATATCCAGGAGGATGACCAAGATCACAAAAGATCTGGAAACTAAGTAATGTGAAGAGTGGCTGAAGGAATTAAGGATGGTTAACTTAAAAAGGATAAGGTTTGAGGGGAAGGGCAGGGGGGGCCCACACACACATGCACACAGGAAATGTGATTAGACACATGAAGGGCCATCATATAAAGGAATCAGATTTGTGCTGTATGGCCCTACGGGTTAAAAACAAAGGCAATTCAACATTCAGTCAACAAACATTTACTGGTTATCTTCTCTATGCTACATGTTAGTGCTACACTAGGGAAACAAAGGTGAATAAGACAACCCGGCCAACCCCTTCAGAGGTTGAGACTAGCAGAAAAGACAAGAAAATAAGTAACAGAAGATGAAAAGTACTCAGGAAGCTATGGGAACACAGAATAGTGACCATAACTCTCTTTGGAAGAGAAAGCTGGTAGAGAAAAATTCATTGACTAGATAAGGAGTTTCAGAAGTGGACAAGGTGAGAAGTGACTTAACAGAAAGAACAGCATGTGCAAAGGCACGGAGATCTGAAGCTGTGTCGTTAATCTGGAGTGGTGGAATGCAAGGTGCATGTTAGGGGTGACAAGAGATGAGGCTTTATTGGGTTTGGGAGAACAGAGGTAAAGAATACAAAGGGCCTCACAATCTCCATGCCAAAGAGTTCTAACACCCAAGCTACAGAACACTAGTAACAGATTTTAAGTAGGAGAGTGGCATGCTCAGGAAAATATTTCAGGAAGCTCATTCTAGCAGGACAGACTTCTAGAGGGTAACAGTACAGACAAAGAGATTAATTATGGAGCCACTACTGTTAGTCCAGGTGGGGATGAAGATGAAAAGATACCGATTCAGAGTCAAGAAACAGCTGAGAGGTAAAAAGCAAAAAGAACTATCCGCTATGGCAATGGGAAGAGGAGGTCTTCTTGATCTCAGCTTGGGCAAGTGGATGAACAGTGATGACCAAGACAGGCAACACAAGAAGACAAATCCATGCAATCCTTCCAACAACATGAGACACAGGGGCCAGGAACTGGTTTGTTCATGTTTAGAGAATGGGGATGAAGGAAGCACGAGGGAAAATGACACAGAGTTTAACTTCGGACTTCAGTAACCTAAGATCCTATTTAGTGAAGGTACCGAGTGGCAAGTGAGAAAGTGTGGACTAAGAGAGTCCTTAGCTTACAGGTGGCAACTGAGGGCAAACAGAGTATGTATAATGAGATAAGCTTTAGATACTAATATTTAAGTGAGTGAGTTCAAGAAAAGCCAGAAAGACAAATGAAGAATTAATCAGAGAAGAGATTAACCTGAAGATAGAGTAATGCTGAAAAAGGTAAGCAAAGAGGAAAAAATGTAAGAAGGGTGGGGAGGGTGAAAACTACAGTGAAATGTACTGTACAAAGCAACATTTTCTAACAGAAGTTATTCAACACAGAAATGGACTACCCTGTAAGGCAATGAATCACATCATGAAATAAATGGTTCAGGCAGAAGCTACAGAGTCCTCGGTGAAGAATGTTCACTCTAAATAGAGAAGACATGCATTGCACAGGCTGCTGCCATGTCATCTTCCCCAAGGTCTCTACATATCTTTTCAGTAATCTGCCCTTTTTCAGAATACCAGATTATGTTCCTACTCAATTCCAACCCTCCTCCCTTGCTGACCATTTTCTATCACCAGTCCTTTACTTCTTACTTTTTCCTCCACCTCCGTATGTCTATAACCTCAGATGGAAAAACACTTTCCATTTATCCTATTGTCCCACATCTCTATTTTTCTCCACCTTCTACTACTGAACATGTCCACTTCCCTACAATCTATTCACTATAATCCCCTATAAAAAGATTTATAAGTCTATCACTCTACAAAAATAAAAAAAATAAAACTACTGACAAAGGACATCTGATTTGCGGACAGCTTGTTCCAGTTGCTGCTTACTCAGTTCTCCAGTCTCTTGATCTCTTCCGCAGTTTTATGGCAGAACTGACCAACCCCTCCTTATTGCAGTTATTCCTCTCGCTTTTGTAATGAAGCAGAGCGGTTTACAGGAAGGACTCTGGACCGAGAATCAGGAGATCTATGTTCTAGACCCAATTAAACGACTAATTACCTGTGAGCCTCCCCACCTCCACTCCTACCCACTCCTCAGATCTCAGTTCTTGTGAGACACTCTTAACACCCAGACTAGGTTATGTCACTCCAGTACCCACTTTGTGAAAACCTATTCTCCTTTGTAGTGCTTATCACAATTACTTAATTATATAATCAGTAGATGGATGGCTATCTTTCCTACCCACACACCAGACTGTAAACTCCATGAAGGCAGAGAGCATATGCCTTGCACCTCATCTGTGCAAAATAAAAACCTGTCAATTGAGTTAATGTTGAAACAGATGTTAAGACCACTTCCTGAGACTGCTTGCATTATTTTTATTATCCTAAGTAATAAAATTACTAGCATTTTAGTTACTTACAAAATTATCGGCAAAACTTTAAACAAAAACTTGAAATTTGGTGAACTACATATGAATTTCCATATAAAATAGATCATGAGTAACAGGAACTTGTTTTCCAAAATAGTTATATTTCTCTTGCTCATCTAAGAGACAGTTGGATCAGTAACCTGCATTTCAGCACCAAAATGTGTTCTAAACCATATACGGACTGAATGTATAAGGGTACATCATGACATAAGTGATGTTTAATTTGACATTAAAACACTATTGTTTACGTAGCTGTTTAGAGAATACCGAGTGGTACTTTACGTTTAAAGCTGTTCTTTAACATTGGCAAAAGCCATGAGCTACATACACACTCTGCAAGGAAATGAAAAGTTTATCAGTCAAGTTACCTTGCAGTGTGATTTTAAATATTATTTCATATAAATCAGGGAAAAACAAGTACTGGTTCAGCGGTAAGACTGCTTTCAAATGTAAAAATATCATATCTCACACGAGTGAAAGTTTTGTCAAGTTTTATGGTACACCACCTTGGTCAAATAATTTTAACAGATTACATGCTAATTTGCCTTTCAACTGCTGAGTGTATCCTGCTCAACAATACCGTAAGGTCCTTCCCGGAAGGCTTGGCATTTTTGTTCGTTGGTCCCCTTAATAGGAATGCAGGTGGTTTCAGTAATCTATAATATTCCAAAAAAGAACTGAAAATGGCTTTTGAGGTTCAATGTTTATACAATGCCATCTGAAAACATTGTACAAGTACCTAAAATCTGATGCTTAGACAATTCCCTTGGTTAAGAGTGGTTAATAGGCTGTAAATATAGTTGTAATCCCCAGGAAAGAAGAGGCATTTCATAACGGAAACACTAACAGATACGATCACTCCGAGCCGCTCTCCAAGGCGTCCTCATCGTTAAATCAACACCAGGGGTTGTGAGCGGGCAATTGTGCCCCTCTGACACCCCCGCTCTTCCGCAGACTCGGGCTCCAATCCCCGCGCGAGGAGTCCCTCGAGACTAGCCAGCTCTTCCTCGAGACTTCGGAAGCTGGGAAATCCCTGGCCAGGGAACCAGGAGCTCAAGCCCCCTCCCCTTTCCTTTCCTGAAAATTAATGAATTGGCCGTCTGATTGTTTATTTAATGAGGTGTGTAGTGGCCTCTACTGGTGCTAGTGTGAGCACAAGAATGTCCCACTCTTACAAGTGGGATGAGCCTGGGGGAGGGGAGAGAGGCGAGGGGTGAACCTGCCTCCAGGTACAAAGCTGGGAACTAGACCCCTGCGCCCCCGACCTGCCCCCCGGCAGCCGCCCCTTCCCCGGTGGCGCCCCCTCTCGCCCTTCTCCTCCCCACCACGCGCGATCCCCTTTCTCTTCGGCAACCGGAGCCGAGGCAGAGAAGTTCCTGCACGTTTCCTCCTGGATCCTAAACAAAAACACCGCAGCCGCGGCCGCCTGAGCCGGTGCCGCGCCCCCGCGAACCCCCGGGCCCGCGCCCGCCGCTTACCTGGGGACTGCGGCGCGGAGCCGCTCCTGGCGGCCGCGGCGCCCGGCGCCCGGCGCCCGAGCAGCAGCAGGCAGTAGAGCCAGAAGGAGGGGGTGCTGAGGAGTCGCCGGGCTCCCCGCTCCGCCGCCATCTCTTCCCCGAGAGTGAGCGGCAGCGGCGGCGACAGCGCCGCGGAGCCCTTGCCTCCTTCCCTCCCGCGCGCCTCAGCCGGTCCCTCGCTGCAAGCTCGGCTCCCGCGGCCGCCGCTGCTCCAGCCCAGCCCGGCCCGGCCCGGCCCGCGCAGCCCCTCTCGCTGGAGGGGAGACTCCAGGGCGCCTCCCTCCTGCAAGGGGGCGGGGAGGGGAGGAGAGCGAAGAAGGGGAGTCAGTACATTCCGGGGCGGGGGGGGGGGGGCGGTGGGTCGGTCTCCAGGTTCCAGGCGCCGCCACCCGCCGCCGACTCCGGCTCCACACACCAGCGCGAGGGGGGCGGAGACCGCGGACGGCGGGGGCGGGGGCGGGGGCGGGGGGCGGGAGTCCCGGGCGCGCACACGCGCACGCGCGCGCCTCGCCCGCACCCCCTCGGCTCCGCGCGCGGCCCGCCCCCGCTCCAATCCCGGCTGCCGCCTCTCGGGCCGTGGCGGGCCCGCTCCCCTCCCCCTTCTCCCCGGAGCCGCTGACGGGTGCGGGGCGCGCGCGCCGGGCGCTGCTGCTGGCGTCAGGGAAACCCCGGAGAAGCGGATCCTCCTGCTCCTCCCGCCCGCTCGCCGCAGCCCCTCGGCTCCGCGCGCCCCCGCCTCCTCCTCCTCGCCTCGGGGACAAATTCCCCCCTCACCTCCCCAGATGCCTCTGGCTGCAGAGACCTGAGGGCGAGAGGCGCTCCGAGCTCAGGCTGGTCCGGGAGGCCGGCGTGGGCGCGCACCTCTGCACAGTCCGGGCCTGGAGCCTCTATATAGGGCCTCAGAGGAAACCGAAAGGCCTCCGGGAGGAAACCTGGGTGCGCAGTGGGTCGGCCCGGGGATTTATGTGCTCGCCAAAAACAATAGCGATCCCGCCCGACTCTTGCTGGGCCCTGGCGCGGCTCCCGTGGGAGGGGGCCGGCCGCGCAGCCGCTGACCTCCGGCTCCCAAGCCGGGCCGCCGTCGCCGCGCGCTTCCCCCGGGCAGCGCCGGGACCCGCCCGAACCGCGCCCCCACCCGCATCGCTCGGCCCGGGTCCAGGGAACTAGGCACAGACAAAGGTGCCCGCTGTCCACTTCCTCAGCTCGTGCGGGGGCCCCGACCGAGCCCTGGGACTCCCCGGGGCCAGTCTTCTCGCAGTAACTGCTACGTTTTACCTGTACCTTTGCGGGACACTTGGCGTTTTCCTACCTGGGAATCACGTCTTTCGCTGATAAACCAAGGAGCAAGTGGGATATGATTTTAAACCACTTAGTAATCGTGAGGCAGCACCCAGGCTACACAAAGTTAGGAGAAAGCAGTTTGTAGTTCCACTGCTGATGAGACTATTGATCATTTTATATACTGCACCCATGAAAAATTTTTAAAGAAAATTTATTTGTATGATTATGCAAGCAGAGTCACGTTTGGTGGTTGATAGGCGTTGGGTTTTATTCACTCTTCTGTGTAGTCGATAACCGAAATGTCTTGCTTCCCACAAGAAAATGGCTATTTCACTAACATATCCCTCTGTGCTTTCTCATAGTTACTTTCCAAAGATATTTTATTCTAAAGCGCCAAAATGAACAATGTAAGACATGGATTAACGTCGGGAGGGAAGAGCTCAGAATCTTCATAAAACCTTAAATCATCAAAACGGTGAAATTAGGAATTCTCATGCTAGTTCTTTGAAACAATTGACTTAATAGAGGAAACACATGCTTATGGTTTTTCACTAGGGAAACCATTTAAATACCTTTTTGTTTTGGTTAGAGTTGTTAACCAGCAAAAATATTTCCTAAATACCCGTGATTGACCTGTTAAATTAGAAATAGATTACCTCCCAATTACTTCACAAGTATTTGCTTAATTAACCTTTAATAATCACATCATTATTCAGTTTTCTGAGATAATTAATGAGAAAAGCTCTTTGAAAACTGTAAATTGCCTTGCAAATGTTAATTTCCTGATATCTTTTCTAAGTCTGGAAAAATTTCATTATATTAAACCTATAACGTGTAATATGACTTCTGAGATGAAGCTTACATTTATCTCCAAGTTTTGAAAAATACATGAGTTGTGGCTAATAACAGACTGATTTTCATATATGACTTATATGAACTGTCTCACTAATTTATCAGCCCACTGTGTATATCAGGTTAATATCAAAAAGTTTAAAACAGTTGTATATTTCTGGCTTCTGATTAAATCACAATTTTAATAAAACCCACTCTATTAAACCACTAGTAGATGGAGCCCCAGATTAAAGCTACAGATCCTAAATCAGTTCAAGATAGTTAAGTAACTCAGGCACACACTTGAATTCAGCTCCTTTACTTTGTTTCAAAGTCACTGACACTGTCGACATGCCCTTTAAAAATCATCATTGAGTAATTAACCTGTTCTTTGTTTAGTAAAGCATATCTGAGAAAAGATTTTCTTAGGCATCTCTTTTATCATTCTTATTCTCCCAACAAGATTTTCAACAAATACTTCAGCCTGCACGTATACTGCTAATCAACACTTTTATGTTGTCTAAACTATCAATCTATGAAGAGATATTAAACCACTGGTGAAATTAACAGTTTTTTCATCTAAGTAAAGTTAGAACATGAGGCCCATGTTCAAGGAATAAGTGCACAAAGAAACTTTAGAGCAAAGAAAACAGAGTGGCCATTGTGTGTCTGTAAAAGTTATCGAAATGCAGGCCAAAAATAACTAGACTGATATCTTGTGAAATTTATGCTAATGTATTTTGATATAAAAATTACATGAAATATTAAAGCCTATGAATATAAAACTTGGTAGGAATCTTATTCTCTATAGTAAAAGGATTTTTTTTTCAACATTAGAAAGGACGTACAATTCAGTGTTTAACTGCTGGCAGTAATGAGATTCTGCAGCTGATTCCCTGGCTGAATCCCAGTGTCCGAGGTTGAGAAGAAGAAAGCTAGTCCCCTGACTAGCAGATCTCAGGATAGAACACTTCCTAGTCACAGCAGACTTCAACTAGAAGTTGCCCCAGTCTTAAGAAAGTGATTTTCTTCTGCACAGAGATTGTTATTTTTATATTTGCCCTTTACATTCCACTAGGTAAGAATTTTTATTTTCTCCCGTTCTCCTTCAGAAGCCACCTGCTCTAGGGAGCCATCTCTGATTAAGCGTAATTAAAAAGGATGTGTGCTCCTTTTTAAGTACAAGCATGCTCAATATTAATTTTGCTTGTCACATGTTGCTTAGTTGATCACATATCTTTAGTTCAACAACAATCTATTAATTCAGCAAAAATTATTGAGGACCTGTTTTCACCAAGTATTGTGCTGGATGCTGGGATAACAAAATTATTGGTTCATTCATTTAATATTTATAAAGTACATCCTGTGTCTCTGGTCCTGGCTTATGTTAAGGGAAGACAGTGATGAGCCAGATAAACAAAGTTCCCAGTCTAGCAGAAAGGGTAAACAATTATAACAAAGAAGTGTAAAGACTGTTATGGTAAGGAAAGATAAGGAGTGTGGGAAAACTTAGTAAGAGCATCTAACTTGACTAAATTGTGTGTGGGGGTGGGAGAAGGAGAATTAGAGAAGCTTTGGCCTCTAAACAGAGACCTGAAGGTAGATAGGAGTCAGCCACGCCTACAGGTGGGATTTGACCTCAGATTTGCGTTTTAGAGGGAACACTGAGGCTGCTTCTTGGAGTGTAGTTTGGAAGAAGTCGAGACCAAAAAAAAAAAAAAACAGTTCAGATTTTGTTACAATAGTCTAGGGAGGAGATGATGGTGGCCTGGAGTAAAGCAAAGGGGATTAAGAAAAGTGAACAGATAAGAGAGAGATTTAGGAGATAGATAGAAACAGCAGGGGTGTGTGGGAGAGATAGGAGATGTGGGTAACTCAGATTTCAACTTGGGAAGCTGAATGAAGGTGGTGGCATTCACTGAGGGGGGAATGAGAAAGATGAGCAGATGGGAGACAATGTTAGTTTAACTTTGGACAAGGAAATTTAAAGTACCTATGCATACATAGGTACTTTAAATACATCTGAGTAGAAATATCAGTAAGCCGTTCATTACTTGGATCTGGAGTTTAGCAGGGAGATAGGACTGGAGAAGTGAGTCATCAGCATACACTACATATGCCTGAGTATAAGGTGCTTCTGAAAATAAGGTGAGCCTCCATTTTTCCAATTAGAATCCACCCCACTCCCCCAGGCCCCTCGGCGGCTCACACCTGTAATCCCGGCACTTTGGGAGGCCGAGGCAGGCAGATAGCTTGAGCCCAGGAATTCAAGACCAGAGTAGGCAACAGGGCAAAACCCGGTCTCTACATTAAAAAAAAAAAAAAATTAGCTAGGTGTGGTGGCGTGTGCCTGTAGTCCCAGCTACTCGGGAGGATCACTTGAGCCTGGAGGTCAAGGCTGCAGTGATACATTATTTTGCCACTGCACTCCAGCCTGAGTAACAGAGCAAGACCATGCCTCAAAAAATAAAAACAAAAACAATCCCCCCCCGTAAAACTTTGTGGCCAACTTGAACAGATAAACTTTTAGAGATATAGATGAAATAATCAGGGCTCTGCAGCTATAAAAAAGAATGAGATCATGCCTTTTGCGGGAGCATGGATGGAGCTGCAGGCCATTATCCTCAGCAAACTAGCACAGGAACAGAAAACCAAATATCGCATGTTCTCGCTTATAAGTGGGAGCTAAATGACAAGAACTTACGAACACAAAGAAGGAAACAGCAGACACGGGTCTACTTTAGGGTAGAGGGTGGGAGGAGAGACTGGAGCAGAAAAAATAACTTTTGGGTACTGGGTTTAATTCCAGGGTGATGAAATAATCCATACAGCAAACTCCTGTGACATGAGTACCTGTGTGACAAACCTTCACTTGTACCCCCAAACCTAAAATAAAAGTTAAAAAAATTAAATAAGAAAGAAAAAGTTGGGAAAAAAGAAATAATCAGGGCTCTATTTATAATATTGAATATATTAATTTAATTATGCTTACTTTAAATTACGTATTATATAAATATAATCTTTAAAATAATTTTATTGAAATTCTTCATGGTGTCTTTATCATCACAAGTGTCGCATTTTGAGTCTCTAACATATTTCCCAGGACATACCATCTTCACTTCTACCCAAGTTTTTAACTCTATATATAATGCTGTCACTGGGAATTTTATTCCAAGCCACAAGTATCTAATCACACTACATCATTCATCCTGTAATTATATTCATGTACCATATTGCTTTTTATAGTGACTTTTAAAGACTTGTTTACAAGGACATCCAACACTTCTAAGTGTGAAGATATTTCCCTAGAAGTAATTTTAAAGTCTGTTCAATTTGTTTCCTTTCTTACCAATTCTGTCAGGTGGCTTTGTATGAGCATTGAATGAGAGCATTTCATGCTAATGTGTATTCCACCAAAAAGCATTTTGTTGTTCAAAATGGTTGAGAGCATCCAGTAACATGAACGACTTTTTTTTTTTTTTTTTTTTGAGACAGGGTCTCTGCTGCCCAGACTAGAGTGCAGTGGCACAATCACAGCTCAAGCAGCCTCCACTTTCCAGGCTCAAGCAATCCTCCCACCTCAGCCTCCCGAGTAGCTGGGACTACAGGTGCATACCACCACACCCGTATAGGCTAATTGTTTTGGTTTTTTGCATAGACAAGGGCTCACTATGTTGCCTAAGCTGGTCTCAAACTCCTGGGCTCAAGCAATCCTCCTGCCTTGGCCTCCCAAAGTGTTGGGATTATAGGTGTGAGCCACCACGACTGGCCATGAAGGACTTCTAAGGGTCAGAATATAAAGTGACTCCCTGTTTTCTGATTTTGGTGAGGGTAAGAGGGCTCTGTCTTATATTTGGGTAGGTACAATAATGCCAACAGAGTGATTGAGATTGCCCCAGGAGAGTTTAGGATGGAACCAGGACTGAGGATTGAGGACTGGGACCAAACTGGAAGAACACCAACACATTGAAGGCATAGAGCAAAAAAAGAAACTTACAAAGAAACAAGCAGGCATGTAACAAGAAAACCAGGAGCATGTGGTATCACAGAAGCCAAGAAAAAGTGTTTCAGGAATGCAGAAGTGGTCAATAGTGTCATATACTCCTGAAAGATCAAATAAGATAAGACCTGGAAACCATTCATTGTATTTAGTGATAAGGTAGGTGGGCAAGTACAACCTTAGTAAGTGAGTTGCAGCAGAGAGTAAGGCCACCTACTTGCTATGGCTTGTCACTGAGTATGAACTACTTCAAGAAGTTTACCTGTAATAGGAAGGAAAAATTGGTAACTCTAGAATAGATTTTAAGAGGGGAGTAGATTTAAATGCTGATGTAAGGAGCCAACAGAGAGGGAAGTGTTGAAAATTTAAGAGAGAAGGGGGATAATTGATAGCTTTAGAAACGGTGCAGTAGATAATTTGGCAGCCGTTATTCCGCAAAGCCCATGATTATCTGACCTCAGTAGTCTCAGGCAACTGGCAGAAGGCGAAAGAACTTCACAGAACAGAGGCACACCCTGGCCCTGTGGTTCCCAGGCAGGCTTCAGCTGTATTTGAACGTGTTTAGTTCTTGTAGTATCTTAATGAATACTGAAAATAAGGGGCAACATCCTGACATTTGCTACCTAGTCCCCTAGAATTCTATCCTCAAAAGACACATGGCTGGGTCCCAACAGACAATAGTTGTAAAACAAGGCAGGCCAGCTTTCCAGCAAAAATGATAGGATCTTGCTTTTTGCTTACAAGTGACAGAAACCCAATACAAAATACTATCCTTTTTTTTTTCTTTTTTTTTTTTTTTCTCTCTCCAGCTCTGTGGCCCAGGCTGGAGTGCAGTGGCGTGATCTCGGCTCACTGCAAGCTCCGCCTCCCGGGTTCGCGCCATTCTCCTGCCTCAGCCTCCCGAGTAGCTGGGACTACAGGTGCCTGCCACCATGCCCTGCTAATTTTTTTTGTATTTTTAGTAGAGATGGGGTTTCACTGTGTTAGCCAGGATGGTCTCTATCTCCTGACCTCATGATCCGCCCGCCTCAGCCTCCCAAAGTGCTGAGATTACAGGCGTGAGCCACCACGCCTGGCCACAAAATACTATCTTAAGCAGAAATAAAGTTTATTAGAAGGACCCTGGCATTTTATGACAGGGGTGCATCTGGGCCTTGGAAATGGAACTGGAGAATGGAGCACCTTAAAAACCCCAGAAAATCCTCTTTTGGAGAACCTATTGTCTCTTCACCATTCTCTGAATCTGTCTCAGCTCTATTCTCACTGCAGAATGGCTCTCTCTGTGTCTTAGTCCACATGGCAGTAAATGGCTACTACCAACTTCCAAATTACCGTTTTACAGTCTGGTTCTGACTGCCAGTTCCAATTACAAATTTCCCATTGAACGAATTGATTGCCAGTCTTGGTTTAGGTGCCCACTTCAAACTAGTTACTCAGGGAGGCCAGTGGGTGAGAGTTGTAATATGGAAGCTCCCAGAGCAACCAACCAGTAAATAAAAGCAGAGCATGCAATTCACAGAAAAGGGGTGCCAGTCAAGCAATTCAACAGGCATCTTTTGTAACTGGGTTCTATTTGTCACTTTATCCCAATAGCCCAGCCTGGTACCTGGTGCTTAATACATATTTGTCTAAAGAATAAATATTTAGGCCGGGCATCGTGGCTCATGCGTGTAATCCCAGTACTTTGGGAGGCCGAGGTGGGCGGATCACGAGGTCAAGAGATCAAGACCATCAGATCAAGACCATCCTGGCCAACATGGTGAAACCCTGTCTCTACTAAAAATACAAAAATTAGCTGGATGTGGTGGGGCACGCCTATAGTCCCAGCTACTCGGGAGGCTGAGGCAGGAGAATCACTTGAACCCCGGAGGCAGAGGTTGCAGTCAGCCAAGATTGCACCACTGCACTCCAGCCTGGTGACAGGGCAAGACTCTCTCTCAAAAAACAAGAAGAAGAAGAAAAGAATAAACATTTAGTGTTGATATAAAGATTATTTAAATTGTGGAAGGGAAGGAATTTAGATACCAGGTCAAGGGATTTGCTTGGATGGGAGGAACCAGGAAGGAAGGAGGCAGAGATAGATAAGTGAGAGGATACAAAGTTCATTCTTGAGGGTCTTAATATCCTTCCTCCATGAAGTAGGCAGCAAAGTCATCTGCTGCTAGATGGTAGAGTGTTTGAGGAGAGTGGTAAAATCCTGGAAGAGTCACACAGGGGATTAAGAGAGGGAACAATTTAGGGGCCTGGCTGAAATTAGTAATAATACATTTGTGATTCTTCTCTATGTGGTACTCATGAGGCAATAAATGGTAAGAGAAGAGAAGGTGGATAGTTGGATTGGCCTAGAGTTGGGGATTTCTAGGCATGGGCAAAGAAATGAAAAAAACAAGAATGGAAGGACTCAAGGATGCCGAAAAGTGAATTGTAGTGATAAGTGACATGGTTTAGACTATATAGGGAAGGAAATAAATCCAGAATGGGCAGAATGACTAGGGGAAAATGAGGGTGTCTGGGAATTAGAGCACTTAAGAAGATCAGAGTAGATTTTCTATGTATAAGTAAGAAGTAAGAACATAAAGATAGAAGATTATGTATCTCAGACTAGAATATTGAAGGAGAGTCAAGGAAGCCAAGAAATTTTAGGTAACAGTATTTGGTGCATCATTTGCTTTTTGGTGTGTTACTTGTATGTTTTGGAAATGTTCAGGATTTCCTTTTAACTGCTCTGGACTCAGCTGTATCTGGTTGCCTGTCACTGAGCTTGTATATCACACACACACACACACACACACACACACACACACACACACAGAGTCATGCATATGGCAAGCTGCTTTCCACAGAGGATTTGAGGCAGCCAAAAAAAGAGATTACCAGAGGACAACCAAACTCCTTATTCCAAGCTATGACTCCTCCCCATCTCCCCACAATCTGCTCTCCAACACTGGAGTGCTGAACTAGACAACATAAAAACCTCAAGAATCTCATTTAAGCATTTTGCTTATGTCCTTTATAAGGGCTACCTGTGTTTTGGCCCCTTTCTTTTATCCCTGCTGGGCCATACTCACTGAGAAACTCCCAAGCAGAAGGCACCCTCAACTTTACTACTGATTGGGAAACAAAAAAGAGAGTTGTCTCTCTCCAGGTTCTTCTGGAGAAGGAGCCAATGAGAATGTTATTTGGTATTGGCCTTTTCCTGCCCTCTGTGTTGCCATGCAATCTCCTCCTAGGTGTTGAAGGTGGTGGGGAGAGAGAGAAGGCAGCGAGCAGGGACAGTGTGGCTAAAAGATGTGTCGTCCACAGGCCAATGAAATCATCTAGGATGGCAAGACATGAAGTGGAGGAGAGAAAGAGTGTAAGCCATTGTACACTTAAGATTCTTGAGGAGTGGGTCAGAAGTCAGTCATGAAATGGGGGGAAAAAAGACACTGAGTTGGACGTCACGTGGTATGGTCTGAATATTTGTGTTCCTCCAAAATTCATATGTTGAAACCTAATCACCAAGGTGATGGTATTAGGAAGTGGGGTGTTTCAGAGGTGATTGGATCATGGGATTAGTGTGCTTATAAAAGAGGCCACAGAGAGCTGCCTTGCCTCTTTCACCATGTGAGGACACAAGGAAAGGCCGCCATCTATGAGAAAGTGGGCCTCAGCAAGACACTGAATCTGTTGTCGCCTTGATCTTGGACTTCCCAGGCTCCAGAGCTGTGAGAAGCAGATTTCTGTTATTTGTGAGCCACTCAGTTTATGGTATTTTTTTTTTATAGAAGCCCAAATGGACTAAGACAACAAGATTATCAGAATCCGACAGAATTCTTGTTTTGTTTGAGTTTGTTTTGCTTGGCTTTGTTTGTTTGTTTGTTTTTGACCAAGAATATAAGTGAAATGATGGTGAAATGGCAGGGAGGGGACAGTCAGGAGATTATTAACAACACCTACTGGTCACTTGATATCTGAACAAATGAGGTCTGCAGAAGTGGCCTCGGGAGAGTGCCAGATTTCGAATAAAGCAGGAGATAGAAGGAGTGCCTGTGTGAGGACCGTGGATGTGGAGGCATCTGTTTACAATCCAATGGGACTTCCGGGGGGAACAAAGGAAATGGTTGGGACAGAGGCTCAGCACTGAGAGCTTGTAATGCTAAGGAGGAAGCGCAGAGCATTATAAAACAAGCCCACAGAACAATGGCCACCAGGATGAGGGGTTCTGACTCCATGGTGACACTAAGCCAATGTATTGCATTGAGTACGTTAGACTGTGAAGAGCCCGGCCCAGCTTAACACAGCCTCTGGTGTCTGGGTCAGTAGGCGGAGGCCCAGGGGGCAGAGGAAGGCCAGTCTATTGGTTCCTTGAACTAGGGGTCTAGATTCTCTCCCCCACACACCCTCGGGTGGACACCCAAGAACTGCAGTGGCTGGGGCAACACTGCAGGAGGAGTATTTAGAGTCACCTGTTAGTTTCAGAATTTCTACATAGGAGGAACTTAAGGGTAGTAATGTGGTTGAATGACAGGAGTAAGCAAAATAGACTATGTTTTTGTCTAGTGACTCAAAGGATAATCAGCTTTCTATATTTTCATATTCTTAAACCCAAACTTATCTAATTATACTAAAATAAACCAAAACATTAACTTATAATTTTCTACTGTTCCCAACCTTTTCCCTACTTGTCATTATTTTAATTTGAAATCGTATCCTCTTATCATGGGTGATTTTTAAAAATCTTCCCTTGTTTGCTGGGCGTGGTGGCTCACACCTGTAATCCCAGCACTTGGGGAGGCTGAGGCAGGCAGGTCAGCTGAGGTCAGGAGTTTGAGACCAGCCTGACCAACATGGAGAAACCCTGTCTCTACTAAAAATACAAAATTAGCCGGGCATGATGACGCATGCCTGTAATCCCAGCTACTCGGAATGCTGAGGCAGGAGAATTGCTTGAACCCGGGAGGCGGAGGTGAGCCGAGACCGCACCATTGCACTCCAGCCTGGGCAACAAGAGGAAAACTCCGTCTCAAGAGGCGGAGGTGAGCCAAGACCGCACCATTGCACTCCAGCTTGGGCAACAAGAGGAAAACTCCGTCTCAAAAAAAAAAAAAAAACTTCTCTTGTTATATATTGCATTTATCAAGTTGTCCAATAGTAAAGAAATGCGTGTTGTGGCACCCCTAGGAAATGCCCAAAACTAGATAGAAGAGGAAAAGTACCTGTATTCTCTTTTCCCACACCACTCTTAATGTTTGGTGATATCTCCTTCCATTTCTATTTCTCTCCACAAAGTTTCTTTTTCTGTATTTGTAATCATAATATACGTGTGAAACTATATTCTTCTTAAACATTTCATTATAAATACTTCCCCCATGTTATGTTATTATTCCTATAAATAAATATAATTGCTTCATAATATTATATTGAATAGATAAATCATAATTGTCCAAATCATTTCTTTATTGTGGGATGTTTGAAATTGTTTCTTCATTCCACAACTATTTATCAACTTCCTAGGGTATGTTAGGCAGGGTTCTGGGGCTTGGAAATATAGTAGTGAACAAAGTAGTCCAATTCTCATGGGGCTTACATTTTAGTGGTTGGGGAGGGACTGGTAATAAACAAATGTCAGGTGATAATAAATGCCATGAAAAGAAAAACAGGAAAACAGGGTTAGAGGACAACAGGGTTACTATTTTATATAGTAATGTGGCAATGAGTATATATGTAGTGATGAGTAGATTGGTCCATAATACATTTCAGTTTTTCAAATAATCTTGTCAAGATGGTTTACCAAGGAAAAAATTATTGAATAAAGAAATGTGAAAATATATATATATATATATATATATATATATATATATATATATATATATATATATATATATATTTATTTATTTTTTTTTTTTTTTTTTTTTTTTTGAGACGGAGTCTTGCTCTGTCACCCAGGCTGGAGTGCAGTGGTGCGATCTCGGCTCACTGCAAGCTCCACCTCCCGGGTTCACGCCGTTCTGCTGCCTCAGCCTCCTGAGTAGCTGGGACTAGAGGCACCCGCCACCATGCCCGGCTAATTTGGAATGTGAATATTTTTTATGTTCTTGAAATGTATTGCTTATTAAATTCCAAAGTGTTGTACCAATTGTATTACCACCTTTGAGGTAAGATTGTTGAGTCTTTATACGGTTTTATAAACACCGCTTACTGGAATTTCTTATTGATTTGAATGAGCTTTTAATGAGTCAAAAATGAATTTTTATCATATTTGCCACAAATAACTTGACCAGATTCCTGGTTGATTCTTAACTTTAGTAATGTGCCACTCTCTTTTTACATAACCACTGGTTGTCCCAATACTCTGTGCTGAATAATAGTTTCTCATTCTTTGGTTTATGCAGTCTTTTATCACATATTCATATTTGAAGTATATCACGATCAATTTCAAGATTATTTATTTTGTTCATTTATTTGTTTATTTTTGCATCAATACTATACTGCTTTAATTCTAATATCTGGCAAGGCTAACTACCCTTCATTATTCTTGCCTTTAACATATATGTCCGTGTGTGTGCATGTATGTTATTATTATTATTTTTGAGAGACAGCGTCTCACTCTGTCACCCAGGCCAGACTTCAGTGGTGTGATCTTGGCTCACTGCAACCTCCGCCTCCTGGGTTAAAGTGATTCTTGTGCCTCAGCCTCCCAAGTAGCTGGAATTACAGGCATGCACCACCACATCTGTCTAATTTTTGTAATTTTAGTATAGACGGGGTTTCTCCATGTTGGCCAGGCTAGTCTTGAACTCCTGGCCTCCAGCAATCCACTTGCCTTGGCCTCCCAAAATGCTGGGATTACAGGTGTGAGCCACCAAGCCCAGCCTGTGTTATTCTTTATGTTTTATTCTTCTGAATAAATTTTATACTAATTCAATCAAATATTCATTCCAGTCTACTCCCTACCATTATTATATTTTCGATGCTATTAGGAATAGGATTTCCTTTTCACCACATTTTTAATACATTATTGCTGTTATACAGGCTAACTATTGATTTTTGTGTATTTATCTCATCCCACCATTTTATTGAACTTGGTTTTTATCAATTCAAATAGCTTTTTAATGGAATCTCTTTGGTTTTATAGATACACAATTCATTTCCTCTTATATCGCTCATAGGTTTTACTGTGTTTTTGATAATATGTTACTTGATTTTGTAGAACTTATTAACATCTTTTTATTTTGAAATATACTTATCAAAATAAAATTACTCTCTTTAATAAATGGCTTTGGCTTTGGATTTGACTTTATGTTTATTTGTGCCTAAATATATCTTTGCTTTTCTGTTATTTAAGAATTGTTTTGCTTTTTGTTTTAGCTATGTATAATGGACACCTGAGGGTGTGCCTGTCATTCATTCCTCCTCCAACCACGTGGTTGCCACTAGAGCTACCACATTATTACAGTACGACCTTCATCTCTTGGCCACAGTTAATTGAGCTTGGTGCAGACATCTGACCCAAGCTTGGCTAATCACACTACCCTGATCCACTGTCTGTAGTTGACTGGTTCATTTATGGGTAACGACCTAAATCAAACCCATAATACTTTCACTTGAAGTACTGAGAGAGTGAGACCAGTAGTTTAAGGTCTAAAATTTAAAACCCAGGAAATGTCTGAGGCCATGTTTTTCAACATGTGGAGAAAACGAGTGTCCAACAAAAGATAATGAAGCTGACATACAGAATCTTAGCCGTGATGAATGAGACAACATTTGAATGTCATTAACATCCCAGTTTCTGGTGTTCCTGACGGCCAGCTGGATCTCTGCACCTATAGTACATTCAACTACACTTTCAATTTTGTGAAACTCCTCAGTCTTGGTCCAATGAACCCTCCCCTTTTTTGTAACCAGCTTAGATTTACCCTTGAGACGGGAATGCCAGGCAGATTGCTTTCTAATTCCTGGAGGTGATAAATAATTAATTTGTATGTTACACTGGTCAGATCAGTTCAGCAGGGAGTTAAGAGAGGGAAGGATATAATACAGTGGTTTAGGTTATCTTGGTCCCGTTCTCTTCACCCCTCACCTAGATGATGCAAGCCACCCTTCCCCAACTGGATTGAGGTCCTAAGTAGCCCCAGTTACAATGTGACTACACTTTCTCAAAGTACGTGTCTGAGCAGCAGAAAGTTAGTTTTGTGGCCTCTGGATGAAGTGAGGGGGAAAAGAGACCAGATTGATAGGCTTTGACAATAACATTCTCCTTTTCTAAAACATGCCCTGCAGTGCTGTCTTCAGGGCTGTCAGCGTGTACATTTTGCCACTAAAGACAGTGAAAGAAGTAAAAGGATCACTTCAGGGAACTGACATTCCAAAAGGAACATCCATCCTGTCACCTCCCAGCACTCTCCGGGAACTGATGGTCAAAATCAGAGTTCCCAGGCATGTGACATTGAGGGGCACTGATCCCAGATGAAGACAGTGTCAAAGATCATCACGTTTCCCTGACTGCTATGCCGCCAAGAATGTCAAGATCTGTACGTCTGCTTTCAGGACATGGATTTACCATTTTGGATAGTTTTTAGTCTCTTACTGACACCTTAGAAATCAAATTACTCTGCTAGTGCCAGAGGCCTTAGCTCACTGATGGAGCTACTAAATCAAGACTAATTGAGCTAACAAATATGCTTGAATAGTGCTTCCTTGAGAAAATGCAACCTTCAGAAGACTTGACATTTACTTCTGACTTGGCCAGACTTATTGACAATTTTCTGAGACTGCTTTTGATTTATATTGATTGAAAGAAATACGGAATGAATTTTAAGATTTCAAATAAACCTTTTCCCTGATTCAAACACCAATAGAAACACTAAATGGAAATTTATAAGTAGAACATGAGTCTAACCCAAGTCAGTAACAATTGAAAGCTTTTATTGCCTGACAGCAGCTTTCAGACCTATAGGAAATGGTTGGAGGGGTTTGGTGCCGTTCATAATGGGCCAAGTGTCAAGGTCACAGATGCCTTCCAGAAATTATTACAGTTGTTTGGCTACTGTGTTGGCAGTATCAGCAGGACAACTAAGAAGTAGAATGTTACCAACAGCACACATTTCTTTCTTAGTCCTAGATGTGGTGCTTTGAAGACAGAAATGAAGTTGAGGAAAAATAACTTTTACTGTTTCTGCCAACTTGACATAACTTCAAAACTGTCAGTTTAGCTATTTTAATCACAATGAAACAAATATTAAGGAAAAAATTAGAATGTGCTTTTAATAAGTGGATTGTAACTTTTTGTCTTGATGTTTTCAGGGTTTTTTGTTTGTTTGTTGTCTGTTTTGAGACAGGATCTCACTCTGTTGCCCAGGCTGGAGTGCAGTGGCACAATCACAACTCATTGCAGCCTCTACCTCCCAGGGTCAAGTGATCTTCCCACCTCAGCTTCTTAAGTATCTAGGACTACAGGTGCGTGCTACCATGCCCCACTAATTTTTTACTTTTTGTAGAGATGAGGTCTCTCCATGTTGCCCAGCCTGGTCTCAAGCTCCTGGGCTCAAGCGATTCTCCTGCCCCGGCCTCCCAAAGTGCTAGGATTACAGGCCCGAGCCACCACACCCAGCCAGATTGTAAAGTTAATGGCAAGAAGGAAATATTTTAACATAATGCAATGTGATACAATACAACAAATCCACCAGAACTGTGTAACAGCCCAGAGAGAGAAGAAATTTTCCTGAAGACTGACAGGCAGCATGCTGATATGCTAAACAGACTGATATTTTAATCAATGCCCTAAAATAAGGACACTAAAATAAGCTCAAAAGATATTGAGATTTTCTTTTAAATGAATTATTCATAGGCCAAATAGCAAATTAAAAATAACATTATTGGCCAAAAACTCTGAAAGAAAAAGTAACCACGGTTAGTACAGTCAGCTGTAACTCAGAAGAACTGGACTCTTCTTTTTTGTTACTAGCTTTATCACTCACTCACTAGTTTCTTTCATAGTTTATCCAAAAACTCCTGTGTCTATATACATCGGATGACAGAGATACTTTATCAACTATGAATAATGATATGGAGCTAATCAACATGGAAAATAACCTGTGAACCACACGATTCATTTTTCTTCTTCTGACTTTGATAGAATAAGAGAACATGATTATCTTCTAGGAGGTCAGCTCTGAATATCCCCAGCTTCCTTGTTTAGCTTTTATAAACTATGAATTTTCCTATGCCCCAAGAGAGTAATTCTCCTGAAGCACAGCTTGAAGAGGCAGCGTGGTTAGATTAGGAGGGAAAAACCTTGTAATTGGAGTTTGGATTCCAGATCTACCCTGGTTGAGCTTATTTATTACTACTTCATTCGTTTCCAATGTAGATAGACTCTGAGTAGCATCGAGGCACAAGGGGCAGCTCCATTGGGTTACAGGTAGAGCTGAGCTACTGATTCCCTCAAGCCTTGCACTGGTTGAGTGGGGCCTGGGATAGCTGGAGTCCCCAGGCCTCTTGGCCACAAGCAGACTCCATACTATGCTTGACCCCTAATATACTATTAAAAATAATATTAGTTTCTATGAGATCCGTGATATTGCAAACACTAAGTTGTCTCACATTGGCATTTCCCAGTCTGGAAATACAAAGGCTGAAATAGGATCAAAGCTTTAAAAAGCCTGGTGAACACAGTGACAACTTGCCCCTTTGGGTTTTCTATACTTTTCTCACTTTCCTCCTCTATGCATCATAGTTTTCCTCATTGCCATCACAGAAATTATTCTAAACACATGCCCTCCTGAAATCCCACCAGTGTTGCCTATTGTCTACAGAGAAATGTCTAAACATGGCCTATGAGGTTTGACTTTCTCTAGCTTGCACCTATTTCTCTGGGCTCATCTCTTATCACTGCCACTCAAACCCCCGCAGCAATATCACACGGCTTCTAGCTCCTTGGATACCCTGTGCTTTGTCATGCCTCCATGCTTTGCTCAAGCTGTGCCTTCTGATTAGAATGCACATGCCTGGTAAATTGCAATCTTTCTTTCATATTTCAACTGCTCCCTCCTTTTTGATTACCTGTCCACCTTGAACATACTTCTGTGATTTCACTTATTGAGGTATTATGATTTGCAAGTCTGACTCCCCCACCAGGACGGGGACCATGCCTTATTTGTCTCAGTAACTCTGAGGGCTGGCACCATAGGCAGTGGTATAATGTTTGCTGGGCAGATGGACACACTGACAGATGGTTGAATGGATGGATGAATTCAAGTTAATGTGGTCTTGTTCACCAAATCTCAAAACTCTGGCACAAGAGCTTTGTGAATAAAAAGATGTACGATTTTACATAATGCACACTTGTTTGGTACTTGGCATGCCACAATTTATCCTTTTATGTTAATCTCCTGTTTCTCCAAGAATATCATAAATTATCAGTACCAGTGAGGTATGCTATAGTTGGTGCAAGACTTGATTCTTCTCAGACTTTGTATTGCAAATATCTGGTCTCTAAAACAAGTCCAGCCACCTATCGCACCAGGGTTCTTCTTGGGAACAGCATTTTAAAAATAGGTGGCTGGTTATAACTGTGTGGAGATTAAGAATTGTTAGCAAGGCCAAAGGACTGCCCTCCTCTAATTTCTGGGGCATTCATATGAATTAGTAAGAACTTTCTCTTATCTTTACTTCTGAATGCAGAGTTTGGCTGAGCACAGTAAATAGAGGGACACTCAAATGGCTCAGTTTCCTCCCTAATTCAAAGCCTCATCTCTGGATAAAATAATGGAGTTTAATTTAAGTATTTAGATTTTTTAAAGTGATTGCCAAAAGAAAAGTGGTTGTTACACAAAAGAAAATTATCAGAACAAAACAGCCTTCTCAAACTGAGCCAGACTTCTCTTTCTTCTTTATTCTTTTCCTCCCAACACCGGGATACAAGAACTATGGTAATTATTGATAGTCTTTTTCTACTGCCATTCTTTCCATCTAAATCAGAGGCACAAAATCATAGAAATACAATTAGCTAGTGAAACAAAGCCATGTGACACCCTCATAAGGAAGCCCTCAGCTTTTTAGCCCTCATCAACTCAGCCCTTGCAATGTCATGTTTTGGGAAATATGGGACTCTTCTAAGCCTATGGGGTTCTTGCTTTCAGGAGGCTTTTTTTTTTTTTTTTTTCTGCATAACTAGAGGAGTGTCTTTTTGAGTTTGGACTTTCTAACCTTGAGAAGGAGTTGACGTGCTTCTTCACTGAGTGTGAAATGAGCAGATGGTGTTGTTTCACTCCAATTTGTTTTGCATGGACTGAGGAGAAGGCTGTGGGGGAAGGGATAAATGTGTTCTATTCCTGACTGCTAAACACAACTTATTGGCACATAAAAGCCACTTCACTAACATTGGATCATCTACTTATTAATAAAGACTGGAGCTTCACTTATTCTACTTCAAGCTAGAAGTTAATATCACCATATTTTTCTCTTTGTCCAGAAGGAACTATATTCTCATTACAGCACAAAACAACGTATTTAGACTGTTTGCCCAAGCTGATAATTGAAGGAGTCTGTAGTGGGCCCTTAAGTCACCCAACACACACTCTTTTTTTAAAAGCCAGTTGCCCCTGTGCAGGCAGGTTCACCACATTTTTAGCTCTACATTCAGCTCACCTACACCCAACTCCATACCCCAAAGATGTTCCTGGGGAACCAAGATAAGAGCCTAACTATTCTCATGGAAAAGTTGCTAAATTCCCAGTGATCACCCAGCTAGCTCTCTATCTATACTGCTAGGGGAAATATGGGCTGGAAAAGCGGTCACAAGATTTCACCTTCCACCTTATGCTAGGAAGTATGCGGAACTTCTACCAGGTAAGCAGGTGGAGACCTTTGTTCAATCTTATCCAGGGAAGGAGGCACCCAGGGCTAAGAGGGGGCTATCTGATCTGTCAGCAGTCAGCTGAAGGTGGTGTGTGCTCGGTTTCTACCACACAACACCTTCATGCAGCTACAGCACCTTTTTATTTTTATTTTTTTTGAGACGGAGGCTTGCTCTGTCGCCCAGACTGGAGTGCAGTGGTGCTATCTCGGCTCACTGCAACCTCTGCCTCCTGGGTTCAAGCTGTTCTCATGCCTCAGCCTTCCAAGTAGCTGGGATTACAGGTGCCCACCACCACACCTGGTTAATTTTTGTATTTTTAGTAGAGACGGGGTTTTGCCATGTCGAGCAGGCTGGTCTCAAACTCCTGACCTCAAGTGATC
This sequence comes from Homo sapiens, assembly GCF_000001405.40. NCBI lineage: Eukaryota > Metazoa > Chordata > Mammalia > Primates > Hominidae > Homo > Homo sapiens. The sequence goes on along the minus strand of NC_000015.10, from coordinate 73,033,433 downwards.
CTCCCACCTCGACCTTCCAAAGCGCTGGGATTATAGGCGTGAGCCACCGCACCCGGCCTACAGCACCTTTTTATGTCCCACCTTTTCATCCACTGGCACAAAAGCATCAGTAATTAAGATGGAATTTGCTGAAGATTTCTTTGGGGAGAGGGGAGGAATGGAGGAGAGAGTTAACATCCATACCACAGGGAAACACCCTCAGACATCATCATCTAGATGAGTATTGTGTCTCTCTCTTTAGCAGTTCTCCACTATGTTTCATCCACACTGCTCTAACCAGCTTGGCCCCCAAATTTCTAGAGTCCCCTCAGTAAAAGCTTTGTGGTTATTTAGTAGTAGTAGTAGTAGTAGTAGTAGTAGTAGTAGTAGTAGTAGTAGTAGTACTTTAAGACGGAGTCTCGCTCTGTCGCCCAGGCTGGAGTGCAGTGGCGCCATCTCCGCTCACTGCAAGCTCCGCCTCCCGGGTTCACGCCATTCTCCTGCTTCAGCCTCCCGAGTGGCTGGGACTACAGGCGCCCACCACCACACCTGGCTAATTTTTTTAAAAAGTATTTTTAGTAGAGACGGGGTTTCACCGTGTTAGCCAGGATGGTCTCGATTTCCTGACCTCGTGATCCGCCCACCTCAGCCTCCCAAAGTGCTGGGATTACAGGCGTGAGCCACCATGCCCGGCCAGCTTTTTGGCTATTGAATCTGTCACCCTCCTTAGAAGGCAAATTAGTAGACTCTTTGTTATTATCTATGGCCATCCTCTTCGAGTCTCACCTCCACTCCAAAGGACATTGAACAATATCTAACATTCTCCCCAGTAGACAATCTTGTTAATACAATCTTCTTTACCTCCCTGTACCAGTTCTGGCTTAGTCTCCAGAATTCACTGAGGCTAATTCCTACTTTGCTTATTTAGACTGCTACTCCCTTGTCTTGCAACCTACCCTGCCCCTACACCTGGCCCTTCCTTGCTCTGGCAGCCTGCTTGGGATGCCCTTCTTCCACCAGGTTCAGCCATCCCTCTAGGACAAGGACCCCAACACTGCTGCTTCTTTAAGGGGAGAAATCCTCCTGCTTCTCCATCCTGCCTGGACCATTATCTCGGAGTGTTGGGTCAGGTAACACCAAATCGCTGTCCTTAAATGAGATCCTAACATAACACTTAAGGAATTTATAAATATGTTCATCCTTCATCGACACCTTTAACTCTTAGAGACAGGCCACTAGCGGCCTCAGAGACTGACAGTAATTGTAAGACTGCACATCACAGGCCAGCTCTGGAATTCCTCATGGTCTGGGCCCCACCTTTCCCCTGTTGCATTTACTGCTTCTGACGGTCTTACTGGTTTGATGGTTGTCCATTTGGGTCCAGCTCTGACTTTGGGATGCTGTCCTTCAGAATTAGGGCCCAGACTCTAAACCTGCCTGTCGGGTTTGCTGCTACTCCAGGGCTTCTCTCTTTTGACTTTGGGGGCCTTGCCTTGCCACAGCTGTGGGGAGGGTCCTGCCTAGGAACTGGTTGTGGGTGTCTCCTACCTCACCCAGTCACCTAGGTGGCACAAAACACACTCAAGGTTTCAAGGGAAAGAGCAACATGAACTTATAGCGTCATAATAGGTGTGCCAGGTACCTGGTATTGAGCCAGACAATCTGCTCTTTTAACTTCCTGTATAGCTTGAAACAAATTTTTAAGGGGGCACATATTTTTGAATAGTTGCCATAAGGTAAAATAACTATTTCTAAAATATTATACATGTACACACAAATGATAAATATGAAACATTTAAAATAAGCAGATAAAGTATTTAAATCAGGTTTTATATATCCAACCCCCATGCAGGTCTGGTACCTAAATTATTATTGTTGAATGCTGAACCTCCTTCCTTTTTAATTCAAAAATGGACAGTAAGTAAATCTATCATTTCCAAGATAAAATTTGTAAGTTGGAGAGATATAGAGAGAGCAGAACTGTGTATTCAACCATTTAAAACTATTTTCAAAATTTTGTTTTTCAACAGAATACAAAATGTGGTCTTGCTGGAATTTGTCTCCTAATCTTTTTTTTTTTTTCTTTTTGAGACAGGGTCTTACTTTGTCACCAGGGCTGGAACACAGTACCGCGATCTCAGTTCACTGCAGGCTGAGTCTCCAGGTTCAAGTGATCCTCCCACCTCAGCCTCCAGAGTAGCTGGGACTAGAGGCGCCCACCACTACGTCCAGGTAATTTTTGTATTTTTTTGTAGCGATGGGTTTTTGCCACGTTGGCCAGGCTGGTCTCAAACTCCTGGGCTCAAGCAACATTCCTACTTCGGCTTCCCAAAGTGCTGGGATTACAGGCATGCACCACTGTGCCCAGCCTTGTCATCTATTCTTAAAAATACATATGGGTTTCAAAGGACATTTAATTATGATTTTTATTCCTTTCAACCTAACAATATACTTTAAAAGCACTACTTGATATCTAAGAATACCTCATGAATTCTTTTAATAATTTCCTCTTTTTTGACTAAGAAGAATTTTTGCCAAAAAGAGCTGGAAACGAGAAAACTTTGGTACTGCATTGAACCGCATTGGTCTTTTATTTTTTGAAAGCTTTCCAGAATATTATCTTCTCTGGTTTATAATTTTTCCCTCACCTACTAGTTGAATAACAGTTAAAAGGTCACATCTTTCTCATCCCATCACCAAAGTAAACATTTCTCCAATTACCCATGAAGGGCAAATGCTTCCAAGGAATTATTTATTGTTTATTAACAAAAGGCAAAGGCTGTAAGAGAAGGCTCTGTGTCACACATATGAATACTTGGCAGTAACATTTAAGTATCCCTAAGCTTAAAAAAAAATAGATATCATACCACATTTACTGTATTTCTAAGAATTTGTTAGCCAACTGCCTGCTAAAGTGTATCTAGAGTGGTTCTGAAGAGCTACTTCTTGGAAGTATCACCTTCACAATTCACTTGTTTTACATATGTCTATTGCCTGGCTCTATTATAGACACCGGAAATATGCAGTAAACAAAAGAGACAAAAATCCCTGTACTCTACAGCTGTGAAAAGAAAGTCTCAGTTTCTTTAACAGCTCCAGCTTATTAGAAGTAAATACAGTACATAAGTGATTACTTGACTCCAAAGAAATCCAGGCTTTCGCAGTCAGACTGTAAACTTTCTGACCAGTACCCTTTTGGAAGGAAGCACTGAGAGGCATCCTCTCCAAACTCCTCCTCCGCCCAGATCAGTGTTTGTTAAACTCTTCAATATTTTATTGTAACTGTAGATGGCCCATTTCTGGACAAACACCGTCTGGGTCCCTGGAATTATTTTCTTATATACGGCACTTTGTCAGGTTTACCTGATTGTCCACATGCAACAACCGTTCTTTAAGCTTCTCTGATACAAGAAAAAGTCATTTTAAGTAATTGAAATTGTATCAAGTTAAGTAAGGAAATATTCTGACTTTGTTGTACCTAGGTTGGTCATGTAACTACAATGCTATGGAATGGCTAGATTAGGGAGTAAACTGGGAGAAGCCCAGGAAGTCCCATCTATACAACTCCCCTCTCCTTTCCCCTCAATTTATCTCTTCCACTCAGATGCCTCACCGCAAGAAACAAATCCACCATAGGACTGGTTATTACTCTGTACAGAATTGCCTTCTCCAGGTATCATTGTTCGTATATGTAGACACCTCTTAGAGGGATATCAGATTCTGCTAACAGTCACTGCATCTGGAAGACTGAAGGAAACTAACACGAAATAGTTTGAATTGTGTGGTAGGCGCTTTACATGTTACATTGATTAATTCCTACAACACTCTCTATGAGTAGGTTTTCTCATGTTATAGATGAGCAATCCAGGATTCAGGGAGGCTCAATGATAAGCCCCCAGATCACACACCCTTCCAGGGCTGCAGCCAATAGTCAAATGTAGCCTTTTTCTCCCTTAGTCTGCATATGTTTATCGAATTCCTCACCTCTGTGGCACACAAAACCTAAAGATAGCCTCAAGAGTGATGACTGCCTGGCAAGGGGGTTGAAAGTGGGGGAAAGAACAGAGACATGAAATGAGAGACAAAAAGGAAGCAACTTGCTGACATTACAGTTTTCTCTGAGGTCAGATCCAGCGCAGAGCTACATTCTTACTGCTTTGATAAAATTCCTGATTCTCAGAAATACTGACTCGGCAGGACCTTAGAGGTCATGTAGCCCAACCCACCATTAAAAGCTTTATTCAGTCATTAACTCACTTTATTACTGTTGGTGATCTGGGAAGTAGTGTCACTGACTTGGCAAGTGAGCACATTTCTCTGAACCACAGTTTTCCACTATCTCATCGTGGGCTTGTCTAGAGAGATTTGACTTTAAATAATAAGAATTCTTTACATCTATTTTGCTTTTCACAATTGTCAAAATGCTTTCGTTCATATACCCTATGCCCTTTAAACTCTCGTTTCTGTGATAAAGAGGGGCGAGTACATTTTATGGTGGGAAAAACTGGGAGCTAGACCAGATTGATCTGGGTTCAAACTTCCACTTTGCAATATACCAGCCACGTGAACTTGGGCAGACCATTTACTCTCTTTAAGCTTCCTTAGGTAGGTTGCCTTTTTCTTTATGCCTCCAAGTTCTCATCAGTAAACTGGGGGTCAATAATACTTCCCACGCATGGTTGAACTAAGGATTAAGAGAGGTTACATATGTAATGTGTGTGCACAGGGAAGGCACTCAGGGTTGGTTGCTTTTCTCTTTCCTTTTCTTTTTACAGCTGAAAACTAGAGAAGAGGTAAAGCAATGCTTCCCAGATAAAACTGCCAGTGATTGGTGAACTGAGGCCAAGCCTTTTTACTGCGACTCTAGGCTCTTTGTACTACACCATCCTATCTGGAATAACTTTCTTTTCCTTCTTTACTCTTTTGATTTGTACACACCTTACCCTTTTTAGCTAACTTCACTGTAGTGCAAACTCTTCACTCCCTTTCTCTACTCTAGGCCTTCTGCTTCGCTGTTTCTTCTTCTCGTGGTGCTGTCCTCCTGCTAGTTTCTGTGCATATTGCCTCTTGCTAGTTTCCTGTGTGTTTTATATGCTCATTGGAAGTTTAAGACAAATGAACAAGATGCTTTCATCCATTTCCCTCAAATGCAAAATCTGGTTCTCATATGAAAGACCGAGCAGCTGTGGTGGCATCCAGGCAGATGGGCTCTGAGTTCCCTGGCTTCTGGTGCCCGGGTGTGACGTGCTGCGGCTGCCTTCCGGATTTTGATGACTGCTCCCCTGGCCCTGCAGCTTCCCCAACACTCCTCTAACAAACTCTGATTTAAACAGCCCTACATTCAGCCTTTCACATACCCTTGTAACACACAGAACTGGTGCAGCCCATTGGGAGCTCAAATGAATCACTGCTGAAGGAATTGGTGTTGTTAAAGAGGTCATTCTTCCAAGGCTATACAGAAATACAGGCAACTCTTCTAAAACTATCTTTATTTAGGTCATTCAAAATGCATAGTCACAATGTCAAACTGGAGTGAAAAATAAATGTGGAGGCAAGCAGACTTATAATACAGCATGCACACATATTTGTGCAGAACGCATAATAAAAAGATACTTGTCACTCATTTCCTTTATCATAAATTCAAGTAGTACAATTGGAATATTACCCAGCCCAGAGAAAATATAGTATCACAGATCTGAGAAAATTCTCAAGAGATCATCTTGTCAACCTACCTATTTCTCTCTAAGCAGAGGATATGTCTAAACTAATCAGAATCGAGAGTTAATGTTCTCTTATTGAAAATTTCTATTCCCCTATGAAGCCTATTTACATATCTGAAATTGTTTTCTTACCACCACACGACAATCTCTTGGGAAGTCTCACAAATAAGTGGGATCATATTTGTTTTCCTTCCTGAGGAAGGCTCTAGGGATACGATCTTAGAAAGCTTGTCAAGAAACCCTATGTCACATCCCTATTCTATCTGTTGCAGGCTGCCCCTCTCCTTGCCCTAGTGGGTGTTCAGGTGCTCGCCCAACCAGCCCCGTTGGTGCAAGGCTGAGCCCATACTAATACCTCTTGTCTGCAGGACCACTGGTGAGTTCTAAGGATCCTAGTTTTCTGGGAGGGCAGAACAAAAATAAATCTAGCGGGCTGGGCACAGTGGCTCACACCTGCTATCCCAGTACTTTGCGAGGCCGAGGCAAGAGGCTTGCTTGAGCTCAGGAGTTTGCGACCAGCCTGGGCAACATGGCAAAACCCCATCTCTACAAAAAAAAAACAAAAATTCTCTAGGTGTGGTGGCACACACCTGTAGTTCCAGCTACTCGGGAGGCTGAGGTGGGAGGATTGTTTTAGCCAGGGAGGTTGAGGCTACAGTGAGCTGTGATAGCACTACTGCACTCCAGCCTGGGTGACAGAGAGAGACCCCATCTCAAAAAATAAATAAGTAAATAGATAAATCTGGCTGTTGGCAAGGTTTCTATGCTTCTGCTGGGCTGCTACTAGAGCTAGGACTCTCACAGCCCATTGCAAACCAGCTTCACTCTTACCCTTTGTCCCCCTCCTCCCCAAAGCCCTGGCCAAGCCCTCAAGCAATGCAAGAAGGGAAAGGACAAACTCCCCACTGAGCAATAGAGCCGGTCCCCTGGATCCCACTGCTTTCAGGACAGTGTGCCTCTCCCACACCCCCCTCCTTTCTCATGCTGGCGTCTTCTCAGCTGAGCAAGGCAAGACCATCAAATCAAGTCACATCAAATCAAATCAAAGAGAAGAAAGCAATACTGCAGACCACGTGTTGGAGCGTGAGAACACAAGGAGCCTCTTCTGTGCCCTGCCTGACCACCTGCCACACTTTTAACTTCTTTACACAGTTGCCAGGACTTATTTGAAAGGGTGGCTCAAGTTTATCTCCTTTCCCTGGATTCCCATCTCTCCAGAAAAATCCAGAGTGACAGTAACATAACCTTTGTGGAGAAACAAAATATCAATATTTTCCTCAAACACTTTTAAAATATGCTTATCAACAACTGCAGGAAAGAGGGAATAACAGTCTGCCTAAATACCTGGCTTAATCATTTTGCGAGCCAATTATGGAAAAAGAAATCTAATTTTACTTTTATCAAGAAGAACAAAAAGGAAGTCATTAGGTAATATTCAGCTTTAAGAATTGGAATCTGGGGTGGGCACAGTGGCTCATGCCTATAATCTCAGCACTTTGGGAGGCTGAGATGGGAGGATCACTTGAGCCCAGGAATTCACGACCAGCCTGAGCAACATGGCAAAACCCCGTCTCTACTAAAAATACAAAAACTAGCCGGGCGTGGTGGTGCATGCCTGTAGTCCTAGCTACTCTGGAGGCTGAGGTGGGAGGATCATTTCAGCCCAGGGGGCAGAGGTTGCAGTCAGCAGAATGCACCACTGCACTCCAGCCTGGGCAACAGAGCAAGTCCCTTTCTCAAAAAAAAAAAAAAAAAAAAAAAAAAGAATTAGAATCTACAACATCACTGGGGCAAGCCTTGTCCTCACCAGGAACTATTCACCTCACACCAATACAGGAATTACACCCGAGGGATACTTCCAGGGCCCCAGCCTCCCCCACCCCCAGGATGGCATCCACTCTCCATGGACCCTGCCACTTGACATGATTGCTTGCTCCTAGTCTGTAAGTCTAGTTAGAGCCCCATTAATATTTGATGTTTCTCATAAACACAAATACACGTTTTTATTCTTTTACTTTCTCTTGTTTCTGTCTCCTAAAGTGCCTCATCTTCCCCACCAGGGCCTGAGATTTTGTCACCCAGACTCTGGGTGACAAAACCGTTTAGTTCTCTTGGCTTCTACCTGACCCAGCACAGCCCAGGTGCACACCCAAGGCCTACATTCTTGGTCTTGCTCCTCAGGAGCTTCCTGTGTATTAACCTGGCTCCATAAGGTTTTGAGCAAAAGGTGATGAGGCTCTCTCGGGATGAGGATGGATTTCCAGGATAGTTAAGAGTACAGGGTCATATGGGACATTATCTCCTCAGTTGGACTCTGCCTAGATTCCAGTCCTTCCAAGGAGACTATGAGTGATCCTAACCTCGTCCTTAACTCCCCTAAAAAGAGAAATAAATTGGATGTATATTAGTCTGCTAGGGTTATCATAACAAAATACCACAGACTAGGTGGTTTAAACAACAGAAATTTATCTTCTTACAGTTCTGGAGGCAAGAAGTCCAAGATCAAGGTGTCTGCAGGTGTGGTTTCTTCTGAAGCCTCCCTCCTTGGCTTACCTTCTTTCATGGCATTTCCTCATATAGCATTTCCTATGTGTGCACACACCCCTGGTGTCTCCTGTGTGCATCCAAATGTTCTCTTTTATAAGGACACTAGTCAGATTGGATTAGGGTCCAATCCAATGGCCTCATTTTTTTTTTTTTTTTTTTGAGACAGAGTTTCACTCTTGTTGCCTGGGCTGGAGTGCAATGGTGCAATCTTGGCTCACTGCAACCTCTGCCTCCTGGGTTCGAGCGATTCTCCTGTCTCAGCCTCCTGAGTAGCTGGGATTACAGGCGCCCGCCACCACTCCTGGCTAATTTTTCTATTTTTAGTAGAGATGGGGTTTCATCATATTGGTCAGGCTGGTCTCGAACTCCTGACCTCAGGTGATCTGCCTACCTCGGCCTCCCAAAGTGCTGGGATTACAGGCGTGAGCCAACGTGCCCAGTAATGGCCTCATTTTTAATGTAATCACCCCTTTAAAGGCCCCAGCTCCAATTATAGTCATATTCTGAGATACTGGAGGCTTCACATATAAATACAGAGGGGTCACAATTCACTCCATAATGGGTGGATTTGCTACCTTCTGATATGAAGGGCCCTTATGGGGCAGATTTTATGCTACACTGTCTCAGATGCAGTTGTCATGTCCAGTTCCTAGGTGGCTGCCTTTGGCTTGGCATCCATGTCTGGTGAAGCCAGTTATGGTGAGGGCACCAAGTTGGTTTCGCTCAAAACATAGCATAAGCAATAGCAACTGACGCAAGAAAGAACTGGTTTGGGCCACTTTCCTTAAAAGGGTGCTTCAGGTGTGGCGGGTGTTCCTGGATTCCTGCAGTACAAGCAGAGAATCCACGTGGCTGCCAGTTGCTGGAAGCAGAGCTGGTGCTCCTTTTCTCCCCACCTGCCCAGGTCTCAGCCTCTGGGATGTGAAAGCAGGACTGCATCTTCCCCACCCAACCTCAACTAGGCCCTTTCCAGGCCTGGCACCTGTTCACCTGTTGGGGGTTAGTAAGATCCATGCTGGGAAAGGGGAGAGGGACCAACAAATGAGACTCTTCCCAGAAGCACCTCTGGCTGCTGGTCAGATGGCCAGGTTATGTCTAGCTTGAGAGGCTGGAGGCAGAAAGACTTGGACTGCTGCCATAATAACCTGCACCTGGGCCAGCAGATGCCTTCTCTCCTGGGGGACCTCTTGGGCTGCTCCTCTCCTGGTGCTCAGATGACCAGCAATCATACAGACCGCCCCACCAGGGAGCAGAAAGCCAGGGAGCTGCCCCTTCTTTGGTTCTCATTGAGAGTCTTACCCCAGCCCTAGCCCCTGGTGCCTTCCTGCCTAACCTCAACTGCTCCTGCTGGGGTCCTGGTGTTGTTTGAAAGGGGAAAAGACCCCCCAAAAATTTATCCAAAATGAAAAAACAAATGAGCGGAGGCCCCACCTGCTAACCAGGCCTGAATGCAGCATTTGTTGAGAGCTGGTACCTGCTTTTACTTACTTATCTGCTGTTTCCAAAGCTGAATCTTTGAGGTGAGGAACCAGGCCTACAGAATCACATTCATTCATACAGGAAGGAGGAGAAGGGGTCTTTCAGGGAATCTTGACCCTATGGGTTCCAATGCCTGGCAAATGGCATTAAGTTTGCCCTTTGGAACCCAGGGGCAGTGGGGATATTTAAATATGTAGGTGGCCCTGGCTATGAGAAACCATCTGATGACAAGTCCCTGGTTCTCCTCTTAGGAGATGCGGACGATACTGCCAGGGTAATCCAAATCCCAAAGTGATGCTTCTTTGAAATTGCAAAGCTACCACCACTTTATCACAAACTTCTGAAGCAGTAGTTTTGCCTCGTGTTCAATTTAAGGTTCAAAAATTCCTTTCAAGCTGTTTTGTTTGGATCATGTTTTTGTCTGCCAGGCATCTCTCCTTTTGGAGAAATGCCACTTCCTCACAATCTGTGATTCCAGGAAAAGCTATGAATAATGGGGCCCTACCCCTTCAATCACAGTCCCCACTCAGACCACCCTCACTCCCAGGTATCTGAATCTAGAGTGGGAACACAGAGGGTAAGAAGGCAGGTGGGGCTGGGCTGTTTCACAGAACTTCTGCACTGGAGGAAGCCATCACAGGCATCATTACCACCTTGTGTTACAGATGAGAAAACGGAGACTCAGAAAATTAAATGTCTTCTCCGACACTGCCCAAGGTCCCTGGCAGAGCCAGGATTTAAACCCAGGTCTGTGTGACCCCAAAGTTCACGATCGTTCCACTCACCAAAATAGTCACCATGTGCAAAGCACTTATTAGGGGGAAACAGCTTTAGAGCTTGCCCATTTCACTCAGTGAATTAGATGCAGAGGCATATGTGACATTCAGTTATTTCTCATTTGCATGCACAGGATCATGGTCTTTCATCTCCCCACCTTGCTGCAATTCCCTGCATCAGCTCACCATTGTGGTCCTCACACGCCCTACCATTTGCCAATGAAGGGGTTTTAGTTTTTCTCAAGACACATTTTTCTGTGTTTTCAGGTCTGCCTTCATCTTCATCTTCATGAGACAGGCACTAGCCTATGTGTGTCCTCTATTTTCCTGAATTGTTCTTTTCTCAACCAATTACTGCATCCCCTTGGAGTCCCCCCACCCCCACCTCCAACTGCCTATAAAAGCAGGCTAGAAGCCAGGGTTTCCCTGTAAATACTGAAATTGTTCTTCCATTTTGCCATTACACATTATGCTTTAACCAAATAAAGCATGTCTGCTGAGGACACTGGAGCCTCTTCCGAGATAGTTTATTTTCCTATGACCTGCGAGCTTCTTTCTTCCTGATGAATCAGCACCGCCGCTTTGCTCTCAATGCTGCAGCAGTAACAAGGCATGAAGACTGTCAAGCCTCAGCCCATAAATGACTCTAAATGCACCTATTATTCCACTGTTTTTCCAGCTGATTCCTCCTGAGTTCAATACTGTGTTCTAGGCAGTTGTAAGTGTCAGTATATCTTGCTGAGGGCTCAGGGGGTTCGAAAAAGCATTTGATTTCTTGGGTGTACTGCATGCTTTGGGAAAACAAAACCAAACAAATAATTCTTATTTGAAAATCACATTTTCATAATCCTCAAAGGGAAAACTTAAATGCAGTGTCGACCTCATCCAATTAGCCCAGAAGCACATGTCAGGTTGCGTCTGTGAAGATAAACTCCAGAGGAAAAGACCCGCTTGACACACCTCTTGAGGGCTTGAAAAAATACTTTCAGTTCTATCCAGCCACCTGCCTTGATGTACTCAGAAGCTATGGAAGGTGCACTGTAATTTAACATAGATTGAGCACAATTATTTCCTCTTTGGGGGTCTAAGGGTCATGATCAGATGTGCTTGGGTTAATTCTTGCTGTCACTTCTCTGCTTCTGCTACAGACTCCATCAACTCCTCTTTTTTTTTTTTTTTTTTGTTTCATTTTGTTTTAAGTGCCTGCCTTTTCTAGGCACTGTGGGAGGGAGACACAAGAAATGGCCAGATAGATCCCTTTCAAGGGCCTCTCAATACCAGTAATGTAAGCAGATTGTATCACTGGTGGCTGGACCCTGAAGAGAATTTCAATTCTAGCAGAAGCAGACGGAAATAGGCTTTTAAAATCCTTCCTCGCCGGATTCTAACCTGCTTGGGAACTGGCTGCCCACTTTTGCTGGTCTCCTAGCAACCAAGCCCCTTCCTCCGCAGGCCCTGCTGCTGTCCACTGGGCCAGGCTTGGGAGAGTCAGCCTTTCTCTGCCCTCCCCAGCACAGGGCAAGGATGTCACCGAGGGAACGGGAGTAAGCACTTGGAGAAATTGCTAAATGGTCTGTAAATGTACGGTAAAGATGACAATCCAAATGGGGGCACCTTTCACACATTTTTCAGGGGATCTTGGGATTTAAATTCATCCTTCTGCTTCCTTCCAATAATAGCTGGCATGCATGGAATGCTTTGTATTTTACAAAACACTTTTGCATCCATTACCTCATGCGATTCCCAACAAGAGCCTTGAGAGACCTCTACAGTGGGGAAAAGCATGGGGAAATTTTGTGAGTTCACTTCCAGATGCATTTAAAGGACTCAAGAAGAAACTCCAGGTCGTTCCATTAGTAGTGTCTTAAAAAGGGGAAAGAAACTCTAAACACCAATTTTTTCCATCATCATCGTCATTGGTAATTTTAAGTTCTGACCAGCTGAGCTTTGCCTTTGTGACAGGGAGTTGAGTGTCACCTAGGAAAGGTGATGTATCTCTTTCTCTCTCCTGCCCTATCACTCTCCTTGTTGCTTACACAGCAGCCACTTTGGGATTAAAATTGATGGAGGCTCTTTGTTGATGACAGCTTTGTTCAGAATTTTGCCTGTAATATTCTTCCCTTCTTGTGATAAAAGGAAAAGCAGAAGGGAGAAAAGCTGTCTTGGTCTGCTTGGGTCACCATAACAAATGACCATAGACTGGCTTAAACAATGGAAATGTATTTCTCACAGTTGTGGAGTCTAAAAGTCCCAGATCAAGGTCCAGCCGGGTCTGTTTCTGGTGCGGCCTCTCTTCCTGGCCTGTAGACAGTTGCCTTCTCTCTGTGTCTTTACATGGTGGAGAGAGGGCTTAACCTGAACCACCTCTGCACCACCTCTGCAAAGTCTCCATCTTTAATATAGTCACATGGAGGGTTAGGGCTTTAACATTTGATTATGGTCCTGAAGGATGGAGGGAAGAGAAGCAAAATCTTTCCACCGACTCAAAAATTCTGCACAGTCTGCCTTAGCTGGAGATGGAGGTACGTCTTTGAACTGTGGGTCAGAAAATTTGGCTCAGTGATAAAAATCTTTTTGTTTCCCTCTCTCCTTGTGGATTGGAATCCTTTGAAAGAAGTTATTGATTCTCCGTGGTTTACAGCATCTTTATCATTTTAATATTATTCACATAACTCGTATGATTGTTCCAAGAAATTCTGCTAAAAACAACAGGATCTAAAAATGCAGTTGTGGAAGATGTTGCTGCCATCTTAAGACAGGGCAGTTGCAGGAGAATAAAAAATTCCAGGCAGCAATTTCAGCTGGAATGACCAGCAAAAGGAAACTGGTGAAATAACTGCAGAAGGTATGAGCTGGTAAGGCCCTGAAAAACAGGGTGTGGACCAAGCTGGCTAAGACCAACTGGATACAACATGGCACTGGATTTGACCTAGGTTTCACTTAGGACCTCATTATATGCTTATCAACATACAAATCACACACCCACCAGCACCATGACAGTTCCAAGAACACCCATATTTGGTGTAAAAATGGGTGGCACCACAGTTCTGAGAAATCTCCACTTTTTTCCAGGAATTTTCATGAATATTCCACCCCTTGTTTAAAGAAACCCATAAATGTAGCAGGCCCAAACCCCCTTGTGCTCAACTCTCTCTTGAGTATACCTGCACTCCCTTTTCTTGAGTATGTACTTTTCTCTTTGCAATAAATCTCTGTGCTTTCACTATTTTGCAACTTATCCTTAAATTAATTCTCATGACAGTGTGAAGAGCCTGGACCCTGGCTGGGGTCGAGGTCCCACCAGCGTTTGGGGATTTCCCCCAGCCCATTGGTATGAATCTTGCTCATCATGGTGCAGTTACCAGCAGTCCGTGCTATTGAGAGAGATGGCAGCAGCTTGAGGTCTTGGAGTGACCCCTTTCATCACTACCTTCAAAAACAGCAGCTGTGACTATGGTGGCACCCTAGTAGCCAGGGAGCGCAGATACAGTGGTCTTCTGGGAACACACTCCCTCCCTCTTGCTCTGACTGTTGGTGCTGGCCTCTTGCCTTTTTGTTTTCTGGTTGTCAGACTGAGGGGAGAAGGGAGAACTCTGTTTTGCAGCAGCGACAGCAGGTTTTTCATCATATGTAAAGCTCTAGATAAAGAAAATCAGGCTAAACAAAGTCCTAACTTCATTGGTTCACAATCTTGAAAAGAGAAAATGCAAATGTAAATTTTTTAAATAAGCTTGTTTTATTTTGGAATCCTTTTAGATTTACAGAAGAGCCGCCAAGATGGTACAGATAATTCTGTATACCCCTTCATCCAGTGTGTGTCCCGTGTTATCTCACATTACCAAGGCACCTTTGTCAAATTATAAAACCAACATGGGTACATGACTAATGCTATTCAGATCTCACCAGTTTCTCAACTAATGTCCTGTTTCTGCTCCAGGATCCAATTTTGGGTCCCACATGGCATTTAGTCGCTGTGTCTCCTTTGTCTGTTCTAATCTGCTGCAGTTTGTGAGTCTTTCTCTGACTTTCATTCCCTGAACATTTTTGAAGAACACTGGTCAGGTATTTTGTAGACTGTCTATCCATTTGGGTTTGTCTGATGTATTTTCTCATTATAGGAAGACCAGATACAGTGGTCTTCTGGGAACACACTCCCTCCCTCTTGGGAGGGGTTAGGGATTTTTTGGGGGTAGAAGAATACATTGAAGTCATGTTCCCTTCTGATATCACATCCGGGGGTAACTGACAGCCACATGGCACCACTGATGATGTTAGCTTTGATCATTTGGTTAAGGGGGGGTGTTTGCCAGATTTCTCCACTGTAAAGTTACCATGTTTCCCTTTTCATACTTTACTTTTGGAAGTGAGTCACTAGCTACAGCTCATGCTGGGTGGCTGGAGGTGAAAGACTAAGATATCTACACATATTACTTGAGAAGATTTGTCTCTTCTCCCTATTTATTTATGAAATGTGAATTTTTTTAAAAATCACAACACAAACTCTGGAAGTTCAATATTCCTGGGATGAAACAAAGTCAAGTACTGTCAAACAAGGGTATCAACAAGAGAATCAAAGAGTAGAATGCTAATCTAAATAAAACTTTTCAAAATCATGGAATTTTGAAATTGATGAGATCCTTTTATTAAAAAAAATGCTTTAAAAACACTTACCCACAGAAGAACAATTTATTTAACCACTGTGTAATACAGCTTCATTGTTAGCAAGGATATCGAATTACAAGATGTCCATTACAACAGGCCTTATTAAGAACTGGAGATTACTTCTGAATTAAGGCCATAGAGAGGGAACTTTCAGGGCATTGTGAAATGTGAATGCCAGTTTTCAGGACTAAAAGGAAAAGGGAAGAGAGGATATGGACTCCTTTATGAAACATAATGCAGAATTCCTACAGGGTATTGCAGGCTAGAGATACCCCTACTCCTGTCTGGAAATGCAGAAAAAATGTAGCATTTGATAATGCAGATGGCCTAGAGCAGGGGTATCCAATCTTTTGGCTTCCCTAGGCCACATTGGAAGACGAAGAATTGTACTGGACCACACATAAAACACACGAACACTAACAATAGCTAATATGCTAAAAAAAAATTACAGGAAAATCTCATAACATTTTAACAAAGTTTATGAATTTGTGTTGGGCCACATTGAAAGCTGTTCAGGGCTGCATGTGGCTTGTGGGCCGTGGGTTGGACAAAGTTGGCCTAGAGGGTTTCTTAAGTATTTCTTTCTAGCTTGGGGTGGGAAGAGAGAACTTGACTGGGTTTGTAGAGGCCAATTGTCTTTTGCTAAAGTCTAACAAAGCAAAAAAACCAAACAAGGAACCAGAGGCTCGCAGCTTAGAGCAGTGTCAGTAAAGAGGCCTAAGCCTAACATTCATCCTAAAACCAAGGCAAAAACAACAACCAAACAAAACCAAACCAGGAAACACTTTGAAAAAGATCAGTTTTCCAAACTGTAAAATAATAAAGGCATAGAGCACAAATCAATACAGTCAATAGAGTATACAATGAAAAGGAAGTCTTCTTATCCCAAGCCTCTGGGCCCACTCTTGAAAGGCAACCTCTATTAATGGTTCCTCATATTTCCAGAGGCAAAGATGCCCACTACAGCCTTATTTGCAATAACAAAAAGGCTGGAAGCCAGTAAAGTGTATGTTCAAAGTGTATGAAAAAAGTTCATCAGTAATGAACTAGTAAATTAATCATGGCTCATCCATACAATGGGATGTTATGTAGATATTACAAAGAATGAATTCATTACAAGTGCTTACATGGAAAGGTCTGGAAAACATATCATTAAGCAAAAAATAGCAAGGTATGTAAAGCATGATTTGTCTTTCTGATTTAAGCCACGTAAGCCTCTTTCAAAGGTAACCATCCCAGCATTACCACTAGGGTTGGTCTCATCAGAAAACGCCTACCTGTAAAGAAGTCACAGACTTGGCAACAGTATGTTGGAGAAGACTGTTCCTACTAAAATGATGTTACCACTGCATTGTCTTGAATCTTAAGTGTCAGTAGGAATTCTGCCCTTGGCATTCACGTGGCACTTCTTGTTATAACTCATGAATGCTGTGCTTATTGGTTCTAAAACACTCTTTTTTTCTGGTCACATTTTAACATCTGAAATCGGGATGTGTCTTAAACCTGTTGGCTAGGTTGCAGTTGATGATGGGGCTGTCACTGTTTGCACATGTGCAACAAAACTTGCAGAAGAGTGATCAGTGGCTGGGAAAAAAATCCAGGAGATATTAATGAAGAACTCATTTTAAAAAATGTCACATCCTCAAAGATGGTAGTGTGTGTGTGTGTGTGTGTGTGTGTGTGTGTGTGTAAGGAGGGAAAGGAGCAGTTTTCAACAATGCTAATTCAAAAACTAATTTAGAAGAGCCAAATTTGAACATGAAGTTTAAGAATACTGCAACCAATTTATTTTGCTTATATTTTCTTTCTTTTAGGTACACATAAGAGTAATTCATGATAAAAATCTGTCTCTAAATAATCTTAAAGTGTTCTTTAAATAACTATACAAACTCTAAGTGATAAAACAGCATGATATTAGAGTTTAATTGTCAGCCTTTATTATAGCCTAACAATATAACATGATGTGTCTTACAAGTGATAGAGTTTTAGATTCAGTGAAATATGAGAGGTGTTTCTTATTTAGGTAAAAGGACAATCTTTTGAAGGATTCAGAATGCACAGCTCATATCTCTGGTAGGCCTTTCTCTTAAATAAATTGGCAGCTTTCAGGCACTCCTTTAGATCTATGAAAGGTAAGGCCTGGATCTGAAAAACATTGTTTAAGAAAGGCCAAGTGAGTGTTTTGTGAAAGCGAAAGTATTCCTTATTTACCTTCACATTGGCTTTTTCATTGTAAGAAGCATGTTAGCCATTCCCTTGTTAATTCATTTCTTTCTCTGTAGCCTAGGTTCCCTAATGTCATTCCAGCTTGTAATTATATAGGAGGTCACTTTGATGATGGGACCTTGGATTTCACTAGTTTCCCCCGACTGCAATCACAGCACCCAACTGCAAAGTTCCCCTCCAATTAGCGAGCATTTCTGGGATCACCCAGAGTGTGTCTCATGCATTCTGAGTAAGTTAGGTCCACTGTATGAGGATATTTTTTCTTTCCCTTTGTCAGATCTCCTTCCATAGGGAGGACTCATGTCCACAAGGCACTGCAGCTTAGTTAGACGCTGCTACTGCCTCCTCTGGCAGCTGCTGCTGGTGCACAAGAGTCTCCCTGTTCAGGCCAGGTGTGGTGGCTCATGCCTGTAATCCCAGTACTTTGGGAGGCCAAGGCGGGTGGATCACCCAAGATCAGGAGTTCGAGACTAGCCAGCCTGACCAACATGGTGAAACCCCGTCTCTAGTAAAAATACAAAACAAGCCAGGCGTGGTGGTACATACCTGTAATCCCAGCTACTCAGGAGGTTGAGGCAGGAGAATCCCTTGAACCTGGGAGACAGAGGTTGCAGTGAGCCAAGATTGTGCCACTGCACTCCAGCCTGGGCAACAAGAGCGAGACTCCATTTCAAAAAATAGAGTCCCCTTGTTCTATTGCAAAGTGGGGGGAATAACTATCTTTGCAGCTTACACTGTTGCCATGTTTTAGTCTTCCTTACTGGCTAGAAATGGGTAATTGACTTAAACTGAGCCAGTCAGGGCTCTTCCCTGGAATGTTTGAACTCAAGGAGCTCTAATCTCTAGAGTGGTAAATCTAGTAGATGTAAACTTGGGAGTTGCTGGGTACTAAATTTCTAGAACTGGTTTGAGACAAGGAAGCCAGCTTGCAGAGAGAAGTACAGACCTGATTTCAGGCCCAGTTTACCCTGCCCTGCCTATGGTTTGTAGAAATGAGTCAAGTTTGCTCAAGCTAATTTAATTTGGAGTGCTGCTACTTGTAAAGCAAAGTATACTCATCACACTGTGACACTCCTCTTTCATTGTTTATACCCATTCCTCTCCAAAGCTGAGTCCATGGTGCGTTGAGATGGGAGATAAACCCAGGTGATAGACTCCACACTGCACCCTCACTCACCATCTCCACTGACGAAATCTTTGGTCTTGGGGTAAGATGCCTTGTGATTCCTTCCTTGGATATCTGCCTGACCTTCATCACTGTACAGCTCAGTACATCCTCTCTCTTACTTGAACTGTACTTTTCTCCTCTTCCTCTCAACCCTCTTCTCTTTTACTTCAGAGTTCTCATTCCATAATTACTAAATACCTCTCTATCTTCCACATTTTCATGGAACACTTCCCCTATCGTCAGTCTTAACTGGTACCAAGGACATCACTTCCTCTGCTGACCCCCTTAACAGAGGCTGCTCATTTTTGTATGCTTCATGGATTTCAGGCTCAGAAATTGGCATCTTGTCCTCCTTGCTCCAAAATACCACTTCTAGACCATTATCTCCTTACTCTGTTGTGAAAATAAAAAGCCCCTTTTTGGCTGGGCGTGGTGGCTCACGCCTGTAATCCCAGCACTTTGGGAGGCCGAGGCGGGCAGATCACAAGGTCAGGAGATCGAGACCATCCTGGCTAACACAGCGAAACCCCGTCTCTACTAAAAATACAAAAAAAATTAGCCAGGCGTGGTGGCAGGCACCTGTAGTCCCAGCTACTCGGGAGGTTGAGGCAGGAGAATGGCGTGAACCCGGGAGGCAGAGCTTACGGTGAGCCGAGATCACGCCACTGCACTTCAGCCTGGGCGACAGAGAGAGACTCCATCTCAAAAAAAAAAAAAAAAAGCCCCTTTTTAAGCTCCATCACTCTCTCCTCACCTCGATGCTCCCCTTTACAGCCCTCCTAGTATCTTCCTTGCATTCACTGGTGACATTTGCACCTGACTCACAGCCTCCATCACTATCCAATGCATGCTATCATCCTGGGGGACTTCACAGTCCACCTTAACAGCCATCCAAAAATCTCAGACTCTTGGTCGCTGACTTCCTCGTTGTCAAAGGCCTTGCCTCGCAAACCACCCCAGCCATCTTCTCCCACCCTTTCAACTCGGAACCTGTTGTTTTTCAGAAAAGATGCCATTGTCCATGCTACTAATTTCAACATCCTGCTATCCAACCACAGCCTCTTATTTTTCCAGCTTGCTCATTTAATGACTCCCGTGAAATCTGCCCTTCAACAATAATGGGGCTACATTGCAGCTACTCCTGTGACCTTCCTGCTTTTTCCTTGCCTATAAGCTCCTTCAGTTGAAAGAGCATTCAGCTTCCAGGAACATTAGTGTCGGAAGAGCTGTCTAGTGCTAGAGGTGGCGTGGTGCCTTGTCCAGCAGATAGCTACATTTGATTTCCACTCATCTTTGACACCACTGAGAAGGCTTTCTAGGCTTTGCCAACATAATAAATACTCTCCACTGGTTATTTGATTTTTTTGATTTATTTTTTATTTTTACTTTTTTAGAGACAGGGTCTTGCTCTGTCTCCCACTCTTGAAGTTCAGTGGCGTGATCATAGCTCACTGTAACCTCAAACTCCTGGACTCAAAAGATCCTCCTGTCTCAGCTTTGAGAGTTTATTTTTGTAGAAACCAGGTCTTGCTATGTTGCCCAGGCTGGTCTTGTACTCCTGGCCTGAAGTGATCCTTGCGCCTCCACCTACCAAAGTACTGGGATTACAGGCATGAGCCACGGTGCCCAGCCTGATTATTCATTTTGTATATCTGAATACTAGTAAGGCTAAACATATTTTTGTATAACTATTGGTCATTTATATTCTCTTGGGAATTGTCTGTTAATGTCCTTTGCCAATATTCATATTTGGGTGCTAATCTTTCCTTATCAATTCGTAGAACTCTTTATATATTAAGGATATTAGTTCCTTGTCATATGTGTTGTAAACACATATTTGCCTTTTAATTTTGATTATGGAGTGCTTTCCCTTTTCAAAAATTTTTAATTTTAGTAATCTACCCTAGCAGTCTTTTATTTATGGTTTTTGTCTTTGGTGGCAAGCTTCAAAAAGAACTTCCTCATCTTTTCTTCAAGTTTTTGCATTCTTAATTTGTAATCTCTCAGGAATTTAACACCGACAAGTACAATATGGGTCTAGCCTTTTTTTCCCGTGAAAATCGCCATCAAGCCAGGCATGATGGCGGGCACCTGTAATCCCAGCTCTCTGGAGGCTGAGGCAGGAGAATCACTTGAACCTGGGAGGCAGAGCTTGCAGTGCCACTGCACTGCACTCCAGCCTGGGCAACAGAGGGAGACTCTGTCTCGGAGAGGAGAGGAGAAGGGAGGTGAGGGAGGGAGGGAAGGGGAGAGGGAGCCAGCAAGTTTTCTCAACATCATTTATTGACTATCATCTGATGTCCATTAATTTGAATTCTATTCCACTGATGTGTCTTTCTTTATGCCAGTACAATGCTGTTTACCCACCACACCCAGGTAATGTTTGTATTTTTTGTAGAGACGGAGTTTTGCCATGTTGCCCAGGCTGGTTTTGAACTTCTGAGCTCAAGTGATTTCTGCCTCGGCCTCTCGAAGTGCTGGGATTACAGGCATGAGCCACCATGTCTGGCCTCTGTTTTAATTTCTATAGCTTTATAAAATGTTTTAATATCTCTTAGCAAGACTCCATCTCCAAATAAATAAATAATAATAAAAAGTTTCTCTCATCACCAAGACAGTATGGTTCCCAATTAGGCAAGTGTTTTCTCACACATCCTAAGTAAATTTTTTGTTTTCTCCACAGAAATTAAGTGTATAAGTTTATTTGTCAGCCAGGCACGGTGGCTCACGCCTGTAATCCCAGCTTTTTGGGAGGCCGAGGTGGGTGGACCACTTGAGGGCAGGAGTTCAAGACCAGCCTGGCCAACATCTATCTCTACTAAAAATACAAAATCCATCTCTACTAAAAATACAAAAATCAGCCGGGTGTGGTGGTGCACGCCTGTAATCCCAGCTACCCTGGAGGCTAAGGCAGGAGAATCACTTGAACCCCGGAGGCAGAAGCTGCAGTGAGCCGAGATCACGCCATTGCACTCCAGCTTGGGTGACAGAGTGACTACGCCTCAAAAAAAAAAAATTATTTATGTCTTTTATGAAAGAGGTTGTCTTTATTGACTCATTTTATGTTTTCTTCTTTTTGTATTGTCTGTTTCCCTTGTTTTCTATATTTCACTCTATATTCTGTGCTGTGTTAAAATAATGTTTTATTTGCTTGAATTTTCTGCAGTAATTTGGAATTCAGAAATTCTATTTTCAGTTACTCTACTAGTGTCTTTAGGCTTAGAAAATTATCCTTAAACTTTGTTTCTCTTCTTTTTGAGATGGAGTCTCACTCTGTTGCCCAGGCTGGGGTACAGTGGCACGATCTCGGCTCACTGCAACCTCCACCTCCCGGGTTCAAGTAATTCTCCCTGCCTCAGCCTCCTGAGTAGCTGGGATTATAGGCGCCTGCCACCACGACCGGCTAATTTTTGTATTTTTAGTAGAGACGGATTTTCACCATGTTGGCCAGGCTGGTCTCGAGCTCCTGACCTCAGGTGATCCACTGTTTATTAATGGCAAGAACATAAACCTTTCATAAACCTCACTTTTAAAACATGTTTAGTCATCTATGAATGAAGTAAATAGATCCAGACTCAGGGTTTGCCAACAGACAAGGTATGTGGCATTTTCTTGGCCCTTTCAACTCCCAAAGATGGGGCTGATAAAGGAGCCCCTCGCAGACATTTGTTGTATCTCTGCAAGCCCCAGAAATGCATTCCACTCAACCTGCAACCCATTCCAGCCTGTACATTTTCTAACCAAGAAAATCAGATGCAGCGGGCAGTTTCCTTTAAACAGTGTCTGACGTGAAGGCCACACACCTCCAGCACACTTCTTTCCACCCTGCTCTCAAGGGAGAGGGGACTCCTTATGCAGGATGCGGGGGCTTCTCTTTCCTGCTGCTTCCTGTTCCATGGCATGCTGGGAGTTAACAATCTCCAGATAAGTGTGACGCGATGCTGATGCAGTGATAGAGGGCTGAGCCCAGCCCATGCAGAACATGACTCCTGCACAGTTAGGAAATTGCCATTTGTTTTTCTAGAGTGTCGGGTCCGCACCTGAATTATGTATAGATGCCGAAGGAAGAATCTAAGTAATGCCTTCCTTCTCTAGGGCCATCTGCCAGGTTCTCCTTCAAAAGGTAGAGCATGCAGGAGGCAAATTAAACAGCATGCTTCCTCTTCCTTCTTCTTGGTCTGCCCCACTGCAGGCCGACAGCACTGTCTTATTTATAGTTTCCAGTGCTGTCATCAGTTTTGTATTTTGGTCTATCCTCATGGCATTTTAATGGGAAGGCAGGAGGAACTGTATCAAGAACAGCCTTCTGCTGCCATGCTAACCCAGAAGCCATATCTCTATATTTTTTTCAAAGTATATGATGTAACTTAAAACCTACCCCATGTCAGGAAATGCAAAATTTGCAGTTCTTGGGGGAATATTATATCACCATTTTTGCATTCACTTTACTTGAGGCAAAGTAGTAATCTAAGATACTTCCTATTATACATGTATTAATGCAATAGTCATAGGTTAATATTTCATTAGAGTTGAATTAAGTATTTACAGATGTGCATACGAAGGGTGAGTAACCTAATAGTTTACCAGTTGGGGGAGGGAACAAATCCATCCATTTCAAAATGATTCATGCTAACCATAATGGTGTCTCATTTTGAGAAAGTATAGTATTGTGATTGTATGCTTCTTCTAGTAGAACATTGGTAACTACTTTTTAAAGGACTCTTGAATAGTGCCTACACATGTGAAGGATGTTTAAAAGCTGGGGTGGGGTTGGGGGATCGGGTAAGATATTGAGACAACAAAGAGAAAACAAAAGGACTAAACAAAATCTTGTTTTTTTCCTGGGCTTTTTTTCTTTTTGAACTATTGTTTCTTTACTATGGAGTGCAGTAGCTCTATGCTTTGTTATTTTAGCACTTGTTTTTATAACTCTGCCTCTACTAACCGTACGAGCCTGGGCAAGTCCGGCGTCTGAGTTCCATCAGCTGAGGCAGGGATATGTAGGGAGAAAGGAAGTGGATTGCATGACAGCATCCATATCCAATATTTTCTTGGCAGGTGTAGCTAAAGGCTCAAGCTGGAAGTTTCAGAGAACCACGCGGTCTTGGGAATAGAGTGTGGAGCAAACATTTATTAATCTCTGTTAATAGACTCCGGCATAAGAAGTCTGTGATCCAGATCCTGCTAGACTCAGTGCTAGGGGACCACAGCTGGGGCATGGTGCTCATATCCAGACACCTCTTTTATTTTTCTTTTTCAGACAGGGTCTTGCTCTGTCGCCCTGGCTAGAGTATAGTGGCACAATCACAGCTCACTGCAGCCTCCCCCATCCCTCTCGGCTTACCCTCCGGAGTAGCTGGGGCTACAGGCTCAAGCTACCACACCCACAGGCACCTCATTTTAAGAGAAGCACTACAAGAGAGAATGGAATGTTCCTGGGAAGGAGTATCCAGGTGGCAGAAATTAAAAAGAAAGAAACACACATACACCATGAATTGGAGAAGAAGAGATTGAGGAAGAGGCAGAATATTGTAAGATATTAAATTGGAGAAAGAAGTTACAGTTTGCTTCTATAGCTCCAGGGGGCAGGACCAGAAACAACATCTGGAAGCGGGAGGGAGAGGATTTGACTCAATGTAAGGAGAGATTTTCTCACAACGGAGGTTGTTCAGCTATGAGAGGATGCCTGCTGAGTCGTTTTATTTCCTTAGTATAGTACTTAGCTTATGTAGGAAGTCAGAGGGATACAGAGATACAAATCAGGGTTCCTATTTGGAGGGAACAAATAATTAGAGGACCCCTAATGTTCCTTCTAAGATTTCTCTTCCAGTTTCCTCTTCGTGTATGGGATTTATAACTGAAATATTATAATATTCAAATCTCTGTGCTACTTTTACATCCAGTCAGACCATACTGCAGTAGAAACGTGTATCACGGAGTCATCAGAATCACAAGGTATCTCCTCAAAAGGCTTACTCTTTGCTCCAGAATTTGAGAGCTGAGGTTTTTTTATTTTTCCCTATCTTTTGATAGCTAAAAAAAAAAAAAATAGTTCTCCTTCAACGTATAACAGTATTTTCAAAATACCTCTCAACTGAGGTTAATTTATTGTTAACCCTCTCTGTCCTTCTCTGGCCCTCCACATGTGCTGTTCAGGCTTAGCCATGAGGCTGAGTAAACAAGGAGGGAGGAAGTGGACAGAGGAAGGGAACAGCTCAACACCCACCTCTTCCAGCCCAGGTTACTTACAGTAAATCCTGGGCAGAAGGAAAGGGATGCAAAAGAAACACTTCATCTTCTGGACTAGGCGACTATTAGTAAAAAGAAGGGAGAGTACGATAATTAATTTTATGTGCCGACTTGACTGGATGGAGAGATGCCTCAATGGCTGCTGAAGCATTATTTCTGGGTGTCAGGTCTGTGAAGGTGTTGCTGAAGGAAATTGGAGTGCAAGTTGGTGGACTGAGTGGGGAGCATCCACCCTCAATGTGGGCAGGCACTAATCAATCTGCTGGGGGCCCAGATAGAACAAAAGGCAGAAGAAGGGCGAATAGTTCTCTCTCCCCTATTTCATCCACCGTACCCCTCACCCTCTCCCCTTCTCCTCCTCTCCTCCTTCCCCACCCCCTCTCAATTCTGGAGTAGGATGCCCTTCTTCTCCTGCCCTTGGGCATCAGAATTTCAGGTTCTTTAGAACTTTGGACTCTGGGACTTGCACCTGTCCTCCCAGGGCTCTCAGGCCTTTGGTCTCAGATTGAGAGTTATATCAATCGGCCTCTTTGGCTCTTGGGCCTTCCAACTTGGACTAAGACATCCTTATGGTTCTCTAGCTTGCAGACAGCATATTGTGGGACCTCTCAGCCTCCATAATTGTGTGTGCCAAGTCCTCTAATAAATCTCGTCTCATATATCCATATCTATCTACCTATCCTATTAGTTCTGTCTCTCTGGAGAACCCTGACTAATACAGAGAGGAAGGCAGGAGAATATGATAGTGTGCCCAGAACTCTTCCTTGAGGCCTCAGCTCAGGGGTAGGGAGGAATGTTAGACAGGTTATGGGGAATACTAGCGTGAGGCGGATGTTTGCTTCACATCTGGGACTCTGGAAGGAGCTCATCTCAAAGGCTGTGCTGCCCTCGCCTGTGGGGCCACATCAGAGTAGCTTGGTGGGGCAGCACGATTTGCCAAAGGAGAACTAGAATTGGTTCTCCTGAGTAGCTGTTGGTATTGATGTGGCATGGGTAGGGCCCAGAAGACCCCACATGCCCCTGAGTGGGTGGGTGTTTAGGAAGCAGCTGAGTTGAGAGCTGATGGGCATGTAATGGGCCTGTGATGGTGAGGGGCAAAGAGTTAGACTGGTCCAGGCAGTGAATGGAAGACAGGCAGAGCTCAGAGGGGTCTGTGATGCCCACAGGAGTTGAGGGGCACCACTGTGGCTTCATCAGGCTGAGAGACCAGACCACAGACAATGGCAGAGGAGGCTCACAGAGCAAATGGAGATGAGTCACACAAAAGACGCCATTGCCACATAGGCCACCGAGGACTCAGAGAGCCACATAGGAGCACAGACAACGCCTTCTTTCCTCCAGCCAAGGTCACTGAGCCACACCCCGTCCTCACACACCTAGCCACCATCTTGCAGAGGATATCAGAGAGGCAAGCATTTTTACCTAAAGGGATTGAGCATTTTCTTAAGGAGAGTGTTTAATGGTTGCACCACACCAGGTTTTAAGACTAGACTAAAATTTAGGAGTTATTTTCTGGCATCTTTTTAGGTGGGGGGCAGGGGGGTGTCTGTTGTGGACAACCTAAAGAAGGTGCATTATCTTTACACATCTGAGTTGGGGTATGAATAATTTTTTTTATTTCATTACAAATGCCAATAGCATAAAAAGTGTGACATTGACCTTGTGGACAGACACTTGTATGTCCAGGGCCTAGGGTGGTGCCTAGGAAAAAGAATGTGCCAAATAATTATTTGCTAAGTTAATTAATAGCAATTTTCAGTAATAGGATGGAAGAACATTTTTACAAACTCAGATATATTATTGTAGAAATATCAGTCACTTCCTTGGTTCGATGCAGGCTCTCTGGGGAATCTATACAATTCAGTCTCCATCTGAAATAGGACCAGCAAGATAAGGTATCTCATCAGGGAGAAATTTAAAAGATGAAATGGAGTAGGAGGGACTAGCATCAGGAAAGACTGTAATAAAGGTCACTGAGAGGAGATGAAAGAAAAAATCAATGGAGAGCTGCAAAAGACAGAAAAAAAATTTGTAATAGCTGAAGTTAATTTAAAGCAATGAGACATGGAGTTGGTTTGGATTATGTGTATGAGGCCTAGTATAGTCCATTTTATTTTTATGCAATATCCTTAAAACTCCATGTCATAAAGCACTTAACATAAAACACTCAATAAGAGAATCAATTACTAGACTGAAAAAGACATAAAAATAATTTAAAATTTTTTTCACATTGCATTTTCATGCCAATTAATTTCAAAATGAGTTGCTGGTTTGTTGATTTGCATTTTTGCTATTGAATGCAACTCTCTTCTTTGCGTCAGCATAGCCTGATACATTCACGACATACAATCAAAGCCCCTGGAAATAACGCTTTCGCAGTACGCATTACGATAGAATTTCTGCACACTAAAGATGTTCCGCTCATCCCAAACACCCTTTTCTTTCTCATCCAGCTCTTCTGATTCTTTTTATTTTACCATCGCAATGTATCTCATATTTGCCCTAGCTCGGACTCTCAACACCTCTTGCCTAAACCAGGGATAGAAGATACGGGTGCCTCTCACAAGACCCAGACTTCTCCACTGAATGCTAAGCTACCTACTGAACATCTTCATTGGATACCTAATAAGCATCTCAACCTTAGATTTTCAAAACCCAGTTCCTAGTTTGTCCCCAAATCTGTTCCTCAGGGAGTCTCCCCCAATCTCAGTAAATGGCAATTCCATTTTTTTCTGATTGTTCAAGCCAAAAACCTTGGAGTATTTTTTGACTCTTTGCATTCTTTCACACATTAAGCCCATTCCTTCATCAAATTCTGAAAGCTCTACCTTCAAAACACAGCCCAAATCTGATCACTTTGTCTCACCTCTCCAGCTCCCACCCTGGGCAATGTCGCCATCATCTTTCATCTGGATTATTGCAATACCTTTACAACTGGTCTCTCCTGGCCTCCCTAGAACAGCCAGGGTGATCTCTTCAGATTGTACCACTCCTCTGCTCAAAGTCCTTCAATAGCCTTCCATTTACTCAGAACAGAAGCCAAGTCCTTCCTGTGGCCCACAAGGCTCTCTATAATCTGGCCTTCCCTCACTTCACTCACTTTATCTCCTCCACTTTCCCCATCTCACTTTATTCCAGACACACTGATCCCCACGCTGCTCAGGAAAGAAGTTAGGCATGCCCTTGCCTTTGGGCCTCTGCCCTAGCTGTTCCCACTGGCGGGAACATTCTTGCCCAGAAAGAAGCATGGCTCACTCCCTCACTTCCTTCAGGTTTCTGCACAGGAGGTACTTCCTCAAGGAAGACCTTCCCTGGTCACCTTCATTAAAACAGCAGTTCTCTGATTCTCCTTTCCTGCTCCCTCCCCATCCCCTTAACCTGCTGTATTTTTCCACATAGCCCTTATCTCCATCTGACCTACTATATTACTCTTTATCACTGCTTGTCTGAAA
This sequence comes from Homo sapiens, assembly GCF_000001405.40. Taxonomy (NCBI): domain Eukaryota; kingdom Metazoa; phylum Chordata; class Mammalia; order Primates; family Hominidae; genus Homo; species Homo sapiens. Next base: position 73,005,175 of record NC_000015.10, on the reverse strand, counting down.
TCCCTGAAGCTCCTCCTTCCCTCGTAGAGTGTAATTTTCTTGAGTTCCACCTGGGATTTGCTTGTTGCTTTATTCTCACATTCTAAAACAGTGCCTAGCATATGGTAGGCAATAAATAGATGTTTGTTGAATGGATTGAACAACTATGACAGTGACTTAGCCACCCTTAGCTGCTCCTCGGAACTCACATTTGTTCCAGGAAGGGTCCGTGAGGTAAGAGACAGGTAAAGGTGGTTTGCCAAGCTGACCTGGATGAGCCTCTCTAAGAGGGACCCTGGAACTTGGCAGGGCACCTCAGTTAGGGGACCAGACATCGTGGGTCCACGACTGGTTTACACCACTTCTATGGTTGTCTTTCTTAGCCTTTCTAGCTTTCATTTTCCCTCCTTTCCTCTCCCTACCATCATCATCACGGTGGTCAAAAAGTCTTTATGAAGGTTTTATGAAACACTTCCTAGTTCTAGGGCATTGCATAAGCAGCTGCAGGGCTCCAGGGTGTGGGCTGCCTGATATTTTTAGGCAAAGAGACTGTTCAGCAATGGGCTCACCCACATGAATTGGAACAGAGTGGGATCGAATCACCTGCCCCTGTTACTGCTGTGTCTGGTGCCTCCAGGCCTGATCCCAGGCTTGATCCAATTAGTCCTTGTAATTGAAGGCCAAGTGCGATTAGCTCTAGGTTATGAGTATGGACTTTGACAGACCTGAGTTCAAGCTCTGCCACTTGGTAACTCTGAGACCTAGGGAAAGCCACTTAAATTTATCAAGGTTTCAATTTCTTCATTCCAAAATGGAAAAAATAATAGTACTTTCTTCAGACAGCTGCTGTTAGTTATTAAATAAAAACTCAAGTCAAACACATGGCACCGTGTTTGGCCCATAGCAAGGACTTAACTAGTACTAGATGCTGTCGTTATGGTGGCTATTTCCACCCAAATTGAATAACAAACCACCACAAGAGACTCCTGAGAAGAGGAAAGTCATTTAACTTTTATCCTGCCCTCAAATGCTTAATGTGGATTATTGGGACTCTGAATTTTCAGTGACTCTGTTGTGTCCTTGAAGTTGCTGAGTGGTTAAAATTGTGGAGAGCCCATGAGATGAGCCAGAGGGATTAAGAAACAAGTAAATGTTTACCTGCATTTTATATGCTCGGTCTGTTAAATGGCTGTGTTTTCATTGACTTGGTCCAAATTGATCAGTGATTCACATGAGACCTTAACTATGCACTTCTATATGTAAAGTTGATGTAACTGGGGATTCTTTAAACCACTTTGGTATTTTTGTATGTTTAGTGTATACTTTATCATTATCATCAACTGAAAAGCAGTGTGCTCAGCTCACATACGGATTTCCAATCATGTGGCCATTACTGAAGGAAATGTGGCCCAACGTGTTGAGGATATCATGGTCTAACTTCTCTTTTGCTTGATGTATGTCTGTGTAGTTTTTGCACATATGTTAAACTGCAAACCCTTTGAGGTAAAAACTGGGGTATCGTGGCCAGGTGTGGTGGTGTGCACTTGTAATCCCAGCAGTTTGGGAGTCTGAGGCAGGCGGATTACCTGAGGTTAGGAGTTTGAGACCAGCCTGGCCGACATGGTGAAACTCCATCTCTACTAAAAATACAAAAGTTATCCGAGTGTGGTGGCACATGCCTGTAATCCCAGCTACTTGGGAGGCTGAGGCAGGAGAATCGCTTGAACCTGGGGGGTAGAGGTTGCAGTGAGCCAAGATCGAGCCATTGCACTCCAGCCTGGATGACAAGAGTGAAACTCTGTCTCAAAAAAGGAAAAAAAAAAAACCAAAACTGGGGTATCACTTTCTTTTGCTGTCCTCCACAAAACCTACTTGTGGTCTGCACAATGAGAGATCTTGAACACGGGTAGACAGTTGAAAGCCTGAACATTGAGTGACACTGGGTTTCTAACTCACATTTCCATTCTGAGAGTGCAGGGCTTTTTGGAATTGCAAATGGCCTCTCTCTTCAATCCCTCAGGACTCATTCCTTCACATTCTTAGATCCACAGGTCTCTGATAATATGCATGTGTTTATCCGTGTGTGTAAGAGTGGTGTGTGTGTGTGTGTGTGTGAGAGAGAGAGATTGAAAGAGACCTGTCCTATGTCTCAGATGAGATTCAAACCTGTCTAGGAATGTCTGATGAGCTGAAGGACAGATCCACAATGAGGAGTTGATTTATATGAAGGTTTAGTATGAAAGAGAAGGGAAGGCTTTTGTTAGAGCTTATGAAGGGAGAGCCTGATGTCAGTCTGGGAACTTATTCCACAGCCCCTCCCCCAAGGACTTGGGCCTGAGGTCTTCAGAGAGGCACTGGAGGACAGAACCATTTCCACAGGGGTTTGGAATGTGCAGAGATCACCGGGCATCTCCCATATGGTAGGGAACCCTGCTGGTACAGTCATGCTTCAGCTACTTCAGGAACACAAGGAGCGGACTTGTGGTACAAACAGCAGCATCCTTACAGAGGTCCTACATAAACGGACAAGGATGAGGCACTCCCTCCAGCAGCTGGAAAACATACCAACATTATGATCCTCATTGTTGACATTGTTTGAGTGTGTCCCTGTGCCAGGCTTAACGCAAGGCACATTTAATCCCATTTTACAGGTTGAAAAAGCTGATAAATTATTCCAGGTCACACATGCTTTGATTTTGTAAAAATTTTGTTTTAGGCCGGGCGCGGTGGCTCACACCTATAATCCCAGCACTTTGGGAGGCCAAGGCCGGGGGGATCACTTGAGGTCAGGAGTTCAAGACCAGCCTGGCCAACACGGTGAAACCCTATCTCTACTAAAATACAAAAATTAGCCAGGTGTGGTGGCACATGCCTGTAATCCCAGCTACTCAGGAGGCTGAGGCAGGAGAATCACTTGAACCCGGGAGGTGGAGGTTGCAGTGAGCTGAGATGTCACCACTACACTTTAGCCTGGGCGACAGAGTGAGATGCCATCTCAAAAAAAAATTATTTTAGAGATGAGGTCTCACTATGTTGCCCAGGCTGGAGTGCAGTGGTTATTGACAGGTGTCATCATAATGCACAATAGCCTCAAACTCCTGGTCTCAAGTAGCCTGGTCCTGCCTTAGCCTCCTAAGTAGCCGGCACTGCAGGTGCATGCTACCATGCTGGCATGTTTGGAGTCAAATTACCTGGAATAAAATAATCTGGGTAACTTGATTCCAAGCCTTATGTTCTTAATCACCCTTTGATATAGCTCCAGGGTTGTATGAAGCAGAATAGGCAATCCAGAAATAGACTGAAATACATGAGTGTAATATGTATCATATAAAGGGTATATCTTAAATCAGTGCAGGTAAAGATGGATTTATAAGTAAATGTATTTGGACAAGTGTACAGCCCTCTGGAAAAAGGTAAATTTGGATCCCTACCTTATACTGTATACTACTGTATACTAGAACAAACTCCATATGGATCAAGTATATGTTTTAATATAAACATAAAATCATACAAATGCTAGACGAAAACATGGACAAATATAACAATGGAGCAACTGCTGTAGCATTGGAGTAGGAAAAACCTTTCTAATGACTCAAACCCCAAAAGTTCACAAATAAAAACTATGATAAATAAATTTATATAAAAAGTCAAAAGACAAACGACAAATACAGAAAAAAAGAACTCATCAGAAAAAGGATTCATCTTTCTTTATATAAAGAGGCCTAAAAATTGATCAAATAAAGACCAATGACTTAACAGAAAATTGGCAAAGGACATGGGCTATTCAGAGAAAAAATGCAAATGATCCTTAAATATATGAAAAGATCTCATCCTAACTCATAATAAGAGTAATGTAATAAGACGCCATTTGAAATGATGTTAAGGTATCAATTTTTACATATCTGACTGGCAAAAATCCAAACATTTGACAACATACTCTGTTGGTGAGGCTACAGGAAAACAGGCATTTCCCCTATACATATATGCTGGGGGACGTCCACAATGCCGCAGCTCTGTGGAGAGCAATTTGATAATATCTATTAAAATACAAGGCATTGACCTTCTACCGCAATAGCCTATTTCTGGTAATTCATCCTACAGATCTACCCACACAGGTACAAAATGACAGATGCCTAAGTTAAGCTATTGCTGCATTGTTTATCTTGGCAAAGATTGAAAACAGCCCAAGTGTCTATCATTTGGGATCTGACTGAACCAGTAAATACACATTATGGAATATTATGCATTTGTAAAATGCAAGGAAAATTACATAAGGATCTCTCTATATATTTTATGTATATTTTATTTGTTAAAATACATAGGTGTATCACCAAGTAGAAAAAGCGAAGATGCAGAACAAGGTATATGGATTGTTACCTTTTGGGTGAGAAGGGGAGAAAATAAAAATATATATTTACATGGGCATAAAGAAAAGTGGAGGGAAATGTGAAATAGTAAAATGGGGATTGTGTCTTGGGGGAAAGAAATAGAGAACAAGATGGATGGGGGATGGGAGAGAAAACTTTCACTATCACTTTTTATATATTTTTAAAATATTTTTAACCATGAGAACATATTATCTAATACAAGTAACTCAAAGAACTTAAATGTCTTTATGTTTGTTGACTGCTTTCCTCAACATCGTGTGCTGATTTTAGCCTTGGATAAGAGCCTGACCTAGTTTTGGTTTATCTTCAAAACAGTGAACAGATCCCAGAGTTATCGGCTGTGCAAATCAGAACAAGTTCAGCTGTATTTGGTCCAAGAGTGTCAGCATCGGAGGCTGAGCAGGACGATTTCTTAAAGATTTTGGAAGAACCTTACAATTGAGCATTATTGGGCACAAGAATGACAATAATCCAATTTAAAGTTATGAGTGGCCTGCCCCAAGAGAAATGAGGTCCTCAAGACTATTCTAGAAGGGAGATTCAGATCAAAGCCAACATGGGGCTTCACTGTCAGCTCTGTGGTGTTTAGGAGCCCTCTGCATGTCTAACCTATCTGACAATGAGGAGGAAGTAGGTCTCAGAGCTCTGAGTTCTTGGAGGCATGGCCAAGGATAAGGGGGGTTGAAACATACCTTCAGCCTCCACCATTGTTTGAAAGACAATAGAGGGAGTTGAAACTGAAGAAAAGCGTAACTGGACAAAAAGAGTAAAAGACATGAATCAAAAGTTAAATAGGGAATAAAATGAAGGAGAAAGGAGCTAACATGTTTTGAGTGCCCATTTGTCAGTATTTTGTTGTTAAATCCTCCCAATAGCCCTGTGAAGTAGGTTTTATTATTCACAAACTGAGGCTCAAATGGGTTAACTAAGCCAAGCATGGGAAGGTAGGAAGCAATGAAGTCAGATCTCTCTGATGTCACAGTCCGTGCTTTCTGTACTGTAACTTCCAAGTTCAGATTTAGCAACAGGTGCTTCTAGAAGTCGTCACCCTTTTCCAAATAGCTCTTTGTTCTCCTGGTGTCCCCAGCCCCAGCTTCCACCAACAGGAGAAGACTTGAAGCATTCCCGGAACTGCTCTTGGACCTCCAGAGCTTCCTGTGTCCCACATTATCTTGCATTTTTCCTGCTAGTCATGATCTCTCTGTGCCCTTGCCCAGGCCTCACATCTAGTTAGTGTTACAACTCTTGTAGATGCCTCTTGAAAGGATGACCATCTTCTCTCAGGGTTTTTGTTTGTTTTTAGAGCCTTTTCTCCTAAGAAACCTGCTCTAGGACCGGTTCATTCCCAGTTCAAGTGGTACCGTCTATATCAAAATCCAAGCTGTCCTTTCCTGCCTGGAATCCCAGGTATTAGAAGTCCAGGCATCTGCATTTTCCCGAGTGCCGACGTGTCTCTCGCTGACTGCTTCAGGAAACCCTCTGATGTGTTAGGAAGAAGGTTGTGCCTTCCCTCTGACCTGAGAGGCTGTATTTTGGAGGCGAGGGTCTTTCTGACGTCATCTCCTTTTTTCTGAATTATGGGTCTTGCTGCCAACCTGTGAGGGGGCAGTTTGTACAGTGAGATTTGCCTCCACACCTTTGGAATTGCCACATTCAGGCGAGCCAGCAGCCGTATTTCATCTGGCTTATCGTATTTGGGTGGTGGCTAATTCAAATATTTCTCTCCACGCCCAGCACTTCCCAGTCACCCACAGAGACAGTACATCCTTCTCTCATTTGCAGCCTACAGACTCCTTTCTGCTTGCCCAGTCTCTTTTCATATGCTGCCTCTTCTAGAATCAATAAAATTTCAAATACACTTAATCACTTAAATACCAGTTTTGTGGTGCTCTTCATCTGACTGAGGTATAGACATACGTGTATAGGCATGCAGAAGACACGCGGTACACTGGTGTTTACCCAAGTCAAGATGCTGCCATCCTGAGGCGTTTTGCACCATCTTTTTTTCCTCACCGAGTCTCTCAGTGACAGCCCAGTGACCTTTTGTCTGAAACAAGACAATATCTGTGAAGTTAACTTCCATTGCTGCACACATTTCGGCTTGTAAGCCGTAAAGGGACATCCACAAGTCCTGACTCTTTGTAGATAAATTTAACACATACATATGTATCATCCCTGGGTGTCTCAGATTAGAGGCCTTTGGAAGAACGCGGTGTTCATTTATATTCTTCTCATAGCTGGAAGCCACATTAAGCAGTTACTTTTATATTGGTGAACCTAGAGCCCTCAGGCCTGAGTTCTGTCTCCTGCTGGTCACTCCTCTGGCCAGCCTCTTCCGGGTATGAGAGCTATTTCCCAACCTGGAAGAGCTAGGAGCCCCGGGCACGAAGCATCTCAAAGAGATGGCACTGGCAGTTACAGTCCCTGCTTGAACTCTGGGAAACAAACCGCCCACTTCCCACACTGTTGCAATTTACTACAAGTCTTAGCACGAGCAGTCCCTGTTTCAGCCTGGCACCCAAGTGTCTGGGATTTGGAAATTTATAATTGGAACTTGAAAGAGCCACCAGTACTGTCTTGGGGAAAAAAAAAAAGGTTGAAAGACTTTCTTGCAAACATTGTTACTTACACATGCCAGGTAATTTACAAGGTTAGTCCTCAAGCCTCTGTTGCCTGGGTAAGAGCAAGTAGTGTTTCTGGGGAGGACATCTGTGCCTCTCTTCAGCCTGATGTCACAGTCAGCTTTTTAATGGCTTTGATTCTCTCTGCTCTGAAAATTGCAGAGGAATACTGGAGATTCAGGTGGGAATGTTCCGCAGGTAGAAATAAATTCTGCCAACCATAGCTCGCATTCCTGTTTGCATACAAATATCCCCTAAGATTTAAAAATGTCAAAGTGAGAAGTGTAAGTCAACTGATTTCCTACCTTCTTCATTAAGGTTTAGTGTTAGAAACTGACAGGAGAAAGCTCTCAGCTGAGGTAGGTGACCCAAGCATGTTTAAATACATGCTCATATCTTTATTTTAAAATTCTAAACCTTTAATTTTAAATGTTAGATAAACTTACATTTTATATTATAAAAATGATAAGATATGACTGTAAAATTTTTGAAAAGCCTGAAGTAAAAAGAAGAGGGAAAAACCCCACTCATCCGTCTACCATCCAAAATCAAGTGTTATAATATTTTGGCATATTTTCTTCCAGGCTTTTTAAAGCTCTGGTTTTTAAGATTTTGCTTTTCATCTTAAAAACAAAACAAAAACCAAATCAACTTCTTTGCCAATATTTGCCTCACCAAATACAAAGCAAACCTTATAAGACCACTCAAAGGGGTGTGTCAAAGGAAAATACATTTTTCTTCATCACCACTGGGCTGTGTAGACAGGCCTGGGAGCCTCTTTCTCTCCCAGAACCCTTTTTAGAGAAGGGTCTGAACCTCTTCACAGCTCAGGAAGTAACCTTCCCCTCTCTCCTTCCAGAATCTAAAAATTAAGGTTTTAGAGAGTGAACACTGGCTTCCCCTTATGTAATTCCCTGTTGTTTTGGCAAACAGGTTCCATCTCCCCTCCCTTGGGACATGGCTTATCAAACATTCCCCCTGGAAGTGTTAGTTACACTTGAAGGAAGGAGTTCCAGAAATGCTACCCCAAAATATGCCACTTTGCTGTGCTGATTACTTTGAACAGAGAGCACTTGGGGAACAGCGAATGCAGGCAGAGGTTTTCCCTGAGACCCCTTATCTGCCTAAAGACGGATACTCCAAAAAAAAAACTCAATTATCATGAATCTGCTCTCTGGGAATCTTATCAACATGGGAAGATTAACTCCAATCACAGGAGAGGAGACTGGACACCACGCCAAGACAGACAATCATCTCTTCTCCTGAGAACTGCTCCAGACAACTTTTTTGTTTGTTGGTTTGTTTGTTTGTTTTGTTTTGTTTGAGACAGTCTCACTCTGTTTGCCCAGGCTGGAGTGCAGTGGCATAATCTCGGCTCACTGCAACCTCCGCCTCCTGGGTTCAAGCGATTATCGTGCCTCAGCCTCCCCAGTAGCTAGGATTACAGGTGTGCACCACCATGCCCAACTAAGTTTTGTATTTTTAGTAGAGATGGGGTTTCACCATGTTGGCCAGGCTGCTCTCAAACTCCTGGCCTCAAGTGATCCACCCACCTTGGCCTTCCAAACTGCTGGGATTACAGGCGTGAGCCACCATGCCCAGCCCAGACAACTTTTTAATAAGGGAGAGACTTTTTATCTGCCTAACAAGACAACATTTATTCACTGTATAATTCCTCTCTCACCCTCCCATAACTTGTGTCGCCACCACCCCCAGAAGCCCCAAGCCCCTATTCCCTTCTGTAGCTCAGGCTGCTATACAGGCTTCAGTCATCTCACCCTTCTTTGAGTCTCATATTTTGTGGGACTCCCATGTGTACACAATTAAATGCGGCTCTCCTCCTGTTAATCTGTCTTACGTCAATTTAAATCATAGCCCAGCCAAGGAACCTAGAAGGGTGTGGGGGAAGTCATTTTTCACTCTTCTGCACACTCTTGGTCTGTCTTCTAAACTCAATCCCTGGGAAGTAGCAGTTTCCCTCTAAGGGAGACAGATATTCCTTTAGCAGTCCCCTCAGTGAGCAGGATACTCTGAGAAAGGGGACAGGCCTGAACAGCCCATTGCCAGGAGATTTTGGGGGTCAGTTCTATTTCAGAAGAGCTGGGCTGAAACTTGACAAGATTAATAGGCATGTTAAAGAAATCTAAACATAGGCTGGAGGAGTGCCACAAAAGTCATCAGCACATGAACACACACACAGACTCTGCTCTTTCCCCTCTCACTCTATGCCATCAGATTCTGGATGAACTTCCATTCGTTTATGCTCAAAGTTGGATGAGAATGCCACAGAAAAAATAGGTTCTGGGGTACATGCAGAAAACGCTACATAACTTGTGGGGCCCAGTACAAAATGAAAATGCAGAATCCCTTGTTCAAAAGTATTAAGAATGTCAAGGTGGTGACAGGAGGACATTAAACCAAGCACAGGGTCCTTCTGAGCATGGGATCTTGTGCGACTGTGCCCAGAGCCTACGTGCACGATTCATATCATTGCATACGTGTATTCATGTGCCAATTCTGGTTTAGGGATCTTCTTTGCATGTAGAATACTCAACTTTCTTGAAAACAGAGCAGTAGAGATGGCCTATAGTGGAAGAAACCAAATAGGATACTCGTGGACCCCTGCCTCTAATAAACTCAGCTATCAACGATTAATTCAGGGTCAAGAATTAAACTAGCAAATAACTACAAGAGAGAAAATATTGACAATTGGTATGTTGTTGGTGAAGAAAAGATGAGTAGCTTTATTTCTTCCCATTATGTTCCAATTACACTCTTTTCCCATGTAAAGAGACACTTACTATGGGAAATCCTTGGGAGAAGGGTCTATTTAGGTTTCACTTCTAACTCCTCCAAGGCACTTAGCACCATGCTTGGCACTCAACTGTCGTTGTTGGATGAAACAATTCAGAAATTGCCAGAATGTCAGGCTTGGGAGAATGAAGGGACAAATGGATACCTAATGCCTCTATTTCTTAAAAAAATAATAAAGTTGAAAATACGGGAAATGTTTCTTTGCTGTGCTCAGGCACAGCAAAGAGAAAGACACAACTGAACCACGTTCAAGCTTCGGTGGAGAAGGGTAAACAAGGGAGAGATTATACGTAATTATACCTAATCATGTTTCAGGGGATAAACAGCAATCAAAGGCAAGGAGGTGCCGAAGCCTGGCCCCTTTCCAGCGGCAGCCCAGAAACCAGCAGGGAAAGCAGGCCCTGGGCAGGAAACACTCCCCAAAGAACTGTTTTCAGTTCGTTAGGGAACGGCCTGTTGCGCTGTTTTGTGTTGTGATTTTACTTTTTCTGCCCAGGGGTGGGGTGGGCAGTTCTGGAGTTCCTTTGGCTGTTCCTTTTGCACTTTGGAGTTGATTTTTTTCATTTGGTAATGGCTGAGGCTAACCCCCACCCCTCAAAACAAAAAAACAACAAAAAAATCAGCTCTCCAAAGGAACACTGAAGCCAAAGCCAAATCATTTGAAATGCTTGGCTAGTACAGAGGAAAAAAAGAATTTCTGAACCAAAGTCTCTCCATTCGTTTAATATGTCATAGCATAGCACATTAAAATGTATTCTCTGCAAAAACAAACACTTACAGACCCAGTTTCTGCACAAGTCAAAGGAAGAGACCAATGAGATTTTGACAACTCAGACCTTAAACACATATTTTGGGGAAAAATTATATTTTATTTGCACATTTTGTGGTCAAATTACCCAAATAATTACACTTTTATCTCTGCTGGTTATTAACCTAAATAGTCAACTATATTTTTTTCTGAGTTTAGGTAAACTAGTGGCATTAACGCTTCAGTAGATACTATCAAGACTAACTTGGGGATCAGGAAAGCCCAAATCTTGAACATTCTACTGGCCTCAGATGGCTATGGCATAGGTCTATGAGGAAACAGCTCCAAGCTCTGCTCAGCATCTGCTCTGCATACCCTACGGCCTCAGAGTCATCGGGGTAATCTTTCCCCTTGTGCTTAAATTAAATGTGTATTTCACACATAATTATAGGGTTCTATGGGACATCCAAGATGGTATCCACCTGAATTAATCGTGTTAAGCTTCTACACAGGTAATTAACCGGGTAGAAATAGCCTGGGGCATCCAAATAACCAAAACCGCTTCAATGTTGGGACACTGAAACATTCTCAGAGGCCTCACAGGGCCGAGCTGCCAGAGACAGCCGTTCTTAAATGTTAGGCTATCCATCAGCGTCACCTGGGAAACTTGTTAAACATGCACAATCTGCCGCTTCACCTTCTGAGAGTCTGATGGGGTGGCCTAGGAAGGGGTCCGTAAATGTGCACACTATAAAGCCACATGGCTTTTGTTGAAGGGGCTCAGGGGCTCAGAGGCTCATGCTTAGAGAAGTATGCTCTACAAACTTGAGCAAGCGTTCACATCACTGGGAAGTTAAAACACAGATGCTGGGCCCCACTCCCTGAGTTTCTGATTCAGAAGGTCTGGGATCAGTCCGGAGAACTGAATTTCTAACAAGCACCCACGTGACATTGCTGCTGCTGGTCCAGACAACACACTTTGAGACCCACTGTTATAGACCCTTAATATTCAAAGAACAGAACCGAGGGCGGCAGCATTGGCATCACGTGGAAGCTTGTTAGAGATGCAGACTCTCAAGCTCCATGTCACATGTTATGAATCAGGATCTACTTTTTACTAAGATCCCCAACTGATTCACATCACATGAACTTCTGAAAACGGTTGATTTAGATTAGCGGTTTGCCACCTTGAATACACATTGAAATCACCTGGGAAGCTTTTGGCAGGTACTGATGCCTGAGACCTGGTTTCGTTGCTTTGCCCAGGTTTTGGAAGTTTTAAGAGCTTCCCAGATAATTTTAATACACAGCCAAGGTAGAAAACCGCTACCTTAGGAGATGTCGGATAAGTACTTGTTGGGTGCCTGTTGATGGAAATTTCCAGCCATGCTGAGGCGATAGCTTCACTTTAGCGCTAGTCTTCATCCTGCCAAGTGGCCTCCCTGTGTACGGAGGCTCTGCCACGCTGACAGCACAGGCCAAGGAAGAAAAGTCTCAGAATGTGAGTAATCCGAGCACACACCGAAAATAATACAGACAAAAAAAACTTTTAAAAAATCCTCTGATTAGTATTCTCAGTGAGATTTGAGAGGACATTGCAGTGATAAAGCAGAAAAAAAACTGTTATGAAAAAGAGCAGTCTGAGAACAACGTAGAGTTCTTAGAGATGAAACACACTGTTGAAATAAAATTCTCAAGAGAGCAGGAAATAGCAGGGTGGATATCACAGAACGAGGAATTAGTGAGTTATAAAAGCTGTTTCCAAATGCCAAACTAGCTGAATTAAAGTCACCAATCATCCAGAGCACTGTATTAAAAAGAGTCTCTGGGCCCTACCCGTGGCTTGTAGAATCGGAATCCTCAGGTGGTGGCTAAGGACCCACAGCGTTAACAAATGCCTGGAAGTATTTTGATGGGTTACTCAGATTTTGGAACCACTCAATTAGAAGACAGGCCTAAGGGATTCTCCCAAGCCCCTAAGAAAGAGACACAGAAATTGTGAGAAACGGCAAACAATGAAGGGCTCAGAAAGAGCCATGGTGATTGCAAAACTCCACTGGGGCCAGGAGTGGGGTCGGGGGTGGGTTGCTGGAACACCTTTTACCACATGTGAATGGTGACTTCCAGGTTGGCCTTGAATGGAGGAGAGGTCTTGGAAATATATTTACCATATGCAACAGAAGTTCTAGAGGTAGATACATGAGCAGGTACAGATGAAGTTATCAAATAATAGAAGATTGTCTTCAGATCAAAAGGTAAATAAAATAAGAGGCTAGGTTTATTTTTTGAGCAGCTTTGTTAAGATATAACTCATCATGTAATTCACACACTTAACATTGTACAAATTTAGTATATTCAGAGTTGCACAACTCTTCCTGAGATCTAATTATAGAACACTTTCATCATTCCAAAAAGAAACCCTATTACTCTTCTTTTCTTTTTCTTTTTCTTTTTTTTTTTTTTTCTTTGAGATGGAGTCTCGCTCTGTCACCGAGGCTGGAGTGCAGTGGCAAGATCTTGGCTCACTGCAAGCTCCACCTCCCGGGTTCAAGTGGTTCTCCTGCCTCAGCCTCCCAAGTAGCTGGGATTATAGGCGCCCGCCACCACGCCTGGCTAATTTTTGTATTTTTAGTAGAGAGGGGGTTTCGCCATCTTGGCCAGGCTGGTCTTGAATTCCTGACCTCAAATGATTTCCCCCCACCGCCCGCTGCCTCGGCCTCCCAGAGTGCTGGGATTACAGGTATGAGCCACTGCGCCTGATCCCCATGACTCATTAGAAGTCATTTCCTATTCTCCATCTCCCATTCCACCCCCTGCCCTAGACAACCACTAATCTTTCTATCTCTCTATATTTGCCTGTTCTGGACCTTTAATATAAATAGAACCATACCATATTGGTCTTTTGTGACTGGCTTTCATTTAGTGTAATGTTTTCAAAGTTCATCCATGCTGTACCATGTATCAGTGCTTTGTTTCTGTTTATGGCTGAATAACATTCATTCCATTTTACAGTTATACCACATTTTGTTTATCTGTTCATTATTTGATGGACATTTCAGTTGTTTTCACTTTTTTGTCTGTTATGAATAACACTGCTAGAAACATTTGGATACAAGTTTGTGCGTGGGCATATGTTTTCATTTTTTTTAGTTCTTTAAAAATTTTTCTTTTATATGTTTTCATTTCTCTTGGGCATATACCTAGTTGTGGAATTGCTGGGTCATATGGTAACTCTATGTCTAGTATTTTGAGAAACTGCAAAACTGTTTTTCAAAGTAGCTGCATCATTTTACAATCCCAACAACAATCTATGAGTGTTTCAATTTCTCCACATCCTCACCAACACAACCTATTGACTGTCTTTTTATTTTAACCATCTTAGTGGGTTTGAAGTGATAGCTCATGTTTTGATTTGTATTTCCTTGATGACTAATTACGTTCGGCGTCTTTCCATGTGCTTATTGGCCATGCATATCTTCTGTGGAGAAATGTTTAAGTCCTCTGCCCATTTTTTAATTGGGTTGTCTTTTTAACTTGTAAAAGTTCCTTGTGTATGTATTCTGAATACTAGGCCCTTCTCAGATATATGATTTGCAAATATTTTCTCCCATTCTGTAGTTGTCTTTAAACCTTCTTCATAATGTCATTTGGAGCATCAAAGTTTTAACCTGGAAGTCCAATTTATCTAGTTTTCCTTTTGTCATTTGTGCTTTTAGTATCATAACTAAGAAGGCTTTGTCTAACCCATGGTCACAAAGATTTATGTTTTCTTCAAAGAGTTGTATAGTTTTAGCTCTTTCATTTAGGCCTATTTTTCACTTAGACTTAATGTTTGTGTATCTGGTGTGAGGTAGAACTTTATTGTCTTGTATGTGGATATCCTACCTGCAAGGGAGTCTCAGAAATGTAGTTTTTACCTGGGCACACTGATTTCCTAAATAAAAATGGGGTTCCAGTAGGATACTGGGTAGGCTAATAGCAATCTCTGCCACAGATTATTAAACCTACAGAAAATGAGTCTAGAGCAGCTGGTAGCCATTTCACAGAGCATATGGGGAGAGCCTACCATGGGCTGGAGAGACAGAAGTCTGACATCCTTTGATTCCCTGTTTCAGCTGTGCCTGAGCCTCCCAGTTATTAAAGCCAATATATTTCTTTGTTTCTTTTAAGTTGGTTTTAAGGTGAGTTTTTGTCATTTGCAAAAGAAAGAGTTCTGACTAATGCAAGGATCATCAGAAAAAGATTGGTTAAATTATGGTACATCTAAATAAATAAATCCAAGGTACACCCTTATAATAAAATTTATACAGTATTACAACTAAATGTATATATTTGTGTACAGTAGTCCCCATTATCCTCAAGGGATACATTCCAAGACCCCCAGTGAATACCCGAAACCATGGATTGTACCAAACCATATGTATGTATGTGTGTGTGTGTGTGTGTGTGTATATATACATATATATATATACTATGCTTATTCTTGTACATACATACCTATGAGAAAGTTTAATTTATAAATTAGCTACAGTAAGAGACTAATAATAGAACAATTATACTGTAATGAAAGTTACATGTGGTCTCTCTCAAAAAGTGAATGTGGTCTCTCTAAAAATATTGCATTGTATTTACCTATTTTCAGACTGGGATCACGGGCAACTGAAATTGTGGAAAGTGAAAGCGCAGATGAAGGGGTACTACTGCAGTTATATTTATTCCTATCTATATATCTCAAACTTCCAAGATACACCAAAATGTTAATGGTGATTTCTCTCTGAGTGGTGGGGCCTCCAATAACATTTACTTTCTTCTGCCTCTCTGAGTGCTGCATAGTGAACATGTATTCTTTGTTTCTTTTTGTCTTATTTTATATTTTTTATCTAAAAGAACTTTAAGTCTGTCCAAGCTCTCTTATTAGCAAACGTTTGGGCCCACCAGAATTCTCTACCACGCTGCCTGGATAGAGAGAATCTCAGCTTGTGGGATTGTTAGGGAGCTGCTGCTGGCTGACTGCTCCTTCCATAAAGGCCGCTGTCCTGGATCTAATAATGTTAAAAACTCTGTTGCTGGGGCTCATCAAGATAGCATAGTTGCAAAACACAAACCCCAGAAGATGTCTGATCCAACTGAGTGCATGGGTTGTGTAAGGTTGATTGTTGACAGGATTAGATTCAACTTCATTTTTTCAGAAGTAAATAATGGTGAGCTGTATCTTTAGACAGAGCATTAAATTCCCCTCCCCCCACCCCATGCTACTGCAGCATACTAGAGAAGACATGCATCCGCAATCATGGTTTTGATGTGTTTAAATTAAAAAACCAAATCTTATATATTTCTCCGCAAAATAAGAGAATGAAAAAAATGTTGAAGAAATGATGCTGGGCTGGGCGTGGTGGCTCATGCCTGTAATCCCAGTACTTTGGGAGGCTGAGGCGGGCAGATCACCTGAGGTCAGGAGTTCGAGACCAGCCTGGCCAACATGGTGAAACCCCGTCTCTACTAAAAATACAAAAATCACCCGGACATGGTGGCAAGTGCCTGTAATCCCAGCTACTTGGGAGGCTGAGGCAGGAGAATCACTTGAACCTGGGGCATGGAGGTTGCAGTGAGCCGAGATTGTGCCACTGCACTCCAGCCTGGGGCAACAGAGTGAGACTCCTGTGACTCTGTCTCCAAAAAAAAAAAAAAAAAAAAAAAAAGAAATGATTTAGGATTGCACCTGCCTGCATTCACTTGCCAGGGCTGCCATAATGAAAGACCACAGGCTGGGTGGCTTAAACAACAGAAATTTATTGTCTCACAATTCTGGAAGCTAGAGGCTAGAAGTCAGAGGTCAAGATGTTGGCAGGGTTGTTTCTTCTCCGCAGCCTCCCTCCTTCCCCGTAGTTTTTGAGGTATAATTGACAAATAAATATGGAGTATATTTAAGGTATACAATGTGATGTTTTGATATATGTGTACATTGTGGAGTGATTAAATCAAGCTAATTAACATGTTCATTACCTCACATATTTTGTGGTGAGAACACTTAAGAGCTACTCTCTTAGCAATATTCAAGTATAAAATACATTCTATTAACTACAGCCATCATGCTGTACAATATATATCAGAACTCATCCTGTCTGACTGAAACTTTGTACCTTTCACCAATATCTCCTTATTTCTCTGCCACCCCTCACCCCATCCCCTGGCAACCATTATTCTTCACTCTGCTTCTATGAGTTCAACTTCTTTAGATTCCATATATAAGTCAGATCATGCAAGGCTTGTCTTTTTGTGTCTGGCTTATTTCACTTATAATATTCTCCAGATCTATCCAGCTTGTCCCAAATGACAGGATATCCTCCTTTTTAAAGGCTAAGTTGTATTCTACTCTGTGTGTATATATACCACATCTTCTTTATCCATTCATCTGTCAATGGACAATTAGGTGTATTCCACATCTTGGCTATTGTGAATAATGCTGCGATGAACATGGGAATGCAAATATATCTTCAACACAATGATTTTATTTCCTTTGGATATATATCCAGAAGAGGGATTGTTGAATTAGTAGTTCTGTTTTTAATTTTTTGAGGCACCTTCATACTGTTTTCCATAATGGCTATCTCAATTTACCTCCCATCATCAGTATACAACATTCCCTTTTCTCCACATCCTCACCAATGCTTATTATCCTTTCTCTTTTTGATAACAGTCATCCTAACAGGTGTGAGATATCTCATTGTGGCTTATATTTATATTTCCCTGATGGTTAGTGATATTGAGCATTTTTCCACCTACCTATTGGCCATTGCCATCTTCTTTTGTGAATGTCTATTCAGGTCCTTTGCTCATTTAATCAGATTATTCGTTTTATTGTTATTGAGTTATCTGAGTTCCTTATATATTTTGGATATCAACCCCTTATCAGATGTAGGGCTTGCCAATATTTCCCCCATTCCATTGGTTGTCTGTTCACTTTATTGTTTCCTTTTTGCTGTGCAGAAGCTTTTCAGTTTGTTGCAATTCCATTTGTCTATTTTTGCTTTTGTTGCCTGTGCTGTTAGAGTCATATCCAAAAGATTATTGCTTAGACCATTATCAAGAAGCTTTTCCGCTATGTATTCTTCTAGTAGTTTTACAGTTTTAGTTCTTATGCTTAAGTCTTTAATCCATTTTGAGTTGATTTTTGTATATGGTGTGAGATCAGGGTCCAATTTTATTCTGCAGGTGGCCATCTAGTTTACCCAACACCACATGTTAAATAAACTATCCTTTCTCTATTGTGTATTCTTGGCACCTTTGCAAATGTGTGGATTTTGGGGCTGTCTATTCCATTCCATTGCTCTACATGTCTTTTTTATGCCTATACCATGCTCTTTGATTACAACAGCTTTGTAGCGTATCTTGAAATCAGGTGGTGTAATGCCTCTAGCTTTGTTTTTGCTCATATATGCTTTAGCTGTTCAGGTCTCTTGTGGTTTTATATGAATTTTAGGATATTTCTCTATTTCTATGAAAAATGATATGGGAATTTTGCTAGAAATTACATTAATCTATAGCTCACTTTGGGTGGTATAAACATTTTTAACAATATTAATTCATCCAATCCATGAAATGAGATATCTTTCTATTTATTTGAATTGTCTTCAATTTTTCCTCAGTTTGTTTCCAGTGTGCACGTCTTTCACTTCTTTGGTTAAATTTATTCCTAAGTATTTTTTAAACACTATAGTAAATGGGATTCTTTTCTAGATTTCTTTTTCAGATTGTTGGTTGGTGTGTAGAAATGCTACTGACTTTTGTATATTGATTTTTGTATCCTACAGTTTTACTGAATTCATTTGTTCTAACATTTTGTTTGGTAGAGACTTTAGGGTTTCTGTATATAAGATCATGTCATCTGCAAACACAGACAAATTTACTTCTTCGTTTTCAACTTGGATGTATTTTTTTTCTTGCCTAATTTCTCTGATTAGGACCTTCAGTACTATATTGAATAAAGTGGGGAGAGTGGGCATCCTTGTTCTTGATCTTAGAGGAAAAGCTTTTAACTGTTTTTCCTTGAGTATGATGGCAGCTGTGGGCTTGCCACATATGGCCTTTATTATGTTGAGCTACATTCCTTTTATTCCTAATTTGTTGAGAGTTTTTACCATGAAAGCATGTTGAATTTTGTCAAATGCTTTTTCTGCATTTATCGAGATGATCATATCATTTTTATCCTTCATTCTGTCAATGTAGTCTAATGCATTTATTTATCTGCATATGTTGAACCATCCTTGCATCCAGGGATAATGATCATGGTGTGTGATCCTCCTAATGTGTTGTTTAATTTGGTTTGCTAGTATTTTGTTGAGGATTTTGGCATCTATGTTCATCAGAGCTATTGGCCTGTAATTTTCGGTTCTTGTGGTGTCCTTGTCTAACTTTGGTATTAGGAAACTGGCTGGCCTCATAAAATGAGTTTGAAAGTTGAACATGTATTTTTAAATAAAAAATGTATAGATATTTTCTTTTACAAAGATTATTTACAAAATACTATATCATTTTTAAATGTGAGTGTGAGTTTGTTCAAGTGTGTGTATGAGAGTGTGTGTATAGGAGTTAGTGCATGAGTGAGTGTTGCATCAATGTGACCTGGATGTGAGACATGAAGTCAAAGGAGATCATTTCAGAGCTTTAAGATTTGACTGCTGTGCTGGATTTTGGACCTGCATGGGGCCTGTAGCCCCTTCGTTTTGGCCGGTTTCTCCCATTTGGAACAAGTGTATTTACCCAATGCCTGTACCCCCATTGTATCTAGGAAGTAACTAACTTGCTTTTGATTTTACAGGCTACTAGGAGGAAGGGACTTGCCTTGTCTCAGATGAGACTTTGGACTTGGACTTTTGGGTTAATGCTGGAATGAATTAAGACTTCAGGGGACTGTTGGGATGGCATGATTGGTTTTGAAATGTGAAAGGGACGTGAGATTTGGGAGGGGCCAGGGGCAGAATGATATGGTTAGGCTTTGTGCCACCATTCAAATCTCATCTTTAATTGTAATCCCCATAATCCCCATGTGTCAAGGGAGAGACTAGGTGGAGGTAATTGAATCATGGAGGGCAGTTTCCTCCATGCTGTTCTTGTGATAGTGAGTTCTCACGAGATCTGATGGTTTTATAAGGGGCTCCTCCTCCCTTGCTTGGCACTTCTTCCTGCTGCCTTGTTAAGGAGGTACCTTGCTTCCCCTTCACCTTCCACCCTGATGGTAAGCTTCCTGACGCCTTCTCAGCCATGCTGAACGGTGGGTCAATTAAACCTCTTTCCTTTATAAATTACCCAGTCTCAGGCAGTTCTTTATAGCAGTATGAAAATGGACTAGTACAAGTGTGTATTTGTATTTGAATAGAATAAAGTCCAAAAGGATATTCACAGAGGTTAGCAGTAGTATCTCTGGATGGTAGGTCTCCTGATAGTTTTTATAACATTATTTTATATTTCTGGATTGTCTGACTTTTAACCATCTATTTGCTCTGTGCGATGGTCAGTTTTATCTGTCAACTTGGCTAGGCTATAGTCCCCAGTTATCCAATTAACCACTAATCTAGGTGTTGCTGTGAAGGTGTTTTGTATATGTGATTGATATCTATAATCATTTGTCTTTTTAAGTAAAAGAGATTATACTTGATAGTCTGGGTGGGCCTGATTCAATCAGTTAAAAGGCCTTAAGGGGAAAACTGAGGTTTCCCTAAAGAAAAAGAAATTCTACCTGTGGACTAAAGCTTCAGCTTGTGCCCAAGAATTCCAGACTGCCCCTCCTGATGGCCTGCCCTATGGATTTCAGACTCGCCTAGTCAGTTCCCACAATTACATAAGATACTTCCTTGCACTAAATGTGTGTGTGAGTATGTGTGCACGTGCATGTGTTTTACTGGTTGTTTCTCTGGTGCATCCCTGACTGATCCAGAATTTGGTACCTAGAGGTGGGGTGCTGCTGTAACAAATATTTTAAAATGTGAAAGTGGCATTGGAATTGGATAATGGTTAGAGTCTGGTAGAATTTGAGGCACATGATAGAAAAAAACTGAGATTGCCTTGAACAGGCTGTGAGTTGAAATATGGATGTTAAATACTGTTAGTGAGGGCTCAAGAGGAAGTAAGAAGCATGGTGTAGAGCACGCCTGCATCATCTTGTAGTATACACATATCATAAATAGAATATTGGTAGAAATATGTTAAAGGTGCTACTGGCAAGGGCTCAGAGGGAAATGAGGAACATGTTGTTGGAAATTGGAGGAAAGGAGATCCTTGTTACATCGTGGCAGAAAGCCTAGCTGAATTATTTCTACACTTGGTAGAAAGCAGAACTCGTAAGCATGAACTTGGCTAGTTAACTGAGGAGATTTCCAAGCAAAGTGTTGAAGGCACTGCCTGGTTTTTTACTGCTTATATAAAACTTTAGAGGAAAGACACAAATTAAGGAAAGAACTGTTAAGCAAAAAGGAACTAGAACTTGATTTGGGAAATACTCAGTTATGCACATTGCAAAAAAAAAATACTAATATTAAGAGATTCACTATTAGGAAATTGTGCCCTGGAGAGAGAGTCAAGTATGTGGTTGGACAACCTTTTGCTAGAACTGAAGAGATTCAAGGTATGACTCATGGACCCACTCAATCATCTCAACAGAAGGTAGGAATCCAAGTGGTATTGTCCAGGACTATCTTGGAGAAGACTTTTGTCTAATGGCTTTTTATCCCTGTGAAATATGTGGAAGAGCAACAAGGGTTTTGAGGATGTTAGTCCAACAGAAACACTGCCAACTTGTACTGAAAGGGATAGAGAGAGGGTAAAATAAAGGAAAGCGGTCAGGCTTCCAAAATTCTACAGGCAGGGAGGAGGCTAATAAGACAACTCAGCTGCAAACATGTGTTGCCTTTCAGGAAAAAGGAAAGATAACTCAGGGCAGAGCCTTGAGCCTAAAGGTTAGAGCTGTGGAAGTAGAGGCAGAAGGCAGAACTGTAGGCTCAGAGAGCAGAATCTTGAGCCACAAAGGGGCTTGAAATCTAATGGAATTTGCACTGCTAGATTTTAAAATTTCTTAAAATCAGTGACCCCTTTATTCCTTCCATTTTTCTCCCATTTGGAATGAGATTATCTATAACTATTGTACTATGCCTGTTTCACCATTGTATTTTGGAAACAGATGACCTGTTTTCCAGTTTCATAAGTGCATGGATAGAGAGGAATTTTACCCCAGTATGGGTTATACCCAGAGTCCCACTCACATCTGATTTAGAGGATGAGACTTTGGATTTTTGACCTGAAGAGATTTTGGACTTGAATTGTTGTTGTAAGGAGTTGAAACTTTGGGGATGTTGGGATGGAATGAATGTATTTTTCATGTGGGATGGACATGAATAATTGGGGATTAAAGGGAAGACTATGGTAGGCTGAAAAATATGTCACACAAAAGATATTCATATCCTAATAAGTCATGTTACTTTACATGGCAAAACATATTTGTAAATGTGATTGAATTAATGATCTTGAGATGGGTAGATTATCTCAGATTATTTAGCTTGGACCCTAAATGCACTCACATGTGTCCTTATGCAAGGGAAGCAGAGGGAGTGAGATTTAACACAGAGAGAAAAGGCAATGTGATGACCTCAGTAAAGAGAGTTATTTGAAGATGCCTTTGGCTTTGAAGATGAAGAAAAGGGGCCATGAGCCAAGGAATACAGATGGAAAGTAGCAGCTAAAAAAGGCAAGGAATGCAGTTCTAGAAATTGGAAAAGGCAGGGAAATGCACTCTCCCCTAGAGGCTTCAGAAGTGCATCCCTACTGACACCTTGATTTTTTTTCCCCGGTAGAACTAATTTCAGATTTCTGGCCTCCCAAATTGTGAGATAATAAATTTGTGTGTTTTTAAGCCACCACGTTTGTGGTAGTTCGTTATAGCAGAAATAGGAAACAATTGCACTACATAATCAGAAACATAATAAAGCAATATTAATTTGATACCTATGTAAATACCAATAAGGTTGAGTACTAATATTTTATCTGGAAAGTTTATGTCTGTATTTCTAAGAGGGTTAGTCTGTACTTTTCTTTCTTGTACTATCTTTGTGGAGTTTTGCTGTCAGGAATGTGCTAGTTTTCCAAAAAGAAATGAGATGCCTTTTTTCTTTTTCTAGGTTCGAAAGAAGCTTAAACAGCAATGAAAGCAGCAAAATTATTTGCTTCCCATGTTCTGATGAGGGATAGCGCTTTGATCACACGCCTTATTGCTTCCATGGTCTTTAAAGATTTTAATATTCACACTAGTGCGTC
The DNA here is from genome assembly GCF_000001405.40 of Homo sapiens. Taxonomy (NCBI): domain Eukaryota; kingdom Metazoa; phylum Chordata; class Mammalia; order Primates; family Hominidae; genus Homo; species Homo sapiens. Next base: position 72,982,322 of record NC_000015.10, on the reverse strand, counting down.
AGATATGTTGTTTACATATAACCTATTTAAATCCCCACAATATTCCTATGAGGTAGTTTTTTTCTGTGTGTGTGCCATTTTACAGGTAAGGAAACTTACCTGTAAATGAGGTTGAGAGAAGTTAATTAGTTAGATAAGGTTACACAGTTACCAAGAGGAACAGCTCATACCTGAACTAAATGAGGAGTATCTGGCTCAAAAATCCATACTTTAAATTTTTTTATTTTTTAGATGGTATCTCGCTCTATTGCCCAGGCTGGAGTGCAGTGGCACCATCACAGATCACTGCAGCCTTGAACACCAGGCTCAAGCGATCCTCCCACCTCAGCCTCTTGAGTAGCTGGGACCACAGGCACGTGCTACCATGCTCGGCTAATTTTTTTTTTTTTTCATTATTTGTAGAGATGAGGTCTCACTATGTTGCTCAGCTGGTCTCAGACTCCTGGGCTCAAGTAGTTCTCCTGCTTGGGTCTCCCAGAATGTTGGGATTACAGGTGTGAGCCACAATCTTTGCTTAAATAATGTCTCCTGGCTTTATACTTTTTGTACACTTTTAGTAATTTATATTTTCTTAGAAAAGCCCTCACTTCATTTAGATTATCCAATGTATATAGCATAATATAAAGTATTAATTTGTAATTCTTTAAAATTTGTGTGTGTAGCTGCATCTCCTTTCTTTTCTAAATTTTATATAGTTATGCTCTTTCTTCTTGAATTGACTACTTAGTAGATAATCTATTTTATTGCCCCTGCTTCCTATTCAGCTGTCTTAATTTTTCTGTTTTCAAATTTAGCAACATTTTAAAATATTTTTCTTTATCTTGTTTTCCTTAAATTTGTTTTATTGCTTTTCTCTAATTGCTTTACTCACTAAATGTTTATTGATTGCTTAATACATGCCAGACATATTCAATTGATTACTCAATTCATAGCTTATTTTCATCTTTTCTTATTTAATAATTGAGGCGTTTAAGTCTATACACTTCCTTCCAAGTACAGCTTTGGCTACATCTTATAATTCTCAACATGTAGTATTCACAATATTAAAATTCACTGAACATTCTGTAATTGCAGTTTTTAATTCCAAGTGGTTAAAAGTTTTTGGTTATCCTCTCATTATGTATTTATAGTAGCACTGAATTATAATCAGAGAATGTAGTTTATTCTATTTGTACATTTTAGAATATCTCATAGACTAAAATATCATTTTTGTAAATAGTCCATGGACATGAAAAGAATACACTCTCTAGGTACTGGATATAGAAATCAATATATTAATATTAATAAATCATCTTTATTTTTTAAACTATTTAGCTCCTTTGGATTTCTCTATTTTTGCTTATTTAACTGATGGTGACTGAAAAAAGATATGCTAAATACAGATGAATTTTTATTCAATAGGACTTGTTGTATACATATCAGTTTAACAGTGATGGTATAGGCTGTCAGCCAGGATATAAAAAGAGTTCAGCAGTATCATGATACTGGCATACCCTGCTGAATGTCTCTTTGGTTTGTTTTTTCCCAGTAGAATCCCTCTGGATTTTAATAACCGAGCTTTATTGAACATATGTATTTGTCAATATATTTTTGGCTGATGTGTTTACACAGGAAAAAATAATATTTACATACTCAAACCTCAGTTCAACATTTTAACAAAACAACATGCAGAAAAGTCTTCACTTCCTTTCTAAATACAAATGCTAGAATGTCGGAATCACACGTGGATGTTTTGAAAAGCGTGCTGAGCCTCCTCAAGGGTCATGGAGCTGCACATGCTACGACACCAAAGCAACTGGGTTTTGTTGGTTTTGTGGCAGTTGCTTATTAATATGTAATTTACATTCAGTAAAATCTGCCTTTTAAAAAAGTACAAAGTTCTGCAAGTTTTGACAGCCATGTAATCGCCACCATGGTCAAGATGTAGACTATTTCTGTCACTCCAAAAATTCCCGTGTCCCTCTGTAGTCATCTCCTCCCCGTACCCTCACCCCCTGGCAGTTTTCTGTTCTGTGTTTTGATCTGTTTTCTGTTCCCATAGTTTTACTTTTTCAGGATGATACACCCATGGAATCAGATAGTAGGAAGCCTTTTGGACCTGGGATCTTTCACTTAGCACAACACATTTGAGAATCGTTCATGTTTATTTGTCTGCCATAGTTTGTCCCTTTTTATTGCCAATAACATTCTAATGTACAGATAGGCCACAGTCCGTTTATCCATTCCCCAGCTGAAGAACATTTGAGTTTATTCCAGACTTTGATTCTTATGAATAAAGTCACTATAAATATTTATATACAGGTTTTTGTGTGAACATAAATTTTCACTTCTTTTGGATAACTAGGAGAGAATTGCTGGATCACGTGATTATTGTCTGTTTATGAGACTGCCAAACTGCCTTCCAAAGTGGCTGTGCCATTTTACATTCCCACAGGCAATGAACAAGAATTCCTGTTGCTCCCTATCCCCATCAGTACTTGGTATTCTCAGCTTTAAAAAAAAAATGTTAGCGGGCGCCTGGAATCCCAGCTACTCGGGAGGCTGAGGCAGGAAAATCGCTCGAACCTGGGAGGCGGAGGTTGCAGTGAGCTGGGATCGCACCACTGTACTCCAGCCGGGGTGACAAGAGCGAAACTTAAAAAAAAAAGTTAGTTATTCTAATACAGGTAAAGAGCATCTCCCCAGTGACTAACGATGTGATGACTGTCTTTTTATGTGCTTATTTGTTATGCATATGTATTCTTTGATCAAGTCTTTTTATCCCTTTTGCCTATTTTCATTGGATTATTTTCTAATATCGAATTTTGAAAGTTCTCTGTATATTGCTGATTCATGTCCTTTATCAGATATGTAATTTGCAAATATTTTCTCCCAGTTTATCATTTTTCATTCTCTTAACATTATCTTTGAAAGAGTTGAGGTTTCAAATTTCGATGAAATCCAATTTAGCAATTTTTTTCTTTTATAGGTTGAATATTTTGGGTATCATTGCTAAGAACTTGTTCCTTAAGCCAAAGTCACAAATATTTTTTTCTGTGTTTTCTTCCAGAACTTTTATAAGTTTAAGTTTTTCATTTACATGTGAGATCCATTTTTATTAAAACTTTGATTAGAGAGTGCTTTAAGCATTTCACATACGAAGCTGATAGTTGTTACGTATATAGGCGTTTTGCCATGTTTCAATTATGTTTTGGGAAATTATCTTAGAGTTTTGGGTCATCACGAAATGCATTATTCCCCCTTAAAATAATGATCAGTGTTTAAGAGTAGAACTTCTGTTTTTCAGGAACAGATTATTGACGTTAAGTGAGATATGCTTATTTTTGTTAAAATGGGATTTTACCTCATCAATTTTTTTTTTTTTTTTCCAGACAGGGTCTCACTCTGTCACCCAGGCTGGAGTGCAGTGGCACGATCTTAGCTCACTGCATCCTTGACCTCCCATGCTCGGGTGATCCTCCTACCTTAGCCTCCCAGGTAGCTGGGACTACAAGCATGTTCCACCATGCCTGGCTAATTTTTGTATTTTTTATAGAGATGGGGTTTTGCCATGTTGCCCAGGCTGGTCTCGAACTCCTGAACTGAAATGATCTGCCCGCCTCGACCTCCCAAAGTGCTGGGTCTGCAAGTGTAAGCCAACATGCCTGGCCCCAAAATACTGTTTAACGGCAGCACAAACTGTAACTCTTTTCATAATTATTATTCAGTGGCAGAGTTGGAATAAATATGAATGAATCAAACTATATTTGAGTCACAAAGATATGAGTTTGTATGCTTCATTCTCGTCCCACTGAACATCCTTGCTTACAAAATCATGCTACTTTTCTAACAAATGAGTGAAATTTGAATAAGCTGGAGGAAGCAGGTGCCCAGGGGAGGACAGATCTGTTGCACTGTCAGAAACCCCCCTCTGCAAGCACACACACAAAGACAACAGGCACGGCAGAAGGAATCAAAAGAATCAGCCAACTAAGGAGAATCATACAGATTGTGTTTGCACCTGACGAAACTGCGAGTGGGCAAAGCACTAAATCCTTTTTTTGTATCCGCTTGCTATTTTGTTTTAATTTTTTGCTGTGTATAACTCAGATTGGTGTGTTTCTTGCTGGAGATTTTCAACAGATCATCCAGAGCTACATACGTTATCAGATAATTCCTCATGGCATTTATTCACTCATTCATATTTACCTAATATTTACTGGTGTCTACTACATGGTTGAAATCGAATAGTCAATAAGGAAGACACACAGTACATTGGTTCAAGAACTCCAATGATTTGAGAGTGATGAGCAATGGACAGAAGGTTCAAACATGGTGGATAAAGAAGAATCTCTATCATACTCACTGCAGGAATTGGGGTCTATTAATAGGCCACATTGTCAGGGTGCAGTTGTTGAGGGTTTCAGGGGGCTCCAATAAGTGCATGTTGTGCTCTGGAAAGTTTGGTTGATGGTCACAACGGTCTCCTGAAAGTATTCAGTAACAGGAGAAGGTTTTCTCTTGTGTATCAGTTTCCTATTGCTGCTGTAACAATTTATGACAAATTTAATGGCTTAAAAAAACACAGATCTATTATCTTACAATTCTGGAGGTGAGACGTCTGAAATGGGTCTCACTGGGCTAAAACCAAGGCGTTGGCAGGGCTGCATTCCTTTTGAGGGCCCTAAGGGAGAATCTGTTTCCTTGGCTTTTCCAGTTTCTAGAAGCCACCTGCATTCCTTGGCACATAGTACCTTTTCTCCATCTTCAAAGCCAGCAGCATAGCATTTTTCAACTCTTTTCTCTGACTCTGGCATGCCTGCTTCCCTCTTTCACCCAAATCCAGGATAATCGCCCCATCTTAAGAGTCTTAATCACATCTGTAAAGACCTTTTGCCACATATGGTAACACATTCACAGATCCTGGGGATTAGGACATGGACATCTTTGGTGGGAAGTAGGACATTATTTTGTCTACCATACCTTGGGCTTCCTAGACCTATCATTGACCTTGGCTCATGCTCTAAGAGTATGAAGGGCATCATGAGGGGTGCGAGGCCTCAGAAATATCTGGAGGAAGCCAGGCCAGGGAGTCGATGGATGTGTCATTAAAGTGGATAATTGCTCCAGATCCAAGAGATCATACAGGAGCTTACATCAGACCCTGGAACTTCAAGAAGGCTGTATAGTTTCAAGGTCATCCTAAACAGCTGCTTTGTCCCAAGCATGTCTGATCAGTTGAACCAGTCAGTATAGGCTAGCTTATATTGTGATAAAAATGATCCTCAAATCTTGGCCGCTTATAGCAAACTAGGTTTATTTGGTAATGCTACTCATCCAGTGGGGGTCAGAAGGGCTCACCTCTGTGCTCCTTACTCTGAGACCCAGGTTGACAGAGTAGCAGCCATTTCAAACATTACCAGTTGTCATGTCAAAGGGACAGAGAGAGATCATGGTCAGCAGAGGAGTGTCTTGCCCAGCAATTAAATACTTGGGCATAGAAATAACTTCTGTCACTTCTACTCACAATTCGTTGGCAAAGCTAGCAGATGGCTCCACCCAAACCCAATGGGATCAGGAAAGGCAATTTTACCATGAGCCTGGAGAACCGAGAATATTTAGTGAATAGCACTAATAATCACTGCACTTACTGTCTTCTACTAATTCCTGATATGAATGGAGGCTGTGTGCCCACCAGGGCCACTTTTGTATGTCCTAGGAATGATCTGAGCTGATCCAAATGCTAGTGTCAGGTAGAAGCAAATGGCAGCCCTGCATCATCACCATGTTGGCTCCTGACAGGCCTGGTTCATCCTGAGCTGCTCACTGTAAAGAAAGTCCCCGGGAAATGGCAAGGAATTGATATGCCTTTGAACTCCTGCAAACCTGGGTATGAGCCTCTGGAAATCAGCCTTATACTTGACAAGTTCTGTTCCAATATGGCTCAAAGGTTGCAAATTTGCGTGGTTCCTATCCAGGTGGGCTATGAGGGTATTTGCATGGCCCATTGATACCAAGACACTGAAGTGAAGCTGGCAGAGCTATGGGACTCATGCCAGCTACATCTAATTATCAGCAGGAAATAAAAACATGAACATAAGGTGAGCAACAATACCAAGCTCTCATGTATGCCTCCCCTCCAACCCTTGCCACCCGCCTTAAACTCCACAGGTAAGACTCCAAGCATCCTATAGGTGAAAGGTTCCACCAGCACTCCCCATTACCCTGCTGCTGTTGTGGGTGCTTGGCAGATACAACCACCTGGACTACGACCATTTGAAGCAGGTGGTGTATTGGGCCTATGGAACCAGAGTCTGTCTCACAAATTTGGAATGGGATGGATTTTAACCAAAATCTCCTTGCATTTTGGTGAGAAGCCAGAAACACTCTCTGGCTCAGAGAGGAAATTTAGGTGGTAGGTAAAAGGCTCTAGTACAGCTGGTTAATTCCTTTCCCTATGTTTCTTATAGGTGGACACAAGGCCCACCTGACTGGGTCCCCAAGCGCCATGTTTCATGATGGCATTCAAAGGGGGGTTGTGCCCATCTCTATACCCCTCCTTGCATTCTCTCTGCAGTTGCCTGCTTGGGTGGAAAAATAAAGAAGCTACTATACTCCTGCCACTGCTTCTCCTCATACACCTAGTGAGGCAACCCTAGTCCCAGCTTGGGCTGGATAGCAGATGCAGCCAATAGCCAGTGATGCTTTTGAGTGTGTGGCTGCAGTACTGGTCAGTTTACTGTGGCTCACTCGTCAGATGCAAGTGGCTGGTCTGTCCCTGTCCCAGAGCCCTCGCTGCTTGATATTATCTGCTTGAGTGGGTCTCCCTCATTCCTGACAACTCTTGAGTAGACTACTGACAGCTTGTGTGAGAAGACTCACCTCTGTGTCCCCCATCAGGCGTGGGCAAGCAAGTTGTGAAATCACCCAGCTGCAGCCTACAATTCTCTACAGTTGCAAGGAATCCTGGGTAGCAGGACTGTTGTTCCAGGGCAGGTGTGAGCAGTAGTGGTGCTGCAACTAGAGCCATCATGGTCAGTGGGCAAGGATGGTGGCACAAGGTGAGCAGCTGGGCTCTGGCCTCACTGCTGTCCTTAGCTGGTGAAGACCTCTCTGCATGGAGGATTCTCTGCTTTCTTCCTCCTCAGGATCAAGACTGAGTACCTTCAAAACGGAGGATAGATCTTCTTTATCATGCAACCAGTAGGACAGCCCTGGAAGTGTGGGTTCCTACCTACATGGCTTAAGCATCATGTAGATAGGCCACACTACACCGGTGTGAGGTGCAGCTCTGGACTCTGCATGGGTGGCTTCTAAAACAACTGAATGGAAATGTTTTCTGAGTTACTCAAATTTATCTAGATTTTCCCATTGGTAAATGCAAAACCTATATTGCATTGAAGCAGGGCCAATATCTTGGCTGGCAAATGGATTTTAAAATATCTTTGAAGAAGTGAACACAGAGGGCCCAGGGAAGGTTGAGGGGTAACTCCGTTTCCTCCTGTAGAATCTACCTTGAGGTCTGAGGGACACTGGCCACAAAGCACTTTCATATTCTGGCTGTGTGGCCTAAGATTTCCCAGGGATAAGTGATATAAAGGTGACCAATTGATCAATGGAGGAAATTTCTCTTTATAGAAGCAGTCTAGCTAATAAATGAAGAGAATGATAGAATGTCACTATTTTATAACACTTAATGATATACATGAAATAGATTTAGACAATGGCACTCAAAGGCTGGTAATATCACACACACAAAATTGACATTATATGCTCTCTGATGAAAGAACACACCACTACCTATAAAGCATTATTGTAAAAAAAAAAAAAAAATCAAACCTGAATTCAACAAATCTCGTCATCTAATTACCAATTAAAAAACAGGGACAGAGGAATGTGTTAAAAAAATACCACAGGGACTGGTGATCCGCAAAATTTAGGCTATGGGAAACTATAGTTCAATAACTTAGTTTATTTAATAAATTTTGAAAGCAAAAGAAAACCTATATGAAGAAAAGACTTAAAGCCACATAAACTGATTATAATGTATGGACATTATTTGGATCCTGACTTGAACTAATGTAAAAATAAATGGAGACACTGAGGACATTTTAACACTGGCCAGATATTTGGAGACATTAGGAATTATTCTTATTGTTAGGTATAATAATGGAATTGTTATATCCAAAAGAGTCCTTATCTTTTGGAGCTATATGCTAAACTAATTACAGATTACATGATATCTGAAATTTGCTTCAAGATCGTCCAGGTAGAGCAAGAGGTAAGGAGTGAAGGTAAAAGCAGCTGGGCATGTAATTGAAATAAGTCTATTTGGGAGGCCGAGGAGGGCGGATCACCTGAGGTCCGGAGTTCGAGACCAGCCTGGCCAACGTGGTGAAACCCCATCTCTACTAAAATACAAAAATTAGCCAGGCGTGGTGGTGTGTGCCTGTAATCCCAGCTACTCAGGAGGCTGAGGCAGGAGAATCATTTGAACCTGGGAGGTGGAGGTTGCAGTGAGCTGAGATCACACCATTGCACTCCAGCCTGTGTGACAGAGCGAGACTTCATCTCAAAAAAAGTGTGGCTGTGAGTTGACCATTGTTGGAGTTGGGTGATGGGTAAAGGGGGCATCATATTATTCTCTCTACTTTTGTATATGCTTGAAATTTTCCAGAAGAAGAGGAGGAGGAAGTGTGTGGAGAGAGAGAGAGAGAAAGAGAATATAAATCGGATTGTAAGGCAGGCGGTCAGGCAGAGGAGACTGGCAGCAGGGGTGGAGTAGAGGGCTGTGAACTGATGAGAAGATCAAGGGGTCAGACTCCAGGGGTCAGTGTCTGGGGCCTTCCATGCATAAGACTCACCTGATTGGAAGTTCTCCTCCCACCTTTTCCTGGACTGTACCCCCAAACCAATATGTCTCAGAGTCTGAACAGTAAGAGGCTGCCACCAGCACTTCTGATTCAAAATAAGAATAACTAACTACCTGTCCCCCTGGAAATTACCAGCATGCTTCTCCTTCTCAGGTGGGGAATGTCTGGTTCTTCCTTTGACCAAGGGCAGTATTTCTAGTACTGTGTTCTCAGAAGAATCAGTCACAGGCCAAGCATGGTGTCTCACGCCTGTAATCCCAGCACTTTGGGAGGCTGAGGCAGGTGGATCACCTGAGGTCGGGAGTTCGAGACCAGCCTGGCCAACGTGGCAAAACCCCGTCTCTACTAAAAATACAAAAGTTAGCCAGGTGTGGTGGTGTGTGCTTGTAATCCCAACTACTTGGGAGGCTGAGGCAGGAGAATCACTTGAACCCAGGAGATGGGGGTTGCAGTGAGCTGAGATCACACCACTACACTCCAGCCTGGGTGACAGAGCGAGCCTCTGTCTCAAAAAAATAAAAAATAAAATAAATAAATAAAAAAAATTAGTCATATATCCAGAAAGATTCTCAGTAGGACTGAGGGCAGCTCAGGCCCCTTAATAAAAACTATTTGAAATGCAGGGAATTGTGAGAAGGAAAATCAAAGCCTAAGACTGAACCAGCAATTAGATCAGCTCCTGGAATATATTTAAGTCAAATCAATCCATGAGGGAATTTCCGTCACAGCTCACTTTCCCTCTCCTACAGCCCATGGCTGGAATCATAGCCTTTCAATCAGAGCTCACCAGAAATACAGCAATATCCATCTTCTAAAATGCTTCATCATAGTTTTGCAAAGTCCCGGTACATCCCCTCTGCTCTTGTGGATTTATTTACATATTGATTTATTTATTCCTCTCTCTACAGCAGGCTAGCCTCTTGAGATTATACCATTTCATTTACAAAGCCATTGGGGTCATGCATCTGGACAACGAAGCCAAGGGGAAGGCTGTCCTTGGATGTGCTGAGCTACACAGATCAGACTTGTCAGAAACAAGTGTGGGAAGTGGGTGCAAAGAGTCAGCCTCCAGCCTGGGACTCCCATAGTCATCTTACCACAAAAAGAGAGGGCTGGCTTACACCGAAGGGAAGAAAACAGCATGGGAGGTGACAGAAAAAGCAGCAAGGAAGCCCTGGGTGTGACCTCTATGAATCCCTCCAGTTGAGGAGTGGGGTCTCCCTACTGCAATCCCAAATGGTGCAGTGCCCCTATCAGCAGGCAGTTACCTTCATCTCTTTCCAGGGCCTGAACAGTACAGACCCCTCGGGCTCCCCACAGATTACTTCTCAGCCGGAGGAGGCTCCGCTAAGAGAGAAGAGAAAGAAGAAGAAAGAAAAAAGAATGCACAGGAAAAAGGTCTGGAAGAAACTGAGTTGAGGGAGAGAAATCTGTTCCCTGGCAAAGGCCCCAGGCTGCAAGAAAAGCCTTCCAACACTTTTTTATAGATGCCTTTTTTTTTTTTTTTGCTAGGAAAGCTAAAAGCTGGAAAATTCCCTTCGTTCTGATTAGCATTCTTATCACTCTGAGTTTTCCCCCTCTTCTTCCAGTCTCATGAGTGCTTTTCTTTTTAAGAGAAGGATTCGCTGAGACACAGAGATGACATCTTCCGAGTGATCATTAAAGAATTCTCATTGGCATTGTTGGGCACACTCGGGTTGTCAAAGGAGGTGCCCCTTCTTACCAGGTTACTGGTCAAACTACAGAAGCCGAGGGTGCCCGGAACTTGACTTTCAACTTCCTTTTCATGGGGGAGGCTTTGAGACTTCGATGTTTAAAAGGATATGTTTGCGTTTGCGTGGGATGGGTATGTGGATGACAAGCTGTCAGGAGAAAGTCAACAGCAAGGCTGGGCAGCTTTCTGGGCAGGACATGTGTGTTCGTCTTGTGGCTTGAACTTCTAACTGAGGTTTGGAGTTGGAACCAGAGTCTGTCCACTTCTTAAAGGGGCAGTACCCGGAGGGAGAGTATGATTAACTGAACTGTCCTGGCTGAAGCCTCCTAGACCAAAAGCTTCCCTCTGAAGACTGCATTCTTGAACCTGCCACCTCAGGGGTCTGAAGAAAAAGTAAAAAAACGAGCTTCATCTGGGAAAAGTTCAAGATAATATGTCTTGGCAAACATAATGAAAAACACAGACAGTTGCTTTAAGAGAGGGACCCAGAAAGAGGTCAGGTTCTGCTGAGAGAGGCAGAGCAGCAATTAGATGGGAGCTTATGTTGCAGCATGGAGGCAAAGGGGTCAAAGAGAGGGTAGAATACTCTGCATCTGATTTCAGGAAGGGAGCACCACATTGCAGCCGTGCTGAGCTCAGTTATTGGGGAGGAAATGTAGAGGTACAGGGAATCCGAGGGCAGTGAGAGGAGCTGGATTTATGAGGACATATTAAAGAGCTCAGAGCAGTGTATGCTGCTCGGCTGGGCAGAGAGTTGAGGTTTTATGCTAGCAGTGGGCCCAGCCACGTGTAAATGGTGTAGTCAGTGAGAAGGAGGGGAGTTATTTACTCTGATTTGAGGTTTCAGAATTAAGAGTTCTCACTGGAACGCTTAAAATAAAATTTGCAGTCAAAGAGAGAAATACATGCCACTGAATTCCATCAGTTTGTGGAATAAATACTCTTCCTAGGGAAGCATTGGAAAAATCATGTTATGAGATACCTCCAATGACAGAGGAAAGATTAGCACCAAATTTATAAATCATATAACCAGGATCTGCTGAGAAACCGTAACTTTTAATCTTAGGACTTAGGATCAGCTAACTTGAGAAGGAATCTGAGTCATAGAGGGGGTAAAATGGGAGGTGTGATTTCTTCCCACTAAGCAGAATGGGAAGTAATCTCACACTTCTGGCCCCAAACCCTTTCCCAGGCTCATGCTAAAACAATTATTGGAGCCAGAGGAGAGAGAAAAACCTTTTTACCCCAGGATTTAAAATATGCTATTTACCAATAACTTATTTTAAAAATGGGTTATGCAGGGGAAAGAGTTACGAGTACATAACCTGTCTTTTCCCTAGGAGCTATATATTTCAGGGTAACTAAATAGCCCAGTTGATGAAGGAAAGCTCTTTTACAGAAGAGTGCACGCTAATAAGTGAAGAAGGAATGATGGGATTGGAAAATCACCATTCTGCAACCCCTATGGGATGATTGATTCAGGCAAAGACCATCAGTGGTTGTAAGATCAGCTGGTGAGAGGTTAATGGTGAGCTACATATTTACAGGGCATCAACTACCGCCCCAGTTTATCTGCTAGTTCCAAGAGGAGAAAACCCTTAACTTTGCAATAAAGGGATCAGGCAAGCCATCACCATTTTAATCCAGTGATCAAGCCCAGTGTCACTGATAATAGGCCAACTTGACATGACATCCCTCCTTGTGTGATACAGTGCTAAAGTACATAGCATCATCTATGAGGTTTTCTGGATAACAAGGTTTTACCTGAATCACATCAAGACTGTAGAATTAATTTCCATCTCATGGGAAATACAGGGGAGACAGGAATTTGTTAGGCATCACCTCAGTGGTAAATCAATCAGGCAAATCAAAAAAGTGGGACATTCTACAGTACGGTCAGTTTTCTGTATCTGTGGATTCCACCAACTCTGCATCAGAAATACTAAAAATAAAAACAATAATGCAAATTAAAAAGCAATACAATAACTATTTATACAGCATTTACATTGTATTAAGTACTATAAGTAACCTGGAAATGATTTGAAGTACATATATGGGAGGATATGTGTAGGGTACATGCAAATACTACACTATTTGATATAAGGGACTTGAGCATCCTCAGATTTTGGTATCCTCAGGCATCCTGGAACTGATCACCCATGGATACTGAGGGACAGCTGTATCTTCAATAAGTCAATGTCATAGAAAGCAAAAAGGAGTGGAGGTGCTATTTTTAGATCAAAAGAGACTTAAAAGACCTAATCACCGAATGTAGTTTTGATCCTTTATTCAGTCAAGGAATAAAGCTGGCATAAGGAAATGAGCTGTAATAGGATATTTTGGGGAATTATTGAAGAACTTTGAGTACCGTGTAGGTGTTATATATTTACAAATTATTAATTTTGGATATGATATCATTATAAAGAAAATGTCCTTATTTTTTAGAGACACAGTGAAATATTTAAGGATGAAGGGTCATGATGTCTATAATTATAAACCACTTGACCAAAAAATGACAGAGATAGATGCAGAAAAACACTTTGTCACTGACCAGAGGAAAAAAATGAGAACAAGCAGATTGTCCCCTACAAATATTTGTTAAATCCCTGCCACATGCCAGGTTTACTACTGTTGGGTATACAGTAGTAAATGAGATGAACACGTGGGTCCCACCCTCCTGAAACTTAGAGGAAAAGGTTAGAACACATTTCTAATAATAACCATAACTAGCATGTATTATGCGCCAGTGTAAGAGTGCTTAAATGCATGATCTTATTTAACCCTCCCAATGGCTTCATGGAATGAGTACTCTTATGCTTCGGTGATTAAAGCTCCAGGGAGAATGTTTCTGGTCCCAAGTCACAGAGCTGGTGAGTGGCCCAACCAGGTCTTAAATCTTAGATTTGTGTGGTGGTCCTGGCTGGGCTCTTCCCTGGGTGTGTTGACAGGGGGACCGTGTGACTCCATACTGTTTCAGCATGGATTAACACGGCTTCGTTATCATTTCTCCTCTTTTCCCTTGTAATCATTGTAAAATGACGCCCAACTTGGCTGCCAGCCAAAAGGAAGTGCTGTTTATATAAAGGACATGAAAAGTAAAATAATAACGTAGTGTCACTCATCTTTAAACTCCTTGAAACTGCCTAGATTCTGCCTTAGTCTTTCCTACAGTCTACATTCTTATCTTCCTCTAGTTAAATCTGCTTTCTTCTCCATAAACAGATTTAGATAAATATAGTTAAGACTAATTATTCAATTATTTAATCCTGTGGATAGTCGTCTTTTAGCTGCTGGTATTAAACAAAATTGTTTCCTATATTGAAAAATATGCAGCTTGCAGCTACATTTTGTTCAAATGCTTCTAAGGGCTAGAACTGGACCTTGGCCTCCACTTGGCCATCACTGGTCATCAAATATTTATTGAGCATCTACTATGTGCCATGTCTGTTCTACATTTAGAACATGGTTTCTCTGGTACTTCAGGTTCCTCATGATGCTTTACAAACAAGATTTTAGGATCTGGCTTATTTGCAAACTCGGAAAGGCCTGAATACTGACCATATATTCCCTTAGGGCTGGCATTTGGTATCCACAGGGAAGTCAGGTTTTATGAGCCTGTCACCACTTCTGATGCACGGCCCAGGGCAGATAGCTTTATGGCATTGTGGTAATTAGTTCCTACAATAGAGGCCTGTCTTATCAGAGGAGCAGTGGTGGGCCCCAGGCAGCTCTGTTTGCCTGCAGAAAGCTCAGCTGTTCCCTGGGTACCTACAGCAGTGTTACAATGAGAGGAGTATGAAACGAGACCCTGGGCAGACTCTCAGCCAAGGGTGTTGGCAGTTCAGTTGGAGACAGCTGTGTAATGTCCCTGTTGCACTGGCCTGGGCTTCTATCTAAAGCCATCTTATTTGTAGTGTTTATTTTCTTCCACTTTTGCCCTTAGGCGCCCTATTGATGTTAGTGGATTTCCATATCAGAGAGGGACTTGAGGAGCTCAAAGAGGTTAATCAACTTGTTCCTTGTTGTGGGGTAGAGAAGTGTGGGGTAGAACCAGAAAGGCACAGCTTAGCACTCCTGCCGCCCATTAGAATCTGTCTTAGTTGCAGCCAGAGAACTTACAAGTTCCCATGTGTCATTAAAGGAAATACACTGTGGGACCTGTGCAGGCTTTGGCATGTGTGAAATTTCACGCCTCACAGATAGCGCTTCTGTCTGTGTCCAGGCTGCTTTCTTGCATGTTAGGTTTTTTTGAAAGTGTGAGTTATTCTATACCAAGAACTTCATCATAAATTACTTAATTTTTTTTCCAGGAAAACATTCCCTCCATTTTGTTAATTACCTAGCTAGTCACAGAAGCAATTCCTGGGGTTTTTTCAAAAAATACATTTTTCTCCTTGGTTACAAAAGTATTACATGTTTATTGTTAAAAAAAAAAAAGTCAGAAAAGCATAGGGAAAAAAATTTAAACGTCCTATAATTCTATCACTCTGACATAACTACTGTTAACATTTTGTGGAATGTGCTTTTAGTCTTTTCTCGATACATATATAATTTTTAAACAAAATTGGGATCATACTACTTCCTATAATTTGTGCAGTTTGTATTCTGTTTTATTTACAGAGAACATCAATTTGTAAGCATGCTCTTGTACTAGAAAAGAGTTTTCAAAAATGTTATTTTTTAAATAGCTGCATAATGTTTCAGCAAGTGAATTAATCATAATCTATTTAACCAAGCTCTATTTGAATATTTAGTTGTTTCCAGCATTTTGCTATCATAACATATACTTTGTTGAGCATCCTCGATATGAATTTTTGCCCTACCCAGGATTATTTTCTTAGAATAAATTTCTAGTGCTGGAATTCCTGAATGAAAGGGAGCGAACTCTTAACAGCTCTTTATCTTCCAGAAGGCTTGGCCAAGTCTCCCGTCTGTCAGAAATGTCTGAACGTTCATTTGGTGGCATTGGGCCATTTTACGAATATTTTTAAAAGCTCTCCCAATTTGATAGGCAAAAAATGGTATCTTAGTCTTATTTTAAGATTATTTAATCATTGATAAATTTGATTATGGTATGCCTTATTATACCATAAGTTTTGGATGGGAAAACAATCCTTGCAAATTTGGTTCTGTTTTATGGTTAGGATTTCTTCTAAGGTTTGACTATTCAGAAGTTCCCTGTTATGAAAATAAGAAACTTGTTCAGTAGCTATTGCTTACAAAGCATTAATTGTGGAGGGGTTTTTGTTGTTGCTAATTATCATAGATATGGTTAATTTTATTCAGCGACAGTTTTCATAGGTAAGGAAAATGTCCACAATATTTTTGCCAAGACTATTATGGTTTGGTTTTGAAAAAACTCCCCTCGAAGTCTCCATGGCCTATTTCGTTTCCTGTGTCTCAAATACAGCTTTCACTAACCTTCCACATACAGTCTTCTCCTATTTTTGGAATTAAATTTAAATCAACAATCTAGATCTACCTGCTACTTTGCACTCCACCAAAACAGAGCGAGACCCGGGTCTTGACTTATAGAAGCTTACAATTGAGTCAGATGGCTACATGTATAACCAGATGACGATGCCTGTAGTGCTAAACATTGTCATAGGATGTAAAATGCTGGAAGGCTACTGAAGAGTGGCAGTTATACCAAGCATGAGGATTTGGGATGGTTTCTTGTATTGAGTTTTGGAAGAGAAGACAGATTTTCCCAGAATGAATAAAAAAAATTTCCAGTCCCACATGACCTTATAGAAACTTTCCACTTACCCATCTAAAGGTAGAGCCTATATCCCCACCCCTTGACCCTGAGTGAGCTTTTATGACTGCCTCTCTGAAGAGTAGAATGTGGCAGAAGTAATGCTGCCTGACTTCTGAGGCTAGGTCATAAAAGGAGATACAGCTTCCTCCTTGCGGTAGCTCACTTGTGACATGTGTTTGGAGCCTCCATGTGAGAAGTCTGGCTACCCTGACTTCCTGAGCCACCATGCTGGAGAAACAGAAGAGAGGAAGAGAGATCGAGATTATTTCAGCCGTAAGAACTTGACTGGTGATAGTTACTTGAGACATTCTGAGCAAGAAGCACCCTACTAAGGCCAGTCAACCCTCAAAACCATGAAAGTTTACTATAAAATAATTGTTGTTTAAAGCCACTAAGTTTTAGGGTTGTCATCCAACAATGCATACCTGCAGCAGCAGGTATGAGAAGAAAGGGCATTCCAGGCAGAGGGGACAGCCTGATAATTTTTCCTTTGCAGCTTTCATTCTGTTTTATGTTTAAGTGTTCTCTCTATGTAGATGATGTCTGTAGCTATAACTGTGATCTTCCTCTCTCTCAAATTGATGCCCAGTATTCCTCTTTGCTTCCTAGAATGCTATGTCTGGAGATCCTACTCAAACTCAGTAGATCACAAAATGAGCTCAAAATGATCCCCTAGGCCGGGCATGGTGGCTCACACCTGTAATCTCAGCATTTTAGGAGGCCTAGGTGGATGGATCACCTGAGGTCAGGAGTTTGAGACCAGCCTGGCCAACATGGTGAAACCCAGTCTCTACTAAAAGTACAAAAAATTAGCCAGGCATGGTGGCAGGTGCCCATAATCCCAGCTACTTGGGAGGCTGAGGCAGGAGAATAGCTTGAACCTGGGAGGCGGAGTTTGCAGTGAGCCAAGGTTGTGCCATTGCCCTCCAGTCTGGGCAACAAGAGTGAAACTCCATCTCAAAAAAAAAGAAAGAAAGAAAGAAAGAAAGAAACCCTAGAAACATATATTACTTGTGTTCAGTGTTTTGTTAATGTCACCACCACAGTCCTAATTATCCAAGCTGTTAATCTTAGTGTTTTCACAGATTCTTCCCTCCACAAATTTCACATCCAATCCCTCTTACCTCTAGCAGTTCTTGTTCCACAATATTTTGCACCTGTTGTACCATCAACGTCCCCATGTTGTCATACCCTACTTCTATTCAAGTTTAGATCCCTCACTTGACCTACATGAGTAACCTCAAACTGGTCTTCAGCTTCCTCCATCCTCACATAGTTTTACCACAGAGCAACTCTGATCATGTCATCTTTAGCTCAAAAACCTCCAAGAGCCAACCCTCCTCACCAATTTCTTACCAAAACTATGGGTAAAGTAAGATGAGAAAAACAAACAAGGAGGCCATATGACTTCCAATCTGAGCAGATGATGAAATTATACTCAGTTGGAGAACAGGGAAGGTAGATGAAAAAGTAGAAGGCTTTCTGTATTTTCTGTGAGTCTCCACTACCCCAGTGTTGTGTCAATAAGTGTCCTACAGTCCTGGGATTCATTACCTGCCTAGTCACCCAGCTGATCCCTTTTCCATCTATATGGCCCAAATCAGAGTAGAACTGGAGAAGTGCTGGGGAGAGCAGGGAACCAGCCTTGGATGGTGGCTGAAAGCCAGGGACTGGGGAATGGTTAGCTATGTGTACCCATGGGCCTGGCCCAGTCCTTGGAATAAGATCAGTGCCAAGGAAGTAGCCTAGGGTGGAGCAGGGAGATGGAGGGTGCAGGGAGTCAATGAAATTTCATGAAGCAATGAGATTGAGTAAGAGTTATTGCCTAGTGGGTCAAGCTTGGTAGGGAATTTTTAAAAGCTCTTCCCATTCTTTTATAAAGTGGACTCTACAAAGCACCTGATTCCATTCTTATTCTTTCTCGGATGAAAGGACCAAGTGATGGGCATCAGTGGAGCAGACAGAGGTCGAGACAAGAGGAAGGGCAGCAAAGTACCAGGAGGAGATCTGACTGGCAGGCTGGCTGTGCATTCCAACCTCTAAGATCAATCATTAGTCCCAAAGTTCTGGCATCTTCAACAATGTGATGAAATAAAAGAGATCTGCCTGCCTAGGTTGAGTAGGTCCTAGAGAGTTCCAATATGAAAGCTCAATATGACTGGATCAGATAGTGTGAGACAGGGAGAGCTGTCATGTCTGTCAGACCATGACAAAGGCTGTCCTAAAAAGTGCCAAGCCTGGGGAGCTCGAGATTGGCAAGGCATACCCAGATGGTAATGAAGGCTTCCCAAAGACCTTTGGCTGTGATGACTACTGGCTCCCTCCGGGGGCTCTTATGCCTGCATTTCCAGCCAGGTTCAGCTGTAGGAGAAACTTGCTGTGGGAGCTGAGGCCACAGTGGAACAAGCAGCCATGGTGTTCATGTACAAATGCCAGCCTGTGCCAGGAACCCAGCCTGGGACTGGTTGGGGTAGGATAGCTATTTCAATCATTTAGCGTCCACCATCAGCCACTAGCTAAGCCCCTACTGTGTGACATCCTACACTAGGCCAGGGAAGAAAATGGAGAAAAAAGCAGTCCCTGGCTTCAAGGAATTCACAGTTTATTAGAGGAGACAGTGTTGGGAACAGGCCCCCGAATCTGGCCACAAACTGCCCCCAAAACTGGCCATAAACAAAATCTCTGCAGCACTGTGACATGTTCGTGATGGCCATGATGCCCACGCTGAAGGTTGTGGGTTTACCAGAATGAGGGCAAGGAACACCTGGCCCACCCAGGGCAGAAAACCGCTTAAAGGCGTTCTTAAACCACAAACAATAGCATGAGCGATCTGTGCCTTAAGGACATGCTCCTGCTGCAGATAACTAGCCAAACCCATCCCTTTATTTCAGCCCATCCCTTTATTTCCTGTAAGGAATACTTTTAGCTAATCTATAATCTATAGAAACAATGCTTATCACTGGCTTGCTCTCAATAAATATGTGGGTAAATCTCTGTTCAAGGCTCTCAGCTCTGAAGGCTGTGAGAACCCTGATTTCCCACTCCACACCTCTGTATTTCTGTGTGTGTGTGTCTTTAATTCCTCTAGCACTGCTGGGTTAGGGTCTCCACAACTGAGCTGGTCTCGGCAAGACAGACCAACAGAAGGTGATTTCAGTGCAGTATGGGGCAGGCAGGAAAGCACCAGGTAGGACATCAAACTCTGACCTGGGCATCAGTGAAATCTTCCTGGAGAGAATCTTGATAATTCTTTGAACATGGGAAACTGTCTGAATTCCCCAAATCCAAGCCAGAAAGATCTCCGCACAGAAATATGGTGCAAAAGAGTCTGCATGGTCTTTTGAATCTCAGGAGTTTAGGATATCTGGGCATTTCGGGGAGCAGCTCACCCCAGCATTGTAGATCAGAAGGTCTCAGAGTGGCTACACCATTGCATGTCTCTGGTTAAATGGCCTTCCCTGGGTGATATATTCTTCCTCTGGTGGGCGTGGTCAGCTACAACTCACAGCCGCTGGGCATCTGATTACCAAGGTGCCTGGCTCACAAGCGCATGGGTCAACAGTACTCTCATCATCCATCCCCAGAAACCTAGGGGCAGCCACTGGGTTGAGACCAGAAGCAGACAAAGGCAGGCACTAGTGAAACCCCCCACTGTCTACTCTGCACACACCAGCACAGCCTCTTTCTAACGCCTTCCTAGCTCCCCTCCCTGCCCAAAGGAAGAACAGGTGCTAATCTGACAGGTCAGAGTCCAGAATATTCACTGGGCCACATTTTACTGGTAAACCACCAGGTCACTGTACATTAAAGGCAACACCTTTTCTCCTCTATCCCGCTTTGGTCCTAGGAAGGTCTCGGTCTTTGGGGCTTCCTGTGCTTTTGCTTCCTTCCTGTATGTGGTGAGCAGACCCAGGTTGTGTTGCCATCTCAGTGAGGGCCTGGCCATGCCTCTCTGTTCCTGGATATGTAGTCAATAAGTAAGTTCAGTTGGGCCCTGCTCTCTCCTTAGCATGTATACTTGTGTGTGCTGCCACCAGATTTAGCTTCAAGAGGAGGGAGAGTGGGGAACCAGCCACCTGATACAGTCGTTCTTTCTCCAGCTTTTGCATTGACATTTCAGCTACCAATAAGGCTAGCAAAAAAAAAAAAAAAGACATTTTTAATTTACATCCTTTTATTCCTCCTTATATGAGATGCCAAGGGGTGCTGAATGATTGGCAGGACAATATTTTAGCCTTCCTGGGTCCCTAGCAGTAATGCCATTATACTATTTATAATTCCACCGAGACCCTAACCCAAGCCTCTAACCGTCTCCTGCAAAGGGAAAGCAGAGCCTTCTGCTTATAGGCATATTGGACTGAAGCCCAAAATCCTTGGGATCCTCCTAGGCATATTGGCTGAGCTTCAGGAAACAGCAGTGAGCAGACAGGCCACTCAGGGCTTGGGTTGAAAGTACCAGCCTTGCCCCAGCTCTCCAGAGGGAGTTGGCTGTGCCAGGTGCTCAGCCTCGCCTTGATAGTGATGCATTGTGGCATGAGTCTGGTGAAGTATTCAGCTGGAAGATCTGGCCAACTGGTTCCCAGGGATGGGTGTGTTGTGGGAGGGGGATGGAGGAGAGGAAATCATGTGGGTCTTCCTTGGAATTATCTCTGCCGGGCTCTTACTCCTGGATGACTCTTGGCCAAAAGGGCCATGGTAAGCTGAATAATGGCCCCAAAGATGTCCTTGCCTCATCCCTGGAACCTGTGAATATATTAAATTTGCATGGCAAGGAGACTTTACAGATACAATTAAGGTTATAGATCTTAAGATGGGCCAGGTGTGGTGGTTCACGCCTATAATCACAGCACTTTGGGATGCCAAGGCTGGTGGATTACCTGAGGCCAGGAGTTCAAGACCAGCCTGGCCAATATGACGAAACCCCACTTCTACTGAAATTACAAAAATCAGTGGGGCGTGGTTGTGGGTGCCTGTAATCCCAGGTACTCGGGAGGCTGAGGCATGAGAATTGCTTGAAGCCGGGAGGTGGAGGTTGCAGTGAGCTGAGATCCTGCCATTGCACTCCCGCCTGGGTGACAGAGAGAGACTCTGTCTCAAAAAAAAGAAAAAAAAAAAAAAGATGGGAAGATTATCCTGGATTAGCCAGGTAGGCTCTGTGTAATCACATGAACCCTTAAAAGTGGAAGAATTGGCCAGGCACGGTGGCTCACACCTGTAATCCCAGCACTTTGGGAGGTCAACTCAGGCAGATTACTTGAGGCCGGGAGTTCAAGAACAGCCTGGCCAATATGGTGAAACCCCATCTCTACTAAAAATACAAAAATTAGTTGGGGGCGGTGGTTGTGGGCACTTGTAATCCCAGCTACTTGGGAGGTGGAGGCAAGGAGAATTGCTTGAACCTGGGAGGTGAAGGTTGCAGTGAGCCAAGATTGAGATCGCGCCACTGTACTCCAGCCTGAGCGACAGAGCGAGACTCTGTCTCAAAAAAAAAAAAAAGGAGAAGAATCTTTCCTAGTTGAAGAGATACAGCAGAAGAGAAGACAGGAAAGGTAAGGCACAAGAAGGACTTGACTCTCTATTGCTGGCTTCAAAGATAAGGAGAACGTGAAGGAATGTGGATGGCTTCTAAAAGCTGAGAATGACCCAGGGCCAATAGCCACCAAGGAAATAAGGACCCCAGTGCTACAACCACATACAACTGGACACTGCCAGCAACCTTCATGAACCTGTAAGTGACCCTCCTCCAGTAAGGAAAACAGCCCGCTGACACCTTGTAGCCTAGTGAGACCCATGTCAAACTCCAGACCTGCAAACTGTGAAATAATAAATGGGTGTTTTTTTTAAGCTCTCACATTTGTGGTAATTTGTCCTGGCAGCAATAACAAATTCATACAGAGGTGGAAGGCCAAGAGGTATTACTGAATCAGTCAATGACCTTGGTCCTGGGGTGCTCTTGGCCATCTGTATTTTCTTAAGTGGCTGGTGAGATTCCTAAAACAAACTGTGATTCTCACAGGAATGTCCTGCCAGTCTCTTGGGGCTCTGATTCTGAACAGGGAACTAACTCTGCTTCTTGCCCACCTACTGTGGTCATAGATGATATCCTCTGATAGTCCTGGTCCCATTACCTACAGATGGCTTTCTCAGGAGACCCCACAGTTGCCCTGAGGCCTCCTGAGAAGAAAGAGTAGCCCATGGGCAGAGAATAACTATGTCTGGTGCAGTCAGGGATGGTATGCTCTGTGTCCCAAAGGAGAGGATTGTGGAAATCAGGGGTACCATCTCATCTTTGAGGGTGTGGTTCTAGATGTTAGGACAGAGCTATTAGCTGAGAAGTCTTTGAGTCTTTCTGGAGACTGGGTCAGATAGAATTATGTCAACGCTAAACTGTGGGATTAGCCAAGGACAGGCCTAATACTTCCTGAGGGGCCAGCTGGGAACACTGCTTGGGAACAAGCTATCTAGAAGATGGCCCTTCCCAGGTAGGATCCAATTAGCCAGGAGGATGTTGCTGCAGCTGGGTTTTTGCCTGTGTTTGTCTCAATTGGCTCACTCTCTTTTTAAAAGAGAAGCAGATTCACTTTACGAACCACCTGGCATTGCTCACGCACCTCTCATTAGCCTACCCAGAAGAGGGGAGACAAGGCAAAACCCAGACTTCTCCAACTTGACCAAGTTGTCCAGGTAGCAGAAATGGCAACAATTTAGGAGATAAATCAAGGTTCTATGCCTTCACCAAGTCTTTCTGGCAAATAAACAGGGGAAAATCATGATTAGATTCTAGCCTTCCAACTTAAATGCTAAGTGAAGATTCGGATAGTAACCAAACCAACAGGAAAAGGAGTCAAGGAGATTTCATGCATACCATTTTCAAGCAGATGGTAAACCCTGAGAGAACTGCTCTCCATTAAAGATAGGCAGAAAAAAACTCAGCATGAAACCTATGCAAAAAAGCATCTACAAAAAAGAACATAGTAGACAAAAGATGGATGAAGAGAATCCTTCTGAAGTTTTACTCTAGGAAACAGAAGAATGACAAAATCTCGGACTGGTGAGGGGCTGGAGCCCGGCCCTTTTATGCTCTGCTGGTGGTGACATAAATTGGCCCAGCCTTTCTGCAGTCCACTGGGCTGGCAGGAATGAACATTTCAAATGAGTGTACCTTTGACCCAGTGATCTCACTTCTTGTAATTTACCCCCGGACAATCATTGCCAAAACAAATGGAGATCTAAAGACAAGTCTTTCCATCTCAGCCTTGTTTATAACAGTGAAAAGTGGATGGTTATCAATAAGGTTAAATCATTGGTTTAAAAAATATAAAGAAATTAAGGCACTTCCATATAGACAATATATAAATGATGATGTAGATTTGATGACATGAAAATTTGCCTATGACATGTATAATTGAGTGCAAAAAAGGGATAACAGAACAGCATGATCCCATTTGTATAATATTTTAATAGGTGCACATGGAGGGATGTCTGGAAGGATGTTCACCCTAACAGCTGAATTTTGCTTTGTTCTTTGTACATTTCTGTATGATCACAATATTTATAATAAGCCTAAATCTTTAAAAGAATAAAGCTATTTTCAAAATAAGAAGGATGTAATAGAAGTCTGCTCAGTCTACCAGTTGTGATAGGATCTATAGTTGACAAGTTGGAAATTGCCAGTTACTGTGGGGTATTATAAAGAATGACATAAGCGTGTGTTAAATATTTTAACTTAAAATATATAAATGAATGTCCATTCACTATCTTTTGATATAGGGATAAGATATTTTCTTTTTATGTTTCATAAGCCAAATCTGAATGCAGAACCCTTCTAGATTTTCCCCATAATACCTGCCTGTATTTAATCTGATACTGATTATTTTTAACTAAAAAAATTTTTTTTAGAGATGAGGCCTTACTCTGTCACCTAGGTTGGCATGCTGTGGTGCAATCATATCTCACTGCAGCCTTAAACTTCTGGGGTCAAGGATCCTTCTACCTTGGCCTCCCAAATTGCTGGGATTAAAGGCATAAGCCACGGTGCCCAGCCCTAATCTGATACTGACTTTTTAATCACCTTTATCAAGTCAATACTCAGTCTGAATACTCCCTCCTCCTTGCTTACTTCTAGATTAAGAATGGAAAAGTTGGCCGGGCCCAGTGGCTCATGCCTGTAATCCCAGCACTTTGGGAGGCTGAGGCAGGCAGATCACAAGGTCAGGAGTTCGAGACCAGCCTGGCCAATATGGTGAAACACCATCTCTACTAAAAATACAAAAATTAACTGGGCGTGGTGGCAGGCACCTGTAATCCCAGCTACTCAGGAGGCTGGGGCAGGAGAATCGTTTGAACCCGGGAGGCGGAGGTTGCAGTGAACAGAGACCGTGCCATTGCACTCCAGCCTGGGCAACAGAGCGAGACTCCGTATAAAAAAAAAAAAAAAAGGGAAAGTTGAAGACTTGCTTTTCCAACCTCTTTAGCAGGAATGGCCAGGTGGTAAAATTCTTAACAAGGCATTAGCCGTCTACTAAGGGTTTCTGGGGTAGCTTTAGCTTGCAGCTTTCCATTCAGCCATCCAGTCAGCTACTAACATTTTGTTCCTTCCCTCCTATTCTGTTTTCTCTACTCCTGTCCTTCTAACACTGAACCTGCCTTCCCACTGAACATTGGCCTTTGCTGGACATCACTGCAGATCTGTGGGACTCTTCCATTCCTCTGCATTAATTAGAAGCTGTCACTGTATCTGCTGTAGCTCACATGCATGACTGCTGCTACTCCTGGATGCTGCCACCTCTGCCATGCCTTGTTGTCACCATCATCCACACCAGTGCCAATACCCCAGGCCCCATAGTGTCAAGGCGGTATAGTGGTCTATAGCAAAATGAGCAAGAGGTACAGTATCTGTACTCCTTGAAATGTTATGCTCTATTGGAAGAACCCCAAGTGAAAGCTGTGCATACCCCTTAGTGTCCCTAAATTTTCAGTGAAAGAGCACTTTCCGTTCTAATTCACACTCTCTTGCTGTGCCCTCAGCCACAGGAGACTGGCTGGAGCAGGTCTGAGGGATGGACACTCAGCTATACATGGAATTACACCTCACTTGAAAACCAAGGTTCCATCAGTGGGCCAACTTGGTATCTGGACTCTTGTGTGAGTGAGTTTTTTACTAGCAGGCTCCTACCCCCTCATGCCAACAGATCCCTCCAAGTTCTCTAGACATGGTTACATTTTGTTGGTGAACACACTTGGACTCAAACTGGGTCTTCCGCTGCAGACTTTTTGGGAAAGGAGAAGGAAGCAGGGAAAGATTCTTAAATATGTTGACTTTTAAACAAATCTGATTTTATGATTATAAAATTAATACATACTTTTTATAAAAAATGTGTAAAGTACATAGAGAAAAAAGACCCAGTGAAGAAAATAAAACTCACCTGCAATCCCACTACTTAGAAAGAATCACAAATAGGCGGGGCATGGTGGCTCATGCCTATAATCTTAGCACTTTGGGAGGTCAAGGCAGGCAGATCACTTGAGGCCAGGTGTTCAACACTAGCCTGGCCAACATGGCAAAGCCCCATCTTTACTAAAAATACAAAAATAAGCCAGGTGTGGTGGCATGCACCTGTAATCCCAGCTACTCTGGAGGCTGAGGAAGGAGAATTGTTTGAGCCTGGGAGGTGGAGGTGTCAGTCAGCCGGGATCACACCACTGCACTCCAGCCTGGGCAAAGAGCGAGACCCTGTCTCAAAAAAGAAATACATAATCACAAATAATGTTTTGATGGTTTTTAACTCCTCCGTTGTTTTATATTGTTAAGATTGCACTTAATATAATTTTATAGCTTGATTTTTAATGACCTATCATGATGTCAGAAGCCATCTCCCTTGATACTAAAAATTATTTATAAGCAAATTTTTGTTTTATTTAGATAGGGTCTCGTTCCATCACCCAGGCTGGAGTGCAGTGGTATCACAGCTCACTGCAGCCTCAACTTCCCTGACTCAAGTGATCCTCCCACCTCAGCTTCCTGAGTAGCTGAGACTACAGGTATATGCCACCACACTTGGCTAATTTTAATATTTTTTTGTAGAGACATGGTCTCACTATGTTGCCTAGGCTGATTTGAACTCCTGGGCTCAGGTGATTCTTTAATCTCAGCCTCCCAAAGTGCTGGAGTATAGGCATGAGCCACCATACCTAGGCCTATATGCAAACTTTTAACAGTTATATAATGCCCAATGTTATGTGTATTTGGAGTGTTTTGGTAGAAAATCACAAAAATCCACTTGAGTGAGTGTCAATTTTTTTTTTTAATGAAGGAAATTTGTTATGGGATCAGGGATGTTTCCTGGAAACTAAAGGAAGAGACACAGCCAGACCTCAGATCTAGATTATGAATAGAGACTAGAATAGGGGGTAGGAAGCCAACAGCACCCCTTCCCTCCAACTTGCATCTGTTTCCCTCTTTCCTTCTCTGTTTTTGTATATGGTCTTTTGCAGAAAACATGGCCGTGGACCACTCCTGAGTTTACTTGTCCAGGAAGTTCAGGGAGAAGCTGATCTCTTTTAGTTCTAGTTTCAAATATTTGGGAAGATGTCTTAATTGATTGACCCAGTTTTGATCAGGTGCTGATCCATTCAACAGTGGGGAAGATGACCAGAGTCGTACAGCAGGAACTTGTCTGCTCCTATTGAAATGTAAACAGTGGCAGTATGAGGGGTTAAAGGAGAGGGAGCTCCCAGAACACTGGGAATCAGTGGAGTATGGTCAGGCAACCTATGTGCTATCCCAGAGTTTACCAAACTATTTCCCGATCATTTTGATCAGTGCTTGCAAGTAGATACTGGGTTGGGGGTAAGAGTTGATGTGTTGCCTCACCCCGCTACCCATGAGCATACAGGTCCCAGCTCCTACTCAGCCAAGGTACCAACTTGTACTTACAGATGGGTATTAATGGAACCGACAGTGAACTCTTCTAGGTTATCAAAGACTGTTGCTGGACATCTCTAGACCCAAACAGGGAACTTTCCATATGCAGCTCTCCCCTCAGGAAAAAAGCTTCAACTTGTCTATAATATGAGAAGCCTCTCATTCAGTAGAATTAATGACTCGTAAATTTTAACAAAGGAAAGGAAATACTTCTTTCTATCCTGAATAACCCAGTCTGTGGCAGGGGGTAATTTGTATTGGAAATAAGGCTTGGATTTCCGAAGGAGTTGCATGGTTTTATGATTGTTAATAACATTCACAGTTATGCATGCGTGGATTTCATATTTCATGGTATGAGCTGATTGCCTGGAGGGGTCAGGAAGGCATATTTTCCAGAATTATATGAGTGGGTAGGTCCATTATCAGAGACTGTTATCTTCTTCTAAAGCATTAATTGTTGGTCATTGACTCGATGAACTATCAGAAATGAAACAAAACCAAGCCCTGTGTATTTATGAGCTTCTAGGTCTTGTTTCTGAGGTCTCACCAGCTTACAATGAGCCTCGGGGGATGCTGTAGTTCAGTGGTCCTAGCTCAAGGCTGGGAGGAGGTAGGAACTGTTATTGGTTCCCTACTGATTTGCATGGATTGAGATGTAGGGGAGTTTCCTGCCTCACACAGGAAAGAATCTCTCCCACACCTCCCGTCAGAACTCCCTTCAGGCTCCAGTGCAAGGAGTGGATCATGCATCCCTGTCCTTGTACATGGGAGGCTGGCAAATGCAGCTTTCAGGTTCCCTCCTCAACACCCTCCTGTAGTAGAGGCTGATTGGTCAGCAAGAAAGCCATGCTGTTGCGTGGGCAGCCATGAGTGTCTCCCACCCCACTGTGCACAAAGCCCTGGTGCTAGGCATCATCATGGGACACAAAACAAGTATAAGTTACAGTTTCCACCCTCAAGGAGCTCAGTATCTTCAAGTACAACTGAAATAGTGGTACTGATGGAGTCAGAAAAGAAACAAAAGGATGAAGAGACCAGTATGTGCTGGAATAGTCTGAACAGACTTTTGGCAGAGGTAGGGACAGAGCAGGAATCTTGAATGGATGATGGAATTTTTGTTTATTTATTTATTTATTTTTAATTTAATGGGGTTTTTTTTGTTTTTGTTTTGCTTTTTTTTTTTTTTTTTTGAGATAGTTTCGCTCTTGTTCCCCAGGCTGGAGTGCAATGGCTCAATCTCAGCTCACTGCAACCTCCATCTCCTAGGTTCAAGAGATTCTCCTGCCTCAGCCACCTGAGTAGCTGGGACTACAGGTGTGTGCCACCATGCCCAGCTAATTTTTGTATTTTTAGTAGAGACAGGGTTTTGCCATGTTGGCCAGGCTTGTCTCGAACTCCTGACCTCAGGTAATCCTCCCGCCTCGGCCTCCCAAAGTGCTAGGATTACAGGTGTGAGCCACCGTGCCTGGCTGGATGATGGAATTTTTAAAATGGAGGGAGAGAGTGGAGGACATTCCAAGCTGGGGAAGCACACACAGCCTAAGACAATGAAGCAGATAGACAAGACTGCCACACCGCGGGGTGGGGTCACCTGGATGCACAGAAGGGGCTCCCTAAACCAGGAAGCTCTAGGCCTCTGGGCCCCAAATGGTTGGCAGAGAATTTGAACTGAGCACAGAGGTCTTCATGTCCCATTGAAGGTTTTTGAGCAAAGTGCCAGCTAACCCAAGGCAGGACTGTTTTAGGGAGATGAATCTGTAGTATGGTGTAGGGGGTAGAAGAAAGAGAGCCTTAAGGAAACAGGTTAGGAGGCTGTTGAAGTGAATCATATATGAGGGGGACAAGAAAGGCCTGTGTTATGTCCAGGGTTCCAAATGAGAAAAGTATTCTGGGTAGGGAAAGGGGTAGGAAACTCAGTGAAGGACTGATAGGGATGCTCATTCAGGAGGCCTGAGCCTGGGAGGATCAGCCTTTGGGAGGAGACAAGCAGACCCCAATCTGCATCCTCAAACTTATAACAGTCCTGTGGGTCCAGAGAAATCTGTAGATCAGCAGAGCTGCCCTGAGATCCTGGACCTTGGGGACAGCCTTAGGCTGGCAACAGAGGGTGACACCAGTGCTGCTTAAAACCCAGGGTCCTTGAGGAAGATTCCACACCACACCTCCCTGGAGTGCGAGTGATGAGGCCATTTAAATTCTGTAGGACCTGAGGTGAGGCTGAGCTTCCTGGAGGATGGATCACCAGGGACTCAGATGAGGGAAGTGAATCAGGACTGGATGACCATCAGACAGGGCAGTGGCCTTGGAATCTGAAAGGAAAGGACAAGTCCAGGAGGCAGCTTGAAATTCCACCTTCCAGACAAATACTGGGGCAGAGCACAGATGTGCAGCTTCTCCAGGGGAAATCATTCATCAGGAATCATGTAGACCCTGCAACAGCATCCAGAAGAGACCTTAAGGGTGAGCTGATTCAACTCCTTCATTATATAGAAGGGAAACCGAGGCCCAGAGAGTAGGAGGGACTTGCCAAAGATCAAAGAGTGAGTCCTACTACCCACCCTAGTGCTTTACCAGAAGGGAGATTCTGGGCAAAACACCCAGAAAGCAATAAGTCTCCCTACTGTCTTTCCAGTTCTCAGCCTGCAGTGTGGATTCTGGAAGACTGAGCCTGTGTTTATCAGCTCAGAACTCCCTTTGCCAAGAGACTTTTTGGTTCCAGTAGGGTAAGCAATTGACCTCTCTTCTGCAGATGAATCCCATGTTGCTCTGTGTAGCATTTCCCCCTCTCCCCGAGGGAACACCACCTCCTTCTCCCACTTGGCATCTGCCAAGGCTTTACCCTGGGGCAGCTGGCATCAGGCTTCCCTGGGCCCACAGAGGGCTACAGCTGTGCTGAAAGGATAGTGACCAGGTCCCTGACCTATGAGCCCTCTGGAATATCTTCCCTTGGTTCCCCTTGAGGAACCAAGACAGGTTCTCCGCACTGAGAGGATCTGTGACTCTACAGAGGCTGCCCCTGGAGGCACAGGTGGCCTGTCCTTGCTGATCACTGGAGAGCTGGGGCTCAGATACACCCCTTGTTTACCATGGCTCACAACAGCACCCAGAACTGCTGTGTTGGACTTTAGCGTAATGTATTCATAAACCATGGGTTTTAATAATAAAGACCAGGAAATTGGAGCACTGGCTTTCAACCCTGGCTGCACGTTATAAATTACCTAAAATTTTTAAAATTTTTATTTATTTTTATTAATACATAATATTTTTACATATTTATGGGATACATCTGATATTTTGTTACATGCATAGAATGTGTAATGATCAAGTCAGGGTGTTAAGGATATCCATCACTTCAAACATTTATCATTTCTGTGTGTTGGGAACATTTCAAGTCTTTGCTTTCAGCTATTTTGAAATATGTAATACATTGTTGTTAATTACAGTCACCCTATTCTACTATCAAACATTAGAACTTATTCCTTCTTTTTTTCTCTTAAGAAATTCACAGTCTAAGAACTTATTCCTTCTATCTAACTGTATATTTGTATCTATTAACAAACCTCTCTTCATCTCCCACACCCACATCCTTCCCAGCCTGTAGTAACTGTCATTCTACTCTCTACCGCCGTAAGATCAACCTATTTTTTTAGCTCTCACATATGAGTGATTATATGTGATATTTGTCTTACTGTGTGACAAATATCACTTAACATAATGATCTCCAGTTCCATCCATGTTGCCACAAGTGACATGGCTTCATTTCTTTTTTTTTTTTTTTTTTTGAGATGGAGTCTCACTCTGTTGCCCAGGCTGGAGTGCAATGCCACCATCTCAGCTCACTGCAACCTCTGCCTCCCGGGTTCAAGTGATTCTCCTACCTCAACTTCTGGAGTAGCTAGGATTACAGGGGCCCGCCACCACGCCTGGCTAATTTTTGTATTTTTGGTAGAGACGGGGTTTCACCACATTGGCCAGGCTGGTCTTGAACTCCTGACCTCAGGTGATCCACCCACCTCGGCCTCCCAAAGTGCTGGGATTACAGATGTGAGCCACCATGCCCGGCTGGCTTCATTCTTTTTTATGGCCAAATAGTATTTGATTGAGGATCCAAATTCTTAGAGGAAGGTCTTTCGGCTTTTTCCCATTCAGCATAATGTTAGCTGTGGGTCTGTCATATATGACCTTTATTGTATTAAGGTATGTTCCTTCTATGCCTAGTTTGTTGAGAGTTTTTATCATGAACAGATGTTGAATTTCATCAAATATTTTTTCTGCATCCACTGAGAAGGCCATGTGGTTTTTGTCTTTTATTCTGCTAATGTGATGTATCACATTTATTGATTAGTGTATGCTGGACCATTATTTTATCCCTGGGATAAATCCCTCTTGATCATGGTGTATTACCTTTTCCTGTGCTGTTCGATTTGTTTTGCCAGTATTTTTTTTTTTTAGAATTTTTGCATCTATGTTCATCAGGAATATTGGCCTCTAGTTTTCTTTTTTCAATGTGTCATTATCCGGTTCTGGTATCAGGGTAAGGCAGACCTCAATAAATGAGTTAGAATTTCCTCCTCATTTTTTGGGAATACTTCAAGGAGATTGGTGTTAATTCTTTGGGTATGGTGGAATTTGGCAGTGAAACCATTACGTCCTAGGCTTTTCTTTGTTGAGAGACTTTTTATTACTGATTCAATGTTGTTTCTCATTATTGGTCTGTTCAGATTTTCTATTTCTTCCTTATTAAATCTTGGTACATTGTATGTATCCAGGAATTTATCCATTTCCTCCAGGTTTTTCAGTTTGTTAACATATAGTTGTTCATAGTAGTCTCTGATGATCTTTTATATTTCTGTGGTGTAGTTGTGATGTCTCCTCTTTCATTTTTTATTTTATTTGGGTCTTCATTTTTTTCTTGGTTAGTTTAGCTAGCAGTTTATCAATTTTATCTTTTTTAAAAAACAACTTTTTTTTTGACCCTTTGTATTTTTTTTAGTGTTTCTTTAGTTCTGCTCTGATCTTTGTCATTTCCTTCCTTCTACTAATTTTGGGCTTGATTTAGTCTTGCTTTTCTAGTTCCTTGAGGTGCATCTTTTGGTTTTGTGAAATCTTTCTCCTTTTTGGATATACGTGTTTATTGCTATAAACTTCTCTTATAGCACTGCTTTTGTTGTATCTCATTGGTTTTGGTGTGTTGTGTTTCAATGTTCATTTGTTTCTAGACATTTTTGTATTTCCTTCTTAATTTCTTCATTGACCCTGTGGTCATTCAGGAGCATGTTGTTTAATTTCTATTTATTTGTACAGTTTCCCAAGTTCCTCTTGTTATTGATTTCTAGTTTTATTCCAGTATGGACTGAGAGGATACTTGATATGATTTCAATTTAAAAAAATGTGTTGGCACTTGTTTTGTGGCCTAATATATGATCTATCCTGGAGAATGTTCCGTGTGGTACTGATAAGAATGTGTATTCTGTAGCTGTTGAATGAAATGTTCTGCAAAGGTGTGTTAGGTCTATTTTGTTTAAAATGCAGTTTAAATCCAATGTTGCTTTGTTGCTTTTCTTTCTAGATGATCTATCTAATGCTAAGAGTGGGATGTTGACGTCCCCAACTATGATTGTATTGGAGTCTAGCTTTTCCTGTAGAACTAATAATATTTGTTTTATACAGCTGAGTGCTCTGCACTGGACACATATACATTTAGAATTGTTATATCCTATGGCTGAATTGATCCCTTTATCATTATATAATGACATTCTTTGTCTTTTTTTTAAGAACTGTTTTTGACTTAAAGCCTGTTTTATCTGATATAAGTATAGCTATTCCTTCTTGCTTTTGGCTTCTGTTTGCATGGAATTTTTTCCCCCATCCATTTACTTTCAGTCTATATGTATCTTTACAGGCAAAGTGAGTTTCTTGTAGGCAGGATATAGTAGGATTATGTTTTTTAATCCATTCAGCTAGTCTAAACCTCTTAAGTGGAAAATTAGTCCATTTACATTCAAGGTTATTATTGATATGTGAGGGCTTATTCTTGTCATTATGTTGTTTCCTTGTTTTATATATCCTTTTCTTTATTTTTCTTCTTTTATTACTTATCATTGGTTTGGTGGTTTTCTATAGTGGTAACATTTGAGTTCTTTCTCTTTCTCACTTGTGTTTGCTCTACTAGTGAGTTTTATACTTTTGTGTGATTTTATGATGGTAGATATTATGGTTTCACTTTCAGGTGTAGGACTCCCTTAAGCATTTCTTGTAGGACTGATTGTTGTGGTGATGAATTTCCTCAGTTTTTGCTTGCTGGATAAGTCTCAATTTCTCCTTTATTTATGAAGGATAACTGTTGGGTATAGTATTTTTGGCTGATAGTTTTTTCTCTTCTTTTAGTACTTTGAATATATCATCCCATTCTCTCATGGCCTGTAAGGTTTCTGCTGAGAAATCCACTGTTGGTTTGATGAGGATTCTCTTATATGTCACTAGATGCTTTTCTCTTGCTGCTTTTAGAATTCTCTTTGTCTTTGCCTTTTTTTTTTTTTTTTTTTTTTAAGATAAGGTCTCATTCTGTCATCCAGGCTGGAGTGCAATGGCATGATCACCACTCACTGCAACCTTGACCTCCCTGGGCTCAAGTGATCCTCCCACCTCAGCTTCCTAAGTAGCTGGGACTACAGGCATGTGCCACCATGCCTGGTTAATTTTTCGTATATTTTGTAGAGATGGGGTATTGTCATGTTGCCCAGGCTGGTCTCAAACTCCTGGGCTCAAGCAATCTGCCCACCTTGACTTCCCAAAGTGCTACAATTACAGGCGTGAGCCACTATACCTGGCCTTTTACTTCTGACAGACTATAATGTGCCTGGAAGACCTTTTTGGGTTATATCTATTTGGGGATAGCTGAGCTTCTTGTGTCTGGATGTCTAAATCTCTTACTACATTTGGGATGTTTTCAGCTATTATTTTGTTAAATAGATTTTCTATGCTATTAAACTTCTCTTCACCTTTTGGAACACCCAAAATTAGAATATTTGGTCATTTTATGATGTCCCATGTGTCACGTAGGTGTTCTTAATTTTTTTTATTCTTTATTTTTTTCTTGTCTGGCTGAGGTATTTCAAAAGACGTGTCTTCAAGTTATGAAATTCTTTCTTCTGCTTGATTCCAGTCTATTGCTGAAGTTCTTGATTGTATTTTTTATTTCATTCATTGAATCTTCCAGTTCCAGGATTTCTCTTGGTTCTTTTTTGCATCTTTCTTTTCAGTGAAATTTCTCATTCATACCCTGAATTGTTTTTCTTATTTTTTATATTATATATCTGTGCTTTCTTATATTTCACTGAGCTTCTTTAATATCATTACCTTGAATTATTTTCCAGGCATTTCATAAATTTCTTTTCATTGGAACCTGTTGCTGGAGAATTACTGTCCTCCTTTGGAACTGTCATATTCCCTTTTTCTTGTTTGTGTCCTTTCATTGATATCTCCCTATGTGGTATAACAATGACTTCTTCCAATTTTTTGGATTGATTTTCTTTTTTCTTTTTCTTTTCTTTTCTTTTCTTTTTTTCTTTTCTTTTTTTTGAGATGGAGTCTCACTCTGTCACCCAGGCTGGAGAGCAGTGGCACAATCTCAGCTCACTGCAATGTCTGCCTCCTGGGTTCAAGCAATTCTCCAGCCTTAGCCTCCCAAGTAGCTGGGACTACAAGCGCATGCCACTGCATCTGGCTGATTTTTGTATTTTTAGTAGAGACTGGATTTCACCATGTTGGCCAGACTGGTCTCAAACTCCTGACTTCAGGTGATCCACCCACCTCCGCCTCCCAAACTGCTGGTTTACAGGCATAAACCACCACATCCAGCCTTGGATTGGTTTTCTTAGGGGAAGACTTTTTAACAGGAAAAAGTCCTCCCCTACAGTGTTAGTTGAGTAATGCACTTTGGCTTTGATTCGGGGTGTGTGCCGTAGTGTAGTCTGTGTATGATGTCTTTGGTTGCAAACATTATCAGTGGTATCTGTGATTTTCTTAGTGGCTTAGGCTATGGCTGCTAGTGGTGGCTGTGGTGAAGTTTTGCTGGGGACAGAACACCAGATGGGCCAGTCCTCAGGCTCTAATGGTGGCAGCAGTGGCCTAGGAAGGTCTGTCTTTGGGCTGCCAGGTGGCATACATGAGCATTGGTGTTAGCAGGTCCAGGCAGGCTCACTCTTGGGCCTCTAGGAGGTTTGCTTGGGTGCTGGTAGTGTCGGTGGTGGACTGGGTAGGTGGGAGAGTCCTTGAGCCCCTGGGCCACATGCTTGGTGTGGGCAATGATAGTAGTGGTGGTGCAACAGCCTTTGGGCTCCAAGATGTCATTCACTGGTGTTAATGGTGGCTGGGAGGGCCAGTCCCCAGGCCCCTAGGTGGCATGTGTGGGTGGGTATCAGCAGTGGTGGTAGAGCAGGCTGGGTGGGCCCATCCTCAAGGCCCCCAGGAGGAGTGTCCAGATGCCAGCAATGGTGGACCAAATGGCATGCTTGGGTGCTGGTGGCAGGTTTTCTGGGCTTGTTGTTGGGCCCACTGGTGGTATGCATGTGCTCTGAGAACAACTGACAGGGTGGGGCAATACTCTGGCTCCTAGGCAGCATGCTCAGGGGCTGGGAGAGCAGTGCCAGGCAGGGCAGACCTGTTCCCAGGTCCCCTCAATGGTGTACATGGGCAAAGGCTTCGGTGGGCAGGACAGGGTGATCCCCAGGCCCTGGGCAGTGTGCTCAGGTGGTAGTGGCAGCAGCAGCAGTGGGCAGGGAAAGCCTGTCCTCAGGGCACATGCAAGTCCTTGGGGCCCCTGCTGCTAGGGAAGGGAGACAGAGTTGCTGTCTGTGGTAGCTACCCCAGACAGGTGGCTCTCAGGCTCTGGGGAGTGTGTACGTTCAGGTCCCTGCCTGTGGTGGCTGGCTGAGAGAGGCTATCCTCAGGGCACATGGAAGTGTGCTGTTGTTAAGCTGCTGGTGGGGTAAGGTTGCTGTCAGTGACGGTGGCCCCAGGCAGACAGGTTTCAAGCTCTGGGGCATGCACACTTCACCTCCTTTTGTCTAGGGGACAGCCTCCTCAGTGCACTGCTCTGCCCTTTCCCCAACACACAGGACAGAGTAGGCTAGAGTGCTGGGAACCCTGCTGTTCCACTGGGTCCACCTGCATCACACCACTGCGGCCCTCTGGGTGGATGCAGGTAGATGTCAGTGGGTCTCCAGGGATATGGACAGGCAGAGGCTGTTGGGCCCTGGGGAAGGGGATACAGTCTGGTAGGGGCTGAGCTCTCAAAATGGTACCGTTCTGCAGCTGCTTGAGTCTTAGGGGGGTGATATGGTTTGGCTCTGTGTCCCCATCTAAAGCTCAACTTGAATTGTAATCCCCATGTGTTGAGGGAGAGACCTGTAATCCCTATGTATCAAGGAAAGGAGTGATTGGATTATGGGGGTGGTTACCCCCATGCTGTTCTTATGATAGTGAATTCTTATAAGATCTGATAGTTTTATAAATGGTAGTTTTTCCTGTACTCACATACACACACTGTCTCCTGCCACCTTGTGAAGAAAGTGCCTGCTTCTCCTTCCGCCATGACTGTAAGTTTCCTGAGGCTTCCCCACCCATGTGGAACTATGAGTCAATTAAACCTCTTTTCTTTATAAATTACCCAGTCTCGGGTAGTATTTTTATAGTAGTGTGAAAACGGACGAATACAGGCGTGTGGGACCCAGTGCGTACTTCCTATCTGCAGCAATGTTGTCATGTGGACTCCAGGGAGCTCCCTATACCAGTCTCAGGGCCCACAGGTAGAAGGACTCTCCTATGGCTAGGACTGCGGGAGTCCACAGTAGGAATGTGGACCACTGGAGATCTCTCATGTACTCTTCTTCCAGACTGGAGAGTTTCTCCAGGCTCCTGGCTGATCCCAGCCAGGCCGTCTGCCTCACTTCCTTTTCCTTAGGCACCTCAGCTTTTTCCTGTCACTTCGATGCTGAATTCCAGAGTTCTCAGTTGTTCTGTTCAAAGTGTTATTATCTAGTCATTATTTTGTTGGTTCTTTGTGGAGAAGAAGGGGTGTTCCGTGCCTCTAGTCAGCCAACTTGAAGCTCCTCCTCACCTAAAATTCATTTTTTTAAAATTTTGATGCCTAGACCCTCCTCCCAGAGATTCTGGTTTCCTGAGTCTGGGATGTGGCCTAAGCCTCCGGATTTTAAAGACCGATATGCAGCCAAAAGCAAGAATCCCTGAATTAAAGGAACTGAGATAAATTCATTTTATATTGCAGGGAATCAAAATATGTCCTGTCATCATTTCATTTTGTATAGGTGCATCCAGATTCATCTGCTGATTTTGATTTACTTTCTGGTTCCTTTTATTAGGGGCATCCTTCCCATTTCTATTCACTCTCTCCCAATTCCCCCTAGATTCTGGGGTAAGTACATGGCCCATATGGATTCAGCAAGGCTCAATGAGCCAATGAGTTCTGAAAAGCAATTGTTTTTGACACTTGTTAAAGATGGTAAGGCAGACTTTAGTCAGGACCATTATGATAGGTGTAAGGACCACTGCAATAAGATTTTGCAATGGAGAGAGATTGGGCTCAACTCTGAATACAAGGAAGAGTGGGAATGTATAGCCAAGGAGCAAGGTGGAGATCAGTGGATAGAAAACTACTTAGCAGAAACATCAGAGGTAAAGAGAATCCTGGCTAAACTGACCAAACAGAATTCATGCTGAAGGCAACCATGGTGATCATACATCACCGAGAAGATGGTAGAGTATGAAGAACCTCTGTAGATATGATTAGATTAGGGGAACTGGCCTAGCAGGATTCTTACCAAAATTGGACACTGCAGAGGTAAACACGGACGCCCAAATGTCAGAGCTCAGTTGAGAAGAGAGTTCAGGGGAGTCTGCATAGAGTTTGTTCAAGGAGAGAATCTTTGTTGGAGTCACAACCCTTGGATTTTCTCTGAAGCTATGGGGAAAGAGAAGCCCTCTTTCTTCTGAATTGGAACTGGTAGCCTGTGGCACTGGAGTTTCGGGGACCACCATGGAGAGAGGGTGAGCTTGAAAATGAAGCCACCGTAGGGAGAGCAGAAAGAAGAAAAGGCAGAACAATGAGGACATCACCTGAGCACCTGGGTCCTGACATACATGAAACCAGGTACTCCTGGATTTCACTGTTATTGAGCCAAAAAATTGCAGGTTTTGTTTAATCCATTTGATTTTGAGTTTGTCTTTTGCATCTATAAGAGTCCTATCTATGATAAGAATGTTTCTCAAAACCTTACAGATAAGCTGTTAGGTATGTAAAGTTTTCTTCCTTCCCTTGTGTTAGTTCTGTCTACATAGGTTGGTGTGAGCAATTTAATGACCAGAGCAAGGCAATATTTTATATTTAAATAGACCTGGCTCTATGATACCAATCTCAGAGGTTTGCTGTGAGGATCACATGAGATAAATCTTGTAATGGGTGGTCCAACAGGCTTTTGTACAAAAATTTTGTCTTGTCATTGTTATATTTTGTTGGTTGGTTTATTGGTTTTAGAATAGCTGACAACGGCATCTCTGTCTGGGTTGGGGCAGGGACCACCTCATGCTATCCTTGTTATATAAATTGTCAGGCCGACAGACTACCCACTTCTGGGAAAAAGGAAAGGTATAATAGGACTTTTATTTAATATGGCAAAGACAGATAATCCCTTAGGCGTCCAGAACTTTAGACAGTGGGAAAATCAATTTGCAGAAAGCACCCAGAGACCCTCCTGGGAAGAATGGACTGAGAGCCCAACTCCTCTCTGAGACCTGGAGCTGGTACCTGTGAAAGCCCAGTGTCAGAGAAGGGTGTGAACAATCTTGAAACAAAGGTATCTTGAGAGCAGAAACAGAACAGCAGGCTGCTCAGTACAGAGTATTAAGGGAGAAATGGGAGAGAATAGTTCTAGGTTTAGGACACAAGGCATCCTGGAGCCTGCTATAACCACTCTTTGTAGTGAAGAGCTCCACCTTGCACAAGCAACTATATGCGAAAGAACTGGTCACTCTATCCCCTAGTAGCAACCAGATAACTGCAGTAGTAGCAGCAGCAGTAATAGTAGTAGTAGTAGCAGCAATAGCTAATGGTTATTAAAGCACTATGCTAAGCACATTTACATCAATATCTCCTTTAATAATCTCAGCAATCCTATGAGCTTGGTATCATTATTATCATCAGTAACAGAAGGTGCTTACTCTTTTCTACAGCTGAGGTAGAAAAGATTAAGCACCTTGCCCAAGAAACTCTGACTCCAGAGCTCACACACCCTACCACTCCTTGGCCATCACCCTGCAGACAGTCTGACAAGTGCTTCCTGCCCCCTGCCTGTGCCCCTCCATGGCAGGAATCCTCATGGGAGCAGATTCTCACCCAAACCAAAGCTGGGGAAAGAAACAAGCAGCACTAGGACTTTGGGGTCCTTGGGTTGGAGCCATAATACTAGAGAAGTGAAATCACCTACACCCCTGTTACAGTTTGAATGTGTCCCCCAAAAGTATGTGCTAGAAACCTAATCCCCAATGCAACAGTGTTGACAGGTAGGGCCTAATGGAAAGTATTTAGGTCATGAGGGCTCCAGCTTCATTAATGGGTTAATGCCTTTGAACTTGTGGCCTTAATCCCTTTATTATAGATCCCTTGCTCTTCTGCTCTCTCACTTAAATGCTCTCTCTTGTCCTTCAACTTTCTGCCATGGGGTGATGCAGCAAGAAAACCCTTACCAGACACAGCCCCTTGATCTTGGCCTTTCCAGCCTCCAAAACTGTGAGACAAATAAACTTCTATTGTTTATAAATTTCCCAGTTTGTAATATTCTGTTATAGCAGTACAAAATGGCTTAAGATGACTTCAAAGGGCCTGCCACTCAGGCAGCCATTCCATGGAAGAAATCAGAGAGGATGAGTTACTCTGCTTGGGAAGAGCTCCTCTGCACCAGGCAGCTTCTCCACACCGGGCAGCTTCTCCACACCAGGCAGCTAGAGCCCCTCCCATGCCAGGACAACACAATAGATCATGGCAGAGACCAAGTCTTTTCTCCCTGTATCCCTTCCCTCTTTCTTACTTTCTGTAACAGAAATGCACCACCAGCTGTTAGCAGGGCACATTAGTCCAGCTGGAGACTACATCTCCCAGCCTTTCTCATAGGTAGATATGTTCTTGTGACTATGTTTTTGTCCAACGAGATGTGAGCAGAAGTTGTAGGATGTGTTCCACTTTGGGGTCTTAGCTAAAAAGAATTGGGTCCCTTTTCCCAGCCCCTTTTCTTTTCGTTTCTGGTTAGGAAAGAGTAACAAATGGGTCCTACGCCTTGGACCCAGAGGTGGAAGCCACACATGGAGGGATGTACCTTGCCAACTATTGTTAACATCTAAACTTTTATGTTTAAGAGAAATAAGTGTCTGAAATTTTCATTTTATAATCACCATGTATTTTGGTTTGTTTGTCTATAGCCTAACTACTATAGTATTCAAGCTGACTGGAATGTCCAACTCCCTAAGCAAAACTAACCAAAAAGACTTGTAGCACATGGTGATTCCTAGGCAAATAAAGCTTTTGATGGGGGAGAGGATGCTTACGGGAGGAATACAGAATTTCCTGATAATAACAGCATATGTTTGGCCATTCACGGCAAGGCAAGTTATTACTTCGGATAGAGTAGATTATGCTGTATTAACAAACAACAACAAAATTCTGTGGCTTGACATGTAAATACTTATTTCTTACTCATGCAAAACCCACCACGGATCCAGCTGACTCTTGAAGGCAACCATCCTCCACATGTGGTAACCCAGTGACTTGAGCTCCTCAATCTTTTGCCCATGCCATCTATACACAAGGCCTTCTCCAAATTGTTGCAATAGGAAAGGAGAGCATTGAGAAGTCTCACACTATCAATGAAATGCTTCAGTCTAGTATGGACTCATGCTACTTCCATTCACAACCCAATGACCAGAGCTGGTCATATGGCTCTGCCTAACTGCTGGAAGACAGAGAAAGAAGCGTTGTCCTTTTCATGCCAAAAGAAGAGCACAACTGGGTACGGGCATGCACTGGAAGTCTCCCCAACAAGGGCCCCTCCAATTACACATAAGGTACTCAGTATGGGTCTTAAGTGCTCAATAAATTGGGCAAAGTGGGGAGGTGGGGCAAAAAACCCAGAGAGAAGGAAGAGAGAAGAGAGGAAGAAGCACGAAGAAAATTTACAAAAAGAAATTAGATCCAGAACCCAAAGCAAGAAGGCCCCAGGGCCCAGCCAGTGGTTGCTGGAGCCAGCTCATGTACTAGCTCATGAGTGTCAGTTGCCAAATTTTCAGGAATGGAAGCCAGTTATTAAATAGAACAATGATTAAAAATTAAATTATATACACTTAAAATCTTATTGAAGACACAGGTAATAAATACACAGATACATCACATCCTAATTCTCTGACTACATTTTACTATTAGCTGTGTTCTTGAGGTTATTTCCATTGATTACCGCATGGTGAACCCTACTTCCCAACTCCATGCCCAGCGACATGGCTTGGTAGCCTGTGGGAGTATTTACTCCTGGGAATCAGGAAATGCTGCAAACCAGGGCTTTTATTCCCTAGAGAGCTAGTGAAACATTTATCAGCCAGGGAGTGGCCTTCCTTCCCTGGTGCATCTAAACTGAGAGTTGCAGTGAAGCTGGTAAGTGTGTCTTGACTTCTCCAGAGCAGTGCTGGGGCAGGACATTTCCATTTGTCACCAGCAACTGGTTGGGAGCAGGTAGTTTAGGGAGTGCTGATGGGTGAGCATTTCCATCTGGAGTTCCTATGGGAATGGGCTACAGGGTTAGCAACCCTAAGTCATAGCATTTTGCAAACACAGACATTCCCTTCCAAGACTGCAAAGCATGGCCCTCGCTCAGAAGCCTACATCATTGTTATGTTCCAAGGAACCAGAGGCTGGTGCAGAATAGTAATCATCACCTGCCAGGAGCCTATTGACAGGAGGACTGCCTGCTGCCTGTAACTCCTGGTAACAGGGAGGCCCTTCTGGGAGCTATCCTTGCACTGGCTCCTCAATGAGATGGTGATGTCTTTCTCTCTCTCAAAGCATTTTTACTGGGTCTCTAAGACAGTAGCCACCAGAACCAGTGCCAAGGCTGACAGTGTGAACTGCAAGAGGCCTGGGTTTATTTGGCCAACTCAGAATCTAAATGTGCGAGCATGGGACTTCTTTTTATAGCCACTGTAAAAATTCTCCTTATGCTCACTACTTCACTTTTCCCTTAAGCCCCAAGCCCTCTCCCCACCCTGTCTGTACCCAGCTCAGCCATTACTGGCCACTTACCCTCCAGTGTGCAGGGCCTCTTTTAAAGCACTATTAGATGTCTGGATGGTTTATGGATCTCCGGGCTTCTGACTCCATGTACTGCATTACTTTAAAAGCTAGACCATAAGATGCAATTGCAGAGGGGAAAGTTGGAGGGGGCAGTGCGTGAGTTTAGTATTTAATGAGTGAATGTATTACACCAAATGGATGGAAACGCTATGCTAGCACTTTTTACTTCTTTATAGGTTTCTGATTTTTTTTAAATCAATTGGCATGTTTTTACTTACATTAACTCACATAGCCTCAGGATCTTCAGTCTTTTGGAGTCCCTCTCTTCAACTGGCCGATTATACATGCTGAAGCCTCCATCCCATGTACCACGGAAAAGCTACTGCCCATCCCAGGATTTCCGAGGGACCCCCAGGGGTTTCACAATGCCTTGGTTACATCACCTCGAATTTCTGCTCCCTTTGAGTTTTGTCACCTGCCCTTAATCATTTCACATTCTCCTTTGTTTCCTAAAGCTCCACTCAAATAAGGTTTTCCATGCAGCAGACTTTTTCTAAGAGTTTAGGGATTACTAAGGGGACTATAGGGCAATTCTGAGCAGGAAACAACCCACTGTAGAATTTCTGCCATCCTGGATATTATAGGCTTGAGCCACACAACATAGGAAAGTCTCAGTGGCCGTCGTTTCCCTTGGGGCCCCAGCGTCTGCCATTCTTTGGGCGTGTTCTCCCTCTTGTCTAGACTCTTTCCCCATTCCAGGGTCTTGGAGACTCTCTCTGCCTGGTTGCCAGCACAAAACTGGTGTCCTTTTCAGAGTAAGCTAGCCCTCTTTGGTTTCAAGCCTCTTTCATTTAGACTATCTCATAACCAAAGAGCCTGTTATGAAATGTCCTAACCAACAGAGCCATCCACCCCACTCAGCCATCCTGGGCTGCACCTCCAGCAACATGAAGAACAGGGAGATGTATGGAAGTTTTTAAAATGTACCTAAGACGTACCTGAAAACATACTTGCTGAAAAAAAAAATTGAAACCACACAGACAAACCACACTTTCCTCCAATGCTTCTCCATACTTATTACAACCCTAGTCCTCCCCAAGAGAGGACCCCTGTCATCAGTCCATGCTGTGGCCTTTCAAGACCTTTTTTATGCATTTACATACGTTTGGAAATGCATATCATTTTGATTTGCATGAGACATTTATTTTATACCAGTGAATCCCAGGTGGTGGTCTGCTTTTCCATTGATAACCTGCCCTTTAGATGCATTCATGCCACATTGTTTGGAAACAGCAACACTCAGTTAGGGTGCCACTGACATGCCCACTGATAGGCAATGGTTAAATGGTGCTCCTTAAATGCCTTGAACCGCCGGGCGCGGTGGCTCACGCCTGTAATCCCAGCACTTTGGGAGGCTGAGGTGGGCGGATCACGAGGTCAGGAGACCGAGACCATCCTGGCTAACAAGGTGAAACCCCGTCTCTACTAAAAATGCAAAAACTAGCCGGGCGCGGTGGCGGGCGCCTGTAGTCCCAGCTACTTGGGAGGCTGAGGAAGGAGAATGGCGTGAACCCAGGAGGCGGAGCTTGCAGTGAGCTGAGATTACGCCACTGCACTCCAGCCTGGGCAACAGAGCGAGACTCCGTCTCAAAAAAAAAAAATGCCTTGAACCATTGTGCAGATAGATGTCACCACTTAGTCAGTGGCTAGGACTAAAGTGAGGCAAGTAAGAGCAGGTGTCAGGACCCACTTCCCCTACCCTGGCTTTCTATGCTTGGCCCCAGCATCCTTCCTCTTCCACAGGTTCCAGGACTTCTGCCTTGCCTCCTCCACTCCTCCCACCACCCACT
The DNA here is from genome assembly GCF_000001405.40 of Homo sapiens. Taxonomy (NCBI): domain Eukaryota; kingdom Metazoa; phylum Chordata; class Mammalia; order Primates; family Hominidae; genus Homo; species Homo sapiens. The sequence goes on along the minus strand of NC_000015.10, from coordinate 72,937,872 downwards.
CTGGCCTAGCTCTGGAGTGAAGTACAGAATGCTTTGCTTCGTCCTTCTTCACTGATCCTTAAAACAAGCCCATGAGCCCTTTGGATTTAGGGATTTCATTGTTGCTTGCTCTGGAGACCTTGGTTCCCAGTATGGACAAATGCTAACAGTCCCTGTCTGCAGCTTCAAACTTCCTGAGATGGCTGCTCTTGAGAGGGGTCTGTCCACCCTGGCCATGAAGTTTATCTTTGTGATCAGGCCCCGTGGTCAGCACAAATATTCAAGTGGACAATTTGTGTTCCTGTAGCCTACAGGACTAAGCCATCCCAGGTCCTTCAGCCTAGCCATGGAATGGCTACTTTGGGAATGTTTTCTCAGGGTCCGCTGAGCTCCAATGCTGTGGGCTAGGTTTACTGCTGGTGTGAAAGCTGGCAGGACAGTGGGTAGGGAAGAGGAACAGGAGCCCAGGGGGTGACTGGACTTGGCTGAGAGGCCTGGGTTTGTTCTAGACACAGGGAGGCCTACCCAGCTGTCTCCATTGTGCTTAGGAAACACCCAGCAAGATTACTGCAGAGAGTGCAGCTCCAGGAGGGTGGAGGCACCCAGAACAGGCCAAATTTGCAGGTGTACTCACACACGGTGGCCTAACCTATTGCTGAACCACAGTAATTGTCAAGTAGAGCCAAGATGATTGCTGTAAAGTGCTACAAAGGGTCAAGTCTGAGGTAGGCTGGCAGCGAGCAAGACTGAGCCAGCTCCCCTGGCAGCCTCCTGCACAGCCTTGCCACCCCTCCCTTCTGGGCTTGGGTTTCTGCTGGGCCCTTATTTCATCTGTCCCCGAGCTCATCACACTGCATTATGACTGTCATTTGGCCAGGTCTTGCCTTCCTTCCTTGCTGGACTGTAATAAGAGGGTAGGGAAGCGTGGCTTAGAGCCACGGCCCTGCACGGTCAGCAGTGCGGCTCTTTCTGTGAGGGTTGCAGGGGATGGGGCCCAGAGAAGCATACACAGCTGATGGAACCCCCTGGATGTCAGGGTTGAGGGCCCTGATGCCCAGCTCAGACCTCATTCTAGAGCATGGTGTTGGGTAACCTGCAACGTGTCAGTGGCATCAGACGACAGCTGAGGGGTCTGGGGGTATGAGGGATGAAGGGTGAAAACCATGCTGCTTGGTCTTCCTCTTCTCCTTGGCTTCCAGGCAGCAGACCCAGACTCCTGACCACTCCCTTGCTTTATGCCTGACTGATGACCTCTCAAGACTGGCTGTACATTACCGTGAGGTTATATATGTGTCATCGTGGAGATCCCAGCCCAAATATCACTTTCTCAGACCTTTCCTAATCACCCTAAAAAATAGTTACCCATCTTCTATCTATCCTATATTACATTAACTTTTTTTTTCATGTTACTTAGAACCATCTAAAGTGATTGATTGATGTGGTCAGTGTGTCTTCCTAACCGGGAGACAATCCCCATGAGGGCGGAGGGTTGTCTTACTCACTCTTGCAACCCCAGTGCCTGATGTGTACTCTGTGGGTGAGAAGGTGGTGGGGAATGAATGTGGAGTAGAGGGGCAAGCAGTTAATGCCCACTCCATACCTGAATGTGGAAATCAACCTTCACCAGAGAGTTCTGGGAGTATCCTGACCAGGCCCACCCACAAGGGTCTTTTTAAAGAGCAATCTCATCCGCCAGAGCTCCCAGTACACACAACCAAAGGGAGGAAAGAGCTGGGAAGAGAAGGATAGGCCATTATGATGAGTCAGAATTTGCATTATTCTTCACATAACCATAAACATTTTATCAAATTTTGAAATCTGCTATTCACAATAATCCCATTCTCCACCTGACTGGCAGTGGCATTGGTGATATCAGTCTCAGCCCTGACTGGAAGCAGAAGAACCCCAAATGGGGTTGGCCCTAATAGGTGAGTTCCCAAATTCAATGGAAGGAAGAGACTGGGGGTGAAGGGGAACCTTGAGATTTTCCCTTAGATTCTTAGACATTCTTGAAAAATAGAAACAGTCACCAAAATAACTAAAGAAATCCACTAAGCCTTTTTCCTTCCTCAAGTTCCCATGAGAACATAACCTTTTTGACATCACTCCCTGCCATGGTATAAGGTGCCCAGCAGGGCAGCCTGGAAGATGCAGGAAGTACCCCAGGAATGCAGACACCCTCTGCTAATGGAGGGGAATTTCAGCTCTTCTCCTTGGATTTTACCGGGCCTTCCTTTCCAGGGGAAATCCCCTTCCAGGGGCTGTCTTGGGGGTCTGCTCTATAAAAGGGAAGGTTCTGTTTCCGTTTCTAATTGAAGGTTGGCATTCAAGCCAAGGAAGGAGATATTAATCACCACAAATGGATGGAGATTGCCCCTCAGAGCTTTGTAAATTCCACACCACCTCTTGTTTCGTGGCTGTGGGCCTCAGTTTACGGTATGCCCTGCCAGAAATGAAAACCTTTCATCAGTGCAGAAGCAGGGCCTCACTGCTGCTGTGTTTGGGTTACAGAACTGAGGTGGAACATGATATTTTAGGGTGTTGCCAAGAGTCAGAGCTGTGATTCGAACAGCAAACTCAATTACCCTCACCTTTTCACTTTTTAAAAATAAGAAATAACATTTTAGGTCATAATTTATCTTGCTGATATTGTATTTATTTATTTAGGCCAAGAGAGGTAATTTAAGTTAAATTCATTCAGTGGACTTTCAGTTATGGGAAGAGGGAAAATAAACTTTCTGTTACCAGAGGGATTTTGCGTGCAAACACACATGAACTTGCGCATGCTCGCACAAACAGATGTAAACACACACAGAACTATAGCACGCAAGTTAAACAGAAACATGTCATTTAGGATAGAAATGTACCCTGTAAGCTACAAGAGAATGTTATTTAAAAATAATAGAGATAGAATCAATTTAAGTGTAAGTTTTCAAATATTTTCCCACAGGATAAAATCAAAGTATAACAGAGTGGTACTCTATACGGCTAGGACATCTGGAAACTCAGCCTTTTAGACAACACATTGTTTATGAGGCTCCACTGTGTGCACTATTAGGCATTATTTCTACTGAGAGGTGAAAAGCTTGGGTCCATACTAGCCCATGTGAAATCCTAGGGACATGACAAGGAACTATATTGTATATTATATCAGAGGTTGGCAATAGAAGAAAAAGGAAATAAGGACACATTTACAGGGAGAATGAGCATAAGTTTCTGGGACAAATGGAGAAAGAAAAATGGGAGCCAATAAGGAATTATCAACTATCAATTATCAATTATCAAAGGAATTATCAATTATCAAAGGAGTAAAATATTAAAAACATTTGAATGGAAAACCCCTCTAGTGACTTGGCCTGCTGGGGCATGCCACTTTCTGAGACAAATCACATGATGTCTCAGATCCCATGCAGACCCATGACTCTGGGACATTTCTATAACTACTCATAAACGTGTTCTTCTAGCTATTAAAAGAAAAAGAAATAGAGAAAATTTGGGAGGAAAAAAGAAATATAGATACCTGAGCTTAGAAATCTTTTGGATAAAGGAATTGTAAATGTAAAATAAAAGTCACAGCTGAGCCAACTGTATGCCACATCCTCTTTAAGAAAAGCCATATTTCAGAAAGCAAAGCTGTGGCCAGCCAGTTCTGGCAAGGTCTGGGTTGTAGGAATTCATTTCCTGCATCCAATGCGTGCTTTCGGCTTGAGTTATGTGGGCAGCCTCATCTGATCTGACAACCCAGACTTCTACCATCTGAAGGCAACAGCTTGGCATGTTAAAGTTTTGTGACTTGGTATTATCCAGTCTTTTCTCTTTTGTGTTTTCTGCTCATGATGAGCTGGCAAACTAAGGATGCAGTATTAGCTTCCTGTGGCTGCTTATAACAAACGATCACAAACTTGGTGGCTTAAAAAAATGTACTCTCTCATAGTTCTGGAGGCCTGAAATCTGAAATCAAGGTGTCGTCAGGGCCACGCTCCCTCTGGAGGCTCCAGGAGAGAGTCCATTCCTGGCCTCTTGTAGCTTCTGGTGGTTTCTGAGCAATCTTTGGTGTTCCTTGGCTTGTAGCCCCATCACTCCAATCTCTGTCTTCTCATCACCTGCTACTCTTCTGTCACTCTCTTCTATGTCTGTTATAAGGATACTTGTCATTGGACTTAGTTCTCACCTGGGTAATGCAGAACCTTCTCATCTCAAGATGCTAAACTTAATCATATCTGCAAAGACCCTTTTTCTAAAGAGGGTAACGTTCGCAGGTTCCAGGGATCAGGATGTGGACATATCTAGGGACCCCCATTCAACCCACTACAGATGCCATCACAGAATTGTCCATGGTGCTGGTATACCTTTCAAAGAGGCTGACCTTGAGGGGATGCTGTGAAAACTTAGAGGGAATGTAATGCAGCAAATATCCTTTTAGATGGGAAGAAAGACAGTGGTTCCAAATTTGAGCAGCAGGACAGGGGCCACATTTTAAAGTGCATTTGAGCTTTTCTCCCACACTTCCTTCATGACTTTCTTAACCTTTCAAGTGTCTGTCTGCTAAATGAAATCAGAACTATCTCAGCTAAATTGAAACCCACAGTCACCTGGTTATGAAATCACTTTGCCTGCCCAGACTTTCCTCCCTCCCTCCCTCCATCCCTCCCCACTCCCATTCCATAGAAGGAAAGATTTAGCAGCTTGTGGGCCTTTGAAATGTCAGAGGCTTCGTTATTTTCAAGAATAGGTGTATAGTTGGGGGTGAGTGAAGACACTTCATGCTGCATTAGGCTTAGTTCACTAAAGAGAAGCTGATAGGAGAAGAATTAATTACAGTTTAACAGTAATAATAAAAAGCAAAACGAGATGGAAATAAAATAACCAAGGGAACAAATGGTATTCCGAGAAGAATGGTGTCTATTCACCGTGGAAAATTTATATGTAGAATAAATGCTGGGAATTGGGACACAGAAGAGGCAATCAAAGGCCCGAGGATGCTCCAGCAAGCAGGGGCTGCTTTTCATTGAATTGTCTTATTAGCTGGCTGGAGGTATAAATAAATTCCTCTAGTGTCTTTATTGTCTGAAAAGATGGAAAGCAGAATGAGTCCTGATGGGGCAGGGGGTGGGGGATTTGAGGAGAGGGAGGGTGACCCTGACAGCCCTTGGAACCAGGGCTGGGAGGGAGTCTGCCAGTGGGAAAAGAATAGCCAGGGAGGAAGGTGTCCGCTTCCTTTCATGGCAGAGGCAACTGGGTGTGGGCTGCACTGAGGGCCAGGGAGGGGCCGAGATTCCCAGGGCTGAGAGGCTTTGTCCTGAGGCCAAGAGCATGGCTTTATCATGGCAAATCTTACTCTATGTCACCACAGCATGTACTGGGAGCAACAGTCGGGAGCCACAAAGCCTTCCTCAGGGTGCACTTAGCCACCAGCTTTCAATCACGGTGCCCTTGATAGACTGCCATGTGTGATTGTTTGCAAGGCATTTTATACAAGACTTGTTACAATGAATGGAAGTACCAACATTTGTGAATAATTAATATTTTTTAGAATAAGGAGATTCTGGGAAGATGGCAGTTGTGACAATATAGCTGCTTTTAAAAAATCAGCTCTATTGAAGTGTGTAATTCACATACTATACAATGGAATGGTATTTAGTATATCCACAGAGTTGTGCAACCATCACCACAATCAATTTAGGTCATTTTCATCACCCCTATAAAGAAACCCCATGCCCAACAGCAATGACTCCCCATTCTACCCCCCACAACCACACCCGCAGCCCTAGGTAATCACTAATCTACTTTCTATCTCTATAGATTTGTCTATTCTGGACTTTTCATATAAATGGGTCATATAATAGTCGTTCTTTTGTGTTTAGCTCATTACACTTAGCATAATGTTTTCAAGGTTCATCCATATTATAGCATGGGTCAGAATTTCATTCCTTTTTAAGGCTGCATAATATCCCATTGTATGTATATGCTACATTTTGTTTATCCGTTCATCCATTCTTGGACATTTGGGTTGTTGCCACTTTTTGCAATTATGAATAATGCCTCTCTAAACATTTGTGTGCAAGCTTTCATGTGGGCAATTCTTGTGATGCTGATTATAAAGTCTGAGAACCACTGATCTACAACATAAGTAGGTGACAAGGTGTGGTAACAACTCCAAAATATTAGTAGATGGGTATAAGCTACTGACAACTGCAAGAACCATGTGATTTTGGAAATTGTTTGGGAGAGAAGGGGGAGAAAAGGACTCTAGTATTCCTGAAAGCCAACCCACAAATTGCCTTGGAAATCTCGGTGGCTCAATCTGAGAACATCAACCAAAAGTTGGAGGAAGTTTCATAGGATCCAATTTGCATGTGAGCGCCAAGGGATCTCTGGAAGGTGGAAAGTGTTGGAACACTCTGGGCTCTCTGAGTTTTTTAAACTAACGCATCAAATTTTGTTCCAGGATAAACTGCACTGAAACGTACTCACTGGGAACAGAATTTAAATGAAGCATCACGGGGTTGGGGGAGGAGAAATAGGAGAGAGATAAAAGTGAGAGACAAGAGCAATGGGGACTCAGCTTAGAAAATATTTGGCCATATTTTTTAAAAAAATCACTTTGTGGGCCAGGTGCAGTGGCTCACACCTGTAATCCCAGCACTTTGGGAGGCCGAGGCAGGTGGATCACCTGAGGTCAGGAGTTCGAGGCCAGCCTGACCAATATAGTGAAACCCCGTCTCCATTAAAAATACAAAAATTAGCCAAGCGTGGTGGTGTGCTCCTGTAGTCCCAGCTACTCAGGAGGCTGAGACAGGAAAATTGCTTGAACCTGGGAGGCGAATGTTGCAGTGACCTGAGATGGCACCACTGCACTCCAGCCTGGGTGACAGAGTGAGACTCCATCTCAAAAAAAAAGAAAAAAAAAAAAGAAAATTACTTTGTGAAAGTGAACATCCAGGATAGTAAATCTACGAAGGTTATACCAGCCTACCTTTTTCTCCTGAAAGTACCAAAAAATTCTCTCATTAAAAATGAGAAAATTGAGACAAATTTTTTTAAAAATCTAGAAACAAATGAAAGTGAAAACACAGCATACCAAAACCTATGGGATACAGCAAAAGCAGTGCCAGGAGGGAGGTTTACAGCATTAAATGCCTACATCGAAGAACTAAAAGGTCACAAATTAATAACCTAATATTATATCTTAAGGAACTAGAAAAAGAAGAACAAAGAAAGGTAGCAGAAGAAATGAAACAACAAAGATTAGAGCAGAACTAAATAAAATAGCAAAATACGGAGGATAAACAAAATTAAAAATTGGTTCTTTGAAAAGATGAACAAAATTGATAAACCACTAGCTAGACTAACCAAGAACAAAGAAGATCCAAGTAAACACTACAGAAATGAAAAAGGAGACATTACAACTGATACCACAGAATTAAAAAAAAAATCATCTGAGACTGTTATAAACAACTATACACTCACAAAGAAGAAAATCTGGAGGATATGGATAAATTCCTGGAAACATATAACCTCCTGAGATTGAACCAGGAAGAAATAGAACTTAACAGACCAATAATGAGTGGTGAGATTGGATTAGTAATAAAAAAAAAAAACTCCCCCTCCCAAAAAAGCCCATAATTAGATGGATTCACAGCTGATTCCTACCAAACATACAAAGAAGAACTAATACAAATCCTTCTGAAACTATTCCATAAAATCGAGGAGGAGGGAATTCTCCCTAATTCATTCTACAAGGCCAATATCACCCTGATACCAAAATCAGAAAAGGACACAACGAAAAAAGAAAATTACAGACTGATATCCCTGATGAACATAGACACAAAAATCCTCAACAAAATACTAGCAAATTGAATCCAATAGCACATCAAAAAGATAATACACCATGATCAGGTGAGATTCATCCCAGGGATGCAAGGATGTTTCAACATATGCAAATCAATAAATGTGATACCTCACATAAACAGAATTAAGGACAAAACCATGTGATCATCTCAATAGACACAGAAAAGTCTTTGATAAACTTCAGCATCCCATCATGCTAAAAGTCCTCAACAAACTAGGCATAGAAGGAATATGTTCTATTCCTTAGAAGGAATAATATGCTTAGGAATAAGTATGCTTAAACATAAGGCCATACATGACAAACCCACAGCTAATATCATACTTAACAGGGAAAAGTTAAAAGCATTCCTTCTAACACCTGGAAATAGACAAGGATGCCCACTTTCACTGCTCTTATTCAACATAATACTAGAAGTCCTCACCAGAGCAATCAAGCAAGAGAAATAAAAGGTATCCAAATTTGAAAACAGGAAGTAAAATTATTCCTATTTGCTTATGATATGATCTTATATCTGGAACACCCTAAAGACGCCACCAAAAATTCTTACATTTGATTAATTAATTCAGGAGTTTAAGAATGCAAAATTAACATATGGAAATCAATAGCATTTGTATACACCAATAACTATCTAGCTGATGACTGAAAAAAGAAGGCAATCCCATTTACAATAACTACAAATAAAGTAAGTACCTAGGAACATATTTAACAAAAAAAGTGAAAGATCTCTATAAAGAGAACTATTAAACACTTACGAAAGAAATCAGAGATGATATAAACAAGTGGAAATACATCCCACGGTAGTGAATTAGAAGAATCGATATTGTTAAAATAATCATACTACTTAAAGCAATCTACAGATTCAACATAATCCCTATCAAATTACCAATGTCAATTTTTACGGAATTAGAAAAGATAGTCCTCGAATTCACATGGAACCAAAAAGGAGCCTGAATGGCTGAAGCAGTTTTAAGAAAAAAGAACAAAGCTGGAAGTATCACATTACCTCACTTCAAGTTTTACTACAAGTCTGTTGTGACTAAAACAGCATGGTACTGGTATAAAAATAGAGACATGGATCAATGGAACAGAATATAACCTAGAAATAAAGCCACATACCTACAACCAACTGATCCTCAACAAGTCAATGTATACTGGGGAAATGACACCCTGTTCAAGAAATGGTGCTGGGAAAAGTAGATATCCCATATGCAGAAGAATGACACTAGACCCATACCTCTCACCATATACAATAATTAGCTCAAGATGTACTAAAGGCCTAAATGTAAGACCAGAAACTATAGGAATCCTAGAAGAAAACCCAGAAAAAACCCTTGTGGACATTGGGCTAGGCAAAGAATTTAGGACCAAGCCCTCAAAAGCAAATGCAACAATAACAGAAATAGACAAATGGGACTTAATCAAACTAAAAAGCTTTTGCACTGCAAAAGAAACAATCAATACAGTAAACAAGACAACCTACAGAATGGGAAAAAATATTTGCAAACTATGCATGCAGCAAAGGGCTAATCCAGAATCTACAACAAACTCAAACAATTCAACAAGAAAAAACAACCCCATTAAAAAGTGGGCAAAGGGCAGGAACATTTTTCAAAAGAAGACATCCAAGCAGCCAGGAAACATATGAAAAAATGCTGAACATCACTAATCATCATAGAGGTAAAAATCAAAACCGCAATGAGATACCATCTTATACCAGTCAGAATGGCTATTATTAAAAAGTTAAAATACAACAGATGTTGGTGAGGATGCAGAGAAAGGGAACACTTATACACTGTTGGTGGGAATGTAAATTAGTAAAAACCTTAATGGAAAACTATGCAGATTTCTGAAAGAACTAAAATAAATCTACCATTTGCTCTGGCAATCCCACTACTGGGTATCTACTCAAAGGAAAATAAATCATTATATGAAAAAAGATACCTGCACTCATGTTTATTGCAGCACTATTCACAATAGCAAAGATAATCAACCTAAGTGTCAATCAACAGAAGACTGGATAAAGAAAATGTGGTTTGTGTGTGTGTGTGTCTGTGTGTGTGTGTGTATGTGTGTATTCATTCCATGGCATACTACTCAGCCATAAAAAAGAATAAAATTATGTCTTTTGTAGCAACATGAGTGGAACTGGAGGCCATTATCCTAAGTGAAATAACTCAGATGCAGGGCTTAATATCTAGGTGATGGGTTGACAGGTGCAGCAAATCGCCATGGCATACGGTTACCTATGTAACAAACCTGCACATCCTGCACATGTACCCTGGAACTTAAAATAAATAAGTGAATTAATTAAAGAAATAACTCAGAAACAGAAAGTCAAATACCACATGTTCTCACTTATAAAGTGAAAGCTAAACAATGGATACACATGGGCATACAGAGTAAAGTAACAGACACTGGAGACTACAAAAGGTGGGAGGGTGGGAGGGGTGTGAGTGTTGAAAAGTTACCTATTGGATACAGTGTTCACTATTTGGGTGATGGGCACACTAAAAGCCCAGACTTCACCACTGTACAAAAGATGCAGGTAAGAAATCTGCACTTGTATACCCTAAACATATACAAATTTTAAAAATGAAACAGAAACAAAATACCTAAAAATGAAAGAGATGAGCAACAGAAAATGATCGTGAGCAAGTTCCATATAAAGTCACTATAAGAGAAAGGAAAATAAGGGATAGAATGTCATGACAGATAATGAAGTCATGTTAGAAAGACGTGCTTATAAAACAGGTAAAACTTGTAACCTAATATATTAAATGAACTAAAATAAAGAAAAATGATAAGTGTATGAAATAATAGTGTAATCAGATTAGAAAAATTTAGAAAGGAAGTAATTTGAGAAAAGGAAGATTTGAAAAGAGAAATGACAACTCAGGAAAGAAAAAGAAATAAAAAACAGTTTCACAAATGAAGACTAAAATGGAAGGGACATGTTCTAATTTTCTACTGCTACATAATTTATTACCACAGAATTTAGTGGAATGGACCAACAACAATTGTATCATGCTCATGGATTCTAGGCTTAATTGGGACAACTTGAATGGCCAGGGGCTAAGACAGCTGGGATTAGATTTAGATCTACTTCCAAGATGGCTTCTTTAATTACCTATCTGGCACTTGGGCTAGGATGGCTGGAGCAGAGGTTCAGCTAGGACTGGCCATTGGAGTGCCGACAGGTGACCCCTCCAGCATGATGTTCTTGAGGTAGTTGGGCTTTATACATGGTGACCCAAGTTTCTAAGAGTAAGTGTTCCAAATACCAAGGCAGACCAATTTAGTCCCTCATGACCTAGCCTTGGAAGTCTCATAGCATCATTTGCACTGTAGTCTATTAGTCGAAGCAGTCACAGACCCATCCAGATTTAAAGGGAGGAAACATAGACTCCACTTCTTGGTGGAGGAGTGTCAAAGAATTTTTGTCTATTTTTCTCAGTTTTATTAAAGTATAATTTGCATACAATAAAACAAATCCATTATAATTGTGTAGTTTGATCACTTTTGGTAGTTATATACAAGTTTGTAGCTACTAGCAGCCAAGGTATAGAACAATTTTGTCACCTTAAAATGTTTCCTCATGCCTCTTTCTAGCCATATTTCAGACGACCATAGAACCCAAATATGAATGAACACCACCTGTAAGAAGAAAAGTGTTAAAATCAAAGACAAATGAAGAAGACCCAATATGTGTGGAATAAAAATCCTGAAGATGAAAATCAAACCAATAGAATAAAACAAATACAAACATATTTAAAGTAAGAAAACTTTCCTGAAATAAAACAGACTTGAAACTTTATAGTGAAAGGTATATTTTATATCTGGGAAAATCAACCTAAAACAGCCAATATTCTAGTGAAACTACTGACTTCAAAGTAAAAGAAAAAAAAATCTTAAAAGACATTGGCAAAAAGACCAAGTCATTTATAAGAGAAAGAAAATTAGATTGCCATTAGATTTTGGACACAACCCTTTTTGCTAGAGGACCATGAAGCAACATCTTTAAAATACTCAAGGAAATAAACTATGAAGCAAGGATTTTATAGCAAACAAACTGATCTTCAAATATAAAGGCAGACACACTATTATGAAAATGCAAAAAACTCAGGCAATGTTGTTCTTATGAATCCTTCCTGAGGAATCCACTAGAGAATGTACTTCAAAAGACCAAAATGACTGGAGAAGTATCAGCACAAAGACTGCTGATAAGCATGAAAGACATGGTTTCCTGTAGAATTAAGACTAAATGATGGTTCTTAGCAAGAAAGAATAGTACGAACGGCTTTATGTCCTGACAATATAAATAGAGCACAATTATCAAAAATGGGATAAGAATGGAGAAAGTACATAAGAAGTTCAATAAGCTTGAAAACTGCCTTGGAGAGTACAGCAGAGAAATTATAGTTAATAACAATTTATCATATATTTGAAAATAGCCAGAAGAAAAGAATTGCAATGTCCTCAACACAAAAAGAAAAGACAAATGTTTGAGGTGATGAATACCCTAATTGTCCTGATTTGATCATTACACATTGCATACATGTATCAAAGTATCACATATATCCCCAAAATATATATAATTACATATATCAATTTTAAAAAAGAAAATCTTCCTTGTAGGTTTTAACGGGGAGTATAAGGATATTATTGCAAATTAGATTTGGAGAAGACATGGAGAAAGAAGAAGTTACTAGGTAAACTTCAATATCACTCATGGGGAAAGGGGGATCAGTAGACAAGAGCATGAAAAACAGGAGATTAGGAGTAAAAGTTTTAGAATTGGTATAAAGGTAACAATCAGAACCAAAATATAAATTTGCCTACATTCAAAAGATATACCCTCCCTGATAAAAAAAAAAAGGATGAAATAAAATAAGCCATAAAGGCAAATATTATTTCTATAAGATATACTTCCAATATAAAACAAGATGACAAAATTTTTGAGGTCAACCTATCAATAATGTCAGTGTACTCAAATGGTCTTAACTTAAAACAAAATGATTTTCAGCTAGCCAAGCAAAATTCATTACCATATCGTACAGAAGGAATAACAGATTTATAAATGTTAAAATAACCATTTAGACAAATATATATCCAGCAAATGCAAATTTTTTAAAAAAAGAGGTCAGAATCTAAATAAAGGACAAGATAAAATTCAGACCAAAATCATTAGAAGAGACAAAGAAGGACACAAGTGCTAAAGAATACAATTTGCAATGAAGAAATATTAGTTATTAATATTTATGCACCCAAGACACAGCATCAACTTATGTAAAATTTAGAGGACATGCAAGAAGAACTAGACATATGTGTACTAAGAACAGAAGAACTTAACACATTTCGCTCAATCCAAGATTAAGCAGCAAAACTTAGATATACATCCAACTCGACCCTGACGCTAGAGAATACACCTTCTTTTTCTTTTTATTTATTTATTTTTTAAGAACAGTGTTTCACTCTGTCACCCAGGCTGGAGTGCAATGGTGCCATCATGGGTTACTACAGCCTCAACCTTCTGTGCTCAGGTGATCCTCCCACCTCAGCCTCCCAAGTATCTGGGACTATAAATGCATACAAAGACACCTGGCTAATTTTTTATTTTTTTTCAGACACAGTCTCACTATGTTGCCTATGCTGGTCTCAACTCCAGGCCTCAAGTAACCCTCCTGCCTTAGCCTCCCAAAGTGCTGACACTATAGGCATGAGCCATCTCACATCCAGCCTACACCTTTTTAAATGCCAACATAGAGCATTCATGAACATTGACCAGTACATTTCAAAGGACATAGCAAATATAAAGCAAATTCTTTATCCATAATGCAATAAAACTAGAAAGTAATACTAGGAAAAGCAAAAAAGCCCTTCTTTCTGGAAATTTTTATATTTTATAAAAGAACTCTTCATTCAAAGAGGAAGTATAAAATGAAATTTCAAAATGTCTTAATAACTATTATGGTGAAAACATATCAGAATTTATGAGATATAGCTAATGCAGTTATTGGTAGAAAATGTATAGCATTAAATAAAATAGCTAGAAGAAGAGAATTGCAATAAAAATTATAATTTAAAAAAATAAAAATACCTAACTCAAAAAGATAAAAAATAATAAAAAGAAAACACAGGGAAGAAATTTAAGAGATAAATTAATAAACATTTTTAAATGTTAATGAGTTAGAAAACAGAAAGGCAGTACAAATAAGTTTTTTAATCCAAGTCAACTTCTTAAAAAAATCAACAACATATAGCAATTTGCTAACTTAATTAAGTAAAAAAAGAAAGCACAAATGTACAAAAATAAATATAAAACAGTGTGTTACCGAATGCAGGTTCAGCCGGTTGCAAAACCAATTAGCAAGATTGAGATATGGTAGAAGGAGAGTGACTTTATTATAAACCAAAGCTAGCAGTGGGGAAAACAGTCCAGGCTCTTGCCTTAATGGAACCATTTCAAATTTCCAAGCAAAATGCAAGGGCTAAAGAAGGGGAAGCCTTGGCATGGAGGACACACAGGGGGCGACGCAGTGCAGGTCTACGTGACTTGTTCCGATGACTCGTCTTGAGTTATTGACCCCTCTGGTGAATGGGGTGGCATTATCTCAGGCTTGGTTGGGTTGTAAATTAACTGTATCCTTGAAGCAATCTCCTGGTCAGGGAGATTTCCACAGGTGCCTGAATTGTTTCAAGATTTAGTCTCTGGAACTTTTGTGTAAAAGTGAGATGTTGAGTGAGAGACAAGAAAAAGCACTTTTGCGTAAAAAAACATAGAATTAGATGCACTAGCAATGTGAGGGGGTGCCTAGTGATAAAGTGAACACACACAAAAAAAACTTTAAAAATAGGGTACTCAGTTACAAAAGGAAAATTTAAAAATCATGAGAAGTTACTTTGCCCTAATTCTATGAAAATAACTTTGAAAACCTAGATGAAATGACATATTTCTAGAAAAAGTTATCAGGATTGATCCCTATACAGACAATTCTAATAAACCAGTGTTTGGAAAATTTAAAGTAAAAAGATTACATAAAAACACCATAAAAACCATCAGGTCCAAATGATTTCACTTGGGAATTCTATCAAATATTTTTAAATTAGATAATCCATTGTTTAAAGTTAGGCAATCCAATATAATATAAAATGACAAATTCCAACTTCAATTTGTGAACCAGGTATAACATTAATCTCAAAACCTCACTGAGATTAAACCAAAAAACCATATACTAATGTCATTTATGGATTTCACTGCAAAAACTATAAATTATTTCTATTTGCAGACAATATCACAGATTTCCAAAACCCAAATGGAAAAGGTGCTACAGATGAGAAGAAAATTTTGTAAAACAGCAAATTATAAAATCAACATATAAAAATCTATAGCATTCATATACACAAACCAAACCAGTTTAAAAAGTTAATGGAGAGACTATTCCATCTATGATACCACAAAGAAAATAAAATACCTAGGCATAAACTTAATAAATATCCAAAATCTACATGAGAAAAACAATATTCCTGAAAGACTCCAAGTGGACCTTAAAAAAAAAAGAAAGGTAAAACAGATCATGTCCTTGGGTAAGAAGAATATAATAAAGATGGCAATTTTTCCCAAGGTAATTTATAAATTTAATGTAATACTCCTAAAATACCAGCAGGCTTTCTTCTGGAGCTACATAAATTGATAGTAAGTTTCATTGTGAAGAAGAAAAGCTTCTTGAGCTAAGAAAACACTTAAACAGAAGACACAATGAGGGTTATTGGCCCTAGCAAATGTTAAAATATATTTAATTAAAACAGCATGATGTTAACATATGTGATAATGTGAGATATGTATTTGGTTTTTGACCCGTTTCCAGGCACACAACTCCTAAAATCCTTGAAATCTCCCAAGTGATGTCTTTTTGTATGCTAATAATGATTGACTGGTGGCTGGCAGCCCCTAAGTTGCTTCAGAACAAGGGGTGATGACCAGAAAGACCAAGGCACGATTAGAGAGTTGGGACTTGCTGCCCCACCCCACGACCTCCTGGGAGGGGAGAGGGGCTGAAGGTTAAGTTGATCACCAATGGCCAATGGTTTAATCAATCATGCCTCTGTAATGAAGCCTCCATAAAAACTGAAAAGGATGGTTTTAGAGAGCTTCCATAGGTGAACACGTGGAGGTTCCTGGAGGGTGGTGCACCCAGGGAGAGCATGGAAGCTCCGCGCCCCTTCTCACATGCCTTGCCCTATGCATCTCTTCATCTGTATCCTTCATGACACTGGTATCCTTTATAATACACTGGTAGATATTAAGTTTTTCCCTGAGTTCTGTGAGCTGCTCTAGCACATTAATTGAACTCAAGGAGGGAGTTGTGGTATGGGACCAAATTTGTAGCCAGTCAATAAGAAGCACAGGTAAAAACAACATGGATCTTGTTGTTTTTGGCATCTGAAGGTGGGGGCCAATTTTGGAGACTGAACCCTCAACCTGTGGGATCTGATACTATCTCCAGGTACATAATGTCAAAATTGAACTGAATTAGAGGACATCCAGCTGATATTTGCTGCAGAATCGATTGCTTGCTTGGCCAGCAAGGAAATACCCTACACACAGCTGGTTATAGCGGTCTCTGTGTTGATTGTTGTTGAGTGAGAGACAAGAAAAAGCACTTTGAGTTTGTGTTTTTCTACACACATGTATAATAAAATAAACAATGGAACAGAATAGAAATACAGAAGTTGGTTCAATTGCAAATGGAAATTTAGAGTATGAAAAAGGCAGCATCTCAAATTAGTGGCAAAAAGATGGCATTTCTAATTTACATTGGGATATCTAGATAGCTACATGAAAAGATAACATTAGTTTCATTTGTTATATCATACACCAGGATATTTTCCAAATGGGTCAGAGATTTAAATATTTTTAAATGAACTAATACAAATTAGTCTTTATAGCTCAATAGTTGGAAAATATGTCCTAATTATGATTCAAAATCTAGAAATCATAAGGAAAAAGATAAATTTTATTACATCAAATTTTTTATGACCAAAAAGAGTGCCACAAGCAAAGTAAAAAGACAACCAGAAAAAAATGTGCATCTTTTATTTAACATTACAAATATGTAAAGAATTTCTAAAAATAGACAAAAGAAAAAACTTGTAGAAAAATAGGCTAGAGATAAGGACAATCCATCAGAAAAATAAATGCAAATGGCTCTTAACCATATGAAAAGATGTTCAACCTCTCTCATAAGAGAAATGCAAATTAAAACACTCTGAGATAACATTTCACACATGGGATTGGCAAAAATTCATGTTGGATTTTGTCAGGGTACTCCAGAGAAACAGAACCAATTGAACATATATATAGAGAAAGAGAAAATAGATTTATAAGGAATTGGTTTACATGATCATGGAGGCTAAAAGTCCCCCAAGATCTGCAGGGGGCAAGCTGGAGACCCAGGAGAGCCAATGGTATACTTCTAGTCCAAGTCCAAGGGCCTGAGAATCTGAAAAATCAGTGGTATAAGGTCCAGCCTGAGTTTGAGTCTGAGACTGAAGGCAGGAGAAGACCAATATCCCATCTTGAAGAAAGGCAGAGGGAGAGAATTATCTTATTGAGCCTTTTTGTTCTATTCAGGCCTTCAGTGAACGCAATTACTTCAGTGAATTCTTTACTCAAACTACTGACTCAAATATTAATCTCTCCCTCGTCTCCCTCGTGGTCTAGTGGTTAGGATTCAGTGCTCTCAAATGTTAATCTCATCCAGAAACACCCTCAAAGACATACCCAGAAAAAAGTTTAAGCAAATATCTGGGCATTCCTATGACCCAGTCAAATTGACACGTAAAATTAACCATCACAGATAAGTATGTGGAAAAACATGTTCTCATTCATCGCTGGTAGGAATGCAAATTTTTATAACCACTATGAAAGGGAATTTGGTAATGTCTAACCAAATTACATATGTAGTTACCCTTTGACCCAGAAATTAAACTTGTAGGAATAAATCTTAAAGATACACTGGCAGAAATATGAAAAGATGCAAGCACAATGCTATTAATTATAGCACTATTTGTAATAGTAAAAGACCAGAAACAATCCAAAAGTTCACCAATAAGGGACTAGTTGAATACACTATGATACAATCATACAATGAGGTTCCATGTAATTGAAAAAGAAACAAGGAATGAGAAATTTCTCCACATACCATTGTTTAGTGATCTTGAGAATATTGTGTTTACTGAGAAAAGAAAATACAGCTAAAAAGATGTAAAATATTCTACCATTTATCTAAGAAAAGAGAGCTACATATATATTAAATATATTTGTATATATTATATGCATATGCATTTATATGTATTAAAAACAATAGAATGATTTAAAAATCTTTAGAATTCTTATGGGAGAAGAAAAGGAATAGGGCAGAGAAAACAGGACAAGAGCTAGACTTCTTGAAATATATCTTGTTTTATAGATTATACTTTGGAACCAATAAATAATTTATATAATTATAAAACAAATTAATTGGGTTAATGCTGTTACTAAAACTGAAAACTAAATGAAACAAGGAACTCTCACAGCATATCCAGTTTGTGGCTAACCTGACAGAAACGAATTTTTCCAAGTGACTTTAAAAACCAGTAACTGACATTCTAATACAGCAATCTATGTATCCTTACACATCCTTAATGGGATATATCCTAAGGACAAAAAGAATAGAAAAAAATACCTAACCTGTTTCTAGTAATGATATTGTGGTTAGTAGTGATGTTTTCATTCTGTCAAACACAGACTGTGGCTTGTGTATTAAGGGATAAGTCAAATGGGTAGTTAAGTCAGTATCAATGAGAACTGAGATTTTCAACAAGATCAAAAGAGATACAGATGTAACATTTTGTTGGAGTTAAGTAAGAAAGCTATAGTTTTGACTTTGAATTGGAATTACCATCATAAATTCATAACGTATTTTATATATATTCTGTCAACGTAAAACACCTTGAAACAATGATAAACCCCATAGAAATAACCACTTCTAGTCCCAAATTGTGTCTCTAAATACCATTTCCCATTAAAAAGAGTCAGGGTTTCTTTAAGGCTCCAAGTCTGGAACAGATATGTACAGAGTGAGCCTGAAATATCTTTTCAAACTACCAGAAGCAAGGAAGCAATCACAGACTATTACGATCATATCAAAAAGACTCCTGAGCTGGCTTGAAGGCTCACACTGGCCAATATGGGACCATTTTAGCATTGTGTTCCTCCAGAAACTGACCCCAAGACAAGTATTTGAATGTAAAGAGTTTATCTGGGAAATGCAAGAACCACTGGTAGGGGAACAGGGAAGAGAGAGAGAAGGGAAGGCAGCCTATAAAAGGTGTATTATCAAGCTAGGTACCACAGTGGTGCCTGGAGCTTAATCCTGTGGGGGAATTCTGGGAAATAGTGTAAGGTACATTCTTCAGAGTTATCCCACTCAAGAGGTGAGGAAGTGGGGTAGTTACACACTGACTCTTGACAGGTGCTTATTGAGGCCTATCGGGGGTAAGTGTTAACTCTCCAGCCCTTCTTGATTTTGTATGTAACCAATTTGTAATTTTCTGGTAATCGCCTTTAAAAAAATAAAAAGAAACAGACAAAATTGTTTTTAATAATAACTTTTATTTGACCCATCACATCCAAAATATTCTCCCTTCAACATGTAATCAATATAAAAATTATTAATGAGATATTTTACATTCTTTTTCCATACTAAATCCTCAAAATCAGTGTGTATTTCACACTTAAAGCACATCTCAGTTTGAACACTAAATTTTCATCAGAAATACTTAAACTGTATTTAGATTTCATAAAATTTATGGTTGAGAAAGCAGATTCACATACCCAAGTTGTTTCAAACTTCAGTTTTCCAATAACTGGATCAAGTTATCACTTTTAAATTTAAATGTATATTAATTAAAATTAAATACAATTTAAAATGTAGTCCTTCAGTCACACTAGCCACTTTTCAAATGCTCACTAGTCAAATGTGGTTAGTGGCTATTGTATTGGATAGTGTGCCGTTACAGGATAAGCTTGCTTTCTTCAACCAAAAAACTATAAAAGAAAAACAAAAATATGTAGTGAGAACATGCAGATTAAAGAAACTTAGGAGACATATCAATTCATCATTTTGTATGAATCTTATTTGAATCCAGATTCAAATAAACTAAAAAAATATTTAGGAAAATATCAGCTTGCAAACAATTCGGGTAAAGAATAGTACTTGGGGTACCGATTGGCCTTCTATTGAAAACTGTTGAAGTCACACACTGGGATCCTTACACTATTCACTCTACTTTTGTTTATGTTTGAAATTTTCCATAGTAAAAGATAAATATGTATGTGTGTGTATATGTATATATATATATTTATATATGTGTGTATATATATTTATTTTATATATATATATAAAATAAAATAGAGTGGATTCAAAGTTCTCCATAATAGCCTTCAGGTCTGTTTTCTTGTATAAAAAAGAAAGTGACCCCAAGATGGTGCGTGACGTAGCCATGCCATGCATCTGAATGCCATCTGTTGCATTCGAGATCCCTGCTCATTCCCCACTTAATATACTGTGAATGTATTTTTATTTGTGTACATAGAGCTCTACCTCATAATCATAATGGCTATATACCCTTCCATTGTGTGGATGTGTCATAATTATTTGAACGACTCCACTATTGATTGCTATTTGGGTTGCTTCCAAACGTTCATTAATATAAACAAGGGTTGTGATGAGCATTCTTCCTCATACATCTTTTCACATCATGTGGTTATTTCCTTAGGATGTGTTCCAAGAAGTGGAACTGCTGGGTAAAACAGTCATTAACAATTTTAAAAGCAGATCTTTGAAAAGGTGAGGCCCACTGCACCAGAACTGGCCTACTGCCAAAGAGTTCTGTGGTTGCTCTAGGCCCCAGGAATTTGGTCCTGTGGCCACAGGGCATTGAGCTCCCTCTCCCAGGGCAGAGAATATCCTACTCCAGATTCTTAACTCAGGAGGTCTGCAGTGGCGTCCAGGAACATGAATTTTTAAACAGAGGTCCAGCCAATACTGATGCAGATGGTCCAGGATCACTTCGGTAAATGTCAACCCTGTTTTCTCCTCAGTGTCTCCTGAGAAGCTCTGAAAAATACTCAGGACTGGGTGTGACCCTGGGAAATTTATTTTTCAGTGGCTCTGAGGTATGGCTGGTATATGAATATACTGACTATGTGAATGCAAACATGAGATCATATCATAATGCATGCTGCCTTCTCCTTAATACAGTCTTATTTTCCTCCCTTTTCTATTTTTGCTCGCCTCCTTTCTCTTCCTCTCCTCCCCATCTTCACCTCACCACCCTCCCAGGCAACCTGTGTTAACAACCTAGTTGTTAAACTGAATTTGAATATGATATGATTTTCTCCATGCCAATGTATCATATGCAAAAATACTATGCATTAGATATACATATCAGCCAGCCTTCTTAGGAAGCAGCAGAAACCAACTCTGGCTGGTTTAAACAGAAAAGCAGTGCCTTAAAAATACTGAGTAATTCACAAATTCTCTGTATGGGTTAGAGAAGTAGCCAAGAAGGCCACTGATGGCCTTTTCTGAACCTGCGCAGGAGTGTGGGTAGCAGGGCAGAGATGAGAAGGGATTGGGAGGTGTTGACAGGCAGACTTAATGAAGGAAATTTCAGGCAGCCACAATTAGAAGAGGAAAATCTTGGCAGGAGAAGACATTTCATTTTGTTTGTTAGACCACTTGGGGGTCATCTGGAATAATAATTCCTGGAGAGGGGTATTTCTATGGAAAGAATGTGTAACGAGTAAGTCCAGGCTTCTCACAGTATGTTCAGGAACACAGAGGAATCTCGTTAGGTCCTCCAGAAGGCAAACATCAAGATAGAGTTAGTAGTGCCATCCTGTGCTGCCACTTAACAAAAGAGATATGTTTTGAGAAATGCTTCTCTAGGCTCCACTTCTTTTCGGACCCGCCATAGAGTGCACTTACATGAATGATGGTCTAACCTACTACACACCTAGGCTGTACGTACAGCCAATTGCTCCCAGGCTACGAACCTGTGCAGCATGTTACTGTACTGAATGTGATAGGCAACCGTAACACAATGTTAAGCATTTGTGTGTCTAAACATAGAAAAGGTACAGTAAAAATATAGTATAAAATATAAAAATGAGGCTGGGCACGGTGGCTCATGCCTGTAATCCCAGCACTTTGGGAGGCCGAGCGGGGTGGATCACTTGAGGTCAGGAGTTTGAGACCAGCCTCGCCAATATGGAGAAACCCCGTCCCTACCAAAAATACAAAAATTAGCCTGGCATGGTGGTGCATGCCTGTAGTCCCACCTACTCAGGAGACTGAGGCAGGAGAATCGCTTGAACCTGGGAGGCAGAGTTGCAGTGAGCTGAGATTGCGCCACTGCACTCCAGCGTGGGTGACATATGTATGTGTGTATATATATGTATGTGTATATATATATGTGTATATATGTGTGTGTTTATATATGTGTGTATGTGTGTGTGTGTATATATATATAATACATATATACAAATATATATATATATATATATTTTTGAGGCAGAGTCTTGCTCTGTCACCCAGGCTGGAGTGCAGTGGCGCAATCTCAGCTCACTGCAACTCTGCCTCCCGGGTTCAAGTGATTCTCCTGCCTCAGTCTCCCAAGTAGGTGGGACTACAGGCATGCACCACCATGCCCAGCTAATTTTTGTATATATGTGTGTATATATATATGTGTATGTGTATATATATGGCACACCTGTCTAGGGTACTTATAATGAATGCAGCTCGCAGGACTAGAAGTTGCTCTGGGTGAGTCAGTGAGTGAGTGATGAGTGAATGTTAAGGCCTAGGGCATTACTGTACACTACTATAGACTCTCTAAAAACTACTCTTAGGCTACATTAAATTTATTTAAACATTAAGTAGTTGCATACAATGTTACCACGGCTATGATGTCACTAGGTGATAGGAGTTTTTCAGCTTCATTGTAATCTTATGGGACCATGTCGGAAACATGGTCGATCCTTGACTGAAACATCGTTATGTGGCACATGGCTGTACAAAAGATTTAACGGAGTGTTACCTATAAAGAATAAAGGGTGAGAGGGAACAGTAACAGGCAGGAAAGACCTCAGATTGCCATGCAGGTCTGACCTCTGTGGAAGGAGAAGGCAGAAGGAAGCGTTGGATGGGAAGAGCTTCAGACCACAGGGCAGCTTTGAGAAAGTCTCTGGCAGTCCAGTGGGGAGCTCCAGGACAAAGAGTGCCCAAGAAGACCTCCAAGTGGGGCAGAAGGTGGGAAGTAGTGCCTCTCCATGCTCAGCTATTGGCTGGGGGCTGTCCAGGAAAAGCCTGAGCTTACAGTGGGTCCCCAAGGCACTGCAGCTAGAGGCTGTCAGCTAACCCAACTCCCATAGCTGATGTCAAGTTCCTTCTTGAAGGGGAGATCCAAGTGGCATGCCTCCATGACTGCCACAACAGGTTTTAGCCACATTTCCATTGACAAAGATTATAATTTTTTTTTTGAGACGGAGTCTTGCTCTGTTGCCCAAGCTGGAGTACAGTGGCCTGATCTCGACTCACTGCAGCCTCTGCCTCCTGGGTTCAAGCGATTCTCCTGCTTCAGCCTCCCTAGTAGCTGGGATTACAGGCACGCACCACCAGGCCTGACTAATTTTTTGTATTGTTAGTAGAGAGGGGGTTTCACCATGTTGGCCAGGCTGGTCTCGAACTCCTGACCTCAGGTGATCCACTTGCCTCGGCCTCCGAAAGTGCTGGAATTACAGGCATGAGCCACCGCACCTGGCCAACAAAGATTATACTTTTTAAAAATCAAAGTGTGATGGTTAATACTGAGTGTCAACTTGATTAGATTGAAGGATAAAAAGTATTCATCCCGGGTGTATCTGTGAGGGTGTTGCCAAAAGAGATTAACATTTGAGTCTGTGGGCTGGGGAAAGCAGATCCACCCTTAGTCTGGTGGGCACCATCTAATCAGCTGCCAGTGAATATAAAGCAGGCAGAAAAACGTGAAAAAGAGAGACTGGCCTAGTCTCCCAGCCTACATCTTTCTCCTGTGCTGGATGCTTCCTGTCCTCGAACATCGGATTCTAAGTTCTTCAGTTTTGGGACTCGGACTGGCTCTCCTTGTTCCTCAGCTTGCAGACGGCCTATTGTGGGACCTTGTAATTTTGTAAGTTAATACTTAATAAACTCCCTTTACATATATATATTTATTTATATATACATTTATATATATATATTTATATCTTCTATTAGTTCTGTCCCTCTAGAGAACCCTAATACACAAAGCAATAAGTCATTGTGTCAAAGATCATTTGAAATATGATGTAGAGAAACATATGTAGAGAAACATGTCAAAATCATTTGAAACATGTAGAGAAATACAAAAAAATGAAGATTGCTGTTATCCCACTAGAGATTTCCTATATATAATACGTAAAAATAAATATATATTTATTTAAAATAAGATCATGTGCTACATGCTATTTTAAGCCTTTTTTACTTAAAATATATTATGAACATATTCATATTCCCTTTTATTTACAGAAATCTATTTTTTTTCTAATGAGTGCATAGTGTTCCTTGGTATGAATATACCAGCATCTGTTTAAGTGGTCCCCTATGGCTCAACAGCTTGGATGTTTCAAATTGTTTGTGACTATAGCCATCACTGCAATGCCAATCCTGGTACATATGTCCTGTTCTTGGTCTTGGCCTTGGTCTCTAGGGATTCCAGAGCCTGCCTCTGTGACTCTCTGATGCTGCACTGTCTTGACAGTTAAGATGTTGCCCTACCCGGGAGCTCCCCTGAAATGTTGCCAAGGATGCAGAGGTGCAAAAGGAACGACTCCAAGAGAAAGCCCTCTGTGCCAGGTGGCTCTGAAGATCCTTTTGAAACAAAGAGCCAGGACTGGCACCATGGCTTAGGGAAACCAGAACTCTTTCTTACTGGTACATCCCTACCAAGACTCATGGCCCTATTGGGCTATTTGTTTGCTTGTTTGTTTTTATATATGTTATATATGTTTTTATATCATCTCTGCTTTCAGAGATCTAATCCCCCAATTCCAGTGAGGAGAATTAAGGGAAGCAAATCTTCAGAAACCGAGGGCCATTGGTAGAGTTATTACATCATTGTAGGAGTGACTTTTCCCAGCCTTCACCTGGGAACCACCTGCCTCTAAGACCAGCATGGACAATCACTCTATCTTCAGTTTCCATGGTGATTTGTAGGGCTAGCTCCCACGGGGTGCCTAAAGAATGTAGTCCATCCCTCAAACCAGGTACCACGACTGAACCAAACTGAGCCACTGGAAAAGGCTGGTGGTGGGGTGCACCAGAGGTTGGGAATCAGAGGCCAAAGGAGCTGGAAAGAGAATACAAACTAGACTCCACTGTTCTTTGTCTTCCTACCAATGAAATTGATTTCTATATCAAGTGTCATTCTACTGTGTTATGATTTTTATTTCAGTTTTATGGGTTCCCCCCACCCTTTTCCCTGGAGTTGGAACCAAGTTCTCAGGGCTTATGTAGTGTCAAGCGGGAGAGTTCTTACCAGCCCTCAGACTTTGCTGTATGTCTCCTGACATCTGCTGAGCTGAACATGATCCCTGCTGACCCCACACAGATGTCCACCGAGACGTGCACTCTCCATCTGCCAGGCAGGCTGCCATAAGTGCTGGTCACTCTGCAGCCTTCCTTTCCTGGTTTCCTAAGTTGTCTACATTTTCCACTTTAAACATGTACCACTTTTGAAATCAGAAAAAAAGTTATCTAACTATTGTCATTAGAATATGGCTTAGTATTGCTGTACGTTGTGTTTCTGTCTTAAAAATATGGTAAGGCAGAACCCAGATGGGGTGGGAAATGGGCAGATTTGGAACATGCTCTGGATGAATGTCATCACTTGAGAGCAAAACTAGGACACTTCAACCTGTAATAGATGCAAAACAAACCCATCTGAAAATGTGTTTATCAACTTGTGGCTACAGATTCTTGGAGGAGCCCCCTAGATTTAAGTGCAGGAAGGTGACTGGGGTGTGGCTGAGAGAAAACAAAGCTGCCCTGCCCTTTGGCTTTATGATTAACATAGGGCTGTGTTATAGGGCAATGAACCAGATACAGGCTGGATCGGAGGAGGCTACCACCTTCCAGGAGAACCCTGACTACACATGTGCAAATAGACAAATGGACTTTCTCCTTTCACTCCCTTGAAACAGATGCCCAGATTGGAGAATATGGTTACTATAGCCAAAAACCACTTTTGTCCTGTGTCTCTGACATTGTTCTGGTTCTCTTGGCTGGCTCTGGTGTGGAGATGGAGCCTTGGACTGATTGAGTTTGACGACAATGTCCGTTAAGATAAGCCAATCTGTTACAATTCTTTCTAGAAAGCAAAGTGACAGCTTGTATTAAGAGCTTTAAAAAGTCCATACCTTTTGACCCAGCCATCCCATTACTGGGTATATACCCAAAGGACTATAAATCATGCTGCTATAAAGACACATGCACACGTATGTTTATTGCGGCATTATTCACAATAGCAAAGACTTGGAACCAACCCAAATGTCCAACAATGATAGACTGGATTAAGAAAATGTGGCACATATACGCCATGGAATACTATGCAGCCATAAAAAATGATGAGTTCATGTCCTTTGTAGGGACATGGATGAAATTGGAAATCATCATTCTCAGTAAACTATTGCAAGAACAAAAAACCAAACACCGCATATTCTCACTCACAGGTGGGAATTGAACAATGAGAACACGTGGACACAGGAAGGGGAACATCACACTCTGGGGACTGTTGTGGGTTGGGGGGAGGGGGGAGGGATAGCATTGGGAGATATACCTAATGCTAAATGACGAGTTAGTGGGTGCAGTGCACCAGCATGGCACATGTATACATATGTAACTAACCTGCACATTGTGAACATGTACCCTAAAACTTAAAGTATAATAATAATAAATAAAAAATAAAAATAAAATTAAAAAAAAAGTCCATACCTTTGATCCAGTAACTCCCCTTCTAATAATTGTCAGAAATTCAAGCACACATATATGCACAATAGTTTATGTTGTGGTGTTATTCAAAATGGTAAAAAAAAATGGAAACAAATTTAATGTTCAGTAACAAGGGAAAGAGGTTAATAAATCATGGTGTCCCCATACATTGGCCTAGTTTGAAGCCATTAAAAATGGGTTTCCAAGAATTTTACTGGTAATAGGAAATATTCACAGTATAGCAAGTTTAAGAATTAGGATTCAGAATTGGGTAAATAGTATTTCAATTTGGTAAAATTATTACATGGAGAATCCTAAGTAAAATATTAAAAAGAAATTTATTAATAATTTAGGTGTTTATGGCTGATAATTTTTATTTTCTTCTTTGTATTTCCCATCAGAGAGGAGACTTACTTGTTTGTTTGGTGTAAAGTTGTCCATTCTGGTTTTTATAAAGATAATTGAATATATTTGCCATTTTACCACATTGTCACATATTATAGAATTTTCTTTTTCTAAAGGTTGAGTAATAGTCTCTGTATCGGGTACTGCATTTCCTTTGCCCACTCCTATTTTAAGTTTACCATTAGGAAATAATACATGAATATATGTTTATGACCTTCATATTATTCATTATAAATTAATAAAATGGCCTGACAGTTGTGGTTTTTAAAAGCATGTTTCAAAAATGAGGAAAACCCCTGCACTTGAGGAAGATGGTATGTAATGAAAGGAGGTTTTAGAGAGAATATAAACATTCTGAACTATTTTCATCTGTCTCCCTATCAAGAAGAAATGCCATCAAATAAGAATGAAGGAAAAGGAAGGCCAAGATAAGAGAGCAGATAGTGGAAAAATACTTTAACCAAATATACAAATAGGACTGTCTCCCTTTTGGCTGTAATATGAAGAGAAAATATGAAGAGGCCACTGTTCAAATATTTCATTAAGTGTCTTTGAATGGGTTGAATTTCTCGTGAACCCCTTAAAACCACAAGGGGTTTAAGGGTCAGGGGGTGCAGAAGGGATAGGATTTGAGAGGAAGAGTTATTTGGAGAGAATAGTTTGCGTGGTGTGGGGTATTTCCCCTTCATCTCAAGTTAAGAGGGAGAGAGGTTTCAAAGGATTGCAGGTATGGGGAATGGGGAGAGGGCAGGATGCAGTAAATTGGCGTCTGATTCTTGCCTGAAAAAATCAAAAGATTAAGAATGCTTGAAACACTTACTAGGCTCAGAGAGTGAAGAGCCATTTTACAAAAGTACCAAAGAAGAGCTTTCCTACTCCTCAGCCTCTTAGTACCGCCCCACCCTAGAGGAGTCAGAATTCCAGGTTTATAAGCTGATGTAGGAGAGGTTAAAAAAAAAGAAGAAACCAAATGCACACCGTTACCAGCTGTAAGCTTCCTGCCTGAGGCAGACTCAAACTGAAGAGGAAGATTTCACTTTAAACAAACTGTATAGTTTTGCTTGTTATATAAAAGTAGATTTCTAATATCTAAATTAAGACTATATTTAGTGACTTAAGGTGATTATAGTACTTTTATTTATCATGAGTGATATGATCAGATAAGTCACAGGACTGATAAATTTTCATCCATAGACAGGGAAAGGATATACCTTACTGAATAAATTTTAAGGGACAATGGGAGACAAAATAAAGTTGCTTTCTGCTTATATCTGAGGATCACATTTATCCCATGACACTAGCTAGCTTGCTTCAGTGAGTTTAAGCCAGCTGGTGCAGACAGATGACCTCCCAGATGATGGCAAGGGTTACCTGTAACATCTTTGATAGAACCTGGAAAATCAGAGAGAGTAGCCAAAACAGTGAAAATGGAAAATAGTGTCCTGATTTTTAAATGGGGTGATAAATGAAATTTACAATTTGATTGATGAGCACCCCCAGTGCCAACAAAAATCTAGAAGGGATTATTAAACAGATGGTTTCTGAGTACTTGAAAAAGAAAGTAATGTTTGCCAGAAACTAGCGTGGACTCACTAAGAACAAGCCTAACCTCATTTCTTTTTCTTTCTTTCTTTGTAAGTGATTAAATTAGTGGATTGGGGTATTTCATAGACTCTGTGCCTTGATTTCTGTGATGGCTTCTCCTAAATCTCTCATGAGTCTCTTGTGCAAAGGTGGAAACACGTCAATGGGGACTATGAGGTGAATTTATAGTTGGCTGAATAGTCATTCGTAGAGAGTGTTGATTAATGAATTGCCGGCACCCTGGAGGGGAGTCTCTGGTGGCATTCCAGTGGGCTTTATTCTGGCTTTGCCCAGTTTAATATTTTTTATTAATAACTCAGGAGATGACATAGAAGCCAATTTTATCAAAAGTGTGGAAGACATGAAGAAAAGATAGTGAACACATTTGGATGACTATAAATTTTTTAAAATTTGCAATCTCAGCTGGGCGCAGCGGCTCATGCCTGTAATCCCAGCACTTTGGGAGGCCGAGTTGGGTGGATCACCTGAGAAGTTAGGAGTTCGAGACCAGCCTGGCCAACATGGTGAAACCTCGTCTCTACTAAAAATATAAAAATTGGTCGAGCATGGTGGTGCATGCCTGTAATCCCAGCTACTCGGGAGGCTGAGACAGGAGAATTCGCTTGAACCCAGGAGGTGGAGGTTGTAGTGAGCCCAGATTGCACCACTGCACTCCAGCCTGGGCAACAGAGCAAGACTCCATCTTAATAATAATAATAATAAAATTTGCAATCACATGTGCTGACATATTTTTAAAATGAAAGTTTGAAACATCTGCAACCAGGACAAAAACTGTTTAGGGTTGATTCCAGAACAGTTTTCTTTCCTCTCAGACAAATGCTAACTTGCACAGCCCACTGACACTGTGGACCCTCTCAGTTACGTAGTTCTCTATGCCACTATCCCCAGAGACAACCTCTGCCTTACTCTCCTCATTAATTGTAATGACACCCCCAGCTCCTCCCCACAAACTGGTCCCAACATTGCCAGGCAGGCCCCACTGAGCCAAATGAGCCCCTTCAGGACCTTCCCCTGCTTAGGCCCCTGCCCTGGCTCAGCAAGGTTTTAACTCCCTGGGCATCCTGCCAACTCATGGCCCATTATCAGTCTCCCCAGAGCTCTGTGAGCAGGGCCAGGAATTCCTTTCCCTCCTTCCACCAAGTGTCTACTTGTTCCAGCATCCTAATCCCATATATCCCTGTGCATAAATATACATGTACTTCCTACTGGTATGAAACCTACAGGGATGAATGTCAAGTCTGCATTGTTTAAAAATTCAATTACACCAGTACAGAATGGGGGAGACCTGTCTTGACAAGAATCTATATTGAGCTTTTGGGCCAATTTGCCTAAGACCTATTTGCCTAAAGTCAACTTGCTTAAAGTCCCAACCATTGAAAATGTATATCATCAGAGAACATTTGTAGCATTTTATATAGGATAAAATTACTTTATAAAGCATTTTGAATGTTAGATGATTCTTCCTATTTTACCAATTTTTAAAAAATATTTTATCAATAATTAAGCAAAATTTTTAAAAGTTCTTTTATTTCACATGTCTATAGTTATTTCTAAACTTACTGTATGCCGCTTGGCAGTTTCTAATAAAGTTCTACTCCTAGGTATATACCAGTGTATTTTAAAACAAAAAGACTTCTGTAACAAGTATGAACAAAAAAACTCATATCCAGTTTGTTTGTTTTTTTTTTTAAGTGTTTTTTGAGACAAAGTCTGGCTCTATCATGCAGGCTGGAGTGCAGTGGCAGGATCTTGGCTCACTGCAACCTCCACCTCCCAGGTTCAGGCCATCCTCCCACCTCAGCCTCCTGAGTAGCTGAGACTACAGGTACACACCACCACGCCCAGCTAATTTTTTGTATTTTTGGTAGAGGCAGGGTTTTGCCATATTGGCCAAGCTGGTCTTTGTTTTGTTTTGTTTTTGAAATGGAGTCTTGCTCTGTCGCACAGGCTGGAGTGCAGTGGTGCAATCTCAGCTCACTGCAACCTCAGCCTTCCAGGTTCAAGTGATTCTCCTGCCTCAGCCTCCTGAGTAGCTGGGATTACAGGTGCCCGCCACCATGCCCAGCTAATTTTTTGTATTTTTAGTAGAGACAGGGTTTCGCTGTGGCAGCCAACCTGGTCTCAAACTCCTGACCTCGTGATCCACCTGTCTTGGCCTCCCAAAGTGCTGGGATTACAGGCGTGAGCCACTGCGCCTGGCCTAAAAAATTTTTTTTTAGAGACAGGGTCTTGCTCTGTCAGCCAGGCTGGAGTGCAGTGATATGACCATGGTTTACTGTAACCTTGAACTCCTGGGCTCATGTGATCCTCCTGCCTCAGCCTCCCAGGTAAGCAGGACTATAGGTGCACATCAGTGCACCTGGCTGATTTTTAAAATATTTTGTAGAGACGAAGTCTTGCTATGTTGCCCAGGCTTGTGTCAAACTCCTGGCCTCCAGTGATCCTCTTGCCTCTGCCTCCCAAAGTATTGGGATTACAGGCATGAGCCACTGTGCCCAGCCTCAGTTTTATTCTTAATAATCAAACACTGGAAAGAAAACAAATGTCCATCAACAGGTAAATGGATAAACAAATTCAGCTATATTCATACAATGGATTGCTACTCAGCAATAGAAAGAAATTAACTACTGATATCTTCAGCAACATGGATTAATCTCCAAAACATTACATTGAGCAAAAGCTGCCAGGAAATTGATAAGTACAATTCCATTTATATGAAGTTCAAGGACAGGCACAAATTGAAGTGTGGTGAAAGAATCGGTACAGTTCTTACCTGGTGGTGGAGAGGCACTGGGAAAGAGTATGAAGGAGTTTTCTGGAATATGGAAATATTCTATCTGTTCATCTGGGAAGTGGCCACTATGCAAAAAGTCATACATAACACAAAAAGTCACGGAGCTCTACTCTTAAGATTTGTGCATTTTACTATATGTAAATTAACACTAAATTACTGTTTTTAAATTTTTATATTTCATATGTTTTCATTAAAAAACACACGAAGCTTTAGTATTTTTACCTCTAGTTTGCTATTTAATTCAGTTTTTAAAAACTTTTTTGGAAAATGCAGATTTTTAGAGAAAATTAGCCACATGTTCAGGTCGAGACTTATTTAGTGAGCAGATGTCATTTGAACAGCAGAAGTGAGATAAATCTCTCAGAGCACATTCAGCTCCATTACAGTTTAAGTTTCATAACATCTAATAGGTAAATTTATGCTGGGCAATGAAACTAAAACACACAAAACTTCAGAACACAGCGTCCTGAGTTCAGGTAATTGTGGATATTTGCAGCTGGGCTTCAGCCACATGTAAATTTTTCTAGACTTTCCTCAGTCTCCATGGCCTCCATGGGCTCTCAGCCCCCGCCACAGCCAGTGTTGATCCTGATGGATGGTTGGCAGGCACCAGCTAGCATCCTGCTTCCATAGTCTCATTCATTTGGATCAATCCTAACCTACTGGGCATGCTTTGAATAACCATAAATTCCCTGAGGTTGCCAGAGTATTGTAGAGGTTGAAACTTTTGCATCATCTCTCAGGTTGGCTTGGTGTGGCCAGGAAGCAGGCTCTACAGGGCTCACCTGGCTGTCCATTCAGATTACCCACCTTCTTCCAGGACGATGGAACATTGTATAAGGAACAGCCCATTCCCCTAAGTCCTCCTGCCTTAACCAGCATGCCAGATGCAACGCACATGTAAGTAAAATCCGAATATTTCTCTGTGAATATTCACTTGAGGTTTTATTAATACATGCATAGTGTTGTTGTGGGCCTGGTAAAATCTCCAACAGGAACCTGGTCCCACAGTTCTAGCCATGTAATATTTTCTTCCTTCTTGGAAGATGGGAAGGTGTTAATAGATACAATTATTGTTCTTGAGCAAGGTAGGCTGAGTCATAGTGCTCTTTTTTGTAAGGAATCTGTCTGGTGACACTGAGCAGAATGAGCATAATTCAGTAATCCCTTGGTTAGAGACCCTCTTATTAAGGAATCCTCTTTTCTTTCTTTCTTTCTTTCTTTTTTTTTTTTTTTTTTTTTTTCTGAGACAGTTTCACTCTTTTTGCCCAGGCTGGAGCAAAATGGCATGATCTCGGCTCATTGCAACCTCTGCCTCCCAGTTCAAGTGATTCTCCTGCCTCAGCCTCCCGAGTAGCTGGGACTACAGGTGCACGCCACCACACCCAGCTAATTTTGTATTTTTAGTAGAGACGGGGTTTCACCATGTTGGCCAGGCTGGTCTCGAACTCCTGACCTCAAGTGATCTGCCTGCCTCAGCCTCCCAAATGCTGGGATTACAGGTGTGAGCCACCATGCCCGGCCAGAATCCTCTTTTCTTGTTCTTTTGCTCCATAAATAGATTAGGGAGAACGCTGCTCCTCTGTGTATCAAATAAGGCAAAAAGAAGTTGTAAAGAGACTGCATCATGGGCCATATGACTGTTCTGGCAAGAAGAATGAGAGAAATAAGGACTTCTGTCTTTATTTGAAGGGATGCTCAGATCAGGTAGTGGGTGGAAAACAGTATGAACAATGCTGTTATTGATTTTTTACCTTAGTTTATTATTTTTTTTGATGCTGAATTGGATAGCAATTACATGGCTTAGCCTAGACAACAGAGGGAGACCCCATCTCTACAAAATATAACAATAAATTAGCCAGACATAGTGGCATGTGCCTGTGGTCCCAGCTTCTTGGGAGACTGAGATGGGAGGATCACCTGAGTTCAGCAGGTTGAGGCTTCAGTGAGCAGTGAGCCGAGATCACGCCACTGCACTCCAGCCTGGGTGACACAGCGAGTCCCTGTTTCAAAATAATTTTTTTTTGGTGGGGGGAGACAGAGACTTACTCTGTCACCCAGGCTGGAGTGCAGTGATGCAATCTCAGCTCACTGCAACCTCCACCTCCCGGGCTCAAGCAATTCTCCTGCCTCTGCCTCCCAAGTAGCTGGGACTACAGGCACACACTACCACACCTGGCTAATTTTTGTATTTTAGTAGAGATGGAGTTTCACCATGTTGGCCAGGCTGGTCTCGAACTTCTGACCTCAGGTGATCCTCCTGCATTGGCCTCCCAAAGTGCTGGGATTACAGTCGTGAGCCACTGCACTCGGCCAAATAAAAATTTTTTTAAAAAGAAAGAAAAGAGCTTTGGCCAGTCTCTCAAAGCTCAGCCTGGCTCCAGGGAAAGTGGTTACCAGGTGTGGCAGGCCCTGAATCAGATGTCAGGGTGTCAGGCTGTGGGTAAAGGAGACAGCATATCATAAGGTTCTTTAGAAGCACAATCTCTGGCGTCAGGCTGACCAAAGATTCAATCCTGGCAAGCCGTTTTACCTCTTTAAGCCTCAGTTTCCTCCTCTGTAAACTGGAGTTAAAAATTACTTCACCAGCTCATCATGAAAGTTTAAATGAGATGATAAGTATAAAGTGCCTGGCACATAATAAGTCTTAATGTTATTGTTCTCTCATGACAAGAACAAGAACACACAGGAAGTGCTGGGTCCCTTTCCGAGATTTTGGAGAATTAAGAGGAAATGTAAAGTGGGAAATAGTCAATATCAAAATGGAAGGACTTCCTGGCCATTGAAGGGGCTTTAGAAATCTTGAAATATGAGGAATAATTGAGGAAACCTAGGGTGTTTTACTTGGAAGAGAAAGAATTATCAAATATTTAAAGAGCTACCTTGTATTCGAATAGGGGCTAAAGAGCCCTTTGCTGGCTGTTACCTTTCAACTCTCAATGAAATTCGGATCCCCAAAGCGTCCTGTCCTGAAGCTAGCAGAGATTGGAGGGCAAAGGCCCTGGCTCAGGGTTGGCAGCCGATGATATCCAGGGACCTGGATTGGAGGATGCTGAGCAGACACCAGGCTGGCCCTCTGGCTGGGGCAGAAGGACTTGGAACCCAGAACAGCCCAAGGAGCGGGGTGGAGAGTGGTTTATCCCAATTGGACAATAGCAGCCTTTTGGAGAGATACTGATGCTATTCCTAGTACTTTGTCTACATTTGAGAGAGGCCATTTCAGGTCACAGGAGCATTCCTCTTGGGTGGAGTGGAGTTTATTTCCTTGTGGTCTGGCCAGGAAACGCCAAGCCGGGTGGCCGAGAGGCTGGCCGTCTTGGCTGGAAGGCGAAATGCCTGGCCAATCGGTCTGTCTCCAGAGAGCAGACTGGCCCGCCTTGACTGGCCGGTCCTCTGGCCGCTGTTGCTGCCTGAAGAGCATCCCCCCTCCAGCCAGTGGATTTTCTCATTGCTAGACTTGTAAGTGGCGTGATTTATGACTCTGCTGATCCATGCTGGCCCCTGGGTATACAAGCTTTTGCTTCCAAGCTGGGAAGCGAATAATGAATTAATCACCCTGCCTCAGGTTCAATACGGAGCTGAGTGTTTGCAGATCTTTATTGTACTGTGCAAGCCAAGTCGAACTCCTCAATTTACACTTCTAATTCACTGGAGTTTGTGCAAGTCTGCCTGTTCCAGGGGAGCTGCAGCCTCGTGGCTGCTTAGTCTCTGAGGAAGCCTCACTTCCCCAGTTCCCAGCCATTCTCTCCCTCTAAGAGTGAATGAATGCCCAAGACTTCAGGGTGCTCAGAGAAGCCAAGCCACTTCCTCAGAGACTGCTCCCTTGGATGTCTCTTGTCCTAAATGGTGTTGTTTATGACAGTTCTCAGTGCAAAAGAGATAGCTGCACCGCCTGATGCCAGCCTGTGTGCATGGCATGGAGAAGGCACACAGGAAATGTTGGTTGAATGAATAGCCCTGGCGCCACCAACACAGATGTTTATCAAAACTAATGGTTTGCAGTCAGGGCTGGAGTCTGTCCTCTTTTCCTTTGTTCTGGTTCTCTAGGACTTGGGGAGGAGAGTTTTTACTAGGTCTCAGAGCTGATGAGATCTGAGTGATGAGATGGGGCAAATTCTCAAGTTCACTGAGAAGCAGTGGGAGGCAAAGTCTGCATTTGAAGATTTGGGGCTTCCCAGTTTTGGCCATTTTTCTTCACCACCCAAAGACATATGCAGGTACTTTTCACTCAGTGCTTGAATGTGAAAAGCAGGTGCACAGAGTAAGGCTGACCCAGGCTTTATCCTGATGGGCTCTAAGAAGGGGGCACATCTATTCTGGGGACACATTCTTCCTGACCGAGTGCAGCTGAGATGCTGCCTCGTCTATCTCAGCATCCAGCCTCCCCACAATGCACACATCTGGTCCTGCAGCCCAGAGGGACCACCACACCCGCAGTGTCTCTTCTTGGGGCTTTTGTTCACCTTGTTCTATTCTCCTACTCCTTGCCTCTTTCGCTGCTACTTGTTAAGATTCCTCCTCCTCCACTCCTCAAGACCTGCCTCCAAAGCTATCCCATCTCAAACCTTTCCAAGCTGCTTCAAATCCATGTGGTTTCCTTTCCCTTTTGGCCTCAGCCACATGCTGCTTGTCCTTTTAGCCCTTCTCTGACTCTGACCCATGTCCTCATCTCCTGGCCGACTGGGCATGGCTTCTGCATTGTCACTCTAATTACTGGTAGAAATGTAAGGACAAGAAAGAGCTGAGGGCAGCCCAACACCCACCATCAGGAACTTCCTTACAGATTAGCTACAACTACCATCTTCCACTCATCAGACACAAACATTTATAGAGCCCCCTACTCCACCCAAGCACTGGGGTTGCAACAATGAACACGACTTTACCTCTTCTTGTTTCTCCCCTCCAAGCTCCAGACACATCGACTTTCTACAATGCCCTCAAACCCACCATGTCCTCCTGCCTCAGGCTCTTGGTATATGATCTATGCCTGAAACATCCTAACTCTCCTTCTCTTCTTGTTTATTCATTCTGATCTTTTAGAGCTCAACTCGAACACCAATTATTCAGGGAAAGCTATGCGGGAACCACCACCAACACCACTGCTCCTTGGTCTGGATGTTTTCTCTGAACCCCTAATCACAACTGTACCTACAGTCATTCATTATGTTGTCAGTTGTTTCCTATTCATCCTCAACCAAACCCAGGATGGAAGCTCCCTGAGGGCAGGGCCATGCCTTTCTTGCTCACTGCTCTATTTTTATTGCCTACAACAGGACCCTACATAAAGGAAGTGCTCAACAAATATATTTTAAAGAAATAAAATGTATCATTAAAGACATTTTAAAAATATCATCTTGTATTCTAGTCTAGGAGACTTATCAATGGGAGAAGCGTGGTCAGTGAGCATGAGAGCCAGGCACTAGTGATTACCATTTCACATGCCATTCCAATTTCTAGAAAACACCAGAACAGGACGGAGGGGAAGAAAGATGCTGGTGAAGGTGCTTTCCTCTTGCAACACACTGCTCCCACAGAACACTGCAGGCAGAGTCTGAGATAGGAGGAGTCCTGGTAACAATGCATGTTGGGGATTGAAATTTTTGGTGTGCTCCATCATAGAAGACCCAGGGACTGTACCTTATGAGATTCAGCTAGCCATGGGCTGAGCTGTGCAAGTTCACCTGCTGTCAACTGAAACCAAATGGGTTGTAGAGTAGGGCCTTTGTAGAACTTATAAAAACATAAGATTAGCAGAATATTATTCACCATAGAAATCAGGAAAAAAATCCCTGGTGTGATTCCATCCTGCATGGCTGTTCTCTGGAGCAGTAGTCATTTATCTCCATCCACCTTCTCTCCCACCTAAGGGTGTGCCACCATCCCAAGGAAGATTCGATGGACATGGACATGAGCCCCCTGAGGCCCCAGAGCTATCTTTTTGGTTGCGAACTAAAGGCCAACAAAGATGATCACTTTAAGGTGGATAATGATGAAAATGAGACCAGTTATCTTTAGGAACAGTCAGTTTAGGAGCTGGTGCAAAGGATGAACTGCACATTGTTGAAGCAGAAACAATGAATTATGAAGACAGTCCAATTAAAGTAAGACTGACAACTTTGAAAATGTCTGTACAGTCAACGGTTTCCCTTGGGGACTTTGAAATAACACCACCAGTGGTCTTATGGTTGAAGCTTGGTTCGGGGCCAGTGCATATTAGTGGACAGCACTTAGTAGCTGTGGAGGAAGCTGCAGAATCAGAAGACGAAGAGAAGGAGGATGTGAAACTCTTAAGTATATCTGGAAAGTGATGCCCCTGGAGGTGGTAGCAAGGTTCCACAGAAACAAGTAAAACTTGCCGCTGATGAAGAAGAATAAGAAGGAGAAGGAGAAGAAGGAAGAAGAAGATTTTGATGATGAGGATATTGAAGAAAAAGCACCGGTGAAGAAATCTATAAAGATGCTCCAGCCGAAAATGCACAGAAGTCAAATCAGAATGGAAAAGACTCAAAACCGTCAACACCAAGATCAAAAGGACAAGAAACCTTCAAGAAACAGGAAAAAAAAAAACCTCCTAAAACACCAAAAGGGCCTAGTTCTGTAGAAGACATTAAAGCAAAAATGCAAACAAGTATAGAAAAAGCTGGTTTGTTTCCCAAAATGGAAGCCAAGTTCGTCAATTATGTAAAGAATTGTCTCTGGATGAATGACCAGGAGGCTATTCAAGATCTCTGGCAGTGGAGGAAGTCTCTTTAAGAAAATCGTTTGAACAATTTGTTAAAAATTTTCCATCTTACTTCATTTCTCTAACAGTTGCTATCTGGCTGTACTTTTTATAATGCAGAGTGAGAACTTTCCCTACCATGTTTGATAAATGTTGTCCAGGTTCCATTGCCAAGAATGTGTTGTCCAAAATGCCTGTTTAGTTTTTAAAGATGAAAATCCACCCTTTGCTTGGTTTTAAGTATGTATGGAATGTTATGATAGGACATAGTAGTAGCAGTGGTCAGACATAGAAATGGTGGGGAGACAAAAATATACATGTGAAATAAAAGTCAGTATTTTAATAAAAATAAATCAAAAAAAATAGAAAATCACTTGGCATCCTTAATTAAGGCATGCAAGAAGACATCCCATTTCTGCTCTCTAAAGCTTGAGCAGAAAGTCATATCCAAAGGAAGCACTAAAATTTTTAAGAAATGCAATGACCTGTGTGCAAATTCAAATTGGAGACAGTAAAAAAGAGAATTGACCCTCAGAAACCCAAATAGTGATGTCAAGGACGAAAAAAAATCTGAGAAACTTTTTAAAAGAGAAAAAGAAAGTCATGAAAATGATAAAGATACACAAGGAGGATTTTAAAAATTAGGAATCTGGCTGAGCGCACTGGCTAACACCTGTAATCCCAGCACTTTGGGATGCTAAGGCAGGTGGGTCATTTGAGGTCAGGAGTTTGAGACCAGCCTGGCCAACATGGTGAAAACCCATCTCTACTAAAAATACAAAAAAAAAAAAAAAAAAAAAAAAAATTAACCGGGTGTGGTGGCGGGTGCCTGTAGTCCACTATATACATATATATATATATATATAGTGAGACGTATGTTTGTAAATATATATTCCTAATCTATATACATATATAATATATTATATATATAGGAGAGTCTCACTATATATATAAATATATATATGAGAGTCTCACATATATAATATATATGTATATAGATTAGGAATATATATTTACAAATATATATTAGAAACATATATTTATAATATACATTATTTATAAATATTTCATATATATATATATTAGGAATCTGCCTTAAGTAAATTAGATGTTTTCAAGGCAACAATCAGAACATTTGAAATAAGCAATAATTGAAGACCCACTAAAAAGATTTCCCTAAGTGGTAAAATGTCCTAAGCCTGCATATTGGAAAATTTTCCTACATTCAAAAGGTAACACAGAGAATCAGCATCTGGGCACATCCTGATAACACTCTTGAATTCTACTAACAAAGATTCCTTTAAGGATATAGGCACACAAAATCAGTTATCTACAGGGACAAAATTAGATTGACCTCAGACTCAACAACATTAAATGCCAGAGAACATGACAGTAATAGCTACAAATATTTGAGAGGAAAGCTTTGTGACACAACATGGTTAAGCGTGGCCACCGTGACTTCTATGGATAAAGGCCATGGAAAGATATTTTTAGAAAATATACCATCAACATCGCCTTCTTATATATCCTTCTTTTAAAAATTACCCGTAGATGTGCTCCTGCAGACTTCAAGACAAACCAAACCAAGAACTCAAAAACAAATGGGGGAAGAAGATAGTTTGGCGGCTTCTTACAAAACTATACATAAACCAGCAATTGCACTCTTTGTTCTTTACCTGAGTGAGTTGAAAGCTTATGTCCCCACAAAGCATACAAATGTTTATAGTGCCTTTACTCATAACTGCGAAGCAACCAAGATGTCCTTCAGTAGGTGCATGGATAAATAAACTGGGACATCCAGACAATAGAGTATTATTCAGTACTAAAATGAAATGAGCTATCAAGCCATGAAAAGACCCACAGGAATGTTAAATGCATATTACTAAGTGAAAGAAACCAATCTAAAAAGGCTACATACTGACTGATTCCAGCTATATGACATTCTGGAAAAGGTGAAACTATGGAGACAATGGCTGCCAGGAGATTAGGAAGAGGGAGGGAGAGAAGCATGAATAGGTGCTACACAGGGAATATTTAAGGCAGATACATGGTTGTTATGCATTTGTCAAAGTCCGTAGAATGTGCAACATCAAGAAGGAACCCTAAAGTAAACTATGGACTTTAGTTAATAATAATGTATCACTATTGGCTCATCAACTGTAACAAATGTATCACACTAATGCAAGATGTTCATAATACAAGAAATTGGGGTGGGAATAAAGGGATATATATGAGTGAGGAGATCTCTCTTTACTTTCCTCTCATTTTTATTTTTGTAAACCTAAAACTACTCCAAAAAAATATATTGATTTAAGTGGAAGTAATGATATCAACGGATTGGCAAGTCTTCTTAAATTAGATCCCAAATTCGGTTGAACTGCATGTATTCAGTGGTCTTCAGTACCCTGAGGGCAAAGCCAGACCCCAAAGTCCTTCCCTTGGTTTTCTGCTGTTTTCTTCAAGCTCTGCCATGTGAGAACTCTGTTTGCCATTTTTCTTGCCCTATTTGATGGCTCTTGAGCAATCACAATTCTCTTCTGGTCCAGTTCTTACTAACAGAGGTCACATCCTTTATGTTGTTGGTATTCTATGCTGGGAGAATCACTAAAGACTTTTATCTTTCCCTTTACAACAGTGGAGCCGCACATAGTGACATAGCAACCTTTTTCACAATCAAGGAAGCTGAATAGCTGAGAAACTAGTCAATTTACATTATCCAATGCCCAAAGGCTCAGATACAGACAGCACCAGATACCTTGGGAAGTAGGAGTAAAAGTTGATCTGAAAAGAGAAAAGTGGGTGAAAGTCTGTTAAAGAAGCACATATCCCCCAGATACCCTCATCCACTCAGCTCAGCTAGGGAGCAGTCTCTCCCTCACTCTGTAGAAAACTGTAGGGTTATTCTCTGGAGAGTACAAAACAAGTTCTCTAGGCTAAAAAATACCAGACACAATTGAAGGCAAGGATGAGATAATGGAAGCTGATGCATCTAGCTTTCTTCTCACACCTGGATTTCAGAATTCTAGAAACCATATACACACTTCCAGAAGGAAACTGGGAGAAACTTCTATGGGACTCTAACTAGTCTCTAAGAGAAAAAGAAAAACTAAGAAATTAATAACAGGATTCTCTGCAAAATGACCCAGGAGGACCACTATATTGTGAAACCCTCAGTTGACAAGACTTTTCCACTGGCCTGAATGTCTAACCAGCTTTTCAGTGCCCTACTCCTTTAGGTAGACAGTATATGAAAAAACAACATCATTAATTATCAAGGAAATGCATATCAGAACCATAATGTAACAATACACACCCTCTAGAATGTCTAAAATTAAAAAACTCACAATACCAACTGTTGATGAAAATTCAGAGCAATTAGAATGCTCACATTGCTTTTTTTAATTTTTTGATTATACTTTTAAGTTCTAGGGTACATGTGGACAACGTGCAGGTTTGTTACATATGTATACATGCGCCATGTTGGTGTGCTGCACCCATTAACTCGTCATTTACAGACCTTCACTTACCTTCCTTTCTCTGTTCCTCTAATAACTTGATAAAGGTAAAATGTCAACAATGTCTCTAGGCAACATTACTTTTGGTAGAAATAACTCCTATTGGATAAATTGCATCTGGACTCAGGATAACCATAAATGATTGGGACAATCATTTGGGACATCATATCTGATTGGGACATCATAGCTTTTGGTTCCCCTGAGTGTGGTGACTCCTGTAACTCCATATGCCTCCATAGGGACCCTGAAAGCTGTGTCTATGAAGTTATTGTAAGATATTGGCTACTGTGGTGCATGGAGCTTCTAGGCCAGGGTGATTCTTACACCTGCCTGATGTGGATCTTGTTGCTTCACACCTGAAACATCATTTGAGAAGCCTGGGAAGTGGTGTGGCTGCTGCATGGCTGCTCCAAGAACTACTCCCATGGGAGAGGAGCTCCCAACAGTGCCTTGCCATCCAGCTTTGATTTCTACCTTACATACCTCTGAATAAACTGTTGCCAAATGAGAGAAAAAAAAAAGAATGCTCATGTTGCTGATGAGAGTGTAAAAGTGGTATAACCACTTGGGAAAATAGTTTGACAGTTTCTTATAAAGTTATGAATACCCTTGCCATAAAACAGTAATTTCAAAACTTGGTATTTAGCCAAGAGAAATAGAAATGTTTTTCCATATAAAGAGTTGTACATGAATGTTCATAACAGCTTTGTGCTCCAAACTGAAAGCAAGCCAAATGTCCACCAATAAATGAATGAATAAACAAATTGTGGTATATTAATATAATAGAATTAATTAATAGAATAGAATAAAAAGGAAAGTAAACCACAGATTCATACATGATTGAATTTCAAAAACATTAGATATACTACTTTCCCATGAAATTCTAGAGTCAGCTAAAGTAATATATAATGGCATAAAGCAAATCAGTGGTCCCTGGGGCTGGAGGTGGGGGCAGTGGGAGGGGGACTGTAAAGGGGCCCCAAGGGTAATGGAAGTGTTTCATGTTTTCATTGTGGTGGGGGTCACATTTTATTTTTCACATGCCTGCCAATGTATGTCACATACCTGCCAATACATGTCAAAATGTATTGAACTTTACATTAAAATTAGAACATTTGTTGTATGTAAATTATACCAATGGAATGAAAATACAAATTATATCTCAGTGAGGTTGACTGAAAAATAATTCATGAGACAGCCAAGGATCACTGAACATTGAAGGAAAGCATGTAATATGGAAGGCAGAGGCCTAGGGAAAACACATAGAAGAGGCAAGATGAAGAAAACAGACCTTTTATGGATAAGAAAACATTAAAAAATAAAATCTCACCATTAATCTTCAGAGATATCTTCTTCAAAAATGATACATCTACAAAACAAGAAAGGTTGCTATAGGAAAAGATTATTCAGAGAACAAAAAAGAACTTTTGTAAATTAAAACTACAATAGTAAAAACTTTTTAAACTGAAAAAGGAAAATTGGAAAATTATAGGAAAATCTTCCAGAAAGTAGAAGGAGAAAACTAAAGGGATGAAAATAGAAAATAAAATTAGGGCCCAATTTAGGTCCAAGATGCAAATTATAGGAGTTCCACAAAGAGAAAAGAAAGAAAACAGAGAGGAAAAAAATCATCAAAGAAATAATTCAAGAAAATTTTCCAGAACTGGAGGCTAAGCATTTCCAGATTGAAGGAGCCCATTGAATATCTAGTGGATGAAAACAGACTAAATCACCTCGTGACAAAATTTCAGAAACTAAAGACAAAAAGGAAAGGCTTCTAGAAAGGGGGAATAGTCAAAAACCAGAATTGCTTTAGGCTTCTTGGTTACAGCATTAGAAGCTAGAAGACAGGGACTCTTTCAAAAATTCTGAGGGAGAATTCTAACTGATGTAGAATTTAAAATCTAGCCAAATAGTCGATTATTGATGAGGGTATAATGAATTTTTAGACATGGAGGGTCTCAAAAATGTACTTCTTATGTATTCTTTTTAGAATATTAGTAGTTAGGAAACTACTAGAGATTGTGATTCATCAAAACAAAAGATTAAATGTAGAAAGAGATGGGGGCTGGGTGCAGTGGCTCACGCCTATAATCCCAGCACTTTGGAGGCTGACGTGGGTGGATTCCTTGAGCTCAGGAGTTCAAGGTCAGCCTGGGCAACATGGGGAAACCCCATCGCTACAAAAAATTCAAAAATTAGCCGGGCCTGGTGGCATGTGCCTGTACTGTAGTTCCATCCACTCAGGAGGCTGAGGAGGGAGGATCACTTGAGCCCAGGAGGTAGAGGTTGCAGTGAGCTGAGATTGTGCCACTGCACTCTAGCCTGGGTGACAGAGGGAGACCTGCCTCAAAAAAAAAAAGTGGGAATCAGAGACTGGAGTATCTAGGAAGGAAATGAGGGAACTCCCCAGATGATGGTGAGGAAGAACCCGAGATAACATCTGTATCACAGCCAGCTCAAACTAGAGCAGGTCAGAGGGCTACAGGGGCAGGTACTTCAAGAAAATGAACTTGAATAAATTGCTGATGCATCTGGAGATACCGTGAGCAGATTTGGGGAAGCAACTGAGAATTTGGGCTTGAGTTGGTGATAATAATGCACAAAAAAACTAAGCAAATAGAAAAATTAAGACAGGTCATTCCAGGGCAAATAAAACCTTATTCAGGAAAGGAAAAGTAGCCTTAATTATAGGACACTCATAGTTCAGCTATGAATAATGCTTACATCATCAAAATATTATAAATATTGAATATTAATGTAACCAAATTTATGAAGTAAATGAATTGAGAGCATAAGGAGATGGAAAATATGCGTGCTTGTGAAAAAATCTTGAAG
The DNA here is from genome assembly GCF_000001405.40 of Homo sapiens. NCBI lineage: Eukaryota > Metazoa > Chordata > Mammalia > Primates > Hominidae > Homo > Homo sapiens. The sequence continues at coordinate 72,893,072 of NC_000015.10, read as the reverse complement.
TAGCAGTAGAAGCATGTTATTTAATAATTTAGAGGAAAATGGAATCAGCTAAAGAGTTGAATGTGGTTGCTCCAGAGAAGCAAGAAATTAAGGGAAAGCGTAATGACTGTAATTTTTGTAACAAGTCTTGCAGACCTCTGAAAACCCAGCATGTGATACCTAGCTCCTTGGAGAAATGGCTGATTCCAGGGCTAGGACAGGATGGGTACAAGATAAGCCTAGAGCAGATCGTTGTGCCAGAAAGTAACAAAGTGCTCGAGGAATGCTGGAAGCAGTTCACAAGGACATGAGCCAGCTTGAAGGGGCTCCCTCTGGCCATCTCTGGGACACCCTGAACACCAAAATACTTAAATACAATAATGTGTTATAAACAGGTTGTTGTGAAAAAAATAATAATTAGCCTATACTGAAAATGATAAATAACAAATAGTAAACACATAAATGGGAGAGAAGGGAGGTCTCTTGAAGAAGGCCAGAAGTCCACCAGTGAATGTGGAAGGAGTGCTGGAGTTAGAAAACCATCACTTTGTAATCATCATGCTAAAGATTGGATCAGTCAAGGATCATCAGTAGATACTAATTCTAGAGGAAATTTTGATGAGAAACAGAATATTTCTATGGTCTTAAAGTGTCTATCTACAGGCCACTTATTAGTTGCAATGAAGAAAAAAAGGAAACTAATTCTATAGTGGGAGAAATAGGATGACACCTTGACAGGATGATCAAAATTAAGCACAGCTATGAGGGATCAGTGAACATTATGTGCTTCCAAATGTGACACCCTGAAAAGGACACAGGATCTCCAATACAGTATTCTGGCCATGAAGACATAGCCATAATTTAATCAAAATGAAACATTTACATAAATGAGTAACATCCTAGTTAAAAATGTAGGTGGGAGGGACTGCATTCTCGAAAGAAAAGTCATTGTCATAAAAGTCAAAAAAAGCTGTGAAAATGTTCCAAATTATGACAACTAATCACAATACTTGACCCTAGACTAGATTCTGTGCTGAAGGAGAGAGATGCCATTACAGACATTATCAGAGCAACCGACAAAACTGGAATATGGACAGTAGATTAAATAAAATTATTGTATCAATGCAAGTCATAAATGTATGAAATTGATAACTGTACCATGGTTATGTGAGAAAATATCTCCATTCTTTGGAAATACCAAAGTATTTAGGGGTAAATGACCATGATCTATAACTTACCTTCAAAGGTTTCCCAGAAAAATATTCTGAGAGAGAGAGAGAGAGAGAGAGAAAAACACAATAAAGCAAATGAGTTTAAGATGTTATCAATAAATAAATTAAGATATATGAGTGTTCCTTATTCTATTTTTATTTTTTATAAGTTAGAAATTATTGTCAGATTAAAAGTTTGAAAGAAACTACACACATTTTAATAACTCCAAAATGTTAATTACAAAAGTAATAATACTAAAAAAAGAGTAATAATCCAAGAAACAGTTTTTCTTGTATTATTAAGAAACTTATAAACCTTAAGAAATAAAATATTACAGAAGCATTTGAAAAAAAATCACATTGAGCAAACTGAGTATTGAATAGGTTATTTGGGAAAGGCTAATAAACCACAGATGTCATAGATACAGATAGAGATCAGTTATAGATTAGATAGATAGATAGTAAATTTCCATGTCCTGCTTCATGTTTTTTTCCATCTGGAATCTGTTAATATGTACTCACAATGCTTAAAGTTCAGCATATACTGTATGGTCTCAGTGATTTGAAAAACACTCAAGTATAGCTACAAAAATTATATTTAAGAAAATATATACAACTGAATTTCATTTTCTGCTTCATAAATTTATGTATTTTCCAAACTTTCTCTAATAAGCATATATTACATTTATCAATATGGATGCAATTTTTAAAATCAGCCTTATAATTTTACATGTATTATATGATCAAAATCATGTAAAACTACAGACAGAAAAGATAATGTATAAAAATGATTATGATTATTTCTGGGTGGTGAGAACATGATGTTTTTTTCTTCTTTCAGTGTTTCCATATTTTCCTAATTACTGCTATTATGATAAATCATTTTCTTTTTTATCAATAAGAGAGTTACAGATTATTTTAAAGTGAGGTCCTCACCTCACTCTATGCACCAAAATTAATTCCAGTGATTTTAGAGAATTAATTTTACAAATTTTAGTGAACTAGGAGAACATAAAATCAAATACGAATCAAACCTCTTGAAGGGAGTGGTTTTCAAAACTTAGGAATATTAAGAGAAATCACAAAGAAAAAGATTTGCTATGTAAAAATTGTGTAATATTGTCTTCAGAAAAGCATCTTAAGTCCTGAGGGCGTAACTCCACACATTGGAAGATATGCTGACATAAGCCTCCTAACCATTCAGCCCACTGGCCTTAATCTTCGTCCAGTCCCCTCGCCTTCCCAGCTCAGGTTGGCCCTCGTCATTCATTCCCTTCACTCCCACCTCTCCTGCAAGACAACCTGAGGGGTTCTGGTGCAACAGGCACCCTTCTTGACCTTGGCATGAAGCAATTGCAATTCTTGACACTCTCCATCCCTCTCTTTGCTTCCTGACTCTACTAAGGATGAAAACTAGAGAAAGCCAGTATCCCTTTTTTTTCATCCCACTTCCTGCCAGAAGGCTCTCTTCCCAGCTTGGCCAAGGACTCCTGCAGAAGGGCCAGTGAGGCATCCTCCTCTCTCCAGGACGCGTCTTTGTCTCGATCGCAGTGCTGTCTCCGGCAGCGAGGCACACCATCTGCTCATGCCTCCCACCAGCTGCCGTCTCAGCTCTCTGTCTCCCCTGAGAACACCCTGACTTTCAGGCCCATGGTATTCTCTCCCGCCCTTGCTCAGGAGGGGGCCTTATCTTCTGGGAGCTTTCATAATCTCTCCCCATCACTTAGCATAGCCCTGGTTTCCCCGTGAGGCCCGAGATCTGGAGCCCTCCCTGATGAGTCCCCTACTGTCATCTATGCCATCACACGGGGTGATAGCAGAGGGCGTGCATCTTGGGAAGTGCTTGAGAGAGCTCACAGGGGACTTATAGCTTCCGCCAGGAGGAAAACAGATCCTGGGGCTCCAAGTCCCAGGGGATCTTAGTTTCAGTTCCCATATGGAGTCTCAAACCTGTGAATCATAACCAAAGTTGAAATTTTACTTTGGTATCTGTGTAGGGAACACTCTCTTCACACTGCTTCTTTCTCTGCTCTCACACCACCGTGGCAACAGTCACCTACATAGAAGGCTTCTGTGACCAAAAGTTTCCCACACACACACCAACCAGTGGACGCCAGCTGGGTGTCCTCCAATTCAATTACTGATGCTATCCACCTGGAGAGTGTGTCAGATCCCACAAGCTGGGGGCTCAGTGCCCAAGACTGCCCCTAATATCCGCAGACACCAGTCGCCAGTCTAGGCTTCTGGAACTTCTGATCACCTGGCTTCAAGTTGGGGTCTCCATGATCCCCTCTTTAGGTTCAATTAATTTGCTGGAGCGGCTCATGGAACTCAGGGCAACACTCACATTTGCTGATTTGTTATAAAGGATATTACAAAGGAGGAGATGTGTAGGGTGAGGTATGGGGGAGGGGGCGCGGAGCTTCCATGCCCTCCCTGGGCACCACCCTCCAGGAGCCTCCACGTGTTCAGCTATCTAGAAGCTCTCTGACCCCAGTCCCCTTGAGATTTTATGGAAGCTTCATGATGTCAGTGTCCCTTCCCCCAGTGTATAGGGTGGGACCCTCCCTGGACAAGGTCCTAAGGCTCTAAGGCCCACCATCAGAAAGGTGGGGGAAGATCACAGTCCCACCTTGAAGCAGGTGAAAGGAAGACAGGAGAAGACTGGAGAGAAGAGCACGTCCATTTAGCTCAGACTCTTTTTCCACCTAGAATGCTCTGCCCGGCATGTTTCCACATTTTTAAGTCAGGCACATCCGTCAGACCCGGAAGAAATGCTATCTCCTTCGGGAAGTCTTCTGTGCTCTTCCAGATGAATGTCATCATTCCTCCTTCTCAAATTCCCTAGTACTGTATTCAGACATCCCCTGGGAAGAATGTATGCCATCCACACCCTGCTACAATGCCTGTCCCCTCCCTTTCTCGGCCTGCTTCTGAGGCCTCAGCAGCAGCAAAGCCCAGCTTGGTCAAGTTACAGCATCAACCAAATTGACTGAGCCAAGCTGCTTGCAGACCCAGACCCATCACGGTACTCATTCTCAGTGAATGGCTGCTGAATGGATGGAGACATGAAATTCCTACCCAGACCACAAAACTCTGTGTGCATGGCTGTCTCATGTCCTGCAACCCTGCAGTCTCCATCATTACCTGCTCTGTGCCAGGCTCAGGACATACGAGCCCAGGAGGTTTCTCATAACACAAATGGGTTACTGGCTTGGCTCACTTTCTTCCTCCCCTCATTATGGGTCAGGTCCCTAGAAGCAGAGTCAGAGATGGAGATTCTTAGGCAAGTGATGTTTTGAGGGAGTGCTCTCAGGAGAAACCCATAGGGGAGTGAGAGGAGCAGGAGAAGGTAGGGGAAGGAGCTCAGTGAGAATGTCAGGGGAAATCCAGCCACAGCTTGATCCCCTGGGGTGCCCTGGAGCACAAAGTGCACCATCAAGGTCATCCTGCCCAGAGGCAACAGGGCTGGGCTGGTAGACACCCCCCCCACACACCTATCAGCTATTGGCCACAATGCCTCCAGAGTAGGGTAAGAGGGGTCTTGTAACCTCCCACACCTCCAGCCTCCAGGGAAGGGTACAGATGTGTGCAATTAGCAGCCAACACCCACAGCAGCTCAGAGATGGGAGCACTGGCTCGGTAAAGGGTGTCTAGGTGAGACACCAACAATATCTATTGTACCTCCTTACTTTTTCTCAATCACACATATTTTCTTTTGACATGTCTGTCACCAGCTTACTCATTTTTTTTTTAATCTTCATAGTTGGACATGAACACAACCAACTAATTCCAATCTTGATCAATAATACTGAAGTCCCAGACTCCCTGCTTCCATGGACTAGACAAGGGTTCATTTGGAATTGTTACCACCGAATTTTAGACACCATCTAGTGTTGTTTCTCCATTTCATAGATGAAGAAACCGAGGCACAGAGAGACACGCTTTACCTTGTCCAGAAAATTTTGTGGCAGAACCGAGGCAGAGGCTGCCTAACTGTCAGGCAAGAGCTATTCCACCATACCTCTATTTCTGCTTATAGCATTGCATTAGGACTACTTTGCTAAGATTTTCCAATCAATCATTATTGGAAATGACTATTAGATGGAATGCTTGGGAAAAAGTTACATGCCAGGAGGAGTATTCCCTCCTGTGGTTTATGTCTTAGATGAGGACATGGAGTTAAGCCAGATATAGAACCTACTTTAAACCTTACAGAGTTTTTAAACCAAACTTGAACCTTCTGGAGTTCATTTATTTATTCTTGGCAACTTTCAGCTTCCTGATTCTTGGAAAGTTGCTGGCTCATTTAGAAGAAAAACTCATGAGACTTCTTGTGCATTGAGTAGCTCCTACAAAACAATCTTTTGAAGTGTAAAGTGTAAATGAATAAGAAGCAGAAGACAGACGTTCTCCTAAAATACACATGGATGTAATCATTAAGGCAACAGGCACTCTAGCAAAATGCATAATTGTTTCTTGTGCCTGAAACACTGTGGAAATAGACTTGTGCTCAGCAAATCCCAATCATGGTAGAGTATTTCCTTTGTCTGAGACTCTCCTTAACTATGTGAGTGACATAGGTTGATGCCAAAGGGCAGCAGAGGGGGCAGGCCAGGCCTAGATTCACTCCACACTGTCTCCCAAGCATTTCTCTTGCAATAATATCCTCTATCAATCGAGCTTCTTTCTGCTTCCTAATTCAAATTGGTCAGAATCATGTGATGCCTAATTAGGACTACTGCTTTTCTGCATTTAAAAGCCTAATACTCCGAAGTTTGAATGCCATGAAAGAAGGGTCTCCTCAGAAGACAGATAATTTCTTTTGATACATATAAAAGCTTTTTGCTTCTTATTTGGCCTTTAGGAGACTAAGAGCAATTGGTCTTAGTCCTGCTTCACACTTCGGGTTTCTTCTAGCCCAAGTTCAGTTCAAGTTTCATTAAGATTTCTTCCTTTTTTTGCGAGGGGCAGTGGGGAGATAGGGTTTCGCTCTGTCACTCAGGCTGGAGTGCAATGGTGCAGTCATGGCTCACTGCAGCCTCAACCTCCCAGGCTCAAGCAGTCCTCCCACCTCAGCCCATGCCACTACCAAACCTGACTAATTTTTTTTTATTTTTTGTAGAGATAGAGTTTCACCATGTTGCCCAGGCTGGTCTCAAACTTCTGGGCTCAAGCGATCCACCCGCATTGGCCTCCCAAAGTAAGATTACAGGCACGAGTCAATGCACCCATCCCAATTTCTTAAACAGTTCCATTGTGTTGTATGTTATAGAAGATGGCTTTCTTCCTTAATAGCCGGTCTATCTGTTGAGGCAAAGAGCAAAATAAGCAACTGTCTAGTGTCCAGAAACTCAGTATGGTTGTTCTGGACAACTGGTTCCCAGTTCACCACCCACATTACTCCTCTTCAGCATGATCCAGGGAGAGTATTGTAAATTCTCCCTCCACTGCACAGTTAACACGGACCATCACCCCTCCCACACAACTGCAAAAAATGTTCAAGGCCAGTTTTAATTATGTTCATGAGCTATTCAACATTCCAGATCTCCCTACTATTTTGAAAGTTGGCAGATACAGCATAGCTGAGTAGATGGGGCACAGGCTTTGGAGTCAGCTGACCCAGGTTTAAATCCTGGTTTTCCTCCTCATTAGCTCTGTGGCTTTGGGTAAGAGACTTGACATTTCTGAACCTAAGCTTCCTCATCTGTATACTAGAGGTAACATTGCTTAGCTTGCAGGGTAGTCGTGAGGGTCTAATGAGTTTATGTTCAAAGATGACCAGCCCAGAGTCGGTGCTCAAAAACTGGGAGTAGTTACTATTATTCTTGTTTTGGTGACATCTGTCCTTCACTGCATATTGTGCAAGGGTACTCAAATCTTAAAGACCTCTGCTGGCATCTGGGGCCAACCTCTGAACCGTTGCTCTGAGCTACTACCACCAGCCACTTACTGTGCTTTTTCTCTTCCTCCCCCCTCAACTCAGCCACAGTGAGGAGAGTGTAGACTCATGAAGGACTGAAACGACTTGCTCAAGGTTTCTCAAATGCGGTAGGCCCTCCTGAGTAAGGGGATCCCAGAATTATCACGCCTTATTATTTCCTGAGCTTTTCAATGGAGATGGGGAAATATTTTAAAGCATCGGCTCTTTTCCTTCTGATTTATGTCTACTTCTGACTTAAAAAAAATCAGCCATTGGCTGCTGTGTACTCTAGCTCCCACCAGACCTGGCCAAATTTCCAGGTATTTCCAACTACAAATCAGGTGCCTGGAAATGTGGGCCTGGAGTTTGGAAAAGGGGTAGAAGATGGATACATGGATTTTGACATCCTCTAACTGAGATGTTAGCTGAGCTTCTGGGCAGTGAGTGCAGTCTCATATGCTAAGAGATCATGTGCAATATGTAATATGATCTATGATGTAATAGCCAAGAACATTTTGATAAAGAAAAATAATGAGAGAAGAGCTCACCCCACCGGATGTGAAGACATATATAAAACTAGTTTGAAAGAAAAAAAGTGGTACAGTGCCTGATAGAACAAGATAAGCAGTCAGACCATAGTACACATATAACAACTTAATATGTGATTAGTAAATGCCTCCGGGTCATGTAATTGTTGATTAGTTATTTTGAAAAATCCAGTTAAGTCTTGCGGCAGAGACAGATAGTGCTTATCAAATATTCTATGGGATCCCCCCAGCTGGAAACAAAAGACTTTAAGATGGTAGAGTTGCAGGTAGAAGCAGCCTGGGTCCCTGAGTCACTGCCTGGAAGAGCACCAAACAAGGAATGCCATCCAAACATCACTGGGCTTAATGTGAGTGAAACCTAAGGCTTTGCTGTGTTAAGGCATTAGATTTCAGGGTTTGGCCATTGTAGCAGCTGGCATTAATTATCTCAAATACCAACACCTTTGCACCTTATACCACATATTAAAATCAAAATAAATTCTAGTTAGGATAAGAAATAAAATGTTGAAAACAGAAAATAAAGGTGGATGTTTATTCAGTCATTGGAAGGGGTTTTCCTAGGCCTGAAAGCAGTAGAGTAAATTAGAAAAGGGAAGATCCATAGTCTAACTACACACAGATTTTAAAATTCTGTTTGAGACAGATTTGAATTTCAAAACAGAATTGAACAACACTTGGGGAAAGTGTATTTGTAGCAAATATGATAAAGGGTTAATATCTTCAATATTTACTGAGCTCATAAAAATGGAGGCCAAGGGAGAGAGAAAGGATTATCTGAAGCAAAGTTTTAATCATAGCTGGCTTGTCCTGTTACCTGAAATGTTTCTGAGTTCCCTGTTGCTGCCAGTTGGTTTGCGTTCTGTACATGCAAACTGTATTTAACATTGGTTCGAACCCAACCTAATTAGTAAAGTCAATCTGCCGCAAAGAAAAGATCATTATAATGCTTCGTGCGGCCAAATGTCCATGATGTGCTGCATGTGTTATTGGAAGTTCTCCACATGACTGCTCCCCTCTGTTGGTGCAAGAAATTTAGGGCCGGTCATACGCCCCTTTCCAGGAGCTTAAGAGGAATGGTGGGATTGTCCCCTGGAACAGAGGCAGGAGCAGACAATGGAGAAATTTGAGGCAGTTTAAAAAACTCATCCTGCTTGTACTCATTGAATTATATTATGGATGCCATCGTGTAGTGCTACTTACCTTCTATGCATTACCTCATTTAACCCTCACAACAGCCCTATAGCTAGGTATCATTTTCTCTTTTTCAAATAAGGAAACTGAGGCTCAAGCTGATGAAGTAATTTGGCCAAGGCTACACAGGAACTGGCAGAGCTGAGATCTGAACCCCAGTATATATGACTCCAGGGACATATAACCAGTCGCTGCCCATATTACCTGCTGCTGAAATATAGAAAGGCTCTAAATAAATGACATTTCTTGGCAGTAGCAGGGCTTGAGGGGCATAGGAGGATATGGGAGAATGGATACAGAGGGAGGCAAGGGTACAACTTCTGTTGCCAGCTACTTTCTGACCTGAAACAACTAAGGAAATTCCAGACAAAATAAATTAAACAGCAGTTTTCAAGATACTGGATACTGGAAGAACAGTGATCCTTAGGAGATGGGAAACAAATTATAGGAGTCCCACAATTGCCCCACCTATCTGCCAGGCCACGTTGCAAGAAGGGGGAACCCAGGCAGAACCCAGAAGTCCCCTTGAGATGGGGAGATGGAGGTGGGGTGCCAAGACAACTAGAATTCACACACCAGAGAATGAAAAATAAAAGGCTACACAGGCAGAAAGCTCCAGCAATCTATAGAGAGTCCTCTTTGAGTCTTCAGCTACTTCTCATCAGTTCACATAAGTGAGGAAACAACCCAAGACCAGGGAAAGAATAAAGATTAGGGGGGAAATTCCTGGAGATCACACAAGGCTGCAAATGGTTCTTGCTTTCAACAGCCAGATTGGAAAACCTCAAGATTTATGAGGCATTGGGTAAGAGACCCAAAAGGATTTTACCTAATTTGTGGGGGCAAAATTAGTCCTAGAATAAATTCTTTTCTGGTTCAAACAAAGCTTAAAAGCAATACCTAAAAAGGTCAAACTGTTTCCAAGTAACTTAACTGAATCCCAGAATAAATCTCAAGGATCTTATAAGAATAAAAAATATATATATTCAGTACCCAACAAGTCAGATTCACAACGTCTGATGTCTAATAAAAAATTAAATATGAAAACAAGTTGGCTAATAAGATGCATAATAAGGAGAAAATCAATAAATTGAAACTGATGCAGAAATGACACAGGTGATACAATTAATAGATGGGGGAATTAAAAGTTATTATAACTGCATTCCATGTGTTCAAGAAGCCAGAGGAAAAGAAAGTTTGGGCATGTTTAGTAGAGACGTGGCAGATAGAAAACAAAAAAAAAAAAAGCAATGTCTAGAGATGAAAAACTACAATGTATGAGACGAAACATAAACTGGATAGAATTCAACACCACAGAGAAAAGAATACTGAATTTGAAGATATAACAATAGAAACTATCTAAAATAAAATACTGAGAGAAAAAAAGACTGAAAAACAGACAAAGCATTAGTGAGCTGTGGGACAACTTCAAGAAGCCCAATACACAGGCAGTTGAAGCTCCCAAAGGAGGAGAAGACAAGAAAAAAAAAAAGTAGAAAAAAAATGGCTGGAAATTTTCCAAACTTGATGAAAACTATATAATCACATATTCAAGAAGCTCAACAAACTCAAGCACAAGAAACATGAAGAAAACTACACCATATATTATAAGCAGTTGCTTAAAACCTGTGAGAAAGAGGAAATCTTTAAAGTATCTGGAGTAAAATACCCCTATGTACAGAGGAACAAAGATAAACATGGCAGGAGACTAATCAAAAACAATGTAAGCCATAAGAGTGAAACCACATTTTAAAAATACAGAAAAAAAAGTTAACCTAGACTTTTATACCCAGCAAAAATATATTTCAAAAGTGAAGATGAAATGAAGACTTTTAAAATCATATAAATGCTGAACGAATTTATCACAAGCAGGCTACAGATACGTTAAAGCAAGTGCTTCAGGCAGAAGGAAAATGATACCAGATACAAATGTGTCCCTACCCAAAGGAATGAAGAGCACTGGAGAGGATATAACTATGCGTCTAAATAGACTGTTTATCTTGTTTAATCTCTTTAAAGCACAGCTGACTCTTTTTTTTTTTTTTTTGAGATGGATTTTTGCTCTTGTCCCCCAGGCTGGAGTGCTGTGGTGTGATCTCAGTTCACTGCAACATCCGTCTCCCAGGTTCAAGCGATTCTCCTGCCTCAGCCTCCCAGGTAGCTGAGATTACAGGCACCTAATTTTTGTATTTTTAGCAGAGACAGGGTTTCGCCATGTTAGCCAGGCTGGTCTCGAACTCCTGACCTCAGGTGATCCACCCATCTCGGTGTCCCAAAGTGCTGGGATTACAGGCATGAGCCACCATGCCCAGCCAGCTGACTCTTTATAGCAAAAATGATAGCAAGGTATTTGGGAGGGAAAAATGGAAGTATATTGTTGTAAGGTTATTACACTTACATGAAATGGTATAATATCATTTGAAGGTGGAATGTGATTATTAAAAATGTGTACTATACACCTTGAAGCAGCCCTAAGAAAAGGATAACTGGTAACTCTACTAAGGACATAAAAAGAAATAATTAAAAATACACAATTAATTCAAAAGAAGACTGAAAAAGAATACAGAAAACAGCGAGTTATTAGAGTTTAAAAGCTCTATCAAATCTAACCATATTAAAAAATCACATTAAATGTTATGGTCTAAGAGTCCCAGAAAAAGGCAAAAATTATCAAATTGGATAAATAAAGCAAGCTACAACTATAGGCTGCCAACAAGAAGCTCATTTTAATTATAAAGACACAAATAGGTTAAAAGGAAAGGGAGGATGTGATGGTTAATTTCAGGTATCAATTTGATTGGATTAAGGGATGTACAGATGGCTAGTAAAGCATTATTTCTGGGTGTGTCTGTGAGGGTGTTTCCAGAAGAGACTGCCATTAGAATCCATGGAGTGGGTTAGGAAGACCCATCCTCACTCAATGTGGGCCCACACTATTCCGTCGGCTGAGGCCAAGATAGAATTAAAAAGCAGAGGAAAGGCAAAGGTGAGTTCACTTTCTCTCTGTCTTCGGGGCCTGACACCCTTCTTCACCGGCTCTTGGATATCAGAACTCCAAACTCTCCAACCATTGGGCCCCAGGACTTGCACTAGCAGCCCCCTGGGTTCTTGGGCGTTCAGCCTTGGACTTAGTTACACTGTTGGTTCCTCTGGCCCTCAGACCTCTGGACTTAGGCTGAGCTAACAGCGTCCCTGGTTCTCCAGCTTGCAGACAGTCTTCTGTAAGACTTCTCAGCCTCTGTAACCATAAGAGCCAATTCCCCTAATAAATCTCTCTTCTCCTCTCCTCTCGTCTCCTCTGCTCTCCTCTCGTCTCCTCTCCTCTCCTCTCCTCTGCTCCCCTCCCCTCCCCACTTTTCTTCCTCTCTTCTCTCCCTTTCCTCTCCTCTCCTCCCCTCCCCTCCCCTGCTTTCCCCTCCCCTCCCCTCTTCTCTTCCTCTCTTCTCTCTCTCTCTTCTCTCCTCTCCTCTCTCCTCTCCTCTCCCCTCCCCTCCCCTCTCCTCTCCTCTTCTCTCCCTCTCTTCTCTCCCTCTTCTCTCCTCTCCTCCCTTCCCCTGCCCTCCCTTTCCCTCCCCTCCCCTCCCCTTCCCTCCTCCTCCCTCTCTCACCCCCGCACCTCCCTGCTCCTGTCTCTCTCTCGGTTCTACCTCTCTGGAGACAGAATGGTAATACCAATGGTAAGAGATACACCATGTCCTATTAGATTCCTAGGGCTGACTTAACAAATTACCACAAACTTAGTGCCTGAAAAGAACATAAATTGTTTCTCTCACAGTTCTGGAGGCCACAAGCCTGAAATCAAGGTGTTGACAGGGCCATAATTCCTCTAAAGGCTCTAAGAAGAATTCTTCCTTGCCTCTTCCAGCTTCTGGTGGCTCCTGGCACTCCTTGGCTAGAGGCAGCACAACTTCAATATCCCCCTCATTCTTCACATGGCCTTCTCCCTGCTTCTCTGATATCCTTTTCTGTCTCTTATAAGGACACTCTTATTGGATTTAGGGCCCACTAAATTCAGTATGATCACATCTCCATCCTTACCTTAATTACACCTGCAAAGACCCTATTTCCAAAAAAAGGTTACATTCTGAGATTCCAGATAAACATGAATTTCGGAGGGACATTTTTCAACCCACTAAACTTGCTAACACTAAACAAAAGAAACCTGGGGTGACCATGTTAATACCAGATGAAGTAGATTTCAGAACAACAAATATTTCCAGGGATAACTAATGTCATTTTATATTGGTAAAAGGGTCAATTAATCAAGAAATATCAAAATTCTAAACATTTATGCACTTAATAACAACTTCAAAGTACATGAAGCAAAAATTGATGGAATTGGAAGGATAGACAAATTCACAATTATAGTTGGAGATTTTGACACTCTGTCCAAATTGATAGAATGAGTAGAAAGATAATGTGTAGAATATAGAAAACATGAAAAGCAGTATCAACTGACAACTTAATTGACATTTATAGAACATTCCACATAACAGCAGCATGTACCTTCTTCTCAAGTGCACACAGAATGTTTACAGAGATAGACTATATTCTGTGCTATAAAATAACTCTCAGTAACTTTAAAAGGAGTCAATTTGGCTGAGTGCAGTGGCTCACACCTGTAATCCCGGCACTTTGGGAGGCCAAGGCGAGTGGATCACTTGAGGTCAGGAGTTCGAGACCAGCCTGGCCAACATGGTGAAACCCCATCTCTACTCAAAATACAAAAATTGCCAGGCGTGTGGTGGTGCACGCCTGTAGTCTCAGCTTCTAGGGAGGCTGAGGCAGGAGAATAGCTTAAACCCGGGAGGCAGAGGTTGCAGTGAGCCGAGATCGCGCTACTGCACCCCAGCCTCGGCAACAGAGTGAGATTCAGTCTCAAAAAAAAAAAAAAGGAGTCAATTCATACAAAATATATTCTCACACCACAGTGAAATAAGATTAGAAATCAATAACATATATCCCTAGGAAACCTCCAAATATTGGGAAACTAAATGATACACTTCTAAATAGCCCATAAGCCAAAGAAAAAAATCAAAGGGAATTAGAAAGTATTTTGAACTGAATAAAAATAAAAACACAATGTATCAGAATTTGTGGGATACAATTAAAGCAATACTTAGAGGGAAATTTATAACATTAACTGTCTATGTTAGAAAAGAAAGATCTCAAGTCATTGAACTAAGCCTCCACTTTAAGGAACTAAGAAAAAAATAGCAAGTTAAACCCAAGGTAAACAGAAATCAAACTGATATCGGAGAAACAATAGAGAAAAATTAATAAAACCAAAAGGTCGGTATTTATTGAAAAGATCAATAAAATTGATAAATCTATAGCCACAAAAAAAAAAAAACAGAAGACACAAATTGCCAATATTAGGGATGAAAGAGATAAATAAGAGATTCTAGAAAAGGGTAAGAGAATATTAATCTAGATAACCCTATATATATTAAAGAAATTTAATTTGTAGTTAAAAACATTCCCACATGCACAAAACAAATTCCAAGTCTAGACGGCTTTACTGATTAATTGTATCAAATCTTAAAAAAGAAGTAATTCCAATCCTACACAAACTTTTCTAGATATTAAAGATGAGGGAATACTTCCCAATTTATTCAGTGATGAAGGCATTATTACACTGCTACCAGTCAGACAGACATTAGAAAAGCAGAGGTGAGAACAGATAATTACCAATCTACATCTCTAGTAAATGTCAATTAAGAGCAAAATGTCAATTAAAAACAAAATGTCAATTAAAAGAAAAACAAAAACAAAATTATAGAAAATTGAATCCGGCAATATATTAAAAGGAAAATGGCTATGTTCTTAATGTTTGTATCCGAAATTCATATGTTGAAGTCCTAACTAATGAAATGGTAGCATTAAGAGGTGGGGTCTTTGGGAGGTGATTAGGTCATGAGGATAGAGCCCTCCACCCTTCCTCCATGTGAGGATACAGCAAGAAGACCCTGTATGAACCAGGAAATGGACCCTCACAAGATACTGAAACTGCTGGCACCTTGATCTTGAACTTCTCAGCCTCTAGACCTGTGAGAGATAAACTTCTGTTGTTTATTAGCCACCTAGTCCATAGTATTTTGTTATAGCAGCCCAAACAGCCTAAAACAATGATATATCACAATAAGGTGGGTTTATTCCACTAATGTAATATTGGTTGAACATTAAAAATTATTGAATAAGTTGGGTGCAGTGGCTTGCATCTGTAATCCCAGCACTTTGAGAGGCTGAAGTGGGAGAATCACTTGAGCCCAGGAGCTTGAGACCAGTCTGGGCAATACAGGAAGACCCTATCTCAAAAAATAAAAAAGTTACCTGGGCATGGTGGCATGTGCCTGTGGTCTCAGCAACTCAGGAGGCTAAGGTGGGAGGATCACTTGAGCCCAGAAGGTCGAGGCTGCAGTGAGCCCTGATTGCACCCCTGCACTTCAGCCTGGGTGACAAAGTGAGACCCTGTCTCAAAAAAAATACATTGACTAAAATATGGTCATCTCTATAGATGCAGAAAAAAACATTTGGCAGAATCTTACATCCATTTCTGATTTTTTTTTAAGGAAAAGAACACTTCCAGAAAACTAGGAATAGAAGTTTCACAACCTAATAAAGGAGATCAACAAAAGTCTACAAAAACCTAAGCACATCATGTTTAGTGGTGAAAGACTGGATGCTTTCCTCCTAAAATCAGAAAAACCTAGGATATCCACTCTCATAACTTCTGTTCAACATCGTAGTGGAGATTCTAGCCAGTGAAATAAGGCAATGAAAAAAAAAAAGACATACAGATTAAAAAGGAAGAGATAAAATTGTCTCTGTTTATGGACAACATTATTACCTTATAAAAAATCTTACGCAGTCTTCAAAAGTTACCAGAATAAACAAACTTAACAATGTTGTAGGACAAAATAAGTAAAGAAAAATCAATCTGTTTATACCAGAAATGAAGAATCCAAAATTTAAATTTAAAAACCTACACCATTCTCAATAGCATCAACAAATATTAATAAAATGCTTAGCAGTAAATCTGATTTTAAAAAAAGGTATGCAAGGACTGTACACTGAAAATTATAAAACACCTGTGAAAGAAATTAAAGATAACCTAAATGAAGACATATGCCATGTTCATGGTTTGGATAATTTAATATTGATATCAATTCTCCTTAAATGGATCCGTAGATTCAATGCAATCTCAATCACAAGCCCAGGACAGTTTGTAGAAATTGGCGTGCTTATTTTAAAATTCATGTAAGTCAAAAAAAGGACCTAGAGTAGCTAAAAACAAAAATTCATGTAAGTCAAAAAAAGGACCTAGAGTAGCTAAAAACAACTTTTAAAAGGAAGAACAAAGTAGGAGGATTTACACTACTGTTACTGGTGGAGGCTGTCCAGTTCTTGGCGAATTGGACAAAATGCACAAACAAAGCAAGGAAAGGAAAACACAGATTTATTGAAATAAAAGTACACTCCACAGAGTAGGAGCATGCTTGAGCAAGCAGATCAAGAGGTCTGGTTACAGAATTTTCTGGAGTATAAATACCTTCTAGAGGTTTCCCATTGATTACTTGGTTTATATCCTATGTAAATGAAGTAGTGGCCTGCAACCAGTCTGATTGGTTGTGGAAGATAACTAATCAGAGACTGACGTGAAGTTACAAAGTTACACATGAAGACTTGGCCTGAGACCAGTCTGATTGGTTGCAGGAGGGGACCAATCAGAGGTACTTTCGTTTTTCATCTGCAATGCAGAAAAGTGAAGGGGTTGCAAAGGGAATAGCCTCTGATCCTTTTGTTACATGGATATGGAGAGGTGGGGGTTTTTCTTTTGATTCAGTCCTGGGAAGTCAGCATGAATTGGCCTTAGGTTCCCTGCCTCCAGACCCTATTCTCTTGCCTCACTACTGATTTCAAGTCTTCTAAAGTTATGGTATTCAAGAAGGCATGGTATTGGTATAAAGAAAGACAAATAAATTAATGGAACAAAATAGAGTCCTGAAGTAGACCCAAAACAGATAGACTGATAGATTTTAAAGAAAGACGCAAAGGCAATTACTTGTGGAAATGATAACCTTTTAAACAAATGATGCCCAAATTTGGCTTATTAAATATTCATAGGCCAAAAAAAAAATCCCCTCCAATTCTCACCTCACGCTATCTACAAGAACAAACTCAAAATGGATCATAAAGCTAAACGTAAACTTAGAACTATAAAACTTCTAGAATAAAATCCAGGAGAAAAATATTTGTAAAGTTGATTTAGGCAAAGATTTCTTAAATGCAACAAAAAGTATAATCCATAAAAAGATAAAATTGATAAATCAGACATCAGCAAAATTAAGAACTTCTATTCCTTGATAGACATTATTAGGAGAGTCAAAAGACAAGCCACAGACTTAGAGATAATATTTTCAAAGAAGCATATCTGTTAGGACTTATAAACATAATATATAAAGAACTCTCAAAACTCAGTAATAAGACATACAACCCAATTTTTAAAATAGGTAAAAGGGTTTAAAGAGACACTTCACCAAAGAAGATATATATGGACGGCACAAGAAAACATTCTCAACATCATCAATCATCAGAGAAATGCGAATTATAACCATTACATCCCATTTGAATGTTTAAAATCAAACAGACTGATCATACCAAGCATCAGCAACGAAGTGAAGCCATCATTGTAAGCCTCATACACTGCTGGTGGAAATGTAAATCATGCTACCACTTTGGAAAACAGTCTGGCAGTTTCTTAAAACATTAAACTTACACCTACCATATAACCTGTCTGTTCCACTCCTATATGTTTATCCAAGAAAATGAAAGCATATGTTCATAAAAAGACTTGTACATGAATGTCCATAGCAGCTTTATTCAAACTAGCTAAAAACTGGAAACAACCCAAATGTCCATCAACAGGTGAATGCATACATAAATTATGATATATCCATGCAGTAGACAAGTTCTCAGAAATAAAAATGAATGAACCATTGATACATGCAACAATGTGGATGAATCTCAACATAATTATGTTCAATGAAATAAAAGACAGACAATAGGCCAGACACGATGGCTCATACCTGTGATCTCAACACTTTGGGAGGCTGAGGCAAGAGGATTGCTTGAGCCCAGGAGTTCAAGACCAGCTTGGGCAACAAAGGGACAGCTCATCTCTACAAAAAATTTAGAAATTAGCCAAGCATGCTGGTGTATGCCTGTGGTCCCAGTTACTCAGGAGGCTGAGGTGGGAGGATTGCTTGAGCCCAGGAGGCCGAGGCTGCAGTGAGCTGTGATTGCATCACTGCCCTCCAGCCTGTGTGACAGACCAATAACTTGTTTCAAAAGAAAAAGAAAACAATAACAGAGTACATACTCTATGATTCCATTTACATAAAATTCTACAAAATACAAACTATACTGACAGAAAATAAATCAGTAGTTGTTTGAGGACTGGGGGCAGGAAGTGTAGGCAGGGAGGAGTGGGAAGGAAAGATTACAAAACAGAATTTGGGGACATAATGGATATTTTCATTATCTTGATTGTAGTAATGGTGTCCAGAGTGTACACATACATGAAAACATACCACACCATGCATGTTAAGATGCAGTTCATTGGATGTCTATATCTCAATAAAACTGTTAGAAATAGACACAGAACACTAGGAAGGGAGGGTCTAAGATGTTTGGAGAATATCACTGAGAGAACATTGAGATTCATGACTCTGGAAGGTGAAGGATCCAATAGGTAATAATAGAAATAATAATTGTTATTATAGCTAATGATTATTGTCTGCCTACTATTTTATCATTTCACACAAGGGAAGGTACATGAAGCCCAGAGAATCTAAGCAACTGGCACAGGGTCACAGAACTGGTGAGAGGTGGAACAGGGATTTGGATCCCACACAGTTAACCAGATCACTGGGGAGTTTCTGGAACAGATTGCAGGGAGCCCTGGGTTTTCTATAGCACTGGAGAGATGCTGGCATAAGTTCAGTTGCAGTGACCCCCAGCCCTCCTGACTCTGCTGGGCCCTGCCCAGCCTCCACAAGCTCTTCTCCTCCTGTTTCTGCCGCTGGGCCATGCAGGCAGGGCCATCGCTGACAAGCTCAGATTTCGGCAGCATCGTTCTCATGAATTCCAAGCCAGGAGGCTGGGAGCCAGTGCTCCGAGAGACATTTGAGAAGATGAAGACAAAAGCTGTTGGGAAAAGTGACGCATGAGGGCATGCCTGAAATATCTGCAGGTTCAACTACTTCTCCAAATCATCCCAGAGCAGGCACGTGGCCCAGCAGTGACAGGTGCTCCAGCATGTCTCATGAGGCCTGGGAGAGCTTGCAAGAACCAGAAGAGAAAGAAGCAGACACAGGGAAGCCTCAAAGATCCTTTGCAGGAGGAACCAGACACCATGTAGGGGCTGAAGGCTTCATTAGGTCAGCGTGGCTGGCACAGGAGTGCCCTCCTGCAGAGCCAGCTGTCCTGGGCAGTGAGAGGAGACTCCCATGCATCCTTGTACTCCACGGACACGAGTCAGGATGTGGCCATACCCAACCAAGAACCCCATGGGGCTTTGCTATAGTCAGAAAGTCTGAGCTGGTTCCACTTCAGGGAAGGAAGGGAGGGGGTCCTGCCAGTTTTCTTGGCAGTGGAATTGTGTTTGAAAGATTGTTATCACCAATCTCCTTCTGCGACTGATGGTAGCTCAGGCCAGTATTTCATCAACAGTTCCCATTAGGGTGGCCTCATTGGAAACACCAAAAGGAACTACCACCAATTCCCTCTCCAATCTCCTCCTTCTCCCCTATATTAGTTTCCTATCCGATTACCACACACTTAGAGGCTTAAAACAACATGAATGTATTATCTTACAGTTCTGAGGTCAGAAGTCTGAAATAGGCTTCCCTGGGCTAAAATCAAAGCATTGGCTTGGCTGCTTTTCTTTCTGCAGACTAAGTATAAACCCATTATCTTGCCTTTTCCAGCCTCTAGAGACTGCCTGCTTCCTTGGCTCATGCCCCCTCCCATCTTCAAAGGCAACCATGTCTGGTTGAAGCATCTTTCTCATATCACCTCCCTCTGTCTTACGAAAACCCATGTGATTTCATCTAGCCCACCTGGATAATCCACGATAATCTTATTTTAAGGGCAGCTGATTGGCAAATTTAATTCCATCTGCAACATTAATTCTCCTCTACCATATGACCTAACATATTAGGACAGGTATTAGGACAGAGATGTCTTTGGGGAGCCATTATTCTCCCTACCACAAACCTGCCAAGAGAACTATATGTCTGGTTAATTAAAAGCATTAAACAAATCTTACGTTTCTAAAAAGTTTTTTTTCTTTTGAAAGGTGCGTCATAAGAGCCTTCTTCAGATTTGCTTTGGGCAAGGAGGTTGGTGAACAGGAGAAATTTTGCTTTCGTTCTTGGCAGAAAACATCACCAATGACACCCCACTACCCTCTCCCTGCTGAAAAGAGCCTGGGAGCCACCAGGGAAATGCTTGACTTTGTAAATGTATTTGCAGGCTTCAAATCCAAGCAGGAAGTGAAGCCAAATCCCCCAGGAAAAGATTTTCTAAAATGTCAAGAAGACTGCCATTTCTCAATCCTGAAAAGGTTGTCCACTTTGGGCAGCCAACCGGTTGCCTGTTTACAAAGACCCCTCTCTGTTTATTGTAGCCACAGTTTCCTCTGTGTTAAGCAGCCAAAGGGGAAGGTCTGGCATCCCATGCTCGGGAGAGCCCTTCTTTGGATTCTAGTCTTGCGGGTTGCTGGTCACAGAGCCATGCTGGATCTGGGCTGAGCACTGAGGATATGTTTTAGTTACCTGTGGCTGCCATAACAATTTATCACGAGCTGAGTGGCTTAAAACAACAGAAATTTATTTTCTCACAGTTCTGGAAGCCAGACGACTAAAAATCAAGGTGTCAGCAGAGCTGGCAAGGCTCTGCACAGTGCCGTCTGGAGACTCTGAGGGAGAAACCGTTTGTTCCCTGCTTCTCTTCTAGCCTCTAGTGGCTGTTGGCAATCCTCAGTGATCCGTGACTTGTGGCTGCATCATCCCAACCTCTGCCTTCTCCTTCACATGGTCTTCCTCGGGCTTTCTTCCATTGTCTTTGTCTTTTCCTCTTCTTATAAGGACACTTGTCATTGGATTTGGGCCCATCCAGTTAATCCAGGATGATCTCATTTCAAAGAACCCTTAACTCAATTACATCTGCAAAGACCCTTCTTTTCAAATAAAGTGACATTCACAGGTACTGTGAGTTAGGACTTGGACATTTTGGTTGGGGGTGCACAATCCAACCCCTCCAGGGAGAGATCTGGCTCCCAAATGGCATTGGGTGGAGTCCTGCCACTGAGTTTAAACCCCATCCCTCCAGGTGCAGTGAACTGCTTGAGGCCACCCTGCAGCATCACCACATGGTCCTTTCTAGCCAAAAATACCCTCTCCTCTGCCTGGAAAACTGGTTGCCCTTCAAAATTCATCTGAAGCATCACCTTCTGTATAAAGTCTTCCCTGGCCCAACCTCACAAGTGGTACTGATCAAACAATCTTTGTGTTTTGATTTCCCTGACAAATCAAATCTTGTCTGCTCCTCTATTGTAGCACCTATTACTATGGTTACTTCACACGTCTGTTTCTCCCACTAGGATGTGACAGCCTGAGGATTCAGAAATCCACATGTTCACATGCATCTATTCATTCAGCAAATACAGAGAGCCCACTGTGCATTAGGCACATAAGAATGGCTAAAACTATTCTTAAAAGAAGGCATAGGCCAGGCACGGTGGCTCACGCCTGTAATCCCAGCACTTTAGGAGGCCGAGGTGGGTGGATCACGAGGTCAAGAGATCGAGATCATCCTGGCCAACATGATGAAACCCCGTCTCTACTAAAAAAACAAAAATTAGCTTGGTGTGGTGGCGTGCACCTGTAGTCCCAGCTACTCAGGAGGCTGAGGCAGGACAATCACTTGAACCCAGGAGGCGGAGGTTGCAGTGAACCAAGATCATGCTACTGCACTCCAGCCTGGCTACAAAGCGAGACTCTCTCTCAAAAAAAAAAAAAAAAAAAGGCATAAAAACTAAGAGATCTTATGATGTGGGAGCCCAACCTAACCTAGGTCTGGGAGACCAGAGAAATATTCCTCGAGGTGTCCTTTGAGCTGAAGGCTGAAAAATAAGTAGAAATGAATTAGAAAAAGGAGGGAAGAACATTCTAGGCAGAGGGATTAGCATGGACAAAGACTCAGTGGTGAGAGGAAGCTTAGCAAGTTCAAGGACCTGTAAGAAGCTAAGTGTGGCTGGTGCAGGGCTGGGAGTTCCTGTCATGGCAAAATGACAATGGGGGTGCAGGTCAGGATCAGAGCACACAGGGCCTGAAATTCTCGTAAAGGCATCTAGTCATTATTCATCTTTATATCTGATATGGTTTGGCTGTGTGTCCCTAACCAAATCTCATGTTGAATTGTGATCCCAAGTATTGGAGGTGGGGCCTGGTGGGAGGTGATTGGATCATGGGGCTGGTTTCTAATGGTTTAGCACCATCCCCCTCATGCTGTCTTGTGAGAGAGTTCTCACGAGATCTGGTTGTTTAAAAACATACAGCACTTCCCTCTTCGCTCACTCCCTCTTTTATTGGCCACGTGAAGACGTGCTTGCTTCCCCTTTGCCTTCCTCCATGATTGTAAGTTTCCTGAGGCCTCCCCTGCCATGCTTTCTGTACAGTCTGTAGAATGGTGAGCCAATTAAATCTCTTTTCTTTATAAACTACCCAGTCTCAGATAGTTCTTTAAAGCAATGTGAGAATGGACTAATACAATGTCCCTGCTTAATCAGTGTTGAATAAATGAATGTAAATTGATGATTGTCTATTGAGAGACACCAGAGTACTGTATGTGAAAACAAATAAAAAATGTTTATCCTTTCCAAATGAATTTGCATCCACTAGTGACTATTTAGATTCAGAGTTGAAAGGCTTGTTTCAAGCAAAAATGACTTCTGATATTTAAAAAGTATTTATAAAAAATTACCAGTGTAAGTATTTATTTAAAATTACCAGTGTATTAAGATCTGTACCAAATACTGAACTGGCCTTGGTTCAAATCAGAGGTATTTCTAACCTATAAAGGAAAGAGACTAGAACAAAGTGCTTATAAAACAGCTTAAAAATACCTACCCCTAAAAGGAGGTCAGGCTGCAGCCTGATCATCCAGGTCACAGACAGTGAGCTGCATCAGTCAACAGTTACCTGGGTAGTTGTTAAAAATATAGCTTGTTAAAAATAGAGTAGTTCAGACTCCACCCCAGACCCAGATCAAAATGTCCAGGGGTGGGGCTCAGGCCACTGCCAGATTGCTATTAAGCAACCCCTAAGCAAACCAAAGTTTAAGGATCCCTAACATAGTGACTTTTTTATTATGGTAATATATCTAGTTTTGTGTGTGTGTGTGTGTGTGTGTGTGTGTGTGTGTGTGTGTGTGGCGTGTTAGTGGTGTTATTTATAGTGAAGCTAGAAAGAGGATCAGAACTAGGACAAGCAAGGTGGGGATAGCAATGGATATCAGGAAGGTTGAGAATAGAAAAGGGAATTGAGTAGGGAGGTGAAGGTTAGGCTCCTGAAATAAGCAACCCAGAAAGTACTGATTAGTCTTTCTTATCACTCGACCTCCCCTGGTGGTAGTGAAGATGTTTAGGTTTCTGGGATACTTTGAGGTCTTATTCCCTAGCCCTGTACCCAATAAGGCACCACCTTGACATTTCTCCTTCTTGCTCACAAAGTGTAATCACACCACTGAGAGTCTGAGAGGTGATGACACACCCCAAGCAGTGGGAGCCCAAGAGCCCGAAGTGGAGGTCAACCCAGAAGCCAGAGCTGCCCTGGCTCCCCATATAGCTGGGGTAGAAGTAGAGGTCGGTCCTACAGGACAAACACCAATCCTCCTGGGAGCAGATGGTGTCTATGGCTAGGGATTTGGTCCTTAACAGTGTCCACAGATTGACTGCTTTGCATCCTACAGGCTTGCTACCTGCGAGACTGACAGACCCTTCCAGAGAGCAGGAGGTCAAGGGGCCCAGATGCTGAGCAGGCACACAGGGGAGGGTACACAGAAGCAGCCCATGAACCGGTTCCTGCAGGGTCGCCTGGCTCTCAGCTAGCCCCTGGTGAAAATATTTCATATTTCCAAACACCCCCCCAAATTGTATTTTTTAACATATGAACATCTTTAATACATATAAATGCTTTCCTAGAGCCTGGTTGTCTGGCCTGGGCTCCCCAGCAAGGGAGGAGAGTTCATAGTCTACTTGAAGCTACATACTGGGCAGAGGAATCTATAGAATATTCACACATCAATGTTTGTTTCTGTGTTGCTGGTAAATGGAGAAGGCTTTGGATAAAGGCTGAGGTTAGTTAGAACCTCAGTTCTTCCTCACTTTTTCCTACTTTCAACACCCCTAGTGGGATTCCAGCTCTCAAACCAGCCTCTCTTTGAAGAAGTTGTGCAGACAACTTCAAATAAGGGAAACCTTCACCTGTAAGCCAAGAAGAGACCTGGCTTTTCTCTTGTGTCCTGGGCTTCTTCCTCACCCTGAGGTTAAAGGACCAGAATTTGTGAGGGGGAGGGGAAGAGGATGCAGAGATGAAGCTCTTAATCACACTCTATGGCAGGCCAAATACTGGCCTCCAAAGATGTCTACACTCCAATCCCCAGAACCTGTGATATGTTATGTTACATGGCAAAAGGACTTTGCAAGTGTGATTAAGGTTACCGATCTTGAGACAGAAAGATTGGTAAATTTAATCACACCTGCAAAGTCAAGTGTGAAAGTTCAGCAGAGAAAGGCTCCCAGCTTTTAAGGGCTCAGGCGATTAGACTGGGGCCACCCAGGTGGCTGGGAGCCTTTCCCTGCTCAACTCAGAGAGATGCAACGAAAGAAAAGACAGGAGAAATGTAAACTGTGAGAGGACGCTACCCACCATTGGTGGCTTGGAAGATGGAGGAAGGGGACCACCAATCAAGGAATGCTGGCAACCTCTAGAAGCTGAATGTGACCCTTAGATGGCAGCCAACAAAGAACCCTCAGTCCTACAACTGCATGGAGCCGAATTCTGCCAACAACTTGAATGAACAAAAGCATGGATCCTCCCTTGAACCTCCAGCAAGGAATGCAGCCTGCAGACACCTCAATTTTGACTTCTGCCCTGCAAAATTGTAAGCTAAGAAGCAGATATCATTTTAAGCTGCTGAATGTGTGATCATTTATTACAGCAGCAATAGAAAAACTAATACATCCCCAACACACTCTTATCCCTACCAGAGATCAGGAGGTAAATGGGTGCTGGGAACCAAGCAGGAATTGGCCTAGGCTTTATGGGCTCATACCTGACTGAAGTAGGTTGGGTGAAAATCTATACCCATGAAGGGGTTGTTGGCTTCCTAGACTCTAGCAAGTGGGGATTTGGGCAAGATAAGAGTAGAATCAAAAGATGATCACCACCTTTACTTTCTATCCTTCTATCCAAATAGACAGTGAAAGGGGTTCAGGAATGATCCCTGATTCCATGGGTGGTCAAGTGGTCTTTCTCCTCCTCACTGGCTTGAGTGCATCCTTGAGGGCTGCAATGATCCCAACTACACAGCTTCTCTCTCAGCTCTGGAAGCAGCCCTTGCTGGGATGGGGAATTAAGATTCATGATCCATTGAAGAAGCAGGGAGGCTTGGAAAGAGTGCACCCCAGAATCCTTCCCCAGGCTCAGCATTCTTCCCACCCACTCTGGGCAAGGGAGTTTTGATCCACCCCCGGAGATGAGAAAGGCTCCCACTCACTTGTTTCCAAGGGTGGGGGTGGGGTGGGCAGGGGAGGGAATCCCACACTGGGACTGTGACTAAGACTAAATACAGATCAGGGCTCAATCTGTGTCTCCAGGGTGAGTACACACAGTGCTGAGTGCCAAGATGGTGCAGAAAGAGCACTGTGGGCCCACAGGAGCAGCTGCAAAGCACCTTGGGAAGCTCCTTCTCCCCAGCCATGGCTGGGAGAAGCCAGAGGTCTGCTGACGGCAGTTCTCTCCCTCTTTAAGGGTGTGCTAATGGCCTAAGCAAGAAGGGCTGTTCCCAGGAGACACCAGGGGCCAAGCTGTCAGGAGACAGTGAGCCCATGAGCCAGGGGCAACCCCATCGCCTAGAGTACACACTCTCCCAGAGCCAGTGTGGGCTCCCATGACTCCTCCAGAGTGGCCAGCACTGGGCAGTTGCTTATCAAGCAAGGTGAAGGGGCTGTACGGACACCTGAGGCCAGGTGGGGATGTCCGTGAGAGGACAGTCAGGACTTCTCCATCCTTTCCTCAGCTCCCTGAAAGTTGCACATTCAAGAACTTTCTCACCCTTGCCCCAACCTCCCTCCTGGCAACTCCTTTGCCACGCTTGATTACTTCTGCCAATGTACCATGCACACTAGGCCTCTCTGACTTCGCTTATGCCAGACCTTTGTATAGAATGCCTTCCCTGTCTTGCCAAAATAAATGCAGTCTTCAAAGTCCAGTCCAACCGTCACCCTCCCTGGGGAGCTTTCTCCAACTTTTCCTCATTTCCTACTCCAATTTAAGTAGAATTATTTCTTTGCTATTAAGAGTATTTATATTACTTGGCACACACTTTATGGGTACATTTGTTGCAGACTAAGATTTTGAAATATTAACCAAGGAATTCTACCCCTCTCCCTGTATTTTCCTTCAGCCTGGATTTCTCTCCTGGTCTGAACCAGGTGAGTCATCACTCATTGCCTTAGGCAAAAGTTGACACAGCAGAAGATGAAATCAATTCTCAGCCTTTGAGTTTCAAAAGCCTTGTCATAAAGAATTATGGAAACAATTTGGTTGCTAGAGAGATTTGGGAGAATTCACAATTCACAGAATTCCAAGCTTTCTGCCATTCCCTTCACTCCCTTCCCTTCAGAGACTAGACCAGAGGCTGGACCAGGACCACAGCCTAACCATGTTACAGTCTATGACAATGGTGCCTCCTAGAATTGTGCAACACACAACCTACATGGCTATACACAGCGGCCTTAGAACCAGGCCCTTATTTCCACCCATTCTCCTTAGCATCGAGTCCTTTATCACTGATCATTGATCATTCTTGCAGCCACATAGTTGCAGGGCAGCTGTTGTACCCATTGGCTTTACAGTCGTGTTCCTGGTGGAAAGCAGAGAGAAAGGCAGAAAGCCTTTAGTGAGGACTTTTATTCAGGAAAGGATGCCCTCTCTATGGACTTCTGCCTTGATCTCACTGGCCAGAACTGTGTGTCCTCTACAAGGAAAGCTGAGTCTTCGTTTTCTAATCTCTATAATAGGAAGGCAAGGGAGAAGATTGTGAGCAGTCTGTTTGCTTTTTCTACACAAGGGGAGAACATTCCAGGCAGGAGGTACAGCATGTGCAAAGGCTCAAGAGCAAGAGCATCCCTGCTGGGATCGCAGTGCCTGCCACTGCGGGGCATAGCAGGCGCTCACCAGACACTCGCTGGAGGAGTGAACAGATAGATGAAATGAGATCATAGGTACAAAGGCC
The DNA here is from genome assembly GCF_000001405.40 of Homo sapiens. Taxonomy (NCBI): domain Eukaryota; kingdom Metazoa; phylum Chordata; class Mammalia; order Primates; family Hominidae; genus Homo; species Homo sapiens. The sequence goes on along the minus strand of NC_000015.10, from coordinate 72,865,635 downwards.
ACAAGAAGTTCAGCCTGGCTGTATTGTAGCACTTAAGACAAGAAGTGGCAAGACAAGAGGCAAGGGATTACATGGCAGCCAGAGCTTCAGGGGACTTGTGTTTGGATCTTTATACAAAGAGCAACAAAGAGCCTTGGAAGAACTGTCTATCGGGTGTAACTTGATTAGTCTGTGTTTGGGAAGATCATGCTGCCTGCAGGGAGGGGCACATTTTGGAGGTGAATGAGACAAAAGGTAAGGAGTGCATCTGGAGCCTATTGCAATATCCAAGGTAAAAAAGAAGGTGGCCTGGAAGAGTATGTGGTAATGGGGACAGAAAGTGGTCAGAGTCAAGAGATATTTTGGAGGCAGAACTGACTGCATTTGGTAAAGGATTGAACACGGGAGAAAAGAGAAAAGTCAAGAACAACTCTGAATTTCTGGCTCAAGTTACTGAGTCTCTGGTGCTACCAATCATTGAATCAGGAAGCACAGAAATAGCAGGTTTGTGTTTAGAGTAGAGGGAAGATGAATGCACTTTGGATGTTATACTAAGCCTTGTTATATACATACCCCAAGATTTGCTGATCTCCGTCTACCCCACAGGTCTTAATCATTGGTCAATGAGGATCTCCAGCTGCAATCATGAGTGTACGCTCATCTCATCCCACATCAAGTTGGACTTAGAGCAGTGCCCTTTGGCGATCTGAACTGCTTATAGTGCAGCCGTAACAAGGACACTGGCTTGTCATGTAGTAGGCAGGAGGTGGACTTGGGTAGCAATGCCACCAGCACATTCTCCACATGTTCCATGGGCAGCTGCCACAAATGCTTAATTCTTTTCCAGCCCAGGTCCTGCAGCTCATCCACCAGGTTCCTAGGCAAAGCTGCATCTCTAGTTCTTTGTATGCCATAATGTACTACAGCTTTTCTGCCTCATCCCACTCTGTCTTCATCAACAGCTCTTTCAAGCTCCAGTCATCCCTGGACTTGGCTGAACCCGTTGGAGACTACGGCTTCTCTGATCACTTTTTGGTCCAGCTGAAGCACCAGACTGAAAGCTTGCGGTCTGGTTTCTCCAGTGGATCCCTGGAGGGGCCAATTAACACAACCCAGAAATGGGTGGGAGTTAACCATGAAACAGACCTGGCTTATAAGTACAGAAAGAAGCCACCAGCTAAATCTTTTTCTCTCTACCCCCAACCCCAAAGAAGTGTTCCAAGGCATGGTTCTTCTGTTAGTCCTGTTTATAAAACTTTCCATGTGCCCAAGCAACAGGCTGCATTTTTATTTTATTTCTTTTTGAGACAGGGTCTCACTATGTTGCCCAGGCTGGAATGCAGTGGTGTGATCATGGCTCACTGCAGCCTCAAACTCCTGGGATCAAATGATCCTCCCACCTCAGCCTCCAGCCTCCAAAGTAGCTGGGACTACAGGCAAGCACCACCATGCCCTGCTAATTTTTTTTATTATTATTTTAGAGATGGAGATCTCACTATGTTGCCCCAGTTGGTCTTGAACTCTTGGCCTCAAGCAATCCTCCCACCTTGGCCTCCCAAAATTGCCTGCATTTTTAACGAAGTTGTGGCTAGCTTGGTGCAGTCACTTCCTAGTGCTGCCGTAAAAAAGTACCACAAACTGGGTGGCTTGAAACAACAGAAATTTATTCTTTCACAGTTCTGGAGGCCAGAAGTTGGAAATCAAGATGCTGGCAGGGCCATGCTACCTCTGAGGGCTCTAGGGGAGAATCCTTTCTTGCCTCTTACAGCATCTGGGGGCCCCAGGTGTTCCTTGGCTTGTGGCAGCTTTACTCCATCTCTGCCTCTGTCTTCAAATGGCCTCCTCCCCTCTGCGTGCCCTTTCCTCTTCTTATAAGGACACCAATCATATCCCGTCTAATCCAGCTAGCCTTCCTCTTAATATAATTAACCACATCTGCAAAGACCCTATTTCCAAATAAGGGCACATTTGCAGTGCTAGGAGTTAGGACTTCAACATATCTTTCTGAGGACACAATTCAACCCCAAACACTCGGTAACACACCATCTCATGTTTGCTTCCCTCCTCCTCTGCCCCATGTGCCTACTTCTCTTATACTTTGCTACCCTGGATTTGTACCACCCAATACAGCCTTACCATAGGCATTTTGTGTAGGGATTTATTTTCTAGGAAATTTGTGTAAAGAAAGACTTGCTGAGTTTGCAACATCCAAATGAAGATATCTATAATTCTGAAATGCAGGGTAAAGGTCTGGATGGGAAAACATAAATAGGAGCTTTTATGGTAAATATCTGCTTTGTGCATCCTGTATTCCTCTCCCTTCTTCTGGCAGTAGCACTCTTTTTTTCTTTAGGGATCTGTTCTTCCACAATTCCATGTGGTCCAGGGGGGCTGGCAATTCTTACTACCCCAAATTCATTCAGGTCCTTTGAGTCAGCATGTGACTCCAGTTAGATCAACCACTGTCCTTTCCCAGGAATGGGAGAAGAAGTTCTTTCTTTCCTCCAGAGTAGTTATCTAGGATGCTAAAAGGCCGAGTCATTTATGATCACCCTGTGCCCTCCCCAGACTCCATGAGAAATCCTGTGCAACAGAAGAGAATGAGGCCAAGACAATGATAGAGACAGGGCTGGAGTGGAAATGGTGGGAGAGTGATATGTTTTGGCTGTGTCCCCACCCAAATATCATCTTGAATTATAATAATCCCCACATGTCAAGGGCGGGCCCAGGTGGAGATAATTGAATCATGGCGATGGTTTCCCCCATACTGTTCTCGTGGTAATGAGTAAGTCTCACAAGATCTGGTGGTTTTATAAATAAGAGTTCCCCTGCACAAGCTATCTTGCCTGCTGCCATGTAAGATGTGACTTTGCTCCTCAGTCGCCTTCTGCCGTGATTGTGAGGCCTTGTCAGCTATGTGGAACTATGAGTCAATCAAACCTCTTTCCTTTATAAATTACCCACTCTAGGGTATGTCTTTATTAGCAGCGTGAGAACAAACTAATACAGAGAGAAAGAGGCCTGACAACATCATTTGAGTCCTTAGATCCAGACATGCCGAGTTTCACTCTACTTCTAAACTAGCCTATTATGCTAGCCAAACATTTCTCTTTAGTTTTGCTTGAGCTAGTGTGAATTGGGTTGCTGTCATTTGCAACCCAAAGTCCTGACTATATAGATGTCATCGTGGTTAGACGCTGACAGAGCCTGGTCAAAGTATGAAGGCTGACAAGAGCAGAGGGCCTAAGGAAGGATCCCAAAGGGCAGGAACATTCAAGCAACATTCAGCAAAAGCATTAAAGGAGACAAAAAATTAGTGACCAGAGAGATGGGAAGAAAATAGGGAGAGTGACAGAAGACAAAGGAAGTGAGACTCGGAAGAAGGGAATGGTCCACAGTGCCAAGTGCAGCTAGCGGGTCACACAAACAGGAAATGGAAATGCCCATTGGATTTAGCAGAAGCATGTCCCAATGATTTTGAGGAAATCAATCTCAATGGACAGGATGGGACAGAAATTTAATGACCAAGTGTTGAAGAGTAGGCATGGAAGGGAGTGAGACAATGATGGCAGAAAACACTCAGGAAATGTGGTTGCGAAAGAAAGAAAGGAGATGACAAAGGGGGAAAGATGGAAAGTAAAGGAGAAAACTTGAGGGTTTTTTTTTTTAAGATAATAAAGCCTTGAACATATTGAAATGTTGATGGGAAGAGACCAGCAGAGAGGTAAAGCTTACAGATATAAGCAAGGGAGGGAAGAGTGGTCCCTGAAAAATGAGAGAAGGGCTCAGATTTATCTGTGGTGTCAGGAGAGAGAAGGAAAATATAGGTGCAAGTTCAGAGAGGTTTAGGTTTGATGGCAGGAAGTTGGGGCATTCGCAAGGTTATTGCTGATGGTGACAGGGGCTGCAGGGCAGCAGGCAGGGGAATGGTGGGGTTGGAGTCTGAGAGAAGAATTGTAATGGCCTGTGTGGAGCAGGAAACAGAGGCCATTAGAGACATAGAAAGATTACTAGTCATGGAGGGAACTGTTGGAGACAATGAAGTTACAATGGCTCCAATGCACATGGCCATGGGAGGCTTTGGGGTAGTGCTCAGCTGTGTCAATATAGGCACAAAGACAGCAAATGGCTGGAGTATAACAGAACTGAAGGACAAGGAGTAGAGGCTCTTGGAAAGCTGAGTAAAGATGGAAGGGAAGAGAGAAAGCAGCCCTGAGAGGCTTGAAGTAGAAGGTCTAGGACTCAGATAAAAGCGGGGACTCCTACCTGGTAAGTCCCCATTTTTGCCTGGGAGGCTGAAGAACAGGTGAGAAGGGCATGTAACAGCTCAGATCACTCATGCAGCCCCTGTCTGACGTGGACCAGAGACCCACTGCCTGCCCCGCTGCCACCTGCGCTAAGTCTGTCTTCACAATCTGTCCCTGATTTCACAACTTCTCCCCCCACGCTCTGCACATGGTCAGCTGTCTCCTTCCCTCCTCACCCTACATTCCGCATCCTTACTGCCTCTGGGCCCTTCCTCATGTCCTCCCTATCCCGGCCCCCTTATAACTTCTCCATACACACAAACACACACACACTTTTTGCCCATTCAAATTCTCTCTTACCCTCCAAGGCCCTGGTCAATCCCCTCTCCTTAATGAAGCTTTTATCAGCTATTCTGATTTCCTTTTCTGAATCCCTGGGGCATTTATAAAAGGTATCTCAGCATAACTGTATAACAGTCTCATGGTATCTGTTAATCGTCTCATTTGTGATTTTGGTCTTTGTAACTAGATTATGAGTTCCTTGATATGCAGAGCTACTTGGCCATTGAAGATAGATAGATGTTGATGGATGGATGGATGGATGGATGGATGGATGGATGGATGGATGGATGGATAGATAGATAGATAGATAGATAGATAGATAGATAGATAGATAGTAGATTTTATTAGGGATTAGATAGGTAGATAGATGACAGATGATCTGCATTAGGGAAAATTTTCAATTTCTTTAACTATGGGGCTACTTGCCAGGTAGGAGTCCCCACTTTTATCGCCTTTATAGATGGGCCCCAACTTATTATGGTTGGATTTAAGATTTTTCAACCTTAGATAGGTTTATCAGGGTATTAAGTGCATTTTCTTTTTCTTTTTTTTTTTTTTTGAGATGGAGTCTCACTCTGTCACCCAGGCTGGAGTGCAGTGGCATGATCTTGGCTCACTGCAACCCCTGCCTCCCGGGTTCAAGCAATTCTCCTGCCTCAGTTTCCTGAGTAGGTGGGATTACAGGCGCATGCCACCATACCCGGCTAATTTTTGTATTTTTAGTAGAGATGGAGTTTCACCATGTTGGTCAGGCTGGTCTCGAACTCCTGACCTCATGATCCACCTGCCTTGGCCTCCCAAAGTGCTGGGATTACAGGCGTGAGCCACCGCGCCCGGCTGTGCATTTTCAACTTACAATATTTTTGAATTACAATGGGGTTGATGGGGACATAACCCCATCATAAGTCAAGGAGCATCTGTACACGCAAACACACAAAAACACGTGGACGTACAACATGCTGGGTGCAGGGCTCAGGGACGCAGGGACTGAGGCCATGTGAGGATTCACCACTGATTATTCTAAAGGCATCCCAACTCTGCTTTTCAAACAAGACTCCAGCCTCACCTGGCCCCCTCCCCAGTGAATGCCTGTGACTCTGCTAGTGCCAGTAAGAACTTTCCAGACCAGAAGCCTACTACCCAAGCTCTTGGGACGGAAGCAGTGGCTCCACGGAGGTGACAGGCAAAGAACAACAGCCTTGGACCTGCCTACAGGAAGCGTCGGAAAGACAATCTTTCTAGAAGACTGGCCCGTGCTGCTCATTTCCACAAAGGAGGGTCATGGGGCCTGATGGAAGAGCACCAATCTTCCCCATATTTTGCCTACGGAGAGCAGATTTGAGAGAGAACAAGGTCTGAGAAAGCAAGAAGCAAAACGCCTGCAGGTGTCCCTCGACTATCCTTCCCAGGGAAGCCAGCTCTAGACTCCGAATAGCTTCATTAGGCCCAGGACAAGGCAGGCCCTCTGGGTTAATGATAGGGAGAGAGGAGAAGAAATGCAGGTTTTCTGGACTTTGACTTGTCAATAGCCTTCACTCCACTCCCCACCCCTCAATAAAGGATACTGTGCTACTGCTGGAAGATCTGCCTGGCTTAGAGTCTCTAAAAATTAGCCCGTCCCCACACCAGAAATGTGAGCCTCTTCTGTTACAGTTTAAGTGGTGGTCCTCCTTATAGAAACAACCCCCAGAGAAGGGCCCTGTGAGCCGTGGGCCAGCAGAGGCTCCCCTCCAGAGCCTAGGGAGGCTGGGACAGGGCAAGTGAGGCAACAGGGGAAGGGTGTGCACTGCCACCTCCCAATGCTGCCCTAGTGGAAGCTCCAGGCCGAGAACAGTTCTCTTTTATTTCCTCCACGCTGGCCAGGCCAGGCCTGCAGCTGACAGCAGGAGAGGGGCTGAGCCACAGAAGCACAGGCGGCCTTCTGTGAGGCAGACCTGGGTGGCTGGGGGGTGCTCGAGGGACAACTTCCCCTGCAATTGCCCACCCTTGCTGCAGCTCCTTAGCCTTAACACTTAGTCTCTGTGATGAGATCACTGGGCAGTTGGTAACTCTGGCCTTAGTGGTGACACAGAAACGGACAGGAGGGCCCATGAGGATGATGGGCTCAGTGACAGGCCAGGGGGTGGTTTCCAAGTGGGCCTGGCACTCTGGCCTGACACAGTGAGATTTTTGGGTGCTATCTACCTGAATGGGGTAGTAAGGTAGCAAAAATAGAGAAAGGGAGAGTACCTTTCAGAATGTGTGTGTGTGTGTGCATGCATGCGTGTGTGTGTGTGTGTGTCTATGCAAAACATTGCTCCTGTATGGTAAAGTGGTTGAGCTGTGTGGAGGGGCAGATTTGATTGTATTCAACTACATGATGAGGACAGGCTTCAATGCATGATGGGGCGTTGGTGGTTGTTTCTCAGTCATCCATTTGTTGTAAAACTCATCTATTGCTGCATAACAAATGACCCCAATTTAGTGGCTTAAATGAACAACAGTTATCATCTTGTAGTGTCTGTGCGTCAGGAATCTGGCACAACTTACCTGGTCCTTTGGCTCTGATCCTCTCACAAAGCTCTTATCAAGGGGCTGGCTCGGTCTGCAGTCATCTCAAAGTTTGACTCATGTGGTCATTGCATGGGTTCCTCATGGGTTGGTGGACTGAGGGTCTCAGTTCCTTACTGGCTGTCATCTGGAGGCTACTCCCAGTTCCTTGCCACACAGGCCTCTCCATAGAGCACTTTACACATGGAAGCCAGCTGCATCAGGGCAAGCAAGTTGAGGAGAGAGAGAGGACAGAATGGGAACCTGATCACACAGGCAACACCTATCCCCATTTGTCTTAGTCCATTTAGGCTGCTGTTGCAAAGTACCAGAGACTGAGTGACTTATAAACAATAGAAACTTACTTCTCACAGTTCTGGAGGCTGGAAACCTGAGATCAGGGTGCCGGCATGGTCAGGTTCTGTGAGGGTTCTCTTCTGGGTTGCAGACTGTCATCTTCTCATATCCTATATGGCAGAGAGGGCAAGACAGCTCTCTGGGGTTCCTTTTATAAGGACACTAATGCCATTCATGAGGACCCCAACCTTATGACCTAATCACCTCCCCAGGGTCCCACCTCCCAATACCACCGCAGCAGGAGTTAGGATTTCAATATGTAAATGTTTGGGGGAAACATTCAGTCCACTGCACCTTTGCTGTCTTCCATTCATTAGAAGTGAGTCACTCAAGGGAAGGGGATTACACAAGGGCATGAATGTCAGGGGTAAAGAGCACTGGGCGCTGGTTTAGAAGTTGTCTATCACATCCATTAATTCATTTAGCAATTATTTCATGAGGACCTGCTATGTACAAGACAACATGCTAAGGGTGGAAGATAGAACAAAACTGTCCTTGTCACTTGCAGGTTACAGCCTGGTAGGTGAGGCGTGTGTCATATGCAAATAAATGTCAAATTCCAAGTACAGAAAATGCCTCAAAAGAGGGAGGCACCTTGTGCCTTTAACCAGGGGACTGGGCCCGGGGACTCCCTGAGGATGATGATTGAAAAGTGGGCCAAGGCGTGAGAGAGGACCGGGAGGTAGCCGGGCAGTATGGAAGGGAGGGGACAGACAGACAGCACTTCTGGCCTAAAGAACAGCATCATGGGTATGTGATGGTGATGGGTGACAGCCCAGAGCACGTGTGCATGTTTGTGTGCGTTCTCTATCTGGGTGAACTTGTGTGTTCACACTGTGTGAGTGAATTTCTTAGTTGCATAACGCTACTGATGCACTTAAGGACTCTAGAAAAGGAACAGGAAGGTGGCAGAGAGAACCAAACCTGAGCAGCCTCTCTGCACTTTCAGAATAATGTTCCTTCACTTTTCTTTCTACTCTCCCACTTTCCCGATCCCCTCTCTGTTAAGGTTTCTTTGGGGAGTCATATATGTCCTCATAAAAGGCAAAAATCTGCTGATGCTGCCTAATGCACCATCCGGAAAGGCAGAGCTGTCTGCAAGGGCTGGCTCTGCACCCAGCCCAGCCTTGGAGGCTCCATTTTACAAACCAGCATCTCCCTTGTTAAAGAGATGGTCTATTGATTGAGGCCAAAGTGACTTTTTATGGGGCCTTCAGTCCAGAGACAGGAAAGAGACTGGGAGGAGACTGGAAGGCAGGAGCCCCTGGTGGAGGGAGGTGGGGAGAAGCCCTACAGCCAGCGGGAAGGGCAGAGTGGGGTGGGAAGGGAGCTGGGAAAGCCCTTAGCCAGGACAGGACCCCTCTAGGTGTTAGGGGAGCCAAGTTTTGAGAGGGCTGAGGCAGGACACAGTGTGACATGTGGCCCAGCCTAATACACCTGTGTCCGAAGCTGACGAATCCCATGCAAGACCCACTCATGTGGAGACAAGCCCAGACCTGCTCAAATCAGCAAACATGTGTGGGTCTTGTCTTCAAGGCACCCAAGGAGGAGGCTTTCCTCCTTCCAGTAGCACCTTGAGGAACTATGCAAGCCGACCCAGGACCTGGGATTCTAGCTCCACTCAGCCAACGACTAACGGCATGACTCCCACTCATTCCTCTCTTTGTTTATTAAAATAATTATCCATGCCCCTGTGCCAGGCACTGCATTAGCCTCTGGGGGTGCAGACGTGGTCCTAGCACTCATGGGCCTAACAGTTTAGATAGAAAATAATCATTGAGCAATACTCACATCACCATAGGATGACAGTTACGAGAGTTACATGAACAAAAAACACAGACCTACCATGGTTTGGAAGACATTATGGAGCCAGGGGGTGCTGAGCCCTGTAGAGGTGACTAGGCCTGTCTGAGTGTCAGCCTTGGCTCCCCCTCCATTCCAGCAACAGCGACCATTGCTGCATTTTCTCAACAGATTAAGTGTATGATGGTCTACTTTCCTCTGACCCACCACCCAGTTTTGCAATCATGGACCTAGTCAATCCTCTGAGACTGAGCCTATCCTGCACGGGCCTGGAGCTGTCCCTCCCACTGTCTCTTGGGTTCCCTTGCACCACAGCACAGTGGATCCCAATATCAGCCACCTGCGTGACCCCTCTCTGGGGCCCGGGAACATTTCCTCACTCCCTTCACACACTACTGGAAGGGAAAGGGTCTCAGGGTGAGATGGACTGAGAGGATGCTTCAGGTCCTCCCTGCTTCAGTGTTCCCCCATTGATACTTGCAGATTCTGGAAGAAATGAGACAGCCTCCTCCATCTTTACATCCCAGCCCACCCCTAGTCTGAACCATGACACAGGGACTGAGGTGCCAGCCTCCTCCATGTCCTCACTGATCCTCGTCTCTTGCCACCCAGCGGCACTTGCATCTCCATCTGTGTCATGCTCTGTTTTCTTCCCTTTTCAGACACCCATCTAAGGCCAGTCATCTAAGCTTAGGATCTTCAGAGCCCACGCATGCTTTCTTCCACCCCCACAAAGCCTGGCTTCTACAAATGAAAGTCTTGCTTTTCTGACCATTGTCTTTCTATCGCTTTAAAGCAGTGGTTCTTAACCTTGGCTTAATTTTTGTAGGGACCTGAAAAGTTTCCATTCCCAGAACTTCTGATTTAATTGATCAATTGATCTTAAAGTTCAATTGATTTAGTTGATGAATAAATCAATTTAATCAATTCTGCAGGGCAGAATTGATGATTCCGCCTTGCAGCCAGGGCCGAGAACCAGCTTCAAAGAGTTTCATTTAAGAATAGCAATGACTTCTTTGTCGCTGCGGATCCTGCCCTCCCTCCCCATGAAGGAAGCTAAGCCTCAGCAGCATGCATTGATTCAACACATGTTAGTTGAGCCCCTTCTATGTGCCAGGCACTGTTCTAGGTGCTTGGGACACAGCAGTGAATAAAACAGACAAAAATCTCTGCCCTTGAAGAGCTGTCATTCTAGCCAGGAGAGAGACAGGCAATGAGCAATAACAATAGCAAATCTTAAATTTCATAGTAAATTAATAGGTGATATGTGCAAAAAGGAAGATTTTTAAAACAGGGTAAGGGGTATCAGGTTGCCATTTAAAAAAGGGTGGTCAGTCAGACGAGACCTTGTGTAGAGGTAACATTTGAGAAAAGACTTGAAGGAGAGGAGAAGGCGAGACCACTCAAAATTCCCAGAATAAAAACCATAGCAGGGCCGGGTGCGATGACTCATACCTGTAATCCCAGCAGTTTGCGAGGCCGACGTGGGTGGATCACCTGAGGTCAGGAGTTCAAGACCAGCCTGGCCAACACGGTGAAACCTCGTCTCTACTAAAAATACAAAAAATTAGCCAGGCATGGTGGTGCATGCCTGTAATCCCAGCTACTCCAGAGGCTGAGGCAGGAGAATCACTTGAACCCAGGAGGCGGAGGTTGCAGTGAGCCGAGGTAGTGCCATTGCACTCCTGCCTAGGTGACAAGAGTGAAACTCTGTCTCAAAAAAAAAAAAGAAAAAAAGAAAAAAAAACATAGCAGATAGTTCACAATATTATCCTGCTATACTTACTTAGGAGGGAGAATCAATAGGACTTGGATTGGAAGTTGAGACCAGGGAGGGATGAGAAAAAAGGCTCCATCAAGGGTGACTCTCAGTTTCTTGCACAGCAGTTATGAGTATTAAAGGGTCTTTGACGTAGCTGTGGACACTGAGATCTGGAGGTGCAAGTCCAGGGTGACATTTTGGCCATGCTGGTGTGCGACACCTATGAAACATCCCAGTGAACCAACACGCAGATGAAGGGACAACAAACTACAGCCCATGGGTCACTTCTGGCTTGTCATCTGGTTTTTACATTTTTAAATGATTGAAAATAATCAAAAGGAGAATAATATTTCCTGATGTGTGAAAATTATATAAAATTCAAATTATATAAAATTCAAATTTTTAATGGTTGGAAAAAATCAAAAGATGAGCACTATTTCCTGACACATGAAAATTATGTAAAATTCTAATTTCAATGTCCATAAACAAATTTCTTTGGAGCACAGCCGTGCTCATTTGTTCTTTTAGTGTCTATGGTTGAATTTGCACTAGAATGACAGAGTTGAATTGTTGCAGAAGACAACACTGAGCATAAAATATTTATTATCTGGTCCTTAACAGAAAAAAATTTGCCAACTCCTCTGTCAACAGTCGGATACGTGGATCTGGAGCTCAGGGGGATCATGCAGGCTGGAGACATAAATGTGGAGGCATGGAAGCCAAGGAAATGGGTGGGATTGGAGAGCAAGTGTGGAATGAGAAGGGAAGAGGTTGAGGCCAGGCCCTGAAAAACTTGAACATTTGAAGGTTGGATGGAGGAGAAAGAGCCCAAAAATAAGATGGAGAAAGAGTAGGCAAGAGGATGGAGGAAAATCCAGAGACTATGTCATCATGAAAGAAAAGGAAAATAAGTTATCATGAGGGACCGAGAGGTTAACAGGTCAATGCTGCTGAGAAATCAAATAATATGAGAATGGAAAGTGTCTAATGAATTCAACAATGAGAGGGTAATTAGTGGCCCTGCTGGGGCAGTTGCAGTAGAGCAGTGAGACAGGAACCCACTTTGGAATGGGATGAAGAGAGGATGGGGGGGGAAGGTAGGGATGAGACATTAGGATAACTTTTTTTGAGTAGCTCAACTGAGAAGAGGAGTTCATCAGCCTGTAAAGAGAAAATGGTGGTTAGAAGTAGAGGAAGGTCAAGGAGGTTTTGTTTTTGTCATTGTTGTTTGTTTAAGCTTCAGAATGATTGGAGGTTGTTTGATTGGAAGAGGGAAAGAATGAAGAGGTGGGAGAGAGAATAGCCAGCAAAGCGACCTGGCCCTGTGAAAGCCAAAGAGCTCCTAGTTCCTGCCGGGCCCCTCCTCCACTGCTGTGAGCCCTTAGAAGTTGGGGAAAGCAGTTGGGGCACGGTAGCTCACACCTGTAATCCCAGCACTTTGGGAGGCCAAGGCGGGTGGATCTCTTGAGGTCAGGAGTTCAAGACCAGCCTGGCCAACATGGTGAAACCCGTCTCTACTAAAAATACAAAAATTAGCCGGGCATGGTGGTGCGTGCCTGTAATCCCAGCTACTTGGGAGGATGAGGCAGGAGAACTGCTTGAACCCGGGAGGCGGAGGTTGCAGTGAGCCGAGATAGTACCACTGCACTCCAGCCTGGGCAACAAGAGCAAAACTCCATCTCAAAAAAAAAAAAAGAAGAAGTAGTTGGGGAAAGCAGACCCAGCCAGAGAAGCCTGCACCTTACCTTTCTCCTGTGGCAGGTGCAGTGGAAAAGGGCGACCTTCTGGAGCCAAACAATGCAGCTTAAAATCCTGTCTCTGCCTCTTCCTACGTGATCTTTGCAAGTGACTACCTCCAGAATCTCAGTGTCCTTATCTGTGAAGTGGGGGACAAACCTCTCTTGTTCACAAGACTTGTGAGGATCTGATGCAGTGACATTCATACACCAGCCACAGTGTCTAACACATCAGAGACACTCAACTAATGTTAGATTTCCTCCTCCATGTCCCAAACCATCCCCAGCCCAGCTACTTCCCAGACTTTGTCTTGGAAAAAGAGAAAAGAATCTCGGATAGAAACTTGACCTACATTTAGTGCCAAGTCTCTCGTCTTTCAGGAAGGGAAGAGAGGCAATTCCAGGGATGCATTCAGCCAGCTGGCCTGGACTCGGCCAGATGCATTGCTTTGGAAACTCCCAGCTAAGGAAGTACTCTGAGATTCCTTCTTCCAATCAGATCTTGGGCTATCTGAACTCTGGAAGCTTTGGTCAAAACAAGAATTCCTAGCCTGTTTTGCCAGGGTTCTAGTATTATAAGAGGTTCTGTAGCATTATAGTGTTTGGAGGTTGTCTGGAATTGTCACCAGGCCACCAAACTTTCACCTCAGGAGATGATGTTTGTTTGTTTGTTTGTTTGTTTTGAGACAGAGTCTTGCTCTGTCACCCAGGCTGGAGTGCAGTGGCATGATCTCGGCTCACTGCAACCACTGCCTCCCGGGTTCAAGCAATTCTCGTGCCTTAGCCCCCGAGTAGCTGGGATTACAGGTGCACACAACCACGCTTGGCTAATTTTTGTATTTTTAGTAGAGACTGGGTTTTACCATGTTGGCCAGGCTGGTCTCAAACTCCTGACCTCAAGTGATCTGCCCGCCTGGGCCTTCCAAAGTGCGGGGATTACAGGCGTGAGCCACTGCACCCAGCCCAGGAGATGGTTTTTCTTTCACTCCTGAGAGCCCACAGAGATCAACAGTTCCCCGCACAAAGGAGGGTGTGGCCAAGATCAGGAGGCATGGCTGATGTAGGGTGAGGGACAGCGGGGGGTAGTGTCCACCGTTACCGTGCTTGTGGGGTCATCTGCACGGAACACCTGCCTCCTGCAGTCAGCCTCTCAGGCTGCAACCCAGAGGATCCTGTTATAAGCCTCACCTCCCCAGCCTGTTGTCTAGAAAACATAAAATGGATAGATTTTCCTGGCATTTCCTTGTCAAGCCTGGCAACATGACTGCAGCCTTGGCTTTACACTCTGTTGGGAAAGCATTTCATCATTTTCTACGACAAAAATCCTGTGAAGGGGACAAACCAGGTTGGTCTTTCATCATGAGAGATCAACTCAGCAGGCCAGGGAGGGAGAGAAGCCATTTGTTCTGGGAAGCAAATCAAAGTATCAAAGACGCCTCCCGCAAGTATTTAAATTAAATATTATGTTTCATTGAATGTAAGATATATAATTAATAAAGGTTCCCCACCTTCTTTATAGTCTTACTAAGCTGCAAAGAGATCATTACCAAGCAAACCTCTCCACAGTGCTCAGAATGATGGGTGTGTGCGTATGTATGCATGTGTGAGTGACAATGTGTGCCTGAGTATTTCTGACAATTTGTGCCTCAGCAGTCATTTGACTACAAAAAGCCCACCCAAACCAACTTCTGTAAAAGAGAATTTGTTATGAGGAATTGGGAACATCTCACTGTAACAGACAAGTTGGGCAATGTCCCTACTCTGTCAGCGTCTACACCTTCCAATGGGACCAAACCACTCCCCTCACTAACACCCACAGCTCACTGGACCAGGACATCCAACCCATGCTGATTCAGTTGGCTTCTGACTCCCAGAAATTTGAAACTGGGACACAGACATGCAAATTAGTTAGTTGGTGGTGCTGTGACTAGGAGGGCATGTCTCGAAGGCACGTGTCAATGTTTGAATTATGTACCTCCTTAGCACAGTGGTTCTCAAACTTTTGCATGTTGAAGGATCACCTAGGGCATTTGTTAAAAGTGGAGTTTCTTTGGCTTCATCCCCAGAGATTCAGGGCTCTAAATTTTTAATAAATGCTTCAAGTGATTTGAATGTAGGTATTTTAGCAAGACAGAAGAGAGAAAGAAAAAAGAGAAGCAGATGACAGATGGAAGACCTTGCTGCCCCAGAATGATTTAAAAAAAGAGAGAGAGAGAGAAACTAACTGCCTCGGCTGAAGGCGGCTTCCAGTTTTCAGTTAAAGTCCCACGTAAGACCCTTCCATCATTTCTGCCCTTGTGTTCTGTGGATACCTCTGATTCCTAAGAAACTCTAAGTTGGTTTCTGCTTCTGCCACCAAAGAATTCCTAAAAGTACTGGTGCTTATGGAACCAAGGGCAAGTAACCATCTGGTCCAATTAGAGGTGGCTGGTGGGAGCAGAGGCAGGACCGCCTGCTATAAACACAGCTACCTCCTCTGCCTCTCTCGCAGGTACAGTGGCAGGTCCTCGCTTCTACTACAGTGGATGTTTCTGAGTGTGTAAGGGCCCCTGAGTGTTTGTGTGCCTGTGTGTGTGTGTGCAGGTACACAACTCTGGGTCTGCTGCCTGTGAGGCCTGGGTATGGTATTTTCTCAGAGAACAAGATTATAATTGTGAGTGGGTATGTGTTACTGCAACTGTCTGTGCACGTGAGTGGTAGAGAACCAAGCCAAGCTGTATTCTAGGTTATAATTGTCTACATTAGAGACTCATTAACTGTATCGCTGCATCTACCCATAATACAGCAGGATTATATTTAGAAATTAGCTTCTTAAAGAGAGAGAACAGAGAGCCCCCTGTTATATGAAGGGGGGAGTTCCAGACCATTTGGAAAAGAAAAGGTGGCCGGAGTTGCACTCAGAATGACCTGGGGACTAGGCAGAGACAGACACCAGGGGTCTGCAGGGTCAACCCCAGACAGCCTGAGAAGGCACCAGATTCCGTTGCCATGGTGTGAGAAGCAAAGTTAGAGCACAAGGAACATGGCCCCAGAGCCAGGAGACAACAACAAAGGACACAACGTGCGTAGTCCAAAGTCCCCAGGGCTTTAAGAACCCAGTCAGTGATCAGAGGAGGTGATTTCCTCCCATCTCAGCCTCCCGAGTAACTGGGACTATGGGCACACATCACCACACATGACTACTTTTTTGTATTTTTTTTTTGTAGAGGTGGGGTTTCACCAGGTTGCCCAGGCTGGCCTCTAACTCCTGGGCTCAAGCGATCTGCCTGCCTTGGCTTCCCAGAAAGCGAGGATTACGGGTGTGAGCCACCATGCCTGGCCCTTGTGCAGCATCTTAAGGGTACTTCTACATCTACGACAGTCACTACAGCAAAATTGCCATCACAAACCAGAGCGGAGAGGCAACCTCTCCTTCCCATACAGCACCCCCACCCGTGGCACTTTATCTGTCTCTCTCTGAGGTTGTGTATTGCTTTCTACCTCCCGCTTTACCATGTGCATGTCTATGGGAAAGGTCCACCATCCCCTCCCACCTGCACACTCTCTGGCAGACATGCTCGGTCATCTACCCAGATCCCCCACACATCCCCTTTCTAATGCTATGGTCCCACCCCCAGCTTCTATGTGCTTTGCTACTCATCGTTCGCAGCTGTGACCTTCTCCAGCGGCTCATCCTTGGGCTCCTGGAGCATACAGGCATCCACCAGACTCAGAGCCAGAGGTCCATCCCCTTCCCACCCTCCAGCAAGGACTGACAGGTACAGGGTTAAAAAGCCCACCCTCTTGCCTGAGCAGGCACAAACTCTCAGAAGCAGTTTATACCTCAGACCTCTCCACCGGATCAAACGATGTTCAGTCTTCCCCTGAAATCTCTCCTTCCATTGGCTTCTTCCCTTTCCAACACTGCTTCCCCTGACTCTCTCACTGAGCTCTCCTTGGGACACTTTCTTTATAAGTCATTTGCATGCACGCTGGGCATGATGGCTCACACCTGTAATCCCAGCACTTTGGGAGGCCCAGGTGGGCAGATCGCTTGAGGTCAGGAGTCTGAGACCAGTCTAGCCAAGATGGGGAAATCCTGTCTCTACTAAAAATAAAAAAAATTAAAAAATAAAAAAATTTTTAAAAGCCAGACATGGTGGTGCACACCTGTAATTCCAGCTACTTGGGAAGCTGAGGCACAAGAATCGCTTGAACTCAAGAAGTGGAGGGTGCAGTGAGCCAAGGTCGTGCCACTGCACTCCAGCCTGGGCAACAGAGTAAGACCCTGTCTTCAAAAAAAAAAAAAAAAAAATCATTTGCATACAAATCCCTGGCTCAGAGGCTGCTTCTGAAAGAACCTTCTTCTTAGTGTCCCAGCCCTGCCCACAGACCCCAGAAAATCTAGGAGACCTTCCACCCCTTCTTGCCTTGTGTATCTGTGCTCAGCCCATTCTCCTTCACCTTTCTTGTGCTCTGCAGGGCTGCATTTCTCAGGTTTCTCTATCATCTGGTTTTTTATTTTGTTTGGCCACTGGGGAGCATTGGCAGGAAATTGGGTGCTGGGCTCTTTCTCACTCTGCCTCTGCTTTAAGAGAATCTCGGACAGTTGCTGTGTGTTTTCCATTCCTATAGATGCTGCCCCGACAAGCCCACTGTGGTTCCAGCTCTTGCTGGGTGACCCTGCAGCCTGGGGGTGACAGTGCTTCCTGCTGCTGTTACTTTGAATTGTCTCACTGTCCTCTGTTTAACTTCTAGGCTGGGCGACTGACTATTACCTGTTTAACAAATTCCCTGCATTAAAGTCCCTCTGTTTTTAAATATTCAAGAGGTTTCCATTTCCTGGTGAGACCCTGACTGATCCAACTCAGAATAAGAAAGGGCTTTGTGGTGGGTTGAAGAAGACAGGGGTCAGGGGAGAGTTCTGGAGGAGAGACACAGGTTAGAGAATCACTGACATAGAGGTGGAGGATAAAACCAGAGAGTAATGAAGGATAAAGCCATGAGAGTGGCAAGACTGATCACACAGAGGGTAGGAAGCTCACGGCCTCACAAAGCAACCCATCCCGAATTAGTAAAAACTACTGTTTAAAATGAATTGGAATCCGCCTCACTGTAACATGCACCAACTGTTACTACAGATCAAATCTGATTTTTTCCACATGCCAGTCCTCTGGGTTTTCAGTGAGGCATGTCTTGCTCTCTTCCACATCTTCGCTAAGATGACATCTCTGAATCTTCAGGCTTTTCCTGGCAGGGCAGGGTTCCTAAGGTCCTTGCTCCCCTGCCCTGGTGACTTGCCTCTGGACATGATCCCATTTAGCAGTACTCCTTACAAATAGGCTCCTACGGGGAAACACCGGTCTCTAGATGTCATCTCACCTTCCTTGCTTCAGAAGGAAGGACACGAAACCTCTACAGAGGCATCCAAGACTGAATTCCAGCCAGGCACAGTGGCTCACGCCTGTCATCCCAGCACTTTGAGAGGCCGAGGCAGGAGGGTTGCTTGAGCCCAGAAGTTCATGATCAGCCTGGGCAACATGGCAAAACCCAGTCTCTCCAAAAAAAAAAAAAAAAAAAAAAAAAAAAAGCAAAAATTAGCCAGGCATGGTGGCACGTACCTGTGGTCCCAGCTACTCAGGACGCTGAGGCAGGAGGATCTCGACCCCAGGAGGTAGAGGCTGCAGTAAACTGTGAACACACTCCAGCCTGGTCAACAGAGTGAGACCCCATCTCAAAAACAAACAATCAAACAAACTGAATTCCATTTTGGAGTTGTAAGCCCAACTACTGATTTACTGTGGATTTGCAGACATGTCACAGAACAGGAGAAAAGATAGGTCTTTTATTTAATGTAAACTCACCCCTCTTGTCTGTGGTAGTTGGTTGGATAACTCAACATGCATTCTAATCTCCTTTGCCTTGCCCACCTCCACTCCAGAGACTGGGAAGATGAAATATTTTCTTTCCCAGCTTTCCCTGAAGCTGGAGGTGAGAGGCCTATAACATAGTTCTGGCCAATTAAATCTGAATGCAAATCTGTTGGGGCTTCTGAGAAAGTTTTGCCTTCCTAATAAGAGACAAGTATCTCTGGAGCCATCCCTTCCTGGTCCTACTTGCCTTTGACATAGTCATAACGTGACTGTTGGGGAGATGCCTGGAGAATCTCAGAAAAGCTGGCCCTGACACAGGGGACCACGGAGCCAATGTGGACAGTCCCCACCTCTGGACTTCTTGCATTAGGGAAAAAATCTGAACCAATACACTGGGGAAAAATAGTTTCAACTTCTAATACAAGGAGTTAATATTCCCGATATTTTAACAAACGTCCTAAAATAGAAAAGACCTCAACTAGATAGAAAAATAGGCAAGTCAGATGAACAGACCATTAACAGAAAAGAAATGCAAATGGCTCTTGACCATATGAAAAGATGCTCAACCTTGCTCTTAATAAGAGAAATGCAAATGAAAACTGAGATCTCATACTCACCTATTCCTGGTAAAAATTCAAAGCTTTGACAACATAATTCTGTTAATGAAGCTCTGGAGAATAGACACTCTCATACTTTGGTGGCAGGAATGCAAAATTGTTGTACAATCACCATGGAAAGAATTTGGCAAAATTCTCTCTGTCTTCACTCTTTGACTCAGCAATCTCACTTCTAGAAACATCTCCCAAATATGACAAAAAGAAAAAAAACACATGTGCAAGCTTATTCATTACAGAGTTATTTGTAAATGCAAAAGCCACCTGCCCTGACCCACCCAACAACAGGGGATTGTTGAATAAACTATGGTACATCTGAAATCCAAAATGCTCCAAAATCCAAAACATTTTGAGCATGAACATGACACCACAAGTGGAAAATTCCACAAATGACCTCATATGACAGATGCAGTCAAAAGCAGTCAAAACTTAGTTTCACATGCAAGATTATTACAAATATTATAGAAACTTACTTTTAGTCTCTGTGTTTAAGGTGTATATGAAACAAATGAATTTCACACTTAGATTTGGGTTCCATCCCCAAGATATCTCGTTATATATATGCAAATATTCCAAACCCTCCCCCCACACCACAAAAAAAATCCAAAATCTAAAACACTTCTGGTCCCAAGCATCTTGGATAAGGGACACTCAGCCTATATATCTATATAATGGAATTATATGCAGCTGTAAAAAGGAATGAGAACCATTTCTGTACATGACAAAGGAGTTTCCAACACATATAAGTACATAAAGTAAGATGGCAAATGTGTGTATAGTATGCTACCACTTATCCAAAAAGGGGTAGGATACAATCATATTTTTAATGGAAGGTTTTTTTTATTATTAAAAAATGGTTACTAAAGAGGCAGGAAAGAGACCAGGCACAGTGGCTTACGCCTGTAGTCCCAGCACTTTGGGAGGCCAAGGCGGGTGGATCACTTGAGGTCAGAAGTTAGAGACCAGTCTGGCCAACATGGTGAAACCCCAACTCTACTAAAAATACAAAAAAAAAAAAAAATTTAGCCCGGTGTGGTGGCGCATGCCTGAAATCCCAGCTACTTGGGAGGTTGAGGCAGGAGAATCGCTTGAAAGCAGAAGGTGGGGGTGGCAGTGAGCCGAGATCACGCCACTGCACTCCAGCCTGGGTGACAGGGTGAGACTCGATCTCAAAAAAAAAAAGAAAAAAGGGCAGGAAAGAAAGAAAAATGTGGCAAGGGCAGGGACAGGGCTGGACTTCTTAGAATGTTCCTGGTTTTGTAGGTTTGACTTTGGAACCATGTAAACATTCTCCATAATGATAAAATTTAATGTTAAAAAAACATCTAAAATCAAAACTAAAATGAAACAAGTAAAACAAAAATGAATCTCTATTTCAGTAAGAAAAATTCTAATATTAAGTCAATCTTGCATTCCTAGGATAAATCCGATTTGATCATGATGTATTATCTTTTTTACCCGTGTGGGATTCTGTTTACTGCTGTTTTGTTTGGGATTTCCACTTTGTTACCCACTCGAAATTACCCTATAATTTTCCTTTCTCATACTGTCCTGTCTGTTTTTTTTTTTTCTTTAATCAAGCCTGCACAAGTCTCCTAAAAGTTGTTTAAGGGTATGCTACCGTGTTCTATATGCTGGCAGAATTTACATGGCATTGAAATTATTGTTCTTTCACTGTTTAGTAGAATTTAGCCACATGAGGCCAGGCGTGGTGGCTTATGCCTGTAATCCCAGCATTTTGGGAGGCCAAGACAGGTGGATCACTTGAGCTCAGGAGTTGGAGAGCAGCCTGGCCAACATGGTGAAACCCTGTCTTTACTAAAAATACAAAAAATTAGCTGGGCGTGGTGGCAGGCACCTGTAGTCCCAGCTACTAAGGAGGCTGAGGCAGGAGAATCGCTTGATCCCGGGAGGTGGAGGTTACAGTGAGTCGAGATGGCACCACTGCATGCCAGCCTGGGTGACAGAGAGAGACTCCGTCTCAAAAAACAAAAAAGAATTCAGCAACATGAAACAACCATATGAAACAAGGTTTTCAAAGCACTGGACATCAAGCAATGAAAGACAGGTCTCCCTCAGAGACAGGAAATAAATAAGGTCAGCCATCTTCTTACCCCAGCTTCCTGCTGCAAGGGAATTTCCAGACTCAAAAGAGGGATGGGTCTCAAGCAGAGCCTGATAGACACCCCAGCTTGAGGAGATGGAGGTGATAGTCCAAGAACATCAAAGTCTTTTGAACTGAATGAAAATGAAAACATATCAACATACCAAAATTTGTGGCTACAGCTAAAGCAGTACTTGGAGAGAAATTTAAGCAGTAAACACCTATATTAGAAAAGAAAGGTTGACATAGAGCCACAGTTTTTAGAAAAAAAAAGAAATGGTTACAACTTCCACCTTAAGACACTAGAAAAAGAAGATCTTATAAAACGCAAAGTAAGCCAACAGATGCATGAAAAAATGCTCATGATCACTGGTCATCAGAGAAATGCAAATCAAAACTACAATGTGATACCATCTCACGCCAGTTAGAATGGCGATCATTAAAAAGTCAGGAAACAACAGGTGCTGGAGAGGATGTGGAGAAATAGGAAAGCTTTTACACTGTTGGTGGGAGTGTAAATTAGTTCAACCATTGTGGAAAACAGTGTGACAATTCCTCAAGGATCTAGAACTAGAAATATCATTTGACCCAGTGATCCCATTACTGGGTATATACCCAAAAGGATTATAAATTATGCTACTTAAAGACACATGCACATGTATGTTTATTGTGGCACTATTCACAATAGCAAAGACTTGGAACCAACCCAAATGTCCATCAATGATAGACTGGATTAAGAAAATGTGGCACATATACACCATGGAGTACTATGCAGCCATAAAAAGGATGAGTTCATGTCCTTTGCAGGGACATGGATTAAGCTGGAAACCATCATTCTCAGCAGACTATCACAAGGATAGAAAACCAAACACCGCATGTTCTCACTTATAGGTGGGAATTGAACAATGAGAACACTTGGACACAGGGTGGGGAACATCACACACCGGGGCCTGTTGGGGAGCGGGGGCGCTGGGGGAAGGATAGCATTAAGAGAAATACCTAATGTAAATGACCAGTTGATGGGTGCAGCAAACCAGCATGGCACATGTATACCTATGTAACAAACCAGCACCTTGTGCGCATGTACCCTAGAACTTAAAGTATAATAATAAAAAAAATGCAAAGTAGGCAGAAGAAAGAAAAAAATAAAAATCAGAAGGCCAACGGATGAAACAGAAAATGGAAAGCAATAGAAAAAAATCAATGAAAGCAAAAGCGATTTTCTTGAGAAGATAATAAAACTGATAAACCTCTAGCTGGGCTTCTAAGGAAAAAAAGAAAAAGGACAAAAATTGCCAATATTGGGAATGAGAGAGATGATATCACTACAGATTCTACAGATAAAGCAAGGATAATAAGGGAGTATTATGAACAAATTAATATTATGACACCTTAGATAAAAATGAACAAATTATTTAAAAGACACAAATTACCAAAACTCGCTCAAGAATAATAGATAATCTGAATAGCCATATATCTATTAAAGAAATTTAATTCGTTAATTAAAAATTCACACAAAAAGGCTGGCCACAGCAGCTCATGCCTGTAATCCCAGCACTGTGGTAGGTCGAGGTAGGAAGATCGCTTAAGACCAGGAGTTTGAGACCTGCCTGGGCAACATAGCAAGACCCCTTCTCTACAAAAAATTTAAAAATTAGCCAGTTGTGGTGGCATGGACCTGTAGTCCTAGCTACTCAAGAGGCTGAGGCAGGAGGATCACTTGAGCCCAGGAGTTAGGATTCAACGTTACAGTGAGCTATGATTGCACCACTGCACTCCACCCTAGGTGACAGAGCAAGACCCTGTCTCTGAAAAAATTAAATTTAACTAAAAAATTTAAAAGTCACACAAAGAAAACTCCAGCCCAGGTGGTTTCACCAAACATTATAGGAGGAAAATTTCCTTCAAACATTATGCCAGAGATTAAGGAGAAACATTATCAATTCTGCACAAACTCTTTCAAAACATTGAAGAGCAGGGCATATTTCCCAACTTATTCCATGAGACTAGCATTACCCTGATACCAAAACCAGACAAAGACATCAGAAGAAAAAAAAAAGATAGACCAATATTCCTCATGAATATAAATGCAGAAGTTCTAAACAAAATTTTAGCAAATCAAATTCAACAATAAGTAAGAAAGGATAATACATCATGACCAAGTGGAGTTTATCCAAGGAAAAGAAAAAAGGCACCAGTCTTTATTGGCAGGTGACATGATCCCCTATGTAGAAAATGTGATGGAATTTACAAAAATAGCTACTAGAATTCTTAAGTAAGTTAGCATAGTTGAAGGACACAAGATCAATATGTAAAAATCAATTCTACTTCTAAATACCAGCAATGAACAATCAGAAGTTGAAATTTTTAAAACACCATTTACAATAGCATAAATAAATATGGAATACTTAGGAGAAAGATATGAAAGATCTGAACACTGAAAAATGTAAAATATTGCTGAGAAAAACCAATGACAACCTAAATAAATGGAGAGATATATCATGTTCATGGGTTGAAAGACTCAAGATGTTTGTTCTCCCCAAATTTATGTGTAGGTTCCATGCAATCCCAATGAAAATTCCAGCAGGCTTTTTTGGTAGAAATTGACAAGCTAATTCTAAAATTTGTGTTGAAACACAAAAGACCTAGAAAAGCAAAACTTTGTAAAAGAACAAAGTTGGAGGACTAACACGGCCTGATCTTAAGAATTATTTTAAAGCTACAATTATCAATATAATTACTACTGTAAAGACAAAAAATAGATCACTGAAACAAAAAATAGAATTTAGAAATAGATACACACTGATTTTCGGCAATGGTGCAAAGGAAATTCAATGGAGAAAAGATAATATTTTCAGCAAGTGATGTAGGAACAACTGGACCATCCACACAAAGGAAAATGAACTTCAATCCAACAGCTTGCACTGTTTACAAAAATTAACTAAAAATGACCCTAGATTTAAATGTAAACACTAAAACTACAAAAAATTTTAGAAAAAAGTATGAAGAAAATCTTTGTGACCTTGACTTAGGCAAAGATTTCTTAGGTGTGACACCAAAAGTACAATCTGTAAAAGAAAAATTGATAAATTGAACTTCATCAAAATTGAAACATAATGTTCTTTGAAAGACACCATTAGAGAATAAAAGACAAGCTGCAGACCAAAAGAAAATGTCTATAAACCATGTGCCTGCCAAAGGACGTGTATCCAGCATATACAGAGAATTTTCAAAACCAAATAGGAAAACAAATAACGTAGTTAAAAATGGTCTAAAGACAGACACTTTACCAAAGAAGGTATGTGAATAGCAAATAAGCACAGAAAGATTTTTAACGTCAGTAATCATTAAGGAAATGCAAATTAAAACCACAACAAAATAGAGCTACACAGCCACAAGAATGGCTAAAATTAAAAAGGCTGACCGTATCAAGTGTTGATAAGGAAACAGAGAAACTGAATCTCTCATGCACTGCTGATGGGAATGTAAAATGGTTCAGTCACTTTGGAAAATGGTTTGTCAGTTTATTAAAAAGGTAAATATATACCTACCGTATGTTCTAGCCTTTCCACTTCTAAATATTTACCCAAGAGAAATGAAAGCATATGTCCATACAAAGACTTGTAGATGGATGTCCACAGCAGATTTATTTGTAATAGCCCAAAACTATTAATAAGTGGCTCAAATGTCCATCAACAGGTGAATGAATAAACAAATTGTGGTGTATCCGTACAAATACTATTCAGCAATAGAAAGAATGAACTACTGATCAATGCAACAGCATAAATTAATCTCAAAATAATTATGCCGAGTGTAAGAAGATAGACAAAAAAGACTACATCCTGTATGATTCCACTTACTTAAAACAAAAAATGCACATTAATCTATAGTAACAGAAAGCAGATCAATAGTTGCCTGTTGTGGTAGGCAACCTCTAAAACGTCTCCCTGCAATACCCACCCCCTGGCACTCACACCCTTGTGTAACTCCTTCCCCTTGAGAGTGGGCGGGACCTTGTGACCCACTTCTAATGAACAGAATATGGCAAAAATGATGAGATGTCGCTTTTGAGATTAGGTTTCAAAGAGGTGGTGACTTCTGTCTTGCCTATAAAATGAAATCACAGCCCTGGCGGATCCCGTGGTTACAACCTTGGGAGAGACCCTGAGGCAGAGTCACCCAGGTAAGTTGCGCCCCACACTCCTGGCCCACAGAAGATGAGAGATGATAAACATTTGCAGTTTTCAGCTGATGAATTTTGGGGTTATTTTTTGTACAGCAATAGATAAGTAATACATCTGTAGATTGGGTATCACTATTAATTACTATTACTATTAATAGTAATTGATAATATATAATCCTTATATAATAAATAGATTATAATATATGGATTGCATATAATAAAACATAAGTTATATATAATAAATAGATCCAATTTTATAAATAGATAAGTAATACATCTGTAGATTGAGTAATGCTATTAATTACTACTACTATTAGGTATTGCTATTAATACTCAGGTGTGAGAATTGGGGGGAACACAGGTATGAAAGGCAGAAGAGAGGGGTTGCAAATGGGCATGAAGAAACTTTTGGAGGTAAAGGATAGCGTCACTACCTTGATGACCATGATGGTTTCATGAGTGTATGCATATGTCAAAACTTACTAATTCATACACTTTGAATATGTACACTTTATTATATGTAAATGATATCTCAAAAAAAGTTGTGTTTTAGAAAGGTGCAGTGAGGTCCAAGAGAGAACTAAGAATTTATCAATGGGCCTGGCACGGTGGTTCACTCCTGTAATGCCAGCACTTTAGTAGGCTGAAGTGGAAAGATCGCTTGAACCCAGGAGTTTGAGACCAGACTGGGTAACATAGGGAGACCCCATCTCTACAAAAAATAAAAAAATTACCCGGGTGCAGGTGCAGTGGCGTGTGCCTATAGTCCCAGCTACTCAGTAGGCTGAGGCGGGAGGATCACTTGAGCCCAGGAGGCAGAGGTTGTAGTGAGCTGAGATCATGCCACTGTACTGCAGCCTGGGTGACAGAGTGAGACCCTGTCTCAAAAAAAAAAAAAAAAATTATCACTGGATCCAGCAATGTGGAGGTCATTAATCTAGGCGACCTCCAGTCTGGATTTGCCCAGGACTGTGGTGGTTCCTGGAACACAAGACTTTCCATTTTAAAGCCTGGAAATGTCCCAGGCAATCAGGGATGAGCTGCTGACGCTGACAGGATGAGAGGGGCATCTGTCATGGAAGTCAGTGGCAACCTTGACAAAGGCTGTTTCGGTGGGACTCTGGGGACAAAAACCCTCTGGAATAGTTCAAGATAGAATGAGAGAAGAATTGGGGATACTGAATATAGACAACTCTTTTGAGAATTTTTGTTCCAGCAGCAAGGAGAGAATTGCGGTAGTAACTGGGGAGGTGGGGGGGATAGGGTGTCCAGCAAGTTAAGTTTTAAGATAGGAGTAATTACAGCCTGTGTGTGTGCGAATGGAAATAATCCAGTAGGGAGAAAGTTTTTGATAATGCTGCACCATACAGACAGAGATCACTGCAGGAGAAAAGCCTCCAGTAGCCGACCTACTTCTCAAAGCAGAGTTCCCACATGTGGTCTGCAGCTCCCTGCCAGGCCACAGGAGCTCCCACAGTGGGTCACAGTGACCCCTCATGTCTCTTCTTCACTTCTTACAGGCAAGTGACTCCTGCTTCTATAGACTCTCATACTTTTGGCTTAGAAGGGTTACTTACTAGTAACGTAATAAGTGAGTCATGAAAAGTTACTAAAATGTACTATCCATAAACTAAAATTACCTAGGACTCTGACTGTGTCCTTTGCTAAAAAACCTGGCTGCCACACAACACTTGGCAACACTGTCAAGCTCCTACCCTGCAAGCACACTTGCAAATGGTTAGAATTTCACAACTTTCCGGAAGGGCTCATGGCTACGACTTCATCAGTGTTGCCCACTGGCTGTGGTTTTTGTTTCGTTACTGATGGCCTTGCTATTTTTATTATAAAAGCTTCTTTTAGTTTAGCTTTAATGTGACCATTCACCTTTTAGTGGGTTGCTAGGTTTACTTCACAGTCTACAATAATCCAGATTGGCAGCGATAATATTTAACCTGCAATTTTCCTGTATTTCATCAAGGCCGTCTAAGTTTGATGTTCAACCCTTAATCACTCATATCCCTATGATGGGCTGTTAGCAAATATCAGCTACTTTCATAAGTAAAACAAAACTATTGAGAGTTATTTTTAAGTTTTTAGGAAATTGTTTTATAGTACAAAAATCCTTTAGTATGTTCATATTCTTTTTTTTTTTTTTGAGATTGAGTCTCCTTCTGTTGCCCACGCTGGAGGGCAGTGGCACGATCTTGGCTCAATGCAACCTCCACCTCCTGGGTTCAAATGATTCTCCTGCCTCAGCCTCCTGAGTAGCTGGGATTACAGGCACCTGCCACCACACCCAGCTAATTTATTGTAATTTTAATAGAGACAGGGTTTCACCATGTTGGCCAGGCTGGTCTCGAACTCCTGACCTCAAATGATCCACCCACCTTGGCCTTCCGAAGTGCTGGGATTACAAGTGTGAGCCACCGCGCCCAGCCTAGTATGTTCGTATTCTAAAGTAACTACTAAGTGAATCATTTATGTATTGCTAGCAGCACGGCAAATTCAATCTGTTTTATTTCTTTCCATTCTTTATAATCCTTGAGTTTTTTCCTGAGTGGAAATTTGAGGGGAGGGGAGAGCACGAAGTCTTATACCCTGCCTGTGAGTGCCACAGTCAAAAGGTTCAGGGGCCCCAGTTCTACAATTCTAGAAGGGGTTTTAGGACTTTTCAGGACAGACCTTCATGCCAGCGCAGGCAGAGTTTATAACTCTCCAAATCCTGTGAACAGCGGTTTTCCTAATTCCAGCCTGGCCCCCACAAGTGCCCACAGCTATTCCTTCCTTCTTCTTAAGAACCAGCCCAGAGTAGGCTGTGGCTGTGCACAACAGGGAATAACATCCCATTTTTCTGGGCTGCATCTTTCATTTTTTTCTTGCCCCTTTGGCTTCTCTCTTCTCCTTGCCCCAAGATTTAGACTTACTGCTCTAAATATAGCTTCCAACAGGTGTGCAGCCAGGGTGGGGAGGCTGTGGTCCAGCTGTCCCCAGACACATGGATTCTCTCCAAAGGCCTTGCTGGGCCACAGCATTGGGAGGGACAAAAGGAGGCACAGCTTCTCATTCCCAGAGCAAAGCTGAGCCCAAGAGAGTGCGCAAGCTACCTCCAGACTAGGGAGAACTACTCCAGGTCAACAAGGAATCAGGAATTAGGTCCTATGTTCCCATTCGTGGCAGACATTGCCAGATGTCTACTCAATAACCGTGTCCTCCTTTCTTGTTAGTATAAACCTCATTTGTCAGGAAGGTGGGGGTGGAGAAAGGGATCAACAGAACAAAGAGTCCCAGCTAAAGACAAAACTAAATTAAACAGGTCAAGCGCAGTGGCTCATGCCTGTAATCCCAGCACTTTGGTAGGCTGAGGCGGGCAGATCACTTGAGGTCAAGAGTTCAAGACCAGCCCGGCCAACATGGTGAAAACCTGTCTCTACTAAAAAAAAAAAAAAAAAAATTAACCAGGCGTGGTTGTGCGCACCTGTAATCCAAGCTACTTGGGAGGCTGAGGTAGGAGAATTGCTTGAACCCAGGAGGTGGTGGAGGTTGCAGTGAGCAGAGATTGCACCATTGTACCCCAGCCTGGGTGACAGAGCAAGACTCTGTCTCAAAAAAAAAAAAAAAGGCTAAATTAAACATTATATTTTCTAGCCTACCTCTGGCCAATAAGACATACATACATTAAAAGGTTTCTAAGAAAGACTTGCTTTCCTCTCTTCCTGCCCACGTCCTGATAAGTGGGGCTGCAGCAGCCATCTTGTGACCATGAGGAAATGGCCAAGAGAAACAGAGACTGCGGATCCAAATCTTTGAACCACTAAAACACTACCACTACTTATCACTCTTGTTGTGTGGGGTTAAAAAAATAATAAATACTTACAGGTTTAAATTCCATCTCTTGACTGAATGCAAGTCCTAATGGATAAACCATCTGATATGGTATGGCCTGGCTCTGTGGCCCCATCCAAATCTCATCTTGAATTGTAATCCCCATATGTTGAGGGAGGGATCTGGTGGGAAGTGACAGGATCATGGACACGGTTTCCCCCATGCTGTTCTTGCGATGGTGAGGGAGCTCTTATGAGATCCCATGGTTTACAAGCGTGGCATGTCCTCCACGTGCTCTCTCTCCTGCCACCTTGTAAAGAAAGTGCCTGCTTCCCCTTTGCTTTCCACCATGATTGTAAGTTTCCTGAGGCCTCCCCAGCCATGCAGAACTGTGAGTCAATTAAACCTCTTTTCTTTATAAATTATCCAGTCTCAGGTAGTATCTTTATAGTAGTGTGAACATGGACTAATGCACTATCTTTCACCCAGGGCATGGGGCTGGGCAGGTAACTGAAGACATGCCTGTTTGATATCATCCCTCCTTCCTCCCCTGCTCCTCTTCCCCCTCCTCCCTTATCTCCTCCCTTTCCCCCTTCCTCATTGAGACTGTACTCTGCACCAAGCTCTGGGCCATGCCCTGAGAGAAAGGAGTGAAACTTCAGGTAGCCCTGGGGAGAGCCTGCCACCTGCTCTACAGGGCTGATCTTATCCCCAGAGATAAGCTTGGGTCTCCTAGGTGATTTCTATGGCTTCTCCCTCTGCATATGCTTTCTTTCTCTTCTTAGGGGGGCAGGTGGTAGAGAGGGAAGAGCATAAATCTCTGTCACAGCCCTGTGTTTGAATCCCAGCTCTGCCCCCTATTGGCTGTGAGATCCAGGAGAATCACTGAGTACAGTTTAAGTGTGAGCTCCTCTGAACAATGAACTGCCCTGTGGATTAAATGACACAGCAAGAGTTTACCCTTAGTGGGTGCCTACTCTGGGCCAGATGACTTTTAGACATGATTTCTGATCATCAGAGGCAGTGCTTTTTAAATTTGAAGGTGCAAAGAATCACAAGGATCACAAGGAATGTGCAAGGATCTTGTTTAAAGGCAATTTTGATTCAGGAGGCCTGGGGTGAGGCCTGAGATTCTGTACTGCTAACAAGCTCTCAGGATGCAGCTGGTCTACAGACCACTCTCTGAGTATCCAGGCTTACATATAAATACATGAGGTAGGTCAGAGGTCACAAACTCAAATCCAGAGGGCCAGCAGCAAAACTCACTCTGAGCAAGAGGTGCTGGTGGGACCATGGCAAACTGAAGCAGGGATGCCTTGTCTGAAGGAGGTAGCCCTCTGCAACCTCACAAAAAGGTGGGCTCAGCATTGCCAAATATTTCCCCTCTTTTCCCCCAAAGAAACCAACATTCCAGCGTTCCTGATTGTAAACAACAAATTCAACTTTTAACAGCTTCATTGAGGTATAACTGACATACAACACACTCCAGATATTTGAAGTTTACAAGTTGGTAAGTTTTTATATTTGTAAACACCCGTGAATAAACTCAATTTTTTCAAAAAAAACCACTCAGTCAGCTGACTAAACATAGTTGCAGATCAGATAACAGGCTGTAAACCTCCAATTGCATCCTCTGAAATAGGACTAGTACTTCCACTTTAAGATGTGATCACTGAGAACTAGAAAGGTGAAGTGACCATCCTAAGGTCACACAGCCTGCAAGGAAGGTGTCAAGGTTCAATCCTGGATCTGACTCCACAGTTCATGCCCTCCTCCTTCATCCTCTGCCACCAAGGAAAGTCTCTCATGTCACCTGTCTCTGGGACTATAACAAATAAAGGATGACTCCCTGCCCCCTTCTCCACTTCTCATTCTCAGGAAATGATCTCTAAAGTACAAAGGCTCAGCTCACACATGTAACCCTAGAAGAAGTAATAAAACAGGTTCTGCTGAAATCATGAACACTCCTAGAAAATGGATCCAACTCCAGAAGTCTCTGTTCTGACTCCCAAAGCACAGCTCTGGGGGGCTCTCTGCAGCCTAATGACTCCTGTGGGAGAGCCCAGGTCCCCAGAACACACATAGAGGGCAGGAACTGACCAAAGCCCTCAGGGAGCAGATTCCAAATCAGGGAGAATGTTACTTCAGCTACAAGTAACAGAACGCCTCAACTCAAAGTATCTTAGCATGTAAGAGGGTTTATTACCTGATAGATCAGGAAACACGGAGTTGGGAAGACAGGATTCCAGACACGGTACTTCAGCACTCTGACTCTCTTCTCAATGGTTTTCTGAGAGTTGCCCCACTCTGTGTATTGGCTGGAAGCAAGGTTGCCACAGAAGTTCCCAGGCATCACAGCTGGACAAAGAAGAGAAACCATATTTTCCTGAGCTATTTATTAGAAGTGAGGAAACGTTTCTCAAAAGTCCCCCTGCAGACTTCCCCTCATGTCTCCTGTAGTCTTTCCATGGCCTGAACTTCCTCACACTATGGAGATTAGGTTCCAAGGGCAAGCACTGAGAGAGAGAGAAAGAGAGAGAGAATATAAATATGCAAGTGGGACAGATGTCACATCTCCTTTCATGACCTAGCCTCAAAGTCATGCAGCATCACTTGCACCACATTTAATTCATCAAGGCAGTCACAAAGGGCCATCCGGCTTCAAGGAGAGGAGACACAGAATCCACATCTTGATGGAGCAGTAGCAAGTTCTCAAAAAACAGGAAACAGATTGTGGCCACTTTGGGAAAATATAATTTTCCACATAAAGGGATCTCATCGCTGTTTGCCTGGCCCCCCTCACACAGCTCACTCCCATAGCCAAGTCTTACTGGGCAGGATGGAGACCACCTGTAGAACACTCCTGCAAGGGTTCCCTTGTCAACACCCACATTTCCCTGAAATGAATGGCTGGTTTCCCTCGGGACTACAGTTCTAACCATGGCTGATGTTGAGAAAATCTTACATGTAAATCTCCTGAAACAAGGGGCTAATGTTGGCCATGGCACTAGAATTTAACACTTCTGTCTTGAGCTAGACTCTGTTGTCTACTCTTGTCAGTCTCTGTGTTGTATCTGGGGACGAACTTTCTCATCTCAGAGGCCAGAGCCTCCAGTTTGCTTTGTTTAGTGCCAAGTTTGTCCAGATACTGTTGATACTAGTCTGTTTCAGAATTTTACACTTATTTGAACATTTACTTACTTTTACTAATCTCTACTGCTAAACTCTGAGCAGTTAATACTCTACATAATATCTAGGTACCAAGGTGAGCTTTGTCTTGTAATGATTACAGAGGATTTATGAAAGACAGCTCAGGCCAGTCTCTGATGTCTTAAGTTTCCTCTCTAGCTGGCTAACAAGATATCTATGTGGAAAGGGGAAGTACAAAACACACTACTTCTTTTTCAAAGTCCTTATCACAATTGTAAATAATCATTTGGAATAATTATGTGTTTAAGATGGTCGTACATAGGTTCTAAAATCCCTATCAGTCTTGTTCAAGCCTAGCTTGCCTGGAACATGGAAGGTGTTCAATAGATGTTTGCTGAATATTACAGGATAGAATGAAGCAGTAGAAATTAGGAAGGTAGCAGACCCTGTTGGTCACTTCCCTGTCAGTTATTCCTTCTTTCTTAGCTGTGGCAGGCACTGTAAGCCTATGTGAGATAACCACACAGGGCTCCATCAGTAGCTAAAGCAAGTGCTGTGTTGATGACATTGTAATATATATTAAATCATATGTTATTTCCTCAATTAATAGATTGAAGGTAAGGGAATAAACAGCACAGCCTCACACCCATTCTCTTCCTCTCTGATGTTTCCTTCTTAAGAAACAAACACATGGCTTCATTACCAACAAGCTTAGGATAAATTAATAGGAGCTGAAATCCATGAAATTAGATTCACTTTTCTAATTAGCTGGAGAGTTCACAGATACCAGGGCGGTCTTTATCACGGGCTCTCTTCTCCTTGGGATGGGGATAGGCATTTGTGATCTCAGAAAATTAAACCCTCCCCCCTTACATTCTACAAAAAAATTTCTGATTGAAGTGTAAATGTGAATTTCCTTTGGCCACCTGGAAGATCATTTTGAAGTTGTGAATCTTGAGCAAATTGCTCATTAATTCCACCCTGTGTTTGAGAGATTGTGTGATACGCAATTTCCATTTTCAAAGGAATTGTCTTATACTAATAATGTCCTCAGATTATTTGGCACCCTCCATGGAGTTCAAAGTGATTTTGAGACCTTTTGTCTTTAATTCCCACATGCCAAAGAGAGAAAACGGGGGGCCAGGAGAGAAAGTAACTGCTTTCCAGATAGCCAAGTGAAGGAGGCTGAGGTCAGGGAGCCAGGGGCCAGGAGAGACAGAACAAAGTTGTCAAGATGACCCAGTGGGTCAGTGGCAGCCCCAGAGAATCCCAACTCTTATTTCATTTTCTCCTCCAGCCAACCAACCACCCCAATTATTTCCTAAGATTCTGAAACTGTCCAACAGACCCATGAGGCTCAAAGCAAGGACTCTGGAGGCCTGGCCCTGCCTCTTCTAAGGATTCACTACATGACTAAAAATGGCAAAATTTGCCCAGTGAAAGAACGGGCTCCCTGTCCACAACAGCTAGATGCCCAGTTTCCAGGAGTCCTTTCATTCACGCATGCATTCAGTTATATGACAACTTTTTATTGAGCACCTACTATGCACCAGACACTGTTCTGAGTGCTGAGAATATAGAAGTGGATACATGAACAAAAATCTTTGCCCTCACAGAGGCTATCCCAGTGGGGAAGGCAAACAATGAACAAAAGAAATAAGTAAAATATAAGTTTTGTTAATAGTGATAAATGCTAGAAAGAAAATAAAGCAAGGACAAGGGACTTAGTGTCAATCCCAATCAGGGTACAAGATGGGTTGAATTTTTAGTTGGGATAACCCGGGAACACTGCACTGAAAAAGTCCAGGAAGAGAAGAAAGATCACAATGAATACTATGGAGGGTATCACAGCCTTGGACCAAACATGGGACCAGGTATTTCCTACAGTCTCTTCTGAAATAAATTCATTCCTCTCTCACGCATCTATGCAAGTATTCTTCAGAGGGTTGTAGGAGTTAAGAAATTAATGAATATTTGTACAGGGTTGAATAGTGTGCCCCCCAAAATGCATGTCAACCCCAGGACCTCAGAATGTGACCTTATTCGGAAATAAGGTCTTTGCAAATGTAATTTGCTAAAATGACATTATATTGGTTTAGGGTGGACCTTCTGGTATCCTTCTAAGAAGGCCATAAAGTGACACAGAGGACAAACATGGGGAAGATAGTCATGTAAAGATGGAGACAGATATTGGAGTGAGGCAACTACAAGACATGAAATGCCAAAGGTTGCCAGGGACCACCAGAAGCCAGGGAGACGCATGGAACGTGTCCTCCCTCACAACCTCCAGAAGGATCCAACTCTGCTGACAGCTTAATCTGGGACTTCTGGCCTCCTGAACTGTGAGATGATAAACTTCTATTGGTCTAAGCCACCTAGTTGGTGGTAACTTGTTACAACAGCTCTAGACAACGGATACAGATTTTGGTACCAAGAAGTGGTGCTGCCTAAAATATGTAAGGGCTTTGGAATTGGGTGATGGGTAGAGGCTGGAGGAATTTTAAGCCTAGACTGTCGAAAGAGATTATCAGTACAAATATAGGCATTAAAGTATACTCTGGTGAGGACTCAGAAGGAAGAGCACAGCAGAGAAAGCACCTATCATCTTAGAGAAAATGTATATTGTCATGAAAAAATATCAGTTGAAATATGAACATTAAAGATCTTTGGTGATATCTGAGATTGAAATAAGGAGCCTATCATTGGAAACTGGAGGAAAGAGTGGCAAAGAACTTGGCTGAGTTGTGTTTTAGTGTTGGGTGGAAAATAGAACTGGTAAGTAACTTGGATATCTAGCTGAAGAGATTTCCAAGCAAAATATGGAAGGTGCAGTCTGGTTTCTCCTTGCTGTTTTTAGTAAAATGCAAGGGGAAAGAGATAAATTGAGAAGGAGCTACTAAGCAAAAAGGAACCAGAACTTGATTATTTGGAATATTTTCAACTCATCCATATTATAAAAGATGATAAGGCATGCTCTAGAGGAACACCAAGGGTGTGGCTGAGCAATCTTCTGGTGCCGTTAGATGTACAAATTACGGATCCAACCAACCATCTCAGCAGGAGCCAGGAATAGAGATGGGGCTACCGAGGAAGGATCTGTAAAGAACTCTGTGTCTAATGAAGTGGATCCTCTTAATATACACAGGAGACCCACCAGGATTTTGAGAATGTCATGTCACCAACAACACTACCAGCTTGGGCTAAATGGAACAGAGACAGGAAAAAATGAAAGAAAGCTGCCATTATTCTGGGATTCTATAGGCAGGAAACCAGCCAATAGAGTGATTCAGCTGTGAACATGTATTATCCTTCAAAAAAGGAAAAGATGACTGGGGGAACCCATCAGGGCTGCCTGTGCTTCCCCTATAGAAAGTGTCACCCAAGATATTAGGGCTCCTGTGAAGCAATTCTTGTTCCCTACATATAGCACAGAAGCAGGGGAACATCAAGGAACCACAGAAGCAGAGACTGATGGGGGTCCTTAGGTGTAGTTCCGTGGGTAGAGCTTATGTTGATCCAAAGACTCAGGAATTAAAAAGTTATTTGACCTCGACACACTTAACATACCATACCAAGATGGGGATAGAATATCCCTCAAGAGAAACCCCCATCTAAAAGGCGGGGGTAGGCTAGGCACAGTGACTCATGCCTGCAATCCCAGTATTTTGAAAGACTGATGTGGGAGGATCACTTGAGGCCAGGAGTTCAAGATCAGCCTGGGCAACATAGCAAGATACTGTCTCTCCAAAAAATAAAATAAAACAACAAAAAATAAATTATCCAGTCATGGTGGCATGCGACTATAGTCCCAGTTAGGAGGATCACTTGAGCCCAAGAGTTCAAGGCTGCAGTGAGCTATGATCCAGCCACTGCACTCCAGCCTGGGTGACAGAGCAAGACCCTGTCTCTAAATTAATTAATTAATTAATTAATTTAACAAAGGGGAGAGGCAAGTGGGAGGTACATGTAGTCACTATTCCATAGTGATTTTGAAATCTAGCTGGGCAGATATTATCAGTTCCCTCTACTCTAAAGGCAAGGAGTTTTCTTTGACTAGGACCTATTTTGTGCTTCCTGGGAGTGATTTCCTAACCTATTGTTCTCTTTGGTTCTTGGCTTCATACTCTGGGCTCCACTATCTGAGACATCTCCCTTTTCAAAAATGAATAGATCCTATTTACAGCTGGATCTCTGTTTTCTGCCTGTAAAAAGTTGGAAGCCTAGAGATCGTTTTTCATTTTGTTGTTTCTGTCTTTTTATTTTTATTTTTTGAGACAGAGTCTGTCTCTGTCACCCAGGCTGGGGTGTTGGAGTGTAGTGGTGTGATCATAGCTAAGTGCAGCCTCGAACTCCTGGGCTCAAGCAATCCTCCCACCTCGTCCTCCTAAGTAACTGGGACTACAGGTGCACGCAACCACAGCTGGCTAATTTTTAAAAAAAAATTTTAGTAGAGACAAGTTCTCGCTATGTTGCCCAGGCTGCTGGTCTCAAACTCCTGAGCTCAGGCCATTCTCCCACTCCAGCCTACCAAAGTGCTGGGACTAGAAGCATGAACCACCACACTCAGCCTCTGTACCTTTTAATCCAAGTTAGTATATTTTTTTTCCCAAGACAATTCTCTTTTTTGTGTGGATTTCCCATGAATCTGGGTGGGAGCGACTCCATGCTTCAAAAGCCACATTTATAATACTTTCCGAGCTACATCTCTTTCTACTTTGGGTTGGTGTCCAGATTGTTTCAGAAGCTCCTTTGTCTAGCTAAGAGGATCTACGAGGTACTGGCTTAAATCTTTCTGAGGTCTAAACAGAGTCTTACAGCCACAATATTGATTCGTTCTTTACCCTGGGACCATTTCTTATTTTGAGTATCTTTTGCTGGAGAGACTGTCCTAGACTGTCTATATTGCGTCTAGATTTTGCTTGAAAACTGAATGGCTCCTTCTTGAATTCTTCCCTCCCTTATGATACCTTATCTTATGCTGCTAAAAGAAGCCAGTAGGCACTTTCAATATTCTCTGTGGAAATCTCCTTAGCTAGATCCACAGGTTTATTAGCTGCATTTTCTATCCTCCAAACAACACTAATTGTGTTATATAACACAGGTTGCCTTTTCTCCAGCCTCCAATAACAGCTTCCTCACTGTTCTCCCATTGTCCAATAACAGTTTCTTTGTCATCCTTCCATCCTCCAGCTGCCATGAAGTCCCAAAGTCTATCTGTGTATTTTATTTTTATTTTATTTATTTACTTATTTTTAGAGACAGAGTCTTGCTCTATCACCCAGGCTGGACTGCAGTGGCAGGATCACAGCCCACTGCACCCTCAAACTCTTGGGCTCAACCAATCCTCTTGCCTCAGCCTTCCAAGTATCTGGGACTACAGGGGTGAGCCACCAAACTTAGCTAATTGTTTTTTGTTTGTTTGTTTGTTTTTTAGAGTTGAGGTCTTGCTATGTTTCCCAGGCTGGTCTCGAACTCCTAGCCTTAAGCGATCCTCCTGCCTCAGCCTCCCAAAGTGCTGAGATTGCAGGCTTGAGCCACTGTGCCCAGCTGCCATATGTTTTAAATTTTTGCTACAGTAGCACCTCTACTCCTATTTCAAATTTCTATTTCAGTTAGCCTCTGCTACATGAAAAAAAAAAAAAACAACTATTCCAAAACTTAGTAGCCTAAAATTAGCAATCTGGGCTGTGCTCAACTGAGCAACTTGTTTCTGCAACAGATGGTTTCAGCTGACTCACTCTTGCACTTGCAGCCAGCTGGTACCTCAACTGGAGGTGGAGGAACCAAGACAGCCTCACTCACCTGCTTAGGCCCAGCTGGGATGACTGACATGGCTGAGAGTGGGCTAGGCCTCACTCTCTTTCCACAGGGCTTCCTATATTCAAGGATGTTAGCATGGGCTCCTTTACAGGGAGTCCTAGGGCAACATGAGACTGAAAGCAGAGGCTGTAAGGCTCCATCGTGCCTCAGAACTTGCACGATGTCCCTTTTGCTGCATTCTGTTGCCCAAGCAAGCCACAAGACTGGCCCGGATTCAACAAGGAGAGAACTACAGAAGGGCAGCAATTCAGGACCTTCATTTCTCGATATACCAGGATCCTCAAAGATTGAAAATAGTCTGGGTTCTCTGGGCCAAAGGAGAGTCTCTAGCCCAGAGTAAGAGTTCAGTCAGCATTAGACGAACGGGCCAAATAAACATGTGCAATGTGCTGTCCTCACCGGCTGAAGAGTCACTTGTACCAGGAGGAAGGCGTCATCTAGTCCCACCCTTGTGGCATCCTCATCCCCTCAATGTGAGCCCTAGCATGTGGCTCCCTCCTCTACCCGCTCACCCCCGGATGTAGGACCAAGCTCAGATGGATCATCTAGGTAACCACAGGTTCCTGCCCACTCGCTTCTGGGGTGTCATGAAGCCTGGACTATCCCAATAGGAAGGGACTCTTCTGCAAGGCCCACCGGCACAGCAGCCTCACTCTCGTGGGGCAAATCACAGAAAGGGAAAGGAGGGGAAGAGTGTGCATAGGGGTGTCCCCACTCCTGCTCCCAGAAAGGCCTTACCAGCCCTAGGATCATAGATGGGCAGATCAGGAAGGTCCCTATCCACTGCACAGAAGGAAATAGAGGCACAGAGAGAGAAGCCTCTGGTCAGAGGTCAGTGGCAGAGTCACATCCCAGGATAAGGGCCTGATCTCAAAGTTCATCAGTTTTCTCAGGCAGTCACACAGCAGACACCCACCCAGATGAGAAGACCTGCAAGGATTGCCCAAAACACTTAGGAGACAGTGCAGGGGAAAGGTGAGGAAATGGAGAAGAGTTGTCCCTTCCCCAGGGAAACCCCGAAACAGACCCTTTCCCCACCCAGGGCCTCCTGACAGCAGGGCCTGACAAGTAGGGTCAGGGCTGGGAGTGTCTCTAGATGCTGAGCGTGCCATGTTCCTCCCGGCCTATCAGTAAGGAATGGGGCCCCACCCCACCCTCAAGGCTCACCCATCATCCCCAGCCTCTTGCCCCAGCTGCCAACGGAGGCAGCCCCAACACAACCTCCACCAGGCCAGTTCCCTCAGCCCCCACCTCTCCTGACCCTCCCACCTCTTCCAAGCTGCAGCCCACCCCCACCAGGCTGCCTGCCTGTGTCAGCCCCCAGGGTGAACAGCCTGCCAGCCCCTGAGCTCATCCGTCACTTACCCTACTTGGTGCTGGGCCCAGGAGACAGAGATTACTCAGGTCCAGCCCTGCCCTCGGGTCCTTCCAGACAAGGACAAATGGCCATTTTCCCTTTGACAAGCAGATTGATGCTTTTCTGTCAGGAGAAGCTCTTAGAGCCTGGGAAATGTTGTCCCCTCTGGCTCCAGAGCAGCTCTGAGGCCAATGAGACTATAGCTAAGGGTCTCCCTCCCCAGCCACCACCTCCACCCTGGAATTTTCCATAAATCCTTGGGTAAAAAAGATTAAGAAGAGAGAGAGAACTGGAGAGAGGTGCACACTCTCAGGCATCCTCATGCACACATAGGCACAAGCCCTACACACATCCCACTCGGACATGGGCACACACACGCCACAAGCATGCACACACAGAGAGACACAGGCACACGAACACCATGAGCATGCGTCACACATAGACACACATACCATGAGGATGCACACAGAGACACATACCATGAACATGCACACAGGCGCACATGTGCCATGAACATGCATACACAGATACACATGCCATGAGCATGCATACACACAGTGAACATGCACACACAGACATACAGACACACACGTGAGCATGCATGCACACAGGCACACCCATTATGAGCATGCACACAGACATATGCCATGAGC
The DNA here is from genome assembly GCF_000001405.40 of Homo sapiens. Lineage (NCBI taxonomy): Eukaryota > Metazoa > Chordata > Mammalia > Primates > Hominidae > Homo > Homo sapiens. The sequence goes on along the minus strand of NC_000015.10, from coordinate 72,825,325 downwards.
ATGCACACACACAGATACACAAGCACACAAACACCATGAGCATACATGCACAGAGACACATTCACCATGAGCATGCACACACAAACGCATGCCAGGAACATGCACACACACAGAGACACAGGCACACAAACACCATGAGTATGCACGCACACAGCAATGCGAACACCAGACACACAACCAGATACAAACATACCAGCATACACACAGACACACATGCATACTTAGACACATGAACACCTACAGAAAGTCACACCCAAGTGAACATGCATGCATAAACACACATAGAAGCCCACGAGCACCCACCTCATCGCACAAGATCATGTGCAAACACAAAGATGACATGGAGGCCCACACATGCTGCAGCCATGGCACACAGACACACACACACAGGCATTCACACACAGGCAAGTTCGCATGAGGTCCCCAAAGTCTCATGATCACGCTGTGAGGTGAGTGCATTACACTGACTCCAGTCCACTTTGCTCCACCTGGGGCTGGGTGGTGCCCCTGCCTACAGTCTGGGGTTTTGCTGCCGTCCCTACCTGGATGGGCTCCAGCCTACTGACAGGAGGATTAATGGAGATCTGGGGGCATCTTTGAGAGGAGGAGAATGCCCTCTGAGGGAGTCCTCAGCCAAGCTGGGGCACATTCAGTGGCCCTGGGTGGGCTTCAAGGGTGGGCTTCAAGAGTGTCAGATGTCATTACAAGCCAAGCTAGCCACACTTCCCCAGCTGCAGATCAGGAAACTCCAACACAGGGCCCAAACCATGAGGCTGCTCTCTGGAGAGATGGGGAGGCTTCAGCATCCCTCCACTTGCCTCTGCTGAGAGGGAGGGAACCAAAGCCACCCCAGCCCCTGCCCTGCCCCATGCCCTTCCAGCCAGGAATCCCAGACAGACTTGCTGCTCCAGCAGATTTCCGGAGATGGGAGTAGACGAATCGATGATGCTCGGAGCATTTACAGCCAGTGGGAAAAGTCGCCCTGGGCCTCCCTGACACCAGAAATAAATGATTCCACGAACAGAAAACCACTCAGACGCGGACGAATGACCCGCTGGAGAGTGCTTTCACCTTGAGAAATTGCAGGCACTGGCGGCAGCCAGGGCTATGAGCTGGGTGGTCTGCGCAGCCCAGGGTCAGATCACATTGCATCCAGGCCCCAAGACCCCGACAGCCCAAGCCACAGCCACCGGCAGTTCTGCCAGGCAGCCTCTCATCTCTAGGGTACATGCGAGGCAGGAACCTACAGGCCCAGCCCTTCTACAGAGCAGCTGCTTGGAAGGATCCGTCTGTGGACAAAAATGGGGTTCTGTTTTCTTCAACAGAAAACCTGGTTTCTTTTTCTTCTCATGTCATTCCAAGGCTGCTGACAAGCAAATCCCCCAACCCAAAGTGTTTCTGGGAGTACCAGCAGGTGTCCCACATATGTTCATGGACATGGCTGGTCAGTTGCTATATGACAGCTGATGTATTTCTCTTCTGCTGGGAACTGTGTCTGCCTGACACTGACGCTTCTGCTGGGTACTGCTGGGTCCACCTGGCATCACTGTGGGGCCAGGGCCCATTCCTCCAGATGCAAAGCTGTGCCCCCAGCAGTTGAAAGCAGAGGCAGAACCTCCCTCCTCCCATGCCACTCTATCAAAGGGATCTGGAACAGAGTTGCTTGTGCCTCACTGCCTCACGGAATTTTAGGAAAATGACTTTTGCAATTCCAACCATGCCACCCATCTGCTCTCCCATACCTTAGCATCCAGACATGAGTCCATGGAAGTCAGTGATAGAGAGAGAGGACCCAGAACTTTCCTGTCCCCTAATGACTTCTGCTGAGCAAATCTATTGGCCTGGCCGCCTATTCCCCTAGGTGAGGACTCTTCCCAAAGGACCATAATCCACACAAAAGAGCATCCTGTCCCACTGTTGCCAGAGATATCTAGCCTCACTGAATTCAAGAGATGGACACTGGTTTGGCTCAAGAGAACCCTGTTACACCCAAATATATGTTCAGCCTGCAAAAGTAATAACGACACCCTAATAATGACGGGGCAAGAGCTGGGCTTGGGGCTGTTTACCACCAATTCCAACTGCAATGGCCCAAAAGGCAAGAATATTGTCTGCCCTGGGCAGACGCTTGTGCTCTGCTAAAGGCTAAAATGGGACCACGACCTCTCAAGGTCTTGGTGTTTCCCACTCCCATGACCCCACTTGCTGCTTTTCCTTATAAAGTGAAGACTACTGGTGTGGAAGAAGGGAGGGAATACCAACAGCTATGGTCTCAATGTTTGTTTCCCCCCCAAAATTCATATGTTGATATCCTAACCTCCAAGGTGATGGTATTAGGAGGCGGGGCCTTTGGGAAGTGATTAAGTCATGGGAGCAGAGCCCTCGTGAATGAGATTAGTGACCATATAAAAGATGCCCCAGGCTAGGTGCAGTGGCTCATATCTGTAATCCCAGTACTTTGGGAGGCCAAGGCAGGCTGATTGCTTGAGCCCAGGAGTTCAAGACCAGCTTGAGCAACATGGCAAAACCCTAACTCTACAAACAATAAAAAAATTAGCTAAGCATGGTGGTGTGTGCCTGTAGTCCCAGCTACTCAGGAGGCTGAGGTGGGAGGATCACTTGAGCCCAGGAGGTCAAATCTGCAGTGAGCTGTGATCGAACCACTGCACTCCAGCCTGGATGACAGAGCAAGACCTCATCTCAAAAAAAAAGGCCAAACACCAAAATATAAAAGATGCCCCAGAGAGACCCTTCCTTCTTCCACCAAGTGAGGACACAACAAGAAGTCCATCTAGGAGGAAGCAGTCCCTCACCAGACATCAAATCTGCCAACACCTTGGTCTTGGACTTCCCAGCCTCTAGAACTGTGAGAAATAAATTTCTGTTGTTTATAAACCATCCTGTTTATGGTATTCTGTTACAGCCTGGAAAGACTAAAACACTGATCCATGCTAGAAAACAACATTCTTCCTCCCCAAGCTTCCAGCTCCAGCCTTCAGGACACTTGCTCAGTCTTCCCAGCCCCTGCACTGCTGCTCAGAGACAGGCCATGAAGACTGATGACCCTGCAGTTTTGGGAACTGACCTCCCCAGGGGACTCTGCTAACACTCCCACCTCATTTCCCCTTCAGACTGGCCTGGAGTGATTCTCTCCTGAAAGGCTTAACCCCGTTACCTTTGGTTTCTGCATTTACAGGGAAGTTCCAGTACAGAGCCACTGGACATCACCCAAATATCCACACTCTTCTTGAATATGATGCTAACAACATCCCCAGTGGTGTTCTTCTCAAGCTCAAGCAGCCTGACAAGGCTTCCTGGGAGAGAAGAGGCCTCTGAAAGAGTAGGATTGAGTTGCAGCCAGCACAAAGAGAGAGGAAGGCCTCACAGTCAGTGGATCTCCACCCCTGAGAATGTGGAGTTAGCCCAGGGGTATGATCCCCCAGCCTTGGACCAGCTGAGGACCATGATCCCCAAACCCTGAGCACCATGGGGACCAGCCCAGGGATATGATACCCCAACCCTGAGGACCATGGGGCCAGCTCAGGGCTATGACCCTCCAGCTGCCCTGAGGACCAGACCGTGGAGACCAGCTTGAGCTTAACTTGGTTAAGCTCTGAGACTAGCACTACAAGGGACATGGAAAGTGCCCTAAATACGACGAAACAACACCCAGGGTAGGGCCCTCCACTGTAGCCTGTGCTGAGGCACTAGCCTGCCTTTGGGTCAGCCCAGAAGGGGAACTAGAAAAGGCTTCCAAAAGGCAAAGCCCAAAAGGGGAAACAGGAACCAGGAGGGTCATGGAGGACAGGGACAGCAGGGCCCATGTAAACTGCACAGGAAGAAAGGCACTTGGCTGTGGCCTTGAGGAGATTCATGCATGAAGGTAAAGGCAGGAGTTGGGAGCAGCAGACCAAGAGCTCTTCCATACCTGAAGGGGAGACATCTCTCATCCTGGGGTGGAAGCACCAGACATTCCATCTACCTGACTCCACATTCAGTCTCTACCTGCAGACACAGAGAAACTGCTGGCCACATATGCCTTCCTGGAGTCATGCATTCTAGTAAATCAACCCAGCAGCTTCTGGTTACAATCTGTTCCACCTGTACCTCAACCACAGGGAAGAGATGCCTGATGTTTCTCTCTCTCTCTCTCTCTCTCTCTCTCTCTCTCTCTCTCTCTCTCTCGCTCTCATTCTGAGTTCGAGTGTGTGTGTGTGTGTGTGTGATTATTTTTAAATCTCACCGCAGTTGGAGATGGTTGTCCTAATTAAATCTCACCGCAGTTGGAGATGGTTGTCCTAAGAGAATGATAGAATTCCTCTGAGGGAGAAAACTGCTCTTTTGTTTGGGAAAACACCTTAATGGATCTTTTAATTATGCAAAGAGAGGCCCCAGGGCTGCTTTGGACTGGAAAGGATGAGACAAAGAAGAAGCTAAATCGCACTGCATAATAAACTCACAGAAATTTTGAACCTCTCCCAGGAGGTAGCCTGAAGAAAGGGGCCCCCAACAAGAGGAAAACTCAGGGGCCTAAGGAAAAAGGTGGCCAGTGAGGAGCACAGGCTTCCCCCACCACCCTGTTCCCCTGCCGATGGCACTGCTGGGGACAGCACTGGTTTTCCCACAGCAGGCTGGCATCCTTTACCTAGATGTTGGTGGAAAGGGCACCCTAGGAAGCTGGAAGGCTGAGATGTTTGGATTACAGATTTCAACTATTTCACTCTTGGGTCTGCCCATTTTTATGAAAAGCAATAAACTGATGTTCCGGCACCCACCTCAACCTTTCTGGGAGGTAGCAAGGGGAATGATGAGCTGGAGATGAGGTAACTGGAGATGAGGTCACCAAGGAGAAGTTCACAGTCACGGCGAGGGGAGTTCACTTTAGTTCTGTTTTGTGGTTTACAAGGCCACTCTATCCCATTGCTTCACCAAATCATCAGTAAAATCTGCATTACTTGCTAATGATTTGCAGAATCCTATTTGACTTTTGGGGGATGTGATCAAATGACAAGTCCTGCTCCAGCGTGGATGTGGGAAATAGACTAAGTCAGTTACACCTGGGTTCCACTTAAAGCTAAATGTGTTCCATTCAAGGGTTGTCCTTTATCTTAGATTATGCCCTTCCTATTTTTATGAAATGGTGGAATGATGTATTTTTCATGTCCTCAGTTGGCAAAATAAAAATTTTCAACCTAGTATTACCTCCCTTTTTAAAAACATTTTTTACCCGTTTTTGAAATCCCAAAGTCTGACATTGTTAGCAGTGGTAGATCAGAACAGGTCTGCAGCAACCTCAATTCTTGCCTTCTCAGAAGAAAGAATTCGACCAAGAGGCATAAGGAAGAGAAACCGAGGCAAGATGAAGAGCAAGAGTGAAAGTTTATTAAAAAGCTTTAGGTCCAGCATGGAAAGAAGTAAAGTATACTTGGAAGAGGGTCAAGCGGGCAACCTGAGAGAGTCGAGTGCTCTGTTTGAGCTTTGACTTGGGGTTTTATATGTTGGCATACTTCTGGAGTCTTAAGTCTCCCTTCTCTCCTGATTCTCTTCTTGGGGTGGGCTGTCCACGTGCACAGTGGCCTGCCAGCACTTGGGAGGGGCTGCATGTGCAGTGTGTTTACTGGAGTTGTACACATGCTCACTTGAGGCGTTCTTCCTTTACCAGTCACCTGTTCCTAGAAGGTCGTATACCAATTAAACTCTGACATGTTGCCTCTTAGTGCACATGCTTGAACCCACTGGCCCGATTCCTGAGATCTTATTAGGAAGCTGCTGATCACCGGTTTCAGGTATTTCTGTCTATTGGGAGACTGCTTTTCCCTGGAGCTTGCTGTGACAAATTATTATTTTAGAGAGACAGTTAACAACCACCTGACCATCACCTGATGGTCGCCTGACATTCTTGGTTTGTGGTGAGCCCTCTCCTGCCCTGCTCCTGTCTAACTACCTGCCATAACAACTTGAAGCCACATTCCTGAAGGCTCTGCCTTGCACAAATCTTATCCAGGTGGGAAATGCAGAGACCACTTCCAAAGAGAGAGGCTCTCCCTTTCCTAAAGATTTCTGCATTGTCTGCATCAGCACACAGCTTTATTACTCACTATGACATCAGGACAATCTTTCGATTAAAGAAACCCGACCTTACAGGCAACAAACAAGGTTTTATAGACACTTTATGTCCTTCGGCAAACTTCTTGAGTTTTTCCTCAATAAGCATCAGACTTAGAGGCGCATGTATTTTAGTTTGGTGCTCAGTTCCACAATCTTAGAGTTTTTCAGGTCTTTGATCATGCTTAAATGCTTCCTAGTCTTTATTATACTTCATGGTGGGGAAAGCCTTTTCATGGCCTCTTTTATTTTATTTTTTTTAGTCTTTGTCATGAAGTGCAGTGGCCTTTGCTCGCCCCTCATGTTACATATCTCTACCTCCCCAGGCGCCCATAACTCAGCTAGCTCCCTGCATCTCCATCCGGACCTCTTGCATTCAAACTGTCTGGGCAGCCTACTGGGTGCCTGGCTGCCTCCTGCAGGGCTCAGAACCAGCTAGCTGACAACCAGCTAGAGCTGGAGATAGAAGGGGCCTAAATTATACAAATCCATCTGATCCGACAAAGCCTCAGTGGGTGACCACTTGCAGCAGGGCTCCTGGTGGCACATTTATCCCCATCACGTCTTTCGAGAAATCTTCTCCCAGCCAAGTTGTCTAGTGCCCTTTTCTTCTCTCCTCCGCAATCAGCAAGAGCCTGTCTGCAGTGTTGCACTGGATCTTTGCAGCTTTTAGGTGCAGGACAGTTCTCCAGGTGTCCAGGTGGCCTTGGATTGAACCAGTTCTCCCCACTTTTTCACTTACAATTTTCAAATTAACTGTAGAGACCAGGTGCAGTGGCTCAAGCCTGTAATCCCAGCACTTTTGGAGGCCGAGGCAGGCAGATCACTTGAGGTCAGGAGTTTGAGACCAGCCTGGCCAACAGGGTGAAACCCTGTCTCTACTAAAAATACAAAAATTAGCTGGGTGTGGTGGCACACACCTGTAATCCCAGCTACTCAGGAGGCTGAGGCAGGAGAATCACTTGAACCAAGGAGGCAGAGTTTGCAGTGAGCCAAGATCGTGTCACTGCACTCCAGCCTGGATGACAGAGCAAGACTCTGTCTCAAAAAAAAAAAAAAAAAAGATTAACTGTAGAATGTCCTGGGAATGCAACATCCTGAGATAGGGAGGAAGTGGTTGCAACAGTTCTGGCTCTGTTTTTCTCCCTCGTAGAACAGGATATCCTTTAACACTTTATCCCAGCAAGTCATGTTACCATGGGGTAGAAAAACCAGAGCAGGCTGCTTTCAGGGGTCCCTCAGCTGCAGTGCAAGTGGAGCCCACTCAGACAAGACTCCATCCAATTTTGCTTCTTTCCTGAGCCATGGGGATTGGCTCGCCATGAATCCTAGGTTTCTGTTGTCCCTTGCTGCCTATCTATAAGTAATAACCCTGCTCCATGTAACTTGTTATGTGAGAGTGTCCTGTTCACTGGACTCGAGTAAGTGATGGAAATTGGCCAAGGTGCAGTAGACAATGTGATTGATACTGGTGCATAGTGTTATCTGCCTTGCCTTGGGTATTTAAGTCCGACGTCCAGCAGGCAGTTTCTCAGCTGCTTGACTCTGTCCAGAAGCTCTTGAGAGGTACAGGATCAAAAAGATCAAAAAGACCAGTCCAGCCCCAGAGTTACCCCCAACCCACAAGACAGCTTCCATTGGCCAGATTTGCAGTCCCCTCACCCCCAGCCCAACCCTGAGACACTCTGCTTCCTGGACCATCTCATTCACATGCACTTAGGAGAATAGCCCCAAGCCAGGGTGAGGGTCGTGCAAGGCCTGGAAGCTCAATGACCAAGATGCTACAACATTAGGAAGCAATAGTCTGAAAGCGGTCTTCCTGGGAGGAGACAGGCCAATTCTAGAGTTTTATTTAGCTCTATCAGAAAAGACTGAAGGGAAGTCCAGGAAGACACTGGGCTGGGAGCGAAGGGAGTTTGGAACCAAGGGTTCCGGTTCCTTGTCCCTGCTCAGGCCTCTAGCCTCTGGAATGAGGTAAATTATCAAATATTTACCTTCCTGCAGAACACAGGCTCTGGGTTCTCTCAGAAGTGAAGGCAGGATTGGACCACCACGAATGGAGCCTCCACACCAAGAAGGATGGAGGACTGTGTGGCCTTTCACATTTAACCCAGAACCGCTCCCTCCACTTTGCAAACACACACAACATGCATGGGGCACATGAACACGTTGGGGCTCAGGAAATGATGCCCCAAAGTGAAGACCTCAGAAGCTGCCTCAGGAGCAAAGTTTCTCTGTGACATTCCCCTGCCCTCCTGTCTCTTGCCCCTCATTCTCTCCTGAGGCCAGCCATAGAAACTAAAAGCCCTCTTCCCCCAGATGGGTCATTGAAGAAACCAAAACCCCCTTACCCCAAAGCCAGTCATAAAACCTAAAACTATTACTCTTACCTTCCCCCCACACCTTTTGGTGTAACAGCTGGCCATAAAGAAATTCTCTGACACAACTTGTTTGGGAGTCATAAGACCCCTATTCCAGAAAGGGTCCTATCCTATACCTGGGAGAGGCGATGCTGCACAGAGAGGCCCAGCAAGAATCTGGACAGACAGGCCTTGCTGGGTTTCCCCACTAAGTCTATTAGCATGAGATCATACCCTTTCTGTACAATCCTATTTCTACATGGCTGTCCCAGCTTCATCAAACCGAAGCATAAAAATAGATCGTTTTTCCCAGTATTTTGGAATTTTCATTTCTGAAGTCTCTCATGTCACATAAAACTTTGATTAAACAAATCTGTTATGTTTTTCTCTTGTTAACCTGTCTTTTGTTATAGAAGTGTCAGCTGTGAGCCTTATGATGGTGAAGGAAAGATCTCACATCTTTTCTGTTCCTTCATACACGTGTATAGCCATGTGTGTTTTGGGGGCATATACTGCTTTATTGCGATGTTGGTGTGTATCTATGTACTTACATGGCATGTATGTGTGTCTCATAATGTGAAAGTGATTGTATGAACATGGCTGTGCACAAGCATGTCTGTGTGTGTGTGTAACTCACGTATAGGACAAGGCAGAATGAAGTGCCACCGTGTGATAAATGAAGACTATGGGGAGCTCATAAGGGCAGAAGAAAAAGGGAATTAAAGTTGTGTTTTCCCCTTCTCCTCTTCCATGATTCCTTCTCTGACTTTCAACACATGGTGACTCAGAAAAGCTCTGAAAATATCAAGGTTGGAATGAACCATCTAATGCGGGAAACATTTCTGCAACCTCCCCAACAAGTCACTGTCTGTCTTCTCTTTATGCACCCCTGCTGCTGTTTCTGGTGCTCATTGCTGCTCCAGAGAGTATACCCTATCATCGGTGGCTCTAATCACTGGAAATACCTTCCTTATATTGCTTGAAATCAACACCCCTGTAAATTTCGCTTACTGATACAGCTCCTCCTTGATGAGTTTCATAAACCAAGTGTCTATTCTCCGTCCCAGGCTCATCATGGTCTCTTTAAGATATGAACCTCAGAACTCAACACAATTCTCGGACCAGACAAATCAGAGTAAGCAGGACCATTGAAAAGTATTTGCCTTGTCCAAAACCAGGTAGAGATAGGGACTGATATCTAGGAAATTCTAAGAACTCCTGAAAATTAATACAAAAAGACAGGCATCTCAATAGAACAATGAGCAAAGGATAATGACCAAACAATTTATGGAGTAGAGAACCCAAAGGCTCAGTAGCATTTGAAAATATAATCAGGCAAGGAGCAATGGCTCACTCCTGTAATCCCTGTACTTTGGGAGGATGAGTTGGAGGGATTGCTTAAGCTCAGGAGTTTGAGACCAGCCTGGGCAACATAGGGAAAACCCTTCTCTAATAAAAGCAAAAAATGTGCAAACCACATCAGTAATCCAAGAAATGCAAATGAAAACAACAGTGAAATATGACTATACCTGTTACACTGGCAAAAACAGAAGCTGAGTAACAAGTATTGGCAGCAGGGTGTGGGAACAATGGAACTCTAACCACTTGTGAGAGTGTTGAATAGTGCACCCACCTGGGACAACAACCTAGCACTGCCAGGTAAAATAAGGATGGACTAGCCTCTGTTCCAGCAGATCCTCACCTGAGCATATATCTCAATTCCATTCTCATTCAGATTCATAAAGCACATGTATGAGAATGTTCACCACAATTGTTTGTGGTTGCAGGAAATTGAAAGCAATCTGGGTGTCCATCACCAGGAGCATGGATAGGTAACACGTAGGGGGGATTCAGCATTTAGAAGCAATGAAGTTGGTATACTCATGGCAACATAAGTGGAAATTTAACAACAAAATGCTGGATGACAAAAATAAGAAATAGAATGTGCTCCATGACACCACACCATTCACACAAATTCAAAACAACAGCAATACAAACTTTGTAAGTATAGGAAGGCATACAGACAAAAAGAATGTATTCCATATGGGAATGGAATGGAGATAAAAGGAATACACAAACAAAACAAGAAAGGGATATTGTGTGGACTAACGATGGTGGTGTGCCAAGAATCAGAGTTTACACAGTAAAGAGATATGGAGAAACAGTATATTCCCATTAATGTGGCCCAAGATTATCTTAGCATTTTTAGGTAGCCACATAAAGACAACTAAGCATCTTTTCCAGATACTCCTACCACCACCACCCTATACCCAAACAAATGCTTTTTAGACCTCAATATAGGGCTCCACAGTTAGTTCTATTTCAGTTCCTCTTGACAGATTTGGTCCATTTTTCCAGGCTACTGAGCTCTTTATGGATTCTCATTCTGTTATCCATGATCCTGGCTATTCTTCCTACCTTGATGACATGCAGGATTAGGGCCCACGTGACATCCACATTCTCCTTATAACTTCTCTCATTCAACACTTAATAGGGACCCACTCTAGGCCAGACCCTGTACCAGATACAGGCAATACCGAAATATAAAGAGAGAGTCTGTCTTCAAGGAGCTCACAGTCTAGAAGGGAGAGGCATGAAAGCCCAAAATTACAATGTAGCGGCGGGGCGTGGTGGCTCATGCCTGTAATCCCAGCACTTTGGGATGCCAAGGCGGGCGGATCACTTGAGGTCAAGTGTTTGAGACCAGCCTGGCCAACGTGGTGAAACCCCGTCTCTACTAAAAATACAAAAATTAGCTGGGCTTGGTGGTGCGTGCCTGTAATCCTAGCTACTGGGGAGGCTGAGGCACAAGAATCACTTGAACCTGGGAAGCGGAGGTTGCAGTGAGCCGAGATCATGACACTGGGTGACAGAGCGAGACTCTGTCTCAAACAAACAAACAAACAAACAAACAAAAAGTTACAATGTAGCAGCATCACTGCTGCAAAGCAAAGGACCCTGGGAACAGCAGGAGGCGGGGCCTCCAAGTCTCTGGGGAGCTAGGGAAGGAGGCCCCAAGGAGGCAGCACATAGGCCTGCAACTTGATAGAGAAGGAGTCAGCCAGTGGGGAGAGCTGGAAAGAGAGCTGGCACGAGGGGCGGTCCTGCAAGAAGGGAGGGTGCGGTGCTCGCCTGTGCTGGCCAGCCCATTCTCCATTCCACCTGCTCCTAGAGTCACTTCTCCATTGTTTCTGGGGAAAGCTGCCCTCCCCGACTCTTAGTCTATGTGCTTTGGGAAAAGCTGATTCCAACCTGCTCTAGGGATGAGCATATGATGATTCAGACCTGGATTACCAGAGCATTGCCTTCCTCTGACCACTGTGACTGTTTAAGGGGTGCGCACCTGACCCAAGGCAAGCCAATCAGGTCCAAGCAAAGGTAATCCTGGTACTTGGTTTGAGCAGCAATGGGAGAGGGATACTCTTTCTGCTGGATTTGTTCCTGTGAGGAGGTAGCAGTCTAGAGCTGCTGGCAGCTATCTCACCACAACATGAAAAGAAGCCTGCCAGAGAATGGGAGCTAACAAAGCAAAAAGCAGAGCTGAGAGATGGAAACAGCTTTCTGATGACACTGCTTGAGCCCTTGGATCCAGCCATGCCTGAAACCGAGCCACATCTTTCCCTGGATGTTCAGTTGTGTGAACCAATATATTTCCTTTTTGCTTAAGTCAATTTGAGTTGGATTTTCTCTTCCTTGCAATGTTAGAAATCTTAACTGGTCCAAACTGACAGAAGATGAAGTTAGACAAGTCAGGAGTCACCAGATGGGAATTTAGATGATATCCAATGGGAGAGATGTTGTGGAAAGTGGAGAAGCCAGAGCAAGGAGTATAATTTTGTGATCTGCATGGTTCACATCAGATATCACTACAGTGGCCAGGATGAGAGATAAGACCAGAGGCAGTGAGGCCAGTTAGGACACCAATACAGTAATTCAAGCAAATGAGGATGGCATCCCAGGCCAGGGAGAGGAAGAAAAGGGAAGAAAGGATCTGAGAGAGATTTAAGAAGTGGGATCTACTGGATTTCGGAATAGAGTAGAATGGAGGGAGATGTGAGGGTAAGGGAGAGGGAGGATTCTGAAGTAACCCTTGGGTTTCTGGTTCTGGTGACTAGTCTGCTGTATTTAGAAGGATAGCCCAATAGTGCCCTGCCTGGAAACACAGAGCATGGAAGAAGAAGCAGGTTCAGAGGAGAAGAGAGGGAAGGGATGAAGGTGGAAGGGAGAGGGCAATGATGCATTTGGTTTGGGACATGCTGAATTTGAGGTGCCTATGAAACATCCAATGAAATGTCTGATATTAATGAGTGCACAGGTCTGGAGCCCCAGAGAAGAGTCCATGGCTGTGGATATTGACATGGGGTCAGAGAAGACTTCTGAAAGGGAGCTGCAGCTGAGAACCCAAGCATGACTTAAACAGAGCCTGGTGGCTGGGCACAGTGGCTCACGCCTGTAATCCCAGCACTTTGAGAGGCTGAGGCAGGCGGATCAGCTAAGGTCAGGAGTTTGAGACCAGCCTGGTCAACATGGCAAAACCCCGTCTTTACTAAAAATACAAAAAAATCAGCTGGGTGTGGTGGTGCTCACCTGTAATCCCAGCTACTCAGGAGGCTGAGGTAAGAGAATCGCTTGAACTCGGGAGGCAGGGATTGCAGTGAGCTGAGATGGCACCATTGCACTCCAGCCTGGGCAACAGAGCGAGACTCCGTCTCAAAAATAATAATAATAATAAAATAAAATAATAAAATAAAATAAAAAGAGCCTGGTAAGAGGAAGGAGAGAGAGTGTTCTTAGGTAAAGGCATGGGGTACACAGAGGCACTGGGTACACAGAGGCCCAAAGGCCCAGGAAGGCTTGGCCTCTACTCTGATAGTCTGGCCATCCTTTTGAAGATAATGAAGAGAATGGAAACTCCTGGAAAATGCAGTACATTCACCTTTGCACATATCTTCTGCTGGTCCCTAGGAGAGCTGGTAGAGAGATCACAGCTGGTATAAAAGAAACCAGCCATGGGAGCTAACAAGCAGAGGTATTTTCTTGTCAACCTTGAGCAGCAAGGTGGCAGACATAAGCAAAAAATAGTTGAAGCTGTTGCAAGAATGACATTCCTTTGAAACATTACAAATGAAAAAGCAAAATCCTCTTAACCTATTGACAGTTCCCAGTGGAATAAAACCCTTTCTCTGAAATTACCTCCAAATTAGCAAAACCATAATTAGGATTACTAAATGAACAGATCAGAATTCCATAGAGAAAATACCTACTCCGGCAAAACCTCCCCAATTCAATAGCTCTTTCCGTGAATTTCTTCTAAAGTTTTGTATTTCCATTGACTAATCTGCTGTATTTAGAAGGACTCGTAAGCCACTTGCCAAGTAGTTAAAAGGTCTAAAATGTCTTTGCCAGGAAGTTCTTTGGGGACCTTAGCAAGAACGTACAGAGAGGCAGTGGGTTGTCCGAAATGCCTCCCTGCAGCCAACAGGACACCACTTTCCCCAGTGCCAGTCCATCTGCCACTGGGGTATGCCTTATGAACCATCCAGAGCAGCCTAGGATTGCCCAGTGCCATGCCCAGTTCCTAAGGTGGTGGTTGCCCCTGCAGGTGGGAGCCTTCTTACCCATAGAACTGAGGGTTCCATTTGGAAGACGCTAATGGATTATAAGAGACAATATGAATTGCACAGTGAAGGTGAATTGTGTTGCTTTGAATGCAATACTGAATCAAGCCTGGGCCACATGGTGCATTGAGGTGTATTTGGATTACCCTAAGATTTTGAGTGGTAGGACAGCTGAGAGGACCTCTGATGTGGAAGATAAGCAAGGCCCTACCTGGAGTCCTAACCTACTGTTATGAGCGGGATGTTTGTGTCCCCACAAAATTCATGTGTTGAAACCCTACCCCCCAGTGTCATAGTATTTGGAGGTGGGGCCTTTGAGAGATAATTAGGATTAGGTGACTTCAAGACGGTGGAGCTCTCAAGAATGGGACTAGTGCCCTTATAAGAACCCCGAGAGAGCTTGCTTCTCTCTGCTCTCCACAGTATGAGACTACAATTAGAAGTCAGTAGTCTGCAACCAGAAGTGGGCCCACTGTAGGAATTCAGCCACCAACCATGCTGGTACCCTGACCTTGGACTCCCAGACTCCAGAACCATAAGAAATAAATTTCTGTTGTTTATAAGCCACTCAGTGTATGGTGCTTTGTTACAGCAGCCTGGATGGACTAATTCACCTATTAGCACCACCTTCTGCCTCTGTTCCTCACCCCATTTCCCAACAGACTCACATACATTCCCCACCCACTCTGGTTTCTCTCTCCCTCTCCAAACTTACCTTTTTCTCTGGTCGTGCCCTCTACCTGAAATGTTCTTTTCCTTAAAGAAGGGAATGGCCAGGCTGGAGAGCATAGCATACAGGTACCTAGTGCTCCATGTAACCCTGAACCTAGGCCTGGCAGCTTCCACTGGGAGCCTCTGATCCACACCTCACCAACCTCGAAGCAAGACTCAGCATTCCTCTTCGTTCCTTCAAAGAAAACCCAGTCCACAATGCATTCGAGTAAGAAACTGATAGTGTTCTGAAGTGTCAACAGGAGAGATGTAGTAAAGGATCACATCGCATAGCACACAGCAAACTCTAAATTTTTGTGTAACTCTCCCTACAAAGTTTCTCCCCAGCCATGCGCATTCCCCTCCCAGTTGATCCTCCTCCAGGAAGCTTCAGCCTCTACTTCCCACCCCTCCCCATATATTTCCCTCTCCTTCTGCAGAACAATTTAACTCTTCCCCACCTTGCTTCCAATTTTGTATTCTCCCTTCCATGACTTTCAACAAATAGTCCTGGGACTTCATTTTCTTTAGAAAGCAATGAGGGGTCATAAATAACAAATATTGTATTTCTACATCACACCTTTTCCATAGTGAACGAATGTCAGAGCTCTGGGAGGAGCACAGTGCGCGGCCTGGGCTGAGGATGAGTGAACAGCTTGAATGTTCACTCTGGCCACAAGGCCTTCCAGAAGCCACCTGGGCATTTCTGTCCTGGCAGCCCAAGACAGACATGAGGCTGCCCAAAGGTCCTTCTGAAGACCTCAGCAGAGACAGCTCTACCAAAAGTGTTCTCAGGCCCCACATGTACAAAAGTCTCACCAGACCACAAGAGCAGAGTCCCAGACTAAAGCAAGGAAGTAGAATAATCCATTTTTACAGGAAAAGATGTTCATGCTTCAATCGTCTAAGGGCAGTTCTGAAAACTAAAATAAGTCATAAGACATGCTGGCTGGGTGGCAGCTGGCTTCCCACAGACTGCGGGAAAAGGCGCTAACCACACCCTTCCCCTTCTCTTCAAGCCTACCCATCCATTTCTGTGTTAGTAAGCTGAGGGTGCCATGCTGATCCGTGTCAGGTAACACACTCCCTCCAATGTCTATTTCCACAGGGGTGGGCCTGAGAGCTGCTGACAGTAGAATTAAGCTGAGCCTTTAGTATCTAGCCTTTAGTGTAGTTTGCACCACACATTGCTATGGGACAAGCACAGTTATCATTCTTGTCCCCTTGAGTACAGAAAAATATGTCTTATGGACCGGGGCAGCCCCAGACAGAGCCTCACTTCAGGAAGGGACAACAGTACTCCTAGGAAGGGCTCACTTTAATGCCACCTGAACTGAGGGCTGTGGGTTAAAGCTCCCGGGGCCTGGGGTGAGAGTAGGCAGCAGTGGCTTGGAGTCCAGGCTTGTGGGGAGTAGCTGAGTCTCTGCCCCACCAGCAGGATGCAGATAGCTGTAAAGTGTCCTTTTCTCCAGAGCCATCAAGATCATTCTGAGACCTGGACTTTGCCTGAAATTTCACCCTTACCTGACTTCCTCCCCTTCCCTGTCCTGCTTCCCTGCTTCCTTGCCCTGTTTCTCTCGGGAGCACTTCCACAACAAATTGCTTGCATAAGAATCCTCATCTCAGGGTCTGCAACAGGGAACATGAGGACATTTTAACTACACATCCTAGTCTCACAGGGAGCAGACCTCAGTGAATGTATATTAGAACAGATGGGATTGGGTGGGAGAAAACAGGGTGGAAAGGGAGACGCTGTGTACAGACAGCTCTTTTGAGGGGCTTTGCTACAGAGGGGCTAAAAACTAACACGGTCATTGGAGAGAAATGAAAGTTGTATTATATTGCTATGTAACACAGAACCTCCCAAACTTAGCAGCTTAAATTTATTATCTCATAGTTTCTGAGGGTAACGAATGCTTCAGAGCAGTCCTGACTCAGTTTCTCAAAAGGTTGCCGTGAGAAACTCCAGCTGAGGCTGGAGGACCTGCTTCCAAACACTCACATGGTGGCTGGCCAGAGTCTTCAATTCCCCTCCACTTGGGCCTCTCCACAGGGCTGCTCATGATCCTGCTCCCCCAGTTTGAGTGATGAGAGAGATAGGTGTTTTGAAATGTGTAGGCAAGAACTGGGAAGGACATGCTGTTAATAGTTGCTAAAAGTCCTTAACTCATGGAAATGGGATTGAGGAGCACAGGCCTGTGAGGATGATGAAGGCAGACTTCCACATTCTATACTTCTGAATTCCCTTGTTATTTTAAAACATTAAAGGTGAAAGCTTAAGTGAATTGGCAGTAGTTGGTAATGAGTAAAGCTACATCTACTGGAAAAATATCAATGAGAAGGAGAGATGATAAGGGCAGGAAATTGGAATTGGGTCCTTAAAAAATGTAGGTGAGTCCCTCTCCCTCTCCCTCTCCCCCTCCCCCTCCCTCTCCCTCTCCCTCTCCCCACGGTCTCCCTCTCCCTCTCTTTCCACGGTCTCCCTCTGATGCCGAGCCAAAGCTGGACTGTACTGCTGCCATCTCGGCTCACTGCAACCTCCCTGCCTGATTCTCCTGCCTCAGCCTGCCAAGTGCCTGCGATTGCAGGCGCGCGCCGCCACGCCTGACTGGTTTTCGTATTTTTTTGGTGGAGACGGGATTTCGCTGTGTTGGCCGGGCTGGTCTCCAGCTCCTAACCGCGAGTGATCCGCCAGCCTCGGCCTCCCGAGGTGCTGGGATTGCAGACAGAGTCTGGTTCACTCAGTGCTCAATGGTGCCCAGGCTGGAGTGCAGTGGCGTGATCTCGGCTCGCTACAACCTCCACCACCCAGCCGCCTGCCTTGGCCCCCCAAAGTGCCGAGTGCAGCCTCTGCCCAGCCGCCACCCTGTCTGGGAAGTGAGGAGTGTCTCTGCCTGGCCGCCCATCGTCTGGGACGTGAGGAGCCCCTCTGCCTGGCTGCCCAGTCTGGAAAGTGAGGAGCGTCTCTGCCCGGCCGCCATCCCATCTAGGAAGTGAGGAGCGCCTCTTCCCCACTGCCATCCCATCTAGGAAGTGAGAAGCGTCTCTGCCCGGCCTCCCATCCTCTGAGATGTGGGGAGCGCCTCTGCCCCGCCACCCCATCTGGGATGTGAGGAGCGCCTCTGCCCGGCCGCGACCCCGTCTGGGAGGTGAGGAGTGTCTCTGCCCAGCCGCCCCGTCTGAGAAGTGAGGAGACCCTCCGCCTGGCAACTGCCCCGTCTGAGAAGTGAGGAGCCCCTCCGCCCGGCAGCCACCCCCTCTGGGAAGTGAGGAGCGTCTCCGCCCGGCAGCCACCCCGTCCGGGAGGGAGGTGGGGGGGTCAGCCCCCCGCCCGGCCAGCCGCCTCGTCCGGGAGGTGAGGGGCGCCTCTGCCCGGCCGCCCCTACTGGGAAGTGAGGAGCCCCTCTGCCCTGCCAGCCGCCCCGTCTAGGAGGGAGGTGGGGGGCCAGCCCCCTGCCCGGCCAGCCGCCCCGTCTGGGAGGTGAGGGGCGCCTCTGCCCAGCCGCCCCTACTGGGAAGTGAGGAGCCCCTCTGCCCAGCCAGCCGCCCCGTCCGGGAGGGAGGTGGGGGGGTCAGCCCCCCGCCCGGCCAGCCGCCCCGTCCAGGAGGTGAGGGGCGCCTCTGCCCGGCCGCCCCTACTGGGAAGTGAGGAGCCCCTCTGCCCGGCCACCACCCCATCTGGGAGGTGTACCCAACAGCTCATTGAGAACGGGCCATGATGACAATGGCGGTTTTGTGGAATAGAAAGGGGGGAAAGGTGGGGAAAAGATTGAGAAATCGGATGGTTGCCGTGTCTGTGTAGAAAGAAGTAGACATGGGAGACTTTTCATTTTGTTCGGTACTAAGAAAAATTCTTCTGCCTTGGGATCCTGTTGATCTGTGACCTTACCCCCAACCCTGTGCTCTCTGAAACATGTGCTGTGTCCACTCAGGGTTACATGGATTAAGGGCGGTGCAAGATGTGCTTTGTTAAACAGATGCTTGAAGGCAGCATGCTCGTTAAGAGTCATCACCACTCCCTAATCTCAAGTACCCAGGGACACAAACACTGCGGAAGGCCGCAGGGTCCTCTGCCTAGGAAAACCAGAGACCTTTGTTCACTTGTTTATCTGCTGACCTTCCCTCCACTATTGTCCTATGACCCTGCCAAATCCCCCTCTGCGAGAAACACCCAAGAATGATCAATAAAATAAATAAATAAATAAATAAATAAATAAAAATAAATAAATAAATAAAAAATGTAGGTGACAAAAAAAAGATACATGGATGATTTTAGAAACATGTATGATTTCCTGGGAGCACGTGGTAAGCTCTAGAACTGCTGCTGACCCCTGGCAGAGTGTGAATGGGAGTTCCTATCTCTGCTAAGAAATCCCAAGGCCTTCTGGGGAGCTGCCCCATCCTTTCTGTTCCCCCACCGCAGGGAGGCATCAGCTGTACGTGGACTCCCTGGTGCTGACAGCTTAGCCCAGGAGAGGTCCTGGCTGGGTGAAAGGCCACATCACATTCTCAGAGTTGACCCCCAGCTCAGAAGCTTCCTTTCTCGGCATGCATTCAAGGCCCCTCATCATACACTGATATGGGGCCCTCAGGAAGGAGAAGGGGCTGCAAGGCTGGTGGAAATGAAGGGGCCGTGGGGAGCTAGACTTGTATCAGGACAGTAAGAGAACAGAGAACTTGGCGTGAAATGAGAGCTGCATGGCACAGGCAAAAGTGCTCACACAGAGACTGAAAAAGACTGTGGGGCAGGATTCAGCCTCGTGGTTACCGGCACCACTCTTAGACAGAGGCAAGAGGGGGTCCCTACCCTGAATCTGGTGACTCCAGTGACTCGAAGCAGTCCTCCACAGAGAAGTGTGGTCGGTGGACCAGTGCCAGCCCACACGTGGTCTGTTACTTGTTCTTGATGAGTTACACACAGAAACTAACAGTAAGGTTATATCTGTTGAATCTTTAAAACTTGGGGCTTGTAACTTGTATAGATTTTTTTTTTTTTTTTTTTTTGAGACAGAGTCTCACTCTATCGCCCAGGCTGGAGGGCAGTGGTGTGATCCTGGCTCACTGCAGCAGCCTCCTGGGTTCAAGCGTTTCTCCTACCTCAGCCTCCCGAGTAGCTGTGATTACAGGAACCCACCACCACGCCTGGCTAATTTTTGTATTTTTAGTAGAGATGGGGTTTCACCATATTGGCCAGGCTGGTCTCAAACTCCTGACCTCAAATCATCCACCCACCTCAGCCTCCCAAAGTACTGGGACAGGCGTGAGTCACCCCACAGGTCCTCATATAGATTTTTTTTAATTTCATTTTTCTAGTGAATTATTTCTAGTGAATTATTGAATCAAATAATTGATCTGTATTGGGTTGGGAAATTAAAAACTAATAATTAGAAACTAAGAAGCCCTACTTGAAAAGGTTGCATATATCACAAACACCCATAAAATGTATTGGTTATGGAGCACATGGGATCGAGTGCTCAGCGCTGGCATAGCGCTGCTGGCAACAGAAACGTCAGTTCCAATGACAACACCGGTCAGGTCCCAGGGAAATGCGGCTCCTCACCTTTTGCCCTGTGTCCTCAAAACAGAAAGCAACCATGTCTGAACGTCACGGAGGTTTCTGGGTTGTGCTTCCGCCAATATTGGAGACAGACACTGCTTCAGAGAACAGGGAGGATTTGAGTGGCGGAAGCACTTAGGTAAGGGAAAAGACAAATTTATTAGCTTGTCAAATCCTTTATCTCTGATAGCAAGAACGCAATCGTTTCTTGCACAGTGAAATACCATTTCCCAGTAGGGCCACACGTCCATTTTCATGTTTCTCTTTGTGCTCCAGTTCGTGGTTCAGGAGGTCTCATGAATTAGTGTGGTATTGATTGTTGTACAGTGGCTGAGGAACATGTGTGCAATATGAACACTTTATTTTACCTTCAAATCAGTAGAGGTATAAGTGTAGATGTAATATGTACGAAGCTATTCTTCATGTTAGTGCATAAACTATTACCTTAAAAGATAGCAAAAATTGCAGTATGATAGAAATTTCTATTATGAAGTTAAAATATTTTGTAGTATTTTCTGCAATAATTACAGTTTACCTAACACAACTCTACTAAAGTATTTGAACAGGATATGTAAAATTCATGGTTCATTTCCAAATGTAAACATCGTTTTAAGATTTTAATGAAAATTCCATTTATTCCTGAAACTTTCTCCAAATTGAAATTAATTTTTTTAATTATCTAAGAATTACAACTCAAAAAAGGTAGTCTAATTTGGCGTCATCATCAATAAAACACAAATTGTGCAAAAATCTTGATTATAACAACATAATTAGGTAATTTTGCAATAAGGAAGGTAAGAAAAACAAATCTAATGAAAAGATAAATAATAATTTGAATGATTTACAATATAAATTTGGTATATGCTGACTTTATAACTTACCAAAACATCACCAGCCCATCAACAGAATATCCAAATAGATGCACACATAATTAAATTCTGTCATCTTTACTATTTTACCAATTTTTGTTCATATAAAAATCGTAGTGCTATACTTTTTAAAAATTTTGATCTTAAGAGGGCATATTTTTCAAGACAGAAAGATGGAACTTTTTATCTAATAGTTTATTGGCCTAGTTTATGATTTTAAATATTTATACATATGCTACGGGGGCTTTCACTTAGTGTTAAAGGCCTGCTTAGGGCTACCTTCCTAAGCTAGGCCAGGGCTGCCCAACAACTGACCGAATGTTAGGGAATTGACTCTATATTTTAATTCACCTAAGAGAGAGCAATTTTTAGGTAGACAGAGATATGACAAACACAAACTTCAGAAGAGAGGCATGATTTTTAGAAATAATTATTTGCAATTGATTCCATGTCTCCTTTGTTCTTCAGTTAGTAGAGATATTTGCCTGCCTTTGGCTTAAGAAAGCCATTTTAAATGAGACCCGCAGTGGGTGTCAATAAGAGCTACCTCTGTGATCCTTTGTTGATGTCACTTCTTTGATACTGGAGGGATAGGAACTGAGTCCCGCCAAGAGGGGACATGGGAATGTCTGAACTCTAAATAGTCACTTCTCCAAAGCCTGCTCTGGAATCAATGCTACTAGCTCAGGCTAGGAGGAAGAGGGCTTCTCATCATCCATGACTCTGCCCACCCCACTCCCAGACCACCCCCTCCAGATGTGAAGACCTCCTGTGAACCAGCAAGAGTTTACCCCAGCCCTCTAGACTGTGAGCCTCAAGGGAAAGTACCACCATTTATACCATTTCCCTGCTGAGAGGCACAGGCTTTGTTTTCTGTGTGTGTGCATGTGTGTGCATGCATGCACACCACGAATGCACCTCTGCAATCAATGCTGCAATAACCACCCTTCTACATGGACCCTTAGGTGGATCCTTCTATTTCTGTGGAATAGATTCCCAGGAGTGGGATCACTAGGTCAAAGGATATATGTATTTTTAATTCTAATGGATTTTTCCAGATTGATTGCAAAAAGGCTGTAATAATTTACATCTCCACCAGCAATGAATGAGAGCATGCTCCCCACAACCTCACACACAATACCTATAGAAACTCTTTTTAATTTTGCCAGCCTGAAGAGCATAAATGAGTATCTTATTACTACTTTAATTTGCATTCAACTGAATTCTAATGAATCTGAGCATCTTTCCATCAGTTGGATATTTTTCTTCTTTGAATCACCTACTCATATCATTTTGCCTATTTCATTATTGGATTGTTTGTCTTTTCGCATCAATTTATAAGAGTTTTTTGCATACTATAGGTATTAGCCTTTGTCCATCATCTGCATTACACTTTTTCCAAGTCTGCTTGTCTTTTGACATTGCTTACAGTATCTTTTCCCACAAAAATGCTATATATATGTGTGTGTATGTATATGTATATATATGCAAAAATACCTTTTTCATCTTCTAGGTTTCCAACCTTGGTTGAGAAGGTATTCTAACCTTAGATTATATGATGCCTCCTTGCCAAAATTTTTATTGAGATATATGTATGAAATAATGCACATCTTTTTATGGATCAATAAATTTTCACGAGGTGAACACACTCATGTAGCCAGGACTGAAATCAGGAAACAGAATCTTACCAGTACCCTAGACATTCCTTCAGTTCACACCCCCTTGCCAGTCACAACCGTCCTCAAAGATTAACCTCTACCCTGACTTCTAACATCGTAGGTTAGTGTTTGAACATTATTTAAATGAAATATCCATGTGTACTCTTTTGTATCTAGCTTCTTTGACTCAGCATTATGTTTGTGAGATGAATTCATGTAGTTCATTCATTCTCGTTGCTGTGCAGCAGTCCTGTATGTAACATACCACACTTTATGTTTTACTGTTGATAGACGTTTGGGTTGCTTCCAATTTGGGGCTATTACAAATAGTGCTGCTATGAACATTCTTGCAAACTTTCTTTGGTGAATTTATGTCTGCATTTCTGTTGAGTATTTACCCAAGAGTGTAATTTTTGGGTCATAGAGAACGTGTATGTTCAGCTTTTGTGGATATTGCCAGTCATCCAAAGTGGCCGTTATCAATTACACTCTCACCAGTAATGTAAGAGACTTCTAGCTGCTCTACACCCACCCCAATACTTTCTATCATCTGACGTTTGCATTTTAGCTACTCTGGCAGGTACACGCTAATGTTGCATTGTGGCTTGTCTTGACAGATAGTTAACATTTTATTTTTTACATTTTTAAGCCCTTAATCCCTCTGGAATTTTATCTTTGTATATGGCTAGAGATAGGGGTTCACTCTGGTTCTCTTCCAGGCAAACAGCCAGATGTGTTAGACTAAATACTATGTCCTTTGTCCTGATATGTTTTGAGGTATAAGTGAGCATTTGCCAGGTACAGTGGAGTGGGAGAGAACATTCCAGGCTGCAGGAGCTGCACAAGCAAAGGTACGGAGGCACGAAGTATCACGATGTGTGCAGGAGATTGCATGAGTGTGGTGAAAATTAAAAACGTGTGGCCGTGAGTGGCACAGGAGGGCAGGCAGGACTGGACTTTGCCATTCTCACGGTGGTACACAGGCACAAGGCTGCTGCTGAATGGACACACTAAAGGAAAAAAGACTCCCTCCTCCTCTAATGTTTGGGGATGTTCTTTGAGATCCTCATTTTGAAAAGGTGTCATTATCAAAACGTCACCCTTAAGAGAGGGAACTTCTGTGTTGACTGAGACGCTTATTAAGATCCATGATACGTATTGTTTAATTTACTCATCACAATGACTTCATGATGTGGGCGTTGTTTCCCTTGATTTACAGATAAGGGAATGAGGTACAGAAAAATTAAGCAGCTTGCCCTTGGACACATAGCCAGTAAGTGGCAGAATTAAGGATGAAACAGCCTGTTCCTCTTCCTGTGTTCCCGCTCTTTCCCCTAGATGCACTGCCAGTAGATGCATGAATTGAACTTCCAGCCACTTCCCAAATAATGCACATGTGATGAAGCAGAGATTTACAATCCTTGCATCAGCCCCTGCCAGCAGACCTCTTGATGTCTGTTTCCTTTTCCCCAGTCACACAGAGAGGTTGATTCCTTGGGAAACTGAATGACTGTTGCAGGCAGCAATTGTTCCTTCAGCTGAAAGGCATGCAGAGTCAGACCAGGGTGGCTGGCTTCGGCCCATGGGCAAGTTTATGGGTCCGCAGAGAGAAGGCAGCCTCTGTCCTCTATCCCTTTCCCATATGCAGTTCTTGGTTACAGAAAATCCAGTTGCTCTTCTTTTCCCAACTGGGAGAGATCTCTGTATCCTACAGTAAACTTCTTGGTAACCTGGGCTCTCCTGAGTAGGTCTCTGATCCTCAAGGAAGGGAAAGGTAAACACTCACTAACATGAACATCGGCAGTCAGACACACATCACACACACAGAGGTGGCACACAAGCTACACACTGACACAGAGCGGAGACAAACACACACTTGCAGAGAATCTGCCTCCTGGAATATGAGAGCTCAGGGAATCTGTCAAGATCAAGGGTTTTCGAACTATGCCGCGTGAGTTTTTCTGCAAAGGGAAGTCACAGAAAATAATGAAGCAATTTCCCACCAAAGGGAATATTGTAACAGCTAGAGATAATTGTAGAAAAGTACACTGAAATTATGAGGTGTCATTTTCCCTCTATCAGACTGGCTAAGATTTAGAAGTTTGATAATACACAACGTAGGCGGGGGTGTAAAGATACAGCATGTAGCAGAAAAAGTAAATGATTGCAATTCCAGGGAAGAGAGCTCAGCAAGATATATCAAAATGTTAAATGCAGCTACCCTTAAACCTAATGATTCCACTCCTAAAAAGTTTACACAAACACACACACACACACACACACACACACAATACTGATTAAGGAGGTTCATTGTAGCATTTGTTTATATTACCATAAAATTAGAAACAACTAAAAAAAGTCTGTTAATAGAAGCCTAGCCAAATAAGTTAAGGGGCAGCCATACCATGGAACACTCTTAATCACTTAAAATGCTGAGGTGGACCTCTATGTTCTGACATCAGAAGATATCCACAATGTATTTTATCCTGTTTGTGTTTTTAAAAATATATGTTTGCAGCTGGGCGTGGTGGCTCATGCCTATAATCCCAGCACTTTGGGAGACCAAGGTGGGTGGATCACTTGAGGTCAGGAGTTCGAGATCAGCCTGGCCAATATGGTGAAACCCCATCGCTACTAAAAATACAAAAAATTAGCCAGGCGTGGTGGTGGGTGCCTGTAATCTCAGCTACTCAGGAGGCTGAGGCAGGAGAATTGCTTGAACCAGGGAAGTGGAGACTGCAGTGAGCCGAGATCACACCATTGCACTCCAGCCTGGGCGACAGAGCAAGACTCCATCTCAAAAAAAAAAAAAAATATATATATATATATGTGTGTGTGTGTGTGTGTGTGTGTGCGCGCGAGCGCGCGTGTGTATGTGTGTCTTTGTGTGTGTGTATGTGTGTGTGTGTGTTTGCTATGTGCAGCAGCTCACGCCTGTAATCTCATCACTTTGGGAGGATCACTTGAGCCCAGGAGTTCTAGACCAGCCTAGGCAACATGGTGAAACCCCAAAAATTAGCCAGGTGCGGTGGTGTGTACCTGTAATCCCAACTACTCGGGAGGCTGAGGTGGAAGGATAGCTTGAGCCCAGGAGGTAGAGGTTGCAATGAGCGGAGATTGGGCCACTACACTCCAGCCTGGGTGACAGAGCCAGACCCTGTCTCAAAAAATATATGTATATGTTTGTATATATCCATAGAGTGTCTATCGGGTACATAAGAAACTGTTAAAGTAGGTGGCTCTGGAGAATGAGAAGGGGACAGGGAGAAAGGGCAAGGGAAGGGAAACAAATGTTTCACTTAACTTTCTGTACTATTTGACATCTTTACGGTAAGCATATATTAACTGTATAATACATTATTTTAACCCTCTGAGATGTTAAAAAAAATATATTCGGGTCAAGTGCAGTGGCTTACGCCTGTAATTCCAGCACTTTGGGAGGCCAAGGTGGGCAGATAGCTTGAACTCAGGAGTTCTAGGCCAGCCTAGGCCACATGGCGAAACGCCATCTCCACAAAAAATACAAAAATTATTTCTGGGTGTGGTGCCATGCACCTGTACTCCCAGCTACCTGGCAGGCTAAGGTGGGAGGATCATCTGAGTTTGGGGAGGTCAAGGCTGCAGTCAGCTGAGATCATGCCACTGCACTCCAACCTGGGCGACAGAGTGAGATCCTATCTCAAAAAATAGAAAATTAAAAATTAAAAAATAAAGTATCTATCTATTAGATATATAGATAGATATTAGGGTTTGCTGTTACATTTCACTTAGAAAGAGAGTTCCGCCACTAAAAAGTTTGAAAAACCTTTATGCAACTCAAGCCTGTTGTATAAGTGGCCAGGAAAAATTGTGAAAGACTTTTGAAATGGGGAGAAAATGTACCCTATGGAATGCAGGCCTGGTGTGCCCTTCCAGGTTATGTCATTCTATGGTAGTCTCCATTTTTCATTGTCTTTGAATCTGTAAACTGTAGAAAACTGAAAATAATACAAATTATTATTGTCCATGGCAATGCAAACAAGTTTTGTCAGGTGGAGATGCAAGTGATCCCCCACCCCCCACCCCACCCCCCGCCAAACACACACACACACACACACACACACACACACACACACACTGTGGATGAAGCCAGTTTTGTATCAATTAACAAACTTATTTCATTATTTCTGATGCCAGTGTGTGTATCTGGCCTTTGTGTTGTCCTTTGAATCAGTTTTTAACTTCATTAACTAATGAGTTAAATAAAATCTTTTACACTTGTTCATTTTTTATTTGTATGACAGGCATGATTTCTCCCTTGAAAAAATAATCATTTAGTGGCACGTGCCTGTGGTCGCAGCTACTGGAGAGGCTGAGGTGGGATGATCACTTGAGCCCGGTAGGTGAGGCTGCAGTGAGTGGTGATTGCGCCACTGCACTCCAGCCTGGGAGACAAAGTGAGACCCTGTCTCGGGGAAAAAAAAAAAAGGATCATTTAACAAACCAGAAAAACAAACAAACAAACCAGAGACAATGAAGACTATGAGGAAGAGATTTGACCAAGGTTAGACGCCTGTTGTAACAAATACAGCACCAATCCCTAACCCTCAAATGTGAGCTTCTGGACTGAATTCCTTGGCTATTGTATTTATACCATCAAGTAACAAGTATTGAAGTCACTTTCTATTTGACTTGACCATTTACCCTACACAAATATATTCTTAATTTAGAAGATGCTTTCCCACAAATATATACACACAGAGACTTACACATGCACAAACACAAACACCTGCGGGCATCCACAGGCCCCCACCCCCCCCACCCCACCCCCCGCTGACACGCTGCACAAACTCCCCCACAGATCCAGAGCTCCCCTCCCCGCCACTGGGACAGCCGCCCTCCCAGTGCCAAGCCTGCTCTTGGTTCCTTCATCTCAGCGGAGCTTAAGATTGGGGATGAGCAAGGCCCCTTCCTGCGGACCCTGGCCTGTGCCACGCAGGGAGAAGAGGTGGCTCCCTCACTTATAATCATTGGCCAGGGGTCAGAGTGGCTCTGGGGTGCGACGCTGAGGGGTTCAAGGGGATGGAGGCCAAGCCCCATCCTCAAAGACTGCCGGTCGTGGAAGAGGCCAGCACACGGGCGGAACTAGGCCCGCTGTGGAGCCACGCCCCCAAGTCCTGGGGTAGTCCGGGAAGGCTGCCCGGAGGCGGTCACCTCAGCGCTGAGGTTTGAAAGCGTGGAGGAAACACTGGGAGCCTGGGAGCCGTACAGCCGCGGCTGGGCCGAGGTGTTTGGTGGAAGGACTGAGCCAGGGCCTCCTAGCACGGATCTGTTAAGTGGATGGCGTTTTTGGTTTTGCGGAAAAACAAATCCCGCGGAATTCAAGGACCTCCCAGGCGCCAGACTTGACCCGCGGGTCGGGAGCAGCGCGGCGCGCAGCCCGTTCGGCACCCACCCCGCGCCGCGGCCGCTCTCGCGGTGGGCTCGCGGCGCCCCCTGCGGGCGCCAAGCCACTCTCCCCACACTGCCACCCCGGGGAGGCGCCGGCGGGAAGAGGCGGGCGGGCGGGGGCTGCGCCCAGCCTTCGGGCCAGGAGGTCCGGTCTTCCGTCCCCACCAGCCCCCGAGGTCGCTGCTGCAGGCCGGCCTTAGTTCTGTGCACCCCCGAGGGCGCCGCGTCCACAGATCCCCATCACCAGGAGATCCCATCCCCATTCTGCAGATGGGGAAACCGAGGTTCAGAGACGGAGCCTGATGCATCCACCGCACGAAGAGGAGTCTGTGGATCCCGCGGCCCACCCTCACCCGAGCTCGTCTCTCTCCGCCTAGGTGTGGCCACAGACTCAATGGCTTGCCGTGCACCCCACGCACCCTCTCTTCTGGTTCTCTCTGGGCCACAGCGTCGCCTGGTTTGGCCTTTCAAGAGCTGTGTGGACGGGAGTGCATGTGGGGTGGGGTTACTCATCCACTTTACAGGAGGGAAATCTGACAACCGCACGGGAGCGCCCTGGGATCTGATAGTTTCACTTGCGTGGTCTATACTAAGGAGACAATTCAGAAACTCAGCAGATTTTGCTGTGTAAGTGCTTCTCCCTAGTTGTTCATAATAGCAAAACTTGTGAATAGTCTAACTCTCTACCGCTTGGTTAAATAAATGGTATTCTACGCAGCCATGAAAAATCATTCTGGGTAAAAAGTTTGGATATATTAAAGACGCCATTCTATTGTTAAGCAAATAAGCAGGTTACAATGCAGCATATACAATAACAAAGTTCCATTTCTGTGAAGACGCATGTGTGTGCACACATTTTTTTAAAACTCTGCAAAGATATACACCAAAAACTTGAATATTAAGATTAAGAGTTATTATAAAATAAGTATTTGTACCTTTCTGCATTTTCTAAATAATATTATACAGTGAATCTGTATTGTTTTGTGTTTGTTTTGTTGTTTTGTTTTGTTTGACAAGGTCTCACTCTGTCACCCACGCTGATCAAGTGCAGTGGTGTGATCAAGCTCACTGCAGCCTTGACCTCCCGCGCTCAAATGATCCTCCCACCTCAGCCTTCTAAGTAGCTGGGACAGCTAATTTTTGTATTTTTGTAGAAACGAGGTTTTGCCCTGTTGCCCAGTTTGGTCTCGAACTCCTGAGCTTAAGCAATTCTCTCATTTTGGGATTAGAAAGGAGCCACCATGCCCAGCTCCCTATTTTATTTTCTGTCTAAAACTTATCAATATCTGATATTTTTCATTTGTTTATTATTTATTTGTTGTGACCTTACCCTGTTAGAATATGAATTCCATGAGAACATGGACCTTGTCTGTCTTAGTGACTAGACTAATGTCTGGCACTCAATAAACAATTGTTGAATAATAAAATAATGAATCCTCCAGCAACTACATTATATGGATGTCATTCTTTCCATTTTACAAATGGGAAACTGGGCTGGAAAAGATTAAGCAACTTGCTCCAAACTGCACTGTTAATGGTAGTGGTGGTGGGGATATAGGGTGCTAAGATTTGAATCTCGGGTTTCCAAAGACATACCATATTTCTTTTTTAAAAAAATTCTGTTGGGAGGCCAAGGTGGGCAGATCACGAGGTCAGGAGTTTGAGACCAGCCTGGCCAATGTGGTGAAACCCCGTCTCTACTAAAAATACAAAAATTAGCTGGGCGTGGTGGCAGGTGCCTGTAATCCCAGCTACTTGGGAGGCTGAGGCAGGAGAATCGCTTGAACCTGGGAGGCAGAGGTTGCAGTGAGCCAAGATCACGCTATTCATTGCACTCCAGCCTGGGCAACAAGAGCAAAACTCCATCTCAAAAAAAAAAAAAAAAAATTCTGAGACAGGAAGCAGGATGAACTGAAGCTGGTTGTGTCTATCTCCTTTTATGGCAATAGCCCTTCTTTATACCACAGGCCCAGACCACAGTGCCTGGACTAGAAGCAGCTAACATCCCAAGTGGTCAGCCCTTGGGGTCACTGGCTCTCAGCAGCAGTGGCAAGGCCTGCAGGTTTCTCATGGATGTTGCTCGCCACCCTCCCAGAAAGAGCAGACAAATCATTCTCCCCAGCTTGTCCCCATTCATGCTTACATTTTTTTAAATGAATTAATACTTTTAATAATTTATTTCTAAATCTTTCTTTAAAGGGGCATTACAGTCTATTGCGAACAGATCTGCAGGCAAGTCAGCCTGACGTTGAAACTATAATACATGTTTTTCTTAGTTTTGGCACTATTTACTGTTTAGAACAAAAGAGAATAACTTTTAAAATAACAAATGGATAGTACTTCACTGGGAACATCATCCAACAGATAGATTTTCTTTTCATACCACAAATCTACATATCTTTAGTCAAAGTTATATTAAGAAGTTAATTTCCCAAAAGAAACAAGAGTAAACAGTCATGATGAGACTTAGCTGGGTTTTCTTGAGAAACGAAATTAAAAACAAGCTGTACTGCTTACTTTTCAGCAAATTCTACTTTGCCAAGTTTCAGAAGGAAAAGCCTAACATACTGGAAACTACCACATGTAGTTTCCAGTGTTGTCCCCTTGCCCGGGAGAATCTGGGGGACCTACTTCTTCCTGACAGCCTGCTTTGTCACCACCAAATCCATCAGCATGATGGCTTCACTCCCTACCACAAGCAGCCTAGCACCTGGGTTGGAGTTGATAAATTCCGCAAACCTGGGTCGGAGTAGATAAATTCTGCTGCCTCTTCAACGGAGCTATGGATTTCAGGGCTCCATCTATGTGCGTCAGTCAGTTTGAATGCAGCTAGTTACTTACTGCAAGTTTGCCAGCTCTCTGCAACAAAAATCCGGCATATCAGTCCATTTCTCTCCCCATTACAACTTGAGTAGGTACTGAGTAGCAATTTTTTTTCCAGAGCTCCTGATGTCTGTCCACTCTATGATCCACCAGTTTGGTCATGTGGCAAACTCTGTTACAATCAACATTTTGGAAAATTTACCATCACTGTCATGTTATTCAGAAGCAGCAGCTCTTGGTGACTGTGATTTCTGTGGCTATTCTGGGATTGGGGGAAGGAAATGCCCCAGAAATTCCCTTTCCTACTTCCTTGATCCAACCCTTTCAGCCTCTCTTTTCCTTCTGCAGTATCTAAGTGAATATTGGAGCTTTTCTGTGTAAGAAAAAAAAAAATGGCTGGGCATTGTGGCTCACACCTGTAATCCCAGCTACCCAGGAGGCTGAGGTAGGAGATTGCTTGAGGCCAGGGGTTCAAGACTAGTGTGGGCAACATAGTGAGACCCCCTTCTCTAAAAAAAAATTAAAAAAAAAACATTAGCCAGTCAAGGTGGCATGCACCTGTAGTCCCAGCTATTCAGAAGGCTGAGGAGGGAGGATTGCTTGAGCCCAAGTGTTTGGAGTTTGAGGCTGCAGTGAGCTATGATGATGCCACTGCACTCCAGCCTGGGTAACAGAGTGAGACCTCATCTCTAAAAATAAACAAATAAATAGGGAGAAGCCGTAGAGACCTACAGGCTTATTATATTGATTGGTCAGTGTAGCCCTTTTTGAGGAAATTGTATTTGAGCAGAGATATGAATGACATAAAGCAGCCAGGCATGCAAAGATCAAGTCACAGAGTATTCCAGATGAAAGTAAGAGCCAGAGCAAAGACTCTTAGGAAGGGTAGGCCTGGTGCGGTGGCTCATGCCTGTAATCCCAACACTTTAGGAGGTTGAGGTGGGCGGATCATGAGGTCAGAAGTTCAAGACCAGTCTGGCCAACATAGTGAAACCCCGTCTCTACTGAAAATACAAAAAATTAGCCAGTGTGGTGGTGGGCGCCTGTAATCCCAGCTACTCAGGAGGCTGAGACAGAAGAATTGCGTGAACCCAGGAGGCGGAGGGTGGAGTCAGCCGAGATCACGCCATTGCACTCCAGCCTGGGCAACAGTGGGAGACTCCATATCAAAAAAAAAAAAAAAAAAGATGGGTATCAGGTAGCTTTTGTTCAATAATAAACCACTTCAAAATTCAGTGACATAAAAATAATAACCATTTATTTATTATTACTTTGTGGGTCAGTAATTTGGGCTGAGCTCAGATGGGCTGTCTTCTGGTCTCAGATGATCTTACTTTTGTGTCAGTGGTCAGCTACTAATCAGCTAGGTGACTTTGCTTCTTAGGGTTGCCTGGCTATCAGCTGGAGTGATGGGAGCAAGCGGGCCATATTTCTTTCATCATCTAGCAGGCTATCCCAGGCTTGTTGATAAGTCTTGTTGATATGTGGCAGTGCAGGGTTGCAAGAGAGAGTAGAAGCATGCAAGGCCTCCTCAGGCTTTGACTCAGAAATGGAACGATGTCACTTCTGCCATATGCTATTGGCAAGGCCAGCCCAGATTCAAGAAGTGGAGAAACAGACATCACTCCTTGATGGGAGACTGAGAGACAAGGTCACAGAGAAAAGGAGAATTATGATACTTGTAACACACCATGAGCAAGAATGAACAAAGAACAGAAAAAAAAAATTCCAGCATGTCCAGAGCAATTGTTGGGGAGTGTTATGGGCTGAACTGTATTCCCTTCAAAATTCATATATTGAAGTCCTAATCCCTAGTACCTCAAAATGTGACTGTACAGTCTTTAAAAAGGTAACTAAGTTTAAATGAGGTCAGTAGGGTGGCCACTAATCCAATATAACAGGTAAGGGAATGAAAAGACAGACAAGAAAATATTTGCAAATCACAGGTCTTATAAAGGACTCGCATCCAGAGTATTTTTTTAATTCAGTAATAAGAAAAAAACAATCTAATAAAAATGGGCAAAAGATATGAACAGATACTTGACCAATGAAGATATGAAAAGATGCTCAACATCATTAGTCATTAGGAAAATAAAAATTAAGACAAAGATATACCTACATATTTATTAGAATGGCTAAATTTAAAAGACTTACCGTACCAAGTCTTGGCAAGCAAACAGAAGAACTAGAACTCTAATAGAATGCTGGTAGGTATATAAAACGGTACAACCACTTTGGAAAACAATTTGATAGTTTGTTAAAAAGTGGAACATACATCTGTTACATGATTCAGGTATTCCATTCCTAGATATTTCCCAAGAGCAATTAAAGCCTACAAAAAGACCTGTAAACAAATGCTCATAGCAACTTTATTTGTAATAGTCAAAAACTAGAAAGAACCCAATGTCCATCAACAAATGAATAGATAAACAAATAATGGTATATCCATACAATGGAATACTATTCAGCAACAAAAAGCAATAAACTAGCACAATCTATAGAAGAAAAAATAATCAACACATTACACTTCATCAAGAAGAAAAACTTTTATTCTGTGAAAGGCTCTATTAAGAGGATGAAAAGACTGGAAGAAAATATTGCATACCATGTATCTGGCAAAGGACTTTTATCTATAATATATGATATATAGTCTCAAAATTCAATAACAAAAAACAAACAATTCAATTATAAAATGGGCAAAAGGCTTGAAGAGACAGCCAGCCACGGTAGCTCATGCCTATAATCCCAGCACTTTGGGAGGCGGAGGCAGGCGGATCACTTGAGGTCAGGAGTTCAAGACCAGACTGGCCAACATGATGAAACCCCGTCTCTACTAAAAAATACAAAAATTAGCCGGGTGTGGTGGTGCGCACAGATAGTCCCAGCTACTTGGAAGGCTGAGGCTGGAGAATCGCTTGAACCCAGGAGGCAGAGGTTGCAGTGAGCCGAGATCACACCACTGCACTCCAGCCTGGGCAACAGGGCGAGCCTCTGTCTCAAAAAAGAAAAAAAAAAACCTGAAGAGACACTTCACTGAGGAAGATATATGGATGGCAAATAAATACATGAAGAGATGCTCAACACTACTAGCCATTAGGGCAATGTAAACTAAGACCACAAACAGATGTCACTATACACCCATTAGAACAAAACCTAAATTAGTGACAATATCAAGTGCTGGTGAGGATGTGAAGAAACTGGATCTCTCATATGCTGCCTGTGGGGATGTAAAAGAAAACTAAACATAAAACCCAGCAATTGTATTCCTGGGCGTTTCTCTCAGAGATATGAAATATGTGCACCCAATACTCTGTACATGATTGTTTATTGCAGCTTTATTTGCAATTGCCCAAAACTGGCAACAACCAATTGCCCAAAACTGGCAACAACTCAGGCTTTGACTCAGAAATGGAACGATGTCACTTCTGCCATATTCTATTGGCAAGGCCAGCCCAGATTCAAGAAGTGGAGAAATAGACATCACTCCTTGATGGGAGACTGAGAGACAAGGTCACAGAGAAAAAGGAGAATTATGATATTTGTAACACACCATGAGCAAGAATGAACAAAGAACAGAAAAAAAAAATTCCAGCATGTCCAGAGCAATTGTTGGGGAGTTCTCCTTCAATGAGTGAATGACTAAGCTAACTGTGATCTTTCCATACCACAGAACATTACTCAGTCAAAAAATAAAAATAAATAACAAAAATGAACTATTGACACATGCAACAGTGTTGGATGCATCTCAAGGGTATTATGCTCTCAAAAGATCACATACTGTATGATTCCATTTATAACATTTCTCAGAATGACAAAATTACAGTGATGCAAAGCAGATTAGTGGCTGCCAGGGTCTAGGAATGGTAGAGGATGGGGGTTGGGTGTGACTAAAGGGATAGCATGAGGGAGATCTTCGTGGTGATGGGACAGTTCTTGCAACTTGATTGAGTGGTGATTACCCGAATCTCCATATATAATAAGACGGCACAAAACTATACATACACCTTGCACCAATGTCCGTTTACTGGTTTTGATGCTGCACTATGATTATGTAAGATATATCCATTGAAAGAAACTGGGTGAAGGGTACACAGACCCTACCATTTTGGCAACTTCCTGTGAATATATAACTGTTTTGAAGTTAAAAGTTTTTTAAAGAGCAATTAACAGTTGATATTCACTATAACCTAGATAAATCTCAAAAATAATTATGCTGTATGAAAAAAGCCACATCAAAAAGAGTATGTACTGTATGATCCCATTTATATAAAATTCTGCAAAGTGTAAACTGAACTGTAGGGACAGAA
This sequence comes from Homo sapiens, assembly GCF_000001405.40. Classification (NCBI taxonomy): domain Eukaryota; kingdom Metazoa; phylum Chordata; class Mammalia; order Primates; family Hominidae; genus Homo; species Homo sapiens. Next base: position 72,789,887 of record NC_000015.10, on the reverse strand, counting down.
AGCAGATTGCCTAGGTACAGGGAGTGGGAGGATGTACAGGCAGGAAGGAGTAAGAGGGAAGGGTTACAAAGGGCCATGAGGAAGTATTTGGGGGTGATGGATATGTTTACTATATTACCTTGATTGTGGTGATGGTTTTGTCAGAGGCATTCGAACCAGAGCGACTCCACTTTGAGTGAGGGCTAGGAGAATGAGGCTGAGACTTGCTGGACTGAATTCCCAGAAAGTTAGGCATTCTTAGCCTCTAGATGTTTACGGTTAAGGGAACAAATTAATAATGTTTACTAAAACAGACCCAGACTCGGGAGTGTCCAGATATCCCAATATCTGGGGAACAAAGGCATTCCTAATTTTGCTTGAAAGATAATAATATTGATTCTTGCCAAATACGATAATTAAGAAAATTAATAGTTTATCACAAACCCTTGTAGCAGAGCACATCTCTCCATATATACAAGCATTGTACCTAGGGTGGATGCGTTCCTCCTCTTAGTTTCGGGAACGTCCCGCTCTGTCTATGGAGTAGCAGTCCTTTCACCACTTTGCTTTCTTAATAAACTTGCTTTCGCTTTGCACTACAGACTAGCCCTGAATCCTTTCTTGCATGAGATCCAAGAACCCTCTCTTGGCGTCTGGATCTGGACCCCTTTCCTGTAACAGTTTCAGGGTGTATACATATATTAAACTTATTAATTTGTATACTTTAAATATTATGCACTTAATGCATATCAATTTTACTTCAATAAGCATACTAAAAATATTAAGTGCCTAGTAATAAAACTTACTAAAGACATACAAATCCTCCACAAAAAGTCTAATATGATATTGGGAGACATTTAGGTAGATCTAAATAAATGAAGGGATCTACCATAGTCCTAGAATGATAAAAATCCTAATTGGGTTTTTTTGGGAGGGAGGGCGACAAGTTGATTCAAAAATGTATATGGGAATTTTAAAAGGCCAAAGATAGCCAAGACACTCTTGAAGAGTAAGGAGAAAGAATTTATATTAACAGATATCAAGACAGTGAGACGCTGATAAACAAATAGACCAATGGAACAGATTGAAGAGCCCCAAAACAGATCCACACATACATAGACACGTGGTATTGGACAGAGGTGGGAATGCAGAGTCATTGAGAAATGACCAGTAAAAGGCACTGGGTCAATTGGGTATCTATAAGCATTCTTCTCACAACACACAAAAATCAATTCCAAGGTAGATTAAATACCTAAACATGAAATGTGAAAGCCTACAGCTCTTAGAAGGTTGTACAGGAAAATACCATCACGATCCTGAGTATGGGAAGATTTTTTAAATAAGTAACAAAAAGCACCAATGATAAGGGGAAAGTAGTAATAAAAAAAGAACAAAACGGTAACTACACTAAAAACGAAGAACTTTAAGCCTGCGCATGGTAGCTCACAACTGTATTCCTAGCACCTTGGGAGGCCAAGGCAGGAGGATCTCTCGAGGTCAGGAATTCAAAACCATCCTGGGCAACACAGAGAGACCCTATCTCTACAAAAATACATAAATAAGAATAATTTTTCATAGAACTCTACTCACTAAAGATATTATAAAAAGAATGAATAGACAAGTGACTGGGAGGGAGGCAAGATACTTGCAAATAACCAACAAATGGAAACTTGTCAAAACCACAGTAAGATACCACTACACACCCTACAAAATGACAAAGCTTTAAGAATCTGTTGGAGTGTAGCTGGAGCAACAGAAATTCTCATATGCTGCCAGTGGGAAGATAAACTGGCATACCACTTTGGAAAGATGTCAGATATTATATAGTAAAGTTGAAGACAGGCATATCATATGACCCAGAAATGTTACTTTGTTTCTACCCTGAAGAAATGGCTATACACGTGTACCACAGCATATACATAGCAACACTGTATGTAATAGTAAAAAAACTGGGAAAACTCCAAATCGTCTATTCATAGTACAATAGATAAATTTTAGTATTTTCATTCAGTGGGATATTACATAGATGCTAAGCCGTCAAAAAATAGAAAAGGCTACTGCATAGTGACCTATGCAGAAATGGCTGTCTTCCTTATAGTAAGAGAGTGACAGACCAGCAAGAAAGACTAAAAAGAAAATTAAATATAGCTCTCAGAACCAACCATAGCAACAGCAGGGAATGTTTTGAATTCCAGCATGTAGCAGACACTGTGCTAGACTGTCTTAAGATAACTCTACCTCCCACAACCATTCTGCAAAGTAGGAATTATTTTGCATATAAGGAAACTGAAGAACAGAAAAGTTAAATGACTTACCTGAGGGCACACAGATAGCAGGTGACAGAGTGAAGATTTGCAGCCAGGAATCAAATCCCACCTTCTTTCCATTGAAGTATGAACTGTTGATTGCAGCAACCATTCACCACCCCTCCCTTCATCCAGAACCCTGATTTTGTTAAGATGTACTGCCTCTTCCGTGCTGTCCACCCTAGGGATGGCAGAGCAAAAGACAGAACAAGCATGGGCCCCTGAGGACTCTCTCTGGCAATGCTGCCAGGCCATCCCAGTTAGATGTTTTTGCTTCCTTTTATTTATTTTTCCTTTATTTTAGTTTTAGGCCCAGTGGTTGTAGAACTGCTAGGGTTCTTGAATCAAAAAGAAAATGTAGTTAGAAGGCAAACTTCCCATTTCCTTCCAAACCATTGCAAGTAATACTGAAACCCAAACCAGATCACTACAGCAGATGCTACAAGGGCTACAACAGGACTGGTTTACGCAGCCTGCAGAAGAGAACCCAAGCAGGAAGGCCTGTGAGTGTAAAGGGCTCCAGCAGGCAGCCTGGTAGCAGTGTTCCGGGAAGCCTGAGATGGCTAAGAGCACTGTGAGGGTGGAGGCCTCTGCTTTATCCTGCCCCGATTCATTCGCCCTATGAAGCTCATAGGTCCCTGCCAGACAGAAGCCCACACAGTCCTGTGCCTCCTGCCTTTCTAGGCTCAGCGCTTCTTCCTGGTCCAAAGCAGTTAATTTCCAAAGTGAAAATTCCGGGCCACTATGTTGTCACATCCCCTCAAGCTACAACCCGGTTCCCAGTCTGTGTAGGAAGTTCTATTACTATCAAGAAACTCTCATGTTCTTCTTACTGCTTTGCTGCTGACGTTCCTCTCATCTGGCTCCTGTGCCTCAACACCCCTGCCTCTCCCCTGCACTGGCCAGAGGCAGTCCATCCTCTGAGCACTTCTAGTCCCCTCCTGACCTCACATTAGTGAGGAGGATGTCTGATTGCCAAGGGCTATGGCTACAGACACAAAGCTTTCTCTTTTCGGGGGCTGGGATCCTTTATTCCATCTCTTCAATCTCTTTGGAGTTTTCTGTAATCTTCAAAATTGTGCTCTGACTCTGGCCTTTGGGCATGGCCTGTGGTGGGCTGTGTCCCTGGCATCAACAAAGGCTTTGACACAGTGTGGCCTTCAAAGAGCAGCTTGGATGAAACCCCAGAGGCCTGGAGCTGCAAGGAAAGTGGGTTAGCCCAGCTTTCACAGGGACCATTTGGTCCCACTTTAGTTTCTGCTCCACGTGGGAACAAATGTGCCCCTTAAGGCCTTTCAGATTGCGGGGGTGACGCTGATGGGTATTTATGTTAAAGCCAAAACCTTCAGCTAATTTGGAAGCTGACAGGATTCTGCTAATTCTTTGTGTTCATACAGGATCTGCTCCCTGGCCTTCCAGGTCAGGATCTTGGGTGGGGCACCTGGAGCCTCCATTTGCCTCTGAATTTTCTAGAACCAAATTGCTTTTCTTCTCTCATTTCAAGGTCCTAGGAGAGAGAACCAATAGGAAAGGCCATGTCTGGAAGCAATTTGGGTGGGGGCGGGGGGTGTCTTGAGGCCTGCCCAGCCCAGCCCTTTCCTCTTTGTTCAGCCTAGGCAAAGGAGCCACAGCTGCCCACTCAGAGCTGTTTTAATTGTCCCCAGAAACCTAACTTCTAGAAAAACAATTGGCTTGCAAAGGATTCCAGACTCTCTGAACAGATAGATGATCAGAATCTTTTCTGATTTTCGTTAAGGAAATATTTCAAGAGGGACTGTGGCACCAAGACAGTGAATGCCTGCCCCTGAGCCCCGATGAGAAGGAATTAAGGGCCCTGTGACTCTGTATGTGACCAGAAGCCACATCAGGCTCCGCCAGGCCTGGCAACTGTCCCTGGTGTTCTGTTCTTCACCTCCTGCGGCTCCTGACTCTTCAGTTCTCAGTTGGAATTGAGGTCAGCTCTCTCGTTTCCTTGTCTGGCCCCCTTCACCACCCACAATGCAAACCCACACTGAGTGACTAACCAGCAAGAGGCCCACAGCAGGTCCCATAGCAACCAGAGGGGGCCAAGCTTGCTACCACAGCCCACAACATGCCAACACCCCATTTAGACTTTTACATGAGAAATAAACATCCACTTTGTTCAACTGCTGTTGTTTTGTCTCTGTGACTAAATCAACAATTCTGGCAAATCTAGAAAGAAGCAGAAGAATTAGGTGCAAAGTGCTGGAAGTTTAGCAGCCTCTCGTGGGAGCAAGAAAGCCCCAGGCAGGTTTCTGTCCACATCACTTTAATGTGGAGCACTCTCCTAGTCCTCTAGATCTGTCTGTTCTATCACCTTCCCACAGTTCAGCTTCCTGTGCTCCCCAAAACTTCACCTTGGAAACATATTTAACTGGTTCTGACCTTTAGCCTTGTGTGACTTTGTGGGTCCACAGCCAATATCAAATAACTACAGACAACAGAAACTTGGTTAAAATTCTCAATAGAGGGAAATGATCGCTGGACAGTCAGCAGACTCGCTGTTTTCAGGTCAGCTGCTGGCTCAGTCCCCTCTGGGTGCCAGGGAAACCTGACAGCTGAGGGTTGTGAGAAGAAGCAGTTTCTCTAGGAACTGACTGACATGTCTCCCTAAGGAGAGAGAAGTGACAGGCAACTCTAGGGAAGATGGCTTTCATGGCTTCATAAAGATCTGACTGGCTCTTTGGCTTCTTTTCCAAGGTAGCCCAAATCTGTTCCTGTGTGAATATCTTTGTCGAAAGGGATGGCATGGTCAGGTAGGCTGGGTAGGATGAACTGCGGGAAGGTAGATGACCAGGATGGGGAAGTTCTGATGAGGTGGGGCTGAGGAGAATGAAGACTAATGCCCAAGATCAAAGTTAGGGAAATAAAGTTTCGCTGCCAAGTCCAAAGGTCAGGGTCACAGTGGAAAACTGGACACAAAGCCAAGGTCAGGAGCCGAGAGAATTGGAAAAGTGGAAACAAACCAGGGAACAAGACTAGGCCGGGCATTGTGGCTGATGAGAATGAGCTGGTACCCAGCCTAGCTTCACTGTCTCTCAACCTAGCCTCATGCACAGAAAAGTATCAGCGAAGAGAGGGCTGGGTTTAAGTGATGTCACCAAGGGGGAACAAAAGAAAGCAGCGTTTCTCAACCCAGGTCCATAACTCTCGTGTTGTGCACAAGATTGTGTACATTTTCCAGAGTTTGTTAAAGGGAACAGCGCCCCCAAAAGGGTTAAAGTTTGATTGTGGAATAATCTGGTTATCCAGAAGAGAACGATCTCTGCGGGCTCTCCTGTCTCGACGAAGTCCTTTAGTGGCTGAGGGTCTCGGCCACCTTCCAAAGGGGCGGAATCCCCCTGCCTCGCGTACCCCAGGGGTCTCGGCAGCGCCGCTATTCTGTGAGCCTATTCCTCTCAGAAGCGCCGAGCACTAGGCCTGGAAGAGGACAAGTCTAGCAAATGAGGGGACACGGGCGGAGGGAGGGATTAAAAGATGGGGGTGTGATCCGTGCCAATGGGGACACCCACTGGTTCGAATATTAACGCGAGGTTTGTCCGCTTCTTCACAATCTGTCCGTTTCGTTTTACTGCGAAAGCAAATGTGTTCCCATCCCTCTATTTGGGGATACGATTAGAGTTCCGGGAAGGGGGTGCAGCGCCCGGACTGGCACAACCGCCGTTGTCCCACCTCCTCCGGGGCGGCAACACCGCAGTGCCAGGCCTGGGACTGAGGCGTGGGGTCCCCCCTCGCTCCGTCCTGGCGCCGCCCGTCGCCCCGCCCCTTGGGGGGCCCCGTGGCGCACCCTTGTGACGTAGCGCTTGTGTCGACATCGGCGCGCGCCGAGCCCGGAAGAGGCGCGGGCTAGGAAAGGAGTTGGTTCGCGCAGGTGCGGCGCCTGGGTCCCCATGGCGCTGTGGCGCGGCTCCGCGTACGCGGGCTTCCTGGCGCTGGCCGTGGGCTGCGTCTTCCTGCTGGAGCCAGAGCTGCCAGGCTCGGCGCTGCGCTCTCTCTGGAGCTCGCTGTGTCTGGGGCCCGCGCCTGCGCCCCCGGGACCCGTCTCCCCCGAGGGCCGGTTGGCGGCAGCCTGGGACGCGCTTATCGTGCGGCCAGTCCGGCGCTGGCGCCGCGTGGCAGTGGGGTGAGTGCCAACGGGGCCTGGGTCTCTGAGCCTCCGAGGTCGGCCTTGGAGGTCGGGCGGAGCCGCGCAGAAACAGGGCTTCTCAGAGGTCCCCGGGAGGCGCTGCTGTCCGCGCTGGCCCCTTGGCGAGAAGTGTCGGACGTCTGAGTGGAACCCGGTTCGTCACCGCTGCTCTTTCCACTCGGCTGGCCTCTGCGCCTTTCTCTCATCCCGGTAGGACCAGCCCTAACAGCTTCTTGCTAATCCCGCTTTGTCTGACACCTTTCTCCGAGCCTTCTTCCTCGTTCCAACTTTTAGCCCCTTCTCTTCTGGCGACTGTTGTTTTGCAATCAAAGATACTTGACCTTACCCACTATGACAACACTCTTCCTCTTTCTTCTGAACTTCTTGAAGACGCGTGATGTCTGCCTTTACCCACTTTCGAAACGCCGTGTAGTCTAGAAACCACACGACTGTACTGCAACTCCTCTCAGATTTGCCTTTTTGAATCTTCATTATCTACTCTGCAGCCTTCCACGCATTGAACACGCCCTTCTCCGTGAAATTCTTTTCTTCCCCTGACTTCAGTGACACTGCATATTTAAGGTTCTTCCAAATGACACTACCTCCTTTCTTTGTACTTTTCCTTGGGAATGTAATTATTTTCTTTATAGTATTGATACTGTAAACACTAACTTTAGTCCCTGTCTCAGTTCGATTTGACTTTCTTGCCGTAATCTCAGAGTTATGTATAACCACCACATAAAAGCAGGCCCTCTACCATGTAGCTCACTACTTTCTGTGGAGTGTTGGGGCCGGGAGGGGTAAAGTAGAGCAAACTTGGCCTGAAGATTAAATGACATCATTCATGTAATCTCTCTAGCATAGTGCCTGCTTTAAAAAGCATTCGATATTAGCTATAATTTTGGGGTTTTTTTTTTTTTTTTTTTTTGGACACAGGGTCTCTCTCTCTGTCGCCTAGGCTGGAGTGCAGTGGTGCAATCACTGCTCACTGCAGCCTCGAACTCCCGAGCTCAAGAGATCCTTCTGCCTCAGCCTCTGGAGTAGCTGGGACGACAGGCAAGCACCACCACGCCCAGCCAATTTTTTATTTATTTTATTTTTTTTAGTAGAGTCGAGGTCTTGCTATATTGCCCAGGCTGGTCTCGAACTCCTGAGCTCAAGCCAGCCTCCCATCTTGGCCTCCCAAAGTGCTGGGATTAAATTGTCCTTCCTTGCTTTATGCGCGTTCATTCAGCAGATATTCACCAACTACATGGTTAGTGTCAGGTCTGTGCTAGGTTCTTAAGATACAGAGATGGGTGAAGCAAGGCCCCTGTCTCACTTGTTGGAAACATATTATTGTATCAGTCATTTGGGCTGCTAGAACAGAATACCACAAATTAGGTGGATTAAACAACAAATCTGTTTTCTCGTGGATCTGGAGGCTGATAGTCCAAGATCAAGGTGTTGGCAGGATTGGCTTCCGATGTGGCCTCTCTTCCTAGCTTGCAGCCAGCTGGCTTTTCAGTTAGTCTGCGCATGTACACTCCTGGTGCCTCTTATTCTTCTTATGTGGACACTAGGTCCTTTTGGAATAGGGCTCACCCGTATGACCTTATTTAACCTTAACTACTTCCTTAAAGGCCCTACGTCCAAATATAGTCACATTGGGAATTAGGGTTTCAGCATATGAATTGGTGGGGGGTGGACAATTCAATCCATAACAATTATGGTTAGAAGAGGAACAACCCACGAGGACCAGGCAGAAGCCTTAATGCCTTTTACGACCTTACCTTAGAAGCACATAGGAACTCTTCTACCAGAGTCACAGGTCCACCTGGTTTTAAGGGAGGGGACATAGAACAAACCTTGATGGGAGGAGCATCAGTGTCACATTGTGAAAAGAACATTTGGAATGGGGCATCTTATTGCCACCATCTTGGAAAATATATTTTACTACAGTGACTTTCATAGGACAGACACTAAATAAATGAGATTTCTTCAAGCCAAAGTGGGAACAGGTCCACCTAGGCAAGAGAACCAAATGTGAAAAAGTACATGGTTTGTTTGGGAACAGGTCGGCCTTGTTTTGGAGCGAGAATCCTATGGTAGAGGGTTGTAAAGAGATGATGCTGAGAACGAAGGGTTGGACCAGATTGTGAAGGGCCTTTTATGGGGAAGCCATAAAGGTTTGTAAGTAGTTAACTGATGACAAGTTCTTTGTTGAGAATTGGTGGGAATGTGAAGGGTGGATTTTGAGCAGTGGTTCTAAACTGTTTCACTGCTTCTCATCATTTATTACCCAAAGAGGATTTTTAGCCCAAAGATAGGGGGATATAGGAGGGATGAGGGGGAGCAGGTGTAGTACTTGTATCAGAATCTCATTTTGAGGTTGTAGTTTGACTTCTCTAGAGACACACTCGTATTCACACTCTCTGTCACACAGACACACTCAAAATGCCATTTAATGTGATTCATAAGGAGGAATATCTTGACATCCTGACACTGGTTTAAGAGGCCATTGTAGGGTTTGTGTAAAGGGAGAAAGGAGCCCGAACCAAACTCGGCAATGATGTAGAAGAGGTGAGATTTGAGAGATAACCTGAATAATAGTTTGGATGTGGTGGAGTAAAGAAAGGCAGTCAAAAACGACAGGTTTTTAATATTGGATATCTTGTTTAGTTTTTGTTTTCTGTTTGAGACAGCATCTCACTCTGTCACCCAGGCTGGCGTGTGCAGTGGCATGTTCAAGCTCACTGTGGCCTTGACCTGTCATGCTCAGTGTCCCGAGTAGCTGGAACTACAGGCATGTACCACCACACCCGGCTAATTTTTATATTCTTGGTAGGGACAGGATTTGCCAAGTTGCTCAGGCTGGTCTTCAACTACTGGGATCAGGCCTTGGCCTCCCATCTTGGCCTCTGAAAGTGCTGGAATTACAGCTGTGATTCCACACCCAGCCCAGTATTAAATATCTTATAACAACTAATATGGTTAGGCTTTGTGTCCCCACTCAAATCTCATCTTGAATTGTAATCCCCATAAGCTAATCAAGGGAGAGACCAGGTGGAGGTAATTGAATCATGGGGGCGGTTCCCCCATTCTGTTCTCCTGATAGTGAGTTCGTTCTCATGAGATCCTTTGGTTTTATAAGGGGCTCTTCCCTGCTATTCACTCGGCACGGCTCCTTCCTGACACCTTAAGAAGAAGGTGCCTTGCTTCCCCTTCACCTTCCACCATGAATGTAAGTTTCCTGAGGCCTTCCCAGCCATGCTGAACTGTAAGTCAATTAAACCTCTTTCCTTTATAAATTACCCAGTCCCGGGCAATTCATTATAGCATTATGAAAATTGACTAATGCAACAACTTTATGAGGGAGGCAGATAACAGATATTGTCACCGAGTCTTCTCACATTGATTTATTTGCCCAAGATCTTGTAGCTATCAAGTGCCAGAGGAGCAATTGAAGCCTGGTCTTTCCCATTTCTGGTTCCTTGTTGATGCCATGTTGTTGCCATTAAGAGAGATTTAAGAAAAACAAGTTTCAGAAGATAAATTGGATTTCAGAGGAGGAGAAATGTACATACATTGTTATGGGATTTCAGATGAAGCTTCTCTGTCAGCTACTGAAAATGAGAAGCTGGTTTTTAGGAATATATTGAGAAACAGGATTGCAAATTTTGGAGACACTGGCACTTAGGTTGAAGCCAGAGACTGGATAGGATCACCCAGGAAGAGAAGAGGAGAAGGTAAAAATGGTAAAGGTGGAATTCTGGGAGGCACTAGCCCTTAAATGCTAGTGCATTAAGGGGCTGGTGAAAAGGGGTCAAAGAAGTAAAGGATAGGAGGAGTTTTAAGGCGTTTCTAGGAAACTTCCCCTGCTTCTAAATCAGACTCTGGTACCTATTCATTGGTTTAAAAATGATGAAACCCGGCAGGCATGGTGGCTCACGCCTGTAATCCCAGCACTTTGGGAGGCTGAGGTGGGTGGATCACCTGAGGTCAGGAGTTCGAGACCAGCTTGACCAACATGGAGAAACCCCATCTCTACTAAAAATAAAAAAATTAGGCGTGGTGATGCATTTCTGTAATCCCAGCTTCTCAGGAGGCTGAGGCAGGAGAATCGCTTCAACCCAGGAGGCAGAGGTTGCGGTGAGCCGAGATCGCGCCGTTGCATTCCAGCCTGGGCAACAAGAGTGAGACTCTATCTCAAAAAAAAAAAAAAAAAAAAACCCTCATGCTAATATTTATTGCCCCTGGAACTGGCTTCACCCTGAACCTTGAAACATATCTTGGTCTTCTCCCCTGTATGAATTCTCCATTCTAGCTAGATAATTCTTTATTGTATCCAAACACAAGGTTAATCCCTTCATGTACAACTTTGCTTGTGTATACTTCCTACGTGGGTTTCAGTATCATCAGATAAATCTGGGTTTGAATTTCAGCTCTGCCTGTCTGTGGGCTTTGGAATGTTAGTTAATCCATGGCCTCACTCTTCTCAGCTGAAAGCAGTGATGACTAATTAGCGATCTTACCGCATTTTGCAAATAGGTTTAATCTATCTGAAAATGCCTGCCTAGCGTGGGGTGCTTCTTAAAGATCAGCCGCCTTTCTTCTATCTAGATGCAGGAGCTAGGGTTCAGCACAGGGACCACTGCCCTAGCCATTTTTCCCCCGCCTCTTTACAGTTCTATGTCTTAACAATTACGATTAGCTCTTATAACAGCTGATGCACATAATGTAAAGCTAGAGAAAACCTTAGAAAACATTTTACAGGTGATGAAACAGAAGGGAGGAGATAGGAAACATCGTCTTTGCCTTAGAGGCACTTATGGTCTAGAAGGGAGAACTGTGCCCTCTTTGCCAGCCCCCCAACCCATTTTGACATTCAGCATCTGTTGTCTTGACCTATTTTCTAGTTGTTTCATCTGTGTTTTCTCCAAAATCACAGTCATCTAATATACATTTTTTACTGAAGTGTGAGCTTCTGCTTGCATGTCAGATGAGCATAATTTTGTCTTCTGATTCTTTAACTGTGTCTCCCTTTATTTCCCCTTGACAATACAGCCCCTTAGGTAATATGCTTTTTACATTTTGGGATGCTATTGAGTTGAGAAAGTGCAGAGAAAGATTCTTATTCTGGTTAAAGTATTATAAAACAGAACAAGAAAGTACATGTAAAGTACTTGTTTGGCATCCGGCATGTAGTAGATGTTCAGTGTTTTTTTGAGACAGGGTCTTGCTCTCTCACCCAGGCTGAAGAGCAGTGGTGCCATCTTGGTTCACTGCAACCTCTGCCTCCCAGGCTCAAGTGATCCTCCTGCCTCAGCTTCCTGAGTAGCTGGGGCTACAGGTGTGCACCACCACACCCAGGTAATTTTTGTATTTTTTGTAGAGACGGGGTCTTGCTATATTGCTCAGGCTGGTCTGGAACTCCTAGGCTCAAGTGATCCACCCGCCTTGGCCTCCCAAAGTGCTGGGGTTACAAGTGTGAGCCACCGTGCTCAGCCTGGTTTTTTTTAATTATAAAAAGTTATCAAGTAAACTGTGAACCAGTCTGAAAAACTGGTTATTTTCCCCCGGTATTCCTGGTATGATTAGGTGAGGGATGGAAAATGTTCCATGATAGTGATATTTTGTAACTCAAAATTAGTTCTGTTGGGTTTTGCCTTGTGTTACAAAATATACTGAACAGCTTTCCCCATTCTCATTTTAAGGAGTCAGACTGTTTAAAATCTCAGCAGTACTAGATATGGAGAGTGGGGTGTTTATAGTTTTGTTTTGTTTTGTTTTGTTTTTGAGATGGAGTCTTGCTCTGTTGCCCAGGCTGGAGTACCATGGCACGATCTCAGCTCACTGCAACCTCCACCTCCCGGGTTCAAGCGATTCTCCTGCCTCAGCCTCCCAAGTAGCTGGGATTACAGGTGTCCACCACCACACCCAGCTAATTTTTGTGTTTTCATTAGAGATGGAGTTTCACCATCTTGGCCAGGCTGGTCTCAAACTCCTGACCTCATGATCCACCTGCCTCGGTCTCCCAAAGTGCTGGGATTACAGGCTTGAGGGTGTTTATAGTTTTTGAAGTAGTTATTTTCAAAGACAGGTTTCCCTCCATTTCTGAACCTTTACTCTTCAGACTCGGGACCCAAATCCATTTGGATACAATTTTTTTAGACTGGGCTGTCTGGAGGAAATGGTATCCCTCCTTACTCAAGCCCTCACTGTCTGAAACTTAGGAACCTACTGGCGTCTGAGAGCTACAGATACTTGTATTCCTGTTGATTCTACCAATCTAATGTTGCATTCATTAGAAATAAAGGGCACCATGTCTGAGGTAAAATTGAGACCAGTTTGCAAGGTGTGTTTGGTTTCTTAACATTGAAGGTTGTGAAAGGAAAGATTTTAAACATATCTTTAAGCAACTGCCACGTGCATGTCCAGAATGGCCCCTTCTGTGTGTGTCATGGAGAAGTTCTGGCTTATATTTTCAGTGTTTCTTTACTAGAAATCATCCCTCTTTTAAAGAGAAGGGCCAAATACAGTAGCTAGATGTTTTATGCACTGAAAGGCATAGTAAATCTTAGGTTATGCTTCTCCAGTTGACCAGAGTCATTATGTGTGTCTTGAACAAGAAACTGAGTATTTAAATGCTATTTGATAGGCAAAACTCCTTTCAAAACATGAATCCCTAGGGGAAGAATTAATAAAAAGGACCCTTATAATGAGGATGCAGTCTCTTTGTGTCTTGAGGGAGGATGTCTCTTCCTTGCCCTTGTAAATCTTCCTTAAGTGATGTAAATAATATCTAGTCTGCATACAAACCTTTTTAAAGTTATGTCATTTTAAAAATTCTAAAAGGAATACAAGCATGTTAAAAGTAGAAATATACCTGGTAAAATTCCTCTTCATCCCAGTCTCATTCCTCTTCATTTTTGAAAGAGACTAAAAGGGAAATACAACTATGTATTTTACACCAAAATCTCATCCATTGGGACATTTTTATTAATGAGTTTACCTTGTGGTTTCAGAGCTGCTCAGAATTAACTCTGAAGCCCAGTCACCCGTATCACTAGGGGTGGTCTCAGTTTGCCGGCTGGGAGCTGCCTGTGTGGTAATCCAACCTCACTGGCCAGAATGACATCCCAATAGGCAGAGGCAGGAATAAAGATGACCATGATAGGGGTAGGGGCGGGAAGACCTCATCTAGCTACCTTAATTATTTGAACGTTCTCTTTAAAAGAGGGATGACTTAGCAAAGAAACCCTGAAAATGTAAGACAGACTTTCTCCATACACACATAGGAGAGGTCATGCCAGACAACCTTAGTACAAGTTGAGCATCCAGAATGCTCTGAAATCCAAAACTCTGGGGCACTGACATGATGCCACTGATGTATATTAAGTACTTATATGTGAAAATTCCACCCACACGTAAGGAATAGAAACTTTATTTCATGCACAAAAGTATTTAAAACATTGTATAAAGTTACCTTCAGGCTGTATGTATAAAGTATATATGAAATGTGTTTGGACTTGGGTTGCATTCCCAAGATATCTCATGTATATGTAAATATTCCAAAATCGGAAACACTCTGATCTCAAGCACTTCAGATAAGGGATTCAACCTGTACTTTATAATTTCCATCGAGACAACCAGGAGTGGCAGGTCTTTAACGTTCATGGGTCAGTCCTGTGAACACTGGCCAAAGGGTGAGTTCTTAAAATGCTGCAGGTGTGCCTAAGTCTGTAAAACACCACTAAATTCTAAGAGGCAGGGTTTCAGCTGGGAGTACTCAGGCATTTAGGAATTTATTGTATCTTACCATCCTCATTTGTTTTTAGAGGGAAGATGCCTGATACCTAGCCTTTGACTGAAACACATATTTTGCTTACTCTGCGCCAATTGCTGTTCCTAAGTATACATTCACTTATTTAATCTTAACCATAGCTCTATGAGTTAAATGCTCATATTATTGCCATTTTGTGGATGAGGAAACCGAGGCACAGAGAAATTAGTGACTTGCCCAAGTCACACGGCCAGCATGAATCCTGTTTGGCTCTGCCAGCGTTTTTCTCAGAAATGTTACATTTTTGTTACAGTAGCTTTGTTCTGAAATGCTAAGCACCTATCTTCTCACTTTGTAACTAGTGTAAAAGTTTGCCAAATTATTGAAGAGTCCTGTGTTCTGATGCTAATACATAAATCCAGTTAAAGTAATTTTTCTCCTGCCATGTGCTGTTTACTTCCCAATTCAGGTTTCAGACCTACTTCCTGTTTTTTCTGTTGAATAAGGTTCTGAGAAACATTTTCCTTTTGTTAAATGCAAAATGGCTACTTGGTGCTTCTGCTGCTTTCACACAGTTTTTTTCCTCCTTCTAGAGTCAATGCATGTGTTGATGTGGTGCTCTCAGGGGTGAAGCTCTTGCAGGCACTTGGCCTTAGTCCTGGGAATGGGAAAGATCACAGCATTCTGCATTCAAGGAATGATCTGGAAGAAGCCTTCATTCACTTCATGGGGAAGGGAGCAGCTGCTGAGCGCTTCTTCAGTGATAAGGAAACTTTTCACGACATTGCCCAGGTTGCATCAGAGTTCCCAGGAGCCCAGGTCTGTTTGGTTCAGCAATAGTAAATTAAGGGTGGAAAAAGATGCCTTTTTAATATGGTTCCTAGAAGCAAGCAAGCAACTTTTCATTCCAGTTTGAAGAGGAGGGGAGCAAAATCACCCCTGGTTGAAAACTGTGGGTCTAGGTTGATGGTTCTCAGACTTGAGCATGTGTCAGAATCATTTGGAGAGGCTGTTGAAACACAGATTTCTGGGCCTACTACCAGAGTTCAGATTCAGTAGATGTGGGATGGGACCCAAGAATTTACCTTTCCAGCAAGTTTCCTGGTTGATCCTGTAGGTCTGAGAACCTCCTTTTGAGAACCACTGGTCTGCAAGGTAGAACCTGTCGAAGTTAGAACCTTAGTGGTTTCCAAGTTCACCTGGTGATTATATACAAAGCCCTGCATGGTCCAGGCACTTCCTGGAGGTTCACGTGGAATAAGAGGCAGTGCTGGGGCTGGAGACCCAACCATGGCTCTTCCTACCTCACCCCAGTATGCCTGCTCCTACATGTACCCTCATGCCTCTTGAGGCTGAGTTTTGGTTGGTTGGTTATCTCCCATGTCTTGCCCCCACCCCATTCTTCCTCCTCATTTAAACCTCCCTTTGGCTGGGCACCCAGTCTGGTTTGGTAGTTCTAGCCAGGGAAGCTCTTAATGCCATTTTTAATTGGCACCTTTCACAGGCAAACCTTTGTGACTACTTTTATTTTGATGACTTAAGATTTTAGGCCGGGCACAGTGGCTCACGCCTGTAATCCCAGCACTTTGGGAGGCTGAGGCAGGTGGATTGCTTGAGCCCAGGAGTTTGAGACCAGCCTGGGCAACATGGTGAAACCCTGTCTCTACAAAAAATACAAAAAATTAGCTGGGCATGGTGGCATGTGCCTGTGGGAGGATCACCTGAGCCCGGGAGGTCAAGGCTGCAGTGAACCATGACCGTGCCACTTCACTCCAGTCTGGGCAACAGGGTGTGACCCTGTCTCAAAAAAATTTTAAAAATAAGTTTTTTGTCTTCGAAGCTGCCTATTTGAACATTAGAAATGGACATAGGCATTACCTAGCTGAGTTTCTAAAGGTGACAGCAAGTTAAGATTTCAGTTATCATTTTGACAACTGGGATCAGTAGTGAGATTCTTATCTCTTATGAGAGAATCTCGATAGTTCTAACATGATGAGTTCACTGCTCAAAAGTCTTTATGATTACGGAATTTAAACCACCAGTTTGATTTCTCTTCTCTCTTGATTCTGCCTTTATTTCTTGATGAAAAAAATTTTTACAGCAACTTGATCTAGCTTTGTGATGGTCCAGGTTATTTCTTAACATTGTAAAACCCCTTTCACTAGAGGAGTGCCTTTTCATACTTCCTTATAGTTTAAGGCAGGTTGATAAACATTATATGAAAATTCTGAAATCCACTTTGTAGATATCTTACTATTTTCCCAAGATTTTTTTTAGTAAATTCTAACTATCGTGGTTGAATAAAACATTAAGGCTGACATGTTAAAGGGCCAAATTTCAGCCTACATATCACAGAAAGTTTTAAATTATCTCTAAAAAGCTATTACTGTCCCACCTGAATTCAGAGGTTAGTCAGCACAAAATTGGGATAAGAGTGATGTCTACCATCTAGAATTGTTTACTCCAACCTTGTCCAGTCTGCAGCCCAGGATGCCTTTGAATGTGGTCCAACACAAATTCATAAACTTTCTTAAAACATTATGAGATTTAACCTCCCCCCCACCCTTTTTTTTTAATAGCTCATCAGCTGTCGTTATTGTTAGTGTATTTTATGTGTGACCCAAGACAATTCTTCCAGTGTGGCCTAGGGCGGCCAAAAGATTGGACACCCCTGGTTTAGTCTATGCCTCTGCGTGGGCTGAGGACTAGGAAGCTGGGATAGTAGCATTCCACCCAGGTAACACTATCAGGCTTTTCAACTTTTATAATAGAACAGCAGCCTTAGCTGTTATGTGTCAGATTTCCAAGGCATATGGATCCATCCTTAGCAACATGGAACACCAACCTTGAATTATTTGTTCTCCAGGTCCTCAGCTGAGAGATGTGGTGTTTAAGGGAAAGTACTGTCCTATATTAGGGGCCCATTATCTTTAGAATTTACTCCCAGGAAAACTTTTATGTTTCCCAACACATCAGTGTGTTTCTTCGTTTCTCAAAATTTAGCAACAAACATTTACTGAACACTTCAGAAGAAGACAGTCCCTGCCCCGAAGGACCTAGTTGTGTACCCAGATGATAGTAGCCCAAGCAGACAAGAGCTGCATTAGAGGTTTGTTCAGGTTATAGGGGTAGGAAGAGATCTGTAATCCTATCTGGTGAGGGCGGTTGTGAAGGCTGAGATGTCAGTGGGGTGTAAGGGGAACAGAGAAGGCATTACAGAAGAGGTGACACTGCAGCTGATTCTTGGAAAGTGATCAGGGTTTTACCTAGTATATGAGAAAGGGAGGGTGTCCTAATGGAAGGAAACAGCATGTGCCAAAGGCACAGAGACAGGGGAAGGCTGACTTGGAGAGCTGTAAGCAGGGTGTGGAAGGGAAGGGCAGGAGATGAAGGTAGTAAGGAAAACATGGGTTAGATAAAGGCCATATGTGCCTCACTCAAGAGTTAGATTTTAGTTCATTATAGTATCTACTGAATGATTTTTCCACAGGATAGTGAAATTTTTCTTCATTTTAGAAGGACTATAATGTAGACGATAAGCCCTGTCCACACTTTTCCTGTTTCCTGTGTCTCTTCTGGCTGTCTGTAAGCTCAGAGCTGAATTTGATCAACAGTTAAAGCAATCAGACTCATTTTCATGGTTGTCCTATTTATTTTCTTCATCTTATTACTCACTTTCTATTTCTGTGTTGCATTCACTTCATCTGTGTGTCCTTTGATGTAAAATCACCTCAAAATGTTTTTGGGAAATGGACTATAAATTAATTTTTAAAATAAAAAATGATTAAACTTGGGTGATATAGTTGTATTAAAATACTGTCTAAAAGCCTTGAACTCTCTTACAGCACTATGTAGGAGGAAATGCAGCTTTAATTGGACAGAAATTTGCAGCCAACTCAGATTTAAAGGTAGGTCAAGTTTTTAGATTAAAACCTATGCCTTTCCCTAGTGTTTCAATAATTTTAGGAGCAAGAATGAGTATCTATTCCTTGATTCAACTTATGGATCACCTACTATGTACCAGACCCTGGGTCTTTTGTTAGGAAGCAGTAATAGTAGGAGATAGTAGTAACTAATACTTTGAGTGTTTACTCTGTGCCTGACATTGTCTTTAGTGCTTTGCATAGATTATCTAATCCTTGCAACAAACCCTGTAAGGCTAGTCGGTACTGCCATTGTTCTTCCTTTCTGCATGAGAAAACTTGAGGCACACAGAGGTTCACAACTGATTGGTAATGGAATGAGAAATTTAACCCAGGCAGTCTGACCCAATAACCCATGTTCTTAGGCACCATATCATTTAATAGTTAGGAGCATGTGGGCCTTGAGACTAAGGATTATACAAGTCATGAGGGAAAACAACGGTTGGCCGTGTTGGTGAGCCTGGATCCAGAGTGCCAAAAAATAAAAGCCACTAGATGAGAGTCAGTAGGGGAGTGTCTTCAAGACTTAAATTGTTTGGTTTAAGTAGAATTAAAAATCGTTGCCATGTTCACAGTAACACCTGAGTAAGAAGTTTCTCTTGCTATGAGTAGAATAGGCCTGAAGGGGGAGGCCAACAAGAAAGTTATCGCTGTTTTCCTGTATAATGATTAAGGTTTGGATTAGAGCAGCCAGAGAGGAGAAACATGTATCTAAAACCTACTACAATACATGGGGAACAAAGAAGAGATTTATCAAAGATGATTATGGAGTAAATAACCTTGATCAGTGCAGAATGGTTGTGGCCGCTAACACTAGAAAACAGACTGTGAACAGTCTTCTAGTTTTGGGGGACCAGCCTAAAAATAGAAATGTGAGTCAGAGTGGTGGAACCAGAAGCCAGAGATGAACTCAGAAATACGGATAGGTCATCAGCAGTTTCAGGGAAAAATTCATATGGAGCCACACTATACACCTGGAGATAGATGTGCTTTCAGTTTAGAGAGGATATTAAAATGTGAACATTCATATTTTAATAGGAATCAAAGTTCTCATGAAATATTAGGGTAGAAAATACTTTTAAGAAAGAATAATAAAAAGAAAATAAAGACTTTTGCAGTCATTATGTTTATAAATTGTAATTAACTCCCAAATAGAGAAGATTAGAAATTCCAGGGCTGACCTTTGGAAATATTACCAGCTAATGGGTGGAAGAAAAGGAGATTGATCATAAGCCCTTTAGAGAGAGCCCAGGCCATTCCCATCAGAATCCCAGGAGTTTTCATGGTTTCCTAAGAAGCCACCCTCCTGATCCTGAGAAATAATTCTGCCCTCTGGGAAGACAATACCCAGGACGGTCATGGCTGAGTACAAGATTGACCTTTCAGTATTGACCTCCCCTGGGACCAGCATTTGCTCTTGGTCTCTGGAGTAGCTGGTCCTGGGACCAGTCTGATTGGAAGGCATTCTAATAAAACAGGTCTGGCTTTGGTAGGAGACTGAGGAAAGAGAAGCATTCTGTTACTCAATCCTCACAACAGTCTTATGATTTCAAAGACAGAGGTCTAGAGAGGCTAAGTAAGGTGCCCAGGGGCACCTGGCTAGTAAATGATAGAGTCAGGATTCAAGTGTCAGGCTCTGCCTTTACTTCACCCTGTATGCACTCTCAAAGAGACTCAGTTTAACTTTCTGAAATGCTTCTCAACATGGACTGAGAGATCATCTGAGAACTACAGAGATTAAGAACTAGGTATTTTCCAGAGGTGGTAATTATAGCTGGCACTTCCTTCTATAGTTTTTTACCATATACCAGGCACTGTTTTAAGTTTTAGGTGCTTTAAATGTGTATGAACCAATTTAAATCTTCATAGGGCCCTATAAGGGAAGTCTTTTTATTATCCCCATTTTGCAGATAGGAAAAATGAGGCATGGAGAAGTTAAAACTGGTGAAAATCACATACCTGATAATGAGTAGAGTGGGAATTGAACCCAAGTAGTCAAGCTTCAGAATCCATTCTCCTAATAGCCATGCTATATTGCATCTTTGAAATAGACGCTGGTGAATATAGTAAAGGCAGGTTTAGTGGAATGATAGAATAGAAGCCAAATTTCAGGAGAGGAACCGTGCCTTTAAAAAATATACTTGTGTAATCCCAGCACTTTGGGAGGCCGAGGCAGGCGGATTACCTGAGGTCAGGAGTTCAAGACCAGCCTGGCCAACATGGTGAAACCCTGTCTTAGCTAAAAATACAAAGAATTAGCTGGGCATGGTGGCAGGCGCTTGTAGTCCCAACTACTCAGGAGGCTGAGGCAGGAGAATCGCTCGAACCCGGGAGGCGGAGGTTGCAGTGAGCCGAGATTGCGCCACTGCACTCCAGCCTGGGCGACAGAGCAAGACTCCATCTCAAAAAAATATATACTTGTGGAATTAGGCAAGAATTAGGAATAGTTATTTTATTTTGTCAAATGCTTTTGTCAAATTCTGCATTTACTGAGGTTATTGTGTGGTTTTTTGTTTTTTAGTTTGATATATGGTAATTATATTGACTTTCACATATTAAACCAACCTTGCATCTCTAGGATAAAGCTTACTTTGTTCTGATGTATTCATTATCCTTTTCACATATTCAGTTTACTAAAATTGTGTTTAAAATTTTTACATCAATGCCCAAGAATAATATTGGTCTGTATTTTTCTTTTCTTGTAATGTCTGTGGTTTTGCTGTCAGGGCAATACTGGCCTTGTAGAATAAGTTGGAAAGTGTTTCCCCCTCTTCAATTTTTTTTTTTTTTTTGAGAGACAGGATCTGGCCTTGTCATCCAGGCTGGAGTGCAGTGGCATGATCTCGGCTCACTGCAACCTCTGCCTCCTGGGCTCAAGCCATCCTCCCACCTCAGCCGAGTTCCTGAGTATTTAGGATTGCAGACACGTCACCACAGCCAGCTAATTATTTTGTATTTTTTGTAGACTTGAGGTTTCACCATGTTGCCAGGCTAGTCTCAACTCCCGACCTCAAGCGATCCGCCTGCCTTAGCCTCCCAAAGTGCTGGGATTACAGGTGTGAGCCACCACACCTATCTTCTCTTCAATTTTTTTTTTTTCTTAAGATGGAGTCTCGCTCTGCCCAGACTGGAGTGCAGTGGTGGCGATCTCAGCTCACTGCAATGTCCGTCTCTCAGGTTCAAGTGATTCTCATGCCTCAGCCTCCCGAGTAGCTGGGACTACAGGTGTGTGCCACCATGCCCAGCTAATTTTTGTATTTTTTAGTAGAGAGGGAGTTTCACTGTGTTGGCCAGGCTGGTCTCCAACTTCTGATTGCAAGTAATCCACCTGCCTCAGCCTTCCATAGTGCTTGGATTCATCCAATACACCTGGCCCTTTCTTCAATTTTTAAAACAGAGTGAGTGTCGCATTGGTATTGTATCTTCCTTAAATGTTTATAGAATTTAAGCCTTCTAGTGAAGCCTTCTAGGCCCAGGGTTTTCTCTGTAGGAAGATTTTAAATAACTGATTTCTTTAATAGATATAGGGAAATCCAGATTTTCCTTTTTTTTTTTTAAATGAGCTTTAGTAGTTTGTATCTTTCAAGGAATTTGTTTCATCTAAGTTGTTGGATTTATTGGCATAAAGTTAATTATGGTATTCTATTATTCCTTTAAGATCTCTACAATTTGTAATGATGTTTTCCTTCTCATTCCTGATATTGGTCATTTGTATCTTCTTTTTTTTCCTGATCAGCTTGGCTAGAGGTTTATAAATTTTATTGCTCTTTTTAATAAGTAATTAGCTTTTGGTGAATTTATTTTTCTCTGTTTTTCTATTTTCATTGGATTTTGCTTGCTTCAGATTTGACTTGCTCTTTTTCTAGTTTCTTAAGGTGAGAAGCTACAATCATTGATTTGAGACCTTTCCTGTTTTCTCATATAGGGGTTTAGTGCTATAAATTTCCCCTTAAGTACTGCTTTAGCTGCATCCCAAAGATTTTGATGGATTATTTTTATTTTCATTCATTTCAAAATACTAATATCCCTTTGATTTATTGAGATGTGCCATTTAATAGCCCATTCATGGACTACTTAGAGGTATGTTATTTAGTTCCTAAATATTTGGGGATTTTCCAGATGTCTTTCTGTTACTGATTTCTATTTCAATTCCAGTATGGTCAGAAAATATGCTTTCTATGACCTGAATCCTACTAAGTTTTTGAGACCTTTTTCATGGTGCAGAATATTCTATCTTGGTGAGGTTCTGTGTGTACTTGAAAGCTTCAAGAATATACATAAGCCTTTCTGTTGTTGGGTCGAGTGTTCTGTAAATGTCAATTAGATGAAGTTGATTGATAGTGTTGTTCAAGTCTTCTATATTCTTATTGGTTTTTTTTTTTTTGTCTATTTGATCTGTCAGTTATTAAGAGGTATGTTGACGTCTCCAACTGTAATTTTGGATACTTGTCTATTTCCTTTATAGTTCTGTAACTTTTTGCTTTATGTATTTTGAAACTCTTATTAGGTACATAAATGTTTAGGATTGTTACATCCCTTTAATGAATTAATTCCTTTATCATTACTAGGGATAAATAAAATCATTTCATAATATTCTTTGCTCTGAAATCTATTTTGATTGAAATAGCCATTCCAGCTTTCATTTGATTAGTATTGGCATGGTATATCTTTTTCTGTCCTTGTGCTTTTAATCTATTTGCATCTTTTTACCTTAAAGTGTATTTTTTATAGACAGCGTATAGTTGGGGCTTGCTTTTTAATCCACTTTGACAATCTCTGCCTTTTAATCGGAGTGTTTAGACCATTTACATCTAATGTGATTATTGATATATCAGGTTAGGTTTAAATCTAACATCTTGCTATTTGTTTGCTGTTTGCCCCATCTCTATCTTTGTCCCTCTTTTTCTGTACTCTTTTGGATTATTTTCTATGATTTCATTTTATCTTCTCTGACTTTATTAGGTATAATTCTTTTTTTCTTAGTGGTTGCATTAGGGTTTATACTGTACATCTTTAGCTTATCACGGTCTACTTTCAAGTGATAACAGGCATACCTCAGAGATACTGCATGTTTGGTTCTAGACGACTGCAATAAAACAAATACTGCAATAAAATAAAACGCATGAATTTTGTTTCCCAGTGCATTAAAAGGTATGTTTACACCGTACTATCGTCAAGTAAGTGTGCAGTACCATTATGTCTGAAAAAAAGTGTACACAATTTTAGAGTGCTTGGTTGCCAAAAAATGTTAACAATCATCTGAGCTTTCAGACGGTCATAATCTTTTTGCTGGCAGAGTGTTTTGCCTTGATGTTGATGGCTGCTGGCTGATCAGGGTGGTGGCTGAAGCTTGGGGTGGCTGTGGCAATTTCTTAAAACAACAATGAAGTTTGCCACATCAGTTAACTCTTCCTTTCACAAAAGATTTCTCTGTAGCATGTGATGCTGTTTGATAGCATTTTACCCACAGTGGAACTTCATTCAAAATTGGAATCAGGCCAGGTACAGTGGCTCACACCTGTAATTCCAGCATTTTGGGAAAATGAGGCAGGAGGATCACTTGAGCCTGGGCAACATAGCGAGACCCCATCTCTAAAAAAAAATTTTTTTTAATTAGCTAGGCATGGTGGCGCATGCTTATAGTCTCAGCTGCTTGGGAAGCTGAGGCAGGAAGATCTCTTAAGCCTAGGAGTTTGAGGCTACTGTACTGTGAGCTATGATTGTGCCACTGCACTCTAGCTTGGGTGATAGAGCAAATTCCTATCTCTAAAAATGAAAAATTAAAAAACTTCTAAAAATTGGAGTCAGTCCTCTCAAACCTTCCTGCTATTTGTCATTATCAACTAAGTGTATGTAATACTCTAAATCTTTTGTTGTCATTTCAACAATATTCATAACATCTTTACTAGAAGTAGATTCCATCTCAGCCACTTTCTTTGTTCATCCATAAGAAGCAACTCTTTATCCATTCAAGTTTTATCATGAAGAATACAATAATTCAGTCACATCTTCAGGCCCCACTTCTAATTCTAGTTCTCTGGCTGTTTTCACCACATCTGCAGTTACTGCAGTTTACTGAAGTCTTGAATCTCAAAAGGCGTCCAAGAGGGTTAGAATCAATCTCTTTGAAACTCCTGTTAATGTTGATATGCTGACTTCCTCCTATAAATCATAAATGTTCTTAATGGCATTTAGAATGGTAAATTCTTTCCAGAAGTTTTCAGTTTACTTTGCCCAGATCCATCAGAGGAGTTA
Organism: Homo sapiens; assembly: GCF_000001405.40. Taxonomy (NCBI): domain Eukaryota; kingdom Metazoa; phylum Chordata; class Mammalia; order Primates; family Hominidae; genus Homo; species Homo sapiens. The sequence continues at coordinate 72,765,512 of NC_000015.10, read as the reverse complement.
TTATCTATGGCAGCTATAGCCTTATGAAATGTATTTCTTAAATAATAGACTTGACAAAATTCCAGCCAGGTGCAGTGGCTCACGCCTGTAATCCCAGCACTTTGGGAGGCCGAGGTGGGCAGATCACTTGAGGCTGGGAGTTTGAGACCAGTCTGGCCAATGTGGTTAAAACCCCGTCTCTACTAAAAATACAAAAACTAGCCAGGTGTGGTGGTGCACACCTGTAATCCCAGCTACTCAGGAGGCTCAGGCACAAGAATCACTTGAACCCAGGAGGTGGAGATTGCAGTGGGCTGAGATCGTGCCACTCACTATACTCCAGCCTGGGCGACAGAGCCAGACTGTCTCAAAAAAAAAGTCAAAATAACTTCTTAATTTATGGGTTGCAGAATGGATGTTGCATTAGCAGGTGTGAAAACATCATCCTTCTCCTTATACATTTCCATCAGAGCTCTTGGGCGACTAGGTATACTGTCAATGAGCAGTGATACTTCAAACATTTTTTTTTTTTTTTTTCTGAGCAGTAGTTCTGAACAGTGGGCTTAAAATACCTATTAAACTGTAAATAGGTATGCTGTCATTCAGGCTTTGTTATATATATAGAACACAGGCAGAGTAGATTTAGCATCATACTTAAGAATCCTAGGATTTTTCAGAATGGTCAGTGAGCATTGGCTTCAACTTAGTCACCAGCTGTGTTAGCCCCAAAAAGAGAGTCAGTTTGTTCTTTGAAGCTTTGAAGGTAGGCATTGACTTCTACTCTCTAGCTCTGAAAGTCCTAGATGGCATCTTCTTACAATAATTTTACGTACTTCTTCAGCATTACCCTCCAACAGAAGGCTGTTTTGTATACATCGAACCTGTTGTTTAGTGTAGCCATGTTCATCAGTGATCTTAGCTAGATCTTTTGGATAACTTGCTGCAGCTTCTACATCAGCACTTGCTGCCTCACCTTGCATTTTTATGTTGTGGAGACAGCTTCTTTCCTTAAACCTCATGAACCAACCTCTGCTAGCTTCTGACTTTTCTTTTGCAGCTTCCTCACCTCTCTCAGCCTTCATAGAATTGGAGCGAGTTAGGACATTGCTCTGGATTAGGCTTTGGCTTAAGGGAATGTTGTAGCTTGTTTGATCTGCTATCCAGACCATTCAGACTTTCTCCATATCAGCAATAAGGCTGTTTTGCTTTCCTTTTGTTGCTGTTTTTTGTTTCTGTTTTGTTTTGCTTTCTTACATTCGTATGTTCACTAGAGTAGCACTTTTAATTTCCTTCAAGGACTTTTTGCATTCACAACTTGGCTAACAGCATAAGAGGCTTTACTCAGCTTTCTACATGCCTTCGTCGCTAAGCTTAATCATTTCTAGCTTTTGATTTAAAGTTAGAGATGTGTGATTCTTCCATTCACTTGAACACATAGAGGCCATTGTAGGGTTATTAACTGGCCTAATTTCAATATTGTTATGTCTCAGGAAATTAGTGAGGCCCAAGGAGAGGGCGAGAGATGGGAACAGCCAGTCCATGGAGTGGTCAGAACACATAAAATATTTATTGATTAAGTTCACTGTCTTATGTGGGAATGATCTGTGGTGTCCCAAAACAGTTATAATAGTAGCATCAAAGATCACTGATCACCATAACAGACATAATAATGAAAACCTTTGAAATGTGAGAACTACCAAAATGTGACAGAGACACGAAGTGAGCACATGCTGTTGGAAAAATGGTGCCCATAGGGGACCACAGGGTTGCCACAAACTGTCAATTTGTAAAAACTGCAGTATCTGCAGAGCACAGTAAAGTGAAGCACAATAAAATGAGGTAGGCCTGTACTTCTCTCCCTCCAATCTTTATACTATTATTATGAGATATTTGACTTCCTCATGTTACAAACCTCACATTAAATTTGTTAGTACTTCTCTTCAGTTATCTCTTAAAGAGATTTAAATAATAAGAAAAATAATCTTATGTACTTATCTAGCATTACCATTTCTGTTGTTCTTCATTTCTTTGTTTAGATCCATATTTTTGGCTGGGTATGGTGGCTCACGCCTGTAATCCGGCACTTTGGAAGGCCAAGACGGGCAGATCATTTGAGGTCAGGAGTTTGAGACCAGCCTGGCGTGGTCAGGTTGTTTCAGCCAACATGGTGAAACCCCATCTCTACTAAAAATACAAAAAAAAAAAAAAAAAAAAATTAGCCGAGTGTGGTGGTGTGTGTCCATAATCCCAGCTACTTGGGAGTCTGAGGCAGGAGAATCACTTAAACGCAGGAGGTGGAGGTTACAGTGAGCCAAGATCACGCCACTGCACTCCAGCCTGAGCCACAGAGCAAAACTCTTGTCTCAAAAAAATATAAAAACATATTTCCATCTCATGTCATTCTCCCTTCTGCCAGAAGGACTTCTTTTAACATTGCTTGTGGTGCGAGTCTGCTGGTGATAAATTCTTTCAGGTTCCGTATACCTGGAAATTCTTTTACAGTAATATGCTAAGACATTTGTAGGGCTTACTAAGTTTATTCCTGTTTCCTTTTTTTTGGAGACAGAATCTCACTTTGTCGCCCATGCCAGAGTGCAGTGGCATGATCTTGGCTCTCCACCTCCCAGGTTCAAGTGATTCTCCTGCCTCAGCCTCCTGAGTAGCTGGGATTACAGGTGTGTGCCACCACGCCTAGCTAAATTTTTTGTATTTTTGGTAGAGATAGGGTTTCACCATGTTGGCCAGGCTGGTCTCGAACTCCTGACCTCAGGTGATCTGCCTGTCTCAGCCTCCCAAAGTGCTGGGATTACAGGCATGAGCCACCACACCTGGCCAGTTTAGTCCTGTTTTTTAGGGATCGTCCTTTATTGTCTGATGTTCACACAATGTTTTGAAAACCATTGTTTCATATATTTTGTCTTTTTTGTTGTTTCAGGCAGGAGGGTAAATATGGCCTATGGCCCTTGTTGTCTCATCTTGGAAGTGAAGCACTAGCCAAGAATTAGAGAAAGGAAGTAAAGTGGTTGGGGCAAGACTTTTTCAGAATTGGCCTGTAATGGGCATGTGTCAAGGCAGAAAAGGGAGAGGAGTATGTTTTTATCCAGAAGGTGGGATTTCTTAAATAACACGAAAGTACCTCTGTACAAAGCAGTCTATATAAGCAGTTAATTAGCAAGTTAATGCCTTTTGAAGCTTCTGGGTGGGACATACTAAATCTGAAACAGACCGAGTATGTTAGCTCATGCCTGTAATCCTAGCAAGTTGGGAGGCTGAGTTGGGAGGATCTCTTGAGCTCAGGAGTTCGAGACTAGCCTGGGCAACATAGTGAGGTCTTGTCTCTATTAAAAATAAAAATAAAAAATTAGGCCAGGCGCGGTGGCTCATGCCTGTAATCCCAGCACTTTGGGAGGCCAAGGCGGGTGGATCACGAGGTCACGAGATTGAGACCAGCCTGACCAACATGGTGAAACCCCGTCTCTACTAAAAATAGAAAAATTAGCTGGGCCTGGTGGCACGCGCCTGTAATCCCAGCTACTTGGGAGGCTGAGGCAGGAGAATTGATTGAACCTGGGAAGTGGAGATTGCAGTGAGCCGAGATTGTGCCACTGCACTCCAGCCTGGTGACGGAGTGAGACTCTGTCTCAAAAAAATTAAAAATAAATAAAAAATTAGCCAGGTGGTGTGGCTTATGCCTGTAGTCCCAGCTACTCGGGAGGCTGAGGCAGGAGGGTCGCTTGAGCCTGGGAGGTCAAGGCTGTGGTGAGCTATGATTGCACCACTGCACTCCAGCCTGGGCAACAGAGCAAAACTCTGTCTCAAAAAAAAAAAAAAAATCATGAAGCAGTGCTGATAATCTCTGTGGACTTTCCTTTAAATCTCAGTGCCGTCCTCATTGTTCAGTGGTTTTGAATCTGCTAGCCTGGCCTTGAATGTTGTGTCAAAAACAGCGGTTTATTGGAGTTGAGGAGCAGGAACAGATACGAAATGGCTTCTAGAAAGAATAGCCAGAGGGAGGCTCTGGTTGGAGTTGAAGAAAAAGGTTTTGGAAAAGTTGCAGAGCACCTTCCCCTGAAGTCTCTCAGTTGGGATGCTCTTTAATTCTCATATTGGAAAGGCTGTCCTATTCACTTAACAGTTCAGTAATGGGAGAGAATTTTATTCCACAAATGAGGTCACCCGGTTGAGGATATGGTGATCCAGAAACTTTTTTTATACTGTATAAAAACTCAAACAGTTTTCATCTGGCAGCTTTGTTGCAGACAACATCCCATGTCTGTTTGCCTGCACAAGGTGTGAGTGAGTAAAGAAAGTGGGGGTAGGGTCTGCTTTGGCTGCCATAGTAGCACAATACCATAGACTTGGGGGCTCAAGCAACAGAAGTTTATTTTCTCACAGTGGAGACTGGAAAGCCCCAGAACAAGGTTCCAGCAAGGTGTGGCTTCTGGTGAGAAGTCTCTTCCTGGCTTGCAGGTGGCCACCTTCTCAATGTGTTCCCACATGTCCTGTCCTTGGTGCATGCGGTGGGGGGAGAGAGATTGATCTCTCTCTCTTTTCTTATAAGGCCACCAGTTCTATCTGATTAGGACCTCACCTCACCCTTATGACCTCATTTCATATTAATTACCTTCCAAAAGCCCTATCTCCAAATAAGCCACATGGGGGTTTGGGCTTCACCATCTAAATTTGGGGAGGTGACACAAACGTGCAGTCCGCAGCAGAGGGAATGAGATGTAGCAGCTGCATAGGTGCCTGACGGCTGTGACACAGTTCTTTTGTCAGCCTCTCAGTTCTGGGTACATTATGGCCATACCCTCCAGAGGCCTTAGCCCTGGTGACATGCCTTCTGCCGCACACCTCCAGACCAACAGCTTTCAAAATTAGATTTGGATTCCAATATTTTGTTGAAATGATTAGAATCAGCCTGAATGTACTGTCCTGGGGTGCTGTTGAGGTTCTGTGGGGAAAGGAACGGGGCTCCTGATGGACTTCGTGTTGCTTGCCTCCAGGTTCTTCTTTGCGGTCCAGTTGGTCCAAAGCTACATGAGCTTCTTGATGACAATGTCTTTGTTCCACCAGAGTCATTGCAGGAAGTGGATGAGTTCCACCTCATTTTAGAGTATCAAGCAGGTAAGGAAATGAGTAAGTAATGGTGGCAAGACCAGTCAAGGGGCTGTGTATTGTCAGATTGGGGTGTGACTGTGCCGGAAATTTATCTTTGTAAATTAGCAGGATCCTGTTTTTGCCATACTGAAAGTTTCCTGACCTATTGGTTCTACTGAGCTGATACTGGCCGTTGTCTCAAGGGAGACTGAGTATTATAACATGGAAGAAAATTCCCAGGTCTACAAGCAGAATTGCTCCGAACCCAAGATAAATCAGGTCATAGGAAAGCAAGCATCTCAAATAAAAGTGAAAACGTGTTAAACACACATATATAAAGTTTTCCTTTATGACTAAGACAAGAGAAAGGCAGGTAGCATCCATTCAACTCTGTGCTGGATTCTGCCCTAGGCCTTTCTGACTGACTCTTCCAAGCTGCTTGGGGTTGATTCCAAGCTTCTGGCAAGTTTCTCTGGAGCATTTTATTTTTCCTTGGGTGTGTGAATGGAAGTGTTTTGTATTTAACATCACTATATTGTTTCCCATCAGATGTTCTAATGTTAATAAATCCACATCCACTGCATCCCATCCCCTCTTCCCAGCAGATTTTATATGTTACGTAGATTAGGCATCTGGTTTCTGAGAGAATATTAAATACTTGGACATACTTTGATCCTGTGTATTTCCTGCTGTAATTTTCCCTCTGCTCAGAACTCAGACTCTTGAGTTTCTGATTCAACACATTGTTAATACACATTAAAGACTCAAGCATCTAAACAGACTAATTGGTACCTTAAAGCAGCACTTAATACTCTTCAGTGAACTACTTCCAAGTCAATTAAGAGAATCTTCTCTACTAGAGTAATTAACTTTAACATAAGATATGAACTATGTTATTTCTTGAGAATTATGCCTTTCTCCAGGTAGAAAAAAGAGTTGTAACATGTTCTGGTTCTCTTTCGGGTGCTTACTAGAATCAGTTGGGAATTAAAGAAGGATAGGGTCTGAAAATTAGGGACACAGCGTTGACGTAGGCAATTCATACTTAATGCTACACAAGTTTTTGAGTTTCTCAGCTTTAGTTTTCCCAAATGGGAAGTAAGAGTAATAGTTTTTACTGCCTGATCATTGTGGTAAGGATTAAGAGATTGGTTGGTGTGCGGAAACATTGTGAGCAGCTTGGATGAAAAGATGACCTGGCCGCACGTGGTGGCTCATGCCTGTAATCCCAGAACTTTGTGAGGCTGAAGCGGGTGGATCACAAGGTCAGGAGTTCAAGACCAGCCTGGCCAAGATGGTGAAACCCCGTCTCTACTAAAAATACAAAAATTAGCCAGGTGTGGAGGCGGGCGCCTATAATCCCAGCTACTCAGTAGGCTGAGGCAGAGAATTGCTTGAGCCTGGGAGGCGGAGGTTGCAGTGAACTGAGATTGCACCACTGCACTCCAGTCTGGGCAACAGAGCGAGACTCCGTCTCAAAAAATAATAATAATAAATAAATAAAAGAATGACCTGACTGTGGACTGGAAGGGTCTGGAATTGCTAAAGATGAGCCCCTGAGGTATTGCTGCCATGAGTTCCAGATTCGTGTCAGTTTTTTTGGCACCCACAGCAGGAACTGGGGACCTTTGTGATTCCTGGTTTGTCATTTTTCCTGGTGACTACAGAGTGGAGAGTCTTACGTCTTCAGCAAGACTTTGATGTTGTATTGGACAGCTGTGCCTCGTATGTAGTTAAGGAGACAGCACAGTTCACCGCACAAAGAGAGTGTCTCCATCCTTGGGTTTATAAGCTTCACACTTCAGTTTTTCTTTCCTATGCCTCTTCTGCATACAAAGCAGTGGACTTCCATTAAACTTTGTGAGGTGACATTTTCCTAGGTCCAAGGAGGGAGCCTAGTCTAGTGGCAGTAGCCCTGGGCTCAGCTCTCTCAACAGAAATCCATTCCCAGCTTGTCTCTGACCTCAATAGGGAAATTCCAAGGGATTTGTCCATTTTTTTTTCCACATTCTCTCTTACCAGATCTCCCCAGAGAAGCCCATTGTCAGGCTTGGGCTGGGAATCCAGTGAGTCACTACGCAGAGGTTTTGCTGACTTACTGGCTGAGGGCAGGATGATACATTGAGAAGAGATTGCTTACAGGAATGAATACAACACTTTGTGAGGAAAGAGGGGCGCTAACTACCATTACAGGCAGAATTAGATCCATTTGCATCTGCCCCCTGCATGGCCTCTCCAACGGGGCCATGAATATGCTGGAGGTGTTTGTGTCTAGCCTGGAGGAGTTTCAGCCAGACCTGGTGGTCCTTTCTGGATTGCACATGATGGAGGGACAAAGCAAGGAGCTCCAGAGGAAGAGACTCTTGGAGGTAATGGCACTGTTACAGAATTTCACAGATCTCAGCTGGTGGTTTTCTTCAGGTTCCAGCCTCTCTTGGCATCTGCTGCCTTGTTTCCTGTGGAAACAGCAAGCAGCTCTGCACGGTTCTTCTCATCCTTGCCTTGCAGAAGAGCCTGTTTATTTTTGCCTCTGTCACTTCCTGAAGAAATCAGTGTATTTTCAATACAGTGTGGCTCCTTTCTCCTAGGTTCAGTTAGGTCGTGTTTCCTAGCAGTGTCACTATTCAAGGGTTGAGTCCACGTCTTGCTCTCTGGAGAATGTCAATGTAATGTATTTTTCCCATCGTACAGAGTCTTTGTTGATTTGCAAAATGTTGGATTTGGGGTTCATACCCATATTTTTTGTTGTCATGGGCATTTAGGTCATCAGTCTGTTCTCTTATTTGCTTGTTCTTTTGTTAATTCATTCCCATGGCTATATGCCAGACACAGCATGATGCAGAAGGAATACGACAGAGGATGACACAGGCCCTGCCCTCAGCTCACAGTTTACTGCCAGAGATAGACACTTGGAAAAAGTAATTGCAGGCCGGGCATGGTGGCTCACGCCTGTAATCCCAGCACTTTGGGAGGCTAAGGCAGGCAGATCACCTGAGGTCAGGAGTTTAAGACCAGCCTGGCCAACATGGTGAAACTCCGTCTCTACTGAAAATACAAAAATTAGCCAGGCGTGGTGGCGGGTACCTGTAATCCCAGCTACTCGGGAGGCTGAGGCAGGAGAATCGCTTGAACCTGGGAGGCAGAGGTTGCAGTGAGCTGAGGTCGCGCCATTGCGCTCCAACCTGGGCAACAGAGTGAAACTCCATCTCAGAAGAAAAAAAAAAAAAAAAAAGGAAAAAAGAAAAAGGAATTGCAAAATCATGTGCCTCAGTCCTGTATTAGGGTACAGTGGTGGCCCCAGAAAGGAGGTAATCAAGTCTGCTTAGGGGTGGTAGGATTAGGAAAGGCTTCATGTTTAGGGAGGAACTAGCACTTGAACTTGGGTCTTTAAACAGTCATTCCTCTAAAGCAACTCACATAGAAGCAACTGGAGCAGCTAGATAGTCTGATCCTTTGGATCAGGTGCCCAGAAACCACTGATGGGCAGCAGGGAAGAGGAGATGCAGTGAGCTTGGCTGTTGGGAAGAAATTCAGCCTGCTTAAGTTCCAACTGAATGAAAGATGCTCAGGGCAATGCTGTGAGGAAGAATGTGCTTTAAACAATGACAGCCTATACTGTCTGCAGGGCGTGCGTGCTGCACACTGTATGCTGGTATTTGGAAGTCATGCTGCCATTCTGTACTGTCTCTCCTGTGTTTGAGAGCTCAAGTAGGGCTCTCCTGGGACTCAGGGGGAGCTAATTACCTTGAAAAAGGCATATAGCACCCATACTATGTTTCTGTTTCTTGGCTGGGTTTGGGTTTAGGTTTTTGGTTTGTTTCTTGCAGTGCCATGCTGACCTTAGGCCATTGTTGCTGGGGTCTCCTCAGCCAGAAACCAGCCTGCTTGGAGCCAAGGCTCCTGTGAGGTGCCTGAAAGTGCCCCCACAGCTAGGAGACCTAAAGCCTCTTCCTTTTCTTCCCATTGTGTTGACTGGGTTTTTCCAGGGGAGGAGTGGGGCCAGTTAAAAGCTCCCCATGCCAACCGATTCATCTTCTCTCACGACCTCTCCAACGGGGCCATGAATATGCTGGAGGTGTTTGTGTCTAGCCTGGAGGAGTTTCAGCCAGACCTGGTGGTCCTCTCTGGATTGCACATGATGGAGGGACAAAGCAAGGAGCTCCAGAGGAAGAGACTCTTGGAGGTAATGGCACTGTTACAGAATTTCACAGATCTCAGCTGGTGGTTTTCTTCAGGTTCCAGCCTCTCTTGGCATCTGCTGCCTTGTCTTAGGTCCTGGCCTCCCAGGGACATATCTTGGCAGCTGGCTGTGGAGCTTGCCTCCTGCTGCAGTGAGGCACCTCACTGTATCCCTTCAGATGTGGGCAGCAGCTTGAGTAGGACAGGGCAGAACATCTTCTTGCCTGAGCCTCTGCATCCTGTGCTAAACCGACCATGGCTGCAAGCTGCAGGGTTTGTAGTTTGTGTCCTTTGTGTTATTTGTATCATCTCACTTCACATCAGCTATGCTGCAACTCCTACAGATTCGTACAGCAGTCGAAGTGAACTGCCATCTCTGATTCTGTATCCCTGATGGCTCTGCACAGCCTAGTCTTCCCTGGTGGGAAGAGTGTCCCTTGTCCACAGAGGTGGTGGGGACCCACATTGCTTGTAGCTCCCGTGAGCATGCAAAGAAGGCCATTACCAGGAGGAACCGCCTCTCAGGATCTGATCTTTTCTTCCCTCTTTCTTGACTTCCTTCTATTTCTAATGGCAGTGCTTATCTTCTTCTCTTTGCAGGTTGTAACCTCCATTTCTGACATCCCCACTGGTATTCCAGTTCACCTAGAGCTGGCCAGTATGACTAACAGGGAGCTCATGAGCAGCATTGTCCATCAGGTAACCTCATGGGACCATCGTTTGGCCCTGATCCTCATAGAGCCTTGCAGAGAAGCTTTTTTGTGCAGTGGGACCATCTGTTTGGGCTCAGGGACTGGCTCACTGACATGTAGGTTTGTGTCACTCAGACCCAAGTCCATGGAGATCCAAATAAGGATCCAGGACTGTTCTGAAACAGCAGTATCTCCTACTAGGTTAAAGTTATGGCAGTGTAACTGACAGATTGTTGATCATATTTCTCCTCTGGAATGGAAAAGTTGAAAGTGAATGGAAAAAACTGAAAGCCCAGCTCAGCTGCTTTCAGTTGAACTTCAAGAAGCTCAAAGCAAAGAAACTTTGAGGGAACCTCCCTCCTTCCTCAGGCATCTGGGTGTTCAGTGCCTGCCTCTGGGCAGCAGCATTGACTAGTATAAATCTGAGCAGGTGAAGCTTCAGAACACAAGCTCTGGAGACCTGGGTTCGCATGCCAGCCTTGCACTCACGGGCTTCATGAACTCAGGCAAGTTACCTCACCTGGCAATCTAGTGTTACCTAATTTTAATTGGTAATATATTCATTTGGTTAAAAAATACCCAAAAACTATGAAAAGATATACAATGAAGTCTCCCTTCTACTTCCTCCCCTTCCCTACTTGCACCCTTCATCAGTTTATTTCCAGAGTTCTTTTGTACAAGTATAAGAAAATACAGAAATATATCCTGATTTTGTTTTCCATCCCTTTTTACCCAAAAAGATAGCATAGCCTACTGAATACTCTGTTCTTCACTTTGCTCTTTTTTTCACTAAATATATCTTGGAGATCTTCCTGCATCACTAACATGGAGAGTATCCTCTGTCTTTTCATAGCCATATGGTTAAAATGAATGTGTAGATGTACCTCCGTTTACTTAACCTGAACCTTCTGGATGGACATATTGGTTATTTACTGCCCTTTGCTGTTACACACAGTGCTGCAGTGAACAACTTGATACATGATTTTGTTTTGCCTGTGAACAAGTCCATATTTAGGAGAAAGTCTCAGAAGTAGAACAGCTGGACTGGAGCATAAAAAAGCACTTGTAATTTTGAGATTGCCAGATTGCCCTCCATAAGAATTATACCAGTTTACTTCCCACTGGCAATAATTACAAATACTTGTTCCCTCATATCCTTGCTACCAGAATGTTAAAATTTGCATTTATATCAGTCTGACAGATGAAAAAATGGTATTTCAGTATACAGTCATCCCTCGTCATCAGCGGTGTGTGGGGCGGCGGGGGCGGTTCCAGAACCCTTCCCAGATACTAGAATCTGCAGATGGTTAAGTCCTGCAGTTGGCCCTGTGGAATCTGTGGATTAGACAAGTTGGCCCTCCCTATCTGCAGGTTCCACATCCTTGAATACTCTGTTTTCCATCTGAAGTTGGTTGAAGCCATGGATATGGAGGGCTGACTGTCGTTGGTTTTGTTTTTTTTTTTTTTGATAGACTTCATTTTTTTTTTATGGTAATATTAGGTGCATAGCAAAATAGAGCAGAATCCAAGAGAGTTCCCATATACTTCCAGTCCCCTCACACACAAGCCTCCCCAACTACCAGCAGCCTGCACCAGAGTGGTACATTTGTTAAGCTAGTGAGCCTACACAGGCACGTCATCAGCACCCAAAGTCCATAGTTTACACTTGGGTTCACTCTTGGTGTTTTTCAGTATAGCTTTTGTTTGGGTTTTTCTTCTCACCTTTAAAAAAATGAGCCATTTCTATTTCATTTTCTCTGTAACTGTCTACTTAACCCTTCTGAGGCTTAGTCTGTACAATGGAGGCAGTCCCTCCTTCCCTCAGAAGATTACAGTAAGAATTGGATGAAATAAAGCCTTTAGCTCAGTGCCTGACACAGAAGAACATGCAGTGAAGGAAAGCTGCTATTGCTCCAACAAAGATGTAGGCCATTAAATTTTTAAAACCATTTTATACATGCACACATACATACAAGGACTCCTCTCTCCTGCAAAAATTGTTACCTTAAGTGTGGTTCTCTGGTTCTAAGGAGGGAAGTGCTAAGTAAGAAAGACAGGGAGGTGGATATTGTGGTTCCCCATCAGACAGAAAACACGGGCACCTGTTTGGTAATCTTTTTCTTACAGTGTTATTGCTAAATTCAGACAGTCTTCCTAACCCACACCTGCTTTTAAAAAGCTTAGCTCTAACATGAAACTGTATGCTTTTTGCTTCTTGGTGTTTTGTATAAAAAAAATCATTATAACCCTGACAGTATGTTGCTTGAGGTCTCCATTTTACTGGTCTAATACTGCTGACATTCAGGAACTGAGAGCCATGCCCCATCAGTGGTAAGAGTATCTCCTATGTGTGCAGTGGCAAAAGCTAGGGACCATGGAAAGAAACACAAAATATAGACACCTCTGCCTTTTGTCTTACAGTGGCATATCACAAAAGACTGCATCTGAAACAATGTTACTGCAGCTTTCCAGTTTCTCCCAAATGATGATGAAGGTGAAGATAGGGGTGTGATAGCTAAAACAGTGACTTCAGGGCCAGGGAGTCCTGTATCAAGGAAGAAAGCTGCCTGCCTGTGTTCCCTGTCATTTAGTCACTGGCTGTGTCATAAGACATCTTAGGAGCCAGGTTATCTCCATCAGAAAGATACCTGTTGTTGTTTTTGTTAGCAGGTCTTTCCCGCGGTGACTTCCCTTGGGCTGAATGAACAGGAGCTGTTATTTCTCACCCAGTCAGCCTCTGGACCTCACTCTTCTCTCTCTTCCTGGAACGGTGTTCCTGATGTGGGCATGGTCAGTGACATCCTCTTCTGGATCTTGAAAGAACATGGGAGGAGTAAAAGCAGAGCCTCGGATCTCACCAGGATCCATTTCCACACGCTGGTCTACCACATCCTGGCAACTGTGGATGGACACTGGGCCAACCAGCTGGCAGCCGTGGCTGCAGGAGCTCGTGTGGCTGGGACACAGGCCTGCGCCACAGAAACCATAGACACCAGCCGAGTGTCTCTGAGGGCACCCCAAGAGTTCATGACTTCCCATTCGGAGGCAGGCTCCAGGATTGTATTAAACCCAAACAAGCCAGTAGTAGAATGGCACAGAGAGGGAATATCCTTCCACTTCACACCAGTATTGGTGTGTAAAGACCCCATTCGAACTGTAGGCCTTGGAGATGCCATTTCAGCCGAAGGACTCTTCTATTCGGAAGTACACCCTCACTATTAGGAAGATTCTTAGGGGTAATTTTTCTGAGGAAGGAGAACTAGCCAACTTAAGAATTACAGGAAGAAAGTGGTTTGGAAGACAGCCAAAGAAATAAAAGCAGATTAAACTGTATCAGGTACATTCCAGCCTGTTGGCAACTCCATAAAAACATTTCAGATTTTAATCCGAATTTAGCTAATGAGACTGGATTTTTGTTTTTTATGTTGTGTGTCACAGAGCTAAAAACTCAGTTCCCAAATCCCCAGTTTATGCAGCGCCATCAGGTATTTTAAGCTAAACTTCTTCACCCCTGAGAGCATGTCAGCTGGAGAAAAGCAGTTCTTCCTTGCCCACTTGAGAAGTGCACGCCCACTCACCCAACATCCTGGTCTCTAGGAAAGCCTCATGTGAGGTTCCTCTTTCTTTCAGCTCAGTGCCCATGGGCAAGGATCATGATTTCCATTCCGTGTTACAATGACAATATTTAATGAGCATAACCTTCTCAGTCTCCTGCTCTCAAATTTAGGACAGAGCCGCTAAGGACAAAACAATCCCTCCCGTGCTTTATGATGGCAGCAGGGGCTGGGGAGCCTCTGAGGGACTCTTTCATTCTGCAGTTGTCTGGAAGCCTGGGTGGCGTCATGAGCTGAAGGATCATGCTTTCCTGTCCTGGCTCCATAGGTTATAGGCTGGCTGGTGAAAGGTTCACGTGGCCCAGGCTGAACTTCATTGCCTAGCTTTGGATGTGCTTTCTGCCATAAAGACTGATTTTTGTTCGTTCTGAGCCTTCAAGGAATTTGTTTTTTACAACTGGAATATGCTCCTGTGTGTGTTAACAGATCATGGATGTTTTATGTTTTCACTGATCATTTAAAGAGTTTGACCTCAGAGCTCCAGGATCATCAGTAAATTTGTCATGTTATATATTTATTTTTTTATAAATCAAGACTTCTGTGTGCTCTTAAATATATTAAAAACAATTTACATTTCAGGAATTCTGTCTGTAATTGATTTTTGTCTCCATCACCACTCTGGAACCAGATAAGATAAAAATCATTCTGATCTTCATTTGTGATGTGCATGTTACTTTGCTCTTGAGGTGCTTGCAGTCCCTCATGCTGAGCCTGAGCTATAGGCTTGTCCTGTGGGGTTGAAAGTGACACAAAGTACTAGTATGAAGTAGCCCAGTTAAAGCTGAATTGGAGCATAGCAGTTTGAGAGCATGGTGAGCCTTTTCAGCTTGTTGGGAGGGCAGTATGAACATGGCAGCTGGTGGTGGGCCTGCCTAGTTCAGGGGTCTTCATTTCCCCTGGGCCCACAGCAGCTTCTGGAATCTCAAAGCTACCTCAAGCTCTTCATTTATGACCTCCCTTTCCCTGCTTTGGATAAGAAAGCTTGATTACTCCTTCAAAGTAAATTTAAGCCTAGAATGCAGCTTGTAACTCAAAGCTGCATTCTAGGCTTAAATTAAGGAAATCTCTGGCTGCTACCTCTTCCTTCTGTTTCCCAGATAAGTTAAAAATAACCACCAACCTTCTAGCCTATTTTTATTAGAAAGGCTCACATGAAATTTTTGTTTTCTCAAGAATTGAAATATTTATATTCTAAACCTAAGAAGACTTTATTAGGAGTCCTGAAGTGTTCACATGATCTTTTCTAATGTCTAAGTTGACTAAGCCCCTGGTCCTGAGTGTGTATTCTTAACTCGTTCTCCATTTTTTGATTGGTGATGCCAGTAAAGACTAGTTCAGGGAGTATAGACTACACATACCCTAGAGCAGTGTTTTTCAAATAATGGATCTTGAACTAATAGCTACTAAATCCATTTGGTGGTTATCACAAAAAGTATAAAAACATCATACATTATAAGGGTAAGTATAAGTAAGCATTGTTTTATAAAATGTCATTGACTGTCTAAGTGTATATAGATTTAAACATACATACATCGCCCTGCAGAATGTCCATCTTTTTTGTGAAGCAGCTAAGCAATAGAAGTGATGGGTATTTATCACACAAGACAGATTATGCAGAGGTGAGTTGGAAGGGTAGGATAAGCTGAACAGGTGGGGGCTTCAGGTTTCTCAACCCTTTGGTGTTTTACAAAGGTATTTTACATATGATTTTATATGAAGAAATCTTTGAAAATCCATTGGCCTAAAAAGGATGCCTGGTGAAGGGTGAGTCTTCCTGAAAAGTGTTGGTACACTCCCTCTGGCTTTCATTTGAAACTGATTTTAGTTTCAGGGAAAAGAAAAGCTGCAGCATACAAAGCACTACCAAGAAGTAAGAGTACAGCCAAAAATCCGTCATCTTATGCAGGTACAGTTTGCATTGTATTCTCTCCTGGCAAGTTTGAGAAGAAATCCAAATTGTACAAAAGGTTTTGAGGTGGTGAGTATTGAATGATGTTGGACAAGTTACCCTTACTGAGCCTTACTTTGCTTATCTGTAAAATGGGGTTAATGGCGGTACCTACCTTCATAGGGCTGTTGATTACAGGAGACTGCCATGTGGAATATTTAGCACAGTATGGGGCACATACTTAAGAGCTAAATAATTGTCAGTTATAACCAAGCTGAACAGACAATTTCTTGGGTCTCTTTAGAACTATTTTAAATCACTGAAAAGCTACTTGTAATAATTTAACATTTTGTTTTCTGGTCTTTTTTTTTTTAAAGGTGAAAATGTTTATATAGTGAAACTGCACAAATTTTAAGTGTGCCATTTGGTAAATTTGTTTTTGTGTTTTTGTTTTTGAGACAGAGTCTCGCTCTGTCGCCCAGGCTGGAGTACAATGGTGTAATCCCAGCTCATTGCAACCTCCACCTCCTGGGTTCAAGTGATTCAACTGCCTCAGCCTCCGGAGTAGCTGGGATTACAGGCACCTGCCACCACGCCCAGCTAAGTTTTTTGTATTATTAATAGAGATGGGGTTTCACCAGGTTACCCAGACTGGTCTTGAACTCCTGACCTCAGGTGATCCAGCCGCCTCGGCCTCCCAAAGTGCTGGGATTACAGGCATGAGCCACCACACCTGGCCTTTTTGTTTTTGAGACAGAGTTTCGCTCTGTCACCCAGGCTGGAGTGCAGTGGCTCAGTCTCGGCTCACTGTAAATTCCACCTCCCAGGTTCAAGCGATTCTCCTGCCTCAGCCGCCCTAGTAGCTGGGATTACAGGTGCCTGCCACTAGACCTGGCTAATTTTTGTATTTTTTGTAGAGATGGGGTTTTACCATGTTGGCCAGGTAACGGTCAGGCGCGGTCTCTACTAAAAATACAAAAATTAGCTGGGTGTGGTGGTGGGTGCCTGTAATCCCAGCTACTGGGGAGGCTGAGACAAGAGAACTGCTTGAGCCCATGGGGCAGAGGTTGGAGTGAGCCAAGATCATGCACTTCTGCCTGGGCAGCACAGCCAACTCTGTCTCAAAAAAAAAAAAAAAAAAAAAAGATTCAGAATGGACAGCCCCAAGCACATTGTCTGAGTTAGTCTTGATCTGCAAGGAGCAGCAAAAATGAAAAGTCTCCATCACCCTAGATAGTTCCTTCATGCCACTTCCAAGTCATCCCCACCGCATACCTCAAGCCCCAGAACAACCAGTTATTTTCCACCAGAAATCAGTTTTGCCTGTTTTCAGAATGCAACTTAAAAATGGAGCCATTCAGTATTTAGTCCTTTGTATAGAGCTTCTTCCATTTAGCATAGTATTTTTTAGAGTAATCCATGTTGCATGTAGTTGGTTGCTTTTTATAGCTAGATAGTACTCCACTGTGAGTACAGAGCATTCCACTTTGGAATTATTATGAATAAAGCTGCTGTCAACAAGTGTTTGTGTAGACGTACTGTCATTTCTCTTGGGTAAAGGCCTATAGGAGGGAAATTGCTGGGTGAAAGGCCTTTTTTCTAAAATGGTTGGACCATTTACACTCCCTAAAACAGCATATGACAGTTGTGGTTGCTTTTCTTCCCCACAACCATCTGGAGTTGTCAATGTTTAATTTTACCCATTTTGACAGGTATACAGTGGTATTTCAGCATGGATTCAATTTGTATTTCCCTAATGACATATGAGCACTTTTTCATGTGCTTTATTGACTATTCATATATCTTTCTTTGTGAAGTGTCCAAATCTTTTGCCTTTTTCTCCCCCAGTTGAGTTGTTTGCTTTGTGTATGTTGTTTGGGTTGTTAGGTTTTTTTGAGTAATAAGAGTTGCATCCAAAATGTTTGGATACAAGTCCTTTGTCAGATATGTTTTGTACTTTCTCCAAGTCTGTGGTTTGATATCCTTTTTCTTAATGTCTTAATGTTCTCTATGCCCAAAGAAATATTGGACCATGCCCATGTCACAAATATAGTCTCACTTTGTATATAAAATGTGTAAGTTTTTATCATGTACAGCATGTTTTGAAATATGTATATATTACCTTTACATTAGCTGTAGGTATATAGCTATATTGAGCTAATTATGCATTGTCTCAGTTTTTTGTGGTGAGAACACTTGAAATCTTCTGTTGGCAATTTTCAATAACTTTTTCTTCTTTAAATTCTTTTGTATTGTATTTTTATATACTAGGAAATTTTCAATAATACATTAAGTAGAGTCACCGTGTTGTACATCTCCCCAACCCCTGCCCCTAGATTGCTTTTCCATACAGCTATCCAGTCGTTCCAGTAACATTGGTTGAAAAGACTTTTCCCATTGCATTGCTTTGGTACCTTTATCAAAAATCAAATGACTGTATAACTGTAAGGTCTATGTATGCACTCACTTCTGTTTTATTGCTCTATTTGTCTATCTTTATGCCAGTGCTACATGAGCACTATTATAGTAAGTCTTGAAGTAAGGCAGTGTAAGTCTTCCAATTTTGGTTTTTTTCCATGATTGCTTTACATGTTCTTGGTCCTTTGTGTTTCCATAACATTTTAGAGCCAGCTTGTCAAGTCAATTTCTACCCCAAAACCTGCTGGGATTATGATAGGATCTATAGATGAATTTCGGAAGAATTTTTATCTTAACAGTATTTAGTCGTACAATGCATGAACATGATATATATTTCTATAATGGCCTTCTGTTTCACACCAGTGCTTTTGCCGTTTTCAGAGTAGAGGTCTTAACGTGTAGTCTGTTAAATTCCTAAGTATTTCGTATCAATAGTATTTGACACTTTTGTGATTTTTTTTATTTTCAAAATTGTTCCTTGTATATAAAAATACAATTGATTTTTGTACATTGACTGTATCTTGTGACCCTGCCAAATCCACTTGGGTGTAGTCACTTTTATTTTAATAATTTATTTTTAGGATTCCTTAGGATCTTCCACATAATCATGTCATCTGTAAAGAGTTTTATTTCTTCCTTTCTAGTCTTTATGCCTTTTTATTTCTTGCCTTATTGCACTGGCCAGAACTCTAGTCCAGTATAAGGCTGAATAGAAGTGGTAAGAGCAAACATCTTTGCCTTGGTCCTGATCTTAGGGGCAAAGTAGTCAATATTTCACTAAATATGATATCCATTGCATTTTTTTTCTCATGGATGCCCTTCATCAGGTTGAAGATGTTCCCATCTATTCTTTATTTGCTGAGAATTTTTATGATTTTGTTTTGTTTTTACTTTCTCAGGGGCTGAGAAGGGTATTGAAGTTTTAGGTTCATAGGAAATTGAGGAAATACAGACACTTGCCATATACCAGCTGCCCCAACACATGCATAGCCTCTTCCCTCCCTATCAACATCTCCCACAAGAACATGTAAAGCAAACATCTCCCACATTTGTTACAACTGATGTATATATACGGACACATCTTTATCACCCAAAGTCCATAATTTACTTTTGGCTTCAGTCTTGTACATTCTGTGGCTTTGGACAGAGTCTCACTCTGTCACCCAGGCTGGAGCACAGTGGCACAATCTTGACTCACTGCAACTTCCACCTCCTGGGTTCAAGCCATTCTCCTGCCTCAGCCTCCTGAGTAACTGGAATTACAGGTGTGCGCCACCATGCCCGGCTAATTTTTGTATTTTTAGTAGAGACGGGGTTTTGCCAGGTTGGCCCGGCTGGTCTGAAACTCCTGACCTCAGGTGATCTGCCCACCTCAGCCTCCCAAAGTGCTGGGATTACAGGCATGAGCCACCACACCTGGCCTGGACAAATATATTAATATAACAACATGCATCCACCACTATGGTATCACACAGGGTAATTTCACTGCCCTAACAACCCTCTGTGCTCTGTTCATCCTTCCCTCCCCACTAATGCCTGGCAACCACTGATCCGTTTGCTGTCTTATAGTTTTGCCTTTTCCAGAAGGCCATATTGTTGGAATCATGTGGGATGCAGCCATTTCAAATTGGTTCCTTTCTATAGTAATACGCACTTCAGTTTCCTACATGTCTTTTCATAGCTCATTTCTTTTTAGAATTGAGTAGTAGTCTTTTATCTGGATGTACCACAGTTTATTCATTTATTCACCTATTGAAGGACATTTTGGTTGCCTCCAGGTTTTGGCAACTGTGAATAAAGCTGCTGTAAACATCCATGTGCAGGTTTTTGTGTGGACATATATTTCTAACTCCTTTGGGTAAATAGGAGTGTGATTGCTGAGTTCTAACATTAAAAGTATGTTTAGTTTTGTAAGAAGCTGCCAAACTGTCTTCCAAAGTGGTTATACTATTTTGCATTCCCAACATCGATAAATGAACAGTCCATTGCTCAATATCCTCACCAGCATCTGGTGGTGTCAGTGTTCTGGATTTGGGCATTCTAATAGGTATGTAGTGGTATCTCATTTTAATTTGCATTTCTCTGATGATATATGATGTGGAACATTTTTAAATATGTTTATTTGCCATCTGTGTATCTTTGGTGAGGTGAGGGGTTTTGGTCCATTTTCTAGTCAGGTTGGTTTTTTTGCTTTTAAGTCAGTTTCGCTGTTGCCCAGACTGATGTGCAATGGTGCAATCTCCACTCACTGCAACCTCTGCCTCCCGGGTTCCAGCAATTCTTCTGCCTCAGCCTCCCAAGTAGCTGAGATTACAGGCATCATGCCTGGCTAATTTTTGTGTTTTTAGTAGAGACGTGGTTTCACCACGTTGGCCAGGCTGGTCTCCAACTCCTGACCTCAAGAGATCCGCCCGCCTTAGCCTCCCAAAGTGCTGGGATTGCAGGCGTGAGCCATCGCGCCCGGCCTCAGGTTGTATTCTTAATGTAGAGTTTTTGAAGTTATTTGTATATTTTATGTAACAGTCCTTTATCATTTAAGAAACATGATGGGTTTTTTGTGTTTGTGTGTTTTAAGACAGGCTCTCACTCCATCATCCAGGCTGGAGTGCAGTGACATGATCACAGATCATGGCTCAGTGCAGCCTCAACCTCTCAGGCTCAAGTGAGCCTCCTGCCTCAGCCTCTCAAGTAACTAGGATCACAAGATGTGCCACTACGCCCAGCTAATTTTTCTTTTAAATTTTTTTTGTAGGGATGGGGTCTCACCATGTTGCCTGGGCTGGTTTTGAACTCCTGGCTTCAAGTGATTCTTCTGCCTCCACCCCTCAAAGTACTGGGAATACAGGGGTGAGCCACCATGCCTGGCTATACTGGCTTTTTAAAAATTTATTTTTTTCTAGCTTGAGCAACAAAGTGAGACCCCCATCTCTTAAACAAAATTAGCTGGGCATGGTGGCGCATGCCTGTGATCCCGGCTACTTGGGAGTCTGAGGCAGGAGGAACACTTGAGTCCAGGACTTCGAGGGTGCAGTGAGCTGTTTGAACCACTGCACTCCAGGCTGGGCAACCGTGAGTCCTTATCTAAAAAAAAAAAATTATTAGGTGTGGTGGCTGATGCCTGTAATCCCAGCACTTTGGGAGGCCAAGGCAGGTGGATCACTTGAAGCCAGGAATTCGAGACCAGCCTGGCAAACATGGCGAAACAGCCCCCCCTCCCCTCCCCCAGAAAAAATACAGAAATTAGCTGGGCCTGGTGGCTCACACCTGTAGTCCCAGCTACTCGGGATGCTGAGGTGGGAGAATCACTTGAACCCAGGAGGCAGAGGTTGCAGTGAGCTGAGGTTGCACCACTGCACTCTGGCCGGGGCAACAGAGCAAGACTGTCTCAAAAGAAAAATTGCTTTTTTTCTGTATCTACTAAAATCATATGACTTTTCTCTTTTGTTAATGCATGTGAGTACTTTGGTTTTCAATAATGAACCAAGCTTAGGGTCCCTGGGATAACTCCAACTTGGTCATGATTTACATATTCACCTTTTTATATATTGCTGGATTGATTTGCTAATATTCTGTTGAGGATTTTTGTACCTATGTTCATACAGGGTAATAGTCTATAGTTTTGTTGTTTTGTAATGTCTTTGGTCCAGTTTTGACATCAGGGTTATTGCTAGCCTGATACAAACAAGTTAAGTTCTCGCTCCTATTTTCTGCAAATTTTTGTGAGGTTGAATTTATTTTGCCCCATAAATGTTTGACAGAATTTACCAGTATAATCATCTGAGCCAGGAGTCTGCTTTCAAGGATTACTTTTGATTTACAAATTCTGTTTCTTTAGTAGGACTTAAGATTTTACATTTCATCTTGTTTCTGTTTTTTTTTTTTTTTTTTGAGACGAAGTCTTGCTCTGTCGCCCAGGCTGGAGTGCAGTGGCACGATCTTGGCTCACTGCAACCTCCGCCTCCTGGGTTCAAGCGGTTCTCCTGCCTCAGCCTCTTGAGTAGCTGGGACTACAGGCGTGTGCCACTATGCCAGGCAGTATGTTGTATTTTTCAAAGATTTTTGTCTGTTGCATTTGTCAGGTTTATTGCCATAAAACTGTTCATAACATTCCCTTTTTCATGTCTGCAGAATCTGTAATATTATACCCGCTTTCATTCCTGATACTGGTAATTTGTCTTTTTCTTGATCAGTTTAGCTGGGGATTTTTTTTTTTTTTTCTTTTTCAGGAGAGAGGGTCTCATTCTATTGCCCAGGCTGGAGTGCAGTGGCACAATCATGGCTCACTGCAGCCTCAATCTCCAGGGTTCAAGCAATCCTCCCACTTCAACCTCCCAAGTAGCTGGGACCACAGGTATGTGACACCGTGCCCTGCTAACTTATTCTGTATTTTTTAAATTATTTTGGAGAGACGTAGGTCTCACTATGTTACCCAGGCTGGTCTTGAACTCCTGGGCTCAAGCAATACTCCCCCTCCCTAAGTGCTGGGATTACAGGCATGAGCTACCCACCGCACTCAGCTCTTTGTAGGGATTTATCATAAATTTTTTTTCCATAGAATTTGGGGCTTCTCAAATTTTTCTTTAATACTTGTTTGTTTGTTCCTTCTACTTACTTTGGGTTTATTTTTCTCTGCTTTTTCTAGCTTAAGGTGGAAACCTGTTATCACTGATTTTCTCCTTTCTTCTGATAGAAGCATTTACAATTCTAAGTTTCCCTCTAAGCACTGCTTTTGGCTGAATCCTATACGTTTTGTTTTCATTATCATTTAGTTCAAAGTATTTTTTTCTTTTTTTCCCTTGATTTATGAGTTGCTGTGTGTGTGTAAGAGACAAGGTCTCCCTCTGTTGTTCAGGCTGGAGTGCAGTGGTGCCATCATAGCTCACTGCAGCCTCAAACTCCTGGGCTCAAGCAATCCTGCTCCCTCAGCCTCCTGACTTGCTGGGACTACAGGCGTGCGCCACCACACCTGGCTAATTTTCGTATTTTTAATAGAGATAGGGTTTCACCATGTTAGCCAGGGTGGTCTCAAACTCCTGGCCTCAAGTGATCTGCCTGCCTTGGCCTCCCAAAGTGCTGGGACTGCAGGCATGAGCCACAATTTCTTTACTCACTCATCAGTTGATGGGCACTTGGGCTGGTTCCATATTTTTGCAATTGCAAACTGTGCTGCTATAAACAAGCATGTGCAAGTATCTTTTTCATATAATGATTTATTTTCCTCTGGGTAAGATATCCAGGGGTGGTATTGCTGAATCAGGTGGTAGAACTACTTTTAGTTAAGGAATCTCCACAGTTTTCCATAGTGGTTATACTAGTTTACTTTCCCACCAACAGTGTAAAAGTGTTTCCTTTTCACCACATCCATGCCAACATCTATATTTTGATTTTTTGACTATGGCCATTCTTGTGGCAGTAAGGTGGTATCACATTGTGGTTATGATTTGCATTTCCCTGATCTTTAGCAATGTTGAGCATTTTTTCACATTTCTTGGCCATTTGTATATCTTTTGAGAATTGTCTGTTCATGTCCTTAGCCCACTTTTTGATGGGATTTTTTTTTTTTTTTTTTGCTGATCTGAGTTCCTTGTAGATTCTGGATATTAGTCCTTCATCAGGTGTATAGATTGCAGAAATTTTCTCCTACTCTGCGGGTTGTCTGTTTAGTCTGCTGATTATTTATTTTGTTGTGCAGAAGCTTTTTAGTTTAATTAAGTCCCATTTATTTATCTTTGTTTTCGTTTCGTTTGCTTTTGGGTTCTTTAGTCATGAAGTCTTTGCCTAGGCCAATGTTGAGAAGGATTTTTTTCAATGTTATCTTCTAGAATTTTATGGTTTCAGGTCTTAGATTTAAGTGTTTGATCCATCTTGAGTTGATTTTTGTATAAGATGAGAGATGAGGATCCAGTTTCATTCTTCTATTTGTGGCTTGCCAATTAACCCAGCACCATCTGTTGAATAGGGTGTCCTTTCCCCACTTTTTTGTTTGCTTGCCGAAGATCAGTTGACTGTAAGTATTTGGTTTTATTTATGGGTTCTCTATTCTGTTCCATTGGTCTATATGCCTGATTTTATACCAGTACCACACTCTTCTGGTGACTATGGCCTTGTAGTATAGTTCGAAGTCAGATAATGTGATGCCTCCAGATTTGTTCTTTTTACTTAGTCTCACTTTGGCTTTGCAGATTTGTTCTTTTTACTTAGTCTTGCTTTGGCTATGCGGGCCCTTTTTTGGTTTCATATGAATTTTAGGATTGTTTTTTCTAATTCTGTGAAGAATGATTTTGGTATTTTGATGGGAATTGCACTGAACCTCTAGATTGCTTTTGGCAGTATGGTCATTTTCACAATATCGATTCTACCCATACATGAGCATGGGATGTATTTCCATTTGTTTGCGTCATCTATGATTTCTTTCAGTGATGTTTTGTAGTTTTCCTTGTAGAGGTCTTTTACTTCCTTGGTTCAGTATATTCCTAAGTTGTTTTTTTGTTTGTTTTTTGTTTTTTTGCAGCTATTGTAAAAGGGGTTGGGTTCTTGATTTCTCAGCTTGGTTGCTGTTGGCATATAGCAGGGCTACTGATTTATGTACTTTACTTTACTTTTGTATCCTGAAACTTTGCTGAATTGATTTACCAGTTCTAGGAGCTTTTTGGATGAGTCTTTAAGGTTTTCTAGGTATACGATCATGTCATCAGCAAACAGCGACAGTTTTACTTCTTCTTTACTGATCTGGATGCCCTTTCTTTCTCTTGTCTGATTGCTCTGGCTAGGACCATGTTCAGCTTTTCACAAACTATTTAGGATTAATTTTGTGTCCCACTACATAAAATATTAAAACCTTGCAACCATATATGCTTTATAGTTGTCATGTTATTTATGTATGTTCAGCCTCACATACACTGTGATATTTTTTCTTTGAACAATCATATGTATTTTTTTAAAGTTAAACCGAGAGAGTATTTTATATTTACCACTTGTTTACATTTGTTATTTATGGAAGGATTGGTCCGACATGAACTACTAAGCCATTATCAGACAATAATGAGTTTTCCTTGAAAACAAAAATCATTGTAGTGACACACTCCAAAGTGGTTTACTGTCTTTGGAATGCACAGTTTTGCCCAATATTATTCAGCAAGAAGGATACTTTTTTCTCATTGCTAGTTCATACTTCTACTTTCCTGCCTCTCTCTTTCAGTTTTCTAAAACCACATCCGTAGCTGTGATTATGTTCTTGGTTTCATTTTCCTAATTCTGTTACAAATTCTGATGACATGAGCAACCAACCCCCATACTAGAAGTTAGAATAGCTCCTATCTCACCAGAGTAAAAGAAAAATTGCAAATTCACATGCCCAAAAGACTGACCCTGCACACCCTAGTAGAGTTTATTTTTAAAAGAAAATCTAAGTCAAATTAATGTGGAAAGCATTGCTTCTTTACTGCTATCCCTGGAAGCAAAGCACCATCTTGCCCCCAAATGTGGAAAAACTCAAAAACTCTACTCTTGCATTCTCTGTTTCCACCATGCTATACTTAAAAAAGACTACCTTTTTACCCTTCTCTCCCCAAATATTAGAAGTTTCTCATATCAGAGTAATGAATACAGTTCTGTCCTCTGAAAACCTCTTCCCTCTACATCAAAGCTTTCTGAAATAAAAGTAGTCCAATATCTACTCATTCAGTCTTCAAGTCCTTAAGTTTCTGTTGCCACCACTGCTTCATCAAAGATACATCACTGCTTGATGATTGATGGTTAAGAGCAAGAGCTCTGCATCCAGACCTGGATTAAAATCCTGGTCCTGCCACTTACCTTTGAAAATTTGTTTTGTCTCTCCTAACCTAAGCTTTCTCTTCTATAAAATGGGGATAACAGTACCTCTCTGTTGGAAGTGTTCAATGAGGCTGACCATTCTCTTCCCAAACCTTTCTTCGTTGGCTTCCCATAATACCACTCTCCTGGGTTTTTTCTTGTATCATATGCTTTTTTGTGGGCTCTTCTGCTTCTCCCTCTAAATACTTATTTTCTTTCATTTGGTTGCCTGTCGTCTTATTCCTAGCTTTCCGTGGATGACTCCTTTCAAAACTATGGTTTTGATGATTCCTCAAATCTAAATTACTCCTGAATCTTAAAAAATTTTTTTTTGAGATGGGGTCTTGCTTTGTTTCCCAGGCTGGAGTGCAGTGGCATGATCATAGCTTACTGCCACCTCAAATTCCTAGGCTCAAGTGATCCTCTTGCCTCAGTCTCCCAAATAGCTGAAACTATAGGTGCGCACAACTGCGCCTGGCTTTTTAATTTTTTGTAGACATGAGGTCTGAGCCATCTTGCCCAGGCCAGTCTCCAACTCCTGGGTTCAAGTGATCCTCTGGCTTTGGCCTCCCAAAGTGCTGGGATTACACGTGTGAGCCACCGTATCTGGCCTACTCCTGAATCTTTATCTTCAAACCAGGTTTCATTCCTGAAATCTAGCTATTCAGGTATCTGATGGATATCATCATTAGATATCTTAAACATCTAAAACTAGATTCCACAACCAACCCTCAACCCTAGTCCAATATTCCTTTACTCTCCCTGGTTATCTAAGCCCTGAAATGGGTACCCAATTATTAACCTGCCACATCCAATCAATCCCCAATTCCTGTTGATATTAGCTCCTAAATCTCTCTTCCTCTTTTTTCACTAAGACTTTTCCAGTTTCAGAAAGTAACTAGACCATTTCATTCTAATATACTAGACTCCATGCTGAAGTAGAAGTGTTCTCAATTGTTCAGGGTACAAATCCACGTTTGCCACATACCACCAGCTGAATGACAAAGGCATCACTTCTGATACTTTTTGAGATACAAGAAATGAAGGGGGTCCTGCTCAGTTAGCTGCTTCTTCAATGTCAAAACAGACCCTGTAATAAAATAAGGAACTCCAACCGGTTTGGTAGTAGGTCAGTTTTCTATCTATCATCTATCTAATCTATCTATCTTTAAATTATGGTGATTAAAGGGCACTTTCAGTGCAAAATGGGGACTGGCCCTCAGTAAGCAAATTGCTGGCTTATCATGCATCAGGGTTGCTGCAGAGGCCATGCCTGTACCAAGCAGGAACTTGGCCTTGAGGTTCCTCCTCCAATTTCAAAATAGGCTTAGACACAGGTAAGGGAAGACCGTGATCATAGGTTCTTTTAGGTTTTTATTATGATCTCTTGTTTTTATACCTGAATAACAATTTTCCCCAAAGGAATGATGATATGTAATCTTTATTCTAAAAAGGACACATAGTGTATTGATAGCATCTGGTCAGTGGTTATCACTGACTATCTTCAATAACAATTACTCATCTAAGAAACTCTTCCTTTTTTCTTTAAAATCGTTGGTGCTGATCCAGACAAGCCCTGGGCTGCTGCTCCTCATCCTGATAGGATCTAGCTTCTAGACTGACCCCTCTCAAGAACAAAATACAGGGAGGGACTTGTTCTGGATTCCCTTTGGGCAAATGCAGCTGCAATACTCAGCAGGCTTGGCCTCAACTTCCAGGGCTTTTGTTTTTTTTCTTTTAAATGTATACTATTAAAGTTGGATTATTAATCTAATATTTGTGTTTGCCTTGGGGACTAATAAACCTCACAACCTGAGGATCACCTCAGTTAAACCAAGGCTTTGTCATCACAGAGCTACTCAGCAGAGGTCTGTCTCAGCTGTTCCTTGAACTAAGGAAGGAGTCAGTCAGCTAGGAGAGAAAAGTCCTTTTGAAAGCAGACAGCATCATGTACCTTGCTGACTCAGCTACATACATAAGGCCTCAAGCCTTGCTGCCAGTTCTTAAAGGAACTGTGTTCTCTTTTCACTTTTCCTGGCTTATGGGGCAGTAGAGGGTTTCCGACCTCAAATGCCAATACCAGGTAGGTAGAAGGACCTTAGGCTCAACTGCTGGCTCCTCGTAATAACACACACTGTATTCTGTGGTGGGTGCCACTCTGCTCTGCCTGTGTCATGTCACCTTTCCTAATCCAGCACATCCTCGCCCAAGAAAACCCTATTTTGGGGTCATTCATTCTATTCTTATTTCTCTCTTATTTGTTCTGATGTTTCAGTTGGACTTGATTCCACCGCAGGCTCTGGCTCCAGAGGAAGAGATGGGGGCTTTGTGAACTGGGATGTTCCTCCAGCACCTAGTAACAAAATAAAAACTTGAATCCTCATGTTCCACAATTTCAGAAGAAATCATTCTTTTTTGCTGTTAGAGTTCAAGAGGAAACCCCATATTTTCTGGAACCAGTGGGACTGACCCATTAACTATAAGGGAAGACTATAACTGAGAAATAAAGCAACAGTCAAGTTTGCCTTCAATGAGTCACTGAAAAATATTTACGTGTCAACTTCTGATAAAGCAGTAAAAATTAAACATTGCATAACAGGATATACTTAATAACATATTGCTAAAATTGGAAAGACCAGTGTATAGACCATCCAACTAAGTCTGTGAGTAGCTGTTACCTACTACATAGCTCGCCTTAAGGAAACAAGTGCCAATTTAGCCACCCTGTGTTTTTTTTCTCCCCTTGTGGCCAATACTACGTTGGACATATGAGTCTGAAGAGAACCTCACTGAAAGCTATAATCTCTGCTGACAGACACATGTGGCTTGTACCTGCCAGGTCTTCATGGAGCTCTGTATGGTCCTACCTGAGGGGAGCGTCCTGTATGCAGCTGCTGAAGACATTGCCTGTCCTAGAGCTTGATTAGAGCCCAGAGGCTGCTGGAAACTGGCAGGTTTGCTGGTTGAAGTGGTCTGGTGCTTTGATTTGGGATCTTTAACTGGTTTGGTCCAGACCAGTGCCTCCCCAACCTGGAGAGCAGCTCCCAACTTCTGAGCCATCTCCACCATCTTGTGTCCACAAAGGAAGTAAAAGAATCAAAAGCGTGACTGTCAGAGACAAGCCAACCCACTTCTTTGGTCTTCGAGCTGGGGTTTTAGCTGAAATAGTGTCTGGTCGTACTAGCAGTTGAGGCAGGAAGTACTTATCAAACAGTAGAGATTACAGATTGCCTTTACTGGATGGCATGGTGGTTCACATAGGATCTCAAAACCCAACAATTCAAGCCTGGTGCATTACCGGGCCAAACAGTGCATTTCCTACAACAAGTGAAATAGGGCTGGGCACGTGGATCACGAGGTCAAGAGATCAAGACCATCCTGGCCAACATGGTGAAACCCCGTCTCTACTAAAAATACAAAAATTAGCTGGGCGTGGTGGCACGCGCCTGTAGTCCCAGCTACTTGGAAGGCTGAGGCAGGAGAATTGCTTGAACCCAGGAGGCGGAGGTTGCAGTGAACTGAGATTGCGCCATTGCACTCCAGCCTGGGCAACAGAGCGAGATTCCGTCTCAAAAAAAAAAAAAAAAAAAAAGTGAAATAGAAGGAAGCTACAGACAGACACAGACCTCAACTTTGATGAGTTGAATTAGCAATAACAACTCAGTAAGCCTGAATTTCCTTTTATTATTATTCTAGGAAAGTTTTTCTCAGGCTGTTATTAATTGATGAACTCATGCTGCTAGGAACATCAAAGCCAGAACAGCCATGAACGTGTAATACCTTGGATTTGGATGATCTGGGCTTGATTTTTAAAAGTCTCCTGAGAGCTTACTTATGACTCTTGGGAGCTAATAAAAGACATACCTCAGAGTCAAATTCCAGAGAGCTATTGTCCTTGAGTAGGCTGACTTTCTTCTCCATCTCCTGATATTGGGCCAGGGCGTTCTTCTTCTCGCCCTGGTTGTACAGCAGCACAGCATAGTTCAGGTTTACTAAAGGGTTACACCTGTGGCAGACAGAGATTCTATGGAGCTGGGGGCTCTGCAACAAATGGTCATTTAGAGATCCTTCTCATTACACAAAAACAAAACAAAACTGGTTAAGTAGAGATTTCTCCATTATGCAGCAAGGTAGGTACATACGTGCTAAGCAGACCTGTGGAGAAGAATCAAGGAGTTAATGGCCTAACAAGCAAAGCTGGTATTGGGACCAAATCTGGCATCTCAGCCCTCAACAGAGACTACCTAGGCCAGGGTTGAAAAAGGGATCTCTACCCTGCTGTCTAGAAGATGCCAGCGGAGTAAATCCTGGAAGAGTCAAGTTTTATCTTGAATTAAACAGCCCAGAGTCCCATCTGATATTCCAGCTAGCCCATAGCTATCAGCAACCCAAGCCCACTGCCAGTTCTGACATTCTCTAGCCTCCTGATTACTCAGTTTAGGACTGGAAACATTTTCTCAGAGTGTCAATTCCTGCTGAGCCACCACATACTTAGGAGACACATCCCTCCACACTGAGGTCTGCTATGTACTAATGCCATAGAGGAACAGCTGGGCTGACACAGGCAGCACCAATGCTATGTATGGCACCACCTCATGGCTTTGGAGAGTCCAACCCCCGCCAGTACCATTCTCAACAAAGTGCATACTTATCCAGGTGGACTGCTTCTGCGTAGGCTCTCTTGGCATTTTCTATATCTTCCAGATTGGTCAGAGCCACTGCAACAAAGAAAGCACTGCAGCTGGAGAGCTCAGCTTAGAAGACAAAAGGAGTATTAAAGACTACCCCCAAAGTAAACTTCACCCTGTCAGCTCATGGCACCAGAGTTTACTAAGTCAGCTTAGATACCTGGTGCTATCTTCAACCATCTCTTCTACAGTCAATCAGTTGCCAGGTTCTATGCATCCTTTTTTTGCAGTTTCTTTTCTGACACTGCCCTTGTTCAGGCCCAAGTAGTTTTAGGCTTTCCATTTATTCCCCAGTGTCAAAGTCCCCACCTGCCTCCATTCCACCTTCCACAGCGCTGCCAGGTATCTCACTGCCTTACAAATCTGACCACATTACCATCCTACTTAGGAATCCTCACTGGCCCCCCACATCTATAACCATGATCTTTACACTTTCATTTAGCAGTAAAACACTCCCCCCACTTTTTAAAATCAGTATTTCCTTGACACCTAATATATAAAACAAAAACAGCTGCTCTGGAAGCCCTGCCCATTCCACCTCCCCACCAGCTATGCACTCACTCCTACCAGGCACCTAAGAGGAGATCTAGGAAGACAGCTGGACAAACATGGCCTCTAAGATAAAGTCCTTGCACTGTACGCATGACCTCCATAATCTGACCCCAGAATATCTTTCCTGATTCATCTCCCATCATATTCTCTAACACTAACCCCCACTAACAGCAAGGGACACTGCAGTTTCATGGCTGCATGCCTTTCTTCACAGTGGCTCCTCAGCCATTCTGTGCTATTCCATTTTAGCTTGTTGTTCAGGATCCAGTTTGAATGCCATCTCTACTTTGTAAAGTTAGCATCGCTGTTATCTCTTACATTATGGCTGTTTACATTTCTGTGTTCCATTAGAACCCAGCTATCTAAAGAAACTATCAACACAGTAAACAGACAATGTACAAAATGGGAGAAAATATTTGCAAACCATGCAGGTCTAATATCCAGGATCTATAAGGAACTTAAGCAAATTTACAAGAAGAATACAATCCCATTAAAATGGGCAAAGGACATAAACAGACACTTCAAAAGAAGTCATGTATGCAGCCAACAAGCATATGAAAAACTCTATCACTGATTAGAGAAATGCAAATTGAAACCACAGTGAGATAACCATCTCACACCAGTCAAAATGGCTATTATTAAAAACTCAAAATATAACATCCTGGTGAGGCTGCAGAGAAAAGGGAATGCTTATACACTGTTGATGGGAGTGTAAATTAGTTCAACCATTGTGGAAAGCAATCTGGCAATTCCCCAAAGAGCTAAAAATACAACTACCCTTCGACCCAGCAATCCCATTACTGGGTATATGCCCAAAGGAATGTAAATCGTTCTGCCATAAAGACACATGCATGTGTGTGTTCAATGCAGCACTATTCACAATAGCAAAGATGTGAAATCAACCTAAATGCCCATCAATGGTAGACTGGATAAACAAAATGTAAATGTACACCATGGAATACGACACAGCCATACAAAAGAACAAGATCGTGTCCTTTGCAGCAACATAGATGGAGCTGGAGGCCACCATCCTTAGCAAATTAATAAAGGATAGAAAACCAAATCCTGCATGTTCTCACTATAAGAGCTAAATGATGAGAACACATGGAGACACAGAGGGAAACAGACACTGGAGCTTACTGGAGGAGGGGGAGGGCCAGAAAAAAATAACTATTGGGTACTAGGCTTAGTACCTGGGTGATGAAATAATCTGTACAACTAATCCCCATGACACACGTGCCTGTGTAACAGGATGCACATGTACCCCTGAACCTAAAATAAAATTTTTAAAAAAAGAGAGAGGAATGGAGTCTCACTGTGTTGCCCAGGCTGTACTCCCAACTCCTGGGCTTAAGCAAACTTCCTGCCTTAGCCTCCCAAGTAGCCAGCACTACAGGTATGTACCATCACACCCCACTTTAGCCTTTTTATTCTGATGTTTTGACATCTGGGGCCTTACTGACCCTGGGGAGACTGTCCCTCCCACAGTCAGCTAATTCCTAGATATAACCCCTACAAGAGTACCTTCTGTATGCAGACCGACCAACCCAGTGTTCATATTCTTAACTGCCTCCTTTACTGGGCCCTGACACTGGGCCAATATTCCCTAGTCCTAGTCACCCGAGGGTCAGGTACCAGACACCTAGAGACAGCCCTATAGCCCAGAGCCCACTGAAATTATTCAAACTGGCCAATCCCCAACCTGGTTAACCTGCTTTCCCGGTCTTGCCCCGGGGAGGGCATTTCTACCCATGAAAACTACAATAAAGAATTGTGCCCACATTTACCCCTTGCTCCCTCTACCTCCTGATTGACCTGGTGCTTCCCCATGTGGCCCTGCACGGTGTAGCATGCCCTCCTTCTCAGGAATTGTAACAGACTATCTTTCCAGTGGCAGATGTCTTCTGATCTGTTGCCCATACCATATCTGAATAATAATAAAACCTATGTTTTTTTTTTAAAGTTATCTTTGTATTCAGGCAACCCTCAAATAACCACAATTGCTTTTGCAAGCTTTCTCTTTTAAATAAGAACCCACAGTAATGAACAAAAAGCCACTGGAAGACGACTGCCAAATGAGGACATGGAAATCTGCTTTGGGTCTTACATTTAGTAAGTAAATGTATATGGAGAAAAAAATTCCTAGAAAGACTAGTCAGTACTTTAAAATGGTTGTGCATAATTGTTAAAGTGTTTGATTAATTTTAACTTATTTTTATGATCAATTTTAGTATTTGCATGGCATAAAATGGAGTTTCAGGAAGAGAATGGCATTCTATATAACATGCTCAGAAGAGATAAGGGTTTCAACATAAGGTAGCTTGACTTGGAAGTATCACCTAGGGGCCAATTATAGTAACAACAATATTGATAATAATAGACCAATTATATAACCACAGTAAAACCAACAGTTTTCAAAAATCAGTATTTCAACAAAACCAGTATTATTAATTGAGAGCTTAATCATGCAATCCTCACATCAGCCCTAGGTACATATAATAAGTAGTAGAGGCAGGACCCTACCTAAAACCCAAGCTCTTAACACTTGCTGTCTGGAACTTAGTTGGACTCAATATATACATAAATGAATTGTCAAGGCAAGAGGAAAAAACTGGTAAAAGGTGAACTAGGGATGATCTTTATTTAACCTGTTGGTCTCTGAGTCAAACTCCCCCAAGTTAGAAACAACCAAGTTCCTTTGTCATCTTTTTCTATTTCTTCAAGCTCCAGGACAGTAATCCAGATTCCTACAGGATCTCTAAGGGAATGGCTCCTATGAGACAGCCACTGATCTTCTATGATTCTAATCCATTTTTCCCTCATTACAGATGGCAGAGAGAGTTTTCCACATAAATGTTTCTTACCTGCCAAGAGCATGTAGAGCTCCCCCATCTTTGGCTGGAAGTTGATGGCCGCACTGAGAAAATGAAAAGCTGATGCATACTGCTGCATGGTCAAATGGACAAGGCCCAAATTATACAGAATCTTCCAATCAAAGGGTGCCAAGTAGTTGGCTCGTTTCAGGCAGCTGATGGCCTATGAGAGAGAAGGGGCACTCAATGAGAAGGGCAAGCTAAACAGACCCAATAACCACATGTAGAAATACAAACAAAGAACATGAGGGGACACTCACCGCCACATATTTCTTCTTGCCAAAGAAACACATTCCAATGTTATTCCAGAGTGGAGGACTTTCTGGAACAGCACAAGCCACAACTCTGTATTTGGTGAGGGCAACATCAAAGTCCCCGTGGGTCTGCATCATGCTGCCTGCTGCCAAGATGGCCTGAAAACATGGCACAGAGAAAGTCATTCAGTCATTCCCAAAAGGCTGTAGCAGTGGGGCAGCTTTCCTGAGTCTATACTCAGCAGGCCCATCAGCATAGATGGGACTGGAAAATTTCTTCCAGGGACATAAATATATCCAACCTATTGGGACAAATGTTCCTGAGGAATGTCCTTGCACTCTACACTGTGGCTCTCTGGCACAGCACAAAAAAAAAAAAAAAAAAAAAAAAAAAAAAAGATAAAATGTTACTTGCTTTACCCATCTGTTTCCTACTTCTAGCCAGGAAAGTCAGTATTTCAGAATGAATACCAGAGCCCTTTAAGTAAAAACTTCCTTTAATCTGTTCTCTGCAGCCCCTATTTGGTATACCAAGTGTTCTAGATACCTGAAATACACCTGTACGTGGCTACTTAAGGTAAATTTCTTTCTACCGTAGAACAGAGGGCGAGTCAGCTTTAGGCTTCATCAGCCCAGCCCTTTCATTTCTCTAAGGAAAGGTATCAAGGTGGGAGCTGACAGTCTAATGTTACTTCCTAAATCAGAATTCAGTTTGTATCCTTTAATAAACAGCTTGTCTTGCTGCATCTCCTCAATGATGTTCATCCATTTGATGCTATTCCTTCTCATTCCCAAAGTCACATCTAGAAAAAAAGTTGTAGTATCAAATCATTAGGACTCTAGAAGTCATTTCAACATAATTATTGTTTCTTTTTAGAGACAGGGTCTCTGTCACCCAGGCTGGAGTATAGTGGTGCCATCATAGCCCACTGTAGACTCAAACTCCTGGGCTCAAGTGATCTTCCCTCTTCCACCTTCCGAGTGGCTAGGACTACAGGTGTGTGCCACCATGCCTGGATAATTTTTTTTGTAGAAATGGGGGTCTCACTATGTGGCCCAGCCTGGTCTTGAACTCCTGGCCTCAAGTGATCCTCCTGCCTCAGCATTCCAAAGTGCTGGGATTACAGGCATAAGCCACCATGCCCAGCAGATTTATTTTTTTTATTTTTTATTTTTTTTTTTTTTGAGACAGAGTCTCGCTCTGTCACCCAGGCTGGAGTGCAGTGGCGCGTGATCTCAGCTCACTGCAAGCTCTGCCTCCCGGGTTCACGCCATTCTCCTGCCTCAGCCTCCCGAGGAGCTGGGACTACAGGCGCCCGCCACCACGCCCGGCTAATTTTTTTGTATTTTTAGTAGAGACGGGGTTTCACTGTGTTAGCCAGGATGGTCTCGATCTCCTGACCTCGTGATCTGCCCACCTCAGCCTCCCAAAGTGCTGGGATTACAGGCGTGAGCCACCGCGCCGGGCCGCAGATTTATTTTTGACAATAGTTGTGGAGGCATTGCTAATTTCCTAAGTAACACATAAGCTTTACTAGCACTATGATCTGCCTTCTGCAGGGGTTACACGTCTATTATAACAAATGTGCACTTTTAGAAGATAAGTAGAGCATACTTGACACTATTTTCAAATAAGAAGAGCCACCTTTTATTTATATTTTTTCTATTTCTCAGGTATCCAAATTTAAGAAGCTATTCCTTTGCTTTCCAGGGTCAGATCACCTCTAGGAGCAGTGGGACCGTCTATATGAAGGCCAGAGCCTTCACAGCCTGTAATACCTTGTAGTTGGTAGGGTCATAAGTCAGTGCATTGCCAAGATGTTCAAATGCCTTCTGGTAAATGCCGAGCTTGGAAAAAAAGCAAACAAGACAATTTACATCAGCAAGGAGACGGCAGTTAAAAGAGTCTGGCCAGACCAGGCGTGGTGGCTAATGCCTATAATCCCAGCACTTTGGGAGGCTAAGGTGGGTGGATCACCTGAGGTCAGGAGTTCGAGACCAGCCTGACCAACATGGAGAAACCCCATCTCTACTAAAAATACAAAATTACCCAGGCATGGTGGCACATGCCTGTAATCCCAGCTACTTGGGAGGCTGAGGCAGGAGAATCGCTTGAACCCAGGAGGCAGAGGTTGCAGTGAGCCGAGATCACGCCATTGCACTCTAGCCTAGGCAAAAAGAGTGAAACTCCGTCTCCAAAAAAAAAAAAAAAAAAACAGTCTGGCCAACCTCACCCAGAACAGAAATGCTCTGGCTTTTTTGAGTTCTCTTGACTTTAAAAAAAAAAAAAAAAAAAAAAAAAGCAGCTACAGTTACCAGATAATAAAGAAAGAAAACTAAAAATCCCCAGTCATGGTTTTCCTTCTATTTTTGTTAATTTGTCACCTGATAAGGTCAAAGTATCTATTTGATAAGAACCATCTCTGCCACACTAGTACTGTTCCACATTAATGCCTCTTTGCAGGAAATGAGCTGGGTATCCTCATCTCCCGTGGAGCCAACCTCCCAAGCCAAAGCCCAGGAAGACCCAGGGTTAAGCTCCTGATTCCTTTTAAAGAAAAATGAAATAGACATAAAGGCCACCACAGAGGCAGGGCTGGAGGCAGAATCAGCTGACCAAGGAACTTGGCAAATGTGTATATTGGGGAAGAGGGAAAAGCCCCTTGGATACCTGGGCCCTGGGTCCTCAGCCAGAGAATCAATGGAGCTAAAAGAATCCCATTCACATTCAGGAATGTTGAGGGGACAGAAAACTTCTTATTCTAGATAAAAGTATACTTTGCCTTCTCTCTTTCCAATAAGACTCTGGCTGGGAAGAAAGATCAAAAGAAATGGCTTTGCCCCAAAGCCCTAAGTGCTCACTTGTATCTGTTTCTCTCCTCACAACAAAATAACAGCCTCCAAGACCAGAGTTATTTCTCATATATGCTCTTTCCTGGATAGCATAAGAATTTTTTTTTTTTTCTGAGACAGGATCTGGCTCTGTCACCCAGGATGGAGTGCAGTGACTCAATCTCAGCTCACTGCAACCTCTGCCTTCCGAGTTCAAGCAATCTTCCCATCACAGCCTCCCAAGTAGCTGGGACTACAGAAGCATGCCACCATGCCTGGCTAATTTTTTTATTTTTTGTAGAGACAGGGTCTCACTATGTTACCCAGGCTGGTCTCCAACTCCTGAGCTCAAGTGATCCACCAGCCTCAGCCTCCCAAATTGCTGGGATTACAGGCATGAGACCACACCCAGCCTAGATAAGAATTATAATTGCACTAGGCTAAAATAGAATTGCTTCCAATTTAAATGCAGAAAATTAATTCCTTTAGCAAAGAGTATCGAATAGAGAGAGTGTAGTTCATGAACTTTATATGACCTTTAATAAAATAAATATCAGAATGCAGGAAAACCACCATACACACAAACCCAAAACCATTTCTAACATCAGTGCATGAATGAGTACAGAGTTTTCATTACCTGTAAGTAGAGTAATCCTAAAGTTGTAAGAAGCTCTGTATTTTCTGGTGAGAACCTGCAACATAGAGATGCTCAGAGGGAAACAAGATGTAGATGAGAAACACGAAGACACATGCACAGTAATATGCCCTCGTGCAATACTTGACAGACCCCACTGAGCCTCTTCCTCCCCGTGGAAATACCTGAAGGCAATTTGGGAATTGCCATCAAAAGTAGGTCATCTCAACCCTGGTGATAAGGAGAACTGCTCAGCAAGAAAAATGAGGCTTAGAATTCAGATTCCTTTCTTAGGGTAAAAGTCCTAAGAAAGAACCTATAGAATGTTTTGCATGACTGTCTTGGTCACACTGATAAAATTAAAGAACAATGCTTTATAAACCAAGTCAGCCTAGAACACACACAGTTTCACCAGTCCTCTCTTGTGGAATTTTTTTTCTATCCTCATTGTGCTCACAATGCCAGGCAGCATAATTTTCTATGTAATTTAGGATCCCAAGGCCCCTAATGCTGTTCTCTCCACTTAAACAAAGAGCTATACCAAGTAGCCAAACTAAACAAAAGAAGGAAGATACATACCAATCCTAGGAAAGAAGGTGCTACTGACCTTTGGGAGTAAACACTGATGTAAGTAAAATACTCACATCAGGGATTGCCTGCTCAATCCCTCACTAGTATTTGTCTTTGTCACAAAACCAAGGCAACACTGAGTTGAGATGATCTGACCATAGGATCATCAGACAGTTTCAACAGTAAAACACCAAAGGGCTATGAACAATGTCTTCTGCTTCTAAGGAATGATATAGGGCACTGGTTACCTATAGGAAGACCTGAACCAGAAGATGCAAAGCCCCAGCCAGGGGAGGCCTGAGCTGACCAAACAGAGCTTTCTCAATTCAACTGGGAATCCGCCTTTCACTTTCTGCCATAATAAACATCCACTTTGATCACTTCCCTCCCCAAAGCCAGGTAACTTCTGTAATTCTAGCAATATTGGCTTCCCCACTACAACATGACTACTCTCTTCAAAGCTGTAGGTCATGAACAATGGTCTCTATCTTCTCAGTAAGGCTTCAGATTTTAGCTGTCCACATTTCTCCCTTAGGAAATTTAGTGACCAAAGTCCTTGATCAGTTACTGGAAGAATGTTCCCCTTGGGATTTATGTATGCTATTCTCAAAGAGCTAACCTCTAGAAGGCAGGGGTCAGGGATCAGGGCTACTACCTAGCACCACAGAGGCACTGAACATGTTACATGGCTCCTTACTACTTGCCCAAATATACAGCCTCTTGATGACAAAAGTCTGTTCTGTAGCTTAACAAACCAAGGGATTTTTCTGTTTTAGACACAAAATATGGTTGAAGAAAATTCAGAAAGCAGTGCTGTGACTGATATAACCAGAAAATTTACTACCATGGTAGAAGACAAAGATGATTAACAAATTAATAGAAATCTAAGTTTAGTTCAGAATCTAATTATTAGGAATAATAAGCCTTGAACCACAGACCAGACATTCTATTAAGGGACCAAACAAATGAGACAAGGCATTTTGCTACAGCTATCCCATTTAAAAGTAACAACACAAGGCTGGGCGCAGTGGTTCACGCCTGCAATCCCAGCACTATGGGAGACCAAGGCAAGCAGATCACTTGAGGCCAGGAATTCGAGACCAGCCTGACCAACATGGTGAAACCCTGTCTCTGCTAAAAATACAAACATTAGCCAGGGGTGGTGGCGTGCTCGTGCAGTCCCAGCTACTCAGGAGGCTGAGGCATGAGAATCGCTTGAACCCAGGAGGCAGAGGTTGCAGTGAGGCGAGATCGCGCCACTGCACTCACCCCTGGGCGACAGAGCGAGACTGTTGAAATAAATGAAAGGAAGGAAAGAAAGGAAGGAAGAAAGGAAGAAAAGAAAGAAACAAAGAAAGATGGGAATGGGAGGGAGGGAAAGGATGGAAAGAAAAGAGAGAAAAAGGAAGGAAGGGAGAGAGGGAGGGGAAAGGGGAAGGGAGATGGGAAAAGGGGAAAGGGGGAAGGGAAAGGAGGAAGGGGAAAGGGGGAAGGGGAAAGGGGGAAGGGGGATGGGGAAAGGGGGATGGGGAAAGGGGGATGGGGAAAGGGGGATGGGGAAAGGGGGATGGGGAAAGGGGGATGGGGAAAGGGGGATGGGGAAAGGGGGATGGGGGAAGGGGGATGGGGGAAGAGGGAAGGAGGAAGGGGAAGAGGAAGGGGGAAGGGGGAAGGGGGAAAGGGAAAGGGGGAAGAGAAAAGGGGGAAGGGAAAACGGGGAAAGGGAAGGGGAAAACGGGGAAGGGGAAGGGAAAATGGGGAAGGGGGAAAAAAGATACTGGTCTCATGCTAATAAGGCCAAATGTTTTGTTTTGTTTTGTTTTGTTTTTTACTGAATCAGGAGATTTCTGTCCCTAATAATATCTCTGAAAACAGAAGATCTGTTATTAACATATGATACCAAAATGGCAGACTGTCGGCCAACTCTTAAATCTGTTATTTCCTTCTTCTTGAGTGCATGTCTGCCCACTTCCCTTGTAACTATCATGTAGTTTTGAACCATGGAATGTAAGCAGGAACGATGTGTGCAATTTCTGGGTCATTTAAAACTTATTACCAAGGCCAGGTGCAGTGGCTCACACCTGTAATTCCAGCACTTTGGAAGGCTGAGGCAGGAGGATCGCTTGAGCCCAGAAGTTTAAGACCAGCCTGGGCAACACAGCAAGACCCTGTCAACACAAAAACAGTTTTTTTTTTTAAATTAGCTGGGCATGGTGGCACATGCCTGTAGTCCCAACTACTTGGGAGGCTGAGGTAGGAAGATTGCTTTAGCCCAAGAGGTTGAGGCTGCAGTGAGCTGTGTTCTCCACTGCACTCCAGCCTGAGTGATGGAGTAAGATCATGTCTCTCTCTCTCTCTCTCTCTCTCTCTATATATATATATATATATAGCCAGATGCTTATTCCATGCTTAGCTTCCCAAACCATCTCCTTCCACCACAGCCTGGATGTGGATGTTACATTCAGCATCAACCATGCAGGTAAAGACAACAGCCTAAGGAATGGTGAGTTAATAAGGAAGAAACCTGGATCCCTGGCTGACCTTGTAGAATAGAGCTGCCCAGCTAACCTAAAGCAGCAGTCATCCTTATAGGTAAGAAAGAAACACAGTCTACCTTATTGAAGCTACTGGGAGCTCTTAAACTTCAGCTTAACCTTTAACTCATACAGTAAGTAATTAATCAAACATATTCACTCTTTTAGGCTT
Organism: Homo sapiens; assembly: GCF_000001405.40. NCBI lineage: Eukaryota > Metazoa > Chordata > Mammalia > Primates > Hominidae > Homo > Homo sapiens. The sequence continues at coordinate 72,724,721 of NC_000015.10, read as the reverse complement.
GGGAGTTCACATATCCACTCAATTTTTTTAGTTTCTCACTGTTTTAAAGGAAACAGATACACTTACTCCACTGCTTTCTTGTAGACTTCAATGGCCTTGTCCAAGTCTCCCTCCAGCAAGTGGATCTTCCCCAGCATTATATAAGTCAGATCGTGCCTATTAAGATTCAGGGCATTGTGCAACTGGTCTTGTGCCTGACAAGTTTAACAAAATAAAGAAAACCAAATCACTACCACTGAACGAACTATACCTTTATATGGCTAATGTAAAGACACTTTCTGCTGTATTGACATAGGAACATCACATTTCAGCAAACAGCCCCCACTACCCAAAGACCAAAACATACCAAAACTGTCCTTGTTGAAAAGACAGCTGGCAACATGGGATATCTGCTTCTGGAGCCACTTGGAAGAATTTATACAAGACGATTAATCTTTCTGAATGTTTTCTGCCTGATATTCACACCTATGACTCATACTTCATAAGTCAAAAGGGCCATCATAGTACAGTGTAGAGTACTACACTAAACTAAATCCCAGCTGTAACACTGACCAAGTGCACAACCTTCCCTATGGTGGGCCAGGTTTCCCCATCAATGTGATGATAAATGAATAAATAGATTGTTCTCATTTATTCACCCAACTGCTTGCTGTTCTAGATGCTAAATATATTTGAGTTTATAAAACCAACTCCTTGCTCTGGAGGAGCTTACCTTCTCCTAGTAAACAAAAGGGCTTTGTTTAGTCATTCACAGATTCAACAAGCATTTATATAAATGCCAGGTATTGTATTTGCCTAGCCTGTTAGCTGTACAGTAAAATCTAAATATATTTCTTCTCAGCACAGATCCAACCAAAGACAAATCCTTCTTTTCCCCTGACTCAGAATAATCCTGTGAATAGAAATGTGCCTGTTTGAAATTGTCTCTGAAGAGAAAAATCTCCTAACCAAGTATATAAAACTATAGATCCATCTACAAAACCTAAGGGGCCCACTAAATGTATTTTATGTATATATATTGTTATCTCAGGAGAAAAGTTACTTTTACACCCCAACTGCTAATGTGCATATTTTTTTTCACACCAGTGTGGGATACTAGTTACACCAGTCTGCAAATTGACACAAACTAAACATTGTCAAATGGGTACTAACCAATTCAGATTCTCAGTCCTGGTGGCATCGGAGAAAGGAGAATAAAACTTCACAATCACTAACTGTGAGCTCTATGAAGGAAACTACCCAACGCTCTCATCACTAAGTTTTAGAGCTCTCAGTAATTTTGTCTACTCCTCAATTATGATATATACTTTTTCTTACCTGAGTACCAAATTTGAGGTAAGCTCAACTTGTCTTCTCTGATATAGGAGTCTATAGCTTAATCACAGTGAAATATAATTTCTCATCATGGAAAATAACTATAAAATTAAAACTGAAAACTCAGAAATCAGATCCACTTAAAATTTAAAATTTATTTTCAATGACCCTAAAAACTAAGTTGCCGTCAGGGCATGGAGATAGCTCACATGGTCATGATCACACCTTTAAGACTTAAGGGTCCACTTTTTGATATGTATGTTTTATTAAGCATCTGTTTCTAAACTGGGAAATTTAACTGGAGGTAGAGAAAAAGAAGAAAGGAGAAAAACTGCCATTCCCTCATATTTCTAGAACTTTCCATGTTCTTATTACAAGCAGAAAACAACAGATGAATAATGACAAGTGAGAATTAAAACAGAAAAAAATGTATAAAGGTACTTTCAATTTTCAGTTCCAAAAACCTCTGCAAGCACTAGGGATAATACCAAATGAGCAATGTAACAACTTCTGCAACAAGTGCACCCTCAGTGAAATCTATCACCACTTCTATAAATTACCTTGTTGAACTGCTTCAGGTATATGTAGCAAACTCCTAGGTTATGGCTGATCTCCTAGGCTCATAAAAAAGAAGGAAAACAACTCAGGTGTAATTCCACAGTAAGTATTAGAGTGAAACAACAGACATCTAGAGATTGTTATTGCTCGGCAAGGTTTAAACTTTAAACTATGCATTACAGTCAGCTTTTTATTAGAGTTCATACTCAAATTAATTGTTAAAAATAAGTTCCTCAACATAAAAAAATACAGATTATAAGAAATAAAAGCAGAATAAACAGGTGATCTTCCTGGATCTATGGGGAACCCTGGGGCACATACCCAGCCCATCCCCATACCTTTTTTCTTTAAGAGTTGCCCATCACCCATACCCTTTGCTCCTTCTTCTCAGGAGAGACTACCCACAGCCCCTGCTGAGAGGGCTGCTAGCCACACATTTCCGCCCTTAAGGCAACACAGTTGGATAGTGACACCTGACACAACTGAAGTCCTTTCCCTAGGAATCTGGAATTGGAAGAGAGCTAGTTAGTTACAAGTACTAAATTTACTAGGTGATGTGAACTTGAGGACTGACAGCGCCACCTGGAGTCTGCTGTGATGGAATACATGTAATTGGAGCCATCTGCAGAAGTCTAGAGCTGACATGGGAAAACTATGGTCCATGGGCCAAATCCATTCCCTGCCCTTTTTTATAAGTACAGATTCATTGGAACACAGACACAACTATTGTTTTTGTATGGCTCTTTTGCATTAGAACTGCAGAGTTAAGTCGTTGCAACAGAGTCTGTATGAAGCTATACAAATTAAAATATTTATTAACTGGCCCTTTACAAAAAAAGTTTGCCAACCTTTGATCTACAGAAAGAAAAGATGAAGCAGAAAAGGCAGAGTAGCTACCTTGGATGCTGAAGCGTTCCAGTTCTGCTTCACTAAAAGACCAACCTGCATCTCTTGATACTGTTTTATGGACTCTCAAATTCCTTTATAATAAACCTCCCTTTATTTAAGGTAGCTTTGGAAAAGGAGAAAGCAAGGGTAAGGAAAATGCTCTTGGGAAACATAGTAAGAACTACCCTATTAGTAGTGGAGATGTGTCCCTGTCTGAGGAAACATGGACCCCCAGGCTCAGAGATAACAACTGATTTAATGTTTTCCAAGTCTCCAAAAATAGTAAAAACAACAAAACAGCAACCATTGGTTGAGCACCTACTAACATCAGGCTTTATGCCAGATGTTTTCATATATGTTACTTTAATTTTCAGCAAACCTGCAACATAGTTATAATCTTTCCAATTTTACAGATAAGGAAATTGAAGCTCAGAGAGGTTGAGTAGATTACCTAACTTAAGACAGAGAGTATTGGGATTTTTTTTTTCTTTTTTAGTTCTACATCCTAGGGAGAATTTCAATCATACGTAAGTGCAGACAGAATTAGGTACTAATCATCCTGTCCCAACAACCATCCAATCCACACCCCATCTACTCCCACAACTTTTGTAAGCAAATAACAGCCCAACGTTTTATCCACAAATGTTTCCGTATTTATTTCTAAAAGATAAGGCCTTTTTCTTAAACTACCCACATCGTCACACTCGAAAAAAAGTAGTGACTGCTTGATATTAGATATTCAATTACGTTAAAATTTCCAATTATCTCACAAATGCCGCACATTTAAAAATTTTTTTTATTCAATCACAAATCATGTCCATATTATAGAACATTGGGATTTGAACTCAGGCCTGCTTCCAAAACTTGTATACTGCCAACTTTGTCATGCTATAAGAATGCATGCATGGAGAGAGACAAGGCAGAAATAAAGCCTTTCTTGTCCTTTAAATGTCCTGCTCTACAGTAGGAATTGTTAAGGTAGGTAAGTAAATAGATGTCCTGAAGGCTAACCTCTGACCTTTTAAAATCTTTGACATAGATAGTTGAGAAGGCAGCAATATACCTTTAACAAACTAACTGCAAAAGAAATTTGGAAAGGGCAACAGAACAAATCAGAGTCAAATCCTATCTTTCAGGAGGTAAGGGAACCCAGCAGACATCCTGCAAAGGCAGTTGGTACAGTGGAAAAGATCACAGTCTTAAGACGAGGAATCTTAGATCATCCTAGATCACAGGTCTGAATTCCAGTTCTGGCTCAGCAACTACCTCACTGTAGCAACTTCCATCTTCCAAAGCCTTAGCTTCCTCACTTGTCAATGGGGGAAATTCTCCCTACTTAACAGAACTGTTCCAAAAGTCAACTAAGATAATGGCAGGAGGAATTACTATTCCCCTGTTGCAGCAAGACTGTGGAATACCCTGATGAGTCCAAGAAAGTAGGGCTACAAGGTTGTTTCTTTTTTTTTTTTTTTTTTGAGACAGGGTCTTGCTCTGCTTTCCATGCTGAAGTGCAGTGACACAATCACAGTTCACCGCATCACTGCAGCCTCAACCTCCTGGGCTAACGTGATCCTCCTACCTCAGCCTCTAGAATAGCTAGGACTACAGGTGCACACGACCACTAATTTTTATTTTTTTTTCCTAGAAACTGGGTCTCTATGTTGCCCAGGCTGGTCTCAGACTCCTGGGCTCAAGTGATCCTCCCCACTCAGCATCCTTTTAAAGTGCTGGTATTACAGGTATGAGCCACCATGCTCCAGCTACTATAAGGTTTTCTACAGGTACTTATGAAATATGTAGGGTAGGTAAGGGCTATTAATAAAAGTAAAATTCAAAATCATTAAAATATTCTAAAAAGAAAATAAAAATGCCATGAAGGGGAAAATTTTAAAGAAAAATTTTAAAGTTAAAAAAAAAAAAGGTGGTGGCTCACACCTGTAGTCTCAGCACTTTGGGAGGCCAAGGTGGGCGGATCACAACGTCAGGAGCTCGAGACCAGCCTGACCAACATGGTGAAACCTCATCTCTACTAAAAATACAAAAATTAGCTGGGCATGGTGGCGGGTGCCTGTAAATCCCAGCTACTCAGGAGGCTGGGGGAGGAGAATCGCTTGAACCCAGGAGGCAGAGGTTGCAGTGAGCCAAGATTGAGCCACTGCACTCTAGCCTAGGTGACAGAATGAGACTCTGTCTCAACAAAAAAAAAAAAAAAGAATGGCTGTTTTGTGAATGATCACATCTACTAGTAACAATGGGATGGTTATCCCAAGTGAGTCAGTAATACCAAATGAGCTCTTTCAACCAACTGGATAGATTAAGAAATACGTTCCATTCCCCCTGTGACCCTGAGCTCTCCTGCTTTACCTCTTCCCTATCTCCCTCTATGGGTTCTCTTCTTCTGCTCAGTCCTTCAAAATTGCTTTTTGATGGCTCACACCTGTAATCCCAGCACTCTGGGAAGCTAAAGCAGGAGGATCACTTGAGGACAGGAGCTTGAGACCAGCCTGGGTAACATGAGACCTCATTTCCACAAAATAAATTTAGCCAGGCATGGTGGCTTGCACCTGTAGCCCCAGCTACTCAGGAGGCAGAGGCAGGAGGATCACTTGAGCCCAGGAGTTGGAGGTTACAGTAAGCTATGATCACCCCACTATACTCCAGCCTAGGCAACCTTGTCTCTTAAAAAAAAAAAAAAAAATTTAGAAAGTAAAAAACTGCTAGCATCCAGGGATGTTCCAGGGATTATTGGTGGGCCCTGGCTCCTCCCTGGCCTGTATGGTGACCATTTGTGGCACTGGCCACCCCCATGATCCTGGCCCCCATAGAGAATGCAGGGCTTCCTCCCTGCATTAAAGCAGTAACTTTTCCTGTGCCGTCTCAAACAGACAAAAAAAAAGTAAAAAACTCTTTTTTTCCAGGGTCCCATCCTCAGCTCATTGCAGGGTAATGTCAACCAATCTAATGGTTTCAATTACCACCTTTATGTTGCTGACTCCAGAATTCACATCTCTACTCCAAAACACTTGAGTTTCAGATTTCTATATCCAATCCTACTGGACACATCTCAATTTAGATATCCCCTCAGAACCTAAAACTTATCATATCCAAAATCCTCTGAAAGACAGGATTTAACTCTGATTTCTTACCATCACCTTCTTCCAAACCTTGCTCTTCTTCCTTCATTTCCTATTCTAGTTGAGTATCTTATAATCCAACAGTCCATCTTTGCATCTCCAGGGCATAGATCAGTGCTTGGCATATAGCAGACATACTCATTTTTTGAAAAACCGACTGAATGAAAAGTACATGAATTTTTCTTCATCTGTAGTTTCACTCTGGCTGTTAGCTATAACATACTCCATGGCATAAAGACTCAACTCAATCTTCCGATGTACAGAAGAAAAGCGACTAACAAATTGAACACACTTCAAAAATAATAGTGCCCCGTAAGAACTGCAAAGGAAATCCATGCTAATTCTCTGTACTAATAAATCTAGTTCTTCACTCACAGATATGAATGTCTCTCTGAGAATCACCAAATACTTGAAAAATACCAACAGCATAAAATAGAAGAACCAAAATGCAGAGAGGAAGAAAAAGATAATTCTGAGAAGCAGAAAAGAACTTCAAGAATCAGAGACATTGAAGAAAAGACAAGATTTTTGGAAATTAAAAATACAATAAAAGGAAATGAAATAAAAAATATTGGATGGATAGGGTATATAACAGAATACAAATAGCTAAAAACAAAAATGATGATATGGAAGATAAGACTGAATACATGTCCTGAACATATAATAAAATGACAAGGAGGGTCAGGCGTGGTGTCTCACACCTATAATCCCAACACTTTGGGAGGACAAGGCAGGTGAATCACCTGAGGTCAGGAGTTGGAGACCAGCCTAGCCAACATGGTGAAACCCCGTCTCTACCAAAAATACAAAAATTAGCCGGGCATGGTGGCAGGCGCCTGTAATCCCAGCTACTCAGGAGGCTGAGACAGGAGAATCACTTGAACCTGGAAGAAAGAGGTTGCAGTGAGCCGAGATCACGCCACTGCACTCCAGCCTGGGCAACAGAGTGAGCCTCTGTACCCCCCCGCACCACACACAAAGAAAAGGACACAGAGGTAGAAAATGAGAGGCAAGTTAAGAGTTGTAGAGAATAGTTAGAGAACATCTCTCATAGAGAATGGAAAACAGTGTGGCAGATGCTGCTAGTTATCTACTTGCCTACCTGCTACCTACTCTTCTCTTTTTCCTTACTAAAAGAACCCTAATTTTGTTTAGAGTGGCAGTGTGACCAGATTAAAAACGACATTTAACCAGCCTTCCTTATAGAAGGGGAGCTGATATGACATAAGTGGAAGTCTGTGGGGGACTTCTGGGAAAGTTGTGCTTTCCCAGTATAGGCTCTGTCCTTTTCTCCTTGTTGCTTTCTCTTTCTGCCTCCCTAGAATGCAGATATGATGCTGGATGCAGCAGTCTTCTTGTAACCATGAGGAAAAACTCTCAGTCTTGACATCCTAGGACCACCAAATCAATGCCAGCAACTACTTACCTGGACATCTTGTTTCATGAGAATTAAAAAAAAAAACAAAAACGAATTTGTAAAGCCAATGTTTAGTCAAATTTTCTGTTGCATTTACACACAATCCTCAATTGACACAAAGAGAAGGGGAGGGGAAAAATAAAGAACTACTCAAAGGCCCTGACCCAAAGAAAGGCAAGGGTCTTCAGAATGAAAGAGTCAATTGAATGTCACACAGATGGGGACGGGAAAAAGACATGAAACACAACTAGATGCCTATTGCTGATACTGTGGAATTCCAATGACGAAAAAAATACCCAAAGCTTCTAGGGGTCATCAACAAGAATCAGACTGGTAAGAGACTGCTCGTCAGCAAACTGCTAGAAAATCATGCAGCAATGCCTGCAAAGTTATGAGGAAACATGGTTTTTGATCCTATACTTATACAAATCATGAATTAAGTATGAGGTTAAAATCAAGACATTTTTGGAATGTAAGAATTCAGAAATAAGACAGCCAGATGATAAATGGAACCATTAGCAAGTTTACTAATAAGAAAGAACTGAAAGTTCTCTACTTACCCAATCTTTCTGGTTGAGTTTAGCTGCTTCATTATATACTTCAATGGCAGCTTTATGTTTTCCCAAAAGAAATCTGTAAAAGATATATTTTCCATAATTATTACCTCAAAATTCTTAGAAGACTAACCCTACTAGTCCCACATTTTAATCATATTTCATCCAGCAGAGAATTCTAGAAGCCTTTTCTCTATGAGGTGGTTGTGCTGGTTTGGTCAGTGAAGCTGCTATACACTAACAGCAGAAGCTCTCTTAGTAGGGATTGCACTGGCAGCTGTTCCAAGGCCTTGGTCTCATTCTATACCAATTTTAGTGAGAGTCTTGTGGAATTTTTCTTCTACAATGTACTATAAATGCAGACCAAAAAAGAAATAAGCCTAATGATATACCATGTTAAGCAGTAACTACCATCATTTATCATCACCCATTAGGGACACATCCTTTCCTTCCAAGACTAAGTCTCTTTCCTTGATATTGGATCCTGAGTTTAGAGAGAAACAGGGAAAACCAAGCTCTATGCAAAAACAACACAGGTATGAATGGCAATGTGGCTAAGAAAGGGGAGATAGGAACTCCATGGAACAAAGGACTGAAAAGGGAGTACCTAGTAGTTTATAAACACTTGAGATTCTTTCCATCTAGGAATCTTTAGGACATTCACTCAACAAATAGAGATGCTCCTCAACTTATGATGGGGTTACATCCCAGTAAACCCATTGTAAATTGAAAACACTGTAATTCAAAAATGCATGTAATACATCTACTCTACCAGACATCATAGATAGCCTAGCCTATCTTAAGCATGCTCAGAACACTTACTCTGTTCCATGGAGTTCCTATCTCCACTTTCTTAACTACATTTGCTGACAGTTAGGCAAAACCATCTAACACAATGCCAACTTTATAATAAAATGCTGAATATCTCATGTAATTTACTGAATACTATACTGAAAATGAAAAACGGAATGGCTGTATGGATACTTGAAGTACAGTTTCTACTGAATACATAACAATTTTACATCATTGTAAAGTTGAAAAATTATGTAAGTTGAACCATCAGAAGTCAGGAACTCTCTGTCCTTACTAAAAACTTACTGTGTGACAAATACTAAGTGTTAGAAGAGTAGATGAGAAAAATTCCAAGGATTGCCAATAAGTTTAGAAGACTTAGGGTACAAGGTGTCTCTATTTACATGATAAACAATATTGGTCCCCCATCAAACTAGAATGCACAGTGTTTAAAATGCTTAGTTCCTTAACACTAGTTATCTCATTTTCTCAAATTTCAAACTTAATCCATGCTCTTCAGAGTGAATCCCACTGTACCTATTAAACCATTCCCCCACTTGTGTATCAGGCTGATGCAGCTGCCAGCAGCAGGCTGGACCTAGGAATGCATTTTACACTGTTCTCTGTGAGTGCCCTAGGGCCTCCAGGTTGCCAATACTCACAAAGATCTGGCCACCTGCTTGAGGTTATCAGCACTCTGAGGACTAAGAACTGCACATGTCTGGAAGAGTTCTAGGGATTCTTGGATATTTCCTTCTAGGCGAAATATCAATGCTGCCAAGAAACAGAAAATACAAAAAAAAGTAAAACCATGTTCTGGGAAGAATGGAGCCTGGGGTCAGAAAAATTGGAGAAGAGAAAACTGGGAAACCACATCAAGTAAATCCTTTGGACAACTGTATCCTTAAAACAATCAGATATGGCTTTGGACAGGCTGAAACAACAACCAAAACTGCTGACAAGCTCAACTGTCTTTTAGCAAGGTAGCTCAAACCTACCTACTTCTCTCTCTACTCCCAGGATCCATCACATAGATAATCAGTTCCTTTGCAAATTATCACACAAACTCTTCACATTAACAACATTTTGGGGCTTCCCCATCAGATGCTTCATTTATCATAATTTACTTCCAACTGATAGTTTTCAGAGCGAACCCCCAAATGGGGCAAATGGAATCAATACCTCAAATTCAACATGGAGATTCTGGCAAAGGATAAAGTAACATTTAAGACTTCAGTTGTCAGTGTAACAACCAATTAGAACCAGAGGTTTTTCCTAGGCCTATGTTTCCAGAAGAATTTATCAGGCACTGAAAGTCTGATACTTGTGACACTGGGAATAAGAGCATTTTTTGCCATGATGTCCTAAATTTGTCAATATCTTAACAATTATGTCAGAAAATTATATGTTAATCTGAAGACTACAAATGCAATGAATGGTAAACAAAACCATTTATTTACACCCAAGAGTCAAAAAGAAAGTTCCTGGAAAAACTAAGAATGCTACTTATGCCACTAAAGAGGAAAATTTAAGTCAGTGGGCCAGGTGCAGTGGTTCATGCCTGTAATCCCAGCACTTTGGTAGGCCAAGGCAGGTGGATCACCTGAGGTCAGGAGTTCGAGACCAGCCTGGCCAATATGGCAAAACCTTGTCTCTACTAAAAATACAAAAACTAGCTGGACATGGTGGCATGTGCCTGTAATCCCAGCTAATAGGGGGGCTGAGGCAGGAGGATCGCTTGAACCTGGAAGGCAGAGGTTGCAGTGAGCTGGGATCGCACCACTGCACTCCAGCCTGGGCAACAGAGCAAGACTCTGTCTCAAAAAAAAAAAAAAAAAAAAAAAGTAAGTGAGTGGTCCTTATCTTTGGTTTCTAATGAGCTGAATTTATGCTCTGCTTTATCTTGTTTATTTCCAGGCTTCTTCCCCTCATCCTGATTCACCTTACAGAAATCCTCAAGCTCTTCTTCATCTCTTTTAGCTTGATTACAAGCAATCCTTCCAAAAGCATCTTTTGGCCCTGAAATCACTGCATTAGGCAGGAATCCTAAGCATCCATTCCAAAAAACACTAGCCAGAAACTAAAAAATGGGTAATCATAGCAATTTTTTAACATTACTAGTCATTTCTGAAGTCAAATCCAACACAGTAATTATATTCAGATTCCATAAAAAGATTAATACTGAATAAAACCTTTCTGGAACATTTAAACTCATGCACCTGTAATGACATTTTGGTCGACAGCTGTATAAATGATGATGATCACTTAAGATTATAATGAAGAGGAAAAATTCCTATTGCCCAGTGACGTCATAGCAATCAAAACAGTGCAATGCATTACTTACCTATCTGTAGTGATGCTGGTATAAACAAACCTACTGTGCTGCCAGTCACATAGAAGTACAGCATATACAATTACATATATATAGAACTTAATACTTGATAATAAATGACTACATTACTGGTTTATGTATTTACTACGCTATACATTTTAATCTTTATTTTAGAGTGTACTCCTTCCACTTACTAAAAAAAAGAATAACTGCCTCAGGCAGATCCTTCAGGAGGTATTCCAGAAGGTATTCCTATTGTTATAGGAGATGACAGCTCCATGTATGTTATTGCCACTGAAGACCTTCCATAAGGAGGTGGAAGACAGTGATATTTATAATCTTGACTCAGTGTAGGCCTAGACCAGTGCGTGCGTGCGTGTGCGTGTGTGTGTGTGTGTGTGTGTGTGTGTGTGTGTGTCACAAAGACCTTAGATGGGTCACAAAGCTCTGAATGCCAAAAAAGACAGCAAGGACACATTCCACATGTTAGTACCACCACTGTAGTAGTGTGTGTATCGTAGTTTTTAACAAAAAAGTTTAAAAGTAAAAAAATAAAAAGTTTTAAGAATAGCATAAAGGGCCAGGTGTCGTAGCTCATGCCTATAATCCCAGCACTTTGAGAGGCTGAGGCAGGAGAACTGCTTGAGCCCAGGAGTTCAAGACCAGCCTGGGCAACAAAGTGAGACTCTGTCTCTCTACCAAAAAAAAAAAAGAAAGAAAAAGAAAAAAGCTTATAGAATAAGGACCTAAAGAAACTATTTTTGTACAAATGTACAATGTTGTTGTGTGTTTTAAGTATTACCCCAAAAGAGCCAAAAAGTTTTAAAGTTTATAAAGTAAAAAGTTATAGTAAGCTAAAGTTAATTTATCATTGTAGAAAAAATATTTTTAAATAAATTTAGTGTAGGCTAAGTGTACAGTGTTTATAAAGTCTACATTAGTATACAACATAAAGTCTACATTAGTATACAATAATGTCCTAGACCTTCACATTCACTCACCACTAACTCACCCAGAGCAACTTCCAGTCCATCCATGGTAAGTACTCTATACAGGTATACTATTTTTTATCTTTTATACCATATTTTTACAGTACCTTTTCTATGTTTAGATACACTTACCACTGTTTTACAACTGCCTACAGTATTCGGTATAACACCTGCTCATACAGGTTTGTAGCCTGGGAGCAACAGACTATATCATGTGTATAGTACACTATATCATCCATCTATGTTTGTGTAAGTACACTCCATGTAATGTTCACACAATGACAAAATTGCCTAACAACACATTTCTTAGAACATATCTCCATTGTTAAGTGGTGCATGACTGTACTTGAACTTGTTTCTTCAATTGCCTGATCTTTTTCAAGAACCTAGGAAAAGTGTATTTCTCTAGCAAGAAGACAAGAAGTATGTGTCTTACCTTGGACATAGATAGCATATTCACACAATCCCTGAGTCTCTTGAAGCTGTTCTTTGATAACAGCCTGAAAGAGGGAGAAAAATGCTTCTGAGCAGTGGTTAAGTTTCTTCAGGTGTCTTTAAGAAAAAGTGGACATGGACAGGCCAGGTGCGGTGGCTCATGCTTGTAATCCCAAAACTTTGGGAGACCAAGGCAGGCAGATTATGAGGTCAGGAGTTCAAGATCAGCCTAACCAATATGGTGAAACCCCATCTCTACTAAAAATACAAAAATTAGCCGGGCAGTAGTGGTGCGTGTCTGTAATCCCAGCTACTCAGGAGGCTGAGGAAGGAGAATCGCTTGAACCCAGGAGGCGGAGGTTGCAGTGAGCCAAGATAGCGCCACTGCACTCCAGCCTGGGCAACAGAGTGAGACTCTGTCTGAAAAAAAAAAGAAAACAAATAGTAATGAAAAAGCAGACGTGGACAAGAATCATATGTAAAAAAACCTAGAGTATTAATAATGCCTAGTAAAGTATTAGTTCATTCAGTTTCTTAAAATTTCAACTCCCTTGTTGTGATTACTTCTTCTAGAACAGGGATTTGCAAACTACAGGGCTTACAGGCCCTGTATATTTTTGTACAGCTCTCAAGCTAACAGTGGTTTTTTTATTTCTAAAGGGTTATAAAAAATAAGATAACAAATATGATGTAGAGACTGTATGTGGCCTACAAACCCTAAAATATTGTTGGCCCATTACAGAAAAAGTTTGCCAACCCCTGTCTAAAATCTAACTAGGCAAGCTAAGAAAAGTGTGATAAGATTTCCAAGTATTATCACAGATGAAAAAGAAAGAGAACCTTTCAAGATTCATACTGGTGGCCAGGCGCGGTGGCTCACGCATGTAATCCCAGCACTTTGGGTGGCCGAAGCGGGCAGATCACCTGAGGTCGGGAGTTTGAGACCAGCCTGACCAACATGGAAAAACCCCATCTCTACTAAAAACACAAAAAATTAGCCAGGCGTGGTGGCACATGCCTGTAATCCCAGCTACTCAGGAGGCTGAGGCAGGACAATCGCTTGAACCCAGGAGGCGGAGGTTGTGGTGAGCCGAGGTCACGCCATTGCACTCCACCCTTGGCGACAAGAGCAAAACTCCATCTCAAAAAAAAAAAGATTCATACTGGTATCTGCCTTCGGATCAGCGGTGTCAAAAAAAACTGGTATGGGCCGGGTGCGGTGGCTCACGCCTGTAATCCCAGCACTTTGGGAGGCTGAGGCAGGTGGATTACGAGGTCAGCAGTTTGAGACCAGCCTGACCAACATGGTGAAACTCCACCTCTACTAGAAATACAAAAAAAAAAAAAAAAATTAGCTGGGCATGGTGGCGGGCACCTGTAATCCCAGCGACTTGGGAGGCTGAGGCAGGAGAATTGCTTGAAACTGGAAAGCGGGGGTTGCAGTGAGCCGAGATTGCGCCACTGCACTCTAGCCTGGGCAATAAGAGCAAAACTCCACTTAAAAAAAGAAAAAAAAAAACTGGTATGAATCTTTGTCATACCAGTATGAATTAGTTCTGTGCATTGCCATAGGTATAAATGCCATGGGTATAAATTAAAAACCTTAGATGGGTCACAAAGCTCTGGATACCAAAAAAGATGACACCAAGGATACATTCTGCATGTTAGTACTACCACTGTCTGCCTGCAAGTTTGTAACACATATGGTATGTCACCAAAGATACAGAGAAAGGGAAATACAAATGGTTTTTAAATATACACATGATGATCAACCTTGCAGTAAGAGAGAAATTAAAAAATAAAACTCAGGGCTGGGCACGGTGGCTCACGCCTGTAATCCCAGCACTTTGGGAGGCCAAGGCGGGCAGATCACAAGGTCAGGAGTTCGAGACCAGCCTGGCCAATATGGTGAAACCCCATCTCTACTAAAAATACAAAAAATTAGCTGGGCATGGTGACACTCATCTGTAGTCCCATCTACTGGGGAGGCTGAGGCAGAAGAATTGCTTGAACCTGGGAGACAAAGGCTGCAATGAGCCAAGATCATGCCACTGCACTCCAGCCTAGGTGACAGTGAGACTCCATCTCAAAAAAAAAAAAAAAAAAAAAAAAACTCGACAAAATACCATTTTTCATCTATCCAAAGATAAAAAAGTTAATATGCTGAGTTGAACATCTGCCTCCACCAGAAGACCAACATGTCCAAGAGAGTTGTTTGCTCTTGACATGAGAAGACACATGGAACACACCTAAACCTGACCCACAGCCTGCAGTCAAACCCAGCCAACCCACAGCTGATCTGAAAGCCCATGAGCAATTAATATTTGTTTGTTGGGGGCCACTGAAATATTGAGGTTGTATGTTAAACATCACTACCATAGCAAAAGATAACCAGTGTATGAAGTATGGGGAAGAAGGAATTCATGTTTTATCACTGAGATATAAACTGCCACACTCTGTTTAGCAGGCACTGTTAGTTGCCTACCCAACATCCTGCCTCTCATTTTTATTATTATGGCAATCTCTTACCTTGCAGGCTTCATAATCTTTCCGGATATAATGAAGATGAATCAACCAGTTCTGCTTCTCCAAAATAGGAAACTCTGGAGCTAGGCAGCATATTTTGACAAAACAAACAACACAGTCATTAGATTTTCTCCTTTAGCACTGTCCTCATGTCTAAACTAACCATAAACATACTGCAATATCACATTAAAATTTTGATGCTACTGACTACAATAATATATTATAGTGCATCAAAAATTTATAGACTATTAAACTAAGATACTTGTTCTACTACTACATGTTGAATACATATCTTGAGTTTTTAAAGCTTGTAATATCAGTTTCTCATCAAATAATGACTGGGACTGAAAAACATAAAATCATCCTTCGTCTCTTCTCAATCTCTCCTTCCCTGGTTATAGAAGGTGAACAGAAAGACTTTCTAAAGGAGATTGCAGGAATGTCACTAAGGAAATATATCAGGGGAACCTGCCCCCAATATTTCAATGTAGGTTCTTTCTATTTTCTATAAGCGTCAGCCGGCTAAGAAATAAGAGTACGAAGAGAGGAATTTCACAGCTGGGCCTCACATATATCGGTAGGACCGTGATGCCCACCTGAGCTGCAAAATAAGCAAGTGTTTATTAAGGATTTCAAAAGGGGAGGGGGCCTAAGAACAGTGAGTAGGTCACAAAGATCACATGCCTCAAAGGGCAAAAAGGAGAACAAAGATCACATGCTTCTGAGGAAACAGGACAAGGGCAAAATCAGAAACTCCTGATAAGGGTCCAACAAAGATCACAAGGCAAAAGGCAAAAGCAAAATTACTGATAAGAGTCTATGTTCAGCGGTGCACAAATTGTCTTGATAAACATCTTAAACAACAGAAAACAGGGTTTGAGAGCAGAAAACTGATCTGACCTCAAATTTACCAGGGTGGGGTTTTTTCCCCACCCTAATAAGCCTGAGGGTACTGCAGGAGACCAGGGTGTATTTCAGTCCTTATGTCAACAGCATAAGACAGACATGCCCTATAGACCTCCTCCAAGGAATGCATTCCTTCTCCAGAGTATTATTAAAATTCCTTGCTAGGAAAAGAATTTAGCGATATCTTCCCTACTTGCATGTCCGTTTATAGGCTCTCTGCAAAGAAGAAAAATATGGCTCTATTTTGCCCAACCCCACAGGCAGTCAGACCTTATGGTTGTCTTCCCTTGTTCCCTAAAATTGCTGTTATTCTGTTCAAGGTGCACTGATTTCATATTGTTCAAACACACGTTTTACAATCAATTTGTACAGTTAACACAATTATCATAGTGGCCCTGAGGTGAGGTACATCCTCAGCTTACGAAGATAACAGGATTAAGAGATTAAAGACAGGTGTAAGAAATTATAAGAATATTATTTGGGAACTGGTAAGTGTCCATGAAATAATCACAATTTACGTTCCTCTGCCACAGCTCCAGCCGGTCCCTCCGTTTGGGGCCCCTGACTTCCCGCAACAGAAATATACATATAAGATAGTTAATATCACTTCTGGCCAGGTGCAGTGGCTCACGCCTGTAATCCCAGCACTTTGGGAGGCCAAGGCAGGCAGATCACGAGGTCAGAAGATCGAGACCATCCTAGCAAACATGGTGAAACCCTGTCTCTACTAAAAATACAAAAAATTAGCCGGGTGTGGTAACCCGCACCAATAGTCCCAGCTACTTGGGAGGCTGAGGCAGGAGCATCACTTGAACCTGGGAGAAGGAGGTTACAGTGAGCCGAGATCGCGCCACTGCACTCCAGCCTGGTGAAAGAGTGAGACTCCGTCTCAAAAAAAAAAAAAAATCACATCTGATGATCAGAGTACCACAAATATTTTAAATAGTTAAACACAATCTTTAGAAATAGCTCAAATGAGAACATTATGCTGTTGCCCAGAAATGAGAAGTCAACGATGAAAAAAATCTAGTTGAGTCATTGAAAATGGCTCACAATACAGAAACCATAAAATGAGTTACCTGCCCACTGAAATCAGAAGTTTAAAATATGGTCAAATTCATTAAGAATTACTTTTCTGTGGTAACAAGGAGTAGAAAGATCCAAATTAACCCAAGAATAGTGAAGATCTCAAGGAAGGAAGAGGGAAGAACAGAATTATGAAAAGACAGAAAGGAGACTTCAACTCTTTAATGCCTATTTCTCAAAAAAATAAAAAGCTTTAAAGTAAACATGACTAAATGTTTTTTATTAAGCCTAGCCAGTGAGTACATGTGTGTTTATATTATTTTTTGTGAATTTTAATATGTTGGAGACAGTCCTTTTTAAAAATGGAAAAGAGGCCAGATGTGGTGGCTCATGCCTATAATCCCAGCACTTTGGGAGACCGAGGAGGGCAGATCATTTGAGTCCAGGAGTTTGAGGTCAGCCTGGACAACATGGTGAAACCCCATCTCTACAAAAAAATACAAAAATTAGCAGGGTGTGGTGGCGCATCCTGACATCCCAGCTACTAGGGAGGCTTGGGCACCAGAATCACTTGAACCTGGTGCGGGGAGGTTACAGTGAGCCAAGATCATGACACTGTACTCCAGCCTCGGCCAAAGAGCAAGATTCTGTCTCCAAAAAAAAAAAAAGAAAAGAAAAAAGGAAAAGAAAGGGAAGAGCATGGGGAAGAGAGGAAAATGACTGTAATCCATTTCTTGATGTTCTGCAACCTAAGGAGAAACAATCTAAAGAAAACCAAAAAACTTCTATGTCCATAATATGACAGGAAGAAAAAAAAAGCTTACTGTGACTCAGAGTTAATGTTGCCTGAACACAAAAATTAAAAGGTACAACCAGACACACTGGCTCACAACTGTAATCCCAGCGCTTTGGGAGGCTGAGGCAGGAGGATCAGTTGAGCCCAGAAATTTGATACCAGCCTGGGCAATACAGCAGGACCCTCATTTCAACAAAAAATTTAATTTTTTTAAAAAAATAAAAAAGAAGTAATGCTGCTCATTGCTATCCAAGAATAGGGATTATCAATGGAATTTGTAAGAAGAAATTATAACAGAAAGTATGGATATGACTTTACATGCCAGGAACAAGAAAAAAAGTAAAATTTTAAGCAACTGACTCTTCATTTTCTGACTACACACATTTTCTTAGTAGAACCACCCTTCTAGTCGTTGGGGCCGATCTGAAATTCTTCTAAGACTTGTGTTTCCTTTCTTTTCTTCCCCTAGGCTTCACCAATGACCAGACCTTAGCCATTCACATCCTACTTAACCACTTCCAGAATCAAATCTCCTTCGAAAAAGCCACACGAGTCACCAAGCTTAAAGACATGTGAGTGTGTTAAGTGCATAAAGTGCACCGTCATAAATAGTTCCAGGGTCCGGGGGTGGTGACTCACGCCTGTAATCCTAGCATTTTGGGAGGTCCACGCAGGTGGATCATGAGGTCAGGAGATCGAAACAATCCTGGCTAACACAATGAAACCAAGTCTCTACTAAAAATACAAAAAATTAGCCGGGAGTGGTGGCGGGCACCTATAATCCCAGCTACTCGGGAGGCTGAGGCAAAAGAATCGCTTGAACCCAGGAGACGGGGGTTGCAGTGAGCCAAGATCACACCACTGCACTCCAGCCTGGGCGACAGAGCGAGACTCCATCTCAAAAATAAGTAAATAAATAAATAGTTCTGGGACAAGTAGCTTACTAAGTCATCTTGGACCAAGTCTCAACTGCATGACCCAGTCCTCTGTCACCTATCTACTAAAGGGAAAGAGTAAAAGAGAATGAGGCACTGAACCCTTTTGAGTTTATACTAAGTATTACAAACCTTAGATACTTAGTATATCACTAAGTAGTCTAAAAGAAAATTTATAAAATGTTAATTTTCAAGTCTTAGCTGTTATTAAAATCTCACAATAAAAGACAATCAGGGCTAGCTATAGTGGTTTACGCCTGTAACCCCAGCACTTTGGGAGGCCCAGGTGGACGGATCACTTGAGTCCAGCACTTCAAGGCCAGCCTGGACAAACCCCATCTCTACAAAAAATACAAAAAAATTAGCCAGGAGTGGAGGCACAAGCCTGTAGTCCCAGCTACTCAGGAGGCTGAGTTAGGAGGATTGCTTGAGCCTGGGAGGCAGAGGTTGCAATGAACCATGATTGTGCACTGCACTCCAACCTGGGTGACAGAGTGAGACCCAGTCTCAAAAAAAAAAAAAAAAAAAAAAAGGACAAGCCATGTTTTGTGTTTCTTGAGTGAAAGCTGGAGAAAAAAGTGTTCAATTTGTAAGGTAGCTCAAGAACCCAAACGCTCATTAAATGGAACTCTAGGGATTAGAAAAAGGAAAATCCACCAAATCCAGTGCTGAAGGTCATTTCACACTCTTGGAGATGTAGCTGTCCAAAAGCTAATTTTCGTTCCATCAAATATTTTAGAGAACATTTCAGTGTACACAACTGTCCTATTACCAAATGTGTGACCTGGGAAATTTATAGTTTCCTCATCTGTAAAACCAAGACTCATTCATTCAACCAATATTCGCTGGGTACCTACCATGATTCCAGGCACTGTTCTAGGCACTGGGAATACAGCAGTGAACAAAACTGACTCCCTGATTTCATGGAGTTTATAATTGAGGGCAGGGGCTACTACCACACAGGACAGATAATAAAGTATGTTACACTTATGAGTGATATTTTTCTATGGAGAAAAATAAAGCAGGAAAGAGAAACAGTGCCGGGTGGGGGGTTTTACTTTTAAATAGAAGGGTCAGGAAATAAAATACTCATTCTCATAGAGTTGTATCGTATTACCTAATATATAAAGAGGTTCAAATAGTGCCTGGTACATAGTAGGCCTTAAAGAAATGTTACCTATTATTGTTGCTGTTTTTTTGCATTTTGTTTTTGTTTTGTTTTGTTTTGTTTTGTTTTTTTGAGATGGAGTCGAGTTCTGTCATAAAGGCCGGAGTGCAGTGGCGCGATCTTAGCTCACCGCAATCTCCACCTCCCAGATTCAAATGATTCTTATGACTCAGCCTACTGAGTAGCTGGGATTACAGGCACATGCCACTATGCTCAGCTAATTTTTGCATTTTTAGTAGAAATGGGGTTTTGCCATGTCCGCCAGGCTGGTCTTGAACTCCTGACCTCAAGTGATCCACCTGCCTCAGTCTCCCAAAGTGCTGGGATTACAGGTGTGGGTCACTGTGCTGGGCCTGTTGCTGTTATTTTTATTACCATTATTATCTACTTATCATCAAAGATGAAGGAATTCTGGATACCTCAGAAATCCCTAGAATCTATGAATCCTGAATTTACAATTAGAATTTTACCTGTAAATATATAAGTTGAATTTCTGGTATTCCAAATCATTGCTCACTCCAACTCCCCCTAAAAATGGAGATACTGGTTCTTATATGCTTTCACAGGTATTATGAGAATTACTAGTTGAAAGATCCTCCACAAAACATAAGCATGTAAATGCAGAGCAGAGTCTCCCCTATTTTGCAATAAAGCACAGTGATCATCTCCAATGCTACATTTCAGGAGCCTATGTTACCACAGAGGTCAGGTAGCCAGCTGACGAGATGAAGACAAGGTAATGGCTTTTAGTGAGTTATAAAAAAGACCTCATTCATATCCCAGCTGCCACACTACCCCTCCACCATCACCAAGACAGTGGGGGCAGAAGGCTGGCAACCTAGCAACAATACTCCCTTGCCACTTCTCTTGCCCCATTCTACTCTTTTGTAACATCTCTTCCCCCTTCTTTCTCCCTTTAAGGATGCACCTGACATATTTTAAACAATTCCAGAAGTGAATAAACATGACACCTCAAGAATTCTCCCCTGTAGTTTGCCCTAGGTGCTAAATTCTCTTAGAAGAATTTCAAATTCTGCTTAGGCTCAAAAATCAAACCTTTACATGACACTTTGATTAATGCTAGGGATAGTATGCTAGCTATATAAGTACTAAGCAGAAAATTATTATGGTTCAGATTTTTCATTGAAAAATTTACTAAATAACTAAGGCTTTTGTAAATATATTGCAAGTAAAGCCTTTAAAAAAAATACTCATCAAAGAAAGGATTTCTTCCAGGACTAGCAGACATGTAGCACGTAAAAGTTTTCACATGCAGAATTTCAATCTTGATTCAATACCAGCCTTCTATGGGGCCTAGGGCAAGTTATTTCACTTCTCTGGGCCTCCATTTATCCCCCCTAAAATTTTCACCCGAAAATCCAAAGAATCTGAAAATAGTCATTCAATAAATGTTAATTTCCTCATGCCAAACAGGAATTATAACACTTTTCTACCTCAATAGGATATTTGGGGTATCAAAAGAGATAACAAATCTTGAAAAGAATATAAATGTAAGACATTTTCATTACTATCATTTTGAGCCCTGTATCAGTCAAAGCCTAACAAAAAGCCACTTGAGGATTTGAAACACAAGGACTTTAATGCAGAGAACAGGCAATGGAAGAAATGAGAGGCCCAACAGGGAATGGTGAGACAAATCAGAAGTCTGCATGAGCAAAAAACCACTACGACTCTGAGGCCTGAAGGTCGGGGAGGGAAGCCCTGTCTTCTCTTTCCTCTTGCCTTCTAATCTCCTGCCAGTTCCTCCACTTGCTAATCCAGCCAGAAACTGCTGACACGGAAGCCTGGGAAGAAAAGGAGGCTGCAAGAGTCAGCTCCTCGGCCGGGCGCGATGGCTCACGCCTGTAATCCCAGCACTTTGGGAGGCCGAGGCGGGCGGATCACGAGGTCAGGAGATCGAGACCATCCCGGCTAAAAAAAGGTGAAACCCCGTCTCTACTAAAAATACAAAAAAAATTAGCCGGGCGTAGTGGCGGGCGCCTGTAGTCCCAGCTACTTGGGAGGCTGAGGCAGGAGAATGGCGTGAACCCGGAAGGCGGAGCTTGCAGTGAGCCGAGATCCCGCCACTGCACTCCAGCCTGGGCGACAGAGCGAGACTCCGTCTCAAAAAAAAAAAAAAAAAAAAAAAGAGTCAGCTCCTCACTATACCAAAAAGAGAAGAGAAGGCAAGGAATGGATCTGAGGGCGAACAGGCCCAGGATCAAGAGAAACATCTACTCTGTTCAGGTACATAAATGATGATGAAGGAAGAGGAAGAGACTGGGCTGAGTCAGTATTGACTCAAGAATACATGCTAGAAGCTGGCCTATAATTTTTTAATTATATTGCTGCTATCCAGTTTGTTTGCTTCTCATTAGCTTGAAATGAGGAAGAAAAAAGTCATATAAAAGATTAGCTAATTATGGTTTTACTTTATAGCTTAGATTATTTTATTTCCTCAAAGCAAAATTTAACAATTATATCCTTCTTAAGGGTGTGTGTGCATGTATCTCAAAGTTTTTCTCTCTTATTATTCCACTGAATAGTCACGTAAGGCCAGTGAGTTATGCAATTCAGAGAACATTCTCACATTATAAAGGAGGAAATTAAGGCCCTAAAGGTTAAGTAAATTGTCCACATTCAACAAGTAGTTAATGGAAGAGGCAGGACTATAACCCAGGTCTCCAAGGTGACACATTAAACCAAGTTTCTGCCCAATCATAAAGGATTTTCTAATATTACAATGTAAATGTTTGGGCTGTCAATTAGACATAACTGAGCAACGCAACATTAATGATTTTAAAGCGGCCAGGCACAGTGGCTCACGCCTGTAATCCCAGCACTTTGGGAGGCCGAGGCAGGCAGATCACGAGGTCAAGAGATTGAGACCATCCTGGCCAACATGGTGAAACCCCATCTCTATTAAAAATACAAAAAAAAAAAAAAATTAGCTGGGCCTGGTGGCACACACCTGTAGTCCCAGCTACTTGGGAGGCTGAGGCAGGAGAATTGCTTGAATCCGGGAGGCAAAGGTTGTGGTGAGCGGAAATCGCACCACTGCACTCCAGCCTGGCGACAGAGCAAGACTCCGTCTCAAAAAAATAATAATGATTTTAAAGCTTTTCTATTATTTTTTTTAAAACCAGTGTTTTTCATATATCAAAGTAGGAAGACTTTCAAATGATTTTTAAAAATAACTAGTTGGTTTTCTTAAAAATACATACTTACAGTAAAACAAAATTCAAAGGGCACATAGGATACTAAACAAAAGACCCATTCCATTCCTATCCCTTACCAGAGGTGAAGCATTTCTTGAGTATTTTCAAGGAATTTCTATGCACATATAAGCATATGAGCAAGTGTGTGTGTGTGCGTTTGTACACCTTTATTTTACACATGGGGATTATATTGACCGCATTTTAAAAATTGCTTGCTAGTATTCACTGAGCCTAAATATATCCTTCCTGGTGACCCTGAAAATCCTACTCCTAAGTATGTATGTGTACCAAAAAACATGTACAAGACTCTTCATGGTGGCATTATTCATAATACATCACAATAAAAATATCCCAAATGTTCATCAAGTATAAAATGAATAGACTTAGGTAGAGCCCCACAATGGAATATATATAACAAGGAAGAAAACAACCAACCACTACTACATGCAACAACATAAATGAATCTCACAAACATAATTCTGAGCAACGAAGTTAGATATTAAAAAGTACACACTGCATGATTCCATTTACATTAAATTCAAAAGCAGGCAAAACTGATGTAGAAGATAGAAGTTAAATACAAGTTACTACCTTTGGGAGGGGTGGTTAATGACTGGTAGGGAATAAGGAGGCGGCCTGGAGGGCACTGATAATATTCTATACCTTAATCTAGATGGTGATTACATGGATATGTTTACTTTGTAAAAATTCACTGCACAGTACAATTATGATTTATGTATGTACTTTTCTGTATATATATTTCAATAGAAAGATATCAAAAATTACTGATTGAGCCAAATTAGACATTTTCTAAAACCAAAAAATTAATTTCTGCAATATTAATGCAGAAAAGGGAGAGGACACACAACTCAGTCTGGGGTAAGGATCAAGATTTCCTAGACAAGACAGAGAAGGCATTAATAACAAAAGAAAAATAATAGTAAATTGGCCTTCATCAAAATTAAAACTTTTGATCATCAAAAGATACCTTAATAAAATGAAAGTAGTAAAACACAGGCTGGGGGGAAATACTTACCACATATATAACAGACAAAGGACGTACATTCAGAATATATTAAGAAGTCTCACAAATCAATAATAAGGAAAAAAGAAATTTAAAAATAGGCAAAAAACTTGAGCAGACACTACACAAAAGATATGACCAATAAGTATATGAAAAGGTGTTCAACATCACTAGTCATTAGTGTAATGCAAATTAAAATCACAATAAAACACAATATACCCACCAGCAAGTCTAATATGAAAAAGACTGATAGTAACAAATGTTGGCAAGAATGTAGCCAAACAGAATCCTCACACGTTGCTGGCGGTCGGGTAAAACTGTACAACCACTTTGGAAAATACTTCGGCAGTTTATTATAAAGTTAAAACAAACAGTTCACATATGACCAAGCAATTCCACTCCCTAGGCACTTATTCAAGTGAAAACTTGCACACACATGCACACACAAAAAAAACCAGTAAATAAATGTTCAGGCCGGGTGCAGTGGCTCATGCCTGTAATCCCAGCACTATGGGAGGCTGAGGCGGGCGGATCATGAGGTAAGGAATTCAAGACCAGCCTGGCTAATATGGTGAAATCCCGTCTCTACTAAAAATAGAAAAATTAGCCGGGCATGGTGGCACACACCTATAGTCCCAGCTACTCAGGAGGCTGAAGCTGAAGAATCGATTGAACCCAGGAGGCGGAGGTTACAGTGAGCTGAGATCGCACCACTGCACTCCAGCCTGGGCAATAAAGCGAGACTCCATCTCTAAATAAATAAATGTTCATAGAAACTTTCACAGTACTCAAAAACTGGAAACATTGCAAATACTCATTAACAGGAGAATGGACAAACGGTGGTATATTCATGCAACTGAATACTAAACAGCATTTTTTAAATAAAAGAACTACTGATACATATAACAACACGGATGAATCTCCAAAACAACATGTTGTATGAAAGCTGCCAAAAGCTAAATAGTAGATACTGTATGGCTCCCTTTGTGTGAAGTTCAAGCACAACTTATTATAGGAAAGTTCAAAATCAATTTATACAGGCAGAAATCAGAATGGTGGTTGCATCTGGCGAAGTGAAGCAGAAGACTTACTGGAAAAAGGCATGAGGAAACTTTCTAAGTGATAAAAATGTTTAATTTGATCTGATGATTACAGGAATATAAATATGTACATGAGTATACATATCTGTCAAAATTCAAGAGTGTGTATTTCAGATTTAAAGATTTACTAGCATTGAAATTAAAAATAATAGGGAAAAATTAGATATATACTACCTTCCATTTAAATTAGAAGTTAACATTGTTCCTCAAAAATTAAACAGAATTGGGCCAAGCACGGTGGCTCACACCTGTAATCCCAGAACTTTGGGAGGCTTTGGGGTGGATCATGAAGTCAGGAGCTCGATACCAGTCTGGCCAACATAGTGAAACCCCGTTTCTACTAAAAAGACAAAAAATTAGCCAGGCATGGTGGTGGGCACCTGTAATACCAGCTACACGGGAAGCTGAGGCAAGAGAATCACTTGAACCCGGGAGGCAGAGGTTGCAGTGGAAAAAAAAAAAAATGCTTAGCTCATCCATTTAATCAGTGGAGCGGTGGAGCAAAAGCCAGATTACAATAGACAAATAGACTCAGAGGTGAGGATACCAAGACAAGTAAGATAAACTATTCTTTCAGAAAGCTAATCAATGAAAGTCATTCACTATCACAGTAGAAATAGTGAGATTTGGTAACTACTTATCAAAGACTGTGACAGTGGTTTCATGTAGACTTTAGGGTGAATTAGGTAACAACTAAATTACCTTGTAACTCTATAATTCTGTATACACAAGAACCAAAATTAGCAAAAGGAAAAGATTAATGAAGTGAAGAGCATGTACAGCATCTACAAAATCAAAATCACGTCTGAGAACCAAATATATACACAGTAATTAGTCTGTAGAATAAATTATTATATACAGTACAGGAAATGACATATTTCTAGAATATCTACAAAATTCCTAGTTTCTACAACTTTTAAATTCTTTAAGAATTACTGACATATAAAGACTCTAAGGAAAACAACCCAAATGCCCATCAACAGACAGATAAACAAAATGTGATATATACATACACTAGAATATTATTCAGCCTTAAAAAGGAATGAAATTCTGACACATGCTACAACATGAATGAATCTTGAAAATGCTGAGTGGAATAAGCCAGGCAGAAAAGGGCAAATATTGTATGATTCACCTTACATGAAAAACCTAGAATAGTCAAATTCATAGATACAGAAAATAGAATGGAGATTACCAGGATCTGGGGAGGCAAGGGGATGTGGAGATTTATTGTTTAATGGGTACAGTGTTTCTGTTTGGAATGATGAAACACTTCTAGAAATGGACAGTGGTGATGGCTGCACAACTTTGTAAATGTACTTAATGCCACTGACTTACACACTTAAAAATGGTAAATTTTATATATATTTTACAATAATAAATTATTCTATTAAACAATTAGTCTAAAACCAGATATCAAGCTGAGATCAGGTTTTTTACATAGTGAGTATGTTGTCTCAGGTTGTGGACAAAACTCATCCTCAGCTATGGCCACCCCAAAATGGGTAAAGTTTTCAATGAAGACTCCTTTAAGGAAGAAAATAGACTCAAGCAGTAAATCAGTTCGCTCACCTCAATGATGGGTAAGATCTTCAACTGAAAGCCAGAAGAAAGTCACCTAAGGTTACATCATGGGGCAAAAGGAAGAGGACTTCAGTAGCCTCATGTAGCATATTATTTTCTCAGAACCACCAAGTAGTTCTGATCAATAATTTCATTGCCTGTTCTTGAAAAAGTCCTGATATATTTGGACAAAAATACCAAACAGAAATCTGTTTATCCCTTCCACAGTTGGCAGTCATCACCCTCAAAACTAAAGAGTCAAACTTTGAGAGAATATGGACCTCTCAAGCTGAGGAGGAAAGAGTGAGGGAGAGGCACAACATCCATTCTCAGTCAAAATGCCTCCAATTGCTACTTGTTCAAATAACGTCTCTCAGCTTGCTAATCCAACTTCTGTGTGAATTCTTTATGCACTTACCAACTTTCTGCCTTCTATTTCCAAGTATTACACTACTTAACCAGAGCAGTGGTTCTCAAGTGGGAACAATTTTGCCCCAGAAGGAATAACTGGCAACATCTGGAGACACTTTTGGTTGTTACAATTAAGTGCTACTGTCATCTACCAGGTAGAAGCCAGGGATGTTGTTAACCATCCTACAATATACAGGACAACTCCAACAAAGATTTATCTTGCTCAAAATATCATTCATGCCAAAGCTGAAAAAACCTGAACTAGAGGTATAAAAAAAGTCTAAGGATTTCACAGTAAAATGTGACAGCTTTTTATTCAAAGTACTACTTTTTTAATTTGTTAAAGTCCCGTTAATACTTAAGGATGATAGTTCTTCTCTTTTCTTAATACCTCCCTATATTGGGCTGGATGCAGTGGCTCATGCCTGTAATCCCAGTACTTTGGGGGGCCAAAGCAGGTGGATCACTTGAGGTCAGGAGTTCAAGACCAGCCTGGCCAACGTGGTGAAACCCCATCTGTACTAAAAATAAAAAAATTAGCCAGGCATGGTGGTTCATGCCGATAATCCCAGCTACTTGGGAGGCTGAGACAGCAGAATCACTTGAACCCAGGAGGTGGAGGTTGCAGTGAGCTGAGACTGCACCACTGCACTCCAGCCTGGGTGACAGAGCGAGCCTCCGCCTCAAAAACAAACCAACAAACAAACATTATATGAGGTTTAAAAGCCACTGAAAAATTTACATAACCCAGGTGCAATAGCTCATGCCTGTAATGCCAGTACTTCAGGAGGCCGAAGATGGAGTATCACTTGAAGCCAGGAGTTCAAAACCAGCCTGGGCAACAGAGCCAGACCCCCATTTCTACAAAAAAAATACATAAAAATTAGCCAGGCATGGCGGCATGCACCTGTAGACCCAGCTACTGGGGAAAACCATTTGAACCCAGGAGTTTCAGGTTGCAGTGAGCTATAATCACACCACTGCACTCTAGCTTGGGTGACAGAGCGAGACCCTCTCTCTCAAAATAATAATAATGTATGATTCCATTTATTTGGCATTCCAAGAAAGGCAAAACTAGGAAGAAAGAAACAGATTAATGGCTGCCCGCAATTGGGAATGGAAGAAGTGGTTTACTACAAAGTAAAGGTGACTTTTGGGGGAGTAATTAAACTTTTATAACTTGATTATGGTGCTACTAGTGGTTACATGGCTAGTTTCATTTGTCGAAACTCAGAATTTGTACTAAAAAAAGGGAATTTTACTCTACGAAAATTATATGTTGATACCATTCAAAGACTGGCCAAAGCAAAACTAAAATAGCTAAATAAATAACTAAAACTAAAATATTATCAGGCAAAGTAGACTTCAAACAAGGAATATTATCAGAAATTGAAGAGGAATATTATATAAAGACAAACGGGTCAATTTACCAAGAAATCAGACAATCCTAAATGTATATGCATCCAACAACAGATCTTCAAAATACACAAATCAAAAATTGATAGAACTGAAAGTAGAAACAAATCCACAATTACATTTGCACACTTCAACACTCTTCTATCACCCTTCCAATCAGTAACTACATCAGTAAGAATATGAATATCTGTAATTGTAAGTATATACAGAACACTATCAACCAACTTGACCTAATTGACATTTACAGAATGCTACATCCTACAAGAGCAGAATACACATTATTTCCAAGTGTACATGGGACATGCACCAACACAGGCCACATTGTGGGCCATAAAACAAACCATATAAAGAATGTTCTCTACCCACAATAGAATTAAACTAGAAACCAACAAAGCAAAAAGATACCTGGAACTTCACAAAGTGGTTTTTCCAGAAGCAGAAAATTAGTACACACTTACATAATAATCAAACCCCATTTAAATAATTTCCAGGTCAAACCAACCTCCTAATATCTAATAACTCTATTAAATAAAAGCTAGATGTGACAGAACATTTAGACTATTACTTCTTTTCCCAACACTCATTTTGAAATAATATAGAATAGATAAAAGAATCAACAAGAGAGAGAAATCTGGCCAGGCGTGGCGGCTCACGCCTGTAATCCCAACACTTTGGGAGGCCAAGGTGGGCAGATCACCTGAGGTCAGGAGTTCGAGACCAGCCTGGCAAACACAGTGAAACCTCATCTCTACTAAAACACAAAAGTTAGCCAGGTGTGGTGGCGTGCACCTGTAATCCCAGCTACTCGGGAGGCTGAGGCAGGAGAATTGCTTGAGCCCCAGAGGCAAAGGTTGCAGTGAGCCAAGATTGTGCTACTGCACTCCAGCCTGGGTGACAGTGAGACTCTGCCTCCAAAAAAAAAAATAAATAAATAAATAAAAGAGAAATCTGTCTGTGCAAACATACACATACCATGAAACTGCATACAGACCTTTTTTCTGCCGGGGTTTTTGAGACTCAGTAGATACAGGAAATTGAGTTCTCTGAAATGAAATAAGTAGTCTATATTGAAGCACCACAATATAAACTTGCTAACTTAAAGAAGCATCCAAATAACAAGAATAATCAGTAGCTCACCAATTATGCAATTAATCCATTAAATCCATATTGTGATAGAGTTACTTTAAATATGGTTTAAAAAACAAATGTCAAGTCATACTTTTGCTATCCAAACTATTAACAATGTATAACACATATTTATAATATTTACAATGTGCATTTTTAATGTATAATTATAGTATATAGTAAAATGTGCATAAGAAATATACTCAGTTCTTAAACACCTCATATGAGTATTATACTTGATGCCATACTTCTCAGCAGCCAAACCAAAAAAGTGATCGCTGTTTGATAAAAGGAAGCTTATGAGATCATCTACACAGAAACTGTCTAGCACTCAATTCTAAAAGGGAGATAGTTATTTTCCACTATAACCTCATAGAAAACCATCAAATGAATTTTTCTTTTCTCAACTTCCTATGACATACCACAATATAAGCAAAAATAATGGCTCAAATTTTTCCAGATGTAATGAGAAACACCAATCCTTAGTTTCTGGATACTCAACAAATCCTGACCAGGTTAAATGAAAATAAATACATACTTAGATACATCATAGCGAACTGCACCAGAGACAAGAAGCAGCTCTTAAAAGCAGCCAAACAAGAAAACATATCACCAGATTACCAACAAAGAAAGGACAGTTATTTGAGAGGCCAAGGCGAGAGGATCACTTGAGGTCAGGAGTTCAAGACCAGCCTGGACAACATGGTGAAACCCCGTCTCTACTAAATATACAAAAATTAGCTCGGCATGGTGGCACGTGCCTATAGTCCCAGCTACTTGGGAGGCTGAGGCAGGAGAATGGCTTGAACTTGGGAAGCAGAGGTTGCAATGAGCCAAGATCGTACCATCGCCCCCCGGCCTGGGCAACAGAGCAAGACTACGTCTCAAAAAAAAAAAAAAAGGAAAGAAAGGCCAGACGCCGTGCCTCATGCCTGTAATTGCAGCACTTTGGGAGGCCAAGGCAGGTGGATCACCTGAGGTTAGGAGTTCAACACCAGCCTGGCCAACATGGTGAAGCCCCATCTCTACTAAAAATACAAAAATTAGCTGGGTGTGGTGGCAGGCACCTGTAATCCCAGCTACTTGGGAGGCTGAGGCAGGAAAATCGCTTGAACCCAGAAGGCAGAGGTTGCAGTGGGCCAAGATCACACCACTGCACTCCAGCTTGGGCGATAAGAGCAAAACTCCATTTCAAAAAAAAAAGAAGAAGAAAAAGAAAAACAAAAAAGACTGACAGCTGGCTCTTCAACAATTAAAAATGGAAGACAATATCACAATAAGACATCATAAGAATAATTACTCCAGTGTCAGGTACTAAGTAAAATGAATGTTAATTTAGACCAGAGGTCAGCAAACTATGGCCCACAGGTCAAATCCATCCTGTTTATTTGGTCTACAAGCTACGAATGATTTTTACATTTTTATATGGTTAAAAAAATTCAAAAAATAATAATTTTTAACACATGAAAATTGAGTCAAATTTCAGTGTCTATAAACAAAATTTGTGAGAACATACCCACACTCATGTTTACATAATGTCTATGGTTGCTTTTGTCCTACAACAGCATTGCTGAGTAGTTGTCAGAGAGACTCTATGGCCCACAAAGCCCACAATATTTACTATCTGGCCCTTTACAAAAAAAGGTTTGCTAACACCTGATCTAGATTCTCTCACCCATCAAAACTAATTTTCAACAACAAAGGCAAATTTTTAAAACTTTCAGAATTTGAGAGTTTTTAGATTCTCACCAAATAAACTTTTAATGAAAATATATTAGGAAAAAGAAAAATAATCCCAGAACAAAGGAGTGGAATAAGCAAAGGAATTGGTAAAATAAGCAAGTATTCTAAGCATCTACTGACTGAATAAAACAAACAAAAAGCATAATTTGTGGTGTTTAATTAAAATACATTAAGAACTACAAAACTAAACAACAATGGCATACATTTGCAGATGGCAATAGATGGTAGTAAAGCATTTGATGGTCCCTGTAGTAGCAACATTTAGGCCTGGACTTACAGTAAACATGTATTTTTTAATTTCTTTGGTACTCATTAAAGGAAGGCAAAGTATAACTTCCAAGGCATGAAATAAGAGGAGCAGAAAGGGAGGGGTAACAGATGGAAATTCAGTTTTTTTAAAAAAAAGAAAGGAGGTAGAAAAAAATGCAATTCTCCAGTTTAAGACAGATAGATCAGCCAGGTGTGGTGGCTCACACCTATAATCCCAGCACTTTGGGAGGCTGAGGCAGGAGGATCACACGAGCCTAGAAATTTGAGAACAGCTTGGGCAAAACAGCGAGACTCTGCCTCTATAAAAAAAACTTTAGAAATTAGCCAGGCATAGTGGCAGGTGCCCTTAGTCCTAGCTACTCAGAAGGCTGAGGTGGGAGGATCTCTTAAGCCCAGGAAGCGGAGTTGCAGCAAGCCATGATTGGACCACTGCACTCCAGCCTGAGGAACAGGCTCAAAACAAACAAACAGCCAGGTGTGGTGGCTCACACCTCTAATCCCAGCACTTCGGTAGGCTGAGGCAGGCCGATTGCTTGAGTTCAGGAGTTTAAGACCAGCCTGGGTAACATGACGAAACCCCGCCTCTACAGAATATACAAAAATTAGCCAAGTGTGGCCTGCGCCTGTGGTCTCAGCTACTCGGGAGGCTGAGGTGGAAGGATCACTTGAGCCCAGGAGGCAGAGGTTGCAGTGAGCCAAGATCACGCCACTGCACTCCAGCCTGGGTGACAGAGCAAGACTCTGTCTCAAAAAAAAAAAAAAAAAAAAAAAAAAAAATTGCAATGTAAATTATCACATTAAGACATAATTTCATATCCACCATGACTGGTGGCAGAAGCATAAATTGTTACAACCACCATATAGTTTCCTGTAAGTAATAAAGTTACTCCATTACCTAGCAATCTATTTCTAGGTATACCTTAGAGAAACTCTTAGATATTGCATCAGAAGACCTACATAATAATGCTCAGGGCTAGGACTAAAGTGAGGCATGTGAAGAACCTAGGGTATAAACCTTAAGAAGGTACTTACTCTTACTCCATAAAATGTGAACCCTAAGCACCTCACTTACCTTTCCTTAGTCTTGGCCATATTTATAGCAGCTTTTTTTTTTTTTTTTTTTGAGACGAAGTCTCGCTCTGCCAAGCTGAAGTGCAGTGGCACAATCTCGGCTCACTGCAACCTCCGCCTCCTGGGTTCAAGTGATTCTCCCGCCTCAGCCTCCCGAGTAGCAGGGACTACAGGCGCGCAGCACCGCATCCTGCTAATTTTTGTATTTTTAGTAGAGACGGAGTTGCACCATGTTGGCCAGGATGATCTCGATCTCTTGACCTCATGATCCGCAGCCTCGGCCTCCCAAAGTGCTAGGATTACAGGCGTAAGCCACTGCACCCAGCAGCAGCATTGTTTTTAATAACTAAAAACCAGAAATAATCCCGATCTCCATCTAGTGGAATGGATAAGTTAATTGACATACTTTACTACAATAAGATACTATACAGTGTTGAAATAATGAATAAACTGAAGGTTAATAACAAATTTTAAAAACTAATATATTAAGGATATATATAAACATATATGGTAAAACTATAAAAAGTACAAAATATTAATATAAAATTGAAGAAACACTACATCTGATGTGGAGGAAGGAAAATGCAGTAGGAGAGAGGCATTTAGGAGGTTTCAAAGTTATTAATAACCCATTTCCTAACCTGGGCAGTAGGAACACAAGTTTCCATTATATTATCCTTTAAAGCACACATACGACATTTTAAGCACTCTTTTACAGGTAGGATATATTTCACAACAACAAAAATTAATCCTCAAAATAAAAGAGAATACTTATGTGAGGCAGGCCAATTGCTTGAGTTCAGGAGTTTAAGACCAGCCTGGGCAACATGGCAAAACCCCGCCTCTACAAAATATACAAAAATTAGCCAAGCGTGGCCTGCACCTGTGGTCCCAGCTACTCGGGAGGTTGAGGTGGAAGGATCACTTGAGCCCAAATGAGGGGCTCATTTGGTTAATGATCTTGATTTAAAAATTCACAAAAATTTATAAAGACATTTCACCAAAGAGATACGGGTGGAAAATAAACATATAAAAAATCTTCAATATCATTATTCATGAAGGAAATACAAATTAAAACCACCATACACCATCACTACCCATCCACTACAACAGCTAAATAAAAACAAACTGACAAACCAAGTGTTGACAGGGATGTGGAAAAATCACAACCCTCATGCATTGCTCATGGAAATGTTAACTCGTATATAGCCTGCAGAAGTTAGGCAGATTTGTTTCTGTTTTTTTAAACAAATACTTAAACAATATAACCCAGCAATTCCATTGACACAGGAACCCTTCTGGAGTGATGGACATGTTTTAAAAGCAGCCTCTGATGACAGCTGTGCAACTATATAAATTTACTAAAACTGATCAAACTTTGTACTTAAATTGAGTAAATTTTATGGTACGTGTATTATACCTCAACAAAACTGTTTTTTAAATGTTAACTCAATTTTTTAAAATCTAACTAGAATTTCTTAACTTTGGGGAATATACTACTAAAGAATGTTAAAGACTCAAAAAGCACCTTCAAAGGTCAGCAACCCTTCTTTCTGCACAAAGCAGAATTATTTTTTTGATGAGTCTTTTACTCAAGACTTTCCAGAACATTTTGAGATGGAAAGGATTCTATTAGCCCACTCAATCTCATTCATAGGATTTATATAGAACAAATTATTTTATTCTGTTATTTCTTCATTTTTATATAGTTTTATGATCATTTATTCATCCAACAAATATTCATGGAGCACCTGATACATAGGCACTATATCTGAGCCAGATCAACTAGTGTACTAATTTCTGTTTTCTGCTCTTATCAGTTTAATCCTTCAATTTACAGGATGACATATTTATCCAAATACATCAAATAATGGGAATCAGGGCATTATAAAAAAAATTTATAGGCTGGGTACAGTGGCTCGCCTGTAATCCCAGCACTTTGGGAGGCTGAGTCGGGCGGATCACAAGGTCAGGAGATTGAAACCATCCTGGCTAACACGGTGAAACCCCGTCTCTACTAAAAATACAAAAAATTAGCTGGGCGTGGTGGCAGGCGCCTGTAGTCCCAGCTACTCCGGAGGCTCAGGCTGGAGAATGGCGTGAACCCGGGAGGCGGAGGTTGCAGTGAGCCGAGATCGCGCCACTGCGCTCCAGCCTGGGCGACAGAGCAAGACTCCGTCTCAAAATAAATAAATAAATAAATAAATAAATAAATAAATAAATAAATAAAAAGATTTATAAGCACAAATCATGAAAGCCAGAGTTAGTTGCTCATTCATTTTTTGTTTTTTTCAGACAAAGTCTCACTCTGCCCCTGCTGGAGTCCAGTGGCATGATCATGGCTCACTGGAGCCTCAACTTCCCCCAGGCTCAGATGATCCTCCCCAGTAGCTGGGAAGACAGGCGCGTGCCACCACGTCTGGCTAATTTTTGTGTTTTTTGTAGAAATGGGGCTCCAACATGTTGCCCAGACTGGTCTCAAACCTCTGGACTCAAGTTATCCTCTCACCTCAGTTTCCACAAGTCCTGGCATTACAGGCATGAGCCACCAAGTACAGCCTGTTTGCTCATTTTTTAAGAATTCTAAACTATACTGAAAATACAAATATTAGTCCTCAGTTTTCCTTCTAAGGAACTGGTAGCAATCCGTAAGTAATTTTGGTAGCATACTAGAATTTCTGCGTCCCACACTGGGCTAGTTTTACTCAGTTTTGATGGGGTGTCTTCTGGCCTCAAGGCCTTGACTGTAGCCTTCTTAGATTTTTAGCTATACATTTCTTCAAAAATTCTGTGAGTTTTGAGTCTTTTCCTTTTCTCTCCTCCATATCCATATATCCTTATCTACGGATCTATATGTTTTCCTTTGTGTTATGAAATTAAGATCACATAATATACCCCACTTCACATCTACCTTTTATTTAAATGTACACCATGGAAGTCCCTCCAAGTCAATTAGTCGTAACATTCTCTTTTTTTTTTTTTCTTTCTGAGTTTAGGAATGGAGGTTTAATAGGCAGAAGAAAGAAAGGAGAACAGCTTTCTCTAGTGAGAGAGAGGGGCTTCTGAGAGGAAAAGCAATTAGTTGTAACATTCTTTTTAATGACTGCATAATATTCCACAGTATGGAAATATCTGAAGTCATCAATTACCCTATTAATGGGCATTTAATTTGCTTCCAGCGTTTTGCCACTACGGATAGTACTACAACGAATGCCCTAGTACTACACGCTCATGTTTAACACTTTTTTCTGTGGGACACAGGTCTAGGAGTAGGATTACTGGGTTCTTTTAATTGTATTAAAAAATAAGGCAGGGGGCCATGGCTCACGCCTGTAATCCCAACACTTTGGGAGACCGAGGCGTGCAGATCACAAGGTCAGGAGTTCAAGACCAGCCTGGCCAACGTGGTGAAACCCCATCTCCACAAAAATAAGCCAGGCATGGTGGTGAGGGCCTGTAACCCCAGCTACTCGGGAGGCTGAGGCAGAAAAATCACTTGAACCCGGGAGGCAGAGGTTCCACTGAGCTGAGATCACGCCACTGCACTCCAGACAGGGCGACAAAGTGAGACTCCGTCTCAAAAAAAAAAAAAAAAAAAAGATAAAATACCACTTCCTAAAAGGACAGAAATTCACATTTCCATGCATTGGTAACTTGAAAAGATGAAAATTACTATAAACGTAACACTACTAGCAATAAATTTGACAACAATGAAAACAGTTAACTTCAGGCTTAATTGCTAAGTCATATCGAAACAAAAGCTATTCTCTTTAAAACAGTATTAGACATTCAAATGTACATGACAATTCTGCCGTCACAGACTCAAGTTCATATTCTATTACACAAACACTTGTGATGAGCACTAGAGGATAAGCTATATTTGTAGCAATGTTATGTTACCCATTATCTTTTACACTTTAAGATTACTTAGAAGTATTTTCTTTTTTTTTTTTTTTTTTTTTTTGAGACGGAGTCTTGCTCTGTCACCCAGGCTGGAGTGGAAGTATTTTCTTTCCTATGTTTTTAATATTTAAAACCCAGTAACATTAACCATGCTATTTACTTTTTTTTTTTTTCTGAGACGGAGTTTTGCTCTGGATGCCCAGGCTGCAGTGAAATGGCACGATCTCGGCTCACTGCAACCTCTGCCTCCTGGGTTCTAAGCGATTCTCCTGCCTCAGCCTCCCTAGTAGCTGGGATTACCAGCGCCCGCCACCACGTCCAGCTAATTTTTTGTATTTTTTTAGTAGGGACAGGGTTTCACTACGTTGGCCAGGCTGGTCTCGAACTCCTGACCTCAGGCGATCCACCCACCTCAGCCTCCCAAGGTGCTAGGATTACAGGCGTGAGCCACTGAGCCTGGCCTATTTAATTATTTTAAAATCTGTTTTTTCTTTCTTTTTTTTTGAGAAGGAGTCTGTCTCTGTCGCTCATGCTGGAGTGCAATGGCATGATCTCGGCTCACTGCAACCTCCGCCTCCGGGGTTCAAGCGATTCTCCTGCCTCAGCCTTCCAGGTACCTGGGATTACAGGCGAGCGCCACGATGCCCCGCTAATTTTTGTATTTTTAGTAGAGACGGGGTTTCACCATGTTGGCCAGGATGGTCTCAAACTCATGACCTCAAGTGATCCACCCGTCTCGGCCTCCCAAAGTGCTGGGATTACAGGCGTGATGCACCGCGTCCGGCCTAGCTATTTTAAATTTCTTAGCTTAATAAAAATGTTTCGGCCGGGCGTGGTGGCAGGCGCCTGTATTCTCAGCTAATCCGGAGGCTGAGGCAGGAGAATTGCTGGAACCTGGGAGGCGGAGGTTGCAGTGAGCCGAGATCGCGCCATTGCACTCCAGCCCGGGCCGACAACAGCGACACTCCGTCTCAAAAAAAAAAGTTTCTGTCTTCAGAGTTTTCTAATTAGACTAGAATAATATGACTACTCTGCAAATGAGAGTAGAAAACAAACAAAAGGCCCTCTAACAATAACACTAACCTTGCTGCTTAGCCAAAACTAAGTTGTAAAACAGCCAAAGGCTGCTATTTGTACTGTTTTCCAGGGCGTTTTTCGAAAGACAATAAATTCCGAATACCTAAAATCATTCTAACAAATGGACAGAACAGGCTTTCAAACCCAACACTAAAGCAAGGTAAACAAAGCTTCACACTTGGCACTTTACCGAAATTAGATCCAATTATAGATATATGCCTCAAAAAATAGCGACTAGGTCATCCTGAATTCATCGGGTTCCTCTATATTAGCAGTTCTGTGGAGTGAACGCCCAACTCAGCCTTCAGATGAATTCCAAAACCGTACTTTCCTAAACTTAATCACCACAGAAAAAACACAGTCCCGCTCCACTGGCAGAAGGCAGTGACGCTGCAAGCTTCCAGGCATGTTAAATTCCCAATTCACGGGATTAACAGGAACTGTCTACACAAGTGCTAGTCATTACCTTCCAAACCCCCGAGACAGAAAAAGATGGCACTACGGTAAGAGCCATTACTGGTGAAAAGTCTCCCTTCTCCGTCCAGCGCACCCCAAGAGGGACTACAGTCCTAGAACAGGACCTGTGCTGCTAAGTATCCAGACTTGCCCCAGGCGACCAGTTCCCGGGACAGTAAAAAGGGGACCGTGTCGCCCCGCCCACCCTGAGACGCTCGGCACCCAGCTCCGCCTCTCTCCAGGAACCGCTGCATGGGACAAAAGCCACCCGCCAGCTTGCCTTGCCCTGCGGCCGGGCAACTAAAGAGAATCTCGGCGCTCACCGTCGCGACTCTCTCCTCAGCCATTTTAGCTCAGCCCACCGCTGCGCGGCCGGAAGTCGGCGGTTTCCCAGACGACGAGGCAAGCGGAAGTCGTAGGGCTGTGGAGGACTGTGAGGAAGCGGGGGAAGGAAGTAAATCGCCGAGTGACCTAAGGAATCAGGGGGAGGATTAGGGTCTGCTCCACAGAAGGCTTACCTCTGAAAGAGTCGGGGAGGGAATGCGCAGCCACTCGCTGCCTTTATCCCGAGAAGCCCCTAACACCCCTCGCCGTGGTCTGTACATGGTCTGTACCTCCGGCCGCGCTGGCTGGTAGGCCAGCCACCTGGGATGGCAGCCTAGTTCTCCCGCCACCTTACCCTGCCCTGACTCTAATCTGCATTTAATTCAGTCCTTCTTCCGGGAGATTTCGGCGGAGAATTTCTTTCTCGCCTTAGGTACAAAACTCCCCGTTTCTTGGCTGTCACTATCGAACTGAGGTACTCACCTTATCAGCTTCCCACTCTTGTTTACTCCAGAGTTTGCAAACATGCTCCTGGTGGGCTGCATTTGAACGGCAGTCTTTTGATTGGAAATATTTAAAAGTTAGGAGATTTCACAAGAAATCGGCCATGGGATAAAGAGACGACAGTCGGCGTTTTCTGCAAGGCAGTGAAATAGATCTGAATAGCGGCTGCGACTGTAGATAACTTCCCTTCCTAACATACTTAAGGCGTTCTCCATTACCTGTCTGGCCCCCGGTGCGGTGAATTAAATGTTTAGTGTTTCTAAACTAGGAAAACGTGTGGGCTTTGGAATCAAACATGAGTTCTGAATTTGACTACTGCATGACCTAAGCCCGTCGTTTCTTTGAGCCTCATTTATTAAAGTGCCGGGAGCTGTGTGATGAACAAAACGGAGGATCCCTGCACCTGAGCACTGACATTAGCCCCAATTCATACTTTTAAGTCTCGCCCTTGTAATTTAGACATAAAATCTGCCTCTCCCAATTCATTAACTGGGAAAGCATTTAAGACAAGTTTCTCCAGGCCTCTAAGAGAGGGAGAACCCCACTGACAATTAGAGTTACATAGAAGAAACAAGTACGGTAATCTATCCAAATACAAGGGGAAAGGACAGCAATAGAATAACAGCTCTTCTAAGTATTTCAGTAACACTCTCTCTTTTAATCTTTATAACAATCCCATGAGACTGTTGGTCTCCCACTTTTTTCAGATAAATACTCTGCCTTTCATTTATTAAAAATAAAATTTTCCAGCTTGGCCAGCATGGTGAAACCCCGTCTCTACTAAAAATACAAAAAATTAGTCGGGCATGGTGGTGCCCGCCTGTAATCGCAGCTACTCGGGAGGCTGAGTCAGGAGAATCACTTGAACCCAAGCGGCAGAGGTTGCAGTGAGCCGAGATCGCATTTCTGTGCTCCAGCCTGGGCGATAGAGGGAGACTCCGTCTAAAAAACAAAAATTTGCTGGGCTCGGTGGCTCACGCCTGTAATCCCAGGACTTTGTGAGGCTGAGGTGGGCAGATCACCTGAGGTCAGGAGTTCAAGACCAGCCTGGCCAACATGGTGTAACCCTGTCTCTACTAAAAATACAAAAAATTATCCGGGCGTGGTGGCCGGCTCCTGTAATCCCAGCTACTAGGGAAGCTGAGGCAGGAGAATTGCTTGAATCCAGGAGGTGGAAGTTACAGTGAGCTGAGATCATCCCATTGCACTCCAGCCTGGGCAACAAGAGCAAAACTCTGTCTCAAAAAAATTTTTTTTCAGAGGCAGGGGTCTCACTATTGATGTCCAGACTGGACTTGAACTCCTAGGCTCAAGTAATCCTCCTGAGGCAGGAAAATAGGGTCTGGAGGTAGGGAACATAAGGCCAATTCACACTTCAGCTATAACAGGTAATATTCTGTCCATAGGGCATAGGCCATAAATGTCTTTGTAACTTTACTTCATCTTCTCTATTTACATAAGGCATACCCGAAGTAACCATGGAATCCTCTGGGGTTATTTAAACTCCCCAAAATTCTGTAACGGAGCCACTGAACTTCTAAGCTCAGGCCCGCTCCCACACTGGAGTGTACTTTCATGTTCAGTAAATTCCTTGTCCCTTCCTTGCTTTGTTTGTGCATTTTGTCCAATTCTTTTTTCAAGACACCAAGAACCTGGACACCCTCCACCTTTAACACTTCCACCTCATCCTCTCAAGTAGCTAGGATTACAGGCACCAGTCACCATGCCTGGTGCTAAATTCTCCACTTTTCAGAGATTAATTAAACACCTTGCCTAAGTGAGCCGAGATCGTGCCACTGCACTCCAGCCTGGGAGACAGAGCAAGACTGTCTCAAAAAAAAAAAAAAAGATATAAAGATGAAAAATTATTAATTTCTAATCCACAGTGCTTAGTTTTTTTGTTTTTGGGACAGGATCTCGCTCTGTTGCCCAGGCGGAAGTGCAGTGGGACAATCACGGCTCACTGCAGCCTCTACCTCCCAGGCTCAAGTGATCCTCCCACCTCAGCCTCCTGAGTAGCTGGGACTACAGCTTCATGCCACCACACCCAGCTAATTTTTGTATCTTTTGTAAAGATGGGGTTTCATCATGTTACCTAGGCTGGTCTCAAGCTCCTGAGCTCAAGCAATCCAGCCAACTTGGCCTCCCAAAGTGTGGAATTACAGGCGTGAGCCACCCCGCCCAACCCACAGCGCTTAGTTTCATGCAGTTTTTCAGTATTCCAGTCCTCTTCATGGGCGGGGTTACTACGCAACACTGGCAGTCTAGGAAGAAATCATTCCAAAGGATCAAAAAAAAAAAAAAAAAAGGAGGAATTGAAGCTAATATCTTCTGCCCTATTCTTTTTATCTTCTACCCTATTTTTTCTTTTAACACATATTCTTTTTGCCACTTTCAAAAGACTGATTCTCAATCTGACATGTCACTCCCTGTTCTCTTCAGTTACCCTTTAGTTCTGCTGATGTGGGGAATCCCCAACACTCCTCTACAGAGAATATACAACATCCAGAACAAAATTTTCCAAAGGCTTCTTCACTAAAGTGTAAGAAACTACTTTCATCTTTTCCTTCAAAGATGCAACAATTTATTTCAGGGACTAAATGTCCAAGTTCCCTTTAACCACCAGATCAAAAAACATTCTAGAAAAACTCCTCTATTATTTCCACCAAATGATAAAAAGTAGAAGCCATTACGTCTCCTTTTTCAGAGCAAAGAACTACAGACTCAGGCCTAGTCCATTTACATGACTGTCTGGGGGTGCCTGCTGCAGTCAGGAGGGCCAGGTGGCAGCTTGGTCAGCGGTGAATAGCGAATAGACTGCAGCATTCTCCTTATAAAGGATTTACTCCTCAATTCCAAACCTTTCCTCAAGGGATTAACAGAAAAGCCAGTAGATGGTGAAACTTAAGTGGGGAATGGATTACAAAGGCTAACTGGTATCTGTAGATGGCTATATGAACATGTAACTTGCAAATACAGAAGAATACATAGTTAAAGTGTTGTCTAGACATCTGGATGAAGTTTTCATTTTATTTTATTTTATCTTATTTTTAGACAGAGTCTCGCTCTATCACCCAGGCTGGAGTGCAGTGGTGCGATCTCAGCTCACTGCAACCTCCAGGTTCAAGTGATTCTCGTGCCTTGGCCTCCCAAGTAGCTGGGATTACAAGCGTCAGCCACCACACCTGGCTAATTGTTGTATTTTTAGTAGAGACAGGATTTCACCATGTTGGCCAGGCTGGTCTCAAACTCCTGACCTCAAGTGATCTGCCTGCCTTGGCCTCCCAAAATGCCAGGATTACAGGCATGAGCCACCATGCCTAGTGTGGATGAAGTTTTAATAAGGTATAATAATGTCCTTCATATCAGAGGTGTGGAAGAAAAGGAAGAGGATGGGGAAATGAGAGAAGAGCATCTTTTCTGGGGGATTTTTAAAATACATATTTCTACACAATAAAGATTTGTTTTTCAAATAAATAAATTACTCTATAGCACCCTTATATACTGTCAGTTCAATAAGTTGTTAACATCTTTTGGAAGGCATCTGGCATTATAAATCCTTAAAAATGTGCATACCCTTTGATCAGTTCTATTTCTGAAATTATATGCTAAGGAAGCAATCAAGAAAACAAAGATTTATAAGAAGAGTATTTACTACACATTTAGTTTGGATAATTAAAAATAATACTTTAAAACTGGAAAGAAAGCTGGGCCCAGTGACTCGCGTCTATAATCCCAAGGCCCAGTGACTTGCGTCTATAATCAAGGTAGTGCCACACTCCTGCCTGGGCAACAGCACGAAACTCTGTCTCAATAATAATAATAATTTTAAAGGAGTCCAAGTGCGGTGGCTCATGCCTGTAATCCCAGCACTTTGAGAGGCCAAGGTAGGCAGATGGATCCCTTCAGGTCCGGAGTTTGAGACCAGCCTGGCCAACCTGGCAAAACCTCATGTCTACTAAAAATACAAAAATTAGCAAGGTGTGGTGGCAGGCGCCTGTAATCCCAGCTACTCGGGAGGCTGAGGCAGGAGAATCACTTGAACCCGGGAGGTGGAGGTTGCAGTGAGATGAGATCGCGCCACCACTGCACTCCAGCCTGGGCGACAGAGCAAGACTTTGCCTCAAAAAAAAAAAAAAAAAAAAAATTTTGGTTCAAGGTAACACAGGAAAACAAGATTTTCTATTCACTGGGGAGAATGTTTTGCTTGGAGAAAAAAGTTCACATTTATTTAGCTTATATGTTCCCTATGGATAATAAGGAGTCACTGAAGGTTTTAGGAAAGGAACAAATATCATAAAACCTAAGTTTTAATTATGTTTAGCTGTGCGGTTGTCTTGTGGGATCTAATACTCACTGAAAAAAGGGAGATGTGGCCACCTCCATGGATCCTGCCATGCCATGAGAGTTCTGACTCTACGCCTCCAAAGGAGGAAAACCAATACTGGATTTTCTGGAAAAGGAGCCTCTTATTTATTCTCCTGAGCTATAGAATTTATAAGGAACTATGTACTGGAAATTACACCTGAAGGCTAGTCACAGGGAAGAAGAAGTCTACACTTCTGCTTGGAGAGTACAGGGCCACGGAGACTACTGGTCCACACTCCCTGGCAACTTCTCCTTTTCAGAATAATGCTGTCTGTGTGGTTTAGGTGTATCTCCCACTGAGTATCAACAGCGGAAGCTAAGTACTATCTAAGTCACATAAACAAGGCAGTAACAAGTGAACCAGACAGGCATCCCCACCTCAGACAGTCCCTTAGCTATTCCCATCCTGTCAGTCCACAGTATGACTCAAGTTGTACATCCCTGTCTCTCACTATCTCAGGTCTCAGTCCTCAATACAGCACTTTTGTTTTTTTTTGA
Organism: Homo sapiens; assembly: GCF_000001405.40. Classification (NCBI taxonomy): domain Eukaryota; kingdom Metazoa; phylum Chordata; class Mammalia; order Primates; family Hominidae; genus Homo; species Homo sapiens. Next base: position 72,680,880 of record NC_000015.10, on the reverse strand, counting down.
GACAGAATTTCACTCTGTCACCCAGGCTGGAGTGCACGATCTCACTGCAACCTCCACCACCTGAGTTCAGGCAATTCTCGTGCCTCAGGCTCAGCCTCCTGAGTAGCTGGAATTACAGGCATCTGCCACCACGGCCAGCTAATTTTTTGTATTTTTAGTAGAGACAGGTTTTTGCCATGTTTGCCTGGCTGGTCTTGAACTCCTGAGCTCAGGTGGTCTGCCCACCTCAGCCTCCCAAAGTGCTGGAATTACAGGCGTGAGCCAACGCACCCAGCCCTTCATCTTTATATCCTGTGTGGATCAGGGTATCTCCTTTTTTTTTGACCTCATTTATCATAGTGCATATCAGATTATATTTATTGATTGGTAAATACATAGATGAATTAGTACATGAAACAATAAATGATTATAATACACAGATATTAGATTGAAAAGTTATGAAAGATAATTTTTTAAAAATGTTCAGTTTATTCATGATCTCATTTTTCCTTCGAGTTTTAATAACAGAATTTTCTAAAAGGCATATATATATGCTGATGTGAGATATGTGTAGGATATCTGTTGAGATAAGAAGTCAGAATAGTTTTTGATCCATAAAACTTACTGTAGACAAGAACTTAAGTTTGTTATTTTTAAAGGTAAATCAGCTTCTAACTTCTTTATTTTGTTTAACCACTTTTCCTCTAGCTACTGAGGTCAAACCTGAAATAGGCTGTAGACTCCACCAGCTGGGTAAGAATGGGAAGAAGATCAGAAAACCTAAACTTTGGTTGATGGACTATTTTGCCCAGGCAAAAGCAGGGAATCTATGAGGAATATGAAGACATTCGTCGGGAGAACTCTGTTGGCACTTTCCACTGTTCCATGTAAGTAGGAAATGTTTGGACCAGCAGTTGGTTACCAGGATGCTTCTGGCGGGCTCTGGCAACAGCTCCTTCCACCCCTCACTTGCTTAACAGAGACCCTTTCTTGTGTTAGGGAACATCACTCTCAGATAAATGATGGTTTCTCGCATGCAGAAAGAGGTACTTTCTGCTTTGGTGCTTCTTACCAACATCCTATACTCTGAAATTTCTGAAGGTTTTTGGTACCAACAGGACAACCCTGTTGGACATTTTTTTTTATATTTTCCCAAAATGCAAGTGTTTTTTAAAAAGGTAGGCTCAAAATAGGCTACTCCCTATTCCTGTTCTCAGTGTGAGCGCTGGTCTGTTCATTTGGGCAGTTTCTCCCCATAACATTTATGGTATAATATTACATCTTGAGGAGGGGTATCTGGTGCATTTAAAATAATCCATAGTTAGTAAGAGAGAAGAGTTGCCTCTTAGGAATTTAACCTCTTGAGATTTTCATTCTACCCAAATCCTATCACAAAACCATCTGGCTAGTTTATAATTCTGGCTCATAACTACTTAATAACTATATCCTTCCTTCCTTCCTTCCCTTCCTTCTTTCCTCTTCCCCTCTCTGCATCTTTTTCTTCTTTCTTTCTCTCTCTCTCTTTTTTTTTTTTTTGAGACACAGTTTTGTGCTTGTTGCCCAGGCTGGAGTGCAATGGCAGAATCTCAGCTCACTGCAACCTCTGCCTCCTTGGTTCAAGCGATTCTCCTGCCTCAGCCTCCCTAGTAGCTGGGGCTACAGGAGTGTGCCACCATGCCCGGCTAATTTTTTGTATTTTTAGTAAAGATGAGGTTTCACCATGTTAACGAGGCTGCTCTCAAACTCCTGATTTTAGGTGATCTGCCCACCTCGAAAGTCCTAGGATTACAGGCGTGAGCCACTACGCCTGGCTGCCCTCTTTCTTTCCTTCTTTTTTTTTTCTTTTTTCTTTTCCCTCCTTCCTTCCTTCCTTTTCTTTTTCTTTCTTTTCTTTTCTATTTTTGAGACAAAGTCTCTTGCTCTGTCACCCAGGCTGAAATGCAGTGGCACAATCATGGCTCATTGTAGCCTCGAATTCCTAGGCTCAAACGATCCTCCTACCTCAGACTCCTGAGTAGCTGGGACTACAGGCATGCGCCACCATGCTCAGCTAATTTTTTATTTTTTGTAGAGATGGGGTTTTGCCATATTGCCCAGGCTGGTCTCAAACTCCAAGGCTTAAGTGATCCTCCTGCCTTGACCTCCCAAAGTGTTGGGATTACAGGCGCGAACCACTGCACCTGATCAGATTATTTCTCTCACCATGTTGCTCTAATTTCTCTATGTTTTAATTGGCTGCCCCCAGGAATCTCTTTTTCTCCAACTAGTGAGCTCCGTCTGTTGAAAATTATAGAAACTAGGGCTAGGCGTAGTGGCTCACGCCTCTAATTCCAGCACTTTGGGAGCACAAGGTAGGAGGATCACTTGTGTCCAGGAGTTTGAGACCAGCATGGGCAATATATCCAGACCCCATCTCTACAAACTTAAAATACAAAAAAATTAGCCAGGCATGGTGGCACACTCCTGCATTCCTAGCTACTTGGGAGGCTAAGGCAGGAGGATCACTTGAGCCCAGGACGTCAAGACCACAGTGAGTTTTGATCATGCCACCAAACTCCAGCCTGGGTGACAGAGTGAGAACCTGTCTAAAAAAAAAAGAAAAGAAAATTAGGGAAGCTGTTCTAGTGGATCCCAGGCTTATATTCCAACTTTACCAAAAATTCCCTCTGTGAGTGACACAAGTTATTTCCTTTCTCAGCACTTCAGTTTTCCTCTGTGTAATATGTGACTATTGGACTCTGATATTCACCAACCTTTGTAGCTTAAGTGTTTTAGAAATCCAGGATTCTATGAGTACCTCTTCCCTCTTGTAACTCCTGTCCAGTGCAGTCAGTGTGCTCTGAATAAGATGCAGGGATAGAGTCTTTTAGCAAAGCAAAGAGGGAAAATAATGAGTTGAGGAAAATAATGACACAGGGAAAGTCAGAGAGAAGAGGCACTTGAGAAAGAAGTCAATCAGAGCAAGAATGCAAAAGAAAATAAGAGGAGAAAAAGGGGACACAGACCATATATCAACAAGGAAAAGTATTCTTTTCTCCCATACAGCTCTGTTTCTTCCCTACCAGCTCCAGATCCCTATTTTTAATTTTTATTTACTTTTATATGTTCTATTTATTATTTTATTTTTTTTTAATTTTTAGAGATACAGTCTTGCCCTGTTGCCCAGGCTGGAGTGCAGTGGCATGATCATGGCTCACTGCAGCCTCAACTTCTGGATGCTCAATTGATCCTCTTGCCTCAGCCTCTTGAGTAGTTGAGATCACAGGCATGCATTACCATGCCTGGCTAATTTTTTCATTTTTTATAGATACAGAATCTCGCTATATTGCCCAGGCTGGTCTTGAACTCCTAGGTTCAAGTGATCCTCTTGCCTCAGCTTTCCAAGGTGCTGGGATTATAGGTGTTAGCCACCATGCCCACCTACCAGACCCCCTATTTACATGCAGTCTCTTTCCCAAACAGAACATTATTCCCTTGCAGTCTTGCTGTTGTTGCCCACCCAGGCTGGAGGGCAGTGGTGTGATCTCAGCTCACTGCAACCTCCGCCTCCGGGGTTCAAGCGATTCTCCTGCCTCAGCCTCTTGTGTAGCTCCTGAGTAGTGTGCCACCATGCCCGGCTAATTTTTGTATTTTTAGTAGAGATGGGCTTTCACCATGTTGCCCAGGCTGGTCTCAAACTCCTGGCCTCAAGTGATCTGCTTGCCTCGGCCTCCCAAAGTGCTGGGATTATAGGTGTGAGCCACCACCCCTGGCCTCTTCTTACTTTTTCTTATGAGATAATTGTAGATTCACCTGCAGTCATAAGAAATAATAGACAGATCACATATACCCTTTCTACAGTTATCCCATGGTAACATCTTCCAAAACTATTGTGTAATATCACAGCCAGAATGTTAACATTGATACAGTCCACCAATCTGATTTAGACTTCCCCACTTTTACTTCATTTGTGTGTATTTAGTTCTGTGCAGTTTTGTCACGCGTGTAGGTTTTCCTATCTGTCACCATAGTCAACATACGAAGAGTTCCATCACCATAAGCCTCCCTGTCATTACCCTTTAATAAACATATACCTCCTTCCCACCACCTCCCCATTCCTAACCCCTGCAGCCACTAATCTATTCTCCATTTCTATAATTTTGTCCTTTCCAAGTTGTTATATCAAATAACATTATATAAAACATGTAGGCTGGGCATGGTGGCTCACACCTGTAATCCCAGCACTTTGGCAGGCTAAGGCAGGCAGATCATGAGGTCAGGAGTTCGAGACCAGCCTGGCCAATATGGTGAAACCCCGTCTCTACTAAAAATACAAATATGAAAATTAGCCTGGCATGGTGGCATGTTCCTGTAATCCCAGCTACTTGGAAGGCTGAAGCAGGAGAATTGCTTTAACTGGGACCAGGGAGGCAGAGGTTTCAGTGAGCCAAGGTTGCACCACTGCACTCCAGCCTGGGCTACAGAGCAAGACTCCTTCTCAAAAAAAAAAAAAAACAAAGGATTTTCTCCTGCAGCTGTGGCCTAGGCATGGCGACTCTCGGCTTTGTGACTCCGGAGGCCCCCTTTGAATCATCGAAGCCCCCCATCTTTGAGGGGCTTAGCCCCACTGTTTACAGCAATCCAGAGGGTTTCAAGGAAAAGTTCCTTCGCAAGACCCGCGAGAATCCGGTGGTACCCATAGGTTTCCTGTGCACGGCGGCCGTCCTCACCAACGGCCTCTACTGCTTCCACCAGGGCAACAGCCAATGTTCACGGCTTATGATGCACACCCAGATCGCCGCCCAGGGCTTCACCATTGCAGCCATCTTGCTGGGTCTAGCTGCCACCGCTATGAAGTCTCCACCCTGAGCCCAGGGTCTTGAAAACTCTGCAGAAATCATTCCAAAACCCAGGAGCAACCACTGGCCCTACCATGGGACTTACTCTCTCCTCTCCTTTGAGAGGTCCCTGTGTCGTTGGGGGAGGAAGTGACCCTTCCTGTAACCATAACTGAAAGATTTTTTCAAAAATCCCAGATTCTGTTGTTTGAATGTTACATATTTCTATTTGTGCCACATCTTCCCTCCACTCCCCTGCTTAATAAACTCTAAAAATAAGAAAAAAGTAAAAAATTACACACATACTGTATGTAATCTTTTAGGATTGCTTTTATGAGCTAGGCATATTTGTATGGGAAGGGGGAATTTTTTTTTTCTTTTTTGAGATGGGCTGCACTTGTCGCCCAGGCTGGAGTGCAACTTCGGCCCTGTTGCCCAGGCCGAAGTGCAATGGCACAATGTCGGCTCACTGCAACCTCTGCCTCCCAGATTCAAGCAATTCTCCTGCCTCAGTCTCCCGAGTAGCTGGGATTACAGATACGCGCCATCACGCCCGGCTAATTTTTTGTATCTTTAGTAGAGACGGGGTTTCACCATGTTGGCCAGGATGATCTCAAACTCCTGACCTCGTGATTAGCCTGCCTTGGCCTCCCTAAGTGCTGGGATTACAGGCATGAGCCACCGCACCTGGCCAGGAAATTTTTTAAGATACGGAAAAGTACAGAGCATGATCTTGCAAACAACTATGTTCCTACCACAGAATCAACACTGACTGTTGTTAATATTTTGTTATATTTGCTTCATTTTTTTTTAAAAGGGAGACAAGGTCTCACTCTGTCACCCAGGCTGGAGTGCAGGTGCAGTGGCACTAGCATAGCTCACTGCAGCCTCGACATCCTGGGCTGACATGATTTTCTTGCCTTAGCCTCCCTAGTAGCTGGGACTAGAGGCACAGGCTACCATACATGGCTAATTGTTTTAAAGTTTTTGTAGAGATGGAGTCTTGCTCGGTGGCCCAGGCTGGTCTCAAATTCCTGAGCTCAAATGATCCTCCCACCTTAGCCAAAGCACTAGGGTTACAGGCATGAGCTACTGTGACTGGCTGTCTTTTTCATTATTATTATATAAAGGAAAGAATGTATTATAAAGTTGAAATCCCTTCTAATCCTCATCCTTACTTCTATTAGTCATAAGCAGCTACTAGTATGAATATGGTCTCCTTCCTTCCTTCCCTCTTTCTTTGTTTCTTTCTTTCTTTCTTTGTTTCTTTCTTTCTCTCTCTCTCTCTCTCCTTCCTTCCTTCCTTCTTTCCTTCCTTCCTTCCTTCCTTCCTTCCTTCCTTTCTTTCTTCCTTTTTCAGACAGAGTTTTGTTCTTGTCGCCCAGGCTGGAGTGCAATGGCACGATCTCAGCTCACTGCAGCCTCCACCTCCCAGGTTCAAGCTATTCTCCTGCCTCAGCCTCCCAAGTAGCTGGGATTACAGTCACTCACCACCATGCCCAGCTAATTTTTGTATTTTTAGTAGAGACGGGGTTTCACCATGTTGGCCAGGCTGGTCTCGAACTGCTGACCTCAGATGATCCACCCGCCTCGGCCTCCCAAAGTGCTGGGATTACAGGCAGGAGCCACTGCATCCTGCCTGTCTGTGGTATATTATGCTCTATACACTTTGATTTCTATTATTATTATTATTTTTGAGATGGAGTTTACTTTTATTGCCCAGGATGGAGTGCAATGGCATGATCTCGGCTCACTGCAACCTCCACCTCCTGAGTTCAAGCAATTCTCCTGCCTCAGCCTCCCAAGTAGATGGAATTACAGGCATGCGCCACCATGCCCGGCTAATTTTGCATTTTTAGTACACATAGGGTTTCTCCATGTTGGTCAGGCTGGTCTCAAACTCCCAACCTCAGGTGATCCACCCGCCTCAGCCTCCCAAAGTGCTGGGATTACAGGTGTGAGCCACCGCACCTGGCCTGATTTCTATTATTTCACATAATTTTTACAACAAATCTGTAAAACGAGGTTTCCATTTACAGATCAGGAAACTAAGAGCCTTGAAATGATTTTCTCAGTGGTAGGTGGTAGTGGTAGGTTAGAACTGGCAAACAAGCTTATGGTTTGATGTTTACCCACTAGCACTACCTCCTTCAAAGCTGATCACAAATCATGATAGTGAAAGAAGCTTTGAAACTACGGATCTCTAACTCCCTTTTATACGACTGGAAGGGACCTTAATTAAGACCCTTCTATTTACAGAGGAGGAAACTGAAGCCCAGAGATACCAAGAGTTGGCCCAGGTCACACCTTGGTGATTGTGGAAGGACTAAGAGAACAAGCCTGACTCTGACTCCCCGCCCTTTCTCCATCCCACCTCTTGCTGCCCCAGCCAGGAGCCTAGATCTCAGAATGCAGTCAGAAAAATCCCTCACTGAGAAATATTAAGACTAGAATGCTAAGAAGAAATGTTAACAGTTCCATAGAAAATGACAAAAAGCATGCATATATAATTTATGAAAAAAGAGAACAAAGTTTTTTTTGGAAAGTTTGACTTAACCATTGCCAAGTAAGAACTGCAAATTAAAGGAAAAACCATTTGAACTCAGTTGACAATGACTTTTTTAAAGCTAATACTCATTGTTTTGAGGTGTGGGCTTTGTTGCATGACTGAAAGACACTCTTGTAGCTGGTAGAAGTAAAACTATTACAGTCTTTCAAGAAAGCAGTTGAGTATTGTGTATTTAAGACCTTAAAAATATTTAAGGCTTTGATCTAACAATCTGAATTCTAGGGAAGTTTTCAAAGATAATCAGGCATGTGGCCAAAGAATGTTACATGCAACATTATTTATAATATTGAAAAATTGATCATCTTATTATGTCCCAAGTACAATGGTTTAATAAATCAGTGTAAATTTATATGATGTGACGTTATGCAGCTGTTAAAATCATAGCTTGGAATATTATTTGATAACCTGGGAAAAGGCTTATGATATATTAGGTGAAAAGGAGATTTCAAAACTAAATAATCTGATTTTAAAATTATTAGTAGTAGTGCACTGAGAAATGGGTTGGAAGGGAATCAGTTAGAGGCTATCAATCATTTCTGGATAGTCAGTCTTGGAACATGCCCTGCTCTTAATAAGGTGTGCACTTTTATTTGTTGCTCAAATAAGCAAATGAATAAATTGTGGGATGATGAATAATTTAAATTTTCTTCTCCATAGGTTTTGGAATTTCCCAAATTTTATGAGAATATTTTTATTATCATAAAAATTAACCAGGCAGGGTGCGGTGGCTCATGCCTGTAATCCTAGCACTTTGCGAGGCTGAGGTGGGTGGATTGCCTAAACTCAGGAGTTTGAGACCAGCCTGGGCCACACAGTCAAACCCCGTCTCTACTAAAATACAAAAAAAAATTAGCCGGGCGTGGCAGTGTACGCCTGTAGTCCCAGCTACTCGGGAGGCTGAGGCAGGAGAATTTCTTGAACCTGTGAGGCAGAGGTTGCAGTGAGCCAAGATTGCGTCACTGCACTCCAGCCTGGGCAACAGAGCAAGACTCCGTCTCAAAAAAAAAAAAAAAAATAGGCTGGGCACAGTGGCTCACGCCTGTAATCCCAGCACTTTGGGAGGCTGAGGCAGGTGGATCACCTGAGGTTGAGAGTTCAAGACCAGCCTGATCAACATGAAGAAACCCTATCTATTTAAAAAATACAAAATTAGCCAGGCGTGGTGGTGCATGCCTGTAATCCTAGCTACTCAGGAGGCTGAGGCATGAGAATCGCTTGAACCCAGGAGGCGGAGGTTGCAGTGAGCTGAGATCGCACCATTGTACTCCAGCCTGGGCAACAAGAGTCAAACTCCATCTCAAAAAAAAAAAAATTATGAAAACTTACAGCATGTTGACACTAACTGAACAAGATAGAAAAAAAACAACTAGTATTTTTTGTTCAATATCCTTCATTTTTACCACTTTCCAAAAGTTTAGAATACTGAAACTCAATGTTGCCTTATTTCTAAAGCTGCCAAACCTTTTGTCATTTCTGGACTTCAGTTCCCTCCTTTGTAAATAGAAGGAATTTAATTAAGGTCTCTTCTAGCCTTAAAAAGAGTAGTTATAAATTCATTCCTCCTCAGTGATCCTGGTTGATAGAATTCTTCCTTTATCAAAAGCCTCTGCTAAAGAGCACCCTCAAAGTTAAAGTCATTGTAAAAAACTCTCCCCGGTTTTGCAGAGACTTTTTTTGTTTTGCTGCATGACTTTCAGACAAGCACTAGACTTGTGTCATTTCCATATGAACAGACACATGTTTTCCGGAGGGCAGGCTGTAGTTAGGGCTGTGTCTCTGCTACTGTGTCTCTGCATAACCCAACGGGCTTGCATGAGAATAGGACTTTTCATCTCATTTCCATTGGTTTCATACATTAAGCAAGTCAATTCACATGTGCTACAGGTCACAGTGGGAACTCTCCATGTAAGGCTATAAGTGGTTCAGCTCAACCCATTTCTTATTTCTGAAAACAACTTGAAGCATGCAGCCTATGGCTGGAAGGCAATTGAGTTATATTTATAGAAGGGCAGCTTGATCTCTTTGCATGATATCCTGTCTTTAGAAAGTAAAAAATAAGTTGCTATGTGTCATCATCGCGTATAGGCAACTAGATGCAGAAATTTAAAAAGAACAGATCTCTTTACTGAGACCCAAATACATCCCTGACATCGCCCCTCCAAAGTGCACCACCTCCAGTGAGTCTCCCTGTCATGCCCAGCCAGTGGACAGCCAACCCCCACCATTCCTCCAGCACTCCCGTGGCCAATCATGGGGGTGCTGTGCTGGCAGCCTGTGACCTGACATCTCTACCAGTCTTCCAGTCCCTCGTATGTCAGGGAATGTGTCCTCTGCTGGCTGTGTTCTTTTTGGAACTCAGGGGAGGGAAAAGGCCAAGCCATTTCTAGGGTGCTGTTGGGAGCAGTGAAAAAGCCACACCCTTTTCAAGGGACACTTTTCCTGGAAAGCCCCTGGAGCTTAGCTGGCTGTTATCCTGTGAAGCCGGCTCTGGCCACTAGGGGCAGGGCCATGAACTCAGCCTCGAGGAGCCTGCAGGGCAGCTGGCACTCTGGAGGGACAGACAGAACAGGTCACCAGGTGCACTGGAGGGACAGACAGAACAGGCCACCCAGTGCAGACAGGAGAAGGAGGGAGGGGGACGGAATGGAAGACTCCTGGGGTGAATGGAAGTCAGTGCCCTTGGGTGCTAGTATCTGTCTTCCCGGCCACCGCTAGATCAGGCTTCTGAGCCTGTTGGCTGTCAGGGCTGGACTGTGCCCCATAGGCGCCATGGCAGTCCCAATGAAATCCACCAGGTGTCACTAGGCAGCATAAAGGTAACAGGCCTGGAAGGTCACCAACAGCCCAGCTGGACATGCTCAGACAACTCTGGGGCTCCTCATTCAGTGGCACAAACTCCAGGACCCAGTGAGGGAAAAAGGAACACACCAGGCTGAGCAGTATGGCTAAATCCATTTATTCCAAAATGAAAGGCAAAATAAACAGGAGTCGCATCACCAGGGAGCCACAACCCCATCCCCGCCTCCTTCCTCTGCCCCATGCTATCAATAAATAAGTTTCCCAGCCACAAATAATGATTAGAACCTCCTCCTCATATGCCAGCTCCAACCTCTGCTAGGTACGATACAGGGGGTGGCCCTACCCCCTGGAATATACAAAATGTTACACAGATACTATATGTACACTGGGGCCTTCCCAGCAGCCCGTGCCCTCACCTGCTCTACAGTTAGCCCCATTGTCCCTGCCTCAGCTGCCTCTCTGAATAAGAAGATGGGAGCCCCCTGAGGGAAAAGTTGCTTTGGTGAGGGTAGGGAGGCCATCAGGCCGCCTCCAAACAAACCGACTCCACCAGCCTCTGGCTCTTAAATAACAATCATCATCATCCAGAAATTTAAGGACTCAGCCCTGGTCAAGGTGGCAAAGGGTCTGTTTGTCTCCCCCCATTAGACAGGGGTCTTGTCTTGCTACCCTAATGATAAAGGGGTAGGAAGGGATGGTAGGGACACGATGGCGGCAGAGACTCCAGCCCCACTTCTCCAGGCTTATGCTGACAGAGGCCTGCTTTTATTTATTTTTATTTATATCCCATGACTTATTTTTTAATCCCGTAACTTCTTTTTCATAATACTTTTTTTAAACTTTTCATAAAACTTTAAATACTTTTTTCACAACTTTTTTTGCCACGACTTTTCCACATTTTTTATCCCATAACTTTTTCATCCTACAACATTTTCTAAATCCCATAACTTCTTTTTAGTTTGTATTCTTTTAATAAACACACTTGCATAGTTAATTACAATTTTGTAAAAATAAAAACTGATTATCTCATGCCAAGCGTGCCCAGCATTTGCACAGTCTCAATACCTGTAATACTATAGTTTTCAAGACACACAAAATTTTAAGGCAAAAACAGCACTTTGCAACCATTTAATAATTTATTACATTACAGTAGCATCACAGTAGCAGTCAACAATGCCACTTTAGGCAACAGTGTTTCAGTATTTCTATTATACATTCTGTTTACAAGAATTCATAAACTGGTAAAAGTCATTCTAAGAAAACTTGGCAAATAAAGCCTTGCATTGGAATTGGCATTTCTTTCTCTACTTTTCCTTCCCCCAGTTTCTTTCTTTCAAACTACAGTATTCATATTTTAAAGTGTTTTAACTTATTTCAAAACATTAAGATAGCAGTTACACTTATGAATAGTTATATTCTTTTAAAATGACTCTTTAAGATAAAGTTTTAGAGAAACTATATTATGGATAGGGCTGATTTACATTTTCACATTTTCTAAATATCAGCTTTGGTTTTAGAACTGACTTGTTTTCATTTCTGGAAAACCCATCAGGTTAAACAAATACTTTAAAAATGATTATATATTGCAATCTTTAAATAGATTTTTAATTCTTTACTTCCTACAGAAATTCAAATTTATTCAGTTGAACCCACACTTTAAAATTCTATGTTTCTGATTAAACTCTACCCTTCTAATGTTGCCTTCTAAGCAAATTGAAAGCTGCCTTAAACTGAATGAGGAAGAGAACAAATACTTGGCTGAATGAGGTATTGCAAAGGACCACATGCACTTTGAAGAAAGACTTAAGTTGTTGTTATATGATTTACATGCTATTTAATTTTTCTTAAATATATGACAGAATACCTACACAAAGAGTGGTATTTCAGTTAATATAGTACATTCATTTTCCAGACTGACATTCAGCTTAAATATGCCGGTGTGTGATTTAATCCACAGGTACCTGATGAACACATTATTGTCCGATTGGTTGCAGGTGCTAAAGGCTAGCTGAAGATCATTCCTAGTCATTTATATTTATCAGGGTAAAAGTGAAGTGATTTGAACTATAAAAATACCTTTGAAATAATTTATCAATGTATTAGGTAAACCCAGTTTCAGAATTATAAAGAAAAACTGTTAGACCAAATAAGGTGGCTAATTAACAGTGGTATGATTTCTAGCCCGAGGGTCTAAATTGGACTCAAACTGTCTTTAAACTGAACTCAAAGAATGCAAAAGTGGCAAGTTCAGAAAATAAAAGGCAAGAACAGGACTTGAAGTCCATTTTAAACCCTCGGGCTAGAAATCGTCCTACTGTTAATTAGCCACATTCGTTGGTCTAACAGTTTTTCTTTATAATTCTGGAACTGAGTTTATCTAATACATTGATAAATTCATACAATTTGGAAGAGTCAGTTGAAGTCACAAGGACTTAATATTTGCACTCTTTCACTGAATGCAGGCACATCTGTTATTCCATCTGTAAAATCGTATTATTGCTCTCCTATTAACGTCATATGTATAAAAGTATCATGAGGATGCCAAATGCTAAAAATGGAGATGGTCTAGTAACTAGAAATGCCCACCCCAGGGAGCGCACACACATCTCTCCCTGCATCCTAATACTGTGACGTATTTTGGAACACAGACATTAGAACTTCATGAACTTTTAGCTGTTGATTCTTTCCCAAGCATCTTAAAGTTATGATTTAGGCAATGTATGACTGAAATAATTCACTCATCACGTATAGGCACATTAACATAAATATGGCACAAAATATGCCTCTAACTGAAACTGAGAGGTATAAAAACATATTTCACTCTTTGTGAAGAACTTTGTGAGGAAACGTAAGTCTGTCATTGTATAGACACTTTTTCTCATAATACTTGGACATTCGCAAACATTAGATTGCACTGCAGCTTGTAAACATTTTAAGTTGCATAAACTTCGCCTTGATTTTCATGTGTAGTATAATACTGTCTACTAAAACTCCTTTTTGTTTCAACTAAGTACTCTCACATATATTGGTTTATAATAATGGTTGTTATTATTTTTAAAGTGTTTTCCATTCAAAGAAAAGAAGTAAATTCCTACGTCAGAGTAACTAATGTGGCTGAAGAATAGGTATTAGCCAGAGAGGTCTAGATGATAAAATCAATCTTCTAGCCTCAAAGAAGCTCCATGAACATAGAGGAAGGCCAGGTGTCACACAGCTTTCCTTCACTCGAATTCATTCTTGACTAGAGCCTGTATGCCTCTTCCAGGGACATTTAAACTCTTAAAGGATTTCTTATGATCTTCACTAAATACCTTAAGAAGAATGCCAACCAGTGCCCTTTTGTGTACTGGGACATATACTCATGTGATTAAAACAGGTAACATGAACTCTGACTTTAAAATGTATTGTAGATATAAATGCTCTAAGCTAGAAAAGGTTTTCCACATCCACAGTCAATGATGGGAGCCTTTCATTCCTCAGAAATAATCCCTTTTTAGGTCATCAAGAAAGGGTACAACTGCTGCAGCTCATGATGCAATATCTTCATGAGCCCAGAGCACATACAAATCCTAAGGGAACTACCATAGTACAGCGCTCATTCTTGGCACCAGAACAAATGAAACACACTCTATCCTGCACACACCTGCCAGAGCAGGCCACTTTCCTCTTCTGTGAGATTTAAAAAGCTCCCCAAAATGTTATTACTCCCATCCCCAATACACAGAAAATAGGGAAAAGGCTGTTTCCAGTTCTTGGCCTTTAAACAACTCTAAATGTCAGTACTCACAGTGGCATATTACAAAGTAATAAACAGTGCTCAATTGAGGGCAAACCACATATTGAGCTAATGAAGAGCTCACTGTGGTTAGGATTCGATCAAACGTCATAGCAGAACATAAGCACATTTTATCTGAATTCTGGAATGAATATACATGCTGCAATAACATTAAAAAAGCATGGCAGCCTGTTCCAAACCAGCCAGAATAGTTTTGTGCAAATTAGTGGGTCTTTGTGTGTTTGAATTCCCACCACCTAAGGGCAAACTCGATATGCATACTAATGACCTACAATTATCAAATTAAAAATAAAAATGCTAAAGGATGCCAGAAAGAACATCAGGGAAAGACCAACTCTCCCTTAACTTTTTACAAATAAATTTAAACGGTAAATTAGAAACACAAATAAATGTGAGTGGCTCTAGCATTCAAATGGAGTAAATGAATTGTGTAGGAGATGAACCCCGTAACTTTTTGTTGTTGTTGTTGTTTTAAATTTCTTGATCAGCTCTTAGAAGATGATGATGTTTATCTCCCTGTTCTCGGCTGCCTGGTAGAAGAATGGCACGCAGGGTTTGCTGGGCAAGCCTGGGTGCTCCTAGGTGTCCTGCATGACAGGAGACAGCTGCACGATCTGCTGTACAGTGGGGTTGTCATGGGGAGAACCCTCCCTGGCCGCTCCTGGTGCAGGCTCCACGTTGTTGTCCAGGCTCACTTCATAAAAATCTTCAGAGAGAGGGAGGCGGGGGTCTGAGCACAGTGCGAGCCTCCCCTGCCCCTGCCTGCCCACCCCGCCTGAGAGCTCTACTCACCATCCTGCTCACCGGCAGCCCCAAGTTCCTGGGGGGCTGGGGCCCCTGGAGTGGGCTCATCAGCAGGGTTCTGGGCAGCGATGAGGAATTTGCCATGCCCCTCATGGTTGCCCACAAGGGGCAACACCAACTCTTGCAGCTCCAGCAGCTTCACCTGAAGGGAGGGGTGCTCAGCTCCCACCCTGGAGCCTGCACCAGCGCCCATGCCCACCCCCACCCCCGCAGAGATGTTGCACGCCCTACCTTCATCTCCTCCTCCTTCTGGGCCAGCCTGATGACATCCTCCATCTCCTGGTGCCGCGTGTTTGGCACTGCCCCCTGGCTTTCATATACGGTGAAGGACTCTCCTGTGAGAGGACACAGCTCAGACACTAGGGTCCCTCCGACGGCCCTGCAGCTCCCCGTGCCCGTGCCCTGGCCTCCCGCTCACTCATGCCGTCTGTCACTCCAGAAGGCTGGACGAATCCAAGCTCTCGTCTCTCCACCTGCTCCGTCCCGTCCGCCTTCTCCTTCGGGAGGTCCATAAAGCTGCTCTGGAGCCAAAATAATGGGGTCACATCTCGGGAGTGACCTGTTCTGCCCCGCCCCCACTTTTCTTGGCCCATGCCAGGACTCACTCCCTTTCAGCTTCACCATGGCCTCCTTCAGGGCCCGGTAGCTCTCCCCACACACAAACTCACCCCCACTCCCTGGGGCTGGGGCCTCTGCCTCTGGCTCCTTCCAGGCCAAGGCCAACAGATGAGCCAGGTGCAGGCAGCACAGCCTTCACACCTTCCGCTGCCCACATAGCCGTGCCTGCTCCTCCTGGGAACTGGCTCCAGCAGAGGTGAAAAATGCCACTTGAAGGCAAGAGGTGAGTATTCTTGTAGGGGCATAGACAGAACAAATGAGGCAGGGAGGTGGAGAACAACCCCTTCCCTTGGGGCCTCAGAGAGTGCACCTGTTGGTCACAGGTGACAAAGTGTCTGACCACTGGCTCCCGGAAGGGGTGAGGGGCCAGAGCAATCAGAAGGTGGGAAACCAAGAGCATAAGGGGGTCTGGGAGGGACCACAGAGGAAGGTGGCAAAGCGGGGCAGGGAAAGTCAGGCTCACCGTGGCCTCCCGGCTCTCCAGGTCCTCTGGGATGTTTGGCGTGGGCCGAGGCGCCTCCTCCTCCTCACTGTCCAGATGTTGTCCTCCATCTCCTGTAGGGAGGTGGCCAGAGGGGTCCTCAGACAACCCAACAAGGAAGGTCCTGTGGGCCTACCTCTGTCCCCACCCTGACTGTGTAACCCTGAGCCAGCCTCTCCCCAGAGGGGAGTGAGCTGCTGTTCTTTATTTTTCCTTTTAAGAACCAAGATCTTGCTATATTGCCCAGGCACAGTCCCACTACCGGTCGGTGCGGGAGTCCTGACCTGCTCCCTTTCTGATCTGGTCCAGTTCATTCATCCTTAGGCAACCTGGTGGCCCCCTGCTCCCAGGAGGTCACCATATTGATGCTGAACTTAGTGCGGACACCCGGTTGGCATAACGACCAGCTGTTCTAAAGGTCTCTTCCAACCCCTCAATCCTATGCTGCTAACAGTCCCCCCTTCCTCCTGGGGCTCTCTCCTCTTCCTCTGAGTGGTCTCCTGTACCTTCTCCCGGGAGAGCCACGAGGCTTAGCTGGGTCTCTAGCTGTTGGTTCTGCTGGCTGGCAGCTTCTAGGTGCTCCTAAGGGGACGGGAAACAGAGTGAGAAGGCACGGAGGTTGCCAGGTCATCCCCCTCGGGGCCCCGTCCTCAGCAACTGCCTCCCCTGGGTCTCCTGCAACTTTTGGCCGGCCATCTCAGCCACCGCTTTGCCCCAAGCTTCCTGCTGCTGCAGCTGGTCCACGAGCTGGGTCTGCAGCAGTAACTGCCTGTGCAGCGCCTCCTTCTCAGAGGTCAGCTGCTGATAGGTGGCCACGTACTGCTGCAGGTGACCCAGGTACTAGTCTCGCTGCTGCTGCAGACTCTGAGACCCTTGGCTCTTCAGCTCCACCTGCAGGAAGACCCTGGGCATGAGGGCACATGGTGGCTGGCTTCCAGATTCTGGGCCCATTAATAGGGTAGCGAGGGCACCGTGGGGCTCTGTCACCTGCCCAGGACCCTGGTCCCTTGCTCCAGGCCTAAGAGGCTTCCTCTCTTGCCTAGAACCCCATACCTCCTTCCCCAGCCTCAAATCTCATGTCCTTCTTCCCACCATTTAAACTGTAGGCCACAGACTGGCGGAAAAGCAGAGGGAGCCAACCACCATCTGCTAAGTGTGCTACATGCCTAATGCTTTCCAGGTATTCTCTCATTCAATCCTCAGCACCTCTGCAAGGAAAATGCTAACTTCCTTTTGAAGTCACAGAAACAGAGACTTAGAGATGAACAGTAGTTGAATGGTGACCAGTGGAACCCAGGCCAGAATCCAGTTTGAATCTAAGGAGGCTTTTTTGTTTTGTTTTGAGACAGTGTCACTCTGTGGCCCAGGCTGGAGTGCAGTGGTGCAATCTCAGCTCACTGCAACCTCCACCACGTGGGCTCAAGCGATTCTCGTGCCTCAGCCTCCTGAGTAGCTGGGATTACAGGCATGCGCCACCATGCCTGGCTAATTTTTTGTTGTTGTTGTTGTAATTTTAGTAGGGGTGAGGTTTCGCCACGTTGGCCAGGCTGGTCTCAAACTCCTGACCTCAAGTGATTCTCCTGCCTCAGCCTCCCAAAGTGCTGGGATTACAGGTGCGAGCCACCGTGCCTGGATAAGGAGCCTCTTGTACCACTGTCTCTTCCCCTATGATTGGGGGCTCCATGTCTCTAGCTGGGATGATGATGTCCAGACCTGGGAGGAGCCCAGGGCTACCCACCTCTAAAAGTCAGAGGGCAGGAAGCAAGAAACAGTCATAGAGCTGCACTGGAGGGTGCTGGGGTCACCTGCCTCCCAGCTGGAGCTGCCTTTGGCCTGGCACCTCCCCTCCCCAGAGGCTGGTGCCCGCCTCCCAGCCCTTCTTGGATGGGGTGGAGGTTACCATCTCCTTCACCTCGTCTAGCTTCTCCTGCAGCTCCTTTACTTGCTGCTCCAACTGCAGTGCGCTCTTTTTCTCGTTGTTCTGGACAGAGAGAAGCAATCAGTGGCCATCCACTGCAGCTGGAGACACCAGACCTTGGTGTCTGCCTCCCATATCACCAGGAAGGGTGGAGGCAGGTTAGAAAAATCATCCCTTCTCCCCCACAGCCATCAGAGCAGAGCCCGATGAGCTGTAGCTCACAGGTGCCTTTAGAAGTACCATTTCATGTGAGGGCTACACTGGCCCATTTTACAGGTGGGGAAACAAAGGCCTGGAGGGATAGGGATGAGGGCAGGCTCCCCAGGTGGGGCAACCCACCAGATCCTCGAAGCTGCACTGTGGCTCGGCCAGCTGCTTGTCGAGCTTGTGGTTCTGGGAGAGCGCGAGCCTCTCCTCCTGCTTTTGTAGCCTCTCCTCCTTCTTCCACAGCCTCTCCTCCTGGTCCCACAGCCTCTTTTCCTGCTTTTGCAGCCTCTCCTCCTCCTTTCGCAGCCTCTCCTCCTGTTTGCGTAGCCTCTGCTCCTGCTTTCGCAGCCTCTCACCCTGCTCCTGTAGCGTCTTCTGCTGCTCCCGAAGCCTCTCGTTTTGTTCACACAGTCTCTCCTGCTCCCGCACTCTCTGCACCTCCTGCTCTCGGAGCATCTCCTCCTGCTCCTGGAGTCTCTGCTTTTGTTCCTTGCTAAGGAGACTCAAGGCCTGATTGTTTTCCACCTGGGATTGGAGCTTTCCCTCCAGACCTTCCACCTCCTGCCTCAGGTGTTTGGCCTCATCTTGTAGCTGTTCCACCACAGAGGTCACTGCTGGGGGCGCCAGGGATGGGGGCTTAGCTGAGAAATGAAGCAGACAATAAGGGCCTCTGGATTCCCCAACCCCTCTACCCACATCCCCCTCAAAAAAAAAAAAAAAAAAAACCTCCTCTTGATGCACAGCTCCTCTCAGGCTTCCCAAACTTGGCCTCACTGCTAATCATTCCTCGCACCCAATGGTAGCCAATTTCCAAGCCACTTTCACATAGAGAGCACTGTGGGTGGCTGACAACGGGCACTCCTCCCTCTTTGCTGATGGGGACCCTGAGGCTCATGGAGATGACAAAACTTGCCGTCTCCTGGCACAGACCTCTTTCCCTCTGCCTCAAAGCCCTTCCACCCACCCACCTCCCTGGGGCATTCTAAGCCACCCCCACAGACCTCTGATGCCAGTCCTGCTCCGAGGTCACACCAGCCCCATCTTACCCATCTGGTTTTTGAGTTCGGACAAGCTCCTCTCCAGCTCCTGTATCCGATGTATGTCACGCTTCTTCTCTTCCTTCAATGTTCGAGCCTGCCCAAAGCACAGGGGAAAGGGCCCTGGAGAGAGGGGCTGGTGGCTGGACAGGCTACCATCTCATTCTCTGTCCCCATCTCCACAAAGCCCAGACCCATGACCACCTCTGGCTGTACTATTCCCATTTTACAGATGCCCAGAAAGATCCAGTGACCTATCTAAAGTGGGGGCTGAAGGGTCAGACCTCACCTCCACCGACATTTTCCACATCCTCTCCTGCCACCGGGCCCTCTCTCCTTTTATGTGTTTAGCATATTCGTCTCGCTCTAGCTGGACTTGTTTTAGTGACTCTGTCACCTGCAAGAAATGGGCACAGAAGTTAGGAAGGGCTGTCACTGGTCCTCACCTGCTCCTGGCCACCTGGGGTCATCTTCCTTCCACATCCCTCCCTCTGCAAAGCCTCACCTGTGTCACGTGTGCGTTCAGCAGCGCCCGCTCCTTTATGGTCTGCTGTAACCGCCGGTGGAGGACCGCTTCTCTGCAGCTCGAGGACTGGATGGTGAAGAGTGAGAAGTTTTGATCTGGGGAGCTCAGGCAGTGCCCCTTAAAAGGGCTAGGGCTAGGCTCAATATACAACTCGGTCAGTAAAGGTCAAGGCATTTCCAAGCCCGTGGCCTGGTTATTAAAAGAACTCAGTAAAGTTGGAAGGGAGAGGGAAAGAGATAGAATTTACAGCTGGCTAACAGAGGCCCAGAGAGATCAGATAATATTGCTATTGTTATTACTGTTATTACTACCACTGTTTGAACCGTTATGGAGTGCTTCACCAGGTTCCATGCTAGCGATCCCATTTAATCCTCACAACCACCATATGAGACAGTTACTAGGATTACCTCTATTGTGTAGATGAAAAACATCGAGTGTTCAAGGTTAAGTGATTGCCTAAGATCACTTAGACAGAGCTGGGATTTGAACACCCAGGTCTATCCTATTCTCTAAGCCCATTTTTCTTGCTGGGGGTGGGGACACAGATAGGAAGGGGGAAATTAATCTTTTGTTCACTTTTTGAAAGGATGATACATTCATATAGTCCAAAACTCAGAAGGTACAGAAGGGAGGTGTCTCCAGGCACCCTGTTACTCTCTCCTGAGTTTTTTATGAATGCTTGCAGACATGTTTTTGTATATTATCATAGTACACACACACACACACACACACACACACACACACCCCTTTCCTCTCTCTACAGAAATGGTAACATACTAAAGGTGCTCTTCTGTACCTTCACAGAACAACTACCCAATACCCCACCTAGGACTTGGCCAAGGCCACAGCCAGGAAAGGGCAGGGCAGGCACTTGGCCTCTGAGCTCTGCATCCAGTGCTCACTCCCCACAGTGCCCCCCAACTCACCCACAGCAGCTGACTCAGCCCCAGGCTGCCTCTAACAACCATACACAAAAGTAGTGAGAAATGACCATGCTGCCTTCTGGGCAGGACACTCCATCCTGCAGAAGGGACCTTTAGGCTCACTCCTCTATCTGGGAAGCCAGGCTGCCAGGGGATGGGGCAGCTGGTTGGACTCACCCTGTCCTCTTCCTGCTGCTGTGTAGACACAGCACAGAGAGCCCGCTCCAATTCTTGAATACGCTGTAAGGAGTATTGCAGGCGGCCAGCCAGATCCTTGGACTCTTCTGTAATGAGAGAGGTTGAGATGGGGCCCAAAAGACTCCCCCTAAAGACCTGTCAAAGTGCCAGGTTGAAGGATGACGGGATGCCCAGATTCCCACCTTCGAAGTGTCGGGCAGCACGTTTAGTATGGTAAAGGGTGGTCTTCAAGTCTGCCTTTTCCAATGTGAGGATGTTGATTGTCTGGAATTGAACGTTTGGGAGAAAAGCCAAGGAAATGCTGAAAGAGAAGGAAAGAAACATTCTCCAGAGGACAGGAGAAAGCTCCCCACCCTCCACTCACCTCTAACCGCTCCATTTGTGCTTTGTGTATTTCATTGTTTGTTTTCTTTGCCTGTAGGAAGAGGAAGACAGAGCTCTTATCACAGGGAGGCAGAGATGGCACAGCAAGAGACATGCCCCCAGAATGCCACCAATGCCCCAGGACAGGCCCACCCATGGGACCAGGTTATCAGGGACCCTGTGGGGATGGGGTGGAATCTGATGGGTGAGCCTTCTTCCCCAGGCTGGGAGTGGGCAAGATGAGACTGGCGCCTCTGCATCTGAGTGTCCCCCAAACCCAGCAGTCATGTTGTGAGCAAAGAAATCACGTTACTTCTTCCAGCTGATGTTCCACTTGTTTCTTCTGCTGTTTCTGTGGGGAGAGTCAAATTCAGGTGACTGAGAGTGGCCCCCTCAACTCTATTCCCCAGACCTGGAAGCGGTAGGCAGGGTCCAGGAATGGATTTTAAAGGCAACATTCTCAGAACCAATGGCAACACAAACTGGTCAACCCTCTTCAAGCTCCCAAGGACAGAGGACTTGGGTCTTTGTTGGTTTTTGCCCACAGCCACAGAACTCGAAGTCTGAATCTGGATTCTCTTGAAAGGACAGTAACATAAACCCCTAGAGAGGGAGTCTCAGGAAGGCCCACCCTTCTGCCAGCTTGTGATTTAGAAAGGTGCCTTCATTCAACAAACATTTACTGAACACATACGGGCCAGCTACGGTTCTTCACAGCAGATATAGGATGGAAAAGGACAGACAGGAGCCCTTGGCCCTCAGGTTTCCATTCTAGGGGCCTTTAAATCTCAGGCTCTCAGAGCTAACAGAGAACTCTGATGCTCTACCTCCTCCAGAAACACAAGCCCAAGGAGGACAGGTGGCTTGTCCAGACTCAAAGCAAATTAGGGACTGAGTCAGGGCAGAAATACAGGGCCCCTGACAACCAGTCAGGCTAGCGCTTCCCTGAGAGGTGACAACCTCAGGGCGTGTGTGGCAAGGACTGGAGCAGGGGTGTCTGGAGAAGAGAGAGTCGGCAAAGAGGGCAGTGACAGAAGAGCCATGCTGCGTGCTCCTTGCTCTGGGGTCCCTCCAGGTGAGGCCTGGGTGCTCCAGCTCCCCATTTGCCCTTGGCACCAGGGGCCCCCAGCCCCTTTCTTCAGGGCCCCAAGGGGAAACTAAAGCCCAGGATTGGCAGCATGGAATCAGGGGACCCCACTGGACTTACCAATGATTCTATGTTTTCATTGAGTTGACTGATTGTCACTGAGCTTGACTCCAGGGCTACTGCTAGTTCTTGGTACTGGCTCTGAGGCACATGCAGAGAGGAGGAGTTGGAAGAGGATTGTGGGGAGAGGTAGAGAGAACAATCATTAGGGCTGGGGTGTGTGTGGGCTGTCTCAGCTGGCAGAGGGTCACCCAGCCCCCACTGTGAGAGGAGGTTGGAGGGCTGGCCTGCAAAGTCACTGCACCTCAGCCCAGGGCCTCTTACTTCCAGATCCTTCAGGGTAACAGATGATGCAGGAGTAATAAAAATGAGAAATTAAAAAAAAACTTACATGGGAAATAGTTATGTATATGGAGAAAGTATAAAAACAGCAAGGAGCCGGGCACAGTGGCTCACACATGTAATCCCAGCAGTTCAGGAGGCTGAGACAAGTGGATCACTTGAGGTCAGGAGATCAAGATCAGCCTGGCCGACATGGTGAAACTGCATCTCTACTAAAAATACAAAGAGTAGCCAGGCGTAGTGGCAGGTGCCTGTAATCCCAGCTACTCAGGAGGCTAAGGCAAGAGAATCACTTGAACCCGGGAGGCAGAGGTTGTAGTGAGCCGAGATCGCACCACTCCACTCCAGTCTGAGTGACAGAGTGAGACTCTGTCTCAAAAAAAAAAAAAAAAAAAAAAAAAAAAAGAGCCCAAATCCCACATGCCTGCTCTGTACGTTATTCCCAGATTACTTTTAAACTTTTAGGCGTCACCATTTCCAAGATAATAAAAGACGCGGGGAAGGAAAAAACCCAATCAATCAAGCAGGTGAAGAAGCAGACAGAAACAGGCTGAAGGTTAATGGCAGCAACATAAAACAAGGCAGAGGCCAAGCATCCCCCAAGCCAGAGAAGCCTCAGGGCCATGCACAGCTGTAGACAGCAAGCCAGAGAGGGGTCTTGGCACTGCCTCACCTTCCACTTGTCCAATGGGGGAGCACTACCCCATTGGAGTGGTTAAGGTTGGACACCCGCACCTTCAGAATGTCCTGAATCTACAGGAGGTGACAAGGGAAAAACAAGGGCAGGGGGTGAAAGACAGAAGTGGCTTAGAGAGAAGCAAGAAAGTCAGGGTAGGAGGAAGATGTGGGTTCAGGAAAAGGAAACGCTGAAGAAGAGCAGAGGAGATTAAAACCATGGCCTGTGCCATTCTTCCAAATGGCCACCTGCTGCCTTGCCAGGGGCAGGAAAAAAATAGATGGAAAAGTCCCCCGAGTGACGCAGTCACAGAGTGGAGTCAGCTGACCAATGCAGATCTTAATACGCTCACTGGACCCCTCTCCTCAGGCCCAGGACATGGGCGATGAATCTGGTAGAGCTCCAGACCTCCACCTCCATTAAAAAAAAACAGACTCCTGAGTAAGAGTTCACTTGAACTAAGGGGACTTCAGCTAAAAAACAAGTTTGAAAGACACTGATCTTATCCAGTATCATCTTACAGAGGAGGAAACTGAGGCCCAGCAGAAGAAGTGATTTTTCTGTGGTCACCCAGCAAGCTGGTGGCAAGTTAGACCTTCTCTTGCTCCTAGTGCCTTGGGCTCTCCTCACCACACCCTGGGCCCCCTTCAGTGACTCCTAGAGGGACAGCCTGATGGCAAGTGGCTGTACTCATTAGCCCAGCTTCCCCTTGCGAGTGGGGATCAGGAAAATCAAACAGCAATGACCATTTCCTGGGTATCCCGGGTGTTTACAGCAGGCCACGTACTAGGGGTTAACATGAAAACAACAACAATAAGGAATCTCATTTAAACTTCACAAATGGAAGTCAAACAATACTACCCCTATTTTACAGATGTGAAAAGAGAGGCCCAAAGAGCTCAAGCAACTTGCCATAAATCAGATCGCTAGCAGATGAAGAAGCAGGATTCAAACCCAGAATTCTTAACCAGTACCCAGCAATCTCAACAATTACCCTCTACTGCCCCTTGGGCCCCCTGTCCCCAGGAGCCTGGCCAGCCAAGACTCACATCCCCAGGTGAGTGGCCACCACCGGAAGTGGTTGTCTCAGGGCTACTGTCAGTTTTTTTCTTTTTTGTCTTTGCTCCTGCTGGAATACCAGGGCTCTTCCTTTGCTGATATTCTTTTAGCTGTGGGAAAGAAGAGCAGTAATACTCATGAGAACTACCAGCCCTTACAGCCACACCCTCCTTACAGTTTTTGCAAAATACTCTTATACACCATCTGATTTAATGCCACCAACAACTGTACAAGGTGTTGTCACAATCACTTAAGTGACTGAGAGGGATGGATATTATGGCTAAAAAAAAAAGTGTGGGGGGGCAATAATGGAACTTAAACTCAGTCTTCTGACTCCAAGCTCTGGGGTTTTGCCATGAATCAGCAGCTGCCGGGGACCAAAACCAGACGCAGAGGTAGAAAAGTAAACATTACATAGGCATGAACTACACGCTGTGTGGTTTAGAGTCATACATCCTCAAATGTCTGTTAGTGTGAAGAAGTGCACCAGTATCTCTCAAACTTTTATATCAATGTGTCCTCATGGCAGAAGGCAGCTTTTTTGTTAAATCTGGGAATTTATCAGAAAGAGGACAACCCAAGTCTCATTTCAGAGAGAAGTCTGGTATACTCTTAGAAACCTATGTGAGGGTCACCCCTAAGTACATTAATGTTTTTTCTCTCTCAAGAGACTCAAGGGAAACTGATGCTTCAGAAAGATCTCCCACATTTATCCTGTGGCACTCAATGTACCCTAAGTTGAGATGATATGAGGAAGATTCAAGCTGTCAAGTTCAGTTTCCCAAGACCTATTCCACAGAAGATGAGCAAATCTCACTTCAGAGACCACTGACTGAAGGGCAGTCTGGTCCCAGAACCGTGGAGAATTAGAATATGAGGTGGAGAACTCGGAAAAAAATGTTAAAGTCTCTCTGGAGAGTAGAAGCCTGGGAGAAAACCAAACCAAACCCATTCTCCCATTACCACCCAGAGATACTGTCAACGTTTTGAGCTCACAGGGGAAGTGTAGGCTTTTCACACTGTCGATGTCTATGTGAAGGGAGTAAGGCAGCCTGAAACCTCTTGCTCCTAGGTCCCATGGTCCCCATTTCCCTTCTAGCTGGAAATTTGTGCTGTGACCAGAGGAACCAGAAATGGGGTGAGAATGCTTAGGGGACTGGGTTATAAGATCAAAGGCCGGTCTTGCAGCAGTAATGACAGTTCCTAGGAGGACTGTGACATCACTACATTCCACTCCTCCTGGGGGTGGGGGAAACCTCATCAGTGCAATGGCTGAGTTGCCGATCCACGATGGGGGAGGGGGGACGTGGGGCTGGGACCCAGGTCCTTGGAGATGCCAGTCCAGAGAGCCCAGGGAGGTCGGGCTTGGGTCAGCAGGAGGGGAGAGCAGAGTCTGCTCAGGGAACCCCAGGAGTCACCAGCCCAAAGTCACCCCGGGATGACTGGCGATGCTGGGGGGTTGGGGCTGGGGGACCCAGGTCCTTGGAGAGGTGAGCCCAAAGAACCCAGGGAGGTTGGGCTTGGGGTGGCAGGACGTGAGGGCTGAATATGGAGCAGGTATCCCCAGTAGTCATCCGCCCAAAGTCACCGCAGGGTGATTGGCGAGGGCAGAGGCTGGGCTGCTTGCTGAAGGGGCGGGGCTGACTGACAAGACGTTGGTGGGGGGAGTCCAGAGGCGCCGGGGTAGGGGGGCCCAGCCCGGTGTGCCTCAGGAGTGGTATGGACTCTGGGAGTGGTCTTGTCATCAGAGGGGATCTCTGGCTAGGTTGGGGGGCCATGACCTTTTTCTTGGCTTTTTACCTTTTTCTTGGCTGCTGCCAATTTATTCTGTCGAGATTCTTCTAACATCATGGGGTGGGGAGGGAGGTAGGGTTGGGGCCACATCAGCGAACACCTCCAGTCACCTACAAGGCTGCTGTGTGACTGAGCCAGAGGAGGCGTAACCAGGGCCACACTAGAATGCAGAATAGGGGTGTGGCCTTAATGCTCCAATCCCATTGGTCAATGAGAAAGATGAAAGGGAAAGGAGGCGTGGCCAGGCAGCAGTGTGCCCAGAGGAACCTGTGACATCACAAGGAAAGCTGCCCATGCGACTGCTGTCCCTGCCCACTTGGGGAGAGGGGCGGGGCCTGCCTACTCCGGGAGAGGGGAGGGCTGGTTTTTGCTTTAAAATGTTAAAAATAAACTTTAAAAAAATATGTATTTATACTTTATATATATGTGTGTCAGTGTGTGTGTGTCTACATGTTCCTCCAGAGCTGTCTTCATTATCCAGCTTCTATGCATGGTCTATGATTTTGGCCTACATTTTTCATCTTCAGAGGGAGTATAAGAATTACCAGTATTACCCCAGTTAAGACACAAATCCTATAAAAATGGAAAATCCATAGCATGTTTGATGATTAATGAATGAAGTGGACTATATTATCCAACATCCCAATAAGGTAAAATAATCACAATGATTTCTCGGCTTTGGAAAAAACATTTCTCTTATTCTCCTACATTATTAAGATTTTTTAAAAAACAAGAAACATGTCTAATATCTTTAAAAACACAAAGCTTTTGGGCCGGGTGTGGTGGCTCACACCTGTAATCCCAGCACTTTGGGAGGCCTAGGTGGGTGGATCACCTTAGGTCAGGAGTTCAAGACCAGCCTGGCCAACATGGTGAAACCCTGTCTCTACTCGAAATACAAAAACTAGCCAGGTGTGGTGGTGGGTACCCGTAATCCCAGCTACTGGGGAGGCTGAGGCAGGAGAATCACTTGAACCCGGGAGGCGGAAGTTGCAGTGAGCCAAGGTCACGCCACTGCACTCCAGCCTGGGTGACAGACTGAGACTCCATCTCAAAAAAATAAAATAAAATAGTCAAAAATAAATAAAAACACAAAGCTTTCCATTTAATAAGCACTCAAAGCTCTTTACTGGTTTAAAGCAAATACAAGGCCTATTTTTCTAGAATCACCTGGCCTCTCTAAGCCTTGCAAATGAAACTGAATTTCTCACTTGATACTTGGCTATGACTTGCAATCATGAAAACCAAGAATTGTGTTATGTCACTGTGTATTGATTGTTACCTGAATTCCACACTAGGCTGGGATCAAGGGTTGAATCTTTCATGATTTGCTCCATAACCTGTGAGCTTCTTTTCCTACACCAAACTAAGCTTTGTTCTAGAGTTCTACAATTTACAGTTAGTAGACAAGAGTGGTTCTCAAAAATGTAGTCTCTGGACTAGCAGCAGCAGCAGAACCTGAGAACCTTTTGTAAGTGCAAATTCTCAGGCCCCACCCTGGACATGGTGAATCAGAAACTCTGGAGTAGGGCTCAGCAATCTGTGCTGCAGTCATCCCTCCAGGTGTTCAAGAACCTCTGGCATACAGCAGGCAGAAAAATGTGTTTCCTTCTGTAGGTCCAAAGCCAGGGATACCATATGTTCTGTCTTGATATGAAACAATGGCATGCAATTAAAAGACATAAATCTCCTTCCTGCTCCCACCCTCCATCCAATGTGTTTTATTTTTATGAGTTAAATAAGAAAACAAACGGCAATCAGAGATTCAGCCTAAAAAGTATGTTTACAAGTGTCAGTTCTCATCCAGCCTGATCTCACACAATACCATTTACACCCTCTTACCTCTCAAGTTTTTTAAAAAGTGTCTTCACAATGTAAGTCTCGGGCACACTAGCAGTTCTATAATAAAACACCAAGTAGATCAGAATGTCCAAACTTACTAGAGAAGAAAAGTGGAATCACTGGCTGTATTTTCAAGTTGCATTCAACAGGAAATGTAAGTTTTTCATTCTTTTCACCTTCACACTTCAATAGCATTAAATCAGAATACTCCATTCTTCCAAAGCCTCTAGCCAGGCAAAGTTTTACTGTATTACTTCTTGCTTTCGATAGATATAAAGCAGAGTCCTGGTAGGCACATTTTGTATGCCTGCAAAGATGCAGAAGTAAACAGTTCCATCTATTCAATATTAAAACAAAAGTCCTGCAAACCTCGGATGGTGAGTGTAATACATCAGCACTAGCACCAAAGCCTCAAATATAAACAGATACCAATATCACCACTAGCAAACAAAATGAGCCCTCGGCCAGGAGCAGTAGTTCACACCTGTAATCCCAACACTTTGGCAAGCCAAGGTGGGAGGATCACTTTAAGTCAGGAGTTCAAGACCAGCCTGGGCAGCATAGTGAATTCGCATCTCTACAAAAAATCTTAAAAATTAGCTGGGGGTGGTGGCACACACCTGTAGTCCTAGCTACTTGGAAGGCTGATGTATGAAAACTGCTTCAGCTCAGGAGTACGACGCTGTGGTAGCTATGATCATGCCACTGCACTCCAGCCTGGGTGACAGAGCAAGATCTAGATAATTACAGTCTGTCCTGCTCCTGTTTATGTTAAAATGCTTTCAATCAGCAGGATAAAAATTAAGTGAAATGTGACTTGGGAGCTTGGCCAGAAAATAGGCAATGGAGAAACAGGCACTTCCCACAAGAATAAAAATGGCCAATAAGCACATAAAAATGATTCAAGGCCAGGGCCGTGGCTCACGCCTGTAATCCCAGCACTTTAGGAGGCCGAGGTGGGTGGATCACCTGAGGTCAAGAGTTTGAGACGGGCCTGACCAACATGGTGAAATCCCATCTCTACTAAAAAATACAAAAATTAGCCAGGCATGGCGGTGGGCACCTGTAATCCCAGCTACTCGGGAAGCTGAGGCAGGAGAATCGCTTGAACCCAGGAGGCAGAGGTTGCAGTTATCCGAGATTGCACTGTTGCACACCAGCCTGGGCCATAGAGCAAGACTCCATCTCAAAAAAAAAAAAAAGTTTCAAAAGCACTAGAAACCAAAGAAATACAATGAAAACAATGAGATTTTCTCCTTAAATATCAGCAAAGAGGACAAATGGAAACGGGATACTGGAGCTCTGCCCCTGTTGGGAGTATAAACTGAACCAATTTTTCTGCAGGATAATTTGAAAATTTCTATTAAAAATCTTAAAACTATTTTATGTTATTTTTCTCCAGAAATTCTACTTCTATGACTTCAGCCCCAAAATGCTTGCTTGCGTCCATTAAAATATATATATAAGAAAATTTACTTCTGGGGTGGCAATGATTAACTTAATACACATCGAGCTTTTAAAAAGATGATGCCAAGGATATATTTACTGCCATAGAAATATGCCCAAAACATAGTGACAAAAGACTATATATTACGATTCTACTTTTTAAAATGTTCATATGCATAAAAAAATATAAAAAGCAACAAACCAGAATGCTTTCAGTGGCAAAATTAAAGACTTTTCTTCATATTTTGTCTTCCAAATTATTACAAAAAGAATGCAATTTTCTTTATAATCAGGGAGAAGTATTATTTTCATTTATTTACATATAAATTTCTTTTCTTTTCCTTATTTCTTCTAATGTATGTATCACATGTACCCTAAGAGCTTGAATCCCTACTTCTTGAGGTAAATCAGACCATTTCTGTCTCTATCAACTTGCCTTTTTTGGACATTTCAAATCAACAGAATTATACAATATGTGGTCACATGTCTGGCTTTTTACTTAGCTAAGGTTTTTGAGGTTGGTCCATGACATATAACAGGTTTTGGTAGTTTGTTCCTTTCATTACTGAGTAGAAGTCCATTGATGGATATATACCACATTTTGTCAGCAGAGAACATTTAAACTTTGCTTTCAACTTCCTATGGTCTAAATGAAACCGCTGGAACACAGGACTTAACAGTGAAAGCTGCTGTGCATGTCAAAAGAACTACTTATCAGAACCAGCTTTGTCATCAGGAGCCTGAACTGCTGCAGAAATTTTTATCATTTTGCAACTTCCTTTTTACAAGCAGCTTTTGTGCTACTACACATCAGGACTTTTGAAGCATCTGATACATCCATCTAATAAGTATGAGCATGTGTCTGAGTGGACAAGTAAAACCATCTATGCTACACTGCATATTTTTTCCTCCCCCAGACTGGACCAGGGAATCTCTCAACTTTCTAGAGTATCCTGTCTCCATTGACAAAGCTGAACAGTATTAAAGATCCTGCTGCCTTTGTTAGGCAGATTTGGAAGGGAGGCCCAACAGCAAGGGTGGAGAGGAAAAAGAGAGGGGAGCTTGTGGAACAGGAAGCCCCCTGGGGTCTGCACATGGCTCCCAGCTGTTGAGGATGTTGTGGATGGGGAAGTGCTGATGGTGTCCCGAGGCAAGCCTAGCACCTGCACTGGGCCCAGAAGGTCTTGACTTTGGCCCCTTACCCACGTTCCAGAAGTGTTTACAAGCTGGTTTTGCTTTTCTTCTTTTCCCAAATAATCATTACTTGGTAGTTAGTTATTAACCTTTCTTTGGGAGAGGGACAGAGCTTTAAAACTGAAGAACATAATTTTCATTAAAATATCAAAAATGGAAAAAAGTTACTTTGTAAACAATTTGCTATACAAACCAAATGGCAGCTGTTGAGAATCTCAATAAAGTGTTAAATGCATTTGCTGCTGTTAGAAGAAATACAGTAAAAATATTTAAAATAAAGAAAAAAATTTGCTGGCAGTGGTACCATTTGCCCAAGGTTGGGTTGCTGTGTCGTCATACTGTGGTGGGGGGTATATGTGGTGTATATGTGTGAAACTCTTCATCTCAGGATGGATCATAATGTGAGCTGCAGCTTTCCTTCCAAATAGGGTTACAAAGTAGTAAAACATGGGCTTGGAAGTGACAGACCTGAGTGAATCAGCCAAGCTTAAAGAAAAACCCAATAAAATTAACTTTTAATAATCCTGACGTTGGTTTTTGAAACAATAGATACAATGATTTACTCTAAGCATCAGGTTATGATTTTGAATCAGTAATACACACTGTCTCGACCTTTTTCTTTTTTTATGGAAACAGAGGTTTCACCCAGAAAACCCCAAAACAGTGACTTTTTTTTTTTTAAGACAGGGTGTCACTCTGTCGCCCAGGCTGCAGTGGAGTGGTGGATCTCAGCTCACTGCAGCCTCGACCTCCCACCTCAGCCTCCCGAGTAGCTGGGACCACAGGCACCACCGTGCCTGGCTAATTATTGTATTTTGTGTACAGACGGGGTTTTGCCATGTTGCCCAGGGTGGTCTCAGACTTCTAGGCTCCAGCCGTTCACCCACTTCAGCCTCCCAAGGTGCTGTGTGTACAGGTGCGAGCCACTGTGCCCAACCTGCATTGACTTTTTAAAACATAAGTTCAAGCATCTCTTCCTAACTCCTTTAATTGGAGGTATCTCTTCTCTCATTCTCCTCATCTTTGGTGTTCCCCCAGAGTTCACTGCTGTCTGGATGTACAACATATATTTCAAAGTCAAGGCTGGGCTGGGTGCAGTGGCTCACGCCTATAATTGCAGCACTTTGGGAGTCCAAGGCAGGCAGATCGCTTGAGTTCAGGCAAGGTAAGGCAGGCTCCCAAGGCAGAGACTGAGGCTGACCCCTGCAGCCCCCTACTGCAGGGAGGAACACCGGGATAGGCAAGGGTCTTAACCTAGAAAGCCCCAGCAGTTCCTGTGACCATCGAGACACCATTGAGGCTTGGCGGTGGTGGAACCCAGGAATGGTCTTTGAACCCACCACCTGGAAGGGGAGCCAAGGATAGTCCTGGCCCAAAGGCTCCCCTACCTGCAGGCAGTGTGGAGGCCCAGTGAGTGGACCCCAGGAGCCCAGACCATGAGCTTACCTGGCCAAAGACAGCAGCCAGCACCAAGACACGAAAGAGGGCGGGTAGAAAGATCATCACATAGGGGTTGACGGCGGCCGGCACCAGGTTCCTCTGTACTTCTGGAACACACAGGCCCCTCCTTCCTATCCCTGAAGTGCCCCTGCCCCTACCCCAGCACCCTGAAGACCAGCCCAATATATGCATTTGTCCTGGGTCAGCCCCACTGTCCAAGCAACTGCAATTTCTCACTAGAGAGCCAGGGCAGGGCAGGGTATAGGAGGGGTCCCTGGAAGATGCCCCCCAGAATGCCCTGATGCCTAAAACGTTCCCCGTTGGGCCTTCTCAGGGAGGGAGGGTTAAGACAGCCTTGTTCTCTCCAGCTACCTCCATCACCACTGGAGCCCTTACGGGCGTCAGGGGAGAGAATTGGCTCACTGGAGCCAGGAACAGCATGGACACAGCCCTGGGGCTGAGGCTAAGTGGGCTCTGGGAGACCGTCACTCTCTCTTCAAGCTTTGGTCTCCTGGCCCTCTACAAGCCAGGCTGTTTCAGGCTTTGCGTTAGGCCTTGCTCAGAGACAGAGTTGAAACACAGCTGGTGGACACAGTGGGCTTTAGGGAGGTGGCACGTACCTGGGGGTGGGGGCTGGGTAACAGGGAACGGAGGCCCTGGGGCTAGCATGGCCTGTCTGGAGGTGGCACAATGGGACCTGCACCACATGAGGACAGAGGGTCCACCTGGAGGAGTGGATCAGCCAGATGGCCACCAAGCTGGATGGCCACCGCCAGAGCCTGCAGGACAGCAGAGGGGGCTAGGAAGGGACAGAGGACAGCTGAGGGGCAGGGAATGTGGGTTCCTCCATACAGACACTTGAGTCTTCCCTAAGTGGGTCTTCCCCATGGGGGTGAGGGGGCATTCAAGACACACCTCCAGCCCACCTCAAGCTATCACAGGAGGCCACCACCAACTCACACAGGCCAGTTGCATTCTCACAGTGACCCCAGAACAGCACAGCCCTGTCTTTCAGATAAATAAATGGAGAGAGTGATGCATATCACAGCCAGGAGCTGGGACTCAGACCCAGGTCCAGCTGCAGTGCTGCCTCAATGGCTCCACCTGCACCTCCTCCGGGACTCAGTTCCTGCTAACAAATGAACACTTGAGTATGGGTGAAATAGGTGCTATTATCCCTTCTGGCTGCTGGGGAAAGGGAAGCAAGGCACAGATGACTTGCCCAAGGCCAACATATCATGACTGGTTCAACCCCATCTGTCTCGGCCAGCACATCCCCATGGCAGAGGCTTTACTGTGATCCAAACCTGGAAGGTGGCACTCCTTCCAATGTCCCACCCAGGGCACAGAGCATGCAGCCCCATGTTTGGGGAGGTGACAGGGTGGGGAGGTGACAGTGTGGGAAACAATCTGGCTAGGCGAAGGCCTCATGGAGCCCAGGGTTCCCTAGGACCAGGAGAGCTCTGGAGCCCACACTGACACCCACTGGAAACCTGGAATCTGCACCTGCAGGAGATCGGGAGAGGGGTTCGGCCTCCGATGCACCTGCAGCAAGGTGAGACAGGCACAGGTGGGCGCCCTGCTTCCAACCAGTGTCAGGTGGGCAGGAAGCAGATCTCCTCCCTGACCTTCCTCTCCTGCCTCCCCCAAGCAGAGGAGAAGGGGCAGCCGCCCATCAGGCCATTGCCCAGATTGAAGCCACTGAAGCTAGGTCCCAACAGGTGAGTGTGACCCCTGACTATCCCAGGCCCGGCCCAAGGCAGTCATGTCTCTGGTGAGGACCTGGTAGACAGATGTGATGTCCCCAAGTGGTTCTATAAACCTTTTGAGGATAATCAAGGAAATGGGCAAGAACATCATGCTCAGCCAAGAACCTGATAGGCACAAGGGGGACCAGGGCAGGTAAAAGTCAGTTTGGGTTCAGGCCTGGCCCCTGGAAGGATGGTGGATGAAGAGCCAGCCACGGTGAAAGGGAATGGATGGCCACGGGCTGGGTGGTCAGGACTGTCAGCTCCTGCAGCCCCTGCAGAACATCCGCCCAGGCCTGGCTCTGTGCTCAGCGTTCTGCGTGGAGCCACAGGTGCCTGGACACCGATCTCAAGTAGGGATGGTGGTAAGAAAGGTACTTGTGGCCACAGG
This sequence comes from Homo sapiens, assembly GCF_000001405.40. Lineage (NCBI taxonomy): Eukaryota > Metazoa > Chordata > Mammalia > Primates > Hominidae > Homo > Homo sapiens. The sequence continues at coordinate 72,646,766 of NC_000015.10, read as the reverse complement.
TGGGCACCTAAGCATGGGACAGAGGGGTATCATGCCCCAAAGAAATCATAGAGGCCAAGAGCTTAAGCATATGTGACACCATCAATAAATCCCCTTGTCCTGGGTCACGTCAATTAAGTCAGAGCCTACCCTGACCCTGAAGCTGCAGCTCAGTCTGGTTGAGACACACAGAGATGTTAGTGCTGGGCAGGGGGCCTGGCCCAGCCTGCGATGTCCAGCAAAGCTGTGGGCTGGACAAGAATCTCTGAAGATTAGTCCAGGACAAGGACAGCTGTGTCTGGGCAGGGAGTGGGGGCAATGCCCAGGGGGCAGGAGACCTGAGGACCTTTAGGTAGGATGCCAGGTCAGGACGTGCAGAAGAGAAGGTGGCATGGCAGCATCCTGCCCGAGGCCAGGCTATAAACCTCGGGGCCGCCCCGTCTAGCCTAAACCATGCTGACACCCAGATGCCATCCTTCAAATGTGAGGCAGGGCTGGGAGAGCCCCCAGACCCCTCATCCCTCCCATCCCAAGCTGGTTCCCATCCCTTACCAGAAGGAAAGTGAACTCTTCTATGGGACACAGCCTGCCAGGTTCTCTATCACCTGGGGGAAGGGGCTGGGGGAAGGGAGAGCTGCAGCTGGGTGAGAAAGAACCCAGGTCCCACTCTTTCCCTATCTGACAGGTGACCTCCGGCAAGCTGCTTTCTTTGCCTGGGGCTAAGGAGAGTCACAGGGGAGCGGCCAGGTTAAGAGGGCTCCACCTTGGAGCCCAGAGCTACCCACAGAGAAAACCCCCCATCCTCCCAATTCTGCTCCCAGCTCATGCTGCTGGGATAACATCCCCCCCATCAGAGAGGCCGTGGGAGGCAGAGGCTGACCTTTGCTCCTTCAGGCCCCTCAGCGGGTTTGGGTCCACCTTCATCATGATCAGGGGGCGAGTCCCTGGGATTGCAAAGGTGAGGGACAGCTTCTTGGGCTCCAGGTGCTCCAAGGGAGACCCTGCAGGGCACCAGAGCTAGAAGAGTGTTAGGGAGGCTGGGTGCAGTGGCTCAGGCCTGTAATCTCAACACTTTGAAAGCCTGAGGTGGGCGGATCACGAGGTCAGGAGATCAAGACCACGCTGGCTAACACAGTGAAACCCCATCTCTACTAAAACTACAAAAAATTAGCCGGGTGTGGTGGCATGCACCTGTAGTTCCACCTACTTGGGAGGCTGAGGCAGGAGAATCACTTGAACCCGGGAGGCAGGGCTGAACAGTGCTAGGACCTGAGCTCTGCCTGGCCATGGTGACTCTGAGCCACGTAACCCTACGTTAGTCTCAGTCTGTCACTGTGTCTCACGGGGGATGTCAGCATTACTTTTGGAGTCAAAGTAGGTAAGCCAGGGTAACCAGAGTTCCCTGCAGGGACCAAGACCAAAGGATGCAGGGGCTGGGCCTATCCCAGAAGGTCAGGCTGGACGAGGGGCTCCATGAAGTTGGGGCAGCTGAGGGCCTGCCCTTCAGGTTACAGGCATCTGGATCCTGGTCTAGACCCTCATATGCCATCCAGAGACCCAACCCTAGGGACCCTACCCAGGCTGGTAGCAGAGAGTCGATCCTTGTACTCACCCCACCAAAAGCTCTGAAATGAGGGGGCCTATGGGTGGGGGAAAGACTCTTCAGAAAAAGGTTCTCAGGGTCAGGGAAGGTTTGAGCTGGGCCTTAGGGCAGCCAGAGAGGCAGGTGACAGGTCTCCTCACAAAGCCTGCCAGAGAATGCAGGAGGAACACAGGTGTAGTGGTGAGAGTGTTCTGGAAGACAGCAGGAAGCCTCCTACTCACTGATGGGGCTGAGTGAGGTCAGGTCCACACACCAGGAGAAGCTGGAATCCACACACTGGTGCACTTTGTTTCTTGTTTCAGAGGCAGGGTCTTGCTCTGTTGCCCAGGCTGGATTGTGGTGGTGCAATCACACCTCACTGCAGCCTGGACCTCCTGGGTTCATGCAATCTTCCCACCTCAGCCTCCTGAGTAGCTGGGACTACAGGTGCATGCCACCATGCCTAATTTTATTTTTTTCGAGACAGGGTCTGACTATGTTGCCCAGGCTGGTCTGAAGCGATCTTTCCACCTCAGCCTCCCAAAACACTGAGACTACAGGGACAAGCCAGTGCTCCTGGCCATGCTGGTGCATTTTCTGCCATGGTGCACAGGAAGTATGAGCTGGGGGGCAGAATCTGCTCCTGGACCTCTACCCAGGCCTGCACCCAGACTGACCCCTGGGCTGTAGGGAGCAGGTGTGGAGAGAATGCAGCGAGCAGTACGGGTTACCCAGTGATGGAGACCCAGGCTGGGACTAGGAGAGATAGGGCTCCAACCCTCAGCCTAGTGGCCCTGCCCAACCCCTTGGCGCCAAGATGACTTTCTAGGAAGCCAGGCATGGAGGCCAGCATGCACCTGAACTGAGGACAGAAGATTCTGATGAGAGGGAGGGGGAGGCCTCTGACATAGTTTGGATACTTGTCCCATCCACATCTCGTGTTGAAATGTGATCCCCAGTGCTGGAGATGGGGCCTATAGTGTGAGGTGTTTGGGTCATGGTGGGGGATCCCTCATGAATGGCTTAGTGCCCTCCCCATGGTAATGAGTGAGTTTTCTTATTTTTTATTTTTTTATTTTTTGAGGCAGAGTCTCGCTCATAGCCCAGGCTGGAGTGCAGTGGCATGATCTTGGCTCACTGCAACCTCCACTTCCCAGGTTCAAGTGATTCAATGAGTGAGTTTTCTATTAGTTCACAGGAGAGCTTGATGCCTCCTCTCTCTTGCTTATTCTCTCACCATGCGACATGTCTGCTCCCTCTTTGCCTCGCACTAGAAGTAAAAGCTTCCTGAGGCTTCACCAGAAGCCTAGCAGATGCTTGTACAGCCTACAGAACTGTGAGGCAAATAAACCTCTTTTATAAATAACCAGTCTCAGTGCCAGGAGTGGTGGCTCATGCCTGTAATCCCAATATTTTGGGAGGCTGAGGCGGGTGAATCACTTGAGGTCAGGAGTTCAAGGCCAGCCTGACCAACCTGGTGAAACCCTGTCTACTAAAAATACAAAATTAGGCGGGCATGGTGGTGCGTGCCTGTAATCCAAGCTACTTGGGAGGCTGAGGCATGAAAATTGCTTGAACTGGGAGGCAGAGGTTGCAATGAGTTGAGATCACAACATTGCACTCTAGCCTGGGCCACAACAGCGAAACTCCATTTCAAAACCCTGTCTCTACTAAAGATACAAAAAATTAGCCAGGCATGGTGGTGCATGGCTGTAATTCCAGCTACTCAGGAGGCTGAGGCAGGAGAGTAGCCTGAACCCAGGAGGCAGAGGTTGCAGTGCCCTGAGATTGTGCCACTGTACTCTAGCCTGGGCGACAGAGCTAGACTTCATCTCAAAAATAAATAAATAAGCCAGTCTCAAGTATTCCTCTAGAGCAATGCAAAGCGGACTAATATAATGTCTACTGGACCTGACACTCAGGGAAGGGCTGGTCTTTACTCTGCCATTAACAGCCAGACTATGACAGAGTTGTTCCCCTGCTCTGCCTCAGTTTGTCCTCTCTCAGCTGAGCAGAGCAGGGATAATTGCTTCTCATGTGGGCCACAGGACAAAACAAAGCCCTGAGTCCCACAGGAAGATAGGTGGGCTATGTCCAAGGGAAGACAGAAGTGGGGCAGTATTTTATGTCCCCAGGGTGGCAGAGGGACATGGAAAAGATGCCTCCTTTGTGGACAAAGGAGAAAGGAAGATAAGCAGAGAGGCGCCAGACACCCGCCTCACCCCCACCTCCCCCACCCCACACCAGGCCCATTCCCACTCAGCCCCCAACTCAGGCTGCACCATTCCCCTTACGGTCAGCATGACTTCCCAGCCAAGCTGACAGAAGCTGACAGCTTGGATTCATCAGGGACAGCGCGTAGTGTAGGTGATGTGCAGGATGGAAGTGGAGAGGGGAGACGGGAGCCGTGGTGTCAGGTCTGGGGCTGCCAACATGGTACCTGCCCTGGCCGTGGGCAGACCATGCTGGTCCACCCTGCCAGATGTGGCCTCTAATTCTAAGGTCTCTGAGTTCCAGGCCAGGACTGGAGCCATACTCCCCTTGGGGACAGGGGACACAGTACACATAGACATTACTTGTGCTTTGGGCAAAGCCAGCTGGACAAATGAATGAAAGGGGCCCTGCTGGAGGGTAAAACTGGGCCTGGACTACTCAGACCTGCCTCTGTGACAGGACGGTCCCATCCTTCCAATCAGACTCCTGAGCTGGAAGCCTACCCAGCCAGGGAGTGGGGAAGGGGTGGCCTGCAGTCTCCCTTGAGTCTGTAGCCCCTCCCACCCAAGTCAGCTCCATAAAAAAAGATGCAGAAACCCCAAGTGCTCCTCCCAGCTGCTGGCTGCTTCCCGGCATGGCCTGAAGGACCCTGGATGAATCAAGACAGGCCTGCCAGCAGCTGGGGGAAGGGGGAAAGCTGGGTCCCCAGGGTGGATGCCTAGCAGGAACGTGCAGGCATGGCGAGTGATGGGCCCTCAGGGCTGAGCCCCTTCTGCCCAGGGGACCTTGGTGACACACCTGCTGCTGAGCTCAGCCCAAGGAGTAAGAGCCTGGTGCCAAGTGGCCTCTCTGCTTATGAAGACAGTCCTGGGATTGTTACCCCTCTGCCCAGGGCTCAAGTATCCAGGCTGGGGAAGGGCCAGCAGTCAGAAAGAAGGAGGCCGTGGGTGTGGGTCCCCTAGCAGTCAGGGGCCTTGGTGGACTAAGCCCCTATGAGGGGGATGAGAGGGAAGGGAGACTGAGCTGTACCCCCTACCCTGAGATCTGTGGTACCAGGCTCCAGAGGGGGCCCCGGGGGGAGACCAGCATGACAGGAACTGCTACGATGCCTTTGGGCACCTACTCTGCAGGGCTGGGCCAGCCTGAGGTTGGCAGCAGAGGGGTGGGCCAGGGGCCACAAGGAATGAAGCTTTGTTTGGTAGAGCTGTGACCCTCTTCATCCTCTTCTGACCCCCCAGCTGACCCTTGTCCTCAGATCTCTGCAGAACTTTGACCAAGCGGTGGTGGAGGAATTCCAGTGGGTCCGGGGTGGCCCTGGGTGACCCAGGGCTCATACCGGGGTTCTGGGGTTGAGGACAGGAGGCTGGAAGAGATGACCTCCCCTAGTCCCCCAAGGCTGCACAGACCCCTGAAGTCTGTGATAATCCTCTCAGCAGGCTGGACCCACTGACCGCCAGAGTGGGTGCCACCTTCTTCAGGGTGGCGCCAGCCCAGGCCGTCATGTGGCACTGTGCACGCCAGGGCCTGCACACCCTGTGGGAGGCAGCGGGCGTCTTGGTAGACATGGTCATCCTAGACCTCGGTCAGTACCTCCTTCCCTCTGCAGGCTGCCTCCCTCTGTCCCTCTGCCTCCTCCCTTGGGCTCGCTGCCTCCACATGCCCTGATCTGAAGCCTGCCTCCCCTCCTCATGGAGCCCTCTAAGGTGCTCCTAGCCCCAGCTCTCTGGTCCCGCAGCAACTTCTGGGCCCAGATTCTGTCTTCTCAGAAGTCTGAGAGGCAGAGCCCCGCCTGGCCATAGCCTTCTTGCTCTGCTCTAGGCAGTCCTAGCCCCAAAGCCTCCAGCCTGCTGGATGCCTTTATCTCCAGCTATGCCATGGCTCTCCTCATCCTGGGCCTCCTGCTCATCACAGTTGCCCTTGTCCTGGTGAGTGTCTGGCTTGGCCAGGGCTCCTTCCTGAGTGGCAGGCTGAGCCTTTGACGCCTTGAGCCTTTGAGCCAAGCTGAGGGGTGAGCAGGCCCCTTTACACCCCTGATTTCCCCATCCAAGCCCAGCGTCTCCTCATCCTCCAGCTGGGGCCGTGGGATTTGGGGCCAAAGAGTTGGGCCTGATCCCAGTGTCCCCGCCCTTCTTGTCAAGGTGCTAAACTTGAGGGCATGCCTTGGGTGCTGACTTTCCCAGGAACTCAGAGCCAGAGAGGGCCAGGCACCAGCCTGAGGCCAAACAGCCAGGGGCTTCTTCCTTCCTAGACCCCCAAGGACTGGACTTGCAGGGCTGGGACAGAGGTGGGGTGGGGGAAAGCAATGCCTTGTCAACCCATGCAGGGAGCCCCACTCCCATCCCCAAGGTGCACAAAGTCGAGAAACACCCCTGTTCCCATGTCCATGCTCACTCAGGGCCCTGCTCCAAGTGCTTGGCACTCACACCAGCCTCCTGTCCTCCATGCCACAGGTATCGGTCTCATTTACAGAGGGGGAAATGGTGGCCAAAAGCCTCCCCCAGCACACACGGCTAGACCACACAGAGGTCTTAGGTGCAGCTGAGGGGTCCACAGTCTCTGCTGTCCCTTCTGCCACTCGTGCTGCCAGGGACCACGCTTTGGAGAGGGAGGAATGAGAGTGAGCTGGGTGCTCACACATGGGGCACGGGGGACTAAGGAAGGGTCAGCCAGGAGGAAAGGGCAAGGTCTGATCCTGTACGTACACATCACAGAGCGCGCGGGGTCAGGAGACCGAGGGCCACGTCCCGGCTCTGCGGCTGCTCGGTATGTGACTGCGGTTAAATTGTCTCCCTGGACTCTCCACGCACTTTGTGTGCTGCGTGCACCTTCTAGGATGAGCCCGGACCCTGGCTGGCCTCATACTTACTGCGTAGGCTGCAGACCCGCAAGTGCTTCTGCAAGGGGCTTTGCTTCTCCTCATAACAGCAGCACGGGCTGGCCGCGTGCTCTGGGGGTAGAATGGAGAAGCTCTGGAGGTAGCAGGTGGGGGCTGGGCTTGGGCTCCTGGCCCAGACAGGGCAGGGTACACCTCAGGGTCACAGGGCCTGGCCCACTCTCTAGCAGCCCTTGGCCCACAGGCTGCCCAGCTGCCCACCCACAACCCGTACCTTTGGGCAGCCCCAGCTGCTGCAGTTCACTGGCCAAGGATTTGCCATCGACACTGTGCTTGGCCGCACCGGAGAGGATGAAACTCAGCACTGCCACTGTGGCCTTCACATCGCCTGACTCTCAGGGACCCATGCATGGGACAGGGGGTGTCACTGTGGGCCCAGCCACCTCCCTGTTGCCCTATTAACTTCAGCTCAAAGCCCCCAGGCCTCCTGGAGCCATAGGCACTGCTACTGCTCCACCAGGAGCTGGCAGAGGACAGGAAGGTGGGACTGTCAATGTCTTTCTTTCCCTCATGCTCCTCCACTAGGGAAGGCAGGTTAAGGATACTGCTGGGATGTGTGTGTTGGCGGGGGGGTGGGGGGCGGGCTCTGTACCAGGCACCAGGCCGAGGTCCCAGGGTTGCCTGGGGCCTGTGAACTCAGCGGGGTGCTCACCAAACTTGGCATCAGCTGTGAGTTTCAGGATCTTCTTATACTATGGGGAAAGGAGACCTTCAGGGGGTGCCAGGTCCCTGCTCACCAGCCCCTCACCCCCAGCCTGGATCCTGCAATAAGGAACAGACAGGCTGGAAAGAAGGAAGGGAGGTGCCCAGAGAGGTTGAGAGGCTGGCTCACCCGTCTCCCCGGGCCTAGTGCAGAGTTTCAGGGCAGTGGTGGTCATAAGGTCATGGGACAATGGGGTGCTGGATCTTGTACTCACATCAATTCCCTGTCCCAGCAGCTCCTTTAGTACCTGGCTGCAGAGCAGCTGCAACTTCACAGAGGACTGGAAAGGAAGTCCTTACATCAGCCAGGCTGGCAAACCTCACCCCTTCTTCCTGGGGACTGGCTCAAAGCAGGCCAGCCACTGATCAAGGTCACAAAGCATGGTAGCACAGGCTGAGAGCACTGAGGCCCTAGCCCCAGAGAAACCTCACCATCCTCTACAGCCACAATCCCCAGCCCAACACCCCTCCTCCACCCAGTGTAGACCCTGTGCACTCAACCATCTTGGCCAGCGTGCTGATCTCTGCCAGGACCCGGTCAGGACAGTCCAGATCACCACAGAACCGAAACCTCTGCAAGGGAGGGAGGCAGGTAATCAGGCTGGAAAGAAGACTGAGGTGTGGCCAGGATCCCTGTGTCTCCCACACTGCTGCCCAGCAGGGACCCCTGGTCCCCGACATAGATGGATACCCTCTGGCCACTTGTTCTCCCCTATCACCAGGCTGTTGAGTAAACTCTACCTGACCCACCCTGCCACCAAACCCTGCTCTGAGGTCTACTCCAGGCATTCATCTGCTCAGCAAACATCAATTGAGCACCTTCTCTGTGCTAGCTCCCACTCTAAGTGCTGGGGGTACAGCATGGGATAAAACAAAGTCCTGGGCCTCACAGAGACGAGTGAACTCTCTCCCTTCTTCCCCATACCCACACAACTCCAGCCACTCCAGCTTCCCTGCTGCAGCTCAGGGACACCAGCCTTGCTTCCGCTGCACTCTCTATGTGGCTTGCTATCCTTTATTTCATTCCACTCTCTGCTCAAGTGACACCTCATCAGACCAGCCCTTCTTTTTTTTTTTTTTTTTAAAGACGGAGTCTCGCTCTGTTGCCCAGGCTGGAGTGCAATGGCACAATCTCGGCTCACTGCAACCTCCACCTCCCGGGTTCAAGCAATTCTCCTGCCTCAGCCTCCCAAGTAGCTGGGACTACAGGCATGCGTCACCACACCCAACTTTTTTGTATTTTTGGTAAAGACAGGGTTTCACCGTGTTGGCCATGCTAATCTCGAACTCCTGACCTCAGGTCATCTGCACACTTTGGCCTCTCAAAGTGCTGGGATTACAGGCGTGAGCCACTCCACCCTGGCAGGCCAGCCCTTCTTGATCATACTTCCTAAAATAGCCCCTAACACAAGGAAATTTTGGGGGCCGGTGGATATATTCGTTATCTTGATTGTGGTGATCCAACAGTCAGGAAGATTTGGCCTTTACTTGTCCAGACTCATCTTTCCCTAACCTCCAGATGATACTCTCCCAGCTACGGGAAATGCATTCATTCCTGGGGAGCCATGCTCTCTCTCACCTGAAGTCTCTGCACATGCTGTTCCCTGTCTGAAGACACACGCCTCCCACCGTTGCCTCCCAACCCCTGGTACACAAACTGTACTTCAGCCAGCCAACTCCTGCCATCGCCTTTAAGGTTGAAGGCATCCTCAGGAAGCCCCCTTAGCACTACACACAAGGCGCAGTTAGGTCTCTGCCCCTGGAGCCTTAACTATGACTGCCAATTCAAGCCTCTGATTTCCCCTTCCCGCGGCAGCTCAAGTCCTCCCAGTGCCTAGTACAATTCATGGTATAGACTAGGCACTTTGAACCTATGGATGGATGGATTGGATGAATGGATGGATAAGTATCAGCCCCAAAACTACTACTTTCTGGATCTGAAAAGAGCGGAGTGGCTTCCTAACAGTGTGCAAGAGTGAGCCTGATTCTAGCACTTTCCTGTCCAAGTCCCACAGCAGGGCTGGGGAAGGGGGTGTCCTTGGGAGGTCCTTTTGGAGCTAGAGAAGACCTGAAAGGACTCCCAGCTCCAGACAAGCCCTAGTTCCTGCCCCAGGAGTCAGGGGCCCTTCCTTCCGCCAGGGAAGCAGGGAACTCTAAGCCGGCCGGCCTGCTCTGTCTTACCCGCCCCACTCGGGAGAGGGATGGCGGTGGACTTTTCTCTACCAGACCTGCTGCCCTGACGCCCGCACACACTGTGTTTGCGGAGCGGCCAGTGCAGACAACCTCAACCCGTTTCCGGAGCCACTGGCGCCCCCTCATTCCCGCTCCAGCAGCCCATGTCCGCTTCACCCCTGGTGCCTCATCATCGCCCGGGAATTTCTTTTTCCGGTCCCGCCAGGTCAGCTGAGTCGACGATCACGTGACTTGGACTAACGGCCTCTGGCGGGGCGGGGCCTGCTCGAGTGAGGCCGGGAGCGGACCGCAGCCCGCTGGAGGTGCCGGGGGCGAAATGCTGGCGTCTGCTCCTCCGTCTCCCAGAATCCTGCCCTGGAAAAAACCAGCGCCAACCGCCGGTTTAACTGAGGACGGATTTAAGGCATTACGAAAGACAGTGGAAGTTATTTCTTTTACTTTTATTTTCGTTAACTTAAGGGGGTAGGATCCCGGGAGCCAGGGAGATTCAGGTCATTGCCATGTTTTCCACTGTTAAGCGAATAGCATTATACACAGCTGCGGGCTGTGGCAAAAAACATTTTAAAAACTTTTCAAATATATTACACATACAGAAAATTGTACCTATTAGAAATATAAAGCTTAATAAGTTTTCATCAACTGTAGACCTCACATAACCAGCACCCAGATAAGGAAATAACCAGGTAACTTCTTCAAGTGCATGGGTATTTTATTTCATTTTGATGAATCGTCTAGGTGCCTAGTAAAAAGGGCTGTCATAATTAACATGCTCAGGAAAACTCCCCACAGCTTCAACATCAATAGATCTTATCTTAATTTTTGCCAGTCTGATGGGTAAAAAAAAAATCGGTTGCTTAGATTGCAGTGGTAGTCTGATTACTGGTAGCTTTGAGCTAATGGGTAGTCTAGAACAACTAAGTTTCCGACGTTGACTTGAAGAGGCAAAAACAAAAAGACAAAACAACAACAAAAATACATTAAAGAATAAACTAATAACCAAAGAAGAAATTGAATACAGTCGTCGCTTAGTAACCTCAAGATACTGGTTCCAGGACCCCAGAGATACCAAAATTCACAGATGCTCAAGTTCCTGATATAATGTGGCATAGTATTTGCATATAACCTATGCACATCCTTCCGTATACTTTAAATCATCTCTAGATTGCTATAATACCTAATACAACATAAATGCTTTGTAAATAGCTGATATAAAGTATTTTTAAATTTTTGTGTTTTTTTATTGTTTTACTTTTTCCAAATATTTTTGATGCACAGTTGGTTAAATCCAAGGACCCAGAACCCGAGGATACAGAAGGCTGACCATAGTTTGAGCTCTCTCCTCAATTCCATGCCTATCCCATGCACCAGGTGCAGCTGGTTTTATTGTTGCAGGCTTTCAAGTTTTCAAAAGACAGACCTCATGACAAGTAAACTGCTCTATAGAATAGAAATAGAAAGTGTCCCAATTCATGGTAAAATTGAACTCATTTCTGAAGAGTTATTTTACAAATCATAAGCACTATCCTCTTGAAAGCAACAGTGTGTTAAGTTACTAGACTATCCTATACCATGTCAAAGAAAAATTTTAAGAACATAAGACCTGTAATCATAGCACTTTGGGAGGCCAAGGCCAGTGGATCGCTTGAGCCCAGGAGTTCTAGACCAGCTTGGGCAACATAGGGAGACCCCAGTCTCTACAAAAAATTAGCTGCTTGTGCTGGTGCACACGTGTCATCCCATCTACCTAAGAGGCTGAGATGGGAGGATCTCTTGAGCATGGGAGGTGGAGGCTGCAGTGAGCCATGATGGCGCCACTGTACTCCATCCAGCCTGAGCAACAGAATGAGACCATCTCAAAACAAAAAAAGGAAAAGAAAAAAAGCTGGGTGCGGTGGCTCATGCCTGTAATCCTAGCACTTTGGGAGGCCGAGGCAGGCAGATCACCTGAGGTCAGGAGTTGGAGACCAGTGTGGCCAACATGGCAAAACCCGTCTCTACTGTAAATAAATAAATAAATACAAATTAGCTGGGCATGGTGCTGGGTGCCTGTAATCCCAGCCTCAGGAGACTGAGTCACAAGAATCGCTTGAACCCGGGAGGTGGGGGTTGCAGTGAGCCGAGATTGCACCACTGCATTTCAGTCAACTTGAGCAACAAGGTGAGAAAAAAAAAAAAAGATGTAGGAATGGTTCAACTTTTATTTCATGCTGTCAGTAGGTTAAAGAAGAGAAAAATGGATAGTTTTGGGACCATTTTTTATTTAAAAAGAAAATTAGGAACAGATGAAAACTGTCTTATCTTAAGAGTATTTGAAAAACAAAACAGCAAATTTAACATTAGACAGACAAAATATTTAAATTCAGAAATAAAGTTAAAAGGTGGGTGGTGCGCCCTTTTAATGTCATACTGAGCATTGTTTCATAGATACTTGTTTTACTATTAAAGATTGACTATTTAGAGCAGTGTTTCTCAAACATTAGAGTGCATCCTAATCACTTGCAAGGCTTGTGAAATGGGCTGCTGGGCCCCACACCAGAGTTTCTAACTCAATAGGACTGAGGTGGGGCCTAAGCATTGCATGTCTGTGTTCCCAGGTGACGCTGGTGCTTCCAATTTGAGACCATGGTTTGAAAACCACTAATGTAGGGAAATATACTAGAGAATATGTTATGAATATATGTGAGAATATGTATATATGTTAACTTACAGATTTCAGTACAGTAGAAAAGATAACTCCCAAAGATGACAGTTTTATTTCCCAATAGGATTTTTTTTTTTGAGTCAGAATCTTGCTCTGTTGTCCAGGCTGGAGTGCAGTGGCATGATCTTGGCTCACTACAGCCTTCACCTCCCAGTTCAAGCAATTCTCCTGCCTCAGCCTTCTGAGTAGCTGGGACTACAAGCACCCACCATTGAGCCTGGCTAATTTTTGTATTTTTAGTAGAGACAGGGTTTCACCATGTTGGCCAGGCTGGTCTTGAACTCCTGACCTCAGGTGATCCACCCACCTCAGCCTCCCAAAGTGCTGGGATTACAGGCCTGAGCCACCACGCCCGGCCTCCCTTTAGGATATTAACAAGTTTTGTCTCTATCTCAGAATGCATTTCGGAATGCCCTTCCTGGAGCACTACAGACACTGTCTCTCAAAACGCTCCTTGAACTAGCTTCACCGTGTTGCTGACTCCCTTGTAAATTAAAGAAAATATCTTATACGTATTCCTTCATTATTTGTATGAAAGTCAAGCTTTTCATATTGTGAAAATTATACTTCAGGCTGGGTGCAGTGGCTGACGCCTATAATCCCAGGACTTCTGGAGGCCGAAGTGGCTGGATCACTCGAGGCCAGGAGTTTGACACCAGCCTAGCCAACATGTCGAACCCCATGTGTACTAAAAACAAAATCAAAATTAGCTGGGCATTGGTGGCACACACCTGTAGTTCCAGCTGCTCGGGAGGCTGAGGCACAAGAATTGCTTGAACCCAGGAGGCTGAGGCTGCAGTGAGCCAAGGTTGCCATGAGCTGATATTGTGCCACTGCACTCCAGCCAGAGCCAGAGTGAGACTCTGTCCCAAAGAAAAAAAAGAAAGAAAATTATACTTTGATACAGTATGCTAATATAAAGGATATGATATGGCTTGGTTCTGTGTCCCCATCCAAATCTCACCTTGAATTGCAATAATCCCCACATGTCAAGGGTGGGACCAGGTGGAGATAATTGAATCATGGGGGTGGTTTCTCCCATGCTGTTCTCATGATAGTAAGTGAGTTCTCACCAGATCTGATGATTTTATTACAGGCTTTCCCCTTTGCTCGGCTCTCCTTCTCTCTCCTGCTGCCCTGTGAAGAGGTGTCTTCTGCCATAATTGTAAGTTTCCTGAGGCCTCCCCGGCCATGCAGAACTGTGAGTCAACTTAAACCTCTTTTATTTATAAATTACCCAGTCTTGGGTATTTCTTCATAGCAGCATGAGAATGGACTAATACAGTGTACTAATAACAGCCCAGACAGTAGTATACAGGTACTACTATACTTTGATGCTAGAGGTATTCCCATTAAGGTCAGGAGCAGTATGCGCTATCATTACCATGATCTAACATTGTTCCAGAGGGTTTTAGGTCAGCAGTTCTCAACTGGAGGTGATTTTGCCGCCCTGGGGATATTTGACAGTATCTGAAATCACTTTGGCTGTCACACTGAGGAGTGCTGCTGGCATGTGGCAGGCGGAGGCTGGGGATGCTGCTAAACATCCTGCGAGGCGCAAACAGCTCCAGAACAGAGAACTGTCCAGCCCTAAACATCAACAGTGCTGCTGTGGAGAAAGCCTGGTCTAGACAAATAAAACATGGGAAATCCATTAACATAAATGTGGGTGGATAATCAACTGGCATTTGCCAATGGCAGTCTAGCTAGGAGGTCCAAAAGGAGCACCTGAAGGACAGTTAGATTTTGCAGGGGCTGCATGGTGGCTCATGCCTGTAACCCCAGTGCATTGTGAGGTCACATTGGGAGGATCTCTTGAGGCCAGGAGTTCAAGACCAGCCTGGGCAACATAGTGAGACCGCATCTCTACTAAAAATTAAAACATCAGCCAGATGTGGTGCTGCGCTCTGATAGTCCCAGCTGCTGAGGTGGGAGTATCGCTTGAGCCCAGGAGTTGGAGGCTATGGTGAGCTGTGATCATGCCACTGTACTCAAAAAAAAAAAATTTTTTTTCTCTGTTGCATATGGGGTCTTGCTATGTTGCCCAGGCTGTTCTCAAACTCCTGGCCTCAATCAGTCTTCCTGCCTCAGCCTCCGAAAGCGTTGAGATTACAGGCGTGAGCCACTGCCCCTGGCCTTACAAAATAAAAATTAAAAAAAGAAGTTACAGGATGTTATGTGGCCCGTTGAAAGATGTTGGAAAACAGTTGCGCATGTGACCCCGCTATAACCAGTTATAAAAGTATCAGGATTAAGAAATGTACTGCATCTGGCTTTCCCAAGTTTAGGATCCTGCTGAAAGAATGAGATGGATCTTTTCTTCCTCCGCTCCTCACCTCCCTGCAAGAACCAGGACTGTGCATTTTGACGGGCAGGCTCTTACCCCTGGCAGGCCACAGGGGGCATGCAAAGCATTTCCGTGTGTGTTTTCTGAGTACTCGGATAAAGACCCCTGTCCAGGCCTTTGTTTAGGATATTTGGCCCATGGAGGAATGAGGGTGGAATCACCTGGGAGGGGCAGAGGCTTCGAATGGAAGGAGGAGTGACCTGAGCTCCAGGTTCTGGGCCTACACTTTGTTCCCATGCAGCACCCCATTAGTGGTGACTGGGGCCTGGAAGTCAGGGACCTTGGTGGCCAAGTGTTAGGTGGACAGGAGGAGCTGAGGGAGGTGAGGGGCATCTCTCCAGGACCGCCCCCCGCCCCGTCCCCAAATCAATGCCCTCTGATGGCTCAGACATAGCCCCGGCCAGCAGCAGTGTGGGTCAGGAAGGGCGAATGCAGTCAGCACGGATCTGCTCCATAGTCTCCACCTCACTTCATCTCAGTTTGGAAGGTGTGAGTCCCCGCAGCACTGATAGGATATCCTGTCAGCTGAGAACATTCAGCTTGATTTAGAAAGATAAGGTGGGACATCTCTTGGGCATGGCATGTGGAGCAGTGCCATCCCTCTGTGGCAGCGAGCCAAGCAATAAACCAGAATGTGCAAAACCTGCGTCCCAGAATCACCATTCCCGGAGGAAAAGCCTATATTGTCAAGATGCCCACTCCTAAATTAACCCAAACATTCCACCCAGCCTCGAAAAACCAGTAGAACTTTGACATTAATACACTAACCCTCAGGTCTATACAGAAACGTGTAAGAATGGCCACATAATATAACGTGCGGTCATTGAGAGAGAGGAGCCCATCAGAACAAATGGAACCAAGTCCAGAAACATGTCTGTCTAGGGGCAAGTTGCCAGCATGTGTGTCAGCCAGGGAAGCAGACCAGGGGGAGATATTTATTAAGATTTAAAACGAGGCTCTGTAGCTCAGGCCTGTAATTCCAGTACTTTGGGAGGCTGAGGTGGGAGGATCGCTTGAGCCCAGGAGTTTGAGGCTGCAGTGAGCTATGATCATGCCACTGCATTCCAGCCTGGATGACAGAGCAAGACCCCATCTCTTAAAAAAAAAAAAAGTGTTCAGATGCACCCTTACATGAAGCCACCTTTGGCACAGCTTCCAAGACTGGTGAGGCCTCACTCGGGACCAGGGGGCCCAGCCCTAGCTCAGTTTCCACCACCTGAGTGGCACAGTGTCCTCAGTCCAGTCTCTATTGGGTCTCAGATCCCCCAATCATGCCCCTTCTGCCCAAGCTCTGCCTCATTATGGCCTCCACTGACCGCAGCCTCTTCCACCTTCCCAAAGGGACCTTTAATCATGCTCTCCAGCCCACAGGAGTGCCTGCTTCTTCAGGAAACCCACCCTGCTGGCTCTGGGCTCTATGTAGGAGAGCTGGAAAGGCTGGATCCTGCCACTGAGTTCAGTCTCGGGGGTCTCCACCCATGCTAGGCTTCCACTGATGGGACATAAGTGGCCAGGGGTGTTCTTTACAACCACACAAGAGCCACATGGTGACCAGGAGTGGGGTTCTGAGAGGTTAAATGACTTGCCCTGGGCCCCAGAGCTGGCTAGAATTCCTGCACTGCTACAACCAAGGCCACGTTTGGGCCTCCCACTCGGAGACCCGGAAACCCTTCTCCATCTACCAGGCTGGGAAACACATGTCTGCTGCAGCTTCCTCCCAGTGACTTACAGCAGCTGCAGATTTCTGGGGGGCCTTCTACAGGGCCCACCGCAGCAGGGAGCCAAGAAGTCTTACAGAGCCCCGCATTCTCTCTCTGCCCGCTTCAGCTCCGGAATCATATACTAGCTGCTCTGATTAAGAACAGGCCTTGGTGAGGGTGTTGGGGCTCTGGTCTGTAGCTCAGGCCTTCAGGAATCAGGTGATGTCAATCTGGAGAGGAGGTACCTGCTGGGGGAAGCAACCATGGGCCAGGGCCCTGGCCCTTTGCAGGGGCAGCCCCTCTTCCTTCCCAGGGTCCCCTGAGAATCTGAAGGCATCCAGGGTAAAGCGCAGTGTTCAGCTATGTCCTGAGGTCCAAGAAAGCCAAGAAGAAGTTGCTCTACCTGCTGTCCACAAGGCACCCCATCAGAGAACATACTCAGCCTACCCCGGCCCAACACCAGATCCCAGGGACTGATCCACCTGTAAGAGGGCAGCATGAGACTGCCCCCATTGTCCCCAGAGAGTCCCCTCAGTCATGGGCTCTGACCATGGTGCAGGTGGGCCCAGCAGGCTGGCCCAGCATGGGTGTGGCTGCCCATTGGTCCTCTGAAGAACCTCAGGGGCTTGTGGCAGCAGGTGTATGTCTGGGCTTGGAAGTAGAGGATGTCCCCCAGCCAGAAGGCAGGGGACACTTGTTTTGCAATCCAGTCCTCTGCAAGGACAGGGACCCCAGGCTCTGGGCACCCCAGCTCTGCCTGCCCTACCCACTGCCTACCACTGTTCGATCCAGGCAAGTCACCCTGGCTCCCACAGAGGGAGCCACCCTTCCCACCTCCTGATGTTTGCCCGCACCAGTCAAGTTCCATTCTGGAAAAACCCTCAGCATCCTTGGGAAGGCACCTCCTCCTTGACTCCTTTTCAGAGCTATCATCCCCACTTCCATTTTCCACCTATCATTCGATGCAGAGACAGCTTCTTCCCTGGGCCAGGGCTGCTCTGGAGGCAGGGAGGTCATGGCCAGGCCATGGGGTGTAGCAGAGCACCGGGTATAGACCAGGCTCTCCAGGTACACCTGGGCAGAGAAGTCAGAGGCCTACAGGTGAATGCCCCTCCTTCCGGCCCCACCCACCTCACAGGCAGAAAGAGGGAGGCTTCACAAGGAGGTTGAGGTAAACAGGAGAGCCCGGGTCACCTCTGTCTGATCTCCTGCCCTCCTGGGAGAAAGTCAGAGGTCTGAGCTGGGAGGTGTCGAGAGCCCTGGCCCCATCCTGGTTTCACTGATGAGGCTCAGGGAGGGGCGGGGTCAGCCCAAGTCACTGAGTCCATAAGGGAGGGTTCTGACCATAACCCAGGACCCTAGATCTAGCTGAGGCCGCATGCCTTTCCCATATAGACCAAGGTAGGGCTTCTGGCTTCTAAGGCCGAGGCCCAGCACACCTCTCCCTCCCCTTGCCTGCAGCTGTTGTCACACATCAGAAGTGAGTTTTTCCCCAAGGGGCTGGAGGCACAGCTCCTTGGGCTGGACCAGGTGGCCAATCCAAACAAGTACCTGTGTGTCCCCACCAGCCAGGACTTCTCACGCCACGCAGCAGCTGGGGGTACCAGGATACCCTGGTGGATTCCAAGGATGAGCCCTCCCTGAGGCTCCCACAGAAGCACTGCCGCCCCCAGACCCGCCAAAGCCCCATGTCCATGCAGCCCTCAAGAATCTGGCCCCTCACACACACCTGCCCCACTCCTCCCACCTGGCTTTCCTGTGAAAAGTGGAACTGGTTCCACCTGGGCCAGCTGGAGAAGGGCCTCAGGAAATTGCCATTTTGGGAATTCATTCTAATCATCCATTCATTTATTCACCAAATACCCACTGTCTACCTTTCTGTACCAGGCCAGGGGTGATGGGTCAAGTGGAACACATGTCCCAAGGAGTTTTCCTCTCTTTAGAGACAGACAGGCGGGCTCTCAGACCATGAGGTGCCCTCTGGGCTAGTGGGTGCCCAGGGCTGGATGTAATGTAGGGCCTCGCCCACAGGAGGTGCTGGTGGGTACGGACGTGGAGGCCACCACAGGGTGAGGGTGTCCAGACAGAGGACCTAGCATGTGCCCAGGCCCAGGGTGTGACCTGGGGCAGGTGCGGGGCTGCTCTATCTGGAAGGCTTCCTGACTCTGCCAACAATAGGCCGTGGCTGGATCAGGCTTCATGTCAATTTTTAACATTTAATACATTTTGATTATGTAACTAAACATTATTGTGATAAAAATTATGAAATATAGAAAAGTTAAAAACACAAAAGACCAGCAAACACCTTTTCTCCCTAAGTAACTGCTTCAACAGTATTTTCTGACTTTTTTTCCCACGTATCTGCAGCTATAAACATAAGCTGCACAAGATAGTATCCTTCCCCATATTCTGTTTTGGAGCTGGATTTTTCACTCAGCAGTGAATAGAGGCAGGCTTTAAACAGGCCACGCATTGTGAGGGCCCTGGGAAAGGAGACTGACCATGTTGCTGGGTGACCTTGGGCAAGTCTCTCCCTCCTCAGAGCCTGGATTTTCTCAGTCCAGTGAAGGGCAGGAAGGGCTGTAGTAGGACTACATCAGCGCTTCCCAAACTCAGAACCGCCACGTGGAGCTGTGTGAGCTGTCACTGCACAACCCCAGGGGCAGGAGCATTCTTGTCACGGCCTCTGTGAGTGGGGCTCCTGCCCAAAAGTGTGCTGTGCCAACCTGGGGCCCACAGGAGGATTTTAGGCGATACGGGGATGAATTGATTTTTACCATTTCCTTCTATCTGTAGTGAATGAGACCGATTCTCACCGGGAGGGCTTGTTAAACCACAGGTCGCTGAACCCACGCCTCAGAGGTTCTGATTCAGGAGGTCTGGGGTGGCGCCTGAGAATCTGCATTTCTAACAAGTTCTCAGCTGATGGGGATGCTGATGCTGCTGGCTCAGGGACCACACTTTGAGAACCACTAATCACAAATTTCCTTTTATTCATTTATTTATTTAAGGCAGGGTTTTGCTCTGTCTCCCAGGCTGGAGTATAATGGTGCGATCACAGCTCACGGCAGCCTCAACCTCCCAGGCTCAAGCAATCCTCCTGCCTCACTTCCCAAGTAGCTGAAACTATAGGCTCACGTCACCATGCCTGGATATTTTTGTAATTTTTGTAGAGACAGAGTTTCGCCATGTTGCTCAGGCTGGTCTTGAACTCCTGGGCTCAAGCAATTCACCCGCTTTGGCCTCCCAAAGCGAAAGTTTCCTTTTTAAATACATTTATTTAGGTTTTAAAAATGAGTTGACTTAAAGCACATGAATAGATCTTCAACACTAACCACTGGGGAAATGCAATTAAAACCACAGTAAGATATCACTGCATATCTATTAGAACAGCTCAAATCAAACATAGTGATAATATCAAATATTGGCGAGGATGCAGACAAAACTAACTCATACATCACTGATGGGAATATAAAATGGTACAGACTCTCTAGAAAATAGTTTGGCAGCTTTTTTAATTAAACATACACCTCAATATATGACCTAGCAATTGCTTCTGGGCATTTGTACCAGAAAATAAATAAACTGATGTCTGCACAAAAACTCATACATGATTGTTTATGGCAGGTTTATTTGTGATAGCCCCAAATTGGAAACAACCAAATACTCCCCCATAGGTGAATGGTTAAGCAAACTGATACATCCATTCTATGAAATACTATTCAACAATAAAAAGGGGGCCAGACACGATGGCTCATGCCTATAAACACAGCACTTTGGGAGGCCAAGGCAGGTGGATTGCCTGAGGTCAGGAGTTTGAGACCAGCCTGGCCAACATGGTGTAATCCCATCTCTACTAAAAATACAAAAAAAATAGCTGGACATGGTGGGGGGCACCCGTAATCCCAGCTGCTCAGGAGGCTGGGGCAGTAAAATTGCTTAAACTCGGGAGGCAGAGGTTGCAGTGAGCTGAGATCATGCCTATGTACTGGGCAATAAGAGCAAAACTTCATCTAAAAAAAAAAAAAAAAGGCCAGACATGATGGTGGGTGCCTATAATTCCAGCTACTCAGGAGGCTGAGGCAGGAGAATTGCCTGAACCCAGGAGGTGGAGGGTTGCAGTGAGCTGAGATCATGCCACTGCATTCCAGCCTGGGTGACAGAGCGAGACTCCATCTCAAACAGAAAAAAAAACAATAAAAAGGAACATGCACAACTTGGACGGATCTCAAAGGGCATTTGCTGAGTACAAAAAATAAAAAGCCAGTCTCAAAAGGCCACATACTGTGTGATTCCATTTATATAATGTTCTTTTTTTCTTTGTTTGGTTTTGTTTTTTTTGTTTGTTTTTTTTAGACAAAGTCTCACTCTGTGGCCCAGACTGGAGTGCAGTGGCACAATCTCGGCTCACTGCAGCCTCCGCCTCCTGGGTTCAAGTGATTCTCATGCCTCAGCCTCCCAAGTAGCTGGGAGTACAGGCGCGCACCATCATGCTGGCTAATTTTTGTATTTTTAGTAGAGACAGCGTTTTGTCATGTTGGCCAGGCTGGACTCAAACTCCAGGCCTCAGCGGTTCCACCTGCCTCGGCCTCCCAAAGCACTGGGATTATAGGTGTGAGCCACCATGCCAGATCTTCTTTCATTCATTCATTCATTCATTGAGAGTCTCACCCTGTCTCTCAGGCTGGATTGCAATGGCAGGATCACTGTAGCCTCCACCTCCCAGGTTCAAGTGATTCTCCTGCCTCAGCCTCCATGTAGCTGGAACTACAAGCTAACGCCATCACGCCTGGCTAATTTTTGCATTTTATAATGTTCTTGAAGTGAGAAGATTATAAAGACAGAAAGCAGATTAGTGGTTGCCAGGAGTAGGAATAGTGGAGGGGAAGAGCCAGGAATGAGTGCAGAGTAATAGCAGGAGTGGAATTTTCGTGGTGTCGGAACAGTTCTCTATCTTGATCGTAGCGGTGGTTAAAGGAGTCTACATATGTGATAAAATGGCATAGACATAGTCATGTGACATTGTTAGATATTGTCCTACATTTATACAAAATAGAACCTTTGGAGGAAACTGAGTAAAAAGTACATGAAACCTCTCTGTACCATCTTTGAAATTTCCTCTGAATCTATATTTCCAAATAAAGGGTTAACATTTTTAAAGTTGCTTTAGACAAAAATATTAAATAAAAATAATGTTGATTGTATGCAGGTCTGGCAAACCTTTGAATGACTGGCATCTCTAATCCATCCAATGCACAATTGCCCCTGGCCAGGCCCTGTCCTAGGCTAGGTCACCTGCTAAAAGATAGGACTCTGGATTCTCTCTTTCTTGGCTTTGGGGTAGAGATGCCAGATAAAATATAGGATGCCCAGTTAAATTTAGATTTCTGATTAAAAAATAAACTATATTTTAGTAAGTATGTACCATGCATATTTAGGACATACTTATACTAAAAATTATTTCTCTAAATTCTTTTTTCACCATCTTCACAGGTGTTGATATTTCTCTAAAATCTTTGATGTATGTATGCAGTTACTTTAAAGCTCTTGCCTGCTAATTCCAATGTGTGAGCCATTTATGGGCCCCCTTTTTTTTTTTTTTTTTTTTTTTTTTTTTTTTTGAGATGGAGTTTCACTCTTGTAGCCCAGGCTGGAGTAAAATGCTGCCATCTCGGCTCACTGCAACCTCCACCTCACCTGGCTGGTCTTGAATTTCTGACCTCAGGTGATCTGCCTGCCTCAGCCTCCCAAAGTGCTGGGATTACAGATGGGAGCCACCATGCCCGGCCCTTTTGTTTGTTTGTTTCTTTGAGATAAGATTTCACTCTGTTGTCCAGGCTGGAGTGCAGCGGCATGATCTCAACTCACTGCAACCTCCACCTCCCAGGCTCAAGCCATCCTTTCACCTCAGCCTTCCAAGTAGCTGGGACCACAGGCATGTGCCACCAGCAGTCCTGACTGGTTTTGTGGAAGACAATTTTACCACAGACAGGGTCAGGGGTGGTGGTTTTGGTATGAAACTGTTCCACTTCAGATCATCAGGCATTAGAGTCTCATAAAGAGTGTGAAACCTAGATCCCTTGCATGTGCAGTTCACATTAGGATTCACGCTTCTATGAGAATCTAATGCCTGCTGATCTGACGGGGGGCGGAGCTCAGGCAGTAATGCTCGCTGTCCACCACTCACTTCCTGCTGCGCAGCCTGGTTCCTACCAGGTCACCGACGGGTACAGTCCACAGCCTGGGGGTTATGGGCCCCTGCACACCCCCACACCCAACTCAGTTTTGAATTTTTAGTAGAGATGGGGTTTTGCCATGTAGCCCAGGCTGATCTCAAAGTCTTGAGCTCAAGTGATCTACCTGCCTTGGCCTCCCAAATTGCTGGGATTACAGGCGTGAGCCACCATGCACAGTGGGTCAGTTCGTATTGACTGGTTTTCTCTTAATTGTAGGATATATTTTCTCACTTTTTCTCATGTCTTCTAAGTATTTCTTGAGCTGTTGGACATTGTGAACCTTCATTGTAGAGATGTGGGTTATGTTATCCTACTCCAGTGTTGAGTTTTATTTTGGCAGGGAATTAAATTACTGATGGGTTAACTTGATCACGTGTGTCAAGGCTACATTTTAGGTTTTGTTAGCGTGAGCTGGTTTTTAGTTTTGACCTTATTCCTAGAGAATCTTCCTTAATCCCAAGGCATGGCCTTCTAGGCCCTCCTGTGAATGTCTGGGATATTCATCAAGTCCTGAGATTCCAAGAGTGGAGATGCTGGCTGAGCCAGAATTCAGATGTGTTTCCAGCACTCTGTGACCACTGAAATCGCTGTTTAGCTCTCAGCTCCCCATCGGCTGTTCTGTGCTAGGCCTTGCAGAGTCTCAATCCACACATTCATAGTTTGGGATTTGGCCAAGGACCTGCAGCAACCTCTATAAGATTTCTGGGGCTCCTTCTCTGCAACTCCATCCTTTCTGATACCCTGCCACACACATTTTAGCAGCCCTGAGCAGCAGTCTCCGTTTCCTCCACCAAACAAGACTGATCCTTTGCCTGGACTCTGCTTCCTCGTGCTGTCATTGAGGGTTTTGAAACTTTCCCCACCAGAAAAATGTAGCAGTAACTTCATGTGATTCCCTTCTCTCAGATTGTACCTGGAACTGCCTATTGCCCAATGGCTGAAGACAATTTCTTCATGTACTTTGTCCAGCTTTGTAGTTGTTTATGCTGGGAGACCATCATCAATACAGGTACTCCATCATGGCCACAATTCGAAGTATGATTAATATCATATTCATTCTATTCTAAAAGTAGAGAAGACAAAGACCAAAAATTCTAAGAAAAATGGAAAGTTCAAACTGGAAAAATGAAAATTCAAAGAAAAAGAAACACAAATGCTGCTGACACACAGGAAAAAATGTTTAACTTCTCTGGTAATAAGAAAGATACAGTTTCAGGCCAGGCACAGTGGCTCACACCTGTAATCCCAGCACTTTGGGAAGCTGAGGTGGGAGGATCATTTGAGGCCACAAAGTGGAGGTGGCAGTGAGCCGAGATGGTGCCACTTGGGGTGACAGAGTGAGATCCTGTCTCAAAAAAAAAAAAAAAGATACAGATGTAAACAACATCCTGCAACCTCTACATGTGGCCATGACTGATAACAGGGACCAGATTTGCCTCCCACCTTTAATAACTAGAAAAATGGAACAAAATATAAAACAATAGTTTTCAGACATCGGAGAACAGGTCGAGCAGAACTATGATCCCTAAAAGAAGGTGAACCCTAGAGTGTCCTCGGTTTACTGCCGGAAGCAATTACAGGCTCCAACACAGGGAGGGGAATCCAAAGTCCGGTGGTCTTGGTGGATTGAGGAGACAGAGATCAGAGCTTGGGAAGATCTTCAAGGCCGGTAGAATTTGTGAGGTAGAGTACCAGGGAGGAGGTGGGAGAAGAGAGCGCGTGAACTCTGGAGAGCTATGGAAGATGCCCTCAAGCCTTTGGCAAAGGGCTGATAGGGACATATGTGAGAAGAAAGTACCCAGGGAAAGAACTGCCAGAAAGCAGACAGAAGAATCCCCAGAGCTCACAACAGGCTAGAGAGAATTCATATTCTCACTAGTCAGAATGAAAATACCTCATAATACTTAGGAAATGGAAGAGAAGCTTTAAAAAACTATTGCCTTAATAGTGGGGCTAAATGAGCACTGGAGTAAAGACTTCTCTGAAACTGTCCTAACAAAGATTGAAAGCAAACCTTTGTAGATCCAACTTATTTCAAATAACTTAACTAGTGCTGGAACACAGTCCCACACTATTTAAAGCAAAACAAAATCCAGCAGTCACAACACAAAAACACAGTCAATAAAAAATTACCAGGCAATGGCCAGGCACAGTGGCTCATGCCTGTAATCCCAACACTTTGGGAGGCCAAGGCGTGCAGATTGCCTAAGGCCAGGAGTTCAAGGCCAGCCTGGCCAACATGGCTAAATGCTGTCTCCACTAAAAATACAAAAATTAGCCAGGCGTGGTGGTATGCAACTGTAGTCCCAGCTACTTGGGAGGCTGAGACACGAGAATCACTTGAACCTGGGAGATGGAGATTGCAGTGAGGCGAGATCACATCACTGAACTCCAGCCTGGGTGACAGAGTAAGACCCTGTCTCCAAAAACAAACAAACAAACAAACAAACAAAACAAAAGAAAAACACAGGCAAAATAGGGCCTATAACCAGGAGAGAAATAAATCAATGGAAATAGGCCCAGAAATGACAAAGATGATGTAATTAGCAGATAAAGACATTAAAAAACATATTATAAATATGCTCCATATGTTCAAGAAGGCTAGAAAAATCTGAACATGATGAGAAGAGAGAAATGGAAGATGTATTAAAAAAAAAAAAAACACAGGCTGGGTGTGGTGGCTCACACCTGTAATCCCAGTGCTTTGGGAGGCTTAGACACAAGGATTGCTTGAGCCCAGGAGTTTAAGACCAGCCTGGGCAACATAAGAAGAGATATCTCTATAAATAATTTAAAAATTAGCCAGGCATGGTGGCATGAACCTGTAGTCCCAGCTACTCACGAGGCTGAGGCAGGAGGATCACCTGAACACAGGAGGTCGAGGTTGCAGTGAGCTGTGATTGTGCCACTGGACTGCAGCCTTGGCAACACAGTGAGACCTTGTCTCAAAATAAAACAAAAAAGAATTACTGGACATGAAAAAGTTAACTCTGCAGATAAGGGATTAAAAGCAGTTTTAAAAAGTCAGTGAGGCCAGGTGTGGTAGTTCATGCCTGTAATCATCCCAGCACTTTGAGAGGCAGAGGCAGGAGGATTGCCTGAGGCCAGGAGTTTGAGACCAGCCTGGGCAACACAGTGAGGCCTCATCTCTACAAAAAACAAAAAACAAAAAACAGAATAAAAAATTTTTAAAAAATTTAATGAAGACAAAATAAAGACTTTTTCACACAGACAAAAGCCAGGATAATCACCAGCAGGCCTGCACTCTGTGAAGTGTTAAAAGCAGTTCTTTGGTCAGAAGAAAAATGACACTGGATAGAAATTTGGTTCTACACAAAGGAATGAAGACCACTGACATAATAAATACATGGATAAATAGAAAAGATCCTATTTTCTCATTTTTTGATGTCTAGAAATAATTGACTGAGGCAAAAGTAATAACATTGTGGGGTTTATAACGTGTGGAAGTAAAATGATGATGAGAATGGCACAAGGGACAGGTGGGGAAATGTAAGAATACCATCATTATAAGGTGGCGGTCACAGTTGAGGGAGGTGATAAATCTCTGTGATTCCACCTGGAATACTGCATTGCTCCCGGAAGTGGGAAGAGGTAGTTTCAGAGACTTCCCCTGGGCTCTTCCTACTATAGTGGCTCATACCCACAGGTCAGGGAGTAAAGTGAGAGCTCTGTTAGCTTCTAAGCATACTCATATCAATTGCATATTTAGGGACAGAGAAATGACAACCGGATGGGGCTGTGGCCTCTTCATCCAGGGATCCATTTATTACCTAGATTTCACATGTCCTCAGTCTTGTTGGGGAGGGGACATGGTGGCATTGTGGATCTTATGGTGTCAGGGTCAGCTCTAATCCTATATAAATGGCCCTCAAACAGTCTGGGTATTCCCTTTTCATCAGCTACAGTTACTTTCATCAATGACCCCAGATCCCTTTGGAGAATAATTAATGAATACCATGTGGTAATGTTGCAGGATCTTTTTCCAAGAATACCCAGCCTCCCCTACAATCCATGAGCTATAGGTCTCAATTGTCTCAGTCTGAAAACTGGCTAGGAAATTGTAATTTTTTGTTGCAGCCTTCCATGTGCCAGATCTTGTTGTTGTTGTTTCCTGAATACACAAATCAGGAAATATCCTAGGGCTCACACCTGTAATCCCAACAATTTGGGAGTCCAAGGCAGGAGGATTGCTTGAGCTCAGGAGTTTGAGACCAGTCTAGGCAACATAGCAAGACCTCATCTTCACTAAAAATTAGAAAAAAATATAGCCAGGCATGGTGGTGCATGCCTGTAATCCCAGCTACCTGGGAGGCTGAGGTGGGAGGATCGCTTGAGCCCAGGAGGTTGAGGCTGCAGAGAGCTATGATTGTGCCACTGCACTCCAGACTGGGCTACAGAGTAAGATCCTGTCTCAAAAAAACCCAAAATACCCTAATCAACTGCCTATGTAACTCTCCCCTGGAATGCCATCAGTTTGTAGCTAACACAACAGCTCCCTGGAGGTCAAGGCATCCTGGCTGTCACTCTAGCCTTCCTACCAATTAAGTTAATTACATCCACCTTGTGGATGATGGTGAAGGGCCACCACCTGGCATCCGCTGTTCTCACCTTCCACCGTTCCCACTGACACCACGAAGCCTGGTCTCATGGCAGCATCTCCTCTTGTCGATCCTGGCCTACCAAGGATAGTGCCACTGAGTCTCTTAAAGATTCAGGTGCCCTTCTCACTAGTGCCTTCCTTGTTAGCCTAGAGAGGGGAGTTCCTGTGAGCCCTCCAAGGGCACACAGTCAAGTGGTGGATTCCGAATCTGCTGGCATATAATGAACCATTCCAACATTCCTACCTCCCTGTACTTTCCTGCTTCTTTGATGCTTTGCGAATGCAGTTCTATAATCTCCTCCTAATTCACTGAAGCAACTGTTCTGTCCACATTTCAAGGAGCCACTCAGCAGTGTGTTGGAGCCCCAGGTGTCTTTGCCAAGCCATTAAATCCTGAGAGTGCTCCCAGGTCACTGTATTCTCGTGTATACAGCCTTTAGTCTCCCCCTGGTCCAACACCCTTATGTCCACTCCTCCACCTCCTCTCTCAGATTCTGCCAGTACATACTTTGTGACATTTTTGGCAAAAATATTATTCTCCCAGAGCAGATTGTGCTTGTGACCTTAGGCCATGATGAGGAATGACCATAGCCTGGTGTCAATGTGGGGCAGCAATGACGACACACTTCATCCTGCTGTAAGGCCTTGTTGGAGGCTCTTTGCCTAGTTTCCAGGCAAGGGGCAGCTGCCCTTCTCTTAGCAAGGAAAGAGCATTTCTTCTTTTAGATCAGAGCATTTAGTGGAAACTGGAGGTTCAAAGTTCTCAGATGTATCCACTTAAGTTTTCCCATACCAGATATCAGGATCCCATTGCTCCTTTCCCCTTCTCTCCTCCCCTCTCCCCTTCCCTCCCCTCCCCTCTTTTCTCTCCTCTCTTATCTCTTCTTTCCTCTCTTTTCTCTTCTTTCTTTTCTCCTCTCTTCTTTTTCTTTTCTCTTCTCTTTCTCTGTCTTCTTCTTTCTTTCTCTTTGTTTTTGAGATGGGATCTCACTCTGTCACCCAGGCTGCAATGCAGTGATGTGATCTTGGCTCACTGCAACCTCCGCCTCCCGGGCCCAAGGGATCCTCCCACCTCAGTCTCCTGGGTAGCTGGGACCACAGGCACATGCTACCACATCTGGCTAATTTTCATATTTTTTATAGAGATGGCGTTTCATCATGTTGCCCAGGCTGGTCTTGAACTCCCAGGCTCAAGTGATCCTCCTGCCTCAGCCTCCCAAAGTGCTAGGATTACAGATATGAGCCACTGCACTCACGTCTCCTTTTCCTTAAGTAATTCTAAATAAATACTAGACTAAATCATAAAATAAAATTTGTGTTTTTTTGGGGAAATGACACAAAACTTCCATGACAGCTGACATTAAAATAGTTTATTTCTAGATTTTCTGCTGTGTGTGTGTGTGCGTGCGCACATGTGCACACTTGTCCTTGCTTGGCGCCCTATGTGTGTACTTGCTGTAGCTACTGGGTCAATCTGCACAATGTCTGGCTGCACAATTTCCAGCAAATGAAAGCTCTACACAACCTAATTTTCAAGCAGTCGAGACTGAAGCAGCAGTCTTCTGGTTTGAATTTGAATTAACTGCCAGGCTGTACTTGTGTGGGAAACTGACAATTTTCAGCAAGAAATTTCCAGGTTAGGCCTGTCACCCTCCAGTGTAACTCTAGGGCCTGTTTGGCAGGGGGACTGGCTTTGGCTGGAGGCTGGATCAAGAGGGCTCTCCTGGCATGGCGCGTTCCCATCCCCGGGAGGGAGCTCTGTTGGGAGCATGAGATGAACCAAGAAGACCCATCCATTAGGAAAGTGGCCCTTAGTCTGTCCAGTTTTAATGGAGGAGGATGATTGGTGCAACAACACTTCTGATGGGGAAACTAGTCGGAGACATGGGCATTCATGGTCTTTCCCACATGTGCCCCATTGGGACCCAAACCAGGACCCAAACATGCTGGTGGCTTCCCCCCACAGAAGCACATAATTTTCTAGTTCAAGAGTCTACCAAGTGACTAGCACAGTATAGGTAGAAAGACCTATAACAAGGTACATCACTGAGAAATTCCAAGAACCCAAAGATAGAAAATCCTAAAATCTTCCAGAGAGAAAAGACAGGTCATATGTAAAGAGCCAAGACTCCGCATGACACTGACTTCTTCCCAACAACACTGGGAACTAGAAAATAATAGAGCAATATTTCCCAATGT
Organism: Homo sapiens; assembly: GCF_000001405.40. Lineage (NCBI taxonomy): Eukaryota > Metazoa > Chordata > Mammalia > Primates > Hominidae > Homo > Homo sapiens. Next base: position 72,617,399 of record NC_000015.10, on the reverse strand, counting down.
GAAGAGAAGTTATGTTTAAATTAGAGCATTACATCCAGCCAAACTAGTAATCAGGAATTGGGGTAGAACAATGACATTCTAAAATATGTGAGGGTCAGAAAGCTTGGCTTCCATTCACTGTTTCTCTGGAAGCCACTGGAAGATGTGCTGCAACACAATGAGAGGATAAACCAAGGAAAAAGAAGATCTGGGGCCGGGGAACAGGAGATGCACCCAGAAGTAAGCAAGTAGAGTTGATCTACTGCCTGCTTGAAAAAACTATTTAAAATTCCCAACCCAAAGAAGGCCAGAGCTCTCGTGAATCTGACCCAACAGATTTCGAAGCCAAAGCTGAGGGCATCTGAAGCCAAAGCCAGGCCGGACAGAGATGAGGCTCCTGGGAGGGAACAGGTGCAGTCCTGCTCAGGCTGCAGCGTCCCCGGGCTACAGCTGGACAAGGGCTCCCTCTGGGCCACAGCTTCTAGGGACAGAGTTTGGGGCAGGTTGACTGTCTGATGTGTAGGACTCTGGTGATGAACTCAGCTGGGAAACTGTGTGGTAATGGGAAGGGAATGCTTTTGCTTTTCCAAATATATCCGCTGCATGCTTGGATCCACATTGGAACTCAGTGTGGAAACTGCCTTTGAACAGCCTATGCCTGAACTCTGGGCCATGTGTCCGGTTTCCTGGCCTCCAGCTTTGTTCACTCCTTACCCCCACCCATCACTGATGCCAGATCCATCCTCCCAAATGTCCTTTCATCACGTTACCCTCCCCACCACCTCATGGCACATTCCACACAACAGGAAATGCCTCCCACCTCAGCCTGGCATTCAAGGTTCTTTTGATGTGGCCGCCACTCACCACCCCACCACATCTCCCTGTGGGCCCTGCCAACTTGGATCAATTTTTCCTATCCATGAGCTGAACTTTCCCACCTCCATACTGTTGCTTACACTGTGACTTTCCTGTGCGTGTTCTTTTCCTCCCTCTTCCCAAGTCCAAATGCTATAGACTGAATTGTGTCTCCTCAAAATTCATACTTGGAGCCCTAACCCCCTATATGATTGTATTTAAAAATAGGGCTATTAGGAGGTAATTAAAGTGAAGGGAGGGAGGAGGAGCAGAGCAAGATGGCTGAATAGTAGTCTCTACCAATCATTCCCCCTGCAGGAAAATCAAATTTAACAACTGTTTCCACCAGAAAACCATCATCATAAGAACCAAAAATTAGGCGAGGACTCACAGTACCTGGGTTTAACTTCATGTCGCTGAAAGAGGCACTGAAAAGGTAGGAGAGACAGCCTTGAAACACCAATATCACCCCTCCCCCTCCCCCAGCAGTGGTCGCTGTGGTGCTGAGAATCTGTGCACCTGGGGGAGGGAGAATGCAGCAACTGTGGGACTCTGCCTTGAACTCAGTGCTGCCCTGTCACAGCAGAAAGCGAAACCAGGTGGAACTCACGTGACACCTGCCCATGGAGGGAGCATTTAGACCAGCCCTACCCAGAGGGGTTCACCCATCCCAGTAGTTAGGAGGCTTGAGGCTTGGGTTTTGACAAGCCTTGGCATGGCAGGCTATTATGCCCCAGGGTCCTAAATAAACTTGAAAGCAGTCTAGTCCATAAGGACTTCAACTCCTAGGCACATCCTAATGCCATGCTGGGCTCAGAGCCAGTGGACTCAAGAGGCACACGACCTAGAGAGACACCAGCCAGGACAGCCAAGGGAGTGTTTGTACCACCCCTCCCCCAACCCCAGGCAGTGCAGCTTGCAGCAACAAAAGTGGCTCTTTCCTTTTGCTTGAGGAGAGGAGGGGGAAGAGTAAAGAGGACTTTGTCTTACGTCTTGGATAGCCACAGTAGGATACAGCCCCAGTCAGAGTTGAGAGACCCCCATTCCAGGACCTAGCTCCTGAATTACCTTTCTAGATACACCCTGGGCCAGAAGGGAATCTGCTGCTTTAAAGAAAAGATTCTAGTCCTGGCAGGATTCATCACCTGCTGACTCAAGAGCCCTTGGGCCCTGAATAGCCAACAGTGATACCCAGGTAATGTGCTATAGGCCTGGAGTAAGGCTCTGCGACATGCTGGCTTCAGGTGAGACCCAGCACATTCACAGCTTTGGTGGCTGTGGTGAGAGATTTCTTCTGCTTGAGAAAAGCAGAGGGAAAGGTAAAAGGGACTTTGTCTTGCAGCTTAGGTACCTGCCTGGCCACAATGGGGTAGAGCACTAAATGGGCTCTTGTGGTCACTGATTTTAGGCCTTGGCTCTTAAACAGCATTTCTGGGCCTGCCCTGAGACAGAGGGGGGCCCACTGCCCTGAAGGGTGAGCCCCAGGCCTGGAAGCATTCACCACAAGTGACTTAAGAGCCCTTGGGCCCTAAGTGAACATCGACAGTAGCCTGGCAGCACTCCCTGTGGGCCTGTGGTGGTGGCCACAGGGTGAGGCTCCTCTGCCTGTGAAAAGGGAAAGGCAGAGTGGGAAGGACTTTGTCTCATGGTTTCAGTGTCAGCCCAGCCGCCTTAGAATAAAGCACCAGGTAAGTTTCTAAGGTTTTTGACTGTAGTCCCTGACTCCCAGACAGCATCTCTGGACCCACCAGGGCCTGAGAGAACTCGTTGCCCTGAAGGGAAAGACATAAGCCAGGCTGGCTTTGCCACCTGCTGACTGTAGAGCCCCAGTTACTTGGCTTTGAGTGAACATAGGCGACAGCCAGGTAGTGTTGACAGCGGGCCCTGAGTGAGACCCAGTGCTTTGCTGGCTTTAGGTCTGACCCAGTGCAGTCCCAGTGGTGGTGGTGGCCATAGGGATGTTGTGTCAGCCCACACCCAGCTCCAAGTGGCTCAGCAGAGAGAGAGAGAGAGAGAGAGGGAGAGAGAGAGACTGTTTTTTGGAGAGAAACTACAGGTACAGAATAAGGGTCTCTACTACCTGGTAGCCCAGAGAATTCTTCCAGATCTTATCTGAGACCAACAAGGCAGTTCCTCTATGAGTCTGCAAGAACCATAGCATAACTGGGCTGGAGTGTATCTAATAAAGATACACTTTAGATCACAACACCCACATCCTTTCAAATACTTGGATAGCCTTCCCAAGGGTGGGTACAAACAAGCCCAGGCTGAGAAGACGGTGGCAGTTTGAAATCAGCCATGGAATATTTGCACCACCAAAAATGGCAAACACTACAGAACAGATTTCTGTTCCCTCCCCGACAGAGAGCCCCTTGTGTAACAACAGCACTCCACTGCCCCATCCCTGAGCAGAGCGCTGTGTGTTGCAGCAGAGTGGGGGCAGGTGTCTTCTCCCTTGGGCTACAGAATACATATTTTTTTCCTCAGCATATGGATCATTCTCAAGGATACACCATATCTTAGGTCAAACAACAGGTCTTAAAACATTACAAAAGAGTGAAATAATATCAAACATCTTCTCTGATCACAATGGACTAAAACTAGAAATTAGTAACAACAGAAATGTTGGAAACTATACAAACACATGGAGATCAAATAATATGCTCTGGAATGACGAGTGGGTCAATGAAGAAATTAAGAAGGAAATTGAAACATTTCTTAAATGATAATGGAAACACAACATGCCAGAACCTATGGGATACGACAAAAGCAGTACTAAGAGGGAACTTTATGGCTATAAACACCCACTTTTAAAAAGTTGAAAAGCATCAAATAAACAACTTAACAATGCACCTTAAAGAAATAGAAAAGCAAGAGCAAAGCAAATGCAAAATTACTAGAAGAAAAGAAATAATAAAGATCAGAGCAGAAATAAATGAAATTGAAATGAAGAAAACAAAGCATCAATGAAAAGAATAGTTGGTTTTTGGAAAAGATAAACAACATTGACAAACTTTTAGCCTAAGAAAAAGAGAAGACCCAAGTGAATAAAATCAAAGATGAAGAAGGAAACATTACAACTGATACTGCAAAAATTCAAAGGATCACTAGTGGCTATTATAAGCAACTATATACAAAGAAATAGGAAAACCAACTAAAAATGGATCAATTTCTAGACACATCCAGCCTATCAAGATTGAACCATGATGAAATCCAAAACCTGAACAGACGAGTGACAAACAATGAGATCGAAATGGTAATAAAAAGTCTCCCAGCAAAGAAAAGCCTGGGACCTGGTGCTTCACTGCTGAATTCTACCAAACGTTTAAAGAAAAACTCATATCAACCTTACTCAAACTATTCCAAAACTAGAGACCTTACCCAAACTATTCCAAACTCATTCTACAAGGCTAGTATTACCTTGATACTAAAACCAAAGATACATCCAAAACAGAGAACTACAGGCCAATATCACTGATGAATATTGATGCAAAAATCCTCCACAAAATATTAGCAAATTGAATCCAACAACACATTAAAGTTGGGGTGCAGTGTCCCAGGTTCACTCAACCCTTCCCCTTTTCCTGTGTCTAGTTTGGTTGTGCTTCCAGGTGGCAGCAGTGGTGGCAATGTTGGTATGTGGGCCTCCCAGGACAAAGGGAAAGTGAGTGTGCCCTTCTTGCCTCCTGCCAGGCATCTGTAGCCTGGCACCAGCTCTGGCCAGGTCTTCAAGCAAGGGACATGGAGATGTTCCTTTCCAATTTCTGGATTGGGAAATGGAGGCAAATTATGGGTACTAGAGTCAGAACTAAGACGAGGCTGAATCGGGGGAGCCCAAGGTCCCGAGAGGCAGAGACCTGAAACCCTCTAGAGCATGTGGGGAGCTGGATGTGTGTTCTGGCCAGTTGCTTCTCCCTGTGCCTCAATGTTCCAGGTACCCTTGGAGGGGCTGAGATCCTGGGGATGTCTGGAGCCTGGCTGCATGGCCTGGCCACCCTGATGCCCTTCTTGTAGGGGCATACACAGAACAAACAGGGCAGGGTGGTGGAGTGCAGCCCCTTCCCTTGGGGCCTCAGAGAGTGCACCTGTTGGTCACAGGTGAAATGGTGTCTGATCACTGGCTCCCGGAAGGGGTGAGGGTCCAGAGAAATCAGACGGTGGGGAGATGAAGAGCATAAGGGGGTCTGGGAGGGACCACAGAGGAAGGTGGCAAAGGAGGTGCAGGGGGAGTCAGCTCACCATGGCCTCCCGGCTCTCCAGGTCCTCCAGGATGCTCGGAAGGGGCTAAGGCACCTCCTCCTCCTCACTGTCCAGATGTCCTCCTCCATCTGTAGGGTTTGGCCAAAGGGGTCTTCAGACAACCCAACAAGGGAGGTACTGTGGGGCCACCTCTGCCCCCACCCTCACTGTGTAACCCTGAGCCAGCCCCTCCCCAGAGGGAAATGAGCTGCTGTTCTTTTTTTTTTTTTTTTTTTTTTTTTTACTATTTTTTTACTTTTATTTTTACTTTTAAGAACCAAGATCTTGTTATATTTCCCAGGCACAGTCCCACTACCAGTCAGTGTGGGAGTTCTGACCTGCTCCCTTTCTGATCTGGGCCAGTTCACCCATCCTTAGGCAACCTGGTGGCCCCCTGCTCCCCAGGAGGTCACCATATTGATACCAAACTTAGTGCAGACACCCGGTCGGCATAATGACTAGCTGTTCTAAAGGTCTGTTCCAACTCCTCAGTCCTATGCTGCTAACAATCCCCCCTCCTTCCTCCTGGGGCTCTCTCTTCTTCCTCTAAGTGATCTCCTGTACTTTCTCCAGGGAGAGCCATGAGGCTCAACTGGGCCTCTAGCTGCTGTTTCTGCTGGCTGGCAGCTTCTAGGCACTCCTAAGGGGCCAGGAAAGAGAGTGAGAAGGCACAGAAGATGCAGGTCATCCCTCTTGGGGCCCCGTCCTCAGCAACTCCCTCCCCTGAGTCTCCTGCAGTTTTTGGTGGGCCATCTCAGCCATCGGTTTGCCCCAAGCTTCCTGCTGCTGCAGCTGGTCCACGAGCTGGGTCTGCAGCAGTAACTGCCTGTGCAGCGCCTCCTTCTCAGAGGTCAGCTGCTGACAGGTGGCCACGTACTGCTGCAGGTGACCCAGGTACTAGTCTCGCTGCTGCTGCAGACTCTGAGACTCTTGGCTCTTCAGCTCCACTTGCAGGAAGACCCTGGGCGTGAGGGCACATGGTGGCTGGCTTCCAGATTCTGGGCCCATTAATAGGGTAGCGAGGGCACCGTGGGGCTCTGTCACCTGCCCAGGCCCCTGGCCGCTTGCTCCAGGCCTTAGAGAATTCCTCCCTTGCCTAGAACTCCATGCCTCCTTCCTCAGCCTCAAATCTCATGTCCTTCTTCCCACCATTTAAACTGTAGGCCACAGACTGGTGGAAAAGCAGAGGGAGCCAACCACCATCTGCTAAGTGTGCTACATGCCTAATGCTTTCCAGGTATTCTCTCATTCAATCCTCAGCACCTCTGCAAGGAAAATGCTAACTTCCTTTTGAAGTTAAAGAAACAGAGACTTAGAGATGAAAAGTAGTTGAACGGTGACCAGAGGAACCCAGGCCAGAATCCAGTTTGAATCTAAGGAGGCTTTATTGTTTTGTTTTGAGACAGTGTCACTCTGTGGCCCAGGCTGGAGTGCAGTGGTGCAATCTCAGCTCACTGCAACCTCCACCACGTGGGCTCAAGCGATTCTCGTGCCTCAGCCTCCTGAGTAGCTGGGATTACAGGCATGCGCCACCATGCCTGGCTAATTTTTTTTTGTTGTTGTTGTAATTTTAGTAGAGATGAGGTTTCACCACGTTGGCCAGGCTGGTCTCAAACTCCTGACCTCAAGTGATTCTACTGCCTCAGCCTCCCAAAGTGCTGGGATTATAGGCGTGAGCTACTGCCCCCAGCAAAGGAGCCTCTTATACCACTGTCTCTTCCCCTATGATTGGGGGCTCCATGCCTCTAGCTGGGATGATGATGTCCAGACCTGGGAGGAGCCCAGGGCTACCTACCTCTAAAAGTCAGAGGGCAGGAAGCAAGAAACAGTCACAGGACTGCCCTGAAGGGTGCTGGCGTCACCTGCCTCCAGGCTGGAGCTGCCTTTGGCCTCACACTTCCCTTCTCCAGAGACTGGTGCCCGCCTCCCAGCCCTTCTTGGATGGGGCGGAGGTTACCGTCTCCTTCAGGTCACCCAGCTTCTCCTGCAGCAACTTTACTTGCTGCTCCAACTGCAGTGCGCCCTTGCTCTCTTTGTTCTGGACAAAGAGAAGCAATCAGCGGTCACCCACTGCAGCTGGAGACCCCAGAACTTGATGTCTGCCTCCCATGTCACCGGGAAGGGTGGAGGCAAGTTAGAAAAATCATTCCCTCTCTCTCACAGCCATCAGAGCAGGGCTCTGGCTCACAGGTTCCTTTAGAAGTACCATTTCACGTGAGGGCTACATATGCCCATTTTACAGGTGGGGAAACAAAGGCCTGGAGGGCTAGGGAGGAAGGCAGGCTCCCCAGGTGGGGCAACCCACCAGCTCCTGGAAGTCGTACTGTGGCTCGCCCAGCTGCTTATCAAGCTCGTGGTTCTGCGAGAGCATGTGGCTGATGGTGGTGCAGTCATTCCGCATGGTTTGCATGTGTGTCTCTGCCTGCTCGTCCCAGAGCTTGGCTTTCTGCTCCAGTTCCAGCAGCCTCTCCTCCTGCTCCCTCAGCCTCTGCTCCTGCTCCCACAGCCTCTCTTCCTCTTCCCTCAGCCTCTCCTCCTGCCTTTGCAGCCTCTCCTCCTGCTCCAGCAGCCTCTCCTTCTGTAGCAGCCTCTCCTCCTGCTTTCTCAGCCTCTCCCCCTGTTCCTGCAGCCCCTCCTGCTCCAGCAGTCTCTCCTGCTCCAGCAGTCTCTCCTCCTACTCCCGCAGCCTCTCCTCCTGCTCCCGCAGCCTCTCCTGTTTCAGGACTGTGTGGAACAGTTCTTTTAAAAACCAGACCACAGGCTTGGAAATGACTTGATCTTTACCGACCGAGTTGTATATTGAGCCTACCCCTTGCCCTTTTAAGGGGCACTGTGTAGAATGGCCTGGGCTCCCCAGATATAAACTTCTCATCTTCACCATCCAGTTCTGGAGCTGCTGTGTGGCCTCTGAGCTCTGCATCCAGTGCTCGCTCCCCACAGTGCCCCCCAACTCACCCACAGCAGCTGACTCAGCCCCAGGCTGCCTCTAACAACCATACACAAAAGCAGCGAGAAATGACCATGCTGCCTTCTGGGCAGGACACTCCATCCTGCAGAAGGGACCTTTAGGCTCACTCCTCTATCTGGGAAGCCAGGCTGCCAGGGGATGGGGCAGCTGGTTGGACTCACCCTGTCCTCCTCCTGCTGCTGCATGGAGACACAGCACAGAGAGCCCACTCCAACTCTCCAATACACTGCAAGGAATATTGCAGGTGGCTGGCCAGATCCTTAGATTCTGCTGTAATGAAAGAGGTTGAGATGGGGCCCAAAGGACTCCCCCTAAAGACCTGTCAAAGTGCCAGGTTGAAGGATGATGGGGTGCCCAGATTCCCACCTTCAAAGTGCCGGGCAGCACGTTTAGTATGGTAAAGGGTGGTCTTCAAGTCTGCTTTTTCCAACATGAGGATGTTGATTGTCTGGAATTGAACCTTTGGGAGAAAAGCCAAGCAAGTGCTGAAAGAGAAGGAAAGAAACATTCTCCAGAGGACAGGAGAAAACTCCCCACCCTCCACTCACCTCTAACTGCTCCATTTGTGCTTTGTGTATTTCATTGTTGGTTTTCTTTTCCTACAGGAAGAGGAAGACAGAGCTCTTACCAGGGGGAGGCAGAGATGGCACAGCAAGAGACATGCCCCCAGAATGCCACCAATGCCCCAGGACAGGCCCACCCATGGGACCAGGTTATCGGGATAACCTGGGAGGATGGGGTGGAATCTGAGGGGTGAGCCTTCTTCCCCAGGCTGGAAGTGGGCGACACGAGACTGGCACCTCTACATCTGATTGTCCCCCAAACCCAGCATTTATGTCGTGAGCAAAGAAAGAAATCATGTTACTTCTTCCAGCTGATGTTCCACTTGTTTCTTCTGCTGTTTCTGTGGGGAGAGTCAAATTCAGGTGACTGAGGGTGGCCCCCTCAGCTCTATTCCCCAGACCAGGAAGCGGTAGGCAGGGGCCAGGAATGGATTTTAAAGGCAAAGTTCTCAGACCCAATGGCAACACAAACTGGTCAACTCTCCTCAAGCTCCCAAGGACACAGGATGTGGGTCTTTGTTGGTTTTTGCCCACAGCCACAGAACTCAAAGTCTGAATCTGGATTCTCTCAAAAGGACAGTAACATAAACCTCCAGAGACGGAGTCTGAGAAAGGCCCACCCTTCTGCCAGCTTGTGATTTAGAAAGGTGCGTTCATTCAATGAACATTTACTGAGCACACACAGGCCAGGTACAGTTCTTCACAACAGAGATACAGGACAGAAAAGGACAGACAGGAGGCCTTCGCCCTGAGGTTTCCATTCTAGGGGACTTTAAATCTCAGACTCTCAGAGCTAACAGAGACCTTTGATACTCTCTACCTCCTCTGGAAACACAAGCCCAAGGAGGAGAGGTGGCTTGTCCAGACTCAAGGGCAAATTAGAGACTGAGTCAGGGCAGAAATATGGGGCCCCTGACAACCAATCAGGCTAGCGCTTCCCTGAGAGGTGACAACCCCAGGGCGTGTGTGGCAAGGACTGGAGCAGGGGTACCTGAAGAAGAGAGAGTCAGCAAAGAGGGCAGCAATGGAAGAGCCATGCTGCATGCTCCTTGCTCTGGGGTCCCTCTAGGTGAGGCATGGGCACCCCAGCTCTCCATTTGTCCTTGGCACCAGGGGCCCCCAGCCCCTTTATTCAGGGCCCCAAGGGGAAACTGGAGCCCAGGATTGGCAGAGTGGAATCAGGGGACTCTACTGGACTCTTACCAATGACTATGTTTTCAATGAGTTGACTGATTGTTGCAGAGCTCAAGTCCAGGGCTACTGCTAGTTCTTGGTACCGGCTCTGAGGTGCATACAGAGAGGAGGAGTTGGAGGAGGACTGCAGGGAGAGGTAGAGAGAACAATCATTAGGGCTGGGGTGTGTGTGGGCTGTCTCAGCTGGCAGAGGGGCACCCAGCCCCCACTGTGAGAGGAGGTTGGAGGGCTGGCCTGCAGGGTCACTGCACCTCAGCCTAGGGCCTCTTACCTCCAGATCCTTTAGGGTAGCAGATGATGCAGGGGTAATAAAAATGAGAAATTCAAAGAAACAAAAACTTCCATGGGAAACAGTTATGGATATAGAGAAAGTATAAAAACAGCAAGGGACTGGGCACGGTGGCTTGCGCATGTAACTCCAGCACTTTGGGAGGCTGAGGCTGGTGGATCACTTGAGGTAAGGAGTTCAAGACCAGTCTGTCCAACATGGTGAAACCTCGTCTCTACTAAAAATACAAAGATTAGCTGGGCATGGTGGCAGGTGTCTGTAATGCCAGCTACTGAGGAGGCTAAGGCAAGAGAATCGCTTGAACCTGGGAGGCAGAGGTTGCAGTGAGCAGAGATTGTGCCACACCACTGCACTCCAGTCTGGGTGACAGAGTGAGACTCTGTCTCAAAAAAAAAAAAAAAGCCCCAAATCCCATATTCCTGCTTTGTACATTATTCCCAAATTACTTTTAAACTTTAAGGTATGTCTCACCATTTCCAAGATGATAAAAGATGCTGGAAAGGAAAAAAACTCAATCAATCAAGCAAGTGAAGAAGCAGACATAAACAGGCTGAAGGTTAATGGCAGCAACATAAAATAAGCCAGAGGCAAAGTATCCCCCAAACCAGAGAAGCCTCAGGAACATGCATAGCTGGAGACAGCAAGCCAGAGAGGGGTCTGGGCACTGCCTCACCTTCCACTTGTCCAGTCGAGGAGTGCTACCCCATTGGAGTAGTTAAGGTTGGACACCAGCACCTTCGGAATGTCCTGAATCTACAGGAGATGAAAAGGGAAAAACAAGGGCAGGGGGAGAAAGACAGAAGTGGCTTAGAGAGAAGCAAGAAAGTCAGGGTAGGAGAAAGATGTGGATTCAGGGAAAGGAAACGCTGAAGAAGAGCAGAGGAGATTAAAACCATGGCCTGTGCCATTCTTCCAAATGGCCACCTGCTGCCTTGCCAGGGGCAGGAACAAATAGATGGAAAAGTCCCCTGAGTGACGCAGTCACAGAGTGGAGTCAGCTGACCAATGCACCTCTCAATACGCTCACTGGACCCCTCTCCTCAGGCCCAGGACATGGGCGATGAATGTGGTAGAGCTCCAGACCTCCACTTCTGTTAAAAAAAAAACCAGACTTCTGAGTAAGGGTTCAGTTGAGCTAAGGTGACTCCAGGTGAAAAACAAGTTTGAAAGACACTGATCTTATCCAGTATCATGTTATAGAGGAGAAAACTGAGGCTCAGGGGAAATAGTGATTTTTCTGTGGTCACCCAGCAAGCTGGTGGCAAGTAAGATCTTCTCTTACACCACACGTGGGGCCCTTTCAGTGACTTCTAAAGGGATAGGCTGATGGCAAGTGGCTTTTCTCATTGGCCTGGCTTCCCCTTGAGACTGGGGCGAGGAAAATCAAACAGCAATGACCATTTCCTGGGTGTCCTGTGTGTTTACAGCAGGCTATGTACTAGGGATTCACATAAAAACAACAACAAATTTCATTTAAACTTCACAAATGGAAGTCAAACAATACCACCTCTATTATACAGATATGAAAAGAGAGGCCCAAAGAGCTCAAGTAACTTGCCCTAAATCATATCCCCAGCAGACAGAGAGGCAGGATTCAAACCCAGAATTTTTAACCAGTACCCAGCAATCTTAACAATTACCCTCTACTGCCCCTTGGGCCCCCTGTCCCCAGGAGCCTGGCCAGCCAAAACTCACATCCCCAGGTGAGTGGCAACCACCAGAAGTGGTTGTCTTAGTCCTTGGAGATGCCAGGCCAAAGAGCCCAGGGAGGTCAGGCTTGGGAGGGGGCAGGAGGTCAGGGCCTAGTCTGGAGCAGGGAGCCCCAGGAGTCACCTGCCCCAGTAGTCACCCTGGGGTGACTGTTGAGGGCAGGGGCTGGGCTGCTGAGGGAACAGCGCTGGCTAACAATATTTTGGTAGGGGGAGTGCAGAGGCACCAGGGGGGCCTAACCCGGTGTGCCTCAGGAGTGGCACAGACTCTGGCAGTAGTCCTGCCGTCAGAGGAAGTCTGCAGGTGGGTCAGGGGCTATGACCTGGTGGTTTTTACCTTTTTCTTGGCTGCAGCCAATTTGCTCTGTTGAGTTTCTTCCTACATGGTGGTGTGGGGAGGGAGGCGGGGTTGGGGCCACATCAGCGCAATCCAGGCAAGACTGCTAAACACCTCCGGTCACCTGCCAGGTAGCTGTGCAACTGAGTCAGAGGAGGGATAACCAGGGCCACACTAGAACACAGAATAGGGGCATGGCCTCAATGCTGCCAAGCCCATTGGTTGATGAGAAAGATGAAAGGGAAAGGAGGTGTGGCAAGGCAGCAGTGTGTCCAGAGGACTGTGGCATCACAAGGAAAGCTGCCCATGCAACCGCTGGCCCCTCCCACTCTGGGAGAGGGGAGGGGCCAGCTTTCACTTGGTGTCCGCTTAGCTTTCTGCAAGACTATTCACACTGGTGGTCAGAGTTCCTTTCCAAGAAGACCTGAGAGGCTGCTTTCTCTCTCCTGCCCTGGACCCTCCTGTGCCACTGAACCCTCTTTCCTGGGGGCCTCAGACCCCAGGGCTCAGGAGGTGGGTGAGGAACGGACTCCACAGTTTCTTTCCTGACTCCTCACAGCCCTGCCCCAGACTTCCCCTTCCCAGAAATCACCTCCAAGGACCCCCATACAGTGCTCCCCACAACCTCCCTCTCAGAACGCCCCCTTCCTAGAGGGTCCCTACCCTGATCCTGGGAGCATATCTGCCCCCTTTCCAGTTGGATCCAGTCCTAGGCACTCCTACTTCCCAGCTGCTCTTCCTCCTGCACACCCACAGTACCCCTTTCTCTCAGAGTGGGCCATGGGTCCAATCAGGCATTTCCCTCGGATTCCTCTCCTTGACTGAACCAGGACTTACACAAAGTTGCCACGGGGCCTTCCGATCCCCTGCGAGTATGTCTTTCCCACCCCCCACTGCCAAAGTCCCCATCCCCGAGCCTCCCTCCGTGTGAGTCACTGCCTCCCCTGGCCCTCCTCTCCATCCCAACAGCAGCCAATCCCCCTCTTCCAGGTCTTCTCCCAGCTGACTGAGGACCTCCAGGTCATTTCTCAATCCCTCTCCTTCCTTTCCTCCTGCCCACCAGTCTTCAAATAAGTGCTGTCCTGTCCTAGGCCAACTCCTCTACCTCCCCATCCTGTCTCCTGCCTCTACAGATGCCTTTCACTCCAGTCCAGTACTAGCTATCTCTCCTGCTCACTGGTTTCACCCCTTACCCAGCCATAAACAAACCCACAGCTCCCCAGTCAGGAAAATGCTTGGTGTTCACCCTGGCCACTCCTTTAGCTGCTAATAATCTCTCCTCTTCTGTTGCAAGCCATCCCCAAAACTCAGCCTCCACCTTCTCTCATCCCCCAGATGGAGTTGCCACTACCACTACCTCCACTCTCAAGTTACATTGTGAAAGACTTGGTATTTGTTTGTTCATTAATTTAGCAACTGCGGGGATGCAGGTTTGTGCCAGATGGCCCCTGCCCTCCAAGAGGCACAGGCAAAAAAAAAAAAAAAAAAAAAAAAAAAAAAAAAAAAACAGTTCCAGGACAAGTATGCACATGGTTCTGAGAAGGGGAGCCCAAGCTTGGGCTTGCAAAGAAGCCTCCCCAGAGATGGCAAGGTCAGAAGCAAGGCCAGAAGGGCGAGCCACAGTGAGCCCAGATGATGATGACAGGGAGGCAACCACAGTTTGCCAAAAGCATTGGGCTGATTTCGTTTCGCTCTGAGAATGAATTGGTATCTGCTATCTTTGACCATGGGTGACTGACTGCAGATCATGCCTTTTTCATTCATGTTAATTCATTCCTTACCTTTTTTTTTTTTTTTTTTTTTTGAGACATGTCACCCAGGCTGGAGTGCAATGGCACTAACTAGGCTCACTGCAACCTCTGCCTCCCAGGCTCAAGCCATCCTTCCACCTCAGCCTCCCCAGTAGCTGGGACCACAGGTGTGTGCCACCACACCTGGCTAGTTTTTTTGGTAAAATTAGCCCCAGTACAGACGGGGTTTCTCCATGTTGCCCAGGCTGGTCTCGAATTCGTGAGCTCAAAGCAATCTGCCTGCCTCAGCCTCCCAAACTGCTGGGATTACAGGCATGAGCCACTGTGCCCAGCCTGGAAAAAAAATCCACTTCTAATCTAGCAAATTTTGTGTTCTTGTTTACTATTTTAGCATTAATAACACCAAGTGACTAACATTCTCCTCATGAGCGCTATGCTAGGAATAAAAGCTTGCCACGGTGGAATTATCTAAACTAGAAGAAATCAATACCATGGATCCCAACAAAAATCAACAAAAGGGACCACATGTTCATTTTATCTGATATATTTCTGGAAAAAAATGTTTGCCATAGCAAAATGGAGACGGGGAGCCAAGCAGCAAAATACATCCGTAGTGAGGTACAGAAAACAGTATCCACTAGAAATCTTTTCAGGAAGGGTGCCATTTTGGGTTGGAGAAACTCCTTGAAAGTTAATTTGGGGGAGAAGGAGAGTCCTTGAGGGACCAGGGTAAGGTCAGAACGTTTCCTGGGAGAAAGGGGGAACATTTCTCTGGCTAATAAGGGCACAGTGCCGGACAGGGTGAAGAAGAAAAAGTCAGTCAAGAGTGGTACATTTCAGAGCATGAAAGGCCTCACACTGCATAAAATAGACTACACCTTAAGACTTCCAATTTTCAGTAAGACTCTTAGGCCCATATAAAATTCAGGAGCCTGTGGATTTTTTGGTGTGGAAACCACTGAAGAGGCAGATTGTACATCTAAATTGCAAGGGCGAGACTTAAGTATGAATTGGGAATTTAGAGTGTAGCAAATTAGTCAGACATTAGATAATAAGTAAGCAAAGTTTATGAACAATTCACCAAGAAATACAAATGGCTCTTTAACATATGAAAATATAACTGTGCAAGGAAAAAAAACATGCAAATTAGTTTCCAAGAGATACTTTCCATTTCTTGCATTGGCAAAGAACAAAAATTTCACTGACATAATTGTGAGGACAAATGCATTCACTAGTGGGAATTCATAAAACTTCCATTGAGAGCAGTTTGGCAATAACTACCAAAATTAAAAATGCACATAATCTTTAACTGAATTATTTCAATTCTAGTAATTTATTCTATAGGCATAGATGTGGGAAATGACTTTACATACAAAGGTATTCAATGCAGCATTATTTGTAATAACCAATGCCTAAAACCAACCTAGATAGAGGTTAAATAAATTATAAGTCCATATTATATGGCGCATGAAAAAGAAAGAGGCAACTATTTACATATTAATATTGAATAATTGCCAAGATATATTATTAACAGATAAAGTGCAGAAAATGCATATAGTATCTGTATTAATAAAAAGGCAAAAATAAAGAGGAATATTATATACATAATTGCTTGTATACTTAGAAAATATTTCTGGAAGGATATTCAAAATGCTAAAAGTGGTTCTAAAGAGGAGAACTGGGTAGCGGGGGGACAGGGAAGAGAAGACTTTTTACTCTATACCTTTAATACATTTTGAATTTTGTACTATATGGATGTATTACCTACTCCAATAATAGCGACTAAGAAAGTGAAAAGCACAACATACCAAGAATTGTGATAAATGCTAAGAAGGAGAAATATAGAACAGTTAGAACAAACAATGGGGAGCCAATCTAGACTTGTTTGGACAGGGAAATTTTTCCTGGGTAAGAGATGTTTAAAATGAGACCTAAAGGGTAAGGCATTAGCTTAGGGAAAGGGGATGAAGACATGTGCAGGCCAGGAAAGAATTCTAAGGCAAAGGAAGAACTTGTGCAAAGGCCCTGAGGATGGAAGAATCTCAGCCAGTTTGCAGCACAGAATGAAGACCAGTGTGAAAAGAGAAAAAGGTAACAGGGTTGGTTGCAATAGGAGAAGAGGTAGGAGTGCAGATCCACAAAGGCCATATGAGGAATTTTATTTTAAGGGCATTGGGAAGGCACTAGAGAATTTTGAGCAAGGAATGGCATGGTCAGAATGAACACTTAATAAACTCATGTTAGCTCATGAGTAGAGACTGAATTGGGAGGGGGACAAAAATTGATAATCTAGGGTAAACTAAAGGATGCTGCAAATGAGATGATGAAACACTTCACTTGGACTAGTGTGATGGCAAAGGAGATGGAGAAAAAGTAAATGGGTTCTCAAGTTTAGAGGTGGAAAAACCTCCAATACACATGATTGGATATGGGGGAATGAGGGAAAGGGAAATGGATGTTAAAGGAAGATTGCCAGGTTTCTTACTTTGAAAGCTGCTGGATGAGTGGTACAGCCAATTACTGAAATGGGAAGACTTAAGGACAAAGATGTTTGTAGAAAGCTCATGAGGCTGTTTCCCAATATGTGAAATCTCCCTGAAAGGGGTCCTGTGAGGAGCAAATGACATTCTTTATTCAATAACTAGAAGCCATTGCTATAATGTTTCAAAATCTCTCCTTTGACCTCAGATCTTGTGAGGAAGATAGAACACTTTCTGTACCAGGGCCTTTTTCAATAAGAAAGGACATTGGTTTCTCAAATTGCAATCACTAAACCTAATGTACTTTAATTATATACATAATTAGAACAATCTCTTTTTAAAAAAACATAATAGGTTGGATACTATGGTTCACACCTGTAATCCCAACACTTTGAGATGCTGAGGCAGGAGGATTGCTTGAGCCCAGGAGTTCAATACCAGCCTGAGCAACATAGTGAGACCCGTCTCTACAAAAAATTTTAAAATGAGCCTGGCATGATGGCATGTGTCTGTAGTCCTAGCTACTTGGGAGACTGAGGAGAGAGGCTCTCCTGAGCCCAGGAGCTCAAGGTTGCAGTGAGCTATGATTGCACCACTGAACTCCAGCCTGGGTGACAGAGTGAGATCCACTGTAAAACAAACAAACAAGAAGTATGTTCACAGGAAAATCCCAGAAATCACATAGAACATGTTTCTTGTGTCACAGATGGATCTTCATTTCCCTTAGCAAATCTCCTCAAATGTGACCCTGCTTATCAAGATTATTCAAATCATATAGCTGTGCTGGGCATACAAAAAAAATGGCATTTATCTATTTTTATGGTGGGGGCTGAGGACATAGAAGAGGAATCAGGCATCGGTAACTTTTCAACACCCCCAATATATGTATAAACAAGGAGCTACAGTTGAGTTTTTACATTTTTAATGTTTTATCATTTGTACTGACAAGGTCCATAGCCAGCTTTGTTCTGATGCCACCTGCTGGACAAGTCTGTAACATCTTATTTCTCTTTGGAAGTGTCCAGTCCTCCCAAAACCTATACCACAAACGCTTGAGAGTCCAGCCAACACTGGGAAATATCACTTCAAAATAATATGAAGCTTCACTGGACTTCATGGAGGATTTTCAGTATGCCTATTCTTGATGCTACAGATATACTCAATAGCAATCAATGGTGAATGTGGACAAAGGCATAATACTGCATTGTTTGTGAGAAAAAATACTGGAAACATGGAAATGTCCATCACCAGTAACTGTTTAAATAAACTAAGATACATCCATATTAAGACATATTATGCAGCCTGTAAAAGTCCTCAGGTTGTTAAAATAGTTACATAAAACAAATAAAGTGTAGAAAATATAGTATGCTTCCATTCATGTTTAAAAAAATAATAAGGGGGAGGCCAGGTGCAGTAGCTCACGCCAGAACTATGAGAAGTCGAGGTAGGAGGCCAGGAGTTTGAGACCAGCCTAGGCAGCACAGTGAGACCCCTGTCTCTACAAAAAATAAAAAATAAAAGGAAGAGATATTGACACATTTTAGAAATACAGTTTGGAAAAGAAAACACAACCAACTGGTAAGATATTTGTCTCTGTGGAGGGAGTAGAGGCACTAGGGGAGTTAAGATGGGAAGGTGTTGCTTTTCTTTATGATTCTACAAAATTTAACTTTGTATTATCCATGTACTTTTACTTTTGAAAACAGTTAATGAGGCCAGGAGCGATGGCTCACACCTGTAATCCCAGCACTTTGGGAGGCTGAGGCGGGTGGATCAACTGAGGTCAGGAGTTGGAGACCAACCTGGCCAACATGGTGAAACCCTGTCTCTACTAAAAATACAAAAATTAGCTGGGTGTGGTGGCGGGCGCCTGTAATCCCAGCTACTCAGGAGGCTGAGTCACGAGAATCACGAGGCAGAGGTTGCAATGAGCCTAGATCGTGCCACTGCACTCCAGCCTGGGCAACAGAGCCAGACTCTGTCTCAAAAAAGAAAAAAATACTAGCTAATGAAATATGTAAATAAAACCATTGTTTAAACTCCCATTCCTAACCAGGCATGGTGGCTCATGCCTTTAATCCCAGCACTTTGGAAAACCAAGGTGGGAGGATCACAGGCAACATAGCGAGACCCAAACTCTACAAAAAAAAAAAAGCCAGGCATGGTGGCACATGACTGTGGTCCCAGCTACTCAAGAGGCTGAGGCAAGAGGATCACTTGAGCCCAGAAGGTCAAGCCAGCAGTGAGCTATGATCATGTCATGGCACTCAAGCCTGGGTGGCAGTGAGACGTGTTTAAAAAAAAATTTTTTTTTTTTTTTTTGAGAGGGAGTCTTGCTCTGTCACCCAGGCTGGAGTGCAGTGGCACAATCTCGGCTCACTGCAACCTCCGCCTCCCAGGTTCAAGCAAATCTCCTGACTCAGTCTCTCAAGTAGCTGGGATTACAGGCGCCCACCACCACACCTGGCTAATTTTAGTATTTTTAGTAGAGTTGGGGTTTCACTATGTTGGCCAGGCTGGTCTCAAACTCCTGATCTCAGGTGATCCACCTGCCTCGGCCTCCCAAAGTGCTGGGATTACAGGCATGAGACACTGTGCCTGACCTAAAAAAATTTTTTATTAAAAAAATAAACTCCTACTTCTGAAATTCACTAGTGATATGAACAAAGTCACAAGGAATATACCTCCCACTCTAGCAAACAACAACAAAAGGCCAGATGAGCTAGAAAATAAAACATATGTTTAATTCATCAGAAAGCTAAGGACACAAAGAAATCTAGGTTGGGTGCAGTGGTTTATGCCTGTAACCCCAGGACTTTGGGGTGCTGAGGCAGGCAGATCGCTTGAGCTCAGAAGTTTGAGATCAGCCTGGGCAACATGGTAAAACCCTATCTCAACAAAAAATACAAAAATTAGCCGGGTGTGGTGGTACACGCCTGTAGTCCCAGCTGCTCAGGAGGCTGAGGTGGGAGGATCAACTGAGCCAGGAAGGCAGAGGTTGTAGTGAGCTGAGATCACTACAGGCTGTACTCCAGGCTGGGTAAGAGTGAGACCCTGTCTCAAAATAAAAACAAAAACCAAAGAAACCTAAATGATCCAAACTCCAGAAAGTGCCAAGTCCTTCATAGGAGAGAAGAGACCCCCTAGCTGTTGTTATTCCTAGTTGAACTATGGTAGGAAGAGGAATACTACAGGGGGGAGAAAAGAGAAACCTGCTGAAATTTAACAACATTTTCACAACCCCTTGGAGGCTGGTTTGACATTAGAACCTAGATGACCCAAATCCACAGAGGAAGGCTTCCCACCAATCTTACCCCTTAGATGATAACCAGGTACAGGAAGGTGTAGTACACTAAAGGTGTGGATAATAGAAGGAACGCTGAGAGAGCTTGACTTCTCCCAAGGGCAAAATACCCTTTAAAAATGAAAGGGGAGGCAGGATTGTTGTGAAATCCAACAGAGGCACTCTTGGAGCCTAAATGGGGTCAGAAATGCTGAGAAACCCATCCCCTAGGCATTGTGGGCATTCCTCTACAAAAGGGCAGGGCACACATGAGAGCTGAGAAAGATCCTCCTATCCCCAGCCCATTGATTAAAAAAAAAAATCCTGGCAGCAAGGTTGTAAAGTAGGGAAAGATCTCCCACATTGATAAAAGCTGGTGGCTTAGCTATGAAGCAAAGTCAGATCTCTGGAATCTTGCCAATGCCCAAAACTCAGGCCCTGGTGATATGAGAGTTCTGATTCTACGTTCCTTCAAATATTTGAAGCTAGAGGCAAACTGAATCAAACTAAAACTGCAGTGAAGCCCCAGTCTAGAATTCATATACATCAGATTGAGCCACCATTCAAGTGGCCTGAAAAAAAAACAAAGGGCATGCTCTGTTTTGGAAGTAAACATTTTCTTCAATTTCTTTTTTTTTTCAACATAAAACGTCCATCATCCAATCAAATATACAAGACGTGCAAAAGCAAGAAAATAAGATTCATGGTAAGGGAGAGGAAGGGCTCAATAGAAGCAGAACTAGAAAAGACCCAGATGTTGAATTATCAGTTTGGATCCTTAAAATAACTGATTAAAAATGAAAGAAAAAACAGAAAAAACCCAATAAAATAACTGATTAAAATGCTAAAAAGTAGAATGGAAAATGTGGAAAACATGCATGAAGAAATAGGAAATTTCAGCAGAAAATTGTAACTATACAAATATAATGAAATGCTAGAAATAAAAATATTAGAAATGAATAATTCAGTACAACTATGTATCCATAAATAACTAAAAATAAAAATTTTTAAATGGAGAATTCAATAAACAAGTTTAACAGGTTAACATTGGAAAGCATCAAAAAACTTAAAGATGGTTAAATGGAAAGTATCCAAACTGAAAACAAAAAGAAAACAGGGCAGGGGAAAAATCATCTGAGATCTGTAGGTTTATATCAAATCATCTAATATACATGTAACTAGAATCTCCAAAGAAGAGGAGAAGCAAGAGAGTATGAGACAAGAGAAAAATGTAAACGGATAACGGCCAAGAAAGAACCAATATTAATGAAAGACATCAACACAGATCCAAGAAGTTCAGTAAACTCTATACAAAGAAAAACATACCTAGACATTCCCTAGTCAATCTACTGAAAAGTAAATATAATGCACAGATGCAGCCATTGAGAACAACCACACATTACGGAAAGGAAATAAAAATTAAAATGATGAATGACTTCTCACCAGAAACAAATGAGGCCTGAGTACAATAAAATAACTTCTTTAAAGTACTGAAAGAAGAAATAAAAGGTCAACATAGAGTCCTATATCCAACTAAAATACCCCTCAAAAATAAAAGTAAGGACATTCTCTTATAGACAAAAGCTGAGAGAACTCATCTCTTATTAAAAACTGCAGTAGGGCCAGGCGTAGTAGCCCTACTACGCCTAGTGACCTGTAATCCCAGCACTTTGGGAGGCCAAGGTGGGCAGATCACCTGAGGCCAGGAGTTCAAGACCAGCCTGGCCAATATGGTGAAACCCCGTTTCTACTAAAAATATAAAAGTTAGCTGAGCTTGGTGACATGTGCCTATAATCCCACTTACTTGGGAGGCTGAGGCAGGAGAATCGCTTAAACCTGGGAGGCGGAGGTTGCAGATTGCACCACTGCACCACAGCCTGGGAGATAGAGCAAGACTCAGTCTCAAAAAAACAAAAACAAAGATGAAAAAAAAAAAAAAAAAACAGAAAAAACAAAAAACACTGCAATAGGCTGGGCACTGTGTCTCATGCCTGTAATGCCAACACTTCGGGAGTGCAAGGCAGGAAGATCACTTGAGCCTAGCAGTTCCAGATCAATCTGGGCAACATATCAAGACTCCATGTCTACAAAAATGAAAAAGAAAAATTAGCCAGCTGTGGTAGCGCACACCTGTGGTCCCAGCTACTCGGGAGGCTGAGGCAGGATGATTGCTGGAGCCAAGAAAGTTGAGGCTGCAGTGAGCCACGTTCATGCCACCACACTCCAGCCTGCGTGACAGAGACCCTGTCTCAAAACAAAAACAAAAACAGTCCATGAGAGCCAAGTGTGGTGGCTCACACCTCTAATCCCAGCACTGTAGGAGGCCAAGGCAGGAGGATTGCTTGAGGCCAGGAGTTTGAGACCATCATGGGCAACACGGCAAGATCTACAAAAAATTTCTTAAATTTGCCTGGTGTGGTGACATGCACCTGTATTCCTAGCTACTCAGGAGGCTGAGGCAGGAGGGTCGCTTGAGTCCAGGAGCTCAAGGCTGCAGTGAGCTATGATCATGTCATTGCACTCCAGCCTGGCAGCCTGAGCAAAAGAGTGAGACTGTCTCTAAAACAGCAACAACAAAACTGTCCATGGGCTGGATCTGGCCCATGGGCCACAGTTTGCCAACCCCTGTAACATACCATCTTAACAAAATAAAAAGAGAAATACATAATAATCTTATTAAAAGCTAAAAACGCATCTCACAAAATTTAATAACCCTTCCTAATAAAAATTATCAACAAATTAGGAATAGAAAGGAACTTCTTTGGGCTGGTCTGTGAAAAACTTACAGTTAACATTATACTTAGTGATGAAACATTAAAATCTTTATCCCTAAGATTAAGAAAACAAGGCAAGGTGTCTGCTCTCACCACACGTTAAACATTGCACTAGATATTGTAGCCAGTGGAGAAAGACAAAAAAAAAAAAAAAAAAAAAAAAAAAGAAGAAAAGGCATAAAATCAGAAAAAGAAGTAAAAACATTATTTGCAGACTACACTGTTGTGTATCTATTTAATATAAAACTCTACGGAGTCTACAAGAACTATTTCTAGAATAAATGAATTTAGCAAGGTGGCACGATTCAAGATCAGCATACAAAAATCAGCCAGGCACACTGGCACGTGAATAAAGTCCCAGCTACTTGGGTGGCTGAGGCATGAGAATCCCTTGAGCTCAGGAGTTTAAGACCAACCTGGGCAACATAGTGAGACCCATCTCTAAAGAAACAAACAAAAAATCAATTGTATTTCTAGATACTAGCAGCAAACAACTTAAAAATGAAAATTAGCCAGGCGCGGTGGCTCACGCCTGTAATGGCAGCACTTTGGGAGGCCAAGGTGGTTGGATCACGAGGTCAGGAGCTCGAGACCAGGCTGACCAACATGGTGAAACCCCGTCTGTACTAAAAATACAAAAATTAGCCAGGCATGATGGTGTGTGCCTATAATCCCAGCTACTCAAAAGGCTGAGGCAGGAGAATTGCTTGAACCCGGGAGGCGGAGGTTGCAGTGAGCCAAGATCGCGCCACTGCACTCCAGCCTAGCCAACAAGAGCAAAACTCCGTCTCAAAAAAAAAAAAAGAAAAAAAGAAAAAGAAAAGAAAATCAAAAATATTTTAAAAATCAAATGCTTAAGAAAAAGTCTAATGTAAGATAAGCAAGTGTTACGCAAGGGAAGCTACAAAACATTGCTGAGAAAAAAATTTAATACCTAAATAAATGACAAGACTTAATATGTTCATGAATTAGCTGACTCAATACTATTAAAATGTTCATTCTAAATTGACCTATAGACTCAACAAAACCCCATATCAAGATTCTAGCAGTTTTTTCTTTTCTTTTTTTTTTTTGACAGGGTCTTGCTGTCACCCAAGCTGGAATGCAGTGGCATGAACACAGCTAACCCAGCACATCTACGTTTGAAAAACAAGATGAGCTAATTGTAAAACTTTTATGACAATCCAAAGAATCGACAATAACCAAAGCGATCTTGAAAAATAACAAAAAGGAAGGATTTACTAATTTAAAGACTTACTAGAAAGTTTCAATAATCCAAAGTGTGGTACTGATGTAAGGATACACAAATAGATTAATGGAACAGAACAGAAAATGTAGAAATACACACACACGTGATCAATTTTTAACCAAGCTACCAAGTCAATCTAATGGGTAAAGAAAAGTCTTTTTAAGTAAATGTTGCTGGAACAACTGTATATCCATGTTGGAAAAAAACCAAACCTCATTCTGTTCACAAAAATTAATTTGAGATGGATCACAGACCTAAACATAAAATCCCAAACCATAAAACTTCTAGAAGAAAATATATTCTTTGTGACTTTGAGGTCATAAAACCATAAAATAAAAAACTGATAAAGTGGATTTTATAAAAAAAATTTGTTCATCGAAAGATCCCAATAAGTGAATACATAGAGTCTTTAAAAAATCATAGCATATCTATCAAAGGATTTATATTCAAAATACAAAGAATAACACCTACAATAAAAAGACACCCAACTTTAAAATGAGAAAAGACATGAAAGACACTTCTTGAAAGATATACAAATGAAAAATAAGCATATGAAAAAGTGCTCAACTCATTAATCAGGGAAATGTAATGTAAATTAAAATCAGTTATTTCATATATGCTAAAATGGCTAATATAAAAAACAGTGACAGTGTAAATGTTGACAGACATGTGAAGCAACTGTAACTCTCATACATCACTGATAGGAGTACAAAATGGTAAAACCACTTTGGAGAATAAGAGGGCAGTTTCTTATAAACATGCACTTACCATATGACCCAGTAATTTTCTACTCTTATTTATCCAAGACAAGTGAAGATGTATATCCA
This sequence comes from Homo sapiens, assembly GCF_000001405.40. Lineage (NCBI taxonomy): Eukaryota > Metazoa > Chordata > Mammalia > Primates > Hominidae > Homo > Homo sapiens. The sequence goes on along the minus strand of NC_000015.10, from coordinate 72,592,901 downwards.
CAAAAAACAAAAACAAAAGGCTGTGTAAGAATATCGATAGCATCCTTATTCATAATTGCCCCAAACTGGAAACAACCTAAAGGTCCTTCAATAGGAGAATGAATAAACAAATTGTGGTATATTTATAGAATGAAATACTACTCAGCAATAAAGAACAATGTCCTAATACATACAGTATGCGTGTCTTTAAAGCATTATCAGTGAAAGAAGCCAGATGCAAAAGAGTACATTATTATATGATTCCACTTATATGTAATCCAAAAGCAGGTACAACAAATCTTTAGTGATAAAAATCAAGAAGTGATCACTGGAGTGGGGAGGTGCTCAGGGGTGATTTAAAAGTACTTGAGAATTTTCTGGGTTAATTGTAACATATTATGTCTTCTTTTGGTAGTTATTACACAGACGTATACAACTGTCAAAACATCAAACTTCACACTTAAGATGTGTGCATTTTGTAATATTAATTTCTATATATCAATTTAAAATAAAGGTGAGTAGTGGCTTCCTATTCCAGGAGTGTTTGTCTCCCACTCTTTACTGGCCTATTATCTCTTTGCTTCAGTGAGATTTTTGGGCTCCAATCTATTCAGGGCCAGGCCCTTGATTATGGAATTTATCTTAAAGAGCACACAATCCAGTGTCCCAGAGATAGCATTTAGAATCTGTAAAGCAATTTTGTGGAAACAACAGTCATTTATTTCCATTGGTTAGTGAGCAACCATTTGACCATTGTTAAGGCACTGGCTTGTACATGGACTTCCTTAAAGTACAGCACTTAACCTACTTTATTGCAAGCGAGTAAAAATGGAGTAAAAATTAATTATTCAAAGGCATGCAGAACACTATAACTTTTCATTAATCCCACTCTCTAGCATTTGCTGCCCTGACCTTTACAACACTCCAAATTAGTACTAGGATTTTGGGATACAAAATCATTTCCTATCCATGGCAGACATCTTTTCCAAAGCAGGTAGACACTCAGATCATTCTTCCTTATTGGAAAACTCTTTAGTGCTTTCCCTAGTTAGATAGAAATAAACCACAAGTCTGGGTATGTGGTAGGAATTTATTAACAAGCAAACATCTTTGTTCATACCAGGAAGACCAGCAATTAGATTATAAATGACTTGAGAGCAAGTGCAAGAACTTAACAATTTTAGAGCATTCCATGAGAATGTCTATTTGCCCAAGAAGGCCCACAAGAAGTGCTCTACAAATGCTGGTTATTATTTTATGCTGTACTTCCTCTGAGAAAATGATTTGACATACCGAGGTGGGAGTACACATAGCAAGGAAGTCTCCCTGTAAAAGGAAGCTGGGAAATTCAAGTAATGGTGTTTTTGGATAGGATCCCTAAGAAAACTTAGGACAAAATCCTGCTCTGTGTGTGTTTGCTCAGTCCTCAGGAATCCCACTTGACCAACTGACTCCAGAGAGCTAGAGCCTCACTGCATAAGCCTCAGATTCATAATTCTAAGAACAGCCATTTAATGTGCACTGAACTGGCTTATAGGGCACTACTCTGTTATACAGAAACAAATTTTAGCTATCAGAAGGAAATCCAAAATCTATAGAAACGTTTTCAGCCTAAAAAGCTTTCTGGGGGATAAACTGTCTACTATAAAGAGTTGGTTTTGTATTTCTTCTTCTTCTTCTTTTTTTTTTTTTTTTTTTTTTTTGAGACAGAGTCTCTCTGTCGCCCAGGCTGGAGTGCAGTGGTGTGATCCTGGCTCACTGCAAACTCCACCTCCCGCGTTCAAGCGATTCTCCTGCCTCAGCCTTCCGAGCAGCTGGAATTACAGGCATGCACCACCATGCCTGGCTAATTTTTGTATTTTTAGTAGAGATGAGGTTTCACTGTGTTGGCCAGGCTGGTCTCGAACTCCCGACCTCGTGATCCACCTGCCTCAGCCTCCTAAAGTGCTGGGATTACAAGGTGTAAGCCGCCATGCCCAGCCTTGTTTTATATTTCTATGAGCACCCTCCAAATTCTCATTCTGAAAGAAACTTGAATACTCCATGGCTAAAGGCAGGTGACTTGGAGTAAATACCAAACCTTTAAACAGGCATAATCAGTGAAGAGGGTTTTACAGGTGCCAAATAAGACATAAATTGTTGCTGAGGAAATATTATGTATATAAAGCCATTGTCAGCTGGGCATGGTGGCATGCACCTATAGTCCTAGGTTACTCAGGAGGCTGTGGCAGGAAGATGGCTTGAGTCCTGGAGTTCACGGCAGTAGTGCACCCTAACTGTGCCTGTGAATAGCCATTATATTCCAGCCTGGGCAACATAGTGAGACCCCACCTCTAAAAAAATAGTAATCTTTTAAAAAGCCCATGTCATCAGATCAAAGTAAGGTTAGACTTCTGGGAAGGGTTTGGAAATGCAGGGCTGGCTTGCTTAACTCATTAAAATGCTAGAGTGACTCTCAAATGTGAGAAAAAAGGAATACTTTGAGTACTTCTGAACAGTGTATCTGAGGTCACCAACGAAAGAGGCATCTGTTTTGAAGAGATGAGCCAAGATAAGAATTAAGTTTCCAGGACAATCTTAGGTTGGAAGTCCCCTAATCAGTCTATATACAATTTTAGCTGGTGCTTTTGGTGACTGAGAAGCAGATACAGCATGGTGAAAATAATATACTGGTCAAACAGCAGAGCTGGCTCTGATATTAACTGGTTGAGTGGCCTTGGGCAATCCACCGAGTCTATGCAGAATCAAGGTTGAGAGCTTCAGACAAACCAACAGACCTTTTGTTCACTGCTGTACTGCCAGTGCCCGGCACTGTGTGTGCTGACCAATAAAACCTAGGTTTGTAACTTCATTCCACCACTTACTAACAGGATGACCTCAAGGAAACTACCCATTTTATTTGAGCTTCTATTTTCTTATTTATAAAATGAAAATAGTAACTACATCATAAGACTGAGATGGAAGAGCTAGGAGCAGTGGCACATGCCTATGATCCCAGCTACTCAGGAGGCTGAGGCAGAAGGGGTTGGCTGAGACTAGGAGTTCAAGTCCAGCCTGGGCAACATAGCAAGACTGTCTCTTAAAAAAATAAAAAATAAAAATAAACGAGATGGAAACAAAGCATTTGGTAAATACTAAGTAGCCACGAGTATCTACCATATACCAATTCATTACATGTATTTAAAAAATTAAAACTTCAGGGCATTTCAGTTTTGTCAAAGACGATTTCCATGATGTGAACCCAGCGAACTATGATCTCCAAGATCTCCTTCCCGATTAAGTTAAGCTCTCAACACCCATGTTTGTATTGATGATCCTGCCCCATGGATCTGATTGGTTCTGTCTACATGTGTCAGGAACAGTTAACATGTAATACCTGGAGCTATGGGGTAACTGACAGGAAAAGCAGCAGTAAGAGCTGTAAGAGAATGATGTACAGATAGTAGACAATACCACTTTAGGGGTCCAAAATGGTTTTCTAGTTCCCAATCTCATCCTGCCTTTGGGAGTCTCTGAGACAGCTCTGTATCCTTATCTTTTGCCCAAGTTAGCACTGGTGTGCTTATTATTGTAACTAGGTTTTGTTTTCACATGTTCTTTGATCCTCACAATATTCCTATGTAACAGACAACAGCAGCATAATAGAATGAACATATGGAATCAGACAAGCATGGCCCTGTTATACACTCAATGTGTAACTTTTGAGTAAGTTAGTAGTATATGAGTGTCTTTCCTCATAAAAATAGGGTAACAATGCCCATTTTGCTTTAGGGCTGCTTGGAAGATACAGACAAAAGTAAGGCATCTGGCAAAAAGCACTCAACAAATTACAGTTCCTATTAGTATTCCCATTTTACAAAAGGGAAATCTATGGCTGAGAAATACCAATATTCTTACTACTATACCACACTTGAAATAAAAATACAAGATTATCAAAAGAATGATAGACATGAGAAACTTGTAAACTCTTAAGTGCTCGTGGAATTGTGCAGACTTGACGCAACTAGCTTTAATGACAGTTTTGCTTATAACCACTCAACTTCCTTTGCTCAGACTCTGTATTATTTTCCCTAGATAGATTTCTCCCCCTTGGTAAGAGAATGTACTGCCAATCAACATGGCTGCTTGTCAGTTCTACTTCTTGGTAAGACTTTTAGTTTTGTGATTTTCTCCAAGGTGGACCACTTACCAGAAAACCAACAAAAAACCAAATTGGGCACTGCACACCAGACCCTTGGGAGGCACCATTCCACAAAACCCACTCAACTAGGGCCTCCAGTGAGGCCCTATTCTGAGCCAGTCAATTTGCCTTGAATCATTTTGTCCCTTATGATCTGGAGTTGCTCGCCTATATTCTCTTTTTGCAACTATAGAAGGCAGTCTAGATCAAGGATCTCAACCTAGTCTGCATGTGAGAATCACCGGCTGGAATTAGGGGTGAGAATGCGTAAAGGGCTTTACAAAAATTACTGATGCCTACCCAAAGCAATTAAATCATAATCTCCATAAAGTAACACTCAGGCACTAATATTTTTTAAAGCTTCTCAGTGATTCCAATTCGCAGTCAAGTTTAAGTATCACTGGTCTAGGTAATGCCAGATGGACAGTGGCATTGTTGCAAGCCAAGACTAGTAGAAGCTGGGAAAAAAAAACTGCCCATGGCCGGGTTTTCTTTGGCCCACATTTAATTAAGAGAATTCACATGAAGTCTGGATTTCACAGGCTCCTCTCAGAGCCCATCTACTCCAGGGTACTCTATTTCTAAAATATTTACTTGGCTCTTGTTGACATTTCAGTTTGAGACTCCTGGATTACTTGAGACCCCTGAATTACTATGGTAATAAGGTTGTTGTGGTATTGATAGAGCTGCTACATATCAATGTGTGACTGATATACAAACTTTAACTGGCTCCTACCCTGAAAATAGTCCTAAATAAGCATATCTGTGGCCCTAAATGATAGCCTGAAAACTGCTTTTCGCACATAACTCATATTATTTTTTCCCATCCTAAATGCTACCGCCTAGAGAAAGGTCAACAATAGTTGCCTTAAAAATTGGACTCAACTCCACACAAAAGCAAAAACTAAAAACCTAAAAGTTGTCTGTTTACTCCCCTGGTAGGCACTATTTGATTGATATCCAACTGAGTATTTCTGAGTTGGCTATTTGATCTTGGGTAACTACAGAAGCAAAATCCCTAAAATAAACCAGATATAACCAACTTTATCCCCAAAGATATATGAAAAATCTGAGGGGCCCACTTATCTTCCTGTTTCTGAAGGAGCCAAAATTTTCTCATAAAACTCACTGCTTATCATCTTTTTAAAGCCTCAAAGGCTGAGATCCAATGGATATGGGATGTTCTGTGCATCCTGTAACAATTTCCTGCAGACTATCCAAAATTCTTTACAATGGAAATTCATTTGAATAACTAAACCAACAACTGCAAATTACTTGGGTACTATTAAGCAAATCATACTAAACCACTTATTCTCAACTACTGTGTTGCAAACTGCAACAAATGAAAGATCAGAGATAGTATAGAGCAACCTCTAACAGTAGCAGTGATAGGCATTTATAATAGTCTTTAATGTGGTTTAAAAGTACAATATAGTTAAGAACTACCTTCCCTGGTACAGAATACTAGGTCATTCTGTGACCAGAATAACAAAATATGATACAAAGAGGTAGCATGATGTTAAGTTTCAGGTAGAAGGAAATGAAAAATTGAGGGAGTTATTTAACCTCAGTGAGCCTTATCTTCCTCCTTTATAAAAAATGGCAATTTCTTCTCCACTTGTTTTAGACAGTAAGTTGAAGTGCTTTGAAGAGGAAAAGTGATAAACTCCCATAATTACAGATCCAAATAAGAGTAAATTAAATTGTCCTAAAACCTGGACTTGGCCAGAGTATCAATGACAAACGATCTTCAACTTTGGGACCTTCTTTAAGAAAACTCTCCCTTCATCCCTATATAACAGTATCAGCTTTAAGAGTGAGCTAAAATGAAAGTAATGTAAAGGAGTTTTGAGGTTAGCTAAGAATGACTTTTAAAGTATTTTCTTTAAAAAAAGTGGCATTCAAAGAGCTATTGAACATTTTTGTATCACTGTTACAACACAAACAATTTAAATTCAATATCTGAGATGCAGAAATTGGAAATCTTTCAGAAAATGCTCTGAAAGCTTCATTAACCAAGTTAAATGTTGGGGGAATGGGCTCATTCACAGTTCCCTGCAAAGAAACAACCAATTTTTGACATTTTATATTAAGTGGGAACAGTGAATAAGGCACATAATACGGGTGGCTATTAGCCACCTTTAGTCATTTTTTAACTATAAAAATAAACATAAGTAACTAATGGAATAACAAAATAAAAGTTTATTTTATTAGAATTAGGAATGTTCTTTCCCTCTGGGCAACCTGAACAGTCCAGTTACAATGAAATCTAAGAACAGTTATTTCCACAGCATAGGGTGCTCTATGCACAAAATTACAGGGTTAGGAGCATTTAATCAATTTACCATTCTGATTGTCTCACCAACCCACCCCATCCCATCCCCCAAGTGCTCTATTACCGGGGTTTGTAGCTAAAATAATTTGTTACATTAACTCCTTTTCCCTCTTCTACTAAATTTCAGTTCCTAATCATGGTTGAACCACTTTATTACACAGCAGATTCAACCATTTCAAATGAAGTCAGCCAGTCTTGGATCTGTTGTATATGGGTGTATGTATACACGTGTATCTAACATATTTATTTAAACACACATAAAACACATACAATCTGGGTTGTGGAAAATTACAGATAATTTAGTCTGATATTATATGCTACTCAATTTTACCACTGTGGTTTGTGTCCTGAGCTTTGGATCAAAATTTTATTTTAAATCACTGAAAGTCCATCTGCTGCTGAATGAATTGTTCAAATGAAGCATGCACTTTTCAAAAGACAATGAAACTGACCTCAAGACATGGAGACCTTGGTGCTTACTGTGAATAGATCCCTCAGATAAGACTTCTGTAGGTGAAACAGGGAAGCTGTCATGGCTTGCCTATCCCAGCTGGGGGCACTGAATCTACTAATAACACAAGCAATTCACTCTGGGAATTCTGTCAAATATGGTGGTATCTGTTAAAAGCTTGGAAGTAGAAAAGGGCCAGTTCATCTTGATCATACAAATTAGGGAATGCACCCACAACTGCAATACCCTCAGGCAGTATGCCAACATTGAAATAGAAAGCATCTCTAAAAAGCACTGTTCCTCCATGGGTGAAGACTGGTATTAGGAAGTGCACACACAATTTTTGGGTATTTGTTGCAACAGGAACACGTGGATTTATGACACTCAAACCTAGACACTGCAAAGTTAACTGGTAAGATTTTTTTTTTTTAAACACCACACATACACAAAGCATTTTAAAGGAGCCACATATATCTATATAGCAACTCTGACTGCTTTTCAAAGTTACCAGGGAAAGGAACTTATTCAGGCTTTCTTTAAAAAAACTCCTTAGTTTTAATGTATATCTTTTTAAGATTGATGCTGTCATTTGAAGTAAAATAATGTCATATGGATAATGGGGGAAGAGGGGAGAGAGACGAGAAAATGGAAGAAGCAGACACTGAGTTCAGATTTGCACCTGAGGTGGCAAGGGAGGAAAGGAGAAAAGGTACAGGTAAAGTTGATCCTAAAGCGACAAGTGGTTTAAGGAAGCAGCATTTATACTCAGCAAACATTCACTGATTTTTGATGGGAAAAGAACAGTTGCCAGTAAATCTCCTGTAACAACCTTTTCTAAAAGGAAAAGTAGGGTTGATTCAGCAAAGCCTAACTTAGGCAAAAGGCCAGAGGAAAGTGAACCTACTTCCCAATGGAGTAATAGGATGTACAGTGTAAGAGCAGACAAAGCTGCCTCACAAATGGTAAACACTCCCTAGGCAAAAGACATTTAAAGGAAGACGAAGAGGTCCTCAGCCTCAACTGGTATTTCATATTTAGACCTCTTAATCTAGTTGCCTAGTTCACTCTGCACTCCTGTATAAAACTGACAGATTTACAGATGCTGACCTATTGAAAAATACCACAGCCAGAATGGCCTAAACAGGTATATAGTTAATACAACCACCACCATCCTTTACTTTTAACATAGCTCTTAGTAGGAATTTCATAAAAATGGACATCACAGCTAAAATGCATTATTAATTCTCCTATCTGCTGACAATAAAAAAGCAGCAAACTCAGTGATTTCTATTTAAATGCACTAGATGGGAATATCATGTTCTAGGGGTGTTTGCCTTCAAACCAAACCCACAGCAACACACACAAGCAATTTCGGTATCCACCATTTTAAATTCACAATCTGAGACTAAATGAATGGCTATTTATATTTAAAGCAAAACATTCTCTTTGACACCCTAATGTAGAGAAGGGGTGAGCAGACGAGCCATAACTAAAATCTGAAAAGCAGCAATTAAGGGAAAACCAAAAAGTAAAAGAAATTTTAAAATGCTTCCACTGGATGCGACAGGGGACTTAAGAATGCCTACAGCTGTGTGCATAACATGGGCACACAAAGGCTTGGGTAGAGGCATGATGCCATGGAGGGGGATTAGGTTGGGACAGGTTAATTCATGAGCTGTAGCAACAAAACTCCCTGCTGTACCCCTTAATCAGGTCATGGCATTAGTCAGAGCTTGACCTCCCTTGTCCCTGATCAAGAGCAGGAATTCAAGGCATGAGGCCCATGGCCGGCAACAGACATACCAACACCAGAAAGGGCAAAATAACCTCAGGAAAGTGAAAGAGCTCTAGATAGGTCTTCCAGAGGTGCTAAACCGACACACCTTTATCCCAACCCCAACCCGGGAAAGATAAGCAAACTGAAAGAAAATGCACAGCAAATAGACATAATCTTGAAGATTTTTAAAGAATAAATATTTTTTTGTAATTAAACATTATGCAAACACGTGCCACGCTTGCTTTGTCCATGCATATGCGCTATATACAATTTTGAAAAATACTGTGTTGTCCTCTTGTTTTAAAAGTCATATACAAAGTTTTTATGTTTTTCGTTTGTTGAATCCTCTTGCTGCCTACCCCTTTCCCCATCCCAAGATTTTCTTTACAAGGAACTAAGCATCATTCACTCATGACCTTGGGGTATGAGAGAAAGAGAGTCAGTCTGTGTGTGGGTGTATCTGTATGTGTAGGGGAGGAAGGGGAAGAGGTCCTTTACCAAAGTACAACAAAATGGCTGGTTTGAACATGAAAAGCAGTGTCAAGGAGCTGTTTGAAATTTTAACTGTACTACACTCAGGAAAAGGAAAAAGAAAAAAAAGGAGTCAGCTTTGAGAATGAAGCTACGTTACAAGTTAAAGTTGGAGGGCTTTTAGTGTGTCTGTCACACTTTTGTTGGTGGCCTAGAATACTGTTGTACAATGGTTTATCTACCTTTTTATTACAATATAATTTACTTAAACTTTCCATTAACAAAACAATTCTGGTACTACAGACCAGTGGTGTCAGAATAGGCTTAGTGCCTCCTTGTTTGTGTTTGTTTTGTTTTAATTGCATGAGCACTCTAGATGGTAAAGTTTTCAGAGTTCATTTTATGCAGGGCCATTCTCAGTCCTCAATGTACTCCCACAGATCTTTTTCATAGCCTTCATGCACATGCTGTAACAAAACCCTTCGTCGACTCTCACAGTATCTGTAATCAAAGAGAAAAAAAAAAAAACTTGTTGTCAGCCTCTAATAATAAAAAAAGAGGCATTTACTTATTTTTAAGGCATCCCTATAGTTTATCCAGACTCGGAACCAAGCACCTATTTTTTATTTTAATAGGCACATGTTCAGGTCTAGATGTACAGACACATCAAACTGCTTCTAATATTAAAATGGTATTTTCTGAAAGCCATGATTCCATGGGAATTAATTTTAAAGCAATAAAGTGTTACAAGTTCTGATGGACCTTAGAAATCATAATTCAATCCCACAGTTCTGCAGATAAACAGGTTCAGAAATAATTTCATGGGTTCTTTATTCACGTCCTTAAAATCTCTGTCAACTGTAAAAGTACTGTAAACAAAATATGGTAGCTAAAATTGGCTAAGGGAAGGGAAGATATTGGTTAGGACTAAATCTCCAAGTCTTCCAAACTCCCCAAGTTTCCTACAACTTTCAAAAGACACTAGCATTTGTCACTTTGGGAGAAAGAGCTTCATGTTGAGAAATAAAACATTTTGCATCTCTAGCTTAAGAGGCGGCACATCTTGAAAAATCGACTCCTAGGACAAGTATCTCCTTAGATTAAAAAAATATATATATATATATGTAATAAAAACTCTAAAAAGTAAGTTTCCATAGCTCATTTGTGAATAGCCATGACCCATACATAGGATTCTCAGGCTAAGACCAACATTCAATTCTCACTCTCATCCTAAAGGCCACTTGGCCTTTTTGGATTCTTTCTTCCTTGCAAGGTAGCAACTAAATAACTGAACAGAAGTGGAATTAGCCAATAGAATAAATGGCTGAATTCCTTCTCTATGTATGCTTCACCAATACTATTACCTGCAATTTAGTGCCCAACGGACAGAAGCAATCTGTGAGAAACATGGCAAAAGCTCAGTTGCTGGATATGCTAAACCCAGTTTCACTATCACTGAACTTTACCAGTAAGGATCATCACTGGCAGAAAGTTTTATTCAACAGCTTAAAAAAAAATTACCTGTACTTGTCTTGTACTTTCTGCTTTATATCCTGCAGAGAATCTTGGGAAATATCTCGTTCAAGGTAGCCCGAGAGCACCTCTGTGGCATTCTCTAGATCTGCTTGGTTATTCTGTAAGAAGAATGAAAGTAAATTTTGGCTTCAAAATAAAGCTAAAAGATAAACCATTTTCACTGTTTTGTTGACTACAGACTGCTCTCAACACTCATTCTGTAACTTTCATAGGTGGTTTAACTGCACCTGTAAAGCTCTATGGGCTTTCATCTCTAATAACTTGTTTGTTCTTTTCCAGAACAATTTTTTAAATGTTAAAAGAACGAAAGATTTCACCCATTACTTTTGGAAGAATACTGAAGACCATTTGAAAGGATTTAAAATGTCTTTTGGAATCTTCTCGTTCTGAGAGCTGCTCTTTGCTGAAAACTCAAAGGTAAATGAGAAAAAATAGAAACCTATTATTGCTTACATCTGGCTATACTTATTTCTTATAAGAAAACACTGTATGGAAGATTCAAATTGTATCATCCTTTACCACTATGGCTAGTTTTGTACCTGTTACCCAACTGAAGTCCCATCTGCTAGTCAGTCTTATTGTCTAGTCATATACAGATATCAATGTTTTATGCATCAATTTTAAATGAACATCTTTACTTGAGAAAACCTTTACTGCTAAAAGCTGGCTTTTTAGTCATTATTTCTCCACTAAAGATAACCACCACATTAACTTCTAATATTGCAGGGTTAGTTTAGCCTGAATAAAGGCTTTTATTGAGAACTTATGATGTTCCAGGTGCCGTATAGCAATTAACACAAATTGTCTCACATAAAACACAAATTGTCTCACTTAAACCTCATAACAACCTAGAAAGGTACTATCCTCACTTTAAAATGGACAAATAAGAGGTTAAGGAATTTGCTCCAAATCAACAGAGCTAAAACATAATGAAGTAAAGATTAAAATCTAGGGCTGACTCCAGAACCTGCATACCTAATCACTAGCTGGCTAAACCACATCGATCTGAATATAATTTAGGACAAGAAATAGAAATTTCTTGTATCTTTGTAATAAATACATTCGTCTACCTACATGTTCTGAACAAACAAGAACCCTGAAAACTCTGTATCTTATATATGAAAGATCAGGTAGACCTATGATACAAGGTGGGCTTTTTCCTCACCCAGAACTACTCCTACCTCAAAGATAATGGACTGGTTATTCTTTTTGAGGTAGAAAGCGAAGACATAAGTGTACATGAGTGTGGCACGACACTGGCAGAGGACATCAACTGCCTTCTTCAGGAACTGCACCTCAATCCAGGACATGTTGTGCTGCTGCATCTCCTCCATTTTCTGTTTCACCTGAGCATATAGTTTGTGCTCAAAGCGCAGGCTCTGCATGTGGTTCATATAGCGATTACAGTAGAACAGGTACCTCTGCAGGGCTGCCCTAGATCGCTGTCCCATTAAGAAAAATTGGGTGATATAATTATAACACATAAACTGTACATAAAAGCTGATTATCAAATTAAAACCATAATGAAGTCTCACTTCACACCTGTTAGAATGGTTTTTATCAAAAAGATGAAAGATAAGTCTTGGCAAAGATAAAGAAAGAAGGAGACTCTTGATACACTGTTGATGGGAATGTAAATTAGTATAGCCATTATGGAAAATGGTATGGGGAGGTTCCTTAAAAAACTGAAAACAAAACCACCACAGAATCCAGCAATCCCACTACTGTGTATATATGAAAAGGAATTGAAATCAGTATGTCAAAGGTATCTCTGTACTCTCACATTCACTACAGCATTATTCACAATAGCCAAGACATGGAATCCATGTAAAGTGTCCATCAATGGATGAACACAGAAAGAAAACGTCATGTATGTACACACACACACGAGTACTCAGCCTCAAAAAAGGAATTCTGTTGTGACAACATGGATGAACCTGGAGGACATTACACTAAGTGAAATAAGCCAGGCACAGAAAAGAAATACTACATGATCTCGCTTATATGTAGAAACTAAAAAAGTTGAACTCACAGACATACAGAGTATAATGACGGTTACCAGAGGCTTGCGGGGATAGAGGGGTAGGAAGGGAGGGAATGGGGAGTTGGTGACCAAAGAGTACAAAGTTTCAGATAGACTGGATGAGTAAGTTTTGAGATTTATTGCACAACAGGGTGAATATAGTCAATAATAATATATATTTCAAAATAAGTATCATTTCAAATGTCTCACCATAAAAATGTTAAGGCAAGGCAATACAACAATTAGTTTGATTTAATCATTGCATTGTTTACATATTTCAAAACATTCCACTGTACTCCATAAATGTGTATAATTATGATTTGTCCATTAAAAATATTAATAATTTAAAAAGCTGATTTACTGATGAAACAGTACTGTGATCTAGGCTAAAATCAGGAATAGACATCTACTGCTACTTTTGTTATTTAATACTCTTGAAAAATGTCCTATTAATTGTACTTTCCAATACAGTAGCCACAAGCCACACCTGACTACTTAAAATTCAATTTAAGAAACTAAAAATTCAGTTCCTCATCGCTCAATAGTCACATGTGCTTAGTGACTACCAAATTAGACACTGGTGATAAAGAACATTTACATCATTACAAAAATGTTCTACTGGATGGCACTGTTCTACAGTATGCCACAAGATGTAAAACAAGCAAAAAGCAGAGATATTTTTAAGTAGAAAACTACAGTGGCAACTACATACCATGTAACTCCTGATATAATACAATAGAAAGTATAATCAATTAAGTATTCTGGGCTCCCCCCCCAACCACTGAATCTGAATTTGATCAAGTTTCTTGAATTAATCACCAGTGCAGAAAATGCAGGGATAGAAGAACCTATTAAATGACACCATGCAGTTGCAACCAGCAAAATCCATAATGTGGGAAACTCTACAGGACAACACGATCTAGTTTCTTCAACAAAGAAAAAAAAGCAAGGAGGGGGGAAGAGAAGGAACAACAGGTAGAGGAGACTCAAGAGATATCAATTAAATCCAATTTGTGGACCTATGTGGATCCCAATTTGAACCAACTATAAAAGAAAATTTAAGATAGGCTGGGTGTGGTGGCTCATGCCTGTAATCCTAGCACTTTGGGAGGCTGAGGCGGGTGGATTGCCTGAGCTCAGGAGTTTGAGCCAGCCTGGGCAACACAGTGAAACCCTGTATCTACTAAAATACAAAAAATTAGCTGGGCGTGGTGGCATGTGCCTGTAATCCCATCTACTTGGGAGGCTGAGGCAGGAGAATTGCCGAGTTGCACCACTGCACTCCAGCCTTGGGGAGAGAACGAGACTCTACCTCTGAAAAAAAAAAACAAAACACCAAAAAACAAAAAAAAGCAAAATTTAAGATAATTGGGGATATTTGAACAATAGATAGTTGATACCAACAGAGTATTGCTTTAAAACATATACAGTTGACCCTTGAACAACACAGGATTAAACTGTAAGTCTACTTTATATGTGGATTTTTTTCAATAAATATATTGAAATATTTTTTGGAGGTTTGCCAACAATTTGAAAACACTTGCGGACAAACCAAAATTAAGAAAAAGAGTTGTCATGAATGCATAAGACATATGTAGCCTATCTTATGATTTACTACGATAAAATATACATAAATCTATTAATAAAAAGTTGAGATTTATCAAAACTTATGCACACAAACTCTTACAGACCGTATATGGTACCATTCACATTGAGAGAAATGTAAACAAACGTAAAGATGCACACGGTACTCTGGAAGGGACTGTCAATGCTATCGAAGAGAACCCCCACAGAACATCATGGAAGTCTGGAAGGAGAGCACCACTGAAGATGTCATCGTTGTTATAGAAAAAACCATGGCATCATCAAGACTGAAACAATAAACTCCTGGTAGAGAAAACTGTGTCCAGATGTTGCGCGTGACTTCGCAGTATCTACAACAGAGCCCATCAAGGAAATCACGAAAGAGACTGTGGATATGGCAAAGAAAACGTGGAAGGTGAAGGGTTAGCTAACAGACACCACACCAGAGGAATTAAAAGACCACTTGATGGAGATGAGCTGCTTCCAAACCAGTGCCAGATGATGAGGAAGAAGACACTAAAGAAGCAGTGCCAGAAAATAAATTGACATTAGACAATTTGGCAGAAGGGTTCTGATTACTTAAGACTGCTTTGGACTTCCTTTATGAATGGACCCTTCTATTATACCAGCACTGAAACTAAAGCAAATGGAAAGAGGATTGTTACTATACAGAAACATTTTTAGAGAAATGAAAATGCAAAACGGTTCGTAAGGTTTTCCTGTAAAGTTACACCAAGTGTGCCTGCATCTCCTGAATCCCATTCGACTTCCTCTACCTCTGCCACCTGAGATATAGCAAAACCAAGCCCTCCTGTATTTTCTTTCCTCCTCAGCCTACTCAACTTGAAGACCTTTATGATGATCCGTTTTTTTGTTTGTTTGTTTTTTGTTTTGAGATGGAGTCTCACTCTGTCGCACAGGCTAGAGTGCAATGGTGCGATCTCGGCTCTCCACGACCTCCACCTCCAGGGTTCAAGTGATTCTCCTGCCTTATCTTCCCAAGTAGCTCGGATTACAGGCGCCTGCTACCACGCCCAGCTAATTTTTGTATTTTTAGTAGAGATAGGGTTTCACCATGTTGGCCAGGCTGGTCTCAAACTCCCAACCTCAGGCAATCTGCCCACCTCAGCTTCCCAAAGTGCTGAGATTACAGGCGTGAGCCACTGGGCCCGGCTGATCCACTTCTACTTAATAAAAAGTAAACACATTTTCTCTTCTTCACAATTTTTTAAAATAACTTTTTTCCTAGCATACTTCATTGTTAAGAACACAGTATATGCCAGGCACAGTGAGTGGCTCACGCCTGTAATCCCAGCATTATGGGAGGCTGAGGTGGGTGGATCACCTGAGGTCAGGAGTTCAAGACCAGCCTGACCAACATGATGAAATCCCGTCTCTACTAAAAATACAAAAAAATTAGCCAGGCATGGTGGCGCATGTCTGTAATCCCAACTACTTGGGAGGCTGAGGCAGGAGAATCGCTTGAATTCGGGAGGTGGAGGTTGCAGGGAGCTGAGACCTGCCACTGGCACTCCAGCCTGAGTAACAAGAGCAAACTCCGTCTCAAAAAAAGAAAAAAAAAAAAGCACACAGTATAATAAAACATGTAACATACAAAATATGTGTTAATTGACTATGTTATCGGTAAGGCTTCTGGTCATCAGTAGGCTATTAAAACAGGTAAGTTTTGGGAAAATCAAAAGTGGTATGTGGATTTTCCATTGCGGAGGTAGGGCGGGTTAGTGTCCCTAACCCCTGAATTGTTCAAGAGTCAACTGTAATGGTATTACAGTTATGTAAAGAGAGTCTGTCTTTAGAGATATGTAAAGTATATTGTTATCAAAGCAACAATGTATCTAGTTTAGATTTGTTTTGTATTATTACATTATAATATATAATTATTCATATGAGGCCTCTACCATTATACCATAAATCTCTAGAGGGAATGGACTTTTAAAAAGATAAAGTATTTCCAATACCTGATTTGCAGAAAACCATTAATAAATGCTTACTAAATGCAACCACTATCAAAGGGTTTTTTTTTTTTTTTTTTTTTTTTTGAGACAGAGTCTTGCTCTGTCACCCAGGCTGGAGTGCAGTGGCACAATCTCGGCTCACCACAAGCTCCACCTCCCGGGTTCATGCCATTCTCCTGCCTCAGCCTCTGGAGTAGGTGGGACTACAGGTGCCCGCCACCACGCCCAGCTAATTTTTTTGTATTTTTAGTAGAGATGGGGTTTCACTGTGTTAGCCAGGATGGTCTCCATCTCCTGACCTTGTGATCCGCCCGCCTCGGCCTCCCAAAGTGCTGGGATTACAGGCATGAGCCACCGCGCCCGGCCCCTATCAAAGGGGTTCCTAACACACGTATGTTCTTTTCCTTTATCCTTACCTCCTCTTTCTCTCCCCATGTTTTAAAGCCTACATAACAGATACTACTTGGCCCTATGGTTGGTCCCTTGCTTAGAAATACTAATTCTGAGCCACATAATTAGCTAACCACATGATCCAGCATTATACAACGAAACACTTCAAAAAACCAACACAAGTTGGGCGCGGTGGTGCACACCTCAAGCTGCCTCTAGTTCCAGCTAATGCAGAGGTTGAGGCAGGAGGACCACTTGGGCCCAGGAGTTCAAGGCTACAGTGAGCTATGATCATGCCACTGCGAGACCCTCATCTCAATGAAAAAACAACAAAACCACAGCCATGTTATTTCAAGAGTCAGGTAAGTATCAAACCAATGCTTATGAACAGGAAAATTATGCCAATCTGAAAATATGTGGAAAATCTGCTTGGCATTTTATCTTCCCCTAAAGTACTAATATTTCCAAGCCTGTCAAGTTCCCCAAATGAAATGAAAACCCTCCCTTACCATATTGACATGTATGATGTTATGGGACTTGACTTAATCTAAGAATTCTGAAACTGCTTCTCACTAAAATTCAACATGAAAAAAGAACACCCATACCATCACTGCTAATAAGACTTTTTTTTTTTTTTTTTTTTTTTTTGGAGACAGGGTCTTGCTCTGTTGCTTGAGCTAGAGTGCAGTGGCACAACCATGGCTCACTGAAGTCTTCCCAGGCTCAAGTGATCCTCCCACCTCAGCCAGCGTGCACTACCATACCTGGCTAATTTTTAATAAATTTTTTGTAGAGACAGGGTCTCAGTTGTTGCCCAGTCTGATCTCAAACTCCCGCACTCAATCCTCTCGCCTCAGCATCCCAAAGTGCTAGGATTGCAGGCGTGAGCCACTGAGCCTGATCAAGACAAATTCTCCAATCAAATGCCAGAATCTGGAATGAGAAATGTAATCAGCGACCTGAAAGCAGTTTGGGGAGCGTGGAAAAGACAACAAACTTGACTGCTTAGAACAGGGGTATACAAACTCTGGCCTGCATGACAAATCCAGCTGCCACCTGTCTTTGTAAATAAAACTGTTTTGCTTTCTTTGTTGTTTTTTTGTTCTGAGATAGGGTCTCTGCCATCCAGGCTAAAGAGGGGTGGCGTCATCATGGCTCACTGCAGCCTGGAACTCCTGAGCTCAAGCAATCCTCCCACCTCAGCTCCCAAATAGCTGAGACTATAGGCACACACCAACATGCATGGCTAATTTAAAAACCTTCTTTGTTTTTTTTTTGTAGAGATGGGCGGGGGCGGCGGGGGGGTCTTACTATGTTGCTCAGGCTGGTCTTGAACTCCTGGCCTCAAGTGATCCTTGGCCTTGGCCTCCCAAAGCACTAACATTACAGGTTTGAGCCATCATGCCCAGCCAGTAAATAAAATTTACTTGGAACAGTTATACCTACTCATTTAAGTCTATGGCTGCTTTTGCATTATAAGGGCAGAGGCAGAGTTGAGCCGTCACAACAGAGATTATGTAGTACGCAAAGCTAAAAATATACACCATCTGATTCTTCACAGAAAAAGTTTGCTGACCCTAGTCTAGAGGACAAGAAGATTCAAATATCCACAACTGTCGGCACTGTGGTACAATATAATGAGTCAACAATTTTCTATAACACAGGTACATCTTTTGCAGGGCAGTCAAGGTACCATCAAGGATCTTTTGAATATGTGTCAACCTTCTAGTAATTTTTCAGACTACAACTCCCAGTAAATGCTAGGCCAAGAGCTTGGGAGTGGGGAAAGATGAGGAGGCCAGATAGGCATGCAATGGTGTGATCCTTTCAGGGAGGCGTGGCTCCCAATCAATTAGTCAATCAACCAAACAACCAATGGAGTGATAGGAAATCTTTCTTTGTACTCCCACAGTTATAGAAGATTCTAGTTTAGTCCAACAGATGTGAAACAGAAAAATAATCTATTTTAGTATCTAGAATCTAAACATTAGACTCTGGCTCAAAAGCTATGCACATAACCCACCCTCCCTATAGATCTCAGAAAGGGATTCTACCGGCATCCAAATAAAGACCAGGTGAGGTCAAGGATAAACCACATATATTTTCTTTGTTGATAAACAGCATATCTGGCTAAATAAATACATCAGGTTAATGGAGAAAAAAAGGTGATAAGAACATATATCCATAATACATTCTGGGCAAATCAAGTAATGCATCATAAAAATTAATGTTGGAAATATAGAAATATATAGAAAGTTAGTGGGATATGACTTAAGGGACATCATTTAAGAAAGAAAAGAAAATTGGTGGGAGAACAAGTTATCTCATGATATTTAACAGTACAGTAATAATACATTTTTAAAACCCCAACAACAGTATCTACCAAATTAACATTTACTTGAGTTTCACTGATTTTGTGGCTCTCTTGGTTTGGCTGTAGAATTGTGCAAGAGCACAAGAATTTATAGCTGGTTTTTGTTTATACATATTTAAATAATATTATAATAAATATAATTTAAATCAATATTGGAATTTGTAGGGATTTTTTCCCCTTAAATGGACCCAAACATTGTGAAGGTCTGTGAAACATCATTTATAGTTACAAAATATAATTTCCCAGTCATTTTATTATTTATTTATTTATTTATTTAGCGACAGAGTCTCACTCTGGAGTACAGTGGTGAAATCTTGGCTCACTGCAACCTCCACCTCCTGGGTTCAAGCGATTCTCTTGCCTCAGCCTCCCGAGTAGCTGGGATTACAAGTGCAAGCCACCATGCCCAGCTAATTTTTGTATTTTTAGTAGAGACAGTGTTTCACCATAGTGGCCAGGCTGGTCTGGAACTCCCGACCTCAGGTGATCCGCCTGCCTCGGCCTCCCAAAGTGCAGGGATTACAGGTGTGAGCCACCAAGCCCGGCCGTATTTCCCAGTCTTTTTAAAAAGGGAAAGACAAAACTTTCACTTCTAGCAATATGACAGACTAGGTTACATATATACTCATTTCTATATATGATATTTTTATTAGAAATACATTTTGAAGATATGTTAACAAGTAAATAAGAAACAGATGCAAACCATATTTTAGATTGTACCCTGGCTAGGAAAATCATTTGAAAAGAATATTTCTGGGACAACTGGGGAATTTCAATATGGAATGGGTGAATGTAGGAACTATTAAATTCCAGGGTTCCACAATTACAATAAAATCACCAGACTGAAAGGAATGAAAAGTGCTTTAGAATCTAATCCACACCTAGTGTTTGGATCCCTTCTATAACAGTGGGTCATTTCCCTACCTAGCAATAGGGAATTTCTCAGTTCCTGAGACACTCCATACCAAATCAGCTCACCTATAATCATCAGCGCTTCTTGATGAACAAAAAGGTTTAAAAAAAATTTAAGTAAGTAAGATATTGCCTATAAATAGCACCAGGGCCATTTAACAAATGCTGTTCACTACTGTTCTTCTTGGGGTAGGAGGGATCTTGAAAGCAAGACTCTACCAAAAGCTAAAATGTGCTATGTAACTACATTAATGAAAAGAAAATAAACTTACTATAAGAATGTTCTTGATAAATATTTTGGATAAGATTCCCTTTCTAAATGTAAATAGATATCCAATATTTACTGGAATGTCTTTCACAAATCCTTCAGAATTGAAAAGTTCTACTCAATTATTCCCTGGGCTGGGCGTGGTGGCTCACGCCTGTAATCCCAGCACTTTGGGAGGCCGAGGCCAGTGGATCACGAGGTCAGGAGTTCGAGACTAGACTGACTACTAAAAATACAAAAATTAGCAGGGTGTGGTGGCGCGCACCTGTAATCCCAGCTACTCAGGAGGCTGAGGCAGGAGAATCACTTGAACCCAGGAGGTGGAGGTTGCAGTGAGCTGAGATCATGCCACTATACTCCAGCCTGGGCGACAAAGCGAGACACTGTCTCAAAAAAAAAAAAAAAAAATTATTCTCTAATGAATATGAATATACAACGTGCATTCTTAGTCAACTATTGTCCTGTTATACATATACTTACCTCCTGTGCATCTCTTGCTGCCTTTGCATCATCCTCATTATAGCGGTTACAGTTGTACCTTCAAGTAAATAAAGAGGATTCCATAAAGAAAAAAAAAATCAATGAAAAGGAAAAAAAAAAAATCAGAATTTTAACCTGGATTTACAGATTATCTAACACCAACGTTATCTTTTATAACAGAGAAATTGAGATGTTAAAACACCCAGGGTTCTACTGCTATAATGACAGAATTAGCAGGCTGAAAGGAACTGTTCTAACCCTATCTAGTGTTTGAATTCTCTCTATAATAAATTAGTTCTCTATCCAGTGATAGGAAATTCCCCACCTCCTGAGGCAGTCCATTTCAAATCAGCTCACCTATCATTATTAGAAAACACTGTCCTTCTAGAACCTTTATTGACTGTCTGAATTCCTAACTCAACTTTTTGAGAAAGAGATAATCTTATCTCTTAGGCCATCTGTTACTTAAGCCAAATATTTCTAATTTTCCAGGATTATTCACCTTATCTGCTCTTTTATAAACCACAGAGAACCAACAGTTGACAGCCTACCATGTAACAGATGCTGTGCTATGTGCTTTGCTATTACAGTTTTTCAGAGTCATTTAAAACTGCATGATATACAGAATGGTGGGAAGGGGAAAACATACCCAGAGAGGTCAGCTCAGAGCATAGATGAGTAAGACTTGCACTTCCCCTGGAGTGGTTACTATACATCAGTTATGGGAGCCTACATTATGGGAGCAGCTATTTCATGAGTGCTTACTATATACCATGCACTTGGCTAATGACTTTAAATGTACTAACACATTTAATCCCTTAAACATTTTATGAAATATGCATTATTTTCTTCATTGAGAAGATGAAGAATAAAATTTACAGAGGATGGGAAACATACTTAAGGTCACATAACTACAGAGTTTCAGAGCTTAAACTTTTGCCTGTCACCCAGTGGAGGCTTATGCCCTTAACCAGTGAGAAAACTGCTTCATATGCTGTGTAAGATTCTTTTTTTTTTTTTTTTTTTTTTTTTTTTTGAGACACAGTTTCACTCTTGTTGCCCAGGCTGGAGTGCAATGGGGCGATCTTGGTTCAGTGCAACCTCCACCTCCCGAGTTCAAGTGATTCTCCTGCCTCAGCCTCCCGAGTAGCTGGGATTACAGGCATGCGCCACCACGCCTGGCTAATTTTGTATTTTTAGTAGAGACGGGGTTTCTCCATGTTGGTCAGGGCTGGTCTTGAACTCCCGACCTCAGGTGATCCACCCACCTCGGCCTCCCAAATTGCCGGGATTACAGGTGTGAGCCACCGTGCCTGGCCCAAGATTCTTATATTAGTTCAAGTAAGTCATCAATAAAACAAGGAAAGCAACATATATATGCTTATTTAAAGAA
The DNA here is from genome assembly GCF_000001405.40 of Homo sapiens. Lineage (NCBI taxonomy): Eukaryota > Metazoa > Chordata > Mammalia > Primates > Hominidae > Homo > Homo sapiens. The sequence goes on along the minus strand of NC_000015.10, from coordinate 72,570,772 downwards.
AAAATATGACAAAGCCTTTTAGCAAGGCTTTAAAGCATTCCACAATGTCTAATGATATGCAGAGTAAAACCACCTGCAGGTTGGGTTTTGCCAACAGCATCTGAGTTTTCAATTTTGGCCTAGAGAGGCACATTTGATAATACAGTTATTCTCTGAAAAAGTCATGTATTTTCACAACATTCTACCTTTGCTCATGTTGCAACTTTTGCCCTAAATGTTTTTCCTACTACTTTTATAACTAATGAACTCTTGGTCCCCTTAAAGTTCATCTAAATTGTTACCTCCTTTATGAAATATATCTAACTAATCCCTCTATGTCTTGCATAGACTTATAACATTAATCACACACTATGTATTTATTTAGCTTGCAAGTTAGATGGTGATATCTATGAGGTAGAAATGTTATTCATAATACATGGCACATACTTATGTAAACACATTCTTCCCTTAATTTCCCCAACCTACCAGGCAGATCCATGTGGTTCCCATGGGCCAAGACACACCCAGCAAAACTCTGCTTTACAATTCTGGTTACGACAGACCATGTGATTACAACCACCATCCTTCTCAATTGTGACATGGCATTTGGGACATTCCTATGAAGAGAAACTATAAAGTTGGTGTCAATGCTACACTAGGTTGCATTACTAACATTAAGGAAAAGCCAGTTCTAGATTTGGTTTGTTTTTAAACATTTTATTTATTGTGGTTAATACATATAAAGCACTTAGAACAGTGTTGAACACTTAAGCACTATTTAAAATGAGCTGTTACCATTATTACCACTGGCTTTTAAGACATACAACAATTTAAGGACTTGTTTTTTTAAACTTAGAAACAGAGTCTCACTACATTGCCTAGGCTGTAGTGCAGTGGCTATTCAGAGGCCCAATCATAGGTCACTAAAGCCTTAAACTTCTGGAGTCAAGTGATCTTTCCACTTCAGCCTTCCTAGGATTTCTTTTTAAGTAGGGCTGAGAGACAAATCATTTTAAGTACTTTTAGTCATATATATAGTAATAACAGTACTATAGGAGATAAAAGCATTCTATTCATATAAATATACTATACTCTCTAGTGTCATCTAGAAATAATTGAGTACTTCCCATATCCCATGTACCGTTCTCAGTGTTTTATATGCATCAACTCATAATTCTTATAGTGGTGCTATTCCTATTTCCATTTGTCAGATGAATAAACTAAGGGAGAGAAAAATTATAAAGAAGCTAGTCCAAGGTCACATAAGTCAAGTCAGGATCCAAATCCAAGCAATCTGACTTCAGTGTCAGGTAACTAGGAAATCAGACCTTGATTGGTAAATTCATTTTGTGGCTACTGGATTTTCCAACTTTCTCCTACCAAATAACCATGTTTTAAATTCTTTTCATTGTACTCCTTAACAAGTATGCTACAGAGATCGTGTTAGATTGTTTTTTTCCAAGTCCAAATCATTTTCTTTTTCTTTTTGAGACAGGGTCTCACCGTCGACCAGGCTGGAGTGCAGCAGTGCAATCATGGCTCACTGCAGCTTTGACCTCAAGGGTTCAAGTCATCCTCCTGCCTCAGTCTCCCAAGTAGTGGGACTACAGGTGCATGCCACCATGCTCGGCTAATTTTTGAATTTTTTGTTGAGGTGGGGTTTCACCATGTTGCCCAGGTTGGTCTCAATCTCTCAAGCTCAAGCAATCTGCCTACCTCGGCCTCCCAAAGTGTTAGGATTACAGGTGTGAGCCACTGCACCTGGCCTCATATCATATTCTTGGTTGCTAGTAAGCCAAAATTACTGCTCTGTAGGCCTATGGATTTTTTGTTTTTGCATTTGTGATTGAGGTTTGTAACTCTCCCAAGGAGGGATCACCCACTATATTAGTATTTGCACAATTTGGCCTTCTTTGTGAAATTGACTATGCTGCCCATCAATGATAGCAATTTAAAATAGGCCAATATAGCAACTTTTTAATTATATATTTCAAATCAAATTTTTGAAATCACCCACATAAGAAATTTTACATTTTTTCCAAACAAGCAAATTTCAGGCATAAAATATGCGTCATTCTACATTCTACATTTCTTGGTTATAATTAACCTAATAGTATTAAACCTCCAAAATGTTAGGATATCACTGACAATATGCATATCTGTTTAGGGAGCTAATAATCTTAAAAGCTTCTAAAACCTCAAGAGAAAAACTCTTCAGTTTTCTCTCAAAAATACTGAGCAGCTAAATTTGTTTTACAAATTGCCATTCTTCCTTGGTAATCTACAATCTAAACTAAGCCAAACATATTCAAGCCTGTACTCCCTATTTTAAACATCTTTGGGGCTTACAAGTAGGAATTTCTCTAGATGTAGAAAAAAGGCTACCATTTAATTAAACAATTTAGTGAAAATATAATTGCCTTATTCTAAATATTAGTTTTTCAGAGCATATTAAAGAATTCTGGGACTTAAGGAACATTTCTTGTGGGAAAATCTTCAATTTTCAAAAAAAGAATGCTTGGCTAAGAATTTTTTTTTAATAACAAAACAAGTAACCACTTTCTGACATTACAGTATATTTATAGTAAGGTTTTCTTTGATTGACGTGAGTTATGCTTATCGTGATGGTTTTGGAGGGAACAAAAAATATTAATTTCTACCATATATTCCTTAAAGACTTGGGCATTTGTTTTATGTGGCAAGATTCACTGTTTCACTACTTTCTGGGAGACAGAAATATAAATTCATGTTTTATATATAAGTATGTAAGATGTATATTTAAACACACACAGACAACCTGCGTCGGCCTTCATTGTTTACACACTTCTTAATCTCATTGTCCTGTGATGACTGAGGCAACAGTTCAAAGATAGCTTTATATACTATGGGTCAAACAACTCAGCATTCTTTAAAGCATCATCTTTACATGTACAAAATAATACTAAAAATGAATAGCCCATGAACCAACCTACCATTCATTACCCAAGTCACTCACTATGGGGATAGGATAGGACTGAATTACATAAAGGATGGATAATACGACTTTGTATTAAAAGACTAGCTGGGTACACGGTTGGCATTCAAATGCTTGCTCATTAGATTAGTGATCGAGGAGAAGGGTACTCAAGATTTAAACACTTCTAAGACATTTGTCTGGGGTTAAGAAAGTGAATTTTGAAATTGAATTTTGAAACTAGTATCAAGAGCAATGTACTTCAAAACAAAAAATTAGAAACAAAAATGTAAATTAGCCTAACAGAACCAAGCTAGGCGGAGTAAACTCCAATGCATTTGTATACTAAATGGCAGCCAAGCACAAATCCCACACTTGAAAAATTATCAGCTTTTTCCTCTACAGAACACTAATTTTTTTTCCAGTAGAAGAAACCTAAGGCAGAGAACTGTGGATGCTGTACTACAGTACTCAATACTCTAAAATAAACTCAAAGAGAAAAAGGAAATAACAGGCAAACATTCTGGGAAAAAAAAAAAAAGACTCAATGGAGAAAAAGATGAAACAAAGCCTGTAAGTAGGTCACCTCATTGCTTTTGCTAATGCCAAAGTACCAATCCTTATCATTTTTATTACCAAGAGTTACTGAAGGAAAACACCAACCTTTGTGTTGGCTGCAATCCAATTGGAGGTTTCACTGTCATCATCACACTTTTTAATCCATTTCTTTAACCACTGTTTGAAAATAACAACGGTTAGGATACAACAAAAGACTTTTAAAAATAGCAAATTACTTTAGCACTTAACTATAGTCAAGCTTAAATGTAAAAGCCAATGAATAAGATTATCACTAGGCTCACATCCTCTTAAGCCAGGGAAATCCCATAGCTACAATGTCCAGTATATATAAAATCAACCAAAGCAGGATTTTCTTTGGCAGAAGCTGAGTGGGGAACCTAGAGCTTGAAGAGAAGCCCAACTGCAAGGTGTGTATTCCCCTAATTACAAAGCCTGACAAAGAGGTGCCTTAGCCATGGTTATCCTAATAACAATCAGGAGCTGACTTGGCTTATCCTAAGGAATTACCTCTGAATACATGTAATGATCATCTGAAATTAAAAGGATAAAAAAAAATCTATCAATAGATAGATAACAAAATCATCAGCTATGATTTTTAGTCACTAAGTCTTAGAAGTGTGCCATTATTTAAAAATTGAAATGTCAGACAAACTCACCTTACATTTAACAGGATCATGCCAATTTTCTCCACAGTTAAAGCTGTTAAGTGACACAAAGAGTTAATAGAATTAAGGCCTACCTACTGTAAGCAAGTAAATAAGCCAATCATTTCATGCCTTATAGTTCCACAGTATTGTCACTAGTTTCTAGTGACTGGCAAATACAAGGAGAGAACCCATGTCTGCTTTACAGTTAATTACCTAGAATTTAGTAGTAGAACTAGCACATAGTGGGTACTCAATATGTGTGAAGAATGACTATAAGCATGAAGACACGCTTTGATGACAATTTCATAATAATTGTTGCTAAGGTGCCTCAGACTATATTGAGAAGTTTCAACCCATGCTTCATCAGTGCATTTTTAATCTTTTACTTAACACCCTAAATGAAGAATAAAAGGCTGACTTTGTAGGTTACTTATATAATTTAGTACTAATACACAGTAAACAATATATGGGAAGCAAATAGGTCACATCTTTGCATTATTTAAACAAATGAACCTCCGCCCTGTAGAGGGAAATGGTACTGGGCAAGGTATAAAACAAAAAGACTAAATACTCACTAAACATGTGTTAATCAGTAATTCACTTTTGTTTTCTAAGTTCATGACATATACACTTGTAAAAGAAGTATAATTAACAAACACAAATGCTTAAGAAAAAAATAATAAAATGACAGATTAATTAGCTAATTAAGTAATTTACGAATGGCAAAAAGTCCTTTGCTAAAGACAGAAACAAACTACTATTGATTTAAATCAGGTTAAGATAAATGGTTATTTCTGAAAAGAAAGATGGGGAATGGGAAGGAGCAGGGAACCAAGGAGCTTCAAATATATGTGTCATGTTTTATCTCTTAATGAAGAAAAACAAAATACTAATTTTGATTTAACTGGATTGTAGCTATATAGGTATTCACTGCTGTATTCTCTATACTTTTATGTTTGAAATGTGTCACGCTAAAAATACATTGGAAAGTAGGTATTATCCACCTTTTCTCTAAAATAACAATACATAATTAATCTTTATCGAAACAGTATGTATTTTACACATACTTAATCTCTGTGAGCTTACCTGCTCTTTTTGGAAATATTTATTATTAATGATGTGTTAAGTGTAATTCTATAGATGTTTGGAGGAAAAAAAGAAAGGTATGGAATACCAATAAAATATTTCCCCCTCCAAACCACCCCGCAGCAAAAAAGAAAATCTGGCTGGCCATGGTGCTTCTCACCTGTAATCCCAGCACTTAGGGAGGGCCGAGGCAGGTGGATTACTTGAGGCCAGGAGTTCAAGACCAGCCTGGCCAACAAGGTGAAATGCTGTCTCTATTAAAAATAAATACATAAATAAATAAACAAATAAATAAATAAATAAAAATTAGCCAGGCGTGGTGGCACACGCCTGTAATCCCAGCTACTCAAGAGGCACAAGAATCACTTGAACCTGAGAAGCAAAGGTTACAGTGCGAGATCGTGCCACTGCACTCCAGCCTGGGTGATGGAGTGAGACCCTCTCTCAAAACAAAACAAAACAAAAAATCTATTTGCTGGGTCTAGAGCCCCTTGACTTGATTGGCTTCTTACTCCTCAAGACCCTCAAAGGAACAGAAAATCATCTTAACTTCTAGCAGGATATAAATGTTTGTGTCCCCCTAAAATGTGTATGTTAAAACTTAATAACCAATGTGACAGTATTAGGATGTGGAGCCTTTAGGAGGTGAATGGAATTGGCATCCTTTTTAAAAAAAAAAGGGGCCCAGAGAGCTGCCTTGTCCTTTCCACCATATGAGGACCCAGCAAGTAGGCACCATCTATGAACCAGAAAAGCAGGCCCTCGCCAGACAACAAATCTTTTGGCACCTTGATCTTGGACTTCTCACCCTTAAGAACTGTAAGAAATAAATTTATGTTGTTTAGAAGCCGCCCAGTTTATGGTCTTTTGTTATAAAAGCCTGAACATTAAGACAGAAAATGGTACCAAGAAGTGAGGGTGCTGTTCTAACAAAACCAAAAATGTGAAAGCCGATTTGAAACTAGGTAGTAAGTAGAGGCTGGAAGAGCTTGGAAGTGCAAGCTAGAAAAAGCCTAGATCACTGTGAATGAACTGAATTGTTAAGGGTAATTCTGGTGAGGATTCAGAAAGACAGAAGTGCAGGGAATGCCTCAATCATAGAGAAAACCTAAATAAATGGCCATGAACAGAATGTTGTTAGAAATATGGACAGTAAAGGCCATTATGATGAGGTCTCAGATGAAAATGAGGAACATGCTGTTAGAAACTAGAGGAAAGGCCATCCTTGCTATAAAGTGGCAAAGAAGTTGGCTGAATTGTTTTGTGGAAGGTAGAGAAATGAAACTGAATATCTGGTTGAGGAAATTACTAAGCAAAGTGTTGAAGACGCAGCTTAGCTTCTCTTGAATGTTTATAGAAAATGCAAGAAGAGATGAATGACCTAGAGATAAACTGTTCATCAAAAGGAAATAAGAAGTCAAAAATTTGAAAAATTTTCAGCCTATCCACTTTGGAAAAAACTAGAACACCTATAAAGGAGCCTGAACTGATTAAGACATCCCCTAATATGTGGCACTGGAAACTTCCTGGCAGTTCAAATCTAGAATTCAGAGGCTGAAGAGTATACTATAGAACTCCAAAAGCCCAAGTTACCAAGAAAGCTGGGCGAGAGGAGCCACAGGAAAACTCTTAGTTAAAAAGGAGACCATCAGCAGAATTTACCTGCACATTTCCTTTGCATAAGTAAGGTTAAAATTTGGCAGAGTAAAGAAAAACGTATAGTCCCAGATCTACAAGTTTGCTCCCATTAAGTTACAGTGGAGCATACAGGAAGATATGATTAGAGTTGTATATTTTCTCCATAAAAAAAAATTCAAAAAAGTTAGAACATCAAGGAAAGAGGAAAAATTTTTTTAAGATGTGACCTTTTCATTCAATTCTGAAAGAGATATATACTATTTTAAACCAGTATCAAACATCTCCCTGCCTAAGGTAAACACTTTTTTTCTGCTATTTTACTACCAAGAATAAACAGGAGAAATGGAAACGCTTTGTGCACTATTTCAATTTAGGAAATCACTTGCTTACCAAAATTGGCGCCCACATTTGCAGCGAACAGGTTTAGCATCAGGATATTGGACTTTAACAACATGGTGGCAATCTGGGGCAGGACACCACTTTAACAGTCGATTGCACTGAAATACAAGTTAGAAAATAAAAAATGACAGCTGGCTGGGCACAGTGGCTCACACCTATAATCCCAGAACTTAGGGAGGCCAAGGCGGGAGGACTGTTTGAGGTCAAGCACTCCAGACCAGCCCGGGCAACATAGCAAGACCTTGTCTCTACCTTAAAAAAAAGAAAAAAGAATTTAGCCAGGCATGGTGGTATGTGCCTGTAGTCCCGACTACACAGGAGGCTGAGGCAAGAGGATCACTTGAGCCCAGGAAGTAGAGGCTGCAGAGAGCTGTGATCATCTGCTGCACTCCAGCCTGGGTGTTAGAATGAGGCCCTGCCTCAAAAAAAGACAGCAAATTAAATTAGGTCATGATGCAAGATTTCCTAGTACATCAAGCTATTTATATTGCTTCTCTGGTACAAGGGGCAAATGGGGGATAATTACACAAGCTTATGAAAACTTGCTGTGGTCTTCTATAGCAACACTTCAGATGTGCCTTTTTTTTTTTTTTTTAAAGATGACTGATCCCTGAAGACCTGGTTTTATAAAATACATGAATCACCTCTTGTTCTATCTTCAAAATCCCACTGAATAACTTTAATTAAATATCATGTATGTGACCATTAAAAACCACTAATTTATTTACAGTTCTATTTCAGAACAATTTTCAAAAGACACAAGAAAATCAGATATACTCTTTATCAAGGAAGGTGTTTAGAAGCTACAGAATAGTTCAAGATAGGCTAAAGGATATACATACAACTTCTCCCATAAAAAGCTCTTGTAAGAAGGAAAAAAAAAAACAAACAAAAAACCCAGTTCCTAAACCACAGGCAAAGATTGCATTTTAGTTCCTCAAAAGGAAATATAACTTTTATAGTATTATGAAAAAAAAACACTCTGCACCAGAATTCAGAAGTCCATTGACCATTTCAAATAATACACTATTTCTAAAATAGGCTGTTTCCAGGTTTAATCTCTAACAGAAATAATTACTTTCTAGAATTAAAAGACCAAGTTACTGATGTTGTCATACAGGGGCTGAAAAACTCCTCTGTAACAAGCCAAGAGGGTAAAGAATTTTGGTTTTGCAGGCCAGAACAGTCTCTGTAGCAACTACTCAACTCTGCCACTGTAGCACAAAAGGAGTCATAGAACAAATGGGCAAAGGCATGGTCCAATAAAGGATAGCATTCTTTATTAACAAGATTTACTGGTAATGAAACCTAAAACGAGCAGAGAAATAGCAGGGTTAGAATCTCAAACATGATTAAACATGACACGATTAGTAATCTACTACAATTCTCAGCTAGGGATAAAGAAAAGTAAAGGAAGAATACAGTAAAAATAATTTTATTATCCAAGGTCAAGATCTATGGAGAGATGTACTTACTGGTTTCTCATACTCTTTTATTTTATTTTATTTTATTTTTTATTAAGAGGGAGTCTCGCTCTGTCACCCAGGCTGGAGTGCAGTGGCGCCATCTCGGCTCACTGCAACCTCTGCCTCCAGGGTTCAAGCGATTCTCCTGCCTCAGCCTCCCGAGTAGCTCGGATTACAGGCTTGTGCCACTGTGCCCAGCTAATTTTTGTATTTTTAGAAGAGACAGGGTTTCGCCATGTTGGTCTTGAACTCCTGATCTCAGGTGATCCACCCGCCTCGGCCTCCCTTAGTGCTGGGATTACAGGCATGAGCCACCACACCTGGCCTGTCATACTCTTTTGAGAATAAAGGTATTTTGGCATGCTTCATAAATATGTTAAAGATGTTTTTTACTGTCAATAAATTATAATTTTTAAAATAGTATTTCTATTAATAAACAGAATTCCTTCTTACAAGAAGGAAAACAAATCACTTACCTCTACAAAGCTATTTGTTATTAAATGCTGATACTTTAATTTAACTTTTGAATCTGTGATCAGGCGCCTGAAACCAAGAATAAAAATAGATTAGAAAGTTTCCAGTCAAGAGTATTTTCCACATTTATAAAACATAGTTTCAAAAGCTGTTTATGCTACGGCTACATGTTTATGCCCTAAGCTGTAAATACTGAAATGCACATAGGCTATCAACAAATATAACTGTACTGATCAGAACAATAATTTCAAAGTTTGTATAGTTTTATTTTCATAGACTTTTTTTCCATGGTTCTTATTTTTTAAATAGTCTACTTTTACCCAGTTTTTATTACAGCCTAATGACTTACCAACTAGTGCCAAGTATAAGCGCATTTCAGGGTCTTTTGACTCTGATATCATATCATGCCTTAAGACAGCAATTCTCAGCCACCTTCCTTCAGACACCCCACCCAAATCAGTATGCGAAATGAGACAGATATTGTTGCCAGAAATGTTAAGAAATGGATCCAGGTTTTGTGATACCTAAAGCTGATACAATTTTAAGAGCCTTCTTCTTCTGAGAGCTCTTAGAAATTAACCAGAAATGCTCACTGACTGCATCCTGGCCTCTTCTGAACACTATAACTCACAAGAATTTCCAGAATTCACAGGATCCCACGTAGTGAGGAATCCTGAAGTTTAAGTTTCATTAGTTCTATGGTAAATACTCCTCTGAGTGTATTCCCACTGAGAAAGACATGAAGAACATGCATGTAGTTCAACCCCATTAAAATCTTTTAAATGAACCAATCTGGCCTCATTTGACTCTTGAGCTTCATAGGCCTCTCTCCTTCCACAAGATCCCACCCTGTCCTGTGGCACTTTCAGTGCACTCCTATCACATTCGTATTCTTGTATTTCCTCAAAACAGTAAGTACCACCCTTCCTCAGAGGCTGTGCATAAGGCTGCCTCCCTTGGAAAGACAAGAATATTGTAATGGAGCTCTAAGGTGGGACAGCCTAGGTTTGAATGCCAGCCTCACAACTCACTAGCTATGAATTGAAGGTAAATTCTTTGAACTCTCCATTTCTCAGTTACTAATCTGTAAAATAGATATCAGAAACATGGTTGTGAGACTAGAATAGTGCCTGGCAGATAGTAAGCACTCAATAAATATTAGACGCTATTACTGTATTACTTCACTCAGTTACAATAAAGTATTACTCAAGGAAGCCTTTCCTGAGTTTCCACACTCGTTTGGATATAGATACCCTCTCAGTTCTCATGGCACCTTAAACATCTACTTTATAGAAATTATCATAATTTTAATTAGACAGTTATCTGTATAATCATTTGTTTAATATCTGTCTTTCTCCTCCCAACCCCATGAAAGGATCCCCAGGTGTCCAGTACGCCTGTAGAAAGTGTTCAATTAATATTTTTTAAATGAGTAAATCTCCATATTTCACAGAAGTGGAACCTGCGGTCTAAAAATAATTTGTGTATTTGATGGTTCCTCAAAAAGTTAAACATAGCATTACCACAAGACCCAGGAATTCTCCTTTGAAATATATATACTTAAGAGAATTAAAAACAGATGTTCAATGAAAAACTTGTACACAAATGTTCATATGTTCACATAAGACATTTCCGTAAAAAATGGAAATGTCCATATAATGGAACCATTATTCAGCAATGAAAAGGAGTAAAGTGATGATTCATGATACAACATGGATGAATCTTGAAAACATTAAAGAAGCCAATCACAAAAGGCAACATATTACATGATTCCCTTTATATGAAATGTCTAGAATAGGCTAATCCACAAAGACAGAAAGCAGATGAGTGGTTGCTAGGGTCTAGGGGGAGAAAGGAATAGCGAATGACTGCTTAACGGATATAAGGTGATTAAAATAGTCTGCAATTAGGTGATGTTTGTAGAATAATATTATGTATATACTAAAAGCCACTGGATAATATACTTAAAAATACAGTTGCTGGCCATGTGCGGTTGCTCACGCCCGTAATCTTAGCACTTTGGGAGGCAGAGGTGGGTGATCACTTGGGGTCAGGAGTTCAAAACCAGCCTGGCCAACATGGTGAAACCTCGTCTCTACTAAAAATACAAAAAAATTAGCCGAGCATGGTGGCAGGCACCTGTAATCCCAGCTACTCAGGAGGCTGAGGCAGGAGAATCACTTGAACCTAGGAGGTAGAGGTTGCAGTGAGCCGAGATCATGCCACTACTGCACTCCACTCTGGGCAACAGAGAGAGATTCCATCTTAAAAAAACAAAAAACAAAAAAAACCCCATTGCTTCTTAAACAACACAGGTTTGAACTGCATGGGTCCACTTATTTATGAATATTTTTCAACCAAACAGGGATCAAAAATAGTTATTTGTGGGATGTGAAACCTGCATATATGGACGGTCAAATTTTTGTATACATGGGTTCTGCTGGGCTGACATGAGCATGCGCAGATTTTGGTATATTCAGGGTGGAGGACGTGGGTCCTAGAACCAATCCCCAGTATACTAAGGATAACTGTAATTAAAATGAGTTTTATATTACAGATTTTATATCAATAAATAATAATAAGGAATGTATCAGGCCAAAAGTCAGATGCCTTGATTGCCAAACACACACATCTTATTTACACATGTATTACCCATAATGCTTTTCTGGTATGACAAACCCTAATGATTTCTGATAGCTGGCCTTAGCCTAAAAAGCTATCTAAACCTGGCATGGACCACCAGGACGTGAGAGCAAACATCAGCCAACAGTTATTAGGACAAGGTTCCACCCTTAGTTTATCTGATATTGATAAGGAAGTAAAAGAAAGTGAGCATCCATCTTCAAGAATAGGCATTCTCAAGAAGGTGGCAGCAAGTGTCACTCTGGTCATTAATAAGACAATTCTCTTGACAAAGATTTGTTACCATCACAAATTGAAAATAGTTATTGGCCAGGCTTGGTGGCTCACGCCTGTAATCCTAGCACTTTGGAAGGCCAAGGCGGGCAGATCGCCTGAGGTCAGGAGTTCGAGAACAGCCTGGCCAACATGACGAAACTCTGTCTCTACTAAAAATACAAAACTTATCCGGACGTGATGGTGTACACCTGTAATCTCAGCTACTCAGGAGGCTGAGGCAGGAGAATTGCTTGAACCCGGGAGGCAGAGGTTGCAGTGAGCCGATATGGTGCCACTTGTACTCCAGCCTGGGCAAACCAATAAATGTAATTCACCACATAAACAGAATTAAAAACCATACGATCATCTCAAATGACACAGAAAAAGCTTTCAATAAAGTCCAACATCTCTTCATGATAAAAACTATCAACAAACTAGGCTTTGAAGGAACATACCTCAAAACATTAAGAGCCATCTATGATATGACAAACCCATAGCCAACATCATACTGAACAGGCAAAGGCTGGAAGCATTCCACTTAGGAAAAGGATGCCCACACTCACCACTCCTATTCAACATAGTACTGGAAGTCCTGGCCAGAGCAATCAGGCAAGAGAAAGAAATAAAATGTATCTAAATAAGAAAAGAAGTCAAACTATCAATCTTCACTGATGATGATTCTATACCTAGAAATAACCCTAAAGACTCTGCCAAAAGGCTCCTAGAGCTGACAAAGTCAGTAAAATTTCAGGATACAAAATCAATGTACAAAATTCAGTAGCATTTAATATATACCAATAACATTCAAGGTAAGCGCCAAATTAATAATGCAATCCTATCGATAATAGCCACACACACATAAATGGTTGTTGGGATAACTAGCTAGCCACATGCAGAAGAATGAAACTTGACCCCTATATCTTTCACCATATACAAAAATTAACTAAAGGATTAAATACTTTAATGTAAGAGCTCAATCTATAAAAATCTTAAAAGAAAATCCAGGAAATACCATTCTAGACATCAGCCTTGGCAAAGAATTTATGACTAAGTCCCCAAACGCAACTGCAACAAAAGCAAAAATTGACAAGTGGGACTTAATTAAACTAATGAGCTTCTGTACAGCTGAAGAAACTATTAACAGAGTAAACAGACAACCTACAGAATGAGAGAAAATATTTAAAAATTATACACCCAACAAAAGCCTCATATCCAGAATCTATAAGGAACTTAATCAAACAAGCAAAAAACAAATAACCCCATTTAAAAATGAGCAGGCTGCTTTGTCAACGAAGTAGCCATTCTTTTGTTTCTTTACTTCTCTAATAAACTTGCTTTCACTTAAAAAAAAGAAAGAAAAAGGGCAAAGTACATGAAAAGACATTTCTCAAGAAGACATATACGCAGCCAACAGGTACAAAAAAATGCTCAACACCACTAATCACTAGAGAAATGCAAATCAAAACCGTAATGATGTACCACATCATCTCACACCAGTCATAAGGAATATTATTAAAAAGTAAAAAAAAATTAAACAAAAAATAATTTTAAAAAGTAAAAAAATAACAGATGTTGGTGAGATCACAGGGAAAATAAATCATTCTACCAAAAAGACACATTCACTAGTATGTTCACTGTGGCATTATTCACAATAGCAAACACACGAAATCAACCTAGATGCCCATCAACAGTGGACTGGATAAACAAAATGTGGCACATGGACACCATGAAACACTATGCAGTCATAAAAAAAAGTGAGCACAATCATGTCCTTTGCAGCAATACAAATGCAGCTAGAGGTCATCATCCTAAATGAATTAACACAGAAATACTCAATACCACATGTTCTCATTTATAAGTGAGAGCTAAATAGTGAGTACACATGAAGATGAGAATAAAAGACTATTTAGACTGGGGACTACTAGAGTGGGTAGGGTGGGACGGCAAGAGTTGAAAAACTATCAGGTATTGTTCTCACTACCTGGGTGATGGGATCATTTGTACACCAAACCTCACGGACAAGGAATTTACCCATGTAACAAACCTGCACATGTATACCTGAACCTAAAAGTTAAAAGAAAAAAAAGAAAGAACCTTTCACAAGAAGAGCTGTTAGCTGAAAGCATCCAGCTGTAGTGTATCTGAAATCAGCAGCAGTGTTTCAGCAAAGACCATGACTCCCTGGGTAGTCCCAGCCAACAACTGAGCATATCAAGTGTACTGGGCCCAGCTCTTTCTACTTATTGAGGTATTCCTCTATGGGCAATCTATGCACTGAAGTTCCCCCATCAGGGCTGCCAAAGACTCTCATAGCTGTATCATATAAAGTCTCTTCCTATTGAATCTTCCTTCTTTGTCTTTTAACAGATGTCAGGCCTATATCAATGTCTATCTGCTCCTGCTGTTTACCTTGCACAGATGCTATTCCACAATAAGTCAGTTTCACCTTTTATTCTATCTTGGGATCTGCTTCCAAGAACACCTCAACTAACACATACACACATTCTAATCTCCAATCCCAAGGTTTATCAAAATCTAGCTACCATGCATTTCTAAGTTTGTAAGAATAGTGATCAGGCATTTAACCAAGTTACAAATGGGCTTTTGTACTACTACTAAGGAACGCAGATTAAAAAGTTTCTTCAGACTTTAAAAAGTTTCACTTCCTTTGAGGTACTAAGTAAAAATTAATTTGGTTTAACCAACTAACCAATATTCACATGCAGAATCTATCAAAAATACTTACATAACTGTGTTGTCATCCACTAAGATATCACAACCATGAGCAGGACACGAAATAGTCTGAAAAAGATTGAAATTTAAACTGTCTTCATTCAACAAATATTTAATGAATGCTTACCATCGCCAGGCACTTTGCTAGGTTCTGGGAATACCTTAATGTTTACAGGATCTCAATCCTTCCCTTTCTCCTTAAAGGAAATGTGTGTGAGAGTATGTTTATCACCATAAAGTAACTAGACTTGCTAACCTGACTAATTGGTTTTTAAACACACAATTTTAAAGGCAAAAGCGAGATAATCTGACAAAATCGTGCAACAAGTTTAAGTTAACATATACCAATATTGATGCCGGCTGAGAAAACGTTACCTGGAGTGGCTCTTTAACTGGAATGCCACATTACTTTAGGAAAAAGCCTATTATCTTTAGTTGTTTGAATCTAGAATCATGACACATAAAGCTTCACCTGTTTTTATTTGTGCAAATTTGTGCAAGGGTCTTAACACTATAGGAAATTCAACAAAAACTGAAAAACAACTTGATATCTTTACCTGACCCATGCCTTCTTCCATTATTTTGGTAGTTAAATATTCACTCCAGCACTGCATACAAAACTTATGTCCACATTCAAGGCCAGTGAAATACTGTAAGAAAAACAAAACATGAACTTAACAAAGGTATTATCAGAAAACTCACTATAAACAGTGACTCAACAGGGCTCTGTAAGGTCACATTTCTTACGTGGCTAAAATGTCCAATTTGACAATAGATGGGCTCCTAAAATGAACTTTTCATGGTGAATCTAGACATGCAGATACACCGAACACACATACATCTTAGGAAAGGCGGGCAACAATGTTTGTATTAAATATAAAAAGACAAATGAGCATATGAAAGAATACTCAGTATCATTCAGCATCATGGAAATGCAAATCAAAACCACCATGAAGGCGGGGCAACATGGCAAAACCCTGTCTCTACAAAAAATACAAAATGAGTCAGCCATCATGACGCACGCCTGTAGTCCCAGCTACTTGGGAGGCTGAGGTGGAAGGACTGCCTGAGCCTGGGAGGCGGAGGTTGTAGTGAGCTGAGATCACACCACTGCACTCCAGCCTGGGCAAAGGAGTGAGACCCTGTCTCAAACAAAACAAAACAAAACAAAGCAACACCACAGTAAGACACCACTTCACCCTCACTAGAACAGCTATAATAAAAAGACAGATAAAGCAGAGCACACTGGCTCATATCTGTAATCCCAGCACTTTGTGTGGCTGAGAGCGGAGGATTACTTGAGGCAAGGAGTTCAAGACCAGCCTGGGCAACATAGTGAGACTCTGTCTCCACAAAAAATTAAGAAATTAGCCAGGTGTGGTAGCACATGCCTGTAATCCCAGCTACTCAGGGGAGCTGAGGTGGGAAGATCACTTGAACCTGAGAGGTCAAGGCTACAGTGAGCTGTCATCATGCCACTGCACTCCACACCAGGCAACAAAGTGAGACTCTATTTGGAAAAAAAAAGCCAATATTAATAACAAGTGTTGGTGAGGATGTAGAAAAATTGGAGCCTTCGTACACTGTTGATGGAAATGTAAAATGGTACAGCAACTTTGGAAACAATCAGGCAGTTCCTCAAAATATTAAACATAGAGTTACCATAGGACCCAGCAATTCTAATCCTGGGTATATACTCAAAAGAAATGAAAACATACATCCATACAAAAACTTGTACACAAGTGTTCATTATAGCATTATTCGTAACAGCCAAAAAATGAAAACAATCCAGATGTCCATCAACTGAAGAAAAAAATATTTTTCCATATTTCCATAAATAAAATATTATTCAGCCATAAAAGGAAATAAAGTACTGATAAATGCCACAATATAGATGAACCTTGTTTCCAAGGTTGTTCTCCTATCACTTGCACAGTGAAATTTCTTGTAAAAGAATGAAAATAAGCCAGTCATAAAAGATCACATATTGATTCTTTTTGTTTTGAGACAGAGTCTCACTCTGTCACCTAGGCTGGAGTGCAATGGCACCATCTCGGCTCACTGCAACCTTCGCCTCCCAGGTTCAAGTGATTCTTCTGCCTCAGTCTCCCAAATAGCTGGGACTACAGAAACGCACCACCACGCCCAGCTAATTTTTGTATTTTTAGTAGAAACAGGGTTTCACCATATTGCCAGGCTGGCCTCCAACTCCTGACCTCGTGATCCACCCACCTCGGCCTCCCAAAGCGCTGAGATTACAGGCGTGAGCCACCGTACCAAAACCTTGTTTGATTCTTTCATATGAAATGTCCAGAATAGGTATATCCATTGACAAAGAAAACAGATGAGCAGTTGCCTAGGGGCTGGGGGACTTGGGAGGAATTAGGGGGTGAATTTAAAAAGTTATCTCCTGGGGGGTTATAAAATGTTTTTAAAATTATGGCGATGGCACACAACTCTGTAGCATATACTAAAACCACTTTAAATGGGTGAACTGGATAGTATATAAATTATATCTCAATAAACCTGTTATGAAAAGATTTATTCAGAATAGCTAAGGATAATAGTAACTAACACTTTGTTCTAAAATCTTAAGAGTTAAGGGATCGTTAAATGAAGCAGTATCCTGTAATGGGACATTAAGTAAATACTTTAAATAATATTAGATGATCTGGAGGATTATGTCTTTTAAAAAGATTCAAATAATGGTTACCTTATTTTAAAGAACATTTTGCCATAATTTACCTCTAAATTATTTTTAATTGAGTAAGTTAAATAGACATTACTAAAAACAATTACTTTAACAGTACAAGTTCAGAGTTTATGTTGAAAAATAAGCCTCCCTAGGCCGGGTGCGGTGGCTCACACCTGTAATCCCAGCACTACTGGAGGCAGAGGTGGGCGGATCACTTACAGTCAGGAGTTTAAGACCAGCCTGGCCAAAATGGCAAAATCCTGCCTCTACTATAAATACAAAAATTAGGCAGGTGTGGTGGCAGGCACCTGTAGTCCCAGCTACTTGGCAGGCTGAGGCAGGAGAATCGCTTGAACCTAGGAGATGGAGGTTGCAGTAAGCCAAGATCGCACCACCGCACTCCAGCTTGGGTGACAAAGCGAGACTCTGTCTCAAAAAAAAAAAAAAACAGGCCTCCCTCATTCCCATCCCTGTTGTTTGTTTCCTCTACCCAGAAGCAACTGCTATTTCCAGTTTTTTACATATTCTTCCAGAGGTGTTCTAACGTACACACTTACACACACACTGTAACAGTACCACAAATTCTCTTCTGCACCTTGTTTTTTTTTGTTGTTGTTGTTTAAAAAAATCCAATAGGGCTGGGCACGGTGGCTCACGCCTGTAAGCCCAGCACTTTGGGAGGCCAAGGCGGGCAGATCATTTGAGGTCAGGAGTTTGAGACCAGCCAGGCCAACATGGCGAAACCCTGTGTCTATCAAAAATACAAAAAAACTAGCCAGGTGTGGTAGTGTATGCCTGTAATCCCAGCTACTCAGGAGACTGAGGCAGAAGAATCCCTTCAACCCGGGAGGCAGAGGTTGCAGTGAGCCAAGATCGCACCTTTGCACTCCAGCCTGATGACAGGGCAAGACTCCGTCTTAAAAAAACAAAAATAAATCCAATGGATTTCTCATATGGTACCACACTGGTGTGGGTTTGCCTCTTTATAGAAAGGTACCACAATTTTATTTATAGTCTACTATTAATGAACCTTTACACTGCCTTTTTTTTTCCTACTATACTACTGCATTGACTATATATACATCTTTGTGATCTTATGAATGTATCTTAGGACAAATCTGTAGAGGTGACATTATAATAAATATATACATTTACAATCTAATAGCTATCATCAGGCTCCCCTGCAAAGAGATTGTCGTCATTTATGCCGTGCAAGAGTACTTGATTTCTCATGCCCATGACAATGTAGTATATGATCCAACTCCTTGATCTTTGCCAATCTAATAGGTGAAAAACACACTAACTTCTTTAGTTTTGATTTGAATTTTTATTATAAATGAAATTATAATATTTCAAAAAAGGTTTTACACTGTATATTTCTTTTTCTGTATACTCTCTTGATATATTTTGCCAACTTTGCCTGTGGGTTTTTCACTTATTTACGGAGGCTTTTTACTTATGTAGGAAATTGGCCATTTATAAGTAGGGGAAATCTTTTCCCCCACTTTAATTCTTAGTGTTCATATTTTGTTGCCATACAGAAGCTCTTCACTCACAGTGAAACTTATCACCGTTTAAATTTACCGCTTGTGAATTCATTAACTTTTATTTATGAAGCTAGGTAGGAATCTTAAGTTTCTATTCCATATGGCTACCAAGTTGCTCTAACACCATGTATCAAATAATCCACCTTATTTGAAATGCCTCCTCTATAATACACTAAATTCTCCTTATGCATATTTGACTGTATCCTGTTCCACTGCTACCATGTATCAAATAATACACCTTATTTGAAATGCCTCCTCTGTAATACACTAAATTCTCCTCATGCATATTTGACTCTATCCTGTTCCACCGCTCTGTCTACTCTTGTATCTAGCAGGACTAGTCCTCACTCAGCTCTCCCCTGTCAATTTAATCTTCTTTTTCAATATTTTCCTATTTCTTCTATCTCAAATATTCAAGTCATTCTTTTATCTTAGTATTTGAAGTTTTCTTCATAGCAATCTTTCACATTTCTTATCAAGTTTATTCCTAGCTCTTTTATTCTTTCCTTTCGTGGCTCTTATAAAGGGTATTTTAAAATTCCCTTAGATTTTCTATTTAGCCATTATGTGACATGTACTTATAAAATTTCTGATGTTACTTATGATATTAGATACAAATATCTCGTTAGGACAGAAATTCTATATACAGCACATCAACTATATTTTTTAAATACAAAGACAAGGACATGAAAAGAAATCTATGAGAGGGCTGGGTACAGTGGCTCGTGCCTGTAATCCGAGCACTTTGGGAGGCTGAGGCAGGCGGATCACCTGAGGTCGGGAGTTCAAGACCAACCTGGCCAACATGGTGAAACCCTGTCTCTACTAAAACTACAAAAGTTAGCTGGGCATGGTGGCACACACCTATAATCCCAGCTACTCGGGAAGCTGAGGCAGAAGAATCACTTGAACCCGGGAGGCGGAGGTTGCAGTAAGCCGAGATCACACCACTGCACTCCAGCCTGGGCAACAGAGTGAGACTTCATCTCATTAAAATATATATATATATGAAGTGTATCAGTCCTGCAATTAGGTTTACTGAAAGAATGACATGTAAAATAAATATCAAGCTTAAAGGGAATCTATTATCATTACTCCCCATCAGAGAAGGAGATTTGGCACTAACTTGTTACCACATCACTAATGGAGTCTTTGATTTTTAAGGCTGTTAAAGGAAGGGGTATTCTGTAAAAGACACAAATACAGTAAATATATCAGCAACTCTAAAATGTTTTATTCAAAACTTAAAAACATATACACATGCTTATATGTGCTTCATTCTTTTTTCAAGTAGGAATCCTTAACAGAGATCAACGGTCACAATGGTTACTAAGTGATCACTTTAAGTCTCAACCTTTTTTGACTTCTAGTCTAGAGCTCATTTTAAGATAAAAAGATAGTTCATAAATGTAATCACACTCGTGTGAGATGCACCTCTCTCAACCTTGTTACAACTTCAGCACACAGATAAAAGCTTTTTATTCTTTTTAAATAACTTCTCTAATCAGATAACAAGATTAAACAAGTTAGAAAAATAAATCATACATGGATGTCTAAAGATAGAGCAAAAAAATAAAAACACCAAAAACCAAGACACAAATCTGTAGTCTAAAGATACATATTCATTGTGCTTTCGAGGAACATATTATTATCGCAGATATCTTCCTGTCTGTCTTACTTCCCTTTCCCTCTCCCTCCTCTGATATATTCGTTTCCTCATAACCTTGAGCTAGGTTCACCTACATGGCTCCCTGGGCTTTCCCCTGTCCCAGGGGATCATATTATCTATTCACTAAACTTATCCCTGTTTATATCACAAATACATCCGATCAAGAGAGTACACGAAAAATACATGAAATATTATCTACAAAAGAAATTAATGGACTTAAAGAAACTTAAGAATACACTCTTAAAGGTTTCATTTATCTGCATCACTTTACATACACAGCAACTAATGTCAAATAGCAGTAAGAAAATTAAGAATCTTTCTTCCATAATAAGTTGTCCATATAACCTCTAAAATTGAAACCCCTTTGTTTATAAAAATTGAACAAATGACCTGGGAATCGGTTCCCTTGTGTGTAAAATGTAATGTGTTAAAAGGAAAATAGGGTGGGACGTAGGTATTTTCAAGCAGTTTCCAGCAGCACCAAGATTCCACAGAGGGGCTTCAGGAATGGGGGACGGGATGGTGGACCACCCTTCCTCACAATTTCAACTCTGCCTTTACCTACTTCACATATCTTATTCTTAGAAAATACAAATTATTTACTTCATAAAAATGAGACACTGGCTGGCCGTGGCGGCTCACTCCTGTAATCCCAGCACTTTGGGAGGTCAAGGTGGGTGGATCACCTTAAGTCAGGAGTTGGAGACCAGCCTGGACAACATGGTGGAACCCCATGTCTACTAAAAATACAAAAATTAGACAGGTGTGGTGGTGGGCGGCTGTAATCCCAGCTACTCGGGAGGCTGAGGCAGGAGAATCGCTTGAAACTGCGGGGTGGAGGTTGCAGTGAGCCGAGAACATGCCACTGCACTCCAGCCTGGGCGACAGAGCAAGGCTCTGCCTCAAAAAAAAAAAAAAAAAGAGAGAGAGAGACGCTGTAGTCGAAGCTACATTTCCTAGCACAGTGGTGGGCCAGTACAGCTATTATCTTAACTACTTTAACCTAAAACATTAAGTTGGAATCTATGAATTTACAAAGTGCTCCAATGTCTCAGGACATTGTTTTGAAAGAAGCAGCCACTCAGGACAGTTAACTCCAAAGGGTTGTAAACTAAGCTATCAAAAGCACTTATTTTAAAATGTGCATGTGACACTGCATAAAGCAAAAATTGCTTTCTGGAAGGATAAAGATACTGAAGATATATATAATAAAAAAGTACAAATGCTTGGAGAGTAGTAAAATGTGGGAGTTATACAATGTAAGTGAAGAACTCACTCATCCAATAATAAAACTTTATGAAGAGTTTCAGGTGACATTTACTTCCAAAACTGAAGAGGTTAAAATTATCCTTCTATATGAGTCTAAAAATTATGAGGAAAGGACATCCTAGTTTTGTCATGATACTTTTCGGAACACTTAGCAGTTTCCATAATGCCTTACCTTACTTGCCAACCCATGTTGTTCCTTTTGCTATCTTATCCTATCACTTGCATAGTGAAATTTCTTGTAAAAGAGTAATTTCATTACATTTATTGCTTCCATTTCCTTTCCCACCTTCAAGTCAGTGACTCTTTAGCCCATGAAGTCTGGTTTCCCATCCTACCTCACTCCTTCATTTCATTTCAAATTAACTTTTTAAATCTTTTCTCTGAATCTTTTAGTACTATTTACCATCCCCCAGTTCTTGAAAGTACATTCTCTCTTCCTTGGACTTGCTACATTTTCCTCCTTAGCCTAACTACCATGCCTTCAGATGTTAGTTCAGATTTCTGTGGTAAGTCCTGCCTGATCAAAAACTGGGTTAGGTATCCCTCCAACACGTTCCCACAGTATCGTATCTTATATTTGCCCTACCAAAGCACTTACCACTCTTTCTGAATATGTCACCTTACTACTTATCTACCCAACTAACCTGCAAATTATCTGGTTAGGAATTATGTATTTATTCTCCATTGTTTCTTAGAATAGTGCCTAGTGTGTTCAATGAATAGGTTTCTCCATCATCAGTTACAAGTACAAAACAAAAATTTACACTGTAAATCTCAAGTCATGATTTTGAATTCTAGTTTGTTGAGATTGTTAGACCATATTAAGAACAGCGAGAAAGTTATAGTGGATATTTGGAAGCAGCCAAGCTTCAGTACTCAAATCAGAGTTAAGATTTAAGTTAAGAAGGAACTGTCTATGATAGGGCAGGAGGAAAAACGCCAAGAAGTAAGGAAACCTTGTAAAACCTGGGTCTTAGTATTACCTCACAGAAACATTTAACTGTAAGCACTATATAAATGTCAACTGGCAAGGAGAATCTGTTAAAGACAATAAAATAGTCAAAATATTAATATATTGTAACAGTAGTACTTTTTAAAAAATATTCAAATTAGAATTGTGATTTAAGGTAAGAGAAATGATACAATACTCAGGTTGGAAGAAAATTGAAAGAGTATCTTATTCAACTCATCAGAAAGAAAAAAGAAACTGTTGGGTGCGGTGGTGCACACCTGTAATCCCAGCACTATGGGAGGCCAAGGTGGGTGGATCACCTGAGGTCAGGAGTTCAAGACCAGCCTGGCCAATATGGTGAAACCCCGTCTCTACTAAAAATACAAAAATTAGCCGGGTGTGGTGGCCGGCGCTTGTAGTCCCAGCTACTCGGGAGGCTGAGGCAGGAGAATCACTTGAACCCAGGAGGCGCAGGCTGCAGTGAGCCAAGACTGTGCCATTGCACTCCAGTCTGGGCAACAAGAGCAAAACTCGTGTCAAAAAAAAAAGAGAAAAGGAAAGAGGCCAGGCGCGGTGGCTCACGCCTGTAATCCCAGCACTTTGGCATGCTGAGGCGGGCAGATCATGAGGTCAGGAGATCGAGACCATCCTGGCTAACATGGTGAAACCCCGTCTCTACTAAAAACACAAAAAATCAGCCAGGCGTGATGGCAGACGCCTGTAGTCCCAGCTACTCGGGAGGCTGAGGCAGGCGAATGGCATGAACCTGGGAGGCGGAGCTTGCAGTGAGCCGAGATCGCACCACTGCACTCCAGCCTGGGCGACAGAGCAAGACTCCGTCCCACCCCCCCCCCTCCAAAAAAAAAGAAAAGAAAAGAAAAGGAGAAGAAACCAAAACTGGAGGAGCGTGGTGGCTCACACCTATAATGCCAGCACTTTCAGAGGCCAGGTGGGCAGACTGCTTGAGCTCAGACAAGTTCCAGACCAGCCTGGGCAACATGGTGAAACCCCGTCTCTACAAAAAAACCAAAACAAACAAACAAACAAAACACACACACACAGGTGAAACCCCGTCTCTACAAAAAAAACAAACAAACAAAACAAAACAAACAAAACACACACACACACACACAGAAAAATCAGCCAGACATGGTGGCATGCGCCTGTGGTCCCAGCTACTTGGGAGGCTGAGGTGGGAGGATCGCTTGAGCCCAGGAGTTTGAGGCTGCAGTGATCACATCACTGCACTCCAGCCTAGACAACAGAGCAAGGCCGTCTCAAAAGAAAGAAAGAAAAAAGAAAAACCCAGTGACATTAAATGGCTTACCTCCCGCTAAAGCCAAAAATTTCACGTTAGAGTTACGATCAGAACTTGAGAATTTGAAAATTCAGTTCACCACTTTACCTACTAAATAACTCACTGATCATTCTATTTCTCTAAGAGTACTTTATTTTCTTTTAAAACTTTTCTCATCACTTGTACATGTGAACAAGTTAACTCCCCACAAATGGACCCCATTAGAGATACACATATACAACTCTAAGATAAACAATAAAAATCCTTCAATATAAATATAATATTAGCCAGGCTTGATGGTGCACGTCTGTAGTTCCAGCTACTTGGGAGGCTGAGGGAAAAGGATCACTTGAGCCCAAGAGTCTGATGAAGGCTGTAGTACACTGACTGTGCCTGTGAATAGCCATAACACTCCAGCCTGGGTAGCATAGTGAGACCCCCATCAACCAAATAATTGTTAAAATAACAGTGTCAAAGACTTGTTATATAGTAATTATTAGAAAGAGATGCTTAACTATTAAAGCAGAGAATATGAACAAGACAGTTGTAATTATCATAGAATTAAGTTATCTTAGACATCTTAAGACTAAACTTCCTTAGTAAACACTCAAGTAAATCAAGTAAGTAAATCATCTCAGTTCAGTAAATTCTATTTTATATTTTGAGACGGAGTCTCACTCTGTCGCCCAGGCTGGAATACAGTGGCATGATGTCAGCTCACTGTAACCTCTGCCTTCCAGGCTCAAGCAATTCTCATGCCTCAGCCTCCCAAGTAGCTGGGATTATAGACATGCACCATCATGCCAGGATAATTTTTTTGTATTTTTAGTTGAGACAGGTTTCCGCCATGTTGGCCAGGCTGGCCTCAAACTCCTGGCCTCAAGTGATCTGCCCACCTTGGCTTCCCCAAGTGCTGGGATTATAGGCATGAGCCACTGAGTCCAGCTTCAGTTCAATAAATTTTTAGGAAGGTTATTTGTACTTAAGGGATTAACATCAGTTCTTTGGTTCTCTTGCTATATCACTGGTTCTGCTCCAACTCTGTCCCCACATACCATATTTAACAATCTCCATTTGAATGGATTTGATTAAGTGAAAATCTTATCTTCTGAAGAATTCTGAGAGTTCCCTAGCAAATAGTATTAACGGTATTTTATGAGTGTTTCTGGATATTTAAAAAACACTTAAAGTTTAAATCTATTTTAATTTGGATGAGAAAGAATTCTACTTACTGCCTACTATTACACAATTCTCCCATGGTGATAGAATAAACTCCAGAAAGATTTAGGTCTATAAATGACAACTTGGACAAGTTGTTGCTGCTTTAAAAAACAAATGGGGGTTGGAGGTAAGAGGAACCAAGCTTTTACTCTTTTTCTTCCTTTCCTCACACTGAATACATTGATAGGTTATGGCTTAGAGGTTACTACTCCCAGACCCACAAATTTTCCTTTGTTTAAATAATGGAAGTTGATTTACCCTCTGAAATACAAAGTCAGCACTAGCCTTAAACTACCAGATACTCACCGAGTTAGGGTAGTTCAAGTAGCAGATCTGACAAGGCATATCCTGTGCTGATGACCTTGTATTCATCTGGCGTGTTCGAGACTTTTTACTTGGATTAATTACATGACACTCAGCAAAGAGCTTCTCCAGGTTTCCATCAAAGTACCTGCATTATTTAAACAGAAAGGATAAGAGCCCAGCAACTTGCACACTGTTAGAGCTCTCCAAAAACCTGACTTTCTATAGGGAAAAGCAAGAAGTTGAATTAAAATAAAACAAGATAACAACCTTTTTATTCAGAGGAAATAAAAGCTACATGGTACAAATTATAGCAAATAAAGGTGTGTGTATACATGTGCATATATATATATATTGCAAACAGCAAAAATTCAGTCTACTCTCATATATATGAGTGTGTGTGTGTGTGTGTGTATGTATGTAAACTAGTAGACTGAGTTTTGCTGCCTTTTTCCCCCTAAACTTTGGTTTTAAATAACTGAATCTTGGGAAATTAAGCTATTAGTATTTTAACAGTACTGCAACTAAAACTTAAGGATTAAAGTTGTGCTGTTGCTGGGGTACCTATGAAGAGTAATATTTTACATGGGTAGGCTGTATTTTATACAAATGAATTCATTTTATTAATAATTTTAGTTAAAGCAATTTAAACATATTAGCTTCAGTAAAGCATTTATCTTACTGCACAAATCATCTTAAAAATATAATTATTACGTGTCTCATTTTACATAATAGACTTGCTTTCTAAACATTATTTTGAAATATTTTTAATTTACTGAGAAAGGAGGAGGAATAAAACAAAGAAGTGTATCTTCAAACATTTTATATAAAATAAATTACATATTAGCTTTTCATAAAATATGTATCTAAATATAGAGTAGTTCCATATCTAAGACATCAAGAGTATATATATGCCAAGTACTACCTAGAGTTTTAACTAAATAGCAAACCTCTGGACAGAAGATAGTAGAGCAGACCTTAAGGTGGGTTGAGGTGGTTAAGATAACAGTAAATACTTAGCACAATGTTTCCAATTAATTCAGATGAGACATGTTCCCTGGCCTCCTGAAACAGCTTACTATTCAAAAGGGAAAAGCAATAGATATTAAAAAAAAAAAAACTTTTCAATCTGTAAAACCAATATAACCAGCAAAAATATTAATGTGCAATCTGGTCAATTACTTTTTGGGTTGTAAAGCCCAGATTACAGTAACTATAATGCTCTTTATATACAAACAGGAGATTTTCAATTTTAAAAGTAATCAATACTCAAAAGAAATTTCCAATATTTTTAATTAAGGTCTTGTTTAGGCTTTGTGTCAAAGGCTACTATATCTTACTGTACCTCCAGAAAAATCATTCAAATGAGAACAAACCATATCACTTCTCCTAAGACTAATAAATAAATATCTTTTTTATAAATACTTTGACTACAGCATAGTTCAATGAAATAATCATATTATCAATCGAAATGCCAACACATTATAAAAAGGAGGATTATCAGAAAGTTAAAAGTTGTCAGGAACTCATACAAATAGAAAATTAATGTCTCTGATGATTCAGATAATCAGAATATATTTAAAGCAG
Source organism: Homo sapiens (assembly GCF_000001405.40). Lineage (NCBI taxonomy): Eukaryota > Metazoa > Chordata > Mammalia > Primates > Hominidae > Homo > Homo sapiens. The sequence goes on along the minus strand of NC_000015.10, from coordinate 72,543,380 downwards.
AAAATCAAATGCTTTCCTACAATTTTGAGACAGTCTCACTCTGTCGCCCAGACTGGAGTGCAGTGGCGCCATCTCGGCTCCCTGCAACCTTTGCCGCCCAGGTTCAAGCGATTCTACTGCCTCAGCCTCCCGAGTAGCTGGGATTACAGGCGCCGCGGTGGCTCACACCTGCAATCCCAGCACTTTGGGATGCTGAGGTGGGTGGATCACTTGAGGTCAGTAGTTCAAAACCAGCCTGGCCAACATGGTGAAACCCCATCTCTACTAAAAATACAAAAAAATTAGCTGGGCGCGGTGGCAGGTGCCTCTAATCCCAGCTACTCAGGAGGGTGAGGCATGAGAACCGCTTGAATCCAGGAGGCAAGGTTGCAGTGAGCCAAGATGGTGCCACTGCACTGCACTCTAGCCTGGGTGACAGAGCGAGACTGTCTCAAATTTAAAAAAAAAAAAAAAGATAATATAAAATACCAAGTTTTACCTGAAAAACTGAAAGCATAAGAGATTAACACTAAATATCAATTCATAAACCAGCTAAACACCTTGTTTTATAAAAATATTCATGCTCCCAAGACAAGACAAACTTCTGTCATCCAAAATTTGACAACAGGGAACTAATGACTCTCATACTTTGGTTAACATTCTAGACAGCATTCTATGAGTATACAGCCACACAGACATGTGTCCCTAATTTCATATAAGTAACACCCTAGTCCAGATTTATAACCTGCTTTTTTCACTAGACAATATCTAACAGACACCTTTGTCTTTAAATGTCTACATTTTTCATTTTTGCACAATATTCCACTGTAGTTATTTACTATAATATATCCAACCAATGTTATTCTGAAGGACATTTAAATGTGCCACATATAAATAATCCTAGATTAAAATCTTAGCCCATCAGATAGGGAAAAATACCTAGACTTAACTTGTATTTATTTATTTATTAGTGAAGGTGAACACATTTTTCTGTGGTGATCTTATTCCCTATTAAGTTCAGTATGCAAAGAGGAAGAGTAAATCTTTGTTTCATGGGTTGCTTTCTTTCATTTCTTTCTTGTCTTTCAACCTTCTTTAATAGTGTTTAATTACCACTTTAAAATTTTTATGTAGGCACATTTATCGTGCTACTCCACTGTGATTTCTGCAGTTCATATCACACTTTAAAAGACCTCTATACCCAAAGATTTTTTAATGGAAATTCATTAATGATTTAGATCTCACCTTTAAATTGTTTCCATTAAAACTGTTGATTTATTTTTGCGTAATAAGGAGTAAAGCCAGGATTCCATTTCATTTCAATCCAAAAATCTAATCACTTATTGAAGGGTTGTTTCATCTATTGGAAACACTTTTTCCCACCTTTAGGTTCCAGCTTACACCCAGCTTCCTCAAATAACTGATCTCTGACAGCTCCTCACTTCCACCCCCATTAGATAAGGTTCCCTTGAATTACATCCCATTGTTACTCTGCAGTCCTTTGCAGCACTTACAACATTACTAACTGTAATCACTCTTTATGTTTGCTCTGCTAGAATGTAAACCCCATGAGGACTACTTTATTATTCCTGGAGCCCTTAATGTCTACAGGCATGTTACAAGCACTTAGTTTCTTCTTAAAGAGTAACTGACTAATCTAACTCTCCCCACTGATCTGTTCACTATATACCCAAATTTCCTATTTAGACAAGTTTATTCCTGGACTCTCCATTCTATTCCACTAATTTGTCTGCTCTTGTAGTCGATAAATTCTCAATATTTGACAAAGATCCCTTTATCATTCTTCTCACAGAATTTTCTCTGTTCTTCCATATTTGTTTTTTCAAGTTAAGTACAATCATTAATTTTTTTTTCAAATCCTCTTGGAACTTTTACTACAATTATATCAAGAGTAAACTGACTGAAAGAATTGACTCTATAATATTGTCTTCCTAGCCAAGAACAAAGTATCTTTTAATTTACTTAATTCCAATTCCTATTCAGTCTCTCAATAGTTTTATAACTTTTTTTCACTATGTGGATCCTGCACATCTTCCAGTAACTTTATTCTCAGGTATTTCAAGTTCTTTTTGTTGGGAGAAAAGCTGAGTGTCGGGAGAGAAGCTGAGGCAGGGCTTGCATGCCTGCTAGACTGCTGGCTCCTTACTTCTAGCACTCCCATTATCTCAACTAGCCATATGTTTCAAAGAAAATGCTAAACCCTCACAGCTGTAGCTCATTCGCTTGATACACCGCTTCCTTTTAACCCCCACATCCTCACCACCTGTTTCTTTGTTTGATCACCAATAAATAGCGTGGGCTCCCAGAGCTCCAGGCCTTCGCAGCCTCCATACTAGCGTTGGCCCCCTGGTCCCACTTTGTCTCTTGTCTTTTCTCATTCCTTTGACTCCGCTGGACTTTGTCGCCCCCACAGCCTGGTGTTGGGTCCGATCACATCAACACTTTTACTATCAATCTGAATTCCTGTGCTTTAGATAGCATGTACTGGAGTTTGCAGCATTTTTAAAAATAGCGTATATTGGAGTTAATACCTTTTTTAAAAAAAATGAGTTAGGGTCTCACTATGTTGCCCAGGCTGGTGCACAGCAGTTTTTCACATATGCAATAATAGCATACAGCCTTGAACTCTTGGCCTCAAGAGATCCTCTCGCCTCACCTTCTTGAGTATAGGTGGGACTATACGTGCACACCACTACATGTGGCTTGGAGTTTATAGCTTTTTGATCCATTCTAGAAGCCACCAAAGGAACTTTCAAATACTGCTAAGTATTTTAAATGAAATATGAGTGGGAAGCTAAAAATCCACTCATATTCTTGGGGGTAGTAGGCCCAGAAATCTTTTTCTTTTACCAAAGTTTCATGTATTTGTTCTGATCTGTATTTATTATATGGTCCATTCACCCCTGACTCCACAATGTTTATTTGGAAATTACTAAAATCTAATTTAGTTTTACTAGGAGTGGCCTATGTAATTAATACTTAAATACATTTCTTAATTTATAAAACTTAAATAATACATTGATCATCCCTTTGGTTTTGGTCAGAACTTCCTAAAGCTCTTCCCAGTTGATTACAGTTTTATATAATTTTTTCACTAATTTTTTTTTTTTTTTTTTTTTTTTGAGACAAAGTCTCGCTCTTGTCACCCAGGCTGGAGTACAATGGTGCAATCTCGGCTCACTGCAACCTCCGCCTCCCAGGTTCAACCGATTCTCCTGCCTCAGCCTCCCAAGTACCTGGGACTACAGGCGCCTGCCACCACGCCCAGCTAATTTTTGTATTTTTAGTGGAGACAGAGTTTCACCATATTGTTTAGGCTGGTCTCGAACTCCTGACCTTGTAATCTGCCCGCCTCAGCCTCCCAAAGTGCTGGGATTATAGGCATGAGCCACCGTGCCCGGCCCATTGTTTTTATATCATGTAGCCTTTCTTTCAAGAATGATAACTGTTTTTTGTCTCATAAACTTGATCACCTCCAACTACTTAGACATAATTCTAATGTTTAAATGTGTTCAACTGCTCACTTTGGCCAAAATCCCTTCCCTCCTCAATATTCATATAGAGATAGTGTTCTATTTTCTTGTTACCTGTTGTTACTGAGGAAGTCTGGCCAAAATAATTTTCTCATTTTCTTCTTTCTTTATTCTTGAACTTTAGCAGTTCCACTAGGCTTTATTCTAAGCACTTAACTTTCTCTTTTGAAATGTCATTTGGATATTAATTACCTCAAGATCCTTTAGTTGTTAAGAATATGTTTGGTTTGCATCCAGTCTCTTAATTTGTCCTCCATGTTTACCAGTTGCTACTTACTTCTTTGTCCTTTTCCTGTCTTCCAGACCTATTTTCTGTAATGCCTGCTCTATTTCTTTCTGCTATCAACATGGTTTGAAGTTCTACAAAATCATTATTTATCCTTTCTTTTTTTTTTCTGTTCTGTCAGTTCCCTTTTCACCTTCTGTTGTTTTATCAGTTTACCTCTGATCCCTCATCTCAAGAGTCTTATGTTTAATTTCCTAAGACAAAGCTGATTTCTTCTAATTATGATTGTTTTATTTAAGACTACTGTGCCTGGATAGTAGTCCAGGCATAGAAGAATAGGCTGGATTCTTAACTATCCACACTGTTTACCTGGGCACTATCTGGAAGTTCCTTCAGTTTGCTGGCTTCTATGTAAATCATTGCTTCTGAAAATCAGACCAAAATAAAAAGGAACTGACTCAATGTAAAGCACTGTAGTTGAGGCATCTTTAATGAGTTAACCAAATACTTCTCTCTGCTTCATTGACTTGAAAGAGCTGCAAAGCTTATCCTAGGACTGTGCTTCTCTCCTTCCCTGTAACCCTGCCTATCCTTTTCAGGAAATCATATTGATCAAAGTAAAAAAACAAGCAGCAGTATGGTTTCTCCTTCAGCCTTTCCTTAGTGAAGAAAGGGCACAAGCAGGTTAACACCCATTCCTATGGCCTATATTTCTCTACATTAAGATTTTCATATAGACAATAATCTGTCAATTTAAAAAATATTGGATTTAAGCAGTTTCTCAGTAGATTGTAAATTCTCTTCTCTCCAGGATTATTTCTGCACATTGAGTATATTTACAGAAATACAGCTGAGCAACCTGGTACTCAGACAACTTTCCAGAATATTTGAATCTTAATTTTTCATTTTACTTGCCTGCTATAGAGAAACATACCAAATAATATGAATTAAATTTCAAGGCAGGAAAGTTACAGCCTAAGAGCTCTTATGTCTGGTTGAGGAGAGAGGAAACGGGGCTGGTAGGGATCACCACTGGCTAATGCTTCTTCTTGAATCCTGAGTGACTGTGGCATCACTGCCATTCGAATATTTAATTTTATCTTCAAAGCTACTAAGTCTTCATACTTCATAAAGACCAACAACTATTGGAGAAGTACTAATTCTCACAATAGAATCAGAAAAGCAAAATGTAAAACCAATTTAAAGATATAAAGTAGGCTTTTGTACGCTGTATTCCTTTATTTACTTATTTATTTGCGGGGGAGAGGGAGACAAAGTCTCTCTCTGTCACCCAGGCTGGCTTCATCTCAGCTCACTGCAACTTCCACCTCCCGGGTTCAAACATTTCTTGTGCCTCAGCCTCTGGAGTAGCGGATTACGGATGTGTGCCACCACTCCTGGCTAATTTTTTTGTGATTTTAGTAGAGATGGGGTTTCGCCATGTTGGCCAGGCTGGTCTCAAACTCCTGGGCTCAAGTGATCTGCCCACCTCAGCCTCCCAAAGTGCTGGGATTACAGGTGTGAGCTACCACGCCCAGCCTCTATGCTTATTCTTAAACTATCAGAGCTCAATCCTCCTATCCAGTCTTTTAATGCTTCCATTATACATTTGCAAGTCAACTAGCTATTGCTATAAGCCTGAGAGGGAGTAAAAATAAGCACACATATGAAAATGTATTAAAAAACACATTATAGGTTATATGTATCCATGTATGAAAATGTATATACACATAACGTTTACTTCTAAATGACCAAAACATTTCTGTTTTAACACTCACATATGGCAGTTTATGGGTATCGGATTGCAATTTCAAAATACTACAAAAGTCACAATTATTCTATACCTTATAGTTCTGACAAAGAACAAAAATCCAGGGTGCCAAAACCCTTCCAAGAACTGCCATTTCAACTCCCCCCAGCCACATTAACCTGTTAATGATGTAATTTTTTTCTACTTTTAGAAAATGTACATTTAAGGGAAAATGTCAAAGGAGCAAAGGAATATCTTAAATTCATTTAAATCATACGAATGAATAAGAACTGCCGTCACATTTATAAAAAGCAAAAGTAACATGAGGTATGAAGATGACTGTCTTAAAACAGCAATACGGAATAATAAGTCATAAAAAATACTAAAATAAATAGTTCTTTCTCTTCTGGGGAATGGGATTGGAACTGAGGGTTTGGAGCACTATTTTTCATTTATAACTCTTGGGAAACTATTGGACTTTTAAAAAATCATGATTGTGTTACTTTGATAAAAAATTAAATTTAAAAAAGGGTTCCTGAGGCAGAATGTAAGTTTTCAAACAAATTAAAAGATATTACTGCATCCTTTGTGGTTTTTAAAGTTATTCTTTCAAAAGAATGTAAGATGACTGGCATAACTACATACCTCTACTAGGTAAGTTCAGAATTCCAAAGAACAAAAACCATCTAAAGGAGTTAAGGATAGAAAACCTTTTTATCCTAAGGAAAGCTTTTAGCCCTCATGTTACAAACAACAACAACAACAACAACAACAACAAAAATGAGAACTCACACAAATCTGTAACAGCTTGCTATAAAAGACTTAGGTTTCTTAAGCTAATCTCTAAAAAAAAATGGGTATTCTATGTAGTTTTTATAGCTAAATATACATACTGCTCATATATTTTTCAGAAAAAGTAGAATACTTTTTGAGGCCATAAGATTTTTCTTATTAGCCTAATTTTTTTTAAAAAGGCATTATAATAAAATAAAACCTAAAAAAACAGCATTGTAATAAAATCTCCTAAGTTTGCTTACTGCTAAGCAAAAGAATGCTTGATAGAGCAGCTACTAATTAATACTACTTCCAAGTGGCAGCACAAAAATCTTACTGCATACTTTAACCTTTTTAGTTCTGAGCCAGGATGAAGGCAGGTGGATTAAGGAACTAACCACAGTGAAACAGATGTTAAGATAACTCTTTCTAGGCTCGAATTCGCAAAACCATAACAGAATTACAATAAACTATGCCATCTTCCAAAGGGATCCAATACCCATTTACTACAGAAAAACCTAAATACCCAAAAGCCAAGTGAACAGTAAATTGACCTCTTACATCCCCCCCATTCAGCTTTTACGATAAAAAATTTTGCTAATCAAAAAGCTTTTTTACATAATAAAATTTTATTGTTTCTCATGAGTTTTAAAGGTAGATGTAAAACTATGCAGGTAAATAAAATTTCAAAAGAAAAAAAAGGCTATGTGCAGTAGCTAGTGAGCCTGTATCCCAGCACTGTGGGAGGACAAGCTGGGAGGATCGCTCAAGCCCAGAGTTCGGAACCAGCCTGAACAATATAGCAAGACCCTATCTCTATTAGAAATAAAATTTAAAAGATAAAAATAAAAGTATGGAGGACATTTACAAAAGAAGTTAATGACTATTCTTTTTCTAACACAGAATGGAGAACATCTGTACAATACAGGCTTTAGAAGACACAGATGCTGGTTTTCACAGGGTGTTCCAGCCACACTACAAACACATGTGTCATCTTTACTGGTGGTTGTCTACGACTTCTGGCTTATGACTATTTCAGTTTTACCAAGATCATCAAACACATAAATTTGTAATTGGAGGTCCCTGGCATTTCAACAATTGGGCAGAATCCAAATGTTATAACTTATTTACAAATGTTCTCTGCCCCCGCCCCACCCCCGCACTCCCAGGAGAAGGTTCAAGATTGTATTACTTTTTCAAAAGAGACTACAGTCCCCAAAACGACAAGAACCATTATTTTTAAAAAACTATTTTTACTTCAAAGAAAACCAAGACAGTGGCTTTTTTTGTCCACCTCTTTCCAAATACGTGCATTAAAGGAAATCTACACCCTCTGCTTAATGGTCTTTTGCTCCTGCTATACATTTTTATCTAGAAAATAAAACACACTACTACTTGTGATTCATGCAACAGTGGATCTCATTCCAACTGAAGAGAAATATCGTTTCTTCAAGTATATAAAAAGAAATTGTCTTTTTATTGTTTTGATAACGATTTTTCAATATATCTAATGCAAGTCCTCAGGCTGTAAAAGTTGAAAGCCTATGAATCAAACAAGTATGTTTAAAATTCAGCTATGTTAAAACAAATTATCCATCAAAACACAAGGTAGTAATATAATTAAGTTCCATTTAACACAGTTCCCTCACCTATTCAGCAACTATATGTAGGAATTATGCTAGTTAGTTGTAATGTCAATTGTTTGGAAGGAAAGAGATGAATACCTGTTTGTAGTATGACATGCTACTTAGCATGCAAGAATGGGAGAAGAATCCTAGAGAAGTACAGAAAACTAACTTCAAGATGTTGAAACAAGTTGGTAAATGTGGTAAGAATACAGACAATAAGGCCGGGCGCGGTGGCTCACGCCTGTAATCCCAGCACTTTGGGAGGCCGAGGCGGGTGGATCACGAGGTCAGGAGTTCGAGACCATCCTGGCTAACACGGTGAAACCCCGTCTCTACTAAAAATACAAAAAATTAGCCGGGCGAGGTGGCGGGCGCCTGTAGTCCCAGCTACTCGGGAGGCTGAGGCAGGAGAATGGCATGAACCCCAGGGGGCGGAGCCTGCAGTGAGCCGAGATTGCGCCACTGCACTCCAGCCTGGGCGACAGCGAGACTCCGTCTCAAAAAAAAAAAGAATACAGACAATAAGAAGACATAGGAGGCATCGATTTGTGATGCACAGAATTGTACGTGATGGCTATGAGCACAACCCCAGAATGAAGTATTCTTGATACGCTCTGATTCTGTACAAAGCTACAGCTCTTAAGATTGAGGCCTGAATAGCAGAGGGCATCCCAAGGAATATACAGTTATAAGCAAAGACATACAGAATGGAGTGAATGTACACAAGGTTTTCAAACCCCAAATCCGGGGAGTATGGCTTTGATGTGGCAGAAACCACAAGGGTAGCAGAGGTTGCTCAAGTAAGTTAACACAATCTAAGTTAAATTTAGGATAGATTTAATATACTAGAGCCTAGGAGAGCAGTGAGAAAAGCTGTCTTGGCAAAATGTAAGTTTACTTGTAGGTACAAAGGAACTATTAATCCTACATGTCCAGGAAAAAAGATGGACCTTCCCTTTAAGACTGATCCTTTTCCTATGTCTGTGTATATGTGTTTTAAAATGATTTTTATTTTGCAATAACACAATCCTAGAGAAGTACATAAACATGCAGCTTACAAACTGTTATAAAACAAACACCAGTATATAAATACCACCCAGGACAAGAAACAGAAGACTGCTAGTACTCTACAAGCCCCCCTAAACGTATGATCACTACCCTGTTTTTTTTTTTAATAATTACACCTAAATATGCATCCTTAAACAATGTAAACTTAGTTTCAACTGTTTTAATCACTGCCCTTTTTAAATAGCTACACCACCTAAACACACATCCTTAAACAATATAAACTTAGTTTCAACTGTTTTTATATTTTATGTAAGTAGAACCATATAGTAGATAGGTATTACTTGGGGTCCTTTTCTTTTCACTATGTTTTTAAGATTTATCTATGCTGTGGCTTGTAGCTTTTGCTCATTTATTTTGCACTGCTGAATAGTTACTATGTCAATATACCATAATTATCTATCTAGTGTAATAGTGATAAACATCTGGGTTGTTTATAGGTTGAAGTATGAATAAATACTGCTAGGAACATGCTTATATATGACTTTTTCTTTTTTTGAGACAGGGTCTCACTCTGTCGCCCAGGTTGTAGTGCAGTGGCATAAAAATGGCTCACAGCAGCCTTGACCTCCTAGGCTCCAGCAATCCTCCCACCTCAGCCTCCTGAGTAGCTGGGACTACAAGCAGATGCCACCATGCATAGCTAATTGTTTAATTTTCTGTAAATACGGGGTCTCACTATGTTGCCCAAGCTGATCTGTAACTCCTGGCCTCAAGCGATTCTCCCATGTTGCTGAGTCCACAGGCATGAGCCACCACCAGTTTTATATATGACTTTCAATGTAGATGTGCACGTATTTCTTTCTATTGGATATATACCTGAGAGCGGAATTATTGGGTCAAAGAAAAAAGAAATTTTTCATATTTCTTTCTAAAGACATTTATTCTAACAATTTACCTCCAGATTCTGATTTTTCCACATGTACAATCACATTGTTTGTGAATACACAATCACATTGTCAGTGAATATTAACAGCCAGGGGCCGGGCCCACGGGCTCACGCCTATAATCCCAGCACTTCTGAAGACAGGTGGATTCCTTGAGCTCAGGAGTTCAAGACCAGCCTGGCCAACATGGTGAAACCCCATCTCTACTAAAAATACAAAAATCAGCTGTGCTTGGGGGCATGGTCCTGTAGTCCCAGCTACTTGGGAGGCTGAGACAGGAGAATTGCTTGAACCTGGCAGGTAGGGGGCTGCAGTGAGCCATGATCTCACCACTGCACCCCAGCCTGGGAGACAGAGCAAGACCCCATCTCAAAAAAAAGAAAACCCCCAAAAACACAGGCATTTCTCTTACAACACTGTATTTTGTTTTCATTTTTTGATGTTCTACTGGCTAGAATCATTTCTAGTATAATGCTGAATTGAACTGGAGATACGATATCCACATCTTGAACTCCCATCTAAAAGGGAAATCTTTTTTAACATTTCAGTGGATAAACTATGATATCTCCTACAAATGTTTCTGTAAGATTTATAAGGTTAACAAAGTTCTAGATTGCTAATAGCTTCTTTTTAAAATCATGAAGCAAAGGCTCCTTGGCATCTCTGAAATGTTTTTCTCATCAATTTGTTCAAGTGACCAATCATGCTGAATTGTTTCAGGTTAAACCAACCTAGCATTCCCAGGATTCACCTCAGGTGGCCATGCTGGGTTACCCTCCTTTTTATATATGTATTGCTGAATTCAATTTGCTAATATTCTGAGGTGTTTCTGTTGTTCCAGTTTTTGTTTTGTGTGCGTGCGTGTGTGTATGTATGGTTTTTTTGTATCTATGTACATAAGACAAACTGGTGTATCATCTTTCCTTGGGTTTTGGTATAAAGGTTATGATATCTTTATGAAGGCAGAAGATCCTATTTTTCTGTTCTTTAGAATAAGGTTGAAGTTACTGTCATATTAAATGTTATGGTAGAACTTTCCAGTATAACCATTTGAATTTCAACTTTTCTTTATAAGAACATTTTAAATTATGGATTTCATTTCTTTATACTTAATAAGGATACAGGTTTACTATTTCTTATGTCAGTTTTGGGAAATTGCCTATTTCTAGGAATCTACCCATTTCGTCTATCAAGTTTGAATAGTTGTCCATAATTTTAAGAGTTTTTTTTTAAACCATCCACAAGATCCTAGTGATACTCTGTTTTCATTCCTAATACTGGTTATTTAGGATCTCTCTTTTTCCTAACCTCATCAAAGTGTCAACGTTATCAGTCTTAAAAAAAAAAAAAAATCTTACGGCTTCTTGATCCCTTCTACTGCATGTTTTCTATTTTATTATATTCTGTTCTTTATTTCTTTCCTTGTATTTTCCCTATATTTATTTTGTTGTTCTTTTCCTAACTTGAGACCTCTAAGCTTATTACTTGAGACTTTTAAGATGAATGCTTAGCTCATTATGCATTTAAGGTTATAAATTCCAAAGTACAACATTCTGCAAGATTTTTCCCTTTAACAGACAAATAGTTGCTTAAATAACAATTATGAGTATTTGAAACTTCAATCAACACTGGCAGAACAAAATGTTGGTTGGCTTTAAAAAGATACAAAAGCTAGGTACAACATAAAACCATTTATATTAATTAAAACATACTGTTTATGAATATATTTTCCATGAACATAGTATTCTAGGTAAGGTTTATTTTCTTTCAAAAGACTGAGGTATCATCTTACTATCACTTTCACTGTTGCTGTTGAGCTGTGCTCTAGAATATTATTATACCTATACTTTCACTCTTTTGAAAGCAGCCTTTCTTGTATCTCATTGATTTAGATTTTTTATTTTTGCTGATTTTGTAGTTTTACTAAGATGTTTTTAAATGTGGATTTCTGGTCAGGCCCAGTGGCTCACCCCTATAATACCAGCACTTTGGGAGGCTGAGGCAGGCACATCACCTGAGGTCAGGAGTTCGAGACCAGCCTGGCCAACGTGGCGAAACCCCATCTCTACTAAAAATACTAAAGTTAACCAGGCCTAGTGGCTCGTGCCTGTAATTCCAGGTACTCAGAAAGCTGAGGCCCTAGAATGCCTTGAACCCGGGAGGTGCAAGCTGCACTGAGCTGAGACTGTGCCACTGCACTCCAGCCTGGACAACAGAATGAAACTGTGTTTCAATAAATAAATAAATAAATAAATAAATAAAAATGTGGATTTCTTTTTACCATATTTCATAAAATCTAAAATGCTTTCGTGCTGAAATTTCATGATCTTAACAGAAGTTGACATGGAAAATTTTTCACGAGTCAAAATTTCAATCTTTTTGGACTGTAAGGTGTCAATAATTGAAAGATGCATCCAGATTTCAGATGTTAAAATGTGAAAAACTGTGTATCTTAGGATCAGTGAAACAAGTAGCTATCACACATGGGAACTGTTATGTTTCTTCAATCTATGACATTTGGGTCTTTTACCAATCTGCAAAATTCTCAGTCATTTTTATCTTAAAATACTGCCTCTGCCACATTCTCTCCTCTCTTTCTAAAACTCAATGAGACCTTCTCATTATATCCTCTGTATTTCTTAATCTCTTCTGTATTTTCCATCTTTTAATGGATATACTTAATTCTGGATCATTGTTTGATTTTCAAATACACTAAACTCTCTTCAGCTTTGTCCAGTCTGCTGTTAAACTATGTCACAAAGTTAATTTTGCTTATTTTGTTTAGTTATAAAAATTCTGATTTTTTTCCAAATCTGAATGACAGCTCCCTGGTGATAGCATACTCATTTTGGTCTAGGTCTGACAATTCCAGTATCTTAAGTTCCAGGTTGTTATGTTTTAATTAGAAAAATAATTTGAGAAAATAGTTTAAGGTCTTAAATAATGTTATTTCCCTAGAGAAGATTTACGTTTGTTTCTGTTATATACGGGGGCTATCTTAACCCAAGTTCAAGGTTTAAGGTTTTCTGGACTACCCAAAAGACATGAAGATCATCTTCAGTCTTTAAGGAGCTAGTGTATTCAATTTTCGCTCTTAGTAGACCTAATATTCCAACTTCCCCCTCTACTAACAAAGGGCAAACAAAACTCACAGCTAAGTCTCTTAGCTACCTCTTCTGGATCAACATACACTGCTAGAGCAACAAGGACTGGAAGCTTGTTTCTCTAAATTTCCCTTGATTCCCAAACTCTCAACCTTGAACCTCTATTTCCTATCTTACTAATTATTTGATAATCTTACTTTTCAAACATGTTTCAGTATTTCACCTAGCCTCTTCTAGTGTATTTAGTGAAAGGAACGGTCAAAATTACCAGAAGTTTCCCAGAGTCTCCTATATTTTGTCTCAGTTAAAACTAATTTTACTTCTCTTTCCATCTACCCTCTGCTATCAATTTAGCTGTCACTATTGTAAGTCAGGACAATATTTTCCTTTTACCTGGATAGTTAAAACAGCTCATTTATTACTAGATTTTTTTCTGAAATAATGCTTTTCCATCACTATTTCTCCATAAAACAACGTTCAAGGGCTTCCCAATAAAGACAGAAAAATTCCAAATTCACTTACTTAAAATTCAAGGCCCTTATAACGTGCATTAAACATTTCCAACCATTTCCCCTCTATTCTTCGCATACTCCAGACATTCAATCTCATAATTGTTCAACATATATTCCTTAAACTTTGTGCCCCACTTAGTTTTGTTTTCTGAGCCTTAAATACCCAGGTTCCCATATCACTTCTGCCCTTCCTTGTCCAATCAAATGCCACACCTCATTACTAAATCCTTTCCCACCTAGGTCAAAAATAAAAATTTATCTCTAAGTACCATGGAGCCATAAAAACTTATCTCTACGTACCATGGTGGTCTATTGTATGATACACTGTTGTGTGTAACTCCTCATCACCAAGCTCCTGCTCAATGTCTTAAACATAGCTGATATTTAAAAAATTCCTGGCAGGGTGCAGTGGCTCAGGCCAAGAGAGGAGGACTGCTTGAGTCCAGGAGTTCCAGACCAGTGTGGTCAACAAAGTAAGGTCCCATCTCTACAAAAAATTTGCTAGGTGTTGTGGTGCACAGTCCTACCCACTAGGGAGGCTGAGGCGAGAGAATCAGTTTGAGCCCCGGAGTTCAAGGATGCAGTCAGCTGTGATCACGCCACTGCACTCCAGTCTAGGTGAGATAGTGAGATAGGGGGAGCAAGAATTCTGTGTTCTTAATCACTGTACTATAATGAGATAGTACATTTGCTTTTTTTTTTTGAGACGGAGTCTCGCTCTGTCGCCCAGGCTGGAGTGCAGTGGTGGATCTCGGCTCACTGCAAGCTCCGCCTCCTGGGTTCACACCATTCTCCTGCTTCAGCCTCCTGAGTAGCTGGGACTACGTGAGCCCATCACCACACGCGGCTAATTTTTTGTATTTTTAGTAGAGATGGGGTTTCACTGTGTTAGCCAGGATGGTCTCGATCTCCTGACCTCATGATCCGCCCACCTTGGCCTCCCAAAGTGCTGGGATTACAGGCATGAGCCACCACACCCAGCCGTACATTTGCCTCTTGCCCTTCACTACTCTCCTCAATAATACGTGAATTGTTTTTTGTTTTTTGTCTGAGACAGGGTCTCACTTGGTCACTCAGGCTAGAGTACAGTGACATGATCACAGATCACAGCTCCACCCTCCTGGGCTCCAGCAATCCTCCTGCCTCAGCCTTCTGAGTAGCTGGGACTATAGGTGTGCATCACCACACCTAGCTAATTTTTTATTTTTTTGTAGAGATGGGGGTCTCCCTATGTTGTCCAGGCTAGTCTCAAACTCCTACGCTCAAGCGATCTTCCTGCCACAGTCAGCTAAAGTTCTGGGATCACAGGCATGAGCCACTGTGCCCGGCCGTGGATTGTTTAAACAGGAAAAATTTCACTGTATTGTAGAATAGTGATAAATGTCATCAAAAAGGCAAGGTTTCTGAAAAACCAAATTTACTTTCACCATCCCTGAGGCTAATTATGAAATTATATATTATTAATAATGTGGCTACAAAAAGTTCCATGTTATCATAATCACATCCAAGTATTAACACTAGTACCTACCCATTAAATGGGTATTAATGCTTCAGAATGAAAAGTGAAAAGCTATTTGTAACAGAGTCCAGGAAAGACTGAAATCCTTCTTCAGGATTCTTTAATTATACCTGTCCAAGTATAATTAAGTTTTATAGGTGGTTAAGTTTTCAACCACCTGTATTTCATCCCACCTCAAACACACCAATTAATTCATTAGCATTTACCCTATATACTACCATACTATCAACTGAAATGAGTTTTTAAATGTTATTATAATTTAATAACCTACAAGAAATCTGAGCTGCAAGAAAGACACTTTTTTTTTTACTTGTTATCAACTTAAAAGTAGCTCCATTGTTGATGCTGTTTCTAAAAGCTCCCAAAATGAAATCTGATTTACATTCATGTCATAACTTCAATAAAATTCTATTACAGAAAAGAAAACCTATAAATGGCTGGATTTAATTAAAATACTTAGTAAACAATGGCTATATATTAGGAACTGCGTTATGTGTAGGAATACAAGAAAAGTAGGATAGTTTCTGCACAAAGAACCTCAAATAGAAGTGGTAAAATACTAAATCAAATAAACAATACAGTGCAAAGCAAGTAGATCTTGAGAGATAAGAAAAGCTGTCTCAGAAGAAAAGGTTAACTTGAGTTTTGAAGGAAAATTAGGAAAAAAGACAGTAAGAAAGGCAAGTCAGGCCTGGGCCAATGACAGTACAATTCCAAAGATGCTCCCTAGAGCTGCACAGTAAACAGAAGCCCTGGGTCAAAACACAATTGCAAAGCTGAGGCAGCAGAAAAATGAATTTGGTGACTGTCACAAAAGTTTTGTACTACTAAAGTGTAATATGAGAACAGACATAAGGATACGGAGATAAAAAAAAAAAGCTAGCAAGGTAAACAGAGGACACAATTCACTTTCCCATCCCTCCAGGTGAGAGAATTCCTCCCAGGCAGGAGCAGGGAGACAGTTTATCAAAAACTCACTACTCAAAGAAGGTTCAATGAGGTAATCTATCAAAGGAGTAAGGAGATATCCAGCTTTCAGACGTTGCAGAGGTATTAGTTGTGGTGTCATATGCCCAATATTGATGTTATCAGCAGTGATACCTGTGCCCAATGGCAGCAGCAACAGTGCCTCCACTAAAATAGTTTGACATTCTGATTTTGGCATTTTCCTGACTGCACAACCTTCACACCTAAGATTCTCAATCTTTAATGTCTATTTCACTTTTAACTTCTTAAAGTTTGTTTATAATGAAAAATCCTGACTGATATACCAAGAAAGGAGGAAAAGGTTCAAGATATGACAGATGAAATAATGGAGGCAATATCCCACAAAAATCATGATAGTATCAAAACCCAGATGGAAGACTTGACAGATAACAGTTGTTGCTGTATTTCTGATTTTATGCTTTGCTTTGCTTCATCTGGAGAGGCATGGAAAGAAATTAGTAATTATAGAAAATTCTATTTAGTTTGTAAAACAGAAGAGAAATTAATCTGCAGAGATTTAAAAAAAAAAAAAAAAGCATTAGACAGTAAAAGAAAGAAAATGACAGTGGTCTGGAAAACTGCTATAATGGATAAAAGAAAAGACCATAAAGTTAAAGGTGTCCTTTCTCCACCAGCTCCGACCTTTGCCCAAAATTTATATCTTATTTAATTTTTTAAGAGTCAGGGTCTTCCTCTGTCGCCCAGGTTGGAGTGCAAGATCAGGGTTCACTGCAGTCTCTGCACTGAAGTGAGACACCCACCTCGGCCTCTCTGGTAGGCAGCACTGCAGGCACACACTATCATGCCCAGCTAAGTTTCCTACTTCTTTTTAAAGGCGGAGTCTCACTGTGTTGCCCAGGCTGGTCTGGAACTCCTGGCTTCAAGTGACCCTCCAACCTAAGCCTCCTGAGTCACTAGAATTGCAGGGTTGAACCACTGTACCTGCCTCAAAATATATTTTTAAAAAGAAAAAATCACATTCATTTTTAGGGTCAGTATAAATTTGTTTAAACTACAGACTAAGAGGCATGGGGCAAACAAGAGGAATAACTGGCAAGGATCTATTTATACCTCTATTGCCCTCAGGGGACCATGGGCACCTCCCTCCAGGGCAGGGACTATGGCTTACTAATGAATAAAATAAAAAGAAATACTAATATGCCTGGTATATGGAAATGACAAAGGAAAAGAAAGTTTTAAAATATTTCACAATTTTAACTAGGATAAGATTTATCTTTAAATATATCGAAATAAGGAGAAATGACACTTTAATACATTCAGTGTTACCCATTAGGAAGCACGATTTTTAAAAAATACGATGTTACAAACCTTATGGGCTATATGTAGACTAAAGGTAGGTATATTGCTTACCTTTTCTTAACAATTCCTAGGATACTAAATACCTACAGGATTACCATATGGGTAACCTCAATTTTTATATGCAAAAAATGTGGAGATTGAACGTGGTGGCTCACGCTTGCAATCCCAGCACTTTGTGGGGCTGAGGTGAGAGGATCGCTTGTGTCTAGGAGTTTGAGACCAGCCTGGACAACATAGCAAGACCCTGCTTCTACAAAAAAATTGAGAAAAAAAAAAAAGAATGTGGAGGAACACAGGGGTCACCGAAGCTACAACTACTTACATTCCATGTTTCTTTTCATTTTCCAAGAGAACTGAAGGAAGAAGTAATGGAAAGGGACTGGGCACTGTGGGTTTTTTTCACTTCTCAGGTGATTTTAATGGGCAATCACTTTAATAGTTAATCAGTCGATTCTTCTGGGTTTCCTAGATTATATACTTTACATATAATTTATCTTCCTTTCTAGTCTTTATGCCACTTATTTAATTTTCCATGTATTACGTTATTTATCAGAACTTCCAATACATTCAAATGGTGGTGACAGCCATAATCCTTGTTTGATTACAATGGGCATGTTTCTGATGCTTCAACATTAACTATAATTTTATTGTAGATTTTAGTTGATACCTTTAATCAATCTGAGAAATCACTTTCTCAGTTTGCTAAGAATCTAGTTTTCACTAAATCACGAGTTAATACACAATTTTATTAAAATGCATAACTGACATTTATTATGATTATTCTTTATCTTCATAAATCTGTTAATGTTGTAAATGTTATAAACGAAAAAATTTTCCCCCGATGATGATCTATTCTTGCATTCTTAGGAGAAATCCTACTAAATTGGCCAGGCACAGTGGCTCATGCCTATAATCCCAGCACTCTGGGAGGCTGAGGCGGGCAGATCACTTGAGTTCAGGAGTTCGAGACCAGCCTGGCCAACATGATGAAACCCCATCTCTACTAAAAATAAAGAAAAAAACTAGCCAGAGATGGTGGCACGCACCTGTAGTTCCAGATACTTGGGAGAGGCTAAGGCGGGAGAATCATTTGAACCTGGGAGGCGGAGGTTGCAGTGAGCCAAGATTGCACCACTGCACTCCAGCCTGGGTGACAGAGTGAGACCCTGTCTCAAAAGGAAAAAAAGAGAAATCCTACTAAGAGTCGTTGATTCAATCATTATTTTATTTATAAATTCAACAGCTATATTTATAAGTATCATTTTCTCCTACTGTCTGTCAAATTTTGGAACTGGGTTATTCTGATCTGGCTAACATGAATTAATGATGTCCTACCATTTTCAATGTTTGGAGATAATTTTCTACAGGAACTGGCAGTTCCTTGAACGTTTATGAGACAGAACTTACCCATAAAATCATCC
This sequence comes from Homo sapiens, assembly GCF_000001405.40. Taxonomy (NCBI): domain Eukaryota; kingdom Metazoa; phylum Chordata; class Mammalia; order Primates; family Hominidae; genus Homo; species Homo sapiens. The sequence goes on along the minus strand of NC_000015.10, from coordinate 72,524,654 downwards.
AGTACTTTTTGGGGAAGGAGTGGAATCTTTTACTATATTCACCATATTTTTCTGGTTATGGGTTTACTCTATTTTTCTACTTCTTCTTGAGGGACAATTTAGGTAATTTCCATTTCTAAGCTTTCAAATGTATGTAAAAGTGGACCAGCTTGGGCTGGCGCAGTGGCTCACACAGCACTTTGGGAGGCCAAGGTGGGCGGATCACTTGAGGTCAGAGTTCCAGACCAGCCTGGCCAACATGGCAAAACCCCATCTCTACCAAAAAATACAAACATTAGCTAGGCATGGTGGCGCACGCCTGTAATCGCTTGAACCGGGAGGCAGAGGTTGCAATGAGTGGACATTGCACCATTGCACTCCAGCCTGGGCAACCGAGCAAGACTCCATCCATCTCAAAAAAAAAAAAAAGGCCGGGCACAGTGGCTCACACCTGTAATCCCAGCACTTTGGGAGGCCGAGGTGGGCGGATCACGAGGTCAGGAGATCGAGACCATCTTAGCTAATATGGTGAAACCCCGTCTCTACTAAAAATACAAAAAAATTCGCCAGGCATGGTGGCAGGCGCCTGTAGTCCCAGCTACTCAGGAGGCTGAGGCAGGAGAATGGCGTGAGCCCGGGAGGCGGAGCTTACAGTGAGCCGAGATTGCGCCACTGCACTCCAGCCTGGGCAAAAGAGCGAGACTCCATCTCAAAAAAAAAAAAAAAAAAAAAAAAAGATGTAAAAGTAGCACACGGTATTTTTCCTACCTCTAATTATGCCTTATTATTCTCAATGTTGTGTCTTCTCCCCCTCCCCCAACACATTTGCCAACGGTTTATTTCCCCCTTTAAAAGAAAAAAAAAACTTATTATTTTTTAGAGCAGTTTAAGGCTCACAGCAAACATATGCAGAAGCTACAGCTCCCATATAACCCTGTCCTAATACATACCCATAGCCTCCCTATCAACAACACAGAGTGGTACATTCAATGAACCTACATTGACACACCGTTGTTACCCAAAGTCTGTAGTTTACATAAGGGTTCTTATTTGATGTTATACACTCTATGGGTCAGGACAAATGCATAATGATACATATCCACCATTACAGTATCATACAAAATAGTTTAGGCCCCCACCCACCCAAAAAAAAAAAAAACTGTGCTGTTGACTATTCATCCCTCCCTCTTCACTAACCCCTAGCAACCACTGATCTTTTCATTGTCTTCATAGTTTTGCCTTTTCCAGAGTGTCACATAGGTGGAATCGTACAGTATACAGCCATTGCAGATTGGCTTATTTCATTTAATAATATGCATTTAAAGTCCCTCCACGGTTTTTCATGGTTTGATAGCTGATTTCTTTAGCACGGAATAATATCCCACTTCTGGATGTACCACAGTTTACTCATCCTTTCATCTACTGAAAGACATCTTGGTTGCTTCCAAGTTTTGGCAATTATGAATAAAGCTGCTATGAACATCCATGTGCAGGTTTTTGTATGGACACAGTTTTCAACTCATTTGGGTAATTTTAAAGAAGTTTTGATTGCTGAGTTACATAGTAAGAGTACATTTTGTATTTTAAGAATCTGCCACGCTGTCTTCCATTTTGTGGCTGTACCATTTTGCGTTCCCACGAGAAATGATGAGAGTTCCTACCGCTCCACATCCTGGTCCACATTTGGTAGTCAGTATTTTGATTTTGGCCATTCTAATAGGTATGTACTGGTATCTCAATGTTGTTTTAATTTGCATTTCCCTGATGGCATAGGACATGGAGCATCTTTTCATTTATTTGCCATCTGTATAACTTCTTTGGTGAGGTGTCTGTTAAGCTCTTTGGCCCATTTTTTAATCAGACTGTTTTCTTACTGTTGAGTTTTAAGAGTTCTTTGTATATTTCGGACAAGAGTCCTTTGTTACATGTGTCTTTTGCAAATATCTTCTCAGTCTGTAGCTTATCTTCCAGAAAATTCATGTCAAAGATCTTTATCTTTTTTGTTGTTGTTGTTGCTCTCTAGTTCATTAATATCTAATTTTATCTTAAATACCTTTTCTACTTTCTTTGGGTTTATTTTATTTTTCTAACTTCCTGTTTCAAAGGCTTGGTCCTTTTTTTTACCTCATTCTCTTGTTTTTATTTTTCTTTTTTTCGAGACAGAGTCTCACTCTGTTGCCCAGGCTGTAGTGCAATGGCACAATCTCAGCTCACCACAACCTCAGCCTCCCGGGTTCAAGCCATTTTCGTGCCTCAGCTTCCACGTCCTGCATAGCTGGAATAACAGGTGTCCATCACCACGCCTGGCTAACTTTTGTGTTTTTAGTAAAGATGGGGTTTCACCATGTAGGCCAGGCTGGTCTCAAACTCCTGGCCTCATGTGAGCTGCCTTCCCTGGCCTCACAATGTGCTGGGATTACAGGTGTGAGCCATGGTGCGCAGCCCAGTTTTTTACCTCATTTTCTTTTTCTAATAAAAACCCTTAAGACTGTAAATTGCCCTGGACCTTTTCAGCCACATCTCATCTTTGTATTCTCATTATTTAATTCTAATTATTTTAATGTAAGAATAAACCGAGAGATAAAGCAAAAATTGTACCCACAAAACAAGAACAAAGTTATTAAAAGGAATAAGATGGATACTGTTGAATAAACAATTCAATACGACTATAAAGCAGAATGGATGCAGGAAGAAAAGCAAGATAAACTGAGGAATTTTCACAGAACAAAGTCAAAAACAAAGATGAGTACAGTCACTGGCACTTGCCCAAGTGCTGGGGGTGGGGAGATGAATACAGAAGAAGTATTTTTTAGAAAGTTAGAAGACATGCTGGATGCAATGACTCATGCCTGTAACCCCAGCACTTTGGGAGGTAGAGAGGGGAAGATCACCTGAAGTCAGGAGTTTGAGACCAGCCTGGCCAACATGGTGAAACCCTCTCTCTACTAAAAATACAAAAATTAGCCAGGCATGGTGGTGGGTGCCTGTAACCCCAGCTACTCAGGAGGCTAAGGCAGGAGGATCCCTTGAACTCACAAGGCGGAGGTTGCAGTGAGCCGAGATGGCACCACTTGCACTCCCTCCAGCCTGGCTGACAGAGGCAAGACTCCATCTTAAAAAAAAAAAAGTTAGAAGACATGGAAAGAGATCCCCAAGTTTCAACATGGATCCAGGAATTCCAGAAAGCATCAAGAGAATGGAGAAAAGGTATGCTGAACAAATAACAGCTGAGAATTTCCAAAACCAAAAATATGAATTGTCAGACTTAAAGGGCCCAACAGTTTATGTTTTCAAAACTCACATCCAGAAATATTACAGTAAGTTTCAGTATATTAAGAGTTTCTATTATAGGACTTAAAGTTTGTCACATGTGAAACAATTTATATTACAGGATATATTCTAAGAAAAACAGTGTATTTAGAAAAAAAATAGTGGTATGCAAAAAGCGAATTAGCCAGAAAAGGGGGGGGGGGGGGCATTAAATACATACATAGTAAAAATGCTTACAATCAAATAAAAAATTCAAATATCGACTGGGCACAGTGGCTCATGTCTGTAATTCCAGCATTTTGGGAGTTCAAGGTGAAAGGGTTGCTTGGGTCCAGGAGTTTGAGACCAGCCTGGGCAACATGGTGAAACCCCATCTCTACAAAAAAATATAAAAACTAACTAGGTATGGTGATGCGTGCCTGTGGTCCCAGCTACTGGGGGTGCTGAAATGGAAGGATTGCTTGAGTCCAGGAGGTCAAGGCTATAGTGAGCCATGATCTCACCACTGCACTCCAGCCTGGGTGACAGAGTGAGACCCTGTTTCAAAAAGAAAAGAAAAAAAAAAATTCAAACATCAACTTATCAAGCTGATAGGGACAAGGAAAGGACAAAGAAAAAAATTTATGCTACAGTTTTTGTCTTGTACAGAGGATGGATTAAAACTTCAAGTAAATATTGTTAGAAACTTTTATATAGTTGTAAGTAGGCATGTACAAATTGTAAAAGTGACTAGAAAAACTGAAATAGAATACATATATAAATTTGAAATTATTCGAGAAAAAGGAAAATCTGATGAGGCCAACAGAATAAGCGAACAGAAAACATAACAAATATAAAGCACAACTTAAAATGACAGTAATTTAATCTAAACATTAATTATAAAACATGAATATGTTAATCTCTGATATTAAAAGATAATAGTTTTTTCATTCAGATTTTTTTAAACGGCACCTACATGGTATTTACAAAAGACACTCCTAAAACCCAGAAAGGTTGAATATTTAAAAAATGGAAAAGATACATCAGTCAAATGCTTTAAAAAAAAAAAAAGTGTGGCAGTGCTAATAGCAGACAACATAAAATATAATGTGAAAATCATTAAATGAGACAAAAAGATATTGCATATTGATTTTAAAGACACTATTTAAAGACTGAATTATAAATCTTTTAGGTATCCAATAGCTTCTCTACAGAAACTACAAGGAGAAACTGAAACGTTCACATACTCAGAAGTTTCCCAGAAACCTCCTTTTAATTTAAATTCACACTTACCACCTATTTTTTTAGACAGTTTAAGGTTCCCAGAAAAACTGAGCAGAAGCTACAGTTCCCATATAAAGTACAAAATTTAGTACAACATTAAATCCAATAGTACACAAATATTAAGTACAATATTTAATGGAAAAATATTTTCAGCAGTGTTATAGGATAAAATTCAGAATGTCTTGGAGAAATACATTAATATGAGAGAAACTCTGAGTAAATCAGTGTTAATTCATTAGAGTTTCACAAGTAAACGATAAAAACTCTTTCTCCTAGTAGAGGTGTCATCAAATAAAAAAACCTGAAAGTAAATGTTACCAAAATTAAGAAACACCACTGATGTCAAAAAATACGGTCAGGGCTGGGCACAGTGGCTCACAACTGTAATCCCAGCACTTTGGGAGGCTGAGGCGGGCAGATCACCTGAGGTTGGGAGTTCGAGACCAGCCTGACCAACACTGAGAAACCTCATTTCTAATAAAAATACAAAAATTAGCCAGGCATGGTGGAGGGCGCCTGTAATCCCAGTTACTTGGGAGGCTGAGACAGGAGAATCGCTTGAACCCAGGAGGTGGAGGTTGCAGTGAGCCGAGGTCACGCCATTGCACTCCAGCCTGGGCAACAAGAGCGAAACTCCGTCTCAAAAAAAAAAAAAAAAAAAAAAAAACAAAAAAAACATGGTCAGAATGCATAAAAAGAAAAATCAAACTAGTTGAACATGTTATCCTTCATGAACCATGGGAAAGCTTTATACAGTATGTGTTTGTTTTGAGATAGTTGTTACTATTAAATTGTAATTTAATAGTAACAATAGATATTATTTACAATGTAATTTAATAGATACAAGGTGTATGAAATGGGGTGATATTCTCGGTATTATTTATGTTTTATAAAGTACTCTCTGAATTTTAAAATCAAATGGGAAATACTTTCCATTTATTTCTATAATATATGGGTTGTCAGTTCCCAACAACTAGGTTTAATTTTTTATTAAATTTAGAATTGATAATGAAATAAACATAAGTTGTCAACCTCACCATTAACAAGTGTCCCAAATTTCCATTCAAACAAATTTCCAAACCAAAGAGCAGAACAAGATTAAGAATGACATTAATACTGTCATTCTCCAGTCCCACTAATTTCTTCTCTTTTAAAACTATAAAGATTTTCAGAAAGAAAATATTTTTAAAAACCCAATGGAATAGAATCCTGCCCTGAAACCAGAGAACCAGTCCAAGCACCTGGTCTGGTGGCCAGAAAAGCCTAAGCAACTTCTCAATTTTGTTTCTACTGAATAAATGCTACTAATAACAGGTTAAAGGTTTGTGAGCAAGAATTTTTTTTTTTTTTTTTTTTGAGATAGAGTCTCGCTCTGTTGCCAGGCTGGAGTGTAGTAGCGCCATCTCTGCTCACTGCAACCTCCGCCTCCCAGGTTAAAGTGATTCTCCTGCCTCAGCCTCCTGAGTAGCTGGAACTACAGGCATACGCCACCACACCCAGCTAATTTTTGTATTTTTAGTAGAGACGGGGCTTCAGCATGTTGGCCAGGGTGGTCTCAATCTCCTGACCTCGTGTTCCACCTGCCTCAGCCTCCCAAAGTGCTGGGATCACAGGCGTGAGCCACCATGCCCGGATGAGCAAGAAATCTTTTTAAGTAATTAAAGGAGGATCTTACTCATGTACTCCAAGAATGTTATCAGGTGCTTTTTTTCTCTACCTGCTTTCAGTTCTTGGTACCCAAGAGGATATATGTAGAAGATACTGAAGCACACCCCCAAACACACATACTCCCAAATAAAAAGAAACACTAAGACTGAACTCCCTAACATTAAATTTACTGCAAAATTTACAAAAGGGGAATACAAGAAATTAAAGCAGTCACTAGTTGCACACTGGGTTGTCCACATACTGGTATATTCATCAATTCCCTTACTTGATTCTTGTAAATTCGGTTCAATAGGCTTTCTGTGTTACTTCTAAGTACAAAGCTGACAATATAGTTCCTTACCTTTCCATTAGCTTCTCTTTATCCCAATTGAAGTGGCTAAGGAGTATTCTTGTGATAGTTGCTGGATTCTAAAGAAGGAGGGGAAAAAAAGTCATTTTAAGGTAATAGCACTTCATGGACATTTAGTGAACTCCTAGGTTGAAGTTAAATTTCCACAATACTCCACCCAAATTTCCATCCCTAGAGTTATTTCTTTATTCCTCTAAGGAAATATATTTGAATGATAAGATCAAGACTATTTAAACATAGTCTGCCACACTACTATGTCAGGTTTCTTTAGGATTAAAAATAAGCCAAAAAGAAATTAAACAGAAAGTAAGTTACTATAGTAAATCCGGCGCTGTCTTAATTGCAAAAAAAAAATAATTTCAGCAGACTGCCACATCAGCACACTAAATGTAATCAAAATTTCAGCCAGGCAGGGTGCTCACACCTGTAATCCCAGCACTTAGAGAGGCCAAGGCAGGCTGACTGCTTGAGCTCAGGAGTTTGTGACCAGCCTGGGCAACAAGGCAAAACCCGTCCCTAATAAAAATACAAAAATTAGCCAGGTGTAGTGGTACACACCTGTAGTCCCAGCTACTTGGGAGGCTGAGGCACGAGAATCACCTGAACCTGGGAGATGGAGGTTGCAGTGAGCCAAGATCCCACCACTGCACTCCAGCCTGGGCAACAGGGCAAGACTCTGACTCAAAAAAAAAAAAATTTGTTTTAAAAAAGGAAAATTTCCAACACTCAGGCACGATCGCATGTGCCTATAGTCCTAACCACTCAGGAGGTTGAGGCAGGAGGATCTCAGGCCCCAGAGTTCGAGTGAAGCCTGGACAACATAGTTAGACCCAGTCTCTTTTAAAAAAATAATTTAATACCTTATACACTGAATAGTTCAAATGAGTTCAAATCACTTTTAAGTTAGAAGGATACTTCAGAGATATTTAACCAAAATGAAAAAATACTGTACCACATAGTAGTTTACAGGGCATACTTTTAGGCTGCTATTTCAAGAAAGAAAAGTTACCACTATGAAATAAAACCAAAGTTTACTGCCTTATCATTCAATGCTGTCACAAATATCTCCATTTCCCATGAAACTAGTGAGCTCACTATTTGTGCACAAAATTTTAACTCAAAATGCAACGGGGCCTAAGAAGTCAGCAAGGCCTGACTCATTCAAAGATACAAGAGCTAGTTACAATAGCAGAAGTGGAACTCAAACATGTGTCTGCTTATTTTTATCTCATATATAATTTTACTACATCAAATAACCTTCCAAAAAAGATCTCTGTGGACTAAAACCACTTTACTTCACCACAAGCAGACCGTAGTTAGCTACAGATTTAAAGTAATCTTGTATAAAAATAGTGTCATGAAAGAAATGTATGTCAATTGTTTTCGACAGTACCATTTGTTACAGAAAAATTTACACACATGCATACTCCCCTCCAAAAGCCAAAGATACAGACACTCACTTACTCACCTTAGTACATTTTGCTAATCTAGGTACTCCTTACTTCTCTGGACCCACACTCCCCTAAGAATCTGTCTTTAACAGAGCACTGCTGATAGACACCACCCATCTATAAGAGTTAAGATGTGAAAAGAAATATTTTAACTGATCCTAAGTTATACGTTTATTTGTAGAGAAAACAGAAAACAGAGACACTGTCATCTCCAGCTCTTAGAAATGTGATGTAAAACTTTTTTTTTAAAAGAACTCAGAAATTAAAAACAAGTTTTAACAAGAGGATTTGCCTACAACTGAAATAAAGTCACTAATTTAGATTTAGCTATATGTAAAATAAGCTAAATCTTAAGTCTCTCCATCAATCAAGAGACTTAAGTCTCCTGTTATTAACTAAAATTGCATGACTATAACTTTGTGGCATCCAGTACACTGTATTTTCTACCACTGGATAGGGTGCTTGGGGTAAACTATTTCAGGAATTGTTAAGAGCCTCAACTTGCAAAAAGGGAAAAAACAGAGGGGAGGGAGTATAACTTGATGTTGCTAGTGCCAAATATTGTTTCTAGCCACAAGTTCCCAAATCTGTTATTGGTTTATCAAAAGTAACTATGGTAAGTTTTGTTAAAACAGATTCCTAGTTTCCACCACCATGTTTTTATTTAATATGGTTAGGGCAAGGGCTCCCTAAATGTGCTCACTGCCATGTGAGGCATGACAGGTAGGAGACTCAAACTATAATTCCATGCTTCTGGCTAGGGGAATAAAGAAGGCCCCTGGGAGCTGAAGAATATAGGTGAAATCACTGATGATTAAGAGACAGAAAAGTAGATCCCTAAGTCTGTGGGCCCAGCTGCAAGCTATCTATATATATATGGAACAGATCCAAAGAAGTGTAAGGGAGGCTTTCACAATAAAATTAGGATATAAATCACTGCTCAAGTGCTAGATCAACCAAAGTGGGAATGGGAGGGGCAAATGCAAACAACATGGCAAAGACTTTGAAAACTGAAGAGATAATGGAACCACTGCCTATGTAAGATGAGAAAGAATTTGCAGGTATAAACTAAATAGGTCAATTTGTCTACTAAAACAAATCTTAAACTTTCTCTACAGCACTTCAACAGGACTCAGAATCTCACAATACAATATTCAAAATGTCCGCGATAGAATCTAAACTACCAAACACAGCAAATACAAAAAACAAAAAACTGACCAATTCTTAAAGCAGAAGATAATCAACAGATGCTGACTCCTAGATGACCCAGATATTACAATTATCAAAGACTTTTAAAGCAGTTATTTTATATTTTTTTATTTTTATTTTTTATTTTTCGAGACGTAGTTCCACTCTTGCTGACCAGGCTGGAGTGCAATGGCACGATCTCGGCTCCCACAACCTCCACCTCCCGGGTTCAAGCAATTCTCCTGCCTCAGCCTCCCAAGTAGCTGGGATTACAGGCATGCGCCACCATGCCCGTCTAATTTTTTGTATTTTTAGTAGAGACAGGGTTTCTCCATGTTGGTCAGGCAGGTCTCGAACTCCCGACCTCAGGTGATCTGCCCACCTCGGCCTCCCAAAGTGCTCGGATTACAGGCCAGCAGTTATTACAACCATGATCCATTAGGTAAAAAAAGAACACCTTAAAACAAATGAAATGTGAAATTATCTTTTTTGTTGTTTTTTTGATGGAGTCTTGTTCTGTCATTCAGGCTGGAGTGCAGTGGCGTGATCTAGGCTCACTGCACCCTCTGCCTCCTGGATTCAAGCAATTCTCCTGAGTGGCTGGGATTACAGGGGCATGCCACCACACTCAGCTAATTTTCTTTATTTTTAGTAGAGAGGGTGAAACCCCCTCTACTGGTCTCAAACTCCTGACCTCAAATGATCCACCCACCTTGGCCTCCCAAAGTGCTGGGATTACAGGCATGAGCCACTGCGCCTGGCCAAAATCCTCTTTTTTTTTTTAAGACAAGGTCTTGCTTTGTCGTCCAGGATGGAGTGCAGTGGTGCAATCTCAGCTTGCTGCAGCCTCAACCTCTTGGTTCAGGTGATTCTCCCACCTCAGCCTCCTGAGCAGCTGAACTACAGGCATGCACCACCGTGCCCAGCTAATATTTTGTATTTTCAGTAGCGACAGGGTTTTGTATACCGCCCAAGCTGGTCTCGAACTCCCAGACTCAAATGATCCTCCCACCTTGACCTCCCAAAGTGCTGGGATTACAGAGCCCGGTCTGAAATTCTCAAAAAAGAAAGAGTTTACTATTTTTTAAAAAAATGAAAATTTTAGAACTCACTCACTGGACCGGCTCACTATCAGAAAGAAGATGACAGAAGAGTCAGTGAACTTGAAGATATGGCAACACAAATTATCCAATCTTAACAAAAGAGAGAAGAAATATTTTTTAAAAACAAACAATCTCTCAGGCCCCTATAGGATATCAAAAGGTATCAAGCTAGAATTCTGTATTCACTAAAAGTATAGTTCAGAAATGAAGACAAACACATTATCAGACAAAAAAGCAAAAAACAGGCTAGGTGCAGTGGCTCATGCCTCTAATTTCAGTGCTTTGGGAGGCTAAGGCAGGAGGATCACTTGAGCCCAGGAGTTCGAGACCAGTCTGAGCAACATGGTGAGACCCCATCTCTACAAAAACTACAAAAAATTAGCTGGGCGTGGTGGCGTATTAGTCCCAGTAGCTGAGGAGGCTGAGGTTGCAATGAGCTGTGATCACACCACTGCACTCCAGCCTTCCAGCCTCAGACAAGACTCTGTCTTTGGCGGAGGCGGGGCGGGGGGTAGAGGGAAGGAGGGAGAGAGACAGAGAGGGAGGGAGGGAGAGGGGGAGGGAGAGGGGGAGGGAGGGAAGGAGGGAGAGGGGGAGGGAGGGAGAGGGGGAGGGAGGGAGGGAGAGGGGGAGGGAGGGAGGGGGAGGGAGGGAAGGAGGGACAGGGGGAGGGAGGGAGGGAGAGGGGGAGGGAGGGAGAGGGAGAGAGAGAGATTGAAACCTGCTCTAAAAGAAAAGCTATAAGAAATTCTTTGGGTGGAAGGGAAATGATATGGGGGTAAACTTGGAACTACAGGAAAGAAGGAAAAGCGACAGAAATGGTAAATACCTGGGTAAATATTATACACTATTTTTCTCCACTTAAATTCTTGAAAACTTATAAAACTGTTGAAATAAAAAACTGTAACATCATGCTTGGTAGGAAGAGTTAAATGTTTCTAGACATAACACATACGACAACTGTAATATAAAGAGGCTAGGAAAAAAACCTGTTTTACTTTGAGAAGGTAAAATATTTACCTTAACTAGAATGTCAAGAGTTAGATTATACTCCCTAGAGCAACCACTAAAATAGTAAGACCAAGAGAAAAGCTTTTAAAAAGCCAATAAATATATCAAGTAGAATATTTTAAAAATTTCAAGTAATCCAAAAGGCAGAAAAAGGAGGAACAAAGAGAAAAGTAATTTTAAAAGACCTAAATCTAACCACGTAAATAATTACATCAAGTGTAAATGTTCAAAACAAACCATTTAAAAGGCAGGGCAACCGCTCAGATCTTTTTTTTAAAAAGGGCAAAACTCTATGCTGTCCATAACAGCTCAGTTTTCAATGTAATGATTGATATATACAGATTAAAAGTAAAAAGATGGGAAAAGATATATCACGCAAACACTAATCACATGAAGGCTACAGTGGCCATATTTCTATCAGACAAAGCAAACTCCAGAACAAGAAAAATTAGCAGCAGTAACTTCAAAATAAAGAAAAAACTGATAGAAATCAAATAGATGATTCCACAATTATACTTAAGAGATTTCAACACTCCTCTCTCAGTAATCCACTGAATATGTAGACAGCCTACTTCCAAATTAAACCATCTTTTGCTAAATCCAAGCTTGAAAGAGGAAATCTCAAAGAAAATTAGAAATATCTTGAACTAGACAAAAATGAAAATACAACATATCAAAGTTGTGGGACATAACAGTGTTTACAGGAAAATTTATCATATTAAATGCTTATGTAAGAAAATCAGAAAGATCTCAAACACTTCAGGAAAAAAAAGAAAAAGAAAAACCCAAAGCAAGCAGAAGAAAGGGAATAATAAACAGCAGAAGTCAATGAAATTAAAAAGGAAAAAAAAAAAGAAAAAAACCGAGAAACAAAACCAAAAGCTAGTGCTAAAGATCAATGAAACTAATAAAACTCTACCTAGGATGATAAGCAAATACTACAAACTCTTTGCCCATTAAATTCATCAACTCAATAAAACAGGCCAACTTCTTAAAGACACAAATTACTAAACCTCACTAAAGAAGACACAACACGAATGATCCTATATCTATTAAGCAAACTGAGTATGTAATTAACTCTCTTGCACAAAGAAAACTCATGGACCAAAAATGGTGTCACTGGAAAATTCTACTAATCATTCAAGGAAGAAAAAAAAAAATTCTACACCACTCTTCCAAAAACTAGAATAGGAGGGACCACTTCCCAATTTCCATAAGATCACACTGATATCAAAATCCGACAAAGACATTTCAAGAAAATTACTACATGAACAAAGATGCAAAAATCCTCAATGAAATATTAGGAAATACAATCTAGCAATATATAAAAAGGATAATTACACCACAATCAAGTGGGGTTCGTCCTGGGATTGCACGGATAGTTTTAAATATTCAAAATTCAATTTAATTACCACACTAAAAGCCTAATGAAGAAAAGTCACAGGATAGGATATAAATAAAGCATTTGACAAAATTCAACATCCACTACTATAAAAATCTCTCAGCAAACTAGGAAACGAAAAAGAAGTGCCTAGAAGAGGCACTTCTAGGCCAGCTGCCCAGTCACTCTCAGTCAACTCTGTACTGGACGGAGTCTTACAAATACAATATGGCAAGAAAAAGAAATAAAAGAAATTGGAAAGGAAAAAAGCTGTTTCTAATCAGATGACTATGTATGTGGCTATGCAGAAAATCCCATTAATCTACAAAAAATTCCTAGAAGAAATGAGTTTAGCGAAGTCCAAGGCCAATATAAAAAGATCAGCTGGGCCAGGCACGGTGGTTCATGCCTGTAATCCTAGCACTTTGAGAGGCCAAGGTGTGTGGATCACCTGAGGTGAGGAGTTCAAGACCAGCCTGGCCAACATGATGAAACCCCATTTCTACTAAAAATACAAAAAATTAGCAGGGCATGGTGGCAGACGCCTGTAATCTCAGCTACTCAGGAGACTGAGGCAGGACAATCACTTGAACCCGGGAAGCGGAGGTTACAAGTGAGCCAAGATGGCGCCACTGCACTCCAGCCTGGACAACAAGAGCAAAACTCCATCTCAAAAAAGAAAGAAAGAAAGAAAAGATCAGCTATATTTTTACATACTAGTAATGAATAACTGAAGATCAAAAAAATTTAAAGTGCCACTTACAATAGCACCAAAACGTGAAATACATAGGTATAAATTTAATATGTGAAGAACGTGTACACGGAAAACTGCAAAATATTGATGAAAGAAATTTTAATAAGACCTAAATAATGGAGAGAGATGCCATCTTCATGGATTGGAAAACAACATAATTAAAATGTTAATTCTTCCCAAACTGACCTATAGATTCCACTCAATGCCAATCAAACTCCAAATATTTTTTGGATAAACATCAAAGTGATTCTAAATTTTATATGGAATACCAAGGAAACTAGAGTGGCCAAATTTTGAAAAATTTTAAAACAGAACACCTGATTTCAAAACATAACTATGAAGTTACAGTACTGGCAAAAAGATATACAGATCAAAAGAATGGAATGGAGACCAGAAATAGACCCACATAAATACAGCAAAAGTGATCTTTTACAAAAGTGATAAAACAATTCAACGGGGAAAAAGTCTTTTTTTTTTTTTTTTTTTTTTTTTTTTTTTTTTGAGTCAGAGTCTTGCTCTGTTGCCCAGGCTGGAGTGCAGTGGCGTGATCTCGGCTCACTGCAAGCTCCGCCTCCCGGATTCACATCATTCTGCTGCCTCAGCCTCCCCAGTAGCTGGGAATACAGGCGCCCACCACCAAGCCCGCCTAATTTTTTTAGTAGAGATGGGCTTTCACCATGTTAGCCAGGATGGTCTCGATCTCCTGACCTCGTGATCCACCCGCCTCGGCCTCCCAAAGTGCTGGGTAGTACTGGAATAATTAAGATGTACATATTTTTAAAATGTACTTTAGCTCACATTTAATACAAAATTAATAATGGATCAGACCCAAATGTAAATCAGACTGTAAAACTTAAAGAAAATGTTTGTGACCTTGAGTTACACAAATAGTTCGTACATACATCAAAAGCACAATCCATTAGAGAAAACGGATACACTGAAATCCATCGAAAGTAAAAGATACTGTTAAGAAAATACAAGATATACCACAGACTAGGAGAAGATACCTGCAAATTACATTTCTGATGAAGAATTTGTACCTAGAATAATTTTTTAAAAATCTAAAAACCTAACAAGAAAATAAAAGCCCATTTTAAAAATTGATTTACAATTCTATTTAAATGACACAGTGGAAAAGGCAAAATTACAGGGCTCAGGCCAGAAGAGGTGGGAGATCCCTGTAGTCCCAGGTACTCAGGAGGCTGAGGCAGGAGGATCACTTGAGCTAAGGAGTTCAAAGATGTAGTGTGCTAGGATCCCATCTGTGAACAGTCACTGCACTCTAGCCTGGACAACACAGTGAGGCCCCATCTCTCTTTGGGGAAAAAAAAAAAAAAAGGTGGGGCTGGAGTGGGCGATTGGTGTCACACCTGTAATCCCAACACTTTGAGGGGCCAAGGCGGGAGGACTGCTTGAGCCCAAGAGTTTCAGACTAGCCTGGGCAACAAAGCAAGACCTCTACTAAAAATTTTTAAAAAATTAGCCAGGCATGATGACACACATGCCTGTAGTCCCAGCTACTCTAGAGACTGAGGTGAGTAGGATCCCTTGAGTCCAGTAGCACAAGGCTGTAGTGACCTATGATCGCATCACTGCATTCCAGCCTGGGCGAAAGAGTAAGACCCTGTCTTAAATGAATGAGTGAAAATAAATAGAAATAAATAAGTAAGGATAGGGTACAAATCCAGAGCTGCCAAATATTAAAGGTGGGGGAGGGTTTGACTAAACAATGGGGTAGAAAGAAATTTGAGGGGTGATGGTGAGGGGAAACTGTTCTGTAAATTAACTATGGTGGTGGTTTACACAACTCTAGGCATTTATCAAAACTCAGAGAACTGTATGCTCCAGTGTAAATTTTATTGTATGAAACTTAAAGTATTCAACTATAAACGTAATCTAGCCTGCACTGGAGCACCTGTAGTGAAGTTCTTTTAAAAAGAACAATGTGGGCCAGGTGTGGTGGCTCACACCTGTAATCCCACCACTTTGGGAGACCGAGGCAGGTGATCACTTAAGGTCAGGACTTCAAGGCCAGGCTGACCAACATGATGAAACCTTGTCTCTACTAAAAATATAAACATTAGCTGGGAGTGGTGATGCACGCCTGTAGTCCCAGCTACTTGGGTGGCTGAGGCATGAGAATCACCTGAACCCAGGAAGCGGAGGTTGCAGTGAGCTGAGATCAGGCCACTGCACCCAGCCTGGGCAACAGAGCAAGACTCAGTCTCAAAAAAAAAAAAAAAGGGCCAGGCACAGTGGCTCACACCTGTAATCCCAGCACTTTGGGAAGCTAAGGCGGGTAGATCACCTAAAGTCAGGAGTTTGAGACCAGCCTGACCAATATGGTGAAACCTCATCTCTACTAAAAATACAAAAATTAGCCGGGCATGGTGGCGTATGCCTGTAGTCCCAGCTACTCGGGAGTCTGAGACAGGAGAATTGCTTGAACCCGGGACGTGGAGGTTGCAGTGAGCCGAGACTGCACCACTACACTCCAGCCTGGGTGATAGAGAGAGACTCCGTCTCAAAAAAAAAAAAAAAAGAAAGAAAGAACAATGAGAGTAAAAGGGAATGCTGAAAAGGAGAACATAGATTTGAAATTATTTAGTGCCGGGCACAATGCTAGATACTTTATATACATTATTTCATTTAATACTCACATCAATATTTTATGCAAGTTAGATATGATTTACATTTTACAGATGAGGTTACAGAGGTTAAGTGTCTTGGTCCAGGATAAAATAGGCTAGTAGGATTTGAATACATGGAGAAATTATTTTTTAATTTATGATTATAGCACCACTCCCTACAAGGACTTGTCAAAGGAGAGAAATTCACTTCGGTGTGCCACCAAAACTGATAGTTCAGTGAAAAGCCAATTCAAGCTCTTGGCTGAAATAAAGAGCTCTTCATCCTTTTTAAAGG
This sequence comes from Homo sapiens, assembly GCF_000001405.40. Lineage (NCBI taxonomy): Eukaryota > Metazoa > Chordata > Mammalia > Primates > Hominidae > Homo > Homo sapiens. The sequence goes on along the minus strand of NC_000015.10, from coordinate 72,508,312 downwards.
ATATAAACAAACCAAACAAAAACAGTTTGAGTAAAATCACTATAATCAGAAAACTAGTACTAATACTAGCAGCAGTACATTTAACTTTTAGGACAATAGAACAACCTAAAACCTTACATCTTGTCTAGTTATAACTCTAAATCAGTACCACCCACCCCTGTCCATTCTGGCTACATATAAGAATCTCCTGAGGAACTTAAAAAATACCATTAATTGGGCTTTGCCCCCAGCAATTCTGATTCAACTGTCAAGGGTAGAATATGAATATATATATTTTCATCCAACATTTTTATCTGAAGGTCCCCAGATGATCCTAACATGCAGACAGAACTGGGAACTACTGCTCTAAACAATTTCCCACTACACAGGCTCCGAAAAAGTACATCTGTAGAACTCCCATGAATGTGGCAGTATAGTATTTTAGTAATCTAAAGAAAATAACATTCCAGGCTCAGAGCAGCTGTATTTACTTTAAAGTTTTGCATTTTGAAAAAGTTGATTAGTAAGTCTGATTATGTCAACTGTCCTAGCTGAAGCTTTAACATCAATTGCACCATCATCCCCTATCCTTTGATCAAGTAGTTCTCAATTTTAGTAGCACATAAGCTCTTAATTGACTGTTATTTATTTATTTATTTTTATTTAAAGACAGGATCTTGCTATGTTGCCCAGGCTGGTCTCAAATTCCTGGGCTCATGCAATCCTCCAGCTTCAGCCTCCCAAAACACAGGGATTATAGGAATGAGCCACTGTGCACAGCCATCTAGGAAGCTTTTAAACAAGCCACAAACCCCAGGCCAAATATATCAGAATATGGGGGGAGTGAGGAAGAGGACTGAGGGGGACACCTGGGCATTACCATTTTCAAAAACTCCCAAGAGATTCCAATAAGCAGTCACAGTGGAGAATCATAATCTGGATGCACACATGTGTGCAGACAGGCCCATATTCAAGAGTATGACAAACTCTCCAGGTAGAATCACAACCAAAGCCAGGCATGGTGGCTCACGCCTGTAATCCCAGCACTTTGGGAGGCCAAGGCAGGCGGATCACTTGAGGTCAGAGTTCGAGACCAGCCTGGCCAACATGGTGAAACCCCGTCTCTACCAAAAATATACAAATATTAGCCGGGCACGGTGGTGTGCGCCTATAGTCCTAGCTACTTGGGAGGCTGAGGCAAGAGAAACACTTGAACCCAGGAGGCAGAGGTTGCGGTGAGCTGAGATCATGCCACTGCACTCCAGCCTGGGCGACAGGGCACGACTGCGTTTCAAAAAATAAATAAATAAATACATACATACATACATACATACATACATACATACATACATAAAAATAATCACAACCAAATTGCTGAATGACATTCCTATATTTAGCAGAGTGGGAGGCAACTACTTTTTCAAAAATCTCAAGAGACAACTTTCTTATTTTAGGATAAAGCTAAGTAAAAAAACAAACAAAAAAAACAAAAAAAAACCACTTTTTTATTCCAGTTTACATACACAGAAAACCTCCAAAACCCACCTTTTTATTATTTCAGAATTTGATCTGAACGAGAATTAAACAGGTTAGAGGCACCACCTTAAACCTCAGTTTTAAGATTTTCCTACAGAAGCATGGGCTCATGTTTGCATAAAATCTACAAGCTCCTCAAATGAGCTGCTTATGGGTCCAAAATTTAAAGAGAATTTTTTAATACTTTTTAAACAATATTAGAAACTCAAAAGTCACAAAGTATAAAAACATCTGTATTCTAAGGAATATTTATAAATGCTACAACAAAAATGAGCAAGCATACCCACTCAAAAAAGAAAATAATCCAACAAAAATGGACAGTTCATCAATTCCCATATTACAATTGGCTGAAAAACACACGAAAATATCCAATCTCCTTAATACAATGAATGCTTTAAATCTTCCACAATGACTAAGTTCTTTTTTTTTTTCTTTTTTTTTTTTTTGTGAGACGGAGTCTTGCTCTGTCGCCCAGGCTGGAGTGCAGTGGCGCAATCTCGCCTCATTGCAAGCTCCACCTCCCGGGTGCACGCCATTCCCCTGCCTCAGCCTCCTGAGTAGCTGGGATTACAGGTGCCCACCACCACGCCTGGCTAATATTTTTGTATTTTTTAGTAGAGAAAGAGTTTCACCGTGTTAGCCAGGATGGTCTCGATCTCCTGACCTCATGATCCGCCCGCCTCGGCCTCCCCAAGTGCTGGTATTATAGGCGTGAGCCACGCGCCTGGCCCACAATGACTAAGTTTTTAAAAGCTGATACTATTGGCTGGGCACAGTGGCTCACACCTGTAATCCCAGTACTTTGGAAGGCCAAGGAGGGTGGATCATGAGGTCAGGAGTTCAAGACCAGCCTGGCCAACATGGTGAAACCCCATCTCTACTAAAAACACAAAAAATTACCCGCTATGGTGGCACGAGCCTGTAATCCCAGCTCCTCGGGAGGCTGAAGAAGGAGAACTGCTTGAACTCGGGAGGCAGAGGGTGCAGTGAACCAAGATCGCACCACTGCACTCCACCTCTGGGCAACAAAGCAAGACCCCGTCTCAGGGAGAAAAAAAAGACACTATCCAGTGACAACGGCAAGAGAAACAGGTCATAATTTGTTAATGAGATGGCAACTTTGGTCAAACCTTTTCTGAGGGTAGTTTGGCAGAAGTGATCAAAATTTAAAATGCACATGAACTAGGACCTAGAAATACCCATTATAGGAACCTGCTCAACAGAAATACCAAGTATAGAAGTATAAGAATTTTCACATCCACATTATTTGGGAAAGCATTTTCCCATTTATACATTTTTTCAAGAGGAGACTGCCTATAAATTATGCTATATTCATACTTGAAATATTATGCAGCCATTAAAAAAATATGGAAGGTTATTCATGAGATACCACTGAGCGAAAAAAAACAAGCTACTGAGTAGTGCACAATATTCCATTTTTGTGTTAAAAAAGTAAATTTCTATGATATGGTAATATTCAAAAAGAAATTTCAAATAAATAGAAATGTAAAATATTACCTTTATTTATAACTGTAAATACTATAGGCTTTGCTACTTAAAGTGTGGTTCACAAAATTACAATCACCTGAGTTTGTGAGAAATGTAGAATCCCAGGTCCCAACAGCCATCTACTGAATCTTCACTTTGAACAGACCCTCAAGTGTTCCTGAGGTGATCTGTATGCATGTTAAAGTTTGAGGAGCACTGATATAAGCTACAGGAAGTAATGCTCTTGAGAGCTGGTTAAATTGCAACTGTAAATGGTTTCATTTCCAAATTCTCCTCAGATATGATTAAATACTTAATGCCTTCTAAGAAATTATCATGTGTAATTCAGGTATAGTTTTTCTTCCCTTTAAAGGTATAGGTTTGTTGAGAGCTCTTTATTTAGAGTCACTAAAAGGGTCAACATAATTAATGCTTAGTCAATGACATATCATAGAATAACTTCTTTATATATCTGAAGTTCAATGATAGAGGCAGGAAGCAGAGACATTCTAGGCAGACAGGGGTGGGTTCCCAGTGAAACCCCAACTTCAAACCAAAAAGCCTGAAACCTGTGGCCCAAAATGAGAACTTCCGTCTGCCGATTCTCTCCCAGTTGGTTCTTTCCGAATAATGTCTTTTTACCAATCGAATGTTGCTTTTTCCAAAACTACTGATGGCCAACCCACCCCTCATCCTGTGCAGATAAAGACGAACGAGAGAAGCGGCTTGACTGGAGAGAGGTCCCTGGACTTCAGAGGGGCAGCTTGACTTCAGGAAAGATTACCTGCCCAACCTGTCTCTTCTCTAGCTCCCCTCTCTGCTAAGAGCCATTTTCATCACTAAAGAAAATTATCCGCCTCCACCATCCTTCAAGCGTCTGGCAGGACCTCATTTTTCTTGGACACCAGACAAGAACTTGGGACCCACCAAGTGCAGGTACCCAAAAAAGGCTGTCTGGCTGGGTGCGGTGGCTCACACTGTAATCCCAGTACTCTGGGAGGCTGAGACGGCAGATTAACCTGAGGTCAGAAGCTCGAGTCCAGCCTGGCCAACATGGCAAAACGCCATCTCTACTAAAAATACAAAAATTAGTGGGGCATGGTGGCGGGTACCTGTAATCCCAGCTATTCAAGAGACTGAGGCAGGAGAATCGCTTGAACCCAGGAGGCAGAGGTTGCAGTGAGCCAAGATCGTGCCACTGCACTCCAGCCTGGGCGACAAGGGCGAAACTCCATCTAAAAAATAAATAAATAAATAAAGGCTATCACACTGGCCCTTTGCCCTCACTAGTGGAGGGCGGCTGCCCCACGCAACAAGGCAAGGAGCCTACTGAGCTGGTAACACACCGCTGTCCACAGACGGTGGAGCTAAGACAGCATTGTAACATGCCCTCTAGGGCTTCAGGGGTTGCAGGCACCCCAACCTGGGTGCCATCGCAGGGCCCACATGAAACTTGCTCCTGCCAGCACCCAAAGCAGCCAGCCAGATCCCGCATTCACTTGCTCACGTGCTCCCTCCTGCAAGGGGTTGAGGGCTGCAAGCAGAGTAAATGGGGCACCTCCATCACAAGTCCAAAGAAGGGGTCAAGAAAAATCCTGCATCACATACAGTACCATCTACTAAATGTAAGAGTAGCATTTTGTCACCAAAGGATGCTCTTGACTTTGATCAATCAGTATTTGGTGGAGGGAATAGAAACCACTAGATATTCTGAGCAAAGGGGAGTTAAAAAGGAATTAGATGCTTAGTTACGGGAAAGAATGGAGGAATGGGGCTATAGGAATATGTCTCCAGGAGTGACTACCAGAACACTACAGAACTGAAATCATAAGAAGCTACCAATGGGACCACTAAATCCAAGAACACATGGCAGATAACTGTGATCCAAGGATTGGAAAGCTTGAATCAGGAAGTTGCCACTGTCACAACTGCCTCTAAATACCCAGCTAGGGGATGTACACAATAAAACAGTCTAGCTGCTGCCTTAACCACAAAAGCCTCTTGATAACTCAAGATGCTGGAGAATAAATAATGCTATGCTGCATTTCTGCTACTGTTGGCAAAATCTCACTTCTTCATGACCCAGACCACAAAAACGAAGAAAACATAAACTCCCTTCAAATCTCCCACATATATATTATAATTGTCACAACTATTTTATATCTAGAACCCTAAATGCAAAATAGTCTGAGAAATAGTTTTTGGCCTTCTAGACTACTTAGGACAGAGAAGCACCTAGTGGGGCTAAGGGAGACAATCCACACAATCTCTAGATGGCTTAAAAGTATGTGCATTTTAAAAGAATTTACAACTAAACACTGATCATCAAACTTCCCAGTTATGAATATTTACTTCTAAGCTACCACAGGAGAAGGAAGGTAAAAGGTAAAAATGTTGAGGATAATATTCTTGAGAGAACTCCCCCTTAAAGAGGCTTCTCAGATTACTTCAGCAGGCAGGAATGTCATACCTTCATCACTCTTTTTTTTAATTTTATTTTATTTAAGACAGGGTCTGGCTCTGTCGCTCAGGCTGGAGTACAGTGGCGAGATCTTGGCTCACTGCAACTTCTGCCTCCCAGGCTCAGGCAATCCTCTCACCTCAGCTTCCCAAGTAACTGGGACTACAGGCACGTGCCACGATGCCAGGCTAATTTTTTTATTTTTTTGTAGAGACAGGGTTTCGCCATGTTGCCCTGGCTGGTCTGAAACTCTTGGGCTGAAGCAATCAGCCTGTCTTAGCCTCCCAAAGTGCTGGGATTACAGCCATGAGTGAGTGCCCAGCCACTCATTACTCTTGGAGATTATTTAAAGCAAAATTTAACAATGACAAGTTTCAATTAACTGTTGGCAATCCTATAAATACATAACAATTTGAAATTTTGCTGAGATATGCATTTGATTTAAATATGTAATCCTGATGCATCCAAACTTGTTAATAAATGTGCCTAGCCAATGACACATCTGGGCTTTGCTGTTCTTTGCACATTTATTTTATGAGGGAAATTACTTCCTTCTATGTCATCCCAAATATAAAGATTTCACCTCTAGAAAACATCAAGAGTTTAATCAGTGTTTTAATACAATGTTTCTGTAAGTAGAAGGATGTTATCACTATGTATAATCATTTGATTTCTTCCATAAAAATTCAGCGGCAAACCAAAGTGGGGAGAGATAATGGAAGGGTATATTTACATGAACAATAGAAACAATAGGTAAGGTATCCTTCAATGTTATATCAAAAAAAAATACTCAAGACTTAAAATAGCAGTCTATGACTTTGCATCAAGAGACAAGTCACTTCTAATATATATAACACCCTAGTTTTTAAACTTTTATCGTTACCTGAAACTCCATTCAGGCAAGATTTTCTTGGGTTGCAGTCTCTTAACTGGCTATTCCTTATAGGGGCAAAAAAGCCCTATTGATAAAAAGGGTACAAACTAAAGGTAGAGCCAAGAACCAGGTAACTTAAATTCCAAACTGCCCTGGCACAGTGGGGCTAATGTAAACCATAAATATAGACCACCTCATGCTACTTTATTATTTTTGTGGTGATTAGAATTGTGAGATGATTAAAGTTATTTTGTAACCTTTCAGTTATTTGTTCACATACTCACTTCTGGGTTCCAACTGTTAAGCCCTAAGTATCAGCATTCCACGTATCTGCTGTGGCATATACTAAAAATGTTCCACCAAACACACAAGCAAAACATTCGCGTGACTTCAATGTAACTCCACTTCTTTAACACAACCACTAGGTCATCAACAAACCATCTAGAGACAGCATACAAAAATTTGATTTTTAACAGCATTTGAACCAGTACTTTCTCAAACCGTGCAACTCAAAACACTTACTGATAAGTGGTGGGATTCTGATTAGCAATTCACTGCTTCTTACTCATCCATACTATATATTTGTATATACAGTAAATAAGATTTTGTTCAATAACAAACATAAGATTATTTGAAAACCATACATCTAACTTTATTTTAAAAGAGTGGGCATTTAAATAAATTTGTCTCTTAAAAACTGTTTTCTAAGAAAAATTCTATTTTTGAAAAAAGCCATTGTAGGCTTCTTTAAAGCTAATAAAAGTCATAAATCCAAATGATCTTGAATTAGACAAAAATATACCCCTGTATCCTTTAAGTTTTAAAACCAAGCAATAACAGGCCATGTAAATCTCCAGTACATTCTCTATCAATTATTCTCAAAATACACAGCTCAATAATTACGAATCATGACAAAGGAATACATAGTGTGTACCTCCTCCCATGAAGGCTGATAGTGTATATTTGGTCTAAGAACACGTCTACATAAACTTCCTGACGATATTTTAAAGAATGAAGGTATCATTAAATGTAGACCTTAAGGATTACATTAAATCACTTTTAAGTTATTTTATTTAATATACATACATAGTTTTAGAAGTTAATGGTACTGCAAGATTTAACAGTGTTCTTTGCCATACTTCAGTCACTACTGATTTCTAATCCTCTGAGGTAACCATTTTAAACTCTTCTGTGTCTTCTAGTATTTACTTTTATGCTAAATAATATGCTTATGCTCAAGGAGTTATTATTTTTCTATTTTAGATATTATCTGTCACCTTCCTAATGTGAAAGATGAGGATCTGGCACGCTACATGCACCTCTCAATCTTTCTTCCATAACTTATCATTATTTTAAGTTATATCCATTGTTTTTCACATTCAACTGATAGGAATTCCAAAAGAAGAAGAGAGGGAATGAAATTAGCAAAGCAGTAACAGAAGTTAATTCCCCAAAGCTTTATAAGGACACAAGTCTTCCAGTTGAAAGGGTCCACTGAAGATCCAGCACAATGGATTAGAAGATTCACACTTACATATCTCTTCAGAGAAAAGGCTGAAACTTAAAAAATAAATAAATAAATAAAGTCATAAAGTGGCTCACACCTGTAATCCCAGCACTTTGGGAGGCCGAGGCGGGCAGATCACGAGGTCAAGAGATCGACATCATCCTGGCCAACACAGTGAAACCCCGTCTCTATTAAAAATACAAAAATTAGCTGGGCGTGGTGGTGTGCGCCTGTAGTCCCAGCTACTCGGGAGGCTGAGGCAGGAGAAATCGCTTGAACACAGGAGGTGGAGGTTGCAGTGAGACGAGATTGTGCCACTACACTCCAGCCTGGCAACAGAGCAAGACTCCAACTCAAAAAAAAAAAAGAGAGAAATGACAACCAGACTACTATCAGTCTTATCACCAACAGTGAATGCAGAAGGCAATGTCTTGCACAAATATTCTAATCTAGAGTTTCCAACCTAGCCAATCTAGCAATCAAGTTTGAAGGAAAATTAAGCACATTATCAGAGCCACAATAAGTAACAGCCTAAGAGTGTTGCAGGGGGGAAAAAAGTGTTGTGAGAGTTAAATTAAGGATGCAGTCCAGCACAATGAGATTCAGTCAAGAAAAAGACATGTATCTAAGAATCAGAGGCTCCAACACAGGAGAATGATGCAAAGTCCATGGTTGAGAGCTATATGTAAGAGGCTTACAGGGAAAGCCATCCTGATTACAAGAGCAGAATGAAGGGCTCCAAGGAGTATAAATAAACCCAAACCATCTTGCTACCAGAGTACTGTTCTTAGGAAGGTTCACAGCATTTGAAATTAGACCTGTTAAAAACAAAAAGCAACAGTAATCATAATACACTACTTAGAATGTCATTGATATTTATAAACCATAAAAACAAACATTCAATGATGTCACTTCAAAAATCAAGCTATAAGCGAACTAATAACATTTGGTTATAATCACAAGACAAAAATATTTTGATAACATATAACTATAGCTGGCATAAAGTGGGGTTCTCAAGGATGGAGGAAGAAAAAGGAAAGAGATAATGTCAAAAGGAAGAGACATATTAAAGCTATAAATGTAATCATTGTAAGATATAACATTTACATTTGTTACCACATGCATGTATTGCTTTTTTTTTTTCTTACAAATAACAAACTGGAGAAAGAGCTACAATAATTATACATTAAATACCATTACTGGCTGGGCTCAGTGGCTCACGCCAACACTTTGGGAGGCCAAGGCAGGTGGATCATTTGAGATCAGAAGTTCGAGGCCAGCCTGACCAACATGGTGAAACCCCGTCTCTACTAAAAATACAAAAATTAGCCAAGTGTGGTGGCGTGCGCCTCCCAGCTACTCAGGAGGATGAGGCGGGAGAATGGCTTGAACCCGGGAGGCAGAGGTCGCAGTGAGCCGAGATCACACTACTGCACTCCAGCCTGGGTGACAGAGCAAGACTTTGTCTCAAAAAAAAAAAAAAAAAAAAAAAAAAAAAAAAAAAAATTTATGAAAAGGTGCAAACGACATAAAAAGGCAATTCAGAAAAATGTAAATTAAAACAACTAGTATTTTCTTTACCAGATTAATAAAAATTTGAAGAGTTCTTTTTTTTTTTTATTTTTGAGATGGAGTGTTTCACTCTTGTTGCCCAGGCTGGAATGCAGTGGCACGATCTTGGCTCCCTGCAACCTCCGCCTCCTGGGTTCAAGCCATTCTCCTGCCTCAGCCTCCCAGGTAGCTGGGATTACAGGCATGCACCACCACACCCAGCTAATGTATTTTTAGTAGAGACGGGGTTTCGCCATGTTGGTCAGGCTGGTCTCCAATTCCTGACCTCGGGTGATCCACCGCCTCAGCCTCCCTAAGTGCTGGGATCACAGGCGTGAGCCACCACGCCAGACCAAGATTCTTAATAGTTATCAGCAAGGGTATACAGAAAATGGTAGTTCACACACATGTAAATATAAACATAACTTTTGAAAACACTCAGCCTTCTTTACAAAAACTCTGTAAGGGAAAGGAAGAAGACACAAATATGAGTGAATTAGATGTCCAACAATAGGAAAACTGATAAATTGATATGGTTATATTAGAAAATACCATACAATTTTTAAATCTATAGTGTACTGCTAAAGGAAAAAATAGCAACTTGCAGAATAAGGTAGAATTGGAGCAGAAGTGAGAAAGCACAAATGTGCCTCATTTTTATTTAAAAAAAAAACATTTTGGTTGCAGATTAAAGTCTATTGACATAAGAATGCATCATTTAAAAAAGTCAAATCTTTCTGAGCAGTGATTTACATCTAGTCAAGAAGTTCACATCTTCACCTCCTTAAGACTCCCCTTTTGTGATCTATTTAGTGGAGCATTAAATACCTAATACCTTTGGTAGAATCAAAAACAGATAACTGAAAAGGTTTCCAAGACCAGCTGAAAAAAAATCTTTAAAAAACCCAAAACATTTTAACACTATTGATTCGAAACATCCCTACTATGGTATATTATGAAGCTTCACTTCCACATTCAAGAAACTAGATCTCCTCAATATAGTATATGGAGTTTATAAAAGTATTAACTAACATCAGCATTTGAGTCACAATTTAGGCTGTGGTAAGATCTTAGGTTTTACAGCTAAGATTGCTGGTTTGAAAACCCAACAATCTTCACTGAAGAACAAATACATATTTTTGTCTGACTTTTCATTTGGGAAGCCTTGAGAAGCACTCTACTAACCTATTTAGGAAAACATAGCCTCTTCTTTTTAGAAGCATAACAGCATAGAAAATGATGCAAATATCTGCATCATTCCACCATCCCTATAGCACTCACTTTTCAGCCAATACTAGAATGACACATAAAACCTAACACTTAACCTTATAAGCCTTCCATTTCATCTTCAAGTGTTTGCAACGTATGATTAAGTTTTAAAACTTGCCTATAACTGATGTTTTAGGATTCAGTATAAAAATGCTATTGCCCTTCCATCCTAACCCTGTTTTTTTTTTAAGCCAGAAATTGCTATTATAACTGCTATCATTTAGCAAGTAAACTGATACAAATACTTAAGTAAATGGTACAAACATTTAAATAGAATTTCTTAATCTTCCTCATAGTGATGTCAGCGAAATAACAGGAAGATTTAGATTATTTTCATCAAAATATTCCAGAGTCAGGAATATAAATAAACATTAACACATAAATATACACACATAGCTCAATCTATCTTCTCTGTTTCTCCTCCCAGTTTACAAAATAGGATCCTTTATCATAGTTTCTGAAAATCAGCCAGCTCCATGAATCAATTAATACCATTAATATCCTCCATTTAATTATCTCTTCTATTATTCGGCATCTTAAAGACAGTGGCAAATGCCATTTACTTTGTTGCCTAAGTGCCAAGTAGGCTTCTGGTTTAAAACATAATAATAAAATTGTGCCCTTTACAAGTACATCACATTTGTCATGTCAAAACAAACTTTCCCACAAAGATTTATAGGATAAATGATGTGCCCTTAAATAATGAGGTACTGGTTGCCAATGTCTGTGTGTAAGTATGTGTGTTTAATGGTCTTTTAATGACTTGTCTTTGGAATGATTCTGTCCTACCTTTGCTGCTGCAGCCCGCCTGTCCTTTGCATCACTGAATTCATACTTCTGGAAGTACCCAATATGCACTGTAACAGACAGATGGACAGATCAATGGGCCACAGCGGCAAAGGCCAAAGAGACACACTTGATAAAAATTAAAATCAAGGTATATATAAAGGGGTGGGGAAAACCAGAAGAAAACACCCCTATCTATATTCCATAGTAAAATACCTGAACTTGGTATTTGCAACCATCCCATGCATATATCCAAATAAGCTATTCTTGATTATCACAACAGGCAAAATAAATCAGTATTTTTAATACCACTGACAGTTACAGATACAGCAGGCACTTTTGTAACCAGGCCACACAGTTTCTTCAAATAGAGATTGCTCTTTGGTACATAAACTATCACATCCATAGAAGGCTTTCTGCACCAAAATTAAAATGGCAATTATTGCAAGCAGGAAGTTTCTACTGTGACACTAAGGTCTGTGTGCTTAGAGTATGTTTGTATTTCAGCATTTTGCCATTCTACATTCCTGCCTTTATAAAAACGTTTGCTAGCACCACATCTAGGTAAGACAACTTTGGGGGCTTAAAACAATATGTAACAGTATTATTTAGGTCGATTACCAAACTATAATAGTAAGACATTTATATACAAAACTATGGCCAGGCACAGTGGCTCAAGCTTGTAATCCCAACACTTTGGTAGGCTGAAGTGGGAGGACTGCCTGAAGCCAGGAGTTTGAGACTAGCCTGGGCAACAGACCCCATCTCCAAAAAAAAATTTTTTTTAATTAGGTGTGGTGGTGTGTGCCTGTAGTCCCAGCTGCTCAGGAGGCTGAGGCGGAAGGATTGCTCGAGCCCAGGAGTTGAAGGCTGCGGTGAGCTGTGATTACACCACTGCACTCCAGCTTGGGTGACAGAAAAACAGTATCTCTTGAGGAAAAAAATTGTAAGATATATTTTTGTATAGTATATATATTTGTATATCATAGTTTATATAGCATATATAGTTACACCTCAATAAGCTTCTAAAAGCTATTTTAAAAAAACAAACCTTAAAACAATGTCTCAACATTCTAGCTCAAGCCAGTATAAATATTGTGTTTTGATACAGAAATTTTTGCCTGACATTAACCCAAATACCTGTCTGACCTGTCTTCACCAAGAGCTTACAGCCATGAAAGAACAATTTTAATTTAATCAATTGTTTTATTTTGCATGCAACTAAAATAAACTAGATCCATGCTACATGTTTAAGGAAGTTTCAGGAAACTTTTGTTTATAGGAGATCTAACCATTTGTATATTCTTTTGTTTATAGGAGATCTAACCATTTGTATATTCTTTATTATTTTAACCCATCAAGAACATGGACAAATAAAGAGACATGATAACCAAATGCAATCCATGATCCTTGACCAAAAGAAGAAAAGCTATAAAAGACGTATTGGACAAATGGGGAATACTGAATTAGACTTTTTTTCTGTGACAACTTGAGATATACCATGAAATTAACTCTCAAAAGTAGTTCAGTGGTTTTGATTATATTCACAGAATTGTGACAGTTGTGTCAACCATTAATTTTAGAACATTTCATCACCCTAAAAAGAAACCCTATACTCATTAGCAGTCACGCCCCATTTCCCCCACTCAGCCTCTGACAACCACTGATCTACTTTCTATCTCTATAGATTTGCCAATTCAGGACATTTTGTATAAATGATACCACACAGTATAAGGGCTATCGTGACTGGTTAATTTTGCCACTTAGGCCGACAAGCTGAGAGCCTGTCATGAACACTGCCCTAGGTCTCTTTTACTGAGGGAATGGAGAGCAACTATTAACTATTCACCAAGTTAGTTAAATGAAAGTTGCTTAAAGCTTCAACTACACAATTACAATACTCACAGATGATGAAACAGAATTTATTAAAATCAAATTTACATACGAAGTCACAGAGCTGGTAAAAGGCAAAGCTGGAACTGAATGTGGTTCTAAATGACACCAAAGACTTAATCACTAAGTTTTTTTTTTTTTTCCTAATAATTCATCATTTCTCACGGTATCTTGAATGCCTTCCCTCCTCCATTCCAGCCTTGCTAACCCATTTCTTTCACAGGTTATTCTAATGGATTACTCACTACTCTCCCAGTTTCCTAATCCCGTCCTGTTCTCATTTATTTCCTATAGTACCAACAGAGTGGCCTTTTAAACTCTAATTCCTTATTAATTTAAAAGTTTAAAGTTGTTTCACGTAGTCCTAGTGAATTAAGTCCATCTCAACAGCACTACGCTAAAAGCTTTCATAATCTGATCACACTGCCTGTCTAGCCCCAGCTCCTACCACTCTACTTCCCAGTAATTTCAGCAATATTCAATTCCTTATTGTTCATTCAACATACCACAACTTCTTCCATTCCTCTTCCTCCTTTGTCTGGAATGCCACCTCTAACCCCATCTGCCTAGTAAGCTACCATTCATTTTTCAAAATTCAGCTTCCATTCCTACCAGCAAGTCGGTCCTCCCAGAGAAGAGCATTAAATATTCCTTCTCGACCTTATGCTTCTACTATGAAACAAAGCGTCGCATTATAATTTATTTATACATTATTTCTTAAAGAGTTGTCCATTATCTGTATTCCCCCAGCAGTGTGGCAGCTAAAGAAATCTCAGCTGATAAAAATAAATCAAGTACTCAATTTACAAATGGTTCCCAATTAAACTGAAGCATTATATTTAGGGACCCACTAACCTCAGAAATTCATAAACTATAACACGATTATTTAGGATCTTATAAGAAATATAAAAATCAGGTTAGGGAAGGGTTCTGCATTTATGAGAAAAGTACTAAGACATCAATAATACTGTGAGGGAGGGAACCACGTAGTTGAGGTATAAAGGCAGATATATATGTTTTTTTTAAATCTTTTGTGCTTTTTGAATTTGAACCAAGAAAATATATGTATGCACAAACAATAAAAAATTTAAAATCCTTTAAAAAAGTTTATAAACAGTCACTCTTAGCATACTAAGACTGTTTTAACTTTTTAAAAAAAATCTGAGGTTATGGAGAAAAGCTCAGTATACATCTTATTTCTATATTTTGTTTTGTACATAGAATGAAGAAAAACCTGATTCACAAAGATAAGTTTGCAATGCAATTTCAATATTCTTTGCTCAAAATGATCTAGAATCTTTAAAAAGGTAGTAGAAAACATTCTACTCAGAGCTAACTAGTTAACTGTCTAGAAAGTGCTTTTATTTTTGTAAATTCTGAGTCGGAGGAAATATACAGAACCCAAAACTATTAATATAGTAATATCAAGATGAATTATTCATTCGTTACTGCAAAACCCACCAACCCTTCAGTATCTGCAATGAGGGTATGAACAAACAGATCTGCCTGATATTTATTTAATTGAGCAGGGTGCACATGTGCTGCTGTAGTGTTCTACCTTATGTAAACTTTGCCTGAACAGACATGCACAGGCCTCAATCCAAAATACCAGTGCAGAATAATCTTTCTAATCAACAATCCATAAGAAGTAAACCCAGAATAAGCAGCAGCTTTATTCTGGGTTCTGACCTCCCCCCCCAAAAAGTGTTAGTCTGGATTAGGTTATTGCACTGCTAGTCTCCAATATGTTAAATAAGTCTTTAAAATTATAGAATCGCTATCATGAGAAGGGTTAGAACCAGGTAGGTTCAGGTAAAAAGCTACAGGAAGACAAAATCAGAGTATGAAAGAACTCTAAATCAGAGGTCTTCTGGAAGTGGCTGTGAAGGTTTAGCCAGAGTAGACATTTAAGAATAGTCTACAGGACCACTTACCAGGGAGGTAGTACTTGATATGTGGTTGGCTAGGATAACCATTAGGATCCTTCCAACCTTGTTAATTTGACTCTACATGAATCAAAAACTGTGTTGACAGTGGTATGAATCAAAGATTAGGCAAGCTTACTGCCATCCTTAAATCTTCAAATATTGCTTAATGTTATACTTTCATTCCTAAGGGTGACTAGAATACTTCTGTATATTTAAAAGTCCTATTTTCACCACTTTGGCTTTATAGCTGGGTGGAATGCAACATTATAATCAAGCTTCATACATTATCATATATCCTAAGGACCCAGCTATTATATTAATGCAATACAATTAGAGATGATTATTAAAAACAGACAACATTTTTAGGGCCAATGAAATGTAATTACTACATTTAAAAATTCTGTAACAAATCAGTGACTAAAATTATGTACATACGTTTCCAAATTTCAAAGGAACATTTCCAAATTAAATGACAAGTAATTTGAGGCCCACTCCCTAAGTTTTCCCCTTCATAAGAGGTGAAGTGGTGAACAGGTTAAAAAGTAAACATATTTTCTCACATTTGAAGTTAAACGGCATTAGTAATAAGCTCACCTGAGAACTTTACTAAAGAACTATTTTCTCATTACCGAGCAAAATAAACTGGCTCTTCTCCCTTTAAAGCAAGCATTTGTTATCTAGTGCCTCCATAACAGTTTCACGGTGCTATTCTTCCAGAATCTCTTGGTGCTTCTTTCAGAAGAATGCTGGGCTTTTTGGACCACTAGTCTAAGTTTGTAACTTCATACATAAATAACGAACAAATTTTATATAATATATATGTATTCTATTACTTTGGTCGAGAATTATTTTTTATTAAACTTTGTGTTTTTAAATGCTTAGAGTAGAAAACAGTAAATATAACAGCAATTTTGGCTTGATATTTTCTTGAGGATGGTACATATGTAAGCTGTAAAGTCTTAAATGGGGTATGTAGTAGACTTCTGACTCTATTCCACTCTTAGTCATTTATTTGGATTCAGAGGCCACAGCAATGAAGTCACAAGTCAGAGCCCATTGACTCAGCCTGTATAAGTCAGTCTTCTGGAGCACAGCAGGATGGAAAAAGGTAGAAGAGTTCCGCAGAGGCAAACAGAAAATACCCAGCACACACAACAATAACATTCACACGTTTGTGTATATTTAATGATATAAAATACTGAGTTCCAACTCCAGCTATGAAAAGCTGGTTATTTAATTCCTCTATGCCTCTAATTCCTTAACCACAAAACAGTAAAAATGTCACCTATTTCACATAACAGTTGTGATAACTAAAGTTCCGTAAGATAACTGGTTAAGAGCAAAAAGTAGTATGTTAGAGAATGAGGGAAGGGTTAATTCAGTGAATTTGGTAGAAGAGAAATGTGAACAATTCACAAAGGAAAAAAATGGGGATAGTACCAAGACTTATTTTTATCAATAATAAAATCAATTAGAAAATTCATTCATATCTGACTTTTCACTCAATGTCTAACAGCTATGTTCCAGGAACTTTGTGGGTACAACGTGAATACCAAAATTAATACACTGATCAAACAACCAAGAATTTCAGAGTCTATCTAGTAAGGAAATAATGAGATAAGAGCTTTTTATTATAAAAGTATATACAAAATTCTGAGGCTCACAGGGAAAGATTCAAGGAAGAAACAATATTTACAGTGGGTCATGAAGTATGAATGGGTTTATGGGGGGGTGGGGGGAAGCATTTGAAGCATAGGAAAAAAACCTTACAAAGGCATACAGAAAATTTCCACAGGGAATGTGATTATTATGCTATAATACGAATAAGCATAAAGAAATGGCAGCTAAGGTAGATAGGGGCACATTATGAAAAGCCTGATTTATCATGCTAATAAATCTTTTATTTTTTATTTTTATTTTTTTCGAGACAAGAGTCTTACTCTGTCATCCAGCCTGGAGTGCAGTGGCACGATCTCGGCTCACTGCAACCTCTGCCTCCCAGGTTCAAGCAATTCTCCTGCCTCAGCCTCCCGAGTAGCTGGGATTACAGGAGCACACCACCACACCGGGCTAATTTTTATATTTTTAGTAGACACGGGGTTTCACCATGTTGGCCAGGCTGGTCTCGAACTCCTGACCTCATGATCTGCCCACCTCGGCCTCCCAAAGTGCAGGGATTACAGGTGTGAGCAAATCTTTTATCCTAATCTGCATTGTTTAGTCACTGGGACTCAAAGGCTCAAAACATGTTTGGCTAAGTAGGTTCCTTTTAAGTTTCCTATGCTATTGGCTGCCCACATAACCACTCCTATCCCTGCTTCCTCTCCCATCCCTGCTTGTCATGAATGATAAAGATGTGATATGCTTCCTCAGACTATAGATTTAGGCCAAATATGAACATTTTTGAAACTACAGTACAGTGGTCCCCAACTTTTTGGCACTAGGGACTGGTTTCATGGAAGACAATTTTTCCATGAAAGGAGCGGGAGGGGAGTGGAGTCAGACAATAACAATGAATATTCCACCTCAGATTATCAGGCATTAGATTCTCATAAGGAGTGCCAACCTAGATCCCTTGAATGCACAATTTACAATAGGGTTTGCACTCCTATGAGAATCTAATGCCGCTGCCAATCTGACACGAGGCAGAGCTCAGGTGGTAACGCTCCCTGGCTGCTCGCCTCCTGCTGTGCTGCCCAGTTCACAACAGGCCACAGCCTGAGGATTGGGAACTCCTGCTGTAATAAACTGAGTAAGGTGACTAACTTGTAAGAGAAGGAGACTTTTTTTTTTTTTTTGAGAAGGAGACATTTCAGCATTCCCTGAAAAACATTTTTTTTGCTAGAGATGGGGTCTCACTATGTTGCCCAGGCTGGTCTCAAACTCCTTGGTTCTATCAATCCTCCTGCCTCAGCCTCCCAAAGTGCTGGGATTACACGCTTGAACCACCGTGACTGGCCTCCCTGAAAAATCTGTGGTGACTATACGTATTACATTCACAAGGCTACAAAGGCCTCTTTTCCATTATTATCATCCTTTTCACAGTTCTTTTGATTTTTCTGATTTTTTTCCAAAGAGAGCCTTCTAATAGCTTTTAACAAGACTCTACTTATCCACAAAGATCAATATTTCCCTTTCCTAAAAACCAACTGGTTGCTTTGGAGGGCAAAGCTTTCCGTAACCCACAGAGGTGCCAACATATAACAAAAGTGAACCATACCAGGGTTGACATCTTATAAAAATAACATTTCAAAAGACAAACTGGTAGTGTGTGGAAATTTGAGGTAACAGCAATACGCTAAGATTCTCAACTGTGGAAACCTGCCCAGGGTAGGTCCAGAAACAGAAACAAGCTCACAAGTCAAAAGCACACACAAATGTTTTCATTTTGGGACGACCACCATACTTCAGTATGCAGAAGTGCTTTAGGCATACCTCCCATTTTGTCACACAAGCAATTAAGATGTGTCCTTAAGGAATAAAGACTTAGAAAACTAGTAATTTTTACTTATTCATTTAGGATTAAGTGAAACGTATTTTTTTACTCTGAGTGTGTGATAGTGAAGAACACAATGACTACTAGCATACTTTGGTGCCACTGATACCTTCTGTACTAAGGTGCCAGTGGTTTTACCTCCTCATTGCCCTGCAACATCAGCACAAATGCCAGAACATTTTAAGAGGCAAATAGTGTCTTTCTGTTATTATTAAATAGTTTTGTTCTTATGGACCATACTTTGAGAAGTACTGTATTAAACTGATTCAACTGTCTTTTTTTTTTTTTTTTTTTTTTGAGACATGGTCTCACCCTGTTGCCTAGGCTGGAGTGCAGTAGCACAATCTCGGCTTACTACAGCCTTGATTGACCTCCTGAGCTCAGCAATCCTCTTCTCCCACTTCAGCCTCCCAAGTAACTGACTACAGGCACATGCCACCAAGCCCAGCTAATTTTATTTATTTTTTTTGTAGAGAAAAAGTCTATGTAGCCCAGGCTGGTCTCAAACTCCTGGACTCAAGTAATCCTCTGGCCTCAACCTCCCAAAGTTGTGGGATTGCAGGCGTGAGCCACTGCACCTGGGTGATTCCACTGTCTTTAACATCATCACTGTGTCAGTTCACACCCAGCGCCAGGGAACTATACGCAAATAATAAAGCTTCACCTAAAAGGTTGAATATTCAGGGACCTTAAGAAGCTTGTCCTCTTGGAATTCAAACATTTCTTCCTTGCCATCTTCTTACACTACCACTTTGGCATTATCTAGAAATCATAAAATAATTTGTTAGTGCCAGAAGAAAATCTTGTCTGGATCCCTTTGGTTTACCACAAGGAAACTGAGAAAGCAAGCATTTACTAGGCAAGGACAAACTTCAACAAATATTTACTGAGTTTCTTCTGTCAGAGAAGAAACTCTGCTATGAACACAAAGATGAAGGAGTTTTAGTTCTCACCTTCAAAACCCTCATATATAGCTAGAGGCTTGGATATAGGGATAGCTATATCATAACCTCTTATAGGCTATACCAAATATCCATATGAAGCACTATTCAAACATAGATAAGGAAGCACAGGAAAGGTAGAGAAGAACCTGAAAGGAGATGAGCCACCGCAGCCAGCCTGGCAGATTCTCAATAGGAATATATCAGGCAGTTAAGAAGAGAAAGAGAGCTGGGCACGGTGGCTCATGCCTGTAATCCCAACACTTTGGGAGGCTGAGGTGGGAAGATCGTTTGAGTCCAGGAGGTCGAGACCAGTCTAGGCAACATGGCAAAAAATTGTCTCTACCAAAAACAAAACAAACAAACAAAAAATAAATAAATAAAAATAATAATACAAAAAATTAGCCAGGTGTAGTGGCATGCAACTGTAGTCCCAGCTACTCAGGAGGCTGAGGTGGGAGGATCGCTTGAGCCCAGGAGTTCAAGGCTGTAGTGAGCCGTGATCGTGCCACTGCACTCCAGCCTGAGCAACAGAGCAAAAACCCTGTCTCAAGAAAAAAGAGAGACAGAAAGAAAAGAAAAGGTATCAAAAGAAGAGGGACAAGTATGAACAAAAGCATGAAAACACAAATATGTGTTACACAGTAAAGAATTACAAACAGTGCAACTGGGGGTGATAAGGGATGAGGAACAACTGCAGATGAGATTGAAAAAAATTAGCTATGTTAAGATGGGGAAGCCATGAATGCCATAGTAAGGAGTCTGGGATAGACTTTTGACAGAAAGTCTCTTTTTAGCAGGAGGATGACTATTAAATTTGTGTTTGGTAACAGAATGATACACTGGAAGCCCAGAGACAAGGAGGCAAAATAAAAAGGTCCTAAACTAGGATTAGTTAGTAAAAAGGATAGCAACAACATGAAACAAATTTCAGAGGTAACTTGATCAGGGATAACTGGATGTGGAAAATGAAGGAAAAAAAAAAGGATGACTCAAATCCCAAGAATGGTTCTCAGATAAGCCAATAAAAGGGGGAAAAGCCTCAAAGAGAGAAGGTATTAAATTTGAGTTTCAAGTAAGTTTCAGATAAATATCTGTCCAAATGTCACAAATTCCAAGATAAATGTCCACATTAGAGGCTTTCACTTATAAATACTTGCTAAGAATCAGGTAATACTTCTCGGTTTCTAGTTTACACTTTATCCCTAAAAACACTGTACAATTGTGATTAGGAGAGAGGACATATTACCAGGTAATTAGAGCCAGTTAATATCTGAGTTATAAGTATGACAGTTTCAAAGGCAATGGCAAAGCAAGCCTGGGGAGAAGTGTCTAGGATGATAGCTATTCTTAGCATTGTCTAAGCAAATGTCTCAGTAACAAGAAAATGTTACCTAATACTTCATTACCTGCTCTGTTTTTTGCCAAAATGTATTGTCAGGGCACTTCTGACACTTTTAAATGGAACAGAGCAAAAAAGGAAAGAACAATACTACACAACAATATTTACATACAAAAAAAAATAATAATAATAATAGGAGAAAATTCCTGAATATTTGGCATTTTTCATTTAAATCTTCAAACTTTTGGCCTTAAAACCAAAATTGTCAGGCTGGGCACAGTGGTTCATGCCTGTATCTCAGCACTTTGGGAGGCTGAGGAGGGCGGATCACCTGAAGACAGGAGTTCGAGACCAGCCTGGCCAACATGGTGAAACCCTGTCTCTACCAAAAAATACAAAAATTAGCCAGGTGTGGTGATGCATGCCTGTAATCTCAGCTAATTGGGAGGCTGAGGCACGATAATCACTTGAACCCAGGAGGTAGAGGTTGCAGTGAGCCAAGATCATGCCACTGCACTCCAGCCTGGGCCACAGAGACTCTGTCTCAAAAAAAAAAAAAAAAAAAAAGTCATTTTTAAAAATGAAAAAAAAAAAAAGTAGGGCTCTGGAAAGCTGATTTGCCAGAGCAGATGTTAGAGAGCATTAAGAATTTTTTAAGCCACCTTCTGAGATAGCATACTATCCATCACTTAAACACTAACTGGGCATCAACTATACCCCAAGCTGTATCAAATGAGACATTACAGCAGTCCCCTTCATCCTCAGGGAACATGTCCCAAGACCCTCAGTGGAAGCTTGAAAGTGTAGGTAATACCGAACTTATACATGCTATGTTTTTTCAATCTGGTAACAGTGAAGTGACCAGCCGAGGCCAGTAGCAGGTAGGTAGTCTATATACTGCTATATACTGGATAAAGGGATGATTCACGTCCTGGGTGGGATGGTGAGAGATTTCATCACACTACTCAGAATGGTGTACAATTTAAAACTTACAAATTGTTTTTTTCTGAAATTTTCTATTTAATATTTTCAGACTGCTGCACACCTCAGGTAACTGAAACCTTGGAAACTGAAACTGTAGATAAGGGGAAACCATTGTATGGTCAAGCCAGATGACCTCCTATCACTAGGTGAATGACAATTTAGGGAAAAAAAAATTAAAAATTTAGAAAGAAACTTAAATCATAAGTGATTATAGAAATCTACTGACTTTATAAAAGTGGCTTGACAGCTTTTTAAAAAAATATACATGAGGCTTTTTAAAACACTGAAAATAATGCAAGGACCACCACTACTATCTCCATGGGCCCCAAAGGATCCAGTCACTCCAGGTTAGAAACAGCCTGATTACTATCTCATCCAATAATGTCAACCTAAATAAATTCTCATTCTTCTATTTATCCCATCATTTAATGAAAATAATTAAGCTATTTATACAAAGTTACATAGTAATATAGTGTCAAGATCAAACGATGAGTTGTGTATATACAGTCAATAATTTAGCAAAGTTATGGCCTATGATACTATGCCTATTATAAGAAAGACAGCAATTACCTAGAAGGCAGGAATGACTGAGGAAAGGGGGGTTGATTAACCTCAGGAAGAAAAATTTTTCCTTCAGGATTCCAAAATGATAGTTATATAAAAAACAAAACCATTCAGGGTGCTACAGGTACTAAGAACAATGAGTGAAAGCTAATACGGAAGTAGATTTTCTTTCCATTAAAAAAAAAAATCAATAGGCAAACACTGTATTGAGATGCATCACAAAAATAGCTCACTGTTATTTATTTGTAGTTAAGCAGAGACGGCAGTGTTTTAGAAAGATTTCTTACAAAAGCAGGAGCTCTCGATCCTGGATGTGCATTAAAATAATCCAGGAAAGATTCTTGTTTAACGGCAATGCCTGGTCCAAACCCCCCAGAGACCCACTTACTTGGTATGGGGTAGGGCCTGCCTGCCTGTATTTTTTAAAATCCCCAGGTAAGAAAATCTGAGTAAGATCACATCAATGTCATTACCCTCATGGTGATACTGTGCAAGATGTTTTGCAAGATACTGTTTTTATAAGATGTTACCACTGTAGAAAAAATCGGTAGAGTACGTGGGATTCAATGCTATACAACTTCAGTCACGCCAAGAATGGCTATAATCAAAAAATTAAAAAATAATAGATGTTGTCATGGATGTGGTGAGAAGGGAACACTTCTACGCTGCTGGTGGGAATGTAAACTAGTACAACCACTATAGAAAACAGTGTGGAGATTCCTTAAAGAACTAAAAGTAGAACTACTATTTGATTCAGCAATCACACTACTGGGTATCCACCCAGAGGAAAAGTCATTATACGAAAAAGATACTTGCACACGCCATTTGTAGCAGTACAATTCGCAACTGCAAAAATGGGGAACCAGCCCAAATGCCCATCAATCAACAAGTGGATAAAGAAACTGTGGTGTGTGTGTGTGTGTGTATATATATGTATATATATACACATATATATGTATGCACACATATATATATACATATATACACACACATACATATACGTATATACGTATACACACGCATACATATACGTATATATATGTATACACACACATATATATATACACATATATATATATATATGATGGAATACTACTCAGCCATAAAAGGGAATGAGTTAATGGCATTTGCATCAACCTGGATGGGATTGGAGACTTATTATTCTAAGAGAAGTAAATCAAGAACAGAAAACCAAACATTATATGTTCTCACTCATAAGTGGGAGCTAAGCTATCAGCATGCAAAAGCCTAAGATTGATATAATGAACTCTGGGGACTCGGGGGAAAAAGGTGAGAAGGGGGTGAGAGATAAAACACTACAAACTGGGTTCAGTGTATATTGCTCAGATGATGGGTGCACCAAAATCTCACAAATCACCACTAAAGAATTTACTTATGTAACCAAATACCACCTCTTCCCCAATAACCTAGGGAAATAAAATTTTTTGGAAAAAAGAATATGTGGGATTTTTGCATTATTTCTTGTAACTGCATGTGAATCTACAATTTTCTTTTCTTTTCTTCTTTTTTTTTTTTTTTTTTGATGGAGTTTCACTCTTGTTGCCCAGGCTGGAGTGCAATGGCATAATCTTGGCTCACTGCAACCTCTGTCTCCTGGGTTCAAGTGATTCTCCTGCCTCAGCCTCCCGAGTAGCTGGGATTACAGGCGCCCACCACCATGCCCGGCTAATTTTTGTATTTTTTTAGTAGAGACGGGGTTTCGCCATTTGGCCAGGCTGGTCTCGAACTCCTGACTTCAGGTGATCCGCCTGCCTCGGCCTCCCAAAGTGCTGGGATTACAGGCGTGAGCCACCATGCCCGGCTGTGAATCTACAATTTTCTATTTTAAAAACAGTAATGAAAAAAATCCCCAGGTGATTCCATTACGTAGCTAGAGTTAAAAAAAAAAAAAATCAGTAAACTGGAGAATCTCAAATTCCTACCAATTCTGAGACTACAAGCTATTTTAAACTTAAGCCACTGAAAGGTTATTAGGAATGTTTATCATTTACAGGTATAATGTTTTGCAAAGCCAAAAGTAATTAATTTACGGTTAATCCAAAATAAAAAATCCAAAACACTATGTTCTCCCAATAGCATACAAAAAGATTGGATAGAAAGGCATTATACAATAGCTGTAATTTACCTCTTAACAGAGAGAGACAGAGACAAACAGCCGGCCTCTAAGATAGCCCCCAAAGACCCCTGCCTCCTGGTCTTCACATCTTTGTATAATCCCCTCCGATTGAGTATGGGCTGGATTTGGTTATTCACTTACAACAAATAGAATATTGCAAAGTGATGCGACGTTACTTCTGAAATTAAGTTATAAAAACTTTGTGGCTTCCATCGTATGGGCCTTTTCTCTAAGATCCCTCACTCTGGAGGAAACAAGCTACTGTGTTGTCAGCCACTTTATGGAGAGGCCCACATGGCAAGGAACTGATATCTCTGGGCAACAACCAGCCAGTGAAAATCTGGCCTGGTCACAGCCAAATGAGTGAGCTCGGAAGGGGAAGCTTCCCCAGTCAAGCCTTGAGGACTGCTACCCAGGCCAGACACGGTGGCTCATGCCTGTAATCCCAGCACTTTAGGAGGCTAAGGCGGGCAGATCCCTTGAATTAAGGTGTTCAAGAGCAGCCTAGGCAACATGGCAAAACAAAAAAATACTGGTCTCTACCAAAAAACCCACAAAAACAAAAAAATAAGCTGGGGTGTGGTGGTGCACATCTATAGTCCCAACTACTCAGGAGGCTGAGGTAAGAGGATCACTTGGACTCAAGAGGTGAGGGTTGCAATGAGCCGAGATTATGCCATTGCACTCCAGCCTGGGCACCACAGCAAGCCTCTGTCTTTAAAAAAAAAAAAAAAAAAGAGAGAGAGAGAACTGCTACCAAGCCGTCACCTTGGTTGCAGCCTTGTAAGAGACCATAAGCCAGAGGCCCCCAGGTAAGCTGCATCCAGAATTGTGACTCACAGAAACTATGATATAACAGATCCTTGTTTTTTTAAGCCACTAAGTTTTGGGGTAACATAAGGCAAAAGATAACCAATCTACATAGTTACCACAGGTCAACCCCAAAAGAATCTAATGTGATGACTTCTGCTTACCTTTCATCACAGTATTTAATCTCCCAGGTTCTACATTATTATCCAGCATTTATAAGCTCCATTCTACTTTAGCTGATTTCACCATTACCCAAAAACTCTCCTCATTCTCACCTCATTCAGTTCCTTAGAATGACTTCCTCTTTTTTATCCACCCAAATCCTAGCCATCTTTGACAACACCTACAGAGGTCTCTTCCATGAGTATCTATTACTATCCACTTATTTAAATTACTCACTAACCTAACAGCTTTAACTCTAAGAGATTCTCAACTCCTTAAGAATAAGTCTTCTCATATTCCTTTAAACAGGACTTTATATCTATCCAGGACTTTATATCTCTTCCAGCATACTAATAAATTAGAAAACTCAACATTCTATATTAAAAAAATCTAGGACTGGAAGGGAAATCAAGAACTCCAATCTAGAATGTCAGATGTCACTAGTTTAGTTTGTCTATTTGAAAATACTGGCCGGGTGCAGTGGCTCATGCCTGTAATCCCAGCACTTTGGGAGGCCAAGTCGGGTGGATCACCTGAGGTCAGGAGTTCGAGATCAGCCTGGCCAACATGGTGAAACCCCGTCTCTACCAAAAATACAAAATTAGCCGGGCGTAGTGGTGGGCGCCTGTAATCCCAGCTACTCGGGAGGCTGAAGGAGGAGAATCGCTTGAACCCAGCAGGCGAAGGTTGCAGTGAGCCGAGATGGCGCCACTGCACCCCAGCCTGGGCAAGAGAGAAAAGACTCTGTCTCCAAAAAAGAAAAGAAAAGAAAAGAAAATACTGAGTAAAGACCACCTTAGCTGAAGGATAGCATAGCATGAAGGATAGCATCTACGATGACAAACATCTTCCAACCCTATGATTAGCCTAGTAAACGTTGCCTAGGTTCTGGAAATTTTCCCATTATTACCTTTTTTTTGAAGTAGAGTCTCCCTCTGTCACCCAGGCTAGAGTGCAGTGACACTATCTCAGCTCACTGCAACCTCCAATTCCCAGGTTCAAGCAATTCTCCTGCCTCAAGTCTCCCAAGTAGCTGGGATTACAGGCACAGGCCACCACGCCCAGCTAGTGTTTCACCATATTGGCCAGGCTGGTCTCAAACTCCTGACCTCAAGTGATCTGCCTGGCACAGTCCCCAAAGTGCTGGGATTACAGGTGTGAGCCACCGTGACTGGTCCCCTATTATTAGTTTCTTAAACAATTTATCTTCCCTCATTAACCCACCTCTGTAGTAATCTATCACTACACGTAACACATAGAGAAACACTGCTATTAAATTTCAACTACATCAGCAGTTCTCAAACTTTAGCTTGCATCACCATCACCTAGAAGGCTTGTTAAAACAGACAGCCAGACCCCATCCCCAGAGTTTGATTCATAGGACTACTGCCATAGCAATTCAACAAGTCAGTGTAATTTAAACTTACAGCTCAAGGAGATCAGCTGGGAAAATATAAAAGTCCAAAAGAAATAAATCTAAACTATATCAAACACTTTAATAACTTCAAAACACATGTGCCTGCACACATCATGCACAGGCTTGTACACCCTCTTCCTCCTCTCCCAATTAATGAACATAACCACAATATGCACACCTGAATTCAATTTCTTGGAAAAAATGAACATCTCCAATTAACTGAGGTTTTTAAAATGATGTTAAACGAATAAAACACTTAATGTAAAAAAGGACCAACCTAGTATTTCAACTCCCTCATTTTCAGTCCCAGATTAAAAACAAAACAAGGCCGGGCAAGGTGGCTCACTGTGATCCCAGAACTTTGGGAGGCCGAGGCGGGCAGATCACCTGAGGTCGGGAGTTTGAGACCAGCCTGACCAACATGGAGAAACCCCCATCTCTACTAAAAATACAAAATTAGCCAGGCGTGGTGGCATACGCCTGTAATCCTAGCTACTCAGGAGGCTGAGGCAGGAGAATCGCTTGAACCTGGGAGGCAGAGGTTGCAGTGAGCTGAGATCGCGTCATTGCACTCCAGCCTGGGCAACAAGAGAGAAACTCCATCTCAACAACAACAACAAAAAGTGTGGCTGGGCACCGTGGCTCATGCCTATAATCCCAACACTCTGGGAGGCCAAGGTAGGTCGATCATTTGAGGTCAGGAGTTCGAGACCAGCCTGGCCAACATGGTGAAACCTCATCTCTAATAAAATACAAAAAATAGCTGGGTGTGGTGGCGCGTGCCTGTAATCCCAGTTACTTGAGAGGCTGAAGCAGGAGAATCGCTTGAACCCTGGAAGTGGAGGTTGCAGTGAGCCAAGATCAGGCCACTGCACTCCAGCCTGGGTGACACAGTGAGACATGTATAAAAAAAAAAAAAAAAAATTTGAAGGTTCTGAGATATTAACTAGACAGAGTAAAAACCAGGGCTATAACTGACTCCCCAATCAGTAAACAATATGCTAGAATAGTACACTGTTGACCGGGCACGGTGGCTCATGCCTGTAATCCCAGCACTTTGGCAGGCCGAGGTGGGCGGATCACGAGGTCAGGAGATCCAGATCATCCTGGCTAACATGGTGAAACCCCATCTCTACTAAAAAATACAAAAAAATTAGCCAGGCATGGTAGCGGCTGCCTGTAGTCCCAGCTACTCGGGAGGCTGAGGCAGAAGAATGGCGTGAACCCAGGAGGCGGAGCTTGCGGTGAGCCGAGATCGCACCACCGCACTCCAGCCTGGGCAACAAAGCGAGACTCCGTCTCAAACGAAAAAAAAAAAAAGAATAGTACACTGTCTTCCTTAGTTTAGGCTTGCAACCTCAACTTGAGGTTCTTTAATTAAATCTCTTAATTAAATAAGTGAAATACAGCTTTCGAACCAACAGCCAACAGAAAATTTCTTCAGTAAGGCTTAGATATTTTTTTCTTTAAAATGAGTTATTTGGCTGGGCACGGTGGCTCACGCCTGTAATCCCAGCACTTTGGGAGGCCAAGGCAGGCGGATCACGAGGTCAAGAGGTTGAGACCATCTGACCAACATGGTGAAACCCAGTCTCTACTAAAAATACAAAAATTAGTTGGGTGTGGTGGCGCGCACCTGTAGTCCCAGCTTCTCAGGAGGCTGAGGCAGGAGAATCGCTTGAACCCAGGAGGCAGAGGTTGCACTGAGCCAAGATCACGCCACCACTGCTCTCCAGCCTGGCAACAGAGCAAGACTCCGTCTCCAAAAAAAAAAAAAGTTATTTAGCATAACAGATCTTATAAAAGCAAGATACCTATCCACTGTTTTTTATACCTCCTCTGACCACTCACATTCAATAGTCCCAGGTCCATATTCCTCTCGGCACACACTCTAAATATGGTACAGGTTGAGTATTCCTTATCCAAAATACTTGAGACCAGAAGTTTTTCAGATTTGGAATATTTAATTATACTTACAATCAACATCCCTAATCTGAAAATCCGAAATCCAAAATGCTGCAGTGAGCATTTCCTTTGAGCATCACAACGGTGCTCAAAAAGTTTTGGATTTCCAGGCCTACCATTTTGAGAGGCTGAGGTTCAAGGAGCGCTTGAGGCCAGGAGTTTGAGACTGGCCTGGGCAACAGAGCAAGACCCTGTGTCTCTACAAAAAAGAAAAAAAATTAGCTAGGAGTGGTGCCACACACCTATAGTCCTAGCTACTCAGGAGGCTGAGGCGGGAGAATCACTTTAGCTCAGGAAGTTGAGGTTGCAGTGAGCTATGATCTTGCCATTGCACTTCAGTCTGGGCAACAACACAAAGTGATTTCAGAGCATTTCTGATTTTTTGATTAGGTATACCCAATCTGTGCCCCTAAGAGCTGCTGCTCTTCTCACTCTACTCACCCTGCCTGAGTCAAAATCGTGACAGTGGATTAACTATCACTATTCCAGTGGTTTGGTTATCACTAGAAGGCTAAAATACAGAGATGCTAAGGTTTCACCTCAGACTTCATTAATGAGTAAGAATCTCTGGAAGTGGAGTTCAAGGACCTCCATATTCCCTATCCCTATATGCTCCTTAGGCAAGGAGCATATCCTCTGCTTAACATAATGCCTGGCATACTTAGAAAGCACAATCAACATTTGCTGAACACTGTTGTGGAAAAACAAAATGGCAAGTTTAAATACTCCCAACTGCAGAATTGAACAGGGTTCTTTTAATAAATTACCTAGCTACTTATATAGTTACATTAGAAAACTACTTTTTAGGCTGGGCGCGGTGGCTCAAGACTGTAATCCCAGCACTTTGGGAGGCCCAGCTGTGTGGATCACCTGGGTTCAGGAGTTCAAGACCAGCCTGGCCAACATGGTGAAACCCCCTCTCTACTAAAAAATACAAAAAGTAGCTGGGTGTGGTGGTGCACACCTGTAATCCCAGCTACTCGGGAGGCTCAGGCAGGAGAATTGCTTGAACCCAAGAGGCGGAGGTTGCAGTGAGCTGAGATCACGCCACTGCACTCCAACCTGGGCAGCAGAATGAAACTCTGTCTCAAAATAAACAAATAACAAAAAACACCCTGGCCAGGCATGGTGGCTCACACCTGTAATCCCAGCACTTTGGGAGGCCGAGAAGGGCAGATCACTTGAGGCCAGGAGTTCAGTACCAGCATGATGAACATGGGGAAACCCTGTAACACAAGAATTAGCTGGGCCTGGTGGCAGGTGCCTGTAATCCCAGATACTGGGGTAGGGGGGGAAGCTGAGGCAAGGGGAATCTCTTGAACCTGGGAGGGAGAGGTTGCAGTAAGCTGAGATCACGCGACTGCACTACAGCCTGGGTGACAGAGTGAGGCTGTCTCCAAACAAAACAAAATAAAAAACTCTGATTTTTTTTTTCCTTAAAAGCTGAAAAGGTAAGCTAGGTAGCCACAAAGCATTTAAACAAAAGACCAAATTAAATAAAGTTTAATTGTTTAATTTGGTCTTTTATTTAAATGTTAATTGGGAAATTATAGAAAGCCAGAAAACCAAGTTTTCTGAAAGAAAATAATGTTGACTTATTTGAAGACCAAACCTAACCTGCAAATATCCACAAATAACAGTATTTATGTTGTTGCCCAGAACTCCTCTCCCAGAAAAAGTAATCAAATTCCCAAGGAAATATTAAATTAATTTGGTTATCTTTTTACATTTCAAACTTTTTCACCTGCAAATGTATCTTACCTGATTTCACACTGAAAATTAGAACTGAGAACAGGGAATTTAAATGTTTAAGAGTTAACAGTAAGCTCTCTAATGCAAACTAAGTAAAATTCAGTGTTTATCAAACCAACATTAAAAACCTAGATAACTGCTATTTCCAACCTCTATTAATAGAAAGAAGTCTTACAAACCAGTAAGAGATAAATATCCCAAAGAGGGGCAATGGGCAAAAGAGAATAAAATGAGCAAAAAGCGAGGGGCAATTTAAAAAAGAAATACCAAGCCCAATAAACATAAATTCAATCTCACCAGGTTTTTTTTGCCCATCAAACACTGGTTGGGAAAACTAGCATAACTTTTCTGAAAGCAATGTGGTAGTATGTATCAAATGCATTGAAAATGAGCAAATTCTTTTGACTCAGCAATTCACTTTATCCCAAGAAAATAAGAACACTCAAAGACTGACCTATGAGGATATTTTCAATATTTATAAAAGCCAGAAACTAGAAAATAAAAAGGAAGGCAAATAACAGATTGATTAAATAAATTAGTTCAGATCTATAATCATATAAGTTCTCGAAAAATTTACTTGACAGAAGGTTGTTCAGAGTATTTCTGTAATGTTTTTCCACTGAAAACACAAACAGAACATACAGTATGGTTCCACTGTTATTAACGTGGAACCATATTAATGGCTATCCAAAGGTCTAGAAAAATAACTACAGTTCGCATTTTGTTGTACGTCTCTGGGTGGCAGGCTTGTTTTGTCTTTTTATTTTTTCTTACCTAATCAGATTTTTCTTACATGTGCATCTTCTACAGGCCGGGCACGGTGGCTGACGCCTGTAATCCAGCGCTTTGGGAGGCCGAGGCAGGCGGATCACAAGGTCAGGAGTTCGAAACCAGCCTGGCCAGCATGGTGAAACCCGTCTCTACTAAAAATACAAAAAATTAGCTGAGCATGGTGGAGCGCGCCTGTAGTACCAGCTACTTGGGAGGCCGAGGCAGGAGAATTGCATGAACCCGGCAGGCGGAGGTTGCAGTGAGCAGAGATTGCGCCATTGCACTCCAGCCTGGGCGACAAAGCAAGACTCCGTCTCAAACAAACAAAAAATTATCTTCTACAATCCTCAACTTCCTTCTTAGACTGTGTTCTCTAGATTAAAAATGAAGACTTCCACTATTTAGTAATGGCACTAGATATCAGAGATTTTTCTATTATGCAAAACACTGTATTGAAACAGTGCCTGAATAGATGCTTCAATTTTTAAAACTGTTACTTATAATACTATAAAAATCAGTTAATAATAGAAAGTCAACGAGTTGACAGTGACATACTTCTAATTTGTCAATGAATATTTAGCCAACCAATTTAAGTTAAACAAAAAAGAAATAATACTGATAAAAGAGGCAATAGTAACTTGCTGCTCATATATGTTTCCTTCCAGGTTTTCTAAAAATTGCACTGAATCAAGCTTCATTTTTATTCTTCAGCCATATCCCTGACTCCTCAGGAGAACTGAGGTTTTTTTTTTCCCCAAATGAAAACTTTTGAGTTTCTAAAGCTCAAAAATGCAAAATCTGACGCACATGGTTAAATGAGATGTGGTTATCAACTTACACCAAGCCTAACTTACCACAAAATAGAAAATATCAGAGAAAGGAGTTCACAAGCAGAAAACCTCTGCTTTCTAACTCACAATAGAGTCTTGTCCAATATTAGACAACACTGCGTTTTGTTGTTGTTTTAGCTACAAGGAAGGGTATGCAATATGCAGTAACTATTCCAACAGCTTCAAGCAAGTCATCTGCTACGACTAGAAAAAGTAGCAATTAGGTCCCAAACAGCAAAGACATAAAAAAGATGTAAGCAGAAGCCTCACCATCTGAAAAGAAGGCCCATCAGCACCTCTTCCGAGAAATACTTCCCTTCCCCCACCTTTAAGTAGGCACTTGAGACTGCCAAGATCCATTTCTTTATTAACTGGTGCCCACTTGGGGCAACTGTACACCAAGCTGCTCTTAGGCCTACTCTAATCCCTTCCAAAAGTGCTCAAATGAGGCTACGGCCGGGGTAAGTCCCGTCAGGGCCCAATTCTTCCTGACTCCTCTTCTCCACCCCACCTCCTCCGCCCCGCCCCAGTAGGCGATCGCCCGGCCAGAGAAAGGACACCCGGCCCAGGGACTGGCAGAAATTGCCCGCAAGAGAAGGCTTAGGCGACCGAAGGCCTCCGCCATAGCAGGACTTGGGAAGCACCGCCCCCAGCGCACCTCCCCACACCCGGCTAATCGGCGAACCTCTGCTTTCGACACCCTCTATCCCCAGCAGAGGCAGCGGAGAAGACAAGGCCGGGAGGCACCGGGCTAGGCTGCGCACCAGGCCCAGGCCTGTCCCTCGGGACCGCGCGTGCCGCCTGAATCCGCTCCCCCGTCGGGCCCGGTCCAGCTGGCGCGGCGGCCACCCTCACCTGGATGACCTCGTTGACCTCCCGGATACATTCCACCATGTGTTGTAGAATCTGCTCGGCCGTGAGCACCTCGTAGCGGTAATCCTCCTCCTGCTCATGCCCCGGCCCGCCACCACCACCGCCGCCGCCGCCGCCGCCGCCACCGCCGGGCCCCAGAGCGCTGCCGCCGCCACCGCCCGTCTCCCCGCACAGCAGTCCGTCCCGCTCCCCGCCGACGCCCAGCCCGGGCTCCACCAGCTCCACCTCGCCCAGATCCAGGGTATCATCGTCCGGCTCGTCGTCGTCTTCGTCCTCCTCCTCCTCGGCGCCGCTGTCCTCCTCACTGCACTCCTCGTCCTCGTCGAACTCGTAGTTGTAGCCCTCGTCCGAGTCCATGGCGCGACGCGCGGGGGCCCGGCGGACGCTGGCCGAGGCGGGGAGAGGGCGGGGACGCCGAGGCCCCGGCTCTCGCTCCGGCTCCGGCTGATGTCCGGACGCAGGCCTGGCTCCGGCCCCGCGAGCCGCGGCTCCTCCCCAGGAGCGGCGGTTGGCGTTTGACGGCTGGTGGCGGCGGGGAGGGCGCGGAGGAGGGAGGGAGGGAGCGAGGGGGCCGCTTGCTGCCCGCCTCAGTCAGACGCGGCTCCGCTCCGGCCTCCGAGAGAAAACAGTCCCCAACGCCACCTCCACGGCCGCTGCTATCGCTACTGAGCCAACAAAGGGGCGTGCGTCACCGCGTCGCGCTGCGTCGTCGCGTCACTCCTCTTTGCGTCACTGCGCCCCGCCCCACCGCCCCTGCGTGGAGCCCGGGGAGACCCCACGGCCCGGCCTTCCTGGGCCTGGGACCCGAGGGGAGCCGAGCGGGAATTGCTTTCCTGGTTCGATCCGCTGCCGCTGTGAGGGCCGAGCGGAAACCCGTAGACCTTTTATGTGAAGAGATTGCGGCCTCCTGGTCACCAGTCACCGAGAGAGGGACCCCTGGACCGCCTACGTGGTGGTGTCTGCCGCAGGCCATAGGGATCCAGCCCACTTAGGCAGTCCCTTGGGGACGCGGCCTTCCCTCCGGAGCGGAAAGGCGCTTCCCGCCCGCCCTGCGGTAATCCCGGAAGCCCTCAGCCGTTAAGCTAAAATTTCTGTTGCTTTGGCTACTGATGGAAACCTGTTGTAAGTGGAACCTCTAAACTGTATGACAGGTGAACCCACTTTAGGTAGCTGTGTGATTCTGTCCACTTGTACAGACGTGCAGTGGTTTTTAAGTCTCCTATAATGACGTCATTTTAAAGAGGCATTTCCTCCACCCCGCTGACAAGAGCGCCTCTTGAGGGCCCTAAACAATGTAAACAGCGATGATTTTCATGAATTGAGCACTGTGTAAGGGCTTTACATATATTCTGTCTCATCTTCACGGAGCCATAGTACCCATTTTATACCTGAGGAACCTGAAGCTCAGAAAGGAAAAGGGACCTGGCCAAGACCACATAACCCTTGCCCTATTTTAACCGCTGGATGCCCCAAAACATGAATCATAAAAATGCTTTGTAATGTAGATATATTATGTACTATGTAGTACATAAAAGACATGAATGCTTCAACAAAATACAGGCAATAATAGAAATATCTACAAGGGCCAAATGTAGCCAGAGAGATAATGCTTGAATCTCATCTGAAAGTGTGCTATGTGAGCTGAGTGTTGATGAATGGCTAGGAGTTCAACAGAGAAGGTAGGGAAGATGGTCTAGCCGCAGAGAACAAGCAAAAGCGCAGAAGGTGTCAAGTAAGTAATAGTTTGGGGAGCTTAAAGTGCATGGAGGGTACATGGCAAAATATTAGGCAAGTTAGTCAGGGGTCATGTCAGTTAAGAGCATTTTATGCCTAAGAGTGGGCTTAAATCTTTGCAAACAGGACATGCGAGCCAGAGAAGTGTTATGAAGGAAGAAGAGGCATAAGAAGGCTCCCTCTTGAGATAATCTGAAGAATTGGCCAGATTGAAAACCTTTTAAAATCAAAACCCCTGATTTGTTGATAAATCTTACTGTTCAACCTATAGGTTCCCTTTGGAAATTGATTTTGAAAAGTGAAAAATTCCATTATAATGTTAAAAAGCCTCTTCCAATTTGTCCATTTTGTAAGTTTTAAAATACCGATAATTATATTTCTTAACCTCAGGATTTACAAAGTAAAGCATTTAACCTCAATACTGGTAGTCTAGGTTTTTGTTGTTGTTGTTGTTGTTTGTTTTTTTCTTGAGACGGAGTCTCGCTCTGTTGCCCAGATTGGAGTACAGTGGTGATCTCAGCTCACTGCAGCCTCTGCCTCCCAGGTTCAAGCGATTCTCCTGTCTCAGCCTCCTGAGTAGCTGGGACTACAGGCGCATGCCACCACCCCAGGCTAATTTTTGTATTTTTAGTAGAGATGGGGTTTCACCATATTGGCCAGGCTGGTCTCGAATTCCTGACTTCAGGTGATCCACCTGCCTCGGCCTCCCAAAGTGCTGTGATAACAGGCATAAGCCACAGCGCCCAGCCAGGTCTAGGTTCTTTGATTCAGTGTTTCTATTTAGCAATTCTAGATTGCTGCCACAACTAAGGCAAGCCATGGACACAAGGAACACTTCTGTCCACCCCGTCTCCATTGTGATATTACCTACAGAAAAATTCAGTAACACTCGTCAGTACCCTAAACTCCTTTGCCTCACCTTTCTTTTCATTGTACCCCTATCTTGAATGAACCCTACCATCCATAGTCTCCACTTTGATAAATGGAGCAGCTGACCACTATTAGAGAAATGTGCATAGCCATCTGTATTCTATTACTACATTTCTTCTTTTTTTTTTTTTTTTTGGAGACACTCTTGCTCTGGCACCCAGGCTGGAATGCAGTGGTGCGATCACCACTGAAGGCTCAATGTCCCGGGCTCAAGTGATCCTCCCACTTCAGCCTCCTGAGTTGCTGGTACTACAGGTGCACACCACCATACCTGGCTAATTTTTTATTTTTTTTTACAGATACATCTCACTATGTTGCTCAGACTGGTCTGGAACTCCTGGCCTCAAGCAATCCTCCCACCTTGGCCTCCCAAAATGCTAGGATTACAGGTGTGAGCCACTACACCCAGCCTACTTAATTTCAATCACCAAGCACAACTCAACCTTCAATAATTCCCAGCAATCCTATTAAATTTTTCTGGATTGTTCTCCCACTCTCGACAACTCTTTCACACCTTTGCAGTTTCCTCAAACTTCAGCCCTGCCCTTTCACATCTTCTCAAAACATGTGACTTTTAGTCACAGAGGAATTTGAAAATATCAGGACCAATGTGACTTGAGACATGCTGAGCAAAGAAGAGGGTGTTAAGGGATAAAGTCAGAGAAAGCAGATCAAGGTAGGGGGCCAGTAGGGGCCTTGTAGGTCATCTTAAGAAGTTTACATTATTCCAGTGGCAATTATTAACGAGTTTTA
This sequence comes from Homo sapiens, assembly GCF_000001405.40. Lineage (NCBI taxonomy): Eukaryota > Metazoa > Chordata > Mammalia > Primates > Hominidae > Homo > Homo sapiens. The sequence continues at coordinate 72,471,579 of NC_000015.10, read as the reverse complement.
AGCAGAAGAGTGAAACTATATGATCTGTGTTTTTAAAAAGATAACTGACTGCTTTATGGTGAATGGACTACGAAAACAAAGCAATTATGAGGCTATCTCAGTAGTCCAGGTAAGTAGATAATAGCCTGAACTAGGGTTGTGGCAGTGGAGGTGATAAGAAGTGGTCAGATTGAGATAGAATTTGAAAGAAGAGCCAAAATATTTGCTGGTGGCTTGACAGTGGGTTTGATGGAGGAAACAAGGATGCCTACTGTATTTGGAGCTTGAGCGACTGGGTGAATGGTGGCATCACTCACTGAAACATGTTATTTGAGGTGCTCGTTAGACATCAGGGTAGAGGTGTTGAGTAGGCAGTTCCATAAACTAAGATACAAGACTGAAGGTCAGGAAAAATTAGAGCTGGAGATACAATTTTACCAGAGTTTACACCAGCAATGTTTAGAAGCGGCATAGGATAAAGGTGAAGAGGATAAAAGTTATTGAAGCAGATGGATCTGAATTTGCCTATGCACCCCCCTGCCCCGTTGCTGTCTGTAACCTTAAGCAAATTACTAAGCCTCTCTTTTAGAGGTTTACTTTGGAGGATCATAATTCCTGTTCTCATAGGATTATTTGTGAGTATCAAATGAAATTATGTATTTAAAGCATTTGACACAGTACCTGGCACATAGCTAAGTACTCACAAAATCAGAGCTTTTAAAAAGTGTCATAAGTCACCTTTATAATCTTTTAATCAGTTTTGTTTATTTGTTTGTTTGTTTGTTTTGAGACGGAGTCTCACTCTGTCGCCCAGGCTGGAGCACAGTGGAGCAATTTCGGCTCACTGCAACCTCTGCCTCCCGGGTTCAGGCAATTCTCCTACCTCAACCTCCTGAGTAGCTGGGACTACAGGCACGCACCACCATGCCTGGCTAATTTTTGTATTTTTAGTAGAGACGGGTTTTACCATGTTGGCAGGCTGGTCTCGACCTCCTGACCTCATGATCCTCCCACCTCGGCCACCCAAAGTGCTGGGATTATAGTCGTGAGCCACCACACCCAGCCTAATCAGTTTTATTTTAATTATGCTTATATGTACACAGCCTGTGTCATCCCCATTTTCTAGGGAAGAAAATTGGTCTGATTTTTTTCTCAGAAACCTTTTCCATGATCTCATGACTTCATTTTTTATTAATATCATGAAAAGTATTACAGTGCTTCTGAATTTCTGGGTCTCCTATCCATGGATAAACCATTATAACCATGGTTTGATGGTTAATTAGCTTTCATTCTATACATATTTTTATAGAATTAATTAGTTAACATTCGTTCTATACATATTTTGGAAACCATCTTAGATTCAGGTTAGGTTATGGTGCTATTTAAGGAAAACCAGTAGAACAACTTCTCTCTGGCCCCACATTGGCCAAGGGATGACCCACATACATTATTTTGTATTGTTTTTTAATGACTTGTTCTTAAAGGTATTGCCTGTGTTATTGTTTTCCCAGCGATGGTGATTACTAGCTAGAAGCACAGTAGTCTCTAAACAACAACAGGAAAAGGTTCTTGAAAAAGAAAATACACAAATTAATACCTTTTTGGTGCCGAGATAATCATTGTTGGTAATTTGGCACTCCCATTGTCCCCAAGTCCTAGTAAGGTAAAAAAATATTCGTATACATTTATAAAATATCTACTCATGGGACAAAATTCCATAAATATTTATATGCTAACCAAATGATTATGTACTGAATACCAACAGGAAGACTATGCAGGTGCTTTTCAGATAAATATAAATTACAGTAGCACTGGAATTTTTCTAAGGGCAGATAATAGAAGTGTAAGCTATGGAAAAGCCAACTGTACCAACTGTTCCAGTTGGCTCAGGACAGGGGTTTCCTGGGACATGGAGTTTTCAGTACCCAAACTGGGAAGTCCCAGGCAAGCTGGGATGGTTTGGTCACCCTACAGGGCATCTGACCAAAAATTCTTATATGTAAGCAATTGTCTCTAAAATCAAGTGAGAAGAAATTGCTTTTTGTCATTTTGTTTATAAAATCAGTTTTAATGCAGCACTTTTTGTTTTTGTTTGTTTTGTTTTGTCTTTTTTTGGTGGGGGGGGGGTGGAAACAAAGTCTCACTCTATTGCCCAAGCTGGAGTGCACTGGCATGATCTCGGCCCACTGCAACCTCTGCCTCCCAGTTCAAGTGATTCTTCTGTCTGAGCCTTCCGCATAGCTGGGATTACAGGCATGCGCCACTACGCCCGGCCAATTTTTTGTATTCTTAGTAGAGATGGGGTTTCACCATGTTGGCCAGGCTGTTCTCGAACTCCTGACCTCAAGTGATCCACTTGCCTTGGCCTCCCGAAGTGCTGGGATTACAGGCGTGAGCCACTGCGCCTGGCCTGTTTTTCTATTGTTTCGTTTGTTTGTTCGTTTTGAGACGGAGTCTCGCTCTGTCGCCCAGACTGGAGTGCAGTGGTGCAATCTCGGCTCACTGCAACCTCCACCTCCTGGGTTCAAGTGATTCTCCTGCTTCAGCCTCCCAAGTAGCTGGGACTACAGGTGCGTGCCACCACGCCCAGCTAATTTTTTGTATTTTTAGTAGAGACAGAGTTTCACCATGTAGCCAGGATGGTCTAAATCTCCTGACCTTGTGATCCGCCCGCCTCAGCCTCCCAAAGTGCTGAGATTACAGGCGTGAGCCACCACACCTGGCCTGTTTTTTGTTTTTTAATGTTTTAGGTGTTCCTGTGTTTTACCAGGAAGGAGGTAAAGAAATTAAATTTTTATCAAAGCACAAAAAGAGACACTGATAAGCTGAGTACTTTGCATTTCTGTAAAAACATCTATGTATTTCAAATTTTGCTATAGATACCAATGAAGTATTACAGCATTATTGAGAGATCATATCACACCAGTTCTAAGTGTTAATAATAATAATAAGGTATAGAGAAACTGAAGTTACCTGCCACATTAGACGTCTGGTAGAGATAGTGACAACCAAAAGTAGAACCCAAGATTCTTAACTGCAGCCATTTCTTTACGATCTCCCCATCCTGGTACAGTGACTCATGCCTGTAATCCCAGCACTTTGGAAGACCAAGGTGGGACAATTACGTGAGGCTAGGAGTTTTAGACCAGCTTGGGCAACATAGTGACACCCTGCCTCTACAAAAGAATAAAAAATAAGCAAATTAGCGAGGGCTGAGTGCAGTGGCTCATGCCTGTAATCCTAGCACTATGGGAGGCCAAGATGGGAGAATCACTTGAGCGTAGGAGTTCAAGGCCAACCTGGGCAACATAGCAAGACCCTATCTCAAAAAAAAAAAAAAGAAAAAATGAGCCAAGCATGGTGGTGCATGCATGTACTCCCAGCTACTCAGGAGGCTAAGGTAGGAGGATCCATTGATCCTCCAGGAATTTGAGGCTGCAGTGAGCTATGATCATGCCACTGTACTCCAGCCTGGGTGACAGAGCAAGGCCCTGTTTCAAAAAATAATAATAAAAATAAAAGATATTCGCTACCTCACCTTTATTCTAGAAATACAGTTGTCCCTTGATATCTGCAGGAGATTGGTTCCAGTACCCCAACAGATAAGAAAATCCATGGTTGCTCAAGTTCCTTATATAAAATGGCATGCTATTTGCATATAACCTACGTACATCCTCTCAAGCACTTTAAATCATCTCTAGATTACTTGTAACCCCTAGTGCAATGTAAATGCTTTGTAAATGGTGGTTATATTGTATTGTTACATTTGATTTTTTTAATTGCCGTATTCTTACTTTTTATGTTTTTTTTTTTTTTTAATATTTTCACTCCATGGTTGGTTGAATCTGTGGATGTGGAAACTGCAGATACAAAGGGGCCTATTGTACAGGGTCTATAGACTTTATTATTGAGCCTGAGCTTTTATACAAGTAATTATCTAATGTGTGATAAGATAATGCTGGAACTAGAGGGCAGGCACAGTGGCTCATGCCTGTAATCCTAGCACTTTGGGTGGCCAAAGCGGGCAGACCACTTGAGGTCAGGAGTTTGAAACCAGCCTGGCCAAAATGGTGAAACCCCGTCTCTACTAAAAATACCAAAAAATTAGTCGGGCGTGGTGGTAGACACCTGTAATCCCAGCTACTCGGGAGGCTGAGGCAGGAGAATTGCTTGAACCCAGGAGGCAGAGGTTGCAGTGAGCCGAGATCATGCCACTGCACTCCAGCCTGGGCGACAGAGCAAGACTCCATCTCAAAAAAGAAAAAAAAAAGATAATGCTGAAACTAGAGTATATACTATCATACAATTGGACAAATGTACAAAACCATAGTGTCTATGTGCCCCATGATTGCAATATACATTTATTTGGCCTTAAATGTGTGCTTACACTACAACAAAAAGTAACATATGATGACCTTCCAAAAAGTGAACGTATATTTATCGTAATGACTTAAGGACTTGAAGGAAAAGTATTTTTGTAGCTAAAGTTTGCAAAACAAACATTTCTCTGTAGTTCACAATATCTCTAGTTTATTTTGTTGCTTTATGGATGTATTTAAATGGATGAATGGGCAAAAAGTGAGCAAATATATTATTGAGTCTATACTAGATGCCACACTAGATGCATATGCATTTTTTTTTTTTTTTTTTTTGAGACTTGCTCTGTCGCCCAGGCTGGAGTGCAGTGGCGGATCTTGGCTTACTGCAAGCTCCGCCTCCCAGGTTCACACCATTCTCCTGCCTCAGCCTCCCGAGTAGCTGGAACTACAGGCACCCGCCACCACACCCGGCTAATTTTTTGTATGTTTAGTATGGTCTCGATCTCCTGACCTCGTGACCTTTTGTATGTTTAGTATGGTCTTGATCTCCTGACCTCGTGATCCACCCGCCTCGGCCTCCCAAAGTGCTGGGATTACAGGTGTGAGCCACCGCCCCCGGCTGCATATGCATTTTTAATTTCTTCTTTATGATCCTGTGAAGTTGGAAGTCTTAACTTCATTTTATAGATGAGAAAAAAGCTCAAAGGTGGAAGTAATTTACCAAAGTACACAACAAGTGGCAGAACCTTGATTCAGATCCAAGTTTTCAGAGTTCAAGTCCAGTTTTTTTCCATATTAATTCTCAGTGATTATAATAAGATCTTATTCTTATTCTAAAATTTGTCTTTGTATTTTTATAAGGGAGTAATTGCTGTCAATCCTACTGCTTTCTAGATTGACAGCCATAAACATTGACTGTATGTAGTATTTGTTCCTCCTGGAAATAGGTAATAAAAGTAGCGTAGCGAATAGACGTGTTATCTTCTGTTCACAACGTTCTACTTTATTCTTATAAATATAATCTTAGCATTCTTTTTTTTGTTGTTGTTGTTGTTGTTTGAGACAGAGGCTCGCCCTGTCGCCCAGGCTGGAGCGCAATTGCGCAATCTCGGCTCATTGCAACCTCCACTTCTCAGGTTCAAGCAATTCTCTTGCCTCAGCCTCTCAAGTAGTTGGGATTACAGGCACCCACCACCACGCCCGACTAATTTTATGTATTTTTAGTAGACACAGGGTTTCACCATGTTGGCCAGGCTGCTCTCAAACTCTTGACCTGAGGTGATCCACCTTGGCCTCCCAAAGTGTTGGGACTACAGGCGTGAGCCACTGCACCTGACTTAATCTTAGCATTCTTAATGAAGACTTACAGTACATAAGCCATGATTTTTTTGGTCAGGCAATCAATAGTTACTTATTAGTGTCTACTCAATGCAAAGCACCTTTCTTGGCATTCTGGAGAAACAAAGAGAGATTATAATTTAGGGAAGGAGATAAATTAAAAGGTTAATTTAAAAAATGATAAGTGCACAGTTGAAGAGATGTCACAAGCCAAGAAGACTGGCACAAATGGTAGTGCTAAAGGAGTTCTTGGTCATGGTGCCATGTGCCTGTAATCCCAGTTACTTGAGAGGCTGTGACAGGAGGGTTGCTTGAACCAAGGTGTTCAAGACTAGCCTGAGCAACATAGCAAGTCCCGATCTCAAAAAAAAAAAAAAAAGTTATAAAAAAAGATAGGTTCAAATCCTAGCTAGGGAAAAAAAGATAGAAGTCACTAGACTGGCATATTCTACAAAAGCATAATTGCTAGACTTTCTTATGCGTCCTGCCTTTGTAACTGCTGTTGCCTCTGCCTGATCTCCTTTCCACCTACTCTTTCCCACAAACTAATTCATGTGCTTCAAAACTACTATTTTTTTCGTATCATTTCTAATATGGTGCTTGATGCCTAGAACATGTAGTCATCTATGTAATGCCCATTCCCAACAAACTTCCAAGCTTTTGTTAATGCTGGAATAAATTAATATAAACCTAAAGTTTATGAATTAGTATAAACCTAAATGTCTGAAAATAATAGACATGTAGTATTGTATTCTTACCTCAAAATATGTTGAATCTTGCCAACATTAAATCAACACTGGTGTTCTTGCCTGTTAATTCTTCTAGGTGTTCATGAAAACTTGAAGGTTGTGTGGAGCAGAAGGAAGAGGGGGTCTGATATGCATGTTCTCCGTGGCACTCCTTATCTAGGATTTCTCTAGGGCAAATGCTCATTTTACCTCCCACATCCCCAGTGGTAACTCAGCCTTTAATACTTCATGGCAAGATAGGATTGATGTTGGAATCCAGCTAAATTGGATACAAATGGTACAATGCAGCTTGGTTATGAATGAATAAAGGACTGCAACAGGAAGCAAAAATCTTTAGGACTTGAAGATTGTAGTAATAGTAAACCCAGAAATAGCAGCACCTGATAGGACCACACAGCCCCAAAGTTTTCAGAAATGAAAAAGCTTTCTTTTTTTGTCTTTTTGTTTTCTCTCTTGGTTTTTTGGTTCTTTTGGTTTCATTTGAGACAATACCATGATTTAGTAGGCATAGTCACCTCTTCCACCCCAGGAACCAAATGCCACTCCCTACAGTTATTTTGCAAAGTGGCATCACAGACATCTTTAGTAAAGTAATAATGGAGAGCTTGTGATACTTGACAAGAAGTCTTTATAAGCCGCTTCACATTTTGCTTTCTGGAAAAGATAATTTAACATTGGATACGTGGATTGACACATTTAAATTGCTGGAGCAGCATACCAAGTTCCTTTTTTTTTTGTTATTTTGAGGTGAAGTTTCAGTTTCGCTGTTGTCCAGGCTGGAGGGCAATGGCGCGATCTCAGCTCACCACAACCTCTGCTTCCCGGGTTGAAGCAATTCTCCTGCCTCAGCCTCCTGAGTAGCTGGGATTACAGGCATGCGCCACTATGTCTAGCTAATTTTGTATTTTTAGTAGAGATGGGGTTTCTCCATGTTGGTCAGGCTGGTCTCAAACTCCCGACCTCAGGTGATCCGCCCACCTTGTCCTCCCAAAGTGCTGGAATTACAGGCGTGAGCCACCGCACCCGGCCTCAAGTTCCCATTTTAAAGAATTTGACAGGACAATAAAGTAATTAAAATCATTACATTGTATCTACATGTTATTAAAACAGAATAGTCCTGGAGGTTTATACCATATTGATTAGTATATTTGTTTACATTAAGCAAAGCCGAGCATATGTGGGCACATTTTTTTTCTAAATCACAAGCTGCATGTATGAGCCGTGAGCCTTTGTTTCTCCTAAGTGAGTGTATATGGGAGATTGCAGGTGGAGAGGGTCAGACAGAGGGATGAGATATTGTGCAACAGTGAGTATTCTTACTCAGCTGACTTTGAGAGGCACAATAGTGTGGTAGTTAGCACCATACATGCCAGAGCTAGAAACCCTACTTATTAAATATGTGACCTTAGGCAAATTAGTTTACCTCTTACAAGCCTGTTTCCTCATCTGAGGAAAAAAAAAGGAAAAATAATAAGGTTTTCCTCATTGGATTGCAATGATGAAATGAGTTAGTGTAAAGGACTTACATTATTATTATTTGACACAGGAAGTGTACAGAGCTTTGTTTTAGGTCTGACTATATACAAAGATGATTATTCAATTTTAAAGTAGTGGCCCTTTGAAGAAAACAAAGCAATATTCATTTGTCAAATTGCTGAAAATGCTACTGTGCTCTTCTTGTATGCCTGTATTTTTATTAGTTAATTCAACAAGTCAGTTGTTCACTAACATGTCAGGCACTGTGCTAGATGTTGAGGTTAAGAAGATAAATAGGCCAGGCGCGGTGGCTCACGCCTGTCTGTAATTCCAGCACATTGGGAGGCCGAGGCGAGCGGATCGCCTGAGGTTGGGAGTTTGAGACCAGCCTGGCCAGACGGTGAAATCCTGTCTCTATTAAAAATGCAAAAAAAAAAAAAAAAATTAGCCAGGTGTGCTGGCATGCGCCTGTAAACCAGCTGCTCAGGATGCTGAGGCAGGAGAATCACTTGAACCCAGGAGGCGGAGGTTGCAGTGAGCCGAGATCCCGCCATTGCACTCCAGCCTGGACAACAGAACGAGACTCTGTCTGAAAAGATAAATAAATAAAACCATTTCAGCTCTCAAGAAGTTCTCAGGCTAGTAAGAGAAGCAGACATGTAAACCATTAATTATAAGTACTATAGTAGAAGTATGATCTGAATGTTAGGGAAGCAAGAATATATGTATCTAACTCAGTGTAGAAGGCACACAAGCGTGTCATGGAGGCCTTCCTAGGGAAAATGTGGCCTGAGCTGGCCAAGCATGGTGGCTCACGCCTGTAATCCCAGCACTTTGGGAGGCCAAGGTGGGCGGATCACGAGGTCAGGATATCGAGACCATCCTGGCTAACACGGTGAAACCCCGTCTCTACTAAAATATATATTTTTTTAAATTAGCCAGGTGTGGTGGCGGGCGCCTGTAGTCCCAGCTACTTGGGAGGCTGAGGCAGGAGAATGGCGTGAACCTGGGAGGCAGAGTTTGCAGTGAGCCAGGATCGTGCCACTGCACTCTAGCCTGGGCAACAGAGCAAGACTCCATCCAAAAAAAAAAAAAGTGTGACCTGAGCTGAGTATTGGAGGACAAATAAATGATGTTCTGGGAAGAGGAATGTGAATGTATATATAAAATATGTAAGTGTGAAATACGGCATATTTGAGCCATGCATTATTTGGGGAACTGCCAGAAATTCAGCATGCCTGAAATTTTGGGTGTATATAAGACTGTTAGGGCCAGGCACGGCGGCTCATGCTTGTAATCCCAGCACTTTGGGAGCCGAGGCAGGCGAATCACATGAGGCTAGGAGTTTGAGACCAGCCCGGCCAACATGGCGAAACCCTGTCTCTACTGAAAATACAAAAAATTAGCCAAACCTAGTGGCACTTGCCTGTAATCACAGCTACTCGGGGGGAGGGCTGAGGCACAAGAATCGCTTGAACCCGGGAGGCAGAGGTTGCAGTGAGCCAAGATCGCACCACTGCACTCCAGCCTGGAGACAGAGCGAGACCCTGTCTCAAAACAAAACAAAAACCTGCTAGAAATGCCATTGTCCCTTCTTGTACCCTTCCCCTAGAAAGGTCCCTTTTTTATTCTTTTTTATCCTCTTTCACTTTCTCTTTACATAACTTGGCTCAAGGCTCCTCGGCTTGCAAATGATAAGAGGTGGAAATCAAAGCCCTGATTCATCTCTCTGTCTCTAGTCTGTACTCCTTCTCTTATGCTACTTTGAAGATTTTCCATTCTTTGAATAAAATTTGTCATTATTTTACTAGGATTTTTGTGAGGGAGATTGTGATAGGTTGTGCTTTACTAGACTAATTTTGGTCATTACATTTAGATTTTATAGAGCTAATAGGATGAGTGCAAGTAGGGGAAGATGTACTCCATATTAATTCAATTAAATATACATATACTGAATGCAGTTGAACGTAACTATTGTGTTAGCTATTATTGAAAATACAAATCAGATTACATTTTCTGTCCTTAAGAAGCTTATATTCTAATACAGGAAATCATGCAGGAAAAAAATCTAATGCCAGATGGTTCGTCAAACAGCTGTCTGTTAAGCTTAGCACTAGGGCCATGTTTCTCAACTTTTATTTCCATTATCAGCCCCCTTATGGAACCCTTTTAGACCTGTTTTTCCTATTCAGCACCCCACTGTAAAATTTTAACACCATAGATACACTGTATATGCTTTAATGGACTGTATGTGTATCTATGCTTTATATATAAAACATACTTTTTTTCATACCCTCCCAAAAAAACAATTTTTTCCTCTTGGGGAGTAATATTGCCCATGTTGAAAATGTGTACACTAAACTAGAGTTACCATTTGCAAGGTCTAAGATTGGGAGTAAAATTCTAGTTTCAGGATTTTAGTAAATATCTAACCATATATTATAATTTAGAAATTAAATTTTCTGAGTTCAGGTAAAACGCACAGCACTGTCAGCATCAGATCAAAAAATAAAATAATTGTATATGCACATACTTGTGTGGCTAAGCTTAAGCTTGTCACGTTGTGCAACTTCAGAGAGTATATTTACAGTATAGTCTGTGTGATGGGAAGGAAAGGAGGGAATGAAAAATCATTTGAAATTATAACCATGATGTGATTAAAAGACAAAATCATCTTAAAGTTTTCTTGACATTCCTATCTTGAACAGAATTATGTGTTTGTCCTTTGCAATATATAATTAATTCTCTGTGAATGTTTAAGTCACCCACATATTAATTTACATACAGGCCAAAAATGTATACCAACCAGAATATTCACAGAATATACACACTTATTTTATTCTTGAATATAGAGCTAAGAACATGAATGCTGTGCTAATTTTTACTCCATAAAGACATTATAAATCAGTTTTATCAAAGCTTAAGTACCCACCCTAGGACAAAAATAAATTATTCTGACCTATATGCCAAGGAACTAAAGGAGATCTCCAGCCACCAAAAAACCTGTGAGGAACTGAATTCCTACCAAAGAACTGAAAGCCTTGGCTTAACAGCCTATGAGGAGCTGCATTCTGCCAACAACCATGTAAGCAAACTTGGAAGTGAATCTTCCTGCAGATGCGATCGCAGCCCTGGGCAAGACTTTTGTTTGCATCTTTGCGAGAGATCCTGAAACAGAGAACCCAGCTAAGCCACACCCAGATTCTGACCCAGGGATACTCTGAAATAATAAATGTTCATTGTTGTTTTTTGTTTGGTTGGTTTTGTGTGTGTATGGTTGGGTTTTTTGGGTATTCCCCCTCCCCCCAAAAAATGAGGTCTCCCTATGCTGCCCAAGCTGGTCTCTAACTCCTGGGTTTAAGCAGTACTTCCACCTCAGCCTCCTGAGTAGCTGGGATTACAAACGTACACCACTGTGCCCTGTTGTTTTTTAATTGAATTCTCCTCCACTTCCACCAAACCATCTCCTTTTAAAGATCAACTGTTCAATAAGTACCTGAACAGTTGATAGATTCCACATACTATACACTACCATAGAACTTAGCACTTCTTTATAGCATTTATCAAATTTGCACTTAAACAGTATGTTGTCTCTCTGAGTTGGTAAATTACATAAGGATGAGAACATCCCTGCTGTGTTTATTACTACAAACCATATATAACACAGTTTTTGATATTTAGAAGACATGCAATAAATAAGGTAAAAATTTGTCTCCCCATTCGTTTTACCAAGTTATATCCTTGTCCTATGTTATATATAAAAATAAAATCTACATAAAGGTCTGAAGAAAGAAAACATAAAATTAGTGGGAGAAATATTGTTGAATATTTAAATATTTGAGAGTGGGGAAGGCCTTATCAAGGATAGCACCAAAGGCAATATCTATAAAGCAAAAGATTGATAGGTATGACCATATAATTTGATACTTCTGCAAAAACAACATAAATAAAAGATACAAACTGGAAAAATACTTACAAAATATATGACATGAAGTTATTTATCCTTAATGTATAAAAGTCATATGAATGAATAAGAAACACATGTACACATGCTAGTGTTTTGGAGAGAGGGACAGAGAACATAAACTGAAATACAAATGTCTAATAAATGACGAAAAGTTCAACTTTATTAGTAATTGAAATGGAAATTGATAACAAGCTATCATTTCTACCTTTCAGAATAATAGAGACTTTATAAAATACTAATACTGAGTTTCGAAGGGAGAAGTGCAAGGACAGAATGACTACTTATAGGAGTATAAATTGGTAGTTTTTTTAGAGGGCAATTTGTAAGAAAAACCTTTAAATGAGCATGCCCTATGATCTAGCAATAATTCTTTTAGTAATTTAACCTAAAAAAATTTGTACCAAACTTTAGCTGCAAAAATGTTCAGGGAATCAATTGGTTAAACAAATTATGGCCGAGCGTGGTGGCTCACGCCTGTAATCCCAACACTTTGGGAGGCCAAGGCAGGCGGATCATGAGGTCAGGAGATCGAGACCATCCTGGCTAACATGGTGAAACCCCATCACTACTGAAAATACAAAAAATTATCCGGGCGTGGTGGCATGCACCTGTAGTCCCAGCTACTCGGGAGGCTGAGGCAGGAGAATTGCTTGAACCTGGGAGGCAGAGCTTGCAGTGAGCCAAGATCGCACCACGGCACTCCTGCCTGGGCGACAGAGCAAGACTCCGTCTCAAAAAAAAAAAAAAAAATTAAAACAAATTACATAATATAAAATCGAAAATTGTGTCCCCATTTAAAATGATATTGTGGAATATGAATTGACCTGGAAAGATGGTTATCGTATGTGGTTGAACAAAGAAAAAAGAGGCAAATTCATCCATTTTAAGTATATGATTCAATGAGTTTTAATACATTTACAGAGTTGTGCCACCATCACATTCCAATTAAAATGATCTTTCTTTTCTTGCTTACCTATATTTTCTTCTGCTTCTATGCTAGTTATGTATAAGTGGCCATTTTAAAAGTTAAATTCCCCCTTCAGTACTGACTCCTCCAAAAAAAAGGCAAATATAAAATGTCAAAATAATAGTAACGATAGCTAAAATGTTTTCCAAAGAATGAAAAAGATAACAAGCAAACACACTTTAATTTTTGTAGAGAGATTAAATACTTGCAGAGAGATTGAAGGGCCTGCTTTCAGTCTGTGTAAGTATGCCTATTTGCAAAAGGGCTTTACTCTCTTATCCCCACCTACCCTCTCTTTCTCTGACCTTGCTGATCCTCCCAATGTATTTCAGCTTTAAAAGGATAAGAAGTTTTAGTATGGGAGTCATTAAAAGTCCTAATTCAGCCTTAATTCCTAAAAGTAAAAGAAACTAGGCTTGATAAACATAAGGAAACATGAATTCAAGAAATAGATAGGAACACAAAAGAAAATACTAGTGGGGCATGATGGTTCACACTGTAATCCCAGCACTTTGGGAGGCTGATGCAGGAGGATTGCTTGAACCCAGGAGTTTGAGACCAGCCTGGTCAATATATTGAGACCCCATCTCTACAAAAAATTTAAAAAGTGGTGCTCACTGTGGTCCCAGCTATTCAAGAGGCTGAGGTGGGAGGATCACTTGAGCCTGGGAGATTGAGGATACAGTGAGTTACAATCACACCACTGAACTACAGCCTGGGTGACAGAGCAAGACCCTGTTTAAAAAAATGCTACTGGAATACATTGCTTTTTCAAAGATCAATATATAATAACCAATTGTTATAGCTGTGAAAATTACACATTATATACAAAATAAAAAGCACTGATTTGCCACGTTGGGCAAAACCACAATAATTTTCCAACTTTAAGCCACTTCTGCCATCATCAAGATATCAGATCTAAAAGTACCAGAAAAATAGGGATGAGACTTGAAATTTTCTAAAAATTTTATGCTACTCAGATACATTTTGCTTTACAGAAATAGAAACAGAACACACATAAAATACATATTTACCTGTGTTTCACTGTTAGAATGTAAGCTAGTGCTAGAATAAATATGAAAATATAGGAGAAGGGGCTGAAATGCCAAAGTCCTTTCATATCAGGAGACAAAAGATCAAAAGATACACTTTTCACATAACAGAATCACAGAGTATTATGACACAGTAGTTGGTTCTACTTCAACTTATATATGAATGAGAAAATCAGAACAATTATGACCTGTCCATAGTGATATATTAGCTAGTTACTATCAAAAAAACACAAAACTCTCATCTCTTTCATCATAGTGTAGTACACTTTCCTTTTTCTTTTTTTTTTTTTTTTTTTTTTTTTTTGAGATGGAGTCTCACTCTGTGGCCAGGCTAGAGTGCAGTGGCACAATCTCAGCTCACTGCAACCCCCGCCTCCCGGGTTCAAGTGATTCTCCTGCCTCAGCCTCCCGAGTAGGTGGGACTACAGGCACCCACCACCACACCCAGCTAATTTTTATGTTTTTAGTAGAGACGGGGTTTCATCATGTTGGCCAGGATGGTCTCGAGCTCTTGACCTCGTGACCCACCCACCTCGGCCTCCCAAAGTGCTGGGATTACAGGCATCAGCCACCACGCCTGGCCTACTTTTCTTTAATCCTTGCTTTTATAGGAGACAATAGAGTAGAGGCTCTGGAGTCTAAATGCTTGATTTCAAATCCTACGTCACCACCTAACTAGTTATGTAATTTTGGGCAAGTTACTCAATATTTCTGGGTCTTATCTGTATAGTGGAGGATCTAATAGTACTCAAAATAAAAGTATAACAATTGATATATTGTATGTAAAATGCTTAATACAGTGCCTGGCGCATGGTAAGCATTCAATAAACACTAGCTATTTGTTACTCAGTGTAAATAAAGTTTTTTTGGAGTTTTGTTTTTTTTTTTTTTTTTTTTAGATGGAGTCTCGTTCCGTCGCCTAGGCTGGAGTGCAATGGTGTGATCTAGGCTCACTGCAACTTCCGCCTCCTGGGTTCAAGTGATTCTCCTGCCTCAGCCTCCTGAGTAGCTGGGATTACAGGAGCCCACCACCATGCCGGACTAATTTTTGTATTTTTAGTAGAGACAGGATTTCACCATGCTGGCCAGGCTGGTTTCGAACTCTTGACCTCAGGTGATCCGCACACCTCAGCCTTCCAAAGTGCTGGGATTACAGATGTGAGCAACTGCACCCAGCCTAAATAAAGTTTTTAAATGATAACATCACGGGCAAGAGTGTCACTAAAAATGTGTAAAACAAGGGGTTGAAGAAGTTGAATTTGTGTATGGAAGCAGAGAAGAGAGAAAAGGGCATGGTGTGGAGAGGGAAATTATGAGTCAGGAAACAAACTAGAGTTAATTACAGTAAGATAATCAGAAGAGAAGTGGACCATAGGATAATTTTATTTTGTTTTATTTATTTAATTTTTGAAACAGGGCCTCACTCTGTCTCCCAGGCTGGAGTGCAGTGGTGTGATCATGGTTCATTGCAGCCTCAACCTCGTGGGCTCAAATGATCCTCCCACCTCAGCCTCCTGAGTAGCTGGGACTACCGGCGCACGCCACCACACCCAGCTAACTTTTTAAAATTTTTTGTAGGGACAGGGTCTCACTATATTGCCCAGGCTGGTCTCGAACTCCTGGACTCAAGGATCCTCTGGTCTTATTCTCCCAAAGTGCTGGGATTATAGGCATGAGCCACCATGCCCAGGCTAAGGCAAATCTTACCATAACAATTAGTTCTTAACAAACCAACCAACAAACTACATCCAGGCATTGTGGCTCACGCCTATAATCCCAGCACTTTGGGAGGTCGAGGCGGGGGGATCACCTGAGGTCAGGAGTTCCAGACCAGCCTAACATGGTGAAACCCCATCTCTACTAAAAATACAAAAATTAGTTGGGCGTGGTTGCGGGCACCTGTAATCCCAGCTACTCAGGAGGCTGAGGCAGGAGAATTGCTTGAACCCAGGAGGCAGAGGTTGCAGTGAGCCGAGATTGTGCCATTGCACTCCAGCCTGGGCAACAAGAGCTAAACTCCATCTCAAAAAAAAAAAAAAAAAAAAAAAAAATATATATATATATATATATATATATTCTAAAAGCTGGACCAGTATGCTGTATAACATGAATTATATCACCCTACCAAACAGTTAAAGGCCAGAAAGTTTGGTTCTGGAGTCAGAGCCAAAACTGTTTCAGGTGGTAGCTGCAGGGATACCCATTAACCACTGGTAACAAAGAGACTTTTGTTCACATATTTATAGTATTTTGTCCCCAGTTTTTATAGGAAAATTTGTTCAAAGTTACCAAAACAATGATAGCACTCTTAAGAGTTCTATGGACCCCATCTTGAACCTTTCTTCTGAGATGGCAGTGTCTATGTAAGCTCTTTATGTGCCCTTAAAAACAGCTAGAGGTATTAGAAATTAGAATCTTTATAATCAACTCTTGGTTCCTCAGAATGCCCAAACAAGTAAAATTGACTGAGTTTGGAGCTGGAAGGGACTTTAGACATCCCTAATTTTACAGAAGGGAAAACTGAGGCTCCACAGGGTAAACCAACTTGCCTGTCATCAAAGTAACCAATAGCAGAGCTGGCACTAGAATTTCAGTCACCTAATTTCTAGTGCAATGCTATTTCCACTGTCAAAAGTTATTAAAATTGTATATTTAAATGGGTCTTTTAGAAAATTTAGTCCAGAGATTCCTAAATAATTACCCAGGAGCTGGTCCTGGATTGGCTGTAAAAAATTATTAGTAGTGCTTCTGAGAGATACATATCTTTGGCTCCATCTTCAGAGATTCTGATTAAGTATGATCAGGATATGGAATCTGTATTGTTTAAAACTTCTGAGTTATTCTCTCAATCAGCTAGGCCTAGGAAGCATTCTCCAGACCAGTCATTTATCAGATGTACCAGTACCATCAATAACATTAGTATAGCTTCTGCTTGAATACCTTCAATATAAAATCTATTACATAAACAAGTCCTTGATAGTATGATATCTAAGCAAAGGAGGATGGGGACGAGGTTTAAATTCTATTTTAAACTTTAGAAACCTCTACTCAAGTTTAGGCAGAGAAGTAGGATTTCTTCGGCAGGGCACCATAGCTCACGCCTGTAATCCCAGCACTTTGGAAGGCCGAGGTGGGCAGATCACCTGAGGTCAGGAGTTCGAGACCAGCCTGGCCAACATAGTGGAACCCCGTCTCTACCAAAAATACATTAGCTGGGTGTGGTGGCATCCTCCTGTAATCCCAGCTACTCAGGAGGCTGAGGCAGAAGGATCATTTGAATCTGGGAGGTAGAGGTTGCAGTGAGCCAAGATTGCACCATTGCACTCCAGCCTGGGCAACAGAGCAAGACTCTGACTCAAAAAAAAAAAAAAAAAAAAGAGAAAAAGAAAGTAGAATTTCTCCATGTCTTAATAATCAATTGGGCATACGTGTCAGTTTTCACATAATTTGGGGCTATGTTAATGGAAACATGGAAATAGGCAGAATATCTGTTGAGTTCAATGGTAAAACCCAGGAAGCTGGATGTAATGGTACTTTTTCACAAATTAAGACTCTGTGTCTTAATTTATGAATTATGTGCTCATACTTCTTGGCACTTGTATTTAAGGTTTCACTATCAAATATATCAGTGTACATCTCACTCTGAGGCTAGCTATATAGAGAACAAGCAAAAAATTTATTATAAAAGCTATTATACAATTACTATTAGCATAGTAATATAACTTAGTTAATTTCAGAATTTATTTTTCCCCTTCTCCTTCCTAAAGAACTTTGCTTTTGTTTAACATTCCTCCTCTCTTCCATGAATTCTATATAATTCTTTGAAGCTCACCTTATCCCTAGCCCTAGCTGTTTTATTAGGACTAGTGAAAACATGGTATTCCTACTTCCATGCCAATGTTTGTTACTTGCTCCAGAACTAGGCTTAAGGCAATCAGCACATAGCATTCTTACGGTGACTATTACTGGTCAGGGAGAGAACCTACATTGACCAATCAAACTGAAGGGAAAGACTTACATTCAATAGTAGGTGAGAGGTTTCCTTTCTCTTCACCTATACTTGAAGAAGGGTACATGTTATCACTACTGCTGCTGGCAGCCATCATGTGGCCAAGAAGAAAGCCATTTAAGGATGAACCCTACACCCTCAGGAAGGCAGAGCTGAGAAAATAGCATAGAAATGGAGCCAGAGCGTGGCTCTAGACACCCTAACCACTGAACTTTGTTTTGTGAGATAATAAAATTCCATATTGTTTTAGCTGGTGTGAATTAGGTCTCACTATATACAGCTGAAAATATCCTAACTATTCATGTGTAAAATATATTGTGAGGAGGGCAGGGGATATGTTGGAAATCTCTGTCCTCTTAATTTTGCTGCTCCAAAACTGCTCTAAAAAATAAAGTCTTTTAAAAAATACATATGGCAAGGTTCAGCCCAACACATACTTTAAGATTAGCATAATGTGACCTGCTGTAATCCTCAGACTATGGCAAAATTATATTTGATCTAACCAATGAGTATTTGACTTAGAGTCTCTGAGTTTCTGGCTGCATCACCAAGACTTCATTCATAAGGCTATTGTCCTACCTACAAAATATGTAAACTCTTATTGAGGGACACAGTCTGAGAAAGGCTCTCTAGAACCATTCAGGAGCTATGGCATGGTGTTCACTTCAGTATATATTATACTTAATAATAGGTAATGAGTCTACATAAAGATTTACTTACTTATTAAGCACATGCAAAGACTGAAAGGTGAGGCCATTGAGGTACAAGCAAAAGTAGGGGACTGTAATGTCAAGGAAGCAGAAAGAAAAAATGTTTTGAGAAGGAAAGAATAATCAGCTGTTCAAGTGCTGCTAGAAGCTTTCTTGGAATTTAAAATACAAGTGAGTAGGCAAGGTATTCACACATTATAAAACAAAGTTGCATATAGTAAATGTGATGTGAATTCAAAGGCTGTACATTCTAGCTCTTTCCTACTCAAAAGAAGCATCACGTAGGAGCTGTTAGAATTGGAGAACCAGCCAAGCATGGTGGCTCGCACCTGTAATCCACAAGAGGCCCTAGGCAGGCAGATCACCTGAGCTCAAGAGTTCAAGACTAGCCTGGGCAATATGGTGAAAGAAACTCCACCTCTACAAAAAATAGCGGAGCATGGTGGCACTTGCCTATAGTCCCAGCTACCCGGGAGGCTGAGGTGGGAGGGTAGGTTGAGGCTGCAGTGAGGTGTGATTGCACCACTATGCTCTCCAGCCTGAGCAGCAGAGCAAGACCCTGCCTCCAAAAAAAAAAAAAAAAAAAGGAAACACAGAACCTCAGATCCCAATCCCACCAATCTCGCCCAGAATCTACTGAATCACAATTTTACATTTTAACAACAAACTGATGAAGGCTGGCATTTTAGGAATTGACCAAGTGATACACAGTATGAAGTGAAGAGAAGCAGTCTAGAAGTAAGGGGATAGGCTTGGTTTTTGTGTGTTTTTTTTTAACCACTTATGTCTTCCTTTTAATCAAAATTTTATATTTTACATATTTACATATATGCATATATAAGTATATGTATATATACAAATACAATGCATTTTCAGCTATAAATGTATATATACATATAAAGTGTATATATATATGTACAATTCTTTTTTACCTTTAAAAATGTGTGGTGTATATATGTGTATGTTTGTGTATATATAAATATTATGATATATATATTATATATATGTATGTATGTATGTCTGGCTAAGTCCTATAATCTCAGTACTTTGGGAGGCCGAGGCAGGAGGATCACTTGAGGTCAGGAGTTCAAGATTGGCTTGGGCAACACAACAAGACCCTGTCCTTTTATTTTTTTGATGGAGTCTCGCTCTGTCGCCCAGGAGTGCAGTGGTGCAATCTCAGCTTACTGCAACCTCTGCCTCCCAGGTTCAAGCGATTCTCCTGCCTCAGCCTCCCGAGTAGCTGGGACTACAGGCATACTACGCCCAGCTAATTTTTGTATTTGTAGTACCATGTTGGCCAGGTTGGTCTCGAGTTCCAGACCTCAAGTGATCTACCACCTCAGCCTCCCAAAATGCTGGGATTACAGGCGTGAGCCACTGCTCCCAGCCTGAAGTAATTTACTTTCATTTCCTTCACTTTAAGCGAATCATGAAATTTCACAGTGATTCCTGGGGTAGGGAGAGAAGGAAGGCGGTGTTTGGAATCATCGGGGCTGTGGCCCAGTTGGCCCGCATAGATGCAGGCAGGTGGGGCCTCACTGGGGCAGCTGGAGGAGCAGGTACTGCCCCGCCTCAGGAGCATAAGAGCTGGCACGTGGTATCCCCAGTGGCTTCTGGCTGGCATGGCTCCATCAGGCAAGTCCCCACAGTGGCCAGTGAGGTGGCGGTCAGCTCCGCTGCCTTGGAGTCGCCCTCAGCAGATATCATGGTTGCCTTTTTCTGCTGCCCAGCCTTTTCCACCACAAATCTGGCCCTCTCTGCTTCCTGCTGAGCCACCTGTTTGGCTTCCACTGCTTCTGTGAACTCCTTCCCAAAGGTCAGATGTGTCGAGGAGGTGTCATCCAGCATGAGCTAAATAAAATGTGGCTACTGCTCCATAAGGTCATCCTTCACCTGCCTGGAGACCACCTCTCTCTGGGTGATTGCTTCTGCAGCCTCAAAGCGAACCACCACCTGCTTAAGGATGTCTGTAGTGATGGATGGCAGCACAGGCTCATCACAGCCCTCTCCCATGCTGGTGAAGATGCAAGGAAGCTGGCTAGGGACAGGCAGGAAGAGGATGCGCAGTGGGGTATTGACATTCTGTAAATCTTTGCTACTGTGATGACTGGCACCTTACGTGGTCGAGAATGACAAAGGTAATCGGTTTCTGTATCCATGGGATGAGAAAGTGAGTTCTTTCCCCTACCACAATGTCCTGTACCCCAGAATCAGTCAAAGAGGACAGCTCTGTGCCCAGCATCCACATTATATAAGGCAGAGTTCACCATGCCTCCTGCAACAAGGCAGAGTTCACCATGCCTCCTGCAACAACTAAGGCCAGGCCAATGGACTCAAACACTTTGGCAGCCATGTTTCCTTCTGCTGGACCCTCTCACACTTGCTTCCACTCTGACCTCCACGTAAATTCCTCAGCCACACATACAAAATATTTTTTAAAAAATTAGCTGGGAATGGTGGTGCACGCCTGTCATCTTAGCTACTCAGGAGACTGAGGAGGGAGGATTGCTTGAGCCCAGGAGTTGGAGGCTGCAGTGAGCTATGATTGGGCCACCGCACTCTGGCCTGCATGACACAGCAGGACCCTGCCCCTAAAATTAAACATTTTTAAACTTTAAAATTTTTTAAATAAAAAATATATAATACATATAATTGTTTTCTCACCTTAAATTTTTTTTTTGTCTTTAACACTTCCTTACTGATTCATAAAAAGCTTCCTTGGCCAGGTGCCGTGCCTCACGCCTGTAATCCCAGCACTTTGGGAGGCCAAGGCAGGCAGATCATCTGAGGTCAGGAGTTCAAGACCAGCCTGGCCAACATGGTGAAACCCCGTCTTTACTAAAAATACAAAAAAATTAGCCAGGTGTGGTGGCAGGCATCTGTAATCCCTGCTACGGGAGGCTGAGGCAGGAGAATTGCTTGAACCCAGGAGATGGAGGTTGCAGTGAGCCGAGACCACACCATTGAACCCCAGCCTGGGCAATAAGAACGAAACTCCGTCTCAAAAAAAAAAAAAGCTTCCTTTTTCTCAACAGTTTAACGGTATTCTATTGACTGAATAAATAATAATTTATTTTTCAGTCTTCTATGATAGACTAAGTTGTTTACAGATTTACCAATAATCCTGAAGTGAATGACTACAAATGCAAATCACTTTCCATATGTATGAATTTATCTATAGGATTAAATTCCTAGGAATTGAATTAAAGAGTATATTTTAAACATTTAAACATTTCTCTTGTTGCTGTTAAATTTCCCTCTGTAGAGGCAGTGCCAATTTATGTTCCCCACTCTAAGATTGTCTTATCAAAAATTTTAATATTTGCCTGGCCAGCGCAGTGGCTCACGCCTGTAATCCCAGAACTTTGGGAGGCCAAGGCAGGTGGATTCCTTGAGGTCAGGAATTTGAGACTAGCCTGGCCAACATGGCGAAACCCGGTCTCTACTAAAAATACAAAAATTAGCTGAGTGTGGTGGTGCACACCTGTAATCTCAGCTACTCAGGAGGCTGAGGCAGGAGAATCACTTGAACCTGGGAGGCAGAGGTTGCAGTGAGCGGAGATTGTGTCCCTGCACTCCAGTCCATGCAACAGAGCAAGATTCCATCTAAAAAAAAAAAAAATTCTTAATCTTAACGAAATCCAAAGTATCAAATGATCTTTCATGGTTACTGTTATTTTTATGTGTGGGTCCTGTTTAAGAAATCTTTGCTTACCCTGATGTCATGGAGATAACTGTTTTCTTCTAGAAGCTTAATTGTATTTAATTCTATGCAGTTTGATTACATGTAAGTTTGTGTATCCACAACCACAGTGAAGATACAGAACAGTTCCATCAACACAAGGATCTCCTCCTGTTCTTTAATAACCACAACTCCCTTTTATCCTTCTCCCATCCCCCAATTCCTAACCCTTGACAGCTACACATTCTTTCTTTATCTCTCATATTTTGTCATTTCAAGTCTGTTTTATAAATGGAATCATAAATATAAAACCTTTAAGTTTGGCCTTTTCACTCAACATAATTTCCTTGAGATCCATCGAAGTTGTGTGTATCAATAGTTTGTTCCTTTTATTGCTGAGTAGTATTCCATGGTATTTATGTACCACAGTTTAACCATTCACTCATTGAAGGACATTTAGAGTATTTCCAGTTTGGGGCTATTATGAACAAAACTGCTATGACCATTCATGTACATGTTTTTATGTGTGTGAATATAAGTTTTCTCTTCTCTGGGATACATGCCCAAGAGTTCAGTTGCTGGGTTATATAGTAATTGCATGTTTAGTTTATAAGAGACTGCCAAACTGTTTTCTAGAGTGGCTGTACTATTTAACATTCTCACCAGTAATATCTGTATAATCTGGTTTCTCTGTATCCTTCAAAGCATTTGGTGATATCACTAGTTTTTATTTTAGCCATTCCAATAGATGTGTAGTAATGTCTCACTGTGATTTTTAATTTGCATTTTTCTAATGTCTATTGATGTTGAATATCTTTTCATGTGTTTATTTGCTATCTGTATATCCTCTTTGGTGAGATGCCTGTTCATGTATTTGCCCATTCTCATTGGATTGTTTCCTTTGTGTGCTTTTTTAATTGCTGGGGTTTGAAAGTTCTTTATATATCCTAGTCCTTTGTCAGATGTGGTTTGCAAATATTTTCTTCCACTCTATAGCTTGTTCTTCCTCTTCTTAATGGGGTCTTTCACAGAACAGAAGTTTTTGATTTTCATGAAATGCAATTTGTCAATTTTTCCTTTTATATATACTTTTTTTTTTTTTTTATAGAGATAGGTTCTTGCTATGTTGCTCCAAGCTGGTCTTGGAACTCCTGGCCACAAACAATTCTCCCACCTCAGCCTCCCAGTGTGTTGGGATTACAGGTATGATCCACTGCTCCCAGCCTACTAGGTAATATTAAGTATTCACTTTTTTTAATTTTTAATTTTTAATTTTTTTTTCTTTTTTGAGACAGGGTCTTGTTCTGTTACCCAGACTGGAGTGCAATGGCATGATCTCGGCTCACTGCAACCTCTACCTCCCGGATTCAAGCAATTCTCCTGCTTCAGCCTCCTAAGTAGCTGGGACTACAGGCATGTGCCAACACGCCCAGCTAATTTTTTTTTTTTTTTTCCGAGACAGAGTCTTGCTCTGTCGCCCAGGCTGGAGTGCAGTGGCGCCATCTTTGCTCACTGCCAGCTCTGCCTCCCGTGTTCATGCCATTCTCCTGCCTCAGCCTCCTGAGTAGCTGGGACCACAGGCGCCCGCCACCATGCCTGGCTAATTTTTTGTATTTTTAGTAGAGATGGGGTTTCACCATGTTAGCCAGGATAGTCTCGATCTCCTGACCTCGTGATCCGCCCGCCTTGACCTCCCACAGTGCAGGGATTACAGGTGTGAGCCACGGTGACCAGCCTAAAAATGTTTTTAAATTTTTTTATGGGCAGCCCTTCTAGCCAGAGAAGGCTTAGAGAGACTCCCAAGTATTCACATTTATTTACACAAATTGTATTTGGTTTGGAATATATCATATTATTGGGATATGCTTTTCATGTCTATAGCCTTAATTATTTTCAAAATGTGGTCTGTGTTTCCTTTCCTTTGTTTTTGTTTATATTTATTCCGATAATTTAGAATGTTTGAATTTTTTCTATTGAATGCATTTATAATAACTTTATATATGCCCTAATGATCATTTTCTTTGGATTGATCTAATGACTGTTATGAGAAGGACGCAATTGATAATGGAATCTTTCCTGTTCTTTCCCTTTATTCTTTTTGTCTTCCATCATCTGATTTTATTTTATTTTTTTTTTAGAAATCGGATCTTACTGCTTATCGCCTTTTGGCTAAGATCAAGTATGGAGATGGGGTCTTGCTATGTTGCCCAGGCTGGATTTGAACTCCTGGGCTCAAGCAGTCTTCCCACCTCAGCCTCCTGAGTTATTGGCATGTGCCACTGCACCTGGCTGATATTAGACTTATTGTCTTTTGTAGTATTTACACTTTGCTAGAAAAGTATGTAGCTCCCTGTAATAGACAATCCAACTAATACTGGCTTTGAAAATATGGCTTTAATTTTCTCATATAACAAGAATTCTGGAAGTAGGTAGTTCTTGGCAGTTTCCCCTGCTCAACACTGTCATTGAGGACTTAACGGTTTTTCTGTATTTCTGCTCTTCCATCCTCAGTATGTTGGCTCTTGACTTCATGCTTTTTCTTCATACATCCAAGATGACTGTTGCAGCTCTGGCCATCACAATAGCATTTAAGACCAGAGGAGGCTGGGTACAGTGGTTCACACCTGTAATCACAGTATTTGGGAGGCTGAGGCAGGAGAATCACTTGAGCCCAGGAGTTTAAGACCAGCCTGGATAGCATAGTGAAACCCTGTCTCTACAAAAAATAATTTAAAAATTAGCAGGCAGGCCGGGCGCAATGGCTCACGCCTATAATCCCAGCACTTTGGGAGGCGGAGCTGGGCGGATCACCTGAGATCGGGAGTTCGAGACCAGCCTGACCAACATGGAGAAACCCCTTCTCTAATAAAAACACAAAATTAGCCAGGCGTGGTGGTACATGTCTGTAATCCCAGCTACTCGGGAGGCTGAGGCAGGAGAATCACTTGAACCCAGGAGGGGAGGTTGCAGTGAGCCGAAATCGTACCACTGCACTCCAGCTTGGGCAACAAGAGAGAGCCTCTGTCTCAAAAAAAAAAAAAAAAAAAATTAGCCAGGCATGGTGGCATGTACCTGAAGTCCCAGCTACTCAGGAGGCTGAGGCAGGAGCATTGCTTGAACCCAGGAGGTTGAGGCTGCAGTGAGCCATGATCAAGCACCACTGCACTCCAGCCTGGGTGACAGAACGAGACCATCTCAAAACAAAAAGGAAAAAGCTGAGAGCAGCACTATTAGTGTTTACAAAGCAAATACACGTTTACTCTATTGTCTCATTGGACAGAAATATATCGTATAGTTATCTCTAGCTGTAGAGGAGGAAAGAAAGTGATTATGTGGTATGCCACTATTGAAATCAGTCTTTTGTTATGTCCTGTAGGAAAGTTTTAAAGTTTTCTTCATATATATCTTCTACAGTTATTTTTATTCTTGGGTGTTTTATTCTTTACTATTTTGAATATAGTTTATTGTTACATTTTCTAATTGGTTATATTGCTAATTTTTAAATTAGTTTCTGATTTTTGAGTGTTGATTATTTTGTTCTTTTGTTCATCCATATAAGTAAAGTTTCTTCTTAGTTCTGATGGTAAGTTAGGGTAGTGAGGTAGAAGAGGAAGATGTAACAACCGATACCCTGGAAGTACTGCTTCTTCCATAGATCTTACTGCATATGCTGCCCCTTTGAACTAGCTTAGCTACCCAGTAAGGCCTGGCACAAATCCAAAAGCACAGCTTGAAGAGAGCAGTGGAGCTAATACCCCTCTAAAGGCAGAAAAGCTATAGTCATTTCCCAGAACAGAAAGATAAGCAAGAAAATTACCACAATTAATAATGTGTTTGGTCTTTTTTTCAGTCTACTCTTAGAAAAAAAATGGGTGCAGCAGCTTTGCAAAACACTCCAAAGAGAAAATGTAATAACAGAATAAACCCCTCCTCTAATACTAGGGTATTAGAGGGTATGGATCTTTTCTAATGGCCAGAGTTTGAAACACAAGGTTTTCAAATAATTAGCTGAGCTTTTGAATCTCCATAGCCCCAGAGCTGATTTTGGGATAAAGACTAGAGAAACATGAATTGCTGTGTGTAAAAAAAATAGAAGGAAATAGGATTTTGTTCCATCAAAGAATGGGGCAGCAAAAAGTAAAAGAGGACGAGAAAAGAAGGAAGATAGTAAAGCTAAGCATTTATGACAAGAGGCTAGAGTCAAAGGAATATAAATGGCTGAGGAAATTTCATTTTTCGTTTTTACTTTTTAAGAATATTTATTTAAATACGATGCATGGGAATGCAGGTATGAATAAAAGAAAATGAAAGTTACAGGTTTTCAAGCCAGTCAAACATCTGATGCCTCCATGGTTTTAGGCAAAATTATAAAGGAGGTAAAGTTTGTCATTAACAATCTCCTTCATGCCTTCATGCTTTTTCAGTATCCCTGTCCTCCAGGTAATTAGCCCCTTCATCCTGCCTGAAAGCTGTCAAAATTCTTCCCCTATCTAGACCTTTCCTTTGCAAAGTTTCTTCTTCCTTCTCTTTTCTTAACTATCAAAGCGTCTGCTTAGTAATATTTCAGTATATCACTATATGATTGATTTGAATAATCTGATTTAAGGTATGACTGAAATTTTAACTATCCTCTTAGAGAATTCGTACTTTAAAACTGGTCTCTGTTAATTCATATTTACTAAGAAGAATATCTTTTAATGCTTCTTGCCCTGTCTGTCCTCTATTGTCTCCTTGTTTCCTTTCTTTCTTTCTTTTTTTTTTTTTTTTTTTTTTGAGACGGAGTCTCGCTCTGTCGCCCAGGCTGGAGTGCAGTGGCGCGATATCGGCTCACTGCAAGCTCCACCTCCCGGGTTCACACCATTCTCTTGACTCAGCCTCCTGAGTAGCTGGGACTACAGGCATCCACCACCATGCCCAGCTAATTTTGTGTATTTTTAGTAGGGATGGGGTTTCGCCATGTTGGCCAGGCTGGTCTCAAACTCCTGACCTCAGGTGATCCACCCACCTCAGCCTCCCAAAGTGCTGGGATTACAGGCGTGAGCCACTGCACCCGGCGAAAATTGTCTACAAAAAATCCAAAAATTATCTGGGTGTGGTGGCATGCACCTATAGTCCCAGCTCCTCAGGAGGTATCACCTGAGCCCAGGAGGTCGAGGCTGCAGTGAACCATGATCACGCCACTGAATTCCAGCCTGAGCAATAAAGTGAGGCCCCATCTCTTTTTTTTTTTTTTTTTTTTTTTTTTTTGAGCCGGAATCTCGCTCTGTCGCCCAGGCTGGAGTGCAGTGGCGGGATCTCGGCTCACTGCAAGCTCCGCCTCCCGGGTTCACGGTGAGGCCCCATCTCAAAAAAAAAAAAAACTTTCATTGAAGTAGGAATAGAGGAGAATGTCTTCAACTTGATAAAGAACATCTACAGAAAGCCTGAAGCTAACAACATACTTAAGGTAAGAAACTGGAAGCTTTCTTGCTAAGATCAGGTACGAGGCCAGAATGTTCCCTTTCACCACTCCTTTTCAATGTTGTACTAGAACTCTTAGCTAATGAAATAAGAAAAGAAAAGGAAATAAGTTATATAGATTTGGACAGAAGAAATAAAAACTGTCTTTGTTCACAGAAGACATGATTTTCTATGTAAAAATCCAAATGAATTTACAAAAAAACCTTCTGGAACTAATAAACAATTATAGCAAGATTGCAGGATACAAAGTCAATATAAAAATTTCAATCACTATCCTATATACCAGCTAAATATACCGGCAGTAAACTAGTAGAATGTGAAATTAAAAGCATCGTACCATTTACGTTAGCACCACCAAAAATGAAATACTTAGATATAAATCTAATAAAATATGCATATAATCTATATGAGGGAAAATACAAAACTCTGATGGAAGAAATCAAAGAAATAAATCAAGAGCTATTTATTGTTCATGAATAGGAAGACTTATATTATTTTTTATTATACTTTAAGTTCTAGGGTACATGTGCACAACATGCAGATTGTTACATAGGTATACACGTGCCATGTTGGTGTGCTGCACCCATTAACTCATCATTTACATTAGGTATATCTCCTAATGCTATCCCTCCCCCCTCCCCCACCCCATGACACGCCCCGTGTGTGATGTTCCCCTTCTTGTGTCCAAGTGTTCTCATTGTTCAATTCCCACCTATGAGTGAGAACATGCGGTGTTTGGTTTTCTGTCCTTGTAATAGTTTGCTGAGAATGATGGTTTCCAGCTTCATCCATGTCCCTACAAAGAACATGAACTCATCATTTTTTATGGCTGCATAGTATTCCATGGTATATATGTGCCACATTTTCTTAATCCAGTCTATCATTGATGGACATTTGGGTTGGTTCCAAGTCTTTGCTATTGTGAATAGTGCCGTAATAAACATACGTGTGCATGTGTCTTTATAGCAGCATGATTTATAATCCTTTGGGTATATACCCAGTAATGGGATGGCTGGGTCAAATGGTATTTCTAGTTCTAGAACCTTGAGGAATCGCCATACTGAGGAAGACTTAATATTATTAAGATGTCAATTCTTCCTGACTTTATAGATTCAATACATTCCCAGTTAAAATCCCAGCTACTTGATACAGGATTCTGGGAAGATGACAGAATAGAAGGCACCAGGAATCTGTCTCCCAACCTAACAACAATTGCACTGGCAGAATTTGTCTGATGAAACTATTTTGAAATTCTAGAGTCTACTGAAGGCTTGCACCATCCAGGAGAAGGCTTGGATGCTAAAGTGAGTATAAATTTGGTCAAATTCAGCTCCTGAATACAATAGCAGGTAACCATCCTCCACCCCTGAGCCACTTGGCAGGCAGTTTGTGCATGTGTTCCTAGAACACCTTGCAAACATCTTGTGGGAGCCCAGGTGGGGAAAAAGGTCCCTGTCCTTCAAATATTAGGCATCTAAGCCATGATTGCTGATTACTGCTTCTGATCATAGAGGTGCAGACAAAGAGGTTGGCTGCCATTGTTGTTGCATCTTCCCCAATTGTTGCAAGCCCCTCCCACTCCAGCTGAAGTGACTTCCAAGGGATTGAAAGGACTGGCATTTAAGTGGTTGATGCCCTTTCTTTCTCCCCTTCATTTTTCTCTTTTTTCTTCTTTTGGGATCCAGACTTGAAAGACTAAGACATTGAAACATAACTATATATATGGGGAAAAGCAGAAAGTGACCATGAATGCACAGGGAAAAACTCAGAAAAGATCTGAGAGGACCTTAAGTTTCTACATCAACTGGTACAAAAACAGACACATAGACCAATGGAACAGAATAGAGAGCCCAGAAATAAGGTGGCACACCTGCAACCATCTGATCTTTGACAAAGCTGGCAAAAACAAGCAATGGGGAAAGAACTCCCTATTCAATAAATGGTGCTGGGATAACTGGCTCGCCATATGCAGAGATTGAAACTGGACCCCTTCCTTACATCGTATACAAAAATCAACTCAAGGTGGATTAAATTCTTAAACATAAAACCCAAAACTATAAAAACTCTGGAAGACAACCTAGGCAATTACCATTCTGTACACAGGAACGGGAAAAGATTTCATGACAAAGACACCAAAAGCAATTGCAACAAAAGCAAAATTTGACAAATAGGATCTAATTAAATGAAAGAGCTTCTGCACAGCAAAATAAACTGTCAACAGAGTAAACAGGCAACCTACAAAATGGGAGAAAATTTTCCAAACTATCCATCTGGAAAAAAGCCTGATTTCCAGCATATATAAGGAACCTAAACAAATTTGCAAGGAAAAAAAACGATTAAAAAGTGGGCAAAGGACATAAATAGACATTTTTCAAAAGAAGACATACATGTGGCCAATAAGCATATGAGAAAAAACTCAACACCACTGACCACTAGAGAAATGCAAATCAAAACCACAATGAGATACCATCTCACACCAGTCAGAATGGCTATTATTAAAAAGTCAAAAAATAACAGATGCTGGCAAAGTTGCAGAGAAAAAGGAACATGTATATGTTGTTGATGGGAGTGTAAATTAGTTCACCCATTGTGGAAAGCAGTGTGGTGGTTCCTCAAAGACCTAAAAACAGAACTACCATTTGGCCCAGCAATCCCATTATTAGATATAGGCCCAAATGAATAGAAATTGTTCTATCATAAAGACACATGCAGGCCGGGTGTGTTGACTCACGCCTGTAATCCCAGCACTTTGGGAGGCCGAGGCAGGCAGATCATCTGAGGTCAGGAGTTCAAGACCTGCCTGGCCAACATGGCGAAACCCCATCTCTACTAAAAGTACAAAAAATTAGCTGGGTATGGTGGCCGGTGCCTATAATCCCAGCTACTCGGGAGGCTGAGGCATGAGAATCGTTGAACCCGGGAGGCGGAGGTTGCAGTGAGCTGAGTTCGCGGCACTGCACTCCAGCCTGGGCAACAAGAGTGAAACTCCATCTCAAAAAAAAAAAAAAAAAGACGCATGCATATGTTCATTGCAACACTATTCACAGTAGCAAAGACACGGAATCAACATAAATGTCCATCAAAGGTAGACTGATAAAGAAAAGATGGTACATATACACCATGGAATACTGTGCAGCCATAAAAAAGGACAAGATCAGGTCCTTTGCAGGAACATGGATGAAGCTAGAGGCCATTATCCTTAGCAAACACAGGAACAGAAAACCAAATACCACATGTTCTCACTTATAAATGGGAGCTAAGTGATGAGAACACATGGACCCATAGAGGGGAACAGACACTGGGGCCTACCAGACGGTGGAGGGTGGGAGGAGGGAGAGGATTAGGACAAATAACTAATGGATACTAGGCTTAACACCTGGGTGATGAAATGATCTGTACAACAAACCTTCATGACACAAGTTTAGCTGTATAACAAACCTGTACATGTACCCCTGAACTTAAAAGTTAAAAAAATTTGCCAGGCCTGGTGGCTCACGCCTGTAATCCCAGCACTTTGGGAGGCTAAGGCAGGCAGATCACGAGGTCAGGAGATCGAGACCATCCTGACTAACATGGTGAAACCCCATCTCTACAAAAAATACAAAAAATTAGCCAGGCATGGTGGCATGTGCCTGTAGTCCCAGCTACTTGGGAGGCTGAGGCAGGAGAATCACTTGAACCCAGGAGATGGAGGTTGCAGTGAGCCAAGATCGCGCCACTGCACTCCAACCTAGGCAACAGAGTGAGACTCTGTCTCAAAAAAAAAAAAAAACTAAAAAAATTCACATCTCAGATGATTCTTGGCACAGAGACTGCCTACCCAAATAAAAATAAACAGTAATAAAAATAGCAAACCTTGGCAGCCAACCTCTTTGTCTGCACCTCTATGATCAGAAGCGGTAATCAGCAATCATGGCTTAGATGCCTAATATTTGAAGGACAGGGACCTTTTTCCCCACCTGGGCTCCCGCATGATGTTTGCAAGGTGCTCTAGGAACACATGCACAAACTGCCTGCCAAGTGGCTCAGGGGTGGAGGATGGTTACCTGCTATTGTAGGAAAGGGAGAGCATCTTCTTTCCAGAGTTAACCACATTATTAGATCCAACTGTCCAGTTTTCAACAAAAAAAAAATAAGTTATACAAAGAAACAGAAAAGTTTGGCCTATTCAAAAAATAATAATAATAAAGCAACAGAAATTGTGCCTGAAAAAGACCTGATAGCAAACATACCAAACAAAGACTTTAAAACAACTGTCTTTTCTCACACCTGTAATCCCAGCACTTTGGGAGGCCGAGGCAGGCGGATCACCTGAGGTTGGGAGTTCTAGAGCAGCCTGACCAACGTGGAGAAACCCCATCTCTATTAAAAATACAAAAAATTTGCCAGGCGTGGTGGCACATGCCTGTAATTCCAGCTACTAAGAAGGTTGAGGCAGGAGAATCCCTTGAACCTGGAAGGTGGAGGTTGCGGTGAGCTGAGATCCTACCATTGCACTCCAGCCTGGGCAACAAGAGCAAAACTCCATCTCAAAAATAAATAAATAAATAAATAAATAAATAAAACAACTTTTTTTTTTTTTTTGAGATAGTGTTTCTCAGTCACCCAGGCTGGAGTGCAGTGATGTGATCTCAGCTCCCCGCAACCTCTGCCTTCCGGGTTCAAATGATTCTTCTAAAACAACTGTCTTAAAGATGCTCAAATCACTAAAGGAAGATGTGGGGAAAAAAAATCAAGAAAATAATGTATAAATAAAATGGAAATATTAATCTAAAAACAGCAAACCTAAAAAGAAACCAAAAAGGAATTCTTTTTTTTTTTTTTTGAGATGGAGTCTCGCTCTGTCGCCCAGGCTGGAGTGCAGTGGCGTGAACTCGGTTCACTGCAAGCTCCGCCTCCCAGGTTCACGCCATTCTCCTGCCTCAGCCTCCCGAGTAGCTGGGACTACAGGTGCCCGCCACCACGCCCAGCTAATTTTTTGTATTTTTAGTAGAGATGGGGTTTCACCTTGTTAGCCAGGATGATCTTGATCTCCTGACCTCGTGATCCGCCTGCCTCAGCCTCCCAAAGTGCTGGGATTACAGGTGTGAGCCGCCGCGCCCAGCCGTTTTTTGGTTTTTTTTTTTTTTTGAGACGGAGTCTCGCTCTGTTGCCCAGGCTGGAGTGCAGTGGCACAATCTCGGCTCACTGCAAGCTCTGCCTCCCGGGTTCATGCCATTCTGCTGCCTCAGCCTCCCGAGTAGCTGGGACTACAGGCACCCACCACCATGCCTGGCTAATTTTTTGTATTTTTTTTTTAGTAGAGACCGGGTTTCACCATGTTAGCCAGGATGGTCTCAATCTCCTGACCTTGTGATTCGCCCGCCTTGGCCTCCCAAAGTGCTGGGATTACAGGCGTGAACCACCGCACCCGGCCCAAAAAGAAATTCTAAAGTTGAAAGTACAATAACTGAAATAAAAATTTTACTAAGAGGACAGAACAAGATCCTGTCTCAAAAAAAAAAAAAAAAAGAAAGAAAGAAAAGGCAGGTTTGTGTAGGCAGAAGAAAGAATCAGTGAATGTGAAGAAGGACAATGGAAAGTATTGAGTCTGAGGAACAGAAAGAATAAAGATTGAAGAAAAGTGAGCCAAAGGGACCTGTGGGACACAATCAAGTGGACAAAAGTGTGTATTATGGTAATTTCAGAAAGAGGAGAGAGAGAGAGTTGGGGCAGAGAGAATATTTGAAGAAATAATGACTGAAAACTTCCCAAATTAAATGAAAGACATGAGTATAAACATCCAAGAAGCTCAAAAAACTCTAAGTAAGATGAACTCAGAGATCCACACTGAGACACATTGTAATTAAACTTTTGGAAACCAAAAACAATGAGAGAATATTTAAAGAAGCAAGAGAAAAGTGACTTATCACATATAAGGGATCCTCAATAAGATTATTAGAAGGTTTCTCATCAGGACCTTTGAAGGTCAGAAGGCTGTGGGCCATTATATTCAAAGTGCTAAAAGGCAGGCAGGGGAAAGTCTGTCAACCAAGAATCTTATATTCAGCAAAACTGTCCTTCAAAAGTGAGGCAGAAATTAAGACCTTTCCAGGTAAATAAAAACTGAGGGAGCCTGTTACCACTGGACTTGCCCTGCAAGAAATGCTCAAAGTATCACTAGTGAGACAAAATAAGAAAAACACACTCAAGGGAGTCCTGCAGGATGAAATGATCGGACACTCAACAGTAACTCAAAGCCATATGAACAAATACAGATCTAAATAAAGGTAAATTTATGGCAATTATAAAAGCTAGTATTATTATAACAATGGTTTGTAACTTCACTTTTTGTTTTCTACATGCTTTAAAAGACTAACACTTTTTAGTATTATTGTAACTTTGGTTTACAACCCCATATTGTGTTTTCTACACAATTTAAGAGAGTAGTGCATTTAAAAGAATTATTCATTTATGGTCAGGCATGGCGGCTCATGCCTGTAATCCCAGCACTTTGGGAAGCCATGGTGGGAAAATCACTTAAGATCAGGAGTTTGAGACCAACTTGGCCAATGTGGTGAAACCCCATCTCTACTAAAAATACAAAAATTAGGCAGGCGCGGTAGTGGGCACCTGTAATCCCAGCTACTTGGGAGGCTGAGGTGGGAGAATCACTTGAACCCAGGAGGCAGAGGTTGCAGTGAGCTGAGATTGCACCACTGCACTCCAGCCTGGGCGACAGAGTGAGACTCCATTAAAAAAAAAAAAAAAGACTTGTTAGTTTATATTTTGGGGCACACAATCTGTAAAATATAATTTTGTGACATCATCAACCAAAGGGTGGAGACAGAGCTGTAAAGGAGTAGAATTTTTGCATGTTATTGAAGTTAAGCTGGTATAGTTCAAATTAGAGTGTTATAACTCATTATAACTTTCAGAGATTAAAGTATTATGAACATTTGTGTCAGTCTGTTTTGTGTTGCAGTAAAGGAATACCTGAGACTAGGCAATTTATAAAGAAAGAGGTTTATTTTGGCTTATGGTTCTGCAGGCTGTACAAGAAGCATAGTGCCATATCTGTCTATGGTGAGGCCTTAGGAAGGCAAAGCGGGAGCTGGTGTATCACATGGTGAGAGAGGGAGTGAGAGAGGAGGAGGAGCCAGGATTCTTTAAACGACCAAATGAAAAATTCTGGAGAAGAAATGATCTGAGTAAAAAAATTAAATAAACAAAAAAATAAACAACCAGCTCTCATGTAAACTAACTGAGTGAGAACTCACTCATCACCAAGGGAATAGTGCTTGGCCCCACCTGCAACATTGGGGATCACATTTCAGCATGAGACTTGAAGGAGGACACACATCCGAACCATATCAGCATTGATATAAAATCCTCAACAAAATACCAGCAAACCGAATTTAGTAACGTATAAAAAAGGAATATGCACCATGGCCATGTGGTTTTTTTTTTTCTGGAATGCAACAATGGTTCCATATATGAAAATCAATCAATGGAATACACCACATTAACAGAATGAATGGAAAAAGCACATGATCATCTTGACTGATGTAGAAAAAGCATTTGACAAACTCCAACACCCTTTCATGATAAAAACACTCAACAAACTAGAAATAGAAGGAAATTACCTCAACATAATAAAAGCTATGTGTGAAAAACCCACAGCAAACACCATACTCAGTGGTGAAAAACTGAAAGCTTTTCCTCCAAGACCAGGTACAAGACAAGTTTACCCACTTTTGCCACGTCTATCAACATAGTACTAAGTTCTAGCTGGAGCAATTAGGCAAGAAAAAGAAATAAAAGGCTTCCAAATCAGAAAGCAAGAAGTTAAATTATCTGTGTTTGCAGATGAATGATTTTATATGTAGAAAACCCTAAGGATTACACACACAACTGTTAGAGCTAATAAATGAATTCAGCAAAGTAGCAGGATACAAAGTCAGCACAAAAAATCAGGTGCCTTTCTATACATTAACAATGAGGAAGCTGGGTGTGGTGGCTTACACCTGTAATCCCATCACTTTGGGAGGCTGAGGTGGAAGGTCATTGAGCTCAGGAGTTTGAGACCAGCCTGGGCAACTTAGTGAGACACTGTCTCTACAAAAAAATTGAAAAAATTAGGCTAAATACTGCGTGCCTGTAGTCCCAGCTACTCTTGAGGCCGAGGTGTTAGGATTGCTTGAGCCTGGGAGGTGGTGGCTGCAGTGAGCCGTGGTCATGCCACAGCTCTCCGGCCTGGGCTACAGAGCCAAGGCCCTGTCTCAAAAGAAGAAGAAGAAGGAGAAGGAGAATCTAAGAAGGAAATTATAAATACAATTCCATTTACAATAGCATCAAAAAGAATAAAATACTTAGGAAATAACTTACCCAAGGAGGTAAATGATTTGTATAATGAAAACTGCAAAATTTACTCAAATAAGTTAAAGAAGATATAAATAAATGCTCATGGACTGGAAGATGTAATATTGTTAAGATCAATACTGTCCAGAGTGATCTATAGATTCAATGCAATCCCTATCAAAATCCCAATGACATTTTTTGAGAAATAGAAAAACCCATTCTAAAATTCATATGGAATCTCAAGGAACTTTAAATAGCGAAAACAATCTTGAAAAAGACAGACAAAGCTGGAGGACTCACGAGTCCTGATTTCAAAACTTACTGGCGTAAAGACAGACATGTAGCCCATGAAATAAAATAGAGAGCTCAGAAATAAACCCTCATATATATGGTCTTTTCAACAAATGGTGCTAGAAAAACTCGACATCCACTTGCAAAAGAATGGAGTTGGATCCTTATCTAACACTGTATACAAAAATTAACTCAACATGGATTAAATACCTAAAACTATAAAATATTTTTTAGAAGAAAAATGTAAGGAACATGTTCCACAACGTTGGATTTGGCAAGGATTTCTTGGACATGACACCAAAAACACAGGACACAACAACAAAAAAGTGGAGGCTGAACACAGTAGCTCATGCCTGTAATCCTAACACTTTGACAGGCCGAGGCAGGTGGATCAGTTGAGCCCAGGAATTCGAGACTTGCCTGGGAAAAATAGTGAGACCCTGACTCATAAAAAAAAAGACAAAGAACAAGAGGAAGAAAAATAAAAAAATAGACAATTTGGACTTGATGAAAATTTAAAATTTTTCTGCCTCAAATGACAATATAAATAGAGTAAAAGGGCAATCCACAGAATGGGAGACTATATTTGCAAGTCATATATCTGATAAAGGGTTAATATCCAGAATCTGTAGAGAAACTTCTTCTTCTTTTTTATTCATCATTGTCTTTATTTTATAGTAGGAAAACTAAGGCATTCATGAAAAATGAAATTATTTGCACAATGCATAATGTAGTCAAAGACCTTGACACAGAATCAGTGTCTTAACCATAATTTCTCACCTTTAATCAATAAGCATTATTCCTCTTTAAAGACAATGAAAAATCACTCATGTTAAATATAGTTAAAATAAGCATCATTAATTAAACACTACATCTCTCTAACCTCTTTACATTCATTAACACTCTGGAGTAAAAACAATGATAGTATTTGTTATGCCTTTGTGTTTCTTTAAAATATTAACTAAAATAGATTCCTAATTTGGGAAACATAATAACAAATGCCATTTGGTTTTAAAAAGAATTGTATCTTAATCATCAAGCCAAAGACATAGCAAGAAAACAATGACATGGTCACTTGAAGGTTGTCTCAGTCTACTTTTCACCATCTAATCAGACCCCTTTAAAGGAATTCCAGCAAAAAGTTTAAGAAATTCATGGATCAACTTCCAAAGCACATCAGGGAAAGTGCTAATACAGTGGACAGCAAGAACAAGTATAGCAGCAGACCATCTTATTTAAACTTTTGAGATAATAAAACAATACAGAACTCAACATCAGAAATCCTAACAACCCAATTCAAAAGTGGGCAAAAGACTTGAGTATACATTCCTCTGAAGAAGATATGTAAATGACTGACAAGCACATAAAAAGATGCACAACATCTCAGTCATTAGGGAAATGCAAATCAAAACTACAGTAAGATACAACTTCATATTCATTATGACGGTTATTATATTAAAATGTTGGCAAGGATGTGGAGAAATTGGAACTCTTGTACACTGTTGATGGAATGTAAAATGGTGTAGCCACTGTTTAAATCAGTATGGAAGTTACTCAAAAAATTAAAAATAGAATTACCATATGATCCAGCAATTCCACTTCTGAGTATATACCCAAAATAATTGAAAGAAGGGTCTTGAAGAGGCATTTGTACACTGTTGTTCATAGTGGCAGTATTCACAATAGCTAAACCATGGAAGCAACCCAAGTACCCATCAACAGATGAGTGAATACGCAAAATATGATATATACATACAATGGAACATAATTCACTCCTAAAAAGGAAGGAAATTCTGACACATGCTATAATATGAATGAAACTTGAGGACAGTATGCTAAGTGAAATGCACCATTCACTAAAACTGTTTGATTCTGTTTACATGAGATATTTACAGTAGTCAAAATCATAGAGACAGAAAATAGAAAGGTGGTTTCTAGGAGTTGGGGGAAGTGGAGAATGGAGGGTTATTGTTTAACGGGTATAGAGTTTTGAGTTTACAAGATGCAGAGTTATCAATGGATGATGGTGATGGTTGCACAATATTATGAAGATATTTAACACTGAAGTGTACACTTAAAAGTGGTTAAGATGGCAAATTTTATGTTGTGTATATTTTACCACAATAAAAAAACTGGAAAAAAAATCCAAGCAGGTTATATTGTAGATGTAAACAAATTTATCCTAAAGTTTACATGGAGAAGAGACCCAGAATAGCCAACACAACATTGAAGGAGAAGAACAAAGTTAGAAAACTGACACTAGCTGACTTTAAGACTTACTGTGAAGCTATAGTGATGAACACAGTGTGGTATTCGTGAAAAAATAAACAAATAAATCAATGGAACAGATTAGAGAACACAGAAATAGAGCCACATAAACACAGCCAACTGATGTTTGATAAAGAAGCAAAGATAACATAATGGATCAAAGATAATCTTTTCAACAAATAGTGCTGAAATCACTGGACATACACATGCAAAAAAATTGAATCTAGATACAGACATAATACCCTTCACAAAAATTAATTCAAAATTGGCCACAGACCTAAATGTAAAATGCAAAACTATAGGACTCCTAGAAGATAACATAGAAAAAAATCTAAGTGACTGTGGGTATGATGATGTCTTTTTAGACACACCAAAAGCATGATTTATGAAATAAATAATTGATAAACTGAACTTCATTAGAACTTTCTGCTCTGTGAAAGACACTGTCAAGAGAATAAAAGCAACATGGCCAAACCCCATCTCTACAAAAATACACAAATTAGCTAGGCATGGTGGCATGTCCCACCTGTAGTCCCAGCTATTCCAGAGGCTGAGATGGGAGGATCGCTTGCGCCCAGCAGTTAAAGGCTGCAGTGAGTTATGATGGCACCACTTTACTATAGCCAGGGCAACAGAGCAAGACCTTGTCTTTAAATATATATATGTATACATGTATATATGTATGTGTGTATATATACGTATATGTATATATATGTTTATATATATTTATTTATATTAAAAGCAAGTCACACACTGGGGGAAAATACTTGCAAAAATATATCTGCTAAAGGACTGTTATTCAAAATATACAAAGAATTGTTGAAACTTCACAATAAAAAAACAAATAACCTAATTTAAAAATGGGCCAAAGATCTTAACAGACACCTCACTAAAGAAGATACACAGACGGCAAAAAATATATTAAAAAATATTTTTAAAATTCATAAAGCAAGTCCTTAGAGACCTACAAAGAGACTTAGACTCCCACACAATAATAATGGGAGACTTTAACATCCCACTGTCAACATTAGACAGATCAACGAGACAGAAAGTTAACAAGGATACCCAGGAATTGAACTCAGCTCTGCACCAAGCAGATCTAATAGACATCTACAGAACCCTCCACCCCAAATCAACAGAATATACATTCTTTTCAGCACCACACCACACCTATTCCAAAATTGACCACATAGTTGGAAGTAAAGCACTCCTCAGCAAATGTAAAAGAACAGAAATTACAACAAACTGTCTCTCAGACCACAGTGCAATCAAACTAAAACTCAGGATTAAGAAACTCACTCAAAACCGCTCAACTACATGGAAACTGAACAACCTGCTCCTGAATGACTACTGGGTACATAACGAAATGAAGACAGAAATAAAGATGTTCTTTGAAACCAACGAGAACAAAGACACGACATACCAGAATCTCTGGGACACATTCAAAGCAGTGCGTAGAGGGAAATTTATAGCACTAAATGCCCACAAGAGAAAGCAGGAAAGATCCAAAATTGACACCCTAACATCACATTTAAAAGAACTAGAGAAGCAAGAGCAAACACATTCAAAAGCTAGCAGAAGGCAAGAAATAACTAAGATCAGAGCAGAACTGAAGGAAATAGAGACAAAAAACCCTTCAAAAAATCAATGAATCCAGGAGCTGGTTTTTTGAAAGGATCAACAAAATTGATAGACCACTAGCAAGACTAATAAAGAAGAAAAGAGAGAAGAATCAAATAGATGCAATAAAAAATGATAAAGGGGATATCACCACCGATCCCACAAAAATACAAACTACAATCAGAGAATACTATAAATACCTCTACACAAATAAACTAGAAAATCTAGAAGAAATGGATAAATTCCTCAACACATACACCATCCCAAGACTAAACCAGGAAGAAGTTGAATCTCTGAATAGATCAATAACAGGCTCTGAAATTGAGGCAATAATTAATAACTTACCAACCAAAAGAAGTCCAGGACCAGATGGATTCACACCTGAATTCTACCAGAGGTACAAGGAGGAGCTGGTACCATTCCTTCTGAAACTATTCCAATCAATAGTAAAAGAGGGATTCCTCCCTAACTCATTTTATGAGGGCAGCATCATCCTGATAACAAAGTCTGGCAGAGACACAACAAAAAAAGAGAATTTAAGACCAATATCCCTGATGAACATCAATGCAAAAATCCTCAATAAAATACTGGCAAACCAAATCCAGCAGCACATCAAAAAGCTTATCCACCATGAACAAGTGGACTTCATCCCTGGGATGCAAGGCTGGTTCAACATACGCAAATCAATAAATGTAATCCAGCATATAAACAGAACCAACGACAAAAACCACATGATTATCTCAATAGATGCAGAAAAGGCCTTTGACAAAATTCAACAACTCTTCATGCTAAAAACTCTCAATAAATTAGGTATTGATGGGACGTATCTCAAAATAATAAGAGCTATCTATGACAAACACACAGCCAATATCATACTGAATGGGCAAAAACTGGAAGCATTCCCTTTGAAAACTGGCACAAGACAGGGATGCCCTCTCTCACCACTCCTATTCAACATAGTGTTGGAAGTTCTGGCCAGGGCAATCAGTCAGGAGAAGGAAATAAAGGGTATTCAATTAGGAAAAGAGGAAGTCAAATTGTCCCTGTTTGCAGATGACATGATTGTATATCTAGAAAACCCCATCGTCTCAGCCCAAAATCTCCTTAAGCTGATAGGCAACTTCAGCAAAGTCTCAGGATACAAAATCAATGTGCAAAAATCACAAGCATTCTTATACACCAATAAGAGACAAACAGAGAGCCAAATCATGAGTGAACTCCCATTCACAATTGTTTCAAAGAGAATAAAATACCTAGGAATCCAACTTACAAGGGATGTGAAGGACCTCTTCAAGGAGAACTACAAACCACTGCTCAATGAAATACAAGACGAGACAAACAAATGGAAGAACATGCTCATGGGTAGGAAGAATCAATATCGTGAAAATGGTCATACTGCCCAAGGTAATTTATAGATTCAATGCCATCCCCATCAAGCTACCAATGACTTTCTTCACAGAATTGGAAAAAACTACTTTAAAGTTCATATGGAACCAAAAAAGAGCCCGCATTGCCAAGACAATCCTAAGCCAAAAGAACAAAGCTGGAGGCATCACGCTACCTGACTTCGAACTACACTACAAGGCTACAGTAACCAAAACAGCATGCTACTTGTACCAAAACAGAGATATAGACCAAAGGAACAGAACAGAGCCCTCAGAAATAATGCCGCATATCTACAACTATCTGATCTTTGACAAATCTGACAAAAACAAGAAATGGGGAAAGGATTCCCTATTTAATAAATGGTGCTGGGAAAACTGGCTAGCCATATGTAGAAAGCTGAAACTGGATCCCTTCCTTCCACCTTATACAAAAATTAATTCAAGATGGATTAAAGACTTAAATGTTAGACCTAAAACCATAAAAACTCTAGAAGAAAACCTAGGCAATACCATTCAGGACATAGGCATGGGCAAGGACTTCATGTCTAAAACACCAAAAGCAATGTCAACAAAAGCCAAAATTGACAAATGGGATCTAATTAAACTAAAGAGCTTCTGCACAGCAAAAGAAACTGCCATCAGAGTGAACAGGGAACCTACAGAATGGGAGAAAATTTTTGCAATCTACTCATCTGACAAAGGGCTAATATCCAGAATCTACAATGAATTCA
The DNA here is from genome assembly GCF_000001405.40 of Homo sapiens. NCBI lineage: Eukaryota > Metazoa > Chordata > Mammalia > Primates > Hominidae > Homo > Homo sapiens. The sequence goes on along the minus strand of NC_000015.10, from coordinate 72,429,233 downwards.
AACAAATTTACAAGAAAAAAACAAACAACCCCATCAAAAAGTGGGCAAAGGATATGAACAGACACTTCTCAAAAGAAGACATTTATGCAGCCAACAGACACATGAAAAAATGCTCATCATCACTGGCCATCAGAGAAATGCAAATCAAAACCACAGTGAGATACCATCTCACACCAGTTAGAATGGCGATCATTAAAAAGTCAGGAAACAACAGGTGCTGGAGAGGATGTGGAGAAATAGGAACACTTTTACACTGTTGGTGGGACTATAAACTAGTTCAACCATTGTGGAAGTCAGTGTGGCGATTCCTCACGGATCAGGAACTAGAAATACCATTTGACCCAGCCATCCCATTACTGGGTATATACCCAAAGGAGTATAAATCATGCTGCTATAAAGACACATGCACACGTATGTTTATTGCAGCACTGTTCACAATAGCAAAGACTTGGAACCAACCTAGATGTCCATCAATGATAGACTGGATTAAGGAAATGTGGCACATATACGCCATGGAATGCTGTGCAGCCATAAAAAAGGATGAGTTCATGTCCTTTGTAGGGACATAGATGAAGCTGGAAACCATCATTCTCAGCAAACTATCGCAAGGACCAAAAACCAAACACTGCATGTTCTCACTCATAGGTGGGAATTGAACAATGAGAACACTTGGACACAGGAAGGGGAACATCACACCCCAGGGCCTGTTGTGGGGTGGGGGGAGTCGGGGGGGGGAGGGATAGCATTAGGAGATATACCTAATGTTAAATGACGAGTTAATGGGTGCAGCCCGCCAACATAGCACATGTATACATATGTATCAAACCTGCACATTGTGCACATGTACCCTAGAACTGAAAGTATAATAAAAAAAAATTCCACATCCTATGTCATCAGGGAAATGGAAATTAAAATGAAACACCACAACACCTATTACATTAGCCAAAATCCAGAACACTGTCAACACCAAATGCAGTCAAGGATGTGGAGCAATAGGAACTCTTATGCATTGCAGGTAGGGATGAAAATGGTACAGCCACTTTGGAAGAAAGTTTGGTAGTTTCAATGAATTGGTGGTGGTGGTTGTTGTTTGGTTTTTATGCACGGTTTTCTTTATATTTTCTTTCTTTTTTTGTTTTGCATTTATTAAAATTTGAGATAAAATTCACCATTCAAAAGTGTATGATTCAGTTGGGTTTTTTTACAATCATTTTTAATAGACTTTAACCTTTAGAGCAGTTTTAGGTTCATAGCAAAATTAAGCAGAAGCTACAGAGATTTCCCATATATCCCCAAAACAACCCCATAGCAACAGCCATACCATTACCATATAATTCAGCAATTATGCCCTTTGGTATTTGCCCAGTTGAGTTGAAAACTTATGTCCACACAAAATCCTGCACATAGCAGCCTTATTTATAATTGCCAAAACTTGGAACCAACCAAAATGTCCTTCGGTAGGCAAATGGATAAATAAACTCTGATACATCCAAACAAAATAACATTACTCAGTGCTAAAAGGAAATGAGCTATCAAGCCATGATAAGATACAAAGGAAACTTAAGTGCATATTACTAAGTGAAAGAAGCCAGTCTGAAATGGCTTCATGCTGCATGATTCCAATGATATGACATTCTGGAAAAGGCTAAACTATGGAGACAGTATAAAGATGAGTGGTTGACAGTAGTTAGCCATGAGGGAGAGATCATTAGGCAGAGACCAGAAGATGTTTAGGGCAGTGAAACTACTCTGTAAGATACTATAATGGTGGATATATGTCATACAAATTTATTCAAACTTACAGAATGTACAACACCAAGAGTGAACACAAATGTAAACTATGTGCATTGGGTGACAATGATGTGTTAGTGTAGGTTCATCAGTTGTAACAAGTGTACACTCCGTTAGGGGTTATTGATAACAGGGGAGGCTATGCATGTGTGTGGACTGGGGGTATTTGGGAAATCTTTATAACTTCTGCTTAATTTTGCTGTGAACCAAAACTGCTCTGAAAAATAAAGTCTATTAAAAATTATTGTCAAGAAAGTCTGGTGAATTGTACACTTTCAAATGATAAATTTTATATGGTTTATCTCAATTTTTAAAAATGCAAAAAAGAAAGAAAATGTAAAGAAAATAGTGCATAAAACCCAACACAACAACAAGCAATACTTTGAAGGTATTGAAGAGTGACCAAAAATAGTCACAAACTGGAGGGAAGTCTACCCTTCAAAGGTGTCTATAAAGTCAGAGATTTGTGGGTTTGTGGGTTTTTGCCTGAGATAACTCCCCAGCTTCTATGCAGCTCAGGAAGTAGAAAGCCATGGCTTACTGGCTTGATGTGTCAAAAAACAAAATATCAGCCTAGTAGAGTATCCAGAAAGTTAGGGGGAAATCATGAAAAAGAGTGGGTTGCAGAGGAGATGAGCTTTAAGACCTGCATATAAAATCAGACTACATTCTTGGCTCATGACTAAACTACATATCCATGGGGGTGACTCCGGAGAGCCTTATGGAAAAACAGCATTTGGAAGCTTAAAGGACTGTGCAAGATTTTACCTGTTGCCTACTGTGTAGGAGACAGCATTTGGAGAATGAGGTCAGGCAAGTTAACTGTCTTTTAGAGCAAACTCATCTTCGGAGGAAGATGGAAAAGTGTAGAGGTTGTTACAATGTATCAAACATAATGTACAGTAGTCAATTAAAAAAATCACTAAACCTGTGAAGAAACAGGAAAATATAATCCATACTCAAGTAAAAGTTATCATTACTTTTACTTGAGTAAAAGTAATTATCATTTTTATAATAACTTAGAAGATAAATGAATAATGAATGAACAGTTACAGCCTCTTAACATGGATACAGAAAGTATAAAACAAACTAGAAATTCTGGAATTGAAAAATACAACAAGTAAAATTTAAAAATTGGCCTATGGGTTAACCCTGCTCCACAAGGAGCAGTAAAAAAAAATAATTAAAAAAATGAAATGAAATGAAAAATTCACTGTATGTTCTCAACAGCAGGTTGGAGGCAGTGAGGAAAAAAGTGCCAGTGAACTTGGAAATAAGTTAATAGAATTGGACCAATCTGAAGAATGGAGAGGAAAAGAAGACTGAAGAAAAACAAACAGCATCAGAGTCCTGTTGAATAACAACAAGAAGTAGAACAAGAGCCCTAGAATGAGTAGGATTGAGGCAGAAAAAAATACTTGAAAAAGTAATGGCTGAAAACTGATCAAATTTTATAAAAGATTTTGACATACAGATCCAAAAAGCTCAAAGAATTCAAAGTAGGATGAATACAAAGAAACTCCACACCTAAGCACACTGTAATCAAACTGCTGAAACCAAAAATAAAGTCTTGAAAGCAGCCAGAGGAAAGCCACATGTGACAGAGGAACAATTATATGTGTATGTGTGTGTGTGTGTATGTATGTGTATATATATAATATATATAATACATATATAATATATAAAATATACATATATATTATATATATATTATATATAATATATTATATATATTATATATAATATATTATATATATTATATATAATATATTATATATATTATATATAATATATTATATATAATATATTATATATATATTATATATAATATATTATATATATATATATATATATATATCAGCTGACTTCTCGATGGAAATAATGGGGCCTAGAAAACAATGGAATGACATCGCTAAAATGTCAAAAGACAAAATATTGTCAACTCAGAATTCTACATCCAGCAAAATTATCTTTCAACAATTAAAGTGAAATAAAGCCATTCTCAGACACATAAGAACAGAAAATTCATTGCCAGCAGACCTCCACCACAAGAAATGTTAAAAGAAGTTATTCAGTCTGATGAGATGTGCCATCAAGTAGTAACTCAGATCTATAGTGATGAATGCATGTAACTGGAAACTGATATGGTTAATATAATTTTTAAAACTTCTGGTCATTAAAAGACACTATTAAGAAAATGAGTAGGCAAGCCACAAGCTGGGAGAAAAGATTTGCAAAACATATCTGACAAAGAACTTGTATCCACAATACATAAAGAACTCCTACAATTAATAATAAAATATAACCTAATTTTAAAAATAAGAGGACAAATTAAAGACACAAAGGAAGTTATACGAATGGGTGTGGAAAAGGTACTCAAAATCGTTAAACACCAGGGAAATGCAAATTAAAACATAATGAGGTGCCATTTTATATTCACTAGGAAGGCTAAATTTAAAAGGATTAACAACAACAAATGTTGGCAAAAATGTAGAATAGCAAAAATTGATGTTATCTTCTGTCACCCTAATCCTCCAAAATCTTGTCCTTGTCTGCTCTTCACATCCTTCCAGCCTCATCTTTGCCACTCTTTTCTGTGACTACTGCTCTCAAGCCACGCTGGCTTTCTTTTAGTATCAGGAACATCCTAAACTCCTTCTTGCAAATGCTGTTCTTCAGCTGCTCCTTCTCCTGGCCAAACTCTACTCTGCAAATCTTAGATTAAATCTTCCTTAGTGAAGTCTTCCTTGACATTACACTTCAGCATGGATTGAGTAATCTCTGTATTACACACTCATAGTATTCTATACTTGTCCTTCTTAGCATTTAACACAATTGTAACTAAGTAATTATTTGTGGCATAATCTGCTTCTCCACTAAATTACAAGCTCCAGAAAACAGCATGAGTCTGTCTTTTTATCTCAGATCCATTGTAAGCACTCAAGAAATATTTGTTAAATTAATGAATGAAAAGGAAATGAGATCAAAATAAAACAAGCCAGGGCCAATTTCTGAGTGGTAAACATGATGTCAACATTGTATATAGATTGGTAGATCTGTATCAATGGTCCAAGAATGAGACCAGCTCCCTCCTCCTCATATGAAGTAGCGAAGTTTTCCTAGACTTGCCTGGTATGATTTTCTTAGTGATTATTCAGGTAGGAGGCAGTTTCTCATTTTTCTGGCTCATCTCTTTCCCAGTATATCATTGATAGAAGCTGAACTTAATGCCCCAAATGGCATCAGTACTTTCTCTTTTTTGAGACGGGGTCTCGCTCTGTCATCCAGGCTGGAGTGCAGTGGCGCAATCTTGGCTCACTGAAGTCTTCACCTCCCAGGTTCAAGCGATTCTCCCATCTCAGCCTCCCAAGTAGCTGGGATTACAGGTATGCGCCACCACACCTGGCTAACTTTTGTATTTTTAGTAGAGATGGGGCTTCACCATATTGGCCAGGCTGGTCTCCAACTCCTGGCCTCAAGTGATCTGCCCGCCTCAGCCTCTGAAAGTGCTGGGATTACAGGCGTGAGCCACCACATCCAGCTGGCATCAATACTTTCTCCCATTTCACACTCTTCTTCTTCATCTCAGAATAACAGGACTGAATACAATATGAGAAAAAGGAGTATTTGGGGCCAGGTATTGTATAATGTGGTAGAAAACAGGATGAATCTTCATGTATAAAGTAGTTACAGATGGAATGTCAATGTCCTAAGAAGTAGCATTCTAGTTTCAACTAAGGTAGATGATGTCTATTTGTCAAGAGGAGAACGATATAACATCTTTAATTTGAGTTGTCTTTCTGGGCCGTAGTGCTAATTAGTTCCTTTGATCACTAGTGTGTGTCCTGTGGACCTTCTCAGACCTAGTAGTAGATGATTTCAGTGCTCTACCTGTATCCTGTGGGCCTTAACGCTTGTGTGTTTTCTGGCAGACTTCCAGTAGCCAACATCTGCATCTGTTTTCCTAAAGACTTTTGCTGGAGCCAGGGAAGGATTCTCTCCCTAAGCTGGCCCAGATGTTCTAAGGAATTAATATCTGGCTCTGAGTAGTCCTCAACCAGATCCCTGCCCCTGTGTGTGGGAGGTATAACTCTGAAGCATGGATTTTATGTTGCTTCCATTATCTCTGCAGGATTAAGCTCTTATTGACCATAGTGGAAGCAAGCTTGATAATGCATCCTTTATTGGTTCCCTTCTCTTCCCTTTTTCACTTCCTCACTTCCCCTCTTCTCTTTCCCACCTTATGTTCAGCTTTACATCTTGAGGTGGAGATCAAAATATGAAAAGGAGGAACTGTTGATGATGCTAGTTGGGGCATCAGCTCCCCACAGCATTCCATTTGTACCTTTCAAACAACATACATGTACTTGAATCTTTGTCTAGGATTGTTCTGAACATTGGACACCCAGCTAAAGAGGCAGAATCTACTACTTGCTCAAAACTGTTGTGGTTCTTAATCACAACACCTAAGGGAGGTAATAAAGTTCCAAGAGAAACAGTATGATAGTTCCTCAACATACCTCCAGTTAAGTCAAAGGACAGTGTAAAGAACAAACAGCAGACAAGAGAAGGTCATTCCGGTAGGAAGCAATCTGCCTATGGTCATTCTGGCAATATATGTTCCATTGTCCCACACAAAAACTAGACAATTGCTACTTAAGTCATTCAAGACCACAAAAGTTGTCATGTTCAGGATTAGTCATATTTGGTTTATTTCTGGAAATACTGGAACAAACCTTTTCTTTTCTTTTCTTTTCTTTTTTTTTTTTTTTTTTTTTTTGAGACTGAGTCTTGCTCTGTCGCCCAGGCTGGAGTGCACCGGCATGATCTCAGTTCACTGCAACCTCTGCCTCCTGGATTCAAGCGATTCTCCTGTCTCAGCCTCTGGAATAGCTGGAATTACAGGCATGTGCCACCATGCCTGGCTAATTTTTGTATTTTCAGTAGAGACGGGGTTTTGGCATGTTGGCCAGGCTGATCTCAAACTCCTGACCTCAGGTGATTCACCCATCTCGGCCTTCCAAAGTGCTGGGATTACAGGCATGAGCCACCTGCGCCCAGCCACCATTTCTTACTTGTTACAAAAAATTAGGAAAAATTTCGTACTTAAAGAAAAGTTATAATAGTTCAAAAACACCTAAACTCACTTTTTCCCTATATACTTTAACATTTGCTCTCTTGATTTATCTATATACATTGGGCTGTTTTATAAGGCCTCCTTGACTTCTATTTTTGCCACCAGCCAGCTCATGGATGACTATAGCCCATTTCATTTATTCTTTGGAACACTTAGCTGATGCCCCATCTATTTTTGAAAATAGTCTCCAATTCAGAGGTGATGGTAATATTTGAGTAAATATCTATTTTATTGAAATTCTACTGGGACCTTCTATTTCTGATCCTCTTATCAACTATTCTTTAGTTTCATATGTATCTATTGCCAGTTTAAGCTGCTTGTTGATTTGATTGCAGGGTTCATTCACTATACATTGGTGCCAGCTTCTGACTGACTATATTTATAACAGAGCCAATTATATCTGTTTCTTTGCACACTTGAACATTTACCTTGCCCTTTGGGATTATGAGTAGTTTTATGGCTTTAGCACAAATGCATTAATTAACTCAACAAATATTTATTAAACACCTATGCATACTAGACACTGTTCTACTCACTGAGCACATACCAGTGAACAAAACTGTAAAAGCCTTGCTGTCCTGAAGTTTACATTCCAGAGGGGTATATATTAGTCAGCTGCATTGCTGCAACAATGCTGCACAATAAATACTTCGAATGTTCTCAGTGACATACAATAACAGACTTTTTTTTTTCCTCACTCACAGGTCTGCAGATCAAAGTTTGGCTGATCTTGGCTGGGCTTGTCTATGTTTGGCTGGGCTAGGCTGGACTCCAATCTTCAGGTCAGGTTTACATCTGCTTCACATGTCTTCATCATTCTAGAACAAGTTGCCTGCCTGAGATACATTCTTCCCACAGTGGGGGACAGAAGTACAAGAGAGGTGAGTAGAAATACATAATGCCTTTTAAGGTCTCAACTCAGGATTGTCATGGTCACTTCTGCTTACATTCCATTAGCCAAACCATGCCATGATATGACTAACATCAAGGGAGCAGAGAAATATATTCCATCAACTACAGTGGGAGGCTTTGCAAAGTCACGTGGTGATAGGCATGGCTGGATAATTCTAATATTGGGATGGGGCAGTAAAGAATTGAGAACAATGGGCCAGGTGCTGTGGCTCATGCCTGTAATCCCAGCATTTTGGTAAGCCAAGGTGGGACGACTGCTTGAGCTCAGGAGTTCAAGACCAGCCTGGGCAAAAAAGCGAGACACCATCTCAATTAAAAAAAAAATTTTATTAACTGAAAAACAATTATCCAATCTACCATCAGGAAGGGTGGGAGAAAGAAAGTAAACTAAGGTATATCAAATACATAAAGCAAGTTGTGGGCATAGAGAATGAGTAATCTTTAAGATAGGGTGGGTCAGGAAAGGCTTTTCGGAAAAGGTGACACTAAAGCTGAGTCCTGAAGTAAAGAATCAAGATAATGGAGAGAACAGTGAATGAAAAAGTGCCAAGATGGGCACTTGCTTGAAAGGATCAAGGAACCACAAGGAAGCCAATGTGGCTGAAGCAGAATGAGGAAGAGGGAGAACAGCAGGAAATGAAACTGTCTAGAGATATAATTGCTGAGTCCTAAGATATCTGAAGCTCCTAGATTACTAAGTATTAAGAAATTAATTTCTAAAATTTTTTTTTTGAGACAACGTCTTACTCTGTTACCCAGGCTGGAGGACAGTGGAGTGATCCAACTCTTGGGCTCAAGCAATCCACCTGCTTCAGCCTCCCAAGATAGCTGGGAATACAGGTGTGCACCACTGTGGCTGGCTAACTTTTTTCTTTTTCGTAGAGATGAGGTCTCATTATGTTGCCCAGGCTGGTCTTGAACTCCTAAACTCAAGTGACCCTCCTGCCTCAGCCTCCCAAAGTGCTGTGATTACAGGCATGAGCCACTGTGCCCTACCTAAAATGTTTTTTAACCAGTTTGTACTCCCACCAGCAGTGTATACAAATTCCTATTTTATCAGAAGATAAGGGAAGAAAAAAAGTCTGATAATGTGAGCCTTTTAAATGTAATAATAATTTTATTATGTATTTACACATTTTACTATAACGTTATATTAATAATCTCATAATATGTATTATAATTTTATTAAACATTTTATTGTTAGTGTTTTGTTTTTTATTTCCCTAATTACTAGTAAAATTGAACAAACATCTTTCTTGTGTTATTAGCCATTTGGATTTCCTTTTGTAAATTAATTATGCAGATCCTTTGCCAAACTTTCTTTTCTCTCTCTCTCTCTCTCTCTTTTTTTTTTTTTAGAGCTGTGGTCTCACTGTGTTGCCCAGGCTGGAGTGCAGTGGTGTGATCATAGCTCACTGCAGCCTTGACCTCCTGGGCTCAAGCAATCCTCCCACCTTGGCCTCCTGCGTAGCTGAGACTACAGGCACGTACCAACACATCCAGCTAATTTTTTTTTTTTTTTTTTTTTTTACTTTTTGTAGAGACGAGTTCTCAATATGTTTTCCAGGCTGGTCTCACATTCCTGGGCTCAAGCAATCCTCCTGCCTTGGCCTCCCAAACTGCCTCGATTACAGGCATGAGCCACCGTGCCTGACCCCTTCACCAATTTTTCTATTGGGTAATTTGGCCCCATCCCTCCTTTTTCTTTGCATAGAGTTTATTTGTATATTCTAGATACTGATCCTTTGTTTGTTATATATAGTAAATATCTACTTACAAGCCAGCTTATCTCTTTGACTGCTTTATGTTATATCTTGTAGTATAGAAGTTTTAGGTTTTTGTGTTTTGTTTTATTTTGTTTCTTTGTTTTGTTTTGATAGAGTCTCTCTCTGTTGCCCAGGTTGGAGTGCAGTGGCATAATCCCGGCTCACTGCAACCTTCGCCTCCTGGGTTCAAGCAATTCTCCTGTCTCAGCCTCCCGAGTAGCTGGGACTACAGAAACGCACCACCACGCCCAGCTAATTTTTGTATTTTTAGTAGAGACAGGGTTTCACCATATTGGTCAGGCTGGTCTCGAACTCCTGACCTCAGGTGATCCACCCGCCTGGGCCTCCCAAAGTGTTGGGATTACAGGCGTGAGCCACGACATCCAGCCAAAGTTTTAGTTTTAAAACAGTAAAATGTATCAAGACTTTTTGTTGTGGTTTGTAAATGTTGTTTCTCTTAAGAACACCTAAATTCATAAAACTTTTATTATTATTCTCTAATTTTTTACCTTCAAAAATATTCTTGTTTATTTTGCAGAATTTCAAACCCAGAGAAAAGTTGAATACTAAAATGAATACTGTTATACCTCTCACCTATATTTATCAACTATTAACATCTTGACACATTTGCTCTCTCTATCTCTCTGTCTCTATGTGTATTTTTTTCCTTTTTGACAAAACATCTGAAAGTGAGTGTAGGCATTGTGATATTTTACCTCTAAATATTTCAGCTTATCTCGGCTGGGCGCAGTGGCTCACACCTGTAATTCCCAGCACTTTGGGAGGCTGAGGTGGGCAGATCACTTGAAGTCAAGAGTTCGACACCAGCCTGGCCAACATGGTGAAACCACATCTCTACTAAAAATACAAAAATTAGTTGGTATGGTGGTGCATGCCTGTAATTCCAGCTCCTCGGGAGTCTGAGGCGAAAGAATCGCTTGAACCCAGGAAGCAGAAGTTGCAGTGAGCCAAGCTCACGCCACTGCATTCCAACCTGGACGACAGAGTGACACAGTGTCTCAAAAAAAAAAAAAAAGATAAATATTTCAGCATATTTTCCAGGAAACAATGACATTCTCCTACATATCCACAGCATCATTACCACACCTGAGGGAAAAAATCGTTAATTCAACACAACTTCCAACATTCTTTTCATACTCAAATTTCCTAAATTGTCAAAGAAAAAGGTTTATGCTTTTTTTTTTTTTTTTTTGAGATGGAGTTTTGCTCTTATTGCCCAGGCTAGAGTGCAGTCGTGCAATCTTGGCTCACAGCAACCTCCATCTTCTGGTTTCAAGCAAGTCTCCTGCCTCAGCCTCCCAAGTTGCTGGGATTACAGCCTCCCGCCACCATGCTCAGCTAATTTTTTTGTATTTTTAGTAGAGACAGGGTTTCACCATGTTGGTCAGGCTGGTCTTGAACTGCTAACCTCCTGATCCACCCACCTTGGCCTCCCAAAGTGCTGGGATTACAGGCATGAGCCACCACACCCGGCCCAGTTTATACATTTTTTAAAAGTCCAGATTCAATGGATTTCATCTGACTGTTATATGCCTATAGTCTCCTCCAGTTTAAACAATACTATTACCTCCTTCTGCTCTTCATAATATTAAATCCTTACATAGTGGCCAGTTATCTCATAGACTGTCCCATATTCTGGATTTTTGTTTGACTATTTATCGTTAGATTTCGGGCAGACATTTCTAACAAAACACCACACAAGTGATGGTGTATACCTCCTACTGTATCATATCTAAAGGCACATGATGGGCTGGGTGTGGTTGTGCACACCTGCAATCCCAGTATTTTGGCAGGCCAAGGCAGGAGGATGACTTGAGGCCAGGAGTTCAAGGCTACAGTGAGCTATGATTACACCACTGCACACCAGCCTGGGCAACAGAGCGAGACCCTGTCTCAAAAAAAAACCGCACATGGTGACCACTTAGTTAAGATTGTGATTGCCAAATATTTGCATTGTAAAGATACATTTCCCCTTTGGAACTAATAAATATTTAGTGGAGTGATAATTTGATATCCTGTTTCCAAATAACCATTTAATGATGACCTATCGGTGATCCTTGCCTTAATTATGTTGCAGATTATAAAATAATGATTTTCAACTTCTATCATTCCTTCTATATTTATTAGCTGACATTCTTCTATACAAAAAAAAAGCTACCTCTACTTTTTTCCTTTTTCACTGACTCTGTCTTTTGTTGAATGTCACTATGGACTGATGGATTTTTTTTTTCCCAGAGTATATACTTTATTGGGACAGGAGAGGCTACGTGTGTCATGGTGTCTTTTTGCTATTTTCTTATTATTATTATACTTTAAGTTCTAGGGTACATGTGCACAACGTGCAGGTTTGTTACATATGTATACATGTGCCATGTTGGTGTGCTGCACCCATTAACTCGTCATTTACATTAGGTATATCTCCTAATGCTATCCCTCCCCACCCCACGACAGGCCCCGGTGTGTGATGTTCCCCTTCCTGTGTCCAAGTGTTCTCATTGTTCAATTCCCACCTGTGAGTGAGAACATGCGGTGTTTGGTTTTCTGTCCTTGCGATAGTTTGCCGAGAATGATGGTTTCCAGCTTCATCCATGTCCCTACAAAGGACATGAACTCATCATTTTTTATGGCTGCATAGTGTTCTATGGTGTATATGTGCCACATTTTCTTAATCCATTCTATCATTGTTGGACTTTTGGGTTGGTTCCAAGTCTTCGCTATTGTCAGTAGTGCCACAATAAACATACGTGTGCATGTGTCTTTATAGCAGCATGATTTATACTCCTTTGGGTATATACCCAGTAATGGGATGGCTGGGTCAAATGGTATTTCTAGTTCTAGATCCTTGAGGAATCGCCACACTGTCTTCCACAATGGTTGAACTAGTTTATAGTCCCACCAACAGTGTAAAAGTGTTCCTATTTCTCCACATCCTCTCCAGCACCTGTTGTTTCCTGACTTTTTAATGATCACCATTCTAACTGGTGTGAGATGGTATCTCATTGTGGTTTTGATTTGCATTTCTCTGATGGCCAGTGATGATGAGCATTTTTTCATGTGTCTGTTGGCTGCATAAATGTCTTCTTTTGAGACGTGTCTGTTCATATCCTTCGCCCACTTTTTGATGGGGTTGTTTGATTTTTTCTTGTAAATTTGTTTAAGTTCTTTGCGGATTCTGGATATTAGCCCTTTGTCAGATGGGTAGATTGCAAAAATTTTCTCCCATTCTGTAGGTTCCCTGTTCATTCTGATGGTAGTTTCTTTTGCTGTGCAGAAGCTCCTTAGTTTAATTAGATCCCATTTGTCAATTTTGGCTTTTGTTGCCATTGCTTTTGGTGTTTTAGACATGAAGCCCTTGCCCATGCCTATGTCCTGAATGGTATTGCCTAGGTTTTCTTCTAGGGTTTTTATGGGTTTAGGGCTAACATTTAAGTCTTTAATCCATCTTGAATTAATTTTTGTATAAGGTGTAAGGAAGGGATCCAGTTTCAGCTTTCTACATATGGCTAGTCAGTTTTCCCAGCACCATTTATTAAATAGGGAATCTTTTCCCCATTTCTTGTTTTTGTCAGGTTTGTCAAAGATTAGATGGTTGTAGATGTGTGGCATTATTTCTGAGGGCTCTGTTCTGTTCCATTGGTCTATATCTCTGTTTTGGTACCAGTACCATGCTGTTTTGGTTACTGTAGCCTTGTAATGTAGTTTGAAGTCAGGTAGCATGATGCCTCCATCTTTGTCCTTTTGGCTTAGGATTGTCTTGGCAATGCGGGCTCTTTTTTGGTTCCATATGAACTTTAAAGTAGTTTTTTCCAATTCTGTGAAGAAAGTCATTAGTAGCTTGATGGGGATGGCATTGAATCTATAAATTGCCTTGGGCAGTATGGCCATTTTCACGATATTGATTTTTCCTAGGACTCATGGATTTTTAAAAAAATTCAAAGTGTAATAATCTAGTACTTTCATTACTCTTTTTGATGCTTAGATTTCCTCTGGATCGGCCAGTGAAGGTCCCTAAAGTTTGCTTTTCACATATAGGCCTTTGATCTTTTGGAACTTAAAAACAAAAAGATCACAAAGCAGGGATGTAGTTTTATGTTTTTTTCCGTATTTAACCAGTTACATCAGCCCCATTAGGTGGACAGTCCATAGTTCCCTCATTCTGTTTTTTTTTTTTTAATGTTTCTTCTGTATTTCTAGGCTTTCTATTCTGTTCTGTTTATGTAATCATGTGCCAATACCACATTATCTATTTTTTTTTCTTTTTGAGAAGGAGGGAGAAACAGGGTGTCACTGTGTTGTTCAGGCTTGTTTTGAACTCCTGTCCTCAAGCGATCCTCCCACCTCAATCTCCCAAGTAGTTGGGATTATAGGTGTGAGCCACTGCACCTGACTTCCACAGTCTTAATTACAATAATTTGATAAGTCATCTTCACATCAGGTAATGTAAATGTCTCCATCCTTTTATTTTTCACAATTATCTTGGCCCTTTTGGGCCCTTTGCAAAAAGGACAGAATGAGCTGTCCTGAATTTGGGTACCTGACTCTTGTTCATTTTCCACAGAAAAAAAAATCTGTGAGATTTTTGTTGTGAATTGCATTGAATCCACAGGTTAATTTGGATATTTACCATCTTATAGATTCAAAATATTAAGCAGATATTGATAGTATTACAAGGAAAAAATTTAAAACGTGAAGCCATCATGGGAGACTTAACACAGAAAAACATAAAACAAAGAGTAGTAAAGATGGTGCGGTGTGGTGGCTCAGGCCTGTAATCCCAGCACTTTGGGAGGCCGAGGCAGGTGGATCACTTGAGGTCAGGGGTTCAAGACCAGCCTGGCCAACATGGTGAAACCCCGTCTCTACTAAAAATACAAAAATTAGCCAAGTGTGATGGTGAGTGCCTGTAATCCCAGCTACTCAGGAGGCTGAGGCAGGAGAATCACTTGAACCCGGGAGGCAGAGGCTGCAGGAAGCCAAGATCACGCCACTGCACTCCAGCCTGGGAGACAGAGCAAGACTCCATCTCAAAACAAACAAACAAAAACACCAAAGAGCAGTAAAGAAACAGAAGATTTAAACAATAAAATATGCTTGAGTAATGTATATGTAAATATGTATACCTACGTATATACTTTAGTTATGTCCTTTTCATGCTTTCACTCTTTTTTTTTTTTTTTTTTGCTTAATTAGGTTTACTTGTAGTTTGCCTTTCATTTAGTTTTTGTCCAAAGAAATAGATTTTAGTCTGTCATTTGAACCTAAGGTTTTTTCATATTTTTACAAAGTTTAGTTTAAAAATTTTCTTCCTTCTTTGGTCTTTTCTAGTTATTCTTTTACAGGTTCGTGAATTGCATGCATAACTCATTTATTTTAAACTATTTTTGTTGGTTGTTTTGTTTTTAATGCATCTATGGGTTTTGGTTATAGTAATTCTTTCATGGTTGTTTAGTTCTAAATATTTTATCATTTCCATTGTGATTTCCTTTTTACCCAATTTTTTTAGGGAGCATTATTTTGTCCTAAAAGATGTAGAGCTTTGTTTTTGTTTTTGTTTCTGTTTGTTTCTGTTTTGTTTTGTTTTGAAGAGTCTAGTTCTGTTACCCATGCTGGAGTGCAGTGACGTGATCTCAGCTCACTGCAACCTCTTCCTCCCAGGCTCAAGCAATTCTTGTGTCTCAGCCTCCCAAGTAGCTGGGACTACAGGCACCTGCCATTGCACCCAGCTATTTTTTTTATTATTATACTTTAAGTTCTAGGGTACATGTGCACAACATGCAGGTTTGTTACATATGTATTCATGTGCCATGTTGGTGTGCTGCACTCATTAACTCGTCATTTACATTAGGTATATCTCCTAATGCTATCCCTCCCCCCTCCCCACTCCCCCCACCCCACAACAGGCCCTGGAATGTGATGCTCCCCTTCCTGTGTCCAAGTGTTCTCATTGTTCAATTCCCACCTATGAGTGAGAACATGTGGTGTTTGGTTTTTGGTCCTTGCGATAGTTTGCTGAGAATGATGGTTTCCAGCTTCATCCATGTCCCTACGAAGGACATGAACTCATCATTTTTTATGGCTGCATAGTATTCCATAGTGTATATGTGCCACATTTTCTTAATCCAGTCTATCATTGTTGGACATTTGGGTTGGTTCCAAGTCTTTGCTATTGTGAATAGTGCCACAATAAACACACGTGTGCATGTGTCTTTATAGCAGCATGATTTATACTCCTTTGGGTATATACCCAGTAATGGGATGGCTGGGTCAAATGGTATTTCTAGTTCTACATCCCTGAGGAATCGCCACACTGACTTCCACAATGGTTGAAATAGTTTACAATCCCACCAACAGTGTAAAAGTGTTCCTATTTCTCCACATCCTCTCCAGCACCTGTTGTTTCCTGACTTTTTAATGATTGTCATTCTAACTGGTGTGAGATGGTATCTCGTTGTGGTTTTGATTTGCATTTCTCTGATGGCCAGTGATGATGAGCATTTTTTCATGTGTCTGTTGGCTGCATAAATGTCTTCTTTTGAGAAGTGTCTGTTCATATCCTTCGCCCACTTTTTGATGGGTTTGTTTGATTTTTTCTTGTAAATTTGTTTGAGTTCTTTGCGGATTCTGGATATTAGCCCTTTGTCAGATGGGTAGATTGCAAAAATTTTCTCCCATTCTGTAGGTTCCCTGTTCACTCTGATGGTAGTTTCTTTTGCTGTGAAGGAGCTCTTTAGTTTAATTAGATCCCATTTGTCAATTTTGGCTTTTGTTGCCATTGCTTTTGGCGTTTTAGACATGAAGTCCTTGCCCATGCCTATGTCCTGAATGGTAATGCCTAGGTTTTCTTCTAGGGTTTTTATGGTTTTAGGTCTAACATTTAAGTCTTTAATCCATATTGCATTAGATGGGGAAAAAACAGAGCAGAAAAACTGAAAATTCTAAAAATCAGAGCGCCTCTCCTCCTCCAAAGGAATGCAGCTCCTCACCAGCAACGGAACAAAGCTGGACGGAGAATGACTTTGATGAGTTGAGAGAAGAAGGCTTCAGACAATCAAACTTCTCCGAGCTAAAAGAGGAAGTTCGAACCCACAGCAAAGAAGTTAAAAACATTGCAAAAAGATTAGACGAATGGCTAACTAGAATAACCAATGCAGAGAAGTCCTTAAAGGACCTGATGGAGCTGAAAACCACGGCACGAGAACTACGTGACGAATGCACAAGCCTCAGTAGCCGATTTGATCAACTGGAAGAAAGGGTATCAGTGATGGAAGATCAAATGAATGAAATGAAGCGAGAAGAGAAGTTTAGAGGAAAAAGAATAAAAAGAAATGAAAAAAGCCTCCAAGAAATATGGGACTATGTGAAAAGACCAAATCTACGTCTGATTGGTGTACCTGAAAGTGACGGGGAGAATGGAACCAAGTTGGAAAACACTCTGCAGGATATTATCCAGGAGAACTTCCCCAATCTATTTTTTCTTTTTTTAAGTAGAGATGGGGTTTCACCATGTTGGCCAGGCTGATCTCAAACTCCTGGACTCAAGTGATCCATCTGCCTCTGCTTCCCAAAGTGCTGGGATTACAGGCATGAGCCACCATGTCTGGCCAAGTATTTTTTTTTAATCACTCTCATTATTGAGTTCTAATTTAATTTCATTACAGTCAGGATCCATGGACTGATATATCCTTTGACATTTATTAAAACTATATAGTATTTGGTCGATTTTTTGTAAGTACTCTAGATAGATCTAAAAATCAAAGTTTCTCTTTTTGTTGCTTGTGCTATCTAGATTTTATCCTATTGGATTTTTATTCCAATTAGTACTTTTTCATTTTAATGATTGATAGTTGGTTCTTTCTTATTTAAACCTGTTCTTGTTTTATTTCTACCTGTTTTTGTTTCACAGTTTTGGGTCTTTTTTTTAAATTTATGATTCTGTCATGTATCTGTGCATCCTAAGAATAGTCTTTATCACATTATACCCCAAATTAATCTAGAATGATTTCATATTCTGATTGTTGACTTTGTTAGTTTTTTTCTGAACTTTTTTTTTCAGACAGAGTCTTGCTCTGTTGCCCAGGCTGGAGTGCAGTGGCATGACCATGGTCACTGGAGACCCGACCTCCCGGGCTCAAGGATTCAGAAACTACAGGACTTCCCAAGCTCCTAGGACTACAGGAGTGCGGCACCGCACCCAGCTAATTTTGTAATTTTTTGTACAGATAGGGTCTCACTATGTTGTCAGGGCTGGTCTCAAACTAATTGGCTCAAGCAATCCTCTTGCCTTGGCCTCCCAAAGTGCTGGAATTACAGGCATGAGCCACCACGCCCAACTGAACATTTCTTTACATGTCTGGAATTCTTATTTGTAGGCACAAACATTTGGTTTATTTGTTTTTGTTTCTTTCTCCCTCTATGCTTATTCTATCATACCTGGTAGTTTTGGGGTTTCCTTACATTGGCCAAAGGCCTCAGTCCAGAATCAGGTCTGATAATGTGATATTTTAGATTTTCTGTTCTATTATGCTACCAAGGAATATCAGAGACACAGTTAATGAACCCACAGGCTGCTTAGTTTAGCAAGGTTATATTTGTGTCCTTCTCCCTCGTTAGGTCTGCTGTTCCAAATAAGCTAGTTAGTGCTGGGCAGCAGTTTTTGTTTAGCTTCTTTTCTAGAGCTCCTCTTTGATGTAGGGTTGTGAAGCTGGCTTTAGTCCGTGTCTTGAGAAGCACTTTTAGTCCCTTTCACCCCATAGGAGCTATCTCCCTGTTCACCTATGCTTTCTCTGGGACTTACAGCTTACGAAGTCTAGGGCTTAGCTTGAATCATACCATTGCTTTTTTCTTTTTTCCAGTCTATGAAAATGTTTATCTCGTTTTGACTGGACTATTCTCTCTCTCTCTCCCTCTCTCTCTTCCCACTTAACCTATTATAAAATATATACGGAACAAAGAGAGTGCACGAAAGGGTAATTTACTGAGCTATCTGACTGGAAATTCACTTAAGTTTTTTTTTTTTTTTTTTTTTTTTTTTTTTGAGACAGGGTCTCACACTCTGTCGCCCAGGCTGGAGTGCAGTGACTCAATCCCAGCTCACTGCAACCTCAGCCTCCCAGGTTCAAGCAATTCTTCTGCCTCAGCTTCCCAAGCAGCTGGGATTACAGGTGCGCGCCACCATGCCTGGCTGATTTTTGTGTTTTTAGTAGAGACGGGGTCTCACCATATTGGCCAGGCTGGTCTCGAACTCCTGGTCTCAAGTGATCCGCCCGCCTTGGCCTCCCAAAGTGCTGGGATTACAGGTGTAAGCCATAGCACCCGGCCCACTTAAGCCTTTTAAGGAATTATTTACAAGCAAAGAAAAAGAGAAAAAAGAAAATAGAAAGCATTCAGTTTCTAAAGGAGCAATGAAAATTATCTTTGCTTAAAAGATAATTCTCCAGTAGCAAAGTGGAAAACTTAGTTATAATTACTGCCAATTATCCTCTAATAGCCAGGGCACTTGTTACTGTCTTCCTTTCTTTTCTTTTTTCTTTTTGTTTTTTGAGATGAAGTCTCACTCTGTTGCCCAGGTTGGAGTGCAATGGCGCAGCCTCGGCTCACTGCAACCTCCGCCTCCCGGGTTTCAAGCAATTCTCCTACCTCAGCTTCCCAAGTAGCTGGGAATACAGGTGCCTGCCACCACGCCTGGCTAATTTTTGTATTTTTAGTAGAGATGGGGTTTCACCATGCTAGCCAGGCTGGTCTCGAACTCCCGACCTCAGGCAATCCGCCTGCCTTGGCCTCCCAAAGTGCTGGGATTACAGGCGTGAGCCATCGTACCTGGCGTTACTTTCTTATTATCTCGCTTCTTCCACCTTCACTCAGACTTACTTTCTTCTCTTCGCCCCATTTAGAACTTTTGTTCCCTGAAGAGTCATCAGTGTTCAGCATCCTGTCAATTTAGTCATATAATGAAAGTATTCAAACTAAATTACGAATAAAGATTGTGAACCCAGTGAGTACTTAACCAGTTAATGTATAGGTTAGAGTTTGTGTGAGTGGTAATGTGAGGAGGGAGAGTTGGCTTTGACTACATGCCTGTTCTTATAAGCAGACAAAGGCCCAGAAACAGCCTGAAGAGCCTCTGAACTAAGGCCACTTGAAGCAAGGAGGCACAAGTAATTCTGCCATAACGAAACTCACCTGATTGGAAGAGGGGCGTGAAGAAAGGGTTTTCTAAGGCAGGATCAAAATGAGGTGTGTGTATATATGTCTGTTTGTGTATCTGTGTGTGGGTGCATACAAGTGTGTGCTGTGTATAAGCTCCAACCCACAGGAATAAAAGCATAAGTATTAACTTAAAGGGCTTCCAGTTACCATCTGGAAATGTTTGGGAATTACTGATCAGGACCAGGATTACAAGAATTATATAATTGCTCAATGTCTATTATTTGGGTTTTCTGCAAAGGTTACTAGTGAATCTCTAAATTAAACCAAATAGACCCAAGGGCTTATCTTTACATGCAGCAAGAGGTGAAGCTGGACACTATAGTCCATTTCATTGCCAGCTTTGGGGAGAAGAATGGATCTCAACCAATACAGCAGTAGTGGCAGCAACTAAGGGTATGAAAGACAAAATGAGTATCAGGAACTTTATGTGTGAAATCTAGTCTGAGTGTGAAAGGGATCTTTAGCCATCAAAAGACCTATATGATTGCCTGAAAATACCACCTCCTCCCTCCGTACTTAGCTTTACAGGATATATAAAACATGGAAAATCTTTCAGTTTGTATAGATATAGATGTAGATGTATTATAGATATAGATAGATAGGCCTATCTATCGATCTATCATCTATCAATCTATTATCTATCTATCTATTTATCTATCTATCCATCTGCTGAAGGAAGCCCTGTAGTCCCATTTGGCTCAGTAAAACATAATTGATGCTTAAGGAATCAAAGCGGTCACCAGCCTGTCAAGAATTTGATGGAGTTTACATGAAACTATCTTCTGGGGGCGGGGCGGGGGGAAGGAAGAATCTGATGGAATCTCTGGCTCTCTTCACAGAAGAATACATATACAAGTTTTGTATAGAATTTCAGGGAGTTTGTGGATGCCTGGTTAAGGTATCTCCCTGCCTAGGGAGAAGCAGTGGTTTTACGTAATAGACTGTAAATGTTTCAAATTACCAATCCTCACAGTAAGTGGGACCCCATGGATTCCCTGGAATCTACCCAGCACCTCTCAGTTCCTTTGAGTAGTAGGTCTTATATCCATTGATATTTATTCCATTTCTGGTAATGCTATTAAGTTCAGATTCAACAGTATTTGTCCAAGTGCTTTCCATCCTGAGTATACCCAAAGCCACACATAATAAAGAAAATTCCAAACAGAAGTAATTAACATTCTTCTCCACGGGCCATTCTGGTCCATGAGATCCCTGATACCCAAAGAGGTCTCTGGTCTACACACTGCATCTTTCACTAGTTTCTTTCATTCATGACTCTAAACATTGTTGTTTTCTTTTAGAAATGTTTTTCTTAAGTGAGTTATTTACTTTATGACTATCATATATATTTTGGATCCAATGCACGCAAAAGACATTTCATCAGCTTTAATGCTGTCTCCTCAAGTAATATGGACATGATATTAGGAGAGTTTCCCAGAATTTATGTGACCATTCCCAACTCAGCTTCTCCCCTGCTTTTAAGACAAGCTATAGTTAGGTTTTCCTATCACCACCACAGTCCTGACTTTGGTAAATTTTTCTCTCTCACACTTAGAGATTCCATCTCAGACCTTGGCCCTTCATCTTTAGCAGGTGATACTGTAGTCACCGGACCAACCCCCAGCCTTGATCTCTCTGTTGGAATCACAGTGACGTTTTCATCACAGGCAGGCGATCTGGAAGTTAAGTAGTTGAGAAGAGAGATGATCCCTACGGGAAGGGAATAATTTGAGGTGAGGTTCAATAGGCAATGGTCTTTTGGCTTTTAAAATTCTTATGCATCCTTTAATAACCAGTTCAAGAGGCATCTTTTCAGTGAACCCCTCTCTCCCCCAGTGGAGTTACTTTACCCTCCTGTGCTCTAATTGCATTATAATATTTCTCAGACTGATTAGGACAAAGCTTGAACCTCCTGGATTCAGATCATAGTTCCACTATTTTCTGTGTGGTCTTGGGCAAGTTACTCAACTTGTCCATGCCTCACTTTGTGATAGAGCAGGTTACTAATGCTAGGTTTTCAGACTCTAAAATCCACCCTTTCTTCATTATGCCCCCCTGACTCTCCAAGTATCAGTGTTCTGAAAAGGAACAGTCAGTGCTTCTATTTCTCCTGGATTATACCTCCCTTTCCAGAAGCGATTTCCCTATCCATCCTTCTAGCATAGAGCAGGGAAGTGACTCACCAGCAAACATGTAAAAGATGTCACTGCACCAGTTAAGATAATAGGTCCATAGGAGATCTGACTCCATGGCATCCCTAGTATGCCAGTGAACCTGTGCCACAAACAGGTTGAGGCAGAGGAGCAAGCAGGTAGCTAGGACCAGAAGGAAAGATGTCACAACCCATCAGCATCTTCAGTCTGTCTTCCCCGCCACCCCCAGCTCTTTGGCCTCCAGAGGCCATATGTATAGCGAGGATCAAAAAGATAAAAACCTGGGGACTGACCAAGATGAGAGAAAGGCTCTATACCCTGGTAAAGTCAGCTAAGGTGTGTTCTATATAATTAGATAAGGCAGATAGCTGGCAAGTTGGTGTGATACTGAAGAAGAGCAAAGAGATAAGAAAAAGAGTATGAGAGTTCCACAGAGAAAATTTGTTACCTTGACTATTTTACCATGGTAAAATACCCTGCCAGTCTAGGTCTGTACCTGAGATGAAGCTGAGCATGGATACCTTCAGATCCAAGTTGGTGGTCATGCTTCCTCGATTAAGGATCCAAGAGCTGAAGAGCCAGCCAAGGCCAGTAAGTATGGTAAAGACAGAGATGAGAAAGAA
Source organism: Homo sapiens (assembly GCF_000001405.40). Classification (NCBI taxonomy): domain Eukaryota; kingdom Metazoa; phylum Chordata; class Mammalia; order Primates; family Hominidae; genus Homo; species Homo sapiens. The sequence continues at coordinate 72,406,624 of NC_000015.10, read as the reverse complement.
GGCCCTGGAATATTGGAGATAATCTGCATGAAGAAGAGGAAAGGAAGACCGTGGTTAGTCCAGTGAGGGACCTTCCCTTAAAAAGGCCAGATAGAGTCTTAGAGAAGGATTTAAGAACAAAGGATGATGGAGCAGAGCTTGCTACATGACATCCTTTTTGCTTGGAATTTCTTTACTATGATTGTTAAACTAAAGATAATATACAAATACTTCTGCATGCATTGATTTAGATATAAACTAGCTTATAAAAGGTGTCACCAATGACAAAACAGATTAAACCTTTTTCTTGTTTCTAATTCTAATTCTAAAAGTAGTAAGTAATACGCGTTCAACATAAGTATTCAAAAGACTACAAAAGAACAAAGAAGCAGGAAAAAAATTAGCCACAATTTGACTACCTAGAGGCAACCATTGTTAATATTTTATTTTTCTACCCTCTGTACATAGTAGATATGATACTAGATATCATGTGGGTTTTTTTCTTAAGAATATATGATGTGATTTTCCCCATTATCTGTTGTAAATATTATTTTCGATGGCTACAAAATATTCTATCATATTAATATACTTTGCTTAATGACTTACCCATTGTTTAGTTCCATTGGTTTTTCACTTCCAGCTCTATCTGGCATGTACAGGCCTTGTCAGCCTATGACTACAAAATGAAGTCACATTTACTTTATTTATCTATTTCTTTATTTTATTATTATTTTTTTGAGACAGAGTCTCATTCTGTCACCCAGAGTAGCTGAGATTACAGGCACATGCCACCATGCCTGGCTAATTTTTGTTTTTTTTTAGTAGAAACAGGGTTTCACCATGTTGGCCAGGCTGGTCTTGAACTCCTGACCTCAGGTGATCTGCCCGCCTTGACCTCTCAAAGTGCTGGGATTAAAGGCGTGAGCCACCTCGCCCAGCCTCATTTACTTTAATTCCATATTATGATGATTTCAAGCCCCAATTTACCAAGCTGCAGGAACTTACCACAAAGTGTTTCCCTCCACTTTTTTTTTATTCTGAGAGTCCCCCAAAGTCCTATCTCATATTTGTTCAAGTTGCTCTTATCCAAGTGCCACACCTCTCCTTCTTCCATCTTTGGCTCTAGGTGTCTTCTCTTTGGCTCTGCCACTGCGGACTGGATGTTGGTAAGAGAGCAGCGGGGATATGCTCAACCTTACTTTTTGCTACCACATCCCTAAGATGGAACAGGTTCTTCGACTTCCCCATCAATATTTTACTGAAGATTTAGAAGATAACTTATAATTACAAGTAGCTATAGCTTTTCTGAGCTACCAGACACCCAGGAATATCTTCAGTATCCCTTATAAGGTGCCTCCTTATCTAGCTTCTTTTTCTGTCCCAGTGTAGCAGGGACCAGCTCACCCCCACCCCAGTGGTTAGAAAGTTCTCTAACCACTTATATGCCTAAGAATCCAAGTCCAGCTTCTGAGTAACCCAGAGAGCAGAAATTATGTATCAAGCTTATCCAGTCTAATATCTGCCTCCTTGTTTCATTTTGTTCTCCAGAACCTGCCACTTACTAATATGATGAATTGCAGGAATTTCCATTCAGAGAAACCACACCCCTATCCACAGATGTTAAGTTGCTCTGTAGCCCTAACAAGTGAGCCACATTAAAACATAGTAATTCACAAGCTGCACATTTTCTGAAGACTGGGTTATGCAGAATTAGCAGTATATGTAGCCAGCCAGAACATAAGCCCAGATTGAGCTGTATGAAGCCCAGGGTAACAGGCAGCCTTTGTGGTATTTAGTCCACAATCCTCCATGAGCTCTAGCAGCCCTTGTCTATAGCCCTTGACTATTGTCTGTATAGCCCTCTGACTATAGCTACCTGGACTAAGCATGGGAACCTGACCCATCCTGGGACAATTTTATTCTTATGCTTAGAAATTGGATTTCCTCTTTTGCTTGCTTGAACTGAGAAGATGTAAAGTTTGACCGGGGTATCACCTTTTAGGCACTTACACACTAATAAACAGGAAAAACTGAGCTGTAGAGATAAAACAAAACATAAACAAAGCTGAATGACAAAGTGACTGTAGAAAATCTGAGTGACTGGCTGGCTTGATTTTCTTTATCTGAGATCCCAGCCTCCTCTGGAATCCCCTAAGGTCCAGCGAACTTCCTGCCTTGGGAGTCTATGTTATTCTTCTGAGCCACATTTTTTTTTCTTTATCTTTTTCTTTGAGACGGGGTCTCAGTCTGTAACCCAGGCTGGAGTGCAGTAGCATGATCTCTACTCACTGCAGCCTCCAACTCCCAGACTCAAGCTATCCTCCCACCTCAGCCTCTTGAGTAGCTGGGACCACAGGTGCACACTACCACACCTGGCTAATTTTTTGTATTTTTGGTGGAGGTGGGGTTTCACCATGTTGCCCAGGCTGGTCTCAAACTCCTGAGCTCAAGCGATCTGCCCACCTCAGACTCCCAAAGTGCTGGGATTACAGTCTTGAGCCACCACACCTGGCAGATTCTTCTGAATCTTTATAAATAAGTTCACTCTTTAGCTTGCACTAATTCAAATGATTTTAATATTCAAAACACCAAGGAGCACTGTCGAGGATATTTCCTGTCCAACTCCAGCCTAACATATAAAGTCCAGTTCCTCTTCTACCATGAGGAGAAGACTGCAACTTTATATATTTCTTACAATTCTCTCTGTGTTACCTTCTCATCTCCTGAAAACTACATAAACAAGATCCTCACAACTCTGAAGGAACAATTTAAAGATGTGCAGCATAGAAGAGTCTAACCTTCCCAAAGTAACCAAGTCTATTAGGAATAATCATATACAACAAATTATATAAACAAACTACACACTTATATTCAGAGTCTAAGACATCTGCATTTGGTTAACTTTATAGTTTTTTAATTCATATTACTCTAAATAAATAAATGTCCAAAAGCTGATTTCAAGCTTCTATCTCCTGTAACACCAAAGCTAATTTCAGCTTTTAAACAACAGTTTTTACAACAGCTTACTCATCAAAGTTTCAAAAATCTTAGGATCTAAATCACAAAAGGCTCTGCTTGTATGTTTCTGTAAGAAGCCTTGGTCCGGAAAAAGGAGTGCCTGAGATAAAACGAACACCCCTGTGTCACCTGTCTGGGTCAACTGTATCCAAACATTTTTGATGTTTTCCTTACTGATATACTTTGATGCAGACTTAAGTTACAAGAATACCAAGGCACTTCTCCCAGCTTACTGAAACTAATACCTTGGGAAGAGAAAGGATGTCACTTTCAATTTGAGGAGGAAGTACAAATCATCTGAAAAACTTGGTAAGATTTTCGTAGATGTTCTCGGGATCAGCCCAGCATCAGTCAGCGATGCTACACTTCAGAGTACCATTGGGTGAGATGTAAAACCCCTACCAAGATTGGAGGGGGCATCACCCAACCAGAAAGCAGTAGTGTTCTGTGGCATCCCCTCAGATCTCAGTGAAATGAGAACGTTCACCATTTGGCAGTTTGTAAATAATGGGCGGGATCTCCTTCTACTGTTGTGGAAGTAAAAGTTGGCCAGGGAGCTTTTGGAAAGTGGTGTTGCTGGAGACAAGCTGGGGAATCAGCTCACTTATTTAGCCAAATCTGAACTTCCACGCTGCTGCCATTGTGACCGCTTTCAAGGCACGGAAGGCAACATACAACTTCTCCAGGCTCAGATGAGGTGCCCCAAGTGGGTGGTTTTGGAATGGAAATGATCCTGGGTGGAGACTTAGGACCCTGAAGAGGTATCTATGAAATCTGCTTAGTATTTAAGTCCCCTCGTAACCCAGTTGGAGTGCCAGAATAAAGCATCCCTACACAGCTTGGCAATGTGTACTATATGGTTGTTCCTAGGGTCCTAACTCTAGGGTGCCCAGTGCCTTGACAAAAAGACTTACCCTTTCTTTCCCACGCTCTGCAAAACAGTTCAAACTACTCTCTGTGGCAATATATCCTTTATATTTCAGCCTGATCTCACCAGTGCTATGGGAAAATAACAGAAGGGTCTGTTCTACACTTGAGACTTCCTAGTAAAAGTGAAGAATACTGTCCTTTCCTCCCCATCCCTTCTTCATCCCATTAGCAACAGCCACAACAGAGAGGCTGTCAGTCATCTAGACCCAGGTGAACTCAGAGACAGAAGCACAACACCCTGAAGTGAGCCCAGGGAATAGGAATATGAGCATGCACATTCTTAAACACACCTGAGATAGCCCCTGTGAAACTTACGAAAATGACTTATGAAAGGAAACTGTCAGGGAGGGGAACGAAATTCTTGCAATCCAGTAGGTAAAAGTTTGAAGTCATTGAATTGGACAGTAATTATTAGACAATAATGTATTCGGAGGCCAGGTGCAGTGGCTCATGCCTGTAATCTGAGCACTTTGGGAGGCCGAGGCAGGCGGATCACCTGAGATCAGGAGTTCAAGACCTGCCTGGCTAACATGGTGAAACCCCATCTCTACTAAAAACACAAAAATTAGCTGGGTGCAGTGGCGCACACCTGTAATCCCAGCTACTTGGGAGGCTGAGGCAGGAGAATTGCTTGAACCCGGGAGGGAGAGGTTGCAGTGAGCCAAGATCGCGCCACTGCACTCCAGCCTGGGTGACAGAATGAGATTCGATCTCAAAAATAAATAGATAAATAAATAAATAAATAATGTATTCGGGCAATAATAACATTATATTGTCACAGGGAGATGAGGCCTGGACATTTTGCTTACATTGTGGGATATTTCTTATGAGATCTGTATTGCAGATTAATTACTGACTCTTGAATTAGAGCTAGTTATAATAACATGGAAAATAGGGTGGATACTTGATTTATACTTATGCACCTTAAGGATTCAGTTGACTTTCTCTAAATAATTACAGTCTGTAGAGATAAAACAAAGCATAAACAAAGGTGAGTGACAAAGTGACTCCACAAAATCTGAGTGACAGGCTGGCTTGATTTCCTTGATTTTCTTTATCTGCATAAAGGTGAATCCAGGGCTCCAAGAAATAAACTATTCACTGCTTTAAGTGACATAATTTCGGGATTCTAATGTATTAATTTTTTTCTTTTTTGAGACAGGGTCTCACTGTGTCACCCAGGCTAGAGTACAGTAGCTCAATCTCGGCTCACAACAACCTCTGCATCCCAGGCTCAAGCAACTCTCCACTTCGGCCTCCCAAGTAACTGGGATTGCAGGTGCCCACTACCACGCCCAGCTAATTTTTGTATTTTTTGTAGAGACAGGGTTTTACCTTGTTGCTCAGGCTGGTCTTGAACTCCTAAGCTCAAGTGATCCCCCACCTCAGCCTTCCAAAGTGCTGATATCAGAGGTGTTTGAACCAGAACAACTCCATCTTGAATAGGGGCTGGTTAAAATAAGGCTGAAACCTACTGGGCTGCATTCCCAGGAGGTTAAGGCATTCTTAGTCACTGAATGATAGGAGGTCAGCACAAAATACAGGTCATAAAGACCTTGCTGATAAAACAGGCTGTGGTAAAGAAGCCAGCCAAAACCCGCTAAAACCAAGATGGCAACAAAAGTGACCTCTGATCATCCTCACTGCTCATTATACATGAATTATAATGCATTAGCATACTAAAAGACACTCCCACCAGTGCCATGACAGTTAACAAATGCCATGGCAATGTCAGGAATTTACCCTATATGGTCTAAAAAGGGGAGAAACCCTTAGTTCCGGGAATTGCCCACCTCTTTCCCCAAAAACTTATGAATATAATTCACCCCTTGTTTAGCATATAATAAAGAAATAGCCATTAAAATGGGCAAACAGCAGCCCTCGGGGCTCCTCTTCCTATGGAGTAGCCATTCTTTTATTCCTTTACTTTCTTAAATTTGCTTTCACTTTACTCTATGGACTCATCTTGAATTCTTTCTTGCCCAAGATCCAAGAACCCTCTCCTGGGGTCTGGATCAGGACCCCTTTCTGGTAACACTGGGATTACAGGCGTGAGTCACCACACCCAGCCCTAATTTATTAAAAATTTAAATAATAATCTTAAGGATGAAATTTTAGCCTGGGCACCCAGTTACATAAATATGATTGCAGCTTAATCTTTTTGCCTAAACCTTTTAATCCATTTCTAGTTATTTCCTTGGAATTAATTTCTAGAAATGGAATTATTTACTCAAAGGAGATGAACATTTTTAAGTCTCTGGATACACCTAATCATATTGCTTTAGTTATACCAATTTGCATGGCATGTACAGGAATGCGTATGGGAGTGATAGCAGTTGCATTATCATTTAAAAATCTGTTAATATGGTGGTTGAAAAGTTACATCTTGTTATTCATTTGATTTACCTTTCTTTAATGATTGAGGTTAAATTATTTTTCCTATGTTTATTAGATAGTTATAGTTCTTCTTTTGTGCATGTCTGTTCAAAAAGAACTTATTTATTTGAGTTTGTGTCTTTGTAATACTTTGTGTATCCTTTTACTATATTAAGGCCATTAACCTTTATCTTTCATAATTGTTGCAAATATTTTCTCTAGTTTTCGTTTTATGCAGTTGAATTGTCTGTCTGCCTTTGATTTTAGTTTCTTCTCAAGATCATGCAGGATACTGTCCCTTAATATCAAATGTCACAGCCCATGGCCAAACAACTGATGCTGTACCTCAGAGTTGGGCACAGGTGCTCCCCTCCTGCTTATGTGAGGAGAATAGATGGGACCCCTGCTTATGTGATGAGAATAGATGCTTTACTCACATATGTTTTCTTTCACAATACCCACTTCTTTGTGTAAATGTATATCTTGCGGGTTATGGGAAAACTGTCAGTGTAATGATATCTTTCCTCTAAGTTTTTGGTTTGATTGAAAAATTCATGCATATGTTATTTTTAGCCCCAAAAACTTATTTTAAAATATTTTGTGTTGCACTTTCAGATTTATTTAAATTCACATAAAATTTGACATAAATAACATTATCTTCATAGCTGGCATTTGTTATACCACATATCTAACGTACATTTAAGTTCTATTCCACTGCTAGGAGAAGAACAAGCTGACCTTGAAAGTTAAATCTAATAGAGGTTAAGATATTTGCTTTATCTTCCAGCTATGATCAATCACTTCTCTTCTAATTCTGCAAGCCACATTAGAATACCAATCACATTGCTTAGCAGTAACACCTTGTAAATGAGTTATTCCTAGGGCAGGCATGGTGGCTTACACCTATAGTCCTGGTACTTTGGGAGGATCACTTGAGGCCAGGACTTTGAGACCAGCCTGGGAAATATAATGAGAACTTGTCTCTACAAAAGAAAAAAAAATTTAAAAAAATTAAAAATTAGCCAGGAGTGTTGGCACACATCTGTAGTTCCACCTACTCAGGAGGTTGAACAGGAAGATTGCTTGAGTCCTGGAGGTGGAGGCTGCAGTGAGCAATGATAGTGCTTTTGCACTTCGGCTAGGCGTTAGAGCAAGAGCCTGTCTCGAAAAACCAACCAACAAACAAAAACAGTTCTTCCCATAAAGAGAGTATAACCCATTATTTAGGACAGGAAACAACCTGGAATAGGAGAGAGAAAGGGCACACTGAGGATACCAAAGAAAGATCCATCCTGCACTTGGAGAGGTGAAGGCCAAAAGATCTTGGAGGAAGAAACATGAAGGGCCAATTTGTGTGAGCAGAAAGCTCTGCAATTGTGTGGGGCCTGTGGCATTTAATTCGGTGGCACTCACAGGGTGGCTTGGGTGTGTGGCTCCAGCACAGCTCATGGTTGCATAAGGTCCAGAGTCCTGCGTAGAGCTCAAGGCCATTCTTGATCACCAGAAACTGTACCCAGTTCAGTGGGGACATGGCGATCAGCATTAGGAGGCTAAAACTACAGAGGCTGCCACAGAGCGTTCGGATGTAGATGTGTGCCTGATCCATAAGCTGCTGCTGCCTTTGGCATGACATCGAGGCACTTGGATGTTTCTTGGCAGGGACGGTAGGCTACAAGGATGAGGGAAATATTGCCTACCCGAAAGAATAACCCCTGATCCCCAGGGTCACCCGCTCTTCTCTACCTCAAGCATTCCCATGTGTGTTTGATTTATAGATATTTTTCCCTACTCCTAAAAAAAAAAAACCCCACAATTTTCAGGGTGATCTTTTCTGTCTTTAGGATGCTCTGTGTAGCCCTGCCTTTAAGTAAGTTCTCTTCTTCCCATCTGACTTTCAATTAGATACCTCCTCACCCTTTGGTATTTCCGGTTCCCCTTTATTTTGGGAACCTCAGGACTGTGGAAAGTCAAGGTTAAATGTTCCCTTCGCTCCATCTTGGCAGTTAGTTCTCTAACTGCCACGGAATTTGTCTCTGCATCTCCTCACACATGCTGGCAGAAGCAAAAAGGGCCAGGACCCATGGCATAGATCCTGTTTCTGTTTTATATTTTTGATCTGGTCAGATCAGGAAGAAATCACCACATTTTAAGCATGTGCATGTATGTGTGATGCTCCCCACCCTCCATTCTCCACCTACTCCCAACTCTTTTATTAAATAAATCCACAAACATTTTGTTAGCAGTGGCTGTGTGTCAGGCTTTGTGCTAGCTTCTGGGACACAAAAATAAATAAGACACAGTTCCCTCATAGCAAATAAAAAAAGGGGAACTCATATGCTTGTTGGCCACATGTGTTTCTTCTTTTGAAAAGTGTTCATGCCCTTTGCCCACTTTTTAATGGGGTTATTTGTCTTTTTCTTGTAAATTTATTTGAGTTCCTTACAGATGCTGGATATTAGACCTTTGTCAGATGCATAGTTTGCAAAAAAATTTTCCCTTTCTGTAGGTTTTCTGTGTACGCTATTGATAGTTTCTTTTGCTATGCAGAAGCTCTTTAGTTTAATTAGATCCCATTTGTCAATTTTTGCTTTTGTTGCAATTGCTTTTTGCATCTTCATCATGAAATCTTTGCTGGTTTCTATGTTCAGATCATTAGAGAAATTAATCTTTGTATTTTTTTTTTAATTTTTTTATTTTTTTATTGATCATTCTTGGGTGTTTCTCGCAGAGGGGGATTTGGCAGGGTCATAGGACAATAGTGGAGGGAAGGTCAGCAGATAAACAAGTGAACAAAGGTCTCTGGTTTTCCTAGGCAGAGTGTTTGTGTCCCTGGGTACTTGAGATTAGGGAGTGGTGATGACTCTTAACGAACATGCTGCCTTCAAGCGTCTGTTTAACAAAGCACATCTTGCACCGCCCTTAATCCATTTAACCCTGAGTGGACACAGCACATGTTTCAGAGAGCACAGGGTTGGGGGTAAGGTCATAGATCAACAGGATCCCAAGGCAGAAGAATTTTTCTTAGTACAGAACAAAATGAAAAGTCTCCCATGTCTACTTCTTTCTACACAGACACAGCAACCATCCGATTTCTCATTCTTTTTCTCACCTTTCCCCCTTTTCTATTCCACAAAACCGCCATTGTCATCATGGCCCGTTCTCAATGAGCTGTTGGGTACACCTCCCAGACGGGGTGGTGGCCGGGCAGAGGGGCTCCTCACTTCCCAGTAGGGGCGGCCAGGCAGAGGCGCCCCTCACCTCCCGGACGGGGCGGCTGGCCGGGCGGGGGGCTGACCCCCCACCTCCCTCCCGGACGGGGCGGCTGGCCGGACAGAGGGGCTCCTCACTTCCCAGTAGGGGCGGCCGGGCAGAGGCGCCCCTCACCTCCCGGACGGGGCGGCTGGCCGGGCAGGGGGCTGACCCCCCACCTCCCTCCCGGACGGGGCTGCTGGCCGGGCAGAAGGGCTCCTCACTTCCCAGTAGGGGCGGCCGGGCAGAGGTGCCCCTCACCTCCCGGACGGGGCGGCTGGCCGGGTGGGGGGCTGACCCCCCACCTCCCTCCCGGACGGGGCGGCTGGCCTGGCGGGGGCTGACCCCCACCTCCCTCCCGGACAGGGTGGCTGCTGGGCGGAGACGCTCCTCACTTCCCAGACGGGGTGGCAGCAGGGCGGAGGGGCTCCTCACTTCTCAGACGGGGCGGTTGCCAGGCGGGGGGTCTCCTCACTTCTCAGACAGGGCAGCTGGGCAGAGACGCTCCTCACCTCCCAGACAGGGTCGCGGCCAGGCCGAGGCGCTCCTCACATCCCAGACGGGGCAGCAGGGCAGAGGCGCTCCCCACATCTCAGACGATGGGCGGCCGGGCAGAGACGCTCCTCACTTCCTAGATGGGATAGCGGCCGGGAAGAGGCGCTCCTCACTTCCTAGGTGTGATGGCGGCCGGGCAGAGACACTCCTCACTTTCCAGACTGGGCAGCCAGGCAGAGGGGCTCCTCACATCCCGGACGATGGGCGGCCAGGCAGAGACGCTCCTCACTTCCCAGACGGGGTGGCGGCCGGGCAGAGGCTGCAATCTCGGCACTTTGGGAGGCCAAGGCAGGCGGCTGGGAGGTGGAGGTTGTAGCGAGCCGAGATCACGCCACTGCACTCCAGCCTGGGCACCATTGAGCACTGAGTTAACGAGACTCCGTCTGCAATCCCGGCACCTCGGGAGGCCGAGGCTGGCGGATCACTCGCGGTCAGGAGCTGGAGACCAGCCCGGCCATCACAGCGAAACCCCGTCTCCACCAAAAAAATACGAAAACCAGTCAGGCGTGGCGGCGCGCGCCTGCAATTGCAGGCACTCGGCAGGCTGAGGCAGGAGAATCAGGCAGGGAGGTTGCAGTGAGCCGAGATGGCAGCAGCACAGTCCAGCTTCGGCTCGGCATGAGAGGGAGACTGTGGAAAGAGAGGGAGAGGGAGACCGTGGAAAGAGGGGAGAGGGAGAGGGAGACCGTGGAAAGAGGGGAGAGGGAGAGGGAGAGGGAGACCGTGGAAAGAGAGGGAGAGGGAGAGGGAGACCGTGGAAAGAGGGGCAGATCATTAGAGAAATTAAAACCACAATGAGATACCATCTCACACCAGTCAGAATGGCTACTATAAAAAGTCAAAAAAATAACAGACTGTGGCGAGGTTGTGGAGAAAAAGGAACACATACACTGTTGATGGGAGTGTAAATTATTAATTCAAACATTGTGGAAAGCAGTGTGATGATTCCTCAAAGACATGAAGACAGAAAGAACTACCATTTGACCCAGCAATCCCATTTTTGGGTATATGCCCAAAGGGATAGAAATCATTCTATCATAGAGACACATGCACATGTATGTTCACTGAAGCACTATTCACAATAGCAAAGACATGGAATCAACATAAATTCCCACCAATCGTAGACTGGATAAAGAAAATGTGGCACATATCCACCATGGAATACTATGCAGCTATAAAAAGAACAAGATCATGTGCTTTGCAGGAAGATGGGTGGAGCTGGAGGCCATTATCCTTAGCAAACTAATGCAGGAACAGAAAACCAAATACTGCATGTTCCTACTTATCAGTGGGAACATGGACACATAGAGGGGAACAACAGACACTGGGGCCTATCGGAGGGTGGGGGGTGGGAGAAGGGAGAGAGTCAGGACAAATAACGAATAAGTACTAGGCTTAATACCTGGGTGATGAAATCTGTACAACAAACCCCCATGACATGGGTTTACCTATATAACAAATCTGCACATGTACCCCTGAACTTAAAATAAAAATTTAAAAAGGGGGCAACTCAGATGTCTCTAGAACTCTATTGGTTGTGGTTATAATTTAAAATTATATCCCTATCAGTAGCCAGTAGCCTGGAGTTCATGCCAGGTTTGTCTCAATAGGCTCATGAACCAGTCTGTCAGTCATGGTCCTTCATACAGCGTCCATCTTTTTCTCCCTTTTTGGCTCTGGTTCCCTCTTTTCAATGTCCTCTACTCATGAAGCCATTTAAGGGTGCTGCTATACCACTGCCACTGCTGACAGGGCCCACTATGAATATGCCAGTATCTATAGCCCAGAAGACTATAAGCCAATGTGCTAAAAGCCACTGCTCTTCAAGATACCATAGCAGTGCTGGGTTCAAAATGTTCCATATGGCCCCCAAAGGACATGTATCAGCATGCTCACAGCAGCACTCCATAATAGCCCCAAATTCAAAACTACCCAAATGCCCATCAACAGAAGAATGGAAGATTGCAGTCTAGTTATACAATGAAATACTATACAGCAATACGAGTAATCTACAACCACCTGAGCAAAGAGGGATGAATCTTTTCTATATAATGCTGAGCAAAAGAATCCAAACACAAAAGAGTACACATGTATGATTCTATTCATATGAAGTGCAAAACAGGCAAAACTAATCTGTGTTGTTAGAAGTCAGAAACACTCTGGGGAGGAAGATGGCTAGGTATTGGAAGGAGACATGCGAAGAGCTCTTGGAGTACTATAAAGTTTCATTCTCGATCTGTACACTGATGACCAGCTTTCTGTATGCACAATTTTTCTATATGCATGTTTTTTTGTTTTGTTTTGTTTTGTTTTTTCTTTATTGAGGCAGAGTCTTTCTCTGTCACCTAGGCTGGAGAGTTGTGGTGTGATCTCGGCTCACTGCAACCTCTGCCTCCCAGGTTGAAGCAATTCTCCTGCCTCAGTCTCCCAAGTAGCTGGAACTACAGGTGCCTGCCACCATGCCCGGCTAATTTTTGTATTTTTAGCAAAGATGAGATTTCACTCTGTTGACCAGGCTGGGCTTGAACTCCTGACCTCAAGTGATCTGCCTGCCTCAACCTCCCAAAGTATCTATATGCATGTTATACTTCAACTAAAAGTTAAAAGAGGCCGCATGTGGTGGTTCATACCTGTAATCCCAGCACTCTGGGAGGCCAAGGCGGGCAGATCCCTTGAGGTCAGGAGTTTGAGATCAGCCTGATCAACGTGGCAAAACCCCATCTCTACTAAAAATATAAAAATTAGCTGGGCATGGTGGCAGGTGCCTGTAACTCCAGCTACTTGGGAGGCTGAGGCAGGAGAATTGCTGGATCCTGGGAGGTGGAGGTTGCAGTGAGCTGAGATCACACCATCGCACTCCAGCCTGGGCAACAAAAGCGAAACTCTGTCTCAAAAAAAAAAAAAAGAAAAAAAAAGAATAATTTGAATATATGAATCAAGAAGCTTAAAAATGTTTGCATCTTTTGTCTCAGTAATTTCATCCCTAAAATCTATAAAATCAATAACTAAGATTATTACAGCTTATTTCTATAACCTCCCATCTACCAGGAACTGTGCTAGGTGCTTTATATACATTAACCTACTTGCTTTCTGAATCACATTTTTTCACTTTATTTTCTGATTTGTTATTGCTAATGAATAAATTATTTTTTCAATGTATTTACCTTTTATCTGATCATTTGACTGAATTATTTAAATTCTAATCATTCTATTGGCCAATTTCTCTTAGATTTTCTAGGTAAACATCCTATCATCTGCAAATGATGATCATTCTGTTTCTCCCTTTACAAAATATGTCATATTGCACTGGCCAGGCACGGTGGCTCATGCCTGTAATCTAACACTTTGGGAGGCCGAGGCAGGTGGATCACTTGAGGTCAGGCATTCGAGACCAGCCTGGCCAACATGGTGAAACCCTGTCTCTACTAAAAATACAAAAAAAAATTAGCTGGGTGTGGTGGCATGCACCTGCAATCCCAGCTACTCAGGAGGCTGAAGCAGGAGAAACGCTTGCACCTGGGGGGCAGAGGTTGTAGTGAGCCAAGACCACACCACTGCATTCCAGCCTAGGCAACAGAGCAAGCCTCCATCTAAAAAAAAAAAAAAGTCATATTGCATTGATTAGACCCTTTAGAATAGTCCTCATGAAGTATTAAGGGTGGTGGACATCGTTATATTACTCTTGACTTTAATGGAACTGGCTTTATTGGTCTTTGTCTATTTGTGTATTCATTTCTGTGTTAAAGAAGTTCCATTCCATTTCTATTTTATCAAGATTTTAAAATTTAGAATGGCTGTATCAAATTCCCTCTTAGCCTCTAGAATATGGCTTTTCTTCTTTAATCTATTTAGTGTAAAAATTTCATTGATACATTTCTTAACATTTATCTAATTTTACATTCCTCTAATAACGTATTTATGAACATAGTACATTATTCTTTAATATACTGCTAGGAGTATTTGTTTATATACTCAAGCCAAGAATAATCTAGAATTTTAAAAATATATCCACATGTTTAGATTTTTTTTTTTAGTTTTAATATATTATGGTCAAATAACATGTCCTACAAGAACTCTTTTCCTTTTGGAATTTAGTAACATTTGTCATTTAGCCAGTTTTCCTAAACGTCCTTTAGGCATTTAAAGACAATGTGTAAAAAAAATAAAAAATAAATAAAATATAAAAACAATGTGTAAAGTATAAAGTTTTAAATATATTTGTGTAGAATATAAGATTCTAAATCTATCACATTAAAATTATCAATAATATTCAGGTTGTTCCTATTCTTGTTAGTTTTTTCTCCACTTGGTAAAATAAAAAATAGTCCTGGCACAGTGGCTCACCCCTGTAATTCCAGCACTTTGGGAGGCTGGAGGCAAATCGCTTGAGCCCAGAAGTTCAAGACCAGCCTGGGCAACATGGTGAAACCCCATCTCTACAAAAAAAAAAAAAAAAAAAAAGTTAGCCAGGTGTGGTGGCGCATGTCTGAGGTCCCAGCTACTGGGGGGACTGAGGTGGGAAGATTGCTTGGGCCAGGGAGGTCGAGGATTCAATGAGCCGTGTTTATGCCACTACATTCCAGCCTGGGTGACAGAGTGAGATCCTGTCTCAAACAGATAAATAATAAAAATGAAATAAAAATAGACTGTTAGCTCTTTATAGGTGCACATGAAAAGACGCCCCTAATATATTATCAACTGAAAAATTTACAAAATAGTGGTTACATCACGCCCTGATTTTTTGTTTTGAAGGATTATAAATGTGTGTATATAGAAAATAGTGGGGCTGGGCTGGGCACGGTGGCTCATGCTTGTAATCCCAGCACTTTGGGAGGCCGAGGTGGGCAGATCACCTGAGGTCGGGAGTTTGAGACCAGCCTGACCAACATGGAGAAACCCCGTCTCTACTAAAAATATAAAATTAGCTGGGCGTGGTGGCGCTTGCCTGTAATCCCAGCTACTCGGGAGGCTGAGGCAGGAGAATCACTTGAACCCGGGAGGCGGAGCTTGCAGTGAGCTGAGATCGTGCCATTGTACTCCAGCCTGGGCAACAAGAGCGAAACTCCATCTCAAAAAAAAAAAAAAAAAAAAAAAAAACAGAAAGAAAGAGAGAAAATATGCTGGGCGCCATGGCTCATGCCTATAAGCCCAACAGCTTGTGGGGCCAAGGCAAGCAGATCTCTTGAACATGGAAGTTCAAGACCAGCCTGTGCAACGTGGCGAAACCCTGTCTCTGCTAAAAATACAAAAATTAGCCAGGCATAGTCTCAGCTATTTGGGAGGCTGAGGTGGGAGGATCACTTGAGCCTGGGATGTCGAGGCTGCAGTGAGCAGTGATTGCGCCACTGCACTCCAGCCTGGGCGAGAGAACAAGACCCTGTCTCAAATAAAAAGAAAGAAAAGAAGAAAAGAAAAGAAAACGATGGTCATACATAGAAATAACCAGCCAGGCGTGGTGGCTCACACCTGTAATCCCACCACTTTGGAAGGCCAAGGTGGGTGGATCACAAGATCAGGAGTTCAAGACCAGCTTGGCCAACATGGTGAAACCCCATCTCTACTAAAAATACAAAAATTAGCCAAGCGTGGTGGCGGGTGCCTGTAATCCCAGCTATTCGGGAGGCTGAGGCAAAGAACGGCTTGAACCCAGGAGGCAGAGGTTGCAGTAAGCTGAGATTGTGCCACTGCATGGGCGCCTGGGAGACAGAGCAAGACTCCATCTCAAAAAGAAAAAAAAAAAGAAAAAAAAGAAAGAACCATGCATACTATGTCATACATACATAAACAGATATATGTGCTAAAGTGATGGTAGTCTTTATCTTTCAGGCTTCTATATGGCCTCTTGGCACCATAAAGGGCTCAAGAGTGCGAAATAAGCCCTGGGAAATGCGTAAACATCAGGAAGGACTGTGGTGACATTTCCCTGTAGCCCAGCAGATTGGGGACTTGGGTCATGAAGTTAGAAATTAATTTGTTGTAGAAAACACTTGTAATTTCTACATAGCTGAGTTGGTGAACTGAGAGTCATACTTTCTACACACAATATTGTGGTGTTTAAATTTTTCAAAATAAATACATGTTGCTTTTACAATAAATAAATGACAGTCATTGCCTGTCCCATATCCTTTTCTAAGTGAATCTGTTCCCCTCCCTAGCACCTGCTCAAAGACGGAGCTTTGATCGTCTATGGATTAGATGACCCTACCATTCTTATCTGTAGTTTGTGTCTTTAACTTTTTTTTTTTTTTTTTGAGACAGAGCCTTGCTCTGTTGCCCAGGCTGAAATGCAGTGGTGTGATCTGGGGTCACTGCAACCTCTGCCTTCCCGGTTCAAGCAATTCTCCTGCCTCAGCCTCCAGAGTAGCTGGGACTACAGGCACACACCACCACACCTGGCTAATTTTTGTATTTTTTTTAGTACAGACAGGGTTTCACCATGTTGGCCAGGCTGGTCTCAAACTCCTGACCTCAAGTGATCCACCTGCCTCGGCCTCCCAAAGTGCTCGGATTATAGGCGTGAGTCACCACACCCAGCCTACAGTATGCGTCTTTAATGTTTGGCTCAAGAATGACATCTCTTCCTAGCTGGGCCAACCAAATTTTCTCTTTGGGAACACTGGAACACTAAGAGAACGAATTGGAAATAACAGGAGAATGAAGCAGATGCAGGAAAAGGGTTGAGAGAAGGGTGGGTCCTGAGAGATCAACAGGTAGCTTTGGTTCCTAATAAGGCATTCTAGCCCATTTGACCATTGCTATAGTTAAATTTACTTCTAGGTGCTTGTAAAGATGATAAACTCCTCACTCTTGAGCTACTTGGCGTTCTCTTCCTTGCAACTAAAAGATCTCTGACAAGAACATCAAGTATTTAATCTTTTGCACCTAGAATGCAAAGAATCTTTCTCATTTTTGGAACATTCTTATATTACATAACATCGTTTATCACAATGGGAAGAATCACTATTTCTTTGACCTTTGTCTTCATGGTTAGAGCTATAATCACTTCATAGTTACTTGTATGTTCACTTATTGGCTCTGAACAATGCTTTATCTTTCCCCTGGCCTCCTGCCACTGTCTGGCTAATGTAAACTCAAGGAAGGTTAATGGATTTTTAATACTCCCCTAAGCAAACTTTCTTTAGGAAAATAAGTCAGTCAGCTACTACCGGGGAGGAACACCACTGGCCAAACACAGTGACTCTTAGATTATTCGCATCACTGCTTCTTTCCAGTTCTAGGGTTAATTGAAAGTTGGCCATGCACCTTCAAATCCAATTATCATTCCTTTCTGGAATAAGGCAGTGGGCTAAGAAAAGGATGTAGGCACGGAAAGCTCCATGATTAAACTGCATTCAATGTCAAGGGGGCCAGCCTGGGCAACATAGTGAGACCTCATTTCTACTAAAAATTTAAAAAAAAATTAGCTGGGTGTGGTGGTGTGCACCTTTGGTCCTAGTGATTTGGGAGGCTGAGATGGGAGGATCACTTGAATCCAGGAGGTTGAGGCTGCAGTGAGCCATGATTGTGCCACTGCACTGCAGCCTGGGCAACATAGCATTGCAGTGAGCCGAGATCACACCACTGCACTCCAGCCTGGGCGACAGAGCAAGACTCCATCAAAAAAAACAAAACAAACCAACAAAAAACTCCAAACTCAAGGGGGCTAGATGATTGTAGGCATTTCCAGAGGCACAGTTCCAGTGTGGTAATGAGAGCCCTTGTCAGGATGGCCACACATCTGTGGTCTGTTTCCAGCCCTGCCACCCTTTGGCTGCATTCGACCTGGATCAAATAATTTCAATTTAAAAATGTATTGGCATGCAAAGCACTATACTATGTACAACAAGGAAAAAATTTTTTCATTTGACAAATATTTATTGAGCACCCACTAGGTACCTGGCACTGTGCTAGGTGCTGGAAGTACCACAATAAATAGGATTCTATCCTTACTCTTGAGGAACAGCACTTCACCTCACTGGTTCTCAGTTCCCTCACCTGAGGTCAGGAGTTTGAGACCAGTCTGGTCAACATGGCAAAATCCCATCTCTACTAAAAATACAAAAACTAGCCAGGCTTGGTGGCGTGTGCCTGTAATTCCAGCTACTCGGGAGGCTGAGGCATGAGAATCACTTGAACCCAGGATGCGGAGGCTGCAGTGACTCAAGATCATGCCACTGCACTCTAGCCTGGACAACAGAGTGGGACTCCGACTCAAAAAAAAAAAAAAAAAAAAAAAGGAATCTAAGAGAAAGATCCAAAAGGCACTCCAACAGAGGTAAGACATTTAGACTGTGCTCTTACCACTGAAGAGTCCACTCCTAGCATCAGTGAATTGTGTGTTTTGGAAACCTGTATCACAGTAATATGTCACTAACATTTTATGAAGCCAAATGTTAGTGGATGGCCAAAGGACAGAAATGTTACAGGGATCTGTGCTCTGGGGTTCCTGGAGGGTGTAGCCTGGCTATTAGTCAAGGAAGGAAAATAAGATATAGAGGACTCAAGCAGGAAGAGAATGGGAAGAAGGCAAGGAGTGAGCAAGGCCCACTGGGAAATTCCAGTGCAAAATAACATAAGATCTGAATCACTTTCTGTGAAGGATTTATATACTCCATTTCATCATTGTCCCACCTCCCTTCAGGGGATTTCAGATTATTTTTGTGGATTTGGTCAACATGAGCAGCCCTGCCATAAAATGTATCACCATCACCTCTCTAGGAATGAGGTCTAAGGGACCAGGTTAGACTCAAGATAATCCTAGTCTGAAGCAGCTCTCAGGATGCCTGGGGCAGGAGGATATAGTCTAGGCAGAAGGAGTCCCCACTAAAAGGGCCTTAAACCCCATAGAGCTGTCATATGCCTATAAATTTGTCCAATTTTGATCTAAAAATCCCAATATCGGGGCCCTGGACTCTTGGTCTAACCCTGGATGGGACTTCTGATGTTTTTCCATGAGTTTAGCCAACCTTGATATAAGCTTAAAGTGGGAAGAGCCCTAATCAAACAGCTGCCATGGTAAAGGGGATATTAACAATACATTCCTCGAGGCATTATTGTGAGAATTAAAGGAAATGACATAGACTTTTTTAAAAAACTAAAAAATGTTATAGGTGGAACATATTTACATAGTACAAAATATGAAACACACAAAAGGATATACAGGAAGTCCCCCTGCCATCTTATGCTTTACCCACCCAATATCCCTCTCCAGAGGCACCGGTTGCATATATGTGCTTTGAGACATAGTCTATGCTAATACAGATGAAAACACACATCACATATTTTCCTTCTTTTAATAGCATTTCCTTCTTTATAACGCCAGAGAGAAATCTTTTAATTCCTTATTTTTATTGTTAGTGCCTTTCTCAGCACTGTGCCCAACTGATGCCTACTCAATGCATTTTCATAAAGATGCTGAGGACAGCCAGTTGCAGTGACTCATGTCTGTAATCCTAGTGCTTTAGGAGGTCAAGGTAGGCAGATCACTTGAGGCCAGGCGTTTGAGACCAGCCTGGCCAACATAGTGAAAGACTGTCTCTATTAAAAATACAAAAATTAGCTGGGTATGGTGGTGCACACCTATAGTCCCAGCTACCGGCAGGGTGAGATGGCAGGATTGCTTGAGTCCAGGAGGTGGAGGTTGCAGTGAGCCAAGATTGTGCCACTGCACTCCAGCCTGGGCAACAGAGTAAGACTCTGCCTCAAAAAAAAAAAAAAAAAGTTGCTGAGGGCATCACCCTGTGTGGCCTAGCACTAGCAAGGTTTCCAAGGTATATCTTGAGTCATTTTCTATCTTGAGTGTAACTTTGTGTCCCTAAAATGGGTCCAATCCTGTTGTCCCTTATTTGTAAAAGGTCTAAAACCCTCAAGTGTTAGGAGTTGCATGCAAGTCATTAGTTTTGTTCTTCTTATTCTACTGGCCTGCAATGGAGATATGGATACAAATATCCCTAAAGTTTCATTGGGGGAAAAATATCTTGAAGACAGAATGAAGGACAGTTGCTATTTCATTTTATATCTATAGATCTCTAAGGCTCTCAGCCTAGTACACTATAGAAAAAATAATAGTTTAAATGTTATTTTAAAATGTGACTGCTGAAGGTGTGTTAATTTTTTCTAACAAAATAAAATCATGGATCTGGAAGAAATTTTATATATGTTTTAATCAACACCATCATCACACAGATTAAAAAACAGCCTTTTAAGGGATCTGATATGTAAATTCATAGGAATAGCTTATAATTAGCATACATACTGCATATATATATATATATATATACATACACACACATATATGTGTGTGTGTATACCATTACAGTGGTATGATAAAGCCAGTTAAAAGAGCTAAGGTATGGCCAGGCACAGTGGCTCATGCCTATAATCCCAGCACTTTGGGAGGCCGAGGCAGGTGGATCACCTGAGGTCAGGAGTTCGAGGCCAGCCTGACTAACATGGTGAAACCCTGTCTCTACTAAAAATACAAAACTTAGCCTGGTGTAGTAGCGGGTGCCTGTAATCCGAGCTACTCAGGAGGCTGAGGCAGGAGAATCGCTTGAACCCAGGAGGTGGAGGTTGCAGTAAGCCGATATGGTGCCATTGCACTCCAGCCTGGGTGACAGAGCAAGACTTCATCTCAAAAAAAAAAAAAAAAAAAGAGCTAAGATATGGCATGTGCCTTCCTAGATACATGGGAGTGCTGAACATGCATAATTAATCACAACACGAGTTTGGCTGTGGTAAGAGCTGTACTTGTGGAACCCAGACTATGGAATTACAATGGAGGGATTAACTCTGACTGGGGGAATCAGAACAATCTTGATTTGCACAGAGCTTTGGAGGACAGTAGGATCACCACTGGCATAGATGGGAGAATGAGAGGGCCCTGGAGCTGGAACATTAGATGGAATAGGGCTGAGGTGGCCATTACATGTCTTGTGCAACACTCCAGTCAGGAGGAAATAGAGGTTATAAGGCAGTTGAAGTAGCTGACAAGCAAAGAGGAAAACTGATCGGACGTTCTGAGAGGAATAGAAGAACACTGAGAGAGAGAGGGAGATGAGAGAGTAGCCAGGCCCTTGACTTCTGCTCTTTTTGAAATTTGGTTTTGTGCTTTTCTGGGTTTGCTCTGTATATCCCTTTCATAGACTTCTGTTTTCCCGAAATAACGTAAGTCTCTATTCCTTGCAAGCAAAAGGCTCTGATCATAACAGTGGATTTCATCCTGATAGCATTCCATAGCCATTAAAAGTTCTGGAGAAGGAAGATGACTTGATCAGAAATACAATTTAGATAAATAAAACTCCGACAGTAGTGTAGAGCAGCGGTCCCCAACCTTCTTGGTACCAGGAACTGGTTTTGTGGAAGACAGTTTTTCATGGAATGGGTGGGGGGTGGGGAGGGGGAGAATGAGTTGGGATGGTTTCGGGATGAAACTGTTCCACCTAAGATCATCAGGCATTAGATTCTCATAAGGAGTGTGCAACCTAGATCCCTCACATATGCAGTTCACAATAGGATTCCCACTCCAATGACAATCTAATGCTGCTGCTGATCTGACAGGAGGTGGAGCTCAGGCAGTAATTCCCGCTGGTCCTCTGATCACCTCCTGCTGTGAGGCCCGGTTCCTAATAGACCACAGACCAGTACCAGTCCATGGCCCGGGGGCTGGGGACCCCTGATGTAGAGGCTGAATGTCCTCCTGATGTTGAGGAGACCTTGAAAAGGTCCTTTCTTGCCTTTCCCTTCATCAACACCACCTCTGATCTGAGTCTACTCTACTAGCCACCATCTCTCCCCTGTTCTCTTGTCTCTCACAAACCTCTCTCATCTTTACCTCTAATTTTTAGCTAACTTTCCCTTTTCCCATTTTCCCTTGACTATATCATACATTTTCATGATTTCAACTGTTATCTCTGGGCAGGTGACTCTTAAAGCTCTCTGGTGAGCCACCAATCTCAGCTCTGCTGGACATCCTAATTGTCTGTTAAAATCCCTCAAAACAGGCCAGGTGCAGTGGCTCACGCCTGTAATCCCAGCATCTTGGGAGGCCGAGGTGGGTGGATCACCTGAGGTCAGGAGTTCAAGACCAGCTCGGCCAACGTGGTGAAACCCCGTCTCTGCTAAAAATACAAAAATTAGCCAGGCGTGGTGGCGTGCACCTGTAATCTCAGCTACTTGGGAGGCTGAGACAGGAGAATCGCTTGAACCTGAGAGGTGGAGGTTGCAGTGAGCCAAGGTTGTGCCACTGTACTCCAGGTTGGGCGACAGAGCAAGACTCCGTCTCCAAAAAAAAATCCCTCAAAAAGCATGTCTCAGAGCTCATCCTCTTTTCCCAATATCTGCTCTTCCATTTGTACTGAGCCAGTACACCATCATTCCGTGGGGAAATGTAGTGAGCTGTGATGGTGCCACTGCACTCCAGTCAGGGCAACAGAGATCCTGTCTCAAAAAAAAAAAAAAGAGAGAAAGAAGGGAAAGAAAAAAGAAATAATCCTTAAACGAATGACTAAAGTCATGCTCTTTTCCTTTCCAAGCTGGTACACCCTCACATCTTTTCCTCTCCCCTTTCCTTTGTCCCCATTCCCACAGCACCCAGTTAGCTGCTGAGTTCCATTATTCCATATCTGAAATATTATTGCATTTGTCCCACATGCATTTGTCCCACAGCCTCCTTTCCACTGTCACTCCTTTAGCTCAGATCTGTTGAAAGTTCCCTTGGGGCTCTAGTTTTTCTAGTTTTATGACACACAGAAAAACCTTTGTAAAAAATTCAGGCCATAAATGAAAGTCTGGCTGGGTGTGGTGGCTCACAACTGTCATTCCAGCACTTTGGGAGGCCTAAGAGGGAGGATTGCTTGAGGTTAGGAGTTCAAGACCAGCCAGGGCAACAGAGCAAGATCCTTAAAAAGTACAGCAAGTCTCTACAGACAAGAAAAGAAAAGAAAGGTCTATTTATAGCCTCGGATCGGATGGATATAGGACAAAGCCAGTTATTGTAAGGGGTGTATGTCTAGATTTAGGAAAGTCTGCTAAGACTTAGTGAGTAAACCTGAATAAGATAACTAGGATAATTATAAAACTAGAAGACAGGAGGGGATTGGGCTAAAAAAGAAGGGAAACTGGACACAACATTTTCTTTTTGGTAGAGGTAGAGATGGGGTCTCCCTGTGTTGCTCAGGCTGGTCTCGAACTGCTGGGCTCAAGTAATCCTCCTGCCTCAGCCTCCCAAAGTGCTGGGATTACAGGCATGAGCCACCACACTGGGCCCTGGACACATTTTTAGAAACCCTACAGAAAATTGTATATGTTCAGTAGTGATAAATTGGATAGAGTTTTGTAAATCTAGAAATAGGAAGGGAAGAGCTTGGAGGCAACAGGAAAAAGGAGAAGCAGAGGCATGTGAAATGGAATGGATTTAAAGAGTGTCAGGATGGCTGGGCCAGTGGCGCACACCTATAATCGCAGCACTTTGGAAGCCTGAGGCAGGAGGATCGCTTGAGCCCCGGAGTTTGAGACCAGCCTGGGCAACATAGGGAGACCCCATCTCTACAAAAACTTTAAAAATTAGCCTGGTGTGGTAGCATGTGCCTGTAGTCCCAGCTACTTGGGAGGCTGATGTGGGAGGATCCCTTGAGCCCAGGAGTTTGAGATTGCAGTGAGCTGATTGTGCCACTGCACCACTGAACACCAGCCTGGGCAACAGAGGGAGATTCTGTCTCTAAAAAAACTTTTTTAATAAAAAATAAAGGTGGCCGGGCGCAGTGGCTCATGTCTGTAATCCTCATACTTTGGGAGGCTGAGGTGGGTGGATTACTTGAGGTCAGGAGTTTGAGACCAGCCTGGCCAACATGGCAAAACCCTGTCTCTACTAAAAATGCAAAAATTAGCCGTGGGTGGTGGTGGGCGCCTGTAATCCCAGCTATGCAGGATGCTGTGGCAGGAGAATCACTTGAACCCAGGAAGCGGCGGTTGCAGTGAGCTGATTGAGCCACTGCACTCCGGCCTGGGCAACAGAGCAAGACTCCATTTCAAAAAATAAAATAAAAAATTAAAAAAGGGAGTGGGAGTCAGGGTGCAGAGAGAATTTTGGCAACCTGCACTTCTGTAAACATTGACAAGTTAAACAAAGCTTAAGTCTTGCTGGTCTGGCCACCTAGTGTGGGAGAAGAGAAATGAAACCATCAGTCCCAAGTGAATTTGAGTCTACACTTTCTGAGTCCCATAGCACATGAGGATGGTCAGGTTAAACTCTTAGTTAACAGTCTCAGAGATAATCTCCCTGCACTTGGCTTTCCCATTCAATCTCTCCTACATACGTTAACAGATTAATCTTAGTGAATCTTAGCTCTGACCTTGTTGTTCCTCAACTAAAGAAGTTTCTCTCGCTTCCCATGGACTCAAGAGTAAAATCTCAATACAATCTGCAGCCTAGCTTTCAAGGAACTGTGATAGATATAAAAAGAAATGAACTTTGGGACAGAAGACCTGGGTCCAAACATTGGTTCTGACAATTACATGGGACTTGGGTCAGGTTATTTTAATTCTCAGAGTCAATTACCTCACCTGTACAATGTAGCTAAGACTCATTTTCACACAGCTGTTGTGAGAGATAAATAAGACAACATATGTCTGGTGCCTCACTCAATTTCCTACTTTCCTTACTTTACAATCCAGTTTCAACCTACTTTCTTTTTTTTTTTTTTTTTTTTTTTTTTGAGATGGAGTCTTGCTCTGTAGTGCAGGCTGGAGTGCAGTGGCACGATCTCGGCTCACTGCAACCTCTGCCTCCCGGGTTCACGTCATTCTCCTGCCTCAGCCTCCCGAAAAGCTGGGACTACAGGCGCCCGCCACCATGGCCGGCTAATTTTTTGTATTTTTAGTAGAGACGGGGTTTCACCATGTTAGCCAGGATGGTTTCGATCTCCTGACCTCGTGATCCACCCGCCTCAGCCTCCCAAAGTGCTGGGATTACAGGTGTGAGCCACAGCGCCTGGCCTCAACCTACTTTCTAACATTCCTTACATTCCTTCTGTTAGTATTTCTCTTCATGCACTGTTTGTTCTAGCCAGACAGAATTGCTTACTTCCCTGGTATCTCTCCAGATGCTTTGGAGATCTCTGCCTAGGTTCATTTGCCATTTCATTGTATGCATCCAGAAAATATTCATTAAGTGTCTGCTATGTGCCAGGCACTCTTCCAGAACCTGGAGATCCTAAAGTGAACAAGTTACATAGAGTTATCCTTCTAGATTGTGGTCCCCCTCTATAGACTGCTCTTTTCCTTTACACATTGAAATTCAAACTCTTTCAAAATTTAACACAAATGCTTCCTCTTTCATGCATTCATTCAACAAGTACTTGCTGAACACTTACTGTGTGCAGAGTCCTGGCTTAGGCAGTAAGGATACAATTGTGAAAAAGGTACCATTCATTCAGCATGTGGGCTGTGGAGGACATGGACAAGTAAAGAGGCTATAATGAGGGTACTATACAAAAGTACCCAAGAGGAGATGATGTTTCCCCTTCCACACATCACAGCACACACAGGAAGAGACTGCTCTTGACTGCAGGTGACTCGCCAGGATGTCTAGCTGCCCCAGGCCCTACCACCCCAAGGATTGAGGGGCTGGCTGTCTCAGCACACCAGTAGGAGATTCAAGAAATACTAGGCCAGGCGCAGTGGCTCATGCCTGTAATCCCAACACTTTGAGAAACTGAGGTGGGAGAGTCACTTGAGCCCACGAGTTTCAGACCCTAACCTGCTGGGATTGCAGGCGTGAACCACCGTGCCTGGCCAAGAAATACTCTTAAAATGAATAAAGTCATGCTAAAGAGCATTTACTGTGTGCTAGACACTGTTCCAGGGGCTAGTGAACACAGAACCTGCCCTTAAGAAGCTCTTACTGTAGTGGAACAGACAGACAAATGGACAAACAATAACAATAGAGCCATACCCTGGTATACTCAAGGGATTGGTTCCAGGAACCGCCTCCCCCACGTCCCCAACCTTCCAAGGATACCAAAATCTGCATATACTCCGCACATACTCAAGTCCTGCATATGGTCCTCCATATCCATGGGGTTTGCATCCCAAGAACACTGTGTTTTCCATCTGCCTTTGGCTGCATAATATCTGTGTATAGATGGACTAGTGCAGTTCAAACCCACGTTGTTCAAGGGTCAACTGTACTTTCAGATACATGAGATTAACTCAGAGAGTTATGAGATCACAGAGGGGGATCTTACCCAGATTTGAGAAGTCAGAAATTTCCAGGATGGTAAAATATAAGTTTAGACCTTCAAGTAGGTGGAGGGATTGGAAAGTGGGAAAGGCATTGCAGAGAGAAGAGAGTATGGTAGAGGACCAGGAAGTGAGGTAATCGTGGCACATTTTCTTTTGCTAGCCCCATAAACCCTTTGTTCAATATGTCATCTCTTTCACATCTCTGTGCTTTGCCTATGCTCCCCTTCCCTGCCTGGCTAACTCATGCTTTGGGAGTCAATTCAAAGTTCACCTCCATTGTAAAAGACTTCCTGAGGCAAATTATTTATTTCCTGCTTCTTTCTGATCCCTTAATTTATGAGCCAAAAACCTGAACACATTGTCTGACAGTGAATTATTTTTCTGATATGTAAATTAATTTTATTAGAAGCTATAGATATGAAAATTAAATCATGTTTTTATTCATTTAACAAGCTGCCTTTAATAAAGAAAAAATAGCTCTCAGCTTTTGGCTCGGAGGAGGCCAAGGTGCAACTTTCTTCGGTCATCCCGAATCCGGGTTCATTCGACACCAGCTGCCTCCACCATGCCGCCAAAGTTTGACCCCAACGAGATCAAAGTTGTATACCTGAGGTGCACTGGAGGTGAAGTCGGTGCCACTTCTGCCCTGGCCCCCAAGATCGGCCCCCTGGGTCTGTCTCCAAAAAAGGTTGGTGATGACATTGCCAAGGCAACGGGTGACTGGAAGGGCCTGAGGATTACAGTGAAACTAACCACTCAGAACAGACAGGCCCAGATTGAGGTGGTGCCTTCTGCCTCTGCTCTGATCATCAAAGCCCTCAAAGAACCACCGAGAGAGAAAGAAACAGAAAAACATTAAACACAGTGGGAATATCACTTTTGATGAGATCGTCAACATTGCTCAACAGATGCGGCACTGATCCTTAGCCAGAGAACTCTCTGGAACCATTAAAGAGATCCTGGGGACTGCCCAGTCTGTGGGCTGTAATGTTGATGGCCAGCACCCTCATGACATCATAGATGACATCAACAGTGGTGCTGTGGAATGCCCAGCTAGTTAAGCACAAAGGAAAATATTTCAATAAAGGATCATTTGACAACTAGAAAAAAAAGAAAAACCATCAAATATTATATACAGTATGTTATTATTTTTTATATTCATCTACTGTCCAAATTGATGGCAATGTTGTATATATACTAATTTAAATAATTCATATTGTTAAAAACTGTTTATTCATTTTTAAATTTAAATTTAATTTTTTTTGAGACAGAACCTCCACCCAGGCTGAAGTGCAGTAGCGTGATCTTGGCTCACTGCAACCTCTGCCTCCCAGGTTCAAGTGACCCTCCTGCCTCAGCCTCCCAAGTAGCTGGGATTACAGGTGCCTGCCACCACACTAATTTTTGTATTTTTAGTAGAGATGGGGTTTCACCGTGTTGGCCAGGCTGATCTCAAACTCCTGACCTGAAGTGATTCACCCGCCTCAGCCTCCCAAAGTGCTGGGATTAAGGCATGAGCTACCATACCCAGTCTAATTTTAATTTTAAGTTTTTTTGGTATATAGTAGGTGTATATATTTATGGGGTACCTGAGATGTTTTGATATAGGCATCCAATGTGAAATAAGCACATCATGGAGAATGGGGTTATCCATACCCTCAATCATTTATCCTTTGAGTTATAAACAATCCAGTTACACTCTTTTAAAATATACAATTATTATTGACTATAGTCACCCTATTGTGCTCTCGAATAGTATGTCTTATTCAGGCTACTTTTTTTGTACCCATTAACCACCCCCATCTCAAAAAAGAAAAAAATAAAGAGAGATGGGATTTCCTCGTATTACCCATGCTGATCTTGAACTCCTGGGCTCAAGTGATCCTCCCATCTTGGCCTTCCACAGTGCTGGAATTGCAGGTGTGAGCCACCATCCCCAGCCTGTGATCCATTTTTAATTAAGTTTGTGTATGCTGTGAGGTAGGGGATCATAGTTCATTTTTCCCACATAGGGATATCTATTTTCTTCATCACCTTTTATTGAAAATAACTTGCCTTCCCCACTAAATTAAATTGGTGTCTTCATTGAAATGGAGTAATAATCAAATGGCTCTTTTCCTGGACCCTCTATTCCGTTCCATCTATTTGTCTGCCATTATGCCAAAACCCCACTCTAGTGTATAGTAAGGGGGGATATTTTGGAAGATCAACAAATTTATCTTGTGTAACTTACTTTTATGTATGCATAAGAATATTTGGTTTAAAAATCTGGTTAAGTCTAAAAGAGCTCTTTCAGTAATAATTAAATAACTGAATCCCTGTAATCCACCATGCTCAGCCCCATTAGTAATTTTTATAGCGTCTTTATTTGGATCTAGCTCTTTCATCTTGTGTAACTCTTTTAAGTAAATGACTCCTCCCTTCTGGTACAGGTTGAATATCCATAAAAGGGTGCCTTGGCATGTGCTCAGTCCTGAAATTCTACTTTGATCTACTGCTCTCATCTTTGAAACTGCTCTAAACACTCCCCCAAATTATTGATCCTGTGGGCCTGATTATGAACTTGGCTCTTCTGACAATACTTCTCAAATCCTGTACCTTTGGTAACATCTCTCCTGACTGGCAGAGTACCCAGACACTTAATTAATGCTGATGAAAATTAAGATTTAAGCAAAGAAGAAATTGGTGTAAGAATGCAAGCCTTAGGATCTGAAACTTGATGACTGTGGGATCTAATTTCTGCTTCTTTTGCTACAAGCTCTGTTTTTGAATAATCAACTTTCAAAGACAAATTGCTTGATGAATCTCTGTATTGTCAGAATGTTTCTTTGATTTCCCATCAAAGCCATGTATGTGTAACTAGTAATTAGGTACCTACGACCTGAATATAAATTATCATTATTTCAGTAGCCCTTTATTTGTTTTTGAGAAAGGGTTTCACTATACTGCCCAGGCTAAACTTGAACTCCTTGGTTCAAGTGATCCTGCCGCCTCAGCCTCCTGAATAGCTGGGAGTAGCTGGGACTACAGGGATGTGTTATCATGCCCAGTGAAAGCCCTTTATTTTTAAAAGTTCATTTTCCTGATCTTTACATGTATTTTAATACTAAAATTAAATTTAAAAATTTTAAAAAGTACCTACTAACCAAATAATGCCACCCAATAACAATAGCATTATTTGTATTATGTTCTGGTAATATAGTGGTGAACAAGGAAGACAGGGTCTCTGATAACTGTGGAATTCTCCTTGATCACTTCTCAAGCCTCTCTTCCGGATACTATTTCTTGGATCTACAGCTGTCTTCCTTCCCCACTTCTGTAGTTCAGTCTCTCATTATTCTCTACCTCCAATAAAAAGGGGCCTCCTAACTGGTTTCTTATGCAACTACTCAACATGGTATTTCTAAAATGCAGATCTTTCGGGATGATTTTCAATTGCTCAGAGAATAAATTCCTTGACTTTCTACGTAAGGCCCTGCAGGACCAGGCCCCTGTCATTATCTCTGAGCACTCTCCATCTTGCACCCAAAGCCCCAGCAATATCTTACTGCTTTCAGTAAATACACACCGGGCTATGTGGGGTTTTGTCTGGGGAAAGGGGATGTGAGTTGTAACTAAGAGATTTATAGTCAATCTTGAAGGGAAGAGCTCATATTGGAGGCAATGGAATGCCTCAAGCTGGCTCTGAAAGTACACATTTTTTCCAGTCATAAGTAGATCACATTTGTGTGATCTTGTGATCCTCTCTCTAGCAGAGCCGTGCAGACTACCTACTTCCGGCCCTTTCTTGCCCCACGAAATTTCACATCACAACGACTTGTGGTTTTAATCCTCCGTTTTTCTGCTTCTGAAGTTACTTCAGCCTGGCAAGTCCTTTACCTCCCCGTAGGCCTGGCGAGCTGCATCACAACATTCAAGATTCACCCTAGAGCCATCTGGGAAACTTTCTTCTCCAGGTCGCCCTGCGTCCTCGCCTCCCCACCCCGTTCTTCTCGAGTCGGGTGAGCTGTCTAGTTCCATCACGGCCGGCACGGCCGCAGGGGTGGCCGGTTATTTACTGCTCTACTGGGCCCGTGAACAGTCTGGCGAGCCGAGCAGTTGCCGACGCCCGGCACAATCCGCTGCACGTAGCAGGAGCCTCAGGTCCAGGCCGGAAGTGAAAGGGCAGGGTGTGGGTCCTCCTGGGGTCGCAGGCGCAGAGCCGCCTCTGGTCACGTGATTCGCCGATAAGTCACGGGGGCGCCGCTCACCTGACCAGGGTCTCACGTGGCCAGCCCCCTCCGAGAGGGGAGACCAGCGGGCCATGACAAGCTCCAGGCTTTGGTTTTCGCTGCTGCTGGCGGCAGCGTTCGCAGGACGGGCGACGGCCCTCTGGCCCTGGCCTCAGAACTTCCAAACCTCCGACCAGCGCTACGTCCTTTACCCGAACAACTTTCAATTCCAGTACGATGTCAGCTCGGCCGCGCAGCCCGGCTGCTCAGTCCTCGACGAGGCCTTCCAGCGCTATCGTGACCTGCTTTTCGGTTCCGGGTCTTGGCCCCGTCCTTACCTCACAGGTGAGTCGGACTTGTCCCGCCCTGTTCCTGGGCCCTGAGAGTGCCTGCCTGGGGACAGTTCCCCCAGGGCTCCAGAGACGCCCTATGGGCTTTTGTCCAGCCCTCTGATCACAGGCACTCCACTTCCTCCTCGAGCTGCATTAGGTTTTCATCCAAAGATAACTACTATAGGACTACGGTTCAATCAGGAGATTAATTTATGGAAAATACTGTGCCAGCAGAAATCTAAGGTGATCCTTCTGACCGTGTTCAAGCTAGCCAGGGTCCTAGTGAGACTGTGAGCAAGGGCTGAGTAGAGACCAGAGAAAACACTCAAAATTGGGGAGACATAATACAAGAACTATGCAAAGTTACATACAAGTTTCTGGCACATAGAATGTTTGGCGGGCGGATCACGAGGTCAGGAGTTCGAGACCAGCCCGGCCAACATAGTGAAACCCCGTCTCTACCAAAAACACAAAAAATTAGCCAGGCGTGGCGGCGCGCGCCTGTAGTCCCAGCTACTCGGGATGCTGAGGCAGGAGAATCGGTTGAACCCATGAGGTGGAGGTTGTGGTGAGCTGAGATCGCGCCACTGCACTCCAGCCTGGGCAACAGAGCAAGACTCCCTCTCAGAAAAACAACCCCCCCCCCCAAACAAAACAAAACAAAACAAAAAAAGTGTAAATTGTGAAAGAAATCATAGAACATAAGGAAGTGAGTTTCCAGCGGCCACTTGGAATGGGATGGTAGATGTAATTAGCCGGGACTGAAAAGAGGGTATTCCAGGCAGGAAGAAGGGCTTGAGCAGAGGCACAAAGAATTATGATTGAGTTCAAAGTTCAGGTCTAGTGGATGTGATGAGTGGGGGCTGGGGATTGAGGAGGGATGAGGGTGGGGAAAATGTGGGGTTGAAGAGTCAAGAGCGCTTTAGACATTGGTTTCACATAAAATGGAAGGGGCTAACAGTTTTCTTTTAGGCAGCTATGTAATCAGTACTGAAAATTGTATTTGAGGATAATTATTCCACAGCACATTTGTAAGTCGAGCCAACAATGTAAAGGAATACAATTCTGCTGCATGGGTTCAAAATTTAGAAGTTTCTTGATAATCTGGAATCTAGCTCTTTGGTTATATTGTATAGATGTTATGGGGGTGGGAGCCACATTTACGGTTAAGTCTTGTAGTAATATTTTATATGATGTTTCAAGTGTGTTTAAATTACTTTCACAAAAGTTATCATTTGATATATAGAATTAAAAGCATTTAATTATACAGATGACCCTTAGAGAGTGACATTTGATTTGGGGAAAGAAACACAATCTCAGCATCAGGGTAGTCCTTAACTGGTAAAATGCATTAAGCTGGAGAGGATAAGAGGCCTGCTGTTGAGTGTGGTAGATCACATTTTCCTCTGAATCCTTCATGACAAATAATAGAGTGCCTTACCCAAGATTGGCACTCAGAATATGTTGATTTTGGTTTAGAAGAGTTTGAGCCTGGTTTATGGAAAAAAAAATCCGTCTAACTGGTATATGTCAATCCCAGTGCTGGGCACTCTGAAGGTTACAAGAAAAGTCTTAAGACCTAGGCCTAGGCTCTATAGTTCAATTGCGAAAATATGAAACAGAGGGAGGTACACAGTGAATTATAAGATTCTCAAAAGCTTTATAGGTTGTTTCCTACTATTGTATACATGAGAATAATTCCTTTCCTTTTTTTTTTTTTTTTTGAGACGGAGTCTCGCTTTATCACTCAGCCTACACTGAGGCTGAGTGCAGTGATACGATCTTGGCTCACTGCAGCCTCCGCCTCCTGGGTTCAAGCGATTCTCCTGCCTCAGCCTCCCGAGTAGGTGGGACTACACGTGCTTGCCACCACGCCCAGCTAATTTTTGTATTTTTAGTAGAGATGGGGTTTCACCATGTTGGCCAGGCTGGTCTCAAACTCCTGGCCTCAAGTGATCCACCCACCTCAGCCTCCCAAAGTGCTGAGATTACAGGCATGAGCCACCGCGCCATACCTAATTCCTATACTTCTAAATTAGGCCTTCACCTCCATTGCTATAGCACCATAGTTTAATCAAGTAGATAGAAATGGAGAGATTGTAAGATAATGGAATACTAT
This sequence comes from Homo sapiens, assembly GCF_000001405.40. Classification (NCBI taxonomy): domain Eukaryota; kingdom Metazoa; phylum Chordata; class Mammalia; order Primates; family Hominidae; genus Homo; species Homo sapiens. The sequence goes on along the minus strand of NC_000015.10, from coordinate 72,373,613 downwards.
AAATTCCCTAACAAAAGAGATTTAGAGCCAGATAAATTCAATAAGATGTTTATTTCCATATATTACCTTCCTGTAAGTTCATTAGCTTTATTAGTTGAGGGTTCTTGTCCATTGAGAGAAAATGAAAACTGGGTTGGGTGAACATTACCAAAGACTTAAAAGTAACTTCTTTCTCTATTGCTCTTCCCATGGAGTCTTCCCTTTGGAATGTAGTTTCCTGTGGAGGCTTTTAGGTGACTTTGAGCTAAAATCCTAGTTCTGCAGAAACAAGGATGAAGCAATAGCATGGGAAACAAATAGAGGTAGAGCAATACCAACAAGGCTGAAGCCAGAATACATTTCTTTATGAGTCTGATTTTAGTAAAGAAGGCAACATATGCAGGTTAAATCTTAACTAACAGATTTCCATCCTCTTCCTCCAAACAACTTATTTGTAGGCTCTGGGCCAGTAGGTTTTGTTTGTTTGTTTGTTTTTGTTTTTTTGAGACAGAATCTTGCTTAGTCACCTAGGCTGGAGTTCAGTGGCACAATCTTGGCTCACTGCAACCTCTGCCTCCCGGTCTCAAGCAATTCTCCCACCTCAGCCTCCTGAGTAGCTGGGACCACAGGAGCATGCCACCACACCTGGCTAATTTTTGTATTTTCTGTAGATGGGGTTTCGCCATGTTGCCCAAGCTGGTCTCCAATTCCTGAGCTCAAGTGATCCCCCTGCTTTGGCCTACCAAAGTCCTGGGATTACAGGGTGGAATGAGCCACCTGACCAGCCCAGTGTTTTTCCTAATGCAATACAACTTCTGGTTTTTGTCTGAACCTGAAACTAAGAATTCATACTCCCTTTTCTGAAAAAGAAGTCTGGTATTGAGGTTCAGTTCTATTTTGAATTCACCTTCAAGGGTTAGTCCCACCAGTTGCTAAATGGTCTGTGAAGGTGTTTAGTATTTGCCACCTTTCTTTGTCATTGAGAGGTGTTTCTACCAATTGGAGGGTGTGTGTTGCATGTTGTTGAACCTGTTAAATAGACTTATTTTAGGAACTAGATACTTGAATGAATCTAGTTCCCTGTTTGATTATTAAGCCACATCCTGTTTGCAAAGCAAAGATGTGATTATTTGGAATTTGGAATGGCACCCATCTAATGTTGCTCCAGACATTTAATAAGCATGGTGTGGAGCATGGTGCTTGATGGAGCTGATAAAGTCCAAATTTTTCCAAGTAAAGTGGCTAAGTCTAATTCTGCCATTAGACTGCATTTTTTTTTTTTTTTTGAGATGGAGTCTTGCTCTGTTGCCCAGGCTGGAATGCAGTGGTGTGATTTTGACTCACTGCAACCTCCACCTCCTGGGTTCAAGTGATTATCCTGCCTCAGCCTCCCAAGTAGCTGGGAATTCAGGCACCCACCACCATGCCTGGCTAATTTTTTATTTTTTAGTAGAGACGGGGTTTAGTAGCGATGGGGTTTCACCACGTTGGCCAGACTGGTCTCGAACTCCTGGCCTCATGTGATCTGCCCACCTCAAGATTACAGGTGTGAGCCACTGCACCTGGCCATGACTGCATTCTTCTTTGCTTTTCCTGAAACTGGTTGATAGAAGCCATAGTATATCATAGATATTATAAGGTTCCCATCCTGGTCTGATGTTCACCTGCACATCCCTGTGAGTTGCTGAGGATGCCATTGTCCTTCAACAGAATAATCCTGCCCCCCTTCTCCAGCCCTTTTATTCTGGAATGGAAGTAAGATTATTATATAAGAGCCTGTGTCCTTCTGCAGCCATTATCAGTATTTGATTTGCTCATCCTCAGATATTAAAGAAGTGACTAAATTAATAAATGGCATAGTTCATTATAATCTGGATCTCCTAAAATACCTTCTTTGGCCATTTCTTCTGTATCTGGAACGTTGTAGATATGTAGTAATTATTTGTAAAATATATTAACGTTAAAGAGCTACTTTGTGTAAACATTTGTAAGAAGGCTTTATGGGTTTGGGTTTTGTTTTCTTTTTTTTTTTTTTTTTTTTTTCTTTTAGAGACAGGGTCTTATTTTGTCACCCAGTCTGGAGTGCAGTGGCACAAACACAGCCCACTGCAGCCTCGACCTCCGAGGCTCAAGCTGTCCTCCCATCTCAGCCTCTTGAGTAGCTGGGACTACAGGTGCATAGCTAATTTTTGTAGAGATGGAGTACCACCATGTTGCCCCAGCTGGTCTCGAACCCCTGGGCTCAACCACTCTGCCTGCTTCAGCCACCCAAAGTGTTGGGATTACAGGTCTGAGAAGATCATCAAAAAGATATGATTTGCAGGTTTTCATTGAGGATTACCTTTCCTTTCAGGTTACCAATTTGGAGTGTAAGTGTGTGATTCCAGGCAAAGGATAATCACACTATGCTGCTTATTGTGTGATCCCAACTCGTGCTGCTCTTAACTCAGCATGCAGTGAGAGATGCATTGGGATTGCATCTAGGAGGGAAACAGATAAGGTCAAGCAGCTGGGCTGGGGAGAAAGAATAAGGCCGATTAGTTCTCTCCACTTTAATTGGGCTAGCGGCTAACTATACTTTAACCTTTCCCACGGCAAAGACAAGGCATATTCCTGCCAAAGATGATTGCCACTAAGTTTATTGTTTTAAAAGCAAAGAGGAAGAAAACAACACGGGAAGAAGGTTTTGTAGTAGAATTACTTTTTCTCATGAAGGGGTTTCTGGAGAACGAGGGATACATAGGAGAAATACAGTGATGAATAAATTGTCTTTAGAAAGAAGGTGATGGCAGAAGCACAGTTTTTAGTTGAAGGGCAAAATAAGTGTCATATTTCATTTTGAATCCCAGGGCCTAGATTAGCTTGGCCTGCAGTCTTCCACCAGCCTCTCTTCTCACAGCCCTGTTTTTTTCTTTTCTTTTCTTTCTTTTTTTTTTTAAGAAACAGGTCTTTCTCTGTCATTCAGACTGGAGTGCAGTGGTGTGATCACGGCTTACAGCAACCTCGAACTCCAGGACTCAAGCAGTCTTCCCGCCTCACTGATGAGTAGCTAGGACTACAGACGCATGCCACCGCACCCAGCTAATTTTTTTATTTTTTGCATTTTGTAGAGATGGGGGTCTTACTGTGTTGCCCAGGCTGGTCTTGAACCCCTGGCTTCAAGCGATCCTCTTGTCTCGGCCTCCCCGAGTGCTGAGATTACAGGTGTGAGCCACCATTTATTACCTAAAGCATGATACTTTTCTAGTATCCCTGTATAGTACTGAGTCCAAGAAGCTAAACTTGATCAAGGTGTATGTGGGTAGCCTGGGCCTGGTTTATGAAAAATTTGAGTTTTATTTCTGTGAGCTGTAGGTGTTCCCCTGCTTTGGATATTCTGTTTGAACACAGTATACATTGGAGGACTCAGGATGTGGAACATGATTCATTCAGGAGTCAGCTGAGAAAGTGTTTATTAACCCCTTAACTCTGTGCCTTCAGACTAATTGCCTAATTTCCAAGCTGTTGCTGCTACTTCCTTTTTTTTTTTTTTTTTTTTAACTCTGCCTGCCTTCCAGACATTTCCGAGGATAACAAGAAAATAGTTATGAATGTTTTTTCAGTCTTTAAGGGAGGGTATAATAGTGGGAAGAACTTGGTGATTTTAAAAATAAAACAATAAAAATTAAAAGTCCAAGCCCCAGAGATGCCTTTCCTTCCATTTCCTTCTACCCCAGTTCCTTACCTCCAAACAGGAGCGAGAAGCATAGCATTGGAAGGTTTTTGACAATGGATACCTTGTCGTTTTGTTGTTGTTTGTTTTTAACCGTCTCATGCTAGGGCATGTTGTCTGTTTCTTAGCCTGTTCAAGGCATAAGCCTCAATCCCTTTCCTGTTGTTATATAGAGGGAAAGGAGTTTTACAGCCTTACCAGTACTTCTTTTAAGAAATAAAGCTGGGCATGGTGTCTCATGCCTATAGTCCCAGCTACTCCAGAGGCTGAGGTGGGAGGATGGCTTGAGCTCAGGAGGTGGAGGTTGCAGTTAGCTGAGATCGTGTCATTGCACTCCAGCCTGGACAACAGAGCCAGACCTTGTCTCAAACAAACAAACAAACAAACAAAAACCTAGAAACAAAAACAAAAGAAAGGGATCACTCTTATGTTTCTGCAGTTTCCTAAATTTCTTCTACTGGTCCTGAAAATAAGTGATAAAATAGAGTCAATTTGCATCATCCTCAAGAGGTTCCATGACCTTTTTGGAGCCACTGACAACAAAGTCAGCTGAAGAAAGGAGGTTGGGTCTGTAGGGGTCAGAGAGGTGTATGTGTGAAGAGTTTTCTGTGGTGTGAGCTGTCTCAAGGTTTACATGTTTACAGTCCATTGTAATACAGAAATGGATTATATTTTCTTCTGTATTCCTGGCTGTAATGAATAAAACCCATTATTGGGTCAGGAACTTGAGTCTTCTCTCTTCTTGTCCTTTGTTCCTGTTTCAAGCTGTGGCATTTGCTTAAGCTTCCTGGCCACACACTCAGCCCTGATCCCCAGCCAACTGCTGTATGCTATTGTTGTGTCCACATCTTGAGGCTGGTTAGGCTTGGGTGTGGTGTAGAGCTCCTTTCTGTGGAAGCGTATACTCAAAAATACAGGACGTATGGGTGTTTGTCAGCTGTCATTAAGCAGCCTTCCCCTTCTTTTGTAAAGCTCTTGGGATTGAGGGGGTAAGAGAGATGCCTTACTAGGTACACTGTTATGCATGAAAAGTTTAACTACTTACTGTTTGTTCAACCTTGTCCTTGTTGTAACTAGGATTCCACATTAGTGGCTTTGTTGTTTTGCCTGGAGCTGCAGTCCTAGGTTGGGGGAGATTCAGAGTTCTAAGGCCATGTCCCTCTTGTATTTTGAAGTGTCAGCCTGTTCATATACAGAATGGCATCTCACAGTAGTGAAGCCTTCAGTCTCCTATAAGAGGCTCATGAAAAACCCTTCAGGGAAGCTGCTCCTAGAGTGTGGCTTTGCCATAGGAGACCCTGCCCCAGGACTCCTCTGGCCAAATGAGAGAGTCGAGGTTTGCTGGGGCAAAACTGTCTTATTGGGAAAAGGGAAGTAGAACACGGAAGGAAACTAGCATTTATTGTCTGGCACTTGATGTATGTTATTGCCCTTTAATCTTCATAAACAGCTCTGTGAGGTCAGTGTTATCCCAATCTTTGAGAATGGAGACATAGAGGCTAAGTAACATGCCCAGGGTTACACAGCTTGTAGGGATGGAGCAGAAATTCCAGTCATGCATAAATTTTGCTTTTGTCACTGTACAGTCTTGTAATATACTCATACACGTCTTTGTCAGTCCAGTTAGCAATTTGGAAAACTACTGGCCTCTGGCAGGATTAAGCTCTAATCACATCTTAGTGTTAATTACTTCAAATAGGTAGTAACTTCTAACATCTAGTTACTCATAAGCACTCAGGTTATGAATATTTTGATCCCTGGCCCATTGTTACCAGATTCCAGTAGCATTTCTTCCTTCCTCCCATCTATTCTTAGTACAGGTAGTATTTATTAAGTAACTTTAATTGTCAATAGTACTAGGTCCAAGGAATATTAAATTGAACTTCCCCGTCCTTAAAGAATTTACAGTTTCTGGAAGTGGGGATACAGACAGAGTGTGATATTTTTCTATGATAACTGAAGCACAAGGTACTTTGGGAGTGCAGAAGAGGAACACCTGACCTAAGTGTATGGGGGGAAAAGGAGAAAGTGCACATTGAAAAGGCTTTCCTAGAGAGCTGTTGAAGGAGATCTAAAAGTAGAAGTTAGTGGGGGTGAAGATAGTATTCCGCATAGAAAGAACTGCGCGTGGAAAAGGCCTACAGGCGAGAAGCCTTCATGCCATATTCAAGGAACTCAAGGTGTCTAGCTGAAGTACACAACTCTAGGGTGGATCAGCAAGTTCTGAAGCTAAAGAGGTGATAGATGGAAAGGTCATGAAATGGCCTAATAAGCCCTGGTAAGGAATGGAGCTTTATCCTAAGGTCAAAGAAGGCCAGTAAAGTCCAGTCAACAGGATAAGTGATGTGACTAAACTCTAGCTACATTGGGGCTTGCTGTAGAGTGGGATTAGAGGCAGGAAACCCAGTTAAAAGGCTGCCAACAGTGGTCTAGATAAGAGAGAGTAGTGGCTGAAGTTGGGTTGATGGCTGTAAGGACAGAGAAAACTAGAAAGACTGAAGAGAGATTTAGGAGGTGGCTGCTTGGAAGTGGGAGTTAGGTTGGAGGGAAAGGGTGCTGAGGATGACTCCCAGATTTCTGACTTAGCAGTTTGAATGTTGGCTCTCATTCACTCGTGCTGCCATTAACAAAGATAGGGAAAATAGTAGGAGAGGAAGGGAAGGAGTAAAAAGAGCTAAATTGGTGGTCGTGGTGGCTCACACCTGTAATCCCAGCACTTTGGGAGGCTGAGGCAGGTGGATTACCTGAGGTCGAGAGTTCGAGACCAGTCTGACCAACATGGAGAAACCCCATCTCTACTGAAAATACAAAATTAGCTGGGCATAGTGGTGCATTCCTGTAATCCCAGCTACTCTGGAGGCTGAGGCAGCAGAATCGCTTGAATCCAGGAGGTGGAGGTTGCAGTGAGCCGAGAGTGCGCCACTGCACTCCAGCCTGGGCAACAGGAGTGAAACTCCATCTCAAAAAACAAAACAAAAAAAAAACAGTGAAATTAAGAGGTTGAGAGGTAGAGTGAGAATCATGAAAAGTAAATTTGATTTTGACGTGTTGACTATGAGGTATCAAGCAAACAGTTAGCTATGTAGTACTAGAGCTTGGGAGAATGAGTTTGAACACTTCCGAGGAGAAGAAGGTCCAAAAGGCAACCACAGGAGGGTGGTTGAGGAGGAGGAGGAGGATGTTGTTGGATGACTGCTAAGCCAGAACATGGGTTAGTTCTTCCTCTTGGGTGTGAAAATCATCTAGGATAATAGCCAGCCTTGAGGTGGAGAGGAATACTGGGCAACAGGATCCAAAGTATTAAGTAAATAAGGTTGGGCATGGTGGCTCACACCTGTAATCCCAGCACTTTGGGAGGCTGAGGCTGTGGGATCACTTGAGGTCAGGAGTTCGAGACCAGCTTGGCTAATGTGGTGAAACCCCGTCTAATTTGTAAAAATAGAAAAATTAGCCAGGTGTGGTGGTGCACACCTGTAATCCCAGCTACTTAGGAGGCTGAGGTAGGAGGATCACTTGAGCCTGGGAGGCGGAGATTGCAGTGAGCTGAGATCGCGCCACTGCACCCCAGCCTGGGCAACAGAGGAGGACTCCATCTCAAAAAAAAAAAAAAATTAAGTGAATAAAGAAGTGATCAGGAAGCTACAGAGTGTTGTAACAAGGAGAGCTGAAGATTTAACAGCTGGATGACATGAACCACAGAAGAAAGGTGTTTTATTACTTGGTGGTGGTGGAATGGATGACCCAGAAGCAGCCCCATATCTCAACCCTATGATGTGGGAAGTGGCTGCCTCTCAGAGCATGTTGTAGGGGAAGTGGTGTGTGGTATTCCTGGGGAGAGCCAGGCTTCAGTTAGGGAGGAAGTAGAAGAGGCTGAGTAATTAAGTAACTACACAACAAGATCTCAGAGGGTTTACAAGGTGAATGATATGTAGTACACAGGTGGTCTGGTGGAGAAGAGGAAGCAACATGTATAAAAATAGAAGTGCAGGACCAGAAGTGAGCAAAGGGGGTTATATATTGGGCAAAGTGACAAAATATGGTAGAGATATGACATGGCGGATTTCCCTGACAATAAGATTACCAAGAAAATAGATTCCAGAGACAAGCAAGCATGTGTATATATGTGGGAATTTAATATATGATCAAAGAAGTATTTCTGATCAAATGTGAAAAGATGTATTAGTCAATAAATACCTAAGGATGACTGGTTATCCAATTGGGAAAAAAATAAATCCTTACCTCATATCAAACTCAAAAGTAAATTCCAGGGAGATTAAAGATCTGAAGATAAAAGACCATTGAAGTGTTAGACAGAAATGAAGGAAACTATTATTATAATTTTAGGGGTAGAGGAGGCCTTTCTAAGTAAGCAAATAAAGAGACCGTAAAGGAAAAGAGTCATAGCTTTGACTACATAAAAATTAAAGCAAAAGAAAGCATAAGGTTAAAAAATAAGGGATAAAATGAGGCAGATATTTGCAACAAGTCAATAAAAGAAAAGTAACTTTAAAAAGTAAAAAGAATGGCTGGGTGCCGTGGCTCACGCCTGTAGTCCCAGCACTTTGGGAGGCCAAGGCGGGTGGATCATGAGGTCAGGAGATCTAGACCATCCTGGCTAACATGGTGAAACATCGTCTCTACTAAAAATAATAATAATAATAAAAAATTAGCCGGGCACGGTGGCGTGCGCCTGTGGTCCCAGCTACTCAGGAGGCTGAGGCAGGAGAATGGCATGAACCTGGGAGGCGGAGCTTGCGGTGAGCCGAGATCGCGCCATTGCACTCCAGCCTGGGCGACAGAGCGAGACTCCGTCTCAAAAAAAAGAGTAAAAAAAATTTGGCTAGTAAATGCAAAGAAATGCTTGAGGCCAAGAGTTCAAGACCAGCCTGGGCAGCATAGTGAGACCCTGTCTCTACAAAAAATAAAAATAAAAATTAGCCTGACATGCTGGTGCACGCTTGTAGTCTTAGCTGTTTGGGAGGCTGAGGCAGGAGGATCACTTGAGCCTAGGAGGTTGAGGCTGCAGTGAGCTATGATTGTGCCACTGCACTCCAGCCTGGGTGACAGAGCAAGACCCTGTCTCTAAAAAAAAAAAAAAAAAAAATTAAATTAAAACTTAAAAAGAAATACAAATTGAAATTGAAACAATGTATGTGTTTTTTTAAATCCAGCTGGCAATGGTGAAAAAGAATTGAGATGTTCTAGTGTTGGAAAGATGTGGAGAGATGGGCCCATATATGTGGATTTGGGTGTAAGTCAGTACAGTAACTTGGAAGAGGAATTTGGCAGTATCAAAACCAAAACTTTTCTTACCTGTGGCCTAGCATTTCCACCTCCAAGAATTTATCCTACAGATATCTTTCACAATTGCTTATATACATATATATGAATATTTGTTTACTAGAGTGTTGTTTATAATACTAAAAACTTAGAAACATTACCGAATGTCTACAAACAGAAGAGAAGTTAGGTAAGTTAATGTATATCTCATCATTGGAATTATATTCAACATTTACAAGAAGGATGTAAATCTATATATATTGACATTAACAGATCTACAGCTCATTTTGGTAAGGGGAAAAATGTTACAAACTAATAGTATTAGGATCCCATTTTTTTTTTCTGTTTTTGTTTTTTGTTTTGGGGTTTTTTTGAGACAGTCTCGCTCTGTCACCAAGGCTAGAGTGCAGTGGCGTGGTCGCTTGGCTCACTGCAGCTGCCACCTCCCAGGTTCAAGTGATTCTCCTGCCGCAGCCTCCCAAGTAGCTGGGTTTACAGGCGCCTGCTACCACGCCCAGCTAATTTTTGTATTTTTAGTAGAGACAAGGTTTCGCCATGTTGACTGGCGAACCTTGAAGTCGTTCGCTGGGCTCGAACTCTTGAACTCAAGTGATCCACCTGCCTCAGCCTCCCAAAGTGCTGGGGTTGCAGGTATGAGCCACCTAGCCTGGGCCCATTTTTATTTTAAAAATTAATAAATTTATGTATTTACAAAAAAATTGGAAAATTGTGCAAAATGTTATAACTAAAGTTATCCCTTGAGATCTAGAATTTTAGGGAGATGTTCTCTTTCCAGTGGGGATAGGGTTGGGAGGGACAGATCAGTTTTAAAAGTAGGGGAAAATAGAAAATTTTTAACTACAGCTTTTCCCAAAAAAAGATGGGTACAACTTTTACCCAAAAAATATGGGATGGGAATGAGAGGAAGGAAGAACATTCAGGATTCATCTGTGGGCTGGAGAGAGTGATACTTCCAAGTAGGTATTAATAGTCTGTGGAGGGTGAAGAATCTTGGAACTTACAGGAGGAGGTACCATGATCTAGACTAAATTCAGCAGCACTAAGGAGAAGGCCCCAGCTCAGGGCAGTCGGCTTCACAGACTCCCACTTTACTGGGATAAGAAGTTTGACAAGGTTGGCCTTGACTTCTCTCCTAGCTACACCAATTCACTTCCCAGGCTTGGAATACCTTTTCTCCTCTTGGTAGCTTGGTGAACACCAATTCAGGGTTCAAGATCCCACTCAGAGGTCCCCTTCAACGTCAAGCCTTCCACCTTTCCTGGACGTGGCTATTAAATCTACCATAGCCCTTATCACAATGTTTGTAATTATTGTTTGTGTTCATCTCTCCTGCTAGACTGTGATCTCCTCAAGGGCAGGGACCAGGGTTTGTTTTTCTTTTTAACTGCCCCAGCACCTAGCACAGTTCCTGATGCACATTAAATGCACAATATATCTTGGTTGGAATGAAGAAATGAGTGGGAAATGAATGATATAATGGGCTTTTATTAGGCAGAATATGGGGGAGATGAAACCTGGATATGATGTGTATAAAGGTGGGAGGGGGAAGAGAAGAAAGTGGGCATGGGAACAAACTTTGGCACCAGCCTAGGAGGGTACCAGGGGATATGGGAGCAGAGTAGACATTAAAGAGTGGGAAGGTGGCAAAGTCTGGGTTGCCTTTCTTAGTTTTCAATCCAGAAGCAAAATCAGCTACCACTTTATAACCGAAACCAATGTGTTTTTTTTCCATAGTGCTGGGATTCTGTGAATCAAACACATTGATACGATGGAAGTGTTTTGATTCAGGAGGGAACGGGTGGTAGAGGGAAAGGCTATTGTGCACTGAGGTAAAGATTGATAGTTTCCAGGTTACCCTAATAGTTATTAGTGACCCTAATACAGCAACGAGTTCTTCCTCTCAGAGAAGTGGAAAGACCTAAATCTTAGAATTTATGGATCCAGAGGTCTTCAGAGCAGTGTCTGAAAAGGCACTTTGTGTAAGTCTGGGCGTCTTCTTAGCATCGCCCACCCCAGTCTCAGGATTTCAGAAATACTAGGTTTGGGGATATAAAAGTAATCTCTACATTAACTACTTGCTATTTATGCCTGATTATCACATAGCACAATCATAAAATATGCATTTTTTGAATTCCAACATCATTCATTTTTTCAGCAAACATGTACTGAATGACTGCTGTGTGTCAGGCACTGGGAATACAAAGACACTGAGATTGGTCCCTCCTGTTGAGGAACTCACAACCTAGGTGAGGAGATAGACAAATAAACAGCATATCTTAAGAAAAGTGTTTTGAAAAATGTATGTATACATTGCTGCATGATCACATAGGAGGGTTTCTTAGGAAAGAGGGGGGGAATAACAGAAAAGTTTCCTAAAAGGAAAATAGAGCTGTTTCTTAATTAGGGGAGATGTGGCGGGAAGGCAAAGTTTGTTTCAATTGGAGGAAGCAATATGTGCAAAGAAAAATATGGAGAAAATATGGCATTTTCAGGGTTCTGTTAAGAGTTCATTGTTCATTGTGAGAGTTCCTGCACAGGAGCAGAAAAAGACAAGGCATTTTCTTATGATTACCCAGTGAATTCTGGACTGTATTCTGAAAGCTATGGGAGCCATTGGAAGATTTTAAGCGGAGACTGTCATGCTCTTATCTTCATATTCTAATATCTCTGAGGATAGTAGATTGACATGGGTATTCCTGGAGGCAGGGGAAGACTGCCTGGGAGATTTTTTATAGTCATCCAGGTGAGAAATTACAAGAGGCTGAATTAAGGCTTTGGCCCAGTGGGGCTGGGAAAATGGCGATGTGTTAAGAGATTATAAGGATTGTGTAATTGTAAGACTTTTAAAAAGTATTTTTACTGTTGTAATCTCAGTGCTTAACACAATGTTTGAGATATCAGACAGTCTGTAAATGTTATTTTGAGTTGATGAACTTGTGATCTACTCAGTTAGATGGAAGGTGTAGAAGAAGGAGATTTCTGGTATAGGTGAATAGATGGGGCTGTTATCAAAGTGAGAGAGAGGATCAGCCAGGAGGAGGAATGAAGAGTTAGATTAGTTTTATGTTTAAGATTCAAGTGGCTTTTGAGACATTTGAGTGGAGGTGTACAAGTCTAGAGCTCCAGAAGAAGAGTTGGCTTGGAAAGATAGATTTGGGAGTCATTGGCCTGCTGTGGGAGTGGATGACATTGTCTAGGGAGAGTGTAAGCGAAGGGAAAAAGAGAAGTTTGGAACCTTGGATACCCTGGGTAACATTAGTACATTGGGATTGGTAAAGGAGAAGTTGAATGAAGAAGCATATTCAAGGAGTTAGAAGGAAAACCAAGAGAGCAATGTCCCCTAAGCTAAGGGAGTTTAGTTTCAAGAAGGTCAGAGATGTCTGATGCTGTCAAGAGGTCCCAGAAGGAGTGAGTGGTTTCTATTAGCTCTCTGACAGCTGGGATTTTTGTCTGTTTTGACCACTGCTGTATCCCCAGCACTTACAACACCCTGGCACATAGTAAGCATTCAGTAAATTACTGTTGAATGAATGAATGAATTGAAAAGAGTCCCTTGAATTTGGTTACAGAACCACAGGACTTTGGTGAAGCCATTTTGAGAGAAGTGGTGGTGAAGGAAGCCAGATTATAGTGGATTGAGGAATAGATAGGTTGTAAGGAAGCAGCTACAAAATACTAAGTATGACCAACATCATGAGCACATAGGAGGTACCAGGCACTGAGCTAAGCACTTTACATGTATTAACTCATTTAACCTTCCCAGCAGCCCAATTATATAGGTATTATGATCCCTATTTTACAGTTGAGGAAACTGCAGCTTAGAGAGGGTAAATAACTTGCCTAGAGAAGGCCTGCAGCTAGAAAGTGTTAGAACCAAGATTTGAATCCAGATCTGTCTTCCTTTGGAGTTCAGGTCCTTAGCTGCCCAGGCTACATTTCCTCTAGGGAGTCTTTGTGGCAGGAAGGCAAAAGAAAGAGTAAGTGAGGCCAGGAAGATTGCAAACATTTTAATGCTGATGAGAGTTGAAAGAAATAATTTGAAGGCTTTGGGAAAAGGGGAAATAATTTATACAAGAGGAGACTGAGAAGAGCTCCAGAGCACAGGTAAAAGGAAGCCCCTTCCATCAAGGTGGAGGTCCAGGAGAGGGTACAGGCAGGTGTGTGTTGCAGATATTTTTGTCAGCGAGGAGAGGGGAAGAGGGTAGGGATAGTTGAAAGTTCTCTTCTGATTGTCTGCTGAGCATAAGGGAGGTGGTGATCAAGTAGACTTGAGGAAGGTGTAGAGAATAGAATGAAGCAATGATGGAGATAGAAGATTTTCAGGGTAGCATCAAGGGCCCAGCCAAGATGGAGACCATTATTTTGCAGTGGTCCAGTCCTGCTGTTTTGTGATTTTTCTCCCTTCCCTCCAGTAGGGTACAGTAGCCGGGGTCAGGGGCACAGCAGGCAGATGTTAGATTGATCCAGGGTTGAAAGTTTTGCCCATTGGTTGTGACAGAAGAAAAGAGACAGATCGTTGGGAGTATTGGCTAGATTGCGTTTGAGGTGATGAATCACTACATGTAGGCCAGCAGGGAAGGAAGCAAGAATGAGAGAAGACTGAGAACAGAAGGGAAATGGAGGGGTCATAGTACTGGAGTCTGGAGAAGGTTCAACAGTAGGACTTTGGTGATAGAGCGTCCTTGTTATTAGAATTCCATGTCCAGAGGTGACCTGTCTGTGATGAATAAGGCAAAATTACTCTATAAGGTACTACAGGGGTAGAAAACTACCAGTGATGTTTGTCTCTTTACTGAGGGGACTAAGGAAGGGTACCAAAGATACTTTTTTTTTTTAATCGTAAATATTTTCTACTGTTTGGTAGTACTGTTTGATTTTTTTTTTAACCAGTATGTACTACTCTTTTTTTTTTTTTTTTTTTTTTTTTTGAGACAGTTTCACTCTATTGCCCAGGCTGGGGTGCAGTGGTGCAGTCTCTGCTCACTGTAGCCTCCGTCTCTTGGGTTCAAGTGATTCTCCTGCCTCAGCCTCCTGAGTAGCTGGGATTACAGGGCCCACCACCATGACCAGCTAATTTGTTTGTATTTTTAGTAGAGACAGGGTCTCACCGTGTTGGCCAGGCTGGTCACTAACTCCCGACCTTAAGTGATCCGCCTGCCTCAGCCTCCCAAAGTGCTGAGATCATGGACCTGAGCCACCGCACCAGGCCTATACAACTGTTTTGATTTTAAAAAAAGATACAAAGTTTTCAGTGAACCCAAAGAGAAGAGTAGGTTTACATGAAAGCAGGGAGATGAGTGAGCTGCAGAGGTAGCAGGCTGTGGTCCTGGAATGGGACCCTGGAGTGTATTATCTGTCTATGGAATCACAAGGTCTTAGATCTGAAGAGGAGTAGCTGGAATCTGGTCCCACCCTGCCATTGTTTACAGGGAAGGAAATGGGAGCCCTGAGACTTGCTCAGCTTGGCAGCAGCAAAACCAGAACCAGAAGCAACCTGTCCTGATTTCCCAGCCCTCTGGTCTGTTTTTCATGCTACCTCCTAAGCCCTGGAGGCTTCTCAATTTCCTGCTGTTCCAGCCAGACTCATGGCACATGTGCTCATGACATTGCTGGCTGACCGGGCTGTTTGCCATACTGTGCTTCCCACACGTTGGTGCTTCTCAGTGTTCAGGGTGTGGGCGGGTGTGTGTAGAGGCGGCTGTACTACTGTCCCCTGCCTATTTCCTGCCCTCTTCATAGCCAGGCAAAGTAGCAACTTGGAGGCGGAAAACCACAGTGGTGATACCCTATTTACATCCTTTACAATGACCTAGTGTCCCTCCTGTTTTGCCAGCTCTCATGTTGCTGCCTCCCCCAAACATCCCTCTCATAATTTGTTTAAACAGCAGCCATGCCCCCGTATCTACTTCTTTCAGCCCAAACCCAGATGAGTCACTGAGAGAACTTCGGACAGGGATTCTTCACCATGAGATTGATGGCAGGGAGTGGAAGAATTGTAATTCTGGAGAAACAGCCCTTAAATTAGGGGCATTGTTCTGGGAAAAAAAGTGTTTTCCTATTCAGCAGATCTGCAAAGGAGTCTGTGACTCTCCAAAAGACTACAGATTTAGGGAGTACAGTGCAGGTGTCTTTTAGAAAAATAAATTTTTTAAAAATCGAAAGATTAGGTATTTTTCTGTCTTCCAAGTAATAGTTCAGATAAACCTGGTGTTTGTGTGGCCTCTCTTATTTTGTCATGAGGGCAGCGAGCCATGGTAGTTGCATATGGATTAGTTGTGATTTCTCCTTATGTGGCAGGCTGAGCCCCAGAGGATTAGAACTAAAGCTCAGGACTTCGGCTGTCTTTTGGATGGCTGCCTGGGTAGATATGCAGATGAATTCTCCACACAATGATATTGGGGCTCCATGATGTGTGGGGTTGGGAGTGGGGGCAAGAAGTCAGAGGATGGGGTATAGTTTTTCCTCACCCTTGCTCCTAGGTTAAGTCCTCATTGGTCTCCCTGTAGAGTCTCCTGTGGAGATGGGTTTGTAGCCTGTCTGCTTGGATGGCCCTGCAGATTCTGCCTTGAGTGTGGTCTTTGCCTTGAAGGTCTGCTTGTCCTTTTGTGTTGTAACAATGTAGTTTTAGGGTTCAAGTATGGAGCTGTGAATTGACCTGGCCCAGAGTTGCCTCAGATTCCCTCCTCTTTGCAGAATGTAGGCAGGTATTGGTGTGGGGATCCAGGGTATTTACTGGTAAGGGAAAGAATGTGTTGTTCATGATGGTAGGAAAGGCCCCCTTATTGGCTTGCTTCTTGGCAGACCAAAGAGCTGAGATACAGCCATGTGGTAGTGCTCAAGAGGTCTGAGCAGGCTTCCGTGAGATGATCTGAGCGCTTGGATTCCTTCTGCCTGGAGATGGGTAACATTTGAGATTCCAGTTTGGTTCTGAATTCTCTCATTGCCTTCTGCCAGGCCATCCTATCCCTGACATTGTAGTGCCATAAGAAGTCATGGATGTTGTGATGCCAGTGGGATGAATATGGCTCCAGGAAAGAATAGAATAGAGAGGGGTTCATTAAGTTAAGGCTTGGGGCTATAACACCAGAGCCACCCTGAAAATCACAGGGAAGAACCAGCAGGAGGGTGAGAAGAGACAGTGTATTCATATTTTGGCTTTGGCATTTTTTCTGCATAGACAAGGGTCTGTAAAGCTATATTAGATACTATGTTGGTTCAACCCTCCACTATTAGGGTAAAATCTACCTTGGATAGAGAACCTGTTTGGGAAGAGGAAGGAAGGAAGCAAGATGGGTGGGTGACCCTGATCTTCTCTGAGGTATCAGTTGCATCATCTCAGGCCTCCTCTGCCTGATCCTTCTGTCATCTGCTCCATTAGCTCCTAGGCTTTTGCAAAACTGGAAACCCTTCATCTGGAGCCCTCAAGAGCAGTACTACTTAATATGCCAATCTTCAATGAGATAAGAAGCATATGTACCAGAATGTAAGACTGATCTCTTCATCAAGAAAATCTTGTATGAAAAAATGTTAGAACTAGACAGTGTGTTTACTCTGACATAATTGATTTACATTCAGGCTTCATATAAGTTTTCTATATAGTGACCAGCCAGTAACACAGTTTGCAAATTGGCAGCTAATCTGCAGACCATACTTGGAGTAGCAGTGCTCTAGAGCTGCCTTTCATTCAGAAGCAGTTGTTGAGGTCATGGAGTTGTTTGTTTGGTACAGGCCAAGGGCAGTCAGAAATATAGAGCCCTGGTTAAGAAGAGCTGTCACCCAGAGCATTCAGACATGGGTCAGGGCAGCTACTGAGGAGAAGAGGGGCACAACGAGAGTGAGACAGCTGAACAGATGATCAGGCACTGCCTATGCCAAGGGTAAATGCCATGTCCTCCCTTTCCTTTACCACAGGCGTGTGAGCTGAGGGACTAGAGCTAGGGTCTTGGTTTTGCCTGTTGCTTCTAATGGCAGGTTGGCCGCACCAAGCTTACCCTGTCTTCCTAGGGAAACGGCATACACTGGAGAAGAATGTGTTGGTTGTCTCTGTAGTCACACCTGGATGTAACCAGCTTCCTACTTTGGAGTCAGTGGAGAATTGTAAGTACCATCCTGTTCCCTGTCTTAGAAGAGCAAACACTTGTCTGAAGCTGTAACTCTGGATGGCCTGGCCTAAACTGCTGATGCTCGGCCTGGAGTCCCCCTTGACCCTGGGGACCGAGGGTCACCAAGTGCTGAGAGCCATGGAAGATGAGTTTTTCCTATGCAGAAACTTAACCAGTGCTAAAGGTTGGCTGTGGAACATCACACTGGCTCTTCACTGAGTCCCACAGGACTTCTACCTGGTGTACTGAATACATTTCTATTTTAGGAAAGTGTATACTTTGCTACTTTTCTCTAATAGACCCTACACTGGGGAAAGCAGGGGTTCTGGTCACTTATACTGAGATGAAGTTAAGTCATTAGTCCAGTGACTGCCTCCTGTCTTCCCTGAGCAGCATTTGGGGACTTCTCAGTCTCCAAAGTGAACAGTTGAGTTTGGCTCCTTCCTCACATTCTTGGAGGAAGTAGCTGAAGCATAGAGGAAGGGGAAAGGAGGGTGATTACAAAGGCATTGGGAGCATCGCGTGCTGCACTCACCCCTGCAGGCATCCCTGTTCCCTTTGCCAGGAGAAGACTTCTTTCATCTTTCTGCTGTGGAAACTGACCCATGAGGTAGGTGGTGCTTTGTACAGACCTCCACTCCAGCCTGACTCTTGCTGTACATCATCATCCAGGGTCTACAGAGTCACTGTGGTGACCACCCTCCCACTCTGGCCCCAGACCAGGCCATCCTACAGCTGTCTTGCTCTGGGGACATCTCCTCATTGAAAGATTTTTTAAAATATATGGTCTTACTGTTTTTTTTTTTTAGTCCAGTGATTTATATAGAATATCTGGTCTATAATCTGAGAATAGAAAACCTTAACCAACTAAATGAGTTCATTTCTGTCATTTCAGATACCCTGACCATAAATGATGACCAGTGTTTACTCCTCTCTGAGACTGTCTGGGGAGCTCTCCGAGGTAACAAATTGGGGCTGATTAAAAGAGAGAGAGAAAGGATGATGTGGGAAGGTTGGTGTTGGTGGAGTGCAGTGGCCCAGTCCCTGCTCACTGCAACCTCTGCCTCCTAGGCTCAAGCAATCTTCCCTCTTTAGCCTCCCAAGTAGCTGGGATTACAGGTGCCTGCCACCATGCCCAGCTAATTCTTGTATTTTTAGTAGAGATGGGATTTCACCATATTGCCCAGGCCAGTCTTGAACTCCTGAGTTCAAGTGATCCACCCATCTCGGCCTCCCAAAGTTCTGGGATTACAGGTGTGTGCCACCGCGCCCAGCCAGGAAGCTTTTTTTATGGGAACAATTGGCGTGTTTTCCCGTCTCTGTGGAATTGTCCCTGGAAGTTGACAGGTTTTACCCTGTGCAGCATCAGCAACTGCTGCTGCCCTAGTCAGGGGCTCTGGGAAGCAGTAGGAGAGTCTGTGGGCTGATGTTCTAGGTGCCAGCAGGGGACAGGTAGCTGGGGGCAGGGGGAATGATGCTACCACAGACACTGTCTGTCCAGCTCTTGCTAAAGACATGTAATTGGAAAGGTTTTTTTAAAAGGAAAACTATAACAAAAGAAATAGATACATGCAAAAAAAAAGATAAATAGTAGTGAAATATTTAGAACTACATTATTTCTGGAGAAAATGAGTTTACTGGCTAAACTATTGGCCCTTGCCCTTCTTCTGGGTTTACTGAGAAGGCATTTGGTGCCTAGATACAGACTTAGCCAAATATCTCTCCCACTTTTGGTAAACCCTCTGCTGGTGAATGATGTGGGAAACTCTCTCGGAATTCCACACCTTGCTTTAGTTTGTCTTCATTCCCTTGCTCCACTTCTATGCTTGGAGCAACAGCATGCTGCCTCCCCTTCCTGCCCTCTTGTACCTTTCATGCAGGTGCTGATGGTGAGTCAGGCTAGAGGTAAGGGAGGACCTGGAACTCCAGAATGCTGGGTGTCAGAGTCAGAGTGGGGAGAAGCCAAAACAGTACACTAGCAGTCTGCTCAAATCAGGTGCTGAGTGACTGCTGAGGTCTCATGGATTCTTTCACTTTGAAACTGGGGACTCTGATAATTTTCATGGGGCTTCTGCAGGGTTTCCAGAAGAGGGGCCCCAGCTGTTGAGAACATACAATACTCTGGGTTCAACATACCTGTGTGTGGGCCTTGCTAGACTCTAGGAGACAGTGTCAGTGGACTAGGGGAGTCCTTCTGGGGCAGTTGCTGTCCACCACACCTCAGCTCCCTATAGCTGGGTCTCTTCTTAGACTCTGAAGAGGAAGAGTGGATGATTTTTTTTATCTTCTAGGTCCAGCCATGAACCCAGGCTCCTTGGAAACCCAAGCTTATGATCACTTTCTCACAATTTATTCTGGGACCCCTTTTCTCAGCTCTCTTAGCTCCTGATAGGGGTTATCCATGAAAAGTCCAACTCTTGCAGGCTGAGTTGTCTCTGTGTCTGTCCTCATGAGTATATGTCTTGGCCTCTCTTCTCAATATTCTTGTGAAGGCACAGGAAATATAGATAAGAGGTATGTGGGTTTTGAAGGTTAGTATGTTGTAAGGAAGGGCACTAAAACCCTTACTCTGACATCTCCCAAAATGAAATACAGAAGTAAAGATGGATAGTGGCTTCCTAATATCCCCTTTTCATCAGTGTTAAAAATCGTCAAGCCTACACTACATCCATTTTCCCTGTGTACCCAAATGTTATGCTCTGCTACATTGAGAACCTTCCAAATAGAGACATCTCTTTTTCCACTCCCTGAGTCTTTACTCTGCCTCTCTACATCTTCCTAGGTCTGGAGACTTTTAGCCAGCTTGTTTGGAAATCTGCTGAGGGCACAGTAAGTGTGGACCCTCAAAAAGGGCTCCTTTTTCATCTCTGGGGTTGGATCCCAATATTGAGAATCCTAGAAAAATCTTGTTTTGCCTTAGGATCCTGGTGGCTTGAGATAGCCCCAGTAGAAATGGAAGAGGAGATGTGAGTGGAAAACTGGTTTGGTAGATTTGGTCTGTTTGGAATCACTGTAATTTGGTCCCCCTGAGTCATCATTTAGTAATGACCTTGAGGCCACACTGCTTTGAAGAAAATAAACTATGTTAACAGGAAAATCCAGAATTTGTAGGCTGAGTGGTGTTTGGGACAGTTGTATTAGGCTGGCGTTGGACAATTGCTCTCTGGGAAGGTGGCTGCTTATGGTCATTTATAGAGGTGGGGAGCATTTAGGGAGAGAGCGACCCTGAGAACAGTCACAGATTGGCTTTTTAAGAATCCTGGGAGAGTTGTCTTCATCTCCCTGTGCCCCCATAGTAAGCTTCCTTTGAAACTGACATGTTCAATGTTTGTTCTGCACAGTTCTTTATCAACAAGACTGAGATTGAGGACTTTCCCCGCTTTCCTCACCGGGGCTTGCTGTTGGATACATCTCGCCATTACCTGCCACTCTCTAGCATCCTGGACACTCTGGTAACCAGGCCTTAAGGCCTTCTTCACACTTAAGAGTTCTAGGGTGATGGAGCAACGGACAGACCAAGTTCCAAATTCTTAAAGAGTTAGAGAGGGAATGTATGGACTGGGTGTGGTGGCTCATGCCTGTAATCCCAACACTTTGGGAGGCCGAGGTGGGCGGATCACCTGAAGTCAGAAGTTCAAGGCCAGCCTGGCCAACATGGTGAAACTCTGTCTCTACTAAAAATACAAAAATTAGCTGGGCATGGTGGTGCATGCTTGTAATCCCAGCTACCTGGGAGGCTGAGGCAGGAGAATCGCATGAACCCAGGAGGCAGAGGTTGCAGTGGGTGGAGATCACGCCACTGCACTCCAGCCTGGGTGAAAGAGTGAGACGCTGTCTCAAAAAAAAAAAAAAAAATTGTATGTAATTCTATGAGCTCCTGGGAAAAATGTAGAAGATGAGCTGCTCCAAGACTCAAAAAATAACAGAGTGACTTAAATCTACCTTACAGGCTACTGTAGATCAATGTTCAGGCTGTTTCCAGGGATACAAATGTTTAGGGGAATTGGCTTCATTGGCAGAGCTAACTATATTTGTTTTTGAGACAGCGTCTCAATTTTTTTTTTTTTTTTTTGTATTTTTTGTAGAGCTGGGGTTTCGTCATGTTACCCAGGCTGGTCTTGAACTCCTGGGCTCAAGCAATCTGCCCACCTTGGCCTGCCAGAGTGGTAGAATTACAGGCATGAGTCACTACACCTGGCCGGCAGAGCTAACTTTAGTTAGAACAAGGTCATAGGAGAGAGACGTTCAAAGCCTTAACTTGGGGCCAGGTGCAGTGGCTCACACCTGTAATCCTAGCACTCTGGGAGGCCAAGGCGGGTGGATTGCCCGAGCTCAGGAGTTTGAGACTAACCTGGCCAAGACGGTGAAACCCCATCTCTACTGAAAATACAAAAAATTAGCCAGGCGCGATGGCGCAAACCTGTAGTCCCAGCTACTCAGGAGTCTGTGATGGGAGAATCACCTGAGCCTGGGGAGATCAAGGATGCATGAACTGTGATTGCACCACTGCACTCCAGCCTGGACAACAGAGACCCTGTCTCAAAAATAAATAAATAAATAAATAAGTGAAGGAAGGAAGGAGGCTGAGGCATGAGAAGCACTTGAACCTGGGAGGTGGAGGTTGCAGTGAGCTGAGATTGTGCCACTGCACTCCAGCCTGGGTGACACAGCAAGACTCTGTCTCAAAAAAAAAAAAAAAAAAAAAAAAAGCCTTTCCTGGGGAAGTTCCTAACTCTCTTGAGTTTAATGTGCAGTCTTATCTGACAGTTCCCAATCCAGTTCCTGTGTCTGCCTTTTCCTTTGCTCCTGTGACGGAACCAAAGGAGGCCACACATCTGCCAGCCTTTGCTTCTGAGATTATGAGTTAAGAGGCTACTAAGTTCCCAGGAGGTCTCACAGTTGGGCTTAACATCAGTCAGACAACCGAACACAAATGGCAAGAGGAAGTATTGATCTTCAGGCTTTTGGAAGATTCCAGGCTACCACAGTAGCTGCAGCCCTCCTCTTAATGTGGCCAGAATTTATTTCAAGAAGAGGAAAGACCACTTCTATCATCCATCTTTGGATGTGTTCTGGGAAAAGTAGAAGTGTGCTGGGCCTTCCCTCCATGCCATCCCTCCCTGATGGGAAGGTTTGATAGACCCCATAAATACTTAATTGAGAGCTGAGGCAGGTCAAGCCTGTAGGGGTGTGTGGAGCGGCCTGAGAGCTCGCCCAACATCGCAAGTTTGAGGCTGAAACCGGAGAGACTGTGATGGGTTCACAGTGTGCACTTTAACCTACAGGATGTCATGGCGTACAATAAATTGAACGTGTTCCACTGGCATCTGGTAGATGATCCTTCCTTCCCATATGAGAGCTTCACTTTTCCAGAGCTCATGAGAAAGGTATGTTCCCGTTTCACTCAGACCAAGTTTATGGGTCAATGTCTGAATCTGGCTGTGGCCCTGCTGGCAAGAACAGGGTCTCTCATCCTAACCAGCCAGTTTTAGACCAATATAGGGGAAGGACACTGGATTTGGAGTCAGGAGACTTGAGTTCAAGTCCAAAACTTTGCCGATAATTTGCCTTGTGACCTTCAGGAGAGAATCTCTTCTGGCCTTATTCCCTTTTTATGTATTTATATTCTGTTAAATGGACATAGTATTAATACCTACCATGATTATCTCACTGGCATTATGATACTCAGATAAAACAGATGTGATAACTTCTGGGAAATTATGATCAAGTTTTTTGAAGATAGTCCCTGACACCAAAGGGCTATGGGCAGGTTTTCTGATATCTGGGGAGTCTTGTGGGCATTTTGAGTATCTTCTACTCTGCTAGCTTTCAGGAAGTGTGAACCTGAAGGGTGTCTTGTGCCTTTCAGGGGTCCTACAACCCTGTCACCCACATCTACACAGCACAGGATGTGAAGGAGGTCATTGAATACGCACGGCTCCGGGGTATCCGTGTGCTTGCAGAGTTTGACACTCCTGGCCACACTTTGTCCTGGGGACCAGGTAAGAATGATGTCTGGGACCAGAGGGACTCTGCTTGTTATGCTCAGAGTGAAGCTTCAGGGCACTGGCTCATGGAAGTGGCATATCCCAGCCTTGGTCCTTAGAAGAATGTTTTCCATCGACTTCTTCCACCTGGGAATTTAGATAGGAAGAACTCACTTTGGACAATGGAGGCTGCTTCTTACTATTAAAATATGTACTGTTAGACTATGTAAGGGCACATTTTTCTCAGATGCCGTTGCAGGTAGTTGTGCCTAGAGTGGATGCTGAGGAATCTGACCACCAGGGTAGAATCTGAAAGAAAGAAGCCCAAGGGCAGCCTGCAGAGGTCAGAGTCAGTCAGTACCCCTGCTCCCTTTCTTCTGTATACCCTCAGCCCTCCAGTGTGAGCCCCCAACACAGGTTAAATGACAGTTGAAAAGGGCTACTGGCCTGATAGAAAACTGAAGATATTGGCCGGGCGTGGTGGCTCATGTCTGTAATCCCACCACTTTTGGAGGCCAAGGCGGGTGGATCACCTGAGGTCAGGAGTTCAAGACCAGCCTGGCCAACATGGTGAAACTCCATCTCTACTAAAAATACAAAAATTAGCCAGGCGTGGTGGCAGGCGCCTGTAATCCCAGCTACTCGGGAGGCTGAGGCAGGAGAATCGCTTGAACCCAGGAGGCAGAGGTTGCAGTGAGCCAAGATCATGCCACTGTACTCCAGCCTGGGCGACAGAGCAAGACTCTGTCTCAAAAACAAACAAACAACAACAACCAAAAAAAAACCCTGAAGATATCTTGTGACCTCAGCGTCAGGAAGTAGTCTCTGGGCCAAGGGAGATATCCCTTAGCAAATGTAAAAAGATTCTGGGTGATGGTTGACCCCACCTACAGGAGGAGATAGAGAAGAAAGATTTTGCCAGTTTGGCTGGATTAGGCTCTCTCTCTGCCTCAAGGCCTGTGAGGAGAGCAGCCTTGGGAGCAAGGGTAGCACCTGCTAGAAGCAGTGTGTCCAGGCAAGAGTGTGCGCACTGACAGTTGTCTGGCTGGAACTTAGCCTCTGCCTATGATTGTGGATATATTTGTATCTTTTTACTGTGACTAAATGGTGGTGACTACCAGTGTCTGTGAGTGCCTAAGTGTGCCTACCTAAATGTGTGTGATGTTTATGAATACACTTGTCTTGCTTTGTGTGACTCGTGTCCTTACGTGTAGGACTGTGCGTGGGGGTTTATGTATTTGTGACACTCATATGGGGTTTTCTCTTGGCTTAGGTATCCCTGGATTACTGACTCCTTGCTACTCTGGGTCTGAGCCCTCTGGCACCTTTGGACCAGTGAATCCCAGTCTCAATAATACCTATGAGTTCATGAGCACATTCTTCTTAGAAGTCAGCTCTGTCTTCCCAGATTTTTATCTTCATCTTGGAGGAGATGAGGTTGATTTCACCTGCTGGTATGAGCCCTTTGATCTTCCCACTGTGGCCTGATCAGTTGCTTACTCAGAATAGAAGTTAGCACCCGAGGGGCTGCTTAGCTCAGCTGCTGCTCTCAGGGGTCTGTATGGGCTCACATTGCTCAGGTCTTAGGCCTTCCTCTGCCCATCTACGTAGAGATCCTACCTGATTTTGGCAAGGCTTTCACTGTGAACCTCTTCCTTCCTACTCTCATATCCTTGAGGTATTGATAGAAAAAACAGCCCTGGGCACAGAATTGTCTTGGAAAAGTTCGGGATAGAGAAAAATAATCCCTGTTTATGAAGGCTTAAAATTGTCTAGTTGAAGAGTCAAGACACAGAATTCAAGACTAATAGGTGACAATGTCTAATTAGTATTCAGTTGTAAAGTCCAAACCCTTGGTTCTAGTAAGCTCAAAAGAGGCTGAGGGGCTTCTTTGAGAAGAGGGCGCTAGAGCTGAATCTGGGGAAATCAATTTGGCTTTTTGGAGATGTGAGCAGGGGAAAATATTCCAGAAGGAGAACAATGTGAGCAAAATGTGGACGTCATAACGCAAGGGATCTGCAGCAGGTGTTAGACAGCAAGGCTTGTCATCCAACTGGAAGAGCAGATAGGAAAGCCGAAATCCAGTGTGCTGGAGCTTCAAGTTAAGACCTTGGATTCTCATGTTGCAGTCCAGAGAGGATTAATATGTTTTCTCTTTGGGAGTTTGAACTTAAAACTCTTCAGGTCCAGACTCAGCCTTTCTCAGCCTGTGTCAACAGCCCACCTGCTTCACATAACTTTGCTTGGCCACACTTTCCACATGTAGGGCTTCTGAGATCCTTGCTTATTTGATTTTTCAGGTGAAAAGAGGAAGTTATAGGGGGCCAGGTGACTAATCCCCAGGCATTAGGCTTTCAGGATGTTGAAAGATTAATCTTCATTTTCTCTTGGGATTCAGGAAGTCCAACCCAGAGATCCAGGACTTTATGAGGAAGAAAGGCTTCGGTGAGGACTTCAAGCAGCTGGAGTCCTTCTACATCCAGACGTGAGGAAGGAAGGAGGGTGGGTGGGGTCCCTTGGGGGTCCTCCTGTGGGGTCCTCCCTTTCCATACCGAGTCAGGCCCTGCTTGGCCACTGTCTGGTCCCTGCAGGGTTCCCTTGTCCTTTGTCCCATCCTTTCAGATTTGGAGTGGTTGGTTTTCAGCCCAGGGGAAAGACACTGCTTAATGAGGAATAGGCCCCTGGCCAGGCTCAACCCCTAGAGCACTGGCACAAACAGTCTAGAACCCATCTGAGCTAAGCAGACACTTACTAGACACTCCTCTCCTCTCCAGGCTGCTGGACATCGTCTCTTCTTATGGCAAGGGCTATGTGGTGTGGCAGGAGGTGTTTGATAATAAAGTAAAGGTGAGCCGGGGCAGAGAAGAGAAGAAGCCACCAGCAGTGCCTCCCTCTGGTCTCCCCAGCTCCTCCCTGCCTCTACAGAGACTGATCCTCCTGGTTTGGATTGGGCTTTAATGGTCGGAGCACTCTCCTTTTCTCTCTAGAAAGGCCACAGAGTGCTGGGTGCAGTGGCTCACGCCTGTAATCCAAGCACTTTGGTAGGCCAAGGCAGGGGGATTGCTTGAGCCTAGGAGTTCAAGACCAGCCTGGCCAACATAGCAAAACCCTCATCTCTACAAAAAATACAAAAATCAGGAGGCTGAGGTTGGGGTACTGCTTGAGCCCAGGAGGCAGAGGTTGCTGTGAGCCAAGATGTGCCTCTGCACTCAACCCTGGGCAACAGAGTGAGACCCTGCCTCAAAAAAACCAAAGGCCGCTGTGGTATGAGCCCTGGGTTTATGTGTCAGAGTTTCTATCTTCCCTCACTACAAACTTAATTAAGAACTATTTCTGCTGTTAGGTTACTTGGATAGGCTGGATTTTTCTTCCTAAATCATAGATGAGGGTCTTCTGGGTCTGTGGGACCAAGGTTACCTTCTCCTTTATTGTTGATCAGTAAGATCCCAGTCTCCTGTCACATGCAAGGACTCTTCAGGAACCTTGTCCCGTCCCCAGAAACATCTGGAGACTTTTGGACATGGCAGCTCCTGGGTCCCACTGCTTGCCTCCCTCAGCTCACAGCTGGTATTACTAGCTCTGTGTGGACAGGGAGGCTGCAGAGGGACGGGGAGGAGAGCTGCAGGGAGGCCTCTTAGGGCCCTGGATTCCTTGGCCTCTGTCCTGAGGTGTGAGCTCAATGGTCAGGAGTCACAGAGACATACTTTGCTGCTGGGGAACAGAGGGAGCACATACCTGTTGTCCCATGTTGCCTGTGTATGAATAAGGCCCAGGAATCTCCTCAGCTTTGTGTCCTTACTGCCATTTGACCTTTTATAACAGATTCAGCCAGACACAATCATACAGGTGTGGCGAGAGGATATTCCAGTGAACTATATGAAGGAGCTGGAACTGGTCACCAAGGCCGGCTTCCGGGCCCTTCTCTCTGCCCCCTGGTACCTGAACCGTATATCCTATGGCCCTGACTGGAAGGATTTCTACATAGTGGAACCCCTGGCATTTGAAGGTGAAAGCAGAGAGCTCTCCTTGCTAACCAAAGGAGGCTGGGTTGGGGCACAGGATGGGAGGCAGGAAGGTCTGGGCCAGACATTTCCAGTTAGTAAATGAAACAACTTAGCTGGGGTGAGGGCCACATTGGGAAGGTGGTTGAGAGGGACCCTGGAGTTACCCCACCATCACCAGACTGTTGTTGCTTGTTTTCCCTCAGGTACCCCTGAGCAGAAGGCTCTGGTGATTGGTGGAGAGGCTTGTATGTGGGGAGAATATGTGGACAACACAAACCTGGTCCCCAGGCTCTGGTAAGGGTTTTCGGGGGGGAGGTGGAGGGTTGGGCCTGAGAGCAGGAGTTCTCCCTTAGAGACCCAATCCCATCTAGCCACCTCTGGACTAGTACCCTTCTTTCAGGCCTGAGAGAGAGCAGGCCGTGCAACGAGCCTTCTGAAGATTTGTGTGCAATATTCACTCTCCACATGACTTCCGTCTATATCCCTCCAGCTGCCCTTTGGTATGTGGGATAGGGATTGTTAACCTTACTTCCCAGAGAGATAATGAGGCCTGGAGAACATAGGTGAGTTGCTCAAGACCCAGCACAAGCATCCATGATTCCTGTAATAAGGCTTCCCTCTGCTGTTTTCACTGCAGCCTTACCAAGTATGGTTGGGTGTGCAAAGTTTACATTTTAAGGACCTCTGCTGCTGCCACTGTCATTGTGGTTAATGATGGCTTTAAGGTTTATTCTTATTCCCATATCTTTGAGAGAGGAAGAGAGTGGGATTGCTACCCACATTTTAATGAAGGTGGAGCTGAGCCGTAGAACTCTCTGGGAGCCATCCAACCTGGCTGTGGCTCATAACAAGGTATTGATCACTTCCTTTGGCCTGAGTGAGTCCAGGGTGCCTAGACAAGAGGTAGCAGCCTGTGGATGTCCAGCACCTTTGCAGGGAATACAGGGCCCAATCTGGCACATGCCCCTTTTCCTCCAGGCCCAGAGCAGGGGCTGTTGCCGAAAGGCTGTGGAGCAACAAGTTGACATCTGACCTGACATTTGCCTATGAACGTTTGTCACACTTCCGCTGTGAATTGCTGAGGTAAGCAAGCTGTGGGGCCTTCGCAAGGCGGAGCAGGCCAGATCCAGGGCTGGGGAACCCCTTAGAGAGAGGAAGACAATAATTAACAATAGCTAACACTTACAGAGGCTTATAGTCAGCCCTCATCCACGGATTCAACCAACTGCGATAAAAAGTATTCAGGAAAAAAAAAATACAACAAAAAATGGTACAAATAAAAAATACTGTATAACAACTATTTACATAGCATTTATATTGTATTAGGTATAAGTAATCTAAGATCATTTCAAGTATATGGGAAGTTGTACATTGGTTATATGCAAATACTATGTCATTTTTATATAAGGGACTTGAGCATCCTTGGATTTTGGTATCCACGGGGGTCCTGAAACAAATCCCCTGTGGATACTGAGGGACAACTGTATTTTGTGGCAAACACTGTGCTAAGTTTGTTACAAATATTGTCTCATTTAGTCTTCACCACAGCCCCATGAGACAGGTGCATTTTAGAGATAGACACTGAAGCACAGAGTTCAGGACCTTGCCCAAAGTCACTAAGAAGCAGGATTTGAACCAGGCTGACTTACAGGATGTCATGACACCTTTGCCTCTGTCAGGGATGTGCCTGTGTAAGATAGTCATTTCCCTGATTCCTTCGTTGGCTAGGTCTTGAGTACTTGGGGGACATAGCCTAGTGCAGAGCAGAGTCCTGGGCTGAGAGTCAAGCATGATGGTGTCTAAGCCTCAATTATGTCATTCACTGGGTAACTTCCAGCTGGTTCTCTAAGCATGTTGCTTACTTGGATGATAAGGGAAGCATGCCTAGAGGTCCCCTAAGGAGATTGGTCAGGTTATAGACTGAGACCCAAGGACAGGATTTCGCATCCATGTTCATGGACAGGACAGCACCTAAGTCCCCCAGTGCCACCATATTTACAGCATTTTAGAGTCAGGAACAGAGGGCTAAGTAGACCAAGAGCATTGGCTGCCTTTCAGACATCCATCTATATTCTAAAGGGATTGAGTTATTTGGGGTTAGGGTACAGAGATGGGCAGGATATAAATAGATGTCGCCAACGTTTCTGGATCTCCAAGACCTGTATCAGAATCACCTGAGGCACCTGTTCAGCTTGCAGATTCTTGCCAATACTTTGCCCCACCCCAGGTGAGAATCTCTGGAATTGAGATTCCCAGGTGCATTTGGTGTACAGTGACAGTTTGAGAGTCACCGAAATGGGGAAGGAGAGACTGTTGACTGGTGTGAAAAGTGTTGCTGGGGCCCCTTCTGAGGGGCTTATCTTGCCATTTCTTCATGTCCTCTTGCAGGCGAGGTGTCCAGGCCCAACCCCTCAATGTAGGCTTCTGTGAGCAGGAGTTTGAACAGACCTGAGCCCCAGGCACCGAGGAGGGTGCTGGCTGTAGGTGAATGGTAGTGGAGCCAGGCTTCCACTGCATCCTGGCCAGGGGACGGAGCCCCTTGCCTTCGTGCCCCTTGCCTGCGTGCCCCTGTGCTTGGAGAGAAAGGGGCCGGTGCTGGCGCTCGCATTCAATAAAGAGTAATGTGGCATTTTTCTATAATAAACATGGATTACCTGTGTTTAAAAAAAAAAGTGTGAATGGCGTTAGGGTAAGGGCACAGCCAGGCTGGAGTCAGTGTCTGCCCCTGAGGTCTTTTAAGTTGAGGGCTGGGAATGAAACCTATAGCCTTTGTGCTGTTCTGCCTTGCCTGTGAGCTATGTCACTCCCCTCCCACTCCTGACCATATTCCAGACACCTGCCCTAATCCTCAGCCTGCTCACTTCACTTCTGCATTATATCTCCAAGGCGTTGGTATATGGAAAAAGATGTAGGGGCTTGGAGGTGTTCTGGACAGTGGGGAGGGCTCCAGACCCAACCTGGTCACAGAAGAGCCTCTCCCCCATGCATACTCATCCACCTCCCTCCCCTAGAGCTATTCTCCTTTGGGTTTCTTGCTGCTTCAATTTTATACAACCATTATTTAAATATTATTAAACACATATTGTTCTCTAGGCACTGTGGTAGTGGGTTTTTTTGTTGTTTTTGTTTTTGAGACTGTCTCAAAAACTCTGTCGCCCAGGCTGACAGTGCAGTGGCACAATCTTGGCTCACTGCAGCCTCTGCCTCCTGGGTTCAAGCGATTCTCGTGCATCAGCCTCCTGAGTAACTGGAATTAATAGGCACGTGCCACCATGTCCATCTAATTCATATATATATATTTTTTTTTTCTGAGACGGAGTCTCACTGTCACACAGGCTGGAGTGCAGTGGCACGATCTCGACTCACTGCAAGCTCCACCTCCTGGGTTCACGCCATTCTCCTGCCTCAGCCTCCCCAGTAGCTGGGACTACAGGCGCCCGCCACCACGCCCGGCTAATTTTTTGTATTTTTAGTAGAGATGGGGTTTCTCCGTGTTAGCCAGGATGGTCTCGATCTCCTGACCTCGTGATCCGCCCGCCTTGGCCTCCCAAAGTGCTGGGATTACAGGCGTGAGCCACCGCGCCCGGCCGAATTCATCTATTTTTAGTAGAGATGGGGTTTCACTATATTGGCCAGGCTGGTCTTGAACTCATGACCTCAGATGTTCACTTGTCTTGGCCTCCCAAAGTGCTGGGATTAGAGGCGTGAGCCACCGCACGCGGGCCTGTGGTAAATTGTTGAATTTGAAGGACTCAGAGGCCCTGGTCAATTCCAAAATAACGTAGGCGACTTCCATCCCCCTCCTCCCAACCATTTTCAGCCCAAAGCATCTTCGCAGGGAATGGATGGCTGCGCGGAGGTGGGCGGTGGCTCTGGAGAGGGTCTTTGCAGGTGTGATTTTCTCTAGAAGGAAATGTCTCGTCGTGGACCCAGACTGCC
Source organism: Homo sapiens (assembly GCF_000001405.40). Classification (NCBI taxonomy): domain Eukaryota; kingdom Metazoa; phylum Chordata; class Mammalia; order Primates; family Hominidae; genus Homo; species Homo sapiens. The sequence continues at coordinate 72,342,589 of NC_000015.10, read as the reverse complement.
CCCTCCTGGTTTCAGATGCAGAAGTGATACTGTAAGCCAGAGGCGGGGGCAGTAATGCATCGCAGCCATTTTAGGTGAGGATTTCCTTGGCGGTTATTTGTTAAGTTCTTTGGCTGGGCCCTGGGCTGGGGTAACAATGGACAGGTTCCAGGCATTTTTTTCAGAAAGCTTCCAGTGTAGTGGATACAGAAACTTCAGGAAGGCAGGGCTGAGAAGGATCTGAGTAAAACTCGGTCCTTCAACACCATCCTTCAGCCCCTGGGTCATGTTCCTTCGAGGTCCTGGTGGGAGGTAGACAAGCCTAGCCTTGTGCTGTTCCTGTAAGGACAGGGTGGGCATTTTCTACCAACAGAATTCTTGGAATTTTCACACAGCCCAGCCTAGCCAAGTCCAGGGCTATAGCCCAGATACACAAGTTAAGGTCCCAGCACTGGCACCCACCACAGGAGCCCCCTTACCTCTATTACCCAGAAGCTTGTAGGAGGGGTGGTCCGCAGACAAGGACCCTGCACAGGTGCGACCCTGCTTCCCTCCTGGTCATAACTTTCATGTTACTATTGCTTGGGATAATGTTAAGTAAAAATAGCAGACACTGAGTTTTAAGTCTCAAGTGGATGAAGGCAGAGATCGTGATACACTTGAGTTAAAGCAGTAGGGTTCTGTCATTTTCTATTCCTGTTGTAAACATTTTCTTTAATGTTATTATTTTTACCACTAAACTAACGTGGCCTGGTCACGACTTTCATTGGTAAAGTGTGCTGTTCCTCACCCTCCACCGTTGCTCCTTTGGTCCACTGATCATAAGAGCATTTACCTGAAGGTCGTCAGACCTCGAATGCCAACAGGTCAACTGCAGTGGCCTGCAGTTACCACCCAGTCTGTTCCAATGAACAGAATCGCTGTTGCCCCAACTCATCTCCCTTCACCTAGGCTGTAAATTGAAAGTCCCACCCCTGAGCGGAACACAGGCCATCTTGTGTGCTGTGCACCACCAGGGGGTGGGGAAGTTTCCAGACTGACTTCCTGGCTCCAGTCATCCTAGGAAAAGAGTTCTCCAGTCGCTCCCCACCCCCACCCCTTCCCATTCCAGGAGTCTATTAAGGAGGCAAAGCAGGCCTAACGGGTATCAAAGCAAAGGAGTGAATGGAGACTGGGAGAGTCTTCAACCTCTCCTCTCCTTGGTAGGAGCTGAGGCTGCATGCCAGGTACCTTCCCTTCGAGGAATCTAATAAAGCTAGGTCACTGGTGTTTTCAGGTGCTTCTCAAAGGATTGCCGTAGGGGTAGGATATCAGGATGTGGGAGCACAGGTGCCACCACAGCACTAGTGATGGAGAGTCATTGCCCCTAGACTTCTGGGACAGTGAGACTGTGAGGAAAGCTGAAATGATACTGGGAAAGGGTGAAAGAAAGGATGTAGGTGGAATTTATTTAGTATTAATGTAGGTACACATACCTTATGGCAACATTCCTAGCACTCTAAATTCTAGATTTGTATAGTTTCTGTCAATATCTTTTGTAAGCTTAATCAATACAGGGCATGACAAGTATGTGTCACATACTTTTTTTTCCACGAAGAAAAAAAATAAGTAGGAATTGGGTGCTTTGTTTATCAAAATTTGTATTTCCTTTATAAATAAACTTTGAAATAAAGGTTGAAAATTAGTATCTTTTCTAGCCGAGCCACCATTGTTTTTAAAAATCCTCTTTGAAGCAGGTGTGTGTGTGTGTGTGTGTGTGTGTGTGTGTGACGTTTTTCAACAAAATTTTTAAAAATCGAAATGTCAGGGTCAGGTGCAGTGGCTCATGCCTCTAATTCCAGCACTTTGGGAGGCCGATGTGGGAGGATTGCCTGAGCTCAGGAGTTAAAGACCACCCTGGGCAACATGGTGAGACCTGATTTCTACTAAAAATTAAAAAGATTAGCTAAGAATGGTGGTGTGTGGTTGTAGTCCCAGCTACTCAGGAGGCTGAGAAAGAAGGATCACTTCAGCCTGGAAGATTGAGGCTGCAATGAGTCATGATCACACCACTGAACTCCAGCCTCAGCAACAGGGTGAGACCATGTTTCAAAAAAAAGAAAAAAATTTAAATGTCCAGGAACCTTGCTTTTTTCACAGTAATTACTGTACTCTAACCACACCCATGTTTAGTCTAAACTATCCCAGTAAATACTCCTATTTTTTAGTGATTTCAAATGTTTCAAACAACAGAAAAGTCTAGAAAATAGTAAACAGTGTAACCACCCAGCTTTGTTGCATCTCAGTAGTCATATTTGCTTCAGATTTGTTTTTTTTAAACAAAAAAGATGAAACATTATTAATATCCCCCTTCCCAATGCTATTCCCTTCTCCAAAAACAACTGTTTTCCAGAATTTCTTTTTAATCTTATTTCCTCTGGAGAATCTGATACTTAGCTGTGATTTTTTTCATCACTTAATAAATTCTTTATGGCTCACTCTTTATAGCAAATTAGAAAGAGATGTTTTGGAAGCCACTCAAAAAAGGGAGTGTGTGTGGGAAAGGAGGAAGAGCAGCTGGCAGGCAGACACAGATGGGAAGGGGTGCCATGCTCGCTGGTGTGCTGCAGAGTGTGTGAGTGAGAGCGTGTGTCTGAGTGTCTGGATGATCTATTATGAAAGAGGATATTTGAACATAGGAACTCAACTGCTGGTGTTTATCTAGACTCACATGAGTCAGAAATCTGAATGAAGATAGATGTGGAGATCCAGCTAGGAGAACAAAAGTGCTTCGTCATTTTTATGTGCTTGCTGTGTCAGGCACTTTTGTTGTTTTTTTTTTTTTTTTCTTTTCTTTTTGAGATGGAGTTTTGCTCTTGTCACCCAGGCTGGAATACAGTGGTGCAATCTGGGCTCACTGCAACCTCCACCTCCCGAGTTCAAGCAATTCTCCTGCCTCAGCCTCCCAAGTAGCTGGGACTACAGGCATGTGCCACCACACCCTGCTAATTTTTGTATTTTTAGTAGAGACGGGGTTTTACCATGTTGGCCAGGCTGGTCTCAAACTCCTGACCTCAGGTGATCTGCCCACCTTGGCCTCCCAAAGTGCTGGGATTACAGGCTGAGCCACCAAGCCCGACCTGTCAGGCACTATTATAAGCACTTTACTGGATGTTAATGTATTTAATCCTCATCCCAACCAATGTGCTATCAATATTATCCTCATTTGACAGATAAGGAAACAAACATAGGAAGGTTAAGTGACATCTATATGGTTACACAGCTACGCTGAGTCCCGATTAGCACTGGGGAGTTGCAGGGCATATGACTCCTAACTCAGCTACCTAACTCTAGCCCCTACTGCCTTCAGCCACTGTCCTGGGCTGCCCCACGTCAGACATCTTCCTCCTCTCGGACACCAAATACAGACATACAGATAAAGCTAGCAACTCAGCTATTTCTGGGCTCGAATCCATTTCTTCTCCTATGTTTAAACAAATAAAATTAAAACCTCTCAGTCCACTTTTATTAGTCAAGCTGCCTGAAACAGTTGCAAGTTTGTCTATTTCACCACTTTGCATTCAGCCCTCATGACCCCACAGTTGGGCTGTAATCCTCATAAGGGCCGCTTCCACTAAGGCCAACAATAACCTACATGTTGCCAAATCAAGGGACATTGCTCAATAATAAGGAAAAAAATTACTTGATCTTTTCGCATATTTTTGAGATTTTGATCCCTCCCTCTTTGAAATTCTTTCTTCGCAGGCTTTTGTGACACCATTCTTTCCTGAGTTTCTCAATGTCTATCACTGACTCCTTCAGTAAACTCTCAGCCCATAACCAAGGTTTTGTCTTCTTTTTTTTTTTCTTCTTTGAGACAGAGTCTCGCTCTCTTGCTCTATTGCCCAGGCCCTAGTGCAGTGGTGCAATCTCAGCTCACTTCAACCTCCGTCTCCCAGTCTCAGGCGATTCTCCTGCCTCAGCCTCCTGGGTAGCTGGAACTACAGGTGTGCACCACCACACTCGGCTAATTTTTTCGCATTTTTGTAGAGACAGGATTTCGCCATGTTGGCCAGGCTGGTCTTGAGCTCCTGAACTCAGGTGATCCACACACCTCAGCCTCCCAAAGTGCTGGGATTACAAGCATGAGCCACAGCACCTTACCTTTCCTCTTATACTTTCTTCCTAGTGATCTCATTTAGACAGTCTTAGTGTGCAGTCTTACACCTGGACAGCCATAGATAGATAGGTAGGTAGGTAGGTAGATAGACAGATAGATTAGACAGATAGATAGATAGATAGATAGATAGATAGATAGATAGATAGATGATAGACTGACCGACAAACATATATATAATATATGTATGTGTATTTCCTCTGGGGTCCAAGCTCAGGTAGCCAACATCTTCATATCATCTGAATGTCCATTACGTACTTAAAGCTCATGTCCCAGGCAGAATTCATCTTTTCATAGCTCCCCACTCTATTCCTCCTGTATGACTATTCTGCTGGTCATTAGAGCCGAAGTCTGGGAATCATCTTTAACTCCTTCCTTCCTGTCATAATTGTCACCACAACATCCCTACTCTGTATAAATAACTCTTAGATTCATGTACTCCTCTCTATCTACACTGCCACCATCTTTGTTTAGGATCCTAATGAATGCATCTGCCTCAGTTCTTCCAGTCATCTTTTTAAACTGCAAGTCAGATTACGTGTTTCCTGCTTTGCCCCATTGTCCAGTTCACTCAGAAGTATACGCCAGTCTTCCTCTTCAAGATGATGCCTTTGACCACTCCATAATCATTTTCTGACACTCTACCTATATTAGTTACAAGGAAATAGCTCAAACTGGATTGTGCAAAAAAAGGTAAAACATTGTGTCATGTTATACATCTTCACATACACATTCAAAATTCTGACTTATGTCAGCCTAGATAAACATCAACAGTACATAATTATATGATCCTAGGGATAAATCTATTAAAAGACCTAAGGACTTTGTGGAGAAAATTACTAAATTTTGGAGAGACACAGGAGATAGAGATGTAGAGACAGAACATGTTCATGAAAGAGAAGACTCAATATTCATAAGGATTTTAAATTTATCTGCAGGTTCAATATGGTTCCTATTAAAATTCAATTTCTTTTTATTTTGGAACTTGAAGCTGATTTTAAAGTAAGTGCAAATCTTTTTTAGGGTGGGGGAAACTTGAAATTGATTTTAAAGTAAGTGCAAGAATTCCTAAGAATAATGAAAAAGTCAATTTTTAAGAAGAGAAAAATAAGCTGGGCGCAGTGGCTCACGCCTGTTATCCCAGCACTTTGGGAGGCCGAGGCGGGCAGATCACTTGAGGCCAGGAGTTCGAGACCAACCTGGCCAACATGGCGAAACCCTTTCTCTACTAAAAATACAAAAATTAGCCAAGCGTGGTGGCGCATGCCTGTAATCCCAGCTACTCAGGAGGCTGAGGCAGGAGAATTGCTTGAACCCGGGAGGCGGAGGTTGCAGTGAGCCGAGATTGCACCACTGCACTCTGGCTTGGGAGACAGAGTGAGACTCCGTCTCAAAAAAAGAAAAAAAGAAAAACATGTACAACATGGAATAGAGTTGATATCCAGCCAGTATACACTTTGAGTGATCTCATTCACACTCAGTGTATCTTCAGCTACCCTCATATGAAGTCACAGACTCACACCTGTATTTCCAGCACTTTGGGAGGCCAAGGCAGTAGGATCACTACAGCCTGAGTTCAGGGCTGCAGTGATCTATGATTGCAGCATTGCACTGGAGCCTGGCCAACAGAGTGAGACCCTATCTCTTAAAAATTAAAAAATAAAAATAAGTCATTATAAAAGTGTAATTATCAAGACAGTTGGTATTGGTGCAGAAATAGACAAAAAGCCCCATAAAACAGAATGCAGAACCCAAAAAGAGGCTTATTCATATACAGCAACCTGAAAATATACAGAGGTTATGTAACAAATTGGGAGACTTCAGATTCTTATAGGAACATGGTAGAAACCTGGTTTTTAATCTTCCAACTTCTGTAAAAACCATACAGAGCAACAAGGTGAATTTAAAAACAAAAAGGCACAAACTAGTGAAACAAGAAAGAGCCTAAAGACTCCAAACTACCTGAATTTAATGCTAATCGCTGGTTCAGGAAAATTCATTTTATTCAAATTTTCTTACATTTATTCAAATATGAGTAAAAATACTACAGATATACATACAAGAAAAAGATAAAAACCGTTTCAAAAATTAAGGCAGGCCAGGTGCGGTGGCTCACGCCTGTAAACCCAGCACTTTGGGAGGCCAAGGTGGGTGGATCACCTGAGGTCAGGAGTTTGAGACCAACCTGGCCAACATAGTGAAACCCCATCTCTACTAAATATACGAAAATTAGGTGGGCATGGTGGTGCACGCCTGTAATCCCAGCTACTCGGGAGGCTGAGGCAAGAGAATCACTTGAACTCAGGAGGTGGAGGTTGCAGTGAGCCAAGATGCACCACTGCACTCCAGCCTGGGCAACAGAGTGAGACTCTGTCTCAAAAAATAAAATAAAAAATATAGGCCAGGCACGGTGGCTCACGCCTGTAATCCCAGCACTTTGGGAGGCCGAGGCAGGCAGATCCTGAGGTCAGGAGAACATCCCAGCTAACAAGGTGAAACCCCGTCTCTACTAGAAATACAAAAATTAGCTGGGCGTGGTGGCGGGCGCCTGTAGTCCCAGCTCCCCAGGAGGCTGAGGCAGAAGAATGGCATGAACCTGGGAGGTGGAGCTTGAAGTGAGCTGAGATTGCATCACTGCACTCCAGCCTGGGCAACAGAGCGAGACTCCATCTCAAAAAAAAAAATATATATATATGTATATATGTGTGTGTGTGTGTGTATATATATATGTGTGTATATATGTGTGTGTATATATATGTGTATATATATATGTATATGTATGTGTGTGTGTGTGTGTATATATATATATATGAAGGCTACTTTCTCATAGTGGTAGACTAGGTAATTTGGAACAATCTTACCACTGGAGACAATTAGAAAAGCTTGAAGGCATTGGAATAGTAAAATATTATGAAACATTACTTGGATGAGATGTAAGAAAGACTAAAACCCTGAACAGTAAGCCTAGCATTTGGGGGCATGTCTCTTCTGGGTGCAATTGCCAATTCCAAATAAGGCTGATAAAATGCTCTGAAGCACTTTTGACAACCTCACAGGGTTGGGGATTAAAAGTTGTAGTCCATTCCTTATAATTCCAGGAGGTAGGAAAAAATAAGTAAATAAAATGAGAAATAAAGTTTTAATCCCGGGCCCACAAAAAGGACCCTGGAAAACTCTCCACTTTTTGGGTTGAGACCTCAAAAGACCAAACTCTACAAGATAAATTGAAAACAGACCATTCATTGCTCAGAAACTGCTCAGATATGAGTCATCTCAATCACTAAAATTAGTTTGATTATCTCAGATTGCTAGAGCCCCTAGATGCCTTCCAGAAACAAATGTATATCCATTCTGTAGAAGGAAAACGTACCCCTAGACCTCCAATTATTTCTAAAAATATTTTTCAAACACAATGCCTATCATATAATCAGAAATAACCAGGCACATGAAGAGAATAATAAGGGAGTAATAACAATCAAGAATTTTACAAAATTAATAACAGGCAACAAACCACAGATCCAAGAGTCTCAGATAGCACCAAGCAGGATAAATGCCAAGTAATAATCTATATCTATAGATTATTATATTCAAACTGCAGAAAATCGAAGACAAAATCTTGAAAGGAGCCAGAGAAAAATAACACCTGCCTATAGGGGAACAAGGATAAGGATTACATTGGCCTTCTCTTCAGAAAACATGCAAGCAAGAAGAGAGTGAAGTGAAATATGTAAGAAAGAAAAAAAGGGGGGATAAACCCACCAGCCTAGAATTCTGTTTCTAGCAAAATTATCCATCAGAAGTGAAGAAGAAATAGATTTTCTCAGACAAAGAAGACTTGAGAAAATTTATCACCAGTAGATCTGCCTTGCAAGAAAATTAAAGAGGTTCTTTGAAGAGAGAGAAAATGATCTAGGGGCTATATGAAAAAAACTTGGGGCTATAGGAAGAAAGGAGGAGCATTAGAGAAGGAGTAAATGAAGATAAAACAAAACATTTTATTTTTCTTAATCTGAAGTGATGTAACAAATAGCAGTTTGTTCGAAATAATAATACCAGCAATGTATTCAGTGATTACCTTATGAATAAGTGAAATACATGACAACAATGTTATAAAGAATGAGGCTGGGCGTGGTGGCTTATGCCTATAATCCCAGCACTTTGGGAGGCTGAGGTGGGCAGATCATAAGGTCAAGAGTTCAAAACCATCCTGGCCAACATGGTGAAACCCCGTCTCTACTAAAAATACAAAAATTAGCTGGACATGGTGGCATGCGCCTGTAATCCCAGCTACTCAGGAGGCTGAGGCAGGAGAATCGCTTGAACCCAGGAAGCAGAGGTTGCAGTGAGCCAAAATCACACCATTGCACTCCAGCCTGGGTGACCTCTTGTCAAAAACAAAAACAAAAAAAAAAAGAATGGGAGAGAGGAATTGGTAATCTCAATGCTTTCGAAGAACAAGATGGGGAGGATTGCTTGAGGCCAAGAGTTCAAGACCAGCCTGGGCAACATAGCAAGACCTGTATTCTCTACAGAAAATAAAAATTAGCCCAGCTACTCAGGAGGCTGAGGCAGGAGGATTGCTTGAGCCTGGGAGGTAAGGCTGCAGTGAGCTATGATTGCACCACTGTGCTTTAGCCTGGGTGACAGAGAAAGACCCTGTCTCGAAAGAAAAAGGAATGAAAGAGAGAGAGAAAGAAAACAAGAGAAAAGGAGACTTGGATTACTTATAAATGTATATTGTGAAATTTAGGGCAGCAACTAAAAATTTTTTTAAAGAGAAGGATTGAGTGCAGTGGCTCACACCTGTAATCCCAGCACTTTGGGAAGCCAAGACAGGAGGATCACTTGAATCCAGGAGTTTGAGAGCAACTGGGACAACATAGTGAGACCCTGTCTCTACAAAAAAATTTTGAAAATTAGCCAGGCATGGTGTTGCAGGCTTGTAGTCCCAGCTACTTAAGAGGCTAAGGCAGGAGAATCTCTTGAGCCTGGGAGGTTGAGGCTACAGTGAGCCATGGTTGTGCCACTGTACTCCAGCCTGAGGGACAGAGTCAGACCCTATGCCCCCAAAAAAGTATAACTGCTATATTAACAGAAAAGAGAAAATGGAATTATATTAAATGATCAGTTAAAACCAAAGAAGACAAAAAAAGAAAGAAAAAAGAAATAGCAATGGCAATTTTATCAATGGTCTAAATACATGAATTTTTTAAAAAGGGCCAGGCTCAGTGGCTTGTGCCTGTAATTCCAGCACTTTGGGAGGCCAAGTTGGGGAGACTGCTTGAGCCCAGGAGTTCAAGACCAGCCTGGGCAACGTGACAAAACTGCATCTCTATAAAAAGTACAAAAAGCCGGTGTGGTGGTGCGTGCATGTAGTCCCAGCTACTCTGGAGGCTGAGGCAGAGGCAGGAAGATCACCTGACCCCAGGAGGTCGAGCCTGCAGTGAGTTGTGATTGTGCCACTGAACTCCAGCCTGGGTGACAGAGAGACCCTGACTCTAATAATAATAATAATTTAAAAAAAAGACCCAACTGGTGTTGTCTGTAAGAAATCAACTTTAAATATAGACACAGATGGGTTAAAAGTAAAGGAATGGAGAAAGATGCATCATGCTAACACTAATCAAAAGAAGGCTGGAGGCTGGGCATGGTGGCCCAGCACTTTGGGAGGTCGAGGCGGGAGGATCACTTAAGGCCAGGAGTTTGAGACTAGCCTGGGCAATATAATGAGACCCCCCCATCTCTATGAAAGAAAAAATAAAGCTGTATTAGTTTCAGATGGAGTCAGCTTCAGAGCAAGGAAAATTATGAAGGATAAAGAGGGCCAGGTGTGATGGTTCATGCCTGTAACCCCTGTACTTTGGGAGGCCGAGGCAGGAGGATCACTTGAGACCAGCCTGGGCAACATGGTGAAATGCCATCTCTACAAAAAATACAAAAGTTAGCCAGGCGTGGTGGTATGTGCCTGTAGTCCCAGCTACTCAGAAGGGTGAGGCTAGAGGATCATTTGAGCCTGGGAGTTTGAGGCTGCAGTGAGCCATGATTGCAACAACACTGCACTTCAGCCTTGGTGACAGAGCAAGACCCTGTCTCAAAAACAAACAAAAAAAAAAAAAGAAAAAAAGGATAAAGAGAGGGCCATTACACAATGATAAAGAGATCAGTTCTTCAAGAAGACATAATCCTTTATGGGTATGCCCTAGTATCAAAATACATAAGAGAGAAAAAAAACTGATAGAACTGCAAAAAGAAATAAACAATCTGCTATTATAGTTGGAGTTTTTGACAGCCCTGTATTAGGAGTTAACAGATCCAGGAGGAAGATTGGTAGTGACATAGTTGAAGTGAACAGCAACATGAGTCAACTTGGTCTATATATTCATTTCAAGTTCACACGGAATATTCACCACGATAGACCACATTTTTGGGCATAAAACACTCCTTAACATATTTAAAGAGCTTGAAATCATACATTGTATGCCCCCAAATCACAAAAAAATTAAACAGAATTCAATAACAGAAATATAGCTAGAAAATAGTCAAATATTTAAAGATTAACCAATATACTTCTTTTCTTTTATTATTATTATTTTTTTTTTGGAGATAGAGTCTCACTCTGTCGCCCAGGCTGGAGTGCAGTGGTGCGATCTCAGCTCACTGCAACCTCCACCTCCCAGGTTTAAGCGATTCTCCTGCCTCAGTCTCCGGAGTAGCTTATTAACCAATACACTTCTGAATAATACATAGGCCAAAGAAAAACACTCAAAACCAGCCTAGGAAACATAGTGATACCCCATTTCTAAAAAAAATAAAATAAACAATAATAATAAATTAGCTGGGCGTGGCACACACTTGTGGTCCCAGCTACTCGGGAGGCTGAGGTGGGAGGATCACTTGAGTCCCAGGCAGTCAAGGCTGCAGTGAGCTATTGTGATGGTTAATATCAAGTGTCAATTTGATTGGATTGAAGGATGCAAAGTATTGTTCCTCCATATGTATGTCTGTGAGGATGTTGCCAAAGGAGATTAACAAGTCAGACCCATCCTCAATCCAGTGGTCACAATCTAATCAGCTGCCAGTGCAGCTGGAATAAAGCAGGCAGAAGAACGTGGAAGGACAGACTGGCTGAGTCTTCTGGTCTTCATCTTTCTCCTGTGCTGGATGCTTCCTGCCTTCAAACATCGGACTCCAAGTTTTTCAGCTATTGGACTCTTGGACTTAAGTGATTTGCCAGGGACTCTGGCCTTTGGCCACAGACTGAAGACTGCACTGTCAGCTTCCCTCTTTTGAAGTTTTGGGACTCAGACTGGCTTCTTGCTCCTTAGCTTGCAGATGGCCTATTGTAGGACTTCACCTTGTGATTGTTTGAGTCGATACTCCTTAATAAACTCCCTTTCATATGTACATCTGTCCTATTAGTCCTGGCCTTCTAGAGAACCCTGACTAATACAGCTATGATCATGCCACTGTACTCCAGGCTGGGTGACAGAGTGAGACCCCACCTCAAAAAAGAAAAAAAGACTCGAGAAATTTTGAAAATATTTTAAACTAAATGAAAACGAAAAATACAACTTATCAAAATTTGTGGGATGTAGTAAAAGCAATGCTGCAAGAGAAACCTGTAGCATTGAATGTATATATTCCAAAGGGAGAAAGATATAAAATCAATAATCGGCTTCCACTTCTGGAAACTAGACATAGAAAATTAAATTTCAAATAAGGAGAGAAAAGAAATAATACAAATTAGTCACCCTAGCCTACATAGCAAGACCCCGTCTCTACAAAAAATAAAAAAAACTTACCCAGGTGTGGTGGTACATGCTTGTAAATCCTAGCTTCTCAGGAAACTGAGGCAAGAGGATCACTTGAGCCCAGGAGGTGGAGGCTGCAGTGAGCTGTGATTGCACCACTGCACTTTAGCCTGTGTGACAAATTTGTGGGCATAGAATTCTTCATAATATTCCTTTATTATCCTTTTTTTTTTTTTTTTTTTTGAAATGGAGTCACTACCTCTGTTGCCCAGGCTGGAGTACAGTGGCACGATCTCGGTTCACTGAACCTCTGCCTCCCAGGTTCAAGTGATTCTCCTCCTGCCTCAGCCTCCCGAGTAGCTGGGATTACAGGCACCTGTCGCCACGCCCCACTAATTTTTTTTGTTTTGTTTTGTTTTGTTTTGAGATGGAGTCTCGCTCTGTCACCCAGGCTGGAGTCCGGTGGCACTACCTCGGCTCACTGCAAGCTCCGCCTCCCAGGTTCACGCCATTCTCCTGCCTCAGCCTCCCGAGTAGCTGGGACTAAAGGTGCCCGCCACCAAGCCTGGCTAATTTTTTTTGTATTTTTAGTAGAGACGGGGTTTCACCGCGTTAGCCAGGATGGTCTCGATCTCCTGACCTCATGATCCGCCCGCCTCAGCCTCCCAAAGTGCTGGGATTACAGGCGTGAGCCACCGCGCCCAGCCTAATTTTTGTATTTTTAGTAGAGATGGGGTTTCTCCGTGTTGGCCAGGCTGGTCTCGAACGCCTGACCTAAAGTGATCTGGCTGCTTCGTCCTCCCAAAGTGGTGAGATTACAGGCATGAGCCACTACACCCAGCCTGCGTTATTATCTTGTTGATGCTCATGGAATCAGTAGTGATGGCCTATCTCTGTTTGTTGTTGTTGTTGTTGTTGTTGTTTTGTTTTGAGACTGGGGCTCATTCTGTCCAGGCTGGAGTGTAGTGGCACAATCACGGCTCACTGCAGCCTTGACCGACCCAAACTCAGATGATCTTCCCACCGAAGCCTCCCAAGTAGCTGGCACTACAGGCATGCGCCACCAAGCCCAGCCAATTTTTATATTTTGTAGAGACAGGGTTTCCCCATGTTGCCTAGGCTGGTCTTGAACTCCTGGACTCAAGCAATTGCCCGCCTCAGCCTCCCAAAGTGCTGGGGTTACAGGAGTGAGCCCCATCTCTAATTTTTGACATTAATAATTTGTGTCTTGTTTTTTTCTTGGTTAGCCTGGCTAGAGGTTTGTTAATTTTATTATCTTTTCAAAGAATCATCTTTTGATTTTGTTGATTTTTTTCTCTTTATTTTCTGTTTTCAATTTCATTGATTTCTGTTCTAATTTTTAAAGTTCTGGAGATATTGGAGTGGTCTGAACTTTATGAGATCTTGAGACTAACAAATCAACACTTCCTTCCAAGACAAAGCCCAAATAGAGGAGAAACTGCTGGCAGTAGAATCCAAATAGAACTTAGCAGAGACAATAAGGACAAAAAAAAAAAAAAAGAGAGAGAGAGAGAGAGAGAGAGAAGGTCCAGATAGAAGTAGGTGGCGTAGTAGAGGATGCCTGTCTCGGGAGTCAAAGATCACATTTGTATCACCTATTTTAAGGTAAAGAAAACTCTAAAGCTTTGAAGCTAGAAAAGCTATTCTTGGCCGGGCGTGGTGGCTCATGCCTGTAATCCCAACACGTTGGGAGGCCAAAGTGGGCAGATCACTTAAGGTCAGGAGTTCGAGACCAGCCTGGCCAACATGGTTAAAAAAAGAAAAATTAGCCAAGTGTGGTGGCGGGCGCCTGTAATCCCAGCTACTCGGCAGGCTGAGGCAGGAGAATCTCTGGAACCTGGGAGATGGAGGTTACAGTGAGCCGAGATCGTGCCACTGCACTCCAGCCTGGGTGACAGAGCGAGACTCCATCACACAAAAAAAGAAAAAGGCTATTCTTCCTATTGCTCTTTCTAAACAGAAAAACTCATTGCCCTTAAAAATGAACAATTAGGCCAGGTGCGGTGGCTCACCCCTGTAATCCCAGCGCTTCGGGAGGCTGAGGCAGGTAGGTCACCTGAGGTCAGGAGTTCAAGACCAGCTTGGCCAACATGGCAAAATCCCTTCGCCACTAAAAATATAAAGTTAGCCAGGTGTAGTGGCGTGCGCCTGTAATCCCAGCTACTTGGGAGGCTGAGGCAGGAGAATCGCTTGAACCTAGGAGGTGGAGGTTGCAATGAGCCGAGATCATGCCACTGCACTCCAGCCTGGGTAACAAGAGCGAAATTCCATCTCAAAAAAAAAAGCAATTAAAACTACTCAATTGAAGTCCATACATAAAAGAGGAGGATAGGGAATAATACCATAATGTCCCTGTTGACAGTGAAAGCATGACAGAAAGATTTACCCTTAAAACAAAAGAAAACCATTAAGAAAAGAAAAGGGACTATGAAAAATCAATATAAGAGTGAGAAAAATTCAAAAATGTGATGATTGGAAAAAATAAGATGTTTAAAAGTGAGGTTACAGAACTCAGGAGGGAATTAGAATAAATGAAAAGTTATTTCAGAAATGAAGTCTATTCTAGAAGTTTCACTAGCAAAAATGACAATGGATAATATCTTCAGACAAATAGAAGATTAAATGGAGGTGATCTGCCCTCTTTGGCCTCCCAAAATGTTGGGATTGCAGGTGTGAGCCACCGCACCAGCCATGGAGGATTTTAAAAAAATATATTTTTAAAGAAGAAAGAGATAAAAAAGGATTTGGGAGAAAGTGATCAAAAAACAAAACAAAAAACAAGATAGGCAGAAGATCTAACATATGTATGACAGGATTTCCTGAAGAGGAAAGGGAAAGCAACAGAACAGAACATACACTAAAACTATACTTTCATACCTTTTTTTTTTTTTTTTTTTTGAGAGGGAGTCTTGATCTGTCGCACAGGCTGGAGGGCAATGGATAATCTTGGCTCACTGCAACCTCTGCCTTCCGGGTACAAGTGATTCTCCTGCCTCAGCCTCCCAAGTAGCTAGGATTACAGGAGCCCACCACCACGCCTGGCTAATTTTTGTATTTTTAATGGAGACGGGGTTTCATCGTATTGGCCAAGCTGTTCTCGAACTTCTGACCTCAAGTGATCTACCTGCCTCGGCCTCCCAAAGTGCTGGGATTACAGGTGAGAGCCACCGTGCCTGGCCTAACAGTTTTTTGTTCTTTGTTTTTCTGAAATAAAAAAGCTTCAAACTACAGGTTGAATAGACACACATGTACCTGGGGTGAACAAACCCGGAATGGCCAATGCCTGAAGAGATAATGATATGTTCAGTGCCAGTGCTGGGGCCATGTTATGCAAATGAACCAAAGATGACCTCTGTATATTGGCCCTATGTTGTTTACTTCTTCAGAGCAGGCTGGGACTCATTAGCTCAAAAGCCCATTGGCACCAAACTCAAATTTTTACATATCCAACTATTTTAAATTTAGCCCAAATAGAATGGCCTTCACCATTGTTCTGATTTAGGCTGAGATAGCTAGACCTTTATAATCCTGTATTAATTAGTCATTGGATTTGGGCTGCCCTGGGAAGGGGCATGACCTTGAGGCAAACTCTGAAGGGGACAGCACTCCCCTAAACTATAACAACACATTCTTCACTGAAGGGTTGGGGGAAGGGAGGTCTTGACCATCACATCACAATGGCAGCACATCACACCACATGGGAGAAAGAAAATAACTGAGGAAACAATGACTGACAGTCCTCTTTAATTGAGGGAAAACATAAATGTGCAGATTTAGAAAGCACAAGAAATTTTAAGCAACTAAACACATCCTTGTAAAAGTGAAGATTGCCAAAAGAAATCAAAAGATCTTAAGAGCAGTCAGGGAAACACCAGCTACCTGCAAATTGACTGCCAGTTGATGTCTCATAAGCAAAAATGGAAACCAAAGTATGGTGAAATAATATCTTCAAAGTGAAGTAAGAGAAAATAATTATATATTTACTAAGTTATTATTCAAGAAGTGATTCGAAATAAAAGCATTTCCAGATAAGCAAAGCAGAGCTTATCGCCAACAGTCTCTTGACTAAAGGAACTTCTAAAGCACTAATTCTTAACCTTGCTTCCACACACATTGGATTCAACAAGGGAGTTTTAAAACATGCTGATGCCTGAGTCCCACCCCAGCAATTCTGATTCAACTAGTCTAGGCTATGGATGTAACAACTCCATACATAGACCCTTCTCCCACCTGCTATTAAGGTGTCATCAGAGAATGTCAAATGAGGAGCTAGGACTTGTATACCCACCCAGCATTAACAGATACACCTCTTATGGGTTCAGTGGAGACCGCATGGGACTCCTCTCCCTTCTTGATAGAGCAGTATCATAGGAGTCTCTAGTTGGAAGCTTCCACTCCTGCCCAGCAGTGAGGCCACCTTCCCTTTCATTTGAGGTGGTTTCAGCAGAGACCTAGTAGGAAACCTTAACTTCCATCCTTATCTCACAATAACCAAGGCAGTGTCCTTGTTTCCTCACTAGCTGGGGGTCAAAGGAGGCCTGCTAAACATGTTTAAATTAGATATAACGTTTAAATGAGATCCAGAATCTCATAATAAAATACCCAAAATGTTCAGGAATCAATTGAAAATCTCTCATTATACTAAGAATCGAGAATATCTCAACTTTAATGAGAAAAGAATCAATAGGCACTAACACTGAGATAACACACATATTAGAATTACCTGTCAATAATTTTTAAGCAGCCATCATGAAATGCATCATAAGTACTTGCAAACACACTTGAAACAAATGGAAAAATAGAAAGTCTTAGAAAAAAATAGAAAATATAAATGAAGACCACATGGAAATTTGTTTTTTTCAGACAGAGTCTCGCTCTGTTGCCTAGATGGGAGTGCAGTGGTATGATCTTGGCTCGTTGCAACCTCCACCTCCTGGTTCAAGCGATTCTCCTGCCTCAGTCCCCCAAGTAGCTGGGACTACAGGCACATGCTGCCACACCCAGCTAATTTTTATATTTTTAATAGAGACAGGGTTTCACCATGTTGGCCAGGCTGGTCTCAAACTCCTGACCTCACGTGATCTCCCTGCCTCAGCCTCCCAAAGTGCTGGGATTACAGGTGTGAGCCACCACACCTGGCCCACAAGGAAATTTTAGAATTAAAAAATACAACCAAAATGAAAAACTCAATGGATTCAATGTCAGAATAGAGAAGATAGAGGAAAGCATCAGTGAACTTGAAGATAGAACAATAGAACTTACCCAATCTGAACAACCAAGAGAAAACAGACTTAAAAAAAATAGATAGAATCTGACTCCTCAACCCCTTTGGCCATGGCAGGCACCTTTTGGACTGGGCTGCCACTGCTTGGGCAGAGTAAAAGGTGCCAGGAGGAGCATGGGGGTGGAAGTCCTGTCAGCCAAAAAATAAAAGTTTACCTCAGAGCTGCAAAAAAAAAAAAAGAAAAAGAAAAAGAAAGAAAGAAAAAGAAAGAAAGAAAGAAAGAAAGAAAGAAAGAAAGAAAGAAAGAAAGAAAAGAAAGAAAGAAAGAAAAGAAAGAAAGAAAGAAAGAAAATAGATAGAGTCTCAGGGACCTATAGGATTATTACAAAAGATCTAACACTCCTGTCATGGAGAGAGAGGAGAGGGGAGATGGGCTTAAAAAGTACTTGAAGAAATAATGGCTGAAAACTATTCAAATTTAGCGAAAGACATAAATCTCCAGATTAAAGAAAGTGAGCGCCAAACAGGATAAAGCCAAAGAAATCCATATCAGGACACATAATAATCAAACTTCTGAAAGTTAAAGACAAACATAGAATTGAGAAAGAGATGACAATCTCTTATGTATAAGAGAAAAACAGGATCTCTCATCAGATACTACAAAGGCCAGAAAGAAGTGGCACATTTTTCAAGAGCTGAAAGAAAAGAACTGTCAAACCAAAATTCAATATCCAGCAAAAGTATACTTCAGAAATGGAGGGGAGATCAAGACATTCTCAGATGAAGGAACACTTAGAGAATCTGTCACCAACATAACTACTCTAAAAGAATGGCTAAAGGAAGTTCTTAAAATGTAAAGGAAATGATAAAATAAGGAATCTTGGACTGTCAGAAAGGGAGAAAAAACAACTGAAAGAAGGAAAATGTGGGTAAATGCGATAGACTTTAATGCTTCTGAAGTTTTTTATAAATGCTGATTGTATATCATTGTCTAAAGTGGTTCTGAAATATATAGAGGAAATACTTAAGGTAATTATAAATGAGGGAGGATAAAGGGACTTAATAGTAGGTAAGGTTTCTACACTTCACTCAAACTGGCAAAATGTCAATACCGGTACACTGTGATAAGCTATGTATGTATAGAATAAGAAACACTTTATCAACAAGAGCACAGGAAAAATAAAACAGAAATGAACCAGGTGTAGTGGCTCATGCCTGTAATAATAGCTACTTGGGAGGCTAAAGTGGAAGGATTGCTTGAGGCCAGGAGTTTGAGACCATTCTGGGCAACATAGCAAGACCCCATCTCTAAAAAAACAAAACAAAACAAAACAAAAAAACAAGAAGAAAGATAAAGAAAAGAGAAATGAAGAACATAGGCAACAAAAAGAAAACAAAAAATTAAGTGACAGACTTAAGCCCTAACATACCAATAATTACATTAAATGTAAATGTAAATTACAGGCTCACACCTGTAATACCAATAATTACATTAAATGTAAATGGTCTAAATATGTCAACTAAGACAAAGATTAGTAGAGTGGACTTTAAAAAAATGACCCAATTATATGCTGTCTAAAATAAACTCACTTAAATACAGCTATATACGTAGCTTGAAAGTAAAAGGATAGAAAAAGGTATATTTTGCAAAGATTAATCAAAAGAAAACATAAATGGCTATATTAATATCAAAGTAGCTCTCCACACAAAAAGCTTACCAAGAACAGAGTGACATTGCATAATAATAAAAGTATCAATTCATCAAGGCATCACAGTTTTTAATGTTTATGCCCCAAATGACAGAGCTACAGAATATGTGAAGCAAAAACTAATGGAACTGAAAGGAGAAATAGACAAATCCACAATTACAATTGAAGTCTTCAACACCTTTCTCTCAACAATTGATAAAACAACTAGACAAAATCAGCAAGCATATAGGGCCAGGCACTGTGGCTCTCACTTGTAATCCCAGCACTTTGGGAGGCTGAGGTGGGCAGATCACTTGAGGTCAGGAGGTCAAGACCAGCCTGGCCAACATGGTGAAACCGCTTCTCTACTAAAAATACAAGGTTGGGCACAGTGGCTCACACCTTTAATCCCAGCACTTTGGGAGGCCAAGGGGAGCGGATCACTTGAGGTCAGGAGTTTGAGACCAGCCTGGCCAACATGGTGAGACCCCATCTCTACTAAAAATACAAAAAAAATAGCTGAGTGTGGTGGCAGGCGCCTGTAGTCCCAGGCTTGGGACTGAGGGTAGCAAAACAAACCTCAACAAATGCAAAAGAATTGAGGCCAGGCTCAGTGGCTCACACCTGTAATCCCAGCACTTTGGGAGGCTGAGGCAGGCGGATCACCTGAGGTCAGGAGTTGGAGACCAGACTGGACTACATGGTGAAACCCCATCTCTACTAAAAGTACAAAAATTAGCCGGGCATGGTGGCGGGTGCCTGCAATCCCAGCTACTCAGGAGGCTGAGGCAGGAGAATTGCTTGAACCCGGGAAGCAGAGGTTGCAGTGAGCCAAGATCACGCCACTGCACTCCAGCCTGGGTGACAAAAGCGAGACTCCATCTCAAAAAAAAAAAAATTGAAATTATACACAGTGTGTTCTGACCACAATGGACTCAAACTAGAAATCAATAACAGAAAAATAATAGGCAAACCTCCAAACACTTAGAAACTAAACAATACATTTATAAATAATATATGGATCAAAGAGGAAGCCTCAAGGAAATTTTTTACTGTATTTTTCTTTTTCTGCAGAGAACTTTGTTCTGATTTTTGAATTGTTTTACTACTTTTGGGGTGAAAATTTTAAAAAATACATAGGACTGGGCCAGGCATGGTGGCTCACACCTGTAATCCCAGCACTTTGGGAGGCCTAGGCAAGCAGATCACGAGCTCGGGAGATCGAGACCATCCTGGCTAACATGGTGAAACGCCATCTCTACTAAAAATACAAAAAAAATTAGCTGGGCGTAGTGGCGGGCAACCGTAGTCCCAGCTACTCGGGAGGCTGAGGCAGGAGAATGGCGTGAACCCGGGAAGCGGAGCTTGCAGTGAGCTGAGATCGGGCCAGTGCACTCCAACCTGGGCGACAGAGCAAGACTCCATCTCAAAAAAAAAAAAAAAAAAAAAACTACATAGGACTGAATGAAAATGAAATTCCAGTAACCCATTTCGTGGTCAACTTATTACAAGGAGTAACTTTCTGTTAAAGGAGAAAAATAATTTATTTTATTTATTTATTCATTTAGTAAAAATGGGGTTTTGCCATATTGGCCAGGCTGGTCTCAAACTCCTGATCTCAAGCAATCCACCCACCTCGGCCTCCTGAAGTGCTGGGATTACTGGTGTGAGCCACCGCATCCCGCCAGAAAAATGATTTTTGAAAATCATAATTTGCTGCTGCATTTTTTTTTTTTTTTTGAGATGGAATCTCACTCTGTCACCCAGGCTGGAGTGCAGTGACACGATCTTGGCTCATTGCAACCTCCACCTCGTGGGTTCAAACGATTCTCCTGCTTCAGCCTCCAGAGTAGGAGGAGCCCGCCACCATGCCTGGCTAATTTTTGTATTTTTAGTAGAGACGGGATATTGTCATGTTGGCCAGGCTGGTCTTGAACTCCTGACCTCAAGTGATCTGCCCGCCTTGGCCTCCCAAAGTGCTGGGATTACAGGTGTGAGTCACCATGCTCAGCCAGAAAAATAAATCATTTAAAAATCATGATTTGCTTCTGAATTGAATATTGTTTTAAGAACTTTTTGATGATTCCAGTTGCTACTGCTGGTCTCCAGCAGTTTCTTAGAATAGTCAATGGACACAAGTTATGTTAAAATCTCTATTAGGCCAGGTGCAGTGGCACACTCCTGTAATCCCAGCACTCTGGGGCACCGAGGTGGGTGGATCACTTGAGCTCAGGAGTGTTCTAGACAAGCCTGGGCAGAATGGTGAAACCACCATCTCTACAAAAAAAAAAAAAGAAAAAAAATTATCCAGGCATGGTAGCGTGCACCTGTCATCCCAGCTACTTGGGAGGCTTAGGTGGGAGGATCGCTTGAACCCAGGAGGTTGAGGCTGCAGTGATCTTAGATCGCACCACTGCACTACAGCCTGGGTGACAGAATGATAACCTATCAAAAAAAAAAAAAGGAAATCTCTATTAAAATAATTAGCAATTTTACTGAAAGAGGCATGAAAAATATATTATGGAATAAATATATAATTTATGAAGTATGTGTCTTTGTCCAAACATTGTATTACTACTTTGTGCAAACATCACTGATCCATCAAGAGAATACCTAGACATGTGCAGGAGTAATAAAATTCCATCAGCTCTGATATTTTGCCAACTTTCAGTCATATAGAAAGCGTAGCTGTACATATGTCTTTCATTTTCGTAATTCTGAACCTGTATTTGTGAAAATAAGAGGGGAACATATTTAACAAATTGTAATTTGATTTGTATCTTTTAAATGTTTAGATGCACAGTATGTCGATTTCCATTTCTTATTTTGCGCTGGGCCCAACAAATGTTGGGGTGGGCCTGGCCCTAACATCCTCGACCCTCAGAACCTCAGCTTCCTTTTCCGGAAAAAGAGAACACTCCTGAGTTCACAGAACTGGGATGAACTGGGCACCTGGTGCATAATGGGTTCTGAGTAAATACGGCTAAGTTCCCTCACTCTCCTAAGGAGGAATCCGTGTTCAAGGAGTGTTTAAGGGGTTTTTATTTTATTCTTCCTTTCTTTTTAAGGCTGCAAGGGAGACGAATGTGTCTGAGGCTCAGGGGTAAGAAAGTGGTTAAAGACACCGAAGACAGAGATGTGTGATGGGGCGGGGTGGGATTGGCTCCGAGGGACTGGCTCGATAGTGGGAATAGAGAAGAGGAATCCCCATCCACCCCCGCAGGAAACGCACCAGCGTTTGGAGGTGTGTGTGCCTGCGTGTGCCTGCGTTTGCCTGTGTGTGCCTGTGTGTGCGGTGGGGATTAGCCCCGACTCCGGCAGACACCATCACGCATGACGAAGCTGCTTCCCCTCACGCGGCCCAAGGCGCACACGCGCGATCCACGGCCACGCCCGCACACACTCGACACACACAGGGCATTCGAGGGTCCGGTTGCCATGGCGAGCAGGAGCGCGTGAGCCCAGCCGCCCCCCCCGCCCCCGGCGAGCCCAGTCAACTCCCACTCTGATTGGCGGCTGCTTCCTCATTATGCAAATCATTTGCGTAGACTCGGCGGCCAGCTGCCTGACGTCACCAAGCACGGGGGCTGGGGCTCGGGGCTCGGCTCTGGGAGAGCTCGGGCGGGAGCCCAGAGAGAGCCGCACGGGGACCTCAAGCCAGACCCCAGCGTTCAGCCGCCACCTCGGCCCGGGCCCGCCCCGCCCCGGCCCCGCCCCTTTCCTGCCCGCCCCACCCCCTCTACGCCCCTCCACCCGGACCCCGCCCCCTGGGCAGCCCCCCGCCCTCTCCGCCCGGGCTCCGCCCCCTCCCCCTGGCCCTCGCCACCGGTCCAGGGAGGGGACGGCGGGACAGGCGGGACCAGTGGGACCGGCGGGAGGGCTGACAGGGCGGGGACATGGCCGCGGCGCCGGGAGGGTCAGCGCAGCCCGCTGGCCCCGGCCCGCGCCTGGGTTTCAGCACCGCGGACAGCGGCGTCGGCATGAGCGGGCTAAACCCCGGTCCCGCCGTACCCATGAAGGACCACGACGCCATCAAGCTCTTCGTGGGGCAGATCCCGCGGGGCTTGGACGAGCAGGACCTCAAGCCGCTGTTCGAGGAGTTCGGCCGCATCTACGAGCTGACGGTGCTGAAGGACCGGCTCACCGGCCTCCACAAAGGTGCGCGGGGTCAGCCCAGCCCAGCCCAGCCCCAATCCGATTAGAGTGTGGCCCGACCCCAGCCCAGCCCCAGCCCTAGCCCTGCCGAGAGCCAGTCCAACACCAGTCCAATATCAGCCCCACCTCAGCCCAGCCCCCTTCCCAGATCACAGAATTTTCTCTCTGACATCCTCCCTCTGATTATCACTGTGGTCCCCTAACATGTTCTCCACTCTAACCTCCAAATTCCTGGCCTCCACCTCTCACATCCCAGCAGTCCCTGCCTTTCAATTGGACCTTTCCACCACCTCTCCCATCAGACCTAAAATTCTGGAATTTGAAAACTTATTCCACCTTCTAGATCTCGAATACCCTCAATTTCCCAAACCCTGAGCCCAAACACTCCTGAATCCTCCATCTGGTGGCACCTCACTCAGGCCTAACCACCCACATGCATATCTTGGACTTGCACCCCTCCTCTGGCCTCCTAGTCCGGCCATCCCCCTCAAGAGCCTTCTTTTGACTCTCAGACTGCCAACCTAAAACACCGCAGACCCAAACCCTCCCCTTCTTCAGAACCCAGACCTGTCTAACACAAAATCCAATTCAATTCCCAGGAGGCTCTCAGTTCCAGACACCCCCTCATGTTCAACAACAGCCCCAATCTCTCCTGCCCTTCGCCAGAATCCCAATGCACTCTACCTCTTTTGATTTCAGTTCAGAACCCTGACCTCAGCTGGGAACTCCTGCCACCCTGTGTCCCTTTCTTCTTGGATTTCTCTCAGCTAAATCCACACTTCTTTCCTTCTCTAATCCCCTCACTCCTGTGCCTCTTCTTTGCTCCTCCCCAGTCCTCTTTATGGCCTCTTTCTTTCCCTCCCCTCACAGGCTGGTCCCAGTCCAGGCCCATTCTCAGGGTGAGTCAGGCTGAAGAGACAGAAGGAGATCTTCTCCCTGCCCTTTCTAGAGAGATACACGGTCCTGTTCGGCCACACCCCTTTCTTCCTGTAGAGAGAGGGAGGAGGCTTGTTTACATGCAGAAAAGTCTGTCCAGGCAGGGCTGGAGTAAGAGAGCCAGAGTCACATGTCATACATGGGCAGGAGAAGGGGAGATGATTTGAGAAGGAACACTCTTATCTCCTCCCCCACCACCACCACCATGCTGTGCTTTCAAGTTTTTGCTGGGAAAGAGTCACCAACTATCCTCCATGATCTTCCTAAGAGAGGAGTGGTGGGCCTTGGGTAACAGCTAAAGGTACATTCCTAAGGACTGAGAGCTGGAATCAGACTGCCACCTCTTCAACTTGGAGGCCTCGTAGGGTTCCTTGGCACACTAATGTAGGCACTTCGAGAAAATGCCAATAGAAGAGCTAGGACCATCTGGCTAGGAGTACAGCTTCCACCCTTTGGGCTGGGATTGTGTTAATGGGTGTATGAAAGGACAATACCTCACCATCTAGAGTCCTTCTAATGCACTCCCACTACCTGCCTGTCTGTCCATCCCTCTGTAGTAACTCATTTTCTTATTTTTAGACATTGATTTCAGGATGTACATACAAAGCTAATCTTTGTAGGCCATCCGTACAATAAGGGAAGTGTATAGAATACCCTTAAATCTCACTCTTCTCACTATCAGTCTCTGAACTGTTCCCTCATCCTCTCTCTTTTCATTTAGCTCTAATTCTGCCTGTTATTTTCATTCATCTGTCTCTCAAACCATGCTTCTCTGTCTTTTCTTCCCTTCATTCTTCCACCCTCTATCCCGGCTAGTCCACATGGGGCTTCTTTAGGCAGCAACTGGGCCCCTGAGCCTTTCAGACAGGCAACCTGCCCGGTTTGGACGTCAGGTGATATGGGTTGGTAGCAAAACACAGAGCAGGGATGTAAGTGGAATCAGGTGTTTGGTGATTTATTTCCAAACTAAATCACAACTCTCCAAGGCAAGTGTTGCCTTCCAAGATGATTGTAGAGGGTCTCCAAGTCAACATCTTCCTCATCCTCTCCCCAGAAACAGTGACTCATTTTCCTTTTGATGTCTGGGTACCGAGGCAGGCAGCCACAGTGCTTTGAAAACAACCCCAGCTTGGGAGTTAAGACATTCCAAATCCTGCCCTGCCACTGACCCACTCTCTGGGCTTCAGTTTCCCTGTTGATGTGATAAGAGTTTTGCTCAGTTCTCTAAGTTCCCTTTAACTCAATGAATGTCCGGCAATAAACCCATCTTAATGGGGCAGCCCTGTAGAAGAGGCCAGAAAAAAATGTTCCCATTTGCCTTTCTAATCTGCTGAGGTCTAAGTGGAAATCTGCCCCAAGTTCCTAATGGCTCACCATATCCACTTTCTCCTCCTTCAGTCCTTCTCCCTCCTACACTCAGAATGCTCCTTTTGAAAACAGATCTTATCATCTCACAGATCTGCTTAAAACCCTTTAAAGTGGCTCTCTATTGCTCTTAGGAAAAAGTTCAAAATCCAACTGAGGCCCACAAGGCTACATATGACTTGATTCCTGCATATCTCACTAGCCACTCTGCCCCCATACACCAGCCTCCAGCCACACTAACCTATCCATTTCCCCAACACACCAAATTCTTGATTCAGTCTTCATATATGCTTTTCCCTCTGTCTGAAATAATCACTGTCCTTTTCATCACCTGATTGTTAAGGACTCAGTGTTCTTGTTCTCGAGGACTCAGTGCCTTCTTTGAGACATTACTCAACCCTTTGGACTTGTTTAGGGGTCCCTCATGATTTGTCTAATCCCCATGAGGGCAGGGAATGTGTGTCTTGTTGCCACTCTATCTCCAAGGTCATCAAAATGCCCCACCATAATAAGTAAGTGTTCAATAAATATTTTCTGAATGAATGAGTGCTCAGTGGCTGTTGGAAAGGAGGAGAGTGCTGCTTCAGTGCTTCCTAGCAGGCTACAGGTCCTGAGGCTGAACAAACAGAGGGCTAAACTTGACCCTTTGGCTCAACCTAGACCTCTTCGCTGACCCATATATGCTGGCCCTTTTAGAGGAGCCAGATTTGAGGCACAATAACTCTTTAAGAGGCCCTACCTCAAAGCCCTAGGAGGGTTGACAGATCAAGATCCTTGAACAGGATTAGGGGGTCCCTGGAAACTCCCACCTATGGGAAGCCCTTAAACCAATCCCATCTTCTAAGTCTCAAATCAATCCATTCCCCAGCTTCAAACTTAGGGGAGGGAGACATGGACAAGAGCTGGGGGCTCCTGGGGTTGGCTCCCAATCCTTCTTTTACTCTTTTGCCTCCTCCCATCCGAAACTGAGTTGGGAAGGAATTGAGGCTGATCCTGGGAGACTCCATGAGTCTGAATCCAAAAAGGAAGGGGAAGTCTGGGTTAAAGATGATGATAAAGCTGCTTAGGGAGGTTTAACCCCAACAGGACTTGTGACTGGAGTGGGGAGGGGAGATGTGGGATTGTATGCACATGTGACTGGGTGTGGGCACATATGTTCTCTGGGCAGGATGCCAGGAGCAAATGAAAGGGAGCCAGAGCCTGGGACACTGGTCCCCAGGCACATGAAGCCCCTCCCTCCAGAGGTGGGAGGCAGAGAGGGCTTCTCAGAAAGCAGAGTCCTTGCTTAAAGGAGAGTGGCCTTAAGTTTGTCAACTTAGTGGGGTATTTCGAAGAAGAATAGTTGGGGGTTTCAGGAAACCCCCTGAGCCAGCCTCTTCCTCCTCAGGCTGTGCCTTCCTCACCTACTGCGCCCGGGACTCTGCTCTCAAGGCCCAGAGTGCACTGCACGAGCAGAAGACCCTGCCAGGGGTAAGTCCTCCAGGTTGGGGGGTGGGAATCACCTCAGGCTGGGGACAGTGCCCTGTGTGCATGCCAAAGCAGCATGTGGGGGCTGGGTTGGGACCGAGAACTAGAAGCAGAGTCATCTTTCTAGGAGAGGGCTTCCTGTACCCTGAACAGCAACAAATTCTTTGTTACATCCAATCTTCTGGCTCAAAAAAGGGGCTCAAGATCCTTGGGCCAGGCGTTCCACCCATCTTTTAGGAGAGGCATCAGTGTTGAGGGCTAAGCTAGAATTTATTCACCTTGGTAAAATTATGGCTTTGGGTGTCTCTTGTCACTGGTGTGAGCATGTATGCAGATACATGGGGTAGAGGTTCTGCTGGACTGGTAGCCCATTTTCTCTAGTCCTAAGGTCCTTGCTGGAACTTCTCTCTAGTCCTTTTCCTGTAATGGTTATTTTTGGTGCCTTGACTCACTAAGATTGTCTTCCCTCCACACTGCAAACACTTGGCTAAAGTTAGGGGAGACCTGATTCTACAGGCAGCTTGGCTTGTAGGCACCAATGGTACCTGGTCTGGTCTTGGCTAATGGATAATCAGTCAACAAAAGGCAAGGTGGGACCTACTGACCATATGGCAGAATAAAGGGGTGATCGTTAGTAACTAGCATGGGTTTACCAAGAGCAAGTCATACTATACAGCCTTGTTTTCTCTTGTCCAAGAAGCGGTGTGTCTAGAACAGAGCACTGTTTAAATGCCATTCACAGGCCAAACTTGGGACTATGTCCAGTTCTAGGCCTCTCAAATTTAAGAGAGTCGTTTGTCTACAAGAAAGAGACGAGGATGAAGTAAAGACACAAGATATATTTGGAATAATAGTTTGGAAGAGTTGGGATGATTTAACTGGAGGAGATAGGGCTTAGAGGGACTTTAATAGGGAGGCATCATAAGCTAATAATTAAAAATACTGGTTTTTGAGGCCGAGTGCGGTGGCTCACGCCTGTAATCCTAGCACTTTGGGAGGACAAGGCGGGCAGATCACCTGAGGTCAGGAGTTCGAGACCAGCCTGGCCAACATGGTGAAACCCTGTCTCTACTAAAAATACAAAAATTAGCTAGACATGGTGGCAGATGCCTGTAGTCCCAGCTACTTGGAAGGCTGAGGCAAGAGAATCACTTGAACCTGGGAGGCAGAGGTTGCAGTGAGCCAAGATCATGCCACTGCACTCCAGCTTGGGCAACAAAGTGAGACTCAGTCTCAAAAAAAAAAAAAAAAAAAAAAACACTGGGTTTTGAGTCTCACAGACCTGGATTTGAATCCCAGCTCTGCCATTTATCAGTTCTGTGTCTCTGGGCACGTTACTTGGACTCCTGAGCTTCAGTCTCTTTAGATATGAGGAGTGGGTTATACTAACACCTAGCTCGCTTGGCTGTAGTGAGGATTACTTGAGGCTTAGCAAGTGCCTGGCACAGAGTAAGATCTCAATAAGTACTACTGTTGGGGTTGGGGTAACTACCTTCAGATTCTAGAAGAGGGGTTTGGTTTTCTATGAGTGATCCCAGAAGGCAAGATTCGGATCAGTTAATATAATAAGAAATAGGCACTGATTTCAGCTCAGTATAAAGAAGTCACTTCTCTGAATTGGAGCTACCAAGCAATGGAGCAAGCTTCGCCAAGAGCTAATCAAGCTGTTAATGGGGTGACAGCTCCTAGAACCAAGCACAGTAACTGAAGCACCTTTAGCCTCACTTTTGGGGACTAAGTGCCAAGTAACACCAATTTGTCACCATCACTGGTCCTCTGTATGCAAGCTCCTGAGTCAGAGAGACCTGGGTGTGGATCCAGGCCCACCACTCACTAGCTTTGTGACTTTGGGCAAGTCTTTACTGCTAAGCCTAAGTTTCCTCACCTGTAAAGTTAAACTCATAGGGTTGTTGTCGTGGTTAAATGAGCTAAGTCATTAAGTGAACTAAAGTACTCAATGCTGTTCTTGGCAGAAAATAAGCACTCGATATGAGTTAGCTGGTGGTAGTAGTGATAGTAACAGTAATAGTAACAGCAGCATTAGTAGGAGTAGGAGTAGAACTCATCATTCATCTAATCATGGGAGCAAATGACTTCTGCTTCTAGAACTGAGAGTCAATGAGACAAGCTGTAACATTCCATGTGGGAAACAGCATGGTAAAGGTGCAGACACAGAAGGAACAGGTGGGTGTGAAATGCGGCTGGCACTGTGGGGGAGGCCCACGTGAGCATGGAGGGAAGCTGGAGGGAAGATCTACAGAGGGCAGCAGTTGAAGATGAAACTTTGAATGCCAGGCTTTACCCTGAAAGGAAATGGGAGGTCCCCCCCAAAAAAATTAAGATAAACTTTGGGAGGAAAAAAATCTCTCCTCCACAAGACACAGGGCTCTGCCCAACTAATTTTTGTAATTTTAGTAGAGATGAGGTTTCACCATGTTGGCCAGGCTAGTCTTGAACTTCTGGCCTCAAGTGATCCACCCACCTTGGCTTCCCAAAATGCTGGGATTACAGGCATGAGCCACCGCACCAGGCCTAAATAAGGTATTGTTATTGGCATTCCCATTTTACAGGTGAGAAAACTAAGTCATAAGAATCAAGTGACTTGCCCAAGGTCATATAGTTAATAATGGGAAGATCTGGACTTTGGGCCCAGCTAATCTGGCCCTAGAACTCATTCACTTAACCACTGTACTGTGACCTGAGACAACCAGGTAGCAGACAGGGGTCTTAGGTTCTAGAGAGAATGGTGACTGGGGACATCTTCCCCCTCTCACTGTTTCATCTGCAGGTCTCCAACATGGCCTGGCTTCCTCTGATACTGTCAGGATTGGCTTTATTCACCCTCTCCAGCTTAACAAAGTGAAAATTAATATTTAATTATTCTCCTAAATGAAAATCAATGGCTGTGTTGGCCAGCCCCAGCAATGCCTGTGCCATCAATCTTTCCTCTGGGCCTGCCAGGGACAGCAGCAACTTTAGTCGCCTGGCCTTAGGCCCACCAGCATGGAGGAGGAGTGCCCAGCTCTCTGCTGCCATTGGGTCCTGAGCACAGCTGCCACCTGCTGGAGAAGCAGGGACAAGACTTTAATCTGAATTCCTGCTGGCATCAGGCAGGACTGTCACCATGGGACCAGAAAAGGCTAGGTCAGCCCCCAGAGAGAAAAGTCTGAAACCCTAGGGGGAATTTCATGGTTTGTTTTTTGTTTTTTGTGTTTTTTTGAGACACAGCCTCATTCTGTCACCCAGGCTGGAGTGCAGTGGTGCCATCTCAGCTCACTGCAACCTCCACCTCCAGGGTTCAAGTGATTCTCCTGCCTCAGCCTCCCAAGTAGCTGGGATTACAGGCACCCATCACCGCGCCAAGCTAATTTTTTTGTATTTTTAGTAGAGACAGGGTTTCACCATGTTGGTCAGGCTGGTTTTGAACTCCTGACTTCAAGTGATCTGCCCGCTTCAGCCTCTCAAAGTGCTAGGATTACAGGCGTGAGCCACCACTCCTGGCCAAGAATTTCATGGATTCTGATTGACTAAGACCTTCTTTTGCTTGGCTCCTCTCCATTTGTCCCCTGCCAATTTCTGTCCCCTATGAAAGCTTGCCTCCCTATTCGAGAACTCCTTCAAACCTTGGTTGGTCTGTCCCACCTGGCTCCCACCTCCTGCAGCCTCTTCCTGATGAAGCCAGAATTCCTTCTTTTAGCCTCACTTTATGCTCCAGAATCCACCTGAAGAGGGTGAGGCCTAGCCTCAGCCCCACTTACGAGATGCATAAGGTGCCTCCCTATTTGTTTATCTCCCTGTTCCTGACTTCCCTTTCTTTGGGAAGCCATCCCTTCAAACGCTGTGAAGAAGGCAGATGTTACTGAGTAGGGGAGTACATTTGCTTTTGCAAGTTGTGCCCTGCACAAAACAGCTTGGGTAGAGAGGGCAGATGGGGGCAAAAATCCAGCCATGCTCTATTGACTAAGTCATGCACATTATTTCAAGGCTTTGTCAGCCCAGAGGAAAGGGCACATTTTTTCTCATTCATCCCAGGGTTGGGGAGTGCCTTTTTATAATTTACAGAAAGGCACTGTATGTGCTAGCAACCACTTCATGAATGAGTCTGAGTCTTTGCCCTCAAGATGCTTCTTAAAAATGAGTCTCATTGGCCGGGTGCAGTGGCTCACGCCTGTAATCCCAGCACTTTGGGAGGCTGAGGCGGGCGGATCACGAGGTCAGGAGATTGAGACCATCCTGGCTAACACAGTGAAACCCCGTCTCTACTAAAAATACAAAAAATTAGCAGGGCGTGATGGCGAGCGCCTGTAGTCCCAGCTACTCGGGAGGCTGAGGCAGGAGAAAGGCGTGAACCTGGGAGGCGGAGCTTGCAGTGAGCCAAGATCGCATCGCTGCACTCCAGCCTGGGTGACAGAGCGAGACTCTGTCTCAAAAAAAAAAAAAAAGAAAAAAGGTGAGCCTCATTGCATCTCACTCAGGCATACATCTGGGCAAGTAAAAGAGAGACCAGAATTGGGGAGGGAGTCCCAGAGTCAAACCGTAAAGGAAAAGGCCGGGTGCGGTGGTTCACACTTGTAATCCCAGCGCTTTGGGAGGCTGAGGCGGGCGGATCACTTGAGGTCAGGAGTTTGAGACCAGCCTGGCCAACATGGTGAAACCCCGTCTCTACTAAAAATACAAAAATACAAAATAAAAATAAATAAATAAATAAAGGAATAAAGAAAAGAATAAAAAGAAATGGGGAGGGAGTAGATGCTTTGCAGAGATGTTATCTGAGCTGAATCATGATCATATTTTATCATATTTGAGGATCTAGAAACCTAAAAGACAAGAAAATTTGGGGACAGTGTGAACACTGGCAGGGAAGGTGTCTAGCAAAGATAGCTAAGGCTCCACATGAGTAGAGAGAATCGTGCATGTTGGGCAGCAGTGGAAGAAAGACTCACAAGTTTTGACAGCTAGTCTTAGAATCTTGGGCTTTAACAGGAGGCTTGCAATGGGGGAACAGAGGTGGATTTTAAGCAGAGAAGAGTAAGAGACTAGGTTCAAAAGATTACTCTGGGCCAGACATAGTGGCTCATGCCTGTAATCCCAGCACTTTGGGAGGCTGAGACTGGAGGATCGCTGAGCCCAGAAGTTTGAGACCAGCCTGGACAACATAGTGAGACCCCGTCTCTACAAAAGTTTTTTAAAAATTAGCCAGGTGTGGTGGTGTGCCCCTGTAGTCCCAGCTACTTGGGAGGCTGAGGTGGGAGGGTTGCTTGAGCCCTGGAGGTCGACGCTGTCTCAAAAAAAAAAAAAAAAGATTACTCTGGCTATGGTGTGAAGAAGGTTGGGTTGGAAAGGAAGCAACACTGCAGGCTGGATGACCCTTTAGTGCAGTGTTGCTTGAGTGTGGATGAATGGTGATGCTGGCCTAGAGCTGGAGATAGGCCAGGAAAGGAGATAAGAGGTTAGATTTCAGAGCTGTTTAGGATATCCATATAGATTCTAGAACCAATGGGACTTGACAGTGGGTTGAATTAGAGGAGGGGGGTGAGGTAAAACAAAGTACTAAAAATTAGAAAGTTTGGTTTTTTTCTGTCCCACTCTGCCCTGCACCTCCTGACACCTTTCCCAGACCTACCAGTGTTCCCTTCCTCAAGAAGGTTCTGATAAACTCTTCCCATGGAATGGGGAGTGCTGAGGGTGTGAGTGCTCAGTGAAAAGAATAGTTGGCATCAGGGCAGAAGAATCTGAAAAGGGCAATGCTGAGCCCAAAGGGAGGAATTTTAGACAAATCAGGGCAGAGAGTTAGGTAGGGTTTTGCTCTCCCTTCTGCTCACTGGGGCAGAAGGTCCAGGGCCCTGTGCGTGTCTGTGCGGCCTCTGACCTTTCCCACTCCATTGCCTGGAATAGGTTGTTCTCTCTGACATTCTATCCCTTGAATTCCCCTCCAGGGCTGGGCTCTGAAGCAGACATGGGCCTGGACTCCACCTGGGAAATTCTTAAGGGAACAGGTGCTCAGCCAGGGCAAGAGCTCACCTGAAGTCCCAGGACAAGTTTTTGGCCTGGGAGGCAATGTCCTCTTTTCCTCAAGGGGGACTCCTGATTACGTCCTGATTATCCCACTGCCATGTCCCTCCTCTGCCCATGGCAGGAACAAGATATATATAATAGGTTGCCCAGGAAGCTCATGGGGGCAGCTCTCTTTCTCCTCCAGCCACACATAACATGCCTAAATCCCAGGTGTCCTCCATCACCACTGCTCTGTGGGGACTGAAGGCTCAGAGCCCTGCTCTCCCCAACTCTGTTCTTACTCTCTTGGGTTCCTCCCCTGGGGACTTCCTTGTACCCCCAAACTCCCAAACTCCCACCTTCCCCAACTCCCAAGCGATGAACCTGAGGCTCAGCCAATATGCCCTCCTCTTCCCGGGTCCACATATCCAATAGAACTATAGCCCAGTTAATTCTTCCTACACATCTGTTAAATCTGTTCATTTCTTTCTATCCAGGTCACATTCACCTCTCACCTGTGCCACTGATCTTCTTGCCTCTAATCACTCCTTTTCCAATCCTTTCTCCACATAGTGACAGCTTATGGGATCCTTCATAAGACAAAACTGACTAGATGATTCCTCTACTTAAAACCCTTTCCTGTCTGGGCATAGCGGCTCACACCTGTAATCCCAGCACTTTGAAAGGATGAAGTCCAAGGATCGCTTGAGCCCAGAAGTTTGAGACCATCCTGGGCAACATAGTGAGACCCAGTCTCTACAAAAAATTTAAAAATTAGCTGGGCATGGTGGCATGTACCTGTATTCCTAGCTATTTGAGAGGCTGAAGTAGAATAATCGCTTAGCCCAAGATTTGGAGTTTGCAGTGAGCTATGATGGCGCCACTGTACTCCAGCCTGGGTAGCAGAGTAAGACCACAGGTCAGGAGTTTGAGACCAGTCTGGCCAACATGGTGAAACCGTCTCTACTAAAAATACAAAAATTAGCTGGGCATGGTGGTGGGTGTCTGTAATCCCAGCTACTCAGGAGGCAGAGGCAGGAGAATTGCTTGAACCTGGGAGGCGGAGATTGCAGTGAGCTGAGATCGCGCCACTGCACTCCAACCTGGGTGATAGAGTGAGACTCAGTCTCCAAAATAAATAAATAAATAAAAATGTTTAAAAAAAAACATTTAAAAATCCTTCCCTCCCCTGGATCCTCATTGCCTTTGAAATACAACAAAGTCAAAAGTCAAAATTCCTTGATGCGGTTTTCACAGCCTTCCCTAATCTGGCCCTTGCCTACCTTTCAGTTTCATATCCTTAACAACAATAACAACAACAAAAACCGGCCAGGTGCGGTGGCTCACACCTGTAATCCCAGCACTTTGGGAGGCCGAGGCAGGCAGATCACCTGAGGTCGGGAGTTCAAGACCAACCTGACCAACATGGAGAAACCCCGTCTTTACTAAAAATACAAAATTAGCCGGGCATGGTGGCGCATGCCTGTAATCCCAGCTACTCGGGAGGCTGAGGCAGGAGACTTGCTTGAATTGGGAGGCAGAGGTTTCGGTGAGGCGAGATTACGCCATTGCACTCCAGCCTGGGCAACAAGAGCAAAACTCTGACTCAAAAAACAAACAAACAAAAAAAAACAATAACTTTTTATATCTGAGGTATCTACTAAGATCTAGCAGTTGTCATTTTCATCACAACGCTGCAAGTTAAGATCATGATTCCCTCTTCACTAGTGTGGATATTGAGGCTCAGAGACCTTAGAGAAGCAAGTGGTAGAGCCAGGATTGAAATCCACATCTATCTGCTAGGAAGCAATTTGCTCTACCATGGCTACTCCCATGCCAAGTGCTCACTAGAAACTTTGCTCCTTCAGGCTTGCAGCTCCCTGTCCGTACCCTAGCCATTGCAGCTCCCTGTCCGTACCCTAGCCATTCAGCGTGCTCAGCCACCACTCCTACCTCTCCTATTATCTCTACATGGCCAATGACCCCAGTCCTGCAAGGCTCAGGTCAAACATTGCCTCTTCTATGCAGCTTTCCTCAGTCAACCTCTTCAGCTGGAGTCTGCCTCTTCCACAGCTCTTGACCTTGCACTCCCCCGAGGCCCTGGTCCCTCTGTGCCTCACTATTTGTGTTCATGCCTTAAGAATGGATTTGAGCAGCACTCCAGTGCAAAAATCATGGGCTTCAGCCTCAGACAGATCTGGGGGTAAATCCCAGCTCAACCACTTACCCACCATGGGATCTTAGACAAGTGATTTCACCTCCCTCAGCCTCAGCTTTCTCATCTATGATATGGGGACACTTGTATTCCCTTGAAGAGTGGTTGGAAGGATTTAGAGACAATGTATGTAAAGTGTCCCAGGAAGGGCCTGGCACAGAGTGGGCTCTCAGGAAATGGTAACATTATCTTCCCCTCTGCGAGCCTATGAAGAGAGGATCCCCATACAGATCATCACTGTCTCCCACGAAAGGCTGCCTGGGGCTCATCACAGAGTTCAGGAAATGCTGGCAGCATGCCTGGGTGGTGGGAGGCCTAGGTCAGGTCCAGGGGGGAACATGTATGTACCACCCGATGCCCACTCTCTGTTGAAGGGTGGGGAAGTGGGTGGGAGGAGAGAAGGTGGCGTCCCCCAGAGCACCATCTCCCAGGAAACCCAGCCAGGGAGGCAGCTGCCATGGAAACTGCTGCTGTCACGTGTGCTCGTCACTCTAGGCTCCAGAGAGAAATTCTCAGGATCTATTTAAGAACTAATAAAATAATGATGGTCTTGCTCACCCTCACTGCCCCCCACCCCAGGCTTCTACTCTTTTGGCCTTCTTCCCTACCAGGCTCCTCCCTGCCTCTCCTGCACCCGCTTCCTTACCCTTCCTCTCCTCATTTCCTTCCCCTCTCCACCAGTAACTCTCTTTCCTTGCCCCTTTCTAGAACTGTCTTTCTCTCACATCATTTCTGTCTGCCAGTGTTTCTTCATCTCTCCCTGTGTCTCTGCTCTCCATGGCTCTGTCTCTTGGTCTTTCCTCCACAATCACAGGTGGCCATGCCCAGGGACGGGTCCTGTCCTCCTGGTCCCTGGTCCAGGCCAGTCCAGACCTGTCAAGCTCGCCCTGATCTGCTTGGATTGATCTGTCATCCCCTCTAGACTGCAACCTGAGTCCTGTTGGTGTCTCCGCCCCCACCCACAGCCTGGTACACTGCAGGTGCTCCACCACCAGCGGGTGGGTGTGTCAGAGCCCTGGGTGGGAGGGGAGTTGCGCTGGTTCAGACTTGGCCTGTTCTCTTTTCCTTTTTTTTTTTTTTTTTTAGTAAGCCCTCCCTGCCCCTCCCACCCCCAAATTTGATCCAAAGGAAATTGCTCAACTGTGACTGCCAGGGCGTTACCATGGTTACTGGGTAGCACTTGTGGCTATGGTAACAGGAAGCTGCCTGTTGTCTCGGCAACGAGCAAATTGGTAAGGGATGGAGTGGCCCCTGATTGGTGCAGAAGCAGAGCATTTCCTGAGGGGAGGGGGTCAGATCATCACCTTCTCAGGCCAGATGGGCATCAGTACCCCTTCCTCCATGAACGGGAAGGCCGCTGTTTTTCCCTCCTGGCACTCAGCTGCCTGCCCCCCAACAATAATTCCTCACCTCCCACGCACCCAGCTCTTGGCAGTTTACAAAGACCTTTTGCGTCCCCATTACCTCATGTGATCCCCACAACACCCATGAGAGGAAGGTGAGATGGGGATTCAATCATGAATTCACTCAGGGTGGTTGGGGGATGGGGATGTGGGGGCGATATATTGAAATCACCTAGGAGCGTTTTCAAATTATGCAATACCCCAACTTAAGAGCCTCATCTGGTTCCTGGGTGATTTTTATCTACACTTCCTCAGGAACCCCTGAATTAAAAGATGAAGTTGGTGGGAGCGGGGAAGGGATGGAAGGAGAAGTCAAGCTGCTTTCCAGGCTTATAGCTTGGGTGACTGGGAGGATCAGGTTGGGGCAAAAAAAAAAAAAAACAAATGAGCTCTCGTTTGGGTGTGTTGAGTGAAGGCGCCCGTGGGACTTTCTAGTGGGGATGTCCAGCAGGCAGCTGGTAACATGGCTCTGAAGCTCAGAGGAGAATGCAGGCTGGAGACACAGAGCTCTAAGTCATCCCTGTGTGGAGAGGAGCTGAGGCTGAGTGTGGATGAGACTATCCAAGAAAAGTAGGAAGAGCCAGACAAAAAGGGCTGAGAACGGCACCTTGGAAAACTCCAGCATCCTCAGGGAAGGGGACCCTAGGGAGGGGATGGAGCAGGTGAGCGTGGAGACTCTAGTGATACAGCAGCTTGGGAAATGTTTTCCTCATTTGAAAAATTGAATCTGGCCGGGCGCAGTGGCTCACGCCTGTAATCCCAGCACTTTGGGAGGCTGAGGCGGGTGAATCATTTGAGGTCAGGAGTTCAAGAATAACTTAGCCAACATGGAGAAACCCTGTCTCTACTAAAAATACAAAAATCAGCCGGGCCTGGTGGCACGTGCCTGTAATTTCAGCTACACAGGAGAAAAAGAAAAATTGAATCTGAGAAAAGGTGGCTTACTTAAAGTCATACAACCATTAAATGACTAGAGTTGAGGGCAGATAGCACTGAGTCTGATTCCCAGACTCTCATCTAAATGACACATAGCGTGATATTCTCCATTTTAGACATAAAACACAAATCTGCAGTATCAATTCTACCCTCCTTCCCAATCCTCTCATGCAAAGCCTTTAAGTAAGTCCAGAAGCCAAAGGGACAGGCCTCACATAGCCCCTGCCCAGAGCCCCAGGCAGAAAAGTCTCTTTAGCCGCTTCATTCCACCTTGTGCTTGCCACTAAGTTCCTGTCACCCATCCCTGCCAGTTTCAGCACCTTCTAAATTCCTGGGTTTAAGGAAGGAATCTTGGAGAAAATCTGTAATCCCAGTTTGGAAGTGGTAGAGTGCAGAGTTCAAAGGGGCTAGGGCTCAGATCCTGAGGAGTCCAGGGTTCGAGAAGCTGGGGGCTCCAGGACCAGGCAGTCACGCTGAATGGGTGTGTTGGTCCGATGTCTTTCAGATGAATCGTCCGATCCAAGTGAAGCCAGCTGCCAGTGAGGGCCGAGGAGGTAACTTCCCTGTCTGACCAACCTCAGGCTGCAACCCGTGTAAGGGAGGGTGGGCCCACACCTGGAGTCTGTCCTACCCATTTAGTATGAGAGCCTCCCTGGGTCAAGGGGACAGGTGGGGCTCAGAGTTGCTGAGCCCCAGAAATAGCTCAGCCTTCCCTGCTCAGACTGAGCAGGGCTGGGGTTCTGGGGAGCCCAGGCCCAGAAGAGGCAAGAAGGGCCTAAACAGATGCCAGTGATAGAGAAAGGGGGTTCTTGCCACTTACCCTTGGAGAGAGATCATTCCTGTTTTGCCACATGGAACTTTCAGGGTTTCGTTGTTGTTGTTGTTTTTAAGAATCAGGTGGGGGTTATTCTCCTTCTCCATATCCTTCTGATATCAGAAAACACAGTCCGTTTCGGATTGAGGCCATTCCTTCAT
Source organism: Homo sapiens (assembly GCF_000001405.40). NCBI lineage: Eukaryota > Metazoa > Chordata > Mammalia > Primates > Hominidae > Homo > Homo sapiens. The sequence goes on along the minus strand of NC_000015.10, from coordinate 72,304,324 downwards.
TGTAATTGCCTAGCTGCTCATGGTAAAAGATAAGGCTGGTACGACAGACTTTATGGGCCATAGTAAGTCCTCTATGCTGAGGACCATGGAAAGCTCTGATAGCTACACTGTTTCCTGGTAGAGAAAAAACAGAGCTCCTTAAGAACAGGAGGTGGGCTGAGCACGGTGGCTCATACCTATAATCCCAGCACTTTGGGAGGCTGAGGTGGGTGGATCATTTGAGGCCAAGAGTTCGAGACCAGCCTGGGCAACATGGTGAAACCTCGTCTCTACTACAAATAGATAAATTAGCCGGGTGTGGTAGTGGATGCCTGTAATCCCAGCTACTCGGAGGCTGAGGCAGGGAGGCTGAGGCAGGAGAATCGCTTAAACCTGGGAGGCGGAGGTTGTAGTGAGCCGAGATCACGCCATTGCACTCCAGCCTGGGCAACAGAGCATGACTCTGTATCAAAACAAAAACAAAAACAAAAACAAAACCACATAGGACGGTTAGAGAGCCTGTGCTTTCTTCTAACCAGCTGGGTTCTGGCCAGCTTCCAAGCTGTAAAGGCAAGGCTGGATTCTGGTGTCAGTTCTTGGTGTTTTTCTCACCCTTGCATCTTAGATCCTTCCAGTGTATCAGCCTATAGCCCTCCCTGATGTCTGCTGACTCTTTATCTTGGGTAAGACTCTCTTCCTGTCTAACCCAAGATCAGCCATGGCTTTGCTAGCTGAAAGAAGCTGCCCGAGTTCAGGAACAGAATGGAACCCAATTGATATAAACATGTATTGAGTCCTACTAATTCTGTACCCCTCTCAGACTTCATGCTCAGTCTGAGAACCCACACACAGAGTTCTGGTGACTTTGTGGTTCCACTGTGAAGTTCGTTCCTCCAAGAAATACTTCCATTATCCTTTTAGATTCTCTGACCTCTGGTCTCTGATTCTTGATTTCTGGTCAAAATGTTATCACCTTCACCTTGTCTTGGAGAGATATTTCCAAGTTTCCTCCTCCATCCACACACACATTCTCCTTTCCCTTTTTATTCTTTCCAGTCAGGTTTTTGAGATGTTCCAGGCTGCATGCAAAACTTCATGTTCATGTAACCCAAGAATTTCTGCCTCTTGGGAAACTCTTTTATGCATCAAGGCCATTGTTGGCCAACTACTAAGCCCTGCCCACAACCATGAGCCAGTCCCACAGCTGAGAAGCCAACTAAGAGTATGTGAGTGAGCTGTGAAGCAGACAGGTTCAACCACACAACCAACATCTTCTGAGCAACTTACTCCACAGCAGGAATACAGATGTGAGCAAAGCAGACCTGGTACCTGGCCTCATGAAGCACGGATGCTATGAGAGGATATGGACAAGTAAACAAGGGAACACAATTCAGTGTGATCACTGCTTTCAAGGGGAAGTCCAGGGGAATTGTGGGGACACAAACAAGGGGCACCTAACCCAGTCTGGAAGATCAAAGTGGGTTCCCAGAGGAGTAATATTTAAGCTGAGACCTCAAGGATGAATAGGAAGTAGTCAGAGAAAAGAGGAGAGAGGGAGCAAGCATGTTGGGCAGAGGAAGAGCATGTCCGCAGGCCCCAGAGCTCAGAAGAACGTGGTGCAATTTGGAGTCTTGCTCAGGAACTAAGTCCACAATGCTAGGGCACTCCTGCTGTATGGAGTCCACTACATCTTGTCAGTGTTTGGGCAGCCGCACAAAGGGGGCCTCCATGCTGATAGTGCTTTTGCTTGGCCTGGTTGATGTGTTCTGGTGGTCTGGGCTCTAAGCAATGACATCAGCTTGAGTTGTAGAATTTTCTTTCCACATTTTTGTATAAACTTTGCAGGTGTCACATCATTAAAAAATTCTGTACATATGGCATTTCCACCTATACACCTGTTTAAAAGAGCAGGAAAAGCAAATCTAGCTGAAAAAGAGTATTGCCTGGCAGCAGAACTCATAATTTAGCAGTTGTGTTACACAGATATTTCTGGACAAGTGGTGGCTCTCAAGAAGCATACACTCCAAATGCATCCATGAATAATCCTTCTTGCAGGTTTGGATGACCAGATCTCTCAATTCCTCCCTGCTCCCTACTATATATTCAGGAGAGAAAAGGCCTATGTATCCAGTCTTGCAGAACAGTTGGGCCTTTACAATTTATAAGTATTTTAATACTAACAGATCTGTGTTAGATAATCATTACTAATCAAAATGTATTTTCTTCAGTGCTATCATATATCTCTTCTAAAGTGAGTTCAACCCTCTGCTGAATTTTAACACAACCTAATGCTTTAGAAAGTCAACTTTTTGGCTGGGAGCAGTGGCTCACGCCTGTAATCCCAGCACTTTGGGAGGCCGAGGCGGGCGGATCACGAGGTCAGGAGATCAAGACCATCTTGGTTAACACGGTGAAACCCCATCTCTACTAAAAATACAATAATTAGCCAGGTGTGGTGGCGGGCGCATGTAGTCCCATCTACTCAGGAGGCTGAGACGGGAGAACGGCGTGAACCCAGCAGGCGGAGCTTGCAGTGAGCCAAGATCGCACCACTGCACTCCAGCCTGGGTGACAGAGTGAGACTCTGTCTCAAAAAAAAAAAAAAAAAAAATCAACTTTTTAAAATGGTATTGGATTTTGCTTTTAAAATGTAACATTTGGCAACAACGTGGAACAGCGTGTCCCATTTAAGTCTTATATCTGTGACCTCAAACATTCTATAAACTGTCAGAGTCAATGGTCACACACACCTGACCAGATATATTTACGCCAGTAAGCCTGTGTCTTCTAAAATTATTCCTGAAATTAAATCCCTTAGTTTACCATTGGTTAATAATGGTTTCTTTATCCGATAAGAGTACTGATGTCAATGAAAACAATCTAAGGGATATCAAGGCCAACATATTCTTCCAAAACCTTCCAGTTTCTTCTGGAAGGGATTATGCATGATTTTTCTTCCCATCAAGTAGGGATCATCAGCTCAAATACTACAGGAGCCCAGGTAGGTAACCTTAAATGGATGAGACTCCCATGTTTTAATAAAATAATTTACAGCTGGGCATGTGGGCTGGTGCCTGTAATCCCAGCACTTTAGGAGGCCAAGGCGGGAGGATGACTTGAGCTCACAAGTTTGAGACCAGCCTGGGCAACATGGTGAAGCCCTGTCTCTGCAAAAAATATGCAAAAATTAGCTGGGTGTGGTGGCATACATCTTTAGTCCCAGCTACCCAGCTACTCGGGAGGCTGAGGCAGGAGGATCACTTGAGCCCAGGAGTTCGAGGCTGCAGTGAGCTAAGATGGCGCTACTGCACTCCAGCCTAGGTGAATGAATGAGACCCTGTCTTAAAAAAAAAAAATCATTTTAGCTGTATTAAATGTTGGCAACTAATTCAATTTTTAAAAATAGACCAGCACTGTGAGAGCCTACCAAACCTATCATAATTGCTTCTTTTTCCATCTGCCATAAAGCAGGATTACATTGTGCACACATGAGTTTTTTTTTTTTTCTTTTTGAGATGGAGTTTCACTCTGTCGCCCAGGCTGGAGTACAGTGGCGCCATCTCCACTCAACGCAACCTCTGCCTCCTGGGTTCAAGCAATTCTCCTGCCTCAGCCTCCTGAGTAGCTGTGATAACAGGTGCCCACTAGCACGCCCAGCTAATTTTTGTATTTTTAGTAGAGACGAGGTTTCGCCATGTTGGCCAGGCTGGTCTTGAACTGCTGACCACAAATGATCTGTCTGCCTCGGCCTCCCAAAGTGCTGGGATTACAGGTGTGAGCCACCACGCCCAACCTAGCTTTTTTACAAAAATAGCTACTTTGTCTTCTGTCACTTGACTTTTGATGTAACAGTGTACTAGTAGTCTTACTTTTAATCAATAAACATGAGGTTTGTGGTTGAAATAACCAACATACATATTGTATATTTTATGATTTTTATTTATTTACTGATTTGTCTGTTTATTTACTTTTTTTTTTTTTTTTAGAGACAGTGTTTCACTCTGTTGCCCAGGCTAGAATGCAGTGGCACCATCATAGCTCACTGCAGCCTTGAACTCCTGGGCTCAAGTGATCCCCCTGCCTCAGCCCCCTGAGTAGCTAGGACTACAGGTGCATGCCACTATGCCCAGCTAATTTTTGTATTTTTATTTTTTGTAGGGACAGAGTCTCACTTTGTTGCCCTGGCTGGTCTCAAACTCTTGGCTTCAAATGATCCTCCCACGTTGCCTTCCCAAAACGTTGGGATTACAGGCAAGAACCACCGTGCCCGGCCCCTGTTGTATTACTTTTAATAGTTATTGGTAACACTTGTTAATTCGATGCCTGCAATACAATTAATATTAGCAATACACCAGGATCTGCCTGATGGAAGATGTCAAGGTCCTTTTCTGTCATGGCCATCTCCCGCAGCCTTGGCAACACTTTTCTCAGAGTACCAGAGGTGCATCTGGGTCTTTGTGGATATATTATAGCAGCCTTTTAATGTATTCCAGTGAGTTTGCATAAATTCTGTAGCTAAGTTCCACGCTGTTCCTATACTCCACACTCCAGGCCTATATTTTACATCCTGTGGCAGCTACACATTGAGCAGTACACTATTAAAGGAAAATGCATCTAACTTTCTAAAATGAAACTATCTCCTAACATACATTAAATACACATAGTGTCAAAAACCTTTTCCTCAGGACTGGGCGTGGTGGCTCACGCCTGTAATCCTAGCATTTTGGGAGGCCGAGGCGGGTGGATTGGCTGAGCTCAGGAGTTCAAGACCAGCCTGGGCAACACAGTGAAACCCTGTCTCTACTAAAATACAAAAAAATTAGCCGGGCTTGGTGGTGTGTGCCTGTAATCCCAGCTACTTGGGAGGCTAAGGCAGGAGAATCACTTGAACCCAGGAGGCGGAGGTTGCAGTGAGCCGAGATCATGCCACTGCACTCCAGCCTGAACAACAGAGCGAGATTCCATTTCAAAAAAAAAAAAAAAGAAAAAACAAAAAACCTTTTCCCTCAGCATTTGTGTGCATTTGAACATGAACATTAAAATGTTTGTATGGGTAAAAATTCAAGGTTCATGTATTTTTGTTGTTGTTGTGTTGTTTTGTTTTGTTTTTGAAATGGAGTCTCGCTCTGTTGCCCAGGCTGGAGTGCGGTGGCATGATCTCGGCTCACTGCAAGGTACAACTCGGCTCACTGCAAGGTACAACTCCACTTCCTGGGTTCAAGAGATTCTCCTGCCTCACCCTCCCGAGTAGCTGGAACTAGAGGCGCCTGCTACCGCACCCTGCCAATTTTTGCATTTTTAGTAGAAATGGGGTTTCACCATGTTGCCCAGGCTGGTCTTGAACTCCTGACCTCAAGTGATTTACCGGCCTCAGCCTCCCAAAGTACTGGGATTACAGGCATGATCCACTGTGCCTGGCCTAGGTTCACGTATTTTTAAAATGTTAACCACAAATTATATGAGGTCAGAAATAAGGATCCCCAAATCCCTCAGACAATGGTAACTAAATAAGTCTGTTTTATTTGCTGTTCGGCATAGGGACTGTAGTTGATTTTTCCTCACTTATATTTTCTCTACTTTGGAAACACCAATAAGTTAAACTATAAGTACCGATCTTATAGGAAAAGTAGTTTTTAGTCCTAAAGCAAAATATTAAAAATTATTGAATTGTATATTCTTTCCTCTTTCAAATTTCATAGCATAGAATCAATACATAAATCACAATGGTGATTGCTCTGCTTGTTCCACTTCTCAACTTGGCTGTGTCCTTTACTCAGCAAATATTCATGTATCCAAGATGCCTAAGGTACAGAAATAGGTTAGGTAATCAATCCATGCACTCTTTCCACTTCAGTTATTTTCTTTTAACGTTCAAACTTAAAACATTCTCTGAGGATTTTAAAATATATTTTGAGGCATCTCGTTTTTCAGTCTTGCAATTTGGTTCAACTCAAAAGCCAATTATCTGTTATCCAATTAACCCTCCTATCACTATCCTATAATTGCGTAAGTAATTTCTGCCTGAATTTGCAAGGGTTTGATTAGATGTCAGCCTGGATTTTGAGTATAAACATAATGCATATATGACTATCTCACTAGCAGAGCCATCTTTTCCAAGTTCTTTCTAGGATTCCACTTTATTCAGTGTTTAACAACTAATCTTTGAGTTAAAATTGAATTTTGAGGTAGAATTTTCAGAATTTCATAGTACTGGGACATATTCCGTGGCCTAAATCAGAAATAGACCTTAGCAACAACTGTTCTGTCACAGTCAGTTGACAGTCATACCTGTTATTGGTCCTTAGATGAATTTAATTCTAAAAAGTATTTTCCAACTAAGATTGGATAGATTTCACCTGTACTACTTGACCCTTTCCTCACATTAACTCTTCACTTCCTGAAATGCATTCTACCCACAAAGGTAATGAGAGGTGCTTTCCTTAGGCTTGGCTCAGAGCAGATCACCCAAAGCTGATTGTCATAACACTTTTAGGGGTACAGTTACTAGAGCTAAGTACATTCACATTGTATAACCAATCCTCAGAACTTTTTCTTCTTGCAGAAACAGTAACTCTGTATCCATTAAATGATTCTCCATTTCCCAATTTCCGTCAGCATGGCAACCATCATTCTATTTATTTCTGTGAGTTTGACTACTCTAGATACCTTATGTAAGTGGAATCATACAGTATTTGTCCTTTTGTGACTGGCTTATTTCACTTAGCCTATCTTCAAGTTTCATTCACGTTGTAGGATGTGTCAGAATTTCCTTCCTTTTTAAGACAGAATAATAGTTCTTTGTTTGTATATACCACATTTTGTTTATCCGTTCATCTGTTGGATATTTGGGTACCTTCAACCTTTTGGCTATTGTAACTAATGTTGTTATGAATATGGGTGTACAAAAGATTTCTTCAAGATCTTGTTTTCCCAGGCACAGAAAGACAAACATTGCATTATCTCACTTACGTGTGGAACCTAAAAAAGTGGAGCTCATAGAAGCAGAGAGTAGGATGGTGGTTGGCAGAAGTTAGGGGCGGCAGGGGGGTTACAGTATGGAGAAAGGGGAGATGTTAGTCAAAGGATACAAAGTTGTAGTTAAACAGAAGGATGAAGTTTTAGTGATCTATTGCATAGCATGGAGACTGTAGTTAATAATAATGCAATATGCACTTCAAAATTGCTAATAGAGTTCAATCATCTTCACCATAAAAAAGTGATAAGTAGGCAAGGTGAAGAATATGTTAATTAGCTCCATTTAATCATTTCACAATGTCTACATATATCAAAGCATCACATTGTACCCCATAAATATATAAAATTATTATTGGTCAATTGAAATAAAATTATAGATTAATTTTTGAAAAGACCCTGCTTTCAATGTTTTTGGATATATTCCCAGAAAAGGTATTGCTAGATCATATGGTAATTCTATTTTTAATTTTTTGAAGAACTGCCATACTGCTTTCTGTAGCAGCGACACTATTTTACATTCCTATCAACAGTGTGCAAGAGTTCCAATTTCTCCACATCCTCGCCAACGCTGTGATTTTCTGTTTCTTTGATAGCAGTCATCCTAATCGGTGTGAGGTGGGTGATATCTCATTGTAGTTTTGATTTGCATTTCCTTAACAATTAGTCATTTTGAGCATCTTTTCTTATGCTTGTTGCCCATTTGTATTTCTTCTTTGCAGAAACATCTATACAAATCCTTTGCCCATTATTAAATAGAAGGTTTGGTGTTTTCTGTTGTTGGTATTGTTGTTGTTACCATTTAGTTGTACGAGTTCTTTATATATTCTGGATGTTAACCTCTTATCTTGATATATTGTTTGCAAATGTGTTCTCCCATTCCAGAGGTTGCTTTTTCATTCTGTGAGTTGTGTCTTTTGATGGACAGAAGTTTTCTAGTTTTTTATTTTTGCCCTCCAATAGATCCTTGTTAAAGTTTTTAATTTTGATGTAGTCAGTCCAATTTATTTATTTTTACTTTTGTTGCCTGTGCTTTTGGTGTCATATCCAAGAAATCATTGCCAAATCCTGTCAGGAAATCTTTTTCCCCTCAGTTTTCTAAGACATCTATTGTTTTAGCTCTTACATTTAGGACTCATCCATTTTCAGTTAATCTTGTGTATATGGTGAAAGGTAAGAGTCTAACTTCATTCTTTTGTAGATATCCATTTTTCCCAACCCCATTTGTTGAAAAGACTGTCCTTTCCTTATTGAATGACCTTGCCTCCCTTGTTGAAAATCATTTGACCATATGTAAGAGAGTTTATTTCTGGGATTTCTGTTCTATTCCATTGGTCTATATATTTATCTTTATGCCAGTACCATAGTGCCGATTACTATAGCTGTGTAATATGTTTTGAAAACAGGGAGTTCTTCTTCTTCTTCAAGATTGCTGGGTATTTGGAGTCCCTTGAGATTCCATATGAATTTTAGGATGGATTTTTCTATTTCTGCAAAAAATGCCATTGGGAGTTTATAGAGATTACATTAAATCTGTAGATCACTTGGAGTAGTATTGACATCTTAGCAATATTAAGTCTTCGAATCCATGAACACAGATTGTCTTTTCATTTATTTGTGTCTTCTTAATTTTTTTTTTTTTTTTTTTGAGACAGAGTCTTGCACTATCACCCAGGCTGGAGTGCAGTGGCGTGATCTCGGCTCACTGCAACCTCTGCATCCTGGGTTCAAGCAATTCTGCCTCAGCCTCCTGAGTAGCTGGGATTACAGGCACCCACCACCACGCCCAGCTAATTTCTTTGTATTTTTAGTAGAGATGGGGTTTCACTATGTTGGCCAGGCTGGTCTCAAACTCCTGACCTCATGATCTGCCCGCCTCGGCCTCCCAAAGTGCTGGGATTACAAGCGTGAGCCACCACGCCTGGCCTCTTAATTTCTTTTAGCAACATTTTGTAGTTTTCAGTGTATGAGTCTTTCACCTCCTGGGTTAAGTTTATTCCCAAGTATTTTATTTTATCTTATTATTTATTTATGTATTTTGAAACAGTCTTACTCTGTCACCCAGGCTGGAGTGCAGTGGCTCAATCTCGGCTCACTGCAAACCTCCACCTCCCAGGTTCAAGCGATTCTCCTGCCTCAGCCCCCCAAGTAGCTGGGATTACAGGTGCTTGCCACCTACACACGGCTAATTTTTGTATTTTTAGTGGAGACAGGATTTTGCCCTGTTGGCCAAGCTGGTCTCAAACTCCTGACCTCAGGTGATCCACCCACCTCGGCCTCCCAAAGTGCTGGGTTTACAGGCGTGAGCCACCATGCCCGGCCTCCAAGTGTTTTATTCTTTTCGATGCTATTGCAAATAGAATTGTTTGCTTTCATCTCTTTTTTTTTTTTTTTTTGAGACACAGTCTCACTCTGTCTCCCAGGCAGGAGTGCAGCGGCACAATCTCAGCTCACTGCAACCTCCACCTCCCAGGTTCAAGAGATTCTCCTGCCTCAGCCTTGCGAGTAGCTGGGACTACAGACACATGCCACCATGCCTGGCTAATTTTTGCATTTTTAGTAGAGACAGGGTTTCACTATGTTGGCCAGCCTGGTCTTGAACTCCTGACCTCATGTGATCCACCCACGTTGGCCTCCCAAAGTGCTGGGATTATAGGCGTGAGCCACCGTGCTGGCTTTTGCTTTCACTTCATTTCATTTTCAGATTGTTCATTGCTAGTGTGTAGAAACACAACTGATTTTTTGTGTGTCAATTTTATTTCTTGCAACTTTGCTGAATTGGGTTATTTGTTCTAACAGTTTTTTTGTGTGTGGAATTTAAGTCCCTCCTGATGCCTGTCACATCTGGCCAGGAGACTCTTCTCGTCCTGGCTACTTCCTTCTGTCACTTTCCCCGTGGCTTCTTATGCTGCAGTCGTCACTAAGAGTATCAGGAGAGAGTTGCTTTGCTGTAATACAATTACTGCCACCAGCAAGACTTTCTGGGTTGGCATTTACATTGAAAAATGGACCAGTATTTTTAGGATGTGTCTGGTAGTTGGTACCCGAAGGCTGGACCTTTCCTTACACTGTCCCTACAATCATTACATTTCACCAACATGGAGGTGATTTGGTGTGAGTGGCCTAGAAAACAAGAAACTTGAACAACTTAGGAATTTCTTTGGAGCAACATGAGGCAGACGCTCCTTCCTTGAACAGCATCCTGGTGCCCTTTCTGAAGAAGTAGTCTGGATTGATTCTGCTATGATTACTGGGATGTCAACCCCATCATTTGCTGCATTCGAATCCCTGACCTATATGACCAGCTGCACAAGGCAGCTTCATGGAGATGGGCCTCTGGGAGCCTAAGCCACTTGTTTTGGACTCAAAAAGCATTTGAGACTGGGTGTGGTGGCTCACACATGAAATCCCAAGCACTGTGGGAGGCCTGGGCGGGCGGATCACCTGAGGTCAGGAGTTTGAGACCAGCATGGCCAACACGGTGAAACCCTGTCTCTACTAAAAAATACAAAAATTAGCTGGGCATGGTGGCGTGCACCTATAATCCAGCTACTCAGGAGGCTGAGGCAGGAGAATCACTTGAACCTGGGAGGAGGAGATTGCAGTGAGCCGAGATCGTGCCATTGCTCTCCAGCTTGGGTGACAGAGCAAGACTCAGTGTCAAAAAAAAAAAAAAAAGCATTTGATAGAAGATTAAGAAGTATACATCGGTTGCCAACAGGAAAATGCAGTTATACCATTCAACCATATGGCATTCCAACTATGTCTCAACTCTGCGCTGATGCTGCCTTCTAATACTTTCCACTCCAGGAAGGTTGAGCGTCCATGTTTGATATTCCCATCTTTCTAGGATACTACCCACCACTCATGGGATACTTTTATTCAGACATTTCTGACTTGCCTCTTGTAGCGTCCGCTTTTTATCCAAATGATAGAATTTGATCTAGAGGAAACTGAATTATCTGGGCTACATCCCATCATCATCTCTCTTTGGAGGCAATCAATGATCAGCCATCAGAATGTTCAGATCTGTGGGTTTGCGGGGCTACTGTTAGGGGTCCAGCATGTACTTCTCTTTGGCCGGGTCTCTTAAGAAACTTATCCCACCATTTCTGGGTCACCTGAGGCTCATGACCACTGTGATCCAGCTTATCCTCCTGTCAAACACAATCAAGGTCCCTGTAAAGTGGCAAAGAGGATACCAGGATTTAAGGTGATACCTGGGAAACAGGAGCCTAGAGCCCACCCCATGGTAGATACTCATTTCCATTCCAAACTCTGTACATCCCAGTAGTCCAGATCCATAGGGTCAGTGCCCTGACAGGGAAATGGAAAAAAAAATTTTTTTAGTTGGAGTCTCACTCTGTCGCCCAGGCTGGAGTGCAGTGGTACAATCTCGGCTCACTGTAACCTCCGCCTCCTAGGTCCAAGCCATTTTCCCACCTCAGTCTCCTGAATAGCTGGGATTATAGGCATGTGCCACCACGCCTGGCTATTTTTATATTTTTAGTAGAGATGGGGTTTTACCATGTTGGCCAGGCTGGTCTCAAACCCCCGACCTCAAGTGATCAGCCCACCTTGGCCTCCCAAAGCACTGGGATTATAGGCGTGAGCCACTGCGCCCTGCTGAAAATTCTTAACTTGTGAGATTCTCACTGGAAAAGAGGATCGGAAAATTTCACCATCAGCAGAAAAAGCAACAAGAGGCAGAGCAGATGAAGGATCAGATCACCACTGTCAGTACAAACCTCTTTTCTGTCTTATGGGCTCTATCTCAGCCTGTGATGTCTCTCTTCCTACACAAGGCTACCTGGATTCTGGTCCATGTGGTATGATATCTTATTGGGGTGCCATCACCATTTTTCAGACCCTGCCCAATGACACAGCTCCACTACAAATTAGGGCATTGTGAAGCCCCCCTTGGGACTATGGAGGCCCTAGACTCTTCTCCAGCCTCTCCCAGGCCTTCTGCAGCCCAGAATAACTTAGAACAATGGCATGGTCTTTCGGGGTTTGATTCTCTGGCCAAATGAGCCCATTCTCCAATGTCAAGGCAAAGCCATCAGATTGGTTGAGAGACTCATGAAAGACCTTTCCTGTCTTCTCAGGCTCCTGAACAGGATGATCTCAGATCCCCCCTCAAACAACAGCTGGAACTCTGTTCTCTATCTTCTAGGTCAGTAATTTCAAAGGGCTTTCCTTGGAGCCCCTCTAGGGAGTATTAGGGGAGGATCAAGCAAGATGAACTCCACCCCTCCTTTTCTGGCTTCAGTCACAGCAGTTCTATTTTTCTCTTACATTTTGAGCTTCATCCTAATATTTATGTTAGAACAATGTATTCCACTGATTTTTCAAAAGGTTGGGAAACCAGTGATCTGTTCCAAGGGCACTATTCTGTGGCTGACACCCCCAGAAGCAAAGTACACCCACCAGGTTGTACTCTCACCACAGAAGGTCACTGGTGAGACCTTCTTTCCTCCATCAGAATTCCAGCCACAAGTCCATTATCCATCCCCTCTCCAAGGATCATCGGATGGTACCTCTCTGGACAGACGGCAGAATTTTGCTAAAACACATTTTGCCTGCCCCTTATGAACTGCAGCCCCTGCCCTCCACACAGACATAGCATCGTCAGACAGACAGACACTTCAGGATCCCCAAGGCAGCCTAGGCCAAACCCCACACCACCCGGGTGACATATGGACACACACATAGTCTTGTTGGAGATTTCTCCCCTGCTAACTTCGTTCAGTTTTGAACAGTCTGTTCTTCCTTCGCTGTCACCCAGGCTTCAGTCTATGACCCCCCACTAGCCTTGTTTTCCCTGCACTCAGAATCCAAGGACCCCCATCTGCCTAGCCAAGCTGGTCAAGGAGTAGAACCATTTAGGATGGGTTTTCCTGCACTCCAAGGTCTTGAAGATGAAGCCTGAAACCAGTTTCCTACCCACTCCTTCTCTCCCAACTTGTATTGTCCCCTACATGGTCAAGCCCCATCCCAAATTCAGAGATTTACCTTGGTGCAGAGAAGAGCCCCAGACTTTAACAGCAGGCTGGACCCCTCTACCCCACGCTCCCAGAGTGTTCCTGAGGCCTAACTTGCTGGATGTGCGGCAAAACCCTAGTTTCCAGCCCCAGCTCTCCAGCTTTCTTCGAGGGACACAGGCCCAGCTTGCAGCCCCTTTCCTGCATTTCTGCCACTCCCATAGAAAGGGTGGACACAGGGAGGAATCAGACTGGTTCTCTGGTGGCAATCCAGGTCTATAGGCAGAACTTGTTCTCTCATAGCATGAACATTTTGGGAGGCATCAGGGCAAGAGGACAGGGGAATCAGAGGGAAGGATACAGACAGGGCACTAGAAGCTTGCTGAAGGGACAGGGTGGTGGAGGTGGGAGTTAAGGAAAGGGGTCAGGGGTTCAGCAACTGTAGTAGGAAAAATGCTAATGTTGGAGGCTCAGGAAACCAAGGTCCTGCTCTCTGTAGGCCTTTGGGAGGGGCATCCAGGTTGGATGTGGTGCAGAGGGTAAGGATTCATCATGCCAGTGCTCAGTGCCTAAAGATGAGGCAGTAGGATGACAGGACTGTTTTCTGTGCTGTTTCTAAATCCAGAACCCTCCTTGATATTAGCAGGAAGGGGCATTGATTCTAGCCAGCACTATCAGGCTGACCAGCAAGGATGTACTTCTCTTCTCTGGACCCAGTCTGAATAGAAAGGCTTTCTCTGAGCACCCGCTTCCTTAATAGTACAGAAATGGTCCAAAACAGCGTTTCCCAACCTCTAAGAACAGAAAGGTCAAACATGTAAAACAATGCATATAGGGCTCTACCCAGCCAGAGATATCAAGACTGCATTACTCCCCACAAGAGCAGCCCTGAGCCTCTCTGGGTTTCCCCAGGACCCAGGTTTTCCTGATGGAAAGCTGAGCTGAGCTCCCTTCTCCAGATCCCTTCCCCAGATCCTGCCCCTCAATGAAAACCAACCCTGGAAGCCCAGGGCCTTCTCACTCCCTCTGCTTCCCAGAGTGAGACTGGTGAGCTGCCTTCCTAAGTTCCTCAGGCTACTCTCGGGGGTCTAGGAAGACTTGGGGTCCCCAGGTCATTCCTGGCTTTGTCCCCAGAGGACCGAAAGCTGTTTGTGGGGATGCTGGGCAAGCAGCAGGGTGAGGAGGACGTCAGACGCCTGTTCCAGCCCTTTGGCCACATCGAGGAGTGCACGGTCCTGCGGAGTCCTGACGGCACCAGTAAAGGTGACCTGAGCTGACCCCGGGATTTCCTGGTGACCCTTCCTCACTCTGGGCCACATAACTCTTTGGCCCCTGTGGCCTGAGCCACCCGCTCCCTCTGTCCTGCCCCAGGCTGTGCCTTTGTGAAGTTCGGGAGTCAAGGGGAAGCTCAGGCGGCCATCCGGGGTCTGCACGGCAGCCGGACCATGGCGGTGAGGGCGGGTTCCCTGGGCTGAGGGTGAGGCCAGTGGGGTGGGGACGGGCTTCTCCTCCCCGAGTGTGCTCGGTGCCCCGCGAAAGGACCTGATGGGAAAGGCGCTCGGCCCCGGGCCGGGGCCAGGGTCAGGACCGGTCACCACGGCCTCCCCTGCCCTGCCCAGGGCGCCTCGTCCAGCCTCGTGGTCAAGCTGGCGGACACCGACCGGGAGCGCGCGCTGCGGCGGATGCAGCAGATGGCCGGCCACCTGGGCGCCTTCCACCCCGCGCCACTGCCGCTAGGGGCCTGCGGCGCCTACACCACGGCGGTAGGTACCGGGCACCTGCGTGCGAGGGCGCGCAGGTGGGTGGGCCAGGCCTGGGGCTGAGAGCACGGGCAGCTGCCTGCCCCTTGGCCCTCCACTCTCGCCCATCTTTCCTCTCAAAGATCCTGCAGCACCAGGCGGCCCTGCTGGCGGCGGCACAGGGCCCAGGCCTAGGCCCGGTGGCGGCAGTGGCGGCCCAGATGCAACACGTGGCGGCCTTTAGCCTGGTAGCTGCGCCTCTGTTGCCCGCGGCAGGTACGGCCCCCAGGGACTGGGGCGCGCCTGGGAGGGGCCGGGCGGGGCGGGGTGGCGGCCTGACTCTCAGACCTTTTCCGCCATCAGCAGCCAACTCCCCGCCTGGCAGCGGCCCTGGCACCCTCCCAGGTCTTCCGGCGCCCATCGGGGTCAATGGATTCGGCCCTCTGACCCCCCAGACCAATGGCCAGCCGGGCTCCGACACGCTCTACAATAACGGGCTCTCCCCTTATCCAGGTGGGCCCCCCGCTCCGCCCAAATCCCCCCGAAATGGAGTGGGGAGCGGGGGGTGGGGGGTTAGGGCCTGGCTTCCCTGGGAAGAGATCCCCCTCCTTCCCTGCTGTCTCTCACAGCCGCCGTCCACCTCCCACACTCCCTGAGCTTCTCACCCACTCTGCTCGCCCGCTTGCCTTCACTGTGGGCCTCGCGCCCCTCTCTCCCCAGCCCAGAGCCCCGGCGTGGCTGACCCCCTGCAGCAGGCCTACGCTGGGATGCACCACTACGCAGGTTTCACTTGGCGCTACGCGGCCTGGGGGAGGTTGAAGGGCCCTAGAAAGAAATAGGGAGAGTTGTGGGGGATTTAGGCTCTGTTCCAAGGAGTTGATCCTCCCATCCCCTCCTACCCCCAGAACGACCTCTCTTGGGGTGAGGGTTATGGTGGACTGGGCTGAATTGGTCAAAAGCGGCCAGGCAGTTGGGGCCCTGCTTGGGGAAGGGCTCCTGGGGATCACTGTCCACTCCCACCTCTGTCTCCAGCAGCCTATCCGTCGGCCTATGCCCCAGTGAGCACAGCTTTTCCCCAGCAGCCTTCAGCCCTGCCCCAGCAGCAGAGAGAAGGTGAGGGACTGGGGGCTGGACAGCAGAACCTGGTGGGGCTGGACTCAGGGTCCTTCCCCTGAACCAGCTTGCTACTGTTCCTCCAGGCCCCGAAGGCTGTAACCTCTTCATCTATCACCTGCCTCAGGAGTTTGGTGATGCGGAACTCATACAGACATTCCTGCCCTTTGGAGCCGTTGTCTCTGCTAAAGTCTTTGTGGATCGAGCCACCAACCAGAGCAAGTGTTTTGGTGAGCTGAGAACCTACCCCTAGGCCTCTCCCACCTCTGACTATAAAGGATTTCCTACAGACCCTACGATTGCCCTTCCATAATGCAGTGATTTCCTGAGATTGAATGTATGGCACAAAACAGGGTCACAAACCAGTGATGGGCCTAAGTTTAGGCCAACAACAAGCCTTGGCCGGGCATGGTGGCTCACGCCTGTAATCCTAGCACTTTGGGAGGCCAGGGCAGGTGAATCACTTGAGGTCAGGAGTTTGGGACTAGCCTGGCCAACATGGCGAAATCCCGTCTCCACTAAAAATACAAAAATTAGCTGGGCGTGGTGATGGGTGCCTGTAATCCCAGCTACTCAGGAGGCTGAGGCAGGAGAATTTCTTGAATCCGAGAGGGAAAGTTTGCAGTGAATTGTGATGGCACCACTGCACACTCCAGCCTGGGCCCCAGAGCAAGACTCCATCTCAAAAAAAAAAAAAAAGAACGAGCTTTATTTCAGGTTTACCTGGGATGATCATGTGTCCACCAGGAATGTGGCCAGCTAGGTCAGAGCTTTGGAGTCTGGCCAGGGCAGGAGGAGTCTGGTTCTGAGACCAAAGATCCCCTCCAACTCCAACTATGGTTCTGAGGACCAGAATGGGAGCTGTGGAGGGAGAAAGCCAACCCATGCCAGGAAAAACACGGAAACATCCAAATCAACACACTGACCCTGCACACACACTCAGAGTTGCTTCCTATCCTTCCAAGAATCACACCTTTAGGAATCTCAGGCCATCTGCCTATGACTCTGTATCCACACAAACAGTGGAGGGGTATGTGTTTGATGGAACTGGCCTGACGGGGCTGGAAGAGGAGGGGGCTGGTCAGAGAGAAAGGAGGCCCTGCTAGGCAGAGTCCCCAGCTAATCTCTTTGCCCACACCCTCCAGGGTTTGTTAGTTTTGACAATCCAACTAGTGCCCAGACTGCTATTCAGGCGATGAATGGCTTTCAAATTGGCATGAAGAGGCTCAAGGTCCAGCTAAAGCGGCCCAAGGATGCCAACCGGCCTTACTGACCTGCTTTCACTGACCAGCCACAGAAAGGTGAGTCCCTGATGGACCCCAGGTAGATGAGGCCTGAGTGATGAGGCCCTCCCAGCTTTGATGGTCCTCCTTTTGGGACCTTGGAGGCACCCACCTCTGAGAAAGTCTGGGATAGAGAGAAGAGCCAGGAGCTAGGAGGAAACCTCAGATGGAGACTTTGCTTTTCCTTCAATCCAAGGAGATCAATTGGACAACATTCCTGCCCCGCAGTCTAGGAGAGACAATCAGAGTCTTTCTGCCTGGAGAAGCAGTTCTACTCCAGAGACAGCCAATGAGAGTAGAGAACCTGTATGCGGGGAGGGTCCAGGAGACTGGAAAATGAGACTAGAAAAGTAGCTTTGGGCCAGTTTTCAAGGGTCTTCAGGCCATGAGTTTGGACTTTATCCTGAAGATGAGAATGAACTGTTGAGGAGCTTAAGCAGAGAAAGGACTAGAAGTAAGGGCTGAGATAGTGGCAGTGAACATGGAGATGGAGGAAGAGAAGCAAACATGCTTCAGAGGTAGAATCTGCAGGGCCTGGTGGGTGATGGGGAGAAAGATGGGCCAAGTTCTTCTACATTTTTGGCAAGGTCATGGGTCCATAGGATGCTGCCTGCAACTTTTAGAGATTTTCTGTCTCAGAAGGCCCACATGGCCCTGCCTCACTTTGAGCTACCCCAGGAACCTTCTAGAGGGGATGTGGGGTTGGGGTCTTTTGCTCAGGACTCAAGTCTGGCTTCAGTGGACGGGGCTGCTGCCTGGGTCCTGCTGCAGCCCTACTCCTCAGGAAGAGAGGTCCAGCCACTCACCTGAGACGTCACTCATGGGGGCAAGCTGCTCTTCTGGTCTTGCCCTCCAAGGTGATTCTTGCCTTTTCCCCCCTATCTCTCCTTATCAATTAATACACAACAACAGAAACAGAAGAGTGAGAAGAAAGGAGAGGAAAAGCACAGAAACGCTTGAGCAGCCCTTCCCGAAGGAGCAGCTGCGGACGGAGGTGGATCGGACCCAAGGCTGGTGCCTGGGGCTAAGGCCACTCTAAGGATTGTTTTTATCAAGTGGGTTGTTCTGTGCCTGCAGCATAGAGCGCAGGCTGGCAGAGCAAATAGGGCTGGTGAGGAGTGACTGTCCAGGGGAACCAGCAGAGGGCGTTGGGGGTGCCAAGGGCTTCTCCGCAAGGGAAGCCCAGATTTACTTCTTTCAAAATCATATCATTCCTTAGAGTTTAGGGACCAAAGGACTATTGCTTTTTTAAGAATATATATATCTATATAAATTAAAACAAAGAAACAAACAAACAAAAAACAAGACAAACAACTACAAAAAAAGACAGTATAGAGTCTCATAAAAGCTGCCTTTAAATATCCCTAGGAGACAGGGTGAAGGAGACCCTTGACAGCCCCAGCCTAGGCAGATGGGGGCTGTGGAAAGATTGTTCTGTGTCTCATTCCCTCTTAAGCCACTCCCCCACCCTGCCCTTTTAAAAATAATTAAGGATTTGAGGTCTAGGCTCACATGCAGGTAATGAGAACGTTATGGAAGCAGTGAACCCACAATCCACAATCCCCAAACTCAGAGTGCATCCCAGAAGAGGCCCCAGGCAGAGCTCAGGTTGGCCCTGGCCTTTGCCATCCCGGGAGGCCCCCTAGCCAGCAAGAGTGGGATTGCCTTTCCTGTGGAACCACTGCTTCCCCAGGCGGGAAGAAAGAGGGAGTTCTGGCCACCTGAGCCTTTCCCTTGCCAATCCAGGTAGACAGAGGCCCTGCCTTTGGCTGAGCTGAGACACCTCCTGTTTCCCTTCCCCTTGAACCAGTCCCAGTGTCCCCTTGCTCCAGGCTACCTTCTGTCTCTTAGTCTAAGTTTGCCCACCTGTAAAGTAGATTCAGGATATCTGTAGAGGGCTGTGACAACAGACTTGGAAGGTTTGCTACTGTATATACTGCCATTGAGAAGGGGAAATTTTTCAATATGTAGAAGCTTCAGAATTAGAGGTCCCTCTTTACCCCAGACCTGGGAGGGAAGTAGATGTTTTGCCAAAATACTTCTTCATTCCTTTAAAAACTACATCTTTCCTATGCAAGAGTGTCTCACATGTGCTTAACCGAGGTGCTTCTAGTTGGTGAGCAGTGTTGAGCTTAGAAGTGGTGTGTGCTCTGTCTGTCTGTCTTTGTCTGTCTGTTGTATACAGTGGGTGCCATATAAAGCTGATCAATGGTGGTGCTTCCTGCCTGCTTCTGTGAGATGGGCAAAAGATTCAGCTTAGAACACCATGACTCACCTTGCCTTGGTCAGCCTTTCCTGGGCCTGTAGGGCCTTGCACATATTTTTCCCAGGAGGATTTCCCCTCCACCCCACAGGCATGGATCAGCTTGGTCTGAGGCCCCAGCTGTGTGGGGTCCCTCTAATCCCCAGATGTTGCTGAGGCTGAAGGCCTCTGATCTGATAACATGTCAGATAGTAAAAGATGTGGGGGTGGGGGTGGAGGGCTCCTCCTTCATAACAGTTTCTAAGAAAACTTGTTCCCACCTGTTCTTCTGTCTTCGACTCATTTTTGGAGGGAATGGGAATGAAACATAGATCTGGCAGTAATATTACCAGGTAAGGTGTGATGGACATCCACAAATATTTTCCAACCGAGGGAAGAACCAGAGGGTGTATGTGCACCAGCACAATGCTGACACCTAGAGTGACCACCCTAGACACAAATAGAGACACACAGTACCCGCACCCTCAAACTAATATTCACATGGAAGCAGAGAGTCCCCTCAGGCTAGGTGCTAAGCACTGTGCTACGTGTCGGGGCTCAGGTATGTTCAAAGTACTCAGAGTTAAGGGGAAAGAGAGACAAATAATCCAGTTACAATGGAGGGCCATAGAAGGTCTGTGCTAGCAAGAATGAGAGTACCTAGTTCAGACTTTATTGGTGGGGGAGGTCTGTGAAATACTTTCTGAAGGAGATTAAGAAGGGGAAAAGTCTTCAAGGATGAACTGGGACATTTGGACAAAGCCATTTAGACAGCTGCATCATTTTGAAAAATTATCTTTATTACCAAGAAATAATAATAATTACCATTTATTCAGTACCTGTTATATGGCAGATAATGGGCACAAGATAAGACCCTTTTCCCGTTCCTAACTCTACCCTGAACCTTACCATTACCAAGTCATGTCAAGACACTTGAACCAAAATGACATTTAAAATATCTGGCTTCATACTTTAGAGTATGGGCTAAGGACTGGCAGACTGTGTGATTCCAAAGCTTCAGGGTTTGACATGGTCTAGATCAGGGGTTGGCAAACTATGGCTTGTGGGCCAAATCTGGCCTGTGGCCTATTTTTGTATGAACTACCAAACTAATAATTTTTTTTACATTTTTGAAGGGTCGTCAAAACAAAACAAGAAAGTGAAACGGAGACCACATATGGCCCACACAGCCTAAAATATCTATCTATCTTGTCCTTTAGACAAAAAGTTTGCTGACCCCTGGTAAGATCATGGAAGACTTATATAATGTCTGATGAGCTTGAACAATATGGTGTTTGTGTCTCTCTGTGTGCATGTATTAGTCTGGACCTTTTCAGTTGCAAGTGTCAAAAACCCAACTCAAACATGTTTAGGCCAATTGGAAATTAATTGATTTACATAACTGATAAATCAAAGCATGTATCTGCCTTGAAGCATGGCTGGATCTAGGGGTTCAAAGGATGATGTCTCCATCTCTTGGCTCTGCTTCCTTCCATATGTTGGCCTCATTAGTTCTAGTTCTAAAATCCCAGGGAGGACTTTGGCCAGCTTTGGACACATGCCCACCACTAGGATAGAAGAGTAGGCCACCATAATTGACAACTTCATCAGGACTGTGTGGAAGGGGAGAAATGGGTCCCTAAGGAAGAGATGATGGGCAGATAAATGAAATGCACCCACTATATCCCACCCTTTATTGCATCCACCTATACTTTTCTTGACAAACATACAATTTCAAAAATGTGCCTGCCTGACAATGCAATAATCATAGACCCAACAAAAACCACATTCACCTATTTCCCAAGGGGAGATAAAACAGAATTACATCCAGTTGCTTTATTGAGTCCTCAGTCCAGGGTCCCTTGGTGATGGGCAATTCTTGCTCAGGTCTGGATATGACTTCTTAAGATTTTGCCATCTATAGGTAAAAGATAAACTTAGCTACCCCATACTTGCCCTATAACCAATGTGAAATAAGGAGAAAAAGAAGATCACAATTTGTTTTAAAGAGATGGGGCCTTGCTAATGCTGTCCAGGCTGGACCTGAACTGCTGGGCTCAAGCAATTCTCCTGCCTCAGCCTCCTGAGAAGCTGGGAATACAAATACACACCACTGAATAATTTTTAATTCTTTTTTTTTAAATTAAGATGGGGTCTTGCTATGTTGCCCAGGCTAGATTTGAACTCCTAGGCTCAACTGATCCTCTCACCTCAGCCTCCTGACTAGCTGGGACTACAGGTGCATGTCACTGCACCTCGCTATAACAGTTATTTAAAAACCTTCCATTTGGAATAGGGAGAAGAGAATACAATGGTCACTAATCTACAGCATATAACACATCCTTCTGGACAGTGGAGTGAATTTCTTGGCCAACAAAACCTATTGTTTTTGGTCCTTTCCACTGGGACATATCTCCTTTGTCCATTGTTGTTTATGGACATCCCTGAGAGGATGGACCTTTGGAACTGAAGCATCCCACTTCCCTTTTGACATGGTTTTGAGTTATTTATTGAGACAGTCTTCCTCTGTTGCCCAGGCTGGAGTGCAGTGGCGTGATCTCAGCTCACTACAACCTCTGCCTCCTGGGTTCAAGTGATTCTCATGCCTCAGCCTCCTGAGTAGCTGGGATTACAAATGCCCACCACCACACCTGGCTAATTTTTATATTTTTAGTAGAGACAGGGTTTCGCCATGTTGGTCGGGCTGGTCTTGAACTCCTGGCCTCAAGTGGTACATCTCCCTTGACCTCCCAAAGTGCTGGGATTACAGGTGTGAGCCACCGTGCCCAGCCAGTTTTGGATTTAAAGATTGACGTAGAGATTAAGCATTCCCAGATCTTTGTTTGTCAGTTGTGAGGATTCTCTGATTCGTGGGCTTTCTTTGAGCTGGTAACCATCATGAGGAATCCTTGATAATGTCCTGCTCCATGAGTTTCAATCCTAGCTCATGTGATTTCTTCGTCTTAGCAAGAGGTCACACTTTAGCCATTCCCCTACCTCTCAGCTTTGTGGCTTCCATAATGGTCTGTCTATAGTGGTAAGTCAACCTTAATCTGCTCACTACCCCCAAAGAGAGATTACTCATTCAACACTTGGCTGACTCACGCTCCAGTGACCTTGGTCTTGACCAGATATTCAAAATACCTGAGCAGTACTGGCTCCTAGGCCTCAAGCCCCAAGGAGATGCATAGGACAGGATGGAAGCAACCAGTCAAGCACTCTTGGACCAGCAACCTGCAGCTTGCTCTACTCCTCCAACTCTGGCCATGGCCCATTATTACATTGAGGCCACACAATCGAAAGACTCCTCAGGGGAGTCTCTCAGTTGACACTGAATTTTGGGGGCCCTCTTACAACCTCTAGAACTTAGGGGCTCTGGGCAGAGTCTTCAGCCTCCAGCAGATCCCCTAGAATGAATTTCTCTCGCTGGATGCAATCTGGGTGTCTTGGATGTAGGGAGAAAAGTCCTCTGGTCTGAGATAGGACTGGTGACCTCTGACCTTGAAGCAGCTCTGGTTCTGCTATGTCCTCTGACCAGACCTGGGGGCTCACCCTGGCCTCAGTGGAGCAGAACATGCATGTAATACCTTCCAAAAGAGGGTGCTATGATGTGGAGATCACAGAATCTCACTTGATCCTTTCCAGCTTGGGCTGTAATCTTTGAGCAGCCACTGTCCTGATTGCACTTGCCTCCATCATGACATAGCCAAACCCAGCAGGGACTCACAGGCTGTTTCTGGCCTCTGAGCCTCATTCATGGCCAGTATATTTGCACAATTATGTTACACAGCCCTGTATTATTTGGAAGAAACTGCATGAGTTCAGGGAGCTAAGAGGCAATGTGGGCCATTCAGCTGCCCTTCTAGCCTGCAGCCCGAGCCAGCTGGGATCTGCAAAGAGGTGGCCAAGTCTGTGCCAAGTACAAACTAAGAAGGGGCAGAGGGCCACTCTTTGTCTCCCTAGCCCCAACTCCAGACACAGCTATTATGGCAACCTCTGCCCTCTAGAAGCCTGGGCTGACCAAAGCCTTTAGCTGGCCATCTGTAGAGGGGACTTTGAACTTCCAGACTCTGGCCTCCTGCCCTCTAGTTACCTAAAAGCACAGAAACTCAGAAGGCAGAACAGGCCACAAGCCTGGGTCTGGCTTTTCCCAAGGGATATCTTAGGTGACCAGCAAAAAATGCAAGAGAGTAAAGAGAAAGCCTGTGGAATGAGCCTCAGCCTCCTGGGGAGTAGTCCCGAGATGGCCTGACCCAGTGACCTGACACTGGATTCCCGAGAGGAAGCCAGCAGTCTGGGCTGGATTCCCTGCATTTGAGTGGGAAAACTCAGCTGTGTCCTCAGGACCTTTATGTTATATGGGGACTTAATGTAGAGATGGGGGCTTTGATTTTATCTCCATATCTTAACCCAAGTCTCTAGAAAGCAGACCCTGAGGCAAGTGCTGACATTTTGCAGGGAGGTGGAAGTCCAGGATGGTGAAAGGGAGAAGAGACGAAGGCAATGCAAGATGACGCAGTACTGTGCCGGCCGCCACTTCATATGAGCTATTAGGAGAGAGCACGTCCCTTGTCAGGCTTGTTTGCCAAGCACATGGTGTTTGAAAGGAGAAATGGCACCTTGGAGCAGTTCACCAAGGGGAGATATGAGAGGGAATTAATGCTTCTGTTCCACTCTCTTCTCCTGTTTTCTGTTGGCCAAGATTCCACCCCACAAGGAGCTAACTCCCCTGCACTTCTCAGTTGCATCATTTGCTCCCTGGATGGCTGTTGGGAAGTCAGCTCCCATGGTCTGCTGTATGGCATTTCTACTATAGACATGGAAGTAGAAGGGCTACTTAGCACAGGCAGGGTGCCAACCAAGAGACAGAAAGAAGGAGGTGGCTAGGGAATCCAAGAAAGTGCATGAAGTTCGTGCCCAAGACATCCAATTCTCTCCCACAGGATTCACAGCCAAAGTCCCCAGGCACCAGAACCCCCAACACTGTCTGAATTCCAAGCCAAATACATCTTACTTAATTTGGAGGGGTGAAAAGGGAAGCATTCAGGTATAGCTTGAAGGATCAGGATTCTCCCTTTTTTCTCTGGAACTTCCCAGACCCTAAACTCACTCCAATATCTCCTACTGGATTTTCTACCTCTAGGCCTTTGTTCTTATTCACTTTAGTTTGGGGGAAAGGATTTGGCCTTTATAGTCGACAAGATGCATGATTATCTGACCTTTAGCACCCTGGATTGCTGGTCAAAAGCAGAAAAGGCGGCCGGGCGAGGTGGCTCATGCCTGTAATCCCATCAGTTTGGGAGGCCAAGGCGGGCAGATCACCTGAGGTCAGGAGTTCCAGACCAGCCTGACCAACATAGTGAAAACCCGTCTCTAGTAAAAATACAAAAATTAGCCAGGCGTGGTGGTGTGTGCCTGTAATCCCAGCTACTCAGGAGGCTGAGGCAGGAGAATCGCTTGAACCCGGGAGGCGGAGGTTGCAGTGAGCCAAGATTGCGCCATTGCACTCCAGCCTCCAGCCTGGGTGACAGAGGGAGACTCTGTCTCAAAAAAAAAAAAAAAAAAAAAAAAGCAGAAAAGTCAACTCTAAACAAAGCTGTATACTGTTCTGATTCTGCCAGCATGGAGGAAAGTCAAACTGGAGGACCTTATTGAAAATCTCAAGAAGAGGTCAACATACTCCAACATCCAAACTTTTTTTTTTCCAGTGCATCCCAGAAATCTCCACTTTGATGGATACATGACTTGAATCTCAAGATAAAATAGATGATCATTTAACCAGCTGGTTTGATACCAAATAGCAGGGGTTTCCAGTTCCCCAGCCAAGTGGGGATCTCCACTGCCTCAACTTCACTTCAGTGCCATCAATTCCATACCTCATTCCATTTCTGTATTAGGTCTGATTTAGTAGCAAGTTATAGGAACCAAGACAAACCAGCTTAAGCAAGATGAGAACTGAGAAATGCGGTGGTATTACTGACCTCAGGCAAGGCTCATCTCAGGGGCTCAAACAATGTCATCAGGTCTCTCTCATTCCATTTCTCAGAGCTCTGCTTCTCTTTATGCCTTGGCCCCATTCTCTGCCCTGTGGCAGGGAGAGCTGGGTGCCAGCAGCTTCAATCTCATATCCTCTTAGCACATTAACCTCAAAAGCAAGAGAGCTTTGAGCAGAAGATTATGATTGGCTTTGCTTAGGTCACAAACCCACACCTGAACTAATCACTTTGGTCAGGATGATGGAGTCCTTTGCCTGGCCTGATGGGTCATGCATCCATTTGTGTGGGGTAGAAGGGGGCAGGAGGTAGCATTGTGATTGTCAGCTCCACTAAGTACTAATACTTACAAAGTATAAAAGTATGCAGCCGGGCTCGGTGGCTCATGCCTGTAATCCCAGCACTTTGGGAGGTTGAGGCAGGTGGATCACCTGAGGTTGGGAGTTCGAGACCAGCCTGACCAACATGGAGAAACTCTGTCTCTAATAAAAATACAAAGTTAGCTGGGCATGGTGTCACATGCCTGTAATGCCCAGCTACTTGGGAGGCTGAGGCAGGAGAATCACCTGAACCCAGGAGGCGGAGGGTGCAGTGAGCCGAGATCGAGCCATTGCACTCCAGCCTGGGCAGCAAGAGCGAAACTCCATCTCAAACAAAAACAAAGTATGTCCTGCATGGCCTATAAGAATGTATAATCTGGCCAGGCTGGAGTGTAGGATGCATGTGAGGGGCTGGTGAGAGTCAAATAGGGTTATATCTATAGAAAGGGTGTATTTATCCTGAGAGTAGTAGAGAGACATTGAAGGGTTTTATTTTTATCTTATTTTATTTTTTGAGATGGAGTCTTGCTCTTTCACCCAGGCTGGAGTGCAATGGTGCGATCTCAGCTCACTGCAACCTCCACCTCCCAGGTTCAAGTGGTTCTCCTGCCTTAGCCTCCTGAGTAGCTGGGATTACAGGTGTCTGCCACCATGCCCGGCTAATTTTTGTATTTTTAGTAGAGACGGGGTTTCACCATGTTGGCCAGGCTGGTCTCGAAGCCTAACCTCAAGTGATCCACCCGCCTTGGCCTCCCAAAGTGTTAGGATTACAAGCATGAGCCACTGGGCCCAGCCTATTGAAGGGTTTTAATAGAGGAGTGACATGATCAGATTTGAGTTTTAGAAAGATCCCCTAAGCAGCTAAGTGGAGAATAGATTGCAGGAGTAGATACTGGATAAGGAGTCTATTAGGAGGCGAATGCGATAGTTCTGGTAGGGAGGAATAGGAATATAAAGGAGGGATTGATTTAAGATGTATTAATTTGCTCGCACTTGTAATCCTAGCACTTTGGGAGGTCGAGGTGGGAGGATAACTTTAGGCCAGGAGTTTGAGACCAGCCTGGGCCACATATTGAGACCCTGTCTACTACTCCCCAGGAGGCTGAGGCTCATTCCACAGGCTTTTTAGTTTCTTGCATTTTCTGCTCAGCACCTAAGATATCCCTTGGGAAAAGCCAGACCCAGGCGTGTGGCCTGTTCTGCCTTCTGAGTCTCTGTGCTTTTAGGCAGCTAGAGGGCAGGAGGCCAGAGTTTGGAAAGAAAGAAAAAGAAGAAGAAGATGTATTAAGATGTAAAATTTAGAGTTTATGAGGTAAAATTGGTTCCATTTAAATAAGGATGGGAGAAGTCTAAGATGCTTTCTTCTCAGGGTTCAGTCTGAATAAGTCATAGGTGAGATTTACTAAGTTAGGAACATGAAAGAAATACAGTGAGAAGATGTTTGCCTATGTGACATCCAAGTGGAGCTGTCCAAAAGACAACTTGACCAAAGTTAACTTGAAACTCAAGAAGTACAGGATGGAAGCCAGGCGCGGTGGCTCACGCCTGTAATCCCAGCACTTTGGGAGGCCGAGGTGGGTGGATCACAAGGTCAAGAGATTGAGACCATCCTGGCCAATGTGGTGAAACCCCGTCTCTACTAAAAATACAAAAATTAGCCAGGCGTGGTGGCGTGCATCTGTAGTCTCAGCTACTCAGGAGGCTGAGGCAGGAGAATCGCTTGAACCTGGGAGGCAGAGGTTGCAGTGAGCCAAGATCACGCCACCACACTCCAGCCTGGCAACAGAGCGAGACTCCGTCAAAAAAAAAAAAAAAAGAAGAAGAAGTACAGGATGGAAATATAGATTTGGGAGTTCCAGTCTATAACTGTGTGTCACTCAGGTGGATTTAAATGAGACTTTTGTTGAAAGGGCACTAGGTGGGTCACGGGATTGCCAGGCAAAAGACCCAAGCTTGGAAAATAGGCAGGAACAATGAGAGGCCAGTCCACCACAGCACAGGCCAAATTCAGATGCCAGAACCAGCTCCACAAGACCACTGCTGCTGTCATCATTATTGGACATGGGATGTCACCACTACCAGTACCCACACCATGAAAGTCCCTGGGCATGGGGTAAAGCTGACCCTGCTCTCCTGTCACCATTGCCACTGGCATGAATTCTCTATGATTCTATTTCTCTGAGTCACTCCAGAAACTACATTTCTGGAAGATGCTTGGCCAGGCCAAGGTCACATGCCTCTGTCTTAGCTAGAGAGCTGGGAAAGCAAAGATTCAACCTTTTTAGTGTCTGTCATGAAAGATAGGCTCTGCTTACTTCTAAAACTTGTAACATAAGAAGGAGATTCTGTTTCTGGGCAACCCCAAATTATCAAGATCTCCTTCAAGTGGCCATGGAGGCCACAGGGAAGAGTAATAGGAGAAATGGATGTGGGCTGAACTGCTTTTCTACTTAAGTAGGGAATGAAGGAAAGGGAGTATAATAAGGATACTGTGAAGGAGTCATATGAGGTGTAGCAAGAAACTGGAAGAGTGTAGCCCATAAGAGCCAACAGAGGAAAGGGTTGCAGGGGCAGGATGATCAACAATGCCAAATGACACCATGCAGTCAACTGCAGGGGCAAGATGATTGACAATGCCAAATGACACCATGCAGTCAACTGCAGGGGCAAGATGATTGACAATGCCAAATGACACCATGCAGTCAACTGCAGGGGCAAGATGATTGACAATGCCAAATGACACCATGCAGTCAACTGCAGGGGCAAGATGATTGACAATGCCAAATGACACCATGCAGTCAACTGCAGGGGCAAGATGATTGACAATGCCAAATGACACTGTGTGGTCATATAAATGAAGCCTGAAAATTCCCAATGGATTTGTCCATTTGTAAGTCATGTGTCACTTTGGTGAAAGTATTTTCAGTAGAAATTTTGGGGAGAGGTCAGATGACACCAGATTTAAGGAACAACTGAAGACAAGAAAGTGGAGAGGGGGAGTATAGGCTACTCCTAGAAGTTTGGTTAAAGGCAAGAAAAATCAGTAGCATGGCATATAGGATTCAAATTGGATTTTCTTTTTACGGTTGGGCTAGTTGATCAAGCTTATATACTGAGATCAACGAGTAGGGGAGAGGAAAAAGTTGAATATAAATGAAAGAGAGAGGTAAGGAGCAAATTTCCCAAGGAGGCAAAAAGGAATGAAATACAGATCACAGTGAAAGGACTAACTTTGTATTTGAAGAGAGCCCTCTCCACTTCTGAAACAGAAAGGATGGGAGAGATTCAAATGTTTGGAGGGGACAGAAAATTGAGGCAGTTCCCCCGTGGCCTTTTATTTATTTATTTATTTTTAAAGAGATGGGGAGTCTCGCTCCATTGCTGAGGCTGGAGTGCAGTGGCATAACCACAGTTCACTGTAGCCTTGAACTCCTGGGCTCCAGAGATCCTCCTGCCTCAGCCACCCAAGTACCTGGCACCCAGAGCCTTTATTTTTTCTGTGAAGCAGAATGGGGGATGGTGGGAGAGGCTGACATGGGAAGGGTTGCTGGGTACACTGAGGACTCTGCTGAGGAGACAATGAATTTGTAGGAGCTCTGTACTGAGTGCACATTAAGTTAGCTTAAGCCATTTATTCTAGATAAAAACTGACTCCTAGTCCCTCAAGATCAGAGGGCCTCAGAAAGTGCCTTGGGCAGGGTATAGTGGCTCACACCTGTAATCCCAGTACTTTGGGAGGACAAGATGGAGGACTGCTTGGGCCCAGGAGTTCAAGATCAGCCTGGGCAACATAGGGAGACCCCATCTCTGCAAAAAAAAATTAATTAGCCAGATATGTTAGTGCATGCTTAAGCCTTGGAGGCTGCAGTAAGCTATGATCACACCACTGTACTCCAGCCTGAGTAACACAGTGAGACCCTGTCTCAAAAAAAAAAAAAAAAAAAAAAGAAGGAAGGAAGGGAGGGGTGCCTGGGAAGCTGCCAGAAAGCAGAGAGTAGTCTCACCATTTCTGGTCTCTGCCTCTCCATGCTTCATTCTGTGTCCCCAGATGGTCTTTTTCCTTTTCTCATTCATCATAGTAGGTGGGAGGTAGATGTACCATAGCTCCTAAGTCTATGTCTCTTTTGCTTAAGAAACCAGTCCAGTTAGAATCATAATCTGTCAGCTCTAATCCCAGATTTTCAGGAGAACATCTGTTTAACACAGCTTAGACCAGGAATCCACTCACAGTTCAATAAACTGCAGCTAAAGTGCTAGAGGTCACACAAGACGAACATGGCCCTGGGGCCTGTGGATCCATAGTGTGGGTGTGGAAACGATAATTCCCACAGAATAGGGTTCATGGGCTAGACTAACCTAAATGGTGTCCACTCACAAGCTTAAGTGTGCAGGATTGGATGACTTCCTTTATCCTGGTTTAGGATGGGAGAGTAGAGAAGGTAGATAGCTGGCATGACCCAGGAGTGTGATTTTTACAGAGTAAGTGCAAGCATATTAACAAAGATGTGATTAAAATGACTGACCAAGGATGTGGACTGGGTAGGAAAAGAGGTGAAGCCTGGAAGATACTGGTAAACTATGAGGTGGCTGAGATTCATGATGAATAGAAGAGCTAGTGGTGGTATGCTGGAAAGGGGGAATCCTAAAGGTTATTGAATACTGGAGTTGGACTTGTCACTCATGGGCACAGTGCTTATGTTCAAACACTCCCATACATACTTGGTTCTCAAAAGCTATTACGGGGCCCTTGATGGTGAGTTGTTTTAGAGAGCAGGCCTGACTCCTTCCCCTACCACTCTGAACTTCCGCACTCTGAAACCGAGGTTATATTGATCCCTCACTTTTTTCAGTTACTATAAGCAGTAGATGTAACAAACTCACACCGAGACGGTGTTGTGGCCCAGGCTGAGTGGCAAGGTGAGCAGAGGGGGACATCAAAAGGGGAAGGAGTTAGAAAGGAGAGGCTGAGAATGTGCAAATGTAAATCAACCAACAACAAAAAGTTAACTGGGAAACTTCTGAGGCCAGCTTAGGAGGGATAGACATGACGTGTTTATATCATTCAGGGCCAAAGCCTTCTTTGTGTGTACTGTGTCCAGCTACAAAGAGGGAGTGAGGAAACAGAGTAGGTCTAAGATAAGCCTTTTCCCATTAGTGTTGATGGAAAAGAGGGTCACGTGGAAGCCCCAAGACTAATAAGGATGAAGGAGATCTGGCCATGTCTAGGGTTAATAACCACAATAACCACAATTACAGCTTCCATGTATGAACTACTTCCTAGTCCCAAGTACTCTGCTGGTTACTTTACATGGATTAGTTGGAATCGTATGAAATTGAAGGTATCTGACTGTTTATAAACTGCAAAAATAGCAATTTCCTACGGTTCAACCTAACACTATCTCAGTTCATCCTCACCACAACGGCTCCGTGAAACACATATTACTGTCTCCACCTCAAAGAGGAGAAATCAGATTCACAAAGTGAAAGTCATCGCTTAAGGCTGCACCATCAATAAGTGCCGAACCCAAGCTTCAGACCCAGATTGACTAGAAGGCCAGGGTGCTCTCCATCACGCTGCAGCTACCGGGGAACAAATGAGTTAAATGCCAGAATTTTTAAAAGCCCGAGGTGTTCGACTTCCATTGTCGAACCAGAGAATCCTGCAGTCAGCAAGGCCTCAGGACTTCCCTCAGTCTCTACCTGCCGGCCCCAACCTCCGGCGAGGGGACTCCCTCCCGGCCTACAGGCAACCTGGGTTGCCCTTCCTGCTTGTTCCTCCCAACCACTCGGGGCGCTAAATGCAAGTATTCTCCTTTGGAAGGCTCCCCGCACTCCCCCAGAGTCCCTCTTCCTTCTCCACTGCCTCCCCTACCCACGGCGCAGGCGCCACCCCCCACTCCGCACCCTTTCCCGACTAGCGACCGCCGCGCAGGCGTCTCAAGGCTGGCGTCGGCTGCTGAGGCGCGCCCAGGAGCAGGCCGTCAGGCTGTTGGTCAGGAGCGGGCCACGTGCCATCGTGTCACCGCGCGAGCGTGCGCAGAGTGGCTGAGCGCGCCCGTGACGGAACGACGAGGCGTGGGGTGCGCGACCTCGCCCGCCAGGCCCGGCCCCCGCCCCTTGGCCTGCCGCTCCGCCCCCGCGGGGCGTCCCGGGCCGCTCGTCCCGTCGGCTGCGGCCGCGCGCGGCCCGGGGTCGCCGTGAGTACTCGCCAGGCTGGCCTGTGTGGCCGCCACCACGGGCACAGGGCGGTGCGGCCGGGCCACGGGAAGGGTGCGGGGCTCGCCCCGTCTCCGCAGGGGTGGACGAAGTGAGAGGCTTGGACCGGGAGGTTCTGAGGGCCCCTCCTAGGCTGGACAGGCTTCACTCAGGCCCGGCGGCCGGGCGGCATAGATCGGGCCCAGAGCGTCTTTCCTGGGGAGGCAGGTGTTGGGTGTTTTTGGGGTCTTCAGGGGAGCCCCGGAGAACAGGTGTAACTGCTTCCCCGGGAGAGGCCTCAGGGCCTGTCCTGGAAGCACGGGTGCCAGAGAGTGTTTTCGCGGGGCAGCCGTGTCCTCTCTCCCTGCGGGGTGCCCGAGATAGCGCTAACCTGCGGGAGTCGCCCCTCAGTGATTCTTCCTAGTAGTCTTTGTTTAGTGGCCTACTCCTGAGAAGGGAGCACACGGGATGGAGTGGAGTAACCTCCTCCAGGACCACAAAGCCGGGAGCCCAACCCACAATTTAAACATTGAGCTCTGAAGCTGCTTTGACTAGACGTGAAGTTGTCACACCTAGAGAAGCGCCCATGGACCTAGGGAAAGACCTTTGTGATCCAGACTTGAGGCTCATTTACATTTGACTTATTCTCGTGGAAACTCATAAAGCGTTCTATATTAGCCGCTGAGTTTTAACACCTTCTCTGGACACTCATCATATAGTCTATTTTTGGCCCAACTTCTTTTGAAAGGGCCCATTCTTTACCTCATTTAGATAAATCAGATAGGTCTTTCTTGCTTACTTCATTAACAACTCAATTAATTATAACCACATCACATGAAGATTAGATGTAATTAGGACCTGTCCAATGTCTTTACATCCCAGTCCTTCTGTACTCCTAACCTTAAGCAAATTGGTCGACCTCTGTAGGTCTAAGTATTCTGTGTGTAACATGAAAGCTTTGAATTAGGCCACGTTTCCGGCTAATTTTTTAAAAAGTGTTTGTGATCCTGTGAATTCCATAACCCACCACCTTCCTTTTCCAACTCTTCACCTTTTAAATCCACTTTCCATCTCTCCAGAGGAAAGGGCATTGAGAGTAGAGGAAGCAAGTCCCTTTCACTAAAGCAGCCTGGTTTGAAAAAGCCGGTAATCTCTGAACTGTCTCTTGCTTGAACAAGAAAAACTCCCTCTGAAATACCTTTTTCTCCTTGTGATAGCAACAGAAACCAAGCAGCAACAGCCCTTGGAAAGAGGCTAAATTTTTCTTGACTTCTGCAGCAACAAAGACCGTGAAAAGTTGGCACTTCTGGCCTAACGCTGCCGTCATCCTACCCCTCACCCCAGGGCAACCCAGGCTGGACATTTAGTGCCTCCCTCTTTATTCCTCTGTGATCATCCAGATCAGCACTTGACTGTTTATTTTCAAATCTCACGAACCTCACCCCAAGATCTTCACATTCTGGATCTCAGCTGCTCTTGAAGGTGAAGTTTTGCTTTTTAAAATCATTTTTTTGTGTGATTTTTGTCTATGTGTAGAAACATGCAGGTTATTGTATATATCTCCCATTTGACTTAAGTATCCAGCAGAGGGTTCATTCATTTATTCTCTCATTCAAGAAATGTGTTAAGGGACTAAGAATGTAGACTGAAAGCAGTCAAAGCCTCTGCCACCAGAGGTTACATTCTGATAAACATTTTATATGTTAGAACATGGTAAGTGGAAAAAAATAAAGCTGGGAAGGGAGATAGAGAGTGCTAGTGTGTGGGTGTTGAGTTGTTTCTGTTTTAATAAATAGGATGGTCAAGGTGGCCTTTGAGCAGAGATCTGGAAGAGTGAAGGAACAAGCCATGTGGATATCTGGGTGGAAAGCATTCCAAGAAAGGGGAACAGCAGGGACAAAGGCTCTATGGCGGGAATATGCTTGGGAATATGGTGGGAAGATGAAGGCCCTATAGTGGGAATATGCTTGATGAGTTTGAAGAACAGTAATGAGGCAATTGTGGAGTGTTGGTTAATCTTCCTGTTAACATTTAGACTTGACTTTGAGGACAGCCCATTAGAGTAGCTTCTGATTTTTTTTTTAAACTTTTTATTTTGAAACTTTTCAACTTTACACAAAAGTAGGGAGGTAGGGATTACCAGAAAACCATCATGTACGTCACATAGCTTCACCAGTAATCAACATTTTGCTATTTGCTGTATTTATTTCATCTGTTATCCTCCCTCCTTTTTTTATGTGTGTGCCAGGGTAGTATTTTAAACAAATCTCAGTAATCGGGTCATTCCATCTCTAAGAACTTTAGTTATACTTTCCGTTTGCATGTTGTTTCTGAAGGATCAGGCAACACTATGAGCTGGAAGACTCCTATGCTGGCTCTGCTCTGGCATGGTGTCTTTTGTCCCCATCCTGGCTTAGTTACCAGACTTAAGTTGGTATCTAAGGAATGAACCACAGGTCCTTAGAACACACAAGGATCTAGAACTAGAACAGTGGTTCTCAAATTTTATGCATCAGAACAACTTGGAGCGTGTGTTAAAACACAGATTACTGGGTCCAATTTCTGGAATTTCTTTTTTTCTTTTTCTTTTTTTTTTTTTTTTTTTGAGACAGAGTTTTGCTGTTGCCCCCCAGGCTGGAGTGCAATGGCGCAGTCTTGGCTCACTGCAACCTCTGCCTCCGTAGGTCAAGTGATTCTCCTGCCTCAGCCTCCTGAGTAGCTGGGATTACAGGCGTGCACCACCATGCCTTGCTAATGTTTTTATTTTAGTGGAGAAGGAGTTTCACCATGTTGGCCATGCTGGTCTCGAACTCCTGACCTCAGGTGTCCTGCCCACCTGGGCCTCACAAAGTGCTAGGATTACAGGCATGAGCCTCAGTGCCTGGCCATTTCTGGAGTTTCTAATTCAGTAGGTCTTAGGAGGAGTCTGAGAATTTGCATTTCTAACAAGTTCCTAGATGATACTGATGCTGTAGGTCCACCAACCCCAGTCAGAGAATCACTAATCTGGAAACCTGACATTCAGTAGAACTGTATTAGAGACCTGCCAGGCACAGTGGCTCACATCTGTAATCCCAACACTTTGGGAGGCCGAGGCGGGTGGATCACCTGAGGTCAGGAGTTCGAGACCAGCCTGGCCAACCTGGTGAAACCCCGTCTCTACTAAAAATACAAAAATTAGCTGGGCATGGTGGCGGGCGCCTATAATCCCAGCTACGTGGGAGGCTGAGACAGGAGAATTGCTTGAACCCGGGAGGCAGAGGTTGCAGTGAGCCGAGATCGCACCATTGCACTCCAGCCTGGGCGACACAGCGAAACTCTGTCAGAAAACAAAAAAAGAAGAAGAAGAAGAACTGTGTTAGAGACCAAGAACACCTCTGTTTGAGGTTGGAGTAGCTTCAGCTGCGATGTGTGCAAAGCCAGTGACTTGCTGGTCTAGAGAGCAACAGAAAGCTTTTTTAGCCTGCTTTTAGGGTAGATTTGCCATCTTCAGCCATTAAAGCCTTCATAATTTCACAGATGAGTTTTTTGTTTTGTTTTGTTTTTCTGCTATATGTGGAGGTTTTAATGGAGCTAAAAGTTGCTGGTATAGGATTAGGAGTCTGTGGGATTAGAAGCGAGCAGGGAATTGTGTATGAAAGGGCTCTGGGTTAAGTAAAAGTTTTTCTAAGCAATTTTTGGGATAATTATTGCATTTTTCTTTGGGAAGCAGGTTCCAAGATGACTTTAGGGCATTATTTTGGCAATGACAACTGAGACCATAACTGCCAAAAGATGTTCAGTGTTGTTGAGGACTTTTTATTTTGAGATGGAGTTTTTGCTCTTACTGTCCAGGCTGGAGTGCAGTGGCGTGATCTAGGCTCACTGCAATCTCCGCCTCCCGGATTCAAGCGATTCTCCTGCCTCAGCCTCCTGAGTAGCTGGGATCGTAAGCGCACGCCACCACACCCAGCTAAGTTTGTATTTTTGGTAGAGACGGGGTTTCACCCCATTGGTCAGGCTGGTCTTGAACTCCTGACCTCAGGTGATCTGGCCGTTGAGGACTTTTTAAGTTAGCTATTGTTGCCGTATAATAGCTAGTAATACTGATGTTTAAAGAGAGATACTGGCTAATATGGAGAAATAACTAAGAATAAAGAGTCCAGAAATAATCCGATTCTGAATCTTAACTCTGGTGTGAGTTGGTACTCTGAAGAATTAACTGACAGAGTAA
This sequence comes from Homo sapiens, assembly GCF_000001405.40. Taxonomy (NCBI): domain Eukaryota; kingdom Metazoa; phylum Chordata; class Mammalia; order Primates; family Hominidae; genus Homo; species Homo sapiens. The sequence continues at coordinate 72,268,291 of NC_000015.10, read as the reverse complement.
ACATAAGCATCTTGTCCTGCCACCATCACTTTTGGCTTTAGGAGTTGTAACATTATGAGCTAGAGCAGGATCTTGCTCTAATCCCAGCTCTCCAGTTTAAGTAGAACAGCAGTATCTTGCATATAGTGCTTTTGTGTTTCATTATCTATAAAGAACTGCATGTGCAAGTGTGCATGTATATGCACGCAAGCATGTCTTTTTATATGCAAGTATCTGTATGTATAATAAAAGTGTATTAATAGCCAGGTGCAATGGCTCACGCCTGTATTCCCAGCAATTTGGGAGGCCGAGGCCGGTAGGTCACCTGAAGTCGGGAGTTCGAGACCAGCCTGGCCAATGTGGTGAAACCCCATCTCTACTGAAAATATTAAAATTAGCTGGGCGTGGCAGCAGGCACCTGTAATTCCAGCTACTTGGGAGGCTGAGGCATGAGAATTACTTGAACCCAGGAGGCGGAGGTTGCAGTGAGCCAAGATCGCGCCATTGCACTCCAGCCTGGGCGACAAGAGCGAAACTCTGTCTCAAAAAAAAAAAGTGTATTGATAAATACGTGTGCCTGTATATATACACCACCCAGCTATTAAGTGGTGATGAAACCCATTATTATCTACTTTCCACAGGACAGTGACTTGTTACCACCGCAACAGCAGAGCCTGCCATCCCCAACAGATCACCAGTTGTCCCTGACATCGTGCCCTACCTTGTCTCCCTTTGTGGTCTCCTAAATGCCCATCTCGTTGGCCTTGGTTCGGCTAGTGGTATGGAGGGGTGCTGCCTAGCACTGACCTGAGAGTGTGTGTGACCCACTGACCCAATGGTGAGAACTGACTGCCCACCTCTCCAACTGATTGTTCAAAGGGTAGAGGAGACAAAGTGCAGATCTCACCCTTTCTTGGTATTTTCCCTTCTACCCTTTTGGAAGATAGAGTGGCTATTTGAAGTTAAAGGAAAGGGAAGGGGCACAGAAACAGTATTACTTGGTGTGTTTGTGTAGTGGGTTTTCTTGGGGAGGGAGAGGAGAGTTAAGTACTTTAAAGGATAGAAAGAAAATAATGAGACAAGAGAGTTTAGGTGTGCTTGGGAACTGTCTTAGGTAATGATCCTGGAAGAGGCCAGCTTGTACTGGAACCCAGATATGCTTAGGAGTCAACCTTGACATTGAAGTCATTTGCATTTCTTTCCTACTGGCTACCAGAGCCTCTCAGTCATCATACTGAGACTTCAGAAGGCCAAAATTCCCTAGATGTTTTCCTCTGTCCCACTAAGAGCTAGTTTATGGATATGATCATATCAGGAAGAGACTGAGACTCTCACAAAGGGTGACATGAAAGGTGTAAAGGGATCAGGGCTTCAGTTATTCTATATTTCCCAATCTTTGTGGGAATCTGTTCCTCACCATATCATCCCACGCCTTTCCATGGGATAATAGGGACCTAACAAAGCATGATATCCTTATTTCTCACCACTAGGACATCAAAGGCCAGTTCTGGAATGATGACGACTCGGAGGGAGATAATGAATCAGAGGAATTTCTCTATGGCGTTCAGGTGAGGTTACATCTCCCAAGACCCCCGTGTTGGATGGTCTAGATATGTGCTGCTTTTTGGATACATCAGGAGTGAAAGAGGTTCTGGAGCACAGATGAGATGAGGTTATAATGTTGATGTGGTCTGAGCATGGTCTTGTCAGAGCTGATCCCGTGCCCTTGCTCTTTCTTTGGAGTCATACCTGTTCCAGAGTAAACTACATCCTCTGTATGTGGAGACTACCCATATCTTAATTAGACATAATTATTTTCTGACTTTTATAACACTAGCCAGTGGGGGTAGTTTCATTCATTAGGGTCACATCTTAAAAGATTACTCTGCCAGCGTTTGCTTAATGCCATCACTACCCAGGGCACAGTCCTGAGCAGAAGTACCCAGACTCTCAGAATGCTCTTCACTTAGAACCAATCTTAGGAAACCTGTAACTCTTCAGCCTGTTCTGAGTTGTCATAGAAGGTATCCTGGTCAAGGTCTGAGAGAAAAGCTGGAGATTTAAGGAAGTGAACTCCAAGCAAAAGCCTACATTTGGTCTGCTGAACCTTTTTAAAGTCATGATGAGATGGAGACCTCTGTTAATGAAATCCCTTGCTAGGGTCACCACTGAGAACCCCTTCACATAAGTGGCTTTTACTTCCCCTATACTGCTGTCTGATTTCTCCTGTTCCTGGTGTCTTTTCATATTCTTTTTATTATCTCTCTCTTTCCCTCGTCTTTTTCCACCTCTCTCCACCACCATTTTTGCTGCTATCTCAGGGGAGCTGTGCAGCTGACCTGTATCGACACCCACAGCTTGATGCAGACATTGAAGCCGTGAAGGAGATCTACAGTGAGAACTCTGTATCCATCAGGTGGGACTCTACTTCAGGGGTGGCAGGGGAGCAAGTCACTTCTTTCTGAGTTGTTAAAAGGCTAGAGGTTTTTCTTTTTATGGTATGATAGTGGGATAAATTATGAACTTAATGATAGAAAATGCTCAGAATAAATGAGCTTGGCTGAGAGTAGAGAGTAAGGCCACTTTTCTTAGGAATTCCCTCTTATCCTAGACCCCTCTGGGCCAGTAGTTTCACCTTTCAGGTAAGAAATGCTTTTGGCCTGGAAGTAGATCCTGATCAGGTAAGTGGTGTAAGGCTATAGCTAAGACCCTAGGTACAAAACTGTCATCCACTCTTCCCTTTCCCCTGTCCCCAGGCTCAGTTCTCTTTCCAACTCAGTTTCTATTCCCTTCTTTCTCCCTTAATGAGTCTCACCTGTTGTCACCTGTATCTCTATAGAGAATATGGAACTATCGATGACGTGGACATTGACCTCCACATCAACATCAGCTTCCTCGATGTAAGTGGGGCTAGTACCTGCCAACAACATGTCTAGCTGGACTTGTGGAATTTGTCATGTAGGCCAGGAGTCTTGTTCCCGAGTGCTGTATTTGGAGCACATATTCTTCATCTCTGTCTTTCCTAGACCATCAGCAGACAGTGGTGTGTACTGTCATGTGCATGTGTGTGTCATATAGGGGAAATTTCAGGTCCATTCGTCTATGTTGCTAAACTGGAAACTATTTCCCTTCTTCTTTTAGGAGGAAGTCTCTACAGCCTGGAAGGTCCTCCGGACAGAACCTATTGTGTTGAGGCTGCGATTTTCTCTCTCCCAGTACCTAGATGGACCAGGTAAAGGCAGTGACTTTGGGCAAGTGGGTGGTCTGAGTGTGGTCTAATCCAAAGCCCTAAGTTAACTGAGGTAGAAAAAAATTAGGAACAAGGTCCTTGGGCTCAATCTGCAGGCTATTGGTAGGGGCTTTTTAGTCCCCTGTAATTGGTATCTTCATCCCCTGTCACCTAATAACCATTCCCTAAAGGCCTTCTTGCCTAATGACATTGTTTTCTCTGGTTCCAAGATAAAATTTCTTTCTCCTCCTTTTCTCAACATCCTCCTGAGGATATTTCAGATTCATATGACAGCTTCGAGAATCTGCCCTCTCCCTCAGATGTTTTTTTTCTTCCACCGTTACTGTTTAGAGTACCCAGCAGCTATGATCTTTAGAATGTATGGAAGCTATTCCACTGAGCTTTGGACTCCAGGAAGACAAGAGATATGTACTTACTAGTAGCCTTCTCTTCTCTTTGCAGAACCATCCATTGAGGTTTTCCAGCCATCAAATAAGGAAGGATTTGGGCTGGGTCTTCAGTTGAAAAAGTAAGAACTTTGGTCTTTTCTGGTCATGGACATGTGAAGGAAGGAGAGAGAGGTGGAAATATATGGATGGACAGGCAGAGCCTTGGATGGAATGCCCCCTTCCAAAAATGTCTTTCTGAAATATGCCCAGGAAAAGCTAAAATAAATTTAGGGAGCCAGATTTAAGCTTGTGGAGAGAGAGTATGTGGTTCTTGGGTGTCAGAAGCTGAGACTTTCTAGAGATAAAAGAGGCTCATCACTACTTAGCATTTTTACTACCCTGAAATCAGAGTCATGCTATTCATATTTCTCTAGTGGTTTCTTCAGAGTAAGTCTCTAGGAACTCTAGTTTATTGAATGTGTTGAGCATTAAGCTAGGTATTTGGTATGCAAAGAAATGAAGCATATTTTCCACTCTCAGTGAAGTTTCAAATAGAGTCCACTGGATACATATTCTAATACAGGTGAATATGTAAGGTTTAGAAAGGACACTGAAGAGTGACTCAGTCTGTTGAAAGGGTGATGATTAATAATTTCCTTTTTTTTTTTTTTTTGGAGACAGAGTCTTGCTCTCACCCAGGCTGGAGTGCAGTGGCATGATCTTGGCTCACTGCAACTTCTGCCTCCTGAGTTCAAGTGATTCCTGTGCCTCAGCCTCCTAAGTAGCTGGGATTACAGTCACCCACCACCATGCCCGGCTAATTTTTGTATTTTTAGTAGAGATGGGGGTTTCTCCATGTTGGCCAGGTTGGTCCCAAACTCCTGGCCTCAAGTGATCCACCTGCCTCAGCCTCCCAAAGTGCTGAGATTACAGGTGTGAGCCACCGCACCCAGCCAATGATTAGTAATTTTCAAGGATGGATAAGAGTTGTCCATGTAGACAGATTCTGAGGGTGAATAACATTTGCAGGGGCTTAGTCACATAAAGCAGTATATGTGTAGGGAGCTTCAGGTAGTTAAATATTGCTGGTAAAATACAAGCTGGGGGTGTAGGAGCCAAAGCCAGAGAATAGGGAAGGGTTCAAGTTAGAGAGGATCTTGGACTTTTATCCTTTAGGCAGTGTGAACATTGAAGGGTTTAGGGAAAGAAATGACGTGGTCAGATTTATTTTTAAAAACCATTCTGGTAGCATTATACAAAATGGGTAGGAGGGGATGAGACAAGAGACCAGAACTAGTGTAGTAGGGTGCTTTTGTAAAAGTCAAGACAAGAGATGCTAAAGGCCAGAGCTAAAGTGTGATTATAGGTGAGAATGGAGATGAGAGACAGATTAGAAAGATTTGTGAGATATAAAATCAATAAGACTTGAAGACTGATTTAGATATATTGAATATAGCCATAAGGGCCAAAGAGTAGTGGAAAATACATTTAGGTTTCCAGCCTAGATGTCTGGGTAAATTGTGATACCACCAATGTAAATAGGGATATGAGAGGGGAGCAGGTTTGTAGGATGATGATAGGTAATTAGTTCCATTTTTGACATGTTATTTAAAGGTAACTTTCAGATATGCAGGTAGAGATGCTTATCCGAAATGTCAATTTGCTACTTACCAGAGTATATGTCAATTTGCTACTTAAAGGAGAGGTTAGGGTTGAAGATATGCATCAATGTGTGTGGGAAGAAGTTACAGTCAGTGAATATGAGATTGCCAAAGGAAGGCATGATAGTGGGAAAAGAAGATAGGATCAAGGACAAAATACCCTTAAACACTCAGATGAAATCCCAAAGAAACCAGCAGGGTAGGCAGAGGAAGAAGAAACACTGCAGGTAGGTCAGAGTAGAATAGGAAGATAATGGTGGCACAGAAGACAAAGGAGGGCAGGTTCTGCAAGGAGGGCCAGATGCCAGAGAAGATAAGAGAAGAACCTGGGAGTTTCCATCGGATTTAGCATCAGGATGAGAACAATTATAGTGGTGAAGGTAGGAACCAGAATACAGAAAGTTTGGAGGTGAGTGGTTGGCAACAACATAGAAACAATGAGTATGGGTTGAGAAATTTGTATGGGGATGGGAAGGCAACAGGGAGAGGTTAACTAGACTAAGGTGCAGAAAGTTGACATCTTTTGTTGACTTTGGGAAAGGAACTGACAGGAAAGGGGAATGATTGACACATCATGGTCCCTAAAAAGGCAATCAAAGGATTGATCTTAGGTAGAAGGGTCACCTTACCTCCAGAGAATGGAGGGATCAAGGTAGGGTGGAAATGTAAGTAGATTTTATAGTAGGGTTGGAAAATTAAGGGAACTGATACCTGATGGCTTAAGAAGGAAGAGAGGTTTTTGGTTGTAGATGAAGTTAGTAACTTAAAGAAGGTAATAAGGATTTAGAACAATACCTTAGAGTAATGCTAGAGAGAACTGATCAAGGACAAGTGAAAGGATTGACAAATCTAGCTAAGGGCGCAGCTCAAATTGGAAACCATAAATTTGAGAATATAATTTTTCTCCTAACAATGTCAGTACCCCTTATGTCCCTACTCCCTTTCTTCATGACTCACAAGGAACAAAGTGGTACTCACCTCCATCCTACCACTTCTGTTTCCCTGTCAACAGTATAGTCATTCTTGGCAATAGATTTCAAAGTTTGCAGCCTTTGAAGGCTCACCTTTGAAATCTCACTCTAAAGGCAACGCATCTCTGAATTTTTCTGGCCATTAGGCTAGGTGCCCTCTAGGGTGAAGGGGTGCTCTGGGATGGTGATTTTTTTATTTACTAAGGTCATTTAAAGGGGTCTTCAGATACACATTCCCCTACCACAACTAGCTTTGCAGTCCTTGGGTCTGAATTTTAGATTATTTGTCTCTCTTTAGTCCTTATTTCTTGACCCTGCCTCATCTTGCCTAAGCTCATTCTTTTTGATCCCTCAGGATCCTGGGTATGTTTACATCCCAACAATGGAAACATCTGAGCAATGATTTCTTGAAGACCCAGCAGGAGAAGAGGCACAGTTGGTTCAAGGCAAGTGGTACCATCAAGAAGTTCCGAGCTGGCCTCAGCATCTTTTCACCCATCCCCAAGTAAGTGCTCCCTAAAGCTGATCATCTGTAAACACCTTGTGATAGCCCCCACCCCCACCTTCTTGATTACATAAATGTTTCTATCCCCTCTCTTCCCTGAATTCTGTCTCTTTAACTACTGACACCACTCACATGGTCCTGTTCCCTATGTGTCCTTACCTTTCTACTCCTTATCCAAGGTTAATACCTAATCCTTTATGTAAAACAGAATACCTAGCTCGTGATATGTATTTGGAGAAATGTATGCTGAATCTTCCATCTTTCTGTTCTTTTGTCCTGATCCGTTTCCCCATCCTAAGAAGAAAGTGTCAGAGAACAGGCAGTAATTCCTTGCTAGGTTCTGGAAATAAATATTGCTCCATTCTTTGACCCCAGGTCTACATTTTCCCCCTGTGGTGTCTTCTGATATTCCCAAAGGCAGACACAAACCCAGATTTGTAGCTTCCCAGGAATCATTGTTGACAGTCAGATAGTCAATATTACGCCCTTTGGGATGCAACTACTTCTTGCCTAGCGCAGTGTTTAACAATCTCTCTCTCTATTTTTTTTTCTCTCTCTCAGAAAAACAGGCAGCCTTTCCAAGGGATTATTCCATACTTGGCTTAGAAACATAATAACCTATCCTCTGCCTCTGCCCACCCTCAGTGTCCCAATGTGAAGAACCCACAGATGATGACATAAAAATTTTAATTCAGATGTGTGATCTACTTGTTTTAATAGTGTTTAAGATACAATGCAACTTTCCTCAGATATGAGTTTGTCTTTCTTTAGTTTAGAACTTTTGGCTTAGGGCTCACTTATCTCCAGTCCCCTCCAGGGATCCTATGAAATCCCCAGTTTTATCACTTCTCTTTGCTCTCTCTCTGCAGGTCTCCCAGTTTCCCTATCATACAGGACTCCATGCTGAAAGGCAAACTAGGTGTACCAGAGCTTCGGGTTGGGCGCCTCATGAACCGTTCCATCTCCTGTACCATGAAGAACCCCAAAGTGGAAGTGTTTGGCTACCCTCCCAGCCCCCAGGCAGGTCTCCTGTGCCCTCAGCACGTGGGCCTCCCTCCCCCAGCACGGACCTCTCCTTTGGTACATGGGCTGGGGAGGGTTTGACTTGGCTATCAGGAGGGTGGGAGTGGAACTGTGGGAGTGTAGTTTCTCAAAATGGGGTGGGGATATGGTTGTCTAGGCATCATAAATCAAACCTAGGTATGTACCATGAGTGAGTAGAATGGAACACTTCTTTTTTTTTGAGACAGGGTCTCACTCTGTCATCCAGGCTGGAGGGCAGTGGCGATCTCTGCTCATTGCAGTTGCTGCCTCCCAGGCTCATGATCCTCCTACCTCAGCCTGTCAAGTAGCTGGGACTATAGGCACATGCCACGACTGGCTAATTTTTCATATTTTTGTAGAGACGGGCTTTTGCCATGTTGGCCAGGGTAGTCTTGAACTCCTGAGCTCAAGTGATCCGCCTTCCTTCACCTCCCAAAGTGCTGGGATTACAGGCACGAGCCACCACTCCCAGCTGGAAAACATTTTTTAACAGTAGAAAACTTATGTCTAAATTGTCTAGCGAGCTTCTCTGATAGGCCATGAAGCACAGAGTCTGGAGATGGGAATCTCAAGGAGAAGTCATGTATGATTTTATTAGTTTGTGAGTAGGACTGTAGTTAACTGTAGCTGCTGTACTAACCTATTCCATCTACTTTGAAGGAGGGTTAAGGACAGGTGAGCCCCTTTCCAGAACCTTTGGCAAAAATGTCTAAAAGTCTCCTTTCTAGCTTCGGGATTCTGAGCTAGGGTTTAGCTGCTTTAGGAGAGTCCTAGGTGATAGGCAAGAGTCAGGTCTGTCTAGGCCCCAGCTTCATAGGAGGTTCACGGGGTCTGTCTTTTTACTCTCACCAGGTCAGTGGTCACTGCAAGAACATTCCCACTCTGGAGTATGGATTCCTCGTTCAGGTAATCAAGTCAAAATTGTCACTCCGAAGCCCTTCCCTGTTGTCTGACCCATTTGGTCTCCTAACACCTCCCAGCTCCTCAATCAAATACTTTCTGAATTGCTTTGCTTCCAGAACTAATGGTAGAAGGAAAGAAGGCATTGTTCCCATCTTCAAGAAACTGACAGCATTACTAGAAAGACAATACTTACCACTTATGATCAAGTGCCAATGAGGCACCGCCAATTTTAAGTGTATGAGTGTCGAGACTCATATGACATGAGATGAGAATGAGATTGACACTAATTTCCTTAATGATTCCCAATAGCCCTTGCTCAAATGATCTTTAGTATTCTTCACAGACCCCCTTTCACTGCTCAGCTACTACTGGTCATTTGCTTTTTAAAATCTCTTTATTCCCTGGGCATGCTTTCACTTTTGCATCTCTGTTAACCTTTGTTCATGTAATTCTTCCTATCTTCCTCTTGCTATCAAGAGTCAGATGGCACCTTTTCCATAAAATTGCCATTACTCCAATGCATTAACTAGATGTGATGTCTCCCCTCACTGAACTGTTACGATTTGTTTTTGTTTCATATGGCACCTGTGTGTCACATACTATGGGCTGCCTTGAATTGTTATTAATTTATAAACATGCCACATCTCTCCTATTGAAGTTCAGCTTCTGAGAAAACAACCTTTAATTTTATTTCATAATCAAGAAGACCTTTCACAGAGCTGGGTACATAATGGGCATTCAGTAAATCTGCATTAAATGAATAAAGTCTCTTGCATGTCCCATTACCAGCCTAAAATCATGTGAAAGGGGAACAACTTGATTGATGCACAAAAGCTATGTTAAGACAGGGTGTCATTAAAAACAAACAAACAACAACAACAAAAAAAACGCTGTAGGATATTGCTGCATTAGCTCTGGATTTTCCTATCTTCCTAGCACAGAATTGTCTGTAGTTTTGACCAGTGGTCTGGCTAATTGTTCTAGGTAGTTGAAATGGCTTCTCAGGACCTTCTGCCATCTAATTGATTGAATGCTCTCCTATCCCAGAGGGACAGCCTATAATTACAAGTACTTTTAATAGTTTGATTAGCATCCATTTTATATTTTTAAAATGCCTTCATGGACATCATCTCATTTCTTGCAATACCCCTATGAGGTGAATAATGCTGTGCTATATAAACAAAGAAACCAAGGCTCAGGTTAACTGACTTGCTTAAAGTTATATATGCCATTAAGTATTAGAAGTACAGTGTTAACCCAGGTCTTCTCAATCAAACATCATGTTCTTATTTTTACTATACCATACAGTCTTAGCTCTGCAGTCAGGCCATCAGTTTAAGTACACAGCCTAAGAATATATCCTACCTTAGGCACGGGGCTGGGAGGATGGAGGGTAGTTGGAAAAAAAAGCTGAAATTATTTCCCATATCTGTGTGTGCCAGTACTTCCAAAAGACTTAGAATCTGTTGTTTTCTCAGATCATGAAGTATGCAGAACAGAGGATTCCAACATTGAATGAGTACTGTGTGGTGTGTGATGAGCAGCATGTCTTCCAAAATGGATCTATGCTGAAGGTATAGGACCGTACTCTATGACCCTCTTCCTTAACCAGGTCCCCTTCACTCCTCTCCTTTATTTCCTTCTTCCTTGGTCTGTGGTCAAGGTAAAATTCTGTCTGTACACCCTGATACTCTAGAAATTGTTGATTTTTCTCAGAAAACAAGTCTCAGCAGTACTGTTTAGAGAGATGAGGATATGAGAATATTTATTTAGGATAGAGTCCACCTGACATTTAAAAATGGGGATCAGATATTGACCAAGATGATTGGATATGATGCTGTCCTCAAGGACTCTAAGTCCAGATGGGAGACAGACAAATCACAATGTATGGTAAGTTTATAGAAGAGATATTAGCATTGTTAAAAATCAGGTGAGAGAACATCTGACTTCATAGGAAGATCAGGGAAGGCTTCATAGGGGAGACAGTGTTAACTCCCAAACTTATCAGTAAGGCATTTTAATTAAGACTTTATTGGTAGTTTTCTCCTGATATAGAGGGCCTCAAATTCCTACCCTGTTTTAGAGTTGTCTGAGGTTAGGACTGTCCCTCTCTGCCTACACCTTATTGCACACCCCATCCCACCACCATCTGTTTAATATATCCTTTCAGCCAGCTGTCTGTACTCGTGAACTATGCGTTTTCTCCTTCTACACACTGGGCGTCATGTCTGGAGCTGCAGAGGAGGTGGCCACTGGAGCAGAGGTATGGGGGAGGGAAACGTGGCTGGGGAATTGGGATCAAGAAAGACAGAGGAACCCAGCAATTTCATTCTTGGAATTTAACTTCCAAAAATGCTTTTGTATATAAGATAACCACTGTAGTATTGTTTGTAAAATAAAAAATGGATACAACCCCATCTGTAGGGGCTCCAGTTAAAGAAATTATGGGATATCGTTAGAGTAGATGTACTATATAGGTATTATTTATAGACAAAATTTTAACATAGTCATATAAAAAAGCAAATACAACAGCATATGTAGTAAAATTGTCCATGTAAGAAAATAAAGGGCCGAGCACAGTGGCTCACACCTGTAATCCCAGTACTTTGGGAGGCTGAGATGGGAGGATGGCTTGAGCTCAGGAGGTCGAGGCTGCAGTGGGCCATGATCACACCACTGCACTCCAGCCTGGGTAACAGAGTGAGCCCCTGTCTCTTTAAAAAAGAATGAGAGAGAAAGAAAAGAAAATATTTCCGTAGGAAAATTATCTGGAAGGATATACATCAAACTCACTAGTACTTAGCTGTGAGAATTGAGATTAGTTTAAGGGCAGGAAGATGGTTTTTTATCTTTAATTACTTTGGTATTACTTGAATTTTTATGAGCTTGTATTTTCTATTTTGAAAGCCTTAAACATATTTGCTTTTTAAAAGAACATCAGAGAGAAATACTGGGTACTCTGACTCCCAGTACTGGGAAATCATTTAGCTTCTGCCCTGTTTTTTTTCCTTTCCCCTAAGGTGGTGGATCTGCTGGTGGCCATGTGTAGGGCAGCTTTAGAGTCCCCTAGAAAGAGCATCATCTTTGAGCCTTATCCCTCTGTGGTGGACCCCACTGATCCCAAGACTCTGGCCTTTAACCCTAAGGTATGTTACTTGAGAAAGTCAGGGCTAAGGAACAGAAATGATAAAAGATAGTGGCAGACTATGGGCTGACATTCTGGTATATACAGGGCTTGGAATAAGGGACAGAATTCTTAAACTCTGTGATTTAGCTGTTTCAGTAAATAAATAGCCAAGTTTGACACAGAAAGGGGAGAAGAATTAATATTAGTTACATTATGATAGGGAAAAAGGGCTTTTGGAGCCAGACAGACCTGGATTCCATTTGAGATTCTGCTACTCCCCATTTGAAGGGTATTAGGCAAGTCACTTAACGTTTCTAAACTTCAATCTCCTTATCTTGTAAAAAGGGATAATATTTATTTTGCAGATCATTATACAAATGAGAAGTAGGCTGGGCGCGGTGGCTCACGCCTGTAATCCCAGCACTTTGGGAGGCTGAGGCAGGTGGATCACAAGGTCAGGAGATCGAGACCATCCTGGCTAACATGGTGAAACCCTGTCTCTACTAAAAAATACAAAAAATTAGCCAGGTGTGGTGGTGGGCGCCTGTAGTCCCAGCTACTCGGGAGGCTGAGGCAGGAGAATGGCATGAACTTGGGAGGCAGAGCTTGCAGTGAGCCGAGATTGTACTACTGCACTCCAGCCTGCTTGACAGAGCGAGACTCTGTCTCAAAAAAAAAAAAAAAAAAAAAAAAAAAAAAGAGAGAAGTAATATATGTAAAGTACTGTTTTAGGGTTTTCCAGAGAAACAGAGCCAATAGGAGATATATATGGAGAGAGAAGGAGAAAGAGGTTTATTATAAGGAATTGCCTCACATGATTATGGAGGCTGAGAAGTCCCAATATCTACAGTTAGCAGGCTGCAGACCCAGGAGAGCCAGTGGTACAGTGGTAGTCCCAGTCCCAAGGCTTGAAAAATCAGAGAGTGGGCTGGGCGCAGTGGCTTCTGCCTGTAATCCTAGCACTTCGGGAGGCCAAGGCGGGTGGATCACTTGACTGGAGTGAGGAGTTAAAGACCAGCCTGGCCAACATGGTGAAACCCTGTCTCTACTGAAAATACAAAAAATTAGCCAGGCATGTTGGTGGGCACCTGTAATCTCAGCTACTTGGGAGGCTGAGGCATGAGAATCGCTTGAACCCAGGAGGCAGAGGTTGCAGTGAGCCAGGATCGCACCACTGCACTCCAGGCTGGGTGACAGAGCGAGACTCTGCCTCAAAAAAACAAAACCAAAAAATCAGAGCCAATGGTGTAAGTTCTAGTCTGAAAGCCTGAAGGCTTAACATCCAAGAAGAGCCAATTTTTTTTTTAGTTCAAATCCAAAGACTGGAAAAGACTGATAATCCAATTCAAGCAATCAGGCAGGAGGAATACCTACAAACTCTACAAACTCATGGCGGGGTGGGGCAGAGGAGTCAGCCTTTTTGTTCTATTTAGGTCATCGATTGATTGGATAAGGCCCTTCCACATTAGGGAGGACAATTTGCTTTACTCAGTCTGCTGATTCAAATGTTAATCTCAACCAGAAACACCCTCACAAACACACCCAGAAATAATGGTTGACCAGATGAGTGGGTACCTCATGGCCCAGTCAAGTTGACACACAAAATTAACCATCACAAGTACCCAGCATAGTACCTCACTATTACTGTCATTACTATACAGAGTTCTTTATATATGATATTTAATCCTCAGAACATCTCTATGGGGGTGATAGGAGTTATCTTCACTTGCATAAAGGGATGCTAAAGGTTCTAAGAGGCCAAATAACTTACCCTGTTACTCCCAGCTGGTAAAAGAGAACTAGCATGTGCCCCTAGAACTGTCTGACATTAATGCTCTTTCCATGACATACTATTGTTTCCTAGGGCCTAGACTTTTTTGGTACATCTAGCCCCTTTTCATCACATCTTACTTTCCTCTACTTTTCTTTATTTGGTTCTTCTCTTCCCATTGATTCTCCACAGAAGAAGAATTATGAGCGGCTTCAGAAAGCTCTGGATAGTGTGATGTCTATTCGGGAGATGACCCAGGTATTCTGCCTTCTCTCTGTCCCCTCTCCTTTGCCTGCCCAGTTCAAGTGTCCTATTCTGTTGGTAATTTGTGGGAGTGGGATGAAGATTTAGAGATGCTACGCACTGTATTTTTTTTTTAGTCTTTCCTCTTTAACCTTCCCAATTCCTGTTCTCTGTTTTGTTAGCTCTGTTACTCCTCTTTATTCTCTTTAGTCTTTGTGTCTCAATCTTTACCTTTGCTGTTAATTCCTTTACAAGTTGTTCATATTTAATGTTTTGCCATAATTCTTAGGGAGTTAAGAAGTGAAGGAAAGACCTCTGCCCAGGGTTGGGAGGGTGAGGAGGAGGGGGGCTTGAAGGTAAGGAACTAGACACAGGGGCCTACATCTTCTATCCTTCTAGGGGTGGGGCAGCCACATGGAGCGGTGACCATCCTTTGACTCAAGGCTGTCCCTCACCAGACTTCCCCACCCCTCGTCTGCAATCTCTGCATGAATAGACATTCATTTGTACTCATTTACAGGTGGGCCTCTTCTCAGCAAATCCTGTATATCACAGTTGAGATTTACACATAAGATACACCTAGGAGGAATGATTTACTTGTCAGGAGGACGCTTTGCATTATTTAAAGATTTACCACAGGATTCCTTAGCCTAATCTTCTTGGGACATTGATTTTATTTATTTTTTGATTTATAATCAACTTTTTAGGGCTGTAGGAATTGCATAAAATGAGGGAGACCCACCTGCATGTTGTTTTGTAAGCATCTTCAGTCATTTTCATATTTATTTATGAGTCTTCCCAGCCTGACTAGGGCTCCTTGAGGGTGGGAACCCTATCTCCTTTTTCCTCTGTGTGGCCTTTGGTGCCTACCTTGCCCTGGACCCTAATAGTCACTCTGTGAAAAGCAGAAAGCAGGTAGGCTCCCACCTCTCCAAGGAGATAACGTTATGGCCATTGTCTTACAGGGCTCATATTTGGAAATCAAGAAACAGATGGACAAGTTGGATCCCCTGGCCCATCCTCTCCTGCAGTGGTATGGATAGAATGGCTCATCCTTCTTGGGTTATGGGGAGGGAGGGAGTTATTGGACATGGAACCTGTACCTTCTTTTAGTGGTGGTTTCAACATCCTTCCCAAGGTTATAGGCAGTAATGGGTGCTTTTTCTTGGAGTTTGTTGGCATACCTTGCCTTGAAAATAACACATCCTACAAAACGCCCACAAATTCTGACATGATTTTTCTTTCAAAAAAATTATTTTTAATCTTATTTTAATTGTTTCTTTTTTTTTTTTTTTGAGATAGGGTCTCACTCTGTTGCCCCGGCTAGAGTGCAGTGGTGCGATCATGGTTCACTGTAGCCTTGCCCTTCAGTGCTCAAGTGATCCACCTCAGCCTCCCCAGTAGCTGGGACCACAGGCATGTGCCACCACACCCAGCTAATTTTTTTTTTTTAATAGAGATGGAGTCTCCCTATGTTGCCCAAGCCAGTCTTGAACTCTTGGGCTCAAGTGATCCTCCTGATTGGCTTCCCAAAGTGCTGGGATTACAGCTGTGAGCCACGATGTGCAGCTGACATGATTTTTCAAGTTCTCTTTAGGTGTTCCATGTTTCGCAATAGGTTTTGTTGTTTGTTTTCTTTTTTGGTTTGTTAATTTATTTTTTAAATTGACAGATAGAAATTACAGGGCCGGGTGCAGTGGCTCACACCTGTGATCCCAATACTTTGGGAGGCCGAGGCGGGCGGATCACCTGAGGTTGGGAGTTCGAGACCAGCCTGACCAACATGGAGAAACCCCATTTCTACTAAAAATACAAAATCAGCTGGGCATGGTGGCCCATGCCTGTAGTCCCAGCTACTCGGGAGGCTGAGGCAGGAGAATCGCTTGAACCCGGGAGGCGGAGGTTGCCGTGAGCTGAGATTGCTCCATTACACTCCAGCCTGGGCAACAAGAGCGAAACTCCGTCTCAAAAAAAAAAAATTACATGTATTGTGTACAACATGATGTTTTGAAATATGTGTACATTGCAGAATGGTTCAGTAGAGCTAATAAGCATATGCATTATCTCGCGTATGTATTTTTTGTGGCGAGAACACTTAAAATCTACCACAGTGATTTTGAAGAATATTACACATTGTTACTAACTATAGTCACCACCAATAGGTTTTTGTGTCCTTTGCATGTAGAAATTAACACTGTTAATTTCAACTAAGTTTTCTTTGCATCCAGAGACGTCTGTCTCCTCCTGCTATCCCCTTGCCCTGTCTCTGGGCCTCCTTGATGATATAGAATGTCCAGAGCCTTGAGGCACTATTGCTGTGCTCTTCTCCTAGCCAAGATTTTGACTGTCCCTGCTGCCATCCATTCCTGATCTCAATTTCTATTGTTTTCCTGACATAGCTTTCCCTTTTTAGTTTGCCTCCCTCTTCCTAGTCAGCCTTCAGTACTTCCTCAGTGCAACAGCTTTCTCCCTCTTAGCCTGAGGAATAACCAGGCATAGACCATCTGAGGTGGCATCACAGGTACATAGATGAGGCACAAAAAACAAAGACAACAGCAAACTGTATCCACATGGGAGATAGTGCTCTCTTGCTGAGCCCTCAGTGTTTTATGTCTGTTCTCTTCTATCTTCTGTGTTCAGCCTGTATAGAGCTTAGTCTGTCCTTGACTCCTAAGGAAGTTCATTCTAGTTTCTTCTGTTTCTTTTTCCAGCCTAGACAGTAACTTTCTCTCCGTTTCTCCCCATTCCTGAGAGCTTTCATGTTTTCTCTTAAGCTAAGGAAGGATGGCTTCTGAGCCCAGGTCTGAATCTGAGTCTAAATCCCAGGTATAAGTTGTCACCATTCTAATTCAGACCTCTTGCTGTTTTTTCTTTTCTTTTTTTGTAGGTGACCTCTGTGCTCTTCCTTTTGTTCTACCCTTTTTACTCCCTACTTGTAGCAGCACTCCTCCCACCCCTTTTTTTTTTTCATCCATTGTTTAACTCCCCAATAATTAGCTTGTGTCTGGTCACTACCTTCCTTTTTACCTTTTTATTCATAAGCACTATCACCCACAGGAATATCCAGATAGTGACCTTGACATTTCACACAATTTGGACAGCCCAGGAATCCTTGTTTATTCTCCCAAAGGCAGAGGAAGACTGGCTTGTTCAGAAAGGATAGCTTAAATACATAATTATTCTATCCTTTTTATTTTTTTCTGTTTCTTCCCAGGATCATCTCTAGCAACAGGTCACACATTGTCAAACTACCTCTCAGCAGGGTAAGTGACCATTCTCCCTCTAAATGCTTTAAATTTCTGGTGAGGGGCAGGGAGGGGCTGGAAGCCAGCTAACCATATTGGTCCTAGATCTGCCTACATTGCTCTGTCCATCAACTTAGTCTTTGGGCCTTAGCATATTTCCCTTGTGTGGGGTTAATGCAAGCCTGATTTTTTCCCCTATCCCCAACCCTTCCCTCCCTGATCTCGATTTCTGCTCTGTTTTCCTGATTCCACCCCCACCCTGGGCAGCAGCTGAAGTTCATGCACACCTCACACCAGTTCCTCCTGCTGAGCAGCCCTCCTGCCAAGGAGGCTCGGTTCCGGACCGCCAAGAAGCTCTATGGCAGCACCTTTGCCTTCCAGTGAGGAGGCTGGGGGCTGGGCAGTGGGGGTGGTGAGGGGGCGGGGATGAGCAAGAAGGATGCCCTTGAGATATGAGTTTGTGTTACATGTGTCCATCAACCAGTCAGCAGATACTTACTAAATGCTATTGTGGTAGGTGCTATAGAGGACAAAAAGGTACATATAATGTGGTCTTTATTCTCAAACTATTTATGATGTAGTTGAGGAAAAATGACATTTACATGTGAAAAGATGTGGCTGAAGAAATAGATTGGAGAGAACAGATCTGAAAGCTACTTTGATGGAAAAATCCACAATTTATGCCTAATTTTGAGAGGAGGGAAAGAGAAAGAGAGGTATTAAAGAGAACTTATAGGGAGTGGTAGTACCCTTTTCTTAAAATAGAACATGAAGTCAGAACTGGAAGCCATATTTGGGGTCAGTGATAAATTTGTTGATTTTCAGATGAATTTATTGAATTTGAAATGTCAGGATAATGGGCAAATAAAAATACTGAACCAGCAGTTGAGGATTTAGGATGGGAGTAGCTGAAGCACCGAAGAGAGGATGGGACTGGAAATAGAGACGTAGAGTTTAACCACACACACACATCTTGCATGCCTGTGACTGTATCCATGTGCATGTCCATCACTAGGTGTACCTGTCCATCTTCATGTCCTGTGTGGGTGAGAATGGGTGGGAATGGCAGTCTTGGGAGTGTTCCTGGGAACCTCATATCATAAGGAGACATGTATTCTACCCTGCCTTACAGTGGGTCCCACATTGAGAACTGGCATTCGATCCTGCGCAATGGGCTGGTCAATGCATCCTACACCAAACTGCAGGTGAGGCTGTGCCCCTTTCTCCTTTATTTCTAACCGCTCCCTTCCCTACTCAGTTTTGTGGAAGGCTGCTCTAGAGTAAGCTGTTTTTGCCTCAGTGTCCTCAAGCCTAACCTGTCTTGTGGAGTTCCCTAGAGAGGAAGTTAGAACTGTATGAATAGAGAACGTGGCTGTTGTGTATTTGATCTCAGTCTGCGTTTTTTTGGTGGTTTGGGGAATGGGAATGTACCTGTAAGCAGGAATATGGAATTGCTGATTGTAGCCACTGTGATGAATTAATCTATTAGAGCTTTTCAATTTATGTGGCTATTCATTCAAGGAGTAGATATGGGAGACTTTTTCTATGCCCTGAGAGACTCCAGGGAGTGTGTATTGGCCCTCCTTCTGGCTACCCGTTCTGTAGTTCCTCTTTTTTGGAATCTGCATATGTACCAAGGCCTGGAGACAGGAAAATGAATGCTGAGGGACTGACTCAGTGGTTCTACCATTTCCCACTCTCGAATGTGTCAGTATGTAGCACTTCATAGGCAAGCAGGTTAACCTGCATCCACTTTTCAGCCAGTTGGCTTTCCGAGAATAGGTGCTTAGGGTTACTTGAATGAGAAGGTAGAAGGAGGGACAGAGGGCTGGATAAGCCTTGCTGCTGCCTAATAAATAGCCATGGGAGGGCCCAGGCTCATATTACTCATCCTGGTGTTTCCCTGCAAGCTGCATGGAGCAGCCTATGGCAAAGGCATCTACCTGAGCCCCATCTCCAGTATTTCCTTTGGATACTCAGGTAAGAAATATTCTGTGGCCACCTTGACTCTATTTACATTGCCTCCATTTGTGAATACATGATTTGTGCTGTCTGTTCCTCCCTCATTATGGATACTTGGTCTGTGTCAGCTCTCTCCCCGATCATGGATACATATTCTCTCTCTCTCTACATTTTCTTATTAGAAATTTAGATTCTTTACAAGGTGAGGCCAGTTATTGTTAAAAATGATGGTTTTATTCATAGCAGGGGCTTGGCCCTGGGAATGGGTGGAGGAATAACAGGGACATAACAAGGCTTTTTGTAGAACACGTTTGGTGTTGGCAATTATAGATTGTGTTTGTGTATACTTGTACATGTAAGTTTACATGTGAAAACATCTGAAGGCCTGAAGGCTTGCGTCCTTTCCATTGGCTTATATTTCTAGAGACACTGTTCTCTCTCTCAACCATCTTTTAAAATTTAAACTGTCTATAATCTTACACTATTATGTTAGTCACATTGAATGCAAGATAAAGCATTTTATTCTAAAGATGAGGTCCAGATTCTAATCAGGAGATGAGTCAAGCTCAGAAAAGGAAATCTGATTTAGAGTTCTCTCAGTCTTCCTGGCTTATGTCTTAGTTCATTTTCAGTCTGCTTTTGTGCTTGTTTGATGTAGTCTCTGTACAAGGTATAGTCACCATGTAGTTGCATGTTCACTACATGAAGGGGATTGTGCTAGATTCTTAATAGATTATTACTTGATATCCTGTAGTAATTTGTAACTGTTACAAAGATCAGAAAATGTAGTGCCATCAGGAGGCTGAGGCAGGAGAATCGCTTGAACCCGGGAGGCGGAGGTTGCAGTGAGCTGAGATTGCACCACTGCACACCAGCCTGGTTGACAGAGGGAGACCCCGTCTCAAAAAAAAAAAGAAAAAAGAAAGTGCCAGAATCAGAGGCCTAAAAACATCTCTAACAACAGAATAAACCAAACAAAATAGAAAAAAGGAGATAATACAGGTAAGAACTAACACCTGTGAAATAAAAATAGGTACAATAGATAGTACCAAAAAAGTCCAAAGATGATTTCAAAGAACTAACAGAACAGATAAACCCTGGTTAGATTAAGAGAAAAAGGACACAATTAAATAATATAATGACCAAAAAAAGCAGTACAACTATAGATAAGCAGAATTTAAAAAGGTAATAAGGCGGGGCACGGTGGCTCACACGTGTAATCCCAGTACTTTGGGAGGCTGATGTGGGCAGATCACTTGAGGTCAGGAGTTCAAGACCAGCCTGGCCAACATGGTGAAATCCTGTCTCTACTAAAAATAGAAAAATTAGCCAGGCATGGTGGCATGCACCTACTCGAGAGGCTGAGGCAGGAGAATCGCTTGAACCCAGGAGGCAGAGGCTGCAGTCAGCCAAGATCAAACCAGTGCACTCCAGCCTAGACAACAAAGCAAGACTCTGCCTAAAAAAAAAATAAAAAGTAATAAGAGAGTTACCTACACTATGCTAATAATTTAAAAACTTTGATAAAATGGATAAATTTCTAGAAAAAGATAACAAATCTGACAAGAAATAGCCTGTATAATCATAATACTATAAAAGAAATAGAAATTGTGTAAAAATTTCCACACACAAAATAAACCTCACCAAGCCCAGATGGTTTTACAAATTAATCTTAAACTTTCAAGGAACAAATTATTTTAGTTTTATCTAAAGTCTTCCAGAGAATAGAAAAAATGGAATTACAAATCATAAAAGATTGATAAATTTGACTATATTAAAATTAAAAACTTCTGGCTGGGCACAGTGGCTCACACCTGTAATCCCAACACTGGGAGGCTGACGTGGGATGATTGCTTGAGCTCAGGAGTTCAAGACCAGCCTGGGCAACATGGCAATACCCCATCTCTGCAAAAAAATAAAAATAACCAGGTCTGGCAGTGCGTGCCTGTAAGTCCTAGCTGGTCAGGAGGCTGAGGCAGGAAGATCACTGAGCCCAGGAGGTTGAAGCTGCAGTGAGCCATGATCATGTCACTGCACTCCAGCTTGGGCAGTAGAGCGAGACCCTGTCTCAAAAAAGAAAAAAAATTTAAAACTTATATTCTTCAGAAGACACCCTAAAGAAAGTGAAGAGACAGGCTACAAACCGACAGAAGACATTTGCAGCACATATAACCACAAAAGATTAGTAATAAAAGTGTACTTTTTGGCTGGGCGCAGTGGCTCACGCCTGTAATCCCAGCACTTTGGGAGGCCAAGGCAGGGAGATCACCTGAGGTTGGGAGTTTGAGACCAGCCTGACCAACAGGGAGAAGCCCCATCTCTACTAAAAATACAAAGAAAATTAGCCAGGCGTGGTGGCACATGCCTGTAATCCTAGATACTCAGGAGGCTGAGGCAGGAGAATCGTTTGAATCTGGGAGGCGGAGGTTGCAGTGAGGTGAGACTGCGCCATTGCACTCCAGCCTGGGTAACAGAGCAAGACTCCATCTCAAAAAAAAAAATAATAATAAATATGTTCAATAAGAAGAGGGAAGTCCCAGAAGACAGAGTGAGACTGTGATGCCTTTTTTATATTGTTCAAAAGCAAACAAAATTAAACATTGTTTAGGCATATATATGTGTATTATGTGTGTGTGTGTGAAAACTAAAGGAAAAAGAAAAAACAAAAGAATAATAACTCAAATTGCAGGATAGTGATTACCTCCAAAGGGAGGCATATAGTTAGATGTAAGTCACTGGTAATGTTTTAGGTTTAGAATTTAGTTCTTTGATTGGGTCTCTGGGTATTCATTGTCTTATTAAAAAATAATAATGAGGCTGGGCATGGTGGCTCACACCTGTAATCCCAGCACTTTGGGAGGCCAAAGCAGGTGGATCACGAGGTTGGGAGTTCGAGACCAGCCTGACCAACATGGTGAAACCCTGTCTCTACTAAAAATAGAAAAATTAGCTGGACATGGTGGCAAACATCTGTAGTCCCAGCTACTCGGGAGGCTGAGGCAGAAGAATCACTTGAACCTGGGAGGCGGAGGTTGCAGTGAGCTGAGATCGTGCCACTGCACTCTAGCCTGGGCAACAGAGTGAGACTCCGTCTCAAAAAAACAAAACAAAACAATAATGTGTTATGAAACAAAGATTATGATTAATCCACACAGGGCAAGTGACCAACACATATTTATTGAATATATGAGTGAATCTTACTCTGTGTGCCTGGCATCCAAAGTGGGGTTAGGGTTGGAATAGTCTTTTTGATTTGTCTGGATTCTTCACTTTTTATCTTTGTCTCAGCCTAAGCATCCCTCTGATTAAGTTCTTTTGTCTTTCCGAGTAGTGAGATTCTCATGGTTCTTGGTGCCCACTGAGATTCTTCTTTTCTGTTTTCTCCCTATGCCCTCCCTTTCTTTCTCTTTTCTCCCCCTGGCCTTTGTTTACTACCAAGTGCCTAAATACCTTTAGTTACCAGATGAAGCCAGAAATCTCTGTTGACCTCTCGTCTTTCTTCATCACTTAACCGATTACATAAAGATATCATAGACACCTTTCATCTCCCTCTCTCAAAGGGTAATTGATTATAGATACAAAATGCAGTTGAATTTTACTATTGGAGTTAGAGATCATCTAATTTAATCCCTTATTACTTTACAGATAAGAAAGCTGATATACAGAAAAGTTAAATGATTTTCTTATGGTCACACAGCTATGAGTAGCAGAGATAGGGCTGCAATCCAGGTCTCCTAATTTCTAGGCCATTGTTGTTATCACTATATGATACGGTTTGGCTGTGTCTCCACCCAGATCTCATCTTGAATTCCCATGTGTTGTGGAAGGGACCCAGCGGGAGGTAACTGAATCATGGGGGCAGGTTTTTATTTGTTTTTGTTTTGTTTTGTTTTGTTTTTTGAGACAGAGTCTCACTCTATCGCCCAGGCTGGAGTGCAGTGGCGCGGTCTCAGCTCACTGCAAGCTCTACCTCCCGGGTTCACGCCATTCTCCTGCCTCAGCCTCCCGAGTAGCTGGGACTACAGGCGCCCACCACCACGCCCAGCTGATTTTTTTGTATTTTTAGTAGAAGTGGGGTTTCACCATGTTAGCCAGGATGGTCTCGATCTCCTGACCTCGTGATCCGCCTGCCTTGGCCTCCCAAAGTGCTGGGATTATAGGTGTGAGCCACTGTGCCTGGCCCATGGGGGCAGGTTTTTCCAGTGCTGTTCTTGTCATAGTGAATAAGTCTCATGAGATCTGATAGTTCTATAAGGGGGAGTTTTGCTGCACAAGCTCTCTCTTTGGCTGCCACCATCCATTTAAGATGTGACTTGCTCCTCCTTGCCTTCCACCATGATTGTGAGGCCTCCCCAGCCATGTGGAACTGTAAGTCCATTAAACCCTTTTTCCTGTATAAATTACCAAGTCTTGGGTATGTCTTTATCAGTAGTGTGAAAATGGACTAATACACTATATTAGACTGACAGAGTAGGCCTTGCTTGAATGACGGGTCTCTGAGGGCCCTATAGATATGTGAGTATGTATAATGGGATGTTGGGGGAAATGTGTGCAAATGTTCCACTTACTGTAGTTACTCCAGCATTTGACCAACTGTCTTGTATGTTTTCTTCTACGCTATTCTGCTCTGGTTTTCTGTTTTTTCTTTCTCACACTATCTTTAGCCTAATGGCATTGAGTGCCCTCTGGAAGTGAGGGTTGGTGTAAATAGCGTTCATATATCTAGTTCCAGTGACTTGGCTATAAAGTTCAGGTTGAAATAGGGGACAGTGAAAAAGGAGGTGATATACTCCATCTGTTTGTTTAGTCTTGTTTAGGGACTTCTGATAAGTGCATACTCTGGACACAGAACATCTAGGGATTATTCTAGCCACCATGATCTCAGGTTCTGGGCTCAGGAAATGGACAATCATTGGATCAGTGTGGAAAGGATAGTGTACAACAGGATTGAGTTGGGACAAGATTTGGGTTATATCATAAGGGCCATCTCTAAGACCTGCCAGAGAAATCAGATTGTTCTTTATTATCTTTTATGTGCCTCCTCTGGAGTATAACCTGAATGGGAATTTTACTTTTTGTCACTGACATACCCAGTTTGAGAGAAGGTCATGATGTTTGGGTGGAGAGCTGAACCTAGTTAAGGCTAATGGGGAAGGTGAAAACAGGGGTTATGAGTACCTGTCCTGTAAAAGGAAGAAATGGGCAATTCAAGCCTTGAGGCTCTTGGTGTCCTGAGTTTTGTTCAGGCCCTACCTAAATCTGTCACGAGACTTGAGTGTAAATGCATGATGAATTGACAGCCTGAGCAGTGAAGAATGTCAGTTCAACAGCTATCAGTCTATTTCTACACCATGGCTATGAGAAAACCAAGAACTGATCAGAGTGGAGTTAATAGTAATAGAAAGTTCCAGGGTAGAGTGGTGAGAGTGCTTATGACCTATAATGATAGCATCATCTCCATCTTCATCTCTCTCCCTGGTGGACACACACAGGCACGTGTGTCCACACATGGGTAGACATTTTTATCCCTAACTGTGGTAAGATTGGGCCTATGATAAAGCTGAGTACAGAGACTTAACGTCCTATCCTCAAACCAAAAAGAGTGAGGAGTGGGAGCACACAAGCACATTTTCATATCTAAATAAGAAAAGTCCAAGTTGAGTCTATAAATGTTATAAACGGGTAAGGAAGGTAGAGAGTTTATGGATTTAGATAATGTGGAAACTAGAAGGAATGGGCACTTCTTTCTCAAGCCTGGGAAGACTGTTTGAAGTAGGATTCTTCAAGTTAGTTGCCATTGTGATTTCCTGTACAAAATTATTCATCACTTAACTGCTGATGCTTTTCTCTTGAATGACTGGTCAGGTTTTTAATGTAACTTTGAGACTAGAGCAAATCTGACTTGTTCTGCTTGCTTCCTTTCCATTCATTTTACTCATCCAGGCACTTGACACCAAGGTATTGATGTCCCACTCTCCTGGGCCCCTCATTCCTGGCTGATTTCATGTGCTGCTCCCCTATCTTAGAACCCTGCAGTGGTTCCCTAATGTTCTGAGGATAGACTTTAGTTGCCTTAACATGGCCTGCAAAGCCGGCTTGATCTGATCCTAGCTTGCCTCTTCTACATCATTTCTCACCACTCCTCTGCAATTCACTATTCTCTATGCAACTAACACACACTACCTTATCTTTCCTTCAGGCCTTCTGTATCCTATTACTTCTTCCCAGACACTTCCCCGCTGTTTATTTAATTAACTCTTCCTAATCCTGCAGTTCTCAGTCTAGCTGTCACCACATGACTTCTTTAAACTCTTAGGCTAGGCTAGTTGCCCTCCTCTAGGCTCACACCATGCTCTATAATCTGCATCACAACCCCTTACCATGCTGTGTTGTTAATTACTTGTTCTTGCTTGTAATTTCCAGCAGACTAAATTCTGTGGGGGAAAATAATCTTCTTTGTTTTATTCTCTGCTGTTTTGATGAGCATCTAGCTCAGTGCTGGGACATAGTAGGCACTTTCGTAAATTTTTGATAAATGAAGTGGGTGTATTGTTCTGTGACAGGAATGGGAAAAGGACAGCACAGGATGCCCTCCAAGGATGAGCTGGTCCAGAGATACAACAGGATGAATACCATCCCCCAGGTATTGGAACTATTCTAATGAGGCAGGACCTTTCCCTGGGGCTAATTTAGGCTCCAGAGCTGGACAGGGAAACAGTGGGGTGAGAATGGGTTGGGGAGTGATTTGAGATCATTTAAAGGAGTCAGGTATGTTCTAAAGTGAACACACGTCTGGAGTCATATGTAGCTGAAGTCATGAGTATAAAAGCAGAGGCTGAGTTTAGATGAAAATGTAAAGATGGAAGCTGTGACCCTATCCAGACTGATTATGGGAAAGAAGAATTTTCTGGGCGGCGAGGGGTGTTGCTGGGAGCCCAGGATATCTCTGATCCCCACTCCCAATCATCAGCTAACCAGCCTCTCTAGGGAAAGCTGTACCCATCTACCTGGCTCTGGTCTCCTTTGCCTCCTTCTCTTCCAGACCCGATCCATTCAGTCACGGTTCCTGCAGAGTCGGAATCTAAACTGTATAGCACTTTGTGAAGGTAGGTAGCTTGCCCATGTCCTGTTTTTCTGGGTCTCTAACCTTTGTTTCTGATGTAATTTTGGCACATGATCTGGCCAAGAGTGATGTTGAAGTGGCATGGCTTCCTTCTCCTGCCTGGACTCTGTGCCTTAAGCATTGTATCTATGATTTCTGGCCCTCTTTCTCCCAGTGATTACATCTAAGGACCTCCAGAAGCATGGGAACATCTGGGTGTGCCCTGTGTCCGACCATGTCTGCACAAGATTCTTCTTTGTGTAAGTGTCGGAGGGACTCTGGGGATTACTCGAGGAGTGAGGTTGGGGGTGTGATGGTGTGTGGCTACTGGGAAAAGTCTATTTCTGTTATCTGAGACATGTCCTTGGCTACCTGAGTGGAGCTGTCACTGGGACTTTACCATTGGAGGATGGGAATGGGTATAGATGGTTGGGATCTATCTAGAGGAAACCAGATAAGCTGAATATCTTCCACTATGAAGCAGTGAGAAAGGGCTTTGACTTCTGGGATGGGATGGCCATACCTTGAAATACAGTTCCACTGATTGATGTTATTCTGGTATTGTTCTCCCTCTTATGCTCACACTTGCCCTATCTTTGGCAGATATGAGGATGGTCAGGTGGGCGATGCCAACATTAATACTCAGGACCCCAAGATACAGAAGGAAATCATGCGTGTGATCGGAACTCAGGTTTACACAAACTGAGGGGGCCCCAGCCCTCGTACCACCCCTGTTACCCCAGGATCCATCTGCCCTCATAAAAGTGTTCAGGTACAGCAGCTGAGGCTGCCCTGAGGAATCAAGGGGCCATTACCAAGGGGCAGGAAAAGGATATGTAAGAGGTGGCCTTCATGGTAGAGCTTGACCCAAGAACTACTCCACATTCGGATGGCCCAGACTGACTCCATCCCCTGACTTTCCCTTTGACTTCACCCTGTTTGTAAATAAAACAATAAAATGGAAGGTGCTGTGGACTGGATATGATCACTGTGGTTTGACTAGCCTTGGAGCAGCACCTGCCCCAAGCCCTCACAAGGGGCAGGGGGTGGGGAGACTGGAATATCCTGCGGATTGGGACTGTTTATGTTGCATGGTATCAAAGTTGTGTCCATTTATTGTAGTATACTACAGATGTGTCAGCTTTTTAATCAGTGGATTAAAGGGAAACTTATCAGTTATGCAGATGAAACAAACCGAGAATATAGAATACCACTAATGACTATTAGTCAAAATTTAAAAGGGCCATTGAGGCCAGAGCAGCTAAGATTTACTGCCTTTAGGGCCTATTGCTTTCTGCACAAACCTGCCCAGTCTCCCTTGCTCTATATCTCAGGAACTGGACCCCTACTCTCTTTCTCCTCCAACCTGTTTCTTCAGGGTAAGTGAGGTTAGGGGAGAACTGGTGGGAGCAGGAAGTGGGGTTTGTCTCTAAGTCGAAATCTATAAAGACATCCTAAGGGAATGCAGCTTCACTTAATGAAACAACCCAATTTCACCAAGTTTAGTAAGGTGGTAAAGGAAGGCAGCTCTTTCTAGGAAGCCTAATTGTTGTAGTGAATTTTTTCTTCTCCCTGTTGAAATTCCCATTTCAGCCTTTTGCTGGCCTTTCAGGCTGTGCTTCATGTGCCCCAGATCCTTAGTTATAAGCATAGCTGTGTCAGTTGGACATTTCCAAATATTTTGTGAAAAAAAAATTTTTTTTTGAGACAGGGTCTTACTCTGTTGCCTTGACCTCCCAAGCTCAGGTGATCCTCCCACCTCAGCCTCCCAAGTAGCTGGGACCACAGGCAGGTGCCACCACACATGGATAATTTCCATACTTTTTGGAGAGATGGCGTTTTACCATGTTGCCCAGGCTGGTCTCCAACTCCTGGGCCCAAGCCATCTGCCTGTGTCAGCCTCTCAAAGTGCTGGGATTATATACTTTATGAAATATTAATGAAGAAAAACAGGAATATAAGCACAGAGAATACAAAAAGCATTAAATAAGCCTGGCATTTCAAGGATAGGGTTTTTTAATCTGTTATAGCTTGATTTACAAAGCACACTCTAGGCTACCTGTTGTCTTTCATCACCTTCACCGTACTTTAGAGGTACCTTCTTGCCTGGGTATCTTACCCTGGTTTTCAGTTCCTGACCTGCTTTAACATGCAAGTACCATTCTTAAGGTCCATCCCTCTAGAAGCTGTTTCTTAAACTTTGCTCATTCTTGATCAACACTAACACATTCTAATTTACAAGTCTCCTAAGCCCTCTTCTCCCATTCTGGTTTCAGGTCTAGGAAATAACCTCTTCACCAAGTAAATGACCTCATCACTGAGCCCACTCTGACTGAAATACCTGCCTCCTGAGAGGACTTTGTGCCCATCTCTGTAGTATTAGAGATAGCTGACCTTTTCTTTAGTTTTTACTAAGAAGGTGCTGACATTATGCTAAGCACTTTAATAATTTGCTAACACTTTGGATTACTTACTGTGTGCTTGGTATTAAAAATTTTCTTTTTTCTTTTCTTTTTTTTTTTTTTTTTTTTGAGATGGAGCTTCACTCTTTTTGCCCAGGCTAGAGTGCAGTGGTGTGATCTCGGCTCACTACAACCTCTGCCTCCTGAGTTCAAGTGATTCTCCTGCCTCAGCCTCCCGAGTAGCCGGATTATAGGCATGCACCACTACATCCAGCTAATTTTTTGTATTTTTAGTAGAGATGGGGTTTCACCATGTTGGTCAGGCAGGTCTCGAACTCCTGACCTCAGATGAGCCACCCACCTTGGCCTCCCAAAGTAGTGGGATTACAGGTGTGAGCCACTGCGCCCAGCCAGTATTATAAGTTCTCTACATATATTTACTCGTAATTCTCAGAACAAGCCTATGAAGTAGGCGTGATTATTCCTATTTTGTAGATGAGAAAGCAGAGGCACAGAGCATAAGTAACATATTCCACAGCTAGTGACAGGCAGCCTGACTCCAGATTGCTGTTCTGGTTCTATGCTGAAAAGTGTTCAAACTTTACAAATATTTTTTCATTTAATCCTGACAACAAAGCTGGAAGATAGGTTTTCTTCAGAGATCTTAAATAATGTATCTAAGGTCCCACAGCTGGTTATTGGCAATGTTAAGTTTTGCTTTTTGGTTTTTTTTGAGACTTGGTCTCATTGTCACCCAGGCTGGAGTGCAGTGGCGTGATCATAGCTCATGTAACTTTCAACTCCTGAGTATAAGTGATCCTCTTGCCTCAGCCTCCCAAGTAGCTATTACTACAGGCATGTGCCACCATGCCTGGCTAATTAAAAAAAATTGTTTTGTAGAAATGGGATCTTGCTATGTTGCCCAGACTGGTCTTGAATCGCTAGCCTCAAGCAGTCCTCTCAAAGTGCTAGGATTACAGGCATGAGCTACTGTGCGCAGCCAGTGCTGTTTCTAACTAGATCTGACCAACTCCAGAACCTGAGTTCTTTTAACCACTCTGTTATCCTAGATGGTCTCCAACTGTTCTCACTGATGTTCCAGCAACTGAACTTTGGTGTGTGGCTACTCAAATGGTATAACAACATTTCTGTTCAATTTCAAAGATTGTTAATAGATTTTTCTCAGTCGTAAGCATTTCTTATAGTTTCTCTGTATCACTGACATCCAATATAGCAGTACTAGCAAATGATGGAATGAGAAGGAACAAATGGTGTATATTACCAGAAAAACTCAAATAGCTGAGCTAGCCTTATGGGTGTCACTTTAAAAAAAAAATCATCTGTATAATAATCTTTTTATGCCAATAAAATTGTAATAAAGTTAAATACATCATTTCATAGTGCCACAGAAAAGCAATAGGACTTTTTGGATCTAAGAAGTTTAGAAGCCACAAATGATAATATCTTAACATATATGAGGTAAAACAAATATAATTAAAACCCCACAAACAACAAGAATGCCTTCATTGTAGGGAAACTTGGGTGGGACCCTGAGTTTCTGGAGAGGAATCCTCCCACAGCCTGGAGGGGGAATTGAGGTAAAGTTGCCCCTTTTCTCTGCCCAGGCCTGGTTCTTCTGGAGGTGGGGAAGCTGGAGCCTGTGAAACCCAGGTGTGAGCAACAAGGCATCCTCCACAGGGCCAAGCCTATTACAAATACCATACATACAGGTTGACAGCGGCCTCCTACTTTTCATGTAGTCCTGGGCTCAAGCAGTCTCACTTCATAGACCTAGACATGCTTGGTTAGGACTAGGGTCAGGAAAAGAACTATTTTCTTCATTAGTTCTGGGTACAGAGTAGATGGCTATTTTTATTTTATTTTTTATTTTTGTGGGTACATAGTAGGTATATATATTTATGGGTTACTTGAGTTATTTTGATACAGGCATGGAATGAACAATAATCACATCAGGGTAAATGGGGTATCCATCACCTCAAACATTTATCTGATTTTTAGGTTGAGAAATTACAAACCCCTGGAGTTTAACCTTCCGTTTCCCTCCTCCTGGTAATTTTCCATCAGGCAGGGTGTGACCATGACTCAGTTTGTGGTGAGGATGTGGCCATCCATTGGGGAGGAGCCTGCTCGATTCTGCCTTTCATTCTGGCTGGTGGGGAGAGGGGAGAAGAGTCTGGTGCTGAGTCATTACTGGGTTTCTTACCAGCTTCTCACAGGATGGATTCTGAGATGGAGGTCTGAGGGATGCCACAGCTTCTGGGACTAATTCAGGAGTGGTGTAGAGGAAGCTCTATGGATCGTGTAATTCCTTGTAGAGCCCTCCTACCCCAGGAGAAGTGGGAATAAGGTAGGCTGCAGCTCATTTGAAGATTCACTGGCTCCTTTGGAGCACAGGACTTGCCACAAATGCATCAGACCTCTCCTCCTCTCACAGTGAGCCAGAGATGCCACTCTTTAAGTTAAAAATTATTTTGCTTAGGAGAAGACCCAAAGTCTCCTCAGTCCTAGCTGTCCTTCCTGGGATAAGTGGGTCAGATTAGCTGGCAGCCAATGAGCAAGGGCAGACACAGGTGGAGAGTGGAAGTGTGTCAGGGAAAAAGCAGACTGGTGGAACTGAAGCCAGAGGGCTCCTTGGGAGGGAGTCACTTGATCAGGGCTTCACTGATGCCTTCTTGTTCTTCCAAATCTTGATTGATGCCCCATCTCATCCCCATATGCCATGTGTCAGGATGCTCCAGTCTCTGCCTCTCCTTGGGATGGAAAGTGCCAAAGTATATCCAGGCAGATTACTTTGGGGGGATAGGGTCTGTTTATAGTGCCACTTGCATCTTTGGGGACCTGAGCTCTGGCTACACTTAACAGGGAAAAAAAGAGCACAGGGCCTCGAAGGGAGTTGCTTGGTGGATAGGATTAGATCACTCTAACGGGGCTTTGTCCAGTGAGCCCAGCATTTCTGGGCTGGAGAAAGACTGCTGGAGGTCACATTGGTTGACAGGGTCACCTTGGCTAAGACTATACTTCCATCAGAGTGACCAAGGACTCCTTAAGCTTCTCCCTTCCATTCTAAGCACTGATGAGGTTGCAGGAGCCTGGGGAAACCTAGATACACAGTTGCATTCAGAAAACACTCAGTATTTGTTTAACTGTCCCTCCCCATGGCCACCCCCCACACCATGGCCTTGCCATACCTATCTCTATTCTAACCAATTTTCCATGCCTAGCTTGAATGTCTCCTCCATGAAGCATGCCCTTTCCACACAGACAGCCTGTTCTCTTTATCCCTAACTCCAAAGTCTAACTTTATCTTCCAGGATTTGTCTGGGGAAACTGATATGCCACCCTCATAGGCCTGAAGAAATTGTAGGAGTTTGAAGGAAGACCTAGAAAAAAAGTTCAGGCTGGGGGCAGTGGCTCATGCTTGTAATCCCAGCACTTTGGGAGGCCGAGGCAGGTGGATCACCTGAGGACAGGAGTTCAAGACCAGTCTGACCAACATGGCGAAACCCCGTCTGTACCAACAATACAAAAATTAGCTGGGCATGGTGGCGGGTGCATGTAATCCCAGCTACTTAGGAGGCTGAGGCAAGAGAATCGCTTGAACCCGGGAGGCGGAAGTTGCAGTGAGCTGAGATCACGCCATTGCACTCCAGCCTGGGCGACAGAGCAAGACTGTGTCTCAAAAAAACAAAAAAGTTCACCTGGGCTCGGTGCAGTGACCCACACCTGTAATCCCAGCACTTTGGGAGGCTGAGGCAAGCAGATCACTTGAGCCTAGGAGTTTGAGACCAGTCTGGGCAACAGTGAGACCCCATCTCTACATACTATTTATTTAGAGATGGAGTCTCCCTCTTGTCGCCCTGCCTGGAGTGCAATGGTACAATCTCAGCTCACTGCAACCTCCGCTTTCTGGGTTCAAGTGATTCTCCTGCCTTAGCCTCCTGAGTAGCTGGGATTACAGGCAGCCGCCACCACGCCTGGCTAATTTTTTCTATTTCTAGTAGAGACAGGGTTTCGCCATGTTGTCCAGGCTGGTCTCGAACTCCTGACCTCAGTTGATCCGCCCTCTTCAGCCTCCCAAAGTGCTGGGATTACAGGCGTGGGCCACCAAGCCTGGCCCTGGCTAATTTTTAAATTTCACATAGAGGCCGGGCGTGGTAGGCTGCCCTGGAAATTGTATTGTCCTGAGAGAACACTGCCATTTCAGATAGAGGCTAAGATGTCACATAATTGATGTAAAGCCTGTAATCTCACCCTCTTCATCAGGGCCAAAGCTTGTCTTTAGGCTCCAGGATTAGGTTCATTACAGTTTGTTGACACACTTACCACCCCTTCTCCAAGGACTCCCAATGATTTTAGAGAGTTAAACCATTAAACTGCAGATTCTGTGGTCAAGAATCCAAACAGAAAACATACCAATTTCCACTTTTACTCACACCCAAATCCAGTGAACCTAGCAGTTTCCCATCCCATCCTGGTCAAGTCCAGGAACACAGTGGAAGGGCTGGCTCTAGGGGGAGAAGCCTGTGTCCTCCTTCAGCAACCCCAGTTTCCTGTAGTCCCGACCTGTTACTGGGTCAAAGGAGTGATGGTCCAGAGAAGGGCAAGCTTAAATTCAGGAAAACATTCTGGCTCTGGTCAGAAGGTGTTTGTGGAAAAGCCAACTCAGACTGTATTTTTCCTCTGTTCTCATGCCACCACTACAACAATCAACACAGACTTCTGTGACCAAATATGTGGGGGATTTGCCCTCACACCAAACAGGCAATCAGTTCTGCTGCGGGCATCATCTGGGTGTCCTCCAATTCAATTCTGGCACTGTACCTGGAGATAATATCAGATCCCACAGGTTGAGGTCCCAGTCCCCAAGAATGCCCCTGGTTTGGACATCAGTAGTTAGTATGGGCCTCCAGAACTTCTGTCCGACCAACTTCAATTTGGGATTCCCATGATCCCCTTTTTGGGTTCAACCAATTTGCTACAGAGGCTCACAGAACTCAGGGAAACACATTTACTGGTTTATTACAAAGGATATTATAATGAATAAAGATGAAGAGATGCACAGGGCCAGGTATGGGGGAAGGGGCCTGGAAGCTCCATGCCCTCCCTGGGAGTGGCATCCTCCAGGAACCTCCTATCTGAAAGCCCTCCAAATCATGTCCTCGTAGGCCTTTTATGAAAACTTCCTTGGATAGGCATGATTGATAACCATGTAGAAATATGCTTGGACCAAAAGGTATGATCTCATAGTGATACTCTAGACTGAGTGAGGGAACCCAGCAAGGACTGTCGAGATTTGTCTTGGCCTCTGTGCAGCATCCCTTCCTCCAAGGTACAGGGCAGGACCCCTTCTGAAATGGGGGTCTTGCAACCTACAATCAGAAAAGATATGACAAATAACTTATTTATAGCCAGCTCCAAGACACAAAGTTGGGGGAAGATTTCTGCCTTGGGGGAAAAGGAACAGGTGAAAGGAAGGCAGAAGAAGGCCAGAGAGGGAGAGAGAGAGAATTCTGTTCTCTGAGGCCTGCTTCTGAGCCTAAAGTGCCCCCAACATTATAAACAAAAGACTAACAAGAGCTGTGGGAGTTATAAGCAAGGAACTTTGGATGAAAACTTCTGTGTGTGTGTGTGTGTGTGTGTGTGTGTGTCACAAGGACAGCCCTCCAGGACTAGTCAATTCCCAAAGAAAGAGGATGCCTATTGGGCAGTGTTGGAATCATTCACATACATCATCAAACTCCACCATAAAAGTAAATTGTCCTCAATTTACTTTTGAGGAACTGGACTTCTACACATTAAATTACAATATTTGGTCATAGGGAACTGGAACTAAGGTATGATGGAACCCAAGCTTGATCTTTTTTTGTTTGTTTGTTTGAGACAGAGTCTCGCTGTTAGCCAGGCTGGAGTGCAGTGGCACAATCTCGGCTCACTGCAACCTCCGCGTCTCGGGTTCAAGCGATTCTCCTGCCTCAGCCTCCCGAATAGCTGGGACTACAGGTGCATGCCACCACGCCCGGCTAATTTTTTGTATTTTTAGTAGAGATGGGGTTCGCTGTGTTAGCCAGGATGGCCTCGATCTCCTGACCTCGTGATCTGCCCGCCTCGGCCAACCAAAGTGCTGGGATTACAGGCGTGAGCCAATGGCTGGCACCAGGCCTCCAAGCTTGATCTTCTATACTGTGCTACTTATCGGCAAAAAGAAAATTACCTTCAGTGTGACAAATTTTTACTATGCACTTGTTTGTTTATTTATTTATTTATTTATTTATTTATTTATTTATTTATTTGAGACGCAGTCTCGCTCTGTTGCCAAGGCTGGAGTGCAGTGGCGCGATCTCGGCTCACTGCAACCTCTGCCTCCTGGGTTCAAGCGATTCTCTTGCCTCAGCCTCCCGAGTAGCTGGGACTACAGGCGCCCGCCACCATGCCCGGCTAATTTTTGTATTTTTAGTTGAGACAGGGTTTCACCATGTTGGCCAGGATGCTCTCGATCTCCTGACCTCGTGATCCTACCGCCTCTGCCTCCAAGTGCTGGGATTACAGGCCTGAGCCACCGCACCCGGCCTACTATGCACCTAATGTGAGCAACGATTCGCTGGATTTGTCTCTGCCAGAGGCTCGTGGACAGCATTTCTAGAACTGTCAGATCAAAATCTGCAACTGAGGAGTTAGTTTGCCATCAACTCTACATGTACATTTCAGTCTTGTGAACATATCTAGATTTAGAACTTTTTCGTTTGTTTGTTTTTGAGACAAGGTCTGGCTCTGTCACGGAGGCTGGAGTGCAGTGGAGTGATCTCTGCTCACTACAACCTCCACCTCTCGGATTCAAGCGATTCTGCCTCAGCTTCCCGAGTAGCTGGGATTACAGACGTGCACCACCATGCCCAGCTAGTTTTTGTATTTTTAGTAAAGACGGGGTTTCGCCACGTTGGCCAGGATGGTCTCAACTCCTGGCCTCATGTGATTCGCCGGCCTCGGCTTCCCAAAGTGTTGGGATTACAGGCGTGAGCCACTGCACCCAGACAATTTAGAACTTTAAAATACAATATAGTCCAGCATCGGCCAGATCCTTGCCATCCCAGTGTTGTCCACCACTGTTCTTAGTTTGTCCTCAGCTCAGGGGCCAGGGAGGGACTTTTATGCCATCCCTCTTTCTCTGATAGAGAGGAATCTAACCCTCCCTAGGGGGGCATGTCTTTTTTCCTTCTCAACAACTTCATGTTCTTTCACCACCTTAATAATCAAGCATTTCCTTCCCAACAACAACTAAAGGGACCAGGAAAGACTTACAGAAGAAAGTGAAAGATTTTTATCTCACTTCAAACAGAAATTTACTTTTAGGCTGTCACTGTCTCCTCCCAGCTTATCTGAGCTAACAGGAAGCGAATGAAGGCCTGTGATTCAGCTGCAGGCAGCGGGTATGCCTGAGCAGGTCACACCCATTTGGTCTCTTTTGCCAGGAAAATAAAAAAAGAACCTAAGAGAACGGTCTTCACATTTTGAATGCGCAACATTGTATCTGTGAATGAAGGCAAGAGTTAACAGCTGTTTAATTGATAACTGCTCGCATCATTAGTTGCTGGCTAACAACTGGGAAATCAGAAAATGTCTTGTAGAAAAATGTAAGAAAAGTTCCAACAATACTGACTTAAACACGACAAAGGTGAAAACAGAAATGCTGACTCCTGCATAGGTTATCGGCCCTAATGTTCTGACTTGATATTTCCAGATGCCCAGCTCTGCGCTAATATCAACACCGTCTATTTACTTTCTACTCTGAGGCATTCGCTCTGCAGGATTCCAGACCCTACTAAATTATTCACATGGCCCCAACCGGTCCTTCCTTGTTCCGCGGTCCTAACACAATGAATGGTCCTAAGAGGAAAACGGCCTCGCGCTCCCGCTCCAGGCCCACTTCGCAGTCCCTAGTTCTCCCTACTGCCGCTCCAGTGCCAGAGCCCCTCCGAAGGCGGCCAGGACCTCCAACCACGCACAAGTCTGCAGCTCTCCCCAACTTTCCGTTCAGCTCAGTCTCCGAGGGTGCGCCAGAGCAGACACCCGGAGGAGTGGGGAGTGGCAGGGCGGGGCCGGGAGAATGCTGCCCCGGAACCCATAAATCTGGGCCCTGCCCAGGTAGGCCGGGACAGCTGGGGTGGCCTGGGCCGAGAGCCAAGAAAAGACACCCCATCTGGCAGCCCAACTTGGCGGCAACAGGTGGCCCGGCGCCCGGGGGTCTGGGAGGAAAGTCGCTCCGGGGGCGGGCCCCGTTGCCCCGCCGCGTCCCCATTGGTCATCAGGTTTCTTAAAATGTGACTCTGAATCTGTGTCCTTCCGCCGCAGAATTTAGTCCCACCGAAAGGGCAACCTGCCCGCGCGTTCCGCCGCCGCCGCCGCGCTTCCTCCTGAAGGTGACTGCGCCCGCGGGGACGCAGGGGGCGGGGCCCGGGTCGCCCGGAGCCGGGATTGGGCAGAGGGCGGGGCGGCGGAGGGATTGCGGCGGCCCGCAGCGGGATAACCTTGAGGCTGAGGCAGTGGCTCCTTGCACAGCAGCTGCACGCGCCGTGGCTCCGGATCTCTTCGTCTTTGCAGCGTAGCCCGAGTCGGTCAGCGCCGGAGGTGAGCGGTGCAGGAGGCTACGCCATCAGTCCCCACCAAGGGCCAGTCGCCCGGCTAGTGCGGAATCCCGGCGCGCCGGCCGGCCCCGGGCACGCAGGCAGGGCGGCGCAGGATCCAGGGCGTCTGGGATGCAGTGGAGCTCAGAGAGAGGAGAACGGCTCCTCACGCCTGGGGCCTGCTCTTCAGAAGTCCCCAGCGCCGTTCCTTCCAGATCAGGCGGGTCCGCCGGCTCCTTTCCCGCCCCAGCCCTACCCCCTCATTCTGGTCCCATCCTCTTCCTCCTGCCCCAATCCTCAATGCGCCTCCATCCTCGCCTGCCTTCTCTCGGTCCCTCGTGATTGATTCCACCCTTGCTTCCCCTTTCTCCGCGCCGCCTGTTCCGTGCTCGTTTTCCCCTCTTCCTCCTTAAGTCTGGTCCTTCCACCCCCTCCTCTTCAAGCTGTGCGTGTCCCCTGATTCTAATGCTTTCTGTGTAACTCATTGAAACTGCGTTCTGGTTCCCCTCCCGCGTCCATTCTCCATTCATGCGCGACCGCCCTTCCCGCGCCCCAGTTCCCTCTCGCCGCCCCTCCCCCTGCTTGCTGGTCACGTCCGCTCCCCCGCATCCCCTTCCTCGCCTGGCGTGTCCGCTCCCTCCCTCCCTCTCTGCTCTGGTCGCGCCCGCCCACTTGCTCCGGTCTCCGAGCGCGGTCCCACCCCCCTTTTCCATCACCGCCTCCCAGCTCCCAGCAGGCTCGGGCGGTGCTGAGGCCCCGTGTCCGGGGCGGGCGGGCGGAGGGCTGGGCTGGGTGCCCCGCGCGGCGGGCGGGATGCGGCGGCCCGGGGGCAGCTGGAGACTTACGTAACGTTGGCCTGCCCCGCTGCCGGGAGGCAGGGCGGTTGCCCCTGCGGCGCGGTGCCGTCCCCTGTGGCCGGGATTAGATGGGCGGCCTGCGAGGGCCTGGGAATGGCTCGGGGCCCGAGAGCTCGACCGGCCCTTGCCGGGTGGCCGCCAGGGACCACGCTCCATCTCGCCGCGGCCGGGCTGCACGTAGCGGCCGCGCCCAGGGCCCACCCCGCTTCACCGGGCGATGGCCTTGGGCCTCGTAACGGGCGGGATAAACCTCTGCAGGCTTTGCTGGGGCCTCCTGGCCCTCGCCCGTTCCGCGCCTCTCCGGCACGTTTCTTTCTTTTCCTTTCTTTTTTCTTTCTTTTTTTTTTTTTTAATTATCCGGCACATTTTTTAACAAATGCGTCCTGATTGTGGAACGCGGAGGCCGCGGGGTGGGGTGGGGATCTGGTTACGGAGGGGGCAGGAAATCTGTCGCGTTCACTGAACGCAAACGGTGTGGGTCAAGGGCTGTTTGGGGGTCAGAGTTAGAGACCAGGATGACTAGACGAGTCATAGCCCACCGAGCTCACAATCTTAAAATGTATCTCCTGTAATGCTGGGAGTGGGGTACGAGCTTCCTGCTGTGGGAGGGAGGGGGACAGGAAGCCTCGTAAGGTCTCACCAGGTGGCAAGCACACTGGATTAGAAGATGCAGGAAAGCACCTTCCAGTCTGAAGATCATTTAAAGACTCAGTCATGTAAGGGCATCCCTTGGCTTCTTAATCTACGTACTCCAGACCCAGGGCTTGGACCTTTGCTGGTACGGGTTAAAGTGAGGCCGACAGTGAAGGTCCACGTGGAGAGAGACATTGGGAAGTTGTCAAAAAGGCGTTTAGAATCAGGTTTGACTCATTAATTTCCTGAGACTCTGAAGGAGTTCAGCCTCTACACCTCAGTTTCCCCTGGGAAAACTGGGAGTAACATTTTCCTCATGATGGTTGAAAGGATTCATGCTTACGTGGATGTGGCACACTCAGTAAGTGTCTAATCTCTGGCGAAATACCCAGAAGAAAAGCCTGTGACTGAATATATTATTTTTGAGCACAATTACTTAGTCCACAATTGAGCATAAGGGCCTTGATCCATTGTCTTCCTACTGTCCCCAAACGCCTACAGCTAATCGTGAGGAATCAGGCTCTCTGAATAACCACGTGTCTCCTGGAAACCAGTTCCCCAAGGGATCTGGTTTAATATTGACAAAGTAACTGATAATGTAACTTTCCAACTCTCTGCTTGGAGCAGATGCTTTTTGGTCATCTGAGATTGGGACCTGTAGACAAAGGCAGGCAAGGAGGGGCTGAGTTAAGCCTTTGGTGTTCCGCTGTAAGTAGAATACTACCTACCAGAGGAACATTCCAGCCCTTGACTTGCTCTGCCTGCTGGTGAGATTAGGATTGGAGCCAGGGTCAGTAGCCCCCAGTTGGCCGTCTTGAGGGTGTGGCCACTCCCTAGGTCACAGAGGAGATGGAGGTCAGGACTCCCCTGCTGCAGCGTTGTTAGCAAATAATTTGCCCTTTGGTGGCCTGAGGTGCTGTGGGGGCAGGAGTGGGCTGTCTTGTGGGGAAGGGAAATGTAACGTATCACCAAATCTGTGGGGGAGTGGGGCTCTGTGGGGAAGATGACTCAACCTTTCAATTATTCTGCTTTTGAGAGAATTATCTTCGCTGGGTGAGTGGGGAAACTACATTGTGGTTCTTGCAGGCTTAAAAAGTCCCTTCTCCCCTTTCAGTGAGTCAGATAATGAAGCATGCATTTCCCCTAATTAAAAATGCCTCAACTACGGAGCTTGCAGTGAGCCGAGATCGCGCCACTGCACTCCAGCCTGGGCGACAGAGCGAGACTCCTTCTCAAAAAAAAAAAAAAAAAAAGCCACAACTAATTAAAAAATGATTGGTCCGGGTCACCTGGTTCTCTGTACTGCCTTAAGAGCTTAAGTGTAGACTGGCAGAGCCCGGTGCCCAGCTAATGCCGTCTGTGCAGCTTCATTCCTGGCCCTTTTGTAGCGGGCACAGCCGCCTCTCCTGGGACTTGATTAATGATGACTTAAAGAAGGTTCTTGAACTCATTTCTCAGTTACTGACTTGAGCCAAAATGTATGGATGTTGGTCTCCTGTCTAGCACAACTGCTTTCATTTTAAGCATTGCATTAGAAATAATGTTGTATTCATATTTTAGCAAAGAGCATCATTAGCTCTTTAAGAACCGTACCCCCAGTGACTTAGCAAATTTGGTGGCGGTGACTCTAAACAGCTAGCACTTTATGGGAGTTGCTTCTGTGCCTTGAATGTTGTGACACTGATGTGGGGTCACAGGAAAAACCATTTTATTTCCTAAAGCTGTTTATTTCTTAATATTGAGGCAATGGAAGAAATGAGGAAACGGCCGTGGGCAGGAAGGTAGAAGAAAATGCAGCACTTACATTACAAACTCACTTTACTTGGGTTTTAGTTTATTTTGCTTCAGTTTTTTGTTTTTTTTTTTTTTTTTTTTTTTTTTTTTTGAGATAGTTTTGCTCTTGTTGCCCAGTCTGGAGTGCAATGGTGTGATCTCGGCTCACTGCAACCTCCACCTCCTGGGTTCAAGCAATTCTCCTGCCTCAGCCTCCCGAAGTAGCTGGAATTACAGGCACTTGCACCACGCCCAGCTAATATTTTTGTATTTTTAGTAGAGATGGGGTTTCACCATGTTGGCCAGGCTGGTCTTGAACTCCTGACTTAGGTGATCCACCGGCCTCGGCCTCCCAAAGTGCCGGGATTACGGGCGTGAGCCACTGCACCTGGCCTGCTTCAGCTTTTATGAAGGCAAGTCAGGATGTGTTATCTTGGCCAAGAGCTAAGACTGAGACCGGAGTAGAGGAAAATGACTCATTTGACATTACCCTTCTTTCTGAATCACTCCAAAAGTCCACAGTCAAATCTCAATTAGCTGGTATAACACAAGAATGCGTTGACCCTGTGAGCAGAGTTTTATTGCATCTTCAAGGGTCTTCGTGAGATTGGTTTATTTGGTATGAGGTCTTAAGGATTTTAAGTTGTCCCTTTAAGCATCAGTTCTGATACAGATGGGAATAGAGCTAAACAACCAGATATATGAAGACCATTTTTGATACCACCATACTTGCGGGGAGCTTGCATTTTTTTACCAAGGGGCAGACTGGATAATTGAGTAATTTAAATACTTGGGACTTTGTTAAAGAAGCTGTTGGGGGAAGGTGAGCCTGGGTGAGTGGTGGAGGGTGATGTGCAGCATCTGCTGGGCCTTCCTGCCTCTTGGTATGACTGCTCAGCTCAGGAGTTGGGTGCTTTAGGGCCCCTACCATGCAGTGCGGTGAAGCCCCGCCCCTGCAGTGGTTTGTGCTTGTCTGCACGTAGGAGGGAACAAGCCGGCTGCAGTACCTTCGGTGGCCTCTGAGACTCACCTCCCCCACTTCTGTCCATAGACAAAGCTCCTGGGGAGCCCTAAGCCTCTTTCCTCATGCCAGCAAGCAGTCTTGGAAGCAGGCTGGGGCTGCAGTGGGAGAGATGCCAAGACCAGTTATTCAAGGGCAGTGAGGTTGCCAGTCCTAGCATTTCACACTGTGGACCAGCACAGCTGCTGGCTGAATACTGCAGTCAAGATTCTCTGAAGGGAGTCCTATCCCTTCCAAACATCTTCAGTTTACTTGCAGATAATGTTTCTTCATTTTTTATTTTATTTTATTTTATTTTATTTTTTTGAGACGGAGTCTCGCACCATGACCCAGGCTGGAGTGCAGTGGTGCAATCTCAGCTCACTGCAAGCTCCGCCTCCCGGGTTCATGCCATTCTCCTGCCTCAGCCTCCTGAGTAGCTGGGACTACAGGCAACCGCAACCACGCCTGGCTGATTTTTTTTGTATTTTTTAGTAGAGACGGGGTTTCACTGTGTTAGCCAGGATGGTCTCAGTCTGCTGACCTCGTGATCCACCTGTCTTGGCCTCCCAAAGTGCTGGGATTACAGGCATCAGCCACCGCGCCTGGCCATGTTTCTTCAATTTTAAACAACTGATATCTCCCTTGGCCATGAACGAAAAAGAACTGCCCATCAGTGGAGTCAGTCAGGGCACATAAGACACACTGTGTCCACCATGCCATTTCAGAGGAGATTTGATTGAGTTAAGCAGGGAAATAGAGATGTTGTAAACGTTGAAACTATCTGGGTA
Source organism: Homo sapiens (assembly GCF_000001405.40). Taxonomy (NCBI): domain Eukaryota; kingdom Metazoa; phylum Chordata; class Mammalia; order Primates; family Hominidae; genus Homo; species Homo sapiens. The sequence goes on along the minus strand of NC_000015.10, from coordinate 72,226,065 downwards.
TCCCTCTTTGGTTATTAACATTAGATGAGCAGAAAAACAAATGTCACCGATGGGCAAACATTTAAAAAGTCTGGCAGTACCAAGTGTGGAAAAAGGTGTGGAAGGCAGCAACTCAGCGTTCATTGATATAGCCACTTTGGAGAGCAATTCAGCCTTATTTAGTAAAAATAGAAATAAACATACTCCATGACCTAAGACTTCAATTTCTGGATATATAGAAACTCACACAGTACAGGGAGACATGTACTACAAGAGTATTGATTAATAGAAGAAACTTAGTTTAACGGGGAGGGAGAGTGGCCACCAGTAAGACAGTCCATAAATAAAATGGTCTGTTGTACAGTGGACTAGTGTAACAGCTTAAATGAATTAGCTAGATCCATATACCCACTGGATGGATCTTAAATGTGCTGCTGAGTGAAAAACAAGTTACTCAGTGATATATACAGTATACCACTTAGGGCATTAAGAAAACCACAATATTATAGGGTTCAGTATAGACATAGATACACTGTACATAGACTTCAGTGAACTGGAAGGATATAGAGTTCATGACAGTGATTGGGTGTCAAAATGCATGATGTGGCTGGGAGCAGTGGCTCACACCTGTAATCCCAGCACTTTGAGAGGCTGATGCAGGAGGATCACTTGAGGCCAGGAGGTCGAGACCAGCCTGGGCAACATCGCAAGATTCCCATCTCTATTTAAATAAATAAAATAGAAAAAAAAGTTTAAGATGGAGGTGGAAAGGGTTGGAGGAGCTTGGGGATGGAGAAAAAATGAACTGTATAAAATTAAAATTCTTGTTTTTGTTTTTAGAAAGTAAAGAGGGCCGGGCACAGTGGCTCATGCCTGTAATCCCAGCACTTTGGGAAGCTGAGGTGGGCGGATCACGAGGTCAGGAGATTGAGACCATCCTGGCTAACACGGTGAAACCCCGTCTGTACTAAAAATACAAAAAAAAAAAAAAAAAAAAATTAGCCGGGCCTGGTGGCGGGCGCCTGTAGTCCCAGCTACTCAGGAGGCTGAGGCAGGAGAATGGCCTGAACCTGGGAGGTGGAGCTTGCAGTGAGCTGAGATCGCGCCAGTGCACTCCAGCCTGGGCAACAGAGCGAGACTCCATCTCAAAAAAAAAAAAAAAAAGAAAAAAGAAATTAAAGAAAATACAGCTCAGCCTTTATTTGTGTTTTTTTTTTTTTCCTTTTTTTCTGAGACAGAGTTTTTCACTCTGTTGCCCGGGCTGGAGGGCAGTGGTGCGATCTCCGTTCACTGCAGCCTCCACTTCCTGGATTCAAGCAATTCTGTGTCTCAGCCACCCAAGTAGCTGGGATTACAGGTGCGCGCCTGGCTAATTTTTGTATGTTTAGTAGTGATGGTGTTTCACCATATTAGCCAGGCTGGTCTCGAACTCTTAGCCTCAAGTGATCTGCCCGCCTCAGCCTTTCAAACTGTTGGGATTACAGGCGTGAGCCAACACAGCCAGCCATGGCTCAGTGTTAATGGTCAGTTCTGGGTGGTAGAGAGGCAGATGTTAAAACTTTTTTTTCTTTAATTCGTAACATAGAAGCAAACCTATAAAGGCTGCCGTAGGAAGACCAGTCATAGTAACTAGTTCAGTGCTCTTGGAGAGTTGGCACTGCCTTTCCTCCTTTATCCCCCCGACTAGAATGCAGGGCAGCCCTTCCAGTAAATGTTGAGCCAGTGCCTCACTTTGCTGAGGCCATCACCCACCTTAGTTGCACTTAAGAGGACCCTAAATCAGGGTCCCAGGTCCCTTGCTGATTTTAGAGTGTGGATATCATACCCAGAAACACCGCCCTACTTTTAATCCTAGTAAGGAGGCACCATGTCCCAGGACAACTAATGCTTCCCCCAAACCACCTCCTTCAGGCTGAAACCAGTTCTCTGCACTGAGCAGCTGGGATGGAACCAGGAAATCCTCGGCATCTGAGGACATTGAGGGGTCTCTGACTTAGGGCTTCTTCACCTGAAGTTGAGTGGTCTTTGAGGGAAGTAGGCCCATTTAGCATCAGCTGCTCTTCCCTATTCCACACTCTAGTTGGAAATAGGACCTTAGGTTCCTGTTGACAAGTCATTTACTTTCAGCCCCGAAGAAATAAAAGAGCCAAGATTTTTTTTTTTTTTTTAAAGCCAGGGAATTTTACTAGAACCTACAAGTGGGCTCATTTTGTTCTGTGTAGCCTGGTAACACCATACTGCTTTCTGCTGTGGGGCCTCCTGGGGTTAAAGTGTGGGCTTAAGACCCAGGTCTCTTAGCTAGAAGATATCTTATCCTCTGTATCCTGCACCCATATGCAAATACATTATTGTCATTACCCTTAACTATAGATGAAGATGAACAGTGCCTATTCCAGACCTTACTAGGTTCTGCTGGCCCGTCACCCATTTTGATCATGTTGCTGGCCTAGTTTGATTAGGGCAAATCTTAGAAACTCCATTTCCATTGTTGAGGAAGAGAACTAGAGAGCAGGCTGACCTGAATGCCAGCGTATCATGATGCAGACTTTCTAACGGATGCAGGTGTTCGGAAGAGTTGTGGATCGAAACGCCTTCATGATGGCTTGGAGGTGTAGGTAGCAAACTGACGTCACAGGAAGGAACACAATCTTGGGTACCTACTGGCAACGTTGGAGGGAGAAAGTGAGCATCAGGTGCCATCATTTTATAGTTGATCTATGTGATGAGGTTGGTATCGGAGCATAATTGGTACAAAGGAAAAATGACTTAGGCAGATGCAGACTCACGGGCCAGGCTATTTTATTAGGGCAGAATGATTTGGTCCTTTGTGGAAGAATTGGTGGAGTGAAGCGTGAATCTTTCCCAGCACAACCCAACAACAGTCCTGGCCCTAAGAAGTGGAGCATGGGAGTTGGGTGTGGTTCGTGCCTGTAGTCCCAGCTACTTGGGATGCTGAGGCTGGAGGATCGTTTGAGGGTGCAGTGAGCTATAATATAATATAATCACACCACTGCACTCCAGCCTGGGTGACAGAGTGAAACCCTGTCTGAAAAAAAAAAAAAAGAAAAAAAAAAAGTTGGAGGGAGGAGTGTTGGGTATTTTTTATGATTTTTGTCTCCTGGTTTCTGAAGAATGGCCAAAAAATTGTGTCTGACACAAAGGAAACTAATATAAAAAGCCAGGAGCTGTCTGAGATGAGAAAGGAAAGGGAGAATAGGGCACTTGGAGCTGAGCTGTGATTGTGCCTGTTCCAACCTGTCACTCCAGACTAAGGCCTCTTAGAGATGGTGTCTCCTTTCTCACAGAGGAGACATGGCTCTGAGGAAGATCTTACTGCAGGGGCTCGGGCTCAAGAATAAGGCTCCTGGACCTGGGCATGGTGTGTGCTGCTATCAGTGGATACGCCAGGCTTCCACTGCTGGCTGGAGGTTGGCTCTGCATGTCTGTGCCTTCCTAGGAGGAGGATGCAATAGTGAGTCAGACTGGCATGGGTGGGGCCACATGTCCTGGCAGGCACTGTCCAGGCAGCTGGCATGAGGGAGAGGAGTCTTTCCCAGAAGTCCGCCCTGAGAAACCAAGGCTGGGCTGCTCTCCTGGAGCCAGGGGAGTCCAGTGAGTGTTTTACATACAACTCTAGGTACGTGGTTGGTGGGATGGGCAGTTTGTGCTGGGAAGAGGCTTGTGGAGGATTTTGGAGAAGGCAGGAGAGCTCTGGCCCTCCCTGCAAGGGAGGCTTCAGGTCAGAGCCTGAGGAAAGACCTGGGCATGAGATATGAGGTCTCTGGCTGGGTAGAGAGCATGAAGGACACATGAGATCTGGAGTCTGGATGAACTTGCTGACAAGCAAGCTTTTTTTGACTGCTAATGCGTAAATCCACTATAGAAATTTTCATTTGTCATTTTTGTACTTATTGGCAAAAAATTAGAGCTTATAGGCATCAGATTTAATTTGAGATAGTTGAAATAGGGTTTGTGTTTGAGGCCAATATAATTTTATCTGCTAATGGCATCTCGTGGACTTGGAGGCAGCCCTTCTGTACCAGAACATTGTCAAAAGCTTTTACTGTAAAGCTTGAGAACAAACTAGTTTGCTGGATTTGGGCATGTAACTAACAGGTTTGAGGCATGGGATTATCCTGTGGACTTTTTTTTTTTTTTTTTTGCTTTGAGGTTCTGAATGTATTAAGGTTGACCTTCTTAAGCCGTTGAAACTGTTCTGCAGTACATTTGTGATGTAGGGCCTAAGACTTGTATCGTTTTTTTTTTTTAATCACAACCCAGTGTACAGAACTTGAGACATGCGTCTTTTCTCTGCCACCTTTTAAAAGCAGATTATTCTTGAAGTGCATAGAGCAGCAATTGATTAATGGAATTGGTGTCTTCACATTTCATTTACTTCCTCCCAACAATTTTATAGGATGCATATAAATATTTCCAAAAGAGGTACACATAATTTCTTACTATAAAAGTATTTTTATATTTATATCAGTAAATTTGTTAATAAAGAGGATTTTTTTTTTTCTGTAATCCTACCACCCCAATGACGTCCTATTAAAATTTCAGTATATATCCTCCCAGGTCTTTTAGGTATGTTTAATTTGGTGTCCCTTCCCCGCTCCCAAAAGGGGAGGGACCAGGTTCTTGTATAGAATAGTGGAATGTTAGTAAATCACAGGTTTAAAGAGACATAACAGTGGAATCTCTAGAGCAGCTGTCACCTGGATACCTGGTTATTAAGGTAATTTTTCCATTACCCCAAAGAGCTTTAGTTACACTCAGCTTTTTCCTTAATCCTTGTGCAGCTCTCCAGGGCACACCGTATTCAGCTCTGAGCGGTCTTTGCTAGTGAGGCCAAGGAGCCACCCTGAGCCAAAAGGGGAGCATTATGTCACCGGAAGCCCAACCCCAGAGAACCAAAGGTATGACCTGATATTCAGTGGCCCCAGCCAGGTCTTTACAGGAAGACCCTCATATCTCAGGTCTAAGAAGAGCCAGCTGATGGTTTTTAAAAAGAGTGGAATTAGTTACTCCAACCCACTTATTCAGATCTTATTTTGTTCACAATACAGTCCCTAGATTGTAGGCCCATTGGAGGCCACAGCAAAGCCTTTGTGTTCCAGTTGGCCTGATGTGCCATCTCTCAGTAATGTTCCCTTAACAGCCAGACTTCCCTAAGCCCAGCTGGGAGCTCTGAAGGTATGCGAGCCCTCCCTCAACCATGAGTGTAGGGAAAGGGACCAGGGGCCCCAGGCTTTCCTGTCAGTAATGCAGAAGTTCCTCAGATTTAGGGAAGGGGGAGCAGAGGCATAACTTTGATTCTGACAAAGAGGCATTCAGAGAGACTGAAAGGTCATTTAACAAACACTGGAATGCTTCCACATACTAGGTGCTAGGAGATACAAAACCATATAGGTCCTGGAAGGGAGGATTGATTTTTTCATTTTGGTACGTAGTAGATATTAGGGGCTTAGGAAATACACATCGAAATGAAGAGTGCATTTGCCATGTTGAACCGTTAGCCGGTATCTTATTTCCCCATTTTAAAAGTTTTAGAATCTGTGGTTGAGGACTTGTGGCCATCAGTTTTCCATAGCCAACAGACTGTTCACTACTGCCTTCAGAGCTCCTTGGACCTCAGCGGGCCTTCTTTGGAGATGGCAGAGATGGATTTAGATGTATACTCTACTCGAGCCACCCAGAGAGCCCACAAAGTCAGAGATGGAACAGGGTAAAGGAGTAAGGGTCATATGTGTGAGATGCCTTGATTTGGAACTTTGAGATTTAGGATGAGGTGGGGAAGGGCTAAAGAGGAGCTTGTTCCTGAGCCTTGCTTGGCCGAAGCATTTAGGCTCAAGCGTTTTAGAAAGAGTAGCCCTTGGTCTGAGAACTCAAGGAAACAGCTTTCTGATGAGACGTGTAGCAAGCTTCTGGTTCACATCCTTACCTGATAGTTCTTCAAACACTGCCTGGTCTGGTTCACATCCTTACCTGATAGTTATTCAAACACTGCCTGGAAGCTTCTCCTGAGTTTTTGTCTCTAATCAGCTAACTAACAGGCTGAGTGAGTTTAGTTGTAAGTCATTAATGAAGAAAGCAAAGGTTGGGGCCATTGTCAGGGTTGTGACCTGGGCTAGTTAATTACCTGGAACTGATGGTCTGTGTTACAGAGTGGTGGTATACTTGTCAGGCTTAGAAAAGAAATCAGGATGTGTATCAAAAATCATTTGGGGAAAAGATTTGACCAGCAACTTTAATTTCTCTATGTTTGCAACTATCCTGTTAATGTAGTTGTGATAATTTCAGAATTATACCAGTGCCCTTATGTTATCCTTGCTTTGCAAATTGCAAATTGCTTTGCGTGTCCTGACATCCTTCTGGCCAACAGTAGATGTGGTTTTAGGTTTAGACTCCTGGGATGGAAGCTTTTGCATTCAGGGGAATGACTTTGGGTTTGGGTGAGGATTGTAAAGAGGCAATATGGGTGCCCCACGACAAAGCAGCTATTTGTAGCTTTGTGACAGCTTGACATGCAGAGATCTAGGCTTATCAAGGCACTAAGCTAGGAGTCAGTTGTTTGTATCACTGGAAGATTGGTTACAACTTCCTTCATTGGAAGCTCCTTCAGTGCATGTTAAATGATGTTATTTATAGATAGGGTGGTGAGAAAGCTGTCTAGGTAGATGTCAGTCAGCCCAGTGTAAGAGAGACCTGCTTACTGTGGGTGCTTGGGACTATGTGGAGTGGGTGGGAGGTTTTAACTTGTTCAGTAAGGTCCTTTCCATTGTTCACAATCTGGTGAACCCTTTTTCTAACATGAGGAGCACCCACATAACCAGATCATGTCTGGCTTCCCTGTGGCTTGTGTACAAAGCGTGCTTATTGAGTTAATGTGTAAGCAGGAGACAGCCTTCTGTGCTAAATGGTATATTAACCACTTCTCAGTCTTACCACTCTCTTTCAATTTGTCTCGACCCAGGACCTCAGCAGCCATGTCGAAGCCCCATAGTGAAGCCGGGACTGCCTTCATTCAGACCCAGCAGCTGCACGCAGCCATGGCTGACACATTCCTGGAGCACATGTGCCGCCTGGACATTGATTCACCACCCATCACAGCCCGGAACACTGGCATCATCTGTACCATTGGTGAGTGGGTGTGCCCCTTCCCCCAAAAAAGGGCTTCATGGGCAGTGACCTTTCTCTCCTGAAAAGAGTAACTAAATGTCCTAACAAACCTAGGTGCTACATGGGATACTACACAGATTCTTATGAAAGGACTCAGGTCATAGGAAGTTGCAGTAAAGAATTAGTATGTGCATAGGATGGCAAATACAGTTAATAAGAGAGTATTAGACATTTCAAAATTGCTAAGATGGCGAGGTATGGTGGCTCCCAGCACTTTGGGAGGCCAACGTGGGAGGATTGCCTGAGCCTCGAAATTTGAGACCAGCCTGAGCAACTTAGACCCTGTCTCTCCAAAAAGTGAAAAAAAAAAAAAAAAAATTAGCTGGGCATGGTGGCATGCACCTGTAGTTCTGGCTACATGGGAGGCTGAGACAAAGATCACTTGAGTCCAGGAGATTGAAGTTGCAGTGAGCCATGATCACACCACTGCACTCCAGTCTAGGCAACAGAGCGAGATCCTGTCTTAAGAAAAAAAAATTGTCCGGGCGCAGTGGCACATGCCTGTAATCCAGCACTTCGGGAGGCTGAGGCAGGTGGATCACCTGAGGTCAGGAGTTCGAGACCAGCCTGGCCAACATGGTGAAATCCCATCTCTACTAAAAATACAAAAAAATTAGCCGGGGGTGGTGGCGGGTACCTATAATCCCAGCTACTTGGGAGGCTGAGGCAGGAGAATTGCTTGAACCTGGGAGGCGGAGGTTGCAGTGAGCTGAGATCTGACCATTGCACTCCAGCCTTGGCAACAAGAACGAAACTCTGCCTCAAAAAAAAAAGGAAGAAAAAAGAAAAAAACATCGCTAAGAGTAAATTTCAAATGTTCTCACCACAAAAATGTTAAGTATTTGAAGTCATGGATATGTTAACTAACCTGATTTAATTATTCCACATTGTATCCAAACTGTATGTATTGGATTACATAACTTTGTAACCCAAATTATAAATTACCAGTTTATAATAAAAAATAATTTGTTGCAAAAAGAATCCATATGGTTTAGGTTTTATGCTATAGGCAAAATTTAGAAGATGTTTTCCTTAGCAGGTCTTTGTAGGAGCAACTTAAAGACCTAGGAAAGATCTTTCTAACATGTTCTGTGCTACCAAGATTCTGTGGTTGGACATCTGGCTGGGTTTCAGTGAGGGTGGAGAAGGCTGGCCAAGTCTTAACCTAGGCTTTTCTGATACAGTGGGAGCCTGCAGAACTTGAAGGAAATGGTCGAAGTGTCCCAGTAGATCAAGAAAGTAAGCTGGCACGGTAGTAGCCTTCCATGCACTTTTTAAAGACTTTTGAGCTATTTGGGAGAGGAAAAGTTTTCAGGGAAAAAAATTCTTTAAACTTAAGCAAACTTAAATGTTTTTCCTTCTTTGAATAATTAATACTTGTGGCTTTAAAACTTTTCCTAATAGGCCCAGCTTCCCGATCAGTGGAGACGTTGAAGGAGATGATTAAGTCTGGAATGAATGTGGCTCGTCTGAACTTCTCTCATGGAACTCATGAGGTGAGCTGTGGCTGGACCCTATGGCCATTGTGATGGCCTGTAGGAAACAGGGAGGGGGTGCAGTGTTCGTTTAGCCACAGTGGACTAGACAAGGATGAGTCTGAGTTTCACAGTCAGTGTGAAGTTTGTCTTTACTAGCCCATCCCTACTCTCCTTCCCTCTTGTCCTGACAAAGCAACTGGCTGAGTCTCTTTTAGCAAAAAGGACCCCCTTTGTTGCTGGCTGTGGTTCTCCCACACACCTCTCCTACCCTTAGCTTTTACAAAGGAAGATATGGAAAGGTTCTACTGGAAAACCCTCTAAGCCTTAGGTGTCCTGGCCACAGCGCTTGACTCTCCTGTCCCAGGGTTTCTGCTTCACCTTGTGTTGCCATGGTAAACCATCTAGCAGATTGATTCTAGCTTAGAACCAAAATAACTGGGCAGGTCCATGAGAACGGTTTCCACTATTCTAAGTTTTGAGGGACTGAGCCTAATGCATAAGCACTATCTGGGGTGTAATACCCCACTTCCTCAGCACTGTATTCTCAGCCTGTGCCTTCCCAGGGGTTCTGGTACATTAAAATAACACCAGTTAGCACTCTTCCCCAGGAGCCTAGTAGGACTGTATTTGTGCTGGGCTCTTTATTAGCTGGCTTTACCTATGGACAGAGGCCTTGCCCAGGAGCCAGGTAGCAGCTGTTGGGATGGCTCCATTCCTGCCTCCATTGCCAGATTTAGAATTAACCCATTCTGAGGAGCTTGGGGTTCCCTGAGGTACCATGACTTATTTATTTTTTTATTTTATAAAACAAAATTTTGCTCTGTCATCCAGGCTGGACTGCAGTGGTATGATTATGGCTAACTGGATCCTTGACCTCCCAGGTTCAAGTGATCCTCTTGCCTCAGCCTCCCGAGTAGCTGGGAATACAGGCATGCACCACCACACCTGGCTAATTTAAAAATTTTTTTGGGGGAAATGAGGTCTCACTATATTGCCTTGGCTGGTCTCAAACTCCTGGGCTCAAGTGATTCTCTCAAATGTTGGGATTACAGGAATGAGCTACCATGCTCAGCCTGGGATTGTGCCTTTTTAAAACCTTCAGACTTAACCATAGGTTTCCCATAGATCATGGGATTTCGTAATGGCATTGATAAGAGGAATTACAGAAGAGGCAAACTTTGCACCTGTCTTGGCTTCTGTATTTCCTGTTGAGAGTAAAGAAAATGCTATCCTGTAAGGCCAATTGCCTTACAGAGGTTGCCCTCTGGCATTTGGAAGTTGGTATTAAGTTTGGACTAAAAATAAAGCCTCAGGAAATGCAATCCAAGAGTGAATTCCTCCTTTTGGGAAACACAAGACTCTTCATCATAGATTCCCTAACCTGTGTTCATAAACAGCCTATGGCCTGGCTAGTGGCTGGCCCTTAAATGTCATGGGGACCTGACCAAGTCCAGCAGACATACCATGTAGGTTAAGACATGTCCCTGTACCTTTTGGAAAATTCTGTAGTTTTCCAAAAGCAAGGGGTCCTTAGCAGGAGTCACCGAGAATTACTTGTTAGAGAATTAAGTGTTAGCTTAGCTTAGAGAGAGCTGAAGACAATGCTGGAGGTCTGTTCGCTGTTGATCCCTGCTGCTGTAGTCTGCCATGGGCTCCTGCATTCAGGGGAAGGAGCAGAAATAGATTTTTAAGAAGTTGACCTTTAAGTAGGCTTTATGGTTCCTTCATCCAGTAAAATAACACCACATAGCTCTAACATGGCAAGGGCGAGTGATACCTGCCACACCTGCTGGATGAGAGCTGGCTCCGATTTTGGTATTTTAAACTTTAAGAGGCTTTTGGAGATTATCTCTACTTTCACTCCTATTCCCAGATTATAATTAAGATTTATTTTTTATTTTTTATCTATTTATTTTTTAAAGATGTCCCTCTTGTGTGTTCATTTTGAAGTTTTAGACCAAGATGAGGTTGTGTGTGGGCTCAGCTTGGAAACTGATCTGAAATTATTCTAATTTATATAATGTAATGTAAACAGTTTCAGCCTTACCATACGTCAGGGCTATCGTTTCATGTGCACCTTTGACTAGGGGCTGGGGCGTACTTTTCCAGTTTCTGACTATTTTAAATGCTCTTCTGAGCAGAACGTTGAGATTACTGTCTTCCCTCTCACTCTGACAGAGGGACATCAAATGTCTGCATCTGATCTTTTAACAGCTTTTTTTTTTTGAGACAGAATCTTGCTCTGTTGCCCAGGCTGGAGTGCACTGGCACAATCTCTGCTCACCACAACCTCTGCCTCCCAGGTTCAAGCAATTCTCATACCTCAGCCTCCTGAGTAGCTGGGATTACAGACCTGTGCCACCACGCCCAGCTAATTTTTTTATATTTTTAGTAGAGACGGGGTTTCGCCATGTTGGCCAGGCTGGTCTTGAACTTGTGACCTCAGGTGATCCGACTGCCTCGGCCTCCTAAAGGCGTGAGCCACCACGCCCAGCCCTCTTTTAACAGCTTTGGCAACTAGTCTTCAGCCCTCACTTTTGGCAGTTCACATGGGCAAGATGCATTCTTGCTGAACATGTGGTTCCATATGCCATGTTTTCCAGATTTATTTATTTATTTATTTATTTATTTAGAGAGGGAGTCTCGCTCTGTCATCCAGGCTGGAGTGCAGTGGCACGATCTTGGCTCACTGCAACCTCTGCCTCCTGGGTTCAAGAGATTCTTCTGCCTCAGCCTCCTAAGTATCTGAGATTACAGGCACCTGCCACCACACCCGACTAATTTTTGTATTTTAGTAGAGACTTGGTTTCACCTTGTTGGCCAGGCTGATCTCGAATTCCTGACCTCAAGTGATCCATCCGCCTTGGCCTCCCAAATTGCTGGGATTACAGGCGTGAGCCACCACACCTGGCCTAGAAATAATGACTTTTAAACAACCTAAATGTAGAGCCTTCCACAGGACAGCATTGATGGATGCTTTACCACATAACATCCCAATAAAGCCACAGCTGAAGTGGAAGACTCAGTACACCTCCCAGAGATGCTCTAAGAGATTATGATATATGACATAGATTTGAATAATATACCTAATAATTGGTATGTTTATAATATATGGTTTTACATCCCCAAGACCAAAAATGCATGTTTGCATGAAACACTCATGGTTACAAAAATATATTAGGCCACCAAAAAAACCCCCACGTTTCATAAAGTAGAAATTATACAGACACATTCTCTGATAAAATTTTTTAGTGGAAATTAAGAACAAAGTCAAGAAAACTGAAGTGTGCTTACTTTAGAAAGCAAAGATCTCAAGGTAGATGAAATAAATATTTAACTCAGAACACTAGGGGAGGAAAACCCTAAAAAGGGTGAAGAAAATAATTTTGTAAGATTATAGCTCAATGAAATGAAAATAAATTTGACAGATTAAGCTAAGAGCTGATTCTTTGTGGGGAAAAAATAGTAAAATAGAAAGTTCTGAGAAGCCAGGTGAAGAATGCGAGGATGTGCAAATAAGAGTATGAATAGAAAAGAGAATATTTCCTACACATTGGAGATTTTAAAAGTCAAGAAAGACTTATAACTTAATTCCTATATAGAGAGATGACTCTGGCTATTTTCAAAGAAAAGATAAATATCCAAAAGATAGAAAATATGAATAGACCAGTGGCCATAAGAAGTTGAAAAAGTGGGCTGGGCGTGCGGTGGCTCACACCTGCAATCCCAGCACTTTGGGAGGCCAAGGCGGAGGGATCACTTGAGGTCAGGAGTTCGAGACCAGCCTGGCCAACATGGTGAAACCCTGTCTCTACTAAAAATACAAAAATTGGCTGGGCATGGTGGCACATGCCTGCAGTCCCAGCTACTCGGGAGCCTGAGGCAGGAGAATCGCTTGAACCTGAGAGGTGGAGGCTACAGTGAGCCAAGATCGCGCCACTGCACTCCAGCCAAAAAGTTGAAAAAGTGATTAAGATCTGGTTCACCTCAGAACACTTAAGTCCAAATGATTTTAGTGGCTGAATTGTCTCCCCTTCAAAGTTCAGTTACATTGTTAAACTGTTCCAGAGCCTAGAGAAATATAGAAATCTTCCCACTGTGTTCTTTGAAACCAATATACGCTGATACTGAGATCAAACAAGGACAGTACCAAAACCAGGCAGGTACTAACAGTTAGTGTGCTAGACCAGTCTCACTTAGATGCAGAAAACAAATAAAATTTAATAATCCAAATCCAGTAGTGATTGAAAGGAATGTCTTGATCCATGACCAAGTAGATTTTATTCTAGGAGAACAAAATTCTACATCGGGATTAAGTAGAGTTAAGGTTGACATTTTTTTTTTTTTCTTCTGAGACGGAGTCTCGCTCTGTCACCCAGGCTGGAATGCAGTGGCACGATCTCGGCTCACTGCAACCTCTGCCTTCCGGGTTCACACCATTCTCTTGCCTCAGCCTCCCGAGTAGCTGGGACTACAGGCGCCTGCTACCACGCCCGGCTAATTTTGTTTTTGTACTTTTAGTAGAGACGGGGTTTCACCATGTTAGCCAGGATGGTCTCGATCTCCTGACCTTGTGATCCCCCCTCCTCGGCCTCCCAAAGTGCTGGGATTACAGGCGTGAGCCACTGCGCCTGGCCTGAGTTAAGGTTGACTTTTAAACAACCTAAATATAGCTAAATATAGAGCCTTCCGCAGGACAGCATTGATGTGTGGAACTCTTATCCACGTGATAACATCCCAACAAAGCCACAGCTGTAGTGGAACTCAGTACACCTGAGTCTTATCATTATAAGATGATAATAGGTAACATTTATTAGATAATTACCATGTACTTTGTCCTAATACTTCATGTATTCTTTTACTCCTCACGTCAACTCTGAAGGAAAGGCACCACCTATCCCCTTAAAAGAAAACAACTATTACTATTCTTTTTTTTTTTTTTCTTTTAGAGACGGAATCTCACTCTGTCTGTCGCCCAGGCTGGAGTGCAGTGGCACGATCTCGGCTCACTGCAACTTCTGCCTCCTAGGTTCAAGTGGTTCTCTTGCCTCAGCCTCCTGAATAGCTGGGACTACAGGTGCACGCCACCACGCCCAGCTAATTTTTGTATTTTAAGTTGAGACGAGGTTTCACCATGTTGGCCTGGTTGTTGTCAATCTCTTGATCTCATGATCCACCCGCCTTGGCCTTCCAAAGTGTTTAGATGACAGGTGTGAGCCACCGCGCCCAGCCTCTATTCTATTCTATTTTGTTCTATTTCTATTACAAGCCAGTAAGCAAGAAAATATCATAATTTATAAGGAACCCTATAAAAAACAGACAAGCCAAGGGTCTGTCATTAGGAAGTATGCCTGAATAAGAAGCTGAAGATTTTTAGACACAGGTTTCAGGCAACACTGTCTTTAGAGGCTAGGCTCTGGCTCCAGCTCCCTCCAGCCTCCTGTGAATAACAGGCAGGCTTACTTGCAGGTGCCACTTTCCTGGACAGTGGTGGTTAAAGGACAAGGCCCAGAAAGTGCTGAATTAGGTGCCCTTGTTACCGCTAATGTCTTATTGATGACACTATCTTAGAGCTCTTTTGACATCTTGGCTCTGCGTCTTTTTTTTTTTTTTTTCTTGAGATAGGGTGTTGCTTTGTTATCCAGGCCGGAGTGCAGTGGTGTGATCATGGCTCACTGTAGCCTTGACCTCCTAGACATAACCCACCTCAGCCTCACAAGTAGCTGGGACCCCAGGCACGCACCATCATGCACAGTTAATTTTTGTGTTTTTTGTAGAGACGAGGTTTCGCCATGTTGCCCAGGCTCATCTCAAACTCCTGGCCCAAACTGTCCTCCCACCTTAGCCTCCCAAAGTGTTTGGTTTATAGGCATGAGCCACTGTGCTTAGCCTGAGTCCCTCTTTTAAACAAACAAAATGGTAAATGGAAAGGAGGAAAGGCTTAAGAAAAAAGATTGAAGCCAGGATTTGTTGTAAGCAAGGAGTAATAAAGGGCAGTTCATTTAGAGAAAGGCATATGACCACCTTTCCCCCTCCAATCAGAATCTAGAAAGTGATTGAGGCCGGGCGCAGTGGCTCACGCCTGTAATCCCAGCACTTTGGGAGGCCGAGGTGGGCGGATCACGAGATCAGGAGATCGAGACCATCCTGGCTAACATGGTGAAACCCCGTCTCTACTAAAAATCGAAGAAGTTAGCCAGGCGTGGTGGTGGGCGCCTGCAGTCCCAGCTACTCGGGAGGCTGAGAGGCAGGAGAATGGCGTGAACCTGGGAGGTGGAGCTTGCAGTGAGCCTAGATAGTGCCACTGCACTCCAGCCTGGGCGACAGAGCAAGACTCTGTCTCAAAAAAAAAAAAAACAAAGCGATTGAGAAAATCAGGTCTGTGTGACCTTAGCAATGAGTTATTTAGCTTGGGCCACTGTTAGCTTAAGTCAATAACTTCAAGTTTGCGTTGTAGTTGGAATCAATAGAGGAAAAGCTCTCAGCATTACCACATATATCAGAATGTGACATTGATTGCCAGACCAGCCTTATCCAAACACAAGTCCTAGGCTTTTTGCCCTGTTTATGAGCTTTATATGCTGAGGGTATTTGATGAGTCTTAGGGAAAAAAGAACAGCCCTGGGGACACAGCTGCTTTTATGATGAGACATGTTTGCACCCATACCTTAATGGGTTTTGGTGGCAATATTCTGAAATTTGCCACCTACATTTCAAAGATTTGCCCTTTGGGTGAATTAGTGCTGTAGTAGAAGTGGGTGGAGGCTGAGGAGGTTGGATTAAGCAGGTAGAGGATTTCTCAGTGCATGGATCGTGCTGAGGATGGAGATAGAGCTCTAAGACATCCACGGGCCTTTCCTGAGTGATCAGCTTTGGCTCCTGGGCAGGGGAATTGGAGCTGGATTCTAGTGTGGGAGCACGCTTGTCATCTTCCTTCTTTTCCCCCAGTACCATGCGGAGACCATCAAGAATGTGCGCACAGCCACGGAAAGCTTTGCTTCTGACCCCATCCTCTACCGGCCCGTTGCTGTGGCTCTAGACACTAAAGGACCTGAGATCCGAACTGGGCTCATCAAGGGCGTGAGTATTCTGCGGAGAGCGAGGGGAAGGCTCAGTAGGCAATATGCCCCAGAGACATGTCCTCCAAAGCGCTGGGTTGCCATGTTTCTTCCCAGTACTATGAAGGACTGCAGAGGAGTTGAGGTCTACAAATGAGGATTTATTCATCACTGTAAACAATGTTGATTTGATCTACTTTGCTAGGAAATGGTACCACAAAGGAACCTTTTTTTTTTACCCTAAAAACCTAAACTTTAGGCTTTCTAACTTGGAGAACCATCTCTTTGTATCTTTTTCCCCATCATTAAGTAGCATAACTGAAACATATTCTTTTCTTGGATTATTTCCGTGAAGTATACAGAGTTAGAGAATAAGAGCAAAAAACTGTATTACTTTTAGCAGTGACTTGAGCATTGTTCCCGGGAGGAAAGAGCTTTTCCATTCCTTCTGAGGTGATGCTGCTACTGGTGTCTCCAGTTTGGACTCTTGCTTACTCTCTTGTCCCTAGAGCGGCACTGCAGAGGTGGAGCTGAAGAAGGGAGCCACTCTCAAAATCACGCTGGATAACGCCTACATGGAAAAGTGTGACGAGAACATCCTGTGGCTGGACTACAAGAACATCTGCAAGGTGGTGGAAGTGGGCAGCAAGATCTACGTGGATGATGGGCTTATTTCTCTCCAGGTGAAGCAGAAAGGTACGTATGGGAGCTGGAGTCCAGTTGTCTAAAACAGTCTTTTGTCTCTAAACTTCCTTGACACAAGGAAGATGGGAAGGTTGGTTGCCTGGCAGTGAGATTGAGTCTGTGTGTTCTCAGGAATCCCTTTTATAACTCATTTATCCTCAAAGATAGGCTTTAATCCAGCATAGTTACATTCTTCTGGTTCTGGAGAACACAGGAACATACATACATATATATATATATATACATATATATATATATATATATATATATATATATATATATATATATTTGTTTCGCTGTGTTTTGTTTTGTTTTCAAGACAGAGTCTCGCTCTGTTGCCCAGGCTGGAGTGCAGTGGCATGATCTTGGCTCACTGCAACCTCTGCCTCCAGAGTTCTAGCTATTCTCCTACCTCAGCCTCCTGAGTAGCTGGGATTACAGGCACCCGCCACCACACCCGGCTAATTTTTTTGTATTTTTAGTAGAGATGGCGTTTTGCCATGTTGGCCAGGCTGGTCTCAAACTCCTGACCTCAGGTGATCTGCCTGCCTTGGCCTCCCAAAGTCAGAACAGTCTTAATTATCCTTATTTATGGGTGAGGAAAGTGAGGTACAGAGAGGTTAAATGGCTTGCCCAGGATTACACAGTGTAGTAGGTTTTCAACTCTGGTAAAACAGCTCCAGCACCCATAATGCACCACTTCCCAGCTCACTGTCCTTGCGGGAAAGGTGCCTGCTTCCTGTTGACCTGTGCCCTCGTGCTCTGCCTCCCCTACTTACCCTTTTTCATACAGGTGCCGACTTCCTGGTGACGGAGGTGGAAAATGGTGGCTCCTTGGGCAGCAAGAAGGGTGTGAACCTTCCTGGGGCTGCTGTGGACTTGCCTGCTGTGTCGGAGAAGGACATCCAGGATCTGAAGTTTGGGGTCGAGCAGGATGTTGATATGGTGTTTGCGTCATTCATCCGCAAGGCATCTGATGTCCATGAAGTTAGGAAGGTCCTGGGAGAGAAGGGAAAGAACATCAAGATTATCAGCAAAATCGAGAATCATGAGGGGGTTCGGAGGCAAGTCCCCGTTGTCCCTGCTCCAGTCCCAGCGCAGCTCTCCGAAGGGCATGGTCCATCCTGTGAATGTCTGATTCCCAGCCCCTAGCCCATCAGAATGTAGACTCCCAAGCCAGTTCCAAACCTGCTGAATCAGAATATCTTAGGAGAGTAGAAGGCATTATGTTTTTTTGTTTTTGTTTTTTTGTTTTTTTTAAAAAAAAGCTTCCCAGGTAATTGAGATGCTGGCAGCTTGACATTGTTCCCTGGGCCTGGGGACCAACATTTGAGAGAACAGGGTCACTGCTCACAGGACCAGGGGCCATGATGTTCTGTTCCTGATCAGAAACACTACCAGTGTTTGCTGGAATGGGGGGACCAGGGGGAAAGATGACAGCAGACACTTAAGAAAGGGCTCTTTTTGGCCCTTCCTGGGGAGCCATGTGGAATTTCAGGGCCTGGTGTCCATGTTAAAGCTTATGGCCTCCTGGTCTTCACTTAGAATGCAGCTGGCTCAGTGATCATGCTAACTCTGGTATGGTCCATTCCACTCTCAGAGGAAGATGTGTGGTTCTTCTCCAGTTTCAGATTGCCCCAACTTAGCTTACCCCCTCCCCAATGCTCACAAAGTAGAGCCCAGTGGGCATGGCCACCATTTTTGGCATCCTGCTAGGAATACAACTCAGCACAACTAAGATGCTAGACACACTCTTGTGGATTAGAAGTGTGTTTGGGGAGGGTGGGGGAGCAACCCTGTGCACCCACTGTAGTGGCCTTACTGTCTGAGCTTTGTGTAGATATCCTCTGTACCAGGCAATTTGGGGTCCTCCCCTTTGCCATCCTGATAAGCCATAGGCTAGCTGAACTTGGCCCTAGGCCAGGCAAAGCCACATTCCCTCTTGCCTTCAGCAGGTTGGAGTGGGCCACCTCAAAGGGCAGTCCTCAAGTGTCCTTGACTAGATGAGGCCATGGGTCTTTGTGGTGGAAGCAGTCATCAGGCCTCAGGTTCCCTGTCTTGAAGTGCTGATTGGAAAATGGAGGCCCTAGAGAGACCCCTAACATGCATGGGATTTGGAGAGGAGACCTTGGGAATGAGCCCATTTGGATTTGCCCTCTCCCCTTTCTTCCGTCAATGAAGCATCCATATTGGTGTTGAAGCCCAGCAGGCAGAATTGTTGGCCCACTCTGGGGGCCTAAGGTAGCTGGACTGCCTTGCCATCTGTGTGCACCCATGATGATATCATGGATGTCTGTCCTGGTACAAGGACATCTAAGTTAGGGAATCCCAGGGAAACTTCTTGTCTACTGCCATACTTGTGGCCTCTGTTCTATATAACCTCTCTCCCCCCAACTTTGTCCATCAGGTTTGATGAAATCCTGGAGGCCAGTGATGGGATCATGGTGGCTCGTGGTGATCTAGGCATTGAGATTCCTGCAGAGAAGGTCTTCCTTGCTCAGAAGATGATGATTGGACGGTGCAACCGAGCTGGGAAGCCTGTCATCTGTGCTACTCAGGCATGTGCCCACCCTTCCCCACATTCTCATGTGCACACTCGCATGTTTGTATGGGAAAGCTCTGGAGGCTGTCTGATCTCTTCCCATGGAATTGTCGCACGTAACACACAGATAATCCCCTTCCCCCATGTACCTACACAAAGCCATACTCTGTGTACCTACTCACTATCCAGAGGATCAGCTTGCTGTCATTTGTCTCTGAAGACAGCTCAAGCTACATCTCACTAATGCTCTGTCCCCTCCCAGATGCTGGAGAGCATGATCAAGAAGCCCCGCCCCACTCGGGCTGAAGGCAGTGATGTGGCCAATGCAGTCCTGGATGGAGCCGACTGCATCATGCTGTCTGGAGAAACAGCCAAAGGGGACTATCCTCTGGAGGCTGTGCGCATGCAGCACCTGGTGAGTTCTGGGGCCTGCCCCATCCCCCAGGGCTTCGGACTGGGCCTGGGATGGATGCAAGCTCTGGTGCAGAGCTTTTTAGGTTTCTCCATCCTCTTATGCACAGCCTTTCATTATCCTCCAAGTTACAGCAGCAAGAGGGTGGGGGTGGAAGTGGAGGTGGCTTTTTTTTTTCTCCTGTTCTGCATTCCTGCCCACACCCCCACCCCTCCATTTCCTTCTGCTCTGGAGGCATCCTCCTTCATTGGACACCACACAGTTTATTTCACTTCTGACTTCAAGGTTGTGAATTCTTCCCATGGCTTAAGTCCTGGGATACTTCTGCAGTGAAAGGAGGTCTTGTACCTCTTCCTCAGAGTCAGAAGTTCTGAGTACCTTTGCCCTATTCTGAAAAGGGCTAGGGGCTCCTGCTCCCAGCTGCCCTCTTCCTTTGGCTTCCAATTCAGTTCCCTCTGCCCCGCATCCTGCAGACAGGCGCTCCCGCAGGGGGCCCTTGTGGACCTGCACTGGAGTCTGTTGCCTTCACTGAGCTGCCTGTGCTGGCCTTGCATGGTGCCTGTAGGGGGATTTGCTTTGCTGTGCCATTGGGGTACAGCTGCTGCTCTTACTCTAGACCAAAAAGTCGGGTTGAGTGACTGGTGGCAGGGCCACAGATAGAGACAGCGGGGAGGGTGGCTGACCCTGGCGGCCCTGGACTGAGCGTCTGGAGGAGTCGTGGAGGCTCTTTCCCTTCTTTCTCCTCTGAGAGCTCGTTCTTCAGGCTCTTCCAGCTTGTCATGTCGAGTGCCTGGCCACTGCTCAGGGTTGGAGGCTCAGTCCCTTTGCCCTGTCTGTTCCAGCTCTGGAGCTAACTCAGGGATCCCTGATCAGGGTTACATAGGTTTGGTAAAATGAGTGCTGGAAATTAACTTTCTCCCAGTAGTCTTAGGTCATGCTCAGTGAACTTAAACTTTATCCAGATATGGTTTTCCTTCAGCCTTTCTATTCCCTTTCTAGCCAGTGAAAGACCCGCTGCCCTTTGACCTCAGCCCCTCCAAGCCCCCAAGTTTAAAACGCCACCCCCTGCCACCAGAAAAAACAGAAAAAAAAAAAAAAAAAAAAAACTAAAACACCCATCTGGTCTGGGCATCTTCCTTTCCTTTTTCACTATGTATCCTGTTACTGGGCTTAAACAGCTTTCAGAGAAGAGATGTCATTTCTATTAAATGCTCTTTCAGTAGCGAACTGAGTTCACACTTGACTAAGGATATTTTCCGGACTGTCTGTCATCAGCATCCTTAGTGGGTTTCCCCATATTTAAATTGGTAGAGGCCAGGGATGGTGGCTCACACCTGTAATCTCAGTACTTTGGGAGGCCAAGGTAGGTGGATTGCTTGAGCTCAGAAGACCAGCCTGGGCAACCTGGTGAAACCCTGTCTCTACTAAAAATTCAAGTTAGCTAGCTGGGCATGGTGATGCACTTCTGTAGTCCCAGCTACTTGGAGAGGGGGTGATGCTGGGGCAGCAGGATCGCTTGAACCCAGGAGGTTGAGGTTGCAGTGAGCCAAGATGGTACCAGCCTAGGTGACAAAGTGACACCCTGTCTCAAAAAAGAAACCAAACAAACATAAAAAAAAAAACAAAAAAATCGGTAGAGAGTGATTTCTCTCCCAGGCCCACTTAATGTAGACTGGGCCTGGCTGACACCTCACCATTCGTGTGATGTGATTGCTGTTCTGATGCTTAGATACTCTTGGCGCAGTCTCACAATTGCCACCATGGTAGGAAGGTGTCCCAGGAGACGGTGCACCTTGAACCAGTCACCACTAAAGTGGCTGCCTTTCTGGGTCTCTCCACACATCCCCTCTCTCTAATTTCCCTACTTAATCGTGTGACTTCATGGTCTCAAAGGAGGAACAGAGGCTGATCTTGACTTAGATATACTGAACCATGAAATCACTGCATAGAATGTGGGGACTTGAATGTGTCTTTGGGCAAGTCATTTAACCTCTTAAGACCTCATCTGTAAAATGGATTAGATATGTTTAATTATAGCCTTAGCATTAAATATTCATTGCTGTTATTATTAAGTGTCTGATAAGTCTCTGTGTACATGGATGTAATCTTCCTAACTCCCATTACCTCCATTTATAGATGAGGGTTATATGGCCAATAAAGCCTGGGTTTGAATCTAGGTCTACTGCCTCCAAAGCCAGTCTTCTCTCCTGCAACATCATGCTCTGTCTAGCAGGAGATGAGAACAGGTCTCCATTTGGAGCCTGTCAGTGGGGTCAGAGACTAAGATTCAGGCTCAGGGTCTAAATTCCATATCCTTTCTTCCATACCCTGGTGTTTCCTATGAACAGATAGATACTTTAGGGCTGCAAGGTTTGGATTGCATGGCACTGCTCAGAAGATAAGTTACAGGTCTGGGCTAGGCTGTAGCTGCCCCTCCAGGTGGCTAGACCTTTCCTTTCTGTGTCACCAGTTAACACTGGCCAACAGTTCCTTCCATTAACTGTTCACTGCTTTCTCCTGTGTCTAACTGATGCAGTTTATGACCCATAACTAAGAGCAGTACCAGGTATGGCTCTGTTTCCTGTTCATGTCCCCTGTCCTCTGGGCTGCATGCATTCCGTTCTTACAGAAAGAATACCTTTAACCTAGTACATCCTGCCACACATCTGCTTCTACTGTGAAATTGATGAGGGGGTATTACCGATTCTTCCCTCACCCATCATTTACTGAGATGCTGGTGATTGCATTATAATCCTCTAAAGCTTACATTGTCTTTCTGATTCTTGGTCTTATCTGAGCAAGTGATCTATAAATAACTCAGTGGCTTTCTCATGACTGTTTTAATTATTAGATTTTAATCAAGTGTCTTATTAAATATATCTGCATGCTTCCACAGGCATCTGTCTCTTCACATGGCTGTTCAGTGTGCCTCTCACAAGTTAGCCCACGTTTTCTGTTCTCCTGCTTCAAACTCAGTTGAGCTGCCTTGCTTTGGCTTTGATCCCAGCTTTCCAGCGCTGCTCAATCTGTTGCCATGGCAGGCCATTGGAAAGGCTCAGTGCATCCCCGTGCCTGAAGCCAAGTGAGCGCTCACTCCATGCATGCATGGAGGCTGGGCAGGAGCCTGCCTAATCAACCAGCCATGTGAGGAGGGAGGGCCTGTTCCTTCCTGTAAGCTATGTCATGAGGCAGCGTGGTCAAGTCCTCTGCCAGGGAGTGGCCTGGGCCCAGCCTGGGCATGTTTTCATGCCAGGGTGCTAGAGCCTACTGCCAGATTGTCTCCCTCCACCCCCAATGAAAAAATCCTTCCAGAAGGGAAGAGCCAATTTCCCCTGTATTGGAGGGGAAGTGGCAGCACCTCCTGAAGCAGTTGGACTTTCATCACCCTACCTCTGCATCTGCCTGAAGGACAGATTTAGCCAATTAACCTAAGGTTACCTTCCTCTCTGATAAATTCCCCATTCTGTCTTCCCATGTGTTGTGTCTCGTTTTTTTCCTCCTCCTTCCCTCTTCCTTGCCCCCTCTTCCCCTAAACCTTACAGATAGCTCGTGAGGCTGAGGCAGCCATGTTCCACCGCAAGCTGTTTGAAGAACTTGTGCGAGCCTCAAGTCACTCCACAGACCTCATGGAAGCCATGGCCATGGGCAGCGTGGAGGCTTCTTATAAGTGTTTAGCAGCAGCTTTGATAGTTCTGACGGAGTCTGGCAGGTAGGGCCCTAAGGGCAGGTAACACTGTTAGGATAACCAGCCTCTTGCTCCACCTGCTCTAGGAGAAGACAGCCAGGCCCAACCTGGCATCTGGGCACAGAGCCTCTTCTCGTCTGTAGGAACACCGCCAGGGAGGTCATGGCAGGGCAGGACCAAAGGGTCCTGTGGCTCAGTAGGCACAGTAGATGTCACAGGCACTTGGTGAAGGACTGGTTTCTGTGGAGTCTTGATCTTGGCTCAGCTCAGAATCTCCAGTGATTGGGCTCCTCTTGGCCTTTGTTCCCAGGAACATGTTCCTCACCAGCTGTCCGGTGACTCTTCCCCTCCCTCTCCTTTTGTGACAAAGCTCTGACAAAGCTCTGTCCCCCTCTCGTCCCTCTGGACGGATGTTGCTCCCCTAGATTGCCCGTGAGGCAGAGGCTGCCATCTACCACTTGCAATTATTTGAGGAACTCCGCCGCCTGGCGCCCATTACCAGCGACCCCACAGAAGCCACCGCCGTGGGTGCCGTGGAGGCCTCCTTCAAGTGCTGCAGTGGGGCCATAATCGTCCTCACCAAGTCTGGCAGGTAGGAGGCGGCAGCGGCTCCCTGGAATGCCCTGCTCAGTGGTACCTCACCTTGGGGGTCCTGGGAGCAGTCCATTGAACAATGCTCAGGTGGCACTGAGCCAAGGTAAGACCCCTCTGCCTGCCACCTTGGGCCTGCAGGGAAGGATTGAGCAGAGCCCCTTCCCTGGGCCCAAAGGACTCTAGGTAGCACTCATAAGGAATGTCAGAACATTTGGATCAAAAGCAAATTTATGCTGGAGATTTATTACATAACAGTGCACAGGCTGACTACAAATGGTTATTTGATATTGAAAATTTAGTCCTCTAAAATTGTAAAAGATAACCACTTTTGCTTATTCCAGTTACTATGTGCTCTTTAAAAATTTCAGTTGGGAAATGAATTTATTTAAATGCTGTTTACTGTGCCTCCATTTGGCACACTAGTCCCTGCTGTTTTTGAGCCCTAAAGACAAATTGGGTTCCAGCTCAGGAGAGGTTGCTGTGCTATCTTGGCTGACATTCTGTGGGGCCTGGCAGCCAGGCTGAGGACTGTGTGGCCTATGCTGGGCCTCCAACTTGGGATCCCTTCCTTGGCCCAGGACATTGAGTTAATGTCCTTCACTCTCCTAGTTAGGGAGTATGCTCCTTGTCCCTGTCCACAGGGCAGCAAGGGTTTCCTGGAAGAGGGGAGCAAACAGGCAGTGCCCATGCACTGAGGAGCAGCAGATGGGCGTGGGCAGCCCAGAGAACCAGGACACAAGCTCTGTGCAGATGCCCTCAGCAGAGGGCTCCAGCCTCCCACTCTTGGCTGAACAGCTCCAACCCGTAGGGTTGACCTTTCTTAAAAGGTCCAGTTCTTGCTGTTTGGCTATTTTAAGCTCTAGTCTTCTGGGGTTTCACTCAGCTGGTCCTGGCTTCAGCAATTGCTTCCCTCTGAAGGCCTTGCATAGAGGCCAAGCGTGAAGTGCAGGGACTTCTCTGCTGTGATGTGGCTTAAGTTTCCCTGACACCTGTTGAGTGTCCTCATAACTTCCCTTCTGGTGCCCCTCCCCAGCTCCTGAGACACAGCTGCAGCTACAAGTGTGCAGTGTCAGTGTTCAAGAAAGTGCCTGGCAGAGGGGCTTTAGAAGGGTCCCCTGCCTTCCAAAGGAGCTTTGGCAGGCAGAGCTGCTCCTGCAGCAACACTCCCATTTCCTGTTCTTGCCTGCTGAGTAGCACCTAGATTTCTAAGCCTCATCTAGATACTCAGATTTGATTCTGGGCCTTTATAGCCCAGTTGCTGGGACTGTTTCAGGAGCTAGGGGCCATGTGGGGCAGGGAGAGGGCACAAAAGTAGAGAAGCCTGATGTTGATTCCCAGGGGGCTGGTCAGCTCTGCTACTGCTCCTTGCAGATGTCAAGAGTCAGGTGCTAGTCACGTGCTGCTTGGCTTGTCACTGTCATTGGCAGCGAGAGGAATGGGTGCTGGTGACATTGGGCCAGGGCTGCCTCTCTGTGTCAGAGTTCAGGGTGTAGGAGGGGTTCTGCCAACCATGGGCTGTGTGGGGTAAGTGGGTGAGGCTGATCTTGCTGGGTCAAGGTGATCCTGAGCCCTTGGCCTGTGGAATGGGGGTAGAGGGCAAATGGTAACCTAGCATGCTGTGGGGGATATAGGATGAGGGGCTGCCCGAGCCTCGGGAGGGGTCCTAGGGAGCAGATGTTGAAGAGGCCAGAGCCCTCAGTGAGCTGGATGAGAGGGTGAGCTGTTTGAACGCCCTGAGGGTACTTCCTGGGGCCTCGTGTAATGGTCTCTTCTGTATGTCCCCCATCCCATCTCAGGTCTGCTCACCAGGTGGCCAGATACCGCCCACGTGCCCCCATCATTGCTGTGACCCGGAATCCCCAGACAGCTCGTCAGGCCCACCTGTACCGTGGCATCTTCCCTGTGCTGTGCAAGGACCCAGTCCAGGAGGCCTGGGCTGAGGACGTGGACCTCCGGGTGAACTTTGCCATGAATGTTGGTACGTGGCTGGAGCAGGGGCTAGAGCCTAGAGGAGCTTGGGGATGCTTGAGCATTGGCTTCTGTGGGACCCCGAAAGTTTGGGGAATAGAAAGGGGAACACACAGACCTTAGTGGGGCAAAAGGCCCAGCGACTGTTCCTCTCCCTTATTGGGAATGTTCATTCTGAATCTCTCATTCTCCGAAGTCCTAAGCTGAGCCAGGAGGGAAAAGGGTCCTTTGAGTTGTAGGGCTGAGCAATTCAGTTCCTCTTCTCTTCTAGTCTGGGGCTCAAAGCAAAATTGTCCATTTTTTGGCATCTGCTCATTACTGAGAGTTTTTTTTGTTTTTTGTTTTTTTTTTAAATAAAATTGGCCACAGCTCCTGTGCTGTGGGGTGGCATACACAGATTACGTACTGATGTGGCCATTGTCCCTGTATAAGGTAGGGTATCATCAGATGACAGGAAGCAGCTAGCTCTGACCCTGGGCAAGGCTTTGCACCCTCTCCAGGATAGTGAATGATGTCCAAAGGTCCCTGCCAACCCTGCCATCTGAGTGATAAGGACATTTCAGGGCCTTCCTCCTGTTTGCCTGGGCTGTGAGTTTGGTGCCACCTTGTGGTGTGAGGAAGTAGTGGTCAGCCAGCCTAGTTCAGTACTCAGGCTATGGGGCAGCTGCCCAGGTGCAAACCTGCCTGGCTTGGCTTTTACTCACCAACCTCCCTTCTCTTCCTCCAGGCAAGGCCCGAGGCTTCTTCAAGAAGGGAGATGTGGTCATTGTGCTGACCGGATGGCGCCCTGGCTCCGGCTTCACCAACACCATGCGTGTTGTTCCTGTGCCGTGATGGACCCCAGAGCCCCTCCTCCAGCCCCTGTCCCACCCCCTTCCCCCAGCCCATCCATTAGGCCAGCAACGCTTGTAGAACTCACTCTGGGCTGTAACGTGGCACTGGTAGGTTGGGACACCAGGGAAGAAGATCAACGCCTCACTGAAACATGGCTGTGTTTGCAGCCTGCTCTAGTGGGACAGCCCAGAGCCTGGCTGCCCATCATGTGGCCCCACCCAATCAAGGGAAGAAGGAGGAATGCTGGACTGGAGGCCCCTGGAGCCAGATGGCAAGAGGGTGACAGCTTCCTTTCCTGTGTGTACTCTGTCCAGTTCCTTTAGAAAAAATGGATGCCCAGAGGACTCCCAACCCTGGCTTGGGGTCAAGAAACAGCCAGCAAGAGTTAGGGGCCTTAGGGCACTGGGCTGTTGTTCCATTGAAGCCGACTCTGGCCCTGGCCCTTACTTGCTTCTCTAGCTCTCTAGGCCTCTCCAGTTTGCACCTGTCCCCACCCTCCACTCAGCTGTCCTGCAGCAAACACTCCACCCTCCACCTTCCATTTTCCCCCACTACTGCAGCACCTCCAGGCCTGTTGCTATAGAGCCTACCTGTATGTCAATAAACAACAGCTGAAGCACCTGTTTCCTCTCTTTTCTGCTGGGGAGGGGGAGGTGGTTGAACCCTGCCCTCTGAGCAGGCTGGGAATGGCTGCAGCCTCGTGCCCCGCAGTGGGAGCTATGGTGGTGTCACCTGCCATCCTGCCCACCTCCTGGTGCAGAGGCGCTGGGAAAGCAGTAGCTTACTATCTTAGGGTTACAGGTTGCCCCCTTCAGTGCTGCGGGGAGACTTTAATGGCTTACGTGAACCGAAGATGGGAAAGAGCAGGGACAAGGCCTCCCTCCCACTCTGGTAGATAAACCCAAATTGCAAAGTGGCCTTGGCCATGGTTCTTCCACTTTGGTCTTCCTGCATTAGCGTATCCCTTATGGGGGCTGTAGGAGGAGTCAGCTCTGGGCGCCTGAGACTGGGTTTGGCTCCCAGGTCCTCAGTTGTGGACCTAGGCTCCCCTTGGGACCCCTCCTGTTTGCTGGTGCCCTCCCACCATGATGCTGTAGTGCCAAAGGGCTGGGGGAGAGAGTTGGGAATGGGACCAAATCTGGCCTGCGCTTTTCCTCTCCCCTGACCACACTCCCAAGGACCAAGTGTCCTGGTGGGGATGGAAGAGGAAAGGGCCTGCAGGCCAGGCAAAAGCTCATTGTCACACTGAGCGCACGTGCCTCTGCTTCCCTGCCTTTGATTTGTGTCCACCTTCAGCCCCTTTGCAGACTCCTCCAAAAGTGTATTTCCTTGGAGAAACTGCAATGTTAACTCCGGCAAAAGTGCGTGGGAGCATCCTGGCTCCCGGGTTCGTGGTGGTGACTTGGCTGTCAGACCATGGTGTTCAATATCCCCTTTGGTGTTCCCCACTGACGGTAAAATTGAAACTTATCCGGAGCTCTATGTTGGGAAGGGTTAGGTTGGAGAGGGGCCGGAATTGGTTCCTGCAGAGGGACCCAAGCCGCAAGACTAGGACGACAGAAGCGTCCAGAGGGGACACAATACCCTCGACGTGAGGGACAGGAGGTGCCGCGCCAGGCCCTGGCCTCCGGGACCTCCCAGTCCGGGGAACCGAGCGCTAGGATCTGCTCAGAGCTTGGAGCCCCACCTGGGGAAGGTGGGGAAGGAGAGAAGCTGGGGAAGCTGGGGAATGAGGGGGAGGAACGGCCAATGGGCTGTGCCCGGCCCGCGCGACCCGCCAATGGGCGGGCGGGCGGGGCGGGCTCTCGACGGGGCGGGCGGGGTCCGGCGGGCGCTGGGTCCCGGCGCGCGGTCGGGGCGCTGGGTGCAGGCGCCGGGATGACCGCTTTAAGCCGGAGCGAGGCCACCGAGGAGGGCGGGTAAGGGGTTGCGGCCCGGGGGCCGGTCTCGGGGGTTCCGGAGGCCGCCGCGAGGGGCTGCTGCCGCGCGGGGCAGGACGGCTCCTGGGGCCGCGGCAACTCGGCGCGTTCTGCCCACGGGGCAGGCACTTCCCGGCCGCCGGAATGCGGGCTCCGGGCCAGAGCTGCACCGCGCGCCCAGGCGTCTCCCGGGGCCCGCGAGGTGTTCGCACTAGGACCGGGTGTCTTGGCTGAGTCTGCTGCGACCTGGGGGATGAGGGACGGTCCCGGCAGCATCGGGGCAAGGAAGGGCACCCTCCTCGGGACGCCCCGCATGGCCCATCTCCGCCTCGCCACTCTGTTCATCCTTTCATTTATTCATTCATCATTCGTTGCCCGCGGTATCGACTCCCAGTCCTAATTGCCCCCGACCCAAAGGTTGGATTTCCCTGCGTCCCCTGGAGGGCCAGACTGTTTCCTCTCGCCGCCGAATCCGTATTGTAGCGGCCCGCGGCTGCGGGGAGGCAGCTCGGAGCTGTCTCAGCACGACGCGGCCTCCCCCGGGCGCCAGGCCCATCCCGGTCGGGCGGGCTGGGGCCGGTCTCCCGGCCTCGAGACCTGGTCCAAAGTCGCCCTGGGAGAAAGGGATAAGGAGGCAGGGCAGACAGGAGCTGGCGCTGCACGTAACATCCAGAATTGTGGTTTCTGCTGCTTGAGGTCTTAGGGTCCTGGGAGTGACATTGTTTGGGGGAACCTGTCAATTCCTGCCCCGGTCCAGGTTCCAAGCCGCACAGCCTAAGGTCGGGTACAGCCTGGCATCCTCGGCCAGCTAGCACTGGGGCAGGTAGGATGAATGTGTGAGCCTTGTGTCCAAATCAGCCCGAGACACACAGGGATGTGGACCCCAGCGGGACTCCCTCTGCCTTATACTCAGAGGGACTGGTGGGGCTCCACCCCGCTGTCGTCTGTGTCTCTGCTCTGCTTGCCGCCCCACTCACTATGCTTGATTGTTTAAAGGTGCCCCTCCTTGCAGGGGCCAGGCTCCTAGGGAACGAGAGAGGGTACCCTCGCAACCTGATGTCTTCACCCCATGTCCACCTGTAGCCGGCTCTAAAGTCTGGCTCCTTTCAGAGCAAAGACTTATGGCCTTGCTGGGAGAGGTAGAATAGAGGGTGTCTATCCCATTCTTCAGTGAGGAGTCAGTATGCCCCTCCTTCTTTTTTCTTTTTTTTTTTTCTGAGACAGTTTCACTCTGTCACCCAGGCTGGAGTGCCGTGGTGGGATCTTGGCTCACTGCAACCTCTGCCTCCCAGGTTCAAGTGATCCTCCTGCCTCAGCCTCCCGAGTAGCTGGGATTACAGGTGCCCACCACCACGCCCAGCTAATTTTTGTATTTTTAGTAGAGATGGGGTTTCACCATGTTGGCCAGGCTGGTCTTGAACTCCTGACCTCAGGTGATCCACCCACCTCAGCCTCCCAAAGTGCTAGCATTACAGGGACTACAGGTGTGAGCCACGTGCCTGGCCCCCTCCATAGTCTTCTGATCAGGCTGGCTGGAGACCATGCTGCAGACACTCTTAGGTTTAAGTTTTAGTTTGACAGGCATTGAGGTAGCCTCAGTGGGCACCTCTGGGACAAATGGGCAGGTCCAGAGGGGAAAGCTGACAGAGGCCCCATCGAGCTTCCAGGAGAGTTTAGGCTGGGGCCAAATAGAAGTTCTCCTTCCCAACTTCCCCTTGGGAGAATTTTCTGAATAGCCTGAAGAGGGTAGCTCAAGCTCCATCTGTGCCTTGATGTTGCTGGCTGCTTTCAAATTTCTTTCTTTTTTTTTGAGACGGAGTTTTGCTCTTGTTACCCAGGCTGGAGTGCAATGGCGTGATCTCGGCTCACTGCAGTCTCCGCCTCCTGGGTTCAAGTGATTCTCCTGCCTCAGCCTCCCGAGTAGGTGGGATTACAGGCATGCGCCACCACACCCGGCTAATTTTGTATTTTTTAGTAGAGACGGGGTTTCTCCATGTTGGTCAGGCTGGTCTCCAACTCTCGACCTCAGGTGAGCTGCTCACCTCAGCCTCTCAAAGTGCTGGGATTACAGGTGTGAGCCACTGCACCTGGCCTCAAATTTCTAAATTTAGCAAGGCCCCAAAGCTTTGGCACAGACCAGAGAGACTTGTATGCTAATTCATCCACCTAGGGTGCTCCCGTGACCCCCTGAGGTTGAGGTCGGCAGTACCCAAGGTGGGTTGCTGCCAGCTGGCCTCTTGGAAGCTCTCCCATGAGCTGCTGCGCTGTTAGTGCCTCCTGGGTGGCTCCACCCCGCCCCTAACCTGCTTAGGTTCGCTCTGGTCCTTGCCTGCCACGGACCATGTTTATCAGCTGGAGGGAAGAGCCTCACTCTGGAATCAGAAGTGAGTTCTAAGCCTCAGGCTGTTCCTGTTTTGCTGCGACTTGGGACAAGTCACTTCCGCTTTCTGGGCCTGCTTTACACCATAAGGTAAGGAGATTGGACTGTAGGTTCCCTAAAGGCCTTCTGCATGCAGTCATCCAGTGATTCTCCTAACTAGACACTTCTAGCAGCTTCAGGGGAAGTTTGTCTACACTCATGCTACAGTATTTTCAGCAAATGTGATTGGACAAGTGGGCCTGTGCCTTATCTTTTGGTGGAGTGAAAAAATTTGGGCCAGTGAAGCCAAATCCTTACAGCAAGCAGCATGCAGCATACCTGGCTCTTTGCTGATTGCAAATAGGCATTTAAAGTATGAATTTGAGCCGGGCGCGGCGGCTCACACCTCTAATCCCAGCACTTTGGGAGGCTGAGACAGGTGGATCCCCTGAGGTCAGGAGTTCAAGACCAGCCTGGCCAACATGGTAAAACCCCATCTCTACTAAAAATACAAAAATGAGTTAGGTGTGGTGGTGTGTGCCTGTAATCCCAGCTACCTGGGAGGTTGAGGCTGGAGAATCTCTGGAACCTGGGAGGCAGAGGCTGTAGTGAGCTGAGATCACGCAACTGCATTCCAGCCCGGGCGACAGAGTGAGACTCTGTCTCAAAATAATAATAATAATAATAAATAATAAAGAAAAAATATGAGTTTGGAATCAGATATCTCCATTACTTCCAGCTAAAGCGTCATCATAGGTATTTCCTAAGTTTTAAGTTCTGGATAAAAACTCCACTGGTGCCTACTATCTCCACCATGAACTCTGTTAAGGAACCTTCACTTTTGTATATGCCTGCTGTTTTCTCTTCATTTCCCTGTCTTCTGCATAAGCATGCCCTCTTGCTAAGTAATTCAAGCATAAGGTCTTGGAATACTAAAATCATAAGCTTAGGAGAAAGAATAAAATAAAACTTATTCCCCGTCCCCCCAAAATCCCTCCAATTTCCTTCCCAGTTTCGGAAGATGTTTCATTTATTTTCAGAATTTCTCCTTTGCTGTGGCTACCCATGGAAAGCCCTTGAAGTCAAGAACGGTGTAGCATTCCACTCTGACATCTGGTGTGAGCCTGAACACCAGAAAATAATTTTTCTCCCTTCCAGGAAAGTGAAAATGATTTCCCTCAATTCTGCAGCCATCTCTGATGCAAGTGTGAGTTTCACTTGAGGTCGGCCTTGGCCACTGTGCGCTATTCACCTGGACTTCAGGGCATCAGTCTGTCACCACCTGTCATCACCAACCTTTGAAGCTTTAATTCCCCAGTTATTTGCTAATGTGGGAAAGGAAGGAGGAGGGGGAGGGCAGAAGCCCCTGGGAATGGAGCTTCCTGTGTAATTAAGAAGTAACAGCCTCCCTGAGGTGCACCTGCGTGCTCCGGCACAGATTCCAAAAGACAGGCATTGTTCTCAGGGATATAAGCCACTGTAGGAGAAAGTGATTCCTCGCCCCTCCTTCCCACTACTATACATTTTTATTAGTTTAGAAATGCACGGCCTGGCGCGTTGGCTCACACCTGTAATCCCAGCACTTTGGGAGGCTGAGGCGGGCGGATCACGAGGTCAGGAGATCGAGACCATCCTGGCTAACAGGGCGAAACCCCATCTCTACTAAAAATACAGAAAAAAAATTAGCCAGGCATGGTGGTGGGCGCCTGTAGTCCCAGCTACTCGGGAGGCTGTGGCAGGAGACTGGCGTGAACCTGGGAGGCGGAGCTTGCAGTGAGCAGAGATCACGCCACTGTACTCCAGCCTGGGCGACAGAGCAAGACTGCGTCTCGAAAAAAAAAAAAGAAATGCACAAGCCGGGTGTGGTGGCTCACGCCTGTAATCCCAGCACTTTGGGGGGCTGAGGCGGGTGGATCGCCTGAGGTCAGGAGTTTGAGGCCAGCCTGGCCAACATAGTGAAACCCTGTCTCTACTAAAAATACAAAAAATTTGCTGGGCGTGGTGGCGGGCACCTGTAATTTCAGCTACTAGGGAGGCTGAGGCAGGAAAATCGCTTGAACCCGGGAGGCAGAGGTTGCAGTGAGCCAAGATCACACCATTTGCACTCCAGCCTGGGCAACAAGAATGAAAAAAAAAAAAGAAATGATTGGTCATCATTTAGGACTGGAGGCGTGTTTTAATAACCTGTGGCGACTGAACCAATCTTTATTTATTTATTTATTTATCTATTTATTTATTTATTTTTGAGACGAACTGTCACTCTTGTTGCCCAGGCTAGAGTGCAATGGCACGATATCAGCTCACTGCAAACTCCGCCTCCCAGGTTCAAGCGATTCTCCTGCCTCAGCCTTCCGAGTAGCTGGGATTACAGTCATGTGCCACCACGCCCGACTAATTTTTTGTATTTTTAGTAGAGATGGGGTTTCTGCATGTTGGTCAGACTGGTCTTGAACTCCTGACCTCAGGTGATCCGCCCACCTTGGCCTCCCAAAGTGCTGGGATTACAGGCATTAGCCACTGCACCTGGCCGACTGAACCAATCTTTAAAGCCTTGTCATAAATTAGTGTTTCCTCAGTGATGTTTGTAATTACATTGTTAATTTTTAAGCAGTTTTTGGCTGGCTCTATTTCTTTTTAACCTAAAGTAAAGATCACTTGAAGAATTAGTTTAAATCAAACATGAATTGCTTTTCCTCCTAACATCTGTACATGGCACATCAATGGTATAGTAGTTAATTGTCGAGATCCTGCTGGTATTTCATTTCATTGCCTTACCCACCGCACAGCAGCGTGGGCAGTATGCCTGACCAAACAACTGTGACTGATTATTAGGATTTTTTTTCTCTCTTCTGTAGGAAAAAAGTTTAGATATTTCTAATATGTGTTAGAATTAATCAGATTACTCAAAACCTGCCAGTAATCACTCAGGCCACACAAAATGCTATTTTAAAATACATTTTGAATTTTTGAAGGATTACTTAGAAATTTTATTTTAAAATAACCCAGTGACAGTACTTCAGAATTGGTATTCCTATTGGGCTTCCTTCATTACCAGACAAGTTGAAACATGTTTATATTCTGAATTGCTAACTTTTTATTGTGGAAAATTTCAAACATATACAAAAGGAGAGAGAATAGTATAATAAGTGGCATGTACCCATCTCCTGGTTTTAGCAATAATCAAGTCATGGGTAAAGTTTGTTTCATATATACCTCCCTTCTCCCTGTCTCCTGGATTATTCTGAAGCAAATTGTAGCTATTATATTATTTTATCCAAAAATATTTCAATGTATATCTATAAAAGAGCCTTTAAAAAATATTTCTACAATATCATTATTACATCTAAAAAATGGCAGTAACTTCTTAATCAGATAGCTAGTCAGCATTTACATTCCCTCCATTGTCTCATAAATGTCTTTGTACCATTTAATAAGGATTCAAATGAAGTTTATACTTTGACTAAAGTCAAAGAGTTGCCATTTTGAATCTCTATATCTTTATCTCTTTAGTCTATGGTTTCCTCTTTTCTTCCTTTTCTTTTTTCCTTGCAAATTATTTGTTGAAAAAAACAGGCTATGTTTTCTATAACTTTTTCTGATGTGTTGATGTTGTTTAAACCATTCCTTTGATTTATGTATTTCCTATACATTGGGAGTTGGACCTACAGTCTCGGTCAGATTCTGATGGTATTGTGTGCTTCAAGAAGTATATAATATCAGTTATTTCTCTTTGAAGAATGTTAGCAGCCATTGATGATTATTTCATGCAGACCCATTATTTAATTAGGGACTGAAATATGGTATTAGTCTAATCCTACCAGTTTTTCATCATTTATTAGGAGACTCTTTCTATAAAAAGATGTGTTCCCAGCTGGGCACGGTGGGTCCTGCCTGTAATCCCAGCACTTTGGGAGGCCAAGGCAGGCGGATCACCTGAGGTCAGGAGTTTGAGACCAGCCTGGCCAACATGGTGAAACCCTGTCTCTACTAAAAAAAATACAAAAATTAGCTGGGCATGGTGGCGGGCACCTGTAATCCCAGCTACTCAGGAGGTTGAGGCAGGAGAATCGCTTGAACTCGGGAGGCGGAGGTTGCATTGAGCTGAGATCACACCATTGCACTCCAGCCTGGGCAACAAGAGTGAAACTCCATTTAAAAAAAAAAAAGATGTGTTCCCTCTTCAACCATTTGCTTATCCTGAGGTGTAGCCAGTACTAGAAAGGCAGAATAAATACTTGACTCTTATTTCTTAGTTTTCAAAATCGTGGTATGGGCTCTAGTAGCCACCAAAGGTGGCCAATGAGTCATTTCGGTGTATTATAATCTCATGGATTTAAACATATTTGATGTGTTTTAATCCATTCTTATTGATGCTCAAATGGTCCCATCTTTAAGTTGGTTCCTGAGTTCTTGAGCCATGACTCCAGGCTTCAATGACTTCTTTAGTTTCTGGTATGATTAGATGTTTTAGGCTCCTTTTTGCATTTCCTCAGATCCGGAATCAGCCATTTCCCCAAGGAGCTGCTTAATTAGAGGAGTATTTTCTATCATTTGGGGGTCATAGGCTACGTTGAGAGTCTAATAAAAGTGAAATGCTCTCTTCCCAGAAACATACTCCTTTGTTCAGACCCAACAATTTTGCCCAAAGTTCCAGGAGTTCACAGATCCACCCTCCAACTCTTGCCTGGACCTCAGAGGCATGTAATTTACATTAGATTGTCAATCTGCGTCCATAATGATGGAAGACTTGGGAGAATGGGAAATAACCAAGTGTCCCCATGTGAAAACAGAAACTGGAAAAGTTAATGAATCTTGCAATATAAGAAGACACAAGAGAACAGAGAGTTGTGGAGCAGACTTTGCCCTGGTCACACCAGCAGTGGAGATCCAGTTTTATTAAGGAAGGAACATGAGGACAAAGGTTTGTTCCTTGGTGAAGGATTATTAGCTAGAAGGTGGTCCATTTAGGTATTGGGAAGAACCTTTTTTTTTTTAGACAGAATCTCACTCTGTCGCCCAGGCTGGAGTGCAGTGGTGCAATCTCGGCTCACTGCAAGCTCCGCCTCCCAGGTTCACACCATTCTCCTGCCTCAGCCTCCTGAGTAGCTGCGACTACAGGCGCCTGCCACCACGCCCGGCTATTTTTTTGTATTTTTTTTAGTAGACACGGGGTTTCACCATGTTAGCCAGGATGGTCTCGATCTCCTGACCTTGTGATCCTCCCGCCTTGGCCTCCCAAAGTGCTGGGATTACAGGCGTGAGCCACCACGCCCAGCTAATTGACTATTAGAACTTTCTAATAGTCAGGACTGCAGTGACAGATCTAATAGATGATATTCATGTATAGGCATACATTTTGAAATTCCTGTTGCCTAGTTACAATGCACCTTTTTTTCCCCACCCACTCGAATATTTATTTCTTTATATGGAGTTTCTTGATATGGATAACACTGAGTAAGGGTTTGGTTTGGTTTTGTCTTTTAAGCCATTCCAGCCATGTAGTCAATAGGACAGCCTAAGCTTTCAGACAGACCTGGGTTCAAATTCTTGCTCCACAAGTTACTGCTGAGTTTCTACTGGCTCTGAGCCTCCCGTTATCATTCTATAAAACAGACTCACATCTAACCTGCTTCATAGGTACTCTGGCTGTGTAATGGCCTAGTACACAGTAGGTGCTCACTAAAACGTACTTTCCTTTCAGTGCCTCTAACTTTGAGAACCTAAAATGGGACTTCTTAGTGATAATTCAGCTACAGCTCTAAGAAAAGCTACCTCTGTTTTACTTTTCCAGGCACAAAGTTCACTTTTTAAAATACACTTTTTGTTTTGAGAGAATTGTAAATTCACATTCAATTTTATAAAATACCACAGAGAGATCTCATGTATTCTTCACCCAGTTTCCCCCAATGGTAACATCCTGAATAGCAATAGAACAGTATCACAACCAGAAAATTGACATTGATATAATCCATCTACCTTAGTCAGATTTCACTAGTTTTACATGCACTCATTTGTGTCTCTGCATGTGTGTGGACCTATATTTAGTCTTGTGTGATTTTTATCACATGTAGATTTGGCAAAGTTCATTTTTAAAACAAAGCTTTATTTTTCTGTTGGTTCTGAAAGTTTCCATGTAGTGAAGAATGAGATTTTAGGAATTTTGAATTTCAGAGGTGTCTATTCATTAATAATATCGCAGTGCCTTTGGAACAATTCTTTTTCCTGCCTTCTCCTTCTCCTCCTTTTTAAAAATTCTTTTACTAAATGAAAATAGTATGTTTATTCTAATTATAAAATTCAGGCAAAGTGGCCTGAATACTTTGTTTTGTTTGAACTTATTCTAACAGGTGTATAATACTTTTAAGATCAAAACCAATAAAGCTCTTAAAGGCTGGGCATGGTGGCCCACACCTGTAATCCCAGCACTTCAGGAGCTGAGGTGGGCAGATCACCTGAGGTCAACAGTTCGAGACCAGCCTGGCCAACATGGCAAAACTCCATCTCTACTAAATATACAAAAATTTAGCTGGCTGAGGTGGCGGGCACCTGTAATCCCAGCTACTTGGGAGGCTGAGGCAGGAGAATCACTTGAACCTGGGGGTCGGAGGTTGCAGTGAGCCAAGATCATGCCACTGCACTCCACCTTGGGCGACAGAGCAAGACTCTGTCTCAAAAAAAAAAATTGAGGCAAAGTATACCAAAAATACAGAAAAGTATAAAGAAAACAAAAAAACATGTAAAAATCCCAATTCGTGGAGGAAAATGTTAGAATTTTAGTGAGCATCTTTCTACATATATTATTAGGCACACTGTTCTACAGAACGCTTTTCCAATGTTATATAATGCTATCTTTCATGTTAATATAGACTTTTTAATAAGTTTTAATAAATATTGATAAATATTTTTAATGGTTACATAGCCTTCCAGTCTACAAATAAAACATAATTTGTGCCTTATTGATGGACATTTATAGTACTTCCTTTTTTTCTCCTCTAACTACACTTTAATGAGCATTCTTTTTTTTTTTTTTTCTTTGAGACGAAGTCTAGCTCTGTTGCCCAGGCTGGAGTGCAGTAGGAGGATCTCAGCTCACTGTAATTTCCGCCTCCTGGGTTCAAGTGATTCTCCTGCCTTAGCCTCCTGAGTAGCTGGGATTACAGCTGCATGCTACCATACCCAGCTAATTTTTGTATTTTTAGTAGAGATGGGGTTTCACCACATTGGTCAGGCTGGTCTAGAACTCCTAACCTCGTGATCTGCCTGCTTTGGCCTCCCAAAGTGCTAGGATTACAGCCATGAGCCACCACGCCCAGCCAGTGAGCATTCTTATTATACATTGTAATTTGTGCTCAATTATTTCCTAGCAATAAATTGTTAGAAATGGAATTTACAGGTGTGACAGGTGTCTACACATAAAATTTATGTACCTTTTTCATACTGTCGTAACATACAAGTATGTGAGACTGTTCATTCACAATATGTTGATCAACATTAGATAGTATTAACTTTAAGCCTTTAAAATCTAAAAAGTTAGGAAAAAAAGATATTATGGCCAGGTACAGTGACTCACTCACACCTGTAATCCCAGCACTTTCAGAGGCTGGCTGAGGCTGGCAGATCACTTGAGCCCAGGAATTTGAGACTAGCCTGGCCAACATGGCAAGAACCCTGTTTCTATAAAAAATGCAAAAAGTAGCCAGGCTTGATGGCACATGCCTGCAGTCCCAGCTACTTTGGAGGCTGAGTGGGAGAATTGCTTGAGCCCAGCAGGCAGAGGTTGTAGTGAGTTTATATCACACCACTGCACTCCAGCCTGGGTAACAGAGTGATACCCTGTCTCAAAATATATATATAACTTATATCTTTAATTTACTGTTGTTTTTTTTTTAGTTTTCTTTTTTGTTTTTTCTTTTTTGAGACAGGGTCTTGCTCTGTTGCCCAGGCTGGAGTGCAGTGACATGATCATAGTTCACTGCAGCCTCAACATCCCAGGCTCAAGTGATCCTCCCACCTCAGCCTCCCAAGTAGCAGATGGGAACTTATACCTGTTAGTATAAGTTCAAACAAAACAGTGTATAAAGAGTGAACATCATCCCTTTATTCTCCTGGATGTAGTCATGATTGATATATACCCTTAAGTATAGTTTTTTTATGTTATAGATTATATCATACTGATCTGTATCTACTTTTCTTTTCTTTTTTTTTTCTTTTGAGACAGAGTTTTGCTCTTGTTGCCCAGGCTGGAATGCAGTGGCGCTATCTCAGCTCACTCTACCTCTACCTCTGGGGTTCAAGTGATTTTCCTGCCTCAGTCTCCCAAGTAGCTGGGATCACAGGAGCCTACCACCACACCCAGCTAATTTTTTTTTTTTTTTTGTATTTTTATTAGTAGAGATGGGGTTTCACTATGTTGGCCAGGCTGGTCTCGAACTCCTGAGCTCAGGTGATCCACCTGTCTCGGCTTCTCAAAGTGCTGGTATTACAGACATGAGCCACTGCATTCAGTCTGTACCTACTTATCAGTTACAATACATGTTGGACTTTTTTTCCATATTAGCACATATAGGAGCTCTAACTTACTCTTTTTTATCAATTGCATAGGAATCCATTATACTGATAAAATACCATTATGGTATTTCTACATTTTTCCCCATAATTGTTAATCATACGAATATACATTTTTGTCCATTTATTTCCTTACATCAAGTGTCTTAAAGGGAATTGTTGGGTTAAAGAATTTGTATTTCTTGGCTGGGCACAGTGGCTCACGCCCGTAATCCCAGCACTTTGGGAGGCCAAGGCAGACAGATCACGAGGTCAGGAGATTGAGACCAACCTGGCTAACACAGTGAAACCCTGTCTCTACTAAAAATACAAAAATTATCCGGGCGTGGTGGCATGCTTCTGTAGTCCCAGCTACTCGGGAGGCTGAGGCGGGAGAATCGCTTGAACCCAGGAGGTGGAGGTTGCAGTGAGCCGAGATGGCGCCACTGTACTCCAGCCTGGGTGATAGAGCGAGACTCTGTCTCAAAAAAAAAAAAAATTAAATAAATAAATAAAAGAAAAAGAAAAGAATTTGTATTTCTTAAGGCATTTGATGTATATTAGAAAGGTTAACTCAGTCTTTAGTCTTATAATGGGGAATAATGAATGACTATTTTTCACATCCTTGGTAATACTGAGCACTATAATTTTAGTGTTTACTGATAAAATAGGTAAGATAGATTGTTTTCTAAATTGCTTGTTCATATTCTTTGCTCACTTTTCTATTAGGTTATTTACCTATTTTTATTGACTTGGATGAGCTCCCTACATATGAAGAATACCAATCCTTTGTCCACTTAAATTTTGATATACAGAAGTTTTAAATCTTTATGCAATTAAATCTTTTATGTGTTCTGGGTTTTATATCTTGCTTAGAAAAACTTTTCCTGATATTTAAAAATATTCTCTTTTATTCTAGCTATTTATAGATTTAGAAAATATTTAGGTGTTTTATCTCCCTGGGTTATCTTTTTGTGAATGGTGGGAGGTAGCCAAATTGCCCCAATATCATTTATTGGACAACTCATTCTTTCCTTACTTGTGTGAAACACATTCTTCATGCTATACTAAATTCTCATATACTCATAGGTCATTTTCTGGACTGTCTTATGCTCCATTGATCTAGTAATCTTTCCTAGGCCAGTTAATACTTCGCTACTTAATTATCCTACCTTTGTAATTTGTTCTGACATCTGGTAAGGCAAAGCCTTTACATCATTTTCTTTTTCAAAATTTTCTTGCTCTCTTTCACATGTGTGCACATGCACGTGCACCCTGTTGGAACATTTACAAATTAATTTGGGGTAAATTTGCTCCTTTAAAACTTTGACTCAGGCCAGGAATGGTGGCTTATGCCTGTAATCCCAGCACTTTGGGAGGCTGAGGCAGGTGGATCACCTGAGGTTGGGAGTTGAAGACCTGCCTGGCCAACATGGTGAAATCCTGTCTCTATTAAAAATACAAAAATTAGCCAGGTATGGTGGCACGTGCCTGTAGTCCTAGCTACTCAGGAGGCTGAGGCAGGAGAATTGCTTGAACCTGGGAGGTAGAGGTTGCAGTGAGCCGAGATGGTGCCATTGCACTCTAGCCTGGGCAACAGAGCAAGACTCCGTCTCAAAAAAAAAAAAAAAAAAAAAACTGGAACAAAATATATTTTTGTTGTCATATGAATATAGGTATTTTCCCACATATACTTTATAACTGTATTGTAGGTCTACAGGAAAACGATTGATTTTTACAAGTTAAAAAATCAGTCGTTTGGGAGGTAGCCAATTGCCCCAATACCATTTATTGGACAAGATCTATTGATCTTGTAACCGTTAAAGTAGTAATTAATTCCATGAGTTAATTATGTGTCTACCCCATCACAGTTCTGCCTACTTTGGTGCCCAAATATGAAAATATCTGCGCCACGTTTTTATGATTTGTCGGTTGATTATGTGTTGTTTAGGTAGTTTATCTGACCATCTTCAAACAATAATTGTCCCTCTTTAACATGTAAGTGAACCTTTTATTTGTTTTTCTCTCCTGTGTGCGGTGGCTGGAACCTCCAGGACAAGGTTGAATAACAGTGGCGAGAGCAGGCATTCCTAAGGAGCGTTCCCGCAGTTAGACAATCTGGGGTTCTCCCTGGAGGAGGAGGTCCCAGGACCTAGCAAGCTCCTCAAGACGAGGTCATTGGTCAGGAATCTGAGCCCTCGGCCGAGCCCAGCCTGGGGGAGCCGAGTTGGCAGGAGCCTGGGCAGGGCGCGCAGCCCGTCCCCACGCGGGCGTCCTCAGCCAGGCCAGTTACCACGCTTGGTACACGCACTGCACCAGGAAGGGGCTCAGAGGGGCGCGCGCTCCTTTTCCCGGGAGCCCAGCAGGTGGGGGCACGGCTGCGGCACTCCTGGCAGCTCCCCGGCCTGCGCAAGCTCTGGCTGTGACCACCAGCCTCCTGCAAAGGGTCAGCTGGGGCCAGCCGGGCGGGATCAGTGCCGCCGCGGGCGCCGCTTTGGAGCCACTGAGTGTGGCTGTGGAATGCTGGGTGCGGCTGCCTCACCAGCTTCCCAGCCCTTTCCAAGGCAGGCGCAGAAAATAGGCTTGTGGCTCTTGCCTGTGCTAGCCGAGGGGTGGAGGTGCTGCAGGTGAAGGTGGCTTGGGGAACTGGGGAACAGGGCAGTGAGGCCGTGGGGCGAGGGCAGTCCCTCTCCCTCCCCGACTGCAAACAACCCCCTCGGGGAACCAGGAGAGAAAGATGCAATCCTATCTATCCGTTCCCAGTATCTCCGTGGTCTTTTCCCGCGAGGGAGGGCGGAGGGCAGGTTCAGAGGGGATGTGGCGCTGAGCTGGACTGGGACTGAGTTTCCAGCTGTGCTCAGCAGCATCCTTGCTGGTGGACAGAGACCTGTCCTCACCATCCATCCCTGGGATGCAGTCACCGGCCCAGGAGAAAAGGAGGAGGAGCAGACCCCACTACTGCACCAAAGTTGTCCTGACCAAAGTAACTCATCTGCAGTGTTAAATTCAGGGACTGCCTTTGCGTCCTGCTCTTACTTGGCCTTTCAGCAGACTTCAGCATTGCGTTCTCCTCCATCTTTTGAAACCCTCCTTTGGCTTCCATGACAGCCTTACACCTGGTTTTCTACTTTTTGTTGTTTTGTATTTATTTATTTTTTTTAGTAGAGACAGGATTTCACCATGTTGGCCAGGCTGGTCTCAAACTGCCGATCTCAGGTGATTCACCTGCCTCGGCCTCCCAAACTGCTGGGATTACAGGCGTGAGCCACCATGCCCGGGTTTGTTGTTGTTGTTGTTGTTGTTGTTTTTAATGGAGACATGGTCTCGCTCTGTCGCCCAGGCTGGAGTGCAGTGGCGCGATCTCAGCTCACTGCAAGCTCCACCTCCCGTGTTCACGCCATTCTCCTGCCTCAGCTTCCTGAGTAGCTGGGACGACAGGCACATATCGCCATGTCTGGCTAATTTTTGTATTTTTAGTAGAGATGGGATTTCACCCTATTGGCCAGGCTGGTCTCCATCTCCTGACCATGTGATCTGCCCACCTCGGCTCCCAAAGTGCTGGGATTACAGGCGTGAGCCACCGCGCCCGGCCAAGAGTTCTTTTAGAACAGTTTTAAATTGTAGTTAAGAAAAAAAAAAACAACAAAACCCTACCATCTGGGCACAGTGGCTCACACCTGTAATCCCAACACTTTGGGAGGCTGAGGCAGAAGGATCCCTTGAGGCCAGAAGTTTGAGACCAGCCTGGATAACATAGAGAGACCCTGTCTCTACATAAAATACCAAAATTAGCTGGGCATGGTGGCATGTGCTTGTAGTGCCAGCTACTCAGGAGGCTGAGGTGGGAGGATCACCTAAGCCCAGGGAGGTTGAGGCTGCAGCGAGCCATGATTGCGCCACTGTACTCTAACCTGGGCAACAGAGTGCACAGTTCAGTAGTGTTAAGTATATTCACGTTGTTGTGCAATCTTCAGAACTTTTCTTCTTGCAAAACTGAAACTCTATACCCAAAGAACAACAACTCATTATCCCCTCTGCCCCCAGGCCCTGGCAACCACCATTCTACTTTGTTTCTATGAATTCAACTACTCTAGATACCCAATTTAAGTGGATTCATATGTGTTTGTGTTTTTGTGACTGTCTTATTTCACTTAACATAATGTCCTCAAGATTATAAGGGTTCTCTATATATTTGGGATACTAAATCCTTATCAGACAGATGATTTGCAAATATTCTCTCCCATTCTGTGGATTGTCTTTTCACTTTCTTGATGATATTAACAGCATAAACATTTCTAATTTTGATGAGATCCAATTTATCTGTTTTTTTCTTCTGTTTCTTATGCTTTCGGTGTCATATCTAAGAGATCATTGCCTGATAGGTCATAAAGATTTACACTTATGTTTTCTTTAAGAGTTTCATAGTTTTAGCAAATTTTGGGTTTTTTTTTTTTTTTTTTTTTTTGAGACAGTCTCACTCTGTCGCCCAGGCTGGAGTACAGTGGCAAGATCTTGGCTCACTGCAACCTCCACCTCCCGGGCTCAAACAATTCTCTTGCCTCAGCCTCCTGAGTAGCTGGGATTATAGACATGCGCCACCACGCCCAGCTGATTTTTGTATTTTTAGTAGAGACAGGGTTTCACCATGTTGGCCAGGCTAGTCTCAAACTCCTGACCTCAAGTGATCCACCCTCCTCGGCCTCCCAAAGTGTTGGGATTACAGGCATGAGCCACTGCGCCTGGCCGAATTTTGGCTAATTTTTGTATACAGTGTGAGCTAAAGGTCATGTTATTCTTTTCCATGTGGATATTCAGTTTGTC
Organism: Homo sapiens; assembly: GCF_000001405.40. Lineage (NCBI taxonomy): Eukaryota > Metazoa > Chordata > Mammalia > Primates > Hominidae > Homo > Homo sapiens. Next base: position 72,182,006 of record NC_000015.10, on the reverse strand, counting down.
CCAGCATGATTTGTTGAAAAGACTTTTATTTCCCCCTAAGTCTTGGCATTCTTGTTGATAGCTTCTGTTCCTTGTGTACCCACTTTCCCTGGCACAGTCTTACTAGCTCCTCTTCTCACTTATGGGCCAGTAACTCAGAAATTTATCCCTCCTGCCTAAACCTTTCTTCTGAGCTTCTTAGTCATATATAGTTTGACATCTCCACTTAAATGTCTCTCACACATGTTCAAGGCTGAACTCGTGACTGTTGCTTCCAACTAGGCTTTTCTTCTAGTCCATTTTTACCTCATTTAGTCTCAGCAAAAGAGCCCACTATCCTACTCGCTTAAGCCAGAAATCTGGAGTCATACTTGACACCTTCTTGTTTTTACCTCTCATCCAATTCATCACCATGTCAGATTGATTATATTTGGAAATACATATTCCAAATCCATCCCTGGCCCTCCATCACCACTGCCACCCAGTCCAAGACATCATCTCTCTGCTGAGCTACAGCCTTTCACCTGATCTCTCTCCATGGAAAATTGTGAACATAACAAAGGATGAGAGAGTTGTCCAGTGGATCCCCACGTATGTATCACCCAGCTACAATAACCAACAACACGAGTCATTCCTGTTTCACCAATATTCACCCTCCACTCCCCTGCCCCACTTCCATGGGATTACTTGGAAACAAATTATTAACACACAAAGTTGATAGTATACTTTCCTGTTTAAATCTCTACATTGGTTCCCCATTGCTTTTAAGATAATGACCAAAACCATTATAGAGGCCCATGGGCCCTGCATGATCTGGCCCTGCCAACCCCTCCAGCCTTGTTGTTTACCACTTCGCTGCTCACCTCTGCCCTCCAGACTCAAAGGCTCTATTTAGCTTTCTCACACATGCTGCACACTTCTGGCCTTGGGGCCTTTGTATATGGCAACCCCTCTACAGTGACCCTGTCCGCCCAGAATCCCCCTTCTCCATTTGGCTAGCATCCCTTGGAGATGAGCTCCAATGTTGTACGTCTTCAGAAAAGTCTTCCTTGCCCTCCATGGTTGAGTCAGGATGCCCTAATAGAGGTCCCTCCTGGGATGAGGGTTCATCTGACCTCAGAGGGCCAGTGGCCATCTGCAGTTTATACAGTTCGTGGCCTCTGCTTTTTTCCCTCAGACAACATTTGTTGTCCCTCCTGGGCTGTGACTTTCTCGCCCCTTTGCAGAGGAGTCACTGAGGCCCAGAAAGGAAGAGTGGCTTACTCAAAGCCCCTCAGCAGTGAGAAGCAGTTCCAGGCCTGCATTCCTGTCTTCCTGTCCCCAACTCCAGGCTCTTTCAGGACCCCAAGACCCTTCACACTTGCCTGTGGTCCTGAGAAGAGCCTGATGGATCCACAAAGCCAGAGTAATTCTGAGGTGGGTATCCCAGGGTGGTTGGGGTGGGCTGTCTGGACAGTATCCATGGATGGACAGAACTGACTTGTCTCCAGAGTAGCCACAGCCCCTGGCAGCCCTGAGTGGGGGCGTCTGAGCGGCTCAGCCTGTCTGCAGGCCCCCTCACTTAGCAGGCCTGGCCGGAGGGCGGCCCCCAAGAGCACAGGGGCGCTCTGTTCCTTAATGAATGCAAGTCTGTTTTTAGACCTGAATGACCAGCTTTTTGTCTGGAAATGGCCAAGCCCCAAGTGGCCTGCCAAGAAAAAGTGGTCTATGAGCAGACCCGGGGGTGCCAGCTCAAATAGATGCCGCTCCAGCAGCGGGCATGATGGGACGAAGCCAGCAGCCGGCAGGGCACTCTCTGCAGAGCCGGCTCTGTGATTTGGCCTATGCTTTGTAGGAAATCCTGGATATCCCCAGGAGGAAAGCTTCCCGGTTTTAGCTGTTTGTCCCTGTCTGTCTCCGTGGCGACTGTTCTCACTGCACAGGCCTTTGAGCTCTGGGCAGGAGGGGGCAGCAATTGCTGGCCTCTAACCTCTGGTGGAGGGAGGAGAAGAAAGGGAGGCTGGGCCTGAGCTGAAGTTGGGTCGTGCCTCCGAGCCCATGGTGGTGGGAGGCAGTCACTGGGTGTGGCCCAGGTGTAGAGAGGGCCTTGCCGCGGCTGGTTCCTTGGACTGTAGTCCCAGTGGAAAGATTCAGGCATGGAGGACATGTATGGAGCTTTCTGGGTGCCTTTGAGGCCCAGTGGTACCCCTGTCTTCACTTGCCGTGGGTAGATGCCCCTCTAGGTATCCTTCAAGGATGTGATGGGACAGAGGCTAACACAGCGCTCACCAGTGCTAGTCGGGGACGTCCTGCTCAATGGGCAGGGTTATGGGTGTCCCCAGCCCCACCCCAGACTGAGTCAAGACCTCTTGCAGATCCTCACAGTAGCCCTGACGATCTGCAGGTCACAGAGGGGATAATTTTTTTCTCTGTTTGCCATTTTGTGGAGACACAAATGCAGGAGTTAATGGGCATCTTAGGGGAGCCAGTTCGTGCTCTCCTAGACTGGAGGCCTGGCCCATGGCCCCCTGCTTCTCTCTGCCTCCTGCCCCCTCTTCCCTCGCTCTAGAGCCAGTCTCCGGGGGCACCCAGAGGTTCAGCTCTAGTGTAGCTGCAGCTCGCACCTACCTGGCTCTCTCTCGCCTGTTCCCTCCTGGCTGCATACCTCCACATCTCGGATTTCCCAGTTAGGATTCCTTAGGAAGGGAATCTGACAGGCCGGCTCATCTTTTCACTCTAAAGAGGCTGCTGGTCAGCTTGTGATGGCTTTTCCTGGGCCTGGAGCACACCATGGTTCCGCTGGCTGTGGCCAGGGTCACTTGGTAGGTCTTGGGAAGATAGGCCTCTGGCCCTCCACATCCCCCCTTCATCTCAAAGCTGCTACAGGCAGTGATGGGAGAGCAAGCCCGTTCCCGGCCTGGGTGTTCTCAGAACCCTTCCTGGAAGAAGGGATTGTGATGAGGTTGAGTTCCCGCCCCTCTGGAGCCCGCTGCCAGGGGAGCTGAGTGGGACCCCAACTCACTAAGCCTCACCCCCTTACACTCAGTATGAGACTCGATTATTGGATTTTTCTCCCCTCCTCCAGTCAGTGGAAAGGACAAAGCAGTTGTCCTAGATATGGAATGTCATCTGAGAAAATAAAAAGGGAGGTACAGCTTCTATGAAAGTGCAAGACAGCCGGGCCGGGTGGCTCACAACTGTAATCCCAGCACTTTGGGAGGCCGAGGCGGGCGGATCACAAGGTCAGGAGATCAAGACCATCCTGGCTAACACGGTGAAACCCCTTCTCTACTAAAAATACAAAAAATTAGCCGGGCGTGGTGGCGGGCGCCTGTAGTCCCAGCTACTCCGGAGGCTGAGGCAGGAGAACGGCACGAACCCAGAGGCAGAGCTGGCAGTGAGCCGAGATTGCGCCACTGCACTCCAGCCTGGGCGATAGAGCAAGACTCCATCTCAAAAAAAAAAAAAAAAAAAAAAAAAGAAAGTGCAAGACAGCAATAATGACATTATTTTTGCAAAAGAAGGAAATTACCTTTTATCTTCAAGTTTCAGCACATTGATGATAATAAGCCTGCCTCTCTCCACAGAATCCTAGTTTGCCATCAGGAAAGGTCTTGTCACCCAGTTTCTGACTGTGTGTGAGGACTGTGGCCCTGAGAGCACATAGGGAGTCTCTCGGGAAGGACACAGTGTGGTTCAGAGCCGGCCTCTGCCACCTGGAAAAGCTGGTCTTGTGACTTCTGTGGTACAACCTAGGAAATGGGCCCCCAGGCCTTAAACAGATGAAGGAAAGCTTATTGACAGTGGGGTTCCCTGCCTTGTCAAGGAAGTTCCTGAAACTCAAGAGGGCCAGGGTGAAGAAGGCTCAGGAGGGTCAGGACCCCAGTTTCAGAGCCCAGGCAGGTGGATTGGCCTTGGAGAGAAGCCACAAAGAAAGGAGGGGTGGGGGCAGGATTCTTCCCATGGTTTCTTAGTTGGCTGGGGGTTTACAATCACCTGGGAGCCTTTAAAAGCTAAAGCCGGCCAGGTGCGGTGGCTCACGCCTATAATCCCAGCACTTTGGGAGGCCGAGGCGGGTGGATCACTTGAAGTGAGGGGTTCAAGACCAGCCTGGCCAACATGGTGAAACCCCGTCTCTGCTAAAAATACAACAATTAGCTGGGCGTGTTGGCACACGCCTGTAATCCCAGCTACTCAGGGGGCTGATACATGAGAATCTCTTGAACCTGGGAGGTCGAGGCTGCAGTGAGCTGAGATTATGCCACTGCCCTCCAACCTCGGTGAAAGAGTGAGACTCTGTCTCAAAAAGAAAAAAAGAAGCTGAACATACACCTGCCTTATGACCTAGAGCTTCTAATCCTAAGTGTTTACCCACGGAAGTGAATACTTGCATGCACAAGACTGGTACTACAATTTTCATAGCACTTTCATAAGAGGCAAAAACTGGAAACTGCCTAAATGTCCATCAGTAGTAAAACGAATAAATAAATTGTGGTCTATCCATATTTCAAATGCATTGCTGAGTAAAAGCAGACACATACACGAGTATGTATGGTATGATTCTGTTCATTTAAAGTCCCAAAAGCAGCAAAAGCACTCTGTGGTGCTGGAAGTCAGGATGATGGCTATCCATGGCCAGGAGGGTGTGGCCAGTGAAACCAGAGGAAGCAGCGGGTAGTTCTGGGGGCCTGGTTCCCAGGTGTGTACTCGTTTGTGAAATGCATTGAATTGTACATTTACTTAACATGTGCTTTTCTATATGTAAATAATACTTCAACAACAATTTAAGAAATCTATAGTTATTTAAATGCTATTCCCAGATATTCTGATTTAACTGGTTTGAGACAGAGCTCAGGCATCATTTTTTTTTTTTTTTAAAGGACTGCAGGCTGAGCACAGTGGCTCATGCCTGTAATCCGAGCACTTTAGAAAGCCGAGGTGGGAGAATTGCTTGAGGCCAGGACCAGCCTGGGCAACAGAGCAAGACCTTATCTCTATAAAAAAATTTTTTAAAAAATAGCTGGGCATGGTGGCATACACCTGTAGTTTCACCTACTTTGGGAGGCTTAGGCAGGAGGATCACTTGAGCCCCAGGAAGTTGAGGCTGTGGTGAGCTATGATTGCACCACTGTGTTCCAGCCTGGGCAACAGAGCAAGACTCCATCTCTTAAAAAAAAAAAAAAAAAAAAAAAAAGCACTGCAGGTGATTCTAATGTGCACCCAGCGGCTACACTTTAGAGTTAAAAGGAGAGTGTCCTTTCCCCCTGAAGTAGGAGGTGAGCTGAGTGAGAAGTGCAGGTGGAGTGAAGAGACCTTGTCGGGGGATCTGGAGCAGCCACTGGGGGGAAGAGTCCCAGGTCCAGCCTATTGAGCCCCAGTTTGCGAAGTTTTATCCAGGACAGATGTCCACGAAGCTTCCTGTCCTTGGATGGCTATTTCCCTGGTTTCTGGGTTTGTACTGTCGGGGCCTGTTGCCATGATGTGTTTTTGTTTGGAAGAGAACAGTGGTGTTTTCAGGTCTCTGCTTGGAGCTCGCTGGGGCTGAGCGTCCTGGCTGGCTGCACAAAAGGGTGGAGCTGTCTTTGGCCTGGCCTTGAGAAGAGTTGGCAGGACCCACAGGGTCCACAAGAAGTCAGCTTGGGAGAGTGCGGTCACCTCCTTGGAGGAGGAGATGCCCAAGGGGACCACCCCACCCCAGCTGTGGGGAAGGCCCTGCCTGTGACCACGCAGGCCCGGCTGAGATTTGTGCTTCAGCATCAGCCACAGGCTTGGCCACTGCCAGAGGCTTGGATGAGTACTGGAGGGAGGTTTGCCCTGTGGTTAGGAAGGGCTGGGAAGGCTGGGGGAGTGTTGCCAGGGCATGGCCCGCCCAGGTGTGTGCAGCCCACTGGAGACAGGAGGGGCCCAGCCTGTGCTTTCACCCAAATACCCCATCCTGCCCAGACCCTTTATTCTTTGCTTGGGCCTCCTACCTCCCACCTGAGTTCCTCTTTGATCAGTCAGCCACCCTGGGCTGAGTGCCTTGAGGTACCGAACCAGAGCTCCTGGAGGAAAGGGCCCTGCTGTGGGGGACCCCATCAGCTCCTGTCCAGCCTGTCCCCTCCTTTCCTGCTGGGTGTGTCATTCTCTGCGCCCCCTCACTCTTACTGCCTTGCTTTTTCCTCTGCTTCTCCCTTTTGGGGTGTTATCTCTTTTTCCCTGTCTCTCCTTCATTCATTCAGCAAACACTGGGTGCTGGCTGTATGCTGGGGATACAGAGATGTACGGGACACGCCCTTGCTGGAGCTCAGAGTCAACTGGGGGACACAGATGTGTAAACAGACAAGCACACTCTGGTGTGGTAAGTGCTGGGGCAGCAGCCTGCAAGAAGCGACAGTGGACCACAGAAGAGGGATGAGCCCCTCTGCTGGGGGAAACTGAGGAAGGCTTCACAGAGGTGGTGACGTTTCACCTGGGGCTTGAAAGATGACCGGAACTCCCCAGGTAGATAAGCATGAGAAGGGTAAGCAGGTATGCAGGCAAAGCACGCAGGTGTGAAGGGCTGCTGTGGCATAGAAGTGAAGGTGCTGGGCTGTACTGCAGGGGAGGGAATGACGGGCGATGAGGCTGGAAAGCAGGAAGGTCTGGGAGGCCAGCTGAAGAAGTGACGGGAAGTGAAGAAGGAGCATCAGCAGGAGAGTGGCAGGATCAGACCCGGGCCCCAGCTGGCCCTCTGGGCAGTGTGCATGTGGGAGAGAGGCAGTGTGTACCCGCACAGCCGGAGGCAGTTTTGGTCAGGGAGCTGTTGCCAGCATCTGGGAAAAGGATTGTGGCCTGGGCTTGCGTGGTGTAGTGGGAATGAGAAAAGAGATGGTTTTATGGGTTATCTTGGGGGGGACCTGAGGGCTTGATTGGCTGTGGAGGTGAGGAGAAGAATGAGTGGAGTATTCTGGCCTGGGTAACTGTGGGGAGACAGAGCCTTTCACAGACATTGGATGCCAAGGAGGAAGTGGGTTTGGGGGGCCGCTACTGAGATTACATGCATGGACACGTCTAGATGGCAGGGGGTGAAGCTCGGGAGGGTGTGGGTGTCAAGGTTACAGAGGTAGACTTGGGAGTGACTGCCTGGTGTGGGTATTTGGAGCCTGGGGGAGGTGTGCAGAGCAGAATGCCTGTGTCAGGTGCACCACGAGGCCCCTAGACTCCTGTGTATCTGGGCTCCCACTCATTGCCCCCTCCTCTCCTGCCCTGTCTCCCCATTCTTGACATCTCCCTGTGCTGGTGCCATCCCTGCCCTCTGGCAGCTTCTCAGGCTGGGGAGCTCCCTACCTGCCTCATGATGTGAAAAGCTCAGGGAGTATTTTTTGCTGCATGGGGCTGGAGAGCAGGCAGACACCTCCTGTGCCCTCTAGGGAGGGGCCTTCCTGCCTTCAGACCATGCTCAGCCAGGGGAAGGGCCTCATCGGAGGATTTCCAATCTTTTGTACCTCCTTTAATGTCAAAACACTGCCACTCCCCTGCTCCATACCTCTCCTGACAGAAATTAGGTAGTTTTTTATGGCTTCCAGGACTCCTGACATGAATTCCACAGCTGGGGCATGGGGATGGGACGGGACTGGATGGGACAGAGCGGGAGGAGATGTGGTTCACAACCCACAGGGCATGAACACCTAGCGCGACAAAAAGTCTGTGAGTAGAGTCTACAGCGGCTGCCTGCAGGGTGGGGGACCAGGCTGAGCCCTGTGCTCTTGAAGCCTCCTTCTTGGCCCTCTGGGTCAGGGCCCAGCTGGTCACTGGGTGTCCCCTGCCTGAGTGGTTCTGCTGGTGAGTGCTCAGTGACCAGTCTGCCCTGTACTTCTTCAGGTGGCACTACTCCCATTTCTTTATTTTCATTCGTCAAAATAAACACTACAGGGGAGAAGACACCACTATTGAGTGGAAAGTGAACTGAAGATCGTTTTGAGAGCGCGGCAGGTTTACTCATTTTGGCCATAGGCAGGGTCTCTGAGCCAAGAGCATTATCAGCAGAGAGACAGGAGGAACTGGCTTCAGTGGGCAAACAGAAAGGAATGGCTTGCAACCATCCTCTTGATCATGTGTAAAGGAGTTGGCTTTTTTTTTTTTTTTTTTTTTTTTAGACAGAATTTCACTCTCGTCGCCCAGGCTGGACTGGAGTGCAATGGTGTGATCTCGGCTCACTGAAACCTCCACCTCCCGGGTTCAAGCGACTTTGCTGCCTCAGCCCCTTGAGTAGCTGGGATTACAGATGCCCGCCACCATGCCCAGCTAATTTATATATTTTTAGTAGAGATCGGGTTTCACCATGTTGGCCAGGCTGGTCTTGAACTCCTGACCTCAGGTGATCCACCTGCCTCAGCCTCCCAAAGTGCTGGGCTTACAGGCATAAGCCACTACACCTGGCCAGGAGTTGGCTTTTAATTTAAAGAGACTTGAAAGTTGGCCGGGTTTGGTGGCTGAGCCTGGTCTGAAGGCAGGAAAGCTCCTCCCTGGAGTTGTCGTGAGCGCCTGCTGCATGCTCAGCACTGGACTCAGGGGATTCAATGAAGGACCAGGCAGAGTCTGTGAGCCCCTGGAGATGCACAGTCATGGCACACAGACACAGTGTGACAGATGCTGAGCAGAGACTTCCGATCAGGGTGCTGTGAGTGAGTATCTGAAGCAGGGACTACTCACCTAGGCTGGGGGAGGGCTGAGGGAAGGCTTCTCTCCCTGAGACAGTCACATTTGAACCTAAGGATGTGTTTGGTTTAGAATCCATGCAAAGACATGGTTATCTATGCAAGATTAGATAATCCATGCAAGATTATAATTATACCCAGTTTCTAAGGCTCAGCTTCCTTTTCTCTAGGAACCCCACTGTATTTCAGTTCCCAGGGATCTGTGCATCCTCTGAGCTCCTGCAGTCCTGAGAATTTGACTCACATTCTCAAGCAACAGGCTCCCTGCCTCTGAAAGCACTGTCCAAGCTCCTTCCCATTGTCATCCCGTTCTATCCCTCATCCATCCTTCAGTCTGGGATGCAGGTTCTTCAGAGCTGAGCCCACAGAATTTTTCCCTGGCGGCCCCATGGATTCACTGCCAGGCCCACGCTGTAATGGCTCAGTGGTCTGACTTGCATATCTACTCCCCCCAGGCCTGTCCTGTGAGAGGACTGAGACCAAGCGAGAAACATACATGGAAGAAATAGATGGAATCTCCCATGCAGTAATTACACACAGGCACAGCAGAAATACCACAGACAAAAGAGAAACGACAAACTGGGGAAAACATCACAAAAATGATAAACTAAGGATTAACGTTCTCAATAAAGAATTTACAGGCCAGGTATGGTGGCTCACACCTGTAATCCCAGCACTTTGGAGAGGCCAAGGCAGGTGAATCACCTGAGATCAGGAGTTCAAGACCAGACTGGTCAACATGATGAAACCCCATCTCTGCTAAAAAATTTATATATATATAAATAAATTAGCCAGATGTGATGGCAGGTACCTGTAATCCCAGCTACTCGGGAGGCTGAGGCATGAGAATCACTTGAACCTGGGAGGCGGAGGTTGCAGTGAGCTGAGATCACACCACTGCACTCCAGCTTGGGTGACAGAGCAAGACTCTGTCTCCAAAAAAAAAAAAAAAGGCTAGGCATGGTGGCTCACACCTGTAATCCCAGCACTTTGGGAAGCTGAGGTGGGACGATTGAGCTCAGGAGTTTAGGACCAGCCTGGACAACACAGTGAGACCCCCGCTGTCTACAAAAAAAATGAAAACCTTAGCCCGGCATGGTGGAGCATTCCTGTAGTCCCAGCTACTTGGGAAGCTGAGGTGGGAGGATCACATGAGCTCGGGAGGCTGAGGCTGCAGTGAACCAAGATTGCGCCACTGTACTGTAGCCTGGGCGACAGAGTGAAACCCTGTCTCAAAAAAAAAAAGGCCGGGCGTGGTGGCTCATGCCTGTAATCCCAGCACTCTGGGAGGCCAAGGCAGGGGGATTATAAGGTCAGGAGTTCGAGACTAGCTTGGCCAATATGGTGAAACCCCCGTCTCTACTAAAAAATACAAAAATTAGGCACAGTGACACACGCCTGTAGTCCCAGCTACTTGGGAGGCTGAGGCAGGAGAATTGCTGGAACCCAGGAGGTGGAGGTTTCAGTGAGCCAAGATCACGCCACTGGACTCCAGCCTGGGCGACAGAGAGAGACTCCATCTCAAAAAAAAAAAATAAAAAAGCCAGAAAAAATTTATACAAATGAAGAAAGAACTTCAATACAAATGAAGAAAGAATTTCACCTGTGAATTCTCTATAAGACAATGAACTTCCAGTGGTTAATAATTATTTGGAAAAAACTGTTCAACCTACCAGTAAGCAGAAATACAAATGAAGACAACGTATTTTCACCTATCAGATTTGCAAAGGTGAGCGAGAGACAATATCCAGAGAAGGGCATGAATATGGGGAAACAGGCACCTTCATGTCGTGCTGATGGCTGGGTTAACTGGAACAGCATCTGTTCATTCTCAATCCACTAATTTCACTTCTGAGAATCTATCTTAGGAATGGACAGTGAGTGACATGGGAAATTTCTCATGAAATCAGGTTAAGCCACAGAAGTAGGGTATACAAATTATAGATTATATAACCATTTACATAGGTTATATGTTTATCATACATTTTTTATTTGGGTGATTTTTGGGGAATCTTTAGGTGATTTTGATCTTATATATATTTTTCATATTTTCTATAATCTTTAAAAATCAAGGGAAAAAAAAAAACCTCTGTGAAATGTGACATGATGGAACCAAATAAATCCAGAAATCAACTTTGAGAGTCAAATCTCTAGCAAAATCTGTCACTTCACAAGACTGTTGTAGGTATATGTTGATATGTGTGGCAAAATCCTCTCTAAGGTTGAGGACAGAGGTAACCAGGCCACATGGCCATGGCTGGGCTGATTTTGTGGGTGAGGTCACTGGCTGTTCACTGTAGGACCGGACACAGCCTGTCCCTTGGCAGGTCTCAGTTTCATAATCTGTACAATGGTATGGTGGGAGCGGGTGAGGCTGAATCAATCTCTGAGGGTCCTGGCAGATCTTGGGCTGAGGCGAAAACTCTGTTCTTGAAGAAGAGAACTTTGGCTGGCCTCAGTCACAGAGCGGAGGGTGACTGAGCATTGAGATTTGTAGGTTCCAGGCTCCAGCTCCTAATCTGCAGCAGGACCACTGCACGTGACCTTGTTACCTGTTCCTGACCACCACACTGCCCCAGCACGGCCCTGCTTCTTGGCCACCCTCTCTTTCTTGGTCAGCCCCTGGGCCCACTTGGTTGGGGCTGGCTTGACGGCTCAGGCTTTATTGATGTGTAGCCTGGAGGAGCAGGAACAGGGTAATGATTCTTTGGAGCGATTAGTGGAGGCAGGAACTCAAAGGCCATTGGAGAGCCCGACCTGCCCAGGGAGAGAGGATCTGTTCCCTCCTACGCTCTCCCTCAGGGACATTTTTGAGATGGTTTGGCTCTCATCATCAAGCTGTCCTGACTGTCCAAGGTGGCTGAGGCCACTTCCTGGTATAAGACGGCTCCTCCCCTCCTGGCCACACTCACCTGTAGGCTGATGGGCGTCCACCTCCCACACCTTCAGCGCATCAGCTCCTGAGCTTTGATAAGGCCTCCTGTGCTCAGCCTACTTTCCCGGAACCTGATGGTTTACAGTCATGCTGCGCGGGTACTTTGGACACTTTTGTTCTCGGCATAAGCGAGTCTCAGGGTCCTCCCTCTCAGTGTGCCTCCTCAAGGGTGGGGCTAGAGGCCTCACTCAGCCTGGCCTACGAGCTGCCTGGCACTGGAGATGAGGTAGACAGGTTGATTTTCCTCCCAGCCTAGGCATAAGCAGAACTTCTGGCTTTCGGGAAAGACGCTGTGTGAGACCCGCCTACTCCGTCAGCCATCCCAGAACCTCTGCCTGCGCTGCTGCCTCTGAACTGTGACATTTTCAGTGTCACCCTCAATATCAGGGCCAGTCTTGGGTGGGGGCCAGAGGCAGCGGCCATGGGCATGGTGGGGCTGTTAGGGAAAGGTGTCCTCATGAAGCCCCCTTCCTGATATGGGCCTGTTTTTCCCTAGCAACCAACAAATGCACAGAAAGACAGCTTCTCTGAACAGTCCTGTGTCCTGCAAAGAGAAACCAGACAGAGTTGAGGAGCCCCCGGACTACAGGTGAGGACCCCTTTCCCAGTCATAGATACACACAGACTAGAGGGTGGGAAGCCCTCAGGAAGTGACCTGTTTGTAAGAGGACCTCAAGGCAGAGCCGGGGCCCCTTTGCAGGTCTGTGAGGTCAGGCACAGGCTGCCCCAGGCTTCTTCCTCCCGCCCCTCAAGACTGTCCCAGTGCACTGGGACCTAGCAGAGTCCATGCTTCTCGGGTTTCCAGCCTCCTCCCTGCTCACCTGTGCTCTGGGCCAACCTGGCCAAGGCAAAGGTTTACCTTTTTTTCTCAGTGCCATCCCCCTCTCCCAGTGTGGTAGCCTCAGCCAGGTCAGGTGAGTCTGTGCCAAGCTCCCCGCAGCAGAGCTCAGGCCACAGGAAGGAGGCGGCAGGGAGGGCAGTCCTGCTGGCATCATGGCCTGTGGCCAGGCCCCGGCGCTGTGAGTCTGACACCTTCACCTCACCCACACCCCAAACTGTCCCTATTCCAGCACTGCCTGCTCCCCTGCTTACCCCTTGGCCAGAGAAATGGGACAGGGTCTTTGACACCCAGGTGGGAAGCTCCTCAGCATCTCTGGGAGACCAGGCGCACCTCCAGGAGATGCTGCTCACCCGCACTGGGGAAGGTGGGCCCTTGGCGACCCCTCTCTACCTCCCGCAGTGCCCTCCCCCAGGGATGAGCTGTATAGTTTAGCTGTGTGCTCGCTGTACTTGTCATTTTGCTGTGTCCCCTAGAGAAGGGTCCTAGTCTCTGATCTCTGCCTCAAGCTTCTGGCTCAAGGCCAGGGCAGAATTGGCACTGAGGATGCATGGGCAGGACTGGGGTTCCTTGTTCCCGAAATGGAATGTCTCCTTTGCAGTCTGCACTGGCCAGAAGGCTTGAAGGGTGAAGAGATAAAGAAGTGTGGCCGAGAAGGGGTAAGTCTGGAGGCTGACTTCTCACTATTCACCCAGGAAGGGGTCCTGGGCTGCCAGAATTCAGTGACTTTTGGCTCCTTGGCCACCGGGCCTGTCATCAGGAAATCAGGAGACCTGAGTGTGTATCCCTTCCTGGGTGGGAGTAGTGTGTCCCCCTCTGCTAGTACAAGCTGCCTGTCAGGACCTAGCAGCACCAGGAGACAAGCTGTGCTTGGCACACAGCCCTCCATACTCACTGGCTGCTTACTAGCTGCCTCATGCTAAGTCCCCAGCATGGGCCGGGGGGCTGTGGCATTTCCTGTTGGCTGGAGCAGGGCCCCTTTGGCGGTCTCATCTCCCAGCGCTTCTCAGACGCAGCCTGTGTGTTTGCAGATAACACTGAATAAATACAACCAGCAATACCACAAGCTGTTTAAGGATGTTCCCTTGGAGGAAGTGGTTCTCAAAGGTGAGCTGTCTCCCGGTATAGCTGGTTAGGCACCCAGAGTGCCTGGGGCCAGGGGCCTCTGCTCTGGAGCCTCCAAAGCACGACTTAGAAATGGGAACTGGCTGTCCTTTAGATGTGGACCACTCCCCTAGAATGTGAGAAGACTGGGCTGGTGAGAAGACTGGGCTGGTTTGGACATAGCATTGCATTTTTGAAGGTTTTCTTGGGGAAACGTCAGGGCTTTGGAATCTTGTGTCCTGCTCTTACTGGTGACTTCTTACCTGCTCTGGCCTCTCACTGAGCAGGTGGGGGCATTTGCACAATCAAGGCCCTTGGGGCAGAGCAGAGCAGGGAAAGGTCAGGGATTCTGCCTGAGGTGGTGAGAATGCAGGCTTGGAGATCAGGGCAGGAACTTGCCTGGACCCTCTGGAGCAAGGGTGGAGAAGGAAGAAACATCCAGCAGGCTGGTGGAGTGGAGGAGCAGTCAGGAGAAGGACCCTTCGACGCTGGGGAATGGACTGTTTGGGGTTTGGGGCCTGCGGTGGGGAAGGGGGAGTCTGAGGAAGACAGGTCCTGAGGCTGGACTGTGGACTCCAGAACGTGAGGACCCAGGTCCTGGGGCTTCCTGGGCTGACCTTGCTTATGGCCATTTTCTCTCCTGTGACATCCTAGTGTGTTCCTGTGCCCTCCAGAGGGACTTCCTCCTCCAGGGCCGGCTCTACATCTCCCCCAACTGGCTCTGCTTCCATGCCAGCCTCTTTGGCAAGGATATCAAGGTAGTAATGAGTGGTGAGGGCTGCCATGACCCTGTGAGGGGAGCCAGCCTCCTGCCCCACGGGCATGCCTCAAAGTCATGCCTATCTCTCTGCGTGCTGGGCCCCGGGTGAAGCCCCTTGCTGGTTGGATGCGCAGCTTCGAGGCATCCCATCCAGTGTCCAGGAAAGTAGTCCTGCCCCTTCAAAAACAGGGGCCCAATCTGGACCCCACATCTGGCCTGAGCTGGCCTGAACAGTTCACAGCCAAATCATTCTGCCTCTGGGTATTTCAGAAATGCTTTGAGAATCAGAGTGGGATATCACATTTAGGCGGAGCCCTAGCTGTGGCCAAGAAGTAGCCTGGGGAGCTCCATTACTAGAGTATGAGATTTACCAGAGCCACCATCCTTGGCCTCCTGGATAACAGGGATCATACCTATGTGACAGCCAAGAGTGACACATCCTGCCAAGGCTGGGGCAGGGTGGCAGGGACAACTGGAAGGGGAGCCTGGATGAAAAGGTAGAAGGTTCAGAGACTTCCCCACATGGGGCCAGGCTTCCCCATGGTGGCCATGCTGGGCTCACAGCTGGGTCCCTAGGCAGGGAGCAAAGGGACCACGTCCTTGGGGGTTAGTCCTGAGAGAAGCATCCCTCTCCCTCTCAGGTGGTCATTCCTGTGGTGTCTGTGCAAATGATCAAAAAACACAAGATGGCACGGCTCCTTCCCAATGGACTGGCCATCACCACCAACACCAGCCAGAAGGTCAGTGCACTGGGCCCATGCTCCCTTGTCAGTCTCCCGCTCCCAGCCCTGACAGCCCACAGTCTGACTCGGGCACATTCCCAGGTCTTTATTTCACCCCACCCTGCAGCTCTCCAGTAGGTATTTCAGGCCGTACAACAAGCTGGAAGAGAAGTTCCTAGGCAGAGCTTCTGTTGGCTCTCATGGCCTGATACCCCTGTGGGCCTGTGCCCAATCCACAAGGGGGCTGGCTGGCACAGCAAGGAGTCTCATCTCACCCTACCCCTGTCTGTTTTCTTTCCATGTCCCAGTATATCTTTGTGTCACTGCTCTCCCGGGACAGTGTATATGACCTGCTGAGGAGAGTCTGCACCCACCTACAGGTATGGAGCTTGGGAGCAGGAAGGCCAGGGAAGTCGCTCAGGCCTGGATGCAGGTCTTGCACAAGGGTGTTGGGGGAGGTCGCCCATCTCTCCAGCACAGGGAATGGGGCAGGGAGAGGGGAGTTAAAGGCTCAGGCTCAATGTACAAGAGACAGTACTTGGATTGTGTGTCTATGCTTGCAAGCATGTCTTTGAGGCCAGTGAGCCCCTGTGTGTCCCCATATACAGATGCTCCTTGTTCATGGGCTTATGTCCCATGAACCCATCAAAAGTTGAAAATATCGTAAGTCAAAAATGTGTTTAATAGAGGTACACATCACCTACAGAACATCGTAGCTTAGCCTCACCTCCCTTAAACATCTCAGAATGCTTTCATTAGCCTAGAGCTGGGCAAAAGCATCTCAGGCAAAGCCTGTTTTATAATAAAGTGTGGAACATCTTATATAACTTATTGAATCCTGTACTGAATGTGAAAAACAATGGCTGTATGGTCCCAGCACTTTGGGAGGCCGAGGCAGGTGGATCACCTGAGGTCAAGAGTTCGAGACCAGCCTGGCCAACGTAGTGAAACCCTGTCTTTACTAAAAATACAAAAATTAGCCGGGTGTGGTGGCAGGCACCTGTAATCCCAGCTACTTGGGAGGATGAGGCAGGAGAATCACTTGAACCCGGGAGGAGGAGGTTGTAGTGAGCCGAGATTGCACCATTGCCCTCCAGCCTGGGTGACAAGAGCAAGACTCCATCTCAAAAAAACAAAAAAAAACAAAAAACAAAAAACGAAAACCGGAATGGCTGTATAGGTACTTGAAGTACAGTTTCTACAGGAAGCCTATCACTTTTGCACCATCATAAAGTTGAAAAATCTTAAGTGGAACCATCGTAGGTCAGGGACCGTCTCTATGTCCAGGCCCTCACTTGTGCTTCCTTAATGCACAGATAGGAGCGCGTAGCTGCTTCCCAACATGCCCTATGACTCTCTCTGCCTATGGTGAGGAAGAGGGGAGGGATGGGGCAGCAGGTGGGAGAGTAAGTTTCCTGGGGTTTGCCTCTCTGCTCCAGCATTAAATAGGGGGCCCCCTATAGACCCTGGGAGCTGGGCTTCACCTGACACAAAGTGGCTTATTTGGAGGTAAAGCTCTCTTGGAGAGGGCTGATGCTTCCCCCTGCCTGACCTTGCCTGTTCCAGATGGACAAGTGACTGCTGTTCCCTTTCCTCCTCAGCCTTCCAGCAAGAAGAGTCTGAGTGTAAGAGAATTTTCAGGGGAACCTGAGTCTCTGGTGAGAGCTGAAGCTGGGAGCAAAGACTGCTGGACTGACAGTGCCTGGAGCTCTGAGGCTTCTGGGCCTCCTAGGGGGGCCCACAATGCAGAACTGGGGCACCAGGCTCAAGAGTCAGTGGCCATGCTATGCCAGGGCATCTCTTAAACCTGCCACACCATAATGCAGAGCCACCAGGGCCTCAGCAGATAGGCTTTCTTTTCTTTCTTTTTTGGACGACAGAGTCTTGCTATGTTGCCCATGCTGCAGTGCAGTGGCACCATCTCATCTCACTGCAACTTCCACCTGCTGGGTTCAAGTGATTCTCCTGCCTCACCCTCCCAAGTAGCTGGGATTACAGGCACTTGCCATCACACTCAGCTAATTTTTGTATTTTTAGTAGAGATGGGGTTTCACCACGTTGGCCAAGCTGATCTCGAATTCATGGCCTCAAGTGATCCACTGGCCTCCGCCTCCCAAAGTGCTGGGATTATAGGCGTGAGCCACCGTGCCCAGCCGATAGGCTGACTTTCTGAGTAGAACAGAAGTCCAAGCACCAAAACACTGGCCAGGTTGGGCTGCACACCTGTACAGATGCAGGACCAGTGGCCCATCCTCTTTTCTTCAGCTGAGTCAAGAGGGCCTTCAAGGGGATAAAGATGACCCTGGGAGCCGAGTGTGGTGGCTCACGCCTGTAATCCCAGCACTTTGGGAGGCCAAAGCAGGAGGATGGCTTGAGCCCGGGAGTTCGAGATTGGCCTGGGCAACATAGTGAGACCCTGTCTCAATAAAAATACAAAAATTAGCAGGGCATGTTGGCACGTACCTGTAGTCCCAGCTACGCAGGAGGCTGAGATGGGAGGATCACTTGAGCCTGGGAGGTTAAGGCTGCAGTGAGCCAAGATCACAACACTGTATTCCAGCCTGGGCAACAGAGGGAGACCCTGTCAAAAAAAAAAAAAATAAAAGATGTCCCTAGGGAAGAACTCCAAAGACTATCCCTGAAGAACCCAGACAGACTTATTTTAGATTTGCCAAAGTTCCAGAAGTTTCCTTTGGCAGCTGGGGCCCTGGGTAGGCAGAACTGAGTTTCTAGGGCAGGGATGGCGTAGAAATGACCCTGGGGTGTTTGAAGGCTCCTTTAGTAACTATTAGTGTTTAGCCAAGCATGTGATATGCATAATACCATGTGCCGGATAGAAGGTGAAGTTCCCATTTTTGTAGATGGGGACGCTAAGTCCTCCCTGCCAAGGTTAGGGCTTGGGATAGGAGCAGGAACTTATCCTACCTAAGACATGTTGTGCCGAGCTTTCTTGGCCTCAGATCTGAGCATGTATCTGGGTTGGCTCACATCTAAGATCCCACTGTGGTTCTACACTAGCAGTGTTCAAAGACATCGTTTGCTGGCAGAATAGCTAGTCACAGCAAGGGAGCAGAGAGGAGAGGCATATGGTTGCTATAGCAACTGCCCTCCTCGCTTGTACCTGCTTCCATCCCTGGCTAGGCATCTATATTTGGTAATATCTGGAGAAAACTCTGATAAACCTGGTGTGGGCTCCTTAGGGCAAGTGAGATCGCAAGGGCCATGGTAAGATAGCTTCTCCTGTCTTACTGCAGGAAGTCCTCATCCCTGAGATGAAGTGGAGAAAGGTATGCCCTTCCTCCAGGTCCCTGTCTCTCCCAGACAACATCCCTTGTATCCCTCCATCATCCGTGGACTCCACAGACAGTTTCTTCCCCTCCAGGAAGCCTCCAATGTCTGGTAAGTTCGGGAGGGCTTGTCCATGGCAACTACTTGCAAAGGCCAGACTTTCTGTCTTCCCAGTTCCATAAAAAGGGCTCACCACAGCCAGCAGGGCTTCTGAGAGCTGATTTTTTTTTTCTCCCAATCCATAAAGAAAAGTCAAGAGCCCAAGTAGCTTCAGAAAATGGTGGGAGGTGGGCATGGCCCATGCCAGGCTGGGGTCCTGCCTGCCCTAAGAAGATGCCGAACTGCTCTCCCACTGCAAAGAA
The DNA here is from genome assembly GCF_000001405.40 of Homo sapiens. Lineage (NCBI taxonomy): Eukaryota > Metazoa > Chordata > Mammalia > Primates > Hominidae > Homo > Homo sapiens. The sequence goes on along the minus strand of NC_000015.10, from coordinate 72,163,361 downwards.
TGCTGTCTATGAGGAGGATGAGCTGGAGGAGGAGCCCAGGAGCACTGGGGAGCTGAGGCTCTGGGATTACCGGCTCCTCAAGGTCTTCTTTGTGCTGTAAGTGACTATACTGGGGAGGGGGACAGACCCACCTGCATGTCTAGGTGCTTGGAACAAGGGCCTTGGAGTGTGGGGAATTCACTATTCAGAACCAGGGGGAAGTTTCTGAGTCAAATTCAAGCTCTTGGGTGGTATCTGAAGGCCATGTGGCACGCCCTTCTGTAGCAAGAGAAAGGATCTCCAGTTTTTATTCTTGAAACCCTGTAATTTAGGGTTAAGACTATTTGGTGGAGAGGGGCAGGATATGGAGATGTTGAGAAGAGGAAAAGGATTTGGGAGAAGGAGGGCCAGGAAAATTGGAGAGAGAGAGGAAAAGCTTGGCCTCGCCACTGCCCACCACTAGGGCAGCTTCTGGAACCCCTGACTTGTCTCTACCTCTGTCTAAGGACCAGTAGAGCAGGGAGCATCGTGGGAAGTGACATGAACAGCCAGCCCCTGCTTTCCCTCACCTTAGCTCATCAGCCTCCTCTGGCTCGGCTGGCCGGGTTTTGACCATCAACATCAGCACCTGCTGGGGGAATGGGCCCACCGCCTAGGGGGTCATCATCATGACCTCCCAGAGGAGGCACAGGAAGGACCACCATGGCTGGTGAGAGAGAGGGTAGGATGACTGATCTGGCTGTCTGGCCAGAGCTCCCCCCAGAGCTCAGCTGAAGGGCCCAGAGCTCTAGCTGGGCTGTAAGGACACTTCCATGGGGACAAGTCTGAAGACCCCTACATGGTGTCTGGGAAGAAAGATGCTGAGGCCTGAACTGGCTGCAGGACAAAGGGCTCTTTAATTCTTCCAACTGCAGGGGTAGCTTGGTCCCCACTATTTCCGGTGAACTTCCAGAAATGCTCTTTCTGTGGAAGAAATATTTAACTCCGTATTGCCGCTTTCTTCAGGATCTGCTTCCTGGTCATGTCCTCATCCTACCTGGCGTTCCGTATTTCTCGGCTAGAGCAGCAGTTATGCTCCTTGAGTTGGGATGACCCAGTCCCTGGGCACAGGTGAGGCCTTTTCTCTTTCTAATGCCTTTGATATTGAGGGTTGAGGACAGGAGCCAAGAACCTCAGGCCAGGCTGCCTGGCTGGACTTGGTCCTGTTTTGAGCTGGCTTCTGACCCTAAGCAAGGTTGGGCAGCGTGCAGGGTACACCAGTCCCACCCTGGCCCACTCTTGGGGGAAGTAAAGTTATCACTGGCCCTTCTGCCCACGTCCGTCTGCATTCTGGGCCCTTTCCCTGATGTGGACATCTTTCCTGTGTGCAGGTAACAGCCACTTGGCCTTTGTCCCCATTCCTTCTCCAAGAAGAATGTTCTGGGTGCTAAGTCTCCACCAATGATCCCTGTGGTTTATGCTGCTGCTGTGCTAAGACTGCCTATGAAGGAAAATATTCCAGATCCCTCCTCCTCCCCGCAGCTCTTCTCTTCCCTCTATGAGAGATCTGAAGTACGTGTTTACAAAGTAACTGGCTTCTACAATTTTTGGACTCAAGCAAAAAGCCAGATTTTTTGGAACCAACTGAGGAATTCTGTACACAAAGCTTCAGCAAACACTTAGAGAAAACAAACAAACAAACAAACTGGGTCCTTGGAAACAGTTCTGGCACACAGGCAGAACACTGGAGGCCACCTCAAAGGACAGAGGCCATGCTTTCGCATTTGGAATGTGGCTCTGCCACACAGCTCACTCCTATGGTGGGGTCAGAGGTCAGAACACAAACCACCCATGTGGGCTCTGCTCCCTCCCAACACTCTGTGTTCCCACAGGGCTTCTCTGCGGGCAGCCAGGCACCTGTCAGGCTTGGGCAGGGGCCTGCTGAGAATCTGTGAATGCAGAGGGGAGGGCTCATGGCCAGGATTCCAGCCAGAGATGAATTTCCATGCTCTGGGCCAGGGCTCTGTGCCGGCCCCTCATGAGGTGGCTGGCTGCATTATGGGGAGATGCTGCCCACGGCGGAGATGGTGGCAGTGGCTGTGAAGAACAGAGGTACCTGAATTCTGTGTCCTCAGCTGTCACTTTCCGGTGAGACAAGTGGAGCAGGGCCTTTGATCACTGTGGTCACAGACCTGGTACTGGGTTTTGCCCTTGTGTGCTCAAACATTTCTAAGGTGTCCCAAGCCCTGGAAATAGGGAAGGGAAGGGTGGAGGCTTGGATCTGAGGTCTTGCTGTCCACTCCCTGCCTGCCTGCCCGCATCTCAGGCATGGCCAACAGCAGCCCGTTGAGGGGGGCTTGTCTGGACAGTTGCGTGTGATGGTGTTGAGCCATCACAGGGCAGAGGTCACTTGTGTCACCCCCATAGTCATTGGGTTGCAGGCCATGGAGGAGGGACCTCCACTCCATGGGGCCTATTCTCCATTAAGGTGGAAGTGTCCACTGTGGGCCTAGCACAGTGCAGGAACCAGGCCAGGGGGTCTATCTCATACCTCTGGGGACAGGAAAGGTAGAGGATGAGGAGGTTGGACGTGGTGGTGGCTTTGCCTTGGATATTCCTCTTCCTCTATCAAGGCCTTCTCTTCTTCTCTGTGTCCCACAACTCTGGCCTCATCGCCCTGGGACTCCCATCTGCTAAGATAGTGGCTTTGGAGGTTCTGGAAGGGCTTAGTGAGGAGGCCAGAAGTATCAGGGAAAGTTGCTGGTGATGGGGTGGGCGGTGTCAGAAGCAGCCACTGTTTTCCCCTCTTCAGACACTGAGAGATTAATCAGGGAATGAAATCCAGGTGGAAATTATTTATTGTGAAGCAGACGACTGTCTGTCCTGTTTATGACAAACCCAAATGAGAATTGGAGGGACTACCAGTAAGTGGTCTCTTCATGCTCTCCCCATCCCAGTTTTTAGGATGAAATTTAGAGCCTGGCCTTTTGTGTTGCTTGCACCAAATCTGTATGTCTCAGGTGAAACTCACTGTTCCATGAATGGTCATCCTTTTTTTTTTTTTTTTTTTGGAACCAGCCCCTTTCACCCTTTCATCCGTCTTTTTTTTTTAGGAAAATAACCCTTCTTGCTTCAGCACTTCTCCCTGGTCCTTGCTGAAAGACAGAGATAAAAATCCATTCTCTGAGCCTTGCTTGGTTGTCAGAGGCCATGAGAGGTGCCAGTTATAGGTGGATGTGCCAAGATGCTGGTGAACTTGGTCTTCAGCTATACCCAGGCTCAGAAAGGGCAAGAGCCATGCTGCAGCGTAGGTGACTTTGGAGGTGCACTTGGGGCCCAGGGCTTTGAGTGTTGCGGGTGTGCCTGTCCCTCCAGATAGTGCTCTGTTTCTCTCTGTTGTCCCCCTGCCTGGTCCTCTGGGGCCACTGTGCTTTCTGCTGTGTGCATTTATAAATGATGTGTATTTTATATAGACCTGCTTGCATTGGCTGATGCTCCTCTAATTCCCTGAGTTTGATTCAACCACCCTTGGGTTGTTTTGCTATGGCCTTAGCCTTTGAAAATATTTTAAAATAAAAAACTTGATTTTTCTAGTGTATTATGGTATAGAAAGTTCATTTTTATCCTCTGACTACTCACTACAGGTACTCTTACTGACATACTCAGCCCCCAGGAGACTGATGGAGCCCAAGTCATTCCTATAATCCCAAGTACTCTGCAAATCTCAAAGGACTTGGCATATGGGGAAGAGTGAGGGTGGCCACAGCAAACCCCCACAGCCCTCTGCCTCTGTTGGGTGGACACCGGGAATACTTACCCATTTTCTCTGAGCAACTCCAAAGCAATGTCCCTGGCTCAAACAGGATTATGCCTCTGATCCAGGAATTAACATACGGAGTTCAGAGCCAGAAAGCTCGTGTGGCCTTTTCTATGACCCAGAGCCTATGTAAGGAGGTAAAATTCCAATTTGGGCCATATCACCTTCCTTCTTTTTCCCTGTGATGCCCCCTCTAGTAGTGATTCATTCATTCAATAAATATTATTGAGCCAAGACTACATGCCAGGTACTAAGCTGGGCACTGGAGCCATGAACATGGCAAACATATCTGTGTCCATGGAACTTAACTTACATTCCATGTACAGGTAGATTCCAAGTAAATATGTAAACAAACAAGATAATTGCAGATAGTGATTTTCAAGAAGAAACAGTGACATGATGAAGTGTGATAAACAGTGGTAAAGAGGGAGGTGGCTTTAGATGACATGGTTAAGAAAGTTCTCCAAAGTGACAAGCTGGTGCTTAAAGGATGAGAAGTCAGTCATGAGAGGAGCTGGGAACAACACATTCCTGGAAGAGGGATCAGCAACTGCAAAAGGTAGGAAAGGACATGTTTGTCTCTGAGGAGCAGAGAGACTAGCTGCATGTTAGTATCCTAGGATGCTAAGTGGGAGAGTGACATGAAAAGAGGTTATAGAGGTCAACACAACAAAAAAACCCGATTGAAAAATGGGCAAAAGGCTGGGCCCAGTGGCTCATGCCTATAATCCCAACACTTTGGGAGGCTGAGGCAGGTGGATCGCTTTGAGCCCAGAAGTTCGAGACCAGCCTGGCCAACATGGGGAAACCCTGTCTCCACTAAAAATACAAAAATTAGGCCAGGTGTTGTGGCTCACTCCTGTAATCCCAGCACTTTGGGAGGCCGAGGTGGGTGGATCACGAGGTCAGGAGTTCAAGACCAGCCTGACCAACATGGTGAAACCCCGTCTCTACTAAAAATACAAAAATTAGCCGGGTGTGGTGGTGGGTGCCTGTAATCCTAGCTACTCAGGAGGCTGAGGCAGGAGAATCGCTTGAACCCGGGAGGCGGAGGTTGCAGTGAGCCGAGATCGCGCCACTGCACTCCAGCCTGGGCGACAGAGCAAGATTCCGTCTCAAAAAAAAAAAAAAAAGCCAGGCATGGTGGTATGCACCTATAGTTCCAGCTACTCAGGAGGTTGAGGTGGGAGAATTGCTTGAACCCAGGAGGCGGAGGTTGCAGTGAGCCGAGATCATGCCACTGCACTCCAGCCTGGGTAACAGAGCAAGACTGTCTTAAAAAAAAAAAGGCAAAGGATTTGAATAGACATTTCTCTAAAGAAGATACACAGATGGCCAATAACCAATGAAAAGATCTTCAACATCACTAATCATTAGGGAAATGCCAGTCAAAACCACAATGAAGTACCACTTCACACTCATTAGAATGGCTACTCTCAAAGAACAGAAAAGAAACAGAATATAACAAGTGTTGGTGAAGATGTGGAGAATTAGTAACTCTGGGAATGACTTGGGCTGGGTTGGTGAAGATATGGAGAACTGTACTGTTGGTGGGAATGTAAAGTGGTTTAACTACTGTGTAAAACAGGACAGCAGCTACTCAAAAAATTAAAAACAGAATTACCATATGATCCAGCAATTCTAAGTATATAGCCAAAAGAACTGAGAGAATAATCTTGAAGAAATTTTTCTTTTTTTTTCTTTAAAGACAGGGTCTCACTCTGTCACTCAGTCACCCAGACTGAAGTACAGTGGTGTGATCACAGCTTACTGCAGCCTCGACCTCCAGGGCCCAAACTGAAGAAATATTTGAACACACATGTTCATAGCAGCATTATGTACAATAACCGAAAAGTAGAAGCAACTCAAGTGTCCACCCATGGATGAATAAACATATATATATATATGTGTATATATTCTATATATATATGTTTATATATTCTATATATATATACACACACAATGAAATATGTATATTCATCTACTCATGGATATGTAAATATATATATATATATATATATATGAAAAAATATTCAGCCTTGAGAAGGAAAAAAAGTCTGACACATGCTATAACATTGATGAACCTTGTGGACATTAAGCTAAGTGAAATAATCCAGTCCAAAAAAAAAAAATTTCTGGAATCCAGGCTTGTAGAAAGAAAAAAAAATAAAAACAAAACCCCGCACAAATACTGGGCAGGGTGCAGTGGCTGGCTTATGCCTGTAATTCCAGCTACATAGGAGGGAGGATCACTTGAGGCCAGGAGTTTGAGACCAGCCTGGGCAACACAGCGAGACCCCATCTCTTAAAAAAAAGACAAATACTGTATGATTTGGCTTATAGGTGGTATGTGGAGTAGTCAAATTCATAGAGACAGAAAGTAGAATGGTGGCTGCCAGGGGCTGAGGGAAGGGGGAAGTGGAGAACTATTGTTTAATGGGTATAGAGTTGCAGTTTTGCAAGATGAAGAATTCTGGAGATTGGTTGCACAATAGTGTAATGTACTTAACACTACTGAACTATATGCTAAATATGGTTAAGATGGTAAATTTTATGTCATTTTACCACAATTTTTTAAAAGTTAAAAGAAAAGAGTTTGGTGGGGTAAGCAGAAGAGTTTGGATTTTATATAGTCCCTGGGTATTACAGCTCAGATCGGAAAGTTTGGTAGGGCAGATCAGTGGTTGTTGAAACCAAGTGCTTTCCTTTGCTAGAGGAAATAAACACCTGGATATAATACACAGAAAAATATAGCTTATAATCTATAGGCTTTTCAGGGACTTAGAGAAACCAATCCAATAAAATTCTTTAAAGTATGCCCACTCCTCACTATTCCCAGGGACTGATTCATAGCAGCAGCATCACAGAGAAGGCATATAATCATATATTTATCATGGCAATGAGCTAACTTTATCAGGGAGAAATAGCTGCCTTAAATTTGGGGAAACAGAAAGGAAATATACATTATGCCAGAGCCTCAGTTTTGCAACATGGGCCTTAGCAGAAAGGAAGGGTCATGGGAGGGGCAGTATTATTAGCGAAAAAGGCATTCAGGAATGAGGGGGACTCAAGGACAACTTCATCCCACTGAGATGTCCTGGGAATAAGAAACTACCCCCACCCCCTCTCCCAGGTGCCCAGCCAGCCAGCCATGGCCCCTCTACCTGACTGCCAGACTGAGTGAGGCCTAGAAGCCCATGGTGCTCCTCTCTCCTAGCTGCTGGGCCACAGAACCAGGGAGTCCTAGAGCAGAGAAACTTCTCAGAGAAGGATCTCCAGGTTGCCTCAGGACTAGACTGAGAGGCTAGATCCTCAAACTCAATCCAAGGCTGGCTGTCTCTCTCTCAGAGAAGGAAGTGATGACAACTGAGCCACTAGGCGGCAGCAAAGTCCAGCAAAAAGACGCAGAGGCAGAGGGGTGAGTAAAGACTTCGTTGTCCTCCCTCAGAAAAAGCTACTCCTGTCCCCTTGCTGGGGAAAACGGGCCCAGGGCCCCTCCAGTCCAGGTCACCTACCTATCCAAAGTAAGAAGGGAATCTTCAGGAAGGCTTGTGTGGCCATTTGCCCCGAAAAGAATGGCTCTATCCGCTTCCGCTTTGGTCCTCCTCGCTCTCTTCTCTCATCACCTGGGGAAGGGCCAGCGCTGATTCTGAAAGGACGGCGTTTCCGAGGGCTCTCCAGACTTCCCCCAGCTCTGGCCACTCGGAAGGCAGGCGTGGAGAACAAGTGTGTGTGTGTTTGTGTTTCTGGGCTGCAAGGGTGGAGAGTGCAGTTTCTAGGGCATAGAAATCCCAGGCTCTTCTCCAACCTGCCCTTGTTTGGATTAGCATTTTCTCTTAGACACAGAATCGCCGAAATCTGGCTCCTGTGAAGTGTGATTTCATGATGGCAACAACACTCTTTCCGCTCCTACCTTTATTTAGAGAGCACGGGCTGGGCCCCAGAGCAGAGAGTTTTAACGTTTAACAGTTCCACATGCCCTGTCCGCTGACAGCGAGAGGGTGGGAGGCATTTAAGCCTCTGAAATGATATTCTAGAGAAACCTGAGTTCATCCGCCTGCGTGCCTGACCTCCACAGAGCCAAGGAACACCTGGTACCCAGCAGAGCCCTGCTTTCGCTGCTGCCTTCGTGCTGGCAGGGCTCCTTGCCTTCCCGGAATGTGTTCCTTCTTGTTTGCCACTCAGTGCCTGGCCCAAAGCCAAACCTGGGCTGCTCGGAATGCCATGCCCCCACTCACTTCTCTCTCAGGATCTGAGACAAGGCTCTCTTCCGCCTGGGGAAAGGCCAGGCTCTCGCTGCAGCCTCGTCCCACTGCGCAACTTCTCTAGGCACATCAGACTCTCCACCGGCTGAAAGCAGAAGCACTTAGGGAGAGGACAGCAGGGTCCCCAGGAAAGCAGACGGTGTGGCATACTGATATCCTATTGGCAGCCTTCTAAACTGGGCCAGAGTTGGCAAAGTGTTATTCACAAGGTGTTCATTAACTTGCTAAATGCAAAAAGGTTGGGTTGGGCACCACTCTGGGAAAACATGACACCCCTGCTCCTGGATTCAGTCTAGCATGAAGGTGTGTTAATTGGTGTAGGATTTCTATGCAAGTTTTTCTTTGCTGTTAGTTCCAAATACCAGACTAGTCTGTGTGGCATGCTCTCCCCAATATATAACCACATTTAAACAATTTATTAAGCACCTTCTATGGGCTCCTGAATGCATGCTTCTATAGATACTATGACACTATAATTTTCTGAGCACTTAATTGTGTACCAGGCACTATATAGAGTGCTTTTTATACTCATTATCTCATTGAAGAGAATCTCAATACACTAATACAGTTTTCACACTTTACGCTGTGTAAACTGAGATCAATAGGCCAGAAATACAATATGGACTCCTTCAGGGAGTAGCTGAGGAAGCGAGGTAGACAGAATAGCAATGTAACAGTGTAAGACGGGTGAATCCGTGTAAGTGCAAAAGGCAGTGGTATGGGCAGACTTAATGTTACAGGGGCATGCAGCATGCGTGGGCCTCAAAGAATGAGTAAGATTTGGATCTGAGGAGAGAGGTGGGGAGGATCTTCCCAAAATGTGTGTTTGCGGGGTAACATCAGTTAAAGTATGGTAGTGCTGAGGGCGGGACAGATAAAAATCTGAAAGAAGCAGAGTCTGAATATGTATGTGGGCAGAATCCCCAGGATCTAAGTGCCAGGATGACAAGGACAGACTTAGTCTCCCCGGGCTGAGGAGCTACTGCAGTTTAGGAGTGAAGGAGAAAAGTGATGGTTTGGCGATATTGGTTTCTCAGTAGAGTACAAGGTGGATTAAAAGTTCAGTAGAAAAGTCTAGATCATGGTTTCTCAACCTCAGCACTACTGATATTTTGGACTGGCTAATTCTTTGTTATAGGGGGTTATCTTGTGTATTGAAAGATTCTGGGCCACATCCTTGGTCTCTGCTTACCTGATGCCAGTAGCACCCCCCACCCCTGGTTATGACAGCCAAGTGTCTCCAGAGCAGGCAAACTACCCCTAATTGAGTATCATTGCTTTAGGTGGCAGGAAGTTAGGGCCTGGACCTTATAATATTGGCAGTTATTTTGATAACTGCGTCAGTCTATTGACTTTCAGAATAGCTGATAAAAGTAAAAAATGGTTTCCTTGCCGCAGGAAATTCATCATCAGTGCCAAAGAACTTAATGGCATAGAGAAAAGAGGCTTCAGAAGTAGATCATTCTGCCTATTAGAAACCTCTAGAGGATACTCCAAAGCTTCAGATAATGTGCTCAAGACTCATTAGCAAGACAGCACCTGATAGCAGGATTTCTCTCTCTACCTCATCCCGCAAATCACAACTTACTCAAGGGCCACATTGAGTAAGGAATGCCCCCATGTGCATGCAGGCAGAGAAGCTAATGATCTATAATTTTGCTAGGTTTGCATTCACCCTTCTAGAATTTTGTTTTTGGCAACTGGGAGAGGGGATGAATAGACACTGGCCTATCAATGAAGAGAGCTGATTTACCAAGATGTGTCTTTGTCTAAAGCAGGAATCAGCTAAGTACAGACTGCTGTACAGCCTGGCCAGCTTTTCGTAAATACAGTTTTACTGGAACTCAGCCATGCCCCTTTGTTTATGTATTGTCTCTGGCTGCTCTAGAGCTCCAATGGCAGGGTTGAGGAGTTATGACAAAGATCATCTGACCATATCTGTCCCTTTAAGGAAAAGTTTGCTGATCCCTGGCCTAAAAAAAAAAATGCTTTTAGACTCCTAGGGGTGATTTTTTTTTTTTTTTTTTTTTAATAACGGAGCCTTGTTCTGTCCCCCAGGCTAGAGTGCAGTGGCGTGATCTCGGCTCACTGCAACCTCTGCCTCCTGGGTTCAAGTGATTCTCTTGCCTCAGCCTCCGAGTAGCTGGGATTACAGATGCCCACCACCACACCCAGCTAATTTTTGTATTTTTTTTTTGAGATGGAGTCTCACTCTGTTGCCCAGGCTGGAGTGCAGTGGCGTGACCTCGGCTCACTGCAACCTCTGGCCCCCGGGTTCAAGTGATTCTCCTGCCTCAGCCTCCTGAGTAGCTGGGATTACAGGTGCCTGCCACCGCACCCAGCTAATTTTTGTATTTTTAGTAGAGACGGGGTTTCACCGTCTTGGCCAGGCTAGTCTGGATTCCCACCTTGGCCTCCCAAAGTGCTGGGATTACAGGCATGAGCTACCAGGCCTGGCCTAATTTTTGTATTTTTTTTTAGTAGAGATGGGGTTTCACCATGTTGGCCAGGCTAGTCTGGAACTCCTGACCTCAAGTGATCCTCCCACCTCGGCCTCCCAAAGTGCTGGGATTACACGCCTGGCCTTTTTTTTTTTTTTTTTTGAGATGGAGTCTTGCTCTGTCACCCAGGGTGGAGTGCAGTGGTGTGATTTCGGCTCACTGCAGTCTCTGCCTCCTGGGTTCAAGTGATTCTCCTGTGTCAGCCTCCTGAGTAGCTGGGATTCCAGATGCTCACCACCATGCCTGGCTAATTTTTGTATTTTTAGTAGAGATGGAGTTTTACCATGTTGGCCAGACTGGTTTCGGACTCCTGATCTCAAGTGATCCGACCATCCTGGCCTCCCAAAGGGCTGGGATTACAGATTTTCCAGGCCAGATTTTCATTTATTTTTTCATCAAAATAATTATCATTGAGTGTCTACAATGGGCTAGGCACTGTGTTAAGAGCTTGGAATATATTAGTGAACAAAGCAAATACAGGTCTCTGCCTTCGTGAAGTCTATATATTTTAGTGATGAGGGGAGAGAGACAATAAGCAACTAAGATAATAAATTATAGGCTGGGTATGGTGGCTTATGCCTATAATCCCAGCACTTTGGGAGGCCAAGGTGGGTGGATCACCTGAGGTCAGGAGTTCAGACCAACCTGACCAACATGGTGAAACCCTGTGTCTACTAAAAACACAAAAATTAGCTGGGCGTGGTGGCGGGCACCTGTAATCCCAGCTACTCAGGAGGCTGAGGCAGGAGAATCGCTTGAACCCGGGTGGTGGAGGTTGCAGTAAGCTGAGATGGTGCCACTGCACTCCAGCCTAGGTGACAGAGTGAGACTCTGTCTCAAAATAAATAAAATAAAATAAATAAATAAATAAATAAATAAATAAATAAATAAATAAATAAATATAGTATGTTAGAAGGTGATAAGAGATAAAGAAAAAAGAACAAATATAGAACAAGAAAAGGGAGATTGGAAATGCTTATAGGGCATCACATTAGATGATTATCAGGGAAGGTCCAACAGAGAAGTTGATATTTAAGTAGACTTATAAGAAATGAGACAGTAGGGCTGGGCACGGTGGCACATGTCTGTAATCCCAGCACTTTGGGAGGCCGAGGCGGGTGGATCGTTTGAAGTCAAGAGTAGAAACCCCGTCTCTACTAAAAATACAAAAATTAGCTGGGCGGTAGTGGCACACTCCTGTAATCCCAGCTACTTGGGAGAATGAGGCAGGAGAATTGCTTGAGCCTGGGAGGTAGAGTTTGCGGTGAGTGGAGATTGCATCACTGCACTCCAGTCTGGGCGACAGAGTGAGACTCTGTCTTAAAAAAAAAGAAATGAGAGAATAAGGTTTGTGGAACATTCCAGGTAGAGTGAATAGCCAATGCAACAAGTCTAAAGTGGAAGGGAGGGTGCCTGGCTGGCTTGTTCAGGAACAGCAAGGATGCAGGTGTAGCTGGAAGAGAGAGAAGAAGAAGGGGCAGAACTAGATGAAGTCAAAGGGGGAGGGCTGGGAAATCATCTAAGACCATTATAAGAACTTTGGCTTTGACTCCCAATGAAATGAGTAGATAAGTGAATAATAATCTTTTGTTATTCAGATTTCAAAAGAATCAAACTTGACTGCTAGGGAGGGAAAGGTGGAAGCAGGGAGATCAGTTAGGAGACAGCCTCCCTTACAAGTTAGGGAGGACAATGACTCTGATGACTAGGGCAGTAGTAGAGATGGTGGAAACATGCAGATTCTGGATATATTCTGAACGTACAAACGACAGGACTGCCTGTTAAATTGGATATGGGGTATAACAGAAAAGGAGTCATAAGGATGACTTCATGTTTTTTGGCTTGAAAGAATGGAGGTGGAGAAAGCCATGAGTGGTAAAGCTTTTGGAAGGAGAATCAGAAATGTAGTACTGGACATATTCAGTCTGAGATGAATTTTGGACATCCAAGTGGTGGGGATGTCAAGTGGGCAATAGGGTATATGAGTCTGGGGTTCAGGAGAGATGTCTGAAGTCTGGGAGATATAAATTTGGGAGCTGTTGGCTGGACATGGTGGCTCATGCCTGTAATCCCAGCACTTTGGGAGGCCGAGGCGGGCAGATCATGAGGTCAGGAGATCGAGACCATCCTGGCTAACATGGTGAAAACCCATCTCTACTAAAAATACAAAAAATTAGCTGGGCATGGTGGCACATGCCTGCAGTCCCAGCTACTTGGGAGGCTGAGGCAGGAGAATCGCTTGAACCCGAGAGGTGGAGGTTGCAGTGAGCCTAGACTGCACCATTGCACTCTAGCCTGGGCAACAGAGCAAGACTCCATTTCAAAAAAAACAAAACAAAACTGGGAGCTGTTGGCTGGGCATGGTGGCGCACACCTGTAATCCCAGCACTTTGGGAGGCCGAGGCAGGCAGATCATGAGGTCAAGAGATCAAGGCCATCCTGGCCAACATGGTGAAACCCCGTGTCTACTAAAAATACAAAAATTAGCTGGGCGTGGTGGCATGCGACTGTAGTCTCAGCTACTTGGGAGGCTGAGGCAGGAGAATCACTCGAACCCATGAGGCAGTGGTTGCAGTGAGCTGAGATCATGCCACTGCACTCCAGCCTGGTGACAGAGTAAGACTCCGTCTCAAAAATAAATAAATAAATAAATAAAATAAAAATAAATAAATAAAATAAAATAAAAAAATAAATCTGGGAGCTGTCAACATATGGATGGTATTTAAAAGCATGCTGCTGGATGAGATCATCAAGGGACTGAGTCTGTAGACAGAAGAAAGAGTGGACGAGTGAACCCTGTCACACACTGTTAATAAAAGATCAGGAAGAAAAGGAAGAACTAGGAAAAGGAAACTAAGGATGCCTGATGAGGAAGGAGGAAAACCAGAAGAGTCTGGTGTCCTGGAAGCTAATTATTTCTTTATTTTATTTATTTATTTTTTTGAGATGGAGTCTCACTCTGTTGCCCAGGCTGGAGTGCAGTGGTGCGATCTTGGCTCACTGCAAGCTCCGCCTCCCAGGTTCATGCCATTCTCCTGCCTCAGCCTCCCCAGAAGCTGGGACTACAGGAGCCCACCACCACGCCCGGCTAATTTTTTTTTGTATTTTTAGTAGAGACAGGGTTTCACCGTGTTAGCCAGGATGGTCTCAATCTCCTGACCTCGTGATCTGCCCGCCTCGGCCTCTCAAAGTGCTGGGATTACAGGCGTAAGCCACGGCGCCCAGCCGAAGCTAATTATTTCATGATACATCAAGGCAAAGGCTATGACAAATGCTGCTAATACATCAAATTTATTTTACTGTGGTTCAAGCTCTTTCTCACTTCAGTGTAACCCAGAAATTTCCAAACTTGGACAACCCCAAATAATTTAGTGTTTAGGGGTCATTCTTTCAATTTGAAATGGCCTGAGACCCATTTCTAACCACTGTGGGAAGTCCTGAGACCTCAGTTTCTCCAAGGGTTTTTAAGGTTGCTTCTGTGTCTCCTGCAGATGGGATGCAGCCTGCTTGTCCCGTCCCCTGTTCCTTTGGCTATTTCCTTTTTGCCTCATCATGTGCCACTCCTCATCCTTCATTCCTCCAAATGATCCACCACCAAAATGGTTGAGTATATCCAAATTGCATGAAAGGTTTAGTTAATGGAAGGCTATATCACAAAGCAGAAAACTTCAAACTCAATACATAGATGATTGCTTAAAGAAATTTAGCAGCCATTCTCTACTACAGTAGGGAGCTTCTCCATGGCCATGTCTTCCAGTAGGCCCCTGTCTCCTGCCATGTTTCTGGAATGCTTCTCATCTCAGTTCTCTTCGTTAACCTTTCCCTACTTCTTTCTTTCCTAGGCCTCATTCTCTTTCTCTAGGGCATCCAGTGAAAATCCAAATTTATTTGATTTTATTATTTGGAGTAACTGATCTCTCTTGTATTGTCCTGGCCTACACGTGTTAAACCCTGGGAGTTGACCTTTCTTAACCAAAAAGCTCCATCTGGATGTTTACCTCAATGAAACAAGCTCACTAGCAATAAATTATACCACATTCTTGGAAATCAGAAAGGTTACAGATTTTATTAATAATTTTTCCTGTCTGTTAAATATAACAGAAAAAACACTGTCACTGACAACCAGGAGAGAGAGTACAGCATAGTAGTTAAGAATACAGGTTCTGGAATCAGTACATCTACATTTAAACTCTTCCAATTTACTTGGACAACTCTAAGCCTTAGTTTCCTCATCTCTAAAAGGGGGATACTAATAGTACTTACAGGTTTATGGTAATTTGTTAAATGGGAAACGTCATGTCAAATCCTTGAAGTTTCTGACACACAGAAATAGCTCAACAGATATTAGTTTTCTGTTAAGTTCCAAGAAATAAATGTAGCAAATGCAAAACCTAATGTTGGCCAGGTGTGGTGGCTCATACCTATAATCCCAGCACTCTGGGAAGCAGGAGGATCACTTGAGCCAGGAGCTCAAGACCAGCCTGGGCAACACAGCAAGACCCTGTCTCAAAAAAAAAAAGTTAGCCGGGTGTGGTGGTGTGTCCCTGTAGTCCATGCTACTTGGGAGGCTGAGGCAGGAGAGGACTGCTTGAGCCCAGGAGTTCGAGGCTGCAGTGAGCTATGATTTTACCACTGTACTCCAGCCTGGGTGACACAGCAAGACCCTATCTCTAAAAAAACAAAACAACCCACCCTCAGTGTTGGTAGGGCTATACAGAACTAGAGATAGGTTTGTATCATAGAATTTTAATGGTACTATATATTGATTCTTTCTTTTTAGACAAATCTCTGGCTGTCTACATGATAGGATATAAACTGTTCATATGTTTTGAAATCTTAATCCCACTTTGTATTCAAGGAGAACATGTGAAATAAGTTACTTATGAAGAATGTTTGTAGCACTGCTATTCATAACAATCTCAAATCAGAACTAACCAAAAAGCCCGGCAGTGGGGAATTGGCTAAGAAAATCACAATCTATAAATATAATGTAACCCAATGTTACCTTTAAGCACAAGTAAACAGTGATTAAGGTGGAAATTTGTAAAAAGCAGAATTAAGATAGTGCTTAGACATGGATTACAACGATGTAAAATGTGAAAATCTCTAAGAAGTCAGCAGATAAACTGAAGAGATGTCCACAGTTAGATGTACAAGTTTAGGGAGTTCCCTATTTTCTGTTAGGTTGCTTAAGTTCATCAACCTCTGAGCTTGGTCTTAAGCAAGCATGAATAGTTCTACTGATTAATGTTGCATTTTGACTTCTGCTGCTATGCCAGGGAGGATGATGGGCTGTTTTTTCTTTGATAAACAGCTTCTATGTTCTCATTTATCCATTCAACAAATAACAATGTTTATGTGCCAGGCACTGTATGAAACTGCATGGATTCAATAGTGAACGAGTCAGACATGGTTCCCGGCCTCCATGGCTCTTGTGATTTAGTGGGAAGGAAGGACACAACACCAAAAATCATATGTGATTTGGGCACACTGAAAGGATTCATGATTCTGAGGAATTAACAAGGAAAGCAAATTAGTCAGATGCACTGGGGATGATTTCTTTGAGGAAGAGATGACATAGAAGATTATCTGTTGAGGACTATGGGAGAGAGTGCAGGAGGGAACAGCAAATGGGGAGACTGGAAAGGGAGAAAAGAAAGTGTGTGTTTGAGGAACTAAAAGAAGGCCTGCAGGGCTGGAACACAGGAAGCTAAGGCAAGAGTGGTATAGATTGCAAAGAGGCAGGGAAAGTGGGAAGGGACCAGGTTATACAGAGCTTTCTTAAAGATATTGGCAGAATATAAAATGGAGTGGGGGTGAAGAGTATAAGTGAACACTGAAGAGTCCTTTATAAGCTAGTCTAGCAACCCAGATGAGAGGGCATGATTGTCTGGACTAGAGTGGTAGCATTGGCAATAGAAATACATGGATTTAAAGGATTCTTAAGATGTAGAGCAACAGGACTAGGAGGCTGATAAATGCAAAGTGAGAGGAAAGTCAAGGATGACTCCTAGATTTCTGGCTGGAGCTGGGTTGCACAGTGGTGCCATTTTCCGAGGTGGGGAACACTGATGGAGCAAGTTTGATAAGGCAAGAGCAGTTTGGGGGTTTGTTGGGTTTGAGGAGCCTAAGAAATATCTAAGCGAAGATGACCAGCAGGCAGGTAAATGGATTACAAGTTGAAGTTCAGGACAGAAGTGTACATGTGAAGTGCGTCAATCAGTCATTGACCTTGGTAGTGAATGGGAGAGCCTAGCAAGTATGTACAGGCTGAAAAGAAGAGGGCTTATGAGACAAAACCCCGAGAAGCTATAGCAAGTAAAGAAGAAACTGGCAAATAAGAGAGAGATCAAGCTGGGTGTGGTGGCATGTACCTGTAGTCTCAGCTTCTCAGCAGGCTGACGTGGGAGGATTGTTTGAGCCTAGGAATTCAAGGCTGCAGTGAGCTATGATGGTGCCAGCCTGGGTGACAGACCCTGTCAAAAAAAAAAAAATGTGATTTCAGAAAAGAGGAAAACTAGGAACAGTGGTTTGAGAAGGAGGGTTTAATGTTGCTAAGAGGCCTAATAAAATAGAAACTACTAGTGATCTTAATGTTTTATTAAGTAGTTGGGGCAGAATCTAGATTAAACTGGGTAGAAAAGTGGGAGGGAAGTGAGGAATTGTGATTGACTACAGATACTTCAGAGCTGGCTCTGAAGAAAAGCAAAAGGTCAGTATCTAGAGGGAGACATGGGGTCATGCTTCTATTTATTTTTAAAGATGGGGGAGGCCGGGTGCTGTGGCTCATGTCTGTAATCCTAGCACTTTGGGAGGCTGAGGCAGGTGGATTGCCTGAGATCAGGAGTTCGAGATCAGCCTGGGCAACATGGTGAAACCTTGCCTCTACTAAAATACAAAAAATTAGCTAGGTGTGGCAGTGTGCGCCTGTAGTCCCTGGTACTTGGGAGGCTGACGCAGGAGAATTGCTTGAACTCGGGAGGTGGAGATTGCAGTGAGTGGAGACTGCAGTGAGCCGAGACTGTGCCACTGCACTCCAGGCTGGGCGACACAGCGAGACTCCATTCCCTCCCATCAAAATAAATAAATAAATAATAGGCTGGGCATGGTGGCTCATGTCTGTAATCCCAGCACTTTGGGAGGCTGAGTTGGGCAGATCACCTGAGGTCACGAGTTTGAGACCAGCCTGGCCAACATGGCAAAACTCCGCCTCTATTAAAAATACAAAAATTATCTGGGTGTGGTGGCACCCGCCTGTAATCCCAGCTACTTGGGAGGCTGAGGTAGGACAATCACTTGAACGTGGGAGGTGGAGGTTGCAGTGAGCCGAGATAGTGCCACTGCAATCCCGCCTGGGAGACAGAGCGAGACTCCATCTCAAAAAATAAAATAAAACAAAATAAAATAAAATAAACAGTAAAGGTAGGGGAGATTTTACACACTTAAATGCTGATGGAAAGGAGGCAATAGAGAGAAACTGATGGTGATGATGTGTGTAAATTGTTTGCAGGATATCCCTGTGCAGATGGAGGGTTAGCCTTAGCTCTGAGGTCACTCTGTAATAGAAATAAGTGAAGAAGGTGCCAAAACGGGCAGATATAGGTAGGCTTGTAGACCTGGCGTCAGGGAAGTTGAAGGAGTTCATGTCTGACAGCTTCTATTTTCTCTCTAAAGTAGGAGTGAGGGTGGAGGTGAGCATTGTCCAGGTTTGAGGAATGAAGACTGAGATAGCAGCTGTGAGGAGCTGAAGCAGGAGCTGGCTAGGGAAGCAAAGCCTACTGTAGAAAACCTTGCCTGAGCCTGCATCATGGAGAAAGGGTTTTCTTCTAAATACAAGTTGCTTGGTTTTGGTACACGGAGGACAAAGATCCCGGAAACAGCCTTTGTCTTTTAATGCAAACTGCAGGATGTAAGATTTTTTCCAGAGTAATGATAATTCTTCCCTACTGCTGACACTGAAGACGACTATCACTTCGTTTGACACTCTGAGATGTTAGTTTTTCCCTACATAAGAAAATTTAAGTGTATTCAGAACTTGATTTTTCCGCCAGGCACGGTGGTTCACGCCTCTAATCCCAGCACTTTGGGAGGCTGAGGTGGGCAGATCACTTGAGGCCTGGAGTTCAAGACCAGCCTGGCCAATGTGGAGAAATCCCATCTCTACTGAAAATACAAAAATTAGCTGGGTGTGATGGCGGGCACCTGTAGTCCCAGCTACTCAGGAGGCTGAGGCAGGAGAACTGGTTGAGCCCTGGAGGCGGATGTTGCAGAGAGCCAAGATCACACCACTGAACTCCAGCCTGGGCGACAGAGTGAGACTCCATCTCAAAGTGGAATTTCAGCCTCATATTGGAACTTAGTGACCAATTTTGCCACTATTGTGCAGGGCATCTTTGCTTAGTCCCATTTATTTGATGCAATTCCTTTAAGCCCTCTTTTTTGGAGATTCCCCACGCTGCTGCTCTTGTTCAACTTCCCGTCTTTCATATACATGTAATATTAAAGGTAATTTAACACAGGACATAAAATGTAGGGTTTTTTTTTTTTTTTTTTGAGATGATGGAGTCTCGCTCTGTTGCCCAGGCTGGAGTGCAATGGCACGATCTCAGCTCACTGCAAGCTCCGCCTCCCGGGTTCACGCCATTCTCCTGTCTCAACCTCCCGAGTAGGTGGGACTACAAGGTGCCCACCACCACACCCAGCTAACTTCTTTTTGTATTTTTCGTAGAGACAGGGTTTCACCATGTTAGCCAGGATGGTCTGGATCTCCCGACCTCGTGATCTGCTCGCCTCGGCCTCCCAAAGTGCTGGGACTACAGGCGTGAGCCACTGCGCCCGGCCAATGTAGGGCTTTTAAGGTGCCCTAAACCAGCAGAGCAGTATAAGGAGCTGATCCAGATATGACTTAATATATAAAACCAAGCCAGTTATATAGGTCCTGCTGCCTAGCAGTTAATTCAGATGACAATTTCTCACTATTAGTTTCTGTAACATACCAGCTGAATATATGAAATTTAGAAACTGAGGCTAGACTACATTTAAAATGTTCAAGTGTGAAGTTCTTGCCATTTTCTAGGACAGGGAGAAAGGAATAGGTGGAAAAAGTGTGAGACGAGATGGAGGCCACGTGACTGAGCTTCTGAGTTTATTTATAAAATGAGAATAACAGTACCTGTTGAAACATGAGAACATAAGAATTAATGAGATTATATATTTCTATAGAACCTCAAAAATGTACAAGTTACTTTATATATATGGTAATATATATAATGATGCATATATAATATGCAAGGTACTTGTGTAATATGTGTGCATAAAGTACCCTGCACATTACAGAGTGATAAAAAGGTTAGTTGTTGCTATTCACCATCCTTGAATAAGTTTCTCTTTTGTACATAACAGTAATTATCAGCCATTTTTTACACAGCTGTTTAGCTGCATAGCAATATAAAACTAAGTTTTCAAACTTGTTGTTAGTCTTAAAATGGAACTGAGTAGGACAGAAGGAAAACAAGGTTTATTTTGTAGATGAGACTACTGAATCTGACAGACCCTGGATTTGACATTCATGCTCTAACACCATAGCATGTACATTTCTGTAAATACTTTTTTTTTTTTTTTTGAGATAAGAGTCTCGCTCTGTTGCCTAGGCTGGAGTGCAGTGGCACAATCTCAGCTCACTGCAACCTCCGCCTCCCAGGTTCAAGTGATTCTCCTGCCTCAGCCTGCTGAGTAGCTGGGATTACAGGCGCCCACCTACCATGCCCGGCTAATTTTTGTATTTTTAGTAGAGACGGGGTTTCGCCATGTTGGCCAGGCTGGTCTTGAACTCCTGACCTCAGGTGATCTGCCTGCCTTGGCCTCCCAAAGTCCTGGGATTACAGGCATGAGCCATTGCGCCCGGCCTGCCCCATGTAACTGAGAAATTCTACTTGGTCATTTCAATGGAATGTGTTATTAAAACATACGGTCAATATGCATATTGTAAAATTATAGTATAGTCAAAATAATTAGGTACATATCAGAAACATAATCCACTTTATCTGATCTGGTTAGGACCAGCGCTTGTGAACTTCAACATATACCTTGCCAAATGGTTGAAATATTTGTGTTTTAAACACTATTACATAGGAAACCCACTGATACTTATATTTTCTACAACCATTTATAGCTGGGTTTATATATGGTAACTTTTCTGAATTCCATATTGAGACACGGGTTGGACAAGTGTGACTATACTTACCGGGCAATACAACAGGATATCTGAAAGCAGGTTAGTTCAGTTTGATAATTGCTTAGCCCAGTTTTGAAAAACCTGCCTTCCTTTTGAATATTTTGATTAATTTTGCAGAATAGATCCTTTTGACTCTAAGAGAGAAGGGAACGCAATACCAGCAAAAGATTTTTTCCTATTTTGTGTCATGTAACATGAATGGTATGTGGTCAAGCAGGTGTGTAACTTACCGGGTACTATAGTATCCAGTGAAATACAAGTCAATTCTTAAATTCTCCTGCAATTTATAATGCTAACATTTACAAATGACATACTCAAAATTTCATAGGAGGACACTAATCTGTGGCACAGTCCAATCAGGCTAATGCATTTGGAAAATGCATTTTTTATATATATGTAGATAGATTACATATACATGTCTATACGTGTGTATATATATTTTTCTATATATATTTAAAAGACTAGTGTAGTTTAAAAATTTACTTATAAATTTACTTATAAGATGAATCGTAGGGAGTTAGGAAAGATTGCTTTCATATGCTTTAATTCTCAGATTGAAGATACTCTGATATTTAAATAAACATACTTTGCATTGTCAGAAAGATAACTTTTCCCAGAGAGGATTTGACTTTAATAGTCTAGATTAGCTGCCTAAGTCAACAGTCACTGAAATAACATTGTTTTCTTATCTTTATCTACACTTGTGGCCTATCATCAGTGACCTTTGTCACTTCTCTTGCTGTCCCTCCCTCTGTATTTCACCTCTATGGATGACTGCCAGTTCCTAATCTTTTTCCTAGCCCCATCTTCCATTAGGACTGGTTTTTATCCAAAATGTACCGACTTGAAATGGAAACTTTTTTTGATAGCTTTCTCTTTGACTTTTAGTTTCAGCTCCTGCTCACTCAGGCCTGCTATGTAACCTGTACTTATTTACCCTTACTGTGTTTTCCCTTCTCGGCTAAAAGGAACCAAGTTACTTTCTCTGTGGTCACTGAGTGGTGAGGTTATTTTGGGCCATGAGGGCTGGGGGCAGGGTTAGGCTGGGGAGGTAGCTGAAATAAGTTTCATGGCTGAAGCTCATCTTTGGTTTTCAAGTCTCATAGGCCTTGCAATCTAATTCTCATTAGGAATAGAATTAATTTGTGTACCTAACATGTCATCTGGTTGTTTACTATTTGAAACAACTGAAACACATCAGTGCTTCTGGAGGGATAGTATTTCGTTCTACTCTTGGTTCCACATTTTACAAATTACATTCCCTGCATTTTTAATTAAGTAAAAGGGCTGAGAAAGGTCACTTTTCTTCCTTTATATTTAAAAAACAAACCAACTCTAAGTCTGTTAAGTTTCAGATACAAAAATCATCCTGAAATTACCATGACATAACTAAAAACAATTCTGCCAGAATTAAGGACAGAGAGGAAAACCTATAACTATCAGGAAGAACAAATGTTTATCTGAAACAACAGGTAACCTTGGGAAGGTATCAACTATGAATTTTAGAACCAAAGAACTTTGGATATAAGGAGGAAGTGTGTGCATGGCTAATAGACAAGGCAGAGAAAAGCAGTTATTAATCCAGAGTAGCAAGTCTACCCAATCAGTGAGCAAACTGAGAGGTCCACCAGACATTAATTTTAATGAGGTTACTCAAGATTTCCCCTTTCTTCAAGCATTCCAGGAATCAGATGGAGGAAGATAGGGTAACATCATCTTTATCAAATATTTGCAAACATTATATAGATAGCTGGAAAAGCCTGTGCATGGTGAATGGAAGAGATGTCACATAAAACCGAATAACTGAGTCTCATAATATTTAGGTCTTGAATGAAGTTAGGCCTTGATCTGCTTCCAGCCAGTTGATCTCTTAATTATGTAGGCTGTGCAACAAGTTTTTGGTTCTGTTTTATAGTTTTCTTCTCTGCATTCCTCTAGATTTAATATATTCTTGATTTGTTTTACAGATCACTGCTTTTCCTCCAGAATAAGCCAATGTGGATAAGGGAGACCAAAGGAAATTAATTATATACCAATAAGAAAAGTCTTACGTAAACCCTGTGTGTAATAAATGTTCAAATAAGTTGGTTGTAAGGTTTTGGTGTACAATTTCAAGATATTTTCACAGAACATATTGCTCCCCAGTCAGGGTTAAAGTGAAACGTTCCATGGGGATAATGCAGAGGATGATATTCTTTCAGGAAAAAGAGTATTAAGCTTTCCTCTACTAGGCATCTTCCCTCAGGCACTGAGATTGCAGCCATCCAACAAATGGGGAAGGGCAGAAAGAGGAGCCTTCAAAAGTCGCAAATATACTTCAATAGCTACTTTTTAGCAAGTGTGGTAATGAGATCTTTCCATTCTCCCCTCTTCTTTGTGATGTATGCAGGGGTGAGTAGCTGCAGCAGTGATTCTGTCTGTTGCCTAAAGAAGTTCTGACACAAGGCCTCAGTGTTACATATCACGTACATCCCACAGTCATAGCTGTTTTGTTGGGCAGGGGCTTTCTCTTCCACAAAGGCCAGTTTGTCTCCTTTTCTGCCTAAGAAAGCCTCCAGTTTCTCTGCTACCTGCTTTGCGTGAACTGAGTTGCTCCTGCTATGGGAATCATAATGAAAAAAGCTATTTTTATCTTGGAGGTAGACCAATAAACTCCAGTGGGTTCCTCCAGCTGCCTGGTTGGAGTTATCATTGATGGCTAAAAATACAACTCTCTTGTTGGGGAGGTCCAGTGGTTCAAGGAACATGGCAATCTCTGCTGGGTTGCTAGTGCACTTGATGAACTGGGTGACTTCAGGGCTGATGAAACTGACGTGATCAGAGCAGTCATGAAACTGACTGTTGGCAAAGTACTCAAACGCAAACCCAATAATATGGTCATTGAGCCAGCTTGGCGGATCCAATAGTGAGACATCTGATTGCCGCAGTAGACTGTCCATGTAACTCAAGACTACGGGGTCCATCTTGTACTGACGAGGGCTGCTCAGAAATTCCAGAAGCTGAACAAGAGCTAGAAGACAATATTATTGTCAATAAATACCTGACTGTAAAATGCGGCTGGAAAATAGTAGTTACTTTTATAGGGTTGTGGTAAAAAAATACACAGTTGACCCTTGGACAAGGTGGGTTTGATCTGTGCAGATCTACTTACACATGGATTTTCTTTTGCCTCTGCCACCCCTGAGACAGCAAGACCAATTGCTCCTTTTCCTCCTCCTCTTCAGCCTACTCAACATGATGATGAGGATGAAGACCTTTATGACGATCCATTTCCACTTAATGAATAGTAAATATATTTTCTTTTATGATTTTCTTAATATTTTCCCCTAGCTTACTTTTTCGTAAGAATGCAGTTTATAATACATTAAAAAACATGTGTTAACTGGCTATGTTATTGGTAAGGCTATGTTATTGGTAAGGTAACGTGTTAATTGGCTATGTTATTGGTAAGGTTATTTGTAAATGTATATAATACATTTACAAAACGTGTTAATTGGCTATGTTATTGGTAAGGTATATATTATGCAGTATATAATACATTTACAAAACATGTATTAATTGGCTATGTTATTGTTAATTGGCTATGTTATTGGTAGTAAAGTTTTTTTTTTTTTTTTTTTTTGAGATGGAGTCACACTCTGTCGCCCAGATTGGAGTGCAGTGGCACGATCTCAGCTCACTGCAACCTCTGCCTCCTGGGTTGAAGCGATTCTTTTGACTCAACCTCCTGAGTAGCTGGGATTACAGGCATGTGCCACCATGCCCGGCTAATTTTTTTTTGTATTTTTAGTAGAGACAGGGTTTCGCCATATCAGCCAGGCTGGTCTCGAATTCCTGACCTTGTGATCCGCCCGCCTCAGCCTCCCAAAGTGCTGGAATTACAGGCGTGAGCCACCGCACCTGGCGTATTTTTTTAGGGAGTCAAATCCTACACCTAGGCTGGGTGCTGTGGCTCACGCCTGAAATCCCAGCACTTTGGGAGGCCAAGGTGGGCAGATCACTTGAGGTCAGGAGTTTGAGACCAGCCTGGCCAACATGGTGAAACCCCATCTCTACTAAAAATACAAAAATTAGCCGGGCGTGGTGGGGCATGCCTGTAATCCCAGCTACTCGAAAGGCTGAGGTGGGAGAACTGCTTGAACCTGGAAGGTGGAGGTTGCAGTGAGCTGAGATCATGCCATTGCGCTCCAGCCTGGGCAACAGAGCAAGACTCCATCTCAAAAAAAAAAAAAAAAAAGTTATACCTAGAATTTTGACTGCATACGGGGGTTGGCACTCCTAGCCCCTGTGTTGTTCAAGGGTCAACTGTAACTATAAGAAATTCTAGCTTATGTGCTACATGTAAACGATTAGTTAGAATGAGAACTGGAAACTTGCCATGTACACAGTAAGCATGAATTTTAAATATCCTCTTGAAGCACAGAGATTAAAATTATAGCTAATGTTTTACCAAACACCATACCATTAACTGTATTATTTGGCTCCTTAATGAATATGCATAATGACAACAAATTATTTTTATATTAAAGATGAATTCAAAGAATCTAAAAAGTTACTAATTTCCAAGGGAAATACTTTTCATTTCAACACTAATTTTCTTTTTCTTTTTTTTTTTGAGATGGAGTCTCGCACTGTCACCCAGGCTGGAGTGCAGTGGCGCGATCCTGGCTCACTGCAAACTCCGCTTCCCGGGTTCACACCATTCTCCTGCCTCAGCCTCCCAAGTAGCTGGGACTACAGGCGCCCGCCACAACACCCGGCTAATTCTTTGTATTTTTAGTAGAGACGGGGTTTCACTGTGTTAGCCAGGATGGTCTCGATCTCCTGACCTCGTGATCCACCCACCTCAGCCACCCAAAGTGCTGGGATTACAGACGTGAGCCACCGCGCCTGGCCTCAACATTAATTTTCAAAAGATAAGATAAAATATTGCTTCCTCCTTCCATAATGGAACGTGACAGTGATTACGGTAGTAGTTAAAAGGAACTGTAATTTTAAAAACAGAGAATCATGAGACTAATACAAATGAAATTCATTCCTGATTCTGCCCTGCTATGAGCATGAGTGATATAACATGTGTTTGCCTGTTTCATAGCTTTAGCTTCAAGGGGTATGATAAAGATGAAGTAATGTTTACAATATAAGTTAGAACTTCTTTTGACTTCTTTTAAAAGGTAGTATGGGATAAGATTCTGGAAACCTGGGTCTAGTCCTAGTTTTACCACTGATTTGCTGGTATCATCTTGAGCAGTCATTTAAATGACTTTGTCCTTGTTTTTCTAAAAAGGTATACGCCTTTTTTACAGATGGCATATAAAATCATTTAATCATTTTTGTATGCCATCTGTAAAAAAGGCATATACCCACCTTACATACCCTAGAGAGTTGTAGAGAAGACCAAATAATTTTACTTGGAAGTACTAAAAGAGTTTAAAAAGTTGTACAATAATATTTATCAATTAGATGACATTAGTAAGATAATCAGAAAATCCAGCTAGAGCTCCAAACCAATCAAAGAAAATGAGGTTTGAAAACAAATATCCATTCACATTATCTTGTCTAAATAAAAGAATGACTAATTTAGAGGAGAAGCAAGACAAGTTGTGTGATGAAATTAATATGCCTGTGACCACCCAAAGTGAGACAAGTCTGATGGGTGTAGAATATTTGAGCCTAACAGACTCAACAGAGTTAACAGAGAGTTAGCTGTTATGCAGTGACCTGGCAGCACGACAATATTTCTGAAAATCACACAGCAATAAACTGTCACATGCAGATTGAGAGTGCAAAACAAAGCATATTATAAGAAAATAGTAATAATGCTGTAAAAGACAAGACTAGAATTATGACATCAATTTAATCAATTCTGACCATTAGACCAGTTATTTTACCACTTGTCTACACTATTAAGCAATAATTTTTGTGATATAACCATTTTCGTGTAACAAAACGCTGCAAAAACCTATATGAAAAATCAATACACCCCTCAAGAAAAAAAGCCAAAGTAAATGAAGGGGCATCCAACATGGTTTTATGTAGACACAGTATGTCATAATCTGACTATTTGAGAAACAACATAAGGCTACTTATGAGAAAAAAGAAAAAATATATAATAAGATGGCATGAATTAGGATCTTCTTAAGAAAAAAAGACTAGTGGAGAGACATAAACTGGAGCCAAGAATGAAGTTAATGAGGCATAGAGCACATTTGTTATGGGTGGGCCACAAATTTGGCTCTAAGCTTTTTGGCATCTGGCCAGAGAAAGGTAAACATTCACAATGTCCATAAGACAAAAACAAAGCAATTGCTCAGGAGAGGTAAAATAATTCTTTGTATTATAGTCCGATAGTTTTTTCTCAAGAGATTTTCATAAAAGACATGGTGCATCATAACAAATAGTGCCTCACAGTATCCTTACAACAGATGAAACAGACAGGATTGTTTCCTATAATAATCTTTACTATCTAGCCTTATGGCAAATGGGCACAGATCAATCAAACAAAAGCAATTTGACAGAGTTTAGGTAATCAGCTTGTCGATGTGACTTGATGTAAGAGTTTATAATATAAAGGCAGAATGACTGCTCCCTGGCTACAGCATCTGTCTCTCATGTCTTCAATAAACACTGCATACTTGTGAGTGCCAGGTCATATAGCTTGGCAAAAACCCGGAGACCTACTCTCTACACTGCCTGCTGAAATCACACCCAGTCTTCAACACCAACCCAACTAGGGAAAGGAACCTGCAAGAAGACTGCCTCAACAGTCAGTCATCTCTCACCTTGAAGGGAATGTCCACAAGCTGGGCTAAGATTTTCTTCAGAAATAGTTTTTGTGTTTTGTCTGTTTGATTTTTAAAATACCAAGCACATAGACAAAATGTTAATCAAGGCCTTAATTCTGTTCCATACAGCATGACAGCAAGTTTAACTCCAAAAATTCTAATGCAAATAGAACTCAACTAGCCTTTAGCCAAACCCACCCTTTGCCAAAAATAACTCTAAACTTCGTATTTGAAGACTTAAATTTTAGATTCAATTCTGTTACTCATTGGCTGTGTGATCATAAATAAATTACTAAATTTCCTTAACTCTCACTTTCCTTTTCTGTAAAGTGAAAATATTTTCTATTTTTATTTTTTATAGTCCAGAGTTTTTTTTTTTTTAACACCTACCAGCAGCCCAGGCTTCTTTCTATTATTTCTCACAAAGTGTGCTTCTCTGAGGCTGGGCATGGTGGCTCACACCTGTAATCCCAGTACTTTGGGAGGATGAGGTGGGCGGATCACTTGAGGCCAGGAGTTCGAGACCAGCCTGACCAACATGGTGAAACCTCGTCTCTACTAAAAATACAAAAATTAGCCGGGCGTGGTGGTGGGTGCCTGTAATCCCAACTACTCGGGAGGCTGAGGCAGGAGAATCGCTTGAACACGGGAGGCAGAGGTTGCAGTGAGCTGAGATTGCGCCATTGCATTCCAGCCTGGGTGACAGAGCCAGACTCTGTCTCAAAAACAAACAAAAAACAAACAAAAAAGTGTGCTTCTCTGGGTGGAGCAGGCTGGTGCTTCAGGGTGAACCCAGGCTCTTTTCTCTTTGGCTTCCTTCTTTTTCTGATCATTTTCCTTCACGATTTCAGGAAGCTATCTCTGTTCTCAGAGTGCTTAATGCACTCAATATGCACGTTAATTCTCTTGGCAAGAATCTGGCCCTTGTTTGCTTACAACAATGCCAACATCATGCTGGGTATCACTGTAAACTCTTCCAGTTTTGCCATGGTAACACTTCTGGGACATTCCTTTTTGAACAGTATCCATTTCCTTGATGTCTACGATATCATATTTCTTATAGATTCGCATATACATGGCCAAAGGAACAACTCCATGTTTTTTCCAAGGCCTAGAGAACATATATTGGATACCTCTCCTCTTTCCCTTTGTGTTAGTCATTTGGCAAATTACTGGAAGATGGCATTTTGGGCCAAAAGGCAGTATTTTTTATTTTTATATTAAAGACAGGGTTTCGCTCTGTTGCTCAGGCTGGAGCACAGTGGCACAATCATAGCTCGGAGCAGCCTCAAACTCCTAGGTTCAAGCAAGTTTCTGGCTTCTGCCTCCAGAGTAGCTAGGACTGCAGGTGCGTACCACCATGCCTGGCTAATTTTTAAATTTTTGTAGAGACAGGGTCTCACTTTGTTGCCCAGGCTGGTTTCAAACTCCTGAGCTCAAGTTATCCTCCTGCCTCTGCCCCACTAAATGCTAGGATTACAGGTGTGAGCCACCGTGCCCAGCTTAAAGTGAGAATAAGAATATATGACCTTTATCATGTGGTATTTGTCAATATAAAATAAAGAAACATACATAACTAGGATTTTAAAATACAACATAAGGCCAAGGCAGGCAAACTGCCTGAGCTTAGGAGTTCGAGACCAGCCCAGGCAACATGGTGAAACTCTGTCTCTACTAAAATACAAAAAATTAGCGGGGCATGGTGGGTGCCTGTAGTCCCAGCTACTAGGGAGACTGAGGCACAAGAACAGCTTGAACCCAGGAGGCAGAGGTTGCAGTGAGTCTAGATAGCGCCACTGCACTCCAGCCTGGGTGACAGAGCGAGACTCCATCCAAAAAAACAAAACCCCCAAAACAAATAAACAAAAAAAGACAAAGTGTTTCTAGGTATCTATTATGGCATCAGGAAATTTATAACCCAATGACTGATAACTGTAATGTATTTCATTTAACAAAGGTCTACTGAGTGTTCTCCTTTGTGTCAGGGGGTGGCAATATAGAGTGAGAATGAAATAGTTTCTACCCTTACTGAGCTTAAACCTATTTTGTTATAATGAACACGTACTGCATATACCATTATTTTAGTCAATAAATACCTACTGAGCACCTCATATTAGATGCTATGGGAGATACAAAGATGTATAAGGTGGCTTCTAGTCAATGAGATAAGAAATCCATAAGAGGCACAAACAGAATGTATGGGAATTCACAAGAGAGAATAATCATTCCTGGCTAACAGGATGAAAAGGAATGAGTGCTCAGATCAGAAATGGCTTTGAGGAAAGTGGCATAAAAGTGGGCTCTTGAAGGACAGGTGGAGCTGGATGCATGTGGAAGACAGAGAGGTAAAGAAAGTGCTTTCAAATGTGGAGAGAATCTTGAATAGTCTAGCGTGCTAGAATGAAGTGGGAGTAGTAGAGGTGCAGGCAAATATTAGAGGATTCTTAGAAGCTAAGTGGTGACAGACTGAATTCCAGTGAAGGAGTTTGAAATTTATACTGGAGGAAGTGGGAGCCATTAATGGCCAGGTCAATGCTTTGGGAAGATAATAATTCAGCTATAATATATAGAACTAATTGGTAAGGGAAAAATTGAAAGCAGAGATCAATTAGATATTTTTTTCTTTTGTTTTGAGGTGAGTCTCACTCTGTCGCCCAGGCTGGGGTGCAGTGGTGCAATCTTGGCTCACTGCAACCTCTGCCTCCCGGGTTCAAGCGATTCTCCCGTCTCAGCCTCCCGCGTAGCTGGGATTACAGGTGCCTGGCACCATGCCTGGCTAATTTTTGTATTTTTAGTAGAGACGGGGTTTCACCATGTTGGCCAGGCTGGTCTCGAATTCCTGACCTCAGGTGTTCCGCCCGCCTTGCCCTCCCAAAGTGCTGGGATTACAGGCATGAGCCACTGTGCCCAGCCCAATTAGATTTTTATTGCAAGTAAAGGTAGGAGGTAATGACCTAAAGCAGGAGAAATGATAGTAGGAATGTGGAGGAATAGATATTGTAGACAGAGAATCAATAAGACTCAGTAAGTGATCAGAGGAGGGTAGATAAAACGGGAGGCAGAGGTTGCAATGAGCCGAGACCTCGCCACTGCCCTCCAGCCTGGGGGATAGAGTGAGACTCTGTTTAAAAAAAAAAAAAAAAAAAAAGAATTATGAAATGGTCTGAAGGTTTCAGTTGGGGGTGAGTGAGAGGATGATAATAACATTATCAATGGGGTGGGAGAAAAGGAGATGGAAGGGGACCTAGCAAAAAACCAAGAGCCATCTATAATCATTTAGGAATATTTTCTATGTAGTGAGCACTGTGCCTGGCATATCTGAAGTGCAATAAATGTTTGCCAGATGAATGAAATATTTTTAAAGGGAAGTCAGAAAATTTAGATTACGGGAAAAAAAGAAATAAGGCCACTTAAGATTTCTGTATTCTTTGTAACATCCTTATTCTTTGGTTTTATGCTTTGCCTGTTATCCTTTATTGTTCTGCTGTTAATAGTAAATTCGTTTAGAGTTAAAAGGATCTGTGTACTTGGTCTTGGTGGATGGTAAGCAAGACTAGGGGAAGGGCAAGAAAGGTGAGTCAACTGGGGAGCCAATGACCTCCTTATAGTTCTATTTGTAAAATCTTACCAAACACATAGTTCTATGTTTTAGGGCTAGGAAGTCTTGGGTCTAGGCTCTGACCTTGCC
The DNA here is from genome assembly GCF_000001405.40 of Homo sapiens. Lineage (NCBI taxonomy): Eukaryota > Metazoa > Chordata > Mammalia > Primates > Hominidae > Homo > Homo sapiens. Next base: position 72,132,113 of record NC_000015.10, on the reverse strand, counting down.
ACTTACTATTTAAGTGATCGTGGGCAAGTTATTCTTCCTCTTTCTGGGCCTCATTTTCCTCATCTGTAAGATGAGGTAGTAATAACATAATCACAGGTTGTTACACGAATTAAAAACATGAGTGAAAACACTCAGCACCTTGTCTGATCTACAGTAGGCTCTCAAAAAAACTTAGTTTCCTTCCCTGTTCCCTATGTTTGAGGTGGCAATAATGGACCCCAAAGATTTCTTGAAAATAAAGCACTTGTCTCTTTATATAAAGCCACAAAGTTATCAAAGATGGAACTAGCCATGGCATGACTCTGCTCTTGTGCTTTATCTTTGGCATAAAGAGAGAGAATGCTAAGTCCAGGGAAAATTGTTCTCTCAATCTGAGTGAAGCAATGATGTTAATGTGTTGTCAGTATACACAAACCCTGTCATTACAGGGGTTAGTTTATTGTATCTTCCAAATTCTGTAATTAAATGAAGCTAATATTGAATTCATAAGTGTAGAACACTTCCTTAACAAAGGATTAATTTTAATAGAAGGAGATTACTTCTTATTAATCCTAAAATCCTTAAGATGCACACTACTTGAATATTTGTTATAAAAAACAAAGTAATTAAATAAAAAGTAATAAAAACCAACTTGAAGGGAAAATTCACAATTCAATAGGAGTCATTCTGATGGCCTGCTGATACAAGGGAAGAAGCTGCTGGTTCAGTAGAAAAAATATTAGTTAGGGAGTCAGACCTGGGATTCAGTTCAGATCTACAATTAACCAGTTGTTTGACTCTGGAAGAGTCACTTAACCTATGAATTTCAGCTTCATCATCTGTAAACTGAGTGGTCTGGACCAGGTAAACAGTGGTTCTAGCCAGGGAAGCATATTAGAATCATCTATGAGATTTAAAAAAATTATTTTAAGAGATGAGGTCTTGCTGTGTCGCCCATGCTGGAGTGCAGTGGTGTGATTATAGCTCACTGCATCCTTGAACTCTTGGGCTCAAGGCCATCCTTCTGCCTCAGCCTCTTGAGTAGCTGGGACTATAGGCATGCACCACCATGCCCACCTATCTGTGGGGATTTTAAAGAGCATACACCTGGGATAGAATCTGGGCCTCTGCATTTTTAAGATATTTCCAAGTTATTCTGATGTCTAAGTTTCCACTAGCTCTTTTCTAAGTTTCCACTAGCTCTATATTCTATGATTCTAAGCTGTCATCTCTGCCAATTTTTAAATTCTGTCATCCTGTTTATAAAAATCCTGCCGGGCGCAGTGGCTCACACCTGTAATCCCAGCACTTTGGGAGGCTGAGGCAGGCGGATCACCTGAGGTCGGGAGTTCGAGACTGGCCTGACCAACATGGAGAAACCCTGTCTCTATTAAAAATACAAAATTAGCTGGGCATGGTGGCGCATGCCTGTAATTGCAGCTACTTGGGAGGCTGAGGCAGGAGAATTGCTTGAACCTGGGAGGTGGAGGTTGCGGTGAGCCGAGATCACGCCATTGCACTCCAGCCTGGGGAACAAGGGCGAAACTCTGTCTCAAAAAAAAAAAAAAAAAAAAAAATCCTAAAACATTCTAGTTTTCTAGTCCAAAGGTCAGCAAATTACAGTTTGCAGGCCAAATCTGGCCCACTGCCTGCTTCTATAAATAAAGTTTTATTGGACTAAGTCATGTTCATTTGTTCACATACTGTTTATGGCTACTTTTGACCTCTAAGGACAGAGTAGTCTGCAAAGTCTAAAATATTTACTATTTGGCCTTTTAGAGAAAAAGTTTGCCAATCCCTATTCTAGATCACTGTTATGTAATCTGTAAATTTCCAGGTTGAATTAATTTTAAGAACTTTTACAATTCTAATAAAGCACTGGGGACATTTATTAAACTATCTTAAAGGCAGTTTCCAGATAAATTGACTTTTCTTTTTTCTTTTGAGATGGCATTTCGCTCTTCTTGCTCAGGCTGGAGTGCAATGGCGCGATCTCAGCTCACTGTAACCTCTGCCTCCCAGGTTCAAGTGATTCTCCTGCCTCAGCCTCCCAGGTAGCTGGGATTAGAGGTGCCTACCACAATGCTTGGCTAATTTTTTGTATTGTTTTTAGTAGAGACGGGGTTTCACCATGTTGGCCAGGCTGGTCTCAAACTCCTGACCTCAGGTGATCCACCACCTTGGCCTCCCAAAATGCTGGGATTATAGGTGTGAGCTATGGTGCCTGGCCAGATTAACTTTTAACTGGAGGTGTTATTGCTGTTTCAGTCTGGATTTTTTTTTTCTTTTTTTTTAGACTGGGTCTCACTCTGTCCCCCAGGCTGGAATGCAGTGGTGCAATCACGGCCACTGCAGCCTTGACCTCCTGGGCTCAAGTGATCCTCCTGCCTTAGCCTCCTAAGTAGCTGGGACCACAGGTGCCTCCCACCACACCTGGCTAATTAAAAAAAAAAAATGTGGCCAGACGCAGTGGCTCATGCCTGTAATCCCAGCACTTTGGGAGGCCGAGGTGGGTGGATCACCTGAGGTCAGGAGTTTGACACCAGCCTGACCAACATGGAGAAACCCAGTCTCTACTAAAAAAAAAAAAAAAAAAAATACAAAATTAGCCGGGTGTGGTGGTGCATGCCTGTAATCCCAGCTACTCGGGAGGCTGAGGCAGGAGAATCGCTTGAACCCAGGAGGCGGAGGCTGCAGTGAGCCGAAATGGCACCATTGCACTCCAGCCTGGGCAACAACAGCGAAACTGTCTCAAAAAAAAAAAAATTTGTAGAGATGAGGTCTCATTATGCTGCCCAGGCCGTCTTGAACTCCTTGGCTCCAGTGATCCTCCTGTCTAGCCCTCCCAAAGTGCTGGGTTGATAGGCGTGAGCTACCTCACCTGGACTCAATCTGGATTTTTAATGAATGGAAATGCTTAAAAATACTAATTTACAATGGATATTAACGATAATTGTCTATTTTATAGATGTATAAGTATTTATTTTATGGGATTAAAATATGTATTAGAGTTTTAAATTAACAAGGATTTTATATGGCATACAGCAATTCTCAAAACTTCAGGGAAAATAAGCCTGTTGGCTATTGACTTAAGTAGTACTCCAGATAAATCTGTTTTACTGAAAACATACTATTCCAGAATTGTGACCTTTACTCATTTTTTTCTAATTATTCAGTAAGCATTCCTTAAAAAAATAAAAAGAGAGAAACAGCCTCATTCAGGTATGTTTTTTAAAAACATTACAAAGTAAGTGCAGATTATAAAAGTCAGTTGTTTCTAAATGCTATTGCCTTCCTCACTCGCTTTGGCTACGATTTTAAGTTGTACCAAACTACAAATGCTCAGAGATGCATCTGTACTTCTCTAAATGGATACATGCCCATGTGCCAGCAGATAGCAACAAAGAAAGTCCAAAAAACAAACACAAGTTAATCACAGGGCATCTTCCTAGAGCTTTAATTTGACCAACTTTAGGGGAAAGAGCTAAACCACTTAATCATTGACTTAAAACATTTAAATCAGCAACTAAAAATATTTTAATTATTAACATAAACTTGGGCATAAAATGCAAAATCAGCATGAAATTTAAAAATAAAATATGAGAATCTCACAGAACTTTTGCAACTGTGGCAGGCAATTTTTTCTGTTTCATTCAGTCTCCTCTGTTGGCTTGGATACTTCAGGGGAACAGTCTAATAATTACCTATAGCTGATGTGTTTATGACATAAACCTCAAATTCTTAGGAGTCAGATTCCCTAATAATAAAGGAATGAGCACAAGCTTATGCTTTAGCAGCTTAAATGTGTACAGGAGAGAAACATTTATTAAAGTAAATTTATTCATTTGGTTAAAATATATTTATTGGTGTCTTATGTGTCCCAATTTTGCCTGCCATAATCAGACTGAAAATTGAACCTGGTTACTATATAATGGATTACAGACATCATCCAAGAGTTAGTTTTTTTCTTTCTCTCTCTCTCTGTTTTTTCTTCTTCCCCTCCCCTCCCTCTCTCCCCTCTCCCCTTTCCCTCTCTCTTTCTTTGAAAACGTCTCACTCTGTTGCCCAGGATGGAGTGCAGTGGTGCAATCATAGCTCACTGCAGCCTTTAACTGATGGGCTCAAGTGATCCTCCCACCTTGGCCTTCCAAGTAGCTATATGCACTATACGTGCATACCACCATGTCTGGCTAATTAATATTTTTTTTTATAGAGGCAGGGTCTCACTATGTTGCCCAGGCTCATCCCAGAGTTTTCTATTGTCTTCACACTTCACATCCAATTGACAAGTCCTGTTGATTCTATAGCCTAAATGTTCTAAATCTGTCCAATGCTTTCCATCTTCACTACTATCACCTTAGTCAAATCTATCACCATTTCTTTCTTGACCTAGCCTAACAGGTCTCCTATTTCCACTACTGACTGTGCCAATAAATTCTCCATCAAAATAATTGTTTAAAAATTTAAATTAGGCCAGGTCTGTTCCCTGCTTAGGAGTCTCTAGTAGCTATCATACTCAGAAAAAAATGAAAATTCCCTACCCTAGTTTACAAAACCCTACATGAAAATGTGGCTTCAGCTATTTCTCCAACCTTATCTCCTATTATTTCCCTGCTTGCCCACTAAGACCCAGCCACAAAGACTTTCTTTTTACTCCTCAAATACACCAAGCTTTTTCCCTCCTGAGGGTGGTACTAGCTCTGCCTGGACCTTCTAGTAATTAGCTTCTTCTTTGGACAGATCTTAGTTTAAATGCCACTAAGTCACAGAGGTCTCAGGGCAGCCAAAACAAAGAGGCCACCAGTTACTATCACTCTAATTTCAATTCCTTGAATAGCACTGATTACTATGTGATAGTTTTTTAATTTATTTGTTTATTGGTTCATATTCTTTTTTCCTCCCCCTGCCTCTTCTCTTTCCCTCTCCAAAACAAGAATGTAAGCTCTATGAAAATAAGACGACGAGGGGCCTTGTCTGCCTTGTTTGCCATTTTAACCCCAGGACCTAAAACAGTGCTTACCAGGCAGGTACTCAATAAATAATTGTAGAATAAATGAATAAGTAATTGAGTATACAGCTCAACATAATATAAATCAAGTTCGGCAGAGAAATGTTTACATTTAGAGTCTGGGAAGTGAAAGCGCCTTTACTATCACTTCTAATCTAATTTCCTACTCCATGCAAGAATTCTTCATTTCTGCTCTGAAAGAGAAAGGTGCAGAACCTTGACTTAAAACTAGGGGTGTGGTATTGGAGCAGAAGTAGATAAATCAATAGCATAAAAAAATCATATGTAGATTAGAAATTTTAAATATGATGATGGAGTCTTTACAAATCAATGAGAGAGTCTGTTCTCATAGTGTAGTAGTAATCATGTTTGCCTGACAAATCAGGAGAAATTATGGATTATTCCAGTGTTTTCAGCGTGTTCACGTGTTCCACTGAACATTATGTTCCCATAGCAGTGCTGTCCAATAGCACTTCTTGTGACGGAAATTTTCCTATTTTTTGAGATGGAGTCTCACTCCGTCGCCCCGGCTGGAGTGTAGTGGCGCAATCTCGGCTCACTGCAACCTCTGCTGCCTGGGTTCAAGCGATTCTCCTGCTTCAGCCTCCCGAGTAGCTGGGATTACAGGCAACTGCCACTGTGCCTGGCTAATTTTTTGTAGTTTTTTAGTAGAGACAGGGTTTCACCAGCTTGGCCAGGCTGGTCTTGAATTCCTGACCTTGTGATCCACCCACCTCGGCCTCTCAGCGTGCTGGGATTACAGGCATCAGCCACTGTGCCTGGCCCGGAAATTTTCTTTTATCTGCAAAATGTTCAATACAGTAGCCACTAGCCCCTTGTGGCTATTGAGTTCTTGAAATATGGTCAGTGTGACTGAAGAACTGAGTAATTTTAATTAACTAAAATTTAAATAGCCACATGTGGCTAGTGCTAGTATACTGGACAGCTCAGTTCCACAGGCTTTCATAGGTATTTCCTGAAATACCTATGAAGTGAGATTACATGGTTAAAAAAAATAGCTCACACCTGTAATCCCAGCACTTTGGGAGGCTAAGGCAGGCAGATCACCTGAGGTCAGGAGCTTGAGACCCGCCTGGCCAATATGGCAAAACCCCATCTCTACTGAAAATACAAAACAAGTTGGATATGGTAGTGCATACTTGTAATCTCAGTTACTTGGGAGGTAGAGGCAGGAGAATTGCTTGAACCTGGGAGGCAGAGGTTGCAGTGAGCCGAGATCACCCCACTGCACTACAGCCTGGGCGACAGAGTGAGACTCCATCTCAAAAAAATAAATAAATAAAATAAATAAATAAATAAAAAAGAAAAAAGATTACATGGTTAATTAAATTAGGAAATGCTAACTCCTAATGCACACACACACACTAGAGGCTAACGAGAGTTTGGCGATAAAAAATTTTAACTTTTTTTCGTATGATCTTTTCCCAAACTTATTTAACCACGAAATAGTCTTTCTTTTTTTTGGAGGAATATCTATCAGTACTTTATTATCTGTATATTGAAGTATGGGATATGCTTGCTGGATTTTTTAATAAGTAGCATTGGCACAACTTGTTAATTATTTGATTAAAAAAGTAAAGAGTTTTACCTCATACCTTACATCAAATTATATTTTAGATAGAATACAAATTTAAATGTTAAAAAGTAAAAAAAAAATTGTTAGAAAATATTAGTTAATACACTTACATGACTAGTCAATAAACACATGAAAAGACACTGGACATCAGAGTAGTAATCAAATAAATGTAAGTTAAAATAAAATTTCATTTTTTTACCTGTCAAGTTAGCAAAGGTGAAGAAAACTAATAATAATTAGCATTGCTGAGAGATTATGGGAAATGAGTAAATGATGCCCCATTTTGATAGGACTGTCATACATGCAAGCTTTTTCAAGGGTAATTTGCCATTATATTGGAATTCTTAAGAAATTTATATATGTAGGTATTATACTTTAAGAAATTTAACTTAAGGGAGACATTAACAATGTGTGCAAAAATTCAACAAGATATTCACCATGGCAGTATTTGTAACAGAAAAACTGGAAACAATCTGGAGTTCAAAAAAGGACTGGTAAATTAAACAACAGGGTTTCCACACGATGGAATAGTTTTCAGCCATTAAATATAATATTGTCAATACAAATTTATTAAAAGAAAAATGTTCATAATATGCTTTGATATAAACATCTGTATATGATAAAAATATACAGAAAAATAATCAAGAACGATATCCATCAAGTGTAAATATCATTTTAAGAAATAGGATTAATACTTTTTTGCCTTTTTCCTTCTACCTTTTGATATTGTGCTTTAATTTTTCCCCCTTTTTTAATAATGAACACATAATTAGTAAATACAGTGATTTCCATATTGAAGAGGAATAAAAGATGTACCAGTTCCCACTCTTATAATGACATAAAATATTTCCATTTTTTCAACTTCTGAGTCTTACTTCTGTCCTCTGGATAAAACAGGTAAATCTAATCTCTTTTCCATAAATGTTCAAACACAAATATTTAAAAATAATTTGATGTTTACTAAAATTAGAAGATTATGTCCAACTTCTAATGTCTGATTCAACTTGCACTTTCACAAAAAGAATCACATCCAAGACCAAATATGCTTTTTATGGCAAAAATATTTCCAGGAAGGAAGTTCATGGCTTTTTTTTGGGGTTTCAATTTCCCCCCAATTAAAACGTTTCCTTTTAAAACTAAGCCTAAGCCATCTGGAGATCTGTATAATGTGGCATGTAAGAATGACCATCAAGATTTATTATATAACCCTCTTGAGTACACAGATTAGATTTTACTCATCCTTCTAACTTCAGTGCCTGACAAGCTAGAGTTTTAATAAATAAATATTTTTCCTGAGTGAGCAAAGTACAGAAGTGAAACATATCTTGAAAAACTCAGGAAAACACAACACAGTTATAAATGTAAGAAATATTCTCAATTTTATAAATGAGCTATGAATTTAAACAACATTCCTGTAACATCAATATTTCAGAGAGGAATTCAGCTCTCAAAGTACAAAACCTACTTGGTGTGATGATGATGCTTGGTAACTCTACTGCTATAAATTCCACTTTATTCTGTCTGGGGCCAAGGAGATAAAACAGGTGACTTTTTAGGATTTCATCTAACACCAAGGCTCTCCATTTATTGCTCTGTAACTAGGCACAGCTATCAATGGCTAAGGTGTCATTGACCATGAAAATAATTTTATTCCTGGTCTACCATTTCTACCTCAAGAGTTCCATTTGTAGGCTGGGTGCGGTGGCTCATGCCTGTAATCCCAGCACTTTGGGAGGCCAAGGCGGGTGGATCACCTGAGGTCGGGCGTTCTAGATCAGCCTGACCAACATGGAGAAACCCTGTCTCTACTAAAAATACAAAATTAGCCAGGCGTGGTAGTGTACAACTGTAATCCTAGCTACTCGGGAGGCTGAGGCAGGAGAATTGCTTGAACCCAGGAGGTGGCGGTTGTGGTGAGCCAAGAGCACGCCACTGCACTCCAGCCTGGGGAACAAGAGCAAAACTCCATCACAAAAAAAAAAAAAAAAGTTCCATTTGTAATTGTGTCACAGTTTTTGTCCTCAATATAAACCTGGTGTATACCAAGTTTTTCTTGTGGTGACTTTGTTTTGCTTCAAATTTTCTGAGAAATGACTTTACACAATTGCAAACTTTGAAATGACTAGGAGTGAGGGTCAGGTGTGGAGAGGCCATTAGAATTAATAAGACGTCTGTGTAAGATAATATTTTATAAAGGTGTAGACAGAACTTTATTTTAGTACATGTGGTAACAAAGTCTGATAAGGAGTGGTTAAAGCCATGATTTACCTCATTTCACAGATAATCACTGTGGTCAGCACATGGCAGCTCTATGCAAACACACTATTTGAAAGAACACAAAAAAGCTATGATCTTTTAATCTCATTTGTTCTAAGGATTTCAAATCCTGGCAAGTTATTTTTTTCATAGATAGTTAAGAGGTAAATTGTCATTACAAATTGCTCATTAGTGGGTTTCAAAAATGTGCCTGGCACATAGTAGAGGTTCAATAAATATCTAATGAATTAATGAGTAATGAATCACACGACTTTGAGAGTTTTATTCATTGGCCATCAGGGAAAGCAAGCCTAAGGTTTTCAAACAATAATACAGATGCTCAAAATAGTAACTATAGTTGGGACAAATTTTTTGGGATCAAGACAATGATCCAGTGCTTTTATAAGTTGATTGTGGAGTAAGCCATTTAATTGGGAGCCAGAGAAAGGAACTTTCAGAAATTTTCTGTAAGTAATAAAAATTATTAAAAAGCCTCATAAAAGTATTATTTCTGATTTCAGATAGACCCACTCCTCCTCCTCCCGCAAAAGGTGTCAGATAGCTGAACCTCAAGTTCTGCATAAACTTAATTCTTCCTATCACCACCCAAATGGCCTCCAATTATTTGATGGACAGAAAGTCAATATAGGCTAGTTATGTTGAAGAAGGTGGTAATGGTGGCCTCTCTGAGAACCTAGTTCTGGAAGTTAATTTTATAGGACTCATTTGGATCAGTAATACCTAAACCCCAAATTCAATTTTTTAGAATACATTTAAAAAGTACATACTTTGGGTACTAGCTGGATTTGAGCAGTAAGTTTCTATAGTCCGGTATTGATCAGTTTCAAAGGAGATGGGTTGCCTGGGCCTTGAGGACTTCACATTCTTTTGCTAATGTGTTTAAACTAAACTTCTTTCCCATCCAAGAAGTTTAAGGAATTGGCAAAAAGAGAGGAGTTCTGACTTTTAAAAGTCAGAAATGTAGGACTCACAGGTATAGACAGGTATATAGACAGTACATACTTTGGGTACTAGCTGGATTTGAGCAGTAAGTTTTTATAGTCCGGTATTGATCAGTTTCAAAGGAGATGGGTTGCCTGGGCCTTGAGGACCTCCCATTCTTTTGCTAATGTGTTTAAACTAAACTTCTTTCCCATCCAAGAAGTTTAAGGAATTGGCAAAAAGAGAGGAGTTCTGACTTTTAAAAGACAGAAATGTAGGACTCACAGGTATAGACAGGTTCTGACTTTTAAAAGTCAGAAATGTAGGACTCACAGGTATAGATGGAGTTTGACTGAGGAAGGCCTTGGCAAGATCTGTGAACTTATGGTAAGGCCATTGCTTTATTAGAAGTACTAACAATATCATTTATAATACAAAAGACTGGGCTAGCCTCTTGACCACATAAAGTTAACTGACTCCCACACTGGGGTATATATTCCTGTTGACAGGTATGCCATTTATTCCAATGTATGTTACTCTAGACTGGTCAGCACATTGTGGAAATAAAGGAATTTAGCAGACTCTAGAGATCACCTCAAGATTTTTTTTGGAGACAGGCTCTCTGTCACTCAGGCTGGAGTGCAGTGGCATGAACACTGCAGCCTCGACCTCCTGGGCTCATGTAATCCTCCTGCTTCAGTCTCCCGTGTAGATGGGACCACAGGCAGGCACCACTATGTCTGGCTAATTTTCTTTTTTTTTTTTTGGAGAGACACGGTCTCACTTTGTTGCCCAGGCTGGTCTTGAACTCCTGGGCTCAAGTGATCCTCCTGCCTCAGCCTCCCCAAGTGCTGGGATTACAGGCCTGAGCCACTGCACCTGGCCCAAGATTCCATTTTTCAAAAATTAATTAACTTATTGTTCTAGTCTCTTCATTCCTATCTTCTCTTTTGATAATCTAACCTGCACATTATTCTAGATTTTCAAACAGAACTCTAATCACATTATTCTACTCCAAAAAATTTTAACAACCCTCCATTGTCTACCAAAGTAACTACAAATTACAGCCTGGCATTCAATGATTTCCACAAAAATAGCCCCAATCTACCTTTCCTGATTTATTTTCTGGTATTACTCTCACAGACATATACACCCACAAGCTCAGTCCCTCTGCAGGCCCTGGTTATTAGGAAACAGTGGGATAGTACTGGTTGCTGCCCCAGAGCCAGCCTCTCATCCCAGCAGAGAGGTTGGGAAGTGAACACTGCTTCATCATTTTTCTGAAACACAGATTTGATGTCATGCTCTTGCTTAAAACCATTATACTGAGATATTTTAAAACTTAGGATCCATAGACCAGGATGTGGCTAGAATATCAGGGTTCTGTGAACTTAGACTGGGAAAACAATTGCATCTTTGTTTTCAATAATCAGTAGCTGAAATTTAGCATTTCTTCAATAAGTGTGGACCACAAACTACAATATTAGCACTCTCTTTTTTACCAATAGAAATCTGATATTTTCACATCACATTAAAGTTGCTGCAGGCATTTCAAAATATAATTTATAGTCATCACTACTTAGAAATTATATAATTAGACCTGCTGCCAGATTTTATTTAATGCATAAAGTGCATATATATCACACATTTGTTTTAATATTTTAAAAACTTAACAAAATTAGTTTCCTTTATATTACTACGTATTCTATTTTATATATTTAAGAACATTTTTCTGAGACTGAATCTATAAGGTGGACTGCCAACAAGGTCCACTGGGTAAAAGAGGTTAAGAACCTTTTTTGTACTTATTAATTACTTCTAGTAATATAATCTAAACTCTTCACCATGGAATTCAAGGCTCCTCATAATCTGTTCACACCCACTTTATCATCTTCATCTCTGTCCCACCTCTACTCTCCATACTATGCTCTAGCCATACTAGACAACAATAACTCGTTCTTATCTGGGTCTGATAGACAGGTTTTTGGATTAACCCTAGTTAATAGATAGCAGCCATACACTGTCTTGGTCTTTACCTCATACAGCTTCTCTGCCTGCCAAGTGAATTCTTTGTTTAAAGGCCTGCTTTCCCTAATACGGTAATTTTCCATCCTAATTGAGCTGTATTTTAAATATCTTTATATCTCATTACTAACTTAAATGATAAATAATAGAAAAAGATTCTAAATTGGCAAGGCACTGTATGTAGTAATCTCTATGAGAGTGGATGTTGGTCTTTGCATCTCATAAATTGGCTTAGCTCTGGATGTTGGTCTCTGCATCTCATAAATTGGCTTAGCTCTGATCATTTTGGGGACAGAAGTGGGGATGGCCTTTGAGCTTTAAGGCTGGAGACAACAGCTGACCAATCCTGGACGGAAGGGAACGGGAGAGCAAAGAGACAAGTAACTAATTTGGACCTGATAAACACTGAGGAATGAACAGTGCTGAAGAGAAAGGCAAGAGTGGCTCCTTCTCCCATTTCCCAGACCAGTTATTCCAAACATAACGCCGCTCAAGTTTCTCATTCCATCTCCAAGCCTCTCTGTAGTTAAATGACCTCCATCTTTTTTTTCTGGGGGCGGGGACGGAGTCTCGCTCTGTCACCCAGGCTGGAGTGCAGTGGCGCGATCTTGGCTCACTGCAAGCTCCGCCTTCCGGGTTCATGCCATTCTCCTGCCTTGGCCTCCCGAGTAGCTGGGACTACAGGCGCCTGCTACCACGCCCGGCTAATTTTTTGTATATTTAGTAGAGACGAGGTTTCACCATGTTGGCCTGGATGGTCTCGATCTCTTGACCTCGTGATCCACCCGCCTCGGCCTCCCAAAGTGCTGGGATTACAGGCGTGAGCCACCGCGCCCGGCTAAATGACCTCCATCTTAATGTTACAGAGCCAACTGTCTCAACTTCCTTCTCTCTAGTTTAGTGAGTCTCAATCTTTAGCATTAGAGTCACCTGTGGAGCTTTAAAACAGTAATGACACCTGGCACAACCCAGAATTTAATTGGTCTAGAGTGGGGCAACAGTATTGGTTTTATTTAACAAAAAGTTTCCCAGGTGATTCAAATGCACATACAAGGTTGCGTTCCACTAGTGATCTTGATCTTATAAATTAGCCTCCCTCACCCTCGAAGAGGCCACTTCTCGGTTTCATGGTACGCTTTTGAGTCTTCTACCTAAACAGAAAACATTCCTGAGGGCCATATTCTCGTTCCTCATTTCTCTAACTTTATAACGATGCTTCTTTAAAGGGAAGTCTACACTAGTACGGTTTCCATCAGGTTTATTTTACTTCTTTTTTCTCTTTCAGACCACCACTGTCACATGCTCTTGCGCCCGTTATTCTGCTTTTACCTCCTTTCGTATTTCTTTGACCAGGTACTGGATTACTAGTCTTTTAACACAGTCCTCTAAAAGTGACCCAAAAGTCACCCTGGAAAGGGCTTCCTCACGTTATCCTCCTACACAACCTGGGACCCCTCTTCTGTGCGCAGACAGCATCCCGTGCATTTTTCTCTATTGTCACTTTATTGTACTACCACTGCGGATTCTCTCACGGTCTCCTATACAAAAGCACTTCAAAAAGCTGACACCACTTAATTCGCCTCTGACATTCTGGAACCCAAGGCATGGAAACCACTCAGTGAAAAGTCTGAGAAATGAATGGAAACGGAGGTCGGGGCGGGGACAATGGAGGGGGCAGTGGGTGGAGAGAGCGTGCGTGTTTGAAAAGGGGCGGGGGCTATGACCGGCGGCGCTGAGAATCCAGGTCCAGAATCGGGAGGGAGCACGGATACGCCAGAATCTGAGTGGGTGGGAGAGCGATCCACTGCCGAGACAAACCGAAGTGGGGAGGAGGCTTCTTACCTGCCTCGGGCCTCACCACCCCAACCAGCCTTCAGGCACCTCTGTGTTGGCCGGAAAGCGACAGCTACGGTCGCAAACTCAGAGGTTTCGTCCCCAACCTTGCGACATCCCTTTCCAGTACAGGGAGAATCTAAAGCTGAGTTCCCTGCTCTGCCGTAAGGTGAAGAAGAAAAAATTTGGGCGGGGCCGCCTGGGGCGTAGGAAAGGGGGCGTGTCTGCGCAAGCGCACGCTGTACTCTCCAGTGGCGTCACGTGCGGGGGCGGGACAGGGCGGGGCCGACCCGTGCTGGCAGTAGGGGGCGTGGGAGGTAAGTGCGCGCGCGCCTGCTCGCCTGCAGCCGGGGAGTCGCGCGGGGCGGGGCCGCGTGCGCGGGGTCGGGGGCGCGCGACCGAAGCGGATAAGGGACGCGGCGGCGGTTGGCTGTGTCTGTTGAGAGAGTACAGGACAGCCCGGACTGCGAGAGGCGGCGGCGGAGGCAGTAGTTGCACCGGCAGAGGCGGCCGCTGGCAGCGGTTGAGGCGGCGGTCCAACGCGTGCTCTCTGGGCGGGGTGCGGCGGGGGATGTGCCTGCTCAGGCCGGGCGGAGTCTCTCTGACAGGGCGGGGGATGCGCCGCGGCCGCTCGCCCGGACCCTGAGGCTGCTGGGCCCACCCTCCCGGAACCGTCCGACCCTCGGTGGCCTCGGCCTCTTCTGCCATCTCCGGTCCTACCCTGGGGCGGAGGGTGGAAGGCAGCTTCCGTCGAAGAGGAGGGGGCTGCGGTGGCCACCGCGGCGGAGCCCGAGGTAAGACCCGCCCAAGCGCCCAGCGGCCCTGCAGCCCGTCCTGGCCCACGTCTCAGCCTCGCTATTTGGCTCCGGTCGGGCCGCCCCGCCCCGTCCCAGCGGAGACGCCCCGCGAGCGGGTCTGCGCCGAGCCTCCCAAACACCAGATCACGGCCCCGGATCCCCAGTAGACCCCACCCCCTGTATCTTCCATTGGCCGGGCACCATTCCGGCCCTCCAGCCTCCCCGGAGATTCTGTCACGGTCCCCCCAACCCAGCAGACCCCATTAGTACCCCTCAGAGTCCCTTAGGACTCTTAATGGAGCTTCTAGACTACGTTACATCCTCCCTTGGGCTGACGTGATTACAGTTCTCAGGCAAAGTCTCGACCGCCCCCTAACCCATTGCGTCCCCCATGTGCCCCTCGCCCTACTCTTCTTAGTAGAACCCCTCCCAGCTCGCTCATCACCAAGCCGACTAGCACTAACCCTAGCCATCACGGCTTTCAGATAGCCGCTGTCATGGTGTTCTTACTCCCGGTAGATGTGGTGTCAGTCCCTCTAGACACCGTCACAGACTTTGGCTTCTCTCCCACCACCGACTGTAGCCTCTCTCAACAGACCTCTCCTCAAGCAAACCTTGTTATCTTTCTCCTTAGTCGCGATCCTTTCTTTGGTTGAAAGGGCTTTGCCATGAAATCCTGAGGGAATATTTGCTTAGCCTAATGTATTCCCTCCATTGTGGCTTAAGGGGACCGACCGAGACCCATGTTTGGAGGGGTTGGGCTGAAAAAAGTGGGAGGCAGAGTGAAGTTATGGAAGCATGAGGCCAGTTGTGTGTGTGCCATTATAAGGTCACAGAGCCTGCACCTCGTCTTGTCTGTTCTGTGTAGAACGTGTGAGGTTGTCCAGCACTGATGTTTTAGGGACCTCTGTAAGGATTAAATCACGTTGCACTAGTGGATATAACTATGTCGTCTTGTAGTATTACTTCACCTCCTTGTCGATTGCTGCAGATACTAGAACTGTTTCTTATTTTTATTTTTAAAGGATACTAGGGGACTTTTTTTGGATTCACTGTTTTTTGGATTTGCTAGAAAAATAAGATTTGTAGCATTCCTTAATCCCTGAATGCTTCGATGTCGGTTTAATAATAAACTTCTGTTGCCTGGTGCTGCTGTCTTGCTTCTCCAAGAAGCAAGTACAGAAATCATGCAGTGTTCACTGAGGTCATTACCAACAACAGCCTTCTCAATAGCAGTAAAATGTTGAATAAAATGTTTGTAGAAGTTGAGCTCCTGAGTTGTCAAGAAAGAAATGTAATGTTGCATCAAATGATCAGTACGTAATTTTAATATTGGTATAAAGATGAAATATAAAGAGGTCTTTGTAGTCATACACACACACACAGTAAAAAATGTTAAAGTAACAGGAGAAAATCACATTAAAATTATAGATAATAACTAGACGTAAAAGCCAAAAGTTTCGGAAGAGTAATGTAGTAAAAATTTCTGTTCCGCCTTCACTCTCCAGCCACCCATTTTTCCTCTTTAGAGGCAACCACTATTTCCAGCTTCATGTGTATCCTTTCTGTGATATTTCCAATATATAAACCTACACATTTATATTTTTAAGACACTGTACACAAATGGTTGCATACTTTACATTCTATACATAGCCTGTTTTTTTTACTTAATACTACATCCTAGAGGTCATTTCTTAACAATACATATGGAAGTGCCTCATTTACTGGCTGGATAGTATTCCATTTTTGTGGACTGGAGGTTATTTTTGGTGTTTTGCTTTTACCAACAATGTTACATGCTTTTCTTTTAAATGTGTCTGATGTTATATGTATGTTTAAATAATTTTGTGAGTTGAAAAAAATTCCTGATGATTCTTTTATGTTGAACCTACAGAAAGGATGTAACTAAATTTCTCATTGAACCTCTGAGCTTCCACAGTGTGACTAGCTGTGATGATGATTATAATATTTATTAAATTATTGAAGGATTTTAAAGCAGGGGACTGGAATGATCAGATTTGCATTTTAAAAAAGTCATTCTGGCTGCAGTGAATTGAAGAGTAGAATAAGACTAAAGGCCAGGAATATTAGGGTTATCCAGGCAAATGGTGAGACTGGATCTGAACTTGGATATTCGGAGTTGAGTTGGTGATTTTATTGTATTTGGGGTTGGGGAGAAGTTGCATACAGGATAAAATCTAGGTTTCTGGCTTGTGCCTTTCACTGAGGTGGGGATTCCCATGAAGGAGTGGGATTTTGTTTTTATTTTGTCAAGGAGGAAGGATAGAGGGGTTAATTTGTGACATGTTCAGTTTAGGTGACTGTAGTTCTGTCAGATGTAGATGACCATTAGGCATTTGGATTTGTGGCTGAAGCTCAGTATCAGGTTCTGGGTTGATAGCAGTAGATTTTGGAGGCAAAATCATACAGAAGGGAGGAGAAAAGGTTTTAGGATGGAAACCCAACATTTAAATTACAGGTAGAGTTGAATATTTAAATTAGTAAATTACATGATTAAGTGCCTTTAAAAAACTTATTCTAGTTTAAGCATTAACAGTGAGATTCACTATCTAATATATGAATTTTTAACAGTTGTTTTCCCTTAGTTATTTTAGTAGTATATAGTTCCTGAGGGAAATTGGGTAAACTTAGATTTTTTTTAACAAGTACCTCAATAGAAGTTAGCGATATAAACTCCATCTTTCCTAATCATTTGGATTATACTATGTGGAAGTTTGTTCAGTCTTTAATAGCAGAGAAATGTAGGAGGTTTGAAAATATGATTTGCCAAGAATATTAAGGTTTTTAGTTGGAGTGATTTTTGGTTATGTTAACTCAGTTTGAAATAAATATTAGTCAAAGACTTTTCAGACATTTTAAAAACCACAATATTGACTTAATGTATTGATTCCTAAGTCTAGAACTGCTGTCTAGAGTGCTTGCCTTTGCTCTAGACCCCTGTAAAAGCACTGCCTAATGGATATCACCACTTTGATTCACATTTCACAAACACTTCAATCCAAACATTTAGGAAACAAAACTCTTCCTGCCTCTTTTCCCCCCACAAAAACAGTGGAGAGAGAGCCGGAGACAGAAACTGCAACAAAATTTTTTCTTCCCCCCGATTTCCTACCTTGATTAATGGCACCACTCTTTCCTCATGAAACCTTCAGGAACCTGGGAATTGCCCTCCGCTTCACTCTGTACTTCACTGCCAACATCCAGTCTGTCACTGCCTTGTACATTTTCCCTCATGATATTTCAGGTCATTCCTTATTACTTTTTGTTGCCTCTATCTTATTTTAACTGAAAATATCTGTTTGTTGGGCTTCTGTAATGCTGAGTGGTCTTCTTGCCTTCTGTCTTCTGCCTCTTGTCATGCCCTCCTGTTCATTCTCTTGACTGCTGTTGGAGTAAGTATTCTAAAATGCTCTTTTAGTCAGGCTCTTTCACTTGGAGGGAAGAGACTCAAGTTACCTTAAGTAATGAAGTGCTTATTGAAAGGAACCATACACAAGGGAACCCAGGAAAAGTTAACTTGCTCTCAAGAAGAAAAAGAACCTAATAAAACTTGCTCTCAAGAAGAACAAGAACCTAATAAAGCTGGAGACCCCACTCCAGTGCTCCATTGTTAGCTTGTCCTAGATACCGTTTCTTTCTTCAGTTTTTTTCCCCCTATGTCATAGCTTCCATTTATTACTAATTTCTGCTCCTTATAACTACTATGTGACCCCCATGCCAACATCTTGCCTCCTGGCTGCAATTGTTTTAAAACGTTTTAAAAGAGGTTAGCTCCTGTTGCTAACCTCTTCCTTTTCCCTAGGATTTTCTGGTTTGAATTCCAGATTTGGCTCAGCTCTTTTTCTCATTGATTGCTAACAAGTCTGTGTACTTAGGTTATGTCACCACTCTTGGCCATTTATTGTTGGCTGTGTGTTTGTATGTATATATGGGTATCAGGAAAGATCTTAATGGTGGAAAGTATGGGACAGTGTGCAGGCTAATTTACCGCAAAATGGGGTTGTGAGCATGGCCCACACCATAATTTTGACATGTATAGTACAGATAAAAATCAAATCATGTCCTTTCCTATTGAATAATCTTCAAAAAAGCTGTCTCATTGCTTTCAGGATAGAGTTTAAACTGTAGCATGGCATGTGTATGAGATCATTCATGATCTAACTCTTAATTCTCTAGCTTTTCTTCACTTGCTGTCTTCCTTACATACTTTAATCCACTCTTACTGACTTTAGGCTTCCTCTCAGGTAATGTGCTTTCTCTCTCGTCTTTTACATTTGATGTTCTATTTCCCTGATTTCCACTTTCCCCTTTCTTTGCTTGGCTAATTTCTGTCTGACCTTTAGGATTCAGTTCAGGTGTATATTCTTCAGGAAGATTTCCTTTACCTCTTTTCAGATTAAGTTAGGTACCATTCTTATGTGCTCCTGTAGCACATAGTAATTACTTCTATCATAGTCCTCTAATGAAATAGCTTAATTACTTGTCTGTTTTCTTCACTAGGGTTTGACTACTTTGGTAAGAGGGATGATATCAGTGCTTTTTAGTAAAACAAGTTTTTAGATTGAGCATTTTAAAAAATATAAGTTCAGAAAAAATAGGGTCTCACTGTGTTGCCCAGGCTGGTCTTAAACTCCTGGACTAGAGCCATCCTCCTGCCTCAGCCTTTGAAAGTGCTAGGATTACAGGCTGAGCCACTGTGCCCAGCCTAAAAATATAAGACTTTATAAATTATAAAATATACAAAAAGTACACAGCTGGTAAATATATAGCTCAGTGAATTTTCACTAAGAACATACCAGTGTAACTAACATCTACATCAAGATATAGAATATCACTAGAACTCTACAAGCTGCCTCATGCCTTCTTCTAGTCACTAATCCAGCTCATAGAGGATTTAATTTACATGGGAAACCCTTTAACATATAGGTTTCTGTACCTATTTTGTGTGTATCTTTAGACATGCAAGGAGTGTAGGTATTGGAATTTTGATCCTGTAGAAAGAACATACCTAATTTATGTTATAGAAACAATTATGGCATAGTTTCATACAATAGACAAGTTCAAAATAACATAATACTACTAAGGTTTATTTGTGAGATGTTATATTTAGGTAGGTGTTTTTGTTTTATACATTTAATATGATTTTAGAGTGGCAGAAAATAATATGATAGAACAAAGTATATTTGCTGAAAATGGCCTATGAATTATGAGTGGTAAATATGCTTGGGATAGGTATAGTAAACATGTAAAGCACTTTCCAAATAGTGTTAGGCCTCTGGGTTTTAATGTGAATTATGTTGCTGGCGTATTTTGGCAGTGGGGTCATCCAGCGGGCAACTGAAGTGTAATTTTACATGTACAGTGAGGAATGGACTAGCTGTCCTGTCATAGACAGCTGGCTTGCTAAAAATTGTGTGTGTTTTTTTTATTTATTTATTTTTTTTTACAATTAGCAATAATTTTGGAGCATACTTTTTCTCAGTTTTGATTTTTCTTAAACTGTAAGATTGTGTAGCTCTTTGAATATATAACTGTATTCTTTTAAATATTCTTTTTCCTTAGATAGGCTTTTATATCTGTGAATCTTAAATCCATTAAGTGGAGAGAATATGGATTCTCAAACCTAGATTTCTAACAGACCTGGATTCAAGTTCTAGCCTTATAACTTTGGAACTGTCATTTATGGGCAAGTCAGTTAACGTTTGAGAGCTTGTCAGAATTTTCATCTCTCAATTGGGGATAATTGGGAGGCAGAGGTGGAGGTAGGAGGATCAGTTGAGCCTAGGAGTTTGAGACCAGCCTGGGCAACATAGGAGACCTTGTCTCTACAAAAATGACAAAATTATTATTAAATAGCTGAGTGTGGTGGCATTCACCTATGGTCCTAGCTACTTGGGAGGCTGAGGTGGGAGGATCACTTGAACCTGGGAGGTCGAGGCTGCAGTGATCTGTAATCATGCCATTGTACTCCAGGCTGGGCAACAGAGTGAGACCCTGCCTCAAAAAAAAAAAAAAAATTGGGGGTAATATTTGCCTCATAAGACTATCATTGGAGTTAAAAAAATTTTTATGTAAAGCACCAAGCATATAGTAGGTACTCAGTAAGTCTTCCTTTTCCCTCTTGAATACGTCTATTTCCTGTTTTATTTATTAATTTTTTTTTTTTTTTAAGACAATCTCACTCTGTCACCCAGGCTGGAGTGCAGTGGCGCAATCTCGGCTCACTGCAACCTCTGCCTCCTGGGTTCAAGTGATTCTCGTGCCTCAGCCTCCCGAGTAGCTGGGACTACAGGTGCACGCCACCATGCCCGGCTAATTTTGTATTTTTAGTAGAGACAGGATTTCACCATATTGACCAAGCTGGTCTTGAACTCCTGACCTCAAGCGATCTGCCTGCCTTGGCCTCCCAAAATGCTGGGATTATAGGTGTGAGCCACTGTGCGCAGCCTATTTCTTGTTATGTTTAAATGTGAAATCAATAATTTTTTTTTTTTTTTGAGATGGAGTCTCGCTCTGTTGCCCAGGCTGGAGTGCAGGGGTGCAATCTCGGCTCACTGCAAGCTCTGCCTCCCAGGTTCACGCCATTCTCCTGCCTCAGCCTCCCGAGTAGCTGGGAATACAGGCACCTGCCACCACTCCCGGCTAATTTTTTGTATTTTTAGTAGAGACAGGGCTTCACCATGTTAGTCAGGATGGTCTCGATCTCCTGACCTTGTGATCCGCCCGCTTCGGCCTCCCAAAGTGCTGGGATTACAGGCGTGAGCCACCATGCCCGGCCGAAATCAAGAATTTTAAGAATTTCACTGTGTGGCTTTTAGAATAAATGGCTAATCAAAGTTTGTTGCTAAAAGAAGCAGATATTAGGGCAGTCTGTCTACTAGTTGTCTTTCAAGTGTGATTTTTTTCAGTTAAAATATTTCTTGTGGCATTGGGGCATTTAAAAAATATTTTTGAAAAAATACTGCAAAGAAATGCTTCTCTTGATGTCTTAGCATATAAGATTAATGGATTTTAGAATGTATTTGATTCAGTGTGAGTTATCATAACAAAATGTGTTCTGTTTGTCAATGACAAACATTCCTTAAATAATTGACAGATTTTAGTACTATTGCTGTTTGTAGTGTGTAAGTATTTGTTTGAAATCTGTTTATTTTTATTGATCAGATGATAGTGGGCTGAGTAATCTCTGGAATTTTCTTTTTTTTTTTTTTTTTTTTTTTGAGATGGAGTCTTGCTCTGTCTCCCAGGCTGGAGTGCAGTGGTGCAATTTCGGCTCACTGCAACCTCCGGCTTCCGGGTTCAAGTGATTCTCCTGCCTCAGCCTCCCAAGTAGCTGGGATTACAGGTGCCTGCCACCGTGCCCAGCTAATTTTTGTATTTTTAGTAGAGATGGGGTTTTGCCATGTTGGCCAGGAAGGTCTTCAACTGCTGACCTCAGGTAATCTACCTGCCTCGGCCTCCCAAAGTGCTGGGATTACAGGTGTGAGCCACCACACCCGGCCTGGAATTTCCTTTTTGTTTTTTTCTTGAGACAGCATCTCACTGTATTGCCCAGGCTGGACTCAAGCTCCTGGGCTCAAGCAGTCCTCCCACTTCAACCTCCTGAGTAGCTGGTACTACAGATGTGTGCCACTACGCTGCCTGGCTAGATTTTTTTTTTTTTTTTAATGTAAGGGAGAAAGTTCTTAGGTGACTGTGTGGACATGTTTATAAACGATTTTTAGATTTTTTTTGCCTTATTTATTTATTTATTTTTTTGTGAGACAGAGTCTTGCTCTGTCGCCCAGGCTACAGTGCAGTGGTGCGATCTTGGCTCACTGCAGCCTCCACTTTCGAGGTTCAAGTGATTCTTGATTCTTGTGCCTCAGCGTCCCAAGTAGCTGGGATTACAGGTGTGTGCCACCACACTCAGCTAATTTTTGTATTTTTAATAGAGACAGGGTTTCACCATATTGGCCAGACTGGTCTCAAACTGCTGACCTCAAGCGATCCGCCTGCCTTGGCCTCCCAAAATGCTGTGATTACAGGCGTGAACCACTGCACCCGACTAATATTTTTGTCTTATTTTGCTTTTGCAACTCTGTTTTCTTTTAGTTCTCTTTCTTCCCTCCCCTATTGTTTTATAATTAAGATCTTAAAGAAATAGAAAAGTTGGAAGAGAACACTAATTATGTCTATCAACTAGATTCAAAAGATAGCGTTATGCCATCCATATTTGCATTATTGTTCCCTGTGTGATTGTGTGTGTGTATTTTTTTTTTTTTTTTAGACAGAGCCTTGCTCTGTCACCCAGGCTGGAGTGCAGTGGCATGATCTTGGCTCACTGCATGCTCCACCTCCTGGGTTCACACCATTCTCCTGCCTCAGCCTCCCGAGTAGCTGGGACTACAGGCACCCGCCACCACGCCTGGCTAATTTTTTATATTTTTAGTAGAGGTGGCGTTTCACGGTGTTAGTCAGGATGGTCTCGACCTCCTGACCTCATGATCTGCCTGCTGCCTCGGCCTCCCAGAATGCTGGGATTACAGGCCTGAGCCACCACGCCCGGCTGTGATTGTATATATTTTTGCAGAACCTTTTGAAAGTAAGTTGCGGCTGGGTGCCGTGACTCACATCTGTAACCCCAGCACTTTGGAAAGCCGAGGCAGGTGGATCACCTGAGGTCAGGAGTTTGAGACCAGCCTGGCCAACATGGTGAAACCCTGTCTTTACTAAAAATACAAAAATTAGCTGGGCGTGGTGGTGGGTGCTTATAATCCCAGCTACTCGGGAGACTGAGGCAGGAGAATCACTTCAACCTGGGAGGTGGAGGTTGTGGTGAGCTGAGATTGCACCATTGCCCTCCAGCCTGGGTGACAAGAGTGAAACTCTGTCTCAAAAAAAAAAAAAAAAATGTATGTGTCATGACAAGTTTACTGCAAAATACTTCGTATATATTTTCTAAGAAATACATATTTTTCGTATCACCAGTGTGCTATTACCAACACCTAGGAAAAATAATACCCTAATTTAATATTGAATTTATATTTGAATTTTCCCAACTGTCCTGAAAAATGTTTTTTTCAAAAGAGAACTCACTTTTAGTTTTTGCATTTCATTTGATTATCTCTTTTTAGTCTCTCAATGTAGGAAGTTCCTTCCCACATTTCTCTTCCCTGTGACATTGAAATGTCTTTGAAGAGACCAATCATCTTGTAGAATGGCCTGTTTTCTAGAGTTTTCTGATTGTTTCTTAGATTGTTTAACTTGTTCTTCTGGTGCTTGTATGTCCTGTAAACTGGAAGTTATATTGTAAAGGATTGAATAGATTCATATTAAAAAGTTTTGGCAAGAACACTCTGTAGGTGATGTTGTATATCATGTTGTGTGTTAATGGGAGGCACATAATGTCAGCTGTCCTCCTATCAGTGATGTAAGTTCGATAGGTTTAAGGTGGTGTTTGCTTATGTCTCCATTTTAAAAGTAAATTTTTTCTCCTGTTATGTACAATAATCTGTGGGACTGATACTTTGGTACCATACAAATATTCCATTTCTCAGTATTCTTTCTCTAATAATTTTAGCATCTTTTTTGATCCTTAGGTATTTAATTAAGGATTGCAAAATGGCGATTTTTCTAATTCTGTAATTCTTTTTCATTTATTAGTTATTCTTCAGTTAATAAGAGCTTTGTAACCTTTATCAACTGGGAGTGAACAACAGTTCCTATTAAAAGAGAACAGTAAATGCTTAATTTTTTCCTTAATTTTTAGAGTGAGGATTTGTGTAATAGTCATCTACAATAGTAGCAAATGAGGTTTTTAATGGTCTCATGACTTTTGTTGTATTATAGTCATTTGCAGACGTTTTTTTTTTTTTGATGCTCAAATTGTCTCAAATAAGGACAGTGGGAGCTTCTTCAAACAGGTTCCTGAATTATTTTTTCCTGAACCCATTAGTCTTTGAATGATTCCTTACTTTTGGGTACACGATATCTTGGCTCACCATGGACTTTTCCTGCTTTAGACTTGGAATCAGCAATTTCTCCAAGAAGCTTTGTCTTCTTACAGTGGAGGATTGTATTTATTTATATATTTATTTAATTAAAAAAAATATTTTTTGGAGGGGAGGGGCAAAGTCTTGCTCTGTCGCCCAGGCTGGAGTGCAGTGGCACGATTTTGGCTCACTGCAACTTCTGCCTCCGGGGTTCAAGTGATTCTCCTGCCTCAGCCTCTGGAGTAGCTGGGATTACAGGCGCGCGCCACTATACTTCGCTAATTTTTGTATTTTTAGTAGAGACAGGGTTTCACCATGTTGACCAGGCTGGTCTGGGACTCCTGACCTCAGGTGATCTGCCTGCCTCAGCCTCCCAAAGTGCTAGGATTACAGGCATGAGTCACTACACTCTGCCGAGATTGTATTTAGAAACCACTATTTAGGTGCTAAGTATGCTCCTTGTTATTGGGCTGTCATTGAGGCTCTTGACAGGAGGGAGTAAAAAGCATGATATCATCTTGATAATTCTTACTCAAGTTTAACATTATGGGTTTCTTCCTTCTCTTCTCCCTACTCTTCTTCCTCCTCCTCCTTTTAGTTTGTTAAATTATTTTTGTTTTAATCTCCTTTACGTTGAAAATCATAGTTTTTATTAACATTGATGTATGTTTTTTCTAAGTATTTATAAAATAGTTTCAAAAATAAATGAAACTGCTCAGTGAGACTCAAAATTTCTTTGCATTTCTTTTTGTCCTTAGACTGTATCCTACTAAGAATGTACCTATTGTAAGTAGTACTATGTTCAAAAGTCACTTGAAATAATGATTTTCTCAGTTTGATTGTTACCAGTTTAATATGCAGTTAGGTCTACTTATTTTATTTTAGGATTTGCTTTTCCTGTTTTTAGACTTAATTTGGCTGGGTGCTATGGCTCACGCCTGTAATCCCAGCACTTTGGGAGCCTAAGGTGGGAGGTTTGCTTGAGCCCAGGAGGTTGAGGCTGCAGTGACCTGTGATTGCGCTGCTGCACTCCAACCTGGGTGACAGAGTGAAACCCTATTTCAAAAAAAAAATAAAAAAAAACCCTTGATTTTATTCTTTGAATATGTAAAGCACTTACATAGTTCAGAAAGAGAAACCATATAAAAAAAGGATTTTTATTTTCTTAAATGTTTTTAGAGATGAGGTCTTGCTCTGTCACCCAGGCTGGAGTGATAGAGCAAGTGCAGTGGCACAATCATACATCACTGCAGCCTTGAACTCTTGGGTTCAAGCCATCCTTCTGCCTTAGCCTTCTGAGTAGCTAATACTATAGGTGCGTGCCACTGTGCCTTCCTAATTATTTTTTTAAATTACATTTTATTTTAGTAGGGATGGGGTCTTGCTATGTTGCCCAGGCTGGTTTTGAACTCCTGGCCTCAAGCAGTCCTCCTGTCTCAGCCTCCCAGAGTGCTGAGATTACAGGCATGAGTCATTGTGCCTGGCCAGGAATCTCATTTTCATCCCCATCTTTTTCATCCTGTTTTCTCACTCCTCTATACGTAACCATTTTTGTAAGTCTTTGATTAATCATCCTAATATTTTTCTTTCAAAAATAAAATATATGTATTCTCTTTTCATATGCTAAAGGTAGCATACCATGTATTCTGTTCTGTACCTTTTCTTTTTTTTCCACTTACTGTATGCTGGAGAGGACTTCGTATTGGTATATAAGATGTTTCTCATTCTTTTTTACGGAGACACAATATTCTATTATACGGATGTACCATAGTTTTATTCAGTGAGTTTGGTTCTGAAGGATATTTATGTTTAATCTTTTGAACTATGTGTAAGTAATACATATTGAATAAATTGATTAAAAAATAAAGCTTTCCCCGCAGGGCATGGTGGCTTATGCCTGTAATCCCAGCACTTTGGGAGGCCGAGGCCGGTGGATCACCTGAGGTTGAGAGTTCAAGACCAGCCTGACCAACATGTAGAAACCCCATCTCTACTAAAAATACAAAATTAGCTGGGCGTGGTGGCACATGCCTGTAATCCCAGCTACTAGGGAGGCTGAGGCAGGAGAATCGCTTCAACCTGGGAGGCGGAAGTTGCGGTGAGCCAAGATCATGCCATTGTGCTCCAGCCTGGGCAACAAGAGGGAAACTGTCTCAAAAAAAAAAAAAAAAAAAAAAAAGCTTTCCCAGCATTTCGGGAGGCTGAGGCAGTAAGGTTGCTTGAGGCCAGCAGTTTGAAACCAGCTTGGGCAACATAATGAGACCCTGTCTCTACCAAAACAAACAAAAGAACTAGCCAAGCATTGTGGTGTGTGCCTGTGGTCCTAGCTACTGGGAAGGCTGACATGGGAGGATCACTTGAGCCCAGGAGTTCGAGGTTACACTGAGCCATAATGATCATGCCACGGTAGTAGTCCAACAGCCTGGGCAATAGAGCAAGACCCTGTCTCTTAAAAGAGAAAAAAGGAAAAAGAAAAAAGTGTTTTTCCCAAGTGACTGAGAAGGAGCTGATTTTTTCCAGAAGAGTCTTGTAGCTTTCAGAGGTATCTTTGTTCTGTTTTGTTGTTGTTGAGATAATTTTAGGAAAAAAACAGTAGATATATTTTGGTATGGTACCTAGGTCTGAAGGGACAGTAGATGATTTGCCTGCTTTATTTCACTGTTTCCTGCTTTATTTCACTGTTTCCTGACTCCTTGAATCATTAGAACTAAAAAAAAGCCCATGTCTTGAATGTTTTCATGTAAGGATACATTGTATCTTCACTGGGTTTTCCTGAAAATTCTGCTCTTATGTACATCTTATGTACCATTTCCCCTTAACTTTAACCTTTCTTCTTTCTCTTTTTTTGTCTTAAATCTCAGATTATGTATAGGATTCTAAGCATTTAATGTACAGCTTCTTACAGTATAGTAGGGCAGAACAGATGTATCCTATGAATGAAGAGAAAGAGATCAGGAAAATGCTAAAGGCAGAGGGAATAGTCTGTTGGGATATAAAGAATTCAGTCTCTGGGCTTGTAGAATGACAGTTGGTTTAGGGAATCATTCAGATCTAAATTGTCTTTTACTTCGTTTAATCAGAATGGAAGTTGTTTCATTTATTGATCAAAATATTTGAGCATCTACCATGACCAACTTCCTGATGTGTAGGCACTGGGGAGGATACAGAACATTTTGTAATTATGGTAGCTTTTAAAAAATGCACACTAGGTACCAGACTTATATTACCGTATATTAAATTACCATACTAGTTACATGCAGTTGTTATTTTTCCTTTTCATTCATATACTGATGCTTCCTTACTTACAGTGGGGTTACATCCTGATAAACCCATTGTAAGTTGAAAATACCATAAGTCGAAAATGCATTTATTACACCTAACCTACCAAATATAATAGCTTAGCTTAGCCTTCCTTAAATGCGCTCAGAACACATTAGCCTACAGTTGGACAGAATCATCTGGCAACACAGTATATACTATTGAGGATCAGTTGTTTACCCTTGTGAGAGCTGCTGCTTTCTGCTGCTGCCCAGCATTATGAGAAAGTATCATACTGCATATTGCTAGCCTGGGAAAAGATAAAAATTCAAAATTTGAAGTATGGTTTCTACTGAATGCATATCGATTTTGCACTGTGCTAAAGTTGAAAAACTGTAAGTTGAACCGTCATAAGTTGTGGACCATCTGTATACAAGAGAAGGCATAAAATGTTCAGTTTAAGGGAAATAATAAAGTGAATATTAGTGTTGTCATTGCCCAGGTCAACAAGCCAGAAGTGCTTCCCTCCAACCTCACCATCCTTGTCAACATATCCCCCCTCAGTGGAGGTAGTTATTATCCTGACCTTTGTGACTGTTTTTTGCTTTGCTTCATAATTTTAAGTCCTAGCTATACATCCTTAAACAATATAGTTTTCCTTGTTTTTGAACTTCATGTGCATATAATAATACTATGTGTATATTATGTAATCTAAAAAATTAGTTCAGTATTTGTGAAATTCTTCTGCTTCTGCTGCTGCTTCTTCTGTTACTTCTGCTTCTTCTGTTTCTTCTTCTGCTTCTTCTGTTGCTTCTTCTGCTTCCACTGCTTCTGCTGCTTCTGCTTCCACTGCTTCTGCTGCTTCTGCTTCCACTGCTTCTGCTGCTTCTGCTTCCACTGCTTCTGCTGCTTCTGCTGCCACTGCTTCTGCTTCTGCGCTGCTTCTGCTTCTGCTGCTGCTTCTTCTTCTGCTGCTGCTTCTGCTTCTGCTGCTGCTGCTTCTGCTGCTGCTTGCTGCTTGCTGCTGCTTCTGCTGCTGCTGCTTCTGCTTCTGCTGCTGCTTCTGTCTCTGCTTGCTGCTGCTTCTGCTTCTGCTGCTGCTGCTTGCTGCTGCTTCTGCTTCTGCTGCTGCTGCTTGCTGCTGCTTCTGCTGCTGCCTCTGCTTCTCCTTCTGCTGCTGCTGCTTCTGCTGCTGCTTCTGCTTCTGCTGCTGCTTTTTTTTTTTCTTGAGACTTAGTCTTACTCTGCCACCCAGGCTGGAGTGCAGTGGCGCAATCTTGGCTCACTGCAACCTCCGCCTGCCAGGCTCAAGTGATTCTCCTTCCTCAGCCGAGGAGAATCACTTGAACCCGGGAGTGGAGGTTCAGTGAACAGAGATCGCACCACTGCACTCCAGCCTGGGTGACAGAGTGAGATTCCATCTCAAAAAACAAAGAAACAACAACAAAAAAAACCATATATAATTTGAATTTATCTGTAGATTCTTCTGGATTTCCTATATATATAATTATGTCATATGCAAATAATGACAATTTTGTCTCTTGTTTCTAATCCTTATACCTTTTATTTTTTTCCTGCTTTCCTTTGCTGCCTGAGATCTCCAGCATAATGTTGATAGGACTTTATAGGGCCATCTTTGTCTTGTTTCTCATCTCAAGGGAAAAATGTTCAACCTTTCCTCATTAAGCATGGTGTAGGCTTTGTAGATACCTTTTATCGAATCAAGGAAGCTTCTGTTTTTCTTTTGCCAAGACTCCATTAGAGACGTGTATAACTACTGAATTTTCTTGGATTTTTTTGAGATGTGGTTGATTGTATTGATTGGCTTTCTGATATATCTGTTATTTCTGGATTCAGAGTCCAGAGTGCTCACCATTACACCATGGAACCACCTAATCTGTTATTTCTTTTTTTTTTTTTTTTTAAATTTATTTATTTTTTATTGATAATTCTTGGGTGTTTCTCACAGAGGGGGATTTGGCAGGGTCATAGGACAATAGTGGAGGGAAGGTCAGCAGATAAACAAGTGAACAAAGGTCTCTGGTTTTCCTAGGCAGAGGACCCTGCGGCCTTCCGCAGTATTTGTGTCCCTGGGTACTTGAGATTAGGGAGTGGTGATGACTCTTAACGAGCATGCTGCCTTCAAGCATCTGTTTAACAAAGCACATCTTGCACCGCCCTTAATCCGTTTAACCCTGAGTGGACACAGCACATGTTTCAGAGAGCACAGGGTTGGGGGTAAGGTCACAGATCAACAGGATCCCAAGGCAGAAGTTTTCTTAGTACAGAACAAAATGAAAAGTCTCCCATGTCTACTTCTTTCTACACAGACACGGCAACCATCCGATTTCTCAATCTTTTCCCCACCTTTCCCGCCTTTCTATTCCACAAAGCCGCCATTGTCATCCTGGCCCGTTCTCAATGAGCTGTTGGGCACACCTCCCAGACGGGGTGGTGGCCGGGCAGAGGGGCTCCTCACTTCCCAGTAGGGGCGGCCGGGCAGAGGCGCCCCTCACCTCCCGGGCGGGGCCGCTGGCCGGTCGGGGGCTGACCCCCCCACCTCCCTCCCGGACGGGGCGGCTGGCCGGGCGGGGGGCTGACCCCGCCACCTCCCTCCCGGACGGGGCGGCTGGCCTGGCAGAGGGGCTCCTCACTTCCCAGTAGGGGCGGCCGGGCAGAGGCGCCCCTCACCTCCCAGACGGGGCGGCTGGCCGGGCGGGGGGCTGACCCCCCCCACCTCCCTCCCAGACGGGGCGGCTGGCCGGGCGGGGCCTGACCCCCCCACCTCCCTCCTGGATGGGGCGGCTGGCCGGGCAGAGGGGCTCCTCACTTCCCAGTAGGGGCGGCCGGGCAGAGGCGCCCCTCACCTCCCGGACGGGGCGGCTGGCCGGGCGGGGGGCTGACCCCCCCACCTCCCTCCCGGACGGGGCGGCTGGCCGGGCGGGGGGCTGACCCCGCCACCTCCCTCCCGGACGGGGCGGCTGGCCTGGCAGAGGGGCTCCTCACTTCCCAGTAGGGGCGGCCAGGCAGAGGCGCCCCTCACCTCCCAGATGGGGCGGCTGGCCGGGCGGGAGGCTGACGCCCCGACCTCCCTCCCGGACGGGGCGGCTGGCCTGGCGGGGGGCTGAACCCACCTCCCTCCCTGACGGGGCGGCTGGCCGGGCGGGGGGCTGACCCCCCCACCTCCCTCCCGGACGGGGCGGCTGGCCGGGCAGAGGGGCTCCTCACTTCCCAGTAGGGGCGGCCAGGCAGAGGCACCCCTCACCTCCCAGACGGGGCGGCTGGCCGGGCGGGAGGCTGATGCCCCGACCTCCCTCCCGGACGGGGCGGCTGGCCTGGCGGGGGGCTGAACCCCCCACCTCCCTCCCTGACGGGGCGGCTGGCCGGGCGGGGGGCTGACCCGCCTACCTCCCTCCCGGACGGGGCGGCTGGCCAGGCGGGGGGCTGACCCCCCCACCTCCCTCCGGGACGCGGCGGCTGGCCGGGCGGGGGGCTGACCCCCCCCACCTCCCTCCCGGACCGGGCGGCTGGCCGGCGGGGGGCTGACCCCCCCCACCTCCCTCCCGGACGGGGCGGCTGGCCGGGCGGAGACGCTCCTCACTTCCCAGACGGGGTGGCTGCCGGGCGGAGAGGCTCCTCATTTCTCAGACGGGGCAGCTGCCGGGTGGAGGGTCTCCTCACTTCTCAGACGGGGTGGTTGCCGGGCAGAGGGTCTCCTCACTTCTCAGACGGGGCGGCGGGGCAGAGATGCTCCTCACCTCCCAGACGGGGTCGTGGCGGGGCAGAGGTGCTCCTCACATCCCAGACGGGGCGGCGGGGCAGAGGTGCTCCCCACATCTCAGATGATGGGCGGCCGGGCAGAGACGCTCCTCACTTCCTAGATGTGATGGCGGCCGGAAAGAGGCGCTCCTCACCTCCTAGATGGGATGGCGGCCGGTCGGAGACGCTCCTCACCTCCCAGACTGGGCAGCCAGGCAGAGGGGCTCCCCACATCCCAGACGATGGGTGGCCAGGCAGAGACGCTCCTCACTTCCCAGACGGGGTTGTAGCGAGCCGAGACCACGCCACTGCACTCCAGCCTGGGCACCACCGAGCACTGAGTCTTCACATCTGTTATAGCTCAGAGTGATCTGCACGCCTCGGCCTCTCAAAGTGCTGGGATTCCAGGTGTGAGCCACCACACCTGTCTAATTTTTCTATTTTTTGTAGAGACAGGTTTCACCATGTTGGCCAGGCTGGTCTTGAACTCCGGACGTCAGGTGATCCGCCCGCCTCGGCACCCCAAAGTGTTGGGATTCCAGGTGCAAGCCACCACACCTGTCTAATTTTTCTATTTTTTTAGAGATGGGGTCTTGCTATACTGCCCAGGCTGGTCTCAAACTCCTGACCTCAGGTGATCCGCCTGCCTCACCTCCCAGAGTGCTGGGATTACCCTAATCTGTTATTTCTGATGTTAGTTTTTATCCCTTTTTCCATTCCTGATCCTTTGCTTTTTTTTTTTTTTTTTTTTTTTTGAGACCAAGTCTTGCTCTGTCACCCAGGCTGGAGGGCTGGAGTGCAGTGGCTCGATCTCGGCTCACTGCAGCCTCAGCCTCCTGGGTTCAAGCAGTTCTCCTGTCTCAGCCTCCTGAGTAGCTGGGACTACAGGCGCATGCCACCATGCCCGACCAATTTTTATGTTTTTAGTAGAGTCAGGGTTTCACCATATTGGTCAGGTTGGTCTCAAACTCCTGGCTTCAGGTGATCCACCCGCTCAGCCTCCCAAAATTCTGGGATTACAGGCATGAGCCACCGCGCCCAGCCTTGGTTTTTTTTTCTTTTTTTGAGACAAGGTCTCGCTGTTGCCTAGGCTGGAGTGCAGTGATGTGACCACGGCTGGCTGCAGTCTTGACCTCCCAGGCTCGAGTGATTCTACCACCTCAGGATCCTGAGTAGCTGGGACTACAGGTGTGTGTCACTAGACCTGGCTAATTTTTTTTTCTTTTTTTTTTTTTTTTTTTTGGGGCAGGGTCTTGCTCTATTGCCCAGCATCTCGGCTCATTGCCAACCTCTGCCTCCCAGGTTCAAGCGATTGTTGTGACTCAGCCTCCTGAGTAGCTGAGACCACAGGTGTGCACCACTACACCTAGCTGACTTTTGTATTTTTTAGTGGAGATGAGGTTTCACCATGTAGGCCAGACTGGTCTGGAACTTCTGGCCTCAGTTGATCTGTCTGCCTCAGCCTCCCAAAGTGCTGGATTACAGGTGTGAGGCCCTGCCCCTGGCCTGGACCTGGCTACTTTTTGAGTTTTTGTAGAGATGAGGTCTTGGCTGTGTTGCCAGGGTTGATCTCGAACTTCTGGGCTCAAATGATCTTTCTGCCTCCGCTTCCCAGTATTGGAATTACAGGTGTGAGCTACTGTGTCTGGCCTCTTTTTCTTTTTAATTTCTTAATTATTTTTGCCAGAGGTTTGCCAATTTATAGTTGTTTTTTTTTTTAAATACAACTTCTGGCTTTGATGGCCTTTACTATTTTGTTTTCTCTCTACTTATCACTTCTTCGTTTTTATCATTTCTTTTCTAACCAAAATATGATCACAGCAGTTTGTTTTGTTTTGTTTTGTTTTGTTTTTGAGATGGGGGTGTGGTCTCATTATATTGCCCAGGCTGGTCTCGAACTCCTGGGCTCAAGTAACCCTCCTGCCTCAGCCCCCTGGCTAGCTGGGGCTATAGGTGTGTGGCACCACACACACCTGATCACTTCTGTTATTTCCTTCCTACTTTCTTCAGGTTTATTTTGCAATTCTTTTTTATCTTCTGAATAGATAGCTCTCTAATTTTTTTTCCTATTATACTTATTTAGGGTTATACATTTTCCCATGAAGTATTGCTTTAATTGCATCTCACAAGTTTTGAAATGTAGTTTTGTTATTTATTTCAAAATATTTTTCATTTATTGGTCACATATATTATTTAGGAGTATATTTAAAAATTTCCAAATAAGTGACAATTTTTAGTATGTTAGTTATCTATTGTTGCATAACCAGTTAAGCCCAAAACTTAGTGGCTTATTATCCTTTACAGTTTTGGTGGGTTAGGAATTCAGGAGTGGTTAAACTTGGCATTTCTGTGTTAGTTCCCTTCCATGTGGGTTTTTCCATGAAACTTTAACTGTTGTCAGGGCATGGTCAGTGGAATTCCTGAGAGAGAGAGCATACCAGATAGAAGCCATGTTGCCATTTATGACCTAGCCTTGTTTCTGCATTCTGGTGATCCAGAGTTACAGAGCTCCATTCATGTTTGAGGAGGAGGAAGCATAGGGAAAAGTGTCAAGTCACATTGTAAAAGTATGTGTGGGATGGGGTATATGCTGGTGTGGACATCTTTGAAAAATACATTTGTTATGCCCACTCATCTTTTTTATACTGATTTCTAGTTAATTGTTTTCAGAGGAAATGATCTTATAGTTTCAGTGGTCTTTCTTTTTCTGTTTCTTCTTTTTTTTAAAAAAATTTTTATTTTATTTATTTATTTTTGAGATGGAGTCTCGCTCTGTCACCAGGCTGGAGTGAAGTGGTGTGATCTCGGCTCACCGCAACCTCTGTCTCCTGGGTTCAAGCGATTCTCCTGCCTCAGCCTCCTGAGTAGCTGAGACTACAGGCGCACGCCACCATGCCCAGCTCATTTTTGTATTTTTAGTAGAGACATGGGGTTACACCATGTTGGCCAGGATGGTCTTGATCTCTTGACCTCATGATCCGCCCACCTTGGCCTCCCAGTTTTTAAATATTTTTGTTTCACCATCTCAGTCTTTCTTTTTCTGGATCTCCAGTTTATATACAGGCATACTTCTGATATATTTAAGTTCAGTTTCAGACCACTGCAATAAAGCAAATATTGTAATAAAGTGAATATTGCAGTAGAGCAAGTCACATGAAACTTTTGTTTTCCCATTGCGTATAAGACTTATGTTTATACTGTACTATAGTCTATTTAAAGTGTATAATAGCACCATGTCTACAAAAATATCCACACATTGATTAGAAAATATTAAAAAAATGCTAACGGTCATCGGTCATCTGAGCCTTCATTGAATTGTAATCTTTTTGCTGGTGGAGGTTCTTTACTTCATGGTGGTGGCTGCAGACTAATCAGGATAGTGGATGCTGAAAGTTGGAGTGGATGTGGCAATTTCTTGAAATAAGACAATGACGTATGCTGCATCAGTGGACTGTTCCTTTAATGAAAGATTTGTCTGTAGCATGCAGTGCCATTTGATAGCATTTTATGCACAATATAACTTTTTTCAAAATTGGAGTCAGTCTTCTCAAACCCTGCAGCTGCTTTATCAACTATGTTGATGTAATATTATACATACTTCGTTGTCATTTCAACAGTGTTCTCAGCATCTTCTCAAGGAGTAGATTCTATCTCAAGAAACCACTTTCTTTGGTCATCAGTAAGAAGCAGCTTATCATCTGTTCATGTTTTATTGTGAGATTGCTGCAGTTCAGTCATATCTTTAGGCTCCATTTTAAATTCTAATTATCTTTGTTTCCACCACATCTGCAATTCCTTCTTCCACTGAAGTCTTGAAGCCATCAAAGTCATCCATGAGGCTTGGGAACAACCTCTTCCAAACTCCTGTTAATGTTATGTTGACCTCTTCCCACGAGTCATGAATGTTCTTAATGGCACCCAGAAAGGTGAATTCTTTACAGAAGGTTTTACGTTTACCTTGCCCAGATCCATAAGGGGAATCACTGTCTATGGCAGCTAAAGCCTCATGAAATATTTTAAATAATAAGACTTGAAAGTTAAAATTACTCCTTGATCCATGGGCTGCAGAGTGGATGTTGTGTTAGCAGGTGGGAAAACATTAATCTCCTTGTACATCTTTAACAGAGCCCTTGGGTAACTAGGTGCATTGTCAATAAGCAGTAGTATTTTGAAGGAATCTTATTTTTCTGAGCAGTAGGTCTCAACGGTGGGCTTAAAACATTCAGTAAACCTTACTGTCAACAGATGTGTTGTCATTCAGGCTTTGTTTTTCCATTTAGAGAGCAAAGGCAAAGTAGATTTAGTGTAATTTTGTTGTTGTTGTTCCCTGAGACAGGATCTCACTGTTGCCCAGGCCGGAGTGCGGTGGTGTGATCTCAACTAACTACAGCCTCTGCCTCCTGGGTTCAGGTGATTCTCCCACCTCAACCTCCTGAGTATCTGGGACTACAGGCCTGCACCACCATGCCCAGCTAATTTTTTTTTTTCTTTTTTTTTTTTTTTTGAGACAGTCTCGCTCTGTCACTCAGGCTGGAGAGTATAGTGGCGTGATCTTGGCTCACTGCAACCTCTGCCTCCTGGGTTCAAATGATTCTCCTGCCTTAGCCTCTCAAGTAGCTGGGATTACAGGCTCCCACCACCATGCCCAGCTAATATTTTTAGTAGAGATGGGGTTTTTCCAAGTTGGCCAGGTTGGTCTCAAACTCTTGACCTCAGGTGATCTACCCACCTTAATTTTTGTATTTTTTATAAAGACGAGGTTTCACCATGTTGGCCAGGCTGGTCTTGAACTCCTGACCTCAGATGATCCGCTTGCCTCAGCCTCCCAAAGTGCTGGGATTACAGGCGTGAGCCACCACATCTGGCCTTGATTTAGCGTTAATTCTCAAGAGCCCTAGGATTTTCAGAATGGTCAATGAGCATTGGTTTCAGCTTAGTCATTAGCTGCCTTAGCCCCTAGCAGGAGAGGCAGCCTGTTCTTTGAGGCTTTGAAGCCAGGCATTCACTTCTAATTATGAAAGTCCTAGATGACATATTTTTCCAACACAAGGCCGTTTTGTCACATTAAAAATCTGTTGTTTAGTGTAGCCACCTTCATCAATTATCTTAGCTGGATCTTCTGGATAACTTGCTCCAGCTACTATGCCACCACTTGCTGCTTTACCTTGCACTTTTATGTTGTGGAGGCGGCTTCTTTCCTTAAATCTCATGCATCAACACTGCTAGTGTCCAACTTTTCTTCTATAACTTTCTCACCTCTCTCAGCCTTCATAGAAGTGAAGAGAGGTAGAGACTTGCTCCAGATTAGGCTTTGGCATAAGGGAATGTTGTGGCTAATTTGATCTTCTTTCCAGACCACTAAAACTTTCTCCATATCAGTAGTAAGGTGGTTTTGCTATCTTATTTGTGTGTTCGCTGGAGTAGCACTTTTAATTTCCTTCAAGTTTTCCTTTGCATTCACAACTTGGCAAACTGTTTTGCACAAGAGGTCTAGCTTTTGGCCTGTCTAGGTTTTCAGCATGCCTTTCTCACTAAGCCTAATCATTCTAGGTTTTGATTTAAAGTGAGAGACATTTGACTCTTCCTTTCATTTGAATACTGAGAGGCCATTGTAGGGTTATTAATTGGCCTAATTTCAATATTGTGTGTTTCAGGCAATAGTGAGGCCCAACGAGAAGAAAGAGTCAGGGAACAGCTGGTCGATGGAGCAGTCAGAACACACATAACATTGATTGATTAAGTTCACTGTCTTATATGGTCATGATTTTTGGTGCCTCAGAACAATTACAGTAACATCAAAGATCACTGATCACAGATCACCATAACAGATATAATAATAAAAAAGTTTGAAGCTAGGTGTGGCGGCTTACACCTGTAATACAGGTGCTTTAGAAGGCTGAGGTGAGAGGTTTGCTTTAAGGCCAGGAGTTTGAGACTAGACTCAGCAACATAACAAGACCTCATCTGTAC
Organism: Homo sapiens; assembly: GCF_000001405.40. Lineage (NCBI taxonomy): Eukaryota > Metazoa > Chordata > Mammalia > Primates > Hominidae > Homo > Homo sapiens. The sequence continues at coordinate 72,094,694 of NC_000015.10, read as the reverse complement.
AAAAACTTAAAAAATAAGCTGGGCAGGGTGGCATGCACTTGTAGTGCTAGCTACTTGGGAGGCTGAGGCAGGAGGATTGCTGGAGCACAGGAATATGAGGCTGCAGTGAGCTATGATGGTCATGCTGCTGCACTGCAACCTGGGTGACAGAGCGAGATCCTGTCTCTAAAAATAAATAAATACATAAAAAAGTTTAAAAAAGCTTGAAATACTGCAAGAATTACCAAAATTTGACACAGAGACACGAAGTGAGCACATGCTGTTAGAAGATGGCACCTGTTGACTTACTTGACACAGGGTTGCCACAAACCTTTAATTTGTTAAAAAATCACTATCTGTGAAGTGCAATAAAGCAAAGTGCGATAAAATGAGGTATGTCTATATATGTTAGATTTTCTTACTCTTATGTATTTTTTCTTTTATTCCTCCTCCTCCTCCTCCTCTTCCTTCTTTCTTCTTCCTCCTTCCTCTTTCTTCTTTCTTCTTTTGACAAGTTCTTGCTCTGTTTCCCAGCTGGAGTGCAGTGGTGTGATCATAGCTCACTGCAGCCTTGAACTCCTGGGCTGAAGTGATCCTCCCACCTCAGCCTCTCAAGTTCCTGGGATTATAGCTACGAGCCACCGTGTCTGGCTTTCTTATATGTTTTTTTAACCTTTTTTTGTATTTTTGTGTTTTTCTTCTTTTTTTGGGTGTGTATTTTTCTTCTTTTACTGTGGGTGATTTCTTCAGATGTATGTTTTAAGTTCACTACTTTTCAATGATTTTATTTTATTTTTTATTTGTGTGGTTTTTTTTATTTAATTTTTTTGAGATGGAGTCTCACTCTGTTGCCCAGGCTGGAGTGCAGTGGCACAGTCTCGGCTCACTGCAACCTCCGCCTCCTGGCTTCAAGTGGTTCTTGTGCCTTAGCCTCCCAAGTAGCTGGGATTAGAGGTGCCTGCTGTCATGCCCAGCTAATTTTTCTATTTTTAGTAGAGACGGGGTTTCACCAAGTTGGCCAGGCTGGTCTTGAACTCCTAACCTCAAGTGATCCACCCATCTCAGCCTCCCAAAATGTTGGGATTACAGGCTTGAGCCACTGTGCCTGGCCTGATTTGATTTTTAATTTCAGTTCCTTGTGTTTTACAATTTTAGAAATTATTTTAATTCTTTATATTTGCTAAGTCATTTTTTCTCTGTTGCCCAGGGCGGAGTGCAGTGGTGTGATCTCGGCTCACTGCAGCCTCTTTCCCTTGGGCTCAGGTGATCCTCTTGCCTCAGCCTCTTGAGTAGCAGGGACGATAGGTGCAGGCCACCACACCCAGCTATTTTTTATTTTATTTTATTTTTTGTAGAGACAGGGTCTCACTATGTTGCCCAGGCTGGTGTTGAACTCCTGGGCTCAAGTGATCAGCCCACCATAACCTCCCAAAGTGCTGAAATTACAGGCATGAGCCACCACACCTAGCTTGCTAAGTCATTTTTTAATGATTCTTTCCCCTCTCATATATACGACCCTTTCAAGCTTGTTTGTTGCTTTAAACTTTAGAAAGCAGTTATTTTATATTCTCTATGTGATCTTTTCTAATATCTGAAATTTTTGCATGTGTGTTGGTATTCTTTGCTTGCTTGCTTTTCATTTGTGGTGCTTTTTTTCTTGTTAATTTTTCCTGGGACAGTACTTGGTGGGTTTTGCACATGTATTTTCTAAATGTTTATGGCCTGATGTTTTTTACTTCATCTAGGTGATGGGAATTAGAGCCTCAAATCTCTGTGTGTGTGTGTGTGTGTGTGTGTGTGTGTGTAAGTAAGGTGGTGGCTGAAGTGGTGGTGTGTGTCTTGTTGTTACAAGTAAATGGAAACTGGCTTGTGCCACCTGTTTTGTTTGGGCTGCAAGCTAGTAGAGTTTTTTTTACATTTTTAAATGGTTGGAAAAAAATAATTTGTGACATGAAAATCATATGAAATTCAAACTTAAGTGCCTATAAATCTTTATTGAATACATCCATGCTCACTGGTTTATGTATTGTCTGTGGCTGTTTTCATGCTACAACAGCAGAGCTGATTGGTTACAACAGAGATCATATTGCCTTCAAAGCCTAAAATATTTATTTATTTATTTATTTTTTAGAGACAGTCTCCCTCTGTTGCCCAGGATGGTGGGCAGTGGTCGTGCAGTGGTGAAGTCATAGCTTACTGCAGTCTTAAACCCCTGGGCTCAAGGGATCCTGCTGCCTCAGCCTCCGGAGTAGCTGGGACTACAGGCAGGCACCACACTCAGCTAAGGCCTAAAATATTTATACCTCTGGCCCTTTACAGAAAAAGTTTGCTGTTTCCTGTTAATAACTTGTCAGGAACTCTCCTTTCTCCCATCATTCTTTTCTGCTCAGTGCCAAAGCAGCTTTCTTTGAAGTTCTTAGGGGATTAGGTTAGAATAGGACAGGTTTACTTTTGTTCATTTTACTGGTTCCAGCCATATGGTATAGGGGTGTCTTATCAGACTCACCACTAAGGCTGGGTCATGGGCTTGGCTTCTATCATTATGAGACTATGAAAACCAAAGCCTGAGTTTGGCTTCTGTCAGTAGCTAACCTGGCTTCAGTGCTCTGCTTATCTCTCTGAATTCCTGCCCTATCTTATGTTTTGGGCTTATAATTCTTTAACATTAGCTCTTTGAGGCTTTTAAGAATATATATTTTTCGCCGGGCGCGATGGCTAACACCTGTAATCCCAGCACTTTGGGAGGCCAAGGTGGGTGGATCACAAGGTCAGGAGATCGAGATCATCGTGGCTAACACAGTGAAACCCCGTCTCTACTAAAAAAATACAAAAAATTAGCTGGGCGTGGTGGCGGGCACCTGTAGTCCCAGCTACTCGGGAGGCTGAGGCAGGGAGAATGGTGTGAACCTGGGAGGCGGAGCTTGCAGTGAGCCGAGATCGCGCCACTGCACTCCATCCTGGGCAAGAGAGTGAAACTCTGTCTCAAAAAAAAAAAAAAGAAAAAAAGAATATATATTTTCTGATGTATTTAGTTTTAAAAATCTTAGTTGTAGTTGTGTTCTGTGTAATTGGCCATGTTATTGGAGATGGATATCTCCATTCTTTTTTGAATATGAAGAAATTAAGGCTCAGAGAGAGAGAGTAGTTCAGGTAAAGTTGTATTACTAGTAAATAGCAGAGTTTGACTTTCAGAAGCTTATTTATGATCTAGGAGTGTGAGCAGTTAGGCTTGCGTATTCTTTCCCATATATGACTGTAGTCTTAAGGATTTCTACTGTTTTAGCCATGTGGAAATGTCTCAGTCACAGAGGACAAGAAAAGAAAGAAAAGAAAAACAAGAAAAGAATAAAGTGGTTAAAAGCTATTTGGTATAGAAAGCTAACACCCCATATGGATATCAAGAAATAAAAACGAAAAAGAAATGGTGAATTTTGTTTGTAAAATTCAGTAAATTTGTTATATTAACTATTTGTATCAATGATTAAAATAGGTATGAAAGTTGACTTTTTTTTTTTTTTGAGACAGATCTTACTCTGTTATGCAGGCTGTGGTGCAGTGGTGAAGTCATAGCTTACTGCAGCCTTGAACTCCTGGGGTCCAGTGATCCTCCTGCCTCAGCCTGCCAAGTAGCTAGGACTACAGGTATGAGCCACCATGCCTGGGTAGATTTTTAAATTTTTTTTGTGGAGATGAGGTGTTGCTTTTTTATTTTTTTATTTTTTATTTATTTATTTTTTTTTTGCTGAAGCTGTTCTTGAACTCGTGGGCTCAAGTGGTTTTCCCACCTCAGCCTCCCAAAGTGCTGGGATTACAGGTGTGAGCCACTGCGCCCAGCACCCAATCATTGTTTATTTATATACAGTATCACACTTAATCTCACAGCAATGATGAACTAGGTGATGGAGTTTTTTTAAAAAAGAATATAAACATTTAGGGAAGGTGGTTTATTATCTTTCCAAGATTTCACAGCTAGTAAGTGTAATGGTAGGATCTGAACCCCTCACTGTGTGACTGACTACAAAGCCCATGTTTATTTTCAGATTATATTGCAAAAAACCCCAGAGTCTTTAAATGGTTAATGGAGATTATGAAAATATGTTTAACATTTCTATACTTATATGAGAGTCCCCTAGGCTTTTATTTAGGGGCTAGTTTTATTTCAGGTAATTTAAGTAAGAATTTGGTTTCTAAGGTTACGTAGTATAGAAACAGTAAATGAGAACAGGGACATTTATAGGTTGTTAGGCTGATAGGATGAAGCACTTGTCTATAAAGCAATCTGGGAATATTGACAGGGACAGCCAACCTTGTTTATATCAGTAGTTTCTAATAAATATTAACTGTATCATATCAAAATTAACATTTGTTATGCAATTCTAAATTTTTAAGAAATGCATGGTATATTTAATATACTTTGTTTAAAAAGATATAAAGTTAGTATATTATAGAAATAATTAATCCAGAGTATTAAAAGAAGAACTTCTAAAGCTTAGAGAAGCTTAAAGAGCTGAAATTCCAGTTCATTGGAAAACTTGAATATTTAGGATTTCTCTAAAACTTCAGAACAGCTGTAATTTTACCAGTGGGCTAATAAGTAGTAATTTATGACTTGCTACCTATCTAATTCTAATGACCATGCAGTACATAGTGATTAACTTGCACTTTTATTTTACATAAAAGTAATTTCAATTCCTGTATACTTAGTCTTAATAAGTTATTAATATAGCATTGTTATCTCACAGCTTAACAAAATAGAGGTGAGATTGTTTAATATCCCACTCGAAGCCATTGGCACAATACAGTTTTTGATACAGAATGAATATGACACCTCTTAAAAAGGACCAAAACCCAGAGAAACTTTTAAGTTTGAACTTTTTAGTAAGTGGTATGACAACATTGCTGTTGATAAGTTGGTGTTTTTTTTGCTTTTGTTTTTGAGGAGGGTCTCACACTGTTGTCCAAGCTAGAGTGCAGTAGTGAGATCATGGCTCACTGTAGCCTTTACTTTTGGGGCTCGAGCTTTCCTCTCACCTCAGCCTCCTGAGTAACTGGGACCACAGCAGTATGTCACCACACCCAGCTAATTTTTAAAATTTTTTGTAGAGACGAAGTCTCACTATGTTGCCCAGACTGGTCTCGAACTCCTGGCCTCAAGTGATCCTCCTCCCTTCCTTTCCCAGAGTGCTGGGATTATAGGTGTGAGCCTCTGTGGCCCAGCTCATACGGTTCTTGAAGGAATAAAAATGACCCATCCTGCCGGGCACAGTGGCTGATGCCTGCAGTCCTAGCACTTTGGGAGGCTGAGGTGGGAGGATCACTTGAGCTCAGGAGTTCAAGACCAGCCTGGGCAACATAGTGAAACTGTCTCTACAAAAAAATTAAAAAATTAGCCAGGTGTGGTGCTGTGTGCCTATAGTCCTAGCTATTGGGGTGGCTGAGGTGGAAGGATTGCTTGAGCCCAGGAGGTTGAGGCTGTGGTGAGCTGTGATCAAGACATTGCACTGTAGTCTGGGTAACAGAGTGAGACCCTGTCTCAAAACAAAAACAAAAACAAAAACCATTATTTTTCTACATTGTTTTGACTCTTGAGGTAATAAGACAACATTTGATGAGTATTTTGAAGTGTTAACTTAGTTGTGCAGTGTCCCATTCCAGGGAGAACAAGATTTCAGAATTTATTCTTGATTGAGTTCATAAGGGATACTCTGTTTTCTGATCATACTCTTGCCTTTGGAATGTTTTATTCTGCAAAAGTGTACATCATTGACCAGAGAAGGGAGACTGGATGACTGTGGATAAATGAGCATAGACATACATGTAAGTAGAAAAATCAACCCTGGCATATATTTTGTTGATGGTGGGTTAGCTGGACTGTATTTAGATAGTATTTGAAGAGCAGTTTTTTTAAGTTCTGGAGTAACATTTGAGTTTTCCAAACTCAGGGAACGTCTCTGTCAGTCAGAACAAAATACTACTGGTAAGAGCAATAAGATAATCAGCAGAAACTAGCATATACATATATATATTTTTTACTGACTGGTAGAGCTCTTTTTGGTTGTTGGTTCTAAATGCCTAATGTCAGTATTAGCAAGGCTGAGAAGTATACATGAAGCAGCTGCTAAAGGAGTGAGTCAAGGGAGGTGAGGGTGTATATGTCACAGTAGTAAGTGGCAAATGTGTTAGATTATAAATTTGATAATGTGTTGGAAAGTAGACCTCTGACAATGGTAAATACTAAGAGCAGAGATCAGAGATGATCACAGTAGAGGAGATGGAAGAGAAAGGAACTCTATAGAATATTTGAAGCACTATTGGAAAAAGAAAGGCAAAGTAGGCACAGAAGGCATTGACCTATGACAGTAGGCCCAGAGGGCATTGCACTTTTTGGGCAATGACAGAAAACTAGTTAGTATTCTATAGAGTTTATTATAAAACAGTATCAAGTTGAACATATTAATAATTGTGTGCCAAAGACTGCTGTACAGTTGTATTAATTTGCTGGGGCTGCCATAACAAAATACCACAGATTGAGTGGCTTAAAAAACAAAAATTTATTTTCCTACACTCCTGGTGACTAGAAGTCCAAGATCAAGGTGTTGTCAGGTTTAGTTTCTCCTGGAGCCTCTTTTTTTGGCTTGCTGGTAGCTGCTGTTTGCCGTATCCTTCCATGACCTTTTTTTGTAGTGCACACATCCCTGACATCTCTTCTTACAAGGACACCCATCCTATTGAAGTAGGACCTTTCCTTATGACCTCATTTAACCTTCATTACTTCTTTAAAGGTCCTGTCTCCAAATACACTCACATTGCAGATTGGGGCTTTAACATACAAATTTTGGGAGAACAGCACAGTTCAGTACATAACGACAGTAGTATAAACCCAAACAGCAGAAAAGAATAGAAGGTAAATTTTCTCTGGAGAAAGGCATAGTGGAAAAAAAATATGAGAAAGAAAGGAGGAAGGTGGGCAAGATGGCTGACTAGACACAGCCAGGTGGAATGGCTGCCACTGAGGGACTGGGACAACTGGCACACTCCTAACAGATCTTCAGAGGGAAGGCACTGAGAGTAGACAGAGGGAAGACACAGATGTTGGGATGAAGTGGGAGGAACCTGGGAACCCTGCACAAGGCTACTATGCACCAGGACTTGTTCCTGGTGCCCAGTGACTCCAGGGAAACGGGTGAGTTGAACTGGCAAGGAACGGTATGCTCTCACCACAGGCCTCTGGAATCCTGGCAGGAGGAGATCCCTCAAACTTCATGGACACTCGAGTTGGCAGGGAGAGCTGCTTGATTCTCAAGCACACTTGAAAAGTGGTAGAGGCAGCACTCCAGTCAGTGCAGAGCCCAGAGGGTTTGGTGCAGGAGTGTCTATAGTGGAGCATGGCCAGGGATGCCCATCTCCCTAGGCTTGACTTGCTCCCATAGGAGACTTTAGCCCTAGAGAAAGTCAGACCTGAACTCTGCAGGGCAGTCTTGCCCATCAACCTGAGCATGCTTTGGTCTGCTGGCCTCTTCTGGGGACCCAGCCTGGTTGCGCCTGCTTGCAGTGAAGCCTTGGGTACCCTGGGGACCTGCATCATAGCTCCTGGGCTGGCTGACCTGACCACACTTGAATGGCAGAGAGCTGCAGTAGAATAGCTCCTGTGGGCCGGGGCGGTGGCTCATGCCTGTAATCCCAACACTTTGGGAGGCCGAGGCAGGTGGATCACCTGAGGTCGGGAGTTTGACACCAACCTGACCAACATGAAGAAATCCCGTCTGTACTAAAAATACAAAATTAGCTGGGTGTGTGGTGCATGCCTGTAACCCCAGCTACTTGGGAGGCTGAGGCAGGAGAATCGCTTGAACCTGGGAGGCGGAGGTTGTGGTGAGCTGAGATTGCACCATTGCACTCCAGCCTGGGCAACAAGAGTGAAACTCTGTCTCAAAAAAAACAACAACAACAAAAACAACAAAAAAAACAAAACAGCCCCGGTGGATATGCACCAGCCTGCCTGCCTGCTCCCTTCCCCTATTGCAGCTTACACCCCAACCCCTCCCTGCCCACAGACCACTGCCCCGGCCCCCCCAACACACATCACTTTGCCGGTGTGTGTGCACAGGCAGATCTTGCTTTCCCTCGCCTCGCCAGCACGTGTGCACGTGCACATTACCCTGTGCCACTGCTGCCAGTGTGAGTGCACTCTGCCTCCCTTCCCCTGGTTGTACTGTAATTGCAGTCAGAGTCTTGGCAGGCACAGAGCCTTTCAGCCCTGCCCTGCCAGTGCCCCACCCCGCCAGTGCCCCACCCCCTTGCCAACATTGCTGCTGGAGTGAAACTAGGCACAGAGAACAATGAACCCTCCCCCTCCCTGAGTGGCCATCCCCACCTGTGTAAATGTGCACAGAGGGTGCACACAGATTTGCCCTTACCAGCACTACCCGGCTAACACCACCACCAGTGTGACCACATGCATAGTTGCCAGTGGGGCCCGCTTAAGCCATGCTGCCTGTACCACTGCTACAAACGCCCACACTGAGGCTGACACTCTGGCATCTGCTAGCACACTGCCACAGCTGACAAGTGTGCACCCCTCTGTGCTGCCACTGGCACATGGGAATGAGGGTAGATCCCACTGCCACTGCCTTACAAAACTCTTTGGCACCACCCGCTGGAGTGTAGTGACAAGTAGTCCAGGGGCACCTTGACACCCTCCTACCCCCAGTGCAGTGGGTTCCTAACATTGAGGAGCCAGAGAACAAAATAGGGTCCCAATACCAGTCCCCCAGATTTAGAGCATGTAATCTGGGAGTTAGGAGCTGAACCTTGGCCACCTAAAATCTTCCAGAAATGAAGCCAGTTGACTGAACCCACCTTATATACCACAATCAAACCCTCAAGGTCATCAAATAGGGTGAAAGGAAAAAAACAAAAAACCATTTCGAAGGACAGCATCTTCAAAGATTGAAGGAACATCAGCCCGCAAAGTTGAGAAAGAACCAGCGTAAGAATCCTGATAACTTAAAAAGCCAGAGTGCCTTCTTTTCTCCAGACAACCACACTGGCTTTCCAGCAAGGTTTCTGAACTAGGCTGAGATGGGTGAAGTGACAGAAATAGAATTCAGACAATGGATAGGAACGAAGATCATAGAGATGCAGGAGTGCACTGAAACCCAATCCAAGGAAGCTAAGAATCACAATAAAATAATACAGGAGCTGACAGATGAAATAGCCATTATAGAAAAGAATGTAACCAACCCGAATGAGCTGAAAAACATGCTCCAAGAATTCCATAATGCAGCTGCAGATTTTTTCATTTTTTCTTTTTTTTTTTTTTGAGACAGACTCTCTCACTCTGTCGCCAGGCTGGAGTGCAGTGGCTCAATCTTGGCTCACTGCAACATTTGCCTCCTGGGTTGAAACGATTCTCCTGCCTCAGCTTCCCGAAAAGCGGGGGCTACAGGCCTGTGCCACCACACCCAGCTAATTTTTGTATTTTTAGTAGAGACGGGGCTTTACCATGTTGGCCAGGCTGGTCTCGATCTCTTGACTTCATGATTCACCCACCTTGGCCTCCCAAAGTGCTGGGACTACAGGCGTGAGCCACCACGCCCGGCCAGCTGCAGGTATTAATAGCAGAATAGGTCAAGCTGAGGACAGAATCTCAGAGCTTGAAGACTGGCTTTCTGAAATAAGACAGTCAATCAGGCAGGAATATGGATAAAAGAATGAAGATGAACAAACAAAACCTCCAAGAAATACGGGATTATGTAGAGACCAAATCTATGACACCCGACTCATTGGTGTCCCTGAAAGAGTTGGGGAGAATGGAAGCAACTTGGAAAATATATTTCAGGATCTCATTCATGAGAACTACAAAGGGAAGCCCATCAGACTAATGGTGGACCTCTCAGCAGAAACTCTACAAGCCAGAAGAGGCTGGGAGTGAATATTCAAGATTCTTAAAGAAAAATTCCAACCAAGAATTTCTTATCCAGCCAAACTAAGCTTCATAGCAAAGGGGAAATAAGATCCTTTTCAAACATGTAATTGCTGAGGGAATTTGATACCGTCAGACGTGTCTTACAAGAGCTCCTGAAGGAAGCACTAAGTATGGAAAGACTGTTAGCAGCCACTACACAAACACACTGAAGTACTCAGACCAGTGACACTATAAAGCAGCCACACAAGTCTGCATAACAACCAGGTAACATCATGATGTCAGTATCAAATCCACACTTATCAATACTAACCTTGAACGTAAACAGGCTAAATGCTCCAATTAAAAGGCACAGAGTGAGAAATTGGATAAAAAAACTAAGGTGTGTAGTGCATCTCCTATGCAGTGACACCCATGGGCTCAAAATAGAGGGATGGAGAAAAATTACCAAGCAAATAAATGGAAAACAAAAAAGCAAGGGTTGCAATCCAAATTTCAAACAAAACAATTTAAACCAACAAAGATGAAGAAGGACAAAGAAGGGCATTACATGATGGTAAAGGGTTCATTTCAACAAGAGAATTAACTATCCTAAATATATATGCACCCAACACAGGAGCGCCCAGATTCATAAAGCAAGTTCTCAGAGACCTTCAAAGAGATGTAGACTTCTACACCATAATAGTGGGAGAGCTTAACACCCCACTGACAGTATTAGAAAGATCATCAAGGCAGAAAATTAACAGATATTCAGGACCTGAACTCAGCACTGGATCAGATGGACCTAATAGACATCTACAGAACTCTCTACCCCAAAACAACAGAATATACATTCTTCTCATCACCACATGGCACATACTCTGAAATTGACCACACAATTCGACATGTTTCTCTGCAAATGCAAAAGAACTGAAGTCGTAACAACCACTCTCTTGGGCCACAGTGCAATAAAATTAGAAGTCACATCTAAGAAAATTGCTCAAAACCATACAATTACATGGAAATTAAACAACCTTCTTCTGACTTTTGGGTAAACCATGAAATTAAGGCAAAAACCAAGTTCTTTGAAACTAATGAGACCAAAGATAAAATATACCAGAATCTCTGGAACACAGCTAATGCAGTGTAAAGAGGAAAACTTACAGCACTAAGTGTGCACATGAAAAAGTTAAAAAGATCTCAATTTAACAACCTAATATCACAACTAAAAGAACTAGAAAACCAAGAGCAAACCAACCCCCAAACTTGCAGCATACAAGAAATAACCAAAATCAAAGCTGAATGGCAGGAGATTGAGACACGAAAAACCATTCAAAACATCAGTGAATTTAGGATTTGGTTTTTTGAAAAAATTAATAGATTGCTTGCTAAACTAATAAGAAAATGGAGAAGGTCCAAATAAACACAATTAGAAACAACAAAAGGGCTATTACCACTGACCTCACAGAAATAGGAATAATCATCAGACTGTTATGAACACCTCTGTGTACAGAAACTAGAAAATCTAGAAGAAATGTATAAATTCCTAGATACGTACACCTTCCTAAGACTCAACCAGGAAGAAATTGGATCTCTGAACAGGTCAGTAATGAGTTTTGAAGTTGAATCAGTAATAAATAGCCCATCGAGCAAAAAAGCCCAGGACCAGATGGATTCAAAGCCAAATTCTACCAGATATACAAAGAAGAGCTGGTACTATTCCTACTGAAACTATTCCCAAAAATTGAGGAGGAGGGACCCCTCCTTAACTCATTCTGTGAGGCCAGTATCATCCTGATATCAAAACCTAGCAGAGACACAACAAAAAAAATTGCAGGCCAGCATGCTTGATGAATATCAATGCAAAAATCCTCAACAGGATACTGGCAAACCAAATTCAGCAGCATGTCAAAAAACTTACCCACCATGATCTAGTAGGCTTTTATCACTGGGATACAAGGTTGGTTCAACATATGCAAATCAGTAAATGTGATTCGTCACATAAACAACTAAAAAAACCACATGATTATATCAATAGATGCAGAAAAGAATTTTGATAAAATTCAACAGCCTTTCGTGTTAAAAACTCTCAATAAACGAGGTATTGAAGGAATATACCTCAAAATAATAAGACAGACCCACAGCCAACATCATACTGCATGGGCCAAAACTGGAAACATTTGTCTTAATCTGGCACAAGACAAGAATGCCCTCCATCACTGCCTAATTCAACATAGTATTGGAAGTCCTGGCCAGAGGAATCAGGCAAGGGAAAGAAATAAAGGGCATTTAAATAGGAAGAGAGGAAGTCAAACTATCCCTGTCCATGTCCCTGTCCATGTCCTTGGCAGATGACATGACTATATTTAGAAAACCTCATAATCTCAGCCCAAAAGCTGCTTAAGCTGATGACATCAGCAAAGTCTCGGGATATAAAACCAACATACAGAAATCACTAGCATTCCAATACACCAACAGTCAAGAAGCCAAGAACCAAATTAGGAACACAAATCCCATTCACAATCATCACAAAAGGAATAAAATACCTAGGAATACAGCTAACCAGGGAGGGGAAAGATATCTACAAGGAGAACTAGAAAACACTGCTGAAAGAAATCAGAGATGACACAAACTAATAGAAAAACATTCCACATTCATAGGAAGAATCAGTTTGTTAAAATGGCCATACTACACAAAGCAGTTTATCGATTCAGTGCTATTCCTATCAAACTACCAATGACATTCTTCATAGATCTAGAAAAAAATATTTAAAAATTGATATGGAACCAAAAAAGAGCCCAAATAGTCAAGGCAATCCTAAGCAAAAACAACAAAGTTGGAGGCATCTACCAGACTTCAAACTGTACTACAAAGGGCTACCGGAAACAAAACAGCATGGTACTGGGACAAAAATAGACATATAGACCAATGGAATGGAGAGCTCAGAAATAAGGCACACCTACAACCATCTGACCTTCAACAAAGCTGACAAAAACAAGCAATGGGCAAAGGACTCCCTCCTCAATAAATGGTGCTGGGATAACTGGCTAGCTGTATGAAGAAGATTGAAACGATGCCTTCCTTTCACCGTGTACAAAAATTAACTCAAGATGGATTAAAGTCTCTAATTTAAAACCTAAAACTGTAAAAACCATGGAAGACAACCTAGGCACTACCATTCTGGACTCAGGAATGGGCAAAGATTTTATGACGAAGACACCAAAAGCAATTGCAAAAGCAAAAATTGACAAAGAGCTTAGAGTGACTAAAGAGCTTCTGCACAGCAAAAGAAACTATTAACAGAGTAAACAGTCTACAGAATGGAAGAAAAGTTTTGGAAACTGCATCTGACAAAGATCTAATATCTAGCACCTATAAAGAATTTAAATTTACAAGAAGAAAACCCGCTAAAAAGTGGGTAAAGGACATGAACACACACTTTTCAAATGAAGACATACCTGTGGCCAACAAGCATGTGGAAAAACACTCAACATCACTGATAATTAGAGAAATGTGAATCAGACCACAATGAGATGCCACCTCGCACCAGTCAGAATGACTATTATTAAAAAGTCAAAAATAACAGATGCTAGCGGGGTTGCAGAGAAAAAGGAACACATATACAGAGTTGGTGGGAGTGTAAATTAGTTCAACCATTGTAGAGAGCAGTGTGGTGATTCCTCAGTGACCTAAAAAGAACTACCATTCAACCCAGCAATCTCATTACTGGGTGTATACCCAAAGTAATATAAATCATTCTATCCTAAAGACATGTACACATGTGTGTTTGTTCACTGCAGCACTATTTATGATAACAAGGACGTGGAATCAACCTAAATGCCCATCAGTGGTAGACCGGTAAAGAAAATGTGGTGTATATATACACCATGGAATACTGTGTAGCCATCAAAAAGAACAAGATCATTTTCTTTGCAGGAACATGGATGAAGCTGGAGGCCATTATTCATAGTAAACTAATATGGGAACAGAAAACCAAATACCACATGTTCTTACTCATAAGTGGAAGCTAATTGATGAGGTGGAGGGTGGGAGCAGAGAGAGAATCAGGAAAAATAACCAATGGGTACTAGGCTTAATACCTGGGTGATGAAATAATCTGTACGGCAGACCCCTGTGATGTGAGTTAACCTTTATAAGAAACCTGCACATGTACCCTTGAACTTAAAAGTAAAAAAAAAACCCAAAAAGTATAATTTCACAATTTAGACCTCACTTTTTACATTTTTTAAGTAGCTTACTGGGAGGATCTTTGCATTTTTGGGGTGACTGGTATTAACGCTTTCTGGCTCTTACTGTCTCCTTGAGCTGTGGAGACTGTCTTCATAGGTTGGTGGACACTTCTCTCCTAGGCTAATTGCTGCATAACTTCCCACTCTCTGTAAATGGCAGATGATGAAACTCCCAGAGAAACTTCTCATGGCCATATTTGTCCTTATCAAGGAAAATTAAAATACCCACATTTACCAAAAAAAAAAAAAAAAAAGAGAAGCATGGTTAGTTTATTGATTGGTACGTTGTTAGTTGATTTTATATCATAATAGCACATCTCAGACCAGTTTTCTTCCTTATTCTGATATAATGGATACTGTTGCATTCTGTATTACAACTTCACTATTATATGAATTATATAATGTGAATTAAGCTGTCAGCATCTACACCAGGGAGGAGTGTGTATGTGTTTTAGGGTATAATCAGCCGAGTAATAAAAGGAGGGTGCAATGGAAATACAGTCTTTGTAGGGATGGCATTACAGACAAACTAAGAATCAGCAGATAATACTTGTTCCTTGCCTGATCAATCACTATTGAGTGATTTAAAATTCCTTTTAAATACTTACAGGTAAAAATGCTTTTTTAAACTTTTAAATACTTTTTTATACTTTTAAATACAGGTGCAGAAATACTTACAGGTAAAAATCTGTCTCCAATGTTAGTTTATGCTGAGGCTGTTTAGTCTTAAAGATTTATAAAACATTTTGAAATTCCTCTTCAGATTCTGAAGCCTACATTTTAAATGTAGTATAAAACCTAATAATAGCGAATTGGAAACATTAATGTAGATCCTCTTAAGAGAGATCAAGACATATGGATTAGGACACACTCCACATCCCCCATCTTTTCCTTTCATTCCCTTCACAGTAGTGTTGGTTTTCCATAGTGTTCGTTTCCTAGTGGTGCTCTTTCCAGTTTGGTATATGTGTTTTCATATATTTATTTGTGCATTTACTTATATATATGCATATGCACTTGTAGACCATATGTCACCTTGCATTTTTAAAACACATGCATATTATACTGTATCCTTTTTTCGATATTCATCTTCAGATAGAAGGCCTAAGAGACTGTTGAGTATTACATTTTAAAAAATTAAGTTTTAATTTACAATAAAATGCCAAAATTTTATAGTATGCAGGTTGATGACTTTGTAAGCAACTAAAAATTATTTTAATTAATATACTTTATTTTTAAAATTTTAAATTTTCTTTTATTTTTAATAGGGTCTATTTTTTAAAGCAGTTTTAGGTTTACAGTGAAATGCAGCAGAAAATACGGAGTTTCCGGATATCACCTTGCTCCTCCTCCTGCCCCCACAGTTTCCCCTATTGTTTAGCATCTTGGTTAAGTGAGGTCCATTTGTTACAGTTGATGAGCCATATTAATCCATCGTTACTATTTGTGGTCTGTAGTTTAGGGTTCACTCTCTGTGTCCTACATCCTGTGGGTTTTGACAGATGTATAATGACATGTCTGTACCGTTACAGTATCATAGAGAATAGTTTCACTGCCTTAAAAATCTCATGCTTTTACCTTTTCATCCTTTCACCTCCCACAACGCTTTTCAACCACTGTCTTCTTGCTGTCGCCATAGTTTTGCCTTTTCCAGAATGTCATGTAGTTGGAATCATACAGTACATAGGCTTTTTGGATTTACTTAGCAATGTATATTTAAGATTCCTCTGTATTTTTTCATGGTTCGATAGCTCGTTTGTCTTTATTGCTGAAATATATTCTATTGTATGGATACTAGGGTTTGTTTATTCACCTTTTGAAGGACATCTTGGTGGCTTTCAATTTCTGACAATCATAAATAAAGCTACCGTAAACATCCATGTGCAGGTTTTTAAAGTTATTTTTTTATTTTTAGCAACAGTTTCTCACCATATTGCCCAGGCTGGCCCCAAACTCCTGGGCTCAAGCAATTCTCCCACCTCAGCCTCTTGAATAGTGAGGACTGTTGCCATGTGCCACTGTGTCTGATTTCTGTCTGCAGGTTTTTGGGTGGAGGTAATTTTTGTTTGTTTTGCCTTTTGAGACAGGGTCCCACAGGCTGGAGTGCAGTGGTATGATCTGGGCTCACTCTAGCCTCTATCTTTCTGGTTCAAGGGATCCTCTCACTTCAGCCTCCTGAGTAGCTAGGACCACAGGCATGTACCACCATGCCTGGCTAATTTTATTTTTTGTAGAGAAGGAGGTCACACCACATTGCCCAGGCTGGTCTTGAACTCCTAGGCTCAAGCGTTCCTCCCACCTCAGCCTTCCAAAGTGCTAGGATTACAGGCATGAGCCACCCTGGCAAGCCCTGTAGTGAAGTGAATTTTTAGCTCATTTGGGTAAATACCAGTGAGCATGGTTGGTAGATTATATGGCAAAAGTATGTTTAGTTTTGTAAGAACTGCCAAACTGTCTTGAAAAGTGGTTGTACTATTTTGCATCCCCACCAGCAATGAATGAGAGTTCCTGTAATTCCACATTCTTACTAGCATTTGGTTTTGTCATTGTTTCAGAATTTTGCCATTCTAATAGGCATATAGTACTATCTCACCATGGTTTTGATTTTCAGTTCCCTAACAAATATGATTTTGAGTATCTTCATTTAGTTATTTGTTGTCTGTATATCTTCTTTGGTGGGATGTCTGTTTAGATTTCCCACTTGGCCCATATTAATTGGGTTATTCATTTCCTTATTATTGTGTTTTAAGAGTTATTGGAGGTGTGTGTGTTTATGTGTTTATATATATATATATATATATATATATATTTTTTTTTTTTTTTTTTTTCTTTGAGACAGAGTCTCACTCTGTTGCCCAGGCTGGAGTGCAATGGCATGATCTTGGCTCACTGCAACCTCTGCCCGCGCCGCCCCCCGCCACCCTGCCACCACCCTGCCGTCACCCCGGTTCAAGTGATTCTCTTGCCTCAGCCTCCTGAGTAGCTAGAATTATAGGCATGCACCACCACACCTGGCTAATTTTTGTATTTTTAGTAGAGATGGAGTTTCAGCCTGTTGGCCAGGCTTGTCTTAAACTCCTGACCTCAAATGATCCACCCACATCTGCCTCCCCAAGTGCTAGGATTACAGATGTGAGCCATGGCGCCCGGCATCTTTAAGGTATATTTTGAATACTAGTCCTTTATCATATATGTGTTTTGCAAAGATTTTCTGTCAGTCTGTGGCTTGTCTTTTCATTCTCTTAACGGTGCCTTTTGCAGAGCAGAAGTTTTTATTTTTAATGAAGTCCAGCTTATCAATTATTTCTTCTATGGTTTGTGCTTTTGGTGTTGTATCTAAAACGTCATTGCCAAGGCTGAGATTAGCAAGATTTTCTCTTATACTGTCATCACCAAGCCTAAGTTTACCAAGATTTTCCCCCATGCTGTCTTATAGGAGTTTAATAGTTTTGTGTGGTACACTCAGATATGCGATCCATTTTGAGTTAATTTTTGGTGAAACGTGTAAGGTCTGTGTTGAGATTTTTTTTTTTTTGGATGTAGTTGTCTAGTTTTTCCAGCACCATTTGTTGAAAAGACTATCCTTTTTCCATTGACTTGCCTTTGTTTCATTGTCAAAGATCAGGTGACTATATTTGTGTGGGTCTGTTTCTGGACTCTCTTTTCTGTTTCATTGATCTGTTTGTGTATTGTTTTGCCAGTCTTGATTTACTGTAGTTTTATAGTAAATTTGAAATCTTGTAGTGTCTGACCTTGTTTTTCTCCTTCAATATTGTATTGGCTATTCTTGGTCTTTTACTTTTCCATATAAACGATATAAGTTTGTCAATATTCACAAAGTAACTTTGCTGGGATTTTGATTGAGATTGTGTTGAATCTATAGATGAGTTTTGGGAAATTCACATCTTAGTAATACTGAGTCTTCCTCTTCTTGAACATGGTATATCTACATTCATTGAGATTTTAATTTCTTTTAGCAAAGTTTCATAGTTTTCACGTTAGAGATCTTTCACATATTCTGGTTAATTTTATTGCTAAGTGTTTGTTTTTTGAGTATATTATAAATGGTATTTAAAAATGTCATTTTCCATTCTTTCATGGAGTATTTAGAAATATATTTGATTTGTGTAGATTGACCTTGTATCTTTTGAACTTGCCAAATTCAATTATTAGTTTTACTAGTTTGTCTATTTCTTTGGATCCTCCATATATAAAGTCTCATTATCTGAGACTAATAAGGTTTTTTTTTTTTTTTTTGAGACAGAGTCTCACTCTGTCGCCCAGGCTGGAGTGCAGTGGCATGATCTCAGCTCACTGCAACCTCTTCCTCCCAGGTTTAAGCGATTCTCCTGCCTCAACCTCCCTAGTAGCTGGTATTACAGGCACATGGCACCATGCCTGGATAATTTTTGGTATTTTTAGTAGAGATGGGGTTTTGCCATGTTGGCCAGGCTGGTCTCAAACTCCTGACCTCAAGTGATCTGCCCACCTTAGCCTCGCAAAGTGCTGGGATTACAGACATGAGCCACCACGCCTGGCCCATAAAGATAGTTTTAATTCTTCCTCCAGTCTTCATGCCTTCAGTTCTTTTTATTGCTTTATGGCACTTGCTGTTACCACTGGTACAGTGTTGAACAGAAGTGGTAACAGTAGACATAGCTGTCTTGTTCACAATATTTTCTAGTACTCTTCATTCCTTCTTGCAGATCTAGACTTCTGTCTGAGATTATTTTCCTTCAGTCTGAAGAAATTACTTTAGTATTTCTTACTTTATTATTATTTTTATTATAAATTTTTTTTGTAGAGATGGGGTCTTGCTATGTTGCCCAGGCTGGTCTTGAACTCCTGGACTCAAGCAGTCCTCTTGTCTTGGCCTCCTGAAGTGCTGGAATTACAGGCGTGAATCACTGTGCCTGGCTTTCTTCGTTTTAATTTGGATAGTTTGTGTTGACCTCTCTGAATTCATGGATCTTTTCTGTGTCTCATCTGTTATTAAGTCTATTTAGTGAACTTTTCAAATATTTTTTACTTGAGAATTTCCATTTGGCTCTTTTTCCCCCAAATTTCTTCTTCTGTGACAAAATATATTTAATCAATGTTTTTTCTCTCTATAAGATTATACATAATAATATCATATATTTTTATAAAATTTATTTTAAAGTCTTTGCTCATTCCAATCTGCATCATCCGTGGGTTAGTGTTGACTTTTTTCTCTTGCCTATAAGTCACATTTTCATGACTGACTATCCTGTAATTTTTATTATATGTGAATATTAAATGTAAAAAGAGCAGTGAAGGCTGAGCGTGGTAGCTCATGCCTGTAATCCCAGCACTTTGGGAAGCCGAGGCGGGTGGATCACTTGAGGTCAGGAGTTTGAGACCAACCTGACCAACATGGTGAAACCCTGTCTCTACTAAAAAAATACAAAATTAGCTGGGCGTGGTGGCGCATACCTATAATCCCAGCTGCTTGGTAGGCTGAGGCAGGAGAATTGCTTGAACCTGGGAGGTGGAGGTTACAGTGAGCTGAGATCGTGCCATTGCACTCCAGCCTGGGCAACAAGAGCAAAACTCTGTCTCAAGAAAAAAAAAAAAAAAAAAAAAAAAAAAGGCAGTGAAAATGAAATTTCTAACTGCTTCTTCCTGAGAAAAGACATGCTAATTCCTCAGACAGATCAAAAAAGGGACTAAACTATTAATTCTGACATGGAATTGAGTTATGTCTGGGCTGAGCTGCAACTGTAGTTATTTTTGGTTTCAAGTGTTTTAAGGGAGGATTCAGTCTTCACTCTACAATAGATCTTGAGATTTAAGTTTAGCTAAGTTCCGGGGATCTCTCTGCTTTAGCACTGCACTTGACTTTCTACTCTGCAGATCATCTCACTTTGCCCTCCGAGTCTACCCCTAGATTAGTGCACATTGATGTATACTCTATTAAAGCTCCATGGGGAAGAATTTTTAGGTTGTTTTGATTAACTTTACTTGTGGGACTTCTTTGGAATTTGGTCCATCGTATCAGTCTATAGGATTATTCATTCCTGTGTTCACCATGATCTCAGAGTTGAAAGTAGTCACTTGTCTGTTAGCCTAGAAAGGGCTTTTTCCTTTCTGGAATTGTTTTTTGTTGTTGTTGTTGTTTTTTTCAGACTTCTTTGTATTCTCAGCTCTCCGATGAGTTTTAAAATTTGGATTTTATAGTTTAGCTTTGTCTTTTTAATATAGTGGAGTGATTCTCCCTTGTGACCTTTAAATTCTAACTGGAAGAACTTTCAGTATTTTATTAGTTTCTTGTTTAGTACAGGTTGAAAAGGTGGTATTCTAAGTTTTTAATAGCATGAACAAATTTGATGGATTCTGAGATGACTTGCTTTTCTCATTTCCACTGAGAGCATGGTTAATTTATTATTATTATCACACATTAATACCTAGTCAAATCTAAATTTCCATCAGTTAATTTTTTTCTAGACTTCATTTTTTATGTGTAAAGGCAGGTGATGTGAGGATAAATTTTTGTTTATAGCTTCTTTCATTCTGCAAAGGAAGAGTTGAGTAGTTGGGACAGAGACCATATGACCTGTAAGACCTAAAATACTTACAGTCTGGCCCTTTATAGAGAAAAAGTTTTGTGGACCCCAGAAGTAGACCATGATTAAATCCCAATGAATAATATTTGAAGTTAAATAACTTGTCCCAGGTCACACAGCTACTTCTGTTTTTTCAAAAATTTGTGGAGTCTTTTAATTTTATTAGGCTGTGATACCTGCCATATTTACATAATACTTATCATTGGTGGCCTTTCCTTTTGTTTCCTTTCGGTTAGTAGATACCTCAATTTGGTCTGTAAGAGTTATCCAAATTACTGTATATCAAATTATATCAGAAGATTACTGTATATCAGTGCTAGGTTTCTGTTTTTATAACTCCCCAGGGACTTTTGCTATAAAATCATTGCCATGTTGAACCATTGTTAAACAGCTAATCTCAGCTATAGGTATGTATTTGTTCAATCAAAGTGTGGCTCTTTTTAATCTAAATTTCTTTCAGTTTTTAGGAGGTCATCCATGGAATATATTTTAAGTTAGATTCCTTGAGATGTGAATAAGAGTTATATGTTGACTCTATGGAACAAAGAGCAGGGGTATGCCTAGATACAATGGCTGTTGCAAGATGGTATTATTTTGTTATAATTTTTTGATGTTCCATGGACCCTGACAATTGTGGCGGTAGTTGGTTGAAATAATTACCTCTTCTGATCCATTTTTGTTACAGGAACCAAGTGAATGATTTTTAAGTATTTGGGGCAAATGTTACAAGTTGCTGATCTGAGTCTTAATGATATTTAGAGGTGAATGTATTAATGTAGTAATGGATGGTCACACTTGAAAGGTGGTAAGTAATGGCTTAGTTTCAGCTTGTGGGAACAAATGGTTTGTTAATATCTCCATACTGTCCTAAGTATCCATATTATTAGAGGATGATTCAGTAAGAATTGATTACTAACCATGACTGGTCTTAAAGGGAAATATGTCTACTTATAGGGAGGTCAGAGAATAATAATGTCCATTGATGGACACTTAAGTTGAGACCATGACTTGTGAACAGTGCTATTTGTGACTAGTGCTATAATAAACATATGAGTGAAGGTGTCTTTTTTTTTATTTTAAATTTTAGATTCAGGGTGTATACGTGCGGGTTCCTTATAAGGGTATATTGTGTAGCGCTGGAGTTTGGGTTTCTACTGAACCCATCACCCAAATAGTGAACATAATACCCAATAGGTAGTTTTTCAGACTTTCCCTCCTCCCCTCCTCACACTCCTTGGAGTCCCCAGTGTTTCATCCTTATGTCCATCTATACCCGCTACTTAGCTCCCACTTAAAAGTGAGAATATTTGGTATTTCATTTTGTTTCTGCATTAATTCACTTAGGATAATGGCCTCCAGCTGCATTCATATTGCTGCAAAGGACATGATTTCATTATTTTTTATGGTAGTGTGATATTCTATTTTGTGTATGTATCACATTTTCTTTACTCAATCTGCCATTGATGGGCACTTACATTGATGATTGATTCCATAACTTTGCTATTGTGAATAGTGCTGTGATAAACATAAGAGTGTAGGTATCTTTTGGCTGGACGCTGTGGTTCACGCCTGTAATCCCAGCACTTTGGGAGGCCGAGGCGGGTGGATCACGAGGTCAGGAGATCGAGACCATCCCGGCTAACACGGTGAAACCCCGTCTCTACTAAAAATACAAAAAATTAGCCAGGCGTGGTGGCGGGCGCCTGTAGTCCCAGCTGCTCTGGAGGCTGAGGCAGGAGAATGGCATGAACCTGGGAGGCGGAGCTTGCAGTGAGCTGAGATCACGGCACTGCACCCCAGCCTGGGTGACAGAGCAAGACTCCGTCTCCAAAAAAAAAAGAAAAAGAATGTAGGTATCTTTTTTCTCTTTTATGTATATTATATATACTTTTTTTTTTTTTTTTTGACATGGGCTCTCACTCTGTCACCCCAGGCTGGAGTGCAGTGGTATGATTTTGGCTCACTGCAACCTCTCTGCCTCCTGAGCTCAAGTGATCCTCCCACCCCAGCCTTCCGAATAGCTGGGACTACAGGCATATACCGCCACACCTGGCTAAGCAGGTATCTTTTTGATAGAAAAATTTATTTTCCTTTGGGTAGATACTCAGTAGTGGGATTGCTGGGTCAAATGGTAGTTTAATTTTTAGTTCTTTGAGAAATCTCCATACTGTTTACCATAGGGGTTAAACTAACTGACATTTCTTTTTTATTTTTATTTTTTTTGAGATGGAGTCTCGCTGTGTCGCCCAGGCTGGAGTGCAGTGGTGGGATCATGGCTCACTGCAGCCTCTGTCTCCTCGGCTTAAGCAATTTTCCTGCCTCAGCCTCCTCTGTAACCTGCCTCTGTAACCGGGGATTACAGCCGTGTGCTACCATGCCTGGCTAATTTTTGTATATTTGGTAGAGACGGGGTTTCACCATGTTGGCCAGGCTAGTCTTGAACTCCTGATCTCAAGTGATCCACCTGCCTTGGCCTGCCAAAGTGCTGGGATTACAGGCGTGAGCCACTGCGCCTGACCCTAATTTATATTTCTACCAAATGTGTGAGTGTTCCCTTTTGTTCCACATACTTGCCAACATCTCTTATTTTTTTGACTTTTTAATAATAGCCATTCTGACTGGTGTGAGATGATATCTCTGTGGTTTTAATTTGCATTTCCCTGATGATTAGTGATGCTGAGCATTTTTTTCATATTTGTTGGCTGCTTGTATGTCATCTTTTGAGAAGTGCCGTTCCTGTCCTTTGCCCACCTTTTAATGAGATGGTTTGTTTTTTCTTGTTGATTTAAGTTCCTTATAGATTCCAGGTGCTAGTCTCTTGTCAGATGCATAGTTTGCATATATTTTCTACCATTTTGTAGGTTGTCTGTTTACTCTGTGGATATTTTTATTTTGCTATGCAGAAGTTCTTTAGTTTAAGCCTGATTGTCAGTTTTTGGTTTTATTGCAGTTTCTTTTGAGGTCTTAGTCATAAATTCTTTGCCTAGGCAAATGTTCAGATGAATTTTTTTTCTAGTTTCCTCCTAGGATTTCTATAGTTTGAGGTCTTACATTTAAGTGCTTAATCCATCTTGAGTTAATTTTTGTATATGGTGAGAGGTAGGGGTCCAGTTTTATTCTTCTGCATATGGGTAGCCAGTATTTCCAGCAGCATTTATTGAATAGGGTGTCATCTCCCCATTGTTTATTATTGTCAACTTTATTGAAGATCAGTTGGTTGTAGGTATGTGGCTTTGTTTCTGGGTTCTCTATTCTGTTCCATTGATTACTGTGTCTTTTTTTCTTTTTTGAGATGGAATCTTACTTTGTTGCCCAGCTGGAGTGCAGTGGCGCGGTTTTGGTTCACCGCAGCCTCCACCTCCTGGGTTCAAGCAATTCTCCTGCCTAAGTCTCAGTATTTTATTGTGTCATTGAGTATATCTATATTGTCAACAAGGCCTCCAAAATGTGCAGATATTTGTAGAGCTCATAAGTGGATTAACCCGTAGATTGAGGCCTGCCCCTCATTCTTTTTTTTTTTTTTTTGAGGCAGAGTCTCAATCTGTTGCCCAGGCCAGAGTACAGTGGCACAATCTCTGCTCACTGCAACCTCTGCCTTCCGGTTCAAGTGATTCTCCTGCCTCAGCCTCCCGAGTAGCTGGGACTGCAGGCGTGTGCCACCACATCTGGGTAGTTTTTTGTTTTTTTTTTGTAGTTTTAGTAGGGATGGGGTTTCACCATGTTGGCCAGGCTGGTCTCGAACTCGTGGCCTCAGGTGATCCATCTGCCTCGGCCTCCCAAAGTGCTGGGATTACAGGCATGAGCCACCTCGCTGGGCCTACGTTCATTCTTTTTTTTTTTTTTTTTTTTGAGACATAGTCTCACTGTGTCACCCAGGTTGGAGTGCAGTGGAGATATCTCGGCTCACTGCAACCTCTGCCTCCCGGGTTCAAGTGATTCCCCTGCCTCAGCCTCCTGAGTAGCAGGGACTACAGGTGCATGCCGCCACCATGCCCAGCTAATTTTTTTTTTTTTGTATTTTTAGTGGAGACAGGGTTTCACCGTGTTGCCTAGGCTGGTTGCGAACTCCTGAGTTCAGGCAGTCCACCCACCTCAGCCTCCCAAAGTGCTGGGATTACAGGCGTGAGCCACCACACCAGCCTCCCCCGGCCCTGCGCCCCACCCCCCCATTCTAATTGAAAGTCAGAAGAGGTACTCAACTGAAGGGTATTCTGAAAGAAAATGAAGGAGGGATAAAAATTCATGAGTATGCAAATTAAAGGAGAAAAAAGAGTCACTGTTTACTTTGCTCCTATATTTACTGTTGGGTTTAAGTAATACATGTTTCTACCTTCTATCACTATCTTTTTCTATTCTCCTGTCTGCTTCCATAACCTGATAAGTGGTTTGTCACAAATTATTTAATTGCTGTGAATCTCTTATCTAGAGATCTTGTATTGATTCTGTTGATAGTAGGGATTGTGAAGTATAACCCTCTGTAATAAAGTTTTTCACATATTTATTCAACAAACATTTTGAATTTTTATTATTTTATTATTTATTTTATTTATTTTTGAATGTTGTATAGCAGATGGAAAGACAAAAAAATATTCTACCCTTAACAAGCCTATATACTAGTAGGGGAGACTATCAAATATGCACTAAACAATTACATATACAATTGTAGAGTTCAGTGGCAAGGTTAACCTCAAGAGTCACTACTACAAAGAAGCTTTCCTTAGGACCTCAGTGCACCTTCTAGTTTCTTTTTATTATTTACCAGTCCCTATGCTGGCAAAAGTCTAATGCTGATTAGGTTAGAAGTCTTGGTCTTTGCTACCTAAGAGCTTGTGAGTTCATAAAGGAGATATGATATATACCTTATCAGCTATGAGGCAGTATAAGGCAGTTTGTGAAAGGCAAAGTGGCATAGTGGTTTAGCTCCCAGATTCTAGGGCTGGACTGCTGATGTGCACATCCTAGCTCTGCCATGTACTGGCCTGTAACCTTAGACAAGTGGCAAAGTCTATGTACTTCAGTTTCTTGATCTGTAAAATAAGACATAATAGTGTGCCTTTCCTTAGGGTTGTTATGAGGATGGAATGATTAAAACATACAGTAAATGCTGTATGAGTGTTTGATGCAGTTATTCATTATCATTAATTATTGCCATGGTTCTTATTTGTGCTAAGAGTAGCATATTGGTAAAGAAATTGGGATATGGCTGGGTATGGTGGCTCTTACCTGTAATCCCAGCACTTTGTGGGGCCAAGGTGGGAGGATCACTTGATCCCAGGCTTCAAGACTAGCCTGGGCAACATAGGGAGACCCTGTCTCTGCAAAAATAAAAATAAAAATAAAAAAAATTAACCAGGCATGATGGCTGTCACTTGTAGTCCCAGCTACCTGGGGGGCTGAGGTGGGAGGATGGCTTGAGCCAGGAAGATCAAGGCTGCAGTGAGCCATGGGCAACAGAATGAGACCCTGTCCCAAAAAGGAAAAAAAAAAAAAAGAGAAATTGGGATCTAGTTTGTAATCATCAACATAGTAGTTGTAGTATCTTGGGAACATCACATCTATGGCATTAGTTTTTTAAATCTAGAAATGGGTATAATATCACATATTTCTTATTAAATGAAGTAATACATATAAAGCACACAGCACAGTGTCCAACTATATATTCTCAATAAAGCTTTTTTTAAAAAAATTAGTAAAATAAATATTACAGAATTTCAGAGAAGTACTGCTTAGGTGTAGGACATTCTTTATCTCATAGGACTCACTAGATGCATGTTTACTTAATATCTTTATGTAGAGAATGGAAGCCTAGTGAGAAAGCTGTTGGAAATATTCTTATTTTCTATAAGGACTGTCGAAGGGCGATTTGATAGTCCTATAGGCAAGTATGTTAAACTAGTAAAAGGAAATCTCAGAATAAATGACTTAGAAAAGAAAATCATTTATAATTACTAATAGTTTTTATGTATTTTCACTAAGAATTCTAAGGTTTTTAGTTATTCTGTTAAACTCTGCTTTGTGTTGTTCTTATGAGTAAACTTGAGGGGGTTTCTACAGAGTAGAAGATTTGCAGAGTAAAACAATATGAATTTTTTTTTATAGCCTTAAAAGATTTTTAATAGAATGAGTAAACATTTGAAGCTTCTGGAATTGTATTACTTAAATGGATAAAAGCACAGAAGCTTTCTAAGTACTTTATATTACACTGTTTTATCAAGAAAATAAAATCTCATTTTGCAAACAATAGAAATATGTCTTGTGGAGGGAGAGATTTTAAGTTATTTAAGATTCATGTTTTGGTTATAGTCTAGTCTCCATGTGGCGTCCCAGTAGAAGGGCAAAAGGTTAGTTTATTTTGAAACTGTTTAAATAGTGTAATATTTTAAAAATAAATATTGGAGGCTGGGCATGGTGGCTCACGCCTGTAATCCTAGCGTTTTGGGAGGCTGAGGCGGGTGGATCACGAGGTCAGGAGTTTGAGACCAGCCTGGTCAGCATGGTGAAACCCCGTCTCTACTAAAAATACAGAAAATTAGCCAGGTGTGGGCAGGCACCTGTAATCCCAGCTGCTCGGGAGGCTGAGGCGGAGGTTACAGTGAGTCGATACTGCGCCACTGGACTCCAGCCTGGGCAGCAGAGTGAGACTGTCTCAAAAATAAAATAAAATGAAATAAATTAATTAATTAGTATTGGGAATAATATTTAAACCAGATGCTAATATTTGTACTTTTCTCAGGTATTTAGTGATTATGGTAAAATATAATGTTGAGACAGTCTTAATTTATATAGTAATAATATTAATATATTTAATAAGTATATTAGATTATAATATAAATTTATGTAATTAATATAGTTAATAGATTATATCATATAAGATTATATTATGTAATATATAATTATCAATATTGCTAATGATTACCTATATATTATATAATGTATTAATATATGATTATATATTGTAATATATAATGTAATGATTGCAGTATAATAATACATTTATTATATGGAATACCAGTTTAACTTCAAATAACCAATCTCTTTTATTTCTTTTTTTCCCTCAGATTCCTTTTTACCACAAATAACTAATTTGTTGTTTTCTTTTTTTTGAGACGGAGTTTTGCTGTTTGTTGCCCAGGCTGGAGAGCAATGGTGCAACCTCAGCTCACTGCAACCTCTGCCTCCCGGGTTCAAGCAGTTCCCATGTAACATACAATAAAGTGCATAAATCTTCAGTATTTACAGTTAAAAATTTCTTACATATGTATATACCGGTTATCCACCACCCATATTAAGATATAGAATGTTTATAAAACTTTGTAAGGCCTTCCTTTTGTGCCCTGCCTATATAACTTCCTCTCCGCTAAGGAAACCATGCTTCTGGTGTCTGTATCCATAGATTTATGTTGTCTGTTTGTGAACTTCATATAAATGGGATAATTTAGTTTGTACTCTTTTATCTGGCTTTTTTCTTTCTTTCTTTCTTTTTTTTTTTTTTTGAGACCAAGTCTCACTCTGTTGCCAGGCTGGAGTGCAGTGGTGTGATCTCTGCTCACTGCAACCTCCACCACCCGGGTTCAAGCGATTCCCCTGCCTCAGCCTCCTGAGTAGCTGAGACTAGAGGCACGCACCACCACGCCCGGCTAATTATTGTAGTTTTAGTAGAGGCGGGTTTCACCATGTTGGCTAGGATGGTCTTGATCTCTTGACCTCGTGATCCACCCGCTTTGGCCTCACAAAGTGCTGGGATTACAGGCGTGAGCCACCACACTTGGCCTGTATTAGTCAGCTATTACTGCTTAACCTGAAAATCTCCAGTGGTACTCAAGTATTTGTTTCTTGGTTAAGGATTTGTGGGTCAGCTGGGACAGCTCTGCTGTGTGTATCTCATCTTCTTATGTGCACCAGTAGGCCAGATGGGACATGTTCTTTTCATAGTGGTAACATAAATGCAAGAAGTCATATCCAGTTGTTCAAGCATATTTCAAGACGTGTTTATGTCATGTCTGCTGACCTTCCACTCCTTAAACTAAGTTGTGGTGTAGCCAAAATTCATGGTTGCGGAAGTATAAGTCTTCAATGCATGTAAGGATAAGAAGTGAATATTTTTGAACAATGAGCTACTACAGATGTTGAATTTTATTTTTTATATCCATATTGGCCTTTTATATATCCTCATAATAATCTGTTTAAGTCTTTTGCTCATTAAAAAGATTGGGCAGTTTTCTTATTTTTTAGCTGTTTTTACAAAAATCTGGATATAAGTCTTTTTTTTGATATGTGTATTGCAGGTATCTTCTGTGCCTTTTTACTCTCAATGATTTTTTTAATTGAATAGAAGTTCTTAATTTTAATAAAGTCAAATTTATTATTTTTTATGGTTAGTACCTAGTGTGTTTTTTTTGTTGTTGTTGTTGTTCGAGATCCCACTCTAGGTTCATGTAAATATTCTTTTTTTTTTTTTTTTTGAGACGGAGTTTTGCTCTTGTTGCCCAGGGTGGAGTGCAGTGGCGTGATCTCAGCTCACTGCAACCTCCGCCTCCCGGGTTCAAGCCATTCTCCTGCCTCAGCCTCCCAAGTAGCTGGGATTACAGGTATGCGCCACCACTCCTGGCTTATTTTGTAGTTTTAGTAGAGACAGAGTTTCTCCATGTTGGTCAGGCTGTTCTTGAACTCCCGACCTCAGGTGTTCTGCCTGCCTCGGCCTCCCAAAGTGCTGGGATTACAGGCATGAGCCACCGTGCCTGGCTCATGTAAATATTCTCATTTGATCTATTCTAGAAATGTTAATTTTATTACCTTTCATGGTCTATGATCCATCATAAAGTAATTTTTGTCCATGAATTAATTTTTCTAGACAATCCAGTTGGTGCAGCACCATTGACATAGAAGCCTTTCCTTCCCCCATACTGAATTGCAGTGGCATCTTTGTTTTAAGTTAGAACATCATTGTATAGGAGCCTGTTTCTGGATTCTCTTGTGTCTCTCCTTGTACCAAGTACTATACTTTTTGTGGCTTTGTACTAAGTCTTGATATTTGGTAGTATAAGTCCTCCAACTTTGTTATTCTTTAAGATTGTCTTGGCTATTCTAGGTCCATTAGATTTCAAATACACATTGAGAATCAGCTTGTTAATTTGTTCAGAACCTACTAGTATTTTGTTTGGAATTGTGCTGAATCTGTAGATCATTTTGAGGGAGAGTTGGCTTCTTAATGATACAGAAGTCAAATTATTGGATATAGTATATTTTTCCATGTATTTAGGTCTTCTTGCGACCTTACGTATATTTTGTTTTATTCTTAGATGTGTGGCGGTATCTTTTTAAAATTCATTTTAACTGAGAAACAACATACAATAAAATGCACAGATCATAAATGTTCAGTATGAGTTTTGAAATGGTATACACTGGTGTAATTACCACCAAAAATAAGTGTAACGTTTCCGTTAACTCCAGAGAGTTCCCTCTTGTTTCAGTCAATCCCTTCTTCTCTGCCCCATCTATGCTTTTTAAAACTTTAATTTTTATGGATACATAGTAGTTGTATATATTTATGGGGTACTTGAGATATTTTGACAAGCATACGGTGTATAATAATCACATTAGGGCAAATGGGGTATCCATCACCCCAAGCATTTATCATTTCTTTGTGTTACAAACATTCCAATTATACTTCTTTTAGTTATTTTTAAATGTAAAATAAATTATTGTTGACCGTAGTCACCCTTTTGTGCCGTCAAATACTACATCTTATTCATTCTAACTATATTTTTATACCCATTAACCATCCCCACTTTCCTCCGCCCCTTTACTACTCTTCCCAGCCTCTGATAACCATCACTCTACTCTTTATTTTCATGAGTCCAAATTATTTTAATTTTTAGCTCCCACAAATGAATGAGATAATGCAAAGTTTGTCTTTTTGTGCCTGGCTTATTTTGCTTAACATAGTATCCTCCAGTTCCATCCATGTTGTTGCAAATGATGGGATCTCATTCTTTTTTTATGGCTGGCTGAATACTACTTCATTGTATTATATGCATCACATTTTCTTTATCCATTTGTCTGTTGATGGACAGTTAGGTTGATTCCAAATCTTGGTGATTGCGAATAGTGCTGCAGTAAACACGGGAGTGCAGATACCACTTTGATATACTGATTTCCGTTCTTTTGGGTATATACCTAGCAGTTAATTTGCTTGATCATATAGTAGTTCTGTTTTTAGTTTTTTGAGGAACCTCCAAACTGTTTTTATAGTGGCTGTATTAATTTACATTCTCACCAACGGTGTACAAGTGTTACCTTTTCTTTACATCCTTGCCAGCATTTGTTGTTGTCTGTCTTGGATAAAAGCTTTTTAACTGTGATAAGATAATATCTCATTGTCTATTCCAGTCTTTTGCCCATTTTAAAATCAGATTTTTAGATTTTTTTCCTATTGAGTTGTTTGAACTCCTTATATATTCTTATTAATCCCTTGTCAGATAGACAGTTTGCACATATTTTCTCCCATTCTGTGAGTTGTCTGTTCACTTTGCTGATTGTTGCCTTTGCTATGCAGAAGCTTTTTGACTTGATGTAATCCTATTTGTCCATTTTTGCTTTGGTTTCCTGTGCTTTTGGGGTATTACTCAACAAATCTTTGCCCAGACTAATGTCCTAGAGAGATCTCCAATGTTTTCTTTCAGTGGTTTGAGAGTTTCAGGTCCTAGATTTAGATCTTTAATCCATTCTAATTTTGATTTTTGTATATGGTGAGAGATAGGGGTCTAGTTTCTCCCTTCTGCATATGGATGTCCAGTTTTCCAAGCACCATTTATTGAAGAGAATGTCTTTTCCCCAGTGTGTGTTCTTAGCACCTTTGTCAAAAATGAATTCACTATAGATGTATGGATTCATTTCTGGGTTCTCCATTCTGTTTCATTCGTCTGTTGTTATGCTGTTTTGGTTACTATAGCTCCATAGATGGGATCTCGCTCTGTCATCCAGGCTGGAGTGCAGTGGCACGATCACGGCTCATTGCAGCCTTGACCTGTTGGGTTCAAGTGATCCTCCCATCTCAGCCTCCTTAGTAGCTGGGACCACAAGCTTGTGCCACCACATCCAGTTAATTAAAAAATATTTATCTTGTAGAGATGGGATCTCTCTATGTTGTCCTGGCTGTCTTGAACTCCTGGGCCCAAGTAATCCTTCCACCTTGGCCTCCCAAATTGCTGGGATTACAGGTGTGATAAAGCACCCAGCCTCAATAACTCTTAGATTTGCCCTTTTGAGGCTATTTTCTAGATCTTGTAGGCTTTATTCTTATGTTATTCTTTTTTCTTTTGTCTTCCTCTGTGTATTTTCAAGTAGCCTGTCTTCAAGCTCATTAATTGTTTCTCCTGCTTGACCAATTCTGCTGTTGAGAGACTCTGATGCATTCTTCAGATTGTCAGTTGAATTTTTCAGCTCCCAAATTTCTGTTTGATTTCTAAAAATTATTTTAGTCTTTGTTAAGTTTATCTGATAGGATTCTGAATTCCTTCTGTGTTATCTTGAGTTTTGTTGAGTTTCCTGAAAACAAGTATCTTGAATTCTCTGAAAGGTCACATATCTCTGTCTAGGTTTGCTCACTGCTGCCTTATTTAGTTTGTTTGGTGAGGTCATGTTTTCCTGGATGGTCTTGATGCCTGTGGGTGTTCGTTGGTGTCTGGGCATTGAAGAGTTAGGTATTTGTTGTAACCTTTGCTGTCTGGGCTTTTTTGTACCTGTCCTCCTTTAGAAGGTTTTCAAGTATTCAAAGTGGATTGAGTATTATGATCTGTCTTTGGTTATTGTAGCTGTCTCTTCATTAGGGTACACCCCAAGCCCCAGTAACACTGTGGCTTTTGCAGACTCGTAGAGGTACTGCCTTGGTGGTCTGGGTTAGTTCTGGCAGA
Organism: Homo sapiens; assembly: GCF_000001405.40. Taxonomy (NCBI): domain Eukaryota; kingdom Metazoa; phylum Chordata; class Mammalia; order Primates; family Hominidae; genus Homo; species Homo sapiens. The sequence continues at coordinate 72,062,065 of NC_000015.10, read as the reverse complement.
ATTCTCTGTATTACCAGGCAGAATCTCTTGTTCTCTTCCCTTACTTTTCCTCAAACTAGTGGAGTCTGTATCTCCTTGCTGAGCTGCCTGGAATTGGGGAGGTGTGACCCAAGCACCGCCGTGACCACCACCTCTTGGACTGTGCTGGGTCAGACCTGAAGTCTGCACAAAACGGGGTCCTGCCCAAGGCCTGTGGTGACTATTGCCTGGCTACTATTGATGTTTGTTGAGTGTCCTAGGGTGCTTTAGTCAGTGGGTAGTGAATTCAGACAGGCTCCTGTGCTTCTCTTCAGGGAGATAGGTTCCCTTCTGGCCCAGGGTGAGTCTGGAAATGCTGGCTGGGAGCTAGGGCCTGGAGTTGGGAACTTTAGGAATCTCCTTGGTGCTTTATTTTTCTGTGGCTGAGCTGGTGCCTAAGTTGTAGGACAGAGTCCTTTTTACTCTTTCCTCTTCTTTCCGTAGGCAGAAGGAGTCTCTCCCTGTGGCTACCACCTCCCCAGGCCTGTGGTGAGTACTGCCTACTTACCACTGATGTTTTTTCAAGGCCTGAAGGCTGTTGAGCCAGCTTGTGGTGAATCCTGCCAGGCTTGGGTCTCTCTTCAGAGCAATGGGTTCCCTTCTGGCCCAGGGTGGGTCTGGAAATGCTGTCCATGAGCTAAGGCCTAAAATCAGGGACTTTAAGAGTTTGCTTAGTACTTTATTTTACTGTAGCTGAGTTGATACCCAAGTTGCAAGGCAAAGTCATTTTTGCTCTTCTCTCTCCTTTCTCAGGCAGAAGGAGTCTCTCACGGTGGCCACCACAGCTGGGAGTGCACTGGGTTACATCTGAAGTTAGCATGGTACTGGGTCTCTCCCAAGGCCCATGGCGAGTACTGCCTGGCCACTGCTGGCTACTGAAGTTTTTTCAAGGTCCAAGGACCCTTTAGGCAGCAGTTGATAAATCCTGCCAGGACTGGGTCTTTCCTTTCATAGCAGCTGGTTCCTTTCTGGTTCAGGGTGTGTCTAGGAATGTTATCTGGGATGTAGAGCCTGGAATGGGGGCATCAGGACTGTGCTTGGTGCTTTACTGTATTGTGGCTGAGCTGATATCCAAGTTGTAAGACAACGTGACTCTTTCCTCTCCTTAAGCAGAAGGAGGTTCTCCTGGAGCTACAAGCTGTGCTGCCTGGTGCTGGGGGAGGGGTAATGCAAGCACTGTTTGGGCTGCCCTAGCTGGTGTCTCACTGGGTCATGTGCACCTCAAGTCCACTGATTCCAAGTGCACACAACACCAAGACTTGCCCAGGAATTGAAGTCCTAGTGGCCTAGACTGCCTTCTAAGTTTATGTATGATCCCAGAGTACTTTAGCTTGCCATGGTAGGGCTAGCCAGAACTCAGGTTCCAACCACTGGGATGGACAATTCCTCTCTGATTAGGGCTCGTCTAAATGCTCCCTCCATAGATGCCGGCTGAATTCTGCCCTGTGCTGCTTTCTCCTGTGACGGGGCAGCACTGAGTTTCAATGCAAAGTCCCACAATCTCTGTGCTATCTCTCCCACAGGTACACAGATTCTGTCTCTGGACAACATGGCTGCTGCTAGAGGATAGGGTGGTGTTGGCAGTTCAAGACTGTCTTTCCTACCCTCACCAGTGGCTCTTTTATTTTTTATTTATTTTTTATTTTTATTTTTTATTTTCTAATAAGACTAGATTTATTCAATACCCTAGTAAAAGTTTTGATTATAAGTATCCAACAGTATAAAAAGTACAAAACAGATCTGTAGATTTCTAATATATTAATACAAAGTGCATGACTACATACAGTACATCTTACAGGCAAAGAGAGGTGGAAGGGGAAAAAGAAGACAGTGGAAGGGGAAAAAGAAGACTGTGGTTGAGGTCTAGTAATAAATAAATAAATACAGAAGTAGAGATGATCCATATTATAGTATATTCTACCACCAATACTGCAGCCAAAATGTACAAAAAAATCAGTTCAAAATAATAACTCAGGAAGATGATAATGGCTGGACTTTTGTAATTCGCCTCAAAGACTGTGGGAGAGGCAACTCAACTCACTGTATAGTCTGTGCATATGGTGGCTTGTAGCATGTAGGTTTTTTCCAAAAGAAGGAAATATAAAATGTTTGGATTAAGAACTATAAAACTACAGGGTGCCTATAAAAGGTGGCTTACTCCTTATTGTTATTATACTATCCAATTTTTAAAATGCAGTTTAAAAAAATAAGCGCTGAGTCTTGTTATTACAAGGCAGGCAAATGTTTCTCCCTCATTCTGAAAAGACTGAACTGACGATGCTTTTCCTGAACATTTAGAAAAGAGGCAGTAAGAGTACTCTGGTTTGGGTTCAAGTGAGAGGCTTTTCATGAAAATCTTAGGATTGAAGAGCTCTAAGTTCAGGATATCTCAATGTTCAGAAAGCCTCACTAAAAAAAGCCAATCCAAAACCATTTAATGTGAACACAAACCTCTTTTCTTTTAGTAAGTTTTACTTTTAATACAGAGTGAAAGAAAATAAAAACGTAATAGGCTAAAACAAGTCAAACACCCATTCTACACAGATAAAAACCTTCACAAAGGTCAACTGAAGTAATCCAGAGCTGAAACTGAATTGTGCAGATTTTCAGTGAAGTCACAGAAGTCATGTAACACAAACAAAAGTCGATTATATTTACACACTCAGCAAGCCCTCTAAGAAATGTGCCCCAAGAAGCATTAACCTTTGTTTTGTGCCATCCTGAAGACTTGCACATTTTATTTTTCAGATAGCTTAACATTTTTAATTGAGTGTGTTCTCTACCATGCAGTAATGCTTTGGTACTATTCATACAGGGTCTCGCCTGTCCTAAAGACTTGCCATTTCCCCAAGAGGAACTTTGATTCCAACCTGTACTACTGATTATTAAGCAGGACAGACAGAGCTTTCTGTTGCAAATACCTTGGAGGAGAAAGTAATTTCTAAATATACAGAGAGGTAACTTGACTATATATGTTGCATCCTGTGCCTCCCTTCATATTAACATTTGATAAAGATTTTAATTTATGTAAAACTTCTAAAGCAGAATCAAAGTTTTTGATAAAAAAGCAAAAACAAAATTAATGTATATATTTTGAAAAGTAAATTTTAATAACACACTGCAGAACACTGCACAGAACACTGCATTAAAAATCCTTAGGTACTTTTTAATTTCTTTAACTGAACTTCTAGTTTAAAGGAAACTCTTTATTCCCTGTTTTCTTTCTTCACCACAGTTTTCCTCTGTAATTAGTCCCTTCTAACTCAGTCCAGTGAATAACATCATAAGCTGGCCTATTCTGAACCACACCCTGCTAAACCACAGCAACTTTCTTACCTCGTTAGCATATACTGTTAGCATATACTTTTGAAGTGTCTACATTGAGATAGAGAATAAAAAGAATATTAAATAATTTTCTATATAAAAGATACAGCATTGTCTGATTGCTATATAAATGCCAGTAATGTGCTTAGTTCTTTACGTGTATTGTTTTATTCTTATGGTCAGCTATCCCCACATCATTTATTTAGTAATCGTTTTTTCTCTGCTGACTTGAAATGTCATCTTTATCGTATATTTTCATAGTTTTTTTTGCTCTTTAGGTCTTGATTTTCTGATTTGAAAGGTAATAGTTTATTTTTGTCTAAGAATTGCTGTTCAACTCAAATTAGGTAATGTATATCAAACTTATTTTTGATTATAACTATAGATGGAAAATGTGAAGATTTCCCAAAAGCCCAGTGTTTTAACCCATTTTAAAATATATGTATACCTTTATGTGCAATTTTCTAGATTTAAAAATTTTACGTTATAAATTCTTTTCCATATTTCTGCATGGTTGACTTTACAGCTATCTCCCACTATTCATGTTTGCTTAATTCTTCAGTTTGGATAGTGAATTTGAATGTCAGGGGGTACTGCCTTATTTGAATCTGTTTGTTTCCTAAAGTTTGCATAGCAAATAACAAGATAATGAAGGAAATTCCAGAAGTTTACTCAAACGTATTTGGTTCTTGAGTTTAGGTTGTGAGATTTTTTGAAATCAGGAATTTGGATAACAAGGGCGACCTGTATCCTCAAAGGGTATTGCACTGAAATACTACCCATTATAATGGGTTCTTTTGATTGTAGAGAACAGAAACCTACCTCAGAGTGGCTCAGGGAATAAAAGGGAATTGATTGGCACACTTAACAAGGAATTTCAGTGGTCTAGCTTATTTGAGGCACAACTGGATTCAGTGGCTCAAATATGTTGATAAGATTTTGCTGTGTGTGTTAGTTTCATTTTCTTTTATTGCAGAGCCTTCTTTTATGCATTCAGGGAATATGGCTGCCAGCAGCTGTAGGTTTAGATCTTTCTAGCTTAGCGGCCCTGGTGTGGGAAGAAAGCTTCTTTTCCGACAGTTGCAGCAAAAATTCCAGTACAGAATCTCAGTAGTCAGCCACTGTGGCTAAGAGTAATGAAATAAATTGATTGACTGGGCCTGGGTCACAGCAAATGTCTCTCTTCTCCCTTATCTGGGGAATGAGGTCAGTTCATTCAAACTATGTTCGATGACAAAGATGGAATGACAAGGAGGAGAAATAGTTTTTCAAAGGAAAACAGTAATTTTGAAGAAGGTACAGAGTACTTACTGGTCAGGCTAAGCTGATACACATATACTAGTGTGTCATACAATAATTCACGTTATGTTTTATTTTTTATTTTCATAGTTTTTTGGGGAACAAGTGATGCTTGGTTGCATGAGTAAGTTTTTTTTATTTTTAATTTTTATTTTTGAGATGGAGTCTTGCTCTCTCGTCAAGGCTGGAGTTCAGTGGTGTGATCTCTGCTCACTGCAACCTCCGCCTCCCGGGTTCAAGCGATTCTGCCTCAGCCTCCCAAATAGCTGAGATTACAGGCATGTGCCACCACACCTGGCTAATTTTTTTTTTTTCCTGAGACAGAGTCTTGCTCTTGTCACCCAGGCTGGAGTACGGTGGTGCAATCTCGGCTCACTGCAACCTCCGCCTCCCAGGTTCAAGCAATTCTCCTGCCTCGGCCTCCTGAGTAGCTGGGATTATAGGCACCCACCATGCCTGGCTAATTTTTGTACTTTTAGTAAAGACAGCGTTTCACCATGTTGGCTAGGCTGGTCTTGAACTTCTGACCTCAGGTGATCCGCCCGCCTCAGCCTCCCAAAGTGCAGGGATTACAGGTGTGAGCCACTGTGCCCAGCCATTTTTGTATTTTTAGTAGAGACGGAGTTTTGCCATGTTGGCCAGGCTGGTCTTGAACTCCTGACCTCAGGTGATCTGCCTGCCTCGACCTCCCAAAGTACTGGGATTAACAGGCGTGAGCCACTGCGCCCAGCTGAGTAAGTTCTTTAGTGGTGATTTCTGAGATTTTGGTGCACCCATCGCCTGAGCAGTATACACTATACCCAATTTGTTATCCCTCACCCACCTCCCACCTTTTCCCCCAAGTCCCCAAAGTTCACTGTGTCATTCTTACACCTTTGAATCCTCATAGCTTAGCTCCTGCTTATGAGCGAGAACATACGATGTTTGGTTTTGCATTCCTGAGTTACTTCACTTAGATTAATGGTCTCCAGTTCCATCCAGGTCACTGTGAATGCCATTATTTTGTTCCTTTTTATGGCTGAGTAGTATTCCATGGTGTATATTGACCACAATTTCTTTATCCACTCATTGATTGATGGGCATTTGGGCTGGTTCTATATTTTTGCAGTTGTGAATTGTGCTGCTATAAACATGCCTGTGGGAGTATCTTTTTTTGTATAAATGACTTCTTTTTCTCTGGGTAGGTACTCAGTAGTGGCAACTGGGTGATACCCTGTTGTGCAGGTTGGAGCACAGTGGCATAATTTGGGCTCACTACAACCTTTGCCTCCCGGGTTCAAGTGATTCTTGTGCCTCAGCCTCCTGAGTAGTTGGGGCTACAGGCCCGTGCCACCATGCCCAGCTAATTTTTACATTTTTATTAGGGATGGGGTTTCGCCATGTTGGTCAGGGTGGTCTCGAACTCCTGACCTCAGGTGATCCACCTGCCTTGGCCTCCTAAAGTGCTGGGATTATAGGCGTGAGCCACCGCACCTGCCCTACTTTTAGTTCTTTAAGGAATCTCCATGCTGTTTTTTATAGTGGTTGTATTTTACATATAGTGAATGTATTTTACATTCCTACCATCAGTGTCAAAGTGTGTTCTCTTTTCACCACATCCCTGCCAGCATCTATTATTTTTTTGATTTTTTTTATGGCCATTCTTGCAGGAGTAAGGTGGTATCACATTGTTATTTTGTTTTGCATTTCCCTCATCATTAATGCTGTTGAGCATTTTTTCATGTTTGTTGACCTTTTGTGTATCTTCTTTTGAGATGTCTATTCATGTCCTTAGCCTACTTTTTGATGGGATTGTTTGTTTTTTTCTTGCTAATTTGTTTGAGTTCCTTGTAGATTCTGGATATTAGTCCTTTATTGGATATACACATTGTGAAGATTTTCTTACACTCTGTGGGTTGTCTTTTTGCTGATTTTTTCTTTTTCTGTGCAAAGGCTCTTTAATTAAGTCCCATTTATTCATCTTTGTTTTTGTTGCATTTGCTTTTGGGTTCTTGGTCATAAAGTCTTTGCCTAAGCCAAGGCCTGGGAGGGTTTTTCTGACATTATCTTGTAGAATTTTTATTCAGGTCTTAGATTTAAGTCCTTGATCCATTTTGAGTTGATTTTTGTATAAGGTGAGAGGTTTTCATTCTACATGTGGCCTGCCAACTATTAACATTTTATTTATTTAGAGATGGGGTCTTGGTATATTGCCCGGGCTGGTCTTGAACTCCTGTGCTCAAGCAGTCCTCCCACCTCAGCCTTTCAAATAGCTATGACTATGGGCACGCACCACTGTGCCCAGCCTGATAATTTATTTCTTCCATTACATTTTCTTCAACTGAAATGGTACAAAATATGTTTTCTTTCAGCACCCACTTTTGCTTTTACTTGACGTTGATCTGCTATAGGTAAAACTTGGGCTTTTATATTCTTTCTAGTAATGATTAGCTGATATACAGTCTCGTCACATCTTATCTCAAATTCTGTTTCTCTGCCCATCTTTTTTTTTTTTAATTCTTTCAGTAAAAGTGTCCTTTTTTTTTCCTTTCTGAGAGACATCTGTCCACCTTTGACCTTAATCTCATTTAGTCTTGCTTACCAAGGAACTTTGGCTTACCAGTTAGACCTTCTTTTTCTTCAGTTTTTAGTTTCTGCTTCCTTGCTTGATCTTATTTATAATCATACAGTTGTGTTCCCAAGCCCCCTAACTAATAAACATTTCACTCACAATACTCCTGCTTTTTTTTTTTTTTTTTTTTTTTTTGAGACAGAGTCTCGCTGTGTCTCCAGGCTGGAGTGCAGTGGCACGATCTCTACTCACTTTACTCACTTCAACGTCTGCCTCCTGGGTTCAAGTGATTCTCCTGCTTCAGCCTCCCAAGCAGCTGGTACTACAGGCGGACACCACCATGCCTGGCTAATTTTTGTATTTTTAGTAGAGGTGGGGTTTCACCATCTTGGCCAGGCTGGCCTCGAACTCCTGACCTTGTGATTCGCCCGCCTCGGCCCCCCAGAGTGCTGGGATTACAGATGTGAACCACTGCGCCTGGCCCTACTCCTGCTTTCTTTGTAGCAGATTCGATCAACATCTGCTAGCTACTTACTTGCCACTCTGTGGCTTCCTCCTTAACTTCTTGTAATCTTTTTCTGTTTTGTACTTCTTTTCAAGAATACCAGTGATATCCAGAGACCTTTCTCTCAGGCCTAAGCCTAAAATAATAGTATGGAAGGGCTAAAAAAAACCCTTAAGAGATGTTTAATTCAATTTTATTTTCCTGTTTTGCTTGATGTTATTTTGATTATACCAGCTTTCTTTTGGCTAGTGTTTGCATGGTATTTCTTCTCCTTTTAAAAAAATACTTTCTGATTCTGTATCCTTATGTTATAGATGTGTGTCTACTGAAAACAGCAGATAGTTGAATTTTAAAACTTTGACCATCTTTGTCTTTTAACTGGAGCATTTACATGTAATATAATATAATTACTGTTGTATTTAGCTTTAAAACTTTACTATTTGTTTTCTATTTGATCTACCTATTCTGACTTTTTTCTCTTCTCCTTTCTTGCTTTCTTTTGAACTCATTATTCTGTTTTTTCACTCTACTAGTTGAAAAGTTATACATAATTATTTTTAACTTTTAGTTTCAGGAGTACATGTACAGGTTGGTTCTTTAGATAAATTGTGTGTTTCAGGGGTTTGGTGTACAGATTATTTTGTTACCCAGGTAATAAGCACAGCAGTACCCGATAGGTAGTTTTTCGATCCTCGCCTTCCTTCCACCCTTCACCCTCAAGTAGGCTCTTGTGTCTATTGCTCCCTTCTTTGTGTTCATGTCTACTCAGTTTTTAGCTTCCATTTATAAGTGTGGTGTTTGGTTTTCTGTTCTTGCGTTAGTTTGCTTAGGATAATGGCCTCCAGCTCCATCCATATTGCTATAAAGGACATTATCTCATTCTTTTTTATGGCTGCATAGTATTCCGTGGTGTATATGTGCCACATGGAAAGTTACACTTAAAAAACCTTTTTTTTTTTCTTTGAGACGGAGTCTCACTCAGTTGCCCAGGCTGGAGTGCAGTGGTGTGATCTTGGCTTACTGCAACCTGCGCCTCCTGAGTTCAAGCGATTCTCCTGCCTCAGTGTCCTGAGTAGCTGGGATTACAGGCACGCAGCACCCTGCTTGGCTAATTTTTTTTTTTGTACTTTTAATAGGGACAGGGTTTCACCATGTTGGCCAGGCTGGTCTCGATCTCCTGACCTTAAGTGATCCGCCTGCCTTGGCCTCCCAAAGTGCTGGGATTATAGGCGTGAGCCACCAGGCCCAGCCTAAAAAAAAGTCTTTTTTAGTGGCTACCCTAGAACAACCGTCAGCAGAATTTTCCTGTAAAGGAGCATATAGTAAAAGTTTTTGGCTTTGTGGACCGGCCTGGGCAGCATTCCATCTTGCTATGGGGTGATACTTCTTGGGGTGATACTTTTCAGGCTGGAAACGTCTGTGGCCACTGGCGCCTCTGCCTGAGTTTTTCTTGGGCCTGCTGGGCTTATTCTGATCACTCTGAATGGCAGGCTGTGTTTGGCTTGCACTACCAGCCTGGATCCCACACCTACCAAAGGAGGGTGTGTGAGTGAGTGAGGAGTTTGGCCACTCTACACAACCGAGCATGCTGGCTGCAGCGGGGCAGGCAGCTCCGGGTGCTGGCATAGGCGCTGGCTTCCTTGCAAGGCTGTGGATCAGGCATACCTCAAGCAGCTTCCATGGCTGGCACTGGGGAATGCAGTGGTGCTCGGAAGCTTGAAGATGCCAGGAACCGTAGAGCCCCAAAGAGGGTGTCAGAGCCCTGGCTTGGGGAGCCCCCAGGTCTGGACTCCATGAAGGGCCTTAGCTCTTTTCTCCTTCTCTCTTCTCTCCTTCTGTTGCCTACAATGGGACGAACAAGGGGCGTATTTCAGCCCTGTTTGTGTTATAGCTCTTTTAGTCCTGCCATTCGGCAGGTCCTGAGTTCTTGTTCTGTACCCAGGAAGAACGAGGTACACGGACAAGTGGAAGGTGAGCAAGGTGAAGGGGAGCTTTATCGAGTGATAGAATAGCTCAGAGGAGACTCGCAGTGGGTAGCTCCTCTCTGCAGCCAGGGTGTCCTGATGAGTGTTCGGGTGTCCTGATGAGTGTTCAGCTGTCAGCAGAGTGGAGACCGTGGAGTGGGTAGCTCCTCACTGCAGCTGGTAGTTGGATATCTCTTCAGCTTTCAGCAGAGGAGACCCTGGGGTGGGTAGCTTCTCCCTGCAGCTGGTTGTCCCATCATCTTCTCAACTCCCGGCAGAGAGGAGACCCTGGGGTGGGCACCTTTTCTCTGCAACTGGCAGGTGGTTGTCTCCCCAAGTCTGGCTGAGTTCAGGCTTTTATAGGTCTCAGCAGGGAGGGTGTGTGTACTGATTGGTTCATTGACAACCATGGGTGAGCCTGGAGAAAGCACCACAAGTTCCCACTCTGGTCATCGGGTGCCAATGGAAAGCCTGGTCCCCAGGCTTCAGGCCTTCCCTGGCTTGAAGGTGGGGTTTCACCAGGGACCTGCCTCCTTTTGCCCAGGAGCCTGCCTGCCTCCTCCTGCTGTTCATGGTGCCCAGGCTGTTTGTGACAGGGGGTGCCTACAGGTACTGAGCTGCCCTCAGTACCCCCTCAGCCTCCCTCTAGTGTTTGTAGGCACCCAAAGTTTAGAGGGGGCCAAGGTGGCAGGGGGCTGGTGTATCAGTGCTATCTGGAGCGTGTGCACACTTGGCCAGGCTGTGACAGTGCCCAGTCTCGGACCCAACCTTTCTCTGAGATTGGAGTGGGTGCTGGGAGTGAGGAGAGGCCAGGCAGTGGGAGCAAACACCTCTGAGCCTGCAGGGACTGGGCGGGGGGCCTTCCTGGGCCTCTGAGAGTGCAGACATGCCTGGGTCTGCAGCTGCAGCTTGGGCGGCTGCAGCTGTGCCTGGGAGGGTGGGGCTCCTGCCTGCTCCCATCCCCCAAGAGCACAGTGATGCCTGGGTCTGCAGCCCACCTGGGCAGGTGGCCGCAGCTGCACCTAGGGAGCACGAAACTCCTGCCCTGTCAACTCAGAAGGTGGCAGGGTTCCCACCTGTTCCTGGCTTCTGCTGCCTCCATGGAGCACGCAGTCCTGGCTGCACCTCCCCCACTGCAGCTGGTATCATGGCAGTGGCCGCTATAGATGGGCCGCTGCTGCCATCGGTGGCATGCACTTACAGTCCCAGCTACTCGGGAGACTGAGGCAGGAGGATCACTTGAGTCCAGAAGGTTGAGGCTGCAGTGAGCCATGATTGTGCCATTGTACTCCAGCCTGCATGACAGAGACAGACCCTGGCTCTATAAAACAAAAACAAATACAAAAACAAAACAAAACAACAACAAAATAAAGTGAGTTAATGGAAAAGGAGCTGTAGGAGTGAGTCAGAAAAAGAGCAAGACTATCAGGAAGACTACAAGAAAAATAACTATGTGAGTACACTTTCAAGAACTAGAAATTGGCTGCTTTAGTCATGCCATAGTGTGGTGTGTTAAAATGAAGAATGAGGAAAGACCTTTGGATTACCAACTCTGTGGAATTTTGTGACTTCTCCGGAGCATTGTCAAGTAGCTTGCTATGTGGGAAGAGTGGTAAGGGAGTAGAAAGTGAGTTCCCAAATATTTGGGAATATGGTGATTTTCAAATACTATTTTCTGGACCAGCAATAACAGAATTACCTGCATTTCCTCAACTCATAACTATTGTTGAGCCTGGTAATGTACATTTAAAAAAAAATTTTGTTTGTTTGTTTGTTTATTTATTTATTTATTTATTTAGAGACGGAGTCTTGCTCTGTCACCCAGGCTGGAGTGCAGTGGCATGATCTTGGCTCACTGCAAGCTCTGCCTCCAGGGTCCACGCCATTCTCCTGCCTCAGCCTCCGGAGTAGCTGGGGCTGCAGGTGCCCACCACCATGCCTGGCTAATTTTTGTATTTTCAGTAGAGATGGGGTTTCACCATGTTAGCCAGGATGGTCCTGATCTCCTGACCTCGTGATCTATCCGCCTCGGCCTCCCAAAGTGCTGGGATTACAGGTGTGAGCCACCGCACCCGGCTGGTAATGTACGTTTTGAAAAAGCTCCCCAGATGATTTTGATGAAAGCTCATGTCTCGGATTTGCAAGTACAGATTTTCCAAGCTGTTTAGTAAGGACTGGCTTGTGATCAAGATGGATTTCTGAGTGGTATTTTGAGACAAACCCTCCTTTTTGTAAAAAAAAAAACAAAACAAAAAAACCCACAAAGCAGTAATTGATAAAATAACAAAGATAAAACCAAACTGACAAAACTAGGACTCAAAAAAGGTAAACACTTCTGTTTCAGGAAGGAGCAGGTGTGATTTTGGCTGCTTTGAAGTAATGGGGAAGTGTAATTAGAGTTGGGCTTATTGTTGGAAACAGTGGTCCAAGATAGGACTCCTGTTAAAAAAGATGTTTCTAAGTTTACTTCCAGGGCTGCCATATTATACAACTTTAGGGATTAGATTGTAGTTACTTAGTACAGTGGTCTTTAACCTTTTTGGCACCAGGGACTGGTTTCATAGATGAAAATTTTTCCACAGATGGGGTAGTAGGGGATGGTTTTGGGATGAAACTATTCTGCCTCAGATCATCAGGTATTAGATGATTAGTTAGATTCTCTGGCATTAGTTAGATTCTCATAAGGAGCATGCAGTTTAGATCCCTTGCATATGCAGTTCACAATAGTGCTTAATGCTTCTATGACAATCTCATGCTGCTGACGATCTGACAGGAGGCAGAGCCCAGGCAGTAATGCTTACTTGCCTGCTGCTCATCTTCTGCTGTGCGGCCCAGTTTCTGACAGGCCATGGACTGGCACTGGTCCATGGCCCAGAGGTTGGGGACCCCTTAACTTAGTACATCTCCTGGAGTGGTACAGGTCACAGCCTCCCTGGCTGTAAGAAGATTTGCTGCTGACTGCTGCCAGATGCCATAGCGTATATGAAGCAAACACTTAGGGATTCAGGAAAGCAAACATAGCTATACAACTAGGAACCTGGTAACTCAGAGTATATCCTCACTGTTATTGCAGAGCAGAATCTCCAGCTAGACTATCTGTAAGAAAAATATTTATGAGATAACTGAGGAAATTTGGAAATTTGAATATCAATTGATCATTTAATACCAAAATTTTTAATTTTTAAAAATATATTTATGATACTGTAGTTCTCTTAAAAAAGTAGTAAACATGTTCTCAGTAAGTGTTTGTATGAAAAACAAAAGAAGTTCCATCAAAAGTGCACTTGTAAAGCTAAATTCTCAAATATATGAACTCATCTCATGCTAAGGAAGATATGAAATAACCATAAGAGCAGTTCCGTCTGGATGACATTTCAGTGTTAGTCTGAAAAATATTAAATTACATACTGAGGGTTTTCAAAAAGAAAAGGAGTAATAGCCCTTAAGTATAAATAATTTTGAAATGTAAATCGGCGGAAAAAAGATGAGGTGGATTTGAAAATGACAAAAACTTTAGAAGTGAAAAATATAGTTGTAATTTTTAAAAGCCAACAGCATGGTGTTCATGAATGAGAAGAGTCAATTAGATGTCAGTTCTGTCCAATATTAATCTGTAAAGTCAATGCAGTATTAAAATCTGAAAAGGTTTTTTTTCACGATAGTAAACATGCAAACTTAAACATTTTTATGGTAGTGTAAATAGCCAAGGTAAAATTTGTAAAGAACAACACATTAAGGTAATGTGCCCTTCAGATACCAAAATTTATTATAGGACTGTAGTAATTAACAGAGGTTCAGGGGTGGAAAAATAGACCTATGGAACAGACTATAGAGCCCAGAACAGATTGATAGGTACAGATCCATAGATGGAATCTATTTTCAGTATGCTATGAGATAGGACTGTTAATTTTCTTCACTCCAACTCAGATTAGCAATTGAACCAGTACCACAGTGAATAGTTTGTCCTTTCCTCACTAGTTTATTTCTTTTTTAATTTTTTTTTTTTTTGAGACAGTCTCATTCTGTCACCCAGGCTGGAGTGTAGGGGTGCGACCTCAGCTCACTGTAACCTCTGCCTCCCGGGTTCAAGTGATTCTCCTGCCTCAGGCCCCTGAGTAGCTGGGATTACAGGGACGTGCCACCATGCCTGGCTAATTTTGTATTTTTAGTACAGACAGGGTTTCACCATGTTGGCCAGGCTGATCTCGAACTCCTGACCTCAGGTGATCCGCCCGCCTTGGCTTCCCAAAGTGTTGAGATTACAGATATGAGCCACCACTCCTGGCCTATATGGCTGGGTTTTTTTTATATGTTTTGTATTAATCTCTGTGTTTGAAAGACCATCTAGGCAAACAGGAAAAAATAGTTTCTTGATTAGAAGACTTTGACAAATATGTAGTAGTATGAGAGGATAGATAGTACCCTGGGCAACATGGTGAAACCCCATCTCTACTAAAAATACAAAAATTAGCCAGGCAAGGTGGCGCACACCTGTAGTCCCAGCCAGGTTGAGGTGAGAGGATCACCTGAGCCCGGGTGATGGAGGGTGCAGTGAGCCAAGATCATGCCGCTGTACTCTAGCCTGGGTGACAGAACAAGACCCTGTCTCAAAAAAAAAAAAAAAAAAAAAGGAAGTAACTGAAAGTATTTCTTCTTATTATTTTTTTAATAGCACATCATCCTTATATGTTAAAGGATGAAATAAATAAGGTAAATATTGATGACACATGAGAGTAGTTTTTTGGGGGCATATAACTAACTAATGAAGATAAGAAACAGGTTTTATCAGCCCTGGAAAGTGTGTGGGGCATATTTTCTCAGTAGAAGACAGGAATGGAATAAGATAGATGAGGTAAAGATAGGAATAAATTTTGAGTTGGAGAAGCCATTTGAAGGAAATCACTATTTTCTCAGTGAGGTATAAAAGTTGAAATCATTCTTCTAGAAGTGTAATATACTGTATACGAGGTTCGAGAAGATGGGAAGAAAATGCAGAATACTTGTAAGGAATGCAATAAATAAGGTTAGGTAAAAAGATATAATGGTAGCATTGAAGGAAAAAGGGAAGCTGAATAAAATTTGTAGTGGTGCCTAGTTGTATAATTGTGTTAAATTTGCCTAGCAAGTCAGGGGCAGGATTCTTTTGTCACTCTTGCCAAACTCCCTTCTCCTTCCCACCTTGTGGGAGGGAGTGAGTCAGAGCCTAGAATTCCTTGAAAATATATGTCTATCTCCTTAGTTGGTTTCTCTCATCATTTTCTTGGTTTTATGTAATTTCTATGTTTATCTATCTTCTTGCTGTTTTTAACAAATTTTACAAAATTTTTGCTCCATTGTTGGGATGCTTTCTTGTTTTTGCTTTATCCTTAAGAAATTTTGGGTACAGGGCAATTAGATTTGCATGGTTATTCTGTCTTAATCCAGTCTTTGTTAAGTATAAGGAAAGAACTTGGTTCTAATCCCAAGTTCCTTACAAACATTTGAGACAGCAGGGGAAAAATAATTTTTCTTTGTACTCTTTGGATTTTTGTATAATAAAACATTGAAATATATGTTTTTTTTGGCAAGTTACTATTTTAGAAAGTGCCTAGATTTGGACAGTGAAACTTAATATTATGTGGTCTCAATGAAACTGTTGCTGTGCTAAGACAAGAGTTAGTATTTTGTGTTTTAGAAGATGTAATCAACATGCTTGTTAAGCTTTTCTTTCTTGAGCATCAGAAAGCAATGTGTATTTACTTCTAAATATTTTGCATCTTTTATGTTACAGTTATTTTACCAAGAAAATGGTTTGCACGACTTTGAACATATACTATCCATGCTGATGGGACAGGATCCAATATGAATATAAATGATGGAGGAAGACGACGCTTTGAAGATAATGAACATACATTACGGATATATCCTGGGGCTATTTCAGAAGGGACAATCTACTGTCCGATTCCTGCCAGAAAAAACTCCACAGCTGCTGAGGTGATTGAGTCTCTTATAAACAAACTTCATCTTGACAAAACAAAATGTTATGTTCTAGCAGAGGTAAAGGAATTTGGTGGAGAAGAATGGATTCTCAATCCAACAGATTGTCCAGTTCAGCGAATGATGCTGTGGCCCCGAATGGCTCTGGAAAATCGCTTAAGTGGAGAGGACTACCGCTTCCTTCTGAGAGAGAAAAACCTTGATGGATCAATCCATTATGGTAGCCTGCAGTCATGGCTACGGGTAACAGAAGAACGTCGCAGGATGATGGAACGGGGTTTTCTTCCACAGCCTCAACAGAAAGACTTTGATGATTTATGTAGTTTACCTGATTTGAATGAGAAAACTCTCTTAGAAAACCTACGAAATCGCTTTAAGCATGAAAAAATTTATACCTATGTTGGCAGTATTCTAATAGTTATTAACCCATTCAAGTTTCTTCCTATTTATAACCCCAAATATGTCAAAATGTATGATAACCACCAACTGGGAAAACTTGAGCCCCACATTTATGCTGTGGCTGATGTAGCTTATCATGCCATGCTTCAGCGCAAAAAGAATCAGTGCATCGTGATTTCAGGAGAGAGTGGTTCTGGGAAGACTCAAAGCACAAACTTTCTTATTCACCACCTTACTGCTCTCAGTCAGAAAGGATTTGCCAGTGGAGTAGAACAGATTATTCTTGGAGCTGGACCAGTACTTGAGGTAAATATATAGAAATCTTATTTTTGATTTTAATTTTGATTTTTATCCTTTGAGGTGGGGGGGTGTACCATTCCTGGAGGTACTGCAATACCAGGTCGATGTGTGGAGTAGATCAAGCAAGATACTGTTCCATCTCCCAGCTCCAAAAACTCATTTAGGGCTGGGCGCAATGGCTCATGCCTGTAATCCCAGCACTTTGGGAGGCCTAGGTGGGTGGATCACCTGAGGTCAGGAGTTCCAGACCAGCCTGACCAACATGGAGAAACCTGTCTCTACTAAAAATACAAAAAAAATTAGCCAGGCGTGGTGGTGCATGCCTGTAATCCTAGCTACTCGGGAGGCTGAGGCAGGAGAATTGTTTGAACCTGGGAGGCAGAGGTTGTGGTGAGCTGAGATCATGCCATTGCACTCTAGCCTGGGCAACAAGAGCGAAAATCCATCTCAAAAAAAAAAAAAATTGTCTTTGGATAGAAGACATTTCAGATATTAAACTATAAAAACATAACTGTACTTGATCTTAGCCAAAAGGCTGAGAAGCTATAGAAATACTGTTCTTGCTATTCTGGGCACACTGCCTGCAGCGTAGCCCTGCTCTACAAGGAGCAGCAATTTAAAAAAAAAGAAAGAAAAATACTGTTCCTATTCTTAAACATATCTTTAAAAAATATTTGATAGATGTGAGAAGATGAAGTAAAACTAAATAGAAGTGTAGACATTATTTTTAGTAACCAAGAGGACCTGGAAGATGGGAACGCAAAAAAGGTGGTGTGGAAGATTGAAGAGTGTGACAGTGGTAATTTTTTTTTTTTAAAGAGAATGTCTTTGGGTCATTAATGATGCAAAGAAAGAGATGACTGTAGTCATTGTATATCCCCCTATAAGGGGAGAAAGCAGAGTCAGGTCGTGTCTAACTGCATTGTGATGGTTGGTGAAAATATTTTTGCTGATATATTTGTATTTCTGCAAGCTTAACAGCTGTGCCTAGCATCGAAACTTGTAATAATGTAGAGAATATGGGAAAAATGTTTAGTTGTGGGATGTTTTACAAGTAATACCATCCAATGTCAAAAGGAAAGATAATACAGAAGGACAAGTACTCCACAGTCTCACTTATATGTGGAATTTGAAAAAGTTGAATGCATAGAAACAGAGCAAAGTGGTAGTTACTAAAGGCTGTGAGGATTGGAGAGATGTTGGTTGTAGGACACAAATTTTTTAGTTATATAGGAGGAATAAGGTCAAGGGATCTATTGTACTTCATGATGACTGTGGTAAGTAACAATACATTATATACTTGAAAATTTCTTTTTTTTTTTTTTTGAGACAATTTTGCTCTTCTTGCCAGGCTGGAGTGCAATGGTGCGGTCTCGGCTCACCGCAGCCTCTGCCTCCCAGGTTCAAGGGATTCTCCTGCCTCGGCCTCCTGAGTAGCTGGGATTACAGGCATGTGCCACCACACCCAGCTAATTTTGTATTTTTAGTAGAGTAGGGGTTTCTCCATGTTGGTCAGGCTGGTCTTGAACTCCCAACCTCAGGTGATCCACCTGCCTTGGCTTCCCAAAGTGCTGGGATTACAGGCATGAGCCATCGCCCCCAGCCTATACGTGAACATTTCCAAGAGAAGATTTTAATTAGTCTCATTACAAAAAATGATAAGTATTGTGAGGTAATGCATACATTAAGTAGGTTGATTTTGCCATTCTACACTGCAGACATATATGAAAACATCATGTTATACACCATAAATATATGCGGTTTTTGCTTGCCAATTTAAAAAAAAAAAAAAAAAAGGAAAGGGAATATAGTGTTTGTTTTAGACCTGAAAGGAAAAGGTAATATTACTTTGTTGTCTTTTTAAAAGATATTTTGTAGGTATAATTGAAATACAGTAAACTGCGTATATTTAAAGTGTATAACATGATAAACTTTGACATGTATATACCCATGAAACCACCACCACAGTCAAGAACATATCCATTATCCCCAGAGTTTCCTCATACCTCTTTGTAATCCCTCTTTCACGCTCCTCTCAGCCCACCCATATATGGGAAACCAGTTAAGTGCTTTCTGTCACTGTAGATTAGTATGCATTTTCTACCATTTTATATAAATGGAACCACATAGTATGTACCCTTTTATATTTGGCTTCTCCCACTTGGTATAATTATTTTGAGATTTATCCATGTTGTTGCATATGTCGATAATACATTCCTTTTTGTTGCTAAGGTAATAGTATTCCATGGGATATCACAATTTTTTAGATCTGTTCACTCATTGATGGATATATGGGTTGTTTTTAATTTTTGGCTATTACATTCAAGTTTATGTAGACATATGCATTTTTTTCTCTTCAGTAAATATCTAGCAATGTAATGACTAGATCAGATGATAAGTATGTGTTTAACTTTTTATTAAGTTCTTTAATTTCTCTTGGCAGTATTTTATAGTTATTAGTGTACAGGTCTTTTACATCTTTGGTAAGATTTATCTCTCAATATTTTTGAGGATGTTATTATAAATGGTGTTCTACAATTTTCAATTGTTTGTTGCTAGTATATAGATATACAGTTGATAGTTACACGTTGACCTTATCTTCTGCAACCTGGCTAGACTTAAATATTAGTGCCATTAACCTTTTTTTTTTGTTTGTTTTTTGAGACAAGGTCTCCCTCTATTGCCCAGGCTGGAGTGTAGTGGTGTCATCATAGCTCACTGCAGCCTCGATCTCCAGGCTCGAGTGATCCTCTCACGTTAGCCTCCTGAGTAGCTGGCACTATCAGCCTGTGTTGCTGTGCTCGGCTGTGTTTTTTTTTAATTTTTAGTAGAGACGAGGTCTCACTATGTTGCCTAGGCGGGCTGGTCCTGAACTCCTGAGCTCAAGTGATTCTCCTGTCTTGGCCTCCTAAAGTGCTGGGATAACAGGCATGAGTCACCACACCTGCCCACCCCTGCAACAGCTTTTTTATAGATTCCATTGGATTTTTCATATAGTCAGTCATGTCTGTGAATAAAAAGTTTTTCTTACTTTCCAGTTTGGATGTCTTTTTTTTTTTTTCTTGCTTGATTTCACTGGCTACTCCAGTATAATGTTGAGTAGAGGTGGTTGAAAGCAACATCCTTGTCTCGTTTCTGATCTTAGGGGAAAACATTTAGTCTTTAGCCATTAAGTTATAATGATAGCTGTTGGTTTTTTGTAAATTCTCTGTCACATTGAGCTTGATCCCTTCTGTTCCTAGCTTGTTTAGAGCTTTTTTTCAGGAATGGATGTCAAAATTCATTCTGTCAAGTGTTATTTCTGTGTCTTATTGAGATGATTATATTTTAAACTTTGTTAATGTGAATTACATCATGAGGGACATTGTTTTCTTTCTCATTAAAAAAATTTTTTTTGAGAGTGGATCCCACAGTGTTGCCCAGGCTGGTCTCAATCTCCTGGGCTTCAATGGTTCTCCTGCTTCAGCCTTCCAAATAGTTGAGATTATAGGCATGCACCATCATGCCTAACATTGTTTTCCTGAATGTCTTTTTTTTTTTTTTTTTGCATTCTATCTTGCACCATCATGCCTAACATTGTTTTCTTTAATGTCTTTTTTTTTTGCATTCAATCTTTTGCATTGATAGAATTATCAAGTCTCATAGGATGAATTGGGAAGTCTTTTCTCCTCGTATTTTTGGAAGAGTTGTGTAGAACTGGTTTTTTTTTTTTTTACTGTCAGTGTTGGAATTCATTAATGAAACCATCTGGACCTGGTGTTTTTTATGGGAGAATTTTAAACAAGGTTTCAATTTTAAAAGTAGATATAGAGTTATTCATGTGATTATTATTATTACTGTTTTTTTTTTTTTAGTAAGCTTTGGTAGTTTGTGTCTTTCAAGAAACTTGCTTAATCTAAGTTATCATATTTATTCTCATAAAGTTTTATATAATATTCCCTTATTGGCAACTGCTGTGGCTGCCACCGCTGCCACCGGCTCTGCAGCTGTAGGGGACCTGTGCAGGTACGCAGGTGAAAGGAGCTCTTTGCCTGCTGAAAGTTCCCACGGAAAAACTACCATCTCCCCAGCTCACCATGGTGTACGAAATTGATTTAACTACTGGAGATGCTGGGGCTTCCAGCACTCACCCTATGCAGTGCTCAACCTTGCGGAAAAGTGACTTCATGATGTTCAAAGGACAACCATGCAAAATAGTGAAGATGTTAACTTCCAAAACTGGAAAACTTGGTCATGCCAAGGTTCACCTTGTTGGAATTGCTGTTTTCATGGGAAAAAAAGAAGAAGAAGATATTTGTCCTTCTGTTCACAACGTGGATGTTCCAAATATTCAGAGACATGATTATCAACTGATATGCATTCAAGATAGTTGCCTTTCCCTGCCGACAGAAGCTGATGAAGTTCCTGAGGATCTTAAACTGCCAGAAAGTGAACTAGGCAAATAAATACAAGGAAAATACAACGCAGGTGAAGATGTACAGGTGTCTGTCATGTGTGCAATGAGTGAAGAATATGCTGTAGCCATAAAACCCTGCAAATAAATGGGAGCCTCAACCTCCCTGGCTTAAGCAATTCTCCCACCTCAGCCTCCCAAATAGGTGGGATTATAGGCATGTACCACCACACCTGGCTAATTTTTGTATTTTTTGTAGAGATGGAGTTTTACCATGTTGCCCAGGCTGGTCTTGAGCTCCCAGGCTCAAGCGATCCACCTGCTTTGGCTTCCCAAAGTGCTAGAATTACAAGCTTTTAAAGTTTTTAGTATGATCTCTGAGGTCATTGATTTTAGATCATTCTTTTCTAATATATTTATTTAGTGCTGTAAATTCTTTCCTAGGTACTGCTTGTACTGCTATCCCACAAATTCTGACATATTGTGTTTTCATTTTTATTTAGTTTAAAACATTTGATAATTTCCCTTTTGATTTCTTTTTTTGTGACTTATTCTTTATTTTTTTGTTTCCTGCTGGTAAGCCATAATTATATAATCATTGTAGAAAGAAATGTATAAAATATTGTTGTAGAAAATACCGGGTTCTTCGGGAGGCAAAGGTTGCAGTGAGCCAATATCATGCCATTGCACTCCAGTCTGGTCAACAGAGCGAGACTCCGTCTCAAAAAAACGGAAAATACTGGGTTCTTGTCACACGACCAGGAAAGATTAGGCTCGCAGACACATAGAAGGGTGAGGAGTAAAATTAATGAATGAAAAGGAAAAACAATTCAGGAAAGTGAGATGAGGTCCTCCTAACAGGCTGTTCACCTCACTAATTTGATCCCAAGTCTTCACACAGAAACAGGAGAGGCCAGGCTCCTCCCCCCTGCAAATGGCATAGACTTCACAAGTCTTCACCCTGTCTTCCTGGTATGCAGGTCAGTTGGAGATTCTCCTGGAACCTTTTGTTACTTGCCTGTCTCATTCTCCCCTCTAAAGAAGTGCATCTAAGTGCCATTAGAATAAGGATAAGGATGAGGATGAAGACCAATTTTAACTGCCTCCTGCTGACGGGGCACTGTTTTGGAAAAACAGCAGTCAGATCTTCCTAGAGGCCTATCTACGGGCTCCCAGCAAAAGTGGCCGTTGTCCGAGGCTCCTAGTTGGATGACTATTTGGAGCTTGATGGCCCAGGCAGGGCTATGTTCTGACATATTCCTGTGTCCATGCAGTGGATGAGGTTGTGATTTGTGGTCCACAAGCCTAGGGTGATGGAGAGACCAGATTGCTGCTGCAGGTTCAGGGTTATTTCCCAGCTTCCAGGATGTCCTGGCTTCTTAGCTGTGCATCTCCCAGGACCTGGAGATCACAGAGGAACGGAGGCTGTGACAAAGTCACCAGGGGCTCCTGAGGTGGAGGACGTAGAACAGCAGAGACAGATCCCACCCACCCCCTTTTTTTTCTTTGAGACAGAATCTTGCTTTGTCGCCTGGGCTGGAGTACAGTGGCACAATCTCAGCTCACTGCAACCTCCACTTGCCGGGATCAAGCGATTCTCCTGTCTCAGCCTCTTGAGTAGCTGGGACTATAGGTGTGCGCCACCACACCCAGCTAATTTTTGTGTCTTTAGTAGAGATGGGGTTTCTCCATGTAGGCCAGGCTGGTCTTGAACTTGACCTCAGATGATCCACCCACCTCAGCCTCTTAAAGTGCTAGGATTACAGGCATGAGCCACTGTGCCTGGCCTGATTTCTTCTTTGAACCATGGGTTGCTTAGATTTGTGTTTAGTTTGTAAATATTTAAATCCTATCTGGTTTTTTTTGGAAACCTAATTATTTTATTATAAATATATATAAACAAAAATTTTAAAGACACTGAAAAATGTACAAATATAAAACTGTATTTAAATTTTTTTCCTTAAAGTTTGTATACAACTATAAAGCAAAACAGATTTTGCCAAATTAAGTACAAACGGAACTTCAAATCAGTGAACTTTAGATTAACAGTATTACTTGAAAAGTATGGATGGTATTTTGTTGAAATTAATTTGCTACTCACGAGTGAATACAGTACTTTCTAAAACAATGACATACTTGTGTCACTTTAGTTTCTTTCACATGACCAATTCTCAATAAAGATTTGTGAATTTAATTCTCAGGAAGGTATAAATAATTCGAAATATTTTGGTGTATCAGAAAACCAAAATCTAAAAGTCTCTATCTTTGGCCCACTGCACATTGTATCTATCTAACCTCTGTATAGACTATATGGATAAATATGGATTTCACTCTCCCTTTATATAGATATATATCTACTTATATCTATCTTATAGGTAAATATATATAGATTATGTATATATTTTAAGTTATTAAACTAATTATACATGCTGTAAAACAAACAATGCAGAAACGAATGAAGTAAGAAATGAAAGCCCTTTTGTACAAACATTAGGTTGCTGTAACAAAGGTCAAAACAATAAGGGATTAAAGAAGATAGACTCTTATTTCTCTCACGTCATAATACACATGGTAGCAGTCTTGGGCTGATCTGGTTGATTGTACAGTGATGGGCACGGGCTCCTTCTTTGTGGCTCTGCCATTCTCAGTACATGGCTTCCATCTTAGTCTAAGATGGCTGTTTCCATTTACCCTACTGGTTTTTGGTTGTCATGAAGGTGCTTTTTGTGTGTGTGTAGTTAGTTGTTAAATTGGTGTCTTTTTGTGTGTGGGGGAGCAGTCAGTGGATCTGTGGATCTGTTCCACATCTTGCTCTGCCCCAATCCTGTCCTCTGAGATTCTGTCCCCTGTTCTTGATTTATAATTTAATTCTTTTGTGGTTAGATAACACTGTGTTGTATAACTTGAACTCTCTTAAAGTTATTGAGACTTGTGGCCCAGAACATGGTCTTTCGTGGTGGATATTTTTTGTGCATTTAAGAATTCTGTATTTTGGCCAGGTTAAATAACACTGTGTTGTATAGCTTCAACTCTTTTAAATTTATTGAGACTTATGGCCCAGAACATGGTCTTTCGTGGTGGATATATTTTGTGCATTTAAGAGTTCTGTATTTTGGCCAGGTGTGGTGGCTCATGCCTGTAATCCCAGCACTTTGGGAGGCCAAGGAGAGTGGATCACTTGAGCCCAGGAGTTCAGGACCAGCCTAGGCAACATGGGTGAGACCCTGTCTCTACAAAAAAATGGAAAAGAAAATTAGCTGGATGTGTTGGTATGCACCTGTAGTCCCAGCTACTGTTGGAAGGCTGAGATGGGAGGATGGCTTGAGCTCAGGAAGTTGAGGCTCCACTGAGCTGTGATGGTGCCACTGCACTCCAGCCTGAGTGATAGAGTGAGACCCTGTCTCAGAGAAAAAAAAAAAAAAAAAGCTGATAGTCTTTGCCTAGTAAGTCCAGCATCTGGGCATTATCAGGAACGGTTGCTGTTTAGTGCTATTTTTCATTTTCCCATGCCCATACTTTTGTACTTTTTTGCATGTCTCTTAATTTTTTGGTGAAAACTAGACATTTTTAAATAATAATAATGATGTGGCACCTCAAAATGAGATTTTCCCAAGGTTTGTGGTTGTTTTCTTACCGTTATTTGGTTGTTTCATGACTTCTTTGAACTAATTTTGTAAAGTCTATATTTTTGTGCATGAGATCATCAAAAACTGTACTCAGTTATAGTGGTTAGTTATGATTAGACTTGGATTTCCTTAAATGCCTGAAGTTAAGGCCTCCAGTCTTTACTATGAGGTTCTGTGTGTTTGTTGACTCACCCCTTCAGTACTCAGCCAAGCGGTTGTCAACTCTGCCTTACCTTTTACTTCCTGCTTACAAAGAACCTCAAGTTCAAAACACAGGTCTCCTGTGTTTTGTGAGCATCGACATATCCTGGGCATGTGCAGTGCTGTGCATGCTCGTGGCCTTCCATATGCCCATGAATATTTCAGATGTTTTCAGAGTCCCCTTTGTACATATTATTCACCAGCTTTTCCTTTTAAGTTGTTTGGTGTTTTTTTTTTTTTTTTTTTTTGCCCCATTCTGTTATTGCCACCTTAAGCAGTTATAGTGTTTAAACAATTGCTTCTGATTGTTTTTGACAAGCACACATAGTGATGGTGGGTGGGTGCAGTGGGGAGTGTGAAGAGGCTGTTTTAAGCAAGTGATTTCCAAGTAAGGTCAAGAAAGTCCTTATGACACCACTGCACTCCAGTCTGGGTTGACAGAGTGAGACCCTGTTGCAAAAAAAAAAGTAGGATGAGGGGCAGGCACTGTGGCTCATGCTTATAATCCCAGCACTTTGGGAGGCTCAGGTAGGTGGATCACTTGAGCCCAGGAGTTCAAGACCAGCCTGGACAACATAGGGAGATCCCCCTTCCCCCACCATCTCTACAGAAAAATACAAAAATTAGCTGGGTGTGGTGGTGCATGGCTGTGTGTAGTCCCAGCTACTCAGGAAGCTGAGGTGGAAGGATTGCTTAAGTCCTGGAGGTTGGAGGCTGTAGTGAGCTGTTATAGCACCACTGCACTCCAGCATGGGTGACAGAACGAGATCTTGTCTCAAAACAAAACAAAACAAAACATACATACACACAAAAAGAGTACCCTTTGTGTGAGTTTTTCCAGGGAAATGCCAGATAAGTCAAATTGTGATGATTTTCTCGGGGAAGTGGAGTTTGGATGAGTTCCATCCCTGTTCTGATTCTTCAGGTGGCTTCTTGGGTGTCTTTAAAAAAAACCCCATCATTGTAGGATGTTGGTTTTTCTCTTCAGTGTGGAGCTAAAGAGAAAGGAGTAGTAATAGCACAAGTTAAAATGCCTGATTTTCCTAACCAAGACTCATCTGTTTTTTCTTGATTAAATGCCTCTGCCAAGGGTTCTTGCAATCCTTTGGTTAATTTCCAGAGTTCTTAAAAATTTGAGTTTGACAGTTTTTGTCAGCATTCTTGTGCCTTTTATGAAGGAGAGGATGTTTAGAGGTCCTTACTCTGCCATTTTTGCTAATCTCACTCTCAATGATCTTTTCAAAAGATTTAAGTACTAAAAAATATTTTATGTATTTATTCATGGGGCAACCATTTCTGCTGTTCTTCCTTCCTTATATAGATCCATGTTTTAATATGATACAATTTTCCTTCTGCTTAAATGACTTCTTTAATGTTTCTTTTAGTGCAGGTTAGCTTGTGATGAATATTTTCAACTATGTATATCTGAAATTGTCTTTTTTGTGCCTTATATTTTGAATAAATATTTTGAGGAGTTAAGTTTTTTTGAAATAAGTAATCATATTATAAAATTCTATGAATTTAAAATATTACCTTTTATAGTCCTCTGTGTATAAAACTCTGATACTCCTTATCTTCATACCCTCTGCCCTGCCATCCTTTCATGACTCAGAATCACTTGTCTGCTCTCCATTGCAGCTGTTTTTGTTTTTGAGAATGTCATATACATAGAGTCCTATAGTATGTAAAGTTTTTTATTTTTTTGAGGCCCGGGTTTCAGTCTGTCACCCTGGCTGGAGTGCAGTGGTACAGTCACAGCTTACTGCTGCCTCGACCTTCTAGACTTCAGTGATCTTCCCACCTCAGCCTCCAGATTAGCTGAGATTACAGGTGTGTGCCACCATGCTGGTCTAATTTTTAAAAACTTTTTGTAGAGATGAGGTCTCCCTATGTTGCACAGGATGGTCTCAAACTCCTGGCTTCAAGCAGTTCTGTCCCCTTGGCCTCCCAAATTGCTGGGATTACACATGTGAACCACCACATGTAAAGTTTTGAGACTGATTTCTCTCATTCAGTGTTGTATCTTTGAAATTCATCCAGGTTGTTAAAATACGGCAGTTGTTTATTTTGCTTGTGAGTAGTATTCCATTATTTAGATGAATCACAGTTTGTTAAATCCTTCATTTGTTGGTGGACATTTCGTTATTTTCAAGCTTTGACTGTCAAAAAGCTGATGATAATGTTTGTGCCTTGATGTGTATGTATATATAAATTTGTATTTCTCAGTAGTAAATAGCCAGGAGGGGTATCGCTGGGTCATATTGTTAAGAGTGTGTTTAACTTTCTGTGAATGTTTTACTTTTTGTTAGATTGTCTTCCAGAGTTGTTCTACCATTTTGCATTTCCACCAGCACTGTATGAGTGTTCTAGTTCCTCTGCATCCTCAGCAGCACTTGGCATTGTCAATTTTTGTTGATTATTTTAGCCATTCTAATAGGTGTGTAGTAGTATCTCATTGTGGTCTTGACGGAATTTCTGTAATAGTTGGTGATGTTGAACATGCTTTCTCATGCTTATTTGCCACCCATATAACTTATTTGGTGAAGTAACTATTGCAAGCCTACCTCTCAAAATGGCCCTAAATGACTTTATGTAGTGATAAAAGTTGTATTGCAATCACAGGTTAAGTAACAGGTAAAGCTTCTGATTTGCTGTTGACATTGTAGCCTTGGGCAGAATCAAAAGTAGCATATATGAAAATAAGAGTAGTACATCACACATCCATATTTCGTATCTCCAAGCCCACGGTTTTATTTTGTAAGTTTTTTCAAAATGTAATGCATTTGACACTTAAATGAATATTTCTTTGATGAAATGTATGTTTCTGTTTGTTTCTACATTTTATTAATCTGTGCTATGTGGTTTTTCTAAATTCCTTGTAAAAAACTTTCTATGGTGGAAAGGGAAAAAGCAGAATGGACAAACTGTTCTAGGCATTCAGGACTCAGCAATGTCAAGCTTTTTTGTGTATATAGTTTGCAGATGGTTCGGTGATGGTTGAGAGCCTGGGCTCTTTTCCATGACTTACTAAGATACAGTATAATCTAAACATTCATGAGGGACATTTCTGGAGATTTTTATGAATCTTTGCATTTGCTGCTATCATTATAGAATAATTTCTTAAGACATAGTAAAATGTAATTTCTCAGAAATGTAAATGCATGCATAATAAGTAGAGCGGTGGTTGTCAAACTTTGGCTTACATCTGAACCACTCGAAGGGGGTTTTATAAGCACAGATTGCTGGACCTTATCCTCAGAGTTTCTCATTCAATAGTTTTGTGAGGGACCCAAGAATTTGAATTTCTAACAAATTTTCAGGAGATGCTGATGTTTCTGGTCTCAGGACCATGATACAGTTGTAGTTGAGTACGACTACTTGAGTACAGATGTAGTTGCCGGGGCATCAGCTTGGTTGACGTCCTCGCCTTGTCTTGTATGTGTGCGTGCGTCCGTGTATATATGCTCTGCACAGTTACAGTTTAGCACAAACAGCTTTGCATTTAGGGAGGTGTTCAGTAAATGGCTACTTTAGGATTTTGGAGTTAGAGGGCATGCCATTCCCATGAGATTATTGTAGGAGAAGAAAAAAGCTCCGCAATGAATCATCTCTGTGTCTTTTCTAGTTTTGTTTCTTCAAGTATAATGTGATTGCTCAGGCTAGGGCAGTGGCTTCATTTTTAAAAACATTTACATCTTAAATTTCATTGAGCTATATTGAGCTATAACTTACAATAAAATCTACACATTTAAAGCGTACAGCTCAGTGAATTTTGATAAATGTATATATCCATGTGACCACCATCACAGAATTGAGCTATAGATTATCTTTATCACCCATTGTGCCCCTTTGTAGATATTTCTCAATTCCACCCGGATTCCCAGATAACCGCTGATCTGCTTCCTGTTATTCTTGTTTTGCCTTTTCTAGAATTTCATATAAATAGATTATATGATATGTACTTTGTGCCTGGTTTCTTGTGCTTAGCATAGTGTTTGTTGATATCATTAGTTTATTTTTATTCCTGGGCAGTATTCCATTGTAAGGTACATACTTTGGGTGACGATTTAGGAAGTTTATAGTTCTTATTCTTTTGTAATGAGTACTCTAGCTTTGTTTTAAATAGGCATAATAAAGTATAGTACATTATGTACTGGAATTTCATTTCATTCTATTCTAAAATTGTAATTATTTTGATGTAATTATTATTTTCCTAACTCCTTGTTACTTCAGTTTAGCAAATTTTTTAAAAAGTAAAAGTATAAATATATTAAGACTTTTTTGTAGGGGGGCTCTGGAATGTGAAAGAGAAATCCAAACTTTAAAGAACATTACATTTTTAAAATTATGATTTATTTTGGCTGGGTGCAGTGGCTCACACCTGTAATCCTAGCACTTTGGGAGGCCGAGGCAGGCAGATTGCCTGAGCTCAGGGGTTCCAGACCAGCCAGGGCAACACATTGAAACCCCATCTTTACTAAAATACAAAAAAATAGCCAGGCTTGGCGGCGTGGGCCTGTAGTCCCAGCTACTCGGGAGGCTGAGGCAGGAGAATTGCTTGAACCCAGAAGGCAGAGGTTGCAGTGAGCCGAAATCACACCACTGCACTCCAGCCTAGGCGACAGTGAGACTCTGTCTCCAAAATAAATAAATAAATAAATAACATAAAATAAAATTATGGTTTATTTTACTGAATAGCACAAAATAAAATCTACTTGATCTTCTTTCAGTTGTTAATTGCTTTTTTTTTAAAAAAATTTTGCCTGAACTGTGAATGAGTCTGAACATACAAGCAAATTGTCTTTTTACTGTCTCTTTAACATTTTGTCTCTGAGCTGACCTAAGCAGCTGACCTAATCCCCCCTCCAAAAAAAAATTTTTTTTTTTTAGTGAAACTAATGAGAATTATTTATTTTGACAGGCCTTTGGAAATGCAAAGACAGCTCATAATAACAATTCAAGTCGTTTTGGGAAGTTTATTCAAGTAAATTACCAGGAAACAGGCACTGTACTTGGGTAAGTACTGCTACTTAGCAGGCGTAGGCTTTGGAGCATGTTTTAATTTTTGTCTTTACCCTTTTATAAACTATGTATTGTTCATTCCCAGACATTGGTGTCAGCATTAAAATTCTTCCCTGTCAACTTTTTTTAGTTTTGGAAAAGTTAAAACCTCAGAAAAATTTTAACACCAATGTAACAGTCACACATACTCTTAACCTAGATTTGATTGTTGTCAATGTGTTGCATTTGCTTTCTATATATTATGCATACATTTGTTCTTTTAAAAAATTGTTTTCAAGGCCAAGCATGGTGGCTCACACCTGTAATCCTAGCACTTTGGGAGGCTGAGGTGGGTGGATCACCTGAGGTCAGGAGTTGGAGACCAGCCTGACCAACATATAGTGAAAACCCATCTCCACTAAAAAATAACAAAAATCAGCCGGGCACAGTGGCGCAAACCTGTAGTCCTAGCTACTTAGGAAACTGAGACAGGAGAATCTCTTGAACCTGGGAGGTGGA
This sequence comes from Homo sapiens, assembly GCF_000001405.40. Classification (NCBI taxonomy): domain Eukaryota; kingdom Metazoa; phylum Chordata; class Mammalia; order Primates; family Hominidae; genus Homo; species Homo sapiens. The sequence continues at coordinate 72,031,989 of NC_000015.10, read as the reverse complement.
GGTTGCAGTGAGCTGAGATTGTGCCACTTTACTCCAGTCTGGGCGACAGAGCGAGACTCTGTCTCTCAAAAAAAATAAAAAAATAAAAAGTTGTTTTCAAGTAAGTTGGTATTTTCTAATCTACATTTTCCTATATAACCATATTATTATATTCGAGAAATTTAATTTTGTTACAATATTGTTTCTTATTATATAGTCTATGTTCAGAGTCCTCTGGTTGTGTGAGCAATATTCTTCATAGTTTTTTTTTTTTAAATAGACTATTTTTTAGAGCAGTGGTAGCTTCACAGCAAAAATAAGTGGAAAAGTACAGCAAATTCCCCTATATTCCTTTAAACTCCCCCTACCACCACCCTTATCTGTGATTTCAGTTTATGCAGCTTCAGTTACCCAAAGATAGTTGAGTATAGTACAGTAAGATGTTTTCAGACAGAGACCACATGCACATACATTTTATTACAGTGTATTGTTATAATTGTTTTATTATTTATTATTTATTTTTTTTGAGAAGGGTCTCACTCAGTTGCCCAGGCTGGAATGCAGTGGTGCAATCTCGGCTCACTACAGCCTCTTCCTCCCGGGTTCAAGTGATTCTCCTGCCTCAGCCTCTAGAGTAGCTGGGACTACAGGCGTGTACCACCATACCTGGCTAATTTTGTATTTTTTGGTAGAGATGCTGTTTCACTGTGTTGGCCAGGCTAATCTTGGATTTCAGGCATGAGCCACTGTGCCCAGCCTAGTTGTTCTATTTTATTATTAGTTATTGTTAATCTCTTACTGCAGTGGTCCCCAACCTTTTTGGTGCCAGGGACTGGTTTCGTCGAAGACAATTTTTCCACAGACTGGGGGATGGAGGAATGGTTTTGGAATGATTCAAGCTTGTTACATATATCATTAAATTCTCATAAGGAGTGTGCAGCCTAGATCACTCTCATGTGTGATTCACAATAGGGTTTACATTCCTATGAGAATCTAATGCCGCCGCTGATCTGACAGGAGGTGGAGCTCAGCTTTGCTCAGTTGCTGGCCGCTTACCTCCTGCTGCGTAGCCCGGTTCCTAACAGGTCATGGACCGCTACGAGTCCATGCCCTGGGGGTTGGGGCCCCCTGTCTTCTGTGCCTAATTTATAAATTAAACTTTGTCATAGGTATGTATGTATAGGAAGAAAAGACGCAGGCCAGGCACCCCTATAATTTCACCACTTTGGGAGGCTGAGGTACGCAAATCATTTGAGGTCAGGAGTTGGAGACTCACCTGGCCAACATGGTAAAAGCCCATCTCTACTAAAAATACAAAAATTAGCCAGGTGTGGTGGCACGTGCCTGTGGACCCAGCTGTTCAGGAGGCTGAGGTGGAAGAATCACTTGAACCCAGGAGGCGGAGTTTGCAGTGAGCTGTGATCGTCTGGGAGACAGAGCAAGACTCCTCCAAAAAAACAAAGTTCAAGGAAAAAAACCATATATATATGTATATATAGATATAGATATAGTATATAGATATGTATTATGTAGAATGGGATATATATGTGGGTTTGGTATTATTTGTGGTTGGCATCTTAGAATGTATCCCCCATGAATAAAGTGGAAGGGGGCTACTGTAGTTGAAAAAGAGAGCCTTTGTAGTTAAAACAAACCTGAGTTAAAAGTTATGCTTTTTACTAGCTGTGTGATCTTAATATCTTTCAGCATCAGTTTCTATACTTGTAAAATAGGGGCAGTAATATTTGCCACGCAAGGTGGTTGTGAGGATTTAACATATTCATGTTAATTTCCTTTCTCCCATTTTAGACAGGTAAGAGCCTGTTTTGGTAATTTAGACTGGAAATGGCAATGGTAATTCAGAAAAAGAAATAAATTTTAATTATTGGTGGTGGTAGTGGCAATGGATTTTCAAAGAACCCACATTTGAGCTTTATTTTAATGAAGGAATGCAATTTACTGGACAGAGACTGGGAATAGACTAGGGAATTGGAAGTGGGAGGAAGAAAGTGAGCAGTGCAGTTAGGAGTGAATGGAATCTTTGAGGGATTGTGTGTTTGTGAGTGACTGAAGTATATAGCATGTGGTGGGAGGCAACTGGGAGAAATACAGCTTAAGAGTCAGATTCTGGCCTCTAAGAGGTTTGTCCTAATAATTTGGATTCAGTAATCTAAAGCTTTTACATTTCAGATTCTAGAACCCCTTTCCAATGAGATCTTAGCTGATTGCACCCATTTGGGTAAGAAGTTTTAAAGACTTGGAGGGCACAGTCTGGATAAAGAGAAAAAAATATCAGATATACAATTGATGTTTAATTCCTCATTACTTTCAGGATAAAGTTCGTTCTTCTGGCATATAGTATAGTAGCTCTTGATCGTAGTCCGTCCACCTATATCATTCTCTAGTCATACGTAACTTGGGTCATACACCACACAGTGATGTTTCAGTAGATGATGGACCTCATATACTATGGTAGTCCTATGAGATTTTAATACCCTATTTTTACTGTACTTTTTCTATGTTTAAATGCACAAATACTTACCATTGTGTTACAGTTGCCTATAGTATTCAGTGCAGTAACATGCTGTATAGCTATGTAACCTAGGAGCAATAGGCTATAAGATAAGGCCTAAGTGTGTAGTAGGCTATACTATCAGGGTTGTATAAGTGCACTCTGTGATGCTGACAAACAACAAAATTGTCTAATGATGCATTTCTCAGAATGTACCTCTGTAGTTAAGTGATACGTAACTAATTGTTTTCCCTGAAGTTGGTATGTGTACCCTCCTTCCTTTATAACTTTACATAAAGGCAGTTCTCCTTTCCTTCTGGTTAATCCTTCAGATTTTGAATTCATTTACCCAGTCACTCTTTCACCAGATATATGTAATGAAAGTTTACTCTGTGCTGTGTACTCACTTATCCATGGGAATTCTTCTTTACATCCTTTTTCCTTCTTGGATTGAATCTCAGGTGTCTCTCTTTGTGTACGCATAATATCCTGGTCATTGCTCTACAATAAGCCCTATCAACTCAGTATGATAGCTGCTAGATTATCTCCTTTCTCTACTAATTTGTAAGTCATTTGAGAACAGGCAGTAGATCACTTATTTCCATATTCCTTGTGCTTGATATAGTGCCCAATAAATAACTATAGAGTAAATCATTATATAATAAATTGATTTTAGGCTGTGACAATAGCGTAAATATATAAAAAGAAACTATGTATATCTTTGAGCCTTATGTAGTAATCTGTCCAAAGTATGTCTGGAAGAATGTGTAGTGGTATATAGCCTAGAAATAATGTAGAGTCTTTCTTCAGGGATCTTGTGTACTGTGTTTTAAACTTCTTTTTTTTTTTTTGAGACGAAGTTTTGCTCTTGTTGCCCAGGCTGGAGTGCAGTGGCATGATCTCAGCTCACTGCAGCCTCTGCCTCCCGGGTTCAAGTGATTCTTCTGCCTTAGCCTTCCGAGTAGCTGGGATTACAGGCGTGCACCACCATGCCTGGCTGATTTTGTATTTTTAGTAGTGATGGGGTTTCTCCATGTTGGTCAGGCTGGTCTCGAACTCCTGACCTCAGGTGATCCACCCTCCTCGGCCTCCCAAAGTGCTGGGATTACAGGTGTGAGCCACTGCGCCTGGCCTGGTTTAAACTTCTTATTTTATTTTGCTTTAGTGAAAGAAAAAAGACTCGTGACCATATGAATTTAACATGGATAACACTAACAGTACCCATACCACAATTATAATAGTATGTACATATATATATTTATATATATATATATATATATTTATTTATTTATTTATTTTTTTGAGACAGATTCTCACTCTGTCACCCAGGCTGGAGTGCAGTGGCCTGATCTTGGTTCACTGCAACTTCTGCCTCCCAGGCTCAAACAATTCTTCTGCCTCAGCCTCCCGAGTAACTGGGATTACAGGTGCCTGCCACCATGCCTGGCTAATTTTTGTATTTTATTAGAGATGGGGTTTCACCATATCAGCCAGGCTGGTCTTGAACTCCTGACCTCAGGTGATCCTCTCATCTCGACCTCCCAAAGTGCTGAGATTACAGGTGTGAGCCACCTCGCCCGGCCAATGGCGCATATTTTGAAATGATCTGGATAGTATTCTTTATACTTTTACACTGTCTCCAAATATTTTTCTGCCTTATATTAAACTTTATTATTTATATCAACCAATTTAATTTTTCTTGTAGTGCCTATGTTGAAAAATATCTACTGGAGAAGTCCAGACTCGTTTATCAGGAGCATAATGAACGGTACGTATTTTTATTTGTGTAATTAGATGAAGTTAACATTTGTATCACGCAGACTGACTTTTAAGGTCTTTGTGTATTATGACCCTTAATTCAGTTTACGTCATGCATAGCTTTATGCATAATTGCTATTTCTGTCATGGGCAGAACTTTGCAGTTTTTCAGAGGCTGCTAGGAGATCTTTATTTGGTATATAGAACTATTGCAAACTGTCAGAACAAGTAAGCAGTTTCTCAGTTGTTCCTCATTCCTCTTGGTGAGCAATGTGCCTTGGGACTTTGCTCCCATTTCCTTAGTGTTCTTTTTCTAACTTGAGAAAAAAAATTTTCAATAAAGCTCTTAATTCCATTGTATTACTTGAGGTATACAGGTCTTTAGAGATGATATATGTGGTATCCTTCAGATGGAGAAATAAGATAAAGAAGTAAATTCATGATTTGTTTCATGCTACAGTGAGATTTGGTTAAGAGAGGGTTTGACTTCCATTCAAATATTGGGTATGCCTTGGGCATCTCATTTAACTTTTCTGCTTCTTGGTTATTTATTCCCATTTTACAGATAGAAAACTATTAGTAACTTTTTCTAACACATTTTAATGATAATGAAATAAGGGTATATAACTCTTATTTCCTTGGTTTTGGAGAATGAATGAGAGGTGAAATCCAGTTTTTACAAACCAATTCTCTAGAAGAGTTTGTGAAGGATTGGGTTAATTCTTTAAACATTTGGTAGAATTCACCAGCAAAGCCATCTGGTTCTGACTTTTATTTGTGTGAAATTTTGATTATTAATTGAAACACTTTAGTTATTATAGATCTGTTCAGACTTTTTGTTTCATCTGTGGTCAGATTTGGTAGTTTTTATCTTTCTAGGAATTTGTCCATTTCATCTAGGTTATCTAATTTGTTGCCAAAACTTGTTTTATAGTATCCCTTACAATCTTTTTTGTTTATGTAAGATTGGTAGTAATGTTCCGCTTTCATTCACTCCTGAATTTGATTCTCTCTGCTTCTTTCTCTGTCTGTCTCATCAGTTTAGATAAAAGTTTAATTTTGAAGATCTTTTCAAAGAACCGATCTTTAGTTTCATTGATGTTCTCTATTTTTTTTCCTATTTCCTATTTCATTTATTTCTGCTCTGATGCTTATTATTTCCTTCCTTCTGCTTGCTTTGGGTTTAGTTTGCTTTTTTTTCTAGTTTCTTAAGGTGGATGGTTAGGTTATAGATTTGAGATCTTTTTTATATGGGTTTACAGGTATAAAGCCCCTCTAAGCACTGCTTCAACTGTTTTCCATGTATTGGTGTAGTGTTTTGTTTTTGTGCATCTTGGAGTATTTTATAATTTTGCTTGTGACTTCTTTAACCCACTGGTTATTTAGGAATGTGTTGTCAAATTTCCATGTATTTGTATTTTGGAAATGTGATTTCTTTTCTTTCTTTTTTTTTTTTTTTTTTTTTCTTGAGACGGAGTCTTGCTCTGAGGCACGGGCTGGAGTGCAGTGGTGAGATTTCGGCTCACTGCAAGCTCTGCCTCCTGGGTTCACGCCATTCTCCTGCCTCAGCCTCCCAAGTAGCTGGGACTACAGGCGCCTGCCATCACGCCTGGCTAATTTTTTGTATTTTTAGTAGGGGCGGGGTTTCACCATGTTATCCAGGATGGTCTCGATCTCCTGACCTTGTGATCTGCCCGCCTCAGCCTCCCAAAATGTTACAGGCGTGAGCCACCATGCCTGGCCGTGGAAATGTGATTTCTTATTTCACTGCAAAGTGTTTGGAGTAGTTGTATGATTTCAATCTCCTTAAATTATTGAGACTTGTTTTGTAGTAGACTACACATGGTCTACCCTGGAGGATACTCCATGTGGACTTGAAAAAATATATGAATATATCCTCCTTATGTTGACTGGAGTGTTCTATAAACATATGTTAGGTCTAATTGGTATATAGTAATTTTGAAGTCCTCTTTTTCTTGTTCATCTTCTGTCTAGTTGCTTTCTTCATTATTGAAAGTGGAGTATTGCAGTCTCTCAGTATTATTGTTGAATTGTGTGCTTCTTCTCTTAGTTCTGTCAAGTTCTTTTTGTGGCCGGGTGCACTGGCTCACTCCTGTAATCCCAGCACTTTGGGAGACCAAGGCAGGCAGATCATTTGAGATGAGGAGTTTTAGACCAGCCTGGCTAACATGGTGAAACTAAAAGTATAGAAACTATCCAGGTGTGGTTGCATGCGCCTGTATTTCCAGCTACTTGGGAGGCTGAGTCAGGAGAATCGCCTGAACCTGGAAGGTGGAGGTTGCAATGAGCCGAGGTCTCGCCACTGCACTCCAGTCTGGGTGACAGTGCGAAACTCCATCTCAAAAAAAAAGTTTTTTTGCTCAATGTTTTTTTGGGCTCTGTTCTTAGACACACATTTATGTATATTTTAAATTGTTATGTCTTCTTGATGGATTGGCCCTTTTGTCATTATAAGATGGCCTTCTTTGTCCCTAGGAACAAGTTTGGTCTTTATTTTACCTGATATTAGTAATAATTAGTAATTATTGTTTTATCTGGTATTCTCTAGCTTGCTTTTGGATATTGCTTGCATGGTAACTTTTTTTTCCATCTTTTTATTTTTAACCTATTTGTGTCTTTGAGTCTAAAGCTTGTCTCTTGTAAACAGTATGCAGTTGGACCATACATTTTCCTTTTATCCATTCTGCCATTTATCTACCTTTAGATTAGAGCATTTGATCTACTTAATGTAATTATTGATAAGGTAGGATTATTAATACCATTTTGCTGTTTGTTCTCCATATGTGTTACGATTTTTTTTTGTTCTTCTGTTCTTCTATTCCTGCCTTCTTTTGCATTAAATAAATGTTTTCTAGTGTACCATTTTAATTTCATTGGCATTTCTTTTTATTATTTTTTATATTCTTATTGGTTACCTTGGGCATTGTAGTTAAAATCTGATAACAATGTAGTTTGGAATAATGACAACTTAATTTTGATAGTATACAACAAACTTTGTATGTAGTTCTATTCCTTTCTTGCTCCTTTGTCCTGTAATTGTTATGCAAATTACTTCTTTATGGTGGTACATCCATCAACACATTTATAATTACTGCTTTATGTAATTTCTCAAGTTTAATAGGAAAAAAGTGTTATACATAAAAAATAGGCCAGGTGCAGTGGCTCCTGCCTGTAATCCCAGCACTTTGGGGAAGCCAAGGTGGGCAGATCACTTGAGGCCAGGAGTTCGAGACCAGCCTAGACAACATGGCAAAACCTTATCTCTACAAAAATTAGCCAGGTGTGGTGATGCACGCCTGTAGTCCCAGCTACTTAGGAGGCTGAGGTGAGAGGATCACTTGAAACGAGATAGAGGTTGCAGTGAGTCGAGATCATGCCACTGCACTCCAGCCTGGGCAACAGAGTGAGATCCTGTCAATCAATCAATCAATGAGTTAATTAATTTATACTATCTTTTATATTTACCTATGTAGTTACTTTTACCAGTGTTCTTTATTTCTTCATGTTTAATTGAATCTTGTCTAGTATCCTTTTATTTCAGTCAGAAAAATGAACTCCCTTTAGTATTTCTTGTAAGGACCATCTATAGCTGTGAAGTCCAACTTTGTTTATCTGGCAGTATTCTAATTTCTCCTTTATTTTTCCTGGATATATACTTCTTGATTGACAATTTTTTTTTCCTTTCAACGTTTTGAATACGTTATCTGTCTGCCATGGTTCGTGATGAGAAATCAGCTGTTAATCTTATGTTAGGATTCCTTGATGAGGAATTTCTCTCTTGGTGCTTTCAAAATTCTTTGTCTTTGCCTTTCAAGAATTTTGGTTTGTCAAAATGTGGATTTGAGTTTATACTCTCTAGAGTTCATTGAATTTCTTGGATGTGCAGATTAATGTTTTCCATCAAATTTGGAGAGAGATTTTGGCAATTGTTTTTTCAAGTATTCTTTATGTCCCTTTCTTTTTTCTCCTTTTAGAACCCCCAGTATAGGAGCCTTTTTTTCTTTTCTTTTTTTTTTTTTTTTTTGAGACAGAGTTTCATTCTTGTCGCCCAGGCTGGAGTGCAATGGTGTGATCTCAGCTTAGTACAACCTTCGCCTCCTGGGTTCAAGTGATTCTCCTGCCTCAGCCTCCTGAGTAGCTAGGATTACAGGTGCCTGCCACCATGCCCAGCTATTTTTTTTGTAATTTTAGTAGAGACGGGGTTTCACCATGTTGGCCAGGCTGGCCTCGAACTCCTGACCTCAGGTGATCCACCCACCTCTGCCTCCCAAAGTACTGGGGTTATAAGCGTGAGCTGCCTTAAACTCCTGACCTCAGGTGATCCACCCACCTCCACCTCCCAAAGTGCTGGCATTATAGGTGTGAGCCACCGTGCCTGCCATAGGAGTCTTTTTAATGGTGTCCCACAGGTCTCTGAGACCTTGTGGTCTCCATTTTATTTTTTCTTCTGTTCCTTAGACGAGAGTCAATTGACCTGTCTTCATGTTTGTTGATTTTTTCTTCAAGTTCACTGGTTCTTTCTTCTGCCTACTCATATTTGCTGTTGAGCTCCTCTGGATACTTTTTCATTGCAGTTATATTTTTCAACTCCAGAATTCTTTTTGGATTAATTTCTTTAAAGTCCTGTATATTAGTCTCTATTTGGTGAGATAGCGTTCTCATAGTTTTCTTTAGTTCATTAAATGTGACTTTCTGTAGTTCATTGAACACGTTTAAAATAGCTGATTAAAATCTTGTAAGTCTAATGTCTGGGTTTTTTCAGGGACAGTTATTAATTAATACTTTTTCTACTTTGTATCGGCTATACTGTCTTCTTTCTTTGCATGCCTTATAATTTTTTGTTGTTGTTGTTGAAAACTGGATTTTTTTTGGCTGGGTGTGGTGACTCACGCTTGTAATCCCAGCACTTTGGGAGGCCAAGATGGGTAGATCACCTGAGCCCCCACGAGTTCGAGACCAGCCTGGGCAACACGGGGAGACTCTGTCTCTACAAAAAATACAAAAATTAGCCAGATTTGGTGGTGCACACCTGTGGTCCCAGCTACTAGGGAGGCTGAAGTGGGAGAATCACTTGGGCCTAGGAGGTCAAGGCTGCAGTGAATCATGAGCATGCCACTGCACTCCAACCTGGGTGACAGCTATCCTGTCTCAAAACAAAAACGAAACAAAACACAACAAAATTGGATTTTTTTTTTTTTTTGAGACAGAGTCTCGCCTTGTCACCAGGCTGGAGTGCAGTAGCGTGATCTCGGCTCACTGCAACCTCCGCCTCCTGGGTTCAAGCGATTCTCCTGCCTCAGCCTCCCAGAGTAGCTGGGACTACAGGCGCACGTCATGATGCCCAGCTAATTTTTGTATTTTTAGTAGAGACGGGGTTTCACCATGTTGACCAGGATGATCTCGATCTCTTGACCTCGTGATCCACCCACCTCAGCCTCCCAAAGTGCTGGGATTACAGGTGTGAGCCACCACGCCTGGCCAAAAAATTTGATTTTTAAAATAATATAATGTGGCAGCTCTAGAAATGAGTCCTCTCCTTCCCAGGGTTTGATTGTTGCTTTTATTCCTACTGTCTGATTGTTAATTGTGACTTTTCTGAACTAATTTTATAAAGTTGATATTCTTTTTTGAGTGTGGCTATTGAAGTGTCTGCTTATTTAACTTAGATGTCAGGTAATAACTGGACAGATATTTATTTAAATGCTTGGAAACAATAAGTAAGTCTCTCACTCTTTGCCACAGGGCTCTCTATGTATATTGTTCCATGCCTTCAACACTCAGCTAGGTATTTCACAAATCTACCTTAGCCTTTATTTTCTGCTTGTGCAGGGTTTCAAAGTTAACCAGAGGTGAGAGTTTATATTTCATCTGTTATTTTTCTGAGAGCACACACAACCCTGGGCATGTCCACAGCATTATGCATGCATATGACCTTCTAGATTCCCAGGACATTTACTGGAGGTTTTCAAAGCCAGCTTTTCCTTTTAAGTTTCTTGGTTAGCCTATTGTTTGCCCCAACTTTGATCCACTGCTTTAGGAAGTAGGCTGTTCAGCGATTGCCTCAGTTTCTATGGATGCCTCTGGGGAAAAGATCTTTGCATGATATGAAGTCCGAATTGAATCTTGTAGAGTCAGCCTTGAATATGGCTGTTCACAGAGAACCACCAGACAGTTCAAATAATGATATTTCTTAGGGAATGAGGCTTTGAACAAGCTCAAACTCTGTTCTGACCTTTCTGGTAGCTGTCAGGCTTCTCATCTCCAAGTTTGCAGGCTGTTGGTTTTCAAGGGGATGGAATAGGGCAAGTTTAAAACACTACAAAGCCATTTTTATTGAGATTTAGCTCTTTTTATTGAGTAAACACTCTCTGGGTTGTTGCAAGCTTTCGATTAGTTTCCACAGTTCTGAAAAGGTTAATTATGACAGATTTGCCAGATTTCTCATTGGTTTTATGGAGAAGAGAATTTTCAGAGGTCCTAACTTTGTTAACTTTGCTGCCTTCATCCCTCTCTTTTGTATTCCACATCCAAAACATCATTCAATTTTTAGGAGTACTTAAACGCTGAATTTATCACATTTATATTAAAAAATGAAGCAAAGCTGATACATTTTACTAATTACTGTTTGCTTCCCCCCTCCCCCTGTTAAATGATAACCATAAGTCACACATTATGAAACTTGTACTTCTTTGTTTCCCACAGGAACTATCATGTATTCTATTACCTCCTGGCAGGAGCAAGTGAAGATGAGAGATCAGCATTCCATCTTAAGCAACCAGAGGAATATCATTATCTCAATCAGGTGAGAGTTCATAAAAAGCATTTTGAAGTATAGGGCAGTATTAAATTTAATGCTTGAAAAATGTCTTTTTTCTAGTACTTTCTCAAACCTAGGAATGGATTAGCTAGCATTTTCATATATGTACTCTACAAATTTAGGTGATGCAGTTCTCAAATTTGAGGATGATTACCATCCTCATATAAATGTTAAAAGCTCAGATAATATATGTGCTTTTCGTTTTCTGTGAGATTCTTTGGGAAAATAATAATAAGCTGTTTATTGATATTTCTACTGTATTAGAAAAATGCTTTACTTTTACTAAAGTGATTTACCTTTTACAACCCCCAGGATATTAAATGTTACTAATGATTAATTCTTGTCCTTTGCAAGGGATTACTTGAAACCTAATTTGCATGTTTTGAAGTCTCATACACATACGTCTTTGCATGATACTATGACACTGACTTAGAGTATGACTATTTTTATAATTTAATGAACAATCTTCTTAAATATTCAGTATGAAGGTCATCAAAGGCAAATGACTTAGAGAATTTGGATCTTTCCTCAAAACTCAAAATTCATCCCTAAACTTCCACATTGAGGAGTAATTCTTACTTTTCATTACATTGACTTTACTAATTTTATTATTTCTCATAATAACAGAAATTTTACAACCAGCACTAATGGAATTAGTAAAACAATAGGTCATTTAAATAATAGATGTCTCCCCTTATTTTTCCATTGTTGGAGGCAAGATGTAATGTCTACGGAAATAAATCCCTTTATGACCATTAAAAAAATCCTTACGAAGCTTTTGTAAACAAATTGACACTTTGATGATGGTTCAGATAGCAGTATATATTTAGGGTTATGAAAGTTACATCTTTGGCTGAGTGCAGTGGCTCACACCTGTAATCCCAGTACTTTGGTAAGCTGAGGCAGTTGAATCACCTGAGGTCAGGAGTTCGAGACCAGCCTGGCCAACATCGTGAAACCTTGTCTCTGCTAAAAACACAAAAAAATTAGCTAGGTGTGGTGAGGCACGCCTGTAATCTCAGCTGCTTGGGAGGCCGAGGCACGAGAATCGCTTCAACCCGGGAGGCAGAGGTTGCAGTGAGCCAAGATTGTGCCACCGCACTCCAGCCTGGGCAACAGAGCGAGACTCCGTCTCAAAAAAAAGAAAAAAAGAAAGTTATACCTTTGGCTTTCTCCAAGTTAATACAGTGTGTTGTATTAACTGTTATTTCTTAATTTTGAAACTACCTATATTAATATAAACTAATGACTTTGTATTAATATATTGAGAATTCCAAGTTATTTAAAGTATCCATTTCTGATATAATATTATTAATTTTTACACATAGAATTAAATAGCTTTTCAAAAATATTTGCTAATTCAGCTTCTGAGTTTTTTCCTCCCCAGTTTAAACTATTTGCATTATATTTGGGTGATTAAAGATTTTCTTTTTTATAAAGTAATATTCTCTCATAAATGAGCTGATAGTTGTTAGTATTAGAGAAGTCTGGAATTTTGCTGTTCTTTCAGATCTTTTTGTAATTAATGACCATAATATATTCCTGTCATAATGTCAATATTCATAGGATATGGGACTCAGTTTATATAAATAACAGTCACTGGAGCCCATGGTATATATGCGTTCGGTAGTACAGTATACAGTCTCCCAGCATGTGAATATTTGCTTCATTATTTCTTGTTTTATGCTGCTATGCAAAATAACTTTTCAATGGAGAGCAGCAGTACTACTTGCACACCACATCTAAGAGATCATTAGAAGAGTATAATAACCATTACTTCTACCTAACTAATCTGCCTTACTTTCAGATAACAAAGAAACCCCTCAGACAGAGCTGGGATGATTATTGCTATGACTCTGAGCCGGTCAGTACAAGTACCTAAATATTCTGTGTTTCTGTCAAAGGGTCCTCACATTGCGCATTTGCATCCATCTGAAGATTTAGAATGCAAATCAGCTGAAATACAAAGAATCCTAGGAAGGAAGATAAATCAATGTTTCATTTCTTTTGAATGATTGATTTATATCTGTATAGTTTGTTGATTTAAAACCAGTTAATTTACTTTTTTTGGGCTATTTTCTGGTCATTAAGACTTAGTCCACATTCAATATTTATTTCGACAAACATTAAATTGATTATATTCCTGATTCTTCATCATTGCTGTGGATTTGTATGAACTATGGTTTTTTTCCCCTTTTATTTTTTAAAATTATTTTTTAGTAGTTTCATTACCTACATACTATGAGTAGTAATTATTGTTTATTTCAAAAAATTGCATTCTTTATGTTTTATATATCAACAGTCTTTACACATAATGAATGCATGTATATTTTTCTTTGATTTTTTTTCCCAGTAGCCAGAGTCTGTAGCCTTAATAAAATTATCCAAAAATAAGTATTGAAATTCCTATAAATAAGGTTTTTTTTAAATATTTATTTTTTGTGACAGAGTCTCGCTCTTTTACTGGAGTACAGTGACATGATCTTGGCTCCCTGCAACCTCCATCTCCTGGGTTCTAGCGATTCTCATGCCTCAGCCTCCCAAGTAGCTGGGATTACAGGCGTGCGCCACCATGCCCGGTTGATTTTTCTATTTTTAGTAGAGATGGGGTTTTGCCATATTGTCCAGGCTGGTCTTGAACTCATGGCCTCAAGTGATCTGCCCACCTTGGCCTCCCAAAGTGCTGGGATTACAGATATGAGCCACTATGCCCAGCCTATTTTATGTTGTAAATTGAGTGATTTAAGGGGATGTATGATGTAATATAAAGTGAATAGGTACATTTTGCTTTAATTTTTTAAAAATTATATTACTGTATTTTAATAAGTATATTTTTAAATTAAAGACAGAGTCTCACTATGTTGTCCAGGCTGGTCTTGAACCTCTGACCTCAAGTGATTCTCTTGCCTTGGCCTGTCAAAGTGCTGGGATTATAGGCATGAGCCACCATGCCCCGCTAAATTTAGCTTTATTTGTTATATTTTATGACAAGTTTGTAACCATAAAGAACACAAAAATTTTTTTCTTAAGTTTTCAATTAAGTTACTTGTAAAAAGGCTGAAAACACATACTAATCTTCCTATGTCTATTAATTAATGAATTAATTTATTAAATATTCTTTCTGAAAACATTTCTTAGTCCTTGCTTTAAAGAACCACAACTGTGATTCTCACAGCATGTTTATAAACTTTACTAATTGCATGACTAGCTTATTTCACAGGTGAGAATGATCAGTATACATGAATAATAATTTTTTTTAGAGAAATTTTAATTGTATTACTATTACATAACCAAGTAATTTTGGAGTTTAGATTTAACATTTTGGGGAAAAAAACACTTGACATATAAATTTATAGATTCTGATACATTTTAACAAAAAATTTAAGTTGTTTTTGCCATTCTTAAGAAGCTCCCCCTTTTCCTTTTTCACGTACTACACCAAGTGACCATGCCTCCTTGGAAAGCAGGTAGGGGACTGCAAACACATACTGCAAATAGAAGACTTGATCATCTGTTCTGAGCTTACAGTGAAGTTGTGAACTGATCTGCTACTTTTCAGAGATAGTCTAAGTAATACTTAAGAATTTGGGGGCCGAGAGTAGTGGCTCACGCCTGTAATTCAACACTTCTGGAAGCTGAGGTGGGAGAATTGCTTGAGACTGGGAGTTTGAGACTAGCTTGAGCAACAAGGCAATACCCTATCTCTACAAAAATTTAAGCCAGGTATAGTGATACACGCCTGTAGTTCCAGCTACTCAGGAGGCTGAGGCAGGCAGATTGCTTGAGCCCAGGAGGTTGAGGCTACAGCGAGACAAGATCACACCATTACACTCCAGCGTGGGTGACACAGCAAGACTCTATTTCAAAAAAAAAAAAAAAAAAAAAAAAAAAAGATTTGGGCTCTGAAGCAGAATGACCTAACATAAATATTGGCTGGCTTATTTTCCAGTTTCATTTATTTTAGGGGTTAATAATGGTCTTTAAGTTTTGTGAGTCTTAAAGTTGTGCATGTAAAGAACTTGATAGAGTACATAATCCTTAGTAAGTGCATAGTGAATGTTGTTGCCACCATTGAAGTCATCATTACCCATCTTTCCCTTTAGAAGAACTTTGTAGCCATAATCTCCTCTTCCCTTAATCATACTTTCATCACCATTATCCGTTTATTGTGTCTTAAAATCTATTATAGTTTGAAATTTAATTTCTGATTGTTTTTCTTATGTTAATTAATAAAAGCAAGCAGTCTGAGGATCTTTTATTCTTTCCTGTTAGCTCTTCCTCATAATATATTTGGGGACAAACTAAACTTTGTTTCCCTGTGAGTTATTAGAACTTATGTGACTAGCATCATAGGTAGAGAGGATTGTTTGAGGACTCTTCTGTTGTACTACATTACTTATGTATTTCGTGGAATTGTATAAATGGTCCCAAGGAGACCTATAGTTAGAAAATTGCTTTTTACAAGGTACCTGTTGTTGCCCTTGTGTGGTGATTTAGTTCCATTTAAGGGTTATCCTATTAAATAAGCACAAACAGCAGTGTTGCATGGGAGAGAGCAGAGGATTTGGAACTACATAGATTTTGGATTGGCCAGCCCTGTTATTTATAAGATTTTTTTTTTTAAGCTTTGGCAAGTTATTTAACCTGTGAATCTATTTTCTCTTCCGTAAATGTATATATAAGTATCTCCTTGTGTTCTGAGGTTTTAGTAACTCATGGTGACTGACATGTAGAAGAATATTTAATAAATGTTAATTTCCCCTCTTCAAGTGGTAATAATCTATTAAATGTCTTTTTATTTTTATTATTATTAACATCTCAGCCTTTGTTTCCTCAGTTATAAAATATGGAGAATGAATTAAATACTGGTAATATGTTGGCTGATGTCTGCCATTGTACCTTAAAGCTGATCTGAGGCTGGGCGCAGTGGCTCACACCTGTAATCCCAGCACTTTGGGAGGCTGAGGTGGGCGGATCACGAGGTCAGGAGATTGAGACCATCCTGGCTAACACGGTGAAACCCCGTCTCTACTAAAAAATACAAAAAATTAGCTGGATGTGGTGGCGGGCGCCTGTAGTCCCAGCTACTCAGGAGGCTGAGGCAGGAGAATGGCCTGAACCCGGGAGGCAGAGTTTGCAGTGAGCCGAGATCACGCCACTGCACTCCATCCTGGGCGACAGAGCGAGACTCTGTCTCAAAAAAAAAAAAAAAAAAAAAACCTGATCTGAGTAACTTCAATGTAAAGGGTCGGTCAGCCTCACCAAACTCTTTTATTTATCTGAGCCATGAATTTTAGGGTCCAACTATTAGGTAGGGTTTTAATGGTCATTGCCATAAGTGATAGTCTCAGGACACTGTTGGTTCCACCATGCTGCAAAGGGATTTGACCTGTATTATTCTGTGGAGACAAAGCTCCAACTTTGGTCACTACTACCTTTACAGGAATCCAAACATCTATAAATCTGTGGAAGCTCGTTTCCTATGAGGTAGACCTCCTATAGTGCTTTCAGAGATCATGATGCAACTTGGGCAAGATACCCTGAAACCATAATGTTTTCATCTACTCTGTTTTAAGTATTTTTGCAGTATAAAGATTCCTACTGCCAAAACCCATCTGTCAGTTTGTAAGTTTGTGGTCACGCCCTTAAACATGTCTTTCTGGCTTTATTCCTTACCCTCTGCCGGTCTAGTATAAGGTCTCTGCATACTCCACAACTTTCTCTGCATATATTTTTCTGTTTAAAAAGCACTTCACATCTGGCCAGGTGCGGTGGGTCACGCTTGTAATCCCAGCACTTTGGGAAGTGGGTGGATCACTTGAGGTCAGGAGTTCGAGACCAGCCTGGCCAACATAGTGAAACCCTGTCTCTACCAAAAAAAAAAAAAAAAAATTAGCAGGGCGTGGTGATACGTGCCTGTAGTCCCAGCTACTCAGGAGGCTGAGGTGAGAGAATCACTTGATCCCAGGAGGCAGAGGTTGCAGTGAGCCAAGATTGCACCAGTGCACTCCAGCGTGGGTGGGCAGAGTGAAACCCTGTCTCAAAAAAATTTAAAAAAAGCACTTAACATCCTCTTTTCTTCTCTTTTCTTTTCTTTCTTTGTTTCCTTCCTTCTTTCTTTTCTTTCTTTCTCTTTCTTTCTTTCTTTCTTTCCTTTCTTTCTCTCTCTCTCTCTTCTCTTCTTTTCTTTTCTTTTCCTTTTCTTTCTTTTCTTTCTTTCATGGTATCTCGCTCTGTCACCTAGGCTGGAGCACAGTGGCACCATATCAGCTCACTGCAACTCCCACCTTCTGGGTTCAAGCGATTCTTCTGCCTCAGCCTCCTGAGTAGCTGGGATTACAGGTGCCCGGCACCACGCCTGGCTAATTTTTGTATTTTTAGTAGAGATAGGTTTTCACCATGTTGGCCAGGCTGGTCTTGAACTCCTGACCTCAGGTGATCTGCATGCCTCAGCCTCCCAAAGTGCTGGGATTATAGGCATGAGCCACCGTGCCTGGCCACTTGTCTCTATTTCTTAAAATGGTACTTAAGAAATCATACATTTTTATAACTACTAGTGTAGAGTGCAGGACATAAACTGGAACAATTGACTTTGAAGGTTAGTAAAGATGCTGGAGATCACTTAAGAAAAAAGGAGATAAATAACATAGGCTTGGTTGGAATCCCAGCTACACTATTAACAAGCTTCACCACCATAGGAGCAATTGGCTTAAATTGTGAGCCAATGCTGCTTGCTGCTTGTGTGAAAGGCAATCATAACTACCACCAGAGGTTTTATAAGGATCAAATATAATATGGAACTGGACAGTGTCTCATGCTTGTAATCCCAGCACTTTGCAAGGCTGAGCTAGGCAGATCACTTGAGCCCAAGAGTTTAAGACCAGCCTGGGCAACATGGCAAAACACTGTCCCTCCAAAAAAATATAAAAATCAGATGGATGCTGTGGTGTAGGCCTGTAGTCCCAGCTATTCCTCAAGAGGGTGAGGTGGACCACTTGAGCCCAGGAGGCGGAGGTTGCAGTGAGCTGGGATTGTGCCACTGCACTCCAACCTCGGCAACAGAGTGAGACTCCATCTCAAAGAAAAAAGAAAAAGAGACAAGATAGTATGATTTCTTAAGTACAATTTTAAGAAATAGAGACAAGATAGAAGAAAATATCTAATTTGACTCTTCTCTTTCTCTCCCTCACACCCACACTAATTGCCTACTCCATGCTAGGTTTATCCTAGGCATTTGTAAATGGGAAAGTGTGTCACCTTACAGAAAGAGCAAGGTCTGATAGCATGAAAGAGCATTTGGTGGGTATGTTTGTGGGGGGAATGTAGTGGCATGTTATCAAGTACAAACAAGAACTTATATGGAGCTGACAGAAGGATTGCCTATGTTCTTTCAGTGGAAGGGGTTGTAACAGTTGTTGGTTAGTTCCCTGCCTTATCCTTGGAACGAACCTTACCATTTCCTTGAACTCTGGCTGACCAGTATTTGGATCCTGGGGCCTGAAGGCTTTTTCCAGAACCCTGGAAGGCCTTGGCATTTGTAGGGCCCTCTAGAAGTGACTTGGGAATTAACAGCTGCCTGCTCCCTCTCCAGAAGTCTTCAAACAATGACTGATGAGAGATGAGATGGTATATAAATAAATACAGTAGCTCCCTCACCTCTGTAGGTTTTATATTGTTTCCCAGAGATAACCTTGGGATTAAACTCCATTTAACTACTTTCATAGTAGTTAGCACAGACTGTTTAGTCTGTCTTCTCTTTTACTTTCTCACTTTCTCTGTGACTTGTATTTGACTCTTGGTCTGTCTCAAGATCTGCCTCCCAGGGAGCCCAAATTAAGATAAAGTCATTTCTGTTCTGGGAGATTTAATTTATCCTTAGTTTTTCTTCTACAGTTATCATCAGAGAAACAGAGAAGGAAATTAATACACATTTTTTTTAAACTATGATTTTGATATTCACTGAGACCACTTTGGGTTTCTAAGAACATTTGATTAAGGATAAGAGCAAATACAAACATATTTTAGTGCCTCTTTCAGTGTACTTTCCCACTATTTTATATACATTAATTGTTCCATTCACTTTCGGGGAAGATTAGAACACTGTTAGTTAGAAGAATCATTATTGACACATGTGGAAGCATAGATTCCCCCTGCCTTGCCACTTGTAATAGGAAAATATTTGTTAAATCATAAAGTGAATGAACTGTTTGTGTTTTGAGACTAGGGGGAAGAGTAGCAAGAGAGCTTTTTACAAAAGGTTACTTACTATAGGTAAAAGAAGAATGTGTTTAAAAATTTATCTTAGGGCTGGGTACGGTGGCTTACTCCTGTAATCCCAGCACTTTGGGAGGCTGAGGCGGGTGGATCACCTGAGGTCAGGAGTTTGAGACCAGCCTGGCCAATGTGGTAAAACCCCGTCTCTACTAAAAAATATAGGAAAATTAGCCTGGCATGGTGGCACGCACCTGTAATCCCAGCTGCTTGAGAAGCTGAGGCAGGGGAATTGCTTGAACCCGGGAGGCAGAGGTTGCACTGAGCAGACATCGCGTCATTGCACAGCAGCTGGGCAACAAGTGCGACACTCCATCTCAAAAAAAAATTATTTTAATGAGTAGGACATTGGCATGTCAGTAGAATGTCTTAAAATTGCTTATCGAAAGCAATTTTATAGTAATAAAATTAAATGCATGGGTTCTCAGAAAGAACTTTACTTGTGGTGAATTTAAATTTTTAAACTATGCATGTGTAGCTTTCCATGTAGAGAATAAAAATATTGGTAACAGCATTTCAAAACTTTATTTTAAACTTTAGATATTCATTAACTAATGCTTACAGTGCCTAAAACAGATTTTCTTGTACATGGTAAATACTTGATAAATACTTTTTATAAAACAAATGAGCACTTTATTTCTGAAAAAGGAATGTTTCATTCAATTCAATATTTATATATTATTCAATAATTCAATGACTATGTATTTACCTAAATAATGACTTGTTTTTGGCACTGACTTCGCACTGGGGATCTGCAGTTAATAAGACAATTAACAGTTCATATACTTCACCAAGTACTTGAGAGAATATTCCCTAGGAAGATAGGCATTAAAAATGTAAATGCAAATGTGAGGAGGTTTTTGAAAGTGCAAGGGACTGTGAGAACTTACAGTAAAGAG
This sequence comes from Homo sapiens, assembly GCF_000001405.40. NCBI lineage: Eukaryota > Metazoa > Chordata > Mammalia > Primates > Hominidae > Homo > Homo sapiens. Next base: position 72,011,732 of record NC_000015.10, on the reverse strand, counting down.
ATTTATGACTCACTTATTGTTTTGAAGATTTAGAGTATGTCTACCACTGTTTGACTATTTTAGGAACTGAAATGCAAGGATTATGCTTAAAAAGTAGTATTTATTAATCTGGTATTCCACAACAATTTTTTTTTTCTTGAGATGGTGTCATGCGTGTTGCCCAGGCTGGTCTCAAACTCCTGAGCTCAAGCAATCCTCCTACCTCAGCCTTCCAAGTAGCTGGGATTACAGGCATGTGTGACTATTCACAACTAGTTTTACTGACTCATCTGATGTGTTTTCTGAGGGTTTTTATACTTTCACATATACTTCTTTCTTTCCTTGTTTGATTACCATGTTGTCTGTTATTTCATTAGGAAATAATTACATATATAAAATATATAAATAATTATATATGTATATATCTAATGTAGATGTAACAGGCTGGGCACAGTGGCTCACGCCTGTAATTCTAGCACTTTAGGAGGCCTAGGTGGGTGGACTGCTTGAGTCCGGGAGTTCAGGACTAGCCTGGGCAATGTGGTGAAACCATGTCTCTATTAAAAATACAAAAAACTAACCGGTCATGGTAGGACTAGCTGGGTAGTTCCAGTTGCTTGGGAGGCTGAGGTGGGAGAATCACCTGAGCCCGGGAGGTCGAAGCTGCAGTGAGCCAAGATCATGCCACTGTACTCCAGCCTGAGCAACAGGAATGAGACCCTGTCTTAAAAAAAAAAAATAACATATCTATATAGATCTATATAAATATAGATTAGATAGATGTAACAAACTATATTACGTAAATCTGGGGTTCACTCTTCAACTAAATTATTGCCTCTTCTAAAATTTATTTTTGTGTCACTAATATCTAGTTCAGTGCCTTACATAGGGTAGGCACTTGTTAAATATTTGTTGAATAAATAGTATTTGCTGGTAGAATTGAGCGCCCGTAAATGCTTTGAATTTCTGAAACCCTTTAGAACCACTCAAAATCAAACTTAGTATCAGCACACTTACTGAGTACAGCTAACTCTTTATCTTAAGTTAACTTTTGAAATCCTAATCTTGGTGATTGTGAAAGGGAGAACAAAAGTAACTTATTGGTATTTTAGTAAGTATGTGTTTAGTTTCCATACCTGTAGTAAGATAAGAGGTCTAATGAATTTGACTAGGTCTTACTATTCTACCAGCTCTAATTTGCATTTATACATACAGGTACCTATCCTAAATTACCATATTTCTGAATGGCCCACATTATTTTAAAATATATAATCTTGATTTTTAAACTTTTATTTTAAATAAGCAGGATTGCTTCACGGTGGAAGGAGAAGATTTGAGACATGACTTTGAGCGCCTACAACTTGCCATGGAAATGGTAGGATTTCTTCCCAAGACACGAAGACAGTGAGTTTACTTGTTGTATTTTTATATCTCTAATAGAGAACACATGATATGTCTTTGAAAGATTTCTGCCGTTGACCTTTTTAAATAGTTTTCTAAGTGGTATTCTTCATCTAGTACCTCATCCATCTCGAGCATTATTTCTAATTCCTTTTTTTATCATAAATTATTTTGAGAATCTGATGAAAGCTGACACTGTTGTTGTAAAATGTACATCCTTAACAATTTGCATATAAATGCAGGAATTTATGGTGCCCCTGAAGCCTATCCATGGACCTTACTTAAAACTTTTGCTTTGTAACACTATTTTTATAGCTCTTCATTTTGTATATATCAGTGATCTCTAATCTTATTAAATTATGCATACTTATCAGATGCATAGTATTTAATTTTCAGTGTATTTCCTCTGTATAGTTTATATCTGTACTATACTATTAAGTTTTTTAATTGTAAATCTAAACAATTTAAAAATATAAAAATTTGAGATAAAGATGAGATAAATTATATTTGAAACAAATTATTTAAAATTAAAGACTCAACCTTGGCTCTCACCAGAAAGAAATAGTTACTTATAACTTTTTTGAAGGGGAGAGTCGTGCTGATGAATATGTCAGATCTGATTATATTGTTAATTTTTTTTTCTTTGTTTTTTTTGGAGACAGCATCTCACTCTGTCACCCAGACTGGAGTGCTCACTGCAGCCTCAACCTCCCCAGGCTCAGATGATCCTCCCACCTCAACTTCCCAAGAAGTTGGGACTGCAGGCTTGTACCATCACACTCAGCTAATTTTGTATTTTTTTTTTTTGCCATGTTGCCTATGCTGGTCTTGAATTCCTAGGCTCAAGTGATCTGCCTTTCTTGACCTCTGAAAGTGCTAGGATTACCAGCATGAGCCACTGCGCCCGCCCTCTGTTGTTAATTTTTAACCTCATGATTGATGACCCTATACTGAGAGTAGGAGAAAATCACCTCTCCTGTTTTCTTGTTTGCTTGCACTTACATCATTGGTATGACTCTTTAATTAGCAGGCTATTTACTAGAATCTTTTTATGAGAAGTCAATTAAAATCAAATAATACAATATGTAAGTTGGCATACCAACTCAATTGGTGACATAAACTACAGTTCAATGAAAATTAGTGAATTTCTATTAAAAATCATTTTTAAAAGAGGCTCATGAATTTGTTTTTGTCTTTTGACTTCCATTAGTTTTTATGTTTCAGTTGATAGTTTATTCTTTAATCCAGAATAACATTATTAATTATTTTTATAATAGACTTGTATTTCCTGTGAGTCACGTGAATGATTCAAAGATTTAAAAACTTTAAATTATTTGAAAAATTAGATTTATAAGTTAGATGGTGATTCAGTACCTCTCAAATGTTCCTAAGGTAATATCTCAGGTTCCTAAAGCAATATCTTTGTTTTAGTTGGAATACTTCCTAATTTTAGGAAAACATAGTGTTAAATTTTCATAAGCCAAATTTTGTAAGCCGTATTTATTCTAAGAAAATAACTGCATGTGACACAAAGCTGTATATATATAAGGAGACTGAGGAAGAGTTTTTCAGTGGATTGTTTAGCTGTGTTAAATGCCTCTGAGATGTCAGATAAGTCAATAACATAATATACTGTTCTTAGCTACATGGAGGTACTTGGTAACCTAAGGTTCCTGAATTAACAGGAGTTGATGGGATATATAGCATAAGTGGAGGGATTAGTTTTTGATTGGAGGGCACATACTCTTCTGACTCAGGAGGGAAATTTATAACGGAGGGTCCATATGAAGTTGTTTCACAGTAGAGGTTAATATACCCCACATGGCTTCATACTTACACACACACATACACACACACACACACCCATTTACCCCATTCACACACACACACACACACACACACACACACACACACACCCATTTACCTCAAACACCATACTATGGTATAGAAAAGCATTTTAACAACATAACTAATAATAAAAAATCAGCTAGGATACTTGATTTAAAAAATACAGATTCAAGGCCTTTCCTTTGGCAATTCTGATTCAGTGTATCTGAAACAGTGTAGGAAAAAAGCATTCCTGGCAGGATAAATAGCATTTAGAGAGGCATGGCCTTTTTAAAACACTGTAAACACTGTGACAAATTCAGGCAATAGCAGAAGTCCCTTTGAAATGACTATATAAGAAGTGGTATACTTAAGGCCATGAAAAGCATTTTGAACAGTACCTGACATATAAGTAAACCCTCAGTAAATTTTAGTAATTATTCCCATATTGCTTATTTTCCAAAGACTAAATACTTCATATTTGTAGGTTAATTTGCTTAACTAGAATTTTAGAATGAAATGAGCTTTGGGAATGGACACAACTAAGCTATAATTTGTGTTTTATTTTCCCAGGATTTTCTCTCTTCTCTCAGCCATACTACATTTGGGTAATATCTGTTACAAAAAGAAGACATACCGGGATGACTCCATTGATATCTGTAATCCTGAAGTTCTGCCTATTGTCTCAGAATTATTAGAGGTGAGTGATTACATTTTCAGTTGTCATTTCAAATCTTTGTAACTTTTTATTTTTTATTTTGTGTATTTTGTAGGTGTAAACGGGTTAATGCTTTCTGTTAATAATGCTTTTATTAGGCACTATTTTTAAATAGCATTTCCAAAAGATCTAATTTTTCCTGATACCTGCCTCAGTTTGCTATTGGATGTGGCAGAATCTTTATAAAATTTGTGTTTTCTCCTCTGCCTCCACTTGCTCCAGACATCCATAGTCCCTAAATTTGCTGGATAGGATGAATATTTCCACACTGGACTGTAATATTCTGGGACTATGCTAATTTTTCTCTTCATATTTGAGATTTCTTCTCATACTAAGATTTTGGTTAGATTATTTTGTTTCAAGATGGGGGTATTTGGGTGGGTGGAGAAAAAAGGATACTACTTTTTTTTTTTTCCCTTATGGGTTGAATAGGACATAAAGGTTCTCATCTCCTACCATGCTTCTTCTTACATCAAGGGCCTTTATTACCTGATTCTTTCTTCCTGGAGTGATGATTTATCATGTTTTCTTAGCTAATTTCTCTCTTGCCTACCCCTTCTCATCTTGCCAGATTTATCCCATCAGATGGGGTGTCATTTCTTATAGGCCCTATCGTCTGGCATAGCAAGGAAATATATGTGTGTATATACTAACCTGTGTATATCCACGTATCTATACATATTTTAATATGTAATCATCTGTATCTATATAAAGGTAAACATGAGTTCATGATAATGTCTCCAACTGTAATCCATTCCCCACGTGGATCATTCTAGCCTTCTTCCCTTGCTTATCTGTGAACTCCCGCTTCAACAGTGAGAAAGCTGTCTTCTGTCCTCTGCCATCCATTTACTTATTTGTTTAATTCCAGTATACATGTATAGTGGTATCAAAATTGTTAACCTGTACCCCTCTGGGAAATGACTTTTTCAACTAGAATACAGTGCTTATGAGCAATTCCTTCTGCCTTTAATCCTGCAGACTTCACTCATTTCCAAAATTACTTAGAACAGCACCTTTTCCTTCCACCCTATTTGTTGAGGTTTCATATATTTGTCATGCATGCTGTTTTCTTGTCATGGTCTACATTCCTTCGTGGAATCCCCCAATCTCTTAAATAATTTTTAATATTTGCATACATTAAGTTCCACTCTTCATGCTATTTGGTTTTTGACAGATGCAAGAAGTCATATGTCCACTATTATAGTATCATACAGAATAGTTTCACTGCCGTAAAAATCCCCTGTGCTTTACCTGTTCAGTCCCTCCCCCTAAACTGCTGGCAACCACTGATCTTTTTAGTAGATATATAGATTTGCCCTTTCCAGGATGTAATATAATTGAATCATGCAATATGTAGATTTTTCAGACTGATTTGTTTTACTTAGTAATACGCACTTAAGATTTATTTATGTCTGGCGGCTCATGCCTGCAATCCCAGCACATTGAGAGGCTGAGGCAGGTGAGTTGCTTGAACCCTAGGAGTTCAAGACCAGCCTGGGCAACATAGGGAGACCCTGTCTCTACTAAAAACAACAACAACAACAACAAAAAAAAAACACAAAAATTAGCTGGGCGTGGTGACGTGTACCTGTAGTCCCAGTTGCTTGGTAGGCTGAGGTGGGAGGCTTGAACCCCAGAGGCGGAGGTTGCAGTGACCTTAGATCGTGCCACTACACTCCAGCCTGGGTAACAGAGCGAGACCCTGTCTCTAGAAACAAAAAAAAGATTCATTCATGTCTTTCTGTGACTTGATAGCTCATTTCTGTTTATTACGGGGTAATATTCCATTATATAGATGTGCTATAGTTTATTCATTTATCTGTTGAAGGACATTTTGGTTGTTTCCAGTTTTTGACAGTTATGAATAACTTGCTTTTTTAAAAAATATTATTCATCTTCCAAATCTTGGTTCATAGGCCACTTCATGTGGTTTAACCTTAAGTGGTCTAAACTGACTCCCTAAATACAGAGCATTTGTTTCTACGTAGCATAATTTAGTTTTAGAGCATAAAGTTAATTATTAGTTTGTGTCTGTTGTAAGGCTCCAGTGCTCTTTGAGAGCAATAGATACCTCTTTCTTATTTATCTAACCACCCAGCGTTTATTTTTTCTGTACGTGATTGGGCATTGCTTATTAACTTCAGTGGAATGATAACCTGGCAGAGGAAGAGGCAGGGGAAGGGAGTACCTTGAATTGGAACTAGACTTACTGGAAAGAAGTTCTACCAGGAGATGGAGTGTGGTATCTGAGGGTTGTAATTTTGAAGATCATAAAGGCCAGAGAACAGATGGCATTTTAGTCAGGTATTTCAGGTGATATTTTAGTCAAGCATTTGGTATTGTGACAGGGCATTGTGGCTAATGGTCTTACTTATAAGTCTAGGCAGTTCAGCAGAAACCAGGGCTTCTGTTTCTAGTGCATCATTTCTTCTTTGGTAAGAGACTGATAAGAACAATTCAGGCAACTCAAAGAGGAACTCAGCTATAGGTTTAAAAAAAAGAGAGAAATCTAATTCTGAGAATTGGGCAAACCAGTATCAAAGACAATGGCAAATGGCAAATATGATTTGACAGAAAATCTTACTTTTGAACCCTGGCTTCTTAAATTTCTTCTTGTGTATAGTTTGGATTGGTTCTAGGGCTGAGGTTTAGTATTAAGTAGAAAGAAAATAGCTTCAAAGTTCAGGAGCTAAAGAAGATACCTATCCCATCTTTAGTTAGTACTTAGAAATTATTTTAGAAAATGATTGCCTCTAGTTGGTTAAGACTGATAATAATAATTGCAATCTTAAGGCTTTGGTTGAGATAGAGTACAAAGATAAGCACATTGACTGGATTATTTAACATTCAGACTCTTTAGTTGTGATTTAATTTAATTCCTCTCCTTCCCATGGTGATTTAATCCAATGCTAAATATAGAATAGAGGAACAAATGTTTTTAAAGTAGTGGTTTAACTTTATTTATTTACTTTTCAGTTATTTTTTTGTAGTTACCTGAGGCAATAATGAATGTTTTGAGCCTTTACTAATGCCTATTTGGCATGGATACTTGTGAAAATTATTGAAAGGTGAACAAGCTCCAGTTGATAAATTGTGGGTAATTGTGGAAGATGTTTTTGTTGTGAGATATTAGAACTATCATCATTACCAAAAACTGTTCAGTTTTTATCAGGTTTATGTATTTTGAGTATATTTTAACATCTGTTGAAACAATATAAAGAATAGGGTTTTTTTTTGTTGTTTTTTTGAGATGGAGTTTCGCTGTTGTTGCCCAGGCTGGAGTGCAGTGGTGCAATCTTGGCTCACTGCAACCTCTGCCTCCCGGGTCCAAGCCATTCTCCTGCCTCAGCCTCCCAGGTAGCTGAGATTACAGGTATGCGCCACCATGCCCGGCTAATTTTGTATTTTTAGTAAAGATGGGGTTTCACCATGTTTGTCAGGCTGGTCTTGAACTCCTGACCTCAGGTGATCCACCCGCCTTGGCCTCCCAAAGTGTTGGGATTACAGGCGTGAGCCACTGTGCCCGGCCAAGAATAGATTTTTAATTACATATCAGATTTTTAATTAGGTAAATATGAGAAGCTTTGTAGAATGGATATTGAACCCATTGCTACTTGTTCTGTATTAATAGTTTTTGAATATTCTAAAAGTAATATATTTAAGAATTTTTAGAAAATTATAGAAGAGCTGATTAAAAAATCGTGAATTGGGTAATATTTAGGATCCTTACCAAATATGATATGCAAGATTAGTATGTTTTGGGGTTGTGTGGGTATGCGTAGATCTATGTACAATCTTTGTCAGGTTTTTGTGCTAGGTAAAGAGAACTCATGAAATGAGTTGAGAGTTTTTGTACCCTTGCTCCTTTTTCTGCAATTAGAAGGATCATTAGCAGAGAATAATATGTTCCTCAAGGGTTTGAGAGAGGTCAGCCTTATGAGCAACTGTATTTGATGTCTTTTATTTGTTCCTTTTTAACTAATTTTTTAGGATTTTCAAATCTGGCTTGAGTTATTTGGATGATCTATGTTTTTCTAAAAATGATGTATTGGATATTTAGAATTTGTTGCTTTTGAGTTCTTATTTTTTTTTTTTTTTTTTGAGACGGAGTCTCGCTCTGTCGCCCAGGCTGGAGTGCAGTGGCGCAATCTCGGCTCACTGCAAGCTCCGCTTCCTGGGTTCACGCCATTCTCCTGCCTCAGCTTCCCGAATAGCTGGGACTACAGGCGCCTGCCACCATGTCCGGCTAATTTTTTTTTTTTATGTATTTTTAGTAGAGACGGGGTTTCACCGTGTTAGCCAGGATGGTCTCGATCTCCTGACCTTGTGATCTGCCCGTCTCGGCCTTCCAAAGTGCTGGGGTTACAGGCGTGGGCCACCGCGCCCGGCCTGCTTTTGAGTTCTTTGTAAATAGTCTGTTAATTTCACTCTTTAAAATTTTTCTCTATGGTATTAGCTATTTGTGTTTCTTAGTTTTTTTCTTTTGCTTTGTGTGAGATTTGTCTTTTATTTTTTTTTTACTTTTTTTTTTTTTTGAGACGGTATTTTGCTCTTGTTGCCCAGGCTACAGTGCAATGGTGCGATCTCAGCTCACCACAATCTCTGCCTCCCAGGTTCAAGCGATTCTCCTGCCTCAGCCTCCCGAGTAGCTGGGATTACAGGCATACACCACCACACCCGGCTAATTTTGTATTTTTAGTAGAGACGGAGTTTCTCCATATTGGTCAGGCTGGTCTCGAACTCCTGACTTAAGGTGATCCTCCCGCCTCGGTCTCCCAAAGTGCTGGGATTACAGGCATGAGCCACTGTGCCCAGCCATCTTTCATGTTTTCAAAGAGTTGGACTTTAGATTGATCAGTTCTAACATTTTACTTGTTACATATTAATTTGTTTTAGGATATTTTCTTCCTTTTTTCCTTGTTATGAAATGTTGCCAGCACACAATATTATATAGAAAACAATATAATCAACCCTTACAGCCCCACTCAAGTAATAAAATATTGTGTATAATTGAAGCCCACTGTGTACCCTTGTACCCTGTCTCCACCAGAGGTAACCACTGTTGTGAATTTGGTGTTCATCATTCCTACTCTTGTTTCTATATTTTCAGTATAGATAGATGTTTTTATAAAGAATACATAGTTTTGCATGTTTTCGGTCTTTATATAAATGTTACACTGTATATATTATTCTGAAACTTGGCTTTTTGTCATTCCATAGTATGTTTTTGAGATCTTTCAATGCTGATTTCTATATTCTATATTCTTCTTTTTTGTTGTTGTGTAAGAGTCCATGGTATGAGGCTGGGCACGATGGCCCACACCTGTAATCCCAGCACTTTGGGAGGCCAAGGCAGGTGGATTGTTTGAGTTTAGGAGTTCAAGACCCGCCTGGGCAACATGATGAAACCCCGTCTCTAATCCCAGCTACTCGGGAGGCTGAGGCAGAAGAATTGCTTGAACCTGGGAGGCGGAGGTTGCGGTGAGCCAGGATTGCGCCATTGCACTCCAGCCTGGGTAACAAAAGTAAAACTCTGTCTAAAAAAAAAAAAAAAAAAATTAGCTGGTCATGGTGGCATGTGCCTGTAGCTCCAGGCTGGGATGCAGTGGCACGATCATGGCTCACTGTAGCTTTGATCTCCTGGGCTCAAACAATCTTCCCGCCTCAGCCTCCTGAGTACTTGTGAGTTCAGGCACATTAAATTTTATTTTTAGTAGAGAGGAGGTCTTGCTGTGTTGTCCAACCTGGTCTTTAACTCCTGAGCTCAAGCAGTCCTACTGCCTTGGGATTATAGGTGTGAGCCACCTCACCCAGCCAATATTTACTTTTAATAATTGCAGCAATATACCTCACAATATAGCTTTGGATTTTATTACATTTTTTTTCTTAGCTTTGTTAGTTTTGTCATTTTTGTGTAATCTGATATTTTTGTTCTTTAATGTATTTTAAATAAATCTAAAAGGTTGAGGCCTTTTATTTAAAGTTCATTGTTGATTTTTGGCTTTACTGCGTTTTTGTGAAGTTAATATGCCTCAAATTATTTCCAGTTTTTGAAATTTGAGAGTTGATCAGTGAATGCTCTGAAAGGTGTTATATTTGCTAGATAATATTTATCCATTCAGTATGGTTAAAAGTTGTTCTTTAAAAGATTATTGATCTATCATATGTTGTTGGTGGCAGGATAATGCCTCTTCCTATCATTTTATAACTCAATCTCCTCCTTATAATCTATTTTTTTTTTTTTTTTTTTTGAGATGGAGTCTGACTCTGTCTCCTAGGCTGGAGTGCAGTGGTGTGGTCTCGGCTCACTGCAACTTCTGCCTCCCGGTTTCAAGTGATTCTCCTGCCTCAGCCACCCGAGTAGCTGTGATTACAGGTGTGCACCACCACATCTGGCTAATTTTTGTATTTTTGGTCAAGACAGGATTTCCCATGTTGGCCAGGCTGTTCTTGAACTCCTGACCTCAAGTGATCCGCCCACCTTGGCCTCCTAATGTGCTGGGAGTACAGTCGTGAGCTACCACTCACAGCTGTTATAATCTAATATTTTTTACCTGATAAATTTTTATATTGCCTACATTTATGAATGTTATGTTTTTATTATGTATGGATACTTTTATAAAATGTCCTTGTTTTACCACTTCATGCCCATCATCATGACAAAATTCTAAGGTCTGGTAACATTAAGTATAGTCAAGGTTTGGAAGAAATAAGAACTCTCAGTGCTACTGCTGAGAGAGCATATTGGTAAAAATTATATATAGGAGTTTGGTAGTATTCTCTAAAGCTGAAAATATGTATGCTCTAACCTTCTACTTTTAGGTTTGTTCTTCACAGAAACTTTTGAACTCATGTGCAACAATATTCATTGTGGTTTATTTTCTAATCATACAAAATTGTAAATCGTGTAAATGCCTACAAAGAGGAGAATGGATTACACACTGTGGTATATTTATATGCTGCAATGCTATGTAGCAGTTAAAATGAATAAGGTTGATTTAAATTATCGACATGGTGTGTGCCTGTAGTCCCAGCTGCTTGGGAGGCTGAAGCGGGAGGATTGCTTGAATCTGGGCGGTCGAGGCTGCAATGAATTGAGATCGCACCACTGCACTGCAGCCTGAATGGCAGAGTGAAACTCTGTCTCAAAAAATAATAATAATAATAAATTATCCACATAGTTAGATCTGAAGAACATATGGGCAATATGGTACTTTATAGATAAACATTAAAGTCATTTGACAGTATAGCATAGTGTTTATGAACATATTTAATACATGTAAAAGTGTAGAAATATTAACTGAAATGATAATGTGAAATTCATGATAGTATTTGCCTCTGGGGAGAGAGTGAGAACAAAGGAAGTGTCAACTTTATCTTAAAAGTTTATCATTCATGAATAAGAAGAAATATCTGAAACATAAGTATATTTTGGAATATTCCTAGAATTCAAGATTCATGAAGAAGAAATATCTGAAACATAAATAAATATCCTTTGGAATATTTCTGGAATTCAAGAAGTGCTGTCACTTTTTAGTCCTTGCCTCCAGCATGTGGGATTATGATTGATCATCTTAAAATGTTTTTTATACTATTCTATATTTTCTGTATTCTGCACAATGAAACATGTTTCTCTGTTATGATCAGAAAGCAAACTTTAACTTGAAAAAACCCATTTGTCTTTTGAGTGGGACACTTAAATTCCATTTGGCCAGTATTAAAATTGCCCAGTGTATTGCCTTTTTTCTCTGCTATGTAATTGCTAATCTCATTAAGCTTTTCCTCCTCTATTTGGCTTTTTCAAAAGATAATTCAACCTATTGTCATAAATCTTACATATTGAGTTTACTTTTCTGTTTTATAGGTTAAAGAAGAGATGCTATTTGAAGCATTAGTTACAAGGAAGACGGTGACAGTGGGAGAAAAGCTTATTTTGCCATACAAGTTGGCAGAGGTATGATGGATTTTCTTTGAAATGAAAGCATTCTGGACATTGTTAGAAGTTTAGGTTTGAAGTTTGGGTTTTCTCTTAACAGCATGAAAATGACAATGGCAAAAAGTTTTGATTGAAATATTTTCTAGGCCTTTACATTTGATTGTGAATTTTCCATTGATTTAGAAACTTAAATTTGAATGTGATTGTGAGAAATAGGCTTGCATTTTTCTCCAAGGATCTTAACCTCTTCATCATTTCCAATTTTCATATTACTAATGTGGGGTAGATAGATGGTAGGTAGAATTATAAATGAGCAATATTTGACCCAATTAATTATTCTTCTTGAGACAGTTTCTTCTAGCACATCATACTTTTTTGGTTAACTTTTTCATTGTTGGCTACTTGTTTGCAGTTCTTTCTGCTTGTATTTTTTTTTCTTTATCTCTAAAAGGTAGAGTACCCTAGGACGCAGTCTTTGTTTCTTCTTCTCTATATTCTTCATTGAGGTTATCTTACCCAGTCCCATCACTTTAAATACCATCTGTATACTGAGGCTCCTAGGGATACTTGTTGCTACTATTATACCACTCAGATCTATAGGGGCAGGAAAATTATTGAAAAGCTGCTACTTTGTGGAGTAGTTTTATGAAAGTGATGTCAAGTCAAATTATTATAATTATAAAAATTGGACAGGAATATGAAATTAGAAGATTAGAAGACAGGTGAGGAAATTGTGATTGAATTCTAGAGAATGTTTTTTAAGCTTGACATTGATCCATTTATCTCACCTTCTGTATCTCCAAGTCCACATTTCTTCTTATGTCATATTATAGTCTTCCACTGTGAGAGCTTCTTTCTAAATGAAAAGAAAGCCAAATCTTTGTTGGACATTGATAGACTGGATTAAGAAAATGTGGCACATACACACCATGGAATACTATGCAGCCATAAAAAATGATGAGTTCATGTCCTTTGTAGGGACATGGGTGAAATTGGAAATCATCATTCTCAGTAAACTATCGCAAGGACAAAAAACCGAACACCGCACGTTCTCACTCATAGATGGGAATTGAACAATGAGAACACATGGACACAGGAAGGGGAACATCACACTCTGGGGACTGTTGTGCGGTGGGGGAAGCGGGGAGGGATAGCATTAGGAGATATCCCTAATGCTAAATGACGAGTTAATGGGTGCAACACGCCAGCATGGCACATGTATACATATGTAACTAACCTGCACATTGTGCACATGTACCCTAATACTTAAAAGTGTAATAATAATAATAAAAAGAAAAAAAAAGACAAAAAAAAAAAAGAAAGCCAAATCTTTAAGAGTTTTATATTTCTTTTATATAAAATAAAGATTCATTGCTTTTTACATTTTCTTTCACTACCTTTTTCTTCTTTTAAAAAATTTAACTTTTAAGTTCCGGGGTATAGTGCAGGTTTGTTATATAGGTAAACTTGTGTCATGGGGGTTTGTTGTAGAGATTATTTCGTCACCCAGGTATTAAGCCTACTACCCGTTAGTTACTTTTCCTGATCCTCTCCCTCCTCCCATTCTCTGTCACCCCCTTTATGTCTCCGTGTGTTCTCATCATTTAGTTTCCACTTAGAAGTGAGAACATGCTGTGTTTGGTTTTCTGTTCCTGCGTTAGTTTGCAATGGATAATGGTCTCCAGCTTCATCCAAATTCCTGCAAAGGACGTGGTTTTCTTCTTATTTATGCTGCATTGTATTCCACGGTGTATAAGTACCACATTTATTTATCCAGTGTGTCATTGATGAGCATTTAGGTTGATTCCATGTCTTTGCTATTGTGAATAGTGCTGCAGTGAGCATATACGTGGATGTGTCTTTATGATAGAATGATTTCTATTCCTTTGGATATATGCCCAGTAATTGGATTACTGGGTTGAATAGTAGTTTTACTTTTAGGTCCTTGAGGAATTGCCACACTGTCTTCCCCAATGGTTGAAATAATTTACACTCCCTCCAACAGTGTATAAATGTTTCTTTTTATCCACAACCTCACCAGCATCTGTCGTTTTTCTGACTTTTTAACAATAGCCATTGTGACTCACGTGAGATGGTATCTCATTGTGGTTTTGATTTGCGTTTCTCTAATGACCACACCACCTTTTTCATTACAAATTTTTTTTAGTATTTATTTTCATTTTTAACTTTGAATGTAACCTTCTGAGATTATTTTGTATTCCCTACTTTTTTTTTGTTTATTTTTGTTTGGTGTATTCATTTATTTTTTTTGAGACGAGTCTCGCACTCTTACCTGGGCTGGAGTGCAGTGGTGTGATCTCGCTCACTGCAACCTCTGCCTCTTGGGTTCAAGTGATTCTCCTGCTTCAGCCTCCCGAGTAGCTGGGATTACAGGCGCCCGCCACCATGCCCAGCTAATTTTTGGTATTTTTAGTAGAGATGGGGTTTCACCATGTTGGTCAGGCTGATCTCGAACTCCTGCCCTTGTGATCACCTGCCTTGGCCTTCCAAAGTTTTGGGATTACAGGCGTGAGCCACCACGCCCGGCTGTTATTTCTTTAATAAATATATAAAAACTCTATTTTTGTGCCGAGAAATGTGCAAAGCATTAGGGGTACTATGGGGAACAGTACTAAACAGTTTTAGTATTTTATCTGAAGGGTAATGCAAAGCTCTTAAAGTGTTTTAAGAAAAAAAAATCTTAATTTGTTTTTTTGTTTTAAAAGGAGCACTCTGGCAGATGTGTTTAGAACCATTTGGAGGAATGTATTAGTTTTTTACAGCTATGTAAGCAACTTAGCAACTTAATATAATACAGACTTAATATCTTGGCAGTTTCCATGGGTCATAAGTCTGGGGTGATCTCCCTTTGATTAAAAAATAAACTGGTTTGGGTTTTTATATCTTTAAAATCCTTTCATTTTTATCATGTGACATCAGTTTCATATGGGAGTGAAATCCATCGTATTTACAGTTCTGCCTACACTTATGAGGAGGGAATTATATAGAACTTGTACCCCCAGGGAATCTTGTGGGCTATCTTGGGTTTTGGTCAAGCACAGAAGGCAGGAGTGGATGTAGAGAGATGAGTTCGGAGGCTGCGGTAGTGAGAATGATATTTGCTTTGCAGAATGGTGACATATTGATAGGGAGAAATGTATGGATTTAAAAAGAAAAAAATTTGATTAAATCAGCAGGACCTAGTAATGACTTGAATAATGGGAAGCAAGGCAAACAAAGGAGGTGTCAAGGATGAGTCCTGCATTTCTGGTTTACACAGCTGTAAGAATATTGGTACCCTTCAATGACATAGGAAACACTAAATGAGATCTTGTTTGGGTGGGAAAATATTACTTGATATTTGGGTTTATTGAGGTTAAGCTATGAAAGACAGACATGCATTTCAGAGAAAAGGGCTGAAAGTATAAAATTTGGAGTTACAGAGTAAACAAATAGGTATCGTATTGGCCTATCTGGATTCTATGACTATGGTATTTTATAAAAATGGTACATTATGTAAACCATAAATACTGTAGTTAGACTTTAGTTTTTATCTTTGTCTGAAGGTCTTTTAACTAAAAAATTCAACCCATTCATAAAATTTATTGTGATAATGTTTATATGCTTATTCTATGTCTTATATTTGTTGATTTAGTTTTAAAATATTGTACTTTTCCTGAATTTTATTAGATTATCTTCATTTTTCTTTTCTTTCTGGGGAAAAAAATACAGTGGTATTCTGTTATATTTTCATTCTGCCATTGGTTTTCTTGATAGTTGGTTCACCTTATGCACAGATTCCACATCCAAGGATTCAACCATTTGCACATTAAAAATATTCTAAAACTCCACAACAATAAAAAATAATACAGGTTTCTAGTGTTGAAGATAGAGAATTTGGTACCAGTCTTCTTTCTGCTATGTAGGCAGTTATTTTTTGGTCTAGGAACTTGAAGCTTTTTTTTTCCTTCAATATTCAGAAATTAATTCATCACCTATGTGGTAGGTTGTAGTATTACCTTCTTTTTATAGATGTATAACCAGTAGCCTAAGAGGTTAAGTAACTTAGTCATGATTATGCAGCTAGAATAAGTAGAAAAACTGGAATTGGAAGATACTCTAGTTCTTAATTATTACTATTTTCTTTATACTTCAAAATGGAGTTATAAATATGTACCTGAATATACAAGCTTCAGAATAAGCCCCTAGATAATAAATATGTAAATTACTAGGATTTATATTCTTCTAAGTGCTAAGACTCAGTTCTGTAAGACATGTGCCATACTCTACTCCCTTTTTTTTTTTTTGTAAATTTATGCTTTCTAAATGGTGAAATTCTTTGTTTTTTAAGAACAATTTCAGACTTACAGGAAAATAGAGCAGATAGTATTGAGAATTTTCATAAACTTGGAAAGCTTAGAGTGAGGAAAAAATAAATTTTGTAACTACATAATGAGGGAATTGTTGCTGTCTTTGAGGATGGAGTAATTCTAGAAGTTTCTATGGGTGACAAGCCGAAGACAACTACCAATGTAATTGTGGTTGTATTAGTGTATGTTTTAAGAGGGTGATTAGGATTCCACAGAAATTAATGGCTTTTTCCTAACAGATTTATTCCTCTGCCTAGAATACTCTTACCTACTGTAACTGGCAAAGTCATTTGTTTGTAAACTTCCAATTATACCTTCTTTCCTAGGGGGAATATATATCCCAATTTTTAATAAACATGTTTTGAACTGAGTGACCTACATTTTGTTTCTCTTATCTTTAATGGCAGTTTTAACGTAGATTCTTTGAGTGGGACTAATTGAATGAGTACATGTGGAAAACTTCAATTGGCTGGGTGCGGTGGCTCACGCCTGTAATCCCAGCACTTTGGGAGGCCAAGACGGGTGAATCACCTGAGGTCAGGAATTTGAGACCAGCCTGACCAACATGGAGAAACCCCGTTTCTACTAAAAATACAAAATTAGCCAGGCGTGGTGGTGCATGCCTGTAATCCCAGCTACGTGGGAAGCTGAGGCAGTAGAATCACTTGAACCCAGGAGACGGAGGCTGCCATGAGCCGAGATTGCACCATTGCATTCCAGCGTGGCCAATGAGAGCCAAACTCTCAAAAACAAACAAACAAAAAACTTTAGTTATAGATTTTTTATTTTGAGAGAAAAATTCATTTCTAATTCAGGATAGTAAGTTTCTTTCTTGAATGGGAGCAAACAACTTTGTCATAGTATCTTAATCATTGTCAATTCTACATGCACTTGTAATGCTTTTGTTTTTCAGGCTGTGACAGTGAGGAACTCCATGGCTAAGTCTCTGTATAGTGCCCTGTTTGACTGGATAGTTTTTCGAATTAATCATGCACTTCTGAATAGTAAAGATTTAGAGCATAATACCAAGGTAATGATATATTGGATTATAATATGTTTTTCCCTGAAAGCTATTTTAATAAACTGGTTAATACATGAAATTTAAAAACACAGAATTATATAGAGTAATAAGTAAGAAATCGCTTTTATTTGTTATTTATTACCCTGTTCAGAAGAATTGTTCTGTGTGTCTTTCCAGACCTTTTTTATTATGTGTTTTTACCTCCCGAACGTGTATATTCAGAGTTGCTTTAAAAAATGTAAATAGAATCATGCTCTCTGTATTCTTTCAAACATAAATATATGTATTTTTTTTACCTAGAATCTCTTGAAATATTTTCTGTCTCATTATATATCTGGACCTGGCTATTTAAAAAAAGTTATAAATATATAGTAAGATGTGTACCATAAATCCATCCATTAAAAATAGATTTTGTTTTATTGTTATAAACAATGCTGTAACAAATATTCTTTTACTTACCTGTGTATACATTTCTCTAGGATAACATTATCAAAGTGGGATTGCTGTTTTTTTTTTTTTTTTTGAGACGGTGTCTTGCTCTCACCCAGGCTGGAGTGCAGTGGCATGATCTCGCTACAACCTCCGGTTCAAGCGATTCTCCTGCCTCAGCCTCCTGAGTAGCTGGGATTATGGGTGCCCACCACCACACCCAGCTCATTTTTGTATTTTTAGTAGAGACAGGGTCTCACCGTGTTGGCCAGGCTGGTCTTGAACTCTTGACCTCAGGTGATTCATCTGCTTTGGTCTCCCAAAGTGCTGCGATTACAGGCGTGAGCCACCGTGCCCTGCCGATTGCTAAGTTTAAGGATAGATACATTTTGAAAATTTGACACTTTCCAAAAAAGACTGTACATTTCCAGCAGCAGTGTGTGAAAGCACCTGATCCCCTACACCTTTACCCACATTGGATGTTATCAGGATTTACATCTCCTAATCTGATAAGGGGAATGGTTTCATTTTATTGCATTATTTTTAATGATAGATAAAAGTTCTGCATCACCTCATGTTTTCGCTATTTTATTTCTTCTCTGTATTTTTAAAATAACTTTGTGTTATTTTTGTCTTCTGTTTTGTCTTTTTGATACTCCTTTTTATTTTTATTTTATTTTAAATTTAATTTTATTTTTGAGACAGTGTCTCATTTTTTTTGCCCAAGCTGGAGTACAGTGGTATGATCTTGGCTCATTGCAACCTCCGTCTCCTGGGTTCAAGTGATTCTCCTGCCTCAGCCTCCCAAGTACCTGGGATTATAGGCGCGTGCCACAATGCCTGGCTAATTTTTGTATTTTTAGTTGAGATGGGTTTCACCATGTTGGCCAGGCTGGTCTCGAACACCTGACCTCAAGTGACCTGCCCTTCTTGGCCTCCCAAAGTGCTGGGATTACAGGCGTGAGCCACCAGGCCTGGCCTACTCCTTTTTAGAAGGCATTTATTGTGGATATTTGTGGAGGCCTATAGTTTGATATATATTGCAATTATTTTCTCTCTTAGTTATTTACTTTTTAGATTTATTTATACCATCTTTTTCTGATTTTATGTTGTAATTTTTTTGCAGTTAATTCTGTCATTTTTCTTGTTTTTAGTTTTGCATTTTGTATATGTATTTTACTTACAGAGGAAGGCCTCTTCTAGCCCAAGATTATAAAATATTTATTCTTATATTTTTATAATTATAATTTTTTTATGTTTAGACTTTTTCTAACTATATTTTTAATATGGCAGATTATAGGTATTTAATCATTTCACATCTAGTTGTGTTTTCTGGGCAGCCTTCATGGACTAGTCCACCTTGTCAGACTGATTAAAAATGTCACCTTTTAAATTTAATCCTATTGCCTTAAATGTGAAATTGCTCTTATGTTAATTTTTCATGCTTCAGGTAAACTCACAGTCATAAAAATTAATTTAAATTGTAATCTAATTTATCAAATTGATTTATTTTTGAAGGGCATTATTTTAATTTTTTTAAGGGCCTAGACTTAGCAGAATTAAACAAAATACTCTTAGTACAGGCTTTTAAAAAAGATCTTACTATTTTTCATTCATCATATCAGTTTGCCCGTTGTATCTCTTAGCACCAGTGGAGAAAAATTATTTTCATTTAACCAAAATTGTCATACAACTGTATTTCTAGAATGGGTTGGGGTGGTGAGAAAAGTGTTCATATGCAGGTATTAGAGCCAAATCCACAGTAAGAAGTTAGATTATTCCTAGAAGTGCAATAGAAGAATATAAGCATTTATGTTCTGTATTCTACCAAACAGCTGAAAGATTTGAATGTGGTTGACTTTAGGGAGCAGATCTTGATGATGAGGCAGGGATTGCTGTCTTTTGTTGTAATCCTTTTAGCACTATTCAACATTTTAAACCTCATACTTTTTTTTTTTAATAAATATTTTTAACTTTACGAAACCGTATGTTCTGGCCGGGCACGGTGGCTCACGCCTGTAATCCCAGCACTTTGGGAGGCCGAGGCGGGTGGATCACCTGCACTCAGGAGTTTGATACCAGACCGGCCAACGTGGTGAAACCAGTCTCTACCAAAAATACAAAAAATTAGCCAGAATGGTGGTGCATGCCATGGTAAACCCAGCTGCTGGTGAGGCTGAGGCAAGAGAATCGCATGAACCCCGGTGGCAGAGGTTACAGTGAACTGAGATCACGTCACTGTACTCCAGCCTGGGCGACAGATCGAGACTCCGTCTCAAAAATAAAAAAGAAACCATACGTTCTGACATCTAGTTTCACTCAGTCTTCATGAGGCTGATAAAATATACTAGTTTGGTTCTTAATGAAGAATTCTATTTATTGGGATGTAGAAGTCGAAATAGGAAAAATTGCATTGTCCTCTTGGTATAGCCAGGAGTAACCTACCTCTCTTGATCCTTCATTGAAATAACCTTTTGATTTCCTCACCCTCTGTTTTTTTCCATTCCCTTTAAGATGTTAGGGATTTCTGAGGTTTCTTAAGATAAAAGGCCACTAACCTTGCTTCACATATTTCTGTAATCTATAGATTATATGTATTAACAGTTTGGATATATTTTTTTAATTAGGATAAAAGTAAGATAAAGATAACTAAAATACTTTTAAGTCATGATATGTTTTGAATACTGGCCAAACACAATCCCCTGTACACTGCTTTAGAGGAATTGAGCATTTTGTTACTTATGTTGTGGATATTATTCATTAAATAAATTTAAACATTACTTTTAATCAAAACTTTCTCTTGTTTTACAGACATTGTCTATTGGTGTTCTTGATATTTTTGGGTTTGAAGATTATGAAAATAACAGCTTTGAACAGTTCTGTATTAATTTTGCTAATGAACGTTTACAGCACTACTTTAATCAGCATATCTTTAAATTGGAACAAGTGAGTACCTAAATATGTATACACTTGTCCCCCCATCACACATATCTTTGAGTCATATTCATAATAATTCACTTCATTTTTTCACACATTTTATTGATTTACATAGTGTTTTTATTAAATATTGAAACGTGCCTTTACAAACAAGAATAACCGAAGTAAATTGGCTTGGGAACAAATACCGTTGCCTCTTTGTTTATGTAAACTCAACTGATGGGATTAGAAATGTGAGATAAAACAGAGTAGTCTGGTAGCTTCAATTGTTTATCATAATATCAGTTGTGATATTTTACTAAAAGAGTGGAGAGCACATAATAAGCATTTTAAATCTTGTCTTTTTTTTTTTTTTTTGACTGAGTCTCGCTCTGTCGCCCAGGCTGGAGTGCAGTGGCCCAATCTCGGCTCACTGCAAGCTCCGCCTCGCGGGTTCATGCCAGCCTCCTGGCTCAGCCTCCCCGAGTAGCTGGGACTACAGGTGCCCGCCACCATGCCCGGCTAATTTTTTTGTATTTTTAGTAGAGATGGGGTTTCACTGTGTTAGCCAGGATGGTCTCGATCTCCTGACCTCGTGATCCACCCGCCTCAGCCTCCCAAAGTGCTGGGATTATAGATGTGAGCCACTGCGCCCAGCCTAAATCTTGTCTTTCAATACAAATATTGTGGTCCACATATCATTGTAAGCAGATGACAGAGGTTTTATAGTTCCCTAAATAGATTTGCTGGCTGGGCATGGTGGCTCAAGCTGACAATCCCAGCATTTTGGGAGGCCAAGGTGGGTGGATCTCTTGAGCCCAGGAGTTAGAGACCAGCCTGGGCAGCATGGCGAAACCCTGTCTGTACAAAAAATATAAAAATTAACCAGATGTGGTATTGCATGCCAGTTGTCCCAGCTACTCAGGAGACTCAGGTGGGAGGATCACCTGAGCCTGGGAGGTGTATGTTGCAGTGAGCTGTGTTTGAGCCACTGCATGCCAGACTGGGCAACAGAATGAGACTGTCTCAAAAAAAAAAAAAAATTGCTTATATATGCTTATTTGATTGCACCTTTGTTGTTTTTGCAGGGGAGTGTGTTTTTTTAGAGATGGGTCTTCTTGCTCTGTCGCCCAAGCTGAAGTACAGTGGCGTGATCTTGGCTCACTGTGTCGACCTCTGGGGCTTAAGGAGTCCCCCCACCTCAGCCACTCAAGAGCTGGGACCACAGGTGCACGTCACCACACCCAACTAATTTTTGTTTTTATTTTTTGTAGAGACAAGGTGTCACTATGTTGCCCAGACTGGTCTCAAACTCTTAGGCTCAAGCAGTCCTCCCACCTTGACCTCCCAAAGTGCTGGGATTACAGTCAGGAACTACCACTCCTGGCCTTGAATGAACCTTTGATTAAAAAGATGTGTGTGTGTGTTTTGTTTTGTTTTTATTGCTGGTGTTGATTGTTTTTTTCTTTTTTCTTTTTCTTTCACACAGGGGTTTGGAAACAATGGTGTTGATTTTTAATTGCTACCATGGGCTTGGTCACTGTGTGTAATGCTAAGTACAGTCAGTCAGTCCTCCTTATCTTTGGGTTTTACATCCAAGCATTCAACCCATGGCTGATACAAAACTACTGATACAAACCTGCATATACAGAGGGCTGACTGTACTAAGCCATTTTATATAAGAGACTTGCGCATCTGTGGATTTGGTATCCACAGGGAGTCCTGGAACCAATCCCTCGAGGATATGGAGGGCCAACTGTATGCTTGTTTGATTGCTTTGGTCTCTTAGTTCTAGGATGAGATAGAGGAGCTTAACAGAATCTCAAGTCAGTACAGAGTGTAGATACAAAGAAACTAGGTATGGAGAGACCAAGATGGGTAACTAGATATTTCTTATGAGGATCTCAAGATTGATTAAGTTAGTATAAAAAGAGTGTGCTTTTGGCTGGGAGTGGTGGCTCACACCTGTAATCCCAGCACTATGGGAGGCCGAGGTGGGCGGACGAGGTCAGGAGTTTGAGACCAGGCTGACCAACATGGTGAAACCCCATCTCTACTAAAAATACAAAAATTAGCCGTGTGTGGTGACAGGAGCCTGTAATCCCAGCTACTAAGGAGGCTGAGGCAGGAGAATCACCTGAATGTGGGCGGCGTAGGTTGCAGTGAGCCGAGATTGCGCCACTGTACTCCAGCCTGGGTGACAGAGTGAGACTCTATCTCAAAAAAAAGAGTGGGCTTTCAGTTTCCATGAAAATTATTAGTGCAAAGGGAGGGGCAAACAAAATGTGGACTTTTTCTCCAAACTAAGGTTGAAATCAGTAATAGGTTTACATTGTACCCCAGAATTTGTGTATGAGGACATAGGCAGACACAGGTTTCATCAAACTGAACTCAAGGGAAATAGTTAAGAATAGAGAATGAACAGAAAGACTACAACAGCTAGCAGGTCTACAGAAAAGAGGGAGAAAAGATCTTTATATCATCAAGTCTCCTATCATTGGATCTTGTTGCTGTCTTAGCTTTTTAAAAAAGTGCCTCTATTTTGCTTAAAGGACATAATGGCTGGTTAACAATAGCATGACAATATTAGTCCTGGCCAACTTGATGAATGCTTAAAGTTTTAAACATATAATCTGTTAGCTAGATGCTACCCTAGAGCTTTGGAAAGATATTATTTGTTATAATATTAGCTAACACTTACGAGTTATGTAGTGTTACTTATCAGTCAGTACTGTTTTTATTCTAGTTTTTCAGATGTTGTCTAAAGCCAGTATTCAAACCTTAACACTCTGGCTCTATAATATTTTCTTTTAATCAAAAGCTAAGCTGGGATTGCCATCCATGTCTATTGAATCAGTCCAAAACTCTTACATAAATCATACTAAGTTAATATTCTTTATCTCTTGCAAATAAGTACATGTGTTAGAAGGGTGAGGGAATGCATTTAGTTTTCTGGGTTCTATATTTTACAGAGCAGAACATCAGTTGCTCTGTGGATCATTAAACAGAACATTGGTTAAATTGATTTTGAAAAAGACAAACATTCTTTATTGTAAACTGAAATTATTCTTTTCTAGAAGTCTAGATTAGACAGCCAGAAGAAATGCCTTGGCCATAAACGTATTATATATAAAAATAAAAAACCTTAGAGTTTATGGAAAATGTGTTCAAAACTACTTGGAAGATGGGTGATTCTCATTTACTTGCTACCCTGAATGTCAGCATTTTGGGCAATGTGGTGCAATTATGGATCAGAATCTTGTTAAGTGTCTTATTTATATGTACCTCATTGGTAACTGGTATGAAATGGGTACTCAGTGATTACTTGTTAAGTTCAGTTGAGTATAAAATAAGTTAAGGTTAAAATTTTTAAAAAGAAGGTACAGTATCACAGGTACATTTGTAGGAAAAATCTTCAATATGATGACTGTGGTTTGGTTCTAAATTTTGTCCAAAAGGAGTACATAGGCATATAGGATGGGAGAGAGATGTAATAATTGCCATGCAGGATGTAAATGCTATAATCAGATATAAGGTAAAGTAGTTACACAAAGGATGGGGTTGATTGGAACTACCTGAAAGGCTGCAAAAATTTTCCAGGGTTGATTCTGGCATATAATTTCAAATAGTGAGCTGAAGCTCACTAGATTGTCAATGGGAAAAGATATTTTAGGCAAAGGTAACATTATACACATTGTACTTAAAACAGTGGACTTATATGTCATGCAGGGAAGATTAGAATTTTTCAGACAATGAGAAGCTATTTGAAGTATATTTAGCAGAGGACTTGAATTGAACTGAAGAGCAGTGAACTGGAAAGAAGGAGAAAAATCTATGAACTAGTTGAAGTACTGTCATGTGTCACTTAATGATGAGGATATGTTCTGAGAAATGCATCATTAGGTGATTTTGCTGTTGTATGAACATCATCCTGTATTTACACAAACCTAGTTGGTATAGCCTCCTACACACCTAGGCTATATGATATAGCCTATTGCTCCTAGGCCACAAACCTGTACAGCATGCTACACTGAATATTGTAGGCAACTGCAACACAATGGTAAGTATTTGTGTATCTAAATGTATCTAAACATAGAAAAGATACAGTAAAAATACAATATAAAAGATAAAAAATAGTACAGTTACATAGGGCACCTCCCATGATTAGAGCTTGCAGGACTGGAGGTTACTCTGGGTGAGATGTTGGGTGAGTGGTGATAAAGGCCTAGGACATTACTGTACACACACTAGTTAGACTTTATAAACACTGTACACTTAAGTTACACTAAATTTATTAATTTTTTTGTAATAAATTAACCTGAGCCTACTGTAATGTTTTTACTTTATAAACTTTTTTAACTTTTTGACTTTTGTAGTAGCCATTTAAAACACAAACACATTGTACAGCTGTACAAAAATGTTTTCTCTTTATATAATTATAAGCCCTCTTTCTATTAAAATTTTTTAAAACTTTAAAAACTTTTTTGTTAAAAGCAAAGACACATACATACATGTTAGCATGTATACATACATATTACCATAGCATATTAGCATAGGCCTACACAGGGTCAGGATCAAGACGTCAGTAGATAATAT
Organism: Homo sapiens; assembly: GCF_000001405.40. Classification (NCBI taxonomy): domain Eukaryota; kingdom Metazoa; phylum Chordata; class Mammalia; order Primates; family Hominidae; genus Homo; species Homo sapiens. The sequence continues at coordinate 71,986,536 of NC_000015.10, read as the reverse complement.
GAATTTTTCGTGAGATTAGGGATCCCTGTTGTATATGCAGTTGGTTCTTGACTGAAATGTGTTTGTGTGGCACATGACTGTAGAATGGGTGAGTGATTCTGAACTGAATCAAGGTAGTGGTAGAGACTGTAATGTAGACTAAGAGACAGACCCAAAGAGGTTTCTGATATTTGAAAGTACAGCCATCCCTGGGTATCCACAGGGGATTGGTTTCAGGACCCCCTGCTGAAGAATACCAAAATCCACAGATGCTCAAGTCCCTTATGTAAAATGGCATAGTATTTGCACATAACCTATGCACATTCTCCAGTATACTTTAGATCATCTCTCAGTTTCTTATACTTAATACACTGTAAATGGTATGTAAATAGTTGCTATACTGTTTCTAAGTTTATATTTTTTGCATTTTTTTCTCTAAATATTTTTGATATGTGGTCGGTTGGATCTACAAATGTGGAAACTTTTGCAGATATGGAGGGCCAATTGTATGTTTTCTGTTACTTGTATTACTGCCCTCTTTTTTCTTTTCCTTACTTGCTGAGAATTACTCTTCATTTGATTGATTCATCAGTAAATTGAACAACAGTTGTGTGCCAGGCAGTGTGCTAAGCATAGAAGATAGAAAATTTAGAGTGCAGGGATCTTATTTGAGGAGCTCATAATCTAGCAAGTTTTTGTTTCATCCATTTTACTTGTTGTTGTCAGACTAGAAACTTTTGATGAACCTTACCTTGGAGAACAACCAAAAAACTTCAACAACATATATTTGAAGGCATTGGAGTACCTTCAAATAAGTTTTACAGGGCCTAGACTATAAGAAAGAAATCTAGGGAAGTGAGCCCAGCATTTGGGTGCTGCTTTGTTCCTAGAGACATTTCGTTATTTTTGTAGTGTTTCTGATTCTAAAAGGGCCAGGCTTGAGAGTATGAGGAATTGAGCAGGGTTTTCTTCTGACTCAAAAATAAGGAGGAGGCCCTTGGTAATTCCTATAGGCTTTAGGTTGAGATCCCTAAAGGGTTACATCTCAGACAAAAGTAAATCAGAAGTAAACCTGGCATCAGAAGGACTGAAGCCCAGTTTAAAATCATCTCAGTTCCCAATTAGGTTAAAATACAATTTGTAGTATTCTTAACCACCTGCCAAGAGCAAATACAATCTCCACCAGAAGAAGACATCATCCAACTGCTAAAATTATCTTTATAATTTTTCATATACAGGATCTAACACTCAGTCCAAAACAGAGAGAGAGAGAGACAGACAGAGACATAAAGACATACATGGAGGCAAACCAGCATGAATAAAAACCACGAGAAATGTGGCCGGGCATGGTGGCTCACGTCTGTAATCCCAGCACTTTAGGGGGCTGAGGCAGGTGGATCACTTGAGGTCAGGAGTTCAAGACCAGCCTGGTCAACATGGTGAAACCCCATCTTTACTAAAAATACAAAAATTAGCTGGGCTTGGTGGCACATGCCTGTAATCCCAGCTATACAAGAGGCTGAGGGAGGAGAATTGCTTGAACCCAGGAGGCGGAGGTTGCAGTGAGCTGAGTTTGTACCACTGCACTGCAGCCTGAGTGACAGAGTGAGATTGCGTCTCAACAACAACAACAAAATATCCCAAGAGAAATGAGATAATAATACCACAGTGGATCCAGCCAATGATATTAGCACTAGACATGGACTGGAAACTAACCATGCTTTCAAGAAATTTTAAAAAATAAGGTGCAATATTTTTATTAAAGAACTACAAATTACTTTTAAAAATCCCAAATTGGGGAAAACCTAGAACTAAAAAGTACTGTGAAATTGAAAAGACACAGATGGTTTTTAATAGTAAGATACAGGTTAGTAAAATTAGTAAATTGGAAGATAGACCAGAAGAAAATACTGAGCCTAATGAATGAAGATAAGAAAGAGACTTATACTCTAAGAGCATAGTAAAAAGGTCTAACATGTGCCATAGGAATTTTGGAAAGATGTGTATGAGAGACGTAGAATAAGTTAGAAGCCGTGTTTGAAGACATAATGGTTGAGAATGTTCCAAAACTGTCAAAACAAAAAAACAAACCCAACAAGCATACATTTGAAAAGCTCTTTAAGAATCCAAGGCATGTTAAATACAAAGATATTTATACCTAGAAAATTATACTAAACCAAAGACAATGAAAAAAGTCTAAAAAGCAGCTAGAGGAAACCAGAGACTACAGTTGCTCCTTGCCAAGCTGAAAATATTTTAAGTCAAAAATGCATTTAATGCATCTAAACTACCAAGCATCATAACTTGACATAGCCTACCTTAAATGTGCAGGACATTAAATGTGCTCAGAACACTTACATTAGCCTACAGTTGGGCAAAATCATCTAACACAATACCTATTTTATAGTAAAAATGTTGAATATCTCATGTACCACATATCACCAGCCTAGGCAAAGATAAAGTCTGCAGAAATTATGACAGTTTCACCCCATTGTAAAGTTGAATCATCGTAAGTCAGGGACATCTCTATCTTTAAAGATACAACAATAAGACTTGGCAGTCAGCCTTTCAGTGGAAATAGTGGAAGCTAGGAGACAATGGCATATTTTCCTTAAAACCAAGGTATATTGTTTAGGCAGCAAGTTGTTTCCTATTGTAGCTCAGGTACAGGAAGGAATGAAGAGCAATGAAAATTATAAAAAAGTCGTTGAATCTAAATGAATATTAATGAGGCAAAGTTAAAAATAACTTTTATGGCTTAAATAGAACTATTTAGGCTGGGCGTGGTGGCTCACGCCTGTAATCCCAGCACTTTGGGAGGCTGAGGCAGGTGGATCACCTGAGGTCAGGAGTGTGAGACCAGCCTGGCCAACATGGTGAAACCCCGACTCTACTAAAACTACAAAAATTAGCAGGGCGTGGTGGCAGCCGCCTGCAATCCCAGCTACTCAGGAGGCTGAGGCAGGAGAATTGCTTGTAGCTGGGAAGGGTTCGCGGAAGTTCCAGTGAGCTGAGATCACGCTATTGCACTCCATCCTGGGTGACAGAGCGAGACTCCATCTCAAAAAAAAAAAAAAAAAAAAAAAAGAAATAAAAAAAATAAAAAACTATTTAATGTTTAAATGTAACTAAAATACATGACAGTAATAGCATATAAGTTAGGAGTAAATAGAATTTAAGATACTCTAAGATCTTTGTATTAAATGCTAAGTTACAGAGATATTATTTCTGTTAGTGATAAGTTAAGGATACATGTTTTCTAGAATTGCCAAAAATAGTAAAATAATATAAAACTTGAAAAAAAATACAGAGGATAAGTAAAATAAGAACACTCAATCCAGAAGAAAGCAAGAAATAAAAGGAATGCCATGAAAGTCAAAGAACAAGTAGTAAGGTGTTTGATTTAATCTCACAAATATTAGTGATTACATTAAATATAATTGATTCATTGCTCTAACTAGAAGCTAAAGATTGTCAGACTAGATATAATACAAAACTAAACTGATTGTTGCTTATGAGAGACATTTTAAATATAAGTATATAGAAAGATTAAAAGGATGAGCAAAGATTTAGTAAACCTTAAGAAAAAAAGCAGTTGTAGCTATATTAATATCATATTTCAAGCATTACTAGAGATAAAAAGGAATATTTAATAATGTTACCCTTTAGCATTATTCACTTCCTTGGGAAGTAGTATACAGTCCAAAATTTATAAGCACCTGATAGCAGAACCTCAAAATATATAAAGCAATAATGAATAAAACTCAAAAAAGAAAAATATATTTACCATCATAGTGGAATGTTTTAACATACCATGCTGACTTGCTGATAGAATAAGTGTTCAAAAAGTTGGTAAGGATACAGAAGATTTAAAATATCTAGAAGATGAGATTAGTGCCTTTGTGGGCATCCATCACTGACTGTCCTTCAGAGCAGAATGTCAGTTTCCTGCCCTTAGGCCTGAAACCTAATCAATTAAGGATATAGAAGATTTAAAAATCAAATATATAACTGATATGCATAGAACACTGCATCAACAGCTGCAGAATGCACTTTTTTTTCAAGTTTGCGTGGGATATTTACAAAATTTGTTTATATCCTGGACCATAAAGCGAAAGTCAGATTTCCAAGGATTGAAATGACACAGATTTTAATACCATAATAAAATTATACCTGAAATCAGTAACTAAAAAATAACTGAAAAATACCTATATGATTAAAAATTAAGAAATATTCTAGGCTGGGCACGGTGGCTCACGCCTGTAATCCCAGCACTTTGGGAGGCTGAGGTGGGCAGATCACGAGGTCAGGATATCGAGACCATCCTGGCTAACACGGTGAAACCCCGTCTTTACTAAAAATACAAAAAAGTTAGCCAGGCATGGTGGCAGGCCCCTGTAGTCCCAGCTACTCAGGAGGGTGAGGCAGGAGAATGGTGTGAACCCGCGAGGCGGAGCTTGCAGTGAGCTGAGATTGGGCCACTGCACTCCAGCCTGGGCGACAGAGTGAGACTCTGTCCCAAAAAAAAAAAAAAAAAAAAAAAAAAAAAAAATTCTAAATAGGCTAGAGGTTGAACAATTAGAAAATATATTGTACCTAATGACACGTTACATATTAAAACTATGGGAAATGCCTAAAGCTATACTTAGAAGAACATTTCATAGCTCTTAGAAGATTTTTGTTTAAAATCAGTGATCCCTGTCAACAGTTGGGAAAAAGATCAGCAAACTAAACCAGAGGAAAGTAGAGAAAATGAAATAATAGAGATAAAAGAGGAAATTAATAAAAGTGTGAAAACAAATATACCATGGGAGAGGATCAACCAAACCAAAAGTAATACTTTGAAAGGGCTAATAATATTGATGAACCCCTCAAGGAATTCATCTGAGAGAGAGAGAGAGAGAGAGAGAGAGAGACAAGACAGAGAGAGGGATATAAATAACCAAAATCCCAGTGATAGAGGGTATTACTCTGGATCCTACACATATTAAAAAGATAGACACACTGAATAACTTTATGTTAATAGACTTGTCAAATGATACGAACAAAAGAGCTTTTCAAAACTGACATAGAAGAAATAGAAAATCTGTTTCTATAACTATTAATGACATTGAATATGTAATTTAAAACCTTTCCCTGAAGAACATTGCAAGCCATGGTGGCTCCACGGGTAAATTATACCAACATGGAAAGAAGAAAGAGTGTCAGTCTGACATAAGCTGTTAGGTGGAATAGAAAAAAGGACAATTCTCAGTACATTTTAGGGGGCCAGGATAACAATGATACACACATCTGTTAAGGATATTAGAAGTGGAAATTATAGGTCAGTTTCACTCATAAACACAGATACAAAAATTCTAAACAAACATTAATAAAATCCATCAATATGTACAAAAGGATAATACATTGTAACCAAAGGGAGATTTTTTTTTCAGCATGTGCTTTACATTTAACTGAATCAAGCCATTTAATCATCTGTTAATAAATAAGGAGAAAACACAGTTATCTCGAGATATATAAAAAGCAGTTGATAAAACTGTGTAGCTATTCCTTTTTTTCTTTTAAACTAGGAGTAGAAAATGATTTTCTGATAAAGGACATCTACAAAATACAGCTAATATCTTATTGAATGAAAAAGACTGAGTGCTTTTCCTCTGAGACTAAGAACAAGGCAATAATGTTTTCCGAGAGTTTTGCTTGTTTGTTTGTTTTTTGTTTTTAAGACAGAGTCTCGCTCTGCAGCCCAGGGTGGAGTGCAGTGGCGCAATCATAGCTCACTGCAGACTTGATCTCCTGGGCTCAAGAGGTCGTCTTGCCTCAGCCTCCCAAGTAGCTGGGACTACAGGTGCATACCACCATGCTCAGCTAATTTTTTTCTTTATTTTTGTAGAGTCAGGGTCTCAATATGTTGTCCTGGTTAGTCTCAAACTCATGGCCTCAAGTGATCTTCCCAGCTAGGCCTCCCAAAGCATTGGAATTACAGATGTGAGACACTGTGCCCAGCCAAGAGTTTTTATCATGAATACAAGCACGTCATACAAGGGGAAATCCAAATGAGCAGTAAACATAGGAAAATGTTTTTTCTTTGTTATTCATCAGGGAAATCAAAGCTAAAATCACAATGAGCTACTAGTAGGCATTCACCGAAATGACTAAAATGAAAAAGACAGACAATACGAGTATTGGAGAGATATGTCTATAGGGACATACGCTGGGGTGGGTATGTAAATTGCCACAACCACATCAGAATGCTGTTTGGCATTATCTGCTGTGGTTAAACATGTAGTTTATAATCCTGTGTTTTCACTCAAAGATAAGTATAAATGCACACCAAAAGTTTTGTGTGGAAATGGTCATAAGACGTTATTTTTAATGACCAAATATTAGAATTAAGAGCAGTGTCTATCAGTAGTAGAGTGGGGCTTGACTTGTGCCTATAATCCCAGTGTTGTGGGAGGATTGCTTGAGATTGCTTGAGGCCAGGAGTTCGAGACCAGCCTGGGCAACAAAGAGAGATCCTGTCTCTTAAAAAAAAAGAAAAAAGTAGAATGGGTGAACAAGTTATTGTATACAGATACAATGGAATACTCTACAGCAGTGATTCTCAAAGTTTATTCCTTCTCTCTCCTCAATAATAGCATCAGCATCACCTGGAACCTTTTTAGAAATGAAAATTCTAAGTACTCTATACCTACTTAAGCAGAAATTCTGGGGATGGAGTCCCAATACTCTTGTTTTTTAACAAGCCGTTCTTGTGATTCCGTTGTATGTTAAAGTTTTAGAACTAATGCTTTGTAGCAGAGTTTGGCACACTTTTTCTATAAGGGCCAGATCTTTTAAGGCTTTTTGGGCCATATGTCTCAACTCAGCTGTTACATTGACAAAGTAGCCATAGACAATATGTAGCTGAGTGATTGTGTTGTTTCACAATGCAATTAAAATGAATGAACTTCAGGTACATCCAACAAAATGGTTGTGTCTCTGAAACATTAGCTGAATGAAAAAAGAAAAGAGACAAAATGAGTATGTGTTATGTGATTCCATTTAGATACTATTTATAAATAGGGGAATCTTATTGATTGTATTAGAAGCTGACTTTGGGTAGGAGGGTTTGGATAGTCCTTGGGAAGAGATAATGAGGAGGACTTTTGGACTTCTAGTAATGCCTATAAAAATCATTAAGCTCATACTATCTAGTGTGTATATTTTTCATGCTGCAAAAAATTGGGGGGAAATACCTTTCTTACTGCCATTGGGGAGTGACCTTTATATGACTATTTCTTATGTGTGAAATTGTTAATTAAAAGAAAAGAATTAAGTATTTACCTTTCCTAGTTAGAGTAACTATAGTTTATGTTAGTGTTCATTCTTCTTTACTGGATAATAATGAATACAGAAAGAATGATGGAATTTCAAAATCAAAAAGAACAACAAAAAAGAATTTCAAAATCACTATTTGCAGATTGGCAGTTGACTTGTGCTGCAAGTACTGTAAGTGAATGCTAAAACAATTAGGTACATGGGATATTTTACCTGATGCCTAAATACCACTGCAGTGCAGAAACATATCTCCTTTACATTCTCAGGTGCATTTTTTCCTTAAAAAAACCATCTAAAAAGTGAAAGTATCACAAGGATGAATAGAAGAATATATCTCCATACAGGAAAGAATAAGAAAAAATGGAGCGCTTTGTAAGATGATTTTAAGTAGTTACTCAAGACCTGAACCTCGAGTTTTTTAACCTTAGAATTCAAAACCTTTTCTTTAAAAAAAAAAAAAGTCCTAAAGATTATATTTTGCCAAAGTTTAGTGTGTATGAATTCCATATAATTACTGGAGGGTGATGGGGTCCCACTTTTCCCAGAAATTGTTTCATTAAATTCATTGTTGATAATCCAGGAAATATAGTGCTTTTTGATGGCTTAAAGTCATGTGGGAGATATTAGCCTTTTTTCTTCATTGTACGTTTTTACTTAGTGGAGTCATCAGGTAGTGAGACTAAAACAAATCTAGCCCTACATTTTGATTAGAATGAACTTAGAACTGGCATTCTAACAAAAAAAATTTGTGGCATGTCTTTTTAAGAGAAAACAAATACGTTGTATTAAGATTTGTACAACTGAAATTATACATTCTTTCATTGTGTGGATTGGTGATTTTTAAAATCTTAGAATTTTAAGCAGGGTAAAAGCTTTTCAATCTATATTATATACCTATTTTCTGCAAGATGAATAAATTGTTATTTTATTTTTTGGTTTTTCTAGGAGGAATATAGAACTGAAGGTATCAGCTGGCACAACATAGATTACATTGATAATACCTGCTGCATAAATCTTATTAGCAAAAAACCAACAGGACTGCTTCATCTTTTGGATGAAGAAAGCAAGTGAGTGTGATTCTTTTCAATTTTGTTATTGGCTGTTTTGGCTTTTTATCTCCTTTTAAGTTTAAACTTTTTTCTTACATTACCAAATAAAGAGCCAAATTTTTTTTGTACAATTTATTTTTTTATTTATTTTTGAGACGGAGTCTTGATCTGTCACCCAGGCTGGAGTGCATTGGCCCCATCTCGGCTCATTGCAACCTCCACCTCCTGGGTTCACGCCATTCTCCTGCCTTAGCCTCCAAAGTAGCTGGGACTACAGGTGCCCGCCACCATGCCTGGCTAATTTTTTGTATTTTTAGTACAGACGGGGTTTCACCGTGTTAGCCAGGATGGTCTCGATCGCCTGACCTCATGATCCACCTGCCTTGGCCTCCCAAAGTGCTGGGATTACAGGCGTGAGCCACCGCGTGTGGCCACAATTTTTTTTTATATCTGTGTGTTTCTAGGTAATTAGGATGGGCTTCATTACTTGAATTCATTTTTTTCTTAAGTTCTTCTAGATTTATTCAATACACCTTGATGTCAAACTTGTTGACTTTTTTTTTTGGTTACATGTTTCTTTCTTTGTAAATTGAGCTTCATGTATGAGATGTGTTTGTAGTTTTCATGTTTAGCAGAAAAGAATATCGTGATAGGCCAAACGTGGTGGCTTATGTCTGTAATCTCAACACTTTGGGATGCCAAGGCGGGAGGAGCACTTGAGGCCAGGAGTTCGAGACCAGCCTGGCCAACATGGTGAAATCTTGTCTGTGCTGAAAATATGAAAATTAGCTGGGCATAGTAGTGCAGGCCTGTAATCCCAGCTACTTAGGAGGCTGAGGCATGAGAACCGCTTGAACCCAGGAGGCAGAGGTTGCAGTGAGCCGAGATGGCGCCAATGCACTATAGTCCAGCCTGGGCGACAGAGCAAGACTTTGTCTCCAAAAAAACAAAACAGAAAAAAGAATGTTATGGTAAATTAGTAATGTCTGCCATGATCGTGCAGTGTAAGTGGCAACATCTGCCAGTTATTTACTATTCCTTGATAACACTGTTCAATATAACTGAGTTAAATATATGCTTCAGAAATAATGCTTTATGTAGCATTCTTCAGAGTATTCTCAACAATGTATAAAATACAGTTGATTATCCTAAGAGATGGCAAATCTAGATTTGGAGAAACTGAGATGAGGTGGTTGTGAGGTTTTTATGACTGTTTAGTAAAAAATTTAGAAATTGAATTTATTTACCTGATTTCTAGTTTAATATTCATTAGACAAGATAGAAAGTATTGAGGATTTACTATTAGAGGTAAGATGATTGTGTAAGGTGGTAGAATAAAAAGCTAACAGAAAGAAGACTGCTAACAGTTTAGTGTCACTCTGACCTACTCTATCACTAGTCAACTTCCATTAATCTAAAGAAATTAAAATGCTGTTAACACAAGTAAAAAGTACCTTAATTTTCTGTCCAGAGTTTTGTAAAAGTTTCTTGCATTACTCTATATGCCCCAACATAATTATTGTCTCTCATAAAATTGTAAGGTTTGTAATTCACTGTTTGTATACCCTACCTCTGGTATATGTTTATTTGGGAAGGCTTTATAGGTGATTTTGATATTCCGTGTTGAGAACCGTTGTGGTTGATAATGGAATGATTAGCATTTCTTTTTGTTTGGGGAATTTTATAGTAACAAAAGAAAGTTTAAGAAACAATCCAAGAAAAAAGATTATATAGGTAGGAAATGGAGGACCTGAGAGTCAAACCTGTCAAGTATTTCTGACTAATAAGCTTGTGCTTTGAAGTATTATATTGCTTCCCTGTAATATTTAGGTGTTAGAGTCAGAAGTCCAGGACTTGTATCCCATTTCTATAACTACTGTTACAGAAAAACTCTCAAACTGTGTTTTTCCTTTACTCTAACACCACAGTAATCAACACAGAAGACTTCTGTGACCAAATGTGTGGGGTTTTTTCCCCACTAATAAGCAGTGGACACCAGCTGGGTATCCTCTATTCAGATTTGACACTGTCTACCTGGAGGTAGTATCAGATCCCACAGATCGAGGGCTCAGTCCCCAAAACTGCACCTCACCCCACCTTCAGACCCCCGCCTGTAATCCATGCCTCCAGAACTTCTGACCAACCAGGTTCTCCTTGAGTTCAATTAATTTGCCCGAGCAGCTTGCAGAACTCAGGGAAAACGAAACAATGAGGAGCTGCGTAGGACGAGGTGTGGGGGAAGGAGCACAGAGCCTCCATGTCCTCCCTGGGTGTACCACCCTCCAGGAACTCCCACATGTTCAGCTATTCAGAATCTCTCTGAATGCTCTTTTTTGGGGTTTTTATGGAGGCTTCATTACATAGGCATTACTGACAACTGTGTAGAAATGTGATTGGACAAAAAGAGTATGATCTCATACTAATAGACTGAGTGAGAAACCCAGTAAGGCCTGTTTGTCTAGATTCTTCTTGGCCTCTCTGTGCAGCATTCTTTCCTTCAGAGTATGGGGCAGGACCCTTTCTGGAATGAGGATCTTTTGATTCACAATCAGATTAGAGACCTGCCTTGGGCAGGTAAAAGGAAGACAGGAGGTTAGAGAGAAAGATTCTGTTTCCTGAGGCTTGCTCCTGTGACCTGCTCCTGAGACCTAAAGCACTCCTGTGACCTGCTCCTGAGACCTAAAGCACCCCAACATTATAACAAAAGACTACACCAAGGGCTGTGGTAGTTAATAAGTCAGGAACCATGGACGAAAACCTACACACACACACACACACACACACACACACACACACACGATAAAATCACGTCATAGGCCAAAGGGCTGTGGTAGTTAATAAGTCAGGAACCATGGACGAAAACCTACACACACACACACACACACGATAAAATCATGTCATAGGCCACGCCCTGGCTTTCAAACATGGATCCTTTACATCATCAAAAGAATATACAACTCAAACATACTGCTACATTACTAGAATCCCATTCAGTCATTAGTAATTAGTCCAGTTCATTATCATGTTGTATGAATATGTCTCCCAGGGAGAGACCACTCAAGTTTGCAGGCTTCCTTTCAGTCTTGTCAGATTCCAGAAGCAGGAGCAGTCTCCGCAAACATACAACTTTTACCTTTTGAGCATCTCTTATAACTGAGTTAAAGACAGTGTCATCTCTTGCTCTGAGCTTCTTTAAATGTGTTAATGTAATGTTGGATTTCCCTCAATGAATAACCCATTTATTCCTGTCTTTACCCTCAGCTGCTATTCCTCCTCTCCAGTAGTTCCCAAACTTTTCCTCCTTTGGAAGGCACATTAAGAATTGCCACTGTGCTGGTTTAGATTGCAGACAACAACTCTAGTCTAGCAAGTACCTCCTCCTCAGTCCACTCCCCTTTAGATAGGGTAAATTACATGGGTGCAGAACTAGTGAGCTGTTTTTATGGCCAGGAAAAGTAGTAGTTGCATTCACTCTTAGCCCCAATTTTGCTAGATAGAGTGAAGGTACAACCCACCCCCATTATGCCCTTAGGAATTTTGACTTAAGGTTTAAAAATGTAGTTACAGTTTCTTGCTTAGAAATCATCCCTGCTTCCAGCACTTGCAGTTGCAGCCCTTGTCCTAGGACCACTGCATCTGGTAGCGGAGAGAAAAAAAGTTTTTTCTTTTTGAGGTCATCTGGGGAAGAAAAAAATTATAGTTGTTATACCAGTGTACTCCTCCCTTGGGAAGAATTGGATAGTCATACCAGCACCTTCCCCAACCGCCTCTTTCCCAGATGAACCAGAAAAACAAGAAAAATCTAAGGGGATGCTCCTTTAGTCCCACTCATGTTGAATGTGAGCACACACTCGTGAAAGCATGCAAGCCAGCCCTTCATTCTTTTATCTTCCTGTGTTTTAGACAACCAGTGTTTTAATTGCCCATCCTACTCCTTCATCAAACTGTTACTCTGAGGAGGATTTTTTTTTCCTCTTTGTTGGACATGGTAGGCTGTACAATGTGTTTCTCGTTCTGAAAAGATGATGATTGTCCAAATCCATGCGATATTTTCTGTTTTTTGGTTTTTGTTTGTTTGTTTGTTTTTTAAATGGCACTCTGAGCATTTGCATCTTCCACTGGGTAAGGAAAGCTCACTTCAGAGTCGGTGACTATTCCTGTCAAGACCCATTCATTTGTAGCCCCCCAGGGCTACCAGCATCAGTCTCACTTACCTTCTACATTCAGGGTCTTCCCACTAAGGAAACTGCCACATAGCCATTGGAAGTCTCAGACTCTCTTGCTGACAAAAAGAACAGTTCTTATTGGCATTTTGTGCTTGAGAGAAGGTGTAAGAGGAATGTCTAGATTTAGCGCTTCTCAGCACTGCTGTAGTACCCCCATATCTGCTCATTTCATGGACCTATGTAGAAGGGACCCCCTTAACTACAGCATTTACTGTAACCTCGTAAGTAGATAACAGACACATTCATTGGGCGAATATCCTTATCATCATAAAGCTAGTCTTACGTAGCTTGCATATGAAGCATATCAGCTGCTTCATCTGGGTTGTTCTGCTTGGCATTTCTAGGGAAAGTTGGGCAATCCCCCTTTCCAGAGTAAAAAGATCATACAGTGGCTTTTATCCAGTCCACTATGCTGGCTGTTGCCTTGGGAATAACGTCCTGTGTGTCTCAATCATGTATAGATGTCTGAGATTGCTTAGTAGTGAGCCCTGTGTCCTACATCAACCCAAACATGTTTTCCACGGTAGCATTTAAACCAAAGCTACTGCCCCTAATGTAGTTACTCTCATAATCCATTTTAGTAAAGGTTCTTTAGGAAGCTAATGATACCAATCTACAAAATGGAACTATTCCTTCACACTATGCAAATTAATTGAACTCAAGGAGAAGCTGGTTGGTCAGAAGTTCTGGAGGCATGAATTATTGGCTGGTGTCTGAAGGTGGGGTGGGGTGCAGTTACTTCGTTTTGCCCTTTTTCCACATTGACTACCTTCTTGGTAACCACATGTCTCAGAGGTACTTTGTTGCCCCTGCACAATTCTGTCCTTGGAGGGTGGCTTTGAGGCCAGCAGCCTGAGCTCAAACAGACCAAGATCTGAGGTTTATCCAGCTTCAAGGACCAACACAGTACTCTCTTTAAATTTCATTTTAGCTATTATAAATAACAATAATTAAGGGATTATTTATTTATAATAGCTAGTTTTATGGCTATTTATTTATAACAGCCAGTTCATTTTTTTTCTTATTAGTTTGCATTTCCTTATGCAGCCAGTGAACCAATTCCCCAGGAGTTGGAACCATCTCTAAATTCCACTGATAACTTTTACCTTTAATAACCGAGCATAGCAGCTATGGCTTCATACCTTGGGTGACCATGTGGCCACACCAGAACAAAGGTTTCTCATCTTCTACCCTTTTATCCTTTTTCTTCCCAAACCACATGTTTCAGTGAGCCAGGGCCTTTTTAGCAAATCTCACTTCTCTGACACCAGTTATTTGGGAAAAACATTAAAACCATGTTTTCCTCTGCTCTCACACCATAACAATCAACATGAAGACATCTGTGACCAAACGTTTGTGGGGTTTTCCCCACCAGCAAGCAGTGGACACCAACTGGGTGTCCTCTAATTCAAATTTGATACTATCTACCTGGAAGTAGCATCAGATCCCACAGATCGAGGACTCAGTCCCCAAAACTGCACCCCACCCCACCTTCAAACACCAGTCAATAATCTACTCTTCCAGAACTTCTGACCAACCAGCTTCTCCTTGAGTTCAATTAATTTGCTGGAGTGGCTTGCAGAACTTGGGGAAACACTTACTTACATTTACCCCAGTATATTATAAAGGATATTGCAAAGGATACAATGAAGAGATGTGTAGGGCAAGGTATGGGGGAAGGAGTAGAGAGTCTCCATGTCCTTCCTGGGCACTCTACCTTCCAGGAGCACCCATATGTTCGGCTATCTGGAAGCTCTCTAAGTGCTGTCCTTTTGGGTTTTTATGGAGGCTTCATTACATAGGCACTATTGACCCTGTGTAGAAATGTGATTGGACAAAAGAACATGATCTCATGAGTGGGAAACCCAGCAAGGCCTGTCTGTCCAGATTCTTCCTGGCTTCTTGTGCAGCATTTTTTCTTTCAGAATATGGGGAGGGACCCTTTCTGGAATGAGGGTCTTTTAACCGGCAATCATATTAGAGGCCTCCCTTGGGCAGGTAAAAGGAGGACAGAAGAAGGTTAGAGAGAGAGATTCTGTTTCCTGAGGCCTGCTCCTGAGGCCTAAAGCACCCCAACATTATAACAAAAGACTACACCAAGGGCTGCAGGAGTTATGAGCCAGGAACCGTGGATGAAAACCTATATATATAAAAATAAATATATATATTTATTTATTTATAATATCACAACTGTATATATCAAAACTACCCTTGGCAGATCTCATAATATCCTTAGTCCTCAGTTTTCTTGTATGCAGAAGGCAAATGACAATGGTACATGATGATGTTCCGTCCTATATATCTTAAGGTGTTTGTAAACAGCAACTGAGGTAGTAGAATTACTTTGTTTTTTTTTTTTCTTTTTTTTTCTTTTTTTTTGAGACAGTGTCTAGCTCTGTAGCTCAGGCTGGAATGCCGTGGTGCGGTTATGGCTTACTGAAGCCTTGAATTTATGGGCTCGAGTGATCTCGCCTCAGCCTCCTGAGTAGCTGGGACTACAGGCACATACCACCACGTCTGGCTAATTTTAAAATGTTGTTTTAGAGACAAGGAGTCAACTTTGTTGCCCAGGCTGGTCTCAAACTCCTGGGCTCAAGCTGTCCTCCTACCTTAGCCTCCCAAAGTGCTGGGATTACATATGAGAATCACTGTGCCTGTCCTGTCCTGTCATTCTTTAAACAAAATTTCATTGAATGCACATCTTATTATACAAAGACTATAATTTCCTGACCAGTTGCTACTTCACATAGATTTAACCCAATAATGAGAATGTCACTTCTTTTTTTTTTTTTAATTTTTTCTGATACGGAGTCTCGCTCTGTCGCCCAGGCTGGAGTGCAGCGGCACGATCTCAGCTCACTGCAAGCTCTGCTTCCCGGGTTAATGCCATTCTGCTGCCTCAGCCTCCCGAGCAGCTGGGACTACAGGCGCCCGCCCCCATGCCCGGCTAATTTTTTTGTGTTTTTTCAGTAGAGATGGGGTTTCACTGTGTTAGCCAGGATGGTCTCGACCTCCTGACCTTGTGATCCACCCGCCTCAGCCTCCCAAATTGCTGGGATTACAGGTGTGAGCCACTGCGCCCGGCCGAGAATGTCACTTATTTGCTGTTACCCGAAAGCTACGAGGGTTGAGCCATGTGGCCATAAATATCAGGGAGATAAATTCTGGCTCAATAAAATGAAGAACTTTATAATTATTAGAGCTGATTGGCAGCTGCTTTAACAATTAATGTAATTTCCTATTATTATAATTACTTTGCATCATCTGTCAGCGTATTGTTGTAGGTAGGATACTGGACTGAATAACCTTTTTATGAGTCAGTCCTGTAGTTATTACCTGTCCTTGTAAAGAATTTCTGTGCTTTAACATTCCAGAAGATGCAAAGGCATGAAATATTTTTTTCTCTCCCATTTACCTGTAAAAAAACTAGATTGAAAATAAATTAGTCACATGTAGGAAGAACTATTTTGGGACTTACATTGAGTATTTTTTCTCTAAAAATATTTTTTATAGGGAATATATAATGTCAAATATATCCTTAGTTGTGTTCTTCATGCAGTGTGTTTGTAGTGCTCTAGGTGTATGGGTTTAGAATCAGAGGTCTTGGTTTAGCCTTTCCTACTTAATGGCTGTATGTTATGGGGCAGGTTACTTTAGCTAGATTCTGTAGGATGTAGGGTGGCATTTAGGAAGGAGGAATATTGTATCAGAGTTACATATGAATAGGATGTTAGGAATAGTATCAATCTTCCCATAGTATTCAAAGTGTCATCTTCTATCAGCAGCAGTGGACCACTTTGATTCTTGTTAGAAATGTAGAATCTCAAGCTTTCATTCCAGATCTGTTGAATCAGAATCTACATTTTAACAACCGAAGTTAGGATTAGAGCATTCATTTAAGGCAGCATTTTGTGAATCTTGCCTGCTCATGAGAATTACCTTGGGACTTTGTAAATACCACTGATGCTAGGTCATCTCCCTAATCATTTAAGTCAGAATTGCAATAGTTGGGATCCAGGCATTGGTAGTTTTCAAATCTCTAGAGGTTCTCCTGACGCTACCCTTCCAGATAGTGTTTGAGGAACACTAGATGAAGAGCTTTGATATGAGCAATAATGAATGATTTTCTTGTGTTCCAAATTTTTTTTTTTGCCTGGTAATGTAATAAGTATCCATACATGTCTGTTGAATGCAGGAACTTTCCATCTTTTTTAGTTTCAAGTAATGACTGTTTTCATGTCTATCTTCCTTCCTTTGAAAATTTCTATTATCCATTTAAAAGTAAGAGAAAGTATATCATAAGCTTTTCAATTACTCAGATGATTAGAAGGCAAATAAACCCTGACCTAGAGACGACGAAGTGAGCATCCTGCCTTAAGAGAGGCACACTGCTGTGAAGTAGTGAGATATAAGTTTGCAGAGGTTGAGCTGGCCTATGCTTTGGAGCTTGGAATCAAGTCTTTTTGCCTTGGTGATCTATACATTTCGGAGCAGAGGGGGCACATGATTAAAGCACTATTATAGGAAAATTTATTTTGATAATATGCTTTGGTGACTTGAAAGAAGATTGGTGAGACTGTTATAGGAGCTGTGCTGTTGTCTCTGTTTGAAATAGTAAGTTATATTCCATTGTAAAATGGCTTTAAAGTTTTGGAGTGAGCTAGATGGTAGAGATGTTTTGAGGAAGAGATATTTGAATACAAAAGCAGGTCAAGGTGACCAAGAAAATATCAGTGTTGGCAACATGAAGTCGATGTTTGTTTAATCCCTAGAGGATGCCTGCGGTTGCCAGATGTTTTTACTAGTTTTATTTAATTCTACTGGCACTGTGATAACTGGTATCTCATTTTGTGGGTTAGAAGACCCCTTCTCAAAGAAGGTTACCTAGTTTGCCCCAGGTCACTGATAGAATGCGTAATGTAAACTATGATTATCTGATGCTAAAGGCCATTCTCTGTATGGTTTGCAATGCATACTATGTAATTAACTATGTTTGTTGTAATTTTGGAATGATTTTTACACATTAGATTTGTATTAAGCAACTTTACAACCTCATGTCACATTATTTTTCATTATTTCAGCTACCATTAAATGAAGCTATTTTCTGAAACTTTCTTTCTCCTTTTTCTGTCAATGATATTTTCTCTCTTTGAAACCCTTCCCAACCTTTAACATCACAGTCTTAACACCTACTATGTCCTGTGTGAACTTTTTCATTATTTACACCAGTGATGATTTTTTTCCTCTTTTGAACTTTTGTATTTCCATATTTCCTATTATGCGATTAAATAATAGATATTATTTGTGTGATTCCTGGATATTAAGTGCTCAGTTGATCAGTACAATCAATGAGTACAAATAATTGGTATAGTAAGAAAATGGCTACTTATTTATGCATGTAGGAACAGGAAGTCAAATAATTCTTATGGATTTTTAGTACCTATGAGAATCGAGATATTATTCTCTTATTTGGAAGTTGTTGGCCCCAAAGAGTATATGATTTGGATTTTATTTTCCTTTGGGTTTTATAGTAGTTCAGAACACTGCAATCTAAGCTAAATATGTAATGAGTTAATTTCTTGGTACTACTACTTGCAAAATATGAGTACAGGCAAATCATAACTTTTGATCCCTCATCTATAAAATAGTAACACCAATATTTATTATTACTTTTTAGCTTGTTATGAGAATCAGGTTAGATAATATAGGTGAAAACTTTTGTAAACTGCTATGTAAGATGGCAATGTAATTGTAATGTACTTTGAAAAGGGCTGTACTAATTACCGCATCTTTCTCATCTTTCTGTAATGATATTTTTTCTTTTTTTTTTAATTCAGCTTTCCACAGGCTACAAATCAAACATTGCTAGACAAGTTTAAGCATCAACATGAAGATAATTCTTACATCGAATTTCCAGCCGTGATGGAGCCTGCTTTCATTATAAAACATTATGCTGGAAAAGTAAAATATGGGGTAAAGGTCAGTAAATTTCTCACTGAATATGCTTACAGGGCAGAGATGTGTTCTTAACTGTCCCCAGCACACTGCCCTCTTTGTAGTTTGTGGAGGCTTTTGATCAGTAATAACTGGAGATATTGTATAAAGATACTACTAAAACTTAGATTCTGCTTTTCAGCACATTACTGTCTTAGGTAAGGTAATGTTTCTGTTGGTTTCTGCCTGGAGATAAACCTGATGTTGTCAGTTGATCCTGATAAACTTTAGATCTGAAAGAATAGATTGCATCTGTATATCCCAAACTCACTTGTTTATGCACATAATTTGTTGAATTTTTCCCTTCTCTGCACTCATAAGGTCTTCATGTCTCTGTTCACCATTAGGGATTTGTCAGTTCGTACTTTTCATGAATATATTGAAACTCTTATGTGGAGTGGAATCTTAATAATGTTGTCCATTTCTTGTGTAATTTGTGAGTCTGTTATTCTTTAACTACTTGATGTTTAAGCCTGCTATTTCAGGCATTTAATTTCCCAGGTAAGGCAGCTGATGATATGGAGAATAGTGGAATTAAATGTTTTCTCCTGGGTCTTGAGTCGAGTGTCTTAAGATCATTTATTCATCCATTTATTGATTTATTTAAGAAGTATTTGTTGAACACAGAACATGTGTCAGACTTTGTGCTTGGTGTTTGGAATGATCTAATGATAAACTAGACAGATGTAGTCCTGATTCTCTATACATATGTGCATATATACATATTGTGTGTGCATATATATATGTGTGTGTATCTATTTGTATAACATAGATAAATGGGCTATGTGTTATAAATAAGTTAATGGGTCCTATGAGAGAAAGTAGTAAAATAGTGGATTTTGAATTTGTGAATACATGAACACTTCTCTAAGAAACTTAAATTTTGAGAGATGACCTGAAATAAATGTTACCTTGATGAGGAGTTCGGATGATGAATATTATAGGCCAGGAGATAGGAGTTTGATATGGTGAAATAATTGAAAACAGGTAAGTGCTACTAGATTATAATGAACTAAGGAGAGTAACATGAAATGAACTTAGAGAATAGACAGGGGGTTATTATTTAGGGCTTGTAAGCCAAGTTGAGTTTGGCTTTTATCCAAATTAGTGGCACTGTGATAATATTTTAAGCAGAGGATACGACTTGTGTTTTTAAAAGATTGCATTGATTACCTTGAGGAGAAGGGATAGCAGAGGGTAAGAGTGGAATCTGGAAGATCAGTTAAGTCACTTTTTTTTAAATTGAAGTGAAATCTTAAGGTAAACTGAAGCACTGGAGTGGCAGTAGAGGTTGGGGGGGATCCAGATGATTATGAGATGTATTTCTGGCGGTAAACCATCCACAGACTTTATTGATGGACTCTAAATGAGTAAGTGACCTCTGGCTAGAGCTGATGGGTGCTTTGGAGGTACCATTTCCTAAGATGGAAAATACTGGAAGGAATGGATTTTAGAATAGAAATTAAGACTATAGTTTAAAAAGTAAAACAAAAGCTTGAGCTATAGAAAAACTTGAGGATATTGTGCATAAAGTGCACAAATAAAGTGTTTAGATTTCTTTTATACCCCTTCCCAGCCAGCTCCCCTCAGAGATTACCACTGCCCTAATTTTTATCATTCTTAATTTTACTTTTAATTAAATTTCAGATAAATAGAATCATACACACACACACACACACACACACACACACACACACACACACTTGCCTGGGATATTCATCTGCGTTATCAGATAGGTTGAAAGTAAAAAGATGGAGAAAGGATAAAAGCTGGTGTATATTATTTCTGGACAGGCTGGGCATGGTGGCTCACGCCTGTAATCCCAGCACTTTGGGAGGCTGAGATGGGTGGATCATCTGAGGTCATAAGTCTGAGACTAGCCTGGTCAACGTGGTGAAACCTCATCTCTACTAAAAATACAAAAATTAGCCAGGCATGGTGGTGCACGCCTGTAATCCCAGCTACTGAGGAGGGTGAGATAGGACAAGTGCTTGAACCTGGGAGGAGGAGGTTGCATTGAGCCGAGATAGTGCCATTTCACTCCAGCCTGAGAAAGAGAGTGAGACTCTGTCTCCAAAAAAAAAAAATTGTAGGACAAAATAGACTTTAAGACCAGAAATATTACTAGAGATACAAAGGGACATTTTATAATGATAAAAGGGGCCAGTTCAACAGGAAGACGTAATCACTAAATGTTTTTGGGGTTTTTGTTTGTTTGTTTGTTTTGAGACGGAGTCTCGCTTCGCTCTTTTGCCAGGCTGAAGTGAAGTGGTGTGATCTCGACTCACTGCAACCTCCGCCCTCCAGGTTTAAGCGATTCTCTGCCTCCTGAGTAGCTGGGATCAGAGGCGTACTCCACCACGCCCAGCGAATTTTTGTATTTTTACTAGAGATGGGGTTTCACTATGTTGGCCAGGCTGGTCTCGAACATCTGACCTCAGTTGATCCACCCTCCTCGGCCTCCCAAAGTGCTAGGATTACAGGCATGAGCCACTTGATATTATATGTAGCTAATGACTGATTTAAAATATATAAAGCAAAAGGAAAGCAAAAGTAGACCTAGATAAGTGCACCATCATAATTGTAGATTTTTTTCTTCAATATTTTTCTAAGGAAAAAGAAAAAAACTTAAAAAAGAAAAAATTATAGATTTTAACACATTTCTGTTAGTAACTAACAGAACAAGCAACACAAAATCAATACAAATAGCACTGTTAAATAGGTGACCTAATTAGCACATCATAAGGATAACTTAGAAAATCATTGGATATTTAGAAACTAAGCAAAACTCTTCTGAATAACCCATGAGTCAAAAAAGAAATGACAATATAAATTACTTATAATAAATTATTAAAATTATAATATTTTATACTGAACATTAATGAAATCCAGCCTATCAGAAACTTGTAGGATACAGTTAAAGCAAGGAATGTAGGAAAGTTTATAACTTTAAATACATATGTTGGAAAGGAAGAAAAGTTGAAAAGTGGTTATCTAAACTTTTTTTTTTTTTGAGACAAGAGTCTTGTTTTATCACCCAGGCTGGAGTGCAGTGGTGCGATCTTGGCGTACTGCAACCACCACCACCTGGGTTCAAGCAATTCTCGTTCCTCAGCCTCCCAAGTAGCTAGGACTACAGGCTTGTGCCACCATGCCTGGCTAATTTTTTTGTTTTTGTTTTTTGAGATGGAGTCTCACTCTGTCACCCGGCTGGAATGCAGTGGCGCGATCTCGGCTCACTGCAACCTCTGCCTCCCGGGTTCAAGTGATTCTCCTGCCTCAGCCTCCTGAGTAGCTGGGACTACAGGCACATGCCACCACGCCCAGCTAATTTTTTTTTTTTTTTTTTTTAGTAGAGATGGGGTGTCACCATGTTGGCCAGGATGGTCTCAATTTCTTCACCTCGTGATCCGCCAGCCTTGACCTCCCAAAGTGCTGGGATTACAGATGTGAGCCATCGCGCCCAGCCAGTTTTTGTATTTTTGGTAGAGATGGGGTTTCGCCATGTTGGCTAGGCTGGTCTCAAACTCCTGGCCCCAAGTGATCTGCTCACCTCAGTCTCCCAGAGTGCTGGGATTACAGGTGTGAGCCACCATGCTTGATTGAAAAGTGGTTCTCTAAGCTTCTATGTGAGAAACTAGGAAAAGAGAAATCACACTCAAAGGAATTAGAGAAAGGGTATAAAAATAAGACCAGAAATCAGTGCAATATAAAGCAGACATTGAACAAAGAAATCAACTAAGCCAAAAGTTAGTTCCTTGAGAAGATAACACAAAATAATATAAATTAAATGCAATAGGAAAATAACTGATAATATAAAAAAAATTATAGATTACAGATACCAGGAATGAAAAAAGAACTTTACTACATAACCTACAGATATTAGAAGGATATGCATATATTTTGTCAGGAAATTTGAAAACAAAAAATGGATAAATTCCATTAAAAAACACTTTACCAAAACTAACACCAGAATAAATAGAAAAACCTGAAAATTCTGTTGGCTAAATAATTTGAATCAGTAGTTCAGAACTTTTCCACAGAGGAAATCCCAGGCCCACATGGTTTTACTAGTGAATGCTTCCAAACATTTAAATGTACTACTGGTCTTACACATTTTCTTTCAAATTAGACATATCCTTTAAGATTTGTTAATGGATCTCAAGAAATAATAAGAAAGATCTGATCTGGAAATTTGCATTTGGGCGATGGTGTTAATTTAAAGTCATAACTTCACGCCTGTAATCCCAGCACTTTGGGAGGCCAAGGCAGGCAGATCACCTGAGGTCAGGAGTTCGAGACCAGCTTGATCAACATGAAGAAACCCTGTCTCTACTAAAAAAATAGAAAATTAGCCAGGCGTGGTGGCGTGTATGCCTGTAATCCCAGCTACTCAGGAGGCTGAGGCAGGACAATTGCTTGAACCCAGGAGGTGGAGGTTGCGGTGAGCCAAGATCAAGCCATTGCACTCCAGCCTGAGCAACAAGAGCGAAACTCTGTCTCTAAATACATAAAATAAAATAAAGTCGTAACTCTGGTTCTGATCACTTGATATAAGAGGGTTGAGTGAAGAAATGAGTGCACAGCCAGGTGTGGTGGCTCACTCCTGTAATCCCAGCACTTTGGGAGGCCGAGGTGGGTGGATCACTTAAGTCCTGGAGTTCGAGATCAGCCTGGGGAACATGGGAAGGCCTAGTGTCTACACAGAATACCAATGGTTAGCTGGGCATGGTGGTGTGTGCCTGTAGTCCCAGCTACTTGGGAGGCAGAGGGGTAGAATTCACTTGAGCCCGGGAGGCAGAGGTTGCAGTGAATTGAGATGGTGCCACTGCACTCCAGCCTGGGCAACAGAACAAGACCCTGTCTCAAAAAACAAACAAACCAAAAAAAGAGAAATGAGTACACACTGTTAAACCCACCCTTGAATTTCCAATATGAACTAGCAATGAGGACTTAGAAGGGCAGTATAGGAGGTAAATGGTAAACCACAAAGTATGTTCTTGTGGAAACTAGAGAGAGATTTTGAAGAAGAATGATATGGTCAGTTGATAATGTACTTAGAAATCTAGAAATATGAAGACAGATTATTTCATTTTGAAAATGAAGGTCACTGGTCACTCTCAACACTTGACAGTCAGCATTGAAAAGAATCCTAGGTTTTTAGGTTGTACAGTGTAGTTATTAATAGGAGTAGGGCAGACTGGTGTTTCAGTTTCTGCACTGGTACTTATTGTCTCTTTGACCTTTGGCAAGCTGCTTTACCTTTCTGTTTACTTATCAGTAAATTATGGCTTATGACTAAATCTGCTTTATTGAGTAGTTGTTAGAACTGGGTAAAAATAAGTTACGTAAAATACATTAAGTTCATGCCTCACAGCTTGTCTGCCATCAGTAGTTATTAGCTGCTGATTATGGTGTCAGAGGTTATTTGGATTTGAGTACTCTTATTCAGTTTTTCTAATTTTCTTTTATAATACATACGTTTGCTCTAAGGGTATGTAAGGACAAGCCAAGGACCAAAATTCCTGGCTTGTTTCCTGTTTTTCCTTGTTCTCAGGAGAATAAAGAAGAATTAGGAAAGGAAAACCCTAAAAGTAATAGGATAAGTGCAAGCTGACTTCTGTACATGAGGATAGATGACATGATACTAGGTATGTTTCTCATAGAATTCTGAGTTAGAGATATTCTATGAAGCTGTACCAACTTGGAGCGATTTACTTACCAAATTTTTAATCCTTCCATTTGGTAAGATTATAGTCAATGCCTATGCTGTAATATCAGGCTGGGCCCTTGTTCCCAGAGTGGAAGCTTACTCTCCCCATTTATTTATGGTGCATTTTAACCCATTTTCTTATGTTCTAGCTCCTCCAACCTCTGTTCTTTGGTAGATGGTTGTCCCTGCCTATTTACAATCCTTCTTATTCAGTTTTAAAAATCTGTGTGCTGGCTGGGCACAATGGCTTACACCTGTAATTCCAGCATTTTGGGAGGCTGAGGTGGGGGAATTACTTGAGGCCAGGAGTTCAAGACCAGCCTGGGCAACATGGCAAGACTCTGTCTCTACAAAAATAATGAAAAAAAATTAGCCAGACGTGGTGATGCACATCTGTACTCACAGGTACACGGAAGGCTGAGGCAGGGGATTGCCTGAGTCCAGGAGTTAACAAGCTGCAGTGAGCTATGATGGTGCCAACTGCACTGTATTGAAGAGCGAGACCTTGTTTAAAAAAAAAAATCTATATGGTGATAATAACCAAATATAATTTCTGAAATCTCCCTAGCACTCCAGACTCACACATCCATTTGGTTATGAGTGAATGTTTTTGAGCCCTTGCTCTTCCACTTATTGTGTGATAGGAGCCAAGATATTTCACCTCTCTCTGATTCAGTTTTCTCATCTATAAAATGAGAGTAGTAATATCTATCTGAAAGGATTATTAGGAGTATTAAATGAGATTACATGAGACAATACATGTAAAATACTTAGAAGAGTGCCAGACACATACTAACCTCTCAAGTGTTACCTACTATTATTATCCTCACTGGCCCAAACTTCACTTGGAAAAAACTGATCTCTTGGTCTTCATTTCTTATCCTCATAACTTTCCTTTCTCTAGTCTTCTCCTTATCAGTATATGGCATCTCCATCCACTAAATACCCAACCCCAAAATGTAAGTTTTAACCTGATTTCCTCATTTTCTCATCATACCCTAATTAATCAGCAGGTTTTTTGCCTTTACATGTCCCAAATATAGCTATTTTTTATTTCTGCTGTTACAACTGACCAAGTCCAAGTTACTAGCAGTTCTTACCTGGTTTACTCTAATATTGTGCCTCCTTTTTTCCATTCTTTCTTTGAATAATTCATTTCCTATGCAGCAACCAATGTATAAGACACCAGTTAGCTCATGTTGTTACCTTTCCAGGGCTTTCCTTTATACTTGAATAAAATCTGAACAAACAACTGAAGTTCAGAGTCTAAATAGCCTATTTATTTATCTAATCTTCCACACTTTCTCCTTGTCCCCAGTGCTCCAGCCTGTGGTTTTTATCCTTTTTCTCCTAACTTGTCCAGCTTATCATCATCTATAGGTTATAGGTGTTACCCTTGCTTGCTCTTCCCAGTTTTCTCATCTCTGGCTTCTTTTTGTTATTCAGCTCTCCTGTTGCTGTATGTGATACCTCTTTGGAGAGGCTGTCCCTGACCAGAGTTTAACAAGCTGCTATAAAATTATAGAATATTTATTCTAACTTACATGTATTATAGAAATCAATAGTTTTAGGATTGGATGAGACCTTATAGAAGATACCCGGTCCAGTTAGCTACCTGGAGCAGACATTTCTTCTATCTCATTGTTCAACCACTGTTCAAACATGTCACTTGGGTTAGTCCATTCTTATGTTTCTATAAAGAAACACCTATGGCTGGGCAACTTATAAAGAAAAGAGATTTAATTGGCTCACGATTCTTCAGGCTGTACAGGAAGCAGAGCACTGATATCTACCTGGCTTCTGGTGAAGCCTCAGAGAGCTTTTACTTGTGGTGGAAGGCAAAGTGGAAGCACATGTGTCACATGGCAAGAGAGAGGGAACGAGATGGAGAAGTAGGAGTGCCACACTTTTAAATAACCAGATTTTGGTGAATTCAGAACAAAAACTCATTCATTACTTTGAAGAGAGCCCCAATCCATTCATGAGGGATCTGCCTCCATGACCCAAACACCTCCTACCAGGCCCCATCTCCACCATGGGGGAATCACATTTCAATATGAGGTTTGGAGGGACAAGCATCCAAAGTATGTTATCACCCGTCATCTTGTTTTTCATAATTTTTTTTTCCCATAAGTAACACTGGTACTTTTTTCATATAGGATTTCCGGGAAAAAAATACAGATCATATGCGCCCAGACATTGTAGCTCTTCTGAGAAGCAGCAAGAATGCATTTATCTCTGGGATGATTGGAATTGATCCTGTAGCTGTTTTCCGATGGGCAATTCTCCGAGCTTTTTTCAGAGCCATGGTTGCTTTCAGGGAAGCTGGGAAAAGAAACATTCACAGAAAAACTGGTAAGTAGTAGTTATTAGTATTCTACCATACTTCATCTTTTTTTTTTTTTTTACCTTTCTACTTCTCCACAAAAAGGAGTAGAATTCTTGCTATGAGATTCTCAAGGACAAAAATCCTGCTTCTGTAGTCAATCTAGTGTCATCTCTTAACTGATTTGTGACTATGAACAGTTTTTCTTTTCTGTAAAAGAGTTATACTGCCTTTAAAATAATGAGGATAAAGTCAGAGCATCTGTTCATGAAGTGTTCATTTTCTTTTCCTTTACTCTTAGTTCATGGATTTTTAAAAACTTTGAAATTTAGAAATAGATAAAGCAGGATACTTTTTCTGTATGCCTCCCCCTTCAATCATAAAATCTCTCATCTCATTTTCTGTGGGAGGGCAACTTCATAAGCACTTTTGGCCTACTGGAAACCAAACTATTGTTTGCTGTAGCTCTAGTCTTAGATAGGGCCATTGCTGCATAGAGAAGATTTTGTGATACATATGCAGTTGAGATTTATGCCTTTCAGTAGAAATGTTATAGGGCTCACCTGTGCTTTCAGGACTCCCAAAGTGATTTACGTGGCTTTTTGGGATGTGCACTAGTAGTAAAACTTTTAAGTTTAGCTTTTAAATGTTTGAGACAAATAGATATATTTGAGAGAGTGTATTTCTAAAAATACATGTAAAATAATTGAACCTAGTTTCCATTTTTTAGATTGTAAAGTATTTGAACTGGTCTTTGTAGATGTATAGGGAGAATTATAGTTTATTAGAGAAATAAAAGGACTATCTCAAACCTGCTTTGCCTTTTACAAAGTGATTTCTAAGAGGTTATCTTTGTAAAAAGCTTTAAGGAAAATTTTTTTTCTTTAAGATGCTTTCTTGTTTATTATGACAAACTTCTAATCAAGAAAACCACTCAAAATTGATTAGCATCCTGCTAAGACATAATTGAGTAAGAGAAGAAACTTTTCTTGTATTTACTGTCAAAGCCTATTTACTTTATTCACATTATCTGTATATTCCTTTGGCATTTAAAATCTATTATTTGTGAAAGCTAGTTGTTACATATCTGTTATTATCAATATCGGCAATGACATGCAATGTTATTAATGATAAACAACCTGTATTTTCTCTACCTTGATAAAGTCTAGATTCCTTATTTTCTAATCTTGTTTTCCCTTCTGGCTAGTACAGAGCTTCCATATAATAATCTCTTTTTGAAAATTTGTATTCAACATAACATGCATATACAAAAGTACACAAAGCAAAAATGTATAGTTCAGTGGAGTACCACAAAGTAAACACAACCCTGGAACTACCACCTAGGTTAAGAAACACAACATTCCAGCCACCCAAAATTTCTCCTTGGAAAAAACTTTAAAATTTTTACTTTTTATAAAGGAAAAGAAAAACTCTAGTTTGTTTGCATTTTGAAGCCTGAGCAGATTTGTTTCCGAAAGTAATTGTTTATATTACAATATATCAGTGTCAATGCCAGCATTCACCCTAACGTTTTATTTTCTCCACACCGCTTCCTACCTACTCTCTTTTGGTAGGTTTAGGATAAAAACATATTATAAAGTTGGAACATTGTATCACTGTAAAAACTAACAGATTGTAAAAATGGTTTAAATGGTAGATCCAGAATTTTTATAATGACCGTAAATATTATGCAGTCATATTAAGATGAAATAGGAATTACAGATTAAGACGAAGTAGAAAATATGAAAGGCAGAAAAGGTGAGGTGACCAATTCTAGATGTTGGATATGAGAATAAGAGGGCAAAGATAATACTTTCTAAAGAAGAAAGAAGATGAAATCTGCAGAATTACAGTATGTTTTTATTTCCTTTGATGATATCTTAATTAAAAACTTCAGTGGACTCTTAGTTAATTGTCAAGAAACACCCTGACTGGGAATTATACAGAAATAACCTGACTGGGAATTATACAGTATGTAGAACTGAGTACAATGATGCTTTATTTGATTCTTTTGGAGTTATTAATAAAAGTATAGCCAAATAGGAATTTAAACTAGTCTAAAAAGGCTAGGCAAAGATGGGTAATTCAGCTGTGCCATCAGGATGAGACGTGAACAAGAGGGTCCAAAGTATTTTTCAGTTTCTTCATCTACAAAGAGAGAAGCTGAAACCCTTTATATAGTGTCTGCAGATGAGAGAGCTTCAAGGTTTTCCACAGAACCTGTTTCTCTTCTTCATCCCACTCAATAGACTATGTAACTCTGATGTACTTCTGTTTGTTTATGTAAGTGGGAGAAGCGTTCTAGTGACCATCTATTTTCAAAAATGACCAGATACTAAAATTGATTTGGGTATCACCATAAGTCTAGAATCTCTATGCTGTACTCTGTACACAATTCTTCCTAGTACTTAATAGATTTAAATAAACTTTTGTTAAAAAAAAAAGGACTTTTTTTATAAATTACTTCTGTATTGGGCAGTATAGTAGGGCAATTAAGAATAAGGGTTTTGGATAGACATCAGTGAAATGGTGGGGTAAGGACCTCTAAATTTTTTTTCATAATAGCAATGAGAAAATTGGCAAAAATTGTCAAAACAACTTTGTCAGAACCCTGGAATTTAATCAAAGGCTCCCAGTAACCTGAGAAGTATTTATACAAGACAAAAGGCTGAATATCAGTAAAGACAGTGCCTAATACATATTTTAGTGAGGATATGGAAAATTAGAAGTCTTGTATACTACTGATGTAGCCACTCCGTAATACGTTTTGGCAGTTCCTCAGAAAGTTAAATATAGAATTGTATTTGACCCACCAATTCTGCTCCTAGGTATGTACTTAGAAGAACAAACAAAACAAAATGTGTAGACAGATATTCTTTACAACATCTTTCTAATAGCCAACAAGTAGAGACAACCCAAATGTTCCATCAACTGATGAATGGATGAACAAAAGGTGGTATATCCATACATGGCATGTTATTTGGCCATAAAAGAAATGAAATACTGGTACATGCCACAATATGAATGAACCTTGAAAGCATTAAGATATATATATATATATATATATATTTGTGTGTGTGTGTGTGTGTGTGTATATATATATAGCATATATAGCATATATATATAGCATACATATATACATATATAGCATACATGCTACATATATGAATATATGCTATATATGCTACATATGTGTATATATGCTAATGCATATGCTACACACATATGCTACGTGTATATAAGAGAGATATATAGATAGATATATATAGATATATATATTTTTTGAGACGGAGTCTCGCTCTGTCGCCCAGGCTGGAGTGCAGTGGTGCAATCTTGGCTCACTGCAACCTTCACCTCCCAGGTTCAAGCGATTCTCTTGCCTCAGCCTCGCTAGTAGCTGGGACTACAGGCACTCGTCACCATGCCTGGCTATTTTTATATTTTTGTATTTTTAGTAGAGGCGAGGTTTCACTATGTTGGCCAGACTGGTCTTCAACTCCTGACCTCAGGTGACCCACCTGCCTCGGCCTCCCAAAGTTCTGGGATTACAGGCGTGAGCCACCACGCTGGGCGTATTTTATATATATATATATATATATTTTTTTTTTTTTTTTTTTTTAAGAGCCGGGTTTCGCTGTGTTGCATGTGTTGGAATGCAGTGGTGCTATCACAGTTCACTGTAGCCTCAAACTCCTGGGCTCATGTTATCTTCCTGCTTCAGCATCTCAAGACACTGGAACTACAGGCACATGCCACCATGCCTGGCCTTTTCTTTTTTTAAATTTGTTTTTGGAGGTGGGTCTTGCTGTATTACCCAGGCTGGTCTTGAACTCCTGGCCTTAAGTGATCCTCGCTGCTCAGCCTCCCCCCGAGTGTCTGGGATTACAGGTGCGAGCCACCATGCCTGGTTCTCATTATATCAAAGAAGTACAGTTTCCATATTTGTAATATGGAATCATACAATACTCTATATTACAAAATGGAATATTGTATCATTCCATTTATGTGAATTGTCCAGAATAAGCAAATCTGTAGAGACAGAACTTAGATTAGTGTTTGCCTAGGGCTAGAGGGTCAGGTATAGAGCTAAGAGATGGGGAGGATGATAGAGAGTGTGAGTATCTTTTTGTATGATCAAAATGTTCTAAAATTGATTGTGGTAATGTTTATGTAGCTTCATGAATTATACTAAAAGCATTTAATTGTATACTTTAAATCAAGGAATTGTTTAGTAGGTGAATTGTATTTCAATAAAACTGTTACAAACATATAAAAAAGAATATTCTAAAGTGCTTTTATTCATAATAGTTCCTGAATGTTCATCAGTGGAAGAATGGATGACCAAATTGTGATATACTCCTACCATGTAACATTACTCAGCAATGAAAAGAAACAAACCACTGATACTCAGAATGAATGAGTCACAAAAAATCCTCAGCAAAAAGCTAGATATGAAAGAATATATGCTGTGTTATTTCTTTAGTTTAAGAACAGACAACATGGCTGGGCCCAGTGGCTCACGCCTGTAATCCCAGCACTTTGGGAGGCCAAGGTGGGTGGATCACCTGAGGTCAGGAGTTCAAGACCAGCCTGACCAACATGGAGAAACCCTGTCTCTACTAAAAATACAAAAATTTAGCCGGGCTTGGTGGCGCATGCCTGTAATCCCAGCTACTTGGGAAGCTGAGGCAGGAGAATAGCTTGAATCCAGGAGGTGGAGATTGTGGTGAGCTGAGATTGAACCATTGCACTCCAGCCTGGGCAACAAGAGCGAAACTCCATCTCAAAAAAAAAAAAAAAGGTAATAAATTGTGACAAATCAGAACTTGATTACTTCTGGTGGGATCAGGGGCAAGGGTAGTATTGATAGGAAGGGAGATAAAATAACTTGGGGGGGTGATAGAAATGTTCTCTATCTTGATTCAGGATTTTGTGGATGTAAACGTTTGTTTAAATTCATCAAACTGAGTACTTAAGAAAAGCGTTATTTTATGTTTGTGAAATATGGCTTTTAAAAATGGCCTTAAGGCCTTTGAATTGACATTACAGAAACTTTTATAGGGCCAAAGATATTGCCTAAGGTCTGAATGATACTTTGGAGCTGGGACTGAGCCTCTGTTACATAGTCCAAGTCCTTCAAAGTTATGGAACTTTTCTGTCACTAAAAAAATTATTGAAAATTGCTGGTCCTGCATAAGAAAAAATGAGGAGCCTTAGCAATCTGTGTTAGGCCTTAGATAAGGTTAAAAAGAAGTTACCTTTAAAAAAATCAATGCCCCACATCTGCACCATATATGAGTATGGGGTCTGAATTTATACTATGTGTTTGGTGCATAATGTCAAACTAAGAAATTATCATCACAACCAGTCCAGCAACTAGCATAAGCAAATACTAAATAAATCTCTTTTAAGAGTTGATGATGAGTAGGCTGGGTGCGGTGGCTTACGCCTATAATCCCAGCACTTTGGAGGCCGAGTCAGGTGGATC
The DNA here is from genome assembly GCF_000001405.40 of Homo sapiens. Lineage (NCBI taxonomy): Eukaryota > Metazoa > Chordata > Mammalia > Primates > Hominidae > Homo > Homo sapiens. Next base: position 71,954,441 of record NC_000015.10, on the reverse strand, counting down.
ACGAGGTCAGGAGATAGAGACCATCCTGGCTAACACGGTGAAACCCTGTCTCTACTAAAAATACAAAAACAAAATTAGCCAGGCGTGGTGGCTGGCGCCTGTAGTTCCAGCTACTCAGGAGGCTGAGGTGGGAGAATGGCATCAACCTGGGAGGCGGAGGTTACAGTGAGCGGAGATCGCACCACTGCACTCCAGCCTGGGCGACAGAGCAAGACTCCATCTTAAAAAAAGAAAAAAGAGTTGATGATGGCCGGGCACAGTGGCTCATGCCTGTAATCCCAGCACTTTGGGAAGTTGAGGCAGGCAGGTCACGAGGTCAGGAGGTCGAGACCATCCTGCTCAACATGGTGAAACCCCATCTCCACTAAAAATACAAAAATTAGCTGGGCATGGTGGTGCGTGCCTGTAGTCCCAGCTACTCCGGAGGCTGAGGCAGGAGAATCGCTTGAACCCGGGATGCAGAGGGTGCAGTGAGCCGAGATTGCACCAGTGCACTCCAGCCTGGCGACAGAGTGAGACTCCCTCTCAAAAAACAAAACAAAACAAAACAAAACAAAACAAAACAAAAAAACAGTTGATGAGACTCCTCAGAAAAGAATCCCCACTGAAAATATAAACCATCCTGGGAAACCAAACTACCTTGGCAGGGGTTTGGTACATAAAACAAACAGGGAATATCACTTTAAGATTTAGAAATTATGTCACAGTCTGGAAAATAACGTTCAAAACTGTAAAAAGGTATAGAAAGCAGAATGAAAGAACAGGAGAGAGGTTAAAGAAACTAATCTAGGCATGGTGGTGAGACAAAGCAGTCACAGATACAAAAATACCCATTTTTAAATGGCAGTGCCACAGTTTATTAGATGAAATAGAAAATAGTTTGGTGGTTGTAGTAATGTTGATTGATTTTTTAAAACTCTACATAATAAATTAGTGTATTTTAATATCCTGAGCTCTTATACAGAATACTTTAACACATAATATTCTTGAATTATTTTTGACTAGCTGATTATCAGATTAGCTGTTGAAAGGCGTGATTGTTTAGTGATAACTTCTTCAATTTACAATTTGAATGGAGTCTGACTAGAACTCACTGGGTGTTTTTTCCTCAACTGGTCCCCTTCAGCTGACTGCCAAACCAAGTGCAGTGGAGTTTAAGGCCTAAGCATTCTTTCTCCAAGCAATCCATCAAGGGGGGATTACTGGTAATAATGAGAACAGAGTATGTTTATCGAGGTATCTTTTGAGTAAGAAATGATGTTAAGCTTGGTTATACTTCTCTTTTTGAAACATTCAACCTTTGTACCTATTGACTTTTCGTATTGTACAAATAATATAGTATTTTATTAGTTTAGTTACTTTTATTATGAAAAATATTTCAAATTCACTTTATTTTTTAAAAGCCTGTTTTCTGTGTATAATATTACATGATTTATGGTATTAGATTCCCTCTCCATTGCCAAATATGGCTGCCTATTCTCTGGATATATAAATCCAATTTAGGGAATTAGAATGAGACTAAAATATGCCCTACAAACCTCTTTGAATTAGTATGAGACTGTTTAACTTTTAAAATGATTCTGCTATGAGATTTTTCCAAAGATTGTTCTGTTGTATCTCATTCCTAATTATACAGTAAAATGCAGTAATAGAACTTTAGTTCATTTTAATGTGTTACTTAATTTGCCTCTATATTATTATGTACTTTGTTTTTTAAAAGCAAACTTATTTAAATTTGAACATTATGCCCTAACTCTAGAGGTGATCTCTGAATAAATGTTACACAACCACCACCCTAAAGCCTGGAAACTCTTTATTGCTAATATTTATGGCACTCATCTCCCATTCACTTTATTTCCTAAGTACTCACTTTAAATAACACTGATCTGGGGCTTTGGTCTTTACTTGAATGTGCTCTCTTCTATTTTTCACTGGTAGCTGATTTCTATCCTATTTTCCTAAGAAGTGATAATGAGGTACAGAGTCTTCAGCTTTGTTTTCAAATTTATAAGTACAGAAGTGCTGCTGGGCTTTCCTGCTCTATGGTGCTTTTCTTCATGTTTTCATTATTGACACACTTGTTGGAATTCCTACAAGTGTGGTTAATTGCAGGATTTGTGAAAGAATTGTTTAAGTAAATTGTTCTGGGTATATTTCTCTTTGGGGTTCCATCAGTGTTGCCAACTATATGTTAATTATATTTGAGACCTGATAAAAATAAGTCCTTTTAAAAAATAAATCATACAAATTGCTTTTGAATTTTTGCTTGTATTGAGAAATTTCTAGTATGGTGTTAACTAACAATACTTTGAGTACTGAAAAGGACACTTTGAATATCTGAAAAATGCCTGTATTTTTTCCTGTTATTTTTAAGCATTTTCCTCAAAATAATTGGACATTCACATATAACCTCTATTATTTGATACATTTTTATACACCCTTAAATAGTTGGCAGCATTGTCCTTGATTCTCTGTTGGTTTGGGCTTATATAATGTCTTTTTCTTTTCTCCTTTTTTTTTTGTTTGTTTTTTTTTGCTTCCTAAGGACATGATGATACAGCGCCATGTGCAATTTTGAAAAGTATGGATAGTTTTAGCTTTCTCCAACACCCAGTCCACCAGAGGAGCTTAGAGATTCTGCAGAGATGCAAGGAAGAGAAGTACAGTAAGGCTACAAATCCTGATAAACTGTTATCACATATCCATTTGGAAATGGAAACCAGGAGCATCCTACACCAGGGTGGGATATAGATTGTATGGGCAACATGGCCTCCATAAACCTCTGAGCAGTCTTTGAATATTTCTATTGAGTCTTTAGTACTTTCTTTTGAAAATACTGATATACTTTTTTAACTTTGGTGACTTTTCTGTTTGCCTGTGATCATTGGATTGTTAATTATACTTGGTTACAGTCACTGGATTGGTTTCTATTTGTCTTTCAAGTAGCCAAGTGATGGATAGGAATCAACAATGTTTTCTTTCCTGCTCATAAAAAAAAAAACAACAAAAAAAACTTTATTGAGGTCTAATTGAAGTAAAAAACTGAATGCAAAGACAACAATTTGGTAAGTTTTGACGTATGTAGGCACCCATGAAATTATCTCCAGAGTCAAGATAATGAATATATTCAGCATTCCCAAAAAGTTTTGTCATAGCCCTTTCTAAATCTGGATGATTTTTCTGTTTGCTTATGCTTGAAATTTCAACATTAGCAAATGTTATTTTTGTGTATCATTGGTAAATCCACTTAGTTTGATTGCAGTGCTTCAGCCAGCCTTTCCTATGTCTGGTTTAGAGCAAAACCACCGCATTAATGTTTTGGCTTGAGGAATAATAACAGAATCATGGTGCATGTTCTTTTTTGTTTGCTTTTTTATAAAATTGGTGTGAAAAGATGCCCTTGGTCTCCGTTTCCTTTCTTGCTCTTTATTTGTTGTACTCATTCTGCATGAAAATTGATTCTTTTGCCAGTTGTAAGATTACTATTATTGAGGCACTGCTATTGTGAGAATAAGTGGATCCTTCAAAATACTCAAAGACAACTCAGCAATTTGCGTATAATGGACCTACATAATCTGTTCTGAGCTTTTAATAAATTACCACTGATTTAGTTTGCTAATTTCACAGTTTTCTGGTTGAAATTCCATGAAATTTTACTATCCAGTTGTCAGTGAGAGGAGAATATAAGTAGAATTCCTAAGAACAAATGTTGTGGATTCTTTTTCAATTGCCATTGCTGTCTTGGTTAAAACAAAAGTGTGTAATGTGTTTTGAAAAACAGTATTTAAAGTATTTTCTCATTTTAAGAGGAACAAAGGTAAGTGTTTTGTTTTAAAAAGACATCCTTAAAATTATTCTTAATTGTTGCTGTTGTTTCTAAGAGGAATGTAACAAATCCTCATTCCAGTTATTCATCTTCCTATTCTGTCTTTTAATCCATGGGACATTATTTAAAATAGTCTATAAAACATTTTGGAACACTTAAATTAATTTCTATTAACTCTTAAATAGTTGCAAATGGTTTATTTGCTTTGTTTTTTCATGACCCAGCCTGACAACCCCAGACCTGATTGTATGCCAGCTACATATGGATCTTGAATAGGAGGGCACCAGTTTCAGCATAGGCTGCATGAAGAAATTGTGTGTCTATGTGTGTTCACTTGCAAATTTCTACTTTTGTGGACGTTGGAGCTCTTCCATTATTTTATGTAATTTATTCCATTTTCCACGATAGTATTAGCAATATACTAATTATAAAAAGGTATCACGTTATAAATTTTATTATACGTAAAACTGTAGATTCAAGTTTTGGAAATTGTTCTTAAAAAAAACGGAACTACCAGCTTTAGGTAGTGGTGAATTGGTGAGGTGAATGAATCCTCCCACAAGTAACAGTGATAAAACCTGGAAAAAAATTTTTAAAATAACCAAATATTTAAAAGTACTGGAAAAAGACCAAAAGTAGGCAGAAAGTAGGGAAAAGTTTATTCTTTAAAGGTAGTAAAGCAGTGGGTAAGAATTGTGAATTTGTAGCTTTTTATACAAGGGGTTTCCTAACTTGCATAGTTTCAGAGATAGAAAACCACCACCACCACCACCATACTGGCTTATTATGTTAGAAGACTTTCAGAGCAGCTTGGGGTTTAGGAGGAAAATCCTGGGACTGAGAGAGCTGCTAAAGGGCTAAAACCCAAATTAAAGTATGAACTCTGCCCATATCCCTGGCGACTGCTGTGAGTATGCAGGGAAGACCCCAGGAACCGTATTAAAAAAAAAAAAAAAAGTGGAAATCAAATAAGAGATAATCCTTGAAAGACATAACTATAATAGCTGAGCTATGCAAGTTTGCTGCTTTTTAGAAAAACTGAGGAAATTTTCTGCCTGTGCTTAGCTTGTGTGGGAAAAACTGAAGTCTTTCTGCCTTAATTGGAGTCCCATAGGAAATGAGAGATAAAGGGGTCGAAAATTATTTGAAGACAGTGGCAGAAAACATCCCTTATTTGGTTAAAAAAAAAAAAAACAAAAAAACACCCAGCATAGTGAAACCCTGTCTCTACTAAAAATACAAAATTTAGCCAGGTGTGGTGGTGCACGCCTGTAATCCCAGCCTCCTCGTGTGGCTGAAGCACAAGAATTGCTTGAACCTGGGAGGCAGAGGTTGCAGTGAGTTGAGATCACACCACTGCACTCCAGCCTAGGCAACAGAGCAAGACTGTCTCAAAACAAACAAACAAACACTAGCTTACAGATCCAGGAAGATCAGTGACCACAAAGCAGGGTAAATACGAAGGAAAACTACACCTAGGCACATTATAGATAAACTGCTAAAATGTCAAAGATAAAGAGAAAATCTTGAAAGCAGCCTGGAAAAGATACACATATTAAATACAGGGGAATAATGAGATAATTAACACTTGACTTCTCAGTAAAAATAATGGAGGCCAAAAGGTGTCAAAAAATCATGTTTAATATGTCACATCCCCCCCCCTCACAAAAAAAATTTGAACCAGAATTTCTGTATTTGCAGTTTGAGTCCAGACAGATTAACTGACAGAAGAAAAATTAACAATCTTCAGAAGAACCTAACAGTATCCACTGTTGCTATGATGTGTTATCCACAATGTCCTGTTATCATGTAGCAAAAGTATCCTTCAAAAATGAAGGTGAAATACATTTTCAGACTAACAGAGTCTGGGAATTTGTCAACATATGTATTATATGGAAAATGATAATAGAAATTCTTCAGGCTCGAGGGAAATCACCCCATGATCGTAACTTGGGTCTATAGTAGGGGTTGGCAAATTTTTTCTGCAAAAAGCAGACAGCAAACATTTTAGGCTTTGTAGGCCAGTATGGTTTCTGTTGCAGCTACTCATCTCTTCTGTGAAGGGAGCCATAGACAATACATAAATAAATGAGTTTAGCTGTGTTCCAATAAAGCTTTATTATGGACACTGATACTTAAATTTCAAACAATTTTCACATGGTACAAAAATGTTCTCCTTTTTCTCCTCAGTTAAAAACTATATAAGCCATTCATAGGTCATAGGTCATACAAAAAACAGGCAGTGGGTTTGGTTTAGGCCATGGACTCTAGTTTGCTGATACATGCATGAATTACTGGAAGGAATAAAGAAGGCAGAACTAATAAATATGTATAAAAATATAAATGACTACACATATTTTCTTGGCTTCTCTTAATTAAAAAAATGACTGTTTAAAGTAAAAAATCTGACATTATTTTGGTGGTTTAAAATATGTCCACAAATTGATACTGCCCCCTTCATAAGGCATGTCCTGTACTTAGTGACTTGCTTCCAAGAAATGGAATGTGGCAGAAGTTACAGTGTGTGACCTTCAATATTAAGACATAAAGGTATTGTGGCCTTTCCTCCTTCTCTTTCTTTCTGGTGCTCTCGCCTTCTCTCCAAAGTGGCTCTTCTCTGAAATTTCTCAGGGAGGAAATTAGAGGAGTGAGGAAAAATTGAAGTTTTGGGGAGCATGAGCTACAGCTCACTTCCAGAAATGACAGGAGCCCTAGAAAGAAGGAATCAGATGGCAGAAGGAGAGCAGGGGTAGAAAAGAAGAATCTAACTTTAATTTGAACCCATTCTTTTGGCCTTCAGTCCTGTTTGGGATGATTGAGAATATGATGTGCATCAGCAAGATGAAGGATCAGCAATTGCCAGGGAAGGGCTGAGGGCTTACTCCACCTAAATTACCCTCACCATGCTGACAGTGCCTACTTTAATGTCCCTAACCTCAGGTATCAGGATGGTCATTCAGATGATTGAAAGTTTAGTGGATTGTCTGATCAAAATGGAATTAAATGCAAATCAATTAACAGATATATCTGGGAAACCCTCACATATTTGAAAAATAAAATGTATATGTAACTAATGAGTTGAAAAAATTTCATAAGGGTAACTTGGAAGTTTTTTGATCTGAAAGATGATGGAAACAACATATTACAACTTAGGGAATATAAATAAAGAAGTACTTAGGAGAAAACTTACAGCTTTAAATTCTTAAATTAGAAAAGTAAGGTAAAATAATCAGTGATTGAGGCTTTCACCTTAAGCTAGGAAGAAAAGAGCATATTAGACTCCAAATAAGTAAAAGGAAGTAAAGTAAATAAAACTTTTTTTTTTTTTTTTTCCTGAGATGGAGTCTGGCTTGTCACACAGGCTGGAGTGCAGTGGCATGATCTTGGCTCACTGCAACCTCCACCTCCCGGGTTCAAGTGATTCTCATGCCTTAGCCTCCCAAGCACCTCGGACTACAGGTGCATGCCACCATTTTACTTTGTTTTGTTTCATATTTTAGAGATAGGAGCTCGTTCTGTCACCCAGACTGGAGTGCAATGGCACAATCATGGCTTATTGCAGCCTTGACCTCCTTGGCTCAAGTGATCCTCCCACCCCAGTCTCTCAAGTAGCTAGGTCTACAGGTGCATGCCACCATGCCCTGCTAATTTTTAAAATTTTATTTGTGGAGATGGAGTCTTACTATGTTGTCCAGGCTGGTCTCAAACTCCTGGCTTCAAGCAATCCTCCTGCTTTGGCCTCCCAAAGTACTAGGATTACAGATGTGAGCCACTACATCCGGCCTAAAGCTGGTTTTTTGAAAAGAACAATGAAGTTGATAAATCTCTAGGCCAGCATGGTGCAGTAGAACTTTCTGCGATGTGGAAATGTTCTCCAGCTACACTGTCAGTACTGTAGCCACTAGCCACATGTGGCTGTTAAGCACCTGAACTGTGTCTGGTGCAGCTGAAACTGAAGTTCTAATTTTGTTTAATGTGTTTGTATAGCCACATATAGCTAGTGGCTACTGTATTGGATAGTGCAGTTATAGCTATTCTGATCTAGAAAAGTGAGAGAAGACACAAAGCTATTACCTAGAATGAAAGAGTGGACACAATTATATATGCTACAGAAATCAAAAGTTTGACAAAGAGATTATGAACATTTATGGCAATCAGTTCAACTTACGTGAAATGGAAAAATTCCTTGAACGTCAACGGTTATTAAAATCAACCCAAGAAAATATAGAAAATATGAATAGTGCGGTATCTTTTTACAATATTGAATTCTTAACTAAAATTTTCCCCCCACACGAAGTTTAGGCCAAGATAGGCTCATTAGTAATTTTATTTAAGAAATGACTATTATACCAATTCTCTTCAACTCTTTCAAAAAACAGGAGAAGGGAACACTATCCAAATCATTTCATGAGGCCAGTGTTATTATTCTGTTACCAAAACCATTATAAGAAAACTATAGACCAATATAACTTTGTAATGGTGGATATAGAAATAATAATAGCTGGCTGAATTCAGCAATATATTAAAGATAATACATGAAGAATAATACATGAAGACCACATGGAATTTATTCCAGGGATGAGAAAGGTTGGCTTGACCATGTTAACCATATAAAAAGAAAGCCACATATGATTGTCTCAGTAGATGGAGAAAAAGTTTGTCTTAATACCACGCTCATTCTATTTTAAAACTTTTAGTAGCCTAGGAATAGAGACCAACTTCCTCTACTTTATGAAGAATATGCATGAAAATCCTACAGCAAACTCCATAGTTATTAGTGAAAGATTGAATACTTTTTCCCTAACATTAAGAACAAGGCAAAGACATCTTTTGCCACTTAAATTTGACATTTGCTAAAGGTCACAGGTGGTGCAAAAAGGCAACAAAAAGAAATTGTACATAGATTGAAAAGAAGTAGTCAACAAATTCATTAATATAGGAAGTGTGAAGGAATCACACTTCCTATTTAAGGAAAAGTGCTCTTAAAACTAAAAAGTGAGTTTAACATTTTTACGGGATACCAAGTAATTATAGAAAATTGTAATATCCTAGCCATGAGCACTAAGAAAATGATTTACAAATTCCATGTACTGTACATCTATGGCAGCCAGCCTCCTAGATGTCACAAGCTTTTATAGTCCTCTCCTATATTTTACAAGAGTTGGTCTGTGTAACAGAAAGCACATGGCAAAAATGATGGTATGTCACTTTTACGATTTCTGTAAAAGACTGCAATTTCCTTCTGGGGTACTGCTTTACTTGCTAGGCCTCTCTGAAATCACTGTCTCTTGGAGAGACAAGATGCTATTTGTGAGTAGCCAAAACTCAGTATGAACTGAGGCTTGTCACCAACTATGTGAGTGACCTTAGAAGTGGATCCTTCATTCCAATGTTGAGATGACTGCAGCCTTGGCTGATAGCTTGAATACAACCTCTTGAGACATGTTGAGTCAGAACCACCCAGCTAAGCCACTCCTGAATTGTTGTTCCTCTAAAAACTATATGAGATGATAACTTGTTTTAAAGTGTTGGATTTTGGAGTAATTTAATATGCAGTGGATAATTAACAGAAACATGAAATACTTGGGGATAAATTTAACAAATATGTTTAAGAGTTGTGCACTACTAGGAGAAACTGAAGAATACAATGAAGAGAGATACATATTTATGTTTGTATTTTTGAGATGCAGCTCTCTCTCAGATTGATCTATAGATTGAATTCAACCCAATAAGTATAATAGCAGATTTTTTGGTAGAAATTAACAAGCTGAATCTAAACTTTATAGAGAAATGTAGAATACCCAGACTGTCCAAAACAATTTTTAAACAGAACAAAGCTGGATAATTTACATTATATGATTTTAAGACTAAAATATTCATGACATTGTTCTATTGGTGTTAAGGATCAATGGATTAATGAACCAAATACAAAGTACAGAAGTAGATCTACACATACACAGTCAGTTGATTTTCTGTTAAGGCACCAAGATAATTTAGTGGGGGTAAGGGATAGTCTTTTAAACAAATAGCACTAGAACAACTGGATATCCATAAGGTATAAGAGAACTTTGACCCTTATATCATACATGTAAGTTAATTTTGAAATGTGTCATACAGCTCTATGTAAGGACCAAAACTATTAAATTTGTCTTAAAATAGAAGAAAACCTGAGAAACAAATTTTTGTAATCTTGTGACAGGCAAAAGTTTCTTAGATGAGACATAAGAGCATGAATATAAAAGGAAAAAATTAACAAATTGGTAAAGTTAGCCAATTTGAAAACTACTTTTCTTAACTGCTATTAAGAAAACAAAAAACATACCACAGCCTGGGAAACAGTATTTATTACAATTTGTAATATTCATACCTGATAATGGACTTGAAAACAAAATATAAAAACTCCTACAATAATAAGATAAACAGGCCAGTTTTTAAATGGGCAAAAGATTTGAACATACACTTCCACAAAAGAAGATTTATCTGTGTTCTCATGAAAGATGTTCAACTTTTTCATTATGGAAAGGCAAATTGTAATCTGACTAAGGTCACTAATACGTCTATAGTGGCTAAAATGTAAGAAGTTGAAATACGAACTGATAAGGATGTGGAGCAACTGGAGCTCTCCTACTGTCTCTTGGCACTGTCAAATGGTACAGTTATTTCCGAAAACAGTTTGTCAGTTTTATAAAGATAAGCGTATTTTTCCCATATGTTTCATGAATTCAAATCTCAGTTATTTACCTAAGAAATGAAAGTATATATTCACAAAAGACTTTTACGTATGAATCTCTAAAGTGGTATGCTAAGGGAAGGCCTATCCTCAAAGCATACTGTTTTATTCCATCTGTATAAAGTTCTAGTCAATACAAGCCAATCTGTGTGGAGAGCAAGTTAGTGATTGTCTTTACCCATAAGTAAGTGTGGGAGATTGTCCAAGAAGGGGCATAAGGCAACTTTGGTGATGATGGAAATGTTTTGTATCTTTCTTTGGTGGTTATTAGTGTGGTGAATGCATTTAGCAAAACTTATTTAACTGTACATTTAACATATATATGTTTAACTTTGAAATTTTTATTCCAATAAAAATGTTTAATTACATGTTATGAAGCCTGATACAAGTTACAAGTAAATGCCTAGAAGAGATTATTTTTCATGAAACTAAGAATATCCAAAATAAAAAATTGTATATGATCAGAATTACTGCTTGCAGATGGTATACAGAGACAAATATAGAAGATACTGGCATGCATTTTGGTGAAAACTGAAGGGAAAGCGGGGAGCTCTACTGCTCTTGAATTAACATAATCTTTTCAAGTTTAGGAAATCAGTATAATTAAATAAATTGAACGTGTACCTTAAGGACAACCACAGTAATAACAATTTTTATCTTTTAAGGTAGCATAAGAGACCTTATAAAGTGAAAATCAAGAAGGAAAAAAATGAAAGAGTGAAATAAATGAAAAACATGAAATGAAATGCCAGAAACAAGTATTATTTAAAATTAATATAAATGGTTTACACTCACCAGTTAAACTCTCAATGAATTTTTCAGTAGTTTAAGTGATAGCTACATGATTTTTAATTAAAGAGGTGAAAATAAAAGGATGGACAGTGATGTACCAGGCAAATATGAATGATAGCAATTATTAAAGCTAGATAGTAATCTGAACAGATGCTCACCTATATAGATTTTAAAAATTTAGTTGAGCAAGATAGAAGCTGAACCCACTAGAAAGTTTTGATATTTAATAAAGAACTTGGTAAATGTATATATAAAGCTAAATAAGCAACAATTTTATAAAACTTATACCTAATTTGCTTGATGAAGGAAAAGAAACAAGGTGAATGTAAGTATTGGGTAGCAATAACATCCCTAATGAGAAGGGGATGACTTTAATTAAAACATTTGAAGGTTCTTGTACTCTTTAGAGAAAGAGAACAGATTATTAGTTTAGAATTCATGAGTATGTTAAACATTTAAGGATAAATAAAGCAGAAAGTATACAATTTGTGGAACAAAAGAAGTCAAAGTACAAAGAAAACAATAGAAGCCTGGATGAAAGCATATAATAGTTAAGGTAAATAAAAAAATATAAACTAAGATGTCAGAAAAAAATTCCAGATGTATCAATTATAGCAGTAAGTTAAAATGGACTAAACTGAACAGTTTAAAAAACATTATGGATTAAGGAAGATGAGCAAAATTTAGCTGTAGAATGCTTACAAGAGACAAACCTAAAGCATATAAACACAAAGAAATTAAGAATATTAGGAAAGAGTTATATCAAAATTTATCCTTATTCTCTTGTACATTTTCCCACCTCCTTTAGGTAACCACAGATTTATTACTATAAGTCAGTTTTACATTTTCTAAAAATTTTACGCAAGTGGGATTACATAGTATGTATTTTGTGTTCTGATTGTGTTATGCAACATAGTTATGCATGTATTCATACATATTTTTCCATATATCATTTGTTGCTCAGGTGTGTTCCATTGTATATGTATATACACACATTGTATTTAATTTATATGATTATATATAATGTATATAATTGTGCTTATTGATTTGTTGGTGTAGTTAAGAATTATATATATTGTTAGAGCTATTGTGAACAACAGTGCTATAAACATTCTTTTTTGAGTCATTTTGCAGACATATATTTTTATTCCTCAGTAAATACTTATGAGTGGAGTTACTTCATGAAGTAGGCATATGTTTAACATCATTACAAACTATCAAATTTTTGGCATTTTAAAGATGTTCCATGTTCTTAGGGCTTTATTTGTGATGATTACTCAGATTGTCATCCCATTGTCATTCCTTCATATGTCGTGTACCTTTTTTTCCTTTGACTTTAAAATTTTCTCTTCATATTTGGCATTCAGCAATTTGATTCTCATGTCCCTAAATATGATTTATATTAATTTTCTTTGGGATTTGCTGTACCTTTTGGACTTTCATTGTTTTTCATCAAATTTAGAAAATTTTTGGCCAATATTTTTCAAAAATTTTTTCTGCTACAATTTCTTTTTTCCTTCTGAAACTCCAGTTACAAATGTTGTTAGAATATTTGATACCATCTCAAGATAGCTATTTTAAAATGCTTTTTTTGCTAATTCGAACAAATGGGCAATCTTGGGATCTGATGGGTTTGTTGTTGTTGTTGTTGTTGTTTTTGAGATGGAGTCTTGCCCTGTCATCCAGGCTGGAGTGCAATGGCGCGATCTTGGCTCACTGCAACCTCTGCCTTCTGGGTTTGAGCGATTCTCCTCCCTCAGCCTCCTGAGTAGTTGGGATTACAAGTGTGTGCCACCATGCCGGGCTAATTTTTGTATTTTTGTAGAGATGGGGTTTTACCGTGTTAGCCAGGCTGGCCTCGAACTCCTGACCTCAGGTGATGTGCCCACCTTGGCCTCCTAAAGTGCTAGGATTACAGGTGGGAGCCACTGCACCTGACCAGATCTGATGATTTTTAAATGGGATCAGGGAGTGAGCTACACAGGGCTTCATTTTTTAATCTGAGTGATCCATCATAAGTGTTTAGTATATTATTCTTTAGGCCACTTTTATGTTTAAAATACTTAATAATTGATGTAAAAATGGTAACCATTGCCTAATCTATTGTCTAGAAATTTACTCCTCCTCCCCCTCCTCCTTTCTTCTGTCTCTTCTTTCTTCTTCCTTCTTCTTTGAGATGGAGTCTTCCTCTGTCATCCAGGCTGGGGTGAGATGGCGTAGTCATAACTCACTGTAGCCTTGAACTCTTGGACTCAAGCCATCCTCCTTGAAGATTGTTTGCAAGATTGTTTTCAGCTCTTGTGGATCCCTTGTATTTCCATGTTAATTTTAGGATTGGCTCATTCATTTCTACAAAAATAATTATCTGGAATTTTAATAGAAAATGCATTGATCTGTAGGTCAGTTTGGGGAACATTGACATCTTAACAATATTATATTTTCCAATTCAGGCACATAGATAGTATTCCATTTAGTTGAGTCTTTATTTTCTTTTAATGATGTTTTATAGTTTTCAATGTAGACATTTTATACTTTTAAAAATTTCATTTCAGAATATTTATTGCTATTTCCGCCCCTCCTCCCCCAACCCCGTCCCCGCTCCAAGACAGGGTCTCACTCTGTCACCCAGGCTAGAATGCAGTGGCACGACCTCAGCTCACTGCAGCCTCGACCTCTGGGGCCCAAGCAGTTCTCCCACATCAGACTCTCAAGCTGGGACTATAGGTGTGAGCCACTACACTCAGCTAATTTTTGTATTTTTTATAGAGGTGGGGTTTCAGCATGTTGCCCAGGCTTGTCCTGAACTCTCGGGCTCAAGTAATCTGCCTGTCTTGGCCTCCCAAACTGTTGGGATTACCAGCATGGGCCACTGTGCCTGGCCCATTTGCATGATTTAAACAGCACAAAGAGTCTTCTGTGGGTTTTCAGTTTCCCTCATTCATACAGAAAGATAACAATCACTTCATGTGGATATAGTGTTGACTATGTGCCAAGCACTCTTCTAAGCACTTACATGTATTTTTTATTTTTAGTATAGATGAAGTCTAAGTTGCCCAGCTTGTCTTGAACTACAAAGCTCAAGTGATCTGCCTGCCTTGGCCTCCCAAAGTGCTGGGATTACAGGCATCTGTGACTACACCTGGCCACCACTGTATATTTATTTGTTTCTTGTAGTTTTGCAGAACTCGTTTATTAGTCGAATCAGTTTTTTTAAATTATTCCATAGGATTTTCTGCCTACAAGATTGTCATCTTGAGTAGAGATACTTTTACTTCCTTTTTCCAGTGTATCTTACATATATTACATGTTTGTGTGTTATAAAAATTGATAGCCTTATGCTTACGGAACTTACATGTTTATCATATGATTTGAAGAACATTACATTTTTTAAATATTAGTAATTCTTAAGGAAGCAATTTCTTTTATATTCATCGTATTTATAACATTAATTCTCAATACATTGATACTCATTGTATTTATCTGAACATGTCAGAAATGTATGGCTAAAAAATGATGCATCAAAATAAGAAATGAATTTGTGCAGTCATAAAAAGAACAAGATCATGTCTTTTGTGGGAACATGGATGGAGCTGGAGGCTATTGTCCTTAGCAAACTAAATGCAGGAACAGAAAACCAAATACTGCATATTCTCACTTATAAGTGGGAGCTAAATGATAAAAACTTATGAACACGAAGGAAACAACAGACAGTGAGGTCTAGTTGAAGATGGAGGTTGGGAGGAGGGAGAGGAGCAGAAAAAATAGCTATTGAGTACTGGGCTTAGTACCTGGGTGAAATAATCTGCACAACAAACCCCCGTTACATGAGTTTACCTTTGTAACAAACCTTCATGTGTACCCCCTGAACCTAAAAATAAAAATGAACTTGTACACTTCTAGGCCTTCAGTCCAGTCACCCTTGTATTTTCTGAAGTTAATGATTCAATGAAAGAAGAAAATATTTCATTATTAAATTTTCTAATTGGGTTCATTGTTAACTAAGATCTATGACAGTTATGAGACTTGGGTCATGTAATTATTTAGATATTTCTGAAATATTTAGCAAATACTCGTGATTAAATTTTCGTTTGTCTTTAGAAAAACTATTTCACGTTTCATTTTTCTTTGCACTGATTTGAAATTTTCTGTTTTTTAAATTTTGCTAGGTATAACCCGGAAAAATCCCAGAACACCTCTTTCTGATCTCCAGGGCATGAATGCTCTAAATGAAAAAAACCAACAGTAAGTGTGTTTGGTTTATGTTTTCAAGGACGTATAGAAGAAATAACTAACATTCTTATTGATATTTTTGTGACTTTAAAAGTTTGAAGTAATTCAGGCTTGTTTTGTTTTTTTATTTCTTGAATCCTTTATAAGTGATGTAATAACACATTAATAGGTTAAAGTTAACAAGATTTGTCTACAGTTGCTTCTGGTAAAATGGCTTTACAATTTTGAAAAAGTTTCTTCAGAATAACTTAAAATGAGCTCATATATTTTAATTGCTGAGACCCTTCTTGCATTTTATGTCTTTTACAAAATTTAAGGGTTATTCCGCTGCTTTCTGTGGAGAAATCTTATTGGGAAGTAATAATTGAATAGTTTGATTTACATCAAACCATCCAATACCTTTTTTGGGTGAGTGCGATTACCAAAGCTTACCTTTTACTATTTTCAATGATGAATTCCTGAGAACAATTTGACAGTAACAAATATAAATAATTTTATGAGTTCATAAAATTTTGTTTTTTATATATACTATTTAATAAAGATTGTAATTTGTATGAGGAGAACATTGTTTCTAGAATGTATTCTGTATGTTTTAAACATCATCAAAAAATTGAGCTTCCTAATACTGTGGTAATAAGGATGGTCTGTCATTAAAATGAAGGTATAACTTCATTGATCATTTTTTCCAATTGAGTCACCGTGTCTTTCTAATACATAATTGTCACTTGTCTGCTCAGTAACTTTTTCATGACTCTTTATTGCTTATTTAAAAGTCTAGGTTCACTAACTTCATATGCAAGATCTGTCACAGCCCAAGTATCTAGCCACAAATATATTCACTTTGAATGCCACAAATTAAGCTATTTGCTATCTTTATATTGTATGTCCTTTGTTTTCTTAACAGTAGTATTTGGCTAACTATGGTATCTACCACCATATTTGCATGTTAAATTTTACCCGAACACAAATTAGATAGTTAACCTTGACCTGTGTACCTTCAGTTTCATCTGTTGGCAGTATTCTCACCCTGGTCATCAGATGGGAACCCAATTTTCTTGATTATATAAAAAAGAAACCGCAATATGCCTCATTTCACAAAGCAGTTTAGTGGTTTTAAGTTTCCTAATTTCTAGTTTGTGCTTCTTTCTTTGTACTTTCCATTTTGGATACCTGAAGTGATCTATATGGGTTTCTGGTTCAGTTCCAGACCACCACAATAAAACGAATTCTCAGTAAAACAAATCACACAAATTTTTCGGTTTCCCAGTGCATATAAAAGTTATGTTTACACTATACTGTAGTCTGTCAATTGTGCAATAGTATTATGTTTAAAAAATACATACACACCTTAATTAAAAAATACTTTGTTGCTAAAAAAAATAACAATCATCTGAGCCTTCAGTGAGTCATAATCTTTTTGCTGGTAGAGGGTCTTTCCTTGATGTTGATGGCTGCTGACTGTTTAAGGTGGTGGATGCTGAAAATTGGAGTGGCTATGGCAATTTCTTAAAATAAGACAATGAAATTTGCACATCAGTTGCCTCTTCCTTACAGGAAAGATTTCCCTGTAGCATCCAATGCTGTTTGATAGCCTTTTATCCACAGTAGAACTCCAGAATTGGAGTCAATCCTCTCAAACCCTGCCACTGCTTTATCAACTCAATTTCTATAATGCTTTGAATCCTCTGTTTTCTTTTTTTAAAAGAATTTTTTCCTCACAGTCCCTACTGCAGAATATGTTGTCATTTCAACACTTTTCACAGTATCTTCACCAGGAATGTATTTTCCTACTGCATTTTTTCCTCCCTCTCCCTCCCTCCCTCCCTTCGTTTTTCCTTCCTTCCTGCTTTCCTTCTTCCCTCACTTGCTTCCTTCCTTCCTCTCACTCTCTCCTCTCTCTCTCCTTTTGTTTTCTTTTTTTTTTTTCTAAAGCCAGAGTACCACTCATTTTTGTAAATGAGAAAAATATAAGTGCACACACAAACCATCTTAAGTGCAGTATGATTCTCCCATTTGGGAAGACACATTATCTTAGGGATGATGATTCACTGACTTTTTTTTAATGGTTTAGCACAAAATAATGAAAATACAAGCGTTTCTAAATGGTTTATTGATTACATGCCATTTATATATCTTGAATAAATGCTCTAAGCAAATGGAAGCTGAGATTTATAAATATGGACAAATGTGAAATTGTTGTAAGTAGCTATCTCCTGATACTTCTTTTAAAAAATTTTTAGTTCACTCATAATAATTATACATATTATCAGGTACAGTGTGATGTTTTGATACCTGTATACATTGTGTAATGATCAAATTAAAATAATTACCATATTCGTCGTCTCAAATATGTGTCATTTTTTTGTGGTGGGAACATTTCTCTTTCAAAATTCTGT
Organism: Homo sapiens; assembly: GCF_000001405.40. Taxonomy (NCBI): domain Eukaryota; kingdom Metazoa; phylum Chordata; class Mammalia; order Primates; family Hominidae; genus Homo; species Homo sapiens. Next base: position 71,936,467 of record NC_000015.10, on the reverse strand, counting down.
CTTCTAGCTGTTTTCAGGTATACAATACCTTATTGTTAACTATAATCACTTCATTGTGCAATAGAGGACCACAATTTATTCCTGTTGTCTTACTGTAACTTCGTACCCATTGACCAACCTCTCTGCTTACTGCACCCCTCCACCTCATTACCTTTTCCAGTCTCTGGTAATCACTGCTCTATTCAGTACTTCTGTGAGAGCAGCTTATTTAGATTCCACATACGAGTGGGGTCATGCAGTATTTGTCTTTCTGTGTCTGGCTTATTTCAGTTAACATAATGTACTCTATGTTTGTCCATGTTGTCCAAATGATAGGATTTTATTCTTTTTTTAATGACTGAATAGCATTCCATTGTATGTATATACCACATTTTCTTTATCCATTCATTTGTTGTTGGATACTACTACTTTACCTGGTGAGTCCTCCATTAATTATGATGTTACAATCACTGTGATAGTGTTATGTTTTGTTCATTGCTATATCTGCAATGTTTAGAGTCTCATAGGACTTAGTTTAATGGGTGTGTGAGTAGTGAGTGTGTGTGTGTGTGTGTGTGTGTGTGTAAATAAGACCTTTCAGGAGGAAATTAGATATTCCATAGGATGGGATAGTGTATTAGGATGACAAATTCCTATAGTAGCATTTGAAAATTCTAAAATCTAACAAAGAGGGAAGATACTATAATCCATTTTATTAGTTACTAGTTGTTGAATGATAATATATTTAAAGATATCAGCTACATGATATGCTCATCTACATGCACGTTTGTATGTGAATATGATGGAATTCATAGGAATTTGTTCTGAATGAGACAACGGTTAGTCCCAACTGATTGGCAGTCATTTGGATGAAATCAGTTTTTGGTTGGTTTAGCATTTTTTTCTAAATTTTAACTTTAGTATTTAAAGTTTTATTTTACTTATTTAAGCAGTATAGTGTTAGAGACGTCTTCATTAACTAAAGCAAATTATATTTTTTACAGTGATACATTTGATATTGCCTGGAATGGCAGAACTGGGATTCGCCAGAGCAGACTATCAAGTGGCACCTCCTTGCTTGATAAAGATGGAATATTTGCTAATTCAACTAGCAGCAAACTCCTGGAGAGAGCCCATGGAATTCTCACGTCAGTACTAATCAGTAATGTAAATTGTTTTTTGTTTTTTGTTTTTTGTCTGGTTTAAAATTTCTGGCAGAAAAAAATGAAGAAGGAAGATGGTGAAATGTTATTTTCATGGGAAGAATTTTGACTGAAACAAGACTCAAAGTTATTTAGGTAGCGTTTACAGCCATGAATCTCATGTGTTATAAAGCTTGTGTTTTTGTTGATTTTTCTCCCCCATATTACCAGGAGAATCATGACTGAGTATATTTGTTATGGAGATGATAATAAAGGTCTTATTGTTTAGACAGGCCCTACCTTCAGAGAAAGAAAAAACTGTTAGCTCCTTTTAGGATTCCCAATTTTTACTATAATTATCCATTAATTCTAGCAATCTTAACAAATTAGGCAAGAAAATCTATAAATGGTGAATGGTTGAGTGATATATAACACTTATCCAAGCTTTCCATTTCTCATTAACTGATTACAGAGTTGGTTTGAAGACATAGCTATAACCATTCTCTACCATGCTTCATAGAGACCCCATCTCTCCAAAAAAAAAAAAAAAAAAAAAAAAAGAAAAGAAAAGAAAAAAAATTAGCCAGGTGTGGTAGTGCATGCATGTAGTTCCAGCTACTCAGGAGACTGAGGTAGGAGGATCAGTTGAGCCAAGGAAGTTGAGGCTGCAATGAGTCATGATCTTGCCATTGCACTTCAGCCTGGGCAACCGATTAACATCCTGTCTCTGAGAAAAAAAAAAAAAGGAAAAAAAGTTATTAGTTATTAGCATTAACATGTTTTAGATATTTCCCAAGCATATCGTTTGACCGCTAGCTAGAGGTGTGACTGAATTGGATTCCATAATCCTTGTCTGAATCACTGCTTAATAATATTAGTAGGTTCTATTTATGTAGGTCTTGCTCTAGCCCAGAGATATACATTAACTCATTTAATCCTCACAACAACTTTTAAGTTATAGGTAGTATTGTCCTCCCTGTTTTACATTATTACATAATGAAAAGTTAAAGAGGTTAAAATCATACCTTAATAGATGGTAGACCATAGATTGTTGTCCAGGTCTTTCTAACTTCCCAGCCCATATTCATAAGCGTTGGACTTTATTCCTTCTTTTCTGTGGCCATAAAAAAGGCTAAAAATAAATTAAAAAGACTTGATTTAAGTATGGTATTGAGGTTTGAATAAGGAAAAAAATGAGTGGAATAGAATTTTTAATTACCAAAAATGGAAGATTACGTTTTGGTGATAAGTACGTTTTTTTAAAATTTATGAAACTTAGACATCTCATTTAGTTTTGATATGATAGAAATAAGTCTTCTGTAGGTACAAGAAACTACTAACAACTGAAGAAAATGAACCTGTGGCTTAGAATGTACAACACAGTGTTACTAATCATCAGGTGTAAATCTGTTTATACTTATATAACAAGGCAGGTATCTTTTCCTTGTTTATTCTTCCTTCCCAAGGTGCCTGCTTGGCTGAATCAGATAGTGTTTTCATATAAAGAACCTACAGTCTTGGTAATGGGTATATAATCTGTTGTTTTAGGAGAGACCTTGAAATCTTTCTTCTCTACAGTAGCTTTTGTTTTTGTTTTTATACAGTAGCTTTTTTTAATGAATGATTTATCTCTATAGGAGAAACAAAAATTTCAAATCCAAGCCTGCCCTTCCAAAGGTGAGTACTATGAAAACTTTTTTTGTATTGGTATTCTGCTACACAATTATTTTTTATTACTCATACAATCTTCATACATCAAAAAACAAGAAATAACCTTATTTGTATCCAAGATAGTGATCGTGCACTTAGTTGAATCCATTTTAGAAATAACACTGTTATGAAATGGCTGAGCCTAATGGTTCAGGTAAATATTTATTTGTGATATATACCATTTTCTAGCGTTTTAATAGCTCCTGAATATAAATGTTGTTTAGTTATTGCCTCTTTATGTAAGGTCTTTTCATTTCTCCTTGAGCCAAGTTAAGGTCAAATTCTGAATGGTACCTGATTTTAAAATAATTTCTGATTAGTGCTCACCTAATCCAATTATCTATAATAAATGTTTGCCAGGTTTTTCTATAAAGGGACATTGTCTTTTCAGGCTTATGGTTTCTGATATAACTAGTTGGCTCTGCTGTTGTAGCAGAAATGCAGCTATAATTTGCATTCCAATAAAACTTTGTTAATGGACACTGAAAATTGAATTTTATATAATTTTTCACATGCCATAAAATATTATTATTTTAACCCATATAAACAATATATAAATAGTGGGCAGGATTTGGTGAGCAGTACTTGCCCCTCTGTTAATATAGCTCTGGTTTTTTTTTATTTTTTTATTTTTTTGCAGGGGTTGTTGTTTCATTTTGCTTTGTTTGTTTTATTAATGTGTATAGCAGCTTTATTTGTAATAGCAAAAAACTTGAAGCAACTCAAACTTTCATCAACAGAAATATGGATAAACACACTGTGGTATATCCATATAATTGAATACTTAACTCACCAATAAAAATGAATAAACTATTGATGCGTGTAACAACGTGAATGAATCTCAAAATAATTACATGCAGTAGTAGATACTGTATATAAATCTTAGAAAATATGAATTGCAGTGACAGAGAACAAAGAGGTGGTTTTAAACACACAGACATTTCCAGGGACTACAGCCCCCTGGATCAATGCAGATAAGCAGTTAAAAAGCACACTCCCCAGTTAATTTCTGGAAGGGGTTTGTCTGTATACTTCTCTAGCCATTGTTTGAGGATTGGGCTCCTCTCTAGGCTGCATCTAGTAGCCAATGGGCAAAGAAACAGCAGAACCCTGGGATACTGACTGTGAGTTCCAGCGTTTCCTGAGTTTTTTCATCTGGCTTGCTCCAGCAATAAAGCTAGAGCAGATTATCTCTGTAGATTATCCTTGGAAGGAGTTTATTCATGGATTGATCACAGCTGCCACTGCTCCCTCCCAAGGGATAGCCGCCTTAACCTTATAGTTCTGGGAATTGATGGGACACTGAATTTCTGAGTCTCTAGACCACTGAAAACAAATAAATGGGCATTCAGTGGGCCCACTTTTTTCCCCCAAGATGAGATAATGCAGTCTGATCTAAAATATAGACGTTTGCTAGAATTCCTCTCTTCAGCGTAGTGCAGAGAGAATCCTACTGTCAGCTTCACCACGAGGATAGAAGGAACTGGAACACACTTAACACTTCAACCTTTCTAGCTGTGTCTAGGGGGAATGACTTCTCTCTCAAATGTTTTGAGGTACTAACGGAACTTGGCACATCCTAATTTCCTGGAGACAACAAAAAACAAAGGCAGCAGTTTGGACAAACACAAAGGTTTGAGAGGTACCCTAGAATTTCTGGCCAGACTTTTGAGGTACTAACGGAACTTGGCACATCCTAATTTCCTGGAGACAACAAAAAACAAAGGCAGCAGTTTGGACAAACACAAAGGTTTGAGAGGTACCCTAGAATTTCTGGCCAGACTGACTGGTTAGGTTCTTCTACACTAAACAAGATTGGGAGAAGCTATTAGGTTATCTAATGTGCAGAAAACAACACAGAGGGTAAAGGCAAATGAAGAAATGGGGAAGTATGTTCCAAATAGAGAAACAAGATAAATTCAAAAAATACCTGAAGGAGAAGAAAGAAAAAGTGAGAGAAAACACTTTCAAAGATGTAAAGGCAGAAAACTACTCAAGCCTGGGGAAATAGAACTCCAGATCTAGAAAATTCAAAGGACACCGAATACTATCCATCCAAAGAGATCCTTATTAAGACATGTTATAATCAATTTGTCAAAAATTAAAGACAGAGTATTTTTTAAAAAGCAACAATGAAAAAGCAACATGTTAAATACAAGGGTCCCCCACAAGACTATCATCAGATTTTTCATGAGAAACCTTGCATGCCAGAGTTAGTGGGATTCAAAATCCTCTGAGAAAAAAGACCTGCCAACCATAGTACTATGCCCAGCAATTTTGTCTTTCAAAAATGAAAAGGAGATAACAACTTTCTCAGACAAATGATGGCTAAGGGAATTCAGCACTGCTAGACCTGACTTACAAGTAGAGTTCTACTTTCTTGAACTTCTTTCTTGAGAGTTCTCTAAAGAAAGTTCTTCAAGCTAAAGGACAGTGATAATTAGTACCATGAGAACATGAAAGCAGAAAACTCACTGATAAAAGTAAGTACACTGTCTAATTCAAACATTTTAATTATGTGATGCCAGTGTGTAAATCAATGATATCTCTAGTATAAAGGTTGAAATACAAAACTGTTGAAACAATGGCAGCTACAATAGTTTGTGAAGGGACACAAATTATAAAAAGATATAAAATGTAACATCAAAAAGATAAAACATGAAGGGTGAGTAAAAGTGTAGGGTTTATGCATGCAATGAAAGTTTAGTTTTTGTAAGCATAAAATAGCCAGTTGTAAGTATATGACTGGCTTTTTATGTAAGCCTCAAGGTGACCACCTTTAGTGGATACACAAAAGATAAAAGGATGGAAGTCATACTGCTATAGAAAACCATCAAACCACAAAGGGAAGACAGAATTATTGGAAGAAAGGCTCTACAAAATGATAAAATAATGAACAAAGTGGCACTAGTAAATCTTTACCTATCAATAACTGGTTTGAATGTAAATGGATTAAATTCTCCAATTAAAAGCCACAGAGTGCCTGAATGCATTAAAAAAAGAGAGACTCATCTATATGCTACCTGCGAGAGACTCACTTTAGCTTTAACGATGTACAGAGAATGAACATTAAGGGATGGAAAAAAGTATCCCACGCAAATGAAAACCTAAAGAGAGCAACAGTAGTTATCCTTATAACAGACAAAATAAAGTCAAAAACTGTAGATGAGATAAAGAAGGTCAACATATAATAATAAAAAGGGGTATGGTCATCAAAAGGATGTAACAATTTTAAATATATATGCACCCAACATTGTAGCATCTAAAAGCATGAAGCAAATATTGAGACATCTGAAGAGAGAGATAAACTACAATACAGTAATCCTAGGGGATTTCAGTACCCCACTTTCAACAATGAACAGACCATCCACACCAAAAATCAATAAGGAAACAATGGATTTGAAGAAAACAGTGGACCAAATGCATTTAATAGACATATACAGAACATTTCAGTCAACAGCAGCAGAATACACATTCGTCTGAAGCATACATAGGACATTCTTCAGGACATTACAGGCATTGAGCCACCATGCCTGGCCAGCAATAGAAATTCTTTCATAAAAGATTAGCCCAGGACCAGATAGTTTCATGATGCAACACTACCAAACATTTAAATAAAAATGAATACCAGTCCTATTCAAACTCTTTCAAAAAATTGAACTGGAGAGAATACCTCAAACTCATTTTATAAGGCCAGCATTACCCTGATAGCAAAGCCATACGAAAGTACTACAAGAAAATTAGTTCAGCTACTACGGAGAAGTTTGGAGATTTCACAAAGAACTAAGAGTTGAACTCCCATTCAACCCAGCAGTGCCATGACTGGGTGCATGCTCAAAGGAAAATAAATTGTTCTACCAAAAACACATGCACCTGTACATTCATTGCAGCACTATTCACAGTAGTCTTTGCTGTTGTAAATAGTGCAGATATCTTCATCAAAATGCTACTACACCATATTCAATACGACATTGAAAGGATCATTTACCATGATCAGTTGGGGTTTATTCTTGCGATACAAGAATGGTTCAATATATGCAAATCAATAAATGTGATTTATCATATTAACACAGTGAATAGCAAAAACCATACTGTCATTTCAACACATGCAGAAAAAGAATTTGACAAAATTCAACCTGTCATGATAAAAGCTCAACGAATTAGGTATAGAAGGACTGTTCCTCAATATAATTAGGCGATATGTGACAAGCCCACAGCTGACATTATACTCATTGGTGAAAAGTTGAAAGCTTTACTCTTAGGATCAGGAACAAGAAAAGGATGCCCACTGTCACCACTTCTGTTACACTTCAATTCAGTGTATTACTGGAATTGTTAGCCACAGAAATTAGGTAATAAAAAGAAATAAAAGGCATCCAGATTCAAAAGGAAGAAGTGATATTGTGGTTGTCAACAACATAATGTTATATAGAAAATCCTCAAGACCCCACTAAAAAGCTGTTAGAACTGATATATAAATTCCGTAATGTACTTCAGTAATGTTTCAGGATACAAAGTCAACATACAAAAATCAGCAGTGTTTCTTGCTTTTTTTTTTTTTTTAATAGAGACAGTGTATCACTCTGCCACTCAGGCTGAAGTGCAGTGGCATGATTGTAGCTCACTGTACCTTGAACTCATGGGTTCAAGCAATCCTTCCACCTCAGCCTCCTCAGTAGCTAGGACTGCAGGTGCATGCTACCACATCTGGCTATTAAATTTTTTTTTTTTTTCTCGTAGAGATGGAATCTTCTTTCTCTGTGTTGCCCAGGCTGGTCTTAAAGTCTTAGCCTCAAATGATTTTCCTGCTTTGGCCTCCTAAAGTACTAGAATTACAGTCATGAGCCACTGCACCCAGCCTAAAAATCAGTAGCATTTTATAAACTAAAAATGAACTATCTGAAAAAGAAATTAAGGAAACCATCCCATTTACAATAGCATCAAAAAATATAAACTATTTTATAGTAAATTCAACCAAAGAGGTTAAAAATCTGTATACAAAAAAATCATAAAACATTGATGAAAGAAATTGAAGACAACACAAATGAAAAATGATATCCTGTGTTAGTGGGTTGGAAAAATTAATATTGTTAAAATCTCCATATTGCCCAGAGTGATTCACTGATTCAGTGCAATCCCTATAACATTCCATTTTCATTTTTCACAGAAATAAAAAAAATCCTGAAATTCATATGAATACACAAAAAAACCCCAAATAGCCAAAGCAATCTTGAACAAAAAGAACAAAGCTGGATGGAGGCTCACACTACCTGATTTAAAAATATATTAGACAGCACTTTGGGAGGCCGAGGCGGGTGGATCATGAGGTCAGGAGATCGAGACTATCCTGGCTAACAAGGTGAAACCCCGTCTCTACTAAAAATACAAAAAATTAGCCGGGCGTAGTGGCGGGCGCCTGTAGTCCCAGCTACTCGGGAGGCTGAGGCAGGAGAATGGCGTGAACCCGGGAAGCGGAGCTTGCAGTGAGCCGAGATTGCGCCACTGCAGTCCGCAGTCCGGCCTGGGCGACAGAGCGAGACTCCGCCTCAAAAAAAAAAAAAAAAAAAAAAAAAAAAAAAATATATATATATATATATATATATATATATTAGAAAGGTATTGTAATCAAAACAGCATGGAGCTGGCAGAAGAAAATATACATTAACCAATGGAAAAGTATTAAAAGCTCAGAAGTAAACCCGTACATTTATGGTTAGTTGACTTTAAACAAAGGTGCCAAGGACACACAATGAGTAAAGTATAGTCTCTTCAATAAATGATGTTGGGAAAACTGGATATCCACATGTAGAAGAATGAAATTGGGACCATATCTCACCCCACATAAAAAATCCAACCAAGTAGGTTAAAGACTTAAATATAAGACCTGAAACTGTTAAACTTGAACACAGGTTTGAGCTGTGCAGGTCCGCTTATACATGGGTTTAAAAAAAATAAATACAGTCATCCATATCAGGGGGATCTACATCTGTGACCAAATGTGGATCAAAATATGGTATTTGTGAGATGCAAAATCCACCCTTATGGAGGACCAACTTTTTGTACCTGTGGGTTCTGCAGGGCCGGCCATGGGATTTGAGTATGTACATATTTTGTTATCTCAGCGTGGTTCTGGAACCAATCCCCATGGATATTGAGGGACAATTGTAGAATAAAACATACGGGGAAAACTCTATGACATTGGTCTGGCTGTTGATTTCTTGACTATGACCCCCAAAACACAGATAACGAAAGCAGTAATAGACAAATGGGATTGCATCAAACTCAAAAGCTTCTGCACAGCAAAGGAACTAATCAACAGAATGATGAGACAAACTGTAAATGGGAGAAAATATTTGCAGACTATGCATATGGCAGTGGGTTAATGTCTAGAATATATAAGCAGTCCAAACAACTTAATAGCAAAAAAGCAAATAATTTAATTTAAAAATAGCCAAAAGACATTTTGCCAAAGAAATGTCTTAGGGCCTGAGGATCAGCCTACCTGGCAGCCCCACCCCTGACAGTGCAGCTCCTGTGATCATTGGATTTGTGCCCTCCCCGAGGGCCTGAGGATGGGCCCACTTGGTGGCCCCACTCTTGCCAATGCCACCCCCATGATGAGTGGATTTGTACTCTTACCCAGGTCCTGAGGGCCAGCCCACCCAGCATCCCCACCCCTGATGACGCTGTCCCTACAACTGGCTGAACTGGTGCATTTTGTGTGTGCCTTCCAGAGCCAGTGGACTGGTGTGTATCCAATGATGCCACCTCTGAAACCTACAGAACCACTATGCTTTGCATGTGTACCCTGCAGGGTCTGAGGGCCAGGCTGTCTGGTAGCTCTGCTCCTGGTGACACTGCCTTTTCATTTGCTAGAACAACCATGCTTTGGACATACACCCTTGGCATCAAGATAGCTTGTGTGGCGGCTTTCCCCACAGCCACACTGTCACCCAGGCTGGAGTACAGTGGTACGATCGTGGCTCACTGCAGCCTCTACCTCCCAAGCTCAATCAGTTCTCGTGCCTTAGCCTCCCAAGTAGCTGGAAATATAGGCATGTACCACCATGCCCGGCTAATTTTTCTGTTTTTGGTAGACAGGATCTCACTCTATTGCCTGAACTTGTCTTGAACTTCTGACCTCAAGCAGTCTTTCTGCCTCGGCCTCCCAAAGTGCTGGGGTTACAGGTGTGAACCACTGTGTCTGGCCCACTGCACTTTAAAACAAACAAACAAAAATATGCAGGGTCTCATTATGTTGCCCTGTCTGGACTTGAACTCCTCAGTTCAAGTGATCCTCCAGCCTCAGCCTCCCAAGTTGCTGGGATTATAGGCATATACCACGGTGCATGGCTTGGAACTGTCACTCATGCCTTGCGCATGCCCCCCAGGACCAGAGGACTGGCTTGCTTGGTGGCACCAACATAGTACTGGAAAAGCACACCAACTTTGTAAACACCCGTAGCCTAAGTCACTGAGGCAGTAACATCGGATGTTGACTACAGGTAAAGAAATTACACAGAGACTACACTGCTGCACCTACCTAGAACCAAAGCTAAAGCACCCTACCCATTTACCACCTTAGGATCCATCTACAGAAAATGTCTTCTTAAGAAAGTTACCCCATAAAATTGGAAGAGGCAGCTGTTTCACCTAATGGCACAGGTCAATACGGGGACACAAGAAATATGGTAAGATAACTACCGTGATAAAAATATGCAAAAGAATAAAACTCACTGGTAGAAGTCAATTCAGAATCCAATTTAGAACTGTTAGAGGTAATTTCACTTTCAAACTCAGAATATATTATTAATGTAATGGTGGCATATAGTCTTTTAAATCTCTAGTATGATGGTTATAACTCAAAATGGTAAGTGATGTCTATAGCTACAATTAAATGTTAAGTAACACATGATTTTAAAAAGATGTAAATTAAGGCAGCAAGTTATAAATTGTGGGGGGATGGGGATAAAAGTCTAGCGTATTTGTATGCAAAGTTGTTATCTGTTTAAAATAGTCCATTATAAATACAAGATTTTAAAATGTAAGCCCCATAGTAACCTGAAAGAACAAAACGACAGCAGATACATAAATAAGAAAGAGAAAAGAATTAAAGCTTAACTCTCCAGAAAACCACCAAAACAGACAGATAAATAGTAAGAGAGGAAGAAAGGTTATATATAGATATACATGTATATACGTATCTATATATACATATACATAGATATGTATATACGTATATATCCATATACACGTATATACGTATATATGTATATATACATGTAAGTATATATGTACATATACGTATATATGTACATATACGTATATACGTATATATGTACATACACGTGTATACGTATATGTATATATGTATATATGTGTATACGTATATGTATATATATGTGTATATATGTGTATATATACACATGTATATATGTGTATATATACACATGTATATATGTGTATATATACACATGTATATATGTGAAGGAAATATTATTAGCCCTAAAGGGAGAGAGAGATAGCAATACTGTAATTATAGGGGACATCAACACTCCACTTTCAGCAATGGATAGGACAACCAGACAGAAAATCAGCAAAGAACGATAGAGTTAAACTGCACTCAAGATATATGAACCTAACAGACATTTACAAAACATTCTGCCCAGCAGTTGTAGAATACACATTTTTTTCTTTTTCTTTTTTTCTTTTTTTTTTGAGACTAAGTTTCATTCTTCACCTAGACTGGAGTGCAGTGACACGATCTCGGCTTGCTGCAATCTCCACCTCCCGAGTTCAAGCGATTCTCCTGCCTCAACCTCCCAAATAGCTGGGGTTACAGGCATGTGTCACCACACCCGGCTACTTTTTTGTAGTTAGTAGAGATGGGGTTTCACCATGTTGGTCAGGCTGGTCACGAATTCCTGACCTCAGGTGATCCACCCATCTTGGCCTCTCAAAGTGCTGGGATTACAGGCGTGAGCCACCACGCCTGGCCCACATTTTTTTCATTAGCACATGGACCTTTCTTTAAGATATGTCATGTGTTGGGCCACAAAACAAGTCTCAATAAGTTAAAAAAATTTCAAATTGGGAGCCGGGGGCCTTGGCTCACACCTGTAATCCCAGCACTTTGGGAGGCCAAGGTGGGCAGGTCACGAGATCAGGAGATTGAGACCCTCCTGCCTAACACGGTAAAACCCTGTCTCTATTAAAAATACAAAAAATTTAGCCAGGCATGGTGGCAGGCGCCTGTATTCCCAGCTACTCAGGAGGCTGAGGCAGGAGAATGGCTTGAACCTGGGAGGTGGAGCTTGCAGTGAGCCGAGATCACGCCACTGGGCTCCAACCTGGGTGACAGAGCGAGACTCCATCTCAAAAATAATAACAATAATGATAATAATAATAATAATAAACAAAATTTCAAGTTGGGGAGTATCTTTTGTGACAAGGGATTAAACTAGAAATCAATAATAGGTTCTTTAGAAACTATATGCAAATAGTTTTTAAACAACATGCTTCTGAACTACAAATGAGTCAAAGGAGATACTAAAAGGGAAATTAAAAAAAAATTTAAAGAAATGAGAATGCAAATGCAATGTACTAAAACCTATGGTCTACAGCAAAAGCAGTTCTAATGGGGAAGTTTATAGCAATAATTGTCTACGTTAGTAAGTGAGAAAGATCTCCAGTAAACCACCAATAACATTATTCCTCAAGGAACTAGGAAAAATGAGAACAAAATAAACCTTAAGTTAATAGAAGAAGAGAAATGATAAAGATCATAGCAGAAATAAGTGAAATAGAGGCTTAAAAATACAAAACGTTAATGAAATTAAGAGTTAGTGTTTTGAAAAGATAAAAATCGACAAATTTCTAGCTAGACAAAATTTTAAAAGGAAAAGATTCAAATTCAGAGATGTGAAAAGGTGACATTATGGCTGATATTACAGAAATATAAGGGATCATAAGAGCCTATTACTAACAACTATAAGGCAACTATTTGGAAAACCTAGAAGAAATGGGTAAATTCCTAGTCACATACAACCTACCAAAATTGAATCATGAATAGAAAATCTGAAGAAACCAGTAACAACTCTGAGTTCAAATCAGTAATAAAAAGTCTCCCATTGAAGAAAAGTCCATTACATGACAGCTTCACTGCTCAATTCTACCAAACATTTGAAGAAGAATGAGTCTCAGTCCTTTTAAAACTATTTCAGAAAAATGGAGAGGAGAGAATTCTTCCAAATTTATTTTCAAGGCCTTGATAAGAAAACCAGACAAGAACACAACAAAAAAGAAAATTGTAGGACAGTGTCTCTGATTGAACATGGATGCATAAATCCTCAACAAACTACTAGGAAACTAAATTCAATAGCACATTAAAAAGATAACATCATGACTAAGTGGGATTCATCCCAGGGATGCAAGAATGGTTTAACATATGCAAATCGGTAAATGTGATACATTAACAGAATTAAGGGAAAAAATTATACAGTTATTTCAATAGACACAGATAAAGCATCTGACAAAATTCAACACTCATTCATGATAAAAACTCTCATGATATAGACAGAACAGATGTACCTCAACATAATAAAGACCACATGACAGACTCACAGACAGCATACTAAACAAGGAAAAATGGAAAGCTTTTCTTCTGTGATCTAGAATAAGACAAGGATGCCCGCTTTCACCACTTTCTCTATTCAACATAGTACTGGAAGTCCTAGCCAGAGCAAGTAAGCAAGAGAAAGAAAAAAAAGGCATAGAAATTGGAAAGGAGGAAGACACTAAATTACCTAATGTTAAGTACATTAGTAATTATCAATTATTTAGTGCTTGATATTTGTACATATTTGCTCCCCAGGAATTAAAAACTGGCTACTTAATGAATGCTAATTAAAATTAAAATGTCATATTGTTTTTAAATAAAAGGTTTCTTTTAACCATAACAACAACAAAAAGCCAAACTCATAGCAGTATATAATAGAGTTTTGATTCCCAAAGGTTTGGGGTATAAGGGTGGGAAAGGGAAAGGGACAACACTGGTCAAAGGATAATGTTTCAGTTAGACAGGTTCTAGTGATCTTTTGTGTAGCAAGTTGAATATGGTTCATAATAATGTATTATATATTTCAAAGTTGCTGTACAAGTAAATTTCAAGTGATCTCACCGCAAAGAAATAAGTATGTGAGATATTTTATTTAGCCTGATTTAATCACTACTCAATGTATACATGTGTCATAATATCACATTGTGCCCCATAAATATATACAATTATTATTCATCATTTTAAAAAAGATGAAAAACCAAAAATATACAGTGACCTAAAGTAGATTAAAGATTGCCAGAGGCTGGGTGCGGTGGCTCACGCCTGTAATCCCAGCACTGTGGGAGGCCAAGGTGGGCAGATTGCCTGAGCTCAGGAGTTCGAGACCAGCCTGGGCAACATGGTGAAACCCTGTGTCTACTAAAAATACAAAAAATTAGCTGGGCGTGGTGGCACGTGCCTGTAGTCTCAACTACTCAGGAGGCTGAGGCAGGAGAATTGCTTGAACCTGGGAGGCGGAGGTTGCGGTGAGCCAGGATCGCGCCACTGCACTCCAGCTTGGACGACAGAGTGAGACTCCATGCTCAAAAAATAAAAAAAAAAGTAGAAAAAGATTGCCAGGAAGCAGCATGCAGTGTTTAGGGAAAAGAGAGGACTTGCAAAGTGAGAGAAGGAACAAAGAAAGCATTAGGGGCTATGGATATGTTCATTATCATGATTGTGGTGATGGCTTCATAGCTATGTAAATATGTCATAACTTATAGTGTATACATTAAATACGTGCAGCTTATTTTGTTTCAGTAAAGCTATTGGAAAAAAGATCATTGAGGGAAAGGAATTTAGACTCATACTAACTTTTTGACCTTTTTACTTATTGAATATATATCTTTTAAACTTCTTACTACTTTTAATTCATTTCAACTTTTTATTAAAAATATCTCCTGTTTACACAGGCTATGCTAGATAAGATATATCCCTATCCTGAGGAATTTTTTGAGTATATAGTAGGAGGCCAAATATCCTCAACTCACTAATTTCGTCTCAGACTAAGTTCTCTATTTAAGAAGTAGGGATGAGTTAGGTAGGGATGGAGTGCGGGAGAAGGAGTGGGTGGAAGGGATGACATCTAGGTTGGGTTTTGCAGGATAAGTCAAAATGATCTGAGATCCTTGTTATTACAGGGAGCCTTTCCATCAAACCTCTTGACAGGAGCCACAGTCAGCACTTAGTTTGTACAACTATGACTCTGAGATGACACACAGCTCTTCCCTTTTGGATAACAAGTTAGCCTAGTTTGCTTCAGACAAGCATCCACTTGAAATGCAGAGGCAGCTTTCATGAACTCAAGTTCGTCCTTCCACAAGATGATAGCTCTGTTTTGGTAATACTTTCCCATTTTTCTTGTTAGAATTTATTCCCTCCTAACTTGAAACTGTCACCTGTATTAGATCTACTTTTCTAACATGACCTATTTTTTTTAGTTACATTGTTTTAGTGACAGCTTCATTGTCCAGTTATATATTTGTACTTTGATATCTTCCTTGTCTCAAAATTCATGCTCAAACTAATTTTACTGTGTTGCTCCCCTAGTACGTTTTTATAGTCACTTGGGCTCAAATCTTGAAGTTATTATTTTTTTGAGACAAAGTCTCACTCTGTCACCTAGGCTGGAGTGCAGTGGCACGATTTTTGCTGACCGCTTGCCTCTTGGGTTCAAGCAGTTCTTGTGCCCCAGCCACCCAAGTAGCTGAGATGACGGGCATGCGTCACCATGCCCGGCTATTTTTTTTTTTCCACTAGAGACAGGGTTTTGCCATATTGACCTCACTGGTTTCCAACTCCTGGCCTCAAGTGATCTGCTCACCTCAGCCTTCCGAAGTGCTGGGATTACAGGTGTGAGCCACTGTGCCCAACCTTGAAGTTAATTTTATTAGCCATTTTAGTCCTTTTTAATAACATGAGAAATGCCTTAGTTTGTTTGGGCTGCTATGATAAAATGTTTTAGATTGGGTAATTTATAAACAAAAGAAATATATTACAGTGTAAGAGGCAGGGAATTTCAAAATCAAGTTTTCAGAGTTGATGTCTAGTGATGGTTCATTCCTCATGGAATGATACCTTCTATGTGTTTTAACATGGCAGCTCTTTTGGGCCTCTTTTATCAAGGTACTAATACCACTACCCAGCTACTTCCCAAGGGCCCCTCCCCTTCGCCTCTTAATACTATCACACCAGGATTAGGTTTCAATATATGAATTTTGGGAGACTCAAAACAGTTAGACTATATTCAAGCAATATCTCATTAATCTTTTTGCCTACAGCACCTTGCACAGCAAGTGGTAGATAATTGTTGAAAAAAATAATAAACTGGTTAATTAAGCTTAATAAACTCAACCATAATGATGGAATTAAGAAAGGAATGAAGTAGACAAGGAACTGAAGCCCTAAGAAAGGAAATAATTCTGTATCCCTTTACCTCTAGATTTACGGTCCTATTTTATCTTTTTTTCATAAACCTTATGCATGATTGAATTATTTTTTAATGTCCTAATAGCCTGGACTTGAATGCAATGTATCCTTAGCACTTACAACAGAGTCTGACCTTTAGTAATGACTCTGAACATTTGTTGATTGACCAGGTTATTGTTAGGTATATGGGAAGAAGTCTGGTCTCCACTTGCTAGGGAAAGCATTGCTCAAAGTTCATTAGTTGCTAGCTTTTTTTTTTTTTTTTTTTTTGAGATGGAGTCTTATTCTGTCGCCCTGGCTGGAGTGCAGTGGTGCGATCTCAGCTCCCTTCAACCTCTGCCTCCTGGGTTCAAGCGATTCTTCTGCCTCAGCCTCCCGAGTAGCTGGGATTATAGGCGCCTGTCACCATGCCTTGCTAATTTTTTGTATTTTTAGTAGAGATGGGGTTTCGCCATGTTGGCCAGGCTGGTCTCGAACTCCTGACCTCTGGTGATCCACTCTCCTCGGCCTCCTCACGCCTGGCCAGTTGCTAGGTATTTAATTCATTCAAACTAATATTTATTGAATCCTACTCTAAACCAGACAGTATTTTAGAAATTGAGGGTACAGGGATGCACAGTACAGTTAGAATCCTTTGGGAGGTTATCTCTTATTTATTTTTTGTTTTTTGAGTCAGTGTCTCGCTCTGTCACCCAGGCTGGAGTGCAGTGGTGCGATCCTGGTTCACTGCAGCCTCTGCCCCCTGAGCTCAAGCAATCCTCCCTTATCTCCACCTCCCGAATAGCTAGGACCGCAGGCACTCGCCACCACGCCTGGCTAATTTTTGTACTTTTAGTAGGCATGAAGCCTTGCCATGTTGCCCAGGCTGGTCTCCAACTCCTGAGCTCAGGTGATCTGCCTGCCTCAGCCGTTCTCGGATTATAGCCCTGAGCCACAGTGCGTGGCACTGCAGGAGGTTATTTTTTAGAGAAAAAGAAGACAATATACAAATTAACAAATAAATGAAAAAATAATTTAGATGATATTATGTGCAGTGTTGAAAATTAAGTGACATGTAATTGACATAGAAGTGGGCTATTTTTTCAGTATTTAAGCAAGAGTTTTCTGAGAAAGTTACATTTAAACTACAAATTCAGTGCCAAGTAAAACCAAGTCTTGTGAGGGCCCGGCTATAGAGTATTCCAAGCAAATGAAAAAAATTGGAATGACTCTGAGGCAGAAATGAATGTCATGTTTGGTTTTTCAAACTTTTGCAATATACATGACAGCAAAGATTTTCTAATAGTTATTTTATTTTGCATAGTCCCTCTGGTGTTTTTTTCATAGTGAAAAACAATTTAAACTCAAACTTTATTTCCAAGGTCTTTTTCTCCATAGTATCTTAAAAGTGGAAGTGGGGGAATTATTTTAGGCTTCAATGCTAATTTGTTTTCACATAAGGGTAACCTATAAATTATTCTAATTGATTCTTGACCAGTATGAAAAATTACTTTTCATGAATATACATACCGTGAAGCTGTGATAATTCAAAAGTGCCAATAAAAGTAAAACAAAAACTTTCTAATTAGCACAAATGCCCTTTTTACATGTGTGTTGTTTTACATGGCTTTTTTTTTGATCAATAGTGCTTACAAATATTTTCCCATGTCAGGAAATACAGATTTACAGTAACTTTATGAGCTGTGGAGTACTCAGTTGTGTAAATGAAGCATACTTTATATAAATAATTCTATATAATTGCATATCTATAATTTTTCATTATTTTTTGAAGTATATTGTTATAAACAACATAGATTTGTTTGATAACTCCTTAGAATAAATATCTAGATGTGAAATTTCTTGTCAGGAAAGTTATAATAATTTACATTCCTAAGAACAGTGAGTATATAGTATATGTCTGTTTCCCCACCACCTCATGAATACTGGCTCTTGTCAGTCTTTATTGTATTGGCCAATCTGATGCAGAAAACCTCTTTTAAAAGAAATGGCATTTTCCTTCAATACAAGTGAGATTGAATGGATTGTGGTTTTGTTACTTGCCATTTTTACTTTGAGAATTGCCTTGTCAGATAATCTTTGCCCTTTCTTTTATTGTGATATCTGTCTTTTTAAGAATTTTTAAAAGTTTTTTTTTTACATACAGATGATAAGCCTTTTCATTTGTAGGAAATAACATTTCCTTAATTCAGATTGTTTACATGTGTGTTGTACTTCTTTCAATTTGCATGGTTTTATTAATGTTTATATTGTCAAAATAGATACCTTTAGACTTGAAAATTTGTCATGTTTTTAACACAATCTTTTGTTTCTCATACATTAAGATTTTTGATTACTTTTTAAATAACATATAGTTTACATCTGTATAGATATATTCTTTTCATTTACAAACTCACTACCATAAATATTGTGTGGTTTAAAAAATTATGATTGGCTCAAAAAGCTCCCAAATACTTGTACTGTCTTTACTTTGTATACTTTAGTTGCTTCATGTCTAACTCCCATTTTCCTAATTTTTAGTGTAGTACATCATGATGAGGGTTAATAGGGACTATGCTTTGGTTTTTTTGTTTTTTGTTTTTGACAGAGTCTCTCACTGTTGCCCGGGCTGGTGTGCAGTGGCTCAATCTTGGCTCGCTGCAGCCTCTGCCTCCCGGGTTCAAGCAGTTCTCCTGCCTCAGCCTCCCGAGTAGCTGGGACTACAGGCACGTGCCACCATGCCTGCCTAATTTTTGTATTTTTAGTGGAGACGGGGTTTCACTGTGTTAGCCAGGCTGATGTCAAACTCCTGACCTCGTGACCCGCCCACCTCAGTCTCCCAAAGTGCTGGGATTACAGGCGTGTGCCACTGTGCCCAGCCTACTTGGTTTTTGTGTATGTCCCTGGCACACCGACTGTCGCCCTGGTATTTAATTGTTGTCTCTGTGAGTCAGGATTGAGATAACAGTAATTACAGTAGATATTTTTAAGTAGAAAGGGAATTAAGCAGGCACTTATAAAATCATTAGAAGTCACATGTTAAAATAACATTTGCAGAAATGTCCCTAAATGTAATTAGAAAGCTAGGAAATCAGGAAGCTGTCAGTGCAGCTGCTACTTGCGGTACATACTGCCTGTGGTGTAATCTAGCCATCTGGAAGAAACTGCTACAACTATTTGCTCCAGGGCTAAGCTGCATTTAGTATAGTTGTGATGACAACACAAATGTTCTGCACTCTGCCTCTGAGCATTTACAAAACTAGTGCCTGGATGCTGGAACCACAGAAAAAAGGTACATAAAGTATATGCATTTTTGCTAGCAGAAGCAGAACTAGTAGCCAGAGCCTCTGCCTCAGTTATACCTTCCCAGTTTCACATGTGGGCCTTTTATTAGTAAACTTAAACCATATCCAGAACTCTAGATGCAAGAGAGTTTGTGAAGTGTACTTTTCTTTTTAGCTTTCTAGCTTCTAGAGGAAGACAGGAGAATAGAATGAATGTTGGATATCAGTCTTTCATATTCACTACAGTCATTTAAGATGGGAAATGGTCATATAGATAGGAAATGATGAAAACTGGCTGAGAATTTTGGCTTATTGTTAGATTAATTTATGTGAGCAATTTATTTTTTCTCTTCTTTCAGCACTTGCTAGAAGTAAATTCTTTAAAGCACCTGACAAGACTGACACTACAAGATCGCATTACCAAGTCTCTTCTTCATTTACACAAGAAGAAAAAACCTCCCAGCATCAGTGCCCAGTTTCAGGTTATTTCTTGTTTCGCTTAAAACAAATAAGAATCTGTATCTTTCAGATTGTCATTGAAAGGTTAAAGTGATCTGCAGGGTACTTGAATGGGATTTTAATTTATGTGACTAAAAAGCCATATATTACTGATCATTTTGGAAAAAAGAACCAAAGATGAAAAAAAAAAAGTCAGATGCCTTTGTTTTTCATCCACATATGTCTGGATAATGGATATCTCAATATTTGTTATTTTCAGTGTGAGGAGAAAGCAGAAAATTGATGTTATAAACAAATCTGCCTTTAAACCCTGCTGCTTAGATAATGTCACTGTTAGCATAATGATATATGTTTTTTTCCCTGCTTAAACCTCATGCTGCTACCATCAATAGTTAACTAAATGAGGCTGAAGGTTTTTTTCCTGTGTATTTATTTTACCTTTGTATAAATAGAAATCCAGTTCTTTTTTGGGGCTTTTAGGAATAAATATGATAATAGTTAACCAAATTTCTTCCAGAATAATTTTTTCAAATTCCTTTTTAAATTGCCTCTTCCATTCTTCTCAAATCATCTATCTCCTAAGATCTTTTCATTTGGTAGATATTTATGAAAGTAAGCAAAATATCTGGTAGGTAACAAATGCTTTGCATAATTTTACCCTATTTCATGTTTATATCACAGAAGCAGTGTTCACTGTTGTATAAAAATTTCCTTATTCATGATAGGTGTATCTGTATATGTTAACACTTTTTAAAATGCTTCTTTTGCAGCTAGGATGTTTGAACATAAGCTATCTACTAATGTATCATTGTATATGATCTTGTTTGATTTATAAGCACAGTTCTTCAAATTGTGGGCTAGAAATGTCATTTTATTTTAGGTAATTCTCACCATGGGCCTAAAGAAAAATTTGAATCTGTGCAGGCTATTTGGTCACATCCTTTCTCTTTAAAAAAAAAAAAAAAGAAATGAAAAAGCAAGACCAAGGAGCCAAATAACTCATTATGTGCAAATAAGCTTAAAGGAAAGGGAATTGAGTATAATGAAATCACTGCCATGAATTTTAAAAATCCTTCCTAATAATCATATGGGTTAATGGCATTTGGTTGGGAAGAATGAGAAGATAGTGCTTGGGGAAGTCTGTCTTTACCTTGCTTCTGTCCTCACAATCCAGAGTCTGGATGTTCACTTTGTAGATTAGAAATGCAAAGATTAATGGGTTATAGAAAAAAAAATCATGTTGAGTAATATAAGTTTATTAATATACAACATAAATATGAGTCATAAGCAGACTTAATACAATTTTTTAGTTTATTAGCATATTTTTTTCCTGATTAGCAAATCCACATGGGAAGCCAAATTCTGGTCAAAAAGTACTTTGGTGAGCTCAGTGTCTGAAAAGGGAACATTAATCTCGTGATTATGAAAGGTAGAATTATTAAGCTGTTAAGTGTTTTGTTACCTTGGATCTTTTACAGGTGCCATGTATACCAAAATCATTCTTTAATCTGAAGAATACCATATAGCTAGTACAATAAAAACTTAGTTATAATCACAATCCTATTGTGTCTTTTAAAATCCTTCCAAATTTACATATTCTCAATTTATATTCATGAATTATATTTAATTTTTAGAAAAAGAGTCCTCTTTCATATTTCTAATCGGCCATTAAGTTATTACAAAAGTAATGAGTTAATTTTTGATTATTTAGAAAATATACATGAGTAAGAACAAGTGAAAGTCATCTGCCATCCATAGATAATGACCAATGTATGGTATGTTTTCCAGGCCCTTTGCCAAAAATTTACACGTATGCATTGTCTAATAGGTGTTGTCTAAGTTCTTCTCCAATTATTCTAGGATAATTACTATTATACTTATTATAAAGGTGAGGAAACCAAGTAACAGATGACCAAATTGCAGGTAGTCAAAATGGATGGCACCCAGCCGTCTTTGTGCCCTTCCTTGAATGCTTATTTTCATGAAAATGATACCATAGAACTCACAAAGGATTAATTGGTATAGGAATTGCCCTTCTGCTATAAACAACCAGAAACTGGACAAAAGATATGAGTCAAATATTTTCAGATATTAGTAAGCATTACGGGACTCCAATCTCTGAGAATAGGGGAAATAAATGAGGAAAGCCCCAGATTAACACCTAAAGATGATTTGCTACGGCTCAGGAAGAGGAAACCCAAACAAATGCCAGTGGTCTTGCTAATTGAAGAGATGGAGATAGAAAGGTAGAGGCAACTAGAATTTGTGAGGCAGAGTAAAGAGGAGAAGGAAATTGTATGAAGAGAAAGAGCTAGAGATCTGCTGAGGGGTCTCCTTGAGTCTCTGTGGCTGACTACTGATCTGTGCATATGTGAGTTAAAATTCCATGAGATTGGGGAAAGAATGATTATTCTAATCACCTAAATCCTGTAGACCTAACAATTTCTGGTACTTATACAGGATTAGAGGAGTAGTTCTGTTCTCATCAGCCAGAGTGAAACGACCTTTTATTACATGAGGCATTAGGTAGAATCCTCAGAAAGACAATGTTTTAGCAATGGGACCAAAATAGTCCTAATGTAAAGGCTGCTCTGGCCCTGCTCTCACAAAACTAAAAATTAAGTCTTAAAAGAATCAGACTGATCCTAAGTAACTTAACAGCATGTTAAGAAAAATGTTTGTCACTCTTTAAAGGAATACAACAAAATCCAACAATGTAAAACACAGTGTCTAACATCCGATGAGAAATTACAAGGCAGGCAAAGAGTCAGGAAAAAAATAACCCATAACAAGGGGGAAAAAAAAATCAATAATCAGAGACAGACTTTAAAATGATGGAGATGATGTAAATAGTAAGAATGTCAAATTAGCTATAATGTATCTTTTAAATATGCCCAAAGACATAACAAAAAACATGAATATGATAAGAACAAAATAGATTTTTTATTTTGGAAGGTGATGACAGAGTCTCTGGACGCTTTCTCAGGAGATGGAGTTGTTCTGTCCTGTCTTTCACTGCCTGTTGCAACCAATAAGGGCCATTTGTATTATGAAAATGAAAAAACTGAAGATATGAAAAAGACTCAAATGGAACTTTTAGAGATTAAATATGTAATATTTGACAATAAAAAACAAGCTAAATTGGATTAACATCGGTTAGACAGTTCAGAAGTAGTACATTTGAAGTCATAGTTTATTAAAGCCCAGAGAAAGCAACAAAGATGTAAAAAAACGAAAATAGCAATAACTTATGGAGCAATATGATGCAGTCTAACATAGATGTAATTGGAATCTCAGGAGATGAAAGGGAGGAGGGCACAGAAAAATATATTTGAAGAAATAATGAGCAAAATATTTTCTGATTTGATGGAAAAAAAAAAAACTACGGAGATCAAAGAATCTCAGTAAACCTCAATCAGAGCAAACAAAAACACACCAAGACACATTATATCAAATTGCTAAAACCAGTTAAAAAGAGAGCATCTTAAACTTAGCCAGAGGGAGAAAAGAGACATTTTGTGTAACTAAGTGAAGATGATCAGAAACTATCAAAGCCATAAGACAAGAGTGATAGCTTCAAAAGACCAAAAAGAGAAAAAAAGTCACCCTAGAATTCTATGTGTGGTGAATGTATCTTTTAAAAACTAAGGTTAAGTAGAGACATTTTCAGACCAAAAAAGCTGAGAGAATTTATTACCAGCAGATCTATAATATCAGAAATTTTAAACATGGAAGAAAAATGATGGGAAAACCACATGGAAGTTTGAATTTACACAAAACATGAATAGTGGCAGATTGATAGAAATGTAGGCTAATATTTTAAAAATATGTTTTCTTGGACAGGCTTGGTGGCTCACACCTGCAATCCCAGCACTTTGGGAGGCCGAGGCAGGCAGATCACCCAAGGTCAGGAGTTCGAGACCAGCCTGGCCAACATGGTGAATCCCCATCTCTACTGAAAATACAAAAATTAGCCAGGCATGGCGATGGGCGCCTGTAATCCCAGCTACTTGGGAGGCTGAGGCAGGAGAATCGCTTGAACCCAGGAGGTGGAGGTTGCAGTGAGCTGAGATTGCACCACTGCACTCCAGCCTGGACAAAAGAGCGAGACTGTCTCAAGAAAAAAAAAAAAAACTTTTCTCTTTTTAAAATAATTGGCTATAGAAAACAAAAATAATAGTATATTGTGAGGTAGAAATAAAATATATAATAAAAGTATCACAAAACACCTAAAGTGGGGCTAAGTGGAAATATAGTGTTGTTAAGCTTTTACACTATACA
The DNA here is from genome assembly GCF_000001405.40 of Homo sapiens. Classification (NCBI taxonomy): domain Eukaryota; kingdom Metazoa; phylum Chordata; class Mammalia; order Primates; family Hominidae; genus Homo; species Homo sapiens. The sequence goes on along the minus strand of NC_000015.10, from coordinate 71,912,111 downwards.
GAACATGGTATAGTATTATTTGAAGGTAGACTGTGATAAAAGGTGCAAATCCTAGAATAATCCTTTAAAAAAGAGTTAACAGTTAGTAAGGTAATAGCTGAACTAAAATGGAACCATAAAATATACTCAATAAAAAAAAGGAAAAAGAAAATTCAGACTGATAAATAGAAACAAGTAACAACATGGTAGACTATAATGTATATTTTCTGTATTATTTCAGCCTTTTGTGGTAAATTACCACCTTCACTATACTCTAAAACATTCCCTCTTGAGAGTTTGTCTTCTGCAGGCTAATGTTAGATTTTAATGAGTCAATCCCTTTGACCACCAAACTTTCAAAGCAGGTAAAGCCTTAAGTTATGACTGGGATGATACAACTTGATCATAAAGAACTGTGCAATGTTTATGCATGGACCTGTATGTCAAAGTCTGGTCACTTCATAGCACTATGTCTCTACTTAGTAGTTTTTTAAAAGAAGTTTTGTGGCTTTCTCCTAATATAATCAGTCATACACATGCTGTTGCTTGTTGTAGCTACTAAAACTTACTGGTAAAGCTGCTACTCCTCTCCATACTCAGCTGCCTAGGGATCCACAGGTTGCTAGGAAAAATATCCGCTGTTATGTGAACAGTCAACATACTCTTTCTTCAAGCGGTGAAACCTAAATTTTTCTCTTCCCTAGGAGTCTTCTAACTGTGGGTATAAGGAAGATGTAGGATACATTAAGCTTGTTTTCATATTTGAATTGAATTCATACTTGTAGAAGTATGAATTCCCTTTGAAAAGGCTGATTGGTTTGAAGAAATTAACCTGGTTTTAATTATAGCTCTAAGAATTTAGTCATTAGTCAAATTAAACCCAAGCTGATATTCTCTGAACATATATGTATGTATTAAGTGTTCTAGAATAGCTACATATTACTTTTATAATCACAGGAAAAGCCATCTAAAAAAGAATGTATTTTTTTAAAAGATAGTTTATAGCAGCAGGAAGCAGATTGGTAGTTGCCTGGGGCTGCTTCTCAAGTGGTTATTGACTGCAGATGGGCAGGAGGGAGTTTTTTGGGGGTGATAGAGGAGTTCTAAAACTGGACTGTAGTGATAGTGGCATAACTGTGTAAATTTACTAAAACTCATTGATTTGTGAACTACAATGTGTATATTTTAATAGTATGTAGATTTTATTCCAATAAAACTTTAAACCAAAAAAGTCACCATTAAAAGAAGAAAAAGAGCAAGACTAAAAAAGGACTTGTATAATATGAAGAACTAAAAATCAGTGTTTTAAAAGGAAGAAAACCTAATAGACAAATGGACAAAAGTCTCAAATAGGCAGTTTATAAAAGATGATATCCAGAAGGCCAACACACCTATGTAAAACCTGTTCAACATTATTATTCATGAGGGAAATGCCAATTAATACCACAAAGCAATACTGTTACATACTTGCCAACATGGCTGAAATAAACTGATTATACAACATGTTGGCAAGATTGGGGAGCATTCAGAACCTTATATGGTACTGTTGAAATGTAAATTGATACAAGCATATTGGAAAACAGTTAAAAGAGGCAAGTATAAGTATGTTCATAGCAAAATTTTTCATAATAAACTGGAAACAACGAAATACTCATCTCTTAATGGATAGTTTAATGGTAGTATAGCCAGTATAGCCAAATAATGGATCACTAATATACAGCACTGGAAATTTACAAAATATAATTGTATGCAACAAATACAAAATAGTACATGGTGTATTTTTCCATTCATATGAACTTTAATAGTAGGTAAAATTAACTTATCATCTTAAAAGTAAGAATAATAATTACCCTTGGTTGGGGTGTGGAAATAAGAGTACATAGCTTATGTACAGTGAGCTTGCTAAAGTCAATGGGATGGGGCACAAAGGGGCTTCTGAGTTTCTGATTTTATATATATATATACACGTATATATATATACACACACACGTATATATATATACACGTGTATATATACACGTATATATATACGTATATATATATACGTGTATATATATAAAATTGGGGCTTTAGTTACAACAATGTCTTCCTTTTGTAAAAAGTCATAATTTACACTTATTATTTTAATATTTTATGTGTATTATTATTATCATTATTTTGAGACGGAGTCTCATAAATAAAATGTTGCCCTGGCTGGACTCCAGCTTCTGGGCTTAAGCTATCCTCCCTCCTCAGCCTCCCAAGTAGCTGTGGCTACAGGCATGTGACACTGTGCCAAGCCCTATGTATATTATACTACAATAGCATTTGCAAGAAAAACGAACAGTTAAAAGTTTAAAAATTTGTATGTTGATGTAATTTCACAACAGTAACAGGGGTCTATATATAGTTGTAAGACTTCTTTGTTTTACTTGAACTTGTGAAATATCGACTCTTAAGTAAGTAGACTGTGACAAGTTAGGTTTGTATATTGTAATCCCTAGAGCAGCTACTAAAATGCAGTACAAAGATAGTTGAAAAGTAGATAAATTAATATGGAATACTAAAGTATATTGAACAGAGGGGAGGGGCACCTCACCAAAGAAAGTACACAGATGTCAAATAAGCATATGAAAAGATGTTCCACATTATATGTTATTAGGGAATTGCAAATTAAAACAAAAATGAGATACCACAGCACAGCTATTGGAATGGCAGAAGTCCAAAACAATGACAACACCAAATGCTGGTGAGAATGTGGAGCAACAGGAACACTCATTCATTGGTGGTGGGAATGCAAAATGGTACAGCCACTTTGGAAAACAGTTTGACAGTTTCTTATAAACTATATTTTTACCATATGATCCAGCAGTAACAACTTCTTGGTATTTACCTAAATTAGTTGAAAACTTATGTCCACACAATAACCTGTACACAGATATTTATAGCAGCTTTATTCATAATTGCTAAAACTTGGAAACAGTCAAGATGTCCTTCAGTAGGTGAATGGATAAACTATGGTACATTCAGACAATGGAATATTATTCAACACTAAAAAGAAATGAGCTTTCAAGCCATGAAAAGGCTTGCAGGAACCTTAAATACATATTACTGAGTGAAAGAAGCCAATATGAAAAGGCTACATACCATAAGATTCCAAATATATGACATTCTGGAAAAAACAAAACTATGGAGACAGTAAAAAAGATCAGTAGTCGCCAGGATCTAGTTGGGGGAGGATGAGTAGGCAGAGCATAGAGGACTTTAGGTTAGTCAAATTAATCTGTATGATACTGCAATGGTGAATAAATGTCTATATATTTGTTTAAACCCAGAGAATGTGCAACATAAAGAGTGAACCCTAATGCATATTATGGACTGTAGTTAATAATCATGTCAGTATTGGTTCATCACATATAACACACTAATGCAAGATGTTAATTATAGGGGAAATTGTGCATGTGAGGGTAAAGGGGCATATGGGAATTCTATGTTCTGCTCATTTTTGCTGTGAACCTAAAACTGCTCCAAAAGTCTATTTTAAACAGACAGGGAGTAAGAGGAGGAAGGGAGGAACAAATGAGAGAGGACAAACAGAAGGCCAGTAATAAAATTGGTAGCCCTAAATCCAATCATACTAATTATTAACAATGTAAATGCTCTAAACAGTCCAATTAAGAAATGGATATTATCGGCCGGGCACAGGCTCACGCCTGTAATCCCAGCACTTTGGGAGGCCGAGGCAGGCAGATCACGAGGTCAGGAGATTGAGACCATCCTGGCTAACACGGTGAAACCTCGTCTCTACTAAAAATACAAAAAAAAATTAGCCGGGTACCAAAACAGAGATATAGATCAATGGAACAGAACAGAGCCCTCAGAAATAACGCTGTATATCTACAACTATCTGATCTTTGACAAACCTGAGAAAAATAAGCAATGGGGAAAGGATTCCCTATTTAATAAATGGTGCTGGGAAAACTGTCTAGCCATATGTAGAAAGCTGAAACTGGATCCCCTCCTTACACCTTATACAAAAATCATTTCAAGATGGATTAAAGACTTAAACGTTAGACCTAAAACCATAAAAACCCTAGAAGAAAACCTAGGCATTACCATTCAGGACATAGGCATGGGCAAGTACTTCATGTCTAAAACACCAAAAGCAATGGCAACAAAAGCCAAAATTGACAAATGGGATCTAATTAAACTAAAGAGCTTCTGCACAACAGAAGAAACTACCATCAGAGTGAACAGGCAACCCACAAAATGGGAGAAAATTTTTGCAATCTACTCATCTGACAAAGGGCTAATATCCAGAATCTACAATGAACTCAAACACATTTACAAGAAAAAAACAAACAACCCCATCAAAAAGCGGGTGAAGGACATGAACAGACACTTCTCAAAAGAAGACATTTATGCAGCCAAAAAACACATGAAAAAATGCTCACCATCACTGGCCATCAGAGAAATGCAAATCAAAACCACAATGAGATATCATCTCACACCAGTTAGAATGGCAGTCATTAAAAAGTCAGGAAACAACAGGTGCTGGAGAGGATGTGGAGAAATAGGAACACTTTTACACTGTTGGTGGGACTGTAAACTAGTTCAACCATTGTGGAAGTCAGTGTGGCGATTCCTCAGGGATCTAGAACTAGAAATACCATTTGACCCAGCCATCCCATTACTGGGTATATACCCAAAGGACTATAAATCATGCTGCTATAAAGACACATGCACACGTATGTTTATTGCGGCACTATTCACAATAGCAAAGACTTGGAACCAACCCAAATGTCCAACAATGATAGACTGGATTAAGAAAATGTGGCACATATACACCATGGAATACTACGCAGCCATAAAAAATGATGAGTTCATGTCCTTTGTAGGGACATGGATGAAATTGGAAATCATCATTCTCAGTAAACTATCGCAAAAACAAAAAACCAAACACCGCATATTCTCCCTCATAGGTGGGAATTGAACAATGAGATCACATGGACACAGGAATGGGAACATCACAGTCTGGGGACTGTTGTGGGGTAGGGGGAGGGGGGAGGGATAGCATTGGGAGATATACCTAATGCTAGATGACGAGTTAGTGGGGGCAGCGCACCAGCATGTCACATGTATACATATGTAACTAACCTGCACATTGTGCACATGTACCCTAACACTTAAAGTATAATAATAAAAAAAAAAAAGAAAAAAAAAATTAGCCGGGTGTGGTGGTGGGGCCTGTAGTCCCAGCTAATCGGGAGGCTGAGGCAGGAGAATGGCGTGAACCCGGGAGGCAGAGCTTGCAGTAGGCCGAGATCGTGCCACTGCATTCCAGCCTGGGTGACAGAGCGAGACACTGTCTCAGGAAAAAAAAAAAAAAAAAAAAGAAAGAAATGGATATTATCTGATTGGATAAAATAAGACCTAACTGTATGTTATCTACAAGAAACCTCTTTAAATACAATGATACTAAAGGGTTAAAAAATGAAAAAAAATAAACCATGCGAACAAAAACCAAAAGAAAGCTATAGTGACTATAGTAGAGTCAGACAAAGTAGACTTCAGAACAGAGAAAATTACCAAGGATAAAGGGAGATAATTTCATAGTGATAAAAGGTGCAATTTACCAAGTCTTACATGTATATTCATCTAATAACAGAACTCCCAAATATCTGAACCAAAAACTGATAGAATTAAAAGAAAAATGGACAAATCTGCAGTTATGCTTGGAAACTTCAGCATACCTCTTGGTAATTGACAGGGTAAGTAGGCAATTAGGAAGGATATGGAAGACTTAAATAGAACAATTAACCTACTTGACCTAACTGAAATTTGTAGAACACCCTAGCCAACAATTGCAGAATATGCATTTATTTTAAGTGCCCATGAAATACTTGCCAAGGTAGATCGTAAACTAGGCCATAAAACCTTAACAATTTTGAGTTAAAATCATACAAAATGTTGTATTTATAATAGAATTAAACCAGAAATCAAAGAAAGACATCAATCCCCAAATATTTAGAATATGTAAAAGCGACTTCTAAATAATACATATTTTAGAGGAAGGAAAATTTTATAATATTTTAAATAGAATGAAATATCAAAATTTGTGCAATGCAGCTAAAGCAGTGCTCCAAGGTTAATTTATAGCACTAAATGCTTTTATTAGAAAAGGAGATATGTCTCAATTCAATAATCTAAATTTCTACCTCGATAAACTATAAAAAGAATATATGAAACCCAATACAAGCAGAGAAAAGTAAATAATAAAGATAACAGCAGAATTCAATGAAATGAAAAACAGAAAAATAGACAAAACACTGACACCAAAAGCTGGTTCTTTAAGCAGATCCAAATTTTTTTTTTTTTTTTTTTTTTTTTTGAGACAGAGTCTCACTTTGTTGCGCAGGCTGGAGTGCAGTGGCACCATCTTGGCTTACTGCAACCTCCACCTCCCAGGTTTAAGTAATTCTCATGCCTCAGCCGGGCACCACCACGCCTGGCTAATTTTTGTATTTTTTAGTAGAGATGGGGTTTCACCATGTTGGCCAGGCTGGTCTCAAACTTCTGACCTCAGGTGATCCTGCCCTCCTTGGCCCTCCAAAATGCTGGGATTATAGGCGTGAGCCACCATGCCTGGGCTGAGCAAATCAAAAAGTTGATAAATTTCTAGCCACTAATCAGGAAGAAAGAGAGAATGTGCAAATTACCATTATCAGGAATAAAAAAAGGGATATCATTACATACTTTGTAGACATTTAAAGTAAAGCAAGGGCTTACTACCTTACTGGATACCCTCCTGAATCATTTTAAAAGTTGTAGGATACATGAGTTTGAATAAAATTGTTTGATGAAATGTGAAGAAAAGTGAAAAAAATTCTATATTTGATTGTTCTGAAAACATCTGCAATATTTACTATTTCCAGGCTATCTGCTTTAATATTAAACTACCATCTTTATCCTTAATTATCCATAATTTAACCAGTATGAGAATATACACAATGTGCTTTTCAAAAACCTCTTTCTATGTGTACCTCTACTTTTTGAATGTTTTGCCAGCATGTTGATTATAGTTATAAATTATTTGTTAATAGTTTGGAATGGAAGAGTATGATAATTATATTGCTTTCTGTTGCAGGCATCATTAAGCAAGCTAATGGAAACACTTGGTCAAGCAGAACCATATTTTGTAAAATGCATTCGCTCTAATGCTGAAAAGGTAAAAATGTCCTATAAATGAGAGCACATATCTCAGCTTACTTCAAACTGAGCTTTAAATACTTTTAAGCAGAATAAGTGGAGGGGAAGCACTAACTATAATATTTATAAGGAAAATAGTATGTTATAAACACTTTAAATGGATTTTTCCACACTTCCCTGCCTGTAAGGTGTTTATTTGGATTTGATTTAGCATCACCCAGAATTTGAGAAGCAAATACCTCTTGAAGTCCTGTCAGAAAAGAATTTTCTTTTTTGTTTTTGTTTTTGTTTTGAGGCAGAGTCTCACTGTGTCACCTAGGCTGGAGTGCAGTGGCATGATCTCAGCTCACTGTAATCTCCGCCTCCTGGTTTCAAGCAGTTCTCCTGCCTCAGCCTCCTGAGTAGCTGGGACTACAGGTGTGCACCACCACGCCCGGCTAATTTTTGTATTTTTAGTAGAGACAAGGATTTGCCATGTTGGCCAGGCTGGTCTTGAACTCCTGACCTCAGGTGATCAGCCCACCTTGGCCTCCCAAAGTGCTAGGATTATAGGCGTGAGCCACTACACCCAGTTGTAGGTTATCTTGTTACAGATTTTGTAGTGATTGGACTATGTGGCCTCTGTGGGTGACTACATTCTTTTTGAGCCTTTAAGGTCCTCTCTCTTCACAACCAGAGAAGCCTGGAAGCTTGGTTTCTCTCTTTTCCCTAGGGTTGGGCAGTCAGAACTTTTCTGAAGCTACCAGCTGAGAGGTGAGCTTGCCTTAATATACTTAGTTACTGTATATGTTAACCAGACAACCTCCAGTCAATCTCTAGATACTCAACAGTTAGTCATGCTTATAAACAGATAATTAATTTGGAGATCTACTGTTCTGGGTTAATCTTTTTTCCATTTGCTTTAGCTGCCCTTAAGGTTCAGTGATGTCTTGGTACTTAGACAGCTTCGATACACCGGGATGCTGGAAACAGTTCGAATTCGCCAATCAGGATACAGCTCCAAATATTCTTTCCAGGTTCTGTTTTTATAGTGATATTTACATATTTAGACACATCAAGTAAATGATTCCCACATATCTTGCTTATTATTTCTTTGGGGCTTACTTATTTTCCTTAATTCTTCCTTTCCATTTCACGTTTTGTATACGGAATTGAAAAGGGATAGACAGTATTTACTTTGATTGAATGGCAGCAATCTCATTAAGCTTATTGTAATAGAATCCAGTACTTGGCTATTCTCATTTGCTCGGAATGTTTGCTAATACTAAATTTACTCCTGATATAACAATTCTTTGCACTGACCTCTCCAGTAACTGAAATAGTTCAATGAGAATTATCTAGTGAAAAGATTCTATTTGGTTTTCCCTAAAGTTTTCTCAGCAGGATTTTCTTTCATAGTAAGCTGCCAGCAAGGCTCACAGCTACTCGTATCAGCAATTGCTGCTATGGGTATGGAAACTATATTGAAGCTGTTCAGCAACTGAGCAAGTCTTTGCTGTTACTGGGACGGAAAGCCTCATTCTCAGTGATACCCTGTCCCCATCCTGCCACGTTTGCTTTTTTTTTCCTGATAGAAATTTTAGGGTCTTGTTAAATACCCTTTTCTTTGGTCTTTTATAAAGCTTTCTCAAAAGGGATAATTAGCCTCTGCCTTTTTTTTCTCTCATTCCCTTTTGATGTCATGATATGTAGAACCCAATATCTTTCTCCACCTCCTATGTTTTCCGAATTAACCTTTTATCATATCTTAAATTAACATGCACGTCTTGGTTTCACCCTGTTTAAAAGAAAGAGAAAAGATTAATAGAATGATAATTAGTTTAAGGTCTTGTTTACATACACTGTTTTCTGATTTTACAATATTTTTAAATTATTTTTCAGGATTTTGTGAGCCACTTCCATGTACTTCTTCCCCGAAATATTATTCCATCCAAATTTAACATTCAGGATTTCTTCAGGAAAATAAATCTTAATCCAGATAATTATCAAGTTGGAAAAACCATGGTAAATATAATCTGTATAGCTCTGGTCAAAATTGAGTGCATTTATTTAAAAAATAATAATTTTTGCCTATGAGATTGTTTATTAAAAAGATAGTGAATCAGATATCAGAAGACAATTGGTTAGGCCCAGGTTTTTATTTAATTATGTAGTCAATATTAATCACAGAGCTCTGGCCAGTGCTCTAGTTCTGACTATAATTTTAACTGCCTAAAAATCATCTCTCCATAGATACTCTACTGTAATCTCCAAGCCAGCTTGCCCAAGGTGACCATATCCAGATTCATCTGTTCTTAAATTTATCAAATACTTTCTTTCTCTGTCACCCTTTTTCCAGTTTCTCAGTCTAGAAACCATAATTGTCTTTGGCATACCGTTCACTTTAATCCTTTCACAAAGTTTTAGGGATTTTTTTTCCTTTTACAAAGAGATTCTTACATCGCTTTCTGTTTCTCCATTACTACTGCTTCCATTTTATTTTTATTCCTTATCTCTTCTCATCTACATTGCTTATACAGTGAACAGCTTACTTATCTGATTCTAGTATATTTGTCATTCCATTTAATTTATTCTACTCATAATATTAAAATTATTATCTTAATATACTTAGTTCTTTATGTCTGCCTCCTGCTTGATAATAACCTCCTGATAACCTCCTCATTAAATCCAAACATCTTTCTCTTTTTTGAGAACCTTCATATTGTGGCTTCACATTACTTAATATCTTTTTTATGGAGATTAATTGTCCCGTTGTCTCCTGTGCATGCCTTTATTATTATTTTCAACTCTCTGTGTTACTCAGGTGGGATCTTTTGTCTCTGGCCCTTATTAGTTTACCATCTTCCTCTTCGGGTATATAATATCTACCTGCTCTCAAATGAGAGGTATAATTCCTGTTTCTAAAGGGATATGTCTCCTTCACCTTTGCAGCCTCACAAACCCTAAACATTAGTGGAATGAAGGAGTAAATAAAATAAACTTATTAATAACTTTGGACAGTGAGAAGCTTTTAATGCACGCTGGATTTCAAAAAGACTGTTATCATTGGTTTATTCATTATATGATTCAAGCTTCAAGATCTATGGTTTTCAACTTTTTTCCCCATCCCAACACGCTTGAAAAATATGACTTATTACCAGTAATACATTTACTCATAGCAGTGGTTTCCCCAATGGACTAATGTATCATAATCTCTGGCACTGGAATTTTGATATTCTTGCTCACCTTGTCATTTTTCCCTCCCTTCCTCCCTTCCTTACCTTCCTTTTTTTGTCTTTTTTTTTTTTGGAGACCAGGTCTCTCTATTTTGCCGTAGAACTGGAACTCCTGGGCTTCAGCAAACTTCCTGTTTCAGCCTTCTCAGTAGTTAGGAGTATAGGCATGTAGCACCACACCCAGCTCACCTTCCGTATTCTACTATCTCCATTTCAATTTGAGAATGACTACTTTGGATAAATCTGTAGGAATATTTATCAGTACTTCATTTACATGCCTGCCACTGTGTTTGTTCTTCTCTAAAAGCTTATCACAGAAAGGATGATTCATGAAATAAATTTCTCATTTCTTCTTAAGCTGCATTCCTCATCTTTCTTCCTTTTGGTAGGTCTTTCTAAAGGAGCAGGAACGACAGCACTTACAAGATCTGCTTCACCAAGAGGTGCTCCGCAGAATCATATTGTTGCAGCGATGGTTCAGGGTCTTGCTGTGTAGGCAGCATTTCCTCCATCTGAGACAAGCATCTGTTATTATCCAGGTGAGAAGCAAAGGATTCTTTGCATGAGATTGACTAGTTTATTTGGCCTTTGTTTAGTAACCAGAACCTTTTTACTGTAAAACATTTTCAGTAATAATGTGAACTTCAGAAATGAGAATATGTCGTACCCAATTTTGAAGTGCTCATAACACCCAACAGATTATCTGGCATATAATAGACTATTAATAAATATTGATTCCATTGAATTTAAATTAAATTGAATTTGTAGTTATAATGTCTTGTGAGATCTGTGTAGGGGCTAAGGAGTTACCTAATATTTGTTGACATAGTTGTTTTTATTTAATAGTTTTTGGAGTGATGTTTGAGAGTTGTATATATACCGTTGGTTTTAGACACTCATTTTGGATGATAGGTACCTTATTTTACATTTTATTTGTTTTATTAACTCCCTCATTGATTTATATCATTTCCATAAGATCTTTTCCATTTGTGCAAGAAAATCTTTAGTATCTTCATCTTTGGAATGTGTGTCAGGATTACCTTAAACCCATTAGTGTTATTTAGGAAAATTGTAACAAAAGAATATAATATGTTAAAGTTACTAATAATTTGAAGGACATGAAATCATCCAAAAATTTTAAATTAGGTTCTGTAATTAACTTCTTCAAGGTTATATTATTTAAAATAGCTGTTTTAGCCAAACATATCTGGAAGAGAAAACTTTTTTCTATTTATCTTTTTCAGGTACACTTTCTGCTTTTGTAGAAAACTAGTTTTTTTATTTTTATTTTTTTGAGACAGAGTCTCACTCTGTCACCCAGGCTGGAGTGCAGTGGCGTGAATTCTGCTCACTGCAAGCTCCAGCTCCCAGGTTCACGCCATTCTCCTGCCTCAGCCTCCTGAGTAGCTGGGACTATAGGCACCCACCACCACGCCCAGCTAATTTTTTTTGTATTTTTAGTAGAGACGGGGTTTCACCATGTTAGCCAGGTTGGTCTCTATCTCCTGACCTCATGATCTGCCTGCCTTAGCCTCCAAAAGTGCTGGGATTACAGGCATGAGCCACCGCACCTGGCCAGAAAACTTATTTTTAATCACCAAGAATTTAGCTGCATAGCCACTTAACCTGTAATTATGACATAAGAAATTTATTCTCTTTTTTTCCTGTGAAAATGCAGTGTAAGATATGACAACCAGTTTCTGTTATTTTGTCTTCCCCATAGAGATTCTGGAGGAATTACCTAAATCAGAAGCAAGTCAGAGATGCAGCTGTGCAGAAGGATGCTTTTGTTATGGCTAGTGCAGCTGCTCTTCTCCAAGCTTCCTGGCGTGCTCACTTAGAGAGGCAGCGGTACTTGGAGTTACGGGCTGCAGCCATCGTTATCCAGCAGAAATGGAGAGATTACTATAGGCGCAGGCACATGGCTGCTATTTGCATACAAGCAAGATGGAAAGCCTACAGGGAAAGTAAAAGGTACCAAGAACAAAGGAAAAAAATTATCCTTTTGCAATCAACATGTAGAGGATTCAGAGCAAGACAAAGGTAATCTCTATTACTATAATAATTGCTTTTTTTCTTCTTCCCAAGTACTTTGTTTATACCTCTGCATTAACACTTGTCTAATTTGTATTAGAATTGGTTGTATACAATTTGTCTTTTCCACTATACTGTGATACCGATTTTAACCCACATTGTATTGTCTATAATGGAAGTTAAATAAGGTTTTATTGAATTAAATTGGATTGAAAATCTACATGGTCTGTGATCATAACTGCTAAGAATTAACTTCTACATTAGGCTGAATCTTATAAAATTGGCAATATTCAACTGTTGTTACTTTCAGAAACTTTAATTTCACACTTAAATTAAAATTTCACTTTAATTTCACACTTAAAATTTCACTTTAATTTGAGGTTTACTTTAAAATAAAGGCATTATTAAAATGAGAGCTTTACTTCTGAATTAGTTTACATTTTGACTGAAATGCCTAGGTAGAAGTAATACACTTAATGAAATATCATCTGACTCATGGAAATAGGAAAATTATGAAATGTGCATTCAAGTTAGTTTAAGAAGAACTTAGGTATTATAAAAAGATTTTACAACTCTGCATTTTTTCTTAAATTCTCAGGAAATATGTTATTTTCAGTGGTAACTAAGATATTTCTATAACCCATTTTGTCTGTTTTTATATAGATTTAAAGCTTTAAAAGAACAAAGGCTAAGAGAAACAAAGCCAGAAGTTGGATTGGTGAATATTAAGGGATATGGATCTCTGGAAATTCAGGGTTCAGACCCTTCAGGATGGGAGGATTGTTCTTTTGACAACAGAATAAAAGCCATAGAGGAATGTAAATCTGTAATAGAGAGTAATCGAATTAGCCGTGAAAGTTCAGTGGACTGCTTGAAGGAGTCACCAAACAAGCAGCAGGAGAGAGCCCAAAGCCAGAGTGGTGTGGACTTGCAGGAAGATGTGCTTGTAAGAGAGAGACCCAGATCCTTGGAGGATCTCCATCAGAAAAAAGTAGGCCGGGCTAAGAGAGAAAGTAGGAGAATGAGAGAACTAGAGCAAGCTATATTTAGCTTAGAATTGCTGAAAGTTCGTTCTCTTGGTGGTATTTCTCCTTCAGAGGATCGCAGATGGTCTACAGAATTGGTGCCTGAAGGCCTTCAGTCTCCACGGGGTACACCTGATAGTGAGAGCTCTCAAGGAAGCTTGGAACTTCTGAGCTATGAGGAAAGCCAAAAGAGCAAACTAGAGTCTGTCATTTCAGATGAAGGAGACTTGCAGTTTCCATCACCTAAGATATCCAGCAGTCCAAAATTTGATTCACGGGACAATGCCCTCAGTGCCTCAAATGAGACTAGCAGTGCAGAGCATTTGAAGGATGGAACTATGAAGGAAATGGTGGTCTGCAGTTCTGAGTCTATTACCTGTAAACCACAGCTGAAAGACTCCTTCATTTCAAATAGTCTACCTACTTTTTTTTATATCCCCCAACAAGACCCACTGAAAACAAATTCCCAACTAGACACAAGTATCCAAAGAAACAAACTATTGGAAAATGAAGACACAGCGGGGGAAGCTCTTACTTTGGATATCAACAGGGAAACTAGAAGGTATCACTGCTCAGGAAAAGATCAGATTGTTCCTTCTTTGAATACAGAGTCTTCTAATCCTGTGCTTAAGAAGTTAGAAAAGCTAAACACTGAGAAGGAAGAAAGGCAAAAACAGTTGCAGCAACAGAATGAAAAAGAGATGATGGAACAGATTCGCCAGCAAACAGATATTTTAGAGAAGGAGCGCAAAGCCTTCAAGACAATTGAAAAGCCAAGAATTGGAGAGTGTTTGGTGGCACCATCTTCCTATCAGTCAAAGCAAAGAGTAGAGAGGCCATCCTCTCTCCTCAGCTTAAATACCTCAAATAAGGGAGAACTTAATGTACTGGGGTCCCTATCATTAAAAGATGCAGCTCTTGCCCAAAAAGACAGTTCCTCTGCTCACTTACCCCCAAAGGACCGACCTGTCACCGTGTTCTTTGAAAGAAAAGGAAGTCCATGCCAATCTAGTACTGTCAAGGAATTATCCAAGACAGACAGAATGGGCACCCAGCTGAATGTAGCCTGTAAACTCTCAAATAATCGCATTTCAAAAAGAGAACACTTTAGGCCAACTCAGTCTTACAGCCACAATTCTGATGACCTTTCCAGAGAGGGAAATGCTAGGCCCATTTTCTTCACTCCAAAGGACAATATGAGTATTCCCCTGTAAGTGAAATGTTTATTTATGTATAAATGGGAAACTTCTTGGAGTATTTTTATTAAGGTGCCTTGTTCTGCTCCAACTATTTGTGTAAAGTGGCTGCTCAACTTGGCCATTTTCTCTTTGTAAAAATATTCCCTAATTGTTGACTCTACCATCACCTGAAGTTGGATGTAGTTATATCCTAGGAATCCTTGACTGATCATGAATAGCAGAGTAAATACTGGGTTCCTCCCCATTAAGTGAGAAGCATTTGTGAAGGGCAGTACAGTGCCTATAAACATAGTAGGCATTCACCGAATACTGGTTGCTTTACAGCTGTGAAGTTTAGTAGTTGAAGGTTGTTTGTTTCAGGCTTTAAAGAAGTTAATTTGTTTTGTTACAGCTGTTGGCCTATTTATGGTCATCATTACGTTCATTATACTTCTTTGTATGTGATAAACACATAACATAAAATTTCCCATCTTAACCATTTTTAAATAATATAGTACAGTAGTGTTAACTGTATATACATTGTTTTGCAAAAGATCTCTAGAACTTTTTCTTCTTGTAAAATAAAACTCTGTACCCATTGAACAACTCTGCTTTTCCTTGTAGCCCCTGGCAACCATCATTCTACTTTCTGTTTCCAAGAGTTTACTTTTTATACTTCATATAAATAGAAATGAAATTTTTTTTTTTTTTTTAAGATGGAGTCTCACTCTGTCACCCAGGCTGGAGTGCAGTGGTGTGATCTCAGCTAACTGCAACCTCTGCCTCCTAGGCTCAAGCAGTTCTCCTGTCTCAGCCTCCCGAGTAGCTGGGACTATAGGTGCACGCCACCATGCCTGGCTAATTTTTGTATTTTTAGTAGAGATGGGGTTTCACCATATTTGTCAGGCTGGTCTCGAACTCCTGACCTCAGGTGATCCACCTGCCTCTGCCCCCCAAATTGCTGGGATTACAGGTGTGAGCCACCGCACCCAGCCGTAAGTAGAATTTCTTTATACTTTTTTAAACTAGAGGTAGTCATGAGAAAAGCATTTTTAAGTGGTACGTAAAAACAAATTTAACAAAATTGAAGATACTTGTATTATCTTTATATTTGGTAGATTCTTTTGGTTCTTATGGAGAATGTCATCATTGAAATGAAAGGAGGGCTGTATCTTTGGGTTAAAAATAAATTTTACATTAACAATGAAAATAACCTTTTCTCTCCTTTTATATATAACCCAAACATTTAAATGTTCCACCCTTTAAAATTTCATATGGATTTTAGAGAAATCCTTTGTAAATGTGGGCAAGAGATGATCAATAATATATTTTTCCAAGAGTCTCTATAGTATTACAAAGTGCAGTTGAGCTTAATGACAGTTTTAAGTATTATTCCCACCCATTAACCTACAGATTTCCCAGAAGTTCAAAGACTCTGTGTAGCATATGCATCCATAAGAGAGTGTTAAAAACATATTCCCTGTCATTCTAAGTTTAGTGATACATGGTATTCCATGCATATCTGTAAGTGAGCTCTTTAATATTCTTTAATGTCTATTAATTATGACATTTATGTGTGTGTATGTATTATAGGTGTATACACTTATAAAGTAGCTGTTGGATCCATGAATTTGTTTTGTAAAAAACAAATTGTGGATTCTAAAAAATATTAATCATCCTTGTGAAATATTTATCTTATTTTTCCAAGATACATAGTTGTAGGTGTATTTGAGTTGATTTCTTTTATTGCTTTATTAATGATCTACTTATCTTTAAAATTATTATATATTAGATTATATTAAACTCTACAGATAAAATTCATACTTTAAATCTCATCCTGTTGTATAAGTAATATTAGAAACATTAACATTTTGTAGAATCATAAATGCTGGTGCTTCTGAATTATGTAATCCAGTTCCCACATGTTACAGATAAGGTCACTGGGGCCCATAGAGGTGAAATGACTTATTCAAGATCATGTATTTAGAGAAATGGCTGGGACTAGAACTTGCATTTCATCATTAAGGATCGGCATTGGGTTTTATAATTAGAAAGTAATACTAGGTTAGTGTCCCTTTTGTACTGTAGTGGTGATGAGTACACAGTAGTTTTTAACTGTTTAATGAGAAAGGACAAAAAGAATTCATGGTGAAGTCTAAAGAAAATGTTGTGAGTTAAAAGGTTAATTGCAGTGGTCAAGTACTATCAAGATCCTATTAATTGTTGTTTCTCTTTGGAGGATAAATGAAGGTCCAATAGGCTCAACTGTGGCAAGAGAGATTTTGATAGCCAGAAGAGAATCCTTTAGAACAAGCTAGGATTGCTAGGCTTATACACATTGTACATACATTGCTCAAAAAGGGAGATCTCTAAGAAGCCTATAGCTAGCAAAGATTGCATCTATTTGTGTTTGTTTCGGGCTTATTGCATAGAGGCAAAGGGCAAGATAATTTCTTATGGCTCCTAGACTTACTTTTATAAAAATTAAATGAAAGATTTTGAATGGAAGAACAATTAATCTACCAACTAGTATCATAAGTTAGTGTCTAATTTTAGCTAGCACTATCCTTGGAAGTAAGATATGATTCTCAAGGAGCTTACAGTTCTGCTCAGGAGAGATTATCAATATGTTGTTGATGAGACTCATGGTACTGAGTTAATATAGGTAATTGGGGCCATGAAGGTTATATACACTTTTTCATCAGATTCTGGCATCTATTTCTGCCCAGAATTTAATGATAAAGCATTCTCATCATACAGTTTTTCAATCAAAATTAAATTTTCATAAGCTAACACTGTAACACCTGTATTGTCTGGAGCATACTTTTAGTTTGATAACAATTTCTTACCCTGCCAGTGTTGATTTTAGGCTATTCAACATCAAGCTTTTTGTTTGTTTGTTTTTTGGTTTTTTTGAGACAGTTTCACTCTTGTCACCCAAGCTAGAGTGTGCAGTGGCACGATCTTGGCTCACTGCAACCTCTGCCTCCTGGGTTCAAGTGATTCTCCTACCTCAGCCTTCCAAGTACCTGGGACTACAGCCACCTGCCACCACACCCAGCTAATTTTTATATTTTTGGTAGAGACGGAGTTTTGCCATGTTGACCACGCTGGTCTCAAACTCCTGACCTCAGGTGATCCGCCTGCCTCGGCCTCCCAAACTGCTGGGTTTACAGGCATGAGCCACTGCACCCAGCCTCAACGTCAAGTTTTAAAACTCAAAGACAGTGGATGAAAACTACAAAGAGAGATTTCAGAAGGAGTTTTCTAACCAATAAGAACCATCTCAGTATAAAATATAATGAGATCCTCATCCCTGGATGGCTATTTTTCAGGTATTTTATAATGATTAGATGGAAAGGCCCCTTGTAAGACTAGTATTCTAAAGATTCAGGGGTTTGGTATTTTCCTTTCCCCATCATCAGATCTATTTTATTTCTTGAGTTTATTTTGCAGCTACTATTCTTAAACATATGTCATATTCATAGTGGAATATACCCACTGATCATCAGGACAAGGCCTTTAGTAATTCAGTCTTATGCGTAGGTTCAGGATTATTATTACTAATTAGCTAAGCAGAAAAAATATGACTTAATTGTCTTGGGAATTGACTAAGATCTGAAAATATTTATGGAATTTGCTGGAAGTCTTTAACCTGGCTGCCATGGGATATCTGCTAAGAACTGAAATGTAATTTCATTGTTTTATTTAAAGTGTCAGCAAAGAAGCCTTAAACAGTAAAAATCCTCAACTCCATAAAGAAGATGAACCAGCATGGAAACCTGTGAAGTTAGCTGGGCCAGGCCAAAGAGAGGTAAGTTTTGAGTTTTTGTTTATCTATCTTCTATACAAAAGAGATGTACATTATTTTGGAAATTATTATTCTTGTAGGTAGAGCACCTCATCTACCCATTTACTCCCAAGTGTTTTTAGAGAAAGAAGCCATGAGCGGAGATTGTTATAATTATGAAGGTGTACTCCAGGCAGGGAATGGTGCCTAAAAACCCAGTTGCTAAGAAAAAGAAGGCAATTTGTGCAAGAGACTTTGTTGACTTACTATGGCAGTGAAAGATGACTTCTTTGGCTATGTAGAACAGTGTAGATTTAGCTTCCATTCTAGTCCTTCATCCAGAGTAATGTATACAGATTCCTTTTGGTCATCCCTGTCACTTCTGCTAGTGGAAAGGGCATGGTTGGGTGGAGGGATATTTCAAGAAATTCATGAGCCCTCTGATGTCTTTCATTGGCATCATCTCAAAAAGAACAAAAACCCCAAACATTGTTGTGTTATTTGTTTTATCATTTGGTCAAGCAGGTTGCCAGACCGGCCCATAAAAAGAAAGCTCGAATGGCGCGGACGCGCTCCGATTTCTTGACTAGAGGTACTTTTGCCGATGGGGAGGGGGATACAGAGGAAGATGATTACGATGACATTATTGAGCCCCTTCTCTCCCTTGACCAAGCTTCTCACTGTGAGCTAGGGCCTGCACCCAGCCTGGGTCAGGCCTCTCACAGTGACTCCGAAATGGTAATTTTACAGCAATATAAGAAAAATAGCAAGCAAATCTGATGGAAATAGTCTTTGCTAATCTAAAGCTAACCTTCACAGCTTCTTCCCATGTAATGGTTTGTGCATGGGAAACCTCAGTGAACACAGCAACTAAGCTAAACCTTAATTTAATAGAACTCAAATAAAGGGCACTTTAAAAAGCCACAAATTAGGCAAAATTAAGATTATTTGACTTGGCACTAATGTAGAAATTTTCCATGTTGTATCCTAAAAGGTCTAGAGCAGTGGTCCTTACATTTTTTCTGTAAACGGCCAGATAACAAATATTTTAGACTTTGTGGGTCATATAGTCTCTATTGCAACTACCTAACTTAACTACTTAACTCACCCACTGTAGTGTGAAAGCAGCCATAGACACTAAGTAAACAAATGGGCATGACCGTCTTGTAATAAAACTGCAAAAACAGACAGTGGATTGTATTTGACCTGTTGGCCATAGTTTACTGATCCGTGGTTTAGTTTACTGATCCTTGGTCTAAAATAATCCAGTAGCTTTTAGCTACAATGCACTTTTACATTTTTTGCCTGTAAACTTTCTTCCTCCACCTCACTTTCCACTAATAAGAAATAAACATGAATTTTAAAACATATAGTGAGCAAAAAGTGTCTTCCTGGACCAACCCAGCCAAATAGAAGGCTATATGTAATGTGAATTTGTATTAATCACACAATATAACATTGGTGTTGTGTTTGAATAAAGCTGCACCATTTTAAGCTAAGAATATAACTATATCATCTTCTCAGCCCAAATCAGGTGTATATGTGGTTTGACAAGTATTATAGTATATTGATGGGTATATTAATGCAAAGAATTTTATTTTGGAATTGTCCTAGAAATATATAAGATAAAGACCGTATGTCTAATATGAACCAGAACATCACTGATGAAGTAGAGTGAAATAACATTTTATTTCCATACATATCTGTAACTGAGCTCTCTAATATTCTTTAGTGTCTGTCAATTATCAGAGAAAAATTTTAGAATGGTCTTTATTTGACTCATTAAATATTCTATCTTTGAACTGTTTTAAGCTGTTTGAATTGTCAAAGATCTAATTAATTGAAATTTCTCCTATTGTCCAGAATACTCTCGTTGTCTTTTATCTTTTGTTGGAGGTAGACCCAGTTTTTAAGTGACAAAAGTGATGTTTTATGAAGGCAAAAACAACAACAACAAAAAGAGAAAAATGCAAAACAAGTCCCCTGATTAGATAAATGAGTCATTAACCTGAGCCGAACTGTAGGATTATAGAAATTGGAAACATTCTGTGTATCTGATAATATGTATAATTAGAGCCAAAATCTTCAGTGTAGAATAAAATAATAGCATTTTGGAGGTGCCCTGTATTTGAGTTATAAATAAGGAAATATACTGTGTTATCTGATTAACAGTTAAATACGAAATTATGTAATGGAACAAACTAATTTTGATGAAAAGTCCTGCTTTGTCTAGTATACATAGATTTATTGTTTGCAGAAAAACTTTGGCATTATGACTGCTGTTTTGTTTCTGAGAGTTTCCTTTGTAACAACCCTTAGTCCTTTTGGTGATAGACTTCTTTTACACTGGGAACTTTTACTGAGATGAACCAGGAAGTTGGGCTTTCTGCTTGGAGCATTCAGCTCCTTTCAGTGTTCTAGCCTCTGTTCACCTGCTTGACGGTCACTGCATGCCAGTAGTTGTAGAGCACTTCCCTGCACAGTGTGTTAGTCACGTCGCCAGCTTTCTCATTTTCTTCTCTTTCACCACGAGCTATTTTAGGAACAGGTGGTGGTGCTTGTTTCTGGTGGACACTGCATGAAGAAGCTTTGCTTTGTAGAATATGTGGATAGTTACTTACCAGGGTTGGGGATGGGGTGGGTAGGAACAATTTTTAAATGTGTTTCTCTTTTTATTTATCTTGAGAATATTCCACGTTCTAACATTATCTGATATTGTGAAGATGAAGATGTATTGTGTCTAAATAAAATCTACTACAATCTCACAGTATTTTCTGGATTTTAAATGTATTTGATTTTCTAGGTACATGGAGTTTTAAAAGCTGGATTTTTTTTTTCTGGACAAACTGATTTTATTACTCTGAAGTGTGTCATTAAATCTTGGAAGAAATTGCTGTATGACCTTTCTAATTGTGAAGTAACCCAATCTAATGGGATAAAGACATTCACAAATGAATTGAAGGAGATTTGAGTTTTTAAATTATTAATCAGTTGTTACCTGCTGTGGGAGGGGAAACAAGTGTAGTAGTTTCCCTCCTTAGTGACTTTGGTGTTTTTTAACCTCTTACTTCAAACGCTGCCGTTTGAATAACTGTTTAGTCTCTATGTGCTGCTCTCACTCCATTTTTATACACACCACATTGGCATTTACTCAAGAAGAATGGCGTTTTCTGCTAAGCAGTTGTTTTTAAGATAGTTTTTTTTTAGTTTCTGTCTTCTGAATGGTAAGCGGGTTAGTAAAATCATTTCTATTCCTTATTTATAGGATTAGTATAGGAAACATTATACTTTTCTCTGTACAGTTTTCTTTTATCATCCCCCAGATTTAAAGCAGTCATCTCTATGGATATGACTTCTGAATGGCTCTCCAGAATTTCAATCTTCATTACTTCTAGCATAGTAAAACTAAATTTCTCATTATTCCCCCCAAACTGCTGTCACTTCTTATATTCCTATTTCTGCTATTCTCTGAGATACTCTCTGATCCTTGTCTGTGTTGAATTTTCTTTCTCTCTGATGTCTACTCCATAGACTGCCAGAAAAACCTGTTGATCAAACAAAGCTGTTTATTAGCTTATTACAGTAAGAGAAAACCCACTTTGACTGTGTCTTAGTAATATCTCACAAGGGAGAAGTCAGGAGAGGATATTCATAAAGTTTTAGGACCTGGGCTAGGTGATTTTGAGGTTGGTCTTGCGTGGTAGAAAACTGGTTGTTATTGAACAAAGTTCATTACTTAAGAGTTTTGGATTGGCAGCCTTAAGACAGCAGCCACACTGTTGACTATACACTTAGTATTTATATGTGTATTTTATTTCTCTAAAAAAAGTCAGGACCAGTTTATAGCATTGCAGCTATCTGTTCTTTGAAGATTTGGCAGAATTTTTCTATGAAACCACCTGGGATTGGTACTTTTTTGTGGTGTAGTTCCTGGATAAGTTTTTCTTTTTTTCTTCTAGGGAAATCAGTCTTTTTTAAACCTTTTATCTAACAGGGTCAATTTTGGTAAACCCTTTTTTCTTATAAAATTATCAATTTCATCTAACTTTTCAATTTATTTGCACAGAGGTCTGGAAAGTAAGATCTGGGCACAGAGCCATGTGCCTGTAGTCCCAGCTACTCAGAAGGCTGAGGCAGGAGGATAACTGGGGCCCAGGAGTGCAGGGCTGCAGTGAGCTGTGATTGTACCACTGCACTCCAGCCTGAGCAACAGAGCAAGACCATGTCTCTTAAAAAAAAAAAAAAAAAAAAAAAAAAAGGTTTGTTAGACCCAAACAGTACTCAGTCTAGGGCTAATTATTCTTGACTATTGAGGTGAGATCCTCTCTATACTTTGCCCAGTGCCCTGGGAATCATAAAGTTATATGCTCTGGCTCTTGGGCATAGACACTATTACTGACCTTTTGTGAGTGATGGGCTCAATTACCTTTAATCCTTTCAAGTGATCTTTTTCTTGGTCTTGGATTGTTTTCTCATACAAAGTGTTGATTAGTACTCAAGCTGAACATTCAATGTGGACCTTCTGTAGATCTCTAGAGTTCTATCTTTGTGCTTCTCACTCCTCTCCAGTACTCTGTCTTTTGGTCTCTAGTCACTGTGCTCACCTTGGACTTTCAGCTTCATGTGTTCCACTTAGAGTCTGTCAAGTTTCACCTGGGTTCCTCCTCTCTGCATCACAGCCTAGAAACAAGTGTAGAACATACTTCCCTTTTTTCCCATCTCTCAGGGGTATCTGTCCATTGTTTTAAACATTGCGGTTTCATATTATTTTGTCTGGGTTTTTTGTTGGTTTCAGGTAAGTGGGTAGACCAGATCCCTATTACTTCATCTTTGCCAACTTAAGGTATTTCCTCTTTCTGTTAATAAGGCCATAGTGAGGCAGACCAAAAGGCTAAAGAAAGAATATTATAACTACAGAAAAATGAAATATTAGGAAATGACTTGAATAGATAACAAGAAATTCTCTCCTCAGAACAGGATTGTCTTTAGAGGGACACATTTTAAACAAATGGAACAAGAACTGCCAATTAAAAATCAGGTCACAGTTTGATAGCCTTATAAGTTGTTTATAATTTAGACCATTAATAATGGTAATGAGCCTTTATCCTGTCATCTTTTGGCTCTTTAAAAATCATTGCATATTCCATCTCTTTTAAATTATTGATTAGATATATGAAGAACTTATAATAGCAAGTTAAGCCATGAAAGTAATAACCACCTTTTGGGATAAATAAAAGGAGATTTGAAAAACAATACTTAGCGTTCTAGATTTATTAGATCCTGCATCTTTTGTCTCTATCTTTAAATGGTTTTCACTTTCTTGCCTTTCCACTTGAGATTCTTTTTTAAATTGTCAGAAAATATGAACTGGTAGATCCTGTTTATTTTCATTGACCAAGTCATCTTTATTTCAGATTACTTTATATAGAGTTTTCAGTAGGCTCTATTATTTCAATGAATCTCTGAATAATATCAATGTTTTGTGTGTTTTTAAATAGCTCAAGTAATTCTGTAACCTGAATTTAAATTACAGTGCTATCATATATTTACTTGGCATTAAATCTTTCACATATGTAATTATTACAGACATCACAGCGATTTTCGTCAGTTGATGAACAAGCAAAACTTCATAAGACTATGTCTCAAGGAGAGATTACCAAGTTGGCAGTGAGACAGAAGGCTTCAGATTCAGATATAAGGTATAAAGTATACACGGAGTTAACAGGGGTTATATAATTTTATTTGATAACTGACTATAGTTAAGTACTGAGCTTTTTTAAAAAAACCATAATTGATAGGCCACTTTTGAAATTAAACTTATTTACCAATTTTTCAAGAAATGGTAAGTACCTACTGTTTATAGGCACATAGTAGTTAAGATATGTGTTGAAGAGAAGAAAAGAAAAATTTCCCTCAACCCTCATAAGTTCATAGTTGGGACAGAATCCTGTAACAAAAGACAGATTAACAAGAGAAAAATAAGCAAGTTAGTGCATACAGTGCATGCACATCATGCAGAGGAAAGGTAACTCAAAACAGTGGTTTAGGAATCTGGCTTATACATTGTCTTCAACAATGAACAATTAATTTTAGAGAAGTGACAAGACAAAGATAAGCAGTTTCAGGCTTCCAAAGGTAACAAAACTGGGAAGGTAAATTTATGGGGAAACTAACGGAGTAAAGTTGGTAGATTCCTCTGATGTCATTTCTAGCTAATAAAGGTCTACACTGTCTCCAGTGATTTTCTGTCCTTGTTGGTAGAGAGGGAAGAAAGAACACCTTTCAAATTTATATCCTGCTTTTAGGCGAACAGGGGAGGGTAGAGAGCTTTTCTGCATCTACTTCTTAATTGCCTTTAGCTTAAAAATATTTATCTCAAAGAGGAATATTTTGGGGTGGCACATACTGGTTCCCTTCAGTATAATGGGCTTTATCTCCCTCTATACTTAGCAGTATGATTTGGGGAAAGTCTCCAAATTGTTACATGACTTATGGTATTTTGTTGTAAAAGAGAATGAGACTAAATAAGATTGAAAATAGGTGCCAGCTTTGGACTTGGATTCTGTTCTGAGGTAAGCATTTTAGAAATGGAACTGAAAAGGCCTTTCAGGAGATAATTCTGTTCTCTTTAAGAGAGCTTATGGAATTTTTATTTTTCAAATAAATATCTTTGTCCCTCATTATGTTGTATAAGCATTTGGGCCTCGCAGAAAACTTACAAGATTATGTTGAAATTTTTCTGGTTCATAACCATATTAAAGACCACTTTTTCGCTGACTGTAGAGGTATAATCTAAGGTAATCCAAATCCAGAGCAGATAATACTAGAAACCAAATATTGAGAAATAAGATGTGACACAGTAGAAGAACATACATCTGGAAATAATAGATTATATATATTTAGTTTCCACGTCCTCCCCCACAATTGCTAAAATGACAAAATCTACGAAGGACTTTTCTCCCCCTCAAAAAAACTTAGAAGTGAAAACAACTGCAATAAAACTGTGGAATCCAAAAAGTAAATGGACTTTAAATTTTAAATATGTTAATACATACTAGAAAGCCAAATCCTAATCCAGCTAAGTAAAGCTGAGAAAGATACATCTAGCTGGCTGACCTTCCCCAATTATAGCAGAACAAGAAATTTATTATCTGGAAAGTATAAAACAGAGTATCTCTGGACCTGGAGTTTACTAGATACAATTGAGGGCTGGGGCACATATTTGGAACATAGGGATTTAATGACTGTTTATATACAGAATGTTAAGATTTGCCAGCCTTCTTCATTTCCCATACCCTCTAAGCAAATGGTTCTAAGCAAATGGTTCAAAGAGTTTTGGGGACTTCTGTCTAGCCCTTAGGGAAAACCCTGAATATATTACTATCAGGAGCTCTCCCTGCAAAGTCAACCAACCAGATAACCCTGTAAGGAAGACCATACTTTAGCAGGCCCACCAAGGCACACTAGAGCTTCCAAGCAGCCTCTTTCTTTTTTTTTTTTTTTTTTTTACCCTACTTTAAATAATAATCACATACCACTGATCACCGTATATTTGAGGAAATACCTTATATTGAAGAAACCAAAATTAACAGATAAAATACAACTTGGAAGAAATAAACTATACAGGGAATAGAACACTTCAAGATAGACAAATGTAACTATCAACAGGCCTTTTGCATAACAAATACAATTGTATTCATGAAACCAAATGGTGCATGAAAGAGAAACATTCATAATAAAAAGAGCTTTTGAAGATTAAAAATATGATAAAGGAGCAACTCAAGAATCAAAAGGAAATTTGAGGACATATCTCAGAATGTTGAGCAAAAAATGAAGAAATGGAAGAGATGGGAATATTAGAGGCTCCATTCAGGAGATCCAATGACCCAATGGTAGGAACTTTGGAAAGATAGAACCGAGAAAACGGAGGATAAATTATTGAAAAAGTAATTCAGCCAAATTTTACAGAACCGAAGGACACGATTTTCCAGATTTGAAGACGCCACTGAGTGCCCAACATAGTGGATGAAAATAGACCCATACCAAAAGACATGTTGTTATGAAACAAAAGAGACAAAAGGAATCTGTTACAATGATGAAAGTAGCTTTTCAAATGACAACTGCACAGCAGGCAATGAGGGAAACCACTCCAAATTGGAGCAAGTTAGAAGGCTCTGGGAGAGATTTTTTTCAACAAGATGAAACTGATAAAGTACCTAATACATTTGAATGTATTGAGAGTTGATAGAAATGGGGAAACACGTGGAGGTGAATTGTATATAGAAAAGTGAGGAAATGAAAAATCAAACAGTTTTCATGAGCAAATTTTAAAAATCCTCTAGAATAAAGTAGATTATTTAGGGAATTACATCCCTCAACTGTGAATATTATTTACATAATAAAAATAAATACTGAATATCATTAAAAGTAAATACTGAATATTGATCTAACTAAAATTACAGTATAATTCTTTTGGGGGCACATGTTTATGGTTAGGACTGGAATGGTGGAACATGCCTAATCATTATCTGTGGCCATGAGTATGATAGTTACAGAAGCACACTAAATATCAGAAGAATTAGTTAAAGCAATTCAAAAGTGTTGCCTCTAGGGAGCAGAAAATGGGGTGAGCATGGCAGAGAGATACTGTTGTTTTTAATTAGTCTTGTAGAACAATTTCTCTTTTTAATGTATAAATATATGAGTTTAGTAATAAGCTTTTTTTTAAAAAAAAAAAAAAAAAGGAAGAAAGAAAGAGCTCATGGGCTTCAAAACCAGATAGACTTGATTTTAACTTCCATCTCCATCAGGCCTGTAAGCCTTAGTTTGCTCATGTGTAAAGTAAGGATAATACTGTTTATCACAGTAGTTGTGAAATTAGGAATATCATATATAAGGCATAGTACCTGTCACCTAGTACATACTCAAAATTTTTTAATTGAATGATTGAACAGACAAATGAACAGATAAATTAATTTACAAATAAACCTCCAACTATGAGGTTAGAATACATAATATATGGTCAGTAACTACATGCCATTGTTATCGCAAGGTACTTCTTTGATGTAGATGATGAAAGCGTGTACAAGCACTAAGAAGAGGCAATACAATATAATAGATGTGGTTCTGAATTTTTCACTCACTGTGAAACTTTGGGAAAGTTACCTAATATATAAGTCTCCAGTTTTTCACCTGTAACATATTTATAGTAGTTTGTTAAAAGCAAAGTTGTTACTATCACCTGTTCTTTAAGAAAAAAGAAAAAAGCAAAGTTGATATTGTAATTAAATTTTGTAAGCACTGTGCCTGGAGAAAGATACAAGTTCAAATAAGTGGCTGTTAATAATACTAATAACTCATGAATGTAAATAGTGACATTAAAGCTTTTATTATGTAATGGTGAGTGGAAAGATTTAAAATGCTATGTGCATCATGATAACAGTGATGTAAAACTTGCCATACTTATGGATAAAGACTGGAAGGAAATGACAAACAAAGGTAAACTAATGTTTTTTAGAGTGGTAGGATTATTCGTGATTTCTTTAAAAAGTATTTTCTTTGTTGTTAAATTGTGTATATACTAAATCCAAGCTGGATGGGGGACAAGAATGAAAATAAACCAGTTTGGGAGTTAGAAAACTTGAGTTAGAATTCTAGCTCCACTGCTTTGTGGCTGTTTCATCTTAGAAAAAATATTGAACTTCTCTGGGTTTTGTTATTTCTGTATTCAAGATGTTTCCTCATCTGAATATAGAAATAACAAAACCCAGAGAAGTTAAATAATTTTTCGCCTTTCAGTTTCAGGTGAAGTTTAAATGCAAAAGTAAAGATAAATACACTTAATTTAAATGTGAAGCTTAAATGAGCTAATATACATAGAAGATTTGTAAAGCTTAAAGTGATATATACAAATATTATCACTGAGATACTCTTAATTTCCATTTTTACCTTTATTTCTTTAAACAGACCTCAGAGAGCTAAGATGAGATTCTGGGCCAAAGGGAAACAAGGGGAGAAGAAGACTACCAGAGTGAAACCTACTACCCAGTCAGAGGTTTCGCCACTCTTTGCAGGCACAGATGTGATTCCAGCTCATCAGTTTCCAGATGGTAAAAGTGACCAAAGGGTGGAACTTGTGTTCATAATTTCTGTTCACTCTTTCTGAAAGTTTGCTATTCCTGTAGTATTCATAATGTCAATCCTGTTGGCTGGATGTTCTAATGAGATAGGACCAGCATTGTTAAATCCTTCCTTAACTAAAAAATAAAGTTACATTTTTCCTACAATAGAAGTTTCCAAAAAATGCATCACAAAACAATGAAGCAGCAACCACCTCAAAAATGACTGTGTATCATAGGTTAGCCTTAATTTTCTAAACTAAAAAAATGTAGCCATTATTCATTCATTTAACAAATATGTATTACTGGTTATAACTAATAGCAGCTAATATTTGAATGCTTACTACATGCAAGGCACTGTGGTAAGCATGTTATGGTTATTAAGTCAGTTGCTCCTCACAACAGTTTTTTGAGAGTTAGTATGATTATTATTCCCAATTTATGGATGAGAAAACTCAGGCACAGAGAATTTTTTTTATTAGGCCAGGCACGATGGTTCACACCTGTAATCCCAGCGCTTTGGGAGGCTGAGGTGGGCAGATCACATGAGTCCAGGAGTTCAACACCAGCCTGGGCACATAGTGAAACCCCATCTCTACAAAAAATATAAAAATTAGCCAGGCATGGAGGCATTTGCCTGTAGTCCCAGCTACTTGGGAGGCTGAGGTAGGAGAATCGCTTGAGTCTGGGAAGTTGAGGCTGCAGTGAGCTGTGATCACACCACTGCACTTCAGCCTGGGGGAAAGAGTGAGACCCTGTCTCAAATAAATAAATAAAAAAGAAAAGTTATTTATTTATGCACATATAGTAACTGGAAGAGCTAAGAGTTGAATCTAGGCAGTCCTGCTCCAGAGTCCATAGTCTTAACCACTGTGTTGTATATTAAGTACTTGCTATATTTCAGTACCTAGCAGATGCCTGGCACTTTATAATAGCTATTATTTTTCAATTTTAGAGACAAGGTTTCACTATGTTGCTTAGGCCGGAGTGGTGTGATCATAGCTCACTGTAACCTCTAACTTCTGGGCTCAACCTATCCTCCCACCTCAGCCTCCCAAAGTGCTGGGATTACAGCCATGAGCCACCATGCCCAGTCCCATAGCTCTTATTTTAACTTTCTGGGCGTGCAGCATAACACATTTGAGAAGTACTCAACAGTTAGTTCATCGTTCAGAAAACTGACCTCTCTAAATGGGAAAATTACTTACTCTCCAAGTTATCCTAATGTTAGAAGATTACCACTTCTCAAGCCCTTTTCTCAGGTATGCCTGAGAGTTTTTAGCTACTACGTAAAGATACCAACTTCTTCAACAGAGATATACATCCAAGGTGGATATATGGTAATGTGGGTGAAATACCAGCATTGACTAAAATAGAAAGAGGTCCTCGGAAGAAAGCTTAAGGCAGGATAGAACAGACCCAGTTACAGTAAGAAACCAGCATCTTCTCATATCTAGGATAAAATAGAGAAACAAGGAGGAAAGATCATCAAGCTTCCCAGAGGGGTGAATGGGCTTGAGCTCTCTATGCCAGAGGAAAGAATGGTGGAAAGGTAGTTAGACCCCTGTTTTTGTATCTTATGGCTTTGCTTCTATCAGTTGAGAAATGGATGTGAATAAAACCAATAACAAGTTAAATGAATACTACAGGTTTAGGAAGCTGGGAATTCCCTACTATTGAATGGCTAAGGTTATCAGTTTCTTATATCTTGTCTGGTTGACAGTCATCCTTCTAAGTTTTTTATTTCCCACAATTATATTCTTTGCTGCTAATTCTTGAGAAAGAAGTATAAACTCTAATTGAAAATTCATATTATAAGCAGACTTTGTTGTGTGTTTGCTTCATAATGACACATGTATAAAACTTAGGATTATAGCTTTTTATTTATATTTGGAAAAAATGTATTAAGGTAGGCCTTGTTTTTAATGCTAATATGGGATTATGGATAATTTCTTTAGTAAACATTTATTTTATTAATAAGAAAGATACTGACTTTGCTAAATAAAATAGATACTTAATATATCTAAGCTGTATAATAGAATTAAAATCAGTTGATATATGTTTGAATATAATTGTATCCTGTATCTTTATATTCTTTACTCTTGTGTCATAGTTGAAATTGGGTTTCTCTCAATTCCTGCCTGAGGTGGTATTTAGCATGTAGGGGGCTACTTTTTTCCTTTATTATCAAAGTTAGTTTGGATAGAATCAGGATATACCATTGGACAGAGGGTAACGAGCATACACATTGGGAAGACAAGCATGTGAAATGAGAGGAGGTAAACATTTTCATCGAGCTCCAGATAGGGTTTGGCAAATCTGGTCTAGTTCTAAGTTGTAATGGGCTACATAGAATCTAATTTCTCCGTTGTAAACATTTGTAGAGAAAAATTGTAGAGAAAATAAATTGACAGTTATTTGGGGGATGTTTAAGAAAATCCTAAATGCTGAAGAGACCCAAGCAGAAGTAAGCCAGTTGAGTTACTTGGCTCCCTAACAGGTTGCCAGCAATCACCAAATGTTATCACAGAAGTATTCAGGACTTTAGACTGTAGTAAAGAAATAATAATAATTATCAAACTCCACTGGTTTGTTGGACTTGTATATAGCTACACATATTGTTTCAAACATGTAGCAAAGCTATGACTTTGTTAACAGTAAGCATTTAATATGCTAGTATGGTTTTATATTCTCTTCTTTTCTTTGGGACTGAGATCTTTGGGATCTAACTTGACGTCCTGCAAAGCATTTCTATCCAGGTTTTTAATATCAGACTTCAGCTTCTTGGGAGATATGATATCATCTCCCTTTGAAAAGTGGTAATTTTTAAATACGCTTTCTGTACAAATGTGCTGTCTGGATTTATTGCTTAGCTGCCTAACCTCAAACATTAATGTTACTTTGCTATTCATATATTTGCATGTTTCCTTCAGTGACTTGTTAAAGGAACTTTAAAAAGAAGGATGTGAAGATTATCAATATATTTACTAAATGTGTCCTTTTGGGTCTTCTATCTTGAATTGTAGAATTAGCTGCATATCACCCAACACCTCCTTTGAGCCCAGAACTGCCCGGCAGTTGCCGGAAGGAATTCAAAGAGAACAAAGAACCTTCTCCAAAGGCTAAGCGCAAGCGAAGTGTGAAGATTAGCAACGTGGCTTTGGATTCTATGCATTGGCAAAATGACTCTGTCCAGATCATAGCAAGTGTCAGTGATTTAAAAAGCATGGATGAATTTCTTCTGAAAAAGGTACACTTTATTTGCCACGTCAGGCCCTGGAGCAGCTCTGTGTATGGAATACTTGTGTATATCAGGATATACTCTCTAGATATCAAAATTACATATGCTTCCATGCTTTAGATGATCTGTTCTTTACCAGAAAGGTGTGAATAATAGGATATGCATTAGTTAGACTGGGTAGACAGGATTTAAGGTTGTAGGCTTTAGTAGTGACTTTAATTTTCCTAAAATTGTCAAATTTCATATGGGAAGGTACAGCTTGTTGCACACGGGAGTTTTCTTGTAACAGAACTATAGAATCATACAATGTTAGAAGGAACCTTAGAAATCATAGAGTAGTAATTATAGTTTGACTGTCTAGTCATAACTTTCACCTGAGTCCTATAATAGCCTGTGGCTTGCACTTTGAGGACAGTCATTGTGGAAGCAACAATACATGCCTACTGTTGTATTTACTTCTTTTCAATTAGTTGATTGTGTACTAAAACTCGTTTTGTGGTTCCCAGGTGAATGACCTAGATAATGAAGACAGCAAGAAGGATACACTAGTGGATGTTGTATTTAAAAAAGCCCTGAAGGAATTTCGGCAGAATATCTTCAGCTTTTATTCATCTGCATTGGCGGTGAGTTGGACTATGTTAGGAGATATTTAGTAGTTCAACATATGAAAAATTTGATAGCGCTGTAGAAGATAATACAAAAGCCATGTTTCGTAAGAGATTTCTCCAGTGCCTTGTTTTTGTTTTAGGGATAGACAAGGAAAATGAATGGTTTTTGTTTTAGGGATAGACAAGGAAACTGAATGGTTTCAGATTAAAAGCTCCCTTGAATTTCCTTGAGTAGCTTTTTCCCACCTTACAGCTGTTTTTTTCATCTTTTAAGATACTGACTTCAGATGTCCTGGGTATGATTCTGTTTTTGCCTGTGACTTTTCATAATCCTTTTAGCTCTATTGCTAGGCTATAATGTCTAATTTTCCTTTGTGAGGAATGCATTATATGTTTTCTTTTAATGGAATTAGGGCAGTTAGTTTATGGACACTGATTTCTACATATCAGTTTATATCACTTTGAGATTTACCTTATACTTTCACATGATACTGGTCATGTTTTAGA
This sequence comes from Homo sapiens, assembly GCF_000001405.40. Taxonomy (NCBI): domain Eukaryota; kingdom Metazoa; phylum Chordata; class Mammalia; order Primates; family Hominidae; genus Homo; species Homo sapiens. The sequence continues at coordinate 71,879,228 of NC_000015.10, read as the reverse complement.
AAATTTATTTTTGGTGTGTGCAATTAATGCTTTGGTCTATAGAAGCATTAGTGTTTATGAATTATCATATTCTGTAAAAGAATTCATATTTTATTGGCTTTTCATTGTTCAATATATTCTTTAATTCACTGTGAAGAGAAAAATCTGGAAAGCTTTTTAATTTATACTCTACTTGGCTGGGCGCAGTGGCTCAAGCCTGTAATCCCAGCACTTTGGGTGGCTGAGGCGGGTAGGTCATGAGGTCAGGAGTTCAAGACCAGCCTGGGCAATATGGTAAAACCCCGTCTCTAATAAAAATACAAAAATTAGCTAGGTATGGTGGTGCATGCTTGTAATCCCAGCTACTGGGGAGGCTGAGGCAGGAGAATGGCTTGAACCCATTCAATAGCTTGAGGTGGAGGTTGCAGTGAGCCGAGATCATGCCACTGCACTCCAGCCTGGGTGACAGAGCAAGACTCCGTCTAAAAAAAAAAAAAAAAAAAAAAAAATTCCAGATCTCATTTAAATAAAAGAAATTCTATTTCAGTTCCTTGCAAATAATATGATGTTATTCTGGGCATGTCACTCTTCTTTGGAAAAATAAATTGGTTACTTAATATATGCTTAGGCAATGATTCAAGTATTCATTCTTTCAATTTTAGAGTAGAACCATCTAAACAAGGTTCATTTCTGGGGAGGAAAGTAATTAAGAGGGATGCAAATAACCTTTATAGCTACATAAAATTAAAAAGTCACACTTAGAAGAGAAATTCTCAAGACTTCCTCAAATTATTACCGTCAGGTTTTTTACTAAAATTTAGCATGTTTGATTCTGCATTCATCCCATACTAGAATGGGAGTTTACAAATACCACATGACCTCATGGGCATGCTCATTAGAAATTATATCAGGATCCTAATCTTTATTCTAAATACTACCCCATTACAAGTGTAATCTTTCCTCTATATTTAAGGAGTTTCTTTATAAAACCATACATTTCTTTTCTTATTGCTTATAGATGGATGATGGGAAAAGCATACGGTATAAAGACCTCTATGCACTATTTGAACAGATTCTGGAAAAGACGATGAGGCTTGAGCAGCGTGATTCACTGGGTGAATCTCCAGTGAGAGTTTGGGTCAACACTTTTAAAGTGTTTTTAGATGAATATATGAATGAATTCAAGACTTCAGATTGCACAGCCACAAAGGTAAATGTGATATATTTTGATTACTTAAAGGATTTAATTATGAATTCTTTTTAAGAGCGTTTGGGACATCTTGTATTTGAGAAATTTGAGAAAAATTTTATTTTGAGAAAAACATTACAGGGAACATGTCAACTTAGCGCCACTTTAGATCCTCCAAACTTCATTCTGTCTTATAATTTATCAGACCATATTTTCTAAACCGTCTGTAATCAATACTTTGTTCACTGAGTTAAAACATAATGTTCTGCCCTCAAGATTATACTCTTAGCTTTAATAGAGATCGGGGTGGGGCGGTGGCTCATGCCTGTAATCCCAGCACTTTGGGAGGCCTAGATTGGCAGAGAACTTGAAATCAGGAGTTCGAGACCAGCCTGGTCAACATGTCAAAAACCTATCTCTACTAAATATACAAAAATTAGCTGGGCATGATGGCAGGCGCCTGTAATTTCAGCTACTCAGGAGGCTGAAGCAGGAGAATCACTTGAACCCAGGAGGCAGAGGTTGTAGTTAGCCAAGGTCACGCCACTGCACTTCACCCTGGGTGGCAAAGTGCGACTCCGTCTTAAAAAAAAAAGAGATAAGTATCTGAATTTCCTTTTGAAAAATTATAGTTAAAGATGTGATTCATTGTATTACCCAGTGGCCTCTTTATAAAAACCTACAAATTATATTTATTCTTGAATTAGGTTTTAGGAAAATACGTGTTTTGGGAAGTCTGTATAATAATAATAACCTTTTTATTTTGAGTGCCTGTTACGGCCTGAGAATCGTACTCGGTGTTGTGTATTTTATTTAATTCTTGCTTCAGCCTTATTAAATAATTTTTATAAAATCCATATTACAGAAGAGACATCAGGCTTAGACAAAGTTATCAATGTGTTTCTTTTCAGTACCCCAGATGAAATAATTAGATACCTATTCATATCAAGAATACCATCAATATTTTGTATTGATTATGTTCCATTTTATTTTTAGTTATTCTACCTTATATGTATTTAAATTTCCAAAACCTCTTCAATCCCATTTTTGAAGTTTTCAGATATAAATAAGTTCTGGACAGTTCTTCAGTTCTAGATCTAGGTTAAGGTCTTTATGCTGAAGAAGATTCTTAGTAGGCTTCTACTACGTTTGTTTTTAAGTTTAAAAGGTTGGGTTTAGATTGTTCTGTACTATGGTTATCAGGAAATGTCATATGGAAAAGAGTTTTTCCGTGTCCCAAATGTTGCCTTTTTGTATATATTTTATATTTAGCTCCATGGTAGTTTTCTACAGCTAAAATACGGGAAGTAAAATCTTTAAAACAATCAGCTTGGCACAGTGGCTCATGCCTGTAATCCCAGCACTTTGGGAGGCTGAGGTGAGCAGATCACAAGGTCGGGAGATCGAGACCAGACTGGCCAACATAGTGAAACCCCGTCTCTACTAAATATACAAAAATTAGCCAGGTGTGCTGGCACACGCCTGTAGTCCCAGCTACTTGGGAGGCTGAGACAGGAGAATTGCTTGAACCTGGGAGGTGGAGGTTGTGGTGAGCCAAGATTGCACCACTGCCCTCCAGCCTGGGCAACAGAGCAAAACTCCGTCTCAAAAAAAAAAAAAAAAAAAAAAAAAAAATACCAGCCAGGCGTGGTGGCTCAAGCCCGCAATCCCAGCACTTTGGGAGGCCGAGGCGGGTGGATCATGAAGTCAGGGGTTTGAGACCAGCCGGTCTCAAAAAATACAAAAATAGCCAGATGTGGTGGTGTGTGCCTATAATACCAGCTACTCAGGAGGCCGAGGCAGGAGAATTCACTTGAACCTGGGAAGCAGAGGTTGCAGTGAGCCTAGACTGCACCAATTGCACTCCAACCTGGGCGACAGAGCAAGACTCCGTCTCAAAAAAAAAAAAAAATCAATTAATGATTAAAATAAAACAATCATTTAAATTAATATGGCGGTGGCTTCTGGGCAGAACTGAGGTTTAAAAAAGAATAATCTCTAAAGTATCCTTCCATTCTGTTGCTGTCATTGGCAATTATGTTTTATCAGATTTTAAATTTTTTCTCACATTTGCTTATTAGCACTGCACAGTTCCTCTTGGAGAATAAAGAAATGACTATTGTGTTACCTGTTGAGCAAGTATCTTAACATTTGCAATGAAGTAAGAAAGTATGTTAGTCTTTGTTATCACAATTTCCATATATCTCCTGTCCCCCTGTCAGGTGCCAAAAACAGAAAGAAAGAAAAGAAGGAAAAAGGAAACTGATTTGGTAAGTTATAATCTGTTTTTTAAATTAAAAAAGTAATTTTCAGATCAGTTGTCTGAGGTATATCATACAATATATATGTGGATATATTTATGAAATAAGTTTATCAGGTACCTAGGCAATAATCATATTTATATCTTTACAAAAATTTAGAATGATTAGATGTGACTGGACTTGTTATCAATGATAGCTTCCTAAAATGGCAGAAAACTGAAATTGTTTACTCATGAAAGAAAAAATATTATTTCTTTTCAGAACTAGGGGTGGGGAAGGAGCTCTTCAGGAGTTTTCTCTCCCTTCTAAAGAAAACAGGGGTTATTTAGGATTTTACAATTATAAATACTTTCAATTCAAAAGACATTTCTGAAGGCATTTGAACAAATTTTATCATTGTTCATGTTTATATACAATCACACAATATATACAATCACACTTTTTCACGCTGACATGCTGACATGTATGAGGTTCTTTATTGAAGAGGACTTTGTAAAAGCAAAAGACTGCAAACAACCTAAATATATAGGGAAATGATTAAATAAATTAGACACATCTATATGATATATATCCAATATATGATGTTATCATATATACATCATATACACAACATCATTTATAATATCTATCATATATATAATACAATAGATAGAAACATAGATACAAAATATATATCACATATATATTATGTGGTTTATGATAATTTGTGCAATTACAAGGATGAATTAAGCCCTTAAGGTGTGCATAATCTACAAGTGGAGGCAGTAAAAAGTTTTCAAATTATTACTGTCAGGTATGATAAATATTATAGTAGGAATAATACAAAGTGCTGTTGGATACAGAAAGGGGAAATGAAGGAATAGTTTACAGAAGAGAAAAATACTTTTGCTAATTCTTGACAAGTGAGTAGTGGTTTAGACAGTCAATATCTAGCCATTGGGAAAAACAGTATGTACAAATGTGTGTGAATGAAGAAGCTGCTATGTTGAGCCAGTTGCTTTGATTGGCTTAAGTGTTGCATGTTCATATGAAGGCGTTTGGGAGGAGTCTGATCAAGACTCTACCTTCAAAATATTTTGAATACCTTACCATTTCACATCACCTCCACTGCTATCAACAGCAGTCCGATGAACTATGAGTCTCATACTGGTCTACCTTCTTATACTCTTCTCCCGTTATAGTTCTCTATGTAATAGCCATAGTTACTTTTTAAACATAAAAATCAAATCATATCCTTTCTCTACTCAGAACTGTTTAGTGATTTCCAGTGTTTGTCAGAATGAAACCCAAAGTTCTTACCATGCCTACAAGGCTTGACATGATCTTGAGCGTGACTGCCTCTCTAAGCTTCATTTCCTCCTACTCTCCCCCTGGTTCCTTCTGTTTAAGCTACATTTGCTGCCATCACTTCCCACTTCCCCTCCTCCTCCTATCGTCTTTACTTTCTTCTGGAAACTTTAAACTTTAGGGCCTACAAAACCTGGATTCAACCCTGCCAAAAATTGCAAATTCTAATTGTAGAATATTTATCATCTACCTTACTAATATTCAGGATTATAAATCATCCCCTCTTGCTTGTAAACAAAATTCCCAAATCTTTTTACATCCTTACTTGCAGCTTTTCCACTATCTGTGTTAGAAGTGCGATCTGACTGTTTTATAGATTATTTGCCTATTGCGAAGTTTCTGCCTTTTCACAAGTACAGAATTTTGAAAGTAGTATACCTAACTCCTTAGCCTGGTTTGCTTTGGTTTTCCAAGAGGATTTTCTCATTGAGAAACACTGGACAACTTAAGCTCTGAGTCTCAATGTCCTCATCTGTAAAGCAGGAATAATGCCACCCACCACTGAGATTTTTGTGAAAATAAATGAGATTGTATACAAAGGAAAGGATAGGGAAGACAGAGAACCTCTTACTAACAGATATGTTTAGGCACTTTATATACTTTAAGCCTTAAAAGATTAGTTATTCATATCAATAAGGGAAAGAACAACACTTCAAAATAAAAATGTACAAGCATATGAATACATTTATTCAACAACTATTTTATTATAATTCAGGAACTGTAATAAGTGCAATTCATAGAAATGTCTAGAAATACACAAATAAATGTTTATTAGCAGTCAAATTAAAGTGAAGTAACAGTGATTTTCTACTTTTTCCATCATTGAACAAAGCTGAAAATAAATTAGTTACCTAGAGTTTGGAAACATAAGACAGATTTTTCAATAATACAAATAGGAGTGTAATTTGCATAATCTTCTTGGAGAATGTACTTTAGCAATGATGTATTAAAAACCTTAAAAACGTTAAAGGAAAAAAAAAACTGACCCAGCAATAACATACCTAAGAATTTGTTTAGTAGGCATATCAATCACACTTTTTCACAGTAACATGCTGACATGCACGAGGTTCTTTATTGAAGAAGAGTTTGTAATGGCAAAAGACTGAAAACAACCTAAATAGATTGGGAAATGATTAAATAAATTAGATACATCTATATAATAGGATGTAGCATAACATTAAAGGAAAAGGGGACATTCACCAAGATGTTTTGTTAAGTAAAAAGTACAAGGGCTGGCCAGGCGCGGTGGTTCACACTTGTAATCCCAGCACTTTGGGAGGCTGAGGCAGGTGTGGATCACCTGAGGTCGGGAGTTCGAGACCAGCCTGGCCAACATGGCGAAACCCCATCTCTACTAAAAATACAAAAAAAAATTAGCCAGGTGTGGTGATGGGCGCCTGTAATCCCAGCTGCTCGGGAGGCTGAGGCAGGAGAATCGCTTGAACCTGGGAGGTGGAGATTGCAGTGAGCCGAGATCGCGCCACTGCACTCCAGCCTGGGCGACAGAGCGAGACTCTGTCTCAAAAAAAGAAAAAAAAAAGTACAAGGGCTAAACACTGTACAGAAAGCTACTATTTGTGCAAAAAAAGAAAAAAAGTACAAGGGCTATAAACACTGTATAGAAAGCTACTATTTGCATATGTTTTTAAAAATTTTAATATCTGTACTCACACACAGACATATACACACATATAAAATATCTGGGAGTATACTGATAGCAGTGATTATTTCTATAAAGAGGAACTAGACAGCTGGGGTACAGAGACAGGAAAAAGACTTATTTTGCTTTGTGTACCTTTTGATCAGGGGTTTATATTATATCCATTCAGAATAAAGTAATTTTTAAATTGATATATATTTTACATATTTTGGGGGTACATGTGAGTATTCGTTACATGAATAAAATGCGTAATGATCAAGTCAGGGTATTTGGGGAATGTATCACCTTGAGTATCATTTCTGTGTGTTGGGAACATAGCAAGTCCTCTCTTCTACCTACAGAATAAAGTAATTTTTAATGAAAATTTTAATGAAAACAACTTTAATATTAGAGTTTAGTAGAGGAAAATAACGTTTGTGTGATTTATAATTAGAAGGATATCTGTGAGAGAAGATGTTATTATCTGGGAATATTTGAGATACCATAGAGCAAGGCCATATTATGAAACTAGGATGGATGAACCATGAGTTGAAGTATTTTTTTTCCTTCCTCCCTTGATTTTTTTTAAGTTAGTTGATTATTTACTTAATTTCTTAAGAAAAAAAATGACTGCCAATCTTTTTGTGCCATTATGGTTTGATACAGGCAATGGTGTCAATCAGGATTAATGGCATTCTTGGTCTAGTTCTGTTTTATCATCATAAATTTTGAACTAAGTTTTTTCAGTTGAGAAAGTCACATAAACATAATTTGAAATTATATACATTATAAAGTAGACCTCTTTCCCAGCCCTTCTTCCCAGAGATACTGTTACCAGTTTTTTGGTGTTATTCCAGAAATACAGTGTCCGTATAAAATCATTTATATATAAATGATTATATATATTTTATACACATATGTATTACACATACATTCCTCCTCTGTTTTCAGGATATTCTGAGTGGAATTATGTTGTTACTTTGTTTATAGTAGATTTATTTACTACTAATTTTAATTCCTTTAAATTCTTTATGCTACTGGAGTTTTTTGTCCTTCTTAGATAAATTATTTACATAATTATTATCATTTTTTTTTACTTTCTTCTTTCTTTCTTTTTTTTTTTTCTTTTTGAGACAGGGTCTCACTCTGTTACCTAAGCTGGAGTGCAGTGGCATGATCACGGCTCACTGCAGCCTCACAACCTCGCCAGGCTCAAGTGCCCTCCCACCTCAGCATCCCAAGTAGTGCACCACCATGCCTAGCCAACTTTTTTGTATTTTTTGTAGAGATGGGGTTTCACCATGGGGCCCAGGCTGGTCTCAAACTCCTGGGCTCAAGCAATTCACCTACCTCAACCTCCCAAAGTACTGGGTGGTGTGAGCCACCATACCTGTCCATTCATACCTTTTTTCCAGTACATTTTCTTTCTTTCTTTTTTTGAGACTAGGTCTCGCTCTGTTGCCCAGCCTGAAGTGCAGTGGCGTAATGACATCTCACTGCGGCCTTGACCTCTTGGGCTCGAGCAGTCCTCTCATCTTAGCCTCCTGAGTGGCTGGGACCACACGCACACCTATCATGCCTAGCTAAATATTTTTTCATTTTTTGTAGAGATGGGGTCTTAGCATGTTGCCCAGTCTGGTCTCAAACTCCTGGGCTCATGATTCTCCTGCCTCAGCCTCCCAGAGTGCTGGGATTACAGGCATGAGCCACCACACCTGGCCTAGTATGTTTATTATTTCATTTTTTCCTACAAAAATATTTAATCATTCTTGAATTTATTTTAGTCTCAAGATCGAGTTATGGACCAAGGCACCAAGGGATGATGCTTTTTTTCTTTAATAGTGTATCAGTTGTCTGCCCACTGTTGAATGATATATTTCTTTTTCACTGGTTTGAAATACCATTTTTATAGTACAGTTGGCCCAGCACATCCATGGGTTCAACCAACTATGAATCCAAAATATTTAGAAAAAGAAATTCCACAAAGTTCCAAAAAACAAACTTGAATTTGCTGTCCATTGAGTGAATCCACACAAATGAAGTGATGTATAGGCATTGTATTAGGCATTGTAAGTAATCTAGATATAAAGTATATGGAAGGATATGCAGATATGTCTAAATAATATGCAAATACTGTGCCATTTTATATAAGGGACTTCAGCATCTGCATTTTTGTATCTGCAGGGGGTTGCTGGAACTAATTCCCCACAGCTACTGAGAGACAACAGTATACTCAAATCTTAATGTATTTGGATTTAAATTTTTAGTCTCTCTTTTTATTCATTGATGTGTTTATTCTTGTATCAGTACCAAATCTCTTAAATTACTTTTTATTTTATCAAATATATATGTACATGTATACCCCTATATACACATGACTCTAAAAAGTCTTAAAGGCTATTGTTGCATATTTTCCAGCTTAAATAGAAACAATTACTATTCCCTAAATATATCATTCTTTTTTTTGTCTTTGCTCAGTTCTTTGTATTCATCTCAAGCATTCCCTCTGTGACACCTTTTTTCCTATGGAACCATTTAATTACTCCTTTCTTTGTGCTTCCACTATACTTTGGAACTTTTACCACTTTTTTTTTTTTTAACCACTTTTACCATGAAAGTAATACAGACTTTCAAAATCACTGCTTCAGGTCTCAATTTCTTGATTCCCATCTTAGCTTGCAGGACAGAAAAAAGGACAAGAGAGCCCATAATGTTAGGCATGGCTTGGAAGTGTCACTCATCACATATGTTCACATTTCATTATTCAGAGCTACTTATGCAGCCATTTATAGATGCAAGAGAAGCTGAGAAGTAAAGTTTAGATAGATTGTCACATGCCCAGATAGGGCTTGGGAAATCTGTATTTAAGGAAGAAACAAAGAATGGATATTAGTAGGCAGTTAGCATTCTTTTCCACAACAAGTTCATGCCAGTTCCTGACACATAGTAAGCATCTATAAATGTTTAATTGAATGAGTAAATGTTGAGTGACTTGAAAGACTTTCATGGTCCCTGCTACACTACTGTCCAGCCTTATTTTTCATTACTCTCTACCAACTTGTTCTAGCAGCTGTAATTGTCTCACTGTCCTGGATCAGTTCTTTTTGTTTCATTTTGGTTTTGCCTTCCTTCCATTCCCTCCTCTCCCCTTCTTTTTGTTTGACATAATATAATTGCAGTGTTATAGAAAAGTTGCAAGAGAAGTACAAATAAACCGTATCCCTTAACCCAGATTTATTTAGATTCCACCATTCATCCCACTATTGTTCCTTTTTAACAAGATATTTGTTACACTTAATTGTTATGCCTTTTAAATCTCTTTTAATCAAGAACAGTTCCTTAGCCTTCTTAGTTTCCGTGACATTGGCATTGTTGAAGAACATAGGTCAGTTTTTTTAGAGCATGTTTTTCCATTTGAGTTTGTCTTATATTTCCTCATGATTAGATTCAGATTACACATTTTTGGCATGAAACATCACAGAAGAAATGCTGTGATTTTTCATTGTGTGGTATCAGGAGATATATGATATCTATTTGTCCTATTGTGGTTGATATCTGCAAGGTTGTTTCAAAAAACTCAGCAAAGATACTATTTTCCCTTGTAATTATTATCTTGTGGGGATATACTTCAGACCATGTAAATAAGTGTCCTCTTATTCCTCAAACTCTTACTAGTTTTGTTATTACTTGATGATTCTTGACTGAATCAATTGCTGTGATGGTTGCTAAATAGTGATTTTTTAAAAATTCCATCAGTCATTCTACATTTATTAGTTGAATTTTTGCTCTAAAGACAAGCATTCCCTTTTTATTTATTTAGCTCAAAGGAAGTGCCACTGGACAAATTTGTGATAATTAGAGCATCAAACTAAATGAGAGTAGAACTATTGAATAAAAGAAGAATTCCTTAGCCTGCACTGATATAATTTATTTTTACAGTGTTTTTTCTAATAGATATATTTTTACCATTCAAACTTTTTTTTAAAATATATATACTGAGAAGTCTAACTCCAACCCCCTTTGTCTTCTAGTGGTAAATTTTTGTTATAACTTTCTAGTGTTTCTTTCTCCAGTATAAACTTATTTGCTATCCTTTCTCACATAAAATGTAGCATGTTATATAATAACAGCTAGTACTCTTTTGTGCTTTGCTTTTATCATTGAACAATATATTCAGAAGACCCTTCTCTGTCTATGGTAGGCAGAATTCTAAAGATGTTCCCTCCAAGGTTCTTGTCACCTGGTTATTCATTCACACATAATCTGGGTACTGCTGTGAAGGGACTTCACAGATGGAATTAAGATGGCTAATCAACTCACTTTAACATAACAGTTTATTTTGGATTATGCAGATGAGCCCAGTGTAACCACATAGGCCCTTAAAAGCTGAAGAGGAAGACAGAAGAGTCAGTAAGAGAGATGAGGTAGAAGATGATGCAGGAGACATAGGTAGTAGAAGACAGAGAAATACAAGCATGAGAAGGACTCAATCCTCTTTTGATGTCTCTGAAGATGGAGAAAGGAGGGTGTTGAGCAAGGGAATGTGACCGGCCTCTAGAGGCTGAGAACAACTACCAGCTAATAGTCAGCAAGGAAATAGGACCTCAGTCCAACAACCACATGGAACTGAATTCTGCCAACAACCTGAATGAGATTGGAAGCAGATTGTTCCACAGAGCATCCAGAAGGGCACACGCCCTTGTCAATATCTGATTTTAGCCTGGTGAGACTAAAAGTCTCTGACTCTGAGAAGCGTCAGACTTCTAGCTTACTGAACTGTGAGATAACAAATGATAGGTGTTGTTTTAAGCCACTGAATTTATGGTAATTTGTGGCAGCAGCAATAGAAAACTAATACAGTAGCTATACACAGAAATCTATTTCACAACTGGCTACCATTCCTTACCGGACTATTAGGCTGCTTCTAGTCTTCTGCTATTACAAAGAGTGAACAATGAATAACCGTGTGTGTGTGTGTGTGTGTGTGTGTGTGTGTGTGTGTGTGTGTGTGTGTGATGGATTCCCAGAATTGAAATTAGTGGGTCATAGGGTGAATGCATTTGTTATTTTGATAAATATTGCTTCATTTCTCTGTAATAAAGGTAGTCTCATTTTGTAGTTTGTATCTCTACACAGTTTTTATTTGCTTTTCTCATACTGTCAGTGAGATTGAGTATCTTTTCTTATACTCAAGTACCATTTGCTTTTTTTTTTTTTTAACTGCAGTCTGTTTTTGTTCGTTACTCATTTTTCTTTTGGCTTTGGTCTTTTCCTTCTCAATTTGTAGCAACTCTGTACATTAGAGAGATTACCCTTTGTCTGTGATATAAGTTGAAAGTATGTTTTCCTGGTTTGTCAGTTGTCTTTTCACTTGGCTTATTATATTTTTTGTCATGTGGAAGATTTTTAAGAAATTAAACTTGTGAATCTTCTTTTTTCATAGCTTCTGAATTTTGAGTCATAGTTAAGACTTTCCTCACTTCAGGGTTATAAAGGAATTCTCAGTGTTTTCTTCCAATAATTTAGTGGTCACATTTTTTACATTTAAATTGCGATCTTTATGGAATTGTCCTGGTGTGCAGTGTGGGATATGAATCTAATTTTGCCTCTTATCAATGGCTACCAACATCATTTATTTTAAAGTCCGTCTTTACTCATCAACTTTGAGATGTCACCCTTTTTACATTCTAAATTTCCCATTATGCTTGTTTTGTGTGTGTGTGTGTGTGTGTGTGTGTTTTGTTTTTTGTTTTTTTTGATACAGAGTCTCACTCTGTTGCCAAGGCTGGAGTGCAGTAGTGCAATCTCGGCTCACCACAGCTTCCACCTCCCGAGTTCAAGTTATTCTCCTGCCTCAGCCTCCTGAGTAGCTGGGACCACAGGTGTGCGCCACCACGCCTGGCTAATTTTTGTATTTTTAGTAGAGATGGGGTTTCACCATGTTGGTCAGGCTGATCTCAAACTCCTGACTTTGTGATCCACCCGCCTCGGCGTCCCAAAGTTCTGGGATTACAGGCGTGAGCCACTGCGCCTGGCCTGCTTTGATCTTTTTTATCTTGTTTCATTAGTTGATCTAAATAGTCGTGAGCCATTCCAACTATTTGATTGTCTAGTTTGAGCAGAAAAAAGATCTATTAGTACTTCTATTTCTATTACCTTATATTTATAAATTAATGTAGAGAGAACTGACATCTTTATTATTTTGAATCTTTTCTTCTGATTAAGTCTATTTTTGTGTCCTTCAAGAGGGTTTTAAAGTGTTTCATATACAGGTTTAAAAAAAAAAAACTTCGTGTTACATACATACATTTATTTATTTAAGAGATGGGGTCTGTTGCCCAGACCAACCTCAAACTCCTGAGCTCAAGTGATCCTCCCACCTTACCCTCCCTAGTAGCTCAGACTACAGGCACACACCACCATGCCCAGTCATGTTACACTTACTATTGAGTGTTTTATCTCAGCACGGATAATCACTATAGTTAACAGTATAACATATATCCTTTTGTACTAGATCATTTATAAACATACATAGTCTGTATAAACTCGAGTCTAGTTTATATATGATCCAGCGTTTCAAAGTGTGGTCTACAGGGGTTTCTGGTAGACTTTTAGGGGTTTTATGATATTACAACTCTTTTTGTAATAATAAAACATCATTTTCCTTTTTCATTGAGTTGACACAAAAGCAAACATGGGTAAAACTGCCATCAACGTGAATCAAGGCAGTGCCTGCAAACTTTGTTAATGGGCATTATAATTTTTACAGTCACACACTCATAGTTTAAGAAAAATAGAGAAGCTTTACTGAAGAAGGTGAAATAATAAAAACGTTAATTATATTAAGTTTTGATTCTTGAATTCACATCTCTTTAATATTCTGTGTAATGAAATGGGAAAGATGCAAAACCATGATATGATGGTTGTCTCAAGAAATTACTTGTACAATTAGATTGCAGGCTGATCTAGCATTTTTTAAAACTGAGATAAAATTCATATAACAAAATTTAACTATTTAGCCATTTTAACTACGTAAAGTGTGCAATTTAGTGGGTTTTAGTATATTCACTATGTTAAGCAATCATTACCACTATATAATTTGAGAACATTATCCCAAAAAGAAACTGTACTTTCTGAGCACTCACTCAATCCCTCTTCTCTCTTCCTCTGAGCCCCTCACAACCACCAGTCTACTTTGTCTGTATGGATTTGCCTATTCTGAAATTTTCATATTGACTTAAATAATCATATATATGGCCTTTTGTGTCTGCCTTCTCTCACTTAGCATAATGTTTTCAAGGTTCATTCGTGTTGTAGCATGTGTCAGTACATCATTCCTTTGTAAAGCCAAATATTCTGTTGTATGGATATATAACATTTCATATATCTGTTTATTAATTGAAGGACATTTCAGTTGTTTCTACTTTTTGTTTGAATAATGCTGCTATGAAAATTCATGAACAAGTTTTTGTGGCAGCATGTTTCTAGCCACTTTTTTCACAGAACATTATTTTTACTTAAACTATTCATTAAGATTTTGGCATATGCAGTTATCCTGTCACTTCAAGGAAAACAACTGACAATATTTATTACCAGTAAAACTTGTGTATTCAAGCAAAAATTCAAATTTTGGAAAACTTGTATCTGCCAAGTTTTCTAATGAGGTCAGTTATAAAGTTAAGGACTATGACTTTCTGCTAGTGTATAATGAAATGTGTCAACATTTGGAAGTTTAATTTAGTGAATCAGTATATTCCAAATGATCAACATGTACCACTGTAAAATCATATACAGGTTAAATGTCCAAATACAAAATAGACCAATTGGTATTGTAAACCAGCTTTCTGGAGGTAAATTTACTTACCACAAATTTATCCCTTTTTATGTGTACAATTCAGTGATTTCAGTAAATTCACATAGTTTTCCCATCATCTCAATCCAATTTTAGAAAAATCCCAAAAGGATTTTTCATGCCAGTTTACAGTCACTGCTCTTTACTAGCCTCAGGCACTATTACTCTACTTTCTGTTTCTATAGTCTTACCTTTTCTGGATATTTCATGTAAATAGAATAATACACTGTGGTTTTTGCATGTGGCTTTTTAGCATAATGTTTTTGAAGTTCATCTATATCATTGTGTTTATCCATAGTTCAGTCTTCTTTAATGCTAAATAGAATTCCATTGCATGGATATGTCACGTTTTATTTATCCTTTTATCAGTTGGCAGACATTTGAGTTGTTTTGTATTTTTGGCTACCATGAATAATGCCACTATGAACAGTTACGTACAGGTTTTTTCTTGGACGTACATTTTCAGTTATCTTGTGTATAAACCTGAGAGTGGAATTTCTGGGTCAAGTGGCAACTCTATGCTTCCAGTTTTCAGAAACTGCCATGCTGTTTTCCAAGTGACTGCACCACTTTACAATCCCACCTGCAGTACCTGAGGGTTCTAGTCTATCCACATTCTTACCAACATTTGCTATTGTTTACCTTTTTTGTTATAGCCATTCTGGTAGGTATGAAGTAGTATTTCATTGTGGTTTTAGTTTGCATTTCTTTGATAACTAATGATGTTGAACATCTTTTCATGTGCCCATTGACCATTTGAACGGCTTCTTTGATGAGCTGTCTCTTCAGTATTTTGCCCATTTTTGAGTTGGGTTGCCTTATTATTGGGTTCTAACATTTCTAACATAATTACATAACATTCTAATATAATGACTAGAAGTCATTTATCAGATATATGATTTGCAAATGTTTTCTCCGAGTCTGTGGTTTATCTTTTTTTCTTAATGGTGTCTTTGAAGGTTAAAGTTTTAAGTTTTAATTAAGTCCAAAACAATAGATTTTACTGTCATAGGACAGGAAGGGTTCATTGGTTATGGTATTTTACTTAACTTTTAAGTTACCATATGTAAAGTTTTGGTGCCGTATTACTATCTGAAAGGACTGTTAAAATATTACTCCACTGACTCGGAAGAGTGAGGGGGTGTGAGGGGGATGGATGATGAGAGATTACTTAATGGGTACAATACACGTTATTTGAGTGGTCGATACCCTAAAAGCCCTGACTTCACCACTATGAAACCTATGCATGTAACAAAATTACACTTGTACCACATACATTTATACAAATAAAAAAATTTTAATTAAAAAATTATATTCCTTCATTTTCCACTTTCATATCTGTATTAAGCTAGATTTTCTTTATATATTTCAAACTAAACTGCATATTGCAACAGATTGAGTGCAGTAGTAGATGTGAGAATCCAGGTGTCTTTTGTTAATCCAGACATTAAAGAAATTTACAAAAATGTAAAACAATACCCCTTTTGCCACTATTTTTTTTTGCTTTAAAGATATAGTTGTTTTTAATTAAAATGTTATGTTCATGTATAATACATTTATTGTTCATTTTAAATAAATTAATGAATATATACTTTAAATTTTTTTCAGCTTTAATTGCTAGCATAGTAAATATTAACAGGTATAACTCATGTAAACAAAAGCTCTCTGAGGTCATCAGTAATTTTCAACTGTAAAAGTTTCCTGAGATTACAAAAAAATATATATTTTAGCCAGGCGCAGTGGTTCACGCTGATAATCCCAGCACTTTGGGAGTCTGAGGCAGGCGGATAACTTGAGATCAGGAGTTCAAGACCAGCCTGGCCAACATGGTGAAACACTGTCACTAGTAAAAAAAAATATATACAAAAATTATCCAGGCGTAGTGGTAGGCGCCTGTAATCCCAGCTATTTGGGAGGCAAAAGCAGGAGAATTGCCTGAACCCAGGAGGCGGAGGCTGCAGTGAGCTGATAGCACCACTGCACTCCAGCCTGGGCAACATAGCAAGACTAAGTCTCAAAAAAAAAAAAAAAAGCCAAAAAAAGAAAAAGAAAACATACTTTGAGAACTGCTGCTTTTAATGTAACATTAGAGTCATGTAAGACAGCTATTATATGTCTGTTGCATTGCTTTCTGTTTTTCATATAATTTGGTCATGTTTATCTAGATTGTTAGCTTTTGGAAAGCAGGAAAAATATATTTTATTTTATGTTATTTCTCAAAAGATCCTAATTGTCCCCCTGGAATTAGTGCCTAGTGAAGACTTAACAAGAGATTGAAGGATTTCCCACCACGTTAGGGCAGCATTTACTGTGTTGGCTTTAATATAAGTAGCTAAATTTTTTCATTCAGGTGGAAGAACACAATGGTCACATCTTTAAAGCCACCCAATATAGCATCCCTACATACTGTGAATACTGTTCTTCTTTGATATGGATAATGGACCGAGCCTCTGTTTGCAAATGTAAGTATGAGAGATCTTTGAGGAATATTTTTAACCACTGACATTTCTGTTTCCTTGAGTTGTCTTATATCTCCTTTAACATAAAGGAGTTATTTACACTACCTAAATTTTTAACCTCATCTCTTGCTATACTCTCTTCACCTACTCTTTGTCTCTAAACCAGATATTTTGATGTTATTTGGTCACTGAGAGTCTTGTACATGTAATTCACTCTGTCTAAAATGGTCTTGTCCCAGATTTTAGTATGACTTAATATTTCAATTACTTCATGCCTACACTCACATCTCACCTTCTCAGAGAGCTCTCTTTTCTACCCCCAGTTTAAATGCCACCTTGTCCCCAAATTCGCTATTCTTTTTTTTGTTTTTGAGATGGTGTCTTGCTCCATCGCCCAGGCTGGAGTGCAGTGGTGTGATCTCAGCTCACTGCAACCTCTGCTTCCCAGGTTCAAGTGATTCTCCCTGCCTCAGCCTCCCGAGTAGCTGGGATTACAGGCATGTGCCACCATGCCCAGCTAATTTTTGTGTTTTTAGTAGAGACAGGGTTTTGCCATGTTGGCCAGGCTGGTCTTGAACTCCTGACCTCAGATGATCCTCCCGCCTTGGCCTAAAGTGCTGGGATTACAGGCGTGAGCCACTGCGCCCGCCCCTCCAGCCTCCGAAATTCTCTGTTCTTTCACTTAGACTTAATAGTCTTTATAGAACTTATTACCACCCAAAATTACATTAAGTATTTGTGTTCTTGTTTTTCAGTCTACACCTCTAAAATATATGCTCTATAGGTCAGGAAACTTATTTGTTTTTTTTTTTTTTTTTTTTTTATATCATCAGTGCCTAAAACGGTGATGGCACATAGTAAGTTTTAATAAATATTTGTTGGTTAGATAAACCTATAGATGGATGGATGGATGGATGGATGGATAAATGAATAAATTAGATTACAGTCAAAAAGGTACTTTTTCTACTGTAATCCTTTTAGCAGATTACAGTAGAAAATATAAATATATAAAATATATATAAATATAATATATATATTATTTTACATATAAATATATATCTAAATATATAAATCCTAAAACGTGAGTAGAGATTCTTTGTAGATCAACTTGGTTCTGGCTTACAGTGAACCTTTAGCCTCCACTCATCTTATTTTATACATCTGCTCTGGTGCTATTATTAGTTCTGTGAAGCTTTGCTTTTACTAGTGGGCTAAAATTGAATGAAGCAAATACTAGGAAAGGACTGGAACCAATATGACAGCAGTTTGCCACAGAAAAATTGCCACTATTACTATATATTTACTTATTCCATGGTTCAACAGCAGTTTTGCTTTGGTTTTATTATCAGTAGTCTAAAAAATTATAATGAGTCTGAAAATAGGAAGTAGTTTGTAATGTATTTGACCCTTTAGTGTAACTATGATTCTTGTAGGTTTAGTTTCTTCTGTAACTTAAAGCTAAAAATTTAAATAATTTTCTTTTTTATGACTATGTTGGGCTGGTTTGATTTTTTTTTTTTTTTTTTTTTTTTTGGTGAGATGGAGTCTAACTTTGTTGCCCAGACTGGAGTGCATTGGCACAATCTCAGCTCACTGCAGCCTCCGCCTTCCAGGTTTAAGTGCTTGTCCTGCCTCAGCCTCCCAAGTAGCTGGGATTACAGGTGCCCACCACCATGCCTGGCTAATTTTTGTATATTTAGTAGAGACAGGGTTTTACCATGTTGATCAGGCTGGTCTTGAACTCCTGACCTCAAGTGATCCACTCACCTCGACCTCCCAAAGTGTGCTAGGATTACAGGCATGAGCCACTGTGCCTGGCCTGATTTGATTTTTTAATAGAATTAGCTAACTTTCTTTGTTGTTATCCTGATTATTTCACCAGTACAATGACATGGCCTCCCTTACTTGATCTTGGCCTTCAAAAGCCTACAAGTTATATTTTACAAGCTCAAGAAAGGATATTCAGGTATTGGTACACAGAAGCCAGAGCTAGTGTAACAAAATGACATAAGCCAGCTGTGTTCTCAATACCTTCCTCTAAATGTGCCTCTTCCTGTTCACCAGCTGCCCAGCTACTCTGGGTTATCACCACTCCTCTAAATTATTTTAGCTCTGAACATTTTCTTTATCCCATCTTCCCAATCACAACTCAATATTCTTCATGTTCTGGTTCTTCAGAGCTCTGTTCTGAACCTTTAGAGATCATAAATAAGACCTTTCTTATATCTTAAACTGTGCTACCCAATTAGTTTTCATTTCAGGAGGGATCTTTGACAGTAATGCCTTCCTTATCTATAGGAATGATTCTTAATAGGCATTTCTGAGATTTTAGTATGTTGTAGAGCATATATGTGGTAGAACATGAACACTAATTTGTGAATCAAACCACAAAGATAAGTATCCTGCTGGAATTTGTTGGGGAGTGGTACTGTATGGCATAGGGGCAGGATGAGCAGCTTTGAAAGAACAAAAAGCTTTTTCATTGACTGTGGCTAGAAATTTTGATCATGTTTTCAACTTCATTATACCCAATAGAATGGGTTAAAATTCTTTTTAATTACACCATTGTACAAAGTATGTATGTCATATTACAGCAGTCTGAGATTTAAAGAAAAAAACGTAGGTCTAAAATAAAGTATACTTGATAAGTTATTATCACTGATGTACAGACTTCTAAAAATGTTGCATTCCTCACCTATTTTTCAGTATGCAAGTATGCTTGCCATAAGAAGTGCTGTCTGAAAACCACAGCCAAGTGCTCTAAAAAGGTAAGAAATTATCACCTATCAGTAATAGATAACAGACCTGTTGGTCTTTTGTGCCTTATGGAAATAAATTAAGGCCTTTTTGATAGTTTTACAGATGAGTGGTTTTTAAACTTTTTGACCACAAATCACAGTAGAAATATGTTTTATGCCATGATCCAGTTCATATGTTTGGTGATATATGTACAAAAATGAATTGATTTTCATAGAATTATTTTACCGTTACTATATGTGAGTTACTAAATTAATTTCGTAAACCACAATTTGAAGAACACTGCATTGAGGTTTCATACTTCCTTAAATGCTCATAAATCTTCTAGGAATTATCCTTAATGCAGTAAGCTACAATTAAAGATGAACAAATTTAAACATGAGTAGCAAAATTCACCAGCATGGATGGTTGGTGTTTTTACATATATCTCTTGGATACACAGAGATCTAAAATATACTGTACACATACTGTTTGATACCTTATGTTTCAAGGAGGTAATCTTTTTAAAAAATTCAGGCTTTTATCGATGTATGATCACAACATTTTCTTATTCATTAATCACATACTGACAGTTGTTACAATAGCATGCAAATCTGAAATATAAATGTGTGTGCATGTTGTTTGCAGTAGACAAATCATGGCAAAGTACAGAGAGAAATTTGATTCAGGAATTAAAATGCAAAGAATATGAGTGAGACATTTGCTTCCAGCTAAGATGGAGCAGCTTATGTCAGACAAATACTAAAAAAGTTTGTTGGCAAGCATCAGGGAGCTGCACAGGCAAATTGTACTTTAGGAGACTAGATTTTAGAGAGAAGAGAATGCAGAGTAGTGAATCTACATCTGTGAGATGTTTTTCTTCTAGTGGGAATTTTCCTTTTTTTTTTTTTTATTATACTTTAAGTTCTAGAGTACATGTGCACAACGTGCAGGTTTGTTACATATGTATACATGTGCCATGTTGGTGTGCTGCACCCATTAACTCATCATTTACATTAGGTATATCTCCTAATGCTATCCCTCCCCCCTCCCCCCACCCCACGACAGGCCCCAGTGTGTGATGTTCCCCTTCCTGTGTCCAAGTGTTCTCCCATCCAAGTACTAACCAGGCCTGACCCTGCTTAGCTTCTGAGATCAGAAGAGATCGGGCGCATTCAGGGTAGTATGGCCATAGACCCAAGTGTTCTCATTGTTCAATTCCCATCTATGAGTGAGAACATGCGGTGTTTGGTTTTCTGTCCTGGCAATAGTTTGCTGAGAATGATGGTTTCCAGCTTCATCCATGTCCCTACAAAGGACATGAACTCATCCTTTTTTATGGCTGCATAGTATTCCATGCTGTATATGTGCCACATTTTCTTAATCCAGTCTATCATTGATGGACATTTGGGTTGGTTCCAAGTCTTTGCTATTGTGAATAGTGCCGCAATAAACATATGTGTGCATGTGTCTTTATAGCAGCATGATTCATAATCCTTTGGGTATATACCCAGTAATGGTATGGCTGGGTCAAATGGTATTTCTAGTTGTAGATCCTTGAGGAATCACCACACTGTCTTCCACAATGGTTGAACCAGTTTATAGTCCCACCAACAGTGTAAAAGTGTTCCTATTTCTCCACATCCTCTCCAGCACCTGTTGTTTCCTGACTTTTTAATGATCGCCATTCCAGCTGGTATGAGATGGTATCTCATTGTGGTTTTGATTTGCATTTCTCTGATGGCCAGTGATGATGAGCATTTTTTCATGTGTCTGTTGGCTGCATAAATGTCTTCTTTTGAGAAGTGTCTGTTCATATCCTTTGCCCACTTTTTGGTGGGGTTGTTTGTTTTTTCCTTGTAAATTTGTTTGAGTTCTTTGTAGATTCTGGATATTAGCCCTTTGTCAGATGAGTAGATTGCAAAAATTTTCTCTCATTCTGTAGGTTGCCTGTTCACTCTGATGGTAGTTTCTTTTGCTGTGTAGAAGCTCTTTAGTTTAATTAGATTATTTTTCCATGTACCTTTATATACTTTTACCTATCAATATTCACTAAATGTAAAAAGTGCAAAAAAAAAAACTGTCGATACAAACATAATGTTGACTGAAAGCTAGAGACAAAAGAGTACATTTAAACAAAGTTCAAAAATAGATTAAACTAACTCAAGGTGCACATACTCTGTTTTTCCATTTATATAATATCCAAAAGCAGGTAAAATTAATTTTTAGTGACAGAAGTACAGATACTGGTTATTTGTGAAGGGTAAAGGGCATAGTGGCTGGAAGGGACCTGGGGGAATTTTAAACTGCTTGGTAATATTCTGTTTCTTAATCTGGGTCTTTGTGAAAATCCATTAAGCTGTAACTTGCAATGTGTGTATGTCACAGCTCAATAAAGATTTTATTTAAAATACACATTGAAGTTAGTTTAAATGAAAAATAACTATGAAACAAAAACTATAAAAATATATTTTTAGAAAAATACTCAGAATTTTTTTTTCCATTGAAAATAGTAAGATTAATTTGTCTCTTCATTTCAAGAAATAGAATGTTCTAGCATGTTTGCTTTAGATTACTTAGTTTCAAATCAAGTTATTTTTAAAGTTTTTGTTTAATACCTAAAAGTATTTTGTTATTTTGCTTCCACAAGTCATAACATTTCTAATGCCATAGGGATTTAAATAAACAGAATATGTATTTGCACATCTGTGTCCCAGCATTAGGAAAACATTTGACTAAAATTTAATCATTACAGCAAGCCTTATTCTATTCTATTTCTATAATAATTTTTTCAGTATTTGACGTATACCAGGTTGTCATGCTGTGTATGTTCAACTTAATCTCTACAACAACCCTCTGAAGTAGAAAGGAGGTATTTCTGTTGCAAATGTGAAATAACCTAGCCAAGTTCACATAGTGACAAGGCAAAACTTTTAATATGCATCCTCTAAATATTCCAAGATTGTGTCCTATTCTGCCTTAGACTTGGAAATGCTTTTCAGAGATGTTGTGTGATATTAAGATAATTTAATGTATGTCAAAATAGACATGAAATTAATACTCTAAGGATTAAGAGCTGGAATGCAGAGCATGTAGATACATGCATGAATGATGCAAAATAATACTGATAATACTGCTAAAACTAATAAACTGATTATTCCTTTATTTAAAATTATCTGGTAGCTTCATTTCCGTAGCCACTTTGCTCTGCCTACCTTTGTAGTTTTATATTTCCTGTGCCTAAAAGATCTTGCTTTCTTTACTTATCTATTACTTGCTTTCCAACACTAAGGTTGAACATCAGGTCTTTTCAAGATCATTAGTTGTTTGTTATCCAGCCCAGTCTTTCCTGATCTAGTTGTCTCTCTTCTGTGTTTCCATAATAGTTAATCTATTTATAATTTTACTTATCTCCACACACTAACACTACTAGTCTTTTTCTTTTTTTTTCTTTTGAGACAGAGTTTTGCCCTTGTTGCCCAAGCTGGAGTACAGTGGCGTGATCTTGGCTCACTGCAACCTCTGCCTCCTGTGTTCAGGTGATTCTCCTGCCTCAGCCTCCTGAGTAGCTGGGATTACAGGTGCCCACCACTATGCCTGGCTAATTTTTGTATTTTTAGTAGAAATGGGGTTTCACCATGTTGGCCAGGCTGGTCTTGAACTCCTGACCTTAGGTGATCCACCCACCTCAGCCTCACAAAATGCTGGGATTACAGGTGTGAGCCACTGTGCCGGGCCTAACACTACTAGTCTTAAGCAGAAGGCCTTGATTTTGTTTCCTTGGTACCTAACACATAAATGACAAATGTATGAATGTAAGGCTGGAAAGTAGAAATTAGAATCAGTTCAAGTAAGTTCTTGAGTATGAGACTCAAGAATGTTTGCACTTTAGTTTGCTATATACTAATTAGCCGCTAAAGGTTTTTGAGGATAATAAAACAGATTATATATACTACAGAATATATTAAAAGGAGACATATGAATATGGGGAAAACTCGCCAAGAAAGTGTTGAAATAGTCTAATTGGTTAGTGATATAGTTTTGAGCTGGGGTGATGACACTTAGAACAGAAAAGAAACAATAAAGAGGATGAACTGATTGACTTGGCAACTGGTTGGATGCAGGTTAAAGGAGAAAATGGAATATATAGTTAGGGAAGGACAATGGTACAGGAGAAGGAAAGACAGATTTGCAAAACAATTTTCAGTCTCAGAGATAATACCTGCCATTTTTCTTTTCAGTGAATTACTTCAAATAATCTTAAGGGTAAGCTGTTATGTTGCAGTCACATAGGATATAAAGTAACCTATAGGTTAATAAAGTATAATATTGGCTGGACACAGTGGTTCATGCCTGTAATCCCAGCACTTTGGAAGGCCAAGGCGGGCAGATCACTTGAGGTCAGGAGCTCGAGACCAGCCTGGCCAACATGATGAAACTCCGTCTCTACTAAAACTACAAACATTAGCTGGGCGTGGTGTCATGTGCCTGTAGTCCCAGCTACTTGGGAGGCTGAGGCACGAGAATCGCTTGAACCTGGGAGGTGGAGGTTGCAGTGAGCTGAGATCGCATCACTGCACTCCAGCCTGGGTGACAGAGCGAGACTCTGTCTCAAATGAATGAATGAATGAATGCATGAATAAATAAAGTGTGATATCAGATACGCTATTCAAGTCCATACAAAAGAGCTGTAACAGTAGTCATGGGCTGATCTGTGTGTACCTCTGCCTTTAATTATGAAATCATTTTTCAGTTAAACTTCCGTAAAGTTTATATAAACATCAAAGCATTCTTATGCTTAAGAACTTGCTGACAACTCTAATTCTTATCAAATTAGTAGATTTTCTAGTGGTATCTGGTAGGTGGTCAAGCTGTTTGCATATAAAATCCAACCCTTTTCCCCACACCCAAATCCCACCTTTGCTTTTGAAGCAATTTTTTGATAGGAGAAGCTGTAGCCCTTTGCCACTGCCTTCATTCTTCACTCCATTATTTTCTTTTGGAGATTCTGGTGGAAAAGGATTGAAACTAATATCTCATTTATACTTACTTAAACATAATTCCCTTTCTCCCAACTCTTCTAACTATGCTCATAAAACTTCAGAGAAATAAAAAAGTAGCTCCTGGTAAAGAAATGGTTAAACATGTTTCAAGATGTTTGAATGCATTTGGAAACTAAAAATTATCTTTCATTTAGTATGATCCAGAGCTGTCATCTCGACAATTTGGGGTTGAACTGTCCCGTTTGACCAGTGAAGACCGAACTGTTCCTTTAGTAGTGGAAAAGCTCATAAACTACATTGAAATGCATGGACTGTATACAGAAGGTATTTATCGAAAGTCTGGTTCGACTAATAAAATCAAGGAGCTTCGGCAGGGTCTAGATACAGGTAAGATAGTGCCCTCTAAATCATAATGAAATACTTTTATTTAAATAGTTCCTTTCATGCTCTTAAAGTTTTCATTACATGTCAATCCTTTACTTAGCAGCCAGAAGAATGCATTCTTTTCTGTGATGCTTTGTTATCATTTTTTGGCTTTCTAAAGAGTCTTTGGTTTCATTTGGTCAACTCAGCAGACATATATTGAGCATATAATTTGCACTTGGGACAGATCTCATTTAATTTTTGTAATAATTTAGTAAGATTGTGATACCTCTGATTGACAAAGAGAAAAACTAAGGTATAGGGAAATTAAATAATGAGCTGCTGATGATGATGCAAGGTGCTGTACTAATGTTTTTATAATATTCACAACAATCCTATGAATTAGGGATATTATTATCCCCATTTACAGAAAAAGGAACTGAGGCTTACAGAAGATCTTGCCCAAAGACTGATCGCCAATAAGTGACCAAATTGGAGTTAACCCCAGATCTTCTGAATTCATAATCTATTTCCCCTTTCTCTTTATTATTCTGACTCCAAGGGGTACTCTTTCCTGTGTATCATCTTCTTGCCTGCCTACACTGATGACAGTTACTCAAACTGATAATTAGTGAGTTGAGCATGTATCTTTGTAGAGCTGTAGTTTTAGTACTGGAATTCATGCAGGGGACTGACTCTGGTTTCATTCTCAACTTCTACATTTTACCACTGTTGGGAAGGAATAGATCTTTTTGAACTAAACAGAGTAAAGCATGTCCTTGTGTGGGCAAGAACCTGTGTTCAGTGCTGTTTCTTATGAACAAATCAATGAGAAATGAATTGAGTATGAAAATAATAACAATGACTGGTAAGACTCAGGCAGGAGGTTCCGTCTACAAGAGACTTGGTCTACTTTGGTTTACAGGCAGTTACTGACTTTGTCTCTGATACCTTGAAATAGCACAAGTGAAAATCAATCATCCTGAATCTTCCCCAGTCATCTAATCTGTATATCCTTAGGGAGTTTATAAGTGAAACGGGTGAAGGTGTTTCCTTTACATTTTCTAAGCTCAGTTATCACTGTCCTTTTATCTCTAAGAATGACTTAAAATTAGCCTTACTTTCAGAAAGTGTCCTGTATGCGTTTTTTCATTTGTCATGTAAACCATTGTTACTCAAAGTGTGGTCTGTGGACAAATCCAAAACCAGGTAAGTACAGAAATTGAGAGCAAGCATGTAGAGACGTTTATAGCAGTATAACAGTGCTTCAGCACGAAAACATTCATTCATTCATTCATTCATTCATTCAGAGACAGTCTTGCTCTGTTGCCCAGGCTGTAGTACAATGGTGTGACCTTGGCTCACTGCAACCTCCGTCTCCTGGGTTCAAGCAATTCTGCCTCAGCCTCCCAAGTAGCTGGGATTATAGGCGTGTGCCACCACACCCAGCTAATTTTTATATTTTTAGTAGAGACAGGTCTCACCACGTTGGCCAGGCTGCTTTCTGTCTCCTGGCCTCAAGTAATCGGCCTGTCTCAGTCTCCCAAAGTGCTGGGATTACAGTCATGAGCCGCTGCTCCTGGCCATGATCTTTTATTTTACACATTTCAGTCCACAACAGGTTTGGAAAACAAATACACAAGACGTATTCTTTCACCACAGTTAGAAGCACAGTTCCAAAGCATGGAATTACATTGTGGAAAATAGGTTAGTCAGTTTGACTAAGAAACATGAAGCCGGCCGGGCATGGTGGCTCACGCCTGTAATCCCTCCACTTTGGGAGGCCAAGGCAGGTGGATCACCTGAGGTTGGGAGTTCGAGACCAGCCTGACCAACATGGAGAAACCCCGTCTCTACTAAAAATACAAAATTAGCTAAGCGTGGCGGCGCATGCCCGTAATCCCAGCTACTCCGGAGGCTGAGGCAGGAGAATCACTTGAACTCGGGAGGCAGAGGTTGTGGTGAGCTGAGATCACACCATTGCACTCCAGCCTGGCCAACAAGAGTGAAACTCCATCTCAAAAAAAAAAAAAAAAAAGAAACATGAAGCCTTCCTTTAATGATGATAGTTTCTAAAGTGAATTATTTGAATCTCTTTGCATGTTTTGGCTCTGTTAATCTAACTCTTGTCTCTAAATAGATGCTGAGAGTGTAAATCTAGATGACTATAACATACACGTCATTGCAAGTGTATTCAAACAATGGCTTCGAGATTTGCCCAATCCTCTCATGACCTTTGAACTCTATGAGGAATTTCTTCGAGCTATGGGTAAGCATAGGCTTCCTGGGTTAGAGAGAAGGCCTATAGTTGGGAAAGAAATGCCATCTTGAGTATAGATTATCAAGCCATCCTCTAGTGGTTTAATTCTTATAGATTCAAAGGTAAGCTTTTGACAGTGAATACAAAACGGCTAGTATACTGTCACCTATTCAAATGTTGACTTTTTAGAGACTCATCAAAACGTTAGTGTCCTAAAAATTTTCTGAGTGAGACACTTGGTTGCTTCTTACAAAGAAATGGAAAGACTGGGGTTATAAAACAGATTAAAATATTAAAAATAAGTTTTAAGATTAGGCTTATGTTCATTTAAATTGGAAATCTAGGCAAGAACTATGTGTAAAGCTGGCTGTTTTATGCCAAGCTTAACAGGTTTCAGAGTTTAGTTTCTCAGTGCTGTAAGTGCGTAGGATATTGATAAAGGCCTTCCTAGAGGTATTTAGGCCCTGAGGATTCATAAATTATGTTGACTTTAATGGTAAATCAATCTGCTACACAATGACTGAAAAACTAGAACATCTCTATCCCCTTGCTGTTATTAAGGATTACTGTGATATAGGTTCAAACTAAGGAGACTGTTTATGAATATAGAACTCAAGCAAAAGGAGTTAAATAGTTACTGTGAGTTGCTCTTCTCCTGCCCTACAGGTACAACTACTCCTAAAACTCTGTAGCCAGCCTTCTTTGCTTCATAGTGTCTGGGAGGAAGATACACTGTATAAGGGGGGATATTTAGTCTTAGTTTCTGCTCTTACTGTTTTTAGGCCTTCAGGAGAGGAAGGAGACAATCCGTGGTGTATACTCTGTGATTGATCAACTCTCCCGAACTCATCTCAATACACTGGAACGCCTCATCTTTCATCTAGTCAGGTAACTTTAAGAAGCAAGGGAACGATTTTTAATAGTTTCTCTTGGATTATTTTAAATAGATAAGGAATTTCTCCATTTGGAAGACTGACAGGTATTTATTTTTTCTTCTATTTATAAAGTCAGTGTCTCAAACAGGTGGTTAGGATACCTTGGAGCAGAAATATTCAGCTGAGCTGGAATGCATGGCAGTTGCTTTTCTGCCCTTGTTTGAACCATGTAACAGCTTCAGCCTCATGGTGGCAGTGTGTAGTTTAGCCTGTTTTCTAACAGCTGAACTAGAAAGGATATATAATCTATTGAAATGACCTAATTCATATGAGGGGTTCAGATCATTCTCAGGAATTGACCAAAGAGGCGTCAGGAGTAGTGTCTCTTCCCCTGTGTGTAAATATCAGCAGTAGTTGAGAAGAAAGCCATCTTTATTTTTGGTTAAAGCCTCTACTCTGCATTCTTTTTTTTTTTTTTTTTTTTTTTTTTTTTTTTTTTTGAGACACAGTTTCAGTCTGTCACCCAGGCCGGAGTGCAGTGACGCAATCTCAGCTCACTGCAACCTCCGCCTCCCCGGTTCAAGTGATTCTCCTGCCTCAGCCCCCTACATAGCTGGGATTACAGGTGTGCGCCACCACACCCTGGCTAATTTTTGTATTGTTAGTAGAGACAAGGTTTTGCCATGTTGGCCAAGATTGTCTCAAACTCCTGACCACAAGTAATCTGCCCACATTGGCCTCCCAAAGTGCTGGATTACAAGTGTGGGCCACCGTGCCTGGCCGATTCTGCATTCTTTGGACATGTTCATCTAGTGATCTTGGCCTAGAGCAGGTAGGTCACAAATTTCCCTTGGGAAGCTATCGGCTGACCTAGACTGCTTCAAGGAAAGAACAAGTGAAAATACATTTTCCAGAGACAAAGGAACAAAGGAACAACTTGGGAAAAGTCTGCAGACCCTTAAACTTAATGGATATCCTTCTAGTACTATGCAGTTCATGTCATACTGTCTTCTTTTGCTCATCTCTTCTGCCTATTTCCCTATGGTGCTCCCTTTTTATCCCTTACTCATTTGTTTTTTGTTTTGTTTTAATTCTTAGGATTGCTCTGCAGGAAGACACTAATCGAATGTCTGCTAATGCTTTGGCCATTGTGTTTGCGCCCTGCATTCTCCGCTGCCCTGACACCACTGACCCACTACAAAGTGTACAGGACATCAGTAAGACTACCACGTAAGGCCAGTTACCATAACCTTTGCAAGACCTCAGGGACTTCTGACTATGTAGTCACTGTATCCAGATATCAAACATAGTGAATGGGTTCATAAATTCAGGTGTTTTTAAGAAGATTGTTGGACACTGCTGGGTTTTCTTATGCTGAGGATGCAAACTCCTGGATTCAACTGAGCATCATTTGTCTTAAAGCATCTTATTTTTAAAATCTGGCTTTTCTTTAGGACTGCTTGTAGTTTCTAAATAGATTTTAAATTTCCATTTTACCAAATTATGGACACTTAGTATCTTCCTGTAATCTAGTCTAACTGTGGTCTTAATGGCTCTGAATCCTTTGGTCTTAATACTTCAGTATTCCTGTATTTCACCTTGGTCTTTTTTCTTGAGGCTCTGCTTTCCTTCTAACATGGTTTTCTTTTGCTCTCCTCAATCTTGACTGCAAAAGGAACTTTAAAAAATATATCAATATTTGGATCCCATCCCCAGAGAGTCTGATTTAATTGGTGTAGCGTGTAGCCTGGGCATTGGGATTTGTAACTGCTCTTTATTTTGTATTATTTTTAATTAATTAATTAATTAATTTTTTGAGATGGAGTTTTACTCTTGTCGCCTAGGCTGGAGTGCAGTGGCATGATCTTGGCTCACTGCAACCTCCACCTCCCAGGTTTAAGCGATTCTCGTGCCTCAGCCTCCCAAGTAGCTGAGATTATAGGCGTGCACCACCATGCCTGGCTGATTTAGTATTTTTAGTAGAGACAGGGTTTCACCATGTTGGCCAGGTTGGTCTCGAACTCCTGACCTCAGGTGATCCACCCGCCTCGGCCTCCCAAAGCGCTGGGATTACAGGCATGAACCACTGTGCTCAGCCATAACTGCTCTTTAGATGGCTTCTAAAGTGCAGCCAAAGTTGTGAACCACCATTCTAAACCTTGTCTCTGAGTTTATCAAGTAAGGGATGTTAATTTTTTCCTTCATCTTTCAACTGTCTACCACAAAAACAGTCTGTGAGTGCTATACTTTATTTACTTCACCTCTTAACAGTTTTTTTCTCTTTCCTTCTGTTTCAGTTGTGTGGAACTGATTGTTGTGGAACAAATGAATAAATACAAGGCTCGTCTCAAAGATATCAGTAGCTTGGAATTTGCTGAGAATAAGGCAAAGACCAGGTTGTCACTGATTCGTAGATCAATGGTAAGATGCAACACATGGAATAGTGGAAAAATGGGAGTTGTCTTGGGAATTTAAATGTGCTTTTGTGGTGTATACAAGGATTATTATCAGAATCTTTTTTATAAAAAACAAGTAAAACGTCACCAAATCTCAAGGTGCTATGGATTCCTCATGTTTAATCTGCTGGCTCTCTTTAGTTACATTATAGAATCTATGTGATTAAGTGTGCAGAATTTTTCAAATCAAGTATTTAGATAAAATGTTGGTGTCTTAATAATCTGCCTTGCTTTCTTTTCATGTCCTTTCTATGAAAACGTAATCCTCTTCTAACTTTTTTCTCCACTTCCTTCCACTGTCTGTTCCCGCCTTTAATCGTGTCACTTTTGGTGGTCCTGCCAAGACCCCTGGGATGTAGAGAACTTAATCATTTGTAACTGAATTTAAATGGAATCATTTGATTCTTAAGGAAATGGAATTCCATCTATGAGTCTACTGTAATCAAAAAGTATTTCTTTGAGTTTAGGGTTAGGTTTTGAGACAGTCCTTGTAAAACCGATAATTTATTTCCTTGGTTTGCCCACTTTTTAATATCTTCCTTTGCAACCAGTAACATATAACTCCAGTTCTCAATGACCACTAATCAATAGCTTCAGCCTTATTGATTAGTGGTCATTGAGAACTGGAGTTATCCATATATGTTACCCTGAAGTCAGTTTTCAGGATAACTGGAAAACTGCTGCATTAAGGTTTATTTATTGCCCATTTGCCACCCTTCCTCTCAGTTGTAAAATAAAATTGTGACAATGAGCACGCATTTCAGATTCCCAATAAATCTCTAAAGAGAAGCAGGCTTCATCATGCCCTTACTCTTTCAGGGGTCCAGCAGTACTTCCTCCCATATCTTCACAGTTTGCAAATTAGCACTAAAATAATTCTTTTTCTTCCTTTATTATTTAATCTGCCTGGCACAGAATAAGTGCTTAACAAAGGTCTGTTGATTAAGGTAGTGAAGGGTCTTCTGTAAAAACAAACATAAGCATGGGCTTTTTGCAGGCAGTAAAGATATTAAATAAAACTCATCATAGGGGATACTATCTAAATCTTTTCCCCAGAAATTAAAAACAGAAATCCCACTTAAAAGTGAAACATTTCTGTAGTATGAATTTTCAGGAGCTCAGTTCTGAGAGGCCCAATTTAGTGGTGGCTATCCAGGCAGGAAGGGAAGAGCCTTTTGCTATAAACCTACTTTTCAAAGCAGATAGATAAGCTGCGCTTTTTTCCAGTGCTGCAGAAGATGGATATTCAGTCCATTGCAAGATTAAACCTTCTCTTTTAATGAGGCAATGACATGTACATTCTAACCTTCTGCTTTCCTTTTCATGTCCTTCCTAATCCAGAAACCTGTACTAATTGCAGTTAGATTCATGAACATTACCCGCAATTCAGTCTCGGTATGTATTAATAATGCAATGTGTCACAGCCACTCTACATTATTGTCTCTCGTTCATCCAGGAATTGTTCCGCCCTGTCTATCATTCATGCCTGTCCACCCTCCATGTTCGGCCCCAAGTCAGGTTCTACTTTTTGATTACCTTTCACTTGCTTTTCTCTTAATCTCTTTCTTTAGATCCTTCATTTTCCTTCCTCTGTATTGTGTAGTTGAACAGCATCCATTTAAAATACACTGGTTTTTCCTCTTTGTTAGATGAGCCTCCTTTTGGGTTTCTTCTTTGGTTGAATCATTAAAAGGTGAAAGTTAAAAGCATTGAGATATCAAATTAATTTCTGCTCTATGAGCTGTGTTCCCAGCAATCTCCTCCACTTTATTATTTGAAATACTTACTATTACTTTCAGCATCTCCTATCATTAGTAATGCTTATTTGTCCATTCATATCTGTGACTCCGATGGTGTCCTCCCAGATGTAGAAATATGGTTCTTATCCACTTAGCATTTATCAGACAGAGCTACAAATAGGAGTGAACTAATCCAAATTGGTGGACTAGTTCTAGACTTAAATATTATGGTATGCTAGAACTCATACCAGGATCTCATTGCTGGTATCCCTCTTCAGTTCCATTGATTGTACAAAAAAAGGAATGGGGGGGATGGAAGGCTGAGAACACCAATATTTGTGGAAAACTGTCCACCTGTGTTGTAACCATTTTATTGAGGAGGCTTAACTTGTTGGGATGCTAATACAAGTCAGTTTTTCTTTTTGTCTATAACTGCCTCTTAACTCCAGCCTGTCAAACTTCCCTTTCCCATTAGATATCAGTTACCTTAACAGCATCTTGAAACCAATTCTATAATTTTCAAAAATTCATTTCATTCTAGTATTTAAGAGTCAGTTCTCTTCATATTAAAACTTCAGTCAGTTTTAATCCAGTGCTCTTCTCACTTCCTCCCAGGGCAGACTAGACCTTTATCTGGAACTTAAAACTTTGGAGGGTAGGTGGGTAATTTCTGTTTGTCAGACACTTCTGCCTTTCGTCTTTCTTGACCCTTTCTCCCCTGATGTTGAGACTGGGAGGAGTGATAGGGGAGGCAGAATTCTGTATGATATCTTGGTGTTGAGATGGCAGTCCACTTTCTTGGTTGTTCAACACTGCTATTCCGGCTCATTGTCAGTAGGCTAAGTAAAGATAAGTAGTAGCTCCAGTTTACCCTGTTGACAGTGAACTCAGTTCTATCTCATTTCTGTAGGCACTGATAGTCCCTTGCAAGATATGGTTACATCTTCTGGCTAAATCCTGGGTGTTGGCATTCACACCATATGGGAAGCTGTCAAACTCACAGGGCAGATACAAGTTTTCCAAAATTCTCATATTTGTTTGAAAGCTTGAAATTTACTCACTGACAACAAATATCGCCATTTGTTTCACTTGCAGTAACAGATTCCCTTCATATAATTTCAAACCACGTACTCAAGAAGAATAATCAAACTTTGTCAATTATTGTAAATACTGTTTCATTAATAAAGCAGCTAATTTGGCTTGCAATTCAAAGAATTGCACTAATACTCTTTCTTGAGATAACCATTAGTATGTGACAGAGTTGCTGTATGTGTAATTTCCAGTTAATCATACAGAAAGTTGAAAATAGTTAATTTAACAGTTAAGAAGTAAATAAAATTAATTTACACCTCTTGTTCAATGACATGAAGTGAAACTGACTTTTTAAAAACTAAATGTGTGGTAGCAAAAGAATATGAAGACTGCTAGAACCATTTGGTATCATTACCTTGATTCACGTAACGGTGACAGCAGTTGAACCCACAATTGCTTGTATGTAATTAGTACAGATGTCAACAAGTGAAAATGGCAAATAGCATCTTAGTATAATTATGAAAATAATTTTGACATTGTAGACCCTGTGAAATGGTTTTGAGGACATCATCACACCCCAGCATCTTTGCTGGGGATCTGTGGGCTACACTCTGAGAACCACTGCACTATAATACATATAATACTACCGGCTCACTGCACTTCACAGAAATATTTGATGAGAATAATTCCTTTTCATATGCAAGATATAAATACCTACAAACAGATACTAGCTGTATTTAAAGTGCTTACTAACCCTGATTATCTGGTGAACCATAACTGCAGGCATTGGGATATGATTTTTGAACAAGCTTGGATACCTAGTTATAATACCACACAAAACAACCAGTCTTTTCAAAAAAAAGCCTTGGATAAAGGATCTCTCCTTATCAGGAAAGCAAACTCCTCAGGAAGTGGTCTGATAATTCAGTTCCTTCCTATTTTTGTGACTTAACAAAAGGCACTCAACAGTGATCTTCCGTCTTGCCCTGAAGTGCTATTTTTGAGTAAAATTTCATTAGGATTCTGAGATTTGTGTTTTAGCTAGTTATATTATTATTCTGTCTAGATAATGCATAGTTCCTCCTCCTCACACATTTAACCCATAGACAAACCCTAGTAACGTGTACTTTCTTTGGGTCTTCATAAAGTATCATGACTTTCTGCATGAGGGTAATATATGTCTTTTTCTAAATAGTCATCAGGTTTACTAAAGGCAATGCAATTCATTCCTTCATTATCACCATGAGTCTCTTTTACTGTTTAGGCTTACTTCGATTTATAGTATTTAATTTCTTTGTGCCCATCAATCATGCCTTGCCATTCCTTCTTGCATTCTTTCGCTATCGTGAGCCTTACAGAATTTTCAGAAGAAATCAAAGCTCTCCTCATAGGCCTTATTCATTCTAACACTGGAGTATCTTCTATTTGTTTCCACTGTTATCTTCTTAAAGTCTTAGGAGAAAATGAAAAAGTGAGTTTCAACTGATTCCCTCAAATAGGGTATCCTGTTTCCCTCAAATAGGTATCACTCAGATCCCCCACATTAGAGCATTTGACTCTCAATATTTTTGTTACAGTCTGAGAAGCCTGTAATGGACTGGTCTCACAGAATTCTCACCCAAATTAAATAATTAAGACTGTCTGTTTCAGAATATCATTCTTAGAAAAAATAGACCATAGAATCATATATAGACTTCCTTAGACAGAGCATGGCAAATCTATATGATTAGGTGATTGAATGTGGGTATTAGAAAGCCTGTCCCAAAAGGAAGGAGGGAGAGATGGATTAGACAGTACTGTGTGCCAAATATGGTGAGAATACTAAGGAAGAAGTACTTAATTCTGCCTGGTGGCACAGGGAAAGGCTGTAGAAGTGACATGTGAGCTAGCTCTTAAGGGATGAGTTTAAATTAAGCAGATGGAGAAAGAACTACCAGTTGGTAAAAGTCAACAAGGTTTAATTCTGTAAAAAGCTATATAGCTTACATATAAACTTGTATATATAATTGTGCAGAAGGGAAACCTTAAGTTAAAACCAAAATAGGCTTTGTTTTGAAGCAAACTCTAAGACATTAGTACTATGGGGTCTTGAAGAGTGAGCCAGGACTCACAAAGTCTCAGAGTTTAGTACTTAATGTAAATTTTGGTGCTTTATATCTTATATTTATGATAGGGAATGGGAACTGATGTTAGCTACTATTTTTTAGCCATAAAAACAATTTCCTCCTGGGTCGTCTTCAAGGTTCTCAATAAGAATAGCCAAAAAGGGGCTGGGAGTGGTAGCTCCCAGAACTTCGGGAGGCCGAGGCGGGCGGATCACTTGAGTTCAAGACCAGCCTAGGCAATGCGGTGAAACCCCATCTCTACCAAAAATACAAAAAAATTAGTCAGATGTAGTGGTGTTTGCCTATAGTCCCAGATACTTGGAAGGCTGAGGTGGGAGGATCGCTTGAGCCTGAGAAGCAGAGGTTGCAGTGAGCCAACATAGCACCACTGCACGCCAGCCTGAGTGACAGAGTGAGACCCTGTCTTAAACAAAAACAAACAAAAGAGTAGCTGAAAAGAATCCTAAGACTAATCTATTTATTTATTTATTTACTTTATTTTTGAGACAGAGTCTTGCTGTTGTCAGCCTGGGCTGGAGTGCAATGGCATGATCTCAGCTCACTGCAACCTCCGCCTCCCCGGTTCCAGCAGTTCTTCTGCCTCAGCTTTCCAAGTAGCTGAGATTATAGGTGCCTGCCACCGTGCCCGGCTAATTTTTGTATTTTTAGTAGAGACGGGGTTTCACCATGTTGGCCAGGCTGGTCTCGAACTCCTGACCTCAAGTGATCCACCCACCTCGGCCTCCCAAAGTGCTGGGATTACAGGCATGAGCCACCATGCCTGGCCAAACAGACTAATTTAAAAAGAAGAAGAGATAGGAGAGTTGTCTAAGAACTTCCTCTCATAAAAACATCAGACATAAATAGTTTCACAGAGAAAACGTACCAACTCTTTAAATACATAATTACAATATAATTTAAGCTGTCTCAGAGCAGAGAGGGGAAAAGGTCTTTTTTTTAACTAAAAGAGTCTAACATTGATCCTCACCACCCCCCGCCCCATACACACACACACACATGCATACACAAAGAAAAGCTAATAAAAATTGCATATAGAAATTTTTTTTTTTTTTTGAGGTGGAGTCTCGCTCTGTCACCCAGGCTGGAGTGCAGTGGTGCTATCTCAGCTCACTGCAAGCTCCGCCTCCTGGGTTCACGCCATTCTCCTGTCTGAGCCTCCCAAGTAGCTGGGACTACAGGTGCCCGCCACCACGCCCGGCTGATTTTTTTGTATTTTTGGTAAAGACGGGGTTTCACCGTGTTAGCCAGGATAGTCTCGATCTCCTGACCTCATAATCTGCCCGTCTCAGCCTCCCAAAATGCTGGGATTACAAGTGTGAGCCACCGTGCCCAGCCACATATAGAAATATTAAAAGCAGCAGAGCACAGCATGGACTCTGGACTAGACTTTTGGGTGTAAATCCTAGCTCTAGTTTACTAGTAGTTGTGATATGGGCAAGTTATTTAATCTCCATGCCTCAGTGTTCTCATCTATAAATTGGTTAATAGTACCAAACTTAGGATTAAATGAGTTAATTTTTTGTTTGCTTTTTAATTGAGACAGAGTCTCGCTCTGTCACCCACGCTGGAGTGCAGTGGCACAATCTTGGCTCACTGCAACCTCTGCCTCCTGGGTTCAAGCGATTCTCATGCCTCAGCCTCCCGAGTAGCTGGGACTACAGGTGTGCACTACCACGCCTGGTTAATTTTTGTATTTATTTTTAGTAGAGATGGGGTTTTGCCTTGTTGGCCAGGTTGGTATTGAACTCCTGACCTCAGGTGATCTGCCCTCCTTGGCCTCCCAA
Organism: Homo sapiens; assembly: GCF_000001405.40. Classification (NCBI taxonomy): domain Eukaryota; kingdom Metazoa; phylum Chordata; class Mammalia; order Primates; family Hominidae; genus Homo; species Homo sapiens. Next base: position 71,842,128 of record NC_000015.10, on the reverse strand, counting down.
AGTGGTGGGATTACAGGTGTGAGCCACCATGCCCAGTCTAAATGAGTTAATATTTGTAAAACCATTAAGAATTATGCTTGTTATGGACCTCTCTCCATAGAGAGAAAGAGAGTTCTTATACACACACCCCCATACACAGATAGCACTTGATATATAAATGTAGGACTGCCTCATCTATGAATATTAATTCAAAAATCCTAGGTTAAAATATCACCGGCACTTTGGGAGACCAAGGCATGTGGATCCTTGAGCCCAGGAGTTTGAGACCAGCCTGGGCAACATGGTGAAACCCCGTCTCTACAAAAAAAACAAAAAAAACAAAAAAAAAAACTACCCCTGGTGGCGAGCACCTATAGTCCCAGCCACTAGGGAGGCTGAGATGAGAAAATCACCTGAGCCTAGGAAGTCAAGGCTGCAGTGAGCCATGACTGCACTCCAGCCTGGGTGACAGGGGGAGACCCTATCTCAAAAAAATAAAAAATAAAGAAAAATTTAAAATAAAATAAAAATGAATCAGCAAGCAGAATTCAATAGCCTATAAATATAAAAATATAAATCTTGACCAAGGAGGGTTTAACCTAGGAATGCAAGGATGACTCTATGTTAGGATAGCTGTTAATGTAATTCACCATGTTTGTTGATCTGTGGAGAAAAATCGTATTATCCTCATAGATATTTTAAAAGCATTTGATATATTAGCATTCTTTTTAAAAACATTCTTATTAAAACAGGGATATCTTACATTCTTAGCATGATAAAAAATATATCTGAACCCAAAATCCAACATCTTGCTTAATGGAAGAACACTGGAAGCATTCTGATTAAAATCAGAAAAGGCAATGCTATCCATTATCCCCACTATTATTTGACATTGATTTGAAGGTACTAGATAAAGCAATTAAGAAAAAGAATTGGAGATATAAAATAAAGAAATAAAATTATCACCATTTCCATTATGATTATATACATGCAAAACTCAAGAAAATCAATGAAGGAACTTAAAGATGATAAGAGAATTCAATAAGGTGTCTGAGTACAATTAATAAATTTTACTTATGCAAACAATCACTTGGATGATATGATGGAAGAAAAATGCCCATTTGTATATTGTACACACACACACTTTAAACATCAACATCAAATACCAAAGAACACACTTAACAAGAAATGTAAAAGATTTGTACAAAGAAAGCCTTAAGGCTGGGCACGGCGGCTCACGCCTGTAATCGCAGCACTTTGGGAGGCCGAGGTGGGCGGATCACGAGGTCAGGACGTCGAGACCATCCTGGCTAACGTGGTGAAACCCTGTCTCTACTAAAAAATACAAAAAAATTAGCCGGGCATGGTGGCAGGCGCCTGTAGTCCCAGCTACTCAGGAGGCTGAGGCAGAAGAATGGCGTGAACCCCAGAGGCAGAGCTTGCAGTGAGCCTAGATCGCGCCACTGCACTCCAGCCTGGGCGACAGAGCAAGACTCCGTCTCAAAAAAAACAAAAAAAGAAAGCCTTAAAACCTCAAATATTACAAAAGAAGACTTAAATACATTTGGAAAGAAAGGCTAAATTTTGTAATGGTGTCAGTTCTTCTAAATTAATCTATTCATATATTGTTTCAATACCCACTAGGAGGGAAAGAGGATATTTTCTTAGGCTCAACTTTCAGACTCATATGACTACCATGGGCTCCACTTGGCATCAGAATCACTGAGGATATGGGACTGGGAGTATAGCATGCCTGCAGAGAGCCTAAGATCATCCTCGTGTGGGAGCCCTTGCAGCAGTCCACACAACCATCAATGAGTTATCTTTGGCTTCTAAGTCACAACTCAGGTGCAAGGAAAAAGGACTCCACATCCAATGGATGCAGAACTATTCTGCCTTAGAAGTTTTATGCCTGTACAGGAATTAACCTCTTGTGAAATTCCATAGATATTGTTTCCAGGGTCCCCTCAAGGGGTATGTCCAGTTACAACAGACTCCACTTTCAGGGAATTGGAAATATATGACTTCCTATGGGATATTTATAAATTACTTCTCCAGATGCGATTTATCAATCAGATTAATTTTTGCCAGAGGTGATGTTGCCTAATAACATCATTTGCATCCTGCCTTTATCAGGTTTCCAGGGGTCCTGAGCTAGAACATTTGACCAAAGATCAGTTCTTACACAGACAAGGAAAGAGTTTCATAACTACTTACAAATGAGGTCTCAACAAAAACAGCAAAAGAATACTTTGGGGATCTTTACAAGTTGATACTAAAATTCATAAGAAAATAAAGAAGCAGAATAGGAAAATTCTAAAAGAGAAAAATAAAGGATTATAATGTGAGTGGCATTTCAAAGGTCTGGGATTCACTAAATGATGTGGGGAAAATGAATATCCATGTAGGGAAGAAAAGAAACAAAAAAAAAGCCGATTCAGGCCAGGCACAGTAGTTCATGCCTATAATCCCAGCACTTTGGAAGGCCAAGGCAGGAGGATTGCTTGAAGCCAGGAGTTTCAGACCAGCCGTGGCAACAATGCGAGATATCATCTCTACAAAAAATTTAAAAAGTTAGCTGGGCATGGTGGTACATGCCTATAGTCCGACGAATTGGGGACACTGAGGTAGAAGGATCCCTTGAGCCCAGGAGTTCAAGGCTGCAGTGAGCTATGATTGTGCCACTGCACTCTAGGCTGAGCAAGAGTAAGACCCTGTATCTTTAAAGAAAGAAAGAAAGAAAAAAAAAACCTGATTCACATCAAAGACTAAAACATAAAAGTACTGGAAGTACAGCTCTGGCACTCCATCCTGGCAGAGGTTCTCACTGCCCTGCATCCTGTAGAACTCAAGTACCCTACCTCTCTACCTTAATACTGCCAAAATATCCAAGTAGTTTAACTCAGCTCAAAGGGCAATCGGGAAGGAGCACAAGGGGAAATCAGCAAAGTTATCAGCTAAACCTTTTCATGCAAAAGTTGAAACCAAGCCATAAAAGGTGGCTGAAGAGGATACATCTTTAGGGTGAAAAAAGTGCAAATAAAAAGGGAAAAGGGGAGCAAATGGAAAGAGATTAACCAAAAAACATTTATCTTCATAAAACAGAAACTGAAAACAAGCCAGAAAGAAGCTTAAGTGTGATTAAAGATCTCTTATTAAGTCAGGGGTCCCAGTATCTCATTGTACAATTCAGAAGAATTTTTAAATTATTTTATAAGTGTACCTTTTTAGAGCTCTGAAAACACAGCTTTTAAGAAGAGAACTCCACTTCCTCCCACTTGAAAGGAATGAATTCAGTGCTAGTTTATTTTTCTGTACAAACTGAGAATAGTTAGCTCTCTATAAGCCTAATAATGTCTTAAACTGCTTCCTGATCTTGGCTCTCTGTCAAAAGCATATTATCTGTGATGTCTTTGGTAGTGGTAGTCCAGTCCAGATTTTTCTGATAATCCTGTTAATGTGCTATAAAGGATTGGAAATCTGGGTATTGTATATAATATTAAATTGTGATTTAGTAGGACTTGAGACCTACTACTTATCAACAGTTCAAGATAATTGTATTTGATATTCTCATTTTAGGAACAGTTTGCCTGCAAAGTTTAAGCCAGGAAGTCACTGGAATAGTTACTGAGAAAAAGGATGACAATATGGCTTTATATTTTTTCCAGTACTTGCATTAAGAGTTGGGTACAAATTATTCATGTAGTCTGTGATCAGTCAAAACCAATACAATCCCTATTATGATGGAAAAATATAATCTTGGACAGGGCTTTGCTATTATATAAGACCATTAAAGAAAAAAGTTGAAAGGTTCAGCAACAAAAACCAGGTATTATTGTGTGACAAAAATGACCATAAGGAAAGTAAAAGGGAAGTGACGTACCATAAGAAAATATTTTCAATTCCTATTTCAAAGTCTAATTTTCCTTAATAAAGAGAAGCTCCTATAAGTAAATAGAAAGATTAGCTACCCAGTGAAAAATGAACAAAGGATACTATAAACCACTTCTCAGTGTTATCTACAGATCCTTTTCAGGGAGGTCTACAAGGTCAAATTTATTTTTATGATACTGTCAAGAAAATATTTGCCTTTTTCACTCTGTGACACACTGGTGGTAGAAAAACAATTATGGAAAAAAACACTACAAGAGAATATACAGTGAACATGGATCCAAAAGAAAAAATTCCAGTTTGAAAAAAGTAAATTCATGCTTATTTTAGGAAAGTGGGAAAGTGAAGGATATTATTCCAGTCAGGAAACTACTGTTAATAATTTAGTGTATTTGCAAATTTTGTATTACTCATTTTTAAAACCAATGGTATACAACCTTATGTACTGTTTTTAACACAATATTAGTATTTTCTCATGTTTCTAAAAGCTCCATGTAATCAACTTTTTAAAAATTACTTTAATCTTTTTAAGATAATTCTAGGCTGTAGGAGTTTCCATTTTTCTTTGTTTTGTTTAATGCTTCTTAAAAGAGATCAGATCTGTTGAGCTTGTTTGATTTTCTTTAGCCATATTAAAAGATTTGCAGCTAACTCATGGTGAAATACTCCGGTGGCCAGCTGATGGTATGAACACTGAAAAAAGGCAGCTCTTTTATTGAATACTGGAATGTGGACACTAGGAATAAACTCAGATTTTCAAGCTCCTTGAGGCTTTTAAATCATATTATTTATTCATTTGGCTAGAAATAGTCAATGTCAAATGGAACTGGATGATGTCCTGGAATTTATAACATAAAGAATACTTTGTCATTTTTTGTTAAATTTGCAGAGTGATCTTCTGTTTTTAGCTTGTTTTTCTTAACATGTTTTTTCCTTGTTGATTTTAGAACTAAAAGTGGAATAGCAATATTGTAATCCTCCTGATTTTATCCCATTAAGTGTTTTAGTTTTGGAGGAGTTAGCCTGAATGCCCTTAGAACTACCCTCCAGCCTTTACCCTATCACCTGCCCTAGATCATGGATTTCTATTTTTGAGACAGCACTTTTCCTTTCTTTCTTGCCAAACTCAACTCAGAAATTTGTCAGTTTAAAGTCACATAATTTTCAAAGGCTATTCGTATATTTCCATAAATAGCTAACTTTGAAAAGGAACTCTTAAATATCTTTTTTATTGCAAAATACAACACATACATAACAACAAAACACATACAAAACACAGAAACATATTCAGTTTAAGGAATTATTATAAATGAACATCCACATACCACCCCAGCTCAAGAAATAGGACATTGCCAGCATCCCCAGAAGCTCTCCTCTTTCCCTTTCTAGTCACAATCCTCTTTCTCCTCCAAAGGTAAGCAGTAACCTGATTTTTACATTAATGACTTACTTTATTTTTTGTTTGCTACCAAAATATGTATCCCTGAGCACTGTAGTTTTGCTTTACCTAACTTTGAGCTTTATATAAATGGTATCATCTAAGATGTATTATTTTGTCTCTGATTCATTTCAGTCAACCTTATGTGTGTAAGACTTATTCATATTTTGTTGTAGCTCATTTTCATAACTGTATAGTTTATCAGTGTATGCATTATACCACAATTTAGTCTACTGTTGATGGACATTTGGGTTGTGTTTTGGGGAATTATGATTTTAATGGACTCATACATGTATTTTTGTTGGAGAAATATACAGGAGTGGATTTGCAGGGTCACAGGATATATGTGTCTTCAGCTTTAGTAGATAATGCCAAACTTTCTTCCAAAATGGTTGTTAATATGTTAGCAATGTGTAGGAATTCCCAATTGCTCCACCTCCTTCCAGCACTTCTTTTGCCAGATTCCTTAATTTTAGCTATTCTGATGGGTGTGTTATTTTTAAAAATTGTATTTTTTGTTGTGACTCTAACATGTATAATGTGTGTGTATATATACATGTTGGCCATTTCTGTATCCTCTTTTGTGAGGAGCCTGTTCAAAGCTCTTGCCTGTTTTTCTAATTGGATTGTCTGTCTTTTTCTGATGTTCTGTAGGGATTCTTTATGAATTCCAGATACAAATCCTTTATTGTTACTTTTGTTGCAAATTTTCTTCCATTCTATGGTTTGCTTTTTTCCTTTCTTTTTTGATGAACACAGGTTCTGGATTTTAATGTTGTTAATCAGTCTTTCCCTTTAGGATGAATACCTTTTAAAGTCATGTTTAAGAAAATTTTTCCTTTCCACAATGCCCTGCAGTTCCCCTTTTATTATAAATTGGGAGCCTTCTTATGTGTGGGTCTGTTTCTAGGTGCTCTGTTTTGACTATCTTTGTACCAACACCACCACTATTTTATTTACCCTAGCTTTCTAAAAATAACTGGTAGAATAAGTCATCCTACCTTCTTCAGTGGTGTTTTGACTATTCTTGGCTCTTTATATGCCATATAAATTATGAAATCAGCCTCAAAAAATTCTCTTGGGATTTTTATTGGGATTGCATTGGATCTATAGATTGCCTTCTGGAGAACTGACATTTTTACGATACTGATTTTTCCCATCTGTGAACATGATATATCTCTTCATTCATGTAGATCATTAGCTACTCTCAAAAGTGTTTTATAGTTTTGTACGTTGAGATTTTACACATCTTTAGTTTGAATTACTACTAGGTATTTAATATTTAAATGCAATCATAGGTATTATTTTAAAATTTTTATTTTCTGTTGCTTATTGTATAAAAATACAATTGATTTTGGTATTTTTCATCTTGTATTCAGTGACTTTGCTGAATTCACTTATTCTAATAAGTTTTCTGTGGACTCCTTTGGATTTTCTACCTGTACAGTCATATCATTCATGAATAATGATAGTTTCATTTGCTCTTTTGTAATCCTTATACCTTTTCTTTCTTTTTCTTATGTAAGTTAGAACCTCCAGTATAGTGTTGAATGGAAGTGGTGATAGTGATCATTACTGGCATGTTCCCAGCCCCAAAGGAAAAGCTTTCAACCTTTTACCACCAAGTGTGATGTTTGCTATAGAATTTTTGTAGGTACTTTATGAGATTAAGCATGTGTCCTTCCATTCCAGGTTTTCTAAGAGTTGTTATTGTGACAGAATGTTGAATTTTATGAAATGCCTTTACTGCATGTATTGAGGTTTTATCAGACTTTTTTATTGCATTGATATGACACATTACACTGAGTCCATTTCTAATGGACTACATTAGACTACTACATTATAATGTAGTAGTATCATTATATTATGTGTATGTAGTAGTATCATACTACTACAATAAATCCAACTTTTCATATATTTAAAATTTTTATATTACATTTTCTATATTACTTGATTCCGTTGTAGTTAGGATATTGTTTAGGATTTTTGCATGTGTTTATGAGTAAAGTTAACCCATAATAATCCTTTTTTGTTTTTGTTTGTTTGTTTGTTTTGAGACAGGCTCTCACTGTTATCACCCAGGCTGCAGTGCAGTGGCATGATCTTGGCTCACTGCAGCCTCAACCTCCTGGGCTCCCGCCTCAGTGCTTCATGTAGGTGGAACTACAGGCACGTGCCACCACACCTGGCTAATTTTTGTATTTTTTTTTTTTTAGAGAAGGGGTTTTGCCATGTTGCCAAGGCTGGTCTCAAACTCCTGAGCTCAAGCGATCCACCTGCCTCAGCCTCCCAAAGTTCTGGGATTGTGGGCATGCACTACTGCACCTGGCAATAATCCTTCTTTTTAATGTATTTGTTGTGTTTTGTTATCAAACTTAACGCCTGCCTCTAAAGACAAGTTAGGGAATAGTTTCTTTTTTAATTCTGTGGAAGAATTTGTTATTTCTTCTTCTTTGCCACTGAAATCTAGGCCTAGAGTTTTGTTTTTGGAAAGATTTTGACTCTGGATTCAATTTCTTTAATATTATTCACATTCCTAATTTCTTCATTGATGGTATTAATTAGATTTTCATAGAAATTTCTCCACTTTGTCTAAAATTTTATATTTATTGACATGAAGTTGTTTTTAGTAGTCTCTTATCCTCTTTGGGTCTACAGGATTTGTAGTGATATCCCCTTTTTCATTACAACCTTTGGTTATTTGTGACTTCTTTTAGTCTTGCTAGGGTTTTAAAAATTTTATTAGCCTCTTCAAAGAGCTACATTTGGCTTTGATTGTCTTTATTCTAATGTTTGTTTGCTCTTTTCTTTATTGCTTTTGTTGCAGGGGGAATTTATTATGTTGTTCTTTAGTTTCCTGAAATAGAGTCTTACATCCTTAATTAATTAATTCTTTAATTAATTAATTCTTTTCTAATGTATGTATTTAAGGCTGTAACTTTAAAGTAGACAGAGCTTACATGGGTTTTTATATTGTTTCATTCAAAATATTTTCTAATTTCCATTGTGATTTCCTCTTTGACCATGGTTTGTTTTAAAGTCTATTTCTTAATTTCTGAGTATACAAGAATTTTTAATTTTCTCTTTGTAACTACATTATTAGAAAACTTGTTTTAAATTACTTTAACGGTCAGATAAATTATTTCAACCCTTGGAATTTTGTTGTCTTGCTGTGTGCGCTTTAAAATGAGTATTCTCTAGTTAGATACTGAAGTCTGTATATGTCTGTTAGATTGCTTATATCAAGTTCAGTTTTACATCATTTCTGATTGCGTGTGCATACTTGTTCTCTCAGTACTGATTATAGTCTATTTTTTAAAAATAGTTTTGTCAATATTTTACTTTAAATTTTTTGAAGCAATTTCTTAGGTACATACATATTTGGAAATGTTATTCTTCATAATATGAACCTTTGTCATTGTGAGGTATCCCTCTTTATCACAGGTAATACTTCTTAAAGTTTACTTTGTTTACAGTTAATATAGCTGTACTAGCTTTATTTTGGTATTTGCATGGTATGTCTTTTTTTTCCCATTTCTTTACTCTCAGCCTTTCTGAATTCACATGTCTCTTATAAACATCATATAGATAGGTTTTCTTTTTTTTTATATGGCCCAACAATCTTCAAATTTTAATAGGAGCATTTCATCTATTTATATTTAATATACTCACCAATATATTTGGGCTTAAAATCTACTGTTTTTTATGTGCTTTTTATTTGTCCTGCCTGATATATGTTCCTTTTTCTTTTCTTCCTTGCCTTTTTTGCTCTTTCTTGCATTTTTTTACTACTTTTTTATTCCATTTTTTCTTTTGTTTGGAAGTTTTACTCTTTTACTATTATTTTAGTCATTAACCAAATGGTGAAAACAGATCTGTGATCTATCAGTATTTGCTAACTAGTAGTTTTATCTTTTTCCCAGATAATACAGGTGTTTTAATATGCCTTACTGTGATATGATTTTGTTCCTCTTGTTGTTGTGTATCTTAATTATCTGTATGTTTTAAATTCAACACATCGCTATTATGTTTTATGCAGTCACTATTTAAACATACTCACGTTTCATTGCCTTTCATTATTTCTCACACCTCTAACTTTTCTTCGAGACATTTTCAATCTTTCCTTCAATATTTCCTTTAGTGCAGGTCTGCTGGTGTGAGATTCTCCTCTTAGTCTGTCTGAAATGTCTTTATTTCACCTTCATTCCTGAAAATTATTTTCTGTATATAACAATCAAGCTTGGCAGTTACTTTTTCATCACCATGAAAATATTCCATTGTTTTCTGCATTCCATTATTTCTGTTGAGAAATAAACTTTGAATCTAATAGTTATTCCTTTTTTGCAAGGAATTTGCTTTTTGTAACGCTTTTAAGTCTTTTTTTTGCCTTAGGCCTTTAGTTTTTAACAGTAGTTTGTCTAGGTATAGACTTCTTTTTATTTCTTTCTTAGGGGTTGTAGGCTTTCTTAAATTCCTAGGTTAATATCTTTAACTGCTTTTAAAAAATTCTCTGCCATGATCTCTTCAATATTTATTCTATAGGATCTCTCTCTTGTCCTGATATTTGCCCAGGCTGGAGTGCAGTGGCGTAATCTTGGCTCACTGCAACCTCTGCCTCTCGAGTTCAAGCAATGCTCTTACCTCAGCATCCTGAGTACTGGGACTACAGGCGCATGCCACCACACCGAGCTAATTTTTGTATTTTCAGTGGAAATGGGGTTTCTTCATATTGGCCAGGCTGGTCTTGAACTCCTGACCTCAGGTGATCTGCCTGCCTCAGCCTCCCGAAGTGCTGGGATTACAGGCATGAGCCACGGTGCCCAGCCATTCTTTTACTTTCTTTTGTGAATTTTTCCATTCTTTTGTTTCTTCCTGCTTGGTTCAGGATTTTTCTTTTGACCTAATTTCCAGTCCACTACTTCAGCTATGTCTTCCTGTCTCCTTCAGCATGGTTATTTTAAATCTGATAGCCACAATATCTGGAGTCTTTTAGGGTTTCTGTTTTCTGTCATTTTTACTAGTTTTCATTTACATTGTCCTGTCTCCTTTTGTGCCTGTTACCTTTGATTATTTGTCAGAGTATTTGAAAAACTATTTTTAAAATATTTTGAGGCCTAGATAATGTTACTTTCTTCCAAGAATGTTTTCATTTTTTTCTGCCTGGTCCTAAAGTATTAGCAATCTGAGATTAATTCATTTTTAGGGATTAGAATTTTCTGGACCATTCAGATGACTTGAAGCTAGACTACAGTATCTGCAAGGACTTTTATAATTTCAGTTTACTCTTATGTCTAAGAAACAAACCTTGGGGATCCCAGTGTCAGGCACGGAGGTTTTGCCAGGCAGCAACCCACACCATTGAGTGGGTCTGGCTCCAACTTTTATTCTCTATCCCAAGGTGATGGCAGACTTTTTCTGTAAAGGACTAGAGAATAAATATTTTAGTCTTTGTAGGCCAATCTCTGTCTCAACAATCAACTCTGCCATTGTTCTGCAAAAGCAGCAATAAACAATAAATTAATGAGATAAATGTATTCCAGTGAACCTGTATTTACAAAATATGTGCAAGGCTAGATTTGCCACACGGGCTATAGTTTGCCGTCCTCTGCTGTAGCATGTCAAAAGCTCTGTTTAGAGTCACAGCCACTTCTGACATTTAGATCAGCACTAAATGCTGGACTAGTGTCTCCTTAATCTATCTTGTTAGCTCTTCAGTGCCTTCTAGCATATGTTGAGTTTTTATGTTTCTTAGCAGGAGATTAACCTAAAAAGTTTAGTTTGCCACTACCAGAAGAAAGTCATATATAAAGTAACCAATGTTTAAAAAAAAAAAAAAAAAAAAAAAAAGGAAGAAGCAGCAATGAGATTTTCACACTCTGATCTCAAGGATAGAAGTTTCCTAAGAAAATATATCTCACTAGCACCCTGTGTTCTATAAATGACTACATTTTGTTTTTGTTTTTCAAAACTGAGTTTTAGAACATACTTCTATGGTCTTCCTAGAGAGATTATGCATTCCAAGGCTACAGTTATAGAGCACTGTTATCCATCAGAACTTACTATGATGGTAGGAAATGTAGATCTGTACCAGTCAGTGTGGGGGTCACAAGCTACTTGTGGCTATTGAGCACTTGAAATGTGGCTAGTGTGACTGCAGAACTGAAATGTTAGTTCAATTTTAATTAATTTAAAAATAAATACCCAGATGTGGCTATTTTGTTTGGAATGGATGCAGCTTATATTAAAAGAAGAAACTCATCTCAGTACACAATGGGTTCTTACACTCCCACCTACCAAAGTATCCGTTTTCCAGTACTCCTGCAAGAAATATTTTAACTTAAATGTGTTGTATGAATATGTCTCACTAAATATCCTAGGCCTCGCAGAGTGTTTCCATTTATTCTTATCATTCACCTGGTGTGATGGAAATACACTTGTTATCCTAAAAGAGCAATGTAAAACTGATGCAGTCACTCAATTTACTTTCTAACATGAATTTTTCTCTGCAGGGAAAGGGGCGTATTCGTCGAGGAAACTATCCAGGTCCATCGTCTCCTGTTGTAGTTCGGTTGCCTTCTGTGTCTGATGTCTCAGAGGAGACCTTGACTAGTGAGGCAGCCATGGAGACTGACATCACAGAACAGCAGCAAGCAGCTATGCAGCAGGAGGAGAGAGTACTGACTGAGCAGATTGAGAACCTACAGAAGGAGAAGTGAGTATCCAGGAGGAAGGGGAGAGACAGTTATAGTCTGTTTTTGTTTCCTTCCTTCTATCGTTTCTTTATTTTTTCTTATTTATTATCTCCTGTGTGTTAAACACTGTGTCAGATGATACAGGAGATGTTGAGATGACAAAGACGTGTTGTCTATACTCAGGTAACAGTGTGAGAGTTGTTCCCTCTGGGAAGCCAGTTCCATGAGCTGGGAAACCTGAGGCTGCTACAGTGATGGTCTGTAGAGGCTGACTGGGAGGAGGACACAGTATCCACAGGGCATGTCAGTCTTAGTCACGATTCATCTAGCAGTAACAGTGGGGAGCCAAGATGAGGTACTGGAGTCCTAACAGGTCGGAGACCAGCCTCCATGAACAGATTTATTTTGCAAAGAAGAGAAGGAATTCTTAGGCTAAGCCAAAGTCCCTTTCAAGAATGGGCATTATTCACAAATCCATGAAGGAAGGTTATTAGCCAAAGATCCATATGACCATGGGAACAGCAACTAGATGGTCATAGTAAGGCTATAGCCCTAGAGGGTGCTAGGATACTAGATAGGGAAATTGGTTGCAATTTAGGAGAGAGACAAATGAGAAGCTCTTTTACCTCCATTCATCACTGTTGCAGGGATTGGGTGACAGTATGCCTTGGGGATAATATGAACGTGCCATGGTTCTCCCTACAGGTGCTGTGTAATAGTTCTGGTCGACATTGATGACTCTTAGGAAGTCTTAATGGGATCTTTATTCCTGAGTTCCAGGATCCCAGGTCTTGAGTTTGGTTTATAAGGGGATATAAGACTGTTAAAATACTTTCTTGGTCTCTCATGATTGATTCTGGAATATAGGCCAGCTAAAAAAGCAGCTGGGGCTCAGCTGTAAAAAACATGATAAGGCAAAGATGATGTACATTGACCAGGGGCTATTTGCTAGAAGAGTGATCTGAAAAGAAGACCCAGTTTGGCTTTGATGCAGATGATATTGGCAGTCTTGAAGGATTAATAGGAATTTTCAAGGAAGGGGAGAGTCTCTAGAAAAAGAAAGAAGAACGAGCAGAGTCTCAGAATGCACATGGCCTCAGACAATTGTAATGCTGGTGATACTGTTCTTGAAATGATTGTTCATGGATCTCAAGCCAGGTAAAGGGGAAGTAAAGGTAAGGGGCTCTGTTAGGGAAGAGACTTGATTAGAAGGTGAGTAAGAATTGGAAGGATAAGGAGGTTGTGAACAGGGTGGAGTGTTGGATTCAGAGTAATGACAAGCTCCAGGATCTGTGCATTGGAGAAAGTAGCTTAGATAAAGTAGAGGAGAATATTGTTAGAAGTTGCAGACATAAAGGAACTTCAGTGTTAGAATATTCAGATGAGTTTTTACAAAGATATTAATTGAATAGATCAGGTGATGTCAGGCATTAGTGAAAAAGCAAGATTAGGATCTGAGTACCAAAGACCTCACAGAATGTGGGGCATTACTGAGAGGTAGCTGGGTGACCGTGATGAAGAAGGGAGACTAGAGAATACGACAACTGAAGATGGCATAAGCTTCAAAGGACAGAAAAGATCAATCAGTGTTTTTCTTCGTCTAGAGGTCTCTGTGGTGAAGATAGAGGGTATCGTCTATAGCCAGTTAGTAAGCTTCATGGAAAATAGTTTAAGAGCTGGAAGGAATCTTAGAGGTTATCTAGTTTAATCTCTTTGTTTTGTGGTAGGAAGCTGAGGTCCAGAAGAGAAAGGTACTTTCCTGATGCATTATGGATATTATGAACAAGGTTAGAGCCCTGATCTCCTGCTTATCAGTCCAGAGTTCATTTTACTGAAAGATCTCACCACTACATCTTTCTTCACCCTACCCTTACCCCTATTATTGGTCCTAGATTGGCTATCTGTCATTTTGTCCTTTAGTCCATATAGTTTTAGCCTTCACCATATTTGGCATACAGGTCCTCATCACCACCTGGATGGGGACAGTAAAAATGGACTCTCTTTGCTTCTTAGATTCCTGACTTCCATGGAGGATCTTTTTTTCTGTTATCTTCCTTCCACTTCCTATCAAATGCTAATGGTTTCTTGATTGTGTCTTACAGGGAGGAGCTAACATTTGAGATGCTTGTACTGGAACCCCGTGCCTCTGATGATGAAACCCTTGAGTCTGAGGCCTCCATTGGGACTGCTGATAGCTCAGAGAATTTGAATATGGAGTCTGAATATGCTATCTCTGAGAAATCAGGTAAGTGAACATGGTAGACCAAAGACTCCAGATTTGTTTTGCAAAGGAGGAATAAAGATTCCAAAACTAAGACAAAGTCTTTTAAGAATTTACTGACTGTACATCAGCAATAACAAAGTCTTGAGGAATTTTGTCCTTTTATCCATATAATTTTAGCCTTCATCGTTTGGCATACAGGTAGTGACCTGGATGGGGATAAGAAATATAAGGGGATAAGAAATATAATTGTCTTTGCTACTTAGATTCCTGACTTCCACGGAAGGTCTTTTTTTTCCTGTTGTCTTTGTAAAGCTTCCATATACATTGTTTATCAAACCAACTCTTCAACGTGATTGAGTTTTTTGTTTTTTGTTTTGTTTTGTTTTGTTTTTTGGTAATTTAATGTTTTATCCTGTACTTACCACAGAGAAAAGCCAATAATCACAATATATGTTGTCTTACTGACCCATAACCCATTTTCTGAGGGTGGCAGGCATTGTGCCCCCACTGTGAGGTGGGACTATATACATATACAAAGGAGGTGTTTAACTGGGTGGCATGTCTCAGGGAGATGTAGGACTTACCTGCATATCCTGGCAGTTTTTGAAATGATAGTGACTGTTCTAGGCCTCCGCTGATGGCATAGTCAAACACCAGATTTCCTTGGAGATGATTCGGAAATGCTACATAGAGAAATGGATGGTGAGCTCTTACTGTGACTGTGCCCATAGTAAGTCATCCTGGACCCTCTGAATCTTATCCCACCCAATTTCATGTGTGAACAGTGGCATCTATTCATTATATGATGATTTGCTTTAGAGGGCACTGTCATTTACATCTTTGGTCTCTTTTTTGCATTAGAAAGAAGCTTAGCCCTTAGCTCCCTGAAGACAGCTGGCAAGTCTGAACCTTCCAGCAAGTTGCGAAAGCAACTTAAAAAGCAGCAAGACTCTTTAGATGTCGTGGACTCTTCGGTCTCCTCTTTATGTCTGTCTAACACGGCATCATCTCATGGGACCAGAAAACTATTTCAGATTTATTCCAAATCTCCATTCTACCGAGCTGCCTCAGGTAATGAGGCCCTGGGAATGGAAGGACCATTGGGCCAGACCAAATTCCTGGAAGACAAGCCTCAGTTCATCAGCAGAGGAACCTTCAACCCGGAAAAGGGCAAACAAAAATTAAAGAATGTGAAAAACTCACCTCAGAAAACCAAAGAGACCCCAGAGGGGACAGTCATGTCTGGCCGCAGAAAAACTGTGGACCCAGACTGCACCTCCAACCAACAGCTAGCACTCTTTGGAAATAATGAATTTATGGTCTGAACCGGCAGATGTGTGTCCCTCCGTGGCTACAGAGTGGTAAACAAATCTCACCTTTGGGGCTGCGTTTCATCACCTCGTCCACAATAGTCAATCCTAATTGTGGTCCTGCCTCTTTTCTAAGCATATGGCTAAGACTGTATGTGCTGAATTCCTGGGCCTCCTGCAGAAGCAGAAAGCCTGCTGGGGATGGTGCCAGCTGTGCCTTGGCTGTTGTATTTGAATTGAGATTTTTACTATACAAAGCCACCTAGGGCCTGGGGATTTGGGTCAGTTGTAGTTGCCTCTCCCCCACCCTCTTTTCCCTTCCCAAAGGTGGGTGTTGAACTAGGGGGGATATTGCTGTCCTGAGGGACCCTCTCATTTCTGACATTTGAAGAAAACGTATAAATCTTTCTTAACCGTGAAAGCAAAAGCCTTTGGGTTTATTTTGGGATAGTTAGGAGCTAGGGTAGAATATAATTTTTTTCCAAAAACTTACTTACAAACAAAAAGCCTAATCCCTCTATTTTAAGATTTCTGAAAAAACACTCCATGTTATATTCTGGGGAAAGCAAAAACAAAAAAAAAAAACAAAAAAAAAAAAACAAAAAAAAACCGTGATTGTTTCCATTAAGCCATCAGAGCGTGTCTCAGATATCTTGTTATACAGTGAAGAAGAGAATACCTATTTTTTTTGATGATGTTTGATGTCATAGTAATCAGTGCTGGTTTAACTCCTGTTTAGTTCCTGCCAAATACATTGCATGGGCTGAAGTGTCAGTAGCCATACTGTTCTCATGTTTCTTGGTCCTAGGATCAGATTCTTCTACATTATTTTTTAGTTTCCCAGAGACATGGTGATCCCTAAACTTATGAAGGTTTCATCCTAAGCCATTCAGGCTTTTCTCTTTGTATAGATTAAACCGAAAACCGCATATGAGCCTGTTCATCTGCTGGTGGATTCCCACCACAGACTCAGACTCAAACAAACAAACAAATAATGTGACCGTTTAGTTAGTTTCCAAAAACATTCACATACAATATTGCATGAATAAGTAAGTAAGTGTTACAGAAAGCTGCCAAAAAATAAAAAGGTTTTTAATATGACCTATCTAACTAACTAACTTTTATCTTCCTTTTCTCAGACTATCAGTATTAAATAGATGGAAAAAAATCAAGGACTACTTGAAGCTATTTTTGTTAATATTCTGGTTACTGAAGTTTATTGTAAATATGTATGTATAGTAGGCATATTTCTTTTTAACCTTGTGCTTCCCTCCTTCCCATGGAATTTCTTCCCACAGATGAGGGGCCACTGGACAGGGGGATGAGAGCCATTCGTCCCTGGGTTGAGGGAATTAGTAAGACATCATTTTCACCACTGGGTGGTCTTCATACACATGAGTTATAATAGCATTTTAAGTATCTTAGCATTTGTGGGATTAGAAATCTGTTTTTGCTATTTATAATATATAAAAAATGAAACATGATAGCCTTTCTTGAGATAAGTATGTGAAATGTTTATTTTTAAAGTTACTAAATGCATCTTGTCTTGCTACTACATGCACTGCTCTGAAAAAGAGCCTTTACCATCTATAACCTGTATTTTGGGTATTCTTCCTTTTCATACTTCTTTGAAGTTGTGGAAATATTAAGTCTTTTGTTAAGGCAGAGTCTCTCTCTCCTGTTACACAACACTGAACCTCACGCCACTGCCTCAGTGGTTATTGGCCAGCCCCAGAGGTTAGACTTGGAGCATAATTCTGAGTGGCAGCTAAAGGTAGCAGGAGTCTTACCTCTCCCTACTTTGGGTTCAGAATTGAGCCAGAGAAAGGAAGCCATTAAAATCTCCAGAATAATGATAGTTAATGAGCAAATGTTATGCTTTATATCCCACAGACATCTGCCACCTTGTTCATCTTGTCCTGAGGAGTAATAAATAATGTTAAGCTTTTAAAAATCTGAATTTCAGAGAATCTCCTAGAGGATAGAGGAAAACCCCTCAGCATGGTGTGTTAGAGTGGGATTGCTGGTTCCTCAGCCCCGTGCCAGGTTGCACAGTCTGTGTTTCAGTGTTCTTGGGAGAGTAGTGTACTGCTGGGCATTAATTGTTACTCTGCACTTGCTCCAGAATGTTGGTTAAATCCTGTATGAAAAAAAGAGATTGCCCTTATGGAATAATTTCCTGTGGCCCAGAGGAATGGCCAGAAGAACATATGTTGGCACATGTTCTTCCTTCTAAATCTTTGTGGGGCTTTTTTGGCAAAATAAGTTTTTTGGCAGTTAAAAAACGACTGATGTAGGTCACTTTAAAGGAACTAGGTGATGGATGTTAAGAGACTTTATAATTTTTCTCAGGGACCTGAAACTCCAGTTTGGATAAAATTCAATTAAAAAAACTTGTTTTTTCAGTTGCTAGATTTGTGGATTTCTAGTAATTTAATCTGCCAGGATTGGGGTGGGTGGGTGAGGAGGAGAGAGCCACAAAATGATAAGAGTGGAGAGCAGTGTGGGGCCCTCCCTTTGAGGGAAAGCCGTTGTTTACATAGGGTAGTAGGCCTTGTTGGCCTGATCAAGAGATGAAGCCATAACTCTTAAAAACCTTCAGAACCAAACGCTGTGTCTGCATCCATCTGTTCTCACTGGCCCTCTGCATGGTAAAGTTATGTCACCACAAAGTGATGCCGCATTACAATCACTTATGAAACTGTTAGCCCTTAATATGCATCACATTTGTGGTTCCATAGTGCTTCTCCTTTGCTTGTTTGATCTCTGCATGGCAGCAGTGGGGCAGCTCCACATTTGGAGCCCATACTCCAAAATGCAGAGCACTCTTCTCACAGCACACATTCCCAGCCCCAAACAAAACCTGAATTTTCAACTCTGCCCATTAAAGTGAATGTATCCCTGTAATTTAGTATGTACTTATTATGGAAAATGTAACAAAAGCAGAGAAGTGTGATTTCATTCTGTATCACAAATTGAAGCAAATCAACAGCAAATACAGCAGGATTCAGGGAGGCTTAGTTTACAACGTACTTTGTACCTCCTGCCATTTAAATTATTTTGCCACTCTGGGCTTCTGAAAACACAAAGGGAGATACAGCCCTCCAACTATGAGCCTTGCAGAGAGAGACAAAAGGGCCAGAGGTCCTGGGATGGAATACTAGAGCCCCCACCTTCTCATGCTTTGGAAACCTGCCAGAGCACTTACCCTGCTGGAAGATTAATGAAGACTCCATTCTGTGTTTCATAACAGTAGCGTTGTTTTCTCCATCAAAAACAGAGGGTCACAGAAATGTGCTGAAAAGATGTGGTCCAGCAAGGTTCTGTAGTCCCACCTCAGTGCCTGTGGGCTGTGTTTTTCACTGTAACAAGCACTTTGGTAAACTAGAAAGAAGAAAGGATTCTCAGGATGTGTTCAAAGCTAAGAGAGTTTTCATTTTAAAAAGAAACATACATACTCACTCCATGGCTTTCCTCATCCTCCTCTCTTTTTTCTTCTTGGTGGGAAGCTGGATGCGGGGCATGCATCATTCTGTATGGACAAATGTGTTATGTCCACCCATACTCTTGTGACAACTCCCCAGCACTGTCCTGCAATACCATGCTGGCCTTGGTAGTAAAACTCCTTGGTATCTGTGAGAGTCCTCTTTTTCTATGCCCTAGACTACTTTTAACCACTTTTCTCTGGAATGACTCCCACATTTGATTGGGTATTGAAAGGGTAACAGCAAAATGATGATTGTGGAGATGGATCTATTAGGTCTCATGTTGGTCCCCTGGTTGAAACTATTTTCAAAAAAGCCCCAACAATGGGCCTGTCACCTTGCTAGTCATCCATTCTTAATGCCTATTTATCAGCCCTCTGAGGTCATATAAAAGTTGCACCTTTTGAACCAAGTATTTGTATTTACTATGGGAAAGGTGTGGACTACAGATTCGTATTATATTATTTTAATGGATTTTAAGTAATTTATAAGTATGCTGAGTGTAAATTTTTTTTAAAAACTGTATTATAAAAGGACATATCCTGTGAAATATAACATTTTACTGTTTAATAGAATAATTCTATAAGAAGAATGATTTATCTCACCCACGGAACTGATTACATTCCGGATGCAATCAATAGGCACTTTGTAATTTCCTTTTTGTTTTTTTTTCTTTGCTGGGGGGTTGAGGGGTAACAAGATACCATCTGTATAAAGTGCAGTTTGTGTCACTCAAAATATGCACTGTATGGCTACACAAAAGCAGCTTGATGAACAAATCACCCCATGGCTCATTAAAGAACAAAGCTTCCAGAAGCAGCAATATGTGTGGTTTGTTTTCCAACCATCCTGGCTCCCACTCCAACTATTCCAACCCAACTCCAAGAAACAGCAGTGACTTCTTAGTTACACTGATGTGTTTTCAGGAAAGGACTCAACCCAAAGTTGACAAAGCACAGAGGTGGTAGTCACTGGAACTCAACTGAATTCAAGTGAAGGTGTGATTCAAGGTGTCGTTTTTTCTGTAGTGGATGCAGGCTGCTGGCTGTCAAGACTTCATTTAATCGGTTTAAGGCTAGAAGGGAGGAAAAGCAGTAAATCTGCATTTAGGATCCTCCCCTAAATTGGCCACTTGAAGAAGTTGCTAATAGAGGTTGCCAATAGAGGGCCCAAGGATTCTCACTGAAATTCAAAGCAACACATTGCAATAGGAACAGAAATTTTAACTCAGTTTGTCATTTTTGTTCTGCTACCAACTTTACTGCATGTCTGGGAAAGGCATTCGCTCTCTCTGAATGTTAGTTTTCTTATCTGGAAGTCAGTTCTGTTTCCCAAACTCCCAGCTTTGGAGAACTCCTACTGACTCGCAGGTTTTAGTATAAAAGGTAGTTGTCCTAGGAAGTTTGCTCTGACCCTGTGAATTGGGTTAGAGGTCTGTGTTCTCAACAGCTCTCAGTTTTCACAGCGTCAAACACTTACCTGTCTTGCTGACTCTTAGATCCCAGCACCTAATAAAAGGTGCTGGCTAGGCAGATATTGGATGAGAGGATTGACTAGGATCAGTGGTTCCAAAATGCCAAATCAGGTCTGAGGTTACATGGGGAAAAAAACATGTCCCTAATGCCAAATGTATTCAATTTTTAAAATTCTGGGGTCATCCTTCTCACTTGTTTTTACGTTACATTTACATTTTCATTTTTGCATTAAATTTATATTACATTGAAATATGAAGTGTTAATTGTTTAAAATTCCCTTAGTTGCCCAAATAAAACCTAGAAATACCATTTTTATTTATTTTTATTTTTTTGAGATGGAGTCTCACTCTGTCACCCAGGCTGGAGTGCAGTGGCACAATCTCGGCTCACCGCAACTCCCACCTCCCAGGTTCAAGTGATTCTCCTGCCTCAGCCTCCCAAGTAGCTGGGACTACAGGTGCCTGCCACCATGCCTGGCTAATTTTTGTATTTTTAGTAGAGACGGTGTTTCACCATGTTGGCCAGGCTAGTCTCAAACTCCTGACCTCAGGTGATCTGCCTGCCTCGGCCTCCCAAAGTGCTGGGATTGCAGGTGTGAGCCACCACACCCAGCCGAAATACATTCTTAAAACTTGCCCCTGAGATGATTACTGAGAAGACAACTATTGTGATTATGAAGACCTGAGAACAGAAAGGTATATAAGGAGAGGCAAGTTATAAAGTGACCACAGCTTTGGTTTGGTTTGTTTTTTAAATTGCTTTTGCCCCTAGAATGGGTGGCAGTACAGTGTCTTAGAGCCAGAGATATAAACATGAAAGTAGATAAAGTACATGTAATATCTGACTGTTGAATCTTGTAGGTATCTCAGACTCACAGTCAAGGAGTGTGTCACTTCCAGGTAGTGCCCACAGGCATTGTCCTAGGTGCTTAGGGTACATTAGTGAACAAAACAAAGATCTCTGCCCTGTGGAGCCTGCATTCTAGTGGGGAACACCAGTGATGTCCACCAGATAGAGACTAGTCATCCATGATACCTGGGTTTGACTATGAGGTTGCGCTTCTTGGCATCTTTGAGTCTTTCCCTGCCCTTCCTACCTTGAAATATCCCCTTGTGGGTAGAGGAGTGTCTCGTGAATCTAAAAACTAGCTTTATTTGAAAAGAAAGGCCCAGATAGTCCCACAGGGACTACCTCTGTGGTGCTTCATAGCCAAAGATATTTCTGGCATTGAGGGGGAAAAAAAAAAGCTTTCAAATTATCTACCCTCCTAATAAGGACCCTAAATGCAATGGAAAAGCCATTACTCATCAGAATTTCTGTAGAGCCAATCTACAACAAGAAGTTGAATAATGGCTGCCATCATCCTAGGTGGTTTACAAACAGGAGTTTGTATTCTTGTCTGTAAGACATGCTGAGAGCTGTACCAGGTTAGGAGAACAGAGGCCACTTTGTATTCCAGGTGAGATGGACTTAATACAGAAATTAGGATCTAACAAAGGTCAGAGATATTCCCACAGGTCAAGAAAGCCAACGCAAATCTCAGCTACAAGTTCCAGAGGAGTTCTCAAGAGCTTGCCTGGAAGCTAGTGCAATTCTAGCCAGGAGGCTGCTATGAAATCTATTTTCCCACGACAGGGCTGCAGTGTCTCCAAAGAAAAATGGCTTCTCTTTTTCCTAATGCCAAATTTAATCAGTTTGGCATTAGGGGGGAAAAAATCTCCTGTGAGTGTCTTTCATTAGCAAATCCTAGGGGAAAGGGTTTCTGGGAAATGTAGTTCCTTCCTGGCATCTCTGCAGTGAAGAAAAGCCCTTAGAAGTGGGGGAGGGGTGGTATTGATGCCCGATTGACAGCAGACAATCCAGCTTATGTACTTCCTCTAATTCTCCAAGACTTCTTGGAGAGCCCTCAAATCTCCTTCCCAATGTAGATGTGCTGGGCTCACACATCCCAGATGCTAGCCTGTGAACTTCAGCAGGCTACCTTTGCAGTCTTACCATGTCCTCCAAAGCCAAACTGTAAGATACATACGCAGGGCTGGTCATGTCATATTTCAACCATGTGTCTTACTAAGGTGGCTTTGCTCAGGGCTTAGCTCATATGGATAAAACTTTTGATAGGGAATTGGACTGTATAATGGCATTATAGACATTAGTTGACCGATTAACTGAGGCCACTCTGATACTTTGAAAAGTTGGAGAGAATCTGAAGTAGCCTAGGGGCTGAAGTAAGAAGGGCTTCAGCTGGGCAGCATTTGCCATACTCTTTCCTCTCTGGCACCAGCCCTAGCGGTTCTGAGTTCCTGAGTAGATAGGGCATTTCTGTCAGCTAAGGGAATTCAAACACAAGCCAAAGGACAGGGAACCCCTAGGATTTCTCAGCCTTCTCACATGACCCTTTCTGTCTTGATTTCAAACACTTATCCTTTGAAGGCAGAAAATGCAACAGAATTGTTCAGTCTTTCATTCCAAAAGTGAAGGGGAAGTTGGGAAAGAGGCGGTGCCAAAGTTAAGCAGCATTAGGTAGAGTCACACCAAGGTTTGAGTCCTCTCTAAGCATCAGTTTTTTCACTTATAAATGGAGAAAATTGGCTCTTCCCTCAGAGTTAATCTGCGGATTAAATGGCAATTTAAAAAGTGCCCGGCTCACTGCCTGCTATTAATATATACATTGCCTGATCTATGTTAACATGTTAAAATATTATTTTCACAGTCATCTGGGTCTATCTTCAAAAAGGATTAGGTTCACACCTGTAATCCCAGCACTTTGGGAGGCCAAGGTGGGTGGATCACCTGAGGTCGGGAGCTCTAGACCAGCCTGGCCAACATGGAGAAACCCCGTCTCTACTGAAAATACAAAATTAGCTGGGTATGGTGGTGCATACCTGTAATCTCAGCTACTCGGGAGGCCGAGGCAGGAGAATCACTTATACCCGGGAGGCGGAGGTTGTCGTGAGCCAAGATTGCGCCATTGCACTCCAACCTGTGCAACAAGAGCAAAACTCAGTCTCAAAAAAAGAAAAAAGAGAAAAAGAAAATGATGAAGTTTGTCTGAGCTGTATCTTTCCATAAGGACCTGAGAAGTGATGAAGAGTCCCTTTCACAAAACGTACCTGTAGCTGCCTTATGTTGAGTTGGAAGGTGTTCTTTACTTAGGAAGGAGATGAGGCAGGAGATAGGAGATAAAGGTTGAGAGATGCTGCGGATGATGGGATGCCATCTGGAGAGAAGCTGGGTGGTTGAATTCTATGGGAGATTTTCCACTGGGCTTGAATTCATTGCGCCTGGTCTCTGACTTGGAGTGGAACCCAGATGGAACTCAAAGACCTTGCGCTCATTCCTTCAGTGTCCCCAAAGGGAGAGCCTTGACCACACTCATTTTTCTGGTTTTTTTTGTTTTTTTTTTTTACTTTTTTATTGAGGTCTAACAAAATAAAGTGCACAGCTCAATGAATTATTACGTATGAATACATTTGTGAAACCACTGCCCAGATCAAAATCAACATTTCTGGTACACCAGAGGGCTCCCATGAGCCCCCTCTGTATCAATCCCCCACCACCCAGAAGTAACCACTATTCCAACTTCTATTATTGTCAATTAGTCTTGCCTGTTCCTGAACTCTGCATAAATGGAACTTCGGCCTGGCTTCTTTCATTCAACTTTTATGTCTGTGAAGTTTACCTGTGTTGCCACATGTATCCGTAATTCATTCTTTTTAAATTATTTTTCATTATATGAATATACCACAACTTGTTAATTCATCCTACCATCAATATACAGTTTGGGGCTATTATGAATAAAGCTGCTATGAATATTCTTACAATATCTTTCGGTGGGCATTTCTGCTGGGTACACACACCTACGAGGAATTGCTGGGGCAAAGAGTAGGCAAATGTTTCGTTTCAGTAGATTGTTTTCCAGAGTGCTTGGAAACATTTCACCTCCACCCCCACTAGTTTTTGAACATATCACAAAGGAGCTTCTCCATTGGAGTATTCCCTATGGTCTTGCGGAAAAAGAGGAGCTCGATGCGTTCCGCAGTGATAAACCTCAAAGACGGGAGGAGCAGGAGCAATTTCCCAAACCTGAACAGGAGAGAGGACGCCATCAGTTTTACGACCAGCTTCTGAGCACTAGTCCCTGGGGCGGTGCCCTCCCAGGAAAGGGAGGGGAGGAAGGAGAGGAGAGATGAGGTCCCCAGAGTGGGTCAGGAGGAATTTCGAGGAAAAGCCACATTCAGGCCAGGCGTGGTGGCTCACGCCCGTAATCCCAGCACTTTGGGAGGCTGAGGCGGGCGGATCACAAGGTCAGGAGATCGAGACCATCCTGGCTAACATGGTGAAACCCCGTCTCTACTAAATATACAAAAAATTAGCCGGGCGTGGTGGCGGGCACCTGTAGTCCCAGCTACTCGGGAGGCTGAGGCAGGAGAATGGCATGAACCCGGGAGGCGGAGCTTACAGTGAGCCGAGATCCCGCTACTGCACTCCAGCCTCGGCTACAGAGCAAGACTCCGTCTCAAAAAAAAAAAAAAAGAAAAAAGAAAAGCCGCATTAACCAGAGGAGTTGCCTCCACCTACCTCGACCCATTGTGAGCCGCCACCCTCTATTTAGTTTAGGAGTGCAATGAAAATAATGAGTAAATATTGTTTATTATATGTAAAGATTATAAAGTGAAGTTTATATTAACTCTATACAGATGGTTCGACTTTATCATGGTGTGAAAGTGATAAGCATTCAGTATGCTCCTTGACTTAAGATGGGTTATGTATGAAAATTCATCTTCAACTTACAGTAGCTTCAACTTAACAATGGGTTTATCCAGATGTAACCCCATCATAAGTCAAGGAGCACCTGTATATGAAAATATTATTATTAATCTCATATATAAGTATTATAATTATATGATTAGTTTTTAGTAGATAAGAATTGTTTGTAAGAATACAAATTCCTGTCTGTATACCACCTAGGATGATGATAGCCATTACTGAAAATGTCCTGAAGTTGAAGGATAATTTTGGTGACTGAGATAGTCATTGAAAAAAATATTTATTGTTTTAAATAAGAACTATTTGCTGGCTGAGCGTGGTGGCTCACGCCTGTAATCCCAGCACTTTGGGAGGCCGAGGCGGGCGGAACACGAGGTCAGGAGATCGAGACCATCCTGGCTAATGCGGTGAAACCCCGTCTCTACTAAAAATACAAAAAATTAGCCGGGCGTGGTGGTGGGCGCCTGTAGTCCCAGCTACTCGGGAGGCTGAGGCAGGAGAATGGCGTGAACCCAGGAGGTGGAGCTTGCAGTGAACCGAGATCACGCCACTGCGCTCCAGCCTGGGTGACAGAGAGAGACTCCGTCTCAAAAAAAAAAAAAAAAAAAAAGTATTTGCTAAGACAGGAGTCCGCAACACAAAAGACGGATGGTGAAGCCCCAAGAGACAGATGGGGGAACTAAACCTTCCCTGGGTAGGTCTGATGGCCAGGGTCAACACCCAGCATCAAGGAGGCTACTCCACATTGGGCAGTCCCATGCTCCTCTCACCGTGAATTTCGGGGAAGACTTCCCCACCACTCAGTGATCTGCTGGACTTGCTTTGCCAACCTAAGGCCTTCCTTTCTCTTGCTAGTGCCAAGTGAGCAGCACTGAGCAAGTCGTATACCCCTCCCATCTGCCTTCCCTGCTTCTGTTTTTCTGATCTAAATTAGAGTGGGAGGAAGAAGA
This sequence comes from Homo sapiens, assembly GCF_000001405.40. Classification (NCBI taxonomy): domain Eukaryota; kingdom Metazoa; phylum Chordata; class Mammalia; order Primates; family Hominidae; genus Homo; species Homo sapiens. The sequence goes on along the minus strand of NC_000015.10, from coordinate 71,815,917 downwards.
AATAACTATAAAGTCAGTTAAAGAATGTTTTTTCCAAACTGCAGGTATTGCCTCACCTAGTGGGTCTGAAATTAAATTCAGGGGGTCACAATCAGCCTTTTCAAAAAAAGAAAAGAGAAACATCAGGTAAATTGTAAAAGCTAAGGGTAGGAATTACTTCGTGGAACTTCGCTTTGGTGTCTGTGTGCATATCAGGGGGCGATGGTAATTGTGTTTCTTCCTGGGTGTTGCAGTTTTTAAAAACTGAAATAATATGCTGGATTAGAGAACCCCAAACCACTATCTTCATGCTCAATTCCCTTGTAGTAGGCAATGAACCGCTATAAAAGGGACATAGGAAATCTTAATCAGCATTTTGAAATTTGACGCATAACCAATATGCCAGGACATCTCTGGGAGTTGGTTCCAACAGAAACTTGGCAGAGAAAGGCTGCTGGTTTCTGAATGTCTCTGAATCCCACTCTTCAGATGCTAAGTCAAGTCTTAGTAGTAGCAGCGTTCTCCCTATGCTCATAAGCAGCACAAATCTTCCTGTGCTATATGGCATATACTTTGTATACTGTGGCTTTTCTTAAAAGGAAATTACCTTTTCTCCTTGTAATCATTTCTTGGATTAGAGGTGATGCAAGGATGCCCATATTAGCTTGCTTCTTCAGAAAGAAACTGCCGGGAGCCCCAAAGATTGCAGATAACATGGTCTAAAATAGCCAGTAGATGCCTGAAGGCCAAATGTTCCAACCTTGCTGAGGCTCCATGACATCTGCCTGTGCTGGGCCAAACAGCGTAGTCCCAGAGCACCGGCTCCTGCCCCACCCTCGCGCAGCCACACTCAGCCTGCAGCAACTCTCCCCCAAACCTAGCCAGGGCCATCCATGTGCTTGGCATCTCTACAGGATGCTCAGTGCACCTACAAAACACCTTATCATCTTCCCTCAAAACCGTCTTTCCTCCTGGCTTTCCTTTTTATATTTTTAACAATGTCTTCTCCCAAAGAGCTCCTCTTCCCTCATTCCTTACCTTCACCCAAACACCGGGTCTGACCCATTTCAACTCCTAGAGTCTCCCTTCTGCTTCCCCTGGCCATGCCCAAAGATCAGAACTCCATGGAACCATCTGGAAGGTGGCAGTAGCTGCCATCCCCTTCCCAGTAGTATCCTCTGGACCCATGGCCATGCCAGTCTGCGTGAGGTCCAGCCCTGTGTATGACCCTCTGCTCGGAAACCTGCAGTAGCTGCCCTCTGCCTCCCAAGTCAGACGTGGCCTTTGGCTGGCATTCAAAGTCCTGAACGGGCTGGTCCTAGGGTACTTTTCTGGCTTATTCTCCCCATTTCTCACTGGCAGGAACCTGTTATACCTTCAAAGTGGGCTCCTGTTCTAACAACATATCATGCTTGCCCCTCTCTCCCTTTGCAAATGATGTTTTCTTTTAGACTTCTTCTTCCTTTCAAGTCCAGCCCTGTCTCCACAAAGTCCCTCCCAATTCTGCTTTATGTTTCCCATGCAAGGGGATCTCTGTCTCCTGCAGATTCATGCAACCCTCAGTACCTGGCTAGGGCAGTTTTTGTCTTCAGTGAGGTCACTGCCGGTTGTCTCTAGAAGGCAGTAGCTTTGTCTTATGTACATCTTGGTCCCCACTCCCGGGGCCTGGCACTGTGCCTGGGACACCATAGATGTTGGCTGTATGCTGTTGAACTGAGACCCTTGTGCTGTCTAATCAGTGAGCTCTGGGAGAGTGTGGGAGAGGCAGAGAAAGGTTAGAGGTCAGGGACAGATGAGTGGGTGGGCGCATGCTCAGGTCACCTCACGGGCTGGCTGGGGTGGTGGGCCTTGCTGTGCTGGCTCAGCATCACTTGGGACTGGTCCTGCAAGGCCTCTACGTGCTCAGGATCCTTCAGGCCCCGCGTCTCTGGGGAGAAGCAGCACCAGTGAGCTTAGCACAGGTTTACGGCTGTTATAAGGCTGGCCATGAAGTGGTGGCCCAGGGTTCTGGCTGCAGACATGGACCTGGGGCCCTGTGGGGTGGGCTCTGCCAGGCCCAGAGGAGCCACCAGGGGCTCCGGCTGGGGCTCAGGGTCTCCCAGGGGCTCCCAGCCTGCCCTGTCCCCTCACAGTCAACCAGGAGTGGCCCCAAGGAGAAGGGAGTCCAGCCTCACCACTCTCCTCCCACCCCCCAGGATAGAGGCCTACACACATCTGCACACATGGGGGTAGTGGAGGGAGAGTGAGAGGCAGATGGAAGTCACCAGAATTCCCACTCAAGGTTTGGGCAGAGACTCAGTTACCTGGCTTGAAGAGGACCAAGGCCTTCATGCAGGCAAACTCCGTGGGGTCCACCGCCAATGCCCGGAACCGAGAGATAGTTTCCTGCAGGACACGCGTCTCCATGCTGGCCAGCGTGAGCCGGCCCTGGGCACCACCGGCAGCAGAGGCCTCGGGCGGTGCCAGCAGAGGACAGCTGTCCAGAGGCAGAGACCACTGGATGGCCCCGAGGAGAAAGAGTTCACTCCACGCCTCTTCCAGCAGGATCACCTGTGCTCAGACAGGGGTGCCTGTTATGGCAGACACACAGCTTCTCTGGCTCAGTCTGGAGCCTCTGCCACCATCTCAGGCACCCAAGGAATGGAAGTGCTGTCCTGGGACCCGAGAATGCTCTCCTGACATCAGCCAGAGGCTCAGAGCTCTGGGATTTGGCACCATCCGGCTCAGCTGCCTATCATCTGAGACACTGGGTTCCATCCAGAGCTGCAGCTGGGACATTTAGGAACGCCCAGAGCCATTGGAAGTTGGGCAGCCTCAGAGACATGCCTCATGAGTGTCCTAAGTTGAGTGTATTCAAGTGGTGTGGCCTGACTCTTCTGAGTTGCTCCACCCCAGCACACAGACTGGCTGAGGGCCTCAAACCCTCCTCATGCCTCTCCTCCTGGTTTTCCTGAAAGATCTGCTTGCCCATTAGAAGCCGAGAGGGATGGCCCAGAGCTGGAGAGATTGAACTAAAATGCAAGCCCTGAAGTCGTAGGCACTTGTGCTCCAAGGGGGCCTAGAGTCAGCCACTCAGCCTGTTCAGGGTGTGCAGGTCACTTGTTACCCACAGAATGTCTGCAGGGCCTGAGGGTCTTCCAGAACTTAAGAAGACCCTGGGCCCTGTAGGTCCCTAGCCATCATCATCTCCTAGGTGTGCACCCCGACCATCATCCCTGTGCCAGAGATGCATGCACCCCCACCGTCACCATCCCTGAGATGCACCCCAGCCATCGCTGAATCAGAGGTATGTGTGTCCCCAGCCATCACCATCCAAGCTGTGTGCATTCATACTGGCGTGGGGATGTGTGTGCCCTGTCTGGTTGACTCGAGTGGGCCGCCTGACCCCAGCCCAGCCTAGCTCCCCAGCAGGCAGGCCGGTAGGTACCTGATCCCGGAAGGGCAGGCTGGAGAACACAGGCAGGTTCTTGGCCCACTTGACGGCCATGAAGAGTAGGCGAGCCGAGGTCTCATGGATGCTGTCCAGGCCGCAGGGGGAGGAAGAGGAGTATGGAGAGGAGGGGAACTCAGGGTCATTGCTGGTGACATCAATATTCTCATCAGCTGTTGGAGGAGGAGGTTGTGATCTTAGCGCCTGCTTCTCGGGAGGTGGCAGGGAGTACTTGGAGCCCCGGGGGAGGGAGGATCAAGGCAAGGCGCTGCAGCCCTGCTGTGACCCGGGAAGCCAAGCCCTGCTGTGCCCTCAGCTGCTCTCCCACTCACCATCCTCTGGCTCCAGCTTAGCACAGGTTTCAGCTGTTATAAGGCTGGCCATGAAGTGGTGGCCCAGGGCTCTGGCTGCAGACATGGGTGTGGGGCCCCGTGGGCTGCGCCCTGCCGGGGCCGGGGGAGCCACCAGGGACTCCGGCCGGGACTCAGTGTTGGACTCCATGCTGTCCAGGTGGACCTGGGCTGTGCTTCGCGGCTGGCGCTCGTTCTGCACGGCTGGGGAGGCAGGAAGGGTCAGGACGACACGCCAGTCCCGCTGCCCATTTCTTGTCACCTCCCCCCGGGCCAGCCCCCGCCTCACCGTCCTGGTTCATCCCCGCCTGCAGGCACTTCTTCAGCCGGCAGGCCTGGCACTGGTTGCGGTGGGCCTTGTCCACGGGGCACATCCCTGCCCCCACCTGGCACCTGCAGGTGAAGAGGAGACCCCAGGGGTCAGTGTCCCTCCCATGCCCTGAGCCATGGGCTTGGACATTTTTGCCCAAGCCCCTCTTCCCCTGAGCACCCCCTCACCCCTCCAGAACCCCTCAGGGGCAGACGCCCAGCAGGGCCCACCGCACTCACCTGTAGATGAGCCTCCGCCGTACGCTCCTCTTGAAGAAGCCGCTGCAGCCGTTGCAGGCATAGATGCCATAGTGCTTCCCGCTGCTGCTGTCTCCGCACACGCGGCACTGGAGCGAGGGGCTCACGCCTGAGGGGCAGGGGGCAGGGCTGGGCCAGGGCAGGGCTGGGCCGGGGCAGGGCTGCACGCTCCCCTCCTTCCCTCGGGTCCCTTTCCCAGTCCTCAGGCCCCGCTCACCCGCATTTGAACGAACCCACGCGTGACTCTTCCATCTGGAGAAGTGTCTCCCTCACTGTGCATCCACACCCCAGCCCCCACCCCCATTCCTTGCCCTCTCTCCTCCCTCAATGGCCAATTTTCAGCAAGAGTCCGAGCCCTAGCTCCACTTTCCCAGCTCCCATCCCTTCTCTGTGGGTGGCTTCAGGCTCCATCATCCCACAGAAACATTCTTGTCAACGCCACTAGGGACCTCTGTGCTGTTAAGCCCTAAGGGCGCTTCTCTGTTCTTTCCTTCCCCATCGGCTAGGCTGTCCTGTCCTGGCTCTGCAGCCTGCCCGCCCCCAACCCCCATCCCCGCCCCACCGTGTTTCTAGGATTCTGGGTTTACCCACAGGCTACCCCACCCTTGCCCACAGCCGGCGGGGCTGGGTCTGAGTTGTTCTGGCTCCTTCCATGGTCCCTGCGAACCTCTGGCCCTTACCCTGCTCCCCAAGGGCCCAGACCCAACCCTACCTCCAGGAGAAGCCATACCTGTGGGATCCTCCCCCAGGCCCCATCTGCCTGGAGACTCCTTCCTGGAGGCAGCCCCAGCTGCAGGCGCAGCTGCAGCCACTGTGGAGCTCATCAGAGCTGTTGGTCTGGTCTCCATGGGTTACAGGGCAGCCTCTGCCTGCCTGCGGGAGGCCTGGGTTGCTGAGCCTGGCCCAGCCTTTGCCTCAGTCCATGAACCTCTGTCTCTCTGTGCCCCTGTCTCCCTTCCTGAACTCTGTCTGAACTCAGGAGCTGCCCCAAGGTCCCGAAGCCCCTCACAGCACAGGCTCTGGCTTGAGGAGATTTCTCCCGGGGCAGCCGCTGGACGCAGTTTATGATCCTCTTAATCTTTACTGTCTCCACAGGGGATCAACTGGCCACACCTGCAGCATTACCAAGGTGCCCCGGGAGCCGGTCAGTCCTGCTACCCCATGCTGGTTCCCGGGCTGCCCAAGGTCCCCCGGGGCCCTCCTGCCCTGTGTGCTCAGCTGTTCACCATTTCATGCCACATCTTGAAGAGAGGTGTGGACTCCACCTCTCCCAAGGACTTTAAATCTTTTTCTTTGTTTTGATACGGAGTCTCGCTGTGCCACCCAGGCTGGAGTGCAGTAGCATGGTCTCGGCTCACTGCAGCCTCTGCCTCCTGGGTTCAAGCGATTATCCTGCCTCAGCCTCCCAATCAGGTGGGATTACAGGCACCTGCCACCACGCTCGGCTAATTTTTTTTGTATTTGTAGTAGAGATGGGGTTTTGCCATGTTGGCCAGGCTGGTCTCGAACTCATGACCTCAAGTGATCTGCCCACCTCAGCCTCCCAAAGTGCTGGGATTACAGGTGTGAGCCACCCCACCTGGCTGGACTTTAAATCCTTTTGAGCTGCTTGGCACACATCCGAAGGCAAGTGTGTGGCCAGTGTGTGTGTCTTTGCCTGTGGGGGTCCTGCCTGAGACACTCCCCTTGGGTCCTAGGTAGATCTGGCTCTGCCCCACGAGGTTCTCACTCCAATCCCTTGGAAAGGGACTGCTTGGGGCTCACGATTTGAGGATCCAGCCCCCCCAGAAGGCTAGCAGTCCCCAGACACCTGGCACAGAGGACGTTCCCAGAACCGTCCCCCGTAGGGTCTGAGGCTGGCCTGGAGGAAAGAGGCCTGGATCCCCATCTGGAGGGTCTCCTTCAGGCCTGTGAGGGGGCAGAAGAGGAGCTGGCAGGCTCCTCTGGAGAGCCAGGCCTGCAGGACTAGAGCCAGTGAGGACACAGCCACCTTGAGCCTGGCCACGGGCTCTCAGGAGTCCTCCCCTTCCCCCCGAACTCGGCCTCACAGCTCCGCCTGCCTCTTGCCACACCAGCCCCCTGCGCTGCTCCCAGGTCCATCCTTCCCACCTCCAGCCCAGCGATGCCTCTGCTCCTGTGGGAAGGAGAGGGAAGGAGGAACTTGTCTTACATCCTTGCCTTATAGTAAGCCCCGGGCCCCCGCAAGGGAGTGTGGAGAGAGCAGAGGCAGACCCAGGTTCAAGTACCTTCTCCATCACCGGCCAGCCATGTGTCCCTGAGAAAGTGACTCAATCTGTCCAAACTTCAGTTCCTCACCTGTAAAACAGGATGAGAAGAGCACCTGTCCTATGGTGTAGTTGGGGAACTAAAGACAATGGTTCAGGAAATGTGTTTCAGAGCCTGGTACTCAGTAAGAACCTAATAAATGGTGTGTGCAGCTGATATTGTTATATTCTTGGGGTTACTGAGAAGGTCACACTCAGCAGCCTTTTCTTGCCTGCTCCTCCACCCCCAGGCCCACTTGCCAGCCCCCTCCCTGCCCGGGACAGAGCTGAAAGCCCATGTTGTCCTGGAGGGGACCACTTGTCCCCAGCAGACCAGAGCTCACCTCAGGATGAGCTGGGGTGGGGTTGGTCCAGCCTTAGACCCCAAGGGGAAGCGGGCGGAGCGTGAAGCTTCCAGAAGGATCATGGAGTTAAGGGGACAGGGGGCGGGGCCTGGCCCTTATGTAAGTGGGGTTAACCCTCCCTGTGACAGAGAAGCACAATTAGGGATTTGGGAAGTCAGCTCGAGGGGCTTTGCAGGGTAATCCGCTTTCTGGGGCCTCAGAAGATCGAGGCCACCGGGCTGGGTGCTCTCACCTGTTCTCCTCTCCTCCGTCCTCACCCCTCCCTGCCTCCTCTGCCAAAAAGCCCCTCAGGACAAGGTCTCCAGCTCCACCTAAGACTGAAGCTGAGGCCATCCTCCATGGATTTGACTGGCCACTCCCTCCTTCCCGAAGCCGCTCTTTCCCATCTCTTCTGGAACACGGGTCTTTGCCTTGAACTTGTCATCACCTCCATGTACCCAGAGACTGGTCCCAGCAGCCCTTCCCGCTCTCTCCTCGGGCAGTTTCACACACACTCACGGCTTCCAGGGCCACTTCATATCAGTTCCACCGTGGAGTCCAGCTCCACATGCCCCAGACCAAACCACCCCCAATTTATCTGCACAGAGGTAGTAACCCCAGGACTGGGGGGCCGCCTGGAGCAAATGCGTGCAGGTTTGAAAATGCCTAAGGCTGAGCTCAAGGGTCTCAGACTCTGGTGGCTGGAGCCAAGGACAAGCTGATGACAAAGGCACATCAGAGACAAGACGGAAACTCAGGACAGCGCTGCGCTGTCGCGGGAGCCAGGGACGGGGAGGAATCAGCAATGGTGGTGTCACCATGCAAGTGTTCCTTCCGTGTCATGCAGAAAGGAAGCATGCCAAGTTCTTACACAGATCCTTCAAACCTCACAGCAGCCTTGTAAAGGAGCTGTCCTTACTAGCCTCAACTCATGGGTGAGGAAAAACAGAGTCAGAGAAGTTAAGTAATTTGCTTCAGGCCACACAGCTAGTGAGTGGTGGAGGAGGCTGGGGATGCAGATGAGGATTTCAAACTGTGCTTGGCACTGCACTCAGCTTTGCACCAGGACACCCTCCCAGGAGGGGCAGCTGCCTCATTGGGTTTCAGCAGCAGCCGGAGGAGCTGGTGCCCTGGGAGGGAGCATGATTCAGGAGGCCTAGTTGTGGGGAGGGAGCGTGGCTGTGAGGGAAGGAGACGGGGCTGAGGGGTGGCAGGGAGGGTAACATTAAGGAAAGATTTTTTTCCCCAACGAATTTAGATATTTAAAGAAAAATATGTTAGGAATGCAGTTCCTTTTAAAATGGGAGCTACAGAGGAGAAAGAGCCAGGAAGAGAGGTGGAGGTGGGTGTACCTCAAACCCTGCCCCATGCCCAGCATCTCCGGAGAGACACCTGCAGGCTTGAGGGGGCGGCAGCCGGCAGGAGAGAAGGGGCTGCTCCGGCCTGCAGCCCGGGCTTAAGGGCAGGCTTGGGCCAGCACCGCTCCTCTCAGAGCCTGGCTGTGTGGGCTTGGGGAAGTTATTCTGCCTCTCAGTTTCATGCTCTCTGGAATGAGTAGGATGGTGTCCCATTGGGCGGTTGTGGTGGGATTAAAGGAGGTGAACTGAAGCGGAAAGGGCAGATGGAAGGGAGGAAGCGGGGGCAGGGCTACTGGAGGAGAGCGCTTCCTTCTCTCAGGGGCAGCACACGCAGGGGAGGCCGCTGAGCGGGGCTGGCTTTGGCCCTCCTGCTCCTTCTGCCCAGACCCTTCCCATCCCTGAAGGCCTGTCCAGGGCTCACCTCCTCCAGGCTGCCTGTGCTGACTCCACAGGCCACCTGTTTTGACTCCTCAGGCCGCCTGTGCTCTCCGAGAGAGAGCTTCTCCGGGTGCAGATCTTGTCCTTACATTGAACCTCACTCCAGGTCAACTTTCTCTCCTCCATCCAGATGGAAGATTCCAGGGAACAGGCTTAGAGTTTCGGGTTAGCTGGGGATGAGGATCCCAAGGCACTTAATGGACAGAGAATCTGTTTTCAACCTTGTCTGTATTTCCCTGTATTCTGTAGTGGGTATGTATTACCTAAAATGGCAAAAACAAAACAAGCCAGGCCACACAAGAAACCCAGTCCCATCTAAATGAAAGCCCCCTGCAGTGTTTGACCGGCCCATTTTTACGCTGTTGATTTTGACTGTATTCTGTCACTCCATCACGTGGATGCCAGCCAAAATCCCCTCTGAGCCTGGCCCTGGGTTCTTTGGCAGGTCAGGCCAGCCAGAGCTGTGCCCTATGCACTGTGCTGGGGGAATGGAAGCCAAAGCCCAGCAGGGCCTGGGGGTTGGGGGGGTCTCCCCGATCTGTGATCACCAGCTGCTGGGGCAGACGCCAAAGGATTACTCAGCCCAAAGCCCTGAATCTGCTGACTAAGCTGCCAGAGGCCACCTTATCACTAATACAATTATTCCCCCAGGGGACAGGTCAGCAACTTCCTCTGACTCCCAGGAGGTCTGGGCCGGTTGGGGGTGGAATAACAAGGCGTGATAGGGGCAGCAGGACTGACCTCCCTCTGCATCCTCAGGGCCCTGGCAAGGAATCCCCTGTTCTAGCCTCTCTAGGGGGAGCGGCTCTCTGGGCTTCTTGTCTGGGGCATGTCTCAGCCACAATACTGGGTGCTGGGAACAAATCTTCCAGGATCTCTTTTTTCCTTATTTTATTTTTTTTGAGACGGAGTCTTGCTCTGTCGCCCAGGCTGGAAGTGCAGTGGGGTGATCTTGGCTCACTGCAACCTCTGCCTCCTGGGTTCAAGCAATTCTCCTGCCTCAGCGTCCCGAGAAGCTGGGATTATAGGCGCCCGCCACTATGCCCGGCTAATTTTTGTATTTTTAGTAGAGATGGGGTTTCACCATCTTGGCCAGGCTGGTCTTGAACTTCTGACCTCAGGTGATCCACCCACCTCGGCCTCCCAAAGTGCTAGGATTACAGGCGTGAGCCACTGCACCTGGCCCCAGGATTTATTTTTTCTTTCTTTCCTTCCTTCCTTTTCCTTCTTTTCTTTTTTTCTCTCTTTCTCTTTTTGAGACAGGGTCTTGCTCTGTCACATAAGCTGGAGTTCAGTGGCGAGATCACAGCTCACTGCAGCCTCAGTCTCCTGGGCTCAAGAGATCCTCTCGCCTCAGCCTTCCAAGTAGCTGGGACTACAGGTGCACACCACCATGCCTGGCTAACTTTTTAGTTTTTCATAGAGATGGGGTCTCCCTGTCTTGCCCAGGCTGGTCTCGAACTCCTGGGCTCAAGTGATCCTTCTGCCTCAGCTTCCCAAAGTGCTGTCACCATGCCTGGCCCAGGATTTATTTCTTAAACAGTCACCCACCCCCACAAATTCCTGCCCACCCCCCGAATTCCTGCCCCCCACCCCCAAGTGTCTTCACCTTCTTTGAAGCATAGCTAGTGGGGAGTGCACAGGCCCTGGAGCTGAGGCCTCAGCCATCCACACTCCAGGAAACTATCCCTTGGAAAATTTTACAAAGATTTAATTATATGGATGTACCCTGCAGCAATTTTCTAGACAACTGGCTAAATAAGTTCTACTCCCTCTGTACAGTGGAATCCCATGCAGCCATTGCAGCTGGTGGTGTTCCTATATTCATTTACATGGAAATATGTCCACAATGTCTCAACTTCAAAGCCACTTACAAAACAGACATGGATAGTTTGATTTCATGTGGCCCAGGGGAATTTCTGGCTGAAGATCATGGGATGCTTGTCTCCTTGGCAGGACCTAAATGAATCAATGGTTTTCTTTCTAGAGCAGGGAGTGGAAGGTGCAGGGCTCCGAGAGGCAGACACCAGCGGGAATGTTTCTCAATAAAGCTTCTTTCTTTTCTTTTCAAGATAACATTTAGAAATGATCAGATATTCCCCTGCACAGTTTTCCCAGCCCTTGACTAGTAAAGTCTTTTTCCCCTTGAACTCTTCTAAAGGTCTAAGCAGGGCTGGCGGGGGCCCTGCCCTGTCCTGGGACAGGCAGACAAAAAGCAGCCTGTCTGGAACATGCACCATCTGTTGCTCCACCCTGGGTCACCTCTTCCTCCTCTGTACCCGAGATGACTGACAGGAAAGACCTCCAGGTTAGCTTGGCTTGACTCCCAAGCACCATGCGAGGTGGCTGTCTCAGTTCTGTTGCAGAGCTGTCACCAGAGGCCACCGCAGACATTCTCCCCACAGGCAAATATTTCTGTTTCATTTGAATGTTTAATAATACACATGTATTACAGCTCTAACCTGGATAAAATACAGTTCTTTGTATTTTAAAAAAAGAGACTAATTTGAAATCAATATTACCTATACTAATAATGATAGGAAATATTTATAAAGAAATTCAGTCTTTATGTGTGAAAATGAGAAGCTCCCCATGCTTTCATTTTCTCTCCCTCTTCACCCAAGAGGAGGACCTAAATCTCTAGCGGCTGCTCTGGCCTGAGCCTCCGCTGCTTGGAACAGCTGCAGCCCCCAGTGCAGAGGCCGCCCGTCCACCTGCTGCACCAGGTGTAAACCCTTTAGTTGCTGGGCCATGGGCAGATCTGGAGACCCTGGGAGGGGCCAGAACACTGGGGGCAGGCTGGGGCAGGAAGCTATTTGAAAACCAGTATAGAACTATTTTTAAACGTTTAACAACAGGCACAACCACACCAGGGTACACTAGCTGACTGACCAGTTCATTTATGCTGGTGGTGAGGACACCATGGAGGAACAGCAGTCAGGGCTGTGTCCAAAAAGTTATCTGGCTCTCAGGCTCAGAGTATGCATTCTTTTTTCATTTTCTTTTCTTTTCTTTTTTTTTTTTTTGAGACAGGATTTCGGTCTGTCACCCAGGCTGGGGTGCAGTGTGGCGTGATCATGGCTCACTGCAGCCTCGACCTTCTGGGCCCAAGCAATCCTTCTGCCTCAACCTCCTGAGTAGGTGGGACCACAGGTGTGTGCCACCACACCCGGCTAATTTTTAATTTTTTTGTAGAGATGGGGGTCTCCCTATGTTGCTCAGGTTGGTCTCGAACCCCTGGGCTCAAGCGATCCTTCTGCGTTGGTCTCCAAAGTGCTGGGATTACAGGGCGTAAGTCAGTGTGCTTGGCCTAGAATTATAATCAAGATAAAATAAAGCTTTTTTGTCTTTTTAAAAGAGACGGGTTAATTTTTAAAAAATACGAGCTGTAATAATAATGGAAAATATTTATTAAGAAATTTTATGTGCCAGACACAGTTCTAAGCGTTTATATGTGTAAACTCATTTAATCCTCACGACAACACAATCAGATAAGCATTGTCATTATTATCCTTGTCTATAAGCAGGCGCCTGTAGTCCCAGCTACTCGGGAGGCTGAGGCAGGAGAATCACTTTAACCCAGGAGGCGGAGGTTGCAGTGAGCCAAAATCATGCCATTGCACTCCAGCCTGGGCAACAGAGCAAGACTCTGTCTCAGAAACAAACAAACAAAAAACAAAACAAAAACTTCTGTGGAAGTCGAATTATTTTGAAGATAAAATATTTAAAAACAATATATACAATTAGAATATATTAAGGGGTTATTAGTTTGTTATGACAATGGTATTGTGGATATGTTTAATTAAAAAATAATCCTGCTAGAGATATACTCTGAAGTATTTACAGAAGTGAGTCAATGTCTTGGATTTGCTTTTAAAGACTGTTTTTTTTTTTGTTGTTGTTTTTTTTTAATAAACGAATGAATGAAAAGAGGGAGTAGATGAACTGAGGACTGAAGGTGATAGTTATTGATATGGGTGATGGGTACATGGGTGTCATGGACCTTTTATCTCTAATTGCTTTTGTGATTGAAATGTTAGGTAATAAGTTTAAAATATGTATACACATACAAGCTGCCTACACGAACAATGAAACAACAGGTGCCACTGATGACTTTAGACGCTCTACAGGCTCCTCAGCTTGGACCCTCCCCACCCTACTCTGTCTCCACTGCCCATCTTCGCCTTGCCTTGCAGCTTTGGAGGCTCTAAACTGAACCAGGTGACGCGCGCGGCAGGAAACCCCCGGTGCTACTGGGGAACTGCCGGGCCAGTCGGTGGACCAGCGCCCCCTCCTGGAAGGACAAAAAGCGCAGCGAGAGGGGCCGGTGCCACCTTGCGCTTCCTCTGACCTCGAGTGCTGGCTCTCTCCTTCGCGCTTCTGGCTATACCCGGTTCTGGCTCGGCTCGGCCTGTTCTTTCCCTCTTTCTCCAACCGACTCCTCCTCACACTTCAAGACCAGCTCCAAGGTCTCTCCTGAGAGCACGCACTCTATCATCGCTCCTCACATCCCAGGCCCTATCAGAAACAATCTTACGCCCTTTCTTTGCAGTCACCCGGCTCCTCCAATGTGCACAGAAGCTTTGTGAGACCAGGGTCTTGTCGATCTTGTTCAACGGCATGACACGTAGAAGGAGTCTGATAATTATTTGTTGACCGCCTGAGTGGACGTAAGCTTGCCCTAGTCCTGGCAGCCTGCGGCGGCTTCGGCTTTCTGCCCTGCCCGGGGCCCTGTGGGCATCTCTCGGGCATCCTCCCGGGACCGGGTCCCAGCAATTGCAGGTCCCAATGGTGTCCGGAGGCCCGGAGTTGGTTCTTTCCGGTGGGTTCTTTGTCTCGCTGGCTTCAAGAATGAAGCTGCGGACCTTCCCGGTGAGTGTTAAAGCTCTTAAAGGTGGCACAGACCCAAAGAGTGAGCAGCAGCAAGATTTACTGTGAAAAGCGAATGAACAAAGACTCCACTGCACCAAACTGGACTCCCACTGGTTACCAGGGCTGGCTGGGGTGGCCAGCTTTTATTCCCTAATTTGTCCCCGCCCATGTGCTGCTGATTGGTCCATTTTGCTGAGCACTGATTTGGTCCATTTTACAGTGTGCTGATTGGTCCATTTTACAGAGTACTGATTGGTCCATTTTATAGTGTGCTGATTGGGGCATTTTACAATCCTCTTGTAAGACAAAAAAGTTCTCCAAGTCCCCACCTGACCCAGAAGTCCAGCTGGCTTCACTTCTCATCAGCAGTCGCGGGGCCACACACCCTTATCCTATGAGGCCGTTTATTCTGCCATGAGAGGTGTAAAATGTGTTTTAATAAAAGGCATTTACCTGGCCAGGACCTAAACTGATTGAAGCAATAAGCTACTCGGAAGGGAATGCTATTGTCCTAGGGGGCTTTCCAGGCTGCCACAATGATGTTCCATTACCCAGAGAAGCAGCATCCCCCTGGCACAAGACAGTGGTTTCCAGGGCGTGATGACTGAAGGTGCTGGGAAGGGTGGGTCCTTCTGCAGTCTCTACCGGGACTCTCTCTGCTTTCATCTGTTTCATAGTTGGTCAAATTTTGTTTGAAGAAGTTTTTTTCTCTTCCTAAAGAGTGACAAGTGGGTAGCATTGAGCCTCAGGTATGAGACCGTGCGTATTAGCTGGGTGGGCTCGGCCAAGTCTCTTCACCTCTCTGGACTGTTACTATGAGGAAATCATGGAGCTAATAGTGGAGCTTCACGTCTGGGTGAAGGCAGAGGACCGAATCAGAGGACCTCTCAAGTTCTCTCAGATCTGATTTATTGTACCCAGAATCACAAAATAGCAGGTAGTTGGATCCACTTGGAATACCCTGAAAGGCCACAAGATGGAGGTGTTACTCCATGAGAAAAGTTTGGCCTGCTCTGCACTGTTCCATCCCCCAATTTGTAGCCTAAGAGACTTGAGAATTTCTTCTTTGGAATTGTAGCAAAGTAAACACTTCACCAATACGCACTTGCATCTTCAGGCAGAGGATTTAAGCTCTTACTAAAGAACCCCAGCGGTTCCCTATAGCGTTTCATGCACAACTTTTTTTTTTAAATCAAAGCACCAAAGAGGGGCTGAGCGACAGTCAGGAGACTATCTGACGCAGAGGTGGCATCCCCGCCCCCTGGGAGTATCACCCCATTGTGTCCTGATACACTGGCTCATGTGCGTCAGAGCTCCTGACATATCGCAAACACCCAGAAAACAGATGTTGAGTGGAGTGGATGCTGGATTTATTTTACTGAATCACGTACTTGGCATTAAAATATACGGTGTCCCCTACAGAGGGTTTTCCATGTTCCCATAGGAACTGTTGAGATTTTTTTTTTTTTTTTGAGACAGAGTCTCTCTCTGTCGCCCAGGCTGGAGTGCAATGGTGCAATCTCTGCTCACTGTAACCTCCACCTCCCGGGTTCAAGCAATTCTCCTGCCTCAGCCTCTCAAGTAGCTGGGATTACAGGCGCCTGCCACCACGCCTGGCTATTTTTTTGTATTTTTAGTAGAGACAGGGTTACACCGTGTTGGCCAGGATGGTCTCGATCTCCTGACCTCATGATCTGCCCGCCGCGGCTTCCCAAAGTGCTGGGATTACAGGTATGAGCCACTGCACCTGGCCAGGAACTGTTGAGATGATTGGAAAATGGCTGGAGACAGATGCTTTGTCTAGAATTTGGTTTCCTGTATTCTAGAAGTGATTGCCTCAAGGCCCAGATTCCCAGGATTTGGAGATCAGTGAGCAGGAAGGGCATTTACTGAGTCAGTCCTGGGAGCAAGTGTCAGGTGAATCCTGGCAAACCTACTATGGACAAGGGTGTCGCCAGAGAAAGATGAGATTCTGTGCATGTGCTTGGCTAGGAACCTCTGTCATGTTACACTTTGCTGGTAGGTAAAGAAAGTATGAAAGCACCGGGATTAGGCAAACTTGGCTCCGGCAGGAAGGATGTGTCTTAAGCAGCAGACACTAGGAATGGAGGCAGGGTGACATGGAGGAGTGAGGGGTGTTGACTTCTCATGGCCCTGCCAGTCAGGGGAGCTGGAAAGGTACTTGGAGGAGGTGGTACAGAGGTGATGACTGGGGTCACCTGGCAGAGAGCGTGAGTGATGATCAAGAGTGCATGGCCGGGCACGGTGGCTCATGCCTGTTATCCCAGCACTTTGGGAGGCCAGGGTTGGCAGATCACCTGAGGTCAGGAGTTCGAGACCACCCTGGCCAACATGGCAAAACCCCATCTCTACTAAAAATACAAAAATTAGCTGAGCGTGGGTGGCGGGCGCCTGTAATTCCAGCTACATGGAAGGCTGAAGTGGGAGAATCACTTGAACCCGGGAGGTGGAGGTTGCAGTGAGACAAGATCACACCTCTGCACTCCAGCCTGGGTGACAAGAGCAAAACTCCATCTCGAAAAAAAAAAAAAAAAAAAAAAAAAGAGTGCATGGCTCGGCATGGTGGTTCATGCCTGTAATCCCAGCACTTTTGGAGGCTGAGGCAGGTGATTGCTTGAGCTCAGGAGTTTGAGACCACCCTGGGCAACAAAGTGAGACCCTGTCTCTACAAAAAAAATACTAGTTAGCCTGATGTGGTGGTGCACACCTGTAGTCTCAGCTACTTGGGAGGCTGAGGCAGGAGTATTGCTTGAACCTGGGAGGTCAAGGCTGCAGTGAGCTGTGACTGTACTACAGCCTGGGTGACAGAGCGAGGCCCTGTCAAAAAAAAAAAAAAAAAAAAAAAAAGGGAGGGAGGGAGGCTGGGCACAGTGGCTCATACCTATAGTCTTAGCACTTTTGGAGGCTGAGATGGGTGGATTGCCTGAGCTCAGGAGTTTGAGACCAGCC
The DNA here is from genome assembly GCF_000001405.40 of Homo sapiens. Classification (NCBI taxonomy): domain Eukaryota; kingdom Metazoa; phylum Chordata; class Mammalia; order Primates; family Hominidae; genus Homo; species Homo sapiens. The sequence goes on along the minus strand of NC_000015.10, from coordinate 71,799,345 downwards.
TGGGAAACATGGTGAAACCCCATCTCTACTAAAATACAAAAAAGTAGCTGAGTGTGGTGGTGCATGCCTGTAGTCCCAGTTACTCAGGAGGCTGAGGCAGAATTGCTTGAATCTGGGAGGCAGAGGTTGCAGTGAGCCAAGATTGTGCCGCTGCACTCCAGCCTGGGCAACGGAGCGAGACTCTGTCTCTAACAAAAAAAGGAAGGAAGGGAGGGAGGAAGGGAGGCAGGGAAGAAAGGGAGGGAAGGGATGGAGGGAGGGAAAGAGGGAAGGAAGGAGAGAAGGAAGGAAGGAAGGAAGAGTGAAAGAAAGAAAGAGTGAGTGAGTGTATGCCTGGAACCTGAGAGCCAGAAAACTTTTTTGGACACAGCCCTGCCTGCTGTTCCCTGACGGTGTGCTCACCACCAGCATAAATGAACTGAACATTCCTGAATCCTGGCTGGACCATCCTGTCAGGGCCTGTGCATGGAGGAGGCCTGGTGACCACCACGAATGGCCTGGACAGGTCCTGACTAGCTATTTGCTACCTTCATGGCCTCCCTGACCCTTGTGGCAGCCAGGAACGTTCAGCCCTTCCTGAGTGGGTGACTGGGGATGGAGCACAAGAAAGCCTGTTTTGAATTATCCCATGCTCCACACCATTCGTTATTCCAGTGTGTGCACACTCGAGTAACACTCAGACGACCTTTAAAAGAAAATAATTGGAAGATGGCCGAATAGTAACAGCTCCGGTCTACAGCTCCCAGTGTGAGCGACGCAGAAGACGGGTGATTTCTGCATTTCCATCGGAGCTTTGAAGAGAGCAGCGGTTCTCCCAGCACGCAGCTGGAGATCTGAGAACGGGCAGACTGCCTCCTCAAGTGGGTCCCTGACCCCTGACCCCCTGAGCAGCCTAACTGGGAAGCACCCCCCCAGCAGGGGCAGACTGACACCTCACACGGCCGGGTACTCCTCTGAGACAAAACTTCCAGAAGAACGATCAGAGAGCAGCATTCGCGGTTCACAAAAAACCACTGTTCTGCAGACACCGCTGCTGATACCCAGGCAAACAGGGTCTGGAGTGGACCTCTAGCAAACTCCAACAGACCTGCAGCTGAGGGTCCTGTCGTTAGAAGGAAAACTAACAAACAGAAAGGACATCCACACCAAAAACGCATCTGGAGATCACCATCATCAAAGACCAAAAGTAGATAAAACCAAAAAGATGGGGAAAAAACAGAGCAGAAAAACTGGAAACTCTAAAAAGCAGAGCACCTCTCCTCCTCCAAAGGATCGCAGTTCCTCACCAGCAATGGAACAAAGCTGGACGGAGAATGACTTTGACGAGTTGAGAGAAGAAGGCTTCAGACGATCAAACTACGAGCTACAGGAGGAAATTCAAACCAAAGGCAAAGAAGTTAAAAACTGAAAAAAATTTAGACGAATGTATAACTAGAATAACCAATACAGAGAAGTGCTTAAAGGAGCTGATGGAGCTGAAAGCCAAGGCTCGAGAACTACGTGAAGAATGCAGAAGCCTCAGGAGCCGATGTGATCAACTGGAAGAAAGGGTATCAGCGATGGAAGATGAAATGAATGAAATGAAGCAAGAAGGGAAGTTTAGAGAAAAAATAATAAAAAGAAACGAACAAAGCCTCCAAGAAATATGGGACTATGTGAAAAGACCAAATCTACGTCTGATTGGTGTACCTGAAAGTGATGGGGAGAATGGAACCAAGTTGGAAAACACTCTGCAGGATATTATCCAGGAGAACTTCCCCAATCTAGCAAGGTAGGCCAACATTCAGATTCAGGAAATACAGAGAACGCCACAAAGATACTCCTCGAGAAGAGCAACTCCAAGACACATAATTGTCAGATTCACCAAAGTTGAAATGAAGGAAAAAATGTTAAGGGCAGCCAGAGAGAAAGGTCGGGTTACCCACAAAGGGAAGCCCATCAGACTAACAGCGGATCTCTCGGCAGAAACTCTACAAGCCAGAAGAGAGTGGGGGCCAATATTCAATATTCTTAAAGAAAAGAATTTTCAACCCAGAATTTCATATCCAGCCAAACTAAGCTTCATAAGTGAAGGAGAAATAAAATCCTTTACAGACAAGCAAATGTTGAGAGATTTTGTCACCACCAGGCCTGCCCTAAAAGAGCTCCTGAAGGAAGCACTAAACATGGAAAGGAACAACCAGTACCAGCCACTGCAAAATCATGCCAAAATGTAAAGACCATCGATGCTATGAAGAAACTGCATCAATTAATGGGCAAAATAACCAGCTAACATCATCATGACAGGTTCAAATTCACACATAACAATATTAACTTTAAATGTAAATGGACTAAATGCTCCAATTACAAGACACAGACTGGCAAATTGGATAAAGAGTCAAGACCCATCAGTGTGCTGTATTCAGGAAACCCATCTCACGTGCAGAGACACACATAGGCTCAAAATAAAAGGATGGAGGAAGATCTACCAAGCCAATGGAAAACAAAAAAAGGCAGGGGTTGCAATCCTAGTCTCTGATAAAACAGACTTTAAACCAACAAAGATCAAAAGAGACAAAGAAGGCCATTACATAATGGTAAAGGGATCAATTCAACAAGAAGAGCTAACTATCCTAAATATATATGCACCCAATACAGGAGCACCCAGATTCATAAAGCAAGTCCTGAGTGACTACAAAGAGACTTAGACTCCCACACATTAATAATGGGAGACTTTAACACCCCACTGTCAACATTAGACAGATCAATGAGACAGAAAGTCAACAAGGATACCCAGGAATTGAACTCGGCTCTGCACCAAGTGGACCTAATAGACATCTACAGAACTCTCCACCCCAAATCAACAGTATACATTTTTTTCAGCACCACACCACACCTATTCCAAAATTGACCACGTAGTTGGAAGTAAAGCTCTCCTCAGCAAATGTAAAAGATCAGAAATTATAACAAACTATCTCTCAGACCACAGTGCAATCAAACTAGAACTCAGGATTAAGAAACTCACTCAAAACTGCTCAACTACATGGAAACTGAACAATCTGCTCCTGAATGACTACTGGGTACATAACGAAATGAAGGCAGAAATAAAGATGTTCTTTGAAACCAACGAGAACAAAGACACAACATACCAGAATCTCTGGGACACATTCAAAGCAGTGTGTAGAGGGAAATTTATAGCACTAAATGCCCACAAGAGAAAGCAGGAAAGATCCAAAATTGACACCCTAACATCACAATTAAAAGAACTAGAAAAGCAAGAGAAAACACATTCAAAAGCTAGCAGAAGGCAAGAAATAACTAAAATCAGAGCAGAACTGAAGGAAATAGAGACACAAAAAACCCTTCAAAAAATTAATGAATCCAGGAGCTGGTTTTTTGAAAGGATCAACAAAATTGATAGACCGCTAGCAAGACTAATAAAGAAAAAAAGAGAGAAGAATCAAACAGACACAATAAAAAATGATAAAGGGGATATCACCACCGATCCCACAGAAATAAAAACTACCATCAGAGAATACTACAAACACCTCTACGCAAATAAACTAGAAAATCTAGAAGAAATGGATAAATTCCTTGACACATACACTCTCCCAAGACTAAACCAGGAAGAAGTTGAATCTCTGAATAGACCAATAACAGGAGCTGAAATTGTGGCAATAATCAATAGCTTACCAACCAAAAAGAGTCCAGGACCGGATGGATTCACAGCCGAATTCTACCAGAGGTACAAGGAGGAACTGGTACCATTCCTTCTGAAACTATTCCAATCAATAGAAAAAGAGGGAATCCTCCCTAACTCATTTTATGAGGCCAGCATCATCCTGATACCAAAGCCTGGCAGAGACACAAACAAAAAAGAGAATTTTAGACCAATATCCTTGATGAACATTGATGCAAAAATCCTCAATAAAATACTGGCAAACCGAATCCAGCAGCACATCAAAAAGCTTATCCACCATGATCAAGTGGGCTTCATCCCTGGGATGCAACGATGGTTCAATATATGCAAATCAATAAATATAATCCAGCATATAAACAGAACCAAAGACAAAAACCACATGATTATCTCAATAGATGCAGAAAAGGCCTTTGACAAAATTCAAAAACCCTTCATGCTAAAAACTCTCAATAAATTAGGTATTGATGGGACGTATCTCAAAATAATAAGAGCTATCTATGACAAACCCACAGCCAATATCATACTGAATGGGCAAAAACTGGAAGCATTCCCTTTGAAAACTGGCACAAGACAGGGATGCCCTCTCTCACCACTCCTATTCAACATAGTGTTGGAAGTTCTGGCCAGGGCAATTAGGCAGGAGAAGGAAATAAAGGGTATTCAATTAGGAAAAGAGGAAGTCAAATTGTCCCTGTTTGCAGATGACATGATTGTATATCTAGAAAACCCCATTGTCTCAACCCAAAATCTCCTTAAGCTGATAAGCAACTTCAGCAAAGTCTCAGGATACAAAATCAATGTACAAAAATCATAAGCATTCTCATACACCAATAACAGACAAACAGAGAGCCAAATCATGAGTGAACTCCCATTCACAATTGCTTCAAAGAGAATAAAATACCTAGGAATCCAACTTACAAGGGATGTGAAGGACCTCTTCAAGGAGAACTACAAACCACTGCTCAATGAAATTAAAGAGGATACAAACAAATGGAAGAACATTCCATGCTCATGGATAGGAAGAATCAATATCATGAAAATGGCCATACCGCCCAAGGTAATTTATAGATTCAATGCCATCCCCATCAAGCTACCATCGACTTTCTTCACAGAATTGGAAAAAACTACTTTAAAGTTCATATGGAACCAAAAAAGAGCCCACATCGCCAAGTCAATCCTAAGCCAAAAGAACAAAGCTGGAGGCGTCACGCTACCTGACTTCAAACTATACTACAAGGCTACAGTCACCAAAACAGCATGGTACTGGTACCAAAACAGAGATATAGATCAATGGAACAGAACAGAGCCCTCAGAAATAACGCCGTATATCTACAACTATCTGATCTTTGACAAACCTGAGAAAAACAAGCAATGGGGAAAGGATTCCCTATTTAATAAATGGTGCTGGGAAAACTGGCTAGGCATGTGTAGAAAGCTGAAACTGGATCCCTTCCTTACACCTTATACAAAAATCAATTCAAGATGGATTAAAGACTTAAACGTTAGACCTAAAACCATAAAAACCCTAGAAGAAAACCTAGGCATTACCATTCAGGACATAGGCACGAGCAAGGACTTCATGTCTAAAACACCAAAAGCAATGGCAAAAAAAAGCCAAAATTGACAAATGGGATCTAATTAAACTAAAGAGCTTCTGCACAGCAAAAGAAACTACCATCAGAGTGAACAGGCAACCCACAAAATGGGAGAAAATTTTCGCAACCTACTCATCTGACAAAGGGCTAATATCCAGAATCTACAATGAACTCAAACACATTTACAAGAAAAAAACAAACAACCCCATCAAAAAGTGGGCGAAGGACATGAACAGACACTTCTCAAAAGAAGACATTTATGCAGCCAAAAAACACATGAAAAAATGCTCACCATCACTGGCCATCAGAGAAATGCAAATCAAAGCCACAATGAGATACCATCTCACACCAGTTAGAATGGCAATCATTAAAAAGTCAGGAAACAACAGGTGCTGGAGAGGATGTGGAGAAATAGGAACACTTTTACACTGTTGGTGGGACTATAAACTGGTTCAACCATTGTGGAAGTCAGTGTGGCGATTCCTCAGGGATCTAGAACTAGAAATACCATTTGACCCAGCCATCCCATTACTGGGTATATACCCAAAGGACTATAAATCATGCTGCTATAAAGATACATGCACACGTGTGTTTATTGTGGCACTATTCACAATAGCAAAGACTTGGAACCAACCCAAATGTCCAACAATGATAGACTGGATTAAGAAAATGTGGCACATATACACCATGGAATACTATGCAGCCATAAAAAATGATGAGTTCATGTCCTTTGTAGGGACATGGATGAAATTGGAAATCATCATTCTCAGTAAACTGTCGCAAGAACAAAAAACCAAACACCGCATATTCTCACTCATAGGTGGGAACTGAACAATGGGAACACATGGACACAGGAGGGGGAACATCACAGTCTGGGGACTGTTGTGGGGTCGGGGGAGAGGAGAGGGATAGCATTGGGAGATATACCTAATGCTAGATGACGAGTTAGTGGGTGCAGTGCACCAGCATGTCACATGTATACATATGTAACTAACCTGCACATTGTGCACATGTACCCTAAAACTTAAAGTATAATAATTAAAAAGAAAAAAAGAAAAAACAGAAAATAATTATTTCACTGCCCTTCAATGTTGAATTAAATAATGTTTAATTATAATATTATGGACATAAAACTAAGTAGAAGGGGTATGACTGATATAACTATCCCATCAAAATGAAATTGCTAATTAAATCAAAGCACAACTTCAAAACACAGGGTTAAAATCAACAACTTTGCAAAGATAGAGAATGCTGTGCTGAAACCCAACTGCTCCTCATGGCATAGATGTAGGAACTCATGGGATGGTGGGCGTTCTCACGGGCTAGGAGGGTAATAACAATGAACTCACCATTCTTCTGTGCCACTCTACTGCATTCTTCCCACATTAGCTCAGCTTGTTGCAATTAAAGCAATACTACTTAACTCTGCTGCTGGAATGAAATGTGGTATTGAGATATAAGTAATCAACCAGACAGTGGAATATATGTTCACCATTATTTTAAAAGGTTATTGTTAAAAACACAAAATTTAAAAACTTCTTATTGAAAACTTGAGACTCCTGAAGAATACTGTTTTGTTAAATTCTCTCTCCAGGTTGAATTCCCAGGCATGGAATTATTAAGTGAAAGGGTATGCTCAGCTTCACGGCTCTAGCCTCTAATGCTAATGGTTTTACCCAGGAAAATAGGTGATTTGCACACAAAGCAGGTGCACGAATCCACAGCTTACATCAGACTGCTGGCCTTAGTCGAATCCTGTTGCTCCTCTGCCCAAATCCCTTACTGGCCGGTAATCTCACTCAGACTGAACCCCAGGTCTTTCCCCTGGGCCCCACGTCATCTGACTATACCTCTTCCCCTGCTCCGCCTTGTCCTCCCGCATCTTGAACCCTCTGCACAGGCCCCACTGCTCAGGGCTTTCGCACATTTCCCTGCCCTAACAGGGACACCCTTATCCAGATAGCCATGTGGCTGGCTTGTTCCACACCCCCTAACCATCTATTTCAAATTGCAGGTCCAACCCTGTCTCTACCACTCCTTATCCATGTTTTCTACTTTGCTTTGTTTTTGTTTTTGAGACAGCATCTCACTATCTCATCCAGGCTGGAGTGGCTGGTGTGCAGTAGCAAGGTCATAGCTCACTGCACCCTCCATCTCCTGGTCTCAAGCGATCCTCCCACCTCAGCTTCCCGAGTAGCTGGGACCACAGGCATGTGCCACCATGCCTGGCTATTTTTTTTTTCTCATAGAGACAAGGTCTTCTTATGTTGTCCTGGCTAGTCTCAAACTCTTGGGCTCAAGCAATCCTCCCACCTCGGCCTCCCAGAGTGCTGGAATTACAGGTATGAGCCCACATATCATGCCTGACACACCACGTAGAGTGTCCTCATTTATGTCTTTATTTTCTCTCTCCTTCTTTAGGATGGAAGCTCCCTGGGGACAGTCTTATGCCACCTGGTTTACTGCTATATATTCAGTGCCTAGCATAGTATCAGGCACAGGGTAGATGCTCAATTAATATTTGTTGAACGATTGAATGAGTGAGTGAATGATTACCATGACTGAGGAGGATAGAGGCAGTTGGGATGCAGCGAATCCCAAGGGAGAGTAGCTGAGTTCTGAGGCAAACAGAACTGAGTCAGGAGCAGGCTGAGGTAGACTCATATCCCTTCCCTTGAATGCGGGCAGGCCTATGGTTGGCTTTGACCAATATAACAAGGCAGGAGTGTTGTCTGAATGATTCATACAACTTTTATGAGGTCAGCCTCTCATAGCACCTGCCACAACCATCTTCCTCACACCCTTATATCAACAGGAAGACCCTGAATCAGTCTTGACTTGACTTAAAATTGCCACAAGGAAAACAGCAATGCCGGCTGGATGTGGTGGCTCATGCCTGTAATCCCAGCACTTTGGGAGGCCAAGGCAGGCAGATCACCTGAGGTCAGGAGTTCAAGACCAGCTTGGTCAACATGGTGAAACCCTGTCTGTACTAAAAATACAAAATTTAGCCGGGCGTGGTGGCAGGTGCCTGTAATCCCAGCTACTTGGGAGGCTAAGGCAAGAGAATTGCTTGAATCTGGGAGGTGGAGGTTGCAGTGAGTCAAGATCATGCCACTGCACTCCAGCCTGGGCAACAGAGCAAGACTGTCTCAAAAAAAAAGAAAAGAAAAGAAAAGAAAAGAAAACAACAATGCCTCTGGCTCTTATCAATGGGGCCAAACTTGAGAATCAGCTTGCAGGACCCAAATCTGGATGGAGGGGCCGAGGATGGAAAGAGCTGGAGTCACCAAGAGTGACGGCTACATTGCCGTGGTGCTTCTCAGCTGCCTCTTGCCGCTACAAAGGCCTATTTGTGGCTTTCCAGTGTACCTCCAGGACAGGGAGTGGACAGGGACGACTGCCCATCCCCAGGCTCGGCAGACCCCTCTGAGGTCACTGAGGTGGGCCGGGTAGTGGAGTGAGTGAGAAGTGTGAGCCTTTCCCTAGGTTAGCGTGCCAGGGGTTCCACATGCAGGAAGGGTGCTTAAGCCCAGGCCTAAGAGATCTGGCAGCTCTCTCTTCCTTCCTCTTGCCTGTTCTTCATCCAGAGAAACCCTCGTGAAGAGACCACATGGAGAGGAAGAAGCAGGGAACAGGGCGGCAGAGAGAACTGAGGCCCCCTTGGCAAACCATTCCAATCATCTCAGCCTGATCATCATCAGACCTGCGAGTGAACCAGCCAGCCTGGATGGCCCAGCCCCGGCGGACTTCATGTGGAGGAAGAATGAGCTATTACCAGTGTCCCGACCACATTCCTGACCCAGTGAATCATGAGAAATAATAAAATGGTTGTTTGTTATAGAGCAAGAGATAACACAAACGGGGGCATTACCTGAGTGTGTCGGGAGGGTGCAGGGGGCATGGTTCTGGGCTCAGGTGAGCTGCAGGTAGGGACGGTGGCAGAAGTTAGACTGGTGGCACTGTCCGGGCACAGGTGGAGGGAGAAGCCGCCACTTCTGCTGTCAGGGTGAGAGCATTGAGGCTGACATCGGCATCAAGTTCCAGCACACTGGATTCTTTGGGTCCCACTGGTTCTGTCCCCCACCTCCTTGGCCAGCCTTTAAACAAGACTGTTCCTGGGCCTAGAAGAGATTTTTGGAATCCACGTACAAAAGTGGGATGTAGAAGTAGAGGTGGCTCCTGAAGCATTTTCCCTGCAGGCAACAGTGTTTGTGTTTGTGTGTGTGTGTATGAGTGTGCATGTGTGTGTATGAGTGCATGTGTGTATGAGTGCGTGTGTGTGCATGTGTATGAGTGCATGTGTGCATGTGTGTGCGTGTGCATGCTTGTATGTGTATGAGTGTGTGCATGTGTATGAATGCGTGTACGTGTGCATGTGTACGTGTGTGTGCATGTGTTTGTGCATGTGTGTGTGTCATAGGAGAAGCCTTCCTTGTGTCCCCAGGCTCTTATTCATGAAGCCACAGTGATCATCAGCAGTATCTGCTGTGATGAACGCCCCATGCTCAGGGTGTCAGTTCTGGCTGAAGTTTACTTTTAAAGAGAGTTTAGTCTTCTACGTGATGGCTTCGTGTGATTGTTTCAGAAAGGCCGCAGCATGCAGAGGAACCAGCATAAGCTTTGAAATGAGGCGGACTTGGGCTCAAAGTCCCCAGTCACTTGAGACCTGCATGATCACGAGCAAGTTCCCTCACCTGGCTGAGGCTTTGTTTTCCCCGCTGTAAAGCAGAGAGACCTGCAGCACCCAGCTGTTGAGGTGGCTGTGAGTATACAAGGTGAGGTCGATCATGTGGAGGCGCGGTAAGTGTAAGTTCCCTAGCTATCTGGTTAGAAATAAAATCTGTAGCATCACCCGTTCCAGCTCTCAGCAAATGGAGAGCCAAATATGGTGTCCATTCATAGGCTGTTCGCTCCAGAAGCCTGATGCAATAGGTCTCCTTATCTGCAAGTGTTTTAGGTTGCACAGCATTTTGTAAGTTCCATGAGATTTATGTATTTCCATTGCCCCAAACATTGCTTGGCACAGAGTGTGTGCTCAATAAATATTTGCTGAATAAAGGGAGGATGTACGACCTAAACCCATTTTAAGGAGTAGTTCCTCAGTGGGTCAAAGATGAACAGACACTGCGGTGTTTGAACTTTTGTTGTCCCTTCCTAGAAGCTTTTGCTTGGTAAGGGTGCAATAATCAGACATCCCAGGTTGTCTCACCCACATCCTTCCTGTCTTTCTTCTCTGCTAATGGAACCCCAATTGGTCACAGCCAAGCATAACAATCCCTTCTCTGTCTTCCCAGCTTCCTCTGCAGCCACAAATGGCCATGGAGCCCACTTTGGCCAATAAGATGTAAATAGAAGTTTGTGGGACGTAGGATGGGGCTCTGGGAATGTATTTGGTTTATTGGCAAATGGAGATACACAGCTGCAATGGCCCTTCCTGCTTTCTTCCCTGAAGATGGACATGATAGGTGGAGCAGGAGAAGCTGGCTTGCAACCATGAAGAAGAGGCCAAGAGAGCTGCAGAGAAGCTGGCCCTGAAGCTGTTGAGTTGCAGACCTAATCCAACAACTGCCTCCCTCTGAACTTCTTTTTTTATATTTTGAGATGAGGTCTTGCTCTGTCGCCCAGGCTGGAGTGCAGTGGTGCAATATTGGCTCACTGCAGTCTCTGCCTCCTGGGTTCATGCAATTCTCCTACCTCAGCCTCCCGACTAGCTGGGATTACAGGGGCATGCCACCATGCCTGGCTAAGTTTTGCATTTTTAGTAGAAGGACTTCCCGGCCAGGTGCGGTGGCTCACGCCTGTAATCTCAGCACTTTGGGAGGCCGAGGCGGGCAGATCACCTGAAGCTAGGAGTTCAAGACCAGCCTGGCCAACATGGTGAAACTCCGTCTCTACTAAAAATACAAAAATTAACTGGGTATGGTGGCATGCACCTGTAATCTCAGCTACTTGGGAGGCTGAGGCACAAGAATCGCTTGAACCTGGGAGGCAGAGGTTGCATTGAGCCAAGATCGCGCCACTGCACTCCAGCCTGGGTGACAGAGTGAGACTCTGTCTCAAAAAACAAACAAACAAAAAACCCACCAACAAAAACAAGTCCCCAAGTCAGTGCAGTCAAGGTTTCTCTTTTGTGTGGACAGCTGAGTGCCTAAATACACCAATTATCTAGTAAAAACAAATAAATCACCTATGCAGGAGCACAGAGGCTTAAAACCACTTCAGAGTCCCTAAGCGTCATTGGCCAAAAGGTGAACTAGTAGATTCAGACCTAGCATCTAGACTTCATAGAAGACTGTTTTATAAAGAAAGCAAATGACTCAGAGGTCACCTGCTCATCTTCCCGGTGAATATAGGAAACCCCTCAGCATTCTGAAGGGTGAGGTGCCTCACTTTTCAGTGCGGTCCTTGGACCAGCAGCATCAGCATCACCTGGGAGCATGTTAGAACTCAGTCCCCACCCCAGACTAACTGTATCAGAATCCGAAATTCAACAACATCCCCAGGCAATTCATATGCACATCAGAGTGGGACATACTCTTCTCAGTGTTTTCAGCCTTAGCTAGAATTCCCTGGAGAGGTTTCAAAACATCGATGCCTGGTCCCCACCCTCAATCAACTGAAGATCAAAATATCTGGGAGTAGGGCCCCCATATCACTTTTAAAAGAAGTTCCAGTTGATTTCATTAGACAGTGAGGCATAAGGAAGACCTAAGCCAGACTGTCCCACTTAATAGCTTGGTCACATTACTTATTCTCTTTGGGCCTCAATTTATTTGTCCATAAAATGGCCGCACAAGAGTGCTTGCTTCATGAGTTGTTGCGAAGATGAAAACTAAGTGCTGTAGAGACTCGGACGATACCTGACATCGAGTGGTGCTCACCCAGTCAGGGTTCCCCAGCCTTGATGAGGGCAAGGATCACCACACAGATTCCTGTCCCCTCTCCTGGGACCTCCCCTCCTCTCCACTGGCTCCACTGTCCACTTTTGGAAGGCTTGTTCTTTGCTTCGTTAACCCATTCTAATATTGTGTCTTCTTTCCTAGCACTTTGTAAACCCGCTTCTCTCTCTTTTCTTGGTCAGAGAGACCAAGGCAACTGTTCCCGATAAAGTGATGTAAGGCGCCTTATTAAATTGCACTTGAGTCTACTAAGTATTGACCATTCCTCCTCCTCTTCTCCTCCTCTTCGTCCCGCCTCCTCCTTCCCTACTCCTCCTCCCCTTCCTCCTCCTCCTGTCCGTCCTCCTCACCCTCCTCCCCTCCTCCTCCTCCCCTCTTCCTGCCCCTCCTCTCCCTCCTCCCCCCCTCCTCCTCCCCTCCTCCTTCTTCTTTCTTTCATCTTTCTTCTCCTTCTCCTTCTTTTCTTCCTTTCCTCCTTTCCTCATCTTCTTCTACAGGGTCTTGCTTTGTCACACAGCCTGGAGTGCAGTGGTGCAATCAGAGCTCACTGCAGCCTTGAACTGCCTCCTGAGTAGCTGGGGCTACAGGAATGCACCACTTCGCCTGGCTAATTGTTATTTCATTTTTTTTAGATATAGGGTCTCACTATGTTGCCCAGGCTGGTCTCAAGCTCCTGGGCTCAAGTGATCCTCCCCCTTCAGCCTCCTAAAGTGCTGGGATTCTTTATGGGTATGAGCTACCATGCTCAGCTAGCCATTCTTCTTAAACCATAATTGATAAATGATTCATTGAAAAAAATTCAAACAATTAAAAACATTTGTTTGTGCACATAATTTACCTTGCTTACCTTCAAGGTTGAATGAGCACCCCAGTTAATTCTTATTAGGTAAATCTGAAAAACACAGCGAAAAAAGTTAGTTCTCTTTCTCCCCATCCCCTTTTTGTACTTTATTTCTGCCACCCACAACTTTCTATTTTAGGAAATTTCAAACCTCAGAGAAGTAGTGTAATGGACACCACATACCCTTCACTAATATTCACCAAAATACATCTTACCTTATCTGTGTGCATGCTTTCTCCATACACACATGTGCATGTGTGTGCACACACACACGCACACACTTTTAGTGACCCATTAGAAGGTAAACAGCAGATCATGACCTTCCTGGCTAAGTACTGGAGGAACATGTACTCCTGTTTGGCCAAACACCATCCTCACGTCCAAGAAGCTTTACACAGATTCAACAATGTCATTTTTTTTTCTTTTTTGAGACAGAGTCTTGTTTTGTCGCCCAGGCTGGAGTGTAGTGGCATGATCTGGGCTCACTGCAACCTCCACCTCCCAGGTTCAAGTGATTCTCGTGCCTCAGCCTCCAGAGTAGCTGGGATTACAGGTGTCCGCCACCAGGTCCAGCTAATTTTTGTGTTTTTAGTAGAGACAGGGTTTTGCCATGTTGCCCAGGCTGGTCTCGAACTCCTGGGCTCAAGCAATCCACCCACCTTGGCCTCCCAAAGTGCTGGGATTACAGGCGTGAGCCACTGTGTCCGGCCAATGATGTCATCTTAAATACAGCCCATATTCAAATTTTCCCTCTCCTAAAATGTTCCTGATCACTTTTTTGGGGGTCTCACTCACTCTCTCTCTTTTTTTTTTGAGACAGGATCTCACTCTGTCACCCAGGCTGGACAGCAGTGGCTCGATCTCGGCTCACTGTAACCTCTGCCACCCAGGCTCAAGTGATCCTCCCACCTCTGCCTGCTGAGTAGCTGGGATTACAGGTGTGCACCACCACACCCAGCTAAGTATTTGTATTTTTGTAGAGATGGAGTTTTGCCATGTTGCTGAGGCTACTTTCGAACTTCTGAGTGATCTGCCCACCTCGGCCTCCCAAAGTGCTGGGATTACAGGCATGAGCCACTGCCCCTGGCCCTGTCTCTTAAAGTGTCTTTTCCCATTGTTCAGCCTCTCTGATTACTGGAAACGTCTCATTTTGAACCAAGTCTGACTCCCAGTCACATCCCTGCCCTGGTCTGCTGGAGGAGTCCGGGTTCTTGTCATCTGTCCCTGACAGTACTTTAAATTGTCTGAAGGTTGAAGACAGCCCTCCTTCCAGAACCCCTCCATCCTGGTCACCATCCTACCATCCTCTGGGCTTTTTCCAGACAGTCAATAAACCTTATGACATGTGGTCCCCGGAACTGGAGGCAGAGGGTCCCAGCCTGGGTCTGCCCCTTGCGCAGAGCAGGCTCACTGCCTCCCCCTGGTGGGGGGTGCACTCCTCCAGAAGCCGCCTCAGATCACATTGGTCACACTGAGCCCGGGTAGGATGGGCAGCGCTGGACTTTTTCAACCAGTCCTTGTGCAATTGTTGCCCAGTGACTGAAACTGATGTGGAGAAAGAGGTTGGAACTAGTATAGGCTGGAACCATATAACATGCCAGGCCCCGGGGAGATGGAGGCGGCAAAGAGACAAGCCTCAGCCTCTAGGGGAAGAGGACTGTGGCATCCTAGCACCACCAAGTATCAGCTGGGGTACCAAACCTCTCCTAGTCTCAATATTCTCATCTGTAGGAGGAAACAATATTTGAACTTCATAGGTTTGCTGTGAAGACGAAATGAGCTCATGTAAGTGTGCTCAGCAGAGTGGCCGGCGCCTGGTGGACTCCTGTATTGAACTGTTGAAGAATAAATGGAATTTTGGGGTGATGGTTGCCCAACACTGTGGTTGCTTTAAATACTAGTGAGTTGTACGTTTGGAAATGGTTAAAATGGAGGCCAGGCGCAGTGGCTCACGCCTGTAATCCCAGCACTTTGGGAGGCTGACGGGGGCGGGTTGCTTGAGCTCAGGAATTTGAGACCACCCCGGGTAACATGGTGAAACCCTGTCTCTACTAAAATACAAAACATTAGCTGGGCATGGTGGGGCACACCTGTAGTCCCAGCTACTTGGGAGGCTGAGGCACCAGAATCGCTTGAGCCCCGGGGGCAGAGGTTGCAGTGAGCCAAGATCACGCCACTGCACTCCAGCTTGGGCTACAGAGTGAGACTCTGTCAAAAAAAAAAAAAAAAAAAAAAGTTAAAATAGTGAATTTTATGTAAAGTGGATTTTACCACAATAAAAAAAGAATGGAGGTTTTTCCAGGCAAAAAGGTGGATGGGAAGGGTGGGCGATAGCATTTTAGGCATAGAGCTGGTTTCTGAGTTATTGACGACATGCTGTCCAGGACGGAGTCCGTAGCAGAGCTTGCAGGCTTCGCTAGAGACTGCTCTCTAGGCCAGGGTGGGCTTCAACTGGCATCACCATCTTAGTCGCGTTTCACTTTATTTTGCACCAAGATCGCCTGAAAGATTTTGTCGAACACTTTGCTAAAATCAAGCCCCAAGTGAAGTCAGCTAGAGGGAGCTGGAGGAAGATTAATTCAAGTTAGAGATGGAGCCCCACCAAACCAGCAGAGTGGCTGCCAACCTATTCTGCACAATTCCCTGGGGGAGACATAAAGAAATTCATGTGAGATTGCATCCTGGGCGCGGTGCACACGCCTGACGACTTCACTTTAAGCTTCTCAGGTGAGTCTAATGCAGCCTAACATAGGACGGGTGGGCTCATGTTCTTTCTAAGGCGTGTCTCATTCTCTAACTGGCCCGGCTCCACCTCAAGCACCCAAAGCCAACGTCTACAAGCGGCTGACCTCTCAAGGGTCTGAGTTTTATTTTTAGAGGGGGCTATTTGTAGGAGAACAGAACGTGAATAAGGCCAGAGAAAGCACACGCTTGTCAACAAAGCAGATATTTCAACCAGTTTATTGTCTGACTCTTCTTTTTAGAGGGCGCTATTTGCAGGAGAACAGAACGCGAATAAGGCCAGAGAAAGCACACGCTTGTCAACAAAGCAGATATTTCAACCGGTTTATTGTATCTTTACAATAATAAAAATAAATTAGTCACACACAAAAATAGTCATTTTTGCTGAAGAGAAAACAGACCATATTTACTCACATAATTCGCCTTCTACCTTTCACCTGCTTATGTAATAATTTAACACTGTAGAGGGGACATGGAGGTGACGGAGTATTTAGTGGGTTCCTTGCTCCTGGCTGTGCAGTTCACAGGCCCCACAGGCCTTGGCCCCAGCATCCCCAGCAGGGACAGTGGAAGTGTCAGAGCAGTAAATGCCACCACTTCCCTCTCAGCCTCTCCCTGTCCCCGCCAGCCACCTGCCTCACCCACGGCTCTAACCAAGCCCACCGAGCAACTGACGCTGCCAGTCTAACAACGGGGACAAAGCAAAGAGAAAGGGATAACAGACACCCTCCCATTTCCTTCTCCAAATGTCTGTGGATGAGGGGAAGGCAGATTAGATGAGGAAATATAATATTTAAGATGAAAAAGTAGCAATCAGGTTCAGGTACAATGCTACCTGAATGAGTCGAAAAGCAGAGTAATTTATATTTGATCTTAAACCTCAGGGAACTGGACTGATTAGCATACTAAACAATTGTAACTATGGACTGAGAAAAAGACATCAATCATCGTACAGCGACATTCCAGGAGGCTGGGTTAGTATGATCACATGCTTTCACACAAATGTGGATCGCATATGTAAATAAATACCTATCAGGTCCCTTTAAAATTAACACATTCTAAATAATAGAACTATTTTGGTGTAGTGACTCATTCTGCAGATAGAGTTCAGAATACATATTTCCTATAAACATCTTGTATTTACAGAGAACAAAATAATAAGTTATAACAAAGTATATCCTTCTGTCAACTGAGTCGTGGGGAAGGGGTCAAGGCAGGGGGTATTAGTTTGTATAGCAGGTGGCTTCCCTCTCGCAAGAGAAAGGACTGAGAAAGTTGGCTGGAAGTTTTCACCCTCTTGCGGTCACACCCTCAGCACGATGGACACCCCCCCCCTCCATCATTATCTGCTGAAATGAACAGGAATGGGGGGTGGTTCAGGGTGCAGGGAGTTACTTTGCCCCTGCAAAGGTGCAGAAACTCCAGTCGAGCTGAGAAAGAGTGATGGTATCTATAGGGTCCTAGGCAAGCCATGGCTCTGCTTACACCACGGTGAGAGACCCTGGGCAGGCAGCCCCCCATCCTGCCGCTCAGCTACGCCTCGATGCAGACGGCGGCTCTGACCAACTTGCCAGTGTTTCTCTGAGACATGAGGCCGCATTCAGCTCAGGGTTTCAGTCCCACAGTGGGCTCCCCATGGCTGACAGGGTGGCAAAAGTCAGAAACGGAAAGTGCATAGCTGTGTACTTGCCTTCCCCCACCAAACAAATCACCTAAAGCTCTTCTACTCACAGACTCCCCTAAGCCCTGAGTGGAGACGGCCCTGAGCATCACGTTGCCCAGCCAGATGCTTGAATCCCCTCTCCAGCATCCCTGGCAAACGGCCTCTGCTTCCACCTCCAGTGATGGGTGGGTCACCACCTACCACAGTCCCTCTATCTCTGGAAGGCTCCAACTTGTGAAAAGCTGGGTCTCTGCAGGAGCTAAACTGTGCCTGCCTGTAGCTTCTTGGTCCTGGTCCTAGGAGAGCTCTCCTTGTGCCCTAGTGCCTTCTCCAGCCTGAGGGTTCTCATGAAGTCCTTCCTGCTGTTTCTGAGAGTCTGCACACTTCATCAGGACGGGGCATTGATAAACTGATGTTATTATAGATGATCGGTTTTCTTCTTAAAGTATGGTTCCGGCAAATGCAAACACAATGTGATGTGATCCTCACCACTGTTTTCTCCTCACGTAGCCTGCATGTCTGTGGGTTTTGTTTTTGCATGGTTCCATCCCACTTTGACTCACACTGAGCTTAGTCAACTGAAATTCTTGCCTCTCTCCCACCTTGTATTTAGTTTTTCATTTTAGCCCAAATATAGTACTTTATGTGGATTCCTGGTGAATTTTTAACATCCAAGTTTTATTCTAGTCTCCCTGATCTTTTTGGATCCAGCACGTGTCACCCAAGCCATTGGCTCTTCAACTTCACGTCACCCATACATTTTGTGAGGAAGCCATCGATATTTTCCCATGTAAACCATATTAAAATGTTTTATATGGCAAGGATCAAATACTAGTCTCCACCCACAAGGCTGATATAGATTATCCAGCCTGTTTTAAGGGAAGTCATGTTTCTTTTTACCACTTATATTTATGTCTTCCTCCTCATTAGAATTGATATTCCAACTATAAAGTGGCTATCCGAATGAAAAGAAAACCCACAACATTTGTTTAGACAGGTCCTGGTAATATCTGGATTTCTCTGCCACATAACTTGATGAAAATACACCAAGCTCGTGTCTTCTCTTTTCTGTCCCTTTGTAAGGCCATTCTTTTTAAAGCAAAAAGAGTGTTGAATGCTAAATACTTTGAGAATAAGTAGATGAGTACATAAGAAAATAAAGAAAAAACCCTCCAAGAACTCTGGGCCAGAGAGGTAAGGTAAAGGGACAGGTAGGCACAGTGCGGAGAATTCTTGTCATGTTCTAGTTCCCTGGGGGCGGGGACAGGCTGCCTTGCCCTCCCTGGGGTCCCCAACAGCTTGCAGGCAGCGGGCACTGAGCATACCTTTACGGAACTGAACTGACTCCCTCTAGTGGCTGGCTTTAAATGGCTTTTTTTTTTCTTTTGGTGTTTTTGTTTGTTTTTTTAGTTGTATTTCTTAGGCCATCCCTTTTCTACAGAGAGAACCGCAAGTCATCGTGAGGGTGGAAAGAATCGATAGTACTAAATGTCCTTTGCCTAGGCTGCAAGAGGCACAATTTCCTTTTTCAATGGATGAAAGTAAAACGGCAAACTATTTTTGTTTGGACTTTGTTGACTTTTGTGAGGAAACCATATGACAGCTTTAATATCTAATTTTAAAATTCAGAGCAGGAAATGAGGCAATCCCGTACACAGGCCAAGAAAAAAACCGTATCAAAATGTAAATATCAATTCCACATTACGGCCAGTTAAAGAACAATGGGAAGACCAAGAAGGAGATGGCAGTGACAGAAGAAAGGAGAGGGGGAAATAATGGGCACTAAGAAAGCAGAAAGAGACATATTTGGAGGGAGATGGCTACCGAAATCTGGGCTTTTCTTAGATCCTCTCCAAGGAAAGTTATCACTGGAAATACCCAAGGCCCTGATTGTATGCACTGTGCTAGGGAGAAAGACATTCAGATGCTGAAATAAAAAACTAGGGAATTAGTAAAAATTGGATCTCTAAGACAAATAAATTGATCAAACTATAATAATAATCAAACTTCTAATAATGTATAACCTCTCCAGAGATGAACTCCAAGAACAGCTCAATGGTTTGTTGAAAAAAAAAAAGAGACCCCTGGTTTATGCACTTTCTCCCCAAGGGAGACATGGGGTTGATCCATCGGGTCTTCTTCAATTGCACAGTTGGCAGGCTGGCCATTCCCATGGAGGGTCATTCTCCTTTTAAAGAATGGTTAGGTAACCTTCAGCAGCCATAGGGCACTTTAGACATAAAGAGACAAAGCCATCACTGACCCAGCCCAGCCACGAGAATTCCTGAGTTGGAAGAACCAGGGTGTTCACCTCCCACTCAACAGAGAATTCCCTTTAAGGACAGAGCGCTCTCTCATGTGTGGTGGCCCTTGCCTCTGTTGGGCGGCTTTGATGGCTAGAAGGTGTTCCTTTAACTTGAGCTAAAACAGCCTTTCTCTCTTCCACTCATTGATCTTAGCCTGCCCTCCAGCATGAAAAGAAAACCTCTTCAAATGACTGGCTTGCTTGGAAAGATCTGAGAGCAGCCACATACAGGAACAACTCTCCTCGTGACAAGCAGCAAAACAAGTGGTGAGTGGAAAAGAGCAGGCCCTGAACAGCACCAGTCAATATGCTTGGCCTCTCTGGTCTCTTTTCACTTTGTCGGTTTGGGAGCCTGGGCCTCTGCCAGGATGCTTATCTGTAGGAGTTCCAAGAGAATCAGGAGATGGGGATGCTTTTGGGAAATGATGCCTGGGGCTCCCTAGAAGAGAAGCTGGAAAGCTACCCACAGAAAGGCCAAATAGAATTTCTGAAAGCCCCAGGTTAGTGGAAGCCTAAAGAGCATGTCAGGCCAGGTTGCCATACTGCTTCCAAAAGCTGCAAACCATCATCACAGTGGCAGATTTGTCAGCTAAAAGAGCAAATGGGGGAAACACTTTGCTAAGAATCCAGGCTTGCTCTAAAAGGGAAATATGCTCAGGACCATAAGACAAATTTTCTGTAAGTTTAACATTTGTTTAGCTTGCCATTTTTTCTTAATGGGTAAAACATACATATATTCCTCTTAACTGTTTTCAGAGGGTCCACCTTTCAATATGCACTGCATCCTTCCAGGCCTGCGGCCTCTGGAACTGGATAGTTGGGGAAAGTGAATTGGAAGAGATGGGGAAGGGTCCACAGCTCCTTGTCGCAGGCCAACTGCATTAATGCAGAGCTTGGTGCTCAAGTCTGGGGGTGGGCCATATGGACTGTGAGTCATGGGGGAGGGGAGGAATTTGTGGCCACAGAGGGAAATTCATAAACAAAACCAGAAAGACCAGAAAGAGACTTTTTCTAATACAGCAGTGTTTCGGCTGGGACAGGTTGGCCGGACTCTCCAGGAACGTGGTGAAGAGCGTGGGGGAGGCGGCTGAGGCAGGGCAGAGCCCAGGCTGCAGAGCTGTGTGCTTCACAAGTTGGCTCTGTGGTCGGGAAGGCTCCACGGCCATAAGGACCCTGGCCTTTGATTTCCTGGGAGGAACAGCACTTGGAACGGAGTAAGAATTTCAGGCAATCACCTGGTTTCCCCAATGGCTTTCTTGTCTCACGGACAGTTTAACAAAGCTGGCAGAGTCCTGTAACTAGGATCTGTAACTTTGGGGGTAAGGGCAAGTAGGAACAGACATCCAAAACAACTGAGTGCTGGGATAAAGGCTTGACCGGAAAGATTTCAGGGGCCTGGGCTTTGTTTGCATTCTGGGAAACTTCTCAGTCTCTTGGTCAGAAATGAAGCAGCACCTTTCACATCTAAGTACAGGCCCCAGGCTGGATACTGGTAGATGACTGGGGCGGGGACTCAGCTCTTCCACTGGATGGGTGAATATACCTGGCAGGTCAATTACTTAAGTTGAGCCTCAGTTTCCCTGTCAGTAAAATGGGGATAATGAGTCACCCCCTGCCTCCCATTCTGGGATGTTGTGAGCTGCTAAGGAGCTAGTATCTGTGAGTACACCTGCTAAATAAAGCACAATATTCATGTGAGCTATCTGTGTCATAGGGCAGGAAAACAGTCTAATGTCTTTGAGAATGAAAACAGGCACATCTGGGCTGAGGTCACAGAGGGATGCACGCGTGTCAGCAAGGCTTAGTGGGGCGCTGGGTTGGGGGCGCTGCCTCCTTGGACTCTCCAGGGTGCTAAGTTTAGAAAGACCAGTAGCACCAGGGACGGGGCAGTGCTCAGTCAGTGGCCCATCTGCTGACTTGAAGGTGCCAGATGGGAGCAGGGCTGAGAGCTCCATGTACTTCCCACTGCTTGACTTTCAAAGGGCACCATTAGCAGATGCCAGGTCCAAGGAGGGGATCATCAGTACATGGTGATGCTTAAAGGACTGACTGTGGCTTTCAAACATCTTGTGTAAAAAGCCCCTGGGTACCACGGGGTGCATTCACCGGAGGCAGGGGTGGTGACTAAGTTGGTTGGCAGCGCCTGGGCCAGGGGGCCCGTGGTGGAGCAGCAGCCAGCCAGGCGCACTGCTGAAGCCCCCGGGAAGGCAGTGATGCTGCCCTACTGATGGGGGTGCAGGAGTGTTATCTGCTCCCCAGGAAGCCCGTCTGCCTGTTGGCCACACGGGTGCAGGAGGCACAGCAGGCGGTCTTGTAGTAGTTGTAGACACAGAGTCTTGCCTGGACCACCACGTTGCAGTTGTAGTACTTGTCCTTGCAGTTTTCATCTGTAGCGAAAGAGAATGAACAGAAGACTCCCTGAGCACAAGAGGCAGCCTGGACCAGTGGGAAGAGAAAGGGCAGTGGCTGTGGCTTTAACTCCTGCGCTGCTGTTTATTACCATTGTGGGGTATGAATGTGTGCCAAGGGCTCACAGGTTTTTCTCTTTCTTTTAAACACGATAAGGGAAATAGGTATAGAGAATAAGTTACTCATCTGTGTCCTCACTTCTCTCTGATCACTTCCTCCTTCATCCTCATCACTCCAGAGGTAATCAGAAGTTCCAAATTTGGCGTTTCTTATCCCCAAACATTTCTTTACACTTAAACTCTATGTGAGGGAATCCCTCACCACTCTGTGACATTTAAACATAAAAGATACATACTGTATAAGCTCCTTGGCAACTTGCTCGACATTGAATTTGTGCGATTCATTCATATTTGATGAATGCTATATTTTCATTATTGAATTTTCTTGTGTATATAATCCACAATTTAATCATTTTCTATTGATGGACATTTAAGTTGGACATTAATCCAATTTTTTTTTTCTAGTGCAAACAATGCTTTTAAGTAGTTTTGTTACCATCCTCTGCCTGGGCCTTGCTGGGTCATAAGGTATATCCAACTTTGCTAGATACAGTCAGTTTGCTCTCCAAAGTCGGTATAACTGTTTATGTTCCTGTCAGTGAAACAGAAGAATTCTCTTTTTGCCATATGTTTTAGTTTTTGCTGAGCTAGTGAATGTGAAATGATTCCCACGTGAGGCTGAACATATCATGTATATTTGCCATTCAAGCTTCCTTTTCTGTGAATTGCTTTTCTGATCTTTTGCTCATTTTCTGATTTAGTTAACTTTAAAAAATGATTCACGAAAATTCTTTATATCTAATGGATCTGATCCTTTGTGAGTTAGGTTATATGTGCTGCAAATATCTTCTTCAGCCTGTGGCTTTTCTGATCACTTTGCTTCTGGTGTTGATTGATAAACAGAGATTTTTAATTTTAATGTAATTGATATTATAATATGTTTTCCTTTGTGGTTTGGAATTGTTGGTTTCATTTAAAAAACCCTTCTGTACTCTGAAATAAAATATAAATTTCCCTGTTCTCTTCTAAAAGTTTTAAAATGTTCTTTTCACATTCTTTTGACTAATCCACCAGGAATTAGGGTTTGTGGAGTGTATGGTATGTGTAGGATGAGAGGAGGGAGTTCAGTTTTCTTGTTTTTTTCCTTGTATATGGATAAACAATTGTCTCATGACCATTTATTGAATTGTTCATCTTTTCCCCACAGCTTCATAATATGACCTCCATCATATATCACACATCCTTTATATGTGTATTTCTGGCCTATTCTGCTCTCCTTGCTTTTTTTATCCATCCTTGTGCCAAGATGCCTTGATATGTGGTAGGAAAAGTCCCTCAACATGGTTAATCATCAAAACAGCCTTGGCTCTTCTTGGTTCCTTGCTTTTGCTCTTCCATATAAACTTCTATTTATTTTATTTTATTTATTTTATTTTTTTTGAGACGGAGTCTCGCTGTATCACCCAGGCTGGAATACAGTGGCTCTATCTCAGCTCATTGCAATCTCTGCCTCCCGGGTCCAAGCCTTTCTCCTGCCTCAGCCTCCCGAGTAGCTGGGATTACAGGCACATGCTGCCACACTTGGCTAATTTTTTTCGTATTTTTAGTAGAGATAGGGTTTCACCATGTTGCCCAGGCTGGTCTCCCACTCCAGCTCAAGTGATCTGCCTGCCTTGGCCTCCCGAAGTGCTGAGATTACAGGCGTGAGCCACCACATAAACTTTAGACACAGGTTGTCAGATTTTTCTATGAAAAACCTTGCCTGGATTTTGATTAATATTGCTTCCATTTATAGATTACTTTGGGAAAGAACTGACAATATACTTCTCAGCTGCTTGCTTTTTAAAATATTACTCATAAATATATTTAGATAATTTTTTGTATCATAATATCTACCATCTTCTTTTTTGGGGTGTCTGTATTTTGTCCTATGTGCTGGAACATAATTAAATAAGTCATTTCCTTCTAGTTATAGAAATGTAATTGCTTCTAATTTTTTTTTTTGAGATGGAGTTTTGCTCTTGTTGCGCAGGCTGGAGTGCAATGGCATGATATCGGCTCACCGCAACCTCCGCCTCCCGGGTTCAAGCGATTCTCCTGCCTCAGCCTCCTGAGTAGCTGGGACTACATGCACGTGCCACCATGCCTGGCTAATTTTATGTATTTTTAGTAGAGATGGGGTTTCACTGTGTTAGCCAGGCTGGTCTCAATATCCTGACCTCATGATCCGCCTGCCTTGGCCTCCCAAAGTGCTGGGATTACAGGTGTGAGTCACGTCGCCCAGCTTGCTTCCAATTTTTATAAGTTACAAGAAATTGTACGGTTCATTCATTAATTCTACACAATTCATTAAGCCCTATTTTTTTTTTTTTCAGAGATGGGGTCTTTCTGTGTTGCTCAGGCTGAGGTGCCGTGACTGTTCATAGGGGCAGCCACAGTTCGGGTTCCTGGGCTCAAGTGATCCTCCTGCCTCTGCGTCCTGAGTAGGTGGCACACCCGATGAGCCCTATTCTTTGCATGTGTGTGCCCCTGTACATTTTTGAAAGCATATTTTTAGTATATATTCCTAGAAGTGAAATTATTAAGTCAAAGGTAATAATATCTTTGTATCTTGATAGATATTGATAAAATTCTCTTCAAAAAGTTTACACCAAGTTACGAGTTGCCACTTGACCTATCCCCCATGCGGTTGCCAACAATGAACAAACATTGTCTAATATTTTAAAAGCTTGCCAATCTTATGGAAAAACATGGACTCCCATTATTTTTAAAATTTGCATTTCTGATTACTAGTAGCTTGAGCATTTCTTCAGCCTCTTGTAGTTTTTTTTTTTTTTTTTGAGACAGAGTCTCACTCTGTCACTCAGGCTGGAGTGCAGTAGTGCGATCATGGCTCACTGCTTCCTCGACTTCCTGGGCTCAGGTGATTCTCCCACCTCAGCCTTCCAAGTAGCTGGGACTATAGGCATGCGCCACCACACCTGGCTAATTTTTATATTTTTTGTAGAGAAGGATTTCACCATGTTGCCCAGGCTGGTCTCAAACTCCTGGCCCAAGTGATCCACCGGTTTCAGCCTCCCGAAGTGCTGGGACTACAGGTATGAGCCACCGCACCCGGCCCTGTGGTGAGTTTGTTCATTTCCTTTATCCTTTACAAAACTGGACCACTTGTCTTTTTTAAAAAATTGAGTGAGTTCTGTCTATATTGGGGATTTAATTTTCTGTCTACTTGAGTGACATTTATTTGATTTTAAGATGCTATCAATTGTAGGATGATTTAATCATGTCACTCTGGGATTAAATGAAAGATTATATGCAGATTTCAAAAAGCTGACAACAGCACACATGTACCCATGTACTCAGGTACTATTTTCTTCTTCAGCAGCATCATCAAAATGTGCACTTGAGCCTTCTTTTCCTTCAGAGCCTACACAGATTCTTGCTATCAGCAGCCCTCTGGGATATACCGAAGTGTGTGTCATAACTCTGGCTTGTGGCCTGGACATCTTTAGTAACTTTGGCATTGACAGGTATAATTTTGAGGCACATCAAAGAATACCAAGGCTTTGTCTACATATTCTGTTTTGTTAATCTCATAGTTTCCCTTTTTTTCTCTAGTTGGATTTTATATAATTAGAAGTTAGACAATTTCCCCTGCTTGAAAAGATACCATAGACAAATACAGAAGACAAAAACAGTGGCAACACATTTTGTATTATATTATATTAGCTAGAAGCCTTTGACATAGTGAGGCAGCTGAGTGACAGCTCTTCAGAGTACCTGATTTGCTTATGCCAGTCATTCCTAGCTTTGAGAATTACACAATCAATTCCAAGGACCTGGTGATTTTGATTGTCTTTAGTTATATTATCTGGCCTGAGACAAACAGGCAGCTTTATGTGTATAACTTTTTTTTCTTTTCTTTTTTCTTTTTCTTTTTTTTTTTTTTTGAGACATGGTCTCACTCTGTCTCCTAGGCTGGAGTGCAGTGGTGCGATTGCACCTCACTGCAGCCTTGACCTCTTGAGTTCAAGTGATCCTCCTACCTCAGCTTCCTAATTAGCCGGGACCATGGGCATGCCCTACCATGCCCAGCTAATTTTTAAGCGTTTTTTGCCAAGATGGGGTTTCCCAGGCTGGTCTTGAACTGCTGGGCTCAAGCAATCCTCCCATCTTGGCCTCCCAAAGTGCTGGAATTACAGGTGTGAGCCATTGCATCCAGCCCAAGATACTTTTTTCTAGCATTTTTACAGACTGTTTTCTCTGTTAGAGTCTTTAATCCATTAGACATTTATATATTTTATATTTTTAAAGGGATCTTCAGTGTGGTCTCAATACAATGGAAGCCTCTCCTCTCCCCACTTACTTATCATTCCCCCTTTATCAAACTTAACTTTCCTTTATAAAGGAGTCTGTTTCAGAATTCTGCATTATAACGTTGGTATATGGTATGCCTATATCATATATCAGGTTTGTGCAAAAGTAAATGCAGCTTTGAAAATAATGGCAAAAACCACAATTACTTTTGCACCAACCTAATAGTTTTAGTTTCTGTAGCTTTATAATATGTTCCAATATATGGCACATACGGCTCCCCTTGGGAACCTTCTTTTATCACCTTTATAGTATTGAGTGTTCCCATTCAGGAACATGTTAATGTTTCTATCTATTCACATTTCCCTTTATATTCTATAGCAAGGCTTTCTTACTTTTATTTATTTTTTCTATATAGATCTTATAAACTTGTTAATTTTCTTCTTATGGAATTTATGGGTTTTTTTGGTAGCTACTGGGAATGGTCATCCCCATAACTTTAGTCATGGGTCATTGCTGGGACATAGGAAACTTATGATCATAAAGCATCTATGCTGTAACTGACACATCTTCCCTGGGATAGGAAGGATGTTAGGTCAGTATATTAAAACCTTCAATTTGGTCCACAGCAGGAGGAATCTACCCCATGAAAGCTTATTGATATATTAATACATTTCCTTTGATGTTATTGTGAAGACAGAAAAGTAAATATGTTCTTAGCAGACTGTGAAGAAGCTACTGAAGGGGCTCGGTGCACCTCCATTCTGGAACCAGTCCTGACTATACCTGGGGGTGCATTCTGAGTAGATTTCAAGTTGGGCTTTGGGGCATCCAATATGCCTCTGGAGATGCATCTTCACCCACCTCACACTTCCTATCTGCCCAATCTATGTGCGAGGTGCCTTCTTTGGTTTTCTGGCTGTACTTGAGCTCCCCTGCTGGGATGGGCCCCTTCCTCATGAACCGCAGCCCATGAGAGGGCCTAACCTCCCTAACACTCTCCAATGCTTTCCTCCAGGAAACTGGCCCCTATTTCAAGGGTGCAGGTTGGGGTCTTCTGAATTGCAAGACTGCTGTTCTTTGCAGGACTCTGACCATTGTGTGGCCTAGATCTTCCTGCTGTCACTCCTCCTCCTTGAGTCTAGTCACTGCATCTCTCTGGACTCAGCTTGCACTACGCCCCTCTGAGAGATGGTCAGACCCTCCATCACTGTCTCTACCAATTCTTGGCCTCCTCCCCTTCCTCCCTTCTCTGCCAACTCCCTGCTAAGGTCCCAGAATCTCCCCACATGGTCCAGCCTACACTGGTTTGCACCTACAATTAAAAGTTGACATTTTACTACTTTGACCTTAAGGACGATAGAGCCAAATCTTTGAAGGCATTACCATTTTAATCAATCCACACTAAAGTGTGTCTCTTGGTGGGTGGCTTAGACAGCCATCCTCGCTATGAATGATCATCTTAAACCATGAAATTTATAATACCAAAAGCACCTCAACCCTCTGAACTCCATGACTGTGTGCAAGGTCACAGAAAGACCTAGAAGAGGCTTGTTATTGTCACACCGGAGAATCTGACAAGCTTAAAAAACACAAACCTTTCCCCCATGATTGAAATCTCTACTTACCAACTTCAGGGACACAGTCCTGAGGGTTACAAGATTCTCTCTCTTCTGGTTTCAACTGAGGGTCACAGAGGTTACTTAGAGTCATGTCATCAGACAGACACCGCACTTCCCGGACCCGAAAGCCACCCTGGCAGCTCTTGGAACACTGCATGGGAACAAAGGGAAAACATCAGATTTTTGGGCAGACCAATAGCTCAGCACACTGGAGAAAGAAGACACTGGAAAATCTCAAACATTTCCAAAAGGAGACAGAATATGAAAACAAACTCCCATGTACCTATCAACCAGCTTCAACAATCAGCAACTCATGCCAGGTGTGTCCTATCCATATCCCCAGCCCTCCTGCTCCTCCCACTATTTTGAAGCAAATCTAGACATCTGATCACTTCTTCCATATACTTCAGGCTGTAGCTCTAAAAGACAAGAACTCTTAACAATTACCACAGTATCATTATTCTCCCTAGAAATTACAATAATTTCTTATTCTCTTCAATATAGACTCAGTGTTCCTACTTCCACTTATCTTGCGAATCCTATAGATTTTTTTCTTTTTTGAGATGGAGTCTTGCTCTGTCACCCAGGCTGGAGTGCAGTGGCGTGATCTCGGCTTGCTGCAACCTCCACCTCCCAGGTTCAAGCAATTCTGCTGCCTCAGCCTCCCCAGTAGCTGGGATTACAGGTGCATGCCACCACACCTGGCTAAGTTTTGTATTTTTAGTAGAGACGGGGTTTCGCCATGTTGCCTAGGCTGGTCTCAAGCTCCTGACTTCAGGTGATCTGCCCACCTCGACCTCCCAAAGTGCTGGGATTATAGGCGTGAGCCACTGCACCCAGCCAAGATTTTTTTTTTTTTTTTTTTTTTAAAGGACATATCATATTTATTCATACACATGCTGGAATTATTGGTGCAGACATTTAAATACATTTTCTTTGAGAAAGTCCTTTTTTTTTTTTTTTTTTTTGATGGAGTTTCCCTCTTGTTGCCCAGGCTGGAGTGCAATAGTGCAATCTCAGCTCACAACAACCTCTGCCTCCTGGGTTCAAGCAATTCTCCTGCCTCAGCCTCCCAAGTAGCTGGGATTACAGGCATGCACCACCACGCCCAGCTAATTTTTTTTATTTTTAGTAGAGACGGGGTTTCTCCGTGTTGGTCAGGCTGGTCTTGAACTCCTGATCTCAGGTGATCTGCCCGCCTTGGCCTGCCACAGTGCTGGGATTACAGTCGTGAGCCACCACAGCTGGCCTGGGAAAGTCCATTCTTTTTTTTTTTTTTTTTTTTTAAATTTATTTTTTTTATTGATAATTCTTGGGTGTTTCTCACAGAGGGGGATTTGGCAGGGTCATGGGACAATAGTGGAGGGAAGGTCAGCAGATAAACAAGTGAACAAAGGTCTCTGGTTTTCCTAGGCAGAGGACCCTGCCGCCTTCCGCAGTGTTTGTGTCCCTGATTACTTGAGATTAGGGATTGGTGATGACTCTTAACGAGCATGCTGCCTTCAAGCATCTGTTTAACAAAGCACATCTTGCACCGCCCTTAATCCATTTAACCCTGAGTGGACACAGCACATGTTTCAGAGAGCACAGGGTTGGGGGTAAGGTCACAGATCAACAGGATCCCAAGGCAGAGGAATTTTTCTTAGTGCAGAACAAAATGAAAAGTCTCCCATGTCTACTTCTTTCTACACAGACACGGCAACCATCCGATTTCTCAATCTTTTCCCCACCTTTCCCGCCTTTCTATTCCACAAAGCCGCCATTGTCATCCTGGCCCGTTCTCAATGAGCTGTTGGGCACACCTCCCAGACGGGGTGGTTGGCCGGGCAGAGGGGCTCCTCACTTCCCAGTAGGGGCGGCCGGGCAGAGGCGCCCCTCACCTCCCGGACGGGGCGGCTGGCCGGGCAGAGGGGCTGACCCCCCGCCCACCTCCCTCCCGGACGGGGCGGCTGGCCGGGCGGGGGGCCGACCCCCCCACCTCCCTCCCGGACGGGGCGGCTGGCCGGGCGGGGGGCCGACCCCCCCACCTCCCTCCCGGACGGGGCGGCTGGCCGGGCAGGGGGGCTGACCCCCCACCTCCCTCCCGGACGGGGCGGCTGGCCGGGCAGAGGGGCTCCTCACTTCCCAGTAGGGGCGGCCGGGCAGAGGCGCCCCTCACCTCCCGGACGGGGCGGCTGGCCGGGCAGAGGGGCTGACCCCCCGCCCACCTCCCTCCCGGACGGGGCGGCTGGCCGGGCGGGGGGCCGACCCCCCCACCTCCCTCCCGGACGGGGCGGCTGGCCGGGCAGCCAGCCAAGATTTTTTAATACAGATTTTTTTTCCTTTAAAAATCAGGATTGCTGGGCGCAGTGGCTCACATCTGCAATCCCAGCACTTTGGGAGGCAGAGGCGGGCAGAGCAGGTCAGAAGCTGAGGAGGTCAGAAGATCGAGACCATCCTGGCTAACATGGTGAAACCCCGTCTCTACTAAAAATACAAAAAAATTAGCCGTGCATGGTGGTGGGCACCTGTAGTCCCAGCTACTTGGGAGGCTGAGGCAGGAGAATGGCGTGAACCTGGGAGGCAGAGGTTGCAGTGAGCCGAGATGGTGCTACTGCATTCCAGCCTGGGCAAGAGTGAGACTTTGTCTCAAAAAAAAAAAAAAAAAAAAAAAATCAGGATCTGCGTCAGGTCTGCAAGTTGCAATTGGTCAATAAGTCTCTCACAACTCTTTCAATCCATAGGTTTCCCTTCCACTGTCTTTTTCATTCTTGCACTTAAAAAGTTTTTGGTTGCGGTGGTGGGGTGGAACTGAGTCATTTGTTCTGCAGTTGCCCATAGTCTGGATTTTGCTGACTGTGCTCCCACGGTGTAATTCGTGTTCCTCTATGCTCTATATCTCCTGAACATTGGAAGTTGGACCTAAAAGAGGCCTTAACAGGTGCAGGGTTTTTTTTTGGTTTTTTTTGTGAGACTACTTCCGGGGGGCTGCCTCTCTTTTGGGGATGTTAGTGGCCACTGATGTGCAATGCTCAGATCCATCAGTTTACAGGGAGTTTAGAATTCTAATTCTAATTCTATCATATTCCCTCAGCACCTTTACTCTTTGGTTACCCAGTGGTATGTCGTTTAAGAAAGAAAGCATAAACACTTGAATCTTTCCCTTCATTTACGGGTTTTCATAATAATAAGTTGGTTCCCTAACATCCTATGATGATGACTTATCAGTTTTTTAAAGTATTATAAACTTCATTGTAAATGGATGGATTTAAACACATATAATGTGTTTCATCTAATCTATGGTATTATTATTCTTACTGATGCTCAATGGCTCACAGGAGCCTCTACAAGTTGGCTCTGGGATGCTTTGGACATGAGCTCTGTTGTGTTTAAGAACTTCCTTGCTGCCTGCTAGAAAAAGATATCCCAACCTAACTTACATATATGCTGCCCCAGATCTGGAAGCGGCCACCCCCTCTGAATCCCGAGATTGGTCACTGATTCTAGACTCTTTCAGTGGGTGAAATTAGAAAAGATTTTTAGAGAGATAATTTCTAAGTTTATACTGACACTTCCAATTCAAATTCAGGACAACAGGCTTTTTATTGCGGACTTAAGCCATACAATATCTATCTTGTATCTGTATCTACTTTCTCCTAAGTTTGAACATCCTACTTCTCAAGGATATTGGGGCTAACAGAATTATACTATCATCTAATTACTCATTTACCTTCTCACACATTATATGCCCAATCATCATATCCAGCACAACACTATCACCAAAAATAGGATAATTGCAAACAGTGTGAACATTCTTCTGCAGTAATTTTTTTTAGGGATAGAATGTCAAATTACTATGTATTCAAGTCACTTGCAATAGTGCTGATGCCACCAACTAGAAACATATTTACATTAATTTGTTTCATTGTATTTTCAGTTCTGGGGGATTGCTTTTTTAAAACTTAATTTTCTTTTATGATTATCTAAAATATTTACTTAGTTCCAAACTCAAATTTGTAAAACAAGGTACATTCAAAGAAGTCTAGCTTCCATCAGTCTTTGCTATTATAGTAACCATTTACTTCATATTTTCTAAATTTGCATCTAAAAATGTCCCTTTTTGTGGTATACACATCTATCAGTTTTGACAAATTCATACAGTTGTGTATCTCCTACCGCAAACAAGACACGAAATATTTTCATTGCAGACAAAAAATTCCCATGCTGCCCCTCTACGGTCAGATTGCACAGATGTGGTCACCCCATCCTCCAGCAGGCACTGATTTGGCGTTTGTAGCTGCTCCTTTTACAGAATATTATATAGATGGACTCATACAACACGTAGTTTTTTGAACCTGGCTTTTTTTTTTACTTAGCAAAACGCACCGGAAGTTCATCCATATTTTTGTGGCTGAGTTTTTTGTTCCGCTGTGTGGATGCACCATGGTTTGTCCGTTCACCTGCTGACGGACATTTGGGGTGTTTTTGAAGTTTGTCTCCTTCAACTTGGCCTGGTGAGCATGGCTCTTTGTAGACTCTCCAAATCAGATGACAAAAGAAAACTGCGATCTGTTATTGTATCCTCAAGCCTTGGTCAACATCAAAATAATTAAATTCCACTTCCCAGAAGTTGCCAGAAACCTTTCAACCCACCTCCTTCATTCCCATCTACCTCTGAGATGTGGTTTGCTACACAGCCAAATGGCTGTTATCACTAGAGCAGACAGACACTTTTTGGAAATGGAATTCTCAGCTTTTATTCATATATTTTCTAAGCAAAATTCCCTTTTATCACCCTTGGATCACTGTGAGAAAGGCTCTGGCCCCCCTACTCTGGGCTCACTACAGCCTCTGCTTGAAGATCTTCAGTGATGAGAAGCAGAATGACCCTTCCTCCACTTCCCACCCCAACCCACAGAACTACGCCAATGGTCACCTGGGATGGGGCCCTCAGGAGGTTTTCTGGTCACCTGGAATGATGGTGAGGAGGTTTTCTGTTTTAGGAAGTTTCTTGAAAATGAACTCTTCAACTTGAAAAAAATGAATCTTATCACTATATCCATCCTTTCCCCTTTCATTTCTTAATAACTTATTTCTGTATTTATCAATCTCTCTCTTTCTTCATTTACACACTATTTCCCTCCTTACAAAAAGGATTTGAAATGACTTGAGAAAGACTTAGAGGGCCACAAGATTTTAAAAAAGTGAGAAAACTAGTACTAAAGGAAGATAAAAGTAGGAAAAAGAAAGAGAAGCCACAGGAATATTAGCACATAAAATCCACTTTGCAGGATCTGGTATACTAGGTGAGGCATAATTTTGGCTTTGCGCTTCCTAGTAGCCAGTTCAAACAGAAAACAGAATCAGTCCCACAATCCATAATCCAGAATGTCTATAGGATTTTTAAAAAGTGTACACACACACACACACACACACACACACACAGAGAGTGTGTGCGTGTGTGTTTGTGTAATGTAGTAATTAAAAAAAATGTTTTTCAGAGATGGGTTCTTGCTAGTTGACCTGGCTGGTGTCAAACTCCTAGCCTCAAGTGATCTTCCCACCTTGGCCTCCCAAAGTATTGGGATTACAGGTGTCAACCACCACGCCTGGCATCAGATGTAGTTCTTTTAACAGCACCCTTGAATCCTCAATCCTCTATGGCAGCATTGCTCAAAATGCAGTACAAAGACAACTCCATCCAACACACCTCAGGAACTTGCTAAAAATGCAAATCCTCGGCCACAGTTGGCCCAGAGTTGGTCTTGTCAAACAAGATCCTCAGATGATTCCTATGCACACTGAAGTGTGAGAGTCACTGTTTCTACAGTTTAGAAAGCAAGATCATCTAGGTCTCAGGCCTTCCCCACGAAGCAGGCTGAGTCACGGGGTACTCCAGCAGCTACCACCTAAGGTAGATTGCTGTAGGGAATCTCTTTCAGGGCTGAACCCAGTGCCTGGCCCAGAGGGGTCTATAGGAGTTCAGGTGGGGGACGTTGTGCCAATGCAACCTCCATCAAGAGCACCATGACTTACCATGCTCCATTCGGTGCTAAACCATTTGGCTCCGCAAGGCTTGAGGTGGCAGGATTGCTGGCTGGGGGGTTTCTCCAGGAAAGAACATTCAGAGGGGTCCAACACTTCAAAGGTGTCTGCATTCTTTCTAACACAAATCACCTCCCTCTGTTGCGTCCCGCTCCCACACTCGATGGAACACTGCAGAAAGAAGCAGAAAAAGATGAGTGTCACATGATGGAAAGGGGGTGGCAGCTACTGTCCATCAAGGGATGCTTATGACGGGCACCGTCAATTCTACCACCAATTCTAGGAGGAAGAACCCAGGAGAACTTGGAAATGTTTCTGGAGGAGAAATGGCATATGGAATGCAGTTTCCTAACAGTTCTGTCTCCAAATGCAGACTAGGTGCCCTGATTGTCATACCTGGAGGATGCTAGTCACTAAGATCTTGTTGTCTTCTGTGCTGAGAGGGAAACAGTTTACCATAAACTCTCCTGCAGGAACACACCAGCCAGGTCATTTGGTTGTCTCTGTCCCATAGACTCTGGCACCTCTCACAGGAGGCAAGACAATGAACTGACATTCTTATCTGTTATTCTCTTAGGAGGTGGATACTGTGACTGAATGAACTCCTACACTCTGCACACCTGTGAACACCCAAAGCTGAGGAGAAGACCTAAGACTTGGGAAAATGTACCCTATGGTCAACCCTCCCCTTCCAACAGGGCAGCCAGCGGGAACTGTGACTACAGAGCCCAATCTTCTTGTTTCCTAATGTGGTGCTGAAATCTGCACCATGGGGTAGTGACCCCACAAAGAAGCCAGGCAATTACATATGTTGGTTCATTTCATTAGTTTATGGAAATAAAATGCATACAACTGTTTGCTGATAAATCATCCCATTTAGTATCTATTACTTTGCAAAATGTTTTTTGTTCATGTTTGGTTTACTCAATATTTTTCCTTGTTTTTGAGACAAGGTCTCACTCTGTCACCCAGGCTGGAGTGTAGTGGTGTGATCATGGCTCACTGCGGCCTCAACCTCCTGAGCTCAAGTGGTCCTCTCACCTCAGCCTCCAGAGTAGCTGGGACCACAGGTGTGCACTGCCTTGCCTGGTTCATTCGTTCTTTTATTTATTTATTTTTTTTTTGAGGCAGGATCTCACTCTGTCACCCAGGCTGGAGTGCAGCGGAGTGATCTTGGCTCACTGCAACCTCCACTCCCCAGACTCAAGTGATCATCCCACCTCAGCCTCCAGAGTAGCTGGGAATTACAGGCATATGTCACCACACCTGGCTAATTTTTGTATTTTTTTGTAGAGATGGGGTTTTGCCATGTTGCCCAGGCTGGTCTTGAACTCCTGAACCCAAATGATCTGCCTGCCTCGGCCTCTCAAAGTGCTGGGATTACAGGCATGAGCCACCATGCCAGGCCTTGCCCGACTAATTAAAACAATTTTTTTTAGAGACGGGGGCCAGGCGCGGTGGCTCACTCCTATAATCCTAGCACTTTGGGAGGCCAAGGTGAGCAAATCGCCTGGGGTCAGGAGGCTGAGGCAAGATAATCACTGGAACCTGGGAGGTAGAGGTTGCAGTGAGCCAAGATCGTGCCACTGCACTCCAGCCTGGGTGACGAGCAAGACTCTGTTTAAAAAAAAAAAAATTTGTTTTTAGAGACAGGGTCTCATTATATTGCCCAGGCTGGTCTTGAACTCCTGGCCTCAACCAATCCTCCTGCCTCGGCCTCCCATCGTTCTGGGATTACAGGCGTGAGCCACTGTGCCCAGCCTCTTAATACTTTTTGATTTAAAGTTGTAAAGCTGTGGTCTATGTACTTTATTATAGACTTTAAAGAATCGACTACCTTTATAAGAAGCCTGCAACAATGTCTGCAGTTCAAACTCTAAATATTAGCTTTGCTGTCCATAGGCAGCCACACAATCAAATAAAAATAGAGAGAAAGAAAAACACGCATCTACAGAAAAAAAAAATTATAAAACCCCCAAACCAACAAATGATGAAGTAGTCACACAGGGCATGAAATAGCAGAGGCCATCAGTTTCTGCTTTGTCTATGTCTTCTTTTTTGCCATCTTCGTAGCATTAAAAAACTACGGGATTTTTTTACTAAAAAAAAATTTTTTTTTTGAGATGGAGTCTTGCTCTGTTGCCCAGGCTAGAGTGCAGTGGTGCAATCTCGGCTCACTGCAACCTCTGCCTCCCAGGTTCAAGCAATTCTCCTACCTCAGCCTCCTAAGTAGTTGGGACTACAGGTGTGAGCCCCTATGCTTGGCTAATTTTTGTATTTTTAGTAGAGATGGGGTTTTGTCATATTGGCCAGGGTGGTCTCAAACTCCTGACACCTCAAGTGATCTGCCTGCCTTGGCCTCCCAAAGTGCTGGGATTATAGGCGTGAGCCACTGTGCCCAGCCAAAAAAAAACTATAAGATTTCCCACTCTGTTTCTCCTATTTTCTTCCATGTTAGTTTATGATTTGGAGTGTATTCGTGTCTTGTCCTTTTCTTTCAAGTGCTGCAGGCAATGGAAGAACTGAAGGCAGGAGAAGAGCCACAAGCTGCAGCAGGCAAAGGTCTGGCCTCTCCTGCAGGAGGAATGAGGATGGGGCAGGGGTGGGCGGCAGGGGTGGAACACTAGACTGAAGTCAGGAGACATGGAAACTAGAGTCTAGACAGTGTCGCTAAATAGTTCTGTGTCTTTGGCTAAGACGTTGCACTTTCCCAGGTCGCTGTGGTCTTATCTGAAAAGAGAAAGTGAGGGGTTTGAAAACATAATCTGAAAGACCCCTCAATGCTATGAGATCCTACATCTGTACTAAGTGTGTGGCAGAACAGAAGACTGCAAACTTTGATCAAAACTT
Source organism: Homo sapiens (assembly GCF_000001405.40). NCBI lineage: Eukaryota > Metazoa > Chordata > Mammalia > Primates > Hominidae > Homo > Homo sapiens. Next base: position 71,762,340 of record NC_000015.10, on the reverse strand, counting down.
GTAGTTATCTTCTGCTATTTTTGGCAAGTCCTTGAAGAGATTGTGTACTTCAGGGAGAATGAGCCCGTCTCAGCCTTCTCTTACTGTAAATGCTCAGAAATGGCAGAATATGTGCGTCTGGAAAGTGAATGAATGTGTTCATGTGTGTGTATCTCTATCTCTGTGTGTGTGTGTGTGTGTGTGTGTGTGTTTGCACACGCGCATGAGACAGCATTTGAAGACAAGAAAGGGCAATCAGCCTTGATGGACCAGAAATTATGGGGAATCTTTGAACAATGAAAGACAGATGAGATCAAATTGAAGAAGGAAACTATAGTCCAAATGCACACAGAGGAGGAGCTCTAGCAAAACTCATGTGCTTCAGGCTATATTGGTGGTGGACATGGAGATCAGGATGGAGGCCTCAGGACAATGAGTGATCAGCTGAGTTACTGGCCAAGAGCAGCCGGGCTGGCCTGACTGTGCCAAGGAAGAGGAAGCAGTGAGTCATCTGCCAGAAGCATTCGTGTCAAAGTGCAAAATGAAGTCATTTTCAGGTATTCAAGGGCTCAGAAACCTTACCACTTACAAATCCTATTTGAAAGACTTCCTGGGTTATAGTCTTTAGCAAAATAAAAAAGAACCAGGAAGAAGACACAGGACATAAAAGAAGGAGCTGGCAAAGACACCAATAAAAGCCGTTATTACTAATGGATGCCAGGTGTCTTTTTGGAATGATAAAAATGTGCTGGAATTGGATAATGCTGAATATGGTTGTACAACTTTGTGAATTTACTAAAAACCAATGAATTCTATATTTTTAAAGGGTAAATTTTATGGTACGTGAATTATATTTCAATAAAAAAATCTTTGGGGGGAAAGCAGAAAACTATTTTAAAATTTAAATCTATATTTTCTATAAAATTAACATTAATCTGGAGCTAGATCCAGATAATATCAACATCTTTTTGGAGATATTGTAGATTGAGAGAGTGGAGGTAAATAAAAGGGGAAGGCTTCTATTTTCTTTTAGGAGAGGATGTGGTCACTGATAACTTGACACTAATGGAGACATAAAAGTTTAAAATTCTGTGCTAAAAATTTGAATCTTATCACAGAAGAAATACCACTAGAAGATTTATAACTTCCAAAATGTTGGAGGGGAAAAAATGGAATTAAGAAAACCTGACTAATAACAAGCATGTTGAAAGGAAAGAGGAAAGAAGCAAGAAAGCATGAAAATAGAAAACACAAAATAAGATGGTAGGGAAAAGTCCAAACATATAAGTGATTACAATAAATATAAATGGTTAAAATTTAACTCTTAAAATACAGAGGTTTATAGATTGGGTAAAAATAAAGACAAAAATAGTCCTGAAAGACATACCTTAAAAATACATAGAACGTTTGAAAATTAAGAAATTGATGAAGATACATCAGGTGAAAATCAACAATAAGAAACAAGATGGAGTAATTCAAATAGTAGATAAAATGTAATCCACAGAGAAAAGCACACATGAGAAAAAGTAATATTTAATAGGGATAAATGCTTTCAGTGAGAAGTGATGGCAATTAGGCATGTTTCTGTACCTAAAGAATTCCTGCAGTTGCACTTTTGTGGATCACTGATTCGCGAAGAGATGAGAATAAATATATCTATTGCAATAAATGCAATCAATAAAATGCAATCCAGACCCAGAGGCAGACAAAATGGCTGCTCCTGAAGACTAGAGACTGTGACAGATCTCCCCGGAACTAAGACAATCTAAGGTTGCAGTAAACTCAGAATTGATAGAGAAGAAAGGAAATAATTCTGGGCATAAATAATAGACTTGGTAGACTCTCATGAGTAAGAGTTGGGCTACTGTGCCTCCAGAGTAGAAAAAGACTCCCTAAGCTTGATATACTCCTAGTTAGTTTCCAGGGATCTGGGAAGCAGCAGAAATGGAATATATTCCTTTCTTGGTGGAGTCAGAAAGACTCTAAAGCCAGAAACTCCTTGGTCTCTGCCTCTCCATGGACTTAGGTCTCATTCTCTCAGACTGGCTTTTTGCACAAGCCTCAGTAGGGCCACTGCCAGCCCTTGAGCTCACAACCTCTTAGTGAGTCTCTTCCCTAAAACACAAATGAAATGTCCTTGGGAAGGATTCTGTGGCTCAGCTTGGGTCACACATCCACCTGTTGGATCACATGTCTACTCCTGGACTAATCACTGTGACCAGGCTGGTGGGGTATTCGAAATACCAACTTTCATTCAACCCATATGGTGAGAAGGAACATTTATTTTTATATTCTGAAGCCAGTTAATGTTTAAAACTTACCTTTCAAGAAATAAGCATGCTCTTATTTCATTTTCTTTGGGGATAATGTCAAATTCCTAGGGCAGGGAATTTCCAGCAGGCCCTGACATCCTTATAAATCCAGAACCAAAACCCTTGGCCACATTCAATTGTATCTTGACCCTTTTGGACAACAGGGCAACAAATCCTTTGTTTCTAATCTTAGCAGAAATAAAGGTTGTCTTTGCCAGGGTTCATACCACCCTTGGTTCTTTAAGCTTAGGTCTAAAGTCAATAGGAAGCCACAAGCAAAAAAGGCCCTGAATCCTGCTCCCTTCTCTTCTAAGAATGGTAGACATATGAGTTCGATTGTACTGCTTATCTTCACGTGTGTGACTGTAATGATCTGATATGATTTCACACATCTATGGATATTTGGTATAATTGGTGTCCTATATACAGTCGCTGCTGAATTATCTTTGGGGTTTAGGTCCTATGTATTTTACTACCAGTAATGAGATAGAAATAGCTGGCAGAAAAAATAAACATAGAGAGATGGGAACCAATATTTATTAAGTGTTTCCCATATCCCAAGCAATGGGTAATTCTCTTTATGTATAGCATCTTATGAAAACCTCGTAACAACCTTAAGAGGTTGATATGATTACCTTCATATTCAGATGAGGAAACAGGCTCAGAGAGGTTAAATCACTCACCTAGAGCCAGAAAACTCATGAGAAGTCAAGCTGGGATCAGTTAGCAAATGTGTCTAACTTTGATATTCACCAGAGTAGCACTGGAAGTACTTGAATTCTTTCTGAATTCTCTATATTTTAAAAAACATTAAAGGGAATTTGAATAGAAAAACATTTCCCTATGCTTTTTGCATAAAAACTCTACATTGAAGTGGCAGAGATGATAGGGTTTGAATATTTTCACATTCTATTTCTCACTTGCCATTATACCACATGCACTTTCACATCTTCCTAACGATCGCTGTCATTGTCACCTTATATTTTACTGAGTTATGATATGCCATAATATCTGTAACCATCCTGCTGTCATGAACATCTCTGTTGAAAAAGGCTGTTTTTTTTCTTTTGTTAATTATTTCCTTAAAATGAATCCCCAGGAGTGGGGTGACTGGGTTAAGGCAAAGGAACATTTTTATGGTTCCTGACTTTTATTGCCAAATTGCTTTCCCAAGGGCTTGTGTCAATTTACAAGGATAAGGCAGTGCATTTTTTTCCAAGGTCAGTTTTTAATGCTACTTAAAAGAAATAAAATTCTATATGGAGCCAGAGGTCTTGATAATGTGTAAATCATGATCATAAGCCAAACAGTCCTTGGAGAACCAGCCAGCCCTGGGAGCCAAATGCTAAGTGGCTCAAGAACTCCAATACTGATGATAATCAAACCAAGGCAGTCATTTCCACATTTTCTTAGTGGGGTTCACGTTCAATTTTGGAAGAGTGAGGGAAAATGTAATTCATCAATTATTAAAGTATTCAGTATTATTTATTCTTCATAATGAACAATTCCAACTTTTAAAATTTCTGCTTCTGATACTGTCAAATACAGAAAAACTGGCTTTATTAACAGGAATAATAGCAGCAGCCACCATTTATTTTGTGTCAGGCACTGTGCTACATACTTTATGTACACAATTTCATTTCTTCTAAAAATAACCTCATAAGGTACCATCACTGCCAGCATTGTATAGATGAGGAAAGCATGCTAGGCCATAAGCCCCCTGAGGGCAGAGATATTTGTGTTGCTCACTGATGTAACCCAAGTACTTAGATGAGCACACCGTAGGTGCTCAATGAATACTGTTGACTGACTGAGGCTCCAGAAATATAAATAGCTTCTCCAGGGTCACAGATAGACAGTGGCACTGCTGGGATTCAAAGCTGGGACACCTGACACAAAGTCCTGGTTCCTAACCCCTCTGGTATGCTGCCTTTTGCCTGACACAGGCAGACATACCCAGTTCTGGCCACTCACCTGACTCCAGCTCCCGGCAAACCACTCCACCTTGCCCGTGCAGGGTCCGTTGTCACATGGGGTGGCCTCTGCCGGCCGGTTGTTCCCACAGCCCTCCAGGGGCAGGCTGCTGACATGGTTGGTCATGCACACCACCGAGCGTGTCCGCACTCCGGCCCCACACTCCGCTGAGCACTGTGAGACAGGGGAAGGGCACATTAGTCAGGAGGCCCTGGCAGCTGCTGAAGCCACTTTCAAATGATGGAAAGGAGGATGGAATGCTTCATTTTCCTGCCGTCTGTTTCCCCTAGAAATATCTGGCAGCTTCTCGTGCATAGCCTACTCCATTATGAGATATCAGTATGGCAATTCTCTGTCTTAGATTTTCTGGGTTGGGCTTCATTCCAAATTCCAAATATCCAATCTTGCCACTGCAATTAATACACTTATACTTGTTAGACTATCCTTCCCAGCTTTTGCTTTCAAAAATATATTCAGCTTGGCCGGGTATTGTGGCTCACGCCTGTGGTACCAGAGCTTTGGGAGGCTGAAGTGGGAGGATCGCTTGAGCCCAGGAGGTTGAGGCTACACTGAGCTATGACTGCACGACTGCACTCCAGCCTGGGCAACAGAGTGAGAAGACCCTGTCTCTAAAAATAAAAATAAAAAAATATATATATATTCAGCTGAAGAAGAATGGGTGCATGAAAACCTGGGCATATTTCTACCTGCTAGTAGCCAAGTCTGGGTTGGAAAAATAGGGGGACTTAAGTCTGTCACCTCAATGTTGCTGCCTGATATTAAGGCAAATTGTTCCAGTCTCTGAAGGTCACAGCTATGAGGGGATTGGGAGACAGCTTGGTATAGAGGGAGAGCTTGGCTTTGGAACCAGGTACATCAGTGTTGATATCCTCACTAGCTGTGCGGCCTGGAGCAAGTGACCCAGCCCCTCCTACCTTTGGCATGCTCATCTAGACAACTGGCATAGAAACACATTTCTGACAGGGCTATGGAGACTGTATAATGTGCTTTGCAGATGGGAGGTGCCCAGTAAATGGTATAAGGGGCTTCAACCCCTACATTCCCACTCCAAGATAGAGAAACTAAGCCTCATAGGGATAAAATCTTCACTTAAAGCCAAATATCTATTAGTGATTTTTCTACTACAATCACACTGTCCTCTCCTAGGATACAGTGAAAACATTCCTGAGTCACAGCCCAAAGCTCATAGAGCATTTTCCATCTGTCTTGCCATACGTTGGAATGTGCCCTTATTTTGGTTCTCATCTTATCGTGTCTTTTCTTTTTTTCGAGACAGGTTCTCGCTTTGTCACCCAGATAGGATTGCATCACCCAGGTGGCGTGATCTCAGCTCACTGCAGCTTCAACCTCTTGGGGTCAAGTGATCCTCCCACCTCAGCCTCCTGAGTAGCTCCAGGTGCTCACGACCATGTCCAGCTAATTTTTGTATTTTTTTGTAGAGACGGGATTTTGCCATGTTGCCCAGGCTGGTCTCAAACTCCTGAGCGCAAGAGATCCGCCTGCCTCGGCCTCCCAAAGTGCTGGGATTACAGGTGTGTGCCACCACACCTAAACTTTATCTTTTCAAACATTTTTGGGGCGTCCTTATCTGGGTGTCCTACAGATACCTTGAATCCAGCATGTACACCTTCACCACCGTTACCATTCCTCCTTTTATTTTTCTGATTTGCTTTCAAGTTTCTACCTGGATTTAAAAGTTGACTATTCTCCTACCCTCTTGCTTCCAACATCTAGACAATCATTAGGTCTCACAGACTCTAGTTCTGCCACATTTCTCTAACCTGTCTTGCCCCTTTCCATCCATGGTTCCCAGCACAGTTTACTTTCTTACCCTGGACTGTGGCTGTAGCTTCTTGCTCAACCTCACCAGCTTTTCCAATGCATTGGGCTGCCAGGTGTTGAGAACTCCATGCTAAAAATTCCCTCTGAAGTTATCCCATTCCTAACAGAAGTCACATATGGACTTCTAGCATTAAGGGTTTTCTATAATATGGCCCCAATTGACCCAATTCTTCTAGACTAATTTCCTATTATCCTATCCCCCATACCTCCTTCTGGACAGACTCAGAGTGGCTATTATTCCCTGATCACATAAAAGGCTCACAGAGCCCTTGCCCCTGTCATTCCCTCCACCCAGAATGCTCTTTCCCTTCACTGGACAGATCAGAAGCCTTTAAGGCTCACCTCAAATACCTTCTCCTCTGTCCTCTGTGAAGACTATCTTGAGTGTCCAATTTAAGATGTTCTTTCAAGCCTTGGAATTCTCATGGCACTCTATGTGCTGCTTCCTGCCTTTGTATTATGGTTATTTGTGTCCTGTCTTTTTTTTTTTTTTTTTTTTTTTTTTTGTCTTTGCTGAAGCAGGCTTGGTGAGAGCAGGAACTAACGAATCATCTCTAATTCTTTCTCAGGTCAGTGTCTTATTCATGAGTAAATCCATGAATATCAGTTGCATATAGACTTGGGCCCTGCCTTGTTCATTTCTCTTATCTATTAGCACTTTCTAATCCTAGACGTGGCCCTTTAGCACATGACCAAAGCCCTTTCTAAGGGTTTCTGGGTCTTTTCTTAAAAATAGAGTCAATGTTTGAGTTCTACCCGTATTATTTTAGAAAATAAAGCAATAGAATTTAAATAAAAATTGAGAAAAGGGAAAAACAATCCTTACAACCTCATTTCCTTATCAAAATTTCCACTTTCATTTTTGTATGCTGACATCTAGTCTTGTAAAATCACATGCCAGCATGAGCGATCAAACATTTACCTTTCCACTGCTAAGCTGGGCTTGACCCCTTAGGGAAGAAACTCCCTCTGGAGCAAAGGGCTTGAAGGGGATCAGAACATGCCACCCCAAAATATGTTGCTTTGGCATGTTGATTATTTTGAGCTGAAGGCTATTGAGAAATAGCAGATGCAGGAAGAGCTCTCTGCCTTCCCCATTTCTGCCTAAAACCAGGGCATAAATTTCCCATGAGAAGGGTGCCCTCCCAGTGCTAGGAAGAAGAGAAGATTCTTATCACTGGAGATGGGGAGTTGACTCCAAGACAAGTCTGCACAAATAAACTTTAATAAAAGGACCCTTATCTTCTGTCAATTTCCCCCATATTTTTCTTAGTCAATTTCTCACAATTTACTGTCCCTAGAAGCCCCAGCCCCTTTCCTTTGTCTAATCACTTCTCCATAGTTTATCACCCTTTGTTAAAATGGTATATAATCCCTCAAGTCTAACTGCTTCTCTGGGGTTGTCACTTCTTTCCTATGAAGCCCCCCATGCCACTACAAAAATATTAACATCAAACAAAATTGGTATGCTTTTTATCTGTTAATCTTTTGTCAGCTTAATTCACAGACTGCAGCCAGAGAACCTAAGAATGCAGAGGAAACATTTTTCCTCCCCTACAGGTTTGCAGACATTTTTCATGTCCTTTGCTATTTTGCTATTTGCATATTTCATGTCCTTTGCTATTTTGCTAGATTGCTATTAGAAATCTGGGACAATGACTCAGTCCTTTAGCTTAAAATTTGTTACAATAATTGGAATATTCTAGGCTAAAGGATTTGTTTGTTTGTTTGTTTGTTTGTTTGTTTCAGCCATGTATGATCTGGTTTTCTTCCTAACTTTAAAACTCAAGACATTTAAATACTCTTGTAAAGAATACAATGTAGGCCAGGTGTGGTGGCTCACACCTGTAATCCCAGCACTTTCGGAGGCTGAGGCAGGTGGATCACCTGAGGTCAGGAGTTTGAGACCAGCCTGGCCAACATAGTGAAACCCCATCTCTACTAAAAATACAAAAATTAACTGGGCATGATGGTGTGCACCTGTAATTCCAGCTACTTGGGAGGCTGAAACAGAAGAATCGCTTGAACCCGGGAGGTGGAGGTTGCAGTGATGCAGTAAGCCGAAATCATGCCACTGTACTCTAGCCTGGGTGACAGAGTGAGACTCCATCTCAAAAAAAAAAAAAAAAAAAAGAATAAAAGGTAAACAGAATTTCAGTTATCTTCATGTTTCCAACCCTTAGGCTACTTGTTTCCAAGTAATTTCCATCTGACTAGCTAACTTAATTTTCTGCTTTCAAAACCAAGTAATGCACATACATTTGGGAAAGTGTCTTCACATCCCCATATACCTAATTTAAAAGAAGAATATGAAGGACCATGCCAGTGCCCAATGGGAGGACATCACATGGATGAGGCCTGTAGAGGAGTTTCATTTTATTACAACACCTTCAGTGAAAAGCCCAACAAGTGTAAACATGAAAGGAGCTCCCCACTCACGACCTGGTCCAGGAAGCCTGTCAGCAGAAGCAAGGGGAAGGAGAAGTCCCTACCAGGGAGTGGGGACTAACCTTCCAGGTGAGGCTCCAAACCACACCCACCCACTGTCCTTAAAGGATGTTCCTAAAAGGACCAAATCTGCTTTGCTAGTCAGAAGAGGACATGACTCGTAATTGAACTTCTGGGCTGATAAAACACAGAAACACATGGAATTCCTAAGCAACCCTCTGGTGGGGACTGCCTTCTCATTCCAGCAACAGTTAAATCCTAAACTTGGCCCAACTGGCCCCTAAGGGACTATAAGGCTGTAATGACTATTCTTGAACTTCAGCTTTATGCATCATTTCTTATAATTTAAATGATTCAGTATTTTTTTCCTGGAAAACTTTCTTAGAAATTAGGTGTTACCAAACTAAGGCTGGTGGACTTTCTAAAAGTGTTTTTTTCCTGTTGTGATTAAAAATTGCACATGGGCTTAAACCTATCATTGATTTGTAGAACTGAAAAGTCAACGATGCTTACTTCTGATAAGGCCCACTCTCAAGTACAAGCAGCTGAAAAGATGTTTTTAAGGTGAGTCATTAAGCCAGAAGAAACTTTGTGTCCCTAGAAGTTTAACAGAAGATTCAGACTGGGGTTACAACCTCAATTCACTTAGGTAAAGATTAATTAATTTTAAATTGGGCAATAAGACACACTCTGTACTCTTAAGTGTTTGCGAACTTTAATTTTCTTTGGTCTCTCCCTCTTGAGCTTATTGAGTCGGAAGCTGTGTCTCGTTCATGACTGGCATGTAACAGGTGCTCAACACGTGTTTATTCCCAGTAATAAAAAATTTCATAGTTCAGACTAAAGCTTAACGAGGCCATTTTCTACACAAAGCAACTATTCAAAAGTGGAAGACTGCCATCCGCTGGTCATTCCAGGGGCTGAACCTTTTCTAAGACCAACTGGTGGCCCAAAGGCCCCTGGTAACACGCAGCTGAAGAAGAATGAAGCAGCCCACAGGAAATCCTTCCCACTGTGCCAACCTCATCTAGGTCATAGCTTCAAATATATTACTGCAGCGGTTACTCAGCAATGTTACAGTTGAAAAAACTGAAGCTCGGTGAATCAGTAGCTGGCTCAGGGTCAAATACGAAATAAGTGATGGTCATGGAGATGATACCAAAGCCAATGTGCGTTTCTTAAACCCAATAGTACTCCCTTCCCACTCATCTACTCTAAAATAAGCATGAACATTTAGAATTCATGATCTATTCTGAGGGTAGATAAGGCAAAAATTATTTACTTACACCATAGCACCCAACTTGCATGATTTAGAACATCTTTTCCAAAACGAACGAAAGAGTTCCCTGAATAGAATAAAGTGCTCATTCTTTGCTCTATTTATAATTTTAAGCCAAGCTAGATTCGGCAAGAACTTATGTTGAAATGCAAAGCAAAATTACTTTAAGGGGAAATCTGCAAGTCATTATTGGAGAGGAAATAGGTAGAGTGGAAATCTTTGGAAAATTTACATGTAGCTTTTTACTGTTCTAAATAAATGTGGGAGACACACAGAGGAATGAACCACTGCAGCTATTTTCCCCACAGAGTTGTTTTTTCTCTGTACGTATTGTGCTCTGTGCCCCCTGCCTTTTCAGAGAGTGGCAAATGTAGAGACATGGAATTTACAAACTAAAGAATCATGGCAACAAAATGACTGTAAAAGCGCTCTCAGTTGCTGCTTGGAAGACTACACCGAAATAATCTTTCTGGAGAACAATTAGCTAAAATGTATTAAGAGTTCAAAAAGCATTCATAATATTTTCCCATAATTTAACATGATTCCACGCCCCCACTATTTTACAGAGATAAGAAGAGGTGCATATAAAGATTTATGCACAAGAACACTTACTGAAGTCTTTTAAAATATTCTGTTTTAAACAGTAAAACATCACCCGTGTATGGAGGCTTATAACTGTAATCCCAGCTACTCAGGAGGCTGAGGAGGGAGGATCACTAGAGCCCAGGAGGTCAAGGCTTCAGTGAGCCATGATTGTGCCACTGCAGTCCAGCCTGGGCAACAGAGCAAGACCTGGTCTCAAAAATAAAAATAAAAATAAAAATAAAAATAAAAACTAGAAAATCCCAAACATTTAGAAATAGGAGATTGTTTCAGTTATATAGTTCTATAGCTTATTATAATAAAAATCATGTTTTAAAGATTTTATGCTTATAATAATTAAGTGAAAAGAGGTGACCAAATTATACATACATTATGATATAAAGATACATTTATATCTTTAAAATACGTATGAGGAAAAAAAGCTATGTAGGTAAAGTATGTATGAGAAGAAAAAACTTGAAGTATAGCTTAATCTCAAATTTTCTTTTGGTGAAGAGGTTTGGAGCATACTTTTCCAAATTTCTCATATTCTTAAAACAATACTGTGTTACTTTTTAACCAGAAAAAAGCCAACATTTTTAAGAAAAAGAATCATTCCAATATAAAAATGAAAGTCCAGCATCATTCTTTTCATCCATTTGCTGATACAGGAAATCCATCAAGTTTACTGAGAACACGAATGAGTTCAGAAACTGAAGCACAAAAGGATTAGTTGAGGAAACTAGATATTTTTAGCCTGGAGAAAGTGGAAGGGGTTCCCCAATGGCTGTAGGGCTGTCCTTTTCTAAAGGACAGTGGGACTTAGTAAGAAACACTTTGGTTAACTGTAAAAGGAGACCTCTTGACACCTTGAGCTGTACAAGAAATAGATGTAATTGTCTGGACACAGGGTGAATTTCTGATAAAGGGTTTGGGCAAGAGCTGTGACCTATGTCAGGGGCACTGCAGAGGATTCCTCATGCTGGCAAGGAGGCTGAGCTCACAAACACCTTCCCCCACTGTTTCCGCAGTACCATGCGCTAATGTTTGGGATGGGAGGCTTGGAAAATAGGGATACACCGAAGAACTAGGATGAGCTCTCCTGGACTCAGCTTTAGGGCAGAAGCTTGAGTCAGTGGCCAGATCAGCACTTACTCTCCATCTGTTTCTCTTTGGTTAGAGCCTCCCAGATGGCCAAATTAGTGTCTGCTCCTGGGACTGGGGGCACAGTCAGATGCTCATCTTGGAAGCTCAGTATTTGCACCAAGGGCTGTCCATCTGGGGCCATCGTGGGCCTAAGGGGCAGGGGCCATATGCCATGAGGTGTGGGGAACACACAAGAAGATGAGCCGCTAGGTAAGAATCTCCAGGACCATCTCTGGAGGTGGAGTGAAGGCTGCATTTGCAGGTTTGTCCTTCCTCTCTTTCTGGATAACACTCCCTGTGGAAGTGGATTGTTATGGTGATAGAGGGACAAAATGAAGGGGCATCTTACACCGCAGAGGGAGAGAAAACCTATGTGAACACCTCTAGGGGTGATATTCAAAATACTCAATAACAGGTGCATGGTGGCCATTGACCGGTCAGAATGGACACTGACCAGTTGGAGTCAGCCAATGTGGCCGTATGGGGCATGTCTGCTGATATCCCCAAACTGCGTGAAAGGGTCCTTCTTTGAGTCTGAGATACTATGGTTGTTGTTCTCATGATGCTGGGAGTGGGGACGGGGTGGGGGCTCATGGGCTGCATCGTGTCTCCTAAGATCCAAGAACATGGCTGGGCTCCTCTGTCTTTTTTATGGCCTTGTTATTCAGAGTGTGGTCCTTGGACCAGTGGCCTCAGAGACCCTGGGAACCTATTAGAAATGTAGGCTGTGGCCAGGCACAGTGGCTCATGCCTACAATTCCAGGGCTTCGGGAGGCCGAGGTGGCAGATCACTTGAGCCCAGGAGTTTGAGACCAGCTTGGGCAACATGGTGAAACCACAAACAAATACAAAAAATTAGCCGGGGTGGTGGCGCGCACCTATAGTCCCACCTACGTTGGCGGGAGGGGGGCAGGGGGTGCTGAGGCAGGAGGATTGCTTGATCCCAGCAGGTCGAGGCTGCAGTGAGCTGAGATTGCACCACTGCACTCCAGCCCGGGCAATAGAATGAGACCCGGTCTCAAAATAAATAAATAAATAAATAAATAAATAAATAAATAAAAATTTAAAAATATAAAAATATTAAAAAAAAGAAAGAAAATAAATGTAGAATCCCTGGCTCCTCCCCACACCTGCTGCCTCAGACCTACACTTTAATGCGGTTCACAGGTAACGTGTACGCACGGGATTCTAGCAAGGGAAGTGGGGCAGAACTAGTGTATCCGAGAGGTAGGCCGCTAACCAAGGTCAGAGATAGCCAATCATGTCCTCATCCCAGGTAAACTCCCTAGATCTCCTAGAGAATCCAGAATCTGGACTTGGTGCCTCTCACAGCTGTGCAGCTGCCCTGGGCAAACCCTCTGACTGGCCATCCCATGCCCGCCAATGCGCCGATCCCACCAGGAAAGGAAGCACAATTCCTTATCTCCTTCCTCTTTTCTTCTCCCTGTCCCAAGGTATGTTCTACAATTTGTTTAGTGTCTTTTCTCAAACTTCATTTTTGATTGTGGTAGAATACACATAGCATGAAATTGACCATCGTAACCACTTTTAAGCCCACACCTCCAGGGCATTAGGTGCATTCATGCTGTTGTGTAACCAACATCACTCCATCTGCAGAAACCCCTTTTCATATAAATCCTCCTTTTGCCTTTGATGGATGAATTTAATATATGACTGTTTTCCCTTATATCCAGGTAACTGGTGGGCTAATGGTTGACTATATATGCCTTTGAGTTATTCTTTGACACCTGAGACTTCCCATGGGAGGCCAGGCTACTGGGGAGGGAACGGGGTGTGGGATGTTTTGAGTTGGCAAAAAGCAGTAGAGGGGCCTGCCATTGCTGAGTGTCTATGAGACACCAGGCACTTACAAGACATATGAACGATGGGATGTAATGATTCACTTCACCTAGTATTATGGAGTGACCACATGGAGTGCTAAGGAGAATTCAATCAAGTTTTGCATACACCCTCCTCACCTTTGGAGACCCTCAGTCCTCACATAAGGATAGAAAGCCTACGATAATTCCTCTCTGGGCCTTTTTTTTCCCCCCAGAGCCAGAAATCAGTCTTGGGATTCTGAGCTAGTGACTCATCTTTGTGTGGTTTTGGAGGCACCTGGCAGACCTCGGTCCCCGGCGCTCTGCCCGCCATCACACTCACCCTTTCGCTCCACTCGGTGAGGAACCAGCTCTTGGCACAGGGTCCCATGTCGCAGTTCTCAATGTCATTCGGCCGGAGCTTCATGTTGCATTCCTCATCGTCAACCACATCCCCAATGTTGCTCACACACTTCACATCACGGGTCCTCTGTCCCACGCCGCAGGGCACCGAGCACTGAAACACAGCACACTGACGTCAGGGGAACCAGCAGCTTCAGCTCTGGGAGAGAATTGCCAGTATGGAGCCCGCAGCCTTTGTGATCAGCCCCATGAGACTGAGGCTCTGTCATGCATGTCACCAGCTGGGGCAGGGATCTGAGCCCTAGAAAACTCCACAACCCTTTTCTACAAGACCTTCTTAGATGCCTCGCCTACTGTAAACTAAAAATAAAATCCTAAGCCTCCCAGCTGACTGAATGGGCCTCCTCTTGGCCAAGGAGACCCCCAGAGAAACCTTAAAAATGGATTTCCTGGCCATGACAGGATGGAAGGTTGGACACACCCTGTCATACCACCTCCGTTTTGCAGTCTAGACACAACCGACCAGCACTGATGTTAAGGGAGAAATCATAAGACTGACAGAATGGACTCTCTGTGGCAATAAGATACCAAATTATAAACAGGACCCAACGCCATGGCAGGCAAGGGGTTAAGTCATGCACCTCTGCCCTTGAAGAATAAACTATGTTCTAAGTTGCCTGGGAAGAAGGTCTTAGGATTCATGGCTTACATCCTGTTTAGAGTAAAGAATATTATTGTCAGTTCCTCAAATCTTATTGTGAATTCTTCAAACTGTTGACATACTGATTAATACGTAACCTGTGGACATTGAAGAGGACACTGGTTTGTTTGGTTTGTTTCTGAGTCATAAAGTTTTGCTGATTTATTTCTGACTCATGAAGTTTTATTGACTGTCTTGCACTTAAAACATTTTAGCCTGTATGTCGTCATCTGTAGCCAGTGATTGCAACCTCTGTGCTGTACCCTCCAATGAAAAAGACAACTCCGATTCAAGGGGTCCCCGTCTCCTCTCCTAAACTTTCTTCTAAAAGCCTTTCAACTTGTAACAGACTTTGGAACATGTCCAACGTTGTTCGTGTGTCTTCTTGGGCTGATCCTTACATTGGCTTCCAATAAATCTTTTATCAAATTATTTCTGCCTTAACAGCCTTAATTTTGACTGACACTACTCTATTCTTCCAGGCCTCAGTCTTTTCAGCTATAAAATGGGTAGGGAAAATTGGAAGGAGTTGGCTCTACCAGCAGTTGCCAACCTTCACTTCACCATGACTCACAAAGCAGATGAGGCCAGTATCAGAGGGCTCCCCCTGGGCTCACTCATAAAGTTGGCTGTGGGTGGCACACACTACCCTGAACTCTATTGAACTATTGGTACATCCTGTGGTTTGCAAAAACAGCCGTCCAGACCCCCACGGGACGGGTTCCCTCCTGTGGAACTCAGGGTTACCCATCTCAGGTCTTGGTGGGGGAGGCTGGAAAGTGTGGTGGGAGCTGGAGAGGGAGCTGCAGAGCGGGCTGCCCTGCCTGCGTACCGAGGTCCAGTCGGTCCGGATCTGCCACTCGCTGCAGATCTTGAGTTGGCAGGTGCTGGTGGTCTCAGGTTTCTCCAGGTGCTGGCAGCGGTAGGGCTGCACCGTCAGGCTGCGGTTGGCGTACACCTGGCGGCACAGAACCTGGCGGTGCTGCATGCCCAGGCCACAGGTCTTGCTGCACTCAGACCACTCCCCGATGTCCCAGCTGGTTCAGGAATGAGAGAGCGAGAGTGAGAGACAACCTTCAGTCAACAGGAAGTCAGCGTGAGCCCGCAGCAGCGTACACAGAATCATCAGAATCACTATGGGTAGAGTTTCTTACTAGAGCATTGCTTGAAAGTCAGCCTAGGCTGGGCACAGTGGCGCACGCCTGTAATCCCAGCACTTTGGGAAGCTGAGGTGGGAGGATGGCTTGAGCCCAGGAGTTCGAGACCAGCCTGGGCAACATGGCAAAACCCCGTCTCTACAAAAAATACCAAAGTTAGCTGGGTGTGGTGGTGTGTGCCTGTAGTCCCAGCTACTCGGGAGGCTGAGGTCAGGGGATGGCTTGAGCCTGGGAGATTGAGGCTGCAGTGAGCCATGATTGTGCCACTGCACTCCAGCCTGGGCAATGGAGTAGGACCCTGTCTCAAAAAAAGAAAAGAAAAAGAAAAAGAAAAAGTCTGCCTAAGGGTCATCTGACTCTGTAAAGGCAGATAAATTTGCCTGACACTTGACATGCTATTTACCAGTGATTAGGGCCCAGATTCTATGAAAAGTTATAGAAAACTGAAAACGTACAAATGATTTTTATCTAATTAAAAAAAAAACCTCCAAAGGTTAGTTTTATTACACTGTAGATCATTAACTCATTTTTGCTACTAACTTAGGAATCTTATTCTAGCATTATTTTTCATTAACAATTCCCGTATCAGTTTTGCAAACCCTCCTCTGTCATCTGCTCTGTTATTAGTTAAATGAGACATCAGCCCATGCTCACCATATACTTGGATGAGAATTATATTTTTATTACTCTGCAAATTAGGTTTTGACCCTTTTAGGGCCCTTTCCCCTTGTTCTTCTTCAAGTGTCCCATTTATCATTCAATAACCAGTTCAAGGCCAGGCGCAGTGGCTCACGCCCGTAATCCCAGCACTTTGGGAGGCTGAGGTGGGCAGACCATTAGTGCTCAGGAGTTCAAGACCAGCCTGGCCAACATGGCAAAACCCTGTCCCTACAAAAAATACAAAAATTAGCCAGGCGTGGTAATGTGCACCTGTAGTCCCAGCTACTCGGGAGGCTGATGCAGGAGAATTGCTTGAATCCAGGAGGCGGAGTTTGCTGAGATCGTGCCACTGCAATCTGGCCTGGGCAACAGAGCTAGACTCTGCCATAAAAACAAAAACAAAACCAAAAAACCGAAACAGTTCAAGACCTCTCCCGAGACACTTTTCTTGGCCTCTCCAGGCTGATGTTTTTGTGACTTGCATTATCCTCTCTCTGTGAACAGCTCACCTACGACACCAACTACACTGGCTTCTCGTTTTTTGCTTCCTCCTTTGTTTTCCTTACCAGGCTCAAACCTAATTGCTCCAGCTTTGTCAAGGGTGGGCTTCCCAGAAGTGGGTTGACTTGCTAAAGGCTATCAGCTCCTGAGTTCATCCTGAAAGACAGGTGTGCCTGCTAAACAGACTGCATTTTATGCATGGTCCAAGTCTTGTATTTCTAACTCAGATTTAGACTGACTTATATCTGTTCCTAAGGTCCTGTGCATAAGTGACCTGAAGTGACCCGGTAATAGGCGACCTAAATGGAGGGGCCTTCTTACAAGGCTGGGCAAGGGAAGATGTTGCAGGGCTCCTCCTCGGGGGTCGGCTTCATGCTGGAGTCACAGTAACTCTCAGGAGCCTCTTCATGAGTGCTTCTGTGCACACAGCGGAAAATAGGGTACTGCGATCCTGCAACAACAGGAGAATGTCTGAAGGACAGTCCCACACACTGGAAAGCTGGGCTATGGGTGGAGATGCACAGAGATTCGGGTGCTGATGAAGAGAGGGCACAGAAACAGTGAGGACAATTCACACATGCATGCACACTTACGCTCCCCCTTCATTTGAGGGTTTACACACACCTACCTCACAGGTCTTTGCTAGGAACTGTGGGGGTGCAAAGAAGAGCCTGCCCTAAAAGGAATCAATAATCTATTTGTGGACACGGTCTAAATATGCTCAAAGGCAGATACAAAGCATCTTCATTATAGTTCAAGATAACAAAAGAGAGATTCCCTAGGCAGGGGAATGATTATAGAAGGAACACAAATAGTAACTTTTCTAAAGTTCTCTGGAAGCGTCAAAGAGAAAGTGTCCTAAATGGGCCAAGCTTCGTTCTAGAGAAAGAATTGGGTTTGGGTAGATATGTGCATGTATATTTTGGAGGGAGGAGGCTGTCTAGGTCATTAAACTGGAATGAAAGTACCTGCCTGACAAACTAGCCTGCTACACCAGGTACATTTAAGGGATAGGTTGAAGCACAGAAGTAGAAGATTCAAGAAAGGGCGGAAGAGCAGCTGCCTCCCCCTTTGGCAAGCGTCTTTCATGTTCTTCTAATAAAGTACCCATCCAATGGTATTTCAGTGATCTGAGCATTTGTCTACTTCCCATGAGACCGTGAGCTTCTGAGGGACAGGGCTACTTCTTAATCTCTGTAGCCCCAGTACCTAGGAGAGTAGCAGGGGCTCAATAAATGACCGTGTTGAATGAATGTTTGAATGGTGTTGAATGAATGTTTATAACTGTTTTAGGTTTTTTGTTTTACTTTCATTGGATTAATAAGGATACATCTATTTTCGATAAAAAGCCAGAATTTGTTAAATGGAATGTCTAGGTGTCAATTAAAAAAAAAAAAAAAAAAAAAAAAGCTGATTCAATTCTGCCTTCCTTTCTCTGCTGCCACCTGGTGGCAACACTGAGCTATTATTAATGGACGTTTATAACGTGAGAAATGTAACCCCTGAACCTGAACCAACCACGGGAAGATGCTTCTTCACAAATAACTGTCTTCCCCACAGTCCAGGCCAGTATACAACTCCTGCCGGGAAGAACACTATACTTTATTCTACAACTCTGTCTTATCTCTGTTGCTAATTGGCCAGGCATTCATATTTTCTGAAGTTCCAACTCCTTACAATTTTAACTGCAACATAGGGGCTATCTTTTAACATAAACATCTTAATATTTCATCAGTCATGAAAGTGTTTCAGTGGTTTTTCAAGCTCATCTTGTATGACACACTGACCCAGAGGGTAGTAAGAAACTTGACAGTTTGCAAGACAGTGTTGAATCTGAAACGATCATTTGTTTAAATTACCCTGGTAGTAAAAATTTACAGTGTGGCTATAACTTGAGACCATTATTTAAAATAACGTTCCAATTAAGCACAATTATTGGCTGAGTAAAAGGCAGTACTGACTGTAAAGTTAATGGGATGCAAAGAACTTTTGTGGAATTAAAGTTTGTCCAGCTACAGATCTCCTTCCATTAAATAGAACAGATTTTTAATTAAATTCAACAAACATTAAGTACACTGTGCAGTTATAAAGGTGAATACATGGTTCACAGCTTGCAGTGGGACCCGGCTATTAAGGGATTAAGTAAAGATCTTATTTAGCCTATTCCTTTTCCTTCAGACCATGCGGGTTTAGCTTTTCCACTTAGATGTTTGTGGATAGGAAAGCAAAAGGAACTATCTCAACCACTTGGCACTCAAATAAGGGAGAAATCAAATTTTTTTAATCAAAAGGATACAGGCTCCCATAGGAATGCTCTGTGTCTTGGGAAGATGGGTCCTGCTGGGGTTGTCCAGCACCTGGCCACTGCTTGTCTTCCCTTGACATTTTACGGCGTTTATGGACATTGTCCATGGTCCAGCTCCACGGAAATGAACTCAGAGGCCCTCTGGCTCTCTGAAGGTGGGAAAATGCCAGATCTACAAATCTTTTTTTATTTTTTTTGAGACAGAGTTTAGCTCTGTCACCCAGGCTGGAGTGAAGTGGCACGATCTCTGCTCACCACAACCTCCACCTCCCGGGTTCAAGTGATTCTCCTGCTTCAGCCTCTCAAGTAGCTGGGATTACAGGTGCCTGCCACTGCGCCTGGCTGATTTTTGTATTTTTAGTAGAGATGGGGTTTTGCCGTGTTGTCCAGGCTTGTCTTAAACTCCTGACCTCAGGTGATTTGCCCACCTCGGCCTCCCAAAGTACTGGGATTACAGGCATAAGCCACGGCGCCTGACCCATATCTACAACTCTTGAGTCTAGTGACCGCAGTGGTTTCCTTCTTTGGGTCAGTTTTAATATATTTAGAAAGGGAGACAGCACCTGGCCACCTCCCATTGTTCAAGATTGCAATTCAATTATTCCTCTATTTGCTAGCAAGCAGGAACAAGGTGGTGAGGTCAGGCACTGGCTGGGCTTCAGGCAGCAGGAAAACTATTCGAGATCAGTTCGGTTGCCTTATATGCGGACATGTTGATCAAAATAGAAATATGTCATGTTGAAGGGGGGAACTGTACACAGGTAATTAGCAGATAATAAATGAGGTCAGTGAATTCAGGGGCTAGTGTAGAGGTCAGTGGGACATTATGGAAGAGAGACAAAATAAAGAGCAAGAAAAAAGTAAATGACTTTAGACTTGGAACTCTAGGAATCAAATGAAACAAGCCAAGAGTTTGACAGAGGCCTGATCAATGGCTGTGTGAGTATGGACCACTCTTGGATGCCAGCAACAGGGCCCTTCCCTGAGATGGTGATATCATGATGCTGGAAGCACTTAGACAAAGGGAAATTTGACCATGAAAAGCACAGAACTGTGTGGTGTGGTTAGCTCCACCAGGGAGGACTGGAGAAGGGTTTAGGCGAGGGTATGTGAGAAAATACACAATGGGATCACAAGGGGAACAGACTTATTCTGTGCATAAGTGACTTGGACAATGCCGGGAGGCTTGGGATTTCCTGGTCACTTGCCATGACTGCTGACGACCATTAGATGTGCTCTGCATCTGTGCCTCCGCATTGCCTCACCTACCCTGCATGTCTGGTGCCATCACCGCCTGGGACAGAGCAAAGGAGAGGCCTCCACGGGCCGCTGCCACTTGTCACTTGAAAGAAAAAGGAACTAGGATTGCCAGAGAAGGGAGGGATGAGAAACAACACATCCCTAGGTTTGCTTTATTTCCAAGGCACCTCTTCAGTATCTCTTGGGCCTGAGAACTGGTGCCATTTACTGGGTAAAGAAGAGCTAGACATGTCGCCTCAGACATTCTGAGTGGCAGATGCCGAGTGTGTGTGTGTGTGTGTGTGTGTGTGTGTGTGTGTGTGTGTGTACATGCACACATGGGTGTATATGGGCTAAATATTGAAAATGGGTCCTGTGCATGCTCAGTCCCATACCTCACACTCTTGTGAATTTCTGTGTGTGTGTTTCTGCAATGCAAAGGACAGAAGATTAAACAAAATCATATGGAAATCTAGAGAAAGAGATTGTTCAGTTTTTTTGTTTTGTTTTGTTTTGTTTTGAGACGGAGTCTTGCTCTGTTGCCCAGGCTGGAGTGCAGTGGCATGATCTTGGCTCATTGCAACCTCCGCCTCCTGGGTTCAAGCAATTGTCCTGCCTCAGCCTCCCGAGTAGCTGGGATTACATGCATGCATCACCATGCCCAGATAATTTTTGTATTTTTGGTGAGGACAGGGTTTTTTGCCACGTTGGCCAGGCTGCTCTTGAACTCCTGACCTCAAGTGATACACCTGCCTTGGCCTCCCAAAATGCTTCGATTACAGGTATGAGCCACCATGCCCGGCCGCTTATTCAATTTCTAACAGGTAAATCCACATTCTTTATGCTATGTTGACAGAACATGGGAAAAGGCAGTAATAGACTTGTATATCTAGGATACAATAAAGATGTAAAATCTACCCTTATGTCTTTTCTAGTAGCTCATATATTCCGCATTTGAAATGTGGTGATGATATAGTCACTTATTCAAAAAACACAGGAGTGCCTACTGTGTGCTTGGTATGATGCCTGGTGCAGAAGTTGCAAAGTGTATATTCATGGAGACAGCCAAGCCAAGCAGGGCTGGGACAGAAATGTGTCCTGAATTGCTGTGAGGTCCCAAGGATGAAATGCCTACCTGTTCTTTGCAGAATCAGGAAGGCTTTGCAGAAGAGGTGGTCTCAGAGCTTGGAGTACGAGCAGGACTTTGCTGGCCAGATACCAGAGTGTCGTAAAGGAGGGATACTAGCATATAGTGAGGTAGTAACAGTTATGTTTTGCCTTCAGTCTATCAAAACCTTGCTTTCTTTAAATTTCAACTCCATACCTCAGTGTGGATGACACAGCGTGCGGATGGGTTGTGGGGGCAAAAACTGGAACATTTGGTTATGAGTTTGCTCCATTAGAGAGACCGTGGGAGCGTCTGGAGGAGACACAGGGAACCAGCACATGCATTTGCCCTCATCTCATCCTGCTCACAACACAAGGCCTATGGGCTCCGGACAGGGTGAAAGAGAATCTTCTCCACATGGCACCCTTTGTTGAAAACCACGCAGTGACAGCTTTCATCCTTTTTATGACTTTCCCTATTTTCACCTAGTTCTGAGTGTATCTGGTTCCTTTGATGGGCATCACACATTACCTAAAGGTAGAATATTTCAATAATAATACATTTTGATTTCGGGTTCCTATATCAATTATGTTACATACTGCTTACCTCTATAATATCACAGAGTCTCACCAAAATGGTTTTGGCCTTAATGCAAAAATATTTCTAGCTTTCTGACTCTGTCAAGACATATTTTATATGCATTTAATTTTTCCTCACAAAGTATATAAAAGAAGTTGGTCCAATGAATCTGCAGTCCAGATTCTTTGCACATTTATTAAGTATAAGCATAATAAAATTTGCACAATAAAACCTCTATAAATCAACACTCCAGTTACCAAATCATTATGGAACTGCAGAGGTTCCAGGCAGGAAAAGCTCCAGCCCCCAAGAAGAACCAAAGACCTAAATTCTATTCTCAAAAGCCACTAAGCCAATGCTCTTATGAAAAAGATAAAAACTTTAGAAGCTGTCATGAGATTTTTCAGTGTGCTAATTTTGTGAGAGGTTCCAAACTTTGTACTCTTAGATACCAGTATCAAAAGAAAAGAAAAGAAAGGAAAAGAAAAAAAAAAAGCAAAGCAAAGCAAAGCAAAAAAAAAAAACCACCCCAAACCAATGCTCTGGGACATCACACAGTTCCCCAGTTTGCAGAGATTCCTGGGGGATACAGCCTTCCTGTTTCTTTAGCAACCTCCCCTCAAAGAAGAGCTGTTTCAGGGGATAAAATAGGACTTTACTACAAACAGGAGGCTATTATCATATATATGAAGGAAATTATAACTACACAGTTCATAGGTGTATCTTTGCAATGAGTCAGCTTGAAACAGAAGCAGCATTGATTTCCAATCTGGTATGGAATGTCAGATAAAGGGTTTCTGGACAGCACATTCCACATGTATCTTAACTTTGGAGTTTTCAAGGAAACGGGACCCTGGGTCCACTTCATCATCCTGATGTGACCCCTGTAACACTGCCATGTCTTGCTTTCAGCCTATCACAACCCTACTTTATTTAAATTTCACCTAAACTGTATCCTCCCAAATCCTACAACTCTATCTTTTCTTTTGTTTGGAGAGACGCCCCATGCTTCCTCCGGTGTGTGGACTCCCTTGTGGTGAGGGGTCAATAAAGCTGACTTTGTTGGGCTTCAGGTTTGTCCCTGGTGGTCCTAGCTGATCAGGTTGGAATAATGAATGAATACAGGGTTGGGATTTTACCGGGATAGTATGGGAGCTGTGAGTGTTGGTCAGTGTAAAAGCCAGCTAACACGCCAAGCCTGCAAAGTTTTGTTTTTTTTTTTTTTTTCTGAAATCCTGAGATTTGAGAATGAGTTTCAACTGGGATTTGTGTAAGTCTTCCACAACCCTGACTTGGAGATTAAATTTTAGATCTTGAAGTACATGAGTGTATTCCGTTTATTAATGAATATATGTGCACAGCAGGCCTGAGTTGCTCAAACCCTGCACATGCCAAAGACAGGCCCTTGACCAGCTCCTGAGAGAGAACCTCTAAGCCCTTGGAATATGCCACCTGATAAGAGTGTTTTTTTATGCTGAGGTCTTGGGCCACGCAGTATTGGTTTGGCTTCTGGGATGGTAAAGGGAGAGTAGCTAGTGTCACTCATGTGGGAGCTGCATACCTAGACGAGAGACCCCAGTAAAAACCCTGGACACCAAATCTTGGGTGAGCATCTCTGGTTGGCAGTACTTGGCATGTGTTCTCAGCCTCTGAATTACACCATTTCTGAGAGAATTAAGTGCATCCCTGTGTGACTCTGCTGGAGGCAACACCTGGAAGCTGGCGCCTGGCATCTCCAGGACTTTGCCAACACACCTTTTCCTTTATTAACTCGAATCCCTATCCTTTGACTGTGATGAATTGTAACAGCTCTTCTGGGTCTCGTAAGCCCTTTGAGCCAATCATTAAACCTGAGGGTGGTGTTGAGGGCCCCAATGCAATCTGTCACACCCATGAGCCATCTCATAGACAGGCTCACAGAGGTGAGGGTTTGCCATTTCCCTTGGGCCAGGGGCCCCCAATCGACACCAGTCCATGGCCTGTTAGGAACCAGGTCGCACAGCAGGAGGTGACTGGTGGGTGGGCGAGATCAGTGGTGGCGTTACATTCTCATAGGAGCGTGAACCCTATTGTGAACTGTGCAGGCAAGGGATCTAGGTTGCATGCTCCTTATGAGACTCTAACTAATGCCTGATGATCTGCGATAGGGCAGTTTCACCCAGAAACCATCCCCCAACCCCGCCACCATCCATGGAGAAATCGTCTTCCACGAAACCAGTCCCTGGTGCCAAAAAAGCCGGGGACCGCTGCCTTGGGCCACCCACACACTCCTTGCTTAGGGTTCTGCAGGGATCCACCCGTCCCCCACACAGGCTCACCTTTCCCACAGGTCGTGGAACATTCTGTTGTCCCAAGCTGCTTCCAGTTGTGATCCCGGCTGCGCCGTGGGGGCTGCGGTGCTGGTGGCACCAAGTTGTCCGGTCGATGGGGAGAAAATCTGTCTGGATGCCTGACTGGGAAGGTCTGTGCCGATTCTGAGGTGAACATCTCAGGGGCCTCCCCACGCAAGTCTTCCTTCTCCTCGTTCCTCCCTTTCTGTTCTCCCTCCTCCTGGCTCCTGCCTTCTGTCACCATCTGGCCATTGAAGGGTTCCCCTAGGAGAGGTGAGCGTGCACACACAGAATCAGGATCAGTTTAGACCCTGAGTTGTAAAGAGGAAATTGCTTCGACATTAGAGACTGTGTAGCATGAGATCGTTTCTAAGTCACAGCACATAAGCACATCTGTTTAAAATAAGCAGACACCTACTAGTGCTTTCCCTCACATGCAAAGCACTTTTGAAAATCAATAAGACAAAGACGAACACTGCAGTAGGAACAGGAATTGTGAGCCATAGACAGTTCACATAAAAAGAAACACAAACAGCCAAAACCCATACAAAAATCCTCAACTTTACTCATAATTCCATAAATACACATGAAAAGAACACCACCACCTAACACCAAAGATTGGAAAGTTTGGAAACCCTTAAATCCCTAAACTCCTTTTGAAGGTGCAGGAAAACACACTTCCAGTCACTATGGATGAGCCTGCAAATAGATCCATGGTTTTGGAGGGAAATCTGGCATTATTTATCCAAATTTGAAATGCACATACCCTTTGACCTAGCAATTCAGTTTCTATCACATCTGTTCCGCAAATATTTTCTTGTACATAAATCTGAATATACAGGTATGGTTACTGAGGTATTATTTGAAATAGCAAACAGACACAAATGTTCACCAGTGGTACTGGTTAAACTACGTTATGCTACAAGTACAAAATGGAATACTATGTGAGTTTTGAAAAGAATGCAGCAAATATAACGTTCCGACATGAAGAAATGACAATATTGTTTGGTGAAAGAAAAAAGCAGAACACACACACATACACACAGGTGTGGCAGGTCACTTTTTGAGATACTAATTTGTGTGTGATTTACTATCTTTATTCCTCCACTTCCTCCTCCGGTTTGAAAGAGTAGCCAAGTCCTTAGATGTTATTGCTTTGTTTTTGTGCAGGACAGAAAACAAAAGCTGCTAGAAGTCAACAGCTTTCCCTTCCAAGAGTGCAAAGCCTAGGCTTTCATTAAGGGTAAAGTGGATGTCCCTGAGGGGCCAGCCCAGAGAGAGGAGGAGGGCACATTTTGAGAGAGAGAGAAAGAGAGAGAGGAGAGAGAGACAGTGGCAGAGAGCAAGGGAGAGAGAGAGCAAGTGAGAGAGAGACAGAGAGACAGAGACAGAGACCAAGAGAGCAAGAGAGACAGAGAAACAGAGTAAGAAAGAGAGACAGCGAGAGAGAGAGACAGAGAGCAAGAGAGACAGAGACACAGATAGAGAGAGCAAGACAGAGACACAGAGACAGAGAGTGAGAGAGACAGAGAGGGCAAGAGAGACAGAGAGCAAGAGAGAGACAAAGACAGCAAGAGAGCGAGACAGTCAGAGAGCGAGAGAGACAGAGTGCGAGAGAGACAGAAACAGAGAGCAAGAGAGCAAGACAGAGAGTCAGAGATAGAGAGCAAGAGAGAGACACAGACAGAGAGCAGGAGAGACAGAGAGCGAGAGAGACAGAGTGTGAGACAGAGACAGAGAGCAAGAGAGATGGAGAGAGAGCAAGAGAGAGACAGAGACAGCAACAGAGAGACAGAGAGCAAGAGAGAGACAGAGTGTGAGAGAGACAGAGACAGAGAGCAAGAGAGACGGAGAGAGAGCAAGAGAGAGACAGAGACAGCAACAGAGAGACAGAGAGCAAGAGAGAGACAGAGAGCAAGAGAGAGACAGAGAGATAGAGACAGAAAGCAAGAGAGCAGGAGAGACAGAGAAGAGAGACAGACAGAGAGCAAGAGAGACAGAGAGGGACAGAGACAGAGAGCAAGAGAGAGAGACAGACAGCAAGAGAGACAGAGAGATAGAGACAGAAAGTGAGAGAGACAGAGAGCAAGAGAGACAGAGAGAGACAGAGAGACAGAGACAGAAAGCAACAGAGCAGGAGAGACAGAGAGCGAAAGAGACAGAGAGCAAGAGAGACAGAGAGATAGAGACAGAAAGCAAGAGAGCAGGAGAGACAGAGACAGAGAAGAAGACAGACAGAGAGCAAGAGAGACAGGGACAGTGACAGAAAGCAAGAGAGACAGAGAGCAAGAGAGACAGAGACAGAGACAGAAAGTGAGAGAGACAGAGAACGAGAGAGAGACAGAGAGCAAGAGAGACAGCAAGAGAGAGAAACAGAGAGCAAGAGAGACAGAGAGCAAGAGAGAGAGAGAGAAACAGAGAGTGCGAGAGAGACAGAGAGCAATAAAGAGAGAGCAAAAGAGAGGGAGATGGTAAGAGAGACAGAGAGGGACAGACAGAGAGCAAGACAGAGAGCTAGTGAGAAAGAGAGAGAGAGAGAGAGAGTGAGAAAGAGAGAGAGAGGTTTTCAAGATGGAGGAGAGGTAGGAGTCTGGAGTCTTGGGTTTCCTGAGTGCCATGGATCCTTAGGTGTACCAGACAATGTCCAGTGTCCCAGGAGGAAGCCACCCCTGCAGCGGGAGAGGGGGCCTGGCTGCCAGCCTCACCAGCTTCCTGTGCCCCCCATGCAGACTGGAAGGAGCAGAGCCCTAACCTGAAGGCCCCATGAGGCTGCTCCCGGTGGCACCTCAGCGGAATTAGTGTGGACAGACCACCAGGGGGGTCTAGCCAATGTTTTGGCTTGTCTAAGACTCTAGATCTTTCCTTATATCTGGAGTGAGAATATGTGTGTGTGTGTGTCTGTGTGTGTGTGTGTGTAACCCCCAAGCAGACTGCGATTGAATTATCTACTGGTTTCAAAGAAGGGTGAAGTTGAGGTCAGATTTAAACTGACTAATGGAAAATAATAATATGCAATATTCCTTGCACATCTGAGATTGTAGATGATGATTCAAATGGCTGGAAACATGTTTGTGTATGCATAGAAAAGGGCTAGGCAAAATCCCACCAAAGGGTTAGACTCCCTCTGGGAAGG
This sequence comes from Homo sapiens, assembly GCF_000001405.40. Taxonomy (NCBI): domain Eukaryota; kingdom Metazoa; phylum Chordata; class Mammalia; order Primates; family Hominidae; genus Homo; species Homo sapiens. Next base: position 71,734,862 of record NC_000015.10, on the reverse strand, counting down.
GCATGGGGTTGGGAGCTGTGGACTTTTTTTTTTTTTAATAGGCTTTTTTTTTTTTTTAGAGCAGTTTTAGGTTCACAGCAAAAGTGAGTAGAAGTACAGAGTTCCCACACACCTCCTCCCACCACACAGGCACAGGGTCCCTTACTACCATCATCCCACATCAGACTGGTACATGTGTAACTGATGACCCTACACGGACATGTCATTATTGCTTAGAGTTCATAGTCCATACGAGGGTTCACACTTGGGGGTGCACATTCTGTGGGTCTGGACAAGTGCACAGTGACATGCATCCGCCAGTGTAATATCACACAGAGTAGTTTCACCGCCCTGAAATCCTCCCTGTTCCACCTTTTCATCCCTCTGTCCTCCCAGCCCCTGGCAACCACTGACCTTTTTACTGTCTCCATAGTTTTAACTTTTCTAGAATGTCATATAGTTGGAATCAAACAATAGGTAGTCTTTTCAGAGTGGCCTCTTTCACTTAGTAATATGCATGGAAGGTTTCTCCATGTCTCTTTGTGACGTGATGGCTCATTTATTTCTAGCCCTAAATAATATTCCATTAGTTTTTGTCTATCCACCTACTGAAGGACTTCTTGGTTGCTTCCAAGTTTTGGCAATTATGTGGCAGTTGCTTTTGACTGTATATATTTCTATTTTGACTGAATATTGTTCAAGTATGTCTCATTTTAATAGAAAATAAGGAGGCAAATTCTAGGGTTACTGTAGAACACAGTTAAAACTACAAGGGGGCTGGGTGAGGTGGCTCATGCCTGTAATCCCAACGTTTTGGGAGGCTGAGGCAGGAGGATTGCTTGAGCCCAGGAGTTCAAGACCAGCCTGGGCAACATAGCGAGACCCCATTTCAGCAATAACAACAACAACAACAACAACAACAACAACAACAATTAGGGCTTTCTCAGCAATTTTTTTTTTTTTTTTTTTTTTTGGAGACAGAGTCTCACTCTGTCACCCAGGCTGGAGTGCAGGAGGCTCACTGCACCCTGTGTCTCCTGGGTTCAAGTGATTCTCGTGTCTTAGTCTCTTGAGTACCTGGGATTACAGGTGAGTGCCACCACATCCAGCTGCTTTTTGTACTTTTAGCAGAGATGGGGTTTTGCCATTTTGTCCAGGCTGGTCTCGAACTCCTGGGCTCAAGCAATCTGCCCACCTCGGCTTCCAAACGTGCTGGGATCACAGGCGTGATCCACTGCACCAGACCTCTCAGCTTTTTTGCCAGGGCTTTCTTACTTAGTTGGTTATTATGCTTCATGGTTTAAAATATGACATGCAAATATGACCAACAAAATCAGGACCAGGCATGTTGACATAAATGAGAACTGTCCAAGATGTTGTTGGACAAAAAAATTTAAGAAGTCTTTTCAGTGCCTTGTTCTGGGCTCTATGCTAGGATGGACAACTAATTTATTCAATCTCTTCCCATGTCCTCTCCCCTGCCAAAAACCACCTTATAGGGTTTTTCTTCTATTTTGTAGACTGGGTGTGTGTTCAGAGAGGTTGCTGACCCGCCTGAGGGTGCACAGCAAAAAGGTGCAGAGCTGGATTCCAACTCTGCCTCCAGACTCCATTGACATGGAAGAGGAAGCCTGGTGACAATGCCCCTGCTTACCAACTTTTTACAGGTGACCCCTCCAGGCCTGCCCTGTCCCAGGGAGCTGATCCCAGAACCCCCATGCTATTCATGAGCTGAGCCCCATCAGGCCTGACAGAAATCATCATCATCCTGATAGATTTCAAATAGTCTGTCTGATTATCCCTGTAAACCAGCAATGGACCCCAGAAATCTTACCCAAACTTGGTTTCTCAAACTGTGGATTGCTTCTGGACATGACATAAAAATTCTCTGTTGTGCTGAGTTTGCTGACTTGGAGTTTGGACAACACACCCACCCCATGTTCTGGGGATGCACCCAGCTGTTGTCCTCCCCAGTCTGTAGCAATCAGATAACCTGGTTATCCCGTCCAAAGTTCAGAGAAGAATGGATGGGGCGGGTTTGGCACTTGTGCCTTTATTTCCTCCTAGGGTAGGGATTGGACCAAGTAACCTCTCAGTGATATAACAAGCACAAAGTATGGTCACACAGGCCCTCCTCAGGTCACTGCCCAGGTGTGAGATCAGGACAATTATTAACTTACTCTTCCTAAGCTTCCATTTCCTTACTCTTAAAATAAGGCTAATAATAGTACTTCCCTCCAAGTACCTCCCTCTGTCATGAGAATTCAAAGAACTAATCTACGCAAAGAGCTCAGCACAGCAGTTTCTAAGCCCTTGCACACAGCAAGGACTCAATGTGTGTGAGCTATAATTACCATGAATACTTCTGCAGACCTTCCTATTTTAAGGAAGGAAAAGACTGCCTGCATTTGGGTGGTGGGCTCCATCATCCTCCGGTAGAGAAATGTCTGCAGACTCAGAGAGCAGTCCCATGCCCAGTGCCAGCCGAGAGAAAGCTGCCTGCTCTGTCCATAAGCAGAGCCCACCAGGAAGACTCAACATGGATTGTTAGGTGTGAACTCATTATTCTTGTCTTATAGGTCAAAGTATTATTAACAGAAACAAAAGGGGAACCAAGAGAAAAGGCATATAGTAGACAGATAATGGCCCCCTAAAGATGTCCACATCCTAATCCCTGGAATCTGTGAACATGCTACCTTACATAGCAAAAATGGACTTTGCAGGTGAGACTAAATTACAGATTTTGAGAAGGAGAGATTATCCTGGATTACTTGGGTGGGCCCAGTGTAATCTGAAGGGTCCTTATAAAGGAAAGAGAGAGGAAGATGAGAGTCAGAGAGGAGATGTGATGAGGCCAGGGTCAGAGAGAGATTTGAAAGTGCCACCCTGCTGGCTTTGAAGGTGGAGGAAGGGGCCAGGAACCAAGGAAGGCAGGTGGCTCCTAGAAGTTGGAAAAGGCGAGGAAGTGGGTTCTCTCCTAGAGCCTCTGGAGAGAGAGGGGCCCTGATGACACCTTCATTTTGTCCCAATGAAACCCACTTCAGACTTCTAACCTCCAGAGCTCTAAGAAAGTAAATTTGTGTTGTTTTTTCTTAATTTTGAGATAGGGTCTCACTCTGTTGTCCAGGCTGGAGTTCAGTGGTCTGATCACGGCTCACTGCAGCCCCAACCTCCTTGGGCTCAGATGATTCTCCCACCTCAGCCTCCTGAGTAGCTGGGATTGCAGGCACACACCACCATGCCTGGCTAATTTCTGTAATTTTTTTTGTAGAGACAGGGGTTTCATTATGTTGCACAGGCTGGTCTTGAACCTCTGGGCCCAAGCGATCCACCTGCGTCGGCCTCCCAGAGTGCTAGGATTACAGGCATGAGCCCCCTTGTCTGGCCTGGAAACTAGTATAAAGCATTTCAAATGTTGAACTGGCAGGGCAGACCCAGGATGCTCATGCCATTTTGGAATCGAGTGAATGAAACAGTCTCATCAGTGAAGGCTCAGACAAATGGTGAAGCCTGCTCCAATGTCAAGGCCCCTTGGCTTTGAAATATGCGTCCCTCAATTTTCTCTGTGTTGACCGAGAGACAGAGGGTGGATGCACAAGAATTGAGAGAGAGAAGGCTTTACAAGGAAATGACCAGAGTCCCCGGCCACAAGACAAGGGATTCTACCTGGTCTCCTGTGGGGTGGCACCTGGGGGCTGATGGCGTTGGTCCCCATGATCACGTACTCGTAGTGCACGCCTGGGTTTGGCTGCTGGTGTATCATCTGCTGACACAAAAATCAGTGTTACCGCACTTGGCACGTATGCACACCCCTTCTGGGTTTCAATGGCATTTGCAGAACTACTGAGAAATGACTGGGTTGGTTCACTCTAGTACGCATCCAGTAATATCAGTGAACCTGTGGCAGATTAAACAAAGTTATTCCTGGATGGCTTTTTGTCATTTACTTTTGAAGAATGAAGAACTTAGGCCGAGCAAATCAGAAGAAGACTAAGCTAAGAGTCAAGATTTTCTAAACTCCAAAGGAGAAGATGGAGCAACGGTAGCAGAACCTTTCTGTCCTTAGATTTTGCTCAGTGCTCTTGAAACATCCAACACAGATAAATACGTGTACACTGCAGGAGAACTGTTTTAACACTAGGTGGCGTGACAAAGTCATGCGAACAAGCAGCAGACCTCCTGGACAGAGCCACCCCGGGATGCTTTAGGTTCCCTCAAAGTTCTTGACCTGGCTGGTGAGGCTGGCCCCCAGGTCCCTCCCTCTTATTCAGGGAAAGCCCCAGAAACACAAAGACATGGGGCCAGGAAAACAAGTAGAAGCGACCCAACTCTTGCTGGGTCATATTCTCTTAGGAATGATGACAAAAATAGGATGGCAAGCAGGAATCTACGTAGGACTGTGGAAGTCAGCAGCTGAACATTGTCTGGGCTGAAAACATATTAAATGAGCATGGCCCAACAGAATACGTCCCTCCCTATTGGATTTAGAGCACACAGTCTTTGCTGCCCATGGATTTCCTGATGGGGAGCAGGGTGGTGGGCTAAACCCAGCAGCAGAATGAGAATCCACAGTGTAAATATGAGCCGTGCAAGGAGACACGGTCGGGTTTGATGTTTCTGTCTCTGCTGCTTTATAAAGCAGCTCTCCTATTGACCAGCTGTGTAACCTAGAGCAAGCCCCTTCACCCTGCAGTTTTTGATTTCTTCCTTGGGGAAGGAAGAGGTTAGAATCATGTCACTTTCAAAGGTCCTTTCCAGCTAGAAGCATCTCTGAGTCACTCCTGCATGGTGGGTCCTGTGTCTATTCTTCCTGTTTATGCCATGATCTCTTGCCACTCCCTACTGATGAAATGGGTCTTCATTTTATAAATTACCCAAAGGAAGGCAGACCTGAGAACCCCTGGGATTCTCCTACCCAGGAACCAATATCAAACCATCGGCGTTGCAGAAACGTGGTGGGCACTGAATCCCCAAGGGACACGGTTGTGTGACCTCAGGTTCCTGCTGTGTATCCCTCATCCCCTCACTCCCTTTTCACACAATCTTCCTCTCGGTCTGTGGCTGGAAATCCTCCCTCCCTCTCTGGTGCCTCTTCTGCCTGAGCATTCTGCCAGTGCAAAACCTTGTCCCGTTTATGAAATTGCTGTTGGCTTCCATTCCTAGACCACCCACAGTAGGCCTTTAACAACCTGAGTTTTTACCTCTGATGCCATTTAAAATATATTCAGATTCAACCAACCAACTGGACAGTCTAAAAAAAAAATCCAAAATAAACTACAACAAGGCTTCCTTTGTAATTTCGAGTCTACTAGGCCCAAGAGGAAAGGACATAGAACTGTGTGTAGGTGGAGAAGTAATGACAATGCAATTAATAATATTTCTAAAACTCTGACACAGCAAATATGTTAATCAGCTCAGCTTTGGGGACAGAAATAATGTGTATATTCATGGGTGATCTCAATCTTTTTATCAAAATGTTATTTCAAGCTTTTATGTCTTATCACCCTTTATTTCCTGGTCTTTTAAGAAGATTGAATTCTAGTGGTTTCCTTTGAACGTAAGGACCATTTAAAACTCTTGAGCAATTTAATATCTTAGTTTCACGTAAAAGAAATTAAGGTTTTGTCTTCTATGAAGCAGGGAGCTTCTAGTAAATCTCTCTACTGTGACTCTCAGCTTTATTGTTTCATCTGGAGGGCTCTGGAGCTCTCCTTTCTTCATTTGCTCTCAGAGTCTGAACAGGGCTGGGAGCTGGGAGCGGTCCTGCCTTCCTTTAGGCTCTTGCTTTCTTTTGCCATAAAAAGAAAACATGCCAAATTAGCAGTATAAGGAAAGTGCCTGGAGGAGATCCAATGCTCATGAAATAAAGGGCATGTTTTGCCTCTGATTTGGTTCAACAAGTAAAATTGGTTTTACTGGGTCAATAAACTCCGAAGGTAATAAGCATCTGGTGGAGTTGGAGGTTGCTGTGAGCTGGGCCCATTCAGAAGTAAAGGCAAAGATGAACGCCAAGCATTCAAGGAGTGCCTCCAACAGGCTCTGCTCAAAGGGTTTTTATTGAGTATGGGCAATGATTTGTTGCTTATTTGTTCAGAGTATGTTCCTTAGAAGTGACAAGATTCAAAATCCAAAGAACAGTCCAGAAACATCCAAACTCACGTAGACATCCAAGATCTCGTTGGTGGGACCTTCCGCCAAAAAGGACTCTCCGGCAGTGCTCGAAATCTCATTTGGACGCTTGTAGGTGAACATGGTCCCTCCGCCCTCGTATTTTCCTGGTCGATCAATTGCCCAGTTCCCATTGATGATGGAGCGTCCAGAACGACTTCTCAGGGCTGTTGAGAAAAATCAGACAGTTCTTTGGGTAAGCCCAGGGTGTGCACAAGAAACAGAACTGACTCCCCCAGTTTCTGGCTTCTTCATTCATCAAGGTTTTTGACAGGATCCACTATGTGCCAGGCAATGATCCAGGCCCTGGGGCGCCATTAGGCATCTAGATTACATCCCCTTGGGCTTAATCACTGCTTCAACCCACCCTAATCCCTTCTATCACTTGGACTTAGTATAGAAATGTAGGGTGGGGGCTGGTTAGGTGAAAAGGATGTGGAAAATGGGAGGGAAAGGAGAAAGAGGAGGAAGAGAAAAAAGGGGGGAAGGGAAACGTATTTATATTATATACCATTATCTAGGTGAGAGGTTGCACGCTGGCAGCCCACGAGCTGATTTTGGCCCATAAATGGGTTTAGTTTGGCTTCTGTAGTGTTATTAAAAAAAATAACTGAGCCCAAATTTAAGAATTGAAATATTTCACATAAAAAATTTAAGAGTTCTGGCTTCTCTTATAAACCAGGAAGACATGTTAACATTGGCTTCACACTCCCTCATGGCAGCAATCGGCTGGAGCCCAGGATGGCTGTCCCTCTCAGATGGACCCTATATGCTCTGATTTGCCCCAGTCCCCACCCCTCCCTGTTGCCCCCCAACACTGAGGTTAAGTCTCAGTTTATTACCCCTTTATTTATGAATATGGGTGATTTATATCATTTATCATACTTGCATTGTTCTTTTTCTTATCCAATTTTTTCTCCCCTCCCAGCCCTCCCCTTTTTTTTTTGAGACAGGGTCTTGCTCCATCGCCCAGGCTGGAGTGCAGTGGTGTGATCCTGGCTCAGTGCAGCCTCAACCTCCTGGGCTCAAGGAATCCTCCTGCTTCAGCCTCCTGAGTAGCTGGGACTATAGGCATGTACCACCATGCCTGGCTTGTGTGTGTGTGTGTGTGTGTGTGTGTGTGTGTGTATATATATATATATATATATATATATATATATATTTTTTTTTTTTTTTTTTTTTTTAAGAGATGGGGTTTTGCCATGTTGCCCAGGCTGGTCTCAAACTCCTGAGCTCAAGCGATCTGCCTGCCTCAGCCTCCCAAAGTGCTGGGATTACAGGTGTTAGTCACTGCACCTGGCCCAGAATTTTTCTTATAATTCTCTCTACTTACATGTCTACTACAAGTGGCAAAGCTAAAGCTAAGAGGGTCACATGATTTTCTCATGTACCTGGTCAGCTTCATTCACTTCTATGACCTTCCTGAGTTCCTGGGCATCTGAGGCTGTGGGCTGTGTTAGATACCGCACGTGCACTGTCAAATTTAATCGTCACAACATTGCACAGCAGATGTTATAATCCCCATTTTTCAGAGTGGCTCAGAGATGGGAGGGAACTTGTTCAAGTTCATGAGGCCCATAGGGGTCAGACCTGTGATTTCTAGTGTGTACTCAGGAGGCGGGTACGAAAGGAGAAGGGGGCAAGGAACAAGGTGTTGGAGTTAACAGGAGAAGAAAGGGTGGCATCTGGAAATAGAATTTCTTCAGCTACCCTTGGCACCTGGAAACCCACAATCCAAAGGAGGACTGGTTTAGAGAAGGTACCTTTTTTTTTTTTTTGAGATGGCGTTTCGTTCTTGTTGCCCAGGCCGGAGTGCAATGGTGCGATCTCGTCTCACTGCAACCTCTGCCCCCTGGGTTCAAGCAATTCTCCTGCCTCAGCCTCCTGAGTAGCTAAGATTACAGGCATTCACCACCATGCTCTGCTAATTTTTGTATTTTAGTAGAGACGGGGTTTCACCATGTTGGTCAGGCTGGTCTTGAACTCCTGACCTCAGATGATCCGCCTGCCTCAGCCTCCCAAAGTGCTGGGATTACAGGCGTGAGCCACTGCGCCCAGCCGAAGGTCCTGTTTTAAGTGCTATGTACATAGTGGACCTGTGATGGCCACTGGCTCTTTGCACCTTCGGTTTATAGAATTCCTAAATTTAACTTTTTATAATTTGTTATGGAAAAATGTATACATATGCAAAAGTGGTGTGAACAATATAATAAACCCCCATGTACCCATTGCTCAGCTTCAACAAGGATCAGCTCATGGCTTCTCTTGTGTCACATTGCAAATATGTATCCTTCAACTTTTCAGTAGGTACCACTAAAATATAAGAACTTTTTCTTAAACTCATTTTTTCAGCCGCGTTCCTACAATGGGCCTTCCCAGAGCTCTGGCCTGTAGAATCAGAAACTGCACAGAGGGGCTGGAGTGGCCCAAACTCCAGCTGGGCTCCCCCTGCAGACTCCACACTGGGCTGGCTGGTGCCATGGCTGCAGGGAGGGCAAAGCTGCAGACCTTTCACTACTGAATTACAAGATCAATTCAGCTTACTGAGTAGCAAAAAAGGGTCAAGGGTGGAAACTGAGGAAGAACAGATTTGGGGCTATTCTCTATGAAGAATCACACTTCTTCAAAAGTGGTGCGGCTGGGCACGGTGGCTCATGCTTGCAGTCCCAGCACTTTGGGAGGCTGAGGCGGGCAGATCACCTGAGGTCGGGGGTTTCAGACCAGCCTGAACAAATGGAGAAACCCCGTCTCTGCTAAAAGTACAAAATTAGCCAGGCATGGTGGCGCATGCCTGTAATCCCAGCTACTCAGGAGGCTGAGGCAGGAGAATTGCTTGAACCTGGGAGATGGAGGTTGTGGTGAGCCAAGATCGCACCATTGCACTCCAGTCTCAGAAAAAAAAAAGGAAAAAAAGTGGTCCATATAATGTCTACCATTTTCTCACTTCCCACTAATTCCTCAACCATCTCCAATCTGGCTTCTGCCTCCATCATTCCATTGAGGAAATTTAAAATTAGCTCACCAAGACCCCCATGTTGCTAAATCCAATGGGTGTTTCCCAGGCCTCCTCTTTTCAGATGTCTCGGCAGCACTTGGCACTATTCCATCCTATTTGAAACACTCTCACCCCAGCTTCTGGGAACCACACTCCCCTTGCTTTCCTCCTGCTCTCAGGCTGCTCATTTCTGTTTTCTTTTCTGTCTCATCTTTCTCTACCTGGCTATTAAATATCAGAATTTCTTAAGGAATAAGAGTAGACCTGCTTTGGGCACTATATTCCTTTCATGAGCAATTTCCTAGGACCATGATTTCAACTACCATATGTGAATGACTCACAAATTTATGTTGACAGGCCAAACTTTGCCTCTGGCCTTAGAATTTCATATGTAATTACCTCCTTGCCAGCTTTAGTCAGATGTCTTGTCTAAGGCTGAACCCAACCCCGGCCTCAGTGTTTCTTATCTCAGTAAATGGTACCACCATCCATGTAATCAGAAACCCAGGAATCATCCTGGATACCTCCTCTCTTCCTATCCCCCCAAATCTAACCCGTCATCAAATCTTATTTAATTACCTCCTTGCCAGCTTTAGTCAGATGTCTTGTCTAAGGCTGAACCCAACCCCGGCCTCAGTGTTTCTTATCTCAGTAAATGGTATCACCATCCATGTAATCAGAAACCCAGGAATCATCCTGGATACCTCCTCTCTTCCTATCCCCCCAAATCTAACCCGTCATCAAATCTTATTTAATTACCTCCTTGCCAGCTTTAGTCAGATGTCTTGTCTAAGGCTGAACCCAACCCCGGCCTCAGTGTTTCTTATCTCAGTAAATGGTACCACCATCCATGTAATCAGAAACCCAGGAATCATCCTGGATACCTCCTCTCTTCCTATCCCCCCAAATCTAACCCGTCATCAAATCTTATTTAACCTCCTCCGCCTCTCTTCATGTCCACTGTCATAATCCAGGGCCAGGCTACCATGAGATCTCATCTGGACTAATAAAATATCTTCTAATTGATCTTCCTGTTTCTCTTCTGTTCAGCTAGAACAGTATTTTCAGAATGTAGATTAGATTACCAACGATGGCTCAAAATTCTTCAATGGCTTTCTATTGCTCTAGGCAAAAAAGACTGGGCGTAGTGCCTCACGCCTGTAATCCCAGCACTTTGGGAGGCTGAGGCTGGCGGATCACGAGGTCAGGAGATCAAGACCATCCTGGCCAACATGGTGAAACCCCGTCTCTACTAAAAATACAAAAAATTAGCTGGGCGTGGTGGTGGGCACCTGTAGTCCCAGCTACTTGGGAGGCTGAGGCAGGAGAATGGCGTGAACCCAGGAGGCGGAGCTTGCAGTGAGCCGAGACCACGCCACTGCACTCCAGCCTGGGTGACAGAGCAAAATTCCATCTTGGGGGGAAAAAAAAAATATATATATATATATATATATCCCATCATAGAGGCCTCCTCCCCCAGATGCTGCAGCCCAGCCTTATCTTGCATCACTGTTCTTCTCTCTGTGCTCTGCTCCTGCGCCTTCTTTTAGCCCATCTACAACATCATCTTCCCTCCACGGTGCTGTCCCTTCTTCCAGAAATGCTCCTCCCTCAACTCCAAGTTCTATTCATTTTTTTTTTTTTTTTTTTTTAAATAAAGACAAGGTTTTACTCCTGTTTCCCAGGCTGCAGTGCAGTGGCACAATCATGGCTTACTGCTCACTGCAACCTCCTCCTCCCAGGCTCAAGCAATGTTCCCACCTCAGCTTCCCACAGGTGCGCACCACCACAATCGGTTAATTTTTGTATGTTTTGTAGAGATGGGGGTTTCACCATGTTGCCCAGGCTGGGTCTTGAATTCTTAAGCTCAAGCGATCCTCCTGCCTTGGCCTCCCAAAGTGCTGGGATTACAGGTGTGAGCCACTGTGCCTGGCCCTATTCATTCTTTAGATGTCAATTTCTCCAGGGCAGTCTTCTCCCACCCCTAGTCCAGCCCCCTCTCTTCCCTGCCATGCTCTAAGGGATGCAAGAAACTTTCCTTCAAGGCATTTAATTCAGTTTAATTCAGTTTGTCCATACACTTACTGAGAGAATTATTTGATCAATGTTTGTCTCCTAGTACACTGCCAGCTCCAAAAGATTTCATCTCCATTACAGTTTGAGAGTCTAGCATAGTGCTCACCACATAGTAAGAATTGAATGTTTACACAGTAGACAAGGGCAAAGAGCTCAAAAGAAAAGCAAAGAATAATAAATAGGCAATTCACAGAAAACCAAGTACAAGTACTCCATAAGCAAATGAAAAGAGGCTCTGCCTTACTTATAATTCAAGAAATGAAAATCAAAGCCACAATGGGATCATCCTGACCATCCAAATTAGCAAACATTTTAAAAAATTTAATATTGCAAGTATTGCCAGGTGGGTAAGCAAGGAAGTATTGATGGCATTGCTGGTAGGAATGTAAACAGACTCAGCCATATTGGAGGGCAATTTGATTACATGGCTAAAACTTGAAATGCCCATACACCCTGACCCAAAAACTCTACTTCTAGGAAACTACTTGAGAGATATACTTCTATGAGTATACAAAAATGTTTCTAACAAGGATATTATCTGCCCATTTTTTTTTAAATAGAGAAAAAAAAAACTAGCCTAAATGTCCATCCATAGAACGTTGCTTAAGATGGTTCTAACACTGGCCATCCACACAATGGAATACCAAGTGACTCGAAAAAGAATGAGCTAGGTCGGTGTGTGTGGGTATGGAAAGAATTCCATTATACATTTGTGAATGAAAGAAAAATTCAGAACAGTGTGTTTGGTATAATCCCGTTTGTGCACACTTTTAAATAAAAGCATAGACAGAAAATATATACATAAAATGTTTAGAGAAGGATAGTCACAAAACTATTAACATTTGGGACAGGAACTGGGGTTTATGTTGAGATGGGAGATAAGAAGGGAGACATTTATTTCTCATTTGATATCTCTTTACTGCCCTTTACAATTTGTTTTACCATATGCATGTATTACCTTCTTTAAAGTTTAAACATTTTGAATCAATGTAACGGACATGGTACAAGCAGAAATACTTGTGAAAGATATTTTCTCTTTTTTATAACTTCTTCTTACGATCCCATTCACACATCAAAAATGCAGAATTGAGGTAGGTTCTGGCCACGATTTTATTGCTTTTAATGGGAATATCGTAGAAGAGGTTATCATCTGGTAACTAAAAAGTCCATTAAAGAACCATTTGAAAGACAGCACAGGAGGAATCTGCAAGGACCTCCCTATGAGATTAAAAATTGGTACCTTGAATCTTTTTACCATCTATTACTATTACTCACTCATTCTCTCTAAAGGTTTGGGTTAATCTTGAATCATACAATAGCAAATAATTTTTAAAATGCCACAACAGATTATTAGCAAATGTGGTCCTGATTCCATAGGTCCATGAATTGGCTTCTGAAACAGCTCAAAAACTAGCCCCCATCTGGCCTTGCATATCAAAAACAGCTGCGGCTACAATTTATATGCCTGCAAGCAGTTCCAGGGCTAGGAATGGCATCCAGAACTACCTCACAAAAAGGTGCAGGTGGCTCCTGGCTTTTGCTAGACGCTGTGTTCACTGAAGGTCAAGCTTTAACAAAGCCTGTTTGAAGGGCAACCTCATGGCTATGTCAATATAAAGATACCTTCACTCTCATTTGACATTTGGGTTTTATTCCTTTTTTTTTTTTGAGACAGGGACTCACTCTGTCACCCAGGCTGGAGTGCAGTGGCACCATTATAGCTCACTGTAACCTCGAACTCCTGGGCTCAAGGAATCCTCCTTCCTTGGCCTCCCCAAGTGCTGGGATTACAGGTGTGAGCCATCATGCCTGGCCCCTTATTCCAGTCTTGGTGCTGGGCAAATATTTTTGGCCTAAACTGTGGGTACCAACAATGCCATTCTCCAAGATTCATATAACAAGAGCTTATATATGCAAGCCCTGATTATCATATACTTTAATCCCATAATCTTTTATTTATTTAGGTTTTTTTTTTGAGACAGGGTCTCACTCTGTTACTCAGGTTGGAGTGCAGTGGCACAATCTCAGCTCACTGCAACCTCTGTCTCCTGGGTTCAAATGATTCTCTTGCCTCAGCCCCTTAAGTAGCTGGGATTACAGGCATGTGCCACCATACCCAGCTAATTTTTTTTTTTTTTAAGACAGAATCTCGCTCTGTCACTAGGCTGGAGTGCAGTGGCACAATCTCAGCTCACTGCAACCTCCGCCTCCCAGGTTCAAGTGATTCTCCTGTCTCAGCCTCCCCAGTAGCAGAAGCTGGACTATAGGCGTCACCATGCCCAGCTAATTTTTGTATTTTTAGTAGAAACAGGGTTTCACCATGTTGGCCAGGATGGTCTCGATCTCTTGACCTTGTGATCTGCCTGCCTCGGCCTCCCAAAGTGCTGGGATTACAGGCACAGGGGTGAGCCACCGCACCTGGTCTTTTTTTGTATTTTTTAATAGAGACAGGGTTTCACCATGTTGGCCAGGCTAGTCTCAAACTCCTGATCTCAAGTGATCTGCCTGCCTCGGCCTCCCAAAGTGCTGGGATTACAGGTGTGAGCCACCATGCCTGGCCATAATCCCATAATCTTAATGCCCATTGTGATGATGACCCAACCACTTGTTCCTACAACCAAAATAAAGAAGCTGGTTTCCTTACAGGAGACACATGACTATGATCTAAATGTTTGTTTCCTTCTTTGAGAAATGAAGGTGAAGTTCTTCCTAGTTTCTGGCTGGGAGATAGGTTAGCTTAAAAAGAAAAAAAAGTTTCTCCTAGCAACAAATCGCAAGCTTTGCAATGCTTCAGCAGTTCTTGGAAGCTACGGTAAGTAGCCGAACAAACCGAATACTGAAGTGTCAGACATCATTGGCCACCAGTACAATGCCAGCTGGAGGTCAGAAGCCTGGCTTCTTTGCCATTTCTGGTCTAAAATATGAGCTTCCATGGAATCCCACACATGGGCATGAACCCAAATGGGTCTCAGAATGTGTTAGCTAATGTGGATACCCTGAAAATGAAATATAACTCTTCCTGTACTGCCTTGGTGGGTTCTGTGAATTCCATCCTTCTTTTCACTAACCTCCAACTGAAATTTAGCATTTCGTTTTATTATGAATGTGGTAACACCCATAATAGTATGCAGGACTGTGACTCTATCACCAACGGAAATCATATAGATATTCATGGGACTTTACAGAAGTTACTGATATTTTGAAATATTATTTAAGAACTCATAACTATTTTGAAATTATGATAATTATTAGATCTTCTAGGAGTTCTCCTATTTTAATGTTAAAGAAGCATATGGCTGGGCACAGTGGCTCATGCCAGTAATCCCAGCACTTTGGGAGGCCTAGGTGGGCGGATCCTTTTAGCCCAGGAGTTCAAGACCAGCCTGGGCAACATAGGGAGACCTTGTCTCTATCTAAAGTAAAAAAATTAGCCAGGAGTGGTGGTATACACTTGTGGTCCCAGCTACTTAAGAGGCTGAGGCGAGAGGATCCCTTGAGTCCAGGAGGTTAAAGCTGCAGTGAGCCGTAATTGTACCACTGCGCTCCAGCCTGAGAGTGGGACCCTGTCTCAAACAGAGTGGGACCGTGTCTCAAAAAAAAAAAAAAAAGAAAAAAAAAAAAAGCACATGTTATTACACAGCAAATTTGTTTGTTAAAGAGTATTTTGATGGCCGAACGCAGTGGCTCATGCCTGTAATCCCAGCACTTTGCGAGGCCGAGGCAGGCAGATCGTTTGCGAGCAGGAGTTTGAGACCAACCTGGGCAACATGGAGAAACCCCATCCCTACAAAGAATTAACAAAATAGCCAAGTGTGGTGGTACACACCTGTAGTCCCAGCTACTTGGGAGGCTGAGGTGGGAGGATTGCTTGAGCCTAGGGAGTTGAGGCTGCAGTGAGCTGAGATCGTGCCACCGTACTCCAGCCCGGGAGACGGAGTGAGACCTTGTCTCAAAAAATACATGTTTTGATAATTGTATTTCAAGAGAATTGGTTTCCTTTGTACTCTTCTGTATTTTATTTTATGAGTTTAAAACACTGTTCTGAGAAGGTACCCATAGACTGCCT
The DNA here is from genome assembly GCF_000001405.40 of Homo sapiens. NCBI lineage: Eukaryota > Metazoa > Chordata > Mammalia > Primates > Hominidae > Homo > Homo sapiens. Next base: position 71,719,578 of record NC_000015.10, on the reverse strand, counting down.
AGGAGTTCTGCTTCCATCTGGATATTCCTGTTTAAGAATTCTAATCTCCAAAATGTCCTTCTTTCCTTCTGACCAAAATGGCAAACACATGCGGTAATGCATTAAAATTCTGTTAAAAGAAAAGCAAACATTTCTCCTTAGGTAGACCAAGTCTAGTTTGATGTAATGTCCAAATTATGGTTTCTGTTAAACAAATATACGCAGATATCACACAGTAATTTTTTTTCAGTCAGATTCACTTTGGCATTTTGAGTTTGGATGGACTCAAACCTGTGTGAGTTTCTAAAACATGATGTAACACATTTGGACTGAAAATCAGAAGGCTGGCTTTCTCTTTGGCACTCTAATCACAGGTTGTAAGGGGTTTGAACGAAGGGAAGTGCCAAGGCTTTGTTCTTATTTCATTGCTAAATTATAGCAAAGTATGTCTAATTCTCATTCTTTAAATGTTAGAAGGTTTGATTTATTCTGACTCCAAATTTCCTTTGAATACTAACTTTAAAGAAAGTTTGTGTGGTTTAACTTTAAAGAAAGTTTATGTATGTTTAAGCCTCAAATAATGTTGTATGAAATTGATCCCACCTATGGTATAATAAGAAAATAAACTGGTCAAAAAAGTATTGGGGGTTGTAAAGGTACAGCTCATGACTTTGGGAGCTGAGTCCATGGAGCAGTCAGACACATGCCAATACAACGTGACCAGAGAGGCTGGTAAAATTTCCACGAGATGCAGAGGCTCTCAGAGAGCGGGTGGCATTTGAGCAGAGATTTGCAGGGAGGAGTGGGTCACCGGACAGAGGATGAAGGAAGGGCATTGGGGGTCTTGAAGAATGGCATGGACAAAGACAGAGGCAGGAGGGGGCACGACCTTAGAAGGATGGAGAAGGGAAGTTGTGGGGCGCTGGGAGCGTGCATAGATGGGAGCCCCTGGAGATGAGTTTGGATGGAAGACATCAGGCAGACTGTGACGGCTGATTGTGGGCACTGGGATGCCTAAAAGATTTTTGATCAGGATACAACAACTGAAATCTGGTTTTAGGAGCCTACGCTGGCAGCTAAATAGGAAGATGGGTAGCATGTGATACCCAAAGTTCATTCATGACACAAACAGTTCTCACGTACCTACCATGCCTCTCCCAGCCCATGGACAGAACCAGCCCTGCAACTGTGGCCATCTCAGGCCACGCTCCCCTCTTCAGGCTGAGCTGTCCACTTGCTACGAGCAGGGAAGGACTATGTCTGCCCTTCAGAAGGAATTCCAGGAGGCTAATTTTGTCAATGGGTCTCATTGTAGCCCAATTTATCTAGAAGAGAAACCTGATATCTTTCTCATCCCAAAGTAGTTGCTTCCTAATTCCCTCCTCTAAAAAAAGAAATTGTTCTCCCATTACTCAGATTCCAGTTTTTGCAATCTTTTTTTTTTTTTTTTTGAGACAGGGTCTCGCTCTGTTGCCCAGGCTGGCATGCAATGGCATGATCATGGCTCACTGTAGCCTCAACTTCCCAGGCTCAAGCAATTCTCCTACCTTAGCCTCCCGAGTAGCTGAGACTACAGGTGTGCACCACCATGCCCAGTTAATTTTTAATTTTTTTGTAGAGAAAGGGACTTGCTTTGTTACCCAGGCTGGTCTCAAACTCCTGGGCTCAAGTGATCCTCCCACCTTGGCCTCTCAAAATGCTGGGATTACAGGCATAAGCCACTGCGCCCAGCCTGCTGTAAGTTTTTCACAGGGCAGGAGCCCTGTCTCATTTAGTACCTGACCAACAGACACTCAATAGATATTGCCAAGTAATGCTGGCAGCCCCCTCTCATGGTGGTGGGGGGTCTTGTTCAAGGGCCAGTCACTTAATGGCCCCATTACCGCTCCTCTGTCTCCCGTGCTGCTAGCTCCTGCTTCTAACTCTCATCCCTAATCTTAGTGTCTATGCCCTGTTCTTTGATGTTTAATCAATTGCTTTTGTGATTTTTTTTTTTTTTTGCTATGCTAAATGCCATATTTAAGTTTCTCAAGATTTTTTTTTAACCTCAGGAGCAGAAAGGTGAATTAATCAGACTCTTTAGCCTGTGGCAATTTTGTTGTATAAGGTCCACCTGTCTTGTCTTATTTTTCCCTTTATGCCAGATTCCACCACCATCAGTCCCTGGCTATCCCAACAAGCACCTACACTAATGTGATACAGACATGTAATTTACATAAATGTTACTGGGTTTTCCCTTTGCTTTTTACACTGTCTTTGTTGCTGAAATGTCCATCTAGATAACTGCTTTCTAACTGCCATATAGAATTCCATGGCATTCACCTACCTCAGTTTACTTAGCCAATCCCCTAGGCCTCTGGAGCCTGGTTTTAAATTTCTTTGTTATAGTCCACAGTGTCAGTAAAGAGCTAGTGTTTAGTGATGACTCATTAGGTATTTGTTACAAAACACCAGAAGCCAAGAAGGCCCATTTTCAAAAACAGAAACCCATCACTAGGAAGAGGAAAAGTATCTTATCAGGGCTCACATATGTATGCAAAAGGCAGCAACATGTGCCCCAGAATGCATCTTCCTCCTGGCACAGAGAGGGAAAACTGGAGTTGTCTAAAAAATAAGATATCCGAGGTGGGGTCAGAATTCAGCTTTTATGGCTCTTGGTCATCTGGTCAGGTCTGACCCAGAAGTTCCCATGGAGAAACATCTTTGGTGACCTCATGGAGTTAAATATTAGGATTCTACATGAGGAAAGTCCAGGATTCTATGTGAGTGACCAGAACACATGAGGAAAGAAGCATCCTGTATATACTGCAAGGGGGGATGCCCCAAGAAGTGAGACCTGCTTGGTTTGAGGGAAAAAGGCCCTGGAAGTCGGGTAGGAGGATGATAGTGTGCGGTCAGGTGTGCACCGTGGCTGGGCAGGATAACAGCCCACTCGCTGGCCTGGCATCACCCCACAAGTACAGTCAGCTATGATCTAAAGCACTGGTCATTAGACTACAAAAAAAAAAACAAAAACCAACACACACACACACACACACCCCACACTCTATAAAACAAACAGGAAAGTGCTCTATGAACAAAAAGAATTAAATCAATACTCCAGTGCGATTCTAGCGTAGTACTACAGTGCAATCCTACAGCACGATTGCACTGTAGTGTGGATTTACTTCTTTCATTTATGTGGTAATTGCATGGCCAAACATATCCTATACTGGGTTGAATAGTGTCCTCCCAAAATTCATATCCACCTGGAACCTGTAAATGTTACCTTATTTAGAAATAGGATCTTTGAAGATGTTATTTAGATGAGCTCATGCTGCATTAGGGTGGGCCCTAAATCCAGTATGACTGGTGTCCTTAGAAAAGAAGGCAATTTGGACAGGCAGACACAGACACACAGTGAGAATGCCATGTGAAAACAAAGGCTGGAACTGGAGTTAGGAAGCCACAAGCCAAGGAAGGCCAAGGATTGCCAGCAAGCACTGGAAGCTGATAGAGGGTCACGGAACAGATTCTTGCTCTAAGCCCTCAGGAAGGAACCAATCCTGCTGACACCTTGATTTCAGAATTCTGGTCTCCAGAACTGTGAGAGAATGAATTTCTGTTGTTTTAATCCACCCAGTTTGTGGTATCTTGTTATGGCAGCCACAGGTAACTAATACACATCCCTATTATCTAATTCATGTGTGTGCTTGCTTCAGGGTTGGCATGTTTGGTGGTTGTGGAGTGGTGGGTGTTTTGGTTGGCTTGCAAAAGACTAAAACACCAATATTTGAAGCCAGTGTTAAATAGACCTATCCTAAATAGAGGAAAAAAAAAAAAAACCCAGAGCCTAATTCCAAATTTTGAGCCCCAAATCTGCGACTAAATTGCGATGACGTCGGGGAATAAGTGGAAGGGTTGTTCTCAATGTCATGGACAGCTGATGTTTTAAATTTTACTATACTATGAACCAACATAGGATAGTTCTTTCTTTGATTTTACAACACACACACAAACACATACACACACAGTGGCTTCCACATTCTGTTCTAATTACCTGGTCTCATTAAAAAAAATATAAACACACAACTAAATTCCATTTCTGTTCTAAGCACTGTAGAATCCAAAGCCCATTCAATGCTGGGAATTCGGGTAATTAAACAAAAATTCCAAAAGTTAGGACTAAACATAGGAAATTTGAAGTATAAGCTTGAATCCAATGAAAAGATGCAGGATTGTGAGGGGAATTTCAAATGATCCATTCAGAGTTGTAACCAACAAGGCACTGTCGCCATGGGTTCCAAGATGATGGCAGGAATTCATTCCTGACTACCAAACGGACTGCTAATGGCAGAAGTAGTTAACCTAAAAAACACAGGATGTACATAGATGCTAATTTAATACAAGGGTTTTGTAGAGACACAAATGAACCCAAACTTTGGTGTTTTTGAGTATTAGAACTCCAAGCGATAACTGAATATCAATTTTAATGTCCTTTGGGAACAGATGTACATAAACAAATTCCTGTTTAATTATTTTGAGTGTCGAGTTGTGATTCTCGCATGCCATACTCCTGCAAGACTGACCCACTTATGTCTCTGGAGTTATAAGGGTTATGTATCTAATGATGGCAGCTTGTCCACCCACTCACTAGTTGAACAGGTAGGAGACATTTCTGTCACAGTAACAATTTAAGACATTATTTTTATTTGTATTTATTTAGTTTTCATCTATTTATTTTAGGATTGGGGGTACACGTGCAGGATTGTTATGTGGGTAAATTGTGTGTTGCAGCGGTTTTGTTGCCCAGGCTGGAGTGCAATGGCATGATCTTGGCTCACTGCAACCTCCACAAGCGATTCTCCTGCCTCAGCCTCCCAAGTAGCTAGGATTACAGGCATGCGTCACCACGCTCGGCTAATTTTATATTTTTAGGAGAGACAGGGTTTCACCATGTTGGTCAGGCTGGTCTCGAACTCCTGATCTCAAGTGATCCACCCCCACTCGGCCTCCCAAAGTATTGGGATTACAGGAGTGAACCACTGCTCCTGGCCAGCATTATCTTAAGAAAAGAAAATGCCAAGGCAAAACTTCAGCATCCTTTTAGCTATATTTAATTTTATTAATTCTGCTTTTAAATTTTAGAAGTCATGTACAATAGACACTCCTAAAGCTTATCCATTAACCTATCCTAACCTATCCTAAAAGTCCACCCCATGCCTGCACCACCCTGCCAGGCATTTTCCGCCATTCAACAAAGAGTAGTTTAGCACCTACTATGTGTCAGGCACTGTTTTAGGTGCTGGGGATAGCAGCAGTGAGCAAAACAGAACCCCTCCCCCCCCAACACACAACACCCACCGCACATCTTTGCCCTCATAAAGCTTACATTTCAGTGCTTATATAAACTATCTTCATCTCATAATCCTCTGGGACAGGGTTTTGTGGATGAGAAGAATAGGTTCAGGAAGGTTAAGTATTAAGGTTGGTGCAAAAGTAATCACGGTTTTTGCAATTAAAAATAATGTCAAAAACCACAATAACTATTGCACCAACCTGTACTTTGTCCAAAGTCACACAGTAAGTAACTATTGGAGCTATGACTTGACCCCATATCTGCTTGTCTTGTTCTATGGCTCACCTTCTACTCCACATTGGAACAAGGAAATAAGATAGTAGGTGTGGGGGCAACTGGACAGTCAGCTTCTCACAGGTTCTGAAACATTGTCCAGTACAATTTTTTTTAGGTTTCACATCCATCCACAAATCCTTTTAACTAGTTAGGCCTGTTAAAACATCAATGCTTTCCCTTTAGTGTACTATCTTAATCATTTCTAATCTATTATTTAAGATGGCTCAAATGACCCCTGTAACTTGGTAGAAGTTGGAAATGAATTTATCTGGGGTAGAGGCAGGATGAGAGACTTAATATCTAAATTCTACTTTGATGTCCGATTTGGTGGCAAAGCTCACAGTAGTCATCTGATTCCTCCCTAATGATACCCTGGTTGTCATGGCGATGGGAGGGGATTGTGAAATATCACAATGAAGCTTTATATAAATCTATTTTCAAGCTAGATGGAAGACATTCGAGCATGACATCAATAAAACGTAAGATGCTGTAAGATTGTGTAAACCCCACTATATCTCTTTTTCAGAACCCCAAGGGGCAACAGCTGCTGAAAGAATCAGCAACATAGGTGTGGGCGGAGGGCCATGTGGGCACAGTGACCTCCATACAACAGCCTCTGGGGCCCTGCAGAGGATACTAGGAGCTCATTAGGAAAACAGCAGGAAGGACCAAGACAGTTCCTGAGGGCAGTTCCCAAAGGCCAGAGGGTAGCCACACAGCCCTGGAACAGGGGGAATTTAATGCTTGGCAAGGACACTGTGGTAGCTGTCCTGCCCAATGGGAGGGACCAGAGCATATGGGGTTCTAAGATTACAATGATGGCATATTGGATTAAGACGATTCCAGTCACTGTTTTCTACCATTACCCAAAAGCCTTTTAAACTAAACTTCCCAGGTTTCCTTGGCTTGAGGAGCCTGGGCTACCTCGTTATTGATCATAATATTAACAATTATCATAGCAGTATGTTGATTCAACAATTAATTCAACTTTTACAGATGTAAACTTGATGTTTTAAAATTTATTAGTTTCACCTCCTTGAAAAATTCCCCTTCCCCAGTCGTTCGTCCCTGGTAACCACTGCTCTGTTCTCCACACCTATGGGTTTTCCTTTTCCAGAATGTCATAACAAACGGAAGCATAGGGTATGTAGTCTTTTGAGTCTGGCTTCCTCCACTTAGCATAATGCATTTGAGATTAATCCATGTTGTGTGTATCAGTGGTTTATTCTTTTTATTGCTGGAGTAGTATTCCATTTCATCGATGTACCCTAGGTCATTCATTCCTTAGTTGAGGAATAGTTGGGTTGTACTAGGGTAAAGGGCTGTGAATAGAGGCTTATCAATTGTATTGATATTTTCAAAGAACAAGTATTTTGTTTCTTAATTTTCTCTATTGTTTTTCTGTCTTAAATTTCACTGATTTCTGCTCTTGTTTTTATTGTTTCCTCCCTTCTGCAATTCTCCCTTCTGCAAAGCAAAATCCAAAGAAATATGATTTGGGATTAACTTGCTCTTCTTTTCCTAGTTTCTCAAGGTTGAACATCACATTATTGATTTGAGCTCTTTCTTCTTTTCCAGGATAAGCATTTAATGCCACAGATTTCTGCTAAGCACTGCTTTAGCTGCATCCCACACATTTTGACATGTTGTACTTTCACTTTCATTCAGCTGAAAATATTTTCTAAGTTCATGTGAGAATTCCACTTTAATTCAGTGATTGTTTAGAAGTGTGTTGTTTCATTCCTATGTTATTTTTTAATATTTGGGAAATTTCTAGATCTCTTTCTGTTACTGATTTCCAGTTAAATTCCATTATGATGAGAAAAGCGATGTTTATATTATAGCTATATTAAAAATTTTAAAGTCTGTTTTATGGCCCAGAATATAGTTTATTTTAGTGACTGTTCCATGTACACTTGAAAAGAATATGTGTTCTGCTGCTGTTGGTTGGAGTGTTGTATAAATGTCAATTAGGTCAAGTTCTCTACTTGTTCTATCAATTATTTTAAGAAGAAGACTAAAGTGTCCAAGCATTGTTGGGGATCTGTCTATGTCTCCTTTCAACGCTATCAGTTTTTGCTTCATGTGTTTTAGAGTTTTGCTGTTTAGATGCATATACCTTTATGGCTGTTATGTTTTCTTGGTTAATTTCCCCTTTATTATCATGTAATCTGCCTCTTCATTCTTGGTAATGTTTCCTTGTTTTGAAGTCTACTTTGTGTAATATTAATATAGCCACTCCTGCTTTTGATTAGTATTTCCCCGAAATATCTTTTCAAAAATGTGTTTCCTTTAAATCTATTTATATATATCATTACCTTTAGAGTGGATTTCTTATAGACAGCATATCACTGGGTCTTTCTTTTTCAATCTAATCTGACCATCTGTATTTACAACGAGTCATGACTAGATTTCGCTCTATTTTATTGCTCTTCTTTGTCACCTTTTTTATTCCTCTGTTCTTTTTCCTTTCTTTTTTTGTACTTGCATAATTTTCAGTATTCTGTATAATTTATCTATTTGCATGTTGGTCATATCTCTTTGAACTATTTTTTAGTTGTTGTCCAGGTGTTAAAACATACAAACCTAATTTGTCATAGTCTACTTTGAGTTAATATTTACCATTTCAAACAAAATGTAGAAATTTTAAAAGCAACAATGGGAAAAGCTCTGCATGTGTGGAGGCTAGGAATATAGGGGAATTTTCTGTACCTTCGGTTTTTCCGTGAACCTAAAACTGATGTAAAAAATAAAGCCTATTTTCAAAAAAAATCTGAAACCAAACAAACACAAAATAAAGGTCCTTCAAGTCTCCCCTATTTATGTTATATTTGCCATGTGTATTTCATCTACATATATTGAAATTCTCCCAATGTTATATATATATATGTATATATATATACATATATATATTTTGCTTTCAATAATCATGCATATTTTATAGAACTTAAGAGGATATGACTTTGGCTTTTTCTTTTAACCTCACAATAATCTTGGTAAATAGGTAAACAGATATAATGAATTCCATTTAAGAGGCAAGCAAACTAAGTTAGATACTTGTCTGCTCTGACACAGCTGGTGAAGAGTTGAACCAGGACTCAAACCTATATGCTACTTCTTTCCCCTGTACCAGGCTGCATTTTGTTCCTCATTTGTAAGTTACAGCTTTGATACAGAACTAGAGTCTGTGTGGAACAGAACGTACCATGAAATTGTAAAAATATATTGGCACTGAGAATACCTAGGTTCAAGACCTGCTCTGCTCACTGCAGGTCATAAGGAAAGAGCTCAATCCAGGCTTAACACTCAACTTGTGAATGCAGAGCTTGGGAACTTTCACAAATAATAATAAAGTATTTTTCCCCTTGAAGATACCGTATGAGCCAGATGAGGTGGGTCTTACATCCTCTATGTGGCACCAAGATAATAAGCCAAAATTGACCTGGGTCTAGTTTCTGAGGCACTGGGTCAACCACATTCTGGCTGATGCTGTTCATGTTCCCAACTAATAAACAGATTAGGTCCATGGTCATTTATCTTGGCCCTCCTCCATTTGGGATTTGCTACTTCTATTCATCAAAATAATCAAGATTCCAACTACAGATGGCTGAGTAAGAAAATAATTTCTGTGGAAATCCTATTTCCCTTCCCTTAAATTGGTGGTTTTTAAAACTGTGTTCCTTGGAGTCCAAGAGATTTTCATTAAGTTTCCAGATTTCTACAAAGTGTCCTCAGAGGTCATCCTGGAACAGAGGGTGGAATGGAATGGAGGGGGGCACCTCCCTGTTGCTTTGTTTTAAATATTTTATGTTATTTGAACAAATAGTTCCTTGGAATTAAATAAACTGGAAAACTTCCACTTTGGAGCATTGACTCAGCCCCCTCAGGATGGGAAAGAGCTTGAAGTTTATCTATCTTAGTCTACCTCTATGCGGAAGGCTTGAATTCATCATCACCAAGTGACATCCAGCCTGGATCTGAGCAGCTTCAGAGGCAGGGGATTCCCCACATCCCTAGCCGCTCACCCCGTCTTGACTAGTCCTGATGCTTTTACTACTGCATGCATCACTGCTTCTCAAACTTGGCTGCCCATGGCAAGCACCTGAAAAGTTTTTTTTTTTAAACTGATGCCTGGGCCTCACTCCCAGAAATTCTGATTTAATGGGTTCAGGTATGGCCTGGGCAATGGGAGATTTGAAAGTTTCCTGGTGATTCTGATTTGTAGCAAAGTTTGGGAACCATGCCTTAGATAAGCTAATATCTACACCCTGCATGTGTCCACCCAGTGCTCTTACTCTTCCCTGGAAAGCTGGGATAACAAGTCAAATCCAACTTCTACATAAGACCCTTAAGAAAATACGAAGACAGCTTCACTTTCTTCCCAGCGTTTCCAGTTAAGGTCCTGGTGCTTCCTAGATGCCTCCTCCTGCCACATGTTATCCGGCTGATCTACGTCATCTATAGACCAGTGAGGAGCCCCCCTGGAAGGTAATAACTAGGACGGGTCTGATCATGGCACAGGAGAGCAGAACCGTGATGCCCCTTCTTCTCCACAGTCCACTTCAATTGCTGCAGCTCAGCTTTCCATGGAACCCCACCTACATGATAAAAACGCTTTGATTTTTTTTCACACAGGTGCTGCTGCTAAACCCTTTTTTCCCCCATCTTACATTTGGTCACTAATTACTGGCTAAGGCCTAACGACAACCAGAAAACCAAATCAGCAGAACCTGTAGGCAATTCACCCTTACATCCCTGTAGCATTTTATAGTTCGCAGAGTAAATTCACACACCTTATTTTAATTACTCCTCCCCCTGGCTGTCCTTATTCCAATCCCGTTTTCCAGGTGAGAAAGCTAGTTTTAGAGCAAAGAATAGGCGTGCCCCCAAACCACATGGTTAGTATGTAGCAGAGTAGGGGATGTAATCCATTTTGTGATCTGTACACCACGCGACTCTACCTCCCACGTAACTGCACAGTCCACGGTAGTCCAGGGACGGGACCTCACAGCAGGGAAACCTCGGCTTAGCGCTGCTTCGTGTGGCAGTGTTCCAGGGCCACCCACGCTCTGTGCACAGCTGTGTGCAGCACCATAACAGCAGGACAGGGGTCTTTGCCACAGTGCTGAGAAAATAGGCCAGGTTTCAGGGCAACGCTATTTGCCCCTCACTTTAAGTGCTGACAGAAATTAGGTGGTGACTTAAAAACTTCCTCAGAGAAAGACTGCCACATGCATGGCTCAGCCAAAAACCAAACCAAACCAAACTAAACAAAACACCAAAAGACACTCCAGGTCAGAATGAAAATCCGTTTGGCAAAAATTCCTAACCCAGCTCAAGATGAATTCCTTGCTGCATATATATATGTGATGCCTTATTCTCCTTTTGGTTCCTGACATGGCTTTGCCCTAGGACTGAAAAAAAATCTCACAGCTGACACTTAAATGATATACCCTTTCAGTTAGTTTCTATATAGTTTGTTTTTCTGGCTGCACGTTTGGTATTTTCTCAAGACTGTCTCATTCAAACTCCCATTACTGACCCTACTACAGGTCTTCATTTCACTTATTTCATGGGTTGGGCTAAAGACAAGGCCGATAGCCCTTGGCCAGGCACTGGGCGTGGTAGGTCCCAGATGCAGGCAATAAGGAGGTGCATTGTCTACAGAGGATGAAAAACAGTCATAAAACTGTCTAGAAGTGGTGCTTTTTATTATCATCGTGTAAAATACTCTCCCCTGCTGGGTCAGAGCACTCCTACTCTCCCTCCTCCCCAGCCTTGGCAGGTCATTGATGACGTTCAATCACAGACTGCAGTCCCAATCTGCTAAGGTCTGGGATCTGTTTTTGTCCTGTGTCCAGTGAGTTGGGCAGACAGAAGTCACATCTAACCAGGCTTGGCAGGACTTCCACAAAACTTCCCAGACAGTACAGATGGAAGGGAACTCAGTTAACTCTCTTAAAAACAATATAGTCCTAAAAGATGGTGCAGCTTCTATGGCAGAACCAAAAACCAGAGCAAACTGGATTTTAAGAGGCTCCAAGAATATACTCTTGCACAACACAGTGGTTATTCCCAAGCCCTGGAAAGTATCAGGCTGGAAAAAGAGGGCATGAAATTGTTTTTATTTGAAAGGCATTTGTTTGGGAAAAGGATGCTTTCTCCAAGCAAAATGTTAGCTTGCTTGGTTAGAAGTTAATTACAGTATTCATTACTTAAAGCCAGCCTGGAATTTTGGCTTGAATTCTTAGGAGCCTATGATTCAGGAGGGAAATGACCTATTCAACCCCAGGCCAGTGAGCTAAAAGTTAATCTGATAACTGCCTTGTTCAAAAGGGCCCAAGAGATAAGAAATAAATCCCCAAGGGGTAAAAATCAAAACTGTGGTTTTAAATCCAGGAAAATTATCGTAGAGATATCGAAATGTTTGTTACCGAGATTGGAGCTAAATGAGGAAATGACTTAAAAGAATAAAGTGGTTAGTTGCCTTGGTTCCCAAATTAATAATGTTCTTGTTCTTTTGATATCTCTGATATTCACATGTTGGTTTAATTAAAATATTTGGACTCTAAAGTGCAGAACAAGCAGGGAAATCATGCATTTGGTATGTGGCTTTAATGGACTATAGCTTATTCTAATCTGTCTTCAAAAGCAAACTTTATCCTTGTTGGTCATCTTCAGTCAGCCCTGTCTTCTGGGCTGGGTACTACTGACCAACTCGTGTGGGCTTCTGGACATCACGGCTGTTTTTCAGTTGTCCCATCCTTGATGCCTTTTTGACCCTTAACTTTGGGTTTCTCCCAAGGTTGGAGTCTCAGCTTGTGGTTTTCGTGCTGCGTGAGACTGACCTGATTGCTGGGACTTCTAGGCTCCCCTCTGTTTCACCCTTCAGAACCACCCTCCCATCTCAGCTCAGAGACCCTAACTCCAACTGTCAGTAGGCCACACCCTTGACCTTAACCCCTCCTGCCTCCTTCAGGATTATCCTCTGTCACGCATCCCTTCTCCCTCCCATCTCTTATCTCCCACTCTGCCAACTCCTCTCCATCCTCCAGGAAACATATTCCAATTATCCTAGCCTTAAAAAGGAAAAGACAAACCACGTCTTGCCTCAGTTCTGGCACCCCTTAATCCTCCTCCTCCTCTTCAGTGTCAAACTTCCTAGATAACATTCACTCTGGCTGCCTCGCACCTGCAAAGGTCATGCGAGATGTTGTAGCTGCTAGATGCAGCTGTCTCTTTTCTCAGATGTCACGTTGGTAGCATGTTAACCCTTTTTGCTAGAATGTAGACTGCTTCTCCCCAAATCTCTCATCTTCACCTCCAGGGCATTGCATTCTCCAACCTCTGTCTACCTCGGGTCCAGTTCCTGGTTCTCCTCTCCGAAGGGAGCTGGTGCTACAGTCTTTAGAAGGTGGCTATGCTCACCACTGTCCACCAACCTTCTCTGGTCAATTTCTGTTTTTCTCTGCATTCTATCCCTTGGACAATCCCAACTATCCACAATTTATATCTTTTGTCCTGAACTCCAGCACCAGGTTTCCCCAACCTGTTAGAGATTTCCCCTGTATATTTTATAAAAACCTCCAGTTCAACATGTCCCAAACCAAACACACCATTTTTTTCTCCCATCCCTGCCTCCTCCTGTTCACTGGCTCAGGTGTCCTCCCAGTCATCAGGCTGGAGACCTCTGGGTTCCCCTGGCTCTTCTTTTACCCCTAGCAGCGAATCAACTACAAAATCCTATTTTACAAGCAAGCTGCATCCTCATTCCACCATGAGCAGTCAAAACTTCCACACCCCAGGTTGGTGCCCACACTGTCTTCTGTTCGGAAGGCCAGCCCCAGGTGAGGAGAGTGCTGAATAGAAAAAAGCTCCATTTCAAAATCTGCCATTTACCAGCCTCGACCTCAGTTTCCTCACATGTGAAATAAGGGGTTACACAATCTCTGAGGCTTTATGATTCTCTAGATGCAATTCCTCACCATGTCTGCATGTCCCAAAGCCTGTGTATCCTTCAAGATCCTTCTCCTCTCAAAGCATTCTCTGCCTCTCTCCCTGCCACCCCAACTAGAAGTAATGTCTCCCCACTCTGGATTACCGTCACAGTTTCTGTATTTCTTTCAGGGCATATAGGGCATTTTACTTATCTCCCTCATTATATGAACTGCCACAAACTCTTGGAGGGAAGAGTTCATGTCTTGCGCTTTTTCTCCTTTAGATTCTCCTTGTATGTAGTAGGTGACCATGATGTAGTCATTGAATGACTGAATGACTGCAAAATCTTCCCCACTGATGAAAAAGCTGCAGGAGCTTCTCATTTCCTCCTGGCTGCTGTCCTGACACAGGGCTGGAATAGCTTGTCTCTTCTGAGAACTAGAATAAGGGGTGGGCCAGCCTGGCAGCTGCTGAGAGTGTTGGTCTATAAGGGGCTCTAAAACACCTCCAGGACAGCAACATCTGACCAGATATGCAAGGAGATGATGGAACTCCTGTGCATGGCAAGAAGAATGTCCTGGATAAGCTGCTCGGGGTTAGAGGAGACACTTCCCTCCCCAACAAGGCAATACTTCATTAACAATAGAAGTCAGTCCAATGGCGTCTGAGGAATGTGGGTCTGGTTATCTGTGGGGTTTTAGTTTTGTTAGTTGCGGTGTGCAAATTAGGTGCCGCCCGCCTTGCTCTTCCTCTCCACACACAGGGCTCAGCCTGTCCTCAAAATGAAAGTTCAGTAAGTATTTGAAGACTCAGTTTGAGGGACACCTGCTGTGGGCTGGCTCCGGGTGCCCATCCCTCTGGCCCTGCTCCTTCCCTGCAAGGGTAGAAGAATTCCAGCTACCCTTCCATTCTTCCAGCTCCTTGACTGCCCTTCAGTGGATTAGGATTATCTTCATTCTTTGGCTTCTGCATTTTCCCTTCCAAATTCTACCCATTCTTCAGGGCTGGGCCCACATTCTACCTCCTCTACACCTCCTCCACCCTTGATCACTTCATATAGCACTGGTTTCTCTCTGATTTGAAGGCCCAAAGTGGACTTTTTATTCCTTCCCTAGGCCAAACACTTTACATCAGAGTCCGTGAAGATGGTATCACTATGTACTTCTCGTTCACAGAGGCTAAGGCTTGCCGTGTCTGCACGTCACAGTCTGGATTCAAACTTGGATTTAGGCTGCAACACACTTGCTGTTTTCACTGCCATCATGCTTCTCCCTGGTCTGTCATACAAATCATTGTAGCTAGGGGTTGTAGCCAACCGGCCCCTGTATGTCCAGGACCAAGTGCCTGGTTCATGGTGATTGCTGGATACATGCATAATAACTGAATAAATACTTAGCTCTGAATTATATAATACAGGGTTGTATTAGTCTGTTCTCATGCTGCTAATAAAGACATGCCTGAGACTGGGTAATTTATAAGGGAAAAGAGGTTTAATTGACTCACAGTTCCACATGGCTGGGGAGGTGTCACCATCATGGTGGAAGGTGAAGGAGGAGCAAAGTCATGTCTCACATGGTGGCAGGCAAGAGAGCATGTGCAGGGGAATTCCCCTTTATAAAACCATCAGATCTCATGAAACTTATTCACTGTCACAACAGCAAGGGAAGACCTGTCCCCATGATTCAATTACCTCCCACCCGGACCCTCCCACGACATGTGGGAATTATGGGAGCTACAATTTGAGATTTGGGTGGGGACATAGCCAAACCATATCAAGGATTAATGTAATGTGCTATCTTGTCACTTAGCAATCTTCATGTTAGGGTGCTAACTCTAAGAAAACTGGTTTCTTGGGGAGAAATCACTTTAAGTTCTGTTAAAAACTTTGTAGAGTTTTTCAGGCCAGGCGCAGTGGCTCACACCTGTAATCCCAGCACTTTGGGAGGCCAAGGTGGGCGGATCACGAGGTCAGGAGATTGAGACCATTCTGGCTAACATGGTGAAACCCCGTCTCTACTAAAAACACAAAAATTAGCCGGGCGTGGTGGTGGGCGCCTGTAATCCCAGCTACTCGGGAGGCTGAGGCAGAAGAATGGCGTGAACCCGGGAGGCAGAGCCTGCGGTGAGCAGAGATCGCGCCACTGCACTCCAGCCTGGGCGACAGAGCAAGACTCTGTCTCAAAAACAAAAACAAACTAACAAAAAACCCCAATCTTTGTAGAGTTTTTCATTAAATATTGGCTAAAATTTGCCAAGATCCTTGCCCCTCACCAGAGACAGGCGCAGAATACAGTGCTGACAAGGAAGAAATTGAGGAGGCTCCCTAGGAATTAGACCCATCTCCATCCACCCCAGGCTGTGGTAGAACCTTAGGCCTGCAGCTGAGCCCTGCAGCTGGACTCAGTGCCTGTGTGTCAGAGCACCAAGCCCTTGAGGCCCTGTCCCCAGTGCTATGTAAGACCTGTCCCCAGTGCGATGTAAGACCCTGTCCCCTCTCTTTGCTGTATCTCAGGTTATAACCACTCATAGGTTCCTCCCTTGCTTAATCAGGCCACTAACCAGGAATGATTGAGTGAAACATTAAGATGCCAATGGACAGCTGAGCAAATGACATAAGCTAATGGAAATATGTTAAATCTCCCTTGTAATCTAACACAAATTAAAATAATAAAACTATCATTTTCACCTGCCATATAATAATAACAGAAAAATTAAATAATAATAGAGATTTCTGGGTCTACATGATGAGATAATCACATAAGAACAGGAGCCTGGCCGAGTGTGGTGGCTCACGCCTATAACCCCAGCACTTTGGGAAGCCCAGGCAGCTAGATCACCTGAGGTTGGGGGTTCGAGACCAGCCTGGCCAACATGGCAAATCTCTGTCTCTACTAAAAATAGAAAAATTAGCTGGGCATGGTGGTACATGCCTGTAATTCCAGCTACTCAGAAGGCAGGAGAATCCTTCGAACCCAGGAGGCGGAGGTTGCAGTGAGCTGAGAGGGCACCACTGCACTACAGCCTGAGCAACAGAGTGAGACTCCATTTAAAAAAAAAAAAAAGAGCAGGGGTCAGAAACCTTTCAAAACTAGGTGTCAGATTTGCTCATTCACTCAAACTCTTTTTTGAGCACCCACTAATGTGCCATGTGCTGGATGCATACAATAGTGGACAGAGAGGCACGGACTCTGCCTCCTTTGAGGGAAACAGGTTGCTGAAAGGGAGAATGGTGGGAAGGGAGTGCAGTGGTCAGGAAAGGCCTCTCCAAGGAGGTGCCTGAGTGTGTGGAAAGAGCCAGCCTTGTGAAGAGCAGGGAAGTGCATTGCAGAAAGAAAGAACTGTCTGTGCAAAGGCCCCGTGGTCAGAAGAACTTGGTATGAAGACATGACAGAAAGCCCAGTTGATGACTTTTGTCCTCATGAAGAGACATAATCATGTTGGCTCTTCTGGAGGTGTGTGGGTTACAGGGTGGCAATAGCATTCTCAAGTAACATTCTGCATAGGAGGGGCAGAAGTTGGCTCACATAAGAATCAAGAAATTTAATGAGGCTTGAGCCCCCAAATTCAGGGTCTTAAATCTAATACAATTTATTAACCATCCTTCTCTGGGCCTCCCCTTCCTTACACATAAAATGTTAGGATTGAACAAAAGGATATCTCCAAGGACTCTTTAAGTGAAAAATTCTTTTAAAAGATTCAATGTAATTAAAACAATGAGTTCAAAATGATGAAATGAATCAATTAACTAAGAGTTTAAATATGACTATGAGCTTCAGAGGCTTGATGGCAACTTCCTCCTGTCTTTCCCTGGTCCCGTTACAACATTCCAGGCTGCAGGGTCCAGTGGTTCTGGGGGGCCCCTGGACGAGGCCTGCCCTCAAGGAAGAATTCTGAGCAGCAGGAAGAGCAAGCAGATGGGAGCACCTGACCCATAAGGAGGAAGTCACGGATGGATTTGCAGACAGTCAAATTTCTGAAGACTGTCAGTTCAGAATACCTCAGATGGAGAGGAGGCCTGGCAGGGGGCATCTGGTCCAAAGACACTTTTCAGATTTGATTTATAGGCTGTGCAGCAGTGTTACCTCTGGCAGTTTTATTTTCCATATGTTTTTCATCAGCACAATTTTAATTTTTTTTAAATCACAGAAGCAATGCATGATCATTAAAAACAATTTAAGCCTCCTAAAAGAAGTGGAAGGTCTCACTTCTTCTGCTTGGCCCCAATCTCGCTTCACTCCACAAGGATAACCACTTTTAACAATTAGTGAGAATCCTTCCAGATCTTTCTGTGCATGTGCGGACAGGCATAAACAAAATTATATAAAAGTTCACATGTATTTTTTAATACAAAATGGGACCCTACTATAATTTTTTTAGCCCACCATCATTTTAAGGACCTTCATTTTGTGTTATTAAATATAGAGCTAGTCCATTATTTTTAATGGCTAAAGAGTGTTTCATAGGATGGAAATAATGTAACATTTAATCATTTTTCTATTGTTGAATAGTTAGGTTGCATTTAATTTTTTCAGCTTATAAAACTGGCTGCAATGGACATTCTTATAAAGGTCTTTGTGCTCTTAATGACTATTTTGCTAAATCAAGGGTTTGCTTACTGTGGTACATTATACACTCAATACTTAGTGAGTCACAAACTTCTCCCCCAGCTCCCTACCCCATATTATATTTTACCATCATTTTAAATTTCTGTAATCTGCCAGGTAAAATTGTACCCCACTGTAACAATCTGAATTGTCCTGATTACTAGTGGGTAATAAATATCTTTTCATATATTTAAAAATCATTGGTACTTTTTCCCCTGGGAATTACTTACATACATCCTTTGCCTTTTTTACATTGGGTTGTTTTATCTTTTCTTAGTGAACTTCAGGAGCTTTAAAAAATATTAAGGATATTAGCTATTAGCACTTTGTTCAGAAATATTATTTCTCAGTCTGCCATTTGACTTTAATAGTGTCTTTTGACATAGAGAAGCCCCCAATTCTTATTAAATCAGATTTGTAAACCTTTTTAATGCTTATAGAGGCCAAAAGAGTTTAGTTCTTGTCAGAAAGTCTCTCCTCACCACAAAATTTAAAAATATTTTTCTGGGATATTTTTATAGATTTTATTTTTCTATATTTTCTTTTGGTATATTTATAGTTTTTATCTTGGTATATACTGTGACACAGAGATCTAACATTATTTTTTAATAATAATTATTATCCTAATGCTGATTATTGAGTTGTTTCCTCAATTATTTAAATGTGCTTTTATCATATACTACAAACAGGGGTCTATTTCTAGATTATTTCATTTCATTACCATCTCTTTGGTATCCCTGTTCCTTCCCCACGTGTTTTAATTGCTGTGGGCTTATAAAATTTTCATATCTTGTAGGACATATTTTCACTTCATCTTTATTCAAAAGCTTTTGGCTACTCTTGAACATTTGCTCTTCTAGATGAATTTTAAAATCAGGTGATTCTCATGAAAATTCCATTGGAATATTGAGGAGTTTAAAAATTGAATTTATGGATTAATTTGGGGGAAATTGATGGCTTTTTAGTAAGGAGTTGTCTTCGACTGAAATATGTTGTTTTGTCATTTATTTAAATTTTATGCCCTTTAGTAAAGTTTGTTTTTCTTTCCTATGGTTCTTGTACATTTATTGTTTCATTTATTTTAAATATTTAATATTTTTCTTGCTATAGTGAATGGCATCTTGTTAAAACTACCTGATCTATATGGTTCTTGCTTATATATAGGAAAGCTATTGAGTTTTAAATGTTTACTTGATCTGGACAGTGTCATGAATATATGATTAGGTCTAATAGTTTTTCATAAGTTGGCAATAATTTTGTTGGTAAGAAATGATGTCATATATAAATAAGGTGGGTTTTATCCTTTTTCTACAATCTTTATACCTCATTTATTTTTCTTGTCTCATTTCATTGGCTGGAACCTTCATAGTGATATTGAGTATCCTTATCTTTTCCTCGAAATAGGATTGGCTCTCTTGTTTCACCTTTAGGTATGATGAATACTACTGAATTCCAGTAGACTTTCCTTATCAAATTAAGGAATTTTACTTCTATTCATAGCTTTTTATTAATTTGTACAGATTGGGTAGTAAATATTATCAAGTAATTTTTCAGTATCAATTAAGATGATATTTTTCTCTTAACATCTTGGTGCGTAATAGATATCCTAAAATGAACCGACCTTTTTACTCCTGGAATTATTTGAATTTTTAAAACTGACTACAATTTGCCCCCCACAAAGCCCTTCTGATGAGACTGGCCACGAAACAACAAAGACCGTCATATTAATATAGAAAACCCATTCCATCAAGAACAGAATTCTGGACCTGCCATCTCTCAACCAGTTCCTGTTGCTTGGCACTTCCAGGCATGGAAGCTCTTGATGAAAGTATGGTATAGAAAGCTGTATGATCTCAGCATGGACTCAGGTTTGGATGTGGCTTTGGCAAACTCTGGGCTGTCCCTGTCAAGTAAAATGTGAAATGTCTAATGCAGAGAAACAAATGGAATAATTGGCTTTAAAGAAAGCCACTTTATTGAGGTATAATTGACATTAAAAAAGCTGGATCGAGACCATCCCGGCTAAAACGGTGAAACCCCGTCTCTACTAAAAATACAAAAAAATTAGCCGGGCGTAGTGGCGGGCGCCTGTAGTCCCAGCTACTTGGGAGGCTGAGGCAGGAGAATGGCGTGAACCCGGGAGGCGGAGCTTGCAGTGAGCCGAGATCCCGCCACTGCACTCCAGCCTGGGCGACAGAGCGAGACTCCGTCTCAAAAAAAAAAAAAAAAAAAAGCTGTAGCTATTTAATGTATACACCTTGATAAGTTTTAGAGACTGTGACATCACCACAATCTATGCCATAAACACATTACTCACCTCCAAAAGTTTCCTCCCATCCTCTTTATTATTACCATTTTATGATAAGAATACTTAAAAATAAGGTCTACTCTTTTAACACATTTTTAAGTATGCAATACAGTATTGTTAACTGTAAGCCCTATACTGTATCGTAGAGCTCTAGGACTTATTAATCTTTTATAACTGAAACTTTGTACCCTTTGAATAACACCTCCCATTTCCCCCTTCCTGCCAAGCTCTAGCAACCACCACTCTACTCTTTGCTTTTATGAGTTTGGCTATTTTAGATTCCTCATATAAGTGGTATCATGTAATATTCATCTTTCTGTGCCTGGCTTATTTCACTTGGCATAATGTCCTTCAGGTTCACCCATGTTGTCACAAATGTCAGAATTTTTCTTTTTAAGGCTTAATAATATTCCATTGGGTGTGTGTGTGTGTATAGACGAATGGATGAAGAACTTGTGAAATATATACATGCATGTATATATTTCATGTATATATACATGCATGTATATATTTCACAAGTTCTTCATCCATTCGTCTATAAATACACATTTAGGTTGCTTCCATGTTTTGGCCATTGTAAATAATGCTGCAAGAAATAAGGGAGTTCACTGATCTCAATTGAAATCAGGATCTCCTGATCCTGATATATATACCCAGCAACCCAGGGATTGCTGGATCAGATGGTAGTTTTATTTTTCATTCTTTGAGGAACCTCCATACTGTTTTTCATAGTGGCTGCACTCATTTATATTCCCACTACCAGTGTGTAAGGGGGCCCTTTTCTCTGTATCCTTGTCAACACTTATCTTTTGTTTGATAACGGCCACTCTAATAGAGTTTATTCTTCTCCCTCAGATTCTACCTTAGCACCCAGCTGACTACATTCCAGATGGTTGTTTAACCTTCTGTCTCTCCTCTAGACTGAGTTATCCAAGGGCAGGGAATGGTACTTATTTATCTGTGTGGCTCCAACATCTACTGCAATAGGCATCAGGAAGTGACAAGTACCAAATGATTTTCAAGGAGTGTGCCACATAGCCCCCAGGTCCTGGGGCGGTCCCGAGGGACTCTGCAGTGTGAGAAGGGGCTGAGCTGATGAGGGGGAGGCCCTTGGCCCCTTCTTCAGTGAGAGAACTGCCTTCTGTGTCTCATTCACGTGCTGAAGTGGGGGTTCTGTGCCATATTTCATCTATTATCTACCCCCATAAAAAAAAAAAGGATTATTTCTACCATGTTCCCTTTCCATGCATACATAGAGAAAAAAGAACTTCAAAGATGAGACATCATATCTTGTGCTGCAAAATGAATTTATATTTTGTAACTGGAAAGATATGATGTTCTACAAATAACCAATAACATCTCCCCTGCAAAATACTTAACTCAAATGCAGGTTTTGCAAACACCATAAATTTTCAAAATCCTAAATGTTAATCAGTGTTACCAAAGTTGCCCTCTCTTCTTTTGTTTTACATGGTGCGTTTTGGACTGATCTGAATTCTACAGCATTTCTTTTCTATGATGTCCATAATCACCACATGTCCCCTCCTCTTCTGTCGTCTGGATCCCAGTGCATACTCTTTCTTTACAGCAGAGCCCCTTGGATGTGCCCTACTTCTTTGCCTGCCTGCCGGCCCTGGGATCCTCTGGCAGAGGCTTGCTGGGAGACAGGTGTGTGTCTATGTCGATGTGCCTATGCACCTACTTCCCCTGAGCAAGAGTTGTCCTGAAATGAACACCAAGTTTGACCACTGAAGCTGCTGTGTCCCAGCAAGTCCCACCCCCAGCCGGCTCCTTCACTCCCCAATTTCATGCACCTCTCATAGATCTTGTTCATGCTGCTGTCCTCCATCCCCCTTTCCATTACATCATCTCACCCTTCCGCATGGCTCCTCTGCCTCGTTTTCTGATTTGTTTCTTTCTAAGCTCTCTGATTTAATATTCCTTCCGGTATTCTCTCTGGCACATTTTCCCTCATGCTTCCCCATTCTATACAATAACTTGTATCTGTGGGCTCTTAACAGTGGCCACTTGAATCATCCCCTTTTGCTCCTTCACCGTCTTATCACCCAGTTGCCAAAGGGCACTCCCTCCTTCCTTTCTCCTGTTCTCCTCACCTGAGAAGCTGTGCATTCTGAAGGCTGCCTCTCAAGTCGCATGGGCTTGTGACTGTCCTGTACACTGCACCATGATCGACCTGGACACCTCGTGTTGTATTTTCAGGCTTTGGGTGGACTTGTGGCTGGGAGTGGTTTTAGATCACCTATAGGCCTCTATACTAGTTCTCTCCTTCACTCTTCCTTATAGATCAGCTCCCTTTCTCTCTGCCTGCCTCAAAGCCCTGTAGTGGGGTGGGCTGGAAGGAAGCATGAGTTTTCCTGTGCTTGGATTTGGTATTCTTTCTCTCTTTAGTTAAAGTTATTTTTAACTCTCTGTCCTCAAGGTATGCCAAGGGTGTGATTTTTGTGTCTTTTCCTTTCTCCCTTTTTTGATCTATATCATTTGGGGAGGAAATATTGGGATATGGGCATCTGGCTGCCACCATTATCTTCAGCTAATTGGAAGCCCCCATTTTCTCCTTTTAACTGATAATAGCTATGCTATAGTTTCAATATGCATTTCATATTGAAATGTGATCCTGAATGTGTTGGGAGGTGGCGCCTAGTGGGAGGTGTTTGGGTCATTGGGGGTGGATCCCTCAGGAATGGCTTTGTTTCCTTTTAGCTGTAGTGAGTGAATTCTTGTTCTGATGAGATTGTATTAGTCCTAGTGTAAAGGGGTTAGTTCCCAAAAGAGTGGGTTGTTATAAAGTGAGGTTCCTCCTCCTGTTTGGTCCCTCTCTGCACATGGGTCTGCTTCTCCTCTGATCTTCTCCACCATGTTGTGACATAGCACGAAAGCCCTCACCAAAACCACGGCCATGCTCTTGAACTTCTCGGCCTGCAGAACTATGAGCTAAATAAACCTCTTTTCTTTATAAATTACCCAGTCTCAGGTATTTTTAAAACAGCAACACAAAATGGCCTAAGAAAAGGTACCATAAACAGGAATTTTCAACAAATTAGATACTTTATATAATACTAGTAAAACTAGCTAACATTTATTGAGGCCTCTCTGTGCCCCAGGCACATCCTGCATGCTTTATCTGTATTAACTCATTTAGTTATCACAATCATTTTACCTCTGCTATTTACATTTTACAGATAAATTAAGTAACTTGCCCAACACACACTTATTGTCTTATATAATCTTCACAAAGTCTCTGGGTGGGCATTATTAGCTTCATTGTATAGATGGGAAGCAGAGGCTCAGACAGGCTAAGTAACTTGCCCAAGGTCACAGAGCTAACAATGAGGAAGAGTCAAGATTTGAATCTGATTCTGAAGGTATTCTTCTCCCTTGTGAAGGAAGAAGAAAGCAACATCCGTCCTGCCTCCTGAGTGTGCAGGGGCTGTGGCTCCCTGGGTTGGTTGGGACTCAGGCTACCTTCTTACCTGTCTCTGTAGTGGTCACCATCATCTGTCCCTTCACTAAGGGAGAATGGCTCTGCAATCAGCAAAACTCACCACTATGAGAAATGTTACAGTCAAATACCCTGGGCTGTAACACACACACACACACACACACACACACACATGCACACACACAAATATTTTATGTGTATATACACACATTATTAACAAAAAATCTAATGCCTGCTGCCCATATTACAGCGTCTCAAGAAAATTATAGGTATCAGGAACTGAACTTGCACACACACATACATACACACACACTCATACATACACAAACACACACACACATACACATACAATAAAAGGATAGAAGGGAGAATCTGTAGATTAGAGAGGCTTAAAGGACCTAATTTAAAATGGGCCAGGTTAAACCAGAATGCCTAGGGATGCACACTTGGGTTATACAATTATAAAGAAATGCAAGGAAATGATTTCTCTAAAAGTCAAGAGAGGAAGAGAGGGAGCAAAGATTGGGACACAGCCTGTGGAAGGGCCTCTGGGGACTAGCAGAGTTCTAGTTCTTCCCCTTGTAATAGCTCATTAAGCTATATGCGTATTCCGTGGGAGGTTTTGGAAAGAGGGCCGTGAGGAGACAGAATGAGATGTGAATTCAAGGGGCACAGAAGGCAAACTTCAAATTAAGAGAGAGCCAGGGCCATCACATGCACTGCTGGTTCCTCGGCACACCTCTCCATCTCCTGTGGGCTGCTGCACTTAGGACCATCCTGGTGGCCAGGTGCACACGACTCCAGGTGGATACAGGGGAGTGTTCTGGGTGGTTTGCTGTGGTCCTGTGGGGTCTAGTGTGGTGGTCTTCAGTGCTATCAAGGGGCTATGGACTGTCTCAGAGTTGTACTTCAGGCTTCTCCTGACAAAGCTACACAGAGTTATAACAGCATGTCCTGAAAATTTCAGTTCAGTTCCTGGTATCTGTACTTTTTCTTGGGACATCATAATATGGGCAGCAATCGCTGGATTTCTTGTTTTTAACAGTTCTTTTGTTTGGAAGCAGAATTTTTCACTCAGTTAAAATCTGAAATAACACATTATTTCTTACAATTGCATATGAATTCCCAATTATTTCAATAAAAATTTCAATTAAACTATACACAGAAATGAAAAGTTAAATTGCCAGGCAACTTGCTGCACAACTGGAAGGAAAATGTATAATCCTTGCAAAAGCTTAACCATGTTAAAAGAAAATATGTTGACCCAGAGTCATACTTGAAAGATGCCAGACCTTTATTAAAAGTCATCAGAGACAGCAGATCTTAGAGGCAAGTGAAAAATGCTAACCAGGTCCAAATCTATATTTTGGGATAAAATAGATTATAAAGAGAAAGAAACTGAAAGAAGAGAAATCCAAGTATTCTGAATCAGATGAACCAACCATGACATTACAAGAAGGATAAAGCCACCAGAACATAGATGGAAATCCATTCCATCTCTCATGGTTTTTCCAAATAGAGGATCTGACCAAGACCATTTCTCACATGGTTTCCACCAAAGGGTCCACCTTCATCTGAGAGGAGATCTTTATGCTCACCTCTGCTCAACCTCCAACCTTGACACTGGCTTTTCTTTCTTTCTTTCTTTCTTTTTTTTTTTTGAGACAGGGTCTCACTCTGTCATCCAGGCCTGAGTGCAGTGGTATATGATTCTGTTCTCATGCTGCTAATAAAGACAGATGTGAGACTGGGTAATTTATAAAGGAAACAGGCTTAATGGACTCATAGTTCCACATAGCTGGGGAAGCCTCACAATCATGGCAGGAGATGAAGGAAGAGCAAAGGGATGTCTTACATGGTGGCAGGCGAGAGAGTAGGAGCCAAGTGAAAGGCGAAACCCCTTAGAAAATCATCAAATCTCGGGAGACTTGTTCATTACCATGAGAACAGCATAGGGGAAACCGCCTCCATGATTCAATTATCTCCCACTGGGTCTCTCCTACAACCCATGGGAATTATGGGAGCTACAATTCAAGGTGAGATTTGGGTGGAGACACAGCCAAACCATATCAAGTGGTGAGATCATGGCTCACTGCAACCTCCTGGGCTCAAAGCCATCCTCTCACCTCAGCCTCCAAGTAGCTGGGACTACCGGTGTGCACTACAACACCTGGCTAATTTTTGTATTTTTTGTACAGACCAGGTTTCATCATGTGGACCAAGCTGGTCTTGAACTCCTGGGCTCAAGCAATCTGCCCACCTTGGCCTCCCAAAGTGCTGGGATTACAGGTGTGAGCCACCAAGCCCAGTTGGCTTTGTTTCTTTATCCACCAATTTAGGATCCTTGCTGCTACTGGATCTAAAGAGACAGATCATGAGACTTGGACCTCCTTTTCCTTCTGCCTCACCAGAAAGAATGTATGGATCACCCCAGGATGCTTCCTGCTAAGAGGTTTTTGTGGCCTTACACATCCTTTGATAGCAATGAAAAATGTCTGTCTACTAAAAGGTTTTCCTGATTTTCCTTTCCCATAGGCTAGGTTTCCCCCCACCCTCCCCACATCCTGAAATTATTGAGCTAACATCAGGGTTGATTTCATCTTCAAACGAACCTATCACTAAACATTCAGAACCATAGCAAGAAATTTGAGACCTTTTTATCTCCCTTTAAAAGCAATTTGGACTTCACTCTCATCTGTTTAGGAAACTGCTCTTCCTTAAGTTATTATTCTTTGCCCACTTGGAAGTTTTATGGAATTGTAATTTCAGGAGACTGACTTGTAAATCGTTTCTTTAAATACTTAAAAGCTAGCTTTAAACATTAAAATATGACCTCGGTCAGCATTTCCCCAAATTGTCTTCCCTGGAACATGAGTCCCTTCAGAGGACAGCGCTTCTTATTACCAGGAACACAGCCAGCAGACGTCATCTGCAGCACCTTGGTGCCACTCTCTGCCTCCCCACTTTCTCCTGCTGCTTCCCTTTAAGTACCCTCAGAGGTCAGAGCGACACTCCAACTCAGAGATCTCCTAGTTAACTCCATCAAGCACAGAGGAGGAGACACAGAGTTGAACAACTTGAGAGTTGGGCTCTGGTGGCTAAGCTGAGGTCACCCTGGCCAGCTCCTGACCTACAGTTTACTGGTAGCTCCCTGTACACTGCAGAGCTAAATCTTCCAACTCGGTGAATGAAACAAAACAAAAAACAAAACAAAACAAAAACAAAAAATCTACAGTGGAAGAATATATGTCCTGCCATAAAGTACAGCTTTGACTCTGGCTAAATCACCTTGGCATCTAACAACATAAAAGTGGGGAAAAAAGTCCTCTCGTGTTTTGAGGGATGCTCTGGAATCATAGTTCCAGCCAGATGACCTCATAAGCTATGTAATTCTTGAAACCCATAGCAGCAGTTCAGTTTAGAATAATAGAAACATTGAAATTAACTCATCTTTAACGTACACGTGCACATACACCCACGTCTCCTTTATCAGTCTGTGCCTAGATGTTCTGGAACACTCCTTTGTATATATTAATGTCCTGGTATTTTGTTACTCTTAAACTAATTACATGGGAAGCTAGCCAGATGGAGGCTCTGGTCATTTGGATAGAGAACACACCCATGTGATTACTTGTTACTTTTGGTGAACGTCCCAGCTGGAATGTTGTTATCCCTCCCAGAGAGGTTAAACATTCCAGCCCAACCACACTGCTGTGTTTGGCTACTTGAGGTTTCCACCTGGACGGCTTGATCTTCGGGAATCTTGATTCTAGTTTCATTCTCATTCCCCTGGGGATACGCTATGCCAATCTCTCATGTATTCGCCATGTCCAGCTGCCTGGAGTCCATCTGAGCCTCCCAGCAATGGTTCACTAGGGATCCCCAGGGCAAGGCAGTCCTGTGCTAGACAAGGGAGAGAATGTCAATCTCTCTCACACCCTAAAAAAAGAGAAACACTTCCCAGGGGAGGGAAGAAAAGGCACAGTTCAACTCATCATTACTAAAAGAGACCATGTGTTGAGAGCTGACTGCATGCCAGGTAATCAACCAGGAGTACATTCTGTAGTTTAATCCTGTAATGATTCCTGCTTTAGAGCATAAAGGTCAGAGAAATGAAACAATCTGAGCAAGGCTGTGAAGCCAGAAAGTGATGGCACTGCCTCACTCAGCTCTGCCTCGATCCAACGTCTGTGCTCCTTCCCGTCCAGACAAGCTGCTCCTTAACGATCAGCTAACACCTGAACAGGCATGGTCTCCAGCCAGGTGAAGTCCCTGCCTTGAGTAGCAGGATGTGTTGATGATAAAGGAAGGTGAGTGTATTCTTTTCCTATTTGCTGTTGTAACAAATCACCATTCACTTAGTGGCTTAAAGCAACATAAATGTATTATCTTGCAGTTCTGGAGGTCAGAAGTCTGAAATGGATTTTGCTGGGCTAAAATCAAGGAGTTGGCAGGGCTGTGTTCCTTTACGGAAGCTTTAGGGGAAAAATTGTTTCCTTGCCTTTCCAGCTGCTAGAGTTGTATTTCTTGCACTCCTTAGTTTGTGGCCCCTTCCTTCATCTGCAAAGCCCGCAGTTCAGCCTCTTCAAATCTCTTCCTGACTCAACTCTTCGTCCTGCCCCTTCTACCTAGAAGGACCCTTGTGGTTACACTGGACTCACCTGGATAATCCAGGGTAATCTTTCCATCACAAGGGTCTTCATTAGGACCTTAATTCCATCTGTAACATTAATTCCCCTTTGCCATGTGATATGGTTTGGCTGTATTCCCATCCAAATCTCATCTTGAATTCTCACATGTTGTGGAAGGGACCTTGTGGGAGGTAATTGAATCATGGGGGCAGGTCTTTGCCATGCTGTTCTCATGACAGTGAATAAGTCTCACAAGATCTGATGGTTTTATAAGGAGGAGTTTCCCTGCACAACCTTTTTTTGCCTGCTGCCATCCATGTAAGATGTGACTTGCTCCTCCTTGCCTTCTGCCATGATTGTGAGGCCTCCCCAACCACATGAAACTGTAAGTCATTAAACTTCTTTCTTTTGTAAATTGCCCAGTCTAGGAGATGTCTTTATCAGCAGTGTGAAATGGACTAATACACCATGTAACTTAACATGTTCACAGGTTCTCGGGAGTAGGCTGTGGACAACTTTGGGGGGCCATTATTCTGTCTACCATAGTGAGTATCAGTAAGACTCGGTCCTCCTTGCCATCTCAGGTCCCCACGCCCCAGTCAGGCATGTATACTGACTCTTGGCTCCTACTCTGCTAGACGACCTTGTGACTATCTAGAAGTACAGACTCAGGCACCATCCCAGGAGGTGGGGAGTGGCAGCTGCAGCTGCATGCCACAAGGACCCCAGATTCTCAGCAAGGATTCTGGGCTTTTGTGATTCCGAAGAAAGAGCCAGCAACACCAAAGAGGACAGTTCCACCAAAAGATCTTAAAAAATGTAAGGCTCAGGCAATTACCCATTAATCACAAAACCTCAATACAACTCCAGGGCCAGAGCCAAAGGCAAGGATGGCCCTTCTGCAAAGATCACTCTGGCTGAAATTTGACTTATTTTTCCACCAAAGATTGACTTTGATGCTTAATTGAATCTGATTCCACTGGGATAAAAAATCTTAATTGGAGAAGAGTTTGGGGGCATTTACTCTATTTCATGCATCACCAGTGGGAAGTTTGAAGCGGCATATTTTGGTTAAATATCAAGGACTTTTGAAGAGCAAGACCTGTTCAGGGTTGAAGAGGTTGCCTCATGAAAAAGTCAGCTCTAAGCCTCCACTCACGTTCAGGGACGGGGAAGAACACCCAAACAGGTTGCTCCAGAAAGGATTCTGGACTCAGAACCCAAACTGGAGGGAAATAACACCCGAGGAATCTCTTCCATTGTCCAGAAGAGGTGCTGGCACTTTCATGTGTACATCTTCTCAATCCCCATGATCTCAATGAGGGTGATGGTATCAGTTCCATTTTATGGATGCAGAAACTGAGGTGATGCACGCAGTCTTGCCCCAAGTGACAAATCTCATCCAGCACAGAGCTAGGAGGATGGTGTAGGTCTTTTTCTATCCCACACACCTCTCTGGTTAGGCGTGAAGCCTGGAGGAACTTGGCTCTCCTTTGTGGGTTACTGATTTTATGACAGCACTGAGGGGGAAGGCTTATTCTGTATATGGAGGCAGCTTTATACAACATGATCTCCTTTCATCCTCTCTACCTTCCTCTTATCCTCACTTTATATGTGAGGAGAAAGGAGAGTCACAGAGTTCAAATAACAATGCTCAAGATCAGAGCTGCTCAGTGGCAGACACAGAATTCAGAGCCTGACTTGAGGCTCCATGTCTGGGACTCTCTCCCCTGCCCCTTCACAGACGCTGCTTCCGGAAGCCCAGAGCTACTGAGCATCCGAGGAACCAGGTGGTGGCTCCCAGAGCAGAGAGGCCACACCAGGTTCAAAATCCATCCTTGGTCTGACTTTTTGAGGGTTAAAAACACTTCGTAGAAATTTCCAGTAGAATTATTAGTATATCTTGGTCACATTTTAGATAAACCATCTTTCAGAATCTCATTGAGGAGGAAGTAAACTGAAGAGCTCTACAGGGCCTTATGGATACAGTTGCAGAGTGTGGGGATCCCTGGCTCTTGCCTGCCAGCCAAAGATGGACAAAAGGCGTTCCTGAGCTTTATCTCATGGGCCGGGATGGAGAGGAGGCAGGGAAATGGCCTTGCCCAGGAGGAGAACCATATGCACGTGGTTCTGGAACATCTGTCATAGTGGGGAATGAAAATGTCAAAGTAAGCAAATAATTGAAAAAGAAAAAAACACTGGCAGGGGGTGATTATTCCAAGATGTTAACATTTTGCCCTCAAACACAGGTTTTAGAAAATTACAGGCACCTCTCTCTCTTCTCTCTCTTGCTCTGTCACAGACACACACACACACACACACACACACACACACACAGAGATACAAAACAAAAAAAAACCTCAACAACAAAAAAGAAAAAAACAAAACAAAACAATGAAGATGATTAAACAGGGAACCTAATAGAAGAATGTTACTATTTTTAATTACAGAGGATTTAATTTCCCTTTTTCATCTATTATTTTTGCAAATAAGCTTCTCATCTAGGCTGGAACTGATTATGAAAGGTTGGGAAAATATTTCATTAACTGGAGTAACAACAGTTTTACACATTAGCATTTTACTTTTCATTTTTATGAATCAAATGGAATACGGAGTCTCTTAAAAAATTAGGACACAATTCACAATATGACATCAGGATTAATTCACTGGAGCATGTAAATGCACTCATGTTTAGGGTGAAGTCTGGGTCCCAGTGATGACTAATTCTACACAAGCTCTTAAAGGCTGAAAGGAAAATGTTCTTTGTAACCTTTGGGAACTATAGAAAAATTAACAGAAGAATTCTGGATGGGGCTCAAGACAGAAGACTGGCTTGTAAAGGCTTCCCACCAGTCAATAAATCAAAATCATGTGCTAAATGCTTTATTGCATGCAGAGCATGCAGTTGGGAACTGTGGAGAATTATGAAGAGACGGGAAAATACAGATTTGTGCTCAAGGAGCTTTTTCATTAAAATAGAAGGTAGAGGCAACTGTTACATAGAATACATCTGAACACATGTGAACAAAACAAACATTTACAGGAGATTATAACTGAAGCCACAACTGCAGCCTAAAACAGACTTGGCTAATAACAGACTTAGCTCATAACAGACTCTCAATAAGTGAATGAATGAATAAATGAGAAAAAATGAACAAACAGGTTAATTTGCATATTGGCATACTTTGCATTAGTAATTTCCAAATATTTGCATTCAAATATTTTTGATTGATGAATGGTTGATACAGATGAATTTCTGAGGTGCTGGTTTGTTTTTTTTTTTTTTTTTGAGACAGAGTTTCACTCTTGTTGCCCAGACTGGAGTGTAATGGCACGATCTCAGCTCACTGCAGCCTCCGTCTCCCGGGTTCAAGCAATTCTCCTGCCTCAGCCTTCCGAGTAACTGGGATTACAGGTGCCCACCACCACTCCTGGCTAATTTTTGTATTTTTAGTAGAGACAGGGTTTCACCATGTTGGCCAGGCTGGTCTCAAACTCCTGGCTCAGGTGATCCACTCGCCTTGGCCCCCCAAAGTGCTGGGATTACCGGTGTGAGCAATGGCGCCTGGCCAAGGTGCTGGCTTTTAAGGTTAGCTTGTGAGTTCAGCCGTTTTAGTGGTTTTTCACGGTCTCTTATGCCTGTTTTCTAAAAACAGAAAGTGCTGTCAGGAGGAAGCAATAATGCTCTGGTTATAGCTTCCTGGTCCTAACAGCAAATATCCCATAACTTCTAAAAATTATAGCATAATTTTTCATATAGAATAAAATTTAAAACAGCAAAACCTAACAACATTAAGAGGTGGACTCAATAGTCCTTAAAGAACAAGCAGTTAAAGAAGGTGGACATCTAGTGAGAAGTCTGTAGTTTAATTTTTATTCTCTAGGGGTTAATAGATGCCACCTGCCTCATGCTCAGAGTTGACTATGAAACTTTTATCAACTAAATGTTGGAAGGAAGCGTGATATCCTGCTTTGGTACCAGCCAACAGGCAGGATATGTGACTGTCCATTGCCTTGGTTACTGTTCATCTGCGTGCTGGTAGAACTCTCCTTTAAGATGGTCAACTAGTGTTGACTGAGATATTCCTAAGTCTTAACCAGTTTTCGGACCCCTGCCAGGAATTCATTTAGTGTGGCGGTCACCAAAACACAGTCTCTGAGCCAAATATGGCCTGCCACCTGCTTTTGTAAATAAAGTTTTATTGGAATCAGTCACTGCTTTTGCATAGGAGAGTTGAGTAGTTGTGACAGTGTCCATAGGGACTGCAAAGCCTAAAATATTTCCTATCTGGCTGTAAATCTTCAGTTTTCTTGCTACTGCTTCCCCCCACAGAGATTGGAACAACAGAGTGCACCATGTCCTCCATCACTACTGACTTCCCCTTCCCCCAAGAATGGGTCTAGGGACTCCTCCTCTTCCTTTGTCCTTATAACCCAAGCTTAGCAATATGGTGTTTGTGGGTGAAACGTCATGTCATTACTCTCACTATCCCATGTGTTCTGATTTCATGGTTTATATCAACTGACAGAGACTGATGAAGTGATGAAGAGGCAGTGCTCTGGCCATCTCAAAACAAAGGTGCTCCTATGTGGAGGGAACAGCTGTCCTTTTTTGTCTGGTATAAACTGTATAGCCCTGATTCAGTAGACAGAGAGAGAAACAGTTTCTTTCTCACCTCAGCCCTCAAAATCATGCAGACTACACTCTCCAAAGCAATACAATCAGGTATTAACAGCACAAATGCAACCAGTTAAGCATGTAAATCTCAACAGATGCCTCAAGTAGTTTGGGTTAATAAGTGAATCCAACTTACACATCATGGGTATAGAGTTTCAGTTTTGGAAGATGAAGAAAGTTCTATGGATGGGTGCTGTTGATGGTTGTACAATAATGTGAATGTGCTTAATGCCACTGAACTGTACATTTAAAATGGTTAAAATGGTAAATTTTATGTTATATATATTTTACCATAAAGTTTTAAAAATTTCTTATTAGGGGAAGCTGGGTTAAGAGTACATGGGAACTCTGCATTCTCTCTGCAACTCTTCTGTAAATTTAACATTACTTGAAAATAAAAAGTTTAAAAAAATGGATATATTTCCATTTACTTGGAAAAGTATATCTGAAAGTATGGTCCTTAAGATCCTCTCAGGGGATCTTTGAGATTAAACCTATTTCCATAACAACTCTAAGATGCTATTTGCCTTTTTTTCTCTTACTCATGAGTATAAAGAACATGACAAGTTTATTGATGTGGTTTCAGATTTCCCATTGCAACTAACCTTTAAGAAACTACCACTTTTCTAGTTTGGTATAGTATCAAAGGAGAAGATTCACAATGATCTGAAAAGACCACTAAACTACCTCTCTATTTTCCAACTACATATTTATGTGAAACCAGATTTTCTTCATATACTTTAGCCAAATAATCTATCACAATAGATTGGAGAAGCAGATATGAGAATCCAGCTGTCTTCTATTAGGCCAGACATTAAAAGATACAGTATTTGCAAATTGTAAAATGATGCCACTCTTCTCAAAATGTTTTTGCTCTGGGAAATAGTTACTTTAAAAAAACTGTTACTGTATTATATAGTGAGTTTATTATTGTTATTTGAAAGCAAAGTAATATAAAATTCTCAAATTTCAGTTTAAAATGTGAATACTGTAAATATTAACGAATAAATTCATATGAACAAAAGCTCTCTGGGGTCTTCAGTTTTAAAGAGGAGAAAAGGGTCCTGAGATGAAAACATTTAAGAACCACTGAGAAAACAGCAAAAACAGAAGTGTCACACATTGAATTTATGCAATTTAAATACTCTTATTTCTTTTTTTTTTAAAAAGAGGAAACCAAGGTAGAAATCATAAAACAGAAGTATGTGAATTCAAGAAAGAAAAACACACATAAGAACCTGAGAGCTGGTCTCCAAGACATTTTTGAAAATAAGCAAATTTAATAAAAAAGCAATAAAGCCCAAATAAGAGAATATATCAGATGATGCTGAAATTAAAAGTGAATTTGATATGTAATTCTATACTACATTTGAAATTCTCCATGAAAAAGATACATTAAAAAATTACCAGCTTGATTTAAGATGAACAAGAAAACATAGTAGACTCACAGCCATAGAAGAATTGTTACAAGTTAGCAGTAATTTCTTCCAAAAATATTCTAGTGCCAGATGTTTTTTATTGGTGAGTTTTTATAAAAATCTGAAGGAACAGATTATTATATAAGCTTTTCCAGAGCACATAAAAATTGGAACACTAACCTAACCTCCACCTCAGAGAGGTAGCACAAAATGAAAACAATAGGCCAATCTCACTTCGGAATACAGATTTTAAAAATCCCAAATAAGGTCCTAGCAAATTGAATTCAACAGAACATTAAAAAAACCATTCAGCAAGATGAAACAGGGTATAATCCAGGAATTCAAGGATAATATAGAAAACTTTAAAGAAAAAATAACGTAAGTAGGTGCCAAAATGTCATTTAAAACTCATCCTGGTAAAAAAAAAAAAAGATTACAAGATTAGAAATAGACTTTCTTACCCCAATGATGAGCATGTAATCATATATTCAATTAAAATATTTATTGAGCATACATCCATTTTCCTTGCTAGTAAAAATTAGGAGCATTCACATTAAAATCAGAGATAGGTTAAGGATGTCTGCTATTCAGAGTAATTACTATTGGAAAGGAGGAGGCAATATTATAATTATTTCTATATGGTATGATTATATCACTAGAAAACGATGAGAATCAACTCAAATTACTCAGAATTTATAAAAGCGCAACGAAATTACCAGATAGAGGTAAATATAAAAAAACCCATAACTTTTCTGTATATTGATAAGAATTTTAGAGATAAAAAGGAACAGATTCCATTCTTTGTCATCATCATCATACCACAGCAAAATGCAATTAAATACCTATGATGAATCTTTACAAGGAATGCAGAGAATTTATATGGAAAATAACAAAACTTCACTGGCAGATGTAAGCTATTTGAATAAACGGTAATAAATGCTATGTTCTTAGACTGAATGGTTTTGTTGCTGTTTTGAGATGGAGTCTTGCTCTGTCGTCCAGGCTAGAGTGCAGTGGTGTGATCTTGGCTCACTGCAACCTTGCCTCCTGGGTTCAAGTGATTCTCATGCCTCAACCTCCTGAGTAGCTGGGACTATGGGCACCTCCCACCATGCCCAGCTAAATTTTTGTATTTTTAGTACAGATGGGGTTTCACCTGTTGGCCAGGTTGTTCTCAAACTCCTGACCTCAAGTAGGCCGTTCGGCTCGGCCTCCCAAAGTGCTGGGATTACAGGTGTAAGCCACTGAGCCTGGCCAGACTGAACATTTTAACCATGTCTACTCCTCCCAAATGAATTTATAGATCTAATACACTCTGGGCATGAATCAGGTTGGAATTCAAGGATCACATTCCTTAAGACATTGACAACCTAACTCAAATAGCAGCCTGCTCTTCCAGCCAGCACTCATTCTCCTCTTCCCCTGTTTTATTTTTTATAGCATGTCTCATCATCTGAAATTACCTTTTTGTTCTTTCGTCTCCAGTTTCCCCGGTAGAATTTTGTAAATGCCATCAGGGCTGGTGTGCCCTTTTCTGAGTATTCCCAGTACCCAGAATTCCACCCGGCACACAGTAAGGACTCAGTACATGTTTATTGAATGAATTTAACATAATTGCGTGCAAACACCCATAGGATTTTTTTTTTCCTTACATATGACAAAATGGTTTCAAAAATTCACCTGGAATAATGCTAGACTGTCTGAAAATTGTTATTGAAAAGAAGCAAGGCTGGGTGCGATGGCTCACACCTGTAATCCTAGCACTTTGGGAGGTCAAGGTAGGCAGATTACTATAGTCCAGGAGTTCGAGGCCAGCCTGGCCAATATGGTGAAACCCTGTCTCTACAAAAAATACAAAAATCGGCCAGGCATGGTGGTGTGAGTCTGTAGTTCCCGCTACTTGGGAGGCTGAGGTAGGAGGATCTCTTGAGCCCAGGGGGGTTGAGGCTGCAGTGAGCCATGATTGCACCACTGCACTCCAGACTGGGCAAAGAGTGAGACCTCGACTCAAAAAAAAAAAAAAAAAAAGAAGAAGAAGAAGAAAGAAAGAAAGAAAGAAAGAAAGAAAGAAAGAAAGAAAGAAAGAAAGAAAGTAGCAAAAGAGGGAAGAATTGCCATGCCAGATACTAAATCACATTTTAAAGCTATGATAACCAAAATACTCTGTGTGGTACAGAAATTATTTGACAGATAAATGGAATACAATAAATGGTAAGTATGTGACTTAGCACATTCTACACATTCCAATGTTAAATAAATGAACCACTCAACAAATTGGTTTGTAAAATTGGCTAAACATTAGGAAGAAATCTACCTTCTCATTTTATACTCTACTCCAAGGTAAATGTTAAAAATGTTGAGAAAAAAAAAAAAAAAGCCAGATACAAAACAGTATATGCTGTATTATTCCATTTATATAAGGTTTTTCTAAAAACAGACAAAAACTAATGTATGGTGTGAACAATCACGGTAGTGGTTCTTTCTGCGGTGGGGAGGTTAGTGACAGAGAGGGGACACTGGAAGGGGCTTCTGGGAGCTGATCAAGTTCTATTTCTTCATCTGAGTACTAGTGACGTGACTGTGTTCACTTTGTGAAAATTCATCAAGCTGTACTTATAGTTTTGAATAGAGAACTTTTCCTGTGTATTTATACTTAGCATTTCAATAAAAAGCTTATCCAACAAATAAGTAAGTGCTAAGCCAGCCAATGGCTCTGGCCAGACAATAGGCTTTTGGCACTTAAACAGGTATCTCTTTTTCACTTGTGCTTTGAGAAGAGGGGATAAAGTCTGTGATGAAAGTTTAACTTACTTAATTGTAATGAATTCAGCAGGTCCATAAAGACCTTGGGTTGAACTATGTCTTCATCCTTTCCAGGGGGGGTCGGATTTCACAGGGGCTCCAAGGGTCCCCATGCTGAATGGTACTGAGAGACCGTGCCCATGACCCTCACATGCTGACAGCAGAAATTTCACTGTTCTCTGAGGCACAGCTGAACATTTTAAAGACCAACACATCAGAGAATAGTAAGTCAGTATTCATATTAAAAGAGGAACATCTAATAGCCCAATCCTCATACTTGCCTAGGTCTGAAATACAAGTGTTGATCAACTTCCGTTTGCCCCCATGAACATCTTGGTACCACCTCAAGCCAATGAGCTGAGTTAGGGGACACCATATTTACTGGATACAACTCAAACGGTGCTTGATCTTAGTTCACTATCAGTTAGTTATAAAGGCATGTGCCATGTAAAACTTTTTTTTTTTTTTTTTTGAGACGAAGTTTCACTCTTTTGCCCAGGCTAGAGTTAAGTGGAACCATCTTGGCTCACTGCAACCTCCACCCCCCCGGTTCAATCGATTCTGCCGCCCCAGCCTCCCGAGTAGCTGGGATTATAGGCTCGCCACCACACTCTGATAATTTTTGTATTTTTAGTGGAGATAGGATTTCCCCATGTTGGCCAGGCTGGTCTGGAACGCCTGACCTCAGGTGATCCACCTGCCTTGGCCTCCCAAAGTGCTGGAATTACAGGCATGAGCCACCACGCCCAGTGTGCCACGTAAACTTTTGATACTGATTGTTGGCTTGATAAGTCTAGAAAAAAATTGTCTTTTGCTTTTGGAAAGGTATTTATTGTCTAGACAAAGTCTCAAAGCACAATTATGTGGATCTCTAACCATATAATCCTGGACTAATTTGTATAACAGTAGCAACAATTAAAATACCATAGTAGGGCCGGGAGCAGTGGCTCATGCCTGTAATCCCAGCACTTTGGGAGGCCAAGGCAGGTGGATCACTTGAGGTCAGGGGTTCAAGACCACCCTAGCCCACATGGTGACACTGTCTCTACTAAAATACAAAAATTAACTGGGCATGGTGGCACATGCCTGTAATCCAGCTACTCAGGAGGCTGGGACAGGAGAATTGCTTGAACCTGGGAGGAAGAGGTTGCAGTGAGCTGAGATCATGGCACTGCACTCCAGCCTGAGCAACAGAGTGAGATTCCATCTCAAAAAAAAAAAAAAAAAAAATTACTAGTAATGACATCTGATGTTTATTGAATAAGTATTTTGTGCCAGTCATTGTGCTAGATGCTTTACCTGTTTTACCTTATTTAACCTTCCCAATAACCCTATGAGATAAATATTATTGTCAATTCATCTTACAGGTAAAGAAAATGACATACGGAGAGGTCAGGTAACTGACTGAAGGCTATAGAGCCAGAAAGCTGCGTGGCTGAGAGTAGAACTCTTAACTTGCACAATTCTGCTCATACTGAAATGTTTGAGACAGTACTTTGGGTCCTTTGGCCAGTGAAACTGATAATTCAAATTTTTCTTAAAATTCCAAGTGAGTCCTAGCCATGCACGATTTTGTAAGTTAAGGAGGACCTAGCAATGATGTGGAGTATTTATTTACAAGAAATCTTAATGCAGTTGATTAAATCCTTTTTCTCTGATCAACAAATTTTTACCCTACCAACAGAAATTATCTTACAGGTTAATATTGGTCTTCTCGCAGCAATTCTAAAAACTTGGCAAATATGTGATTTGTTAGGGATAATTAAAAATCAAGGAATTCAACTGAAAGCATTCATGTAGGACAGGATCTATGCTGCCTGCTGAGAACCTGCTGTTTGGATTGGGACCTTTGTATGGGAGAAGGCTTAGAGAACCTTGGTGTTCCCAGAACTTACCAACAAAACAGGAAAGACAGGAAAGGCTGGACTAGGTTTCAAAAGTACTGCTTTAGAGACAAGGGAAGGGATTTAGCTTATCTCAAATGCAACCACTCCCCTCTTTTTAAAGAGGACTGATTACCTAAATTTCCAACTCCCAAAATTATTTATCCGTCTTTTCTACTCTGATTTGCTCCAGATCATCTCAAGTTTCCAAGTGCAGTTTATCACTCCCTGATGTAGCAATACTGTGGTGTGTATTACGTTCTTCTATCATAAGGTGCTCAACCTACAGTCACTGATTAAAAACACACGCAAAAACTCTGGTTTTCTAACACGGTCAAATTTACTGTTTGGAATCACAGAGCCCACTGACATAGCAGTATCCTTGTTATTAGTCACTTCCCCTGCCTCAGACTCTTCCTATAGGCCAGGCCTTTTTACAGCAGCCGCTCCCCCTCCTCCTCTACAACTGCCCCAAACTGTCTGCAGAGCAGAGGCAGGACCCTGTCACAACTCTTCTCCAGCCGAGCATCTTCAGATTTAATACAAAGGATGTGGTTCAGGATGAAACAGGCCTAGCTATACCCTGTATTTGCAGTCTCAAATGTCAAGGTCACCCTCACTTATTTCATAAGTGACTAAGTCCAGAACATGCCTCACATTCTTCCTTCTCTGTACCTTAGCTTGTGCTGCTTCTTCAGATTGAAATGCTCTTTCCCTATTTCTTCTGAGAAAAGCCTATCCATCCACCAAAACAAGGGTGGGCAAACCACAGCATGAGGGCTAAACTTGGCGGCTGGCTTTTTTGGTATATCGTATTTTATTGGAGCATAGGCACCCCCATTCATTCACATATTGTCTATGCTGCTTTCTCACTGTGCAGCTGAGTAGCTGTAACAGAGGCCAAATGGCCTGCAAAGCCCAAGATATTTACTATATGGTCTTTCCAAAAAAAAGGTTGCCAGCCCCTGCTCTACAAGCCCAGTTTAAATACCACCTCCCCCAGGTGCCTCCTCTGATTATCCTATTAGAGTTAATTTCTCCATCCTTTGCACTCCCATAGCACTGGGTCTCTTTTCAAAGTCATCAAAGGATTTCCAAATGGACAGTAAATGCCTTTCAGGGAAGGGGCCATGTATCGTTCAACTCTTTCTCTTCATAATATATTGTACACAGTAGGTGCTTACAGATATCCATTGAAATGTTTAATTATCTTGCAGGAATATCAATTCAGACAAAGAGCAATGTTTTCTTTAATCAAAGAAAGAAAATCAGTCCTGATTCACACTAAACACTAGATAATAAAGGGAAAAATAAATATTGATCAATGAGACAAATTCTGCCCCCAAAGCATAACAAATATAGGCGTGACTATAAGGCCACAAAGAAAGTTAAAGGGTGGGGCTATGTGAAAGTACATTTTCCAAGGAAGAACATGAATATTGATTCAGAATTCAGACAGAAGGAGTGAGTCTTTCCCATGCTGACATTTATATGGTTTCTAATTCAGAGAATAGTGTCTGGCTTGGGGACAGAGTAGGGTAGAGTCAGGAGATGCCAAAAGTTATTCTTAAAGCTGTTGATGCTAAAACAGCCAGAGCAAAGCTAATAAAGGCGGTTCATGATGAGAGGGAGAAAGGAGGCTTATCTTCAAAGACCACCCCTTCAGTGACTTATCTGCAAGACTTCAAGGTTTAGAAGAAGAGCACAATGTGCCTAGAGTTCTGCTTAATAAAAAAGGGGAAAGGGTGCTCAACTTCTTCCATGGGAAAGTAAGGCCTGAAGAGAGAAGAGGGCAATCTTAGAAGGCAGGTTTCACATTTCTGAAGCTCTGATGCTCACGAGGAAGGAAGAGAGGCTCCCAGTGAGAGCAGTAACCATGGAGAAGCAAAGGGTGGGTCATCCCCAGCTGTTGGTTAAGAAATCTTCAAGATTACTGTTTTTCTCAGGAGTCACTTCTCTTTCATTAAGTCAACTATATTTATTAAACGTTGTTTAAACCTTAGATATCTCTTCTTGGGGCTTAGCTTGTATTAGTTCCCTAATGTGGTAGCTCAGTGATCTAACATATCACAAAAAAGCAAGACTTTGATTCAAACAGGGAAGATTTAAATGCACTTCCAAGTGGGTTAGGGAATAGGCGGATCTAGGGACAGTGTTAACCACATTGGACTTGCAGATAATGGATTCTCAGCTATTATCCTAATCCAGATAGGAGACCTGGGAGCGATTAACAGCCCTGCTGAAGATGCTGTCCTTAGGCGCTGCTGCCTAGAGTGGGCTAGGAGACAATGTTATTCCTCATGCAAGGATAGCGGTGTCAAATCACTTCCATAAAAATTCAAGACTCAGCCAGCTCAGCAACTGTTTCCTGCATTTGAGGAAAGTATCACATTAAGTGTAGGAAAACAGGTGTGGGCATTTTGCATATTTCTGAGACAGACGATACAATTAAAAGCAAAAACAAACCACAGCTTAACTATTTCCCCAGAAAATGAAAGACAAATCCATGTACAAACAGGAAAACTCAGTCTCACATTTCCAGGGTAGCTAGGTGCTAACTATCAATACAAAGCAGAAAATGTGAAACAATCAGCAGAAGGGGGTGGGGCAGAGTTGATTTCCTTTCGTTCCAGCATATCTGAAAGCTTTTCAAGGCAAAGGACTCTGAAAGTGAAAAGAAAGTCCCTGTAAACAGATGCAAGGACATCAGAGCTGTCCTAAATCAAAGGGAGGTGCGCTGTCAGACACCATGTGGAAAGTATGTAATCCAAAAGTAAGTCCAGGAGTGCTAAAACAAACAACAGCATCTTTCCAAATCACAGCAAGAGGGCACAGTCTCTTTGGCATGGAATCTTTGTTTTGTGAATATTTGGTTCTGGACAAGAGTCATAAAAGCTTTTGGTGAAGAAAAGGCAAGAACTGAGTCCAAATAAAAAACAAATACTCAATGATCACTTTCCTCATCTACCAGCATTGACGAGGAACATTCAGCCAAGAGTCAGGATATCACTTTGAGTTGTTTGTGACTTAATCGTCTCCAGGGGCTGCCATGACCTGCAGCAGGTAACAAAGCCCAGCGCAGCATCTTGTCCTGATGCCTCAGAGCTGACCATTGGTGCCTATTATATCACATGCTTAAATACTCTTTCAAAAACACACTTGAAGTGTTGGCGAGAATGTGGAGACATTGAAACTCTGGTTGGAAGATAAAATGGGGCAGTTGCTGTAGACAGCAGTTTGGCAGTTTCTCAAAAAGTTAAATATAGAGTTACCATATGACTCATCAATTCCACTCCTAGGTATATACCCAAAAGAATTGGAAGTAGTGACTCAAACAGGTAGTTGTATGCCAATGTTCATAGCGCATTATTCACAATAACCAAAAGAGAGAAACAGCCCAGGTGCCCATCAACAGATGAATGGATAAACAAAATGTGGCATATACATAAAAAAGAAATGAAATTCTGGTGCATATTACCACAGGGATGAATCTTGAAAACATTATGCTAAGTGAAATAAGCCAGACACAAAAGGACAGATACTGTGTGATTCTACTTGTATGAGGTTCCTAGAATAGGTCAGTGCATGAGGCAGAGAGTTGAAGTTACCAGGGGCTTGGAGGACGGGGAAAGAAGGGGGCTATTGTTTACTGAGTACAGCTTTTGGGATAAGAAAATATTCTGAGGCTGGGCGCAGTAGCTCACACCTGTAATCCCAGCACTTTGGGAGGCCGAGGTGGGCAGATCACGAGGTCAAGAGATTGAGACCATCCTGGCCAACATGGTAAAACCCTGTCTCTACTAAAAATACAAAAATTAGCCAGGCATGGTGGTGCATGCCTGTAGTCCCATCTACTTAAGAGGCTGAGGCAGGAGAATCGCTTGAACCCGGGAGGCAGAGGTTGCAGTGAGCTGAGATCGTGCCACCGCACTCCAACCTGGGCGACACAGCGAGACTCCGTCTCAAAAAAAAATTCTGAAAATGGATCGTGGTGATAGCAGTGAATGTACTTAATGCCACTGAATTATACACTTAACATCATTAAAATGATAAATGTTATGTTTATATATATTTTACCACAATAAAAAAAGAAAAAACACACACTTGATGTTTTATTTCTCTAAAATGTTCTACTCTTTTTAAGAGCTGGATACTCTTTTAAAAGCTAGTTCCAGAAGGTCTGCTGAGGCAAGATGGTGCAAGTCTAGTGACTAAGATAATAACTATGGAGATTTAGCCCAAGGATTCCCAAAGAGAGCATGGGATGCATGATTGTAATCAAGTTTGAGGTAGCAGTGGGGACAGGGATGGAACAGTGAGGAGGGTGCAAGATGGCTGCAAGGAATTCAGTGGAACATGTCTTTCTTCCAGTGGCTGGGAAGTGAGAAGACACAAATACCACCCCACCCTGCCATATTTTTCTTGCAAATGGCCATGGTCATAAACATGCAGGGAAGGTCATAAGTGAGGCCTGTGCCCAGGTTCAAGTCCTGACTCCACCCCTCACAAATTGTTTACCACAGGCAGGTCCCTCAACTATAAAATGCAGATGATGACATTAGTTCCCACCTTGTGTGAGTGTTGTGAGGGTTAGATGAAGGAGGTGGGAGACCCAGGATTCCAAGCATCTAGTGAGTAGTAATATGACTCCAGTACCACGAGCGAGGTCTCATGATCAAGAGGGGCTAAGATGTCTGAGCACAGAACCCCCACACGGGCTGCACACCATGCATGGGCCTCAGGAGAGCCAGCACGACCTTTATTTCTGTATCCACACCACTGAGCACAGTTCCTGGCTCATGGTGTGTACTCCAGAGAAGACTGTCTAAGGCTGGCCTGTTTGTCTTCAAGGATTGCACGGCCTCACCGGGAAGAGCACAGACATGTAAACAGATAAACTACAGTAAAATATATTTAAGTACCGAGCTGGAGAGATGATCAGAGTTCTATGAGAATCCAAAGAAAAACTGACTTTCTTTGCTTTTCTTTTTTTTCTGTCCTTTATTCTTCTGCCATGTATTAAGAAAGCAAGAAAGGACTCCAAACACCACAGGGCTGGCTATAAAAGGGCATTTTAAGATGGTACTTCTGTTGTTGGGGCTGCCTCACAGCTGTTCAGAGATAAGCAATCTAGGGGCCCACTACCAAGAACTGAGTGAAATCTGGAAAGTAAACCAAAGGAGGGGGATTGGATTGGAAGCTAAGGATTCAGAGTGAGCTGATGAATGTGAACTTAATGGTAC
Source organism: Homo sapiens (assembly GCF_000001405.40). NCBI lineage: Eukaryota > Metazoa > Chordata > Mammalia > Primates > Hominidae > Homo > Homo sapiens. The sequence continues at coordinate 71,675,020 of NC_000015.10, read as the reverse complement.
ATAAAACGGTCATTCAAAGAAAACCTTAGATATTTATTGTTATTTTAAAAATATCATTCTGAAATAAGTGGCCTACAAAACTTCAGCACTGAAAGGGATCTTAGTGATCAAACAGGCCAGGGTTTCTTACTTCAGCACCACTGAGGTTTAGAGCTGAATAATTCTTCACTGTGGGAGCCGCCCTGTGCACTGTGGAAGGTTCAGCAGCATCCCTGGCCTCTATCGACAGATGCCAGCAGCACCCGCCTCCCCCCTTCTCTGCCCTCACTGTAACAATCGAAATGCCTCCAGCCATTGCCAAATGTATGGGGAGCGGGTGCAGAATAGTCCCTAGTTGACACCTACTGACATAGGGAAAAGGCCTTTTATCCTGAAAGGACATTGCAATCACCTTTAAAGTTTAAAAAAAAATCCTGAAGTCCAGGCTGTCAGGCTGTGCCCCTGACCAATTAAACATGCAGGTGGGACTCAGGCATCAGCATAGTTCAAACATGCCTCACACAGCATGCCTCCCATGAGTGCAATGTGCAGCCAGGGTGAAAAGCACTGATCCAGGGAGATATGGGAACTAATAGGGTTGACATGCAGGGTATTTTACCTACATTTTCTCATTTAAAGGTAATAGTTCTATGACATTGTAATTGTTTTCCTATTTTGCCTATGGGGAAACCGAATCTCAGAAAAGTTAAGGAACTTGTCCAAGAGCATCCCAGCTGGAAATAAGAGCTCTGCAAAGACCAATTTCAATGGGCAGAGCTGGACTGTAAATGGAAGACAAGGCCAAGAACTGGAGACCACATAAGAGCAAGAGCAGAGGAATGCCACTTAGACCACTGGATGCAGCCTAGGGCTGGGGGAGTAAGGTGGAGAGGCATAAACACATCATCACACATTTATACCCCTAGAGAAACCATTCTCTGAATAGAATGAGGTCAGCACAGGAGACGCACAGAAGAAGCATGTCTACTTTTCTTTCTCTTTTTGTTCTTCTGGGAAGAGGCAACTACTCCGACAGACAGTTGGGTGCAAAAGCCATAAGAACACACAACTGTGCCAGTTAAATCAGGTAGGCTTTTGATGTCTAAGAAGAAAAGTATATGGCCAGCCGTGGTGGTGGGCGCCTGTAGTCCCAGCTACTCGGGAGGCTGAGGCAGGAGAATGGTGTGAACCTGGGAGGCGGACCTTGCAGTGAGCCGAGATCTTGCCACTGCACTCTAGCCTGGGCGACAGAGCGAGACTCTCTGAACAACCTGCTCCTGAAATGACTACTGGGTACATAACGAAATGAAGACAGAAATAAAGATGTTCTTTGAAACCAATGAGAACAAAGACACAATGTACCAGAATCTCTGGGACACATTTAAAGCAGTGTGCAGAAGGAAATTTATAGCACTAAATGCCCACAAGAGAAAGCAGGAAAGATCTAAAATTGACACCCTAACATCACAATTAAAAGAACTAGAGAAGCAAGAGCAAACAAATTCAAAAGCTAACAGAAGGCAAGAAATAACTAAGATCAAAGCAGAACTGAAGGAGATAGAGACACAAAAAACCCTTCAAAAAAATCAATGAATCCAGGAGCTGGTTTTCTGAAAAGACTGATAAAATTGTTAGATCGTTAGCAAGACTAATAAAGAAGAAAAGAGAGAAGAATCAAATAGACGCAATAAAAAATGATAGAGGGGATATCACCACCGATCCCACAGAAATACAAACTACCATCAGAGAATACTATAAACACCTCTATGCAAATAAACTAGAAAATCTAGAAGAAATGGATAAATTCCTGGACACATACACCCTCCCAAGACTAAACCAGGAAGAAGTTGAATCCCTGAATAGACCAATAACAGGCTCTGAAATTGAGGCAATAATTAATAGCCTGCCAACCAGAAAAAGTCCCAGACCAGGCGGATTCACAGCCGAATTCTACCAGAGGTACAAAGAGGAGCTGGTACCATTCCTTCTGAAACTATTCCAATCAATAGAAAGAGAGGGAATATTCCTTAACTCATTTTATGAGGCCAGCATCATTCTGATACCAAAGCCTGGCAGAGACACAACAAAAAAAGAGAATTTTAGACCAATATCCCTGATGAACATTGATGCAAAAATCCTCAATAAAATACTTGCAAACCGAATCCAGCAACACATCAAAAAGCTTATCCTCTAAGATCAAGTTGGCTTCATCCCTGGGATCCAAGGCTGGTTCAACATACGCAAATCAATAAACATAATCCGTCACATAAACAGAACCAAAGACAAAAACCACATGATTATCTCAATAGATGCAGAAAAGGCCTTTGACAAAATTCAACAGCACTTCATGCTAAAAACTCTCAATAAACTAGGTACTGATGGAATGTATCTCAAAATAATAAGAGCTATTCATGACAAACCCACAGCCAATATCATACTGAATGGGCAAAAACTGGAAGCATTTCCTTCGAAAACTGGCACAAGACAGGGATGCCCTCTCTCACCACTCCTATTCAACATAGTGTTGGAAGTTCTGGCCAGGGCAATCAGGCCAGAGAAAGAAATAAAAGGGTATTCAATTAGGAAAAGAGGAAGTCAAATTGTCCCTGTTTGCAGATGACATGATTGCATATTTAGAAAACCCCATCGTCTCAGCCCCAAATCTCCTTAAGCTGATAAACAACTTCAGCAAAGTCTTAGGATACAAAATCAAGGTGCAAAAATCACAAGCATTCCTATACACCAGCAACAGACAAACAGAGAGCCAAATCATGAGTGAACTCCCATTCACAATTGCTTCAAAGAGAATAAAATACCTAGGAATCCAACTTACAAGGGATGTGAAGGACCTCTTCAAGAAGAACTACAAACCACTGCTCAACAAAAATAAAAGAAGACACAAACAAATGGAAAAACATTCCATGCTCATGGATAGGAAGAATCAATATTGTGAAAATGGCCATACTGCCCAAGGTAATTTATAGATTCAATGCCATCCCCATTAAGCTACCAATGACTTTCTTCACAGAATTGGAAAAAACTACTTTAAAGTTCATATGGAACCAAAAAAGAGCCCGCATTGCCAAGACAATCCTAAGCCAAAAGAACAAAGCTGGAGGCATCAAGCCACCTGACTTCAAACTATACTACAAGGCTACAGTAACCAAAACAAGCATGGTACTGGTACCAAAACAGAGATATAAACCAATGGATCAGAACAGAGCCCTCAGAAATAACACCACATATCTACAACCATCTGATCTCTGACAAACCTAACAAAAACAAGAAGTGGGGAAAGGATTCCCTATTTAATAAATGGTGCTGGGAAAACTGGCTAGCCATATGTAGAAAGCTGAAACTGGATCCCTTCCTTACACCTTATACAAAAATTAATTCAAGATGGATTCAAGACTTAAATGTTAGACCTAAAACCATAAAAACCCTAGAAGAAAACCTAGGCAATACAATTCAGGACACAGGCATGGGCAAGGGCTTCAGTCTAAAACACCAAAAGCAATGGCAACAAAAGCCAAAATTGACAAATGGGATCTAATTGAACTCAAGAGCTTCTGCACAGCAAAACAAACTACCATCAGAGTGAACAGGCAACCTACAGAATGGGAAAAAATTTTTCCAATCTATCCATCTGACAAAGGGCTAATATCCAGAATCTACAAAGAACTTAAACAAATTTCCAAGAAAAAATCAAACAACTCCATCAAAAAGTGGGCGAAGGATATGAACAGACACTTCTCAAAAGAAAACATTTATGCAGCCAACAGACACATGAAAAAATGCTCACCATCACTGGCCATCAGAGAAATGCAAATCAAAACCACAATGAGATACCATCTCACACCAGTTAGAATGGCAATCATTAAAAAGTCAGGAACTACAGGTGCTGGAGAGGATGTGGAGAAATAGGAACACTTTTACACTGTTGGTGGGACTGTAAATTAGTTCAACCATTGTGGAAGACAGTGTGGCAATTCCTCAAGGATCTAGAGACCCAGCCATTCCATTACTGGGTATATACCCAAAAGATTATAAATCATGCTGCTATAAAGACACATGCACACGTATGTTTATTGCGGCACTATTCACAATAGCAAAGACTTGGTACCAACCAACCCAAATGTCCATCACTGATAGACTGGATTAAGAAAATGTGGCACATATACACCATGGAATACTATGCAGCCATAAAAAAAGGATGAGTTCATGTCCTTTGTAGGGACATGGATGAAGCTGGAAACCAGCATTCTGAGCAAACTATTGCAAGGACAGAAAACCAAACACCGCATGTTCTCACTCATAGGGGGGAAATGAACAATGAGAACACTTGGACACAGGATGGGGAACATCACACCGGGGCGTGTTGTGTGGCAGGGGGATGGGGGAGGGATAGCATTAGGAGATATACCTAATGTAAATGACAAGTTAATGGGTGCAGCACACCAACATGGCACATGTATACATATGTAACAAACCTGCACGTTGTGCACATGTACCCTAGAACTTAAAGTATATATATACATATATGTAAAATTTAAATCTAAAAAAAAACAAACAAAAAAAGAAAATGTGGCACATATACACCATGGAATACTATGCAGCCATAAAAAAGGATGAGTTCATGTCCTTTGTAGGGACATGGATGAAGCTGGAAACCATCATTCTGAGCAAACTATTGCCAGGACAGAAAACCAAACACCGCATGTTCTTACTCATAGGTGGGAATTGAACAATGAGAACACTTGGACACAGGGCAGGGAACATCACACACCGGGGCCTGTCATGGGGTGGGGGATAGGGGAGGGATAGCATTAGGAGAAATACCTAATGTAAATGACGAGTTAATGGGTGCAGCAAACCAACATGGCACAGGTATACATATGTAACAAACCTGCACACTGTGCACATGTACCCTAGAACTTAAAGTATAATAATAAAAAAAAAGGTACACCCGAAGTGGCATAATCCTGGAGGCTTCCTTGGCAGTGGAGCTGAAGAGAAGCCTGTTTCTTGTCATTGCAAGGAAATTGCAAGGCAAACTAAACAGGTTTGTTAAGCAGTCACTGATACATATTGGAGTCTTGAGATAAAGCAGGGAAAATATGTATTAAATTCATTATCATGCTAGGCAATTCGTGTTTATCCTACTGAATCCTCATATGCCTCTAAGAGAGGATGATTTGTATCTGTCTGCCTGTCTGACCCCTGCCCACGCACACTCAGAGGAAACCTGCCTGACTGCAGCCTGGCAGCATACTGGGCTCTGCTCCATTTGGAGAAAAGGACTGTTGCAAAAACAGATGAAAGTAATTGTGGAGGAAAGCAACTGAACGTACCTAGAATAAGCAACTATCCATTATCTTTATAAATATAAACTGACAACTAAGGATTGATCATCAGACATTCAGAAGAAAACTAAACAAAACGGGCAAGTTTTAATAAAAATTCTTAAAAGCTAGTTATAGAAAGAAAAATCCTTATTTTGGTGAAAGGTATCTGTCAGAAAACCAACAGCCACAAAAAAAAAGGACAGAATTGTGTATACCTGTGTAACAAACCTGCACTTTCTGCACATGTACCCCAGGACTTAAAGTATAATAAAAAAAGATGAAAATTTTTCACCACAGAGTAATAGATAATTTAAGCAGAGTTGAAATGTAAGATAAAGGCTAATATTTTAGATAGACATCACCAAAAATGGTTATTACTGATTATGTATATGAGTTCTTAAAATCAATAAGAAAACTACAAGTGCAATTTAAAAATGTCAAAGTCATAGAGTATAAAGAACAATAAAAATTAGTGGTCAGGAAAATGCAAATAAAAAAGATCTAGTAAGAATTAAGTACACTTATAATATTTAGTTTTGGTAACGGTGTGAAGAAAGAATTATTTCATGTGCTTCTGGTGGGAGTGTAAATTGGCACGACTTTGGAGAGAAATTTTGCTTTATTTTCCAGAATTTTAAGTGTGCATTCCATTTGACCTACAAATTCTTCTGCCAAGAGTCTATCCTACAGAATTATTTATATAAGTATGAAAAGATATACATATTAGGATATTCATGGAAGCAGTACTTGTTAGAGAACCTTTAAGTTTTCTTCTCCAAGAATTTGCTCAGTTTCTTCCAGAAATAACTTTTCCAGTTATTTATCTTGGGCCTTATCTTTCATGCTATAGGCTTAAGAAAATGTCTAGTGATCCTTGGTCACCCATTCATGTTATCTTCAGTTATCCATTGGCATTCAAGACAAAAGCAATGTGAAGGTTTCCTGAGAACCCTGTGCACGTTGTGAGAGTTTGTTAAAAGGCTAAGTTCTACAGAGTCAGAGAGTGGGGTACCAGTCAGCAAGCTGCCCTTTCTCCAATTCCACAATGAAGACAGAAGTCTTGCAGCACCCACCTCTCATCCATGTCCTAGTTCCTTTCCGTATTTGGACGAGGAGGCAATGCCAGCATTCTGAATGTGTGTGTGTGCTGGGAGTGGGGGTGTCTGTTCCACAGACAGGTTTTTTCACTTCTTTCCCCATTTTCAGCCACATTCTCCCCTTCTCCCCTCCCTTTTACCTGCTGTCTTCCAGGCTCAGAGCCTCTTGGGGCTTCATCTCACAGGTCAGCCCCTTCTCATCCCAGACCCCCTCTGCACACCTGGGCTGTGATTTCCTCTGCTCTGCTAGTGAACATCCTCCCATCTGCTTTCTGTCTTCCAAAAATCTGTTAAGATATTTGCTCACTGATGCCCCCACTCCAGTCTTAGTGGTTTTAGGTCACATCTTTTAGTTAAATCGCTTTAGTATCATTTTGAAGGAATCTTTGGAGAAAGGGAAGAAAAGCTCATGTGCTCAGTCTGCCATCTTGAACCAAAATTCTAAAGTATTATTTGTAATGTTAGAAAACTAGAGGCAATCTAAACATCCCTCAGTAGGGAAGTACCTAAATAAATAATGGTACATCCACTGTACAGAATACTCTGCACTAAAAAAAAATCAATAACATAGGCTTATATGTATTAATATGAAAAGATACCCATGATATGATATTAAAATAAGGACACAAATTGCAAAAAGTATGTATAGTAATATCAATTTTAGAAAATAGCTATTTATTGGTACTTACAGAAAGGGCTGGAGAATACACAATGAACTGTGAACAGTGGTTATTTACCTTCAAGTAGTCTTTACACTTGAAGGCAGTGGATCAAGTGTGGAGTTTGTATGAAGAGGGAATTTTACCTTTTTGCTCTATTTCATTTGTCTTCCTTGAAATTTTTACAGTGAACATGCAAAAAATATTAGGGATTAATAGTCATACGAATGTAAGACATCATAGTATTTAAACATCCAATGTTTCCTGTAAAGAAAGCTGTTCAAAGAATAAATTAAAGCTTGCAAATTATAGATGATCCATGATACTTGACTTTTTTCAATGCTGACCATTACTGTTGTTTAAAACTTTTAGGAGAACATGCTTAAAAGTAAGAATACTGCCAGTTTATTTTTGAAAGTTTACAGATCTTTAAAAATTCCTTCCAAGTCTAAAACTCTATGACAATCTAACATGTTGGCAGGTGGTACATGTCTTGTATAATCAATTTGTGCTTGGTATGCTTTTATGTCTGATTTCTTAACTGTTGCATAATGACATTAGTAAACTGAACTGACTGAACTATGCCAAACTTTGATATTTCAGCTAAAATAATTTTACAATATCTTTTATTAAGAAAAAGGCAAGTAATACAAAATGTCAATCATTTAAATAAACTTTTTTTTCCCCAAATGGCAGAGTTCAGAATAATTCACATACAAAAGGAGAATTCATAGCTTACAATAGATACAGGAGTTCTAAAGTCTTTCCCATTTAAAAAAATTTAGGACTCTAGAACTCATGAAACAGTCTATATTTTGGAGCATGTAAACAAATTCAAATAAACAGAAATTTGGAGCTCAAGTCTGCAGAGTTTCATTGGTGTATAACCCCAAATGAGATGAATAAACATCTTATCTCCTGAAATATGTGCACCATTAAATGTTATGATTTCTCTAGCTTTGCTTGGAGACAAGAGTAAGCATTGTGGTGAGTTGGCCTCTTCCCCCAGCTCTACATAGGCCACTCCTCCTAGGAGTTATGGCTGGGAAGGGGCCAGACCCAAAGCCTTCAGAATCTGAGTCTAGTAGGCTAGGCCTTGATGGTCAAACTAAATTAAGCCAGAAACTCAGAGTTAACTTTAATGTACCATCACTATAAATATATCAGCCAAGGTTTCTGGAATACATGCCTCCGTTTTCTATTTAGTTTTTAAGTTTTAAATTTTAATTTTCATATCTTAACTCTATAATTATACCTTCAGTAAGTTTTAGTAAGTCTAAAGCATTTTGAAATAAGCAAAGTATTAATAGTAAGTTTTAGTACGTCTAAAGCTTTTTGGAATAAGCAAAGTATTAATAAATAATGTCCAGTGTTAAAGATCAGAAGGCCATGTATGTGAAAATGCTTTGGAGACTGAAGTATTATATATGTGTGGTATGACTACTGTTATTAACTGAGAAGCCTAGGGTGGGAGGAGGGAGAAGATCAGGAAAAATAACTTAGGGGTACTAGGTTTAATACCTGGGTGATGAAATAATCTGTACAACAAACCCCCATAATACAAGTTTAACTATGTAACAAACCTGCACTTGTACCTTTAACTTAAAAGTTAAAAAAAGAGAATCCTAGGGATGCTCATTTAAATATTGAGGGCTTAAAAAATCATTTAAAATGAGGTAATTCAAAAAGAACAAAATACTTAGGAATACAGCTAACCAGGGAGGTGAAAGATCTCTGAAATTTTAATTCAAAACACCACTCAAGGAAATCAGAGATGACATAAACAAATGGAAAAACATTCCATGCTCATGGATAGGAAGAACCAATATCATTAAAATGGCTATACTGCCCAAAGCAATTTACAGATTCAATGTTATTCCTACCAAACTACCAATGAAATTCTTCACAGAACTAGAAAAAACTATTTTAAAATGCATATGGATCAAAAAAAGAGCCCCAAAGGCCAAGGCAATCCTAAGCAAAAAGAACAAGGCTGGAAGCATCACGTTACCTGACTTTAAACTATACTACAGGGCTACGGTAATCAAAACAGAGTGGTACTGGTACAAAAACAGACACATAGACCAGTGAAACAGAATAGAGAAATAAGGCCCAGAAATAAGGCCACACACCTACCACTATCTGATCTTCGACAAAGCTGACAAAAACAAGCAATTGGGAAAGGACTCCCTATTCAATAAGTGGTCCTGGGAGAACTGGCTAGCCATATGGAGAAGATTGAAACTGGACCCCTTGCTTACACCATATATAAAAATCAACTCAAGATAGATTAAAGACTTAAATGTAAAACCCAAAACTATAAAACCCTAGAGGACAACCTAGGTAACACCATTCTGGACACAGGAACTAGCAAGGATTTCATGATGAAGATGCTAAAAGCAATTGAAACAAAAGCTAAAATTGACAGATGGGATGTAATTAAACTTAAGAGCATCTGCACAGCAAAAGAAACTGTCAACAGAGTAAACAGATACCCTACAGAATGGGAGAAAATATTTGCAAACTATACATCAGACAAAGGTCTCATATCCAGCATCTATAAGGAACTTTCACAAGTTTACGGAAAAAAAAACAACCCCATTAAAAAGTGGGCAAAAGACATGAACAGAAGACATACTTTTCAAAAGATGACGTATGTATGGCCAACAAGCATATGCAAAAAAGCTCAATATCACTAATCATTAGAGAAATGCAAATCAAAACCACAATGAGATACCATCTTACACCAGTCAGAATGGCTATTAATAAAAAGTCAAAAAAGAACAGATGCTGGCGAGGTTATGGAGAAAAGGAAACACTTATACACTGTTGCTGGAAATGTAAATATTTTCCAACTATGGTGGAAAGCAGTGTGGTGATTCCTCCAAGAGCTAAAAACAGAACTACCATTCGACCCAGCAATCCCTTACTGGGTATATACCCAAAGGAATGTAAATCATCCTACCATAAAGACACATGCATGCATATGTTCACTGCAGCACTATTCATTATAGCAAAGACATGGAATCAACCTAAATGCCCAACAATGACAGATGAGAGAAAGAAAATGTGGTACATATACACCATGGAATAGTATGCAGCCATAAAAAGAATAAGACAATGTCCTTTGCAGGAACATGGGTGAAGCTGGAGATCATTATACTTAGAAAACCACGCAGGAACAGAAAACCAAATACCACATGCTATCACTTACAAGTGGGAGCTAAATGATGGAAGACATGGACACACACAGAGAAACAACAGACACTAGGGCCTACTTGAGGGTGGGAGGAGGGAAAGGATCAGAAAAAATAACTATTGGATACTAGGCTTAGTACCTGGGTGACACAATCTGTACAAAAAACCCCAGTGACGTGATTTTACCTATATAAAAACCTGCACATGTACACCTGAAGCTAAAATAAAAGTAAAAAATAAGATTAAATGAGGTGATTAAATCATCAGCTTCAGCATTAATAAATACAAGTCTGCCTTTTTCATAGAAATCTATTTTCTATTGTTACTGGGGAATCAGTTATTTAAAAAAATACCAAATATTTCACAGGGAAAGTTTTATTTGCATGACAAATAACTAAAGGTAATTCTGGAAACAACAGGAAACTAAAAAAAAATAAAGTTGTAAAAGTTCTGGAATCTTTGGCTGGGCATGGTGGCTCATGCCTGTAATCCCAGCACTTTGGGAGGCTGAGGCGGGCGGATCACGAGGTCAGGAGATCGAGACCATCCTGGCTAACACGGTGAAACCCCATCTCTACTAAAAATACAAAAAATTAGCCGGGTATGGTGGTGAGCGCCTGTAGTCCCAGCTACTCGGGAGGCTGAGGCAGGAGAATGGCGTGAACCCGGGAGGTAGAGCTTGCAGTGAGCTGAGACGGCGCCACTGCACTCCAGCCTGGGCGACAGAGTGAGACTCTGTCTCGGAAAAAAAAAAAAGTTCTGGAATCTTGAAAGCAATGATACAAATGTGAAGTATTCATTTCCTTTATATTGCTTATTCTGCAGATCAAACTTATGCAAATAGCTGAGTAAATTTTGTGTATCAAGTCAAATTTTACAGAAAATACAGTTTTCATAGCCAGAACTCACAAGGTAAGAAAACCAGAACCCTCATTGTTACCTAGAGAATTATGGAGAAACCTACCACATATCTCTTTGAAAAAGGTTTCAGTGTTTGACAATGTACAATGTAAAAAATAGCCGTCGAAGAGTTCAAAATAGCTAGATACACCTGGTAGTGGTTTCTACATGATCTCAAGCAATCTCATGTATATTTACTTTTAAAATATACAGACTTCACAGAGCAGGAATAGTGGGTTTGGTAAAGAGAACACCTGTGAAGAGAAAAGGGCCGTAACCAACGTACACTTCAAAAGGATGAATTTTATGGCATGTGAATTATAGATCAATTTTTTAAAAAGAGAATACACAAAGCACCCCAGGTGACGTAAGTGCTCTAGAAGGAATCTCTGTTCGTCATCTCTGGAATCTGCTTTCATTAGAGCCTGCTCTTTTGTTTCTGCTCTCTCTCCTTCACACACGGGACCTTATGTAATATTTTCATGGACGCTACCGATTTCATGTGCACCCCACTGATCTTTGGGCATAGGAAGTTGAACTTGACTTTTTGAATCACCTCTCCATTGACTTTTTTCTTTTTCTTTTTTTTTTGATATAGTGTCTTGCTTTATTGCCCAGGCTGGAGTGCAGTGGCACGATTACAACTCACTGCAGCCCTGACCTCTTGGGCCCAAGTGATCCTCATGCCTAAGCCTCCCAAGTAGCTAAGACTATAGGCATGTGTCACCGCATCTGGCTGATTTTTAAATTTTTTTGTAGAGATGGGGTCTCACTTGATGTTGCGCAGGCTGGTCGTGAACTCTTGACTTCAAGCAGTCCTCCTGCCTTGGCCTCCCACAGCGCTGGGCTTACAGACATGAACCTCCCTGCCCGCCCCTCACTGACTCCATTTTCCCTCTGCCTTCCCTTCATCTTTTTTAAGGAAAGAGGAAATGTTTATTCCACAATTTTGATGGAATCAAAACTGACAATCTCTCTGAGACAAAAGAAAGGCAATGAACATTTGTCAACTGCCTAATAGGTGTCAGGGGCTCTGCCGAGTCTGAAATATCTGTATCCTATTGAATCGCATGACTACTTATAAGGTGAAGATTCTTATTCCCATACTCCAGATGAAAACAACAAGCCTCCGAGAGCTTCCTCCATTCAGACATCCAGTAGATATTCACCCAGAATGTCTATTTTTTATTCAGGGGGCACAGCTTGAAAACTGCTTACTGAATACAACTAACTATAGCCAGGGAAAATGTACTAAAAGCAACACAAAGCTAATAAAAAGTGGCATTGTTTGCCGGTACATCTGAACACAATCACAATTCAAATAATCCCCAGAAGAACATTTCCCATTCTAGGAGGCAGGATGTTTATGGAGATGTGATCTCATAGCAGTACAAAAGAAAGGAGGAAACACACAAACACTATTTTTCAGTATTAAAAAGAATATACAAAGCACTCACTGGGAAACTAGGTTTTCTGACACTCTGGTGGCTCCTGGGTTTTGTCAAAGCAAATTGAACAGTTTTTCTTTGATTGGGTTTGTCTCTGAGTCCCATCTGCCATCCCTTCCTCCTCCCCCCCCGTAAAACCACTTAGTTTTGGCTGCATTTGACTAGATGGGGATGGAAGAGCTGTAGAATATGGAGTTCCCGAGTCTGGAGTTAACTTGTGGGTGATCCTGATATTTGAAAGTTGCAGACTTAATAGTCTTTCAAGTGCTGCAGCCATTGACTGCTGCACGGCCAGTGGCACACCAGAGGAACTTAGGTTCTGAGACTGCCCATGGGTATCATCTCTTGACAGGCTACTACACCTGGAGCTAGACTGCCTGGTCTGAACCCCAGCTCCACCTCGTTATGGTATGGTGAGCTTGGCAAGGTACATAATCTCTCTGTGCCTGCTTTCTTACATGTAAAGTGGGGATGGGAATAGCTTCTTTTCCCTGTTGAGAGAATTCAAAGATTGAATGCTTGCAACACATTAAGAATAGTGCCTGACACATAGTTTGTTTTAGGTAAGTTCCTGTTCAATAAATAATTAAAAGATAAAAATGAATATAGCTATTCATTAAACAAATGGCTCCCTTATATTGTTAACTGATTTAAACATGCTTACATCTATTAGAAATTCATAAAAAGTAATTTGTTCAAGGCCAGGCGTGGTGGCTCATGCCTGTAATCTCAGCACTTTGGGAGGTCGAGGTGGGCAGACCACTTGAGGCCAGGAGTTCAAGACCAGCTTGGCCAACATGGTGAAACCCCATCTCTACTAAAAATACAAAAATTAACTGGGTGTGTTGGTGCACGCCTGTGGTCCCAGCTACTCGGGAGGCTGAGGCAGGAGAATCATTTGAACCTGGGAGGCGGAGGCTGCAGTGAGCAAAAATCGCACCACTGCACTCGAACCTGGGTGACAGGGCAAGATTCTGTCTCAAAAAAAAAAAATAAATAAATAAATAATGTGTTCGATTGGCTTGTGGTTTTTATCAGATGGAATGCAAATAGCTCCAAAGTCCAGAAGGAAGTATCAACAAAGATCTTTTGTAGAAAAATGGGTTAAAATTGGCCTCTCAGTATTGATGATGTTGCCCAAAATGATTGCTGGAGGATTCCACAGCTTTTCAGAAGACATGCACACTACTATGTATAGGTCTGCTGCCCCAGGCAGATGAGGCAGAAAGAAGAGAAAAATGGCTTCGCTTTAGACCTCCAGGGAGTGAAGGTATAGATAGGATCAATTGTCCCTGGCCACCTCAAATCCCAACAGAACAAACACTGGCTGGTCTCCGCGCTTTGCAAAGAGCTTCTCCCATCTCAGAGCAATAATTTGGGCTGTTATCCACTTTATAACCATGTTTCTCTTGGGAAAAGCAAAGGCTGGTTTAAATGTATAGATATTAAGTATTTATCTGCAAGAAGGACTTTTTTTTTAACGTTCTCCACTCAAGCTTCTCATTTCAAGGCGCAGGCCAGGTGGTACTTTGACATTCCCCAGGGGCACTGCCTGCATGCCCCGGGACTCTCGGACACTGCTGTGTCTATCTCACAGTTCTGAAGGAATACATCATCTGGCAGGGACAGACGGTTTTCTCTGGAAAAAGACCAAGCTTACCCAAATAGTTGTTGCTCTTGTACATCTCCGTGATGTTGATTTTCGTGGCTCCCTCGGGAATCTCCACGACGCGGTGGTAGCCCAGGCTGGTGAGGGCATGCTTAAACACGCCCGACACAACCTGACAGCCCGTGTTGTCTCCTCCACACACCCCACATTTGTCCACGACTTTGTCGGAGCCTAAGTAGTCATCACAGCCAATGCTCTGCAAAAAGACAGAAAACAAAAGACTCATAGTATGTATCAGGAGCATGCAGAGGAAGGAAGGGAGAAGATCCCTGGGCAAGAAATTTCTTTTCTAGCTATTTACGAAATGTATATTCTAGGAGTGGGGTGGGAGCCACAGACGGTAAACCAGACAAGTAAATAAAACAGAGTTTGTTTGGTGGTGGTAAATGATCAGGAGAAAAATAACACTGGGAAAAAGACTAGGGAAGATGTAGGGTGCTAGAAATTTACTTAAACAGGTTGTACAGTGAAGTTGTTCTGAAAATCCCCGTTGGACTCTGGAAGGGGAGAGGATGGTCTGTGCTGGGATTTTTATATAAAGAATCTCTCTGGAATCATGACAAGTGCCACATCTGAAACTGAAGTTTGCCCTCATGTCTTCTTATAGATGCTACTCTTAGCAAAGTACCTCCAAAAGTAGTGTTCCCTGGACCAGTTTCTTAGGAAATTAAATGGTTTGGGAGCTGAACCTCTAACTGGTAACTGTGGCTCTAGAGGCCTCAGAAGCAGGACTTTTCCTTGGTTACCCCAGAGCACTTTTCCCAGAGCAGAAGGATGAAGGTAAGCAAGAGCCAGAATCATCAACAAACGAGATCATAACCTGCTAAACCACAGAGTGCTGTCTGTAGAGCTGGTCTCATCAGTGTATAAAGGAATTCTGACTTTCCTGAATTCCCTCCCCCGACAAAAGGAATCTTCCCATTACTCATTCTAAGATCTTTTTGCTTTATCTCTCCCTCCTCATTCATGTTTCCGTTGGGACCATTTTATGTCGCACACACAAATTAAACTTTGGGCCAGACATGGTGGCTCATGTCTGTAGTCTCAGCACTTTAGGAGGCTGAGGCAGGAGGACTGCTTGAGCTTAGGACTTTGAGACCAGCCTGGGCAACTCAGTGTGATCCAGTCTTTACAAAAAGTAAAAAATTAACCAGGTGCGAGGGCACACACCTGTAGTCCCAGCTACTCAGGGAGGCTAAGGTGGGAGGATCACTTGAGGTCAGGAGTATGAGGCTACAGTGATTGCATCATTGTACTCCAGCCTGGGCAACAGAGCAGGCCCTATTTTAAAAAAACCAAAAATTAAACTTTGGAACAAAATGGAATGATCTTCACAAAATCTTTTTCTACTTCTGAAGCTTTCCACTCCTGACCTCACAGGGCTCAGGATCATGTTTCCTGAATCTAAAATTGGGACTCATGTTCTGAACAAAGAATTCTGTCACTTTTCCATGAGCAGATGGAAGTGGGTAGATTATGGTTTGGACAATGAAATATTGTGAGTACAGGATTATTCACTGGGTCATGAGGATATGGAAAGATACTTGAAATCAGAATGGTATTCTAATTCTTGAGACACATATTCTCCAAATCACAGGCTTGTCCTCTTTCTTGAATTCTAAGTGCAATAATCAGACCACATCTCTAGGACAAAGTGAGCAGCAAACCAGTCAAAGTCCACTTTTGATTTTGTTATGCAACCCTGGGTCTCTTCAGGTAGGTCCTATAGGTCAAATCCTGTGGGCAGAGTCAAATCAAAAGGTGCCCATTCCTTCCCCTCTAGTTGCATGCCTGATTGAAACCTTTCTGCAGGCACTGCCCTTGGGCATTATTGCTTCCATATTCCCAAGCGCACATTGACCCATCAATAATGACTGGTCTCTCTTCACAAATAGCATCTCTGTAAAACATTATCTCTGACAGTAATAGAACATCATCTCAATATGCTCATCCACATCCAATTAGCCTTTCCAAATGCCATGTTTGCTATGTATTTCTCCTCCCTCAAATCCTTCTCAATCTGCCCCACGCACATTTTAGCAGAAAAAATAAGGAATATGTTTTCCATGTGTGATTTCCATAGCCCCACCCCCCTTGAATTCTCCCTTGCTTTGAAACAACAACAACAAAAATGTCACCATCAACAGGGGTTTTGAATAGTAGAACCCATGTTATCAAGGCAAGATTCCAACTGAATCAAGGAGATGCCTCTGACTGTCATCAAGGGGGAAGGTAGACAGGAGAGGTGGTCAACACCCATTGCCTGCCCTGTCTAGTGACATCTCACACTCCCTCCCTTCCCAACCTCCAGTCTGTTGCTGCTACCCCTGGACTCGACTTGTCCAGACTGAGCTCATTCTCATAGGGGTCCTTCTGTTAAAGGGAACAATGTGTACACAGGTAGGAAAGAACACAGAATGACACGGCTGAAGTGCAAGCCTGCTGGGAGGGATAATACGAGGCTGGAGAGTTCAGCGGAACTTGTCAAGAATCTTGTTTGCCAGATTGAAGAATTAGATTTTCATCCTATGGCATCAGCAACCCCCAGATGTCTGGAGAAGGGGAGAGCCATGCTCAGACTTGCTTTTCGGTGGTAACAATGACTGCAGTGTGGAGCGGGCCTTACCTAGAGTGGAGACAATGAACCGTCCAGTGAGTCCCTCTCCTGTAACTAGGGTGTCAGAGATATTTCAAGAATGAATGAGAGTCGCCAAAGATGGGACAGACGTCACATTAATCACATTAATCCTCAGCCCCAGCCCAGTTAGAATGGAACTATCACAAGGAAATTACACTAGCATGGATAGCTTCAGATAACCACAGACACAGACAAAATGTTATTTGATCTTGTGAATCAGACATTATATGAAAATGCTCTGCACAGTTTGATGGACACACCCCCACCAGATTTCCTGCAGAGCATGGTTGCTCTGGATCAATCTAGACATGGGAAGGAAAGGCTGCAAGAGTTTTTCCTGGTAGATGTCGAAGTAGCCTGGAGGTTGGTTTCAGTGAAGCATGCGGCTGCACAAGGATGCCAAGAACTAAAGGTGACAGCCTGTCTACCGGGAGCCATGATCAATAGCTTCCTTAGAACATACTAGGAGCACTCTTCAGTGTTCTAGTGGCTACCCAGGCCTCTAAGAGACTGAGTTCCCATGGAGTTACCAAATATCTCTCCTTTACTTCACAAAGCAAGAGGGACAACTCCAGAATGAGAACTAGGCAGACAACACATATTCAAGACCTTAATATTTAGCTGAGGCCAAGGGCAAATTACACACATGACAACTGTCCCTTCTCCTGCACAGGGCTGTTGTGAAGATCAGATGATGTAATGAGGGAAGAATTGGACTAGATGTCTAGGAGGGCATGGCTGGGGAATGACCTCTGGACTAGGATCTGAATGACATGAAGGACCTGCCATGACAAGATCGAAACACGTAAAGATGCATTTCATCACTGATATTGTTGAGTGACTACACTGAAAAGGCTGCCTGGAAAATCCCAAGCTGAATCAGACACAGGTCCTGACTTTGGGAATCTGAGTCTAACAGGAGCAATCAGACATACACATAGAGAATCACAAGCTATCAGGCCATGAGGAACGCTTGCATGCTCTATGTCGTGCTGGACAGGATCAAATCTCCTTTAGAAAGTCGATAATTAACAATTGGGTACATAAAGTCTGGAGGATGTTGCAATATCCCAGCCTGAATGAGGGGACTGGGGATGGCGTGAAGGGATTTGAGAGATGCTTAGGATGCAAAATGAACAGGCCTTTCTGACTGTCCTCATCCTCCTCCTTGCCATCTTCCTCAACATTATCATGTCTAACATTTACAGTCTTTACTATCTTCTAGGTCCTCGGAAACATATATGTTTTTCCATTTAATCCTAAAAAGCCATCTGTGAGATTGCTGAAATTTATAGGAAACTAAGACTTAGAAGACAGGTTAATTTGCCCAAGGCTAAAATGCTAATAATAGATAGAGCTTGGATTTAAAGCAAGGCCCCAAATCAAAGTCCATGTTTTTAACCATTAGGTAAAAGTCGGAGGTCAAAGGATCGGAGGTCGTGTTGAGGGTTCTAGCTTTGTTGAAGGAGTAGATCGTGACAGTGACCTAGGTGCAGAGGAACAAGTTCAAAGCATAGTTACCATGAAGCCTGGAGAGGGCCTGGCCTAGAAGTGACTCTGGCTTTCTCCTCTTGCAGGATTAAGAGGGACCAACCCCATTATGTATCTCTCTTACACTGGCTCTTTTAACATTATACTTTATACACAGTGTGTGAATACATATTCTAGCCCATCTTCCTGTTGCATTACTTTCTTATTGTTATAATGTTTTATTTTGAAATAGTGTAAGACTCATAAGAAGTTTAAAATGAGCGCAGAGAGTTTCGGTGGTCTTTCACCCAGCTTTCCCTAACGATAATATCTTACATAACCAAAGCACTTTGTCAAAACCATGTATGCCATTGACAGCAGTATACTACTATTAACTTAAGAATAGGCCTTGTTTGTATTTGTTATCTTTTAGATGCACTTTTTTTGATGTTTCATGAACTATTATCACATGTATAGATTACGTGCTATGACTTTCTTTAAAGCAGCCGATAGTCTCCTCCAAAACACAGCTGTATAATCATTAGGTATAATCACTAGCTGATGTCATTTATCAGGAAAAACAGTTTGGAATAATGGAAAGAATGTTGGGCTGCAAACCAGAAAACCTGGGGTGCAGTCCTGGCCCAGTCCCTGGCTTGTTGTGTGATGCTGGATTGGTCACTTCTCTTTGAGGTAGGTGCTGAAAACATTTCCACCACCATCCAGATCTTCTTCCCAAGGACAGTGTTCAGAAACGAATCTGGCTTGAATTCTGGTTTGTGTATCAGGAGGCTGATCAATTGGTCGCTGATAGGGACGACTTAGTGCTGACCTATGTCTAGACTCTTTCCGAGGCACCACTGCTTTGGGTGGGCAGGAGAATATGCGTTCTTGTGCTGTCTCTGCTGCTGACGAGTGCTGTATCTTTGGACATTTTGATGAGCTGTTCTGAGCCCTGGGATTTTTTTTCTGCCTGGATGGGGATGGAGCAGCTACCCCTTAGGACTGTTGGGAAAATCAAATGAGGCAAACATAGAATGTAATTAGCAGAATTCTGCAATATGGTGGCTTCTCAGAAAATGCTGGGTTTTGTCATCTTTGTCTTTATGTATTTTATTTTGTCTGAAGTCTATTCACTTTTAAGTAAATCTCATCATCATACAACCACCCGGACCCACCCGTACTTCTGTAACACTTTCTACTACTTCTTAGTCAGAAATATTTTCTTCTTCATTTGGTGAAATTCAGAAAACTTTGAAGTGCAAAAAACAAAACAAAACAAAATCGGCCAAGGTTCACCATAAAGTCAAGACACCTCATACAGCTTCTACATTCTCACTGCTCAAACGGTACCTGTCGAAAAAGGCCAGAAAGAACATCTACTCTCTGATCTACCTTTATTTTATGTTTCTTGCTCATCGTGTACTGCTGTTCAGAATAGATATTTCTTGCTGTTACAAAGACCAGTGGATAACCATCAGATGTCCTTTGTATTTTTTCCAGTGATTTCTGCAACACGTTGTAGGAAAATTTTACACATCGCAAGCCATCACAGGAGAAATTGCTCAAGAATTACCCCCAATTGTGTGCCAAAATTAACCTGAATGAAATTTCCTGAGGGAAATGAGCAATCTGGATGACATATTTGGAGGTGAATTTCACAGGGAGGAGGCCTCTGTCCTTCACAGCAGGGTAGGCTGGTGCCAGGCATTCAGATAGTGGAGGTCCTGATTCCCTAATGGGAAGCAGATGTGTCTGTGTGTGCTCAGTAAACACATGAGATAGGGTAACCTCAACTGTTTGGCTAGATGACCCCCACAGGTAAAACAGCGTGCCTTAATAATCATGCTGGTAGAACAGTATGGGAGAATATTAAAATGATTAGTAGCTGACACCAATTTACTTATATTTACGGTGAGCTAATTCGTGGAAATGCATATGGATGCCAAAACGTTTATTCATGACATTCTGTTGAAAGAAATCCTTTGTATATGATAAATATCTTCCTGTTATTACTGTTAGGCATGTAGATCAATACCACCTTCCTGGAAAGCAATTTAGCAATATAGACCGTTTGATCCAGTAAATTCTTCTTCTAGGAATTTATGCCAGGAAATAAGAAATCAGGCCAACAGTTTCTGTATGAAGGGCTCATCACAGTATTGTTAATAAAAAATTGGAAACATCCTAAATGTTCAACATAAGGAAACAGTTAATCTATTCTGGGTGGATCTTTTTCCAGTTGTTATTCTCATTAAAATCTTCTAACACTTATGCCTGTAAAACTGACCTTCGATATAGTTCAGTAAATGTTTCCTGAGCCAACTTCAACTACGTGCCAATTCAGTGGTAGGCAGCGGAGACATGAAGGTAAAACAAACAAGGTTCCTATTTACAGTCTAAATCAGGGGTCAGCAAACTGTAGCTAGTAGGCCAAATCTGGCTCACAACCTGTTTTTATAAATAAAGATTTATTAGAACACAAACACTCCCATTTGTTTAGTTATTGTCTATGGCTGCTTTTGTGCTGCAACAGCAGATTAAGTAGTTGCAACACAAACAGGAAAGTCGACAAAGCCTAAAATATTTAGATCTGGCCCTTTACAGAAAAAAATTGCCAATCCCTGGTCTAAATTGAAAGTCAGACACAATCAAATCACTTCAATATTGTTTGTAAATGTCGAGTCCTGTGCAGCCAAAACCAAGGCTCAGGTAGATGCTTCCAAATCTACCCCTGACTGCCCTCATCCTGTATCATATACACCCACTTGATTTGTTCCAAAGTGACTCAATTGTAAAACAGAAGGCAGAGAGTTGTCTTCTACCACAGTAGTCTTCAACTTTTTTAAGTAGAAAAAAATATACTTCAAAAATAAAATCTCATGTGGAAATCCAAAGCTCCACTATGCAAAATGAGAAGAGCAGAACTGCTTTGGTTGAAGGACTGTCAGGGTTTAGAAACCTAGCTTCTCATCCTCCTGCCTGCTCTTCTTCCTCAAGGTGAGGGCTTCTCAACTCCAGCTCTACTGATGTTTTGGTCCTGAAAGGTCTTTCTTATGGGGGTTGCCTTATGCATTGTAGGATGTTTAGCAGCATCCTTGGCTTCTACCCACCAGATGCCAGGAGCATCCCTCTCAGTGTGACAAACAAAAATGTCTCCAGACATTGCCAAATGTTCCCCATGGGAGCAAAATCACCCTCAGTTGAGAATCACTGCTCTTTATTCCAAAGCTCATGGGACACCGAGGAGCACATGACAGATTCCCCAGAAAGCTTTAAAATGATGGTAGTTCCACAGAAGTGCACAAACAGCCTTTGTAAATGTCAGAGAAGCTAATAAGCAAAGAACACTTAATTATCCAGTTTCCAAAAATAGTTCCTTACTGCTATCAAACCTTCTCGAGTTCTTTAAGATTGCCTCTTGGCTTAGCTTCAGCAGGAGTATCATTATGTATTGCAAAGAGCACAGTACCTGCGACTTGGTAGGTGTTTAATAAGCGTTTGTTGAATGAAAGAGCAGCTGGTTGAAGAATCAAAAGATCAAAGTTACAGGACCAACCTGCTCTTCGAACTGGCTCATCTCTAAGGTCCCTTCTGGTGCCAAAATTTTTCTTTTAAAAAGAGATACAGCCCTGATATGAAGAATCCTGCCATGTTTAAAGGGAGGGAAATTTGCTGTATATACACAAAATTAAATTGGAAACAGGAATCAATGAAGATCAAATTGACGATGCCATTCATTTGAAGAGAAGAAATGGTCCATGGCATAAAAGGTATTTTGGCTTCCTAAATGAAAGCAATTGTAAAACGAGCGATCTGGTTTTAATCAAGCTTATGGCTGTCACTTTTCAGTACCTCATCCTAGTTCATAATAGGATAGCATCTTATCAAGGGACTCAACTGGAAGAAAATGTTGGCGCTCTTGTAGGATAAAACTGGGTAAGAATCAACTGCAGCTATGTTTACAAATCTGAAGAAAGGAGTCCCGAGAGGTAAACATATCATATTCTGTAAGATAATTACCACCTCCCCCAATTCCAACAAGGGTCATCGTTCTCTGGAGGGTGGGGATATCCCAAACTCTAAAATTCTAATGCTTTACTTTCATAATTTTCCTCCTCCATGGATTGAAATGGGGGAAGGAGGAGAGAGGCCTGAAATAGCTTTTGACAGTGATAATTGCTCTATTATAAAAGTAAGGTAACCATATTTTTGTATAGAATACTAGAAACCTCTAGACTTTCACTTTACTTTTAATGTGTAGAGCCGTATGGTGAATTGTGTTTAAAGAGATCATAATATGTCTGGCCAGATTTTATTGTAATTTTTTAGTGTCTCAGGAGGGGCTGGCAGCAGGAAAAAACCACGTGGGATGGGTCTGTTAGAAGCTGTGGTTTGGGGCTGATAAGGGGTCAAGACTAGGAAGTTCCTTGCAGAATGGAGCAGAGAGACACTGCCTACACCCTATAAGGCAGAGTTCTGGAGGCTAGATTATCAGCAAAAAGGCAATAGTGAGTTGGGTTGATGAACTCTGATCCAGGATGGAGGTTGCTTGCACACTGGCCTGATTTACAGGGCCTCCTGAGCGCAGATGGCCTGTGTCTACCAATGCAGGTCCCCAGAAGGCTCTCACGGGACCGTCCCCATGGCCAGAAGGCAATGATGGAGATTCACGCCGGCATCTTTGTCATTTCCTTAACACACAGCCAAATGTGCCTGTTTGCATTTTTCTCCACAAGATGGCACCTCTAAGCCTTTGCAAGAGGGTACTTACCTAAACAACTAGTTTAAGTACAAGAAGCAGTGATCCAACATTAACAAAAACAATGACTGTTGAGAAACACAAGAAGGGTGGACCCAGAGATGCAGGCTGACTGCATATTTACTGTGCTCTTATGTGCAAGTTTCTGCCATGTTGTTAAGGCATGATTTCATTTCTTAAAATTTTTTTGGAACATCAAAAAAAAAAAGGTGGGTGAAATATTCAAATCTTGTATTTCCAAAATGTTCAAGAAAAATGCTTTAAAATCTGTGTAAATGAGTTACAACATTGGGGAATATATAGGCTTCTTAGCTATCATTGGGCCATCTCCAGGGACGGCTGAGAGGACTGACTGGGTGAGTGGGACGAGATGATGAGAGAAAAGGCTGGCAACGAAAGTGTGGGATCTTAAATCCGAAGACTCTTGAGTGGGAAATGGCAGGCTGAAGAGCTCTTTTCAGAAGATGTCTGGCAAACACGGGCAATGGACTGGAGATGGAAGAGACTGGAGACTGGGACACACACAGACAACTGCATTAAGATGGGCACAAAGTGATGGAGGCCTGGACCAGAGAGATGAAATTAGAATGGAGGGCAAGGGCCCACCAACATCACGCTGAAGGAATGGCCAACTGGACTGAAGATGGATGTTCTACCAAAGGTGGAGTAAGGAAGACCAAGGTTCCTGGCCTGACAACCTGAAAGAATACTAGTGTTCTTGAGGCAGAAACTCCACTGGGGGGCAGGCCTTTGATGGAGCCATCTTACAGCAAGGGTCTGAGCATAGATCTTGATACTCATTAATTCATTCATCGAATTTAGTTATAATAATTCTCTCTCTCCCATTCTTTCATCAGAATTTTCCTCTAAAACCCTATGCATTTTTATTTTAGCTTTTTGGATAGGAATCCTTCTAAAGTATATTTTATAATTCTCAGTTTTTAAAAAAATCAAGACTAGTAAGTGTAAGGTTCTTGTACTGGTTCGAACCCTGAGAGCGTGCCAACAGACAACAGGAGGCGGTGTGGAGCAACATGCTGTTTTAATGAGCACCAGGGTGCAGGCGGGCTGAGGCCTAAAATGGCGTCAGCCCCAAGTGAGGACAGGGCGAAAGTTTTATAGTCTCCTGTAAACAGGAAGTGTCCTAGTCTGACATTACTGCTATGTTGTACCCGGATGGCCTCTTTCTTGATTTTCAGGGGTACGTGTCTTCCGGCTGGCTCTCTTCCTGCTTCTGCTATTTTGCTGGAGCACACTGCTGGTGCAAGTAGCCTTGTGCCTTGGGACTGGGCCTGAGAAGGGAGGAGTTATTCATCTCCTTAAGCTTTCAGGCCCCCGGGGAGAATCTTACAATAAGCCTTAGTTTATTTTCTCTGGCCCCCTGTTACTCAAAGTGTGGTCCATGGACCAGCAGTGCAGGCATCGTCTGGGGCATTTTAGAAGTCTTGCACCGCTTCCCAGGGCTACTGAATCAGAATCTGCAGTTTAACAGCATTCTCAGGTGATTCCTATGCACATTCAGGTTTGAAAGGTGCTGCTCTACATTGTGGGTCAGCAAGCTTCTTTTGTAAAGAGCCAGAGAGTAAATACCTCAGGCATTGCAGTCATATGGTCTCTGTTGCAGCCACTCTGCTGGATTGTTGCAGCGTGAGAACAGCCATGGATGACTTATGGCTATGTTCTAATAAAACTTTATTTACACAAACAGACGGCAGGTGGATTAGGCTCACATGCTAGATTTGGTTTACTTGCTAGATTTGGCCCATGGGCTATAACTTGCTGACTCTTGCTCTAGATGACTCAGAGACATTCTGAGGTGTGAGAGATTGCCACCCTCTATATTAAGTAGTTCCAACTACCAGAAGGTCTCTGCCGTCCCTCCTCTGGATGTCAGAAGTCACTTCTTGCAGCTGGCAGTCCTTTTCTGACTTCCTTATTGGCTGTTTTCACCAGGAAATGGTTGAAGAGCAAATGAACTATCACAGAACTGAAAGAACTCCCTAGTCAATAAATGTTGCTGCCATAACTGGCTAGCCATATGCAAAGATTGAAACTGAACTCCTTCCTTATACCATATAAAAAATCAACTCAAGATGGATTAAAGACTTAAATGTAAAACCCCAAACTGCCAAAACCCTGGAAGACAACCTATGTAACACCATTCTGGACATAGGAACTGGCAAAGATTTCATGACAAAGATGCCAAAAGCAATCAAAACAAAAGCAAAAATTGGCAAATGGGATCCACTTAAGAGCTTCTGCATAGCAAAAGAAGCTATCAGGCTGGTGCACGGCTCATGCCTGTAATCCTAGCAATTTGGGAGGCTGAGGTAGGCAGATCACCTGAGGTCAGGAGTTCAAGACCAGCCTGGCCAACATGGTGAAACCCCATCTCTACTAAAAAAATACAAAAATTAGCCAGGCATGTTGGTGGGCACCTGTAATCCCAGCTACTCGAGAGGCTGGAGGCAGGAGAATGGCTTGACCCCAGGAGGCAGAGATTGCAGTGAGTTGAGATCACACCACTGCACTCCAGCCTGGGCAACAAGAATGAAACTCTGTCTCAAAAAAACAAAAAACAAACAAAAAAGCCCTGAGATCTGGCTAAATAGAAAAGCCTAGTTTTGCTTCCAGTGCTGGAGAGAGAGGAAAGGGACAGAGAGGAAAGGGAGAGGAGAAACTAGGAGATGGTGGAGAAGAGCCAAAGAGAAGCTCTGAGTGATGGGGGGACTCCTAAGGACTTTGAATCTGAAGTGCACTTGCTGGGATTTAAAGAATTTAACAAAAATTTCTTTTCTACGTTCCATATGTTCAAAACGTCTTTTCTTCTAGACACATGAATGTTCACCTAAGAGCCTTCCTAATAATGCACATTACACCCGCAGGTGACATCATTTTCTGAGCCCTAGTTTTGTTACCTGTAAAATGAGGGATCAAAGTATAATTCACAAATCTCTTGTGAGGCTTAAATGAAATGTGTAAATGAAGGTACCTAATTCAGAACTGGCATGAAGTAGGGGCTGGTAAAATGTTGTGCCTCTCCTTCTCCTCGAGACGCGTCCCTTGGCAGTCTGGCCATGGGATCCCCTTTTTCACACAAGCTACATATACTTCTCTACCAACAGGGGAGGCTTGTGTATTTGCACTGTCCACCAAAACCCCCCTTTCTTTTCACATGATTCTCAAGTGGTGTTTGAAGACAGAGCTGTAACAGGTAAACTGTCACAATCTATTTGCATTTCAATAATGCTCTGGGACAATGGTGATCAAGGCTTCCAGAGATTTCTTTTATCTTTGTAACTTTTCTCATTAACAACAACAACAAAAAACTTAAAGAAAATGCTTTCTTTTGGTAGTCTTTCCCGGTTTGTCTTGGAGACCAGCTATGGAAAGCCTAAAAAACTGGAAAGGGATTATTTTCATTTTAGAAACAGAGCAAGGGAGACTGCTGGATGGAGCCTATGGGTTGGGCATGTAGGGTCATGGTCTTAGATGAGTTGTAGGTGGAAAACAGATGCAATCAGGGCATTCAAGCATCTGGTAGGGATTTAGGCAGTAGGAAGCCCCATGGATATATGTGACAGCTGTTACGGCTGGACCACTCACCATGTGCTTGGCACCTTACCTAATATGTTATCCTGCCTAATTCTCTCAACAACACCAGGAGGTAAGAATTACTATCCCTATTTTGCCAAAGCTCTGAGAAGGTAAGTAATAGGTCAAAGCTCACACAGAAGTGATGGTGGCGGGTTTGAAATAAGTGCCTTCTGGCCCCGAAGTCTAGGATCTTTTTCCTCTGCTAGTTGTATTGTCTCTTGGGACAACAGAAACCCTTCTTGTAAGAACAGGGCCTGGTAGATGACTGACCAAGGGCCACCTATACGCTTATATCTCTCAGGCTGCTCTCGGGCTTTCCCCAACATGCTTACACACAGGCTTTACTCCCAATCCGAGGCCTCCCCTCCCACGAGGCCTGGCCACACTGCTTCAGCATCTCCTATAGCGTCTCTTGATTCCCTTGCAATCCCATATTGAAGTCCTCTGAAGTCCCATATTGTGCTGATTTACCCCCCATGAAGGGACATCTATAACACCACCCTTCCTCTCACAACAAATTCCTAGATCCAAAACTATCCACTGAAATAGTAACGATTTTTCTCATTTGTCATCCTGGGAATGGGAACTATTGGTTTGCCAAGTTGAGAGATATTTATAACTCAATGAAAAACATCAGGTTCCTTGGGCGACGTCATTACCCAACCCGAGAGCTTGCTCTCTGAGACCAGAATGACTAAGAAATTAAATAAAGATAATTCCTTATTATTCTCTCTTCTAACCATAGATACATCCAATATGAATATTTCATTAGGAAATAAAGACATTGTGTTCCATGCATTGTCAGAAGGAAGAAATTTGGCTGAAATGTTTAAACATGAAGGCTCCTTCATGCTTTTCTTGAAGGATGGCTAAGAACAGGGTTATCTGTCAAACTCAATGTGTTGCTTAACAGTAATTCAGGTGGCTGCCAGATGAATGATTCTCATGCTGGCAGAGAATTTCCGTTCTCTTGCAACTTTAAACTGAAAGGTAGGGCAATAGCAGATCTGCTGCCCACACATGGCTTCCAAGAGACTGCACTAACAATATGCACTTGTATACATAAATATTTAGGACACATAAACCAGTTGGAAAAACACCGATCCTTCACCTTCTTTGGTAGAACCTTGAAATTCTTAATTTTCACCAGTCCCTTCTTTAAAATCCAGATTGTATTTATGAGCTTTTAAATCATGCCCCCCAGATGTGTAAGCATAAAGGCTAAATGTTGTGGTTTCAGGTAATCTATACTGCACGTGGTTGTGACATTTATCTTCCAAAGACACAGCTATCATCATGTCATTCTTCTGGCTCAAAAGGCCTCCTGATGTCAGCCATCACTTAAACGAGCTGATTACTTCCTCCTAGGCATTATGCCTATATGTGATTCTCTGATTCCAGGTGGAAGGGAGTGCCCAGGGCTGCAGCCGCTCAAGAATAAGCCTTAACCCAGGTGTGGACAACTGAGTGAAGGTAGGGATTTTGACAATGATCCAGTGTCCTTATGCTTTGACAGCAAAAATACTTTGCTGTCATAAAGTGAAAATACGTAATAATTAGTGACACTATTTATTAATTATATCTCCTAATTTACTGGGTTGGTTTTATGATGATGAAGCCAGTTTATGTTTGTAAAAAGCATCTGACACATGGAAGGAACTCAATGCATATTATGTTTTATTTAAAGTCAAGTTAAAGATAACATAGAGGGCAAATTCAAAGAAACACAAATAAATGATATCAATTCCCAGCTTAAACAGTAGCTGATTGGAATGTTATTTAGCTAGAGAATGGCCTGAATATACTTTTAAAAATGTGAAACGGCAGCAAATATGGAAGTAAAATGAAAAGCATTTCTCCAGCAGAGAACAAACTCTGGTTAAAAGAGAGAAAGAGCCAAAGTCAAAAAGAATCAAGGATTCCATTTTGACAACTTATGGACTCTGGTGACTTTAGGTTCCATAAGAAAAGTGTGCTCCCTCTATTCAGAGAGGTGTGCAGAGGTGCTCCTGAGCACCAAGAAAAGCAATATAAAGAAAAGAAACTGGTATTTGTTGCTTATCTGATAGGATGAATGTATTTACTACCATTTTAATAATGGAGGAAAGAGGGAGATTAAGTAACTTGCCTGAGGTCACACAGCCAAGTGCTAGGATCTGTGCTCGTATCTATCTAGTTCAAAAACTCAAAAGCAGAGTTTTAAGGTGGAAGCCACAAAGGCAAGGAGATTAATGGAGTGATTGAAACAGGGAATATGGTAGTGAATAGCAGATGCCAGCAAGTGCAGAGCACCCACTGAAAGGTGCACGTGTTGGACAGGTGGAGGGATGAGGGAAAGTGGCACTGGGTGGCTTTGGAGTACTTGCTTTGTCCTGGTATTTCTTGGAAAGGAGTCGTCTTAATTGCATCTTGAATTTCCCCTTTATAAACATGGGACACCTCCAATTTCCCAGAAGCTTTGAGTTCTCTCTTATCCATTGCCTACATGCACTGCCTGAAGTGCTGGTACTAAAACCTCTCCCAAACATTTTGTTTTCTGTTGCACCAAAAGGCTGTGATAAAAGCTTTTTTCCCCAAAGCAAACCCAAGGGCCTGGGACTTTAAATTATTTTGGACAGCTCCTATTTCTTCTGGTGGCTCACTCTGCCTCAGGCCTCCAGAATGTTCTTCGATTATCAGAAAGGGAATCTAAAACCATGGTATGATTTCGATGACAAGCCAGGATTTCCTCATGATATGGTTTGGCTATGTCCCCACCCAAATCTCATGTGTGGTGGGAGAAACCTGGTGGGAGGTAATTAAATCATGGGGGCAGTTTCCCCCATGCTATTCTCATGATGGTAAGTTCTCATGAGATCTGATGGCTTTATATGAGGCTTCCCTCTTTGCACGGCTCTCATTCTTCTCCTTCCTGCCATCATGTGAAGAAGGACATGTTTGCTTCCCCTTCTACCAGAATTGTAAGTTTCCTGAGGCCTCCTCAGCCTTGTGGAATTGTGAGTCAATTAAGCCTCTTTCCTTTATAAATTGCAGAATCTTGGGCAGGCCTTCATAGCAGCATGAAAACAGGCTAATACACCCCAAGACCATCTTTCCTCTGGGTTTGAGTCACCCTAGTGACCCTGGGGCTCCCCATTTTGAGCCCTGAGGTACCAGCTTTGAGACTGTATTCTGTATATGATTGAGGGCTGCAAGGAAATCACTGTTCGACTTGTGTTTTTAAATAATGATAGAAAAACAGCCTATTACCTTTAAGCTGAAGGAACTTCTGGAGCTCTTGAGCAGGGGCAGGCTATAAATCCATAACTTACTAGGAGCTGCAGTATAATGTTCATTTTGAACCGTTATTGCCGCCTAAGGATTCCATGAACTAACCAAGGCATTACCCCTGAGCTGAGGGGTGAAATGGACTGCTAGAGGAAGTTGTTGGAAGTGTCTACTTGAATACTAGAGAAATCCCTGCCTCAAATAAGTTGGTAATGGTGACATGATTGATACAAAGCCATTCAGATTAGTAACCAGTAAAAGTGATTTATTCACTTCTTAGGATGGCTGGAAAACCATGTCAGCAGCATAGATGAAGATATCCATCTTCCTCCTTGCTGTGACTCAAAGTCAGCAACATATTGAACCAGTTTTTAAAAAATAAAAGCTAAAATGTCAGAGGAACAGAATACAAAGGTGGCATAGAGTATTGACCTAGCTGGCCGTGAAAGTCAAATTTGAATTTTTTTTTGTAAATCTGGAGCTTACAGTTACCAGTTTGTATTAGGAAAAACCACAAATTCTTGCTGGTGAAGATTAGAATTCTGTATTTTATACAAACTGAAGTGGATAGGAATAAAAATAAAATGAATTTGGAGCAAAGGACATTTATCCTTTTCAGAAAATATAGCTCTGAAATTTCATTTCGTAACAGATTTGTAGTATAGAGAAGAACAAAATGGCCTAACCAATTGAAGGAAGAAGAGGCTTATCATAGAAAATCAGGCTTATTGGCAAGTATTCCCACTAAACATAGAATGCTAGAATCATAGACTCTTAGAACAGAAGAAAACATAGAGATCATCTGGTTTAACCACAATCAGTTAGACCCTGGTGTTAGCCTGAGTCCTACTGTTTTCTGTTGAGACCTTGGACAGTCACTGGGGCTAATTTAACCTATAAATCATGTCTGCTAAATGAGACAGGTCAGTGGCTTTCAAGCTATTCCAAGGCTCTACTTCAGTATTTTCATAATCTTTAAGATATATTTTCAAAATGTGAAGAACTGTGATAAACATCATATATACTCAACCACAGTATACGCCTACGTGTAACACACCAGACATCTCTGCATTAACTCATTTTTATGCAGCCTTTGGAACAAACTGCTCCCATTTTTATTCAACCAAAGAGACTGTCTGTAATTTCCTGCCTATGTTAATTAAGAACTCTTCAAAGGTTGTAAATTGAAACACAATTCAGAAATAAAGTAAACGCTAAGGCATCCAAATCATTTTCCATATTACTTGTGCTAAATTTTCTAATGGACAAAATAGCCACATGTTCACTAAATGCCTGTATAAGAGTTAGATGTTAATGTTTTAATTAGAAATTAATTTATACTAAAGAACAAGATCATGTCCTTTGCAGGAACATGGATGAAGCTGGAGGCCGTCAACCTTAGCAAACTAATGCAGGAACAGAAAACCAAACACCACATGTTCTCACTTACAAGTGGGAACTAAATGATGAGAACACATGGACACATAGAGGGGAACAACACACACTGGGGCCTACTTGAGGATGGAGGGTGGGAGAAAGGAGAGGAGCAGAAAAAATAACTATTGGGTACTAGGCTTCGTACTGGGGTGATGAAACAATCTGTACAACAAGCCCCTGTGACATGAGTTTACCTATACAACAAACCTGCACATGTACTCTTGAACCTAAAAATTGTCTCAAAAAAGAAATTAATTTATGCTAACAAAACACATTAGTGGTTTTAAAAAATTTGTTTTATGTGTTGGGATTACTTATATCTCTTTTCTTTGGAAACAAGATCATTTTCATGAAAAAGTGTTAGGACCACCGGACCAGATGATTTAGCATATGCATGGGCACTTTAAAAATGTTTTACTATTTAAATTAACTCACTGACTCCTCCCAGTACCCCAAGAGGAAAGTCATACTATTATTTCAATTTTAGAGATGAGAAAACTGAGGCAGTTGAGTAAATTGTCTAAGATGAGTAAGATGTTGAGCAGGAATGTAACCCAGGCATTCCAGTCCCAGAACCTAGACTCTTTTTTATTTTTTTATTATTATTATACTTTAAGTTTTAGGGCACATGTGCACAATGTGCAGGTTAGTTACATATGTATACATGTGCCATGCTGGTGTGCTGCACCCATTAACTCGTCATTTAGCATTAGGTATATCTCTTAATGCTATCCCTCCCCACTCCCCCCACCCCACAACAGTCCCCAGAGTGTGATGTTCCCCTTCCTGTGTCCATGTGATCTCATTGTTCAATTCCCACCTATGAGTGAGAACATGCGGTGTTTGGTTTTTTGTTCTTGCGATAGTTTACTGAGAATGATGATTTCCAACTTCATCCGTGTCCCTACAAAGGACGTGAACTCATCATTTTTTACGGCTGCATAGTATTCCATGGTGTATATGTGCCACACTTTCTTAATCCAGTCTATCATTGTTGGACATTTGGGTTGGTTCCAAGTCTTTGCTATTGTGAATAGAGCCACAATAAACATACGTGTGCATGTGTCTTTATAGCAGCATGATTTATAGTCCTTTGGGTATATACCCAGTAATGGGATGGCTGGGTCAAATGGTATTTCTAGTTCTAGATCCCTGAGGAATCGCCACACTGACTTCCACAATGGTTGAACTAGTTTACAGTCCCACCAACAGTGTAAAAGTGTTCCTATTTCTCTGCATCCTCTCCAGCACCTGTTGTTTCCAGACTTTTTAATGATTGCCATTCTAAAAGAACCTAGACTCTTAATGTTAACTTTTAACACACCTTCAGATGATCTCCTGGGTGCCTGGTAACTTTCTAAGCCATTTCTGTCCTTGCAAGAGCCCTGTCTATCTGATTTTGTTTGACTTTCTCCGGTGACAGGCAGCCTTCCACCCATTAAGGAAGCCAGTTCATCCCTGAATGATCCTGACTTGTAATAAATCCTCTTCTCTCTGTGTACGGTCCATTGCTCCACGTTCTGCCCTCCAAAAACCTTTGGACACTGGTCTGTGACACTTCCTTTCTAATATATTCCATTTGGTTTTATGTATTTGCCTAAAACAGGTCGTCTTCTCAGGACTACAGGGTGAGAGCACCCTGATGCAAGGAGAACCCTCGGTTTCTAGCTCAAAAGTTAAATTACCTGGAATAACTTTACTGTGGTATAGGTATCAATTTTTTTTTTTTACAGTTTCTTTTTAGCATTGTACCTTTTCTAGCATTTGGTTTTCTTGTGAAAACAGTGGCTTAAAAATATCCCTTTAATGAATCTTCTTTCTGTGACAAAGTATTTGCCCTTTTCTCCCTTTTATTATGAAAGTGACATAAGGGATTCTAAACTGTTAAAACAGTGAAAATCACCATAAGTAGAAATGATGCCAAACAGTAATGAGAAACTCTGTCTTTGGAATCACACCCCTCCAGGATTGCAGTTCTGTTGGCCATACACTAGCTGTGTGACCTCAGGCAAGACGCATAACCTTTCTGTCAATCATAAATGGGAAAAAATAATTTAAAGCACAAAAAGAAAGCCTTCCTCACAGTACCTGGACTACAGTGAGTGTTCAATGAGACTCAGTGATTGTTGTTAACAATGGTGTAAAGACCTGGGGGGTTTAACAAGAAGAAAAGAAGACAGGCATTGCTAGATAGCCCCCACATTGGAAACTTCGTCACTTGGAAGAAAGATTAGATTTCCTATCTGTGGTCCCAAGACATTGGACTGGGGCTTACAGAGGAATGGTATAGAAGGACTGATCCCACGTAGTGATTGGGAAACAAAGCCTTAGGGAATGCCTCCCTCAAAAGATTGCTGTAAGGATTAATGTTATAATCTCTGTAAAGGGCTTAGCACCATGCCTGGAACATAGTAGGCACTCAGTAAATCTTAGCTCATTACATTAGCAGTTGACTGAAGATGGAAGGGCTGTTTTGGGAGGAAGTGAGCTCTTCACCACCGGAGTCATTCAGGGAAAGACTAAATGATCAGAGTGTGTAAGTGTGTGTGTGTGTGTGTGTGTGTGTGTGTGTGTCTGTAGGTGGGTTTTGAAGGAAAGATCTAAATCATCAGGTGACTTGTTATATTAATGAAGGATTAATTAAACATCGACCGTGTGCCTAGCACTGACCTGGTCCTTTAGAGAAATCAAAAGTGGCATATGTTACATCCCTGCTCTCAATGGGCTTAATATCTAGCTGGGGAGATAAACAAGAGATGAACCACATGGTAGGTGGAATTGGAATTAAGGGATAAACTGGGCAGTAACAGCTGAGGAGTTCAGAGACCGCTTCATGGCAAAATCAGGATTTATAAAATAAAGGGATGGATTTTTACACTTAAAATAAGAAGAAATCAAAGATTAAGATATCATGCAATTTGGGGAAAGCCTGAAGTTTTTAAACAATAATCAGCATGGCTTGGGACTTTATCTATGTCATGCTGTCCTTCCTGCTCTCGGTTCTGAAGGAGTCATGTGGGTCAGTGGCCTCAACTTACATCACTGAAATTAATCCAATACGGGAGAATTTGAGACCAGTCCTGGCAACCCCCTGGCTCTCTTGCCATAAATTATCCCCTAGATTTGCCACAGTTGGCCCTCTAATTTCACTATTTAGGATTAGAAATTTGCCTAGGCCAGGTGCAGTGGCTCACACCTATAGTCCCAGCACTTTGGGAGGCTGAGGTTGGGGGATCGCTTGAGCCCAGAGGTTTGGGACCTCCCTGGGCAACATGGTGAAACCCTATTTCTACAAAAAAAAAAAATTAGCTGAGCATAGCAGTGTGTACCTGTAGTCCCAGCTACTAGGGAGGCTGAGGTAGGAGGATCGCTTGAGCCCAAGAGGTCGAGGCTACAGTGAGCTATGATCATGCCACTCCACTCCAGCCTAGGTGACAGAGTGAGACTGTCCAATAAAAGAAAAAGAAAGTTGCAAAAAAAAGTTGCCGTTGTTACCACTTTTCCAATAAGCCCCCAATACTAGTATTTTGGTGGCTAATGAGCAGTACAATTTCTTTCTTGACCTATCTTTACTGAAAAAAGTCAGTAATATATATTGTAAGATGTATTATTTCTCATGAAGCTAAAGTAAGTTTTATTTTGAATAAGGAAAAAACATTAACAGGAGTAACATATTTTTCTGGCTTGGCTTTTCTTTTCTTTTCTTTTTTTTTTTTTTGCTAAATAAAAACATCTACAGCTGTCTTAGGCCATCCTGTAAGAAATCAGGGATAAGAGCTGAGGAACAAGAGGGATATGTAGGCAGTGAGTCAGGACTATGCAAAACCATAAAATAAAGAACATAATTTTTTGTTGATTCACAATTTAATAAGTTGTTTAACATATTTAAATCATAATGTCATTGTCAGCCTTGTATCATGTCTGTGTTGTTACATCTAAAGGCCCTTGAGCAAAGAAGATGCAAAATTTGACTTTGCATTCCTTTCAGAACTGGCACATATTCAGTGAGAATAATTCTTGAATTAAGTAAAATTCTTACGACTACAACTGGGCTTCCATTCCAAATCATAGAATGCCTCATTTAAAGAATGAAGAAATTAGAACCCAGACCCTTGTGGAGTGGAATTTTGTGGTTAGTGCATTTTGGTCCTGTATTGCAAATGGGGGCATTTTACATCAAATAATGATATTCTATGAGCTTAAGTGAATGTCATTCCCAAATTACATATGGCTTTCTGGAAATCCAGCCCCCATGCAAGCTACCAGGATTTACTTCAAAAGTACAGTTTACAAATTGATGAAAGTACTCATCTTTTCACTTTAGGCAAAGGGAATGGTAGAATGGATTTCTGTTAGCCATTATTGATGTTTCTCAGTATCTGGCTTCTCTACTTTTTGGGTACATGGAGGATTACAATTCTCCAACCTTCTGAAGTTAGGTCTGGCCATGTGACTAGTTCTGGCCAATGGGATGTGAGTGGGAGTGGCAGGTGTCACTTTCATGTTGAAGCATTTAACTGCCGATGCTCAATTCTTGAGCATCAGAGCAAATTTTGCAGCTGTTGGGGGACATGACTGCAAAGATGGCTGACTTTGAAGGGAGCTATCTAAAATGGTGGAGCTTCCAACAACCTGGGTCCCTGAGGGACCATAATGAGCAGGGTCCTTGCTGACTCTTTATGAACAAGTATGAGAGAAAAACCATTGTATTAAGCCACTGATATTTTGTCATTACAGTAGTTGTCACTCAAGCATAATGTAGCTTATTCTGATTGGTGCAGAACTTCTGCTTACATTCTTAAACCTATAGTCCAAAAATTAAGTAGAATTTCATGACAAAGACTAAACCATACTAATTTATAATATCTGATACAAACTAGATCTCGAATTCTTTCTTTCAAATGCCTGAATAAGAGTGTACTGTTGCACTGATATGTCTTCATTCAAAAGTACTGAGATTATGAGAAGAATTAGGTTTTAAACTGAGTAGTTTGCTTAAAAAGATTTTCTCTGTTATATAGAAAAGACATACTGTTCATAGACATAGAATGCTACTTGCCAATTCTATGTGCAGTTAGAATAGTTTTAGTGTTCAAGGGTTCAGAATTTACCTCTAACTCAGTGCTGCTGGGCTGTTTCATAGTTTGGAAAGGTTCTTTTAAGACCTGCAGGACATCTATAGGACATTTCATCACAATTTTTATGTGTCACACAAGTCAGAGTGAAGCCAAGGGCCCACAAATATCCAAATGACCTCCAGACTTCTGGAAATATAACCCAGAGAATCCTGTATTCACTTGTCTACACTATGTGCTATCAGCTCAATGTTATACTACAAAAGAGTAACTGCCCTGCAAAAATGTAGATATTAAATGTGGAATCACTGACATTCTTGACTTTCACTGTGGCTCCAAGCTTGATGCTTCCTGCACTTTTTAAAACAAAAACGTGGTAAAATAAACATAATATAAAATTTACCATCTTAGCCCCTTTTAAGGTATAGTTCAGTGGTATTAAAATATACTCTTGGCTGGGCACAGCGGCTCACACCTGTAATCCCAGCACTTTGGGAGGCTGAGGCAGGTGGATCACCTGAGGTCAGGAGTTGGAGACCAGCCTGGCCAACATGGTGAAACTCCGTCTCTACTAAAAATACAAAAACTTAGCCAGGTGTGGTGGCGGGTGCCTGTAATCCCAGCTACTTGGGAGGCTGAGGCAGGAGAATTGCTTGAACCCAGGAGGCAGAGGTTGCACTGAGCTGAGGTCACACCATTGCACTCCAGCCTGGACAATAAGAGCTAAACTCCGTCTCAAAAAAAAAAAAAATTCATAATGTGCAACCATCACTCTACCATCCACCTCTACTCTGTACCCATGAAACAACAACTCCCCATTGCCACCTCCCCCAGCCCCTGGCGACCACAGTGCAACCACAGTGCTGGTCCCACTTCCACATAATCATTGTTCCTTTAACCTTCTGCCATAGACTGCTACCCTCACCAGGTTACTGGCATTTCTTCCCTGAGGATGCCAGTAGCTTCACTTTCCCTGCACGTGGGGTCTTCTCAGTTCTCATCCCTCATCTCTTGAGCTATTCTCTGCCACTGCCTTCCACGACACTGAGATCATGGCTCCCCATGTTTCCCTTTTTTTCTTTCCTTTGCTGTCTCCTAGCCCTGGGCTTCAGGGCTTGACTGCATTTTCTCCATGTATACAGCCCAAGATGGTTTCTGAAAGCCAAATGTTTTAAGAATTTGTAATGCAAACCATCTTAGTTATCATCTAAAATTCTAAATGCAGGTGCTTTGAAAGCAAATGAGAAGTTAAAGCTCTGTAAACAACGGTGAAAAATAGTTAATTGGACTTGAGGCTGGGCACTGTGGCTCACGCCTGTATTCCCAGCACTTTGGCAGACTGAGGCGGGTGGATCACTTGAGGTCAGGAGTTCAAGACCAGCCTGGCCAACATGGTGAAACCCCGTCTCTACCAAAAATACAAAAAAATCAGCTGGGTATGGTGGCGTGTGCCTGTAGTCCCAGCTACTTGGGAGGCTGAGGTGGGGAAATCACTTGAACTCGGGAGGTGGAGGCTGTAGTGAGCCGAGATCACACCACTGCACTCCAGCCTGGGTGACAGAGTGAGACCTTGTCTCAAAAAAAAAAAAAGAAAAAAATATTGAGAGAGAGCGCCTGGCCCACAGATGTCAAGCCTGTAGATTTCTCACATGCCTCGCAGGTCCTCCTGTTTTTCAGTCATGGCATGGGAGTCTGAGGAGAGAGGTGGGAGGCTGGGAGGTCCTCGGGGACCAGCTGGGGTCAGGATTGTCAAAGGCACAGCTGCAGGCACTGCTGGGAAGAACTGGGCAAAAAAAGATTTCTCTGTGTTGGTCCCCAAGACAAAGAGCCAAGAGGAAGTGGAGAATGCAGGAACAACATAGCGGAAGGTGGTGGGAGCTTCAGTCCAGTGACAGGAGAAAGAAATAACTGGAATGAAATGAAATGGGAGGTGGGGTGCAGAATACCCCTAAACTAACACTTTGAGTATCTCTGATTTTTGTTTACCCTTATTTCATTGAATCTGTGTAGTAGCCCATGAGGCAGCTATTATTTTTCTTTTCCTTTTTCTTTTTTTTGAGACAGAGTCTGGCTCTGTTGCCCAGGCTGGAGTGCAGTGGCACCATCTCGGCTCACTGCAACCTCTGCCTCCCAGGTTCAAGCGATTCTCATGCCTCAGCCTCCCGAGTTGCTGGGATTACAGGCACCTGCCACCATGCCCAGCTAATTTTTTGTATTTTTAGTAGAGATGGGGTTTCACCATGTTGGTCAGACTGGTCTCCAACGCCTGACCCCAAGTGATCCACCCGCCTCGGCCTCCCAAAGTTCTGGGATTATAGGTGTGAGCCACTGCGCCTGGTCTATTTTCCTCATTTTACTTCAGTTGAGGAGAAGGTAAACAATTTGTTGAAGGTCCCATGACAGAATCTGGATGAAACTCTAGTCTGTCTCCAAAGCCCACGTGCTTTCCACTGTACCAGGATAACAAAGGGTTATGAACAGGAACTTCATGGCAGACAGACTTCACTGAGATCTGAGTCCTGACCCTGCCATCTACCAGCTGGGTGACCTTGGGAAAATTGCTTAAGCTTGCCAAGCCTCAGTTTCCTCATCTATAAAATGGGCATATGATAACATCTAAGTTTTCAAGAGTCAAATAAGATAATTTATGAAAATGCATTCTTTTAAAGTGCCATGTTGTGGGCACCCAATAAACGTTAATTCCATTAATATCATGATTGTGACTATTTCCAGTCTCACCTCCAGCTCCACACCCTTGCTCCCAATCATGCAGCTGGGAGAAAATTAGTATTTGATTTTTTGATAACTGGCAACCTTTGTCTGGTATGTTTTTGATTTGCCATTAATTAAAGCATTTGATAACTAGAAGATCATGTTTTCCAATCAATCCATGACGTGTTTCCTTTAGAAAAAGAGAGACTGAAGAGAAAATACACTCAACTCTTTTCAGCCTTTTAGCAAAGTCACTACTGTAAATTGGTCCACTTTTTTCTTTCAAAGAAAATCAAGCTGCTATCTTCAAGGCCATCTTCTCACATGATTACTTTCCCCAGATAGCTTTTCATTTTCCAGGGTGCCTCAAATAAAGAGTGTGTGTGTGTGTGTGTGTGTGTGTTCCCACCCACTAAATCTCCTGCTTGGCAGAGATTGTTTATGATTTCTGTGAAAGGGTCTTTTTGTCCCTTTTTGTCTAAGAAGCTTTTTCATTACAAGCCTGGAAGTCAAGGTAAGTGCCACAGGGATTCGAAGATCTCTTGGCTTTTCTCCGATGTTCACATTATCTCCCAGAAAAATGAAGTCCTACATTCCCTGCAATCAGTTAATAGAAGTGACAGCTGTGAGAGCTTCAAATCTGGCCTTAATTAATGGGCAGTGCATACATGTGACCGATGCATATTTGCTGAGAAGAGGCTTTAAATAGCATCAAATGTTTGTGAGCAGGAGGCCATGCGATGGCAGGAAATATCTGACGGTCTTAATGGGATCAGGCTTTTGTGTGCAAACAATGGCAAACAATGGCAGCAAACCACAGCCCAGCTGACAGCCATTAAGATGGAGTATTCATTTGTCATGGTGGGTAAAGGCTCTTCAATAGCTGCTAATCAAAATAGAGAAAAATGAATGTATGGCACGATGCAACTCTAATAAGACTGGGTGTCCAAATGAGTGACTCCACATAGGTATGCGTAAGGCGTACATGGAATGACCTTCTCTTTGAACTTGCTGCCACCGTGGAGCAGCATATCTCCCTTGAGAACTTCCTCCCTTGACTTCCGAGGAGATCTTACTCTCTCATTTCTGACCGACCTTTCTTTACCTTGTTCTTCCCACCCATTCCCTCAATGAGACAGTCCCCCAGCCACTGCTCTCTGTTCAAATTCCCTGCGTGACTGATGCCCTGGGGAAGATCCCTTCTCCTAAATCTTATGGGGATTTAAGAATATTACTTGTCCAGCTGCAGCCAAAGTGGACATGGCATTGGGACGCAGATGTGCTTGTGCTTACCTAAATACTCATTCTAAAGATGGCAAAGACTGGGACTTTCATGTATTCATTTCCGACACTCTCATTCCCAGATACTGAGCTAGAAGCTGGTGATGCAGATACAAGACTGGTGTTCCCAAGGAACTTAAAAAACCATCCTCCCTGTCACTGTAGTGGCTGCCATGGGTTGACTATACCAAGTACTCTGCTAACTGCTTTACTTATGCAATCCCACCTAATCCTCACAGCAACCCAGTGAGGTGGCTACTAGGATTATTTCTTTTTCTTTTTCTTTTTTTTTTTTTTTTGAGACGGAGTTTCACTCTTGTTGCCCAGGCTGGAGTGCAATGGTGCGATCTCGGCTCACTGAAACCTCCTCCTCCTGGGTTCAAGCCATTCTCCTGCCTCAGTGTCCCAAGTCGCTGGAATCACAGGCGTCCACTGCCATGCCCTGCTAATTTTTGTATTTTTAGTAGAGATGGGGTTTCACCATGTTGGCCAGGCTGATCTAGAACTCCTGATCTCAGGTGATCCGCCTGCCTTGGCCTCCCAAAGTACTGGGATTACAGGCATGAGCCACCGTGCCCAGCCAGATTCTTTCATTTCACAGATGATGGAGCTAGTTTTTTGTGGAAGGGCATAAACCAAGCTGGGAGTCTGGTAAGCAGTGGACATTGGACTAGACCAGGCTTATCTGTTGTTAAATCCCATGCCCATATCCATTCTGCTACTCTGACTTTCCTGTTATTTAACTGCCAGTCTAGCAGAGGGAAATAGACAAGTTTACAATTTTTGATAATCATAACCCAGCAGGAAACTAAATGAACTGAAAGACAAATATTAATAATTTATACAAATATCCATTTGAGCTGTATGTTTCAAGGAATCCAAATTTGTCCCTTCAAAAGAAATACTGCTTTCAGCAGGGCACAGTGGCTTATGCCTGTAGTCCCAACGCTTTGGGAGGCCAAGGCAGGTGGATCGTTTGAGCCCAGAAGTTCGAGACCAGCCCAAGCAACATGGCAAAACTCCATCTCTACGAAAAATACAAAAATAAGCCAGCATGGCGGCATGTGCCTGTGGTCTCAGCTAATGGGGAGGCTGAGATGGGAGGATGGCTTGAACCCAGTAGGTCGAGGCTGCAGTGAGCTATGATTGCGCCACTGCACTTCAGCCTGGGCAACAGAGTGAGACCCTGTCTCCAAAAAAAAAAAAAAAAAAAAAAAGAAAGAAAGAAAGAAAAAGAAAAGAAGAAATACTGCTTTTGATTCAAGGCACTATATTCCCCCAGTTAGACCTGTCTTCAGCCTCTGTGGTATCTTTCTCACAGGTGGGGCTGATCATTTATACACACAATAGATGGGGGTTGACTTACAACAAGAACCTGAAGAGACCAACTTTGCCTTGCCTAAATGCCTTCCTTTTTGTCCTCTTTTCTTTCTTGCCTCACCTTGATGTCCTGCCTCCTGAAAAAAGGCAAGCTGTCGGGTAAGCTGCCAAACTTGGGAGGCCTGTAATAAAATAACTGCCTTTAACAAGGTCTGTTGATTAGGAGACTTGTTACAGCAATAGGCTCAGACAAGAGCTGAAAGAACTTAGATTTCAACTTCCTCTCACTCACGAATTAGCCTTTATCGTCAGCCTCTGTGTCCTCAAGAGAAAATTTCACATGTAAGCTGTTTGTGTAGTCTTCTTATTAATGTAAATAAACAAGACCCTAAATGAGATGCAGAAAAGAAGTTAATCAGGACCAGGCAATGTTTCCAAATCACTTACAGCAGTTGCTGGGAAAACAAAATTTTATATTTAAAACATCACACACAAAAATGTGCAACACTTCAGTCCAAGACATATAAACTGTGGGTTAGGGGAGTTCACTCCACCAACACTTAGAGTGACTTGAAAACATACAGACATTTAAAACATAAGCAAGAAAAGCCAGTCAACACTCTCTGGTCATGGGAACCCAAACTAACAATTCCAACATGCTGGAGGACCACAGAGTGGCCAAAGAAGTAGGTTCTGGCCATAGGGCTTTTGGCTTTCAGCCTGTTGGTTGCAAACAATCCCTGGAAATTTGAATCAAGAGTTACATGACCCGGTAACACCTGGAGAGAGGTCAACTGGGTGGCAGATCAAGGAGGGGTCATACAGTCATCAGGAGGGGACACGGAATCATCCCTCCTTTAAAGGTCTCTCCTTTTCAACCCCAAGGGTGACTGGTGGTACAGAACTCAGGCAACGCCAACAGAGATGGGAAGAAGGGGTCAGATTTTCAAAATACATTTCCAAGGAAGAGAAGGAAACAGGACTTCTTGAATGTTGGGCCAAATAACAAGAACTAATGATAGTAGTTAATAATTAGTGAGCACTGGACTCAATGCTTTTCATGGATTATCTCATTCACTTTTTCTGCCAGCTCTATAAGATAGGTATGATTATTATATTTCCCATTTTACAGATGGGAAAACCGAGGCTCAGGCAGGTCAAGTAGCTTAGTTCTTTAAGATATCTCGGCTAGTAAGACACAAAGCTGAGAACTAAACACAACTGTAGTGACTCCAAAGCCCATGCTCCTAATTTCCGTGCTACAGGAGGTTTTGTAGCTTGGGATATTGGACGGAATGATAGTTCCCTGAACCGAAACCCAGAGACACCTGACACTACAGCACCCATTGTTTTTCTTCTCCTTTTGGTCTGGGACTCATGTATCCTAGAGGAAAATGGTGGGACATCACAAGACCCCAGCCAACACTGCAGAAGCAAATTTCTTACCCTCAGTTGACTGGAACCGCGTAGCCAAGGACTGATGGCTAAGCCCTCCTGGGCTATTTCGGCCTCTTTCTCTGAGGCCTCAAAGACTCAGCATACTTTTCCTTTTCAAAATCTCTAAGATACATCCTACTCATTTAGGGTTCCTCTTTCAAGCCTAGCTGTGAGGTGCTACCTGATCTCCCCAGCTCTTCCCTTCCAGCTACCCCAGAAGAAAAGAGCACAGGCCTTCTTCATTTTAAGAGTTCTACTAACCACTAAAGACGACAAAAAGAGCAAACACAGAGACTTAGTGAGGGTGTTTGTCATTCTCGGCCTTTCCTTTTTCACCCTCTTGTTAATGAAATTAAGATGATTCAAGGCCTCTGCTCCTCTGTCAATGGAGGTCATGAAATCCTCCCTCCTTTCAAAGCTCTCTCCTTTTCAACCCTGAGTGTATCCTAGAATCACTTTGAAGGCTTTGAAAAGCTACTGATGCCCAGGCCTTACCCACAGGACTCTGCATGACTTGGGCTGGCACAGGCCTGGCCATGACAACTTGTTGAATGTTTCCCAGGTGATCCTACTGTGTGCCCATGACTCTGGGGCACCCAGACTGTGCCTCTTACCTAGGGGGATCCTTTTCCAAGCCATCCAATGCAGAGTACTCAACTGCGGGGAGATCTTGCCCTCCCCAGGAGACACTGGGAAATGTCTGCGGGTGTTTTTGATTGTCCAGTTGGTGGTTGGGGAGGAGAGCATGATGGCATCTGGTGGGGAGAGGCCACAGGTATTGCTAAACATCCTACAACGCACAGGACAGCCCCCACCGCAAAGAACCTTCAGGGCCAAATGTGGATAGAGCTGGAGTGGAGAAACCTTTGCCGTGAGGAGCCATCCTGTGCACTGTAGAATTATTGGTCTGAAATGTGAATAGTGCTGCTGTTGAAAAACCCTGCTCTCACAGAACCAGAGACACACACTGGTGCATTCAAACACCCATGTGTCTCTGAGGGGATCCCCAGAGCTGGGAGAGACCCTCCTGGAAGGGCCTTAGTCTTTGTGAAGCTCGCTCTTTCCTGGACAGCCCAGACTGTCATTACCATTCCAGAAACAATGCAGTGAAGGTCGCTGTGCCATATCCTTACAGACTTCATGCTTGAATAGATGGGGAAAAACCTTTCTCTGTCTTCAGAGAAGGGAACTGTGCTTTGTATTCTATTGCACAGTCATGCTCAGAGCACTCACACCTCTTTAATTATATAAAGAAAGTTTTTGAGGAAAGCATGACAAGAAACCCCAAAATTGGGGGTAAAATATAAACAAATGTTTTGGCTGATGTACTGCACATTTTTTAATCACAAAGTGTGTTTTCAGAGTATACTGAGCCCTGCCTAGAATGGCTCAAATTAAAGATCAAAGGCAGTGCCGTGACGAGACAGAGCAGAGCTCTGTGCCAATTTAGCATCCCCGTTTCCCCTCCCTGGAATAGCCATGTGGTCATCCATTTGCCTAAGAAGTGCTTGTCTGAAGCACCAGTTAAGACAGCAAGCATTGATTAAAGGAGAATTTTCTGTT
This sequence comes from Homo sapiens, assembly GCF_000001405.40. Classification (NCBI taxonomy): domain Eukaryota; kingdom Metazoa; phylum Chordata; class Mammalia; order Primates; family Hominidae; genus Homo; species Homo sapiens. The sequence goes on along the minus strand of NC_000015.10, from coordinate 71,630,166 downwards.
TTTTGTCTGTTTGTTTTCTTTTTTTACTGGGGGACTTTAGAGTGTAGTTAGATAGCAACAAATTTTAAAAAAGAAAGAACATGATTGAGAGCCAGCTTACAAAGACATAAGTTTGATGCTTGGAAAGTGGAAAATGTCAAGAGATTCCAACTAGAGACAGGAGGAGCAAAGCCGGCCAAGAGAGACAGAGGCCCCTCTCTGAGCACACAAGGGCCTGGCCACGTGGCTTGCGGGTACAAAGGCGCCTCCAAGGGTTCCAGAGCCAAGCCATCACTACCTTACAGCCAGAGTAACCCGAGGAAATAGGCTCCTGAGAGCTGAGGTTGCAAACCACGCATCCCAAATGAGAAAAAAGTATAGAAAAGCAGGGCTATCAGCTACATATAGGATGGATTTGATTTGGGATGGGGGCAAGGGAGGTAAATAAACAAAGAGAAGCTTACAGGGAGGCTGAGGCAACAATGTAGGTATGGGATGTGGAGTGGGGTGTGGGGAGGTAGAAGACGCAAGTCTACCCAACATCACAAAAGAACAACCAGGGGGCCTGAGCATCTCTTTATGTGTCACATCCTCTAGAGCTGAGTTCTCAAGAAACTACAAATGGAAAATGTGATGGAGAGTGACTGAGGAGGACGCTTTAGCTGGGATAGTTAGGGCGGGTGATATCTGAGTGTGGCCTGAAAGACACAGGGAACACGGAGGCCCAGCAGCTGCGGAAAGGCCCTCAGGGTCCCACTGGCTCTTCTGTCTTGAAGCAGGGTCCACACTGCCAGGTCTCTCAACAGTGCTTGATGCAAAAGGGTTTGGGTCTCCTCTACTGTCTGGCCGCCCTGCCCCCTAGATGAGGCCCAGTTTGTTGCAATCCACATTGAGATAAGGCTGGGAGACCTGAAGGCTGTCAGTTGTCCAGCTTCAGCCTTACTGGGCAGACAGTGCGGGTCTCTACTGCCAGTTCAGTATGCTGCTGTTCATGCAGAGGGAGCCCCCATGAGTTTTCTGGCCGTTCCACTACATTGTTTATTCAGATTGAGCCAACCCGGTGACAGATTGGATGTAGAGGCTGACAGAGTGAGAAAAGTCAGGGTGTTTCAAGGGTCTGGTAAGTTACAAACGTAACCAAACCCCGTGATAACTGTTTTGCTTTAGACACACACCACTAGATTATAAAACTGCCTTGTTTATCTTCGCATCGCAAGTGTCTAGAACAGTCTCCAGCTCACCATAGGCACTCAATAAATATTAGTTAGATGGCTGGATGACCAACCATATTTCTGTCACTGCCAGCCTCATTCTGCCTGTTTCCCGGGGATGCCTGGCTGGTGCCTCAGCAGGACAAGCAGCAGTTGTGAGTCAAGGTGGGGGCTTCCCAAACTTGCATGGATTTTCTGTTTTCTCACCTGGGGAAGAGTCACCAAATTCATCTGTAATCAAAGACTCTTGAACGTCTCCATCAAGATCAAGATTCGATTCTCAAAGTGTATTGACACCCTTGTTACGCAAAGTGTCACCTGCAAACTAACAGCATCAACATTGCCTGGGAGTTGTTAAAAATGCAGAACCTCAGGCTTCACCCTAAACCTCCTGAAGAGGAATCTGCATTTTAACCAGATCCCAAGGGGACTCGTGTATGCGTCCCAAAGGGTGAGCAGCCCTGGTCTCTGCCAAATGGGCTGAGACCTGGTGCACCTTGCTTCAAATTCCCGTTCTGCTCCTTGATTGCTGCGCCACCTTGGATAAGTTAATTTCTCTGATCTCTGGTGTCTTCATATTTAATATGAGAATAAATAATGCATAGGGTTGCTATGAAACATGAGGAAGTGTGAACATAAAACTATCCAGTTAAGAAGGTTTCAAGTAAGGCTGTGTGTCATTCTCAGCCTTTCCTTTTTTACCCCCTTGTTAATGAAATTAAGATGATCCAAGGCTTCTGCTCCTCTGTCAATGGAATCCTCCCTCCTTTCAAAGCTCTCTCCTTTTCAACCCTGAGTGTATCCTAGAATCACTTTGAAGGCTTTGAAAAGCTACCGATGCCCAGGCCTTACCCACAGGACTCTGACTGACTTGGGCTGGCACAGGCCTGGCCATGATAACTTGTTGAATGTTTCCCAGGTGATCCTACTGTGTGCCCATGACTCTGGGGCACCCAAACTCTGCCACTTACCTAAGGGTAAGAGAATGCTTAGCTGGAATATGGAAGGGCCCAGCGAACGTTTATCAGGTTGTCCATATGTGAACCTTTCTAAAGCTTTGTCTTCCTGAAAACATAGTCTGCTGGTAACCCCCACATGAAGTTCCTGTTCATTGTGAAAACCAAATTTCTGCCTTGACCCAGGAGATGCTCTGCTTGAAACCACCATATAATTAAACTCTTCAGTGACAAATGACTCACAGCTCAACTGGAAAAAATCTCTCCTTACTCTGAACCAAAATCTTCCTCTCCCCTGCCCTATTGTACAATACCCTGAAAATAATCTGTAATTCTCATTCCATGGGGATTCTTAATTTATAAGAAGAGAAATATTTTTCCCCTACTGTCATTTCCAGCTCAGATCCAACAGGCGGTCCTCATATGAGATTTCTGGACCCCTATAACCTTGGTCAAACTCCTCTGAAGGCAAGTAACTGGTTATTTGATACCCATGTGTCCTTCTAAAAGCTAAACCTACTTCTCATCTAGTGAAGGGGCTGCCATTTACAGCCAATGGTGTTGTGGTACGGCCTGAGCTTGTGCAAGCTCAGATTCTCTGAGGAAAGTCATTTCAGTAGCACTGGCCCTTTGATGCCTGGGGCTCAAGTCACTGATCAAAAGCCAATGCCATGATTCAGCCCTACTGGCCCTGTCACAGATGAAGATGTCGGAGAGGTGACATACTACACAAACCCATATGAGCTGAACATCTTCCTCTTGAGGTTCCCTCCTTAGGATGGATGAATAGAACACACTGATCAGAGAAGGAACATTTAACTCCCCTTCACACAGACATCTATTCTGACAGTCCTCTGCCCAGCAATGGGATAGCTCTCCTTTCCCTTTCTGTAACCTCAGGACATGTTCCTTTTCTTCCATGAACACCTAAAAAAAAAGAGTGTCAAAACCAACACAAAAGAAACAGAAAATGTATACAGACAAATCTCCATGGACTAAATTCATATAACAGAGAATCTTCCTATGTCCTACCTCCCTTCCTCAAATATTAGACGTAGACAGTTTTATGGGTAAGTTCTATCAAACATTCAAGGAGCAGATAATTCCCACTTTACAAGTTGTTTCTGAGTACAGAAAAAGAAGGAAAGCTGCCCATCTCATTTAATGACATAGTATGTCCTTGATTCCAGAGCTAGATAAGAACAGTGAAAGCAGAGAAAATAACACGTCAATGCTACCTATTTTGAAATGTCATGATCTTGAGTAAAACACTAGATAATGAAATCCAGTGGTATGTTAATGTGGTAATGCGTTATAATCAGATGATTTTTATCACAGAAGGTAAGGATAGTACAAAATCGGATAAAATCTCTAAATGTAATTCATTCCATCATTGGTACTACAGAAGAAAAATCATATGGGAATCTCAAAAGATGCAATTTAAATAAAGCATCTTTTGATGCTTTAAAAATCTGTTAAAGTTCAATGCATATTTAGTGTAAAAATTCTTAGAAAAACTTAGACACAGAAGGGCACATTATGAATCTGAAAATGGTTTCTACCAGAACCTACCTCCACAGAAACCACCACTCTCAAAAGAGAAAATTTAATACACATTCCACTGAGGGTCTGGAAGAAGACAAAGATGCCCACAGTCACCATGTTGTTCAATAAGATATAAGTGCAATAACACACAGGAAGGAAATAAGAAGTATTAGTGCTGGAAAACATGAGAAAAGGTTGCCATTGTTTGCAGATGTTGTTTTTCTTACTTAGAAAACCGAATAAAATCCAACAACTCTGAGAATTAGAGAGTACCAAAAGATTGCAAGTTACAAGATACCATAAATTGTACGTCTCTATAACCAACAATAACCAACCACAAAAAGAATGCAAAATAACATACTCTTCACAATAGCACCAAACATTATGAATTACTTAGAAATTAAGCTCACAAACACTGTATAAGATCTTTGTAGAAAAATGTATAAAAATCCTCTAAAAGGACGTAAAAGAAGATCTAAATAACTGGAGAGATGTGCCACAATTTTGAATGACAAAACCATATTTGATTTACCCATTTCTAATCCTGCAGAGTCCTCCAGGAAGTCTTCCGTGACTCTCTAAACAGGATTATGGACTGCCAGTCTGTGCTATCCCAGCTGCTGTGCCCCTCTCTACCTTAGCAATCTATCACCTCTTAGTCTCCACCCCCTCCACCCTGGAATTGTGAGCTCCCTGAGCAGACTAAATTTTCCTCATCCTGCACTCCTAGCATTGAGCACAGTGCTTGGAATATAGTTACTGCTAATTAATACTTATTGCATGAATGAATAAAAGAGACCAATGCTTGTTTGCATGGTCCCACTTATTTGCTATTTGTCAAGATAAACACAAGGACCACTTTCATCTAAGAGTAATGGATATGGGAATGACAGTAACCAAGAAGACCTAAGAATCTTAGAGATTTATCATAGTCTCTAGTACCCAACTCTGTCCTTTGTCCTCCTGTTTTTCTCTTTTATTTGAGTGCAGAATTTTTCAAACTTCTCCTCACCTTCTTTCTCATTTCTACATGGTACTCCTCAGTTCCTCAAGAAGCTCTTTCTTTGAGATTTAGTCTCTTGAAGAGCCCCCAATATACTCAACAGGCAATCTCATCTCCAAGAACCCTGTAGAATAGATGGATTTATCAAAGGTCTTCACTGGCCCAGGCTGTGGCTGGTGGCTCACACCTGTAATCCCAGCACTTTGGGAGGCCAAGGCGGGTGGATCACCTGAGGTCAGGAGTTCAAGACTAGCCAGGCCAACATGGTGAAACCCCATCTCTACTAAAAATACAAAAATTAGCCGGGGGGTGGTAGTGCATATCTGCAGTCCTGGCTACTTGGGAGGCTGAGGCAGGAGAATCACTTGAACCTGGAGGCAAAGGGTGCAGTGAGCTAAGATGGCACCACTGTACTCCAGCCTGGGAAACAGAGCAAGACTCCATCTCAAACAAACAAACAAACAAACAAACAAAACAACAACAAAACAAGCTCTTCACTGGCCCACTAGAAAAAAATAAGTATGCCTGGATCCCATCCCAGCCACCAGGAATCAGATTCTTTAGGAGGTGAAGTCCAGGTGTACATGTATGCCCAATATCTGTCAAGATCAATGACAGTATAATGGATTGCTCACCAGATGATCCTAGCACAGGACATCTTTCACATGGCTTTCTCTGCAGGCAAGGCTGACAGGGTCTTTTTGCTGGGCTTGAAGGATGACTTCATGCCACCATATGAGTTGGATTCCTGGCCAATGACAACAGTCCATGGCCTTCTTTAGACTGAAGCAAAAAGCCAGACTAGACTTCCACTTGAACAAGGCATCATAAAAAAAAGAGGGCAGGTGTGAAAACAGGATTGGATTTACACATTAACACCAAATGAGTCCAAAACACAGGGTTTCAATTAAGCCACACACAAAATGCCTTCCATATTGATTACTTTCATCAAGAACTAAGGCTGTCACTCCATGGCAAAGAAATATACTGGCAGATTTATTGGACATTTCCTCCCCACCAAAAACTACTTTTACAGGAAAGTATTCCCCAAAAATGTGATTTAAAGTGTTTACAAATTGAAGATTAAATAATTCAAATATATAACATGTTCATCTATTTTGTTGTTGTGGATGCTGTGGTATGCAGTCCGGATTCCTTTCAGGACTGAGGCTGGAGACTCAGAGCTGAATCCCCCACATAGGACTGCTTTGCTCAAGTGTTCTCACTGGGGGCAGCTGGTATCCACTGATTGGGTGATGGAGGGGCATAAAGGCCCTGTCCCATTGCTTCTATTGGGACAACTCTGAAAGGTCATTGTGGCTCCAGAACTCCCTGTAGGATATGTTAAGTTATCTGTTGGACCTGATCATTCTTGCAGCCCTTACCCTTCACGTGTTGTTCTCGATCACTCTCCCTAGTAGACCTCCTGCAGACAAATCTCAAAGTCTGTTTCCCAGGGAAGCCAATCCATGACATCTGTCTGGTTCATGAATTAATTCACTGTTGTAAGACTTGATTATCTGATTAGATTTTTTTTTTTTTTTTTCTTGAGAGGGAGTTTTGCTCTTGGCATCCAAGCTGGAGGGCAATGGCGCCATCTCGGCTCACTGCAACCTCCACCTCCCAGGTTCAAGTGACTGTCCTGCCTCAGCCTCCTAGGTAGGTGGGATTACAGGTGCCCGCCACCATGCCTGGCTAATTTTTGTATTTTTAGTAGAGATGGGGTGTCACCACGTTGGCCAGGCTGATTTTGAGCTCCTGACCTCAGGTGATCCCGCCCACCTCGGCCTCTCAAGTGCTGGGATTACAGGCGTGAGCCACTGCTTCCGGCCGATTCTCTGATTAGATTTTAAACTTTTTTGATGAAATATTGAGTCTTAACTACTTTAAGATGCCATAATACTGAATACAGTGCTAAGCAAAATAAATATTGACTAGTTCTCATTTCTATCTTTCAAATATTTCTAATGCTCCTCTTTTATAGCATGGGCTCAGGTATCAGATGGCGTAGGTCAAGATCTTGGCTCTACTGTTTACTTACGGGAAATACTTTTATGTTGCTAAATCTCAGTTTTCTCTTCTGTAAGACGGGATTAAAGTACTTCTTTCATAAGGCTATTGTGATGATTAAAGAGTATAATCTATGTAAAGCATTTCGCACAATGCCTGGCACATAAACATTCAATAAATGGTAGTTGTTGTCATTAATGGCATAACACTGGCACCACTCTGGTAACCTTAGTTATTGTCTTAATCATCACTTTGCTCCTTGATTATTATAATAGAAATTGGTGTTCCTAACACTCAGTTTTCCTCTTCATTACCCCTTCCCTCCAATTCTTTCCAGTGGCACCAAATTAATTTTCTTAAAATATGGCTTTTATTACATTTTCCTCTGCTCAATATTTTTCAGGGACTCCTGATTACCGAGACCTCCATCAACTGGCACTGCTGGAGCCATCCAACCAGCACTGCAACAGAAAAGACTCCTCTTCCTTGTCCTTGGAACATGGCTCACTCTGGCTTGCTCTTATTTTCTTTATCAATCCAAATCCTGCCCAGCTCAATGTAGATCCCATTGAACAAATCTCCCCTCAATCTAGGTCCATAGCTACCTCTGCCTATCCTGAGCCTTCACTTACCCTAACAGTATCCTGCATTTCCAATACTGTATGATCAAAGGTCTCCCTAAACTTCTAGCTTTCCCTCAGGCTTCATAACTGACTTAAAAATCTCCCTTGATAAACTCTTCATCAGGACTTCCTACAAAAATTGCTATTCTGAGCTTCTCCATTGGTCCTTAGCTGCTTTTCACATCATTAAAATTTACAAAAAGAGGGTAATAAAAAGTAGATTGAACATCTTGAAAAAAGTATTTAGAACATGTTAGAGAAAAGTGAATCACACGTGTAAATAATACACAAGGCCAAATGCTAAGTTGCAATGAAGTAAAGAGACATACGGAATTTGTCAAAAAGGAGTCAACTGGCTTCCAGATTTGGGAGACTGATGCCTCTGAGTTATTTTTGCTGGTAAAAATTCCAGTTTATGAGTAATATTTGGGACATGGTATCAACAGTCAACAGTTCACAAACTCTTGAAAAAGTCTCCAGTAGAAAAGGTTTAATTAAACTTGACAGAAACTCTCTAGCAGCTTTCATAAGTAATTGCTATTACCCAAAATAGGACCAACTCATAAATTGCATGATTTCAGAAATGATGAATCAATAAAAATGTTTATAGAAAGAACATTTTGATTAATTCCTTCAGAGTAACAAATTCATGGCACATGTGATAAATCGAGATTTCTATTGTAAATTAGGGAAACCCAGAAATCAAACCCAGCCTTCAAATACAGCCCTTTGGATAACTGATCCCAACTTTTGGCATCGGGAATTGCTTTCTAAACAGCTCCTCCAAGATCACCTGAACCACACCTCTGGGCCTCATTCCTGAGACAGGTTCAAAATCACTTCGATTCTCAGTCATGCTAACAGCCAAGTAAGATTAATGATAGATAATATATCATGATTACAAAGAAGTCTTGATAAATCAAGCAACAAGTTACCCAAAAGTAACTAATGGCTTCTTTTTCTACCTATAAACTCAACAACAACAAATCATTAGCAATTGTAATAAAATAATATCTCCTCTATTACTGAGACTTAACATGGAAGTTCCATTTATCTAGAGCACAAGTGAATATTTTTGTTATATGGCACTGTGTTCATAGCAAATGACTTGAACTTCTACAAGAATCTAAAAGGCGTTTTCAGCCATCAATGAATATGAAATTATTTTCACCACAGTTTTAGTGTCCAAACATAGCTATTAATTTTTGAAAATATTATTGAATGATAGCTATAGTAACAGTTAATCAGAATATCAATAACTTAACACTCCAATGGAAATGTACACATGATTATTTAATAGGTACAATATTACTATGTCATCCCCGTAAACTACCTTTTTTTTTCTCCAAAATGCTCTTCAGTTACTGAATGAGTGTGCAAAACAACAAATAACTGGAATAAAGTTAGTGTTTCATAGCATCTCAGGGTTGAAAGGGACCTTTAGGAACACCCAAATCAATCCCTCATCTGGGACAACTGTCCTAGCAACTCATGGGTTCTTTTCCATGTTAATGATCTCCATTGAACTTACAAAAAATGTACGCTTGTTTTCAGTCAATATCTTGACAGCAATTTTCAATTTTTCCTGTAGAAACTCGTAATTAAGTAGTATTTTTATTAGTACCTCTCACACATTTAATTATATATTGTATTTCACAGCAATCTAAATTACCATTAATTGTAAGTTATATCCTGGGTTCTTAGATGTTAAGATGTGAAACAATTGTGCATTTTAGAATTGATAATCCATGGTACTTTGGGTGTATAATTATACTTACAAAGGAAAAGAAATCATGAACATAGAATATGGGGCAAAGGACCCCAGAAATCATCTTGTCCAACGTCCTACCATCCTATTTTAAAGATCAATAAATTTACAGCCAAAGAAATTATCTGCCCAAAATAACACAATAGGAGGCAGCCAGAAAGGAGACCATAACATAGGTTGGACTCCCAGCCAGAAACTGACCCTGCTGCTTATTAGCCTTTTTAACCCTCTACCCCACCTGAGAGTTAAGACATGTCTCCACTACTAAGAGTGGTCACCAGAGCAATAAGTCTATGTTGGAGGGGTGGGCAAAGTTGGAAGGATGGCATCAGATATGTGCAGGTTGAATCTATCCACTCTGAGGCTTCATTTCTCAAGCCTTGTGCAAGGTTATACACAGAGTACATAGATCTAATTATGTTATTTGTCACCACTATCATTAATAAGGTTGCTTCAGCTGAGTTAATCAGCAAGAATAATGAGCTACTCTTGGTGCCCTGCTAATGACATATCATCAGACAAAAAGTTGGCCTTGAATTCCTGGGCTCAAGTGATCCTCCTGTCTCAGTCTCCTGAGTAGCTGGGACTCCGGGCATGCACCACCATGCCCGGCGAATTTTGTTATTATTATTATTTTTTTTTGTAAAAACAGAGTTTTGCTATGTTCCCCAAGCTGATCTCTAACTCCTAGTCTCAAGCAATCCTCTCACCTTGTCCCCTTGAAACTCTGGGATTACAGGCATGAGCCCCCACACCCAGCCAGACAACTATGTTTTTAAATACCAATAATATGTTAGACACCATATTAAGCATTTTTCATTAGTTAGCTCACTTCATTCTTAACAACTCAATTTTTTGGATGAGAAAACAGAATATCAGAAATGTTAGGTAACTTTCCCAAAGCCTCACAGGTACTAAAGTGGCTGAGCTAGGCTCTGAAGCCCAGTTTGTCTGCTTCAAATGCTGGGCTGTTTCCTCTATGCCTCCTTCTTAGGACTCTCAAAGGCCTTTAAACCACACATCATTACAACTTGCAGAACATCCTATATTTTTCTTCTCACTGACTTCTAGGACTACACCTGAATTTCTAAAGAGCTATATGTAACTCTAGTCTTCTAGGCTGGTCACACTTGATGGAGAATATGTCGAATATATACTAGCTGAACAGAAGAAATATTAAGAAATAGTTAAACAACGTCAAACCTTGGTCAGGATCACCAATCAGGTATCAGTTGAATTAGTTGGAAAAATGAACTGTTACTGTCAGACAGACCTCCCTCCATGTGTATGCATTTATTTCCACCTACCAAATAAAGTTCTATCTGAAACAGACAGCGTGCTGTGCCCTATGCTTGTATGTTCTGTTTGGAGTTACATGTTTGAATATAATGCACGGAGAGAAGAGAAAACTTGAGCCACAAAGAAACAGAATAGATAGGAGCAACAGAAATTTCAATGTATATTATCACCAACTGGGGGTAAAACTTTGTTTCAGGCAAGTAGAATGGGACCAGGACATAAGTCATCCAGCAAGGATTTATGGAATCTTAGGAGCAGGCTACTGAATGAGAAAATAACAAATTTGCTCAAACGTAACTCTCCCGGTGCCTCTGCCCCTTCCGAACACTGGGGCCTGCCTTGTTTTCCAGATGCTAACTATCCTGGCTCTCCTGGGTCCGCAGAGAAACCTTTCTGGGTGTTTGACAATGCTTTCATCTTTTTAATTTAAATCCTGGTTTGGCTCTTTAAAAATCTGTAAGATATGTAAAGATGCAGAAAGATATAGAAAATAATATCCAAGACCAGGCGCGGTGGCTCATTCCTGTAATCCCAGCACTTTGGGAGGCTGAGGTAGGTGGATCATCTGAGGTCAGGAGTTCAAGACCAGCCTGGCCAACATGGTGAAACCCCATCTCCACTAAAAAAATACAAAAATTAGCCGGGCGTGGTGGTGGGCACCTGTAATCCTAGCTACTGAGGAAGTTGAGGCAGAAGAATTGCTTGAACCCAGGAGGCAGAGGTTGCAGTGAGCCAAGATTGTGCCACTGCACTCCAGCCTGGGCAACAAGAGCGAAACTCAAAAAAAAAGAAAAAAAAAAGAATATTCAAGTATCCACCAAATTAAGTTTTTGTTACTTTTGTTTAAAGTACCTTCCTTTTTGAGAAAACAAAACATTATTAATAATGTTGAAGAGGCTGTGCACGGTGGCTTATGTCTGTAATCCCAGCACTTTGAGAGGCTGAGGCAGGCGGATCGCTTAGGTCCAGGAGTTCAAGACCAGCCTGGGCAACATGGCGAGACCCTGTCTCTACAAATAATTTTTTTAAAAGTCAGCCTGGTGTGGTGACACGCACCTGTGGTCCCAGCTACTCAGGAGGCTGCGGTTGGAGGATCACCTGAGCCCAGGAGGCTGAGGCTGCAATAAGCCGTGATTGTGCCACTGCACTCCAGCCTGGGTGACAGAGTGAGACCCTGTCTCTTAATAATAAAATAATGTTGAAGAACCTTTTGTTGCACCATCCCCATTTCCACCCCCTCCCAAGAGGCAGCCTGTGATGCCGGGGTATATCCCTGCTTTTATATTTTATATTTTGTGTTGTCTTTAGCAATTTGCATATTGGTAACATAACTTTAGTAGCTTGCTTTCTGCGCTCTGTTGTTTTTGAGATCTATCCACGTCGACACATATGCGTATAGTTTAGTCGTTTTAACTGCTGTTAAAGTGTGCGCATGTGGGAGAGGTGCCCTAAAGTGTATACCTGGAAGTGGGATTGCTTACTTTTATGGAGTGTGCATTTTCAATTTTACTAGAAAGTGCCTCTGTCTTTAACTTTTGCTTGTCAATTCATGCAGTTTCTGTATCTAAACAAGGTGACCTCCAACAGCATTAGGTTAACAGAGAATTTTTATGAAAACTTAACCAGGGTTCAAAGAGCATCATACTTTTCTTCAGAAGACCACTTTGGATATTTCTTGGTTTTAGATCTTTCCATGACTGAAAGTGTTTCCAAGCTTTGGGCTAGGAACAGAGATGGAAAAATACGGACCCTTGTTGTTCAGAGGTGTGTGCTGATTGTTTGGAGTCTTTGGACATCAGCTCATGCCAGCCAGGGGGGAATTGGTAAATGGCCCCTTTGAGAAAAAAGATAAACAGAAATCAAGAAACGCTGGAGCTAACTGGAAAATTGTTTTCATAATTCAATTTTGTTTTACATAACCTTGCTCCCCCAAATGTTAGTAATTTAGCTCAAAGAGCTGTTAGTGTTATTAAATAGTCACTAAATGTTGCAGAGGCAGCTCAGCAAAATTCACGAATGGAGAAACCATTTTATGACCATCGTTTCACCTCCGGGGGTGGCTCACTGCATTTTGTTCCAGGCCCCTAGGGCCCAGAGGTAATAACATCTGTATTTTTAAGACCAGCTTTGCACCACACCTGCATATCAATTCCCCTTTCTGACTTCTGCCTCTAAACCAAAGCCAAATGTTTGGCTACGGATTTGGTTTCCAGGGTTCGGCTGAGTATGAAAGGCAGCAGCTCCAAGACTTCACTGGTCCCACCAAAAAATTGTTTAAGTGAGGTTAATTGAGTCCTGGGAAAGTTTAAAAAATTGAAATCCTTAGAGGAAACTGAGATGAAGGGAAAGAAAGGGAGAAGAAGAAAAAGAGAAGGCAATGAGAAATGACTGACAAAAACAGAAGTTAAATCAAATGATGATATTAATTAAAAAAATTTAAACTAAAATCATTTAAAAATTAAAATATTTAAAAAATCATTTTAGTTTAATTTCACATACTTCCATTAATTCGTTTCTGGCTTGTATCTGATTTTATTGCAAAACTAGAAAATTACTATTAAATGTTCTAACATCAACTGGAGGATAGGAAATTTGAGGAGGGTAAGAAATCTCAGATTGGAGTTTATGTTAGTTGGTTTATCACTCTAAGCTTCTGAGGACATTTGCCATGATATCACATGATGCAATATGAATCAATTCTCTAATTTATAAATTATCTTCTAATAATTAGAAGTAATTCTAGATTGGCCACTCCCTGGTAACAGGTTGGAAGTCCCTTTAAACTAATGGCTAAACCCTTCTGAGCCCCTATTACAGGCATGGGTTACTGTGAGCAGTTGATCTAGAAAACAGTGTAAATGAAGCTTTCGAGGAGATTTGCTGCACAGTGGCCCTAATCGAGAAAGCTTTCTCGTAGAGAGTTAATCCTATTCATGATGAATGAAGTGAAACAGTCACAGATGCTTGGAGATGAAGACCACCCAGTCCAATCCAAGCCTCTTGCCCAATGCAGGAATCTCATCTACAGCTTTCCATCCAGCCATTGCTAGAACATTTCCAGTGAAGAGAGCTCTTTGCGTCTGGGTGCAATTCTATTTTCTAGGAAATGCTTCCTCACAGTGGATTGAATTCAGGCCCCTTACTACTTCTACCCACTGGTCGCAGTTCTGCATTGTGAGTAGTACAGAAAAGTTCTAACCCTATTTTCCAAGTTTTGAAGATGGCACTGTTGCCACCACTTGTCTGCCTCTACCTGTTCTTCTTCAGGTTAAATCATGCCATCTCTTTCTCAATTGTCCTCTTTGGATTGGAACCCTATATTACTGGTCCTGGTCACCCTCCCTTGGGTATGTTCTAGTTTATGAAGGCCTTTCTTAAAATAAGCACCTAAGAATGGAACATGATGTAGTCTGACCAGCAAAACATAAGAGGATTATGCTCAGAACCCTACCTTTCTACTAAGACATTCCACAATTAGATTCACTTTTTAAACCTTTTTTCATACTAGTGGTTTTTACTGAAGGTCAGTTCCAATTTTCTGACCATTTTTAGGTGAATTTCAGAGTATTAAGATCAGCTATTCAAGTCTGTCTGTTCAACAGATTTTTTTTTAAGGAACTGCCATCAAGCTTAGATGTGGTTTCCAAATTATACCCACCTTCCATTTTGAAAACATGGACATTTGTCCATCTTTAGTCTTACAGTTTTTCAATCAATTGGCACATTTGTACTGTGTGTCTATCCTGGGCCAGATGTTGTGCTGTGAGGTGGGTCAGTGAATAAGACACAATTTCTGCTCTCAAGGAGCCTCTATTCAGTGAGGAGAGTCACATGAATGCACAGAAGGTTACAGGAGCTCAGAAACAAGATGCCTCTGAGAACATATTCATCCACACTAAAGAGGCATCGTTCCCTGGGGTGCTGGGCTCAACCTGCACACAATGAGTGTTGGTGGGAAGCCCAACTTCATCTTAAATGCCTGGGTCCTTCATCTTCTCACCTAGCCAGGGCTGCAGAGGCCTCTTTTCGCTGTTGTTTACACCCTTTCTCATGTGAAGAGCAATTTCCATCCAGGAAAAGACAGAATACAAGAGGAAACAGCTCTTGTTTCCCTTTGACATTGTTAACATTATTCTTGGGGCCTAAGGAAGAAGCCTGGTCCTCTACTCTGTACCTACTTATTCTAAAGGATGATGATGATGAAGATAATGGGAAAAGAAGTAGCTTCTGTTTAAAAAAATATTCATTCTGTGTAAGGTACATTATATAGTATAAAATACATAATTACATATATTTATATAAATTTATAAATGCATATTTCCCTTCTTACCCTGGTTCTCATTTTCTTTCAGTGGCATTCCTCAGCACAGTAAAGTGGATTGAATTTACAGGTTTTTGCTTGTTGTCTTATTAATTTACTTACGTACCTATCTACATTTTATTTTTAATCTTCCATCCTTTGGGAACCATATTTTCCTTTGGAGTCTCTGACCAGGGGACCCTGTTTATCTTTTCTAAAAATAGAGATTCCATGCATCACAGAAATCTCATTTCCATTTTTCCATTTACATGTAAAAGGGAAAAGTGAACAAGTCTGTGGGCAGAAGTAGAGAGCTATAAAAAAATTGGCCAATTGTTTTCCCTTACAAAACCAAATCTGCACAAATCAATTTACATAGAAAGTAGTGTAATCTGAGAGCCATTCTGAATGCCAGCTCTTTCTCAGGTCCTGTTTTTGAAAATTGGGCAGTAGTTTGATAGAGAGGGTGGCATCTTCCTATTCCGCGCAACACCTCATGCACAGGCTTCTAAGAACTCGTGGAGGGAAGCATGCTCCGCAGAGGTCCTAGCCAGGAGTCGGCCTCAGTTAACTTGAACCTCTGGGATGTTTGCTTATACTAGTGGATGCTTCTTTCCCTTTCAGGTCCAGCTGACTGCCTCTCTCCTTCAAAAGAAGGAAGTAATCATCCCCTAGTTTCCTTGTATTCCGTTGCTGCTCTCTTTGAACATTACATATGCTTCATCTCCACTCAGAATCTCATTTTTTCTTTGGAATCCTCTACCATGATCATAACCAATATTGACCTCTCATTCTCTTCCTATACTTGAACTATGTCTTATAACCCAAACATTTCTGGATTTAATTATTTTCAGAAACTATTATTTTAAAATTTCACATTTAGGGATGTTCTTTTCAGTGAGGTGACACACCACAAGGTAGGAACCAAAATTTACTCTTCTCTCCTTCTGAAAACAACATCCGTTAGGTCATCGGGGATAGGTGAGATAAATGAATGGAAACGTTGCACACAGAAGATGGAGACTAGCAGGGAGGACTTTAGGAGTAGGTGTGAGAACCAGGAAAACTTAGCATCCTCTCAGTCAGGAGACTAGAATTCTCCAGAAGGCTCTGAGGTGGAAAAAGCAGGCGAAAATGACAATTGGTTTTGGTAATTAGGCAACTTCTAGTGTCCTCAAGAGTAATGGTGGCCGAATCCAGGCTGGAATGGATACAGAATGAAGTAAATGGTGGCGAGGAAATGCAAGAAGTGGGTCGAATTCTTCCCAAACAAAGGTACTCTTCTCTGTACTTACTTCTACTTTTGGGAAGAAGTGTTTAACCTGGGACAGACAGAAAAATGTTTGGCCAAAATAGAGTTGCTGCATTTTATAGAAAGATAAGAATAGGGTTCTTTAGAGAACAAGCATTTATATTCTGTTCCTGCCTCAACCACAGAAATTGGCTGTCTGGAGATGGCTTCCATGCTTAAAAGTTGCATTAATGAATATTCCTTGTATTACGAGGATAGAGAAAAGGGTCTATTTATTGAGTTTATGGTCTAGTCTACATGCAGCAAACCCCCATTCAGACCATAGACAGATATCAGTTACAGATATACAAAGCCCAGATGAGCTATACCTATACCCCACATAAAAGGAGGCATATTGCTCAGCAGGGAATTTGGCCAAAATATGATACTATTTTCCACCTAATCAGGACTGGTTTATTGGAGTACAGAGTTCTGCATGGAACCTATGGTTTAGATGAGATATGATCCTGTGTGTGCACAGAAGAAACCCTTCAGAACACAATAGCTGGTGAAGGTATGGATTCATAAATAAGTTGCAGAGGAAAAAAATGAAGATGTAGTCAGTTTAGTTTTGCTTGGGTGGATGTAGAAAGCTGTGAAAATGAGAGGGTCTAGATAAGGAAGAGAAATTTAATAGATTGTGACTTATTTTATATATGTGGCTCCATATGTATCTTCTGGCTAAAGATTAAGTTGTAATAGACAATTGATAAACCCATACATCCTCCTCCTATTTATGTCTTAATTCTTCAAATCAGGGTTTCGTAAAGTGGTTCTGAATCTGCAGGACTTAAAAAAATGTTAAAAATTGAAAAAACAAACAATGGATCCAGGGACAAGTTTGGGAAATGTTAAATGATACCAAATTAACCAAGTTTCCTTAGTGCAAGATATCCTAGAGGCTTTACTATGCCAGCGAGCCTTATGAATCTCCAAGAGGGGCACATAATACACGGCATTTCTTGAATTTACTTCCATATAAAACTCTTCCCATGCAAGACTCACAGGGTTTGAGGTTCTGAAACATGCTTTGGGAGAGGCTGCTTTTCACCACCTCTGCTTATACAAATACTACACCCTTGACTAGGGCCATTAACAAATGAAAATGCATTTGCTTTTCCATAAGTCAAGGTGAATTTCACAATGCTTTTCAATTAAGGAAGCAGACTCCACAAATCCTTTACCTGTGACCATTTACATGTGACCATGTGACAAGGGCCCTTATTAAACAAACAATAACACTCAAGATAGAATTACTGCCAAAAAACTAATCTATGAGTTTACTTCTTCCTACTGATGGCAATAGAGTTCTGTCTTTAGCCATAGTTAGCAATCACCAGAAACTTCAGCAAAGCAACACCCATCCATTTTGTTCTAAGCTTTTTGGAGTACCCTGGCTTGGACCTTTGAGCCATATCAATGCATTGACTCTCTGTTGGGAAATAATTTCACAGCTGGGGCCTCTTTCTGACTGTGACCCTTTGAGTTGTCAAATTCAGAAGGCATAGCAGACATGAGAGGAAGTTGAATGGCCTCCCATTCCAGTCCCCTAGCAATGTGTCAAAAGTTTAAGCAGCTGCATATCCCTCTTGTCTCCATCAACAGCTGCAGCACGGAACCCATCCCTTTCATGGGTGTCAGCCCAGAAAACAGCCTAACAGTGTTAGGTTCACACATTAACAACCTGAGCAACCTCACTGAGCCTAGGATAGCAGTTGGGCTTCCTGGGACCTGCCCTTTGAATTCCAGATCCTCCCTCTTTGTGCAACCACTTTTTCTATGAAATATTTATTTTCAGAAATCCTTCAAGGAACCATCTTACACAAGAGGTTTGCAGAAGAAATCTGGCCTCAATCCCACCGGGGGGTGATTGTTGAAATTGTGAGCTCATCCGACTGACCTCAGAGAGCCTCATTACATCTTTTACAAAAGGCTTTAATTCCCCTTTAGTGATCACACTGACAAAAGCACAAAGATGTCAGGTCATTCATGACCCCTTTCCAAAGGTCTCCCAGGCCTCCTGGCCCCTCCCTGACCACACAGCTAGTGTTTCCCAAGTCTTTGAGAGTTGTCCATTTCCAGAGAAATGGCTAAGAGGGGATATCTTCCAAATGACCCAGTTTTCCTGGGACCCCACAAGTCTTAGCTGCAGCTGGTACACAATACTCAACTGATTTAAATGCAGTTCTTGGCGAAGAGTACTCACTCAACTGCTCAGTTCAAAGCCTCCAAGACCTCATCCCTGCCCAATTTTCCAAACTAATTTACAGCCATTTCCCATCCTCCCCTCCCCACCATTACATCCTCATCCAGCAACCCCAGGGATCCAGGCATTTCAGAATATTCTCTGTTCCTTAATCCTGTCTTGCATATTCTTGACTCAGGGCTTTCACCCATGCTGTAGGCTCTGCCTTATTTGTCCTCATTCGCTTGGCAAACAAAAAGCCTCCTGTAATTTCCAACTGAAATGTCATGTTCTCTGAAACCTTTCCTGGCCACCCCAGGCCGGGTTAATCCTTCTCTGTTCTCTGCACATAACATTAATCGCCCACCTGTCATATTACACAATGGTTGCTTGTTATTGATCTGTGTCTCCTATGTCTAGACTGGGAGCTCTTTGGGGGTCCCCAGTGCTTAGCACAAAGCAGGTGTTCATAGGATGTTCACTGAAAAGAGAGAAGCACTGTAGCGTTTTCACTGTGAATGGGCACAGGGGTTGCTGAGTGAGAATTAGCATAGGGGTTTTTGCCGGGGTAGGGGCTGGCAGCAGGAAGTAGGCAGCAGCAAATGGAAAAGGCTGGCCTGGTCCCACCCTTCATCTCTTTCTAGAAGGAAAATGGCATTATTTTTACATCCAATGAAACACTCAAGACCCTCCAAATGCCTGATGCAGAAAAGAGAAGACCAGCATAGCAACACTAGGAAACCCAAAGGGCAGAGGATACACAAGGGAAATGGAGTCCATGCGCTGAAACTGGCTGTCTCTGCTATTTGTGGCATACTTACTGATTGCACAACTGCAAAACTGGTAAAATGGCATAATCACGGCTCAGGCCAAGTGTATTGGCTGTAAGTCCAGTGATTTTTATTTTAACTCGTCTAAAAACACTTTAAAAATTGCTAAGCCCTCTGTAAATAGTTGTATGCTAAGAATCTAGGGTAACACGTTGTTTATCCATGCAATCTTTTCCATACCCCAGTCCTTCTCACTTCTTCTTTCCATACACATATGCACACATCTACACACATATAAATATGCATGTAGGCATACATGTGGATATCTACATACATCTCAACTCACCTAGGGGCACCTCTCTAGACTCCCCATCCCATGACATAACTGCCCCTACTGCTCTCTGCTTCCCTCCAATTTATATCTGGAGAATGATTATCAGAGCATTACCTTTCATTATGTAAGGAAAGAGCTATAAAGATGGGCACTTTATACAGCATGGGGAAGGAGAGTCTATTAAATATATGTGTCTATTGCAGTAAATATGTATGTATGTATATAAGTATATACAGGTACATAAGTCACCCATGTTTACACATGAGCACAGACAGTGTTATAAATTTCTGGAGCCAGGATGCCTGTATCCCTGTCACCACTAAGTAGAACCTGTCCCTGTTGTCATCTCCATGCTGTTGCAGGACAGACTGTTTCTGAAAGGGCAGTCCCCTTTGTTAAGTTCCATCCTGTTGCCACAGGAGTTCTGTTGTGAAAAAATTCTCATTGCCTTGAGTATGCCCCAGTGCCTTCCTAAGAATTGCAGTTCCCTGGATGAAGGTGGGTCTCTGTGGTTCACATATATCTATGAAATGTGACATCCTCTTGCACTGGAAGGAACAATGAATAAAAACCAAGGGGAGAGATGAAGATGGCAGAAGGTGCCCTCTCTAAAGGAGGGGCCTGTAGTGGGCATGACACATCTCACTGGGCAAAATGCCACCATGGTTCTCTGCCTCTCTGCAACACATATTTCCTCTGAAACATCAGTGCTGATCATTATCAGTTACTTATCAATCTGATGCTTTCCCCTTACTTAACACCAATGTGCTCTTCTTGAAGTTAGCGAAGGACTGTGCATGACTGGATGTACTTTGAAACAGTTTATTTAAATCTCTCTGCAAACAGTTTTCACCTCTTTATTGTCGATGACAGTCTCGGATTCCATGCCAGGCCGCCTGTATTTAATTTGGCTTGCTTACTGGGCCCCAAGCATGCCCGAGCAAGTTCACTTTCTTTCAGTGCCTGGGATATAGGAAGCCCTCAATACATGGTAGTTCTGGTTGTTGTTTCTTTTTCTTTTTTTCTTTTTTTTTTTTTTTTGAGACGGAGTCTTGCTCTGTCGCCCAGGCTGGAGTGCAGTGGCATGATCTCCGCTCACTGCAAGCTCTGCCTCCTGGGTTCACGCCATTCTCCTGCCTCAGCCTCCCGAGTAGCTGGGACTATAGGCGCCTGCCACCATGCCCGGCTAATTTTTTGTATTTTTAGTAGAGACGGGGTTTCACCATGTTAGCCAGGATGGTCTCAATTTCCTGACCTCGTGATCTGCCCGCCTCGGCCTCCCAAAGTGCTGGGATTATAGGCGTGAGCCACTGCGCCCGGCCTGTTGTTTTTTTTCTTATACTCTCTCCCTCCATGTGTGCCCAAGTGAGATTACTGGCTTCTTCAGGCTTCCAAGAGAGCAGATCAATGTGGCTAATCTGGCCACAGCCCAAGTTAAATCAAGAGGTGACCCTGGCCCTGGAAGTCTGTTACCTCTGACCTTCAGGTCTGAACAAAACCTGAAGAGATGCTGAGGAATCAGGGACAGGGCTGAGCTAAGAGAAATTTGACTTTACTCCTAGTGAAATGACCCCTTCCACAGTGATGAACTATACAGTGCTGTTTAGAAAGTCCTGCAGTGGCTTGTATTTGTTAACTAATTTGTATGAATTCATATATGTGTTACTTATTGCATTAATAACCTACATTACATCCTCTATTCTTTTTTTCCCCTGTCTTCACATTACCAGTCTTCAGTTCATACATGCTCTGAAGAACAACAGTGTGTTAAGAAAGAGTTCTCTGGCGTCAGCTGGTAGTTAATGTTCTTTAGATCATTACCAATAGATAAGCCAGCACTAAGAAGAGCAAGCCAAGGGGATCCTGGACTTTATGTCACTTTCCAGATTTAAAATCCTTCTGTGGGGCTCATCACCTGCCCAGGGAGAGACTGATGTCCTCTTGAGTTAGCCAAACCAGGCCTTGGTTCTGACCGCCTTACTAACTCTGTGAAATGGGGCGTGTGAAATCATCCACCGGCCCCACTTTCCTTATCTACATATTGGGGATAATAGTCATTGCATTAGAATACTCACTGCATGATTGTATCATGAGGATTAAGTGATAGCAAATTTTAAATTATAATATTCATTTTTGGAGAGTATGAGGTGAGATGCTGGCAGTAGAAACAGAGATTAGAAGGACTTTTTGGAAAGCCATTTACCTTTGATAGGGATCAAGACACTTAAAATGCTCATGGCCTCTGACCCAGTCACTCCAATAATGGAAACCAATCCTAAAGGCATAATCCGAAACAAGGCCAAAGATTTAAAGACAAGTATGTTTATAATAGCTTAATTTATATTTACAGAAAACTGGAAACAACTCAAATGCACAGCATTAGGGAAATGATTAAATAAATTATTGCATGCTCATATCATGTGTGTAAGAGATTGCTTAAAATGATGTTGACAGAGAATTTGTAATAATGTGGGAAATCCCTTTTATAATGTTAAGTAATGAAAGGATGGTAGAGAATTTATATAATCCAGAAAGAAGTACATCAGGACGCTAACAATGGAGGATTTTCTTCTTTCTACTTTTTGAGTTTTATCATTTTTCTACAATGAGTGTGTGTGTGTGTGTGTGTGTGTGTGTGTGTGTATATATATATATTTTTTTTTTTTTTTTGAGACAGAGTTTTGCTCTGTCCCCCAGGCTGGAGTATAGTGGCGCGATCTCAGCTCACCGCAACCACCGCCTCCCGGGTTCAAACAATTCTCCTGCCTCGGCCCCACAAGTAGCTGGCATTACAGGTGCCTGCCACCACGCCCCGCTAATTTTTTGTATTTTTAGTAGAGACAGGGTTTCACCACGTTGGCCAGGCTCATCTTGAACTCCTGACCTCGTGATCCGCCCGCCTTGGCCTCCCAAAGTGCTGGGATTACAGGTGTAAGCCACCCAGCCCAGGCTAAGTATATATTTTTTAAAATGGAAAGATCACAACTACACTGAAACAATATGAAAACCTTGGCAAAGAGACTGTTAGACAGCAGGCACATAACACATGAGTCCTGTCCTCCTCTCCCTGAGCACACTCTACTCACTTCTTGCTCTCCTCCAGATTCTAGGCACTTCCTTAATTCTGAACTCCTACCTCCCAGGACCTCTCATGCCCTTCCACATGCCCTCATGTTTGTCCACCTGGAAAACATCATAGGTGCCCCATACCCACGCCTCATTAAGCCCTACTCAGTACGGCTCTAAGGCCACACCTCCGTTGTGACTGGGGGTTGGGTAAGGCTCTGCCACACCGGTGCTTTCCTGAGCACCCTCCTCATTCCCCAATTATAATCCTTATCATGCTTTGTGCTGTGATGACCACACACGTCTGTTTCACCGGAATGACAGGGAACTACTTCAAGTGTGGACAACATACCTTTCTCACCTTTGAATCCTCAAGTGTTGGGCATGATACTTGGGCCTTGGCAGTTCGTCAAAGGAGTACAGGAGACTTTCCTATGTTAACATCTTAACTTACCATGGTCACCTCTCAGGCTCCTTGTCATTTACAAATGCCATCCATTCTTGCCTTTGAGCATTTTTGCAAGCTGGACCATCTGCCTGTGATCTTCCTCATTACCACTTATTCTCAAGACAGCCAAGCTGTCTTTCCCCAACCTCTGGAGAAGCTCCTAAAATTCCACCTCTCCTGTGAAACACGAGTTCCTCCACCACTTCTGGTCAGAGACTCCTGGATCCATATTTAGGCATAACGGCTCTCTGGTGTCAGCCAGTGTCAGAGCATCTCTGATACTGTATCTCCATTTGTATCTCCTTCAAAGGCCCCAAATGGAACTTACCATGTGGCCCCCAGCTGGCCCATCTTTTCCTACCAATACACTTCTGTTGGAGCATTGCTGAGCTTTTGGTTTCTCCAAAATCTTCAGAGTATTCCACTCATGCATCCCTAAAGCCAAGCTGTCATCCAGTCCTGCTTTTTCCCCTCCTCCAAAATGTTTTCAGATTTGATCTCCCAATTTTAAGGACAGCTACAATACAATTGCCATTTGAGGCTGGGCATGGTGGCTCACGCCTGTAATCCCAGCACTCTGGGAGGCTGAGGCAGGTGGATCACCTGAGGTCGGGAGTTTGAAACCAGCCTAACCAACAAGGAGAAAACCCATCTCCACTAAAAATACAAAATTAGCCAGGCGTGGTGGCACATGCCTGTAATCCCAGCTACTCGGGAGGCTGAGGCAGGAGAATTGCTTGAACCCGGGAGGTGGAGGTTGCGGTGAGCCGAGATCATGCCATTGCACTCTGGCCTGGGCAACAAGAGTGAAACTCCGTCTCAAAAAATAAATAAATAAATAAATAAATAAACAATTGCCATTTGAAATGTTATTTCTGGGAGGTCTTATTCCTCTGAGCAGTTTATCCTGCCTCCTTGCTGGAGTTTGTGCCTCCAAACTGCATTCACTTTGCCATAGAAGCCTAAGTGACAAGGAATATAAAATTAATTATCACACTGCTGCAAAATACTCCTACCCCCAAAAGGAGCCAGACACCAACAACAGAAAATAATACAACTTATGTGGTCTCTCTGCCCTGCCACTGCACAAAGTAGTTTAGAAGAGGTTTCTTGGAGGAATCACCTTTGTCTTTTGCTCTTCGCAAGAACCAAGAAGAGGGAGAGCAGAAAAACAACAAAAAAGTAACCAAAAAACAAAAACAAAAACAGAGACAGTATTTTCTCTTCAACTACCCAGAGTCAAGCTTCTGCCCTCACTACATGAAGACATTTCCTTTGTCAAGGTTACCAGTGATGCCAAATCACTAAATCTGATGGCCAATGATGAGTCCTTATTTTCCCTGACCTAACAGAACACTTGGCCCAGGTGATGACTCCTCCCTGCTTCAAATACTTTCTTCAAGTAGCCTCAGGCACAGCTCACTCCGTTGGTTTTGTCTCTCTGTCTCTGGTTGCTACTTCTCAGTCTCCTGTGCCTTCCTCCCCATTTCTCAGACTTCAAGCATCGGAGCATCCCAGGGCTCAGTTCTTTGACCTCCATCTCTCCTCTGTCTACACTTGGTAATCTCATCTTGCCTCTTGGCATTGAATACTACATTTACATCTCCAACCTGAAGCTCTCCCAAACCTCAGACTTTTACACTCACTGGCTCTCTGACATCTTTACTTAGGTGTCCAAAAGGCCCTAGAAACTTTACAGTCTAAAATCTAGTTCTCGATCTTTCCTCCCAAAGCCGTTCTTCCCAGTCTTCCCCATCACAGCTGCTGGCTACTTCATCCTTCCCCCTGTTCAGGCTGAAGGTTTGCTGTTATCCCACCACTGCCACTGCTGCCATGTGGTCCAAGCCATCTTCCCCCTCACTTGGGTTTGTTCAGTAGTTAGTAATGGGCACTTCTTCTTCTGTTCTGTCCACTTATTGTCTGTTCCCCACACGGCAGTCAGAATGATCATATTAGAGCCAGAGCTCTGGGTGAAACCCCTCAGGGGCTCCCATCTCAATCCACCTAGAGGCCAAAGTCTTTACATGACCTATACTTAGAACGACTCTGAAGTTTCTCATCCAAACCAGGACGTTTTGATAATAATATTAGGACAGTAGGTATAAATGTGGATGGTCCCAGGCAAACAAAATATATACTTATTCTTCCTATAATGCCCTGCACGGTCTGGTCCCTGTCAACTTCAGGACATTATCTCCTTATCTTCTCTTCCTTGATCCTTCTGTTCCAGTGACGCTGGTCACCTTGTTGTTTCTTAAACATGTAAGAGATGCACCTTTCTTGGGTCTTTCTGCTTGTTATTTCCTCTACCTGGAATGTTCTCCCCTTTGTTTACATGGCAACCACCTTACCTCCTTTGGGTCTCGGAGCAAATACTGCCTTCCCAAAAAGGTCTTCCTCTACCATTCTACTTAAAACTGAGAACCCACTCCCCATTCATTTCCTACTGACCTTTATTGCTTTATTTTTCTCCATAGCATTTCTTCTGCCATTGTTGATAAAGAGTATTTTCACTGGATATAGAATTCTATGTTGACAGGTTTTTTTTTTGTTTTTGTTTTTGTTTTCACTTTTGGCACTTCAAAGATGACACTCCACAGTCTTCTGGCTTGCATATTACAAGTGACATTTTGTATAACTTAAAACAGTAAATAACTGACATTGAATGATACATATACATTTCCTAGCCCTTGCTTGCTAGAACTTTCCTTGGGCTCCTCTAAGTTTAAATGAGGCATTTGCTGATTTGATATAGATAATACACATTTCACCAGGTACTTGTGTGGGTGTCTTACCTTGCATTAGAATATCCTAGGCCTTTCTAATTCTTCCTCTTGAATTCCCTGTGTCACTCATCTGAGGTCATCTCTTGGATTTAAATACATTTGGTCTGAAATTCTCAAACTGCTGAATAAAATGCCATAGTAAGTCCAACTATATGGTTTCATGTAGGGTAAAGTAACCATTGTGGAAGGATTACGATAAAACTGTGTGACAATAAATAGAATAAAAGATGGCAAAACAATCTGTAAATTACAAAGTGTTATAAAAATGCATTGAATTTCTAGTGTTCTTACACTTTCATATTTCTCATTGGCACATCAATCAGACCTTGCCTTCCTAAAGTGGGAGGAAGAAAAAGGCTGCACCTGTCTGGGCTGAGGGTCTGGGCAGAACACTAGCAAAACTTTTAATAAATCTTCATGTCACCACCCCAAACTCATTAGGGCCCAAACTTATTTCATTATCTTCACTATCCCCATGGTTTTCCTCTCCATTATTTTTCATGCCCATCTTCAGCACTTTCATGTTTCTAGTCTTAGAAAACCCAAAGTTAAAAAGGAGAGCAACTTAAGAGTGTTCTATACCTCTTTTCTCTCCTTCATCTGTGGCCAAGGCTATTTTTTCTTTCTTCTAATTCTTGCCCATATTCAGTTCTTCTCTCCATTTCCATTACTAAAACCTTGGACTGAATTCTCCTTAACTCATGCCTGGATGACCACAGCTAGCCTCTCTGACCACTCTCTCTTCAGCCTAACCCACCCTTTATATACTGCCAGAAGAACCTTCCAATAACAGCAATTGTCTTCCTAATGCACCATGGCCCATGCCCACTGCGTCAAATTCAAATTCTCCCACCAGAGGGAGAGGCATTTCAAGCCATTCATAATCTGGCCCCCTTCCAAAGACCCTACCTGTCACAGCCCACCAGCTTCAGGCACCAAAAATCCCATCGGCTTGCTCAGCCAGTCCCTGAACCTATGGGAGCCTCCATATTAGGATTCCCCTCCTGACCATGGCGGGGTGCAGATTTGGTCTTGCTCTCTTCAAAGCCAGTGTCTTGGGAGTAACCTTCCACTCAAAACTTAACTACGCATCTCATGACCCACTTGGTTCTGATAGATGCAGGAGGCAGATAAAGGGGAGGGTCCCTGGAGAATCTCTGACCCACCTCTGCACTGGGAGAACGGGGTGGAGCCACGGGAAGTTCGTGCTGTGTGCAGGGAAAGGAGCCTGGCTTCTTTAGTTCCTGTGTGGTGACCTGGTGTTCAATCTGTGCGGTGGGGGCCCATTAGCAGGATCCCCTCTTGCTTTGCAGAGAGTTTTTTTTCTTTTTGCCCAGTAAATTCC
Source organism: Homo sapiens (assembly GCF_000001405.40). Classification (NCBI taxonomy): domain Eukaryota; kingdom Metazoa; phylum Chordata; class Mammalia; order Primates; family Hominidae; genus Homo; species Homo sapiens. The sequence goes on along the minus strand of NC_000015.10, from coordinate 71,603,247 downwards.
ATTCCCCTCACCCTTCAATGTGTCTGTGTTCCTAATCATTCCTGGTGGTGTGACAAAAACCTGGTTTTAGCTGAACCAAGGAGCAAAGCTCTACATCAGTTCTACATTGTACCTGTCAGACATCATTGCATTTGTAGCAAAAATGCATTTTATTCTTTGACCAAAAGTTTGTAGCCAACCTCACCGCTAAGCCCTCACAGGTCCTGAAAGGACAGAGGCAACATAGCGGGGAAAGAGCACAAGCTTTAGAGCCAGAAAGCCCTGGGTTCAAACCCCAGTTTGCCTTCTCACCAGTGGCTACATAAGCTTGGGAATGTCACTTGATCTCTTTGAGCCTTATGTTTTTTCCCCTCCTTATTTGAGATATAATTCATATACCAGACAAGTTATCCTTTTAAAATGTACAACTCAGTAGTATATTCACAAAGTGGTACAACAGTCAAAACTATCCAATTCTGGAATACCTCATCACCCCAAAAAAGAAACCCCATAACCATAACCATTAGCAGTCACTGCCCATTCCCTTCTACTCCCAGCCCCTGGCAGCCACCAATCTGCCTTCTGCCTGTACAGGCTTGCAGGAGCCTTGGTTTTAGTGGTCTCTAAACTGAACGTAACATTTACCTTATAGGATTGCTGTGGGGATAGAGACTGTTTTTCTTTTTCATTTTTTTTTTTTTTTTTTTTTTTTTTTGAGACAGAGTTTCACTCTTATTGTCCAGGCTGGAGTGCAACGATGTGATCTTGGCTCACTGCAACCTCTGCCTCCCGGGTTTGAGAGATTCTCCTGCCTCAGCCTCCTGAGTAGCTGGGATTAGAGGCATGCGCCACCACACCTGGCTAATTTTGTATTTTTAGTAGAGACGGGGTTTCTCCATGTTGGTCAGGTTGGTCTTGAACTCCCGACCTCAGGTGATCTGCCCATCTCAGCCTCCCAAAGTGCTGGGATTAGAGGCATGAGCCACTGCGCCTGGCCGAGACCATTTTTCAAAATGTCTACATCATAATTTAGCATCTAAGAGGACTATAATAAGTTGCTAACAGTATATTAATTATTTTTTGGCTCCTTCAGTGTCTCAAGTACAAAGACCTTTAGCTCCAGACCACCCCTGTTCTTTATTACTGTCCTCACCCCTCCTGTCTGTTCTTACCCACAACTCATTTTCTGTCTCCTAGAACTCTGCCACTCCAAACCCAACATTTAAGATCCAGCTGAAATCCCACCTCCTACATCATGTGAAGTCTTCTCCAGAATAATGCTGCTTTTCACATGGTTTTCCTAAGCTACCCTGAAGAGAAAAAAAGCCCTTTCAGTCTAACTTTAAACATTTCCAATATAATGAGATTCTGGACATGACTCCAGGCTAATCAAACTTGTGTTTATTCTAGATACTGCTTTGTGGCACATACAGAGCTGCTCACGCACACAGCTGCTTTGACACAGTAAAGAAAAAGAGTGCTATGATATTTTCAGGAGAGATTTCTGATCTCGCAACCAAACTTCCATTACCAGATGACGCTGAAGCAATAAATAGTGACATTTCAGTAGCTCTGTACAGGGCAGCTAGATTTTTTCCACGTCCTTGTGATTCACAAATCTGAAGTCATCAAAGATTACAGCCTCTTCAGAGTTTATTTGGTCTTGAAAACGCTCTTAATGAGTTTGACATTTTTATTAAGTTCAAAGTCTTTCACCAAAGACTGGTGCAATTACAGTCATTTATAAAGCGGCCAACAGGAGCAGAGTCTTGGCAGGCCCATGACAGTGCCTTGCAAAGTCCGGCAGCCTGGACATGCTCACCCAGTTTTCTGCCCCCTTGTCTTGGAAGCTCCATGGAGGCCATAAGGGAGCAACCCCTGGAGTGGTGTGAGAGTAGCTATCCTGGAGTGCTTTCTCTAGCTGCTAAAGGCTTCCATTCTAGGCTGATTTCATAAATGCATCAATTCTCCCCACTACCCCCAGCCAATCATTGAGGCAATAAAGGGAGAGGATCTGCTCTCACACACAGCAGGAAGTGTTAAATGATAGTCTTTAGTAGAACAGAATGGTAATGGCTCTTGCTCTGTCATCACATGAGCCTGGACTCAAATCTCGCTTCCAACATGCACTCATTTTATCATTTAATTATCTCACTGGTTGTTGGGCAAGTTATTTATTCTCACCAAAACCAAGTTTCCTCATCTTTAAGATAGGCATGATAGGTTGGGTACAGTGGCTCATGCCTGTAATGCCAGCACTTCAGGAGGCCAAGACGGGTGGATCACCTGGGGTCAGGAGTTTGAGACCAGCCTGACCAACATGGTGAAATCTCCTATCTACTAAAAATACAAAAATTAGCCAGGCATGGTGGTGAGTGCCTGTAATCCCAGCTACTCAGGAGGCTGAGGCAGGTGAATCGTTTGAACCCGGGAGGTGGAGGTTTCAGTGAGCTGAGATTGCGCCACAGCACTCCAGTCCAGCCTAGGCGACAGAGCAAGACTCTGTCTCAAAAAAAAAAAGAAAGAAAGAAAAAAAAAGACAGGCATGATAATAGGGTATTAACTGAGATAATGCAGGTGAAATGCAGAATGTAGTGTCTAGAATGTAATGAGTGTTCAGTTAATGATGGCTGTTGTTACTACTTTAATTGTCATTGTCATCATCATCACTGCATAACATGAACCAGTTTTGGGGGTCACTGAAAATGGTTGGGTGTGATTAATAATTCCCAATCATTCTTTTTCTACTCCAGATATTTAGAAAGTGCCTCATATGTGTAAGGCATTATACCAGGTACTGTGGGGCTTATGATGATTCAGACACAGATTCTTCCCTCAAGGATCTTACAGAAGAGTAAAGGTCATGTATTAAGACAAAGAAGACAATGACAAGAATTCCAAGAGAAGAGCAAACAAAACCTACGGGAATTCAGAAGGGGAGTATAGCAGAAATCACAGAAGGTTTCCTGGAGGAGATGTACCTGAGCTAGTAAAGATGGTAAGATTTGACCATTCAAAGACTAGAAGGCAGGTACTCCAGGAGGAGAGCAAGACTTTGAAATACAGAGCTTTCTGAGTGAGTAAGTCTTGCACAGAACACTAATCCACAGTATTGACTGTAGCTAATTAGTAGCATTTCCCCACGGAATGCTGCAGAATCTTAATTGCTGTTTTAGTCTTAAAAAAGAAACACTTTGGCTGCCCAAAATCAGTCACTTTGGAAGGAAAGTGAAATAGGCTTTCACCAGATGGAGTCATAACAGAAAGAAGACACTAACCACGCCTGGATGTTTTAGAATTTGAGATGTGAGAGCTTATGGTCAAACAGAGAGCCAAAGTGTCTCTTGGTGAGAAGATTTGTGGCTCTGCAGCTGGAAAGGAGCTTCCCATACTGGGGGGCATTGTGGGGAAGACATTGGGGCTTTATGCGGCTCCCAGTGTTTCGGCTCAAAGTGGGCCTCTCCACACAATGCAGAGAGATGACATTTGCCCTTGAATGCACACACGTTCCTCCTGGCCCACTGCCAGAGTCCACTGGAGCGGCTGAGCGGCAGAAGGGAACAGCTCTTAATTTATAAAATGCTCCTCATCAGGTTTTATGAAGAAAATGGAGCAGGGCCTTGCCAGGGGAGCACATACCACGGGCTTGATGGCATGTAATTAGCCTGCGTTAGTATTTGGGCAGCATTCCTGGTTTAAGGGCCTTTCTACCCTTGAGATACTCCATAGCATTTCTATGACCTCACAGGTGGTTAAGGTCTGGCCAGAACAACAGTTTGCCTGGGTTTGAACCTTAAATCTAGGAGTGAAGAGAAAGCATTATGATGTGGATGAACAGGGCCTGGCATATCAGGGGCTCATGAGTATGTGACAATGTGAAAAAATAGTTAGACAGGAAGTGGGCTCTGTGTATGATGTCAGCTCAGAGGACTTGGACTCTCCGCAGGGGACAAGCATCCATATTTCTACTTGGATGGAAAAAAAATACAGCAAATCAATCAAATATTTATCTTGTATATACTGTGTAACCAGCATTACACCATGCTAGAGACAACAGATTGGATTCCAAAGAAATATAAAACATAGTCTCAAAGATTTACAATTTAGCTTCGGAGACAGAACTAAGCCACATGAAATTCTTGTACCCAGTAACATTTATGGTTTTACTAAGGTTTGTCAAGTGGTCCTACCTTTAAATACTGACAGTAGTGCAAGTGGAGTTCAGAGGGGGAAAAAAGGTCGGAGCAAATCGGATTAGTTGAAAAAGTTGTCATAAAGTGGGCAGGACTTAAGCTGGGGTGTTCCTAACATAAGTGACACATGCCTTTGTCAATCTTTAAAAAATAAGTTCCGGTCAGATGCGGTGGCTCAACTTGTAATCCCAGCACTTTGGGAGGTGGAGGTGGGAGGGTTGCTTGAGCCCAGGAGTTCGAGACCAGCCTGGGCAACAGGGCGAAACCCTGTCTCTACAAAAAATACAAAAATTAGCTGGGTGGGGTGGTATGTGCCTGTAGTCCCAGCTAGTAGGGAGGCTGTGGCAGGAGGATCACCTGAGCCCAGGAGATTGAGGCTGCATTGAGCTATGATCTCGCACTACACACTGGGTGACAGAGTGAGACCCTGTCTCAAAACAAAAAAACAAAACAAACAAACAAAAAACACCTAAGAGAAACAGGAAGAACTGTGGAAGATTCCAGCCCAAAGCACAGGGTGGGGCACAAAGAGAGTGTAGCAGGGAATGGAGAAATGACGTCTGCAAAACGGTGGACCCTTCTCCCCAGTCTTCAGTCAACTCCTGGCCTTTACAATGAGTCCTCTAGCATATTTATACTTGATATCACGTATACCTCCTGGCCTTCCTTGTCTCAGTACCCATCAATGCCTATAGTCAAAAGGTCAAACTCATGGCCTCAGGGATGTGTCCCGTTTGACTTTTAAAATGTCATGATGTCGCCACTCTAGTCAAACTAGCACTCTTCAAATGTATCATGGGCTGGATACCTTCTGCCCTTAGTACTTGCTCTTGCTACCTTGGCCTGGAAGGGTCTTCTTGCTCATCTTCCTGACCAATTCTTAGCAGTCTTTCAAGGTCTAACTTTAAAACTGGCTCGGCGAAGCCTTTCCTAACCCCCAGGGCTCTGCCCACCAAGATAGCCTGGCTTCCATCTCTTGACCGGTCCTCTTTGCTCAGCTTAGCCTGCACTAGGAACACTTCTTGTTCCCCTGAAAGCCTGGGAGCACCTTGAAGGCCTGAACCATGACTTATTCATCTGGGTGATCCTAGGGCCCAGCACAGGATTGGGACCATAGTAAGAGCCCACTAAATGTCTGGCGCTCACTAAATATCTGAGGGAGAAATGAAAAGCAATTCCAGGGAGCGTCTGAACTCACTTCCTTTGGGGCTGACACAGAGGTGTTCCCTGATGAGACACACATCGCAGGGCCCTGGCATCTTGGAAGCCACGCCTGGGGACGAGAAGGGATCTGCTTTCCCACCCTAGGAGGCCAAAGAGGGAAGAGACACTTCTCACATAAGGCGTCGAGCTTGTTAAAAATTCGTCAGTGTCATCCAATACTTGGGGGTGGGACATATGCAGGAGAAACTAAGTCATCAGAACTAGGTGGTTTGACCAGGAGTCTTCTCCTCCTGTTCTTCCAAACAAAGTATTAAAAGTGCTTTCTTTGTATACACGATTTTTGGTAAAAAGCTATTTCTTTAAAAGTCTAATGATCCTTAAAATGACCTCTGTTATTATGCCTTTTATAATGTATGTTGTCTATAGAAATAGCTGGCATAAACACTCTGTAAAGAAGTCTAGAAGAGCTGCATGTATATGTTACCACATGTGTATTTTGGTATATATACACACATATATCTGTGGGTGTGTGTGTGTGCACGTGCCTGTACCTATTTAGCAACTTTCTGAATCTCTGAAAATTTGCAAGGTATAATACATATCAATTGCTAAAGAGTCCAATTGTCAGTTTCAGCCAGGCTGTTCTTACACATATTCTTGCCTACTTGAGACAGGAGATTCCGGGTAGCACCAAGGAAGGCCTGTGACAGAAAACGTCCCCAAGAATTTGAGACATTTAATGCTATAATTTAGAAATAATCTAAATGGTCAATGGCCCCACCCAGAAACAAGATTAAAACAACAGTATTTTTTGGAACAATAAGAAAAGAAACAACTTCAAAGTGAAACTTTCAAACAAAGAATTTGGACTGACAGAAAAAAGTGAAATCTAGTTAAATATTTTGGTTTAGCAAGAGCTCCCCTTTGCCTCACCCAGCCCTGTTCCCTAAAGCTTGTGGCTTCAATGTTCCTTGGCTGCTTTCCTTCTTCCCCACACGCCCTCTTTGGCTGCTGCTCTTAAACAACAGCATTCCAAGCCAGGAGAACCAGGGTCACCTAGGGGCCCGACAAACCATTGCCACTCTTCCACCTCCCTCTGCTGCTACATGCTTCTGCTGTCTCCAAAACAGAGCTGCGCTCCCCAGCCAGGAGGCCCGCAGGATTCTAACCCTACCATGTAGAAGGGGAAACAAACAGAAGGTGGTTCTATCATTAACAATTTGGCCCAATTGAGCCTAAAGATTTTTGTCTTTAGGATCAACCTAGACCCTGTCCACACCAGGAAACTTTAGAATTCAAAGAGTTCCCACAAGTGACTCAATCTGGAGTAACTAGATAGAACTAATATCTTATTCTGTCCCCATGGAGCCAGTGTTAAGTTGATACTATGGACAATCTGAATGGCAACTCAGTTTATAAAATACAAAACTCTTAGCAATAAGCTTTCACAGAACCTTCTGGAAGATGAGGCACTGATGCATTTAGTGCATCAGAAAAACAGATGGCCACTTCTGGAATGTGGTGGAAGACTTTCATAAAAAAAAGGCCTTTGGATAATTATCTTGTGTTTGTACTTGGAGAAGAAGAAGAAAGAGAGAAAACCACAACAATGTCACAATCTGACTGCGTTCCTACCCACAGAAGGGTGACACACACTGTGTCATTTGTGGAAGGCCACTCTCCCCTCAAACCCATCAGCAAAATAGAAGTCGCCCCAACATTTCACTCAACCACCACAGACAGTGATTCCTCTAAAGACATGTTTTTAATAAAGGATGAAACAAATACTCACAAGATAAAAGCACAAACAAGGAATACCTCAAGGACATTCTGGTTGTGATTTTAAAAATTCAAAACAAACAAAACTGAACTTTTGCTGGAAAAGAAGCAACAGTGAGGTAGGATGGATGATGCATGTCCTGACTTTCATGGTTAGCAGATGCTGAAACGGTCACCAGCGAAAAACTGTGCTATGTCTCTCAGTCAAATCGATGTGCATAGTTAACAAAAACACAGACACAAGTCCCTTTCTGTCACTTTCGCAGACCTTGGGCAAGTTTCTTAGCTTCTTTGGGTCTTGGTTTCCTCATCTGTAGAATGGGTATAACAGTAGCTACCGTCTTTAAATGGAGGGCGTTGAACTAGCAGATCTTGGGGTGATGGAGTTGGGGGAGTCTTCTGCTCAATAATTCAAGGGAGAATGTTCTCCACTTAACAGGACTCTTTGGAAATACAATCTGCATCCCCTGGACTTGCATACACACATGTGCAATTTTAGGCCCTCTGAGCTTCCAAGTTCTGAACATATGGCTTGTGTATTAGTTCATTTTAAAGCTGCTGATAAAGACATTTGAAACTGGGAACAAAAAGAGGTTTAATTGGACTTACAGTTCCACATGGCTGGGTAGGCCTCCGAATCATGGCAGGAGGCGAAAGGCACTTCTTACATGGTGGTGGCAAGAGAAAAATGAGGAAGAAGCAAAAGCGGAAACCTCTAATAAACCCATCAGATCTCATGAGACTTATTAACTATCATGAGACCAGCACGGAAAAGGCCAGCCCCCATCATTAAATTACCTCCTGCCGGGTCCCTCCACAACACATGGGAATTCTGGGAGATACAATTCAAGTTGAGATTTGGATGGGGACACAGCCAAAGCTTATCACCTTGTTAAAACAAATCTTTAGGATTCACAGTGTCTGACTTCCAGGCCTGTCCACTCATAGTACCTTTCCAGCAATCACCCATTACTTGTATAGAAGAGAGCTTCCAATCCCAATCTGATTAAAGAGAGAAGCTCATACATTTAGTTTAGTAAGAAACTAGCTGACTTTTCAAACTCAGCTCATCTTTGTTCTCTATTCCAAACTTTTCCTGTTTATACCATATCACCACTTAGTTCCCACCACTGGGATTGACTGACCCCCTAGATAGCTGGTAAATGCTTCCTTCTTCTTTGACACCTAGCTCAGATGTCACCTCTTCAGAGAAGCCTTCCCCAATCCCTCCCTCCCAAAGGAGACTCAGCTGCTCACTTATTTCCGCTCCCGAGCTCCTTGTATATCCCTCATGCATAAAATATACTTTGTTAACTTCTATCTCTCTTTCTTGACTAGGAAGTCCTCCAGACCAAGACTGTATCTTATTTCCCCTCATGCACATCACACAATACTGATATGGGGTAGGAAATGGGTTAATGCTTGTTCGATACATGGAGGTCTGAGCACCAGCGATCTGGAGCACAGCTTTCCCATGTCTGCTGCTGAAGCCTGGGAAGCAGCTGAGACCCCAGGGAAGAGGCCTAAGGTCTCCACCTAAGGCAATGTGGGGAGCCTCTTTGATTTTGGAAGCCTGGATCATTTGGGCACACCTGGGTCGGGCTGGATACTCTGGAGCTCAGGCAGAGGCTGGCTCACAGAGGGCAGAAATCCCAGCTACTAAGAGGGGAGGCCGAGGTGGGTGGATCATGAGGTCAGGAGTTCAAGAACAGCCCAGCCAACATGGTGAAACCCTGTCTCTACTAAAAATACAAAAATTAGCCAGTCGTGGTGGCAAATGCCTGTAATCTCAGCTACTGGGGAAGCTGAGGCAGGAGAATAGTTTGAACCCGGGAGTTGGAGGTTGCAGTGAACTGAGATCGTGCCATTGCACTCCAGCTTGGGCAACAGTGACACTTTATCTCAGGAAAAAAAAAAAAAAGGATTCATCCAGGCTTGGGAACAGACTGGAGTGAAAGGAAATAAGAGTCCAGTGGATCCCTAGGCTGTGAGGCAGAAGGGGCAGAGAGAGGGACCGGGCAGGAAAAGGCAACCCCCATGCTGAGCTGCATTCAGCACCATTGTGCAGCTCATGTCCAGCTGCCCCACCTCACCACCCTCTCAAGTCCCTCCTGTTCCTGGGCACCTTTCCCCTCTTCCCTCTTTCTCATCAGCCCCCATTCTTAGTGATTTCAAACAGTCACTAATTTGGGTAGTAAGATTTTTTTTTTGCCGGGGGGGTGGGAAGGGGTGTCAGGATCTTGTGTTGTTGTCCAGGCTGGAGTGCAGTGGCGCAATCATGGCTCACTGCAGTCTCGACCTCCCAGGCTCAAGCAATCTTCCCACCTCAGCCTCCCAAGTAGCTGGGACTACAGGCACATGCCACCATGCCTGGCTAATTTTTGCATTTTTTTTCTATAGAGACAGGGTTTTGCCATGTTGCCCAGGTTGGTTGGTCTCAAACTCCTGGGCTCTTGTAATCCACCCACCTCGGCCTCCCAAAGTGCTGGGATTACAGGTGTGAGCCACCATTCCCCAGCTGATAGTAAGAATTTGCATCCAAACACCGAGGACAGAAGAGCAGGAACAGGTAGGAGGGCACTGTCATCCTGCCTTGTCACACTGTCTCCAGCGAGTTAGGGTGCTTTTAAAAGGTCACCCATGAGGGTTTCTTACAGGTTTTTTTTTTTTTTTTTTTTTTTTTTTTTTTTTTTTTTTTTTTTTTTTTTTGAGACGGAGTCTCTCTCTGTCGCCCAGGCTGGAGTGCAGTGGCGGGATCTCGGCTCACTGCAAGCTCCGCCTCCCGGGTTCACGCTATTCTCCTGCCTCAGCCTCCCAAGTAGCTGGGACTACAGGCGCCCGCCACTACGCCCGGCTAATTTTTTGTATTTTTAGTAGAGACGGGGTTTCACCGTTTTAGCCGGGATGGTCTCGATCTCCTGACCTCGTGATCCGCCCGCCTCGGCCTCCCAAAGTGCTGGGATTACAGGCGTGAGCCACCGCGCCCGGCCTACAGGCTCTTTTTATCACAATGGACAAAGAGATAAGGCTGGGGACAGGATAGAAACCTCTGCTCACTTCCTCTGCTCACTTCTCCACTTGATTTAGATTTGGCTCTGACCCTCTCTGGAAAGAACCTGAGGTTCAAATCTCTATTTTCGCTAGGTGCATACCCTTGGAAAAGTTAATGAATCTCTCCAACATTCCAACTGCTCTGCATTAAAACAAAGATGCTCCTGCTGACCTCACAGAACTAAGCTGGAACGCGATGAGAGAGGGCAGGCAGGACAGTCAGCTCAGCATGGGGTCCGTGTGGCTGCTTGCTAAATGTTACTCCTCACCCCTCCTCTCAGTCAGCACTGAAACTCAGGACTTGTAACACCTCGATGCTCAATATTCTAATGCATGCTGTTCTCAACCTAGAGGCAGGCTACGTTCCAAACATTTGAAAGCTGAACTATGAACGTGTTTTCCCACAAAATGCATTCTGTAAATGGTGATTGGGTTCCCAGACCTATCTATAAAAGTGAATCCAGCCCACAGTGTATTCACTTTTATAGACAGGTCTGGGAACCCGATCACCACGTATAGAACAGTGACACAATTCTGTTGTTTTTCTGGAGACCAGAACCCAACTACCCAGGAGGGCATGGTTTCTGTGGGAAAATGTGTTCTGAATTCCAACTTGTCATGCCGGGCAAACAGCTTCTCCTAGCACCTCTACAGACAAGTAACAGCTCAATTCCTGGGGCGGCAGGGCCATGTGGCTGTGCACACGCTCAGATGGCTCTGGGGGCTGCCAACAGCCTTCTCCCTGCCACTGCGTCCTGCAGCTCCTGCCCATCATGGGCTTCACTGCTGGTGGAACATGGGGGAACAGGGCATTCACCTCAACAACTGTCAAGAACCTCAAATGGTTTCCCTGCCAAAAGATCCAAACTTCCTCTCTGCTTCTTCCCATGGTGGCCACATGTTGGCTTAGAAATGTGTGTACTTTTCTCTTTCAATGTTACTGCTGTGTGATATGGAGGAAACATTGCAAGCTATGGAGAAAAACCGTAGCTCAAATCCTGGCTACATCACATGCTAGCCAGTGACCTTGGGCCAACAAGCTAATCCCCCAGCTCTCTTTTCCTCGTCTTTAAAATGAGGGGCATTAACATCTGCCTCATAGGGATGGGAAAATTACACGAAATAATGTTCATGAAAACACGACATGGTGCCTGTCACCCATCAGGCCCACAAACATTTGTTTTCTTCTTTTCTTCCTTTATTTCTGTAATGAAACCACTTCTGAACAATACCATTCCCATTTACCTATTTACCTGCTGCCTTTTTGTTATATACCCACTTTTTTGTTTCTCAGTTTTTGGTATATGGAACATATCTGGATTTATTGATTTTTTTTTTTTCTAAAAAAAAATCTGGCCGCAGTCTGAACATCTCTCCCACAAATAGGCTGGTTGCAAACATTCTTGCAGAAGGTTACACTGGGCCTCATACTCCCAACAGCTGCCCTCTGACATCTCCTGGAGCTTCACCAGCATGAATTCACCAGGTGTTTGTCCTTGAACTCTCCCTTTCAGTGTCATCTGCCACACATGGAGCATGTCACATGTGTGACAGGGAAGCCCAGGGGATGATCTGCTCCTCTACCTTGCAGATGGGAGTCAGCCAAGAGGATCGGTATAGCAATGCTCTTGCTGTGTGAGAAGTGAAGCTGTCTGAGCGATCAAAATCTTATCACATAGTTATATGTTTGTGACATGCATAAACAGAAAACAGAAGGAGATGTAAAGAATGACACTTGAGCTTAGACCAAAGGTAGGCACAACAGGGCAGCCTTGAAAGGCTAGAAAAGCCATGGACAGCCAATTGCAATTCCGAACTCCACCACACACTACTGTCTTACCTTCAGTCACTGACTTTCTCCAAATTCCAGCTTTCTGAGGTTCATAATAAACAATTGCCTTGCCTATTTTGTGACAATAGGTAAGAGGAAGTCTATAGAAGTGCTTTTCTATTTTGAAAAGCCCTTTCACAACACAAGATATTGTCATTACTGTTATCATACATACTGTCATATGAGAACGGACTATTCTTTTTTTTCTTCAACTTTTTTTTTTTTTTTTTTTTTTTTTTTTTTTTGAGATGGAGTCTTGCTCTGTCGCCCAGGCTGGAATGCAGTGGCGTGATCTTGGCTCACTGCAAGCTCTGCCTCCCGGGTTCAAGCCATTCTCCTGCCTCAGCCTCCTGAGTAGCTGGGACTACAGGTGCCCACGACCATGCCCGGCTAATTTTTTTTTGTATTTTTAGTAGAGACAGGGTTTCACCGTGTTAGCCAGGATGGTCTTGATCTCCTAACCTCATGATCCGCCTGCCTTGGCCTCCCAAAGTGCTGGGATTACAGGCGTGAGCCATCGTGCCTGTCCCTTCTTCAGCTCTTAAGTTCAGGGTGCATGTGCAGGATGTGCATGTTTGTTACATAGGTAAACATGTTCCATGGTGGTTTGCTGCACAGATCATCCCATCACCCAGGTATTAAGCCCAGCATCCATTAGCTATTCTTCCTGATGCTCTCCCTCCCCCCACCCACCCGTTCTGACAGGCCCCAGTTGTTCCCCACCATGTGTCCATGTGTTCTCATCATTCAGGTCCCACTTATAAGTGAGAACATGCAGTATTTGGTTTTCTGTTCCTGCGTTAGTTTGCTGAGGATAATGGCTTCCAGCTCCATCCGTGTTCCTGCAAAGGACATGATCATGTTCCTTTTTATGGCTGCATAATGAGAATGGCCTATTCCTATCAACCTAGTCCAGGTCCACACGGCCTCAAAACTACATTATTACAAGCTGCCAAATCAGTCTTCGTCCAGCACTGGCTCATGCCATTCTGAAATTCTGCTGTGAACAAACGTATTACGGAATATTTCAAGTCTTCAGACAAAGATAGGGAATGACACCACAAACACTTGGGTTTCCATCACCCAGATTTGTCTTAACCCAACAGATATGACTGAACGTCCTTCCCTCAACTCCATTCCCCTCTCTCCTTCATCAGCCGTAACCACTATCTTCAATTTGGCATTCATAATTTCCATGCATATTTATATTCCTACTGATATGCACAGATCTAGAAATGATTGATGGTATTGTTTTACATTTTTAAAAAGTTTCTGTAAATGATATAGTACATTTATAATTCAGAAACCATCTTTCTTTCACATTTGATTTCTTATTTGTGTCCATGATGACACATGTGGCTCTAGTTTTCCTGTTTTTAAAGTGTTACTCTGTACTTCATTACATGCATAGCCACAACTTATTTATCTATTCTCGTGGGGATGGAGATTGAGAATGTTTCCAATTATTGGTGATAATAAACAGTGCTGCTAGCAACATTATTGTACTCGTCTCTGTGCACACATGTACAAGGGATTTTCTGGGTAGTATTTTTCAAACTTTTTACTGAAACCAACAGTAAGAAATACATTTTAGGCCAAGTGTAGTGGCTCATGCCTGTAATATCAGCACTTTGGGAGGCTGAGGCCGGAGAATTGCTTGAGGCCAGGAGATCATGACCCAACAGGGTGACACATGGGGCCCCATCTCTACCAAAAAAAGTTAAAAAGTTAGCTGGGCATGGTGATGCATGACTGTGTTTCCAGCTACTTGGAAGGCTGAAGTGGGAGGATCCCTTGAACCCAGGAGGGCAAGGATGCAGTGAGCCATTATTGTGCTCCTGCACTCCAGCCTGAATGACAGTGAGACTCTGTCTCCAATAAATAAAAAAATAAATAAATAAATAATTTATATCACACCAGACTACACAAAACACAAAATATGTATGCACACACACAAACACACACAAATTGGAACTATTTTATGAAATAGGACTTATTACTCTTATATCCTATGTCCTTTAATATATTCAAGTCCATTTAATTCTATAATTTACATGCTGGTCAAAATCCACTAAATTCACTGTATAAGGCATTAATGAACCTCGGATATATATTCAGACCTGAAATTGCTGAGTGAATGCATGACTATGTGAATCTCCAACTCTCCATTGTAAAACTGCTATTTTAAATCACTCTCCAGCAAAAAAAGAAAGCACAAAAGGTCCCTAATGTCTAACATCCCACAGCAAATTCCTGGGTCTCTCTCACAAGGCTTCCCATGACTCACCCACCTCCCTGACCAAATTGTCAACACTCAGTCATTAACCCTTTGACAGATCTCCCCATGCTCCCACAACACACATTGCTTGTTCCTGTCTTTGCTCAAACTGTGCCCCCTGACTGCAACACTCTTTTTCTCCCACTCTGCATAACTGATACCTATCTCCCCCACATGTATTCCAAGCTACCCCAGCCCCATACTGCCCTTGAACATAAGCCTCATTTAAAAGCATCACTGGCCAGGTGTGGTGGCTCACGCCTATAATCCTAGCACTTTGGAAGGCCAAGGTGGGTGGATTGTTTGAGCCCAGGAATTCGAGACCAGCCTGGGTAACGTGGTGAAACCCATGTCTACTAAAAATACAAAAAATACAAAAAAATTAGCCGGGTGTGGTGGCACATGCCTGTAGTTCCAGCTACTAGGGAGGCTGAGGCAGGAGGATCACCTGAGCTTAGGAGGTCGAGGCTGTGGTAAGCAGAGACTGCATCACTGTACTCCATTCTGGGTGACAGGAGTGAGACCCTGTCTCAGAAAAATAAATAAATAAATTAAAAAAAATTAAAAATTAAAAAAAATAAATAAAAGCACCAGTATGATATTTCCTCCTAATCTTCAGCTGTGTCTCACTTTTCCCAATGACAAGATTCTTTTTTTTTTTTTTTTTGAGACGGAGTCTCGCTCTGTCGCCCAGGCTGGAGTGCAGTGGCGCGATCTCGGCTCACTGCAAGCTCCGCCTCCCGGGTTCACGCCATTCTCCTGCCTCAGCCTCCCGAGTAGCTGGGACTACAGGCGCCCGCTACCACGCCCGGCTAATTTTTTGTATTTTTAGTAGAGACGGGGTTTCACCATGTTAGCCAGGATGGTCTCGATCTCCTGACCTCGTGATCCGCCCACCTCGGCCTCCCAAAGTGCTGGGATTACAGGCGTGAGCCACCGCGCCCGGCCATGACAAGATTCTTGACAATGAGATTCTTGACAATGAAACTATGCCACAGGGAGAGTACTGGTTTTAGAGGTAGAGGATCTCATTCTTGAGTCAAAAGTCCCAGCTTCCAAGCCACTGGGTGTGTTACCTCAAGTTAATGTTTTAACCTCTCTATCTGCCATTTTCTTTACCTATAAAATGAAAACATGGTAAAACTGTTTTTTGGTTTTTCTTTTTTTTTTTTCTTTTTTTTTTTTAATTTTTTTTTTTTATTATACTCTAAGTTTTAGGGTACATGTGCACATTGTGCAGGTTAGTTACATATGTATACATGTGCCATGCTGGTGCGCTGCACCCACTAACTCGTCATCTAGCCTTAGGTATATCTCCCAATGCTATCCCTCCCCTCTCCCCCGACCCCACCACAGTCCCCAGAGTGTGATATTCCCCTTCCTGTGTCCATGTAATCTCATTGTTCAATTCCCACCTATGAGTGAGAATATGCGGTGTTTGGTTTTTTGTTCTTGCGATAGTTTACTGAGAATGATGGTTTCCAATTTCATCCATGTCCCTACAAAGGACATGAACTCATCATTTTTTACGGCTGCATAGTATTCCATGGTGTATATGTGCCACATTTTCTTAATCCAGTCTATCATTGTTGGACATTTGGGTTGGTTCCAAGTCTTTGCTATTGTGAATAGTGCTGCAATAAACATACGTGTGCATGTGTCTTTATAGCAGCATGATTTATAGTCCTTTGGGTATATACCGAGTAATGGGATGGCTGGGTCAAATGGTATTTCTAGTTCTAGATCCCTGAGGAATCACCACACTGACTTCCACAATGGTTGAACTAGTTTACAGTCCCACCAACAGTGTAAAAGTGTTCCTATTTCTCCACATCCTCTCCAGCACCTGTTGTTTCCTGACTTTTTAATGATTGCCATTCTAACTGGTGTGAGATGATATCTCATAGTGGTTTTGATTTGCATTTCTCTGATGGCCAGTGATGATGAGCATGTTTTTTGGTTTTTAAAAGAGAAAATGAGATCACAGCTATAAAAGTGCTTTGAAAACTGTAAAGGGTCAGAGATGGGCTTATTCCTATGTGCATTTTATATCTTCCATAGGGCCTAGCACTGACTAGGCATAATGCTTGTTGGTTGTGATAAGCAGCTTCCTTTAACGAATGTCAACAGCTTCATGAAGGAAACACAGAATAGTGTGGTAGGCAGAATTCTAAGATGATCCCCAGATTTCCTGCTTCTGCTGTACTGCATACCCTGGATAATCCCACGACTGTGAATGTGTTGGAGTTTGCTCCCACAATTAGGTTATGTTAAATGGCACAGTTGACCTTCAGAAAAATTATCAGAGTGGCCTGACCTAATCACATGATTAAAAGCAGATAGTTTTCTCTTTCTGGTCACAGGTTTGAAGTATGAGAAGGATTTAGCATGCTGTTTCTGATTGAAGACAAAGGGAGCTATGTGACAAGGAATGTGGGTGGCCTTTAGGACTCTCAAAGCATCCCTCAGCTGAGGGCCAACAAGGAAATGGCTACTTCAGTCTTCCAGATGCAAGGAAATGAATTCTGGCAACAACCAGTGAGCTTAGAAAAATATTCCAAGCTCTAGATGAGGGTGGTGCCCTGGTAAATGCCTTGATTTCAGCCCAGTGAGACCGTGAACAGAAAACCTAGTCATGCTGTGCCCAGACTTCTGACCTATAGAAATTGTGACATAAAACATTTATATTGAGGGGTGTGACATCAGCAAGATAGTAGAATATGATCCCAGAGATAGTCCCATCAGCCAAGAGAAAGTCTTTATCTGCCAGAACCAGATGGAAAAGACTAGAAGAGGTATCTGCCCCTTCAATCCAAGGCTACATGAATTATGAAGAATCAGGCAAAAATGACACCGCCAAAATAAACTAATAGAACATCAGTAACCAACCCTAAAGAAATGGAGGTCCATGAACTGCTTGACAAAGAATTCAAAATAATCATCTTAAAGTTAATGAGCTACAAAAGAATTAGATAACTAAATGAAATCAGAAAAATAATACATGCATAAAATTAGAAGTTTGATAAAGAAATACAAACTATAAAAAATCCTGGCACTAAGTAATACAACGACTGAACTGAAAAAAATCAATAGAGTGCTTCAACAACAGACTCAATCACGCAGAAGAAAGAATTGGTAAGCTCAGATACAAGTCATTTGAAATTATCTAGTTAAGAGGCACACACACACACAAAAAGAATAAACAAGTGTAAAGAAAGCCTACAGGACTTATGGGACACCATCAAGTGAACCAATATATGCATTATGAGAGTCAAAGAAGGAGCAGAGAAAGAGAAAGAGGCAGAAAACTTGTTTAGAGAAATAATGACAAGAAACTTTACAATTCTGGGAAGGATATTCAGCATCCAGGTCCATGATGCCCAAGTAACCCCGAACAGACTGAACCTTAAGAGATCTTCACTGAGACACATTATAACCAAATTGTCAAAAGTCAAATACAAAGAGAGAATTTTCAATGCAACAAGAGAAAAGTGACTCTTCATAGACAAAGGAAACTCCATGAGATTATAAGTGGATTTCTTGGCAGAAACCTTGCAGGTGAGGAGACAGTGAGGATATATTCAGAGTGCCGAAAGGAACAAACAACCAACCCTGTCAACCAAGAATACTATATCTGCTAAAATTGTCCTTCAGAAATTACAATGACAAAGAGATTTTCCCAAACAAAAGTTCATTATAATTAGGTCTTCCTTACAAGAAATACCAAACAGAGTTCTCCAAGTTGAAACAAAAAGACACGAATTAGCAATATGAAAACTTTTAAAGTATAAAACTCACTAACAATGGTAAGAATATAGTCAAAAATCAGAATAACCCAATATTGTAATGGTGGCATATAAATTACTTTTAATTCTGGTATAAAGTGAAAAGACAAAATAGTAAAAATAACTATGGCTACAATAATTTGTTAATAGAGATACAACATAAAAGTTATAAATTGTAATATCAATAACATAAAATATGGAAAACAGAAGTTAAAAATGTAGATTTTTAAATTCAATCAAAGCTTGTTATCGGCTTAAAATAGACTATTATAGATATAAGATGTTTTATGTAAGCCTCATGGAAATCATGAAGATAAAAACTAGTAGACACACAAAGTACGAAGAGAAAGGAATCAAAGCCTACTACCTCAAAAAATTGTCAAATTGCAAATGAGGACATCTAGAGAGGAAGAAAGGAAAAAAGGAACTAAAAAACAGAAACAATTAACAGTAAGTTCTTAACTATCAATAATTATTTTAAAAGTAAATAGATTAAATTATCTAATCAAAAGACATTGAATGGCTGAATGGATTAAAAAACAAGATCAACTATACATTGCCTATCAGAGATTCATTTTAGCTTTAAGGATAAACACTGGTTGAAAGTGAAAAAAGTCAAGGCTGGGCATGGTGGCTCATGTCTATAATTCCAGCACTTTGGGAGGCCAAGGTGGGCAGATAATCTGAGGTCAGGAGTTTGAGACCAGCCTGGCCAATGTGGCAAAACCCTGTCTCTACTAAAAATACAAAAATTAGCTGGGCATGGTGGTAGACGCCTGTAATCCCAGCTACTTAGGAGGCTGAGGCAGGAGAATCACTTGAACTGATTCAAGTGGAGGCTGCAGTGAGCCGAGATCATGCCACTACACTTCAGCCTGGGTGACAAAGTGAGACATTGTCTCAAAAAAAAAAAAAAAAAAAAAAAGAAAGTGAAAAAAAAAATCCACGTGAATGGTAACCAAAAAAGAGTAGAGGTGACTATACTTAAAATAGACTTTAAGTCAGGAACAGTCAAAAGAGACAAAGAAAATCATTATATGATGATAAAGGAATCAATTCATCAAGAGAATCATCAAGAGAATATAATAATTATAAATACATACACACCCAACATTGGAGCACCCAATATTGACAGAACTGAAGGTAAAAATAGACAGCATTACAATAATAATAGGGGCCTTTAGTACCCCAGTCTAACTAACAGTAAACAGATCATCCAGACAGAAAATCCATAAGGAACAGTGGACTTGAACAACACATAGACCAAATGGACCCAACAGACATGTGCAGAACATTCTACCAACAGCAGCAGAATGCATGTTCTTCTCAAGAGCACATAGAATCTTTTCCAGGATAGAACATATATTATGCCCAAAACAAGTCTTAACAAATTTAAGAAGAGTGTAATTATATCAAGTATCTTTCTGATCAAAATAGTATGAAACTAGAAATTGCAGAAGAAAATTGAAAAATTCACAAATATGTGGAAATTAAACAATGCACCTCTAAATCCACTCTTGAACAACCATCAAGGAAGAAATCGAAAGGGAAAATAAAAATACATATTAATACAAACAAAAATGGAAACACAACATATCAAAACTTATAAGAGACGCAGCAAAAGCAGTTCTAAGAGGAAAGTTTATAGTGACTGTGAAAAAACAAGGATCTCAAATAAACAACGTAACTTTAGAAACTTTAGCTCCTCAAAGAACTAGGAAAAAAAAAACAAAGCCCAAAATTCACAGAAGGAAGAAAGTAATAAAGATTATAGCAGAAATAAATGAAATAAAACTAGAAAAACAACAGAAAGATCAATGAAACTAAGAGTTGGGTTTCTGAAAAGACAAACAAAATTGACAAACCTTTAGCTAGACTATAAGAAAAGAGTCAAAGGCTCAAACAATGAGAAGTGAAAGCGGAGAGATTATAACTGATATGACAGAAACAAAAAGGATCCTAAGAGACTACTATAAATAATTATATGCCAAAAAGGTGAATAACTTGGAAGGATAAATTCTGAAACATATACCACCTACTAAGACTAAATCATAAAGAAATAGCAAATCTGAACAGACCAATGATAAGTAAAGAGATAGAATCAGTAATTCCTCTCAACAATGAGAAGTCAAGATTGGATGGCTTCACCAGTGAATTCTACCAAACCTTTAAAGAAGGATTAATGCCAAAGTTTCCCAGACCCTTCAAAAAAACTGAAAGGGAGAGAGCATTTCCAAACTCTTTTTATAAGGCCAGCATCGATATTCTTGATAGATACAGATGCAAAAATCCTC
This sequence comes from Homo sapiens, assembly GCF_000001405.40. Classification (NCBI taxonomy): domain Eukaryota; kingdom Metazoa; phylum Chordata; class Mammalia; order Primates; family Hominidae; genus Homo; species Homo sapiens. The sequence continues at coordinate 71,582,893 of NC_000015.10, read as the reverse complement.
AACAAAATACTAGTATACTAAATTCAAAACCACATCAAAAGGAACATGTACTACAATCAAGTGGTACTTATCCTTGGGATGCAAGGAAGGTTTGACATGTGCAAATCAAGACGTGATATACCACATTAACAGAATGAAGGACTAAAGTTAGTTATATAATCCTCTCAACTGATGTAGAAAAAAGCATTTGACAAAATTCAACATCCTTCATGATAAAAACTAACAAATCAGGTATAGAAGAAATATACCGCAACATAATATGGCTATATATGGCAAGCCCACAGCTAAAGCCATACTCAATAGTGACAAATTGAAAGCTTTTTCTCTAAGATCAAGAACAAGACAAGGATGTCCACTCTTGCCACTTCTATTCAACATAATACTGAACTACTAGCTGGAGCAAGTAAGCAAGAAAAAGAAATAAAAGGCATCCAAATTCGAAAGGAAAAAAATCAAACTGTCTCTGTTTGCAGATGACATGATCTTATACATAGAAAATCCTAGACCCTAACAAAAAAACCTGTTAAAACTAATAAACAAATTCAATAAAGTTGCAGGATACAACATCAGCATACAAAAACCAGTTGCACTTCTATACATTAACAATGAACTATCCAAAAAGAAATGAAGAAAACAATCTCATTTACAAAAATGAAATACTTAGGAATAAACTTAACTAAGGAGGTAAAAGATCTGTACACTGAAAACTATAAAACATTGAAGAAAGACAGTGAAGAAGACAAATAAATAGAAAGATCTACATTCATGGATTGGAAGAATTAAAGATGTCCATACTACCAAAAGTGATCTACAGAGTCAATGCAATCCTTATTAAAATTACAAAGGCATTTTTCACAGAAACTGAAAAACAATCCTAAAATTCAAATAAAACCACAAAAAATCCTGTATAGCCAAAGCAATCCTGAGCAAGAACAAAGCTGAAAGTATCACACTTTCTGGTTTCAAAATATTATAATGCTACAGTAATCAAAACAGTATGGTATGAACATAAGAAACAGACTTATAGACCAATGGAACGGAATAGCCCAGAAATAAACCCACACGTTTACAGTCAACTGATGATCTTCAACCAGGGTGCCAAGAACACACAATGGAGAAAGAATAGTCTCTCAGATGGTGCTGGGAAAACTGGATGTCCACATGCAGAAGAGTGGAATCAAACCCTTATCTCTACACAAAAATCAATGCAAATGGATTAAAGACTGAATTGTGTAAGATCTGAAACTGTAAAACTACCAGGAGAAAAGAGGAAAAAAGTTTTTTGACACTGGTCCAGGCAATAATATTTTTTTGTTGCACAGGCAACAAAAGCAAAAACAGACAAGTGAGATTGCATCAGACTAAAAATCTTCTGCACAGCAAATGAAACAATCAACAAAATGGAAAGGCAACCTATGGAATAGAAGCTAATATTTGCAAAACATATATCCTGATAAGGAATATAATATCCAAAATATATAAGGGGCTTGACTCAGTAGCAAAAAAATCAAATAACAGAATAGACATTTCTCAAAGTAAGGCATACAAATGACCAACAGGTACATTAAAAGATGCTCAATATCACTAATCACCAAGGAAATGTAAATCAAAACCAGAATCCAACATCACCTCACACTTGTTAGAATAACTACTGCCAAAAGACAAAAGATTAAGTGTTGGTGAGAATGTGGGGAAAAGGAAACCTTTGTACATTGTTGATGGAAATGCAAACTGGTATGGTCATTAAGGAAAACAGTATACAGGCTCTTCATAGCATTAAAAATAGAATGACCTTATAATCCAGCTATCCCTCTTCTGAGTATATATCCAAAGGAAATGAAATCATTACCTTGAAGAGTCATCTGCACTCCCATGTTCATTTCAGCATTATTCACAATAGCCAAGATATGGAAATAACTTAAGTGTCCATTGATGGATGAATGGATAAAGAGAATATGGGGTGTGTGTGTGTGTATATATATAACACACACATATGTGTATATAAGTAGATATATACACACACACATATATATGTATATAATGGAATATTATTCAGCTTTAAAAAAGAAGAAAATCCTGCCATTTGCAATAACATGAATGAACCTGGAGTACATTATGCTAAGTGAAATGAGTCAGATACACAAAGACAAATACTGCATGATCTCACTTATAGATGGAATGTAAAAAAAGTTGAATTCATGAAAGCAGAGAGTAGAATGGTGGTTACCAGGGCCTTGGTGGTGGAACTTCATGTTGGAGAGATGTGGAGGTGTCAGTCAAAGGGTACAAAGTTTCAGTTACACAAGATAAATAATTTCTGAAGATCTAATGTACAACATGGTGACTATAGTTAATGATACTGTATTGTATGCTTGAAATTGAGTAGATCTTACATTTTCTCACCACACACACCCACACAAAGATGTGAGGTGATGGATATGTTAATTAGCTGAATTGTGGTAATCATTTTACAATGTATATATATATCAAAACATCACATTTGATACCTTAAATATATACAATTATCATTTGTCAATTATATGTCAATAAATCTGGAAAAAGAAAAGCTTAGACTCTGGAGCCTAACCGCCTTAGAGTCTGCCATTTAAGGATTTAACTTCTTTCCCAATGTCACTTCTTACTTTATAGTCTAGACAAAGCCTACATCTCTCCATATCTCTCTAGCGTTTCAAGTCCAGCTCGCAGGTCACCATGCCCATTTCCCTGAAATAATTTTCCTCTCCTTGGAACTATCCTAGCATGACATCTATACTTCTTACTGCCTGCTGTGTACAAATTACATGTATTCTTTTTTGAAAACTCTCTCTTGGGAAAGCACAAATTTCTTAAGAGCAGGATATTATTATGTGATTTTTTAATATCTCCAATTAGTCACAGTGTAATTTGCATCCTGTGGTTGCTTAATAAATGCTAGGTGAATGACAAATTCGTCATTCGATGCTGAGCATCACCCTCCTCAAAAAAAAAACCCCACCGTTTATGTGTTTTAAGCCACTAAATTTGTGGTAATTTGTTATATAGTGATAGAAAACTAATATACATAGAGTTGGGCAGGTTTGGTCACCAGCTAGGTTTTTAATTGCTCTACTTATAAACAGGTGTCTCTCATTGCTATTGTTTTACCTTCCAAACCATGGTGTCTCCAATATTTTGAAAGCTATAAATGGGAAATAAAACCCAAGGGTTGAGGGCAGAGGAGAGATACATGACCCAATTTGAGGGGATCTACCATGTGGAGGCATTTACTACAGAGTGGAGTAGAATCACCCTTCAAGAGTACAGTAGCAATCTTTTCTCAGTCCCAGGGAAGTGACTTTAATCAAATGACAGATCTTCTGACCTGTGTTAACTAAGGCTGAGAAATGGAATTTAGATGGTAGAATTATTATTTTTCACACCTATGCTCTCCCTCTTCTGGGGACTTGTTTACTCAAAGGGATTTCCAGTTCCCTTTCTCATCGGAACTCCATAGGCTTCTGCTACGCAGATGATCATGAGAACAGGCGTGAGGAGCCCCTTCTCAGGAGGACATTCTGGCTCTCGGTAATGCTCACACACAGCTGGCCTCAAGCAAGTTAACAATAGCTACTGTACAACCATGAAGAGCCAGCTGTTATGGAGAATACAAAAGAAGTAAAGTAATAACACTGCCTTACCTAAATCCAATTTATCCCCAAATTTATAAAGGCAACTTATCTTAAACTGAAAACATAATTACTGCTAGTTTGATTAAAAAGTTAATGCACTCACGCCTGTAATCCCAGCACTTTGGGAGGCTGAGGTGGGTGGATCACGAGGTCAGGAGATCGAGACTATCCTGGCTAACACGTAGAAACCCCATCTCTACTAAAAATACAAAAAATTAGCCGGGTGTGATAGCTGGTGCCTGTAGTCCCAGCTACTCGGGAGGCTGAGGCAGGAGAATCACTTGAACCCGGGAGGCAGAGCTTGCAGTGAGCCGAGATTGTGCCACTACACTCCAGCCTGGGCGACACAGCAAGACTCCGTCTCAAAAAAAAAAAAAAAAAGTTAATGCAGTCCAGAGTCCCCCAAGTCAAATTAATGTATGCAAAGATAACACCAAATATCATTAAAACAGTGTTCATTATTTACTATCATATATTATCACAATATAACCTAAACAAGTATTTTCTATTTATTATTTAGTCTATCGAATGGCTGTTTACCTGCTCGTCGTAGGCCACTTAAGAAGAGTACACTTAAGAGTATACTATAGGCTGGGCGTGGTGGCTTACGCCTATAATCCTAGCACTTTGGGAGGCTGAGGCAGGTGGATTGCCTGAGCTCAGGAGTTTGAGACCAGCCTGGGCAACATGGCGAAATCCTGTCACCACCAAAAAAGAAAGTCACAAAGTCACAAAGCATGTTTATGGATTACATTATACAAAGTTTATATAATTTAACCATTAAAAAAATAAAGTCAAAAGAAATCAATGGCAGAATCCAAATGACATGACACTTATCAAACAGGTTGACATCATAATGAGCATCATCCTTGCTATAAATTAGCAAACCTCGAGTCACCTGTTAAGAAGGGCACTCAGCCAGATGTTGGTGCTAGCTACCCCACTGCCAAGATAACCACCTGGAGTCTACACTGCCGCTTACAAGATGCACCAGTGCAGAGTTTATATATATATTCAATTTATCAATTGTGTGTATATATATTCATTATATATATAATGAATATATATACTATATAGATAGATATAATGTATATATATACTATATAGATCGATAATGTACACAGACACAAGGGTATAAAATCCAGTGAGAAGGGCTCACACATGCCAGGTAGGGGAAGGGAGCAGTGGCTTTAACTGCCAGGGTTGAGGCCACAGTGGAGGCACACAGGAAATGGTAGAGAGTAGCAGCCTCCCTCCATCGGATCATCTGAGGACAGGAGTTTGAGCCCAGCCTGGCCAACATGGTGAAATCCCACCTCTACTAAAACCGCACACGAAAAATTAGCCAGGCATGGTGGGCGCCAGTAATCCCAGCTACTCGGGAGGCTGAGGCAGAAGAATAACGTGAACTCAGGAGGTGGAGGTTGCAGTGAGCCGAGATCATGCCACTGCACTCCAGCCTGGGCAACAGGGCAAGACTCCGTCTCAAAAATAAAATAAAATAAAATAAAATAAATAAATAAAGGTTGCACCAGTCCACAATGGCTTTCATAAATGCCAAGACAGACCCCTTAGAGCTGAATTAGGGCATCAAGTGAAAGTTTTAGTAACGCCAAATGGTTGTAAACCAAAGAGACATAATTTCATAGTATGTACTTCACAGTTTCGAAAGCATTTCTCCATCTCCAAAGCTTCCCCATATACCAAATTTATTTCCAGCCTCTGTGAATCTGAAAACTGGCTTTCACCCCCTCACAGTCTCCTATCCTCCTCGTATTTTACAACTGTCAAGCCCCAGAAAGTTAGAGACCTTAGCCATCATGTTTAACATGTGAGAAGCCAAGGATTAGAGTGGCAAACAGCCTGTCTTCTGGCCATCTCTTTGCATCTCCTCTAGGAAAGCTTTTCTAACTCCCCCAGAACACACAGATCAGTGGATTAGTCAATCAGCAAGTATTCATTGAGCATGTCTGATGTCCTGGCACTGATCGAGAGAAACTGCAAGAGATTTAAAACAACATACAAAACAAAATTTCCTTCCACAAAAGGAATTACAGTCTAGTTCAGCACACAGGTGAGATAATTTTGAATATGAGAAATACTTAATAAAGTACTAAAGGTTTTTTTTTTTTTTGTTAGGACAATCATGTAATATACTCTGGAGACATTTACAGTTCATACTGCATAATCCAGTACTTTCCAAAAATACCATTTATTATATAAAACATTCTATTTATTTAAAAAGTAATTGTATATCACTCCAATATAGGCTTTTGGGAGCTCTGAATAAAAGACATTATAAGGTTGATAAAAATGGAAGAAACCAGGAAACAGAAAAGATATCAAGCTTAAGGGTATAACAAAGCTGTTCTGGCTGAGTACAACACCTGACTTTGAGACCACTGGTAGCCAAGGCAAAAAAGGTAACATGTTATCTTTTTATCTGAAAGGGGGAGAAAAGATAAATTCAAAGGAAATTAGAAAGGATACTAAAATTTCCTTAACGTCTACTGTGTGATATAAGAGAAAGTGTCCTTAACACTGAGGCAGGAGAATCACTTGAATTCAGGAGGCAGAGTTTTAGTAAAATCAAATGGTTGTCAATCAAACTGACATAATTTCATAGTATGTACTATGTACATGACTGTCCTAACAAAAAACAAAATGAAGGCAGAAGTAGATTTTTAATTGGCTGTTTCATCTTTCATAAAAGCTAAGAACATAGTAGCAGAATGTAGCTTTCTGGAGGTGACGTGTAGAGGGGCCTGAGCTGAGGTCCAAGTATTTTGACTTGCTCAAAGAGTAGATTCAGAATTCCCAGTGAGAGGGGAGGAAGGAGAATGTTCCTTAAACTGTTTTCCTAAACATCTTTAAAAACAAACAAACAAACATGGTTTTTAATAGGAGCTCAACTGCAAATGCTAACAGGTAGTATTTTCTGTTAAGGTCCTGATGCATGCAAATGTATTGAGAAAGATTATACTAAATATTTTTCTCTTATTCAACCACAGGTTTTCAGAATATTGGATTTTATAGAACAAAATTTCCAAAAAGAATTTTGAGGGCTCCATGGATTTGTCCACTTTTTATTGTCAAGTGAGAACAATTTTTTTTTTTTTCCACAAAAAAGACTACTATCTAACTCTTACTATCCTTTCATAAAAGACATTTTAATACCAAAAAACTGCAGAGGACATAATCTCATAATAAAAGAGAAGTGATATAAATGAACAAATTTAGCTTCATGTAAGACTCTACAATAGTCTTCATTTTCACACTTTCCTCAGGGCCAGTGCAAACGGCATTGAGAAGGATTTAGGAACCTCTGACCTAGATTGTAAGTATCTTGCAGGCAGAGCCTAGCCCACAGACAGACAACTTTCTAACTTTTTTCATTCCTTTGCCAAATATTTGTACACTCAACACCATATAAAGTAGACTTTTTTGTTGTTGTTGTCGTTGTTGCTTTAGAGGGATTATTCATAAATTTCCTACAGTCCTCTGGAAAGTCCATATAACTAGCAGCTCCACTTTAGAGACAATAATGAGGGAAGGTCATCTAGTGGTAATACACGTAACTACAGGCTTTCCAAAATAATCTTTCTAGAATTCAGTTTCCAGGTATGAATTTTGGCTCAATGTAGGACTTCAAACACAACTTATTAAAGACGAAGAAACAAAATGTCCCGATTTCCAGTGCATTTCTGGGTATATGAAGGTACTCTTCTTGTTCATTCATTTTAGTGATTTTATTTATCACCTACTGTATTCAAACAGGATTTTAGGCAACTTACAAAGTATGCAATTCAAAGCTACCTTCTAGTTTTTGCTCATCACTAAAACAAAATAAAACTTAAAGTATGTACAGATGAGATCTGTTTAAAGGAATAATAATATGAAGCTAAAAGTGAAATCAGTGCCAAAATACATGTCACATGGTCTTTGTATTTGCTGGTGGTAGATCACATATTCAGCCTTAAGCTTTCCAGCAGACAACTTGAAGAGAGAAATCCATTGGCTTCCTAAGTTACAAATCCATAAAATTGAAAAAACCAAACAAGCCCAGCTTTAGAGAAGTCTAGGTTTGCCTAGTGCTGAGACAAGAGAGTAATCTCTCCCATGGTGCAGTAAAATGAACAATGCCCTCAGCAACAAGCTGGTAGTAAATACGATAGTGAGATGCATGAGTTCGGTTTCCTATAACTTCCTCTATATACGGCTGATGCATCGCTAAAGCCCCAAGCATAAAGGTAATTCCACAGAAGACTATAATGCTGTGGTCCAGGTATGCAGCTTCTGCCAGTCCTGCTTGGTCAGAACATATTCCAGGATATCTAGAGAAATGGACTAGATTGTAACAGTTTCAGGCAATCGCTATGGTAGATTACAAAAATGGCTATACCTGTTCATGCCTTTCCATATCAATTCCTGTGGAAATGTGACTTTGAAGCTCCTCCTGTGAAGAGATGATCACGGTCATGTATGAGATATAAGACCTCATGTTTAGAGGTCTTGTATCACCTCTAACCTGGGCACTACAAACTGAGGCTCAGACAGACAAACGGACTGCTCAGGGTCACATAGCATGATGCCAGAGATGCAAACCTATGTGTGACAGTCCCTTTGACATCCTAATGCCCACCTTCATAGCCATCGCTGCTGACTTAGTTAGTGAAAGGAGATTCAGGACCCAGTTATTGGTACCATGAGGATCCAGGTGAGGATGGATCCTTTTTAATTGGATGGATGGTACCTTTTTAATTATATGATCTTGGTTTAGTGTTTCCAAAACTTAGTGTTAGGTATCATGAGGATCTAGATGAGGGAGTCAGCATACCTTTTAATTATATGAAAAATAGTTTAGTGTTTCCAAGCCTCATTTTGCTTGTCAGCAAAAGGGGATGACAATAATATCTACCAGGGTTGTTGCAAGGTTCAAAACTTGAGCCTATCATAAATGTTTGCCATTGCATTGACACACAATAGGGGCTTAATAAATGTTGAATGCATACATGAAGGGATGCATTACTCTCTAAGGCATATACTTGAACTAAGGGCTGTGGCTCACCATCAGACACTACAATACAGGGTCAGTCAGCAAATATTCACTGACTGTCTACTGTGCACTGAGGTACTGCGATACAGTAGTGAGCTAGAGAAGTTCTGCGCTACTTTCTCAAGAATTGAAATTATGGTTTCGCCTCTTCAGTCAATACCCATCTGAACTGCAGGCATTCACTCCGACTTCTCTAAAATCCTCTATGGAACATTTTAAAAAGATTAAAAGCCCTTCATTCAACAGACATTCATTAGAATCCTTGCTTGTCCTAGACACTCCAGTAGGTGCTGGGGAAACAGCTAAAATCAAAGTAATCAAAGCGACACAATTAGTATTAAGTTACTAAATGAAGTCACAACTAGTGAGGCTGCAGGAAATCAATCAGAGCTCATATTGACATTTATTATAGCTCATAATCCTTCAGAAACAGTTGATTCATAACCTACCTCTACAGCAATGGAGAGCATATGAATGGAGCACATTGTAGAAGGGAAATTAGATTATCCTATTCCCCAAAGAGTAATTAATTTATACAGTGGATTTGAGGAAATATTTTTACATTAAAACAGTATGGTGTTTAACTTATTTCACAGGTGGCATTTGAGGGAAAAAGGGAACTATTGAATAGAACCAAACTGTGTAATTCACAAAGCACAGATTAAAGTTTTGAAAGGTCTAGAAACATTCCTTTGGCCAATTGGTTCCTGAAGTCAAACGCCTTTTCAAAGCTACCTTCTAGTTTTTGCGCTTCACTAAAAAATGAAGTTTCTTCGGTCCTTGGATTTCAGATTAAAAATTTTCACCCACGTCCCTCCTAAATGTCTTTCTAAGAGGATCCCTATCTTCTATTCTCACTGCCACCACCCTTGGCATTCCCTGCCTGGATTCGTTTAACAACTTTTCCCAGATTTAATAAATACTGGGCACCTACTGCATGTCAGGCACTGTGCAAGGCCCTGGGTGAGCAGTAAACAAGTCATGATTCCTGTACCTAGGAGGCTCGGATTCCTCACCCACCAACTCTCCCCAGAAACCCTAAGTCTGTTGTCCCTCCTGCAGATGCCACAGTGTATTTCCCAAAGTGCATGTCTGCCAAGCTCAGGCCTCTATGTGTAACCCCTAGCAGCCTCACGAAGTCTTTGGGATGAAGTCGTCCTCCTTGGTGGGGCATCAAAGGCCTCTCAGGGTATGCCCTCTACAGACTTCTCCAGGAACAGCTCCTGGCATGCCTTCCCAGGTATCTTAAACTCAGGCCAGAACAAAGACCTGGCACATACCTAACCCTGCCAGGCTCCCTTTCTTGACATTGTTTGCCTTTCCTGGAATGACCTCTCCTTTCCCCTCCCAACCAACCTCCTTCCTGTGTGTCACTTTGTTCTTTGAGAAGTAGCTTGAGTCAGCTTCTCTTGGAGAGTGTTCTCCCCACCCCTAACCCTACTTTCCGACTTGGAAAATAAAACACACAGAATCCTAAGATTATGCTGAACCAACTTAGTATTTGATGACTCAGCAAGCCCTTTTGGACTCCGCTGTCTTCAAGGGGGTGGCTCCTAATATTAAGTATCACATTAGTAGACATGATACATGCCCAGCGCCAGAGCTCCCCACCCCTCTCCCTGAGGGCAAGCCAGTGTCTCTTCTTTCTTTACCCTAGAGCCAGCCCAGTGCCAGGCTGTGCTTTCCAGCATGCAGTGCAGTTCCCAGCATGCAGGGAAGAAAGTGGTATACTGTGTAAGTGGCTACCTTGCAACAGCCACTACTACAGGTGAGTTTGAAGTAAAAAGATAGAAACAATCTACAATCCCAGCACAAAGGAAACAATTAAAATAATTGCTTCACCCATAGTATTAAATGTTATTCAGCTATGAACAATCAAGGTTTTGAAGACTATTTAATGATACAGGAAAACTGCTCACTATTTAATATAGCTACTCTCACCCAACTGGAAATTCACATAATTGGCAAGGGTTGAGGATAAATAGCTAAAGATTTTGTAAATCCAAAATATAAACAACAATAAGCTTGTTGTGGTAGGATTTTATTTTATTATAAATAGCTTTTTAAAATTTTTTCTCTGCAATATCCATCCCTGTTTCTCTCTCTCTTTCTGTCAACAATAAACATCAACTACTTTTATAACAAAAGATAAATAAACATTTTAGGAGAGAGAGGTTAGGATTGGCAGAGACATGAAGCAAATGAAAAACCCCACTCTTCTAAGATGCTGAAGAAAGAAAATATAATTAATAGGGATATTGCCAAGGCAGCTCATACATGGTAGGTTAGCTAATAAGATAAGCTGTTTGTGGCCAACCCCAGCAGCTGAATCTCCCATTGTCATGAAGGAGGACAGATGGCCACACAGAGATGCAATATTGTACAGTTTAAAAGATCAGCGTGGGGGAATAAAGCTTGTCTGTAGGTAAAGGTGAGACTTCCTATAGATTCTAATGCAACCATTACAACTAAATTTGAAGGAAGGGTTTCCATCTCATTTGGCTGCTCTATCTCCTGCAGGGCTCAGAGGAGAATCCTGTCCACAATAGGTACTCAAAATGTGTTCTAGGGGCTAAATACAGGCATTTTTCGAAAAGCATACCAGACATCTGGGGATTTGGTGAGGCGACCTTGCCTTAATGCAGTGGGAACATGGAAATCACATTTTGAAATATAAGCCCAGGGATCTCTTTTTTCCATTAAATAAGGAATTTCTTGGGATTTGCTAAACATTTCTGTTTTATTCAACACAGAAACTTTCAGGCAAAGGGATGCCAGAAACAAACCTGGAGCCTAAAGCCTGGGCCAGGGTTTATTTATCTAGGCATAGGAAACGAGCATGCGGCATTCTACCCCTCAGGGAAGCCCTTTCACTGAGACCCGGCTAACTTGTAAGAATTCAAGATGTGTCCATGTGATTTTTGGGCTCAAGAGAAGTTTTAAAAGGAAAAAAAAAAAAGTGAGTTCTTCAGCAGGTCTAGTTCCAACTTCTGGTGCTTTCCACTTTGAATCCCTTCAAAAAATCTATGGAAGACAAAGTATCAAGGAAGGAACAATGAAACATGTTCCGCCGACACGGTGGAAATGCCCCATAGGACACCTCAGGCTCATAGGGAGTTCTGACGTCTCACAGCCTTTAATTCACAGCCCACACACCCTAGCCCCAAGCAGGCTGGGGCAATGGTGAAGGTTCAATGATCCACAGAGGCGCAGCCACGTCTGTACCACAGAGCAACTGCTAATGTGAAAATGACTGGGAACACCCTGGAGTGTAGTCTGGGAAACTGCCTGGAGCCACAGACACCCAGAGATGAACAGGCTGTCACAGCTGGAATGAATCTTCCCAGACAAGTCATCAACCTTCTTATTTTCCAGTTGAAGACACTGCCACTCTAGGGAGAAGAAGGACTCGCCCAACACCACACAGCCACTTAATGGCAGGCCCAGGAGTAGACAACTCACCTGAACAAACTCAGCTTAAGATCCTAAAGCCAAATGTCCATATTCCCATCACCAGGGTTTTGCTCCCAGATTATGAAGTAGTGTAAAATGTGTATCTGATGGTGAAACTCCGTCTCTACTAAAAATACAAAAAGTTAGCCAGGCGTGGTGGTGTGCACCTGGAGTCCCAACTACTTGGGAGGCTGAGGCAGGAGAATCGCTTGAACCCAGGAGGCAGAGGTTGCAGTGAGCCTAGATGGCGCCACTGTACTTTAGCCTGGGTGAGATAACAAGACTCCATCTCAAAAAAAAAAAGAAAAAAAAAGTATATCTGAGTAATCTGGATTTATATTCCGGGTGCAACAATGATTAGAAATGTGATCTTACTTTCCTCATATAAAAATATTTTCCTGACCAATATCTCTCATAGGGTTGTTGTGAGCAATTAAGTAACAACACAAACGAGAAAGCCATTTGTAAACCCCAAATTCTACTTTTAAAATATAACTGGCTTTACCTGATGCATGGTGTTCTTATGTCATAATTACATTGGTTAGGTTAGTGCTTGGCATATAAGAAGTGTTCACTGATGTTAGGTGTTATTAATTGTTCTCATAAAAAGTGGTATTGACTTCTTGAGTCAAAGGGCTAATATATTTTATCCGCTTTATTTTATTGCCCCAACTTACTTAACTCAATAAATAAATAAATCAGCTTATTTTATTTTATTTTTTTGAAATAGAGTCTAACTTTGTCGCCCAGGCTGGAATGCAGTGGCGCGATCACAGCTCACTGCAACCTCTGCCTCCTGGGTTCAAGTGATTCTCCTGCCTCAGCCTCCTGAGTAGCTAGAATTACAGGCACACACCACCACGTTCAGCTAACTTTTGTATTTTTAGTAGAGATAGGGTTTCACCATGTTGGTCAGGCTAGTCTTCAACTCCTGACCTCAAGTGATCTGCCCGACTTGGTCTCCCAAAGTGCAGGGATTACAGGCCTAAGCTACCGCACCCAGCCTTTCACTTATTTTTACCTATGAGTTACACATTCAATTGTTTCTTTCTTTGCTTTGGCTGCTAGGGAGCTCACAGTAAAATTTTTGACACATCTCTAGTTAGATGTAAAGGCACGGAGTTTAGACACCAGTCTTACTCATGTCCTATTTTTTCTACCCAGTTTCCTCTTTGCTCCATTTTCCTCCCTTATTTGTTTTCTTGTAAATTCTATTCACTACATTTGTAAACATTATTTTAAATTCTTTTTAGAATGAAGGCATTATAAATAAATAACTTTTGAAAGATGTTTAGTCAATACATTATTGATCACTGGGCCAAATAAAGAAACAAACAAGACTGGACTCTAGATTTATATGGTTTCTTTCTCCTGTCCTCCCTCCCTCTCTCTCTCTCTTTCTTCTTTTCCTCCCTCTTTCCCTTTAACAGTGACATCTGACTTAACATTTCCCTTGAAACATGAAATCAAATAGCAAAGAAAGCCTCCGTGTGGGTCAGCACTCACATCCATGAATATCAGAGGGCAGAATCTCCGCTGCTTCAGGGCTCCTGACCAGCAAAGAAAACAACTAAAACTTTAGATTTCTGAGTGGCAGGCCACATTTTACCCTGGATGCTTCTAGCAAAACATCTATTTTTAGAAAAGAAGGCATTTTGGGGGATGTTATGGTAAAAACATATTCAGATGAGACAACACTTTTTCATTTTCTCCCCATTTTAAAGTAATACATGCTGATTAAAGAAAATTTGTCATATACTCTATAGACAAGCAGTAAAAAAGTTAACAAAAATCATGCATAGGAGGAAACATTTTAAAGATTGTTCTTAAAAAAGAGAGAAAGATCAGCAAACTATAGCAAGGACAAAAAACCAAACACTGCGTGTTCTCACTCATAGGTGGGAACTGAACAATGAGAACACTTGGACACAGGAAGGGGAACATCACACACCGGGACCTGTTGTGGGGTCGGGGGAAGGGGGAGGGATAGCATGAGGAGATATATCTAATGTAAATGACGAGTTAATGGGTGCAGCGCACCAACATGGCACATGTATACATATGTGACAAACTAGCACGTTGTGCACATGTACCCTAGAACTTAAAGTATAATTAAAAAAAGAAAAACAAAAAACAAAAAAAAAAAAAGAGAAAAAGAGGTAAGAGTATAACAATTAAAAGTTCTGGAGGCTGCTTCTGTTGGTACTTGCACTTTATTTTTCTGTTTTACTTGTTTTGAAAAAGGTCCTGAATCCTGATTCAGCAAAACAGAATCATGGGATCCTGAATCCTGATTCAGCAAAATAGAATCCCGGGATCCTACTTGGCCTTCAAGGACCTCTCATCATGTCACCCATGTGCTGCATCCTATTTTGTAGCATTGTGGGGATGATGGGCATCTGTCTCTGTGGCCACTTTGAAGAAAACATGCATTTTGCTTTATTTGCAGTTCTCAATGCAAGGTTGATGTATGGGCAAGAATTCTGTGGTTTTCCCATGCAGTCAGGGCCTTCATGTGAAGACCAGGGAGTCCTCGTTAAAAAAAATATTTCTGAGGTAAAACTAGAGAAGAGCTAGCAGTGTGGCAGATGCTTGTGACTAGTCCCAAGTTTGTATCTTTTTGGTGTGTAATTGGCTTTTGTATTTATTTATACTCATCCTATACCAAGAAAGGAACTTAAGGGGACTTTCAAAGGCACAAACAGGATAATAATAAGTATACAAAGAAAGAGAGGCAGAAGGGAAATAAATAAGAGAAATAAAGGGTAAGGTGGGTGAAGAGATGACATTCCCTTAAGGTCTTATCCAACAGCTAGAGGTGGGGTGTAAATTGGTTCTGAGCTTCCAAATGGACAAAATCAAGAAGCAAGCATGATGGGATTCATGGGGAAGACAGACACACACACCCACACACACCTACAAACACACACACACACACACTCTCTCTCTCTTTCTCTCTCCAGCTGTTCTGGCTTCCCTGGTTTTGACCGCTGATGGCGCTTCCTCTTGTGGATCCTCTGCCCATGCACTGCTACATTCCTTCCTCTCTCAGCTCCTGAAGGCAGTTTGCTAGAAACACTGTGACTCTCTTTCATGTGTGTGTGTGTGTGTGTGGGGGGGTGTCTTTGTTCTTGTCCAGGAGCAAGTTGGAAGTGCTAAAGAGGTAATGCTCCTATAGCGGTACTCAACTAACAATGAAAAAGGAGCTGGTGGACAAATATGCCTGCTTCCTTGCTTCATTGCTGGGTAATTCTGAGGTGTGTGCTTCACTGACTCCTAGATGTCTCCAGCAGGATTCAGCTCTGGTGCCCACAGTGGCTACTGGCTTGATCACACCCCTGTATCAGGCCGCTTCCCTTCCTATCTCACTTCCTCTGTCCTCTGCTGGTGTTTTCACCAGTAGAACCACCTGCCAAAGGAACCACTGGCACTCAGGTCCTTGGCTCAGCTGTGTCTGGGGGAACCCAAACTAAAGCAAAGACCTCTCTGGGATCTAGTGAACAGGGGTCTTAAAATGCTTCCAGGAAACACCATGATTGCAACGTGCTGCCTCTTATAGGGTCCGCCAGTACAGTCGAGGGCAGTTCCACATTATGAATGCCACAGCTATCCGGGCACTGCTCTGAGTGAGGGGTCCACTTCATAAATTAACTTTTAGCGTTGCTATGCGAAGTTGGGCCAATTACTCTATCTGTCCTGCAGTTTCCAAATCTCTAACGAGAGAGGGTTGGTCCCTTGCTCCCTTCTGGTTCCAAGATTCCTTGGCATAAACTTCCACACCTATGTGAGTTTAAGTGTTTAGGGAAAAAAAAAAATGACAGTACTCTCTGCTGATGTGTTTTTCAAAGAATCCCAGTTAAGTACTCAGGGTGAAAAGACAGGGAGGTGCCCCATGGAAAGAAATGCCAATGTCTGGAGATCTCTCAAGGTGATGACCAAGTGGGAATGGCAGGGGGAGCGGGGAGCAGGGGGAAAGAGGGGGGGCCCTGGGATAAGAGGCCAATTTATAAACCAGGGGGGAAAATGACCCGGCCTTTGAAGGCCTAGTGAGCAAGTTATATCCAACACAATCTTGCAGGGTAGGAAAGGTAGGGATGGGGAATTATGGGGAAAACAGTCCAAGAGACCAGGATCTACAGCACAGAAACTCTCGGGGCAGCACGGTATCACTCAACATGGCTGAGGACTCCAAGCCCCACCCTTTAACAAGTTATATTCAGCAAGCTAGTTATCTGTCTACCCCCACAACCCCTGTCACAGAGGGCTCTGGTGGAGATTAAAGGAGAGTATCTAACACCTGACCACAAAGTAGATGCTCAGTAAGTACTGGTGTTGAAATCTGTGGGCTGATCCTGAATTAAGGAAATACATGGACATTGCCTCTGACCACAGACTTCTGGGTATTTTTACTTATAGCTATTTCAAAAGTAGTTTGCATTTTTATTTTATTAAATCCCTGTAAAGAGAAAACACACAACCTCCAAACCACGCATTGTTATAGAATAACTGTGCCTTAAGAGAACTTGAATTCACTACCGAATTTCAGCAAAAAAAAAAAAAGAAAAAAAGAAAAAGAAAAAAGAAAGAAAGAAAAGAAATGGTTTAGTCATTATTTTTCTTTAAGCTGTAACCTTATCAAATTTTTCCCCTCCTTGGGCCTCGGATTTCCTGTAACTAAAATCAGGGAGCGTTGGGCCAGATGCACTTGGAGTGCCCTTTCAGGTCTTTAGTTGGTTTCAATTCTAGGAGCCTCTGGGAAAGCAGAGAAACAAGTCCTTCATGAGGTCATAGAGACTTACTTCTGTCTGCCATCATCATACTTTGTTCTAAGCACCTCAGAAGCTGGCTTAGAGCCTCTAACCCTTAATGATTCCCTTGCTTTTCTTCCCTTGTCAATAAATTAGACGATGCTTCCCCCTTGTTTCCATTCCTCTGTAATTTATGTCCTGTGGTTTCAGAGGTTCATTCAGGGCCCAGGAAAATCTGCCTGTTAATCCTTCCCTCCTCAAGTTCAGTGTTTGTTTGCAATTAAACTTAAAAAAAGAGAGTCCCTGGAGCAGAAATCAGAGGGATAAGGTCTCTACCATCACTTCTAACACATCCTTCCAGCCTGCTAAAGTCTTTTACTTCTCTAAATCATTTCAACGAATGGGTGCACTGTACTCCATGCAATTAGCAACTTATTATGTACTTTGCTAAGTTCTAATTGTCTGTATCACATAATTGAGCAGTGGGTTACATGGGGCAGACTGTTTTCCACTGATGTGTGAGCAGCCTAATCTGATGTGGGCTCTGGAATAGGAGAGATGATGGTCTGAATCCTGGTTCTGCTCTGGGCTGCATTACACAGTCAATATTATGTGGGTACATCTGTGATGCATATATAATTATCGCTTATGATTTTTACCTACTAAGTGTCCATTTTCCTGCAAACAGCACTCTGAGGTCACTTTGTGATCCTGGCAGGCTGAGCATCCTGCCATTCTAGGGTGTGCCCAGGACTTCAGCCTGGCAATCAGCACATTTATCTCCACTGGGTCAGGGATGAGCATGTGACCTCAGTCAGCTTAATGAGAGTTAGCTCTAGAAATCTGCTGGACCTGCAGCCACAGTCCTTGTATTCAAGATTCCAAGATTCAAAAGGCTTAAAAACCTAAGGTGTTCTTTTGGTTGTTGTTTTTTGTTCTCTTTGTAAGTTTGGTGTTCAAACTCATTTGGCCACAAAACATGACTTAATTGATGTGATACTATTGATAGTCTTCCTTATCCCATTTAGTATGACTATTTAACCTTTTTGTCCTGGATATATTCATGTATTTGACTAGAACCTGCTGGGGATGTTATATAATATACAATATATTGTATTATATGTTATAATATACAATATATAGTATTATATGTTATAATATACAATATATATTGTATTATATGTTATAATATACAATATATATTGTATTATATGTTATACTATATATTGTATTATATGTTATAATATACAATATATATTGTATTATATGTTATACTATATATTGTATTATATGTTATAATATACTATATATTGTATTATATGTTATAATATACAATATATATTGTATTACGCATAATGTACAATATGTGGAATATCCAAAAGAATCCAAATTCTGAAACACATCTGAGTCTCAAGGGTTTTGGGTAATGGAATCTGAACTTCTACAGACTTCCTGCCTTTGCACCTGCTTTTCCCTCTGCCTGAGAAGTTTACCTCCCTCCCCTTCCACCTCCAATCTTCTTCAACTGAGAAACTCCTACTTAGGCAACATGCCCTAACCTGAATGTCCTCTCTGCTGTGAAACATTCCCTGACTTTCCTCAGCAGAATCAGCCATGCTGTTACGTGGGTTCTCATGACACTTGATCCACACACAGTACAACAGTTTTCACACTGGATTATGGTCCTCTCTGGGAACCTCTGCCCCTTGAAGGGCTTCTAGGAGTGGGGACCCACCTTTGAATCTTCAGTTTCTGGTATAATGCCCAACATAAGCATAGCAGGAATAGGGCATCTTACCTCTACAACTTCCTGAAGAGGGAAAAATGGGCAGAAACATTGCAGAATCACTGACAATACATTTGTCCAATTTTATAAATTGTGAAACAGAAGTCTTGGTTTCTAATCTATTCTACGATGCTGCAAAAAACTATTTAGTTTTTAATATACAAAAGTAAAATGAAGAAAACTCAGTGCAATTTGGAATTGGCTGACTGGCACATCAACCAAGACAACTGATGGAAAAGCCCACCCCCACACCCCCAAAACAAGTCAGGGCTACCTCAAATGTATGAGCAGCACATCTGAGGTCTGGGGCATGTTAGGGCCTCAATACGCATTTGTCACACGGGATAAAGAGTTCACTCACCAGTTGAATATACTTAAAGGAGATGGGAGCAGTAACTGGAAAAAAGGGGCCCTGGCTGGAGAGCAACCCTTTTTGAGGCTGGACAAAGCCACATCTACTAAGGTCATTAACATACAAATTCTGAAACATGAAAATCAGAGGCTAAGTATTTACAATCAGGTTATTTGGACCCAATAAAAAGATGTGGACTTTTTCTTTACTGTCTGTCTACTTCAGTGTGTTGTCTTTATCAATAATAAAAGGTAAAATGATTAAGTGTTATTTGGCTTAACCATTATGATGTGTATCCGGATTTAAGCTTTGGCTTAGAATTCTATTAATTATCAAAATGCTTCATAATTAGAGGGCCGCCTTTACCTGACTATCCCGAAGTGCTTACACGTAGTTCTTAGATGTTTTCAATGATATTTGTGATTTTAATTGCCTTTGGATAGGTTTTCAGAGCATTTAGAAGATACGGTTCCAAGTAAGCGGCCTTCAGGGTACTAACAGAGTCTTTACTATCCGAGATTTCCAGAGTGGTTTTGCTAGTGGGTCCTCCAGCAAGACTCCACCATGCCTCTTGCCTCTGATGGGGGTCCTCATCAGTCATGATACAGCTTTTCTGCTCCAGTGTGGTGATGTAAAGGTTCACTAAACATGCGCTGTACTCACGCATCATGTGTCCAACGCTGTGCACCATAGGACGATGTGGGATATAAGAGATGGTTTCCCAGTCTCAGCTGCTTACAGGCTTACTGGGAGACCAGAATGTTCATAGGGGAAAACTATTAAGAGGCCAACTGAGGTCAAACCAGATCTGAGACTTGATGTTATAGAATATACAGCAAAGGGCATTTAAAGACCAGAGATGCATTTTGGGAGGCCGAGGCGGGTGGATCACCTGAGGTTAGGAGTTGGAGACCAGCTGGCTAACATGGCGAAACCCCGTTTCTACTAAAAATACAAAAAATTAGCCGAGCATGGTGGCACATGCCTGCAATCCCAGCTACTCAGAAGGCTGAGGCAGGAGAATTGCTTGAACCCAGGAGGTGGAGGTTGCAGTGAGCTGAGATTGCGCCATTGTACTCCAGCTTGGGCAACAAGAGCCAAACTCCGTTTCAGAAAAGAAAAAAAAAAAAAAGGACCAAAGGTGGTAGGCTTAGGTGTTCTGGAAGAGGTGGGACTTAGAATAGGCATGAAGCAGGAACTGTGAAACGGATATAACATTACATTTAGGCCCTGGCAGTTCTCAGGTTCCTGCTTTTCTGCTACACTTCCAGGAGCAAGAGTGTCAGAACGTGAGGTCAGGATATTTGTCTGTCTGGCTTATCGGCATATATGCGAACCACTTTGAATAATGCCTGGCACATGGTAGGCTCTCTGCAAATAATATGTTGATGAATCATAATATGATAAGTTGATTAATGAGGAGGCATGGTTTCACCCCTTCCCTTCCCTTCCTACCACCTTCCAACACACTCAGATGGTTGATGTACAAAACTAACCATCTCTATAGCGCAAGCATACTGACAGAACAAACTATACAGCTGAGGTATCTTACAAATAGCTTTGAACACATTTAATGTACCTGGTTTAAACTGTATCTGATTTAAAACCACAAATACTCTCTTCCAAGTACCCCCAAGCTTTCCCTTGCCTAAAGGTCTCAGAAGCCACAACTGGGTGTGTGAAGATTATTTTGTTTCTAGACCATTCACCCTCCAGGTCTGGGTTAAACAACTGTGTGGTCCTGGGCAAGCCACATAACCTCCAAAAAATTCATTATCCTCATATGTAAAATCAGTAGGTTAGACTAGATTATCTCTGAGGTTCCTTATTAAATAATGATTCAAGACACTGGAATTTGGTGCTTAACATCACTTTCTGGCTCTAGAGAAGAGAGAGAGTGAGTGAGTGTTTGTGTGTGTGTGTGTGTGTGTGTGTGTGTGTGTGTGTGTGTGTGTGTGTGTGTGTGTTTATTTTAAAAGGAGTCCTGGGTCCACCCTTTGCTGAGAAAATCCCAGTGACTTCCCAGCCCTTCCTTCTCCACCTGGGAGGGTATGGACACTTGTAGCTTTGGAAATCCTGGTTTTTGCTCTTTCTTCTTTCTCAACTGCTCACTCTGTCATTCCATTTTAAAGCATCCTACATATTTTCTTCTCCTTTCTCTCCAATCGGAGCCTGTGGGTCATCAGATTTGGTTAAGGAATTTGGAGCTACACTCCGGATTCCTGACTGTATACCTCCCCTCTCTAGGATCCCATGTTTGTCTTTTTATTCTCATGGGTGATGCCCTCACCCCCAACTCCATATTAATTCCCTCTCATTCTTCTCACTTTGCATTCTACTTCAGTTGGACAAATACCCACTCACAGATTTCACAATTCCCTTAGTCTATATAAAGAATCTTTCTCCATTAGGCTTGAGAGATCAATTTTTTAATAATGGTGATAGCTGCCATTCATTGAGCATATTCTCATACCAAACACTTTACGGAAATCACCTCCTTAATCTTCACTAAAACTCTACGATATTGACATGATCCTCCCATTTTAAAGATAAAGAGAGCCGAGTGCGGTGGCTCACGCCTGTAATCCCAGCACTTTGGGAGGCTGAGGCAGGTGGATCACGAGGTCAGGAGATCAAGACCATCCTGGCTAACACGGTGAAACTCCGTCTCTACTAAAAATGCAAAAAATGAGCCGGGTGTGGTGGCAGGCGCCTGTAGTCCCAGCTACTCGGGAGGCTGAGGCAGGAGAATGGCGTGAACCCGGGAGGCGGAGCTTGCAGTGAGCCGAGATTGTGCCACTGCACTCCAGGCTGGGCGACACAGCGAGACTCCATCTCAAAAAAAAAAAAAAAAAAAAAAGATAAAGAGAATGATGCTTAGTGAACTTACTTGTAGCCTGCCTAAGCAAGAACCAGAGAGTCAAGCTCAGGCCTGTGTGTTTGAAAGCTCATGGACTTTCTCCCACTATACAAAAGACATCAACTCTATTCAAGGGGTTTATGATATGTGTTTGTAGTTTAGTGGTCACTCCTACATTCAGATAATGTTAAGGCTGGAACATACTTAGGAAGTCACTTAATTTTAGTTACTTCTAGTAGAACCTAAGAAATATAAGAGCATACCCACACAGAGAAAAGAAATGATACAATTACATGGAAAATTGCACACGTATTATATACAACTATATTTATAACACAAATGGAAAGTACATCTTTACAAGCTTCCACAGAACATTTACAAAAATGACTTGGAATGCATTCCTCTAATATCTGCCTACGAAACCCCTAAGCATTCTTCAATCCCATCTCAAATGCTACTTTCTCCATAGGCTGTTCCTGATCTCACAAAAGAGTGTGATATGTTTATTAGAGTAATTTATATCTTAGCCCTCACTAACCTATTTGTTGTTTCCTGTCTTTAGAGGGCAGATTGGGTCTCACCTCTTTATGAATTCCACAGCACTTAGCACAAAACTTGACACAAAAAATAGCACTCAATACATGGTTGTTGAATTTAATTCAGAATTGTTTATTTTGCCTTGGTGCAATGTAGGAATATGAAAAATATTGTAGTCAGGCAGAATTCAATACATTCTGATATAAACCACTCTGTCTTTTACATCAATTACTCATTTTGTCCCTTAAAAATGCCTTGCTTGAAATTTCAGCATTCTTTCTGTTGCTTCATATTAACTTTCTAAGCTAAAGTAAATAAATTTATTGAATATGCTGAATCAGAAAATAAGGTTTTTTAAGTAAAATGTTATTTTTAAAGGAGAAATGCCTAATTGAGTATGCATGTCAAAAGTATAGTATAAGACAATAGGGAGGAAAAAAGATACTCATTGTAGCATTAGTTTTTAGACTAAATAATATTTTCATTTATTAAATATGTGACTTTCTCTTAAGGTATTCAATAGTTTCTTGGCAATAAATTTTCTCAAGAAGTAACAATAAAATTTTGTTTGAGCCTCTCACGATATGCTAACCACAATTAATCACTTTTCTCTAATGTAGCTGAGCTGCTTTATAACACCGGCTACACAAAAGGAGAGTGAGTTAAAGTAAGGAACTAAAGGCCATCCTTTGCATTTGAATAAATCTTTACAGTTTGCAAAGCACTTTCATGAACATTATCTTATTAATGTTCCTTATATGTCATTGCGATGAATATTATTCTTCTTCCCATTTTATGGGAAGAAGGTAGAGAAGCAGAGGTCTAGAAAAATTACTTGCCCAATAAACATTTATTGCAAAAAAAAAAAGGAGGAAAAGAAGGATAAAAATGTGTCTTATGTAGGGTCAAGATGGCAGATTGAGCAAAGGTATTTGTTTTCCTCTTTCCTTTGCAAAATTCCATTCAAATCGCAGAAAACACACAAGTTGTAATGACAACTATAAAACAAGAAAGGATATGATTACCAGATAAAACATTCTGAGGAATTTCTGGATATTAGAAAGTTTATGTTGGCAAGAAACCACAGCAGAAGAAACCACCAAAACAGACTATTGCAGAGATGAAAAAATTCTAAACTCAGAAACCACAGGTACAGTGAGCAAAAGCTAGAGTGGCCACTAACATCAAGGAAAGGATTGCCTGAAGAATGCTGAGGTCAGCCATGCCCCACCCCTCCACAGGCCAACAAAGATGCTGGAGGGAGGTTTCAACATGTCTTCTTCGAATACTGACAGATGAGGCAGCGCACATTAGAAAAGACACAGAAGACTTGAACAACCTAATCTACAACCTTGATTTAATAGAAATATAAAAGTCTCCGAACCAATTATCAAGAATGTTCATCAAAACCAACATTTTTCTCAAGCACACTTGGCGTGTTTACAGAGGCTGCTCACATACTAAGCCATAAAGCAAGTCTCAACAAATCTCAGAAAAATCAGCATCGCACATACCACATTCTCAGACCACAATATAATCAAGTTAGAAATTAATTTCAAATTTAAAAAAACACCGAAACCCTCCATACTTAAAAATATAATTAAATAGTGCTTGGGTCAGAGAAAATATCATAATGAAAAATTTTAAAAATATTTAAAACTGAGGCCAGGGGCAGTGGCTCACGTGTGTAATCCCAGCACTTTGGGAGGCCAAGGTGGAAGGATTGCTTGAGCCCAGAAGTCCAAGATCAGCTTGGTCAACATAGAAAGACCCCATCTCTACAAAAAATTTTAAAAAATTAGCCAGATGTGGTGGCATGCATCTGTGGTCCCAGCTACTGGGGAAGCTGAGGTGGAAGGATCACTTCAGCCCAGGAGGTTGAGGCTGTATGAGCTGTGATCCTGCCACTGCAACAGAGTGAGACTCTGTCTTAAAACAAAACAAAAAAACCTTAAAACTGACTAATAATAAAAATACTGTATATCAAAACTTAAGAGATGCAACATAAGTAACACTACAAGAAAAAATTGCCATCTTTAATACATTAGAACAGATTAAAGGCTAAAAATAAATGAGCTGAACATACACACACATATATTTTTTTCTGAAACAGAGTCTCATTCTGTCACCCAGGCTGGAGTGCAATGGTGCAGTCGCAGCTCACTGCAACCTCCACCTCCTGGGTTCAAGCGATTCCCCTGCCTCAGCCTCCCAAGTAGCTGGGACTACAGATGCCAGCCACCATGCCTGGTTAATTTTTGTATTTTTAGTAGAGATGGGGTTTTACCATGTTGGCCAGTCTGGTCTTGAACTCCTGACCTCAAGTGATCTGCCCACCTCGACCTCCCAAAGTGCTGGGATTACAGGTGTGAGCCACCACATGCGGCCCACATAAATTTTAAAAGTTACTAAAGTTAAAGAAAAAAATGATGACATAAATAAACCCGCGGAAAGAGCAGAATTGAATGGAATAGAAAACAAAGCTTCAATGAAGAGGAAGAACAAAGCCAAAAGTTGATTTTTTTATGAAGATTAGTAAAATTTACAGTATTCTGGAAAGAATGGTTAATAAAATAAAAGGCACAATTGAACAATATTAGGAAACAAAAAAGGGCTCTGCAGCACCTGGAGATCTGCAGATGCTGTAGATAATTAGAAGGTATAATGAACACATTTATGTTAATAAACTGGAAAACGTAGATGAAATGGACAAATTCCTAGACATATTTAACTTTTAAACATTTTCCAAGAATAAATAGAAAGCCTTAATACTCCTATAATTATTAAATAAAAATAACTGGTGGTTTAAAATTTCCCTGTGGGGGAAAAACACATCAGGCTTAGCCAGTTTTTTAGGTGACTTTCTAGGAATAAATTACAATAATTTTATATTATAGAAAATCCTCCAGACATTAGAAAACAAGGCAGTACTTCTGAAATGAATTTATAAGACTGGTATAGCCTTATAGCAAAACAGGAAAGTAAACCATAAGAAAGAAAAGTTTACAGGCACTCTCAAATATATATTTTTTTAAAGAACCCTCTTAAAAATAGTCATGTTATAAAATTAATTTAATAAAAATAGAAATATATCATAACCAAGTTGGATTTATCCATGGAATGCAAGGATAGTTTAACATTATAAAATCTGTTTCTGTAATTTATCACACTGACAGATTAAAAAAGTAAAACCAAATGATCATCTTAATAGAGAAAATGTGTCAGATAAAATTCAACACATGTTCATGATTTAAAAAATAAATCTCTTAGTACACTGGGAATAGAAGAGGGTTTATTGAGCTAATACAAGCATAAACTTACAGCAAACTTGATTTTCAATGGCAGAATGTCAGAAGTGTTCTCTTGAGCAAATCAGGAACAAAATAATACTGCCCCCATTCAACATTTTGCTGGAGGTTCTAGCCATTGCAAAGGTTAAGAAATAAAAATTATAAAAATTGGAAAAGAAACAAACTCAAAATGGCCATTAAAAAAGAAATTAGATATACAAGAATTTGGAAAAGGAAAAAAGCCAAAATGGCCATTATTCACAGATTACATAATTATGTACTAGAAATTACAAAAGTTCCTACATAAAACTGATTTAAATTAATAAGAGTTTAGAAAGCTGTTTTGATATAACATCAGTTGTACTTTTTTTTTTTTTTTAAGACAGGGTCTTACTCTGCCACCCAGGCTGGAGTGAAGCGGTATGATCATGGCTCACTGCAGCGTCAGCCTCCCTGTGTTTAGGTAATCCTCCCACCCTAGCCTCTTCAGTAGCTGGGAATATAGGCACACACCACCATGCCTAGCTAACATTTTTTCTATTTTTCAATTATTATTATTTTTTTTGTAGAGACGGGTTTCACCCAGGGCTGGTCTCGAACTCCTGGGCTCACGTGATCTGCCTGCCTCAGCATCCCAAAGTGCTACCAGCATTACAAACATGAGCCACCATGGCCAGATGATCATTTGGACTTCTAAGCATTAGCAACCAAAATAAAAAATTAATTAGAAAAACATACACATAATTTATAATAAAAATAAGGAACCTAGGATTAAATATAAAATAAAGATGTATAAGACCTTTGTGTAGAAAATTGTAAAACTTTATTAGAAAATGTCAAAGAAGACTTAATTAAATGTAAAGCTTATACACTATGTTCATGGATAGAATGGCTCAATGTCAGAATGATTTTAGTGTTCTCATATTGATCTATAGACTCAATACAATACTGATAAAAATTCTTAAATGATTTTTCAAGGAAAATTGATGTGATAATTTCAAATTTCATAAGGAAGAGCAAATGTCTAAGAATAACTAAGACACTCCCAAAGAATAATGCGAACTGATTTGCCCTACACAGATTATTATAAGGCCATAGTAATTAAGACAGCATGTTACTTGTACAGACATAGAAATGTCCAATGGAGCAAATACAGAGGCCAGAAAAAGATAGACATATATATGGAAACTTGGTACTGAAAAGAAATGGCCCTGGAAATTTGTTGAAAGGGAAAGACTATTCAATAAATGTTCCTGTAGTAACTCATTGCCAATATGGGGAAAAAAGAAAATTAGATCCCTTAATGAAAAATGAAATTAGATCCCTTATTTACCCCATACAGAAAATTTAACTCTAAGTGTATAAAAACTTAACTGTGAAGTGCAAAACCTCAATAATTTTAGAAAGCAATATAGGAGACTATGTCTATAACCTTGGGATCAATAATTTCCTAAACAAGAAAAAGAGAGTGTTAACACAAAGAAATAAAATGGATACATTCAAATACACTAAAATCAAGGACTTCTGTTTAGCTAAAGACACTTTACAAGTCATAAAGTGGAGAAAATATTACATGGAATAAAAAGCAGAGGGTTCATATTCAAGATACACAAAGCACTCTTAAATCAGTAGTGAAAAAGCAAAGAACTAAATTTAAAACCAGAAAATAAATACAAACAGGCATTTCACAGAAGAGGAAACGTGAATGATATGTATACACATAAACATTATACAATATCAATAGTTAATGATCAGAGAAATGTCCATTAGCATACACTGATACCATTTTATATCTTATATATCAGTAAAAATTAACCTGTCTGATAATGCCTAATACTGGAAAGGAGATAAATCATTGAGAACTTTTACATTCTACTAGTGGAAATGAAAACTAATACAACTGCTGTGGAAAGCAATCTGACATTAACTGTAGAGTTAAACAAACACATTCTCCATGACCCGCCAATTCAGTACTGCATTCTGGAAGTTCTAGCAAGCACCTCTCAAAGTGCTGGGATCAGAGGCATGAGCCACTGCACCTGGCCCAAATAGCATATTCTTTAGACACACATACACCTGTGATTATATTATAAATAAAAGCAATGAAGTGAAAACCATAAAATTCAGGGTGATGGTTGTCTTTCAAGGAGAGAAGCGAGGAGGACATGAGTGGGGAGTGGTGCATAGTACTGGGAATTTTGATTTCTTTAGTTGTGTGGTGAGTTCATACGTGTTTGCTTTATTATACTACTTCATAATTGCTTATATATTACATATGTTCTCCTACATATATTCAGTATTATGCCTTTTTAAGAAATAAAATAAATGGTTAAAAAGATACTCAAATACCATCACTCCACTAAAGAGCTGGATGGTGTTACGGTTGAGTTCAATAAACCTTCAAAAAAAAAAAAAAGGTAACTTTTTGGTTGTTTAAACTGTTTCAGAGGCTGGGTGTGGTGGCTCACACCTGTAATCTTAGTAGTTGGGGAGTCTGAGGTGGGAGGATCACTTGGGTCCAGGAGCTCAAGACGAGTCTGGGCAACACAGTAACACAGTGAGACCCTGTCTCTACAAAAAGTAAAAAATTAGCCAGGCATGGCGGCGCATGCCTGTAGTCCTAGCTACTTGGAAGGCTGAGGCAGGAGGATTACTTGAGCCTGGGAGGTTGAGGCTGCAGTGAGACGTGATTGGGGCACTGCACTTCCAGCCTGGGTGACAGAGTGAGATCTTGTCTCAAACAAAAAAAACCGGGGCATGGTGTCTCACGCCTGTAATCTCAGCACTTTGGGAGGCCGAGGCGGGCAGATCACGAGGTCAGGAGATGGAGACCATCCTGGTTAACACGGTGAAACCCATCTCTACTAAAAAAATACAAAAAAAAAAATTAGCCGGGCATGGCGGTGGGCACCTGTAGTCCCAGCTACTCGGGAGGCTGAGGCAGGAGAATGGCGTGAACCCAGGAGGCGGAGCTTGCAGTGAGCTGAGATCGTGCCACTGCACTCCAGCCTGGGCGACAGAGCGAGACTCCATCTGAAAAAAAAAAAACCAAACCAAACAAAAAACAAACGAAAAAACAAAACAAAACTGTTTCAAAGCATACAAAAAGATGAAAGACTTCAGAATTGATTTTACAAAACTATCAAAACCCTGGTCTAGCACAATAAAATACAGCCGAGAGCCAATAACACTTATTTAAAAAGAAGAAAAAATTTAAAATATTTATAAATCAAATACAGTAGCAAATTTAATGAAGAAATCATGATTAAGATAGTTAATTCCAAGAATGCAAAGACAGTCCGACATTAAGAAATCCATAATATATTCACTATGTAAGTAGATTAATGGAAACAACTCATATGAGCATTTTGATAAAGGCAAACAATATTTGATAAAATTCAGCAATCACTCCTGATAAAAACTTAGAAATAAACTTGTAACTGGATAAAATGTATCTACCTAAATCTGTGACAGGTATCATACTTAGTGATGAAATATTAGAAACATTCCCATTTAAGTCTGGAAGAGCTGGGCGCAGTGGCTCATCCCAGCATTTTGAGAGTTCAAGGCGGGTGGATCACCTGAGGTCAGGAGCTCGAGACCAGCCTGGCCAACATGGTGAAACCCAGTCTCTCCTGAAAATACAAAAATTAACTGGGTGTGGTGGCACAAAACCTGTAATTCCAGCTACTCAGGAGGCTGAGGCAGGAGAATCGCTTGAACCCGGGAGGTGGAGGTTGCAGTGAGCCGAGATCACGCCATTGCACTCCAGCCTGGGCAACAAGAGCAAAACTCCATCTCAAAAAAAAAAAAAAAAGTCTAGTAGAAGACAGGAACGTTCACATTCATTTATCTTATTCAGTACTGTATTCTGGAAGTTCTAGCAAATGCAGTTAGACATGAGGTAGAAACAAGAAGCACAGGTATCAGAAAAGAAGGAAAAACTCTGCCATTGCAAGTCATAGGCATACACATACACATATGCACATAAACCCACAGACACTCACATAGGCACATACCCTTACGTTTATAAATGTACAAGAATGGTTCTAGAAGGACAGATGCTAAATTGTTAACAACGATTTCATCTTGGCAGGGAAGAAGGATAGGGGAGAGAATGAGGGTAAAGAAGAACCTTTAACTTTTATTCTCTGTATTTGTTTGCTTGAATTTGTTTTTACAATAGTTTTTATAATGTAAAAAAATTGCTAGGCTGGTGCGGTGGCTCATGCCTATAATTCCAGCACTTTGGGAGGCCAAGGAGGGCGGATCACTTGAGGTCAGGAGTTGGAGACCAGAGTGAAACCCCATCTCTACTAAAAATACAAAAATTAGCCAGCATGGTGGCGGGCACCTGTAATCCCAGCTACTCGGGAGGCTGAAGCCGAAGAATCTCTTGAACCTGGGAGGCAGAGGTTTCAGTGAGCTGAGATCGCACCACTACTCTCCAACCTGGGTGACAGGGTGAGACTCTGTCTCAACAACAACAACAAAAACATTTAAATGAGAAAAGTCATATGGTGAGTTTTCACCCAAGTGATTGACCCAAAGCTCAAACTTGGGTCTTGCATTAGCAAGTGAGTTCCACATAGCTGACTGGCTATTTTAGATACTAGAAAAAGAAAGGCAAAGCCAGGGAGAATTGTGTACCACGAAATAGTCATTAAGGTCATTACATTGACCCTTCATTTCTATTTGCCACAAATAACACTCTAGGAATGAAGAGTGACAACTAGTTTTTTAAATAAAGGGTGTCACTGCTTACAAAGCAGTCCTACATTCATTATTTAATTTGATTTACTCCTTAGGAAATAATTTATGAAGAAGAAAATGTCCTGCAATGATGACCTAAATGACACGTCATAAAAAGATAATCTTAAGACTGTAGATCTAGAATTTTGAGAACTTTCATAGGCCCAGAGAAAAACTCCAGTTCTCAGGATCGAGCTGACTGACAAATTTCCCGCCACATCCCCTCACAATGGATGCTTCTGTGATCTGAACTATGCATTGTTTCCAGAACATGCCATGTCCTTTCTTATTTCTGGGGCTCTATAGATGTTTTCCCTCTGCCTGGAATGCTCCCCCTCTTTTCCCACTTAAAGTGCTTACTTATCCATCAGAAAAGAGTTAAGATTGCAGACCTGACTGCTCTCCTTGAAAAGATCTGCTTACAAGGCTGGCCCTAGGCTGGCATCTGGTAACTTGGATTTGGGGAGGGTTCCCATCATTCCCAGAACTGGTAAGGGTGGCTTGCTTGCTGCGCCTCTACTGTATAGACAATATGGTTTATGCTGAACACCTGCTTTCCTTGTGGGAGTCTGGAATTTTGTTAGCTGGCAGGCAGAGGGTGTGCATGTGGTCAGCCCCAGTAAAGATGCTGGGCTCTAGGCCTCTAACAAGCTTCCTAGCTGGCAACATTTCCCATGTGTTGTCATAACCCATTGCTAGGGGAAGTAAGTGGGTCCTGCGTGCCTTCCCTGGGAAAAAAAAACCTCGGGAGCTTCCATCTCGTTTCCCCCAGACTTTACCCCAGGAACCTTTTCCTTTTGTTGATTTTCTTCGTATACTTTCACTGTAATAAATCATAGCTGTGATTGCCAATGTATGCTAAGTCACTGAATCACGACAGATAATTGAATCTTAGGGGTTATCTTGAAGACCCCCAACACACAGCCCTTCAAGCCTCAGTTCAAATATGTCATCATTTGTGGAATCTTTCTTTGCTTTCTTAGGTAGCTTCCCATTGCTCTTGCAATTAATGAGAGACCCTTATTGCATGATCATTCACTGTTTGTATTCTGTGCCCCTTTTAGAGTATAAGCTCATCAAATACAAAGATCTGGTCTTTTCACCTTTCTTTTTTCAGCACAGGGTTAATACACTTGGTAGCATTTGCAATGGTGATTATAGTCGATAACACATTTTACACAATGGGAGCATTTTATGCACATTCAATTTGCTTTTCCTACCTAAAAGCATATCCTGGTAGTCATTTCATTACACATCTAGAGCTACCTCATTCTTTCTGAATAAATGCACAGCATGCCTTATCACTAGGACAGTAGGATGGAAAGGACCTAATTATGACAGGTGGCTCATAGAACATTTTACACACTCAGAGTAGACCTATATGATAAAAAGTCTTAGAAATGGAAAATCTGGATCCAAAAGACATTTATTTATTTTTAATGTAAAAAACTGTGATATAATTTACATGCCATAAAATTGCTCTTTTAAAGGATATGGTTCAGTAGTTTTTAGGATAGTCACAAAATTGTGCAACCATCACCACTACCTAATTCCAAGACACTTTCATCACCATGAAAAGAAACCTTGTCTGTACCCATCAGCAGCTAAGATATTTATTTTTCATTTTGATAGGTTTTGCCATACTGTACCGTCAAAATTAAAGAACATCCACGCCTGTAATCCCAGCACTTTGGGAGGCTGAGGTGGGCGGATCACGAGGTCAGGAGATTGAGACCATCCTGGCTAACACAGTGAAACCCCATCACTACTGAAAATACAAAAACAAAATTAGCCGGGCGTGGCGGCAGGCACCTGTAGTCCCAGCTACTTGGGAGGCTGAAGTGGGAAAATGGCGTGAACCCGGGAGGCGGAGCTTGCAGTGAGCCGAGATTGTGCCACTGCACTCCAGTCTGGGCGACAGAGCAAGACTCTGTCTCAAAAATAAGAAAATTAAAGAACATCTTTTTGACCACACTTTGCAGAATTTATCATATTATTCCAAATATGGAATGTAGCAGATTTCTAGTTGCATCTCCCTCCCTGTCCCTACATATAAC
This sequence comes from Homo sapiens, assembly GCF_000001405.40. Classification (NCBI taxonomy): domain Eukaryota; kingdom Metazoa; phylum Chordata; class Mammalia; order Primates; family Hominidae; genus Homo; species Homo sapiens. Next base: position 71,550,334 of record NC_000015.10, on the reverse strand, counting down.
AATGTCTCATTGGTCTTATCTGAGAAGGTAAGTCCAAGTTCAAGAAAGAAAATGCAAGCCTCCCATTCCCACCTCCCCTTCCCCGCCATTCTGCTGCATCCTGCAAAGAAGCTGCACGTTGGCACGCTCCCCACGCTGACAAATGCCTCAAAAGTCCAGCTTGACTTTAAAAGTCCTTTACAGTCTTTTCGGGGATACGCCCCATCTGTACAAGTGTACACGACTGCCACCCTAACCTTGACTAAGACAAAAGGGATTCTCATGATCTCACTGTTCTGAGTTTAATGCTCTGGCAATGGGAAAATTAAAGAAGGCACAGTTCTTTTCTGTGTCTGTCCTCCAACCCATGCACTGACACCATACCAGGTTGTTCTGTCCTTGGACCACAGTCACCAGCACTGACAGTGCCAGCCACAGGACGCCAAACAAGGCTTGCTTTGCATCACAGCCCTCCTCTCCCCACCTGCCAGGTCCTGCTTATCTGAAAGGACCTCACACCCTAGAAAACTGACTGTAAACTGCTTCCCAGAGTGTGCCGCTTGGCTTCCAGCCCCACGTGGAGAACACAGCCCTCCAAGCGCCCCCAGGTGTATGACGCTTTCTTACCCATTCTTCCTTCTCCTCATGTGTTTTTAGGAACATCCAAAGGGAAGATAATTAAAACCTGCAAGAAAACCAGCTGGCAGAGAAAAGGAAAATCCTGGTGACTTAGTGACGACGCCACATGTTTATGGGTAAGTTTTGCAAGTAACACGACAATAAAAAAGAGGCTGTTATAAATAAATGCCACATTCTTCAAAGCTCTATATAAACTACATTCTTTTTAAGAGGTGGGGGCTACTCATACTCATGCTCCTTCCTCATCATTTCATTTCCAAGAAGGAAAAAGGAATCCTAATTGTATAATTTCCTAGGAGCTCAGGCGTTCTGGAGCCAACAGCACAGAAACACACACGCACTCACACACGCATGCACACACATGCACACACTAGGGGAAAGAGGGAAAGCAAGAAAGAAAAGAGGAAGAGGCCCAAGAGGATCTTTACTTAGCAAAGCAGAGTGGAACAAAGGGGCAGGAGGGCAGGCATCTCACTACCTCTGATCGGGTTTTCTAGCTATTCATGTTAAGCACACATACTTTTAACTCATAAGACAAAACCTCTGCCTTCCTCTCTCAAACGCTGAGCACTGTCTGAAAAGCACCAAGATTTGGGTGAGCCTGTATAATCCCTTTCATTTTTCATCTGCTTTGCTGATTGTCAGGTGAAGCAGAGCCATTTGCCACTCTGCATGTGACACAAGGCTAGGGGCACACAGATTCCGGCGTGGCCTTCCCCACGAGTCAGCTGTGTGCAGGTAACTAAAGCCTGCCCTTTGCTTGCTGTTAATAAGAATAATTGGCACACCACTGAGGGGCTGCTGGAGCACTGTGATTTGCTCAGTTCGGGGGTCTCCCCAGACCATATGTGCATGCAGCGGTGATAGAAATATTTTCCATATGAGCTCTCCTCTCGCCTGCTTAAATGCTCCAGGCTGAGTGAGGCCAGCCCATTTGTCATTCACTCTACACACGAAAAAAATCAACAGGGAAATTGCGAACTTCAACTACAACTAGAGGGCAATGGTCTGCTTTCAGCTTCCAGCATCACTCACCCATTCAGTTCCTCCTGCTCCCATTCAAGGGCTCAATCCCCCCACAGGCCCAGAAAATGTCTACAGAGCAGAGGACATGAGTAACTAATAAGTGAAAAGCCTACAACAAGTGACCCGTTGCTGCATGTCTCTGAGCTGCATGTCTGTTTTGAACAGAGCAACAAGCCTGCTGAAACCACAGCTAGCCTTGCAGCCGTGGGCTTGGGAGCACTCCCACTTCCACTCTTCTTAGACAAGGGAAAGTAATTACATTAGGCTTTCAGAGCCTGCTTGGTCCCTGACAAGGCTAACAAAAGGCAAAGCTGTGAAGTGGCCTCATGGCCTTTTTAGGAGATACACTTTTCATTTGGCTTTTCAAAGACGAAGATGGATGCAGGAGAAAGGCTGTCCTTTCGTTACTCAGGCATCAGGGTAAGGAGGGAAAGGAGTGGATGAGGGAAATACGTTGCAGGCTTGTTTGCAGGTGAGGGTGGATACACCAAGGTGCTTCCCTCTCTGGACTCAATGATCATCTATCCCAATCTCTTTGCCTGCATCAAAAACTGACTCCAGGAGGTATCACTGATGTTAAAAAAAAAAAAAAACTGTACCCAACAATCACATGAACTAAACCAGTAATAATAAATCATCCTCATGAACTTAAAATATGTCTCCCTGCTAAGGTACATCTGGGTACACTCCTAGCCCTGTTGTATATCATTCTCCCTCTTCAAATCTATGATAGAAAGTTAAGCACAGATTTTTCTAAGCACATCAAAGAAAAAAAAAAAGAGAGAAGTGTTGCAAAAGCAGGGAAGAAAAGCAATTCCCCTAGCATGTACATTCTCTCTGCAGCACTGGAGAAAAATTCTCAAAAGGTAACAGTCCCTAACGAAATCTGACATGGCACATCTTTTTTTTTTTCTGCTACAGCAGGAGAAGCGTGCGTGCTACAGGCATCTGTCACCAAGGCCAGAGCAACTTCCCAGTGTGGCAACTGCACAGACAGCTTCAAAATGACATTTTAGAAAGTATAAAATTCTTCAAGAAGAAAAGAAGTCTTCATATAAGAAAAGGCAAGAGAAGCCTACAAAAGTAATATAAAGCATTACTCTTTGCACCCCATAAAATTCCATTCCCTGATCCCTCTTGGTAGATAGAAGAGGAAATATAATGCTGAAAAAAAATACAACTTCTGACAAGATATTTTATTTGGCTTACCTCTCCCCCAGGTCTTGCTAACACTGCTGTTTGAACGTGGAGCAATGTTAATATCAGGTAGCTGACAAACATTATTACCCAAAGTTAGAACTACCCTAGAGGAGAACTCCGTCTGCCAAGTGCTAACAGCTAGCAGATGCACTTGTGTCTCGGGATTCCAGCCCTGGAGTTCCGCTAGGCACCGCGCTGGTTCCCTCGGCTCTCCCTCACTGTACTGCCCGGCGCTTCGAGCTCAGCCTCTGTTCTGAAGAAAACTGGTAAGCTGATCTCTTCATGTAATAACTTCTCCCGGCTGGGGGAGGGGACAGGAGCCAGCTGGGAGCTGGGGGGCTGCCTTTAACAGAAAGCAGAAAGGGGAGGGACAGAAATGATCAATGTGGAGTTCTGCATCTGGTCTCATTCATGAAAAGGGTTCCAAGGTAAGCACGCCACATGCAGGGGGACAGCCCCTACCTCGTCCACTGAGGCAGGGAGGAGGCAGTGAATTGCAGCAGGATGAGCTCCGGGCTGGGAACGGGGAGAGCCAGGGCCTTCCTAGTCCAGGATCTGGGACTGACAAGCTGTGTTTGCCTGGACAAGTTGCCAGTCCGCTCTGGGCTGCAGTTTATTTTTCTCACTTATACAAAGGTTGGGTGAATGACTTCTGAGTTCCCTTTTAGATCTGATTTGATGGTTGCAGAAATCTAGGCAGTTAAAAGCTGCATTATCAAGGGCAGCCTCAACAGGGACAGAAGTCACAAGGGTGATGTGTGTTTGTGCACCAGTTGTATAGACACAAACGGATGGGAACTGTGGAAGCCATTATATCCCCCTCTTGCTGCATCCCTGGGTCACTATGCCTAACCAAGAGCTTGAGGAATTATTGCAGAAAATGTAAAAATAGGTGGTAACATGGGAACAAGTGAATCCCAAGTGTCAGACAGTGCTGTCAGAGTACACTGAAATGCAGGATGGTTTTAAAGAAATAAGAGCTACCTCTGAGTAGACTCACATAGACCATCAAAGTGGGGCTTGGGAGCATGGGGAGCAGGCTGGGAAAAGGGTCTTCCTAAAGCCTACAATGCACTTGAGATACACTTTACATGGTCACCTGTTATCCTGAAATAGCAGAGACCATGGTTTAAAATGGATTAGAACCCATCAAGTACTGTATTCTGCCTAGAGTGGGCTCAAGGTGCTATTCTGAGGCTCTTGGTGGCCACAGAGGATAGGATGACTGCACGGTGCAGTGGAAACACCCTGAGGTCCTGGAATTAGGCAGGTGTGGGTTAAACTCCAGTTGTACTTCAAACTCTTCATGTGTGTCTCTGGGTGAGTATTTAACCCTGGTGAGCCCTAGTCTCCCCTCCTGTGAAATAGGGAAATGCCATCCTATGGTTATGATGACTATCAATGAGCTCACCTAGGCACAAAATGTGGCATAGTTCCTGGCACACAGTAACTACTAAAGACACAGGCTTTCTCTTTGATCTGAAATAAGTATCAGCAGCCAGCCCCAGAAAGTAAATTAATAAACACTTGAAAAGCCTCAGGTTATGAGCATTTTCCTGCATTAATGAGGAAACTTTAAACCTAACTGCAGTTCGTAGCCATCTCAGAAAGTTTATTATCACCAGTCACATGACCATTTACCAGTGGGGAGTTTTTTGGTGGGGGACAGGGAGGGAAGAACTTTCATTCCTTTTTACAGGGCTGTAAGAGAAAAAAAGGTATAGTGAGGATAATATCTCCAGTTAAGGAAAGAAAGGAATGAATTTTTCCTCTTCCTCCTTCTTAGTCATTGTTACTGTTCAGCTTTGGTTCTGTTCTGCTACCTAACTAAAGGGGCAAAGTTATCTACCGAGTAACCTCATGAGAAATGCAGGAATTATTTAAGAAAGCCAAAGTTCTTGAAAGACCAGGAGTGTTGTCTAGCCAGGGGTTGGGAAACTTTCTGTAAAAGGCCAGATGGTAAATATTTTAGGTTTTACAGACCACGTGGGCTCAAGTAGCAACTACTCAACGCCGCCATTATAGCACAAAGGAAACCACAGACAACACACACATGAATGGGTGTAGCTGTGTTCCAATAAAACTTTATTTGTAAAAACAGACAGGCGGCCAGATTTGACAGTAGTTTGCCAGCCCCTGGTCTAGACACTTCTCAATCACCCTTCAATCCACTGCAATCTTTTGACCTGTCTGCTCTACTGCAAGGGCTCTGGAAAGGTCACCAATGGCCCCTGTGTCACAAAATTCAAAAGAGAATCACTAAGAACTCATTTACTTCTCTGTAACCATGTCCTCCTTTTAATATTGTGGTAACATATAGACAACATAAATTTATCATTTTGGCCATTACTAAGTATACAATTGAGTGGCGTTAAGTACATTCACAATGTTGTGCAGCCATCACCACTATTCATTTCTAGAACTTTTCCATTATCCCAAACAGAAACTCTGTATTCACTGAACACTACCTCTCCATTTCCCCTCCTCCAAGCCCCTGGCAACCTCTATGCTACTGTCTGTCTCCATGAGTTTTCCTGGTCTAGGTACTTCATATAAGTGGAATCATACACTACAGTATTTGTCCTTTTGTGTCTGACTTATTTCACAGAGCATGTTCCCAAGGTTCATCCACTCTGTAACAGGTATCAAAACTTCATTCCTTTTTAAGGTTAAGCAATATCCATTGTATGGATATACCACATTTTGTTCATTCATCCATCTGTTAATGGACACTTGGATTGTTTCTACCATTTGGCTGTTACGCATAATGCTTCTATGACCATGGCTGTACAAGTATCTGTTTGAATCCCTGCTTTCAATTCTTTTAGATATATATCTAGGAGTAGAATCACTGAATCATACGGTAATTCTATGTTTAACTTTTTGAGAAGCTACCAAACTGTTCTCCATAGTGGTGACACCATTTTGCATTCTCACCAGCAATGCATGAAGGTTCAATTTCTCTACCTCCTTGACAACACTTATTATTTTCCACTTTTTTGACAATAACCATCTTAATGGGTGTGAAACGTATGTCCTCCTGTTTGAACCACTCTCTTTCCATAGCTTCCAGGGCTATGGCTCTAGATTTCCTTTGCCTCTAATCAGCCAACATTCGTTGAGCACTATGAGCCCAGTATTACTAAAATTATTTTAAAAACTTTTAAAATAGTTTCATGTAACCATGACAACAGTCTTATTAAATAATTTGCTCCATGTCACACAGCGGTAGGTGGCAGTCGGCATTCTGACCCTAAAAGCCTTTGTCCAGAGCCTGACTCTTAATGACAGCACTGCCTTGTTACCATTGCTCTGGACTCCTTGACACACCCTGGGCCTAGCTCCTAAATTCCTATATTCTAGGCCCTGTCTCCTCTCTATCTGCCCTTGTTGGGCCATCCTATCCTTCCAATGGCCCCAATGCTTTACACATCCATGACTCTTTTTTTATTTTTATTTTTTGAGATGGAGTTTCATTCTTGTTGCCCAGGCTGGAGTGCAATGGTGCAACCTCAGCTCATTGCAACCTCTGCCTCCTGTGTTCAAACAATTCTCCTGCCTCAGCCTCCCGAGTAGCTGGGATTACAGGCTTGCACCACCATGCCTGGCTAATTTTGTATTTTTTAGTAGAGACAGGGTTTCTCCATGTTGGTCAGGCAGGTCTCGAACTCCCAACCTCAGGTGATCCACCTGCCTTGGCCTGCCAAAGTGCTGGGATTACAGGTATGAGCCACCACACCCGGCCCACATCTGTGATTCTCTACAACCATCTGTAGCCAGGTCTCCCTCCTGACCTGTAGGTCGATATACCCAGTTGCCTAATGGATACTTGCATTCCTCAAATGTACTCCAAATTCAACAGGTCTAAAACTGAGCTAGTGTTTCCCTGAAACCTGTTCTTCCTCCTGTTTCCTCCATCTCAGTAAATGACATCATTATCCATATAATTCCCAGGGGCTGACAACAGGGTCTTCCCACTCCCTCGCTTTTTCATCCAAACCATCATTGGGTCTGATTGAGTTTCCTTCTAGAGAGCTCCCCAACAGGTCTATGGCCCCACATTCCTGCTGCCCTGCTCCCATCCAGCCCTCCATCATCTCTTCTTGACTTTATGTAGCAACCTTCTTGTTCTGTTCTCTTCTCCTTCCAGGCCTCTTTCCCAGTGCAGCCACTGGGATCTTCTAAAATGTGACTCCAATCATGTCACTCTCCTGATTTTTTTCTAACTTTTTTCTTTTGAAATAACTTTAGGTTTACAGAAAAATTGCAAAGACAGCACAGAATATCATGGCATCTCTTCACAATGTTAACATCTTACATAACTATGATACATTTATGAAAACTAAGATGTTAACATTGGCACAATAATATTAACTAAACTACAGACTCACATTTCCCCAGTTTTTCTCCAAAATGTACTTTTTCTATTCCAGGACCCAATCCAGGAGACCACAATTACATTTAGTCATCACATTTCTGTGGTCTCTCCTGGTCTGTGACCATTTCTCAGCCTTTCTTTGTTTTTCATGACCTTGATGCTCTTCAGGACTACTGCTTAGGTACTTTTTAGATTATCCTTCAATTTGTTTTTTTTGTTTTTTTGTTTTTTTTTTTGAGACAGAGTCTTGCTCTGTTGCCCAGGCTGGAGTGCAGTGGCACAATCTCGGCTCACTGCAAGCTCCGCCTCCCGGGTTCACGCCATTCTCCTGCCTCAGCGTCCCGAGTAGCTGGGACTACAAGTGCCCGCCACCATACCCAGCTAATCTTTTGTATCTTTAGTAGAGATGGGGTTTCACCATCTTAGCCAGGATGGTCTCCATCTCCTGACCTCATGATCCGCCTACCTCGGCCTCCCAAAGTGCTGGGATTACAGGCGTGAGACACTGTGCCCGGCCCAATTTGTTTTTTTCTAACGTTTTTTTCATGATTAGACAGGGGTTAATGAGTTTTTACGAAGAATACTATAGAAGCAAAATGCCCTTCTTATCACATTCGTCAGGGGTATTCTATTTCAATATGACTTACCACTGATGATGTTAACCTTGACCATGTGGTTCAGGTGGTATCTGCCAGGTTTCTCCACTGTAAAGATAGTATTTTTCCTTTTCCATAGCCTATTCATTAGAAATGAATCAGTAAATCCCATAGAATTAAGATCTCCTTCCTGGAGGGGGAGTATCAAAGAATATTCCAACATATGTTAAAACCATCACAAATTCATAAATATTTTAGAGGAGATACTTTGAGGCTATGCAAATGTCCTGTTTTCTCTGCTAATTTTAATACTCATCTGTAGATCTTGCCTGCAGTAATTATTACTGCAGTGTTCTAATGGTGATTTTCTGTTTCTCTCATGCCTTCTGCATTTAACCAGAATTCAGCAGTATGGATGATTTGTCCCGCCTCCTCCATATATTTATTAATTCAAACATTTATTTTTACTCCTCTGCTCCTTAAAATCTTTTGATGAGTGTCCTTTGGGATGAAGTCCAAATCCCTTCATATGACAATTACAAGACTGTTTGCAATACGTTCTCTTCCTGCCCTTCCAGCCTCCTCCTCCTGTCTTGTGTTCACACACACTTCATTCTCCAGCCATCTTAAGCCACAAGAAATTATCTCAAATACCATGTGTCCTTGTGCTCCATACCTTCTTTCCTGGTACTCCCTTTCTCTAGAAAGGTCATTCCCCCATCCTCACTGAGCTAGCTCCTGTTGCTTTTTGTCTCTAAAAACTTAGCCCAAATTGTTCATAAGCACCAAATATTGGAAACCACCTAAATGCCCATCAATAGAGACTAATTGAATAATTTGTGACATCCATAAAATGAGGTACCCTGAAGCAACAACAACAAAAAATTGAGTTTGCTTCCTATGTAATGATATGAAACATATCCAAGATTTATTGAGTGAAAAAAGTAAGATGCTCAGAGGTGTGATTACCATCCTATTATTTGCATATGCATGTTTATAATTGCTTGTCTATGTGCTATCTGTGGAAGAACACACTGGAGACTACCAACAATGGTTACCTCTAGGGAGGGAAACTGAGTTGCTTCAGGACAGAAATGCGAGGAAAATTTATTATTATACATCTGTGCTGTCTCATACTGCAGCCACTTAGCCATGCACAAATACTGAGCACTGGAAATGCGGCTATTCCAAATTGTAATATCCTGTAAGTGTAAAATGCACTTCATACAATTTGAAAACTTGGTATAAGCAAAAGAATGTAAAATATCTCATTCATATATTTTTATGTTGGGTTGATGTTGAAATAATATTTTGAATATGTTGGGTTAAAAAAATATAGTATTAAAATTAATTTCACTTGTTTCATTTTACTTTTTAAAATGTGGCTATTAGAAAAATAGCCACACTGGTGGACAGCATTTCTATATACCCTTTCATACTTATTGAACTGTCAAACATGTGAATGTATTGCTATTCAAAAAGTAAATAAAATGAGGCTGGGCGCAGTGGCTCACGCTGGTAATCGCAGCACTTTGGGAGGCTGAGGTGGGTGGATCACTTGAGGTCAGGAGTTCGAGACCAGCCTGGCCAACATGGTGAAACCCCATCTCTACTAAAATTACGAACATTAGCTGAGTGTGGTGGCACGTGCTTGTAATCCCATCTACTCGGGAGGCTGAGACAGGAGAATCACTTGAACCCAGGAGTTAGAGGTTGCAGTGAGCCAAGATCCTGCCACTGCACTCCAGCCTGGGTGACAGAGACTCGTTTAAAAAAAAAAAAAAAAAGGAGGCCAGGTGCAGTGGCTCATGCCTGTAATCCCAGCACTTTGGGAGCCTGAGGCAGGTGGATCATGAGGTCAGGAGTTCGAGACCAGCCTGACCAACATGGTGAAACCCCATCTCTACTAAAAATACAAAAATTAGCTGAGTGTGGTGGCACGTGCTTGTAATCCCATCTACTCGGGAGGCTGAGACAAGAGAATCACTTGAACCCAGGAGTTAGAGGTTGCAGTGAGCCAAGATCCTGCCACTGCACTCCAGCCTGGGTGACAGAGACTCGTTTAAAAAAAAAAAAAAGGCGGCCAGGTGCAGTGGCTCAGGCCTGTAATCCCAGCACTTTGGGAGCCTGAGGCAGGTGGATCATGAGGTCAGGAGTTCGAGACCAGCCTGACCAACATGGTGAAACCCCGTCTCTACTAAAAATATAAAAATTAGCCGGGCGTGGTGGTGCATGCCTATAATCCCAGTTACTCGGGAGGCTGAGGCAGGAGAATCGCTTGAACCCAGGAGGCAGAGGTTGCAGTGAGCCAAGATCACACCACTGCACTCCAACCTGGGCGACAGAGCTAGACTCCATCTCAAAAAAAAAAAAAAAAAAAAGTAAATAAAATGAAATAATGGTTGTAATAATAGTTAAGAAGAGAAATGAAGCCATGCACAAGTCCTCCTTGCTCCCAATGATTCCCTTAAATGTCACTTTTTCTAGGAGTTATATCTCATCAGGCTCCCTGTCAAGCTGAGGGCACTGCCCTGGCTTCTGTCTCCAGATATCCTCTGATTATCTCCAGTGTAATATTTATCATGATGTGTTGTAATTGTTAATTAATGTGTTGTCTTCATCAATACAGAGTGAGCCCTCCATAACAAGAGATGCATCTTTTTCTCTGTGGCCCCAAGAGTCAGCACACAGATAGCCTGATTCAATGAATGCCAAACAAGAGAACGGATGCAAAGGAGGGCTTTATAGCAAACTCTAATCTGCTTATGACGGGAGGTCTTCTAATGGTTCATCTTAGATACCAGAAAACAGAAAACGCAGAGGAGAAATTCCCAGAAGGTATATTCCTCAAGGAAATTCAAATAATTTCAACCTAACTTTTGGGTGACCTAAAAAGAGAAAATGTTAGTGGTACAAACGAGAGTATCAAAAAATACGGAAAATGAACATATGATGCCTAAAACCACACATCCCATGTAAAATATAATTGTGCACTACCTCTTACTAATAAAGAAGAGTAAACCATAGCAGATGTCACCTCTAAGGCTATTTTACCTCCTGCAAAGAATGTGTATTCTTTATGAAGGAAGAAGGAAGATGCAGGTTTCTCCACAGAGGTCCATATGGTATGGCTAAAGTGTTCAAACTATGTTTATTTCTTTACATATGCTGACATTGTGTGGAATAGGTGGAAAAAGTCTCTTGTCAAGAAAGCAGCTGGCTATCAGTCAGGGAGCTGGCCATGCAGGAAAGGAGAAGCAGAAGCAGGTGTTAGTAATTAACTCTCCCTTTGTACAAAACCAAGAAGCCATTAAAGAGCCACAGAGGTGGGAAATGAGGAAAGCAAAGAAGAGTTCTCTGCTGCATTTCTGGTGATTGCTCTCCCTTCTCTTCAAAGATAAGGACAATCATGAGAATCTACAACAAAGCAAGTCACTGCATCCTTACCCTTCTCTGATTTCTATCTGAAAGGGGCCAAAGCCTGGCTGGATCAGCACTTGTAACTATCAGGGCAGCCATGCAGTTAGGCTGAGCACCTTGCAGGTTCACTGAAAGGAGGGTTATGTTACTTGGCTCAACTGGGCTCAGGGATTTAAAGTGGGGCCAGGAGAAGGGCCAGAGACACAATCAGGGAGATGCTCAAAAAAACCATACAGGCCCATCCTAACTCTTACAGCACACAGGGGAGCTAGTTCAGACAATGCATTGGAACCATTCTCATGTTGACTGTATTCTTTGTTTCAAGTATTTGCTCTAAGGCAGAGGTTCTCAACTATGGTCCCTGGATCAGCATCATCAGGGAACTTGTTTTAAAATGCAACTATCAGGCCTCATCCCAGACTTATGAATTAGGAACTCTGGGGGTTAAGCCCATTGATTTGTGTTATAACAAGCCCTGTGGATGCCTGCTGGTTTGGGAACCACTGCTTCAAGCAATAATTATCTGTCTAGAAAACCTTAATTCAAATTGCACAAAGTATTATTTTATGAAATCTTATTTTCTTACAAAAGGTAACTGTCAGATACTAAAACATAGCACGAAGCCGTAATAATGAAAACAGTGGCAAAAACAACCAGCGACAGAAGAGACAGATCATTTACCTGACTAAACATGTAGAGGGATTTCGTGTGCAATCAATGAGTCACTTCAAATCATCAAGGAAAGGAAGGCAAAGGGTTGGGAATGTGGCCAGCCACTTGAGGAGTAAAGTTATTTCTCTAATTTATATCAATGACAAAATAAATTGCAGGTGGATTATAGGTTTTATGCAAACAACGGAAGTATGAAAACTGTAAAAGGAAATGTGTCTATATTTCTATATTCTTAATGTGGGGAAGGATTTTTAAGCAGAGCTATAATGAAGACAAAAACACAAAAGAAAATATTTATATATTTGTATATATATTTTAAAATTCTGTAAGTTGAAAATATCATAAACAGAATTAAAAGACAAATAGGCTGGGCACGGTGGCTCATGTCTGTAATCCCAGCACTTTGGAAGGCCGAGGTAGGTGGATCAGTTGAGGTCAGGAGTTCAAGACCAGCCTGAACATGGTGAAACCTCATCCCTACTAAAAATACAAAAATTAGCTGGGCATGGTGGCATGTACCTGTAAACCCAGCTACTTGGGAGGGTGAGGTGTGAAAATCACTTCAACCTAGGAGGCAGTTGCAGTGAGTCGAGAACACGTGATTGTGATTGCACTCCAGCCTGGGCCAGAGTGAGACTCTGTCTCAAAAATAAAAATAAAAAAATAAAAAAAAATTTTTTTAAAGCCAAATACACAGTAGAGAATGTATTTCACTTGTCCATTTACTGAAAATATCAGTACTTATCATCTGCTTGAACCAGGAAAAACAGACTCAATTCTTATCATTACGGAACTTTTTGTCTGGTGCAGGATGCCAACATTAATGAAACCCAACAAATACATTTAGAATTGCAATGTGAAAAGAATTACAAAGGAAAGATATATGGTAATATAGGGAGATTGTCCTCATTAGAGAGATTGGCTTGTGAGAGGAGCAATACTTGCCTTCCTGATGACTTGAGAGGAAGGGGGTATGGCTGAATAGAAGCAACCAAGGGGGAGCCAGCCCAGTATCAGATGGGCTGAGGACAAAGGGAGGGGCCATGTTGCAGAGATTTTTTCTTTCTCTTAATGAGAATCTACTTTAAGGGCAAGGGCAGCAGTTATAGGACCAGATTTGCATTTTGCAAAGGCTACTTCTGTTGTATGGCGAAGGGATTAGAGGGAGGCAAGAATGGAAGCTGGAAGACCAGTTAGAAGATTATGGCTGTAGTCCAGATGAAAAGGGCTAAGAGCTTAAACTGGGATGGTGGAAAGAAGTGAATGATTTCAAAGATAATTGACAACATTTATAGTGGGAAAGGGCTCAGGTCCACAATATATTTTTAAAAACACAAAACCCTTAAAGACAATGTTAACTGTGAAAGGTTGGACTCAATGTCTAACCGTAGGGGAGGTCCTAGATACACTATGGTATATCCAAAAAGTGAACTCCTATCCAATCCTTTAGAGTGACCATGCCATTGACTGCTGATACTAACAACATTTTGATGTTACATTTTAAGACAAAAGTAGGCTACATCAATAAGGGAAGAATAGTCTTTTCCACAAATGGTGCCAGGATAAGTGGATATCTACACGCAAAAGAATGAGGATAGACCCCTACTTCCTCCCACATACACACACAAATTAACTCAAAACACATCAAAGATTCTACATCATGGTCACTATAATTAATAATAATATATTATATACTTGGAAACTGCTAAGAGAGATTTTAAGTGTTCTTATAATACATAAGTGAATTAGCTTGATTTACTCAGTCACAATGTGTACATAAACCCAAAACATCATGTGGCACACCATAAATATATACAATTTTTACTTGTCCATTAAACAAATAAATCATAGATCATGGTAGGCAGAATAATGTCTCCACCAAGATGTCCACGTCCTAATCCCTGAAATTTGTGAATATGTTACATTACATAGCAAAGGGAAAACAAGGTGGCAGATGGAATTAACATGGCTACTCTGATGACTTTAAAATACAGAGATTATTTTAGATTATCAAGGTAGGCACAATTAATCACAAGGTTCCTTAAATGTGGAAGGGCCAGGCAGAGGAGGGAAGGTTGTGAAAGGAACTCAACCTGCCATTGCAGGCTTTGAAGATGAAGGGGACCTGGGAACCAAGGAATGTGGCAGCCTCCAGAAGCTGGAAAGAGCCAGAAGTAGGGATCCTTTCCTAAAGCCTCCACAAGGCCTGCGGTTTTGCCAACACCTTGATGGCAGTCTAGTGAGACCCATTTTGGACTTCTGATCTCTGGAACTGTAAGATAATAAATTTGTTATCTGATGCCACCAAATTTGTTAATTTGTTGTAAAAGCCATAGGACACTAATATATAGACCTGACTATAAGAGCTAAGATTTTAAAACTCTTAGAAGGAAACACAGGAGCAACTTCATGAGCTTGGGTTAGGTGATGGTTTTATAGGTGTAACACCAAAAGCACAAGTGAAAAAGGAAAAATAAATAAATGGGACTTTATCAAAATTCAAGACCCTGGTGCTGCTAATGATACCATCAAGTTGGTGAAAAGGCAATCCACAGAATGGGAGAAAAAATGTACAAATCATGTCTGATAAGAGACTTGTATCAGAACCTATGAAGTATTCTTATACTTTAATAATAAAATGAAAACTCAATTAAAAATGGGCAAAAGGTTTGAATAGACATTTCTCCAGGAAAAAACATACAAATGGTCAATAAGCACAGAAAAAGATGCTCAACATCAAGAGTCATTAGGGAAATGCAAATCAAAACCACTAATCAAATACACAGGTGATAACAAATGTTGGCAAGGGTGTGGATAAGCTGGAAATCTTACATACTACTAGTGGTCAGGTAAAATGGTGCGGCTGCCTTGGAAAAGTCTGCAGCTGTATCAAAAAGTTAAATGTAGAATTACCACATGATCCAGTAATTCCAATTTTAGATATATACCTAAGAGAAATGACAACATATGTCCACATGTTCGTAGCAGCATTATTCATGATAGCCCAACCCCCGAAATGGACGTAACTCAAATATCCATCACCTAATGAACAGATATATATAAAATGTGGTATATCCGCACTACAGAATATAGTTTGGCAATACAAAGCAACGAAGTATCGATACATGCTACAAAATGGATGATCCTTGAAAAGATATATTAAGTGAAGGAAGTCGGTCACAAAAGACCATTCGTTAAATGATTCCATTTATATGAAATGTCCAGTATAGGCAAATGTATGGAGACAGAGAGTAGATTAGTTGTTTCACAGGCCCGAGGAGGGTGAGCGGAAATAGGGAGTGACTGCTAATGGGTATAGGATTACTTTTGGGAGTGATGAAAATGTTCTAAAGTTATACTATGGTGAGAGTTGCACAACCCTGTGAATATAAATATACTAAAAAAATGAAATCAGTGAATTGGATGATGTATAAATTATACCTGTTTTTTTCTGTTTGTTTTTTTTGAGACGGAGTCTCGCTCTGTCACCCAGGATGGAGTTCAGGGAACAATCTTGGCTCACTGCAACCCCTGCCTCCCGGGTTCAAGTGGTTCTCATACCTCAAACACACACACCCACCACCACACCTGGCTAATTTTTGTTGTTTAGTAGAGACAGGGTTTCACCATGTTGGCCAGGTTGGTCTCGAACTCCTGAACTCAGGTGATCCGCCCGCCTTGGCCTACCAAAGTGCTGGGATTACAGGACATCGTGCCTGGCCATAAATTGTATCTTAATATGCTGTTTAAAAAGTAGGCCATAAAATGCCATCCTTAATATAATTTTATTTTGAGCAAACATAAAAGGTGAGTATCACATTCTTTTAATTTTGTTATTTTCTAATTGTTTTTACAGTGAGCAGAAAAATATAGTAACAAAACAAAAATTATTCTCATTTGGAAAAATAGTGAAATGATAAAAATGGGAATGACCATGAATAGGCAGTTCACAAATGAAGATACACAAATGCAATATGAGACTCTAATACGAAAACCAATTTAACATTAATAGTAACCAAAGATACACAAAATCAAATAACACGTTGCTACGTTCATCTGGAAAATAATTTTTATGAAGGATAAATGCCCATTACTGGCAAGAGTCTAGGGAAACAGGTAGTCTGACACAGGGTTGAGACTGCAAATGAATACAGGTGCTTTAAGAGTTGGGCTTTGGCCAGGCACTGTGGCTCATGCCTATAATCCTAGCACTTTGGGAGGCTGAGGTGGGAGGATTGCTTGAGCCCAGGAGTTAGAGACCAGCACGGGCAACATAGTGAGACTCTGTCTCTACAACAAAATTGAAAAGCTAGCCAAGTGTGTTGTGTGCACCTGCAGTCCCAGCTATTCAGGAGGCTGTGGTGAGCTGGGATCGCGCTGATGTACTCCAGCCAGGGCAACAGACCAAGACCCTGTCTCTGAAAGTGTATACAAATCACTTCGTATCTTAACATGATTTTAAATCAGTAGGTCTGGGATGGGGCCTGAGACTTTGGATTTCCAATAACCCCTAATGATATTGGGGTTATTTTAGTTCAAAATATATGCATTACTAAGCCTGCCAATAATGCCTACTTAGAGCACATCTCCTACCCGATCAGTAGGTCTCCCCTTCATCTTCAAAGCTAGCAATGGCAGGTTGAGTTCTTCTCACAACCTTCCCTCATCTGCCTTGGTCTTCTTCCACCTTTAAGGACCCTTGTGATTAAATTTTCTCCTACTAGTCAGGTGGGAGTCCTGCTCTAAGCAGGCAATATCAGCGGACTTCATAATGCATACATTTTCAACGAACACCAGTTCCATCTCTGAGAATCGTGGACATGAGCCAAAATTTGTCTAAAAAAGAGTTTTCATCTTGGTATTGTTCATAATGGTGAAAAATCTTAAATAATGTAAACATTTAATCACAAGGTCTGAGTTAAATACATCTTACTGTATGTTCTGAGATACTCTTTAATTATAAAACTAAGGTGTTGTAATATTTAGTGACACTGATTGGTGTATGCTGTATTGATGTGACAATTTACTAAGTGAAAAAAAGTTACAAAAGGGGATTTCGAGGATGAAACCATTTTCATTACACACAGAAAAAGTGATCAGAAGGCTATTCTCCAGCATGGTAATGCTGGTTACCTCTGCACGGTGATTTTTATTTTCTCCCACTTGCAAATCTATATTTCCTAGTGTTCCCACCACAAACACACAATACTTACGTAATAAGAAGGAGTAACGAAGTTTATTTTGATCCTGCTCAGATTACCGGGGATTTGCCCCACGGGCAACCCAGCTCAACCAAAAGGTGCAAAAGCTCCATCTAGAGGTTATTTTATCAAACTGCAGGCACCTGATCCCAGAAACCCAGGGAAGACTCAATTGCTCAGCAAATACAACTCATACTTCAGAAGGCACACACATGGCAAGTGAATATCTCAAAAGGACTGGCTTTCTTTCCATGACCAAAGGTGTTCACTCTCTGCCTAAATGGAAAACTTTACAACTCCCACCAGTGGAGCTGAAAAAATATTACCAGTGGGAAAATGACAGAGCCAACCAACTCATTGGTTTTCTTCCAAGGGTCTTCAACACACTCCTTCTCTAATCTTATTTTTACTTAATTAAATATAATTTTCTGCTTCGAATAGAACAGAGATGATTATTACTTTCTGAAAAAAGAAAGAAAGAAAATGGCTTTGCATGTTTTAAGAGATTTGTCAAACATCTATATTATAAACAGCCAGCACCAAACACTCTGGTGAAAGAGTTTAACAAATATGTGGCAAGATAAATTCTACATTAAGTAATTCCACCCTGGCTGGATGTGGTGGCTCACACCTGTAATCCCAGCAGTTTGAGAGGCCAAGGCGGGCAGATTGCGAGGTCAAGAGATTGAGACCATCCTGGCCAACATGGTGAAACCTCGTCTCTACTAAAAATACAAAAAAAAAAAATTGCTGGGCATGGCAGCATGTGCCTGTAATCCTAGCTACTCAGGAGGCTGGGGTAGGAGAATCACTTGAACCCAGGAGGCAGAGGTTGCAGTGAGCTGAGATGGCACCACTGTAATCCAGCCTGGTGACAGAGTGAGACTCCATCACACACACACACACACACACACACACACACACACACACACACACACACTCTCTCTCTCTCTCTCTCTCACCCTTTGTTGTTTCAGTCAGTGCTAAGAGTTTAGTGTTGGCATTGCTGACGGCTGTTACCCTTCTGGGTCATGTCTCTCTTCCCTCTAGGCCAAGGCTATAGAATAAGCACCAAAGGTCCCAGTGACCACCGTTGCATGTCTGCTCATGGCAGATTAACACAACAGTGTAACCTTACTTACTCCTCAGCATGGCTTGGACTGTATTTTAGGCTGCAGGACTTACAGAAATTTCTGAGGACTTGGAGAAAGTACGGGAAAAAACTGGAAAAACTGACCTTGCAGTAAAAGCTTAAGACTGGGGTTATGGGTGAGCTGGAGAAGAGGAACATGAAGAGGGGGACACACTGATGGTTTTCAAGTTCACAAGGGATTCTAATGCAGCCCTGGTCTTCCTCCACCCAGAATTCAGGCGTCTTCTGCCCAGTTTCTGCTTCTCTTATTTGGCAGCTGGAAAATATCGGGGAGACTAACTCAGAACAAAGAGCTAATTAAGTGATAACTGAATTGTAGTGTTACCTCTCCCTGCATTTCAACAAAAGAACAACATTTAATGAGTGCTTGATCTGTGCCACTAGGCACTGTGTTAAGAGACCACGAGTGTATTCTCTGTTTTAAATAACATGCCCAGTGGACAGGTCAGGTCAAGGCTTGGAAAAGTTAAGTGACTTGCTCATGATCACATGACAAGTCTGCAGCAAAGCAGGGATTCAAACCCAGGGCGTCTGTCTCCACAGCCGAGGTGCTTAACCACAATGCAGTAGAAGAATCTTACTGACTGCATTTTTGAAATGTGTCTTGAATTCACCCACTTCTATCCATTTTCATGTGTCCACAAGTTCAAGGCCTTGCACCTCCCGGGATTTTTTTCAGTCACTTCCTAACTGATCTCTGGGCTTCTACCTTGTCTATTTCCAACACAATTTCCACATCTTGAGTAGAATGATATTTTAAAACAAGAGCGGAAACAGGTCATTCTTTTATTACTTCAGGCGTTTCCTATTGCCTGTAGGATGAATGAGGAAGTCCTTAGGTCTGAATTTAAGAAGTCCTTAGCCAGGCCCAGAAGCCCAGCAGGATCTAGCCCCATCCCACACTCCCCAGCCCCTTCCTTATGACCCTCTGGTCTCCCTCTAGCTCCTAGCTCCTTCCTGCCTCAAATGTTCACTCATTTTTTCCTATGGCTCTAAACTCATCCCTTCTTTTGCCTGGCCAAGGACCACTCCTTCAGGTCTCTGATAGAAGCACATTCTTCCAGAGAGGCATTCTGACTCAAAATCTAAGTTAGCACCCCTGCCCCTATCCCCGTCAATGCCCCCGCCCCCCATTTAATTTCTCTCTAAGCCCCTGTACTTCACTTTCTAGACCCCCTTCCTCATCCACAGCACAGATTTCTCATGTAATAATCTCTTCAAGTAGACAGTAAGATTCCTGAAGGCAGAGGCAAAGATTTTTTTTTTCGGGGGCTTGGTACACAGTAGGTATCAACCCATGTTTTCTGGTGACCATATGAGTGAAAGAGAGCAAACACTCCACTGACCCTAAGGGATACATCTCTTCAGGGTGAGATTCCTTAATCAAGGCAAACTGGATGAGGAGATATTTTGGAGGACAGATCCTTTCTAAAGTTCCTCAAATCACTGAGATGTCAGCTGATACCATATTAAATAGATGTGTATATTACCATCTTTGTGCTGGATAATGAATGATTGGGGCTTTTAAATACGTGGGCATGTCATATTTAGCCCCAAATAAGTAGTGTGTCATAAAAACTCACACCCAAAAACCACTGCTTGGCCTCCTCAATGAAGAATCACTAAAGTTACATCTGACCCTGGATATCCTGTCCTGCTTCAATCTCTGATCTTTACCTCCTTCCTCCCCGCTTTCTCCCAGCCACAGGAGCTGAGCTGGCAAGAAGTGTGGCAGCACCATACTGAACTGGGGAGTTCTGACTGCTGCTAACCTCAACTTGCTGGAACCAGCCCCAATCTTGGCACTGAGTGTGCTGGCCCCTGAGCTGCTGTAACTGCCATTCGGCTGGTAGTCTTCTTGGCTGGAGTGTCTTCCAGCTTGCATACAGAACTCGTTCATTTTCCAATAATAATTTCTAACAGGGGTGTTTCATTTTCTTCCCCCAATAAAAAGGATTAGAAGAAGATAGTTTTGAAGGCTGCAACTACAAGCAAAAAGTGGCAAGAAGAAATCAATAAAAATTGTAGAAGTAGTTACCATAACAGAAGCACTGCCACCTAGCACCATTCCATGTTGGGATAAGCAGCCACAGATAATTTACAAGTCTCCAATGTGATAATTCATGTTCATAAGCATAACTCCCGAGCATATCCCAACAAACCAGGTCATTAAGAAAGGGTAGGGTTTTAATATTTATTACGTCAGGCATTAGGCTGGGAGGTAGCTATGATCCCCATTTAATTCTCAAATCCTGTAGATTAAGTATCCTTCATTTTACAGTTGATGAAGCTGAAGGCTGGAAAAGGTAAAACTATTTTCAGTACATTTTGTTCAAGAAAACATAAAAGTATATAGGATACGTTAGACAAATCTTTGATGATTGTCTAATTTCTGGATTTCTGACTATTTAGAAAAAAAATTACTTTTATTTCTTCTGTCTTTACTAAGCTTCCCCTTCTCAACCTAGCACCTGGCACCATGAGTGTTTAATCTGATTGAAAACACAATAAGTGTAGTTAATCACTAACCCCAGCTTTCAATTGAGACTGTTAGGTAAAAAGTCAAATAGACTTCCTGCTGACAGAGAACCTCATTCCATCTTTCTTATGATCAATATACACAGCATATTTTGAATAGATAAGTAATTATGACATTTGTTTTCCCACAGTAACAACATAGAAAATGTTCAGAAGAATGTCAGTGCTATCATAAAAGGGGAAAGTTTAAAAAACTCACCTCCTGTTTCATCAAGTTTATTCGTTAAGGCAAAGCTAGCTGCTATAACAGATGAACCTTGACAACTCCTCCATGGCTTAACATGAAGAGCTTATTTCTTGCTAGGGTAAAACTCAGATGGTGGGCAGGGAGGGTAAAGCTCCACACAACCACTTAAGGACCCAGGCTGCCAGAGGCTCTATGCCCCTCAATACATGGTTTCCAAGGTTGCACTGGACACTGATATCCACCTGGCAGATGGAGAGGGGAAAAAGTGGAGAATCACCAGGACTGGCCCATCTTCCATTGGCTACATCCAACTTCAAGAAGGCTGGGAAATACGGCCTAGCTATGGACCCAGGAGGAAAGAGACTCAGGTTTGGCAGACAACGAAAGAGTCTTTGCCATAGCAGTCAGGATCTTCCAAAGAAGTGAGTTCATAGCTGTTATCTAAGTTATATGAAAGTGTGATGTGTATTAGTAATAAATTGATCATGGATAGCTCAGACTTACTCTTTACCATCCATGAAACCTAAACACCTGCCACAGATCAAGATTTCCCCCTCTGCTCCTGCTTCATCTAAGGCCAGTCAGGAAATCTGATGAATCTGTGAAAGAAGCATGTCTCATCATCTCTATCAGTTGATTTTCAGATATTCCAGTGTCAGTAACAAAAGGTAGCCAGTGAGGGAGGTTGTGTTTACATTATGGGATGCAGGGAGGCAAGGAAAAGAACCTTTATACAGTGCCTCCTCTATAAGGATGCCTGACAGACATCTTATTTAATTTTAATAACCACGGGGGAGAAATTTTATTTCCATTTTCCAGATGAGGAGACCAAGCTCACAGAAGTGGACAACTCTACTAAAGGTTGCAGTAGTAATGAGTTACACTTTGGTTTGAGTGCTATCCAAGTCCACGTACTTCCCCCATACTGCTTCCCACGGAGCTGAGGGCTGCTGGCTGCCACTGTGGGTTGTTGCCTGGAATGAGAAGTTGCTGACAAAGTCCTCAGTGGCTGCTCCAGATGTTCTTAAGGGCCATGACTCTCAGAGAGTCAAGGACCCCATCCACTGCAAAAGTACGATACATGGGCAAGAGCATTTACCTCTCATTCTTATCACTGACTCTGACAATGGCAGAGATGGAGGGATGAGGGAGAGTTTCCAAGTTAGCTGTCTCCCATTTTCAACTTTTGTGGTTTTCAATAATAAACACTCTGGAAAGTTGGGTATTTGTCTGAGAGCAAGAGAGTCCAAGGCACTGTTCAGTCTTACTTAAGGCAATTTTCTTAGGCTTATACCTAGGATATATCAGGCAAGACATGAAGAGTTTAAATTGATTGGTGCGGTGGCTCACAACTGTAATCCCAGCATCTTGGAAGGCTGAGACAGGAAGATTGCTTGAGCCCAGGAGTTTGAGACCACCAGCCTGGGCAACATGGCAAGACACTGTCTCTACAAAAAATACAAAGATTAGCTGAGTGTGGTGGTGTGCACCTTTAGTCCTACCTACTCAGGAGGCTAAGGTGGGAGGATCACTTGAACCTGGGAGGCTAAAGCTGCAGTGAGCCATGATTGTGCCACTGCACTCCAGCCTGGGCAACAAAGTGAGACCCTGTCTCAAAAAAAAAAAAAAAAAAAAAAGAGGATAAACATGGGGAAAAAAAATCAACAAAATCTGAGTAACATCAATGAAGAAAAGCAGCAAAATTTAAAGAAAATCCAAAAGAAAAAACATTAACTAAAGTGCTGTGTGTGTGTATGTGTGTCAGAACCTAACTGATGATGTCGGGAATGGATCAGTGGTTTGCAACCTTTTTGCACTTTCAAACACTCAAATTTTTGGCTATACATTTGAAGGGCATTAATGGGGAATACATTATGAAAAAGAAAGTGTTGGGAAGTTATAAAAACTTCCTTCTGTTGTCACATTTTTCACTTTTGTTGCCCTCCATTTGAGAATTATTTATTGCCCTGACCACAAGCCTTTTTGTATTCATCAGAGAAGAGTTTGTGTGTTTCAATAAATGGCTGTCTTAGTCAGTTTTCTGTTACATCAAAATACTTGAGAACGAGTAATCTATAAATAATAGAAATTTATTTCTCCCAGTTCTGGAGGCTGGAAGTTCAAGATCAAGGCTCCAGCAGCTTTGGTGTCTGGTGAGGGCCCCGTCTCTACTTTCAAGGTGGCGCCTTGTTGCTGTGTCCTTACATGGTGAAAGGCAGAAGGGCAAAAAAGGCTGAACCCCGGGTGAAGGCTATTTTATAAGGCATTAATCCCATTTATGAGGGAGGAGTCTTCATGACCTAATCACCTCCTAAAGGACCCACGTCTTAATACGACTGCAATGGTGATTAAGTTTCAACATGAATTTTGGGGAAGATTCAGACCAAGGCAATGGTCATTTTTCATACATACTAACTTGACATGACACTGTGCCTCTTAGCTATGGCACCATAAATTGTGCCTCATTCTGTGCCACACTCCATAACTTGCTCAGTTCAGCATACTGTCCAACAGACACTATAAGAGAATCTATTCTAGGTTGAATCAAATACAAATTTTAGATACACATCAAAATTTGGCAGAATACCTGTGTGCCATTGCTACACAATAAGCTACCACACTAGCCCTAGGGATTCACATCACCTAATTGGAAAAGTGTCAAATCAAAGTCTCGACATTTGCACAAGTGAGAGATTAAGCTTCATTTCACATATGCAGTTCATCCCACCCATAAACATGCCAAGAGAGAGTCAACATCGTGTTTCTAATGCAGCGACTATTCCTGGAATATTCCAGTGCAACTATTCCTGAAATAGTTTCTTTCAGGAATAAAAAACCAAACACAACTTAAAAAAAGAATCACTAAACGAAACCTAAAGACAGCACAATAAAACTGCCAAAACGACTGCATTTCTGTCTACTTGGTAGACCTCTAAGCGACTCTCTCCTAACAAGAAAGAAGTAACTGGAAAATATTCTGCCTGTGCCAGTGATGTGTGATTTAAGAGAGGAAATATTTAGAGGCTTAAGAGACCTTTGCAGGGAGTCTGGAAGCCGGCTGCAAGTTTGAAGAAATTTGCATTCTCTGGAATCCAGGCTCATTTCTCTCTGGGAACCACCAGGAAGTAAAGTCCATAAACTGAGATTTTAGACGGTCCTTGAAACCGGCAATCAATCAGAACAAAATGAAACTCGGTTCAAGTAGGCAGTAATTTATTGTGGCATTGTCCCCAGCCTACAGGGGGAAAATTCAGCCATTTACAATGAAATAGTGATGGGTCAGTGAAAACACTCTAAATTTGATAATATATCCAGGAGCAGATGTAACCGAATAGGGTCGGTTCTTATTTCCTTGGTTCTACTAATTCACTTACTGTTTACTGAGTGTCTGCGTGTGTCGGGTGTTAGAAGCTCCTGGATGAATGAGACCCATTCCCTGTCCTTGAGGGGTTCAGGTTCTACAGGGAATGGGAAAGGTGGTGAGTCTGTAGCTGGGGATGCTAAGGCAAAGCTCTCACCAGCTCTCACCAAGGACCATGATTTTCTATTGCACTTGTGAGACCATTGAGATGAGATGAGATGCAAAGAATGTATCTCCAAAAATCCCAACAGATTCTGACTTTTCAGCATGATTTAGGACACAGACTTCTTCATCTGCGTCCTGTTTCCTCACAGTTGGAATGTTCTGTCCATGGACCATAACAAAAGTCAGTTATTTCTAACTCATTACTTGGGAAAACATCTCCCTAATACATAAAACATTTGCGCAGATTTCTCTGTACATTGTACATCTGTATAACTGACTCTCAACTCATAGTTTGAATAAACGCATCTGTGGGCACCTTTCAACCACCCCCACTCCCTGGCTCTGTGCCCATGCCTGACCTTGTCCAGTTCTGTATCTTCCTCTGCCTCCTGCATATTTCCACTTGCAAGTCTTACCAATGTTTCAAATCCAACATGTCTATAATTAAATCTGCAGTTCAGTGGTTATGAGTGTCGGTTTTAACATTAGGATGCTTAAAGTTAAATCCTGGTTGTAGCACATATTAGCTGTGTGTTCCTGGGCTAGTAATTTAATCTCTATGTGCCTCATGTTCCTCATCTGTACAATTAGATGATTGATGGTACCTATCCCTTGAGGCTGCCATGAGAATTAAATGAGACATTACATGTAGAACACTTAGCAGGGAGCCTGATGCATAATAAGTGCTCAGTAAATATTAGCTATTTTTATTATTCATTGTGAAATTGATGGCTACATTTCTCTCATTGATACCACCATTTTCCTTCTAGGTGAGAGCTCAAGATTGAAGAGTCCAGGAAGACTGCATCCAAGATGCATAACTGCTGATCTTGGTTGGCCCCTTTTGAGGCATGGACAAGGGAGGGAGGGAGCATGGGCAAGGAAGTTCTTTGAAGTATAAAGCAAGAGGCCGGGCATGGTGGCTCACGCTTGTAATCCCAGCACTTTGGGAGGCCGAGGCAGGCGGATCACAAGGTCAGGAGATCGAGATCATCCTGGCTAATACGGTGAAACCCCGTCTCTACTAAAAAATACAAAAAAAAAAAAAAAAAAAAATTAGCCGGGCGTGGTGGTGGGCACCTGTAGTCCCAGCTACCTGGGAGGCTGAGGTAGGAGAATGGCATGAACCCAGGAGGCGGAGTTTGCAGTGAGCTGAGACTGCACCACTGCACTCCAGCCTGGGTGACAGATAGAGACTCGTCTCAAAAAAAAAAAAAAAAAAAAAAAAAAAAGAGGCATAAACCAAGAAGGGCTCTTAGCTCATCTCCATCTTCCTCCTGTGCTCATGGCAGACATTACAAGTCATTTACAGCACTCTTTCCTGCGCAGCCTCCTGCAGCTTAGCATCCTTCTCAAGGCAGCATGAGAGTCAGCCATCCAATGCAGCAGAGTTGGCACACTGGGTGAAACATACTTGCTGCAACTGCTCTAAAGCAACAGCTTCTACTGTCAAGAAGGTACCAGAGAAATAAGAAACCAAACCACAGGACAGTTGCACGGACTATTAAAGTCAGAGCGTCACTGTGCAAACCTGCAAATGGCTTCTGCCAGCTGCCAGTTACTGGTGTCAGTCCCTGTGGCTATCTTTAAGGCTGGCAGGGGTCTTGGAAACAAGCCTGGCCCTCATCAGACTGTCCGATTCCAGTTTTCTTCATTCCATCTTTCTGAACGTCACTTATATTATCTTTTCTCAGAGGGTGGATGCCATCGAGCAGTATTTTTCAGAGGTGTGTGGACCACTTGTTCTTCAAGATAATCTAGATAAAGCAGGCCTATGGTCAAGTAAGTATGGGAAAGACTGTCCTCTAGAAACCTTCTTTAGACACTTATGATATACGTGGGGATGTTAAAGGCTTACAGAAATCCTGCAGGATAGACACCTGTTCAATGCTGTTTAATCCAGTGTCCCCCAAATGTCTTTATGTATAGAACCATTTTCCCCTCACACAATAGCTACTGATATCCCAAGATCCAGCATTCTGTAGCACATATTTTGGGGAAATATGCCTTGGTGTCAAATTAGGATTTTCTCTTTCTCTTACTGACCACACCAAAATTTATCACCAAGTTCTGGCAAATTCTTCCATGAAATATCTCCTGCTTCCATTTCCTCCTCTTTATTCCCATGGCTCCTGCTGTGGTCGTTCCTTATTTCCCCAGTCCTGGACTAAGGCCACAGCAGCCAGTGAGCCCAGTGTCTGCACCCTACCCTTGCTATCACACTCCCCCTGTCAAACCATCTTCCTAATACATCAGCATCATTGCAGTAGGTTGAAGCGTGGTCTCCCAAAAGATATACTCATGTCCCAATCCCTGGAATCTGGCCTTATTTGGAAAAAGGGTCTTTGCAGATGTGACTAAGGATCTCATAATGAGGTCATCCTGGATTGTCCAGGTGGGCCCTAAATCCAATGGCATGTGTCCTTATGGAGAGACACACAGAAGAGAAACACAGAGAGAAAAGAAGGCCGTGTGGTGATGGAGCCAGAGATTGGAGGGATGCAGCCAGTGGGCAAGGAATGCCTGGAGTCCACAGAAGCTGGAAGAGGCCAGGATTGAGTCTCCCTTGGAGCCTCAGGAGGCAGCACAGCCCTGCTGGCCTTGATTCTTGATTTCAGGTTTCCAGCACTATGAGAGAATTGATTTCTGTTGTTTCAAGCCACTGAGTTTGTAGTAATTGGTTACAGCAGTTATAGGAAGCTACTGCAGTTATCACATCTTTTTACTCATCTCTAAAAATGAAGCAACACGAGCTAACACTGACTTACTCCAAAGTGTTGACTCCTCTGTTCCCATAACATGCCAGATAACCAAGCAGGACCCTCACTGTGGTGGGCACATGTGTGTTGATGTTGTGCAAGGGAGGCATCCAGACAGGCTTGGCTGCCCCTTTGCCGTGGTTCAGACTGAAGTCCCATTAAGTTGTTGGCTCCAAAGTCTCCCTCTTTTGAACTTACTAGATCTTCCTTTTCACCTTCCAGGTATACAAAACCTACTCCTCTAAATAGCATCTCAAGGTAGATATCCATAAACTCTGCCACTGACACCTTTCAGTTCTACCTAGAGACACAGAGGTGTTAAATCATCTATTCCAGGAGGCACACAGAAAGTCAAGGAAGATTCTGGGTTGGCTTGCTCTCCTTGCTTTGTATTTCTTCACCCCACATTTATTCATTCAGTCAACATGTGTTTATTGGGCACATATTAGGTGACAACCATGACATCCAGAATTGGTCGCACTTAAGCATGAAATTCTGACTACATCTCTTTCAATCAGTGAGCAATACTTTTCATTTTTCCAAACACTCAATCAGCAGTTGCATGTTTCTCTTATTGTCCTGGACCTCCCTCATCCCCACTCCTAACCCCATACCTTCAGAGAGAAGCTGTCTTCTATGATCTGTCCACAACTGTGCATGCCCTGGACTGGGGAGGCAGCCCAAAGGACAGTTTTGAGTTTGCTTCTACCATGTCACCTCAGTAAAATATGTTGGCTAATCTAAATAACTTGGTTATAATAATAATATTAATAATAATAGTAACATTTGGAAAGGTAAATAAAGTACACAGATAATGAGCAGGGTTTTATTTTAGACAGAAGAAAGTGCCCTGAAGTAGGAATTAGAAGTTCAAGGCCAGGCTTTGCCATTTTCCAGGTAGGTGGTCCCTCTGGGTAACATCACTCCATCTTAAAGAGTAGGTATGTGCCTTCATGAGGTGCAAAGCCCAAAGTTCACATCAGGTGTAAAAGGGTGAAAAATTGTAACAGTGAACTGATGATGAATATTTTATATTAGTACATTCAAGACATTAGGGCTCTAACTTTCAAGGAATTTTTTACACAAAGGGACACAGACTGGCTCACCACACAGGTGGCTGTATTTGCCCCTCACCACCAATTTTTCTAATAATTTCTTCAAACAACCAGCCCTTAGGAAGAAGGATCCCAGCTTACTCATTTTGGCATCTGGAGTCTGAAACGCAGTAGGCACTCAATATGCATTTGTAAAATGATAAACACATGTCTATTACTCGTAACTTTTTTCTCCAAGGAGCTCAGAGGAACATTTAGGGACAGCAAAATCTGATCCACCAGGTGAGTCAAAAAAAACCCCAAACTGATCTACAGGTTAATGAATTCTTTTAGAACACAAATGAGGGACTGAGAGCAATCCAAGAGGCCATCTTCTTACTCACGGCCATTTGGCAGAGAAGTTCATGGCTCTTCCACAGCAGTTCAGTTGCCTTGGAAGTCTAGGTATTTTCAAGTTGGAGAAACATAGACAAGTGATTAAAAAGTAACTCTGCCAGGATCACGGAGCCTAAGAAAACTGAGATCCGATCATCCACCCATGTTTTTGGATAGGAATAGATGAATGTCAAAGAAAATATATTTTTTAAAGGGATGAAATGAATTCAATTAAATATGATGCCTAAAGAATCTTATTTCATTTATTTAAACAATTTCTTTTAAAAATACCCCACATATTTTTCTTTTAAAATAATAGAAAACTAAAACATCTTAATAGAAAAGTATCCATAATCCCACCATTTTTCTTGTTTGCAGGGAGAGTGGGGAAGTAAGCAGTTTTTTAGGTGTTCATTTACTGGAATTAAAAGAGAGAGAAAGTATTATCTGAGTACTGTTACTTTTAGATCACGTAGTGGAAGACAAGTTAAGTAAACCAATAATTTCCTTTTCTCTATTTACAACAATTTCCCCTTTCTCACCCTTGTCTTCCCCTCCTGAGTCCATTACCTTCAGGTTCGTCTCTGATGCTGGTAGTTGATCTACCAACATTTCAACATCAGTATGGTCACGGAAGGAAGATGCTAGCCACTCACTCTCAAGGTTTCCCTTCAAACTTTGTGTTGCTACAATCACTCATTCTTTTGGGATTTACAAAGACTTCCTGGGCAGCATTGCCCCAAACCTAGCAAACATATCTTCTTCACTTGCAGCAGAGTGAGGCTATAACCTCTGGTGTCAGGTTGTAAGGTTTAAATCTCAGGTCCACCACTCACTATATAGCACTTTGGGCAAATGACGTAACCTGTCTAGAGCTCAGTTAGTCCATCAGAAAAAGGGGAGCAAGAATAGTAGCCATGTCATAAGACTACTGTGTTTATTGAAGGAATACTATATGTCAAGTGCTCAGCATAGAACCTGACACATTGTAAGTGCTTAATGAATGATGAATGTTATCTATTATTATCTCCAAACGAGAACTGCAGTAAAACATCCCAGAAATGTGTAAATATGAACATTCTCCCAACTCAAAGGCAGTGGGATAAAAGGGGTCAAGACACTGCCTTGTTTAGACGAAACTCTTCTTGCCCCACAAGCTGCCTAAGAAAGCAATCCCAGTGAGGAGGCCCTGGGCCCCACCCCACGGGAAGCTTCAAGAAAGAGCAGTCACTCCTAGGCTCCATGCTTCCAGTCTGAACTGATGGGGAAACTTCCTCTAGTGTCATTCAGGGCAAATGGCATCATGGAGCAAGCTTTACCTCCATCAAAACCTCCCAGGTCACGTTTGCCATCTGGGTCTCATCTCTAGACCAGTCGACCCCTCCCTTAGTGAGAGCACGCTCCAACCCTCTCTGACAACCCCTCCAACTTTCCACTCTGACTTCTGAAATTAGTAATGCCATCCCAGCCATATTGCTTACTTGCTACAAGTTTCTTAACTCCCTGTCAGTTTCCTATGTGATATGGGGCTAATAATAGTATCTACAGTTTAGGATTACCAAGAGGACTAAACAAGTTATTGCAGGAAAAGCACTTAGAATCCTGCTAGACAGACAGTACATGTTCAATAAAAACTAGCTATCCTGTGATTTGCCACCACTGCCGCTGCAGCAAACTCCCCTAGAGCTACATCTTCTTTTCTGAAGGCTCCCTTCCTTTTTGCCTACTCCCTGGACCTGGCTGGCCCCTGAGGATCACTCCTCACACCCAGGGCCTGGAGGTAGGATAAACAGTCATTTCTTGCCCACTCTCCCCCTTTGCTGTTTCCAAAGCACTATCCTCCTCCTTCAAAAACCTCCAGCCCTTCTGATGTTCATGTTCTTCTAACCATTTTTCCCACTTCCTGTCTTGCTACTGTACACTCTGTTCCATACATAGAAACCAGAGTTATCTTTCAACACTTAATTCAGGCTAGGCACAGTGGTTCATGCCTGTCATCCCAGCACTTTGGGAGGCCAAGGCGGTTGGATCACTTGAGGTCAGGAGTTTGAGACCAACCTGGCCAACACGGTGAAACACTGTCTCTATTAAAAATACAAAAATTAGCTAGGTGTGGTGGTGGGCACCTGTAATCCCAGCTACTTGGGAGGCTGAGGCAGGAGAATTGCTTGAACTCGGGAGGCAGAGGCTGCAGTGAGCCGAGATCACACCACTGCACTCCAGCTTGGGTGACAGAGTGAGAGACTCCGTCTCAAAAAAAGAAAAAGAAAAAAACAATTCAGATCATATACCGTTTCTGCTTAGAACCCTGTGGTGTCCCATTACACTTGGAGCAAAATCCAAAGCCTGTCTATATCTCTGACCTTATATTGTCACTCACCCCCACCGGCTACACAGCAAAACTGGCCTTCTTGCTGCTCCTGAAAGACATGGCACTCAATCACCCCAGGGCCTTTGCGCTTGCTGTTTCCTCTGCCCCCAACACTGGATTCTGGATCCTTCATATCACTCAGGTCTGAGTTCAAAAGTCATCCCAGAAAATCCTTCTGAGAGCTCCCAACATAAAGCAGCCCCATATTCACTATTGCTTTACTCCATCTATTGTTCTTATGGCATTGCCAACATCTGAAATTATCATGCCAGATTATTAATTGTTTAAAAATGTTATATTATTTTTTAACTTCCTGTTCTTCTGTCTTTCCTCTCCAGGGCATATGCTCCATAAGATCAGGAGTGTTGCCTTTATTGTTCATTGTGGAATCCCTGAGCAACAGTGCCTGGCCACAGTAACCACCAATAAACATTTGCTGAATAAACCAACACAGAACAATGGATCTAAAGACCACAAAGCTCTGTCCTGGGTTTGAATCCGAGCTCTGACAATTTATTGACTGTGTTGCCTTTGAGAAATTATTCGCCTCTCTGAGACTCAAATTCCTCCAATTAGAATATGGTGGTGGGGGAGAGTCACCTCATCAGGGTTGTCATGAGGATTAATGAGATTGTGTTTACAGCAGCAGCACCTAACACACTGCTCCACAAATTCCAAGCACTCAAAACATCATTATAGTTATTATTATCCAGAGGATAACATAAACCTTAAAACTTTACTAAGATTAAAGTCACTTAAACTTGGATCTCTTTCTCTTTTTCAGAGTCTGGAGCAGTACAAAACCCAGTCAGAGGATGTCTCTATCATTCCCACGCAGGTAGGGACTTCCACTCTTGGAAAAATGCCTCCCTTTGTCTGAGAAAGACAGCAGATCATCACATCATTTTCCTGAGAATAGTGGATCCCATATTTAACGTTTTAAAGCTGACAGATAAAAATTTCCAAGGTATCATAACTTCTTATATAAATTAGCAAGAGGAATTAAATTTTCCACAGCCTAACTGAGTACATTTGGAAGGGGTGGGGAGGTGGGGGGAGGTAAACAGGTTTCCCCGCAAGAAGTAAGGGAAACTTTCAATTTTGTACTCCTAAGGAAGGGTCTATTTCATGGAATTGAGCAATGCACATATGTTCCCCAGAGCATCTTGCACTTCTGAGGGCTCTTGGGTCCACTTGGCCTTTCCTTTCCTTTTGGAATCTCTGGATAATTAAAACAAAGAGAAGGCAGTCTAGTCAGTTCTCCTCCTTGACATTCATGGCCAACAGATGAAGCATAAATATGTCTACACAGCACTTTCCTCCCTCTGGGGGACCTCCAGTAACCTTATGGCTCTGGAAGGAGTTCTGATTAAATAGAAGTGGCATCAGGCCTTCAAGGCAATGCCTGGCTTTTAGTCTGCTCAAGAAGTGTAACCAATGCCACAGAGCAAGGTTTGGACCTTTTTCCATGGGCCTGAAGAGAAGCATGGTCAAAAATTCTCTTGTTCTTTAAAGGAGACTTTGGATGAGGAGTAGAGTAAAGCAATTAGTTTGTTATGGTTTTACATCAGTGAGAGACAGGCAGAGGTTTGAGCAGGAAACAGTCGTTTTATGTGCATTAACACAGAGCTGAGATGCCAGTGAGACTTATCACATCTTGTGGAATTCTGCTAGGAGGTATCCCTTATTCACATTACAAATGAGAATGTCCTTTGGCCTGAAATTATTGTACTTGAAGAAGAATTTACAAAACAAAATCCAAATATACTTAAATTTTGAATGAGGGAGATTCAGAAGGTTGGGAAGGTAAAATAGGCAGAAAGGGAGAGAAAGGACTGAGGGCTAGAATGAAAGTGAGGTTAGGACACACAGGTGAAGCAAGAGGAAGAAGAAGCATGAAAGCGAAAACACAGACACACACTGAAGAGAGACATGGACTGGGAAGGAGAGAAGGGGAGAATGGGAGTGGCGGGGATGGAAGAAGAGACAGCCCTGAGAGAGAGCTGGTTTAGAGCAGACTGAAGTGATCCATTATCAAATCAGATGCTTTGACTTGTCTTGCTGCTTACTTGGACAGTGGTCAATGAAAGAAACTATTATCTGACATTTTTGGTAGCAGTTCTTAAATTAATTCACCTTTCTTTTGATAATCTTGTATGTTAGTCTAGCTTAGGCTAATGAAAGCAGTGAAATGTCTGCTGCTTTAAGTGCCCTGGACAAACCTTAGGAAGAGTCTGTCTGATAGAACTTCCTGGGATGACAGAATGTTCTAGTCTGCCCTGCCCAATATGGCAGCCGTTAAGCTACATGTGTCAACTGGACACTTAAAATGCAGCTAACTCAACCAAGAAACTGAATTTTGAAATTTTATTTCATTTAAATTAATTCCTCAGAGTATAGTGTGTATATCAAAGGGAGAAGTGAGATATATTATGTACTACAAAAAATGAACACAAGATTTTAACAGCTATGTGATAGCATACATTAGAAAACTATAACTGGTACATCAAACTAATGATTTCAGTTACTAGAGTTCTTAGAGCAAGAAAAAAGTGAAATTGTAATTTGTCTGAAAACAAATAATGTAAATAATGGTACAGGTGGCACACAGATGTGGCATAAATTGTGAAGACAGTGTGCAAATAACTAAAATAAAAGTTGAAAATAATTTTAAAAATTAAAGTCTGGGAAATACTAGACTAGACAATGTTTTCCAATTGCATTATACTGAAGATTGGCAAATGACTTGAATTTATGACTATGGACTCAAAGAGTAAGAAAAAAGTAATTTTTCAATTGTCATAGAAGAGAAAGGAGGTATGAGACTATGAAGATCTGCCAAGGAAGCAGGGATTTACGGTATTTTAAGCCAAGCCGTGAGGTTGTTGCAGAGGTGATTGGGCCACTCACGACCAACACTCCAACCCTTGCATTTGCTCGGTGGTAAATTGGGACAAAATGGCAATGATGATATCCTGGGGACATTGTGTAGAGTAAATAAAGTATGTTAATGTAGGCTGCAAGCTGTGGAGCACCAAACACAGATGTTATTCTATTTTATTCTTTCTTCACTTCCATTAGCTTCCTCTCCTCTTCCAGGACACCACCTGTACCCCATTTCAGTGGAGAGCAGATACTTTATTTAGAAATGCTAACCATTACTAAGCATTCCGCTGTCCTGTTTCCTGTGGTACATGTCCCAAAGTGTTTCCACTTGGTCAAAAACCCTTGGCATGCCCAGGATAAGTGCTCTATTATAAAACCTAGGCCTCTGACTATAGGCTTGATTTGGGGTATTAACATAGAGCATGTGTCCTCTTGCAAGGGGAGCAACCCCCAGGTCATTACATCTGCTGATCCTCTGAAAAAGATGCCAGGATTTTGCCAGAATGTGCCCTGAAAAATAGCCAAGGCACAAATTAACACCCACTTTCCGGCAATGGGAACCATTCCTGAAAAAGCCACTTCCGTGAAACCCGAGGCAACCTGGAACAATCCAGGAGCCAAGACACAATTTATTACTTCACAAAGAACATCGAATTCTGATCCAGCAGCAAACTAGCTGCTGGGTTTGTTTCCTTTCCCACACAAGCTGCATTTCAAAGGCCTGCCACGCTTAATTTACAAGCCCAGCCCTTGAAAGGAATGCTTTAAATAGCCGAAGATTTATTGAATGTCATAACTAAAGACAATGTAGAGATTGAGCCCCCCTCAATCCCCTTGTCTTAGACATGGGGACACAGAGACCCAGGCAGGGTACGTCAGCAACTTGCTGGTGATTACACAACTACAGACAAGGACGCGGCCAGCCCTGAAACCCAGGTACTCTGACCCCAGGATCACTTCTGTTTCTGGCTCCTCCAATTTTTCTACTACACTCAAACATCAATCATGTTTTCAAATTAACATTTTTAAAGAAATGGTTTTCATTTCAAACTAGCAGAATCCAAAAGGGAATTCAGCCATTGCTTGGGAGATGGAGCTAGACAACATCAAAGGTTAATTTCTAATCCTGACAGGTGCTTCAATGAAAAGAGGTAGTACTTAGCACAGGGACGAAAGTTATAGTCCACCTGTTAAGGTGACACAGAATAACACATTCATTCACTGCTGGTGAGAATGTAAATTGCTAAAACCATTTCAAAAACAATAATTGACAATATGTATTAAATTCCTTAAGGATGTCCAAACCATTTGACCTAGAATTTCCACTTCTAGAGTTTTCCTTGAGGAAATACTGAAAAAAAGTGAGCAAATGTGTTATGTTCAAGATGTTCTCTTGTAGGGGGTAGTAGGTAGTAACTAAAAACTGGAAACAATTTAAATATGTAGTAGCAGAGGTTTGGTTAAACAAAATTTGGATATATCCACCCATAGGATGTTATGTATCCAATAGAAATTATACCCTCTGATAGAGAGAAATGTTCACTGATATGTTGTTTAAAAGGCATATTATAAAACAGCACGTATAGTATATGATCCCATTTTTGTTTAAAATGTTTTTATTTACTGAAAAACAAAAACAAAGATCAGAGATTATCACGGGATAATAAGACCATAGGAGGTTTTATTTTTTCTTCTTTTATGTATATTTTCTTTCTGCAGTGTATATGTATTAATTATGTCATGAAGAATTTTTAAAAGATCTTACGAATAAAACAAGTTTATTGTTTACTCAGCAACAAAAAACAAACTGATTCAATACCATGGATGGATCTCAGAAACATTATGTTGATCAAAAGAGGCCAAACACACAAGAATTGATTTGTAACATTCCATTTATATGCAGCTCTAGGAGAGGTGGGACTATGATGATAAAAATCCCATTTGGATACCAACAAGAGAATAACTTTAATACCTTCTCTACTGGCAGGCTCCACCAGTTGGATGATGATGCTTCTCTCTCCCACATCTGTCAAGCCCTCCTAATTACTTCTGCAGGTGGCCACGATGGAAGGGCCTCTTTCCATCACAGGTGCCATTATGAGCCTTATGCCCAGGACAGAAATGTGACCTCAGTGACTTCTGCCTTTCCTTTCTCCTGATACCTTACCTGCCTTCCTTCTGCTCCCCAGCTGCTGTGCCTCGTTCTTCCTCACCTTCCTTCTATGCTGAGAGAGTGTGATGTAGCCAGTGGGGCCCTAGCCCTGAGATCTGTTGGCCTGAGTTCAAGCACTGGCTCACCCATTTACTTAAGCAAGTAAGTCAATTTCCCTAAATAAAGCAAGTAAACAAGTAAGTCAATTTCCCTAAATGGAGGCAACTACTTTCTGACTTTCATCATCATAGTTCCACCTCTCCTAGAGCTGCATATAAATGGAATGTTACAGATCAATTCTTGTGTGTTTGGCTTCTTTTGATCAACATAATGTTTCTGAGACTCATCCATGGTGTTGAATCAATAGTTTGTTTTTTGTTGCTGAGTATATCTATTGCATGCAGAAGCCACAACTTATCTATTTACCTATTGATAGATGTTTGCGTTGTTTCCAGTTTTGAGCTACTACGAATAGAGCTGCTAATAATATTCATGTTCAAGTCCTCTGTGTCTGTATTTTGATTTCTCCTGAGTAAATACCCAGCAATTTCATTGCTGGGTCAGTTGTCCAAAGTGGTTGTACCATTTTACACGCCCATCAGCAATGTGTGAGTGTTTCAGTCTCTCATCCTCACCTTGGTATTGAGAATAAAGTAGCATTAGTGGTTCTGCAAGGAGGTTTTCGTTTGCATTTTCCTGATGATTTATGATGTTGACCACCTTCATGTAATTATTGGCCCTTCATATATCTTTTTTGCTAAATGTCAATTTAAGCCTTTTGCCCATTTTATTAAGTTGTTAGTCTTATTGAGTTCTTTCCATATTCTAAATACAAGTCCTTTGACATATAAAGTGGTTTTAAAGATACTTTCCTAACCTATCTGAAACAGGGTGAGGAGCCAATTAGACAATGCTGTAACAGTCTATGAAACTTAAGGACTGCTTTGCTTGATGGAAGTAACAATCCCGCTATGTACAAGGAACAGTAAAACTGAGGCTAAGGGCAATGCAAGGATGGCACATTTCCTAAGTACAGAGATGACAGGAAGCTCTCGGCTCACGCCATCTTGGAAAGCCTCTAGAAGTGGTGTGTGGATGTCTGGTCTCCCATGAGATTCCTCTGATTCTGCATCTTCTTCAACACTACTCATCAGCTGTGTCATGATTATCATTCCTGAGCCCTTGCTTAAATTTTGGATCAATTTCTTTGCTCTGATCTCTGTTGATTTCCTTATTCGTAAAACACTGGGTTTTGAGCTTCCTGCACCAAGATGTATGTTTTCATTTTCTAGAGTTAAAAGAACTCCTTCAAGTATTATTGCAGCTAAAAATCTGTGTCCTGACCAGGCAAAGAAGCAAGTCCCTGTAAAAAACAGAGCTACCACAAGCCCTACTCTCGTATGGATGTTTCACTCAACACTTACGCAGTTGCTCTGTCCTGCTGGGATACTGGATACTTTTTATTTCTTAAAAAAAAGAAAAAAAAGGAAAAGAATTCTAGTATTGTTTTTATAATACTGGTGGAAAAATAAACAATTGTTTAATGTTCTGAGCGGCGAGATTAAGCCCCCAGGGGAATAGGAGAGAAGATAAATCAATATTTACCAGTAGTCCTTATCCTATGTTAAATATTAGCTTAAACTTAAAAACCCGTGGTTTTTGTTGCTGCCTCGCCTTAAGCCCAGATTTCACTGGTCTTTTGCTCTTGTGGAGAAATAATCATTTCAGAAGCAGTGGGAAATATTTGAACCATGTCCATTATATATGTTTTACTGTCGTCTTTAATAGTTATTGTAAACGCAGGGGTCACAGGAAAACGCTGCCGGGCTGAAGTGGTTCAACCTTTGCAATGCAGCAATGCATAAATCTCAGTGGGAGTCAACCAGTACTCCTAATAAAGCTGTACAGTGAGCAAAATTAAGGGTAATTTGCTAGCATTTTTGAGAAAACCTGTGAGCTACACTGGAGGTTTCGTATTTCACAGATTTGCATTAACCCTCAAAACATTGGAAGTTGCTGCCCAGGCCTGTGCAGACATCATCGGAACCTCCACACCAAAGAAGAACACATTAGGCATAGAATTTGCCATGTGTTCAGCCTGGGCGGTTACCCCCTGATTTCTTAGCTGCTGGGATAACAACAAAACTCGGTCTCCAGAGAAGCCAGAGAAAGGTCTCTGTAGGGGATATGAAGCCAAAATAATAGGTCATTACATAACATTGCCTAGATGGCCCAAACAGCAGATTGTTCATTGCATATTAAAATATTCATGTATATCACCCTCCCTAGGGTTGCCAATAAAGATCCTTTATAAACACTAACTGAATAAAATTCCCGACACCGTCTCTGTGGGGGATGTGTATTAAATACCAAGCTTTTCTTATCGATGCTAAAGCTAAGCCCTGAGAGGTGAAATAACTTGCTTTAAATCGCAGTGCGCCAGGAGGAGCCCAGGTGCGCTGGCATCTGAACCTGCTTTGTAAAACCTCATTATAATTGTATAAAATATGACAAGAAATACAATCATGATACAAAGAATTTGGGAAGTTAAGTGATTACTTAATCAAAGTCACTTAAATGATTTGTGGTTGGAAGGATCAAAGAATTAATGTTACAAAATTAAGCAAAAGCCAAAACAAAAGCAGTGGGAGGGGGGAAATTTGGTTTTCCCACGTTTTAATTCTTTTGTGAAAATGAACTCAACAGATCCTTAAATATTTGTAGTGAAAGTAAATCTTTTTCCTTTTTCCTGGGAGGAAGGAAAAACAACAACAAAAATCTGTGGTGTTCAATTCAGAGTGAACACCTTGGCCTTTGAAAAGTCTCTGAATCCTCCCACCTTTATTCCCCACTTCAGCTGTAGCAGGGGAGAGAATCTATTATTCCTTCTTCAGGCCCCTAAACCAAATCTGAGAAAGAGAAGCTGGTGGAGACATCCCCAAACTCTGCCTCAGTCCAATACCAAATGTCTGTTAAAACGTCCCTCAAGACCAACTTGGTTACCAGTTCCACACACAGGCCACAAACAGTCCAACTCTCTTCCCCCTTCCTCTTTGTTCTCTCTGTTTCCCATTATTTGGTGCCCTTTCCATTTGATTGGCTCTGCTGAAGACAGAAGCCACATTTTCTTTATCTTGCTCTGTACTCAGACTTCTCCCCTTGACCCTTACAGCAAAACATCTCTTTATCACATCACCAAACATAAGCTCAGCCATCCTCTCATACAAAACATCACTCGACCACACCGCCAAACGTGAGGTCATCCATCCTCTCACACAAAACATCACTCGACCACACCGCCAAACGTGAGCTCACCCATCCTCTTATATAAGAGCCTAGCATATAGCAATACTGTCACATTCAAGCAAAAAGAATGATTCTACTTCTTTGATGGCAATCTGAGGTAAATAATGAGACTTTTAATTATCCTTCACAATGCCAAAGACTCTACCTGCTGTTGTTAAGCATGAGGTTTATCCCCAGACTACAGGTGAGTTAAGGTCTGTAGAGAGACCGTGGTCCGTAACAGAACATGAGGCTGGGCTACGAAGAAAACCTGGTTTGTCTTCAGGTCCATCTCATGCTTTGCCCTAATCCAGGCAGCAGCATTGCCACATCTCCCTGCTGTTTGCTCCCATGCTGTATTCAGGTCACTCTGTAGACGTCCTAACCAAGCAAGGACCTCCCTGATCACAGAATCTAGAAGAGCCCACTCACACCATCTTTCTCTCCAGCCTGTTTCTCCTATTCAACTTTTCTTCAGAGCAGCTATGGTCACTGATATTCTATGTCCGTGCATTTATTATCAATCTCCCCTCTGAAAGATAAGCTCCATGAGGGCAGGCACTTTTGCCTTGTTTGCAGCTGTAGCCTCAGTGCCTAGTATAGATTTGTCCTTTCAGTAGGCACTCAATAAATACAAAATAAGTGAAGGATGAACAAACAGCTGTCATTCACTGGGAAAACATTTACCGAGTACCAAGTCATAATAAAATCTACCAATTACTGAGTGTTTACCAGACACTAGACACTGTGCTGAGCGCTAGTGGCAAGCGCATTGGGTGTTCTATCAATGCAACAACTTTCTACCAATGGGCAAAGTTCTGTTTTTAATAAAATGTATCTTGCCCCAGTAGAGCAGCGACACACAGCTCTAGGGTTATTCATTACCTCCTCTTCGTTCCAGCATGAAAAGCTTCTAACTTCTGCCAATATGGATATTAGAATGATTCCTACTGTATTCATTTCATTTTTAAAAATATCGACAATAGTTATGCACTAGAGCCTGCTGGAGAAAAAAAATTCTTTTTAAAGCCAATGAAACACTACAACAACCAGATTTAAATGTTTTCATCATTCAATCTAAATAAACCAGTTGGGTAGCTTGGTAGAGAAATTCTCCAAATAGGTAACAGATGGCAAACTTTCCTGGGGAAAGTAGCTTCAGACTTAACACCTACCTAGGATCCACCACTTTTTAAAATGAAGAGTCCATTTGAGGTTCTTTATTAATTTCATATCAAATGGTTCCTACTGCCTGCAAGATACAGTATGGTGAAAGCAGCCAATAAAATATGTGGGATTTGGAGTCCAACAGACCCAGGTTTGATT
The DNA here is from genome assembly GCF_000001405.40 of Homo sapiens. Classification (NCBI taxonomy): domain Eukaryota; kingdom Metazoa; phylum Chordata; class Mammalia; order Primates; family Hominidae; genus Homo; species Homo sapiens. The sequence goes on along the minus strand of NC_000015.10, from coordinate 71,509,610 downwards.
TCTAGCTCTGCCACTAGCTGTGTAAAATTAAGTTAGATGCTTTGCTTCTTGAAGTCGAAATGCCCTTGCTGCTCATCTACCATTGTATAACTAACATGTAATCATTACTTGGCCTGGGGGTTGATTTTACTCCACTTACTTACAAGCTAATGAGTTAATCTATCATGGTTTCATGGATACTAGCAGAGAATCTTGGATAATGAGACAAAGGACTTTATTACTCATGGCACAGCAAGTAGCATGGATATCAGTGTTTGCAGTCGGTTCCCCTTGTCTCCAAGTCCACAGGGGCAATGCAGAGAGGTCCAGACATATTCCACATGCAGTGTGTTTGCAATGCAGTGGATGAATACTGAGCTTGGGAATGCACTGCATTCACAGCAAGCAATAAACAAGCCTGTTCTTCATTCTGGAGGTAGGCCTTCCCTCATTTCTAAATGTTGCTTACTGAAAACACAGTCCTGAAAAATGGGTCAGGTAAAGGGGATCATGTCCTCATATTCTGGTCATACCTAACATGACATGTAGGAGTATGAGTAAACCCATGGAGGACTGCTTCCAATAATAACATGATTAAATTATCCCCCCAGTTCCTACAACTCGGTATCCAAAGATTCCACCTGCCTCCTCCCTCTCTCTCAGAAATGCTTCCTTTTTTGAAAAAAAAAAAAAATCCATCCTTTTATTTTTCTTTTTGCATCACGCTCAAAGAATTCTAAAATGTTTGACCTGGAAGGCATTTTTCAAAGCAAGCAGTTGTAAAATTTTAGGTAGCTATTAAAACTTACACAGAATTTTTGTAATGCATGGAGAAGTGCTTCATATAATGTTAAGAGAAGCAGCAGGATCCAACATATTTATAATACCTAAAAATACACTACATATACATGATAGTTTTCTGTGTTTTACAAATTCTACACTGAAAATGTATCTCACTTCTCTACTCAGAAGAAAACTGAAATGCTTTAGCTCACCCCCTTTACTTTGCAGATGAGGAACTGAGAAGCATACAGGTTCAATGACCTCCCACAACACCCCACCACCCCACCCCCTGCCGCAGGCCCTTTGCAGAGCTGGTAATGAAAGGCACAGCCTCTGATTTTCAGTGCGGTGACTTTGGCCCTTGCCTCTGGGGATTTGGGAGGGACAGCAGGGCAAAACTGGGTAGGGAGGATCTGGCCAAGGTAACCATGACCATCTGAACCTGGGGAAGAAGTCCTCTGCATTTAATGACTGTTGGCAGCTGGACTCAGGTTTCCCTGCCCGTTACTATAACTGGCATGAGGGAGAAGATGAATTCCCTTAGGCCTGGGCTTCTTATGGTAAGCTACTCATTGTTCAAAGTTGGCAGCCAACTGTGATGTGGCTTAACCCAGGGCAAAACAAAGCCCTGAGACTCCAGTAGGTAGAGCTGAGGTTGGGCTCTGGTGCAAACTCCTGAAGGGCTGGCTTCAACATGAGCTATATGAATTACTTGTCTAGACAGTTCCCATTTCACTGAATCATTAAGTGGTCCTCCCGCCCCCTTAGCAATGTTCATAACTCACATAAGCATCTTTCTCAATCACATACTTCTTTTTCCTTCACTATTATTTTCAAATGACATTACTGCATCATTGTACTTTTTATTTTATTTTTTGGTAGTGAAGACTTTGCTATTCCCTAACTGCAGGAGAAAAACCCAACAAAAGTTATTAGAAGATCTAACTGGAGAAGTGGTTAATTTGCTCAGTTGAGTTAGAATGAACCCCTTGGAGCTTCATGGGGTTTGTCTCTAAAGTCCTGCAGTCTAATTCTGGTCCTGCTTCCATGGGGAGGGCATGTGGCTTTCTGATACCTGTCAAAGACAACTCAAAGTAACATTCCAACACCAAGTCCAAGCTTTTCTCCAGGCACAAAGGATATGGAGTCCAAAGATTTGGTCTTTGCCTTCCTGGAGCTTGGGGTGTAGAGGGAGGCAGATGAGGTTCTAGGTGGCAATGTGGGGAGGTAACTGCTAGAAACTGCCTGACTACTCCCCTTCTCTCCTCAGCCCCCACCTTTCAAACTTTGGGACAATGCGGGGAGCAGTGTCTCCAGCTGAGAACATACCAGAAGGGGAAGATCTGAGTGTGGCTGAAAGAAAAACACACAACTAAGTACAGGCCTTTCAGTATACTTCCTGAAAAATCTTGTGTTCTACAAAATAGTGCAGTTTATGAGAGAAATAAGAGCAAACAACTCAAAATCTGTCCAGCTTTTTAACCAGAAGCCAGGAAAACCCAAATTGGTTCCTGGAATATAATTTGACACCCCAAGTAAGAAACTCAGAACTCTGGAGTCTGTCTCAGGGAATATTAAAAACATACAACATCAAAAAAGTGGCACACTGGCTTGCAGGTGCTGGGGCAGGGCGGTGAGGCAGAGCTCTGAGCCAGCGGGGTAGCCATTACAGGTGTACAGGAGGAAGCACAACCAACTGCAGTCCTGGAGCTTCAGCGACCTCCCCTGGGGGCAGCCCGAGGCATGTGCTCATGTCTCATTTTAAATTTGCCTAATACACATCTAAAAAGGCTCCTGCCTATGCAACACCCTACTGAGAGTTTTGGGTTGTGTGTGAGTGTGTGTGTATGTGTTTGTCCTGTTGAAGTTTTCAATTCTGCTCCCACTATTCCACTTCCCCCTGCCTAGGAAAACTTACAGATGAACCAAACTAACTTGCATGGCACACTGATAACATTCTACCTTTTACCAGTTATTTGTGAACTAAGCAACGTTGTAACACAAGTTGTAACAGAACAGGCTGCACCTCACAGGGCAGCTGAGCCTGAAACACAAACCCCATGGAGCTGGCAGAAGGGTCCTGCCATGGCAGTAGCCTTGGGCCAGTTCAGACCAGGAAAGACAACCTGCTCTTCAGGCCGCCGTAAGTGGTGGAAATGGAATTGTGGGATACAATGGGATCATCTGATCCTTTACGCAAGTTGAAAGTTTAACGTGTTGTTTTGTGTGAATTACATGGATTTCTATAACCTTGTGTTGACATTCTTGTATCTGATGGGATGTCAGTGTGGGGCACTTGTGCTGGAGGGGACTAAAGGTTCGACAAAGCAGGCCACCTGCAAACAACCTGGCCTTGGTTGGCATGGGCCTTACGGGGTAGAGTCAGTCTCTGGAGACAAATTTACTGTCTCTGTGCCATGCTGATGGCAAGCTCCTCTTGACAGTACATGGGGAAGGAAGAGTGAGAGAGTCAGTACAATCCAATACTTAACCCTGGGCAGTTTGGAGGGAGAGGCTGAAACAGATCACTCATCCTGACGGGTAATGCATTGTTCTAAACATCATGGTGCACAACCTAAATTACAGAAGGAAAAAAACCAAAAAACACAAACCTGGAGGCAAAAGATATTTGATTCCTAAGATCTAGATCAGCAAAACCACAGATGGGAGTTAAGGAACAACATGGCCATAAACTCAGCAGACCATAAACTCCTTACGGGCAAGGACCACTCCTGACACCATGCCTGAACACAGAAGGTGCACGATCAATTCTTTTTGAAAGAAAACATTCAGTATGACATGTGGGCATGAACCACATTTAGAAAACATGTTCGTGCATTCTTTCCCCTCAAAATAAATAAAACACCATTTTACCACTTTACAAAATTACTCAAAAGTTTTAAAGGTTTTCTTGTAGTTTTTCAAATTCCTTCATTGTTTGCTTCTTGAAACAAAACAAAGAACTGGATCTTCTGCTTATACAAAGAGAACCAGCCCACTTTCTAGTATTCTTAGACTTCATTAAGCCTAAGCTGATACTATTAATCGCATGGGTATCGCCAAGAGCTTCTGACACTTTCCAAATTACAGGACTTTCCTGTTGCAAGATCAGATAACTGTATTATTTGGCATTTCATTACCATTTGCCTTACCTATTTGAAGCTTATTTTTCCATCTATGTTTCTGTTCCCATACAAACTTGAACCACTTAAATTTCCTCTACTTTTGCAAGATTTTATTTTAAAGTTGGAAACTTGATTTTTAAACTTTTGCTTTTGACCGCTGCTTTTCCATTTTTACATTTGCTATTTTAATCACAAATTTTGCCCCTGTTTGATTTGGCTGTCTACTTTTGGCTGCCATTGTTTTAAAACCCCATCTTGTTCCTTTTCTATATCTAATTTTGCATTTCAGCTCTTCAATTTTCTTCCCCAAACTCTACAAAAGTCTTTTTAAAGTACATGTCTGTTTCATTCACTCTCTTGGACAATGTTTAAACAGATACTCAACGAACCTCTGTACAGAAAGAGATTGTTGGTACTAAAGCAAAAGAGAATAATTGTGGGAAAAGGTATCAGTGAAGATGTGAAGATGCAGTGTTCTGGGCATCTTAGAGAAGAATCTCTGTACTACCTAGTGTAATCCTGCAAGGATGGGGAGGTGAGCATAAGGAAGGGAATCTGTTGAGGTAAAGGCAAGGACTGTGCTCAAGATTCATCAAGATGAATATCCCAATACTGTCATGTTGATGTCATGTGGCTATCATGTGCCCTTGAAATGATGGGATGAGGACACTTTACCTGCATAGTATTCTTCCCTCAAACCCATAGCCCCAGTCTAACAAAGAAAAACATCTGAAAAACTCATTTTGAGGGACACTCTACAACACACCTGACCATGCTCTTCAAAACTGTCAAGGGCATGAAACACAGGGAAGACTGAGAAATTAGGACAGGCCAGAAGAGACTAAGGAGACATGATGACTACATGTTAATGTTGGGTCCTGGGTTAGCTCCTGGAATAGAAAAAGGATGGCAATGGAAAAACTGCTGAAAACCAAAGAAAGTCTAGAATTTAGTTAATAGTAACGTACCAAGGTTGGTTTCTTAATTTTCATAAATGTACCCTAGTAATACAAGACGTTAACACTAGGGGACACTGAAACTGGCTAAGGGGTACAGGAACTCTCTCTACTATCTTTGCAACTTTTCTGTAAATATCTTAAGTTACTCCAAAATAAAAAGGTTAATAAAATTAATCCAAATAATGAAGTATTCTCAAACTCCTTGTATTTGTGGCTTTAACCACTGGCTCCATTTTCTTCTTTTCTCCACCTTCTCTAATTATTTGTAATACTTTGTTTCTGAGATGAATGTGTGACTTTAGTCTTTACGCTTCTGAAATGGTTTCTTCTAAGGTCACCTGACTTCATAAAGAGGTCCTGTAATTGTTCATCAATTCTTCTCCATAAAATCAACAGTGGTGACTATTTTCACCTTTAATTATCTCAGCTTCCTTAATCCCACATGCACACATTCATTCATTCCCTCATGGATTTCTTCAACATATATTCAGAGCCCTATCATAGGCCAGACCTTGAGCAACCCTTCACGACCTGCTGGTGATTTGGAGTCCCAGCCCTCAAGTCATCAAGATAAAGAAAAGTGAAATTCTGCATGACTTGATCATCACAAAACAAGGGCCTGTCTCAGAGGCCTTGCCAAATCTCAAAGTATGATTTGCTGTGCTGTTTGAAAAGCCTTCACTTTCCATTTTTTTCCACCTCTCCCTTTCCTCCCCAAGCTAGGACCATGCTATGCTCCCCTAAAATCATAATGCACTGAGTAACTGAGTCCCACAGACTATCTGCGTGAAGAGTGCCAGTATAAACTGATTCTTCATGGTCAATTTAGTGAGGAAATTACAGCACAGACAAAGATTCCATTTTCCTGTTTTGTGTATGATTTTCATCTTTTGAAAAAGTTAGGAGGATTGGCTCCAGGAGTGGATTCAGTGCCTCTTTTGACTTTACTATGACTGTCTCAATGCATATTGGCCCTAGAGCCAATACATTAGGCCAACAACCCTGGAGAGTGACATTCCTGGGAAGAGGTGTTGGGAGGTCTGTAGAGAGGTATAGCCCAGGCCCCCCTTTGCTGAAGATGCACAACAGCCTAGGGGCTGTGGTGGCTCCCTGAGTATGTGGAAGGCAGGGTGGCCTCAAACTGGGTCCCAGCCAGGCTGATACAATTCTGCTAGTCAAGGCTTTCTCAGCATGCTGCAGTGACGGGACACTTGTTTTGTTTTTTCACTTGTGGACCAGACAGACTCCTAAAGGGTGGGCTGGGAATCCCAAGGTGGAACAGCTCTATGCTAAGGTGAGGTCATGAGGCTTTGGGCGTGGGGTGCTGGGGACAATGGGAAAGTGTGGTGTGGACTTGAGCCAGGATGGAAATGCTCCCTGAGGAATAAAACCCTTTCATCCTTGCTGTGGCCTACAGAGCTGTGCTCTGATGCCTACCTACCCCTCTGACCTTCTTCCCAACCACCCTCCCAGCATTTTTCCATGCATCATCAATGCTGGTCCTCTTTCTAGTCCTCAAACATGCCAGGATCATTCCCAATGTCTTTGCACGTGCTGTTCCCGCTGCCTGGAATGGTCTTTCCAATAGATCTTCACAAGGCTTCATGTCAATCACAGCTCAAATGTGTCCTCAGAGAGGGCTTCTCTGCCATCCATCTAAAATTGTCCTTCAGTCACTATCACAGGAACCTAACTGAGTGCTTCTCAAACTTTCCTGATTGATGGCACCCACAGAATTGGTATGCTGTGCTGTGCTGAACTGTATTTAAGTTCATTCAACTTACACTATATAATGCAACCGTATCTAAGTTCAGTCTGCTGCAAATTCCCCGAGTAAGATGACAAACTCTGATGCGGCACCTGGCACATACAAGGGCTGAAGTAACAGCATATTTAGTATTATAGTTCTTATTTTGGCCATTTGTCAGAAAGACCTCATTTATAAAATGATTTCTCTCTCCAACTCTCACTTAAGACATTTCCTAACTTTATTCTCCCTAAAGAGGTACAGCAGCCTGAGATGATCTTCTGTAGAAGATCTTCTGCTTCTATTCAGTATGTATTCCATACATAGAATATATTATGATCTGATATGTTATTTTTCAAGTCAACTGTTTTGCGTCTTTTATGTTCCAATGCTTTAATCATCTTTGCTCCCAGCCACCTCAAAGTTCCTTCATTTCTCTAACTTGTGAAGCATAAGACTTGATATGTTACTACTGCACTCAGTTCATTTAAAATTGAAAGATTTTCAGCAGATTTTTAAATTGTTAAAACATGCTTAGTATTTGCTTTTGGATAAAATATTGTGTTCCTTTTCATCTGTGATCCATGATAACCTCTAAATTGTTTTCTACCATAAAAGTTTGCAAAGAAACATACCCATTATTTTCATTCACTTCCCCACCCTAATTTTGATTAACTTTAGCACTCCTAGTTCATTTCCATAGCACATGATAAGTGTTGAGAGGCATTTTTAAGTGCTTTCTGGGCTGACCCTATATTATATACAAGCATCTCTAACCAGATCCAATACCTAGATGCACGGGCTTGCCCTGATTACACTCCATTCCTTTCAGTAACTATATCAACTCTAACCACCATGCTATTTATCCCTGTACAATGGGGCTCTAATTAAGGTCCAGTTCCCACAAATGTTCTGGAATTTTATGAAAATATTTCTCTATGAGATCAGTATTGTGGATTAGTTCTACTTTATTTCTAAAATCAATCAATGTCAAAGGCCTCATTCTCAGTTTTATATTTAAACATGTTCCACATTCCTGGGCAGATCTTAAACATAGTTAAATAGGTGTGTTCTCTGCATGATTTGTTCCCTCTTTGGCAGCAGAAATTATGTAACATGCACTAAATAGAGGAGGCAGAGATGGGAAAGAGAAGTCAAAAGATGACTCAATGACACATCAAAATCAAAATTAGGGTGGGGGAATGAAAGAAAACAATGGGTGTGCTGCTTTGTGAGCTTTTATGGTAGAAAACAATTGAGAGGTCATGATGGATCACAGATGAAAAGGAACACAATATTTTATCCAAAAGTGGGAAGAGTTATTTGCATTTTTAAATTCAAATCTGCCTTCAAACATTAGCTGTTCAAAAGATACAAGGTTTAGTTAATTAAGTCAGAGGACACTGGATTATTCCATCAACTCAGCCTTGCTATGTCGAAATGCTTCTCCAAATGACCTTGGCATTACCTAGCCCTGGCATGTAGGCAGTAAACAGCTCATGTTGGCAGAATTGGAAAATACCAGCATAGAGGAGAACAGAAAGGGAGGGGAGATTGAGAATGAACAGAACACAGCCTTGGAAATCAGATAAACCCACTTGAGGTATACCCAGCTTCTGCCATGTACTAGTTGAATGACCTTTGATAATTGAAGTTATTAAATGTGAGTCTCAATTTCTTTCTTTGCAAAATAAGAATCCCAACACTTACAAGTTTATACTGAAAATAATCATATATGGATCTGTGATACACTGAAAGTGCCGAATATGTGTGAATTGTTTTGCCTCTTTCTGCCTTCTCTAAAAGAAAAACACACACAGCTTTGGTGGATTTTTTTTCACACTCATCACCAACAACAATCTTATTGTTATATATAAAGAATTGCGCTGGACGGAAAGACATATCATGTTCATGGATTAGAACACTTAATATTGTTAGAATATCCATGCTACCCAAAGCAATCTACAAAGTCAGTGTAATCTTTATCAAAATCCCAATGGTATGGCTTTGCAGAAATAGCAAAAACAATTCTAAAATTCATATGGAACCACCAAGGACCCTGAATAGACAAAACGATCTTGAGAAAGAAGAACAAAGCTGGAGGCCTCACACTTCCTGGATTCAAAACATATTACAAAGCTACAGTAATCAGAACAATGTGGTACTGGCATAAAACAGACATGGAGACCAATGCAACAGAAGAGAGAACCCAAGAATAAATTCTCACATATGTGGTCAAATGATCTTCCACAAGGGTGCCAAGGTTACACAATGGGGAAAGAACAGTCTCTCCAACACGTGGTATTGGGAAAACTGGATTTCTATATGCAAAAGAATGAAGTTAGACTCTTACCTTACACTATGTACAAAAATTAACTGAAAACGGATTAAAGACCTAAACATATTATCTGAAACTAGAAAACTCTTAGAAGAAACTTTACTGGAAAACCTTCGTGACATTAGATTTGGCAATGATGTCTTGGATATGACACCAACAACACAGGCAATAAAAACAAAAATAGACAAATGATATTATATCAAACTTAAAAACTTCTGCTCAGCCACGGCAACAATCAACAAAGGAAAAAGACAACCTATGGAATGGGGGAAAATATTTGCAAACGATATATCTGAGGAGAGATTAATATCCAGAATATACGAAACACTCTTACAACTCAACAACAACAACAAATCTAATTTAAAAATGGGCACAGGACGTGAACAGACATTTCTTCAAAGACCATATACAAATGGCCAATAGGTGCATGAAAAGGTGTTCAAAATTAATTATCAAGGAAATACAAATCAAAACCACAATGAAATATCACCTCACATCTGGTATGGCAGCTACCATAAAAAAAAATAGATAATAACAAGCGTTGGTGAGAATGTGGAGAAATTGGAACCCATGTACACTGTTAGTGGGAATGTAAAATGGTGCAGCTGCAATGGTAAACAGTAAGGTGGTTCCTCAAAAATTAAAAATTGAATTATCATAGTATCTGACAATTCCACTTCTGGGTATCTATCCAAAAGAACTGAAAACAAGACCTTGAAGAGATATTTGCACACCCATGTTCACTGCTACATGACTCACAATAGCTAAAATGTGAACCCAACTGTAGATGAATGGATAAAGTGGCATATTCATACAATGGAATATTATTCATCCTTAAAAAAAGGACGAAATCCCATCATATGCTACAAATGGATAAAGCTCAAGGGCATTGTGCTAAGTAAAATATGGGAGTCACCAAAAGACAAATACTGTATGGTTCCAGTTATATGAGGCATTTAAAGTAGCCAAACTGTTAGAAACGGAGAGTAGAATGGTAGTTCCTGGGGCTGAGAGAAGGAAGAAACAAGGAGTTGTTCAATGGGAACAGAGTTTCAGTTTTGTAAGATGAAAAAGTTCTAGAGATCTTTTACATTGCAATGTGCATATACAGTAATTAACACTATTGTACTATACACTTAAAAATTGTTAAGATGGTCAATTTTATGTTTTTTTTTTTTTACCATAATAAAAAAAAAACAATTGTGCCAAACACCTAAGATACCTAAACATGGTCCTCAAATTGCTTAGAAGATAAGTGTATGGAAAATATAGTACATGGTATCCTATGTGGCATGGCAAAAATGTGCTAGGGAAAATATGTGCTTCAAAAACTCAAGTGTTTGAGAGACTGCTGCTCCTTGGGTAGTCAGGGCAAGAAGAGAGAGGCTTCCTCCTTGGCCGTGGAGGAAGGATTGAACTTAGAAGGAGGTGCTGCTGGCAGAGAGGAGAGCATTAAGCAAAACTGCAATGAAAGGACAGCAACTGGGTACCAGGAGTTGCATCAATTAGACCAGAGTGAAGGGTTTGTCTTTGGAAATAATGAGAGAAAAGGTAGGAAAGGTAGGACCCATCTGATCAATGCCAAGCTACAGCACTTAGAATTGATTTGTCATCAATTCAATACTAATGAGGGTTCTTGAGCTTGGGGATTAGATGACCTTGTAACATTGACCTGTGCCGGGTGTGGCGGCTCACACCTGTAATCCCAGCACTTTAGGAGGTCAAGGCAGGTGGACTGCTTGAGTTCAGGAGTTCAAGACCAGCCTGGGCAACATGGCAAAACCCCATCTCTACAAAAAATACAAAAAAAAAAAAAAAAAGTACAATGTGGTGGTGTGTGCCTGTGGTCCCAGCTACTTGGGAGGCTGAGGTAGGAGGATTGTTTGAGCCCAGGAGGGTGAGGCTGCTGTGAGCCATGATCATGCCACTGCTGTCCAGCCTGGGTGACAAAGTGAGACACTGTTTCAGGAAAAACAAAACAAAAAAAAGATTAACTTGGTTGCCGTGTGCAGGATCCATGCAAAAGGCAGAAACCAGAGGCAGAGAGGGCAGCAAGGATGAATACTGCAATGTCTAGGAGCCAGTGGTGAAGCCTGGATGGAGAGTGGGCATGGGAGTGGAGGAAGGTATGATTCCAGACAGACAGAAGATGGGACTCTGCAAGGAGGAAGAATATTAGGAGAGGCAGCCATGGGATTTGTATTTAAAAAACAGAAAGACAATAAAGCACTGTTTCCCAACTACTATCAGCCAGACATTATCAACACCCAAGCACAACTGGGGTGAAAAAATGCAAAATATTTTAAAACACATTTCAGGCACTTTACACAGCAGGAAGGTTTTGTGGGTTTCAACTTGCAATGGACCCTAAAATGTTAGCATTTAATTAGGCGAGAAATAATCAGCTTTCTCAAGAGGCATGAGTTGTTCCCCTCTTAAAGCATGATAAATTACAATACTATATGGATTATTCCCATGGATTCTTTCTGATTAGAAAGTGTTACAAAATTTAATATTGTTTTGAGGAATATAATCCAACAGCAGTGTTTCTGTTGGTTAAAAATTACTTAATCATTAAATTCGAGTGAGTATTCGATTTCTATCACCAACGCATGCTGGCTTCATGCCACCCCAGTTAGGATAAGCGCCTAAATCATTATGAGAATCACTTATAACCCACCCTCCCCTTGTCATTTTAACTCAAACATATTTAATTCCACACTTTGAAAATCCTATTAGCATATACCAGCCATTCTATCTGTAAATGATATGAAGATAATGATCCCAAAACAATATTTTAATTCAGGGCATCAAGCCCATTTATTTTTCTAAACAATAACAGTTAAAATACATTATGAGAAATCTTTACAGCCCAGTGGTTATATTCAATGACTGAAAACTTTATGTTGATAAACAGGAAAAAAAAATTCTAACAGAGACTACAGTGGTCTGGGGACCTATACAACACGGTGACGCTAGCTTGGCAAGTAATGCTTTTCCACAGGGAAAGTCGTTCTTAAAAGATTAAACTTTATCTCTGTAGACAGGACTCCTTGAACAAAGAAGTAGGCACTACAAAATAAATTTATTTTAAAAATTTATATATTATTTATATGTATGTGTATATATATTATTTCACTCACATATATGCCTTTTTTTTTGTTTTTGAGATGGAGTCTCGCTCTATCACCCAGGCTGGTATGCTGTAGTGCGACGTTGGCTCACTGCAGCCTCTGCCTTCCAGGCTCAAGCGATTCTCCTGCCTCAGCTTCCCAAGTAGCTGGGACTTCAGGCACACACCATCACACCCAACTAATTTTTGTATTTTTAATAGAGATGGGGTATTGCCACATTGGCCAGGCTGGTCTCGAACTCCTGACCTCAAGTGATCTGCCTGTGTCAGCCTCCCGGAGTGCTGGGATTATAGGCATAAGCCACCGTGCCCGGCCACATATATACCTTTCAGACACATAGCCATATTCCCCTTCTCTTATTAACACAGCATTTTGGAAAACATTCGCCTGTATAATGGTATTATCATCGCAGAAAGGTTTCATTTTGGGTGCAACAATTTCAGAAACTGCACAACATCTTTCCTTTGGCAAAATACTCTTTGGTGGTTGGAATGCAATGGCAGTGCTGGTGTTCCATTTCTTGGATGGTGAGGTCTGCAGCATGCCCAGTGTTCATGTATTTCCTTCTCTCTGGCTGGTAATTAATTCATCACCCTGCTCAGAGCCCAAAGCTTCCAGCAAATGCTCCTGGAGCGGTTGATCTCATTTTTAGCTGCTACCAACCCTGTGGCATGGCTGCTACCTTCTTTCCATTTTTAGCTGGAAAGAAGGGAGGAGCCATGTCAGAGTCTTTTCCTTTCTTTAGTATTGCTTATGGTAGAGACTGAGTCACTTCCTCAGACTCATTCTCCCCTTCTCCCTAAGGACAGAACCCTAGTTTTATTCCAAGCATCATTGTGCCTGGTTAGATGGCTATAGTTTCCACCCTTTCCCGTATCTAGAGGTGTCCAGTGAAATGTCAGTAGAAGCTATGGGGTAAGTTTCTGGGAAAGGTCCTTAAATGGGGAACAGGGAGTAACGTACTTTTTGCCTTTCTCCTCTTTCTTTACCTTGCTGCCTGGAATGTGGTTCTGTTGATAGGAGCTCCAGCAGCCACCTTGGGCCTGGAGGCAACCTGGATGAAAGCTGCATGCTGGGAGTGATAGAACAAAAAGACTGAGGAACTTAAGATCCTCACTGCCCATACGCAGACTTCTTTCAAGTGAAAGAAAAAAGAAAACCACCTTTGGGACTATAGGCCATGATTATCTTGGAATCTTCTGTTTATGAAGCCCATTCTCAATCTCAGTAACATAATAATTCATCCCAACTGCTTTCTATTGTACAACTAAATCAATTTTTAATATGAAACATTAATTTTGTTGTACCATGAAGAAACATTAGCATGCAAAAGCTGTAGTTCAGGTAAGTGACAGGTACAATTACATATCCTTAAATTATCTCAGTTCAGCTCAAAGAACATCTCAGATTCACCTAGAACAAGCGACGTTCCAAACTGATCTGTAACTTAAGAAACCAAAGGATGGTATTTAGCTAAATCTATCCCTTCCTCTATGGGAGAAGCTTCTGCTACCAGGCAGATGAGTGCCTATGCTGGTGGTTTACTGTGTAGGCAAGAGATTGGCATGAACTGTGACTGCCCCTCCAGAATGTAAGCAGGGGAAGGCCCTGTCCTGAACGCTGCCAAAGCCTGAAGTTGTAACCAGTCCCTCTAGTGACTCTACCATGGGCTTAAATGAGACGCATGGTCTTTTCCTGAGGTGAAGCCTCATGGAGTTACTAAAAACAAAAGGACAGGGTGCTTGGGAGAGTTTCTGGGGACAGGGGCATGTGTTTGTAAAACAGTTTTTACCTGGGATTAAGCGTTTTTAGACTTTCTCCTCTACAGCCCACATGGGAGGTTTCTAAGTCCAAATTCTTCTATGTTACAAAGATAATAATATTGACACTCATTTTAATCCTTTACAGTGTCTACAGTCTACAGCTGTCATGACCCAGCAGAATTTGAGCAGGTCCTATTTGACTTGTCTGGTATTGGATGTCCCGAGCACAGGGAAGAATGTTCCATTCTTTCCCGTGTCATGTTTCTAACAAAGAGAAACTATACTTTTAGTATCCTATTTCAGTTTAGAGTGGTATTGGCAGGGTGAAGTGATGAGAGGGAGGGAATGAATATTGGGGACAATCAGTTAATCACAATAAGATGCTCAAAGTCCATTCCTTTCCTGGGGCAGACTCTGCTCTGAGAGGGGCCACTGTCTACTTGCGGGCTTTCTTCTCTGGTTAAAGGGACTTTGGTGCCTGGGTCTTTACATTTGAGGGCAGGGTTGGAACTGCTCCAAGCAGTAGGAGAGGAGAGCTCCATTTCAACATTCTCAAAAGTAACCCAACAATTCAAATTTATGGTGAGAAAAACGGGGTTGGGTTGCTATTGGCAGTTGTCAACTTGAATTGTTAGCAATTTCTACCTTTCGAGGAAACTGTGACTTAGGTCACTGGCACCATCTCTTCTCCCCGCTTTCTGAAAAGCAATAAATTGCCCACATTTCCTCAGCCTCCCTCCTCTCACCCGTCACTGGGCCTGAGCCAGGTCAGCTGTATCAATACTTTGGGAGGTGCGTGGACCATTAAGCTGGGAGTCAGTGGAGACCTTTCCTACCAGCACCTCATCAGAGCACCTAAATCACTTCTTAGGCCCTGAAAGAGAAACAGATGCCAAAAATATGTCGATTTACAAAATGTTTTCATATCTTTAGGGTATTTTATTTCTCCTGCTTCTTGTGACATAAATAGCACATAACCCTGACCCTGGGATCTTTTAATAACCAGCTGTGAAATTTCACTAGCACTGGCATAAAATCAAGAGCCGAAAATAATTCATCCCAATGTATGGAGGCTTCTGTCCTCCTCTGATGGGGCTTTGATTTGGTAATGGTTTATAAAGCCACCCTTCTTCCTGATCTGAAACAGAACTTAAAAGAAAAATATCAAATTCACTAATGGGCAAGAATCCAGAAGGTATTTCTCTTGGGGTCCATCGTGTGGTGGCGGTGGGGGTGGGGGGTCAGAGTATGGAAAAGTAAATAGGAAACATTGTATATAATACAGACTTCAGTTGCTTGAAAGCTTTTAAAAGTATTTAATTAAAAGCCAGTGTCCTATTGGGGAGCTACTTACATTTTGTGCTTGCTTTTGTTGAGACACAGAGGCTGACAATGACTTGGGATCACTGAGACATTTAGAGCACAAGGTTTCCCAACTTGGAAGGGGGGTTAGAAAAGAAAAGATGGGGACAGAGATGAGCTCCGTCCTTTTTTTAAAAAAAGTTAGTATTCACCTATTTTATTATAATTTAACCAAATAATGTTCCTCCCCGCAGATGCTCAGTTTGCAAATACAAACAATAAGTGCAAATGGAAAAATAGTTCTTCCTAAATTTTTTCACTTACAAAGGTTCAGGTGTAAATTGAAAAGACTCTCCTTGTTGGTATGCCTAATTTCCTTGAAAAATTGGCCCTCACAATCTTCAATCAAATTAAAGTTAGATTATACCTGGGTGTCCCATCCACAGGTGCCACCTGAAAGCGACGCTGTAAACTAGGAAGGTCAGAGCCAAGGCTGCTAGGGACAACCATGCGCTCATTAGTGCTCTAAAGGCCAGTCCTGGGGCCACCCAGGACAGGGTTCACATGCAGCGCAACCTCTGATTAGCTGTGCTGTGCTTTTGGGCAAGGTGACCACTCTGAGCCCTTCTTGCCCCAGCTATGATGATGGCAATAGCCCTTCCCTCACAAGGAAGGCAGCCGTGGCTGATTTGACAGACCGGGTATGAAGTGTCTAGCGGAGTGGCAAGAAATAGTGTGAGCCCAATAAACCTTTGTCCTCTGGATGACAGAGCTGTCCTAAAGACAGAGAAAGTTCATGCCAGCAATTCTGGGGCAATCTAATCACACTCTTCACAGTGAGTGTGAAGTGTTCACACTGAGGTCTATGGAGGTCTCAGAGTAAAGCTAACGCCCCACATTCAAACACTAATGTTGATATAGACTAGTCATATGGCCCACAGCAACACATTAAGCTTCCCGGAGCCTCAGTTTATTCAGCTATCAAATGGGGATAATAGCTACATTTTCCACACAGATGATAAAGATCACATGAAAGGAGCTCTTTGTACCTGTGGGGTGCTACATAAATAGAGGTTATCATTAAGTTTGAGATGGCTCCTGTCCAAACTCAGAGGAAAGGATAAAAATTATTTTTAAAAATCAAAGAAATATAAGAGTGAGAGTTAGACAGAGCACTGGCTTGGCAGCCAAAGCTCAGAAGACGCCGCAGGTGGTCTCACAATTCAGTGTTAACTTCTCCAGCTCTGTCACAAAAAAATCCGCCATTCTCACATTACCCCAGAGCCCATGAAATCTGACGAGGGGCAAGCTGGCTTAGCATTCATGCTTTTATACCAACCTTACTAAAGTCTTCCCAAACCATTTTTACTCTGGATATCTCAAGCAGGTTTATTTATTTTGGAGAACAACCATATGGCTCTGAAGTATCTTCTTGTCGACTCCTCTAAGCCAAGAAACCTACCTGAATTCACAAATTTTATTTGGAAAGTTTGATGGGTAGAGTGGTTTTTTGAGGGGCTACTTTCCTCATTACAGTGATTAACCCTTTTTCAACAGTTCATTATATGGTTCTAAAAAAAAAAAAAGACATTTCATGGAGGGCAAAGGGTTTAAATGTGGCATGCTTCAGTAATAATTCTCACCACAAGCAAATCGATTCCTGCTACTAGGTTCCATGAGCATGGAATTGATTTAGGGGCTTCTTTAGAAACAATAGGGAGCTTCTGCACTTTGAAAAAGACCCTGGGCTAACTCTGGACCTGGGACACAAAGGGAAAGAGGCTTCCTTTACTGCCATGTTTCTTTTCTAGAAGCTTCCTTCTTTCAGGCTCATGGAGTTGGTGAAGCCAGGTCCTCAGCGGTTTTGCTTTCTCTTACAAATATGCTTCATGGGGCTTCCCTTCAAAACAAAACCTAAGTAATCCCAGCACTTTGGGAGGCCGAGGTGGGTGGATCACTTGAGGTTAGGGGTTCAAGACCAGGCTGGCCAACTTGGTGAAACTCCCCCCCTCTATTAAAAATACAAAAACAACAACAACAACAACAAAAATAGATGGGCATGGTGGTGCGCACCTGTGGTCCCAGCTGCTTGGGAGGCTGAGACAGGAGAATCACTTGAACCCAGAAGGCAAAAGTTGCAGTGAGCTGAGACTGTGCCACTGTACTCCAGCCTGGGTGACAGAGCAAGACTCCATCTCGAAAATAAAAAATAAAATAAATAAAATAAACAAAACCTAAGACGAGGAACAGCCATACTACCTTAGACTAATGGTGTCCCATCCACTATGGACTACATGTATGCTGTTGTTTTGAGAAAAGAAAATGTCAAAACATCAAGTGTAAAACATCCATAATATATAAATACATCTCACAGACCACCGAGAAAACAGCTAACATGCCCACAGAAAAACATGCAAATGACATGAACAGGCATTTCAAACAGGAAATAAAAGTGATAATGAAGAAGAAATATTCCACCTGACTTGTCATCAAAGGCAGGCAAGCAAAAATAAGATACTGTCTTAGTCCATTTGTACTGCTATATCAGAATATCTGAGGCTGGGTAGTTTATAAATAAAATAAATTTATTTCTTTTCTTTTTTTTCTTTTTTGAGACGGGGCCTCACTCTGTCAACCAGGCTGGAATGCAGTGGCACAATCACAGCTCACTGAAGTCTCAACCTCCCAGGCCTAAGCAATCCTCCCACCTCAGCCTCCCAAGTAGCTGGAACCACAGGTGTACAATACCTGGCTAATTAAAAAACAATTTTTTTTTTCAGATGGAGTCTCCCTATTTGCCTAGGCTGGCCTCAAACTCCTGGGTTCAATTAATTCTCCCAATGGGCCCCCTAAAGTGTTGGGATTACAGGCGTGAGCCACCATGCTGGGCCATAAATTTATTTCTTACAGCTCTAGAGGCTGGGAAGTCCAAAGTTGAGGAGCTACATCTGGCAAGGGCCTTCCTGCTGATGCAGACTCTCTGCCAAGTTCCAAGGCAGTGCAAGGTATCATGTGGTGAGGGGGCTGAGCGTGCTAGCTTAGGTCTCTCTCTTATAAAACCATTAATGCCCCACCCTCATGACCTGAGCTAATCCTAATTATCTCCCAGAGGTACCACCTCTCAAATACCGTAGTTGGATATCCCACCCTCTAAATACTGTAACAACGGGGAAAAACATTTCAACATGAGATTCAAAAGGGATCAACACTCAAACCATAGCAGATACCCTTCTTTAACTTTCCAAATTTAAAACATTAAAAATATGATCATACCCAGTGTTGTCAAGGGTGTGGAGGAAAAGGGCATGTTTTCACATTTTAGTAGTGGAACAGTCAATCAGCTTTTCTGGTGGACAACTTGACAAGTGCCATAAAGATGTTTACATCCCTTTGACCAAAGTAATTCCATTTCTTGGGCTTTATATTGAGAAAATACCATACATGCACACAAAAATGAACATGCAAACATGTTCACTTTTATGTTGTGTTAGTACAACAGAGTTTGGAAACCCTTTCTATTAAGGGGCCAGGTAATATATATTTCAGGCTTGGCAGGCCACCTGGCATCTATTGCCATTATTCAACTCTGCCATTGTAGCAAGGAACCAAAGACAATACAGAAACAAATGGGCACGGTTATATTCTAATAAAACTTTATTTCCGAAACAGGTAGCAGTAGACTGGATTTGGCCCATTGACCGTAGTTTGCCAACCTGTATAGTACAACTTATAATTAATTAATTTATTTTTTTGAGACAGAGTCCTGCTCTGTTACCCAGGCTGGAGTGCAGTGGTGCGACCTTGGCTCACTGCAACATCCGCCTCCTGGGTTCAAGCAATTCTGTCTCAGCCTCCCAAGTAGCTGGGATTACAGGCATGCACCACCATGCCTGGCTAATGTTTTTTTTTTTTTTTTTTTTTGAGACGGAGTCTTGCTCTGTCACCCAGGCTGGAGTGCAGTGGCGCGATCTCAGCTCACTGCAAGCTCTGCCTCCTGGGTTCACGCCATTCTCCTGCCTCAGCCTCCCGAGTAGGTGGGACTACAGGCACCCGCCACCAGGCCTGGCTAATTTTTCGTATTTTTAGTAGAGACGGGGTTTCACCGTGTTAGCCAGGATGGTCTCGATCTCCTGACCTTGTGATCTGCCTGCCTTGGCGTCCCAAAGTGCTGGGATTACAGGTGTGAGCCACCACGCCCGGCCTAATTTTTGTATTTTTAGTAGAGATGAGACTTCACTGTGTTGGCCAGACTGGTCTCGAACTCCTGACCTCAGGTGATCCACCTGCCTCGGCCTCCAAAGTGCTGGGATTAGAGGTGTGAGCCACCACACCTGGCCTATAATTTTTAAAAGTAGAATCACCTGAATGCCTAGCAATATGGAAATGGTAAAATATTTTATGTAAACATTACAACTTTTTTAGTGAAATGGGAAAATGCTCATGTGGAAAAAAAAATCAGGACACAAAACTGTAGGTTTAGAGTGATCTCAATCTTTCAAAGGAAAGAAAATATGTAAGCATGGAAAAAAGATTAGAAAGAAATACACAAAGATTTTAACAGTGATGGTGGTTTTAATTTTCTTTTTTAATACTTCTCAGGATCCAAATTTTCTATAATGGGTATGTGTTTTATTTTCAAAATAGAAAAAAAAAAATGTTTAAAATGACAGCAGCGGACTTCTGATGTGAAAATTATTGCATAAGTCAGCATTCTCCCGTCTTTCATGTGGAAATAACCCAAAAATGAGAACAAAAGAAAAAACCCACCATCTTCTATTTCTGGCAAAACCAGGAGACAAACATCAAATTTTTTTTAAGGGTTACAAAATGAAAACAAATTTTCTCCAGAGGTATAGAGGAGGAAATGTGGAGAAGCGGAGTAGGGGAGAGTCTAGAGGCAGCAGATTTCATAAAGCCCTAAAAATAATGCACTTCTGGAGTGTGAGGGGCACCTCTGAGGGACTAAGGCATATCCATCGCCTGCAGAGGAGTCCCCACAGAAGATGGTGAGCTGGGCAGCAGCTGGGGATAGCTCCTGGGGGTTGTCGGCCTGAGATTTATGCAATTTGGGGGGTAAGAACCTTTTAAAGATGAATAAGACAACATTTTAAATACATTTTAAATACAAAATTAGCTACAATGAGAGCACTTACTTAAAATGAGCAAAGAAATGGTAATGCATGATATATTTTACACCCACCACCAAAATCCAGAAAAAGAATATGATTCTAACAACTAGCTGCAACTAACTTATTGACCCAATTCTGTAACACTCCACACCTCTATCATATTTTCTTTCCCTATTTTTTGGCTACATAGTCATACTTCTTCACAGGAGAATAATTTTTAATATTCAGGAACTCTGAGAATATTGTTCCTATGAGCTTTTCTGGGGAAATTTCTAGAAGACGTACCTCAGCCAACAGAAAGGTGATGGGAGAAGCTATGGCAAAGGGACTGGCGGGACCCTCTGAACACACTTAACTGCAAATCTCAGATGACAGCAAATTTGGGTATTTGAAGGTAGAAAAGAGAAAAGAAATAAACTGAAGAGAAGCATAAGGAATTAATAAAAATAACATCAGATATTGGTGAGCTGGAATAACTCGCTAATAGTAGAATAAACAGAACTAAAAGCTTTTGCAGGGGCAAAATACATAATCTGCTAGCTAACTTAATCGGGAAAGGGGCGGGGAATAGTAAATACACAAACTAAGAAATGTTATGAGGAAATAACTACAAAACCTAAGTAAATGAAAAGAATCATAAAAGACTATTTAGCTAAACTCAAGACAAATACATTTAAAAACCTAAAAGAATGGACAATTTTTGAAAAAAAATACAATTTACTTAAACTGACTCCAGAAGAAAGAGAAAATCTAAACAGGCTAATCTCCATGGAAGGAAAAAAAAGAAGAAAGTTGCTAAAGAGCCTCATCTTCTAAGAAGTATGAGATTAAGATTTCCACCAAACTTTACAGAACAGGAAATCTCAAACTTATTTAAACTATTCTAGAGCACAGGATAGAATGGAAACGTCTAAGTTTTCTGACGTGAGCAATAACATCATGCAACAAAGATTTCAAAAATGAAACCGTCTTATGAATTCTTATGCAAAAATTCTAAATAACTTACTAAAACAGAATTCAGGACATTAGAAGAACGATGCATCCTAATCAGGTGGCATGTATGCCAGAGATACAGTTTAATATTAGGAGATATATTAATATAATTCACCATATAAATAAGTTTAAGAAGAAAAAGCATAATTCAACATCTATTCTTGTTAGAAATATTCAAATATATTAGAATGTTCCCTTCATATGATAACAATAAATCTACCGCTGCCCAAGAGCTTGCATCCTGCTGAAGAGAGAAATACAAGAAGCATCTTCAGTAAACTCAGGAGCAGGACAAGGATTTCACTCTTACTTTTGTGCTAGAAGCAGCAGCCTACATAACTGAATAAGAAAAAAGAAAGTATGTGTAAAAAATTTGATGAGGAGGAATAAAATTATCATTACTTGCAGGTGATATGGTTACATACATCAAACACCCAAAGAGGAAAAAAATTAAAACCACAGAAATAAAAAAGAATTTATGAAGATAAAGTATATAAAATTATAGAGAAGCCAATAACTTTCATATTTATAAACAATAACCAGATTCAAGATATATTGGAAGAAAAGATTCTATTTACAATAGCATTTTAAAAAGATAAAATATAAGTCAATTTTTAAAATGTTAAAGTCACTTAGAAAAATTTAAAAATATTTCTGAAGGTCCTCAACAAACATTTGAACAACATTCTTGAATTATATACCATTTAACATGATCTTACTTTGGAGCTAGACAAATATCTACATGAAAGATTCTAAGCTGGCCATAAGGGGAACTGCAAACATAAGTCAAAGAAGATTTTTTTCTATACCATGTTGCTTTGGCCCTTATACACTGGTTGACAGTTTCTTGCAGGTTACAGCTATCAAGATGCTCATAAAATCTTTTATATATCCCGAGACTTAGAAAAGGCAATTGGATTTAGCAAGGAAGTGGTCACTGTTGACTTTCCAGAAAACAGTTTCCACAGAGTAATGGAGCTGAAAACTAGTCTGCAGCTGTTAGCAAAAGCCATTCATTCCAGTGCTTAAGGAAAACAACACAATTTCTTGCCTGCTTACAACAGTGGGAACTGATGCAAAAATCCCACCTTCCATCTCCAAACAGAGAGATAAGTTGGATAGAATACACATGTACACAAATCCCACATCGCTAAATTCAGAATAAGAAAGGGAAATCCCAAGGTGTCAGAAATGACGAGGAAATGCAAGGTCAGAAGCATGTTGCACTGGCATACAGCTGAATGTCTTACAGTGGTGTGAGAACCCAATAAGCCCTGCAAGGCTAGGATTTTAATGCAGTTTTAATAAAGTTCACAACTGAGACTGTGGTCAACTACTTCCCTGGCTGAAAGGGAGCTACATCTGAGAGATTTTCTCAGAATAAAGCTAAAAGCTTTCTGAACTGGTGGGCAGATACTCAATAGGTGGTGTCTTCAAAAGCTTAGTTAACATAAATCCTGGTTTTGCAGGACCCCGAAAAGGCAAATTCAAAATATTCTCATAGGTACTCCTCTTGAGCCAGGGGGTTAGCTCCAGGAAAAGGACCCTGCTGCACTAGCTCACACTCCAAAATTGCAAAGCGTGGGAGAATTACCTCACCATGAGCCAGCATTCACAACAAAGAAATTCACACCCGGGAGCTGCAGATAAGGGGCCAATCTGAAGGAAGCTTTTAAAACTATTTCTAAAATGTATATAGAGGTGGACAGAGGAGTGGGAAATAAAAAAAAAAAAAAAAAAAAAAAAACAGAAAAGAAACTTGGCATTAGGGAGGTAGACAACTAGTTCCAATGAAAGTTTCAGTAAGATGTGAGCGATAACTGCATGCATAACCAAAATGGTAAGCCATGTATGCCACTTATGCCACACGTAAGTGAGAGAATGGGCATTTACGGATAGCTGATTATATACCAGGGAGTATCCTAAAATGTAACTTTCTCATTTAATTCACATAACAAGTACCCTGTGGGGTAAAATCATCATTCCCACTTTTTAGCTGGGCCTCGGAAAATTTCACTTTCCCAAGGTCCCACAAGTGGAACTGGAAGTGGAATCCCAAACTAGCAAAGGGGGAGAAACTACAGCTGTTAAGGAAAAAAATTCAGGACTTAATATCTCCAATGAGGCAGAAGAGGATCGAGGAAGGTTTGATTTTGAAGGAAGATGGATACCACTTCAACTCTGACTCCGAGAAAGAGATATTTTGAGATAGAGGGGAGGGTGTGTAAGGGTGCTCAAGACTGAATGTTATATCCTGCAATATATAAAACTCCACATGTCCCTAAACTGAAATCACCTCTTACTCATGCAATTATTTTAGCAGGAGAGGAAAAAATGATCTGACTTCAATTTGTTCAGCATTTATTTTCTAAAAAAGGATATTTGCCACAAGTAATTACTGCAAAGGGGGAGCTATTCCTGGTTAGAAAGTTTTTAATCATGAAGTGGTATTTGACGTTCTAATTATTTCCACAGCTTGAAAAACAAACTTGTCACTGGGCTGTAGTAATAACTAAGTATGACCACAAAAAGAAAGCTATGCACTGTTGATATACACGGCCACTAATTTTATAGGAATAACACTAAAATATTTACCAGTAAATATTTGTCATTCAATGAGAGGTACTGTTAAATAATGTAGGAAACAGTTTTATTCTCTCTCTTTTTTTTTTTCTTAAGAGCTGTGGGCCCTGGACAAGTGGTCTGTAGAGGGCAAGAGAAAGAGTCTAGAATCTCCAGGCACTTCTGTCTCCAATTTCCATTTTCCTTAGGCCTCCTTCTGCCCAGCAAGGCTGGTAACATCAAATGCTCTGGAGGCAATGGTTAGCTCAGTTTTCTCTTAATGATCTCAAAACATTTCAAAGTTGAATTTGTAATAAGTTCCTCTTCTACCACTGAACCACAATAATTCTGAGCCAAAAATAGTCAATGATGGTGAACTGTAATTCTACCCAGAAAGGAAAATAAATCACAGAAAAATTCTTTAGGGGGTTTCTAGTTCAACCTTCTCAGCCTAGGGATGGAGATCTGAGGCCCAGAGGTGGAGAGGGAGATGGCCACTAGGGGCAGAGCTTGGCCTAGAACTCATTTCTTAAGGTCCCTCATCTAAGGCTCCATACCATGCAGATGACCAGGTCAGACGAATAATGGCAGAACAGAAATACATATACAGATGTGGAGCCAGTGGGGCCTAGAAAAAGCCATCAGCATTAATGAGGATAGCAGGAGTGGCGGTAGTGGTTACTGATTAAACACCCTTAGTCAGCCCAGCCCTCTTTCTTCCAAATCTGGAAACACTAGCCTCTAGAGGAGCTGGGGAAAGGGCGGAGAAACAACGTATTTGAAGACACAAAATGGTTTAAATGTTTGTAGATCACCTAGCTGGTCAGCAATAGTCAGGGGTAGAAGAGAGGACTGGACCAGATGTCTGCCTCTGAGATGATGGGACGTCTTAAGCAAACTCAACCAGAATGCATTTTTTATTAGGTCAGAAGTCCTTGACCTCTTTTAAGTCCCAATGCCTCTAAATGATTTGGAGGGGAAACTTTGGCCCCAGGTCGTACTCCATCACAAGGGTTCACTTCATCACAAACTCCAGATGGCCACGGACAGGTCACTTCACGTCTCTGAGTTTCCTCTGTTTCCACACCTGCAAATGGGGGTTAATAAACTCACAGTTCTAACAACCTCAAAGAATTTTGACTTTTCAGAGTTCAGCCCCCGACTTTGAACCTTCCCAAGTTCAAACCTCCTTTTAAAGAGGGCTGTATGAGATCACAGGTATGCTGAAAGGATGATGAGGAAGAAGAGGAGCTTAGGTTGATAACGCTACCTTTGACAGCTGATTCGAGCTCTGCCTCAGGACAGGACAGGTTTGGTTTAAAAGCCAGGCTTCTGTGTAAAACACAAAATCTTTCTGAACCTTGGTTTCTTCAAATTTAAGTTTGGAATAATAATAGCACCTATCTAATCGAAAAAACAATGTAAGAAGAGACCCAGGGCCAGTTTCTTCTTCAGATCTTACTCATGAAAACAGCAGCATGTGGGCCCTTCTAAAAGCTAATTTAGAAAAGTAGAACCATTCTCTCTGGAGGTTCCTCATGAGTCAACTATGCTGGTGGAGTCAGTAAAATCAGCAGAGGGAAGTTTCCCGATGGTCAGAGCATCAGGAATTTCATAGAAAAATATTCCAAAAGTTTCCGTTCCAGACGGCAGTATCTCCATCTGAGTTTCAAATCCTGAGAAAGTCTAGGTTCACAGAGAAGCTAGTTAATGGGTCCAATGTGAAATATATACCATTCTGAGATATATTTGAAAGGCCGTTTCCTCTTTATAGAGTATTTTCTCACTTGTTCACACCCTGTGAAATAGGCAGAATGAATGGTGTCTCCCTTCCCTAGAGGAAGAATCAAGGCTACATAAAAAGGAACGAGATCGTGTCCTTTACAGGGACACACATGGAGCTGGAGGCCATTATCTTCAGCAAACTAATGCAGGAACAGAAAACCAAACACCGCATGTTCTCACTTACAAGTGGGAGCTGAACAATGAGAACACATGGGCAGAGGGAGGGGAACAACACACACTGGGGTCTGTCGGGGGAGGGTGGGGTCGGGGAGAGCATCAGGATAAATGGCTAATGCATGCTGGGCTTAATACCTAGGTGATGGGTTGACAGGTGCAGCAAACCACCACCACGGCACACATTTACCTATGTAACAAACCTGCACATCCTGCATATGTACCCCAGAACTTAAAATGTAAAAATAAAATAAAATAATAAATAATAAATTAAAAAAAGAACGAAGGCTGTGGAAGTTCAAGTTACTTTCCTAAGTAAATTGCCAACCAGTCAAATGCTCTTCTCATGAGACAGCGCCACCTCTCACTCCACTTGATCAAGTTTTAGAACATCATTCTCCCTGAAATAAAATGTCCAAACAAAAACCAAACAAGCCTTGATAGGAGAAACTTATAATCTTTGACCTATTATGAAACCAACATAGATTAAAATTCAAATAAGATGCAAGCCACACATTTACATATATTCACACGTATGAAGATTGAGGGGAGTTTATGAAGGTACTCAAGAAGAATTGAGGTATTGGAGACTGTGACTGCGTAATCAGTCTGAGGGACTCGAGCCTGTAGTCAGCCCAACTTGGCCTATGCATCTTCTCTCTTTCATGTTTCTCTATGTCCCTGGATGGTGCTTTTATTAAATATTAAAGATAGCTCTTTAATATTTTGTATTCCTTACTGTAAAAGATACTGTTTATTAGCAATCTTAATACCTATTCTCAACCTCCTTATTTTTTTTGTCTTTAAAAAAATACTCACTTTCCTAGTCTCCTTCATAGCTGGGATGGGCATGGCAATGGTTCTGGCCAATGAGATATAAGTTGAACTCTGCTGTGGGGGAGGGTGGCAGTTATGAGAAAGGTTTGCTTTCCTATTAAAAGTTACAGTACAGGCCAGGCGTGGTGGCTCATGCCTGTAATCCCAGCACTCTGGGAGGCCGAGGTGGGTGGATCACCTGAGGACAGGAGTTTGAGACCAGCCTGGCCAACATGGTGAAACCCCATCTCTACTAAAACCACAAAATATTAGCCGTGTGTGGAGGCGGCCACCTGTAGTCTCAGCTACTTGGGAGGCTGAGGCAAGAGAATCGCTTGAACTTGGGAGGTGGAGGTTGCAGTGAGCCAAGATCGAGTCACTGTACTCCAGCCTGGGCAATAAGAGCAAAACTCCCTCTCAAAAAAAAAAGTTGGCTGGGCACGGTGGCTCATGCCTATAATCCCAGCACTTTGGGAGGCCGAGGCAGGCAGATCACGAGGTCAGGATATCAAGACCATCCTGGCTAACACAGTGAAACACCATCTCTACTAAAAATACAAAAAATTAGCTGGGTGTGGTGGCAGGTGCCTGTAGTCCCAGCTACTCGGGAGGCTGAGGCAGGAGAATGGCGTGAACCCAGGAGGCGGAGCTTGCAGTGAGCCGAGATCGTGCCACTGCACTCCAGCCTGGGCAACAGAGCAAGACTCCGTCTCAAAAAAAAAAAAAGTTACAGTACAGTCCTTTCCATCTTTCTGTCTGCCTTGAACTCAAATATGATGGCTGGAGCCACAGGAGCCCTCTTGAGACCATGGGAGAATCAGTAGAGATGATACCAGTGTTAAGCCACTGAATCAACTGTAGTTACTGTCTACCTTCAGACTTCTTGTTATGATAGGAAAGTAAATCCCTCTTGGTTTAAGCTGCTATAAGTTGTTACTGTTACTTGAAACCAAACACACTGATCAGACTATGGCCAGAAGGAGCAGGGATTATTTTTTTACCCCATGTTTTCTAAGTTGGCTCCACATGTTGTTGCTGGACTTTGGGAAGGGCACTTATGGCTCTGAGCAATTATTCTGGTGTTTAAAGCCAAAAGGCTGAGTTTTCAAGCAATGACTGGAAACACATAAAGAATCCCTGCCTTTTCAATATTTACTTAGAGGGAATTCACTCAAAACATGTATTTATCAGAAACCATGGTGTTCTCATAAATGTCTACAGAAGGATTGATCACTTAATAAGGTGAGAAAATAATACTCTAGCCAATAGAAATAATGAAATGGTTGTTCTATCCAACTATGAGCATATACGTACACATCTTGTCCTTCTTTTTCTTATTTCTTTTTAGGTAATTACAGGCTTAATGAACAAATGAAAAGGGGAAAGAGGCTAGAGCATGAAGAGGGGCAAAAAGGAAGGACTGGCTAAAAGGAAGAGAAAAATGAGAGTTGAGAAAGAAGGTCTTCTCTTCTCCATCTGGGCTACGTGTATCTAAGAAATTACTTCTCCACTACCACTGCCTGCTGGAATTCAGTGAAGGACTTAGCTACTTAGAAAAATCCTTGTGGTTCAGTGAAAGCATCAATCTACTTGTATTTTCAAACTTTTATGTCTATTTTTAAAAACTTCATCATCCCAGAAATTCTCAAAGTTTTATATACATAAATATATATGAAGGAATGACTCTGATTTTATAAGCATACTTAGAAACAAAGAAGTAGCTATTAGTACTTTCCATAGAAGCCTAATAATATAGTATTCCAAAAACATCAGATTACCTTATCCTGGATCTTTGAGAACTAATCGAGGCTTCTTTTATCACAGAGTCTAAATGTTACATTTAATGTGAGAATTTTTCACTTTTTAGAGCTTTTTTTCTTCCAATCAAATGCAGGTTTTTATTTGTTTGTTGTTGGCTTAGTGAGCATCCTCCTTTTTCCCTACCCCAAAACAATCTAACAAACTGCTCTGTTTTTAAACAAGTCTAACAAGGGTGGTCTGGTCACAGGCATAAAAATTAAAACTTTGTATACTATTTGACATTGGACCAAATTTCAGTTCTATGAATCTATAAAAAAAGTCAATCAGGTATGTAAACTGCATGCATGGGGTGTTCATGGATGTGTTTACAATGAAAAATGAAGATAGACTATGGTAGAGTTGATGAGTGTTTGAAAATATTTTACTATCCACTGCGCTCCTCTTCACAGGTCCAGTGCACTCCCTGCCCCCTGACTTTAGGCTGGGCCACGTGACTTACTTTGGCCAATGGAATATTTGTGACTAAGATGCAATGCAAGGCTTGAAAAACATTTATGTGATTGGGCTTTGCACTCCTGCACTTTTGTCAACTCTAGCTGGCAACGCGATGAGAAGATCCCAGGAAGGGTGTAAGAGGCTCAGGGAGCAGAGCCCGCTCCACCTCATTATGTACCAATACCACCTCAGCCATGCTGAAAACTCACGAGCAAGAAGGAAGTGCTTATTTCTATCTGCCTTATTTTTGTAGTTGTTACGCAGCAATATTATGGCAAGAGTTAACAGATATACAACTTAAATTTCAAAAAATAGGGAATTTAATAAATTGCAACACATCACATAGTATTAAACCGTCATTATTATTAATGACAATGATCTATATTTATATATACATGGGATATGTCTAAAACATTAACAAAAAAAGTGGCGGGGCATGGTGGCACATGCCTGTAATCCCAGCACTTTGGGAGGCCAAGGTGAGTAGATCGCTTGAGCTCAGGAGTTCGAGACCAACGTGGGCAACATAGTAAGACTTTGTCTCTACAAAAAATAACAAAAATTAGCCAGGCATCCTGGCATGTGCCTGTGGTCCCAGCTACTTGGGAGGCTTGGGTGGGAGGATCGCTTGAGCCCAGGCAGCGGAGGTTGCAGTGAGCTGAGATCCCACCACTGCACTCTAGCCTGGGTGACAGAGCGAGACCCTAGCTCAGGAAAGAAAGAAAGGAAGGAAAGGAAGGAAGTTACAAACAATGTATGTCCAGCATGAATCTCTTATTTTATACAATATAAACACATATGTGTGCTTACACACACAGAAAAGAACCTGGACCGAAATACACAAAATGTTAACAGTGTTTCTCTCTGAGGGGGAAGAATATAAATATGTTCACTTTTTTCTTTCTCAATCACTATTTTTTGCATTAAAAAACTCATAGCAGTTTTAAGTGCAAATGAAAATAATAAAGTTATAGAGTTTTCTAACTGTAAGCTGCCAGGTATCACTGGCCTTCAACAGGAAACACAGTTTTTTTTCAAACCTTCTCCTAAAGAGTGAAGGGTACGTACTTTTAAAATCTGGCAACTAAAAGCTGAAGTATGCTTCAAAATTTAAACCAAATCCCCATCAACATATAAAAAACAGCCCAGCCTGTTTCTTCCCCAAATTTGTCTGTTTATTCCATCGACTAATGAAAAGTCTCTGTTTCAGACTCCGAGATGCATATCTGTGAATTAGTGCTCAGTTTCCCAAAACTAAAGTTAACCTTCTTTCCTGCCTCTCACTCTTCATTTGTCCTTGATCCTTCCATAAAACCCCAAATCCAGAAGCAATGATTAGGAAACTGCAGACTCTAGTAAAAGTAATTTCACTAGTGTCAGAGAAAGAGAAAGGTTACCCAATTAAAAGAACTAAGGCTTGGCATCAGAAACAGAAGTTGTGAACATGACAAATAACATGAACAAATGGAGATGGAGAATGTTATTTAAGCCTAATGGGAATCGGTGCAAAATATGTCCATCTAGTACCTTACTCAGGTAGGGGAGTCATTGAAAACACCTGACAAAAAAAAAAAAAAAAAAAAAAGGCAGAAGAAAGAAAGTAAAGAAAAGCCACCAGTGAACAAGTGATCAGCATTTACAGATCCCAGACATGGCTTGCCAAAAAAAAAAAAAAAAAAAATACACTCTGCCTAATTTTCCTGCAGGTGTTTCTGTTCCCCTCGACTGCCACTGCACTACTGGGGGCCCACAGCTCTCTGGTGTTAAGGATTATAGTTGTTTCAGTTAAAGGATACAAAGCAGACCTGTGGTTTCAGGAAATATTAAAGACCTGTTCACTTGCAGAAAAATGACAGAAACTTTCATCTCTGTTAACCAGCAAACAGTCCCTTTTCTAATGGCCCATTAGGGAAGCCCAAGAGGAATAACCTCTCAGAACACTTTGCCCAGTGTCTGGAAAAGGCTCATATGATTCTCGTCCTTTGTGGTCCCCTCATTTGGTTGCCAGAGTCTTCCCTTTATCAGAAATACAGTCCCCAATATTTTATTATTGCACATCCCATAATTACTCTTGGCATAACTGTGTTTTAGGCCACATAGAAGTGATCTGAATTTTGGCTGCTACCTACCATTGAAATTCTTTCTACTTGCCTCCTACTGACATTCAAGGTCTAAATCTCTCTTCACAATGCTGCACTATTTTATAACAGGTTACTACAGGTGCTGTTGTGACTTTGATTTTGTTCATCTTTTGGGTGGAGTCCACCAAATCGGGTTGTCTATAAAAAGTTGCATTTTTCTGCTTAATAAATAGATCCTCACAGATACTGTATGCATGTGTTTATTTACTAAAATATGAGAATAGGGGATATAATTCTGCATAAGTTATGTCCTACTTTAAAGAAGATTTACATAAATATATGTAATAATACCAAATAAAATAAATTAAAATAAGTAGACGAAGACACAAGAAAGTCAGGAATGGAGTTAGCATACAACATCTATTTTTATACCTGCTTATATACTTCCTAGAGGCAGGTCTGGGCTTTCTGATGTAAGCTATAATATGACATGGCATTCACAGAACCAAAACGGCCTCACTTGCTCAGGATGAAAATATCTAATCCTACGCAGCCGACCCCAGGGGAAATTTCTCCCATAGGTTCTCATTAAGATGCTGTTATGGAATGTAATGAGCAACATCTTTAAGGAAAACATTGTGCCAAGGCAGCAAGCAGTTGCACAGGTCTGCTTCTTGCAGCAGCCTCCAAGCCTTGGGGCTTGAGCACACCACCTCCCCATCCTTGGGGACCAGAATTGTTGGATTTGGGCACACAGCTCTGCTACATCGTGCCAGATTTGAAAGCAAGCAGTGAGATAGTTTGTTATGATTTTTTAAGCTGCAGAACCCTGTATTCAAGTGAAGATTTACTTGGGTGTGGGAATCACAGAAGGAGAAGCAGGTTCAGCATGGTGAAGAGGGTGAATAAAGTGACGGTGTGAGGGATGCTGATGCAGGGCAGGAGACGGGAGGAAGATCTGGGCTGCACTGGTGGTGAAGACTGGAGAATGGTCAGCATGAAGGTGGAGGCTGAAACAATGGGAGAAGAGCTGACCCAGCTAAGGAGGTGAGAACAGGAGGGGCTGAGGACCTACAGATAGAAGAGTTGCTCAAGAAGAAAAGGAAGCAGCAGCTTTTATTTCTTTTTCCATAACATGCAGCATAATGCTCCCAATGTGGCCTCCATACTCCTAATCCCACTCCAGTAACTTTCAAATGTCTCTTGCTGTCCGCCCGTCCTTTCATCTTCCAGGCACAAGAGC
Source organism: Homo sapiens (assembly GCF_000001405.40). Classification (NCBI taxonomy): domain Eukaryota; kingdom Metazoa; phylum Chordata; class Mammalia; order Primates; family Hominidae; genus Homo; species Homo sapiens. Next base: position 71,477,441 of record NC_000015.10, on the reverse strand, counting down.
TGTCTTCAGGGTGGGGAAAATGAATTCAATACCCAGGGCCTGCGGGGCAGCACATCCACTTCCTCTACCTCTGGACTCCTCTGGGCAACTTCGAACCATTCTAAACACGGTTTTGCACACATATGCTCGGAGCTTTACTAGCAGTCTGTTTATGTTCTCATTTGATTTCACATTAAACAGAAGAAGACCCCGTCTGATAGGAACCAGTGGCGTCACACCCTCACACATTTGGCCCTGGCTGGCTCCGTGCACGTCTGAAGGAGGGCGTGTGGAGCTTTTGCCTCGTTTCAATGCCTTGATGTTGTAGCTCTGGTTTCTGAAATGTTCTTTTGTAAATCAGGAACTGTACTGCAAATTATCTGTATGTTTACCTTGGTGAACAGTGCTATTTGGGGGACTTAATTTGCCTAAGCATGAAACCTGAGTTTGCACATTGCTGGGAGGAAATGAGAAGTTCTCCCTGCCCCAGGATGGGAGGATGCCAGTGCGCGTTCACTCATGCTCACCCTATAGAAAAGGATTGGAAACCTATGTCGGCCCAGATAACTGATGAGGCAGCTGGGGCTCCTGAAGGCTCACTTTTCCAAAAGTAAACGTTCCAAAAGTTTCTTGAAGAGTCTGAGGGATGCTGATGCTGGGTAGAGATGGGGAGAGAGACCTGGGCTGCACTGTTTCTTGAACAACTGCTCAGCAGAGAGTTTGGTAATGATTCCGCTGTGAGCTCTCTTCTTGAGGTGCTAAAAGAAAATAGTATTAGCTTTAGCTATAGATTTGGACCTAGAGGTTGCCTTGTTGCCTTGAAGACAAACAGGACATTCTACAGCAGCTGCCAATCTGGAACACTGGAAATTGTCTGAAGGGAGCTAAGGGCAGCTGAGTATCAGGGATATACAAGGGGTTGGCCAGGCATGGTGGCTCACACCTGTAATCCCAGCACTTTGGGAGGCCGAGGTGGGTGGATCACTTGAGGTCACGAGTTCGAGACCAGCCTGGCCAACATGGTGAAACCCTGTCTCTACTAAAAATACAAAAATTAGCCAAGCATGGTAGCAGGTGCCTCCCGCTACTAGTAATCCCAACTACTCTGGAGGCTGAGGCAGGAGAATCGCTTGAACCTGGGAGGCGGAGGCTGCAGTGAGCCAAGATTGTGCCACTGCACCTCAGCCTGGGTGATAGCACGAGACTCTGCCTCAAAAAAAAGGAATATACAGCCGGTGGAGAAAATAACCATTGGAATAGATAGGAGATGGGGCAAACAATTATCCCAGCTATACTTCTTGGAATGACCATGATGGATCAGGCCCTTTGCTAAATACTTTACATACCTATGTTACTTTATTTGGTCATCACAAAACACTATGATTTAATCCCCATTTTGTAGACAAAGAAGGTGAGGCTCGAGAAGATTAATAAACTTGCCTAAAGACACAGTTAGTGAATGGCTGAGTGGGGATATGAGCCCAAAGCCCATCTCTTAGCCACTTCTTTTAAAAAATAAAGAATTTTTTTTTTAATAGACAGGGTCTCACTTTGTCACCCAGGCTAGAGTTGCAGTGGCATGATCCTAGCTTACTAAAACCTTGAACTTCTGGGCTCAAGCAATCCTCTTGCCTCAGCTTTCCAAGTGGCTAGGACTAGAGGTGCACACCACTATGCCCAGCTAATTTTTAAAAAACGATTTTGTAGAGACAGAGTCTCATTATGTTGCCCAGGCTGGTCTCGAACTCCTGGCCTCAGACAAACTTCCCGCCTCAAGCTCCCAAAGCACTAAGACTAAAGGCATGAGCCACCACGCCTGGCCGCCATTTCTTTATGCTTACTCCCTAACACCTGCTACTTAGAGTGTGGTCCTTGGACCAGCAGCAGCAGAATTACCTGAGAACCTGTTAAAAATGCAGACTCTCAGGCTCTATCCCAGACCTCCTAAATCAGGATCTGCATTTTAACAAGATCCCCAGATTTACGCCACCAAATCTGAGAAGGATGACCCTAATACACCACCACTGTCTGGTGAATCAATAGTCATTGAAGAGGTATGTTAAACAACCACAAGCCATTTTTATAAATAGAAAATTGGGACAACAAAATGGGGAACAATTTGGCAATATCTATGAAAATTTGAAATGCATGTTCCTTTTCCACAAAAATGCTATTTAAAGGAATTTATTCCTCTAATAAACTCACACATATGTGCAGAGATCTATAAACAAAGGTTCATGAGACAGGCTTTCAAGAGGAGACAGATGGCACATTCAACTTAACGACTATCTGAGGCTGGCTTCGTAAAGGGATTATTAGTAAAGTTATAGGTTAGGGCATAAGAGGAAGGCATAATGCAGGGAGTCTCAAACTTGAGTTTGCATCAGAATCATCTGGAGGACTTGGTAAACCACAGACTGCTGGACTCTACCCTCAGGGTGTCTGAATCAGTAGTCGGTCTGGGGTGGGCCTGGAAATGTCCATTCCTAACAAGTTCCCAGGTGATACTGATTTTGCTGGTCCTGCAACCGCACTTTGAAAATCATCTGCATAGTGAAGTAAGCCAGAACTAGAGAGAATGGAGGGGATACTCCAGGCCCAGTGAGTCAAGGGAAGAGAGAGATTGCTAGAATCCAGAAGGAGATGGTCAAGTAGAGAAAGCAACCTAAGATGTCCTTGCAAGGAGAGAGCCAAGGGAATAAATACCCCAACCTCACTCTCCTCCCTCCTCCTGTCTCATGTGGGGCTGAACCCAGAGGGAATCTAGGAGGAAAGATTTGATGATGCAATTCACATACAGCAGCCTTCTGCAGACAGAGAGCATAGGATGAAAGGATGGCTGACAGATCTGGAGAAGTGAGAAGAAAACAGCTGGTACAACGGTGGACTGGTTGCATGAAACCATGGAGAACTCTGTACTTGCAAGCAAAAATAAAGTAGAAGGCCAGGCGCGGTGGCTTAAGCCTGTAATCCCAGCACTTTGGGAGGCCACGGTGGGTGGATCATGAGGTCAGGAGTTCAAGACCAGCCTGGCCAAGATGGTGAAACTCCGCCTCTACTAAAAAAACTACAAAAATTAGCCAGGCACAGGGGCAGGCGCCTGTAATCCCAGCTACTAGGGAGGCTGAGGCAGGGGAATCGCTTGAACCCAGGCGGCAGAGGTTGCAGTGAGCCGAGATCACGCCACTGCACTTCAGCCTGGGTGACAGAGTGAGACTCCATCTCAAAAAAAAAAATAAAATAAAATAGCAAGATGCCAAACAATATGTGCTGTAATGTTCCCATTTGTGTGCAAATAATGCAGAATGTCCCTGTAAAGGCACAAGAGGCTATGAACAGTGACTGCCTCTGCCTCTGGGGAGCAGACTAGGACACTGGGATTCCCTGAATGGATAAGGCCTGACCATGGATGAGGTCATAGGGTTCCAGGTATACCTGACCTGCGATCCACATGAGGAGTCAGTATCAAGAGACTGCCCAGCAGTGTCCAGCACAGTGAGATCCCGGGATGCTTTGAAAACCACCATATAGGCCCTGCCCTAAATTCCAATTTAATTGGCCTAAGGTAGGACCTGGGCTGGTAAGTAAGAATGTGCCCAGGTGATACTGACTATGCTGGTCACTTCCACTGGTGAGAACCTTCCACTGATGGTGGCCTGCACATCTGTATGCATCGCACAGCATGCATGGGGACTTTGCTAGCTCCATTCAAACTACTCCAAGCTTCAATGTCCCTTTTTTCAACAGCACCCCAAAACAGGGGTCAGGGTCCTTGATACCCCAGCCCCATCCCATAGGAGCAGTGGCAATGGGAAGGGAATGTTCCCTGACTCTTTTCTCTGTATAGGATTGGGGGCACCAGTGGTAGACTACATTCCTTACAATGATATGAGCATGTTAGGCATTAGTGTTCAGGCTGTTACCATTACTATGGTGAACAGTCATTTACCAATAGGTTGCCTGGTAGATTTGAAGGCTCAGAAACAGCGACAACTCCAAGTAATTCCGTGCTCAGGGTTCCAGCTGGGGTATGGCCTGGAGAAAAGGCTATAGCTTTTAAAATAATATTGAATGACCTAAAAACAGTTTATGATTCTCAAAGCTGGGCCAGGCACGGTGGCTCACACCTGTAATCCCAGCACTTTAGAGGGCTGAGGCGGGTGGATTGTTTGAGCCCAGGAGTTGGAGACCAGGCTGGGCAACATAACAAAACCCTATCTCTACAAAAAATGTAAAAATTAGCCAGGTGTGGTAGTGTGTGCCTGTAGCCCCAGCCACTTGGGAGGCTGAGGCAGGAGGATTTGCTTGCGCCTGCAAGGCAGAGGTTGCGGTGAGCCAGGATCACACCATTGTACTCCAGCCTGGGCCACAGAGTGAGACTTTGTCTCAAAAAAAAAAAAAAAAAAGCCAAATACAGTAATACAGTCAAAAAGACTTGGTAACATTAAGAATTTTTTTTAAAAGCACCTGAAAATGCACTATTCAAAACAGATCTCACCATTAACAGCATCTGCAACAAGTCTGCCTGCACAAATCAGGTATTCTCCGTGCCAGAGTTACATAAAACAACTCACACTGCCTCCTCCAGTGTTTCAAAGGCTACATTTCCTTCCCATGGGAGTTTTTCTAAATTTACAATGCAAAGTTTACCACTCACACAGTTTCAATTAAGATGACATGTGCTTTATGAGAATAACACACAAGTCAGCCTCCTGTGAAATCAACCTCTCTTAAAATCAAGATCCCATTTCCATGCAGGTCAGCGAGCAGGACTTCCAAGACGCATCAGGAGAGGGGATGTTTCTGGAACATTCATCTTGGAATGAAGAAAAATTCCTCAGGAGACTTTTTCTAGTTTGTCTGCTGTGGAACTCTGCCCGTTAGAGAAGCCAAGCCTCTGTTCTCTAAGAAGAGCAAAGAAATCTTCAACTGGGGGGAGTTCTAATGGGCAATATGAGTGAGAGCACAATTAAAGGCTTGCAGGGACAGTCCAAGTCTTGTTGGAAAGGATCCCTGCTCAGATGGGCCTTTCACAGATAGGCAGTAGAGTTACTCTAGAATGAATTAACTGTTGATGATAATAATGATAAACAGTAGTGGTTAATATGTATTGAAGGCCTAATACATACTAGTTAGCATTTAAATATTTGACTCTTAAGTTTATAAGCATGAAATCTTGACAACAACCCCATCATGTAGATACTGTTATTAACTCCATTTTACAGAGGAGGATAAAAAACTTACTAGGCCAGGCGCAGTGGCTCATGCCTGTAATTCCAGCACTTTAGGAGGCTGAGGCAGGAGGGTCACTTGAACCCAGGAGTTTGAGACCAGCCTGGGAAACATAGGGAGGCCCTGTCTCTACAAAAAGCTTTAAAAATTTAGCCAGGCATGGTGGTGCATGCCTGTGGTTCCAGCTACTCGGGAGGCTAAGGTGGAGGGATTGTTTGAGCCCAGGAGGTTGAGGCTGTAGTGAGCCATGATTGTGCCACTGCACTGTAGCCTGGGTGACAGAGCAAGATCCTCTCTCAGAACAAAAACAAAAACACCAATGTACTTAAGCTCACATGGTTGGATGTGGCCAAGTTGGGATTCAAACCCATGGTCTGACTCCAGATCCCACGCTCTGAAACCCCTACACAGCCTGTCTCTCATAGCCAGTGTTGATTGAGCACTATGGATGATCTTACCTGAATCCTCCCGGCCACCCAGTAAGGAAGGTTTTATGACCCCCACTTGATAGATAAGGAAACAGGAATGAAAAGTGTCAGGGACTTGCCTCAGGCTACATATCTAGTATGAGGCTGGGCCAGGAAGTGGAGCCAGGCATGTCTGAGCAGTGCATCCTTGCTCCTGATCACTTGATCATACTTCGCCTTTCACATTGCAAAAGACAAACATCTGACTGAGTGACATAAAGTGGGTGAGGGCAAGGCAAAAGAGGACAGCAGGAAGTGGTGGCTGGAGGGCCTCAGAGGGGCACACTGTATCCTTAAGACCCAGCATGACACCTCAGGGCTGGCCTAGGTGAGTAAGAGGGGTGTGGGAGAGATGAAACAGAAAGTATTAAGCACATTTACCACCCCAGAGAGTCAGGGCCTCCTGTAAAGGCACAGACATTCTGGAAACTCTGTCACCTGTCCCTCCCCTCCATGAGTCTGATTTTTGGACACCTCCACCTGCTTGCCCTAGTGATTAATTCTGAACCTTAGCATGCAGAGGGCCCATGTGCTCACATCCAAGGGAAGCTGGTTGAGTGTCATGAGTGGGGATGGGTCACAGAAGGGGTAGCCTGGGACTGGATGGGAGGAGAGCAGCAAAGTCCTGAGGCCCACAGCACAGGAATGTGCAGGAACCGACAGGCATCAAGGCCAAGGGGTTATCCCAAAACCAGCAAGTTCTTTTTGTTTTTGTCTCTGCTTAGCAGACAAGCTCAAACAAACAAACAACAACAAAAAGAAATAGCCTGATAACTTTAAACATACTGCAAAACTTTCAAACTATATATGAGTTTAAAATCCTCACTCAGGCCGGGCGCGGTGGCTCACGCCTGTAATCCCAGCACTTTGGGAGGCCGAGGCGGGTGGATCATGAGGTCAGGAGATCAAGACCATCCTGGCTAACAAGGTGAAACCCCGTCTCTACTAAAAATACAAAAAATTAGCCGGGCGCGGTGGCGGGCGCCTGTAGTCCCAGCTACTCGGGAGGCTGAGGCAGGAGAATGGCGTGAACCCGGGAAGCGGAGCTTGCAGTGAGCCGAGATTGCGCCACTGCAGTCCGCAGTCTGGCCTGGGCGACAGAGCGAGACTCCGTCTCAAAAAAAAAAAAAATAATAAAATCCTCACTCAGCCATTTATTAGCTTTGTGATCTTGATCAAATCACTACATCTCTGTCAGTTTCCTCACCTATGAAACGGTGATAATACTAGTACCTCCTAATGAGACCATTAGGAAAATTAAATGAATTAATAGACATAAAATGCTTACAACAGTACTCTGCCATAGCAATGCTGGCAATTGCTGTTATTATTTTCTAGCAGTGGTTATCACTTGGGTTTTAAAAGACCTTTATATTGAGACTGTGCAGCATTCACATGGCTCCAAGTAGTCAACCTCTAGGAAAGAAACAAAAATTCTCAATTTTATTGGTTCCCTCAGGTAGGGAATAGGTAGAACTCCAACAAACTATCAGGTTTTTTCCACAACCCTTGAATGCAAATAATTATCCCAAAGCAAAGCTCTGACTCCTTATAAATTAGTAGTAATTATGAATCACTTCTAGAAAAAAAATGAAAAGATTTAAAAAAACAAAAACAAAAAACAAACTACTTTATAAACTACAAAGTTCTTAAGGTAGGGAACCTCTTATACTTATTGCCTGAACATGTGAGATTGTTTCATGCCTTTACACCTTTGCATAAATCGGCTCCTCTGCCTTCATCTCTACCTCCATATGGCTAGTGAACTCCTATTTATATGTTAAAATCCAGCTTGGACATCTCCTCTGTGCTCATTTGACACTGTACATATTTATATTGTATGAATTCCTCTCTATTATAACTGTATGTTGTTCTCCCACTAGATTGGCTCAATGGTCTTTGTATATCATTTAGCACATGTTGTTCATTTTTCTATTCGTTAAACGAATATTGATAGAAGGCCTGCTATATGTCAGGTGCCACAGGAGACACTAAGAAAGGATACAACAGCGAGACCAGCATGGTGGAGATCATGGGGAGGGAGATCACCAGACTGAAATTCCTGCCTTCTTGCCGAAATAGGGCAGTCTTCCAAAGATATATTTGATGCAGATGTGTTGAGCCTAAGTTGAACACATATCCGGCTAAATGTATTCATGTGGGTGCTGCTTAGTAGATAAATACCACCTGTGCCTCACTTCGCCGGAAGGGGGCTCTCAGAAGAAGTTGGTTGGCAGCTTCTCAGCCTTGAAGCCAGCCCCCAGCAAGTGTCCGTGGGACTGTGAGGCAGGGGAGCTAGGCCACGGACATTCTCGCATTGCTGTCTCACTGTTCTCCATGGGTTGCTGACTTGTGAACCTGCAGCTGCATTCTGAGAGCTGGAAAATCTGAAAATGTAATGTTAAGTCAACTACAACTTGGGATGTGTGTGTGGAAACCAGTCCTGTGTGCAATCTGAGGATGCCCACTGAGGACAAAGCCATGACAACCACATAGGGCCTGGGCAGTGCAACACATGAAGTTAGCACGGTTTAGAAGATGGAGAAAAGTTTATCAAGCAGAATTCTCTTTGGAAGTGAGCTGCAGGTGTTTGAGAAGAACACCCAAACAATATCTTAGGTCAAATGTGAGGCCTGGAGGGAGCCTAATCACATGTCAAATTAAGCAAGGCAAGAAAAGGGATGGATGTTTATTGTCACAGGTGTGACAGAGTCTGCTAGTTGTCTTCCAATATTTATTCTCCCTTTCTTCCACAGTAAGAGAACCACCAGGTTTCAGACACGCAAATACCTGCCCAGAATAAAGACTACATTTCCCAGTCTACTTTGTAACTAGGTGTGGTCATGTGACTAAGTTCTGGCAAATAGGATGGGAGCAGAAGTAGTGTGCAACTTTTGGGATATTCTTAAAGGGAGGGCATATGCCCTTTTTGCTGGCTGGAATGTATATGTAATGGCTGGAGCTGCAGCAGTCACTTTAGATGATGAGATAATCTTAAAAATAGAAGCTAAGCATGAAAGAGTAAGACAGAAGAGGGTCCAGTAATGTGGAGACCACAACAGCCCTGGACTGTTTATTCTCAGACTTACCTAACGTGAGGCAGAAATAAACTCCTTTAGATCACTGCTATTATTTTTTCTATTATAGCTAAAAGTAATGTTTTATTATATTTACATATTATTTTTCTCTTATAGCTAAAACTAATGTTAATAGGAAATAGGAACAAGGGAGTGAAGTGAGGGCTGAGCCCTTGAAGGCACCTATTGCCAATTGCTTGTTAAAGTCACCTCTGGTGGTGTTTTGGACATGCTATCCAAAAATATGGGACTTTTAGCATATGAGCATATTAAATATTTTAAGGAAAAAGGGATCTGAGAGAGCATGTGCAGGAAGGTCTCCAGACCTGTATGATTCTGTTCTCATGCTGCTAATAAAGACCTACCCGAGACTGGGTAATTTATAAAGGAAAGAGGCTTAACTGACTCACAGTTACACATGGCCGAGGAGGCCTCACAATCATGGTGGAAGGCGAAGGGGAAGCAAGACACATCTTACATGGCAGCAGGCAAGAGAGAGCGTGTGCATGGGAGCTCCCCTTTATAAAACCATCAGATTGGCTGGGCGCAGTGGCTCATGCCTGTAATCCCAGCATTTTGGGAGGCTGAGGCGGGTGGATCACCTGAGGTCAGCAGTTCGAGACCAGCCTGGCCAACATGATGAAACCTCGTTTCCACTAAAAATACAAAAATTAGCCAGGCTTGGTGACAGGCGCCTGTAATCCCAGTTACTTGGGAGGCTGAGGCAGGAGAATTGCTTGAACCTGGGAGATGGAGGTTGCAGTGAGCCGAGATCATGCCACTGCACTGCAGCTGGGCGACAAGAGCAAAACTCCGTCTCAAAAAAAGAAAAAAAAAAAAACCATCATATCTCCTGAGACTTATTCAATATCATGGGAACAGCATGAGAAAGACCCGCCCCTATGATTCAATTACCTCCCCACCAGGTCCCTCCCATGACACATGGGAATTATGGAAGCTACACTTCAGATGAGATTTGGGTGGGGACACAGCCAAACCATATCACCTTTCTCCTGCTCTTCTTCCCTGAAGCAAGTCATCACACCCAGGAAGGATTTTCTGACCCTTCCTTGAAGCAGGTCATATGACCCTCATATGGAGGTGACCTCCCTATACTCAGAGAAGAGAAGCATCCTTATCTCTGAAGACACAGGGACAAGAAAAGAATCTGAACAAACAGGCCTTGCTTGCTGAGATTCCCCCAGTTTATCACCATTAGATTGCACTCTTTTGCTCTATCATATTTCTCCATGACTGTCCACTCTTCATCAAACCTGGCATAAAAATACACAGATTTAATCATTTCTTCAGGTATTCATTTCCTTATGAAGGCTCCAGTGTCACATAAAACTTATATTAAATAAATTTGCACTTCTCTTGTCAATCTGTCTTTTGTTATGGAGTGCTCAGCCGTGAACCGAGGATGGATGAGATATTCCTCCTTCCACACCTCTCATGATCATCCTAATCTTTAGTAAAGTTAGTCAATTCATGACAAGTTAACTCATGCCATGTGGACTTTTGTGGAAAATAGATTTGGGGAGAGACACAAAGGCAGCACGTGAGGTTGTAGAAGTGGAGAGGCAGAAAAAGCAAGCTCTGGAAGTCCCTGGAAGCCACGGGAAATGGTTTGGATCTCCTAGGCCTTTCCATTTGAATTGAATAAGACTTCCGGGGATGTGAGTTACAAACGCGAGGGCAATGCCTCACAGGGGACACCGGATTAGAGGTCTGGATAGGGAGGCTCCCTTGCGGAAGCTACCTTTTAGCTGAGGCCAGAGGCCCTTGAGGCATTTGCCCCAGACTCAACAGGGCTCAGGCCCAGTCCAGTGTAGCTAGAAAGGGGCTGGATGGGGCATGAGGGGAGGACTGTGTGACTAAGGGGTGATGTGAATAGAGTTCCTCCAGGTTTCATCAGAAGACTTTGAGATTAGCATTGCCTCCTAGAAAGACAGCCCTGGCTCCAATTCAGAAATCGGATGAGAGAAAAGCCAGCTGGAAGCAGGGAGGGTCATTACCAAGCCACTGCCACAATCTGGGCAAAAGGTGATGGAGGCTTCTACCAAGGGATGGAAAGAAGAGGAGCATTTGAGGGAGATCCAGAAGGTGGAGCAAACCCTAGAGGGATGAGGAAGAATGAAGACTCAAGGAAGGCTCCTGAGGGTTCTGCCCTGGCACCAGCAGATAAAGGACATGATGTCTTGGAGCATGTCCTCTCTGGATCGGGCCTGGAGCTGGGGGATGCTGGGGCTCAGGTGGGTGGTCTTCAGCATAACCATGTCTGACCCTTTTTCTCTGTTACAGCTTCTCCTGGGGCCTCTATTTTCCTTTTTTTTTTTTTTGAGATGGAGTCTTGTTCAGTCTCCCAGGCTGGAGTGCAGTGGTGCAATCTCAGCTCACTGCAAGCTCTGCCTCCTGGGTTCACACCATTCTCCTGCCTCAGCCTCCCGAGTAGCTGGGACTACAGCTACCACGCCCAGCTAATTTTTTTTTGTATTTTTAGTAGAGACAGGGTTTCACCATGTTAGCCAGGATGGTCTTGATCTCCTGACCTCGTGATCCACCCACCTCAGCCTCCCAAAGTGCTGGGATTACAGGTGTGAGCCACTGCGCCCGGCCTCTATTTCTCTTTCTATTCCCCATGTCTAAGTGAAAGAAGGGGAGAAAAGGAGGATAAGGAAGAAGAAATATCCCTTAGAATTCTCAAGGAAAAGTCAGCCAGATCCTCTTCTCCACATCAATTTCATCCTTGGCCTTCTTCCCAGGCCTTTCACTCACCTGCCACAGGAAACTTCAGGACCTACCCCCCATGGAAGTGCCAATAAATGCCCTGAATAGGCATTCTCTTATTTGCCACTACTTTAAAACTGATGTAAAGTGACCAAAGCATTCTTTCCAGTGCCTTCCTCTCTCCAGCTGATATTGCATGCTTTACAAATGAGAGAGCAACAAAGCAGGTTTTGGGAAATAACCCATGAGATTAAACCTTTCCCAACAGGGGAGATGAATACCGACAATGCAACAGACGAGGTTTGCTTGATATGTAGGTAACTTGGGTTGCAGGGATAAAAAGTCTGCACAAATATAAATCTTAAATTTAAATGCACATCACCCAGATTTTAAATAATGATCCTCTTTCCTTTGGGCTCATTAAATCTGAAGCCAAGGAGGGAGGCCAGGGAGAAAATAAAGCATAAATCTATCAATTAGCTTTATAATGTAGAAAGGAGTTGAAACCCCCAAAAGGTAGCAGGAACAGCTTTTAAATCCTGCCTTTTCTCTGCCCCTGTCTACCTCTCACAGCCACCCTAATTAACTGCAGCATAAGTGTCAAACTACGGAATCACAGCCAAGATGCAGTAGGAGCCTGAACTGCTGAGTTCAAAGGGAGCTCATTTGTTTATGACTATTATGTAATGACTGAGTCAATCACACTGAACATCCTGTGGGAGACCTTGTTTCCATTAATAAAAACCTTGTTTTCTTCAAAGTGAAATGCAAGAACAGATTAATACATTTAAAAATGAGTAGAAACAGGTTTATTCACTAAAGAATTTCAGTGGCTAAAAGCTAAGATTTCCTAGCATTAAGGGCAAGCATGGGGAGGTTGAGTTCCACCTTGAGTCACTCGCTCACCAAGAAAAAAATAACTCAGGTAAAGGTCATACACAAGACAAATTTGACTCAATTTGGAAGGTTTAAAATGTGCATTTCTTACTTACTCACGGGGGAATATAAACTTATATTAAAAGTGCATATATTCATTTTCCTAAGTAGGGAATTGAGGACTTAAGGGGGAGGGGGTAGTGTTTTCATGTCTTACTCTAATGGAAGGTCATAGTTTTGGAAGACTGTGGAACAAATGGGAAGTTGGTAGCTGGCTACCCAAGGAGGGCTTATACATAAGGATTCTGGGACTTCTCTGAAAACAGTGTCCATCTCCCAAAACTGGGAAAATTATGGCAGAGGAATTTCTGATTAGGGGGTTTGTACTTAAACTTTAGAAGGGAAAGTGTCTAGGTGAGATGATGAGTGAGAAAGATGATACTGAGGGACAATGAGTGTGTTGCAGGTAAAAGTACCAAAGCCCTATCTTTCCCATGAAAAACTCAGGGCAAGAAAATTGGGTATGCTCCATATAGCTTAAAGGAGCTGCAAACCAAGACACAGACTGTGGGTAACACGGCTACCTTGAACTGTGACCCTTGATGGTGAGCATCTTTTCACTGGCATCACCAAGAATGATAGCTGAAACTCATTGTTACCAGTCAGGGAGAAAAAAAGAGTATACCTTCTCTAAATTAACAAGCAATACACAGTACTGGATTACCAGCAACTTGGGAACTGGAACCCAGTCTTCTCATCTATATGGCCACCCACCGCCTTTCTAATCTGATAGGTGAAGGGTACACTCTGCCATGAAGGTTCTGGGGTGGAGAGGGAAGCAATGTATATCCTACCCATGGTGATTGGTCCGATGGAAGTCACATCCTGATGGGAAAAAAGGACTGAGCCAGAGTGGACTGTCTAAACCAAAATGGGATAAACAAGCATGGCATGGAGCCAAAACAAATGGCTAAGTCAGAGGTCCTAATGCAGAAGGCTGGACAACTAGGATGGTGGGGAAAGACATGAGCTTGAAGGACTTCCCAAGATAAAGCAGAACTAACCAGAAGAGCCTGTTATAGATTCATATTGGGGGAGTTTGGGGGTTTGTGCAGGGTGCATCAAAAAGCACTCGCATGGAATAAACATATCTTGCACAGGAACATATGACAGGTAATTGAATAGTTTGATTTGAATTATGTAAAGACATGATCCTGATGGTAGAAGGATGGTACAGAGTAGACAAATGAGGCTAAAAGATGAAGGTGAATGAACTCAGCATAGCTAGAGAGACAGCTGAGGAGGAGTTAAGAGATTGGAGTCTAATCAGGATAATAACACTTGTAAGAAATCAGGTAATCCCTGGTCCTAAAGGGTGAGGACAAGAGGTCGGTCAATAGATAGATCTTTGTGAACCTAGAAGTTCCCTAGGCTGACCCAGGAGTTATGTGGTTAGGAAAATTGAGCAGAGGACAAAACAGTTCCCAGCTTGCCCCATTTCCTTTCTTCCTCTGGAGCAAGAAGCAGGTTCCTAGAACTGACAACTGTAAATGTCAGAGACCCAGAATGTATTGATTAATCAGGCATTTAGCAAAGTCTTTCAGGAAATTCTTGTGGACAAGAAGGAGAAATGCGGACCAGATGACGGTATAATTTGGGCGACTGATAGTTGGCTGAAACATGTTCTCAAAGATAGCTGCTGGAAGGGGGCAGGGAGGTGACCTGGGTCTGCCAAATGGCTCTGTCACGGGTCCTGTTCTACTCCTCATTACCATATGTGACTTGGATACAAAGATAGACGGAATGCTCATCAAAACTGCAGATGACACAACGCTGGGAGAAATAACTAATATGATGAAGTCAAGATTAAGAGTTAGCAAATATCAGAATGACTTCAATGGGCTGGAAAAATGAGCTGGACCAGCGAGAAGGAATTGGATGGAGGTGAATGTGAAGTCTTTCATTTAGGTTCAAAAAACCAACGACATGAATATAGGATTGGGACATCCTCAACTGACAACAATTCCCTTCAACAAAACTGATAATTTTAGTTGATCACAGCTAAAAATAATCCAATAGTTTCACATGGCTGCAAAAAAGCTAATGAGATCTTTGGTCATATCAATAGAAACATAACATCCAAATCAACTGGAAGAAACAATCTCACTCAACTCTGTCCTGTTAAGACATCCGGACTGGCACAGTACCTTGCCAACAGACAACATTCAACAAATACTTGTCACACAAATGAATGGATACCACATTTTCAGATGGACTTTGAAACTAAGATAGTTAGTTTGGAGACTGTACTTTAAAGAGAAGGCTGAACAAACATGGAATGTTTAGCCTGGAAGAAACTAAGGAGACCCACATGAGATGGGTTTTCAAATATTTGAAGAAATTTCACATTTGGTTTTACTCCAGAGAGAATAAAAATTAAGGGTCAATGGTCAGAAGATATGCAGAGATACAACTTGGCTCCAGTAGAAAATGAGAACTGTTTGAAAATCAAGGGTAGTGGTGGCATGTGTTTTATCACTGAATATATTAAAGTAGAAGTGGGATGATCATCTTTCATGTCTTAAGTGTTTCAGAATGTATGTCTGCATTCATTGAGAGTTAGGCCTGGGCTGGGCATGGTGGCTCATGCCTGCAATCCCAACATTTTGGGTGGTGCAGGAGGATCACTTGAGCCCAGGAGTTTGAGACCAGCCTGGGCAACACAAGGAGACCTCATCTCTACAAGAAAAAAAATTAGCCAGATGTGCTGGTGCTTGCTTGTAATCTCAGCTACTTGAGAGGCTGAGGTGAGGATCACTTGAGCCTGGGAGTTCAAGGCTGCAGACAGCCATGATCACATCACTGCACTCCAGCCGGGGTGACAGAGTGAGACCCTGTCTCAAAAAGAAAATGATCAGAACTAAGTTTAGTGAAGAGTTATATTTTTTAAAAGACAATATGAAAAAGAAAAAAGAAAGTTAGGCCTGGAAGACCTGTTAGATTTCTTCCAACTGTAAGGTTATAAGAGAGATGATTCTAAGATGCTTCTGGTCTTGTTTCTTCAGCTCTGAAGGAGCTTCCAACTCATGGGAGTTGGCTCGCCAACATACAAAGCTTCATGCCAGCCAATCTTGGCCACATATTTCAAAGCAGCAGCTAACAAAAGAACCTGGCCTGCACTCCAGGATGGCAACAAATGAATGGTAACTTTGTAAAAAGAGGTTCAGTTTTGATCTATTTGTTTAACTTTTCTCAATGCAGACACTAGAGAAGAAAAAAAAAAAAAAACCTGACAGTGCCCATATGTCTTCATCATAGTGGAAGAAAATCCTACTTGGAAATTATGATCAAAAGTGGACTCTAATATTGACTTTTCTGGACTGTATTTTTGTTTCTTAACAAAAATCATATTAAGTACGTTTGGAAAGGAATAATGCTTTTAAAGGACTACATATATTTTGACACTGTTTGGTAGCCATATTTAATACTAATGGACCCTATAAATCCCAACAGGATCTATTTGCTTCTTTATTTGAAATAACACTATGGAAATTTTCTACTAGAGGAGACTGAAAGTGCTGAAGGGCCATCGAGGGTGTGCTGACCCAGCTCTGAGATGGCAACTGGTGTTCATGCCCTTCTATAAGTCCCTCACACACTGAATAACACTGACCTTGTAACCAATAAGATTGCAGAGATGACAGGGTATGACTTCTGGGACTAGGTCATAAAATATATTGGGGCTTCTACCTCGCACTTTCTTAGATCACCTGGGGAAGTCAGTGCCATATTGTGAAGACACTCGAACAGCTCTATAGAGGTGCATGTGGCAGGGATCTGAGGCCTCCTACCAACAGTCAGTACCAATTAACTAGGCACATGAGTGAGACATCTTGCAAACAAATCTTCCAGCCCCAGTTAAGCCTTCAGATGACTGCAGACCCAACTAACATCTTGACAACAACCTCATGGGAGGCCCTAAGCCAGAACCACCCAGTTAAGCTGCTCCTGAATTCTAGAGTCACAGAAACTTTGTGGGGTGATAAATGTTTATTATTTGATAATAAATATGATAAATGTTATTGCTACCTTTGGGAATAATTTGTTATGCAGCAATAGTTAATGAATATGGGGGGGTTAACATAGAGCTACCATGAGTAAAACTCAGTTTTTCTCTGTAGTGCTTAAATAGTAGGGGGCCAACAAGAAGAACCAATATGTATAAACCGGGGACACAGGAAACCATACAGAAGATACAAGTTTTGTCTTTCCAGGACTGCAATGAATGATTAGGCAATGCCAGACACCAGCAAGGTAAAGTGACCTTGGCATTAAATACGAAACGTAGCTATCTTGTACGCAAACAGGTAATGTTCATAATTGTCCCAAGGCAGTCTTTTACTATTTTCACTGAAGAGACAGCTACCAGCCCGTCGAGAGAAAGGCCAAAACCCAGATTCTAAAAGTATCTGTTGACTTTAAATGGCCCAGGATAAATCAGCTCCCACAGAGTCAAGGGCATTACCGTCAGCTTCTGATGTGAGTTCAGGACTGGAGGTAACATAAACCAAGCTAGAATGTGCAAATATGTCCACATGCCATCCAGCCCTACTGGCAGGCAAAGGCATAATAAATTCAAGGTGGAATGTACACTGATCCATTAATTTGGGGAGGACAGGCATGATACTTAAGTGCCTTTTAATATACCATTCAATCTACTCCTGGGGTTATCTGGGACCAATGGCATGCTTTCAAAAAAAAAAAAAAAAAAAAAACCAGGCAACTTGTATTTCTTCTCCACCTTGCTTATCTACCTATATTTTTATGAATGCTGGTAAGTGATTAATTTCTTCTATTAGTGAGTCGGCTCAGAACATTGACCTAGCTTTCAACCTCTTAGCCATTCCCTTAGGGAATCTTTTCAGAATGTGCTCAAGAAAAAGAATTACCACTGGTATCGTGGGCCACAGAAATCAAGTGGATAAAAAGGGGACAGCTCCAGAGAAACATGAAAAAGGGGTCTTGACACCTATTATAGGATAGACATTAGTGTGGCCAGAAGTAGAAAATCAGAGACAGGCCCAGAGGTAGAGACCGCTGGTAACTTTGGGGCTGCAAAAGGTATGGTTGAGTGTGGCATAAGAGAAGTAGATCCGGGCTGTGTGAGACTGAATATATAGTCTTTAAGAGAGAACACAATCCAAAAAATTAAATGTATAAAGCTTATCTGCCTAATACCTCATCTCCCTAGAACGTATTAACCCACTCTCTACTCTCTAGTTCAAAGCAGCACACAATGAGCCAATCCTTTACAAAATAAAAATGTTATTCTTAAGTAAGGTTAGTTATTATATGTAACTTTTTAGTTTATATATATTCATTCCTAAGTTTGTATATATTTTAATATGAGGGTTCTGGGTCATTTTTACTTTGGGAATGTATGTGTTTCTTTTTGTATTTTTCAAATTAAAAAGTAGCCTGAAAAATACCAAGACCTGCTTCAAATATTCTACTTTATGCAAGAGATACAACTATTTGAAGAAAACTTGCAGAAGAAATATTTCATTCTACCTTAAACTAAGCAAGGTGAGCAAAACCCATGCCAGAGACAGTTCTGGGCCTTTTTGCTGGGTGACCAGCTCAGGAGCATGTTGACGAGAGAGAGAGAGAGAGACAGAGAGAGAGAGAGAGAGAGAGAGACAGAGAGACAGAGAGACAGAGAGAGAGAGAGAGACAGAGAGACAGAGAGAGAGAGATAGTTGGGCATGGTGGCACATGCCTGTAGTCCCAGCTACTCAGGAGGCTGAGGCAAGAGAATCGCTTGAACCTGAGAGGTGGAGGTTGCAGTGAGCCAAGATTGCACCACTGCACTCCAGCCTGAGCAACAGAGGGAGACTCTGTCAAAAAAAAAAAAAAAAAAGAAAAAAAGAAAATGAAAAAGAAAAGGCTGATACTACTCAAGATTCAAAGGGTGAAGTTAGGAATTCATGAGAAAGCTGTGTAAAGTATACCTTTCAGGTCCCTAAAATATAATTCCCAAATATTTTCAATCCAAGTGTTAATTATAAATAAAACATAGTCAAGCAGAGAAAGTTCCATCTGAGCATCTAGCAAAGTAAAGAACTTGTGACTGGCCATCCACAGTGGGCACGACTGAAAATGAATCACAGAGTCAAGGTTTTTAAAGGGTAAATAAGTTTTTGTTTTTAAAAATTCTGTGTGAAAGACTATAACCTAAAGTTGCAGAGATCTCACAGAATAAGAATGGCCCTCTTTCAGTAACGTAAATGTCTTCCATGCTTTCTCCAATAACATCTAAGGATGAATACAATATTTTCCTCACCTTTATTTCCCTTTTAGAAAGTCCTAGGCTATCTAGAGTCTTGATGTGTGACAATTACATGATCAGTTAACATTTATGCTTTATCATTCATGAAGTACTTTTGGTACCTTACTTGTTTTGAGCTTAATAACAACCCCCAGAAGCAGGCATAGTATTTTTACTTGCGAGGAAACAGGTGTTTGGAAGTCAGTGAACATTTATTGAGTTCTTACCAGGTATGCTGGACTCTACCAAGTACTTTATACACCTTATCATAGTCCTACTGCAGTACTGTTGTTTTTTTACATTTATTATCCTAATTCTAGAGATAAGCACACTAAAGTTTAGAAAGGGAAGTATGTTGCCTTTGATAATATTGTTATAAATATAATAAAATACAAACTAAGACAAAATAGAACCTTTGGCTCCAAATCCCAGGCTCTTTCCACAGTGTAACAATAGATGTATGAATCATATTTCCACGTGTATTTATATCACAAAATCCTTGTTCTAAGTTCATCTGATTTTTGGCAAGTCACCAAATTTCTCTGAACTTCAGTTTTATTATCTGTGAAAGAGAAATACTAGCAACAATTATAACAATTAATCCATGGTCATTAAAGAATTAAACCAATGCATATACATATAAATGTAAATATGCAATGCATATAGATTATAATAAGATTATATTTTCACCGGATTGTTTCACTTTTAATAATGTATCCCAGGTCTAGAAAAGCCCAGGAATCCTCTGGGAAAGGATTCTGGTAACTGCTAATATCACAGATCCCCTGACTTCATTTGTTCATTCCCCACATATATGCTAGGCATTGTCATGGCGCTGGAAATCCAACGGTGAGGAAGATGGACTAAGACTCTTCACTCCTGGGGCCCACATTCTGGAGAGGAAGACAGGCCATAAACATATAACCAAAGACATGCTAAGACCTCAGGTAAGAATAACGGATCCGGGAAAAATCAGGCAGTGTGAGGGGGTAGAGTACAGTGGTGGTGGAGGGACAAGTCTTGGAGACAGGCTGGTCAGAAGATGACCCTCTGAACAGAAGCATCGAAGAAGTGAATGAGTGAGCCTGGTAAAGGCCCCAGGGTCAAGTGTTCCAGCAAGTGTCAAGCCCCTGAGGCAGACATAGGCTTGGCAAGACCAAGAACAAGGCTGGGGTGTCTGTGCTGAGTGGGAATGGTAGGTGGGAGGCTGGAGCTCTGGGAAGGAGCCAGACCTTGAAAGGACCCTGTTGTCCACAGCAAGGAGACTGGACGGCATTTCAGGTGATGAATCCATTTCTTAGCCCCAGCCAGAATGGGCAAGGTTGGAAACACTTGCATTACCATCTTGGCTTTTTTTTTTTTTTTTTTTTTTTGAGGCGAGATCTCACTCTGCCACCCAGGCTGGAGTGCAGTGGCGTGATCTCAGCTCACTGCAACCTCTGCTTCCTGGGCTCAAGCAATTTTCCAGCCTAGCCTTCCAAAGCTGGCACTACAGGAGCACGCCACCAATGCCCGGCTAATTTTTACATTTTTTGTGGAGATAGGGTTTCACCATGTTGCCCAGGCTGGTCTTGAACTCCTGAGCTCAGAGCGATCTGCCTGCCTCAGCCTCCCAAATTGCTGGGATTGCAGGTGTGAGCCACTGCGCCTCGCACATCTTGGCTTCTTTATTGGACAGAATTCTGCATACCCTGGGGACTTTATCCTTGTTTAATGGATGTTCATGAGACAAAGTTCACAAGTTCTCTCAATGAGACAAAGTTCTCTCAATGAGACAAAGTTCACAAGTCAGCCTAGAAACTGTAGCTTCTGGAGGGAAGGCCATCCATGGCCCTAAGATATTTCCTTGAAGGGACTCTTGTACTTCCCCAGAACCCTCATTTAATCATCTTGAGCTGAAATAACACTGGTTTGTTAAAGAAGGGAATGCCTCAAGATGGATTTTTGAAGGGAAAATTTCTTGGCTGCTGCTATGAAAAGAGGTGAAAATGGAGAGAATTTACATGTTTTAATCCACAGCAGAAGTTTTGCCTCCCCATTCTACCCTAACACTCTTTCAATTTCTAGAATAGGGGCTTGTTGAAAAGGAAGCAGTGCAGCCTCAAGGTGGGGCTCCCAGACTCAGAAGTTCCACTGCTGAGGTCTGATTCCTGACTCAGCCACCCACCAAGTATAAGACTGCAGGCAAACTGCTATGTACCTCAGTTTTCCCATCTGTGAAATGGGGATGGTAACAAAACCCACCTAACAAGTATGTTTTGAGATGATTGCTTGAGATGATCAGGTAATATGCTTAGCACAGTGCCTTCATCATCACCATGAATCATGAAACAATGCTTTTTTTCTTTTTCAACAAAGATGATCATTTAAGCATCTTCACCATCTGACCAAAATTTGAAGGCAGCTCCTTTTGCTCCTGGCAAAAATTCTTTCCAGAAGTGAAAGAAATTAGGAAAAAGAAATGCATTACTTTGCCTTAAACTGTGAGGTGAAGGGAGTACACAGGGTGGAAAGCATATAAATAAACATGGTGTGCTGCATTAGCACTCTTTGGATGCTTAACGGGACATTTTCAAGCTATTTATTTAAGTAATCCAAAAGTAAACCACAAGAGGAAAAGAGAGGAAGAGAAAAGTTCTTTCCTTATACCCAAAGCAAACACCGCAAAATAACTTTGCCATTCGTAAGAGGGGATCCCAGTTAAGGTAGTCAAAGCCTGACTTTGCTTACAAAAGGTGGCCCCCTCAGAAAGGTCAGTGGGTCAAACAAGGCTGAGCTTGACCCCTGACTTTCGGACAGGCTCAGAAAGAGAGGAAACTGACCTCAACGGGGCAGGATCAATGGCCTCTGTTGCTCAAGGGAAACAAAAGGACCTATCAGAATTGATGGGAAAAGCACAAAAAATTGCACTCCTTGCTTTAATCTAGGGCCACCAGAGGTGAAGAGAGCAATTTTGTCTTTGACACCTCCCACTTCTCTTTCAGCATCTACTTGTGTCAAATTTCTACCCCCCTCCTCAGTGCTTCTAATTTCTGCCTGCTACCTCTCAGCCAAATTGGGGTTCATCTGGAACGGATTACATCCACAAATTCACTTTCACACTAGGCCTGGTGTCATGCTACAGAGAACAGCATTTTATTACAGCCCAACTCCTTAGGTAGAAGGAATGAATCCCTAATGCTGGGGATGGGTCTAATGGCATATGGACCCACCTCAAGAGACAAGCTGCCCTGGAGCATGGAATGATGGCTACTCATTAAGGGAGTGGCCTGTCTTATCCATGAAGCAGCAAGGCCAAGGGGGTGGCTGATGGAGATAAAGAACACTCTCCAATCACACACCCTACCAAAGCCTCCAAATCAATATACAGTCAAAGCGAAAATTATAGGCTTCTCAGTAAACACGACTACATGACAAGCCCTGTAATATCACCTTCCATGCAACCTGACACCCTAAGCCCTTCTGATTTCATCATTGTGGTGCCGCTGCTGCATCAAGTATGAAAACCTTCTAGCCTCAAGGGGCTCAAGACTTCTACATCAGGCAGAAGGAGGGAAAGCAAAGTTCTGCTCTTTTCTAGCCCTCATTTCTCCTGCTCTGCAGACCTCCAACAAATACACACAGCCACAAAAGATGCCTTGGCCCAGAGAAACCAGGCAGGAATTTTCTCATGGTAGAAAATCCAGCCCCACGTGATCAGCAGGTGATGCAGCCATTTGTGGGTGACAAAGGTGGGCATAGGAAGGGAGAGGGAGCCTCTAGTCAAATCAGAGAAGATTCATGTTGAAAATCAAAGCTGTAGCAGGGGTCCCACAGGCTTCTGGCTTTGGAAGGAGAGAGTGTTTATTCCTCCCATCTTGATCTCTTCAACTGGGCTTTGGGGATTTTATTGATTCAGTCAATTTAGCATGTCTTAGTAATGAATTCTTGTTAATTTTGTTCCTCTTTGGAATGACCTTAGTGTCAGGGAGAGATGTTTGGAGAGCTGAGATTGCAAAGGGAGGGAAACTAGCCTGCCAACACTGCACTGAGAAAGCCTTCTTTTCAATTACCTTTCTGACCACTTAGAATGAATTTTAACGGGCTGTGCTTTTCCTGGGACATTTTTTCTTTGAACTTCCAGACTTCCCTTCATTGCAAGTTGCCATAATATGAACCAGATTCTTTTTCTCCCTCTTGTTTGCTTAAAAGGCGTTAACTATAAATTAGAGTATCTTAAGAGCGAGGTGTCACACGCGGGGCCTCGGGCTCCTTGGCCCTGGAGCCCCACAGCTGGGAGAGGGGCCAGGCCACCTCTTTCTTTGGTGGCCAGACTCCAAGACCCAGGCCAGGGATGATCCCACCCTTCTTTTCAAAGCTATCCAGTTACATCAACATACAGAAAATGCCTTGTTTAACTTAAGTATTAAGGTTTATTACCTTTAAAAAGAAAAAAATTCTTTCCTAGAGGTGCAAGAGAGGAAAGAGTGGGGTTTCTTTTTGTTTTTGTTTTGTTTGAGATGGAGTCTCACTCTATCACCTAGGCTGGAGTGCAGTGGTGCTATCTCTGCTCACTGCAACCTCCACCTCCTGGGTTCAAGCGATTCTCCTGCCTCAGCCTCCCAAGTAGCTGGAATTACAGGCATGCACCACCACACCTGGCTAATTTTTGTATTTTTAGTAGAGGTTGGGTTTTGCCATGTTGACCAGGCTGGTCTCAAACTCCTGACCTCAAGTGATCCATCTGCCTTGGCCTCCCAAAGTGCAGGGATTACAGGTGTGAGACACTGTGCCCAGCTGAAAGAGTGGTTTTAAATGTACATTTGAGTTATTTTCCATGCAATTCTTTCACTCTAAAGAGCATGCCCCCACCATGGAAACCAGGTTCATTTGCAATGCTCCCATGCCTGGAAGAGATGCCTGGAGTGTCTCATCTGTGGAAGCTGCCAGCAGGCGGTTATGATGGTCACAACACAAGAAGGCAATGACCATCACAATCCATTTTTTACATGTACCTATTCATTAAATTCTCATCAGAAAATCTTTAAAACCGCACATACCCACATCCCTCAGTGTCTGGATACAATACCTCCAGGGAACAAAGCCACCAACCAGCGGACAACCATTGTTGTAGTGTAATTCAACTTTGTTTTTTGGACACTGAAATTCACAGCTGTTACTCAATGTCAAAATCTAAGTCGCCAAGTACCAATTGTTTACAGGTATAGTACTAAATAATTTCACATCTGCTCCTGTCACCAAATATGATTTCCAATTATTATCCAATGTATTATTCGTTTGTGGCAGGTGACACCGTGTTGCTCCATGGCCCTCACAGTGAGGCATCCAAGGACAAAGGAGATGACAGATCAGTTCCTGAAGCCCATTTCAGACAGAAGGGTCTGACAGCAAAACACTTTGAACTTGTAAGAACTGGGTACTTCAGATCAAAGAGTTTAAGTTTTGAATTCTGAAAGGGCTTGGCCTGTAAGCTACATTGTAGAGAAGAGGAGAGCTACGGCATGAGGCAATGTCTTGCCACAGGGGAAAGGGTGGTCTTAGTCTGCTCAGGTTTCCATAAAAGAATACCATAGATTGGGTGGCTAAATCACAGAAGCTGATTTTCTCACAGTCCTAGAGGCTGGAAGTCCCAGATCAAGGTCCAGAAGGGTTGGGCTCTCGTGAGGCTCTCTTTCTGGCTTGCAGATAGCCACCTTCTCGCTGTGTCCTCACATGGCCTTTCCTCAGTGGTTATGAGCAGAGACAGAGATAAACTTTCTGGTGTCTTTTCTTATAAGAGCACCAATTTCATCACAGGGGCCCTATCCTCATGACCTCATCTAAATTTAACTGCCTCCTGGCCAGGTGCAGTGGCTCATGCCTGTAATCCCAGGACTTTGGGAGGCCAAGGCAGGCAGATCACCTGAGATCAGGAGTTCAAGATCAGCCTGGCCAACAAGGTGAAACCCCGTCTCTACTAAAAATACAAAAATCAGCTGGGTGTGGTGGCGGCACCTGTAATCCCAGCTACGTGGGAGGCTGAGGCATGAGAATCACTTGAACCCAGGAGGTGGAGGCTGTAGTGAGCAGAGATCGCGCTACTGCACTCCAGCCTGAGCGACAAGAGCAAAACTCCGTCTCAAAAAAATATAAATAATAAATAATAAATTTACCTCCTAAAGGCCCCATCTCCAAATACCATCACCTTGGGGTTAGGGCTTTAACATATGAATTTTTTTTTTTTTTTTTTTTTGGTGGAGGGGAGCCACAATTTCAGCCATGACAAGGGTTAATCCCTTTGAGAGCTGAGGGAGGAGGGGAGACTGGCACGGAGGGACTAAAGTTTCCAGTGTGGAACTTTTTCCTTCACCTCATGCAGCCTCCCCCATACCCAGCCCAGGGTAGAAACACCTGGGGGTGGGAATAGAAAACTACAGAGAGTTTTGGGAACCCAAAGCCACAGGGACTTGGGTCCTCCTTCCCAAATGGGAAAATGGGAGCTGGGAGATCACCTTGCAGAGTGACCCCAGCAACACAGGACAGCTGCAGGAGAGGAGATGCAGCGCTGTGGCAAGTCCAGCAGAGAAAGGAGCTGGCACAGCAGCCACAAAGCCAGTATGTGGCTACAGGAGGTGGTTAGGCATGAGGTGGATGGCCAGAGCTGGGAGCCTGGCAGGGATGCAGGGGAGCCTGTGAGCATCAGCAGCACTCATGAAGACCATGGTGGAGCTTGAGCTTGAGCTAGTAAGGAGGGTCCTGAGGGAAGGCTGGAGTCCACCAACCCTCAACAGTGTGCTGCCAAACAAACCAAGAGTCGCCTCCCTGTGACTGGAGCAGATGCAGCGAGGACATAGGTCCCAGAGACCAGGCAATGCGAAGTGCAGCTCCACTGGTCAGCACGAACCAGCAGAGAAGAACAATGGGGAGCACACCCTCTTTCCTCAGGACCAAAACGCTGTGTATGCTTCCTCCTCCACCCTGACCTACCCAGGAGAACAGACTGAGAAAGGGGAAGAGAAGGGACCTGGAGAAGGAGGGAGGAACTCTGGGAGAGAGGGCAGTTTTCCAAAACAGGCCTAGTCCAGAAGTGACATCTAAACCAGAAAGGACTAGCTTTAACTGACTAGAAAATAAAATATCACCCCTCTCCCAGCCCCCATGCCTCTGTCTACCAAGTGTTAATGCAAATCATGTCCACTGAAGGAGTTCAGGAAATGCCACCCCAAAATATGCCACTTTGGTGTGCTGATTACTTAGAAGTGAAGGCACTTGGGGAGCAGCAGATGCAGGCAGGGAAAGCCTTCCTTATCCGCCTAAAGACGGATCCTGCAAAACAAACTCAATTGTCATGAATCTGCTCCCTGGGAATCTTCTCAACATGGGAAGATTAACTGGGATCACAGGAGTGGAGCTTGGAGGTTGATCCCAGTCCAGACAATCACCTCCGCTCCCAAGGGCTGCTCAGAAGCAACTTGTATTACTCAACAGACTTTTTATCTGCCTAACAAGGTTACTTTATTCACCATACAGTTCCCTGACTCACCCTCCCATAACTTGTGTCGCTACCACCCCTAGAAGCCTCCCTTTTTTTTCTTTGAGAGGGAGTCTTGCTCTGTTGCCCAGGCTGGAGTGCAGTGTTGTGACCTTGGCTCACTGCAACCTCTGCCTCCCGGGTTTAAGTGATTCTCCCACTTCAGCCTCCTGAGTAGCTGGGATTATAGGTGTGTGCCACCATGTCTGGCCAATCTCTGCATTTTTAGTGGAGACGGTGTTTCGCCATGTTGACCAGGCTGGTCTCAAACTCCTGACCTCAAGCAATCCATCCGCTCTGGCCTCCCAAAGTGCTGAGATTACAGGAGTATGCCGCCACGCCCGGCTCCTAGCCCCACTATTCCTTTCTGTAGCTCAGGATGCAATATAGGCTTCAGTCATCTGACCCTTCTTTGAGTCTCATATTTTGTGGGGCTCCCGTGTGTACTTATATAATTAAATGTGGCTTTCCTCCTGTTAATCTGTCTTATGTCAATTTAATTCATAGCCCAGCCAAGGAACCTAGAAGGGTGAGGGGCAAGCCACATTTCCCTCCCCTACACTACCAAGTGAAATGGGGGCTTGTGAACAATTTGAGCTGAGTTATGAGCAAAGTTACACCTCCACAGACTCCAATTTGTCACTAATTTATACTTGTTACATAACCTTGGATGCTATAAGAATTATTATTTCCATTTTGCAGATGAGAAAACTGAAACCTGGAGAGCAGCAGCAACTTGTGAATGAGCACACAACTTGTAAGTGATAGAAGCTGGATGTGAGCTGAATCTTCTGAGCCCAAACCCAAAGTGTCTTCTGTTTCTTTCCTGTTCTACTCTCCCCCAACCCTCTCTGAGTGGGCATAGCTCTCAGGTGAAAATTAGAGCAAGAAAAAAAAAAATCTTCAATTGCCTGCATTATTCTCACCTGGGCCTACAATCACCAGGCACCCAGAGCATGAGTCTCCACTTTTTTCCAGGCCTAAGCTTCCTCCAGGCAGCTATGCCAGTCAAATGAGGCATATGGACACGCAGCCACCCAATTCACTAACTACAATGACTCAAGGCGCAGCGGGTTAGTGAAAGAAGCAACAGGTCTGCCATCCTTGAGTTTTCAAACACACACTGCTGGATTTATATATTTGTCCCACACAATCCCTCCTTCCCTTGTTCCTTCGTTTGCACATCACAACTCCTATGGCCATCCGTGTCCACCCTGGACAGCTGCCCTAGGCCAGAGTCCCAATCCACCTCTTTGCATTGTCATAGGACCTTAATATGGGAAGTAGTTTCTTTTCCTACTTTTAATCCTAAGTAGTTTTTTGTTCCTGTCTACAAATTCTATCATGAATTTGTGGTAAAAGCTACCCAAGGAACTAGGTGGATAACAATTGGTATTAAGATGACTGCTTTTCATTTTCTAGTAGTTGGGCCTGCATATTGGGTATAAATCAATTTTCTCCCAATTAAATCTACTTACTTCTCAAACGCTATTTTCACTTGAACTGTTAAATTTTACTTCTCATTTTGCTCCCAACACTTTACAACCCAGGCTAAAGTGACTATAAAATGTCTACACAGGATGGGGACAACCGATTATCATCATTGTCCTGTGTGACTTTCATGTCTTTAGATTACATGGTAATAAAAATAACAGCTGATTGTATTTTTAGTACTTACAGAGTAGCAGGCACTGTAAGTACTACACAGAATTATCTCCATCTTCACAATGACTCTGTGAAGTAGGTTTTATTATCACCTCCATATTTTCTGAGGCGCAGAGAGGTTAATTAACCTGCCCAAGACCACACAATAGTTAGTAGGTGATGGAACCCAGACAGCAACCCAAGTCTGACTCCAAAGCTCATGTTCTTCACCAGTGTCTGAAATGCCACATAGAAACAGTATCAATGTACCCCCAAATAATGTGTTCAGTGGAACAAGAGTTTTAAACCAGAAGTACTGAATAATAGTGTATGTGTTTATGTCGACAAGAGCAGTTTAAAAGCCCTAATTACTAACTCAAATCAACATATAAGCCTTTTCCATCTGAATATCAAAGTCCTGATGTGGCAACTGAGTGTCCTCTGTGATCACCATCTCAAGGAATGTGGCCAAGGAGAATAGGTTTCCCTTGACCCTCTGGGGCAGTGACCAGGTCGCCCGCTGGTCAGACAGGCACACTGGTAAGGCTGGCCAGTCCATTTTCTGGTTTGCCCACTTTGGCTGCTGTGAGGGAGAATGAACAGAAGGCAAGGGGGTTTGTATGTACTCATGAAATGTGTTTACAGCCAGTCCCCAGTTTTCACCACTTCTCCTTTGACCAATCTATTCACCCAGCCATGCCTGGGAGCCACCTATATTTAACTTTTCACCACCCTGACTGAAGAATTTGTCAGTTTCTACCAGGCAGTTAATATTATCAGTGACTGGTTTCCCAATCAATGCATGAGTGCCATCTAGAGTTAATGGAGGTAACTGCAGCCACAGTGGACAAATCATTCCTTCCTACATCTTCCTAAAAGTCCCTGCAGAGAAAGCAGGAAGGACTGCATTAAGATCATTACAGGACTCAGGGATGGATACCCCATTCTCCATGATGTGCTTGCTTCACGTTGCATGTCTGTATCAAAACATCTCATGTACCCCATAATATACCTACTATGTATCCACAAAAATCAATAATTTAAATTTAAATTTAAAAGAATCATTACATGACTCCATACTAGGCATTACTTACAGCAAACCACGCAAATACGGTTTCTGTTTCTGAAGACTTTGTTATGTAAGGCTGGAAAAAGAAGTTAATACATCTAATATCTATTACCTCAAGATCAAATTATGAAATGCCCCCAAATGTTAAGGGAGTTAGACTTGAGATAAGGACCGGTTGTTTCCTAAGCAGTCTCTGCCACCAAAATATTTGATTTTGCCTTGGGCAAATGACATTTCTCTGGGCGTCAGTCTTCTCAACATTGTCTTCTTAATATTCTCAATGAGGATGTGGACAATATGATACAAGTCATTCTTACAAGGCCCATTTCTAGTATATAATACAAGACTTCCACATAACAACTTTTAATGGCTGCTATTGTTTCAAGCAGGCAGACAGAACAAGAAATAGAGTAAATCTTCTTGTGACCCTAACAGAACCCTGACAATGTTTGTTTTGGCATTGTCCCGTAAAACCAGATCTGTGCCTGGCTCATGGGATATAACCAGAAGTCAAGTAAGCAGAGCTGCCGAGAAAGCTACTGTTTACCAGAGGAAAAGCCACAGATTCAATTGACAAGTAACCTGTACCTTTAGTCCTTCTTTTTGCCTGGAACATGGACTCAGGAGGTGGAAGAGCCAGGATGTGTTCATGAGAACATGCAGTGACATGCCAAGGAGAGCAGAACAAGACTCTAGAAGGCTCCCAAGCCTGTGATGAATTGTAAGTGCATGTTTATTAGCCCAGGACCTCTTCCTCTGGAGTTGTTCCATGAGAAAAACAGTATCTCTTTTGGTTAAACCACTCTAGGGTTTCTGTGGCAAGGAGAATGTCATCGCTAATTGACACAACTCAGGTTTTGTCTTTTATTTTTATATTCAACAAATATTAGCACATATGCCTGTAGCTATGTGCCAGTAACTATGACAGATACTAAAAGACAGTCCTACCTCGAGGCACTTGTGGTCTGGTAGGATAAATTCTATAGCTGTATTAACTTGTCAGAAGGCATCAAAAGGAAGAGAGGTGGTCAGAGAAGTCTCTCCGAGGGTGACTCATTAGCTGAGTATTCAACAATTAGCCTGGCAAAGAGGAGGAAAGGGCTGGGCGTGGTGGCTCATGCCTGTAATCCTTGCACTTTGGGAAGCCAAGGTGGGAAGCCAAGGTGGCGGATCACGAGGTCAAGAGATCAAGACAATCCTGTCCAACATGGTGAAACCCTGTCTCTACTAAAAATACAAAAATTAGCTGGGCGAGGTGGCACATGCCTGTAGTCCCAGCTACTAGGGAGGCTGAGGCAGGAGAATTCCTTGAACCCAAGAGGTGGAGATTGCAGTGAGCCGTGATCGCATCACTGCACTCCAGCCTGGCGACAGAGTGAGATTCTGTCTCCAAAAAAAAAAAAAAAAAAAACAAAAAAAATGGAGGGAAGAGGGCAACAGAGGACACTGTTGTTTGCAAACCCACTGGGCACTTCCCCCTTCCTCCATGCTAACAGTGCCTTCGTTTTCATTCCTGTGTCCTTGTCTCCCCCGGCCCACTCCCCTGACTTCTTTAAATCCCTGTGCCAGTGACAGGCTACAGATGAGCATGAGACTCAGTTTTCACTACTAAGACAAAAGACAAGTTTTTCTTTGAGGGCTTCTAGAAACATGTCCCTGACTCTTAAAGAGCATGCACAAGAAAGAATAGGCTCCTCCTCCTGCTGGACTTCATGTCTTCCCGAGATGCTCAGATCTGTGGCAGACATCCTGAAAACTGGAGGGAAGTGACCCTGAGGAGGCCACACAGAGTTTGGCAGAGAGAAAAAATGAAGAGAAACTTGTCCTTGATGACACTACCGAATTGCTGCCATTAATCAGCCCTAGAACCACCAGACACCCATCTTTATGTGCTTAAACTCTTAGTGTTTAAGCCTTTGCATTGGATTTTCTGTTACCTGCAGCCAAAAATATCCTGCTATGTAAGGCATTCTAGGCAGAAGCAGCAGAATATACTAAAGCACTGAGAAAAATGACAAAAGATGACTTGTTTGGAAAACTAGAGGTATTCAAGACCAACGTATAAGGTAAGATAGTAGTGTGATAAAACAACACTGTAGAACTAAACAGAGACCTAAAGACCGTGGAGGAATTACTGGAAGTTTTACAGGAGAGTGACACATTTTGATTCCTATTTTACAAGACGACACTGGCAATTCTGTATAAGAAAGGGCAATGCTAAATAAAGGAAGACCATTAAAGTGGTTGCTATACTTATCTACACAACTAATGATGAAGGTTTAAAGAAAGGAAGTGATGGCGGGAAGAAGAACAAAGAACAAAGTAGAGAGAACTACTAAGGAGGTAGTTTCCTTGGGACAGTTTCACTATGGGATAGAGTCAGGGGATGGAAAGCGGAATTGATATTGACATTTATATTTCTGGCCTGGGTGATTAGTTAGATGTTGTTCATGGAGATACAGAAGAAAGTATCCAAAGTTATTTTCTTTTGGGAGAGTTGAAGGAAATAAATTCAGTCTTAATTATCTCAAGGTTTGAAGTCCCTGTTAGACAATTAGGCAGAGCGATCTTGCAACTGCATTTTGCTAAATGGTGTAAAACATGGACTCATCTCCACAATTAAGCTCAGCAAAATTTGTCCCATGCTTAATGCTTTGATGTACAAAAAAAGCAAAGCACATCGTAAGGATTTCATATCCCGTCATGGATAACATTTGAATTCTACAACCTTGAAAAGAACTTTCTGAGCCATTAGCCATGAAGATAAATCATCACCTCTTTCCAGTCAGCCAAAACAGTGGTCCTAACCAATGCTTTGAATTTCAGACTTGGGTACTCAGCTGTCTACTTTAGATCACAATTTGGAAATGATGGGAAGGATCATCTGAGAAAACAGAGAACCTCCTGTCAATCAAGATGACGGGGAACAGAACATTGACTTTGCTGGTGCTTCTGTAAATGTGACACATCTGCACTCTGAGGTTGTGAGATGAGGGGATATCCAGGTAACACCTGGTGAAGAATGAACATATGGTATGATATCAGCAGCTCCAGATGAACAGTGTTGCTCCCATGGTGATCTCATGACTGGTTAAATAATAGATGGATTTGTTCATTTGAACAAACATCTTTT
Source organism: Homo sapiens (assembly GCF_000001405.40). NCBI lineage: Eukaryota > Metazoa > Chordata > Mammalia > Primates > Hominidae > Homo > Homo sapiens. The sequence goes on along the minus strand of NC_000015.10, from coordinate 71,445,396 downwards.
GAGTAAGTATTATGCGCTGACTCACTGTGCTAGATAGTGGAGGATCAAAGATGAGTAAGACAAGGTTTGTTCCTAGTTTAGGATTTTTCTGTGCATCTGTGGGGAGGTAGATACGTAAATCAAAAAGGGCAATAAAGAATGATGGGTGTCTTAAAAGAGGTCTATTTGGGGCACGACAGGGAGAGGAAGCCACCCTCTCTGGGGACCAAGAGTAACAGCACTATAGAAGAAATGACACCGAAGCTGTGTCTTGCCAGGTGAACAGCTATTTGCCATGTGTACAGATAGGAAAAGGTATTCCCCATAGAAAAACAAGTAGGGACAGAGCCCAGAGGCATGGCCTATTCAGAGAGCTGTACGTGGTTTGGTATGGTTGGAATGTTTGCTTTAAGAATGGAGAGGTAGGCAGGGGCTAGATCATGGAACATACTGAATGCCATGCTAAGGAATTTGGACTTTTATCTGTGGACAATGGGGAGAGGTAGAGTGGGCACAGAGGCAGGGGAATAATTTATATTTTAGAATCCCTCTGACGGTAAAATGAAAGCTCACCTGAAAAAGAATAAGAAAAGGAAGGAAGACTAGTTAGTAGACCACTGCAATGGTCCAAAGAAGATGATGTGAAATGAAGCTCTTCTGAGACTTCAAGAATAAATAGAACTGGGTCACCAATGATCATGGAGAGGTGGGAATGAAGAAGGCATCCAGCTGGTCTGTCATGGGGACTCATTGAGTGGAGGTGTCACTCACCAAAATCAGAAACCCAAGAGCGTGCACAAGGGAGGAAGAAAATATAATGAGCTCAGGTTTAGTCACGTGCAGCGTGAGGTGCTGTGAGATGTGTGGGTAGAAATGGAAAGCAGTGAATTAGCAGATGAGTCTGGTGCTCAGGAGAGAGGCATGGGCTACAGACGACACATGGATTCTCTTGGTATATTTCTGTCTTCTGACTAAGAGTTACATTGACATGTGACTGGACAAGATTAACAATGACACCAGTGGCTGTAGAAGAGACGGCATCAGTCTGGGACTCTTCAGGTGGACCCCATGCTTTAGAATTCTCCACTGAGTTCTTCAGAATTTGTGATTTGCAATATCTTAGATGGAAGGGATCTAGCAGTGATCCTGTCCAAATCTGCACTTAGTGTAAACATCCCTTTTTGGCACCAGTTTCTCCAGCTTACCAGTTTGTCCACACTCAACCCAAATACCTCTCTGCGTGCCTGTCCACCCAGCAACCCACCATTCATCATGCATTTATTAAGCACTTGCACCGTTTTAACAGGGAAGGTGTTATAACAAGGAATAGGCCATTCATTGTGGGGAAGTTCTAGTTCTTAGGAACTTTTTTTTAAATGCAGACAAAAGGTCTATTAGATCAGAAAGGACCACCTCAGCCTTGGATAACCATGAGACAGACAGATTTTCCACTGAGAAGCAGCACCTATGCTTTAGCAGTGTGGCTGTCTTTACTTCTAGGATTTGCCTCAGGGCCTTTCTTAAAATGAAATGAGATAACATAAAACAGAAGCATTTGAAGAGTATTTGTTATGCACCTTTGCTTTAGTTTTGAAATTCTATTTTCCCATTGTGCTTTCATTCAATATAGAGCTTAACAGCTGAAGCAATGTATGTTGTAGAGGGAATGGGGTCAGGATACAGCTTTGAACATGCACCTTTTATGCTTTTCAAAAAGCGCAACGTGGAAATTTTTTAACGAGTGATCTGGGATGCTGCGGTTCTGCAAATGCCCAGCAGGGGGACCTGGAAGGGACAACATACAGGTTTGCTGTGTTTTTTGTTTTGTTTTGCCTCTGAACTTAACATGTATTTTCAAAGGGCTGTTTCAATGCTTCCTCTTTGCAAAATTCGATGTTCTCCCTCCTTACTCTAAATTCAGAAATACACTGTAGCTTCCAAACAACATCAGGTGGGGTGCTCATATATACATAGAGAGAGAGAGGGATCTGTTTTTCTTTTAATTACAGGTTGGACATCAGTCGATAGAAGCCAAGTTGGGTAAAAAGACCTGCAGAGAGAAAGGATAGCTTCACCTTTCGGTCACAAACAGCATTTATGAGCAACCAGAGCAACCCAGGGAGGCCAGAGAAGGGGAGAGCCTAGGCCAATCTCCCTAAAAAGGAATGCTTTGAATGTAAAAAGAAAAATCCTTAACATTTTTCCTCCTCCAACTTTGTATTTGGAAAGATTTCACACCTAAAGAAAAAGTTGCAAGAATAGTTCAACCAACATTCATGTACCCTTCACCTAGATTCAGTGAACATTTTGCCACACTTGTTTCACTGTCTCTCTGCTCCCCTCTTTCTCCCCCTTTCTCTTGTATTTTTAGTGTATTCATAATTCTTTCAACATTTCTTAAGTACCTAATCTTCCTGGGTCTGCCCTCAAGGGGCTCATGGTTTATCGGAGGGTTCGATGCATAAACAGTCTAGCAAGAACAAGAAGGTGTCAAGCACAAGGGACTATGGGGACTGGAAACACAGTAAAAGGAGCAACGATGCCTGCCAGAATCAGAGATTGCTCTACCAAAGGTGACCTATGTGGGTACATAAGGGAAGAAAAAGATTTCCAGGCAGAGGGAACAGCCTATACCAAAGCAAAGAGGAAGCAGAGTCATGTGTCTGAGTTTTGTTTGTCCTGTTTTGAAACTTCTGCTTTCATCTCCTCCCTTCATATATATATATATATATATATATATATATATATATATATATACACACACACACACACATATACACACACATACATATATATATACACACACACACACACACATATATATATATATATATATATTTTTTTTTTTTGAGATGGAGTTTTGCTCTGTTGCCCAGGCTGGAGTGTAGTGGTGTGGTCTCGGCTCGCTGCAACCTCTGCCTCCCGGGTTCAAGCGATTCTTCTGCCTCAGCCTCCCAAGTAGCTGGGATTACAGGTATGTGCCACCACGCCCAGCTAATTTTTGTATTTTTAGTAGAGACAGGGTTTCACCATGTTGGCCAGGCTGGTCTTGAACTCCTGACCTCAGGTGATCTGCCTGGCTTGGCCTCCCAAAGTGCTGGGATTACAGGTGGGAGCCACTGCACTCGGCCTCATCTCCTTCCTTTGGATAGCAACAAGGGGCTGGGTGCGGTGGCTCATGTCTGTAATCCCAGCACTTTGGGAGGCTGAGGTGGGTGGATCACGAGGTCAGGAGATGGAGACCATCATGGCCAACACAGTGAAACCCCATCTCTGCTAAAATACAAAAAAATTAGCTGGGTATGGTGGTGCATGCCTGTAGTCCCCACTACTCAGGAGGCTTAGGCAGGGGGATCGCTTGAACCCGGGAGGCGGAGATTGCCGTGTGCCAAGATGGCGCCACTTCACTCCAGCCTGGTGACAGAGCAAGACTCTGTCTCAAAAAAACAAAACAAAACAAAACAAAAAAGATAGCAACAAGGGCTACCATTTAGCTACTGCATGCTTACTAAGCTGTGCCAGGCATTGTCTAGGGCTCTTTTATGCACCGTCTCATTGAATCCTCACAAACCTGCGGGGTCAGTACTGCTCTCATCCCCGCTTTACTAAAGTGGAAAATGAGGCTCAGAAAAGTTAGGAACTTAATAAAGGAGATCCAGCTCCTGAGAGGCAGGGTAGTAAGTCCTACTGCATGTTACTATATCTTCTTAAAGTTCTACAGGTGAGGCTGGACATGGTGGCTCACGCCTGTAATGCCAGCACTTTGTGAGGCCAAGGCGGGCAGATTACGAGGTCAGCAGTTCGAGACCAGCCTGGCCAACATAGTGAAACCCCGTCTCTACTAAAAATACAAAAATTAGCTGGTGTGGTGGCGCACACCTGTAGTCCCAGCTACTCCTGAGGCTGAGGCAGGAGTATTGCTTAAAAAAAAAAAAACCCCAGGGGGCAGATTTTGCACCACTGCACTCCAGCCTGGGCAAAAGAGCAAGACTCCATCTCAAAAAAAAAAAAAAAAAAAAATTCTACAGGTGAAACTCTCCAAGGACACTGAGGCTTTCTTCCATCCCTCTCTCCCGAACCCTGTTGCCCACTGATCCCAATATCCAGTTACAATATCCTGGACAATTTCTGCACCTGGTCACTGCCTGTCTTTGCTACCCCCAGACATCAAGATCCATGCAAATGACTTCCCAGACACATCCCCGCATCACCATCACCATTACCCATCACCAGCACTGCTATTTATTATTCACAATGCACCCTGCACTGAACCCAGATCATTATACATGAAACATCTCATTTAATTCCCCCAGAATTTTATGATGTGGACTCAGTATCTCAAATTTATAGATAAGAGGACTGTGTCTCTGAGAAATTTTATGACTTGCTTAAGATAATCTGACTAGTGAATTTATACACACTCCTGGTCTGAGAAGAGCCAAAGAAGGACTGAACTAAACAACAACAAAAAAACAGATTCAGAACTGAGTCTGAAGAGCAGTTCACTTTGCATGTCCATACATAATTGCTCCCAAGTGTAATTTACAGTTCTTGATGTTATCATCAAGGAGCAATTACCCTTCTAATTCAAACTGTCCCCAGTTATTGCCCCAATGACTCCACTTCCATTTTTGTATTTTGGCCTTTTTGGTGCATTGCCAGCCCTGAATTAAACAGTAATTTATGCTGGTTTCCCTATGAGCTGCTTTTGAGAAAGATATGTAATTTTAGTACTGAACACTAGATGTCACGATCAACCAGTTCAAGAAAAAGTCATCATCAAGCAGTATTACAAGTCTCACGTTTACTTGTGCTATATGATCTATAAAAGCAGGAACACGGCAATAAGGCATAGACTTTCATTTAAAAAATATTGGATGGTCTCTAGCCTCATTCTGAGGGGGATTATATATCTATCCAAAAATAGAAAGAGTTTATCTTTCCCTAAACAAGAAATAATAGCATGAGTACACCAAACATTACTGAAACACCATGCATTGTATTTTATTTATATCATATATTTGAAATTTCATATTGTATGTGTGAAGTATTTAAATTAGGCCTTTAGAAACTGACTTGAAACTCAAAGGATATAAAAATCCTTCATCCACAAGAAGTTCATCATAGCTCTCACAAGGGAGACAAAGCTTATATTGAGGTTTTGTTAAGCAGTTTTGAGGAAATGAGATTAGTATTTGGAAAGCAAATGTTGGAATCCAAAATCTTTGTTCATGCATGATCATATTCAGTCCATTTAAATGACAATCATGGCTGTCACTGATCTCCCTTCCTTAGTCCATTTGGGTGAATGTGGAGGTGGGATGGAAAAAAAAAATCTTTTTGGCTGGCAGCACTCAAGATTTGGTTAGGAAACTAGGTTCAGAATATTCTTTTTTTATTATTATTATACTTTAAGTTCTGGGGTACATGTGCAGAACATGCAGTTTTGTTACATAGGTATACACATGCCATGGTGGTTTGCTGCACCCATCAACCCGTCACCTACATTAGGTGTTTCTCCTAATGCTATCCCTCTCCTAGCCCCCCACACCCACCAACAGGCCCCAGTATGTGATGTTCCCCTTCCTGTGTCCATGTGTTCTCATTGTTCAACTCCCACTTATGAGTGAGAACATGTGGTGTCTGGTTTTCTGTTCCTGTGTTAGTTTGCTGAGAATGATGGTTTCCAGCTTCGTCCATGTCCCTGCAAAGGACATGAACTCATTCTTTTTTACAGCTGCATAGTATTCCATAGTGTATACGTGCCACATTTTCTTTAACCAGTCTATCACTGATGGACATTTGGGTTGGTTCCAAGTCTTTGCTATTGTGAGTAGTGCTGCAATAAACATAGATGTGCATGTGTCTTTATAGAATGATTTATAATCCTTAGGGTATATACTCAGTAATAGGATGGCTGGGTGAAATGGTATTTCTAGTTCTAGATCCTTGATGAATCATCACACTGTCTTCCACAATGGTTGAACTAATTTACACTCCCACCAACAGTGTAAAAGTGTTCCTATTTCTCCACATCCTCTCCAGCATATTCTTAAGCACTATAATTACTAGCATTTTGCTGGGAATTGTGAAAATAGAACACAAGAAGAGTAAGTAGAAAAAAATAGTAAATTTCAAGCCATTAGAAGATGGATTGATAAACTTTAAAAAATTGCTATGATCCATATGCAATAAAACAAAACTTGTGAAAGATACCGCCTATTTACTGAATGGCAGAAGACGGTTCCTCAAGAGCCGCCTATGGGAGCAGTGATTTGTTTTTCCATGTCAAATCTAGTTTGTCCTAAAAGCAAACAGCTGCCAAAAGCATATTCTGCATTTTTCAATAAATTTTCCAGTTCTCTATTTTTTAATACTTTCCCTCAACTGTCCATGAGATCTTGATCTGGCCTACCGTGGTCTTGTCATTTGGAATGCTTTTCATGATTGTAACTCCTGCCATTCTGCTCCAAAAAGTCATAGAATATTCATTTTTCAATCAAGTAAAAATATATTGTAAACAGGAAGTCTTGTTAAGGTACCTAAATACAGGTGGCTTTTCCAAGTGATGAACAAAGAAAGGTTTCCATTTGAAGTCCATAAATGCATTAGCCCCGAGCAAAGCAAACTTACCTTTCATCACTTCAAACACCTGTGTGTTCTGCTTCTTTTTCGAAATGTATGTTCTAATATTTGTATATGAAAAGACAGAGATTCATAGAATTGAATACAAAGCCAAAAATATACACAAGTAATAAAGAGGGAGCCTCAAAATAGTGGGGGCAAGGTGGACTATTCAATTATGGTTTAGGTAATTGGGTAATTATCCATAATTGGGTAGCCATCTGAAAAAAAGTAAAATTGAACCCATACCTCACACGATACACTAGGATAAATTCCAAATGAATTAATGTAAAAGGTAAAAATGTAAAAACACAGAACCATAAATTGCTGAAAGAAAACAGGATGATTTCTTAATAACTTCAAACTGTAGGTCTTTCTATGACATAAAATCCAGAATCACAAAAGAGAAAATTGCTAAATTTGCCATTTAAAAAATGTGAAACTTCTGCATGGCAAAAATAAACAAAATTTCATAAGCAAAGGCATAAGTTAAAAAAAAAATAAACCCTGCAATTTACACAATAATCTCTTTAATGCATAAAAAGCTCCTACAAGTTAAGAAAAAGATCAGCAACCCAATAGAAAAATGTGCAAAGATTATTAAAAGACAGATCACACAAAAGGAATGTAAGTGGTTCCTGGGCGAGGGTGAGGGCGAGGGCGAGGAGGGCACTGCACAGAGCTGGGACCAGGGTGGGTAGGGGAGGTGCTTAGGGCACGTAAGTGAAGGAGACCTGGAGAACTTAGTAAATGCCTCCTTAAATTCTTCACCCAAGGCACTGCACTCACTTCATCCTAGCCCAGTCCCTGAAGGTTCAGTTCTGAAGCATGTGAAAAGATGCTTGAGCTCACTCAAAATTAGATAAATGCAAATGAAAACTAATAATACTACAGGAGATACCACTTTCCCCTTATCAGACTGGCAAATAGCCAAAAAGTGGATAGCAAACCACTCTCATACATTGCTGATGGATGTGTTAGTTGTTTCAACCACTTCGGAGGGCAATTTGCCACCCACTAGCTATCAAAATCACAAATACATATGAATTCTTGGCTCCCTTTTAAGAATTTATCCAACAGTTATTGCAAACATGTAAAGGGACCCATGTACCAGTATATTAACTGCAGTGCTGGGGCTCAGAAACCAATACCCGAAAATATAGCACTTTAACATGCTGGACTGAAGTAAGCACCTCAAGGTCTCTCTGACCTTACCCTACCTCCACCTCCCTTTAGCCTCTCAATGTTCTGTCTCTCCCAAAGCTGTTCTCTGGAGTTCCCTTATCTTCCTAAAGTCCACACCTGCCAAAGAAGAAAACAATTACCTCTGGTCCTTTCCTTGAGTTTTCATTAACTCATATCGCAGGAAGAAAGACTCAAGCTGTCAATGCCTGGGCAGACTTCTGTCACAAACCATCGTCTTCTATTTTGGTGCCTGATATGGTTTGGATGTGTGTCCCCTCCAAATTGCATTTGGAAACGTGATCCCCAGTGTTGGAGGTAGAGCCTAGTGGCAAGTGTTTGGACCATGGGAGTGGATCGCTCATGAATGGCTTAGCACCATATCCTTGGTGATGAGTTCTCAGTTCATGTGAGATCTGATTGCTTAAAAGAGTCTCCCCCTTTTCTCTCTCGCTGCTGCTCTTGCTATGTGATGTGCCTGCTCCCACTTCACCTTCCACCATAATTGTAAGCTTCTTGAGGCCTTACCAGAAGCTGAGCAGATGCCAACACCATGCTTCCTGTACAGCCTGCAGAACCATGAGCCAAATAAACCTCTTTTCTTTATAAATTACCCAGCCTCAGGTGTCTTCTTTATAGCAGTGCAAAAACAAATGAACACAGTCCCATTCAGTATTTCAAAAAGAATCATTTACCAGCCATTGTCTGCTCTGTGGGCCCAAGAGACTTTGTCCCAGGTCACTGCGTGTTCTCCAAGTCCATTCATTTCCCCGTAAAAATGTTACTATCCCTCAAATTGCCACATTTCCCTCATCTCCAATTGCCTTATGAAAAAGGGTGTATAAACATTTCCATTGGGTTGCTGGGCATTCATTCTCCTGCAATTCCCCCGTGCTATGCATGTTAGAATAAATTTTGTATGCTTTTTTTTCTTATTAATCTGTCTTTTGTTGATATTCACAAACCTCCAGAAAGTAAAGGGGGAAGCTTTCCCTTGGTCCCTACAGATGAGGTGCTGTGAACAGGATAACCGAAACCACTCTGCTCTTCTGGAAGCCAGATTCGAGGGAACCCCAGACCTGATATGCCAGCCAAAGGGGAGAAATTCTTATCAGTCACTCTTGGTCACTCTTTGTGAAATCTGGTTAAGTAGGTGGTAAAAATAACTGTCTCATTTTCCTTTCCAAATTTAAGATTAATGGGAGAAAAGCACTTGTTTGACTAGCATTGAGTATAGCAGCTCTGGTGTATTTTTATTATGAATATTCATATTATCTAATCCTTCTCTTTCCAGAAATAGTCTTTGTTTTTTCCTTCGTCTTTGTCTTCCTGTTTTGTTTTGTCATAAATAAGGGTATCACAGGGTAGAAGTAGGATAGAACATAGGCCTAAAACCCCTATAAGCCCATTGTCTGAGCTGATCTCCACAGACTGGTGAGTTTTATGGTTCTCATCAGACCCGCATCTATTTAAGACAAACTGTGCTGTGGGTCCCTGAAATGAAAACCGGATGAGGGTCTCCTTTCGTCTTGCTTTATGCCCTTCAGAGTTGACTTGTAACCAAGAGGGAGCATTCTCCCTTGGTCTCTGCCTCTGGGGGTGTGATTTTCAGGTCACGTCCAGTAGCTAGTCTAAAAGCACTGGGAATCCTGAGCCATGTCAAATTTTAAGCAGCACTCTCTTTTTCTCCCCAAATGTGCCAAGCTGTCAGTGGAGTCTGTCCTAAAAGGAGTTCTATCCATGAAGGGCTTCTGTTGCTTCCATCTTTGTTGCCTGGTTAGTGCTGGGAAAGTCTAATCCCTGAAGTGCCTGCCCTGTGTCACAGGCGTCACAGGTTGGCAGGTCTGTGACTAGAGGCACCCCCATGTGGCCACGTGTCCATGTGCTCATAGGGAGACCAGCTACACCATCCTTAACCGCCTGTGGCAACAGAGATCTGCTATCTTAGCTTATTTCTGGGAGTAAATTTTGGGGAGGATCATGAAGGCTGCATCTTTCGCACCCATTTAAAAAAAGATGCCAATTTTGCCTGTCGTATTCTAAACCCGGAAAGTTACCTCAGGGACTTTCCATGAAAAAAGCCTTTTTGGCTTGAGTCACTTATGAGATAAAGAAATTCTCTAAATTTAAAAGACTACTCTTTAGAGAGCTATAGTCTTAAACAACTATCTTATTGGTACCTATGAAAAGAAACAAAAGAAAGATAGCCTAAAAACTCCCTTGGCAAGATTTTTAAAAGGCAGAAATCAGATCTAAAACAATGTTAAAATCCTTTGTACATGTAAACTGTCTGCTTTGGAGCCTTTGAGGAATTTGCAAAAAAGACACTCTGGCCTGTAGTTTAGTGACTAGGATTCTGAACTTTCTCTGCTCTGTCTGGGGTTGGTTTCCCAGTCAGAGAACCAGTCCCTTGGAGATATAAATCCTTTAACTAAGAAGAAAAAAAAAATGAAACATTTATAAGGATTTGTTTTAATTACTTGTTTTGAATTTATATTTGTTTGACTCTTGACTTTTTGGAGCACACATTTGTCATTGATCCTTTTCCCTCCCATGAACAGCTACTGTTGTGCAGCTCATCTTTAAGTTTCTTTTTTCTTCTAACTGTCTTAGCGGGTGGCTCCGGGTCTTGGGAGGACTGTTTCTTTGCACCTCTTTAGAGATGAATCATACATTCTTGGTTAAGTCATAAAAGGCTTATTGATTTGCATTCAGAATCACCTGATAGATGCTTTTAGTTTTTTAAAAAATTAAAAACCCAGAATATGTGCTGTTTGTCCCCATTGAAATCTAATAATAAGAAATTGTAAAGGATTGTTTCAAAAAGAAAGGTCTGTGGTTAGAAATGGTTAGAAATCAGCTTCATTAAAAGCTGACATTCAGACTGCACTTTTTTTAAGCTTCTCCGTTCTCTTTTGGATATTGTTCTCCCATAAGAACTTTTTAGTCAGCTAGATTCCCTTTTCTCAAACCCCTGGTAACTAAAACTTCACAGGCCTTTTGGAAAACTTCATCCCTCCACGCTAAACTATCTCCTCTACAACTCATTCTTCCAACTACTTTTGCCCCTACTTCCTTTTGCCACCTTCAATACTACATGAAGAGATCTAGAGGAGACTTCTATCAATCCTTAAACCCCTTCAGAAATTAAAAAAAAAAAAAAAAAAAAAAAAAAAAGGGACCACTGACCTCTTTTTGTTTTGGGATTCCCTGTCTTCCTCATAACACTCCAAAACTCGTGGGCAGGTTCCTCTCAGGTCTAAAGCTCTGCTCTTTTGCACTGATCTGCTTCATCTCTTTGGCTTCTGTGTACATAATGTGTGTTACATGCTATGTTTACATGTATGCATATGTGTATACATGTGTTTGTATGTTGTTTAGATGGTACCGATTTAGAAATACGTAAATACTCATAAATCAAGTAAATAAGCCCAAATGCTTTTTTAGGTTCAGGTTGACATTAATAAGCCTTTGGTAAATAAAGCTAGCTTTAAAATTGTTGGTAAAATAACATAAAAATGGCTTCAGAATTTAATTAGGACATTTTGCCTAGGTCTGTCAGACAGACTTATGCTGTCTCTGCTTGATGTTTTAGTGTAATAAAACTATTGCTTTTGTAATAATTTTTGATGCTTGTTTGTTTTGTCTGTGAGCTAAAGCTCTAAGGGCCGGCTAATGGGGTTCCCCAAAGTTCTGTATACATCTTGCTGTGAGCTTATGCCTTTGGTTTTGAGCCTCTGGATTTTGAGGTGTAGAAAGGTGGCCATGGTGAGGCCTGGGGATATGTGTGTGTGCAGCACCTGGGCCATCAGCTACAGGGCAGGGCCCAGCCTAACATGGCCCCATCATTCCTGGCCCAACTCTGTCTCCTGGCCATGTTGGGAAGGGTTGGATCCTCCTGGCATCATCTTCACAGCTGTTTCCTTTGTCCTGGGCTCTGTACCTAGTATGTGAATCCAGAACAGACAGGCCCTGCCCTTCATAGCCACCTGTGTGCCCAATGAGTACCTGCGACCCAGGATGACTCAGGGGACACACTGGGGAGGGTGTCTATGTCCAGTATCTCAGAGGCCTTAGTTAATATGACACTGGCTAGTACAAGGATAGACTGGTTTTGCTTTTGCAAAACAAACAAACAAACCAAAAAAAAAAAAACAAAGAAAAAAAGTTAACTTAAATGGCTAGTTTTGTTCCCCATAAGCAATTAAGATGTAATTGTTAAGAACAAGTAAATTAGGTAAATATGAATGGGATAAACATTTATAGACAAATGTGTCAGTTCAAAAAAATCTTTTCAGTAATTTAAAATCTTAAAGTCATGTTATGTTAAATAATAGATTAGCATGAAATGTCTGTGTCATATCTAAATAAATTAAAATACTAAAACATTAATTATTAAACATAAGTTTAAGCTTACATACTTTTGGCTTTTTATTTCACAAAGAAAGAATAAACTTACTAGTAAATATGCCGTCTTCCACATTAAAAAACTGTTCTACAGAAAAGGCTGTTTCTAAAAATTATAAAATATATATTTATAAAATGTTTTGGTACACAGCAATTAAGTTGCTTACTTTTCAGGTTTTTCACTGAAAATTAAGGTTACTAAGAGTTAAAAGTATAATTAGAATATGTAATCAAAACTACCAGAAATAAAGGAAATAATTCTGTATACAACACGTACAGGGAGGGTAGGAAATGTTTTTGGTGAGGAAGATTATTAAAAAGGCATAAGGATGTGGTTTTTGTTTAAAAAGATTATTTTGTCTACTTTAGAGGTTATTTAAAAGTTGTTCCCAAATGAAGAAATAAAAAGATGGTATAGATAAAACTGAATAAATATAAAAAGTTGAAAAAGAATAAAATAAAACTTTAAGAGGTTATAAAAGTTTATAAAAATTGTATCATATGTGGTCAAAGCTGACTATACAGGATAGGTTTATTTATAAGATTTCATTAAAATTAGCTTTAGCATTGATACTGATGCAAAAATAAATTTTGGTTGTCTCTTGCAAGCAAGATTTACAAATATTGACAAAAAAAGATTTTGTTCACTTTTTGAGTAAACTGCAAAAAAAAAAAAAAAAGAAGGGAGGGAAAGGAACAGATTATATATGCTTCATGCTGTTTTTACTGTGTCTTTTGATTATTTGGAAAACTGAGTCTCCCGTCTATCAAAGAGTAAAGGTTTTAGCTTTTTGAAATCTCTAAATTATCACTTTGGTTAAACAAATGATTGTTTCACAATGACCTGTGATTCTACTTTTGATCAAGTCTTTTGAACATTTTTAAAAGACTTCAAAATCAAATTTCAAATTCTAAATTAAGTCTTTTCAACCTTGAACTACTTTTGAACATTCCAGAAGGGCCTTTGGAAGGTCCAGAGAGACGTATTAGGCATACTCAGTATGTTAAAATCACATGGGAAGCATTGGCAAATACAAAATGGTGTTTAGTTTTCCTTGAGTTATATTTGTATAAATGTGTAATATGTGTTCCAAAATAGTACGCGAGTCCTAGAAATCTGATATGTCTTGGTTTATGTTACCAGTCATAATCGTAATGTTAAATCTTGTATGCCACAAAAATAACCAGATCTCTTTGTGTGGAGACAAAATGACTCCATCTTGGATGTTAATCCACCATTGACTTCTGAATGACCCTATTTCTGTGAATGCCTCCTGATTTCTTCTTAATTTATTGTCCTTAGTGTAAGAATATGTGCTCACTACAAATCCCGATTTTAGATCAAAGCAACCTTGATGTTATCACATAAATTATAGGCTATGACACATATAACATTCTTGGTGTTCTGGAGGGTTGCCTTGAATTGTCTTGCTGGAGCATGTATACCTTTCCCCTATGGTATACAAGCCTTGGGTCTGGGAAGTAACAGTGTAGATATCGACCTGTCTTGCAGCCACCCAAGACCACGTTTCTGTCTGTAAGTTCCCCTAATAAATCATCATATACCAACAAACTGGATTTATCTGCCTCATTTTTTGGTTTCTTGGCTCCTTTGGCATTTGAGAACTGCTTTTTACATACAGATCTTTCACAGAACACCTTGTCGATTGCATCATTATTGTGAACTCTCATAAGATTTTTAACCATGGCCATTTTAAGTCTTGTTGTCCACAGTAAATTGTTTTACTCTGATGCTTCTCCTGAAAGACATTTGCAAGTGTTCTGTCTTCAAGAAGGTTCATGAAAAAAATAAAAAGCTTCTGACAGCTACCCTGAAATATAGACCTCTGCTAATGACTTTGAGATTATCCAGTTGGACTGTATAAAAATTTTAATAATTCCAATGGAAAAAGCTGGACTCATAAAACTGTGAACTCAACCAGCAGAATAAGAATTACATGGGCATCAACTGATTAAGGATTATGATATTTTATGGCTTTAGGTTTGAACATTACTGATTCTTTTTGTTTTGTTTTCCAAAGTTAAGGAGCTTCCTTTTATTCCTCTTAAAGTTTACAGCAATTGGGTATAGTTTTGTGAACAAAATTGAAACATTTGCCTTTCTCTCTACCTTATCCCTCCAAAATGTTGAAATTCATGAATATTCTTATTTTATGGTAATGTAGTTATTTGCATAAGCTCAGTAAGAATCTGTTCTTCTTGTAACAGAACACAATTGGAAACACTGGTTATTTTACCAAGGCCTTGACTGGAATGTCATATTTTCATCTATGACCAGACAGCTTTACAGAACGGAGGCTGACATTATGAAGCCAATAGAAGCCCTGGGAAAAACTGGCCTAGTACCTTACATACACATTTCTTATGGCTGCCCCGTGGTAGGTAAAGAATGTAACTCTCTTTTTTTTTTTTTTTTTTTTTTTTCTTGAGACAGAGTCTTGCTCTGCCATCCAGGCTGGAGTGCAGAGATGCGATCTCGGCTCACTGCAACCTCCACCTCCCGGGTTCAAGTGATTCTTGTGCCTCAGCCTCCCGAGTAGCTGGGATTAGAGGCGGGCACCACCACGCCCAGCTAATTTTAGTATTTTTAGTAGAGACACCATTTCACCATGTCGGCCAGGCTCAAAAAGAGAGAAATTCACTCAATTTGTGTAGTTATTACAGACGTAGTCTGAGGGCAAGTCAAATCTTTGATTTAGCTTACAGCCTTGAGAGGCTTTTAAAAGTCTAATCTGAGATTCCTTATAAAAATTTTCAGCAAAGCCAACTTGAAAAGTGCCTATATAATAAATCATTATTCTAATTGTACTTTATGCAAGTAATCAGGCCAAGTTAATAAAACTAACTTATTTTACAAACAAATTAGTCTCATTATGAGTATCTTTGGTAGAAATGGAAGGCTAAAGAGAGAAAAGTTACATTTCAGAAGAAAACAATGGTGCATCTGTTGTTAGATTCTAGCCCTGTTCATTGTTTTTGAGTTTTTCTCCTACCCTTCTGACTTGGAATCACTAAAAATTAAAATTTCTTTTTTCCTAAGGCCCTACAAGCTGAAGCTAGTAAACTTGGCTTTGAAAAAAAAAAATCACCACAACAGCTTATATTTGAACAAACTTACACACAAACTAAAATCCAGGAAAATCTATCACATTGCCACTGGCCCTCTCAGCTGACTGCCCCCATGACTCTAAAAGAAACTAGTTTATAGACCACCTCAGACATTAATGTTTGTTTTTCATCTGTTTCCATAAAAATATCTCTTATTAAAGATCTGTTTGCCTGTGTCATGGATAGAGGTCTAATTTTGAGAGCCCATCTACAATACCATCTCTTAAAATGAGAAACTACTGTTTAGTTGGGTTGGCCTATTCTCAGGAATGAGAGACTGGTTTAATGGGATCTTTTACCATTCAGCTACTAACTCTATTTTCCTCTCCACAGTCACTAGCTCATCTGTTAACATGTGAAATGTCCAGGAAACTCTGAGCTCAGAAACGAATATCCCAAAATGTGGCACTTTGATGTGCTAAAGAAGCAACCTCATGGTCTTTCTGATCTCCCTGCTCCTGCTTCTCAACCCTCCATCTCTCCCAAAGGAAAGGATGAAGCTGTTCTTTGAAGCTCTCTTATTTGCCCAAAGTCAAGACCCACCAAAGAAAATAACTACCTCTGCCCCTTCCCTTAGTTTTCATTAACTTAACTCATATTGAGGAAGAAAGATTCAAGTCTGTCAATACACCTGGACAGACTTTTGTCACAAACCACTGTCTTCTATTCTGGTCCTATTCAGTATTTCAAAGAGAATCATTTACCACCCATTGTCTGCTCTGTGGGCCCAACAGACTTTGTCCCAGGCCACTGTGTATTTTCCAAGTCCATTAATTTCCCCCTAACAATCGTTTACTATCCTCAAATTGCCACATATTCCCATCTCTTTCCTCTATGGAGAAGGGTATATAAACATCTGTATCCCATTGAGCTACTGGGCTGTCAGATTCTCCTCCGATTTTCCTGTGTCACGCATTTTACAATAAATGTCGTATGCCTTTTCTCCTTTTAACCTGCCTTTTGTCAGTGAACCTTCAGAGGAGGAAGTGGGAAGCTTGGCCCCTACAGCAGCATGACTGGTAATGGTAAAAGACTGGAAACAACCAACATGTACATCACAGTTAGATAAATGATGGTTGTTCCTAGTGTGCGATACCATACAAATGTAAAATGAATGAGCATGTTCTCTAGATATTGAAACAGAAAGCTCTCTAAC
The DNA here is from genome assembly GCF_000001405.40 of Homo sapiens. NCBI lineage: Eukaryota > Metazoa > Chordata > Mammalia > Primates > Hominidae > Homo > Homo sapiens. The sequence continues at coordinate 71,428,919 of NC_000015.10, read as the reverse complement.
ACATGCTAAGGAAGACAAGCAAGGGAAGAGCAGTGTCTGTAAAACGCTCCTGTATGTGTCAAAAAGAGGGGGAAGATAATATGAATTGGCTTGTAGATGTAGAAAAATATCTGCATTAAAAAAGAAATTATCAACCACTGGTTATTTCCTGTTGGGGCCCTGGGGAACTGAGTAGTTTTGATGTTTGAGTCATATAAATGTAGTATCTATTAAAAATATGAAACAAAGAATTCAAGTGTTTTCATCTGACACTTTTGTCCTCAAAAACCCATTTTAACCTATTTTTCTAAGTCTTTTCTATTACATTAGTGGTGCTTCTAACTACTTGGTTTGACCTGAATTTTGCCAGGAATTTAAATGAGATGTCCAAATATGGTGTTCAGGTGACGAATGTTTCCTTCACATCTTCACTCAGATGTCCAGGTCCTACTTGAGTCATCATTAGGCTAAGCAGCCTATGTTAAAAAATCGTAATAATAATTAAAAAGTCTGAGCCTATGTCAATATAACTGGTGAATAATATGAGCTGATTCTGCAAGGATGTGCACAGGGGCCAAAAGGAAAGGGGGCTACTGCTTCCTTGGCCCTATTAGTCTGAACAGAGACAGCATGGAGTTTCCCCATACAGCACAGTTTTCTAAAGTTTTATTATGTGCCTTGTGGAACAGTACCTGTAGAAGTGACTTTGCATACAATGAGTATTGCATAGCTCTGTATATATACCATAACAGATCCTACTTAGACAGTGCTTCTAGACTGTGCTTAGGGTCAGGGATGGTGGTGGGTTGGGGTAGAAGTGGACTATCTGGCCCAGAGGACTTTTCTCTGCTGAAGTTTCCCCTCATTTCTCAGTTACAAGTGTCAGTCACCACCCCTGCCAATTTAGACTGAACACTTCAAGTTCCCTTTGGGGGAATGCTACCTATTCTTTCATAAAGCTAGGGGAGGGGATCCTAACCTCTCTTCTGTCTCTTGGGTAAGAGGACCAGGTTGGATGCTCTGGACATCCCACCCCAATTTTACCTGAACAACCTCTCTCTTATCTGTTTTAATGTTGGACATCCTGATTGACCAAAGCCTCTTCTTGACCCACTATATTATCCAATTTCCAGGGAAGTCTTTTGGGCCTGGGGAATGACTTAATGGAGGGTTTCCCATTACTGAAGCCAGCATGTGTTCAGAAAGAAGTGTGCATACCTTGGAGGAACTAAGAATGGCACCACCAGAAGTAGACCAGATTAACTCAGGGCAGAGAGCAGGGTGCAAGCACAAAATGGTCACCTCAACTTCTATCCTGAGTATCTCGTATGTGCTGGGTCCTGGGCTAGAGGCTTGGCATACACTTTCTCCAATCTCCAAGGTCTGGGAGGCCAGTAACATTGCCTTCACCTGTTTTCTGGACTCCTGCCCTCCCTGGAGACCTTCACCTAACATTCCATTTAATGTGTGCCCCCCACCATTTTTCACTACCCAGTTAACTTCACAGCGTTCATCAACAGCATTCATCATAATATTTGTTGAATGCATCTGAATGCTTCATAGCATTCATCAGTTCTTTTGCTTATTAACTGACTTTGTATTACTTTTCCCACTAGGTTTTAAGCTCAATTTGAGTAGAAACTGTGTTCATCTTTTCCACTGTTTCATCCCAGTGCCTTGCCCAGTGCCTTGCCCAGTGTATGGCAGTGAGCAGTTATGATTATTTGTTAATAATTATGTGTATAATTTAGGTTGATTAATAATTATTTAATATATATAAAGAAATCTAAACAGGGTTTTTATGTTGGGTAGTTGTTCTAATGATTAAAATAAGAAAAATAATAGATAATTTTTCTAAACTACATGTAACAAAATAAATTTCATCAGTTTTATGTTAGGTTTCAGTTTAAGGTTTCAAGAGGTCCTAAGAACAGATCAAGTGCCCCGAAAGTTTACTTCTTAGTTAATCCTATTCATGATTATTTCTAGGAAAGGAGGTTTCATAACCAATTTCTACCTCGTTCTTTTGTTCCATTCTTGTATATATTTAAAAAACATTTACTGAATAATTTTAATCTGTTAAGCACTGAGGATACAGATACATATAATACTCAATCTCTCCTTTAGGAGCTAAGACACATGTCAAAATAACTATAACATAATATGATAAATTTTTAATAGTCACAAGCAGAAAGTACTTTTAGATTAGAGTTTGCTTGGGGTGTTTATAAGAGAGAGAGTCCACAAAGAGTCACATTAAGTTGGAATTTGGGCAAATTAGAAGCTATCTACCCTCTTTCAAGGGTGAAATCATGCAAATATCTTGGAAAAGAGAAGAACAATTTACCCAATCCAATTATTCTCTTGGTTTCATTGGACTAAAAATATAAACTCTAAGCAAAGCCCACAAAGTGAAGCCAGTAAAAAAGCAACGTAGGGCAAAAGGGCAGAAAAATGAGCAGGGTCTACTTGTGTGGTTCAGCAGAGCACAATAGTGTATATATAAAGGAGGGAAATGGACATTCAGCACCTGAACACACACACACACACACACACACACACACACACACACACAGCTATACTTACAAATGCACACATTCATTATGTCATCCTTCCCCATCAGGGCAACACATTGGTTTACAGCTTATCCCTCAACATTTGGAAACAGTTACCTTGCTTTAATTTATTGAATAAATATGAAACTGTCTGCCAATGTGTCCCGATGGAAGCCAAGTGGTGTCCCAGCTGGGGGAAGAGGTGTCAAAGCCCACACTGAGTGTGAGTGGATGGCAGAGCCGCAGGAAACGCCCTACAGTGGGGCGATGACTGACCAGAGGTTGTGCAGAGGATATAAGGGAGGAGTTCGGGAGCCAGAAGGCGGCTTCTTTCCCTTCACCAGAAGGCACCATGGGAGCATGCACTCACACTTTCTTAGGTTCCTCTGCCATCAGCTCTGCAAGGACTCGAGAAATTCAGAGTAAGCAACCAAAAAACAAGATGAGGCTGACAGGGGCTTGGGAGGGTGCCAAGAATTCTCCCTGACCTTCAAGGCCTTGTGTTCTGGGTATTTGGCCAAGGGGGCTTCATCTCCTTGTTTCATCTGCACTCAACTGCCTATCCCAGGTCCCAAATGAGAAAACTCTGTGATGAGTTCAAGATTAACTTCATTTGCTGAAATTCAACATATTGAGTACCAAGTACCTTCTTTCATTTACACATTTATTTCAAACACCCATTCAAATGGTAGGCTTTTTGCTAAAGCAAGACTGGACACAGCAAGGCACTCCAGACTGACGGGACAGCACATACATTCCCATGAAAGCACCAACCAGTAGGCCTGCAGTGTTAGGGACTGACACATTCCCATCTGGCTGGCACTGGCAGCCAGGAGGCCTGACAGGGGGCAGACGATGAAGGGTTGGGACTTTATTCCATAGGCGCTGTGGAGCTGCAGGTGGAATTTAGTCAAAAGAGAGGTTCATCCTGATTTGTGTTTTGAAAAGATGGTCATTTGGAAAGAGGAGGTGAGAAAAATAAACTCAGAAGAGGGAAAAGACTTAGAAAATTTTTTTCCCAACACATATAAACAACTCTTTCTATTCTGATTAACAATTCAGCCTAAAAAGCCGATATTAATAATAAACCCTATGTAGCATTTACTGTGTACAATTAACTTCATCTTCAGGATAGCCCTCTGTAAAATGGGGATTAATAATACCTCTCTGACTGTGTCACTGTAAAGATAAATGAACAAAATCACTTTTGTGTAAAGGACACAGCACATGGTAAACTCTCAGAAATGGCTCCTTGCTGGCTTGCATCAGCTTCAACACCTTCCTCCCCTATGATTTCAAAGCAGCTATTTTTTTTTGCAAGGCACCTACTCAAGTTCTGTTCGTTCTCAACCAAACACTTTTTTCGGGGGGATGGGAGTAGGCCTTGGGGTCATTCTGACTCAGGATCATTAAAGTCTGGAAGCCTGAGATTTCTGAAAGGTTGGTCTCCAGGGAGCTAGTTTTGGTTTCTTTTTTCCTAGTGCCTTATCCACATGACCCTGTTCTTTCAAATGCCTGCTATACCTTCAAGGCAAAGTTTCATCTATTTTTATTAAGTTGGGAGCAAAAATAATACATACACCCCCAAACTATAAAATTTTGGAACACTTAAAAACAGAGTTTAAAGCTGAGATCAAGTAAAACTAAATCATAGCGTGGTTAATGTGATGTTTAATAATAGAAATTATAATCGTGCTCTCTGTTAATTAGACCTAAGTGATATTTCGCTTGCATAAATGACAGTAATGACTGGGGAGGGCCAGAGTGTCTCTGAGACCTCTCTGAAGACTGGCCAGATATTCGTTTTTGATGTCTGGAGAAAGGGGTTGGGGTGAGGGAGGGAGAATCTCTGCAGGCTTCCAATACATCCTCTCGTTTTTGGAGATGACAGAATGAGAGCTCTACTTGCCCTTTCCCTTCGAGGCCTTTCAATATGCAGTAATTAGCCCGAAGCCGACATTTAGACTCCTTCCAGTCCCTGTCAAAAAATGGAGTATCACCCTGCACCAAGGGAGTAGACATCAACCCCAATTTTCTCTGTTCCCCAACCCTCCCCAAGGTAGACCTAGGACATCACATTCTTCTTGTCCTTATTTCAGCTCTCGGGTCTAAAGTGCAGAGGAGAAGCAGAGCAAGATGGCTGAATAGTAGCCTTCATCATCATCCTCCACACAGGAACGCCAAATTTAACAACCATTTATTAAAAAAAGCACCTTCATATGAGCCAAAAATCAGGTGGGCGATCACATAACCTGGTTTTAACTTAGGATCACTGAAAGGGGCACTAAAGAGGGTAGGAAAGACAGTCTTGAATCACTGACACCAATCCTCTCCTATTCCCCAGCAGCAGCCATGGGGTGCAGAGAGTCGGAGCGCTTTTGGGAGGGAGAGCACAGTGATGTGGGACTTTGTATTGGAACTCAGTGCTGCCCTGTCACAGTGGAAAGCAACACCAGGCAGAACCCAGCTGTTGCCATGGAGGGAGCATTGAGACTAGGCCTAGTTCAAAGGGCACTCATCCATCCCAGTGGTTGGAACTTGAGTTATGGCAAGGCTTGCCACGGTGGGCTAATGTACTCTGGGGTCCTAAATGTACCTGAAAGGCAGTCTAGGCCACAAGCCGTGTAATCGCTGGGAATGTTCTGGTGCTATGTTAGGCTTGGAGCTAGTGGACTTGGGGGGCACGAAACCTAGTGAGACACCAGCCAGGTTGGTCAAAGGAGTGTTTACACTCCGCCTCCTCCAACCCCAGGCAGTGCAGCTTGCCTCTATGGGAGAAACTCCTTCCTTCCACTTGAGGAAAGGAGAGGGAAGAGGAAACAGGTCTTTGTCTCATCCACCACAGGATAGGGCAGCAGGTAAGTCCTGAGGCCCCCATTCCAGGCCGTAGTTCCCAGAAGACATTTCTAGACATACCCTGGGCCAGAAGGGAACCTGCTGCCTTGAAGGGAAGGACCCAGTCCTGGCAGGATTCATCACCTGCTGACTAAAGAGCCTTTGGGCCCTGAATAATCAGCAGCAGTAACCAGGTAGTACATGTCATGGGCCTTGGGTAAGACTCTGAGATCTGCTAGCTTCAAGCTGTGACTGAGCGCACTCCCAGCTGTGGTGGCTATGGACAGAAACTCCTTCTGCTTGAGAAAAGCAGAGGGAAGAGTAAAGGGGACTTTGTCTTGTAGCTTAGATACCAGTTTGGCCATAGTGGAGTACAGTACCAAGTGGGCTCTTGGAGTCCCTAATTTTAGGCCTTGGGACTTGGACAGGATTTCTGCACCTGCCCTGGGCCAGAGGGGAGCCAACTGCTCTAAAGGGTGGGTCCCAGGTCTGGCAGCATTCACCACAAGCTGACTACAGACCAGTTGGTCCTCGAGTGAACATCAGCGACAGCCTGGCAGTGCTCTCCATGGGCCTGTGGAGGTGGTGGCCACGGGGACAGACTCCTCTGCTTGCAGAAAGGGGAAGGAAGAGTGGGAAGAACTTTGTCTTCTGGCTTGGGTGCCAGCTAAGCTGCAGTAGAATAGAGCAACAGTTGATTCCTAGGTTTCTGACTCCAGGCCCTGGCTCCCGAATGGTATTTCTGGACCAGCCCAGGGCTGGAAGGAATTTGCCACCCTAAAGGGAAGGACACAAGCCTGGCTGGCTTTGCCACCTACTGATTGTAGGCTCTAGGGCCTTGAGTGAATGTAAGCAGTAGCCAGGCAGTGGCTATGGCAGGCCTTGGGCAAGACCCAGTGTTGTGCTGCCTTCAGGTCTGACCCAGCGCAGTCCCAGTGGTGGTGGCCACAGGGGTGCTCATGTCACCCCTTCCCTGATTCCAGGCAGCTTATCACAGAGAGAGACTCCATTCTTGTAGGAGAAAGTAAGGGGAGACAACAACAGTCTCTACCTGGTAATCCAGGGAATCCTTCTGGAACTTATATTAAGACCACCAAGGTGGCACCTCTATGAGTCTGCAAGAGCCACAGCATTACTGGGCTTAAGGTGTCCCCTAATGCAAATACGTCTGCAGTGACCAAAGACTTAGATCACAACACCCAAGTCCCTGCAAATATCCAGAAAGCCTTCTAAAGAAGGACGAGTACAAACAAACCCAGACTGTGTACAAGCAAACCCAGACTGTGAAGACTACAATAAATACCTAACTCTGAACTATCAAGACCCCAGTGAACATCCACAAGCATCAAGACCATCCAGGAAAACATGACCTCACCAAACAAACTAAATAAGGCATCAGGGACCAATCCTGAAAAAACAAGAGATATGTAACCTTTCAGTCAGGAAATTCAAAATAGCTGTCTTGAGGAAACTCAGCAGAATTCAGGACAACACAGAGAAGGAATTCAGAAATCTATCAGATACATTTAACAAAGAATCAAGCAGAATTTCTAGAGCTGAAAAAGTTAACTGACATACTGAAGAATACATCAGAGTCTCTTAATAGCAGAACTGATCAGGCAGAAAGAAGAATCAGTAAGCCTGAAGACAAGTTATTTGAAAATACACAAGAGGAGACAAAAGAAAAAAAGTAAAAAGGAATAAGGCATGCCTACAAAATCTAGAAAACAGCCTCCGAAGTGCAAATCTAAGAGTTGTTGGCCTTCCAGAGTAAGTACAGGACAGATGGGGTAGAATGTTTATTCAAAGGGATAATAACAGAGAACTCCCCAAACCTGGGAAAAATATCAATATTTAAGTACAAGAAGGGTATAAAAGACCAAGTACAATATAACCCAAATGACACTAATCAAGACATTTAATAATCAAACTCTCAAAGGTCAAAGCAAAAGAAAGGCTCCTAAAAGCAGCAAGAGAAAAGAAATAAATAACATACAATGAAGCGCCATTACATCTGGCAGCAGATATTTCAGTGGAAACCTTACAGGCCAGGAGAGAGTGGCATCACATATTTAAAGTGCTAAAGGAATGACACTTTTACCATAGAATAGTATATCTGGCGAAAACACCCTTCAAATATGATGGAGAAATAAAGACTTACCCAGACAAACAAAAGCTAAGGGATTTTATCAACACAAGCCCTATCCTACAAGAAATACTAAAGGGAGTAGAAAGAGACTAGAAAGAAAATGATGTTAATGAGCAATAAGAAATCAGTTGAAGGTACAAAACTCACTGGTAATAGTAAGTACACAGAAAAACACAGAATATTATACACTAATTGTGGTGTGTAAACTACTCCTTTTTTTTTTTTTTTTTTTTTTTTTTTTTTGAGACGGAGTCTCACTCCATCACCCAGGCTGGAGTGCAGTGGTACCATCTTGGCTCACTACAACTTCTGCCTCCTGAACTCAGGCAGTTTTCATGCCTGAGTAGCTAGAATTATAGGTGCATGTCACCACAACCAAGTAATTTTTATATTTTTAGTAGAGATGGGGTTTCACCATGTTGACCAGGCTGGTCTTGAACTGACCACAAGTGATCCCAAAGTGCTAGGATTACAGGTGTGAGCCACTGCACCTGGCCACCACTCTTACCTTAAGTAGAAAGACTAAAAGATGAACCTATCAAAAATAATAACTACAACAACTGTTCAAGACACAGACAGTACAATAAGATATAAATAGAAACAACAAAATGTTAAAAAGCAAGGAGATGAAGTGTGAAATTTTATTGGTTTCTCTTTGCTTGTTATTTTGTTTGTTAATTGCAATAAATGTTAAGTGATAATCAGTTTAAAATAATGAACTGTATTATTTGCAAGCCTCATGGTAACCAAACCAAAAAACATAGAACAGATATACAAAAAGCAAAACTCAAGAAATTAAAACATACTACCAGAGAAAATCACCCTCACTAAAAGGAAGACAGGAAGGAAGGAAAGAAGAGAAGACTACAAAACAATCAGAAAACGAATAACAAATGGCAGAAATAAGTCATTAACTATCAATAATAACATTGAATGGAAATGGACAAAACTCACAAATCAAAAGACATAGAGTGGCTGAATGGATTAAAAAAAAAAGACCCATACATCTGTTTCCTACAAGAAACACACTTCACATATAAAGACACACATAGACTGAAAATAAAGGGATGAACAAAGATATTCTATGCAAACGGAAACCAAAAATGAACAGGAGTAGCTATACTTAGACAAACTAAATTTCAACGCAAAAACTATAAAAAGAGACAAAGAATGTCATTATTTGATAAAAGAGTCAATTCAGCAAGAGGATTTAACAACTGTAAATATATATGCACCCAACACTGGAGTACCCAGATATATAAAGCAAATAGTACTAAAACTAAAAAAAAGAGACAGATGCCAATACATTAACAGCTGGACACTTCAACACCACACTTTCAGCATTGGACAGATCATCCAGACAGAAAATCAGCAAAGAAACATCAAACTTAATCTATACTGCAGACCAAATGGATCTAATAGATATTTACAGAACATTTCATCCAACAGCTGCAGAATACACATCCTTTTCCTCAGCACATGCATCATTCTTAAGGATAGACCATATGTTAGGCCACCAAACAAGTCCTAAAACATTCAAAAACATGGAAATAACATCAAGTGTGTCCTCTGACCACAATGGAATAAAACCAGAAAATAATAACAAGAGGAATTTTGGAAACTATACAAACTCATGGAAATTAAACAATTTGCTCCTGAATGATTAGTGGGTCAATGAAGAAATTAAGAAGAAAACTGCAAAATTTCTGGAAACAAATGATCATGGAAACACAGCATACCAAAATCTATGGGATACACTGAAAGCAGTACTAAGAGGGATGTTTATACTTATAAGCACCTACATCAAAAAAGTAGAAAAACTTCAAACAAACAACCGATTGATGCATCTTAAAGAACTAGAAATACAAGAAAAAACCCCAAAATTAGTAAAAGATAAATAATAGACCAGGCATGGTGCTCATGCCTATATCCCAGCACTTTGGGAGGCCAAGGCAGGAGAAGTGCTTGAGCCTAGGAGTTCAAGACCAGCCTAGGCATCATAGCGAGATCCCATCTCTACAAAAATTTAAAAATTAGTCAGATGTGGTGGCGTGCACCTGTTATTCCAGCTACCCAGGAGGCTGAGCTGGGGGAACTGCTTGATCCTGGAGGTCAAGGCTGCAGTGAGCTGTGATCATGCCCCTGTACTCTAGCCTCAGCAACAGGGCAACACTGTCTAAAAAAAAAGAAAAAGAAAAAGAAAAGAAAAGAAAAGAAATAATAAAGATCAGAGCAGAAATAAATGAAATTGAAATGAAGAAAACAATACAAAAGGTCAATAAAATGATAAGTTGGTTTTTGAAAAGATAAAATGGACAAACCTTTACCCAGACTAAGAAAGAGAGAAGACTCAAATAAATAAAATCAGAGCTAAAAAAGGAGACATAACAACTGATACCACAGAAATTCAAAGGATCAACAGTGACTACTATAAGCAACTATATGTCAATAAACCGGAAAATGTAGAATAAATGAATAACATTCCTAGATACATACAACCTATCAAGATTAAACCATGAAGAAATCCAATACTTGAACAGACCAATTAACAAGTAATGAGATAGAAACAGTAATAAAAAGTCTCCCACTAAAGAAGATTGGGACCCAATAGCCTCACTGCTGAATTTTACCATACATTTAAAGAAGATTTAATACACCAATCCTATTCAAACTATTCTAAAAAAATAAAGGAGGAGGGAATACTTCCAAATGCATGATGTAAAAATCCTTCAGAAAAAAACTAGCAAACTAAATTCAACAACACAATAAAAATATCATTCATCAGGACCAAGTGGGATTTATCCCAGGGATGCAAGGATGATTCAACATAGGCAAATCAATTAATGTGATATATCATAGCAACAGAATGAAGGACAAAAACCATATGACCTTTCAATTGATGTCAATAAAAGCATTTGATAAAATTCAACATCCCTTCATGATAAAAACCCTCAAAAAGTTGGGTATAGAAGGAACATGCCTTAACATAATTAAGTCATATATGACAGACCCACAGCCAGTTTCATACTGAATAGAGAAAAACCAAAAGCCTTTCCTCTAAGATCTGGAACAAGACAAGGATGCTCACTTTCACTACTGTTATTCAATGTAGTACTGGAAGTCCTAGCTAGAATAATCAGACAAGAGAAAGAAATAAAGGGCATCCAAATTGGAAAGGACGAAGCCAAATTACCCTTGTTTGCAGATGATAAAATTTTATATTTGGAAAACACTAAAGACTCCACCAAAAATGATTAGAATTGATAAATTCAGTAAAGTTGCAAAATACAAAATCGACATACAAAAAACAGTAACATTTCTATATGGGAACAGCAAATATACATTATTTCTATATGCCAATAGTAAACAATCTGAAAAAGAAATCAAAAAACTAATCCCATTTACTATAGCTACAAATAAAATAAAATACCTAGGAATTAACCAAAGAAGTAAAAGATCTCTACAATGAAAACTATAAAACATGGATGAAAGAAGTTGAAGAGGACACAAAGGAATAGAAAGATATTCTGTGTTCCTGGATTGGAAGAATTAATATTGCTAAAATGTCCATAAAACCAAAGCGAATTACAGATTTAATGTAATCCTTATCAAAATACCAATGAAATTCTTCACGGAAATAGAAAAACACAATTTTAAAATTTATATGGAATCACAAAAGATTAAGAAGAGCCAAAGCAATCCTGAGCAAAAGGAAGAAAACTGGAGGAATTACATTACTTGATTTCAAATCACACTACAGAGCAATAGTAACCAAAACAGCATGGTACTGGCATAAAAAGAGACATATAGACCAATGGAACAGAATAGAGAACCTAGAAATAAATCCACACATCTACAGTGAACTCATTTTCATTAAAGGGGTCAAGAGCATACATTGGAAAAAGGACAGTCTCCTCAAAAAAAATGGTGCTGGGAAAACTGGAAATCCATATGCAGAAGAATGAAACTAAACTCCTATCTCTCACCATATGCAAAAATCAAACCAAAATGGATTAAACACTTAAATCTAAGACCTCAAACTATGAAACTACTACAAGAAAACATTGGGGGAACTCTCTGGGACATAGGACTGGGCAGAGATTTCTTGAGTAATACCCCACAAACACAGGCAACCAAAGCAAAAATGGACAAATCAGACCACATCAAGTTAAAAAGTTTCTGCACAGCAAAGAAAATAATCAACAAAGTGAAGAGACAACCCACAGAATGGGAGAAAATATTTGCAAACTACCCATCTGACAAGGGATTAATAACCAAAATATATAGTAGCTCAAACAACTCTATAGGAAAAATATCTAATAATCTGATTTTAAAATGGGCAGGGCCAGGTGCAGTGGCTCATGCCTGTAATCCCAGCACTTTGGGAGGCTGAGGCAGGCGGATCATGAGGTCAGGAGATCAAGACCATCCTGGCTAACATGGTGAAACCCCGACTCTATTAAAAATACAAAAAAATTAGCTGGGTGTGGTGGCGGGCGCCTGTAGTCCCAGCTACTTGGGAGGCTGAGGCAGGAGAATGGTGTGAACCCAGGAGGTGGAGCTTGCAGTGAGCCAAGATTGCACCACTGCACTCCAGCCTGGGCAATAGAGTGAGACTCCATCTCGAAAATAAAATAAAATAAAATAAAATAAAACAAAACAAAACAAAACAAAACAAAACAAAACAAAATAAAATAAAATAAAATGAAACAAAATAAAATAAATAAAATGGGCAAGCGATTTCAATAAACATTTCTTAAAAGAAGACATACAAATGGAAAAGAGGTATATAGAAACCTACTCAACATCACTGATCATTAGAGAAATGCAAATCCAAACTACAATGAGATATTGTCTCACCCCAGTTCTAATATGAGTGAATAACTTACTAAAAGTGAGGCAATAACAAATGATGGTGAGGATGTAGAGTAAAAGTAATCCTCTTACACTGTAGGTGGGAATGTAAGTTAGTACAACCACTATAGAGAACAGTTTGGAGGTTCCTCAAAAAAGTAAGAATAGAGCTACCCTGTGATCCAGCAGTCTCACTGGTAGGCATATACCCCAAAGAAAAGAAATCAGTGTATCGAAGAGATATCTGCAACACTATTCACAAAAGCCAAGATTTGCATCAACTTGAGTGTCCATTAACAGATGAATGTATAAAGAAAATGTGGTACATATACAAAATAAAGTACTATTTAGACACAAAGAAGAATGAGATCCTGTCATTTGCAACAGCATAGATGGAACTGGAGGTCATTATGTTAAGTGAAATAAACCAGGCACAAAAAGACAAACTTCGGGCCAGGCGAGGTGGCTCACACCTGTAATCCCAGCACTTTGGGAGGCCAAGGCAGCTGGATTACCTGAGGTCAGGAGTTCGAGACCAGCCTGGCCAACACAACGAAACCCTGTCTCTACTAAAAATACAAAAATTAGCCAGGTGTGTTGGCACATGTCTGTAATCCCAGCTACTCAGGAGGCTGAGACAGGAGAATGGCTTGAACCTGGGAGGCGGGGGCTGCAGTGAACCAAGATTGCAGCACTGCACTTCAACCTGGGCAACAGAGTAAGACTCCGTCTTAAAAAAACAAACAAACAAAAAGACAAACTTGGCATGTTCTCACTTATTTGTGGAAGCCAAAAATTAAAACAATTGAACTCATGGAGATAGAGAGGATAATGATGGTTACCAGAGGCTGGGAAGGGTAGTTGGGGGTTAAAGGGGAGGTGAGCATAGTTAATGGGTACAAAAAAATAGAAAGAATAAATAATATCTAGTATTTGATAGCACAACAGGGTGACTACAGTCAATAATAATGTAATTGTACATTTTAAAATAACTCAGTATAACTGGATCATTTGTAACACAAAGGATAAATGCTTGAGGGGATGGATACCCCATTTACTCTGATGTGATTATTATATATTGTTTGCCTGTATCAAATTATCTCATGTACTCTATAAATATATATTATGTGCCCACAAAAATGACAAATTAAGAATTTTTAAAAAATAAATAAACCACAGAGGAGCTCCAGAACTGGATAAACATAGGCTTTAACTTGAGCTGAAACAGAGCATTCAAGCCAGCAATGGGTGGGCCTGCGGCCTTTACTTGGCTTGATGTGAGGACAGTGCCCTCCTCTCATGAGGACCCTTTTGTAGACTCAGTTCATATTATTATGTAAGGCTTGTCACCTTTCATTAACTTTTCTTGCAAGCCTGGCTATTTCTTTCAACTCTATGTGGCCAGGAGAGGCTTTGTGTCACTATTTCAGATGCAGACGCACATCTTAGGGAAAACTGTCTGCAAGTGACAGCTTTCTCAGCCACAAGTCAGAGAAGTAGAGAAATCAATTTGAATTCTGGGCATCCAATCAAATATTTAGAAAAGGACACTTTACCCTTTGAAAGCTGCAAAGTAAACAGAAGTTCAGCCTGGGAAGCAAATGTACTTCTGATTATTTAAACTGAAGCCGTCAGTGGTTCCAACAACTTCAATGAGGGAATTTCAGGCAAATGCAGAGAACAAATGCAAAGTAGTATCCAGTAGTCCTAGTAACATCAGAACCCTATTAATATACTCACATCCTGGAAAATGTCTGTTTCAGGCTTTTAGCAATTATTATCTGCAAACTGTGTTGCCGTAAAGTTTGAATGTTTTTCATCAATTAGTAAGAATCCATACCCATGTCCTTATAAGTGTTTGCTTTTCTTTTATATCATCAGCTAATAGACATTTAATGAAATACTAAGAAAACGTGCTCTCCCAGTGAAGAGACCACATTTCATATTCCTTCCGAGTCATCTTACCACCATATATTTATATTTCTGGCTCTTTGTTAACTATATTTTAATCAATGTCCCTTAAAACCTTGCTACTCAAAATATGATCCAGGGACCAGCAGCATCAATATCACATGGAAGTTTGTTAGAAAAGCGGATTCCCAGGCCCTTCCCCAGGCCCTACTGAATCAGAATCTGCAATCCCCCAGTGTTTCACACTATAGCGTGAGAGCACTGACCCAAAAGAGCATGTGCATCTGACAAATCTATAATCGACAAAAAAAGGCAAACACTTTTGCATAGAAAATCCAAGTACAATGGTATATATGTAGGTATATGCAGTGATACTAATAAATGCCAGTATGCTTACTGAATGCCAAACCCTGTTATACGGTCATGACTCTTCACCGCAACACAGGACGTAGGTACCATCCTCCTCATTCTTTAGATGATGTACAGAAGCACAGAGAGCTTAAGTAACTTTTGCAAAATCACACAGTAAATCTGTGGAAGAGGCATGACTTGAACCCAGGCAATCCGACTTCGGAGGGCAGGTTTGTAACCATTATACTCTACCATTACATTCACCATTCCTCAACAGTGTGCACCTGTATTCAGGAAATGAAACAGTTGCTTTGGAATCTGAAAGATAAAGCTAGATTGCTATCAGGCCCATCATTTTAGTTCAGTAACATTTAGAAGCAGGGAACATTAAAGCTGGAGATCACAAAACTCTCAGAGAATGCCCTTAAGTATTTTCTGAGGACACTGAAGCTCAGAGAGGATGTGTGAAAACCAGTGGTTTTTCCAAAGGAGCAGAAAACTGGAGGCTATGATGTTTCCCATGATGTTTCCTGCCTCTTCTGTACCGCATCCTAATTCTTTCAGGGTTTGCTCTTCCAAAGATACTTCATACACATCAGATATCAAGTGACACCTTGTTCCTTTCTTAACTTGCATTCAAAATGTGAGAACAAAATCCTGTCATTTGCAATAGCATGGATAGAACTGAAGGACATTCTGTCAACTGAAATAAGCCAGGCATACAAAGACAAATATCACGTTTTCACTCACATGTGGGAGCTAAAAAAACCAAAATTGAACTCCTGAAGACTGAGAGTGAAATGCCGGTTGCCAGAGACTGGAAAGGGTAGTAGGGATGGGATTATAAAGTGAGGATGGTTAATGGGCAAAAAAATACAGTTAGAATGAATAAGATCAAGTGTTTGGTAGCACAATAGGGTGACTATAGCTAATAATAATTTATTGTATATTTTAAGAAAACTAAAAGAGTAGAAGCTGGGTGCGGTGGCTCACGCCTGTAAACCCAACACTTTAGGAGGCCAAGGCAGGTGGATCACTTGAGGTCAGGGGTTCAAGACCAGCCTGGCCAACATGGTGAAACCCCGTCTGTATTAAAAATACAAAAAATTAGTTGGGCATGGTGGCGTGAGCCTGTAATCCCAGCTACTCAGGAGGTTGAGGCAGGAGAATCCCTTGAACCTAGGAGGCAGAGGTTGCAGTGAGCTGAGATTGTGCCACTGCACTCCAGCCTGGGCAACAAGAGTGAAACTCCATCTCAAAAAAATAAATAAAGTAAAATAAAATAAAATAAAAGAGTAGCACTGGAATGTTCCTAATACAAAGAAATGCTAAAAACTTGAGGTGACGGATACCCCAGTTACCCAGATTTGATCATTACACACTGTATGTCTGTATCAAAATATCACATATACCTCATAAATATATACATCCATTATGTACTCATAATAATTAAAAATATACTTTTTAAAAATCTGAGAATATCAATCCTGCTTTATGTTATTTTGCATCCTATCTGAAACCTCCTCATTCAAAATGTTGTTGGTGGGGGGGTAGGTTGTGCTCACAAATAACACCTCAATATCCCTAATATTAAACACTGTAGCAAGTTATATTCAAACTATAATAGGAACTTCCAGGTGTCATAGCCAAAGAGCTCTTCCTGTGATTAAAATCGGTCTGCCAGCTAGCTATAGAGTGCTAATTAAGAGAGACTCTTCGTTTGGGCTCCAGAGTCATTTACCTGCTAAATCTTAGCTCCATGAATACATACGTAGATGAAAGGAGGGTAGAAGTCCAAGCGCAAATTAATGTAGCTACGGAATTTGTGCCATTTCATCTAAGATGCCTATTTTTAACCAAATGGTGCTTTCTGTCAACACTGAGCATCCCACAAGGATTCTCTGAAGCCCAGAATGTTTGCAGAACGCCAGGCGGGGTGTTCCTGGAACAGACTTCAGAAGCCTAAGGAGGTTGAAAACTTCCTGTTTAAAGTACAACTTCTGCTATAAAAGGCATGAAACAACTTTCCTTTGGAAGCCTGCCCCTTCTGGGGAGAGGCAAGATAAAATATGCCATTCCCTTAAAATGCCACCCTCATGACGCCAACCAATTCTTGATTAAACCAGCAGTGCCCTTTCCATAACCTCCGTTTCACAGGCAAAGAAGGAGCTCCAGATCCAACTCGCAAAGATTGCTGTGTCCCTTGTGAAGCATGTGGTGTCAACATAAATCACTTAATAATGGGAATGCTAGAGTGGGACCTGGTGACGCCCAAAGATCAAAAGCACAGTCAGGGCTGACCAAGCAGCCCCATCTCAGCCCACTCCTCCCAGAGCGCATGGTTGAGTGGCCCTGACGTGGGCTGGGGGGAGCTAGCAGCCTAGTCTCTCCCTGGAAAACAATGGAGTCAGCAGTCACAGATCAAACACCTTAAGAATTCACCCCAGTTCGGGGGCACTTACCTTGCACTGCCCAGACACACAGATGGCCGTGCCGTTCTGGTCACAGGGGGTGCCATCGATGACTTTCTCAGCTTGCCGTACATAGAAGCGGTAGCCCATTGCCTGGCAGTTCAACTCACATTTGCGATTGCCTTTTACTACCAAAGTAAAATGAAATAAAATAAAATAAAGATAAGGTATAAGCAATATCATCTCTGTGGAATCAGCACCTTTTTTCTTCCTATAATTTTTATTGAGAAAAATTTGTATAACACAAAATTAAGCATTTTAACCAACTATACAGTTCAATAAGTCTTCGTATATTCATAAGGTTGTGTGTCCAACCGCAACCATTATATAATTCCAGAACATTTCCATCAGCTCAAAAAGAAGCCCTGTGCCTGTGAGCTGTCATTTCAATTCCTCACTCCCCCTAGATCTTGGCAACCACCAATCTACTTTCTGTCTCTATTGATCTGCCTATTCTAGACATTTCATAATCACACACTTTTTAAAAGTGCATTAAAGTTATCAGCTCTCCCCATATTTGATGATAGAGG
The DNA here is from genome assembly GCF_000001405.40 of Homo sapiens. Classification (NCBI taxonomy): domain Eukaryota; kingdom Metazoa; phylum Chordata; class Mammalia; order Primates; family Hominidae; genus Homo; species Homo sapiens. Next base: position 71,411,284 of record NC_000015.10, on the reverse strand, counting down.
GAAGGGATTGTATCTTGATCTATTTGCATATAGTAGTGATACAGTGCTGAGTGAATATTATAAAGGAATTCTCAAAGACTCGCCATGCAAATAACAGATTCTACTTTTAGACATCCTCCCACGCTTTGCCATTGTCATAATTAATTACGTTGGTGCAAAAGTAACTGCACAATTACTTTTGCACCAACCTAAATATATTTCATATATCAGCAATCACAGTGAGCACATAATTTTTATGTTTACAAGTCTCACTCTGTAACCCAGGCTGGAGCGCAGTGGTGCAATCTTGGCTCACAGCAACCTCCGCCTCCCGGGTTCAAGTGATTCTCCTGCCTCAGCCTCCCAAGTAGCTGGGATTACAGGTAACTGCCAACACAGCCAGCTAATTTTGTGTGTGTGTGTGTGTGTATTTTTTAGTAGTGACAGGGTTTCACCATGTTGGCCAGGCCAGTCTTGAACTCCTGACCTCAAGTGATTCGCCCACCTCGGCCTCCCAAAGTGCTGGGATTACAGGCATGAGCCACCACACCTGGCCATATTCTGCTTTTTAAACTTAATATCTACGCAGTTATATCATCTGTATGCCTTTTTAAATGGCCGCAGCTTCCTGTAATAATTCCTCCATTATGAGGTATTTAAGTGGCTTCTCTGTCACTCTAGGTTGAAGTTCAAAGTCCTAAGCAAGGGATAAAACCTCTTTCAAGAGCGGAACCTCGCCTACCTTTATAGCCTCATTTCCTCCTGTTCTTCCTTAAATCCCATTCCTAAATACACAGTCTACACACAACTAAGCACTCCCTCTCTCTAGCCGTTGCTTAACTGTTCCTTCCCTCACTTGGCTGGCCTGCATTTGTACTTCGCTTGCATTTCCAGGTCACCTCCTCAGGAAGCCCTCCATGGATCTGGATCCCACCTCTACTTCTGCCCCCTCTCAGGTTGATGTGGCCTCCTCTATTTCAGGGTTAACCATGCTGTATTGCAGTGTGGTTTTGCGAGAATACAGGATGTCTCTGTCTTATTCACTTTTGTATCCCAGGAACCCAGCACAGAGCTTGGCGCATAGTAAATGCTAAACAAATCTCTGAGGAATGAAACAAGGGATGGATAAATGAATATCGGCCTTTTCTCCCCCTTGTCTTTCTCTCCCCTCCTCCTGCTAGATATATTTCCCTACCTCAGAGTCTTTCTGTACATTTCTATCACTTCACACCAAGCCTGGCACACAGAGGGTGCTCAGTAAATGCTAAATTAATTACTGCTACAAGGAACATCTCAGAACAATTTAGTTGCTTCCAAAATAAGAATGAAAATAAATTTCAGGCAAGATATATTTCTATATCCAAAAGAAACAGACAAGATAAGTACACACTGTATGTAAAAAAAACAAAAAAAAAAAAACTGTTTTGGAGACAAGACTAATGCTGTGCTCAGCCATAGACAGCCTAGAACAGGCTGTCTAAAAATCAGATTACCTGACTGGGTAATACTGACTTTTTCCTACACTACATGATACAGCATATTTCCCCAGTGTGGCTGCCTGACTGTCACAGCAATAAACTGCCTTCTATTCCAAAGCCACTGAAAACCTCTAACAGGAAATCACATGGAGCCTCTGGGACCACATGGTTCAGGAAGACTGCATCGTCTAGATACTCTGAGCTCTATCTTAGAAGTCAAGAGACCTGGTTTCTTTCCTTGGCTGCCCAAAAGATGTAAGAGGTGATTTGGGGGAAAAAATAAAAGAATACCAAGATGGAATCACCTCTGGGATTTATTTCAAACGAAATCATCATTTGATAGATTAAAAAACAGGCTTAAGAAAGGAAGTGACAAGTTGGAGGCAAAATTCATCTCCTACAACTTGCTTTCTCATTTCATCTACCAAGACCCCATTCCCTCTCTCCCCAGCTCCTCACTTTCTGAAGCGCTAGAACTATCCAGGTGCATTGCATTGTAAGTAATCCAAGTGTTTGTGAAAGGCAGCCTCATCTGGGCAAGGGTTTTGGGTCCTCACTTCTCTTGGCTTCCTCCCAACTATCTGTATCTTTTGAGATACTATCTTTTGGGGCCAGAATTTTATTCCTCAATATTTGCAACCATACTGCAGAAGAACATTCTGAGGGGGGGGGAAAAAAAAAAGCTAAACGTGAGACAATTACAGCAGAATCTCCGAATGGCCACAAGAAAGGAACCCAGAGGAATGGCCTTAACTCTGGGCTCCTCCCACCAGTAGACACTGGGGACACTGGGTCCACCTTCTCCGATCTGCAGCTAGGAGATAAATAAACCTGAGGACAAGGGACTTCTTAACAAAACTACCTGGCATCCTGTTGCCTTAGAGAACACCCTAGTTCTTCTCATAAAATTATGTAATGACTTCTCTAGACCCTGCATAGACTTCCTACCCACTGCCCCCAACCCTTGTGTCTGTGTGAGATAGGGTCTTGTTCTATCACTCAGGCTGGAGTGCAGTGGTGCGTTCTTGGCTCACTGCAACCTTGACCTCCCAGGCTCAAGCCGTCATCCCATCTCAGCCTCCCGAGTAGCTGGGACTACAGGTATGCACCACCACACCCAGCTAATTGTTGTATTTTTTGTAGAGATGGGGTTTTGCCATGTTGCCCAGGGTGGTCTCAAACTCCTGGTCTCAAGTGATCCTTCTGCCTCGGCCTCCCAAAGTGCTAGGATTACAGGCATAAGCCTCTGCCCCCAGCCCCCACCTCCTTTAAAATTCCTCATAAGAATGCATTTGGGCCGGGCACAGTGGCTCATGTCTGTTATGCCAACACTATTGGAGGCTGAAGCAGGAGGATTGCTTGAGCCCGGGAGTCCAAGACCAGCCTGGGCAACATAATGAGACCCTGTCTCTACAAAAAAATTAAAAATTAGGTGGGCGTGAGGGTGCACGCCTGTAGTCCCAGCTACTCAGGAGGCTGAGGTGAGAGGATCCTTTGAGCCCAGGAGTTTGAGGCTGCAATGAGTTGTGACTGTACGACTGCACTCCAGCCTGGATGACAGAGCAAGAGCAAGATCCCATTTCAAAAACAACAACAACAACCTTTGAAGGGTTTCAAATTAAGGTTTTGCATGGATATTCACTTTATTCTTTTTTTTTTTGCCTTTAAGTAAAGTACAATTCTGATGCCAGGAGACTCTTCTCTAAGCAGATTTTGTCAGGTTTTGTTGGTGCAGGGAAAGTGGGAAAACACAAGGGTTGCCACAAGCTGGGAGCAAGAGGAAGTGGGCACAAACTTCTGTTTCTCTCCTTCTTTGTCCTCATCTGTTTCCTGAATGTCCTCCCTGCCTCCAAAAGGAACATTTCACCTAGCATCCTGTCCACACACTAAAGCAGTGGTTCCTACTGTGGTCCTGGGACTGGCAGCACCAGCATCACCTGCGTACTTGCTGAAAATGCAAATTCTTGGGCCTCACCCCAGACATCCTGGATCAGAAACTCTGGGGATGAGGTCTAGGACATGGTCAAGTTTGGGAATCATTGCTCTAAGGAAAATCAATCAGTGAGCCGACTTGGAAGCAGCTGACTCTTATTTTGAATCAAAGATATTCAGATCCCACGCCTGAATTTAAAAGATAATACAACCCCAAATATAGGTACTCTAAATTTAGGATATTACCCGGTATTTGGAGCCCTGATATTTAAAAGCCCTCTGACCATGAAAAAAAAAAATGCTGGTGACTATACAAGAAAATTTAGGTTACTAAGAGTAAAGCAACTAAAAGCTAAAAGTTTACACTCGAATACAAGTTAAAGATTTAAATCACTCTTGAATTTTGTTTCCTTGGAAAAGCCATTGATATAATAGTGAAGAGTTTTTAAAAAGTAATAAACTCAAAAGAAAAAGAAAATAGAAAAGGAGTTAACGGTTACAAAATTTAGGAAACCGGAAAGCAGAAGGACTCATTGTAATGACTTAGCCGACCCAAGAAAGCTGATCCTAAGCAGCAATAAAAGCAGCAAAGCTACGCAGCATTACGGAGTCTCCAAAAGGTAACTTTGGAAATGGGGGAGAAAGCAGACCTAAAACCGGGACAACTATCTCTAAGAGTTGTAAGAAGTAGTTAGAGGTTCTGCTTTCCAGAATGGTTATCAGTGCCTCTGAAAATCAACTCTTCCATAAAAGCAAAAGGCAGCTAGAGTAGCTCTACTAATATTTTGGACAAAGTAGACTTTAAGACAAAAATTGTTACTAGAGAAAAGTACATTTTATAATAATAAAAGAGTCAATCCATCAGGAAGACATAACAACCAAGCCCCAAAATACATAAAGTAAAAACTGACAGGCTGGGTACAGTGGCTCATGCATGTAATCCCAACACTTTAGAAGGCCAAGGTGGGCTGATCACCTGAGATCAGGAGTTCGAGACCAGCCTGGCCAACATGGCAAAACCCTATCTTTATTAAAAAAAAATACAAAAATTAGCCGGGCTTGGTGGCATGTGCCTGTAATCCCAGCTACTTGGGAGGCTGAGGCAAGAGAATTGCTTGAACTCGGGAGGCGGAGGTTGCAGTGAGTCGAGATCATGCCACTGCACTCCAGCCTGGGTGACAGAGCAAGACTCCATTTCAAACACACACACACACACACACACACACACACACACACACACACACACACACACCAAACAAACCTGAGAGAACTGAAAGAAGAAATAGACAATAATACAACGGTAGTTTCAAACTTTGATATCCCACTTTCAATAATAAATGGAGCAATGAGACAGAAGATCAATATGGAAATACTTGAATAACACTATAAACCAATTAGTCTTAGATATCTACAGCAGATCAATAAGGAAATAGAATACTTGAACAACACTATAAACCAATTAGACTGAGACATCTATAGAAGATCAATAAAGATAGCAAATACTTGAACAATACTATAAGGCAATTAGACTCAGCTAGCTATAGAATACTCCTCCCAACAGTAGCAGAATACACATTCTTCTCAAGTGCACATGAAACATCTCCAAGAGGGAATAAATGTTAGGCTATAAAATAAACTTTAATAAATTTTAAAATATCAAAATAATGAAAAGTATGTTCTCTGACCACAATTGAATGAAATTAAAAATAGCAGAAAAAAATTTGGTAACTTTTTAAATAATGGAAATTAAACAACATACTCCTAAATAATCAAGAAAAAAAAAACACAGGAAAATTAGAAAATACTTTGAGGGCCAGGGACGGTGCTCATGCGTGTAACCTGTAACTTTGGGAGTCCAAGGCAGGAGGATCACTTGAGGCCAGGAGTTCGAGACCAGCATGGGCAACATAGTGAGACCCTACCTCTTAATTGTATTTCTATTTACTATCAATGAGTACTCTGAAAATGAATTTGAAAAAGAATTCAATTTACAACAGCATTAAAAAGAATAAAAATACTTAAGAACAAGTTTAATTAAAGAAGATTTATTCATTGAAAACCTCAAAATATTGTTGAAATAAATTAAGGAAGATCTAAACAAATGGAAAGATATCACATTTTCTTGGATCTGAAGATTTAACATTGTTAAGATGGCAAACTCCCCCATATTGATCTACAGATTCAATACAAACTACCAAATGCCCTCTTATTTTTCTGAAGGTAATCCTAAAATTCACACAAAAATGCAAGGGACCAAAGAAAAACAGCTGGAGGATTCATATTTCCTGATTTTAAAACTTACTACGAATCAACAGTAAGTGTGGTATTTTCATAAGGCTAAACACATAGATCAATGGAATAGAACTTAAGAGTCTAGATATAAACCCTTACATTTATGGACAATTGATTTTTGACAGAGGTGCCAAGACAATTCATTAGGGAAAAAATACTGTTTGCAACAAATGACAGTGGGATAACTTTGCATATCTACCATGCTAGTGGGACTCTAAAATATATGGCAGTTCCTCAAAATGTTAAACATAGAGCTACCACATGACCCAACAATTCTGCTTTTAGGTTTATACTCACAAGAAATGAAAACCTACATTAATATAAAAATGTGTACATAACTATTCATAACAGCTTAGTTTGTTTGGGCTGCTATAACAAAACATCTTAGATTATGTCATTTATAAACAACAGAAAAGGCTGGGCATGGTGGCTCACGCCTGTAATTCCAGCACTTTGGGAGGCCAAGGTGGGTGGATTGCTTGAGGTCAGGAGTTTGAGACCATCCTAGCCAACATGGTGAAACCTCATCTCTACTAAAAATACAAAAATTAGCCAGGCATGGTTGCGCACATCTGTAATCCCAGCAACTCAGGAGGCTGAGGCAGGAGAACTGCTTGAACCCGGGAGGCAGAGGTTGTAGTGAGCTGAGATCATGCCACTGCACTCCAGCCTGGGTGACAGAGAGAGACTCTGTCAAAAAAGAAAAGCAAAGAAAAGAAAGAAAGAAAAGAAAGGAAAGAAAAGAAAGAAAAGAAAGAAAGAGAAGACAACAGAAATTTATTTCTAAGTTCCAGAGGCTGGGAAGTCCAACATCAAGGTGCCAAAAGATTCAGTGTCTGGTGAAGGCTCTGCCTGCTTCATGGCACCTTGTTGCTGTTATCCTCGCATATCAGAAGAGGCAAGGGAGCTTACTCAAGTCTCTTTCATGAGGGTACTAATCCCATTAATGAGATTGGAGCCCTCATGACTTAATTCCAAAAGGTCCTACCTCTTAATGATATCATATTGAGTATTAGGTTCCAGCATTTGAATTTTGGGGTGACACTAACATTCAGATATAGCAGCAGCATTATTCATAATAGCTAAAAAGGGGAAACTGAAATGTCTCTCAACTGGTGAATGGACAAACAAAATGTGGTATATCCATACAATGGAATATTATTTGACAACAGGAAGCATTAAAGTATGGATATATGCTATAACATTGATAAATCTTCAAAACATTATGCTAAGTAAAAGAAGCAAATCATATAAGGCCACATATTGCATAATTCCATTTACATGAAATACCCAGAATATTCAAATCCATGGAGAAAGAAAGTAAATTAGTGGTTGCCAGGGCCTGAAGAGAGGGGATAATGTGGAGTGACTGCTAATAGGTATCAGCTTCCTTCTTAGGATAAGGAAAATGTTTGCAATCATATCATGATAATAGTTATATAATTGTGAATATACTAAAACAACTAAGTTGGTGACTTTTATCATATATGAATTTTATTTCAATAAAGTTGTGATTTTACAAAAAGGAAAAGAAGTAATTAGTTTTCTAGATTCACAGGAAATCATCAAATAAATAAGACAATTTCTGTTTCCAGATTGCAGGAGTCTATCAAGTGCCCAGGAAAATGGTGTCAGGACTGGGATTTGATCTTTCCCTACTTACAATCAATAAGTTATCCTGTTACTGTTTCATGGATACAAACAGAAGATAGAAGATTTCTGAGTGAGAGATAAAAAAGAGCAAGCAGCATGAGCATTAGTATGTGTCAGTTTCCCTTGCCCCCAAGTCCCATAGGGGCAATGCATAAGGGCAGGGCCCATGGATACTGCATATACAGTGGTTTTGTATTGCAGCTGGGGAACACTGAAGTTGAGAGATCTACTGCTTTTATTGAAAGCAATAAGCAACCCTACTATTTGTCCCGAAAGGAGACTTATCTTACCCCTCAAGGTTGCTCACTGCAAATACAAGCCTGAGAAATAATCCAATTTTAGGGTGGTCAGGGCCTTGCATTCTTGGTATACTCCAAAGACTTGTAAGAGTACAAGAGACCCATGAAGAAGTGTCTCCCAATAAATAGATAAAAATAAACCCTCATGAAGGTTACATCACTTGAAATTTCAAGACACTGGGACAAAGAAAAGATAATACAAGCACCCTGAATAGAAACAAAATAGTATTGGATTTCTCAACAATAACTTTGATGGCTGAACAATAATTGAGTAATGCCTTATAATTTTTGAGGCATAGCCATTTCAAAATTAGAATTCTATATCTAGTCAAATTATCAATCCTTAGGAGAAAATAAAGCATTTTCAGAAATGCAATTCTCACGCAATTTACCTGTCATGCACCCTTATTGGAGGATGTAGACTACCACAATAAAGGAGTAAAACAAGAAAGTAGAACGTGTGGGATCCAGGAGATAGAATATCTAAGCCAAAAAAGAAGCAAAGAGAATGGCCAGGACTAGGAAGAAAGGAGATCCCAACAAGACAGCTGTACACTAGGAAAAGACTAGAGCAGGTCAGAGAGTTCCAGGAGAGAATTCTTCAAGACGAAATGCGTAGAATACCCAATACATTTTGAGATATTGAGATTTCAAGATATTGAGACATGAAGCTACTGAAAGATGATGTACACAATTTAGAAGAGCTTGAGTTGAATTAGCATGAAGTACATATAGAAAAGTAGGCAAACTAAAAACCAAAAGGTATTAATCAACAACAGGGAAAGTCAGATTTCAGGAAAGGAAATATAATCACGGCATATGTAGTGGATGCTTCACTATGGTGCCCAGATAACCTACCCCTACCTGCCAATCCAGTCAGTCACACCCCCCAGCAGTTAGGAGCTGGCTCATAGGTGTTTATTTCTGGAGCTTGCGCTGTGCCTGAGGGAGCTGCCTCCCTCAAGGTTAAGCCTCCTCTCCAGGGACAGCTCCATCTAACAACTGGTCCTCTGGTACAAAGGCCCACCCTGTCTCAATTGCTGGTAACTCTTCAGGGCTCTCCCTGCTCAGAGCTTCCTGTAAGACAAGCTGAGGCCTTGGTGTGACTGCATCACAGCCCAACTTCCCCTCTGTCCAATCCTGCCTCCCACATCCATCACAGGTGTTGTGCCCCAAGGAACACTGGGCACAAATCTCTGCTTTAGGATCAGTGCTCTGGAAATCTGACCTAAGGGAGTATATCACATGGCTCCAGTGTGAAGTGCATGTACATAGTCATCATACTGTAAGCAATGGTTATTAATCTAAGCTAAATTACAATAATTATATTGAGAGGGTGCAGGATGGGGAGTGTGTATCCATGGTGAGGTCTAGGGAGAGGATAATGAAAGAGGGCAAGACCTTCATTTTCTTTTTTTTTTTAATTATTATACTTTAACAGGTTTGTTACATATGTATACATGTGCCGTATTGGTGTGCTGCACCCATTAACTTGTCATTTAGATTAGGTATATCTCCTAAGGCTATCCCTCCCCCATCCCCCCACCCCACGACAGGCCCCAGTGTGTGATGTTCCCCTCCCTGTGTCCATGTGTTCTCATTGTTCAATTCCCACCTATGAGTGAGAACATGCGGTGTTTGATTTTCTGTCCTTGAGACAGTTTGCTCAGAATGATGGTTTCCAGCTTCATCCATGTCCCTGCAAAGGACATGAACTCATCCTTTTTTATGGCTGCATAGTATTCCATGGTGTATATGTGCCATATTTTCTTAATCCAGTCTATCATTGATGGACATTTGGGTTGGTTCCAAGTCTTTGCTATTGTGAATAGCACTGCAATAAGCATATGTGTGCATATGTCTTTATAGTAGCATGAATTATAATCCTTTGGGTATGTACCCAGTAATGGGATCGCTGGGTCAAATGGTATTTCTAGTTCTAGATCCTTGAGGAATCGCCACACTGTTTTCCACAATGATTGAACTAGTTTACACTCCCACCAACAGTGTAAAAGCGTTCCTATTTCTCCACATCCTCTCTAGCACCTGTTGTTTCATGAAGATCTTCATTTTCAACAGAACAAATGTGAAATGTAAAAACCCAGAATTAACAATATAAGTATTATTTACAGATAAGGTAAAAATCAAAAGAACAGCTAAAATGGTTGAGGAATAGGAAAGATTAGGGAAGAGGCAAACTTTTAGAACTATTTGACTCTATAAAACATGTACACACATAACGTGGAATAGAAAATAAAAACCAATTTTTAAAAAAATCTAGAAAATAACACTAACAATTCAGGTTCTTAGAAACAAAATCCTTCTGTGCAGTTATTAATAATGGGAGGTCCCTCCCATCTCTATTCAAAATCAACAAAAAACTACAAAACTTCTTGCTGTATTCTTAGGAATTTTGCTTAAGTGGAAGAAACTTGCAAAAGGGAATGCTGCCTTCTAGGGAAGCAAAATATTGCTAAAGTGTTGAGGTTTTGGATTTTAGGGAGCTTTGCTACTGCATAGGTTTGCATTTGCTCTCAGTCACCAAGAAGAGACTTTGGGAGGGATGGGAGGGGACAAAAAGTGGAAGGAAACGAGGTTCAAGCTTTTCCCACAATTGCACATTCTCCCACTGTCATTTCAGTGGAGAGAAAAACTCAGGTACGAAAAGAGGAGATTCTGTGCATAAACATGTGAAGCTGTTCCTGGAGAATAGGGAACATCTGTGCTTAGTTGCAGATCCATTCAAACTTCACAAGTTCACTCCAAGTTGAGCACTGAAGTCCTCACTTCCCAGGCTCAAGTTCTTTTTTTTTTTTTCTTTTTTTGTGGAATATACGATATCCCTGTTCAAGAATTGCAGCCTAGTAAACACAGCTCATAAAACTTGGAGGTGACAGGGTGCTTACCCAACAGATGCTGATGAGTGAAGTGTAAATGAATTAGAAACATGTGGATACAATGTCTTAAGTGTATATGCAGGGGTTAAATAAAATAAGGTGCTTGCTCAAAGCAAAGCAATGGACCAGTTTGCAGCATTTGGTCTAGTAACTAATCCAGGAGCAGTCAGAGCCACAGCAGCGCCAGACTTTTCCTCCACTGACTGCATTATCTACGTATTATTGCTCCTGTTTATGACAAAGTATCCGCCTGCCCTTGGATTCCAAATTCTGGACTAGACTCAGATGATTACTATTTAAAATGCTTTCCCCCAGACTGCATTTTCCAGGACAAAGTTATGGAAAATAAGATGAGGAGAATGATTCTCAGAGCTCAGGCTCTTCTCTGGAATTAGAAAACTGTTTTGAAAAAGTCAGAAGAGGGGTGAGACTAAGTCTTAGCTTTTCCTGTTCTGAAAAAGAAAAGGTTTTGGGCGCTTTCCATTATTAAAGCTTAAATGCAAAAACACACAGCTTATCAATTGCCTAATACCCCAAACCTTCCATCCCACACTTGGAATTTAAACTTTAGAAGTTAATACTGAACATATTTTAAAGGGCATTTCTAAAGGCAATGTCCTTTAGAAACTTTAGAAGTGCCCTACTGAATCTTACTTTACTGACTGTTTTAATAGGCTTGGGTATCCGGATTAGAAACAGTGAACAAAAATTTCTTTTTAAATTTTTATTTTGTTTTTCTTTCTGCAGCATTACTGAGGTGTCATCACACACAAAAACATCCCTTTTAAACCCTGAAAAAAAATCATTGGCTCAATTTTCTATCAATAGTCTTCTTAGCACTGCTCATACTTAAACACAGTTCTAATTTTCCACAACACTCTGATTCAGTGGCTTTCAAACTCTAACGTACATCAGAATTACCTGGGGGTCTTTTATTAAAACAAAGGCTGATGGACATGGACCCCACTCCCTGGAGTTTCTGATGCAGTAGGTCTAGTATGGAGCCCAAGAAGGTTCATTTCTAACAAGTTCCCAGGTGATGCCAGTGCTGCTGGTCCGGGAGCCACACCTGGAGAACCTCTGCTCTAACTGATGCTTCTGAACTAGGATAGAGAAAGGAGACCTCGCTTGTAACCAGCCTACTAGCTGACACCCTGGGAATGCACTGCCATAGCTAACATAAAAATTGATGTTTGGCTACTTAAATGAAAGGTTAGTTTTATACTTGAAAGCTAGACAGTGAAGACTGCAGCCATCAGGAGGCCTTGCAAGGAGGAAGTTTCCTTTTGATCTGTCAGGTATGGTCTATGCTGTGCAGAAAACAGAGAGGAGACAGGAACTTCTCTTCCCTTTTTAGCTGCATTTGGATTTAGCAGGCATTAGGATGTAACTGGCTTAGTCCTACCTTTTGTAAATTTTATATGTCTAGTGTTTTTTGAGCACCTACTATATGTTAGACCCTTTATATAAATTAATTCAGCCAATCCTTGCCTACGGAGGACAAGGAACCTAAGGCTCACACAAGCTTAGTGACTTGGTCACAACCACATGGTTGGTAAGTGGTAGAGCTCAGCTGTAAACAGGTCCACGTGATTGAAATGTCATTGTTACCACTGCACCCCCCACCTCACTACTCCACTCTGGAACCCAAAGATACTCCAAGCAGAGCTTCCCACTGCTGTGCTGTGCTGCCAATGGGCTACAGCTATGGCACCACTGGGGCATACCTCCCCAACAAAGTCACCTGCTGCAGGCCAGATCACCTACCTACTCCCATCCTGCTTGGATCTCATGGGGGCCTGGGGACTTTCTGCTTCCCCTAGGGCAGCCAGTTAAATAAAGGAAGCCTCCCTCCTATGGCCCAGAAAGTTGCCTCTGTTTCTGTTCTGGATTTCTAACACCATGCCCCTGTCTCCTACCCAATCCCCTGGCCTACTCCCATCAGCTGCATGAAACCTGTGCAGAACTGCATGGGTCTGCCCTGGTGCTGGACATGGGAGGTGGCTGTCAACCTCTGCTTCTGTTCCCTCTTTCTGCACCCCCTGGCTGCCAGCTTTCAATCTTCTGCTGGGTTGCCAATCACTAATGCACATTTCTAGAGCGCAACCCAATTTTCTCAAGGACAAGGATGCATCTCTGTCAATGGTAACAAACATTCTAGAAACCTCTTTCAATCCCTATTATTGGCTCTACCACCAAGCTATGTCATTTATTCATTGTGAGTTCTCCTCCTCCCTTTCACTCCTTCTGCCAAATCCCAGCTCAGGCCTTCATCAGCCTGTGTTAGAAGCTACACATTCTCCTAGCTGATCTCCCTGACTCCAAGTTTCCTGCCCTCTCCCCATTTGTCTGACTCAAGCTATATTATTCCCCAAACCTTCCTTCTTCAGGTCACCCTCCCTTCAAGAACCTGTTGTAGCTTTATACTCCTCCTTTCCCACCACTCCTAAAGAACCACCCTCCCACCATCACCTCTTCCCCAAATGCCCTGTGCTCCTTCTCCACCACCATGGTTTTGTACACTGTTCCCCAGGCTGGCGTGTCCCACATTCTATTCTCTGCCTAAATAAATTCTACCTGACCTTGCAGATGTGACTTCTGGAAGCTTCCTCTGTCATAGCCACTAATCCTACTAATAAGTAAGATATCCTACTAATCTTGCTATCTCTGCACTACATGGACCATCACAGCTGGAAAGACCCCACCCAATCCTTTCATACTACACAGTAGAAAACTGACACCCAGAAAAGTGAAAATACTTGTCTAGAGTCATACTGTTTGTCAATGACCTCACCACACTTAAAATATTGCACAGAGATTTCCTAAATTGATTATAATGACACCCAACCTGGCTAGAGTGCTTGCATTGTACCAAGTACTGTGTGAGACACTGCATATGTATTAGTTCATATCACTCTTAGAGAAGTAGACACTATTACTATCCCATTTTACAGATGAGAAACCTTTGGCTCAGAGAGGTTAAGTAACTTGCTAAAACCCACACTGCTAGAGAGTGGTAGAGCCACCAGGATTCAAATTCAGATTTGACTTAGAATGCTACCTTCAGTGCCCGATTAAACTCTTAATTCTTTCCTCTGAGTACATATTCTCTCCCTAAGCAAATGCTCACCCTCTCAAGGTCAAGGACAGTGCCTGGCATGGTGCCATGTATGAAGCAATGCTTGTTCATTCACCAGATGTTTATTGAGCACCTATTGTAGGCCAGGCACTGTGCAAGGATCTAGAAATAAGCAAATTACTAAGACAGAGTCCCTGCCCTTATGGGACAATCAACATTTATTCATTCATGGATTCGTTTACTCAGCAAATACATATTGAGGATCTTATTCCAGACAGTATAGTAAGTACCAAATAAATAATTTTAAAAAGAGACCAGGTCCTTGACCTCCTGCAACTACAATTTCATGGGGAAGACAGGTATGAATTAACTAGTCACACAAATAAATGTGAAATTATAGCTGTGAAAGAGGAGAAGGAGTTTATTATGTGAAGGGGAGGGGAGGAAGGAGGAACATTCCAGGCAGAGATATATCCAAAGGCCAGGACCACGAAGCACACAAGATGCTGGGAGACATTCCTCATCGCTGAAGTAGAAAGCACAAGCTGATACCTGGTGAGGCTGCAGAGGTAAACCAGCAGTCCAGGTCATGCAAGACCATTGTTCTCACAGAAAGAATGAGCAAAACTTGTCTAGAGTCCTGGGAAGTGCCACAGCTTGCATCCTGCACACTTAAAACCTGAACAGGGAACAGCAGTAGCTTCCTGTTCGTAGAAAGTTCCTAGACACATAGTTTCATGGGATTTGGCTAAGTGAACCTTGTCCAAGTTACCCAACCTTTTTCTGAAATGTTTCCTATTTCTCTCATGTCACATTAAATCCAAAGCAGGAAAAAACGACTGAAAACAAATGCCATTATGAAAAGGCACCATGCCGTTCAAAACTCTTCATGCTGTGTGACATGTTGTGTTACATCTTAAAATGTTATATTTAATAAAAAGTAAGTTGGAAAGGGGTTCTGCCAGTAGTAAGCCAGTCTGGCCAACTGTCAAGAAAGCGGCTTGACAGCTTCAGCAGAAGCGGGAGGTCATGGCCGGTGTTTTACAGCTTTGGAAAATGTCTAACTATCTGAGCGGATATATGTGTTAAAACACAGAATAGATACGTATCCTCCAGCAAGATGATGTGGCTGGGGTTTCTCCCGTCAGGAACTGAGGCTGTTGAGAGCTTTGAGAAGGAAGTCAGGGAAGGGAATTCTGGTACAAACTGCCACATAAAGTAAAGGTCTTGGAAACCAGAGAAAGTCAGAGGCAGAGGAAGTGGTAGCACCTCTGCAGGCAATACCCAGGGGAGGACGGCTTGACTTCCTATCCCCTGCTATTACCATCTCAGTAAAATAGGTATGTATACGTATAGGTATGTGTGTGTGTGTGTGCATATGTACGCATGTACATGTTTTATGTGTGTACATGCATATGTGTATATTATGTATGCATGTGTACATATGGTATAGATATGTGGGTGTATCAGAGTATGTATTTATAGGGCATATGTGTGTATGTATATACATGTGTCTACATGTATGTATACATGTATATGTAGATATGTGTGTGCACATCCACACGTTTCATTCAGAGTCTATTGGTACACGGCCAAAGCACTCAACAGCGATAAAAGCACACGGGTTCATCAGGTGGAAAAGGCTGGCACTTGAATGCGTGGGTCCACTCAGCGAATCCCGACGCCTGAACAACAGGCCATGTGCTCAACAAAGTCTGTGTTTGTGTGTGTGTGTGTGTGTGTGTGTGTGTGTGTGTGTGTCTCTCTTCAAAACACTGAGAAGCAGACTTGGGAGACACTGGAAAAGGAAGGTTGTAGCAGGAAGAGAGTTTTGATGGCTTCAGCAAAAGAATGTTCTGGTATGACATCATCCAGGAATTCAGGGGAAAACTCCAAGGAACCCCAGCTCGCACCATCTTTTTTTTGGGAGTCGGGGGACAGGGGCTTGTTCTGTGGCCCAAGCTGAAGTGCAGTGGCGTGATCTCAGTTCACTGGCAGCCTCTGCCTCCCGGGTTCAAGCGATTCTCCTGCCTCAGCCTCCTGAGTAGCTGGGATTATAGGCATGCACCATCATGCCCAGCTAATTTTGTATTTTTTGTAGAGGTGGGGTATCACTATGTTGCCCAGGCTGGTCTCGAACTCCTGAGTTCAAGCGATCTGCCCACCTTGGCCTCCCAAAGTGCTGAGATTACAGGTGTGAGCCACAGCACCCGGCCAGTCTCAACTTTTGACTGCAGAAACCAATGAGTGAGAATTGTCTGTGCCTCTGCCCAGTCCTTGTGAGCTGCCATGCTTAGCACAGGCTTTGCACCTGGGGGGCAGTGGAGCTCAGTGGGGACTTTTAGACTGGATGTCCTCTGTCACCTTCACGGCATGTCCCTTAGCAGCCTCCCAGAGGGCTCTTGGCTACTGAGCTCCCCGTTTTGGGGTTTAATAAAACCCACTAACAAGTGACTTTCAACATGTTTCATCATGTTACTCCTCTCCTCACAGCCATCCGGTCCTTCACCATCCTCAGAATATCCGCATCCGACTCCTAAGGCAGGTTTCAAGGACACCGCCCTCTTCAACTGGGCCTGTAACTACTCAATGGTTCTCCTCATTGTTACAGAAACACAGCAAAGGCATTCCCACCTCAGTGGCTCTGTTTCTTCTATTCACCTGTCCAGACTATCCTTGGTTCTCCAATCTGCCTTCACAAACCCACCTTCAGCATTGAGCTCCAGACCTACGACTCCTGGGAAGCCTTTCATACTGACATCTGTTCAGAAATATCTGTCTAGTGCTGAGTAGAAGCGGGTGGAGATGTCAGAGGGACTCACATTAATTTTATTAAATACACAAAAATGCAAGCAACTGTATAAACGCCAAATTGTAGCAAGTGCTGTGATGGCAAAGTCTCCCAGGGCATATACAATAGAGAAACGACTTAGTCCAGGGTATCAGGAAAGGTTTTACTGAGGAAGTGACTTCTGAACTGAACTGAAATCTGAAGGATGAGTAGGAGTTAGCTCTGTGAAGGAGGAGTAGGGAGGAAGACATCCCAAGCAGTAGCACCAGCCTATGCACATGCTCTGCGGCAGGAGGAGGAGGAGTGAAAAGGCCAATCAGGCACTGTGGCTCACGCCTGTAATCCCAGCACTTTGGGAGGCTGAGGCGGGTGGATCACCAAGTCAAGAGATCTAGACCATCCCGGCTAACATGGTGAAACACCGTCTCTACTAAAAATACAAAAATTAGCCGGCCGTGGTGGCACTTGCCTGTAGTCCCAGCTACTCAGGAGGCTGAGGCAGGAGAATCGCTTGAACCCAGGAGGTGGAGGTGGCAGTGAGCCAAGATTGCACGACTGCACTCCAGCCTGGGAAACACAGTAAAACTCCGTCTCAAAAAAAAAAAAAAAAAAAAAAAAGACAAATGTGTTTGGACAACAGAGTGTATGACAGCCCAGAGGGGAAGCCCACCTTTAAGTGTCTAGTTTGCACCATCTCTCTGGATTAGGGCTGCCAAATAAATACAGGATGCTCAGTTAAATATCTCAGATATGCAGCACACATTGAATGGGACATACTTCTACTAAATATGGTAAAAAAAAAAAAATATTGTGTATCTGATATTCACATTTAACTGGGCATCCTGTATTATTTACAAGCAACCGTACTCTGGATACAACCAAATAACACATTTTTCTATGTAACTCAATTATATTCTTAACTACAATGGGTCTTAATTTTTATCTGATTTCATATCATTCCATCTTAGTGATTGCCTCAATCGGAGAACCTTGGAGCAGGAAGACTCCTTATAGAAATCAGCTAGTCTGTCTGACATTCTCACTTTACGGATGAGAATAGGAGGCTCCGGAAGGCCCTGGAGCTGCTCAAGGTCACAGATAGAGACTCCTCTGGGGCTTCTTTCATGCCTCCCTGCTGTGCCTAGGACAGTGCTAAGCACACTAAAAACAGCTTAATCAATTGCTCAATTGAATTAACAATCTCATTTACATGCCTCTGTACAGAGGGGGATGAATAGATACAATCCCAGACACCCAGGAGCTTTCAAAACAAAATAAATAGGAAGCCAGACAGAGTAGGAGCCATCTGCTCACGCACAAACACAGGGACAGACACAAAGGACACGGGTAAGGGGCTGATTCCACCAACCAGACTCCAGCCTTTTCCCTGAGATTCTACAAGGGCCTGGGAACCAAGGCTCACCTCTCTCCCTGGTAGCGTGGTGAGTTTATTCCTGCATGAAGGCTCATTGGATTTACATGGCAAGTATGGAAAGTGATCATTTTTACCAAAAGATGGAAACTGTGACCCTGAAGAAACTTGCCAGCCTCATTCATTCATCCCATTCAGGCCGCAGTTATTTGCTGAGAGACTATTTCAGGCCCTCTCTGTAGGCAGAACACGTTCTGTCCAAATATGCACAACCACCGAGAGAAAAAGGCAGGGGCGGGCCCCTCCACCACTATTTACCAAACGAATGCAGCCCTCCACATTCAACTGGAACTGAACGCAGGGGGCATAATCCCCCTGAGTAAGCTTGGCTTTCATTCCTCCCCAGGACTTTAAAAGACGTCAATCCATCCCAATCACAATCAAATGCAAGCATTTCACTTCCCCAAAGACAAACAAGGATTTGAACAAATGAGAAACGGAGGTTCCCTTGTGGCTGCAAGAAAAGCAAATTCAGCAGTCCCGGCTCCCTCTCAAAGGAAGCGCTGGGAAGGATGTTCTTGTCGTGGCCACACAAAGTGTGGCATGAGCTCATCGTGCCAGAACCTAATTGAAACCTCAGGCTGAAACAGTATTTGGTGGTATTTGAAGGGAAAGGATGGGAAAAGACAAAAAGGAAGAACAAAGGGTGTGTACAGAAGACACATGAAAAGCAGCCCGCTTCTTGACCGTGGGACAATTTGGATGGTGGCCATTGAGTTAAATGAGGTGTAGCTTTCCTCTCAAGCTCTCTGAGACACAGAGATGCTCTGCAGAACTAGCTGCTGCCAGCATTATGGTTCCATAGCCAAGGCCCTCAGGGTTCATTAGAACCTTCAAAATGTAATTATATTCAAAGAAATGTGGCAGGAAGGATGATGGTTAGGCCTTTAGACAAACTACCTAGCACACTGGAGAATCTACTGAAAGGCATACAAGTAAAAGAGAAAGAGGATGATCTCTGCATAGTCCTTACCTGGGTTTGAATCTGAGTTCTTCTACTTAATAAGCTTGTGTCATTGGACAAAGTAAGTCTATGAACCTTGCTTTTCTTACCTGTCAAAATCGGTATGACAAGGCTTATCTTAAAGATTTGTCTGTGAATCAAATAAGAGAATGCTTGTAAAAGCACAGGCACTCAATAAAAGTTAACCTCTTCTCCCGTGAAACTAGATGCCTAGGGAAGTAGGGGAATGTCTGCATTTGGAAGCTTTATAAGAATTGCAGACATGGAAATATCGACATTTATCAATATGTGGCAACCCCTGGCAGAAAAGTTGGGGGTGGGCAGTAGTCCCCAGTGGTCTCAAGGCTTCATTTGCATATTCTCTTGCTCTTAAGTAGTAAATTGATCTTGGGCTGTCGTCAGAGCCCTTCTGAGCTGCCTGTTCTTTTAATTTTCTCTGAAAATTATCATAGAAACATGGCCAAGTTAAAATATCCCTGGAAGAAGAGTAGGGAGATGGGTTCCACGGCATTTTGGCTGCATTTCAGGACTCCAGCTGCTCAGTAGCCAAATCTAGAAATGCTGTTGAGGGTCTCATTATTCTATTTCCTTCCTCTGTATGGTTCTTGCAAACAGCCACCTGCAAGTTTCATTTTGTTATTGGATCTGGACAGAGACCTAGTTTTAATCTTCCTTCTTGTGAGAGTCTCTTGTGTTCTGAGAGGCCATCGTCTCCTGCAGTTCAATCATCAGCCACTGATAAACACAAGTCTTAATGAAGGACTCACTATTCTTTTCCTTCAGTGAAAGTTCCCACTAACAAGCATACTCAGATTCAATGGAAAGCGTGTGACTACAGACTCAGATACCTGGAATGAACCCTGGTCGCCCGCCCTTCCTCTGACACGGAACATAAATATAGCCAGGTGTGTGACACTGGCTTTTTCCCTAGACTCAGTTCCCTGACTTCACCTTAAATATGTAGCAAAAGCTTGATGCTCTACTTTCTCTTGGATATATTTAGCCAACCAGTCTGGGTGCAGTGGCTCACACCTATAATCTTAGTCCTTTGGGAAGCCCAGTGCAGGAGGATCGCTTGAGGCTTGCAGCTCAAGACCAGCCTGGCAACATAGCAAGACCCTGTCTCTACAAAAAGAATTTTAAAATTAGCCGGCATGAGTTGCCAGGCGCGGTGGCTCACGCCTGTAATCCCAGCACTTTGAGAGGCCGAGGCAGGCGGATCACGAGGTCAGGAGATCAAGACCATCCTGGCTAACACGGTGAAACCCCGTCTCTACTAAAAAATACAAAAAATTAGCTGGGCGTGGTGGCGGGAGCCTGTAGTCCCAGCTACTCTGGAGTCTGAGGCAGGAGAATGGTGTGAACCCGGGAGGCGGAGCTTGCAGTGAGCCGAGATTGTGCCACTGCACTCCAGCCTGGGCGACAGAGCGCGACATGGTCTCAGAAAAAAAAAAAAAAAAAATTAGCCGGCATGGTGGCTTATGCCTGTAGTCTCAGCTACTCGGGTGGCTGAGATGGGAGGATCCCTTGAGCATCAGGAGTTCAAGGGTGCAGTGAGCTATGATCGTGTCACTGCACTCCAGCCTGGGTGACTGAACAAGGCCCTCTCTGTACAAAAAAAAAAAAAAAAAAAAAAAAAGATTTAGCCAATCATAATTACCTAAAAATTGAGGAGCCCGGAAAAAGAGACAAATTTTCTTTGAAAGCCCAATATATTTGAGATGAAAGGATGTGATTTTTTTCTGACAGTAATCCCAGTTATTCCTACTCCCCTTCCAACTCTACTCTGTAGATCAGGATTCAAGGAAAATTGCTAGGTAACTCAATATGGTAAACTACTCCTCAGGGCAGAGCTCTGACAAATGCAGACACGAGTTTAAATCAAGGACATTCAAGGCCTGTTACTGTGGGTTCAGAGGGCTAGACGTCAAAGGAGGGCTATATGACAAAGTAGACATAGGGAGATACAAGATCCAAAATTGGATTTAGCCTCTGTAGACTTATGTAAAGGAAAGTCAAACTTGCCACAGCTTATCTATGCAATCCTGAATCTTCCAATACTTTTACCCTTTAAGTAAAAAAGGGTAAAGGAAGGAAATATTTCTTTCCATCTTGGTTTCCTATTTCCTTCCTGGTTTCCTTGTCCAGCTAAAGTCATATGGACGTTCGCCAAAAACAGATAATGCCATGAAACTCAGATAACATCAAAAGACAGAAAGTGTAATATGAGCTCTCTTAAGCCCTTGGCCTATATTTCACTGGGTCCATCCTGTCTGGTTTTTGATAGTAGGTATATATAAAGGCCAATGTGAGCATTTCCTGCTTTGTTTCTATTTATCTGAAAATTCAGGGATTGCCCAGAATATGTTGCTCATTCTGATTTATTATTTCACCCTCAAAAATGGAACCTGTAATCCCAGCACTTTGAGAGGCTGAGGTGGGCGGATCACAAAGTCAGGAGTTCAAGACCAGCCTGGCCAATATGGTGAAATGCTGTCTCTAATAAAAATACAAAAATTAGCTGGGTGTGGTGGTGGGCGCCTGTAGTCCCAGCTACAGGCTGAGGCAGAAGAATCACTTGAACCCAGGAGGTGGAGGTTGCAGTGAGCCAAGATCATGCCACTGCATTCCAGCCTGAGTGACAGAGCGAGACTCTGTGTCAAAAAAAAAAAAAAAAACAACCCAGAAAATAGCAAGTGTTGGCAAGGATGTGGATAAATTGGAACCCTTATATATACTGTTGGTGGGAATGTAAAATAGTATAGCCATGTGGAAAGCAGTATGACAGTTTCTCAAAAATTTAAAAATAGAATTACCACATAACAATTCCACTACTTTGTATATACCTCAAAGAACTGAAAACAAAGTCTTGAAGAGATATGAATACGCTCACATTCATAGGAACATCATTCACAGTAACCAAAAGGTAGAAGCAATCAACTGCCCATCAGTGGATGAGTGGGTAAACACAATGTGATATAAACATACAGTGGAATATCATTCAGCCTTAAAAAAAAAAAAAAGAGGAAATTCTGACACGTGCTACAACATGGATGAACCTTGAGGTGATTGTGCTAAGTGAAATAAGCCAGTCACACAATGACAAATAACATATGATTCTGCTGCTCGGAGGTACCTAGAGTAGTCAAATTCAGAGACAGAAAGTAGAATAATAGTTGCCAGGGGCTGAAGGGAAAGGGAAATGGGGAGTTTCTGTGTAATGGGTATGGAGTTTTCATTTTGGAAGATGAAAAGAATGCTAGAGATTTGTTGCACAACAATGTGAATGTACTTAACACTACTGTACACTTAAAAATGGTTAAGATGGTGGATTAATCCATTTTCACGCTGCTGATAAAGACTGGGTAATTTATAAAGACAAAGAGGTTTAATGGACTCAGTTCCATGCAGCTGGGGAGGCCTTGCAATCATGGCGGAAGGTGAAAGGCAAGTCTTACATGGCAGCAGGCAAGAGAGAGAATGAGAACCAAGCAAAAGGGGTTTCCCCTTATAAAACCATCAAATCTCATGAGACTTATTCACTACCATGAGAACAGTATGGGGGAACCACCCCCATGACTCAATTATCTCCCACCGGGTCACCTCCTACAACACATGGGAATTATGGGAGCTACAATTCAAGATGAGATTTGGGTGGCGACACAGCCAAACCATATTGGATGGTAAGTTTTATGTTTTTTATATATATATATTTTATCATATTATCACAATTTTTTTAAAAAAGGACTCAATATGCCTGAGTCCATACAAACATCCAAAGCCTGCTCCCTCCCTACACACACACACACACACACACACACACACTCTCTCCAAAGAATCAAATCAATACTCGAATGAAACAAGTAAGTAAAATTGGTGAGCAAATTAGAGTAGCTGAGATGATCTCCTACCAGACCACTCTGTCCTATAGGGACTGGCTTTCTTGTTTTTATTTTTCCCCCCTTCATCTAAAGCTGGGCATACAGGAAGAGCTGAACAACAGAAGACCTTTCAGTAAGGAACACATTCTGGTAGATGGAAAAATCAGCCGTCCTTTGGAAATGAAGATGACATTACTGACCCAAAACCAATAAAGCCTGCATGAAAGTTGCTGTGTTCCCCATTACTAAGGATAAATTTCCATCACTTCACCCACATTCTCCTACTATAAAGTACCTGGCACCTAGTGGGTACTCCATATAGGTTTGGTGAGCAAATTAATGAATCACCTACAGGCTAAAGGGAACAAACCAAGCAGCTATGCAGCAGAAATTTAAGAAGCCCTCAAGAGTGTTAAAAACGCAAACTGATTGCCTCTTTCTGGATGAATTCAAGGGATGATTTATGTGAAAGAAGGTAAAGTAAGTTCTTGTTAAAGTCTCAGGTTTTACAGAGAAAGTGTGATATCCTGAGTGTAGTTTTGATTTGTCTTCTGTTTATGTGTGTAAACCACAAAAGCAGTTAACTGTTGATGGCCAAATAACAAATGCCTCTGTCTCTCCCAGGAGAGATTAAATAGCTCTGGGTTGAGGGGGGAAAATAAGATCAAAAGAAGATCCAGACATCCCTGGCTGGCAGGCAGCAAGAGGTCCCCTGGCCAAGGGAGGGTAACCTTTGCTTGAACCTAGAGCAGTTTGGAAGAGGGGTTCTGGGCTGAGAAAAAAATCTTTAAGATGCTTTTCCTAAGCTGTGCTGACCAGGATTCTGAGCTACATGCCTGAGATTCCCTGACCAGACCATAATATTTCCTTCTAAGCCTTTGTTGTATATACTTACAATCAACAAGAAAGATTTCTCTCTTTTTTAAGGACAGCACATAAAGCAAGTTCGGGATGAAAGTTGTATCTTCATATGACTGGTACAGCTTTTGGGAAAGTAAGACAGATATCAGGCAACATAATTCATACCCACTGACCCATTCATCCTCCACCTGGAATTTATTCTAAGACTAAAATCTAAAACAGCATATTTCCTTTTTTCCTGAAAATGCATTTGAATGAATTTTGAGTTATTTTGTTTATACATATTAGGAAAAAGACTCTAGGGAAGGAAAACAAATTATAAAAAAATGATACCCTTTAAATCTCAAGGCACGTTGTCTGTCTACAGTGAAACCCCGTGTAAGCCCCGATTCTTGGGTACCATTTGGTTTGGAGAGAATCACCAAATCACAGCATCCTGAGCAGATAATGTAAATGTTTCCCTAACACCTGAGTTCACCCAGACAACAATGTCAGTCAAAAAGATCCCTTTCTATAGTCTCTCAGCCTGTTTTTTTTTTTAACGTTAATGAGTTATGCCTAGCAGGTAGTTTCCAGCGCACAGCTATTCATTCTTCAAACGTGATAAAAGCATCCGGCCCAAGTCCTAAGAAGCCTAAAACAAAACACAAGCAAACTGAAAACAACTTGACCCTATGCCCATAGGCTGCAAAGGAATCTCTAGAGACCAGAAAAGAAAAAGACAGCACAAACAAAAACAGAAAACCCGGAAACCTTGCCTCCTAAAGTAGCAAGCAGTGTAATGCAAATACATGTTGATTACGAGGCGAACAGAATCCTTTTCTGTTCTGTTTCCAAACACAAAGCTTAGAAAACAAATGATTTTTGCCAAATTCTTCTAAAACAAGGAAACAACTGGCGAATGCTTTCATCATTTAAAAAGCTAACCCTCTGAATTAGGAACTCAGGTAACACTTAAAGTTTCTTTTAAAAAGTATTATTTATTTAAAGCTCAGGAGTCTACCTATTTTAGGGGTCTTCTCTTTGTCTCACTCCTAAGAAACAAACCATCATGTTTTAGAAAGCGAAGCTGAGTCCACCTGTCAAACTTCTCTTTCACGTGGTAACATCTCCATCTGCTGGAAATTTAAATGTCTGCATTAAAGGCAGATAATGTTAGCTTTATTTTTCTATAAATTTATGTCTAATTCACATTTCCATTTTCTCTTACATGTGTCAGTATTTTATTGAAAATATATGCCCCTTTTCCCTTTTCTCTGAGGTTCCCAGTGGTCTCTATTGTCATGGTATTTGCAGCACCTCCCCTAACCCCCTCTTGGCCTTCTCCACATGCTTTGGGCAGGTCCTCATCAGTCTTTCTTTATAATTGTACATCCTTATGTTAGTCCTGGAACCCTTGGCTGAATCTGGAAATTGCTTACCTGTCCTCCTTGGGTAGCATTCCTTTGAACTATTATCTTAGCTGCTCACAGCATGAGCTTCTTTATTTGGCTGGCAAACCATTAAGTAGCTGCCTGTTTTGTCTTTGATTTTTAATGGAAGTCAACCCATTAACATTTGGGCAGCAGAAACAAGGCTGTGGTTGTCACTCTCTGATTTCTGGTGTTGCTTTTCTGTACGTTGGCATTTATTCAATCTTCACTAAGCACCTACTCAGTAAACAGTCCCAGGAAATACTGGTGCCTATGAGACAGAGAATATGATTTCTTCTCTGACATTTCTGTTGGTCCGCTAGCTACTTAAGCATCACTTTCCTCATTTTTCCTTAGAGTTCTGCCTCCATTCTGCCATTGCTTTCTTTAAACTAACACACAGTTCTACTGATAAATTGTTGTTTCCTGGTGTTAAACTCACAGCATGAACATCAGCAGCTTTCCGGACCCCCATCTCTTGATCTGTACAGTAAGGAGGTTGGGATGATCTCTTAAGTCCATCCTATTTATGAAGGTGTTAAATTAAACGAAACGTGATTTGAGAAAGCCTCCATATTTGCATACTCAAGCCCTTATGTAACCAAAACCTAACTCTGTAAACAAACCATAAATCTAATTTAGGAATTTGGCTTTGTAACAGATAACTGAGTCTCAGCCAATCAGGGCAGCCAAGTTTCAGTCAATCACAGGTGGCCACGTATTCAAACCAGGTTCAAATTTATTCGCTTTAGCGAACTCCAAGCTCTAAGTGAGCCAGCTGTTTCTATAAGTCACTTCTGTTTTCTGTACAATCCTTCCCTTTTTGTGTCCATAAGTGTCCAGTCATGTGGCAGCCCCAAAGTCTTTCTGAACCTGTTCTGCTTCTGAGGGCTACCCGATTCACAAACTGTTCTTTGCTCTATTAAACTCTTATTTGTCTAAGGTTTTTCTTTTAAGAGATTAGTGTCACAAGTGGGACTCAAAGTCAGACTCCAATGACCCCCAGGAACACCAGGCAACCAGGTGAGGTATCCATGGAGCCCAAAGTGCTCACTGCTCTCGTTTGTAACTGGAGGTCATGGGTTAGTTTTTCTCTTGAGTTCTGAACTCCACAGCGTTGTGTCTAGAGCTCTCCTAGTTTATATGAGCAATTTTTTTTTAACTGAATTGGGTTCGGAAGTCACGAAAGCAACTGGACTGGATCCAGGATTGGATTGGATCCAATAATTAACTGGACTGGATCCAGCTATAGGCCTCAGATGTCTGACAGAATCAAAGGGAAACTGGCAGTAAATGGCAATTACTGAAGGGGGTGCAAACTCCAGCTTTCAGAAATTTGCAGGGATTTTGTGTCCTATCCTCATCATTTCTTTTTCTTGCATGTTTAGGTAAAGAAAAATCATTGGCTAAGCTGGTTAAGGGGATCTGAGAGCCAAGGCCAACATTCAACATAAAAATGGGATCCTTAACTTTGGAAGAATTGAGTACTCCACTTTCTTGTCATGTCTACCTTTACATGTATTAGTATTAGGCCCTGAAAGGCAAAGTCTTACTGAAGATAATTTAAAATTACAATGCCGTTATGTGGATGGTTCCAAATGAACGGCACTGCACTTTAAGAAGTGCATTTTAAAATGTGGGCTCCAGAACTAGGCTCACCCGGGAAGCCTATTGATGTGCAGATGCTTCTAAGAAGGTTTCAAAAATTTTATTGCCTCTTTTAAAAGACTATTTGCAAAAGGCAAATAAAAAACTGAAGCAACTAATTGAAAGAAAAATTGAATCTGCTAACCTTTTGGCTTAGCTACTTACCTCATCCAGAAGGCAAAAAGCAAGCTGGATAAAGTGTTTATAAAGGTATACCTTCAGATAAAGGAAGGCTTCATCTTTTTCAGTGCTATCCATGCTGAATCCAGGCACACAAAATAGTTTCATGTTTTTGTTTTTTTTTTGAGACGGAGTCTTGCTCTGTACCGTTGCCCAGGCTGGAGTGCAGTGGCGCACTCTCGGCTCACTGCAAGTTCCGCCTCCGGGGTTCACGCCATTCTCCTGCCTCAGCCTCCTGAGTAGCTGGGACTACAGGCACCCGCCACCACGCCCAGCTAATTTTTGTATTTTTAGTAGAGACGGGGTTTCACCTTGTTAGTCAGGATGGTCTCGATCTCCTGACATCGTGATCCGCCCGCCTCGGCCTCCCAAAGTGCTGGGATTACAGGCGTGAGCCACCGCGCCCGGCCACAAAATAGTTTCTTTGCCCTATTTGTTAATGAGCTCTGCCCTGAATTAGTAATTTTAGCTAAGAAACAGAAGCTAAGTTGCAAAGAGACCACCTATTGAACTAAATTGGTCTCTCAAATACAGTCATTCCTCAATATCCACAGGGGATTAGTTCAGGACTTCCTGCAGATGTAAAATCTGCAGATGATCAAGTCTCCTATGTAAAACGGCGTATTATATAAACTACGTACATCCTCTTGTATACTTGAAATCATTTCTACATTACTTATAATACCTAACACAATGTGAATGTTATGTAAATGATTGTTATCCTGTATTTTTATTTGTATGACTCTTTACGATTGTATTGTTTTTTTCTTCCTGAATGTTTTCGATCCATGGTTGGTGGAATCCATGGATGCAGAAGCAGATACAGAGGGCCGACTATACACTTTTCTGGCATTTAGCTGGCTATTTTGAAATCCTTTTGTAAAAGAAATTTACATCAATTAAAAAAAATCCACATTCGTAAAGTTGTCAGCCTCTCTGTACCAGGAACAGAGGAAGGATCCAGTCATTTGAAACTCTCAAAATGGAAAAGACACTGGTTTAAATTTATATCGCAATATATCACAATATCACAGTGGCCATTTTGCCTTAAGTAGGCCTTAAAGTATGACCTTCTTTCTTGATTTGGGCAAATGATGGTATTCAAGCCTTAAGTCTCAGTTCCGTGCCTTTGAGATATAAATGTTCTACCTAGCTTTGCTTAAGCCATCACTTTGGAAATGCAAATTTAGGAAAAAAATCATTAGATGCTTATGATAAAAGGGGATAAGTCAAACAGACTTCTGAGGTTAAAACAAAGGCCAAATCTACCAAAGGCTGGACAGACGAGGGGGACCCCTGCTGGTCCCCCAAAATTACAGGGTCCAAAACCAGTTTCCTCTATTTACAGCAATTTGGAGAAATTCAAAAAGTAGGAAGACAGAAATTATAATAAGCAAACTAGAAATCACTTAGGGCAATAATCTAACAGGTTAATTTAAAAAAACAATGATGGGGGGAAGGGTCCCTTGACTCAACCCCAACCCCTTGTTAGGATGGGATAAACTTGTTTCAAAATTCATTGTTTCAAAGTTATTTTCCAGTAACTTAATGTCTTAAAGTCATGTTACATTAAGTAATAGATACTTATTAAATGTCTAAGTAAGTTAAAATACTGGAACATTAATTGCTGGACATAGGTTTAGAGTATATATACTTCTGCATTTTTTAATACAGTATAGAGAAGCTAAATATATTTGGGTCTATTAGGAAACATAAAAAATTGTGTTATGAGAAAATACATTTCTAAAAATTATAAAATGGTATCATCTCCCTTCAAAATTATTTATTCCATGAGAAATTAAAGTTAATAGTTTAAAATTCTAATAAATATAAGGTAATTAAAACTAGATATAATAAGGGAAACAGTAAAAGTAAGATGTGTTTTTGGTGAGGAAAGTTATAAGAAAGGCATGAGGATGTGTTATATTGTTAAGGAAGAGTAGTCTTATCTAGTTTGGAGGTGGTTTCAGAAGGAATGAAGGAAGAAAAGAATGACTGGATAAAACTAAATGGATAAGATGTAGAAGGTTTGTGGAAGATGCGTATTATAAAAGGAATTTTATATGTGATCAAGTTGGCTAAAATTAGAAGGAAATTGTTTTTCTAAAATTGAGTGCTAATAGCAAAAGTACACTGATGCAAAACTAGCATTTGGTCCTCTCTGTTAAAAGAAGAACGTTTTCTTGGAGTATTGGCTTCTGCTCTTAATAGGAAATCGTGAAAGGTTTTTCTTTACCTTTTAGGCATTTGGCCCAGAAAATAAAAATTCTGTGTTTTACCGAAACACTTTCCTGTCCTTCATGTTGTCTTTCTTAGGTCTTTGATTACTAAAGAAAACTGGGTCTTCTCTATTAAAAAGTTAAGATTTTTCCTACAACTATGTAAACTTCTGTATTTGTCCTTAAAATACCTTATTGTCATCTTGATTAAATACATAACCAAGGTCATATTTAAGTGTTTTAAACTTTTTGACATTTTTGACAAACTTCCCCAAATCAAATCTAAATTAATTCTTTTTGATCTTGAATTAACTTTGTGATTTCTCAGTAGGGCCCCTGGAAAATCGCAAAGGATGTATCTCTCACCTTTTAAAAAAAGAGATATTAAACTGAGTAGACTTACTTGATATGTTAACTATATGGGAAGCATTGTCAAATAAGAAATAATGTTTAACATTTAAATTACTTTTATGGATATGATATTAAGATGACTGTTCCAAAAATTGTGTGGGATTACTAAAAATCTAATACGGCAGCAGTCATAATTTCAGTTATGTTAAAATGTTCTATGCTACAGAAATAACCAAATTTTCTTTTCAATTGCTGATTATAATGAATTCTCATTAGATTTTTAACTGGACATGTTAAGTCTTTTGTCATCCACAGTCAACTATCGATAATCCAAAAGTGCTTTGTGTCCAAGGAGGTTCATGGAAAGGATGGAAAGGACTCTGACAAGTACAGGTTTCTGACAACCTTAAGATAATTCCAATGGAAGGGTAATAATTCCCAGAATGCTTAGGAAGAAACTGACTGTCTTTATAAAACTGCTAGCCCAACATCAAGCCAGAGCAAAACTTAATTAAATATTAACACCAAGGAAATGCTTTGGCAGGTTTTTATATTAAGTCAGCCAATACTAAAATTGTTAAGATATGCAATTTGAATGAACTTCATAAGATTGATCCAAATTAAATTACCTATGGCAATCTATTTAATAAATGGTGCTAAGTACCTGAATTGGAAAACAAAATTGATATTTAAAAGGATGCAAAGTCAGTGTAAAGTGTGGACTCATGGAGGCCCTGGGGCCCTTCCTGAGTCCTTAAAGTTTCCCTTATTACAAGTTCTGCACTCTGTAACTCATCAAGCAGTAGGCAAAATGATATAAATAATGAAAAATATTAGTGTGGTGACTATTCTAAGCTTGCTAAAATGGTCTACAACCAATGTTTGGCTTGTCAAGCCCATAATCCTAGGAAGACAATCAAAACTTTAGGTGGTGCATTTCCACTACCTGATGGGCCATTTGAACATTTACAGAGGGACGACATTAAATTGCCACCCTCAATGGGACGGCAATAAACATATTATGTGTTCCTTTCCCATAAGAGAAAGGGAAAGGAATGCATAATATAATATGCTTACGGAAGCAGCTAACAGTTGGTTTGGAGGCATCCTAAGTGGTGGGTGGCAAGCTTGGCTTTTCAAAGTTTCCAATCTGTGTTTCTTCTACTGTGTCTCCAGATTGCTATGACATGTGTTGCCAGGCTCACTACCAAGATGGATACCTCTTTGAGTCAGACTATTTTGCAACAAGATAGGGTCCCTTGATTGCCATCAAAACCAAAACAGGGGCTATGATCAGTTAGACTCAGCTATTATTGAACTGCCTCAAGTTCCAGAAGTTTGGTTTGTTTGATTTAGATTGGTCTGTATGGGCTCTTGTTAAGGAGTGTACTTTGGTCTTTTGATACTATTCTCTTGATAGTGATCACAGTCGTCTCCTGGGTGTGTTGTACCCTCTCAAGTCTTAAATATTTGTATGCAGCCATTCATTGAGCATCAAACGGTTTCATTTTGACTAGATTAGCAAGAATATAAAAAATTATTCAACTGATGACATGACATTGTGACTTGTGAATTCCATACTGTGACCAAATAAGAGTTATGAGTTCTGTACTGAGACCAAATAAGTCCTTTTATGATGACGACAGAGAGTGGCACCAATGCCCAAAGTTTTGATCAATCTCTCAAAATTTGGTCAGAGGCTGACCAAAAGAAGAAGGGAATTGTTAAATTCAACTAAATTTGGCTTGAGAAAGCCTCTGTACTTGCATACTTGAGTCCTTACATAA
Source organism: Homo sapiens (assembly GCF_000001405.40). Lineage (NCBI taxonomy): Eukaryota > Metazoa > Chordata > Mammalia > Primates > Hominidae > Homo > Homo sapiens. The sequence continues at coordinate 71,380,150 of NC_000015.10, read as the reverse complement.
CTGCAACCAACTTAGTACGTAAACAAAAATGAAAACCTAACTTTGGAATTTGCCTTTGTAATAAGTAGCTGAGTCTCAGCCGGTCACAGCAGACAACCTTCAGTTAATCACAGGTGGCTATAAGGCAAACTCCAAGCTTTAACCAGTCCAGCTTTCTCTGTACCTCACTTCTGTTTTCTGTATCTCACTCCCCTTTTTGTGTCCATAAATATTATTCAGCCATGTAGCAGCCCTGGTCTTTCTGAACCTGTTCTGGTTCCAAGGGCTACTCCATTTGTGAATCATTCAATTAAATTCTGTTAAATTTAATTTGTCTGAAGTTTTTTTTTAAACAACAACAACAACAACAAAGGTCAGCAAATAAACACATACATGTGTAAAGAAGCCATTTGTGGCCGGGCGCGGTGGCTCACGCCTGTAATCCCAGCACTTTGGGAGGCCGAGGCGGGTGGATCACGGGGTCAGGAGATTGAGACCATCCTGGCTAACACGGTGAAACCCTGTCTCTACTAAAAATACAAAAAATTAGCCGGGCATGGTGGTGGGCACCTGTAGTCCCAGCTACTTGGGAGGCTGAGGCAGGAGAATGGCGTGAACCCTGGAGGCGGAGCTTGCAGTAAGCCGAGATCGCACCACTGCACTCCAGCCTGGGCGATAGAGCAAGACTCCATCTCAAAAAAAAAAAAAAAAAAAAAAAAAAGAAGCCATTTGCTTCAGTAATTTGTCATAAACTACAAACTTAATGGAGTCAGAGGTTGGAAGGAAAACTGTCCTCTTAGGAATGGAGGGCTGGCGAAGGACAAGTTAGATATGACAACAGCTGACTATAAGAAAACAATAGCCATGTAAACCTAAGAGAACCAGAATCCCCTTAGAACTGAAAAGATGGGTAGGATGACCTTTCCTTGTTCTCTGTAACCAACAGCTAAGATGTACTTTAACAATGAGAAAATGAGAAAAGCTAAAGAAACCCTCCCCACCCACACACACCAGTGCTACCTAATCCTGGAGCAGAAGCCTTAAAAAGCTTTTGATCTCAACAACTGGCTTAAAACAAGTTACCCTCTGGCCGGGCATGGTGGCTCATGCCTATAATCCCAGCGCTTTGGGAGGCCAACAGAGGAGGATTGTTTGAGCCCAGGAGTTCAAGACCAGCCTAGGCAACATAGTGAGACCCTGTCTCTACATAAAATAAAAAGATTAGCCCAGCATTGTGGCATGCAACTGTAGTCCCAGCTACTCAAGAGGCCGAGGCAGGAGGATCCTTTGAGCTCCGGAGTTCCAGGCTGCAGTGAGCCATGAGCACACCACTGTACTGCAGCCTGGGCAACAGAGTGAGACCCTGCCTCAAAAAAATAACAAAAAACAATAATGACAACAACATTACCTTCTTATACCTAGAAGAAAGAATTAGGTTTATTAAGCAGTGACTCTCAACCATAAAATATTCATTAAAAAATATGCTTTAATTATGGCTAATATTTAAGCTTATTCCACTAAAAAAACTAAAGCATAATGGAGTGGAACAGTGCAACTGGCAGGACGAAGCATCCCCTGGTACTTTATATATGCAATTACTGCATTACATTGTTTTCCTACCTGTGTTCTCATTGAAATTCTGAATTCCTCAAGGATGATGGGACCTTGTCTTTCTCATAGCCTAGACAGAGGTCTTCTCACACAACAAGTGGTTGGTAATTGATTGTTCAATTAGAATGAATCAACCAGTGCCCATTCTGATGGTCCACACCTGGAAAGAAGCTGGCTAGCCATCTACTCACAAAAGCCTCCACCCCTCATTCATCTGGTGGGAGCTCTCCAGGCCACTTTCATCATGCCTTTACAAGAATAGTGAAGGCATCCCTTTCTCAGCATCTTTATTTTGACCCGATAGAAAACTGTATGATGTATTGATATTATTAGAAAAAGCCACTTTACTGTTACCTGCCAGAAAGTTGTTCTAATAAATATACACATCACTAATCTTTAGAATCAATAGTTATAATAAAATATGAAAAAAATCAAAATAAAGATATCTACAACGTAAATGCTATCCCCTTAGATGCAGTACCCTGTGCAGTGCACAACCTGAACAACTGTACAAGGCAGATAATTTCTTCCCGACATCTCAGTAGCTAGCCTTGAACAACTAAGCCTATAAGTAGGTGGAAAATGGCAGGACAATTTATGTTCTGCTATTTTCAGGTTGGCTTTCAGAAGAGTCACTGAAGGAAATTGTGTGTGTGTGTGTGTGTGTGTGTGTGTGTGTGTGTGTGTGTGTGTTGTGGATATGTCCGGGAATAGAGAAGAAGGCAAGAGTGTGATCACAAGCAGGAAAGAACAGGACTTTAAAGAATGACTTCTGTATATCACAAAGTTCTCAGGCCCAGGATGACCTGCAACCTTGTCAGCAAAAGAGTTTCCCTGGAGATACACGGTTAGCTTAGGTCCCGAATAGCTGCCCTGAAACAGAATGGCCCACTGCACCCTGGGTGTTGTCTCTAAACCCACAGGCAGGCCTCATCACGCCCGCCCTCTTTCTCCTTATCCTCCCTGTAGCACTAACACTGCAGACGACCACCTTCTCTTCAATGTCCTCTTGTCCCTTTGCATCCCTGTCACTACAGCCCCCTGGTTCCCTTCCCCTGGGGTTGTTCCTTCCCTGATTCTACTTTTTTCTCCACCCCGATGCAGACATTCCCCAAGGGTCATGGCTCAGAGTCCACAGCTCCTTCCTCCCCTCTCCCCTTTCCTGCTGTCTCCTAGGATGGGGAACACCCACATTCCTGTTGATCCTAGCCCACATACTGCCTGTGGTCCTGGATTTCCATTCACCTGCTCAGCATTCCCACCAGGATTCCCTGCTTTCACCTCAAACTCATTTAGTGTTAATTTCAAGTCCTCAACTTCCTCTCACATCTGTTCTTCCCCACTGGGCATCCCTCTTTGTGTCAGGTTTGATGTTATTCCAGTCACCTTGACTCTTCTCTGTCCTTTACCCCCTTCATGAAATCAGCCATCCTGCCACATTGATTCCCTCCTGGGAGTGTCTCCAGAATTCCTTTCTCACGTCCATTTCTTTCCTCTTCCCACAATCAGTGCCACATCAGGCCCAGATAACTGTGGCCACCTCCTTTTGGTCCCTCCCTGCACATCACCCTGCACACACCTGCTAGGTGAGTATTCGTACAGCATCTCCTTAAGGTGTCACCACCTTCCCCAACCCAGAGCCTTTGGTAGCTCCCTCCTAGGGCATGAAGTTTAAGCTCCAGAGCTGGGGGATTGAGACCCTCAAAATCTGATCTTACCAATTGTTTGCTGATGTTTCAATCCAATATGTCTCGGCATGAGTTCTTAACCCAGCCAGACTGATCTACTTACAGACCTAATCATATTTTTCATATTCTGACCTCATGCCTTTGCTTATACTGGTCCCATCACCTGGGATCCCTTTCTTGGATAACTAGCACAGGTTGAGGAGACAGCAGAGACTAGGAGTCTGTGAACATAAGTTGGCCTGGTTTGGGCAAAGAGTTTGCAAATGGGAGCAAGGGGGAAAGATTTGTTTTTCTCAGGGCAGATCAGAATTATGTGTGTCCCAGGGGAGATCCAAATGATCTGACCCAACCACAGAATGGCCAGAAAAAGGTTGCAAGTCAGAACAAGGGTTGGTGGTCTGGCCAAACAGTGACAGGGCAAACTATCAATCAAGACCCAGAAGAGTGGTGGTATGAAGGAGGTGAGTATGGGACTGGTGTGGGAGACTCAATCATGGTAAGAACAGTGTCAAGAAACAGGACATCTAAACTAGGGCATAAGGAAGGAGGCTGGGTCCTAAAAATTCAGAGCATGAAGATCAGAAGAGAGCCTGCAGCCAGGCCCTCAGACCTGAGCACTGCCTTCATCTTGTCCTACATACATTCAGGATTGGCTCCAGTCAGAGACAGCACATGCAAGAGGTGTGAGCAAAGGATGTGAGTACTCCTCCTCCTGCACCCATGACAGACATTACTAATCAATTCTGGCACTCTTTCACCTTGGGCACAGTCATGGTCTCAGAATCTCTTGCATAAGAACTCTCGCCATTAATCAACTGCAAGTAGCAGGAGACAAACTCTATTTGTTATGCATAATCACAAAGTCGCAGGTAGGGCCTAGTCGGTATGTGACAGTACATTGGTCTCAGTGATAAATAATACAGAGTCATAGTAGAAAAGTGCTAGGTCAGTTGTTCTCAAACTTTGAAGTTCACCATAATCACCTGGAGGGTTTATTAAAACCCAGATTGCCAGGGTCCTCCTCCAGAGCCTCTGATTTAGTAGGTGTGGAATGCAATGGAATGTGAAAGCAAATTTGGGAGTGAGGCCCGAATTTGCATTCCTAACAAGTTCCCAGGTGATGCTGATGCTTTTGGTCCAGGGACCGCACTTTGAGAACCACTGCACTAGATAAAACCACATCCTCTCTCCTCTTGTTCTTAACTTATCTTTCAAGGCTGGCTGGAACCCCTTCTCCTGGGCTTCAAATGACCCCTTCCAACTCCACTCACAGAGGACATCATCAATACTGCTTGTGGAATCTGTCAACAAACATGTATTGTGCCAGGAGTAACACAGACAGGCAAAGTCCCTGCTCCCAAAAAAGACACAGTAGGGGGCTGGGGAAGAGTGACCCAAACAACTGAACAGGCAATTACAATTCAGTGTGAAAGTGATGGGAGGGGAGAAGCATAGGCAGCGATGAGAACACAGAACCAGAGCATCCAACTCGGTCTTGGAAGGTCAGAAAAGGCTGCTCAGAGGAAAGCACCAATGAGGTTGAGATGAAGATGGAGAGAAGTTGTCAGGAAGAGGGAGAAAACATCACTGTCTTGGGCTATTTCCCTTTCGCACACATATGTGTCCACATGCACATACTCTGCCTCATCTCTCCATGTAAACTGTAACATACTTGGATGAAAAGATCATCTTTAGTGTACACAATCCTCGTGGTGCTCGGTCCCTGGCAGACATGCAGTTTTTATTAAGTGAATGCATACATTTGCAACATCCTGGAATTGTTCTACATTTAGGAAGTGGGGGAAATGGGGAAAAGGGAGTGTGAGGAGATGTGGATTTGTCTGAAATCCCTTCTGTGGGCTTCTGGGGATTTCTGTGGCTGTGAGGATTTCTCTAAATACCCGCAGGACAGGTGATTCCACATTAAGCCCCTACAGTACACCCTTTCTTAGTCTGGGAGGCTCACTTTTACCAAGCAGCACGTCTGTGCATGGTGATTAATGGTCTGCTGTCCTAGCCTTTGTGTCTACCCAGCCCAAGCCACCATCTGTGAATAGTCTCTTGCTTGAGTAATAGCCTTGTCTAGCAAATTGTTTTGCACATTTATAAACAGAGATTGGGCGTTTTCCTTTGCTGCCTTAATTTCAAGTGATTAGGCTGAGGTCATTCCTGCAAGCAACTTCTTTCCTAGAATTCAAAGTCTGAAGGTCAGGGCCATTGCTCACCCTCAAGATTCATTCCTCAATGCAGCCTCTGAAGAAGCTGGAGGGAGACCCAGAGCTCTGATGAGGTAGAGGCAGCCTTTCTAACAGCAGAACTGGTAGAACTTCACTCCTTCCCCTAGAACCACCACTTTCTGATTTGGATATTTAGATGAACATTTTCTTACCACATCCCCTTCTTATTGCATCCAATTATTCATATATAGCATGTGGTTAGCTCATGTGCCACTTTAGATGGGATAAGAAGTAACAGATACTCACTTGCTGATCTCTCTCTTATCCAGCTCTGTCTCCCCAGAAGATAGCACACCCTGATGCATACTGAGTGCTCGACAGATGGGAAATGAGTGAAATAATGAAGATATCGACTTCATGGTACATTTGAAATGAAGAAAATGAACTGAGTGCTTTGCAAAGAAAGGTACACTTCCCTCTGCATCCCCCATTTGAGAGTTTCTACCACTCCACAGTCAAGGACATCAGGGCAGAAGGACTGTAGTACTGAGCACTAGAAACATGTGTTTGCATCACTTTGGAAGAGGACAAACATCACCCAGCCCATGCTCAGCTGTTCCACACAAGAAAATACAAGCCAGCATTTTGCATATCATTCCAGGTCTACCCTCTTGACTTATTTTGTAGTTGAATTCAGTCCAGTGTTCACATAACATCCTGAGGGAAGGGTTGTCCTAGTGACTTTACAACTGATTGCAGACAAGCAGTTTCAGAATTTTTAAAGTAATGATTTTTAATTCTCAGGGACCATCATGCAGCATTTGTGTGTATATAATGCTTTCTCCAAGAAACACTCACTCACTCTCAACGGGAACACTGTCTTTCGTGAACTGCCTGTGACCTTCAGGATGAAAAGCCAGAGTCCCACCACACAGAGTCACAGATTTTGGAAGCAGAATGGACTTTGACAACATCTGCCTGGACCCTTGTAGCTCATGGAGAGGCAATTTGGACAGGAGCAAGTCAGTGGCAGAGTAGGGCCAAGAACTCGAGTTTCCTGACCACCATTCGAAGCTGTCTTTTAGAAGCTGAAGGAAAGCTTCACCACCAGATCTTATGGATCCAGAAAAGATCCCAAAAATATAGTTGGGTTTGAGGTATGTCAATGTGTTTCAATGATGATTTGCTATTTGAGTCATAAGCACCTCCAAAATGTCTTTGTTTCAGCCACCGGGATATCCTGTGTATTAGACCCTAAAATAGGAGTCATGTAAGTTCAAGTTAGGAGAAAGCCAGAGAACTCGGCACCCAATAAAGAAAGGAAATAACAGTCTTTTCAAAGACTCATGAAACAGCCACTAAAACTGCCTGTGTATTAGACCATAATACAAAATTCACTACATTTTAAAAGTTCAGACTTATTCAGGGCTATATTTCTGACCCAAAAAGCAATAAAACTAGAAATTATTAAGAATTATTTTTAATCCATCCACTTGCAGTTATAGGCATTCTTCTAAATAACTTTTTGATTAAAGAGGCAGTTAAGACTGAAATTATGAACTATTTAGATAAACTGTTTCCAACCCCAACCCTAATGCTATCTGAATATTTTTAGACCAGTCTTAGAATCTCTCGATTTTCTTCTCTCTGAAAGGAGGTTGTTGCAAGATTGAAAAGAGATAACAAGAAAGAGGGCCTAGCCTGCGGGAGGGGCGCCCGCCATTGCTGAGGCTTGAGTAGGTAAACAAAGCAGCCAGGAAGCTGGAACTGGGTGGAGCCCACCGCAGCTCAAGGAGGCCTGCCTGCCTCTGTAGACTCCACCTCTGCAGGCAGGGCATAGCTGAACAAAAGGCGGCAGAAACCTCTGCAGACTTAAATGTCCCTGTCTGACAGCTTTCAAGAGAGTAGTGGTTCTCCTAGTACGGAGTTTGAGATGTGAGAACGGGCAGACTGCCCCCTCAAGTGGGTCCCTGACCCCCGAGTAGCCTAACTGGGAGGCACCCCCCGGTAGGGGCACACTGACCTTACACGGCCAGGTACCCCTCTGAGACGAAGCTTCCAGAGGAACAATCAGGCAGCAACATTTGCTGTTCAGCAATATTTGCTGTTTTGCAGCCTCCACTGCTGATACCCAGGCAAACAGGGTCTGCAGTGGACATCCAGCAAACTCCAACAGACCTGCAGCTGAGGGTACTGACTGTTAGAAGGAAAACTAACAAACAGAAAGGACATCCACACCAAAACCCCATCTGTACGTCACCATCATCAAAGACCAAAAGTAGATGAAACCACAAAGATGGGGAAAAAACAGAGCAGAAAAGCTGAAACTTCTAAAAATCAGAGTGCCTCTCCCCCTCCAAAGGAAAGCAGCTCCTCGCCAGCAACGGAACAAAGCTGGATGGAGAATGACTTTGACAAGTTGAGAGAAGAAGGCTTCAGACGATCAAACTTCTCTGAACTAAAGAAGGAAGTTCGAACCCATTACAAAGAAGCTAAAAACCTTGAAAAAAGATTAGACAAATGGCTAACTAGAATAACCAGTGCAGAGAAGTCCTTAAATGACCTGATGGAGCTGAAAACCATGGCACAAGAACTACGTGACGAATGCACAAGCTTCAGTAACCAATTCGATCAACTGGAAGAAAGGTTATCAGTGACTGAAGATCAAATGAATGAAATGAAGCGAGAAGAGAAGTTTAGAGAAAAAAGAGTAAAAAGAAATGAACAAAGCCTCCAAGAAATATGGGACTATGTGAAAAGACCAGATATACATCTGACTGGTGTACCTGAAAGTGATGGGGAGAATGGAACCAAGTTGGAAAACACTCTGCAGTATATTATCCAGAAGAACTTCCCCAACCTAGCAAGGCAGGCCAACATTCAAATTCAGGAAATACAGAGAATGCCACAAAGATACTCCTCGAGAAGAGCAACTCCAAGACACATAATTGTCAGATTCACCAAAGTTGAAAGGAAGGAAAAAATGTTAAGGGCAGCCAGAGAGAAAGGTCGGTTTACCCACAAAGGGAAGCCCATCAGACTAACAGTGGATCTCTTGGCAGAAACTCTACAAGCCAGAAGTCAGTGGGGGTCCATATTCAACATTCTTAAAGAAAAGAATTTTCAACCTAGAATTTCATATCCAGCCAAACTAAGCTTCATAAGCCAAGGAGAAATAAAATCCTTTACAGACAAGCAAATGCTGAGAGATTTTGTCACCACCAGGCCTGCCCTAAAAGAGCTCCTGAAGGAAGCACTAAACATGGAAAGGAACAACCAGCACCAGCCACTGCAAAAACATGCCAAAATGTAAAGACCATCGATGCTAGGAAGAAACTGCATCAACTAACGAGCAAAATAACCAGCTAACATCATAATGACAGGATCAAATTCATACATAACAATATTAACCTTAAATGTAAATGGGCTAAATGCTACAATTAAAAGACACAAACTGGCAAACTGGATAAAGAGTCAAGACCCATCAGTGTGCTGTATTCAGGAGACCCATCTCATGTGCTAAGACACACATAGGCTCAAAATAAAGGGATGGAGGAAGATCTACCAAGCAAATGGAAAACAAAAAAAGGCAGGGGTTGCAATCCTAGTCTCTGATAAAACAGACTTTAAACCACAAAGATCAAAAGAGACAAAGAAGGCCATTACATAATGGTAAAGGGATCAATTCAACAAGAAGAGCTAACTACCCTAAATATATATGCACCCAATACAGGAGCAACCAGATTCATAAAGCAAGTCCTTAGAGACTTACAAAGAGACTTAGACTCCCACACAATAATAATGGGAGACTTTAACACCCCACTGTCAACATCAGACAGATCGACGAGACAAAGTTAACAAGGATATCCAGGAATTGAACTCAGCTCTGCACCAAGTGGACCTAATAGACATCTACAGAACTCTCCACCCCAAATCAACAGAATATACATTCTTCTCAGCACCACATTGCACTTATTCTAAAATTGACCACATAGTTGAAGTAAAGCACTCCTCAGCAAATGTAAAAGAACAGAAATTATAACAAACTGTCTGTCAGACCACAGTGCAATCAAACCAGAACTCAGGATTAAGAAACTCACTCAAAACCGCTCAACTACATGGAAACTGAACAACCTGCTCCTGAATGACTACTGGGTACATAATGAAATGAAGACAGAAATAAAGATATTCTTTGAAACCAATGAGAACAAAGACACAACGTACCAAAATCTCTGGGACACATTTAAAGCAGTATGTAGAGGGAAATTTATAGCACTAAATGCCCACAAGAGAAAGGAGGAAAGATCTAAAATTGACACCCTAACATCACAATTAAAAGAACTAGAGAAGCAAGAGCAAACACATTCAAAAGCTAGCAGAAGGCAAGAAATAACTAAGATCAGAGCAGAACTGAAGGAGATAGAGACATAAAAAACCCTTCAAAAATCAATGAATCCAGGAGCTGGTTTTTTGAAAAGATCAACAAAATTGATAGACCACTAGCAATACTAATAAAGAAGAAAAGAGAGAAGAATCAAATAGACACAATGAAAAATGATAAAGGGGGATATCACCGCTGATCCCACAGAAATACAAACTACCACCACAGAACACTATAAACACCTCTACACAAAAAAACTAGAAAATCTAGAAGAAATGGATAAATTCCTCGACACATACACCCTCACAAGACTAAACCAGGAAGAAGTTGAATCCCTAAATAGACCAATAACAAGCTCTGAAATTGAGGCACTAAGTAATAGCCTACTAACCAAAAAAAACTCCAGGACCAGACGGATTCACAGCCGAATTCTACCAGAGGTACAAGGAGGAACTGGTACCATTCCTTCTGAAACTATTCCAATCAATAGAAAAAGAGGGAATCCTCCCTAACTCATTTTATGAGGCCAGCATCATCCCGATACCAAAGCCTGACAGAGACACAACAAAAAGAGAATTTTAGACCAATATCCTTGATGAACATTGATGCAAAAATCCTCAATAAAATACTGGCAAACCAAATCCAGCAGCACATCAAAAAGCTTATCCACCATGATCAAGTGGGCTTCATCCCTGGGATGCAAGGCTGGTTCAACATACACAAATCAATAAACATAATCCAGCATATAAACAGAACCAACGACAAAAACCACATGATTATCTCAATAGATGCAGAAAAGGCCTTTGACAAAATTCAACAGCCCTTCATGCTAAAAACTCTCAATAAATTCGGTATTGATGGGACGTATCTCAAAATAATAAGAGCTATCCATGACAATCCCACAGCCAATATCAGACTGAATGGGCAAAAACTGGAAGCTTTCCCTTTGAAAACTGGCACAAGACAGGGATGCCCTCTCTCACCACTCCTATTCAACATAGTGTTGGAAGTTCTGGCCAGGGCAATCAGGCAGGAGAAAGAAATAAAGGGTATTGAATTAGGAAAAGAGGAAGTCAAATTGTTCCTGTTTGCAGATGACATGATTGTATATTTAGAAAACCCCATTGTCACAGCCCAAAATCTCCTTAAGCTGATAAGCAACTTCAGCAAAGTCTTAGGATACAAAATCAATGTGCAAAAATCACAAGCATTCTTATACACCAATAACAGACAGAGAGCCAAATCATGAGTGAACTCCCATTCACAATTGCTTCAAAAAGAATAAAATACCTAGGAATCCAACTTACAAGGGATGTGAAGGACCTCTTCAAGGAGAACTACAAACCACTGCTCAACAAAATAAAAGAGGACACAAACAAATGGAAGAACATTCCATGCTCCTGGATAGGAAGAATCAATATTGTGAAAATGGCCATACTGCCCAAGGTAATTTATAGACTCAGTGCCATCCCCATCAAGCTACCAATGACTTTCTTCACAGAATTGGAAAAAACTACTTTAAAGTTCATATGGAACCAAAAAAGAGCGCACATAGCCAAGACAATCCTAAGCCAAAAGAACAAAGCTGGAGGCATCACACTACCTGACTTCAAACTATACTACAAGGCTGCAGTAACCAAAACAGCATGGTACTGGTACCAAAACAGAGATATAGACCAATGGAACAGAACACAGCCCTCAGAAATAATACCACACACCTACAACCATCTGATCTTTGACAAACCTGACAAAAACAAGAAATGGGGAAAGGATTCCCTATTTAATAAATGGTGCTGGGAAAACTGGCTAGCCATATGTGGAAAGCTGAAACTGGATCCCTTCCTTACACCTTATACAAAAATTAATTCAAGATGGATTCAAGACTTAAATGTTAGACCTAAAACCATAAAAACCCTAGAAGAAAACCTAGGCAATTACATTCAGGACATAGGCATGGGCAAGGACTTCATGTCTAAAACACCAAAAGCAATGGCAACAAAAGCCAAAACTGACAAATGGGATCTAATTCAACTAAAGAGCTTCTGCACAGCAAAAGAAACAACCATCAGAGTGAACAGGCAACCTACAGAATGGGAGAAAATTTTTGCAATCTACTCATCTGACAAAGGGCTAATATCCAGAATCCACAAAGAACTCAAACAAATTTACAAGAAAAAAACAAACAACCCCATCAAAAAGTGGGCGAAGGATATGAACAGACACTTCTCAAAAGAAGACATTTATGCAGCCAAAAGACACATGAAAAAATGCTCATCATCACTGGCCATCAGAGAAATGCAAATCAAAACCACAATGAGATACCATCTCACACCAGTTAGAATGGTGATCATTAAAAAGTCAGAAAACAACAGGTGCTGGAGAGGATGTGGAGAAATAGAAACACTTTTACACTGTTGGTGGGACTGTAAACTAATTCAACCATTGTGGAAGACAGTGTGGTGATTCCTCAAGGATCTAAAACTAGAAATACCATTTGACCCAGCCATCCCATTACTGTGTATATAGCCAAAGCATTATCAATCATGCTGCTATAAAGACACATGCCCACATATGTTTATTGCAGCACTGTTCACAATAGCAAAGACTTGGAACCAACCCAAATGTCCATCAATGATAGACTGGATTAAGAAAATGTGGCACATACACACCATGGAATCCTATGCAGCCACAAAAAAGGATAAGTTCATGTCCTTTGTAGGGACATGGATGAAGCTGGAAACCATCATTCTCAGCAAACTATCACAAGGACAGAAAACCAAACACTGCATGTTCTCACTCATAGGTGGGAATTGAACAATGAGAACACTTGGACACAGGAAGGGGAACATCACACACCGGGGCCTGTCGTGGGGTGGGGAGGGATAGCATTAGGAGATATACCTAATGTAAATGACGAGTTAATGTGCGCAGCACACCACCATGGCACATGTATACATATGTAACAAACCTGCACGTTGTGCACATCTACCCTAGAACTTCAAGTATAATAATAATAAAAAAAAGAATGGCATAGTGGTAATCAGTTTAGACTCTGTAATTTAACAATAAAATATTTTTTTAAAATAAAAAAAAAAAAGAGAGCCTAGCATGAGGTAATTGTTCAACAAATGCGATGACATCATCAAGGTCAACCTTGTGTAACTGGGTGTTATAACACAATGGGTTGTTCCTGTGTTCTAAAAATAGTGGAAGCTACATTTTGAAGGACCGCTATACAAACATTTCAAAGTTCATGAGCCAAAACTCACTAACGACTCTTGAATCCCTTGTTCACACAGAAGATGGAATATGTTTTGAGAAAATGGAGCTTGAAAGAGGAGCTCTTTGGAGAGAGCTGTGCTGGCATTTCCCTCTGCCAAGGAGAAGGGTCAGGGTCCTCTCCTTCACAGTATGAGAAGGGCGCTTCACTGAGACCATTAGAGGGTTCGATTTGGTCTCCCTACAATTGTTGGGACACAGGGTACTGGGTCTAATTCCCACCTGGAAATCTAAAAGATTGGGTGTCCAGTGGTATGAGCAAAGGACAGGTGCCTGTTGAGTACTGTTCTCTTGGAGATGATCGGAGCAAATAATGTGGGAGTGTTTTTCATAGGCTGAAGAGAAGGCAGACTGGGGAGAGAGCCAGACTGCATTGATTTGAAATCCCACATAAGAGGATTCCATGAGAAAGTGACTGACCCCAACTGAGAGGGCCCATATAGTGCGGGCCATTGGGAAAAACAGCCAGAGGAAAATGCAACATGTGTTGTCATGGGAAATATAGTTCAATGTTCCCAGGAGGAGCCTCAGAAGAACTCTCAAAAGAGCCCATGAGAGGAGGAGTCACCTCTAAAGACCTTCCAGGCCAATCCAGTGGAGATATCACAATGGTACTCATCAAGCAGCAGCAGCTCTTCTTCCCTCCCTATACCCAGCAGAGTAAAAAATCTTGGACAGCCGGGAGCTGTTTCCCAGCACTTTGGGAGGCCAAGACGGGCGGATCATGAGGACGGGAGATCGAGACCATCCTGGCTAACATGGTGAAACCCCGTCTGTACTAAAAATACAAAAAAATTAGCCGGGCATGGAGGCGGGTGCCTGTAGTCCCAGCTGCTGGGGAGGCTGAGGCAGGAGAATGGCATGAACCTGGGAGGCAGAGCTTGCAGTGAGCCGAGATCACGCCACTGCACTCCAGCCTGGGCAACAGAGTGAGACTCCATCTAAACAAAACCAAAAACAAAACAAAACAAAAAAACCTGGGACACAAGTAGGAGGGAGGATGTGTGAAAGGACAGCAAGAAGGAACCTCCACCTCTTCTCACCTGAGAGAAGTTCTAGTTTAGAGAGGGGAGTGGTAATTTAACTTTAAAGCAAGTTTTGATCACTACACAGGCTAGATGGATACTTTTAGTAACTGACTTGCGACTGTGACTGTGTTGGCAACTTCCAGTGGTCCTAGGAGTCTTGATGACTTGAGAGTGATCAAAAAAGTCATGAGACTACCTGAGTTTTCAACCAAGAACAGTGAAATAACTTCTCCTACTAAATTACTTTTAAGGGGACAATGAGAGAGAGAGGGAGGAAAGTTGCTTGTAGCTACATCCCATGAGTTTCCTGTTCAGTTGGTGGGTTGGACTTAACAAGATTCATCTCCAATCCAAACAGAACCCACTTCAGCATGCTATCATACCATAAGGCCTCCCAAGGAAGCAAGAGAACAGAACAGACCTCCTTTCATTTCATAAAACCTCTTCCTTGTCCCCCACACCGCCCCACTGTATTTTTACAAAGCGTCAGCAGATTGTGCTGTTTATGGCTATTTTTGGGAGACAAGGAAATACATGAGAGCATCTCAAGCAGGCAGAAAGACAGAGTAGAAGGATGGAGTGGAGGGGTGCCCTGGGGTTAGGCTCCTACTCTGGAGTCATGCCTGGGTTACCATTTTGGTGGCTTTGTTACTGTTACATCAGCAACAGTGACAGGAAGGGTAGAGACTGACAACCACAAGGCAAGCTGAGAAAGTTAGTACCTACAGCTTTCTTTGCTTCACCTGGAAATCCTCATGCAAAGTCCTTTAGTCACTACACACCCAATCACATGGGTCATTGGCTTGCCCTCTCTCTTCTTTTCTGTCTTTCTCTCTCTCATACACACACACACACACACACACACACACACACACAATGGGGGGGGCAGTGGATATATTTTCGTGAACTACAAGTGAGTATCATTTCCAAGGGTCTGATAAATGATTTTTGTATCATCTCTGGAAAAGAGAAACTCAGGGAGATGCAGTTTTAGGTGCCAAAACAATAGAATTCTTAGGATATTTTATTGTTTAGGTGGAAGCAATGGGTCAAAACATTTGTGATTAGGGCTGTCTCAAACAACTGCAATTTAACAGAGCTTTAAAAAACCATTAATTCACATGCATACAAGTTCCATTTGTAACCCACCCCCAGAATCAGCTTCCAGCAATTTCATACTGTTTCCCATTTACTTTGACCACAACGTGTGCCCCTTACCAAGACACGCTTTAAAGCTCAGCGCTATGCAAAGGCTAAAAAGAAAACACAAGTGTTTGAAGAGTAGGTGACAAAATAAAATAAAACTAAACTATGTGCGTACTAATGATTCGAAATATGAGATCTGGAAACGTTGATGTACAAAACAGCTACTCACCCATTAGGAATTGACACACAGGTCACCTCGTCTATGAAGCCCTCTTGAACCCCTAAGGGGAAATTAGTATTTGCTAGAACCACGACCTGCTAGTTTTTTCTTTAGTTACTCTGTGAGGGAGGTATCATTTTCCGCATTTGAACAGGTGAAGACAGCTGAAGTAACTTGCTCAAGGGCACATAGCTAATGTCTAGCTAAAGTACCCCAGATAAGGTGGGAAATTAATCTGTATTAGAAACAGCTATCACCAGGCAAAGTGCTAAGTAATGAAATATGTGCCTTCTCATTTGATACAATGGCCTCTGAGGCAGTTCATCTTACCGCCCAACTGCAGATGAGCAAACTTGTCCAGACTTGCCCAGTGTTGCAAGAACGATGGGTAGCAGGCTGGGGCTCCCAGGGTTGCTGACTCCCATCCCATGTGATTCCACGCCATCATGCTGCCTTTTCTGTAACAGCCTCTGAAATTGTCCACCCCACCCCACTTCCACTGGCCAAACCTCAGCCCTCAACTAGGTTACTTCTGGTGAAGGCGTCTCTTTTCACCTTGTATTCCCACAGGCTCTATCAGAAAACCTCCTGTCTAGAGTTCAACCATCTTCTATCGCCTTGAGTAACACAACTTTAATGAATACTATTTCTATCAGATAAAATTAGGAGCAACTTGGAAAAGAGTAAAGAAAAGATTTCTGAATATCTTTTGTGGGGAATAATGAGGCATTGTTCAAGGAACCCTTTCTGCACCATCTCATTTTATACGTCTGCGCCTTTCATTACTTTAACTGAGTTACTTTACAACTCTATAAACTGTAGAAAACTGATAGTAATGCAAATGAATTTTGTCAGCAGAGATGCAAATGGAAACCTTGCCTGGTCCCCAAGAGGCCAATTATCCTAAGCAAATTCCTTTCCGCATACCTGATGACCTCTATATGTGTCCGTTCTCTCCTTTGAACCAGTTGTAACATCATACTGGTTCCCTCATTAATTAATGAGTTAAATAAAATCTTTGACGCATGTTCATTTTGTCTTTGAAAAGGAGTCATGATTTCGCTTTTTGTTCTTAATATTCTTTAACATTTTCCACTGCTGCCTGAGACACTATCAGCCTGGGTTACTCTATTCTAGAAACACAGTATGCTCATTCCTTCCCTTTTCAGGTCTCCCCTGCCCAGGGATCACAAACACACACACGCGTACACACATGCACACCAGGAGCAGTGAGCAGGCTTCTAGGGAAAGTTGAGAAGGTGAGAAAGCAAAAAGGGAATATAACAGCCAATTAGACCAAGGTTGGCAAACTATGGCCCTTGGGCCCAATCTGGTTTACTACTTTGTTTTTTTAAATTTTTATTGCAATGCAGCCATATCCATTCATTTATGTACTATCTATGGCTGCTTTTGTGTGACCACAGCAGAGTTGGGTAGTTGTGACACAGACTGGCCTACAGTCTAAAATAGTCAATAGCTGGCCCTTTACAGAAGAAGTTTGCTGACTTCTGAATTAGACACACTCTGTACCCTTTACAGCAAGCTTGTCCACCTGCCGCCCGCAGGCCACATGCAGCCCAGGATGGCTTTGAATGTGGCCCAACACAAATTCAAGAGCTTTCTTAAAACATTACGAGATTTCTTTTGTGATTTTTTTTTTTTTTTTTTTTTAGCTCATCAGCTATCATTCGTGTTAGTGAATTTTACTAATTCACAATTCTTCCAATGTGGCCCAGGGAAGCCAAGATTAGACACCCCTGCTTTACAGCATTTATAATTTGGTGAAGGGAAGCAGTGAGTATACATAGAGAAGAATATAAAACACAATGAAATAAAGTGGATCTCCATATGTGTGGAGGGAGGGGGAGGATGAAATTAGGGTGGGAGTGCTGCGTGCGGACGAAAACGGAACTCACTGTCGGCAGTAACTCCAGAGCATAGCACCGGGACCATGCATGGAAATTAATTTATTTATTGCAATTTTTCTTTTTTATTGCAAAATAGTTCAAGAATACTAAAAAGCAGTATGATCGATGTATGTGCTTACCTTAACTCACTTTAACATTTTGTCATATTTGCTTCCAATTTTATTTTCACAGTCTTTAATCTAGGAAGATGAGGCTAGGCTTTTCTCTCTCAACTGACTATAAAATTAAAGGCAATCCATGGAATATTTATTCTACCCCAGATTTAAAGAAGCTTGTAGTGGTAATGATTTGTTCTACAATCTTGCCTTTGTTTTGTCTCATTTTTATTTCTGAAAACTAAGATTCATATGGTTCAAAATTCAAAAGGTACAAAGGAGTAAAGAGTGAGATTCTCCTCCTACTTCTGTACCCCAGCCACTCATTATAATTTTTTTTGAGACTTAGTCTCACTGTGTCAACCAGGCTGGAGTGCAGTAGCACCATCTTGGCTCACTGCAACCTCCACCTCCCAGGTTCAAGCGATTCTTCTGCCTCAGCCTCCCAAGTAGCTGGGATTACAGGCATGCACCACCAAGCCCAGCTAATTATTTTGTATTTTTAGTAGAGATGGGGTTTCGCCATGTTGGCCAGGCTGGTCTCAAACTCCTGACCTCAAGTGATCTACCTGCCTTGGCCTCCCAAGTGCTGGGATTATAGGCATTAGCCACCACGCCCAGTTCCACTCATTATTTTGAATAATATAAATTTCTTATGTTTCCTTCCAGATATATTTTATGCATATTTGACCAAATATGTATGTATATTTATTTGTCTGCCTCTTTTTACACATTTTTGGTGTTCACTCAACACTTTATTTTGGTGACTCGTCCAGATCAGCACATACACAAAGTCTCATTTTCTGTTTTCAAGATTTCATATCCCTTTGTATGGATGAAATATAATTTGTTTGACCCGTTTTTTCTCCCATAGCATTGATACTGTTTCCAATCTTTTGTGATGACAAACAAGACTACAATGGATGATCATGAGCATTTATTTCTGCCTCCAAATAGTGAAATAGCTGTAGGTAAAAGGTAGAATTGCTAGGTCAAAAAAAAGTGCATTTATAATTTTGATGGTTATTACCAAATTGCTTTCCACAGAGAAGTTCCCCAAATTACACTTCCATTGGAAATGTATGAGGAAGCCCATATCTTCAACGATCACAGGTGATATTAGCATTTTTTATCTTTGCCACTCTGAGGGGTGACAATAGCTTTAGGTTACACCTTCCTCATAATGAACAAGGCTGAGCATCTTTTCATACAGTTCAGTTGTGTGTATTTGCACCTTTAAGAACTGTATGTGAAGCATTTTTGTTCTCTTTTCTTTTGGGTGACTGTCCTTTTTTGGGAGGTAGCACTTTAAAATCCATCCAAAGTGACATGATCACAGCAGAATCTGGGCACAGAGAAGTAGGTCAGCTAATAGTCACTTTTAAGCTCTTTCCCAATAAATGTTAAAAGACATGTATGGTCTTCTCCTTCAGTGGCTCCCCATTACCTACAGAATCAAGTCCAGATCCCTCAGTAGGATACCCAGGGCCCTCCATGCTCTACAAACACCAGACAGCATGTGCCACCCTTGCCTGCTCACCTCTTCTCCTTTTTCTTTCAGGACACTCTATCCACTTTTCTTTGCCTAGATAACTCTTCTCTGTATACTTGGTGATTCAGCTCAAGTGTCACATTCTCCAGGAAATCTTCCCTGAAACCCAAATTGTATGGTATACCTCTCTACTATGCTTCAATGGGATCATATGCAAACTTCCATTAAAATTATCTCTAAGATATCCATCTCCCCTGTTAAACCATAGGCTCTTTAGGGTCTTCTTTCTGTTTATGCTTCTGGCTCAAGGAAGGCACCTTCAGTGCTGACTGACCTGAAACTCTATTAAAAATTAACCACACAATTTTGAATATGCTCCCTTGTAAAGTGAAAAGGTGAGATTAGATAATTTCTAAAGCCCTTCTTGGATCTATGAATACATGAACTGTGGATGAAAAAGGCATCTGAGGAGGAGTCATATGCTAGCAAAATACACAATTGGATTGGATGCCGGGGAGAGAGTCCGAGTACCGTAGTGAACCCAAAATGATGCGCAAAAGAACTGGACCCTGCTAAGGTGGCAGTAGTAGACTAGAATGGCTAAGAGGGATTTTTTTAAGCAAAAATATTTATGGGTCTTTATCCTATAAAGATGGCCACCATCAATTTCTTCCCTCACTGTATGCATACGCTGCTTCTCATATGAAGAGATAGAGCCGAGTAACCCATCGTGTTGAATCTGGATTGGCCTTAGTAACTTTCTTGACCAGTAAAATGTGCTAGAAGTGAAGATCTGAGATTCTAAAGCTAGGTCATAAGAAACCCTGCAGCTTCCAACTGGATCTTTTAGAATGCTTGTTCTGGGGAAAGTTGGCTGCCATGTAGGAAATTTGACTACTCTAAGACCACCATGTTGTGAGGAAGCCAACACAACACGAGCTTCCTCACATAGGAAGGGAGAGATTCTCCATCAGCCCCCAGCTCTTCCCCACGTGCCAGATAAGTGAGCCAAGAAGCCTTCGGATGAATCCAGCCTCAGCCACCATCTGAGTACAGCTGCAGAAAAGACTAAGCAAGAATCTCCCAGCTGAGTGCAGTCAACCTCCAGAACCACGAAAGATAATAAACTGTTCTTTAAGCTACTCAATTTTGGGGTGGTCTGTTATACAGCAATAGACAGCTAAAACACAGAGGAAGCAGCAGACACAAGATAACAAGGTGGGAAGGACAGAAGATGAATCCTCACATCTTTCTCTTTTTCTTTCTCTGTTTTTTTTGTTTGCTTGTTTTTGAGACAGGGTCTTGCTCTGTCACCCAGGCTTGAGTGAACCGGCATGATCTCAGGCTGGAGTGCAGTGGCAAGATCTTGGCTCACTGCAACCTCTCCCTCCCAGGCCCAAGCGATCCTTTCACCTCAGCCTTCTGAGTAGCTGAGACTACAGGTGCACACCATCACACCTGGCTAATTTTTCATATTTTTGGTAGAGATTGGGGTTTTCTCATGTTGCCCAGGCTGTTCTCAAACTCTTGAACTCAAGCAATCTACCCACCTCGCCCTCCCAAAGTGCTGGGATTACGGGCGTGAGCCACCACACCCAGCCACATACCCAGATTTCAATCCCAGCTTGGCTTATTACTGAGTGACCTTTGGGAAGGCTCTTAACTTCACTAAGCCTCAGTTTGCTCATCTGTAAAATGGTACGAATACAGCTTCTACCTACCAGGGTTACTGTGAAAACCAATGAGATAACGTAAGTAATGTTTTTGCTAAATAGAAGGTACTATATCAATAGAGGGAGAATCAAAGATAACTCAAGATTAATAAGAGGACAGTGATGCGAATGATGCAATGGGGGTCAGAAAAGAGTTTTAAGCACGTTAAGCCTGACCACAAAAAGAGTGTCTTACACATCTTCTGTGCCCCTACGCCTCCTCACACTGTCCTGGGTGTGTACAAGGTTCTTGTGACTGAGTAATTCATAGCAGAAGAGAAGATGCGAAGGGGAGGACAGGAGGGTGGGAAAAGGTGTTGACTCTTTAGACTGAGGATTACGTTAACTTGTACCAAATTAAAATTAGTAACAAGGACTATCCTTGCCATTACACAGCCAGCTTTGCTATGGTAAAATGAATCCTCTACCTAAATAGCTGACAGGGTGGGCTATGCTTAGGCAGGGTGTGCTGGGGAGGGACAGAGGAACTCATTTTTGCCATTTCCACTGGGTGTCAGGCCCTAAGCTGAGTGTCTTCACATTCCTCTCTTAATCTTCTTGGCAACCCCCATTAGTATCATCCCCATTTTACACAGAAGGAAGCCAAGGTTCAGAGAAGCTAAGTCACTTGCACTGGGCCACCCAGATAGTAAAGAAAGATGATGATGACAGCGGTGCTGATGATGTTAAGTGATACTAATTGAGCAGGCACTATTCTAGGCACTTTACGTGTATTACTTCATTTAATTCTCACAGCAACCAGAGGTAAATCCTATTTTTGCCTCCATTTTACAGATGGGGAAACCCATGCACAGTGAAGTGGAGTCTTGTCCAAGGCCATGCTGTTGATAAGTGGCTTAGCCAGAATATGAATTTATGAAATCTGGCCCCAGAGCTGAAGCTCTTGAAAGCCCCACACTTGTTCCTGTCTGTCACACTATGAGGACAGGTCAGTCCTATCAAATGATTCTAAATGGAGACCCTATCTAATGGGATTTCTGTCGGATGGCTGCCCCAAGTCCTATCTTATGACACTCTACAATTAAAATACAGTTACTAACAGTCACTAAATAGTCCCTGGACTGATTATACAGAGGTTTTGCCATATGGGAAACCCTGACATAGGAACTCTCAATTAAACCATCAAAAAAAGAGGCCAGGGCAGAATGTTAAGGAACAGCTTGGAAGGAGGGGAGGGAGGCCGATGCCGTACCCTGGGGTGAGAGAGACACCTTTGAGGCTCTCCAGCCAAATGTGACTAAGCCCTTCAAAGCCCAGAGAAGGGGAAGGTCAGGAAGACCGTGCTACAGGCACTTGTCTGGAAAAGAAGGAGAAGCCAGCTAAGACCTGAAAATGGGATCTGGCCGCCCCTTCCCAAGGAGGCTGAGCCTCCAGTTCTCATGTCTATAGCTGAGTCCCACAGTCTTCACAGACAGCAAAGCCACCTCAGAACCTCACCCAAGTTTGAGGTATTTGGTAGGAATCGCGCAGCACAAGGCCAGCATGAATGCTTTTTCCCCCTCTTTGAATAAGTAAGGCAGTTGGTAGTGTGAAGGGAAACTAGAAAAACCTCAAAACAGATTATTTTGCAAAATAATATAACTCAATTATTTTCAGACAGAAGGGGAAAATCCATTTCTCGCCACATTTAATTTTCTCACTCTCTTTCCTTTATCCTTCCCTAATCTCTGTCCCCGTATCTGGAATGTGATCCTGATGTGCACTCCCCTTCCTCTGCCAGAAAGGACTCCGGTTGCTGGATTCTGCCCAAGACACTTAATCCAGGCCCTGCCCCTATTAAAACTGCAGGCGGGAGAGCCAGGAGGGGAAAGGGAGCAAGGGCGTGGGGCTCTGCATAGCCTCCCCAGTGCCTCAAATACTTTCTCGAAACCTGGCAGCCGCACCCATGGCTCTTGGCTGCTGCAGCCCACGCCCTCTTAGAGAAGCCAGTCTGCAGGGAGTCCCACTGGGTGGACTTGCTGAAATACACACTGCAGAGTGAGCCTGTCAGCTCCCACCAGGGACAGGAGTGGTGGCCAAGGAAACGCAGGCCTCCCAGCCCAGCCCTCTCAGCAACACCTCAGCGATGGGGTCTAGAGCAGGGAATGACACCCTCTCATAACCGAGTTTAGAGTCCCTGCAGTGCAGATGTCCTACAGTAGGCTCCTTGTCCATGCAGTGGCCACCAAATCTAAAGACTATCACAAGCCGTGGGGCCAGCTAGGATGCAAGGCAAGAAGGCAGGAGGCAGAAGGACATTCCTTTGTATTCTCTCCATCACCTAGGGCATGCCTGGAAGTAGTTTTCTTGGCCCACAAGCCACAGGGCACAAGTGGAGCAGCTGCCATGCCCTGTGTACCTACTAATGCTGGGAGCACTGACATTGATATGCTCTTCTTACCCCAAATCCACAAGGCCAATGTCATCTCTCACACGTTTGATGTGCGCAGCCATGGTCTCTCTCTGCTACCCCTTGGGCTGGACTCAGTGATCACCCTGTGCGCTGTCGTTTGGTGTCTTCCTGCCATACAGTGCTACTGGTGCTCTAGGAATAAAATTCCCTGTAGAGAAGGGGCTGTGAGTGTGAAGAAAGTCGGGGGAGGGAGAAGACAGCAGATCCAGGTCCCAGCTATGAAAGACCCCCATCTGACCTAAGGCAGGGCTTCAGGAAATAGATGGACCACCATGAGAGAGGGCAGCACCCTGCATGAGCCCTGAGGATTTTGGTCTCCTCAGCCCCAGCTTGCTTAATAAAACAGTTAGTACCCCTGCTAAAGCCTCCTCCCTCCCTGCCTTCCTTCACTCTCTCTTTCTCTTTCCTCCCCTCCTTTTCTCCCTTTCCTTCCTTCTCTCCATTCTTCTCTTCACTCATTCAACAAATTTTGATTTAGCACCTACTATGTACCAAGTATCTTTTCTAGACTCTGGGGATACAGCAGAGAAAGAAGTCAGTAGGTCCCAGTCCTCAAAGAGCTTCCATTCCACTGAGGCTGAAGACAGGCAATAAACAAGAGAAAATGCCCTCCTGCCATGTTGGACTGTAATAAGTGTGTCATAAGTGTGAGAGCACAGGGGGACTAGACAGGGAATGACTGCATGGCCACCTCAGGCTAGGTGCTCCTGGAAGGGCTTCGGGCCCCAGAAGCAACCGTGTGCAGAGAGTAGCCATCAGCTCAGTGGGAGAATAAACTAATTAGAATCTTCTGGAGAAGAAACTCACTAGACTAATTAGAAGAAAGTAAATTAGGGCCAGGCATGGTGGCTCACTCCTGTAAGCTCAGCACTTTGGGATACTGAGGTAGGCAGATCCCTTGGGGTCAGGAGTTCGAGACCAGTTTGGGCAACACGGTGAAACCCTGTCTCTACTAAAAATACAAAAATTAGCCAGGTGTGGTGACGCACGCCTGTAGTCCCAGCTACTCAGGAGGTTGAGGCAGCAGAATCGCTGAAACCTGGGCGGCAGAGGTTGCAGTGAGCCAAGATTGTGCCACTGCCCTCCAGCCTGGGCAACAAAGTGAGACTCCATCTCAAAAATAAAATAAAATAAAATAAGAAAAACCTAAATTAGAACACTTGGAAAAGAGTTACTCTAAGACTCAATTTTTTACCTGTGAAGAAAAAACTTCATCCCTGACCCTGGGTCCTGCTGATTCAAACGCAGTCAAGCCAGCAGCACGCTCTTTGGGCCCCTTGCATCCATTAATTGAGCTCTCCACAGACCCAGCCTGACTGCTCAAGAACATGTTCTCCGCTGAGCAGGGGCCAAGCCTGCAGCCTCTTTCCTCTCCTAACTGACCAGCACCCGGGACAGTCCTCTTTTCCTCATTATCCTTCCTCTAGGCACCACTGAACAACACACAATCCAATAATACTCAGGGCTACAGGTCCACACTTGTCATGAAAACAAGAAACAACTTCCTGGGTAGATAGGGAAATGCAACAAACTGAGAGACATTCTTTTGGAGCCTCTCTTTGGAACAAGTGTCTGCACGCACACACATGCACATGCATGCACACACACATGACACACACAGCCTTTAAACTAGCTGGAGGAAAGCATGTCTTGCTCTGAAAGGCATCAGGTTTGGAAGCCAATTTCAAATAAAGAAGAGCTCCTTGATGAGCTGGGTGTAAGCAGGCCAGGATTAACACTCACCTTATGCAATAAGCGTGTTATATCAGTCTTTTATTGCATGTGGTTTTGCTCCAGGAAAACCTTTATTTGAAACATGATTTGATCTGCAGTACACAGAAATCTCCAGAAAGAAGACTTTCAGCCCAAACAACATGATGGATACGAAAGACTCTAACATAGGGCTTGACTCACGGTCAGCATTAGGCAAATGTTATTTTTGTTTTACGAAACATTTGTAATGCTTCCATGTTAAAACAACAGGATTCCCTGGGGTTAGGAGGGATAATCCTCAGATGCAATAGATTTGTCCATTCACTAAACGTAAGTACAGGCACAGGAAATTCAAGGAAGAACAAGAGGAGTGTGAAGTTTACTGGAGGGACATCATACAAGATGAAATGTTCTAAGCATAACCAGAGTTTTGTATATGGAAGGTATTTATTGGCCACCACTCTCAGCCCACATCTTGTCTGGACAGTGATGTAGGATTTATTCTGGATTAGGAAATTTAGGATAATCTAGTCTTCACGCTTTAACCTGAAGAGGTCATGTGGCATGCCCAAAACCACATAGAAGGCCTAACTATTTTCTGATTGGGTGTAATTCTATGCTTATTAGCAACTGCAGGGCTAGAAATAATGTTAGAGCCCAAAGTGTTTAAAGGTGAGACCTCATGAACCAAGCTCCTTCAATGGCTTTGTTTGGCACATAAAGGGCATTCAACAAATTTATGTTAAATTAATAAAGGAAGAGTCTTTTTAGGTCATGAGATACTTTCTTGGCCACAATTTGGAAAAGTCTCCACCTGGGTTGACAATTAAAAAACAAAGATGGCTTCTCAGTCCTTACCTAAGTAAATCAGTCTAAAGCCACTGTGATCCCTGCTGCTTAACACTCTCTCTTCTGGACACTTTTCCCTTCTGGTTTTCCTCGGAGCTCCCTGGCCTCTCCCCTCAGTCTCCTTTATCAGCTCCCTTTTCTTTTCTTTATAGAAACACAAGGTCTCGATCAGGCTGGAGTACAGTGGCAGGCGCATGGCTCACTGCAGCCTCAACCTCCTAGACTCAAGTGATCCTCCTGCCTCAGCTTCCCAATAGCAGGGACTACAGGTAAATGCCACCACATCTGGCTAAATTTTTAAACCTCTTTTAGAGATGAGGTCTGACTGTTGCCTAGGCTGGTCTGGAACTCTTGGGCTCAAGCAATCCTCCCACCCCGGCCTCCTGGGTAGCTGGGATTATGGGCATGAGCTACCACACCCAGGTGGCTCCTTTTCCAGACAGCCCCTGGAATTCTGATGTTCCTCAGGGTTCTATCTTCAGTGTCTTCCTTCCTCAATCACCTGGCAATCTCATCTCCTCTCTTTACTCATACGTGTAATAACCTTATCTGTTCCCATATTACTTCTCACACTTAGAGAGGAGGGAACCAAAGCTCAGAGGTCACACGAACAGCAAATGGCAGAGGCAGCATTTGAACACCAAGTCTGATTCTTAAGTCCATGCTTCCCATGCAAAGAAGCTGGGATTTTATCATCCCGGCATTGAAATAGTCGGGACAGTGCATTCTACAAATCCTGGCTCCTCTTTCTTTGGGCTAACAGACTCTGTTTAGAATTGTATAAAAGCATGGGCCTTCTCTAGAAAAGCTGCACATGGGAATGTGTTCACAGAGAAAACATTTTGTATACAATATAAAAGGTGTCCTGGATCCCTGGAAGCTCATCAATGACTCCTTCTGGGTCAGGGACCTCAGATGTAAGAACTTATCCTATAAAGACTCAGAAAACACCTTTGAAGTACTTTAAAGGAAACCACAGTTTAGGTGTTCTTTCTCATCTGCTCTGACTTGCTCTAGTAAAGCAAACTGTGAAAAAGCTGAATCACATGATGGTTTCTTTTGCAATCAGATTAAGTGTTTGCTAATAAAAAGTGGACACAATTTTTATCCACATGCCTTGTTTATCAAACAAT
Organism: Homo sapiens; assembly: GCF_000001405.40. NCBI lineage: Eukaryota > Metazoa > Chordata > Mammalia > Primates > Hominidae > Homo > Homo sapiens. The sequence goes on along the minus strand of NC_000015.10, from coordinate 71,353,306 downwards.
TACACTTGGCCCAAACCAGCTAAAGATGTTGTATCACATACAGATTTTATGTTCCTCATCCCACACTGCTGTTCTCGGAGTGACATCCCTGAATGAAAATAAAGTAGGCTTAAAGTGTAGACGCACTCCTTCTGCTTCATGTGTCAATGTCTGTTGATGTCAGAAGAGTCTGACTGGGATGCATGATCACTACATGAAGCCTCATGTATAGAGTGCTCAGAAAAGTGTCTGGTACATGAGATAGTGTTGAATGAATGTGAGTTATCGCCTGCAAGGTCCTTGGAAAGCCTTTATAGCCTCCTCTCCCAATCGTCCCACCTACCCAACCTCTGGACCAGTCTCAAGGATGACGCAGCATTTCCCAGAACGTTTGGGCTTGTGAGCCATTGCTCACGATGCTCCCTTCTCCTAGAATGTCCTTCCACCCATGTCCCGTCCCTATGGACAATTCCATTAGGACTCAGCTTAAATGTTAAGCTTTCCTCTATCCCCTCCCAATACTCTGGCTGGAATTCATTTTTCTTTCATCAGGGCTCATAAAAGCAATATGGATAAGCCTCAATCATAGCACACAGGACACTGTGTTACAATTATTCATTTCTTTTCCCCTGGTATCTCTGAGCTCTTTGAGAACGGGACCTGTATGTCCAAAATTTGTATCCCTAACTGACCACATAGGCTCTCAATAAAATTAAAATTTGAAATGAACTCAACTATATCAGCCAATCCTTTCTAAGTCCTAGGGTGTCTATAAGCTTTAGTAAAATTTACCTGGTTTTTAAAGACCCATACTTTTTAACTCCACTCATAACAGCTCCAGCATACACAGTAATGCCTGCTACTTGGTTATGGGGCCATGACCGTGGGAAACATCCTGTAATTTATCTCCATACAAAGTTGTTGGCAAGGGAAACAAACATGTCTGCTTCTCAGGAAGAATGGCTGGCAACCGTCAGGGCTTTGGATAAACTCCGGCCATGTGTCTTCAGCCAGAAGTTTGCTTTGTGGATCCATCATCAAACCTTAACCTGGCTGAGGGCTGCACGTAATAGTGACACCAGAAGTGACGGTCCTGGAAGCTTCAGTCTTTCCAAATGAACATTCAGCATGTTCCTGGTTGGGAAAGGATGTTAAAAGACAAAGAGGACAAAGAGGACAGGAAAGCATCAACTCTGATGGAATCACGAATCTGCCAAAAATAAATGGACATGGCAGTCTTTTCTTTTGTTTAATTAAAAGGCTCACTTTGGAAGCCAAAAAGGACAGATGTGAGAGTACAGGGTTGACATGGTTCTTCAGAGGGGCTTTTACACAAGTGTATCAAGGAGTGTTGAAAAGAACCAGGGCAGGCAAAGTGTGCATGGTAAAGCCAAATGACAGAAGGTAGTGGGTTTCCTAAATGCAGAGAAGGGTAAACACATTACCATTATTTGGTAATTGACTTCTGAATCTATATGGCCCCTGGAAGGGAGTAGGGAGATAAAAAGCAAAGGCATGGACCAAGTTGGGAGAAGTGTTGCAGAAAGGAAACTTGTTTCCATGTTGTTTTCAAGTCCAATCTGGCCATAGAGAACCATCACCAGCCCAGCAGAGAGGCCACGCGAACACCATCTCCACTCACTGGTGACAGTCTCAATAAGACATTGGAGATCGCTGTGTCCTAGAGCTTGTAAGCCTTGCCACAGATGATGTGAGCAAAGAGCACATGTGAGAAGCATTTTGATATTTTGAAGTTATAAAAGATTTGCTTAGTTTGTGTACCAGGAGAAACTCAAGAGCAGATGGCTAGGAGATGCAGCAAGGTGGAAGGCCTGATGAAATCCATAATTTGAGAGGAAAAACCAGAGTAAAATCAATCAACAGAAGCAATGTTGGTTAAGGGTCTATAGTACATGTCTGTTTTATGTATGTATAGTTTCCCTAAAGAAGGGATTTTTCTTTTCCCTTTGCAATCATGATATATGATGTATTATGGTGGGAAATGCAGAAAGCTCAGCTCAGCACCAGGTATCAGATTGGTCCTGCTCCTCACTAGCTAGGTTTGGGCTTCTGCTGTATAAAAGACAGGCTTGCACCAGATGATCTCTAAAACCTCTTGCAGTGCTCATGGCCTGTGATTGATTTACCATGCAACGTTCAATTGTGCTGCAGAGGCTGTTTTCCCACAGAATGCAGATGGACTTCTGCTACTCCTCAGGGCAGTTCCCCAGCCATTGACCTGATACCCCAGGACCACAGCTGGCCTTAGAAAGCACTTCCCAAGCAGAGGTCATCGGTACCCCAACCGGTACAAAGCTGTTCCCACCACAGCGTGGTGACAAACTTGTCTGACTATGCACCTTGAACACAGGGACCTGAGTGGTCTCATGTATCAGGTCAGCTTAAAGGTAATAAAACAGCCACCGCCAGTGGGGTTTCTTAGGAGAGTTACCAACAAGCTTAATACAAAAGTGTGGCCACGTGGTTTGCCTGGAATGATACACTTGCACACAGGAGACGCCCTGAATCTGGTAATGGCACATCCTTGTTCCCAGCTCTGTTATTTTTCCATGTGCCCTCCCCCAAGGCCTCAGCTCACCTCCCCTCCTCATCCCTGCACCATCCTCCTAAACTTCCATGGACAGCTCAAGCTTGTTGGCCATTCTTTCTAGCTGAATTTCTTTCAAATTAAGGAAACTAAACTTCAGAGTTTTGTAAAGGGCTATGTTGGGAGATTTTTATTTTAAGCAATGAAGAAGAAAAATAAAAATTCAAGTCAAAAAATAGTCACTTTTAGGAGTTGCAACACCTTGGTTCCTTATGTGCCAGAGAGCCAGAGGGGAGGTCACTTAAGCGGTCACTGGCAGCCCCAGGTGCAGAACTCAGGGGTCCTGATTCCCAGTAAAGGGTTCATTCCTGTTCCACTTCTCTGCTTGGCAGGGAATGACTAAATTCTAGGGCTCCCCACCAAGAATGTCTGCTTCAAAGTGAAGGTGCCAAAAACGAACATTAAACAGACACCATATCCTTTCTTGTTATATGCTGAAAAGCATAACTTTGAGATATTTTTAGTGAGTAAATGTGGTCAAACTCAAGGACAAAGCTGAGTTCAACTTAATGAAGTTTACATTAATATATCCCACCTTGTTTTTGGCATCAATGTTCATTTTTTTTTTTTTTTTTTTTAGTAATTTGCAGTTTATATAATTATTATAAGGCTGGAAATCTATCTCCCCAGCTGGGCAAGGATACACTATAAATGTGCTAGAATAAAATATAGATGGAGATTTAATTATCATGCTACTCATGCTTTTTAAATAACGGCATGTCAGCACTTCCATAAACCGATTTGCATTACGTTAAAATTAATGGACTGGAAACCTTTGCTTCTGCTGAAATGGACCATCCCCGTCTTTCCCTTTCGCCCTCCACCTCCTTCCTGAGACCAGCTGTGTTTCAGCTCCCCCTTCCCTGGGCCCACACTGAATCTCTGTTACCCTTACAAACCCCTGCTGCCTCTAAGAGTAAGGACCCCTATCCCATCCCAAACTCAAACCTAAGCACATGCAGCCTCATCCCATTTCTCCAAAACATGTGAAAGCAAAAGAAAATCAAAAACTAACTCAGCAATCTTGTTCTTCCTACAGTGGTCTTTGGCTACTGCTGGGTGTGGCCCACTTTTAACCTGTGAGAGTGCCATCCAGTGAAGAGACAATGGGAATGCTACCTCCCAGAGGTGAGCCCAGCAGGGAAAATACAGGCTTCTCAAGGCTAAGGGCAGGTGCTCTGGGGTCAGGGGTCACTGACAGGTGCTACGTAGACAGAAAGGTGATGCAAACGGCCAGTGGCCACACCTTCAAGACATGTTGATAGGGGCAGGGGGAGATGGACAGGCATGTGGAGAAGTGAACAGGCTCGTGTCATCTTTGTTTTCTACATTGTGCAAATGTACGCATGTGAATGAAGAAGGAATGAATTAAGCAAAGAAGTAATTAATACTAAAGAGAAAAAAATAAGAAAGGGAAACAACAATTTTAGGTGCTTTTCTGGGCTGGCCACTTCTGTATCCAATTTACATTTTGTATACAACATATCTACTTTAATCCCTGTAACTCAGAGTAGCCTTGTTTTTAATTAGAATACTGAAGGTCAGAGAAGTTAAGAAATTGCCTATGATCTCACTGCTAACAATTGAAATGGGATTTGAAGCTGGGTCAGCTTGCTCCTGTCCTGGTTTTCCTACCACTCCACGTGGCAAAATGTTGGCAGATGGCATGGACTTGTGAACACAGATAGGAAGGATGGCCCAGAAAAAGAGAATTTATGTCTGAAATACAGAATGGATTACTATAGAGATTACAATACAAGAGGTAACTTCAAAGGAGAGTAGATTTCATAACAAAAATGCAAGAACCTGCATATCCAAATGAGACCACTGCTTCCCTTTACCAGGGTTCCTCTGGAGGCTTGGCACTTACTCCAAAGATGCTGCTGTCTCAAAACATTTATGTAACTCCTTGTTGGAATGCAGTTACACAGCAAGTGACACATTCCTTTTAAATAGCTCATCCTTTAGCAGGTAAATTTGGTTTTTGCTAACAGTCGTATCCTTTGGGACCAAATCTGGAGCAACAATTTGTATTGGGAAGCATAAGTTTTAATCAAAGGCTACAACAGCCATTAGATTAGGTGTGACTATAAAACAGAGAGTTGTCCCTTCTTTAGCTCAATCGGGCTCTGAACACAACTAAGAGCTAAGCTCTGAGCTGTTTTCTGGAGTGGTGGCATTGCCAGAGCACAGACTCGCAAGGTATCTCTGTTGAAAACCAACACTCACCTGGATGTACAGGTCATGGTGAGCAGGTGTTCTGAGGGAAGACAAAGGAAAAGCAGAGGGAGTGTTGACAATTCTGAGCTTCCATATGGCAGACATTCGGGGCCTGTTGGCATGGTCCTCAGAGCAGCAACAACAGCATCAATTGAGGTTCATTAAAATGCAGAATCGCAGGTTCATGTGGACCTACTGAATCAGAACCTGCATTCTAACAACAGTTTTCAGTGGTTCTTCCGCACATTAAAGTTTGAAAAGCACTGGTCTGGAGGAGGAGGCTCTACAAAAGGGTTGGGTATTGAGGAGCCGAAAAGACAACCTGGAACTGAGATTCCCAGGGATGACCTGAAAACAAGCATTTCAAAAGCTCAGAAAAGCAAGATTTTAACTACTCTCATTTTATATTATCGCAACTACATGTCCAAGATTTTACAAAATAGTCTCAGTTTCAAACACTCTGTTCCCTTTGCAGATCATGTATTATGGATGGTCTGGGGCAACAGGGATAGACCCATGGGTATTGGGAATGAGTATGCAGAGGGTAAGATTACTGAAATTGTTATTATGTGGGTATGGAGACGGGCTAGTTAGCATGAAGGACTGCTGAGTGTTTGGGTGGTCCGGCTGATCATCTGAACACTGAAAAATTAAGTTGAAGTCAGAGAAGGATCAATGTTAAGTTAGGAGAACAAGAGAACTTTCTGTGATGATGGAAATGTTCTATATCTACACTGTCCAACATGGTAGCCACTAGTCATATGCGGCTATTCAGCACTAAAAACACAGCTAGCACAAGTGAGAAACTGAATTTTAAATTTTGATATGGGACTACTGGCTAGCACATTGGACTGCACAGGTATATAAAAACCCCATGGCAGCCCCTGTACCTGCAAGTCTAAAGAGGACCAGGAGGATCCCCGCCAAAAGAAGGGTAATCGATGGGACACCAAAGTTATCAGTCAAGTAAGGCAGAAATGCTTGAATGAATAAATGTATATAGATAGAAAGTAGAGACCTTGATAAAGTCAAACTCCTTGCCTTTACAAGTGTGTGTTCAGCAGCCATGCAAGGGAGATGTCCATCTGGCAGTGGCCCAGGGCAAGGTGTCAGAGCCCTAGTGGCAGGGAGATGGCATCCACATATGAGGGAGGGTGACATGGTGCTAACTGGGCATCTACATAGGGCAGGGGGACAGTGGTGATGTGAAATTGATTACATTCAGGGTGACGGAGTACACAGTAAAAATATAAAAGATAATGGAACCTAGATTTCTCATGGCCAGAGAAGAGAGTTACAACTGCAGAAAGAGAGAAAATGAGAATGAGCCGGGCACGGTGGCTCACACCTGTAATCCCAGCACTTTGGGACACCGAGGCGGGCAGATCGCCTGAGGTCGGGAGTTCGAGACCAGCCTGGCCAGCATGGTGAAACCCTGTCTCTACTAAAAATACAAAAATTAGCCAGGTGTGGTGGCACGCGCCTGTAATCTCAGCTACTCAGGAAGCGGAGGCAGGAGAATTGCTTGAACCCAGGAGGCGGAGGCTGCGGTGAGCCGAGATCACACCATTGCACTCCAACCTGGGCAACAGAGTGAGACTCCGTCTCAAAAAAAAAAAAAAAAAAAAAAAGAAAATGAAAATGAAACTTATGATGTTATTCGGAATTTGAGATGTGTGTGAACTGACAATTTTTAATATACAGATGAATACAGAAATACACACATAATAAATATGTGCTTACATACATAAGACGCATTGCCCAGCTCTGTTTGACTGCAAGGGTCTAGGAGCAGCAACACCACAAGAGCAACAGGTACATTTATTGTCCAGATTTTGGCTTGTAAATACTATTCTCCAAAAAAAATGGACGAGGGCTCCTTGGAAAAATGGCTGATTCCAGGGCTAGGACTGGTAAAATACAAGCTTGAAACATCGTGTCATACCTGAAAGTGAAGAAGTGCTCAAAGAGTGATGGAGATGTGTCAAAAAAGACACTGAAGCCAGGCCAAAGTGGCTCTCACTAGCCAAATACGGGGCAATTAGAGCTTCAAAGCAAATAATAATGGTAACAGGTCAAAACCCATTGAGTAGAAGGGAAATCCATGTGTCCATGCTGACACCAATAAATGGCTGAATAAAGGAGCAAATGGACAAGCTGTATCACCTAACAGGATACAATAAGAATACCCCATCACTTCTGTTATTTTCCTGCCAAAAATTCATCGACTGAATCTAATCATGAGGAAACACTGCACAAACCCAAACTGAGGGCCATGCTACCTAATAATGGTCTATATTCTTCAAACATGTCAAGATCATGTCACGAAAGTCAACAAGAGAATAAGAAATACTTCCAGGCTGAAGGAGACCAGAGATGCGACAACTAAATACAGCGTGTGATTCTGAATCAGATACTTCCACTCTAAGGACATTATTGGGACACTCAGGACAACTGGTGAAACTTGAATGTTTGGGGACTGGGTGGTAGCAATATATCAATATGAATGTCCTGATTCTGATGGTTGCTTTGTGGTTATGTATGAGAATTTTTTTGTTTACAGGAAACCTGGGGGAGTGGCAATGTATCACATTGGCAACTTACTCTCAAGTAAGTCCGAAAACAAAAGAACTCTTCGTACAGGGCTTTAACTACCATATAAGTTTGAGACTGTTTCAAAGTAAAATAATTAAAAAAAAAACAAAACACCCAAAGAATTATGTTCACTTATTCTGGCGAAGGCACTCTAACGGAATGTCTTTAGGGGCATCTTAGAAAGATGTTCTTCTCTAGCAACAACTGCCTAAAGGAAAAGTGCTTCCTTTCCACCTGACATAGACATTCACCCATCAAAGCTGAGGCCTGGACCTGTCACAATTATTTTGCAAATAGGGAAAAGCCACTAAAAACTCAGAGAAGCCACCCCAGAGATCTGCCATTGTTGAGCTGCTAAATTAGCAAGCCCTCAGACTGGCTACCTCCAGATTTCTCGTTATGTGTGATTTATTACCAAATCCAATTGGTTTAAGTTAAAAAAAATCTTAATTTGCTTTCAGACGGCACCAGCTCCGTTTGAAGAAAGGGCCAATCACAGAGGTCAGCACTCTCCTCTCACAGGCAGCCCGGGGTGCCTTTGGCCCTACCTTGCCCCTGTATCAGACTCCCTCCTACATACCCTCTGGCCCAGGATGGGAGCTGCTGGCACTTGAAAAGCCCTTTCTATCTGGCAGGCCACAAGTATACAACTCCTCCTTATTCACAATCAATCCTTCCCTTTGCCCCCTACCCACCCCCCCAACCCCCCGCCACTTGCATACTGAAACAGAACAAAAACATACCATACAGAAATGAGAAATCACATATATAATTACAGCCAATATCACAGACCCAGGCTACACTAAGAAAGGATCAAGGATAAAGATGAAGAACTCTGAGAACAGTTTCCTTTTGGACTTTGTCTCCCGATTTTCTCTGTGACTCTTTCGCCCCCTCTAACCCACACACTGCTTGCTACCCATCTCCCACATGACCACTCACATACTCAGAATTCTTGGCTCACTTTTCTGTCATCATATCTAAAGGGCATCTCCCACCTTGGCAGATCTCACGATCTGGACCTGAGACACAGACATGGAGAGTACACCATTTTCAAAATCCTTCCCACGGCCCCAAAGATGCTGGCAGGCAAAGGCCACATTTGTTGAGTAGACCTTGTACATCCGTGGAAGTAGGCACAAGAAATCTTTGTGAATGCTCATGATACAATTTGGTGCTTCTACATTTCTTTTTCTGATTATGAAAGAATGCCCCTACCCGGAGCCCAGAGAAATTTTCACCCAATTTATTATTTTTCCTAAATTAGCATGTTTGGCATGAAACAAAGATATGCTTACGGCACAGTGCTGAGTACTGTGGAGGACATAAAGGATAAAGGATGTGAGGTCTGTGGAACAGGCACCCAGCCAGCCCCCTGCATGTATGCTCCCTGAGGCGTGAAACATGTTTGAAGAGGTCGTCAATGCTCCATAAGGTGGAAGTGGTGAGCTGAATGGTGCCCTCCCTTCTCCCAAATATGCCCAAGTCCTGACCCTGGAATCTGCACATATCACCTTATTTGGAAATAGAATCTTCACAGATGTTATTAAGAATCCTGGCTGGGCTGGGCACAGTGGCTCACGCCTGTAATCCCAGTACTTTGGGGGGCCGAGGCGGGTGGATCACGAGGTCAGGAGATCGAGACCATACTGACTAACACGGTGAAACCCCGTCTCTATTAAAAATACAAAAACAAAATTTAGTCGGGCGTGGTGGCGGGCACCTGTAGTCCCAGCTACTCGGGAGGCTGAGGCAGGAGAATGGCGTGAACCTGGGAGGCGGAGCTTGCAGTGAGCAGAGATCGCGCCACTGCACTCCAGCCTGGGCGACAGAGCGAGACTCTGTCTCAAAAAAAAAAAAAAAAAAGAATCCTGGCTGGGTGCAGTGGCTCACGCCTGTAACCCCCACCCCCACCCCACCCCCATCACTTTGGGAGGGTGAGGTGGGCTGATTGCTTGAGCCCAGGAGTTTAAGACCAGCCCAGGCGACACGGTGAGACCCAGTCTCTACACAAAATACAAAAAGTTAGCTGGGTGTGGTGGTGCATGCCTGTAGTTCCAGCTGCTCAGGACGCTGAGGTAGGACGATCATCTGAGCCTGGGAGGCTGAGGCTGCAGTGAGCCATTTTGCGGCTGCACTCCAACCTGGGTAACAGAGCAACACCCTATCTCAAAAAAAAAAAAAAAAAATCCTGAGATGAGATTATCCTAGATTTAGGATGGCCCTAAATCCAGTGACAGGTGTCCTTATAAGAGAAAGCACAGGGATTTTCAGTCACAGAAACACACAGAGCAGAAGGTCACTTGAAGACAAAGACAGAGGCTTGAGCAATGTGCCTAAAAGTCAAGGAAGGCCAGTGATTGCTGGGTGCCACCAAAAGCTGGAAGAGGAAAGTGAGGATTCACCCTCAGAGACTCCAGACGAAGCCAACCCTGATGACACCTTGACTTTGGACTTTTCCCCTCTGAGATGGTTAGAAAATAATTTTTGTTGTTTTAAACCACTAACTTTACAGTCATCTGTCATGGCATACCCTGGAAACTAATACAGCGGGCAAGGCAGGCTATTTATTATTTATCAATCAATCAGTAGAGACAGGGTCTATCTAATCTATCTAATTCATCTAACATATCCATCTATCTCTCTTTATATCTAATATATCCATCTATCTACCTACCTACCTACTAGAGATAGGGTCTCGCTATATTATGCAGGCTGGTCTTGAACTTCTGGCCTTAAGAGAGCCTCCACCTCTGCCTCCCAAAATGTTGGGATTACAGGCATGAGCCACTGGCTTAGTCAAGGCAGATCATTTAGGGGTGGACTTTGTTTGTCCAGAGAAGAAATAATTTTCCCTCCCAGCTCTGATAATACATGCCCAGTAAGCACAAAGGCTCTGGCATATGGGTAAAATGGAACCTTTTAGCATATGGCAAAGGCTGTCTCTTAAGACCCTTCTATATGCAAGATGGGCCAGTCGGGAGGAAGAGAACAGAAAAACTCGAGCACAAACGGAACTCAAAGACCTTCTGAAGCTCAACACTTGTGGACTGTCTCTGAGGATCTGGGTGTGCCTGGCACACACAGCCTCAAAAGAGAATTTGCCACAAGAAAGAAGACATCTAGTTGGTATCCAAGGACCCCCATCAGCTGCTGTGGGGTGGGGAGGGCCGCTTCAGGCACCGTCCATGGCTGAGGTGGGATCCCCTCCAACACGGCTGCCTGGAGAACAAGGACGAACATGTCAGAGTAGCCAAAGTGGCTGTAGCCACGGAATGTCCCCAAGGGCCACTGTGCAGCCACTGCAGGGTCTGCGCCTGCCAGGGCACACCAGGGCAGGGGCAGAAGTTGGGGGTGGGCAGGGGGAAGGCAAGGAAACCCGGAGTGAAAGCTATTAACCTGCATGGCGATCAGCTCAAGGTGGGGGTCAGAGAAGGGAGGGACTCCCATGCTGAGACTGCACCCCTGTTGTTTCTTCTCTCCTGTTTTCAGGCTGTCCTCTGACTTCAGGATCTCCAAGTGCCTGCAGGCAGAGGACCAAGAGTGCAAGCCCAGCACAAGCCCCCATTTCTTTCTTCTACGCATCATGTGCACCGTGAGTACTGTGCACTCCCCGTGGCAGTCTCTGTAACACAAACTCTCTCTGTTCCAGGTTCCCAAAGCGTATTTTAAAACCTCATCAGCTATGTTATTTTTAAACTCCAGGAAATAAATGGGATTTAGTAGATGTTATTAAATAACACCTACTGTCCCCCACCTTTTTTTTTTATGAAGAAGCGTTTCAGTCAATCAAAGGATGTATCAGTTTCTGCATCTGCATGTCCACCCATCAATCCACTTATTCTACCCCTCCCCATCTCCTGTTACAGACAGCTGTGACTATCCTCATCTACTGTTAACAAGAGTTAATCCTCTGTGGTAGGATATGGAGTAATTTTTTACTGTCTTCTTGGCTTTCAATTGGATTGTTTGAATACTTTATGTTGAACACAAGCTACTTTTAGAAAAAAAAATCGTTAGAGCATTAAGGTCATTATTCTAGATGAAATATAATAAAAACCTAGTAGGTGGAAATAAACCAAATGAAAGGAAAGGAAGGAAGGAAGAAAAGAGGGTTGTGAGGGAGGTAGGAGAAAAAAGGAAGAAAAGGGAGAGAGCTCTTTTCCTAAGCAGCCTGAGGTAATCTGTGAAAATGGTTCGCTATTCACTTGACCCGGAGAACCCCACGAAATCAGGCAAATCAAGAGGTTCCAATCTTCGTGTTCACTTTAAGAACACTCGTGAAACTGCTCAGGCCATCAAGGGTATGCATATACGAAAAGCCACGAAGTATCTGAAAGATGTCACTTTACAGAAACAGTGTGTACCATTCCGACATTACAACGGTGGAGTTGGCAGGTGTGCGCAGGCCAAGCAGTGGGGCTGGACACAAGGTCGGTGGCCCAAAAAGAGTGCTGAATTCTTGCTGCACATGCTTAAAAACGCAGAGAGTAATGCTGAACTTAAGGGTTTAGATGTAGATTCTCTGGTCATTGAGCATATCCAAGTGAACAAAGCACCTAAGATGCACCGCCGGACCTACAGAGCTCATGGTCGGATTAACCCATACATGAGCTCTCCCTGCCACATTGAGATGATCCTTACGGAAAAGGAACAGATTGTTCCTAAACCAGAAGAGGAGGTTGCCCAGAAGAAAAAGATATCCCAGAAGAAACTGAAGAAACAAAAACTTATGGCACGGGAGTAAATTCAGCATTAAAATAAATGTAATTAAAAGGAAAAAAAAAAGGGAGAGAGAGGGAAGACAGAAGAGACAATAGAAAAGAAAAGGCAAGGCAACAAAAGAAAAAAGAAATGGGAGAGAGAGGAAATGCAAGACACTGGGAAACAATGGGGAGACCATTACCTGCACATCTACCCCAGGAACTGTAGGGACCAGTGTAGACCCTCCCAACCCGTTTTCATAAGTGAACTCCCAGGGAAAGCTTATGAAAATAATCTCTGGGGCTGGGCACGGTGGCTCACGCCTGTAATCCTAGGACTTTGGGAGGCAGAGGTGGGTGGACCACCTGAGCTCAAGAGTTCAAGACTACCCTGGTCAACATGACGAAACTCTGTCTCTACTAAAAATATTAGCCAGGTGTGGTGGTGGGCACCTGTAATCTCAGCTACTCAGGAGGTTGAGGCAGGAGAATTGCTTGAACCCAGCAGGCAGAGGTTGCAGCAAGCAGAGATTGCACCATTGCACTCCAGGCTGGGTGACAGAGTAAAACTGTGTCGCAAAAAAAAAAAAAAAAAAAAGTCTCTGGATGCTCATTAAGGCCCAAACATGGACCTACAAAAGACAGCCTAGGAAGTGGAAGGCAGTCACAGCAAGGAAGCTCCAGAGGGTGCGCAAGCTCCCAGCACAGCGGAAAATGGGTCACACGGCCTGGCTCTTCCAGCTCATCCCTCATGGATTTGGTTTCAGGGTCCAGAGCCTTAAAGCTACAGGGTGGATGGCATTTTGGAAGCACCGGGTCTAAGCTCCCATTCAGAGTTCCAGGACTTCTACCATATTCTGGTCTTTAAAGTGACCTTCAGCAAGTCCTTCAACCTCTCTGAGCCTTGGGTTCCTCATCTATGAAATGGGGACGAGAGACCCATCCTGGCAAGATGTGAAGCCAAGGCATATGCCAAGGAGCAGGTGTACCCGCACACTGCCTCAGCAAGCACACGGTCCAGTCAGGGAGACACACAGTACAAAGCCAACCTGCAAACATCTACTGATTAAGTGTTAAGGTCCAAATGCAATAATGAAGCCTAGAAATTCGGATCAACATCAAGAATAACTAAGACTTGGCCAGGTGCAGTGGCTCATGTCTGTACTCCCAACTCTTTGGGAGGGCAAGGTGGGCGGATCACCTGAGGTCAGGAGTTCAAGACCAGCCTGGACAACATGACGAAAGCCTGTCTCTACTAAAAATACAAAAATTAGCCGGGCATGGTGGCACGCGACTGTAATTTCAGCTACTTGGGAGGCTGAGGCAGGAGAATTCCTTGAACCCAGGAGGCAGAGGTTGCAGTGAGCGGAGATCGCGCCACTGCACTCTAGCCTGGGTGACAGAGTAAGACTCCATCTCAAAAAAAAAAAAGTTAAAACTTACTGAGCACTTATCTGCTTTACACATATTTACCATTTAATCCTCATAACATCCCTATGAGGTAGTTACTTTTATTATTCCAATTTTAGAGATTAGGAAACTGAGGCACAGGGCAATTAAGAACTTATCTCAAGTTATGACAGAGAAGTTCCTACCATACTAGGTAGTGCTGGGATTTTAATGCAGGCAACCCATCTCTTAAACACTACACCCCATACCTGATCGATAATAGATAATGTACGGCTCTCATTTTTAATGAGGTTATATTGTTAGAGAGTGACAAGGCAAGTAAAAAAATATAAAGTAATGCACTGTGATCAGCTTCATGGGACATTTGTGCAAAGTACAGAGGTGACGGTTGGGGGAGGGGATAATTAAATATCTGAGAGGGTCGGCAAAGATTTCCTGAGTCATTAAACTTGGGGGTTTGGAAGGATGAGTAGGAGTATTTCTGGATTAAAAAAATCAATAAAAGGGAGGCTCAGGCAGAAGTAACAGTTTGGGTAGACAGAGACAAAAAATACAAAAAACTCAGCATAGAACACTGAAAAAGTTTAATGGAGATAAAACATACTAAGAATGCTAAAATGCTATGAAGAACCCAGAGGGAGTTCTTAAGTGATATCTTAAGGGCAGAACACAAAGCTAACAAAAAGATCTCAGGGTAGGTGAGGTCAGGACAAAATGTCCTGAGAAGAGGCGAGGCCGCAGAGATGGCCAGTGGCTGGAGCAAGACACAGTGTGATGTCCTGCAAGGAGCCTGCTTTTAACTCGTAAACACTGGTCACTCAGGCACCTGTTTCTATAGAAACAGAGGTGACCTTTAGGACAGACAGGTCTTCACTGACAGCCCCAGAACTCCAACTCTGGTTTCCAGACAATGGCCAGACCCTGACCTCAGTTCTGGCTACATTAAACTGGAGATTTCAGTCTTTCATAGGTCCACTCGGTTGGGTAGAGTTGGAAGGTCTTTTCTCCCTTGTCCCATTTCCCCCTTCTCTTACCTCCCACCAAGTGTCTGTTGCTGCAAGAGGCCAGTTAAGGGTGTCTTTTCCTTCTAATAATCTCAGTGTTTGGGCACAGATTAACCAAGCCCAAACAACAGAACTAACTCAAAAACAAAAGCTAAGCTCCAGCCCTGATGCAGTGAATACACGTGTTTGTAACTCCTCTGTCAACTACCTCCTAACCTCCTGCCTGTCTCTAAAGACACCATAAAAGGAGAAATCAGAGCCGAAAGAACCTCACTGCAGAGTAGATCAGTGTATTAATTTATAACAGTTCACATACTCTCGGCATTACCTCATGGCCCAATTCTAGGATCCACGCGCGAGTATGAACTGGAGCAATGTGAACCTCCCTGATATCTATAAGTGTTCAGACTCCGGTCCAAAGAGTGTTTATCATGCTACATGAAGCAGACCCCTTGCTTTCAGATCTTCCTGTCCTACTGCTGAGTGTTCGGAAAGAAGCTCAGAGTGGGGCGGGGGGTGGGGGTACCTAAGCCATCACCTGGAGAATCCTCCCATTTCATGGGATACCAAGACTGTAGGATTGGCTCAAGGTCACACAGCTAATTAGGGAAACTCCAGGATTCAAAGCTCAAACTTCTGATTCTTCAGTGTTTGAAACCATATTTTGAACCCAGTTCTTAGAGAAAAATAAGCAGATAAGATTTTGGGGCATTGATGGGGGAACAGTTTAATGATAGAACAGGGAAGAAAAATATGAGCACAATTCTTTTCTAGGTACAACAAGGCATTTTACATACATTTTTCCAGTTAATCCTCATAATCCTTCCAGGAACTTATCAGCTCCACCAGTTTACACAGGGAAGCGGCTGAGGCTGGAAGGACCAGAAAGTTGCCCACAGTCATTAGTAAATGAGAGCCCCATTTGACCTTCGAATTGCCCATTTCTGCCTACATCACATTGCATGCAGAAATCACTTTCCTAACCTTTACTCAAGCCTGCTGGGAACGTCTCCGGTGGGCTCAGCCTCTACTAGGTTCACCTGGGGTATGCAAAGGCCCTCCTCAAGTGTTCAGGCAGAGCCTCATCTTCCAGCCTGGCTGAGGGGCCCTCTCTCCCAGGGCCCAAGTTCTTGAGAACCTCCCAGAGCCCAGTAAGAATTTGCATAATTAATGACCTGCGGGCCAGAATGTCCAAGCCTCTCTCACCCCATCCCTGACTGGGAAACCTTTTAGCTATTTATCAGGCCAGACCTGTTTATCCAGTTTCCATTTGGGACAACTTTTCACATGTTAACTAGCTGATCCTTGTTAAGCTAGGGTTTGGCTCACAAGGCAAGTATTTGCGGTTTTTCTCCTGGGCTGAAACACTGAGTAAGGAGCATCAAGCCCTCCAGGGGCAGGTTTCCTCCCACTGCCTCAGGCTCTGCCCACTTTTCACTCCTGGCTCCCACAAGGGCATTGGGCCTGGCTCTACCCTCGGTCCCCCTGGACTGGAATGCAACCACATGCTGTATGTCCAGGTGGGGCCACTCTAGACCCTACCACTGGCCTGGCTGCTGCAGCCACTACCACCCCTTACAGTTCTTGGGTTGGAAAATGACCACTTCATGTTTTCAGTGTTGTACCCAACTAAGACACATCCACATGCACAGACTTCCTCTGCCTAGCCCAGGACCAAGGCGGTCACTACATCATTACAGTCCTTCTCTTTCCTCCTTGCCTCCCACTTCTCTCCAAAACAAAGCACATGCATGCACGCACACACTCCCTCTCCCCTCTCTCTCTGATTTAGCCCAAGGATTGGAAGGCCCTCAAGTAAACTGTGCCTTGCAAAAACTGCCCTTTGCCACCCTAAGGCATGTACTAAAATGTGATCAAAGTTACCTTCAGTTGACATGAAGGAACAGCATTTTCCACCGGTGAAAGTGTGAAAGTCTAGCTCGTTTTAACAGGTTTGACAGGTTTGTATGTCATTCTTAGACTCTCTCCTACTTCTTACAGAAAAATTAGATTGGGGTTAAATCCATTTACTGCTTCAGACACTGTATCCAAATTGCCAAATAAGGGAAAATAAGTTGTAAATTAAAATGATACTTTAAGGAACAGAAATGATAAATTTTTAGATTTGGGTTTGGAAAGCACCTCTTACAGAAATATAACACTTTATGTCTCTTAAAAAGTCTAATTCAGTGATTTGAACATGTGGTACTTCAAAACAAACTCAGATATGGTTCCACGTGGAATATAGTTCATGACCAGTGATAACTCCAAACATTCTGGATACTGATCTTCAACTTTAAGAAAAACAATCACACTCAAATTACTTTTTTCCCTTAACAGTTAAAATGATAAAGTATAAAATTCCTTGCTTTAAATATTGCTAATTAGAAATTTTAACTTTTCTATAACTTGAATTTGAATCTCTTCTGTTTAAATGACAACTGAATTTCAGATTTAACAAAATATTATGAACTCATAATAAAGGGTATTAATGTATTTGTTATCTACCACTTCCTTCCCTGTATCTTTGGGCCCTCACCACTCAGACCAAGGTTGTAACATTTTTATTCTAGAAGTTGAAAAACACTGCCCTAAATCCCTTGATTAAAAACATTCTAGAAGCTTGAGCATTTTGTGGGGAGAGGGAGACAGTGTGTGAACATGCCTCACATGTGCTGGCTGAGCAGGGGATGGCCTCCATCACTTTATTTCCTCTTCCTAATGGATTGCAATGCGAAAGGCCATCCACCGAGGTGATCTCTCCCCAATGATTGAGATTCTTTTTTTCATTGACTGTGTTCTGCTGCAGTCCAGCCCCTCAGGTTTGGCCTTCCACATCATTCCCCGACAACCCACCCCCATGCCCTTCTCCAAGAAGGATGACCTCAAGTGTGAAATAATCTCCAGCATCTGTTTGGGGCTTTGATTTTGTGGGTTTATTTTACACATCCTAATTCTGCAGGAAACTCCCTGCAGATGTGGAGAAGCCCTCAGTTACTGACCCCTTGTTAAAAGAAACAGCCAGAAACCAGAAACATGACCAGGAAGATAAACAGCTGTTGAGGTCTCAGCTGCTCTCCAGAGTGGCATCATCTTCGGAAATAAGCCTTGCATTCATCTTCACCGAGGAAATTGGGCCTTGAAGTTCATTTAGTTAGAGATGGTAAAAGCATGGCACACATACCTCCCACCCTTCTCTCGCACCCGTGACAGACATCACTCATCAATCATTATATCCTTTTTCTCTGGGTCTGAAATCAGCCCCAGAATTCTCCTCAAAAAGGGGTCCAGACAAACTCTGTGAAACCATATTAAATATATTTGTCATTCTAGAAGTCTAGGTTCTAAGGGATAAAGATTCTGAAAAGAAAAATTAAATAAAATCTGTGCATTTTTGTTGGGAGGGGTTGGGGAGAGGTTAGGGGGTACTTGGTTCAAGTCCTAAACAGAGTAGGAAATTCTGTTTCCTTGAAATACCATCTCAAAGCCCACAATACTGATTTAAGAAAAGAGCCCTCAACTAAAAGCAGAAGAAGTTGCTGGGGCTGACAAGTATTTGCATTTCCTGAACGTGAGCTGTGTTCCAGGCACTGCTCTAAGCACCTCACATGTATTGTCTCATGTAATTAACAGAAGATGATTCTGATGCTAACATGACCCAGGATTCAAGACTCATTTCTCAGATCCAACATGTTTCACAGATGAGTGCAGCACAAGTCACACAAGACAGCTGCCTGCCAAGAGTGCGCTCACCCTCCCCAGACCTGAGCTCCATTAATTCTGCTCAGGAAGGAGGGCCTTTTTCAAATCCAGCACAGCCCTGGCCCATCTGCTCCAGTGTGTCACTTAGCCATAGTCTGTTTCTGAATGTGCAGCTTCAAAAAGAAGCAGATTTTGTAACGGATTCCCCCTTTGTCCCAGATAGACAGCACAACCTCCATGAAAGATGTGCATCTTCCTTCTTCCAGTGAAGAAGTTCTGCTGACAGTTCTGAGCACTATGAGGGCCACAGGTCTATCCTGCAACAAACATATCAGGCTAAGGGCTTACTTTCAAAGAACTAGAGAGAGGGAGGCTGGTTTGTTTCTTCTCCTAGGCTTGGGTCAGACACTGGCAAACTGACTCATTTGCCTTGATGGGCTGGCATTTGGCCGCAGCCTTGGTCAATGCCAATTTCAGCGTTATTTGGCCCTTGGGGATTGTCCATGGGTCCTGGGTGACAGCCATGCACCAACTGCCCCCAGAGCTGGGGAATGAGAAAATGACATGAACAATGATAAAAATAAAAATGAGAGCTACTGACTGTATTGGATGTTTAGTAAGCACTCAGAAAATGTACCAAAGGCTTCATATACACTCTCATGCTGAATCCCCAAATTCTTCTGTGACCTGTTCATCTAGAAAGCTGCCGATGTCCACCTCTTAGAGAAATGGTTCTGTGGTAGTCGAGTGTCGGTTTCAAAGCTAGGATTTTGAAGAAGTCCTTTAACTCTGTTTCCCCATTTGTGAGAAGAGATTACCCTTATGTTTCATGTTATGCATCATGAAGAAAAATGATCCACAAAAATATGCCTTGGCTATTCTGCAGAAAAGAACAAAGTAAGTTCTCAGTTTATGACTGTTATGGTTGCTGATATACTGCTCTGGCTTCCGGTTTGCTGGGTGTATCTTATCACACTGTCCTCCATATGTGAATCCTAAACCTTAAAAACAATGTTTCTTTAGATACTTTCATCAACTCAACTCGAAACTAAAACAACAGGCTGGGAGGCAGTGAGTTTCTTGAGGGCAGAGGTTGTGTCTTACTCATCTCTGAATTCCACATATTTGGCTTAAAAGAAACAGGCAAAAATGTTATTTGAGGATAAAGACCAGAGGGAGGTTGAGAAAGGGAAGAAAGAAGCCACAACCTTCTGTAGCATTATCTTGTCAACGAAAGTTCATATATTTTCAATAAGCATCTACTAAGCCCCGTAAGAGAAAAAGGTTTGTTGTCTGCTTGGTACTACCTTAAACATTGGGTGTTTGATGCAGACGCTGCCTTTACTGAGTGGGAAATAGCCTTGAGTAAAGTGTGAAGCAAGACTTCAATAAGTCCTTAACGACAGTCACAACCATTTGTACCCTCAGTCTGGCCGATTTTTGGAAAAATAAAAAATGCCCATGCTGATGCCATGGGAATGTCCCCTAAGATCACTGCCTTTCTGCACTCTATCAGTTGCCAGCCACTCAAATCTCCAAAATTATAGATGCCAGAATGACAAGGCTCTTGGCCAAGAAAAAAAACAAAGGTTCAGCCAAATTAGAGTATGTTGAGGGTGAGAAAGCTAAAGTCTAAGAGGCCCACATATCAGAAATGGGAAACTAGAATAGACATCTGTTTGGAATCTCCATGGGCAATTCTCTATGACCACAGTGAGCTTAACAACTGCAAGGACAGTAACAAGGGGGCTTTAGGTTGACTCTGCCACTCCCCACTTCCCCCATAAATGCCTGCTCTGAAAGCCAAAACTCAGAATGCCCCTCCCAAGACCCTTTCAGCCTAGAGACTCCAGAGAAAGGAAGCTCACACTCTTGGGCTGAGCTGCTAATGCCTGCAATGCACCTGCTTTTCTAGCCACAAGTGGCTCTTTATGCCCCCACCTCGTGGGCAGCAAAAAGGGAAGATGTCCTTCTCACCTAAGCATCCCAGCCTCCCCATAGGAACAGCACTATTAGGGAGGCCTAAAAGGGGGGAATACCCAAATGGAGTCTAGGTGAGCTAGACCAGATACCAAGCTTAAAGGCAGAGGTGTCCGATCTTCCCTGGGCCACACTGGAATAAGAATTGTCTGGGGCCACACATAAAATACACTAACACTAACAATAGCTGATGAACTAAAAAAAAAAAAAAAATGTAAAAAAATCTCAATGTTTTAAGAAAGTTTACAAATTTACATTCCGTCTTGAGCCACATGTGGCCCACAAGACACGGGTTGGACAAGCTTGTTTAAAGGGCTCAGCTTGCAGTTAATGAATTCATCACTCAAATATTTGGCGAGTACTCTCTGCATATCAGGCATAATTCTAGGTATGGCAAAAGAGAGAGAGAGACGTCTGCTGTCAGGTTGAATGGTCCCTATCTTAAGCCTGTGACAGCAATCGGGCCATAAAATGTTAACATCACAAGACTTCAACCGGGGTTCAAATCCGAGGCATGCTGCAGTCTAACTTTGTGACCTTGGGTACCTGACTTCCCTGTTAAGGGAAGGATTAAATTAAGGGGCAAATTTGAAGGCCAGGAGCAGAGTCCTTTTCTCCTTCTAGGATTCCTGATTCCATGTCTAGTTTACTCCTTCTGCATTTTACAGCCAAGAATATACACACAGACACGTACCCATGTACACACATACATCATCCTTTAAGTAAGACTTACCATACATTCATCTCTTATCCTTATAGCCGTCTGGCAGTGTAGGTATTTGTGGTACCCATGAGAATCAATGCTCTTCGCAGACCTCCAACTACAGGCAATGAAATTGACCAACGGCTCCAGCTGCTGTGCTCTGAAATCCATCACTGTAGCTGTGTGGGCACCAGACTGCACTTCTCATGGGCTGATTCCAGAGGCAATAGCGGAACCCAGCAGGGGTACTGAGACAAACCTATTCCTGGGAGACATGGGACTCCTCTGACAGCTGAGTTTGGCTGCAGGACTCCCTGATGGCATTGTGGACCCTCCTTGGCAATCTAGGACCCTTCCCTACAACTGCCCCTTCTTCTTTCCTTCAGTAGAGATCAGACTTGCATTGCTATCTGACCATTCTCCTAACCTGTTTCTTTTAATAAAATCCTTGAATGTACAGTCCTGTCTTGATGTCTGCTTCCTGGAAGATGCTGACAAACAGAATTTTATCATGTCTGTATTACAGATGAAAAAGCTGAAGTTCAAGGGACAAGTAGGCAGTCCAATGTCACGGGGTGGGGAGGGGGGGGCAAGGAATGCATTGTAATTCAATATTAGCTATTTGTGAATCAAAATGCCACAGAGGCCTCCCATTCCCTCCACAAAAAGTCCTGGAGATGGGCCCTGAGGTGTTCCCTGTGAAGCAGTATGCCTTTCTCCATTTCCCTAGGTCCTACAACTCATTAGTGGTGGGCCAAGAGCAAAGCCTAGGTTTTCAGCATCTAAATCAGGGGTTCCTCCTCCCGGCCCACCATGCTCTGGGGGCCAGACTGCAGAGCAATCCCAGCTAGAGTGAAGCTCTGCAGCTCACCCCGCCCCATGGTGCCTGTGGAGCCACAGCAGGTTTTTGCATTTAGTAAGTGTGTTTGGAGACAATCATTTCATAAAAGTTAATCTGTTCTGGGCTGGAGCCAGCTGAGACTGATAACTCCAAGTCTCCCCAAATGAGAACTTCAAATGCAAAGTCACATTTCTTCCCAGTGATCTTGGCCGCCTGAGACCTGACTACCTTCAGAGGAAACCAGGCATTCATGTATCCACATCCAAATTTTCTTGGCCTATCCCAGTTGGAGATTTCAGAGCTGCTTCTTCAATGCCAGAAGAAGTACGAGGAAGGGCAGCCGCCCCTCTGTCACCATCACAAGCCAAACACACTCCATCTGTACCTAGGTGGCTGGGGAGACGCCCAAACAGCACCTCAGGAAAACTAATCAACACTGTCCAAATGGCTGCAGCAGAAAACTAGAAGGGGAGACAAACAGCTTTGCCAGCCAAAGGCCACTGAGAGGAGCGCAGGAGAAATGAGCTCAACGCTCTGTCTACACCCGGGAGCCACACAGGTGGGAGAGCAAATTAGCACAGCCTCCCTCCTTCCTCGACAAGGCCAGATCGCCAGTGGCACCCGGTAAACGGGTTAGTGTCCATGTCACTCAAACCTCTGCTCTGTGTGTAGACTGGTGTCTGTTTTATTTGAAATTACTTACCAACCTAGTCGCTCTCTTACTCTTGGCAACCAACAGAGCGATGGACTGGTGACAGCAGCAGCAGAGGCAGAGAGAGAAAGTGAGAAAAAAATGAGTGGGTTTATATGACAGTATTGTACATCAGAAGGAACAAAGCATAGGACTGTTCTCTTCACCTGGGTCCTGGAAGAATTGAGAGGGGCAGGAAGGAAAGCGCTAACAGTTATTGAGGGGTTTACTGCATGCCAGACACTGCTAATGGATTTACATGCCTTATGTCATCTAATCCTCATAGTAACTATAGAAAGCTGATACTATTGTTATTACTTCCATTTTACAGAAGAAGAAACTGAAGTTCAGAATGGCGAAGCAACTTCCCCAAGGCTTCCCAACGAATCACAATCCTGGCCTGGATTTTAGCAGAGTTAGTGTAATTTGAGAGCATCCTCTACTGACGATGATACACAATTCCCCATGTTTGTTGAATACCTACCGTGTGCTGCGTGTTTTAATTAATGACAACTGCATGCCATTCTTAGAATAGCTTTAGAAAGTACATGTCATACCCATTTCTGAGGAGTGGGGACTGAGACTCAAAGATGAATTTAACAAAGGTCCTATAGCTAGGAAGTGGGGGAGCTCAGATTGAAAGCACATCTGAGTGACTCCACAAGACCACAAGGCCCTCCTCATAGGCACACCCAGGGCAGCTCCCACCCCTCCTCGTTTGGCCCAGGAGGGCACAACAATAAACAATACTAGAACAATCATGGTGGTCTTTTTTTTTTTTTTCCTTTGGAGACGAGGTCTTGCTCTGTGGCCCAGTTTAGATTGTGCAATGGTGCTATCACAGCTCACCGCAGCCTCGACCTCCCAGGCTCAAGCAATCCTCCCACTTCATCCTCCCTAGTTGCTGGGACCACAGGCACGTGCCACTATGCCTGCCTAATTTTTTATTTTTTGTACAGATGAAGTTTCACCATGTTGCCCAGGCTGGTCTCAAACTCATGGGCTCAAGAGATTCACCCACCTTGGCCTCCTAAAGTGCTGGGATTATAGGCGTGAGCCACCACGCCCAGCCCATAGCAATAATGGAACACTGCCTGAGTTATTTTCAATGTGCTAAGCACCCTTCATTTTATTGTTACCACAGCCCTGTCTGTGAGTGAGTGGCTTGACCTCAATTTCACGATGAGTAATTCGAGGCTTACAAGGGCAGGGCACACAAGTCACCTGAGCAGAGCTGGCGTCTCGGGAATGTCCAGCATACTGCCTGAGACATGACATCTCACAGGGGACAACATCGACTCCGTCCTCTCCTTTCCACTCAACAGACATTCGCCTTTTGGCTGAAGAAACTCTCTAATGCAAGTTGTTAAGGAGGCAGCAAAGGACGTTTCAGGGTTTCATTCTAAGCAGGTTTCCCTAAAAGAACCTTCTAGAAGTTATAAGCAGTGTGGGTCACTCAAAGGTCTGGCAACCTTTCTCTCCAACTTGAACTTTCCTCAGGCTGAAGCCTCCCACATTCTGCCGCAGACATCTCAGGAAACGTCTCTGTCCTTTCAAGTCCGTGAGATTCCAGCCGAGGCCTGACCTCACACTCAGCCTGGCCCGCTCCCTGTCGCCAGGCAGCCAGTTCCTTGTTTTTCCTCCCATAATGATGGATACAACCTGTCAGGAAAGCTGGGAATATTCTTAGCTCCTAACTGATTTTTATCTAAATTTAACTCTGAGCCACAGCACAGCACAAGCAGACTTGCATCCAGAGGGCAGCCAACATTTTCATGGCGACACATCACAACGGAGGCTTGGTATTTCTCAGATGCCCTGGCTTGGCTTGAAGCTAAAATAAGACAAATGGCTCTTTAGGAAAAAAATCTTGATCTTGTAGTACTAGAACCATCAGACTGTAGAGTTGGAGAGAAACTTAGATTTATCCAGCCTCATTCTACAGATCAGGAAACTGAGGCCCAGCAAGCACGGGCCACTTGAACCGCAAAGCTTGGTCTTGCTTTTTTCACAATACCACATTGCCTCTAAGGAACACAATGAGCAAATTAGATGGGACATCTGCAGAGGGCCATAACTTTTTATTTTGTAAATCATAAAATCAAATGTTCTGGGTCATGCAGCTAAAGCTGGTTGAACCCTGATCTCTAGTAAACAGCACCAACTGTCTGATTCAGCACATTTAATAAGCCCATGGAAAGTGGACTTTTTCCAAGGTTCAGAGTCTAAAAAAAGTTCCAACTGAAACAATTCAGCAAGTCATTCTCTCTCGCTAGAATGCTGGCTCCTGGAGAGGGGGGCATTATCAGTTTGATTCACTGTTCTATCTCTGAAGCCTGGAATCGCACCTGGAACATAGTGGATGCTTGATAAATATATATTGAATGGCAGACTGAATGAATTAATGAACGAATGAACAAATGAATAATTAGGAGGAACAGAACCATTAGGCCTGAATGACTGCTTGTAGGAAAGGGAGGGCAAAGCCACCAGCAAAATAAAGTGAGATTGTGCTTTTCCATTCTTCACCCACCAAGCTATGCAGCAATCGATGTCTTCTAGGAATTAGATAAAAGGTTTTGCGTGGCCATACAATAAAATGCAGATGGAGATCCCCAAGTGGCCACTATCATTCACACGGAAGGCTTGACTGAAGATTGGACTCAAAAGAAAAAGAAATAGAGGAACAATAAAAACAAGAAGCACGAAAATACGGTGTCCCAGTCGGGACCATGACCCAGAGGGTCACCATGGTTCTCCCAGCAGAATGCAGCAGTGAACTACAAGCCTCGCCTCTGAGCCAAGGTTTGAGAAAGGAGGACACGGCCTATTGTAATGGAGGAAAGAAGGTGGCTTTACTTTTGTCCCATTCCTTACCTTAGTAAGTTTGTGGGAAAAGAGGCCATCATTGCTACAGTATGTTTAATTGAAAAATCACCATTCTTGCACAGACCCGGCTGAATTAATACATTCTGAGGCTCAAATGGTATCAGGTGTCCTAGGCCCTACATTGTTAACACATTTATTTTTGCAAGCAGGTCACTATATATAAATACAAAAGGTTGTGTTTGTGTATATTTGAAGGCACATGATATGGGGAGTAGGGTGAAGCAAAAGGGGCAAGAGAAAAATCAAGATTTATAAAAAAGAAATCCAAATACAGCTTTATGCATTGAATGCCATATACATTCAGCATTGTGCTTTAAACAATTTTTTTTTCCACAGTGGGTGGGGGGTGACAAGAAGGGAATGGGGGTTTCTAAAAGAAAGGAAATGGCATTCAAAAAGTAAATAAAACAGAATTCTTGACTTCTTAGAGCTTTAACTTATTAGGAAGACAAACGCAATGAAACTTTCATAGACAAAATAAATATTATACATATTAAAACATAATAAGGCATTAGTGAATTGGTTTTATAAAGTGTGTGGTTCAGGGAGTCCCAAGAAAGGAAGTTCTAGGTGGGTCAGGTCAGTCAGGGAAGGCTTCCCAAGGGAGGTTCCAGAACCTGGTGGAAGGCGGCTAAGGTTTAGCTGACAGGAGCTGTTTGAAACTGTAGGCCGGTGGCAGGACAGTGTGAGCCCCTCCATAACTATGGGAATTTATGTATTTCACAGGGGAGAAAAGGCCACCATGAACAATTAAAAGAAGGAATGGAATGAAGTGGTCTATTGGAGTGTTTGAGCTGGTTTTTTGTTTTGTTTTTCAGATGGAGTCTCGCTCAGCCACCCAGGCTGGAGTGCAGTGGTGTGACCTCGGCTCACCACAACCACTGCCTCCTGGGTTCAAGCGATTCTCCCGTCTCAGAATCCCGAGTAGCTCGGATTACAGGCACCCAACATCATGCCTAGCTAATTTTTGTATTTTAGTAGAGACAAGGTTTCACCATGTTGGTCAGGCTAGTCTTGAACTCCCGGCCTCAGGTGACCCACCCACCTCGGCCTCCCAAAGCGCTAGGATTACAGGCGTGAGCCACCATGCTCGGCCTGTTTGCTTTTTAGAGACAGGGTCTCGCTCTGGCATCCAAACTTCAGTGCAGTGGTATAATCATATCTCACTGCAGCCTCAATCTTGGGCTCAAGTGATCCTCCCACTTCAGCCTCTTGAGTAACTGGGATAACAAGCATGTGCCACCACACCCAGCTAATATATATATATATATATATATATATTTTTTTTTTTTTTTTTTTTTTTTTTTTGAGATGGAATCTTGCTCTGTTGCCCAGGCTGGAGTGCAGTGGCGTGATCTCGGCTCACTGCAACCTCCACCTCCCAGGTTCAAACAATTCTCCTGCCTCATCCTGAGTAGCTGGGATTATAGGTGTGTGCCACCACACCTGGCTGATTTTTGTATTTTTAGTAGAGACGGGGTTTCACCGTGTTGGCCAGGCTGTTCTCAAACTCCTGACCTCAGGCGATCCACCCGCCTTGGCCTCCCAAAGTGCTGGGATTACAGGCATGAGCCACCCTGCCCGGCCACCACCACTATCACCGTTATCATCACCACCACTATCATCATCACCACCACCATTTTCTGAGTGTTCACTCTGGACCAGCAACACTCTGGTTGTTACTGACATTAAGCCCTTGACATGTAGTTTACTCATTGACCCCTCACAACTACCCTGTAGAGTATGTATCATTTTTTATCTCCACATTGTGAACGAGGAAACCAAAGCTTGGAGGGTTAAATCACTTGTTCTAGGTCACATTAGTGGCCAAGTCTGGGTTCAAACCATTTCTTTCTTTCTCTCACGCCATCTACTTCGTGCTATACCCAACTGACTAAATTCTGCTCCTGGCAGCTTTGCAGAATAGTTATATGGAATTATTAAGTAGATGTTCTTGCTCTACTCGAATGCAACATTTATCACAGAGGTGGAAATTGTTAGAGGATTTCCCATAATGTATTTTACATGCATATTATTAGAATTACTCAGGGGTGAGGAAAAAAAAGTTCCCAGGAAAAATATTTGGGCTTTTTTGGTTCTGGTTTTGATGTTATCATAACCTATAGGTGTCCCCTGGACAAACTATCTAGAGTTCTTGGAGTTTTTTTGTTATTGTTTAATTAGTGTCATACATAAAAGTCAAATGGGCTCTAATTTAGCATTTCCTCTGACTAATCTCTGACCTGGGCTTGGCATTTCAATAGCTGAGCCTCAATCACAAGAGGTTCGAAAAAAAATTCCTAAGCAGTCAGTACTGACAGTCCATTGCACAAATGTGGAAATTGAGGTTTGCAATAATCACAAATCATGTAACCTTGTACTCTGACTTGAATTCCAGGGAGGACTGTGACTGTGACATATCCCAGTTTTGAACTCCCTTAGAACATTAGCTGGACATTTCTGGTATCCAGGTTCCTTGCATCCTTTTCATCCCCACACTTGCCTCCTTCCTTCCACTGGGCTGTCAGCTCTACATACATGCAGACAAAATCAGTTTCTTGGCCATCTCTCTATCACCAGTGTCAGCTTCAGGACTGGTTGGCACTGGGTAAGTACTCAGAGACTGTTGAACTGAGGAATAAAGAGAAAGCTGATGGTCTTGCAATGGAAGGAAAAGGAGGATAGCATACTGGAGGTTACAGATAACAGTCTCATTTTTCTGGATGAGAGATATGATTCCTGTACATGTATGAGGAGTTTCTTGCAACATTGGGCATGACAAGTCAAATCTATACATAACCCACATCTTCAGCAAGAAGGGTTGGTTATATAAATTATACACTCAGAGCAAATTATGTGAATAGATATTTCTTTAAAGAAGATATACAAATGGCCGACAAACATGAAAAAATGCTCTACATCACTAATCATCAGGGCAATGCAAATGAAAACCACAATGAGATACCTACTTACTCCTGCAAGAATGGCCATTAAAAAGTCAGAAAACAATAGGTATTGGCGTGGATGTGGTGAAAAGGGAACACTTATACACAGCTGGTGAGAATGTAAATTAGTACAACCTCTATGGGAAACAGTCTGGAGATTTCTTAAATAACTAAAAGTAGATCTACCATTCCATCCAGCAATCCTACCAAGGGGTATCTACCCAAAGGAAAAGAAGTCATTATATCAAAAAGACACCTGCACATGTATGTTTTATTGCAGCACAATTCACGATTGTAAAGCTATGGAACTAACCTAAGTGTCCATAGGCCAATGATTGGATAAAGAAAATGTGGTATATATACACCACGGAATAGTACTCAGCCATAAAAGAGGAACAAAATAATGTCTTTGCAGCAACTTGGATGGAGCTGGAGGCCATTATTCCAAGTGAAGTAACTCAGGAATGGAAAACCAAATACTGTATGTTTTCATTTATAAGTGGGAGCTACACTGTGTGTACACAAAGGCATACAGAGTGATATAATCAACTATGGAGACTCAAAATGGGGAGGATGGGAGAGAGCAAGGAAGAAAAAAAGTACACATTGGGTACAATGTACACTACTCAGGTGATGGGTGGGCTCAAATCTCAGACTTCACCACTCTACAATTCATCTGTGTAACCAAAAACTACTTGTACTCCAAAAGCTATTGAAATAAAAAAATATTTTTAAAAAATTATTGCACACTCATATAATGAAATACTATAAAGCTGTATACGGCGCTATCGTGCATGCGTTGTCAAAGGGCCAAACGTTTGTTGTTGGGAGGTTAAAAAAAAAAAAGAACACAAAAAACAGCTATCACAATTATTTGCTACCTTCCAAAGGACCCCAATATATAAACAGATACAGAGTATACCTGCGGTATTAACATTTCATGGTGGTATTCAAAAGGCTCCTATGGGAGCAGTAATGAAGAGAGGGTTGGGAAACACTGCTGTAGTAGAATCACTCACGACAGAGACAGATGCTGAAGATGAGTGCCGCATGAGAAAAGCAAGTTACAGAGGTGCAACACGACTTTGGTAAAATGCATGCACACAAACACAATAATACACACACACACAGAATGATACATTTATATCACTGGAAAACATGGAAACCATAATAGTAGCAGCATTCTTTGAATAGTGGGGTTGCAGATTATTTATACTTTCTTCTTGCTTATCTGCATTCTCTAAAGTTGCTACCATAAATACATTCCTTATGAGAAAAACAACTCTGTGTCTGTTTCTAAGAGTCAGATCATTGCATTACTCTGGTGTTCTGCCAAAGGAATATATAGGCAGCCCTTGATTTTTGCTGCTTCATCCTTTATCTTTCTTCCTATCAATAAGCTTGTGTCTTGCCACCTCGGGACACCCACTCAAGTTAATGATAAGGATCTGCTCTGGCACCCACAGCTTTAAGCTCAAGATGACTACCTGGAACCCAAACCCCCCTGCAGCTCTTCAACCAGTTTTCAGGGAACCTGAGAGAATGGAACAGGCTTTTCTACCTGCCCCCACTGGCTCTCTGAACAATCCCAGTTTCTTTTCAGTTGGCCTCACTGGCTTAAGCTCCTTCTTTCTCCTTTTCTAAGCTGCTACCATGTGTCTAGTTCCTAGACTTCCTCCTGCAAGGCTGGACACAGGCGAACATGAGATTTCTATGTTCTCTTCATGACCTTTAATCCTTGGTTGTGGTAGTCAGCTTCTGAAATGGCCCCCTGCGATTGGCGCCTTCTAGTATCCATGCTTTTGGGTGGTCTCCTCACATACTGAATCTGCACTAGTCTGTGTAACCAATAGAGAATGATGACAGTAAGCACTTCATAACTTTCAAGATGAGGTTAAGGATTAGAAGACTACGATCTTTTTTTTTTTTTTTTTTTTTTTAAGACAGGGTCTCACTCCAACAACCAGGTTGGAGTGGAGTGGCACAGTCACAGCTCACTGCAGCCTCAACCTCCCAGGCTCAGGTGATCCTCCCACCTCAGCCTCCTGAGTAGCTGGGACTACAGGTGTGTGTTACCACACCCAACTAATTTTTGGAGTTTTAGTTGAGACTGAGTTTTGCCATGTTATCCAGGTTGGTCTTGAACTCCTGGGCTCAAGTGATCCCCCCACCTAAGCCTTTTAGGTGCTGGGATTACAGGTGTGAGCCACCATGCCTGGCCACCACCTGGCCTCTGTGATTGGCTGCCTTGAGGAAGGCCAGTCACCGTGTCAGGAGGACACTCAAGCAGCCTTGTGGAGAGGCCCATGTGGAGAGAACTAAGGCCTCCTGCCCACAGCCAGCACCAGGGAGTGAGCTACTTTGGAAGTCCATCCTCCAGCACCAGCCAACCTGACTGCAACCCCATGACAGACACTGAACCAGAACCACCCAGCCAAGCCACTTCTCAATTCCTGACCTATAGAAACGTTTTAAGATAATAAATATTTATTGCTGTTTTTAAGCCACTAGGTTTTAGAATAATTTGTTATGCAGTCATAGACAACGAATACATTTCTGTTTTTAGAATTCTATTACCCCGTATCAGGCCAAATAGACAAAATTTAAAACAGAAGGAAGTCACGAAGATTTAACAGGCCTAGCAAGTTTTTCTGATCTGTTCCTTGGACTAAATTTCCTCACTTTTTTCTGACACATTTTTCTGGATGGTTTTAATAACCAAATATCCTCCAGCAAGGGTTGAGTGTTGTCTAGGTGGCCCGCCTACAGTCTTAGCCTCTCAGACTCTTCAACTCATGGAAATCCTGTTTTCTAGCAAGCAAGTCAGCAGGTACAAATCAGGAGACCAAGGGGTCATTTCCTCAAAGTTCCTAAAAAGTCACTGATACCTTCCAGGCTAAATTCCATAACACTGTATAAACGTCAATGAATTTTAAAAAACCATTATTAGGTGCATTTTAATGTACTCCAAGCTTGTTTTCAACTTAATTTGACCCACTTTTTTTTTTTTAAGTCCATGTGATCATTTTACTCAGTTCTACATTTTCCCTTTAGTTCTAATGGTCTTTGATTGTTGTTAATATTTGCAATTGTTGACTCTGGCTTTTATTTGTTTTTGCTGCTTTTCAGGGTCTTAAGAAAGTAAAATTTTTTGCCCATATTGAATTGACTATAATATTTTAATATTCTTTTAAATATTGCTCACATTAGCCCATTTGTTGTTTTAATAGGTCTTAAGTTGTTTCAGCTGTTTTTCAGTTAAATATTTTAACTTAAAAAAATTGTCTGATGTTACAGCATTTTAAGAATGCAATTACATTTATTTCAGCACTCTCACATTCATAACTGCTTTTAATATTTTAATAACTTAGTTATTAAATAAATCTATTCTTAGAATATGATTTCAAAATGCTGCAGGGAAGGGAAAACAATTTTAAAAGATTCTGTTAACCTTATGTTTTAAAAGAGAAGGCTGATACTAAAGCTTTTTTTGTTATTTTGGAGACGGAATCTCGCTCTGTTGCCCAGGCTGGAGTGCAATGGCGCCATCTTGGCTCACTGCAACCTCTGTCTCCTAGGTTCAAGCGATTCTCCTGCCTCAGCCTCCTGAGTAGCTGAAATTACAGGCGCCTGCCACCATGCTCAGCTAATTTTTGTATTTTTAGTAGAGACAGGGTTTTACCATGTTGGCCAGGCTGGTCTCCAACTCCTGACCTCAGGTGATTCGCCTGCCTCAGCCTCCCAAAGTGCTGGGATTACAGGCTTGAGCCACCGCGCCTGGCCTGATAACAAAAGTTTTACAGAGGGAGTACATGAAGCTGCAGAAGATCTTAGGTCCAGCTCTGGTTATTTCAGTCAAATAACTGGCACATCACTGAGGCAGTCATTTCATCTCTGCTAGTCTCAGCTGATACATCTATAAAACGGGGAATCATGTGTTTTGGGTCAACCTTAGAAGGTTACAGGGCAGCTGTTATGACAGCAGTTCTAATCTTCACAATATACTCTGTTTAAATGTTTTAACGTTTATTTTCAAAACGAATCTTATCTTGCCATGGAATATGGAAAAGCTACATCACTTTCCATGGATAAAAAGTTATAGTAAAATAAATACAAAAGAAAATGAAACCATGTTATTAAATCCTAGCTAGACACAATTGAAGACTAGCTCAATTTGAGAACTGTTAAAGACATAACTAGCATAACATCTTCCTTGATGTTGAAAAAAAAAGATGTCTGGAGTTGAAAGAGAACTGAAAAAGGAATGACTTTCTCATTCTAGGATTCAGTGTTATTTGATGCGGTTTCTTGGTTCCACTAAAATCAAGGGACAAGCAGTGCGAGTCCCACATTTTTGAAAAAGCTTTTGTGAGGAAAGGTATGGATGGAGCAAAAAGTTTGATCACGTTCCAGGAACAGGCTTTCTTGGGCTACTTGGATCTTTTTTTCTATGTGTTATCTGTCTCTTTACCAATCTAACGTGGGCTATGTTGTATGAAAAGGCCAAAAATGTGAGCTGACCTATTTTAAATCTTAGTAACATCTGGGACCTTTAGGAGAAGGAAAGTTTGTGATCCAAAGGAGAGTTCAGCTTGCCAGAAGCTAGTATCCTCATCAAAAAAGGAAAATGGACCTGCTCGTGAGAAGGGCAGTTGCTGTAATATGGAGATGTTCAGAAGATTGCAAATAACTTTGAGGTTGTTTTAGTCTGGGTTAACTTGCAGTCTTTAGTACATTCCAAATATACAAAGATGTTTTATGAGCTTACAACTTATATAAAATGTAAGGCAATATGGAATTGTACCATTAAACTGAGAAATGGTTATCATGAGTGACTGCAGAATGATCCTCACATAGTTGAACCTGATGGGGGAAGATGACTCATCCAAAGGCCAACTTCGGGAACTAGAAGTTCACCTAGGGGTAACCCAGTGGACTCTGGGTTCAGCAAACGTTAATTTCTGAGTTAGCATTTCCCCAAGCATATTTTCAAGAATGTTAGTGCCAAGAGATCTAACAACAACCACCAATTTAAAAATGGTTCTATGACCCTTTTGCTGGAGTCTAGTTACCATACCGTCCTTTTAAAGATTTATAATTCATGTCAGTACAGTAAGAGCTCTGAGAACTCCTGTAATAAAGAATTTGCTTACCTTTGCTTAATCACGTGTTTGTAACACTTGTTGGCCAAATAAACGGTCATTAATAGCCTAGCAAAACTCACATTCAGGGCCATCCTAACTGACTTTTAACAGGGCAGCACCACCAACAGGGCAATTCAGAATCAGAACAAAGAAAAACACATGCTATAAAGACACATGCACACGTATGTTTATTGCAGCACTATTCACAATAGCAAAGACTTGGAACTAACCCAAATGTCCATCAATGATAGACTGGATTAAGAAAATGTGGCACATATACACCATGGAATACTATGCAGCCATAAAAAAGGATGAATTCATGTCCTTTGTAGCAACATGGATGAAGCTGGAAACCATCATTCTGAGCAAACTATCACAAGGACAGAAAACTGAACACCGCATGTTCTCACTGACAGGTGGGAATTGAACAGTGAGAACACTTCGACACAGGGCAGGGAACATCACTCACTGGGACCTGTTGTGGGGTGGGGGGAAGGGGGAGGGGGGAGGGATAGCATTAGGAGAAATACCTAATGTAAATGACGAGTTAATGGGTACAGCACACCAACATGGCACATGTATACATATGTAACAAACCTGCACGTTGTGCACATGTACCCTAGAACTTAAAGTATAATAATAATAATAGACTTTAGAATCCTTGATGTCAACATTGTGGTGTTCCCCATTTCCCTGATTAGACATACCAGGAGTGTCCTAAGGTGCTCAGTCCTGATTATGGTGTGCTTGAAACAGGCCTGAAACAAATGTCATCAAATGTGATCACTTAAGAGAAGTATTTTGCAAGCACCAATGTCCAGCACAAGTAATTGTTACTTCCAGGAGATCTGGTTCTAAATCAAGTTCTGCCATTAATCAACATTATGACCTAAGGCATGATCATCCTCATTTTGAAACTGAGGAAACTGAAACTCTGAGAAATAAAACAAATTATCCAAAGCTAAACCCCAAGCTAGGAGAATCGTACTGCACCCAGGGCCAGGGCTCCCGCTCTCAGCTCAGTGTTCTCTCCACTGCTGTACTCTGCCTCCCCAGCCCTCCTGCCTCTCAGGTTCACACTTGGCATCATCTGACTCTTCTTCAGGTAACCTGGGTGTCTGTGCTCCTTCTGTTCTAAGTCTTAGATTCATTGCTCCTGCTTCCCCTAGGATCTTTATTCCAGTCATTTCCAACCCAGAATGAAATGATCCAGTGTGGTTCTGGCCCTTCTGATTGCTGATGGGCTGAGTCCCAGCCTCAGCTACAGGCCCCTGGTTTGTGTTGGTCTGAATCACCTTAACAACTCTTGAACCATCAATGACTGTGGCCAAACCCTGAGTGCCTCCAAGAGGCTTTAGCTTTTCCCATTAGGATACTTATTCCAGGAGCCTTTATGCTGGGCTAGGAACTTAATGAGTAAAAGACAAATAGTGGTTCCTTCCCACTAAGATTCCATCTCTCAGTGTGGTAAAGGAACAAATGTCCCAGGTGTAGAAAACACCAAACTAACTCCACTTCAAACCATGCTCCATCCTATGCCTAGTGCCATTCCCTGGCTCTCTGTCTGTCTCCACCCCTGACATCCTCGGCCTTCATTCTGGGGGCCATCCATGCTGCCTCTCTCCTAGTCTGTGGTGACTTTGGAGGCTCAGTTGTCTTGAATCTCTGTCTTCCCAAATTCACTGCCTTATCTCTGGCTCATGGCATGCCTCCTGGGAAGGAAGTGGGACTGTTCTTCATAAACTTCCCTCAAAGGCGGACCAAGCAGATTAGGAACAAGTAACTCCATGCTCCCTGAATCCTTCCTCCCTTCCCTACTGCCCCCCAAAAGCCACTGGTAGGTGGGTGTTGGGCAAGAAGCACCATCCTCCTGGGCATATAAATTCTAAGCTCCACCACCTCCTCACCTAATAAAACAGCAGTGAGGATCTCAAGGGACACTGATACTTACTCAGCCCCGACCAAATACCAGGCATTTGCTAATCAACTGCGTTAGGTAGTGTATCTCATTTAATGCCATGAGAATTCTATGAAGGTAGGTATTATGAATTTCTCCATGTTTACAGATGTGGAAAATAAACCTGGAAGAGGCTGAGTAATTTGTCAAATGTCAATACTAAGTGATAGATCCAGGATTTGAAGCCAGACCATTCCCAGTCCTCAACTATCCCACTGTCCCCCTACACAGGCAGCCTCTTCCTTGGAATCATGTGAAAAAACGAACTTCCCAAAGGGTACATTTTGCCATCTGATATGGTTTGGCTCTCTGTCCCCACCCAAATCTTACCTTCAATTGTAATAACTTCCATATATCATGGGAGGGACCTAGTGAAAGTTACCTGAATCATGGGGGTGTGTTTTTCCCCTGCTGTTCTCATGATAGTGAATAAGTCTCATGAGATTTGATGGTTTTATAAAAGGGGAGTTCCCCTGCACATGCTCTCTTGCCTGCCACCATGTAAGACATGCCTCTGCTCCTCCATCACCTTCTGCCATTACTGTGAAGCCTCCATAGCCATGTGGAACAGTGAATCCATTAAACCTCTTTTTCTTTACAAATTACCAGCCTTGGGTATGTCTTTATTAGCAGGGTGAGAATGGACTAATACACCATCTTCAAAAACATTCTACCCTGTGTACACAGAAATGGGTTCACAGAAGACGACAACCTTTTTCCTTTTATGGCTACTCCTCACTTCTAATGCTCTCCATCACAAATATGTTTCAGAGGTTAAGGGAGTGGAGGCTTAGTCACTTGTATGTTGACTATTTTAAACACCAATATCCAGCTCTGAAAATTCTCCCTTAGCAGTTTATTCAGACTATTATTATACAAAGCAAACACTTAGGCAATCTAATTTGTCTAAACATTTATATCCCACCCAATCTTTTTAAAACTTCAGGCTCTGCCAACCACTTTCTAAGCAACCTTGAAAGGCAGTTCCCATGGCTCATTTTGTGTCACATGAAAATATAAATGTCAGCATTGACAATGGTTTATTAGGTCCCACTGATAACTACAAAGTATAATACTTTGGTATTTTCCCAACATGGGCTCAGTCCTCAGATTTCGGCCCTAAGATCCATTACATTTGTGTTCTCAGAACTCCACTGAGATGCTTGGAACATAAATCTTCCAGCCAGACCCTGCTGCTTGTTGGGGGCCCAGCCTTTCCCAGGTCCAGGGAGCCCCACTCTGGTCAGCTGCTGGAACTGAGGAAGCTTGCCCCAGGTTCAGTTGTATCTAGGCCTTCAGCCACTAAGCCAGGCCTGAAAGCATGATGGGTACCCCTCCCTAGCAGCAATGGGCCTAAGGCCTAGGTTGGTGTGTAGTATATTTAAGGAGCCAAATGACACCTAGAACTCTGTAGAGTGACAATTTTGTATCACTCACCCTAAACAAAGGTAGACTTGTGCTTGGCCTACCAATTCCACAAAAGTGGGCCAGTCACCATCATGCCTTGTGGATAACTTCAAGATTGTAAAATAGGTGACTGAAGATGTCCCACCAGTATCGTCTTAATGTAACCCCTTGGTTGGAGCAGGGGGGTTAAGGTTTGTCAATGTCTACCTGTTTTGAAAAGATGGGTTTAGGTTTAGATGTACTTAATTTGAAGTCAAGCTGAGTTATATAAAGGAGGGGCTGTTTAGCAGAAGTTGGAGATGTGAGAATGAAGACCAGAAGAGAGGACAGGAATGGCAACAGACATAAATGACTGTTTCAGCTGAATCAAGTGGTGTGTAACTTCAGTCATAGCCAAGAGCCTGTTTTGCAAGCAGATTTCCATACAGGCTAACAGGGATAACTTTGAAGTTATCCCCAACTCCTTACTCTGCTCATACCCAGTGAACCCAAAAGTCTTACTAAGATTTCCTCTGTAATTTCTATTTTACCTCTCATTCACCTTGACTTCTAATTTGAAAGTCATCCTACATTCACTTTTGAGGATGAGGCTATATATATAGTCATTTGTTATTAATCAGTAGATTCTACTACTAAGAATATAGAAGGACAATTTTTTTTGTGTTGGTGAAATACAATCTGATATATTTTTATTCCTTGTGCTCCTATTTCCCCAAATCTCTCCACCTCCTGAAACTGAAGCATCTACATCCTCCTTCACAGCAAGGACAGATACAACTTTGAACAAGGGAGTCATTCCTAATCCTTGAAGTTTAAAATAGTGTTTTCTAAATCCCTGGTCTAGAGATTTATCTGCAAACAAAGCCTCCCCGCCGCCACCTCAGTAACAGTAATCAGGCTTTGTTCAAAAGAAAATAAAAATATATTTGTTGGTTTCAAGGAGGCGGAGCCTGGAGGACTGACCACAGAGGACACAGCTGACCTCCTATCCTGGGTGCTTTCCTTCCCATTTGGAATTCTGGGAGAAGACCACCCGCTGTGTGCCCTACATTAACAAGAGGTGGCCATGGTGGAGTAGAGAAGACGGAGTGTCATGCAGGCTTTGAAATATCTCCCTGGTTTCCCACAGCCTAGAGAGAGGTGAACCAGTTCATGCAAGGCTCAGTGTCATAATAAAAGTGTGAAGGGGGTCTGTGGACAATTAAAAGTCCAGGTTTTGGGCAAGAAGGATACAGACTGGCTGAAAGCCAAGGCAGGGATGGTCACCAGTTGCACAGTTAGAGCCAGCCCAGAGCACAGGTGAATGCAGGTATATCAGCCAGAGATGAGGAGAGATGAAGGCAGGCAGCCCAGGCCATGCTGGGAGGACAAAGGGCACCTCTAGGATGCCAACAAGGACCCAGAGGGCAGAGAGTGTTCTAATAGTCCTCCCTGTTACCACTGCCATCAACATATTCCTGATTGCAGAGGTCATCCTGGGGGAGTGGGGGCAGGAGGCAGAGAACCCCAGGTGGAAAATAGCCCTGGAGCTTGAATTAACTATGAGCCTGAATCTTTAGAAAAATTATCCCCAGAAAACTGTTTTAAACTAGATAAGAGAGTGAAAGTATAAGAATACTTGACAGTGTAAGTTTATATTCTACTGTCTTTGAAAATAAGACATACTAAGTTACATTTGTTTAAAATAGAAATATTTTTAAAGTAATGGTTCTCTTTGAGTCTGTTGCAGAAATTTAAAACCTGCTACAAGAGGTGTATTTAGCATCCAAAATATCTAACCTGCACTACAGCACACTGAACCAAGGTGTGGCAATACTTGGATCACAACTTTGTGATACAAATAATAAGATTATGTTGTAGGCATGGTTTCTCTGAGGCTGAAAGCACAAGTACTTTTCTCTTTTAAAAGAATAAAAATGGCCAGGCACAGTGGGTGGCTCATGCCTGTAATCCCAGCCCTTTGGGAGGCCGAGACAGATGGACCATCAGAGGTCAGGAGTTCAAGACCAGCCTGGCCAACATGGTGAAACCCCATCTCCACTAAATATACAATAATTAGCTGCGCGTGGTAGTGTGCACCTGTAATCCCAGCTACCTGGGAGGCTGAGGCAGGAGAATCGCTTGGACCCAGGAGTCAGAGGTTGCAGTGAGCTGAGACCAGCCACTACACTCCAGCCTGGGTGACAGAGTGAGACTCCGCCGCCAATAATTAAAAAAAAGAATAAAAATATAATATTTTCTTATAGTAACTTATCAAAATTAATATTACCAGGCTAAGTTTTGAGATAAGTTCCTTCAGCCTAAATCAAACAAAAGAGAAAAAAAAATCAAGATATAATTCAACCTCTTTCTCAGTAAACTGTAACTATTAAACCTTTAAAAAAGGCTATAATCATATGGCTAAAATGATCTTTTCCAACTCACTGAGAAACACTTCTTAGGATAAACATTCTCAAACCACTGAGAAAAGCCGCAGGACTTTCAGCACATTTGCTTTCAAAGCCCCTCTGGACAGAAGAATTCCTCCAATAAAAGCCTTCCTATGCCTCATCATCCGTATCAGAGCATTGGAACTAATTAACTGAAAAGATGGCTTTAATCTGCTTTTGTTAGTAGGAGCCCATGCTGTGTTTTTTTCTAACTACCTAAGCCCTCATTCTAACAGGAACAATTGATGCCAGTAATGATACCAGCAATGGCATGAAAGCTACGGAGAGCCCCCAGTCGGTACAAACCTGCGGAGATGGAGGGAGACCGCGAGACACAGCTAGGAGGTCCGCTGCTTCTGGGGAGGGGTAAGTATGAAAAAATCAAAAAGTAAAAAATGACATGCTTCTCCTAAGAAACACTTTTACGAAAAGAGTCTCTCCTTCCCTCAAAGCATTATTTTTAAGATTTTGAAATTGTCTATATATTGAAACTAATTTTACATAGGTAAACGTGTGCCATGGTGGTTTGCTGCACCTATCAACCCATCACCTAGGTATTAAGCCCAGCATGCATTAGCTGTGTGTCCTAATGCTCTCCCCCGACCCTCCCTCAGCAAGCTCCAGTGTGTGTTATTCCCCCAAAATAAAAATATCAAAAAATAAAATACAAAAGTACCAGAGCTCCTTGAAGAAATGGCTGATTTGATAACTGGGGCAGGGAATGTCCAACATGAACCTGGAGCATCTTGTAGTGCCAGAGAGTAAGGAAATACTGAACACATGCACACACACACATATG
Organism: Homo sapiens; assembly: GCF_000001405.40. Classification (NCBI taxonomy): domain Eukaryota; kingdom Metazoa; phylum Chordata; class Mammalia; order Primates; family Hominidae; genus Homo; species Homo sapiens. The sequence goes on along the minus strand of NC_000015.10, from coordinate 71,313,300 downwards.
TGAGCACATGCATGTACACACACAGAATGACGGGGTTGTGCCAAAGGGATACCAGGGGCCAACTAAATTCAGTGACTAAGGCTTGAATAACTTGAGCAATAAATAAATAAAGTAGAAGTGAACTGTAGCCCAAAGTATAAAATAAATATCCATGGGTCCATACTGATATCAATAAATAAATGATACTGATATAAATAAACACATAGGAAAAAAACCTTAATTTTATCATACATCTACTCATTCATTCCAATGAACACTCATTAAGTGCCGTTATATGCCAGGCACTGTTCTAGCGAGTGAAGACGTGGCAGTGAACAAGACAGAGGAAGTCCCTGCTCTCGCAGAGCTTTCATTCTAGGGCAATAAGTAAACCAACTCCAAAAGTTTCAGATACTTGAGTGGTGAGGTATGACAGTGAAGGTCTCTTGCAGGGAGGGACAATCAGAAGAGAGGCCTGAATAATGAGGAGGAAGCCATAGGAAGATCTGGGGGTCAGAACATTCCCAGAAGCACAAAGAGCAAGTGCAAAGGTCCTGTGGGGTGGTGGGGAAGTGGGGAGTGGGAGCCCGAGTCGTGCTAGAGTGGAGTGAGAAAAGGCAGAGGAAGGTATGAGGCCAGAGGTAACTGATCATGTGTGGCTTGGCAGGTTATATGATCATGTGTGGCTTGGCAGGTTAGAGGAGTTTTCTAGGGCTGCCGTAATGAAATATCACAGAGTGGGTGGCTTAAATAATAGAAATTTATTTTCTCAGTTCTGGAGGCTGGAAGTCCAAGATCAAGGTGCCTGCAGGACTCGTTTCCTCCGAGGCCTCTCTCCTCAGCTCACAGATGTGCATATGCAGCCCTGGTGTCTCTGTATGTCCTAATCTCCTCTTCTTAAAAGCACAATAGTCAGATTAGGTTAAGACCCACCCTGGCAGCCTCATTTTAACTCAATTACCCTCCCCCCACTCCCCACTCCACCCCCTGCCTCGAGACAGAGTCTTGCTCTGTCACCCAGACTGGAGTGCAGTGGTACGATCTCAGCTTACTGCAACCTCTGCCTCCCGGTTTCCAGCGATTCTCCTGCCTCAGCCTCCCTAGTAGCTGGGATTACAGACGGCCTCAATTACCTCTTTAAAGGTCTTATCTCCAAATACAGTTACAATCTGAGGTACTGGAAGCTAGGACTCAACATGAATTTGAGGGGAGCACTATACAGTCCAGAACAGAGGGCAGGGAAACAAAGAGAACTCTGGATTTTTCCAAAGCACAACAGGAAGGCCACGGAGGGTCTGCAGTAGGACAGTGTCACAAAAGATAACTGCCTTCAGTGCTGTGTGGAGCACGGGCTATGGGGAGGGGTTGGCAGGAGGGAAAGCCAGAGGCCAGGTATGAGGGTGGCTGCAGCTGCCCAGCTGGAGACAATGGGGTACGCACTAGGGTGACAGCATGGAGGTGGAAAGAGGAGGACAGATATAGGTCATGGGAAGAAAAGAAGACAGGACCTGCTAACAGACTGAAGAGGAGTGACGAGAGAAAGGCCGCTCTTCAGGATGACTCCCAAGCATTTGGCTTGAGCAATGGGTAGATGGTGGTGCCATTTACCCAGGTGAAAACAGATTTTATTATATGATACACAAGGATAAAAGGGAAACATGATATCAACATATAATGCTAGGTTTGTCATCTGTAAGTCTAGAAAGAGGACATGTGGAAGCAGAAGGCAAGGATCAGTGCACAGTTAGAAAGTGAAGCAGCAACTGCACCATGAAACCCCGGGATCAGACAAAGAGGGGCAGGGAGCACAGCACTCTTCTAATTAGTTCAAAAAATGCCTTGGAAGAGGCTGGATTCTAAAAGCTGTTCAAATGGTGCACCCATGCCAGAGAATGTCGGATGTCTTCCAAAACCCATTATCTTCCAAAACAATAGACTTTTTAGCTGAGCTCATGGCTATCCCCTTCTAAGATGACATTTCTAGGCCTTCCTTGAAGCTAGGTGTTGCCACTGGGGTGCACTTCTGGCCAATGCAATATAAGTAGAGGTGGCCTATGACAACTCCCTGGAAATCTATGTTAACAAACAGCAGGTCTATGTCCTTTGCTCATTGTCCTCCCTTTTTATTCTCTATCCTGCCTCTTGAAATTGAAATACGATGGTTAGAACTTTGACGGCCTCTTGGAATGTTAAAATTAGGACCAAACCCAAGGGATAGAAGTTAAGAAATTGGAAGGCTCCAGGCCCTGAGGACTGTGTGGAGCACAGCCACTTTTAATCCACTTCTGTCATGTTTAAGTCACTTTATTTTGGGTCTCTGCTACTTAACACTGAACTAAATCTGAGCGGATACAACAGGCTAGGGAATAACTGGCACGTTGTGGGGGAGATGTTGGGGCTCAGTAAACAACACCCCAAAACGAAGGCCTCAGAAGTAAAAGGTTTTCTTTGACATTCTCCTGCCCCCCTGTCTCTCAGTCCCATTCTCCACCAAGGCTAGACAGAGAAAGTGAATCCCTCTTCTCCCAGGTGGGTCATAGAAACCAGAACCCCTTTTCCCCAAAGCCAACCATAAAACCTAAAAATATATTTCTAACTTTCCCAATGCTTTTCTGTGTAAAAACTGGCCATAAAGAAATTATCTGACCTACCTTGTTTGACAGTCATAAGAACCCCCCTCCATTCCAGAGAGGTCACCCAGAAGGAATGAATGCAAGCTTAGAGAGGCCAAGAAGAATCTAGATAGGCAGGCCCTGCTGAGTTTCCCCCACTCAGTCTATTAGCATTAGATCACATCCTTTTTGTCAACCATGTTTCTACATGGCTGTCCATACTTTGTTGAACCTAAGCATAAAAATGGATACTTTAAAAATATGGACACTTTTCCCTGTATCTTTAGGTCTTCGTTCTGAAGGGACCTATGTACACATGTTTCTCCAATTAATCTGGCTTTTGTGAGCTGATTTCTCAATGAGCCTTCAGAAGGCAAAGGGGAAGTTTCCTTGGCCCCCACAGAGACATTTACATATGTTCCAGGCATCCTTTCAACTTAGTGATAAACTGGATTCTAATGGATCTCTCCTAGTCCCACAGTGTAAGAGAATCATAAGGTCTGTGCTGATTTCCTAAAATGAAAACATGCTAAAAGACAGATAGGTAGGTAAAATCATAATAGCAGAAGTACTTGGATTAGAGGAGGCAGGGTACCAAGGACCACGGTTTGAAAATCACCTCCTAATACTAGCATTATCCAACTGATAGCTTTCTATGGTATGTCAGCTGACATCCTTCCCCAACCTTTTAGGAGCTGTATGAATAATAAATATTTGCAGGGTGAAGACAAGCTATACAGGTGGAGAGCCATCAATGCTGGGTGTCCATCTGCGAGTACATGAGGTAGGGAGGAAAGTAGCAGAGGTCAGCACTGGGGCTGTTTCAGGCAGCCCATATTCTCTGTGTAACACGGCCTGCATGCCACACCTTCCTCTGTCAAGTATATCTTTTTATTAAGAAAGAAACAGAAAACAAGCCCATACATATACGGTCAACAAGAGTGCCCAAATCATTCAATGGTGGAAAAATCGTCTCTTCAACAAATTGTGGTTGGACAACTGGATATCCACATGCAAAAGAATGAAGTTGGACCACTTTCTCACACCATTTACAAATACTAACTCAAAATGGGTCAGGGATCTAAAACTATAAATCTCAGAAAGAAACCTAAGTGTAAATCGTTATGGCCTCAGACTAGGTAATGGTTTCTCAAATAGGACATCAAATGTACATGCAGCCAAAGAAAAAATGGGTAAATTAGACTTCATCAAAATTTAAAACTTTTGTGCTTAAAAGGACACTATTAAGAAAGTGAAGAGACAACCCCACACTGGAAGACAATATCTGCAAATTATATATCTGGTAAGTATTCAGAATATATAAAGAACGCTTACACTTTAACAATAAAAAGACAGGCAACCTAATTTATAGATAGGTAAAGGATTTGAATAGGTATTTTTCCAAAGAAGACATACAATGGTCAGTAATATGCTCAACATTAGTCATTAAGAATAAAACAGGCCAGGTGTGGTGTCTTATGCCTGTAATCCTAGCAATTTGGGAGGCTGAGACAGGCGGATTGCCTGAGCTCAGGAGTTCAAGACCAGCCTAGCCAACATGGTGAACCCTGTCTTTACTGAAAATACAAAAAATTAGCTGGGTATGGTGGCATGCGCCTGTAATCACAGCTACTCGGGAGGCTGAAGTGGGAGAATCACTTGGGCCTGGGAGGCGGAAGTTGCAGTGAGCCGAGATAGTGCCACTGCACTGCAGCCTGGGCAATGAAGTGAGTCTCCAAAAAACAAAAGCACAAGAAACCACTTCACTCCCCACTAGGATGACTAGAGTTAAAAAGATGGACAATAACAAAGGTTGACAAGAATGTGGAAAACTTGGAACCCTCATACGTTGCTGGTGGAAATGTAAAATGCTGCAGCTGCTGTGGAAAACAATTTAGCAGTTCTTCAAAAAGGTAACTGTGGAGTTATCCTATGGCTGGGCACTTCCACTCCCAGGCATATACCCAAGGCCACACGATAACTTGCACGTGAATATTCATAGCAGCATTATTCATAATAGCTAAAAAGTGGAAACAACCCATGTCCATAAACAGAGGAATGGATAAACAAAATGATATATCCAAACCATGGAATATTACTTGGCAATTAAAATGAAGGAAGAACTGATCCACATGAACACATGGAAGGCCACTGAACTGCACAATGTAAAATGGCTATGTTATGTTCTATGAATTTTACCTCAGTAAAAAATAAAGAAAACAAAATAAAAAGCAAGGAAGGAGACAGGGCTCTCCTGATCTTTCAAACCAAGCCCAAATATTGTCTTCCATATTTCAATAAGCACCCTAGCAGGAAAAAGAATCAATGTGAAGAACCTGTTATTTGACTTGAATTCAATCATTCTAAGAAAAGTAGCAACTTAAAAGGACAAGTTAAACCCGAGTAGGCAGGGAAGGGTTAAGAAAAAGCTAACTCAGCAGGCCTGCGATGCTCAAACCTTGCATATTCCAGAGAAAGGCCTGCCTCAAGGACTGACCCTTGGAGGCTCCTGGGAGGTAACCTCTGGGTCCTTGGAATACTGTCCTGATAAGAGTGTTTTTGTATGTCTGAGAACATAGACCACCCAGTATTCAGGGTGAATGCCTGTTTTTGCTGGAGGGTAGAGGAGGTTGGGTTGGGAGAAACTAGAGGTCAGTCACACAGGTGCTGCATGCTTCTATGACTGGCCCCAGTAAAAACTCTGGACACCAAGGCTCTGGCATGCTTCCCTGGTGGGGAAGCATGTATCATCACACATTGTTGCTGGGAGAATTAAGCACATCCCTGTGCAACTCCACTGGGAGGGGATCCCTAGAATCCTGTGCCTGATTTCTCCTGGACTTGGCTCCATATGCCTTCTCCTTTTGCTAATTTTTATTTGTATCCTTTCACTGTAATAAACCATAAGTGTGAGTATGAAAGCATTTTTTGTTTGTTTTTGAGATGGAGTCTAGCTCTGTCGCCCAGGCTGGAGAGTGCAGTGGTGCGATCTCAGCTCACTGCAACCTCCACCTCCCAGGTTCAAGCAATTCTCTGCCTCAGCCTCCCAAGTAGCTGGGATTACAGGTGCCCCCCACCATGCCTGGCTAATTTTTGTATTTTTAGTAGAGACTGGTTTCACCATGTTGGCCAGGCTGGTCTTGAACTCCTGTCCTCATGATCTACCTGCCTCAGCCTCCCAAAGTGCTGGAATTACAGGCGTGAGCCACCGTGCCTGGCCTGAATGGGTTTTTAAGTACTGTGATTTCTTTTAGCAAATCATCAAGGCTGAGGATGATCTTGAGGGCCCTTGACACACTTAGGTCTTAAAAATTCAGTATGCTGGCACATCCAATGTACTTAACATACACATCAATCACACAGATGTAGAAACTGGGTATAATACCAAGTTACATGTGGGAAGACGGTGACACAGAGGTCACACAGCCACCGCCATAACTATGGCTACATGACAACCTAACTTCCCATCATGGAGGACCTGGGCATATTTACTGAGCCAGCCTTAACACGTGGCTAGTGAGGAGGTGTTCAGCCACCAACAGGCCAGAAAAGTTGGGGTGTCAGTCAAGAAGAGCAACTTTCACAGGCCAGAGCTCCGAAGAATCCCCAAGAACAAGGAAGGCAAATTTGTCCCAAAGCCTGGAAGGAAAGTGTTTTCCCCAAGAGTATGGCTTGAGGGAGGACTGCAGAGCAAGACCTGGAGAGAGGACAAGGCAGAAAATTCTGGGATGGTGCCTGAATATTCTCCTAGACTGGGACATGAGGCCAATTAAAAAATTTGAGAAATTTATGCTTGTACTTCAAACTGGTATTTCTAAAGAATGCTCTGTGAAGGAGAAGTGCAACAAGGATATTAATACATGTTTCACATATCATACAGGGGTCTATAATATGTTTGGCAAACACAAGGTTAAGCAATTTTATGTTTTGGGGTTGTTTTGAACTGCAGGACTTCTCAGAACCTTTAAAATGATACTCTGCACTATGCATTGTCAAGATGGTAAGATTATATGCAGCACTCCTGACTTTATTTGGCCACAGAATTCTCTTTCAAGCAGGATTTCAGAGATGTATGGCTCTAACAGACACCAGGGTTGAGAAAATTGCTGAACTAGTGGACTAGACACCCATACTTTATAAAACACAAATGCTTCCTTTCCAAACCCTTTTTTCATTGGTGCTGCTTTGTTTACCTTAATTTCTCAGTAAAGGTAACTGAGAAGCAGAGAGTGTACTGAAATGAGCACAGGCTTTGAAGAAAGATAAATCTGGGTGTGACCTCTGTTATTATGAGGATGAAAATGAGATAAAATAGTTTAGTAAGATACTGGCCATAAGAGAAGGCATCAAAAAATATATAATACCATTCCCTTTTTTTTTTTTTTTTTTTTTTTTTTTTTTTGAGGCAAGAGTCTTGCTCTTATCACCCAGGCTGGAGTGCAATGGCACAATCTTGGCTCACTGCAACTTCTGCCTCCCACGTTCAAGTGATTCTCCTGCCTCAGCCTCCCGAGTAGCTGGGATTACAGGTGCCCACCACCACGCCCGGCTGATTTTTGCATTTTTAGTAGAGAAGAGGTTTCGCCATGTTGGCCAGGCTGGTCTTGAACTCCTGACCTCGTGATCTGCCCACCTCAGCCTCACAAAGTGCTGGGATTACAGACATGAACCACTGCGCCTGGCCCGTCTCTCATCTTAATGCCTTTAAGCTCTTTACAATCGTTTGAGGGAAAAAGTTATCTTCACACTTCCTCCAGTAATAAAGGGAAAGCTGCATAGGATGGTGGTGGTGACTGGCCAACTCCAGGTCCCAGAAAATCTGGAAGGCTGGAGATTCCAGTGAGTGGGAACTCGAGAAGGATAGATTTGGAGTGGGCTATAAGGGGAGGCCTGTCCCAGCAGGGCAGGCCCCTTGGTTAGTGACACATGTGAGTTTCATTCTACTATTAAGAACAAACAGCTTTCCCTCTACTCATCCATTTCTCCTGGACAGCATCAGTCCCCATCCGGAATAACCTTTCTAGGAAGGGTGATAAGAGCTACCACATCTTAGTGCATCTTAGGTGCTGGGCAGTTTACAATAACAATCTCATTTATCCTCCCAGCAACTTGGAGTTTTTGAATAAAGCAAACGGACTCAGAGAGGTAGAATACCGTTGAAGGTCATAACTATTAAGTGGCAGAATCAGGATAGGAACTTGTATGTGTCTGGCTCCAACCCCACGTTAACTACTGCCCTCAACTCACTATGAACTCCATCCTCCCTCCAATGGGCCCCCTCTGCTTTCCAGTCCTGAGCCAACTCCTGGGGGTGATCTTGGGAAGACAGCTCACCCACATCAAGAGCCTGGGGTTTGATGATAATTGAATATATCTTCATCTTTCTACCATTCCATCCTTACAGAGTAGATCGCAGGGGGTCCTCTTAGACTCAAGTCTGTCCTCTGGGGACTGGTACTGTCTTGGATTGAAATTGGTACTTTGATGTGTTGGGTAAGAAGATTAATAGAGACAAATGTCTTCCATGTTGGTATACGATTAGCCAAGTGATTTCCATTTTCCTATCACCCATCAGCTCTGGGTTACAGGGAAACATCTCCTACCTCGTTAGGGTTTTCCCCAGAATCCTCATCAGAAAACGTACCCACTTTTCACCAGGGAAAGAGGTGAAAAGAATATGTGTTGGATGGACCACTGTGATTCACGGAAAAGAGGTGTTATAAACAAGCCTCGTGTGTTTATTGCCTGGGCAAGAACAAAAAATAGTCTTTATTGGAAACATGTATTTGATGGCATCTGGATCCATTTAGTAAGCATATTTATTTCATAACAATATGAGCTCATGATGCCAGGATGATTAATGAGCTTTTATATTCTACCACTCTTTTTGCCTAAATCTGCAAGTCTGTTAGGGAGTTTAATTACCTAAGATGGGGCAAATACACATTTTGGTTACTTTTTGTTGGAAGGAATCTCTTACTTGGAATTTATTTTACCATAGACGAGGTTGGAGAACATTGGAAACTCCTTTAGGCATCTTCAAAACCAGCAGCACCTGAATTCTCTGAAAATAATTTCAAAGTTCTTAGGTAATGTTCTTGTGTTTCCCCTGGGGGAAATACCGACCGAATCTTCCGATTGGGGAAAAACAAGAAAGGAGGAAAAGAATTTGGGCTAAAATTTTAATAAGACTGAAAATTTTACTACCAAACATATTTTTAAATAGGCAGGATGATACCATATATTATGACTACATTGGAATAGAGATGCTATTCTCTCCATGGCAAACTTCAGAATAAATTATGTCTCTCTTAAACTCCAAGCAGAAGCCCCAGAGAAACTAAACAGTTTGAACAGTGTCATGGCACTGTCCAACCTCTGAAAGGAGCACAAGACTCCTTCTTCTTTCCCCTTCACTCCTCACCTGGTGAGGAGCAGCACAGACAGCCCTGAGCAAAGGCCCAGCTGGTCACAGCCAGATGGGCCAGAGCTTGTGCCATGTTTCATGCAGTGGAGAGAGTTCCTGACCTTTGCATGGTGCAGCCCTTTCAATATGCCTCCCAGAGCAAGCTCACCTCCTGGTGGTATCTGGGATGAGATGTCCAACACTGCTAGAGGCATCTCACCCATAAAAAGGCCAAGAATAAGCAGCTCCAGCCAGTTCTGCCCATTAGCTCTTAGTGCTCTATCTTGGAGACGTGTCCTTCTCGACTTCTTGCCCTCTGATCCTGAAGGTCATAGCCAGAGTGGACCAGAGAAAAGCAACCAAAGAGGCCTGCTTTGGGCTAGGCAAAGGGGTCCTTGTGACCCAAAGTGGAGCAGCCCAAGGTTCCTAGTGTGAGGAACTCCTGGGAGGGGTCTGGAGACACAAGGGCCAGCCAGTGTTAAAGGGTCTATATTTGTCTGGTGGTGTTCCTGAGGTAACCATGCCAGAGTCACTACAATAGGCTATGACTAATCCAGCGCACCAGGAAACTATCCTTCCAAGGACCCAAGATGCCAGCATAAGGCCCAGTTTATAAGGAGGTACCACCTAGAGAGGGCACTGAATGCAAGACTTCTGTGAATGGTATCAATAGTAAGCTGGGAAAACTGGAAAGAGAAGATTCTGGAAGAGAACACATTCAAGACCCAAATATCAACTTCTGTCAGGCCCACAGCCCTGGCTTTTCCTCCAAAAACAAAAAGAAACAAGCAGAAATCTCATCCTCAATGTACTGCTTTCTCCATAGAACTGGCTTGTCTGAGTTCCACATAACACATTATTCTTTGCAACGTTAGAGGCCATTTGTCATTTGCCTTCCCATTCCCTCTTTAGCCAAAGCAGACAACACTGTCTGCCAGAGATCTGTAAAAAACTTAGCCCATGCTGACTGCCCCCCTCCTGACCAGGCAGCTCTTTATTCTGAGTGTATGTGGGCCCTACCTGAAGTGTTAGCCACTGTCCTGGATGAAGCAGGCAAATGCGCGGCGCCCAGAGCTAGTGATGCCTGAGTGTCTGTGCACAGTCATTCTGTGCTGGCTGCCAGAATCACTTGGGGAGTTTGTATAAACACAGTTTCCAGTGTTTTGCCTTGAGTCTCCTCCTGGGTAGGAAAGCTTATCCTCCTGGGTAGGAAAGCTTATCCTCCTGGGTAGGAAAGCATGGTGAGGAGCTATGTGATGCACACAACTCATACATGCAGACCTCGTATCGGGTGGGCAGGCCTGAGGCTGCATGCAGCCTTCTCCACATGCAGGCTGCCATTTCTAGGGACCAAACCAAGAACTCGCAGGGAAGTATGTAGATGACTGCAAGACCCTCCTGGGCCCTCTGCATAATGTTGAGTGGCAGGGGGTTGTAGGGCTAAATGAGGCGGCGGCAGGTGCAGCATCTTGGGGGCCATGGTGTTGGAAGAAGGGGGAAGGTGTGTACCATTCAGTTCTCCAGCTGATAATCTCTATCAGCTGAAGCAGGGTGACAGATCATGACATGCCACTGCCCCACCAGCCAAGCGGACTTCCTGCTGGCCCCAGGAAGAGAAGCACCCACTGGGCTAAGCATGGGCAGGAGCATGTTTGGATACAGATCCAAAAATCTGCATTGCCTGCTTCCCTTGCTCACTGCCCCCAGCACCCCACCCCCACTCCCACCCAACAAAACCATTCCACTTGGAAAAATCAAAGTAAGTGGATGTGAGGAGGTTCTTTTGCAGCTGGTGTGGCCACATCTCATGCATCAAGGCAGAAATGGGGCCGGCTCTGAGCAGCAACCCAGAGCCTCCCTGTGGGATGGGACCTGCTGCTGCTCTGCTGTGTCCCTGATTCAGCCATTTCCAGCTGTGTGTTCTGGCTCAGTGCCTGCATCAGCCCCTTTGGTTCTGGTGATCTCCTGGCCTTCCCTGGTGGGCTTATCAGACCTGGTCTTCTCTATTTGGGTCTCAGCCTTGCTCTGCCTACCCCTACCCTTCCGCCACCTCTGGTGTGCTCTCCAACCTGGGATGAGAAGCTGTCTGTCTAGCCCCAAGCCCATGGAATCTGATCAAACAAGGATGGAAAACGCTGCCAGGGAAAGGAGACTCACAACGACACTTGGCAGCTCACCTCTTACATGTGGAATGCGTTTCTGGGTTTGAGCATGCTACTTCAAACCTCAGTCTCTAGAAATAGATCCCAAAATAAACCAACCCTAAGCTTGCTCCCACAGGCAGACCTAGTCTGACCAAAAAATCAGAAGGCCCTGAAGTTGCTGTGGTGGACCAGTGTGGGCATCAGGCAGTGGAGTTCAGTCCCCCAGGAGCCCCCCACACTAAAGGGCTCGCTCAAAAGGCATCCCATCTAACATCATGCACTGCAAAGACTGAGTGATGCTTCCTCTGCTCCCTACAAGTTCCACTGGCCAGAAGAGAGGATATCTCCCTTGAGGTATCCAGGCAGGATATAAGTATAACTAAGCACACACTCAACTTCGAAACTCTGCATTGTAACTCAAATCTCATATTACCGGAGGAGGTCTCCAGGTAGCCCAGAGAAAATTATTTTTTAAAAATAAATTATTTCTCAAAAGAAAACAGAAGCATCAATTTACGTTCATCTGGAGAAAGGACAGCCCAGAACAGCTAGGAGAATCTTGGAAAAGGCAGAGTACTAGAGGGGAACTAGGCCTTGCAGATATTAACACATATTACAGAAGAGATCTCATTTTTTACCCAATAGAACAGCAAAGATGGAAAGAATGATTATCCCCAACACACAACGGTATATGTTCAAAGATAGTCACATTGTTTTAAATAGCAATATGCTAATAAAATAATAAAATATATTATGATAAATATAAATGAGATACTTGGAGCCGTGAAAAATCACGGAAAAATCATGTGAAAAATTATGTGAAAAATCAGGTCTTTGTTGGCCTAAAAGCTGTTTACAACATATTGTTAAATGCAGAAGGACAGATTAAGCAACATTATATACATAGGTTTTGTTAAAAAATTAAATAATGTGTAGAACAAAATATTAATGGAAGTTATTTCTGAGTGGTGAAACTGGAGCTGATTTTTTTCTCTTGCTTTTAGTCTCTATTTCTGCTGAACAACAAACAACAACAGAAAAACCCTCCAACCTGTAATGAAAGAAAAATTTTAGGCAATTAGAAAATAATCTTAGGGCAGAGAAATTTCCCTTGTCCTGCAGCAAAGGCCCAGATTATTTTAAATAAAACAGGACCTGTCCAGACAACACCTACTTTAGCAAATTCTTGTGTCCTAAAAGAAAATTATCTAATTAAACCCATATTCCTTTGGACAACGATAAAATCTCAGCAAAAAGATTCCCCTGGCTGTGATTTCAGAAGCTGGGAGTTGGTTCCTCAGGAAGAGGTTTATCAAAGTCACTTTGATGCTCTATTAGAACTTGCCAGCACAATGCATTTATTTATCTTGCTTGTAATTTCTTAATCTGGAACTTAATCGAGTTCTCATATAGTGTTCTCCTGCCAGACATTTCACTGAGAGTTTAAACTAGACAATGCAATCAAAAAGAACACATTATACATTCTAGATTTTTACTATAGTTTTTACTCTTATACTACAGCATCTTCATGGATAATTTTGAGGGGGATTGATAAGAGTTTAAAAAGCTGAACCCTGCCTAGAATATGTGCTGAGGAATTTAGTGAGAAAAGTGATGAGAAACTTCTATAAATACAGCATTTGATCCAAAAACATCAACCAAGCCAATCCTTCACAATCAGCAATCAAACTATCTCAAGTTCCCAGCTGTCCCTATGTGGCTTTGAAAGCCCCTGAACGTTAAGAAAACCTAACCAGAAGAGAAACTACTATTTTCCAGAACTCCTTCCAAGGAGGGCTCTGTAAATGGTTGCAAGTCCTCTGATAAGGGGGCCTTTGGTCATGACAACCACAGAGGTATGCCTGAGTGACAGGAGAGGTTCATCAAAATGCCTTCTGCTTTCTTCCCCTTAAACACATTATTTTTTTGTTTCTTGGTGAAGGGGTGTGGTTGCTAAACTGTTCTTTTTTAAAAAACTAATTTTATATTTAAATTTATTTTATTTTTTTAAGAGACAAGGTCTTGCTCTGTTGCCACACTGGAGTCAGTGGCGCAGTCATAGCTTACTGCAGTCTCAAAACCCTGAGCTCAAGCAGTTCTCCCACCTCAGCCTCCTGGGTCACTGGGACCACAGATGCCTGCCACCACCCATGGCTAATATATATATATATATATATATATATTTTTTTTTTTTTTTTTGGTAGAGACAGGGTCTCATTATGATGCCCAGGCTGTTCTGAAACTCCTGGCCTCAAACAATCCTGCCTGGGCCTCCCAAATTGCTGGGATTACAAGTGTGAGCTATCACGTCCAGCCCAATGTTATTTTTAATTGACAAATAAGAAATGTATGAATTTTATGGGGTACAATATGTGTTATGGCACATGTATACATTGCAAAATGATTAAATCAGGCAAATTAACATACCCATCACCTAAGATACTTATCATTTCTTAGTGATAAGGACAATTGAAGTCTACTCTTTTAGTAATTTTGAAATATATGTTATTAACTGTAGTCATGATGCTGTGCAATAGATCACTAGAACTTATTCCTTCTAACTGAAACTTTGTACCCTTTGACTAACAGCTCCCTCTTCCCCATTATAGCCACCATTCTACTCTCTGCTTCTATGAACTGAACTCTTTAGATTTCACATACAAGTGAGATAATGCAGTATTTGTCTTCTTCTGCCTGGCTTATTTCACTTAGCATAAAGTCCTCTACATTCACGCATGCTGTCACAAAGCACATTGTTTTTCTTTTGCTCAATGCAGCCTGCAAGTTTCAGAGCAGAGGTGAAATACCCAGAACAGAGGAGTGGCTGCCTCCAGTGGTCTTCCTTTCTCCCCTTTCTCCTAGCACAGCTTCTTCTCTAAACAGTGTAAATAGTTGAATATCGAAGCATCCACAATTCTTAACTTGCTGCTATGAAGAAACCAAGAATTTTAAACTAAAACTGCAAATGGCTTAAGTTTTAAAACTTCAAAATATATTAAAACATTTAGATGAGTACCATCAACAGTCATGTTACCTCATTCCCGCCTCTTTTAATGGTCATTCTGCTATGTGGTTATTGTTCCTCCTGTCCAACTCAGTAAGATAAAGGCGACTCAGACTAGAGACTCATGAAATAACAGGGCAGAACCTGAGATCACCAGGCAGGTGCTGAGGGTGTACCAGGGACTCAACAACAAAGGTTCTGCTTCTCCAGCCATTGAGGTGATTGAAATAAAAGGTCAGCACTGGGCTGTGTGCACGGCTCACGCCTGTAATCCTGGCACTTTGGGAGGCCGAGGCCGGTGGATTGCCCAAGCTCAGGAGTTCGAGACCAGCCTGGGCAACAGAGTAAAACCCCGTCTCTACTAAAATACAAAAAATTAGCCGGGTGTGGCGGCGTGTGCCTGTAGTCCCAGCTACTCAGGAGGCTGAGGCAGGAGAATTGCTTGAACCCAGGAGGCAGAGATTGCAGTGAGCCGAGATCGCACCACTGCACTCGAGCCTGAGCAACAGAGCAAGACTCTGCCTCAAAAAAAAAAAAAAAAAAAAAAGTCAGCACATATCCAGGGGTCAGTCTCAGTCTCACAGAAGGAGGGAAATATCTAAGGGGGGGACTAGAAGAGAAGAAATAAAGCCTCATCTGGTGGAAAAAGAATAGAGACACCAGATATGTATAGCTAATTTTACAGTATACATAGCTGATACCCCGGTCTAGTAGCAAAATAACAGTGGGATGGCTGGTTAATAACAGAAGGAGGCCTTTAAAAAGAAGAACAAAGTTGGAAGACTTACATTTCCTGATATAAAATGTGCTACAAAGCTACAGTAATGAAGACAGTGTGGTGTTATTGTAAGGTCAGACATATAGATTAATGAAATAGAATTGAGAGTCCAGAGAAATCCTTGTATCTATGATCAGTTGATTTTGGATAAAGGTACCAAGACCATTCAAAGGGACATAGTCCCTTCAACAAATCATGCTGGGACAACTGAATAGCCCCTCCAAAAAATGAAGTTAGAACCCTACCTTACACCATATACAAAAATTAACTCAAAATGAATCAAAGACCTAAATTTAAGTGCTAAAATTATAAAACTCTTAGAAGAAAACACAAGGGTAAATCTTTACATCCTTAGATTTGGGCAATGAATTCTTAGATACGACACCAAAAATATGAGCAACGAAAGGAAAAAAACAGATAAACCATCAAAATAAAAATTTTTGTGCATCAAAGGACTATCAAGAAAGTGAAAAGACAAATGGCAGAATGGGAAAATGTTTGCAAATTATATATCTGATAAGGTTCCAGTATCCAGAACACACAAAAAAACTCTCAAAACTGAACAACAAAAAGACATACAACCCAATTTAAAAATAGGCAAAAGAGCAGGGTGCAGTCGTGTGCAGCTGTAGTCCCAGCTACTTGAGAGGCTGAGGTGGAAGGATTGCTTAAGTCCAGAAGGTGGAATCCAGCCTGGGCAACATAGTGAGACCACCCTACTGTCTTTAAAAAGGAGGAGGAAAAGGCCGAGCGTGGTAGCTCACGTCTGTAATCCCAGCACTTTGGGAGGCCAAGGCAGGCGGATCACAAGGTCAGGAGTTCAAGACCAGCCTGACCAACATGGTGAAACCCTGTCTCTACTAAGAATACAAAAATTAGCCAGGCATGGGGGCACGTGCCTGTAATCCCAGCTACTCAGGAGGCTGGGGCAGGAGAATCACTTGAACCTGGGAGGCAGAGGTTGCAGTGAGCTGAGATTGCGCCACTGCACTCCAGTCTGGGTTACAGAGCGAGATTCCGTCTCAGAAACAAACAAACAAACAAACAAACAAACAAAAAAAAGAAGAGGAGAGCAAAGGACTTGAATAAATATTTTTCTGCAAATAAGATATATGAATGGCCAATAAGCACACAAAAACATGAAAAGAAGCTCAACATCATTAGCCATTCAAGAAATGCAAATCAGAACCACAATGAATACCACTTCACACCCACTACTAGGATGGATATAATTAAAAAAAAATAAATAACAAGGATGTGAAGGAAATGGGTTAATATTATGCTATGTGAATTTCACCTCATTAAAAACAATAGAAGACATATAAATGGGCAATAAGCTCATGAAAAGATGTATAATAATGGAAGCAGGGATGGGGCAGAAACAGCCAAAAGAAAGAAAAGAGCACTGAGGTCCATTACAGTAGCATTTCACAGGTTATCTCATTTAATCCTTTCAAGAGACTTCATGATGTCGATGTTATTAATCTCATTTTGCAGATGAGAAAACAGAGGCTCGGAGCAATTAAAAATCTAGTTATAGCTAATAAATGGCAGGGTCGGGATGAGGCTTCTCAACAAGTTACCAAAATGACTGCAACCAAGATTATAACTTAAAGGAATACGACGTTTTCAGATGCACTGAAAACTGGACCCTTGATTTTATGGCACTTTTACAATGTGATAACACATAAAAACCTGTGATAAAATTTTATGTCCATGAAGCCAGGGACACAAAGCCTTGGCCAGTGTGGAGGATAATGCAGGACAGGTGCTGCGCAGAGTTATGCACGCTGCTTGGCCAACTCCCTCAGCCCTGCTCTGCGTACTGATTCTCTGATCCAAAGACAAACACCCAGAGAGACTTGGCAGGAAGGTGCGTCTTGCCCGAGAGGCACAGACTAATAGAGACAACAGGCCTTAGGGAGGCTTCAGAGGTCATCCGGTCTTAGTGGGCCGAAACACATATCCACGAACCAGATGTATCTGAATTACCTGGGGAGCTCATAAAATGCAGATTCCTGGGCCCCATGCCAGACCTCAGGTGGGTAGGGCACAGAAATGACAATTTTTAAAAAGCTCTCCAGAGGGTAACCCTTATCTATTGTTGATGGGAATGTAAAATGGTACAGACACTTTGGGAAACAGTTTGGCTATTTCCTGAAAAGTTACACATAAGAGTTACCATTTGACCCAGTAATTCCACTTCTAGGTATATACGCAAGAGAAATGAAAACATACGCCCTCACAAAAATGTGTCCATGAATGTTCTAAGCAGCATCATTCATGACTCATCAACTGGATCAAATATCCATCAACTGATAAGTAGATAAATAACATGTGACATATCATACAATTGCCATATTATTGAGCAATAGAAAGGAATAGGCTATCAATACATGCTACAGTATTAATGAACCTCAAGTATGTTATATTAAGTAACAGAAGCCAGATGCAAGAGACCACACAGTGCATGATTCTATTTATGTGAAACATCCAGAAAAGGTAAATCTACAGGGGCAGAAAGTACATAGCTTACTTGTTGCCTAGGGCAGGGAGTGGGAGTGGATGGGGATATTACTGACATGATAAAAATGTTCTAATACTGATTTATGCTGATAGTTGCACAACTTGGTAAACTTACTAAAACTCATTGATTGTAAAATGTGACTCAATAGAGCTGGCTTTTTTTTTTTAAAGAAAATGTCCCCAGGTGATTCTGACGTTCCAGCAGATTTGAGAACCACTGAATTCCAATATACTTACTGTGCAATGAGGAACCTGAAACCCAGAGAGGGAAATGATTCACCCAGAGTCACAAAGTGAGTTCATACAGAGCCAGATTGCCTCTGATCTGTGTCTCCACAAAAGGAAATGGAACGCTAGGAGATGACCTGATGAAATTAACCAAAGGGGACTGCCAATCTCAATGAGTCAGTCCCCATTAAACCCTTTTCCCCCTTAACTCGCAGGAAGCTGGTTTGTTTTGCCTGACTGAACCAGGAAAGGGGCTCAGGAAGCAGCTGTAGGCCAGTGAAAGGACTACAGGCTTGGAGTCAGAAGGCCTGGGTTCAAACTTGGCCTTGAGAGTTCATCGTGATCCTGGGCCAGTCACTTCACTTCCTAGGGACTCATCTGGTTCATCCATCTGTAAACAAAGCCGATCATATCACCCTCCCAGGATCACTGCAGGACCAGTAAGGAAGATATTGAGTAATCCAGGTAGGAGATGATTTCCTTCCTGCCTAATCTGAAACCACAGATGTCCAGCCCAATCTGTTTATCTTAAGGCTACAACCAGAGCATCCCTTCCAGCCTGCAGGGCACTCACATTCCCTGACGCAAGCGCCACTCACCCACCCCAATCTTGGACCCAGTCCCAGCTTGATCCCAGTTCCCAGGTGCCATAAAACTCTGGAAAGGTGGAAACAAGACTGTATTTTTTTTTTTTTTTTTTACAGCTGTGAGAACTGCAGACTGAGAACAATAAGTATTTTTAAAATAACAACCTTCCGAGTGACCACCGACGCATCAAATACTGGATTGGGCGTGGTGTTATTATAAGACCAAGAGAATGTAAAACATCCTGTAACATATCTTAGTAGAAGATCTTTGCCAAGGGAAAGAAATCTGTCTTCTATCTAAGAGGAATGTTTGGTAATCGTTTGGGCCTTGGATAAACTCAGGCCATACGTCTTGGGCCAGGCATTTACATTATGGACTAATCATAGAGCCCTGCAGTGAATATAGACATTGTGGAGTAAGAGTAGGTTACCGAGATGGTCATGGCAGCTTTGACACTCACAGAGACATGCAGCCTGTGTCCGGATGGGGAACATTCAGGCCAAGACCCTTTCTTAAAAGGAAAAATGTGAACGCTGGTATCCCCTGAACGGACCCCATCTAAGTGGATCCTGAACTCCCAGCCTGTGCCATCAGATAAGAATGTCAACATGGCAGAGGGCGAAGGTAAGAAGGGACCCGTCCAACTCAGCCTGCTTGGGTCACATTTTGTTTGCTTTATCAGGTCCAAGAGAAATCTGACTTCTTTGAGGGACCTGTGGGTGTCATTCACAGGGACTCCTGGTAACTGAGCTAGACAGTGAAAAACAGGCATTCTCTGTAAAAGGGCACTTGGGACTGACAAGAAGACAGAAGAAACAGAAGCTCGCCACTCATGACAGCAGCACAGGCGTAGGCTTGGAGAAAGAAAGATGAACTTGAGAGCCTTTGGTTCAGAGAGGTGTTACAGACTTGCTGAAAATGTAACTCCAAGCAGCAGCAGAAGATAAATGAGAACAGAAGGAGCTAGAAGGGAAATGGACTAAAGCAGGAAAAATACAAAGAAAAGCAAAGGCTAGGAGATCAAACATCTAAAACAATACTAGCAAACACATAGCACATGTACTGCAAGTGCCCTGCCCCAGGATTCACGGTGGTCTCACACCCTTCAGGGACCCCCCAGGCAGCCACTGGGAGGGACTGTTTCATGTGCACCTCCCAGGCCTGAAGCAAAAGCCTAGACTTTCCACTTCCAGTTAAACATGGAAGAGTGACCATCTTACACCTCCTCTCCCTTCCAAAACCCTACTAAATTTCCTACTGTTAGGGAATTTTAAAACGTTTTAACCTATGAGGACAAAGCAAAAAGAGAGGAGATATCCACAAATAAAGATTTCAGCAAACTTGGAGAAAAGTAGAGGAAAGCGTTGTAATTGAGTGTAAGTTGCAAACATTCATATCCACTGTGGAGGAAACTTGAGAACAAAGCCATCTGGACTGACAGACACCCCAGTAGCCCAGCCCTCGGAGGCACAGGAACCATGAAAGATGAGGCTCTGGTTCATGATGGAAAACTGAGCTACTAAGCCCATGTTATGCAGCCAGGCTACTACGTAACCCCCATGCTCCTCCCCAAGCAGGGGAGAGGTTTACTCTTCAGAGAAACTGAGAAGGGGCTGCAGACCCAGGAAACAGGCACCATGGAGAACAGAGCTCAGGGCAAGGGGCACCCAGAACACCAACCACACGTCCACCTCCACAGGCAGGAGATTCAAGGGTTCTTCTCTGGAGAAAACCAACCACCTGAGAGGAAAACCATCTACATAATGACAGTTGTGTGCAGGGTTCCAACAAAAAAAGATAGCTCAAAATCTGTTCTCCTAAAGAAAAGCTCATCAACCAACTACCCCACCTATGCATGCTGAGCTGCACGGCACAGGGCATCTGCAGCACATGCACGTAGAACTTTCGACCTGTCCAATATGGATATACTCTAAAAGCTGACAGCCATCTGGGGAAAGCCCCTGACAAGAAAGGCAGGGTTAACACAAACACAAAAAGAACTTGGAGGTGAGGGGATAGGCAGGGAAAATAAAAAGAACTTCAAAAGTCCTGTTATATTTGGCCAGGTGCGGTGGCTCATGCCCGTAATCCCAGCACTTTGGGAGGCCAAGATGGGCGGATCACAAGGTCAGGAGATCAAGACCATCCTGGCTAACACAGTGAAACCCTGTCTCTACTAAAAATACAAAAAATCAGCCGGGCGTGGTGGTGGGTGCCTGTAGTCCCAGCTACTCGGGAGGCTGAGGCAGGAGAATGGTGTGAACCCGGGAGGCGGAGCTTGCAGTGAGCTGAGATCGCACCACTGTGCTCCAGCCTGGGCGACAGAGCAAGACTCCGTCTCAAAAAAAAAAAAAAAAAAATCCTGTTATATTCTTAAAGAATGTTAATTAAAGTATGTTAAGATAGTGCATCCATGAAACAAGAACAGAATGCTATGTGAAGGAAATAATCAGAAACTAGAAAGGTCTTAGAAATTACATGGTCATAAAAATTAAAGAATTCAACAGAGAATTTAGAAGACAGTCGAGCAAATACCACAGAAAGGAGAACCAAAAATAAAAACAGAAAATAGGAAAGACAAGGAAATTTGAGATGCTGTCCAAAACAGCATTCCAGAAATAAAGAACAGAGAATATACAAAGAAGGAAAGTATCAAAGAAATATTGGAAGAAACTACACAAGCATGAGTTTCTACCTTGAAAGGGTTCATCAAAAGGGATGCATAGGAGACAATGGATATTCAAAGGCCCTCCCCGAGATACCTCATCACAACGTACCGGAATGCCAGAAATCAACCGAAGACCTGAAAAGCATCCAGAGGCAAAATTCAATCACACACAAAACAAAGAGCATCAGGATGGCATTGGTCTTACCACAAGCAGAATGCTGGAAGACAATGGTGGAATACCTTCAGAACTCTAAGAAACAAATGATTTCCAACACTGATTTCCAAAACTGGTTTAATTATGTCAAGTCTAGGGTGCAATCAACACATTTTAGATATGCAGAAGCTAAAACAATACTTCCCTCGCACCCTTTCTTGAGAAGCTATTAGAGGATGTGCTTTCAGTAACCAAGAAAGCAGGATGTGGTAGACAGGGGCCACCACAATAGAGGATGCTAGCTATGCTCCCAGCCTAGAACACAACTAGTCCAGACTGGAGTAGGAGGGTGGAAGACTAAGGGTAGGAGGCCTCCAAGAAAAAGCAAAATGCAAATGGTAGGTTATGTGTTTGAGTACTCAGAAAAATGGATAGATGTCAGAAAGATATTGCAGTGATTAATTTTATGTGTCAACTTCACTGGGTCATAGGGTGCCCAGATATTTGGTCAAGCATTATTCTGGTAATAATATGTGTGTCTTTGAGGGTGTTTCTGGACAAGATTAACATTGGAATCAGTAGACTGAATAAAGCAGACGGCCCTCCTCAAGGTGGGTGGGCATCATCCAATCAGCTTAAGGCCAGAATAGAACAAAAAGGCTGACCCTCCCTCAAGTAAGAGGGAACTCCTCCTGCCTGATTGCTTGTGTTGGAATTTGTCTCTTCCTGCCTTCAGACTTGAACTGAATTATTGGCTGGGTCTCAAGACTTCAGGCTTTCAGACTGGAACACAACATCGACTCTCCTGGGTCTCCAACTTGCCAAATGTAGATCTTGGGACTTCTCAGCCTCCCTAACTATGTGAGCCTGTTCCTTATAATGAACCTATTTCTATATATGCATACTATTGGTTTTGTTTCTCTGGAGAACCCTGACTAATACAGATATATAGAAATGTTTAGAAAGTGATATATGTGATAACATATGAAAGAACTGTAGTGAACTATTTTTTCCATAGTCATAATGTAAACAATAACTATTTAAAAGTTCAGTTGTAACTACATGGGGGTGATTAGGGTGCCAAAGTGAAGCTGGGGGAGTGGTTGATATAGGAGTGCTCAATCCAGTTACCTTACAAGAAGTCAAGAAGGAATATCCTAACTGGATAATTCACATTGTCTAGAAAAATTAAGGTAAATGCCAGAAGACACTTGCCTCTGGGGAGTGGGATGGAATTTGGGGGAATATGTTTTTCATTATAAGTCTTTTTGGGCTATTTGACTTTTAAATTATATGCATGTGTCTATAAATAAAAGTTAACAAAAAAAAAAAAAAAAAGGAAAAAAGGAAACCAGGTTTCCAGACATCAATTACAATGTGACTATACATGTTAAAAATAAGTTGATTATAGTTGGCAGTAGGGACAAACCTATTAGCCACCTTTAGCATGTGATGACAAGGTTACTTATTTGTAGCCAGCAGCTTTTTATCCAGTTGAGTGTCTTATGGGTTATAAGCAAACTACAAAGGTAACTAATTTATGTATTATGACCAAAATACTTTTTAAATTAAGCACAAGTGAATGATGTATCTCTGCACTTCTTAGTAATCAAAGCCTGAAATAAATTTAATTACAATGCATTTAGTTTCCTCTTGGCAGCAAATAACTTTTACAAGTGTTGAATGTCATTGTAAACAACAGTTTTTAAAAGCAATGCAAGCAATCCGTTGATAGATGTGGAGATCCCAAAGAGACACTAACAGGACAAACAGAGGGGAAAAAAAAAATCTAAATGACATACAAATGAAAGCCTGGGACTTCGCATAAAATTTCAAGGATTTTAAAAGTGCTCTCTTGGTCTGTTGCAAATAGAACCCACCCTAGCTGGTTCCAGGGGAAAATATATTTAAAGGACATCAGGCAGCTCGCAGAACCTCCAGGAGAGCCAGCTTTGAAGCTACTTAGCCAGGAACAGAGGACCTGCTGTGCCAGCACCAGGCCTAAGGCTACAGACATGTCTCATACACTGTTGCCCATGGTCACCAGCACTATGTAGTAACAAGACACAGTAGGGGAGACTAAGGCAGCTGGATCCCAAGCAAAACTTCCAATACACTTCTCCCGATTCCATCTACTGCTGGAAATAAAGAACTGTGAAATGTTCTTTGGGGGCAATGTGTATCTACTCTGGGGAAGGGTAGGTGAGGAGGTATCAGCACACGTGGATACTCCCCCCATGCCCGGGCACCATCATCTCATTCTGGATTGTCAGGGAGGGATCATCCAGCTAGGAAAATGGAAAAGTGAATCCCAGTTACTTCTCCCTTGTCAGAAGGAAGCTAGCAGCAAGCAGGAGATGAAATGGCAAGAGAAGCCAGGGTATTTATTTTGACTTTTCCTATTCTTCCCTTGTTCCTGGCAAGTCATAAAGGAAAGGAATAAGCCCTAGATGAGGGTTGAGAAGGCATCAGGTGAGGCTAGGAAGGCAGGTTAGGGCTCTACGCGTTATGATTCTCTGTTCTTAAAACAGATCAACATTTGCCTTTTGAGCCAAAGAGGTATCCAGATAATTATAATAATCGAATTACAAATTGGTCCACTTAATGTCTTCACATACTCATTTTGCAGTTGCCCAATCAGTTCCTTTGAAAACTGGACCTCAAAAGAGAACCCCCAAAAGGGAGGCCCTGGTATCTATCTCAGCCTGGGTTCCCTGAAGCAGAGCCACTACTTTATTCAGGGTGGAGAGCAATGGAGAGTGCGGCAGGGAAGGAGGGAGAGAAAACAGGATGGGGCATGTTCCCCAACTGACCTCTGCTTGGCGTCCAGTGCAACTGAGCCTGGGATCATGAGGAACCATCATAAAGGCAGCATCAGGACAGTCCGTTCAGAGAGGGGTAAGCAAAAGAACTTCACTAATTCCCATCTCCCAGCAGTGCCACCTCCCTACCCTCCTGGTTGCACATGGCTGAGCATCCATGGGGTCCTGGGAGTCTTGCCCCTCAGAGTCAACAGGGAGCCCCAGGGTGGCAGACATGAGGCTAGGAGCTGTGGCATTTGTCCACATGAGGACAGTTTTCACAGGGACTGAGCCAAGACTCCTGAGTTGATTACAGTCAAGAGGACCTGAGGCAGCACAGGAAAGATGTCTCATACAGTGTCTAGCTCGTAATTAAAACTCTCATTCCAACTTCCAGCAACATTTAGCTATCTTCCTAAAAGATAGAGTTGATTTTATATTCAAAAAGCAGTACTAATAAACAGAGACCTCTTCCAGCTGGGGATTTGTCCATTGAGTGTTATATTTCCTTCTGCAGAAATCCCCCATGCAGAAGACCGTGGATCCCCGGAAGGTCTTGGTATTGTTGTCAGAGAAGCCTGAACCCATACACTGCACCAAACATCAGCAAGCTTGTTATGTAAACAAGTATCACACATACATATAGGCACTATTTTAAGTGTACGTGGATGCTGTTGTGATTAGTAAGATACGGAAATTTACTGAATAAACAGATGACTGCATTCCTAAAGGATCTTTTTATTCTGTAATCACTGTGTTGATTGTTCTCTGCCTTCCCGGATCTATTCTCTGCCATTATTTGTCCCATTCTATGTCCCAGAAAGGAGCCCTTGCCCTTTGGTTTCCAGCTGGATTTGACCAGCAGGAGATGGAATGGTAAGATAAGTCAGGGTATTTATTTTGACTTTCAGCCCCCACCCTCACTTGTTCCTAGAAGCTCATTAGACACCTCTGAGCATCAGTTTCCCCATCTGTACAATGAGAGAGTTAATCAGATAATCTCTAAGGTGGTTTTTCAGTCACTGGCCCATGTTTTCACTTCCTGGATCCTCTGAAAGAATAGTTTATTCACATTTGCCAAATCAAATAGGTATGAATTCCAAGCTGGTATTTCCTTGTTGCTGTCAGGATGCTTTCTTTCAAAAATGGATCAAAATGACAGGATAAGAAAGTTTCCAGTTTGCCGTTATCTCTTTTCACATTAAGTGTTTACTGTGGACTGGTTCATTTTTATCATCTAAAGGCCGAATCAAATTTAGCAAATACCAAGCAAACGGTTGTGTGGGACTGTATAATTCATTTTTTTTGATAAGCATTTTACATGTTTCATCAGGTGCAAACTAGAACATCTGCAGTATAAAATATCACCCAGTGCACTTTGTAGGTGGCCTATCTATATTTACAGGGCATGTTGCGCGTCGTGTATAAAGTTACTCAAATGTGAAAAAGACTCAATTTCTTCTCAAAAAAATTTCCCAAATTGATTTGAGGGAGTGTATTAGCTCTCAGCCATAGAAATCATTTTTAAACATGGAAGAGTTAAAAATTCCTTCTTGAATTCAACATCTGGGAACATGGTTTATCAATCCAAGAAGAGCTGCACCCAACTCTACCAGCTCAGAACATCAAAAACAAAATATGAAGCATCTGAAATATGCAAGTACATCCTCCTGGCATCAGACCACAGAGTGGTCCTGGACTCCTGGGTGGCAGGGGGTTCATCCTAGTTTCAAAACTGTGCAAGACGATTTTCAGCAAGTTACATTTGCCTCACAAAAGGCTATTTTTAAAGTTTCTATCTGGTTTTAAGCCTTCTGGCTAAGGGCTTTTCCCAGGAACATATCCCTCGTTCTCTTCACCACGTGAAGCTTGATTATTTTTGCGGGTAGTGTCTGGAACTGTTTTGGATATAAAACATCTAAATTTAAAAATATCCTCATGCATATCAAAGAATGGAAGAACATCAGCATTATTCCATAATGCTTATTACAGATATAGCAATGGGTAAAAGTCTAGATCTGTAGGTTTATATAAAAACATCATGGGATAATAAGATTATTTTCAGTTTTTCTTGGACACGTACAATTTTCTAAATATCAAGTATTAACACAGCATGATGAAATGATAAAAACAATGAACTTTCTCCCATTTCCTTCTGTAAAGACAAGCATCTAACACTGCCATACTAAGCCACCCAAAAGTCTACTCCTGTACTTTTACATCCTAAGTATTTCATTTTGTCGGGCATATCTTCCAGGCAGTCACACTGTTTAGTATTAATTTCTTTGTGACTACGACTTTGACTCAAATATCATTCTTCTTAAACAGGAATATGTTTACTCATAGGAATGTTGTTTGTTAAAGACTGAAAATTTGAGGTATACATGACCAAAAATGTGAACGATAATAGGCAAAATTCGGAATAACCCCACATCAGCAAAAGTTATAGTGAAATTTCCCTACTATAAAATTGACAATAACAAGCATATTTTTTAAAAGCTCAGCATCACTGATCATTAGAGAAATGTAAATCAAAGCCACAATGAGACACCAACTCACACCAGTCAGAATGGCTATTATCAAAGTGACAAAAAATAACAGATGCTGGTGAGGTTGTGGAGAAAAAGAAATGCTTATACACTGTTGGTGGGAGTGTAAATTAGTTCAGCCATTGTGGAAGACAGTGTGGCAATTCCTCAAAGACCTAAAGTCAGAAATACCATTCGACCCAGCAATCCCATTACTGGGTATATAGCCAAAGGAATGTAAATCGTTCTGTTATAAAGACACATGCATGCATATGTTCATTGCAGCACTATTCACAATAGCAAAGCCATGGAACCCAAATGCCCATCAAGGATAGACTGACTAAAGAAAATGTGGTACATACACACCATGGAATACTATGCAGCCAAAAAAGAACAAGATCATGTGCTTTGCAGGGACATGGATGGAGCTGCAGGCCATTTTTAGCAAACTAACACAGGAACAGAAAACCAAATACTGCATGTTCTCACTTATAAGTGGGAGCTAAATTATGAGAACACATGGATACATAGAGGGGAACACCATACACAGGGGCCTATGGAAGGGCAGAGGGTGGGAGGAGGAAGAGAATCAGGAAAAATAACTAATGGATCCTAGGCTTAATACCTGGGTGATGAAGTAATCTGTACAACAAACCCCCATGACGCACATTTAGCTATGTAACAAACCTACACATCCTGCACATGTATCTCTGAACTTAAAAGTTAAAAATAAAATTGATAACAGATAACAGTAATAGTAACAACAACAGTAAAAGCATGACCCCAAACCCAACTTAGAGTAAACTGGTCACAATCTAAGATGCGTAGAACAAATACATCAAATAAAGTGTTTATCACTGTGGATATATAAATGCGCCTAAACCTCACTTTGAAAAAATTGGTAGAAAAAAACCTGAGTATTAGCTGAATGAAAAAAAAAATTCTTGCAATGATATTAATAAAGAAACTACGCACATTTTTAAAGAAAAATCACTAGAATTTTTTTTTTTTTTTTTTTTTTTTTTTTTTTTGAGACGGAGTCTCGCTCTGTCACCCAGGCTGGAGTGCAGTAGCACAATTTCGGCTCACTGCAACCTCTGCCTCCCAGGTTCAAGCAATTCTTCTGCCTCAGTCTCCTGAATAGCTGGGACTACAGGTGCACACCACTACGCCCAGCTAATTTTTGTATTTTTAGTAGAGACAGGGTTTTACCATATTGGCCAGACTGGTCTCAATCTCCTGACCTAGTGATCCACCCACCTTGGCCTCCCAAAGTGCTGGGATTACAGGCATGAGCCACCACACCCGGCTGTTTTTTAATAAAAGAGAAAAGTTGGGGTTTGGAACAATTCATTGGAAAACAATTAGTGAAGTACTTAGTTGCTTGAAATTTTATTTGGAGTTAGTTTCAGAAACACTTTAGGAGGTGAAGCGCAATTCATGAGAACATTTGGTGAAGCCCTGTCATGTAGACACAAACTATCCTGGTTTGGAGCAAAAAGAGACAGCCAAGCCAAAAATCAATAATACCACCAAACAACACATTTTAAACTACTCAACAGACACAAGTGAAGGAATAGTCACAGGACCTTCCAGTTGGCTGGGAGGCTTTATATTAGTGATGAGTCCATTTAATGATCTTTGCTTGTTCTGTTTATAATATTATTTGTGAAGGCTTATTAGTGTGCAAAATGCTTAGCTGTAAATTATTTAATGGAGTAATATTTAATCAAGTATTATTATTCCATTCCATTCATAGTAAGAATGGTACTTACATCTCTGAAGATGTAGAGCGGATGGTTAAAATTGAGAATAGCAGCCTGGACAGAGGCTGGTGAAGGCACAGACAGCTTCAGTAGAGAACAACACACTCAAAAAAAGAAACGAGTCAATGCAGACAGTGGTTGAATATTAGTTTGTAGAAACATTGCAATAAAAAGTGCCTCCTAGGAAAGCTTGCTTTATTTATCCACTCGAATACTAGCTATGGGGAGGGGGAAGGACTGGGTAGGTCATGACTAGTGTTCTTAAACTTACTGTTGAATTGTTTTTTTTTAATGAGAAAACAAATGTTCTCAAAACACAAAAGTAAAGACCTGGATACAATGAATTATTTTATTATTCAGAAATTGACTTATTTAGGAAACTTTTTTCTTTCATAGCTGAAACCCACCATTGCAAAGAAGAGCTAATATGAAAAGGTTTGAGAGTTTTTCATGAAGAGCTCAGATCCAGAGGTCTGTAAGTCTTTGAGTTAGGTTATTTACATGTGAAGACAAGATAATTATTTACATGGGTCAAAATAAAGAGCAACAGTTGTCGTTACTGAAATCAGAAACACTTTGGGTCCATGATATTATAGAAGTAACTTGGCTTCTCAGCATGAAGAAATACCTACCGAAATTCCTATATGTAATTCCTATGCCTGAAAATGTAGCATGGAACCACTTCTTTGGCAACATGCTGAATATCTCCCTGTGTGGAATGCCCCAACACTTATGTGTATGAATTTCTGTTCTCAATATATAACACCAACAAAGAGAGAGAGGCTGCCTGGACCCAGAACTTATTATAATGTAGCATTAGCACTCTTTTTATCAACCCAATTTTTAAAATATCCAAAAATCATATCTTTTTTCCTCAATAGCAAGGAATATAAAAGCATTTTTCTATTAAGACAAACAGGCATACACTACTGTGCACAATGAAAATCCCACACGCATTCATAAGAATGTGTAGACATCTCTAGTCTTTCTTTGTACTACTTGGGGCCACATTTCCAGGGTTCTCATCCATTCGAGTCTAGAGCTAAGGACACTTAAGAGAAAAGGCATTGTACCTCTTGTTTAAGTAGAATATGATGGTACTGACATAATTTAATCCAACTAAAATGTGAAATTCTGGCAAGAGATACATAAGGCTGCTCTTTTCTAAAGTAAAGAATCCCAACAGGACAAAGGGCTAGCTCTTTCCCTCCCCCACCAGAGTCTCCATTTACCATCCCTGGGCATTGAGCTCTCAACAGAGCAGATCTTCCCCTTGCCCCCAAACCCAGCAATGCAGCCCACTGTCAACGATACCTTCCACTTTTAAGCTATGTAGAAATATGAATTTTAAAAATAGGGCAAAAAATTTCCCATGATGACCAATCTTTGTGATGAGTTAAAGCCGCTTACTAGCTGTTGGATCTATCTGATCTTAGCAAGTTGCTAAACCTCCCTAAACCTAAACTTAATAATGTCCTTTGTCTTACAGAAGTGCTCGGAGGACTGTGTGAGATGCTTCTTGTAAAGCAGCCCAGCACACTGCCTGCCACATAGTAAATATTCAATAAACATTACTACTATTAGGGACCAAGTCTTTAATGAGCTGGGTTCAGGGTCAAACGCCATTAACAGGTTCTGAAGTAAAAGACATCTCTCTCAACATCAAAAATACTACAGACTACTTAAGGAGATAATATTAACATTTAATATTAACATTCAAGAAATAAGTGACGTAAAACCATATGTGAGCAACAGGGCTGGTAGACTTGGTGTGTTCAAGTTCTTAGTCTCATTGGCCATATGAGCTTGACCAAGCAACTGTATACAACAGAGTTACAAAGATCTGACCTGGCCGGGCGCGATGGCTCACGCCTGTAATCCCAGCACTTTGGGAGGCCGAGGCTGGCGGATCGTGACATCAGGAGATGGAGACCATCCCGGCTAACACAGTGAAACCCCGTCTCTACTAAAAATACAAAACATTAACCGGGTGTGGTGGCACGCGCCTGTAGTCCCAGCTACTCGGGAGGCTGAGGCAGAAGAATCGTTTGAACCCGGGAGGTGGAGGCTGCAGTGAGCCGAGATTGTGCCACTGCACTCCAGCCTGGGTGACAGTGCAAAACTCCGTCTCAAAAAAAAAAAAAAAAAAAAATCTAACCTGCCCACCTCACAGGTCAAAGAAATAATATACATGAAAATCCTCTGGGGGCTAGAGAACTTTATGTGCATGTTTGTAAGTATTATTGTGACTACAATTAATTAAAATAGGGTACTCTGTTATAGGGCCCAGGCTGAAAAGGATACGCAAGTTGAATAAGGAAGAAATCAGTGAGGAGTCAGGTAGTTGGGGATGCCTTCATGGATCTGGTAAGCTTTGAGTTGGACCCTGAAGATTAGATAGAATCTGGGTAAATGAACAGCACTGGCAGGAATCCTAGCAGAAGTCACTACATGAGCAAGTTCAGAGTGAAGTGCTTGGTAGAGTGTAAAGTGGAATGGTGGGAAAGTAAGTGTGGGTTAACTGTGGGTGTTGGCCTATGTGGACCGTCAAAGTCAAGGAGCAGAGCTTAGCTAGGATATGTCGGAACCAAGGCAGCACTGGACAAGCAATGGCTACCCCTAGAAACAGGACTGTTGACAGCTACAGGATCAACCTCACATTTACAAACAAGTAACACATCTCCTTGTCTTCTTTTTTCCTATTTCTTCCTTTTTTAAATTTTATTTCTTACAACTATACCAGGTTATGGTACAGCTGGACAGGGATATAAATCAGTGAACTCTGAGAACACTTTTAATCCAAGCACCAAATAAGGCAGCATTTCCTGTGACTGCTGGACGCCACGGTTTAAGTGAGATGCCAAACATTCCTCATTTGGGAAAATGCGCAATAGTCCACAGAGAGAACAAAATCAAAATGTGAAAAGTTGAATAAAAAACACTCCTTTGGAAATAAAATATTACTCAGCATAAGTTAGCTGACCTCATCTTTGGGACTAGAAAAATAACAGTAAATAGTAATAATAGCTAACATTTATTGAGCCCATACCAGGTGTCAGGTGTAGGAACTATTTCATTTAATCTTCTCCCAAACCTTTGAGGGGGATACTACTATTATCCTCCTTTCCCTAATGGGGAATCTGAGGCCTTTAGTCCCGGAGCAGGTGAACATCAGAGTCAGGGTTTTAATGGTTATACTACATGAGCCAAAGCCAAAGGACAGTGAAACTGCTGATGGCTGAACACGACAAATAGGAACATTTTTTATCAGTTTTGAAAATTAGTCATCTAAGATACAAAATTCCTCATGGTAAAAAACCAACTCTATAATTACTGAACAAGTGCCTTTCATATATACAAACTCATTTATCAAATGGAGAAAAGATTATCTTAAAATTTCTTCATGCTATGGAGAAAGGATCCCACTTAACACAATACATATATCCAGAAACAGTCATACGCACTGAATTTCTGTAAATCAAGTACTATATTTACTAAAGAACTTCTCTAGGGTAAATGTGCAGTAAATATTTAATAAAATGAAGAATCGTTTTGCAACCTGAATAGTCATTCAATAATTTATCTGTTTTGTAAATTTGGATATACAGCAGACTCTTGACATTCCTGAGGCATACATCTGAAACCTTCTTGAATTCCCAGATCCACAAATACAAGAATGTTTATAGAGGCTCCCAGCTTTCGCTTGAATCACATTTCTATGGAGAGCCATATGCGTTTTCCTGTGCATAGCCTCACACTACAAGTTAACCCTACTTTCAGATTTCACTAAATGTTGCTCTCACCTGATGGCTGTTTTTCACAGACACAACACAATGTTTTAATTAACAAGCATTGTTACAAATGCATGAATGCGCAGAACAATAAGGATAAATGACCCTTTTCCATAACATGTGTCTTGCAAAGTAGACTTCTCGGATTCATACCTCAGCCCAACTCTGTGCCACAGACCCACAGGGGAACCCACAAAGAATCACAAACCTGTGAGTTAAATCCATGAACACCTAAGGTCTGAACACATTTATTAAGTTTGCCTGGGCAGGGACATGGGGCGTATCTATAGAATCCACTTGCTAACCCACAAGTTACAGAAGCTGACTGAACCTTTTGGTGATGAGTCCAGAAAGTTCAATTGTAGAAACATTGCCCCCATGAATTACAAATGATTCACCTACAAATTCAAAATACCGATACTTTGTATGATGAGAGTTGAAGATCAAATTTGGGTGATTTCACAGCCTTCAGTAATGTAGTCCATTCACAGCGGGTATGCTGGGCACAAAAACCAGCAGATGGACCTTTTTGAAGGACTGTCCTGGAACTCGCAGTCCCTGGCTCGGTTTAGACACACCTCCAAAACACCACTAACCATGAAAGACAGAACAGGGCAAAGAGTGAGGGAGGGACTGGGTGAGTGAGAAAGGAAGACACACTGAAACCAGGAGAAACAATGAAAGAAACAGAAACACAGGAAAAATGAGAGAGAGAGGGAGGGAGGGAGGGAATGAGGAAAAGAAATAAAGAATGAACAAGGAATTTGGCTGCTGTGCAGGAACAGAAAAAGAAAGATGTTATCATTTCAAAATACATATTATAGCTTACACATTTCAGAACATATTTGAAAACATGACTGCCAAATTTTCAAATTATTTATTTTCACCCCTTTTGTTCCAAAGAGGTTTTGCAGGATTTTGCTGCCAGATTAATTTTCCTGAAGCTCAGCTCTGATCATACTACTCTCCTGCTTACAAACCCCAATAACTCCTCACTGCCCATAAAAGGCAGTCCAGTTTCTTTAGCCTCCTGTTTGAGGCCCTCTATAATCTGGCCCCAAACTTCCAGGCCAACCTCGTCCTACACTGTTCCCCTTTATAAGTTCTTTGCTCCAGAGGAAGGACACTCGCCGATGTTTCCTAACACCTGTATTTTCTGCCCAAGCACCTTTGCTTCTGTGGTTCCCTCTGCCTGGAACACCCTTCCCCTACATCTGCACACGCCCAGTCCCACTTGCTCCTGGAAGCTCTACCTGGAGGATAAGCATACAGCAGGCACCCAGTCACCAATAGTGGAATGTCCAACACTGATACACGTGCTTTACACATGGCATCTCGCCGGAACCTCACAACAAGAGGAAGTTATTTCTTAATTTTCTAGATATGCAACTGTGGTCCAAGGGAGCTAGGGCTTTTGCACTGAGGTTGTGTCCTTTGCCCATTGCTCTTCCTGCTACCCCAAGGCCACTGTTTGTACAGAACAAAAAGTGACTGCATGAATCAATGCCAACATGTTGTAGCAATCTTTGTGTTTTTTTTTTTTAAAGGGGAAAAAGTACACCTTTCCATTCTGTGTGAACTCGAATTCGCTTGTCCAGTCCTGAGTCACAGTTTCATTTGGGAGCCCCTGTGCAGCCCTTGCCAGTTTCCACGAGGCAGGATACTCCACTAGCTGATTCAGACAGGCAGAGGCTGCAGAGGCCCAAGAAGCCAGGGCGGTACGGATGCCCCAGGCACCCTCCACACTTCCCTCCTGGAGATGCCACAAGAACATATGCAGAAGGAGGCTGATAACCACCAAAGATGTCAATGGATCCAGTTCTACTCCTTCGCATCCTAAGAATGTGCCAAAGGATTTTTAAAGGTGCCATTTATCACCAAGGGTGGGAGAGCAGGTTGCTAACACTATTTATACAACCTCCAAAGCCGGCTTAAACAAACATGGCAACTGGGTGTAGGACCAGGCATCATGACTGATTGATGGGGGCCTTTTAAGCACGCAAAGCCGCCAATATCTACAGGCTCACTGGACACGGGCCAAAGCTATTACACTATGAGCTGTTACGTAACCTTAAGTACAAATGGAATTTGAGCTGTACACATCTGATATGCTTCCCCTTTCTAATTTTTGGCATCAAGAGGCTACGTGAATTGACTGGAATGTAAGAGTCCTCCCCTCCATTTTCTCCCTTTCCTGATGACAGGCAGGCCACGTGATCACAGCAGAACATCTCATAATAGTTACTGATGTACTCAAAGTTTCCTCAAACCAAACGTTCCACTGTCCTGTTGAAATCTGACCTATTTTTAATAGGCTGCTCCGTTTAAAATCAGCATAATTTGCTGGAGCATGACTTTAGATGAAAGCTGTTTCCTGGGATAAATCCAAACTTCAATCCCCTGGACAAAACTCAACTCAGCCCAATAAATTATGGCTCACTCGATAAAATTTTAAAGCAAAAATAAATTAATCCAATAACCATATGAAATCTATGGTCGCCCTGCCAGTTTCTTGCCCCTACTCATTTGTTGACTTCTGGGCTCACTAAACTCGTGACAAGGTTTGTCTGCCTAGCGTTTCTTACCCCTGCAATACTTGGCTTTCTCCACCCCTCTAACCTGCCATATTTCAGACTGGCACAATCGAACAAACTCCTTGCCCCATCAGAGACTAGTCAAGGTCCTCCTCCTTGCCTCCGCAGAGAAACAGCATCTGCAGTAAGATTTCAAAGAAAAAGATCAGCAGAGCACAATGTAGAACTTTGTTTCCCCAAACTTTTCTTATTAATTACTAAATAGCGTTCTTGAGTTGCAACTTCTGTTGAACAGCTCCAGAGCTACAAGTGAGTTATTAATCACCTACATTTTAAAAATCTGTATCGGGGCAGGTTGAGGCAGGTGGATTGCTTGAGCCTAGGAGTTCAAGACCAGCTGGGCAACATGGCAAAACCCTGTCTCTATAAAAAGTACAAAAATGTATAGTGCATGGCTGTATTCCCAGCTACTTGGGAGGCTGAGGTGTGAGGATCACTGACCCCAGGGAGATCAGGGCTACAATGAGCCATGATCATGCCACTGCACTCCAGCCTGGGTGACAGAGTGAGACCCTGTCTCAGCAAAACAAAACAAAAACAAGCAAACAAAAATTCTGTTGGCTTCTAGCAGTCTTTAGTTTGAAATTAAAATGTGGGACTTCTCCCTGTTTTATTTCTGAATCATTAAACATAATTAAGCAGACATTTGTCAACAAAGTTACACAGTGCTTTCCTCACAAGGCGGAGTGCTGGCGGGAGGCAGTAGTGGTGGTATTTTTATATTTGGAAATCCAAAAGAAAGAATAAAAAATATAGATTAAAAACTAAGCACTACCCAGTGAAGGGTGCTGCTGTACAGGAGGAATCTTACACAGTGGGTAGTGATGATAGCTTCTGCTTTGGCCAGAGGGAGCTACAGAATACTGTATGTGCCATCTTAGTCCCAGCACAGAAAGGGCTGGGAGGTATCTACCTTCAGTGGACCATCCAAAGATCACTGGACACCACCAGGAGAAAAGTGATTCCAATAGAGCAGTGACAGTCACAGAATAGGAAAGACAGAGAGAAGCAAAAACCCAGAAATGTCTCCCACGTTAAACAGAAATGGCTGTGAATGAGAGCATTCTATTCCAGGGTAATGTATGTCACACGTAGTAATCTTAAAGAAAAATATATCCCTACATATACTCAATTACCAAGTATTTGGGTTACTAAGTAAAAGGGCCTCAAACAGTTAACTGATGGTGAAGCCTAGATTTGCAGCTAAGAGGTGTGATAATTATGTCTATGACTTCAGGATATGATGACAAGTGCTTGCCACTGTTTAGGCTGAAGGCAGCTGGGTTTGGAAACAATAATTCAGATACAGGCCAGGCACGGCGGCTCACACCTGTAATCCCAGCACTTTGGGAGGCCAAGGTGAGCAGACCACCTGAGGTCGAGAGTTTGAGACCAACCTAGCCGACATGGTAAAACCCTGTCTCTACTACAAATACAAACATTAGGTGGGCGTGGTGGCGGGCGCCTGTAATCCCAGCTCCTCGGGAGGCTGAGACAAGAGAATCACTTGAACCCGGGAGGCAGAGGTTGCAGTGAGCCCAGAATGCACCACTGCACTCCAGCCTGGGTGACAAGAGTGAAACTCCGTTTCAAAAAAAAAAAAAAGAAGAAGAAGAATTCAAATACAAATAGTTGCCAGTACCTCCATTTTATTATTCTGCAGTGGATACGGCCTCAGATGCAGACAGGAAATACAATCAAAAGAATTAAACCTATTTAATACACAGCCATCAGATGATCCAGTTTTTAAAACTATCCTTGATTCAGTTCCTCCACCTCTGGATACACTGCCCCCAATGAGAGAATTCTTAATTTAAAGGATTATTCTGGGAAACCAGGCCAGCCCCTGACAATTTCACCCATCCTAAGGTCATCTCTTGAAAAATTACAATCCGCTACATATTGTTTTTTACTTACATTTTAAATGTGAATACATTTAGACAATGTACGATAACCTGTTCATATTTATTTGCATCATTCCCTGCCATTAAAGAATGCATACAGGCATTTGTAGTCAAATATAATGAAATATTGTAAACATTTATGAAGCTCATCGTCTTTAATAAAGAATAGAGACTCATCTCAAATTTTCGAGCAACTAGCAGGATTAATCGGCACCTAGGTAACCATGATTGGAAAGATTGAAAAACCATAGAACTGGCAAAGAGGCAGCACAGATGTAGCCATTCCCCCTTCCCAAGCCCAATCAAGGCATCACTAATCAATCCCAATAACATTCCTTGTTTCCAAGCCCAGCACATCAGAGCTCACACAGGTGAGGAGACCTGCGCGTTATGACTCATTAACCACACTCTAAAGGGAAGAGTCAGGATAATAAACAGCAAGCCCCAAAGCACAGAAATCAGTTTAAGGAAATAAAATTATTCAGCAGGCTGGCAAAAAGAAGATGCGGGGTGACAACATGATTGTATTAAAATATCCGAAGAGGTACACTGGATGTTGTGCTCAACATGGCTCCAAAGGGTAACTAGGCAATAAATAATTATTCCAGGGTAAACATGGTGGCATCACAAGAATGTACCAAGGCAGATTTTACCCAGATAAAAGGAAAGAGGGGTGCACCTTCCCACCTCAGACTACAGCTACACAAGTGATTTTTCTTTTAATCTTTTGTAAACAACTCCCACTGATTCATGGAGTGTTCTCACAGAAATTTCTAAGAAATGGAGACTGGCAGGTTTGGTAGCTGTTTAACAGCTTTGGGGGAAGGACAGTGTATTAGTCCGTTCTCATGCTGCTGATAGAAACTTACGCTAGACTGGGTAATTTACAAAGGAAAGAAGTTTAATTGACTCACAGTTCAGCATGGCTGGGGAGGCCTCAGAAAACTTAGAATCATCGCAGAAGGGGAAGCAAACACAGCCCTCCTCACACGGTGGCAGTAAGGCGATGCACCAAGCAAAAGGAGGAAAAGCCCCTTATAAAACCAACAGATCCCGTGAGAACTAACTCACTATCACGAGAACAGCAGCAAGGGGTAACTGCCCCCATGATTCAATTATCCCCACCTGGACCCTCCCATAACAGGTGGGGATTATGGGAACTACAATTCAAGATGAGATTTAGGTGGGAACACAGAGCCAAGCCAAATCAGACTGTATCAGTGGGGTGAGAATGTCTGATAAATATATAAAGCATGGGCTGAATGTGTAATTTAAATATAAGTTGCATATTCACTGATCACACCGTAGTTGTAAATCTAACTCTGAAAACCTCTTGATATGCACCAGATACTAATATCTCAAGGTCCATGCAAGGTACAACAAAATGTCCCAACCACTCCTTCAGGACATGTCCCCACCAATTTACAACATGGTGACCTCTGCTCGGAGAGTGAGAGAACTGTGCTACAAGAGATTAAGACAGAGACCCAGGATTTCCTGGAGAAGTCTTAGTAGTCTTGATGTAAAAACACATTTGTTTGTTTTTAAAGGAAATGAATCAGTCATGGCTTGGATGCATGGAGGGAGAAATTCTTCTGCAGGCCCTCAGGCAAATCGCTGCTCTCAGCTTGGTGGGCTGTGCTTATGTAACTTCTCGGTGACTCTGATTCTTCTCTGTTGTTCTGTGACCCAGGGCAGACCATCCTACCCCTGTGAGTCTCTATTCCTGCATCTGTTGAGTAGGAACACTAGAATACTGACACCCCGACCAGCCACACGATGACAACTGAGCAAGGCAGTCTTTGTAGAAAGCTGAGTTCTTGGAAGAGAGAAACAATAGGATCGGGTCTCAGTATTTAATATTTTGCAGTGAGTTTAAGCTCTATGCTTGGTTTCAAGTCCTTAAAATCATTCCTATTTAGTCTAATCTGCTCATTAGATGTTGAAATACACCCTGAGGCTTTTCTTTACTAACTACCCAGAATGACATGGGTTCAAGTGCCAGGAAAGAAACAGCTTTTTAAAGAATCATTTACACCTGCTAGAATACCCTAGAATAGAGGCAATTTTCTCCCTCAATCTTTCCTTTCTCATATCCTACATTTTCCAGTGGAAAGACTTACAGAGGTAGGTAATAACCATTTGCCCCATCCTGCATT
The DNA here is from genome assembly GCF_000001405.40 of Homo sapiens. NCBI lineage: Eukaryota > Metazoa > Chordata > Mammalia > Primates > Hominidae > Homo > Homo sapiens. The sequence goes on along the minus strand of NC_000015.10, from coordinate 71,274,670 downwards.
CTCCTTCCTCTTTAGCTAGAGAGAGAAACATGGTGTGGGTGTGAGAAGGAGGCCTGTCCCAGAGACATTTCACACATATACTCCTACTTGGCAGCAGTGGTGGGAGAAGAACTAGACCAGCAACCAGGATTATAGGAATCAGGGAGGAGGGAATCATTCCTCACTCCCATCCTAAGGTCATGCCCCCTTATGATGCAGTGGCCCATGCGCCTGTGTAAATACACACTGGTCAACCTGAATTACACCAGCATCACATTTGGGATCAGAGGGGATCTACACAGGTCTTGTCTGTACAATCTTCAGAAATGCAAACACAACAAGAAGGAGGAATGAATGATACTTGCGTGTTACATTTCAATTTCAACAATTCCCCCAAAGGTGTCAGGAAGCCCTACCAGCTGAATGATGAAATGACAGTTGATGAGCCAGGTGGCTACCCTGACATGTCATGAGTTTCAGTCACAGACACCAATCATTTTTGTCCATCCCATATCCACTTTCCCTTCTTTCTAGATTTCTTATTTGAAAATTACTTCTCCCCTCTGTGTGTAGTCTTGGCGAGACTGTCACTCAGGGTGTCCCAGCTCCCCCTGGCCAAGGTGTGGGATGTGGCCTAAGCTAAGCCAATCCAACCCTTGTTACCAGGACTTTGACTCTTAGATGGAGAAACCTGCTGGAATTTTCCATTGCAGCAGCAGCACACTAATGAGACTGTGAGTTCTGTCCACCTGGAAGCCCAGGGCTTCCCAGTTTCCATCCTTTACCAAGCCTACTTCTCCACACTTCCTGTTGGGTCTCTGAGCTATTGGATATCCTCCTGATAAAATCCTTTTGTGTTTGACTTAGCCAAAATTGGTGTCTGTTGCTTGCAAAATAAGAAAGCTAACTAACACAGATGTCTGGCTTGCTTCCTCGGATTCTGACCTATTAGAGGATTCCTACGCCCAGCAAAGCCCTATAATTCTAAATGAGTCTCAAAATGATACTGTGTATTTTTAAATTTTATTTCGATTGATAAATATTTGTATATATTTATGGGGTTTCAATACGTGTATACATTGTGGAATAAGAAAATATGGTTAATTAACGTATCCCTCACCTCATACTTATTTCTTTGTGGTGAGAACATTTAGAATCTACTCTTTTAGCAACTTTGAAATATACATTATTATTAATTATAGTCACCTTGCTGTGCAATAGATCACCAAAACTTTTTCCTCCTGTCTCACTGCAATTTTGTGCCCTTTGACCAACATTTTACTTTTCACCACCCACTCCCTCCCTCCTCAGCCTCTGGTAACTGCCATTCTACTCTCTTCTTCTGAGTTCAAATTTTTACATTCCACATAAAAGTGAGATCATCTAATATTCATCTTTCTGTGCCTGGCTTATTTCACATAGCATAACGCCCTCCAGGTTTACCCATGTTGTCACAAATTACAGAATTTCATTCTTCTTTCAGGCTGAATCGTATTCTTTCATGTACACAGACCACATTTTTAAATCCTTTCAGCTGTCGATAGGCACTTAGGTTGTTTCCATATCTTGGCATGTGAATAACGCTGCAGTGAACATGAAAGTGCAGACGTCTCATCAACACACTGCTTTACATTCCTGTGGCTATATACCCAGAAGTGGGACTGCAGAATGATGGTAACTCTATTTTTAGTTTTTTTTGAGAAACTTCCATACTGTTTTCCAAAATGGCTGTTCTAACTTACATTCCCACCAACGGTAGACAAAGGTTCCCCTTTCTCCATATCCTGGCCAACACTTACCATTTTTCTTTTTCTTTTTTTTTCTTTTTGAGACAGAGTCTCATTCTATCACCCAGGCTGGAGTGCAATGGCATGATCTTGGCTCACTGCCACCTCCGCCTCCCGGGTTCAAGTGATTCTCCTGCCTCAGCCTCCTGAGTAGCTGGGATTACAGGCGCGCGCTACCACACCTGGCTAATTTTTTGTGTGTTTTCACTAGAGACGGGGCTTCACTACGTGGCCAAGCTGGTTTTGAATTCCTGACCTTAAGTGATCTGCCTGCCTCGGCCTCCCAACACTTACCATCTTTCATCTTTTTTCTAATGGCCATTCTAACAGGCATGAGATGATAGCTTATTGTAGTTTTAATTTGTATTTCCCTGCTGATTAGTGGTATCGAGCATTTTAACATATACCTGTTGGCCTATTTTATGTCTTCGTTTGAGAAATGTCTATTCAGGTCCTTTGCCCCTCCCTCCCCACTTCTTTCTTTTTTTTTTTTTTTTTTTTTTTTTTTGAGACAGAGTCTCACTTTGTCCCCTGGCTGGAGTGCAATGGTGTGGTCTCAGCTCACTGTAACCTCCACCTCCTGGGTTCAAGCAATTCGGCTTTGGCCTCCCGAGTAGCTGGGACTACAGGTGCGTGCCACCACACCTGGCTAATTTTTGTATTTTTACTAGAGACAGGGATTCACTATGTTGGCCAGGCTGGTCTCGAATTCCTGACCTCGTGATCTGCCCGCCTCAGCCTCCCAAAGTGCTGGGATTACAGGTGTGAGCCACCACACCCAGCCCCTTTGCCCATTTTTAAGAGTTGTTTTCTTGCTAGTAAGTGGTTTCAGTTTCTTGCATATTTTGGATTTGAGCCCCTGATCTGACGTATGATTTGTAAATATTTTCTCCCAATCTGTGGGTTGTCTTTTCACTCTATTCATTGTTTCTTTTGCTATGCAGAAGCTTTTTAGTTTGATATAATCTCATTTGTCTATTTTTGCTTTTGTCTGTGCTTTTGAGGTCATATGCAAGAAATCATCCCCTAGACTGATGTCTTGTAGTGTTTCTCCTATGTTTTCTCCTAGTAGTTGTATAGTTGATACTACACATTTTTGAGTCTAATAAAAGAGAGAAACTAGAAAGCCTTAGAATAGTTCACAATGTGACATTAATACTAGCTCTAAAAGTCTCCTTCAGGAATTGGAGAGACAGAGTGAGAGAGAGAGGCAGAGAGTGAGACAATGAGAAAGAAAGAGAAAAGGGAAAAGAGAATCATAAGGTTTTAAAAATATAGTTTATATTATATACAATAAAATGCACATAAGTGTATAGTTCAATGGATTTTGATAACTGTATACACCCATGTGTATATAATGCCAATCATGACATAAAACATTACCATCATTCCAGAAGGTTCTATCATTTCCCTTTCCAGCTATAATACTCCTCCCACCTGCATAGGCAAACACTGTTCTGATTTCTATCACCACAGCCTAATTTTTCCTATTATAGAATACCATATAAATGGAATCAGACAGTATGTGCTCTTGTATCTGCCTTATTTTGCTCAACATAAAGTTTTTGAGATTCATCCAGGATTTTACATGTGTCAGTAGTGTGTTCTTTTTTTACTTTGAGTAATACTCCATTGTATGAATGTACCACAATTTTTTTATTCAGTCTCCTGTTGATGGATATTTGGGTTGTTACCAGTTTGAAGCTAATATGAAAAAAGGTGCTGTGAACATTCTTGGGCAAATTTTTTTTTATGGCAAAACGATTACTTTCATTTCTCTTGAATGAATTAATTTTTATTAAATGATGAAGAAGCTTTTTATAAAAGCTTGCAGAGAAGCAATAATACACATTCTACAGGAAGAAAAAATGCCCACTTTGCATCTTTTCTTTTAGGATAGCACAGGTTCAGAGATATCATTCTATTAAATCTGTACTCCCTTGCTACAAGCTACATCCTCACATCTACAGAACATCCTCATTCCTTTATCATTCTAGACAAACCTTTCCCTTCTCCTTAAAGTAGCATACACTCCTAATATGCCTTCTACATGGCCATTAAAAAAAAAAAAAAGAGAGATGGCTACCTGACCACTCTAATTCCCTTCCAGTAGGGTTCCCAACAGCCCATCCTTGTCTTATTTTCTCAGTTATTTCCCTTGACCTCTTCTGATGTTCAGCAGTGTTGACCACCTCTCCTTCTGGAAACCCTTTTCTTGGCTTCCATATACATATGAGTAGAAATTCCTGTAGCCAGACTTTGGAGTTTGAACCTGGCTCTATCACTTACTAGCTAGGTGACCGTGGGCAAGTTAGTTAACTAGTCTAGGCCTTTGTTTTATCTGTAAAATGAAGGTAAAAACTAGTTCCCACCTGATGGGGTAATTGTGAGGATTAAATGAGTCAACACTTTGAACTGTGCCTATAATATAGTAAGTGCTCAATAATTATCTTGAGTTAAATTTTGTATAAGGTGTAAGTAAGAGGTCCAATTTCTGTTTTCTGCATATGGCTAGCCAGGTTTCTCAACACCATTTATTAAATAGGGAATCCTTTCTCCAGTGCTTGTTTTTGTCAGGTTTGTCAAAGATCAGATGGTTGTGGAAGTGTGGCATTATTTCTGAGGCCTCTGTTCTGTTCCATTCATTTACATATCAGTTTTGGTACCAGTACCATGCTGTTTTGGTTACTGTAGCCTTGTAGTATAGTTTGAAGTCAGGTAGTGTGATGCCTCCAGCTTTGTTCTTTTTGCTTAAGATTGTCTTGGCTATATGGGCTCTTTTTGGGTTCCATATGAAATGTAAAGTGTTTTTTTCCAAATCTGTGAAGAAAGTCAGTGGTAGCTTGATGGGGATAGCATTGAATCTATAAATCACTTTGGGCAGTATGGTCATTTTCACAATATTGATGTTTCCTATCCACGAGCATGGAATGTTTTTCCATTTGTTTGTGTCCTCTCTTATTTCCTTGAGCAGTGGTTTGTAGTTCTCCTTGAAGAGGTCCTTCACATCGCTTGTAAGTTGTATTACTAGGTATTTTATTCTCTTTGTAGCAATTGTGAATGGGAGTTCACTCATGATTTGGCTCTCTATTTGTCTATTATTGGTGTATAAGAAAGCTTGTGATTTTTGCACATTGATTTTGTATCCTGAGACTTTGCTGAAGTTGCTTATCAGCTTAAGGAGATTTGGGGTTAAGACGATGGGGTTTTCTAAATATACAATCATGTCATCTGCAAACAGAGACAATTTGACATCCTCTCTTCCTATTTTAATACCATTTATTTATTTCTCTTGCCTAATTGCCCTGGCCAGAACTTCCAGTACTATGTTAAACAGGAGTGGTGAGAGAGGGCATTCTTGTCTTGTGCTGGTTTTCAAAGGGAATGCTTCCAGCTTTTGCCCATTCAGTATGACATTGGCTATGGGTTTGTCATAAATAGCTCTTAATATTCTGAGATACGTTCCATTAATACCTAGTTTATTGAGAGTTTTTAGCATGAAGGGGTGTTGAATTTTATCAAGGGCCTTTTCTGCATCTGTTGAGATAATCATGTGGTTTTTGTCATTGGTTCTCTTTATGTGATGGAGTACGTTTATTGGTTTGTGTATGTTGAACCAGCCTTGCATCCCAGGGATGAAGTTAACTTGATTGTGATGGATAAGCTTTTTGATGTGCTGCTGAATTCAGTTTGCCAGTATTTTATTGAGAATTTTCGCATCAATGTTCATCAGGGTTATTGGCCTGAAATTTTCTTTTTTTGTTGTGTCTCTGCCAGGTTTTGACATCAGAATGATGCTGGCCTCATAAAATGAGTTAGGGAGGAGTAGTTTGGAATAGTTTCAGAAGGAATGGTACCAGCTCCTCTTTGTACCTCTGGTAGAATTTGCCTGTGAATCCGTATGGTCCTGGGCTTTTTTTGGTTGGTAGGCTATTAATTACTGCCTCAATTTCAGACCTTGTTATTGGTATATTCAGGGATTCGACTTCTTCCTGGTTTAGTCTTGGAAGGGTGTATTCATCCAGGAATTTATCCATTTCTTCTAGATTTTCTAGTTTATTTGCATAGAGGTGTTTACAGTATTCTCTGATGGTAGTTTGTATTTCTGTGGGATCAGTGATCTACCCTTTATAATTTTTTATTGTGTCTGTTTGATTCATCTCTCTTTTTTTCTTTATTAGTCTGGCTAGCTGTCTATCTATTTTGCTAATCTTTTCAAAAAAAAAAAAAACAGTTCCTGGATTCACTGATTGTTTTTGAAGCGTTTTTCATGTCTCTATCTCCTTCAGTTCTGCTCTGATCTTAGTTATTTCTTGTCTTCTGCTAGCTTTTGAATTTGTTTCCTCTTGCTTCTCTAGCTCTTTTAATTGTAGTGTTGGGGTGTTGATTTTAGCTCTTTCCTGCTTTCTCCTATGGGCATTTAGTGCTATAAATTTCCCTGTCAACACTGCTTTAGCTGTGTCCTAGAGATTCTGGTACGTTATGTCTTTGTTCTCATTGGTTTCAAACAACTTCTTTATTTCTGCCTTAATTTCGTTATTTACCCAGTAGTTATTCAGGAGAAGGTTGTTCAGTTTCCATGCAGTTGTGCGGTTTTGAGTGAGTTTCTTAATCCTGAGTTCTATTTTGATTGCACTGTGGTCTGAGAGACTGTTATGGTTTCCGTTCTTTTGTATTTGCTGAGGAGTGCCTTACTTCCAATTATGTGGTCAACTTTAAAATAGGTCCGATGTGGTGCTGAGAAGAATGTATATTCTGTTAATTTGGGGTGGAGAGTTCTGTAGATGTCTATTAGGTCCACTTGTTCCAGAGCTGAGTTCAAGTCCTGAATATCCTTGTTAATTTTCTGTCTCGTTGATCTGTCTAATATTGACAGTGGGGTGTTAAAGTCTCCCACTATTATTGTGTGGGAGTCTAAGTCCCTTTGTAGGTCTCTAAGAAGTTGTTTTATGAATCTGGATGCTCCTGTATTGGGTGCATATATATTTAGGATAGTTAGCTCTTCTTGTTGCATTGATCCCTTTACCATTATGTAATGCCCTTCTTTGCCTTTTTTGATTTTTGCTAGTTTAAAGTCTGTTTTATCAGAGACTAGGATTGCAATCCATGCCTTTTTTGCTTTCCATTTGCTTGGTAAATATTCCTCCATCCCTTTATTTTGAGCCTATGTGTGTCTTAGCACATGAGATGGGTCTCCTGAATACAGCACACTGATGGGTCTTGTCTCTATCCAATTTGCCAGTCTGTGTCTTTTAATTGGGGCATTTAGCCCATTTACATTTAAGATTAATATTGTTATGTGTGAATCTGACCCTGTCATTATGATGCTAGCTGGTTATTTTGCCCATTAGTTGATTCGGTTTCTTCATAGTATCGATGTTCTTTACAATTTGGTATGTTTTTGCAGTGGCTGTTACTGGTTTTTCCTTTCCATATTTAGTGCTTCCTTCAGGAGCTCTTGTAAGGCAAGCCTGGTGATGACAAAATCTCTCAGCATTTGCTTGTCTGTAAAGGATTTTATTTCTCCTTCACTTATGAAGCTTAGTTTGGAAATGAAATGAAATTCTGGATTGAAAATTCTTTTCTTTAAGAATGTTGAATATTGGCTGCCACTCTCTTCTGGCTTGTAGGGTTTCTGCAGAAAGATCCGCTGTTAGCCTGATGGGCTTCCCTTTGTGGGTAACCCGACCTTTCTCTAGCTGTCCTTAACATTTTTTCCTTCATTTCAACGTTGGTGAATCTGACAATTATGTGTCTTGGGGTTGCTCTTCTCGAGCAGTATCTTTGTGGTGTTCTCTGTATTTCCTGAATTTGAATGTTGGCCTGTCTTGCTAGGTTGGGGAAGTTCCCCTGGATAATATCCTGAAGAGTGTTTTCCAACTTGGTTCCATTCTTCCCGTCACTTTCAGGTACACCAATCAAACATAGGTTTGGTCTTTTCATATAGTCCCATATTTCTTGGAGGCTTTGTTCATTCCTTTTCATTCTTTTTTCTCTAATCTTGTCTTCACGCTGTAATTTCATTAAGTTGATCTTCAATCTCTGACATCCTTTCTTCTGCTTGATCAATTCAGCTATTGATACTTGTATATGCTTCATGAAGTTCTTGTGCTGTGGTTTTCAGCTCCATCAGGTCACTTATATTCTTCTCTAAACTGGTTATTCTAGTTAGCAATTCCTCTAACCTTTTTTCAAGGTTCTTGGCTTCCTTCCATTGGGTTAGAACATGCTCCTTTAGCTTGGAGGAGTTTGTTATTACCCACCTTCTGAAGCCTACTTCTGTCAATTCATCAAACTCATTCTCTGTTCAGTTTTGTTCCCTTGCTGGCAAGGAGCTGTGATCCTTTGGAGGAAAAGAGGCCTCTGGTTTTTGGAATTTTCAGCCTTTTTGCACTGATTTTTCCTCATCTTTGTGGGTTTATCTACCTTTGTTCTTTGATGTTGGTGACCTTCATATGTGGTTTTTGCGTGGACGTCCTTTTTGTTGATGTTGATGCTATTCCTTTCTGTTTGTTGGTTTTCCTTCTAACAGTCAGGCCCCTCTGCTGCAGGTCTGCTGGAGTTTGTTGGAGGTCCACTCCAGATCCTGTTTGCCTAGGTATCACCAGCAGAGGCTGAAGAACAGCAAAGATTGCTTCCTGTTCCTTCCTCTGGAAGCTTTGTCCCAGAGGGACCCCCACTAGATGCCAGCCGGCGCTCTCCTGTATGAGGTGTCTGTCAACCCCTGCTGAGAGGTGTCTCCCAGTCAGAAGGCACAGGGGTCAGGGACCCACTTGAGGAGGCAGTCTGTCCCTTACCAGAGCTTGAGCGCTGTGATGGGAGATCCGCTGCTCTCTTCAGAGCCAGCAGGCAGGAATGTTTAAGTCTGCTGAAGCTGCGCTCACATCCGCCCCTTCCCCCAGGCGGTCTGTCCCAGGGAGATGGGGATTTTGTCTGTAAGCCCCTGAATGGGGCTGTTACCTTTCCTTCAGAGATGCCCTGCCCAGTGAGGAGGAATCTAGAGAGGCAGTCTGGTTACAGTGACTTTCCCGAGCTGCGGTGGGCTCTGCCGAGTTTGAACTTCCTGGCGGCTTTGTTTACATTGTGAGGGGAAAACTAACTACTCAAGCCTCAGTAATGGCAGATGCCCCTCCCCCCCCACAAAGCTCAAGCGTCTAAGGTCGACTTCAGACTGCTGTGCGCGCAGCGAGAATTTCAAGCCAGTGGATCTTAGCTTCCTGGGCTCCGTGGGGGTGGGACCTGCTGAGCTAGACCACTTGGCTCCCTGGCTTCAGCCCCCTTTCCAGGGGAGTGAACAGTTTTGTCTCACTGGCATTCCAGGCGCCACTGGGGTACGAAAAAAAAACTCCTGCAGCTAGCTTGGTGTCTGCCCAAATGACCACCCAGTTTTGTGCTTGAAACCCAGGGCCCTGGTGGTGTAGGCACCCGAGGGAATCTCCTAGTCTGCAGGTTGCAAAGACCACGGCAAAAGCGTAGTATCTGGGCTAGAGTGCACCATTCCTCAAGGCACAGTCTCTCACGGCTTCCCTTGACTCGGGGAGGGAGTTCCCCAACCCCTTGTGCTTCCTGGGTGATGCAGAGCCCCACCCTGCTTCAGCTCAGCCTCCGTGGGCTGTACCTACTGTCTAACCAGTCCCAGTGTGATAAGCTGGGTACCTCAGTTGGAAATGCAGAAATCACCTGCCTTCTGCATTGATCTTGCTGGGAGCTGCAGACCGGAGCCGTTTCTACTTGACCATCTTGCCAGCCACCACTGTTAGTGTTCCACTAGGAACACTGGTGTCCTTTCCCTGCCTCAGTGAAAGCATGAGTTGAGATACAGCTTCTATCGGCCTGGGTCCCCAGGTAATATTAGTGTTCCTCTTATAAGAACACTAATCCTATCAGATCAGGGCCCTGCCCTTAAGACCTCATTTAATCTTAATTAGTTCCTTAGAGTCCCCATCTTCAAATACGCTGGGGGTTAGGGCTCTAACTTATGAATTTTAGACAGACATAAACATTTAGTCCATAGCATTCATTGTGCTGTGTGTATTAGCAGAACTTTATAAACCACAATAAGCTTTATTAACATAAGAAATGATACATGGGATGATAATGCCTTGGTGCCTCTCCTATACCTGGATCACCTTCTCAGTGTCCTTTAATGGCTGAGACTCTTTCCCCTGCTTCCTTAATGTAACATACTCCAAAGCTCATTTCCTGGTCCTTGTAAAATCCATTTTGTTATTCTACATTTTCTTGAAGGTCTTATCCACTAATCTCACCAAGGTTGATGACTGCAAGTATGGGTCTACAACCCTAAGATATCTCCCTAAACTTCAGAACCTTGCATCCCTAACCTCCTGTTGGGTCCCACCATTCATTCAGACTCAACATATACAAAACCAAAATCATCATTTTGTTTTCACAAAGAGGTTGCCCTCTGGGCTTTGTCCTCAATGATATGCTCATCCCCAAAGCAAACATGGCCTAGTCTTGCCAGGTATCCCCTGGCATGTAAAAGAGAGCTCTGAGAATGGATCTTGTGGGGAGCATTCCAGATCCACTCCCAGTGAAATAGAAACCGCCTCTCATTTCTCTAAGGTCTGCCCCTTCCACTCTGAACATTCACAGGATTATGGATTATCTATGCACAGGGGTGGGCTGCGGGAATGAGAGTGCCTATGAATAAAGCCGCTTCAGTAAAACACGAACACTCTAATTCCAGGTCCACCAGCACTTAGTCACAAGCCTCCCTCCCTCATATCTTACAGTTCTGATAATATTGTCTATGTTTTTATCTGACAGCGCCCCCTGCCCCATCATGCCCCACCATGGCGTCTGTGTTGGGGCAGACTGCTGGATTGGTGGAGGAGTCAGAAGCACGCAAGGGGTAGATCTTGACTGAAGTGGCTCAGGGCTCTGTGGATATCAGACTGTGTGGTGGCACCTTTAATATTCCCTGGAGCAACATCTACTATTCTTGCAAACAACCTAATAAAAGTCACCTGGACTTAACGAGGAAGGCATTCAGGGAATTTCACTGGAGCTTCCTGCCTGCTAGTCACTAGGGCCAGCCACAGATATTCCATTTCTCCTCCTTTGAGCACATAGTGGGAGGGTACCTCCCTTCCCCCTTGGAAGTTAGGTGTGATTTGTGACTTGCTTTGGCCAATGAGATGTGAGCAGAAACAATGTGGATCAATTCTAATTGAAGCTTTAAGAACCTGAGTCTGTATGGCTGGCTATCATTAAGTCAAAAATAACAAGATGCTGGCAAGGTTGTGGAGAAAAAGGAACACTTATACACTGTTGGTGGGAGTGTAAATTAGTTCACCCATTGTGGAAGACACTGTGGCAATTCCTCAAAGACTTAGAGACAGAAATACCATTCAGCCCAGCAATCCCATTTCTGGGTACATACCCAAAGGAATATAAATCATTCTATTATAAAGACACATGCATGCATTATGAACATATGCATGTATGTTCTTTCATTGGCACTATTCACAATAGTAAAGACATGGAATCAACCTAAATGCCCATCAATGATAAACTTGATAAAGAAAATGTCGTATATATATATATATACCATGGAATACTATGCAGCCATAAAAAAGAATGAGATTATGTCCTTTGCAGGGACACGGATGGAGCTGGAGGCCATTATCCCCAGCAAACTAATTCAGGAACAGAAAACCAAATACTGCATATTCTCACTTATAAGTGGGAGCTAAATGAAGAGAACACATGGACACAGACAGGGGAACAACACACACTGGAGCCTATCAGAGGGCAGAGACTGGGAGGAGGGAGAAGGTCAGGAAAAATAACTAATGGATTACTAAGCTGAATAACTGGGTGATGAAATAATCTGTATAACAACCCCCCATGACACGTTTGCCTATGTAATAAACCTGTACATCCTGCACATGTACCGCTGAACTTAAAATAAAAGTTAGAAAAAAAAAAACAAAAACAAAGAATTTGAGCCTAGGTCACTTGTTCCCTTTCCCTGCCTCAGTGAAATCATGAGTTGAGATACAGCTTCTACCAGCCTGGGTCCCCAGGTAAGCAAAATACACCCACCCTTACACGTGGAAGGTGAACAGCAGGCAAGCTTTTGTCATGTTAAGTCATTTGGATCTGGGGGTTATTTGTTACTGTAACATAAGCCAGCCACTGCTGACAGATACAATCACTGTTCATGTCACCAGTTGGCGACCTTCACTTTCTGACTCAGCCTCCCCTCTGGCTTTTCAGTTGCCACTCTTTAGTTCAGCTCTCAGGGACACACAGTGCACTCAAGCTACCCAAACATAAAGCTGCCCCCTAGCAGTTTTAAGGATTAAAACTGATATCTGATGCCCTATAGCCTATAGCAACCCAGCAAAACTCCAGTCTCATGCTGCAGCCCCATTACCCTTGGCATGAAAACAGGTAGAATTTGCTCCAATCTCAGCACCTAAACAAGTGGCTTCCTATGAAACTGCCCATGCTCGGTGTAATGGACATATATATTTATTGTCCAAGACAGAGAGTGAAAGGGGACTGGGACGACAGGCATAAACTATCACTGTCCTGGGTGAACTGGGATGCACGGGCACCCTAATTCCACTTTTGCCATCTTTACAGTAATAGGTCCCAGGCTATGAGAAAAATTCCTGGAGGCATTATCTAAGGATAGGTCACCAAATCCAGGAAATGCAATTAAAGGCTTAAGAAGAACCATCTGGTAAAATTAATGTGTTTATCAGAGAGTATACTCCGCTTTTACTATTCTATGTGGCATTGCACTGAATGAGCGCAGCTGTTTCCCTAAGTAGGCACATGTGAATAGCAGTAGACATCCAAACAAAACCAAGAGCCCGATGCAAAATCCAGCCGTAAAGCCCTGCAGAAGCATTAGCAGTGTCTTCCTCCCGCCGGTCAGCCTGGGAGCCATTTAAGAGGAGGAAGGATAAAATCAAGAAAACAATCTTAGCAGCAAAAAGAATTATTTAAACAAAGCCAAAGTAAACTCAACTTCAGTGACCATAGGCTTCCTCTCTCCTTCTAGGCATGTGAAAAATATCAATGTCAGTGACCATTTTAAAAGACTGCATTATTTTCTAGTAACACATGGTAAAGGATAGCTGATTAATCCACATTAGGATGCTAATTAGTTGATTCAACATCTCAGTGGCTTCCAGTAAAGAAGTATGCACTGATTTTGGTAGAAGAATGTTTTCCTGTCTGTCTCAATCCCCACTTCCCTATCTCCTCTTCATGCGATGTGGGTCCCCTACCATAGGGTTGGTCACATGACCTGAGCTAACCCAAGTACCCCATCCCCCAAACTAGGTTCCAGGGATGGGAACAGGATCCAAACAAGACCATGGTATAGTTTGTCTGGGATTGGAACAGTCACTAGGTATATTAGTTTCCTAGGACTGATGTAATATATCACACAAACTGGTTGGCGTCCTGTTGAACACAAACAAGAGAAATGTATTCTCTCACAGTTCTGGAGGCCAGAAATCCAAAATCAATGTGTTGGTAGGGTCACTCTCCCTCCAAAGTCTCTGGAGGAAGGATCCTTCCACGCATTTTCCTGGTTTCTGGAAGTTGCTGGCAATCCTTGGCGTTCCTAGGCTCATAGCTGCATCACTTTAGTCTCTGCCTCTGCCTTCACATGGGCTGTCTTCCCCCTGTCTGTGTCTTCCCATGGTGCTCTCTGTGTGGGTCCCCAGTCACAATGGATTAGGGCCTATTCTACTCTACTGTGACCTCATCTAAACTTATATCTTAATTAGATCTGCAAAGACCCTCTTTCCAAAGAAGGTTACATCACAGGTACCAGGGGTAGGCTGGAGTGCAATGGTGCCATCTCGGCTCACCGCAACCTCTGCCTCCTGGGTTCAAGTGATTCTCCTGCCTCAGCCTCCTGCGTAGCTGGGATTACAGGCATGTGCCACCAAACCCAGGTAATTTTTTCTATTTTCAGTAGAGATGGGGTTTCACCACGTTGGTCAGGCTGGTCTCGAACTCCCGACCTCAGGTGATCAACCTGCCTCAGCCTCCCAAAGTGCTGGGATTACAGGCGTGAGCCACCGCACCTGGCCTAGGGGTACCTTTAATAAATCTTTTTGGGGGTGCAATTCAGCCCTCAAGACCAGGTGAGAGAGTCCCTCCCAGTATGATTGCAAGCTCAAACCCATGGTAAGCCTTCTCGCCTGCCCGAGACAGAAGTAAACAGAACCTAGAGATGGAGAAAGATGAGAAAGGCAGGGTCCTAATGTTACTGATTCCCTGGAATGCAGCCACATTTGAATCCCAGGCCACCTCTTGCATTTCCCAGTAACATGACCAACAAAATACCTTTCTGATCAAAATGTATTTAGTTTGGGTTTCTGTCACTTACAACCAAGAGTTCCAATTAATATATCCACCAATGAATAATGCTCTGTAATGTGAATTCAAGCAGTTTCCCATAATCTGGGTGGGAGAGAGAGGATGGAAATATTTGTGAAAAAGATTGGTCATGGGCTGATAACTAATGGAATTAAGTGGGTACATAGGAGCTTATCACACTATTATACTATTCTCCCTACTTTTACCTATGTTTGAAATTTTCCAAAAAATCAGTTAAATCAAATGTTCAAAAAATAAGTTCTTCCAGGTCTTAAAGTCTAGCACAAATCAGAGGGGAAAAAAATAACAGAAAAAGTAGACCCATACATAAGCCAGACAACAGCAGGCATTCACATGTAATACATGAAAACATTAGCAAAGTTTTCTTTGTGGTTTGCATAGGGCTATCAATATTAGACCTGCATCTACCAGACCTCAAGGTCTTAGACAACAACAGCTGGCTGATGGCCACCTCAGACCACGCAGAAAAGGTCTGGCAAGGCAGCTTCTGCTCCTGGGGAAATTACAGAACGCACACTGCTCAGTGTAGTGTGGAATTCATCTTTCCCCCCAGGTAATCACAATAAAGCAGCTATTATCCACAGCCAGCCATAAAGCAAGGGTGCAGCTCAGACAAAAGACAGGGTCACTTCTTCTCTAAATGTTCACTGGAAAGCATTGTTGTTCTGACACAAGAATGTATTTCAGGATTTATCAAATACCCATGATTCTGTCCCTCAATGTAGGCTGAGTCATCCCCTCTTAGATGAGAGGTTCTCTACCCTAGCTACCCATAAGAATCACCTGGGATCTTTAAGAAATCCTGATGTTCAGACTGCATCCCAGACCAATTAAATCACAATCGCTGGGGAGGGGTCTAGGCATCAGTGTCTCTAGGAGGCTCCTCAGTGATTCTGAAGAGCAACCAGGGCTGAGAACCACTGTGCTGGACAGACCTACATCTGTGAGCCAGTTGAGGCAGTTGCTCACTTTGGATACATGCCTCACTTCTCTAAGGCATCTGCTACTATCAGCTGGAGCAAACTCACCTCTGGATCTACTCTAGCGAGTAGATCTCAATCAATCCAGAACCTTGTTCCTTCTTCTTTGTATTAGTTTCCTAGAGCTGCATGACAAAATACCATAACCTTGATGACTTCAAACAAGAGAAATTTATTCTCACAGTTCTAGAGGCTGGCAGTCCAAAATCAAGGTGTTGGCAGGACCACGCCCACTTTGAAGGCTCTAGGCAAGGATGCTTCCTTGTCTCTGCCTAGCTCTTGGTGGCTGCCAGCAGTCCTTGTTGTTACCTTGTAGAAGCATCACTCCAATCTCTGTCTTCATCATCACTTGGCATACTCCCTGTATGTCTGTGTCCTTTCTCCTCTTCTTTTTTTTTGTTTTTTGTTTTTTTTTGAGACGGAGTTGCACTCTTGTTGTCCAGGCTGCAGTGCAATGGCGTGATCTCAGCTCACCACAACCTCCGCTTCCCAGGTTCAAGCGATTCTCCTGCCTCAGCCTCCCAAGTAGCTGGGATTACAGGCATGCACCACCACGCCAGGCTGATTTTCTATTTTTTAGCAGAGACGGGGTTCTCCATGTTGGTCAGGCTGGTCTTGAACTCCCGACCTCAGGTGATCCACCTGCCTTGGCCTCCCAACTTTCTCCTCTTATCAGAACACAAGTCATTCCAGATTAAGAGCCCACTCTACTCCAATATGAACTCAACATAACTGATTACATCTGCAATGACTCTATTTCCAAATAAGGTCACATTCTAAGGTTCCAGGAAGAATACCAATTTGGGTGGTGGGTGGGGGCAGTATTTAACCCAGTGCACTCTTCCTCACCCATATTAAGTGAGTATTACACTTTGTCTTCACCAGAATCCATGTAAGACATAGCTAATTGGGAGTACAATGCCTTCAAGACGTTTTATTTTGAAATCATTTTAGATTTACAGGAAAGTTACAAAGATAGTACAAAAGTTCCTGTATACCCTTTCTTTACCCAGCTTCGCATAATGTTAACATGTTACAAAACCATTTACAGGCTGGGTGCGGTGGCTCACGTCTGTAATCCCAGTACTTTGGGAGGCTGAGGCGGGTGGATCACTTGAGATCAGGAGTTCGAGGTCAGCCTGGCCATCATGGCAAAACCCTGCCTCTACTAAAAATACAAAAATTAGCCAGGCGTAGTGTTGCACACCTGTAATCCCAGCTACTCGGGAGGCTAAGGCAGGAGAATCGCTTGAACCTGGGAGGCAGAGGTTGCAGTGAGCTGAGATCACGCCACCGCACTCCAGCCTGGGCAATAGTGCAAGACTCCACCTCAAAAACAAAACAAAAACAAAAAACAAACAATTTATAAAAACTAAGACATTAACGCTGGTACAATACTATTAACTAAACTATACAATTTATGCCTATTTCACTAGGTTTTCCAACAATGCCCTTTTTCTGTTTCAGGATCCAAATCAGGATACCACCTTAAATTTAACATAATGCCCTTAAAAATGAAAAAGGTCAGAACCAAGCTCTATCCACAGAATCAAATCAAAATTTCACTTTGGCATCCTTCTTTTGCTCACCCTTCACCCTGTTCCCCACCCGTTGTATGTGCACTCAGCTAGCTCTATGTTTCCTCTGTACATCCTTCCTGCTTGAATTTGATAGTCTCAATTTTTCAGTCAAGTTAGTTCTTAACAATTTTGAGGTCATGGGACCACTCTGAGAATCTAATAGAAGCTATGGAGTCTCTGAGAACACTGCACAGATAAAAACAATTTAGCATCCAATTTCAGAGCAGTCAGATACTAATCCACTTCCCTCCTCCCCAAGGGCCTCTAAGTATAGAACCACCTTGCACAGTTTGGCTTCCCCAGGCATTGATTCTGCAATAAAATCATCACAACTCACTATCAATCCCTCTTCCAAGGCAATTTCTCCAGATCCTGCACATTGTGCAGTGCTCCATACTCTGGGTCTTGGCCAACCTTAGCTGTCCAGCCACTGCCTCGGGCTGAAGCTGAGAAGGGCTGGCTGGGCAGAGCTCTTCCACTGGGCCCTGAAGGCAGCTGGACTCCCTCTCCAGCCAACTTGGCTGTGAGCATAGAACCCCCACAAATTCTGCTTGACCCAACACCTCTTCTGAGCCCACTTTCTCCAGGGGTGGGTAGAAATATCTCAGAATGTTAAAACTTCTCAGTCCGCAAGCCATGTTATCATCTGGATTTCAACAAAGAAAAGTGACTCCAGCATGCAGAGTGGGATCAACTTGCTCTACCAACTCTGGATCTTCTGTCATCTGGAAATGACGGGGATCTTGTACTCACGGGCAATGCCTGCCTACTATTATCTTTGGAATCAGCATGTGAGGCCCCCTACAGGTGAGAACCATACAACTGTACAACCCCACATGTTCTCTTAAGCTCCCATACTACCCCTTGTAGCAGGAACCAAGGAAAGGGAAACTCCATCTGCACTCACGGCTCACAACTTTATGTTTGAACCTCTTCTCCAACTGATTCCTTGAACCCTGTTCTGTCCCCCTCACCCTGCCATCCTTGGATGTTGCTTGTTTCCATCAGTGCCTCATCCATCTGACTCATGCCGAAGATGGTCCAGGCGTCACCTGAGCTATGCTACCTTTGGTAAAGACCCATGCAGGCTTCTCTTTGCCCTGGAGTCACACTTTCTCCCCTATTGACACCCCAGCCAGGATCACACCAATACCTCCAACATCAATCAGAAGTCAACAAGAATGGAAAACAGACTAAAGTAACTTCTATGGACAGGGCTGGGTCTATTCTTACCTTCTGCAAATGGTTCCCACTCATAAAACCGGCCCATGAATGGCTTGTTGTTGTAGGATGCACACTGTACCTCCCGGATACTTCTACTGCTTTCTGGACATACCTAATAAAGCAGATATTAAATATGCAATTAGTGTCCATACTTTTCATAGCTCCAGGATACATTTCCAAACCCTGGATACCTTTCCAACTTTATTTATTTTTTATTTTTATTCTTTATTTATTTATTTTTTTTTTTTTGAGATGGAGTCTCACCCTTGTCGCCCAGGCTGGAGTGCAGTGGCCCAATCTCGGCTCACTGCAACCTCCACCTCCCAGGTTCAAGTGATTCTCCTGCCTCAGCCTCCCAAGTAGCTGGGATTACAGGCACCCACCACCACACCTGGCTAATTTTTGTATTTTTTGTAGCGATGGGCTTTCACCATGTTGGCCAGGCTGGTCTTGAACTCCTGACCTTAGGTGATCCACCCGCCTCAGCCTCCCAAAGTGCTGGGATTACAGGCGTCAGCCACCGCGCCGGGCCCCTTTCCAACTTTAAATACCAGCCCTCTTCTACCTAAACTACTGGGTTTCTGAACATTTGCTCAAAACCTGCATCAAAAAGTTTAAATGCAGATCCCCAGGCTTCATGTATACCAACTCAGAATCGTTATAGGGGCAAGAAACTTTTAACAAGCTCCCTAGGTTATTTTTTTGCACACTATAATTTGAAAACCACTGATCTAAACCTTCTACTTCTGACAAATCAGTTTACTCCATTCTCTCAAAGAGGCCATCTGCTTCTGTTTGACTTTGTTCATGCCATTCCCCTTGCATGGAATAGTAGCCACGGCAGACATGTTCAGAGCCCTTACCTTTGCCAGGCACTACTTTAAACATGTTCCACATGTGAACTCATTTAATCTTCACAACAACCAATAAGGTAAACACTGTAGTTTTACAGATTTTTCATGAGAGCAAACTGAGGCATGGAGGAGTCACACAGCCAGTGAGGTGTGGGGCCTGGATTTAAATGCAAGCAGCCTGGTTCCCACCAGGCTGTCTCTCATTGTCCGCCCCATCTTCTCTAAATTCTAGTCTAAATTCTGTCCCACATGAAGCAGGAATTTCCGACCTTCTGCATGCAAAACAATCACCCAGAGATCTTTCTGGAAATGCAAACTTCTGGATCCCTCCCTTAAGGATTATTATTCAGTAAATCTGGGATAAGATCCAGAGATCTGTATTTTATCAAGTTTATCCAGGTGATCCTG
This sequence comes from Homo sapiens, assembly GCF_000001405.40. Lineage (NCBI taxonomy): Eukaryota > Metazoa > Chordata > Mammalia > Primates > Hominidae > Homo > Homo sapiens. The sequence continues at coordinate 71,255,462 of NC_000015.10, read as the reverse complement.
ATGCACTAGACTACTCAAGGAAAACATACTGCTCCCTCTGGCTTATCTCTTCCTCATTTATAAATGGTAAATATGAGCAAAGTGTGGCATAAAGTAAATAAGTATGAGACAGAAAATAACAAGATCAGAATCTCTAATTCATATTGTGGATAAAGTATGATCTAGCTTTGTTGAACCCAAGCTATACTCTGTTTAAGAGAGTGTGTATGTGTGTGTGTGTGTTTGTGTGTGTGTGTGTGAATAATCAGAAGGAAAAGGAGCCTGGCCCCTGAAACATTAAACAGTACTGTGTAGAAGTCTCTGGAATAAACTGCTAATAGGATAGTTCAAAGTCTTCAAGGATTTGTAGAGAAATCTACTGTATGTATCAGAAATATTAGGTCTCCCGGAAGATGAGGGACCAGAAGAAGGACTGAAAACAGGTGTGAGGGTAAACATCTCCTGCTTGATTAAGGACAGTCGCAGTTGGGGAGGCTGCTGGTACAAATGCCCAGCGTGGTCATTACCCTGCTGTGGCCTGAGCCGAACCATATGGAGCAAGAAGCCCCCTAAAGCAGAAAATGATGGAAACTGGTAGGAAAAAACAGGCAGGGTGAACAAGCAGGGTGGGCTGAGCTCTGACAATCAGGGAGAGGCGGACAGGCCACAGAAGCCTGTCTCCTAGGGCTCTGGAAGCCAACCTGCTGGCAACCCTAAAGCTGGGCCCATGTAAGCTTCCAGCAACACCAGCTGTCTCCATGAAGGCTTTTGAGTTAACTAAGATGCTTTTCACATGCCTTTGGCCTGAGCCAGAGTTCAAGTAGGATGTGAACAGCTGGGTGACTTGGAGAGGCCACCATCCCTGCAGCAGTCCCCAAGTACGGCTTCGAGAAAGAAACCTTAAGGAGTTTGTTAAAAATGCAGATTCTCAAGCCTCACTCTGGCAGAAGAGTGGGGATGAGAGCCCAGGAATATATGCTTGAAGTGCTCCTTGGGTGATTCTGGTGTGGCCTGTGCATCCTAACCTGTGCAGCAGCGATGAAGGGCCACGCCCAAGCCCCATCTCACTCCACTCCAAATGACTTAACGTGGAATCACAGAGTGCTAGAGCAAAAGAGAATCAAATCCAACCCCTTTCATTTACAGATGAGGGAACTGAGACCTGGAGATGTGGCAAGCCTTGCCAAAGGCTCCACAGTGACACAGAAGCAGAGCCCAGAGCGCTGAAGGCCCACCCTGTCCATAATCAGAACTAGAGATCGGCTGCCGGGCCGCAGGTCTTCGTAGCAGAAACAGACCAGCACAAGTGGTTGAAGGTCCTGTTCCTCAAATAACTACAACTAAGTAAAGCCAAGCTGCTCCACAGTGAGGCTCCAGCCAGAAGCCACCCTTCATTAACCTGGTGGCAGTTACCAGAACTGGAAGCTGTAGACTACAAAGACTTAACAGTCTGCTTAACCCCTTTCTCTCAATGAGTAAAATGGCTAATAGGCTAGACCACAAACCAATGCACATTCAGAATCATCTAGAATTGCTCAGTACTTGACAACATAAATGTCTGTTTCACGACTTGGAAAGGAGTCCACAATCCACTAAGTGTTAAAAAGATTATGTGTGTGGAGTGTGTGTATACATACACAGAGAGAGGTTAAAAGTGTTATCTCTGGAAGGTGATGTTATAGATGTTTTTAATTTATAATTAATCTTTAGTCTATTTGTGTTATTTAATTTTTTCTGCAATAAACATGTAATATTTATGTAATAAAAGTGACAATTGGCCAGATGCAGTGGCTCACGGCTATAATCCTAGCACTTTGGGAGGCCGAGGCAGACGGATCACTTGAGGTCTGGATTTCGAGACCAGCCTGCCAATATAGTGTAACCCTGTCTCTATTAAAAATACAAAAAATTAGCCGGGCATGGTGGCATGCACCTGTGATTTCAGCTACTCGGGAGGCTGAGGCAGGAGAATCACTTGAACCTGTGAGGCAGAGGTTGCAATGAGCTGAGATCACGCCTCTGCACTCTAGCCTGGGCGACAAAGGAAGACTCTGTCTCCAAAAAAAAAAAAGTGACAATGTATAAGTATAGAGCCCTGCCAAATACACCAGCCCTTAGCCAACTTTGCACATCTTTGCAGTTTATAATCTTAGGGTACGGCTTAATACTCCACTAATGCCTGGTGCTCTTACATCCATACACATCTGCCACCCAACTTATTGTGGGTCATTTAGGATACCCTGTCCCTTGGTCACCAATAAGTCATTTACATCTAAGCGTAGTCCAGTTCCCATCTAAGGCAGAAAAGCTTAACATGGCATTAGAGCCACAGTGATCAGCAGATCCACCTGCAGTTGCCAGGAGTCAGCTAAGCCCAGCAGGAGGTAACAAGGTAACAAGGTGTCCTGGTGGATGGGCATGGCCCTGTGTATGACTCCAGCAAGGACTCACATGACGCCAGGCAAACTGCAAGCCTGGAGGGCAGAGGGATGTGGCCAGAGAAATGCAAGGCTTCTTGGGCCCGGACGTGGAAGTGGGTTATTGAGGCAGCATTGTGGTACAGGCAAGGAAGGCAGAAGCCTGGACTGATGATGATGATGATGATGATGATGATGATACCTAACTTTTATTGAGCATTTATTAAATGTTAGACATTCCACTATGTGATTTACATATATTCAGCTCATTTAATCCTCACAATAACTATTATACCCATTGTACAGATGAGGAACCCAAGGCAACAAAAAGTTAAATGAGCTGCATAAGGTCATAGGGCTCATAAGTGGTGAAATCAAGATTTGAACCCTGACACTTTGCATCTAGAATCCATCATAGTAACCACTATGCCATGGTGCCCTTCGTGACTGTGTAGACAACAAAGTTAATTTGTGATGGGTCCCCAGACAAGAGAGCCATAACTGTGTCTTGTCAGGATAGGGCTAGAGGCCAAAGCCGGAATCAGCCCCCGAGGCCTGGCGAAGTGGCTGGCCTCCACCACAAGGAGCAGGGAGCTGCGGAGTGAGGATGAAAACCAAGCAGGGCCTGGGAAATCCTGTTTCATGTCTCTTTTATAGATTACATCTGTTTGTACTTCTCATACTATTATCGGGATGTGATCTCTCATTTTAACAGACTCTCTGAAGTGAAAACTTCCAGGTTACAGATCCTTTTACCCCTTTCTTAGGTTTTAAATTGGTTGTTTCCTGATGTCATGGACTGAGTCACCTTCACCTTATCAGTAATTGTCTGTACATTACACTGTGAACTGGCCCTGGGGGCAGGTTTCTTGCAGATAGCTGATCCTTTTCATGGGCAGAGATTCTTGTAATCTTAAGGCCAGAAAACTGAGACAGGGGAAAAGCCATGTAGATAGAGATCAGGCTCATTCAGGATGAGACCAACAAAGTCTGGAGATTTAGAGCCAAGTAATGCCTCTGGGAGATAACCTCCCTTCAAATGACTCCCACCCAAAAGAGGGAGGGATGTTTCCACTGGACTTTTAATGGAAGAGAAATAAAGACGTACTTTAATATGATTAGCTGAATCCTTATAAAGCAATATGAGCCCTATCCAAAGTTCTATCTAGACAATTGCCTGGGGTTGCTATGAGTCACAAATAGTATTATGGAAACTCCAGCCACATTTCTAGTGACCCTGGTTAATCTGAAATGACAACTGCCTGTACCCAACTTCACTGCTCAAGAGCCACCATCAGTGATCACACTGATGGTAATTAATTACTGTCATCTCCCCAGGAGACGGACAGCATCATCTCCAATGTAGCGGTGCCAAGGAACATGACCTTGAAGGCTGCCTGCGTCAGATATGTAATTTTTTTATCCTTTTCACTGCTATGGATTCAATCAAAAGACCAGCTACCATAGCAACATATGATGTATTTAATGTCACCACAGTCATGAAACCTTTTAAAAAAAGAAATCTAGAAAATGTCCCTGCACTGCCATGAGAAAGTGGCTGTGTGACCTTGGGAAAAACATTTTGCTTCTCCAAGTCTAAACTACCACAATTGAATAACAAGCCCTGTACCACCTTCCAGGCCCCAATCCCCAGGGGTTTTTATGGGGATTTTTAAGTGGTAATACATTAATGTTTCCAGCTCTCTGTAATGCTGAATAAATGTTTGCTGAAGTGGAGACACCAAATGTCCACTGTGGAGAATCCAGTAGTTCCAGAAGCCGTAATTGCTTGAAAAGTATGTGTTCTAAGCAAACATGCCCTTCCTTCCTTTCTCATCTACAGCTGGAAAATGGGCTTGTTTTCTAGCTATAGAGAAATAAAACCATGGGCCAAAATTTCGCTCCAGTTATCTTGCACATTTTTCAAATATGTTTAATATCTCCTTTCTCAAATTACACAGAACAAACTCAACCTCACAAAAACCTTTGCCACCTCCCACCACTTCCAGAAATTCTCCAGTCAGTGAATTAACTAGTTTGTCCAAAGAGTTGGGGAAAGGCTTTGGATGTTTTTCATTGTTGTTGTTTTGTTTTGTTTTGTTTTATCTGAGATTTTTGTAATTCTCAAATGCTTTTTTTATTTTTTTCATCCAAGGAAGTTCATAATGTTCTCCTAGGGAGAGGTGTTTCCCTCTCATTCAATACCTACATCAAAGCCCCAAAGGATGTTAATATGACACTAAGCCCAGCCTTTCACCCAGGCCAATCATAGATTTTTAAATATTCGAGATCCCTTCAAATCTAGGCCTATTTCAAGAGTGCTTACTTATGACTGCCTATTTATATTATTTACATATCTCTATGTCTGTAAGAAGATCTAAAAAAGAATTCTTTTTTCCCTAACTAATCAGGAAGCACATGGCAAAATGTAAACTTGTTAAAAAATTTAGTCTGGTGTGGTGGACCCATGCCTGTGATCCCAGCACTTTGGGAGGCTAAATTGGGAGCATGTTTGAGTGCAGAAGTTCAAGACCACCGTGGGCAACATAGCAAGAACCCATCTCTACAAAAAATAAAAATAAGCTGAGCATGGTAGTGCATGCCTGTAGGCTGAGGCAGAAGGATTGTTTGAGTCCAGGAGTTTGAGGTTGTAGTGAGCTATGATCATGCCGCTGCACTCCAACCTGGACAACACAGTGAGACCCTGACTCAAGCAAAAACAAAAACGAAAACCAAACCACCTTAATCTCCCAAGGAGCACACATTTCTTAGTGGCTATTTCCGGTACCACATTAATAAGACTGGCTTCCTTCCCCTCTGCTATCTGCTGAGGCAGGGTGCAAAATTCCATTCAAAGGCAAATATTCATTGCAGCGCTCCATGTGTGAGGTGTTGACAGTAATGAGGATACAAAGAAAAATTTGCCATAATAGCCTCCCTCAGGGACTTATAGCCCAACACGAGAAAAATGCATAAACAAAAATGTATAATGCATGGAAAGGAATGTAGTGAGTTGTTTGGACACAACATTTCTAACCTTGCAAAGGAAGGAGTTAACTGATTTTTCCTAATGTTGAAAAATCAAGAAAATAAAAATTGTTAATTTACTACATATAGCCAAAAATATAAGTGAAAATAAAAATGTGGCTAGTGTAGATCAGCAGGAGTGGAAGGAAAGGGGGTCAATTCTTCATCTTCCAGAATAAGGAGTTGATGGAGAAAATTTAAGTTGATATATCAAGAAGCAGGGGTATTAATGTGCCATTTAGAGTTATAGAGAGAATGAACGTAAGAACTACAAGTTAAAAATCACTGGCTGTGATTACATCTTGAGAGACAGACAAGGATATACATGTCTTTGCTGTTCTGATATTTCTTACTCTTTGTTTGTACTTTTTATAACCATGAAAAATGACAACTGTTAACAATTCTTGTGTATATAAATGTGTGTGTGTGTATATATATATGAAGTCAATAAGAGAACAACTTTCTATAATCATGAAAAATGACAACTGTTAACAATTCTTGTGTATATAAATGTGTGTGTGTATATATATATGAAGTCAATAAGAGAACAACTTTCTATAATCATGAAAAATGACAACTGTTAACAATTCTTGTGTATATAAATGTGTGTGTATATATATATATATATGAAGTCAATAAGAGAACAACTTTCTATAATCATGAAAAATGACAACTGTTAACAATTCTTGTGTATATAAAAGTGTGTGTATATATACATATATGAAGTCAATAAGAGAACAACTTTCTATAATCATGAAAAATGACAACTGTTAACAATTCTCGTGTGTATATATTTGTGTGTATATATATGCACACACATGTTATGTATACATATATATGTGTGTGTGGTGTGTATACATGTATACATATATATACATATGTGTGTGATTCACATATAAGTGTATATACATACGTGTGTGTGTGTATATATATATGTATGAAAAGGTCAGTAAGAGAATTTTCTGTGGAAATTCCAAGTGGTCTGAGAAGACAGAAAGACAAATGCTGCAAAAACACTGATACTCGCACATATTTCCTAGATAAGGAGGCTGATGATAAGCTCATGATAAGAGAAACTAGTGTTGAAACCCCCATTCTGTCCATTCAGTAACTGGCCTCATGGTTCCTGGCAAGCTTTACACCTTACAGAACTGTACTCGATTCTTACCTGGCCCATTTACTAAGTTTTTGCTTAAAATTGCAGTCAGGAAGTTATTAGCTCCTCTTTCATTCAATATCAGACTAGAGATGGAGTAGAATTAGAATCTGCCTGCAGAGAGCACGCCAATCTAGATTTGAGATTCGGCCAACATCTTCCCCTTATTTGCACTTACTCTGGGGCAGAAACAACTCCATATGGATAAATCCATTGTCAAAAGCCAGTCCTACCCCAGGGAAATTCACTGGAGAGTCATTGATACCAGTACTCATCATGTCCATGTTTGCTAAAAGCTGCTTTTAGCCCCAGGAATTTCTCCCTCATAATGTTAAGTGCACTCTGTCTAAACTCAGGATCACGCCTCCTTTGGCAGCAAAGACCCTTAAAAACTCATAATTTTGTCCCTGCCTTGCACTGCAGCCTCCCTCCTCCAGAAGAGGTCAGAGTATCAATCAGTCTCCTCTCCAGGGAGAAAGTGTTGCATTCAGAGCACCTAAAAGAAAGTGTTGAATTCGGAGTCCCTAAGAGAAAGTGGGAAGAGAGACACCTAAGTCCCCAAGACAAAGGCAGAAAGGATTTTTTGTTGTTGTTGTTGTTTTAGAGACAAAGTATTACTCTGCCCCCCAAGCTGGAGTGCAGTGGTGTGATCATAGTTCAATGCATCCTCCAACTCCTGGGCTCAAACAATCCTCCTGCCTCAAGCCTCCTGGGTAACTGGGACCAGAGGCACATACCACCAACCTCAGCTGTTTCTTAAATTTTTTGTAGAGACAAGGTCTCACTATGTTCCCCAGGCTGGTCTTGAACTCCTGGCCTCTGGCCTCAAGCAATCCTCCCACCAGGGCCTCTCACAGTGCTGGGATTACAGGCATGAGCCAATCAAGCCCAACTGAGTCTGGCCAGAAAAGGGTTGTTGTTCTTTTTCAACTGCATCTCCTCAGGCACCAGAGGAATTGAGGTTTGATTTCTCCTTCCTCTGTTGCAATCCCTACAAAAACTCTAGCTATCAAGCCTTGGGCTTCAATGAGCTTCCATGAATAAGAAACTTAACTGTTTACTCTATTCCTTGAGTTCCTATTACTTTTAGCCCTCATCAAGAAAGTGCAGGGCTGCGGATTAATCATGACTTCCGCCCTGTGTTGCCCCTTCACTGCTGAAGACAAACTTGCAGGTGAAGCCTTCACTCACTGAAAACACATCTGATTCCACCAAGAGCTCCTTGAGTGCCTCCTTCTTGCTCCTCAGCCCTTACAGGACTGCAAAGGGCCTCTAGGACCCCTGTCACTTGCTCTTCCTAAAACATCCTCCCTCGCCTGGATAATCTGCACTCAAACTCCACCCAAGCCAGGTTAATTTCCACTGTGTGGTGATTTGAAAGGACCTATGTGGCGTGTGCGGTGGCACATATGATCTGCACTGTTAATGCCTTTTTATGAGTCTATCCCTCTTACTGGACTCAAGCTGCATAAGGCAAGAGCCTGCTCGCATCTCAGTGTCTCCAACCACAGCCTAACACCTCACCCCACGCAATCAACGTCAATGTTATGCTTATGGACTTCAAGCAAAAGCCTTCTCTTGAGAATGTTTAAAAGACTGCGCCACTGCACTCCAGCCTGGGCAACAGAGCGAGACTCTGTCTCAAAAAACAAAAAAACAACAAAAATAAACAAACAAAAAAACCAAGGCCGGGTGCAGTGGCTCATGCCTGTTATCACAGCACTTTGGGAGGCAGAGGTGGGCAGATCACCTGAGGCCAGGAGTTGGAGACCAGCTTGGCCAACATGGTAAAACCCCATCTCTACTAAAAATACAAAAATTAGCCAGGTATGGTGTTGTGCACCTGTAATCCCAGCTACTTGGGAGGGTGAGGTGGGAGAATGGCTTGAACCCTTGAACTGGGGAGGTGGAGGTTGTAGTGACCTGAGATCGTGCCACTGCACTCCAGCCTGGGCAACAGAGCAAGACTCTATCTCAAAAAAAAAAAAAAAAAAAAAGACTTTGGACCAGATTGAGTCTTGCGTCCATCACATACAGTCTGAAGGAGAGTGTTGCACCAGCAGATGTTTGAGATTGGTGCTTGAAAAGACCATAGATTCTCTATCTGTACTAGGATGTGTCACCTGAACTTCCTCGTACACATTGTAGGCAACAAAATAATAATACTTCCTTATCTTTAAAGTCTACATTCAGAAATCTTACATGAATTGAACAATCTCAGAGACATGCTGGAATGCTTAAAATTCCTAGATCACACCATAAGATAGGTCTTAATATTAAACATGCACATCGGAAGACATAAAGAATTCACTGTTATTAAGCTGGTTATCTATAATTTAACTCTTATCACTTTAAAGTCACCATGACCCAAGGGTGATCACACTGAAACTAAATCACAGCTGAATTGTTGGGTCTCTTGGCAATCTCGTTTTGTCACTGCGTAAAGGTAAAGGAGCCTCAATCGCAGCTAACGTGGGACTGAGGATGACTCTGAGCAAGTCTGATCATTTCATCCACGTATTTCTTCAGTTACCACTGAGAACCTGGAAGATGTTCAGATAGGGGAGATCTTACTCCATTCCTATCTAAAGGGGGGTATGCCAGTCACGTTTATTTCCCAACAATGTGTCAGCACCATGCCTTCCATGTGTCACTGCCATGCCAGCTCTTCTATACTCCATCTTGTCTGAACCTGACATCAACCCTACACGGTAGGGATCATTAGCCCACTTTACAGATGGTCCTCAGGGTGTTAAGTGACTTGCCCAAGGAAACTCAGTTCCTCCGTGTCAAAGCTCGGCATCTGTATACCTTTTCCTCTTTCAGTAGGAATACTTACATAATTGGGTCATTCATGTCCTCTCTTGATGCTGGACACTGGGGAGGACAGATAAATGTCTACATGAGGTCATTGATGCTGAGATGCTGGGGCATATGGGTCCATCTGGGGAGTATATAAAAAAAGCAACATAGCTGAACTGAGACTGCTCCCCTTAGAAAGGCCTGTTTGCAAGGCTGGTCCATGGCTGGCATCTGGGAACTTGGATTTCAGGGCAGTTCTCACCACTCCCTAAATGATAGGAGTGGCTCACCGTGCCTAAAATAGCTTATGCTAAACACCTGATTTCTTTTTAGGAGTCTGGAATTTTGATATGTGGCAGGCAGAGGGTGCCTATGTGACCAGCCCTCAGTAAAAACCCCGGGCACAGGGGAGACTTCTCTGGTATAGAACTTTTACATGTTATAACAAGTCATTGCAGAGGAATTAAGCAAGTCCTATGTGGCTCCACTGTGATTCTGGAGAGCTTATGCCTGGTTTCCTATGCTCTTCGGCCTATGAGCCTTTCCTTTAGTGATTTTGCTTTGTTTATTCAATCCTTTGGCTGTAATAAGTCGTAACTGTGAGTGTGACTATATGCTAAGTCTTATGAGTCCTCCTAGGAAATCATCAAACCCAGGAATGGTCTTGGGGACCTCTGAAAGAGGGAATTTTAAAGAGATCATGGGGGTGTGGCCCAAGTCACAAGAAGACATGGGCTTATGAAAAAAATACATGCAATAATGGAACCTCTAAGGAATGACATCTCTCAATAAGGGTAAGCAGGATGTGGACTTGGAACAGTGGGGTGCACTGGGGAGGACACTGTGCACATGTCACAGGGAAGAGAAGGGAACTACACCTATACAATCCCGTGTCAACATGTACTTCTTTGGCTTGGGTTGGAGGCTTTATTTTGCCTTCATCCAAAATGCCAGAAGACACCATGACCTCACGAGAATTTCCTGGGATTCCTTGCAATACAGTCTCCTCAGTGGTGCCATTACCCCAGCACTCAGGGAAGCCACAGCTTCTACATGGGGAGAACAACCCTGCCGTTGGCAGCACAGGTCTGGCAAAAGGGGCGGGCTTTACAAATGTAAGTTAAATGCAAGGAATGCTAAGCGGGCATCAGCTCCACACGGATGCCAAATGCCCTCTCTTTTACTTTCTCTCTATGGTTTGCTTGGTCTTCAAAATTAAGAGATACACTACTCAATGGGAGAATATGTTGTATATTACAAATGAATTCATTTCGTTTTAAAAGAACAGCAACAGATATTCAGGAACAAGGGCATGTCTGACCATGAAACCAAACAATTCTTTACTTTTTGATTTACAAAGCACTTTCCTACCATCCCTCATTTGATCCTCAAAGCAATGCTAGGAGGTAGATACCACGACTTTTCTGTTATTCTCCGTGACACCTACTCTGTTACAAGACAAGCAATGATGCTCAATGAAGACTTACTGGTTGACTGATCAGCAATGGCCTTAGAAAAATTACTGCTTTTTAAAATTAATGATTCCTGAAGTCTGACAGTGGAAGAATAAGCTAAAAAGCAACCCAGGCATTCAATGAAATTATTAAGATCACAAATTAAGTCATTTCTATGGACTCTATAGCAGGAAATATATTTTTAATGAGGAAATTGAAGCTAATATAGAACAGCTGTCCTGTTACCCAGCAACAGAGTATTAAGGCAGATTAAATTATTAATGAAAAATATACTGGCTCAGAAATTTAACCTCTTAACATCCTCTCATTCACTTCTCTTTAATACGCAGTCTTTAAACTGATATTTTAAAAAATTCCTTTGGTCACCATATACAATTAACATTGATAGTTGGTTCTACTACTCACTAGCTGTGGCATCTTCAGCAAGTTATTTTACCTCTCTTTGCAACTATAAAATGAAGAGAAGAGCAAACTCATGGTTAAGGAGATGAAATGGAGTTAGTAGAAAAAGTGCTGAGCACAGGCCAGGTGCGGTGGCTCACACTTGTAATCCCAGCACTTTGGGAGGCAGAGGCAGGCAGATCACAAGGTCAAGAGATCGAAACCATCCTGGCCAACATAGTGAAACCCCGTCTCTACTAAAAAAACAGAAAAATTAGCTGGGTATAGTGGTGCGCACCTGTAGTCCCAGCTACTCGGGAGGCTGAGGCAGGAAAATTGCTTGAACCTGGGAGGCAGAGGTTGCAGTGAGACAAGATCGCGCCACTGTGCTCCAGCCTGGGTGACAGAGCGAGACTCCATCTCAAAAAAAAAAAAAAAAAAAAAGTGCTGAGCACAAGGCCTGGCTTATGAGTTTTTAATAATGGTAGATATTATGTAAATGCATGAAGATAAAATCAATAAATATTTATTGAACTGATATCCAAAGTGGGTATACCTGTATATATATGCATGAGTACAGCTATACAGGTCCTTAAAATAACAACATACTTCCACACCAGTTAGGAACTTACTGCTGCCCAGAGGCCTCTGTGTGCCATCTATCACCTTAGCTGTCCCAGCTCTTCCCCTAAGAGAAGACTCTTCACAACTTCACTCTCAGACTTCTTCATGCTACAATACCTAGTGTTTACACCTGGAATAGCAGAGAACCTCTGGGAAACTTATATATTGCACTTGAGCAAAGAATAAATATTGTTAATATAAGTCACTGAGAATTTGGAGGTTGTTTTGCAGCAATAGCTGTTAATAATTAATACCACCATTAAGCGATTGTCAATAAGCAATTCAAGAAGCAATGTATAAGTTACTAAAGCAATAACTTTAAAAAAAAAAAAAGAAAACTATGTAGGGAGAATACATGGAAAGCAAAGAGAAAGGAGGAAGATTAAAAGGTGTGTTAACATGGCCCAGACACCATATCCTTGCTGTCTTCATCATGCTTAGTGCCAAATGACAGAAAAACGAGGGGCAGCTGTTTCCAGGCCCGGTATGGGTTGTGTGTACTCACGTTGGTGTTGCACAGCTTGTACTGCCGATAGGCCCCGATGCATGAGATTGCTGTAGATCGGGCAGGCTGAGAGAAGCTCTGAGTTGCCCCATGGGTCCCCACACCGTGGTTGTTGCTTGTTTCTGGGCTGTGAAAGAGACTTGAAGCTGCAGGGTAGCCTTGATCATGGGTCAAAGGTAGCTGGTAGATGGGGGCCTCCGCAGCCTGCAGTCCAGAGCGAGGGCCACTGTCACTTTGGTACAAAGGCCCATGTTGGGGGACCTGGTGGGCTGGTGAACTGTAGCCATGCCTAGCAGAAGATGCTCCCTGGGACCTGGAATGGCGGGATGAGAGCTTCTGTCTCCGGAGCCTCTGTGGCGTGTGTGCAGTGTCTGTCTGCAGTGGTAAGATATATGGGGCCTTACCATAGCCATACTTGCCAGGGCCAATGGTACCACGGGTCCTGCTCCTAAAGAGAGATAGACAAGAGAGGAGATGATCAGAGTCGGATGAATTTCATGTTAACTCAGAAGCTCTGGTCCGTGGTAGAGAGGACCAGGTAGGAACGGAAGCTTGGGAAAGGGTCTATGGTAGAACTGGGAAGCAGGGGGAACGCATTTTAGAAGGCACCATCATGGAGGCTGGAACAGAGGCTCCACAGAAGTTGGAAAGTAGAATGAAAGAGGGAATCAACAGAGGATGAACAGTGGATGATGCAAGTGGTTGGAAATGAGATTAGAACAGTAAACTATGGTCAGCGTGTAATTTTTATGCAAAGAGTCTGGGCATTTTTGTAGGTCACTGGGAGCCACTGAAGGTTTTCAGAGAAGTACAAACATATGATTGCAATTTCAGCCACAGGAAACTTTCCTGTTCACTTTTTTTTTCTAATCATGTATTTTTTGCTCCTTCAACTAACTGTGATATTTCAGACCCTGTTTCCTTCACTATTCATACTCAAAGAGCTTTTCTACGTAATGGAACTTAGATAAGCAACCAAATTCTAGTGCAGTCCCAAGGCCTCACTTGCACTGACTTTAATCCTGAAAATATTCAAGGGCGTTAAATACTTGGCTCCTTCACCACTCTTGAAGTAGCCCAGGCAAAGCAATGGGTAAATGGCCATCTTCACATTGGTTTAGAAGAATTGTCTTGGGTCACACATAAAATACAGTAACACTAATGACAGTTGATGAGCTAAAAAAATATATTGCAAAAAAAAATCTCATAATGTTTTAAGAAAGTTTACGAATTTGTGTTGGGCTGCATTCAAAGCCATCCTGGGCCACATGACGCCCATGGGCCATGGGTTGGACAAGCCTGGTTTAGATCTTTAGATTTTTGTAAAGACCCACTGCCCTGAGGTGGGGTGGGGCGGGGGACGTGGGCAGGACAGGGTAGAAGCCCTGATTTGTAGCATTTGCCCACTCCTATGGTGTAAATACTTCCATCATGGCTGATATCAAGCTACCAATGTGAAGACACAGTGAGCTCTGGTGAGCAGGTAAAAACCAGCTCCAGAACACCACTGCATGAATATTTATTGTGCAACTACTCTTTGCAAAACACAGAGTTAGCAATGATGAAGAAATACAAAAATTAATCATCCATAGTTTTCAAGACCCCAACCTTACAACTGAAAGCAACTAGATCACAATGCAGGGCGGGGTAAGGGCCTTAGAGGCCATACAATAAATGTTGCTTTGGGAAATTCTGAGGCAAGAAAAAGCACTTCTGTCTGAAGGGATCAGAAAAGGTTTCGCCTTCACTGGCATTAGAGTTGAGGAGCGCAGGTTCCAAATCTCTGTGGAAGGACTTAAGTAAGTCAACTAACTCTTACTTACTTTTAAGATGACTGAGCTGGATTAAATGACCGCCAAGGTCGCTCCAACTCTAAAATTATATGCTTCCATAATAATTAATTCTACATTTACGTAAAATTGGAAATGTGCCCAAGGGTTTCTACAGGATGGCCCCATTAAAATAAGCACATTAAAATAGCAATCAAGGTGAAACATTGATTTCTGCCCTCATGAGAAAATTCTTTCTTCACTCTCCACATAATTACTGAACATAAAATTTAATAGACCACAACTAATTATTAACATCTTTATTACTAATTGCACCTTCATTCTTAGCTGATATGGAATTAAACCACGCCACAGTGTTTATTTTGCATTTAGGTCTTTCTCAATTAATCTTGGCAACACTTGGGACTCTGTTAACGATGGGGGTTTTAAGAGATGCAATTAAGAAGTTAGTCATATATATGTATATATGTGTGTGTGTGTGTGTGTGTGTGTGTGTGTGTGTGTGTGTATACACATATATATAAAACTTGGATATAATTTGCCTTTTTCTTTCTTGTGGCAGGCCAGGTAAAATGAATGACATCATGCAAAGGCAAAGGAAAGAATTTCTGCGTATGTGTGTTTTTTTAAGATCTGAAAGTCTACCAAAAAATTTTAGCCTCAAAGTAAGTACTGAATGGAGACCCTAGCTGAAGGTAACAGAGAAATGGACATGTGGAATAGCACTTCTCAAACTTGAGTGTTCACAGGCATCACCTGGGATCTTGTTAAGTTGCAAATTCTGGATCTAGGACATCTAGGGTGCAGCCTGAGAGTCTGCATTTCCAACAAGCTCCTGGGAGATGCCAATGCTGCTGGTCCACAGACCCACAGCTTTGATAATCAGTCATAGAATAAAATAGAAATTCCAAACAAAAGGGTGAAAATTCAACACTGCAAATTACCATTTTTAATGAAGGAAAAATGGCAATGAAATTCAAACCAAAAACCTCTGAGTTTGAGGCAGATACAAAAGATCTGCTGGCCCGGGACAGGCTGCCCTGCTGGAGCTCACTCAGCACTGATGAACCAAAACTGACTTGAGCTTCCTCTTGGGGAGCAGAAGAAGAACCTGCTGTTGGCTGATGACTTGTGTAAACATCTTCCCAAAGGCCTGAGGGGGTAAAATATACAAGCACCAATGTATATTTTTGTATTCATATTGCCTTGTGGGAAGCTCTGCCTAAATTGGAGAACCATTCAAAACCCAATGACAGAGCAACAGCATTGGAAAGGTGACGAAATGAATGCAAATGACCAGTTAATTCTAAAAGACCAAAGAGCATGAGCTACCAAATTGGGTGTGTTTATGAGAGATCTGATTTCTAGGTATTTGACTCAGAACATTTGGACAAGTGGCAGATTCATTCTGGCTTGGCCAGGAGAACGTTTGTTTTCCTTACAGCTGGTCAGAGCTAATAATCCTGACGGGTCTGAATGGCCTCTTCTCCAACAGGACAGAGTCCATCTGGCCGCTTGCAGGGGGGCCTCCACGGAACTGGGGAGATTTATGCAGAGCTATGATAAGTACAGATGTGGCGAGGCGATCTGTGTGGCCAGTAAACTCCTTCAGGAGAATCATGTGGTAGGCGCCCAGGGGAGCTGTTGAGTAGTTCGGCTTAGTCTCCCCAGAACCCATCTCTGGGATTTTACTTTAGGTGCTCCACTTGTCAAAGCACTGGCTAATTTCTGAAAGTTATGTCTTGAGAAAGAAATGGAAAAGGCACAGTTTGCAGATCAGAGATGTGGGAGTCAGTGTAGGCTAGTGGTTCACGACATGGACCCTGAGGCCAGCTTTCTGGGGTTTGAATCCCAGCTCTGCTACTTGCTAGTTTGGAAACTTTGGGTAAGTTACCCAATCTTTGTATGCCTCAGTTTCTTCAAACAGGACCAGGATTAAGATGAGGCCAGTGAAGCAACTAGGATGCAATATTTAAGGAGATAACAGTCAGGGTCGTGGAAGTGCTGGTAGGAACCTGAGAGTAATGTCTTCTTAAATGTTGCACCCTAAGAACCTCCCTAGCTGCACTCCAAGCCCAGTTCTGGCCTTGTATTCATTTACAAATAAACACAATAATAGTACCTTTGTTATAGATAGTTACAAAGATTAAATGACTTAAGAGCAAATGACCTAATGCTTCACACAGAGTATGCATCATACAAGTATTTGCCTTTATGTAAGAAAAGCTCTAGTTTGGCTATTTAATAGCTCTACCAACTTTGGCAAATAATGCACCTTCAGTTTTCTTAGCTGTAAAATGAGAGCATGACCATTTCATGTTCACTAGGATGGCTATACTCAAAAAAGACAGATAATAGTGTGTTGGGAAAGATAAATTGGTAACCTCATACATTCCTAGTGGGTAGGTAAAATGGTGTAGTCACTTTGGAAAACTATCTCGGAGCTCCTCAAAAGACTAAATGTAGTGTTACCACAAGACCTAGCAATTGCAGTCCTAGGTATATGCCCAAGAGAAATGAAAACATACATTTGTATATAAACTTATACATGAATGTTCATAGCTACATTATTCATAATAGCCAAAAATGCAGAAACAACCCAAATGCCTATCAACTGATGTAGAGAGAAATAAAACATTGGTATACCCACAGAGTGGATTATTATTCAGCCATAAGTGCTGATATATACTGTAACATAGATAAACCTACAAAATATTCTAAGTGAAAGAAGTGAAAGAAGCCAGACACATATGATTCCATTTCTATAGAATGTCTAGAATAGGCAAATCCATAGAGACAGAGAGTGGTTTCCAGGGATTGGGGAGAGAGGGGAAAAGAGAGTGACTGCTAAAGGGATGGAGTGTCTTTTTAGGATGATGGAACTGTTCTGCAATTAGATAGTCGTGATAGTCACACAACCTTGTAAATATACCAAAAACTATTGAGTTACATAGTATTTTTAAATGGTGATTTTTACGGTATGTAAGTTATATCTCAATAAAGTTTTTTTTAAGAAAGCATGTTTACTTACAAGGATGTTGTAAAGTCAAATTGAACTTACTGATAGAAATGCATTTTTTAAATCTGAAAGCAATTTTTAATGATTTGTTTCAACAATATTTAACAAACCTTTATTGAGCAACTTCTATGAGTGCCTATTGAGCATCATGTGTGATTTTTTTTTCCACTTGTTCACATTTCCAGCCCTGACAACGTAAGTACATGGAACACCCCCACCCCGCCCCCACACCACCATAAAGTAGGGCTCTATGAGAAGAACATGACAGTGCACAGTAAGGGTTCTAAGTCCAGGTTCCAGGCCCAGTTCATCCAACGGGCGTCTGGGAAAATTGCTGTTGCTATAATAGTTGTTGAGATAATGGCTGCAAACAGCATGTTTTCCTTACAACAGGCTGGCTGCCATCCAGGGCTGGTTATGTGTGATCTTCCACAGCTCTACAAAGATAATGCTAAGCAGTCAGCATGACTCAAGCAAAGTCACTCCATCCAGTCTCCCTCCCTACACACTCACCCTGGAAATGTGTCATCTGCAATCATCACCTGGAACTGACAACTCCCGCCTTTCTGTTTCCTGCCAAGATCCCTCTCCCGAGCATCAACCCCATGTGCCTAGCTAACCTCCAGACTAGAGCCTGAAAAGTGCACATAAGTCACCCGGGGGTCTCACTAAAATCCAGCTTCTGCTTCAGCGGGTCTAGCACAGGCCTCTGCTTCATTTGTAACAAGCTCCCAGATGAAGCTGATGTGGTGGGTCCTGGGACTGCACTTTGATAGCTCCACGTGTCACTTCGAAGTCAACACACTCAAGTCCGGATTGACCATCTTTCCTCCACAAAACTGATGCCCCTCTAGCTCTTCCCATATTCTCTATCTCAGTAGTCCTTAAACTTGAACAAGCATCAGACTCACCTAGAAGACTTGTTACAAAAGACTGTGAAGCCCCACCTGCAAAAACTCCGATTCCATTGGTCTAGGGCACGGCCTGAGAATCTGCATTTTTAACAAGTTCTCAGATGATGATGATGCTCTTGGTCTGTGGGCCACAGTGAGAACCACTGTTCTGTCTTACTCCCAAGTACCACCATCCCCTGAAGACGGCTGGCTCTTCCACCCACCCCTTCTCTCTGCATTCCACCCAAACTCCTTGGCTTACCCACTCAACCTACACAGCCTGGCTCCTGCTGCATCTCTTGTCAGCCCTGGCCCTGCATGGACCACCCACACCACTTGTACCTCCTCAGTAGGCCAAGGGACTTTATTCTCCATGTTTTGACCTATGCTGTTTCCTCCTCCTCAGCTGCTTTCTCCAGCATCGTTTCCCAAAATAATGACCTAGTCACCCTTCAGGATTCAACGGAAGCATTTTGGTGTCAATGAAGTTTTTCCTGGTCCAAACCGCCCTCCAACCCTCTCCTTCAAAGAACTGATGCCCTTCTCTTTTGTCCTTCCACTGGGCCTCATGTAGCTGTCACAGCACAATCTTCTATTATGCTTATTGTTTGCACACCTGCCTTAGTTGACCAGGCTGCAGGCTCCTTCAGGGCAGGGACTATGCCTTATTTCTTATATCCCTATAGCCTACTACAATGACTAGCACATAATAGGTGCTCAGTTAATTGACCCTAGAAAAGCTGAAATAACAAACGAATGGCTCAAACCACTATTGCCAAAGGGAGAAAAATCTCCCCTCATCATTATTGTGCCTGTTTAATTTCTGTTATATGAATTATTATATCTTATTAAAAGACTGTTAAACTATTATGGCCCTGAGGACAAAGCCACCTCCTTCTATGTAGGAACAGAAGTCTCATCTATTGTGTGAGAGCATTTCTGGTATCAAACACCTAGAGAAGAGACAGGTCCTCAGAATGGAGAGGGACCCAGCAGGGGCTAAGACTCAGCCTTTATTTTCAAAAGGAGTGAAGAATTAAGAGCTCAAGAGCTGTCAGAGCTGGAAAGCCACCCAGGCAAAGCTGTCAGCAGCCTGCAGCTATAGGGGGGCTTCCTACCTCCTCTCAGTTTCCAGGACAGAGGGGAGTGGGCAGAGTGAGAGCCCCGCCCTCCGGAGCCAGGCTGTTTTGTGTTTCTTAGGCTCTCCGTGTTTATTTCCATCTTGTTTTCCCTTAGAGCTCAGGCAAGTTCCTTTGAGGGGCCCTGCCTCTCTCAGCTGTGCTAACATGAACCCCACACGGGCCACAGCATCCCACAGAGCAGCAGCCCCGGGGACTGCCCTCGAGGAACCAGAGGAGTGGAGCCCGAGAACCCCACAGTAAAGTGGAACTCCACGAAGGCAGATAGGCAATGAGGCTGACCACCCCTGCCCGCGTGGAAAGTCTCCTTGCACTGCTTAACCTTGAAGGTCCTGAGTTTTATAGCATTAAGAGCGGTGGCATTCCAGCCAGCATGGTGGCTCACACCCGTAATCCCAGCACTTTCGGAGGCTGAGGTGGGAGAATCACTTAAGGCCAGGAGTTCCAGACCAGCCTGGCCAACATGGCAAAACCCCATCTCTACTAAAAACACAAAAAATTGGCCAGGCGTGATGGGTGCACACCTGTGGTCCCAGCTACTCGGGAGAGGCTGAGGCACAAGAATTGCTTGAACTGGGAGGCGGAGGTGGCAGTGAGCTGAGATCGTGCCACTGCACGCCAGCCTGGGCAACAGAGCAAGACCCAGTCTCAAAAAAAAAAAAAAAAAAAAAAGAGAGAGGTGGCATTCCTTGCATCTTGCTACCTAAGTTGAGTTGCTACAGAAACAGAAATAAATTCTTCCATAGGGAAGATGAGAAGGAAGCTCATGAGATGAAAGCCTATTTATTGTTGGAGAAAGCTGAATAGTGGGGAATCTAAGTCCCCGTACTAGATTCTGTGGAGAAAATCTAAGATACTACTGGATTTTACTATGTCTAATGAATAATGTCCATGTGGCTTAAAGAGAGCCTTTATGCCACATTTGCACTTTGAACTGTTACTATATATCAAGGCTAAACTCCCAAGCCAATGTTTTGGGGCAAATTTCCCGGAGACTAAGTATCACAGGGTCCTGGTTACAAATGTGAGGATGCTGCATCTGAGGGCTGCCTCAATGCCAGCCTCCGAAATGTGGACAGATACTCCTCTATTTCTCCTGGCATTGATACAAAGCATTGGCACTTTAAGCTAGGAGAGGGAGGAGGGAGATGTAATTCACAATGACTATCAAGGGAAATGCTTTTTGCCAAAATACTTTCGTATGACCACACGTATCTTTTAAAAAGGTTTTTATAGACATTAAAACAACACTAGGTGGTAGAAATTATACCGAGGAATAGTCCTTCTCAAGTGCCTGTAAGAGCACACAGAGATGTGAGTGTGGGGATCCTCAGTGCAGCCCTGGGGAGCTGGCAGGACACCTGAAACCACAGCAGGACGGCGAACTGAGGAACTGGCCAGTGCACTTCAGTCATTCCTTCTTTCCACACAGTTCTTCTAGAGTGAGACTGAGGATGATAGCGCCAGAGAAGGGAAGACTCAAAGATCAGTATGAGGAGGGAAAAGGTTTCTTTAAATTGGAAAAACTGAGCTTTATCCGTCAAGAGCCAAAGTCTGGAAAACAGTAGGCAGAGGTAGAGCTTACACTACAGACTATGAAGAAGTGTTATGACCTTGGAATGACCTTTCTGAACCCAAGGAAATTAAGAGTTTGACTAGCAGGCTGGATGTGGTGGCTCGCCAGGACTTTGGGAGGCCAAAGCAAGTGGATCACCTGAGGTCAGGAGTTCAAGACCAGCCTGGCCAACATGGTGAAACCCCATCTCTACTAAAAATACAAAAATCAGCTGGGCGTGGTGGGTATATGCCTGTGGTCCCAGCTACTTGGGAGGCTGAGGCACAAGAATTGCTTGAACCGGGAGGTGGAGGTTGCAGTGAGCCAAGATCGTGCCATTGCACTCCAGCCTGGGCGAGTGGAGAGTTTGACTAGCAGGCAGATGAGGGAGGAACCAAAAGGCAGTATTCAGAGATTAGGACAGAATGCAGTGGCCTGGGCTGGGGAACAGTAGAAATCCCAGATGTGTTTAGGGGCCTGAGAACAGAAGGGACTTGCACGCTTTATGGGGAAGCCAGTGTCCAACATAGCACCTGACTAGGATGTGGGAGGGAGGCATCAAGGTGGAGGGGCCCACCTGAGAGTGGGTGGATCACCCCTTTGTGGTTCCACAGAGTATATGGCCCTTGGTGACAGAAGGCCAGGAGGGTACATGCAGAGATTTCAGCAGCAGCCACAGCAAGGGTGGAAGGTGGCCAACAGCTTGAAGCACAGCCGACAGCTTGCTTCCTTTGCCAAGCCTGCACAGGAGCCCCTCACCAGGGGATCCAGGTCACACCTCCTGGGAAGAGGGGAGGAGAGAGAGGAGAGAGTCCTAACTGAGCTGAACATAAACCCTGAATTGATCATGCTTAACACGAAGTGTCTGAGCATCTGAGTCTCCTGGAATTGGCAAAGTTTTCCTTCAGCAATAGAAGCAGAGGCTCATGAACCACATCTAGTTATAGAAAAATAAATTGTGTTCTGCATACCTGAGTGGTGGTTGTAAATTGTAAATCTGAAAGACAATCTAAGTATCCTTAAACAGGAAAATAAGGAGCTAGTTTAATTATGGTGCATTCAGATATTGGAGTACTATGAAGCTGTTTAAAAGAATGAGGCAGCTGTGTATATACTGATATAGAAAGCTCTCATAAACATAGTTAAGTGAAAAAGAATAAAACAGTAAAGATACTAAGCTGAGGACACTAAACATGCTCTCATTTGTGCGTGTGTGTTTTTTTTAAAGAAAAAATGTATACAGTATATGAAAAATGTACACAGTATATACAGAATATATTTCCAAATTGACCAAAAGGAAACTCTGGGCAATGATTTCCCCTGGGCAGTAGACCCAGTGAGGCTCAGTTGAAGCAGACTCATTTGTCATTTCTTACCCTTTCATACTGCTGTGTAAGCAGAGTCAAAAAGAGAAACCAAATCAGTAATCTTAACGCCTAAATATGCAGACATTTCAATTTGGACATAAAATGCCCACTTATAAATACACTGTAAGCCCCAAAGACCAGAGGGACAGAAATAGCTCAAGGACAAAATATTCCTCTGAACTGTCTCATCAAGAACAGAAAAGTCATATACTCCCAGAAAGATTTTAGATCAGCACAGACCAGCATCAAGCTCATACCGAGGCGGAAGCTTCTTAGAGTCTGAATATGCTTGAATCTCATAGCCTGTGGGAAGAAGAACAATGACTTTATGATGTCCAGTCCAATCTTTTCAGTGATGACAAACACCCCAGTGCGCATTCCCAGTAGGCTAAGAGCATCCCCATCTGTCAGGTACCCAAGTAAGGAATCTCACACACTTCTGACTTCCCTCTCCACTGGATTTGTCTTTCTATGCACAGCCCTGGTCATTACTCTCTATTTGAAAGACCCACCTGGCTCATTTCTGCCTAGAAAATAAAGTTCAAACCAAGACAGTTTTAGGGCATATTTGGTTTGATGTCACATTCCACCCTTCATCATCTGGTTTCAGTCTATCTTCCCAGATTCAACTCCGGTCTTCGTCTCCCTTCCCCTGTATCCTGCTCACAACCCTTCCCAACCATCACTAATGACTCACCATTTCCCAAACACATGGGGCTCTTGTGCGGCAAGACTCCCTCCTGGAACCCTACCCTACCTACTTCTGTACTTCCAGCCCAACATAAACACCAGCGCCCATGTGCTTTCCCCACTGTTAGTACTCTCGGGGGCAGTCTGCACACCCCTTTACCACATTAACACTGTATTAGTAAGTTTCATTCTCCAGGGCTATGCTCCCTGTTTCTTATTGGTGTGTGCATGATCCCTGAGACTAGCTCTGAGTCTGACACAGAGGCACCCTGGGAATGTATGCTGAAGTGACATATGGGTGGGCCCAGAGCCTCGTTGCTCAGCATTTGTAACGAATGGGTCAATAAAGGCTACTGCTTTGGATTAATTCATAAGAGACAGAAAGGCTAGGAGTTTCCATATGCAAGAAGTCAAGGCAGCCCCACACATCTGGGTGGGAATTAAAGGGAGCTAGGAAAATTAGATCAGCAGCCAGTGGCTACCTAGAGCGACCTGAGAGCCCAAATTAAAGGGAGGAAAAATGGGAGGGAGCAGCAGCTGAGGACCAGAAACGTGTGTGTTCACCAAGGAGCCGCTTGAGCCAAGGCAAGCTGGGAGGAAGGGAGTGTGCAGCCTCGAGCTGGAAAGAGAGCCCTGTTTTCCTAAAACCCACCCTGTTCCACTAGGATCACCTGCCAAAGGGAGAAAGGATATCATGTGCTAAGTTCAAAGAGCCTGCGAGCAAATGGTTTAGGTTGAGTGCAGATGTCTTCTTAGAAGTTCTAAGACTGAAATTCCTGCCAGGGCTGTTCTGGGTAATAAATTATCTGGTGTCTACAGAAGATAAGAGGCAAAACTCTGACCACTTAGGGAAATAAAAATTAAGAAGATGAAAACGAAAGCTTCCCTGGTCGCCTACTGTGCAGCACACAGTGTCACATACGTTAGCTGCAGGTTTGACTAGATCTGCTGCTGCTCCCCACCATGTGCTGAAGACCCGAGTTTAAAGGCCAGCATGAGAATCAGCTGACAGGTTTGCTCTGAGCCTTTAGGAAAGAAGGACCCCACAGGCTTATGGGGGGTATGGCCACAGGAAGGAATGACAAATGTGTTCCAACAAAGTGAAAAGAGAGAGGTCTTTTCACAGATGGATTCAGGAGCTCTTCCAGAAGTCAAGAGGCAAGCCACCTAGGCAGAGGAAGCAGAAAGGTGGTTTTAGAGTCACTCAGATGTTAAAGGGCTTTTTTTGCACCAGGAAGCCAAGCCTCTAGAAGACCCTATACTCAGTGACCCACCCGTCAGCCTCCCAGGATGTGAGTTCCATGGGGCTGTCCCCCAACCCCAGCTGCCAAAATAAAACAGAGCAGCAACCTTAAGAATAAAAGACTCAGGCCTTCTGGGGGAAACGACCCCAGGAGATGATTTAGACTCACAGCCCCAGATATTGCCATCAGGTGGCTTCTCTTCTTCTAAGATTGTGTTTGAAAATCAGCCAAGTTTCCCTAAGAACAAGCCAACCACAGTGCTCACGGGTGCTGCTGTGCATCAGAGTGATCTGGGTTTCCAGAACTGACCTTCAGGTGCCTTATTCAGTGTGGGCCCGGAGGAGTGGAATACGGACAAGTGAGTGAGTGTTCAAGGAACCCATTTGAGTGCCACAGAAATCAATGGTGGAGAGGCTGCAAGGATGCCACCTACAGTTGAGCAGGTTACTCACTGCACAAGGACACCTGGGAGTTGAAATCCAGTGTGTCCTCCCAGCAAGGAGATGAATCTGACCAGAGGAAGAGGCATCTTTTTGGATTCGCACAAAGGTAAGAAATCAGTCAGTGGAAGTTTAAAAGAGAGATGCTTCCAGCTAAGGCTGAGAGAATATTAGATAGCTCAGAGCAAAGATGATTTTTCTTGCTGTATTTTGTGCTGGGCAAGATATCTCTGAAGGTGAAGAGAAGAAGAGACCAACAGGGACAGAGGTGGTAACATAGGATGGTAGAGAGAGCCCAGGTATTCCATCAGACAGGCCAGATCAGCCACTAATTACCTGTGTTATTGTGGGCAAGTCATTCCACACCCTGTCTCCAGCAGCAAAATGGAGATAACAATGCCTGCCTCCCCTGGCTGTCGCACAGATAAACTCAATGATTCAGGGAAAGCGCCTAGCACAGGGCTTGGCCCTCAGTGAACGCTCTGTAAATGGTAGTTACCGTGACGGCTGCACTGCCCTGAAGGTAAGAGACACAGAGCCTCCAATGTGATATGTGCGAACTGTTGCAGAGGCAGGTAGCCAAACATGGGACTGAGGAGTACGGAGGCGGCTTTGCATGAAAGAACAGTAAATGCATTCATTTCTCCAGAGTAACTAAGAGGAGCCCTCTTAGGAGTCATGCCTGTTGTTAGTATGGGTTGTAATCTGAACCTGTGTGGCCCTCCAGGACTACGGGGGTTAGAGGAGACCAAATGAGTTTACCTGTGGGGTCCAGTGCCTGACCAGGGCAGGTGCTAAGCAAATGGAGATCCTATCCCCTCTCTCCCAGGGACTGTCAAACAGTGCCCTCTGCCCTAGAGGCTGACCCCCGGCAGGTTGAAGGAACCTGAAGAACTATTTTCAGCAGTAAGTTCTGCTGAATACATTAATACTACAGCAATAATGATTATAACACAACTACACTTCTTGAGCATCTTTTATGTGAAAGGCTCGTAGAGGAAGCAATGGTATTTCTCTCATATGCTGGATGTTTCTCCCACTCTCAATTTCTATATCACTGCCTATGTACCCACTTACTCTATATCACTTCTATTTCTTTCTTTATTATAAGTATGAAGCATCGCAAGCATAATTATCAATCATGATAATAAGAAGAGGCATAGCTTTCTTCCTTGCATTAGAGGAAGTTATTTAGATGCAGGTCTGTCACCTTCAGTTAATTAAAGCCAGGAGAGATCTCTACTCGAGTTTACCTATCCATAAAAATAATTAGCACAGTGTACGGTCAGCCATATCCATGAGTTCTGCATCTGTGGATTCAACCAACTACGAATCAAAAATATTGTGAAAAAAATGGATGGTTGCCTCAATATTGAACATGCATAGACTTTTTTCTTGTCATTATTCCCTAAACAATACAGTACAACTATTTACAAAGTATTTACATTGTATCAGTATCATATATAATTTAGGGATGATTTAAAGTATAGGAAGATGTGTGTATGTTATACACAAATACTACACCATTTTATAAAAGGGACTTGTACATCCTCAGATTTTGGTATCTGCAGGGGAGTCCTGGAATCAATATCAATCCCCACTGCACACCAAGGGACAACTGTATTTAAATAATACATTCTGTATGTAGATGGCTATGCTGTATCAAATACCTGCTAAATGAATTATGTGTGTAATCCCATTTAACCATCACTGCAAAGATCAAAGTTACTTTATTTTATAGATGAGGAAACTGAGTCTAAAAGACATTGAAGAACCTGTCCAAGCTACTAAGTCTGTGTGAACAGATATTAACAAATGTGACTGAATGAATAAGGGCAAGCCTCTAAAGAGCTTAACAACTGCAACACAGTACAGCTTTTAAATACCAAATTCCCATTCACAGAGGATTACAGGGATAGACTATTTGAAGTGAGGACTTACTGGAAAATGGGAAAAATTATTGTTTCCCCCCAAATTGAGAAAGGAAACGTTTTCAGCACTAGCCCACAATGAACTGTGGTCCAATCACTGAGGAAAAGGGCAATTTTAATTAATTGCTGCTGGATCCATGTGGCCCACAAGAGAACCAAATGTTTCTGCATGAAAAAAGATTCATGAGGGAAGATAAAATATATTGTGTGCTTGGAAGCTAAACCATAAATGGGGAAAGGAAGGCTCTGGGGCAAGGCCTGACCTGGGGCATAAGGGCGAGAATGGAGTTGGGAGCAGGAAGGGAGCATAACTCAGTGTTACAAGCTGGGCTTTAAAGCCAGGTTCTCTGGTTTAAATCCCTGCTCTGCAGCCTACTGGCTCTGGGACCCAGAGCTCATCACATTGTTGCTGTAAGCACAGAATTCTTCTCATGTTACACAAGACACACTAAAGATAGTTTATGCATAAGGGTCCTATGAGGTTTAGCTCAGAGCCTCTTACAGTGCATTAGTTTCTGTAGCTGCTGTAACAGGGTACCACAAACTTGGTGATTTATAACAACAGAAATCTATTCTTTTACAGTTCTGGAGGCCAGAAATTTAAAATCAGCATCACTAGGCTGAAATCAAGGTGGCAGCAGGGCCATGCTCCTTTCAGAGGCTCTGGGGGAGGATCTGTTTCCTGGCCTCTTCCAGCTTCTGGCGGCCGCCAGCATGCCTTGGCTGTGGCTATATCACTCCAGTCTTCAAGAGCTGCATCTTCAAGTCTCTCTCTATTCTATCTTCACATCAGCCACCCTGTTGTGTGCCTGCATGTTACATCTCCCTCTGCTTGTCTCTTATAAGGACATTCATAATTGCACATAGAACTCACCTGAATAATCCAGAATACTCTCCCCATCTCAAGATACTTAATCACATCTGAAAAGACCCTTTTTCCAAATAAGTTAGCATTTACAGCCTCCAGGACTAGGGCCTGCTATCTTTGAGGACTGAGTGGGAGAGGGCAGGGAATTATTCAACCTACTACAGAGGAAACCATCGACAAACATCAGCTGTCATTGCTCTTGTTACTATTAATAGAGACAAGACAAAAGGACTACACATCCAGAAAAGGGCTTATGGATTGACAAGCAAGTGAGGACCTAAAAAACCCTTGAGGGATGTGAGCACTTTATCCTGAGAACCAACAGGCAGGCCATGTGTATTACAGGTCAACCACAGCGGGTATCCCCTAAACCTCACGTAAATTACCCGTGTCCACATTGTGGGCTCGGGGTGGCAATGAGAAGAGCAAGGATGTTAGAGTCAGGGAACCCTGCACTCAAATCCCATTCCGTCCCTTCCTGGAGCAGGATGCTGGGGACTTCTTTACCTTAGTTCAGTGTCCTCTGTAAACTGGGGCTGGTTGAGGCTCAAATAGTACATGTCAATGATGTGGCACATAGTAGGTCCTGCAAAAATGGCTGTGATTACTATGACTGAATCAACAATATGTGCAGGCTCCTGCAGGTAGGATGAGCAAAGGAAACGATAGCAACCCCCACATGCGGGAAATTCCTTCCTCCCATCCTCATATGAAGGCATCGCAGGCTGGCACTAGGTGTGCGCTGGAGGAAAAGCCCTAGCGGATTCCAGATGCAGAACTGAGATCCCCCTTCTGGGACACACATATTGCAGTCAGGCTTTTTCCATAGCCCATCGCATCTTTCTTCTGGAACCAGAGTTATGAATGACTTGGAGAAAGTTCAATGCAGCATTCTTACGGCGAATGTGATCTTTGTTCTGATAACTAATGAAATACTTCTGACACTTAATGAAATACCGCAAGAAATGAACAAGGGCTCTTCGGAGCCTTGTCTGAGATCAGAGTAACTCAAGCTTAAAATCTGGCTCCAATCCTTCCTAACCTACAGGCAGAAATGTACATACCATCAGGCCTAGCTCTGCTACAAACTCTGTTACTGAAAAGGGCTAAGGTTTCTGATTTAGAAATCAAAGCATATTGGAACACCGTTTATCTGCTTAGCATCAACAGGTAACTTCTTGTCAAACGATTCAGGGACTAAGTGCTATTCCTGCTTCAGAAGGTAAAAAAAAACACACAAAAATTCCCTTGAAGTAGGAAAACAAAAAATACCAAAAACAAGGAGTATGCATTTCAAACACTTGTATCCGTTTTCTCGGCTAACTACCCAGGATGGCCAGGGAGGCTTTCCAAGGAGAAACACAGATAAGGCCAAAGATTTCACTTCTTGCTATGTGGTTTCTGCCCCCCTGTAGGTAACAAGACTCCCTGGGTATTGACTGAAGGTCAGGAAATCGGCATGTGGCTTTGTGAAGTTTAATTAACAGCAAGTTTTCCTATCCAGCATCACGAAGAGGCCCAGTCAGCTCTAGGGGCCCCCAGGAAAGAAACAACATATTGCTCCAAAGTTATTACCGATGAAATGCAAGTAGCCTCCAACAAAGCATGGGAAAGGAGGAGCTGAAAAAACAAATGATTCCTACCTGCAGCCAGGGACAGTTTCCAGGGGAGGTGGGAATGTGTGGGTAAAACTTGTGATCCAGGCCTGATCCAGGCTGTCCTGTTTCAAAATGAACGAACCTTTCAAACAAACACACATACATCCATGTGTGCACATGCAAACACACACACGTACTCCTGTACACACATGAACATGGACACACAGACAACAAATTATAGAAAGGGACACAAGTCTCTAAATCCCAAAAATTATCTAGTCAATAGTAATAAAATAATCAAGCCATGTTGTTTTTGAATGGTGTCTTATGTTTTTTGAAGTACTTTTACAGCTGTTACCTCATTTGACCCTCACAACAGGCTTGTGTGGTAGGCAGAGGACATATAATTATTCATATTTTATAGATTACATTAAGTGACTCCCATAGGCCACCCAGTTAGCAGATGATGGAGCTGAGACAGGAAGTGGGGTCTAATGATTCCCAGCCCAGGGGTTTCTACAAGGCACGAAATAGTGATCCCTTCCATGGAAGGGGGCTGTCCAAGAAGAGACTAGCAAAAGGAGGACAGACGTGTGAACAACACTTTAAAGAAAAACTCATGAGACAGAAGTCTGAATGGAGGGAATTGAAGAGTTACAATGTCAGTGCATCTACAGAGAAAAACCAGCACATTCCAGAAGCATGTTTGGAAAGGTGTTTGAGGCCTAGCACGGTAGCTCACGCCTGTAATCCCAGCACTCTGGGAGGCCAAGACAAGCAGATCACTTGAGGTCAGGAGTTCGAGACCAGCCTAGCCAACATGGTGAAACCCCATCTCTACTAAAAACAAACATTTGCTGAGTGTGGTGGCACGTGCCTGTAGTCCCAGCTATAGGCTGGGGCAGGAGAATCATTTGAACTCGGGAGGCGGAGGTTGCAGTGAACCAAGATTGTGCCACTGCACTCCCGCCTGGGCAACAGAGCGAAACTCCGTCTCAAAAAAAAAAAAAAGAAAAAAAAAAAGAAAAAGAAAATGTGTTTGAGAGCTGTGCTTCCTAGTCACCTTCTCTTCTCATTACTCTGGGTGGCAGAAAAGATGACAGGAACATTTAAAACAGCAGTTGGTCTCAATAATGCATCAATAAAAAGCAAGACCCCTTAATAACTAGAATAAGGACCTCTTTATTTTATGAATGTAGAAACTCAGGCCCAGAGAAATGAGGTGACTTGTCCAGGATCAAAGCATTCATAAGAGCTGAGGACTGAACTCTGAACTTGGGATACAAAGCTCTTTATTCTATACTGGCTGCCTTGGGCATTTACTATTTTTAACTTCATTATTGTCACTCTCCTTCATAAACACTTCTAAAGAAGAATGCTTAAGGGTAGGGTGGGGATGCATGGTTTTTCCTCTTCTTCATTTTTCTGGGAAACAGGATCACTAAATTTCCCATAAACAACCAGAGTGGATGGGGGAAAGTGGCAGGTGGTCCTGCTGGCACAGAAGTTGTCCTATTGCTTGAGTAATCATAAGACCCCAAAATGCAAGTACTATTATGGTAGGCTGATAATGTCCCCCCTCCCTTCCAAAGATGTCCACATCCTAACCCCCAGAACCTGTGAATGTTACCTTATATGGCAATGGGACTTTGTGGTGATGATTAAATTAAGGATTTTGACATGGGAGATTATCCTGGATTACCTGGGTGGGTCCAGTGTAATCACAAGGGTCCTCCTTATAAGTGGGAGGTAGGAGGATAAGAGTCAGAGAACGAGATGAGATTACAGAAGCAAGAGATTAGAGTGATGGGAGGAGGGGCCACGAGCCAATGCAAGTAGGCAGCCTCTCAAAGCTGGAGAAGGGAAGGGCACGGTTTCTCCTCAAAGCCCCCAGAAGGAGTGCAATCCTACTAGCAGCTTGACTTCAGCCTTCTGACTTCCAGAACTGTAAGCAAATAAACTGGTGTGTTTTTTTTAAGCAACTAAGTGTGTAGTGAGTTTTCCAACATCAATGGGAAACTAATACACCTGTAACAAAACTACAGGGTCAAGCCTTAGTCCCCAGTTAACCCCGGCTTCTTGGATTGACAGAGACGGGGTGGTAGATGGCATAGCCAAACAGCTTGAAAAGCACAAGGCATTAAGGAGAAATTTAGATGGGCTTTACACTGTATACATCATCTCACGGAAAAAATGTTGGCCATCCATGTTTATAGGGACTGTCTTACTCTAAGAATTTCTTGTTCAGTCCCCTTAGGACTGCTTTAAAGTTCCTCTCTGGAAAGGAGCCTGTGGACTTCCCCAGTCTCGCCTGGACACTCCCTCATTTGCAGCCTGTGCTCCAGCCTCACCAAACCATTTATGAACATGACATGCTCACTCATGCCTCCAGGTCTCCACCCTGACCATTTGCTCTTTGCAGGAAGGCCCTCCTCACTCTTGGGCTCTGCTAAAATCTTTCCTTTTCAAAGCACAGCTCAATTATTCCTCCGAAGCCTTCCCTGGCTCCTCCAGTTCTCCGTTGTCTTCCCCTCTCCTCCCTGGGCACTTGACTTGTAAATGTCTGCTTGTCTTCCTGCTCCACCCCACCAGCATGAGCCCCTCAAGGATAAGGAGTACTTCTTCTCCACTTTGTGTCAGCAAACCACCACATCCCCCAGCCACACCAAGCCTTTCCCAGCTCTTTCCCATCTTTTCCACCTAAAAAATGCAAACTAATCATTCAAGAAAGTACCCTCCACCATGAAGTGACCTTGTTCCCTAAGAATTAGTCCCACCTCTCTGCTCCCACAGCCCTCGGCTCATCCCCCAGGTAGAACACTCAGCACACTCCCTTAGGTATTCATACCTGAGCTGTTTCCTCATCAGACATGGAGGTCATGGAAAACCACGCCTCTTTCACCTGTCTACCCCTCCTGTGTTTAGCACAGTGCCTGGCCCAAAGCAAATACACAAAGAATATTGGCTGAATTCAAATGACAACAAAACTTTAAACAAGGCAATGTCTATTAAGCCCTGAGATCCAGAGGCAGCCTTAACAGCAAATAAGTATGTGAATGAAGACTTTGCAGGGCCAACTTCTAATGACAGCGGGTAGTGTTTCCTCTGGGCTTCTGGAGTTCACAGTAGAGCCAGTTTCAGTATTCCTATGTAACACTAAAAGCTTTGGGATAAATATTAGAGAAATATTTCATTTTCCATCTCAAAGAGGTGTTAGTTTATCAAACTTAGCTAAATTAATGAGTGTTACCTTTCACTTTGAAAAGGGCTTTCTAGAAAAGCAGGTCTGAAAGGAGCATGATGTCGCACAGGCTTGTGCTCTCTTGCTTGCCTTCTGCGTGACCTTGAAGGAGATATTTACTCCCTGACCCTTGAGTTTGGCATCCATAAATGAGAACACCACGCATCTGTCACACAGGTTGTAATGAAGACACGATAAAATGCTGCAGGTCAAAACAACTGCCAGTGTGTCTGGCAGGTGGAAGGCATTGAGACGCCTTTACTGAGCACTCAGGAGATACTGTGCTAAGCATGTGGTGTGAGTTATCCAACTCACAGCAACTCAGTGAGGTAGGTGTATTATTATTCCCACCAGGGAAAAGTTAAGTAACATCGGCAGGATACACAGCCAGCAAGTGGCAGGGTCAGATGGAGCATCCAAACCTGTCAATCCCAGAAGCTGCACTCATAACTATCCTGTAGTTTACAGCCTTTCAGGGTGTGTAGCTCCTGTTCTTCTAGATTCTAATAAAGCACTGTATTTCAAAGCCCCAGTCATTGAGAGCTGGCCACAAACTGCTCTTGAAGTGTGGGTCTGCACGCCTGGGCAAGAGTTTTCCTCACCCGACCAGACTCCTTCCCAACAGGAAATCAGCTCCACAGAAAAACGTCTATAGGAAACTGCTCTGGGAAGTTCTGGGAAGCCCACCCTCCTCAACCTCTTTCACCCCCAAACACCTGAGGAATATGACACACTCCCCTCAGTGGGAACAGGGTCATGATTTTCATAGTTGAGGCTTTCATATCCCAGCCACCCACAGCTGTCTCCAGGAGAAGAAAGTTGTCAACCTGGCACTGCTTGGCTCAAATTCATACTTGAAAATCTGAATTAAAGCCATCAAATATCCCATTCCCCAGATTCCAGCTGGTTAATGAGTGTGATGAATGACCAGAAAAGCTGGCTAATGTAGGCAAATGTAAGGAAGTCCAGTGGGAAGGAAAGCTTGCCTGATATCGGGCCCTTTAGCATGAGAGTGGTGAAAAAAATCACCTGAAGTCCTCAAATAAGAGAGGGCACTGCTCTCATACCCTGTCTTTGTGGAAGCTGGGTGAAACTGACCAACAGACATTTACAACACATTTCTGTTAGGTTGTGTACTTGGGTTCTGGGCCACAGGGAGTCTTTCTGGATGCCATTTTCCCCAGACATTTTGGGAATGGGAAGAAATCCACCCTGCTTTCAGAGTTATAAAAGGGAAGGTCTTCAAAGGACTTTTTTTCCAACAGGCATTTTTCCAAAGAAGATACATAAACAGCCATTAAGCACATAAAAAAATGTTCAACATCACTGATCATTAGGGAAATGCAAACCAAACTACAATGAGATACCACCCCACACCCATTAGGATGGGCACTATCAAAAAAAAACAGAAAATAACAAGTGTTGGTGAGGACGGAATCCTCGTGCACTGTTGTGGGAAGGTAAAATAGTACAGCTGCTATAGAAAACAGTATGGCAGTTCTTCAAAAATCTAAAAATATGATTACCCTATGATCCAGAAATTCCACTTCCCAATTTCCACCCAAAAGAACTGAAAACACCCATGTTCATAGCAGTGTTATTCACAATTCCTAAAATGTGGAAGCAACCTAAATGTCCACTGATGGATGAAAGGATAAGCAAAATGTGGTCTATACATGCAATGGAATACTATTCAGCCCTAAAAAGGAATATGCTACAATATGGAATAAACCTTGAGGACATTATGTTGAGTGAAATAAGCCAGTCACAAAAACGACAAATACTGTATCATTCAATTTACATGAGATACTTAAGAGTAGTCAAAATCATAGAGGAAGAAAGTAGAATGGTGGTTGGCTAAGGGCTGCGGTGGGGGAAGGAAGGAATGTGAAGTTATTGTTTCATGGGTACAGTTTCAGTTTTGAAAGATAAAAAGAGTTCTGTGAATGGATGGTGGTGATGGTAGCGTAACAGTATGAATATACTCAGTGTCACTGAACCATATGCTTAAAAATAGTTAAGATGGTCAATTTTATGTTATGTGTATTTTAACACAATAAAATAATTGGAGGAAGAAAAGTTGAAGGGGAGTCCTATAGTAACAGGGGCTCCTTCCAGCACCCTCTAGTCTACAGGTACCCATTTCCAGAAACTGAGGGGGAAGTCTCCCCTACCAAGGAGTCTCTTCAGTTTCACAAGTGTGAGTTGCTACAATGCGGCATGCTTTGCAGGACTCACCTAAACACCTTTCTTCCCTACTCGCCCCTTCCCCTTTAGCCATCACGGGGACACAGCCTTGGGCCTGGAGTGAAAGATGACTTGGTTGAGTGCCATTATGGAATCTGTTGGCCAAGACCTGAAGGATGAACCCCCTAGCCTGGAACCTCCCCAGGCTGCCATTGCCCTCACTAAATCACAGGAGAATGCCACCCTTTGTGGAGGATTTTTCTGAGCAAGCCACACTAAGAAGGGGCAGAGAGCAGGGAGCACAGACACTAGGGTCTTGGCTGCACCCAGTCTATGCTTCCCAGAGTCCCACCCATCTGGACGGGAGCTCAGTTCCTGGCTCCCTGTCTTCCTGAGTGGCCCTAGTTCACCTGATCCCTTCTGCTGCACTTGAGTTCTAACTGGTACTCTCTCTAACACACTATCTAATACCAGCCTTTAGACCCATAATGGGAGTTACAGCGTTCACTTTGAGCATCCACTATGGGCCAGGCAATATGAATGTATTTAATGAGTGTCCACTATGGGCCAGGCAATATGAATGTATTATTTCATTGAATTATTCAACAACCCCACATGATAGGTATTATTATTACTCTCATTTGAAAGATGAAGCCCCTGAGGCTCAGAGAAGTTTAATTGTCCTAAGCTCGGAATCCTTGGGAGAGCTCCAATGAAGATTGACGTTATTTTTGAGGCTTTTAGAGTAGGATTTATACTACGTATGTGCTTGTTTTAATGAGACAAAGGCCTGATATGGAAGCAAGTGGACTCAAGAAGTTTCCAGATATATTCCAGCTAAGTAAATTCTATTTATTCATCAAATCCTACCTGCTCTGTGCAGTCTTCCCTGACTGTTCCATTCCACAAGGATTCCTTCTTCCTGAACCCTGGTCGTATCTCTACCATCTCCCAGAGTGGGCAGTGTTTTTTGGGTTTGCCCTTCTCCACCACCAAAGTGTAAGGCCCCCAAGAATAGAGACTGTGACTTCTAATTTTTTTTTTGAACTCACGTGATGCCTAGGATTAGATGCAAAGAAGATTACCCTGGTTAAAGGAGCTGAACATTGAAAGGAAGAGATGCAGCTCATTTTAAGCCTTCACTATTAAATCCCATCCATTTGTCAAGACACAGCTCAGACAGCCCAACCTCCACACAGCTTTTCTGAACACACCAGCTGGAAGTCAGCAGCTTCATTTTCAGAATACCCATTTCAGTGAAAAGAACTTTAGTGTCAGACTCTGGCAGACCTCTTTTGAATTCTAGTGCTGTTGCTTCTCAAGTGGTAATCTTGAGCAAGTCACTTCATTCCTCCCAGCCTCGGTTTCATTGTTTATAAAATGTGAATAATAGTTTCTGCCTCACAGGGTTGTGTAACTGTAAATGTTGTCATGCATTTGAAAGAATGCCTGCACAGGAGACGTGCTTCAACATGGGAGCCATTGTCACTACTATCTCATCAGACTGCCTTATATTGAAGGCATTTACATGTGCATCTTTTCCAACCCTCTAGAGGAGTGGTTCTCAAACTCTAGGGTATATCAGAAGCATTTAAAATGAAGAAACGTAGAACATATAACTGACCTACAAATCAGAATCCCCATTAGGCATGGGAGATGGTGGGGACTTGGCAACTCTCTTTTTAACAAGCCACCCACTCCACGGCAAGTGATTCTGATACGTGCTCACCAAACTTGGAAAATTCTGCTAGACAATATTTGATTCCCAAAATCTTTTCCATGGAAACTTGAGTCTCCAAAGAGCTTCATCCAGACCAGTGCTTCCCAAACTTGGCTGGATTGGAATCAGACCAACATCTGAGGGTGGCCCCTAGAGATTCCGATGCTGGTTTGGAGTGTGACGTGGGTGTCAGGGTTTCTAAAAGATGGGAAAAAAAATTCTAACAGTCAGTCAAGGTTGAAAACCACTGTTCCATTGGATCTTGACCCCAGGTTTCTATAGCAATACCTCTGAGGCTTCAACCAGAGCAACTCAGATTTTACGTGTGTTATTACATAAACTGAGCCTCCATCTAAGATTGATTTTGCAGAACGGATTCTTCTGCTTAAAAAAAAAATGGTAATTTTGCAAACAACTGCTCTAGCCTGTCAGTAAGAGCCATGAGGTCCCAAAACCTGGCTTTTATTCACCTTTGTGTATGTCCCAGGGCCTTACAACATAGTAGATGTTTAATAAATATCTGGTGGAAGGTTGAATAGCTTCATTTGTTATCTGACTCCAATGAAGTTTCCTGTTGCCTAGCAGAGCAACCTAACAATTTTTTAAACATCTAAACTCCAACAGCCTTTTCCTCAAACTTCAAACCTGAAACAGAGAGTGGAGCGGACAGCCATCCTGAAAATATGCTGACATTTCTCCTTGGGGTCAAATATACTATGCAAGTACCTAATGACTGATGAATATAAGCAAATGTGATTTTCATCAGCCGGGAGGAGCATGACATATGTAGGCAGCACAGGCCTCCTAGGCTAATATTTGGATTATTTCATCAGTAACTGTCAAATCACAAGAGCATGATAAAAACTTGCAGGAACTTCATAGTAAACAGTTTAACTGGCCCCCGTCAATACATTTGAAGAAAAAAATTTCCTGCTGCCAAAACACACAGGCACAATGCCTGCAGCACAGGCCTGTGGCCAACAAGAGCCTGATCCTCAGGCAGCTCTTCTAGGTTCTCCACCACAGAGGCTTTCAAGAAGCCTCTTTCCCACTCAGACCTCACCCAAATCCAGCCCTCCATCCCTTCAGTTGGCACCCGCAGGAGGATGAGTACTGCAGGGATCTGGGGGTGAGCAGCACCGCCTTCAAAACTCAGCTTGTCCACTGGCTCTAGGTCCTCTGATTCCTCAGGTGTAACATCTACTTCATCAGGTCACGTCCTTAGAGCCACGATGGCCTGGGTTTCAAGCCTGACTCTATTTCCTTACCTCTAAAATGAAGATGCTATTAGCAACTCTCTTATAGGACCATGAGTGTAAAGTGATAAGAACAGTGCCTGGGGAGGCCACGCACGGTGACTCATGCCTGTAATCCCAACACTTTGGGAGGCCGAAGCGGGCAGGAGTTCGAGGCCAGCCTGGCCAACAAGGTGAAACCTCATCTCCACTAAAAATACAAAAATTAGCTAGGCGTGGTGGTACATGCCTGCAGTCCCAGCTACTAGGGAGGCTGAGGCACAGGAATCATTTGAACCCAGGAGGTGGAGGTTGCAGTGAACTGAGATGGTACCACTGCACTCTAGCCTGGGCAACAGAGCCAGACTACATCTCAAAAAAAAAAAAAAAGAACAGTGCCTGGTACAGGATGGATATTTAATAAACCTTAGCTATTATAAATTTGCAATTCTAAAATTAAGAGTTTTGAAAATCAAGATTTGTCTTTCCTTTTCAGGCTTTTGTCAGTTTGGTGACAAAACTCATTGGCCAACAAACCTGATCTTTTTTTTTTTTTTGAGACGGAGTCTCTCTCTGTTGCCCAGGCTGGAGTACAGTGGTGCGATCTCGGCTCACTGCAAGCTCTGCCTCCCGGGTTCACGCCATTCTCCTGCCTCAGCCTCCCGAGTAGCTGGGAATACAGGCACCCGCCACCACGTCTG
Source organism: Homo sapiens (assembly GCF_000001405.40). Taxonomy (NCBI): domain Eukaryota; kingdom Metazoa; phylum Chordata; class Mammalia; order Primates; family Hominidae; genus Homo; species Homo sapiens. Next base: position 71,217,478 of record NC_000015.10, on the reverse strand, counting down.
GCTAATTTTTGTGTGTGTATTTTTAGTACAGATGGGGTTTCACCACGTTTAGCCAGGATGGTCTCGATCTCCTGACCTCGTGATCTGCCTGCCTTGGCCTCCCAAAGTACTAGGATTACAGGAGTGAGCCAACGCACCTGGCCTCAAACCTGATCTTAACCGATATCAGGCTACTTATGATCTTTTTGTTGTATCCTGCTTGGTGAGAACATCCATATGTTTCATTGCAGAAATAATAATGTGTTTGATTATGGGATGCTGTCCCATACGACGGAAGAAATGCTATTAACATGTGAAATATGTCTGAATTACCTTTCTAAAATCTGGGCAGTTCTGAATTCCAAAACATATTGGCCATATGCATTTCAGATAAGGGACTATGGGCCAGGCGCAGTGGCTCATGCCTATAATCCCAGCACTTTGGGAGACCGAGGTGGGCAGATCACTTGAGGTCAGGAGTTCAAGACCAGCCTGGCCAACATGGCGAAACCCCACCTCTACTAAAGATACAAAAATTAGCTGGGTATGGTGGTGCATGCCTGTAATCCCAGCTGCTCGGGAGGCTGAGGCATGAGAATAGCTTGAACCCGGAGTTGGAGGCTGCAGTGAGCCCAGATGGTGCCACTGCACTCCAACCTGGGTGACAGCGTGAGACTCTGTCTCAAAAAAATAAGGGACTATGGAGCTATGCTATTACGGCATTGTGGCTGGGATCAAAAGAGACAACGTACATCTAGCCTTCGGCTTTAGGAGCAGACCGTCCTAGAGGGTGCTCAGGTTCCCATGTAGAAAGAGAGAGAGAAGGAAGCATTCCTTTGGGGCTGCCTCTCTCCTTCCCCCTCCATGCTCAGTCTTGGAACTCACTGTTCTTCACTCCTCTCTTCTGTCTACTCAAACTTGACTCATCCTTCAGAATTCAGCTGAAGAACCCTTCTTCCCGAAATGGTCCTCTCTCTCTCCAAACCCCTACTGCACCAGGTAAAGAGCATGTGGCTGGGGAGGCTGGATGTGTCGCATCTCCTTTCCACCTTCAGGCGGCTGGCAGTGACAGCTTCCATCACTGAGCTAAGACAGACTCTCATGCAGCAAGTGGCCACCGTGGCAAAGGGTGGCCATGGAGACTGATGCTGAACTGTGAGTGGGCAAGGGGGCAAGGCAGCCCACCTGATAAGCTCAGGCCCTGCCTGCTGGGCATTAACAGGGCTTGACAAATGAATTACGCATTTCTTAAGCAAAGAGAGCACATCTTACACTTTTTGTTCTTGTCCATATTTGTTTTTTGTTACTGTTTTTGCATTAGTATTCTCCCAGGATCTATCAGGAACCTAGGCACTAAGACACCCAACAAATACTGCCGGATGAATGCAGTGATCTGTTAGTATCTATTGCTTCACTCACTGACAAGCTCTTCTCAGCACCGCAATGCCTACTTTGGCATATTTATGCTTCTTAGAGCTATACCACTATTCTGATGACACTATGCCATTTCTAGAGTTTACATTTTATGACTCTGAAACAGTTTAGGTCCTTAGACATATCCTCAAACCAATGTGTTGACTCAAAAAACTTCGGAGAAACTTACTAGAAAAGTTCACAGAATCTGGAAGCCTACAGCTTGGGAGCATTCTAAGGCTCCAAACATTCAACTTATCCTAGGATTGGCAACTCATATCAGCTTTCCGGTTAGACACACTTCTTCTCGTCTTGTGTCCTCAGCTTTAATCCACACAGGCTGAGGATCTCTCCTTCCCGGCACCCGGACAGCACTCCCCTCCTGCTTTCACCCCTCTAGGAGGCCTCCCTAAAATTCTTCCTAAGGGCATTCTCAGAATTAGCCTGGCTTTGAAGATTATTCAGAACCACAGAGTGAGGTGGGAGTGGCCTCAACACTTTACAAGGCTGCAAAATAAATCAAAAGGTGAAAGGAGCTTCGTGGAGCCCAGAGCTCCTTGCCACCTGGCAGAGCAATGCATTAGTCGCACTGTCTGTGGTGCAGAGCAGCGTGCGAGGCAGGGGCAGGGACAGGGGCAGATACTGGGACAGGGACGGGGAGCGGCACAGACAAGGGCGGGCGTGTACCTTCTGTCCCCAGTGACTTCGAGGCCCTGGGGCTGTGGGTGCCGGCTGCCTCGCAGCACCGTGGGGCCCTGGCGGCTGGCGTCCGTACCGGCCAGCGCTGGCGTCTCGTCGCGGCTCCGGTGCAGTGGCACCGACGTGCGCACCGCCGACACCACGTGGTCCGCGAAGGCGCGCGCAGGGGCGCCAGGCCGCTGGCCGCCGCGCAGGCGGTAGGAGCGGGGCAGGCAGGGCCGCGTCTGCTCCATCACGCCGCCGCTGCAGCTACGCGAGCAGGCCGACCAGGGGCCCCAGGCGCCCCACACTCCCGGGGCGCCGCCGCCGCCGTCGTCCTCGGGGGCGCCCTCCGCCGCCATCCGCTGCGGGACCTGCGGAGACAGAGGCAGGTTAGGGGACCAGAACACCGCTCCTCTCTTCACCCGAAAAGCTTTGAGCAGGGTCGACTTATCCATCAGGCACAAGTAGGCACAGTCTGTTTCAAAGATAAGTATTAATACAATCCAGCCTGGCTTAGAGTCGGTTTTTGGAGGAAAGAGGGCCCCGCGAAGGCAAAAATGCCTAGGCCCCGCGAAAGTCATAATGCGGCCCTGGCTTTGGGTGTCATGGCCTTGGAGGGCTCACGCGGTTTCAGGAGTCCCCTTTAACCTCCAACTCGGTCTTCCGGATTCCCGCCAGAGGGACTGGACTTCCCATAAACTGCAAGGAAGACATGCCTTGTGTCACCCTGCCGGAAAGGCAAGGAACTGGATGGACACTGTGGTTGAGAGGCCACCGCTTTAGAGCCAGACTGCCTATGATTACACCCCTGCCACCACTTCCTAGTGTGTCCGGAGTTTGTTCCTTCCGGTGGGTTCGTGGTCCCACTGACTTCAAGAATGAAGCTGCGGACCTTCACAGTGAGCGTTATAGCTCTTAAAGGTGGTGTCACGGAGTTTCTTCCTTCCAGTGGGTTCGTTGTCTTGCTGACTTCAAGAATGAAGCCGCAGACCTTCGCTGTTGAGTGTTACAGCTCACAAAGGTAGCACTGACTCAAACAGTGAGCAACAGCAAGAATTACTATGACGAGCAAAAGAACAAAGCTTCCACAGCATACAAAGATACCTCAGCAAGTTGCGGCTGCTGGCTGGGAGGGACTGGAGGGACTGGAGGGAGTGGGGCGGGTCGCCAGCTTTTAGTCCCTTATTTGTCCCCGCCCACATCCTGCTGATTGGTCCATTTTACAGAGTGCTGATCGGTCCATTTTACAGAGTGCTGATTGGTGCATATACAATCCTCTAGCTATACACAGAGTGCTGATTGGTGTGTTTTTACAGAGTGCTGATTGGTGCATTTACAATCCTTTAGCTAGACACAGAGCCCTGATTGGGGCGTTTACAATCTTCTAGCTAGACAGAAAAGTTCTCCAAGTCCCCACTCGACCTAGGAAGTCCCCCTGGCTTCACCTCTCAATAGCAGTGTGACTGGGAAGTTTCTGAATTTCTCTGAGGCTCACTGTGCTTTAAAGATGGATAGTACCAGTACCTACCTTGTAAGCTGTAAGGGGATTTAGGTTAGGCCATCCATGTGCATAGCAGAGAGCTTGGCACTAAACAAATATTTGTTAGTAATGATAATAATGTCCCTGCTGCCATGGTGACTTGGAAGAGGTGAAAAATGTCAGAAGGTTCAAAAGCTCTATCCAAAGAGTGATCTATACCCTCATTTAACTGGTCATTTCAGAGACCTACTGTGCCAGGCTCCATGCCAAGAGCAAGCACACTGTAGTTTATTCATTATGAAGACATGCTCTGAGCACCAGCTGTATGCCAGTGCTGAGCCAGGCCCAGAAGACAAGGGAAAACACATCACAGGTCCACACAAGTGCTTAGACCCAGCAGCAGATGAGCTCTATGCAGCCAGTACAAGATTGTGGGAGGCTTTTGGAAGGGACTGGCTGTCCTGGCTGGGCAGGGTGAAGGCGGGGAGAATTGAAAAGACCTCAGAAGAGGAAACGGGAGTCACAGTCATAACTGTAATTGTTCAGGCACCTGCTCGGTGCCAGATTACATAGCTCATCTCAAGAAGAGATCATCCTAGGTAAGCCAGGTGGACCCTAAATCCAATGACAAGTGCCCTTATAAGACATGGAAGAGAAGACACGGACACAGAGACAAAGGCAATGTGACCCCTGAAGCAGAGATTGGGGTGGTGTAGCCACAAGCCAAGGAATTCCTGGAGCCACCAGAAGCTGGAAGAGGCAAGGAAGGATTCTCCCCTTAGTAACTTTGGAAGGAGCGTGGCCCTAGTGACACAGATTTTGAACTGCTGATCTTCAGAATTTCAAGAGAGTAAATGTCTGTTGTTTTAAGCAATCCAGTTTGTGGTAATTCATTATGGCAGCCCTAGGAAAATAATGGAGTGTGCTCATACTTGGAGAACAAGGAAGGAAAATGGGCAGGCACGGGCCACACTCCTCCTCTGTGTCCCATGCTGCCCAGATGGCACATGTGTAAATGGCCCGGCTCTGTGACACAGGCAGCACTAGCGCCAGTTAACACTTTCCAGGGCCCCTCAGCTCCCCCAGCCACCCAGAGAGGTTGATGTTATATGGCTCCTTTTAGAGGGAAGAAACTGAGAACCTAGGAGACTTTATGTCTTGTCCTCCGTCTCAGGCTAGTGCAGGGCACAGACAGGACTAAAATTGTCTCCCGACTTCTGGTCTAAATTCATTTTTCTCCCTGCAGCATGTGGCCTCCCTGCCTACATTGTTGCTAGAAAACAGAAGGTTAAAATGAGAAGAAATAAAACCACTTCGACAATTGTCCTGGTGGAAGGATCATTGGGATAAACGAACAAAGGCAGAAATATGTTTCTGGCACATTTGGAGATTTCAGTTATCCACCGCCTCCTGATCTCTCATTAACACAGATAACTAAGACACTGCCTATAATACTTGGATTAGACATACAGCTATACTCAAAATCCACTTCCTAGAACTAATCTCACCCTTAATTTAGTTCCTATTGCCAAATTGGGCAGGTCCCTGGGGGAAGAAAACATGAAGCCACATTCCGTCCTATTCTATTCATAATAATTCTCTAATTTATAGTCGAATTATGGTGAGTGACTTGAAATTCCATCTGAGTCCCCATGGTGAGAAACTAACCACATGCTCCAGAATTGCATTTTTATAGTATGTAGCCAGAAACAAACAAACAAACAAAAACACAGAAAAACAGAAAGGAACGAAGGAGTAGAAACAGAAAGAGAAAGGAAGAAAAAGCCAATCAAAGAAAAAATGAGGGGATGAGGGCTTGAGATGTTAGCCTGCTAGTTGCATTGACCACCCAGCCTCCCTCCACTCCTTCCTGATCCTCCTGACAACCCTCTCCCCTTCTTCTGTTCTGATAGTCAAGGAGTTTTCTGTAAGGCAAGATGCAAGATGGGACAACTTTCAAGTGTTTTGAGACATAATATTCCTAAAATTAGGACGAACTAACAGGACCTCTGTTAGTGACAGGCAGCAAAACCAAATAATAAATCATGGTAAGAGACAAAAATAATTGAACCTCGAAGCTTTATAACCTGCCAGCGTGCTGCTCCGTCCCCAATACATACTGACATGTGAAGACCAAAGCAGAAAACCTGTTCTAAAATGCACCCTAAACTGCTGGTTTTCTTCATTTATAAATAATTCTAACAAATCAATAAGAAACAGACAACCCAGTGGAGACAGGATCTAAGGGTATGAACAGGTGGTTCACAGGTGTTGTGGACTGAACCTGTCCCTCCCCACCATTCATATATTGAAGCCCAAATCCTCAGTATGATTGTATTTGGAGGTGGGGCCTTTGGGAGGTAACTAGGTTTAGATGAGGTCATGAGGGTGAGGCCCCCATGATAGGATTTATGTCCTTATAAGCAGAAGAGAGACCAGAGTAAGGAAGAGAAACCAGTTTTCTCCCTCTCTCTCTTAGCCCCACTCCCCACCCCACCATATGAGAACACAGGGAGAAGGCAGCTCTCTGCAAGCCAGGAAGAGAACCCTCACCAGGAAACTAAATCGCTCAACACCTTGATCTTGGACTTCCCAGCCTCCAGAACTATGAGAAATAAATTCCTGTTGCTTAAGCACCCAGTCTATGGTTTATTATAGCTGCTCAAGCTAATATACAACAGGAAAATAAATAACATATGAAAATTGTTTAACATCACATATAATGAAAATAATGCAAAATAAAGCACCAAAATTCTATTTAAAACCCATTAGACTGCCGAATATTATAAAGTTTGACAATACTGATATGGCAAGAATGTTCACTGCTGATTAGAATCTAAATTTGGGCAACTTCTTGGGAGAGAACTTTGCAATACCTATCACAATTTCCAATGCACATACTCTTTCACCAGCAGCTCTACTTTTAGTAGTTCATCTTACAGATATACTCAAAAATACTATATAAAGTTATATATATATACATAAAGACACATATTGCATCATATTTTGTAAGAACAACAGTAAAAAAAGGAAGCAACCTAAATGTTCATGAATAGGAGCCCAGTTAGAATGAAATCTATCCAAACAATGGAATGTAATTTATCTGGTAGGATGAGGTAGATTCATATCTGTTAAAAGGAACAGCTCTCCATATATTTTTTCACTATATTAATTAGTGAAAAAACAAAACTATAGGACAGTGTAAGAGAATAAACCTATTTGTTGATATCACTCTTTAAGTGTTCAGTTGAAACATTAAAAAATCACTGATATTTGACCATCTTTGATCTATAAAAATACAATTTCATATGATTAATACTTTCATATGATTCAATCTAATATGAGTAGTTTTCTGACCTTGGCAACTAACAGAGCCCAACTAGAAAATCTTTTCCCACCAAACAAAGCAGCAAGAAAAATAAGGCAGAATGCAGTGTGTCCTCATCACCCACCCCTCACCAACTTCCTATACTAGCCAGTTGCCCTGGGGATCACATCCACACCTTGCAGCAGCTGGCAAGGCCTATTAGCAGGTGTTTAACAGTGACACCAATAACAACTATTTATTTAGTAACAGAATACAGGCCAACCGAAGGCTAATTACTTTATATATATTATCTAATTAATCCTCAAAACACCCACCTAAAGAAACTATCATCACCTCCCTTTACAGATGAAAAACTGAGGCTTAGAGTTTATTTCTAGAGTTCAAAAAATTCGTAACAGTTCATGAGCACCCAGGATACCTCCTGTGATTTCCAGCAACGATTAGAGTGACCTTAGGGGTAGCTAAGATTCTGCACTGTGTACATGTGAACAGAAGGTCACAAAAATTGGAGTGATAGCGTTTAAATGACTTTATACCCAATGTATTAATCCGTTTTCATGCTGATAATAAAGACATACCCAAGACTGGGCAGTTTACAAAAGAAACAGTTTTACTGGATTCACAGTTCCACAATCATGGTGGAAGGTGAAAGGCACATCTCAAGAGAGAAGAACAAGAGAAGAGAAGACAAGAGAAGAAAATTGTACAGGGAAACTCCCCTTTATAAAATCATCAGCTCTCGTGAAATTTACTCACTATCATAAGAATAGCACAGGAAAGACCCGCCCCCATGATTCAGTTGCCTCCCACCAGGTCCCTCCCACAACACATGGGAATTGTGGGACCTACATACAGTTCAAGATGAGGTTTGGGTGGGGACACAACCATATCACCCATAGACTGCTGGGTCCTAAGAAAATCTAGGGTAAAGTTATTTAAATGATCAGAAAAACAAAACAAACAAAAGAGATCTTCCATTATGGAAAACGACATGTTGGTGTAAGGAAAGGAGTGGAAGATGAAGTTAACATTGGATGGCTTCAGCCTTCTATGAAAGAGGTAAGGTCTGCCACTGAGGGAAGGGAAGAGATATGCTGGAGGATTACAGACAGAAGAAGCCCAGTGGAAGAGCAAAAATACCCCTTATCTGCCCTAACTACTTTAACACAAACTCTCTGATACTCACAAGATTCATTTCAAGGATGTATATTTCCATTTTGCAGATGTAGTCACTGAGGTTCAGAGTGTCCGTGTGGTCTAGTGGATGATGTGGGCTTTAAAAATATATGTGAGATAAAAGAATGCGAATCTGCTAGTATTACTTGGTAGATGAAATGAAATGGCTAGGTAAGGCATCTAACATGTCCCCCAGCAGGGACAGAGGAAATCTCCACTTTGTCCCTTCACTGGGAGAATGTACACTACCATTCAGAAGCTTTATAATGTGTAAGACACAGGTCCAACCCAAGAATCAAATCAGTGCTCTCTCCGCTTCACTGGAGGTTTTAAAGGATGGGGGTGAGGTGGGTGTCAGGGTAACATAACAGAATTAGAAGAGGAGCTTGTTCAAAGCACACATGCCATGCCGTGACCCTTCCCCCAAGAGATTATGACCTGCCCTGCATGGGGTGAGGCTAGGGTTAAGGGGGCCATGTATTTTGGATGAAATCCTCCAAACCTGATATCCCCCTCCTCATTTAAAAACTACTGCTTGATATTATGGTGCCTCTCTAAATAGTCATGATGGGCCATGAGCCAGGGAGCAGGAAACAGAAACGACATCCAGAGCCTGGCACGGTGGCTCATATCTGTACTCCCAGTACTTTGGGAGGCTGAGGTGGGTGGATAATTTGAGGTCAGGCGTTCGTGACCAGCCTGGCCAACATGGTGAAACCCCGTCTCTACTAAAAATACAAAAATTAGCTGGGCATGGTAGTGGGTGCCTGTAATCCCAGCTACTCAGGAGGGTGAGGCAGGATTATCACTTGAGCCCAGGGGGCAGAGACTGCTGTGAGCCAAGATTTCACCACTGCACTCCAGCCTGGGCGACAGAGAAAGACTCCATCTCAAAATAAAAAAAAATAAAAAAGAAAAGAAAAGAGAAAAAAAGAAAAAGAAACAGCACCTAGAGAAGTTAGAGAAGCAGTGTAGTCCCCTTCCCATTTAACTCAACTTGGGCTGTGCAAGAGACTGTGACAGTGTTAGAGGGAAACTGAAACCCCTGCCAAAGACTTTGGATTTGGAGCTGGATGCCCTAACTGACCACATTTTGAGATCGGCTCTATGGAAGTGTTGGTTAATGTTAGGCAGGGACATTTGCATAAATATATATCCATAGGAAGGTGTATATATGGGGCAGCATTCCCCTTTCCTTAGGTCTGTAGTCACCTCTCCACATTGGATTAAGTGTGGTGGAAATGTATTCAGGGGCCCTGCCAGCTAAAGCCAAGGTAGGCAATGTGGATCAATGGACACTTCCTCCCTGGAATTTGAATTTCCAGCAAATTGACCAGCAGACCAAATGGCTTTGAGTCCTTGGCTCCAGCAGCAGCTCCTTTGAACTTGCTGTTTATGCTGAGACCAATCATGTGCAATTGCTCTCTGATGTGCCTCACTTCCCACCTGCTTCCTAGACTCGTTATTGTAAATTCCTTATCGCTTATGTTAGTTTCTGTTGCTTGCAGTAAAGAACCCTAAATGATATCTAAATCAGTGGTCCCCAACCTTTTTGGCACCAGGAACCAGTTCCATGAAAGACAATTTTTCCACAGATGTGGTGGTGGCGGGGGTAGAGATGGTTTCAGGATGAAACTGTTCCATCTCAAATCATCAGACATTAGATTCTCATAAGGAGCGTACAACCTAGATCCCTCACATGCACAGTTCACAATAGGGTTCACGCTCCTATGAGAATCTAATGCCGCTGCCCATCTGACAGGAGGTGGAGCTCAGATGGTAATGCCCGCTGACCCGCCGCTCACCTCCTGCTGTGCGGCTGGGTTCCTAACAGGCTGCGGCCCAGTACTGGTCCACAGCCCAGGGTTTGAAGATCCCTGATCTAAATGATTGCAAATATTACAATATATGCATAAAATGTGGTAATCAAGATAATGTGAAATGAACTGGGTCTGCCTTTGGCACAGGACTTGGAGGACAGAAAGCAGCTCCTGGAACGAGCAAAGGCTGGAAGAGGGAGGTGGTCTGGACTTGGCAGAAGCCTCATGATTAAGCGAGCCCAGGGCAGAAAGAGTCATTTAGCGGCAGTAATTGACCACAGCCAGAGTAACTACAGAACCATGGTCTCCATGAAACATGATGGGGCCAAGTGAATCAGAGGCTCACAGGAGAGACAGCAGGCGAGCTTTGAGAAGAACAGGAGAGGTAATTATCAGAGCAATTGTGGATGGGGTTTATTTCATCATAGCCTTTTTAAGGGAAATGAACATAAATGACCAAAATATAAGGATGGTCAAATAAATGAGGGTCAAATGAGTCCATGAAACATCATAATCATGAATAATACAGAGCAATATGGAAATAGTCTTGTAATACAATATTAATTGAAAAATGTCAAATATAAACTTATAACGACACCATGATTATAATAATGTAAAGATTCTGTAGCATAGGAACAGAGCCTGGAAGGTGACATGGAAAAATGAAAACATACGATCTGTTACTGAAGCTGGACCCAGGATAAGTTTTCTCGTAATTTAAAAAATTTCAGTCATGGTTACAATATTGCTTGCTCAATAAATAAAAATAAATAGATTAAATGGAGAAAGATTTGGAGCAGATTGTGGAGAGTGGGAGGCACAGAGTGAACTAAGAGTTGGTGATAGTCTTGTCACAGAAAACCCTGGAAATTTCTCATCGCCACCAGTAAATTCATAACCAGAACAGCTCTCAATGTTTTCAATGGATTTGGTTTCTGTACTAATGTGAAATCATGTAAGGTTTCACTGGTTTCTAATTCTCTTTCTACAAAATAAACCTCCCATCTGTTCTTCATAGAAAACGAGTCACATGCAAAGTCTGAAATTCTAAAGTCTCATTCTAAGAGAGACTGGAAAAAGTAGGTTTAGTTTTAGCCACATAACCAAGTCAACACTCTAAAGCAAACGTTTCAAAAATACACCTTGGAGTTTGAGCCCTGAGAACAAAGTTTTGGGAACCTGAGAGCAAATGAAAGCAGGAACATATAGCTGGCTGCTCAGCTAGGACAACCTGGGGCCTGTGCAGGAGCTCGGGGAGGTGGGACCACTTCATAGAGAATCTCCAAACGTGGCCGGGCGCGGTGGCTCATGCCTGTAATCCCAGCACTTTGGGAGGCCGAGGTGGGCGGATCACCTGAGGTTGGGAGTTCAAGACTAGCCTGGCCAACGTGGTGAAACCCCGTCTCTGCTAAAAATACAAAAATTAGCCAGGCGTGGTGGTGCACACTTGTAATCCCAGCTACTCGGGAGGCTGAGGCAGGAGAATCACTTGAACCTGAAGAAGGAGACTTTCGACTTGAAACAAGACTTTAGAATTTCAGACTTTGCATGTGACTCGTTTTCTATGAAGAACAGATGGGAGGTTTATTTTGTAGAAAGAGAATTAGAAACCAGTGAAACCTTACATTTCAAGCAAGGAGGAGGAGGTTGCAGTGAGCTGAGATTGTGCCATTGTCCTCCAGCCTGGGCGACAACAGCAAACAAAATTCCATCTCAAAAAAAAAAAAAAAAAGAGAATCTCCAGACTCCAGCCAGATCTAAATTCAGTATTATCACTATGGTGATAAATCATCTGAGACAGATGATTTAATGTTACATCTTGATCAACTATCTAGACTCTGACATGACACATTGCAAAAGGCCCCAAATTTTACCTTTCAGCATTCGTGTTAATGCCAGCAGCTGCAGTATCAGTGTAAGAACCTCACAGTATGGAAGACGGGAGCACAATACATTCAGCCTTGATTATTGGATCAGAATTGCCCCAATAGAAATTATTATGTAAATGAGTTCTACAAATGCATTTCAGGAACAGTTAAATGATGTATTTGCACAAAACCAAAATAAAGGAGGAGTGGGTAGAGGCCCAGGGAAACCAAGATAAATGAGGAATGAGACAGCCACGCTTTAGAGAAAATATGAACCATGCAGAGGAAAGCACCACTGACATGCAGCCACCCAGCAGCTAAGTAGTTCTGAGTCTGGTGTTCTGCACTTTCCAGCTCTACCCGAAGGCTTTCTCTCAATACCTGTGTCCTCCCAGTTGGAGAATTCTCACAGTAAATGATCTCAGACACACAAACTGCACCATACTTCTCCAAGTATATGTTATTGAGTGTATACCCTGAACACGTGGACATGCCCCTGCCCTATCTCTCCTGCTGCTGTGCTACGCTTCTCAAGGTGAGAGCCACGGGGTAATGTGCAACACAATCTACCTGACGTATAACTTGAGAAATGCAGATTCCTGGTTCCTACACCAAACCTAGTGAATAAGAACCTCTGGGGAAAGGCCCAGGAATATGCATTTTAAATAAGCTCCCCAGTGATTTGAATGCATCCTCTGGTTTGAGAATCACTGACCACTGGACACCCCTATGGGCTACTCAAAAAGAAAAGGGCTAAACTGAGCTCATAGGCTGCTACTTCCTTAGCCCCCAAATGCTCTAGCCACATGATTTTATTACCCTCAAATTTCCTGCATTTTGAACCACCCCTTCTACTTCTGCCATTCAAGTTGAGGCCAACTCAGAATTTCTCATACGAGACAAGGAAACATTCATGGACTGAGAACTGCCCCTCACATGGTACGTAAGCTAAGCAGATTCCACTGGAAATACCGTATACTTTTAATAAAAGAGGTATAACAGCAAACAGGAAATGTAGAAAGATGAAAGAAGAGGAAAGGGTGGACTCGTGGGAAGCTCTGGACTGGACCCTGCAGGCTGGTCCCAAGTCTGCCGTCCCTCTCTTTGTGATTTGAGGCCAGCTGGTCTGTGGCTCGGGACCTCAGTTTCCATATCAGTAAACTGAGCTGGTTGGACTTAATGAGGGCTGAGGTCCCTTCCAGTGCTAACAGCCTCTGATTTTTCCTGGAAGCACACTTACATTTCTTGCCACTTATTGATTCGCTTCAAGTACCACAACAGGGAGAGGCAATCCCAGGTTGTACCCAGGGCTCCCCACTGCCAGCAAAGAGGCTCTGAGCACAGAACTTCCCTAAACGCAGTGCAAAGGAGGCCCGGATGGATTTCCATGATCTTTAAAAGCAGGGCCCAGCCAAAACTACGATGCAATGAGGTAAATATTTGGATGTGATCTGCATAATCGGAAACACTCTTCTTTCTGAAATTGACCTGACTCTTTCATCACCAGCCACATGGAAACTGTACTTCGTTATAACTAGAAAATAACACAGGGCATGTGCCTTGGTACCCACTTGGCCCTGTGTTGCTGTGCAGTTACTCAGGAAACAGAAGCAGATGTCTCTGTGCAGTGCCTGGTGTGGTTTTTGTGATAGCCTCATGCTCTCCACGGCAAGTGGCTATTTGCAACCCAAGCCAACCAGGACAGTCAAAATAATGAGTAATGCATGAAATAAAGAGTGCTGGCTTCTGGACCCAGAGGCTGATTCGGGGAACAGCAATCTTCTAGCAGAAGAGTCTGCCTGGTCACTTGGCTGTCTGCATCTGGGTCAATATTCAGCACTCCCCAGAAAGCCCCTGAGTTCAGCATGCCGCTTAACAAAGGCAAGCCGAAAGCATTTTCATGGAAAGCATCAGCATCCAGCAGAGAACACAGCACGCAGCAAGTGTTCAACAAACACCTGCTGAGTGAAAGAGGCTGCAAATGGATTGAGATTTGACCTTACCTGGATTCCCTGCCTTAGCCTTTCCCTCACCCACTCAGGCTTCCCTGTAACACCAAAGGTATTTTAAGATGGAGTCTTGCTCTGTCGCCCAGGCTGGAGCACTGTAGCACAATCTCGGCTCACTGCAACCTCTGACTCCTGAGTTCAAGGTTCAAGCAATTCTCCTGCCTCAGCCTCCTGAGTAGCTGGGATTACAGGCACACACCATCATGCCCAGCTAATTTTTTTTTGTATTTTTGGTAGAGACGAGGTTTCATCATGTTGGCCAGGCTGGTCTTGAACTCCTGACCTCAAGTGATCTGCCCACCTTGGCCTCCCAAAGTGCTGAGATTACAGGCATGAGCCATCACGCCTGGCCGCCAAAGCTATTTTCTTAAAACCTAGCCCTACTGTGTTACTCTCTTGCTTACCAATGTCTCCTGGGTCCTCACTCTCCAAAAGATAAAATCCAAAATTACTCTTTGCCATGGCATCCCAAACCTGTCACCATCTGGCCTCAGCCTTCCTTTCCAGCTTCAACTCCATCTCTGTCCCCCTATGCTCACACCACGCAAGAACACTTTCTCTCCCTGCCCACCTTCACCTGGCTGTTCTCTCAGCTCCAATGCTCTCTCTTCTACTCTGCCTATGAACATACCTTTCTCATTGAGATCAAGCAGGCTCTCTCCCATTCTCCAGGGCCATTACACACCCTTCTCCATAGCACTTACCACCTGGCACTGTCATTATCTTTGTACACAGCTACGTCCCCACCAGCAATGTGAGCTCCCCAGGGCAGGAATCATGTCTTATTTATTTTTGTGTTCTGCCCGCTCTCTCTAACAGAGAGTCTGTCACCTGGCTGATGCAATCTGCTGAAGGTTACGCTGCTGGGAAGCAGTGCTGCCAGAATTCAAACTCAGATCGGCCTGCTCCAGAAGCCAAGAGATGCCCACCCCCTCCCCGCAACCACCAGGCTTCTCTAGCTGGGGTTGCTAGCAGCATGTCAAGAAGCGCCAGAGAGTCCCCCAACAAAGCATGTGGCATCTTCCCAGGTTATCAGATTCCTCAAGGGCTTTTTACAAAATGGGGGAAAACGGCTGAATTTTTTTTCTTATGATAAGTAATTTAAAACATTGTTTTAAAAATTAGAACAACCAGTTATCTTTTGGGAACAGATGTCACATTCTGAGGAATGTTTAAATAAAACAGTAGCCTTCAAGAAAATTCCCAGCATTCAGTAGGCCACTTTGGGCTTCTGCAGGCCATCTGTGTACGTGTGTGTGTGGGTGCATATATTCACACTCTTTTGCTGGTGGGGCATTTTGGTGGAGATGTTTGAGAAGCACTGCACTGTCCTGGCCACTACCCAAAAGTGCTAGAGTTGAAATGAATTAGCAGACAGGAAAGTAGCCAAGAGATGACCACCCTAAACAACGACTTTCAAGGCCACAAAGAGCAGTTCTACAGAGAGAAAGGTAAACAGGCCTCAGCTAAAGAGATTTGGGTGACAAGGCAAAGACACAGATCACTACAAATAGATGATGTTTCCAAGGAAGGGGATGTGCAAAGTCCCCTTCCCAGAGCAGTTCCAGATTGAACGGATCAGTCTTTCAGGGATGGCTTAGGTGTGGTCTCGCCTGAAAGAGAAAATCTCTGGAAATTACTTCCATCTCAAGAACTCTACGGTCCAGACCACCACCAACAGCCAAATTGGGAGCTCCCACCACTATTTCTGCCATGAGAAAAAGGGGCCCCTCTTAACAGATCTTTGGCTTGATCTGAACCTTCTGGCCCCAGCTATTCACAGAAGAAGTTTCCCAGGCCAGATTCCTTGCTCTGGCAAAGAACTGAGCACTGCAGCAGTGCCTGTGCTACCAAGGCGGGCTCCTCTTGCCTTCTGCCCATGTCGACGTGAACCATATGTACAGCAGAAAGGAGCCTCTCTCAGCAGCCCTCCTAGGCTTCCCCAAACATTTCAAGTCCCCCTGGCTCCGAGCCAAGAATCCCTCTCAGAGCCAACAGCTTACAGCCCATTAAAAACCCTGTGCAAATGCAAACACTCTCTCCATTAGACAAGGAAGAAACAAGAACCACGCCTTGGGACTGAGCTAGCAGTTGTTGAAACTAGACGAGGGGCTGGAGTCCCTGAAGAGGAAATATCACTGTATTAAAAACCACAGCTATTTCCAATGCTCACAGTCAATTACATGGGAGACCAAAGGTGCCCTTGGAGGCACTGCGTGGGCAAGCCGATTCTGCCACGTTACAGGCAGTACCAGTTTGGAGAGATGGGAGGTAACTTTGGATTTTCTAGCTGTCTGAGGCCTGAGATCCAGTGTGTTTAATCTTAAAAATACTACATGAGTACATTCATAAAGTCATTTAATCCACACCCTGAGCCTGTGAGATCAATATCATCCTCATTTTATCCATAGGAGAGTCGCTAATCTGTTTAGCATCCCAGATGGCCAAATAGACCATGTTTATTGGTGAGCAGAAGTACCATTATGAAAGCCCTCATCCTCCTGGCCCTTTCTTCTACAACACGGGGTCCTCCATCTCTTTTTTTTTTCAAACAACCACTTGGGAGTGTTGGTCATTGGGCCTAAAGAAGACAGAAGGCTCTATTTAGGCCTCAAGTTCAAGCTACACATGACACTTGACTTTAATGGAAGTCGGCACTGGGGGTCATTAGGCACCAACCCAGATAGTGTTTCCAGGCATTTGATTCACAGCGTAAGTCTTACTGTGAACTCAGTATAATGGGAATGATTATAAGTGAGCACAGCCACCATCACATGGATATAGGGCACAAAGGGAAGCCAGCTTGGGGCATGGGAAAGGCGGCTGCTCGCGAGACATGGCACAGCTCCATTTTGGGCTTGCCACCAATATGGCATCTCACACATCTGTTGCCCTTGGTGATTGTGGATGGAGTTGCATTGTATTTTCACTCTGTGCATCCCCACATCTTATTTCAATTGTATACTTTATTGATTATAACAATGGATTATGATGGTCATGGCCTATAAAGTTTACTAAAATATACTTTGTGGCCACTGAAAGCATTAACTAAATCCATAGAGAAAAAAACTATTTGGTTACTGCAAGTATAAAACCTTCAAACACTTAACCCTTTTCAGAACCATTATTCGGAACAATGGCTTTGAGCACTTGATATTTAGCCCAAGACCTCTCAGGAACATAACTAGTGCCTTATTACAAGACACATCAGACTTTGTTTCCCATTTGCTACTATTCTCAGATTCTCTTTCCTTTGAGAATCCCACAAGCAGGCTTCAGGCATTTCAGGGTCCTCGGCCATAATACCATCTGATGACGTGAAAAGCTCACCAGGATCCAGTGCCAACATTACAGACAAAGCACGCTGAGCCATACCACCAGTGAGAAGCCAATCCAGGACAGCAGCTCAGGATGTCCCATGCTCCATCCACCACCCTCCCCCTAGTCAACATAAGGTGCAAAGTCAGAGAAGCTGCAGACCAGCCTGTCTGGACCAACAATGACTCGGTGAACAACAGACCTATGTGAGAAGCAATGTGGTTTCTGGCTAAAAGAAGAGTCACAAAAATGAAAGGGAAGCATGCTGCGCCCAGGAATGTGCAGGGAGCGCTGGAAAATGCTCTCCACCACCCCTAGCACTCTGATACTCCCGACTGAAGGAGAAGCCTAGGGATGGCTACAGAGGCCTCTGAAATACCTATGACTGTGGCTGCTTCTAGAACAACAGTTCTCAACCAGAGGCAGTTTTGCCCACCAGGAGACAACAGACAATTCAGACACCCTGCCATACACACACACACACACACACCCCACACATGCACCACACACACATACCACACATGCACCACACACACACACACCCCACACATGCATCACACACAGCACACACACACACACCCCACACGTGCATCACACACACACAGCACACACACAGCACACACCCACACACCACACACACCACACACATCACACACACCCACACACACTACACACACACTACACACACACACCACACACCCAGACACCACACACACCACACACACACACACCCTCCACACATGCATCACACACACACACCACACACACACCACACACACCACACACCCACACACCACACACACCATACATCACACACACCCACACACACACACTACACACACACCACATACACACACCACACATACACACACCACACACCCCACACACACCCCACACACACACACACACCACACACACCCCACACACACACACCACACACACACACCCCCCCCCACACACACACACAGTTATCTGGCCCAAAATGTCAACAGTGTCTAGGGTGAGAAAACCTACTCTACGATAAGCCAGGCATGTCCTGAACACCTCTCAGCCTTCTCTGCAAAGCCCCAGTTCTGACTTGTGCAGAGAAGAGAAAAGCAAAAGAATCTAGTCCCCAGAGCATGGCCATCGCAATTGAAAGGAGGAAGGGGACGGAAACTGAAAGGAGGAAAGGGATGGGGCACAAAATCATAGGGAGCAAAGATCCAAAAAGAAACGGTCCAAAGGGAATGGGATTGTGGGAGGACACATGGGGACCCCGAGTGGTATCCCTGAGTCTGCCTCTAATGTGCTGTGGCATCCATGCAGAGTCCAGGGAGGCCAGTTTGCTTCTTGGTGCATCACTAGTGGCTGTTGACATAGGCTATTTTTAAACAAGGTCACTAATAAAATATACAGTAGGGGATTGCCAGGGAATCTACTATTAGGAGAACTTCTTAAGCCAGTTGACTAAACTTGCTATTAATGAAGTTAAATTGTGAATATACTCAGACTAGGGCTGGCCAAGTAGGATGAAAAGGAATGTCGCTCTGATTCATTAAATGGTAGAGGCAGAGCCCTTGCAATAATTGGGTTATATGTGAAGTTTTATTCAAAGACATAGGGATCATCCCTTTCAGTGAATGGTGGAGTGTCCCCACATGCATGGCTACAAGACTTAACTCTACCTAGAGCCCACATATGCCAGCTGGGGTTCCTGAATGCCAGGGATACCTGGCCAGGAGGAGGAGGCAGACCATGAAAGATTAGCAACCTCCTTACGATGGATTTGAGCATCCTTCTGACCCATAACACCCTCTAGGCCAAAGCTACACTTGAAGTGACACTAAGACAGTGATTTGGGTAAACTGAGGCAACTGTTCAACTAGGAAGAGGAGAGAGTAGGGGAGGAATGGGTGACCCCTGAAGGTCCTCCCAGCCTGATATGCAAGAATTCTCAGTGTCCTGGATATAGGCCTAAGACAGGCTCACTACAAAGAAAGGGGACAGAGCTGCCTGCCAGGAAGAGCCAAGTGAAGAAAGTGGCATTTGGGCAGCACAGTCTTCTGTGCCAGCCTCAGGAACCACAACCTTGTTGGCTTTTCCCATTCCTGCTTTGATTTCTTTTCCCCACCGCATTCTCCAGCCCTTTTTTTCTCTAAAGACAGTGTCTTGCTCTCTTGCCCAAGCTGGAGTGCAATGGCACAACTGTGATCATAGCTCACTGCAGCTTCAAAATCCTGGGCTCACGCAATCCTCCAGCCTCAACCTCCCATGTAGCTGGGACTATAGGTTCATGGCACCATGCCTGGTCAATTTGTTTATTTTTATTTTTCGTAGAGACAGGGTCTCACTATATTGTCCAGGCTGGTCGCACACTCCTGAGCTCAAGTGAACCTCCCACCTTGACCTCCCAAAGTGTTGGGATTATAAGCATGAGCCACCATGCCTGACTGCATTCTCCAGCTTCTAAGCCACACATGTATATTCCTCTGAGAGCCTTTCCATTTGTGGCATCAACCCCATCCCCATACCCCAATCACCCAAGAGTGCCAAACACACATAGGGCCAGCACCCTATAACCACTTGCTCACTTCCCAGAGCCCAGTAAGGATATTCAGGGGGCAGACAGGCAGCAGGTATTCAGTGGGACCCTCAGGCAGAGAAACAGAGAACCTGACAGTCCAGTGGGGGCAGCAGATGCGACCTTCTTCTTGGTGGCCCTTGGAGAACAAAGGCCAATCCACACAGCCCATGGAGCACCGAGTTCAGCCAGCGGAGCTCACTCTGCTGTCCTAAGCCTTGGAGCAGCCTGGGGACCCTCTCATCTGCCAGGAAGCACACTGGGTGCTTTCCCACGATGACAAATGAGAGCTCTACCAACTTGTGGAAGGGGGTCTGGTCGTTGAACTTGGGAAATGAAAGTGAAAGGGAGCACTGTTGGAACATCTGGGCTTCAAAACACATTTAAGGCATGAGTTCTAGAAACAGGAGATTCTTTTTAGTACTGAAAAGCCACATGAGGCAGCAGAAATCAAGGGTGATGGACTGAACTGCCCAAACCATTGAAGAGATGGCCACTTCCAAGGAAGGCAGGCTTCCCTGCATCTGGCAGGAAGGCCCCAGAAACAGTCCTTTCCTCTCTTATTTGTCCTTATGGGTTCTAAGCATAATCGAGCTATCACACTCTAGGTACTGTGCTGAGTGTTGGCCATGCATCAGCCCTGATTCCCAGGATAACCCTGTGGGGCAGGTCGCATTAGGTTTGTAGAGGAAACAGAAGCTCAGAGAATAGTTCTGTTGCACTAAGCTGAAGGGCACGTTGCGACCCAGGTCTGTTTTAAGAAGGTTTCCTGGGGCTTTCAAGAGCAGAGAGACTTGTTTTTCTCTTTCTCTTGCCCAAATACAAGGCCAGGCAGATGGAAGCTACCTAATGAATGCATAGTGGGTTGAATGAGTCCTTCCACCTTCATGCAGGAGTCCTAGCTTTGACTTCCCTGAAATGTATGGCAGTCTTGACAATCCACCTGGAACCAACTCCTCCACTGGTTTCTGCCACGCATACCATGATGCCATCTTCCTCCTCTCCCTGCCTCTCTGACAGCTGCTTCTGCTGCTATTCCTCATTTTACTTCCTCCAGAATCTCCCCCTAACACCAGAAGCTTTCTCTTTCCCGTGTTCCTGCTTGCCCATGCTCACAGCTTGTCTAGAATGTAAGCCAGAGAATATGACTGACAATAGCTGCCTGGCATTTCTGCCACCATCTTGATTGCCACATTTCTGAAACTCATCTCACTATCTTCTCATCTGACCCACTCAAGAGCACCTCCTCCTATGATACTTGGTGTCTGGTGGCAATACTGCCACTGTCCCTAAAGCCACAGCTACAAAGTGGAGTCATTCTTTTTCTCTCTCTGTCTCCTTCACTCCTCCAACCTGGTCAGTTATCGAGTCTTCTGGATTCTTGCAATAATCTCTCTTTTTCAATTTGATTATAATTCCCCTAATTTGGATCGTACAGTTCTTAGTGGAAAACTTTACCTACTATAGCCTGGCTTTGAAAGCAAGCAGTCCTGAGTTCAAACGCTGGTTCTGTGATTTATAAGCTCTGGGACTCTGGGTGGCTGCTATGGTTTCAATGTGTCTCCTTCAAAATTCAGGTGCTGCCAATGTGATAATATTAAGAAGTGGGGCCTCTAGGAGGTAATTAGGTCTTGAAGATCCCTCCCTCATGAATGGGATTAAAGGCCTTATAAAAGAGGCTTCTGCCACCTTCAGCTGGCTTGCTCTTCTGCCCTGTGAGGACTCAGCAGTCGGCCCTTTTGCCCTTCTGCTTTCCACTATGTGAGGATGCAGCAAGAAGGCCCTCACCTGATGCTAGCACCTGGAACTTGGACTTTTCAGCCCCCAGAACTGTAAGAAATAAGTTTCTGTCCTTTATAAACTACCCAGTCTCAGGCATTTTGTTATAGCAACACAAATGGGTGGATGCAGTGGTTATTCAACATGAATAAGCCTTAGTTTCCTCATTGGTCAAGTGTACTCAGCTTGCAGGTTATTGAATATGACAGATATCACATTGTACAGTGTCCTGCATGTAGGGAATGCTCAATAATTGGTAGCTATCACCAGTATTATTATGACTCCCAGGTGGTCTCCCTGCCACCAGTCTTTCCCCCAACCCCATCCACCCAACACACACCTCCAGAGCAACCCTCCGACAATACCACTTTTATCAGTGTCTCCCCCTTAGCTCGAAGGGCTTCAGTGGATCCTCAGTACCAGAAGGATAAAGTCTATCTCGCCTAACCTGGTATCTAAGGTCTCTCTAGTATGGACTCAACCTGCCTTTTTAACTGGACTTGTTATTGGCCCTCCCCTGGCCACCCCCTACCTCCAATCTACAAACACAAATTCCTTCTGTGCCCCCTAGAGGGGTCCACTTGGTATTGTCAGAAAACCTCATTCATTCTCACCTTCCCACTACACCCTTCTAGTGACAAGATAAATGTCCTTCCTCCCTGGCTCCATCTACTGGACTTTTCCCATTTCTGCCATCCCAAACCACTCTGCATCCCAGCAGAGAGGTTGTCTTTTGCTAAACTCAACATTTCTCCATTGCCTTTTTATATATGCTAGAGTTGCCCTTCCTAGGATTGACTTATTTTGACTTCATCCTCTTTTAATATTTTGGGATGGAAAACAACCCATATAGGGATGCATATACATCTCTATAGATTTTAATATTTCTTAATGTCTCCCGTAGACTGAGTACAGTTACGTACCTTCCCAAACATTATTGCTTTTCTACCCTCTACAATGAATTAACACGAGGCCTTGCCCATAAAAGTAGTGGATACATATTCACTGATTTGGAAAAACAGCCCCTAGTGAGAGTGTGGAGGGCCCATTCCACATGGTGGACTATGACAGACATGGTCCCAGCCCCGTGCTGGGCTTCGGAACACCAGGCTGTGCTTCATTCCTGTTCCTGCTTCTCTGGTGGCCGCCGACTTTCCCAGGGCAGCTTCTCCAACTGGAATTCCAGATGTAACATCCCACAAGGTATAACTATGTGTAGTTTTCATTCCTCTGCAGAAGAGCCATGGGCTGTGTCTTACAATCCAACAGTGCAGGTGGGAGCCACCGAAGTGAATGTGCACTGAAGACCAGGAACAGCTGGTGTCCAGAAGCCAGAGTTATGCATAGTTTTTGAGGCACTTAAGGGATATCATGAACCAGGGGCTGCTTTGGAGATGGGACTGGTAGGATCTAAATGAATTTGTAGGGGCCTCTCCAAATGGGACCTGCATGCAAGGTCAAGCCTTGTCTTCGGTAAGAGAATGAGTGACACGTAGGAACCGGGCCCAGGAGGGCAACAGGCCACATGAGATGGGGTCACTAGAGAAATTATACCCTTACACTCCCACAGGTGCCCAGAGGGGCCAAATCCATGCCCCGACCCTGAGTGTGGAAATGGCAAACTATCTCCAGACCCCTCCGCAGTGCCCTTAGTACCAAGGACTTGAGTGGGCTGGGCTTCTCAGTAGCAGGTGGCTGGGGCAAAGCTGGAGGAGGCAACTTCTACTCAGTGGCAAGAAGAGCAACCTCGGTTTGTGAAAACAGATGGAGGCATCTGTTTCTGTCATCTATTGGACAGAAGAAACAGAACATAGCTAGACTGTACTTCCATATTCTCACCAACTGCATTAGTCCTTTTTAAAGCTGCTGATAAAGACATACCCGAGACTGGGAATTTATGAAGAAAAAGAGGTTTAACAGACTCACAGTACCACGTGGCTGGGAAGGCCTCACAATCATGGCAGAAGGATAAAGGCACATCTTACATGGCAGCAGGCAAGAGAGAGTGAGAGCCAAGTGAAAGGGGAAGCCCCTTATAAAACCATCAGATCTCAGGCCGGGCGCGGTGGCTCACGCCTGTAATCCCAGCACTTTGGGAGGCGGAGGCGGGCAGATCATGGGGTCAGGAGATCGAGATCATCCTGGCTAACACGGTGAAACCCCGTCTCTACTAAAAATACAAAAAAATTAGCTGGGCGTGGCGGCGGGCGCCTGTAGTCCCAGGGGGGACTAGGGAGGCTGAGGCAGGAGAATGGTGTGAACCCGGGAGGCGGAGCTTGCAGAGAGCCGAGATCACGCCACTGCACTCCTGCCTGGGCAACAGAGCGAGACTCCGTCTCAAAAAAAAAGAAAAGAAAAACCATCAGATCTCATGAGACTTATTCACTACCGTGAGAACAGTATGGGGGAACCACCCCCATGATTCAATGATCTCTACCGGGTCCCTCCCACAGCACGTGGGAATTATGGGAGCTATAATTCAAGATGAGATATGGATGGGGGCCAAACCATATCACCAACCCTGGCCATTCTTCCTTTAGGTAACCAAGGTTCTGTGACCTGGGCCTGGAACCACAGTCCAAGCAGCTAGGAGGATCTGGAAATCCTAAGTCATGTATCATTACAGTTATCCCAAGGGTACCTAGAGGTATTTCCCTGTGCGTCATATCTCAGTGTAATGCGTGTTAATATTGCTAATCTTGTTCTGTTCAAGTTTAAGTGCTTGTGAAAATTATGCTCCTAGTTCCGTATGGCCCACGTCTCTACCACCACCCCAATCACCAAGCTGTGCCAGTCAGTGAGAAGCAAGCTTACAGGAAAGAGGGGGTCCTTTCTGAGTGTGGACGCCCAGTAAGAAACCCCAGACAATAACAGCAGCAGGACCATTTGAGAGTTGTGCCAACACTCAGATTTCCAAAGCTGGCCCAGCTCCTGATCAAAAGCAGGAATGAAGAGCATCCCCCCAGGATCCCCGCCCATCCCACTAGAAGTCATTCGTATTCCTGTGCAGTCAGCGGTTTGCAGCCAGGTTTGGCTGGGGAGGTCCCACTGCTCATTTCTCTCCTAAACCTCCCTGGTGTGCAGCCAAGTCTCCATTTTATGCAAACTTTAAAAACAGAAACGTAGGAAGAAAAACGATTCCCATGAAGGATGGAAAACTAATCTAACAAGAGATTACAGCTGTGCAGAGGGCTGTTAGGGAATCCGGGCACCTTAGCAGAACAGCTCCCCGAGGGTAGGGCAGCATCTCACATCCTTATTCATATTGTCCTGCACACAGACAGTTGTCATGGACAAGAGTATGAAGTCAAAATAAGTCAACTCTAGGAAGGTCAGCTCTAGCAAGGAAGCATGCTAGGAACTGCAGGACACTGAAATAAGTCTAGTTCCTATCCTAAAGAGTTTATAACCCGTCTAGGAGAATAATGCTGAAATACCTGGAAAAAAACTGTCGAGAACAGGTTCACTTCAAAATTCACCAAAGGAGCCAAGCGCGGTGGTTCACACCTGTAATCCCAACACGTTGGGAGGCCAAGGCAAGCAGACTTGAGGCCAGGAGTTCAAGACTGGCCTGGCCAACATGGTGAAACCCTGCCTCTACTAAAAATACAAAAATTATCCAGGCGTGTTGGCGCACATCTGTAATCCCAGCCACTCGGGTACTTGAGGCAAGAGAATCACTTGAACCTGGGAGGTGGAGGCTGCAGTGAGCTGAGATGGCTCCACTGCACACCAGCCTGGGTGACAGAGCTTCATCTCAATAAATAAATAAATAAATAAATCCACCAAAGGAATTTAAAACACAAGACAGTACACATCAAAAAAAGGCTTTTGGAATTTGGACAGTTTGGAAAGGTCAAGAAGGCCAGGTGCGGTGGCTCACACCTGTAATCCCAGTATTTTGGGAGGCTGAGGTGGGCAAATCACAAGGTAAGGAGTTCAAGACTAGCCTGTCCAACATGGTGAAACCCCGTCTCTACTAAAAATACAAAAAATTAGCTGGGCATAGTGGTGGGCACCTGTAATCCCAGGTACTCAGGAGGCTGAGACAGGAGAATCGCTTCAACCTGGGAGGCGGAGGTTGCAGTGAGCTGAGATCGTGCCACTACACTCCAGCCCAGGTGACAGAGTGAGATTCCATCTCAAAAAAAAAAAAAAAAGAAGAAGAAGAAGAAGGCAAAGCATAGGAGGTGGTGCTGCCCTTGGGGTATCAGATATCACCAAGGATTTGGGCAAAAATATAGAGGAGGAAAAGAATGAAGAGACCCGGAGACCTGGGAGTAAACCGGTTCATGTGGGGCCGACTCATATGTGGAAGGGTAAAAGGAGATGAGATTGCAACAGTGGGCTGCGGCAAGGAGGGAACAACCAAGTACAGCACTGAAGAGTGAGAGCTCAGGGGCTCAGTATGAGCTTGAATTTCTGTTCCACCACTAGTCAGCCAAGGTTCCTATCCATCTCAAAGGCTGTCTCCTCAGAGATAAAACAGGGATGATAATAATCCTGCCTACTGATTCATAAGGTTGCTGTGAAGTTTAAGTAGAATAACAGATGTACTTAGCACTATGCCTGGCACGCAGCAAATAATTAACAGATGGGCAAAGGCACGAATGGCCAATGTGAGAGGCAGCACAAAGGAAAGGCAAACCAGACATGAACCGGATAACAGAGTTTAATGCGACCAACAGCCCAGGTCTAGGAGATCAGCATAAACACTGGTGCCCAGAAGAAAAATAGGGGAGTCCAGAGACAGGGCCAATTTGGTGGGCACAAGAAGTTCTACAGACACTGTTGGGAGACTGGGACTCAGAACATCAGTCAGACCTGTGCCATGGATCTGGGGAAGGGATCCCAGGGGAAGGACGGTGTGTAGAAAAGTGCTATGGGACAAAGATGGTGGCCCTGGGGAAATGCTCCCACTAAGGAGCAGGAGAAGGCAAAGAGGTTAGTAAAGGACACAGAGAAGGAATGGAGAGGAAGCAGAAAAATTACGTTCCCAGGAACAGAGAGAGTGATCAACAGAGTCGGATGATTCAGGGAGAACAAAGAGAAGAATTGCTGTTTAGGGTGTGTTGGTGACTTCCACAAAGAGCAATTTAGTAAAGCATGAGTGGCAGCCATGAAGGGGGACGCGAGTCTAAATTTGGGAGGGCTGGCACTGAGCAGAGAGGAAAACCATGGGGCTGAGAGTTGGGGAGTCTCTGTGTGAAAACGTTTCCTCTCGATGGGACCTTCTGCATTCCAAAATTCACAAAAGGTAAGAAAGCGAGGGGAGTGACACCTTCTGCTGTTAGAGACGAATTTTTTGGGAACTGCTCCAGAAAAATGGTTCCTTTCTAGCTATTCTAGGACAGTGGCTACCACCCATTTCAGCCTCCTGTCAGGAAGCCTCTGAGACAAAAATGGTGTCAACAGGCCTTTGGCTGCTTCTCCTTTCTATTCTGTTTGTCAGAAAAATAAAGAGATGCATAGAAGAAAAGGGGATGCTCTGCAAGGGGAATCTTCAGCGACAGGACAGGAGTTAGCAACTAGTTTTAGAGTTTGCACAGCTTCTAGCAACCCCCTCAGTCCGATAGCTGTCAGCCCTAACCGTACCTTAGAATCACCTGTAATGCTCATAAAGCTGCTAGCAGCTGGAGCCCACCTCAGACATGGAAGGGAGCCCAATAGTCTGGTTTTCTTTTTGTTTTGAATTTCCTAGGTGATTCTAATGTGCAGCCAATGTCAAGAACCACTCCCCAGGGGGTTCCCTCTCATGAACAATTAAGGCACACGTTCCACAAACAAACAGAATTTTTCAATGACTGATTTTGGAAGTGTCGGTTAGAATGTCTAGCTTAGCAAACAATAAAAGGTTTGGCTTGTGAGCCAACACCATTTGATTGGTATGGGCAGGCTACAGAGAGATGAGAGGGACCTTGAGCCAGGACTCAGTTAAAAAGAGCACAGTGGTCAGTAAATGATGTCTACCCCAGGTTTCGAGGAAGGGGGGATGGCTCATATGTAGCCATCCCGGGTCTAGCTCTTCTAATCCTAGCATGCCCTCCACAAAATAGACTCAAACCATCTGAGCATGCAGAGTCCAGGAGCCTTCCACCCCAGCAGTGCGTGGGCGGGATGAGCATCAGCAGCCTCTCCCGCAGCAGTTCTGAGTATCCTCCTCAGAGTAGCAGTATGGAATGCAATGCTTAGGCCCACCAGAGGCCTCCTGCATCAGACACTCAAGGGGTGGAAGCCCAGAATCTGTGTTTTAACAATGGATACATACTGTGGTTGAAGAACTATTACTCTAGCGGACTTAAAAAAACAATGCACAGATTCTTAAGCTCCACCAGGAGCCACTAAAACAGAACATTTGGGGCACAGAGCCCAGAAACATGTATTTTTTTTTTTTTGAGACGGAGTCTTGCTCTGTCGCCCAGACTGGAGTGCAGTGGCGCGATCTCGGCTCACTGTAAGCTCCACCTCCCGGGTTCACGCCATTCTCCTGCCTCAGCCTCCCGAGTAGCTGGGACTGCAGGTGCCCGCCACTGCGCCTGGCTAATTTTTTGTATTTTTAGTAGAGACGGGGTTTCACTGTGTTAGCCAGGATGGTCTCGATCTCCTGACCTTGTGATCCACCTGCCTCGGCCTCCCAAAGTGCTGGGATTACAGGCGTGAGCCACCGCACCCAGCCAGAAACGTATTTTTTAAGCACCTGGTGCTGAAATGGTGCTAATGCACAGTCAGGCTTGAATACCACTGACCTAGTATTGCTCTCTGTTGGTTTCATTTCCTCAACAGCATTACTAGAAATAATCAAACTATTCATAGAGACCTGCTTGATGTAATTACCCTGGCAAGGTGCTCAACAATGCATATAGCTGGTCACCTCCAGCAGTTCTCCTACCCTCTCAGAAGCTTATTTTCTTCATCTGCAAAATGAAGATGCTCTGATCTCACGAGACTGGGTTGCTGTGGCAACCACGGAGTAAGAGCAGCTGGCTTAGGGTGTGTCCATATGTTGAGTACTCAATGATTCTAGTTGAAAGAAAGAAAAAAGGAAGGAAGAAAGGAGGAAGAGGCAGGCACAAGACAAAATGAATCTCTCCGCTGTGCACATGGAGCCTTAGCTCTGATTCCAGTTGAGCAAAATTATGAAGAAGATGATTCCCCATATGGATGACAGATAAACACCCTGTGGCGAGTCACTCACTCCCGAAAGGCCCTCTGAAGGATCGCGCATGTCCTGACTGCACAGCCTGCTCCTGTAAGTGTATCCTTTTGTTTTGTTCCTGTCAGAAATCATGCTACAATAATTATTTTAACTGATGTTAAAACAGCAAGCTCATGTCAACTCTTGGCTGGAGGCTTCTGGAAACCAAGACACCAGAACATCCATTTGCCTCACCCTGTCATGGGTGAAAATTTTTAATTTACCTAGGAAATCATGCAGGCCATGGGAGAGGGGCAGGCAGCATGGTGTGATGGTTTGGAGGCAGCTTCTGCAGGTCAGATCCTCTGTCTTCACTGGTGATGAGATGACCAGTCCTACGCCAGGACCAGTTGAATCCTCCTGTTCACCTTGGCTATTTCACACCAGTATCTCTATGGCTTCCTTCAGCCCCCAGGGTAAAGCACAAGTTCCTCACCTGCCTTTCAAGCCTTCCAGATCTGTCCCTCCCATCTCACAGCTCCTGCTCTCCTCTTCCCAGAGGAAGCTCCATCTAGGTGACCCTTTGAGAGTCATGGAATACACCCTTAACTCTCACGGCTCCCACACCTTCGCCAGCCTCTCTCCCCTTTTTTGAGTCATCATCATCCTTCGAAGCCAAGGCCAAGTCCTAGAATTAAATGAGCCTCCCCTATCACTCTCAGCCTCAATGGCTCCCTTCCTTCTGCAAACACCTAACTCCTCTACCTCCAATCTCTACCTTGTTTTGAAATTACCGTATTTACCTTCATCCTTTCCACCCCTTTTATCTTATGAACACTTGACAGACATGAGTAGGGCAACCTTGTAATTCATTGTCTAATCAGGATCACTTTTGAGAGTGAAAAGAGGCACTATTAATAATTGTATCAGGATAACAAGCATAAGCAATGATTGTCCCAGACAAAGCAGGATGTCTGGTTACCTTAAAATTAGTCCCGTCTTAAGTCTGTTTATATCCCTCTCAGCACCTGGGCCTTATAAACATGAGTTGATTCAGTGAAATGCTGGGAACCAAACTCGCTGTTGATGGAGGTTCAGGAAGATTAATCTGGCAGTGCTGTGTAGGGTAGATGAGAGCTAGAATAACAGCTCACAGTTATGAATAGAAATGAGTAAGTGACATGCTGCTTTTATTTCGTTCTCTATAGAAATGCAAATGCAGCTCAAGGGCTGATGTAAGGTAGAAACAAGCCTTGCATGAGAAATGCGGTTTGCATAGTTTAATACAATTTAATATCTACTCATGGTCAGCTACGCATCTGTCTCTAATTCCACAGCCACGGTCCTTTCAAAGTCACTGCCTTTGGATGTAAGTTTCTCAGAGAGAATGAGCCTTGTGTCCAATGCCTGGAAAGCAACAGCATTTGGCCACCAAGTTCCTCTTCATCCTCATCAAGCAGCTTTTCCTGTTTTGTTTTTAGCTCCAACCTTAGGACAATGGACAAGTCAATCAGTCCAGATTACCCTGCACCAGGGAAGAGAGGCACCTGACAGCTATACCCTTCACCAAGTCCACGGGGACAAAGGCACAAGAGTAATAGAAGCTGCAGGGAGAATGCAATTCTCATCAACCCTTGGGGTTGCCGCATTGTTTTTGCTCTGTTTTCCAGAAAGTCTTTAACGGAGGAGAAAGGGTGTGGAGGAAGGGAGGGCCTTGCCTATTAGCAGATATTTCAATGCAGTCATCACCCTCCCGCCATTCAATGTCAGGGATCAGCCCTTGCAAAGGAGCAGTCATTGGACAATGGGCACAATCAGGGCTCTGGGTTTTTCTGTCCTGCTGCACATTCGACCCGCCTTCCTCTGCTGAAAAGGCTGCTTTTCCACTAGGCATGCCCTATGTATGGAAAAAACTTCTACCTCTGGTTTGCTTTCGTTTGTACCCACCCACTGCAAACTAAAATTGCATGAAGCAGAGGCTAAGATGGTTTTCCTAGTACAACGAATATCTGCCAACTCTAAATAGAAAGACTTAGATCAATGATGACTAGTTAATTAAGCAAACTTGAGAAAGGGGACTATTCATTTATTCCTTACCTTTCACTGAGCAGTTTAGAGGCTTTCATTGGAAATATCATTAATCACCTGAAATGCCTTGCAATAATAACTGGTATCCCCATTTTACAGTTTATCATGTACTAGGCTCTGCGGTAGGTTCTGGGAATACAGACTTGAACCAGACATGCTTTCAGGCCATCTGCAGGACAAAGCAAATGTTACAGAAGTTAAGTGACTTGCTCAAGGCCCCTTGAAGTCCAGCTTGGAAGACTAAGAACTCAACATCCCTGTGGATCCTGCCAGCCCTGCCAGCTTTCCCAGAGACGCCCAGCTGTTGAGCTTAATCTCAGAGTCACTGGAACAACCACTTCAAGGTTGAATTCGTCACCCCAATCACATGGGAACATTATCTAATTAAGTGGCTCTGCCACTTGAGGGGCAAGGAGAGCTGAAGTCGGGTATTGGGAAACACAGGTTGCTCTTCCATGACAACAGGTCACACAGTTGAAATCCCAAAACCATGGGCAGGACCAGGTTGTGTAAATGAGGTTCAGCTGCCCTGGCTCCCACTGCCACCCTGGCACACAAAGGTCATCTCATCCATTTCCTCCATGTCTTTGTATTTGCTATTCCTCATCCCAGAATCATGGCCCCTTCCTTCTTCCCTGTGGATAATGCCTCTTTTCCCCCCATTGCATCTTACTTATTAATTACAAAATTGTCCCTGGATAATTCTTACTTTGCTTTTAAGATTCAGCTTAGAAATGTTGTCTTTGAGTCTCAATTTCTTCCTCTGTATAAAGGGGACAATAGTAGCTTCTACGACACAAAGTTGTTGCCAGGATTAAAAAATAGATAATGTGTAGAAAGCACAGTGCCCAACATACAGAAAGTGTTTAACAAACGTTGGTTGTCACTGTCATCATTGTCACTCTCCTCTGTGATCACAAACTCTGGCCAGACTTTAACCATTGCAGTGCACCTCCTGACTGCACTGCACTTGTTTATTCCTGTCTTCCCCATTAGGCTCCGGGCTCTTCCAGGGAGGGGTGGGTACATCACCAGCATATCTCCAGTGCCTGGCACACAGTAGGTGTTCAATAAACCTCCTGCATTATCTGAATCAACGAATAAATCCATACTAAACAATAAGCCCTCCTCCTGCGGGTCTGTATCTCTGTGACACGTCTTCCCTGTGAAAGGCACAGGAAGAAAATAAAGGAAGAGAACAGAATGTTCTCGATGCTACTCAGAAATATTCTCAAACAAAGATTCTACATAATTCATTTGTACTTTGACATTTTATGGCCTTCATTTTCTCTGAGTGCTTTCTACAGATATTGTTGTTATTTTTTTCACTCTAAGGACAATGCTCTCAAAGCCACGGTTGTAATAGAAATTGGAAAATCAAAGCAGATCCATGTGGCCTCAGCATAACGAAAACAAGGTAGGCCAAAGAGAAATCAGGTAATGCATGGATTTATGGTCCAAATCATAACCTGTTCACACAAACTACCAATGTCACAGGAGGAAAAAGACACCACACTTTCCAATGGCCAACATATTTTGAACAATATTCAATACAATAAAATTCCAGTAAAGGCCCTTTAAATTAGGTATAACTCTTTTTCCACCCTAAGATCTTTATATTTGGCTTATAAGGAATCCTGTATCTGGGATGGAGCTGAATGTGTACTAAAAGTGACCACTCTTTGCTTAGAGAATTAACAGTTTTAAAGAAGTTGGTCTTAGGAAATGTAGGTATTAGGAAACCTGGTGCCAGCAAGGTAAACTCTGTGGCCAATGGGCTTAGCTCAAAGGTTTTGATGCAATTTAAAAGGTCGGTTTACGCCTCAAAAGGAGACTTATCAGTTAGCAGAAGCTCAAGGTCAGCCTAAAGGCAGGGAAGAAATGGGTTTAGTGTTCAGCATAGGGAGAGCCAAAAAAAACCAAAGGGTTTGGGGAGCGGGTGGGTCTCAGTGACATTATTAACATGAAAACAAAACAAAACAACAAAACGAAACTACTTCCATCACATTTCAGGACAGCGTGAGGGTAACCTAATGATAGACAGTTGTATATGACCAGGATGGAATGTAGGAGCTTAAATCTAACTAGAGCAGAACAGGGGACAGTCCAAGGAGGAAGCTGCCACTTTCTAGAGACCAAGGGAGATGGTGCCATGTGAGCAGATGGGAGGATATGCATCACTGGGGTTCAGCTTTGCAGCCAGATGCCTGGGTTTAAATCCATGCTTCTACCTCTGGGTAGCAGTGGATTTAATGTCTCTAGGCTGAGGTCTCCTCATCTATGAAATTGAGACAAAAATATCTGCTTTAGATGGTAAACGTGAAAAGTTAACAGGCCAATCCTTATAAAGTGCTTAGCCCAGGGTCTGGGACATGGTGAGCATTCCATCAAAGTTAACCATCTGTGTAACTCTTAACAAGGGCACGGGGCATGGAGAACCTGGACCAAGGACCATGCTGTCCCATCTCACACAGCAAGATTTCCCAAGTGTGAGATTTTGGGACACCTGCTTCTTTTCCGTAGTGATAAGCAGTAAATTCCTTAAGCTACAAAGGCTGGGAGGCTTGTCTTCAAGGGTAGCCACAATCAGAAGTCTGAAGAAGGCTATGTGCTTTCTTCCTCTTTCCAGAGAATCCTGAGATTGAGAAGAGGGAGAATACTTTAAAGAGGAGCCCCTCCTACTACAGAAACCTCAGTGTAACAGCAGGAATGACCCTGTGCCTCCAAACATGTGGTTTAAGAGGCAGATCTAACATGACTCTTCAAAAACAAGCCCAGGGAAAAGAGAAGATGACAACATGTAACCAGCAGCCACCTTAGAATGCAGGGGGCAGCTATAGTGCCACCTCTGCAGGCGGATTTACCAGTTTAAATAGATGGTTCTCAAAACTGCAGGCAACTTTGTCCCCAGAGGGACATTCGGCAAAGTCTGGGACATTTTTTGCTTGTCACAACGCAAGAGTTTCTTACTGGCATCTATTGGGTAGAGACCATGGATGCTGCTAAAATTCTAACGGCTCACAGGACAATCCCACAAGAAATAATTATCTGGTCCACAAAACCAACAGTTTCAAGGCTGGG
Organism: Homo sapiens; assembly: GCF_000001405.40. Lineage (NCBI taxonomy): Eukaryota > Metazoa > Chordata > Mammalia > Primates > Hominidae > Homo > Homo sapiens. The sequence continues at coordinate 71,183,760 of NC_000015.10, read as the reverse complement.
GAACTCTGATGTGGATAAATCAGGCCTGGGTAGATAGAAGGAAAGTACCTTGAGAAGAAACATGTTTGGGTACCCAACTTTAAAGAGTTTGGTCTTAGGGACGTTTATGTGCCAGCAAGGTAAATTCCATGGCCTGGCATGTGTTGCAGCAACAACAGTAACACCACCACCTATATAGTATTTACTATGAGTCAGACAACATTCTAAACCCCTTATCTGTAACTCATGCAATCCTCAAGACAACCTACGTGATAGGTACTATTATCACCCTCATTTTACAGATGAGGAAACTGAGGCACTGGACCTTGCCCAAGGTCCAGAATTACTAAGCAGTAGAACTGAGGTATTAACCAGGCAATCTGGCTTCAGAGTCTGCTATGGTTTCGCTGTGTCCCCATCCAAATCTCATTCTAAATTGTAGCTCTCGTAATTCCCACATGTCGTGGGAGGGACTCAGTGGGAGGTAACTGAATCCTGGGGCAGTTTCCCCCGTACTATTCTCGTGGTAGTGAATTAAGTCTCACAAGATCCGATGGTTTTACAGATGGGATTTCCCCTCCACAAGCACTCTCTTGCCTGCCGCCATGTAAGGCATTCCTTCGCTCCTGCTTTGCCTTCCGCCATGATTGGGAGGCCTCCCCAACCATGTGGAACTGTGAGTCAATCAAACCTCTTTCCTTTATAAATTACCCAGTCTCCGGTATGTCTTCATTAGTAGCATGAGAACAGACTAATACAGAGTCCAGGTTCACATGGTAGGCCCTTGATACATGTGTGATGAGTTAATGGGGAAAAATAAATGGACATGGCTATAAGCAAAAGCATGCATCAAATGTATAAAAAAATACAAAGAGAATACAATTAGGAACAAAAGGACATTGACTTCTGCTCTGTTTCTCCAAACTAACCAAGGAGTGTGCATCCTTGGTAGGGAAGGAAGACAGCTGACATGGGAAGGCTCCACTTGCCAAATTCCTACATCATCAAAAATCAGATCACATCATCACTGGGAGGAAAAGATAGACCACTAACATACAAAGACAGTGCCCAGAAGACTGTGCTATGATTCATTTTGCTCCCCAAAGACTAAGATTTGTGGCCTAAGTGATAAGTTATTCTGTCTGTCAAAACTTTGTTTTAACTGTAATGTGGCCTGGAAACATAACATAGTGGGAATTTAGAAGTTATTTAAAAAACACCTTTTTATGGTTTGGGTTTTATGTGTATAAGTGTGGGAGGGAATGGAAATTTTGAGAAAAAAATTAAAGTACATAAAATACTCATTTTTTCTTAGAACCATTTATAGTCCTAAAGTCACTTCATTATGGTTGAAGCGCACAAAAATATCTACTCTGTATAACTTGGGTTTATTTATAAGAAGACCACATTTAAGATATGGGTACCAGAGTAGAGTTTGTTCAGACACTAATAACAAATTTATAATGTATTTATTTTTCAATATTGCTATAAATGGAATGACAAACGTCCAAAGGAAGGAATTTATACACTCAGATTGTGTGGGTTTCTGTGAAGCAGGCAAACTCTAGAACAAAAGAAATATTCATATATAGAAAAACAAAGGTTTTTTGCCCTTGAACTTAGTAGTGATTAAATACCAAAAAGAGTTCTTTAAGAAATCAGGGCAGAGGGTGTCATAGAGAAGGAACACTCAAAAGTCAATGTATATCATTTTTGCCATAAAAAAATGGGGCTGGTAGCCCCAGTTATCCTTGTGTCTCCAGCTTACATCATCCCCAGTGTCCGCTTCCTCTGATGATCTCTCAACATCTTCTGCAAACAGAATCTGTGACCCAAGATTTTTTTAGGTCTCATATTTCATTTCTTGATTTGGAGATCACCCACCAGAGGACAACTCCTTTCACAATCTAGAGATGGAGGGATGTGAAGGAGGCAAGAGTTAACAACAGGAGTCAGGCAGATCTGCCTTGATGGAAGAGGAATGATTATGGCTTCTTTCTGGTCTTCCTGTCACCAGGTTAACACTAGGATGGCCAGGACCAAGACTCCTCCACAGGAGAGAGTTGGTAGATACCACTAGGATGGGAGAATGAAATACCAATTAAAGTCAAGTCAGCCAAAGCTGGGGATGGCAAAGAGGGACTCTGTCCACAGTGGAGAAGTCCATAAGCATTGACAGAGATGTTCCTTCTATGTTCCACTTTTTGCCTTCAACTCATGGGTACAAGCATACTCAGAAAGAAGTCAGAGATTTGAAGGGGAATCCTGGCCCTAAACAAAGAAGAGGCTAAGATGCCAGGACCGTACCATTATTCCCAAACTAAAAGCCTGAAGATGTTCTCCTTCTGCAACATTGTAAAGGGCCTTCCAAACACAAACACAAAGTTTTAAGCTTATTGCTCCATTTTTAATAGAAGCAAATTAGATTTTTCTGCTGTTGACTTTGAATCCAAGAAATTTAGAGCAGCACAAATTAGTGAACACTGAAATTCTTTTCTTAATAAGGTCTCTTTACTCCAGTTTATTTTTTTCATAAGTAGAAATGCTCTTAATTTTTCAGCAGCAGTCAGTTATATTTATGCCATTAGAAACGGAAGGCTTGACAAACACCAGCTGGAAGAGACACAGTGTCTGCTTTAGAATCAGCTTCCAATTCTGTAGGGGTTCTGGGCTGGACACCCTCAAATGAGTGCACGCCCTGTGCTATTCTTTAAAGAGCATCTTTGTTTTCTGGTCACTCCCAAGGGACAATCTCACACTGTTCCAGAGACTTTTATTGCCATTTCAGTACTGGTATTTGATTCACTGCACTGTCTTCTTCCTCCTTTTCCTTCTCCTCTTTTTTTTTAATTGAGGTATAACATACATAAAGTACACCAAGTATGCTCACTGTAAATGTATGAATTCTTATACTTTTAAGATCCATGTAATCCCAACCCTGCTCAAGACTTAGAATATTTCCAACACCCTGGAAGGTTCCCTCATGCCCCTCACTATTGAATAGCCACCCTCACCCCCTGTTGGTATCCACTATTCTGATTTTATTTTCATCAAAAACTATCTTTGTCTATACTTGAACTAAATATACATGGAATGATACTGTACATACTTTTACATCTGGCTTCTTATTGTCAATATAATGGCTCTGAAATTATTTCGGTTGTTGCTTATATCAGTAGTTCATTTTTAACAGTTTCATTGAGGTATAATTGACACATAATCAATTACATATTTGAAGCATACAATTTGATAAGTTTTCTCATATGTATTCCCCCCTGAAACCACCACCACAATCAGATAATGCACATATCCATCACCCAAAAGTTTTTGTAGCCGTTGGTAACCTTCATTTCTTCCCTTACTATCATCCCTCCTAAACATTGAGCATCTTTTAATGTGCTTATTGGACATTTGCATATCTTCTTTGGAGAAACGTCTATTCAAGTCCTTTGCCCATTTATGAATCATGTTGTCTGCTTCGTTGTTGAATTTTGTAAGTTCTCTATATACTCTGGATATCAATCCCTTATCAGATATATGATTTGCAAATACTTTCTCCCGTTCTGTGGGTTGCCTTTATACTCTGTTGATAGTGTCTTTTTTTTTTTTTATTTTTTTTTTTTTTAATGTTTTTTTTTTATTATACTCTAAGTTTTAGGGTACATGTGCACATTGTGCAGGTTAGTTACATATGTATACATGTGCCATGCTGGTGCGCTGCACCCACTAACTCGTCATCTAGCATTAGGTATATCTCCCAATGCTATCCCTCCCCCCTCCCCCGACCCCACCACAGTCCCCAGAGTGTGATATTCCCCTTCCTGTGTCCATGTGATCTCATTGTTCAATTCCCACCTATGAGTGAGAATATGCGGTGTTTGGTTTTTTGTTCTTGCGATAGTTTACTGAGAATGATGATTTCCAATTTCATCCATGTCCCTACAAAGGACATGAACTCATCATTTTTTATGGCTGCATAGTATTCCATGGTGTATATGTGCCACATTTTCTTAATCCAGTCTATCATTGTTGGACATTTGGGTTGGTTCCAAGTCTTTGCTATTGTGAATAGTGCCGCAATAAACATACGTGTGCATGTGTCTTTATAGCAGCATGATTTATAGTCCTTTGGGTGTATACCCAGTAATGGGATGGCTGGGTCAAATGGTATTTCTAGTTCTAGATCCCTGAGGAATCGCCACACTGACTTCCACAATGGTTGAACTAGTTTACAGTCCCACCAACAGTGTAAAAGTGTTCCTATTTCTCCACATCCTCTCCAGCACCTGTTGTTTCCTGACTTTTTAATGATTGCCATTCTAACTGGTGTGAGATGATATCTCATAGTGGTTTTGATTTGCATTTCTCTGATGGCCAGTGATGATGAGCATTTCTTCATGTGTTTTTTGGCTGCATAAATGTCTTCTTTTGAGAAGTGTCTGTTCATGTCCTTCGCCCACTTTTTGATGGGGTTGTTTGTTTTTTTCTTGTAAATTTGTTTGAGTTCATTGTAGATTCTGGATATTAGCCCTTTGTCAGATGAGTAGGTTGCGAAAATTTTCTCCCATGTTGTAGGTTGCCTGTTCACTCTGATGGTAGTTTCTTTTGCTGTGCAGAAGCTCTTGAGTTTAATTAGATCCCATTTGTCAATTTTGGCTTTTGTTGCCATTGCTTTTGGTGTTTTGGACATGAAGTCCTTGCCCACGCCTATGTCCTGAATGGTAATGCCTAGGTTTTCTTCTAGGGTTTTTATGGTTTTAGGTCTAACGTTTAAATCTTTAATCCATCTTGAATTGATTTTTGTATAAGGTGGAAGGAAGGGATCCAGTTTCAGCTTTCTACATATGGCTAGCCAGTTTTCCCAGCACCATTTATTAAATAGGGAATCCTTTCCCCATTGCTTGTTTTTCTCAGGTTTGTCAAAGATCAGATAGTTGTAGATATGCGGCATTATTTCTGAGGGCTCTGTTCTGTTCCATTGATCTATATCTCTGTTTTGGTACCAGTACCATGCTGTTTTGGTTACTGTAGCCTTGTAGTATAGTTTGAAGTCAGGTAGTGTGATGCCTCCAGCTTTGTTCTTTTGGCTTAGGATTGACTTGGCGATGCGGGCTCTTTTTTGGTTCCATATGAACTTTAAAGTAGTTTTTTCCAATTCTGTGAAGAAAGTCATTGGTAGCTTGATGGGGATGGCATTGAATCTGTAAATTACCTTGGGCAGTATGGCCATTTTCACGATATTGATTCTTCCTATCCATGAGCATGGAATGTTCTTCCATTTGTTTGTGTCCTCTTTTATTTCCTTGAGCAGTGGTTTGTAGTTCTCCTTGAAGAGGTCCTTCACATCCCTTGTAAGTTGGATTCCTAGGTATTTTATTCTCTTTGAAGCAATTGTGAATGGGAGTTCACTCATGATTTGGCTCTCTGTTTGTCTGTTGTTGGTGTATAAGAATGCTTGTGATTTTTGTACATTGATTTTGTATCCTGAGACTTTGCTGAAGTTGCTTATCAGCTTAAGGAGATTTTGGGCTGAGACGATGGGGTTTTCTAGATAAACAATCATGTCGTCTGCAAACAGGGACAATTTGACTTCCTCTTTTCCTAATTGAATACCCTTTATTTCCTTCTCCTGCCTGATTGCCCTGGCCAGAACTTCCAACACTATGTTGAATAGGAGCAGTGAGAGAGGGCATCCCTGTCTTGTGCCAGTTTTCAAAGGGAATGCTTCCAGTTTTTGCCCATTCAGTATGATATTGGCTGTGGGTTTGTCATAGATAGCTCTTATTATTTTGAAATACGTCCCATCAATACCTAATTTATTGAGAGTTTTTAGCATGGAGGGTTGTTGAATTTTGTCAAAGGCTTTTTCTGCATCTATTGAGATAATCATGTGGTTTTTGTCTTTGGTTCTGTTTATAGGCTGGATTATGTTTATTGATTTGCGTATATTGAACCAGCCTTGCATCCCAGGGATGAAGCCCACTTGATCATGGTGGATAAGCTTTTTGATGTGCTGCTGGATTCGGTTTGCCAGTATTTTATTGAGGATTTTTGCATCAATGTTCATCAAGGATATTGGTCTAAAATTCTCTTTTTTGGTTGTGTCTCTGCCCGGCTTTGGTATCAGAATGATGCTGGCCTCATAAAATGAGTTAGGGAGGATTCCCTCTTTTTCTATTGATTGGAATAGTTTCAGAAGGAATGGTACCAGTTCCTCCTTGTACCTCTGGTAGAATTCGGCTGTGAATCCATCTGGTCCTGGACTCTTTTTGGTTGGTAAACTATTGATTATTGCCACAATTTCAGAGCCTGTTATTGGTCTATTCAGAGATTCAACTTCTTCCTGGTTTATTCTTGGGAGAGTGTATGTGTCGAGGAATGTATCCATTTCTTCTAGATTTTCTAGTTTATTTGCGTAGAGGTGTTTGTAGTATTCTCTGATGGTAGTTTGTATTTCTGTGGGATCGGTGGTGATATCCCCTTTATCATTTTTTATTGTGTCTATTTGATTCTTCTCTCTTTTTTTCTTTATTAGTCTTGCTAGTGGTCTATCAATTTTGTTGATCCTTTCAAAAAACCAGCTCCTGGATTCATTGATTTTTTGAAGGGTTTTTTGTGTCTCTATTTCCTTCAGTTCTGCTCTGATTTTAGTTATTTCTTGCCTTCTGCTAGCTTTTGAATGTGTTTGCTCTTGCTTTTCTAGTTCTTTTAATTGTGATGTTAGGGTGTCAATTTTGGATCTTTCCTGCTTTCTCTTGTAGGCATTTAGTGCTATAAATTTCCCTCTACACACTGCTTTGAATGTGTCCCAGCGATTCTGGTATGTGGTGTCTTTGTTCTCGTTGGTTTCAAAGAACATCTTTATTTCTGCCTTCATTTCGTTATGTACCCAGTAGTCATTCAGGAGCAGGTTGTTCAGTTTCCATGTAGTTGAGCGGCTTTGAGTGAGATTCTTAATCCTGAGTTCTAGTTTGATTGCACTGTGGTCTGAGAGATAGTTTGTTATAATTTCTGTTCTTTTACATTTGCTGAGGAGAGCTTTACTTCCAACTATGTGGTCAATTTTGGAATAGGTGTGGTGTGGTGCTGAAAAAAATGTATATTCTGTTGATTTGGGGTGGAGAGTTCTGTAGATGTCTATTAGGTCTGCTTGGTGCAGAGCTGAGTTCAATTCCTGGGTATCCTTGTTGACTTTCTGTCTCGTTGATCTGTCTAATGTTGACAGTGGGGTGTTAAAGTCTCCCATTATTAATGTGTGGGAGTCTAAGTCTCTTTGTAGGTCACTCAGGACTTGCTTTATGAATCTGGGTGCTCCTGTATTGGGTGCATAAATATTTAGGATAGTTAGCTCCTCTTGTTGAATTGATCCCTTTACCATTATGTAATGGCCTTCTTTGTCTCTTTTGATCTTTGTTGGTTTAAAGTCTGTTTTATCAGAGACTAGGATTGCAACCCCTGCCTTTTTTTGTTTTCCATTGGCTTGGTAGATCTTCCTCCATCCTTTTATTTTGAGCCTATGTGTGTCTCTGCACGTGAGATGGGTTTCCTGAATACAGCACACTGATGGGTCTTGACTCTTTATCCAACTTGCCAGTCTGTGTCTTTTAATTGCAGAATGTAGTCCATTTATATTTAAAGTTAATACTGTTATGTGTGAATTTGATCCTGTCATTATGATGTTAGCTGGTGATTTTGCTCATTAGTTGATGCAGTTTCTTCCTAGTCTCGATGGTCTTTACATTTTGGCATGATTTTGCAGCGGCTGGTACCGGTTGTTCCTTTCCATGTTTAGCGCTTCCTTCAGGAGCTCTTTTAGGGCAGGCCTGGTGGTGACAAAATCTCTCAGCATTTGCTTGTCTGTAAAGGATTTTATTTCTCCTTCACTTATGAAGCTTAGTTTGGCTGGATATGAAATTCTGGGTTGAAAATTCTTTTCTTTAAGAATGTTGAATATTGGCCCCCACTCTCTTCTGGCTTGTAGGGTTTCTGCCGAGAGATCCACTGTTAGTCTGATGGGCTTCCCTTTGAGGGTAACCCGACCTTTCTCTCTGGCTGCCCTTAACATTTTTTCCTTCATTTCAACTTTGGTGAATCTGACAATTATGTGTCTTGGAGTTGCTCTTCTCGAGGAGTATCTTTGTGGCGTTCTCTGTATTTCCTGAATCTGAACGTTGGCCTGCCTTGCTAGATTGGGGAAGTTCTCCTGGATAATATCCTGCAGAGTGTTTTCCAACTTGGTTCCATTCTCCACATCACTTTCAGGTACACCAATCAGACGTAGATTTGGTCTTTTCACATAGTCCCATATTTCTTGGAGGCTTTGCTCATTTCTTTTTATTCTTTTTTCTCTAAACTTCCCTTCTCGCTTCATTTCATTCATTTCATCTTCCATTGCTGATACCCTTTCTTCCAGTTGATCGCATCGGCTCCTGAGGCTTCTGCATTCTTCACGTAGTTCTCGAGCCTTGGTTTTCAGCTCCATCAGCTCCTTTAAGCACTTCTCTGTATTGGTTATTCTAGTTATACATTCTTCTAAATTTTTTTCAAAGTTTTCAACTTCTTTGCCTTTGGTTTGAATGTCCTCCCGTAGCTCAGAGTAATTTGATTGTCTGAAGCCTTCTTCTCTCAGCTCGTCAAAATCATTCTCCATCCAGCTTTGTTCTGTTGCTGGTGAGGAACTGCGTTCCTTTGGAGGAGGAGAGGCGCTCTGCGTTTTAGAGTTTCCAGTTTTTCTGTTCTGTTTTTTCCCCATCTTTGTGGTTTTATCTACTTTTTGTCTTTGATGATGGTGATGTACAGATGGGTTTTCGGTGTGGATGTCCTTTCTGTTTGTTAGTTTTCCTTCTAACAAACAGGACCCTCAGCTGCAGGTCTGTTGGAATACCCTGCCTTGTGAGGTGTCAGTGTGCCCCTGCTGGGGGGTGCCTCCCAGTTAGGCTGCTCGGGGTCAGGGGTCAGGGACCCACTTGAGGAGGCAGTCTGCACGTTCTCAGATCTCCAGCTGCGTGCTGGGAGAACCCCTGCTCTCTTCAAAGCTGTCAGACAGGGACACTTAAGTCTGCAGAGGTTACTGCTGTCTTTTTGTTTGTCTGTGCCCTGCCCCCAGAGGTGGAGCCTACAGAGGCAGGCAGGCCTCCTTGAGCTGTGGTGGGCTCCACCCAGTTCGAGCTTCCGGGCTGCTTTGTTTACCTAAGCAAGCCTGGGCAATGGCGGGCGCCCCTCCCCCCAGCCTCGTTGCCGCCTTGCAGTTTGATCTCAGACTGCTGTGCTAGCAATCAGCGAGATTCCGTGGGCGTAGGACCCTCTGAGCCAGGTGTGGGATATAGTCTCGTGGTGCGCCGTTTCTTAAGCCGGTCTGAAAAGCGCAATATTCGGGTGGGAGTGACCCGATTTTCCAGGTGCGTCCATCACCCCTTTCTTTGACTCGGAAAGGGAACTCCCTGACCCCTTGCGCTTCCCAGGTGAGGCAATGCCTCGCCCTGCTTCGGCGCGCGCACACACTGGCCTGCGCCCACTGTCTGGCACTCCCTAGTGAGATGAACCCGGTACCTCAGATGGAAATGCAGAAATCACCCGTCTTCTGCGTCGCTCACGCTGGGAGCTGTAGACCGGAGCTGTTCCTATTCGGCCATCTTGGCTCCTATTTCTGCTCGATAGTGTCTTTTTAAGGCACAAAATTTTAATTTTCATGAAGTCCAGTTGGCTATTTTTCTTTTGTTCCTGGTGCCTTTGGTGTCATATCCAAGAAATCACTGCCAAAACTAATATCATGAAGATTTTGCTCTACATTTTCTTCTAAGAGTTTTATAGTTCCAGGTTTTACATTTAGATGTTTCATCCATTTTGAGTTAATTTTTATACACGACATCTTTTCCCATCGAATGGTCTTGGCACCATTGTCAAAAATCATTTGATCATATATTCTAGGGTTTAATTCTGGGCTCTCTATTCTATTCCATTGGTCTCCATGGCTGTCAGTGTCACACTGTTTTGGTTACTATAGCTCTGCAGTAAGTTTTGAAATCAGAAAGTATGAGTCCTCCAACTTTGTTATTTTTTCAAGATTATCTTGACTATTTGGGGTCCTTTGAGACTCCATATAAATTTCAGAATGGCTTTTTTCTATTTCTTTGAAATAGAAAATTGTCCATATATATGTATAAAAATCAATTGTCCATATATATATAAAAATGTATATATATATATATATATATGTGTGTGTGTGTGTAGGTCTATTTTTATGCTCTATTCTATTCCATTATCTATTTGCCTACCTTTACACCAATAACAACTGGGATTTTTATAGGAATTGCATTGAATCCATAGGTTGCTTTGCATAGTACTGATATTTTAACAATATTAAGTTTTCCAATTCATGAACATGGGATATCTTTATACTTATTTATGTCTTCTTTAATTTCTTTCAGCAATGCTTTCTAGTTTTCATTATACAAGTTTTCACCTCCTTGATTAAGTTAATCACCAAGTTCTTTATTTTTTTCAATGCTACTGTAAATAGAATTGTTTACTTTATTTGCTTTTCAGATTGATCTTTTCAGTGTATAGAAATGCAATTGATTTTTGCATGTTGACCTTGTATCCTGCTACTTTGGTGAATTCATTTATTAGTTCTAACAATCTTTTTACAGATATTTTAGGGTTTAACATACAAGATCATATCATCTGTGAAGAGAAAAAGTATTCCTTCTTCATTTCCAATTTGGAAGCCTTTTATTTCTTTTTCTTGCCTAATTGCTTCTCCTAGAACTTCCAGTGCTGTGTTAAATAGAAGTGGCAAAAGTGGGCATCCTTGTATTGTTTTTGCTTTCACCATTGAGTATGATGTTCACCGTAGGTTTTTCTTATATGGTCTTTATTATGTTGGGGTAATTTCCTTCTATTCTTAGATTGTTGAGTCTGAGTTAGTTTTCGTATATTGTACAAGATACAGATTGAAGTTCATGTTTTTGCACATAGATATCCAATTGTTTCAGCATTATTTGTTAAAAAGACTACCTTTCTCCTTTATAAAAAATCAATTGTCCACATATATATATATATATATATATATATATATATATATATATATATATATATATGTATAGGTCTATTTTCATGCTGTATTCTGTTCCATTATCTATTTGCCTATCTTTACACCAATAACATGCTATCTTGATTACTGGAGCTAATAATATAAATATTATGGAGTACAAGTCTTGCAATTTTCTTCTTCTTTCTGAAATTTGTTTTGGCTATTTTAGGGCTTCTACATTTTCATAAGAATTTTTAATCATCAGTTTGTCAATTTATATTAAAAGTCTGCTAAGAATTTTATTGGAATTGTGTTAAATCTATAGGTCAATTTGAAGAGAATGGTTATCTTAACAATATTGAGTTTCTTGAACCATAAACATCATACATTTATCCATTTATTTGAATTTATAATTATTTTTTTTTGAGACAGAGTTTCACTCTGTCACCCAGGCTGGAGTGCAGTGGCATGATCTCGGCTCACTGCAACCTCTGCCTCCCAGGTTCAAGCAATTCCCCTGCCTCAGCCTACTAAGTAGCTGGGATTACAGGCGCGTGCCACCACACCCAGCTAATTTTCATATTTTTAATAGAGACGGGTTTTGCTATGTTGGCCAGGCTGGTCTCGAACTCCTGACCTCAGGTGATCCACCCACCTCAGACTCCCAAAGTGCTGGGATTACAGGCGATATTTGAATATTTTTAGGATTCCATTTTATTTCATTTTTGGCATATAAGCTAAAATGCTTCATTTTGTCACTTTGATGGCTTCTTTGAGGTTTATAACTTACATCTTTAACTTACCACAGTATACCTTCAAGTAACGTGATACCATTTTACATGCATTATAAAAAGAACCTTATAATATCATACTTCCTTTTATGATCGTCTTCCAATTCATGAACATGGCATGTCTTTATACTTATTTATGACTTCTTTAATTTCTTTCAGCAATGCTTTGTAGTTTTCATTGGACAAGTTTTTCACCTCCTTAATTTATCCTTTTCTGGCATTTATACTATTACTGTCATACATAATTTACTTATACACATATTATAAACCCTACAACAGATGATTATTATTTGTATTTAAAGAGTCAATCTTTAAAAGATGCTTAATTTAGGAGAAACTTTTAAAATATAGTTACCTATGTAGCTATCATTTCTGGTGCAGTCATTCCTTTGAGAAGATCCATATTTCCACCTGATATCTTCCTTCTGCCTAAAGAACTTCCTTCAACAATTCTTATGGGGCAGGTGTAGTGTAGCATTTGTATGTCTGAAAATGTCTTTATTTTACCTTCATTTTTAAAAGATATTTTTGCTGGGTATGAAATTTTAGGTTAACAATTTTATTCTTTTAGTACTTTAAAGATGTTGCTTCACTTGCATGAATGACAGGAGGCAGAGAATCTACTGTCATTCTTAACTTTGTTCCCATATATGTAATATGTCTATTTTTTCTAAGGGCTTTTTAAATTTTTTTCTGTACCAGTGGTCTTGAGCAATTTGATTATGATGTGACTTGATGCCATTTTTTTTCATGCTTCTAGTGCTTGGAGTTCATTGACATTCTTGGATTCATAGTTTTCATCAAGTTTGGAAACTTTTCTATTATTTCTTCAAATATTTTTTCTGTCTCCCTATCTCTTCTCCTTTTGGTACTCTAATTGCCCATGTATTAGCCAACCTGAAGTTGTCTCAGAGTTCACTGATGCTCTGTTCATCTTTTTTAAATTCTATTTTTCCTTTTTATATTTCACTTTGGAGAGTTTCTACTGCAATATCTTCAAGTTCACTTGTTTTTTTCTTCTGCAATGTCTAATCTGCCATTAATCCCATCCAGTATATTTTTCATCTCAGATCTTGTCATTTTCATCTCAAGAAGTTAGATTTGGGTGTCTTTTTAATATCTTCCATGCCTCTACTTAACTTTATGAATATATGGAATATGGTTTTAGTAATTTTTAATATCTTTGTTTTCATATTCTAAAATATGTGCCAGTTCTGAATTGCTTTCAATTCAGTGATTATTCTCCTCATTATGGGGAATAATGTTAATATTTTTCTGCTTCTGTGCAAGCCTGGTAACCTTTGACTAAATGCTAGACATCTTGAATTTTACCTTGTTGGGTGCTGGATATTTTTATATTCCCATACTTTATGCTAGGATACAGTTAAGTTATTTAGAAACAGATTAATCATTTCATTACTGCTGTTTTAATTTGTTAGATCCAGAGCAGGACACAGTCTAGGGTTAACTATTCCCCCAATACTGAGGTGAGAGCTTCCTGAGTATTCTATTCAATGCCTCCTGGATTATGAGTTTTTAAAGTATGCCTAGTGGGAACAGTCACTGTTCTTGGTCCTGAATGAATGCTGGGCACTGTTCTTTTTCATTCTCTTGGATGATTCTTTCCTCAACCTCAGATTGTTTCCTCAAATGTGTGTGCTGATCAGTAGTATGCTGCATCCTTATGGAGGATCTCCTGCAGAGCTCCACAGTCTTCTGTCTGTGTAGTTCTCTCCTCTCTGGTACTCTATCCTGCAGACCATCATCACTTGGTCTTGCTGGACTCTTTTTCTTTTTTCCAAGACAAAGTCTCACTCTGTTGCCCAGTGAGATCTCGGCTCACTGCAACTTCCGCCTCCTGGGTTCAAGAGATTCTCCCGCTTCAGCTTCCCGAGTAGCTGGGATTACAGGCACTCACCATCATGCCTGGCTAACGTTTGTACTTTTGGTAGAGATGGGGTTTCACCATGTTGGCCAGTCTGGTCTTGAACTCCTGACCTCAGGTGATCCGCCTGCCTTGGCCTTCCAAAATGCTGGGATTACAGGCTTGAGCCACCATGCCTGGCCATCTTGCTGGACTCTTAAGTCTATCTCCTTAACTCAAGATGTCTAACAGGTTCTGCCTAGCATACCCCTCCCTGCACCAAGACCAGGAAACTCTCAAGGCAGTAAGCTGGGGACATTTTATGACTCAATTCATTTATTTTCTATCTCTGAGTGATAACTATCTTTTGTTGTCTAAAGTCCAAGGTTTTGAAAAACATTATTTCATATATGTTATCTGGGTATTTTTGGTTGTTTCAAGTGAGAAGGTAAATCCAATCCCTGGTGCTCCATCTTGGCTAGAAACAAGTTATTTTTTCCTTATTGTTGTTTGGTGTTCTCTTGTATAAACACACTATAATGTATTTCTCCATTCTCTTATTGATGGACTTTTGGGTTATTTCCAGTTTAGCTTTATTGTAAAGGAAACTACTCTGAATATTGTTATCCATGTGTTTTGGTGGATATATGTCCATATTTATCTTGGGTAAATACCTAGGAATACAGTAGCCAGATCATAGCATGGGCAATGTTTAGCTTTAAGATACACTGACAGTTTTTCAAAGTGGTTTACCATTTAAACTCCCACCAGCAGTGTATGAAAGTTCCAATTGCTTCCTATCCTCACCAACACTGGTAGTGTTTTTTATTTTAGCCATTCTGGTAGTGTCACACTGAGATTTTAATTTGTAGTTACCTAAGGACTAATGATTTTGATTGACTACCTTTTCATATGCTTATCAGCCATTTGGATATCATCTCACATGAACTGTCTGTTTAAGCCATTTAAATTGACTGGCTTAACTTTTTCTTAATGATCTGAAGGGGTTCTTTATATATTCTGAATAAAAATCTTTTACCAAATATATTGTTGTAAACATCTTTACCCTGTCCATGGCGTATCTTTTCACTGTTTTTATGATGTGTTTCAATTTTTAAACAACCTCGACTCGAATGTAGTACAATTTTATGGTTACTGATTTTTGTGTCTTGTTTAAGAAACCTTTGCCTACATCAAATTACGAAGCTATTCTCAAATGTTTTCCTCTAGGAGCATTACTGTTTTTTCCTTTCTTCTTATTGAATATAGCAGCAATAATTTGAGTTTTATGTAGCCTAAAATTTTTTTCCCCTTCTATAGGCTTTCTGTTCAATATCCAACTGCAAGACATTGTCAAGGGGCAATTTGAAGTCACTGGTTGCACATCCTACCGCATTAATAGTGCCTGTAACCCATCACGAGGTCCTCTGCTGTTTGCATCGTGACCTGCTTATCAGTTAGCAACACAAATATTTTACCTCACCCTTACTTCATTCTGCAGTATCTCTGTTCTCTTAGAGTTTCTATAAATAACAGGTTAAAAAAGCAGTTCCCCTTGGCTGGTGGCCGTGACAATGAGTTTTTAGTTCCTGTAGCTTTCATTGTTTCTAAATTCTCTATAATAAACATAAATATTTTTAATTTAAAAAGTTAACAAAAAAAAAGTTTGAGCAGTTGTGATTAAAGTGTATGTGTGATTTTTCATATGTGGAGCTAAAAAATACAATGTCTCACAATCTTTCCTGCATACAGTATGTTGACCATACACATTATGACTTGTAAAAAAACTTGTTCATGGAGTGTCTGCTAGGCAGACAGTAGAATAGTTCATTAATTTTAAAGCATTCTACAATCGACATATTTTCCCTTACTAATAACTTATTGTTTTATTAAAGTCTTGCTCAAGTTTTTTCCTACTCTTGGTTTCACTTTATCCACAAATGAAGCCACAGAAAGTTTTAAAAATGTAGTCATTTGCCAAGTATCTTTAATTAATTGCCAAGAATGGAAGTTGAATAGTTCTTTGTGATACTGTTCATATTGCAGGAACATGAGGACGACTTCTGGGCAGAAACATCTGGAAAGAGCTACTTAAACTCTGTACCAGCGTCCTCTTTTCCTGCACTGTTGTGGGACAGTTTTTGCAGAGATGTATCAAGTCACCTGAGCAGCATTTGGAAATGCATAGTTTACTTGACAGCATTTACAAATTATGTCTTTTCCTCAGAATAACTTACACTGTAGAAATGCTTCCATATGCTAAAGTTGGACACACCATTGTATTGAGAAAAAAAGTGATGTCTTTTAGTAGCAGTTTTCATATACATACTAAACTACAGTGTACACAAATTAATAATGTTGTCCCTTAAGAATTTACCATAAATGGTTTTCTAATTCTTTATGCCCCAGCTGTCTGCTAAAGATTGTGAGTAGATTTTGCCACAAAACAGTGGGTCAGCAAAAATTGAATTATGATTATCTAAGTAATGAAAACAATTTGATCACAATGGTAAGTCTTATGCCTTGATGAAAAAAATACTTTTACCCAAAATCTTCTGTGTTTCTTAAAGTCCCAGGAGCAGAAAATTTCCCACTTCAAATTCCAAAACACGTATACTTGCAGTTAACACCTTTCTATCCTGACTTTAGAGCAAGAGTTGGCAAACTGTGCCCCATGGGCCAAATCTAGCTCACTACCTGTTTTTGTAAATAAAGTTTTATTGGAACACAGCCATGCTTATTCATTTACACATTGTCTATGGCTGGCTTTGTGCTACAAAAGCAGAGTTGAAGAATTGTGACAGACTTTATAGCACAGAAAGCCTAAAATATTCTCAACAACCCTTTATTTAAAAACATGTTGACTCCTGTTTTAATAAGCATTTCCTCATTTCACATCTTGCAGGAATAAATGGATGTTACTACTACTAGTACTGCTTCTGCTGCCAAGTTTTTGAGCACATAACCAGGATGACAACCACAGTTCCACAAAGCTCTGATAAAACATCAAAAAGAAACTCACCACCAAGGAAACCAGAGAATCCTTTCTTGTCTTGAGTGAATGGCAATGATCTTGGTGGCCAAGATAATAAATACACGTTTATTATATTGAAAAACTATTCTAAAATATATGTTCTCTATATAAAGTAATCTCCACATGATTCTGAGAAAAAGTTTAATCTATCTTTCTACTACAAAGTTCTTAATAATGCTTTGACAAGGAGGTACCATATCCCAAGATGTGATACACTTTGCTCAGTTTTTAAATTAAACATTCTAGAGTAACTTATAGAGTGATGTCAGCATGATGGCCAACTAGAGTTGCCTGACACAAAAAGGTACCAAAACAATAAATAAACTACACTTTGACTGGAGTTACTGATGAAGTACACTGGAAAGCACCGGGGGAGCAACAAAATTTCTATAGAGCATGGAAGCCCAGGATAGCACCACAGAGAGGGAAGTGAGATATCCTCCCTCTGCCACATGGTATCCCCCACCAGGACCAGCTCAGAGCCAGGGAAACTTCTTCTCACGGGGAAAAAGTAAGCTGGAATCCTTTGCCCCATCACCTCCATAGACAGGAACAGTCATTGCTATAAAAGGGTCTCCCAGTCCTCACAGGACCAGAAACCAGTGTGGACAGTTACTGGGAGTTCATGTGGCTGCATTGCCCCAGAACAGGAAACACTTTAGCATTCCAACCTCCATGACCTAAGCTGCTATAGCATGGTGCCATCTTGAAACTTGACCCATTGCTGGAGTGCATCTTGTGTTGGGGGTCAGTAGCCACCAATCCCCTCCATCTCTGAGGTTCCACCGTCATTCCAGTACATTCATAAGGGAGTCTACAGCACCAATACGCCAGCTGCCCAGAGCCTAGGCCTAAAGGAACAACCAAGACCACAACATCTGAATTCATCAGGTACCCTATTCCCTAGGGAAATAAGCAAACTTCACAGTGGGGAAACCCTGTGAAGTCACCCAGCTCATATGCTCTCATACCCATCATAACAGCCAGCCTGAAAGTGGCTCTACCCCACTGGTGAGATCCTGGCACAGCTGCCCAGCCACCTCTGGTTCAATAGCTGGCCTAGAGATGTCTCACCTCCCTCTCCCTACAGAGAGAGCACCACATAACCACTCAGGCACCCCACACACACCCTTGGCCTGACAGCCTGACTGGAGGTGGCTCAGAAAGAGCCCCATGCAGCCACACAGCACACCACACCACAACTCAACAGCCAGTGCAGCAGTGGCTCCACCTTCCTAGAAAGCCCACCAAACAGCCTGCTGGCCCACCACACCCACACATGCTTAGCCTGACAACCAACCTGGCACCCCCACCACTAGCAAACCTGCACCACTGCATCACAAATTCCTGCAGCCTAGGCCACTGAGAAAATTGCAGACACCACAGATGAAGATTACAGTTGAAAAATCTGTACAGAGACCATGTTACTGAGTCCACCCAGAACCAAAGTCAACATACCATTCCCGACCAACAACCCAGGATCCATTTACAGGAAAAAGGCTCTT
Source organism: Homo sapiens (assembly GCF_000001405.40). Classification (NCBI taxonomy): domain Eukaryota; kingdom Metazoa; phylum Chordata; class Mammalia; order Primates; family Hominidae; genus Homo; species Homo sapiens. Next base: position 71,165,555 of record NC_000015.10, on the reverse strand, counting down.
GCTATGAAAGTTAATCCATAAAATTACAAAAATGACTGTTTTGGCAGTACATTGAGCTCCACAGAGACAGCGCCAGGGCAAGTGAGAGCCGGACGGGCACTGGGCGACTCTGTGCCTCGCTGAGGAAAAATAACTAAACATGGGCAAAGGAGATCCTAAGAAGCTGAGAGGCAAAATGTCATCATATGCATTTTTTGTGCAAACGTCGGGAGGAGCATAAGAAGAAGCACCCAGATGCTTCAGTCAACTTCTCAAGAGTTTTCTAAGAAGTGCTCAGAGAGGTGGAAGACCATTTCTGCTAAAGACAAAGGAAAATTTCAAGATATGGCAAAGGTGGACAAGGCCCATTATGAAAGAGAAATGAAAACCTACATCCCTCCCAAAGGGGAGACAAAAAAGAAGTTCAAGGATCCCAATGCACCCAAGAGGCCTCCTTCGGCCTTCTTCCTCTTCTGCTCTGAGTATCGCCCAAAAATCAAAGGAGAACATCCTGGCCTGTCCATTGGTGATGTTGCGAAGAAACTGGGAGAGATGTGGAATAACACTGCTGCAGATGACAAGCAGCCTTATGAAAAGAAGGCTGCGAAGCTGAAGGAAAAATACGAAAAGGATATTGCTGCATATCGAGCTAAAGGAAAGCCTGATGCAGCAAAAAAGGGAGTTGTCAAGGCTGAAAAAAGCAAGAAAAAGAAGGAAGAGGAGGAAGATGAGGAAGATGAAGAGGATGAGGAGGAGGAGGAAGATGAAGAAGATGAAGATGAAGAAGAAGATGATGATGATGAATAAGTTGGTTCTAGCGCAGTTTTTTTTTCTTGTCTATAAAGCATTTAACCCCCCTGTACACAACTCACTCCTTTTAAAGAAAAAAACTGAAATGTAAGGCTGTGTAAGATTTGTTTTTAAACTGTACAGTGTCTTTTTTTGTATAGTTAACACACTACCGAATGTGTCTTTAGATAGCCCTGTCCTGGTGGTATTTTCAATAGCCACTAACCTTGCTTGGTACAGTATGGGGGTTGTAAATTGGCATGGAAATTTAAAGCAGGTTCTTGTTGGTGCACAGCACAAATTAGTTATATATGGGGATGGTAGTTTTTTCATCTTCAGTTGTCTCTGATGCAGCTTATACGAAATAATTGTTGTTCTGTTAACTGAATACCACTCTGTAATTGCAAAAAAAAAAAAAAAAGTTGCAGCTGTTTTGTTGACATTCTGAATGCTTCTAAGTAAATACAATTTTTTTATTAGTATTGTTGTCCTTTTCATAGGTCTGAAATTTTTCTTCTTGAGGGGAAGCTAGTCTTTTGCTTTTGCCCATTTTGAATCACATGAATTATTACAGTGTTTATCCTTTCATATAGTTAGCTAATAAAAAGCTTTTGTCTACCCACCCTGCATATCATAATGAGGGTAAAGTTAAGTTGAGATAGTTTTCATCCATAACTGAACATCCAAAATCTTGATCAGTTAAGAAATTTCACATAGCCCACTTACATTTACAAACTGAAGAGTAATCAATCTACTCAAAGCATGGGATTACTAGAATCAAACATTTTGAAAGTCTGTCCTTGAAGGACTAATAGAAAAGTATGTTCTAACCTTTACATGAGGACTCTATTCTTTAACTCCCATTACCATGTAATGGCAGTTATATTTTGCAGTTCCCACATTAAAGAAGACCTGAGAATGTATCCCCAAAAGCGTGAGCTTAAAATACAAGACTGCCATATTAAATTTTTTGTTGACATTAGTCTCAGTGAAGACTATGAAAATGCTGGCTATAGATGTCTTTTCCCATTTATCTAAATATGGACTGCTCAGGAAACGAGACTTTCCATTACAAGTATTTTTAATTAATTGGGCCAGCTTTTCAAACAAAGATGCCACATTCAAAATAGGGTATATTTTCCTATATTACGGTTTGCCCCTTTATAAATCCAAGTAGATAGGAGGAAAGAAGACACTTAAACTTTGCATCTCAGTATGAATTATTCAATTTATTTGAATGATTTTTCTTTACAAAACAAACTCATCATTAGTCATGTTTATCTGCTTAGCAGTTTAGGGAACAATTTGGCAATTTTGTGGTTTTCGAGATTATCGTTTTCTTAAAGTGCCAGTATTTTAAAATAGCGTTCTTATAATTTTACACGCTTTTGTGATGGAGTGCTGTTTTGTTATATAATTTTGACTTGGATTCTTTCCATTTGCATTTGTTTATGTAATTTCAGGAGGAATACTGAACATCTGAGTCCTGGATGATACTAATAAACTAATAATTGCAGAGGTTTAAAAAAAAAAATGACTGTTTTACTAGATGCACAGACATCAACACAGGGACACAAGAAACATGAAAAAGCAAGGAAATATTATACCCCTAAAGGAGCATAATAAGTCTTCATTAACTGACCCCAAAGAAAAGGCTATTTATGAAATGCCCAAAAAGCAATTCATAATAATGATTTTAAGGAAATTCAGTAAGATATAAAAGAACACAGACAAACAAGTCAATGAAATCAGGAAAACAATTCGTGAGCCGAATTAGAAATTCAATAAAGAGACAGATATACAAAAAAGAACCAAATAAATCTTAGAGCTAATGAATTTAATGAATGAATTAAAACATACAATTAAGAGCTTCAACAACAGACCAGATCAAGCAGAAGAAAGAATTTCTGAACTTGAAGGCAAGCCTTTTGAAATAACCCAGTCAGAAGGAAAAAAAGAAATAAGAATTAAAAAGAACAAAGAAAGCACATGGGACTTATGGGACACCATTAAGGGAACAAATATTTGCATTATAGGACTTCAGAAGGAGAAGAAATGGAGAAAGGCACAGGAAATCTATTTAACGACAACAACAATATTTTCTAAGTCTTGGGAGAGATACAGACATCCACATTCAGGAAGGTCAAAGGTCTTCAGTGAGATACAACCCCCAAAAAACCTCTCTGGGGCACATTATAAACAAACTGCCAAAAGTCAAAGACAGAATTCTAAAACCTTCAAGAGAAAAACATCAAGTTACATACAAGAGTATCTCCGTTAGACTACCAGCAGATTTTTTTTTTAGCAGAAACCTTTCAGGCCAGGAGAGAATGAGATGACATATTCAAAGTGTTGAAAGAAGAAAAAGCTGTCAACCAAGTAAGAATACTATTTCCAGCAAAGCTGTTTTTCAGAAATGAAGAGGAAATAAAGACCTTCCCAGACAAGCAAAAACTGAGAGAATTCATCACTACTATACTGGCCTTACAAGAAATCCTTATAGAATTGCTATAGCTGGAAACAGCAAGACAATAATTACCATCATGAAAACATGTGAAAATACAAAACCAGTCTGGGTAAATCCATAGTCATACTCTGAATACCCTAGTGCTGTAATGGTGTTATGTAAATCTTTCAATTCTCTAGTATGAAGGTTTAAAGCCAAAAAAAGTCAAAAACATAAACAACTACAATTAGTGGCTGAGGAACATACAAAAGATGCAGATGTAAATTAAGGCAACCAAAACACAAATTGGGGGGTGAAAGAAAAATGTAAAGTACTTTAATGCAACTAAAGTTAAGTTGTTTTCAGCTTGAAATAGTCTATTATAACTAAGACTATTTATGCTATCCCCATGGTAACCACAAAGAAAGAAATTACAACAGATACACAAATAAACATGAGAAAAGAAACAAAGCTTAACACCACAGAAAACCACTAAACCACACATGTAAACAAGCAAGGAAGAAAGAAACAAAGGATCTTCAAAATAACCAGGAAACAACAAAATGACAGAAAACCTTACCTATCAATAACAACCTTGAATGTAAATGGATTAAATGCTCTAATTTAAAAAAAATAGAGTAACTGAATGGATTAAAAAAAAACAAGATCCAACTATATGGTGCCTAAAAGAAACTCACCTCGCCATTAAAGACAAACACAGACTGAAAGTGAAGAGGTAGAAAAACATATTCCATGCAAACAGAAACCAAAGGCAAGCAGGAGCAGCCATTCTTACATGAGATGAAATAGACTTTAAATCCAAAACTGTAAAAAGAAGGTCATTATATAGTGAAAGAGGGGTCACTTCAATAAGAGGATATAATCATTATAAATACGTATGCACCCAACACTGGAGCATCTAAATATATAAAGCAAATATTATTGTATCAATATTAGAGATAGACTGCAATACAATAGTAGAAGGGGGCTTCAACACCCCACTTTCAACAACAGACAGATCACCTAGACAGACAATCAACAAAGAAAAGCTGGACTTACACTGCACCATAGACCAAATGGACCTAACAAATAATTACAGAACATTCCATCCAAGAGATGCAGAATACACATTCTTCTCAATTGCACATGGAACATTCCCCAGGTTAGATCACACGTCAGGCCACAAAACAAGTCTTAACAAATTTAAAAAGATAATGTAACATGTATCTTTTCATTCCACAATGGTGTAAAACTAGAAACCAACAAGAAAAACTTTGAAAACCTTACAGATACATGAACATTAAACAAGATGCTTCTAAACAACCAGTAGGTTGATGAAGAAATTAAAAGGGAAATTTTAATTTCCTTGAGACAAGCAAGAATAGTTAATAGGTTTTTTGGTGCTTTTCTCCATTACCTCCTGTGACTCCTACCTCAAAAATCAAGAAATATTTCTAATAAATAATTTAACCATGAACCTCAAGAACAAACTAAACCCAAAATTGCTAGAAGGAAGGAAATAATAAAGCTCAGAGCAGAAATGAACAAAAGATACTAAAAAAAAAAAAATTTTAAGATCAACAAAATAAACAGTTTGTGTTTTGAAAAGGTGAACAAAATTGACAAACCTTAGGTACACTAAGAAAAAAAAGAGAAAAGACTCAAATAAATAAAATCAGGTATGAAAAAGGAGACATGACAACTGATAACACAGAAAGACACTATTATGAACAACTATACACCAATAAATTTAAAAACACAGAATAAATGGATAAATTCCTGGATGTATACAACCTACCAAGATTAAATTATGAAAAGACAGGAAACCTGAAGAGATCAATAGCATATAAGGAAGTTGAATCAGTAACAAAAAGTCTTTAATCAAAATAAAACCCAGGACCAGATAGCTTCACTGCTGTATTCTACAAACAATTTAAAGAAGACTCAATACCAATTCTCTTCAAACTATTCCAGAAAATTGAGGAAGGGGAAACACTTCAAAACTCATTTTATAAGACCAGCATTATCCTGATTCCAAAACCAGACAAGGATACAACAAAAAAAAGAAAACTATGGGCCAATATTCCTGATGAACATAGATGCAAAAATTCTCAACAAGACGCAAACTGAATTCAGTAGCATATTATAAATATTATTCACTAATATCAAGTGGGATTCATCCCAGGGATGGAAGGATGATTCAACATATGTAAATCAATACATGTGACACACCACATGAACAAAAAGAAAGACAAAAACCATATGATCATTTCAAAAGATGCAGAAAAAGCAAATGACAAAATTCAACATTCCTTCATGATAATAACTGTCAACAAATTAAGTATAGAAGGTATGTACCATAACACAATAAAGGTCGTATATGACAAAGTCACAGCTAACATTATACTGGATAATGTATACAGAATAGTATAAATTATATTAACATTATACTGAGCAAAGCTTTCACCTTTTCCTCTAAGAACAGGAACAAGGTAAGGATGCCCACTTTCACCACCCAAATCAACATAGGAATTCCTAGCCAGAGCAATTAGGCAAGAGAAAAAAATAAAGGGCATCCAAATTGGAAAGAAGGAAATCATATTGTCCCTGTATGCAATGACACAATCTTATATACAGAAAACCCTAAAGACTCTACCAAAAAACTCTTAGAACTAATAAACAAATTCTTCTCAGAGGACACAAAAAATCAAAATTCAAAAATCAGTAGCATTTCTATATGTTAATTGCAAACTATCTGAAAAAGAAATCAAGAAAATAATTACATTAACAATGGTACACACAAACAAAAATAAGATACCTAGGAATAAACTTAAGTAAGGAGGTGAAAGAGCTCTACAATGAAAACTTTAAAAACAATAGGATAATAACCCATGTTCATAGATTGGAGGAATTAATGTTGTTAAAATGGCCATACAAGCCAAAGCAATTTACAGATTTAATGCAGTTCTTATCAAAATAATAATGACATTAGTCACAGAAATTGAAAAAATAATCCTAAAATTCATATGGAACCACAAAAGACCCCAAATAGGCACAGTAATCCTGAGCAAAAAGAACAAAACTGGAAGCATCACACAACCTGACTTCAAAATATACTACACATCTATAGTAACCAAAGCAGCATGGTACTGGCATAAAGCAGACATATAGGCCAATGGAACAGAATAGAGAGCCCAGAAATAAATTCAAACATCATCTGATTTTCAACAAAGATGCCAGGAACACATATTGAGGAAAAGACAATCTCTTCAATAAATAATGCTGGGAAAACTAGATATCCAACTGAGAAGAAGAGACTAGACCCCTACCTACTAAAATCAACTGAAAATGGATTAAAGATTCAAACATAAAACCCAAAATTATGAAACTACTAAAACAAAACATAAGGTTTTATTCAGTGTCATAAAGCACACTGGGCTGGGCAAAGATTTTAGAAATAAGATCTCAAAAGCACAGGAAACAAAAGCAAAGATAAACAAATGGAATGACATCAAACTTTGCTTCTGCACAGCAATGGAAACAGTGAAGTGAGGGGGTGTAAATTTCCACAATAAACTGAAAAGACAACATACAGAATGGGAGAAAATATTTGCAACTATACATCTGACAAGGGGCTAATATCCAGAATATGTAAGGAACTTAAATAACTCAACATCAAAAAAAAAAAACCAACTCAACAATCTGATTAAATAGGCAAATGATCTGAATAGACATTTATCAAAAGAAAACATACAAATGGCCAAAAAATATATTTTGAAATGCTCAACATCACTGATCATCAGGGAAATGCAAACCAAAACCACAGTGAGATACCACCTCCCTCCAGTTAGAACAGCTATCATCAAAATGACAAAAGAAAACAAGTGTTGGCCAGGCGCGGTGGCTCCCACCTGTAATCCTAACACTTTGGAAGGCCGAGGTGGGCAGATCACCTGAGGTCGGGAGTTCAAGACCAGCCTGATCAACATGGAGAAACCCCGTCTCTACTAAAAATACAAAATTAGCCAGATATGGTGGCGCATGCCTGTAATCCCAGCTACTCAGGAGGCTGAGGCAGAAGAATCACTTGAGCCCAGGAGGTGGAGGTTGCAGTGAGCTGAGATCGCGCCACTGCACTCCAGCCCAGGAGACAGTGTGAGACTCCATCTCAAAAAAAAAAAAAAAAAAAAAAAGATAAGTGTTGGTAAGGATGTGGAAGAAAATGAACACTTACGTACTGTGGGTAGGACTGTAAATTAGTACAGCCACCATGAACAACAGTAGGAGCCTCCTTAATAAACTAAAAATAGAACCACCATAGGATCCAACAATCCCACAATTGCATATATATCCAAAGGAAATGAAATCAGAATGTTCAAGAAACATCTGTGCCCCTATGTTTACTGCAGCACTATTCACAGTAACCAAGGTATGTATTCAGCCCAACTGTCCAACAACAAATGAACAGAAAAGAAAATGTGGTGTATATATACACAATGGAAATACTATTTGTCCATTAAAAAGAATGAAATCTTGTCATTTGTGACAACATGGATGGACCTGGAGGTTATTATGTTTAAAGTGAAATAAGCCGACACAGAAAGACAAATACCACAGATCTCACTCATATGTGGAATCTGAAAAAAAAAAAAAAAAAAAAAAGAGTTGATATAGAAGCAGAAAGGAGAACAGAGGTTACCAGAGACTGAGGAGAAGAGGGGAAAGAAAAGAGGGGAGAGTGGGCAGAGGTTGGTCAATGGGTACAAAGTTACCATAGATAGGGGGAATAAGTTCTGGTGTTCTATTACCCAGTAGGTTGATGATGGTTAACAGTAAGGTATTATATATGACAAAATAGCTAGAAGAGAGGCTTTTGAATGTTCTCACCACAAAAAAAAATGATAAATGCATGAGGTGACTAGAATGCTAAATACCCTGATTTGATCATTATATAATACATATGTATTAAAATACCACCAAATTGTATGCATAAATATGTATAATTACTATGTGTCAATTTAAAAATTTTAATGATAAAATAACTCATAAATCTTTTTTTCCCCATCTCTCAGAGCAAACACTTGAAGAAAGATGAGAGTGATACCTATTTGGGGACCTTTTGTTCAGGTTACGCACATATCATTCAGCTTAACTTGAAAAATTACAGGAGACAGCAAAGTAAATTGATCACGTATAAAGTATTTTCCGTTATGATAGCCTATTTGAGCAACAACAACAAGAGGAACACAGTAAATTGACTCAACTCTTAGGATTAACAACCCTGATAATTCTAAACATTAATAAATAATATAACTTCATAATAAAAGTAGGCAGTTGTCCTTTCTGACTCCTGATATTATGAATAGAGATGATGCAGCAGAGTAAGCAGGGGAGGGGGGTGCCAATTTCCAGGTGAATCCATTGAAATGATGCTTAGACCTTGGCCAGGTTTTCCATTCAGTCAGTCATTCAACAAGGATTTTATTGAGCACCTACAACATGCCAGGCTGTATTCTAGGAGCTGGGAATAGGGCCATGAACAAGACCAGTAAGTTCCTACTTTCACGGAGTTGACATCCTAGTGGGAGATACAGTACAATAGAGGTTTATACCTGGCCCAGAAAAACAGAGCCCAAACAGAAAATAAATTAGACTATAATCAGATAAGAACGCAAAGAACTGCTCCCAAGAAGGGTCATGTTTAGCCAAATATGTGCACATACTCTTTTTTCTTGGCCCCCTTCTGTCCTGAATTTCCCCTATGAAAACCCTCTCTCAGGCCAGTGCAGCGGCTCACACCTATAATCCCAGCACTTTGGGAGGCCGAGGTGGGTGGATCACCTGATTGAGGTCAGGAGTTCGAGACTAGCCTGGCCAACATGGTGAAACACTGTCTCTACTGATCATACAAAAAAAATCAGCTGGGTGTGGTGGCGCAGGCCTGTAATCTCAGCTACTTGGGAGGATGAGGCAGAAGAATCACTTGAACCCAGGAGGCGGAGGTTGCAGTGAGCCAAGATCGTGCCATTGCACTCCAGCCTGGGTGACAAGAGCGAAACTCCATCTCAAAAAAAAAAAAAAGAAAACCCCCTCTCAGAAAAGGAGCCGACCAACTTGCTCACACTTAGATACAAATAACTGATCTCTTCTCAGGAGTCTGAATTTGATTCCAGGTAAACAGGAGGAGCTCCTAGGTAGCAGAAAGGGCTTCTAGGGACTTTCTAAGAGTCCTATCATGCATTGTCTCTAAGGAAACATTGATCAAGGATCTGCTCAGTTGCAGAGCAGCATTAGGCTTGTTCAGGCAATGGTGGATGGTTCATTTACTATAAAACACACAAAGCCTGAAGGGAAGCATATGCAATACTGTCCATTTGCTCCTTCTCCACCCAGTCCTATGGCCCGGGAGGCTGGCCTTTGGGGACTGCATCAAAGCCTTCTTGTCTTCTGGTTGGTTTGGCCAAAGGGAGTCACCAGCAGGAAATAAGGGGTGAGAGGAAAGAGAAGGCCAGGTTCTTATCTTCCAGTTCCATCCCTGCCGGCCATCAGTTGGCAGTGACTGCGTCCCTCTACTGAAGATCATGACTCCCTATCAGGGGGTTCTCTTGCATAGCAACAGCCATAGCTACAGCTGCAGCTCTATCCCTGCCCTTGACCTTGAAGGTGCCCCAAGAGAGGGTAAAAGCTCCATACTGGTCTCCTCCATTCCCAAGTGGGTTCCTTAAGCCCTGCCCATGCCTTTGTAGAGTGCTCTCACTGACCTCTCAACTGTCCATTCTAGCAAACACATGTTGCAAAGCTGGCACTGCTCTCAGATCAGAGACCAACTGCAGGTACCAGCTTCATGTTTTAAGCTCCGTGACATGGTTCAGATCTGTGTCCCCACCCAAATCTCATGTCGAATTGTAATCTCCAATATTGGAGGCGGGGCCTGGTGGAAGGTGATTGGATCATAGGGATAGTTCCTCATGGTTTAACACTATCCCCCTTGGTGCAGTCATGGCAATAAAGAGTTCTCATGAGATCTGGTTGTTTAAAAGTGTATGGCACCTCCCCGTTCTCTCTCTTGCTTCTTCTCCAGCCATGTGAAGTGCTGTTCCCCCTTTGTCTTCCGCCATAATTGTAAGTTTCCTGAGGCCTCCACAGAAGCCACGCAGATGACCAGCATCATGCTTCCTGTACAGCCTGCAGAACTGTGGGCCAATAAAACCTCTTTATAAATTCCCCAGTTTCAGATATTTCTTTATAGCAATGTGAGAACAGAATAGTACACTCCATATTCTGTAAATGGTGCTTCCTTTCAGGATCAGTGGTGACTCACCTTCAAACAGAACAAAGTTCAGGGCAGTGACCACAGTGGCCCTAGCCCCTTGGGCAGAGAAGAAAACCTCTGGATGGCCATGGCTTACCTTCCTGTGTTGAGTGGAGGGCTGTGGGCAGACGAACTGGAATCCAAGCAGCAGAAGGAAACACAGGACACTGAAAAGGGAAAATAGCAACAGGCAGGATGGTGAGTATGTTCCAGGCAGCAGCACCCAGGGAAGGCAGCATCGCCATCTCATCAGTGGATGGGGGGGGAACAGCCCAACCCAGGCCCTGGGATGTGACCCAGTGAAGACACAAAGTGTTGGCCCCAAAGGAGGGAGGCAGCATGGTGCTGTGGCAAGGCATGGCATGGGGCAGATGTGGGATCACATCCCAGCCTTCCTGCTTACCCGCAGGGGTTCTAGATCAGAGCTTTAACCTCTCTAAGTCTCAGTCTCCTCCCCTGAAAAACGGGGATGACAACGGGAACTGGCTTAGAGGTTTAGGGGAGAACTGAGTAAGAGGATGCACCGTGCCTGGCAGAGGGAGTGCTAGTGTAGCCCACATGCGGTCCTTCACGGGTGGTAAGGTCAGGGAAAAGCATGGGCTTTGAGCCTGCCAGGGAAGTTCCTCTCCTTACAGCTCATGCTTTCCTGGGAACCATTCCTCTGCCTCTTTCCAGCCTTTTGATGTCACATATGTTCTCCATGGGTGGGATTAGCTGTGCTAAGCCTCACTGTCACCAGCCCTGATTAGAGAATGTCATCAAATAAAGAGGAGGTGGGGAAATAGGAGCCGGCTGAGACAGCAGGGTGTGCTGGAGAGGGCATGGAGCCAGGCTAGAATCGCAGCTCCATCATTCCCATCTGGGTGATCCTGGGTCACATTTCCACGTTAGCATTTCCATGCCTCAAACATTCTCACCTTCTGTGAGGATCACTGAATATGACAGAGGTAAAACACCTGGCATGGTTAGTAAGTTAAGAAGGTGAGGGAAGGAGTAGAGCTGACCAGGAAACCTGGAATGCAGCTCCTCTGAGTCAGAGGAAAACCTAGATCTTTCACTCCCTCTCCTGCCCCAAGTCCCGCTGAATGTGATTGGAAATGTAACCTCGGACCAAAGGTGAGACAAGTATTGTCAATTAATTTAAATGCCCAAAGTCTCATGATTTCAAATCATCAATGTCATTATTTTAAGCATCCCTGCAATAAGGCCACTACATCTTTTGACCATTTGTCAAATCGTATTTAACCTAAGTTAAATAATATAGTGGTTCCCAACCTTTTTGAGGCTTCCAACACAACTGAGAGATGTGAAACACTGCCCCGAACCAAGAAAAACCATCACGTCAGGGTGGAGATGAGGAAAACCTGCCCGAAGCCGGGGGTTAGGTCTTGTGGAGTTAGATAAAGCTTCCACCATTTCTAAGAATCCAAAATTCCACCCCAGCTCCTGTTTTGTATGTAAGTGACCCAGGAGATCACACAGAACAGACATGGACAGACTGGCTAGAGACTGTGCAATGTGGTGAGAAGCAGGGAAGATGGTCTCTGTAATATGGTGTTGCAGGCATCCTTCTTGCTGTTGTCATGGAGTTGCAGCTGAGGATCCAGAGCTGAGAACATGGATACTAAGTATGCACACATTCCAAAGAGAGGGGCTGCCCTGTCTGTTCAGAAACTACAAAGCGGGTGCGCGCCATCCCTCACTCACCTCCCACCTGTATGCACAAGGAGGCTGGAGGATGGAGTTTGCTAGGTGTGAATTTCCCTGAAGATGGATGTAGGAGTGCTGCATACAGCCCCTCCACTCCCCTATGGGGAAGGAAAAGTAGGAACTCTCCCCCAAGCCAAGCAAGAGGGACAACATTCAGAGCTTGATCCGGATGCCCTGGTATCTGGGGGTACAAGGATTGGTGCCTGATTCTCCTCTGAAAAACATCTAAAGGCCAAACCCTAGCTGGAGTATCCAGGAGGGAAGACTGGAGAGAGGGCTAGGGTGGGAACAGTCTGTATTTTTAGAGCCTGGAGGGGCAGGAGATGTTATGTTTTAGCACCATGGAAAGACATGGAACTTAGGTTATCTGGAAAGGACTCCACCAAAGATTTTCACCAGAATGAGGTGACCCCCCTCCTAGAAAGTAAATGTACAGCTTATACCCATGGAGTACGGGAGCTGGGGGTGCGGAGGTGGATCTTAAGGAGTCAGCCAGATTTGCACAGCCTGCACCAGGGCATGGCGCAGCAGGAGAGCCCAGTGAGGGGGAAATTCTCCAAAGTGCCCTGAGAGAGGAGAATCTGGAACTTGGACATCTGCCAACCAAGGACAGCAGCACCAGATTACAAGGAACACCAGTCCCGCTGGGAACGTCTTTGCCAGTTACCTCTCCTCTCCTCTGCTTCACCCTGGAGGAATTCACAATGGCAGTGAGTGGGCCGGGCAGGGAACTAGGAGTGTGAAGGAACCAACCAAGCCGCCTCTTCCCTACTACAGGGGTCTGAGGCTACAACAGGCCCAGCTTAGAGGAGAAAAGAAGCTTTTAACTGGATGAGAGATCAAAATGTTTACATCTGACTAGACTTTCCTTTTGTTGATTTTTATTTTTTTTTTTTTGGAGACAGAGTCTCGTTCTGTCTCCCAGGCTGGAGTGCAGTGGCTTGATCTCGGCTCACTGCAATCTCTGCCTCCCGGGCTCAAGTGATTCTCTTGCCTCAGCCTCCCCAGTAGCTGGAATTACAGGCAGCACTACCATGCCTGGCTAATTTTTATATTTTTAGTGGAGATGGGGTTTCACCATGTTGGCCAGGCTGGTCTCAAACTCCTGACCTCAGGTGATCCGCCCACTTCAGCCTCCCAAAGTGCTGGGATTACAGGCATGAGCCACCATGCACAGCCTAGACTTTCCTTTTAATATACTGTATTTGTAACAACATTCTTCCAAACAAGGGGTGTATTCGGGACAATAATATGAAATTAGTGGGGAGAAGAATAAAAGAGTTGAATTATAACTTGCTGAGGATCTAGAGCAGCACTGTCCAATAGAGTTTTCTATGATGACGGAAACATTCTCTGTCGGTACTGTCCAGTGCAGATACACAGATCTGTGCTATTCAAGACACAGGAAGCTAATGGTACAGGTCTAGATGGTGATGCTACTGATGTCCTGGATAACTTCGAAAATGATTCACCTTCTCACTCCCATCACACACAACTTCCTTTGGACTTTTTAATACTTGAAAATGAGCCTGTTCATTACACACAGAATGTACTGGAAATATTGCCCAAGATGTCTTCCAGCAATAGGGCAGGAGAATTAGAGACAGCGGGTTCCCAGACAGTGGTGGCAAAAGGACAGTAATCTTCTAGCTGTATCCCTGCTGGATCCAATTTGACCTCTAAATCAAGAACATGTGCATCACAACTCACAAGTCCATGCTCCATGGTTGCATGACCTTGGGCAAATCACCGTCTCTCTGTGCCTCAGTTTCCTCATCTGTAAAATGGGAATTGTATAACCTGTCCTCCTACCTCAAATGAGTTAATGTGCTTTCTTGCACCCAGGCCTAAAAATGTGAATCATTTGTAACACATTCTGGCACTGCTTACTCATTTAAAAAGAAAACCAGATTGGTGTGGTTTTGTTAAAAAAAAAAAAAGCTGCAGCTCCATAAACATGTTACACCTCAGTGCCTCAAAGCTCTTGGCACACACAGTAGCCACATATTTGTAAGGAGCAGTTTTGGATAATCACTGATCTGAGATTGCACTTTCATAGCATTCAGGGGGACTTGGGGCAGGAAAGGGAGTGAGATCACATCTAGGTTTTCCTCTGACTCCGAGGAACTGCATTCCAGGTTGCCTGGTCAATTCTACTCGTTCCCTCACTTCTTAAGGTCTCTGCCCAGAGGATCTTGTCTTCACAGGGCTTCCTTGACCCTACAAAAAACAGTGGTCCCTCTCCCAGCCCAGCCCTTTTCTCCATAGCATTTACCGTCTCACATACTATGTCTTTATTTAAATTTCTCTCTCTATCCAATGGAATGTAAGCTCCATGAGATCAGGGAGTTTGTTTTGTCACTACTTTATTCCCCAGCACCTAGCACAGTGGCTGCTATATAGTAGGAGCTTAATTCACTGAATTAAAGAATGATGCTTCACCATCTTGGTGACCCCTGAAATTTCAAGATTAAGTGAAAATACTGTGAATTAACATATTTGAAAATGTCCAAAGCCACTTCGGGAGCTTTTAAAATTTTCTTTTATGAGGGATTTATAAAAATCAGTTCTGCTTTTGAATTTCTATGTTACCCCTCTCCAAAAAACCATCCTTAGAAGATCACAAGATATGGCAGCAAAATGTTTGCTGGTGCCTCTTGTTACAAAAGTGCAACACAAATTACATTTAGATGTTCAAATGCTTCTTCTCTTCATTTACTGGGCCCTATTGAAGCTAAAATGCATAGGGGTACCCAACAAAATTCATTCTGGAGTAAACTCTGAGATATTAAATGGTCTCTGCTCTGAATGGAATAGAATAAATTCCCCCAGAGGGGCAATTATTCTTTGGGCTACAATAACAGCAGGCACAGCAATATATAACCCCAGGGGCCAGAGGAAACTCTGCCAAGGGCTGAAAGTTTCCCACCCCTGCTCAGCACACTCTGTTTTAGGATACCTCACCCTGCTTGCGCATACTTAGCTAATTGGTATCTGTAGCTGTGCCCACCTCTTTTCAAAACACCAACAATCTAGCCCAAATCCTTGTTCCTCCTGACCCAATTCAAAATTAATGTTTGGAGAATGAGAGAGCATGCATGTGTCTCTGTGTGTGCAACTCGTGTGTTATTTCACTTTGATAGTTTGCTTTGGCAAACCGCTCCCAGCTTGCAACGTTTTGACAGATTGAAGGCTACCAGGGCCTTTGGCAAACAAATCCCACACTCCTTTCCAAGTGGCGTGGGGGAAGCTACATTCCTACCAAGACTTTCCGATTCACCTTGCAGTTGAAATAACCTAACATTTCACACCAAACAAAAAAAAAAAGTTATGCCATCTACCCAGTGCTGTTCTAGGTTTTAAACACTCCATCATTTCATTTCCCCATGTAGAAAATAATGCTCATTGAAATTTGGTACAAGATTTACATCATGGAACTGGAGCTCTGGGCTTCTGTATTTGCCTTGGCCAATCCCACTCTCCACCCCCGCTACCATCTCAGCTGCAGTGAGGGTGGATACTGTCACAGCCCCTGTGTACCTCAAATTACCTCAATGAACTCAACACCACTTGGGCATATCAAGTAACAAAACAAGGAAAACAAGAAAAAAAAACTACTTCCTTTCTTCCTCAGTTAATACAACCCAAGAGATATTTTGGGAGCAACCAGATCACTAATAAAATTATATCGACCTTAGCAAAAGAGAGCCAAAATCTTAGCATTGAAGTGAAATCCTGCCTAGTGCACTCTGGAGATAACAAATGTTTGCTGGCCAGGCACAGTGGCTCACATCTGTAATCCCAGCACTTTGGGAGGCCGAGGCAGGCGGATCACTTGAGGTCACAAGTTCGAGACCAGCCTGGTCTCGAACACAGTGAAACCCCGTCTCTACTAAAAATACAAAAATTAGCTGGGCGTGGTGGTGTGTGCCTGTAATCCCAGCTACTCGTGAGGCTGAGGCAGGAGAATCGCTTGAACCCAGGAGGTGGAGTTTGCAGTGAGCCGTGATCACGCCATTGCCCTCCAGCCTGGGCAACACAGCGAGACTCCATCTCAAAAAAACAAAAATGTTTGCTAAGCATGCATTTCACTATGCTCAGCTCAGCCCTCTGCCTTCTTCTGACAACAGTTAAGTGCCTGTAGTCCCAGCTACTCAGGAGGCTGAGGCAAGAGAATGGCATGAACCCAGGAGGCGGAGCTTGCAGTGAGCTGAGATCGCACCACTGCACTCCAGCCTGGGTGATAGAGCAAGACTCCGTCTCAAAAAAAAAAAAAAAAAGTAAAGGCAGCAAGGAAGGGGGATGGGTTACCAATGACATTAGCCAACAAAGAGCTGATGGCTACCATTGATCTCAGCACTCACAAGTAGTACTTCATAACCATCCTATCAGACACTTTTATTATACCCATTTTGCAGGTGAGGAATTTGAGGCAAAGAGAGACTAAGTCATTTACCAAACAGCCACACATACCTACTAAGTGGCAAAGCCTGATTTCTAACACAGGCGGTCAGACCCTTGGCCTGGACTCTTAACCACTGTGCTGCGGGGCCTCATTAGGACACAACACATTTTTACAAAACAAGCATTTGCCATCTGATTACATCCACTTTCTTCCTCACTCTGTATGAGGTGGGGAAGCCTGGTGGCTTCACAGCCTCCTTTATTTTCTGCCACTGCTTGCAAGAATCATCAGAAACTAGGTGGACGCAATAAAGCTGCATTCATCCAGTCCCACCAGAGGATATTCTAAATTTCAAAATAAATGAAGCTGACCATATAAATCCCAAACTTAAAAAAAAAATGCATTCTATTTATTTTCTCTGTTTTCTTACACAAATTCATCTGAGCTTAAGAAACCTTTCTTAGATGGCTCAGAGGCACCAAGGTGAATATCAATCAATTTGTGCAGCCCAAGGTGGAGGTCTTCGGCGCACAGCAGCCTTCGGCTTGAGAACTCCAGACACCTAGGGCTTTCTGAATCTGGTTGGCACTTAGTTGTCTCCTTCCTGCTATCAGGTGTTGTTTACTGTACTGTCAGTGACCCTGTGTCCTCTTAACTGGGCTCCCTCTGGATCTGCCTTGGTCTTGGAAACATTCAGATAACTAAGCTGCAGCCAAACCAAGACCAACAGGCCCCGGGAAAAGGCCTGCCTGGCTCGCGCAGAGTGAAATATTTCCATTATAGAGCATGGACTTAAGGACACATATTTTAACTGCAAATTGGTTTTTATTGCTTGTTTCCAGGTTCTCAGGTCTTGCAGCCATTTGTATTTTCTCGACCAGTACTTCTGGCAATGTGAGGTGGTTTATCACAGTACAGCTTTTTTTTTTTTTTTTTTTTTTTTTTTGAGACAGAGTCTTGCTCTATCACCCAGGCTGAGTGCAGTGGCAAGATCACAGCTCACCACAGCCTCTATCTCCCAGGCTCAAGTGATCCTCCCACATCAGCCTCCTGAATAGCTGGGACCACAGGTGTATGCAACCACACCCAGTTAACTGTTCATTTGTTTGTTTCTGTAGAGACAGGGTTTCATCATGTTGCCCAGCCTAGCCTTGAACTCCTCGGCTCAAGTGAACTGCCTGCCTCGGCCTCCCAAAGTGCTGGGACTACAGTGAGCCACCTTTCTGGCCTACACAGCACAGCTTTTAAAGACACAACACGCTTTGGTAAATTTCCCTCCTCAGTGGCAGGTTTCTTGAAGAAATGGTTTCTGATACACCTTTGCAGCAAACAAAACAATCCGCATAATCTTGACCCATCCTCAAGACTAATAAATATCAACTGAATAAAAGAATGGAAGGATAGAATAAAGTGAAGGAAGAAAAGGAGAAAGAGAGGAGGGAGGAAATATCAGTCACTAAAGAACGTGTTGCTGTCCAGGGGTTTAAGATCAGCCTGGGCAAGATGGTGAGATCACATCTCTACAAAAAAATTTTTTTTAAAGTGAGCTGGGCCTGGTGGCACACACCTGTAGTCTCAGCTACTCAGGAGGCTGAGGTGGGAGGATCGTTTGAGCCCAGGCATTTGAGGTGGCAGTGAGCTATGACTGTGCCACTGGACCCCAGCCTGGGCAACAGAGAGAGACCCTGTCTCTAAAAAATAAAAATTCAAAAACAAAAAGTGCTGCTCTGTGACAGTTTTCATCAAGAAAATGTTTTCTAAGTGCATCCCAGAATTCCCTGTTGGAAAAGCCAAAGAGCTGGGAAAAGGAAGACAATGGTAAAAAGCAGATTTCTACAAATTGGAATTACTGGTTCTAATCCCTGGCAGGAAGAGGAGGGGTCAATGTTAACCCAAGGCATAAAAATACACTTAGAGATATAAGGAATGGGTAATTGGCAGCCCAGTGATCACACCTTGACTCCATTGAGCCTTTTTGGGTACAGAATGTTCTAGCAAATCCCACAGTCAAGGAGTGAGTGATGAGGACAGGATCCAGGTACAGGGCTGTGCCAGGCATAAAGAAAAATCAATACTGTCTGAATGCTTGCCGTCATTTTACAGATGGGGGTTTGCCAGGGCAGTCCTCCAAAAATCTATTTTATTTCCTCCTAGCCTCTATGCCTACCACTCAGATGGCTCCTCCCGGGCTTCCCACAGACAAGACTGCGGCCGATTCTTCCCTGGACACTTGCACACTTCTGCACCCCCCAGATGTACTGTGTTCATATAGTGTCAACCATGTTTCCACACCTGTTTATGCCAGTTGCTATTGCTTTGTAGTGACATAAGTATTCAAATAGTACACAAACCCATGAAAGCAAGCACAAGAAGAAAGAACATTTGTTAGTTGTTTCTACAAAAATGAAGTTAATTGCTTTGGAAAGTTTCAATAAAGGCAAGCAGCCAAGATTAAAAAAAAAAAAAAAAAACTACTGGCAAATTAGGTGTGGATGAGACAACTGCAAATGATTAGGGGCAAAAATAATAAAAATCCAGAATCATTCTGGTACTCAGACTGCTTTGCAAATGTCTTTATATTCTCACTGCACTTTAAAGAAACCCAAATGGAAACCTCACATAATGCTTATGGGTGTGGTTTGTGCAAGAAAGACAATCGGGTTCATGAGCAAAGAAAGGCCCATGGCCCCAAATCAAAAACTGGTGAATGGATGTACATGTGTTTTAAGTTAAAAGTAAACTGTTGAAGGTGTGTGTGTGTGTTATTTGTTTGATTTCCATGCTTCACCCTACTTTTGTAATTAACTAGCTAACTATCCTGGTCAGGAAAGAGAAAATTTCAACCTTATCTGTTGTACATAAAAGGTAGTTATTAATTTATTCATTTACTCTTCAACAAATATTTATTAAGCATTAACCAAGTAGTAGTTTAGATGTCAGTTACACAAATTCTGGCCTGCCTTATTAATACCATGAAGTTTAATACTTGTGATCCAGGCCTGGCCTCCCCTTCCCTTTGCTCCTCTTCCCCTCCTCCTCCTGCTCCTCCTCCTTCTCCTTCCCTCTCCTTCCTCCACTCCCTCCTCCCCAACCTCTTTCTCCCCATTTCCTGATCACTGGCACAGGGACACTGATCGACTCCATGACCCCACACAATTATTACATATTTCTTTACCCCCAAGGGAAATTTCAGTTTTCACTGATCAATTGTACCTTAAATATCACTACTTGGGGCATTCTCTTTCTCACACATAAAAACACGTTTTCTTAACCCCTTTCTTCCTTTCTGTATTCAGGATCTTTTTCAATTACTCCTAAGAACAGCCACCTTTCTCTTTCTCATTTCCTCAACCCTTTTGGTTGTATTTCTAAGTGCAGTAGCTGACAGGCATTAAAGTAATAATACTTTACTGAAGTATGCATCAAGGAAAAGAAAAACTTTACGTTTCAGAAGACTAAAACCAGACACTTGACCTAGGGCCATCAACCTATAAAACCCTTAAAATAATCCAGAAGTCTCCCTCATAAGATCTATAAAAATCACCTTCTAACTCTGTAATCACTCTCATTACATCTGTAATTCTTCAAAAACTACTGTTCAAAATAAAAATCACCAAAATCAATTTTATTTCCTGCCAGTTTCACTACTTGTTTGGCATTTGATAGTTCTGTTTTTCTCTTTGCTTTCACTTGAAATATAAAATACGTCAACCATACAAAAGCACTCCTTGAAGTAAAGGAAGAAGCACCTGGTCAAGCAGACTGGCTCCAGAGATTTTGTTGGCTGGCCAGGTCAGGTAGCCATCAGCATTTATTGTACTGTTCTAGGGACAAAATTATGTTTCCTTCCTATCACTCACTGAACAAACAAATAAAGATGTAATTGTGCATCCAAAAAAAAAAAAGTGCATAATTTGGAGCAAGTCTTTAAGAAACATAAATAATTCTGTATCATTTAGTGCCATTTCCTTTCTAATTTTTAACAGGTGACAAACATTCCTCATTAAGGATTAGCCTACACTTTGGTCCACATGGACTTTCATTGCCCTGAATTTTACATGGCATCCAGAGCTTGTCCAAGATTCAATGATAATTCCCAACCAGATCCATCGAGAGTTAGAATCTTAGTGCCTCCTCTGCTACTAGGTTTAACTGTGATTCTTTTTATTACTACACACTCTGAGCAAGGCAGAGATACTCTTGCGATGTTAATGCCCAAGGCTTCTCTGTCTCCTTCAATGAGAAGGAAGCTGGTTTTCTGTTTCTCTGTGGCTTGGCAAAAAATGGGGAGGGGTTTTTAAATGAAATCTCTGTGTATCAGAGTTGTGATTCCCCTTAAATGTTCTTTCAGGGATTTTCTTGGCAGCTAATTCCTAATTTTAACCTGTTTTCTCTTAAGGTAGAGAAATTCTCCAGCTTCTCCAATTGATCTTTATGTATTTAGTTGCCTTGATAAATATTAAAAATCCCTTCACATGTGTGTGCGTCTGTGTGTGCTTCTCATCTACCACTTTTGTCAAAGACCTCTCACGCTTCAAGTAACCCACAGCCCTTTTCCCCATAACATTCTGAAAAGCATTTAAACAGAAGACACTCTACTTTTGCTTCTTTTTCTCTTAAAAATATATTTACATGGCCCTAAAAACAGGGATGCAAAATGGTTGATGTGCACCTGGTTTATGAAGAAGGGAGTTTGATGGGAATCTCAAGCTGAGATCTCCTAAAGAATCAGCTGTCCTCATAATTCACATTTTCTTCCTCTAGTATTGACAGCAGAATTCTTGGCAAAATGTCCCGCTGAGCAGCTCTGTTCAAACAATCCCTGCAGCAGGACTCTCGTGCTGGAGGCCTGTCAAGGCTTCCAGAGCTCCACCACAAGGGTAGCATCTAGCTTTCAACTACTCCCATCCTGCTAATTTCCCTTCTGTGGGCAATTTCCTTGAAATAATGCACAGTTTAGAGGTGAGTTCCCCAGGCCTCCCGCAAAGGGAGATGATCTCCATACCACACACCCTGCTCAGATCATTACAGGAGACTGTTTGCAGGGGCATTAATTAAAATTCCAGGACATGGCTATTCGTACTTGGGAGGCAGAGGTGGAGGATCGCTTGAGCCCAGAAGTTCAAGGTTACAGTGAGCTATGATTGCGCCACTGTACTCCAGCCTGGGTGATAAGCAAAATCCTGTCTCTTTTGAAAAAAAAAAAAAAAAAAAGAAAGAAAAAAAAAAGAAAGAAAAAAATCCAAGACATTAAGAAAAAACTTTGCAAAAGGGATTTCCTCCCAAGAAACTCCCTGCCTGTGCAGCCTGGGTGGCCACATTTTTGAGGGTCCTCAAGCACTTTTAGGGGCCTTTTTGACGACAGCCAGACTTACACAAGCTTAGCACATGGCGAACCTACCTTTCATAATCTGCTTGCCCTTTTCGAATAAGTTCAATAACCGACTGTGACCTCCACTTCTTTGTCCTACATGGGGTCCTGGGTGCTTAAAATGCCATGGTCCTACAATGACCCTGTGGGCCAACTGCATTTCTCACTACCCTATAGTTTTATAACAGTATTTTGGAACTTCCACAAACTAGATGCATATTTCATGTCTTGAAATATCTTTTAAACTCTTTTTTAAACTATAGTTTTAAAAAAGCACACATGCTAATTTGTACTAGATGCCAACTTCTATCCTGAAGAGATCACCAAACGTTAATTTGGGCTGTCCTCCTCGTGGCTCAATATCATACAGCCTTCAGAATGAAGCTTTTTCTTTCTTTTCTGACCATATCTGACATGCATGTGAATATGTCATTGATAAAGAGGTTTGTAGTTCTCTGCGGGTATTTGGATTGCAGGCCTGCACACGTCTGCCCATGTAAAATTATACAAGCAACTACATACTAAAGCTCACACACATGCACTGCACTCAGTTAAATGCCAGGCATTAGCCCAAGGGCATCTGCTTGGCAAATGCTCTAGCCCTGGTTGGCCAACCACCTGTGGCACCATCATATGTAATATGCTATATATTACAGACCATTTTACTTTCTGTTATAAGTTCTAGGCATGTGGGACTAATGTACAGGTATGGAAAAAAGACTACAAGATATCATAATGATTCAACTTGGAAACAAAACGTTCTTCCTTCCCCTCATTCCAGATTCTCAGTCAATTTATTTAAATAGTATCCTAAAATAGTAAGATGAGCTTCATCACAGAATTGTTACCAATTGCAAGTACTTACCTGTAATGGGTTAGGATTTTCTTAATGCTACACAGCTAAAACAGCTGCAAAATAAACTAGATGCTTGGGCAGATATTTAAGCTGCCAACCATAAATCCTGATTTCAAATGTCGGTATTTATCAAAATTAATGCATTGATCTCATAATGTATAAATATTATAAATTTAAACTTATAAAGTAAATTTATATTAATAAAATACTGTCATTGTCTATTTTATATATTGAGATTTTGCATAGGATTTTGATTGAAGAATTTTTAAAAGGCTCTGTCAGCCTTTTTAAAAAGTTTGAAAACAACTTCGATAACATGGACTACAGTTGCAATGCTCAGAGCCCTTATTCTAACTCTGCACATAAAGGAAGGTGACAGCCATGATGTAAGCTCTCTGAGCATTGGTTTTCTGATCTACACAAAAGGGATAATAGTACTTACTCAACTTGCCACGCATGGTTGATATAAAGATTGAATTTTAAAACGCAGGTGAAAGTCAAAAATGTTTTGTACATAAGGGACAAGAGAGAGCACCATTTTAAAATACCAGATTCAGTCAAAATCTATGGCGTTGCAACCAGAGAACAATTTTTTTAAGTTCTTTAGAAAATTGTATTATGCAACCACGGTAAATATACATTGATCTGACCCCACCTCCAGGGTTCAAGTGATTCTCCCGCCTCAGCCTCTCCAATAGCTGGTATTACAGGTGCCTGCCGCCATGCCCAGCTAATTTTGTATTTTTAATAGAGATGGGGTTTCACCACGTTGGCCAGAGTGGTCTTGAACTCCTGACCTCAGGTGATCTGCCTGCCTCAGCCTCCCAAAATGCTGGGATTACAGGTGTAAGCCACTGCATCCGGCCTAAAAAAATTTTCTTGAAGCCTACAGAAGGTCTCCCAGAAGATAGTAGATTGACTTCGACCCCAAGCCACTCAGCACAGCACACAGCTCCCAAGGCCTTGGAGGCCCTTCTGAATAGCAAACTTTTACACAAGTGGACGTATTATATCAAAAATATCAGTCAGCTGCAGACCCTTAAGATCACTTACTTTAAGAAATGACAGAGTAAAATGCAAATATCAAATTTCTTATTCTCCTGTTTTTTTAAAAAAAGTTTCTTCACTTACCTGAGAGACCCCATGAAATGGGAAACCATGATGCTGGGGGTCCAGGCAAAAGCAAGGGCTCTTCAGAGACGTTGCCAATTTTCTGCAATTGGGAGTTGCGTTCAAGTCCTATGGAAATGAACAATGTTATTTTTAGCAACATTTACTTAGGAAGATTCTAGAAGCGTAACTCGGTCAACAAAACCAGAAATGAGCAAATGGAAGATACTAAAACAAAAGTGCCCAGTTATGGTTCCCAGGATTTCCCAACTGAAATCTGATTATTTATGAACATGAGGTAACAAGTTTACAAGACAACCAGCACAGTGCCTGACCCACAGAAGATGTTCAGTAAATTACTATCAGAACGATCACCTCAGACTCTGAGCTAACAGGGGAGCTGGTGCTAGGCACACTTGTGCTGGAAATCCAGCCCCATCTATTACAGGCTATTTGACCATAGATGTCATGTCACATTCATGTGTCTTGGTTTCCCTAACAGTGCAAGTTGAGTAAAAATATTGTCTAACAACAAAAAGAAATAAAGTACTCATACACGCTACAATGGGGATGAACCTTGAAAACATTATATTAAGTGAAAAGAGTCAGATACAAAAATAGCATGCATTATATGATTCCATTTATAGGTAATGCCTAGAATAGGCAAATCTATAGAGACAGAAAGTAGATTCGTTGGTTGCCAGGGATTGGGGGTTGGGAGGAGTTCATGGGAGGGTACAGTGTTTCTTCCTGGAGTAATAAATGTGTTCTAAAATTAGATTGTGGTGATGGTTGTACAACCCTGCGAATATACCAAAAACTACTGAATTGTACACGAAATTGTGAAACGTATGGGAAATAAATTATATCTCAATAAAACTTATTTAGAAAATACTGTCTAAAGAACTCCTGCAGGTTGTTATAAAGATTAAATGAGGGAACGCATGTGACATGCTTAGACTGTGGCTGGGGCAGCGTCACCCTCAGTAAATGGTTGCTCTGATGATACTGAGAGTTTGGATACTTGTCCTCTTCCAATCTCATGCCGAAAACTGATTCCCAGTATTGGAGGTGGGGTCCATTGGAGGTGTCTGGTCATGCGGGTGGGTCCCTCATGAATGCCCTGATGCCCTCCTTGTGGTAATGAGTGAGTTCTCACTCTATTAGTTAGGGTGAGATCTGATTGTTAAAAAGAGCCTAAAAGGAGTCTGGCACCTCCTCCCTTCTCTCTCACTCCCTCTCTTGCCGTGTGACACACTGGCTGCCCTTCCTTCTCCACCATGATTGAAAGCTTCCTGAGGTCCTCACCAGAAGCAGATGCCAGCCAGCACCATGCTTCTTGTACAGCCTGCAGAACTGGGAGCCAAATAAACCTTTCTATAAATTACCCAGTCTTAAGCATTCCTTTATAGCAATGCAAAATGAACTAATATGGTGATGCAAGAAGAGGTCAAACAACACTTAAAATACGTTGTCACAGTGAAAACATGGAGGTAAAATCTCTCGCCCATAAATACTACTTCATTCAGAAGCCCTCACTAAACAAAATTTCTAAAAATTGTCAAGTGAGCCAATAGTTTCAAAGGCAAGTTATGAATAGCAACAGAAAGCCCAGGATGGGCGGGTTGGTTGCAACGTAGTAAAACTTAGAGAATAAAACAGAACATGGCCCAGTCTCCTCTCCTGCTGCAACTCCTTGAAGGGAAAGACAAATGAAGCAAGGTTCCAAGGTGGGCCAGGGATCCTTTCTAATAAAGGTGGAGTTCTCTAAGATCATTATTTTCTTGTTTCTTCCAGAGACTTCAGACTTCCTTTTCACCAGAAAATGTGGGTGGGAAAATAAAGGACAAGGATTTACAAAAAGATAGTCATGAGAACCAGACAATTCCATTCTCAGGGAAAAAGAATCAAGATTTTAAGTTACCACAGGCCCTTTCTGCGGGTTATTAAGAAAGTAAAGCCTCTTAACTGTAATCATCCCTAATTAGCCATCAGCAACTCATGAAATTACTCCTGGTATTGAAGACCCTTAAATTCTTGGCTCTCAGTCAGAAATTACACTGAGATCCACCAGGAAGAAGGCCAACAAGTGCAAATTGGAACAGTTAAAATGCCTTTGAATCAGAGGTGTGGTCTTCTTGCTCTTGGCTGCAGAACAGGTCTGCACCAAGTCAGGGGATTTAACTTGGAAGTCAAATGAAGTCTTTGCCAAGTCCCTGATAACCATCAACTAATCAGTAATTATTTACTCAATAGGTGGTAGGCTCAGGTCCTCTCCAGTGCTGTGGGAATGGTCTGGGAGATGAACCATGGGGAAAATGATGGTGTTATTATCCAGAACAACACAGGGTAAACTGTTCATTCAGACCCTAAGTACAACTCAAACTAGCAGAATCGCTGTAGAGGGATGGTCTGGCATAAGCAAGGTAGATGGGACTTAAATTCAAGCCTTAGCCTAATGAGATAGTAAATCAACTATCTAGAATTGTTGGTAAGTGTGCACACTGTAATTGGAAAGAAATGGGTGTGAGGCTAGCATTCACATTTATTAACTAGCTGACCTTTGGCAATTAACCTTTCTTCATCTGTAAAATGGGGGGGGGAGGGATACTGTTTGTAACTACCTCATAGGGTTGTTATATTAAATATTTATCTAGACTGTATGGCCTGAGTGCTGAACACAAACACACACACACACACTCACACACACACACACCAAGAAATTACAGCCTCGATGCTGGAGAACTACACTCTTTAAACAAACTAAATCATAAATAAGTATAAAAATAAAATTGCATTAAGAGCCATGAAAGTCCAAGGTGCCTCAGAAAGTGCCCTGGGCAGTGATCAGAGAAGATCCCTCTGAGGCAGTGGCCTATACGTGGTGGCTTGAGGGGTGAGTAGGAGTTGGCCTTGTGGAGGGGGGAGGGAAGCATCCCAGGGAGAGGGAGGCTCTTGTGAGGAGTGGGAGGAAAAAGGAAGCAATGTGGCAGGAGAAGGTGGGAAGAGCTGACTGTCTACTGGGCAGTCAAGTCCCCAGAACACAGTAAGTGAATGGTTGAGGTGACAAGAGAAAGAGAGGTGTCAAAGACAACTCCCTCCAGATTTCTGGGGGACAGAAGGAGCAAATGGAGATTTTGTGGTTGACAATGTTTGGTTCTGTGTCTCCACCCAAATCTCATCTCGAATTGTAATCCCCATAATCCCCACGTGTCAAGGGAGGGACCAGGTGGGAAGTGACTGGATCATGGGGGCAATTTCCCCCATGCTGTTCTTGTGATAGGGAGCGAGTGCCCACAAGATCTGATGGTTTCATAAGGTAGCTTTCCCTGCTCTTGCTTGTTCTCTCTCACCTGCCGCCATGTAAGATGTGCCTGCTTCCCCTTCCACCATGATTGTAAGTTTCCTGAGGCCTCCCCAGCCATGCAGAACTATGAGTCAATTAAATCTCCTTTATTTATAAATGACCCAGTCTTGGGTAGATCTTTATAGCAGTATGAGAACAGACTGATACAGTGGTTGTGTCAGGAAAGGAAGGGCAATATGAAAGGAAGAAGGTTTGGGGGAGAGCAGTTGTCCCCAGAGTGAGGAGACTGCCTGAACAGATCTGATAAGATGTCAACCGGAAAAACATCTGAAATTATCAAAACCTTTGAAAACAGATTTGCAACCTTACTGCTGATAGTAACAAAATAAATAACCAGACATATATTGAAGTTGTATGCTTATTTTTTTACTGATGTAAAAATTGTTACAATCAGTGCAATCAAAAAAAATTATTGGAGGCCACTGCTCTAGTATGTTTTTGGACCAACTTCTTATCAGATTTGATTGGTCACTTCTCCCTCAGGATACGGCTGATGAGCTTGCACTGGCAGTTTCCAGCTCTGCCATTCTTCTTGGCTGTTACTTGAGCTTCCGTGATTAGTATTGTGTTAAATCAGCCCTGCTTTTCAAACTGGGGGTCACCACTCATGAGTCTGCCATGAAATTAATTTCTTGGGTCACGAACAGCATTTTTTAATAAGTAAAAAAGAATGAAAGATAAGAGAAAAAAATACCTGCATTCATCACGCATAATAAGGGTATTTCTTACTGTGGATCCCAGCCAGAAAAGTTTAAAAGTCCTCATTCTGGAAGACCAGAGGGCAGCGGAGGCCTAGAACTGTGATTGTGGGGAATTAAACCTAGAAGCCAAGGCAAAGCCAAACATTATCTCAGGCCCTGAAAGGTGGCGCCAGGCCAATGTTGACAAGATGGGCAAGAAAGAGCCATTGTAGGTTGTAGAGCAGGGAGGGACCTGGAAAGAGTGAGGGTTCCCAAATATCCGTCTGGCAAGGGTGCACCGAGAGGGCTGAGCACACGTGCTGTCTGCGGAGCTCTGTCCGCCTTTTGAGGTTTGCTCCTGTTGATTTATAACCTTTCTTCACAGTGAACAAAAAATCTAACAATCTAGTTTCTGTTAGAACATATGCTCCTTGGGAGATGGAGGCCCCACCTTCTCTCCCTTCCACAAAGATCCTACAGGAAGGTTGAATGAGTCACCTGATTTGGTTCAGGCCAAAGTGGCCATCCCCACACACCAGGAGGAGGCAGCAGCAGGCCCAAGGCTCAGGACGGTGGGGTCAGACAGAGGGTCAGGATCATCAAACTAAGGGTGGAAAAGGATTCCCTGAGCCGAAGGGATGCCATGCTGCCTGAACTATGACACCATTCTGCCGCCCCTTACACACAGGCCCACCTCTGAGTATCCTTCCTGCCCCTTCTCCTCAGGGCCTGACCAGAACTCCTGGAGGACCCCCTCCTGGAGGAACCCATGCCTCAGAAGACAAGGATCTGCTCAGTCTCTCAAGTCGGGGTTCAGGAAGGCCCCACTGCAGGCGCCAGTTCCACCTCCCTCCCTCCCTCCCTCCTACACACGCTGTCCTCTGGAACTCCCGCAGCCTAAAGCAACTACCCAAACAAAAGCACTCATCCCTGGGGAGGGGAAGTGACTCACTGGCAAGGAATGAGGACCAGAGATGCTAGAAGGAAGTAGCTCCAGACCCCAAATCCAGCACCCAGTCACATGTGGTGAGGACACGTTCTCAGAACCTGCCTAGGAAAGCTGCCTCTGAGGGTCCCAACAGGGCAAGACAGGAGCCTCCACCACTGCAGCCTTGTCCTGTCTGTACCAACATCACCAATATGCTCTCCTGTCCTGCTGACATTTACGCAAACTCTCCTTATGCAACCTTGACCATCTGTTCGCAGTGCCCCTACCGTCCCCAGTCTGACATTCTAGGTGGTGGTGGATAAAAGCATCAGGACGTTGGCTCCCGACATCAGGGCAGTTCCAAACCACTTTTTTCTTGCATGATGAGAAAAGAGTCGGGAATTGGCTTTTACTGGATCGTCCCACCTGAGATGGGACGTAAGTCATGCTATACAACCCTCACAACAAACCAAGGCCACACAGCGGGTCTAGGGTAGCTCAGACACAGGGAACCAGCACCTGGATAAGTAACGGGGTTTGGGGAAAGATGATTGGTTGAGTGGACAGGAAAGCTTCTGGAGTCTTAAAAAAAAAAAAAAAAAAAAAAAAAACTAAACTAAACAAAAAACCAAAGGACTTGTGTGTTTGGGGAATGAACAAACCCCATACTGGAGAAAGAGCCCAGTGTGAATGACAGAGGACAGGACCGGGGATCCAATAAGGCCCTCAGAGCCAACAGGGGAGGAGGAGAAGGGGCAAGCATGGAGGTGGAAGCCAAGGAAGTTATTGGGAGGAGGCTGCCCCATAATGCATGGAGGTGGGGGCAGGCCCAGGACAAGATGTGCGGAGTGTCCCCTCCACCCCCATCTGAGAAAACTCAGTACATTGGAGAAAGAGCTTTGGCTGGAGAAGGCTGCCAAGAAGAATGGCCCAAAAGCAAGAGGCAGAAAAAGGGATGCTCTTATTTCTTCAAGGTACCCCCTGAATAAATGGCTATTATCCACAGCAAGTGGGAAAAACGGAGGAAGGCATAGGCTTTAAATCATCCTCATAAACAATATGGTGGGCAGACTTGCTAGCTGACAATGGCAGGCACAGGAGAGTCTAGAAGTTGAAAGAGAGGAGATCATCTCCCTTAATAGATACTAGACATACCTGTTTACACTTGCCCCTCACTGCATGGGAAGCTTCTTCTTTTTTTTTTTTTTTTGTCATTTAGTAAGTTTCTTTTTTTTTTTTATTATACTTTAAGTTTTAGGGTACATGTGCACATTGTGCAGGTTAGTTACATATGTATACATGTGCCATGCTGGTGCGCTGCACCAACTCGTCATCTAGCATTAGGTATATCTCCCAATGCTACCCCTCCCCCCTACCCCCACCCCACCACAGTCCCCAGAGTGTGATATTCCCCTTCCTGTGACCATGTGATCTCATTGTTCAATTCCCACCTATGAGTGAGAATATGCGGTGTTTGGTTTTTTGTTCTTGCAATAGTTTACTGAGAATGATGGTTTCCAATTTCATCCATGTCCCTACAAAGGACATGAACTCATCATTTTTTATGGCTGCATAGTATTCCATGGTGTATATGTGCCACATTTTCTTAATCCAGTCTATCATTGTTGGACATTTGGGTTGGTTCCAAGTCTTTGCTATTGTGAATAATGCCGCAATAAACATACGTGTGCATGTGTCTTTATAGCAGCATGATTTATAGTCATTTGGGTATATACCCAGTAATGGGATGGCTGGGTCAAATGGTATTTCTAGTTCTAGATCCCTTAGAATGGCAATCATTAAAAAGTCAGGAAACAACAGGTGCTGGAGAGGATGTGGAGAAATAGGAACACTTTTACACTGTTGGTGGGACTGTAAACTAGTTCAACCATTGTGGAAGTCAGTGTGGCGATTCCTCAGGGAAGCTTCTTAAAGGTAGACTCTTTCAGTCCTCTTTACAAATGCCCTTCCATTAGACATGCTGCCGACACAGGGCGGGCATGCAATCACAGTTGGACAAATGAATGGATGAACGAATGAATGGGTGAATGGGTGAAGAATGAACGGCACGAGTTTCTTACAGACTTTTCCCTCTTAGAAAGCAGGGCCTCCATGTGATTTCTCTCTCCCTGCTTTTGCCAATGTTCAGCCAATGTCTAGACTGCCCTAGGAAGAGAATGAAGGCGCTGAAGGCGCTAAGCCACTGCAGATGCACGCTGCCTCTGTGGAGGTCCCACCCTCCTGAGCTCTCTGGTGGCGGTCATCAATCGTCACAGCCCTTTCAGGAAATCCTGCCCCAGGCCAGAAGTATTCAGGGACGCTGACCTTGGAGCCCCAGGCCCGGTCACATTTCCAGCTGCTCCCTGCCTATGAGGACAGCCAGAGGAATGTTCCCCCAACATGTCCTTGGCTCACAGTCCTTTCTCCTACCACCTCACAGAGGCTGTCCTTTTTGTTCCTGTCATATCCAAACTCAGCTGCAGAACTCATTTCTTCCCATGGAACCCCCACACTGCAGACTGGCTGGCTTGCCCAGAGCAGCGTGAAAACCCACAGAATCTGGATTAGGACTAAACCTTGAGAAGATCTATTAAAACTCCCTGGCAGCTTTCAAGCAAACACATTACAGTGGGTTTTGTTACTCATTAAGGAAAACACCGTGCTTCTCCGTCCTCACCTGGAGAAATTAGGTAATCAGCACAGATTAGTTAAGGATTTCAATGCAAATTGCATCATTTTCATGGTCATTAACAGTGGTGTGGTTTATATCTGTTTTCAGTCCTAAAAAAACGTTTCCCAGGTAACTAAAGAAAATATTCAAGGGCAGAAATATCAGGCGGGTAAGATACTTAAAATAAATGAGCCATTTGTTCCTGCTTCTGTATAAAGTTGCTTTTTCAATTTCAGATGACATGATACTGCAGATCAAAGTGGGGAAAAACCTTTGGAGTAAGAGCGCTTTTCTTCCCTAGATATGACTGACTTCGTTGCTTGATTTACAGCACTTGATTAACCTGGTTAAATTTCTGCTTCTGTGCAAGTCTCAGATGCAGAACTAGGGATCGTCAAAGCGTATCATTATGATTTGTGCTTGTCTTTCCTCCCTCACAACACAGGACCTCTTCCTCAAAGACTTATTTGTTATATTTCTGGTGTCTAGAATAGCACCTGGGGTGCAGCAGGTGTTCCCGATGACAGAAAGGTCTTCCATTCAAACTCAGGTGGGGGCTTTCTTTTCCATGCAGGATTGTGCTGCCTGTCTGAGGCACCACTGCGCAGCCCAGGATCCAAACAGCCACTCCATTCTTCTGCTGTTTCTGAAATTAACATGACATTCTCCACCCTACTCCTAAAGACCACAACACACAAATAAACAGCCGTGATGAGATGCAGGTCACCCTACCTAGGAATCAAAGACACCTAGACACACTCCAGCCTTCCTCCACTCTCAGACTCAACCTCTTCCCAGCATCCGCTGCCAAGAGCAGTTTATAATCCCTGGGTCATAGCTACCAAAGGAAAAAACATCAGACTACCACGGCTGAGCTCTGCATGGGAGCTGCAGCTTTTCTGATGTGCTGCCCTTTCTCCGAGATGATGACCCATCTCATTCCAAAAACCAATATTCTCCAGCTGCCTTGGCCAAAAGCAGGTGGCCAGGGGAGGAAAAGGCAGCTGGGGGCTCAGGCCTTCCTTCCTGCTTTCCAATACAAGGCCTCAGTTCTGCTGCCTACAAATGGCCTCTTGCCACTCTGGTGAGCACGTGTGTACATCTGTGCATGAGCGTACACACATACACACACATACGTGTGTTGGGGAAGGAAGGTGTAACAAGTGCACTGACACTAAAAGAATAAACACAGTAAACACCACATTCATTCACAAGGTGAGGATTCAGGGCTGAGTGGAACACACCCAATGAGGTATTCTTCTGGAAATAAATCTGTCTATAAAATTTATTTATTAAGGAAATCTATTTATTAAGGAAAGTTTGAAACTACAGAAAAATACAAAGAGGAAAGCCAAAATTACTCATTGTAATTGTAATTGTATTACCTAATAACCCAACACCATTAAACCTTTTGATGTTCTTGTTTATTTTTTCTATGCATAATGCTTATACATATCATCTGCATATTTTACATATACTATTTCTACAAAACAAAATCACACATGTAGCTTTGTATTCTATTTTTACCTTACCTCATAAGCATCTCATTAGTAATATTCAAAATCATTTCTAATCACTGCAAAATAGTCCACCCTATGAATGCCTGATAACACATCTAATAATGTTCCCTTATTGTTGGAAAATATGATGAACACCGTTGTATAAAATTCCTTATTTGCTACTCTTCCTTGTTCCTTAGGATAAATTCCTAAAAAATGAAATCATTAAGCCAAAAGGTATGACTAAGGTCCTTCACAATGAATTATTTTCAAAAACAATTGTATCAACCTAGAATCTCACATGTAGTGGATGAAATAAACACATTTGCCAATAATGCTATGATTGCAATCTCTCCTAATTTGATAAGTAATTAGTTAGGGTAGGGTTACTCTGCCACAAACCCCCTCAAAATGTGAATGGCTTAACATAGTAAAAGGATTTTTGCTCAAGTCACTATCTGATGCAGGTTGTCGGGAACATTCTACTTCACACAGTCATGCAGGCATCTGGGGACCCTTTTTCCATCGAGTGATTCCACCATCGTCCGGGTGGAATTCCACCTGGGTTCTTTCCATTCCATGAACAAACAAGGGGAAAGAGAAGGCATAGAGGACTGAGCTAGCAGCTTCACTAAGGTAGCTTAAATCACTGCCACTCATATTCCATTACCCAGCTTAGTCATATGGCAGTATACCTGTCTGCAAAGGAGTGTGGGAAACACAGTCTATCTCTGTTCCCAGGAGGAAATCTTCTGGTGAAAAACTAGCCAGTGTTTGTCACAATAGGGAAAAAAAATGGTAAAAGTCATTTTAACATGTACTCCTGTGATTATTGGTAAAGTTGGAATCGATTTTCATTTTTATTAGTCATGTATACTGTCTCTTCTGTGAATTTTTTACAACCTTATTTGCCCATTTTTCTATAGGGCTCATAATGTTTTGAAATGATTTTTTTTTTTTTTTCAGATGGAGTCTCGCTCTGTGAGACTCGCTCCGCGAGCCACCCGTGCCCGGCCATGTTTTGAAATGATTTTTAAGAGCTCTTTCTTCATTAACATTGTTAGCCCTTATTTTGTCAAGTTAGGACCTTGTTTTCGTTTGCTTTTCATCTTCTAATTTTATTTATAATTATTAAATAAATACATTTTTATTTAGTGTCTTTAAATCAATTATTTCCATTGTGATTTTCTGCTGGACATCTCATCCCAAAGCAAACCTACACACACAAAAACTGGGCAATTCTAATCTAACTCCCCAATGTCATTATTTTGTCATCATGATTCAAAGATGAATAAACTAATAGGTAAAGAAACCACGTGACTGGTACAAGGTATCACAGCTACTTAGAGGCAAAGCTAGGACTAAAGATTTTAAAAGTTAACATTTATTGGCCGGGCACAGTGGCTCACACCTGTAATCCCAGCACTTTGGGAGGCCAAGGCAGGCGGATCACGAGGTCAGGAGATTGAGACCATCCTGGCTAACACGGTGAAACCCCGTCTCTACTAAAAATACAAAAAAATAGACGGGCGTGGTAGCGGGCGCCTGTAGTCCCAGCTACTCGGGAGACTGAGGCAGGAGAATGGCGTGAACCCGGGAGGCGGAGCTTGCAGCGAGCTGAGATTGCACCACTGCACTCCAGCCTGGGCAACACAGCAAGACTCCGTCTCAAAAAAATTAAATAAATAACATTTATTAGGTGTATAATATGTGACAGGTTGTGCTGAATGCTTTTTAAACATTAACTAATTCTAAAGACAACCCTATGAAGCAGGTGCTATTCCTATCCCCATTTTACATAGAAGGAAACTGAGGCTGTAAGAATTAAAACAGTATGCCTACTCAGAGTCACACAAGTAGTAAGTGGCAGCAGCACGATTTGAATGCAAGCTCACCTAATTGTTGGAGTCATGGCTTGTCTTAGCACTAAATTAAACTGCCTCTCAGGGCCGGGCGCAGTGGCTCATGCCTGTAATCCCAGCACTTCGGGAGGCCAAGGTTGAGAATTACTTGAGCTCAGGAGTTCGAGAGCAGCCTGGACAACATGGCGAAACTCCATCTCTACAAAAAATACAAAAAAATAGCTGGGTGTGGTGGCACATGCCTGTAGTCTTAGCTACTCAGGAGGCTGAGGTGGGAGGATCGATTGAGCCGGAGAGCTCAAGGCTGCAATGAACCGAGACTATGCCACTGCACTCGAGCCTGGTCAACAGAGAAAGACTCTGTCTCAAAAAAATAAAAATAAACTGTCTCTTGAGTCTCCTGACACACTGCATCAAATGTACCTTTTCAGGAGAGTTGCCTGTGTTCACATTTACCTGGTACACAGCATGCAGGCTGCAGCCTGGGCCCCTGCCAGGCAAGATGTAGGGTGTGAGGTTGTGCTCTGCCCCATTCACTCTGGAACAGCTCCGCCCTTGAGTCCAGGATATTTTCTCAGTGCCTCCACGCATTTGACCATCCAGAAAACATCCCAACTCAGTGTGCCTCGGCCACCATAAATCAGCCAACCACACATGCTGCCCTCAATGCTTCTGAATATCAAGGGAAAGGATCTGCCTCATCCTGCCCTGCTCCTGAGGCTTGCGCATTGACGTTTGAGTTATGTCATTATTTTTTTAAGTGATAGAAATCTAGTCAATGATTTGTAGCAATCACCACTGTGCAACGTATGCCAAAAAACTCTGTCTATCCTTACAGAAGGAGGGAGAAACCTAGCAAATTAGTCTGACTTCCTTGACACAATTCTGTGATGGGCCAGTATTAGGTAAGGCTAAAATCAGGTGCTGTGATTAAAAGATTATGACAATGTGAAAAAGTCAGTCATCACATAAATTAGAAAATGTTTTCAAGGAAACCAAGAGAGGCACATCCTTGGAGGTCAAGGGTCCCCCAGAGGTCAAGAAGGACAATAAAGGGCATTTAGGTTTAGAAAGAATAGGCTGTCACTATCCCCCTTTTTCTTGAACTTTGTCATCAATGGCTACGATGCCCTACAAACCTGCTCTCTTCCTGTCTCTTCTGTCTTCCTTGTTGGCTCTCCCTATGACTCAAACCAGAACTAGAAAAATGTCAACAATAAGCAACCCTCACTATCAAACTGTGTACTCTGGAGAAATACTCTTACACTCCAACCTCTTTATTATTTCATGCTAAGGTCTCAAAAACTCAACACCTCAAGACCTGCACGCTCATTCAGGCAGCTTCCCTGTACTTCGAGTTTCCTCCTGCTGCTGATGGCCCAAGGTGAATAAAAGGAGCCGTCACCAGCTCATGCTAAGCCCTCCTTCTTCAGCGGTGGCATAACCGTCCTTCCAGGAAATGACTCTCAAAGCTTGCCTGGGCCTCTGGGATACCCTCTCCTGTATGCCTTGGGCCCAGTCTCTTGCCAACTCTCAATTCTTCCTTTGTACTATCTCTCATGTACTTTCTTCTCCATCCTCCACCAGCCTCCTCCACCAGCCTCATCTAAACCATCATCCAGATAATTGCAATTAATGTTCTCTGATTTCCCTATGCACCTTTGTCAAAAATCAGATGGGTGTACTTCCAGGTTGTCTATAGTATTCCACTAATCTATGTGCCTTTCCCTCACCAATACAACACTCTCTTCATTGTTATAGCTATGTACATGTTAAAACCAGAAACACTCATTCCCCCTCCTTTATTCTTCTTTTTCAAATTTGTTTTCAAAAGTTTGACTATGATATGTCTTGGTATAACTTTCTTTCTATTTAGGGTTTGCTCAGCTTCTTGAATCTCTAAGTTTGAGTCTTATGCTCAATTTGGGAAGTTTTCAACCAGTATTTCACTGAGTAGTTTTTCATCCCACTCTCTTTTTCCTCCTCCTTTGTCTTCAAAGACAAAAATGTTAGATCTTTTGTTATAGCCTTTTTTTTTTTTTTTGAGGCAGAGTCTCACTGTGTCACCCAGGCTGGAGTGCAGTGGCGTGATCTTGGCTCATGGCAACCTCTGCCTCCCGAGTTCAAGTGATTCTCCTGCCTTAGCCGTCCAAGTAGCTGGGATTACAGACATGTGCCACTATGCCCAGCTGATTTTTCTATTTTTAGTAGAGATTGGATTTCACCGTGTTGGCCAGGCTGGTCTCAAACTCCTGACCTCAGGTGATCTACCCACCTCGGCCTCCCAAAGTGCTGGGATTACATGTTATAGTCTTACAGGTCCCTGAGACTCTATTCTTTTTTTTTTTCTTCTTTCCCAGTCTATTTTTATATCTGTTGCTCAGGTTGGGTAATTTCTATCGTTACATCTTCCAATCCACTGATTCTTTCCTGTCATCTCCATTCTGCTGTTTAACCCATCAGTGAAGTTTTATTTTTGTTATTATATTTTTCCATTCTAAAATTTCCATTTGGGATTAAAGACTTAAATGTAATGCTAGAAACTGTAAAATTACTAGAAGAAAACATAGGAGAAATACTACAAGACGCTGGCCTGGAATAATTTTTTGTATTTAACCCCAGAAGTGCAGGCAAAAATAGACAAATAGGATTACATGAAACTAAAAAGCTTCTGCACAGCAAAGGAAACAATAGTGTAAAGAGACAACCCACAGAATGGGAGAAAATATCTGAAAGCCAAACATCCAATAAGGGGTTAATATCCAAAATATATAAGGAACTCAAACAACTCAACAGTAAGAAAATAAAAAACCCAATTAAAGAATGGGCAGAGGACCTGAATAGACATTTCTCAAACAAAGATACACAAACAGCCCACAGGTATATAAAAAGATCCTCAACATTGCTAACCTTTAGGGAAATGCAAATTAAAACCACAGTGAGATATCATCTCACACCTGTCAGAATGGCTATTATCAAAAAGATAAAATAAATCAAGTGTTGGTGAGTATGTGGAGAAAAAGAAAATCTTGCATACTATTGGTGGGAATGTAAATTAGTACAGCCATTATGGAAAATTGTATAGAGCTTCCTCAAAGAACTAAAAATAGAATTACCATATGATCTAGGAATCCCACTTCTGGGTATTTACCCAAAAGATTTGAAATCAGTTTGTCAAGAGAGATCTGCACTCCCATGTTCAATGCAGCACTATTCACAATAGCCAAGTCATGGAATCAATCTATGTGTCCATCAACAGATGAACATGGTATACCTATGCATATGATGGGACATTATTCAACCTTAAAAAGGAAGAAAATCCTACATGCTACAACATGGATGAACCTGCAGGACATTAAGCTAAATGAAATAAGCCAGGCACAGAAAGACAAATACCACATGTTTTTACTTATATGTGGAATCTAAAACATCAAACTCACAGAAGCAAAGAGTAGAATGGTAGCTACAGAGGCTGGAGGGTGGGGGCAATGGTGAGGTTATGGTTAAAGGGTAGAGAGACTCAGACAGGAGGAATAAGCCTTTTTTGAGATCTATTGCATAGTGCAGTGAAAATAGTTAATAGCAGTATTTTGTACATTTCAAACTTCCTAAGAGTAAATTTCAGATATTCTCACTACAAAAAATGATAAGTATTTGAGGTGAGGAATATGTTAGGTTGATTTCATTATTCCACATTGTATTCATAAATCATAGCATCACTTTGTGCCCCATAATATAATGCAGTTATAAATTGTCAATCTACAATAAAATGTTTTACAATTTTTTGAAAATAAAATTTCCATTTGATTCTTCTATTTCTTTGCTGAGACTTCTCATTTATATTTTCTTTATTTGCCTCAGGCATGGTCATAATTGCTCCTTGAGGCATTTTTATGATGGCCGCTTCAAAGTCTTTGTGAGATATTCCCACATCTCTGTCAACTCAGTGCTGGCATCAACTGATTGTCTTTTTCATTCAGTGTGAGATCTTCCTGGTTCTCAGTGTGATGAGTGATTTTCCATTGAAACCTGGACATTTTAGGTATTATGGTATGAGGTGCTAGATCTTATTTAAACTTTCCCTATTCCCTGGCTTCTTCTGACACTGCTCCAGCAAGGAAGGGGGCCCCCAACATGATGGCCACGTGGGAACAGAAGGCCAGGTTCCCCACTTGGCCTCTAGTAACACCCGAGGGGGAAAGGGGAGTCGTCATTGCTTCTGGGTAGAGGTGGGAGTTCCAGCTCCCCACCAGGTCCCCAATGACATGTCCCTGGCTTGGAGGGGCAGGAGAGCCTCCTGTGGCCTGTGCTGGTACCACAGCAGGGAGGCTCAGAGGGATGCATGGCTTCGTTACTGCTGGGTGGTGGTAAGAGCCCTGACTGTCCACTAGGCCTCCTCTGACCACGCCAGTAGGAATGAAGAATTAGTGTCCCGGAGATGGAAATGGATTGCTGGACGTCAAACAAGTTAGTGACAAAGCTGGGGCTCAACGCCCATGCCCTTGGCTGCAAGACCACTCGCTTCTAAACCAAACACACAGGAAGAATGCCAGCCCCCTGCCCAACAGAATAATGAAAGATCTCACCAGCCAAAGGACAGCGAGCGGCTGCCTCCCTTCACATCCTGCCAGACCCCAGGCCAGAAAGCACATGTGGCTGTGCGCCACCACCCCCTAAACAACACAAACACACGTCTACTTAAGACGGGTCTCCCATCCAACATACACAGCAAAAACATGTTCCCGAGCCAAGAACCACAGCACCACAGTCACCTTCGGGGCTGGTGGTCTTCCATCTGGAGAGGTTCTGGCTTTCCTACTGTTGGAATCTCTGAAACCAAGATACACCCAGGAGCAGCCAGCAGGCCTGGCGCCCCCCTCCTGACTGGAGAGCTGGGTCTGCACCCAGCTGGAGGCGCCTTCTTCGGACCTGGGGCCTCCCTCTGGCCCTGGCTGGCCAGCCGCGGTCTCAGCACAGCCCTGCTTATTCTCCAGTAAGGGAAAGCTGGTGACCCGGGAGGGGAAACTCTGCTTTCTAACAGTCTTTGTTTTTGTTTCCATTTAAAAAGGTTAGTGACTTTATTGCATGTGGAAAGAACCAAAGTAACAATTTCAAAGAGGCTCAGCATGTTTTGGATCTGACCAAATATACAGAACTTTTGAGTGAGGAGGAAAGAAAAGGGAAAAGAGGGAGCAAAAGTTTATTCCACATTCACTGTGTGCCAGACACAAGCCTTGGTGCTCCGTCTATGCTCTCGCCTGCCTTTTACAATAAAAAAATTCCAGCTAGAATCAAGTTCCAAACTCCAGCCAGCAGGCTGTTGGGAGTCAGGCAGAGCTGCTGGACTCCAGGAGAGTACACAATAATAAACCAGTGTAGGGTATAAAATTTTTTCTTTTCTTCTCTTTTCTCTTTTCTTTTCCTTTCCCTTTCCTTGCCTTCCTTTCTCCTTCCCTTTCCCCTTCCTCTTCACCTTCTCTCCTCTTCTCTTCTCTTTCTGGCTGGGTCTCACTCTGTCACCCAGGTTGGATTGCAGTTGCATGAACATGGCTCACTGCAGCCTCAAAACTCCTGGGCTCAAGCAATTCTCCTACTTTAGCCTCCCATATATGTAGCTGGGACCACAGGTGCACACCACCAGCTGGGACCACAGGTGCACACCACCATGCCTGGCTAATAGTTTGATGTTTTGTAGAGATGGAGTCTCACTTTGTTGCCCAGGCTGGTCTCGAACTCCTGGGCTCAAGCGATCTTCTCATCCCGGCCTCCCAAAGTGCCGGGATTACAGGCATGAGCCACCGTGCCTAGCCAGGGTACACAATTTAAGTCACGAAATAGAATGACAATAACAATATTAATAAGGTTATTGGGTACCAAAATTTTGAAATAATATGATTTAAAATTTTTAATTCACTAGAATAACTACCTAAATAATTTAAAATTGTATTAAAGGAACCGCCTATGTTGGTACCATTCAAGCTGATAAATACCCCAATCTTTTGACAGAACTTGTGAATTAAGCATTTTTCTTATGAGCACTGGAATGTCCGTGAATGATTTTGTTGACTATCAGGATATTTTAACATTCACTCTTCCTACAATTTAAAACAATTTTCAAATATTGTAAGCGTCTAGACCAGGGGTCCACAAACTCTGGCCCACAGGTTAAACCTGACCCTCTGCCTGTTTTTGCCACATTTTCAAATGATTGAATAAAAATCAAGAAAAGAACATTTTATGGCATATAAAAATTATATGAAATTAAAATTGCAGTGCCCATAAGTCAGTTTCACTGGAACACAGTCCTGCCTGTTCATTTATCTATTGTCTATGGCTTCTTTTGCACTCAAAAGGCAAAGCTGATTAGTTGCAACAAAGACCACATAGCCTGCAAAGTCAAAATATTAATGTTTGGCCCTTTCCAAGAAAATATGCGGACCCCCAATCTTGACAGTCTGTCAAATGGTGGTGCTGGTGTCAGACTGAAAACACACAGAGATGATGATGATGGTGATGATAACAGCAACAACCACGACCACCAGCTTGGCAACTGAGAAAGCCAAAAAAGCATCACGAGATACCAAGTGGGTAATTTATGAGTGAGCCCACTGTGCAATGTGAGAGAGAGTGCGACCATATGAGAAGCAACAGCAAAGCAAAGCTATGTGTTTTGAGACCATATCAAGTAAATGCACGCTCCACATTTATTCTGTAGGGGGAAAAGTCTGAATTATGAGAGATCTGAATACCGCGAGGTCTTCAAGAATGTAGCCCTCCCATAAAACACAACAGGCTTCTACTTCCTTTCTCCCTCTTCCCTCTCCCCCAACCTTGTTTCCTCCTGTTGGGAGGCAGATCCCACCCCAGGTCTTTCTGAATTCCCACCAATCTGAATCTGATGCCTGTCTGGGTCCCCCAGCCTCTCTACGGCATGTTTATCACAGTGATTTTCCTCTCACCTGCCCGCTGCTAAGGCTGTAAGTATACTATTACTCCCCGCCTCTCACACTCCCAGGCAAGAATACACCTTCTTCATCTGTAAGAAGAAAGAAGTTCTAGTGTTCACCTGCACAACAGTTGGCCCTTCATGCATTGTAGGCTTGAGCAGACACCTTACCTATGCTCTCTCCTCTAATTCCTACGGCATGTACAGAGATTGTTAGCCCATTTCATACATGAGGAAACTGAAGCTTAAAGAGATTAATCTACCCAAAGCCACACATGCAGAGTCAGGTCTGGAATTCACACACTTTACAGTGCATGGCACTGCCACCTGATGCACAGTAGGGGCTCAGAAAGCACTGGATGCCTGAGTGAATGACTGCATAGCAATGCCCACACAGGACCACTAACGCACAGCAGCGCAATCTCAGAAGCAGCCAAGACCTTCCACTCCAAGAGACCTCTGTGGACACTGAAATAACTTCCCTCTCTGGAACTCAGAAAGTCACCACTCGAACAGTACCTCTCACACCCCTTGCTAAGAGTGAGGTATCAAGTTCCTCCAATCTGAGCCTCAGGAAAGAACAGTAACTAGTGAGGAAAGGAAGGGTAGGCAGAAAACAAGCACCTGTTCTGTTTCTGGGTCCCCCTTGTCTGGGCCTCCCAAGTGCAATTTCTCTGAAGACCCCATGAGCAGCACGGACCACTCTTATTACAGCTCTTGCTTTTGACCTGGTAATCACATGGCTGGGAAGTGTATTTC
Organism: Homo sapiens; assembly: GCF_000001405.40. NCBI lineage: Eukaryota > Metazoa > Chordata > Mammalia > Primates > Hominidae > Homo > Homo sapiens. The sequence continues at coordinate 71,122,865 of NC_000015.10, read as the reverse complement.
CAAAGCAGAACATGAGATCAGAAATAAATAAACATCAGCAAATTGAACATTCACGTTGGTAGTGCCAATTTTTAGAGTGGGAGAAACTAGAAACAACCTAGATCCCTGATAGAGGGTGGGGAATGGCTAAGGAAACCGTGATGGAGCAAAATGATGAAAAGCATCATTGTGCTTTAAAAAATGGGAACCCTGCTTAGGTGGCAAGTGGGAAATGTTGACACAAAATCCTGTTAGTTGAAAAGACAAATCTGCATGTGCTAAATTAAAACATAAGCCGATATCAAGGAGAAAACAGAGCAATATTAGCAGTGGCATTATGCGTATATGCGCTCATGTGAAAGAGGCCAAGAAGACAGAGCATCCTGTAAGAGGCTGAGAGCAGGGAGAGACCTTTCCTCACTGAGATACTCACTAACTGGCCTGAGAGTTCCTCCCTCCGGCCCCACCGCCAGTATTTGTTTTGGAGTCAGATGACTTGAAATTGAAACATCATTCTGATGTCTACTTGCTGTGTGAGCCTGTGAACATTCCTTAGCCTCTCTGAGCCTCAGTTTTCTAGCTGTAGAGTAGAAATAATAGTGTCTAGTTCACACAGGTTGTTGAGAGGATTAAATAAAAGAACGCAGGTAAATCCCAGTACCTGACACGGAGCTCTGTAATGGCAGCTCCTCCCCGCTTAGCTGACCAGAAGATCCTCTGAACTTCAAGCAGAATGAAATCCTGGGCCTCAACTAAAATATCGCTAAAGTCAAGCAGGTCCTGGGTACTTGTCTGCTCTGGAAAAGAAACTAAATGGAACTAAAGGCTATACTGTCACTACACGCCCTGTAATGAGACTTCAAAACTTGAAGACACAGCTCTACCCTCAGGGCTCACCTTACAACCAGCAATAAACTCCCCTACATGATTCCCAAGCGGCCTCATGTGCACGGTTGGATTTGATCCTCCTGTCAATCATTAGGTAAGTATAACTATTATTATCCCCCACCAAGAACAAGGCAATGAGAGGGCAGAGAAACCAGAAAACAGGGCAGAGTGGGGATTTGCATCCAGGCCAGACGGCCTCCACGGCTCCTGATTTTCCTCTCAAGACAGCTGCATTCTCTACCCTCAGCCACTTGGCTTGGGACTATCAGGTCACAACAAAGCTAGCAAGGAGCAGAGCCAGTGCAGAATTGGCCAGTACCACTGGAGGACCCAACAGATGTCACAGCCCAGCCCACAAGTAGTCTGACAACCTAGCATGAGGGCAGGAGACGAGGGGCAGGGTAATGTCATCAAAGGGGCAGCTGGAAACCATGGAGCTGGAGCAAAGGGAGGAGCAAGCCAGACAGAATCCAAGGCATGTGAGGGTCAGGGGTCAAACAAGGGAGATCAATCAAAGAGTCAGTTGTCAATTTACCCAAAGCAAGCCTTGGCGCCCTGGAAGAGAAGTTGCTTCTGTGCTTCCCAAAGGAGATGCAGGCTCAGGACTCAGCCAAAGTGGGGAAAAAAAAAAAAAAGTGATAGCTAACATTCAAGTGGCACTTTTCTACACGCCTGAGATAGTTTTGAGCATTTTCCAGGTGGAAAAACTACAGCCCAAGAGGCCAAGGAACCTGTTCAAGGCCCAAAACTTGGTAGAGCCAAGGCTCAAACTCAGGACCTGGCTCCAGAGTGCTCTCCTCCTCAGCACCACCACGCTGCTGCCTGGCCGGGGAAAGGAGGTGGGCTCCCTCTTCCTTCACATCACAAGTGATCAGAGACGCGACATTTCAGGGGGAAAAGTATGTCTGGCAACTACAAATTTGTAGCTTGCTGATATGGTCGGAGGGTTTCCAAGAAGGAAGCAGGTAGGGCAGCCTCCCAGCAGTCCATTTATCCTTTTTCATGGGAAATTAATCTTCTTCTCTCTCCTGACTGTGCCTCCAAGAAAAATGGTTAAGTCAAAGCTCGTCATCCTCCCACCCCTGTAGTCACATGGCTGCATCCCCACCATAAATCAAAGCTGATGCCCCCTTTCATCAGATGCCTGCAGATAATTCCCCTGTGATTTCCCTACTGGGGCTCAGAGGGCCAAGGCCTAAAGGGTTAACATCTCATTTCCTCTTGTCTTTCAAGCCTTAATCCCCATCCTGAGCTGGGTGCATTCCAAGCCCACCTGGAGCAGGTCATGACGAGCTCCCAGCCCATGGCTGGCCCTTCATTTCCCCTGGCAGGAGATTAGATGGGGTGCCCATTAATCACTCCGTGCTTTTGTCCTCACTGCTGGCCAGGCCTTAGGCAGCTGGCCAAGGGCCAGGAGGGTGGAGCAGGCCACATGCTGCCCACCCGGTTGTGGGGTGCCCAGTGCCACCCTCCTGGGACAAGACACAGCGGCACTGTGAACCTGGCTCACTGCCCTCGGACCACGCCCTAGAGAAGCAGGGCTAATGGGCGCCAATGCCTGGGATGACACCTCAGTGATCAGCTTCGGAAAGGCTGGTAGGAGAAGACAACATAGGCAGTACACTCAGCTGGGTGACGGGGTAGACAGGAAAAGAGGTCAACAGAAAGAGACCACTTTCCCAAGACAACGCATCAATACACAAAACTGCTGCCTCTTGTTCCATGGGTTCTTCTTTGGGCAATCTAAAGGGAAGCTGGGGAAGGGGAGTGGGGCGAGCAGGGATGTTGGATGGGTAATTCATTATTACTATCACCGCGCAGCTGGGAGTGTTCATTTGCTGGGTTTGAATACACAGTTGTAACATTCAGCCCTGTGCCCTTCAGACACAAAACCCTGGATTTGAGGGGGCCTGAGATTACATATACATTTTTGTTACAGCAATACATTGAGCTCCAATTGTCTCAAGCACTGATCAGGCACAGAGTAAAGAAATGGGGCGAGAACTAACACTGAGCGCCTGCTATGTGCCTTAGGGCTTTGCCTTAAGCTCTGCATACCCATGCACTGGTCCCCCACCAGCCCTCCAGACTTTGGCCATCCTCTTGTTACACATGGGGAAACTGAGGCTGGGTGGGTAGGAAGTGGAGCAAGGCCAGTTGAATGAAAGAGATCTGTCAACGGCCAGATCCCATTCTGGGAAAGGAGGTTCAACTCACCGTGCCTGCAGGGAGGAAGGGGCTGGCTTTGCCTGTCCAGCCCTATTCGGGGGGTCCCAAACCAAGCAACTTGGGGCTCTTGAACAAACCCACCCTGGTCTTTCTCCCTGAGCACTCGCTCAGGTCCCAAAAGAAATTCACAGTGAGTCTGGTGGCAGGTGGGTTTACATGCCTTCGAGTAAGCTGAGGGGGCTGGGCCTTCAGGACTGAACTAAAGACCCCTCGGGCCAAAAGAGAGGACCCTCTTCCTGGCCTTGGCCACAACTCTCCATTGCTCACTCCTTAGAGTCAAAGTCAGGGCCTCTGTCAAAAAGGAACATGCTGCCTGGGATAAAGTGGCGTATTAACCCACCACCTGTCGCTAGAACCACATTGTAAAGGAAGCCCAGGGCAGTGGTCCCCAAACCTGGGTGTGCGGAAGAATCGCCTGAGGTAATCTTAAAAACGCCAGTTCTCGAGCCCTGCTTCCACCCTGGAGCCTGTGTTTTCTTTCACCAGATCTGAATTTTGATTCAGATGTTCCTAAGACAACTGTTTCAGGAAATAATGATATAGTGGAAAGAACACCAGATTTAGAGAGCTGGGTTTAAGATTTCAGCTCCAAACCTGAGCTGCTGACCTCAGGCAAGTAAGCCTCAACTTTCTTCCTGTACAAGGCAGATGCTGATGTCTCCCTTCTAGGTGGCTGGGAGGATTAAAAGAGAAACCACTGAAAGCCCCAAGCATTGCACACACCAGTGCTCACTAAGCATGGCCCCAGTGAGGCTAACAAGCCAGCGAGGCTGTGGGCACAGAAGTAAGTTTTGACAGGAGGAGGAAAAGAGAGCAAAACAGGCCTAGATGATGAAGGGGTGTCCCAGCCTCAGCACAGCGGTCCTGCGGAGGAGGAGTAAAATTGGGGGATCCCAAGAGGGGGCCAGAGGCAGCAAAGCAGCCTAAAGCCAGAGCTTCCCCTGAATCTTCTCCTCACCTGCGTCAGCCTGCATCATGTGTTGGCTTCCAGCATAACATTTTTAATCCATTTTCACAGCGAGGATATTCAACAAATACACATGAAACCTTTATATCTGCGCATAAGTAAACATCACGATTCTGCATACACACGCAAAGAAAAAGATGGGAAAACCAGAAAGAAGAGGAGAGAGAAGAGAAAAGTGAGATGAGGGGTCAAACCCAGGCAAATAGTCATGTGCTTTCAAGTGTGCTGGGGCCACTAACATGAGGACAGTGTGTTCCATGACCTGGAGAGGCCCAAGGAGGCTGCTCGGGGGAAACCTCAGAGTGGCTGGGGAGGCGAGGCTCATCCAGGCTGAACATAGAGCAGGCACAAAGAATGCAGGGAAGAGACACAGGAGTGTGTGCAAGAAAGGCTGGGTGGGATACACTGCCTGGCAAAATTTAGATCAGAAGAGGGGAAATCTGAATTTCTGAGCTGGGGATGGGAGGTGTGGGGAGGGCAGATAAGACCATGATAGAGACTGGGTGAGTGGAGGGATGGCCTTCAAGCAGGAAGGCGTTGGGATGGCTCTTGGATCAATAAAGTAGACTGGGATTAGGAAACATTTTAAATGCCCTGATGAAAAGTAACCTGGATTCAACCGTGTCCATACAGTACTTTCCTATCTTTCAGTCTTTCCTCGAGCTCTTTCCTCTGCTTGGCCTGTCCTCCCTCCCCACCAGCCTTTCCCATCTCCTTGAACTCCTCCTTAGGCTTCAAAGCCCAGTGGTAACTGCCCTAGCTCCTCCCATGCAGAATCAATTTCTCCCTCATTCGCATCTCCTTGATGTTTTGCACATCCCCCTTGTATTGCGGTTATTTCTTTACTTCCCTTTCTCCCCTGGGTGGTTATTTATCATCTGCTAGCCTGTGGACTCCCTGAAGGCAATGATATTGTCTTGTTCATAGCGTAAGCTCCAGCACATAGTAACAGTCCCTGGCACATAGTAACAGTCCCTGGCACATAGCAGACGCTCAGAAATATCTGTTGGAGATAAATTAAATAGAAGTGAATACTGGGGAGCCATTGTGATTTCTTGAGAGAAATGATGTGGTGAAATCAGAATTTCAGAAATATTAATCTATCAGCATGAAAGAAGATGGATTAAAATGAAGAAAGCAACTCGTGGCTGGGAGTCAAGAGGGGAGATTATTACTGTAATTTGGACATGGTTGAAGGTGGGGGCAGTGGGAATGGAGACAGGTAAATAATTCCTCAGATATCACAAAAGAATGTGGAAGAGATTTTGCGATGAATGAGCTATAAATGTGGGGGACAGAATGGGAGTGTTGGGAACATTTAAACATTGAGACTCCCAGCAATTAGGATAAAAGTGGTACCATGGAGAGAAATGTGGGGGATGGAGAAGACGGCAATACACAGCCTCTGTGTAGGATAACTGATTGCAATCTCCACAAGTTTTTCGAGGCAAAAACAAAAACAAACTCCAAGTCAAAAATCTCCCCACCCCTGATCTTCCTCCCAAACTCTGGGCTGTATTTTTCTTTCGCTAACAGCCAGTAAGAAATATTTCTTTATGGCATAGGAGACTAAAAAGAAGGTAATGCCAAGCTGGTGCCCCGCCCAGTGCTGGGCACAGAGGAGATCACATGAGTTCCACTGGCCAGCCTCCCCACAAGAAACCAACCCAGTTGCTTATTCAGAAGGGGCTCCAGTATCCTGATCACCCAAACTCATTTCCCAGGCCCAGACCTCTGGGAAATCCCTGCTCCAGCCCTGCAGAGATTTATAGGAAAGTCCCAGGACGCCCATCTGCTTGCTTCCTCACATTAATTTCAGGGCTAGGATTTTGTTTTCTAAAGGAATTCAACTATGATGCCAACAAAAATCTATAGGAATTGAAGAGTTCCGTATTTTAAGTCACATTTTTAAAATGTTTGCTTCTTTGTATATTGAGACCCAGTAAGACCCTAGTAAGCCCAGTTACTCCATCACCTCCAACAATATTAATCAAGTAGAAGACACGCGGATTTTAAAAGCTGTGTGATCCTTGAAAAATCTTCAGACTGTCAGGGGTCCTGGGTGCCTCCAACTGTGAAAGGAGGGTTGGACAAGGCGATTCCTTAGATCTCTCTCGGGTATCTATTTCTCTAATTCCAAATTCCAACAGGCATCCAATGATTGCTACCCACGTCCAAGCTTTAGACTCATAGCCCGAAAAGGGCGAAGCGCAGCGTGGTAGAGATCGCAAAGGAGACAGGAAGAGAAGCAAGCATGCACTTTTAGTAAGACGGCAAAGGAGGCTGGGAGGTACGGTGCTGGGTGCGGACTGCTTAAAAAACTTACTAGACCACAAATTCCAGATACTTAGGTGGGCCCGAGAACGCCCTAAAATCCCCTTCCCAAGTGAGGGCTGATGTTATTTCAAATAAAAAGAAAACTTAACTTCCAGATCTGTAGAGCTCCAAGGTGAGCTCGCTGTGCAAAAGCTACTTCTGTAAGTGCGCCAAGGGGCCGCAGGTACTTAGGCTGCACTTGAGGAAGTGTCCAGAGTTGGCGGAAACAACCCATCCACTCGGGCTCCAGGCGCTCGCTGGGTTGCAGCAACTAAACTGAGACAGACAGACACACAGATCCGAGGCCCCAGGCCAGGACTCAAGGAGCGCTGACCGAGACTTGCCCGGCTCTCGGGCCCCAGGCGGGAGGGAGGCGAGGCTGAGGTGGGGGGCGCACGGGCTGGGTGTGCACTCGCCGGTCCCCTCCGACCCGACCCGGGGAGCACGGGGCCCCGACCCGGGGACGACTGAGGTGGATTGTCCCTAGAGTTTAAGACTGTCCCTAGAGTCGAGGGTGGAGGGATGAGCGCCGGCGCCAGCACAGAGCAAGACTCCCAGCAAGGAAGAGAACCAGAGAAGGAGGCGCAGCCGTCCGCACGGACCAGGCGCGCGCTGGCTCCCCGAGCCCGGAGCGGCGCAGCCCGCGGCGCCCCGGACACACCCACTGGGTAGCCCGCGCCAGCCCGCCCCGCCGGCCAGAGAGCGGGAGCCGGAGCCTGGGCAGCGGAAGCCGGGTCGGGGCCGCGCGGGCGGCGCGCAGGGGACGCGGGGCGCGCGGCTCTGCTCACCTGGCGGTCCGCGTCCCGGAGCGACCGGCGGCCGCCTCGCCTCGCCTCGCCCCCGCGTGGTTCCCGGCGCCGGGCAGCCCCGAGCGCCGCCGCATGGACGGCCGCCACCGCCGCCCAGCCGCCCCGCGCCCGCCCTGCACGGGCTCCCGCTGTGCCCCGATTCCGCGTCGGGCTGCGCGGGCGGCCAGCGGTTCAGGCGCGCGCGGAGAGCTCTGGCTCAGAGTTTGCGATCCGAGAGCGGGATCCGCGCTCCCTCGGTCCTTCCTCCCTCCCCTCTTGCGGCCTCCCGCTGTCATCTGGAGCCGCTCCTGCCGCCCCCTGGCGGCGACCGCGGGAAGGGCCGGCCCCCATCCGCACCCCTGACCCCGGAGGTCAACAACGGGATGGTCCCTGGGTCCCAGGGGAAGAGACATCACCCAGTAGGAGGGAGTACGGTCTAGACAGAGGCCACGAGGGCGGGAGGGGGCGAGAGTGGAGAGTGGCCCAGCTGGCCAGGGTCGTCTAAGTGAGAGGAAAAGGGAGAGGGCGGTTGAGACCAGGCCCTGAATTCCGCGTTCATCTTATCCTGAGGTCTGTGGGGACCTGTTGAAGGACTGGGGCAGGGGACGGACGCGGGCATCCTTCCATTTGGAACAGCCATTCCGGCAGCATCAGGATGGGGCGGAGGCAAAGCGGGGAGTGGGCGAGGCAAGTGGTGCTGTAAACCTGTGCGAGAAGGGGGCGGTGACTCTAAGGGCAGGAAGGAGCCCTGGTCACACACACACTCCCACGCAAGGTAGGACGCGCTGGGCTCCTTCTGAGGCCAAGGGGAAAGGACAAGAGCCCTCCAAATTCCAACGGGGGTTAGACAGCATGGGGAGGAGACACACACACCCTGACGGCCAGAGCCGTTCGGGATTCTTTCTTGTCTTATTCAGAGTAATATTTTGTTGGGGAAAAAAAAGCCTGCTGCAAAAAAATAATAATTCTTCTCATTAGTAATGATAAAAATCAAACTTTGATCCCTTCATTTTACGAATTGGGAAATTATTGCCCCCAAAAGGGCATGACCAAAGTGACGCGTTTAGTTAATGGAGGGAAAATTGCTAGGGCCCCGTTTCTTGAGTCCTAATTCAGAGCCAAATTCTTTACATTCGAGCCAAGGTGTTCAGAGCTGGGAAGGCAGGAAATAGAGTGACTGTGAGGAACTGTCTCTTCTTTCCCCAGAGCAGGGAGGGGGTGACAAATATTTGAAGAGGCTGTCCAGATACAGGCGTTTCCCTAAATTTCAGTCAGCCTGTTTGTTTATCGCTGCCTCTAAAGCTTGCCTGCAGGGGTTGTTTTGAAAGTGCAGGTATACCGAGAGGACAATGAAGGAGGTGGCAGAATGCAAGCTCCCTGCCCCAGAGCCAGGCAGCACCAGGGCTGGGTGCAGAGCGCTTCGTGGGAGCAGAAGGGAGCTCCCAGGGAAGATTGTCCTCCAGAAAAAAAAAAAAATTAACAAAAGGGAAAGAGGCTACTCAAGAGATTAGGCCAAAGAAAGAAACACCATTTTGAGCACCGACTACTGGCCCGGAGCCTGGCAGAGCCAGTTCTGATTGATTCAAGAGCTGGTTCCAATGGGATGAAATAATTCCACACTTGATCAAACAGATTTTGATGGGAGGCACCTGGTGTAAATGGGATTAGATTAATTCTGAGTGTCACGAGTCTCATGGGTCCAAATTAAGTCGATCTAACAGCTCTAGTAAATACTGGCCAGTTTAAACCATTTAGAACTGATTTAAAAAAAAAAACCTGCGCAACTTTAGAATGTACTTAATGTCACTGAATTATACACTTAAAAATGGTTAAAATGGAAATTTTTATGTTATGTACATTTTACCATAATTTTAAAAAAGCAAAACTAATAAGATTTGTTCAAACAAGATTGATTTATTCATTCATTCGAGACAGGTATTCAGTGCCGAGTGTGGCCTTGGTGCTAGGATTCAAAGAGGAAAGGAAGAAAACTTTCCATTCTAAAAGAAACTCCACGTGAGGCGAAGAAGATGAAATATAGTCAGAAAACCATACCAGTAGGTGGTAGGTAAATGCAGAAGTATTTAAGAGCTCATACAGGAGTACCTGCCTCAGGACAGGGAATCTGAGATGCTCTGCAGAGCTGGATCTTAAAGAACGGAGTGAGTTCATCACATAATGTCTGGGGCGAACAGGGCTCAGGAGCAAAGGATGTGGTTTTGTTTGTTATTTTTTAATTTTGAAATAATTTTAGACAAGTTTCACAAATAGTACAAAGAATCCCCTTATATCCCCCACCCTCTTCCTCTAATGTTAACATCCGACATAACCAAAGTATGATTATTAGTGAGCAAACTTGATTCGACAGACCTAGGCTGGCTCCTTAGAAGTGATTCCAGTCCATTTTCAACCTTGGTCAAATTGTTTTGACCATATTTTGCTTATATGTCACAAGAAAGTCTCTTTCTTTAAAGTCAAGATAATACTTGTTTTATTTGTTTATTTATTTTGAGAGAGTGTCTTGCTCTGTCACCCAGGCTGGGGTGCAGTGGCATGATTGCAGCTCACTGCAGGCTCCACCTCCTGGGCTCAAGCAATCCTCTCACTGCGGCCTCCCAGGTAGCTGAGACTACAGGCGTGCGCCACCACATTTGACTAATTTTTTTTTCATTTTTTATTTTTAGTAGAAAGGAGGTATTGCTGTGTTGCCCAGGCTGGTCTCAAACTCCTGAGCTCAAGTGATCCTCCGTTCTTGGCCTCCCAAAGTGCTGAGATTACAGGCGTGAGCCACAGAGACCAGCCTATACTCATTTTAAACAAAGAGATATTTACATTATGTGTAAGCATCAGTGAATATTAAGTATGCTAAGACAGCAAGTTTTAATCTTTCAGTCCTGTTATATTTCTGCTTTTATCCAAATGTGTCTGTCACGTATGAATCAGAAGAGCAGAATGTGGTCCTTGCATATAAAATAGCTTACTGACCCTCACCGAAAGAGAGAGCCAAGAATATGTGCTTCAGATCACAGTCAAAGGCTAGCCTGTGCTTACCTAGGCTGGGGGCCTGCCTGGCATGTCAGTGTCAGCTATACACAGCATCTTGGAGGGTGGGTCACCCCTTTGCATATCTGATGTGGTGAGCTACTCACTACCTCATAAAATAGCCACATTGTTCTTAGAGGCTCTTTGTTAGAAATTCCCTTTTAATTTTGACTTGAAACCTTTTGCCCTGTAATTATTATCCACTGGCCCTAGAGGCAGCTCCTAAAGGGACAGACAAGAAACATAACTCTTCTGTCATGTGTCAGTTCTGTCTATGTAAGACAGCTCTAGCTTACACCTGTTGTCCTATTATAATTATTAATTAATTATTAATAGTACCCCCCTTCATTCTCTTGTCCTAGTTAAGTTGATAAATGATGCATACGACATCCTATAGAAGACTGTCACCACCCCACCTCACTGATCAGCCCTCTGCCTACAGCCACACCCACAGAACATTCAGCCATTTCTCCTGTGGTTCCCAGCCTGCAGCACAGCGTCTGCACGTGGTGAGGGCTCCCAAATCTCTGAGGAATGAATGGCTCACTGCTGAGAGCAACCTTCTGGGAGTTCAGGGCATGTGGAACTGGAATAAGAGCAACGTGTGAACAGATTACAGGAAGGCAATGCAGGACAGCTGGACCCTTTGGGGGGAAACTTATGGGGAACACAGTTTTCTTACTTATAAGCACTGAGATTGCCTGAGAGGGGAGAGATGATGCAGAGTGTCCCAAATGTATTTGACGTGGAATCCTTTTACCAGCGAAACATCTCTTGGGCCTAGAGTTCTGAAAATTGCACTTTGAAAAACACTGCTCTCAGCTCTTACAAACCTCGTGTTTTCATCCTAACTGTGCTTCAGAGAATTGTGTCCCAGCAGGAAAGGAAACCCCCGTATAATTCCCTACGTTGCTAGCATTTGGAAGTGGGATGAAAATGGACCTACATTCAAACCCCTAATTTCAAGCTCTGAAGGAGGTACCAGGATCCATCACGATGCTTGTAAAATTGTTCCTTTCATTTTCCTGGTTGTAAACTTATGCAGACTGTAAAGTCAAGGCAAGCCTGTGCCCAGCAAATAATAAGAAAATAAGGGAGGCATGGTAAACAAAACAAAACACTTTGAGAGTTGGTCAACTTGCTGTTATTTTGAGCTGTTTCTAAAAATCTCAGGGTAGATTCCCTCCCCTGCTTGCCTCCTTAACCCAGTCCTTTTTCTTCCTCCTCCAGGAACTCTGGAATGCTGACCTACAGTCTGAGTTCCTGTGCCCTTGCCTGGGGCTGACTCTCTACTTGACCTGTAACCCACAACTGGGCAAGAGAAAATTCTGCAGCCACAGCTCTGAGGACATGAGCAAAATGGTTTCCAGACGGAATGTCAAGGATTCCCATGAAGTGTCAGGGAGTCTTCAGGCCACACTTCAGGTTATCTCCTTCTCTTTCCCTTTTCTGCTTCACACTTGCTCTCATCCTCTTTCTCACCCCACATCTGGTCAGAGGAGATAGGAAGGTTCTTGTTACCTGGTACAAGACAACTTTTGGAATCCCAGATATTCAGATTATTTCCCCTTTTCCTCTTTGCAAATGATAATACTCACAGCCAAGAGGCATCACCCGGATCCGAGGCTGCTTCTCCTTAGGACATGCAGACAGAAGGAGAAGGCGGGGCTGGCAGCCTCCAGTCCACAGCCTCCCTTTCTTCTTCCGGCGATGATTAACTAGGCCTAGACAATGGAGATCTACGGCATACGCCCAGGGCCTCCTCTTCTCAAGCATGGCTGATCAGTCACTTTCCCGTCTATCCTTCATTTATTGAAGCCAACTATGAACGACTAAAGGAAGGATGAGAAAAGTCACCCAAAGTCAAAGGGGACAGCGTGGGAGACTGTTCTAGACAGAAGGAAACACCTTTGCAAAGACCCTGAGGAAGGCAGGGGACTCTCCAGGAGCAGAAGGGCTGTGTGGCTTCAGAGTCCACAAAAGAGAGCAGATACAGGACACTGGCTAGAGCAGGCCCTGGAGCCCGCTGCTGTCCTGGAGGCCTTGGGGAGGCCCAGTGTTCCCAGGGTGGAAGAAGTAGGGGACAGCTTGACGTAGTGGCTGTTGATCAGCTGATATGGAAGTATGTCATTTTATTAACAATTGAGAAAGGAGTGCTGTGCAATTCCATTCAATGCCAGTGATGCTTATGGCCGTTTTTATGAGTTCTGTCATTTTCAAATGAGCAAGAGGAAGCCTCTAAGGGGGTTTAAGCAGGGACTGACGTAATCAGATCTGTGTTTTTCCAAAGGGAGAGGGAGAAAAAGAACATTTCTTATTTTTCAAAAAAGGTAATGCAAAAGCATCATTCCACAATTCTCTTGTAATGAAAAAAATAAATGCAAACTTAAGCAAATCCATCATTCTGAAAGAATATCCTGCGTCTGCCTTTTCCTTCCTGGGAGACTCTCATAATGAGGTCCTGTCCTTCACCCATTGCTCACACTGCCGCCTGGTACCCCTTGTGACCAGGACTGCAAATCTCCAAGACAACTGGAGCAGGGTGGGAGAGCTCAGCCAGGAAGCAGCTTCTCTGTTTGAGGCTAATCAGCTTACATTGTGCTTGAAATTGCTGTCACCTTGGCCTTGTTGGCAATTTTCCCTCTTCAGCAAACCGGCTTTCTTGTTGAATGAATTAATTTTTATAAAATCTCAGAGATAGGGCATATCCAATGAACACTGGCCAGATATGGCTTATGTATAAAACCAGGGCACTACAAACGACAAAGTCACACGGTCTCCAAGTTCATGGCTTTGCCTTGCCTCACTCACCTTCATCCTGCCTCTCTTCAGCACACAGACCACCTACTATGTGCTAGTTGTAGCGGCTCACCAGACAGTGCTGCCAGAGTGTTCCTGGGTCCCACGTTCCTTTTTTTTTTTTTTCTCTTTTAGTGTTTCCTTTCACCACTCTGTGTGTGATGGTGGACACTTTTGCTTATGAGCAGCAGTTTGGTGTCATAAAAGAAAGCAGTCAGTCCCCCAAACACTACACCGCCATTGCTCTCTGGCCATCCCATCGTAGAAGTCACCAACCTCCAAACTGCAGTCGCCTCCCCTATGGAATGGCAAGAACCTAATTATACCTGTTGGGAGAGAATGGGACGGGCTCACACCAACTTGTATAGCCCCTTCCAGTTCTCAGATCCACGAATCTCTCAGAAACTCTGCAACAGGGAAATTATGTGGCTCGTTTTGGATCCATCTGGGAAAAGATGACATACTCAGAGAAGTATGTGACTTCTTTTTTAAAAATTTCAAGCTGCATTTGGAATAGCTTCTTTTATTCCCTGTAATGCAGAGAATTACCATGCAGCTCTAGTGCCACATCATGGCTTACAGACAAAACTCCCCACGATGTGTCTTGAGTCATGAAGACATTGATAGAGCTGCTGTTTGTTGACTTGGGTAGGATGAGAGAACACCTGAGTGGGTGACCCTGAAATGGCTCCTCTATTCCTCTGGTATTAGGTGTTCATCCAGAAGCTACAGGATCAGTGTTCAGGACCAGCTTCTTCCTAAGTTCATCTTTCTTTATTTAAAAATCTCAGAATTCTAGAGGTGGAAGAGAGTATTTTCTCTTTTTGTTTTTTTGTTTGTTTTTTTGTTTGTTTGTTTGTTTGTTTGAGACGGAGTCTCACTCTGTTGCCCAGGCTGGAGTGCAGTGGTGCGATCTTGGCTCACTGCAACCTCCGCCTCTCACATTCAAGAAATTCTCCTGCCTCAGCCTCCTGAGTAGCTGGGACTACAGGCACATGCCACCACACCCAGCTAATTTTTGTATTTTTTTAGTAGAGATGGGGTTTCACCATGCTGGCCAGGATGGTCTCCATCGCTTGACCTCATGATCTGCCTGCCTCAGCCTCCCAAAGTGCTGGGATTACAGGCGTGAGCTACCACGCCCGGCCCTATTTTCTCTTATTCAGATTAAAAAACAGAGGCCCAGGGGAAAAAATGAGTTGCAGACATTCACACCGTGAGAATGTGGTCAATCAGAAATAGGAACCCATCTGGTGGGCCTTGAGCTATTCCAGTGAGCCCCCTCCCCATTGTCCTGTCCCTTGGAAGTCCATGGGTGGAGAAAACCAGGGGCTTCAGGCTGTCAGAAATAGCCATGGAAACTACTTAGGACATCTTGAATTCCAAATATCATACATGTTAAAGCTAAGGATCTTCCCGGCTCAAAGCATATTTAATCTAATCAGGTTATTATTTTTCTTCTTTGGAGTTAAGAAGAAGCCTTGTGGGTTTTCCCTCATGGGCTTGTCCCAAAGCTTAGCCCAGCAATGTGGACCCCAGTCTCTGCTACTATTCATGCCGCTTTCCAGAACTCAGCCTCTTGCCAGAATTCATCTTCTATGAACCTTGGGTTTGTTCAGGAACAGTTTTGAGGCCTGAGAAGCATTTCTTCCATAGCACTGGGACAGCTCCCACCTCCAGGCCCCAGCAGCCTGAGCCCTACAGTGGCCACCTCATCTCAATGTCTCCATTGTAAAGAGCTGCACCTATCCTTGTATCTGCCAGCAAGCAGGCCACATGGAGGTGGAAGACATCAGAGGAGGCAGAGGAGCCCTGCATTGGCTGCATGCTTTGGGCGCAGGTTTCCTAGGAGGAGAGATGGAAGGTTGCAGAGTGGAATGGACAGAAAACGAAGCAGTGATTCAGGAAAAAATAATAGCAGCTGGTTTTCATCTGGGTACTAGCCTTATGACCTTGAGCAGTGGCTTAACCCTGCTGAGCCTCAGTTTCCTCATCTGCAGAGCAGGCTTGACACTCACTAACTGCTGAATTCTCTCAAGGGGGAAAATGGGGAGAAAACACTCTCATGTCCTGTGCCTTCCCCATTAGCATCCTCAGTCTGAGAGAAGTTGGTCTGTTCTTGGTCCGTCCCTTTTTTCTGGCTAGCTATATTGCCATTCTTCCGTTGTCACGGGAACATTCCAAAGGATGAATGAAGGGTATGGGATCAAGCAGAGGCAAACATGAGCAAGAACAAGCGTGTAGATTAAGATACAAACTTCTCCTGACCCAGTCCTGTGAGTGGAAAATACCACACAATGGGAAAGAAACCAAATCACCCTGACATGCAATCAGATATTGTGGTGTAGGTCAAAGGGTGGGCCAAAAGGCTTGGTTTCTTTTTCTTTCCTTTCTTTTCTTTTTCCTTTTCTTCTCTTCTTTTTTTCTTTTGCTTTCTTTCTTTTCTTTTGCTTTCTTTCTTTCTTTTCTTTTTCTCCTTCCTTCCTTCTCTCTTTCCTTCTTTCTTTCTTTTCTTTCCTTCTTTCCTTCCTTCTAAAAACAGGTAATTGCAAAAGGAAAGAAAACAGGAACACATTGTTTCTTTTTGATTGATTAAGTTAATTGCACATGTCAAACTTTTTACTTGTCAGCATCTGAAGTTTCCTTGAAGCTAATAAGAACTTTCTTCTGGATAACGGTTTCATGAAGACAGCACATCAGGTTGTGAAAGGCACATTGGTTTTAGAGTTAAACAAATGTGCACTTGGAGCCTTGCTGTGCTAACTTCCTGACTGTGTGACTTGGAAAAGTGACTTACTAGTCTGAGTTTTTCAACTGTCATGTGGCTATAATGATTTTAGAGGGCATGGTTGTGGTAATCATGACTCAAGTTCACCAATTCGCCTTCAGGGACGAGATTTCACTTCCCCTCCCTTTGAAGTTAAATGTGGCCAGGTGACTTGCTGTGGCAAATGGAATGTGACTTCTCTTTTTAAATTTTTTTTTTTTTTAAAGCTGGTAGCTGCTTTAAGACTCAATGTACAAATCATCGTGTTCCTTCCCACTGGTGCTAGGGTTGTGGAATCCTTGGTTAGCCTGGGTCTCAGAGGACTGTGATCTGTAAGCACCCCCACCATTCTTTGAATGTACAGCATCAAATCTCCCACTGAGATTTGAGTTTGTTACTGCAGCAAAACCTAGCATACCATGACTGATATAATGGTTGATACAATAAAGTATGATGACATTTGTAAATACAACTTGGCAATGGTAAAGTGATCAGAAAGCCTTGTTATTTTAGTGTTCAGAGGTAATTGTGCTGATTAGTAGGCCCAAGTTAAGGGATAAATTCCTGCATGGGTCAGGCAGGCTGCAACTTTACCCCAGATCATTTTTCTCCACCAGGGGCCAGAATCAGGAAAATCTGAAAAAACTCCCCCAACAGATCTGCCATGGTACCCAAATACCAGTTCTGCCTTTGAGATAAAGGCCAATCTGTGTACTGAAGGTGGGAGCTTAGGGAAAGTCATCAGGCTCTGGGAGTGGAGAATACTCAGGAATGGTGGGGAGGCACAGTAGTGGGAGTGGTCTTGAAGAGCAGCTGTGTAGAACTGAGGCCTGCGTCACAGTGGGAAGTCCTTGCAATTTGAAGGTTAAGCACACTGTGCACGAGATCCCTGGCCCTCTTCTCTCACCATGATACACACCCTGTCCTCCCATAATAATTTTCTCCTGTAGACCTTCCACAATAATTTATTCCAAGTCATTCTTTATGCCACCTAAGTCTGGCCTTTGACCCTCACCTCCAGGCTCCCATTTCCCGGATATTTTGGCAGGTGCTTCAAGTGCAATGTGTTATGGATAGAACATATCACTTCCTGTCCCACCCCCCAAACCCTCTTTCCTATTCCATACTCCATATCTGGATGAGGAGCTATCATCTTCCCAATCATTCAAGCTCAACATCTCAAGAGGGCTCATGGCCCTGGAATGCTCTTTTTTTCTCTATTAATATAAGAGGGGAAAATGCAAGCCAGAAAAACAATTGAAGGCATTGTGCAGGCCAGGTGAGGTTGTGGTTCAATCTTGGTGTGAATTTGTTCCTTTGAGAATTCGTCTTTGGGTGGAATGCCTCTAATTGTGGACTCAGAAAATAGGATGAAATGTAGAGGAAAAGAAAATAGGATAGTGTAGTGTGATAAGAAGTATATTTGGTCTTTGTCCGTGGTCCTGGCACAGAGAATCTAAAACCCTTGGAATTTCCTCAGTCATGAGGTGTCCTTTCTTATTCTTAAGGAGCCTCTTTGGAGCACACCTGAGTTTATGCTAATGAGGTAATTTAGGGTAGGACCCCAGATAGCCTCAGGATGGGACTCAACACCAGAAAAACTAAGGGATTAGAAGGTTGAAACTTTCAGCCCTACCCACTGACCTCCAGGAATGGGATGGGAGGAAATTAAATTCTATGAAAACTCTGGGAGAGAGGGGTACCCCAATTCTACAGGGACAAAAGCTCCTATGCTTTGGACCCTTCTAGACCTCACCTAAGTCTTCATCTGTATCCTTTATAATAAACGAGTAAATGGCCTGAGTTCTGTGAGCTATCCCAGCAAAGTATTGCTGAGAAGGTGGGTAGGGGAAACCCCAATTTGCAGCTGGTTGGTCAAAAGTACTAGAGACCTGGCCTGGTGATTGACATCTGAAGTAGAGGCTGAAAACTAAAAATAAAATCCTAAGCCCCTCAACAGCTGAACAGACCCCCTCTTGGCTAAGGGGACCCTAGAAAATCCTTAAAAATGGAATTCCCAGCATGACACAAAGGGAGGTGATATATCCCCACCCTTTTGGAGTTTAGGCACAACTGACCACCATTAATATTAAAATACAGACCATAAGACTAACAAAACAGACTCCTTGTGACAATAAGATATCAAATTATAAAGAGGACATAAGGCCGTGCCGGACAAGGGCTAAGTCACTCAGCCCTACGGGTCACTCTGACCTCGAATATTGGTTCACATACTTCCTTATCTTAACTTAAAACTTTCTTTTCTGTTGACTCCAAATTTTTACACAAAGCTCTACTCCTTTAACCAATTGCAAATTAAAGAATCTCTGAATCCGCCTATAACCTGTAAACTCCCACTTCAAGATATCACACCTTTTCGGGCCGAACCAGTGTATACCTTCCATGTGTGAATTTATGTCTTTGCCTATAACTCCTGCCTCCCTAAAATTTATACAACCAAACTGTAATCTGACTGCCACAGACACACTTTCTCAGGACCTATTGAGACTGTGTTCTCTAGGCCATGGTCACTCATATTGGCTCAGAAGAAACCTCTTTAAAATATTTTCAGAGTTTGGTTTTTCCATTAACAGGGCAATCTTGTGAGACTGAGAACTAACCCTGTGGGATCTGATGCTTAGCTCCAGGTAGACAGTGTCAAAATCGAATTAAATCGTAGGGCATGCAGCTGATGGGAGCAGAATTGGAGAACTTCTTGGGATGGAGAAAAAGCCCCACACATTTGCTGTCAGAAGTATTGTGTGAGCGAAGAGAAACAGTCTGTTTTCTCCAGATGGATTGCCTAATTCTTTCCGGCCATATAATAAAGAGTTATTGCTGGTCAATAAGTTTTGTTTTTTATGAAACTTTGCAGGGGCCGGGGGTGGGGGAGACAATAAATGCCATACATATAAACAAAGATATCATTTCCCACATAGCAAATGATTGATGATTTAAAAAGCAAAAAGAGAGCCTTATTCCAGAAAAGATGGAATAAGTAAGGACACACTAAATGTAACTATAAATCCTGGACAGAATGGATGGAGGAGCTATCTGAGAGTTCTGAAACATAAATCATAGCAGGTGGCTTTGGGAAGAAGACCAGAATTCAAAGTCCCACTAAATCAGTAGTGAATTTTTTTCCCTCCCAGTATCAGCCAGCCTAGACTAAAAGGCAGCCATAAAGCTGGAAGTGTGCACCAGAGGAAGACAGAAAGAGCTGCAAGAGAAGTCCTCTCTAAAACACAAGAAAGGAGATTCTGAAGAGTCAGAGAGAGAGTGGGGTGCAGGGGAACTCCTGGTGTTTTTTTTTTTCCTTCTTTCCAGCCTCAGCCCACAGGCAATATTGTAGCAGCAGTGGTGGTGGCAGAGGCTGAGGGGGTGGGAGTGGAGCTAGGCAGTCATCTAAGATTCCAAGAGAGGGGAATTATTCTGTTTGACTGGAGGAGCAGTGTTCACAAGAGTGTGTGGCAAATCTTTCTTCCTTTTTTTTTCACCTTTCTCCTCCTGCCACTTGACTCCAAACACAGAAACAGTCATGGTAAGTGTGGCAGAGCAGAGAAACTGAAGCCCAAGCTTGCTCACTGGAGGGCTGAAAAGGGAGGCCCCAAGGAGCCAGAGGGTGTTGGGGAGATCACGGAGAGTAGGGAGCTTAAGTCAGAAATCCCACAAACTTATGTTTTAGCTCCTGGGCTCACCTCCAGGCTACACATGTATGGATCTGATCCTAAACACCATACCACATGTTTGGAGAACTGAAACTGCAAGGTAGACCCCAGTCCAGGCCCATGATTGGCCACTGGGTGGCACACACACAGGACTGATCTGAATAGCACTGCACTCTGAAATCAGAAATGATATTGAAACCACAGCCCAAGAGGCAGGTTTGGACTCGCAAAAATAATATAATCTGTTTCATTTCCTGCTTCAAAAAAAAAAAAAAGCCTTCTTTTTAGGATTTAAGTCAGACCTGGGGTCCTGTAATATTCAAAATGTCTAGGATATAATCCCAAATTACTCAGCATATGAAGAACCATGAAAGTCTCAACTGACAAGGAACGAGACAATCAACAGACACTAACCCTGAGAAGATACAGATGTTAGAATTACCAAACATTTTTTAAAGCAGCAATTATAACCATGTTCCATAAAGTAAGGGAAAGTGCTCCTGAAACAAATGGAAATACCGAAATTCTCAGGGGGGAAAAAAGAAGATATAAAAACAGGCCTAGTGGAGTGGCTCACACCTGTAATCCCAGCACTTTGGGAGGCCAAGGCAAGTGGATCACCTGAGATCAGGAGTTCGAGATCAGCCTTGGCAACATAGTGAAACCCTGTTTCCACTAAAAATACAAAAAATTAGCTGGGCATGGTGGCAGGCATCTGTAATCCCAGCTATTCAGGAGGCTGAGGCAGAAGAATCTCTTAAATCCGGGAGGTGGAGGTTGCAGTGAGCCAAGATCACACCATTGTACTCCAGCCTGGGCAACAAAAGCAAAACTGTCTCAAAATTTAAAAAAAAGGAAGATATAAAAACAAACCAAATGGAAATATTAGAACAGAAAAAGAGAAGGACACTAACTTAAATTTCAGATTAACTGGATGAAAAATTAACTTAAAGATAGATCAATAGAAATTATCTAATCTGAACAACAAAGGAAAGAAAATTGAAAAAGAAACCCAGCAGAACCTTAGGGGCCTGTGGGAAAAAATACCAAAAAGTTTAATATTTGTGTCATTACACTCCTAGAAGGAAAAGAAAAAGGATGTTGAATGGGAAAAAAATATTTTAAGAAATAATGGTGGAAAAACATCACATTTCACAAAAGACATGAACATGGAAATTGAAGAAACTCAGTGAATCCCAAACAGGATAAAATCAAAGACATCCACACATTATAATCAAACTTATGAAAACTATTAAAATAAAGAAAATATCCTGAAAGCAATCAAAGATAAATGACTCATTTCAGGTAGAGAAACAATTATTTAAATGACTGTGCATTTCTCATCAGAAACCATGGAAGCTGGAGGGAAGTAGAATAACATTTTTAACATACAGAAAGAAAAGAATTATCGGCCCTCCACAGTGGCTCATGCCTGTAATCCCAGCACTTTGGGCGGCCAAGGGGGCGGATCACCTGAGCTCAGGAGTTCAAGACCACCCTGGGCAACATGGTGAAACCCCGTCTCTACGAAAATACAAAAAATTAGCCAGTCGTGGTGGCATGCACCCGTAGTCCCAGCTACTCAGGAGGCTGAGGCACGAGAATCGCTTGAGCCTGGGAGATGGAGGTTGCAGTGAGCTGAGATCATGCCACTGCACTCTAGTCTGGGCTACAGAGTGAGACTCTGTCTCAAAAAAAAAAAATAAAAAAGAAAAGAAAACTACCAATCCAGAATCTTATATCCAGTGGAAATATCGTTCATGAATGACAATGAAATAAGGACATTCTCAGATAAAGTAAGAAAATTCCTTGATACCAGACTTGTTCCATAAGAAATGCTAAGGAGAATTCTTCAGACTACAAGGAAATTAAATCGAGGGAAACTTTAACAATAGTAATGAAATAAGAGCAACTGAAATGGTAGATACCTGGAAAAATATAATAGATTTTAAGTTCTTTGAAATATGTGAAAGCACAAATTGTAACATTGACTGATGGAATTTTCAATGTATGTAGTCATCATAATACATAATACTATGATGACTACGTAAACAGGGGATGCCAAAGGTACCTATATGGTGAGAAGATCTAATATTTATATCATTTATGTGTTTATACCATTTAAATTTAATGCAAGAATTGAGTACTCCTCTTGAAATTATAAAATATAATAGTAATATAATAGCAGACCATATACTGTAATCTCTAGAACAGCTACTAAAATTTTTTTCCCAGAGATATAGTAAAAATATCAATAGAAAATTAAAATAGAAGACAAAGATATTCAAATATTTCAGAAGAAAGTAGGAAAGGGAAAATGAAAATCAGAAGAAACAAACATAAAATATGTGATAAAATGGTGATCTAAGTACAAACATATCAATTTTATTTTATTTTATTTTATTTTTTATTTTACTTTTTATTTTTATTTATTTTTTTGTGTGACAGCGTCTCACTGTGTCACCCAGGATGAAGGGCAGTGGTGTGATCATGGCTCACTGCAACCTTAACCTCCCAGGCTCCGGTGATTCTCCAACCTCAGCCTCCAGAGTAGCTGAGACCACAGGTGTGCAGGCCACCATGCCTGGCTATTTTTGTATTTTTTTGTAGAGACAGGGTTTTGCCATGTGGCCCAGGCTGGTCTCAAACTCCTGGGCTCAAGTGATCCATCTACCTTAGCCTCCCAAAGTGCTGGAATTACAGTCATGAGCCACTGCACCCAGCCCTCAATTCTTACATTAAATTTAAATGGTATAAACACATAAATGATATAAATATTAGATATCTGTTTCTATGTAACAAATTATCACAAACTTAGCTCAAAAGAACATATGTTTATTATCTCAGTTTCTGTGGGTCAGGAATGCAGGCATGGCTAAACTAGGTCCTCTGCCCCAGGGTCTTTCATGTACCTACAACCAAGGTGTTGGCCAGGGCTGAGGTCACATTTGAAGGCTTTACTGGGGAAAAATCTGATTCTAAGCTTGCAAGCACAGTTGTTCAGACAATTTCATTTCTTTTGGGCTGTTGGATTGAAGGCCTCAGTTTCTTGCCATGTGAGCCTCCCCAACATGGCAACTTACTTCATCAAAGCCAGGAAGAGAGTGAGTCTATGGAGAAAAACTGCTAGCAAGACAGAAGTTACAATCTTAGATAGCACAATCACAAAAGTGACATTCCATCACCTTACCATATTCTATTGGTTGGAAACAACTCACAGGACCTCTCCAAACCTGTTCATACTTAAGGAGTGGAGATTAAACAACAATATAAATCCAAGAGGTAGGACTCAATAGAGGCCATTTTGGAGTCTGTCCAACAGACCTACCAGTTAAAAGACAGAGACTGAATGAATTCAAAGCAAACAAACAAAGAAAACTAAGAAACAACTACATACTGCCTAAGAGAAACTCACTTTATTATGTTTTAATTTTTTGAGACAGTATCTCAATTCAAAACAAACAAACAAAGAAAACTGTCACCCAGGCCGGATGACTGTATGTGGCACAATCACAGCTCACTGCAACCCTGACTTCCTGGGCTCAGGTGATTCTTCCACCTCTGCCTCCCAATGGAACCACAGGTGTGTGCCACCACGACCGGCTAATTTTTGTATTTTTTGTAGGGAAGGGGTTTCACCATGTTGTCCAGGCTGGTCTCAAATCCCTGGGTTCAAGCGATCTGCCCCCCTTGGCCTCCCAAAGTGCTGGGGTTGCAGGTGTGAGCCACCATGCCCAGCAAAATCCACTTTAAATATAATAATATATTTATGATCAGAATAAAAATTAAAATATGGAAAGAAAGCTAAACCATATAATCACTAATCAAAAGAAACCTGGAATATAATTTTATTATTAAAATCAACTTTAGAACAAGGAAAATTACCAAGGATAAAGAGGACACATTGCATAATAATCAAAAGAGCCAATTCACTGTGAAAACATAGCAATCCTAAATGTATGTATACCTAACAATAGAATTTCAGAATACAAAATCCAAAAACTGATAGAACTGAATGGAGAAATGACAAGCCCATAAAGTTGAAGACATCAAAGCTCTCCCCTCAGTAACTGATAGTATAAGTAGACAGAAAATCAGCAAAGACATTGAAGAACTGAGCAACACCACCAACTAATTGATTCTAATGGACATTTACAGGTCCACCCAGTGGCAGAATACACATTTCTTTCAAGTGTACATGGAACATTTTGGGCATCTGATGCACAATACAACTCTTCCCCAGACCACCAGGAGGCAAGGTCTGTGGCCAGAGAAATATAAAAGTGGTGGTCATGGGGTGGAGTAGGAGGCATTTTCTTACTTCACCCTCTAACCCATCCCTGACTCTCTTAAAGGTCGCTGTGAGACCTTGGTGAGTGCAAACTGAAATGAAAAGGTAGTTCTCATTGTAATCCAATTGCAACCAGTTTAAACAATTGAGAACAAATTTTATTTGCATACAAGTATTCAAGCAAGTTTGATTGGATCAGACCTGGATTTTAGGCTTGCAGGTGTCTGATTTTGAAACACAAAATCCAATATTTTCTGCCTGGGAAATATATATATTTTTAATGTAGTTAATATAAATTACCTTTCTACTTCAGTTTGACTATTAATTGCATTGTAACTTAACTTGTATTCTTATTGAGTCTCTACATGTTTTCTTCCACTTCTGCACTAGTTTACCATTTGGATGAGTATATTATATATCAGTCCAGGTGTCTCCCAGGCAGTCAACATAATTCTGCATTCATTTTCGCACTGCCCATCAGCCAGGAAGTTGCAACTAAGTAAAAATGATGAATGTCCCTATACCCAATGATGATCTAGTTCATAAATTTTTTAAATAAAAAATGTGGGGCCAGGTGCAGTGGCTCAAACCTGTAATCATAGCACTCTGGGAGGCCAAGGCAGGCCAATCGCTTGAGCCCAGCAATTTAAGACCAGCCTGGACAATATGGCAAAATCCTGTCTCTACAAAAATACACAAATTATGAAATCATGTCTCTACAAAAATACAAAAATTACAAAATCCCATCTCTACAAAAATACAAAAAACCTAGCTGGGTGGTGGTGGCACGGGCCTATAGTCCCAGCTACTCGAGAGGCTGAGGTGGGAAGATCACCTGAGCCCAGGAAGATGAGGTTGCAGTGAGCCATGATCATGGCACTCTAGCCTGGGTGACAGAGCGGGACCTTCTCTCCCCCCAAAAAAAAAAAAAAAAAAAAAAAAGTGAAAGAATTTTTATTGGAAAGTTATATTCAGGTTATAGAAGAACTGTTCCGCAGCTCACATAGTCAACATATTTACTATAAAAGCAGCACTGCCTTGGGACACAGTGTGCTCACAGATCTGGAGAAACAATTTCTCTTTGAAAATGTGTCCTATTGTGGGTCTGGCTCCTATGAAGTAATGCAAGTGTATTGTCCCTGTGAAAAAAGATGTTTCCCCAAAAACATCACTGCGAGAAGGTCAGCACTGGGCATGAAGTTTATTCCCACAGAGGGACGCTCATACCTAGATAATTGGGGGAAAATTTTTTTGGCAAAAAACTTGCCTCAGTTTCATTAAAACACACGACAGTGATCAGTGTAAGAAATAATTTTAGTGTCAAGAGTAATCTATAGAGCAATGAACATTACAGATTGTGTGATGAATCAGGAAAGAGTTTGCTTTGGACTTAAAAAAAAAAATATATATATATATATATATACATCTTTCTGTGACCTATGAAAGCAAAATGTAAATTATAAGATATAACGTATAACAACATCTGTAACCTATCTGTCTCTTTTTTCCCCCTCAATAAAGAGGCTTCTTTGTTGTCTCATTTGGTTGTTGTTGTTTTTTTTTTTCGAGACAGAGTCTTGCTTTGTCACTCAGGCTGGAGTGCAGAGGTGCTATCTTGGCTGACGGCAACCTTGACCTCGTAGGCTCAAGCAATCCACTAACCTTAGCCTCCGGAGTAGCTGGGACCACAGGCATACGCCACCACTGTCTGGCTAATTTTTGTATTTTTTGTAGAGACGGGGTTTCACCATGTTGCTCAGGCTGGTTGCGAACTCCTGTGCTCAAGCAATCCACCCGTCTCAGCCTCCCAAAGTGCTGGTATTACAGGCGTCAACCACCGTGCCCAGCCTTTCACCTCAATAAATAGTTAATAACATATTTTTGAAGCTATTTAGCAATGCTGCCAGGTTGATCTGGTTTAAACTATTCAAAGCTGGTTGAATAGTTTCAATAACTTTTCCCAAACAAAGGAAAAGCTATTGAAATCAGAGCTGATTTGATCCAGTTTGAATCAGCCTATTTTGACAAATGTGACTTTAAACCATTTTAATTTCATTAGGATCTGTTTGCTCTACTAAGAATCACTTTACACTGTTTTCCCCTAATATAAAGCAATATCACTTGCCTGAATCCAGTTTCCTCTTTCTGAACTGCTGTGATTCAATTCACGTTGGTCTGATCCAGTAAGGACAAGTTAGATGCAGGCTTATCTGGTCTCGATCAGCAGGAACTGCTTGGAATCTGATGTGTCAGTTTGGGACTGTTTTATCCTGTTTGAGCTGGCTTTACCCAATATGACCCAGGAAGGTTGGCTTGACCTGATTAGAATCAATGTAAGCAGGTTTTAACCAACTTGGAATCAGTTTGCTTCTTAAAAAACCAGTTGGCTTTCCTTAGAAATATGATGTTCGGAATGGCTTAGCTCATCTGAGCCTATTGTGAACCACACTGAGTGAGGTTACAGCAGCTCTTCCATCTAGTCTGAAACACAAAAATGTGGAAATGCTAGAAGGCCAGATTACAACAGGGTTAGAGTATAAAGGAGGTGGGAGAAAATGAAAGGTATTGCATTTATACTCATCTAGATACAGGTTGAGAGAGAAACTCAGGGTCAAGAGATGATTTTTTGTTGGTTTGTTTTTAAATATGGAGAAAAGTCCCCAGAGAGGTAGGAGGGCACAGACTAGAGGGACTGGGTTGGAAACCAAGCAGGATCAAATGTATATTGTAATTACCTTAGGGGATTATATTGAAATGGTAATGGTTAGTGCTAATATAAAAGAAAATTTTTTTTTTTGCCATTTTTTTTATTATACTTTAAGTTTTAGGGTACATGTGCACATTGTGCAGGTTAGTTACATATGTATACATGTGCCATGCTGGTGCGCTGCACCCACTAACTCGTCATCTAGCATTAGGTATATCTCCCAATGCTATCCCTCCCCCCTCCCTCCACCCCACAACAGTCCCCAGAGCGTGATATTCCCCTTCCTGTGACCATGTGATCTCATTGTTCAATTCCCACCTATGAGTGAGAATATGCGGTGTTTGGTTTTTTGTTCTTGCAATAGTTTACTGAGAATGATGATTTCCAATTTCATCCATGTCCCTACAAAGGACATGAACTCATCATTTTTTATGGCTGCATAGTATTCCATGGTGTATATGTGCCACATTTTCTTAATCCAGTCTATCATTGTTGGACATTTGGGTTGGTTCCAAGTCTTTGCTATTGTGAATAATGCCGCAATAAACATACGTGTGCATGTGTCTTTATAGCAGCATGATTTATAGTCCTTTGGGTATATACCCATTAATGGGATGGCTGGGTCAAATGGTATTTCCAGTTCCAGATCCCTGAGGAATCGCCACACTGACTTCCACAATGGTTGAACTAGTTTACAGTCCCACCAACAGTGTAAAAGTGTTCCTATTTCTCCACATCCTCTCCAGCACCTGTTGTTTCCTGACTTTTTAATGATTGCCATTCTAACTGGTGTGAGATGGTATCTCATTGTGGTTTTGATTTGCATTTCTCTGATGGCCAGTGATGATGAGCATTTTTTCATGTGTTTTTTGGCTGCATAAATGTCTTCTTTTGAGAAGTGTCTGTTCATGTCCTTCACCCACTTTTTGATGGGGTTGTTTGTTTTTTTCTTGTAAATTTGTTTGAGTTCATTGTAGATTCTGGATATTAGCCCTTTGTCCGATGAGTAGGTTGCGAAAATTTTCTCCCATTTTGTAGGTTGCCTGTTCACTCTGATGGTAGTTTCTTTTGCTGTGCAGAAGCTCTTTAGTTTAATTAGATCCCATTTGTCAATTTTGGCTTTTGTTGCCATTGCTTTTGGTGTTTTAGACATGAAGTCCTTGCCCATGCCTATGTCCTGAATGGTAATGCCTAGGTTTTCTTCTAGGGTTTTTATGATGTTAGGTCTAACGTTTAAGTCCTTAATCCATCTTGAATTGATTTTTGTATAAGGTGTAAGGAAGGGATCCAGTTTCAGCTTTCTACATATGGCTAGCCAGTTTTCCCAGCACCATTTATTAAATAGGGAATCCTTTCCCCATTGCTTGTTTTTCTCAGGTTTGTCAAAGATCAGATAGTTGTAGATATGCGGCATTATTTCTGAGGGCTCTGTTCTGTTCCATTGATCTATATCTCTGTTTTGGTACCAGTACCATGCTGTTTTGGTGACTGTAGCCTTGTAGTATAGTTTGAAGTCAGGTAGTGTGATGCCTCCAGCTTTGTTCTTCTGGCTTAGGATTGACTTGGCGATGTGGGCTCTTTTTTGGTTCCATATGAACTTTAAAGTAGTTTTTTCCAATTCTGTGAAGAAAGTCATTGGTAGCTTGATGGGGATGGCATTGAATCTATAAATTACCTTGAGCAGTATGGCCATTTTCACAATATTGATTCTTTCTACCCATGAGCATGGAATGTTCTTCCATTTGTTTGTATCCTCTTTTATTTCCTTGAGCAGTGGTTTGTAGTTCTCCTTGAAGAGGTCCTTCACATCCCTTGTAAGTTGGATTCCTAGGTATTTTATTCTCATAAAAGAAAATTTTTATCTTTTATCATAGAACTACAACTTTGGTTAAACAATGTATGTAGCTGATTATATTCTTTTGACAATTCTATCAAATTTCCAAGAGTTATAGTTTTCTCCCCTCCCCCAAGACATTTGGAGAGCACATGGACATCTGTGTCCCGGCCTCACGGTACCTCCCTCATCCCCATGGAAAGAGGAAGATGAGAGAAGGGAGGGAGGCCTTTGGCAGCCAAGGGAAGACAAGTTTCAGGAGTTCATGAAGCACCATCCCCCACCCCCAGTGAAGACCCTACCAGAAGGTCTTATGTTCTGAGCTATATTGAGTGACTGCCTCATTACCACTCCCTACTGTTATGTGGCAAGTGTCAGGGCTGTGGCAAGGGTCAGGCTATCATCATTGGCCCCTTCAATAGACTGACCCTAGCATTAGGGCAACCATAAGTCCCTGTGTGCCCAAGACAATCCTAGTTTACATCTGAGGCCCCAGTGTCACTATTAATAGTGACCTCCTTTCACTCTCAAAGTTGTTCCAGTTTGGGCAATGAATTATATGATCAAAGGCCCCATCTCCTTTCATCTGTCTGTCTCTCTTTTTTTCCCTTCCATAGAGATTTTATCCATCCCCACAGCTTAAAATTCTTTCCCTCTGAAGATAACTACTGAATTTTCATCTCTGTCTTTTTGCCCTGAGTCCACAATTTCCGCTTGGATACTGAAACAGTCACCCTCTCAGTGCTGGTGGAAATGACACAAACTGACAAGTATTTATTTAGCCTCATTCCCATCACTCACCACTGCCACCCAGAAAAGTGTCACCTGAGTATTTATTGCATGCAGCCCCAACACTAAAGAAAGATCAGAAATATTTGTTCCCGTGGTGGAAAATAAAGGGCTATTTGCCCACGTCGCCAGGCTTCCTCTGGAAAGCATCTGGGAATCATTCCAGAAATTCAATTTCCAGGTGTGTGTTTCTTTAAGGAAATATTGTGGAGTAGAGAAGGAACGCACTGTGCAGGTGCCATTGGCTGTGGGCGTTGCTATGGCAGATCAGCCTTATTACTGAATAGCAAAGGAAGGAGTCACCAGGAAAACACAACATGAACAGGCAGAGTGCACACGCCGTGGCCTCGGGAAGCCACAATCATGTGGCTGACATGGTTCCAGAGTGTGGCATTAGGGAGACCAACTTCTGAGCTGCAGATTCACAGCATGGCCATGCAGGCAGGGAAGATGTGCTCTACTCCAGGATCAAGGAGCAAGCCCATATTTCCTCTTGATTCTGGGACTCCCTCTTGAGACTGATTTGCTCTAATGTTAGCTCTTGAGAGAACTGGGGTCCCTGCCTTCTTGGGGAGCCTGAAAAGAAGTTTTGCTGTCTGGGCATCACAGCATCCAGAGTGTACAGGAGACAGGTCAGCAGCTGCGGTCAGCAGAGGCACACACGCCAGCCCCTGGAGATGGGTGGCTTGTCCTGAGCCAAAGCTGGGCTGGTTTATAAACAGCACCTGTGAAAAGAAGAGGGATGACTCCAGTGGGACATTCCTGAACCATGTGCACCTATTCACCTAGGAGAAGGAATGGCTGGAGTTGCATCTATCTTTCTGTTTATGAAATATGGGCCCAACTCCAGCGACAACATAATTTTTAGACCATTTAGTGGAATAATAAAAGTCAAAAGAGGAAAGAGAACTTACATGGATTGAACACCCACTGCATGCTTAGCTCTCTGCTAGGTGCATTACAGAAAAGAGCTTATTGAATTCTTACGCAAACCCTTGAGGATGAATGGCCGCTCACCTGGAGTCTTGATAGCCAGGTACTTAATTCACCTCCCTGAGCCTCAGTTTTTGTGTGTGTGAAGTGAGCTGACCCTACCTAACTAGTATCTATTGCAGAATGATTGAGGACACTGAATGAAATTATGGCCGAAGCTGTGCCCTTCCAGCTTACTGAGATGTAATTTAACCTATGTTTGGGGGAAGATGGTCTGGTTCTTGGGATGTGACTCCTGGATATGGTTTGTTTCCACAGGTGATGCAGATTTAGGAGAAGAAGTCCACCTCAGGTCAGGTTTCCCCAAAGGCAGATCCTGAGATGAGGAATCCAGGACCTATCACTTACTTGGGAGGTGAGCTCAGGAAGCATGGGAAACAGCAAGGGGGTGAGGCTGGGAAGGAAGGAGACTCCATACACAGTGTGTTCTTGGGAGGGTTACTTTCGTGGGCAACAGGGCCTCAGTCCCCCTAAGGACCCTCTAGGAAACTGTGCAACCACCCTCAGAGTGGCGCCGCTGAGAGGGGTGGAGCAGGGGGTTTTATTCACCAACTCCTGTCCCTCGCGGTAGAGGCTCACTCCGACAGCCTTAACTTACCTGCACCCCTGGCCTGAGGAACTGTTTGCGGGCAACCTCTAGGGCATGCCCAGGGCATGAGGTTGGGGGACCAAAATGCCTTCAAAAGAGAGTTCCCCCAACTTCCAGAAAAGGAGAGGGAGAAGGCAGAGGAAAGTGAAGGTGGAGAATTAAGACATCTGGAAAACATGTGGCGTCTGCCCTACATCAAAGCTGAAACCTGGAAGATTAGAAATTTGGGCTTCTAGGATAGAGTGCTTCTCCCCCCTTCCACTCATACTCCAGCACCCTCCTGTCCAACCACTCCACTTGCAATAGGTACCCATTTATGGAGTAGAGTGTGGGAGAATTGAAGGCTAGTTCAGTGCTGTTACACAGTGAAAGGAGCACTTATGGTGCCTCATGCAGCATTCATTAGCAGGGAATCTTAAACTGATGTCACTGGGACTTTCACTGGTAGGCTGCTGTCATTGGGGGCGGTATAATCCTGTGATTATGAGCAGGAGTTTTGGAGTGAGACCAAACTGGGGTCAAGGTCTAGTTCCATACCTTGTTAACCATATAAACTTAGGCAAATTACTTCACCATCTATGTATTTATCTATTTATTTTTAGAGACAGGATCTCACTCTGTCACCCAGGCTAGAGTGCAGTGGTGCAACCATAGCTCATTGCAGTCTTGAAGTCCTGGGCTCAAGTAATCCTCCCAGTTCAGCCTCCCAAGTAGCTGGGACTACATGCACAGACTGCTGTGCCCAGCTAATTAATTTTTTTTTTTTTTTTTATAGAGGCAGAGTTTCCTTATGTTGCCCAGGCTGGCCTCAAAGTCCTGACCTCTAGCCATCCTCCTGCCTTGGCCTCCCAAAGTGCAGGAATTACAGGTGAGAGCCCCTACACCTGGTCATTACTTCATCTTTTTATGCTGAATTTTCCTCATCTGTAAAACTGGGTGAAATAATATTAAACGTGTTATAGAACTGCTGTGAGAGTTCAATGAGATAATTCTTGTATCACAGTATCTGACACAGCATGAACACTAAATAAATTCTGGCTAATATTCTCACTCATTCTACAAATATTTATTGAGTATTTTCTGTGTGCCAGGCCCTGTTTCAGGCACCAGTGATACACCAATGAATTGAGATAGATTCAATCTAATTTGTCATAAAATTTAGATTCTATTGTCTTAAAGACAGACAATAAACAAGAAAATAAGTTGATAACTAACCATTATCATTTCAGGTAATAATACGGTTTGGATGTGTGTCCCCTGTGAATCTCATGTTGAAATGTAATCCCCCATGTTGGAGGTGGGACCTGTTGGGAGGTGACTGGATCATGGAGGCAGATTTCTCATGACTGTCTAAGAATCCCCCTAGTGACGAGTGAGTTCTCCCTCAGTTAGTTCACGTGAGATCTGCTTGTTTAAGAGTCTGGGACCTCCCTCTTCTCTCTTCTTGCCCCCACATCTCACCATGTGACGCACCTGCTCTCCCTGTGCCTTCCACCATGATTGGACGCTTCCTGAGGCCCTCACCAGGAGCAGATCCCAGCACCATGCTTCCTGTCCAGCCTGCAGAACTGAGAGCCAATTAAACCTCTTTTCTTAATAAATTACCCAGCCTCAGGTATTTCTTTATTGCAATGAAAAAGAAGACAAACACAGCTAATAATAAGTGTTTGAGCAGAGATCTAAAGAAGTGAGGACGCGAGGATCCTGGGGACAGCATTCTAGGAAGTGGGTGCAGGAAATATGAAAGCCATGCAATGAGAATACTTTATTCTCATAAATAAAGTGGTTTATGAGTACTTGCTATAAAGAGTACAAAATACAGTAATAGATGAAAGAGGAATTGGAGGTTGAAAAGAGATTTATTGATCTGTTAGTTGTTTAATTTAATATAGGATGTTATCGCATGTTAGTATGCCAATGGGATGAACCACAAGAAATAGGAAAATCAATGATACGAGAGAAAGATGTCAAGTCCTTGAATAGGAAAGAGGGCTAGGGCCCTGTGTACAGGTGGCAGATGCCCTGGACCAAGGCTGTGGCAGGCCATCCCTTGCAGCAGGAAGAAATGCAGAGGATAAAAATACAGCCACAAGAAACATTCCTGAATGCTTAGGGAAATTGCTTTCCTCTTAAAAATTTCCAAAAATTCATCTTAAGCACCTATTAAATGGCTCTTCTGGAGCTGAAGGTTTTGTGCTGCCTGCCAAGCAATGATTTGGGGTTCACAGCCAATCCCAGGGGAGTAAAAGCAGGGACAGGAGGTCAGAGAACACATTCTCTTCCATCTGTGCATGCCTTCAATAAACGTTGGATTGACTGGAATTATGAGAAACTAAAATCATTTGTTGAAGATCTGCTTAAAAGATATTTACAGATGGTGCAGAAAACCATTATCCTGAGGAAGGAATTACAACCTCCACAGACAGTATTGGGACTGTCCTAAGAAGATCGGTCTGAAGGCGGGAACCCTGTCCTGATGGGATGCTTCACTACTGAGAACTGGGACGGGTCCATTGACTCTGTGTCTGTTCAATGACATGACCATTTCTTAGGCGGCAAGTTCCCTGAAGGAAGTGGTCGTGTCTTAGTCAATATTCAGTGGCTTCCCCCACCACTCCAGAAGCTCAGTCAAGGAGTGGCAGCACAAAGAACAACAGGGCCTGCAGCTCACAGTTGTTAAAGATGGAGAGCAGATCTCCCAGAGAGAAAAGGAGACCCTCTTCACATCATGTTCTCTCATTGGCTTCTTCCTGAAGTCTGAGGCCTGAACCCCCAAATACTGCTAATAAAAAGATTTTTTAAAATTTAAATTTTAGAATCAGGGGGTACATGTGCAGGTTTGTTACAAGGGTCTGTTGCGTGATGCTGGGGTTTCGGTTTGTATTGATCCTATCACCCAGATAGTGAACAGAGTACCTAACAGGAAGATTTTCAGCCCTTGTTCTCCTCCCTCTCTCCTCCTTTTGGAGTCCCCAGTGTCTATGGAAGGGTATTTCCTAGGTTTTCTTCTAGGATTTCAAAGCTTGAGGTCTTACATTTAAAGCTTTAATCCACCCTGAGTTAATTTGCGTATATGGTGATAGGTAGGGGTCCAGTTTCATTCTTCTGCGTATGGCTAGCTAGCTATCCCAGCACCATTTATTGAATAGGTAGTTTTCGCTATTGCTTATCCTCTTTCTCCTATTTCCCTGTTCCCTTTTCCCCATTGCTTATTTTTGTCAACTGTCAAAGATCAGTTTGTTGTAGGTGTGTGGCTTTGTTTCTGGGTTCTGTATTTTGTTTCATTGATCTATGTGTCTGTTTCTGTACCTGTACCATGCTGTTTTGGCTACTGTAGCCTTGTAGTATAGTTTGAAGTCAGGTAATGTGATGTCTCTGGCTTTGTTCTTTTTGTTTAGGATTGCTTTGACTTTTCAGGCTCTTTTTTGGTTCCATATGAATTTTGAAATAGTTTTTTGTAATTCTGTTAAAAAAATGACATTGGTAATTTGATATAAATAGCATTGAATTTGTAGATTGCTTTGGGCACTATGGCCATTTTAACAATATTGATTCTTCTAATCCATGAGCATGGGATATTTTTCATTTGTTTGTGTTGTTTATGGTTTCTTTCAGCAGTGTTTTGTGATTCCCATCATAGACAACCTTCACTTCCTTGGTTAGATGTATTTCTAGTTATTTTATTTTGGTGGGTGGCTATTATAAATGGGATTATATTCTTGATTGGGCTCTCAATTTTAATGTTACTGGTGTATAGAAATGCTGCTGGTATTTGCATATTGATTTTGCAACCTGAAAGTTTACTGAAGTTGTTTATTAGTTCTAGACCTTCTGGTGGAGTCTATGGGGTTTTCCAGGTATAAAATTATATTGCCTGTGAATGAAGACAGTTTGACTTCCTCTATTCCTATCTGAATGCCTTTTATTTCTTTCTCTTGCCTGATTGCTCTGGCCAGGACTTCCACTACTATGTTGTATAGAAGTAAGAATGGGCATCCTTGTCTTTTTTTCATTTCTCAAGGGGAATGTTTCCAGCTTTTGTACATTCAGTATGATGTTGGCTGTGGGTTTATCATAAATGACTCTTATTATTTTTAGATATGTTCCTTCAATTCCTAGTTTGTTGAGGGTTTTTATCACGAAGGGATATTGGATTTCGCCTAAAGCTTTTTCTACATCTACTGAAATGGTCACATGGTTTTTGTTAATTCTGCTTAGGTGGTGAATCCATTTATTGATTTCCGTATGCTGAACCAACCTTGTATCCCAGGAATAAAGCTTACTGATTGTGGTGAAATAGTTTTTGATATGCTGCTGGGTTTGGTTTTCTAGGATTTTGTTGAGGATTTTCATGTCTATGTTCGTCAGGGATATTGGCCTGTAGTTTTCTTTTTTCACTGTGTCTTTGTCAGATTTTGGTATCAGGATAATACTGGTTTCCTAGAATGAGTTAGGGTAGAATCCTTCCTCCTCAGTCTTTCAGGATAGTTTCAGTAGGACTGGTACCAGTTCTTCTTTGTATGTCTGGTAGAATTTGGCTATGAATCTGTCTAGCCCAGTACTTTTATGGGTTGGTAGGTTTTTTATTACTGATTCAATTTCAGAACATATTAATGGTCTGTTCAGAGTTTCATTTTCTTCCTGATTCAATCTTGGCAGGTTGTGTGCTTCCAGGAATTTATCCATTTTCTCTAGGTTTTCTAGTTTGTGTGCATATAGGCGTTCCTAATAGTCTCTCAGGATCTTTAGTATTTCTGTGGGATCATTTGTAATGTCACCTTTGTCATTTCTGATTGTGCTCATTTGGGTCTTTCTTTTTGCTTTCTTTCTTTCTTTCTTTCTTTCTTTCTTTCTTTCTTTCTTTCTTTCTTTCTTTCTTTCTGTCTTTCTCTCTCTCTTTCTTTCTTTCTTTTCAAAAAACCAACTCTTCATTTTGTGGATCCTTTGTATGTTTTAGGATGGGTCTTAATTTTGTTTAGTTCTGTTCTATTTTAGTTATTTCTTTTCTTCTGCTAGTTTTGAGATTAGCTTGTTCTTTGTTTTTCTAGTTCATTTATGTGTAATGTAATGTTAGATCATTAATTTGAGATCTTTCTATTTTCTTGATGTAGGCATTCAGTGCTATAAACTTCCCTCTTAACAACTGCTTTTGCCTCGTCCCAGAGATTTTGGAAGATTGTTTTCATTCATTTCAAAGAATTTGATAAAAAGACTTTTGAAGTTAACAATGAGTGGAGGCTTCCATCTTGGAAGTCTGGAGTTTTAGTATATTCCCCTGGTGATCTAGCACTTCCTGCAGTGGGAATTGTGGGATTTTCCTGCTATGCTTGTAATGTTGGAAGAATGGTCAGTACATTACTCAAGAGTCTTACTCTCTGCCTATCAGTCACACAGAGGCAGGAGAGTATGTTGACTAGTTTCTCACTTTGGACCTGAAGCTACTTATAACAACCCACCTATAACAACCCACAAAGGCCCACATTGGGCCAAAAAGCATAAGGAGTCCCTTGATCTAACTCCACCGCACAGTAGGATGATAAGACTTTGTTCTGAAAAGCCCTTGGGAATTTCACATACCCTTCCCTTGTCCCCTGGGAGCTGTGTCACCCATGGACACTCTTTCTTTCCTACCCTCACCACTTCCTGTGCTCACCTGGATACTCCTGCTCCCTCACTCCCCTTAGCTCCCCACTCAGGAGTCTCACATCTCTTTGGCCTTCTATGGGGGCTGTCAGAACCATGTCCTGCTTTCATTTAAAGATGAGTAAATGGGGGCTGCAGACACAGGAAGGTAGAGGAGGAAATTTAGAAAAGCAGCTCTAAAAGCCAAAGTTCTATAAGATAATGAAATCTTTCAGATTTTCAAGAATGTCCTCCTCTTAGCACAACTCCTCTGCCTTCTTCTCATCTCCCCATTGATGTCTGCTATGTCTGCAGAAGGGGGTGAGGGTGAAGAAATAGACCCACCCTGCCAGGAAGCCTTCACATCACAGTGGCTGTCTGGGAACCCAGAACTGGGTACATAGCAAGTTGATTTCTGAGACCCCGGGCAGCACATACAAGCTAAAATCTTGCTTTTCTCTGTGGGATGGTCCAGAAAGAATACCATGCTTCAAAGCAATTCTGCATACAAGGTGGTAATTGCAGCTTGGGGAAGGGACCACAAGTGAGGAGTGCCCCCAGGACGTGGATCAAGTTGCCTTGAGAGCACAATTAACACAGCAGGTTACAGACCTTACAGAAATGGAGGCTCACAGGACACAGCAAGGCTCTGCGTTAGTTAATTGATTACATTAGCATATCTAAAGAAAGACTCTGTGGAAACCAGGTAGAACTATGTCTGCTTGGAATCTAGAAAGAACTCAAGCAGAAAGGCACACTTAGGAAAGCCTTGCTAAGGGAGTCAATCCTGAACTGTAGCAGAGGCCAGCTGTTCAATCGCCCTCCCACTGGCTTAGGAGGGGAAATGAAAACACCCGTGGAGTCCCCAGCCTCTACCACAGATAGATCAAAACACTCTTCTCTTGTCTCTGCTCTGCCTCTGCTTCCATGATAGGTAGGTTGAGACTGAGAACGGTGTGCACCCAGGAGCGAGGGTCCTGCAATTGCTTCATGAGATGGGGCATGGGACAAGAGCACCAAGCACAAGGTTAACAGAACTATCCAGACTGAAGTCAACACCCCCTTTTCACCCCACCTGGTTAAAGCCTTTTTACAAATTCTTTAGTAAACAGGAATCAGGTCATTAATTTTAGAACTCTGCCCTAGAATATGGGTGATTTAGTTGTATCAAGGGTCCCCAAGACCACCACCAGGCTCAGTGATTTGCTAGGAGGACTCACAGGATTCCACATATAGCCATGCTCACAGCTAAGATTGATTACAGCAAAAGGATACAAAGCAATTGTTTCATGAGCAAAGGGAACAGGCACATGGGGAGAAGTCCAGAGAAAGCCAGGTGCAAGCTCTCAAGAGTCTGCTCCTAGTAAATTCACACAGGACACACTTAGTTCCTCTAGCAACAAATTCTAACTACACATGTGAAGTATTGTCTGTCAGGACAGCTCATTAGAGACTCAGTGCTTAAGATTTTATACTGGGGTTTTGTCATGTAGGCACCTGCTGCCTAGCATGTAACAAAACTCCAGGCTCTCAGAAGGAAGGCAGGCATTCAGCACAAACCATTTTGTTTGTACAAATGGTGTAAGTCCAATGAGCCACGCTTATCACTGATAGAAGTTTTCTATCAATGTGGGGAATTATTCACTGGCCAAGCTCCCAGATGCCCACCAGGGGCCAACTTTCCAAGCAGACCTTTCTAAGGAGAGCAGTCTCAGGCAGCCATGGTGACTGTTTCCTGCACAGGTGTATACAATTAAACTCATGTTATCCATATAGTAACACTATAAAGTTCTCACTCACAAGCATAGGTTCAAGCATGAACAAATCCTTTGCTATCTTCTTAAAGTCCCAAGACAAAGCCTTCCTCCAAATATTGATGTGGATATATTTTTTTTTCCACCAAGAGGAGCCCATGTGCTACTGCCAACAAGATTCTAGTGCTCCAATTAGCCAAGTGTGGTGGTGCATGCCTGTATTCCTAGTTACTCAGGAGGCTGAGGCTGGAGGATCACTTAAGCCTTGGAGTTCGAGGCTGCAGTGAGCTATGATTGCACCACTAAACTCCAGCCTGGGTGACAGAGCAAGACCCTGTGTCTAAAAATAAATAAATAAATAAATAAATAAATAAATAAATAAATAAATAAATAAATATTCTAGTGTTCCAAGTTGGCAAAACCCACCTCAATCCCACCCCTCCTTTCTACCACTTCCTTGTATCCTTAGTTCGAGCTTTCAAGCCATCCACCTGATTTGGGGTGCTAAATGTTATTCACAAACTGTCTCTTTCTCACCTTTCCCCAAGCCAGAATTGATCAGCATGGCCTCACCCCTGGTTCCCAGACCCAGAGGAGGTCACAGCTCTGAAGAAGTGCTTCAGAGGACTCCCCTGGAGGCTGAGCACAGTGAAGCTCAGAAAAGAGCCCTTCCCTCTGAGTTATTTAAAGGCATCTCTACTCTGCTCCATCTTCTGTCCTTGCTCCCCCACCTCCTTCTACAGTTGAGACATTATTGTCTTACTTTTGCCCTTCAGAAGCAAATTGTCAACCCAGCTCAGGCTGGGGCACAGTGACCTTTTCTTTAGACAGTTGTTCAAATATTCTGTGATATACAAATTGAACCACCCTGAAGTCAACCTCGAATCTACTCAATGGTAATGACTTGATTGCTCTTGGACCTGTGGAAATCCTAATCCTCAGCCCCATTTCACACAGTGATGACTTTGCCCAGTTTATTTTCTTTTTTCAAAGGACGGCGTTAGAGAAGCGGCGAGGGGGAGATTACCCCTTTCTGTCTACCTAGCTCAATCAGTCCATTCATAAAGGCCAAATTGGGAGCCCCTCCACACTCAGATCATTACCTCAGTAGGAATTCCCCTTCTGTTTGTTTTTTTTTTCCAAGTGTAGGATCTGGACTGTCTGTGTGTGAGGGGCTGGGGGTGTTTCAGGACAAATGACATCATGTAGACCCATAGAAACAGATGTTCAGACTTTCTGTACTTCATGAACTCAGTTTCGTGCCATCTACTGGAATGGAAACTGGCCAGGCCATCCGGAGGGAGCTTCTAAGACGAGTGGGTGGGACCTCACTGCTTTCCTTTCACTAAAACAGGAAGGGCCTGGGCTGGAATATCTTAGTGAGCACATCCAGAAATGGGCATGGAAAACCAGTGCTCAACCCACAGACTCCAGCTCCACCAAGCAGATTTGTAAGCGAGATGCTGAAATAATTTTTCCGCTCCACTTCCCCCCTCCCCTGCCCCCAGAAAGGCATGAGATATTTTTAGCAGGAAAAATAAATGCCCAATAAAAATGAACATAAAAATACCATACGAGGGACAGGGTACCCTCCCATCGGTTTCCAAGAGATCCCTGGAGTGACCATTAAATTAAACAGGCTTTGAAGCCAGCATTAGAGGAGTGGATGGGTACAGGCCAGCCCTGGTCTAAAAAGAGCTGGGGAGGGGAATAGAAAGAAGAAACTGGCCGAAAGAATCCTGTGCTTAATGAAGGAGAGTGTAGGACTAGGGAGAAATTCACAAAGCACACCATGTGCCTCTTCTGTGAGCTCATGACCATTTTGCCTGCCAAGTCCAATGACCTTCCCTCCACGCACGTCTCCCTGACCCTTCCGTGGCATCTGATCCATTCCTCCTGCCGTTGGCCTCTGTGGAACTGTCCTTTCTTCATGCTCCTCCTACATTTCTGCCTCAAGCTTAACAGAATAAAACCTGAGGTCCTCATTTTCCTCCCACACCTGCTTATTTCTTTATTTCCCCCTCAGTGAAAGGCATTTCCAGTTCCTCAGGCCAAAACCTTGAAGTCATCCTTGACTTCTCTCTCTCACACCACACATCCAATCTGTCAGCAGATCCTGCTGCTCCACCCTCCAAATACATCGGGACCTGACCATTTCTCACCCCCTCCCCTGTTCCCGCCTGGTCCAAACCCTCGTCATCTCTCACCTGGCTTATTCCACGGGCTTCCTGCTTCACCTTCCTGCTCTGCCCTTGCCCCCTTGGACCATGGATTCTCAACACAGTCATCAGACCCATATTGTTAACATGAAAGTCAGAGGGCAATCTCTGCTCAAAGCCTTCAAAAGACTTCCAGTCTTACCTAGAAGGGAACCCCAAGTCCTTACGATGGCCTTCAAGGCCTCAAGTGGTCTAGCCCTGTGTTAACTCTGTGTTAACTCTGGCCTCTTCTCTTCCTAGAGAGCCCTGTTAAGCTCCGCTACAGCCACATGGGCTCCATGCTAGTTCTCTCATCTCCAGGCCCTGGGACATGTGATTCTCTCCTCCAAAAATACTCTCCCAACCAGATGTCTTCACAGCTCACTCCCTCACTTGCTTCAGGTCTTTACTTGAATGCCACTTTCTTGGTCGCTCCATCTAAAACTGCAACCATCTTGAAATTAAAAAAAAAATTCCCTTCCTTCCTTTATTTCTCACCTTGCTACTTTTCCCCATCTAACCTATTATAGAGGAAATTGACTGTCTTGCTTATTTCCTGCTCCCCTCCTTCACTAGAATGTAAGTTCCATGAGGGTACAAATACTTGTCTCTTTTTTGTTTGCTTGTTTGTTTTTGCTGATGAGTCTCCAGCAGAACCTTTTATTAAATAAATAGAATGAATGAAGGAGTGGATGTATCTGCTAAAATCCACAACCACTCCCAACCTCCCTGCTCTTGATATTGATACTAGTACTTGTCACATCTTCCAGCTCATGGGAGCTGTTCTGGCCCATGCTCCTCCTGTGCCACTAGCCTCTAACCAGATGCCATCTCCTCTGCCACGGATCTTCCTCCTGAGGAACCCGGTGGTGTGATGAGGCAGCTCAGTCTCTGCTCAAGTCACAAGAACCAGGACAAAGTTTTCAAAATGCTTCAGAGCAAGTGGCTTCAACAAACTCCAAACCTCTGGTGCCTCATCTGTAAAGTGGGTTTAATAATGCCAACTTCCATTAGGTTATTGTGAGAATGACATGGGGTAACCTGTGTATCATATTTCTCCTGGTGCCTGATAGAATCACTGCTTCCCTTCCTGCTGTGTTTGTGCCATTCTAAATGTCTCTGACTCTGATGGCTACCAGATTCTCTTGAGGGTCTCTTCAGTCTTTTCAGTAGGCCACCCACCTTGTCCACTGCTGCATAATTTCTCCAGGTTCCTTCCTGGTTCAAAACTCTTTGTGTGGTCAGGTGCGGTGGCTCACGCCTGTGATCCCAGCTCTTTGGGATCCCTAAGTAGAAGGATCACTTGAGCCCAGGAATTTGAGACCAGCATGGGCAACAAAGCAAGACTTCGTCTCTACAAAAAATAATTTAAAAAAATTAGGTGGTTATGGTGGCACATACCTGTAGTCCCAGCTACTCAGGAGGCTGAGGCAGGAGTATGGCTTGAGCCAGAAGTTGGAGGCTGCACTTAGCTATGATTACTCCACTGTACTCTAGCCTGACGACAGAGCAAAACCCTTCTCAAAAACAAACAAAACCCCAAAAACTTTGCATTCCTTCCAAAGGATGAAACATTTCATTTAACCCAGCCACATGGAGTTAAATATGGTCAAGCCAAATGAACTCATTTCACATGTTTAGCTCAAGCAAGCTGATTTCTTCACAGGAGCTGCCCAGTAAATGCTTCAGTGACGCCCACCATGATGTGTGTGGGGTTAGTTCATCAGCTGAGCTGTCTGAACCACTTACAGACTTCCAAGCCCTACATGTTCTTCCTTGTCTCTGAGTCATTGTGAAAGCTGCCCCTGAACTTAGAATACCCTTTGACTCTTTCCTATCCCCCTCTTTACCCACTAAATAGCACTACACTTGCCAGAGTCCCAGCCACTTGTGGGGCTGAGGCAAGAGGATCACTTGAGGCCAGGAGTTTGAGGCTGCAGTGAGCCGTGATCATGCCTGTGAATAGTCACTGCACTCCAGCCTGGGCAATACAATGAGATCCTGTCTCTTACAAAAAAGTAAAAAATAAAAAATAACACCACATCTTTCAGCAGCCTTAAGGGAGGCCCTCCTTTCAAAACCCCACTGTACCTCCTCCCCGAGGTGGGCTTCGCTGCCCCTCTACTGTGCTCCCACCACATCCGTGCTTACTCCAAAGAGGCACGTACTATGTTGAATTGCATGCGCCTGTTTAGTCATCTACCTCTTCAACCCAGGCTGTGAGCCTGGTGGG
Organism: Homo sapiens; assembly: GCF_000001405.40. Taxonomy (NCBI): domain Eukaryota; kingdom Metazoa; phylum Chordata; class Mammalia; order Primates; family Hominidae; genus Homo; species Homo sapiens. Next base: position 71,080,412 of record NC_000015.10, on the reverse strand, counting down.
CAGGGACCATGCCCTATTCATCCGAGTGAACTGGTGCTGAATACAATTATTTGGCACATGGTAGGTGTGGAATAAAGGCTTTCTGAATGAATGAGCTGGTAAGTAAGTGAGGAATGGATGACTCAATGACTAAATGAAGAAATGCAACACTCCACCAGCCCAAGTGAAGGTTTATGAGGGCATGAAAAGACTGGAAAAAGCATGCCTGTTAGGAACAGACCCAGAACGGCAACCCCCTCAACCCCTTGCCTTCTGTCCTGGTCCTCTCCTCTCCGCCCTGCACACACTTGTTTTCCATGAGCCACCTCACCCATCCTGGAGGCTTCTGTTCCCCTCTGAGTGTCATTGATTGCCAAAGCAATGGTCCCAAATTCTGTGCCAAACTTAAGGCAAACTTTTCAGAAAATTTGTCTCTTACCTATGCCTTTTCCATTTGAATTTTTACAGCTACCACTTCCTCCACGAGATGACTTGCTCTCTGGATTGGAGGTGTGTCTGCATTTCAGGAACAAGCAACTTTTCTCTGTGGCTACAGGCTGTACTCTGAACCTCCACCATTGGAAAGTCAACTCCTGCTACGTCCTGTTCAGCAAGGATTTGAGCAGGTTTGGTGAAGGTAAATGCATTCCTATTGCCATGGAGACATGGTATTTCTCAGTGACAGAGAACAGAGAAGCAAAGTTAAAGTTACTTGCATGGCAATATAGTAGAAAAAGTAAAAACTCAGAGCCTGGATGTGTAGGGCAGGCATGGGGAACTTCTGGCTTCCAGCTCTTGGCTCAATTTTCTTCCAGCCTTTGGCAAACATGACAAACCATGGTTACATTAACAAAGAATGATACTTATCAGTCAGATACCACCCAGTGCTGGAAAGGCCCCAGAGCCAGTTGGAAGGCAGTGGGTGGTGACACATTTTACAAGCACGTTCTCACGGTTCTACTCTATTTCAGAATTCATTTGGGCTTCCTACATTTCAAGTCAACTGTCTTTTTGAAATACCTGTAGATTCTCCAGAGCCTGTGCTAAGTTTTAAGGCTTCTTGTTTTTTTTTTTTTTTTTTTGCCGTTTGCCCTTGTTTTATACTGTTGACTAAAGCCATAAAGTCACAAGCTGTGAAAGACGGAAAGACCTTTAGAGATTATCTGATCTAACCCCCTCATTTTATAGGCTAAGAAACTGTCAGAAGTGACTTTAACTTTGAATTTTATGAGATCTATTTGTGTTGACAACATAATCGAATGCCCTGCTTCTGAGACTGAGGATTTGCAAGGGGAAATATTTTTTAAAAGTCAGTGCTCTTTCTGATGGGTGGGAGAGTAGGGTAAAAGCTTTTGTTTTCGTAACTGTTTCTGTGCCACACACTCCACCAGATAGAATGCAAGACCTCTCTACCGGGTTTAAGCCTACCACTGTCAGAATAACCACAGGAGGAATACCTGTAGACTGTTGCTACTCCCCTTAGGAAAGTATCCAATGATCAGAGGTCACTTCCCCACTTTGAGGGTGTTCAGACAGAAAAGACTAAAGACCTCTGAAGCAATGACACGTGCAAGCAGTCAACAGCACCCACTGTTCCCAAAGAGAGTTTCTCTTGGGGGCTCTGGCCAGTTGGACTTCTTAATAAATCAGCTCCTGCACACAACAGCTATGCACATCCCTGCCTCTGTTGAGCAGGCACTGCATGTGGCCGAAGCAGGCTCCATGGCAATGAGGCATGGACTGGTTTGGGAGTTGTAGATGCCTTAGGCTGTTGTGTAGGAAACTGGAAGGCTGATCCCTAGAATCACTTTGGAAAAGGCACAAAGTTCAGAGCTAGAAAAGCAAAATCAAAACCCGTTTGCAGAGCCAATGGGTAAGATCAGGAAAGGCAAACAGGTTTCACATCAACTCTGATTGGTGGTACCTGTCTGGGGTACGGTACTGAGAAGGGTTGTGAAGCCGTGAGTCAGAGGAAAGGTACAGGGCTATGGATTAGGAATGCCTGCATTAGGGCTAAGCAGGGGAGAGCAACAAGTGTACTATGTATTTTTCTTTTTTTTTAATATCATTTTATTTTAGCCAAGAATTACCTGTATAAAGTCGAAAAGTGCTTCCACTGATGCAACACGGCAGTCCTTTTCAGGTAATCTTACCAGCAGGCTCCTTCTTCTCACGGAAGAGCCATGTTAACAATAAACTTTGGCTAGAGGGTGCTGTGGAAATGGTAAAATATGGAGATTATTCTGTGAAAAATTATGGGTGATTTGAGAGTAAAAGCAAGAAGCTATTGGCATTAGGCAGAATACATAGAAAATAAAACATAAACTCACTTTTGTAATCAATCCAGGATGGCATGGATTGAATGGATTGACAAGGGTGCATGGTTGAATGGTCAACACTCTTCACCTGCCAGTGCAGAGCCCTAAAATGAACACTTAACCACCATCAGGGTGAGAGGCAGCTCTTTGATACTGGTGGTCGGGGGGCGGGGGTGGTGTCAGTCTCATTAACCAGGGCAGTGAGGGTTGGCTGAAGTATCTGGCCACCGGAAATCCTATTGTCTCAGCTCAGTTGAGGAAACCAGTAGCCTTAAATGGGGGATAAAACTGATGGACCAGGCTGCAAGTGGCCCATCACACAGAGCAGGCCTGGGATGTTCCTATCAAGGCAATAGGAAGCCCTCCCTGTCCACGCAGTGATGGTAGAGCCAGTCCAGAAGCACAAGCCCAGAAGCAACCTGGGTGTCTACATGGAGGAATGATTCTTGTCCCTCCCAAGGCTCTTATAGATTCTGTTCCCTGATATTCTTCCCATGTGTGTGGGACACAGGGGAAGCTGGGAAGGGTGGCACAAGTATCTTTTCTGTATTTATTCAGATAATTTAATGTTTATTTTCTAGTTCTTACCATGGTGAGTTACATTGATTGATCTTTCAAATGTTAGGCCAACTTTACATTCCTGGGATGAAATCCACTTGGTCGTGACCTATTGTCTTCTTATGTATCATTGGATTTGATTCACTAAAATACTGCTAAGAAGTTTTGTGTCTATGCTTGTCGTAGGAAAATAGCCAATTACATGGCAAGAGTGGCGCCATCTTGAATTGAAACTCCCATGATGACTGTTGTTTGACTCTTGCATGCCAAGGTGGTCTGCAGCAAGGTCTTTAAACAATGCTCATAGCTTAGATAACCCCTCATAAAGATGCTTATCTAACCTCCCCAGTAGTCTTGAGTTTAACAAGAAACACAGATGTGACTAGCTACCACATATTTTACCAAAAAACTTGTAATATAACAGATATTTTCTAAAAGGTGAGTGCAGAGATCCACTGCCTAATGGCCACCCAAGACATCTCTCCTGTTCATAAGCTCCTATTAAATATTTCTTTTTAAGAAACTGGATTTTTCAGCTGTTTTATTCAGCCTCTCATCTCCCTCAGCCTTTGCGGGCAGGTTTACTTATACCTGCTCACTGCGGAGCATTTGTCTTGGTCTGTTTTGTGTTGCTATAACAGAATATCATAGACTGGATAATTTATAAAGAAAAGAGGCTTATTTCGCTCACAGTTCTGGAGGCTGGGAAGTTCTATAGCATGCTACCCACATCTGGTGAGGGCCTTCTTGCTGCATCATAACTTGGCAGAAGGGCAAGAGAGCATGTGAGACAGACAGAGGCACCAGGTGCTGGACCCACTTTTATATCTGCCCACTCTTGTGATAACTTACCCATAATAACTACATTAATCCATTCATGAGGGCTTCACCCTCATGATCCAATCCCCTCTTAATAAGCCCCACCTCCCAACACCGTTGCACTGGGGATTAAGTTTCTAACACATGAACTTTTGGGGGACACATTCAAACTGTAGCAATGTTCATGAGAGATTTTGGACTGAAATTTTCTTTCTTATAACATGTTTGGTATTGGTATTAGACTAGCATTGAACTTAAAGCATGAGTTAGGAAGTATTTTCTCCTCTTCAATTTTCTGGAAGAGTTTGTGTAGAATTAATATTATTTCTTTCTGAAATATTTGATAGAATTTACTAGTGATGCCATCTGAGCCTGGAGTTTTCTTTCTGGGAAGGATTTTTTGTTTTTTTAATTTTAAGATAGAGTCTTGCTCTGTCACCCAGGCTGGAGTGTAGTGGTGCAATCATAGCTCACCAAAGGCTTGACCTCTTGGGCTCAAGTGATCCTCTCACCTCAGCCCTCCCAGTAGCTGGGATTATAGGCACACACCACCATGCCTGGCTAATTTTTATTTTTATTTTTGTAGAGACAGGGTCTTGCTATTTTGCTTAGGTTTGTCTGAAACTCCTGGACTCAAGCAATCCTCTCACATTGGCCTCCCAAAGTGCTGGGATTACAGGCATGAGCCACCATACTCAGCCTCTTTGTGGGAAGGGTTCTAAGTAAAAATTCAGTTCCTCTAATGGCTATAGGGCTACTTGGATTATATATTTCTTCTTGAATGAACTTTAGTAGTATCTTTCAAGCAATTGGTATATTTTGTCTAGGTTGTTAAATTCATATGTGTATAATTATTTATAGTATTCCCTTATCCTTTTAGTGCCTGTAGAAACTAATCATGTCACCTCCTATTTCTTGATATTGGTAAATTATGTTTTATCTCCTTTTGTTTTAATCAATCTGACTAGAGATTTATCAATTTTATTAATTTTTTAAAAAACTAGTGTTTGGTTTCATTGGTTTTCTCTCTGGTTTTGAGATTTAACTTGCTCTTCTTTTTCTACTTAAGGTGGAAGCAGAGGTTATTAATTTGAGACTGTTATTTGGTATAATATGTTTAATTTCAAAATGCATTCTAATTTTATGTGTGTTACTTTCCAAATATTTGGGGATTTTCCAGGTATCTTTATCTTACTGTTTTGTTGTTGTTGTTGTTGCTTTGTTTGAGACATGGTCTCACTCTCTTGCCCGGGCTGGAGTGCAGTGGCGCAATTTCAGCTCACTGCAACCTCGACCTCCTGAGCTCAAGAGATCCTTCCACCTCAGCCTCTCGAGTAGCTGAGACCACAGGTGTGCACCACCATGCCCAGCTAATTTTTGTATTCTTTGTAGACACGGAGTTTTGTCACGTTGTCCAGGCTGGTTTCAAACTCCTGGGCTTAAGTGATCCACCTGCCTTGGCCTCCCAAAGTGCTAGGATTACAGGCATGCACCACTATGCTCAGCTATCTTATTGTGTGTGTGTGTGTGTGTGTGTGTGGTTTTTTAATTTAATTTCATTATAGTCAGAAAACATACTTTGAGTTGAATTGTTTTCAATTTATTAAGGCTTGTTTTGTATCATAGAATATTGTCTACCTTAATACATATTTCTTACGCACCTGAAAAGAATGTGTATTATGTGGTTGTTGAGTGGAATACTCTATGAATATAAACAGAAAGATTGTTTGGTTTATGATATTTATTGTGTCTTTCAAGTCTTCTATGTCCTTACTGATATTCTACTTGTGCTATCAATTGCTGAAAGAAGATTCTGAAATCTCTGACTCTAATTGTAAATTTGCCTATTTCTTCTTTCAAGTTCAATCAGTTTTTACTTCATATATTTTGATCTTCTGTTACTTGGTGCAAAAAATTAAGAATTGTTATGTCCTTTGAGACATAAATGACCCCTTCATCATTTTGAAATGGCCCTCTTTATCTCTGCTAATATTATTTGTCCTGAAATCTACTTTGTCTGGTATTAGTATAGATACTCCAACTTTGTTTTGATCAGAATTATCTTGATGTATTTTTTCATTCTTTTGCTATTGATCTATTATGTCTTTACATTTAAAGCGGATTGTTTGTATGCAGGATATAGTTAGATGTTGTTTTATTATCCAGTCTGACCATCTCTGCCTTTTAATTTGGCGTTTATACCATTTACCTTTAATGCAATTGGTTCTATGTTTATACTTTACTGTTTGATTTCTACTTATTCAATCTATTATATGTAAAGCTTTTTCCATTTTATTGACTTCTTTTGAATTAATTAAATATTTTAAAATCTTTTTTTCCTCCTTTGGGGGACTACTAGTTATAACTCTGTTTCATATTTAATAGTTGTCTTAGGGTTAATTGCAAAAAGCTCTAATTATCACAATCTACATTTAAATAATATTATGTATATACACATGTATACACTAAAATGTGTGTGTTTGTGTGTGTGCATGTATTTCTTGAAGAGTTTCACTCTATGCCTATATATCTTAGTATTAAAAAAAGTCTGGAGCTGTTTTTTACGTAATTCTCTCTTCTCTGAAATTCTGCTTTACAGCTTCTAGCTACCTCAGACTCTTTGAACTCAAATCTCTGCTCCTCAATGCAGAGAGACCACTGTGTTTTGCTTGGGATCATCCTACTCACTCTGCTTTACAGAGTGTACCTCGGGGTAGAAAGGCACAGAGAATATTGGACTTACCTCATTTGCTTCCTTTCTTTCTTGCATTACAGTCCTAATATCCCTATTGTCCAATATTTTAAAACAGTTGTTCCACATGTTTTTCCAGTTTTTCTCATTAAGGCAAGAGAGTAAATCTGGTTCCATGATATAGTTTTAATACTTTATTGAACTCCTTGAGTTAATAAGGGGGATTTTTCAATTCATTTTTATAACTGACCATGACTTATATATGTAGAGGAGCACATTTTACTTTTGAATATAAATACATACATATGTGTATATAAGTATATGATACGTGTATGTGTGTGTGTGTTCTTATCCAGTTTTAGATTAGAAAATTCTTAAAATGCTAAAATGAGCTGGGAAGTTTTTTCTCTTTTTCCATTTTCTTGAATAAGATTAGGAAATGTTTCTTAACCATTCTTTTTTCATTATACTCTCTCCCTCCCCCAGGGCCTTTTTAGACATATTTTTTTCTAATCTTCCACCATAAAATTTAATACCACAGACATACTATATCTGTGTACCATGACCCTTTAAAGGGCAGAGACTATTTTAATATGTAAGATTTTTTTTTACACCTTTCTCTAAAACTAATTGATTTTAATCCCATTGAGTTTGTAAAGCTTTCACCTGGAAAACTTCCACATGGAAAACTTTCTGGGTTACAGGTTTTGGGAACAGGAGAGCTTTGATTACCATTTCACTTTTTGAATGCTTGCTGTTCTAGTTGATGTTTGTATTTCTTCTTGGGCCAATTGGGAATTTAATTTTGATCCCAGAAATACAGAGCTTGTACATACTAGTATGGCATCCTTTCTGGTGGGTCAGGTGTCCATCTTGATTAGTCAGTGCCCAAGCTTTACCTGTTGTTGAGTAATTTAAATACTTGTAGAACAAAATCAATCTAAGATTTAAAATATATTAAAATATAGTTATTCACAATATTCTTTTATTTTAAAAAAATTCTTATGCATCTGCTATTATTTCCCCATTTATAATTCTGTTTTGTTTATTTATATCATCTTTCCTTTATCTTGAAGAGTCTTTCCAGAAGACCATCTTGTTTATCTTTTTAAAGAAGCAATTTTAAATTTTGTTGTTTCGTTCTCGGTAAGGTTTTCCTTTTCAAAACTAATTTCTTTTCTAACAAAAAGCAGCCAGAAAAATCAAGCTGCAAGCATAGATAAGCAAGCTGGAAACTTGTATAGGTAAATGCCAGCAGTTGTGCCAATAGAAAAGGAATACCTGGACACCAAGTGTATTCAACATGGAGGTTTCCTCTTCCCTTTTCTTTGTAACCACGTGTTCAGGTAACATGGCGCTGGCCAGGTAAAGACCTCATTTGCATAATAAAAAATTAGGGTGGGCCTGCCAGCTCTTCACAGGCCATGTAAATGGCACACCTGGTCCAACCAATCCACTACGCCCTATGTAAATCAGACACTGCCTCCTCAAGTTCGTCTATAAAACCAACCACATCTCCCAGAAACCCGCTCGGGCCCCTTCCTCTGCAAAAGGAAGCTCTCTCTCCTTTCTTTCACCTATTAAACTTTTGCTTTTAAACTCACACCTTGTGTGTCCACATCTTCGATTTCCTTAGCCCAAGACAACGAACCTCGGGTATTTCCCCAAATGACGCCACTTCAGTATTACTGTTTTTCATGTTCTTTACTTTGGTTCCTGCCCTTAATATTTCCCTATTTCTAGTATCTTTAGTTTGTTCTAATTTTTCTTCTTCTTCTTGAATTAAACATTTGGCTCATTAGTTTTCAATCGTTATTTATTCGTGATAAATTTATTTAGATTTATAAATTTCCCTCTATTACTTTAGCTATGTTCATAAATTTTGGCTTAAATGCTTTCAGTTTATTCTGTTTAATATTTTTGTGAGTTTCTTTTTAATCTAATGATTATTTAGTTTTATGCTATTTAATATCCAGATTTATGGAATTTTTAAAAACCTATTACGAAGAACTGTGAAGAGTATTAAATTTGATCTTACTTGCAAGTTAACAAACCAGCCAGTCACAGTTTCAAAAATGCTGGCAGAAGACATGAGACTCCTGGATCAGAGACAAAGAACTTAATTACTTCATTTCTCATTAGTTCCCCTTGCTTCACAAGCCCCACAAGAGTGATACATACCTGGGTCCAGGAGGATGCTGGAGGTGGGGTTAAGTCACAGCTGAGGAACCCTGAGTTTAGGAAACTCCAATAAGGAGGCTGTGAGCCAACCCACCCAACTTCTGCCCCAGTGGGAGATATTATCTTCATTTTACTGGACAGCAAATAAACCTGCCCTCTGCCATGAAGGGAGATACTATTTTTATTTTCCAAGGCTGTTTGCTATATAAACATCCTTGAAAATACAGGCCAGAACAAAAGCTAACAATGCCTCTGCTCAAAAGACATACAGAAACATGAGAAATCCATGCAGCATTCTCTCCCAGCAATTATTCTTTTGTAATTTATTTCTAACAAAATTGCACTGTGGTAAGAGAACATAGTCTGTACAATGTAGATCTTTAGAACTATTTATGCAGAAAGGTGGGGAAAGTCTCCACGAGTTCAAGCACCACACACCACAGAACCTGCAGACCAACTTCATTCCCAGTGTCTGCACCAGGCGTCTCCTCCTTCAGGGACTCTTCCTTAAATATTAGGTTGCAATCCAATTTGTTGAGGGCCTGGAGAGAAAGGGAATGAAGAAATAAATGCCTTAGGGCAACTAGTCATCATAACATGTATTCTCACCAGATTCTCAACCTGGCAGGATCTTGAGGTTGCAATGATATTCTCCCCACCTCCCCAACCTTTCTGTCCCACCTTCCAACACACACACACACACACACACACACACACACACACACACACACACACACCCCTGGCATCTGGGCTGCTCTTGCTAATTTCTGTTCTGCAGAAGTGATGAGGCCAGAAAAGTGATCCTGCCAAAGCAATGTAGGGGACAGTTAAAAGCAAAATTTACCCACCACGTTGCACCTACTGCCCCACTGTGTCCCAATCCCAGACTGCTATGAGCTTCTAAACCAGCTCACAACTGTCTTTGGTCTCCTCTGGCCTTCTCAGAGTTTTTATGTTAATTCCTCAGACCATGGCTTCTTTCCCACTTTCAGTTTCTCAACCCTGGCTGCCTATTAGAAGGACTTCAAAGGTATTTTTAAAATGCCATTGTCCAGATTCTGCTTCTGGAGATTCTGATACAATTGGTCCAAGGAGGGCCCCAGATTAGCAATAGATTTCAAAGCTTCTTGGGTGATTCTAATGGGCAACAAAGGTTTTCAATCATTGTCTGTAATTTCTACTGGGTCAATTTTGGGAAAGGGACCTTATAGCCCAGGTTTCTTAATTTTCTTGTTCAGGAACTAAAAACCTATATTTTGTTTAATGCTCAAATTATTGAACCCATTTACCTAATAAATACAAATTTTAAAAAGAAGTTATCTTGATGATTTAAGATGACTATAATTTGATTGCATTATCTTAAATCATTTAAAATGCAATTATAAATTCACTATGGCCGATTTTTTCCCCAACACTTCAAATATCATAAAACTTTCACAAATGCAATGACTACAAAGCTTATTATTAATATTATACTTACACTTGAACCTATTCTAAAGTCTCAGAACAATGGACTTATTCATTTCTTTGACAATTTATGTGCTTGTTTTATACCTTCCTGGGGGATATTAGTATACTTATTTTAATATCTTCCTAGGGTTTCAGTAATATATTTTTATTTCTTCCCAGGGGTGGAGTAATATTACTAGACCCGAAAGAAAAAGTATACGTGCTTGGCCCAGCCAAGGCTGCAGGATCTGGAGTACTGGCTGATCCATTTTTGGTCTGGCCTCAGGACTCATCATCAGGCTGAGTTAACTCCTGGTGTTACTACAACACGATTTTTAAAGTCACACCTTCACTTAGGTTTTATTTTTTTTACAACCTGGTGTCTTTCAGGAAATGATGTACTTTTAAAATCTCACTTAGCCAAAGTTACAAAACCCAAGGTCCTATCAGTATGATATATTGACTTGGTCGGCTACCTTTTTAAAGAGTTACATATTCCTTATTGATGTTTTATTAAAATGAGCAGGGCCATCTAGTGGTTTCATTTCCTGTGAGATGAGATGTTGCATGTGTGTAGTATACTCTTTCTCTCTGGGACATTTGACTAATTCCTCTGTTTGGAAGACCCTGGCTATGGATAAAATGTCTGTGTTCCCCCCAGATATATATGCTGAGATCCTAATCCCAATATGATGAGATTAGGAGGTAGGGGCCTTTGGGGGGTGATTAAATTATAACTGTTCTCATGAATGGGATTAGTGCCCATGTGAAAGCAAACCCAGAGGCTTGTTCATCCCCAGCACGATGTGAGGACACAGCAAGAAGGTGCCATCTAAGAGAAACAGGCCCTCATCAGACACCAAATCTGCTTGCACCTTGATCTTCGTCTTCCCAGTCTCTGGAACTTTGAGAAATCAGTATTTGTTGTTTATAAGCCACACAATCTATGGCATTTTGCTATAGCAGCCCAAATGCACTAAGACAACCCTGTTGGATCTTTCTTCTACTTGGTAATTTTGTGTGATCATTAATCTTGATTAAATATTGGATTTTTTGTTCACTTAAATTATTATATGTTAATCCCAGTACCGACCAATCCAGTCTTCCCTCTTCTTGAAGGAGGTTACTTGGTTCCATAATTTTATTTTTTCCTCAGAAATAAATATGTGCATATATATTTATATCTTTTATAAGAAAGTAATTCAATAGGATAAATAAAATCACCATATATAAACAATGTTCACTTGTTAAAATCCATTATCAAAAACATATTCATAATTGGTTACCTATTTTTTATTACAACCATATTTTTGTACTAATTATGTTAATTGTTGAGTATAATTATGAATCCATGGACTTTTTATAGACTTAACATGTTCCAAATAACCATAATAATAATATTTCACGCTAAAATTATCACAGCTTGGTCCGCGGAAACCTTAAATTGGATCTTTGGCTTTTTGATGTTGCTCCTAACATTTTAAAAATAAGATTTTTACTTTCTGGTAATAACAGGATATTCCAGGCTCATTCTGATTTTTTTTAAATTTCCCTGAACAAAGAGTCATCTGTCCTCTGTAGAGTTCTGGTTTCTGTTACTTGACAATAGTATTAGAATAGTAGTTATGGGTGGATGCATAAAAAAGGAGATAGGCAAAAGTCCTGCCAAAGCTGTTGACCTACTTGCACTTGAAAATGGGACTTTAAAAAATAAATCATGGTTTCCAAAGATTTTTCAAATTTAAAGATGTATGTATTAGTCCATTCTCACACTGCTATAAAGAACTGCCCAAGACTGGGTAATTTATAAAGAGAAGAGGTTTAATTGACTCCTAGTTCCACGTGGCTGGGGAAGCCCCGGGAAACTTATAATCATGGCGGAAGGGAAAGAGGCACGTCTTACATGGCAGTGGGTGAGAGAGAGAGTGTGGAGGAACTGTCGGACTCTTATAAAACCATCAGATCTCATGAGAACTCACTCACTATTACAACAACAGTATGGGGGACACTGCCCCCATGATCCAATCACCTCCCACTAGGTCTCTCCCTTGACATGTGGGAATTACGGGGATTGCAATTCAAGATTTGGGTGGGGACACAAAGCCATATCAATGTTATATTGCTGAACCCTACTTTTCTTACAGTAAATGGTATTACCTGATACTAAGACTTTCTCCATAGTAACAGCAGCCAGTTCAATAAACATATATGGCCCTAATACAGTCCAAGCACTGTCTCTGCCTTGAGGGCTGCAGGATAGCATGAGATAAGCTGGATATAGCACGTTCCTCTCTTCTCCTTGCCATAGGGCCTTAGCTGTTCCTTGTCAGAATAGCTCACATGCCTTGCCACATAATACCACTGGAAATAACTTTGTAGAGACTGAGATTAATACAGGGATTTTTTTTAAAGGCCATGAAGGTCTTGGAAGATGAGGACACAAAGAAAGACTGAAATCTGGAGACACCCAGACACAAAGGGACAAAACAAAGACATCCAGAGAATAATGGAATGAGAGGGAGGGAGTTGTGTTTTCATGATGAGAAATGTGTGGGAGAGCAAGCACTGAGGGGATGGAAGAGAAGATAGCAAGAGGGCTACAGAGAGATTTGGGACAAAAGACAAAGGAAGAGATGACAGATTTGGAGAAAATGATTGACGTTGAGAGAGGATTTGCAGCAAGATATGAGAAGATATGAAAAAACAATGTGGAGAGAGTAAAGGAAGAAAAGTGGACAGAAAGAAGATAAAAAAAGAGAGAAATATGCTCATATAGTTTCTGTTTTGGACCATAAATACAAGCTGTAAATTCACTGACTGAAACAACCAGCTGGATTTGAATGGGTTTAGCTGAACTCAAATCCATTATGTATGACATAGACAAATTAAGGTCTGAGCTCTGTGGGATTAGGGACATATTTCCGTTTTCTCTTTTGCTTGGCTCTGCTGGGTATCAATCATCAGGCTCATGTTTGGCTGCAGCATCTTCAAGTCCATCTCATAGGTCATTGTAGAGTAACAGGCTTTGTAAGTTCAGCTACTACACCTCACTTCCCACCAACCATGGTGCCAATGACCTGTGCATTTTTACATTTCGTGCTGGGATTAGCTGGGATTAGCTGAAAGTCAAAGGTCTTGCTTGCCGCACACATGGTTGATGAGTCCTATCATGTCACCATGTTCATCACTGTCAGCAGTCTATTCCACAGGGTGGAAGTCAGAAACATGAATCTTACTAATACTTAAAGCCTTCGGTCTGCATCACAGTCTTATGAAATGCTTGGCTACTGGCCACCTTCTCTTCCCATACACCAGTTCATGTTCAGCTGGACACATGACTAGCGATTCACAAAAAAGTGTTGGAAGAATGACTTCCCAAATCTGCTACTCCAATGTTGGCTTGGGAAGAACGGCACAGGCTTTGTACATTTAAAAATGTGTAAAGTTAGCATTTTCAAAGCTGATTGCAAAATTTCTTTGGATTCTTCTTCTGATTCTGTTGTTGCAAATTGTTAATTTTGTTAATTGAGACTTGTATCACTGGGGCTCTTGACTCTCATGGTGGTAAGTCTAAAGTGGACTCCTTTCCAGATTTCAGGGAGAGGACAAAGGGGTAATGGGTCTAGTGTCAGCATCTTCCTAAGCATTGGACCCACAACTTGGTATGCAGAAGACTCATCTGGGAGCCTATTAAAAATGCTGGGACCCACCCACAGAGATTGGGTCTGAGGAAATGGAATGGAGGCAGGCAACCAAACTGTAAGATTCCCACAAGTGGTTCTGAGGTAGGTGTCCCAAGGCCATTCTTTTTTAAAAGATGAGTTTTATTATTTTTAATTGACATATAATAATTGCACATATTTATGGGGTCTAGTGTTACATTTGAATACATGCATTGAAACATGTATACAGTGTAACTAGCATATTACTCAGGCCATTCTTTAAGAAATGTTTCCCAGGATAATGACAGTAGGTCTTTGCTTACAAGGTGTCTTGCGAGTTTTAAAAACACCTGTATGATCCCCCGCTTGTGACAGGTACAGATGCATCTAAGTTTTCCTCTCAGACCACATGTCCTACTGTCACCATGGTCAACATCAGTTCTCAAGACAGACACCTGATCACTATTAAACTTCACCTGCATTGCTAATGTAGACTCTTCATGAGCCTCACACATTATTTAGTATAGGTGGTCCTATCTTTTACTGCACAATGAGTTCCTGTATATCTGCTAAGAATCCAAAAGTTCAAGAGGAAAATTTATGTGTTATGGAAGACTTTCATTCCCAGAGAGCCAAAAAATAAAAAATAAAAAATAAAAAAATCCATAGTAACATGTCCTGCCTTTTGGATTCCATCTTTGATAATATATTTCCAGCATTTTGTACATGTTCTTTACATTTTGTTCTTTTCTTGCTCTTTATGGCACTTCCATGATGCTTAATGATACCTATCTTTTACTCTATTGTAGTACTTGTGAAGTTTCACTTCTTTTCTTTTTTTTTAACTGAGTTTTATTTTTTATCAGATTTACTTTTTTTCTACTCTCTGTGCTGTGCACACATGATGATGCTTACAAGACTGAACAGTTGGCTGCTATGCAGAGCCACGATGGGGTAGCTCATAATGTTCTTTGATGGCTGGCTTATAAAAGCCTGAACTTCACATCTGGGAGGTGCATAGGACTCAAAACTGCAGGATGTAGGATGTTAAAAGTCAGAAGTTGAGAACCGTCTCTGAAATAGGAATCCAGCTTTAATGAGACTAATTTGTCTAGGCAAAACCCAAGATAAAGCTTTATTACTCATCCAGATATTTTTATTTTGGGGGGTGGGGAGGGGAGACAGAATTTCACTCTGTCACCCATGCTGGAGTGCGGTGGCACAATCTCAGCTCACTGCAGCCTCCACCTTTCACATTCAAGCAATTCTTGTGCCTCAGCCTACTGAGTAGTTGGGATTACAGGCACGCACCACCATTCCCAGCTAATTTTTGTATTTTTAGTAGAGACGGGGTTTCACTATTTTGGCCAGGCTAGTCTCAAACTTCTGGCCTCAAGTGATCTGCCCACCTCAGCCTCCCAAAGTGCTGGGATTATGGGCGTGAGCCACCGTGCCTGGCCTCATCCAGATATTTTTCTAAGTGTTGGAGATACAGCCTTGAAGGAAGGAGACAGACATGGTCAGGGAACTTACAGACTGGAGGATGAGACATGTAGGTAAAAGGGAAATTACAAATAAACTCTGTGAAAGAAGCTCAGGATATTAATTAAGAAGTGCATTCAGAAAACAAAAAACAAACAAAAACCAGCTCTTAAAAATTAAAATTATAATAGCAAAAAATTAAAAATTCAACATGGGGACTTTCTGCTCTTAGTAATGGAGGACTATGTTATTTGAATTAACTATCCCACTGGATAAAAATTTTAAACAACTAGATAAAATATATTAAAACATTTAAAAAGCATCGAAGACAAAACATGACTGTAAGGAATTATAAAGTCAAAGTAAAGTAAAAATGTGAATCCAGAAAGGTAAAAGAGCACGGAAGCCACATTGATCCTCTGATGCTTGCCAATCCTGGAAAACTAGGACTTTTGTTTTGATAATATCACAGAGAGATGGAAACAGAAATAAGAATCCAACAGCCATAAAATTAAATTTCAAGCCCTGAACTTGGGTTTAAGATGGTCCCATACTAGTAGTTACCCCACAGTAGACTTTACTATATGATTGTTATATTTTAATGACACTTTTTTTTTAAATGAAGGTGAAATAAAGATACTTTCAGATTTAAAAAACCTGGCTGGGCACGGTGGCTCATGCCTGTAATGTCAGCACTTTGGGAGGCCAAGGTGGGCAGATCACGAGGTCAGGAGTCCAAGATCAGCCTAGCTAACATAGTGAAACCCATCTCTACTAAAAATACAAAAAACTTTAGCCAGGCATGATGGTGCACACCATGGGTGTAGTCCCAGCTACTCAGGAGGCTGAGGTAGGAGAATCGCTTGAACCTGGGAAGGGGAGGTTGCAGTGAGCTGAGATCGCGCCACTGCACTCCAGTTTGGCAACAGAGTGAGACTTTGTCTCACAAAAAAAATAAATAAATAAAAAAAACCTGAGTGAGTTCTCCATCACAAGGACAGCACTAAAAATTTCTAAAGGCTATATAATATTTAGACTATAAAAGAGTGATTCCAGAAGGAAGTTCCGAGTTATAAGAAGGAATGAAGAGCAAAATAAGTGGTGAATATATGAGGAGCTCTAAATGATTACTGACTTTAAAAAAACAACAATATCCAATGGGATTGAAATATATTGGATTAAAATACACATTAATAATGCCATGTAGCCTTTCCGCCCCCTAGCACTGCTGGGCCTGCAGGTCTCTGTTGAGCCGCGGACGCGGGTCTTTTGTTCCCCAGGATGTGGTTTGTTAAAGTTGTTAAGAATAAGGCCTACTTTAAGAGATACCAAGTGAAATTTAGAAGACAATGAGAGGGTAAAACTGATTACTAAGTTTGGAAACGCTTGGTGATACA
Source organism: Homo sapiens (assembly GCF_000001405.40). Classification (NCBI taxonomy): domain Eukaryota; kingdom Metazoa; phylum Chordata; class Mammalia; order Primates; family Hominidae; genus Homo; species Homo sapiens. The sequence goes on along the minus strand of NC_000015.10, from coordinate 71,063,875 downwards.
GGATAAAAATAAATACAATACACTCAAATATAGGATGATAGTTCATGTAACAAACAGAGATATCATTTGTCAGATTGCTTACGCCTGTATAGAGGGGGTATGATACTCTGGCCAGCATATGCACACGAACTGCCAAAATATGGTGTGAAGGTTGGCTTGTCAAATTATGCTGCAGCATATTGTACTGGCCTGCTGCTGGCCCGCAGGCTTTTCAATATGTTTGGCATGGACAAGATCTATGAAGCCCAAGTGGAGGTGACTGGCGATGAATACAATGTGGAAAGCATTAATGGTCAGCCAGGTGCCTTTACGTGCTATTTGGATGCAGGCCTTGCCAGAACTACCAGTGGCAATAAAGTTTTTGGTGCCCTGAAGGGGGCTGTGGATGGAGGCTTGTCTATCCCTCATGGTACCAAACGATTCCCTGGTTATGATTCTGAAAGCAAGGAATTTAATGCAGAAGTACACTGGAAGCACATCATGGGCCAGAATGTTGCAGATTATACGTGCTACTTAATGCAAGAAGATGAAGATGCTTACAAGAAACAGTTCTCTCAATACATAAAGAACAGCATAACTCCAGACATGATGGAGGAGATGTGTTAGAAAGCTCATGCTGCTATACAAGAGAATCCAGTCTATGAAAAGAAGCCCAAGAAAAAAAGTTAAAAAGAAGAGGTGGCACTGTCCCAAAATGTCCCTTGCTCAGAAGAAAGATCGGGTAACTCAGAAGAAGGCAAGCTTCCTCAGAGCTCAGGAGTGGGCTGCTGAGAGCTAAACCAAACAATTTTCTATGAGGATTTTTCAGATAAAGACAATAAACTTGTGGACAGCAACTTAAAAAAATGCCACATAGGTTCAACATACACAAATAAATGTGATACACCATATGAATAGAATGAAGCATAAAAACCATATGATCACCTCAATAGACACAGAAAAAGCATTTGATAAAATTCAACATTGCTTCATGATAAAACGTTTCAACAAACTAGGCTTAGAAGGAACAAAACTCGACACAATAAAGGCCATATATGACAAACCCACAGCTAACATCATACTGAATGGGGAAAAGCTGAAATCCTTTCCTCTAAGAGTTGGAACAAGACAAAGATGCCCACTCTTACCACTCTTATTCAACATAGTGCTGGAAGCCCTACCCAGAGCAATTAAGCAAGATAAAGAAATAAGGGCATCCAAATTGGAAAAGAGGAAGTCAATTTATCATAATATTTATTTATTTATGTTTATTTTTAATTTTTTTAGAGGCAGGCTCTTAACTCTGTCGCCCAGGCTGTGCAGTGGCACAATCATAGCTCACCGAATGTAGTGGCAAAATCATAGCTCACTGTAGCCTTGAACTCCTGGGCTTGAGCAATCCTCCCAAGTGGCTGGGACTGTAGATGCCATGCCACCACACTTGGCTAATTAAAACAATTGTTTTTTGTCGAGATGGGGTCTTGCTATGTTGCCTAGGCTGGTCTCGAATTCCTGGCCTCAAGTGATCCTCTTGTCTCAGCCTCCCAAAGCACTAGGATTACAGGTGTGAGCCATTGTGCCCAGCCAGATGACATAATCCTATATATAGCAAAACCTGAAGACGCCATCAAAACACTCTTAGAACTGATAAATAAATTTAGTGAAGATACAGGATACAACATCAACATGCCAAAATCACTGTTTCTATACACCAATAATGAACTAGCTGAAAAAGAAATCTAGTGTTTCTATGCACCAAGTGAAAAAAATCCCATTTATCATAGCTATGAAAAAATAAAATACCTAGGAATACATTTAACCAAAGAGGTGAAAAAACTCTACAAGGAAAAGTGTAAAACACTGATGAAAATATTTGAAGAGGAAACAAACAAATAAAAAGACATCCCATGCTCATGGATTGGAACAATTAATATTGTTAAAATGATCACACTGCCCAAAGCATTCTACAGATTCATTGCAATCCCTATCGAAATACCAATGACATTATTTACATAAATAGAAAAAAAATCCTAAAATTCATATGACATTATAAAAGACACCAAATAGCCAAAGCAATACTGATCAAAAAGAACAAAACTGGAGGCATTACACTACTTTACTTCAAATTATACTACAAAGCTATAGTAACCAAATCAGCATGATACTGGTATAAAAACAAACATATTAACCAATGGAACAGAATAGAGAACCCAGAAATAAATTCACATATTTACAGCCAACTGATTTTTGACAAAGGCACCAAAAACATACATTGAGGAAAGGACACCCTCTTCAATAACAGTGCTGGGAGAACTAAATAGCCATATGCAGAAGAATAAAATTAGACTCCCTACCTATCACCAAATATAAAAATCAACATAAAATGGATTAAAGACTTAAACATGAAACAAAAAACTATAAATCTACTGGGAGCAAACATAAGAGAAGTGCCTCACGACATTGATCTTGGAAAAAATTTTATGTATAAGACCTCAAAAACATAAACAACAAGAGCAAAAATTGACAAATAGTATTATATGAACTAAAAATCTTCCATACAACAAAGGAAACAACAGAGGGAAGAGACAACTGTAGAAAGGAAGAAAACACTTGCAAACTATTCATCCAACAAGTGACTAATATTCAGAACATGAAAGGAACTCAGACCACTCAACAGGAAAAAAAATCCAATTAAAAAGTGGGCAAAGGAAATAAATAGATGTTTCTCAAAAGAAGACATACAAATGTCCAAAAAAGTATTTTAAAATGTTCAACCGCCTCTAGTCATCAGGGAAATGCAAATCAAAACCACAATGAGTATCATCTCACCTCAATTAGAATGGCTATTATCAAACACACACACACACACACACACACACACACACAAATGCTGGTGAGGATGCAGAGAAAAGGGAACTGTTATACATTGTTGGTGGGAATTTAAATTAGTACAGCCATTATGGAAAACACTGTGGGGATGTCTCAAAAAACTAAAGATAGATCTACCACATGATCCAATGACCCCACTGCTGGATTTTTATCCAAAAAAGAGAAAATCAGTGTATCAAAGGAATACCAATACCTGTATCCTTGTTTATTGCAGCACTATTCACAATAGCTAAGATATGGAATCAACCTAAATGTCCACCAACAGACAAATGAATAAAGAAAATGTGATATATATATACATTGAAATATTATTCAGCCATAAAAAAGAATGAAATCCTGTCATTCACAGCAACAAGGATGAGCCTGGAGCACATTATGTTAAGCAAAATAAGTTAGCCACAGAAAGATAAATGCTGCATGTTCTTAATCAGATGTGGGAGCTAAACTTTTTTTTAGCTCATGGAAGTCACGAGTAGAATTGTGGGTATTGGAGGCTAGGAAGGGTAGTAGTGGGGGGAGCATGGGGAGAGGTTTGTTAACAAATACAAAATTACAGGTAGATGGAAGGAGTAAGTTCTGGTGTTCTACAGCACTATAGGGTAAACATGGTTAATGATAATTTATTGTATATTTTCAAAAGGCTAAAAGAGAGAATTTTGAATGCTCACAACACAAAGAAATGATAAATGTTGAGGTGATGGAATGCTATTTATCCTGATTTGATCATTACACATTGTATACACGCATAGAAATTCACTCAATAGCCCATAAATATGTATGATTATTATGTATCAACTAAAAATAAAAAGAAAAAATGCCGTATTAAAAAAAAAAAGAGGGGAAGTAATTTGAGTTACAGTGTTCCAAGGTCCTTGTATTTTCCAGAAGGATGATAAAGATATTAACATTAGAAACCAATGTTAATCAATGAGAAGGTAAAGATCTATGATATAAGTTCTAGGGAAATCATTTACAAAATTAGAAACTGAGTGTATAACTTCTAAATTCATAGAGGGAAAACATGGTTAAAAAATACCCAGTAATTTAAAAAAAGTAATTGAAGGGAAAAAAGAAGTAAAACAAAACATGGAATAGGTGGCACAAGTAAAAACACATATCAAAATGTTTAATTTAAACTTGGTTGATTTTGTTCTAAAAAAACTAACTTCATCTTTTAAAAGGCTAGATTGTTGAACTGGATACAACTATAAATTTAAATTATATATTATTTAAAAGAAACATAACTACAACATAAGCATATAGAAAGGTGGAAATTAAATCATGCAAAAATATCTCATTCAAATATTAATTTTAAAAAGCTGGTATACCTATGTTAATATTGAACAAATTAGAATTTAAGGCAAAAAGAATTTTTAGAGATAGAAGACTCATTTCACAATGTCAAAAACATCAGTTCAACAGGAAGATATGTCAGTTTTAAATTTGTATGTACCTAATAACATGCCCTTAATAAATGCATAAAGCAAAAAATAATAGAGTAGTAGGAGAAACAGACGAATCCAGTCTCAGTGGAGATTTTAGTCTTTCAATAATTGATAAGAACAACCAGAAAAGAAGACAGATGATTTGAACACTATACTTAAGAATTTTGACCTAATTAATATATACACATGTTATGGTCACCTTTTGGGAATGAGACAGGCCCCTCAGTCAAACTTTGGTTCAGATGTTAATACTGATGACACCACACAAACACATACACCAAATAAGCCACAAAATGGTTTATTACTTACATAATGGGGCCAAATGCTTGGAAACTGAACAATATGCCTATAAATAACCTCTGAGTTAGGGAAGAAATCACAAGAAAGTTTAGGATGTATTTCAAAGAATATGGCTTTTCCACTTTTCTTTTAGAAAACAGAATAGGAGACAACACAAAGGCACAATAGAAAATTTTTACAGACCAATATCACTAATAAACATAAACACAAACACTTTTAAACAAATATTAGCAAATAATACTCAGAAATATGTTAAAGGTTAATATATAATTACATTATCCTAGTAATGCAAGGTTGGTTTAACATTTGAAAATCAATCAATGTAATCAATAACATAAGAATAAGGGAGAAGGACTATATGATTATTTCAATAGATGTAGAAAAATATCTGACAAAAGTCAGTATTCTTTCATGATAAAAAATTATCAGCAAAGTAGGAATAATAGGAAACTTTCTCAGCCTGATAAAGGCTATCTGTGAAAAACCTACAGCTGGCTGAGTATGGTGGCTCATGCCTGTAATCCCAGCACTTTGGGAGGCTGAGATGAGTGGACTGCTTGAGCCCAGGAGTTCAAGACCAGCCTGGGCAACATGGTGAAACCCCATCTCTACTAAAAATACAAAAATTAGCTGGACATGGTGGTTGTGCCTGTTGTCCCTACTACTTGGGAGGCTGAGGTGGGAGGATCCCTTGAGCCCAGGAGACAGAGGCTTTAGAGTGAGCCATGATTGCACTACTGTACTCCAGCTAGAGCAACAGAGTGAGACCCTGTCAAAAAAAAAAAAAAAAAAAAAAAAAGAAAGAAAAGAAAGAAAGAAAAGAAAAATTAAAACCTACAAGTAAACTTATGATTGAACATGTTTACTCTAAGATTAGGGAAAGAGAGAAAGGACAATAATGACCACTCTTACCACTTTTTTTTTTAAGACATTGAACTGGCAGTCCTAGCCTGTGCAATGAGGCAAGAAAAAGAAACAAAATGTGTAAAGACTGGTAAGGAAGATGCAACACCATTTTTATTTGCAGAAAAAATGATTTTGTCTGTGTGGAAAATCCTAAGCAATTAATATTGCAAGTTTACAGAATACAAAGTCAATATAGTAAATTCTCATTATTTATGGTGAATATGGTCTATAAAGTTGTCCTAAACATGAAATTAGTGAATACTACTGAACATTTGCTCCAATGGGAAATGCAGGTTTAGGTTCCTGTGAGACTCTGGGACAATATTTTTAGTCAATTAATACTTAACCCTGTTATATGTGTGTTTCTGTTAAATGGCATCGTTAAATATATATATATATATATATAATTGATTTATCAACATCAAACTCATGGCCAACAGCACTGTAACTGATGCCTCAACAAAGCTTATCTAACACATGTCATTTATCTGCGATGTCAGGCACATCACCACCTTCTTGTGCTCAGGAGCATTAGAGAGCACTTCAGGCCGACCCCTGGGGGGCATTGTAAAGAGCAAAGTCATCAACAAAAAGCACAAAAATGCAATAAACATGGCATTAAATATACTGTGAAAAGGATACTTGTTTACTTTCTGATAACTGAAACAAGAAGGGAGAGTATTGCCTTGCTTAACCTCAGCTGGGAACATGTGCATTGGGGGCTCAAATTTGTCATCACTTTGTATATATCCACAAATGAATGTGGGGACTACAAATGAATTTTAGTGAGTAGGCAAATTATACAAAATCTGCAAATAATGAGGATCAACTATATATAAAAGTCAACTGTATTACTATGTATTTGCAAAAAAAACTTGGGAATGAAAATTTAAAATAACTTTAAAATAGCAAAAAATATAAAATGCTTAGGAATAAATCTACTTCAGAATAAAATTTAAACTGAAATCTACTAAATTTTGCTTTAAAAATGATCTAAATAAATGAAGAGTTATCCCATGTTCATGGATTGGAAGATCCTCTCCAATTCATCTATAAATTTGATATAATCCCACTAAAAATCCTAAAAGTCATTTTTAAAATAAATTGCCAAGCTGATTCTAAAATTTATATGGAAATGCAAAGACCTAGACTCACTGAAACAATTAAAGCAATTTTGTAAAACAACAAAATTTGAGGGGTTATATTACCTGTCTCCAAGACTTACATAGAGCTACAGCAATCAAAACTGTGGAGTAAAATTGGTGTAAAAATAGAAAAAATAAATAAATGAAATAGAATAGTAAGTCTAGAAAGAGACCTGCACATATATTGGTCAATTAATTTTCCAAAAATAAATTGCCAAAGCAATTCAATGGGCAAAAGAACACTTTTTGCACCAAATTTTGCTGGAATGCTGGGTTTCTATAGAGAAAAAAGAAAATGAAATTGTATCTCTACCTCAAACCTTTCACAAAAATTAATTCAAGAATAATTATGGTCATGAATGTAATAACTATAAAGCTTCTAGATGAAAGTAGAAGAGAATGTCTTCGCAAACTTGGGGCAGGAAAACTGTTTTAGAGAGATTATAAAAGGCACTTGACATAGAAAATTGATGAACTGGACTTTCTCATAATTCAAAACAAAAGCGTTGTATCTAGTATGTATCAAGAACTTACACATATAAATAATAAAAAGACAATTCAAGTTAGAAAAGTAGGCAACAGACCTGAATATTTACTTCATAAAAGAAGATATAAAAATGACCAAAACATGCATAAAAATGTGATCAACATCATTAGACACCAAGGAAAATAAAATTAAAGCAACAACCTGAAAAGGCCACACTGGAATAGCTGAAAATTTAAAAAGTTCAAAACAACAGATGTTGGCACATATGTGGAGCTACCAGAACTCTATATACATTGCTGGAAGGAGTGTAAAATTGTACAACCACTATTTAAAAAAATTAATGGCAGTTTCTTATGAAGTTAAACTTACAACTATTCTGACTCAACAGCTCCACTGCACAAAAGGATTTGTACAAACATGTCTTCATTCACAAGAGCCCCAAATTGGAAACAACTCAATAGAATGGATAAGAAAACCATGATACCTTTATACTAAGAAATAAAAAATTATTGATACATGAAACAATATGAATGATTCTCAAAAACATTATGTTGGGTAAAACAAGTCAGACACAAAAGAATACCTATTGTATGCTTCCATTTACAGAAAGTTCCAGAACAGACAAAACTAATCAATGGTGAAAGAAATTAGAGCAATACTTGCTTGTAGGGGATGGCCAGGGATTGACTAAGAAAACTTTTCTGAAGTGATTAAAATGTTGGAATTCTTAATTGGGATGTTGATATTTTCAAAATTCATCAAATTATACACTTATGTGCATTTCACCATATGTAAACTTTGTCTTTTAAAAAAATCCTTGAAAGATCTCTTCTCTACACAAAAAGCCACTTTCACGTACGCCCCCCCCCCCACACACACACAGGTTCACTAACACATTAGATTGTAAAAAATGAAAGTCCTAATTGTTAGTGAATATATGGAACAACTGGAAGTTGTATTCTCTACTTGTGGGAGTGTAAACTGATACGAATCACTCTAGAAAGCAATTTGACAATATTTAATGCAGTTGAATGTGTCCATATGACTCAGCAATTCCACAGTTACTGTGTACTCCTAAAGCACACATGTGAACAGGCATATTCAATGCAGCATTGTCTGTACTAGTTTTAAACTAGAAAACTCCTGATGCCCACCAACAGGAAAACAGTTACATAAATCACTCATGGGCTGTACAACCCAATATCAAATAGCAGCAAAAATGAAAGAAGTGGAACTACTCCCATCAATGAATATAATCCTCAGGAACATAATATTGAGTGAAAAAATGCAGAAGAATACATATTGCATGGCCCCATTTATATAAAATTAGAAAATATAAAAACTTAATTCAATAAGCTCCCTATGCATTTATGCATAAATAGGAACAGCCAGAAAATATGAATGAGGTCAGGTGTGGTGGCTCATGCCTGTAATCCCAGCACTTTAGGAGGCAGAGGCAGGCGGATCACGAGGTTAGGAGATTGAGACCATCCTGGCTAACATGGTGAAACCCCGTCTCTACTAAAAATACAAAAATTAGCTAGGCGTGGTGGTGCACGCCTGTAATCCCAGCTACTCAGGAGGCTGAGGCAGGAGAATCGCTTGAACCCAGGAGGCAGAGATTTCAGTGAGCCAAGATTGCGCCACTGTACTCCAGCCTGGCGATAGAGGGAGACTCCGTCTCAAAAAAAAAAAAAAAAAAAAAAGAAGAACATGAATGAATAAGCATAAAATTCAGGATAGTGGTTACCTGGAGGGAGGGAAAGAAGGTGCATAGGGGCTCCATGTCTACTTGCAATGTTTGATTTATAAAATCTGAAGCGAGTGTGGAAAAATATTAAGATGTTATGCTTGGTGGTAGATATAGGGCATTTATTTGAGATATGATTCTACAGGCATTTCTGCACACTGAAACATTTCAAGATAAACAAAGAGAAGAAGTCGACTCTCTGAGGACTCAGGCTTAGGGGCACTTGTAAAAGGAATTAATAAATAGTTTCATTGTCTCCTGAAGAGAAACTGCAAACTATTCCACTCCCCAAGGAGTATATTTATTCTTTAGGAGTAATTTATTCTTTGGAGCTTTGAATATACTTTAACTCTTTCCATAAAGGATTTGAGGTATTTTGCAACAAAAGACACATACAATGAATCATGAAAACATAAACATAAGTAGAAAATCAGGATCAAATATACTAAACATTCCATCAATACTGGTTAACACAGTTGCTGTGATTAAATTTCAAACTTGGCTCTGAAGTTCTTGGCAACAGTAACCACTCCATCTCCATCTGACCCATAAAAGCAGATTATAAAAACTAACCTTTGTTCTTCAAGATTTAAATAAAATATTTTCCTGAGTAGTCTCTCTTTATTCTATTTTGCATTTTGCCTTGAGGCTAACTAGCCAGATTCTCTGTCCCCCTTCTTTCTCTTTTCTTTCCTTTTTTAATTTATTAAATAAACTGTGAGATGGGAGAATAAAGCCCAGGTTTGCCCAAAGAGATGAATAGGATGTTTTTTGGTCTGTCAACAAACTGTTAATGATAGAAAATCATGGAATCAAACCAAGAGAAAATATAGGTGAATCATTAACTGCTTTCTGAATAAGCAGTAAATTCTGAATTACAATAAATGAAATCACAAAGAAAAACAATAGGAGAAAAACAGAAGGAAAATCACAAAGAAAAACAGAAGGAAAAACTCAGATAACAATCAAAATAAAAAGGCAAGTACAGGCTGGGCGCGGTGGCTCATGCCTGTAATCCCAGCACTTTGGGAGGCCGAGGCAGGCGAATCATGAGGTCAGGAAATTGAGACCATCCTGGCTAACACGGTGAAACCCTGTCTCTACTAAAAATAGAAAATAATTAGCAGGGTGTGGTGGTGGGCCCCTGTAGTCCCAGCTATTCGGGAGGCTGAGGCAGGTGAATTGCTTGAACCCAGGAAGCAGAGGTTGCAGTGAGCTGAGATTGTGCCACTGCACTCCAGCCTGGGTGACAGAGTGAGACTCCGTCTCAAAAAAACAAACAAACAAACAAAAAAACCGCAAGTACACTATGATAATCTTATTTAGCAAGTGATAGGTTTATTCTCTTAAATATAAAGATAGCATAAACAAGTACTGCTATACGCCAATGACTCCAAATTCTATAATTCTAGCCCAATCTATACTTCTCAACTCCCAACTCATATTCACACCTACTTAACACCTGCACTTGGATATTTAACAACCATCTCAACATATGCTGAGATGTGTGGTATATCTTGTATATATTGTACATGTTGAGATGCATTGTGTATTCCATAAGACGGAATTCCTGATCCTTCCTCCCAGCAGATGTTCCATTCACAGATTGCTCTCATCTCAGTTGATGGCAACTCAATCTTTTCGGTAGTTCAAGCCAAAAACCTTGTGGCCATCATTGACTACTGTTTCTCATACTCCATATCCAGTTCTGTCAGTAAATCTTGTTGCTTCATCTTTAAAATATACCCAAGATCCAACTACTTTCTGACGCCTCTGCCGCTATCACCTTGATCCAAGTCACAATTATCTCTTGCCTAGAATAATGCAGTACCTTCCCAACTGGTCCCCCTAATTTAATTATTGCCCCCTCCTGAAGTTGATTCTCTACACATTATTGCAATGAATCCAGCTGCCAATATTTTACACTTTAATATGTATATCCTTAAATAATACACAATATTGTACATGTGTACTTATACATTTGTTAGTATTTATACCGCACATAATGTCTACGATATGCTTCACATGTAGACACAGTTGAGAAATTCTCATCTTTTATTTGCTATTCCTCAGCATAATGACAAAACATGAAAGTGGATTAGGAACGACCATGGACATCAAAATTCTTCCCAGATGCCAGATCCTTAAGACTAACAGTGAATGTGGGTACTGTCTACTATTTATTGGTTGAAATACCCTTAGTTACGTTTTTTTTCATCCTCTCTATGCCTCAGTTTTCTAGTGTTCAAATGGGATTGCTATCATATATATATCGCAGTGTTAGGAGATTAAATGAGAATGTATACAAAGAGCTTATAATAGTGCAAGACATTGCTCAATGAATCTTTGTTGTTATGATGATTACTCATTGAAGAGAATATGAATCCCAGTGCATTCCTTGCCCAATCAGGAATAGATCAGGAGCATGGTAGGGTTGCACTGTCTTACATGCCAGGCCTTCAGTGGAATGAAGCTCAGGAAGTGAGGAGCTGATACCAGCACCATCCTCTGACTCAGCAGCACAGTTAACAAGCCTCAGGTCCACCTGCACACTTGGTAACCATCCTCAGGTGTAGCAGCACACTTCACCATCCAGCTGCTGTACCAGAACATCGGGTACAGTATCTCCCTAAATGGGGGTACTAAATGTTTCTGCTTTTGAGGCAAATGCAATAGTGTTTCTGCGTGAGATCCCTTTTGAAAAAAAGCAATTCTTCAGCACACACTAGCCTAGAGAGTCTCAGACTATGGGATTTGCATCTCTTCCCCTTCCCTGAAAACCCTGGAAAATTCCAAGAAGAAATGGCAATTTGTTCCCTAGATCACCACTCACTTACAACATAGGACCCTCACTTGATCCCTAACCCAGCAGACCCAGGTCTCCTTGTCTTTTTATCTGGGGATTATCTTCACCAAGGAACTTCAGAACGCAAAATGAGTTTGGAGTGTAGAACTAGATGGGAGGATCGCCATTCGACGTTTGAGACCCGACAAAGTAAGGATTCAAGAAGTAGAAATCAGTATGGGGTAGTGGGAGCAGGTAGGAGCGAAAGGGAACTCAGGTAGGAAGGAAGCAGAGACCAAAGCTGAGGAATAAAGAGGCTTGGTTTCAGGAACAAGAGAGAGACCCTATTACCAGGCCTGAAGCAGGTCTGCATAGAGCCAGCAGTGGCTGGGATGGCTTGCTGCCATTTCATTGAGTGCTGACTTAGTGTTCCTAAGATTCCCAGGGTGACTGGGCCAAGAAAGCATGTGAGTGTCAAGTCTCTTTAGCAGCAGGGATGGGAGGGTTAGGGGAGAACAGACATGCAGGAAGCTGGACAGATTACTAAACAGCTAGGTCCATTCATCTGCAAAGCCTAGAGTGGGAACAGTTACCCAGACTCCCAAAGAGTCACAAGTTCTTACATCTTTCCAATCTGCCAGAATCCCACAGACAATATACTCTTGGTTCTCCTCTCAACATCACCTTCAAGCTGGGATCTCATTTCTATACCAAACAAGATATAAGCCCAGGAGAGATAAGTGTTTACTAGCCAGATGAGAAATGGTCCATATGTTTCAGTTTGGAGAGGCTAAAGGATCAGAAAGCAATGCTAATAGCTCCTCTGTCCTAGGGCACCAACCCTATTGTTCAACCTACAGCCAAAAGAGTAATAATTAAAGCTCAACGTATTGGGTGTTTGCTGTGTGCCAGGCATGATGAGAAATGCTTTACATGCATTGTTTCTTTTGATTCTCATGACTATCTTACGAAGTGTGTGCTATCAGGAGGAAACTGAGGTTACACACTAGTAAGCTGATGGCCTAAGTGCCAAGATGAAAAAACCAGGACAGGACAGGCATGGTGGCTCACACCTGTAATCCCAGCACTTTGGGAGGCCGAGGCAGGCGGATCATGAGGTCAGGAGATCGAGACCATCCTGGCTAACATGGTGAAACCCCGTCTCTACTAAAAATACAAAAACTTAGCTGGGCATGGTGGCGGGCACCTGTAGACCCAGCTACTTGGGAGGCTGAGGCAGGAGAATGGCGTGAACCTGGGAAGCGGAGCTTGCAGTGAGCCGAGATCGCGCCACTGCACTCCAGCCTGGGTGACAGAGCAAGACTCTGTCTCAAAAAAAAAAAAAGAAAAAGAAAAAACCAGGACAGCCTTTTAAGGCTATGATCAGAAAAATGGTAACCTGTTAAAGTTAAGCACGCCTTTTGGGAGAAGAGTAATCAAGAGATCTTAAGGATGTGGGTCTTTCTCAGAACCGCAATAGCAGCTTACCTAGCTTCCTTCCAGGTGTCTCTGCATGTCTCTGCATGTCTTTGCTGTCGTACATCTTCTAGTCCTGTTTTCCCATATCCTGGTGGTCCTGCTGACATAATAGCTGCTAGGTAAAATCTAAGCAAACCGAAAAATTCCTATTTATTGACTAAGATTGTTTTTCTGAAGTGGCATCATCTCTAGCTATGGTAATAGGCTCCTACTACCCTTCTCACCAGCATGAATTTGATCTTCAAATGAAATTTTAAAAATTAGAACCCTTCACTCATGCATCCCTAATACTTCTGAGACACAGGTACACATGCATGTCTATTAAAAGAGCATTTGAGAGCTAACAATGGAAGGAAACATCTTTCAGAGAAGCAGATTTACTGCTTTGTAACAGCATTTTATAGTCATTCAGGATCTCCTAAGACAAAACATTTTCTTCCTATCCCAGTTTTGACTCATTTGCATATTCTCTGCCCATAGTGATTCCCAGGACCTCCTGTGGTTCCCTGAGAATGCATTCCTAGAAGAATGGGGCATCCTCCATATAGGTGAATAGCAGGAACCGTACCTAACTAAAGAGGAACATACAATAAATATGACAATTCTGACTGAATTAAGGAGGCAAACATACTTTATTTTGACTAATTTGTTAGTAAGTTTATTCTTCACTCATAAAAAGAACATATTTTTGGCTTTGAAATCATGACATAAAATAAAAAGGGAAATAACTGAAAATTATCAGCTAAAAGTAGGTAGATGCAGCTCATGCTGAATCATCAGCAAATACTACGTGCTTTGGGCTATAGCAGGGCACCAATCAAAGCAAGAACCAAGGATGCAGTGCCACGCCATCTCTGAAAACTGTTTAGTTCCCAAAGGTTGTTTGGTCCTCACATACAGGCAATTAATCCTTCCTTTCTCCTGCTTTCCTTCCTTCCTTCTTAACTTTTAGCTATGAGAACAGTGGGCAATAATGCTTTTATACTAGTCTTTCTAGTTTATAGGATAGTGTTGTTGTTGTTTTAACATGTATAACCTGCATATTTTCAACCTTCAAAAAATAAAACTGCCAAAATCAACTGTAACTAAAGGCCATTTTTATTTTTGGTCTGTTATCTGCTGTAGGCAGAGCTTCATATAGGAATTTTTATTGCGAATTTCTATGACTGCATCCCTAACAAGCTCAATGAACATCTGTGGCCAAAGCTTCTGCAAAGCCTCATTTTTCATGTTGATTTCTGTGGCTTCCTTCACAAGGTCTTCTATATATGTTTTACAGAATTTCTTCTTTTCCTTTATTTCCTGTTAAAAAAAAGAGAAAGTTTTGTATTAAATCATAACTAATCCAAAAGTCAAAGCAACAATTAGCTGAACCACAGAAAATTGAAATAATTTATTCTGACCCCCTATTCCTCCCCCATCTACTCCTCAGAGCAGGAATTCTTTCCTAGTCACTGCTGACAGAGTTCTGCTTGAGTAAAGATAACAACAAGGGTCTCAGTACTTCTCAGTCTACTCCTACCTCTGTTGGACAGCTCTGCTAGAAAATGTGTTTCTTTACTGGAATTGTTGAATCATAACTACTATTTCTCCTATCTCAGTTCAGGTCATTTAGCTCACACAAGTCAGCTGAATGCAGACTCACAGATTCCTGTGGTAAATGTATCAGGATACAGATAGTGACAATTTCAATTGGTATGATATTAGTTAATATCTATGTAATACTTTAAGTATGTATACTCTGAATTTACCCTCTATTATGGGAAAGCATAAAATGGTACACTACACTGACTTACGCAGCCTTGACCATTTGGAGAAAGTTGGGGGGAAGTGTACAATTAGGAAGAGTAAACATATAGAAACCTGGGACCCAGGACGTTGCCTTCTAAAGAAACAGGTCTCCCACTCAACTTCTGGGTCTGGCAGTGTGAAAATGAAAAACCTGGTCCTAAACACAACAGAGGAATTTTGGAGCTGAGGATATTTGAATATTGTGCCCCAATTTCATCACAGAGACTAAAACAAAGTGATTTTGTTTAATCAAGAATTTAACATTTATTTTGGCTATTGATACTTCTGAATAGTATCAAGGCATAATCATGGAATGTATAATATACATGGAAGAATCAATGTAACACATCAGATAATCAGAATTACAAGGGAAGTAATGCACATCAATGAAGAAGGAAAGTAATAAATGTCAATGAGACAATACATTTAACTACTAGAAAAAGGATCCATTTAAATCTCCAACTCAAGTCAAAACACCAAAATAATTTCAAGATAAATTAAATGAGCTAAATTTAAAATATCATAAGCCAGGCATGGTAGCTCACATCTGTAATCCCAGCACTTTGGGAGGCCAAGGCAGGAGGATCGCTTAAGGCCAAGAACTCAAGACCAGCCTGGGCAACATAGCGAGACCCCATCTCTACAGAAAAACAAGAATAAAAAATTTAGCCAGGTGTAATAGCACATGCCTGTAGTTCCAGGTACTTGGGAGGCTGAGGTGGGAGAATCGTTTGAGCCCAGGAGTTCAAGGCTACAGTTTAAGCTATGATCATGCCATTGCACTCCAGCCTGAGTAACAGAGTGAGACCTTGTTTCTAAAAAAAAAAAAAAAAAAAAAAAATTTGGCCCGGTGCAGTGGCTCACACCTGTAATCCCAGCACTTTGGGAGGCCAAGGTGGGTGGATCACTTGCGGTCAGGAGTTCGAGACTAGCCTGGCCAGCATGGTGAAACCCCATCTCTACTAAAAATATAAAAATTAGCCAGGGTTGTGGCACATGCCTGTAGTCCCAGCTACACGGGAGGCTGAGGCAGGAGAATTGCTTGAACCCAGGAGGTGGAGGTTGCAGTGAGCTGAGGTCGTGCCACTGCACTCCAGCCTGGGCGACAGAGCAAGACTCTGTCTCAAAAAACAAAACAAAACAAACAAACAAACAAATGAAATCCTAAAAATCACAGATAGTGTCATTAAAATTATACCTACGAAGATTTCTAGGAAGTCCTAGCCAGAACGGTCAGGCAAGAGAAAGAAATTAAAAAGCATCTAAATAGGAAAAGAAGTCAAACTATCTCTCTTTGCTGACAATATGATTTCTATACCTAGAAAATCCTAAAGACTCTGCCAAAAGGCTCTCAAATTGAAACAATTTTAGTAAAACTTCAGGATATAAAATCAATGTACACAATTCAGTAGCGTTTCTATACACCAACAACATCCAGGCTGACAGTGAAATCAAGAACACAATCCCACTTACAATAGCCACAAAGAAAATGAAATACGTAGGAATACAGCTAAGAAGGTGAAAGACCTCTACAAGGAGAACTACAAAATACTGCTGAAAGAAATCAGAGATGACACAAATAAATGGAAAAACATTCCCTGCTGATGGATTGGAAGAATCAATATCATAAAAATGGCCATATTGCCCAAAGTAATTTACAGTTCAATGCTATTCATATCAAATTCCCAATGTCACTCTTCACAGAATTAGAAAAAAAATTCTAAAATTCATATGGAACCAAAAAAGAGCCCGAATAGCCAAAGCAATCCTAAGCAAAAAGAACAAAGCCAGAGGCATTATGCTATCTGACTTCAAACTATACTATAAAGCCACAGTAACCAAAACAGTTTGGTACTGGTAAAAAACAGATACATCGACCAATGGAACAGAATAGAAAACTCAGAAATAAAGCTGCACACCGAAAACCATCTGATCTTCAACAGGGCTGACAAAAACAAGCAATGGGGAAAGGACTCCCTATTCTATAAACGGTGCTGAGATAACTGGCTAGCCATATGCAGAAGATTGAAGCTGGACCTTTCTTATCTTTCACCATATACAAACATTAACTCAAAAGGGATTAATAATTTAAAGGTAAGACCTCAAACTATAAAAATTCTGGAAGACTCTTCTTGATATTGGCCTTGGCAAAGAATTTTTGGCTAAGTCCCCAAAAGCAATTGCAACAAAAACAAAAATAGACAAATGGGACTTAATTAAACTAAAGAGCTTTTGCACAGCAAAAGAAACTATCAACAGAGCAAACAGACAACCTACAGAATTGGAGAAGATATTTGCAAACTATGTATCTGACAAAGGCTTAATATCCAGAATTTATAGGGAACTTAAATCACCAAGCAAAAACCAAATAACCCCAGTAAAAAATGGGCAAAGGACATGAACAGATACTTCTCAAAGGAAGACATACAAGTGGCCAACAAGGATATGAAATAGTGCTCAGCATCACTAATCATCAGAGAAATGCAAATCAAAACCACAGTGAGATACCATCTCACACCAGTTAGAATGGCTATTACTAAAAAGTGAAAAAACAACAGATGCTGGCGAGGCTGTGGAGAAAAAGGAACTCTCATACACTGCTGGTGGGAATATAATTAAATTAGTCCAGCCACTGTGGAAAGCAGTCTGGCAATTTCTTAAATAACTTAAAACAGAGCTACCATTTGGCCCAACAATCCCATTCCTGGGTATATACTCCAAAGAAAATAAATCATTCTACCAAAAAGACACATGCGCTCATATGTTCATTGCTACACTATTCACAGTAGCAAAGACATAGAACCAACCCAGGTGCCCATCAATGGTAGATTGGATAAAGAAAATATAGTATATATACACCATGGAATAGTAACTACATAGCCATAACAAAGAGTGAAATCCTGTCCTTTGCAGCAACATAGATGGAACTGGAGGCCATAATCTTAAGCAAATTAATGCAGAAACAGAAAACCAAATGCTGCATATTCTCACTTATAAGTGGGAGCTAAGCACTGTGCACACATGGAAGATGGGAACAACATAAATATGGGAACAACATAGAGGGTGGTAGGGGTGTGGGCTAAACAACTACCTGTCTGGTACTGTGCTCATTACTAGAGTGACAGGATCCATACTCCAAACCCCAGCATCACATAATACTCTCATGTAACAAATCTGCACTGTACCCCATATCTAAAAGGTGAAATATTTAAAAATAAAATAAAATAAAGATTCATAATAAGAAAAAATGCTTAAATCATAATGTTATGTGAAAAAAATAAAATTTTTTTTGATAGGGTTTGGGTTATATGAATGTATGAATTGTCAAAACTCAGCAATTGTACACCTAAGATTTACATTTCAGTATATAAGTTTTACCTCTAAATGGAAAAATTTACAAAGAAAAATACTCTGTAGAATACTGAATCTCAATTAATGAAATGCACGCTGAATTATTTAGGCAGAAGCATACTAATGTCTGCAATGACTGTGAGATGAATTTAAAAAATACGAAGGTAGACTGATGGATGGATAGACACATAGATATGTGATAAAGTAAGTACACTGTATGGTACGATGCTAATAGTTGAGTGTAGGTTTTGGACGTATGGATGTTTATTGTAAAATTCTTTCAACTTTGCTGTATGTTTGAAATTTTTATTAAAAAGTTAGAAAAGAATGCATAAAAACTATTGAAGAAAATATATTGAAGTCTCATTAAGATTGTTTCTGAATTCTTGGCTCACGCCTACAATCCCAGCACTCTGGGAGGCTGAGGTGGGCAGATCATGAGGTCTGGAGATCGAGACCATCCTGGTTAACATGGTGAAGCCCCGTCTCTACTAAAAAAACACAAAAAAAATTAGCCAGGTGTGGTGGTGGGCGCCTGTAGTCCCAGCTACTCGAGAGGCTGAGGCAGGAAATGGCATGAACCTGGGAGGCGGAGCTTGCAGTGAGCCAAGATCACACCACTGCACTCCAGCCTGGGTGACAGAGGGAGACTCCGTCTCAAAAAAAAAAAAAAAAAAAAAAAGATTGTTTCTGAGTTCTGAGAACATTAGTATGTTTTCCTCCTTTTTAATATTTTCTTCTGTTTCCCAATGCTTATGATTTTTTAAATTAATTTATTTTTTGGAGACAGGGTCTCACTCTGCTGCCCAGGCTAGAGTGCAGTGGCATGATCTCCGCTCACTGCAACCTCTGCCTCCCAGGCTCAAACGACCCTCCCACCTTACCTTCTCCAGCAGTTGTGACCACAGGCGTGCACCACCACACCCAGCTAATTTTATTTTTTGTAAAGATGTGGCTTTGCCATGTTGCCTAGGCTGGTCTCAAACTCTTGAACTCAAGCAATCCACCCACCTCAGCCTCCCAAAGAGCTGGGATTACAGGCATGAGCCACCACACCTGGCCCAAATGCTTATGATGTTTAAAATAAAATATGTTTTAAATTCCTGATTAATTAATGTAAGTTAACAATAAGTCCAACCTGCACTAACTTTCCTTAACAGAGGCATATTTTAAGAATTTTCTTATGACATATAAGGCATCTCTAAGCAATCAATCACCATTCACAGGTCAAAATGCTGATTTGATATAGTCATGTACTAAAACAATAGGTCATAGATTGACCAGTCTTAAAAGTATGTACAGATTTTTGATGTGTGATAAGCAACAAATGGTTCCAGCTGGCCTCTTCTCTGAAGATCTTCCCTCACTCTGAAATACTATAGTCTGAACATTAGCCACCTATACTAAGTTAGCTTGTTGATGAGAACAGAATGTAGCTGCTCCCTTTTCGCACTCAGTAAATCTGGACTACATAGGAACTCCTACAAAGAAGGACAAGTGTGAGTCACTAGAGATCAGCAACTAAAATGAGCAATATTTTACAAGCAATGCATTTACAAGTAGAAAGCATAGAGCATATTTAGTGAATGCTTCTTTTACAGATTTCCAAATTGCTTAAAATAGGATTTTGAATTTAAAAAGACAAAATTCTATTATTAAGATTGGAAGATTTTTTATAATAATTTAGGGATAACAAAAATTAAAACAATTAAATGATATATTTTGTTAAATCATTTATGTATTATACAATTGAAAATAAATTCTTCATAACTGGCACAGTATAATTTACAGTGCTTTAAAATTTTCTGCTATAGTTACTTCCACTGTTTCTCTAGGGACATGTTGATATAGAATTGTATCTGCTATAATAATCCTTAATTTAGTAACTGTGTTTGAAAGCATTTCTACTTCATGATTTCTCCTCTCCTCCAAGCCAACTATTCTGCATCTCCTTACAATATGCCCTATAAGTCATCAGGTGTCTGCCAGGATGACTCACTCTGCCTGTCCAGGATGATCCCATTGAAAGCACGTTAGAGACACCTCTCTTGCCCTGACCTGTCAAGGAGTTGTTGCTCCTTGAGTAATGCTTTTTCCATTCCCAAATGCTTTCATATACTCATCTCTTTTTGTCTCACAATATCCCTGTGGGATTCATAAAGCAAGTATTTTACAAGTTCAATTCTGATGAGATAAACTATATACAATATTGTTTACATTATTTCATTAAACTAGAATTTTGTTGTTATGAAGATGGTTTGGGAAAAAGAAGGTCAACAGTGGGGTTTGTTATAGAGCAATTTTAACTATAATGGTACTTGTATTAGGATTTAATCCATATCTCCATTTTATAAGTGGGAAACAAGGTCTATAGAGATTGAGAGATCTGCTCAGGATTAAGCATCTTCTATTAATACTTCCATAGAGAAAACTCTCTAATCTAGTCCTTGAAGAACTTACAGTCTAGTTGGGAGATGGCATGCACATATAAAAAGTCAACTAAAAACATAAAACAGTAGATACATGCTGAGTAAAACGTTCAGACAGCAAATTACAAACAGTGTTCAGAAAAGAGAGAGCCCTTTGCACTAGGGTGGTCAAGAAAACTTGAGAGAGCACCATGATATACTGTGAACGTGTCCAAGGTCAGAATTAGGACTCCATTCTAGAGGCGGCTCAGTCAATAATTCAACGTGACCCTCAGTAACTCATCTGAGTTTCCAGTTTTCCTCATCTAAGAATAGCATTAGATTCTTTAAAGTCCCTTTCAGCACTCTGATTCTATGTCCATCTTAAATCTTTTTTAGATGAGTCAGGAGAATAGATGGACAACTACCAAGCAACAGAGTTATGACATGTATAATGAAAGGGTCTGCTTAACCTGATTTGTGAAGAACTTACCTCAATTAATTTTCTCAACAACTCAGGATGTATGGAAGAGAGACTGAGCACTTTGTGCTGCAGTGATTTAAGTATTTTTCAAGATGTAAGGAGCATGGTATAAGTGAAGGAATGCTGGGCTGTGAGTCGAGAGAGTGATTAAGGGACTTCAGCAAGGTCTTTCAAGTACTCAGAAGTAGAATCAGGGGCTCAAATCCACATCTCCTGATTGTTAGATTAGTGTTTCTTTCCAAATATTTTGGGGCTTCAGATTCCTTCTTTCCTCTTTAAAATTTCTCAAAGCAGGAGTCAACATTCCCTGTCTTTACTTTCTTATAGCTTAATTATTGCTCATATCACTTTAATCAAGACTCTGCTTACATGACTGCACTGAAGCTATCTGTTTTTAAAAATCTGCATGCCTGTAGTTTCAGCTACTTGGAAGGACAAGGTAGGAGGATTTCTTGAGCCCAGGAGCTCAGGGACAGACTGGGCAACATAGAAAAAAACAAAAACAAAAAACACAATCACCTTGAATGACTGTCCAATTTACCAAAACATTTTCCTTTATAGTTTGTGCATCTATGGTGTTAAAAAATCATAGCCAACCCAATCAAGATCATAAAGATTTTCTCTTCTTATTAAAATAAAAACTTGAAACTTTTGCTTTTAATACTTGGGTTTTTATTTGGTCTGGAGTTAATTTTTTGTTGCATGGTGCAAAGAAGGGGTTCAATATGCTTTTCTGATTGAATATCCCATTTCCTCAGTATCATTTATCCCATTAGACTATCTCTTTACAACCACCCTGTTTTAATTGATAGGTATTTATAATATGCCTTAATATCTAATAGTGCTAGCCTTCTTCTCATTGTTCTTTTTTGGAGTTTTTGTAGCTAATTATGTTTATTTTTCCACATGTACTATAGTATCAACTTGTCAAAAAGCCTCAACAAAAAAGTTTTTGGTATTTTCATTGGGATTATATGAAATTTTTAAGTTAAAGAAAATTGACAAAGTTTGCTTGAAATTCTTCTTATCTAAAACATGGCATGTTTTTCCATTTGTATAAATCTTTTGTATGCTTCACTAATGTTTGAAAAGTTTATTTATAGATCCTGCATATTTATTATTAGGTTATTACAAGATACATTATCTTTCTGTGTTGCTACTGTGAGTTAGGTTTTTCCTTATATCTTCTTTCTGCTTGTTATCTGTAATATGGAAGCTGTTGACTTCTGCTATATTACTGAATTTTCTTATAGCTTTTTATGATTTCTAAATTAATATTCTTGGGATTTCCAGGTATTCAATAATATTATCTGCAAATATAAGTTTACTTCCTTCTTTTCAAATGACCATTGATTTCCTTCTCTTGTTTCATTGCATTATCTGTATTGAGAAAAATATAATAGTGATATTAGGCATCCTTGTCTTGTTACTTACTTCAGTGATGCACTGGTGTTCTAGTCCTGTCTAACAAATTACCTCAAACTTGGCAGCTTAAAACAACGTGCATCTATTAGCTCAGTTTCCATGTATCAGGAACCCAGGCACGGCTTAGCTGGGTGTTCTGCTCAGGACTTCATAAAGCTGAAATGAAGGTGTTGCCTAGGTTGTGTTTATTTCTGAAGCTCAGAGTCCTCTTCTAAGCCTAAGTGGTTGTTGGCAGAATTCAGTTCCTTGCAGCTGTGGGAATGAAGTCCCTGTTTTCTTGTTGGCTGTTGGTCTGGGGCTGTTCTCAGGTCCTAAAAGCTTCTTGCAGTTCCCTGCCATGTGGGCCTCTCAAAACATGGTGACTTATTTCTTTAAGACCAACAGAAAAATCTTTCAGGGAAAGCTTGAATCCTTTTTTTTTTTTTTTTTTTTGAGACGGAGTCTTGCTTTGTTGCCCAGGCTGGAGTACAGTGGCGCAATCTCGGCTCACTGCAAGCTCCACCTCCCAGGTTCACGCCATTCTCCTGCCTCAGCCTCCCAAGTAGCTGGGTCTACAGGCACCCACCACCACGCCCGGCTAATTTTTTTGCATTTTTAATAGAGACGGGGTTTCACCGTGTTAGCCAGGATGGTCTCGATCTCCTAACCTCATGATCCGCCTGCCTTGGCCTCCCAAAGTGCTGGGATTACAGGTGTGAGCCACCGCGCCCGGCCGCTTGAATCCTCTTTTAAAGGACTTGCCAGATTAAGTTAGACTTTCTCAGGATGATCTCTCTCTTCATTAACTCAAAGTCAACTGATGAGGGATATTAATCATGTCTGCAAAACCCCTTTACCCTTGCCATATTCCACTGGTTAAAGGCAAGACACAGGTTTTACCTACACCCATGGGAGGGGATTATATAAGGTATGGATACTGGGGTGTGGGGATCACAGAGGCCACCTTAGTTAGAATTCTGCCTACTACTAATGCTAATGTTTCCAGAGTTTCCCCATCAAGCATAACACTATGCAATTTCCATTTATCCTATTTATTGAGTTACAAAATTAAGAATAGGTATTGAATTGTGTGAAATTTATTTTCAATGTCTATAGAAATAATCATGATTTTTCACATTAGATCTATTAATTCACTAATATTGAATCTTCCCTGCCTTTCTAGGATAAACTACACTTGGCTATAATGTTTGTTATTCATTTAATGTTCTGCTGTATTCTGGCTGACAATATTTTTAAAAGGGGTTTGCACCAATATTTTTAAATGTATGGTTTGGCTTTTCTTTTCCTATGCAATACTGGCATTTTTGGAATCAATGTTATGCTGTCTGTATTGAAAACATGGAAGAGTTTTCCTTCTTTTTCAATACTCTCAAACAATTTTAAAATCATTAGAATTCTCTGTTTCTTAAAAAGTTGGTAGATTTTACTGTGAAATCCTTGGTTTGAATGCAGCTTTTCGATATTTTACTAAATTTCTTTAATGTAAATTGGCATGTTTAGATTTACTAAATACAGTTGGCCCTCCATATCCGTGGATTCTGCATCTGTGAATTCAACCAACTGCAGATTGAAAACATTTTTTTAAAACACATCTGTACAGACTTTTCTTGTCATTATTCCCTAAACAATACAGTATAACAACTATTTACATGGCATTTGCATTGTAGTATTATAAGTAATCTAGAAATGATTTAAAGTATATGGGAGGATGTGCATAGGCTACATGCAAATACTACGTTACTACATCATTTTTTATCAGGGACTTGAGCATCTGTGCATTTTGGTATCTGCAGGAGGTCCTGAAACCAATCGTCCATAGAAACCAAACACAACTATATACATATTAATTTTTTCACTCATAGAACCAGCTGTATTCAGGAAGAGGAGACATAATCCTGCCACCTTGGCTTTCATTTTCTTCTTTTGGCAACACTAGGAAACCCCTATTGGCCAAAGGATTATGTTCAATCTCTTTCACATTGTTCTCTTACTATCTTTCTGGTCTCATCTTTTAATACTGTCTACCTCAATCTCTGAACTTCCACAACAATGACCTGCTTATAGTTCCTGGCCCTCTCCTTACATGTTTTATACTTCTATGCCTTATTTGCACTGTGCTATTTGCCAGAACTGCCTCTTTCCCCTTTTTAATATAGCTATATTTTATCTTTTAAGACTCATATCGGCCATCATTTTTTCTAAAACCCTACTTTGATCTGGGTTAGTTATCTCTCTATGCTCTTGATAAACTGATTGATACTTATCCGTATATATGTCTATCTCCTCCATTAGAATGTGAGATCCATGAGGGCAAGGACAGTGTCTTTTTATAGCCCTAGTATATTACACAGTGTGTTGTGTATGACAGGTGTTCAATACATGATTTTTGAATGAATGAAAGTATGAATGTAGAGAGTGCTGAGATGAAAAAGGTAGTTGACTTCAAGTATTTGAAGCATTTTCATAAGGAACAGACTTGTTCTTTTTACTATGTAAGGTGGTACTAGGATCACTAAGTGAAGGTTATTAAGAGGCAGATTTAAGCTTAATATCAGTAAGAATTTCTTCACGTTTAGAGTTGTTCTGTGATAGACAACAATGTCATGAAACATTGACCTTTCACACTAGAAGAACTTAAAGTAGAACATCTTGTAGGATACTATTAAAAATAGTCTTGCATTGAGTTTTCAAGTAATTTTCAAGCTGTAATGCCTACAGCCCTATGGGTTCCAAAGAGACACTTCAGGATTGGGGGTGGGGAAGGAAAGGAAAGGAAAAGGAAAAGAAGACCCAATCAAATGAAACTCTGAATTTCCTACTTTTCCTCTATAACAACAGCAGCTCTGCTGTTTTGCTTTCTTCTGATACACTGGGTTTTCAGCTATAATACGGTGGTTTGAATAAAGAGGTCCAAAACTGTTAAAAACATTTGAAAACCACTTGACTAGCCATTTCACATCTACAGTATACACACTTCGCCCTGCCACACACACACTTCTAAATGTTATATCTATATATCTAGAGATACATATGTAGATATTGAAAGATATCTATTATATATCAATCGTATAACCTGTGTGAGGGGATCTATAGATATACTTATATCTGGATATAGATGTATCACCTCATACAGCACCTTGCACATGAGTCATAGATGCTCAGTAAATGTGTTTTCTCTTTCTTGTTCTTTTGCCCCTTTGTTCCCTCAAAATCTCTTGAAGGGTCACAACGTTGTATTGTTATGTAGATAAGTTGTTTCTTCAGCTTTCCTATGAGCTCCATCAAGGTAAATACTACATAGTTTTCTTCTTTGTAGTTCCTGCAGCACCACAACATTGTATTCCCCTATACAAAACACTCTGAACCTCTGACCACATAAAACATAAAGGTTTAGTTACCATTTTCCTGGCTAAGTAGCTATATTAGGAATAGAACAAGTTGAAATTATATGATTAAGTAATCATAAAAAAAATGGTGTAGAATGAAAGGTATGAATTAAAACATCAATGGTCCCAGTAAGGAGAACAAAAACGGAGGTCCTGCTGTGTTCTCTGATGGTCTGGCATGATGTGGCTAAGTACCTACAGCAAGCCTATAACCTATTTCTTACATAGATCGGGACCCTTGGTCCTGCTTTGGACTAGATTTTTGCTACAGATTTATGGTACAGATTTCTTTTGAGCATTTTTTTTTTCTGCTGAAATAACGATACTGAAACCCTGGGTTCTTCTGCATCTCAGGGCTCTATTTCTCCCTAATTGCCTGGGTACCTACTGTCCCTGGCTTTGTAATATAAGGTTGACAAATATTCCAGAACAAAAAAGTTATCTTAACTAAGGGTAAAATGTACAACCCCCAAATTCCAAGCCATGTGGGATATATCCTGGCATTAGATCGCAAAGATTAACAGTAGTTTTACCTCTAGCTTTTCATTATAAAAGTCTCTTGTAGTATAATTTAATGTAGCACGATTTGTGTTTTCTCCTACAAGTCTTTTGCTGTCATTATTTTCTTCGTTGATAATACCAGGTTTTTTTCCTTTGGATTCTAGTAGATACCGAAATTGCTTTTTCCTGTAGAAAGACAGTAAAGAGATTTAGAGAGTTACTTATCAGACTTACTAAAACATGTCTATTTTTTGTTGACTTTAGAGGAGAACATATACTTTTTTGAATATATATTTTAATGAGTTTGAGTTTATGATTTATTTGAGTTCAGTCTGGTACCCCAAACTTTCTACTAATTAAGCTATTCAGCCCCAATTATTTTTTCCATAACTACTAATCATCAATGAAAATACGTCTCAAACATTTCTAAAATGAAAAAACTCTCCTTTAATAAAAATCAACACAAAAATTAATCACAGAGCACAAAACAACCCAAAAAGATATAGTAGGTCAAACTTTCAAAGTCTTCATGTCCCATAAAACATGCTAATTACCACTTATAAATCACACAAATGGTTAATAATTCCATTATGCAGCTTGGCAATATTACTGATAGCTAGAAAATGGAATTGGATCTTGGCTTAAGTTTAGGCAAAACCAAAATAACCCAAAAACCAAAAACCTCCAATTGTGAGCATATCATGGCAAGATTCTAGTAGGGGTTAAATATTGAAACAAGAAGCCTCATTTGATTGTGAAGAGGAACATACATAGTGCTCATAGTATCACTTACAGAGCCATCAGCCATGATTCGTCCTCCATGAAGGTGGATTTTTGGTTTCCACCACTTAGGGTGTCTCAAAATGATACTACTACCTTACTGTGAACTGTGTACTGAAGATTGAGGGCAGAAGAGGAATATAACTTTTTTAAACATTTATTTTTCTCTGATCTAAAAGTATAACACAATAATTTTAGAGATTTTTAGGAAGTGCAAATTTGAAAAGTATAAAGAAATGGATAAAAACCACCCATAAGTTTTCATAAATTAATAATGTTCATATTTGAAAAGGTGACCTACAGAATGGGAGAACATTTTTGCTATCTATCCATCTGACAAAGGGCTTATCTAGAATCTACAAAGAACTTAAACAAATTTACAAGAAAAAAACAAACAACCCCATCAAAAAGTGGGCAAAGGATATAACAAACACTTCTTAAAAGAAGACATTTATGCAGCCAACAGACATATGAAAAAATGCTCATCATCACTGGTCATTAGAGAAATGCAAATCAAAACCACAATGAGATACCATCTCACACCAGTTAGGATGGCGATCATTAAAAAGTCAGGAAACAACAGATGCTGGAGAGGATGTGGAGGAATAGGAGTTCTTTTACACTGTTGGTGGGAGTGTAAATTAGTTCAACCATTGTGGAAGACAGTGTGATGATTCTTTGAAGGCCTGGAACCAGAAATACGATTTGACCCAGCAATTCCATTAGTGGGTATATACCCAAAAGAATATAAGTCATTCTATTATAACATATACATGTATGTTTATTGCAGGGCTATTCACAATAACAAAGACATGGAATCAACCCAAATGCCCATCAGTGATAGACTGGATAAAGAAAATGTGGAATATATATATACCATGGAATACTATGCAGCCATAAAAAGGATGAATTCATGTCCTTTGCAGGGACATGAATGAAGCTGGAAACCATCATTCTCAGCAAACTATCACAAGAACAGAAAACCAAACACCGCACATTATCACTCACAAGTGGGAGTTGAACAATGAGAACACATGGACATAGGGAGGGGAACATCACACACCAGGGCCTGTCAGGGGGTGGAGGGCTAGGGCAGGGATACCATTAGGAGAAATACCTAATGTAGGTGACAGGTTGATGGGTGGAGCAAACCACCATGGCACGTGTATACCTATGTAACAAAACTGCACATTCTGCACATGTACCCCAGAACTTAAAGTATAAAAAAAAATAAATCTTTAAAAAAAACAATAATAATGTTCACATTTGACATATTTCGTTGCAAACTTCTTCTATAAATTTTTGTAAAAAATTAAGATTATACTAAACATACAACTTTGTATACTGTTTTCACTTAATGCTATATAAGTATTTTCTGTATCATTAAAAATTATAATTTTAATACCTGAATAAAAATCAATTGTGATATATATCACAATTTACTTAATTGGTTCCTCTTATAGGATAGTTACATAGTATAATTTTCTCACCTTTGTAAAGAAAAAAATGAGTAACATATAGATCTTTTCTTCTATTTATTTTAAGTTCCAG
The DNA here is from genome assembly GCF_000001405.40 of Homo sapiens. Taxonomy (NCBI): domain Eukaryota; kingdom Metazoa; phylum Chordata; class Mammalia; order Primates; family Hominidae; genus Homo; species Homo sapiens. Next base: position 71,035,033 of record NC_000015.10, on the reverse strand, counting down.
GATACCTGTGCAGGATGTGCAGCTTTGTTACACAGTGAAACATTTATCATGGTGGTTTGCTGCACCTATCAACCCATCACTAGGTATTAAGTCCCACATGCATTAGCTATTTATCCTGATGCTCTCCCTCCTCCTGCCCTCTGGTAGGCCCCAGCGTGTATTGTTCCCCTCCCTGTGACCATATGTTCTCATTGTTCAGCTCCCACTTATAAGTGAGAACATGTGGTGTTTGGTTGTCTGTTCCTGTGTTAGTCCGCTGAGGCTAATGGCTTCCATCTCGATCATCCATGTCCTTGCAAGGGACATGACCTCATTTCTTTTTATGATTGCATAGTATTCCATGGCATATTCCATGGCATATCCATACCACAATTTCTTTATCCAGTCTATCACTGATGGGCATTTGGGTTGATTCCATGTCTTTGTTATTGTGAATAGTCCTGCAATAAACATACATGTACATGTTATAATAGAATGATTTATATTCCTTTGGGTATATACCCACTAATGGAATTGCTGGGTCAAATCGTATTTCTGGTTCCAGGTCTTTGAAGAGTCACCACACTGTCTTCCACAATGGTTGAACTAAATTACATTCCCACTAACAGTGTAAAAGCATTCCTATTTCTCCACATCCTCTCCAGCATCTGTTGTTTCTAGATTTTTTAATAATCGTCATTCTGAATGGCATGAGATAGTATTTCATTGAGGTTTGATTTGCATTTCTCTAATAATCAGTGATGTCGACCTTTTTTTCATATGTTTGTTGGCCACATAAATCTCTTCTTTTGAGAAGTGTCTGCTCATGTCCTTTGCCCACTTTTTGATGGGGTTTGTTTTTTTCTTGTAAATTTGTTTAAGTTCCTTGTAGATTCTGGATATTAGGCCTTTGTCAGATGGGTAGCTTGCAAAAATTTTCTCCCATTCTGTAGGTTGCCTTGTTTGCTCTGATGATAGTTTCTTTTGCTGTGCAGAAGCTCTTTAGTTTGTTTAGATCCCCTTTGTCAATTTTTGCTTTTGTGGCAATTACTTTTGATGTTTTCGTCATGAAATCTTTGCTTGTGCCTATGCCTGAATGGTATTGCCTAGATTTTCTTCTAGGCTTTTTATAGTTTTGGGTTTTACATTTAAGTCTTTAATCTATCTTGAGAATTTTTGTGTAAGGTGTAAGGAAGGGGTCCAGTTTCAATTTTCTGCATATGGCTAGCCAGTTTTCCCAGTACTATTTATTAAATAGGGAATCCCTTCCCCATTGCTGGTTTTTGTCAAGTTTGTTGAAGATCAGATGGTTGTAGATGTGTGGTCTTATTTCTGAGATTTCTATTCTGTTCCACTGGTGTATGTGTCTGTTTTGGTACCAGTACCATGCTGTTTTGGTTACTGTAGCCTTGTAGTATAGTTTGAAGTCAGGTAGCTTGATGCCTCCAGCTTTGTTCTTTTGCTTAGGATTGTCTTGGCTGTATGGGCTCTTTTTTGGTTCCATATAAATTTTAAAGTAGTTTTTTTCTAATTCTGTGAAGAATGTCAATGGTAGTTTAATGGAAGTAGCATTGAATCTGTAAATTGCTTTGGGCAGTATGGCCATTTTCATGATATTGATTCTTCTTATCCATGAGCATGGAATGTTTTTCTATTTGTTTGTGTCCTCTATGATTTCCTTCAGCAGTGATTTGTAGTTCTTCTTGAAAATAGAACAAGCAGTTCTCCTTGAAGAGGTCCTTCACTTCCCTTGTTAGCTGTATTCCCAGGCATTTTATTCTCTTTGTAGCAATTGTGAATGGGAGTCCATTCATGATTTGGGTCTCTGCTCGTCTAATATTGGTGTGTAGGAATGCTTGCAATTTTTGCACATTGATTTTGTATCCTGAGACTGCTGAAAAGTTGCTTATCAGCTTAAGCAGCTTTTGGGCTGAGACAATGGGGTTTTCTAGATATAGGACCATGTCATCTGCAAATAGAGACAGTTTGACTTCTTCTCTTCCTTTTTGAATACGCTTTATTTCTTTCTCTTGCCTGATTGCCCTGGCCAGAACTTCCAATACTATGTTGAATAGGAGTAGTGAGAGAGGGCATCCTTATCTTCTGCTGGTTTTCAAGGAGAATACTTCCAGCTTTTGACCATTCAGTATGATATTGACTATGGGTTTATCATAAATGACTCCTATTATTTTGAGGTACATTCCATCAATACCTGGTTTATTGAAAGTTTTTAACATGAAGGGATGTCAAATTTTATTAATGGCCTTTTCTGCGTCTATTGAGATAATCATGTGGTTTTGGTCTTTAGTTCTGTTTATGTGATGAATTACGTTTATTGATTTGCCTATGTTGAACCAACCTTGCATCCCAGGGATGAGGCCAAAGTGATGGTGTTGAATAAGCTTTTTGATGTGATGCTTGATTTGGTTTGCCAGTATTTGATTGAAGATTTTTGTATTAATGATCATCAGGGATATTGGCCTGAAGTTTTCTATTTTGTTGTACCTCTGCCAGGTTTTGGTATCAGGATGATAATGGCCTCATAAAATGAGATAGGGAGAAGTCCCTCCTTTTCAATTGTTTGGAATAGTTTTGGAAGAAATAGTACAGAATAGAAGGAACCAAGAGGGCAGAATAGGAACAGCTCCAGTCTGCAGCTCCCAGCGAGACCAACACAGAAGGCGGGTGATTTCTGCATTTCCAACTGAGGTACCCAGTTCATCTCATTGGGACTGGTTAGGCAATGGGTCCAACCCACAGAGGGTGAGCAGAAGCAGGGTGGGGCATCACTTCACCTGGGAAGTGCAAGGAGCCAGGGATCTCCCTCCCCAAGCCAAGGGAAGCCGTGAGGGACTGTGCTACCCCGCTGGGTTACTACACTTTTCCCATTAATTTGCAATCTGCTGATCAGGAGATTCCCTCATGTGCCTACATCACCAGGGTCCTGAGTTTCAAGCACAAAACTGGGCAGCTGTTTGGGAAGACATTGAACTAGCTTTAGGAGTATTTTTTCATACCCCAGTGGCGCCTGGAACCCCAGTGAGACAGAACCGTTCACTCCCCTGGAAAGCGGTCTGAAGCCAGGAAGCCAAGTGGTCTCACTCAGTGGGTCCCACTCCCACAGAGTCCAGCAAGCTAAGAACCACCGGCTTGAAATTCTCACTGCCAGCACAGTAGGCTGAAGTTGACCCGGGATGATCGAGCTTGGTGGGGGGAGGGGTGTCCACCATTACTGAGGTTTTAGTAGGCAGTTTTCCCCTGACAGTGCTAAGGAGGCTGGGAGGTCTGGGCTGGGCATGGCAAAGTGACTCTGGCCAGACTGCTTCTCTAGATTCCTCCTTACTGGGCAGGGCATCTCTGAAGGAAAGGTAACAGCCCCATTCAGGGGCTTACAGACAAAATCCCCATCTTCCTGGGACAGAGCACCTGGGGAAGGGGTGGCTATGGGCACAGCTTCAGTGGATTTAATCGTTCCTGCCTGCCAGCTCTGAAGACAGCAGCTGATCCTGACAAGAGGGATTCTCCCAGCACAGTGCACGAGCTCTGCTAAGGGACAGACTGCCTCCTCAAGTGGATCCCTGACCCCCGTGCCTCCTGAATGGGAGAAACCTCCCAACAGGGGCCAACAGACACCTCATACAGAAGAGTGCTGGCTGGCATCAGGCCAATGCCCCTCTGGGACGAAGCTTCCAGAGGAAGGAGCAGGCAGCAATCTTTGCTGTTCTGCAGCCTCCACTGGTGATACCCAGGTGAACAGGGACTGGAGTGGACCTCCAGCAAACTGCAGCAGACCTGCAAAAAAGGGGCCTGACTGTTAGAAGAAAAACTAACAAACAGAAAGCAACATCAACATAAAGGATCCCCACACAAAAACCCCATCCAAAGGTCATTAGCCTCAAAGATCAAAGGTAGATAAATCCACAAAGATGAGGAAAAACCAGCTCAAAAATGCTGAAAATTCCCAAAACCAGAATGCCCCTTCTCCAAATGATTGCAACTCCTCCCCAGCAATGGCACAAATCTGGACAGAGAATGAGATTGACAATTTGACAGAAGTAGGCTTCAGAAGATGGGTAATAACAAACTCTTTTGAGCTAAAGGAGCATGGTCTAACCCAATGTTCTTGATAAAAGGTTACAGGAATTGCTAACTAGAATAACCAGTTTAGAAAGGAACATAAATGACCTGATGGAGCTGAAAAACACAGCACGAGAACTTCATGAAGCATATATAAGTATCAATAGCTGAATCTTTCAAGCAGAAGAAAGGATATCAGAGATTGAAGATCAACTTACTGAAATAAGGCATGAAGACAAGATTAGAGAAAAAAGAATGAAAAGGAATGAACAAAGCCTCCAAGAAATATGTGACTATATGAAAAGACCAAACCTACGATTGATTGGTGTACCTGAAAGTGAAGGAGTGAATGGAACCAAGTTGGAAAACACACTTCAGAATATTATCCAGGAGAACTTCCCCAACCTAGCAAGACAGGCCAACATTCAAATTCAGGAAATACAGAGAACACCACTAAGATACTCCTCAAGAAGAGCAACCCCAAGACACATAATCCCCAGATTCTCCAAGGTTGAAACAAAGGAAAAAATGTTAAGGGCAGCCAGAGAGAAAGCTCAGGTTACCCACAAAGGGAAGCCCGTCAGACTAACAGTGGATCTCTCTGCAGAAACCCTGAAAGCCAGAAGAGAGTGGTGGCCTATATTCAACATTCTTAAAGAAAAGAATTTTCAACCCAGAATTTCATATCCAGCCAAACTAAGCTTCATAAGTGAAGGAGAAATAAAATTACAGACAAGCAAATGCTAAGGGATTTTGTCACCACCAGGCCTGCCTTACAAGAGCTCCTAAAGAAAGCACTAAATATGGAAAGGAAAAATTGGTACCAGCCACTGCAAAAACATACCAAAATATAAAGACCAAAGATACTATGTAGAAACTGCATCAACTAATGTACAAAATAACCAGCTAGTATCATGATGAGAGAATCAAATTCACACATAATAATATTAACCTTAAATGTAAATGGGCTAAATGCCCCAATTAAAATAATCAGACTAGCAAATCAGATAAAGGGTTAAGACCCATCGGTGTGCTGTATTCAGGAGACCCATCTCACATGCAGAGACACACATAGGCTCAAAATAAAGGGATGGAGAAATATTTACCAAGCAAATGGAAAGCAAAAAAAGCAAGGGTTGCAATCTTAGTCTGTGATAAAACAGACTTTAAATCAACACAGGTCAAAAAAGACAGAGAAGGGCATTACATAATGGTAAAGGGATCAATGCAACAAGAAGAGCTAACTATCCTAAATATATATGCGTCTAATACGGGAGCACCCAGATTCATAAAACAACTTCTTAGAGACCTACAAAGGGACTTAGACTCCCACACAGTAACAGTGGGAGACTTTAACAGCCCACTGTCAATATTAGACAGATCAACAAGACACAAAATTAACAAGGATATTCAGGATTTGAACTCAGCTCTGGACCAAGCGAACCTAATAGACATCCACAGAACTCTCCACCCCAAATCAACAGAATATACATTCTTCTCAGCACCACATAGCATGAATTCTAAAATTGACCACATAACTGGAAGCAAAACACTCCTCAGCAAATGCAAAAGAAGAGAAACCATAACAGTCTCTCACACCACAGTGCAATCAAATTAGAACTCAGGATTAAGAAACTCACTCCAAACTACATGGAAATTGAACAATCTGCATGGGACTACATGGAAATTGAACACTCTGCTCCTGAATGACTACTGGGAAAATAGTACACAACTACATGGAAATTGAACAATCTGCTCCTGAATGACTACTCGGTAAATAATGAAATTAAGGCAGCAATAAAGAAGTTCTTTAAAACCAATGAGAACAAATAGACACATACCAGAATCTCTGGGACACAGCTAAAGCAGTGTTAAGAGGGAAATTTATAGCACTAAATGCCCCAAAACAGAAAGCTGGAAAGATATAAAATCGACACCCTAACGTTACAATTAAAAGAACTAGAGAAACAAGAGCAAAGAAATTCTAAAACTAGCAGAAGACAAGAAATAACAAATATCAGAGCAGAAATGAAGGAGATAGAGACATGAAAAACCCTTCAAAAAAATCAGTGAATCCAGGAGCTGGTTTTTTGAAAAGATTAACAAAGTAGACGGACTGCTAGCCAGACTAATAAAGAAGAAAAGAGAGAGGAATCAAATAGACACAATAAAAAATGATAAAGGGGAGTTCACCACTGATCCCACAGAAATACAAACTACCATCAGAGAATACTATAAACATCTCTATGCCAATAAACTAGAAAACTTAGAAGAAACTGATAAATTCCTGGACACATACACCCTCCCAAGACTAAACCAGGAAGAAGTCGAATCTCTGAATACACCAATAACAACTTCTGAAATTGAGGCAGTAATTAATAGTGTGCCAACCAAAAAAGCCCAGATCCAGATGGATTCACAGCTGAATTCTACCAGAGGTACAAAGAGGAGCCGGTAGCATTCCTTCTGAAACTATTCCAAACAACAGAAAAAGAAGGACTCCTCCCTAACTCATTTTATGAAGCCAGCATCATCCTGATACTGAAACCTGGCAGAGACACAACAAAAAAAGAAAATTTCAGGCCAATATCAATGATGAACATTGATACAAAAATCCTCAATATAATACTGGCCAACTGAATCCAGCAGGACATCAAGAAGCTTATCCAGCATGATCAAGTTGGCTTTATCCCTGGGATACAAGGCTGGTTCAACATACACAAATCAATAAACGTAATCCATCACATAAACAAAACCAATGACAAAAACCATATGATTATCTCAACAGATGCAGAAAAGGCCTTCGATAAAATTAAACATCGCTTCATGCCAAAAACTCTCAATAAATTGGTTATTGATGGAACATATCTCAAAATAATAAGAGCTATTTATGACAAACCCATAGCCAGTATTATACTGAATGGGCAAAAGCTGGAAGCATTCCCTTTGATAACTGTAACGAGACAAGGATGCCCTCTCTCACCACTGCTATTCAACATAGTATTGGAAGTTCTGGCCAGGACAATCAGGCAAGAGAAAGAAATAAAGTGTATTCAAATAGGAAGAGAGGAAATCAAATTGTTTCTGTTTGCAGACGACATGACTGTATATTTAGAAAACCCCATTGTCTCAGCCCAAAAACTCCTTAAGCTGATAAGCAACTTTTCAGCAAAGTCTCAGGATACAAAATCAATGTGCAAAAATCACAGGCATTCCTATACACCAACAACAGACAAGCACAGAGCCAAATCATGAGTGAACTACCATTCACAATTGCTACAAAGAGAATAAAATACCTAGGAATACAACTTACAAGGGATGTGAAGGACCTCTTCAAGGAGAACTACAAATAATCAAATAGGAAATAAGAGAGGACACAAACAAATGGAAAAATATTCCATGCTCATGGATAGAAGGAATCAATATCATGAAAATGGCCATACTGCCCAAAGTAATTTATAGATTCAATGCTATTCCCATCAAGCTACCAGTGAGTTTCCTTGTAGAATTAGATAAAAGTACTTTAAATTTCATATGGAACCAAAAAAGAGCCCATATAGGCAAGGCAATCCTAAGCAAAAAGAACAAAGCTGGAGGCATCACGCTACCTGACTTCAAACTAGGCTACAAGGCTACAGTAACCAAAACAACATGGTACTGGTACCAAAACAGACATATAGACCAATGGAACAGAACAGAGACCTCAGAAATTACACCACACATCTACAACCATCTGATCTTCAACAAATCTGACAAAAACAAGCAATGGGGAAAGGATTCCCTATTTAATAAATGGTGCTGGGAAAACTGGCTAGCCATATGCAGAAAACTGAAACTGGACCCCTTCCTTACACCTTTTACAAAAAGTATCTCAAGATGGATTAAAGACTTAAATGTAAAACCTAAAACCACAAAACCCCTAGAAGAAAACCTAGGCAATACCATTCAGGACATAGTCATGGGCAAAGACTTCATGACTAAAACATGAAAAGCAATGGCAACAAAAGCCAAAATTGACAAATGGGATATAATCAAACTATAGAGCTTCTGCACAGCAAAAGAAACTATCATCAGAGTGAACAGGCAACCTACAGAATGGGAGAAAATTTTTGCAAGCGACCCATCTGACAAAGGTCTAATATCCAGAATCTACAAGGAACTTAAAGCAAATTTACAAGAAAAAAACAAACAACCCCATCAAAAAGTGGGTGAAGGATATGAAAAGACACTTCTCAAAAGAAGACATTTATGTGGCCAACAAACACATGAAAAAAAGCTCATCATCACTGGTTATTAGAGAAATGCAAATCAAAACCACAATGAGATAATATGTCAGTTAGAATGGCGATTATTAAAAAGTCAACAAACAACAGATGCTGGCGAAGCTGTGGAGAAATAGGGTCTTGCTCTGTCACCCAGGCTGGGGTGAAGTTCTTTTACACTGTTGGTGGGAGTGTAAATTAGTTCAACCATCGTGGAAGACTGTGTGGTGATTCCTCAAGGATCTAGAACCAGAAATACCATTTGACCCAGCAATCCTATTACTGGGTATATACCCAAAAGATTATAAATCATTCTACTACGAAGACACATGCACATGTATGTTTATTGCAGCACTATTTATAATAGCAAAGACTTGGAACCAACCCAAATGCCCATCAGTGATAGACTGAATAAAAAAATGTGGCACATATACACCATGGAATACTACGCAGCCATAAAAAAGAATGAGTTCATGTCCTTTGCAGGGACATGGATGAAGCTGGAAGTCATTATTCTCAGCAAACCAACAGAGGAGCAGAAAACCAAACACTGCATGTTCTCACTCATAGGTGGGAGTTGAAAAATAAGAACACATGGACACAGGGAGGGGAACATCACACAACAGGGCCTGTCAGGGGGTGGGGGGCTAAGGGAGGGAATAACATTAGGAGAAATACCTGTAGATATCTATAAGGTCCACTTGATCCAGAGCTGAGTTCAAGTTCTGAAAATCCTTGTTAATTTTCTGTCTCAATGATCTAATGTTGACAGTGGGGTGTTAAAGTCTCTCACTATTATTGTGTGGGAGTCTAAGTCTCTTTGTAGGTCTCTAAGAAGTTGTTTCATGAATCTGGGTGCTCCTGTATTGGGTGCATATATACTTAGGATAGTTAGCTCTCCTTGATCCATTTACTATTATGTAATGCCCTTCTCTGTCTTTTTTGATCTGTGTTGGTTTAAAGTCCGTTTTGTCAGAAACTAGGATTGCAACCCCTGTTTTTTTTTTTCTTTCTATTTGCTTGGTAAATTTTCCTCCATCCCTTTGTTTTATTTTATTATTTCATTTTATTTTATTTTGTGTGTCTTTGCACATGAGATGGGTCTCTTGAATACAGCACACCGATGGGTCTTGACTTTTTATCCAGCTTGCCATTCTGTGTCTTTTAATTGGGGCATTTAGCCCATTTAAGGTTAATATTGTTTTGTGTGAATTTGATCCTGTCATCATGATGCTAGCTGGTTATTTTGCAGACTTGTTGATGTAGTTGCTTCATAGTGTCATTGGTCTTTGTACTTCAGTGTGTTTTTGCAGTGGCTGGTAATGGCTTTTCCTCCAATCTCTTCTGGCTTGTAGGCTTTCTGCTGAGAGGTCCACTGTTAGCCTGATAGGCTTCCCTTTGTAGGTGACTGGCTTTTCTCTCTGGCTGCCCTTAACATTTTTTCCTTCATTTCAATCTTGGAGAATCTGATAATTGTGTGTCTTGGGGTTGATCTTCTCATGGAGTATCTTACTGGGGTTCTCTGGATTTCCTGAATATGAATGTTAGCCTGTCTTGTTAGGTACGGGAAGTTCTCCTGGATGATATCTTGAAGTATGTTTTCCAGCTTGGTTCCATTCTCCCTGTCTCTTTCAGGTTCCCCAGTCAGCTGTAGGTTTTGTCTTTTTACATAATCCCATAGTTCTCAGAGATTTTGTTCATTCCTTTTCATTCTTTTTCCTCTAATCTTGTCTGCCTTCTTATTTCAGCAAGACAGTCTTCAAGCTCTGAAATTCTTTACTCTGCTTGGTATATTCAGTTATTGATACTTGTGGTTGCATTGTGAAGTTCTTGTGTTTTTCAGTTCCATCAGGTCGCTATGTTCCTCTCTAAACTGGTTATTCTGGTTAACAGCTCCTGTAATCTTTTAGCATGGTTCTTGGCTTCTTTGCACTATTTTGTCAATTCATCCAAATCAGCCTTCACCCAGTTCTGTGTCCTTGCTGGAGAGGTGTTGTGATCATTTGGAGGAGGAGAGGCATTCTAGCTTTTTGAGTTTTCAATGTTTTTTTTTTTCATTGATTCTTTCTCATCTTCGTGAGTTAATTTATCTTCGATCTTTGAGGCTGCTGACCTTTGGATGGGGTTCTTATGGGGACTTTTTTGTTTATGCTGTTGTTGTTGTTGTTGCTTTCCTTCAACAGTCAGCCCCTCTTCTGTAGGGCTACTGTGGTTTGTGGGGGGTCCACTCCAGACACTATTCAACTGGGTCCCTCCTGCACTTGGAGGTGTCATCAGTGGAGGCTGCAAAACAGTAAAGATGACTGCCTGCTCCTTCCTCCGGGGTCTCTGTCCTAGAAGGGCACCAATCTGATGCCAGTGGGAATGCTCCAGTATAAGGTGTCTGGCAACCCTTGTTGAGGGGAGTCTCACCCAGTCAGGAGGCATGGGATCCAGCACCCGCTTAATGAAGCACTCTGGCTGTCCCTTAGTGGAAGGGGTGCACTGCACTGGGAGGAATCCCACTTGTCTGGACTACCCAGATACCTCAGAGCCAGCAGGAGAAAGACTAAATCGGCTGATCTGTGGAGACTGTGGCTGCCCCTCAGGGGCTCAGTCCCAGGGAGATCAGAGGTCTGTCCCTAAACCCCTGGCTGGAGTTGCTGAAATTCCTGCAGGGAGGCCCTACCTAGTAAGCAGGGATGGGTTACTGCAGTGATGGCTGCCATTCCTGTCTCTGGGAGCTCAGTGGTCTTAGGCAGCAGTCAGATGCAGTGATGGCATCTGCCCCTCCCCTGGGAAGCTCAGTCGTCTTAGGCAGCAGGCAGCTGCAGTGATGGCCTCTGTCCCTCCCTCAAGGAGTTCAGTTGTCTTAGGCAGCAGGCAGCCTCAGTGATGGTGACTGCCTCTCCCCCGAGGAACTCAGTAGTCTTAGGCAGTCTCCAGCCGAGTGGTCACTGAGAATCTGCACAGCTCTGTGCTTGAGATCCAAGGCCCTGGTGGCATGGGCTCATAAGGGGGATCTCCTGATCTGTGGGTTGCACAGATCCATGGAAAAATTGTGGTTTCCCAGGCAGGGTAGCACAATCACTCAATGCCTCCCTTGGCTGGGGGTGGGAGCTCCCCTTGCCCTGTGTGGCTCTCAGGTGGGCCATCGCACCACCCTGTTTTTCCTCTCTCTCCATGGGTTGTGCCAACTGCCCAAGTCAGTCTCAATAAGAGGGCCTGGATACCTCAGTTGCTGGTGCAGGATTCACTCACCATTTTTGTTCTTCTCAGTGGGAGTCTCCAACCACAGCTACTACTAGTTGGCCATCTTGGCCCCTATTTCCATTTATTATCTTTACTGATTTTTTTAAAATTACAGAAGCAATGTCTGTACACATTTGTTATCACTTTTATTAGTCTTTTCACATAATCAGCTTTACATTAATACTCTTTGAACATCATTTCTTTTCTTTAACTTTCTTCTGGATTATTTTGCTGCTCTTTTGCTATCTTGGTGAGATAAGTGTTTTAGCGCATTCACTTTCAGCTTTTATTCTTTCCCACTATACCCATTGCAAGGCTGTTTCCATTTAGCACCACTTTAACTTGATCCCACAAGTTTTGAAATGGGTATTTTTATTATATTTCAGTTCAAGGTAGTTTCAGATTTCTATTATGAAATTATCTTTAACCTGTGGGTTATTTAGAAATGTGTTTCTTAATTCAAATATATGGGAATTTCCTGGTTATCATTTTGTAATCAGGTTAAAGATTGACCACATTTTGAATAGAAAACATGCTCCATGTGATTTCAATTCTTTGCAATCTCTTGACATTTGCTTTATGAACAGTATTTGGTCAATTTTTATAAATGTTCCATGTATGCTTGACAAGAATGTGCAGTTGCTGGGGGCAATGTTCTCTAAGTGGTAATTAGGTCAAATTTATCACATTATTCAAGCATTTTATATCCTTTTTCTATTAATTACTCAGAGATGTGTTAAAACTTTCCACTAATTGTAATTGTGGATTTGTAGTTCTGTCAATTTTGGGGTTATACATTTTTAAGGTTATGCTAATAAGTGCATACAAATTTAAATGTCCTATATTTTTCTAGTGAACTGAACCTATTATCATTTTGAAATGATCCTTTTTATTTCTAGTATTACTTTCAACTTTCAAGTCTATTGAGTCCTCAATAGCTACTCCATTTTTATTTCGGTAAGTATTTATGTTGTTTATCTTTTCTCACTTTTTTACTTTCAATATTTATGTAAACATATGTCAGATGTATCTCTTGTAAACAACATATAGTTGAACTTCATTTTTTTATTCAGTCTGACAATCTTTGCATTTTATTTTTTTGGTTTTTTTTGGAGACAGGGTCTCGCTCTGTCACCCAGGCTGGGGTGCAGTTGCACAATCTCAACTCACTGCAACCTCTGCCTCCTGGGTTCAAGTGATTCTCATGCCTCAGCCTCCTGAGTAGCTGGGATTACAGGCACGTTCCACCACACCCAGCTAATTTTTGTATTTTTAGTAGAGACAGGGTTTCACAATGTTGAACAGGCTGGTCTTGAACTCCTGACCTCAGGTGATCTGCCTGTCTCAGCCTCCCAAAGTGCTGGGATTATAGGCATGAGCCACCAGGCCTGGCTAATCTTTGCATTTTAATCAGAACAATTAATATATTTGCATTTTATCATTGAGGTGGATTCATTACATTGATGGTTGTATTATGGCTTCCTTGCATCCACGTCCTTTAAAATGTGATTTTACAATTACGTAAGGCCTACTCTCAGGCCCCTTAAGTGTTGCTCTGTTATCTGATTTGACCAAAAGTTTGTGGGTGAAATGATGGTATGTCAGTTCTTAGCATAGGACTCAAGAGGCCTTGCATGTTTCTGCTTTTTCTTTGAACCCTGCCTCTGCCATGAGAACAAGCCCAGGCAGATTTCTGGAGTATGAGAGACCATGTGGAGCAGAGACAGGTTGTCCCAGCTAAGGCCTTCCTAGACCAGGTTACAGCCAGCCAACCCTCAAACAAGTGAGAGAGCCAAGGTTTGATCAGCAGAGCCGCCTATCCAATCCACAGGTGACTACTGACACATGAGGACCCCAGCTGAAGGCATAAGATCCACCTAGCTGACCTATAGTCTCAAAGAAAAAAATATATGCTTCCTGTTTTAAGCCACTAAGATTTGGGGTGTTTGTCACACAGTACTGGCAAAGTGACAGGAACATACATGCTGATATACCACTATTTATGTTTAAATCTACCATTTTCATTTCTTTCTGTTTAATCCACATGTTCTATTTTTCGTTTTCTCTTTGCCTTACCTTACTAATTTGGAAGCTATATATTTGCTTATTATTTGGTTACCATAGAAATTACAACATGAACAACATTAACCCACTAATATCTAAAGTTAGTCACTATATTTATCTCCATCCCAGATAATACGAGGTCCTAGAATACAATATCTCCATTTACTCCTTCCGACTACATATGCTTCTGTTGCAGTGTATTTTAATTTTATATTTTTAAACCCCACAAAATGTTGTTACTGTTGATCTATATCAAACTTGTCCAACCTGTGGCTGACGGGCCACTACATGGGATCCAGGATGGCTTTGAACGTGGCCCAACATAAATTTGTAAACTTTCTTAAAACATGAGATTTTTTTTTTGTGATTTTTTTCTAGCTCATCAGCTATCATTAGTGTTAGTGTATTTTACGTGTAGCCCAAGGCAATTCTTCTTCCAATGTGGCCCAAGGAAACCAAAAGATTGGATACTCCTAATTTATATGGTCAATGTTCATTTAGCCTTATCCAACATAGTTAGTACTTTCCTTGTTCTTTAGCTTTTCTTGCATCTCAGACCTTCTAACTGGGGTCACTGTCCTGCCTTAATTATAAGCTTTATAATTTCTTTTAGTGTAAGAATACTAATGGGAATTCTCTTAGATTTTGTTTTTATTATTTTGTTTCAAATGTCTTTATTTCACCTTCATTCTTAAAAGACATATTTGCTGTGCATAGAATTCTAGGTTGGTAATTTCCTTCAGTACATTGAACATATCATTCATTATCCTATCTTCTGGCTTCCACCGCTGCTGTTATGAAATCAATTTGTTGATCTCCACTCTTTTGAAGGTAACTTCTCTTTTCCTGGTTGTTTTTAAATTTTTTCACCTTATATTTAGAGTTCTGTAGTTTCACTGTGATGTGACTAGGTGTAGATTTCATTTATCCTTTTTGCGATTAGCTGGGCTTATTTAATATGTAGTTTGTGTATTTCATCAGTTCTGAACAATTTTTGCCATTATCTGTTTTAATACTGACTCTACCCTATGCTCTCCATTGTGTCTTTTAGAAACTTCAGTCAGATGTTAAACCTCCCAACTCACTTTATCCTCCAAATTTCTTAGCCACTTTCTCATATACTCTATCTTCTTTTCTTTTTGTACTACATTCCAGAAAATCTCTTCTAGTCTGTTTCTCAGTTTATGGATCTCTTTTCAACTGTGTCTAGTCAGCTGTTAAGCCTCCTCATTAAATTTTAACTTTGTGTATTACATATTTCATTTATATAATTTCTTTTGGTTTCCTTTCAGGTCTTCTGGATCACTTTTTGCAATTTCTTATTCTCTTCAGATATTTTCATGCTTATCTTGTATATCATGAGATATAGCAGGCACAGTCGTTTTATAGTCTATGCATGATAATACCAATATTTAAAGTATTCATGGGTCTGTTTCTGTAATCTATTTTTTCCTTCCAGTTCTTTTACATGATGTCTTATTTTCTTGTGTGACTGGTTATTTATTTTTTCATTGTATGCTGGTAATTGCCCTTAAAAATTAGCCATGAGGATTCTTTGAGACAAGATGAAAGTAACTTCTTCCAGAGAGGAGGTATATTTGCTTTTTCCAGATATTTAGAGACAGTGATATTTAAATCTTTATATTATTTTAAACTAGTTATGTGTTATGAATTCAGGCTGCACATCTATATGAGGACTGCTTTTTGTTTACATTTGCTTAGGGACAACTTTCCTCTTTTCTGCTCATATCAAGGCAACCTTCCTTGGAAATTCCTGAGTGGGGAGAAGAGGTAGGTTTATTTCTGACCTGATGGTATAGCCACTGGGGTTTCATTTTAACCCTTAGGAAGACGTCAATTCACATTTACCATTTTAGATGGAGCCCTGGGCTTTGATTTCCATCATTTCTACTGTTCTAGACTAGCAGAACAAAAATTTATGTTTCCTTGAAATGCCTCTGGATCAAACAGTCTCTGTGATATGATAAAATATACATTTGGTCTTTGTCCATCCCTGTATTCTCTCCATTCCCATTTCCTGGCAAAAAGTTCCTAAAACCCTTGGAATTGCAAGAGTAACGAGAATGTTTTTTATGCTAATGAGATGGCTGGTAACTGGGGTGTGTGAGCCAGATAGCTTCAGGATGGGGGCTGGTCACTGGAAAGACCAAGGCATAATTAGAGGGGTGGGACCTCCAGCCCCATCCCCAACCTCTGGGGAGGGGAGAGGAGCTGAAAACTGACTTGATTACCAATAGCCAATGATTTCATTTATCATGCCTACATAATGATGTCTCCACAAAAACCCAAAAGGACAAGATTCAGAGAACTTCTGGATAGATGAACATGTGGAGGTTCCTGAAGGGTGGTATGCCTGGAGAGGGCATGGAAGCTCTGTGCCCCTTCCCACATACCTTGCCCTTTGCATTTTTTCTATCTGGCTGTTCATCTGTATCCTTTGTAATATCTTTTATAATAAACGGGTAAATGTAATTAAAGTGTTTCCTTGTGTTCTGTGAGCCACTCTAAGCAAATTAATAGAACCCCCCAAGAAGGGGGTTGTCAGAATCTCAATTCTTAGCTGGTCAGTCAGAAGCACAGGTCACAACTAGTGCTTGCAACTGGCATGTGATGTAGGGAGGCTGGGTTTGGTGGGGAGGAGCCGTCTTGTGGGAATGATCTTTCAACCTGTAGGATCTGACACTATCTCCAGGTAGGCAGTGTCAGAATTAAATTGAATTAGAGGGCACCCAGCTGGTGTCTGCTGCTGAATTGCCTGGCTAGTGTGTAGGGAAAACCCCCTCACATATCTGTGTTGAATGGTGTGTAAGAGCAGGAAAAGTAAGTTCGGTTCTAAGAGCTTTGTGTCTACCTTAATTCTCAATGTTCTCATTTTCCCATAGATCCTGGCCTAGTAATTATGTTATACCTTACCAGCTCCCCAAAACTTTAATGAAGGTTTTTATTTTGTCTAGCATTTTGTATTGTTTTTAACTCAAGAAATGGTAAAAACAACCAAACTCATCATTGTCAGAAATAGAAGTTCAATATATTCCTAATCTTATACAGATTAAAACTCAAAAACTACTCTTTTCAAACCGTACAGACATAGAATAAAACCTGAAAAGCACTCTTCAACTACTCTACCTTACTCCTCATATCTATATCCTCCCAGGTGTTCATCCTGTCAGTTCCCTTTCTGTGTTTCCATATTTTTAATGTCTACATATTTATTATGTTGTTTTTAAATAACATTGGGTCATAATATAAATAGTTTTATGCCATATTTCATTCAATGAACTGTCTCTGGATCATTTCATGTTAGAACAGGAGATTTACCTCAATCTTTCTCCCCCTCCTCCTCCTCCTTTTACAGTCATATTATCTACTGTAATATAAACAGTATCATATAGATTCTACATCTATAAATGTGGAAGTACTATGATATACTTAGTTTTACCAATTATTTGGCATTTGGTTACTTTCCAAAGTTAAGTAACTACAAACAATAAAGCATGGCAGCTTACTACATAAATAACTTGTGCATATGTGTATTTCATTAGAATATATTCCTAGTACTAAAACTACTGGGTTCAAATATATGTATGCTTTAAATTTTGATAGACATTGTGAAACTACCTTCCACCAAAAGTCATGTTACACTTCTACCAACATGTACAGTGTACATTGTCCTGAATACTAATAAGTCATTGATATTATTGGTTTTTAAATTTTTAAGTCAATCTCATTGGCAAAAATGACATCGCATTATTTTAATTTAAGTTGTATTTCTCTGATGAGAAGTGAGTTGGGCTTACATTTTCTGGCTATTCATATTTCTTCTTGTGAGTTTTCTCTTTATATGCTTTGCCTTTTTTTTTCTATTATCTCAACTGTCTTTTTTCTTACTAAATTTGTAGGATTTCTTAAAAATTCTGTTAAACATGCTGCAAATATATTCTCCTGTCTGCTTATGTATTTTCACTTTATGATGTATTTCATCATATAAAACTGTAAAAATGTTTGTGAGCTACATGTTACAAACCTTCAGGAAGTATGAGAAAGTATAGTAGAACATTTTCATTAACATGAGATGATAAATGCCTTTCTAAGATATAAAATGTATCTTGTTTTAGGGTCCTGAGAAATCATATTGGGATTTGTGATTGGGAATTAAGTAAATTTGTAATTTAATTAGGATAAATTGGCATCTTTACAATATTAAGTCTTGGAATTTGTTAACATTGTAAATATTCATTTTTAAGCTTCCTTTTTGTTCCTAATTGTATTTTTATTTATTTATTTATTTAGAGACAGGGTCTTGCTCTGTCACCCAGATCAGAGTACAGTGGTGTAGATCATGGCTCACTGCAGCCTCAGCCTCCCAGGCTCAAGTGATTCTCCCTCCTGCCTCAAGCCCAACAAGTAGCTGGGACCACAGGTGCGAGCCACATGCCTGGTTAGTCTTTGTATTTTTTGTAGAGATGGAGTCTTGCCATGTTGCCCAGGCTGGTCTCAAACTCCTGGGCTCAAGTGATCCACCTGCCTCAGCCTCCCAAAGTGCTGGGACTACAGGCGTGAGCCACCATGCCAGGCCTGTTCCCAATTTTATTGTGTATGTCAGAGTTACTTTTTATAAGGTGTATTTTCTGATATTTCATAGTTTCTTTGCCTCTATAAATGGGGTACTTTTTCTAATACTATTTTCAACAGCTTATTATTGGTATGAAGAAATATTAATTATTTTGATATGTTAATCTAGTATCTGGCCTCATTGTTATATATTCCAATTAATTCCAAAAGTGTAATAGTTGAATTCTTGGATTTTCTGGAGCGTCAGTGTTTGCTTTTATTGGTCAACTATTCTCTTTCAAATTCTTATTTCTTTAGAAGCTGCTATTATCTTTATGAACTTCTTTTTTCCATTTTTTAAAATTTTGCCTTACTTTGGTATTTCTCTAGGTTCCTGAAGTAAAAGCTTCATTCATTACTTTCTAATCTTTCTTGTTTTCTAATAAGTACATTAAAGATGTATAATTTCCTGTCAGCACAGCTTTGGTCACATCCCAGAGGTTTTGACATATAGTATTCTTATTATCAAATTCATTTATATATGATTTATTATTTTAGCTTTATTTCCTCTTTAATTCAGAAGCATTAAAGTATTTTTAAATGCTTTTTTAAAAAGGATAAAAAATAAAAAAACAAGATAGAACAAAAAGCAAGAAGATAATTCAAGAGGTTCATAGAAACATAGAGTAAAAAGTATCTATGTACTTTGGAATCCTAGTGTCTCCCTCCAGTTCAACACTTAGAGGCAAGCATATTGAAAAAATCAAATATTTTTAAATTGCACAAGAGTATCTTTGACACATATGCCCCATTTCTCACAAATTGCAGCATACTATACAATTGTTCTGTACCTTATATTTTTATTTTCTGAAACACCTTAACCGTTTCATATAAGAACATCCAATTATTTTTAGAGCTGCAAGTAATTCGTCTCGCTCTATTGATGGACATTTAGTGAGTTTTCATATTTTTGCTAATATAAACACTGGCTGCAAGGAAAATCCTTGCACATAGATATTTGTGCTCATGTAAAGAAAATTATCTGTAGAACAAATTCCTTTAAGTGAAATTGCTAAGTGTAAAGGTATGTGCATTTACAATTTATTAGATATTGCTAAGTTACTATGAACAAGTATTACAGTAACTTTCATTACCACCAAAAGTATGTAAGAACTCTATTTTGCTATGCTGTATATCAGGGGTTCCCGAGCCCTAGTCCACAGCCTGGGGCTTGGAGACCCCGATATATAGCATGGTGAAATAACTGTGCTATTCAGGCCTGTCCATGGCTGTTAGGAACCGGGCCACATAGCAGGTGGTGAACTGCGGGCAAGCATTACCGCTGAGCTCCGCCTCCTGTCAGATCAGCAGTGGCGTTAGATTCTCATAGGAACGCAAACCCTATTGTGAACTGCACATGCCAGGGATCTTGGTTGCCCACTCCTTATGAGAATCTAATGCCTGTGGTGGAACAGTTTCATTCCAAAACCATCCCCTAGCCCCAACCGTCCATGGCAAAATTGTCTGTCACGAAACCAGTCCCTGGTGCCAAAAAGGTTGAGGACTGCCGCTGCATATCATCAAACTTCTAGTCTTTTCCCACAAAGTTATCTCATTATTTTAAAATTTGGTTGTCTATAACTTTGACCAAACATCCTCTTCTTAAAGTTTAAAGGCATTTGTATTTTGTTTTCTGGAAGCTTGTGTCCACTGTCTACCCCACTACCCATCCCAATTCCAACTAGATAAGTTTTTGGCTATCCTGACCCATTATTTTCTAATTTTATAATATTATGATTAGAAAATGTGATCTGTATGAGTATGCTTTTTGAGATACTTGAAGATTTACTTTCAGTTTAATAGATGTTCAACTTTTACAAACATTCCATAGATGTTTGAATAAAATATATGTTTTTTTCTGAATTGGGAATAAGGTTGTCAACACAAGATTTTAAGTATATTTATTTGATAAAATGTGTTAACTATGTTATGCAAATCCTCTATAGTCTTTCTTATGTTAGTTGATTTGATCTGATTTATGAAAGAAGCATATTAATGACTATTATAATAACTGAAAAATTTGTCAATATATGCCTGTATTTGTTGATATGTTTAAAAGCTGTAGTCTTAGTTACACTGTTTCATAACTATTTTCTGGTGGATTGTAGTTTTTAGTGTCATCAAGTCTATCATTATTAACCACTAATATTCCTGTATCTGTTTGTTGTTGGCATTTAGTTCATTATATATTTCCCATCCCTTTCTTTTAAGCCTTTAGGGGTTTTTTAGGGGTATCTCTGAAAAACATGTTTTTAATTCAATCTGAGAGCATCTATTAATAGAAGACTTTATTAATATTTATGGTGATAACCCAAATGCTTTTTTTTCCTTCCTGCTTTTCGTTGATCACTTTTTTCCTTTTAGTAGTTTAGAAATTATCCATCTAATCTTTTTCTATGAAAACCCTTAATATTTTAATACACACAAACGTGTATTTTTCCATCAATTTTTATTGTTAATTAGTACCTATTATCTCACCTAAACAGGGAAAGAAAGTAAACTTTAACTTACATTCTCTTAGGATTTTCTTGGATTTTTCCTTGTAGGTTATTTAATCTTTTTAACATTATACATTAATACTTATTCAGACAACTATAATTTTTACCGATTTCTTTCTACATCATTGTTTCTTGAATTCAATGCCTCCTTTTTTTTCAGAATGGTTTTGTGGGTTTTAGATGGGATTTATATTCCATCAATCCGATACACTTGGGTAAGATTTGAATTCAGAACTGGGCTAAGTGGGGAAGTAGGAGTAGCATGCAAAAGACTCACTTTGTTAGTGTAAATTATAGTAGGGTAACATGGTTCTGGAGCCAGATTCTGGGGAGCAGAGTAGGGAACTTCCTGATCCTCAGCGCAGCTAAAGCGGTATGATCCTGGTGCTCACAGCTGGGACAACAGTCTCCTGTTGTCCTTGACTGTAGCAAAGTGCTCCATGACCATAGCAAGGAGGCAGTTTCCTTTGTGGGCTTGTTCTATGGTATAATTCTGGGAGATATCTCTGGAGGCTCAGTCTAGAAACTGCTTCCTCAACGCTTTCAAATATTTTGTAGATATCTAATTCCTTGCTTACTCTAACCAGAGTGACTTGTATGATCTGTAACTGAATCATGACTGGTCAACCATCCTTGACTATTTCTTCATCCATGCTCCACCTCGTCAGTTAGTGTGTTCTGTCAGGTTTCCTCTTCTCCATCTTGCTGCCCTGGCTCAGGCCCTCATAATCTCTCCTGGCCTACAGAGTAACCATTTGATTGGTCTTCATTACTTCAAGCTCTGCCTGCTCAAATGGCAGCCTTTCTACAATGTAAATCCAATTATATGATTGCTTGTGCTTCATTACAAAACACAAGTTTTCATTTTTGCTTGGCATGGATTGGAAAGCTCTTCAAAGTCAGACCACAATCAGTCTTTCTAGCTTCATTTCCTATCATTTATTCATAATCATCCCATGTTCCAATTATACTGAGCTATTTACAATTACTTGTGCTTTTGCAGATATCTTTTCCCCATATCCTCTACCTGAAAACTCCTACTCATTCCCAAAGAACTAGATAAAATGTTTTCTCCTTTGTGAAGCCTTCCCCAGTGTTATTCCAAAATATGGTTAGTCCCTCCTACAGCCCTCCCTTATAGCACCTGAAACATTACGTTTTAATTGTATGTGTATATCTTTAACTTATTAGACTATAAGCCATACGAGAATAAGGACTTCATCTTATTTATCTTAAGATCCCCAACACTTTCAATAGGCCAGTCTAGGATACATGTTTATGGAACACATAATTAGCATAGTTAGGAGGTATGTGGAATTTATTTCTTTTTCTAGTGTAACAGTAATTCTATAAAAAACTACAAAAATTAAAGGTTACCTGGCATCACCCAGAATGGAAATCAGACGATACTGGGGTAACTCAGAAGATGCTACATGTGCTAGGATTCCAAAGAGCCTTTCAGCCATTATCATATCATTCTGTGTCACCTGAAGAGACACAATAGAAAGGGGTAAAAAAATGACACCAACTCTTAGCTGAATAAAACTGATATAATCCCAAAGAGAGATCCAAATTAAATATTATCTTTTAAGCCCACAAAAGCACATTCTCCTGTGCTGTGGAAAGAAGAGTTTTCATTGATATTTTTCTTTCTTGAGTTAAAATGAAGACGTATAATTGTGGTTCATGATGATGGAAGCTGATTGGAGGTGATGAGTCAGCTCTGATTTAGAAGCTGTCTTTCCTGAGAATTACACTTGAGGTACCTTCAATTTTTAGTATTTTTTTTTTTCAGAAATCCTATAGCTTCTTGGATTAGAATGATTTAGAGGAAAAAATTCCCAAGTATCAATGGGATAGATTCATTTTAATAATGTGTCAAAGGTAAGCCAAGGTGTTGGTCATACCTTGCTCCTATAGGGATAATTTTGTCCCTTCCTGAGAGATGGAACTTTCACTGAATTAGCAAGGATGCTCCTGTTCATTCTATCAGTCTTTCTCCCCAAAAAGAATAACTTGTCACAAGTATACCCTATGAGGACCCATTCTTACATTAACCAAGAAAGTACTAAAAGCTGAAAGCAGTACCTGTATTACTATCTGGGGATATTTTCTTTAATATAAAATAGGGTTGCTTACATTTTAAATACTGTTTTTTTGTCTATATATAATTCAATGATCCCAGCCAAGAGCCATTTTGCCCCCTACAGAACAACTGGCAATGTCTGGAGACATGTTTAGTTATTTCTGGACATTACGGGCATCTAGTGGGTAGAGACCAGGGTTGCTGTTAAACATGTCACAATGCAGAGGACAGCCCCCACAACAAAGAATTATCTGGCTCAAAATGTCAACAGAGCCAAGGTTTAGAAACCCTGGTATAATTAAATTTTGGATCTTTTGAAAATTTGTTCCTGACACTATCTGTAATACTCTTCACAGGCATTTTCTTTAAAACAAACCAATAATTCACAAACATACCTATGAATCAGTGCAGGCTAACTCTCTTCCCTTCCCTGGATCTTCACAGTTAAGGAGACTTCAAATTCTTCCTTAGCTAATAACTAAGTAGTGTTTGGTCCAATATAGTCACCTAGTGGCCAATGCAGGCCACTACTCCATGTTTTCTTGATGCTATTAATTCAATTTAATTCTACCTCAAGCAATATCATTCTTTTTTATACACAGAGAAGTAAAAATGCAGTGTAACATTACTATCTAAGGTCAAGGACCTAACAAACAGGAATATATTTTAGGTATTTTAATAAAGTGTCAAATATCCCTGGCATTGAGATTTTCAGAAATTTAAATCAGAATAAATTATATTGGTTCTTTCTAATTCTTTCTAATTCTTCTCCACTTTATATAACTACACTATTCCTTCCTGATTCAAAGTTTGATAATAATGGGTATTATTCTAGTAATAATCCATATCTGGGTAAATACACCATTTAGGGTTAACTGAGGTAACGGTGTGTTACCTCAATTAAGGGAGACTCAGTCACCCACAGTAAAAATAACCATTCTATTTCCAGTCTGGGCTAACTTTGAAAACCTTTAGGACTAATTATTAGGTCCTTCCAGGGACTCACAACCTCACCTCGGGGGAAGTACCAAATAGTATACATGAGTACACAAGACTGAGCCAACCCTCTTGAGAACTAGCTGGAGAAATTAAAAGTCATCTGAAGATTCAGATTTACCCAACATCTTCAGCAGATGGCTGATTCTGAGGTTACAGAAATACCATGGTTGATGCAAATTTCATATAGCTGCTTGTACATTGATCCAGAGATGTACAGTCTCCTCATAGTATGCTGAATTTTTGGAGTTAAGTATCTACCTGTACTGTATCAGCTGCAGGGAAACACAGTTACTGTGCCAGAAAGTTGATTACAGTTAATCTTACAATAAAGAGGTCTTCTGAATTTCAAGAGATATTGTAATAAGACTAACAACATATTAAAGATGTTTTTTTTTTCCTCTGGAGGAGTGTTTAAATTTAGTAGAGGTGGAAGCATAGCTTCTCTCTTTCCTTCCAAATTAATATTTTAAAAGAACATGGCTTTTGAGTAGCTGGGGGATTACCTTGTGACAAGCTTAGCAGAATCAATCTAAAAATAACTTTTCACTAATAATTTTCCAGCTATTCAGCTCCAGACCTGAGTTACCCAATGTAGTCATGGCACAGTGGTTGCTACCAGCTATTAACAAAGCTTTCCAGACATTTACTTATACTTATTTTATTTTCTTTTTCTCTTATTTTCACTTTCTCTTATTTTATCTTTCTTCCTGGCTTATTTCTCCTTTTCATCTCTTCTTTTTGTAAGTCATCTTCTTCCTCCCCTTTTTTTTCCATTTTATTCTTCCCTTTCTCTACCACAATACCCTTATTAGTTGACATTTAGGTTTTACTTCCTTATCCCCTCTTGCATAGCAGGCAGTCTGCAAAGTACTTTGAGAAATACAAAGATCACATTACTTATAAAAGAGTTATTTTTTATTTTTATTTTTAACTGTCACCCCACCATTTTATTTCACTGAATGCTTACAAACAACAGTATAAGTATTTGCCATTTACTATAACCTGGTTACTATTTTATTTTTACAATTTATTTAGTTCTTTGGAAGTTTTAAAATAGATTCTTAGCCTTTTGACATTTTAAATGTCAATTTAAAAAAAACCATTATATCTCAAATGTTCTATCATGGTTACTTAAATTCCTAAACATTTAAAGTAACTATTTTCACTAAGAAGGAATATTTTTATTCTATAGTTCATCTAGTTTTTAGCTTACCTCTGTTCCATTTATTTTCTGCATACTGAAATGGCTTAGCCTAAACAGTACATAGTATTTCCAGAGTGTAAAATTGACAACTGGATTTCCTTGAGGATCAATTGTCAACTGGTCAATACGACGGAGTTGGGCTAGTGCGTTAAATTGCTGCAGCATTACAAGATTTGTTTCCTTGAATTTAAGGTGCTGCAATGATAAAACACAAATACAGATCAGAACATTGATTTTAACCATATTGAAATATTAACATTAAAGCTTCACTAATCATTCCCCAGGTAAATATGTAAACTTTAGGCTTAGCAAATATGTTTTCAATTACATTAAATCAACTGAATGTACTAAACTTACATAACTTTAATTCATCCAATGCACCATTGATGGAATCCATCCAATATTGAATTCTGGGTGACTCCTTCTACAAATGACAGTCTCACTTATAAACCAACATTCTTTAAAGATACATAAATATCAAATAATGCAGATTCTTTCAGGAATTATTGATTTTATATGCTTTACATTGACATTAAATAAATTTTTTTAAAAAGACTGGAAATGAAAATTTCAGAACTTTATAAATACAGGCCCCCACAATTTTCCTGAGAAGAACTAGTTAGTTATTATTACTTGTATCTTGCCAAACACTACGTAGGATAGTTATACTGGCTATAGAAAAATCAAATCACTAAAACTGCAATGTTAACGCAAGCATTCTGTCTGTGAATCTAGATGCTCTTTTCTAAACATACTGTCTTCACCTCTAACTATCTTTTTTAGGGAGAATGAAGTGAAAATAAAAACAAAAACCCACCAAAAAGGCAGGTGAGGGAAGTCTCTTGGCTGACAGAGAAAAACACAACAATAATAGAAACTCAAGAGAGAACTCATTACAGAAATCACAGTTTCTACAAATGCATACTAAATAATACAATGACACCATAATTGAGGAAGGCTAATTTCTCAAAGTAATTTTAATGAGCTATTAAAATTATTTTCAACATTGTTAGGGGACAACTGTAAAAATTATACAGTAAATATACATTTCACCATTACCAGGTACCATAGGTGAATACATAAGGCTATGTGGTAAGGTGAATCACTTATAAAGTAGAAATATATAACTTGAATAAAATTATATCAGTCTTTTTCTACTCCACAAAGGATCATTTTTTTTGAGATAGAATTTCAAATGTTAACATAAAACTTCAAGGCCATTTATGAATACTAATTTAAATCCTAGCTCAAGAAAATCAACACAAAACTTAAATCTTCCTGCCAGATAGAAACTACATAAATACAAGTTAAAACAGGTCTTTGGCCTGAACACACAAGTCATTGACTAAGAATATTCAAATATACTACTAAAAGGAAATATTTACCAGAGAATTAGGAAACTTAATCTTCAGTTTAGGAAGCACTTGGACGATTTCATCAAATTCTATGAAAGTGAAGGAGACTGTTGTGATCATTCCTGCTGTTTGAACACTCCAATTCCTATCCAGAGATTCCAGTGCTCCTGAGCCATATAGGGAAAGTGTATCCCCGTCCACTTCAACAAGGTATGTGTCTATGACAGATAAACCTTGTAAAGCATTGTTGAGTCCTGAGTCTAGAGGCCTGGAAAACCCAAAGTATAATTTTAAATGAAAGATATCATGCAGAATACCTAACAGTATAATGACCTGTCAGAAAAGCTCTTCACAATTTTATATTCTTTTTTCATTTCAGTAATTAAACCTAGAGCATTAAAGACTAATTTTCAATAGACTATCTAGCAGTTTTGTATTATTCTAATCATATATTTTAATTTAAGAGGCATGTTATGAACAAAAAAGATCACCTCTAAACCCAAATTATTTCTATCCATGAAAGATAACTAATATTCCCTTTAGTTTTAAAACAAGCCGTTTACTACATTATGGTTATCTTTCCATGTCAACACAGATAGGTTTTCCCAATCTATAAACTTTTCTGACTAGAAAAAAGTACAGTTTACAAATTAGTATTTCTATAGTAAGAACCATACATATAAAAATATGTTTATGAACCAAGTAATAACTGCTAAAAATAGTTTATTTCTCAGAGGTTGTATTAGGGGGTAACTCTAACTTTCTACTTTTGGATACTTCAATGGTTTTTGAAATTTTTAAAGTGTATACTACAGTTATAATCAGTAAAATCAGTGTAGATTTCCTCCTCACTTTGAAATAAGAAACAGTGAAAAGGAATCATTATTTATATTATATATACACACTATATATATATATATATATATATATATATATACATGCTTCTCATACTGCACTGAATTTGGTAATTATTATTTCCAAGGTAGAAGCCACATTTTTTATATAAGGCTATCTAAATCATAGCTAGAGAATAAATGAAATATCTTAATCCAACTCATATTATCTGCTTTGTGAATAGAGACATAACTATTTGTTTTACCCAACCTCAAAACTTAAACAAAGCATGGTTTTTGTTTCTGCATTTTCCTTCTGGGATTTCTCCTTTCATCCAGTATTTATTTGCCCCTACTAAAATTAGTGTCTCGCTCTTATTTGTGCTCCCATGGTCTTTGGTATACTCCTGGAACACACTTCTCATAACTATATTACAATTTTATGCTTACAATTTTGCCTGTTATTCCAGATAGTGAGTGAGGCTAAAGATTATATATTTTTTCATCTTTGGGGACCCAAAATCTAGTAATCAGCTTTTAACAATGTATACTGAATGAATTATTAAATATCTTCAAACATTTACAATGATGTTAAGGGATAAAACTAAGAAAGCGCTGCCCTGTTGTTTATCATACTTATTTCAGAGGTACCAGTTAACCTTCTACACATTTGTTTATTCAATAACAAGATGAATAATGACATCAGTCTACTTTAAGTGAATATGCAACCAAGAAAATACAAAAAGGCTTGATTTCTACCAGACTAGCACTTAAGACAATGATTATTATGTGACAAAAATCAAATATCCAATGAGTAGTAGTACATGAATGGTCTTAGATAATAATCTTAGAAAGGTGAAGGCTGATAATAGGAAAAACTAACTTAACAATTAGTTCCATACATTGTGCTTTGTGTGATACATTGAGTTAGATTATATCTCATTGAGGTTGCTTATATAATCAATACTGGAACAGAACAAAGGACAGCTTCACTGCCACTAAAACAAAGAAGATGAAAAGAGTGCATACTGCTATTACAATACTTGCCACATTGTACTGCAATTACTTGTTGCCTTATCTATATCTCTCTTACTAAACACAGTGATCCTTGAGGGCTTGAATTTTGTCACGATTACTATAGTAGATCCAACATCTAGTACAGCTCCTAGCCTATGCTCTGCTCAATACATATTTCTTGGATGAATTAATGAAGTGGGACAATGATGAAGTTTTTAATGAGTATGTATTATATCTTAAGAAGGATGTTTGAACCATAAGCTATAGTTTCAGTAAAGGGGCAGAATCAGTGATATAGACACAGAATCAGGTTTAGCAAGAAGGTTTACCCACATAGGGACGCCTGATGGCCACAGTAACCAGCAAAAAAGTTTAATGTAAAAATGATGGGGAATCAGAGTTATGTATCAAAAACATCAACAAACCCTTTGGGAAATGATGTTGCTCCACATCATATATTTAAAAGTGTCTTGCTTTTCTTTTTCCACATAATTAAAAGTTTAAGAATATAAGCTCCACAATAAAAAGTCTGTCATCAGAAAGGGATTATTTATTTTGTGTAAAGGGCTTGTCAAGTAAACTCTTCAGGAAATAAGTGACATAATAAACAAGGCTACATTCAGTAAAACAGTGACATGGTTACAAAACAAAGCAGAAGTAATTTCCAATTTATATAGCTATCACATGCCCATTTGGTAAAAACAAACGGCAAGTCTCCTGGGCTGCAGACAGGCTCATCCTTTTCACTAGCACCTAGTAAACAGGCCATATAACACCTAACCCATTTCAGTTATTTTCTGAAGGAAGCTTTTGAGTTTAGCCTTAAACTCTGGTCAATGTTTACAAATTTGCTCCTCTGGGAAAGTGTGTTCTGAGCTCCATTAAAAAGTGACTTAGCTTGCCAAACAATGTTTATATTTTGGGGATTGTTCTTCTAGTTTTCCTTGTATCCTTAGCAGATATGGGTACATCTTTTTAGTTATACATACACACATATTAATTAATTAACTAATTAATTCTTTCTTTCTTTCATTCACCAAACATGTCCTCAAAGCCCACTATCTACAAAACACTGTGCTAAGAATTCTGGCACATGCCACTAAATCATCTGTATTGATAAGAACAATCAACACTGAGATCATACAAAGGTTTCTGGATATAGCAAAATTATTGCTCACTTTTACTGGGTCATAGTTTCAGAAATATAACTGCTCTAATCCTCCTCTGCAATCAACCTAATAAACACATGGGATATAATTTCTAAACTAAAATGACCTCAATATCTCATTAAACAAATAGGTTTTTGTGGAGAATTTATTATGTGTCAGATATTGTGTTAAGCATTGGGGATATAATAAATCAAGATATATTTGCCCTCAAAGAGCTCTCAATCTGGATGGGTGGGGCGGAGAGGAAGATGAATATATATATTAAATATAATATAATGTGCTTATTGTGATATAACGAATATTTAAACCATATGCTAAGGGAACACAGAGAAAGGAATGACTAATTCTTCCAGAGGGGAAAAGTCAATTTTAAAAAGGAAGGTTGGATTTGAACTGATCCTTGAGAGATAAATAGCAGATTTTTATCAGGAGCAGAAGTTGGGAAAACAGAATGAAGAAGGGCGCAGGAATGACTACTTTAAGTTCAGGGGCACATGCGCAAACCTGACACAGACATTATTTTGTATGGAAAATAAAACCTGATTATGTATAATATATTTATGTAAGAATAATTTCTTTTTTTAACTCTTATTTTAAGTTCAGAGGTACATGTACAGGTTTGTAACACAGGCAAACTGTGTCATGGGGGTTTATTTTACAGATTACTTCATCACCCAGATATTAAGCCTAGTACCCGTTAGTTATTTTTTCCTCCTCCTCCCACCTTTTACCATCCAATAGGCCCTGGTGTGTCTTTCCCTTCAGTGTGTCCCTGTGTTCTCATCATTTAGCTCCTGCTTATAAATAAGAGCATGCGGTATTTGATTTTCTGTTCTGTGTTAGTTTGCTAATGATAATGGCCTCCAGCTCCATCCATGTCCCTGAAAATAACATGATCTCATTCTTTTTTATGGCTGCATAGTATTCCTTGGTGTATATGTACCACATTTTCTCTCTTTCTTTCTTTTTTTTTTTTTTTTAACACAGTTTCACTCTGTCACCCAGGCTGGAGTGCAGTGGCACAATCTCAGCCCACTGCAACCTCCGCCTCCCGGATTCAAGAGATTCTTGTGTCTCAGCCTCCCGAGTAGCTGGGATTACAGGCACATGCCACCTTGCCCAGCTAATTTTTGTATATTTAGTAGAGACGGGGTTTCACCATGTTGGCCAGGCTGGTCTCGAACTCCTGACCTCAAGTGATCTGCCTGCCTCGGCCTCCCACATTTTCTTTATCCAGTATATCACTGATGGGCATTTAGATTGATTCCACATCTTTGCTATTGTGAATAGTGCTGCAATGAACATACATGTGCATGTGTCTTTATACTAGAGAAATTTATATTCCTTTGGGTATACACTCAATAATGGGATTGCTGGGTTGAACAATATTTCTATGGCTGGAACACTAAAATACAGGGCAGGAACATTGAAACATGGAGGGGAGTAGGAGCTGGAGATGAGCCTGAAAAGTCAGATTTTATCCTGCATGGTTCAGAAGCAGAAAAAGGTTTTTAAATTTAAAAAGTGATGAGATTATATTCAATGCAAGTTTTTAAGCACCTCCAAAGTATCATGCATGGATCTAGGTACTGGTGTTAGGGATACAAAGATGAATAAGATATGCTCTCTGCTCTCAAAGCCCCACTTCAGACAGATAAGTCAATCAACTTTGTGGAGGACATAGTAGGGAGAGGCTGAATGTAGGGGATGAGTAAGAGACCATTGCAAAAGTGTCAACTAGACCATATGCTGGCATAACAAAAAAGGGTATGGTGTAGTCAAAATGGCAATGGCAAGAAAGTGAGATAGACTTTAGTTCAAATTCCAGATCTGCCATTGGTAACTGATGACTTCTGGGGCAAGTTATTCAATTCTTTGAGTTTCAGTTTGCTTGTATGTAAATGATTATCATAATACATATATTTTCAGAGTTGTTGTGAAGATTAGAAAAAAATATTCTAAACTATGCCTCATACTTAGCTCAGTACATTTTCATGATTATTATTAATAAAAGAGAACACAGATTTATCAGACATTCAAGAATAAATAAAAGTAAGACTTAGTGGTTGACTGGAGAATGAAGGAAAGGGTGGAATTAAGTGTGAGTCAGATTTCTAGAGTGGGTAACTGGTCATCTGACCCAGTTTCCTACCTCTGTCTAGTCTAAATCTGTACTCTAAGAAAGCTGGTATTCTTCTCTGGAGGATCTGTTTAAAATGTGTTTTCCCATAAAGTCCAATACATTTCCAATTATATTCTCCAACTGAAATATTAATTATATAACAGCAGGCAGAATGAAATCAAATATGAATTCTCTTCAAGATTTTTAGTGGTTAATTTAAGTCCAAAGTTTCATCAATTCAACTTGATCTTTACATAAGAATAAGTCAGGAGGCTGGGCACAGTGGCTCATGCCTGTAATCCCAGCACTCTGGGAGGCCGAGGTGGGTGGATCACAAGGTCAGGAGTTAGAGATCAGCCTGGTCAATATGATGAAACCCCATCTCTACTAAAAATACAAAATTAGCTGGGCATGGTGGTGCATGCCTGTAATCCCAGCTACTCGGGAGGCTGAGGCAGGAGAATTGCTTGAACCTGGGAGGCAGAGGTTGCGGTGGGCTGAGATTGCACCATTGCGCTCCAGCCTCAAAAACTCTGTCTCAAAAAAAAAAAAAAAAAAAAAAAAAAGGCCAGAAAATATCCTATGCCTTTTCAATAAAGGACCCTAAGAAAAGACAGGGTGACTAGCTCAATGCAATAATGACTCTGAAAGCCCAGCTAAATGTAGAACATACTCTTAAATGTCTAGATGAAAAGAGACATTATTTAGGAGGATTATTATTGTTTTTTTAACCTTTAGGCTTTTCGTAACAGGCCTGAACAGAAAGACTTAAAATATTTCGGAAGATTCTTTTCCCAATGAATAAGTGGTGCTGATTCCTATAATAATTTATTTTATGAATTTCTATTACAACATTCATAGGTGTGAAAATTCATTGTATGCATTATATTTTATTATAGTAGTGTTGGCTAAAATACCACAGTGTTCATAGACAGGAAATGACCAAAAATAACCCAGCTTCACTGCATGCATCCAATGTAAGCAAAAAAAAAACATTACACCAAGTACTTTCCAATTTCTGCCAGAGAAAAGAAACCTGCAATATGTCATTTTACTGTAGAGCTGTCCCAAGTACAGTGAATAGTGAAATCATTAGTGGGATATAGCAAAGTTTTAGAGAATTTCTTCCCTTTTTGTGTCTATAATTTTTTCATAGAGACTTGTTTCCAGGCATTTAGTTACACGCCCCCCCCATAAGCCAAAGGTTATAGACATTGTAACCCAAGAAATATCCACTTTTTTGGCATTATGAAATACTAAAGACTATAAATATAAATGATTATTAAAAATGGAAAACCCTATGCAGTATTAAAAAACAAATCGAAACACTAGGTAAGAAACTTTGCGGCCCTCTGACTAGCTTTTTATGTTCAGAAATAGTTAAATTGTATCATTCAGGGTCCCAAATGATAAAATTTAATTATCTTTTTGAAGACTTACAGAAAATGTAGAAATATAACCTCTAATGTTTAAAATTCTTCACTTTGTACTTTCAGATAAAAATAGCAGATAGACAGCCGGGCACGGTGGCTCACGCCTGTAATCCCAGCACTTTGGGAGGCCGAGGTGGGCGGATCACAAGGTCAGGAGATTGAGACCATCCTGGCTAACAAGGTGAAACCCTGTCTCTACTAAAAATACAAAAAATTAACCGGGCGTGGTGGCGGGCACCTGTAGTCCCAGCTACTCAGGAGGCTGAGGCAGGAGAATGGTGTGAACCTGGGAGGCAGAGGTTGCAGTGAGCCGAGATTGTGCCACTGCACTCCAGCCTGGGGGACAGAGCGTGAGACTCCGTCTCACAAAAAAAAAAATAGCAGATAGACTAAGCACATGTGTTTAAAAGCTCTCCCTCCAAGACCCCATTGAAGAATAGTAAAGTAATGAAAAAGACATAAACCCACAACAACAACAAGTGCAGTAGGGGAAGACTATTGGCAGCAGGAGATTTCAGAAAATTTCTGGAAGCTAGAAAGAAAAAGTGTTAAGTGATGAAGAAGGATAAAAAAGGGCTGTGTTCTCAAATATGCACTGGAAATAAGAAAAAGATGGCAGCCAAATTGCTCAGTGGAACTCTGGAAAGCAACTAACAGTAAGTATGATGGAGGATGGGAATGAGAAGTGAGACTGAACACAGGGGCATTAATTGAAGATCTGCAAAAGGTCTCTCCCACCTACTTCTCTCACTGCCAACAAAAGTCTCACAGAGTGGCATTGCAGTTCAATGAGAAAGGAAAGAACACTCAATAAATAGCACTAGGGTAACTGATTATTCCTATGGAAGGAAAACCCCTCCCCACCCAAATCAGAACTTAACCTCAAATATAAAAATCAATTACAGGTATAATAAAAATTTAAATAAAAAAGGCCAAATGTTAAAACTTTAGGAAGACAAAATGGGAGAATGTTTTTAAAATCTCAATGTGGTAAAGGACTTGTTTTCCTAAACACAATCTAAGTGGGTAAACCATAAAGGAACAGGTATATATTTTTGTGTCTTCAGTATATAAATAGTATTTAAAGTCAAAGGCATGTACGAGACTGCCTAGGAGGAAAGCAGAGAGTGTAAACAGAGCCCAGGACCAAAATCCGAAGAACTCTACCATCGAGAGGTTGAGAGGACAGAAATACTTGAAGATATGAGAAAGACACATAATACAAGAAAAAAATCAAAGGCTACTAATAATATGATATAAAATAATAAACTATAAAGAATGGCCCAAAAGCAAATGATGAGTCTAAATTAGATCACGGAGACAGGCTTCAAAAAGAGTAGATTCTAGAAGTCAGAAATGTAGAAACAGCAGTAAATTTCTTTGTTCAATTTTTTAAAAAGGCAATCAGAAACTCCAGAAAAAAACAAACTATATATGAAAGGCATGGCTCAAATATGGGGCAAACTAAAATGTGGCATGGGTTTGGACAACTTTTAAGGTATAATGAAGAGGGGTCCATTTGAATTTGATGCTATGACTATTCTTGGAGTGGCTTAGGAAGCGGAAAAGGAGACAAACATAGCTTAATTCTTTACTGTAAAGTAAAAAATTGTTATATTATAGAGACTTAAATACTGTTTACCAGTTTTCAAGTTTTAAATCCTACCAACTGACAAAGTTTTATGATTATAGAACAGATATAAATGACATTAATCTTGAAATTTAAAAGTATAACTCATAGAATAAAGCCAAATTGGAATCCCAAAGAGAGAGCAAAAATGCTAGAGTAGGGAACTCCGAAACACTCCATCCCTCCACAAAAGCAACAAATATGCTAGGAACAAAAAAACCCCAAAAACAAAATCAACTTTTTCAGAAATCTGGAATCTAATAAATTACAAAACCAGGGAAACACTTAATGAAGAAAAGAAAAACTGCTGAATTTCAATAAGAGAGTTCTGAAGCATCTTAACTTACCCTGTTACCATTCCCCACTCCCCAGCTTGGTGGTGGCCTTGAAGTTGAACAGCCCACATTCCTGGTGCAGATTGCTGGCAACAGAGGAAGCAATGCAGACCATATTCTCAAAAAGTTGTAGTTGTGTGTTTTGACATGTTTGGTGGCTCTCTGAAGGATTAGCTCAAGGGCTTGCCTTTGTATCACTTGCCCTGGAGCTTCCCTAGGGCTGAGGTGGCTTCTAAGTGGCATTTGTTGAAAGTAGTTAAAGGCAAAAATGTATTAGCTGCCACCACATTGGACAAAGGATAGTAGCTGCAGCAAGCAACAGACAGACCAAAAAGGCTGAGAAGGAAGAGGCTAGGGAAAGAGATGTCTGGGAGAATAGAGTTTTGAGAAGCTCCTGTGAGTCCAGGGAATCTAAAAGGCCACATATATGTCCAGGGTCAGACACATGTTTGGAAAAGACCTGAGAAGACACTAACCTTAACCCTAACCCTAACCCCTGGCTGATCTTCAGGTTCCACACAAGCAGGAATGAAGGTTAAGGCAGAGTGGTAAACTGCCTAGATAAGCAGTGAAAGAGTGCCTCAAAACAGAACCAATCGATAGAGTCTGGGAGAGGTTTATTTTTTCCTTTTTTCTCCAGGCATTTAAGAAAATCTCTGAAAATCACTAACTGACCACTAAGCTAAAAGAACAGAGATTTCAGTGGGTACACATGCTAAATAATACAGTCTTCACAGAAATAATTAGGAAAGTCATTAAAAAAATAGAAGACAACAATCAAAACAAGCAGCAACAACAAACCCTAGGGGGGAAGAATGATCTGATCTCCAGAGTTGTCACATAAATGTCCAGTTTCAACAAAAAATATGATGCATACAAAGAAACAAGAAAGACTAACCCACTCACAGGAAAAACAGAAATGAACAGAAACTGTCCCTGAGGAAGCCCAGGCATTGGACTTACTAGACAAAAACTTTTAAGTCAACTATTTTAAATATGCTGAAATAACTAAGGAAAACCAGGAGAATGATGTCTCACCAAATAAAGAATATCAATAAAGAAATGGAAATTAAAAAGGAATCAAATAGAAATTCTGGAGTTGAAAAGTACAATAACTGAAAAGCTCTCTAGAGGGTTTCAACAGCAGATTTTAGCAGGCAGAAGAAAGAATCAGTAAACTTAGATAGGTCAATTAAATTATGTAGTCTGAGGAGTGAGGTTAAATAAAGAATAAAGATAAATGAACAGAACCAGGAAAACTGTGGGACACTATCCAGCATACCAATATAAACATAATGGGAGTTTCGGAAGCACAGACATGAGAGAAAAAAAAAAGCAGAAAGAATATTTGAAAAAACAATGGCCAGAAACTTCCCAAATTTGATAAAAGACATAAAACAACATATCCAAGAGGCTCAATGAACTCTGACTAGGATAAACTCATAGATCCACACCAAGACACATTATAATCAAACTACTGAAAGACAAAAATAAAGAGACAATCTTGAAAGTAGTGAGAGAGAAGTTACTCATAATGGACAAGGGATCCTCACTAAGAAAAACAGCTGATTTCTCATCAGAAATCATGGAGACCACAAAGTAGTGGATGATATATTTAAAGTGCTGAAAGAAAAAAAAAACCTGTCAACCCAAAATTATATATGGCAAAACTGGACTTCACAAATAAGAGATAAATTAAGACATTCCCTGATAAACAAAAGCTGAGGGAATTTATTACTAGTATACCTGACCTACAGGAAATGCTAAAGGAAATTCTCTGGAAATTAAAGAACACTAGTTGGTAACTTGAAGTCATACGAAGAAATAACATCAAGAAAGGTAATTACACAGGTGCATAATAAAAGCCAGTATTACTGAATTTTTAAGGTGGTAATTCCTCTTTTTAATATATGATTTAGAAGAAAAATGTATAAAATTAATTATAAATCTATAATGTGCACACAATGTTTAAAGACGTAATTTCTGAAAATAGTAACAGAAAAGGGAGTAGAGTTAAACAGAAGCAAAGTTCTTATATACTATTACAACTAGGTTGGTATTAATTCTAACTAGCTAAATTAAAATGTTAATTGTAATCCCCAGGGTAACAACTAAGAAAATAGCTAGAAAATGTATGGTAAAAGGAACAAGAAAGGGATCAAAAACGGTACACTAAGAAAATCAGTTAAATACAAAAGAAGAAAGCAATAAAAGAATTGAGGAGCCAAAAAAGGATATACAACAGATAGAAAGCAAGTAACAAAATGGTAGATGTGTGTCCTTCCTTATCAGGACTTCAAAGATTAAACTACCCAAATTAAAAGGCAGAAATTAGCAGAAAGGATTTTCTTTTTTTCAAGATGGAGTCATGCTCTGTCGCCCAGGCTGGAGTGCAATGGCACAATCTTGGCTCACTGCAACCTCCACCTCCTGGGTTCAAGTGATTCTCCTGCCTCAGCCTCCTGAGTAGCTGGCATTACAGGCATGCACCACCACGCTTGGCTAATTTTCATATTTTTAGTAGAGACGGGGTTTCGCCATGTTGGCCAGGATGGTCTCAAACTCTTGACCTCAGGTTATCCACCCGCCTCAGCCTCCCAAAGTGCTAGGATTACAGGTGTGAACCACCACTCCCAGCCAGGATTTTTTTTT
Organism: Homo sapiens; assembly: GCF_000001405.40. NCBI lineage: Eukaryota > Metazoa > Chordata > Mammalia > Primates > Hominidae > Homo > Homo sapiens. The sequence goes on along the minus strand of NC_000015.10, from coordinate 70,997,455 downwards.
TAAAGCTCCAAGTATATGCTTTCTACAGGATTAAAAGACACAAATAGAATGAAATGGAAAGAATAGAAACAGATATTCCATGCAAACAGTAACCAAAAGAGAGCCAGAGTAGCTACTAATATTACGTTAAATAGATTTTATATCAAATATTTTTATGAGAGTCAAGGAAGAACATTTTATATTGAAAAATTGGTTAATCCATAAGGAAGGTACAACAATTATAAAGGTATATGCACTTAACATCTAAAATACATGAAGCAAAATGGACAAAGTTGAAAGAAGAAACAGTTCTACAATAATAGTTGGAGACTTCAATACCCTACCTTCAATAATGGATAGAACAACCAGACAGAAGATCAGCAAGTAAAGAGGACTTGAAGTACACTATAAAACCAACTAGCAGACATATATAGAAAACCCCACCCAGCAACAGAATACATATTCTTCTCAAGTACGCATGGAAAATTCTCTGGGATAGACCATATGTTCAGCCATAAAGCAAGTCTCAATCAATCTAAAAAGATTAAATTCTACAAAATGTCTTCTCTGACCACAATGAACAAATCTGGTAAATTCACAAATTAAACACTGCAGTCTTAAACAAACACTGGAAAAAGAAGAAATCACAAGGGAAATTACAAAAGTGTAGCTGATAGAAGTTGCAATGTACAAAGTGGGAAAAATAAAAAGGATAGACTCATCTTGCAAATGCAGACTTGAGGCCTATTGCCTATAGTGGATGAAACAAAAAAACAGAGATTTAGATACACATTACAAAAGCTACCAATAAAGCAACTATAGATATATAGTTTTGGGAGGAAAAGAGGTGAGGGAGCTGAATCTTCATCTATTTTAGCAAGTAGTATATCTAAATCTTACAAATTTAAAAAACTGCATAATATACATTTAAAGATTTGGTAGAGAAGGAGCCAGTAAGATACCACTTAAAAAAAAGAGAGAGTAGCCACATACATAAAAGGAAAATCAGGTGAATGAGGAGTTTCAACTACGTCAAATGCTGTAAGGAGGTCAAGTAAAATAAGGACTTAAAATTCAAGAAGCCAAACTGAATGCACTGGTTAAGAGTTCCTTGTTTAGATAAAATGCAAGGTATAAAAAGTTCTTTTAGAAATATCTCTAAATTTCAGTTCTAGGAGATTTTAAAGGAATCAGATAACTACAAAATAAACTGAAGAAAAATCTACAACCAGTAGAAGTTATAAGTAACTGATTTTGCATTATAATCTCTACCAGTTATATACTATTTATCCCTAAAATTTTATTTTTCTACCTTCATATATAAATATCTTCTGTGGCTACTCAACTTGCTAGTTTTCCGGTCATTAAAAAAAGAATCAAACTAAGAGAATGTAATAGTGTTTCCATGACACTTTAAACATACATTTGTAGAAAGTAAATCTTTTGCCAGAAATTGTGGATCCCTTTCCTAATTATTCATCATTACTTTTTACATCCTCTCCATTGAACCCCCCACATCACTTCTCCCATCTCTCCCAAACTCTTTCTCTATGCTCCCTTCTTAAAAGCTAACGACTTTGTGGAACTCCTAATAAAAATTCTGAAACTCTTGGCAGTAAGCATAAGGCACAACAATTTTCACTAACAGATACTTCCTCTTTCTCTTGGAACAGCTTGCTTGTTTTGAGACCATAAAGACGCTATGATTTTAAGTTATTTTAGAGGGTCATAAAATGTTTGGCCATATGCCACTTTAAAAGTTCAAAATGTCATGAAAGTCACGTTAATAGTCTGCAATCCACTGATCAGAGGTAGTTTTGCCAGATAAAAGAGTCATTTAATAAAAAAGATACTCCTGCATTCACTGAAGCTGCCAAAACTAGTAAAACTTATACAGTGAATAGCCCTATCACAAGAGAACAGGATGTACGGCCTCTGGTAGCATACCTTGTTCTACCATCAGTAACTTCAATATCTATAATAATGGCTTCAACGGATCTCTCTTCTGGTGACCTTTTGCTTTTACTCTTTTCCAACAATCCACTCTGATAACCACAACAATGGCTTCCATATTGCTTAGATTTCATTACTTAAATGTGTTCTACCTCTAAAATATTTAACCTCAAAAACTTACTTTGACCATAAATTCCCACTATTCCAGCTCATTATTAATGCTCTTACTTTATATGCTCCTCATTTGCAACTTTAATTAGACTTACAGTCCCAGAAACAAAATTTTCTTCCAATCTGTTGCAAACCTTCTGGTTTTTAATTCTTTAAAAATCTCGCCTAGACTATCTGACCCATCATTTCTATCTTTTCCTTTGTCATCACACTTGAATTTTTTAATTCCTTGCCTTTGATCCCTTGTCTCTTTGTTCTTTTTCAGACATTTAGCTTCTCTTCTGTTATACTTAGCTACTCTGCGATCTTGGAATAAACTCACTCAACCATTCAGGCTAAAGTTGCTATAATTTCATGGTCTCTAACCTCATTTAGTTCCTCAGAATTTTCCTTCAATCTTTCAACATTTTCCCAGTTAGCTCCCTCTGGATATCAAACGAGACCTGTTTCTTAAAGTGACGTTACTGTCATAACAATGTTAATTCTTCTGAAATTAATAAGTAAACTTAAATGTGATTTGAACAAGATTCTCATCATTTCTTTTCTATTTAGGTAAACTGATTTTAAAGTTCACATGAGGCTGGGCACAGTGGCTCATGCCTGTAATCCCAGCACTTTGGGAGGTCAAGGCAGGCAGATCACTTGAGCCTAAGAGTTCAAGACCAGCCTGGGCAACATGGCAAAACTCCATCTCTACAAAAAATACAAAAATTAGCTGGACATAGAGGTGTGCACCTATTGTCCAAGCTATTTGGAAGGCTGAGGTGGGAGGACTGCTCAAGCCTGGGAGGCGGAGGTTGCAGTGAGCCGAGATCATGCCACCGCACTTCAGCCTGGGAGACAGAGTGAGGCCCTGTCTCAATAAATAAATAAATAAATAAATAAATAAAGCTCATATGGAAGAATAGGTGTGTGACAATTGAAACTTGAAAAGAACAGTGGAAACCTATTTCCCCTACAAGTTGTGAAAACTTACTACAAAATTACTATAATCAAAAGAGTCTGGTGTTGGCATTAAAACAGATAAGTGAAATGGATAGTCCAGAAATATGTGCACATATTTACAAAATCTTAACATGAGATAAAGATGGCATTCTCATGAAAAAAGAAGTTTAATTTTTAAAAGGTTATTAGCAAATTGACTAGTCAATTGAAATAAAATCAAGTTAGACCCTTATCTAACATTGTGTATAAAAATAAGTTTGAGGCCATGTGCGGTGGCTCAAGCCTGTAATCCTAGCAGTTTGGGAAGCCGAGGCAGGAGGATCACTTGAGATCAGGAGTTCGAGACCAGCCTGGCCAACATGGTGAAACCCTGCCTCTTTTAAAAATACAAAAATTAGCCAGGTGTGGTGGTGGGCACCTGGAAAATCCCAGCTACTCAAGAGGCTGAGGCAGGAGCATCACTTGAACCTGGGAGGCAAAGGTTGCCGTGAGCCAACATCGCACCACTGCCCTCCAGCCTGGGAGACACAGCGAGACTCCATCTCCAAAAGAAGAAAGAAAAAAATTTGACGGATTGAAGGACTAACTTCTAAAACCTTATTATAATTTTAGAATATTAAATTCCATATTACTTGGATAAACTTGAAACTGAAAAATAATTTTTAAAAAAGAAATTAGAAATAGAACTGACCTGTATTATTTCATAAATCTAAAGCCCAATGCTATAAAGTTTTAACATTATAAAGTATTATAGTTCTAACCAAGTAAAATTATATTTTGCCATTTAAATAATATTAAATATAGCTCTAGGGCTATATAAGAGTGGTATATTAGTTACATAAATTGTCACTTCATTAGAATTTTTATTCTTGACACTAGGCCAGGCAGTTCCAAGATGGTCGAATAGGAACAGCTCCAGTCTACAGCTCCCAGCGTGAGTGCAGAAGACAGGTGATTTCTGCATTTCCAACTGAGGTACTGGGTTCATCTTACTGGGGCTTGTTGGACAGTGGGTGCAGGACAGTGAGTGCAGCCCACCAAGCGTGAGCCAAAGCAGGGTGAGGCATCACCTCACCTGGGAAGGGCAAAGGGTCAGGGAATTCCCTTTCCTAGCCAAGGGAAGCTGTGACAGACGGCACCTGGAAAATCAGGTCACTCCCACCCTAATACAGCACTTTTCCAACGGTCTTAACAAATGGCACACCAGGAGATTATATCCCGCACATGGCTAGGAGGGTTCCTACGTCCACAGAGCCTCGCTCATTGCTAGCATGGCAGTCTGAGATCTAACTGCAAGGTGGCAGCGAGGCTTGCGGAGGGGCACCCACCATTGCTGAGGCTTGAGTAGGTAAACAAAGCAGCCAGCAAGCTCGAGCTGGGTGGAACCCACCGCAGCTCAAGGAGGCCTGCCTGCCTCTGTAGACTCCACCTCTGCAGGCAGGGCATAGCTGAACAAAATGCGGCAGAAACCTCTGCAGACTTAAATGTCCCTGTCTGACAGCTTTGAAGAGTAGAGGTTCTCCCAGTATGGAGTTTGAGATCTGAGAACAGACAGACTGCCTCCTTAAGTGGGTCCCTGACCCCCGAGTAGCCTAACTGGGAGGCACCCCCGAGTAGGGGCAGACTGACACCTCACACAGCCAGGTACCCCTCTGAGACGAAACCTCCAGAGGAACAATCAGACAGCAACATTTTCTGTTGAGCAATATTCGCTGTTCTGCAGCCTCTGCTGCTGATACCCAGGCAAACAAGGTCTGGAGTGGACATTTGCTGTTCAGCAATATTTGCTGTTCTGCAGCCTCTGCTGCTGATACCTGGGCAAACAAGGTCTGGAGTGGACCTCCAGCAAACTCCAACAGACCTACAGCTGAGGGTCCTGACTGTTAGAAGGAAAACTAACAAACGGAAAGGACATCCACACCAAAACCCCATCTGTACGTCACCATCATCAAAGACCAAAGTTGGATAAAACCACAAAGATGGGGAAAAAACAGAGCAGAAAAGCTGAAAATTCTAAAAATCAGAGCGCCTCTCCCCCTCCAAAGGAACGCAGCTCCTCGCCAGCAACGGAACAAAGCTGGACGGAGAATGACTGACGAGTTGAGAGAAGAAGGCTTCAGACGATCAAACTTCTCCGAGCTAATGGAGGAAGTTCGAACCCATTGCAAACAAGCTAAAAACCTTGAGAAAAGATTAGACAAATAGCTAACTAGAATAACCAGTGTAGAGAAGTCCTTAAATGACCTGATGGAGCTGAAAACCATGGCACGGGAACTATGTGATGAATGCACAAGCTTCAGCAGCCAATTCAATCAACTGGAAGCAAGGGTATCAGTGATTGAATTTTTATTCTTGATTTATTTTTGTAGCTGAAAGAGCTGACAAGGTCTACATGTGGATCCCAAGTGAGCTGAAGGAAATACACTGATATAAGTTAATTCTATAACTAAAATTTAAAAAGCATATTTGCCTAAATATATGTTAGACTCTAACTACAGACAATTTCCAAAACATTATTCTCATGTCACTCAAATTACTTCCTTTACTATATATTTTTTGCATATGAAAGGCTTAAAGAATTCCAGCTAAAAACCTGAAGTAAAAGCTATATTATATTTAGTTTTAAAAGGTGTTTCAGAGTTTAGTTAAGGTAATAAGACACATATGCTTCATCAAATTAAACAAAACTAAAATGTATTCTATCTTTGATTTTTAGGCTTTATTTTAAAATTATGTAAATATAGTCAGCCCTCAGTATCAGTGGGTTCTGCATCCATAGATTAAACCAAATGGATCAAAAATATCCGAAAAAAATTCCACAAAGTTCCAAAAGCAAAACTTGAACTTGCCACATGCTGAGTACTATACCAAATCCATGCAAATGGAGTGATGTGTAGGCACTGTATTAAATACTATTTAAGTAATCCAGAGATGATTTCAAGTATATGGCAGGAAGAATATAGGTTATATGCAAATACTATCCCATTTTATATAAGGGAATTGAGTATCTGCAGATTTGGGTATTTGCAGGGAACCAATCCCCTGTGGATACTGAGGGACAGCTGTACAAATATATATTTAAATTATACATGCACTATAAAGATATAAATGCTTTATGTCCCTCTGAATTTACTTGATTCCAATATGCTTTTCTAAGAGGAAGAGAAACATGTGGAGTCTAGATAATGCATTCAGCATTGCTCATAAACCTAGGGATATATTATCATGTGATAAATGTATCATAGAAGAAAAGAGGTTGTGAGCCACTGGAATAGACAGATAGTATAGATCACAGCTGGAGTAACTTTCAGATTATATGCCCAATTGCTTACTACCAGTAGTTAAAGAGGAAGGTTTTGTGCTGGCTGCTGAGGACACAGCAGGAGTCAAGTCAATCAAGCAGGATTCCTTTCCTCATGAAGCTTACATTCTAATGGGGAAGACACACATGAAACAACTACCTACCAACTTGGAGTTAGGGAAGGCTTTTTTGGAACATGTGAAGTTTAAACTTCAGACCTCTGTGGGTTTGCTGAAGTTAGCTAGGGCGGGATCAGAGAAATAGTGCAGGGAAGTGATTGGTGTTAGGGCAGAAAAACACTATCCCTATAAGAAAGGTTCTGGCTGGAGCCAAGATGGCCGAATAGGAACAGCTCCGGTCTACAGCTCCCAGCGTGAGTGACGCAGAAGACGGGTGATTTCTGCATTTCCATCTGAGGTACTGGGTTCATCTCACTAGGGAGTGCCAGACAGTGGGCGCAGGACAGTGGGTGCAGCGCACCATGCATGAGCCGAAGCAGGGTGAGGCATTGCCTCACTTGGGAAGTGCAAGGGGTCAGGGAGTTCCCTTTCCTAGTCAAAGAAAGCGGTGACAGATGGCACCTGGAAAATTGGGTCACTCCCACCCCAATACTGTGCTTTTCCGATGGGCTTAAAAAACGGCGCACCAGGAGATTATATCCCGCACCTGGCTCGGAGGGTCCTATGCCCACGGAGTCTCACTGATTGCTAGCACAGCAGTCTGAGATCAAACTGCAAGGCAGCAGCGAGGCTGGGGGAGGGGAGCCTGCCATTGCCCAGGCTTGCTTAGGTAAACACAGCAGCCAGGAAGCTCCAACTGAGTGGAGCCCACCACAGCTCAAGGAGGCCTGCCTGCCTCTGTAGGCTCCACCTCTGGGGGCAGGGCACAGACAAACAAAAAGACAGCAGTAACCTCCGCAGACTTAAATGTCCCTATCTGACAGCTTTGAAGACAGCAGTGGTTCTCCCAGCACGCAGCTGGAGATCTGAGAACGGGCAGACTGCCTCCTCAAGTGGGTCCCTGACCCCTGACCCCCGAGCAGCCTAACTGGGAGGCACCCCCCAGTAGGGGCAGAATGACACCTCACACAGCCGGGTACTCCTCTGAGACAAAACTTCAAGAGGAACGATCAGACAGCAGCATTCGCGGTTCACAAAAATCCGCTGTTCTGCCGCCACCGCTGCTGGTACCCAGGCAAACAGGGTCTGGAGTGGGCCTCTAGCAAACTCCAACAAACCTGCAGCTGAGGGTCCTGTCTGTTAGAAGGAAAACTAACAAACAGAAAGGACATCCACACCAAAAACCCATCTGTACATCACCATCATCAAAGACCAAAAGTAGACAAAACCACAAAGATGGGGAAAAAACAGAGCAGAAAAACTGGAAACTCTAAAAAGCAGAGCGCCTCTCCTCCTCCAAAGTAACACAGCTCCTCACCAGCAATGGAACAAAGCTGGACGGAGAATGACTTTGACGAGTTGAAAGAAGAAGGCTTCAGATGATCAAACTACTCCGAGCTACAGGAGGAAATTCAAACCAAAGGCAAAGAAGTTGAAAACTGAAAAAAATTTAGACGAATGTATAACTAGAATAACCAATACAGAGAAGTGCTGAAAGGAGCTGATGGAGCTGAAAGCCAAGGCTCGAGAACTACGTGAAGAATGCAGAAGCCTCAGGAGCCGATGCGATCAACTGGAAGAAAGGATATCAGTGATGGAAGATGAAATGAATGAAATGAAGCAAGAAGGGAAGTTTAGAAAAAAAAGAATAGAAACGAACAAAGCCTCCAAGAACTATGGGACTATATGAAAAGACCAAATCTACGTCTGATTGGTGTACCTGAAAGTGATGGGGAGAATGGAACCAAGTTGGAAAACACTCTGCAGGATATTATCCAGGAGAACTTTCCCAATCCAGCAAGGCAGGCCAACATTCAGATTCAGGAAATACAGAGAATGCCACAAAGATACTCCTCGAGAAGAGCAACTCCAAGACACATAATTGTTAGATTCACCAAAGTTGAAATGAAGGAAAAAATGTTAAGCACAGCCAGAGAGAAAGGTCAGGTTACCCACAAAGGGAAGCCCATCAGACTAACAGCAGATCTCTCAGCAGAAACTCTACAAGCCAGAAGAGAGTGGGGGTCAATATTCAACATTCTTAAAGAAAAGAATTTTCAACCCAGAATTTCATATACAGCCAAACTAAGCTTCATAAGTGAAGGAGAAATAAAATACTTTACAGACAAGCAAATGCTGAGAGATTTTGTCACCACCAGGCCTGCCCTAAAAGAGCTCCTGAAGGAAGCACTAAACATGGAAAGGAACAACCGGTACCAGCCACTGCAAAATCATGCCAAATTGTAAAGGCCATCGAGACTAGGAAGAAACTGCATCAACTAATGAGCAAAATAACCAGCTAACATCATAATGACAGGATCAAATTCACACATAACAATATTAACTTTAAATGTAAATGGACTAAATGCTCCAATTAAAAGACACAGACTGGCAAACTGGATAAAGAGTCAAGACCCATCAGTGTGCTGTATTCAGGAAACCCATCTCACATGCAGAGACACACATAGGCTCAAAATAAAAAGATGGAGGAAGATCTACCAAGCAAATAGAAAACAAAAAAAGGCAGGGGTTGCAATCCTAGTCTCTGATAAAACAGACTTTAAACCAACAAAGATCAAAAGAGACAAAGAAGGCCATTACATAATGGTAAAGGGATCAATTCAACAAGAAGAGCTAACTATCCTAAATATATATGCACCCAATACAGGAGCACCCAGATTCATAAAGCAAGTCCTGAGTGACCTACAAAGAGACTTAGACTCCCACACAATAATAATGGGAGACTTTAACACCCCACTGTCAACATTAGACAGATCAATGAGACAGAAAGTTAACAAGGATACCCAGGAATTGAACTCAGCTCTGCACCAAGCAGACCTAATAGACATCTACAGAACTCTCCACCCCAAATCAACAGAATATACATTTTTTTCAGCACCACACCACACCTATTCCAAAATTGACCACATAGTTGGAAGTAAAGCTCTCCTCAGCAAATGTAAAAGATCAGAAATTATAACAAACTATCTCTCAGACCACAGTGCAATCAAACTAGAACTCAGGATGAAGAAACTCACTCAAAACCGCTCAACTACATGGAAACTGAACAACCTGCTCCTGATTGACTACTAGGTACATAACAAAATGAAGGCAGAAATAAAGATGTTCTTTGAAACCAACGAGAACAAAGACACAACATACCAGAATCGCTGGGACACATTCAAAGCAGTGTGTAGAGGGAAACTTATAGCACTAAATGCCCACAAGAGAAAGCAGGAAAGATCCAAAATTGACACCCTAACATCACAATTAAAAGAACTAGAAAAGCAAGAGAAAACACATTCAAAAGCTAGTAGAAGGCAAGAAATAACTAAAATCAGAGCAGAACTGAAGGAAATAGAGACACAAAAAACCCTTCAAAAAATTAATGAATCCAGGAGCTGGTTTTTTGAAAGGATCAACAAAATTGATAGACCGCTAGCAAGACTAATAAAGAAGAAAAGAGAGAAGAATCAAATAGACGCAATAAAAAATGATAAAGGGGATATCACCACCGATCCCACAGAAATACAAATTGCCATCAGAGAATACTACAAACACCTCTATGCAAATAAACTAGAAAATCTAGAAGAAATGGATAAATTCCTCGACACATACACCCTCCCAAGATTAAACCAGGAAGAAGTTGACTCTCTGAATAGACCAATAACAGGAGCTGAAATTGTGGCAATAATCAATAGCTTACCAACCAAAAAGAGTCCAGGACCAGATGGATTCACAGCCGAATTCTACCAGAGGTACAAGGAAGAAATGGTACCATTCCTTCTGAAACTATTCCAATCAATAGAAAAAGAGGGAATCCTCCCTAACTCATTTTATGAGGTCAGCATCATCCTGATACCAAAGCCGGGTAGAGACACAACCAAAAAAGAGAATTTTAGACCAATATCCTTGATGAACATTGATGCAAAAATCCTCAATAAAATACTGGCAAACCGAATCCAGCAGCACATCAAAAAGCTTATCCACCATGATCAAGTGGGCTTCATCCCTGGGATGCAAGGATGGCTCAATATACGCAAATCAATAAATGTAATCCAGCATATAAACAGAACCAAAGACAAAAACCACATGATTATCTCAATAGATGCAGAAAAGGCCTTTGACAAAATTCAACAGCCCTTCATGCTAAAAACTCTCAATAAATTAGGTATTGATGAGACGTATCTCAAAATAATAAGAGCTATCTATGACAATCCCACAGCCAATATCAGACTGAATGGGCAAAAACTGGAAGCATTCCCTTTGAAAACTGGCACAAGACAGGGATGCCCTCTCTCACCACTCCTATTCAACACAGTGTTGGAAGTTCTGGCCAGGGCAATTAGGCAGGAGAAGGAAATAAAGGGTATTCAATTAGGAAAAGAGGAAGTCAAATTGTCCCTGTTTGTAGATGACATGATTGTATATCTAGAAAACCCCAATGTCTCAGCCCAAAATCTCCTTAAGCTGATAAGCAACTTCAGCAATGTCTCAGGATACAAAATCAATGTGCAAAAATCACAAGCATTCTTATACACCAATAACAGACAAACAGAGAGCCAAATCATGAGTGAACTCCCATTCACAATTGCTTCAAAGAGAATAAAATACCTAGGAATCCAACTTACAAGGGATGTGAAGGACCTCTTCAAGGAGAACTACAAACCACTGCTCAATGAAATAAAAGAGGATACAAACAAATAGAAGAACATTCCATGCTCATGGGTAGGAAGAATCAATATCATGAAAATGGCCATACTGCTCAAGGTAATTTATAGATTCAATGCCATCCCCATCAAGCTACCAATGACTTTCTTCACAGAATTGGAAAAAACTACTTTAAAGTTCATATGGAACCAAAAAAGAGCCCACATCGCCAAGTCAATCCTAAGCCAAAAGAACAAAGCTGGAGGCATCACGCTACCTGACTTCAAACTATACTACAAGGAAGGCTACAATAACCAAAACAGCATGATACTGGTACCAAAACAGAGATATAGATCAATGGAACAGAACAGAGCCCTCAGAAATAACGCCGCATATCTACAACTATCTGATCTTTGACAAACCTGAGAAAAACAAGCAATGGGGAAAGGATTCCCTATTTAATAAATGGTGCTGGGAAAACTGGCTAGCCATATGTAGAAAGCTGAAACTGGATCCCTTCCTTACACCTTATACAAAAATTAATTCAAGATGGATTAAAGACTTAAATGTTAGACCTAAAACCATAAAAACCCTAGAAGAAAACCTAGGCATTACCATTCAGGACATAGGCATGGGCAAGGACTTTATGTCTAAAACACCAAAAGCAATGGCAACAAAAGCCAAAATTGACAAATGGGATCTAATTGAACTCAAGAGCTTCTGCACAGCAAAAGAAACTACCATCAGAGTGAACAGGCAACTTACAAAATGGGAGAAAATTTTCCCAACCTACTCATGTGACAAAGGGCTAATATCCAGAATCGACAATGAACTCAAACACATTTACAAGAAAAAAACAAACAACCCCATCAAAAAGTGGGCGAAGGACATGAACAGACACTTCTGAAGAGGACATTTATGCAGCCAAAAAAACACATGAAAAAATGCTCATCATCACTGGCCATCAGAGAAATGCAAATCAAAACCACAATGAGATACCATCTCACACCAGTTAGAATGGCAATCATTAAAAAGTCAGGAAACAACAGGTGCTGGAGAGGATGTGGAGAAATAGGAACACTTTTACACTGTTGGTGGGACGGTAAACTAGTTCAACCATTGTGGAAGTCAGTGTGGCGATTCCTCAGGGATCTAGAACTAGAAATACCATTTGACCCAGCCATCCCATTACTGGGTATACACCCAAAGGACTATAAATCATGCTGCTATAAAGACACATGCACACGTATGTTTATTGCGGCACTATTCACAATAGCAAAGACTTGGAACCAACCCAAATGTCCAACAATGATAGACTGGATTAAGAAAATGTGGCACATATACACCATGGAATACTATGCAGCCATAAAAAATGATGAGTTCATGTCCTTTGTAGGGACATGGATGAAATTGGAAATCATCATTCTCAGTAAACTATCGCAAGAACAGAAAACCAAACACCGCGTATTCTCACTCATAGGTGGGAACTGAACAATGAGAACACATGGACACAGGAAGGGGAACATCACACTCTGGGGACTGTTGTGGGGTGGGGGGAGGGGGGAGGGATAGCTTTAGGAGATATACCTAATGCTAAATGACGAGTTAATTGGTGCAGCACACCAGCATGGCACATGTATACATATGTAACTAACCTGCACATTGTGCACATGTACCCTAAAACTTAAAGTATAATAATAATAGTAATAATAATAAAAAAGAAATGTTCTGAAGTAGGAAGTAACTGAACTGAAAGACAGACAGTGATGCTGCAATAGCAGAAGAACATGGTTGATGGCATGAGATAAAAGAGATGAAGTGGGCAAAAGACATCATAGACTATATTAAGAAATCTAGACTTTTCCCTATAAAAAATATGAAATGCCCTATGAAGCATGTTTTAATTTGGAGAATGTTATAGTAAGATTTATATTTTCAACTTTTCCATCTTAATTTCTAATTTCAGCAAGTTTTCTTAAGAAAACCCTTTTAAAATAATTATATGTAAAATGGTTTCTAATTCCCACTCCAAATTCAATTATCAAAGATGCTTGTATCTTGAAAAAATACCATTGCATACCCTGTTTCCTCTGGGAATGCAGAGAGGGTGCTTCCATCAATCTGACAGGGGTCCTGAGGAGAGTCAGAATCTTTTCTATCTTCATTTGTAGCAATATTGGCTACTCGTTGTTGTTGCAAGTCCCACTGTCGAGCTACGTTGTTAATTGTTAACCTTTTCTTCTCCTATGAAAAAGTTAATTGTGACAAAAGTTATATAATGCAATTTTTGTAGCAGAAGTGACATCTAAGGGGCATATTGTTTGTGCCTTCTTATAATACTTTTAAAAGGAGCCTGTTCCTTTTAAGTAGATACCCAATACATTCTAAAACAAGATTCAAGAGGCCTGTATTTACTCTCTGCATCCAAAAATCTCAATAATTATCTAACTCTAAAGGAAAAAAATGCAAACAATTATTGCTCTTTAGGAACTTAATTTTATTAAAAATAAATATACAACCAACTAGAGATTAAAAATTCAAAATCTGAAGTTTTAATTTCACATAAATTTTTACATACTTAATGTTATCTGAAGTTTTAAACAGAAATTTATATGCCTCTAACACAGTAAGAAAAAACTAATGATATTTTAGTTTTTCTACTCAATAATTAAGACTGGTAAGGTGAAATAATCTTGGAGGGGGGGAAGGGAAGGAGTTGATCAATGTTCCAAGTTTCTCAGAATAAATTATACTGTCTGAAATTTAAAAATTATTCTCTAGACTATTAAAAGAAATTGTACTAGGTTGAAATGTCTCTAGATAACTAGTACCATTCCAGATGAGTAGGAAAGAAATTAATTCATTATAAGCAACGGATGTCTTAAGGTAGTGGTTCTCAAATTTCAGGGTACCTCAAATCACCTGGAGCTTATAACAGATTGCTGATTTAGAGTTTTGGGCATAGGGTTTGAGAATTTGAATTCTCCTAAGTATTCTAATATTGCTAGTTCATGAACCTCACTTTGAGAACCACTGACTTCCAGCATTGGAGCTCAGTCATCTCATAGAAACCCTCTTGTGAAAAAGCAGATCTAGACTACTGAAAGAAATTGTGCTAAATTGAAACGTTTCTATTCAATTTATATATATTAATAGAAAAAAAAATCCCTATTCTGGTAAAGTTTCCATTATCAAAAGATAATATTTAATTACAGCTTGTCAATTAGATCAGAATGCTGAAAACAGACACTTTCCTTTTCCTCTTTACTAAGACTACAATCCTGCATTGAAAAATCAGCTGAGTGTGATACTGACCCCTCTTCACCTGCTGGCCCTGAAGCCACAGAAGGCTAGTAGGAAGATTCTCTGTCCACTCCTTCAGTACATGTAGAATAATTCTTTTTAGTTGTACCTCTTTGCATATGTTTGCATAATTTTTGGTTATCTAAGATTTTAGCATGTATGCATGGCATTAGATAGGAATAAAAAGTGATATGGCTTGCTTAATTAAAACTAAAGTTTTAAAAGTTCTATTTCTGTTTTAAACATGTTTTCTGGGGGAGTGCAGTGGTGCACACTTGAAATCTCAACTACTTGGGAGGCTAATGCAGGAGGACTGCTTGAACCCAGGAGTTGAAAGCTGTAGTGTGCTACAGTCACACCTGTGAACTGCATTCCAGCCTGGGCAACACAGCAAGACCCCATCTCTAAAAAAAATGTTTTGGGCCTGGCTTTCTTTTTTTCTGTTGTTTGGTGTTTCAAAATTTTGTGTACAATTCAGTGGGTTATATTTAATATGTATATACTTTGGAGACTTTCTGACATTCTATGTATGTGCTCCTTATATAAAGCAAGTAGAAATCTGCAATTCCTATTGTAAAAACATTTTTTCCCCATTCTATAATAAAAATGCTTCTTACCTTAAGGAATTCTATTTAAGTTACTTGCTGATGACTATGCCAACCCAATTTGTAATCTAAGCAACTCTGTTTTTTTTACTCAGTATCAAGGCCACTTTGAAAGAGGCCAGGGCAGTGAGTTAATGGCTGATGGTTCTCAGTTGGCTTCATGCTTTTGGATTTCTGGCTGGCAGGGGTAGGCGAAAGAAATACTCAGAATGACATAGATAAAGCAGTGCTTAGAAAAAGGGCATAAAATATCTTTAGACCACTGAGTATGTTAAATTTATAATAAGATAATCTTTGAAAATGCAAACGTTTTCCTATATTAGTGCAAAAGTTAAGCTTCTTTAATTTGGGTTATTAAAATCAGATCATTACCAGGTTGACTAAGAGAATGATTAATTTTACTGGGGCCCGGAAAAGGGAAGACATATTTTAAGACAGGAGTATAGCCTGTCTTAATGTCAGGTGGGGATTAATGGCTGGCCAGGAGGACACATAAGGGCTCTATGCATCTGTGGAGGAAAAAAAAAAAAAAAAAAAAGAAGAAGCAAAAGAAAGGTTAGAGAATGCTAGAGATTCTGCAAGGCATAAGGGGGTACCCAAAGTAAAGTGTAAAGATCACAGAAGCATTTGGGATATCAGCGACAATTATGTTTCTAATAGCTAGGTGCCAATAAATGGCCAAGTCTGTGCTAAAGTGACAAATATTTTAGAAGGTGCCAAATTCCAGTTTCTGCCATTTGAGTCTACTTTTCATAGTCCAGGCAAGACCATACCAGTATATGCCATAAGTTTCACTTTCCTTCACTTCTAAGGTTACAAGGAAAATAAAAAAAATAGAAAAGCAACAAGGCAGAAGACAGTATCTATACACTCTTCCTGTAACCAATCCATTCCATTTTCTTTTTTTTATTTTTTAGCATTCTTTTTTTTTTTAAATTATACTTTAAGTTCTAGGATACATATGCAGAACGTGCAGGTTTGTTACATAGGTATACATGTGCCATGGTGGTTTGCTGCACCCATCAACCCGTCATCTACATTAGGTATTTCTCCTAATGCTATCCGTCCCCTAGCCCCCCCACCCTCCAACAGGCCCCGGTGTGTGATGTTCCCCTCCCTGTGTCCATGTGTTCTCATTGTTCAACTCCCACTCATGAGTAAGAACATGCAGTGTTTGGTTTTCTGTTCCTGTGTTAGTTTGCTGAGAATGTCCATCCCATTTTCTTAATGATCAATATGTAGAGTTGCACGAGCAATCCTCAGCAAATGCTGAGGGTCTGTTGTATCATGATTCCAAATCTGAGCTAGGGCTAGAACCTGGGTCTCCTGATTCCCCATGCTTTTCCTCTTACTAAAAATAAAAATACTAAGTAAACCTCGTAACTAAAGAGTCCTATTTAGTGACATTTTGTTTTGTCTCACTGTATTTTCCAAGCTGGACTTAATTCCTGGGCTCAAGCAATCCTCTACCTTAGCCTCCCAAGTAGTTAAGACTTCAGGTACATACCACCTTGCCTGGCTAGTCATTTTTTTGAATTCTGAGTGCCACTTTAATTTTAAAAAGAAAAGCATCTATATAGAACATGAATGAGTAATGATAATCAGGGTGATGTCCTTAATTTTAGAACACAGCATGATGCATATTATGAACTATAAACTTAAAGCTGCCTTTACTTATACTTTGCAATGTTAATATAAAATATTTAAAAGAGAATATTTTATTTAAGGAAATTAATATCTGCTAAATCATTTAAAACCAGTTTAAAACAAATTTTCATTCCTAAGTTCCACAAAATCTTTATCACTTCTATATCATAAACTTTTTAAATTTAAAAAGCTATCATTAAAAAAAAAAAACGTAGCAGAGCTCATTAAAATATATCAGTAAAGATGACAGTCAATTACAGTACGTTCCAAAAGGAAGTGAATAGGCCATGGGATACACAAGATGATGCACTGGTATGAAATAAAAGTGTTATAACTTCAATTATATTTATTTATCATCTCTTCCTTTTAAAACTAGCCTTTGCATTTATTTTATAATGTATATCATATTTTATTTCTTAAGTACAGGTTTATTTATAGGTAATAACTTGTAAAAGTTTTAGGGGTACGTACATTCTGTTGATAGGAACAAAAAACTTACAAAGTTTAGAAACCACTTTTCCAGTAGACTAGCTAGCTGGCTTTGGGGTATGTGTGTCTACGTGTGCACACACATCCATGTAGACATCAGAGAAAATACCTTAAGCAAAGATTGTTTATGACTTTCCCGCTTCTTCTCTTCCTCTTTTTTGGCTAAAACAGATGCCATACGCCTTTCTTCTTCCTAAAAGACATTTTCCGAAAAGTATTATGAAGAGTTTAACCATTTTTTAATGCTAAATATCATTGGTCCTATTAAGCACAGTTTTCTTCTTGAGAGGCATAGTATTTACTAGCAGAAAATATACTCTCAAAGAAA
Organism: Homo sapiens; assembly: GCF_000001405.40. NCBI lineage: Eukaryota > Metazoa > Chordata > Mammalia > Primates > Hominidae > Homo > Homo sapiens. Next base: position 70,979,965 of record NC_000015.10, on the reverse strand, counting down.
AATTTAGTATGTTTCTCTTTATTTTCTTCTTTCCTCTTAATGCTAAAAATCTGTGCATTCCTAACTCTATTCCCAACTCTGGAGGTGACGTGAACCTAGCTCATACAAGAAAGAAAAAAGAATGAGAAGAAAAGGAGAAGTATGTTTGCATCATTTTCCTTTTGTACGCTGTGCATCATGGTTCCACATAGGTTTAAACTTTCTATCATCAAGGTAAGAAGGATAAAAGTGATACATCTAACAATGTTGACTGGATCTGTGATAGAAAATCAGAACTTTTTGATGAAAAAACCAGGGTAAATATCTTTTAAAACTCCAATTATATTAATAAATTACTCCCCATTAATATAATTACTTTTGGTTTGTTTTTAAATTGTGTTGCCCAGTCTCATTTTTTAAATTCTAAAAGCTATGAAATATAGCATGATGACCGTAGTTAATAATCTTGTATTGTAATCTTGGCATTTGCTAAGAGAATAGATCTTATATGTTCTAACTACAAAAAAAAAAAGATAATCAGGTGAAGTGATAGAAATATTAACTAACTTGATTGTGGTAATCATTTTATCATACACATCAAATCACCACACTGTACACCTTAATTTTATATAGTTTCATCAATCATACCTCAACAAAGCTGGAAAAAGTAGAAATGACAAAATAACCTTACAAACAGTTTAGAAAAATGCTTAAAAATCAGTCATAATCCCAAACACCTAACTCAAATCTTACAATTTCTGTGTATCAGTTTATAATATTCACTATGAGCAATTTTTTTAAAGGTTATAATCTATATACACAATCTGGACAATTTTTCCCCCGAAGACTGTCAGATTTTAATAAATTATAACCACGTAACTTTTAATTTTCATTACCAAAAGATTTGTAGATACTCAAAATAATACGATAATTTGAGAAAACAATTTATTCATAAAAGACAAGCTTGAAAACATCTTCAGAGACAGGAAACCATAACAAGTAACTTAGCAGATTTGAAGAATAACTCTTTTAGAAACAAAAAATTATAAGAATTGAAATTTAAAATTCAACAAAGGGAGATTTAATAGCAGATTATACACAGCTGAAGAGAGAATCAGTCAACTGGAAAATAGAGGATGAGAATGTTTTCTATATGTTTTAGTATCACCCTACATACTTCTCTATCATAGCACTTAACCTGTTTCATTTTAATTTTTTCTGGTGCTATCCCTCTTGCCTCCCACGCCATAAAATAAGCTCTATGAATGTATGAACCATGTCTGTTCAGTAATTTATTAAAACCGAAACTGCTGTATCAAATGGTAGACATATTTCTATCCTTTTGATATGTCTGCAAACTGCCCTCCATAAATGCAGTTCTAATTTATACTCCTACCAGATTTCAACATTTGATTTAAAACCTGATGGTTATTCATAAAAGCTGTTCACCAAATATTCTTGTGTCTTTGCATATCCAAGACACATTGTGAGATAGCACTTCTAGCCCCCTTGAGGTTAGATGTGGCCATGTGACTTGCTTTGGCCAATGTCATATGGACAAAAGTGACATGTATTTACTTCTGGTTGAAAACTTTCAAAGACAATGTATGATACAACTATTCTCTCTCTCACCTTGCTACAGCACCTGCAAAACTCCACAGGTGGGTACTTTGAAAGCCTGAGTACTAGAATGAGGACAACATAGAGCAAAGATCCCAAATCACACATCATAGGCAGACAGGTATTAGAAGCCTGAAATAAACTTTGTTGTTTTAATTCACTGAAGTTAGAGAAGCTGTTACTGCAGCACAATCTAGCCTATGCTGACCAGTATATATATGTTATATTAGAATTAAAGAAGGTCAAAGAGACTATGAAAATGTGTTCTAGAGGATGGGCCATTATACATGCTCCTGAAAACAAAGAAAAAACCTAGATTAAATAATTATATTTAAAAATGCACAAACAGAAACCAACACAGAGTTTAAAAAGAAAACTAAGAAAGCATATACTAGACAACTCTAATTTTAGAAATAAGGTAACAAATGCTCCAAGACATTAGTAACTTGTATGAGGTCACATAGCTAGTGACAAGGCCAGGATCAGGACCAGAAGCCATGGCCTGCTAGAAACAAAATTCATATTTTTTTTATAATAAAGATGTATTTAAATTAATTTTACTGATTTTAGATAGATAAAGAAGAGTTTAGAACTCAGAAGTGATCTGCCATATGATTTAGTTGTTTTAAAGGAAATGGAAATGGAAATGTAATGTAATTTTAGTGAATTTAAAGTGTCTTTTACAATATGGAAAATAATAATAATTATTATTTTTTTAAGACAGTCTTGTGTCTTGCTTGTTGCCCAGGCTTGGAGTGCCATGGTGCAATGTCAGCTCACTGCAACCTCCGCCTCCTGGGTTCAAGCAATTCTCATGTCTTAGCCTCCCAAGAAGCTGGGATTACAGGCATGTGCCACCATGCCAGGCTAATTTTTGTATTTTTAGTAGAGACAGGGTTTTACCATGTTGGCCAGGCTGGTCTCAAACGCCTAGCCTCATGTGATCTGCCCACTTCAGCCTCCCAAAGTGCTACAATTACAGGCGTGAGCCACCAATGCCCAGCTGGAAAATAATTATTCTTAACTTTTAAAAACTAAATAGAGGTAATGAGGAGAAATAAACTAAATTAAAAATGCAGAACTTTGAATCCTAGCTTCACAAAATATCTGGTTTAATAATTCTGTTAAATTCTTTTATTCAGTAAATACTGACTTGGTACCTACAGAGTACAATCTATTTCAGAATAAAGTGTTTAAAAGAGCAAAATACATTGATGTTCAATTGTTGACTCATCTATAAAATGTGAACTAGAAACAGATTGTTTTTTCAAAGAGCCAATTTCAAACAGTACTGGAAACTGTATGGATCACGTACTACACATACTTACGAGATGATTTCATCAGATTTTTGAAAAGAATTTGAGCTTCTATTAAAGGCAGTAGGGCTTAAAAGGAAAGCTAAACCTTGGAAAACTGGATTTACACCAAATCAATTCAAATATTGAATATTTTAAGGAATTTATGTATCTGAGAGCTATATTTCAGCCCAAATAATTACAGAGTAACTAAACTTAGAAAAAAAACCTCTAATTGTGAAGATAAGTTATAAATCTGTTGGTAAGAAAGAAAAACTAAAATTCTGGTATCTTCTTGATAATAGTCCAATTTCTGGGACAAAAGCCATATCCTTTACATAGCAAAAAATAAAAATAAAAAAATAAATAAGTTGGGGGGGGAATCTGGGATCTGGGACAAAAAACTACTTTTTCCTCACTTCATTTTGGCCATGAAGACCCAATATAGAAATAATTTCAAGTCAATTAAGCCATGCAGTGATTTAATAGGTGTTTGATAACCTAGATTATACTTTGTTAGCAGATATTAAGGCCTAAAACAATGCACATATCACACAAGAAAAAGACTGATCCAAAATAAATAATAGTAGTCCTAATATAGGCAGCATTTTATGAAATTTTAAAAATCAAATGGCAAGGTGTGTTTTAACCATATACTTTAGTTATAAACATTATTTTCTTTGAACATATAAAATATTAAAACAGACTTTAAAATCACAGGGTTTTTTCCCTCAAAGAGGTGGTCAATAATTTTTACTCAAACAATCACTTTTAGCAAACAAAACTGATTTTTTTGCAGGGTCACACCTAGTGTTAGAGTGAAGATTAGAAGCCATGTCACCTGACTTCTGGTCCAGGGATATTAGCTGTTAAATACTGGGGAGGGAAATAGTCAGAACAGGATAGGTTATGCTGCTGTAACAACTTCAAAACTTTCACTGGCTTATGACTTTAAAAAAGTTTATTTCTTGATCACGCAAAGAACACTGCACCTGTCTTCAATGTAGTGGCTAAGTATTCCTGAGTGCTATGATCTGATGGCATCCTCAACTTTATATAGGCTTCCGCAGTGACTACCACATGGGAAGGAAGCATGAGAATCATGCTTTTAAATGCTTCTGCCTGGAAATGATATACATTATTTCTGCTCACATTTCATTGGCCAAACATCTTCCCACATGTCAAAAAGGAGGAGAACCAGAGCATATTGGTGAACATTAGTAATGTCTACCAAAACAGAAAACGTACACATGAGATGAGCTCCTTTTTTTTTTTGGAGAGCAAATTGTAAACAAGTTCACACTAAGCCAATTAAATGTGAGCTTGAGGTGAAAACTTTAGACATTGTTTGTTTCTGAATTGTGTTGTTGTTTTGTTTTGAGACAGGATCTCATTCTGTCCCCCAGGCTTGAGTGCAGTGGCGAGATCTTGGCTCACTGCAGCTTTGACCTCCTGGGTTCAAGCGATCCTCCTGCCTCAGTCCCCCAAGTCTCTGGTACTACAGGCGTGTGCCTCCACACTCGGCTAAATTTTTTGTATTTTTTGTAGAGACAGGGTTTTGTCATGTTGGCCAGCTGGTCTCAAACTCCTGACTCAAGTGATCTGCCCACCTTGGCCTCCCAAAGTGCTAGGATTACAGGCATGAGCCACCACGCCCAACCCTGTTTCAGAATTGTGAGAATACTGCCTGCATTCACAAAATGCTGCCTTAGAAATAAAAAGGAAAATTCTGCCTCCCAGAATTTTCTATATAAGGGTCCTTGTTCTAGCCCCTCAACATGTGTCTGTTCTCTCTTTTTTTGAATAGTTGTGAAAACAGGTGAAGATCACTGGGATATCTTCCTTATGTCTTCTCCTTTGTCAACTAATCATGTCAGATTCTTTGGAAATGCTCTAGTTTATTGTCTGCCCTCTAAAACTAGTAATAGTTCAGGTGTAATCTGACCACTGTAGAAAAAAATGGGATGGGACTGTCTCCATTGTCTGAATTCTCTTTTTCTATAAATGAATATTGTTTTAAGCCATATTAACTTTTAATAATCACATCTCATAATTAATTGAACTTGAATTTAGCAATTCCAAGTCACTTTAACACACGCTGCTAAGTCTAATCTTGTATAATACTGAATTTGTGCTAAGAATTGTTTTGCTTGATTGTTGTTATGGAATAAAGTCCAGGATGTTCAATTCATCTATTTTTTATGTTGTTAAATTCTGCTTACTTTTCTAGACTAGGCATAAACAAACTTTTTCTGTAGAGGGTCAGATAGTATGGTAAATATTTTAGGCTTTGTGAGCTGTATGTGATCTCTATCTCATATCCTTCTTTGTTGTTCTTTTTTTTTTTTTTTACAATGCTTTGAAAACATAAAAGCCATTATTAGCTTGAGAGCTGTACAAAAAGCAGGCTGCCAGATGGATCTAGCCCATAGGCTGTAGTTTGCCAAACCCTGTTCTAGACTATGGAGATACTTTTGGATTCTCATTTGATCAACCAATATACCAAGAACTCTAATTTCTCTAGTTTCTGTCATTCACATACTTTACCAGAATAACAAATATTTTCTCCTAGACATTAATAAAAATGTGAATAGAATGGACTGGAGGAAAAAAGCCTCATGGCATGCCAGTACAGATTTCTCTAAAGGCTGGCATTAATCCATTACTTCATGTTCTGTAAGTATACTTGAATCAAAAATCTACATAACCATGTCATACAATTTACTCAAAATGATGCCATAAAAGACTTTGCCAAATGCTTTGCTTAAATACCAAAACACTGTCTATAGCACTCCTCTAACAAGGTCTATTTGTAATTTCTAGGTCAGGAAACTAATTCTTTTCTGGCATGAATTGTTTTTTAGTGAGCTAATGCTGCCTCCTAGTGACCAATTCCTAAGTACTCACAAACCATCTTTTTATTTTATTTTATTATTTTATTTTTTTGAGACAGAGTCCCCTTCTGTTGCCAGGCTGGAGTGCAGTGGCGCGATCTCGGCTCACCGCAACCTCCAACTCCCTGGTTCAAGTGATTCTCCAGCCTCAGCCTCCCGAGTAGCTGGGATTACAGGCACGCACCACCATGCCCAGCTAATTTTTGTATTTTTAGTACAGATGGGGTTTCACCATGTTGGCTAGGATGGTCTCAATCTCCTGACCTTGTGATCCGCCCACCTCAACCTCCCAAAGTACTGGGATTACAGGAGTAAGCCACCGCACTGGGCCACAAACCATCTTTTAATAATGCAATTTAAATTTATTTCAGAATCAACATCAAGTTGACTGTCACAATTTGTGGAATTTATATTCTGTACTTTTGACATTAAAAAAACCACAGTGCCACAAAGTCACTGTAGCCAGACTGACTGCCTCTCTAGATTCCTCTTCTCTAAGCTCAGCAACTCTGAAAGAAAGGCAGCAGCCCCACTCAGAGCTTATAGATAAAACTCCCATCTCCCTGGGACAGAGCACCTGGGGGAAGTGGCGGTTGTGGGCACAGCTTCAGCAGACATAAATGTTCCTGCCTGCCAGCTCTGAAGAGAGCAGCGGATCTCCCAGCAGAGTGCTCGAGCTCTGCTAAGGGACAGACTGCCTCCTCAAGTGGGTCCCTGACCCCCCTGCCTTCTGATGGGGAGATACCTCCCAGCAGGTGTTGACAGACACTTCATACAGGAGAGCTCCAACTGGCATCTGGCGGGTGCCCCTCTGGGATGAAGCTTCCAGAGGAAAGAGCAGGCAGCAATGTTTTGCTGTTCTGCAGCATCTGCTGGTGACACCCAGGCAAACAGGGTGTGGAGTGGACCCCCAGCAAACTCCAGCAGACCTGCAGAAGAGGGGCCTGACTGTTAGAAGGGAAAAAACAGAAAGCAATAGCATCAACATCAACAAAAAGGATAACTACGCAAAAACTCCATCCAAAGGTCACCAACAGCAAAGACCAAAGGTGGATAAATCCACGAAGATGAGGAAAAACCAGCACAAAAAGGTTGAAAATTCCAAAAACCAGAATGCCACTTCTCCAAAGGATCACAACTCCTCACCAGCAAGGGAACAAAACTGGATGGAGAATGAGTTTGACGAATTGACAGAAGTAGGCTTCAGAAGGTGGGTAGTAACAAACTCCTCCAGGCTAAAGGAGCATGTTCTAACCCAATGGAATGAAGCTAAGAACCCTGAAAAAAGGTTACAGGAACTGCTAACAAGAATAACCAGTTTAGAGAAGAACATAAATGACCTGATGGAGCTGAAAAACACAGCACAAGAATTTCGTGAAGCGTACACAAGTATCAATAGCTAAATCGATCAAGCAGAGGAAAGGATATCAGAGACTGAAGATCAACTTAATGAAATGAAGCGTGAAGACAAGATTAGAGAAAAAAGAATGAAAAGGAATGAACAAAGCAGCCAAGAAATATGGGACTATGTGAAAAGACCAAACCTACATTTGATTGCTGTACCTGAAAGTGACGGGGAGAATGGAAGCAAGTTGGAAAACACACTTCAGGATATTATCCAGGAGAACTTCCCCAACCTAGCAAGACAGGCCAACATTCAAATTCAGGAAATACGGAGAACACCACAAAGATACTCCTCAAGAAAATCAACCTCAAGACACATAATCATCAGATACACCAAGGTTGAAATGAAGGAAAAAATGTTAAGCACAGCCAGAGAGAAAGGTTGCGTTATCTACAAAGGGGAGCCCATCAGACTAACATTGGATCTCTCTGCAGAAACCCTACAAGCCAGAAGAGAGTGGGGGCCAATATTCAACATTCTTAAAGAAAAGAATTTTCAACCCAGAATTTCATATCCAGCCAAACTAAGCTTCATAAGTGAAGGAGAAATAAAATACTTTACAGACAAGCAAATGCTGAGGTATTTTGTCACCACCAGGCCTGCCTTACAAGAGCTCCTGAAGGAAGCACTAAATATGGAAAGGAAAAAACAGTACCAGCCACTACAAAAACAAACCAAAGTGTAAAGACCATCGACACTATGAAGAAACTGCATCAACTAATGGGCAAAAAACACCAGCTAGCATCATAATTACAGGATCAATTTCACACATAACAATATTAACCTTAAATGTAAATGGGCTAAATGCCCCAGTTAAAAGAAACAGACTGGCAAATTGGATAAAGAGTCAAGACCCATTGGTGTGCTGTATTCAGCAGACCCATCTCACATGCAAAGACACACATAGACTCAAAATAAAGTGATAGAGGAAGATTTACCAAGGAAATGGAAAGCAAAAAAAAAAAAAAAAAAAAAGGAGTGGTTACAATCCTAGTCTCTGACAAAACAGACTTTAAACCAACAAAGATCAAAAAAGACAAAGAAGGGCATTGCATAATAATAAAGGGATCTAATGCAATAAGAAGAACTAACCATCCTAAATACATATGCACCCAATATAGGAGCACTCAGATTCATAAAACAACTTCTTAGAGACCCACAAGGAGACTTAGACTCCCACACAATAATAATGGGAGATTTTAACACCCCACTGTCAATATTAGACAGATTAACAAGACAGAAAATTAACAAGGATATTCAGGACTTGAACTCAGCTCTGGAGCATGTGGACCTAATAGACATCTACAGAACTCTCCACCCCAAATCAACAGAATATACAGTCTTCTCAGCACCACATCGTACTTATTCTAAAATCAACCGCATAATTGGAAGTAAAACATGCAAAAGAATGGAAATCACAACAAACAGTCTCTCGGACCACAGTGCAATCACGTTAGAACTCAGGATTAAGAAACACACTCAAAACCACAAAACTACATGGAAACTGAACAACCTGCTCCTGAATGACTACTGGGTAAATAATGAATTTAAGGGAGAAATAAAGAAGTTCTTTGAAACCAATGAGAAAAAAGACACAATGTACCAGAATCTCTGGGTGCTAAAGCAGTGTTTAGAGGGAAATTTATAGTACTAAATGGCCACAGAAGAAAGTGGGAAAGATCTAAAATTGACACCCTAACATCACAATTGAAAGAATTAGAGAAGCAAGAGCAAACAAATTCAAAAGGTAGTAGAAGACAAGAAATAACTAAGATCAGAGCAGAACTGAAGGGGATAGAGAACGAATGACCCTTCAAAAAATCAATGAATCCAGGAGCTGATTTTTTGAAAAGATCAACAAAATAGGTAGACTGCTAGCCAGATTAATAAAGAAGAAGGGAGAGAAGAATCAAATATACACAATAAAAAATGATAAAGGGGAGATCACCACTGATGCCACAGAAATACAAACTACCATCAGAGAATACTATAAACACCTCTATGCAAATAAACTAGAAAATCTAGAAGAAACAGATAAATTCCTGGACACATATACCCTCCCAAGACTAAACCATGAAGAAGTTGAATCCCTGAATAGACCAATAACAAGTTCTGTAATTGAGGCAGTAATTAATAGCCTACCAACCAAAAAAAGCCCAGGACCAGATGGATTCACAGCTGAATTCTACCAGAGGTACAAAGAGGAGCAGGTAGCATCCCTTCTGAAACTACTCCAAACAATAGAAAAAGAGGGACTCCTCCCTAACTCATTTTATGAGGCCAGCATCATCCTGATACTAAATCCTGGCAGAGACACAACAACAACAAAAAAAGAAAATTTCAGGCCAGTATCCCTGATGAACATCAATGCGAAAATCCTCAGTAAAATAGGGGCAAACCGAATCCAGCAGCACATTAAAAAGCTTATCCACCACGATCAACCCAGCTTCATCCCTGGGATGCAAGGCTGGTTCAACATACTCAAATCAATAAATGTAATCCATCACATAAACAGAACCAATGACAAAAACCATATGATTATCTCAATAGATGCAGAAAAGGCCTTCGATAAAAATTCAATACCGCTTCATGCTAAAAACACTCAACAAACTAGGTATTGATGGAACATATCTCAAAATAATAAGAGCTATTTATGACAAACCCATAGCCAATATCATACTGAATGTGCAAAAGCTGGACGCATTCCCTTTGAAAACTGGCACAAGACAAGGATGCCCTCTCTCACCACTCCTATTCAACATAGTATTGGAAGTTCCGGCCAGGGCAATCAGGCAAGAGAAAGAAATAAAGGGTATTCAGATAGGAAGACAGGAGTCAGATTATCTCTGTTTGCAGATGATATGATTGTATATTTAGAAAACCCCATCATCTCAGCCCCAAAACTCCTTAAGCTGATAAGCAACTTCAGCAAAGTCTCAGGATACAAAATCAATATCCAAAAATCACAAGCATTCCTATACACCAATAATAGACAGAGAGCCAAATCATGAGCAAACTCCCATTCACAATTGCTACAAACAGAAGAAAACGTCTAGGCATACAACTTACAAGGGATGTGAAGGACCTCTTCAAGGAGAACTAAAAACCACTGCTCAAGGAAATAAGAGAGGACATAAACAAATGGAAAAACATTCTATGCTCGTGGATAGGAAGAATCAATATAGTGAAAATGGCCATACTGCCCAAAGTAATTTATATATTTAATGCTAATCCCATCAAGCTACCATTGACTTTCTTCACAGAATTAGAAAAAACTACTTTAAATTCATTTAGAACCAAAAAAGAGCCCATATAGCCAAGACAATCCTAAGAAAATGAACAAAGCTGGAGGCATCATGCTACCTGACTTCAAACTATACTACAAGGCTACAGTAACCAAAACAACAAGGTACTGGTACCAAAACAGATATATAGACCAATGGAACAGAACAGAGCCCTCAGAAATAATGCCACACATCTACAACCATCTGATCTTTGACAAACCTGACAAAAACAAGCAATGGGTAAAGGATTCCCTATTTAATGAATGGTGCTGGGAAAACTGGCTAGCCATATGCAGAAAGCTGAAACTGGACCCCTTCCTTACACCTTACACAAAAATTAATTCAAAATAGATTAAAGACTTAAACTTAAGACCTAAAACCATGAAAACCCTAGAAGAAAACCTAGGCAATACCATTCAGGACATAGGCATGGGCGAAGACTTCATGACTAAAACACCAAAAGCAACGGTAACAAAAGCCAAAATTGACAAATGGGACCTAATCAAACAAAAGAGCTTCTGCACAGCAAAAGAAACTATCATCAGAGTCAACAGGTAACCTACAGAACGGAAGAAAATTTTTGCAATCTATCCATCCGACAAAGGACTAATATCCAGAATCTACAAGGAACGTAAACAAATTTACAAGAAAGAAACAAACAACCCCATCAGAAAGTGGGGGAAGGATATGAACAGACACTTCTCAAAAGAAGACATTTATGTAGCCATCAAACATGAAAAAAAGCTCATCATCACTGGTCATTAGAGAAATGCAAAGCAAACCACATTAGAGAAACGCAAATCATGCCATTTAGAATGGTGATCATTCAAAAGTCAGGAAACAACAGATGCCGGAGAGAATGTGGACAAATAGGAATGCTTTTACACTGTTGGTGGGAGTGTAAGTTAGTTCAACCATTGTGGAAGACAGTGCAGCAATTCCTCAAGGATCTAGAACTAGAAATACCATTTGACCCAGCAATCCCATTACTGGGTATATACCCAAAGGATTATAAGTTATTCTACTATAAAGACACATGCATACGTATGTTTATTGCAGCACTATTCACAATAGCAAAGACTTGGAACCAAAATGCCCATCAATCTTAGGCTGGATAAAGAAAATGTGGCACGTATACACCATGGAATACTATGCAGCCATAAAAAAGAATGAGTTCATGTCCTTTGTACGGACATGGATGAAGCTGGAAACCATCATTCTGAGCAAACTATTGCAAGGACAGAAAACCAAGCACTGCATGTTCTCATTCATAATGGGAGTTTAACAATGAGAACACATGGGCACAGGGAGGGGAACATCACATACCAGGGCCTGTTGGGGTGTGGAGGCAAGGAGAGGGATAGCATTAGGAGAAATATCTAATGCAGATTACGGGTTGATAGGTGCAGCAAACCACCATGGCACCTGTATACCTATGTAACAAACCTGCACATTCTGCACATGTATCCCAGAACTTAAAGTATAATCAAAAATAAACAAATAAATAAATAAAGCAATATTGCAAAAAAAAAAAAAGTTACTTCATCTTACCTTTCAGCTGCTCCATTATTCTATAACCCTACCTAGACAAAACTCTCAGTGGTTCAGCGATTTATTCAGTGCTCTAGATTAAGGACTGCCAAACTCTAGGCCACAGGCCAAAGTCAGCCACCTGTTTTTCTAAATAACATTCTCCTGGAACAGAATCATGCTTATTCATATATGTATTGTCCATGCCTTTTTTCATACTACAATGGGCAAACTGAGTAGTTTCAACAGACAATATGCAGGCCCCAAAGCCTAAAATATTTACTATCAGGTCCTTTATAGATAAAATTTGCCAACCCTTGCTCTAGATGTGGGCCTGAGTTCCAACTTATTTATTTACCTATCCTAAGCTTCACTTTTATCTTATTAATCTTTATGCTAATCTTTACAAACTAAAACCCCTTCTTCTGAAGAAAGATAAAGCAAAATAGGAGTTGAGGCCAGTGATAGATGGCATCATATTATCTCTTGCCATTCCTCTGGATCAGATTCCCAGACTCTTACTCTGATTAATCTCCTTGCTTCTCATCTCATCACCCATCGCATCCTCTCCGATCTATCTTCAAGGCTGAACCCAGAAAGACAGTCTTCTTAATAGGCAAATCCAATTTAACTACCTTAAACTCTTCAAGGGTTTCTCCTATTATGTCCAAGACAAAAATCTAAACTCCTTATTATGATATAAAATGCCCTAGTCCTTGCCTGTCCTTGCCTGTCAGACATAGTTGTCTCCTTCTATGTCCCTCAGCCATGTACACTCAATGCTTAGCCATGTTGAACTCCTGTCAGCTGCTATATTCTCTCAGCTTCCTTCTGCATTTTGCATGCCTTTATTTTCCACAAATACATCCTCCTTCTTCTTTACCACCCTTAAAGTCTTGAGTCAATTATTTTCTCCTTTGGAACTTTTCTGTTTTTCAGGTAGACTTGGGATTGCTTTGCTCTTTGATATCATTTTGCCCTGGGTGTAAGTGTGTTGACACAAACATATATCTCTATTGATCCATCTAGTAATCTTATCTCTCTAGATTGTCATTTTGCACTGTAATCCAGCTGCATGGTTGCCTCTGCAGACAACTGCAAGTAACTTTAGGGCATGAACTGTGATTTTGATCTTTTCATCTCTACTGTCTAATATATATCCTAGTACAGAAACTCGTGAGTTCAAGATACCTAATAGTCTCAGGGATTTTTTCACAGTGCCTCTAGGCCAAAAGAAATATGTGACAACTCTGTTTACTAAGTAGTTTGGTCCAAACAATTTAATAAGTATTCATGGTCTAGCACTTTAGTAGCAATTAAAAAATAATATATGTAAATAGAAAGAAAAAATATTTTATATCATTTTTAAATAACCACAACTACTTATCAATGGAATGTGTAGAACCAGGAGGACGTTATACAATTTCTCAAACAGAGAATCACATTGGACACTGCCATCCCCATTTCCTGTTCGATACTGATTTTGGCAAGGTATTTATTTTTATTACAACAACTACTGAAAATTCAGCTTTTCAAAGATAGGAAGTGATTGAAACAAATATAGTGTGAGGTCATGTTGAAATGGTAAACTATTTGAGCTACTAATTTGCCCACAGTCTCAGAGATGTCAAATCTCACTGTGTTTCCCCTGGAAGTTAAAAATCACTCCCTATGAGTTCACTGCAGCATCCTCTGCACGCAGTTTAGGAACCACTGCCCCAGTGCACAGAAGTTCATTAAATATTTGTGTAATCCACCACAGTGAGAATGTTTATATGGTAATTTACACAAAAATTCAATTAAGATATTGTTTCTTAAAGAGAAAAAATAGTTACTGGCATCAGCAAACTTTTTCAGCCAGATAATAAATATTTTGGGCTTGTAGGCCACATAGTATCCATAGCAACTACTTGACTCTGCCATTGCAGCATCAAAGCAAACATAGATAATACATAAATGAATGGGCATCACTGTGTTCCAATACAACTTTATTTACAAAAACAGGTAGCCAGCTCACAGGCTGTTTGTTGACATTTGTTATAAAAAGTCCTTAAAAAAGGTACAGCTTCCACACTAAAGTTACTAAAAAGTTATAAATAAAAGACGAGACTAAATACCATAAGTCCATATAGATATGAATGAATGAATAAATTTACATTTTTATGAGGAATGGGATTACAAAGGGAAAAAGAGAATCTTCACAAAGAAAAGCTTGGCAGAAATCATCCTAAAGTAAGCATCCTCAATAAAGAGATAAATATGAAGAACATGTTGTAAGACATGCTGGTCTAAGATGCAATGAGAAGAATACAAAATCACTGCTATGATATTAATGCCAAAAACCTATAAGTAAAAATTAATCATGAGGAAACATCAAAAAATCTGAATTGAGGGTCATTCTACAAAAAAACTAACCTGTAATTTTCATAAATATCAGTCATGAAAATCAAAGAAAGACTGAGAAATAGTTCCAGAAAAATGATGACTTTAGAGACATGACAACAAAATTCAGCTATAATGCAATGTATAATTTTAAACTGCATCTTTTTGCTGTAAAGAACAATATTGATATAACTGGTAAAAGTTCAATGTGGTGTGAGAATTAGATGCTAGTAATCTGTAGGTGCCAGGCAAGAAAGAAGAATGGTTTCTGCCTTTAAAGACTATATATTGTTTGGGTAGACAAGACTGACAAATAAATTCACTATGAGGAACATACCATATAATTAAGTACTAATTTATATAAACGAGTTAGCTCTAAATCTTATCCCACTCATCTCAACCTCATTAGAAAGAGCAATTTAAGAAGTAGCATAGATGCTTAACTAAGAAAGACATGGAGATAAGGGTAAAGAGTCACCACAAAAATATGAAACAGTGTTGACACTATAGAGCTGAATTAACTAAGAGGACAAAGAACCATAGCTCCACCATGGAATAGAGAGAGAGGCAGAACCCTAGAAGACCTCTGGTATCCATCAATTCATCCACACTTTTAGCTATTAGCTAGCCACCTTAGAGGTCCACAGTATTGCCAACGCATAAATGAAAACTGCACACATTGTGATGCTAATATACAAAGAAATAGGTCAGTTGGCAACTGCATAAACCTAGGTGATCAACAGAATTCACATGAAAATCAGCAGTCCAGAAGAGAGAAAATAGGTAGAGGCTTAGGATATTTTTCTAGGTCAGAGACTATCAAACTGAGATTATTAAAATGTGTTTTCTCATAACAAATAAACCTGGTCAAAGAAACAAAGTTAAACAAGTTTATTTAATTACAGAACTTCTTGGATCCTATAATATGCTAATACACATTGTACACCTAAAAAGAGGGGGATATTATGCACAGCATTTCCTTAGATCAGAAACCATATTAAAACATCTAAGTGTAGAAAATATCTTAACATGGAGATACGATGAATAAAAAGAGGTAGCTACTTTGGGAGATATAACATCAACAATAACAACTACATACAAATGCCTCCTAGGAGCCTCGCAGTCTAAAGTGTAGTACCTTATTTTCTAAGGTGTAGTACTTTATTTCATCTTCGCGACAAACCTATGACTTAATTCTGATCCCCATTTTACTTTGAGGAAAATGAGGTATACAAAGATTAAATACATTGCCAAAGGACTATCGTTAGAAAGCAGTCAAGCCAGAATTCAGACGCAGGCAATCTGGCTCCAGTGTCCATGCTCTTAACCACTATGCTACATAACTTAAAGAAATTCTCACTCATTCATTTCAAAATAAATTATTATTTGGATATTAAGCAAGAATGAAAAATAAACACGATGATTAATTTAAACAGAAGGCTAGGAATTTTAAAAGTCTTGCTCAATTAAACTTGGGATGGGATCAGGCAGTAAAAACTACATAATTGCAATTATGAAGTATACAATCATGATAACCCATAGTTCACTAAAATTAAGAAGCATTTCAAGCAAAGAATATGCATCCCAATTTCCTAATCCACACTAAGGACAACAACATGGTGAACACTTTGGAAGGGTTCTCACCGTGATTCTCTTCATATCTAGCTGGCGCAGCTGCATCATATTCTGAAGGACAGTGTGTTTGTACCATGACTCTTGAGCTATGGGATTGCCATCAAAGGTGATGTCCGAGAGGGAAGAAGAGTCAGCAAGGCAGGAAACACTGTCAAAACTGCAGGAGAGACAGAAACCACTGGATTATTCTGAGGCCTTAAGATAATACTTTCATTTTTAATAGACTTTATTTTTAGCACAGTTTTAGATTTACAGAAAAATTGAGAAGATAGTACAGAGTTCCCCTATACCCCATACCCAGTTTCCCCTATTGCTAACATCTTGTGTTAGTATAGTACATTTGTTACAATTAATCAACCAAAGTAAACATATTCTTAGTAGCTAAAGCCTGTATTTTATCCAGGTTTCCCTTAGTTTTTACCTAATGTCCTTTTTCTGTTCCAGGATCCCATGGAGGATACCATATTACATTTAGTTGTCATATCTCCTGAGGCTCCTCTTGGCTGTGACAATTTCTCAGACTTGCCTTGTTTTTGATGAGTTGACAGTTTCGAGGAATACTCATCAGTTATTTTGTAGGATGACCCCCTATTAGGATTTGTCTGATATTTTTCTCATGATTAGATGGGGGTTAAGATACCTACTTTTTTTTTTTTTTTTTTTTTTGAGACCAGGTCTCACTCTGTCATCCAGGCTGGGTTTCAGTGGTGCAATCATAGCTAATCCTAACCTCAAACTCTTGGGCTCGAGCAATCCTCCCACCTGAGCAACCCAAGTAGTTGGAACTACAGGTATGTACCATCATGCCTGGCTAATGTTTTACTTTTTATTTTGTCTACAAAATAAAAAGCGTCTCACTATGTTGCCCAAGCTGGTCTCGAACTCCTGTTTAAGCGATCCTCCCACCTTGCCCCCCCAAAGTGCTGGAATTAACAGGCATGACCACTATGCCCAGGTGGTATATATTATTAATATGACTTATTACTGTTGATGTTGACCCTGATCAACATGTTCAAGGCTGAGGCTGAGGTTATGTTCTTCAGGTTTCTCCAATGTAAAGTTACCATTGCATCCTCTCCTTTTCATACTCAACTATTTGTAAGGAAGTCACCATGTACAGCCCACACTCAGGGAGTGGGAAGTTAAGCTCCTCCTCCTTGAGGACACAGAGTCTGAACTCATGGATATTTATTCTATGCTTTGGGTTATTATCCAATACAATTTTACTATTTTGTTGTTCAAATTGTTCCAGCTTTGGCCATTGGAAGCTCTTTCAATTGGCTTCTATGTCCCTTTGGTTCCCATCGATGTGGATTTTTTTTTTCTTTTTCTGAGCACTTTCTTACTTTCTGGCACTATAAGATTTTCTATACTCATGTATTTTCTAGACTAATTCCGGTCCTGGTCCTAGAATCGGCCATTTCTGAGGAGCCATAGTTCCTTTTATTGGAGACTAGTATTAGAAACAAAGATCTGGGGGCTAAGTGTACTTCTTGCTACTGTGGGGTCATTTCCTTTAGTCCCTCTCAGCTGACACAGCAAGAAAATATATGTGTGTACAGAAACCTGTGTATATGCATATATCTATAAATATTTCTCTAAGTAACCATCTGTCCATCTGTGCCATCTGTGTCTATATTAAGCTAAAGATGAGTTTATACTGATGTCTCCAACTCTAATCCATCACCAAATGAATCATTCTAGCCTCCTTCCCTTGCTTATCTGAACATTTCTACTTCAACAAGAAGTTTGGCTTCAAACCATCAACTCTCCATTTACTTAATTATTCAATTCCAATATGTATGTATAGAGGTATCAGAATGTTTAATGTGTACCCCCAATGAGAAACAACTTTATCAACTAAAGTACAATGATTAGGTATAATTGCTTTTCCATTTAGTCTTACAGGCTCATTTCCGAAGTTTCTTAGATCAGTGCCTTTTCCCCCACCCCCTTAGGGAGGTTGTTTCATACATTTTTAATACAGTTAGATTCTCTTGTCGGTCTGCATTCCTTTCTGAGATCCTCTAAACTCCTAAGTGATTTTTTAACATTTGCATATATTAAGGCTTACTTTTTAATTGTGTAAATTTCTACAGGCTTAATGTCATGTATCCACCATTAAAGTATCTTAGAGAACCGTTTCATGACACTAGAAAAATCTGCTGTACTTTAGCCATTTGATCTTCTCTCCTCCTCCCAAATCACTGGCAACCACAAATCTTTCTACTGTCACTATAGTTCTGCCATTTCTAGAATGTCATATAATTGGAATCATGTAATATGTAGCCTTTTCAGATTGACTTCTTTCACTTAGCAATATGCATTTGTTTCATCCATGTCTTTCTGTGGCTTCATAGCTCATTTCTTTTTATCACTGAGCAATATTCCATTGTATGGATATACCATAGCTTCTTTATCCATTCACCTTCTGAGGACATCTTGGCTGCTTCCAGTTTTTGTTGATTATGAATAAAGCTGCTGTAAATATTCACCTGCAACTTTTTGTGTGGGCATAAGTTTTCAATTCAAATGGATAAATACCTAAGAGTATAACTGCTGTATATTACAGTAAGACTATGTTTATTTTAGCTTTGTAAGAAACTGCCGAACTATCTTCCAAAGTGGCTGTATCATCTTGCAATCTTAACAGCTCACCATCCTCACCAGCATTTGGTATCTGTGTTCTGGAATTTCAGTGACTCCAAGAGGTACATAGTGGTATCTCACTGTTTTAATATGCAATTCCCTAATGACAAAAGATGCTGAGCATCTTTTCATATGCATACTTGCCATCCATGTATCTTCTTTGTGTTTTCAGCTCTTTTGCCTATTTTAAATTGGATTCTTTCTTCTCTTACTGTGGAATTCTAAGATTTTTTTAAAATTTGGATACAAGTCTTTTATTAGATATATATTTTGCAAATATTTATCTCAGTCTGTGGCTTGTCTTTTCCTTCTCTTAACAGTGTCTTTCACAGAACAGATGTTTCTAATTTTAATGATGCCCAACTTAACAATTTTCTCTTTCATAGATCCTACTTTTGGTCCTGTATCTAAAAACTAATTGCCAAATCCAAGGTTGTCTGGATTTTCTCCTAAGTTTTCTTTAGAAGTTTAATGGTTTTGTGTTTTACATTTAAGTCTATGATCCATTTTGAGTTAATTTAGTAAAAGGTGTAAGGCCCATGTCTATATTCCTTTTTTTCATATGGACATCCAATTGTTCCATTACCATTTGCTGAAAAGACTATCCTTTCTCTATTGAATTGCTTTTGCTCCTTTATCAAAGATCACCTGAATATATTTGTATGGGTCTATTTCTGGGCCTTTTATTTGGTTCCATTGATACATGTGTCTACTCTTTCACCAATACCACACTGTCATGATTACTGTAGTTTTATAAGGAATCTTTATTATATAGCTTTGAAATGATTTAAACACTTAGTTTATTTACTACATGAATGATACACGTTTTGCTCTGATAAGAACATGAAGTTTAATTCCTCTCCCTGTAAGATTGTTATATCACTCCTCATCAGACCACATACATGAGTTATTGGGCTCAACGACTGGACTTTAAAAACACATATAAACCCAAGATTTTGACAGATTGATAACTTAGGCTTTGTCAGGGCTACTCTATGTCAGACACTTCTCCAAAGACCAAAATATCAGACTAGCAGGGTTGCTCTCTGTCAGCCTTTGAACTATCCTCCAAAGCCCAGTAACACTGGCACTGCTTGTTAGTGTTGAGGGACATTGCACATTGTTATGGATGTACACTGTGGTGATCAAACCATCCCTCCTGAAACCACTTATAGAAAAGTACTCTCCAAACTTTGATTAGACTTTACATCCACAGAGGCAAGCTTCCATCCTAATTTAGCAACTAGACTTTAAAAACTGGACTCTAAACTAAATTGGAACTCATCCAATATGTGGATAATGTACTTTATCTATTGAGTATATTCCCTATGATGTTTCTTCCTGTTATTCTTCCATTCTTTGAGCATTATGAATAAAAATGATAAGCTCTTTGTATGGCAATAAACTGTGTGATTTGTGAAAACATACTTTGATCATCTGTTTATTTTAACCATACAAAACAGTCTTGCAAAAGGTTAGTGTGACTCCTCTAACTTTTTCTTCAGTATTGTGTCACTATTCCAGGTCTGGCCTTTTCATATAAACTTTAGAATTCAATTGTTGATATCTATAAATAACCTATGGGATTTTGATTGGGATTTTCTTTCTTTCTGGCCTTTTCATATAAACTTTAGAATCCAATTGTTGATATCTATAAATAACCTATGGGATTTTGACTGGAATTTCCCTCCCTTCCTTCCTTCCTTCCTTCCTTCCTTCCTTCCTTCCTTCCTTCCTTCCTTCCTTCCTTCCTTCCCTCCTTTCCTCCCTCCCTCCCTCCCTCCTTCCTTCCTTTCTTTCTTTCATGGAGTTTTGCTCTAGTTGCCCAGACTGGAGCGCAATGGCACAATCTCGGCTCACTGCAACCTCCGCCTCCCTGGTTCAAGCGATTTTCCTGCCTCGGCCTCCCGAGTAGCTGGGATTACAGGCATGCACCACCACACCCGGCTAATTCTTTGTATTTTTAGTAGAGACAGGGTTTCACCATGGCCAGGCTGGTCTTGAACTCCTGACCTCAGGTGATCCGCCCGCCTCGGCCTCCCAGAGTGCTGGGATTACAGGCGTGAGCCACCGCATCCAGCCGGGATTTTTATTTTTTAAAGAAATAATCACTTTTCTAAATAATACCACAGGGCACCTTGGTAAAACTCATTTATATTAGAGTCATTCTCATTCAGTACACAAATACTTTATAAATACTTTATTTATTCAGGCACTAAATTACCAGTACTTTATAGTACTATAAATACTTTATTTATTCAGGCACTAAATTAAATATCTCTTCTCACTGTGTCAAGAAAAGCTAGATGATATAGAATATTCATGGTATAGAAAATAATGTAGGTACTAACAAGGTTGAGGCAAGTTCTACAGCAAGAATAAAGTTCACTGCTTTTATTGTCATATTTAAATATTTCTTCTATGTTTTCCTCACACTCAAGGTAAAAAGATACCCTGCTATTAATTATTTTACCTCAGAGCTTGTCTTTACCAATCTAAAAGGTAAACCTCACAATTTATACGCAACTCATAGTGTTTGAGACATGTTTAGATAAATATTGGAAGGCATTTTTTAACAAACTAGTATATGAAGGTGAAGATGTGAGTTTATAAATTTAAACTTAATCATCACTTAAAGTATAAACAAGCTTGAACAAACATAATTTTTCCTACCCAGCATTGCCAAAATTCATTTTCTTCATCAGTATAAAAATCTCAGAACAGTTTCTGGTATTTGTGATGGCTTTTCTCTCCTTCCCCCATAGTTGTGTACATAAAGCTTGAATCAAATAAAAATGCTTCTGAAGGCAATGTTTTATTTCTTCCACTTTGTTAAAGTGAACTAACTCATCACTTTCCCTCCACAAATCTGCTTTTCTATGTGTATTTTCTACTTGATAAATGATGCCACCATCAAAACAATAATTAAGAATGGGAACTGTAAAGAGTCATGAAGGGATTTTAAGCAAGGCAGTTAATATGATCAGAATAGTATTTTAGAAAAATCACAAATTAATAACGTCATGAAGGGTATACGAAAAAGAAAAGAGATAAGAATCAAAAGCTAGTTATAAAGCAGATTGCGGTAACAGAGGTGAAAAACAGGGCTTAACATGTCAAAAACCAAGGTAGTAGTCAGGAGAGTAAAGAGGGGAGATGTTCTATGGAAGTTTAGAGTGTAGCATGGACAGAAATTAGTAATCATTTGGATGTGATAAGGAAAGGAATCCAGAATAACTCCAAGTTTCTCTCTCAGGTGAACAACTAGAGTTATGGTTACAAGGGTACATACTCTGTCAAAATTCATTGAACTCTACACTTAAAATGTGTGCATTTTATTATATGTAAATTATATCTTTAAAAATTAATTTACAGAGAAATTTTAAACTATAAAAAATATATATTTGACAGATTATCTTTTCATCTATCAAGTCTCCTTTTCCTGGAACACTGTTATGTTGGTGGCCAATGGCCATTAAGATACATTTCAAAAGGGTTTTCACTAAGTTTTCCTCCAACTACCATAGGATGGGCTCACTAATTTCCACCTTAAGGTATTAACTAATGTGAAGAGCAGAGGTAACAGAGCCAGTAGATGTTGAAGAGCATTTTTTTTTCCAATACTCAACCTAACTCAATAGAATTAAACTGTAAGTTTCTTGAAGACTGGAAAGATACTGTGACCACTGCCCCAACACCTAACTTAAGACCAATCTTTAGTAAGTGTGCAATAAAGTTTCGGTGAATGAATGAAAAAAATGTGATGAACTGGAATAATTCCAAAAGGCTTATCCTTGATTAAAAAAAAAGTGAATGAGTGAATTTTCTTACACTTTTATTGGAATTATTATTTAAAGGATAACATGATATTTAAGTAGCATTATGACCCTATATATTACTAATTAGGCAGATGCACTTAAAAGTGAAAATAATATGTACAAAAGCATAGACAAGCTGGAAAACTTAATTTTATTATAGATAGATTCTAATTTTATTGCTATTTACTATTTATTTACAAGCCAGATTGTAGAGTCTATCATTTGTTTCTCATTGCTAAGTAGAATTTTAAACTAAAATGATTGTAACTGTTCTCAGCCCTGTCTCTCAAGTATTCCTTTGGGGAATTAAATTGATCTAATAATTGCCAATGGAATTGGTCTAAGAATGGGTGGTGTCACACACAAAACTAAACAGTATCTTCATTTAATTAAATACAAAGCACTTTTTTATGTATAGAAGAAAACAGTATGCCCAGTATACATTATAAAGAACTTCAGAGATCTAAAAGACCTGTAGATGCCCATATGGTCTATGTCTGTAATTCAAGCACAACAAAAAAGTGGCATCAGGAATGGGAACATCACTGCAGTCCTCAGCAAGTACTATCCGGGCAACTGCTCCCACATCAGCTACTACTGTTGACACTCAGACTGAAGTCTTTATGCTTTGAATAGTTTTATTAAAGTAAAAATAAATCTGTATTTGATCCAGAAGATTCCTCACAAAATTTCATTTCCATCTGCCAGGCATTTGACCAATAACCATGCCAGACATTCCTAGAAGTTCACTGACAAAGACCATATGATTTTAAAGACATTCTCTAACCAAATAAAACAATACTCTTAAGTACAAATACAGGCTAATGATGGGTTATATTTTACCTAACCAAACAAAATCAAAAGCAGACTGTTTAAAAAAAAACACCTGGAAATAAAACAGTAAGTATAGTGAAATACTGGCTTTTAAAAACAGTCTCTCTCTCTCGCCACCCCACCTTTTTTTTTTTTTTTTGGCAGAGGGTTTAAGAACACTCAATTGCTCTCATCTCTTTAGAGTACCAAGAATGAAAAAGCTTTGGTCCAAAGGCTGACATTTAACTTATAATTGACTTTAATCTTTTTCCAGATTACTCATACATTTGTTCTTCCCCTAGTAGTCTCCTCACATTGCCACATCTGCTTCCTATCTGCTAAAGAACCTATAGAGAAACAGTCTGTCCCTACTGACCAAAATTCATATCCCGAAAGGAAAAGAAAATATTTTAGTCCATTTTATGCTTACTTAATAAAATACAGAGAAAGAAATAAAATTCCCATATATGCATGTATCACACAGCATAGATATTTAACTAACAATTCCTAAATATCAGTCAAATTTCTCCAATTAGAAATTTTCCTCCCCTAAGTAAGCTAAGTACTTTAGAAAAAGGGCTTTTACTCTTTTATACCAGCAAGGTACCATGATCTCTGAAATAATCTTAATGAAAAGCCACTTATTTTATATTGATCAGTGAGGATTTTTCTGAATAGTTACTATTTGCCTAGAGGGCTGAAGTGAAATGGAACAATAGAATAAATCATCAAGCGTGCTCACAAGGACTGAAATATACACAACTGACAAACATAAAATAACTAGAAAGATGTATAATATATGATCAAATATTAAAGAGTAATGCACAGTTAAAGAAAAGTACACATAATACAGGTGTTTGTATTCTGAGAGAATGATGAACTAAAACTACTGGTCTCAAATGCATTCATGATCTGCTAAAAAAAACAAATGAGGACTACATAGAAAACTAAATCAATAAATAAACGTAGGAACCAAGAGAGGTAAATAGAATGTAGAAACTGACCTTTATGCTGTGATGGCATTTTGCTAAACCTAATGAAATTGAGATTTGGTTTACATGATCTTCAAGGCTGAGAGATAGAAGACAATCCTAGGAGCCACTCAAGTTGGAGAGTCTAACTAGTAGACACCTGTTGATAAATCTGGGACCCTAAGAGCAAGACCCTCAAAACTGGATTAGTTATAAACTTTCTTACTGACAGCCCCTGAAATATTGCCTATCTCAAAGCTTGGGGCTAAGACTAGAAAGGGTAGAAAATTCTTCCCTTATTACTTGTAACCACAGACCACAACTGTCCCAGGGAAAAGTCTTCAGGGGCTTTAACATCCATGGAGCTGTCATCTCCTAAGATAACAATGCCTTCTTTGGGAATACTTCTTGAAGGACCTGCCTGAGGCTGTTTTACAGTTAACTTTTTTTTGATAAGTAAGAATACACTCTAAAATAACAGTAAAAATATGGTCCAGTTGGCCCTCCATATCCATGTGTTCTACATCTATGAATTCAATCAACCTCAGATTTAAAAAAAAGTAAATTCCAGGCCTCCTGCCTGCGGCATTTCCAGCCAGAGCAACCCACCCACCCATGGTTTCCCCCTGCAGAAGCGACCCTACCCACAGCACCCCAAGCTGGAGTGCCTCCCGGCCACAACGCCTCCACCACTTCTGCTGGAGCACACCTCCCAAGCCCACGGTGCCCCCTACCAGAGCACCTCCCACCCTCAGTGCCCCTGCCAGAGTGCCTTTCGCCCACAGCCCTGCCCACTGGAGCATATCCTGCCCACAGTGCCCCTGCTGCCCCTGCTGGAGCACCTACACCCATGCCCTGTCAATGGTCTGGGAACACCCCAGCCTCTCTATCCCAGCCAAAGCTCAACAGTGAGAGACCAGAGGACAAAGCTGCTGACCCAGTCCCAGTCCCACAGGGTTAGAGCATGCATCCCAGCAGTATGGAGCTGAGTCTTGCCCCCTAAAAGCATCCAGAAATGAAGTGATTCAACTATATCCAGCTTACACCACAGTCAAAAAACCCTAAGGGCAATAAAGATCATAAAAACAAAAAGCCTCACCCAAAGGACAATAACTTCAAATAATAAAGAATCATCAGCTGTCACAGAAGAAAGACCCAGCACAAGAACTCTGGCAACTCTAAAAACCAGCATGTCTTCTTACCTCCAGATGATCACACTAGCTCCCCAGTAGTGGATCCTAACCAGAATGAAATGGCTGAAATGCCAGGCAGAGAATTCAGAATCGGGATGATAAGGAAGCACACTGAGACACAAGAAGAGGTTGAAACCCAACCCAGGCAAAACAGTAAAACAACCCAACAGTTGAAAGATGACATAACCATTTAAAAAAAGACCAAACTGAACTTCTGGAAATGAAAAATTCCAGGAATTTCAAAATACAATTGGATGCATTAAAAGCAGAATAGACCAAGTTGAGAAAAGAATCTGGCAGCTTGGCCAGGCATGGTGGCTCACACCTGTAATCCCAGCACTTTGGGAAGCCAAGGCAGGTGGATCATCTGAGGTCAGGAGTTTGAGACCAGCCTGTCCAACATGGCAAAACCCCATCTCTATTAAAAATACAAAAATTAGCTGGGCATGGTGGCACATGCTTGTAGAGTCAAGTACTCGGGAGACTGAGGCTGGAGAATCGCTTGAACCCAGGAGGTGGAGGTTGCAGTGAGCCAAGATCACGCCACTGCACTACAGTCTAGGAGACAGAGCAAGACTCTGTCTCAATAAATAAATAAATAAAAATGAAAAATAAAAACCTCACAGCTTGAAGGTCACTCCTTTGAAGCAACAAAGGAAGACAAAAATAAAGAAAAAATAATTTAAAAAAATAACAGAATAGCTGAGAAATAGGGGATTACATAGAGACCAAACCTGTAACTCATTTGCATTCCAGAAAGAGGAGAAACAACAAGCAACCTGGAAAACGTATTTGAGGATATAGTCCATGAAAATTTTCCCAATCTTGCTTGAGAGGGTGATATACAAATTCAAGAAACTCAGAGAACACCTGTGAGATACTATGCAAGATGATCATCCCCAAAGCACAGTCATCAGATTCTCCAAGGTCAATGCAAAAGAAAAAATCTTAAAAGCATCTAGAGAAAAACTTACAAAGGGAACCCTATCAGGTTAACAATGGACCTTTTAGTAGAAACCTTATAAGCCAGAAGAGATTTGGGGTCTGTTTTCAATATCCTTGAAGAAAAGAAATTCCAACCAAGAATTCCATATCATTCCAAACTAAACCTCATCAGCAAAGGAGAAATGAAATCCTTTTCAAACAAGCAAAGCTAAGAGTATTCATTACCCCTAGACCTGCCTTACAAGAGCTTCTAAAGGAAGTGCTAAACATGGAAATTAATGAATGATACCTGCCACCATAAAGACATACTTAAGCACATACTTCATTGATATTATAAAGCAACTATATGATCAAGTCTACATAATAGCCAGCTAATAGCATGATGACAGGATCAAATCCTCACAGTCCAATACCGACCCTGAATTTAAATGGACTAAATGCCCCCACTTAAAAGGGATAGTGTGCCCAGTTAGATAAAGAAGCACAAACCAACTGACTATGGTCTTCAAGAGACACATCTCACAAGTAACAACATATATAGGCTCAAAGTAAAGAAATGGAGAAAGATCTATCAGGCTAATAGGAAACAAAAAACGGGTAGCTATTCATACATCAGATAAAACAGGCTTTAAACCAACAATGATCAAAAAGGACAAAGAAAGGGCATTACATAATGATAAAGGGCTCAATCCAACAAGAACACTTAATTATTTTAAATATATACACACCCAACCCAACAGTGGAGCACCCAGATTTTAAAAAAAAGTTCTTAGCGATCTGTGAAGAGATTCAGACAACCAAACAATAATACTCAGGACTTCAACCCCCACTAATAGCATTAGACAGATCATCAAGGCAGTAAACCAGCAAAGATATTCCGGACTTAAACTTGACACTTGACTAACTGGACCTAATAGACATCTACAGAACACTCCAACCATCAACAAGAAAGTATACATTCTTCTCATCTGCACATGGCACATACTCTGACTGACTACATGCTCAGTTATAAGGCAAGTCTCAGCAAATTCAAAAATCAAAATAAAATCAACCACACACTTGGACAACAGCACAATAAAAATAGCAATCAATATTGAACAGTCCAATAATGAGTTCAGAAATTAAATCAATAATAAAAAGTCTACCAACCAAAAAAAGCCCTAGACCAGATGGATTCACAGTTGAATTCTACCAGATATACAAAGAAGAGCTAGTGCCAATCCTACTAAATTTATTTCAAAAAATTGAGAAGGAGGGACTACTCTCTAATTCAGACTACAAAGCCAGCATCATTCTGATACCAAAGCCCAGCAGAGACACAGAAAAAAAAAAAAAAGCTTCATGCCAACGTCCCTGATGAACACAGATGTAAAAATCCTCAACAAAATACAAGCAAATTCAGAAGCACATCAAAAAGCTCATTCATCATGATCAAGTAGACTTTATTCCTGGGATGCAAAGTTGGTTCAACATACACAAATCAATAAATGTGATTCACCACATAAACTGAATTCATAATAAAAACCATATGACCATCTGAATAGACACAGAAAAGGCCTTCAAAAAAATTCATCATCCCTTCATGTTAAAAACCATCAACAAATTAGGCATCAAAGGAAAACACTTCAAAATAATAAGACCCATATAACATAAACCTATAGACAATGTCATCTTACTGAATGGGCAAAAGCTGGAAGCATTCCCCTTGAGAACTGGAAAAAGACAAGGATGCCCATTTTCACTGCTCCTATTCAACATAGTACTAGAAGTCCTAACCAGAGCTATCAGGCAAGAAAAAGAAATAAAAGGCATCTAAATTAGGGAGACAGAAAGCTAAACTGTCTATCTGCATGGACAATATAATTCTATACCTAGGAAAACCCACAGACTCCATCATAAGGCTTCTAGAACTGATAAACAACCTTAGTAAAGTTTCAGGATACAAAATCAATGTAAGAAAATCAGTAGCATTTCTATACACCAATAATGTCTAGGCTCAGCAAAATCAAGAACACAATCCCATTTATAGTAGCCAGAAAAAGAATAAAATACCTAAGGATACAGCTTACTAAGGAGGGGAAAGATGTCTACAATGAGCAATACAATGCATTGCTGAAAGAAATCAGAGGCAACATAAACAAATGGAAACACATTCCATGCTCAAGGATAAGAAGAATCAACATTGATAAAATGACCATACTACCCAAAGCAATTTACAGATTCAGTGCCATTCCTATCATACTACCAATGTCATTTTTCACAGAATTAGAAAAAAAATTATAAAAATCTATATGGAGGAACCAAAAGAGAGCTAGAATAGCCACAGCAATCCTAATAAAAAGAATGAATCCAGAGGCATAACATTACCTAACCTCAAACTATATTACAAAGCTACAGTAACTGAAACAGCATGGTACTGGTATGAAAACAGAAACATGGACCAATGGAACAGGATAGAGAACCCAGAAATAAAGCCACACACCTACAACTACCTGATCATTGACAAAGTCAGCAATAACAAACAATGGGGAAAGTATTTCCTATTCAATAAATGGTGTTGAGATAACTTGCTAGCCACATGCAGAAGATTGAAACCAGACCCCTTCCTCTCACCATATACAAAAATTAACTCAACATGGATTAAAGACTTAAATCTAAGACCTAAACCAATAAAAACCCTAGGAGAAAACCAAGTAAATACCATTCTGGACGTTGGCCTTGGCAAAGAATTTATGACTAAGTCTTCAAAAACAATGCAACAAAACAAAAAATTGACAAGTAGGACCTAATTAAACTAAACAGCTTCTGCACAGCAAAAGAAACTACCAACAGAGTAAACAGACAACCTACAGAATGGGAGAAAATATTTGCAAACTATGCATCTGACAAAGGTCTAATATCCAGAATTTATAAAAAACTTGAATCAGTAAGCAAAAAACAAATAACCCCATTATAAAATGGTCAAAGAACATGAACAGACATTTCTTAAAAGAAGACATACATGTGGCCAACAAATATATGAAAAAATGCTCATATCATCACTAATCATTAGATAAATGCAAATCAAAACCACAATGATACGCTGGTGAAAAGGGAGAATACTTATACATTGGAGAAAAGGGAACACTTATACACTGCTGGTGGGAGTGTAAATTAGTTCATCCATTGTGGAAAGCAGTGTGGAGATTCCTCAAAGAACTTAAAACAGAATTACCATTTGACCCAGCAATACCACTATTGGGTATATATCCAAATGAAAATAAATCATTCTACCAAAAAGACACATGTTAATCACAGCACTATTTACAACAGCAGACACGGAATCAACCAAGATGTCCATCATCGATGGACTGAATAAAGAAAATGTGGTACATATACACCATAGAATACTACACAGACATAAAAAATAATGAAATATCTTTTGCAGCAACATGGATACAGATGGAGGACATTATCCTAAGCAAACTAACATAAGAACAGAAAACCAAATATTGCATGTTCTCACTTATAAGTGGGAGCCAGACGATGAATACACATGAATACAAAGAAGGGAACAAAGACACTGGGGACCACTTGATGGGGGAGGGTGAGGGGAAGGCATATCTTGGAAGTCCGCCTATCTGGTACTGTGCTCACTACCTTGGTAATGGGATCATTCATATACCAAGCCTCAGCGACCCACAATTTACCCATGTAACAAACCCGCATATGTAGCCCCGAACTTAAAATTTTAAAAATAAATAAAAACAAAATATAAAATATAAAATTTCACAAAGTTCCAAAAAGTAAAACTTGAATTTACTGTGTGCCAAGTACTACACTGTATTCACACAAATGAAGTGATGTGTAGGTATTGTGATAGGTATTGTAAGAAATCTAGAGATGATTTAAAGTATACAGAAGCATGTGCATAGGTTATACACAAATATTATGCCATTTTATATTGGGGAGCATTGGTGGATTTTGGTATCCACGGGAGGGGTCGAGTGGGTTCCTAGAAGGAATCCCATAAAGATATGGAGGGAAAACTATATAGTACATCATAAACCAAAAACAGGGTCACTTATTATAATTAACAAGTATTGTGTGCCATAGATAACTGTATGTGCTACGCTTTGATATGACTGGCAGCTCAGTAGGTTTGTTTACATCAGCATCAGCAAAAATATATATGTAATAAGTTGCGGTATGATGTTATAATGGCTATGATATCACTAGACAACAGGAGCTTTTCAGCTCCTTTATAGTCTAGGTAACCACCATTGTAAATGTGGTCCATCGTTGACCAAAATGTTGTTACTCAGTGTATGACTATATAGGTATGTGTGTTGTATGTAAACTGAAAGTGTTTCGGAAAGACCAGGACTTGGCAAACTACAGCCCACAGGCCAAATATGCTCTATCACCTGTTTTTGTATGGCCCACAAGTTAATAATGGCCTCTATGTTTTAAAATGGTTAGAAAAAATGTCAAAAGAAGAATATGTCATATGTGAAAATGATATGAAATACAAATTTCAGGGTCCATAAATAAGTTTTATTGAAACACAGCTCTGCCCATTCATTTACATATTATTTATGGCTGCTTTTGTGTTACAAAGGGAAAGTTAAGTACTTGAAACAGAGACCAACTGGCCTGCAAAGAATCATGTATATGATACCAATTTAAGTTATCTAAATACACACATACACACATACATATACACATGCATATTTCCTAATTCTATCCACTGAGATGGCCCAGAAACAATGATAACTCAAAAAGGATAAGCACACCTTGCACTCAAATCTTAGTTTCTAAACAGCATTCTCCACTAAAAGTCATTAGAACTCCTTGGAGAAATGGCTGATTCCAGAGCTAGGACTGCAAAAGTATAAGATGAGCCTGGAACATCTTGTTGGGCCAGAAAGGAAGGAAGTACTTAAAGAATGAGGACACATCAAAAGACCACAGGACCCTTCTTGAGAAATCAGAGAAAATATGAACATCAAAATAAATAATAATAGTAAAGGATTACATCCCTCTTTTGTTCCCTGTATGCAAAAAAAAAAAAAAAACTTTGCTAATGGAATCAGAATTCCTGAGGGCTAAAAGTATGACCCCCTGTAATATTAATACAAGTACATTTTAACAGATATTCACAGCTTTAAAAGGCGTGACTCCAAGGGTTAATGCCTTAGTGGTAGAATGAAAAGCAGTAGGTGAAGCACACATGCTCTATCAGGAGTGCAATGAAGTAAAGTTAGACTTAGGCAGAGGTATGTGTGTGCTTATCCATAACGTGTTTATATATATTTGAAAGATATGAACTCTCTGAGAGGGACAGGAGAACCATGCTGTGGAATAAGGAAGAACCTCTGATATCTAGGTCAGGCAGACAGATGGCAATGAGGGGTGGGGGAGATTGAAAGTAGAACACACACGAACACACACGTGTGCACACACATACACACACACAGGAAATGGGATGAAATGACCCAAAGTAAAGGAGTTAGCTAGTTCTAACATTAATGTGAGCAAAGGCATGAAAGAGGAAATAAGTTTATTGGACAACTATTGTTATTATCTTCTTTCCCAACTTCCCTTCCCTTGGTAATAAAACACCCCTTTCCTGTAGTAAACCCATTCCACAAACTGATCCCACACCCATTGTCCTAGGGGATAAGGACCATATGTCCCAGGATTGAGCATTCAGTATGTCCTGTATGTCCCTGGCTGCGGCGATTCATTCCAAGTGGGCACCTGACCTAAATGAACACAATCAGAATCCTCTGCAGCAGTGCTTCCCAGACTGTAATGTGCATTTAAATCACCAGGAGACCTTTTTAAAATGACAGTTCTCACCCAGAATGTCTAGGGTAGGGCTTGAGATCCTGGGCTTCCAATAAGCTTCCCAGTGATGCTAATACTGCTGGTTCAAGGACACAATTTTGAACATTAAGGCTCTTCAGAACCTTTTGCCAGAGCAATCAGAGATGAAGCGCTCTTTATACTAGAACTGCTAAGTGACAGACTGTGATTCTCAAGCTGTTGGCTTTTCCAAAAGCTGCAAGGTTTTTTTTTCATGTTTCTGTCACTCACGTCTTTGTATGTTCTCTGTCATTAGGTTATACACTCATGGAAAACAAAAGTCATATGTTTAACTTCTGTTACTCTCCACAATGCCTTTTTTGGTGTTTTAAACATAAAGATACATAATCAATGTTCTTCAACAACCAACTTGGAAAAAAACTTGAATTCTTTAGATGAAAGAGATGGAGAAGGTATTTTAATGAAATTGTAAAGGACAGGAAGGAGGAGGATCAGCTACTAGCTATCACTATTGAGGTAAAAATAACACATCCTCAGGATATCCCTAAGATAATCTTAGATCCTAAACCCACCCAGCTATGAAAAACTGGCATCACTCATAATCCCTGAAGTAGGTCATTTTGAAGAATAACAAGCCAATACCCATGAAATGCCAAAAAGCAAGCCCCAAAAACAAGTCTGAAGAAACTAGCAGAAAAATATTATTAATCTTATTTCACATTTACTCAGTGCTTCCCAGGATATTCCTAAACTAAAAACTATGGTCTCTAACCTGGGGGTCTATAATTGACATTGTCTATTTCTTTTTAAGCCATAAAAAGGAAGTTTTATGAAAAAAAAGGGACTACAATAGACATTTCCCAAAAGAGGATTACAAATGGCCAAAATGTAGATGAAAAAAATCATCAAGGAAATTCATTAAATTAAAACCACAATGAGATATCATCTCACACCTGTTAGGATGGGTATTTTATAAAAAAGACAACAGATAAGTGTGGGTGAGAATGTGGAGAGAAGAAAACCCTGTACATTGTTGCTGTCAATATAAATTAGTACAATCATTATAAAAAAGAGTATGGAGGTTCCTAAAAAAATTAAAATTAGAGCTACCATATGAACCAGCAATCCCATTTCCAGGTATATTCTGAAGGAAATAAAATTAGTATGTTGAAAACGTATCTGTACTCCCATGTTCATTGCAGCATTATTCACAATAACCAAGATATGGAATCAACCTAAGCATCTTTAAATAATGAATGGATAAAGAAAATGTGGTATATATATGCACAGTGGAATACAATTTAGCCTCAAACAGAAGTAAATCCTGTAATTTTTGACAACATGGACAAACCTGGAGGATATTATGCTAAGTGAAATAAGCCAGGCACAGAAAAACAAATACAACATGATCTCACTCATATGAGAAATCTAAAAAAGTTGAACTCATAGAAGCTGAGAGTAGAATGGTAGTTATCAGAGGCTATGGTCATGTAGGGTGATTGGGGAGATGTTGGTCAAAGGATACAAAATTTCAGTTAGACAGGAGGAATTAGTTCAACATGGTGATTATATTTAATAACAATGTATTGTATACTTGAAAACTGCTAAGACTTTAAATGTTCTTTAATAAAATCTTTAAATAAGACATTAAATGTTATTACAAAAAAGATAAGTATGTGAGGTAACATATATGTTAATTGGTTTTAGTCATTCTATAATGTGTGTATATATATATATCAAAACATTATCTTGTATACCACAAATATATACAACTTTTATTTGTTGATTTAAAAAATGTTTAAAACAAAACCAAACAATGCCCAGAGACTAGTTGACAGTTCTAAACTACTTTTTAAGATATTTTGGGGTGTATAATTAAGTCACTGTGATACCTTCCTGTGCATCCAGGATAAACAAGCCTAACTGTTTCACTTCCAGAAGTATCCTCCTTATGGAGAATCCCAACTTCCTTACTTGCATGGAAGCAAAATTTTTTAAAGAAGAAAATACCCTCCTCTTTTAACCAAGCCCAATGCCCTTAATGGTCAGGCAATTATTTTCCTTCCTGAGCAAGCTGAGTTTCAGTCCTACAAAAAAAAAAACATCTTTAATACTAAAAACAAATAAAAAGGAAACAAATTCAACCCGTCTAATAACCTGGACAGACAGACAGATACACACACACACACACACACACACACACACACACACACACACACACAGGTTGTTAAATACAGAAAGAATGTATTGTTGATTTAAGGGGAATTCCATATTCTTTAAGTACCAGACAGGTAAATGGCAGAGATGATATACAATCATGACAATTTGAAAATCTGGTAGATAGAGCTTGCAGTTTTTGCCATGACAGCATCAGACTCACCTTCCCAATGTAAACAACTATGAAACTGGACAAAATATATGAAGCAGATGTTGACTAGCTCAGGGCTGTGATCCTTGGGAGAAGACAGACATATAAAAGCCACGTTCATCTCGGCTT
Source organism: Homo sapiens (assembly GCF_000001405.40). Taxonomy (NCBI): domain Eukaryota; kingdom Metazoa; phylum Chordata; class Mammalia; order Primates; family Hominidae; genus Homo; species Homo sapiens. The sequence continues at coordinate 70,945,244 of NC_000015.10, read as the reverse complement.
TCTGCCTGAGGGTACTTACAGATCATAGCATAGGGAAGTGGAGCTAGAGACAGAACAGAGGTCTCACTGGGTAGATGAAATAGAAGTCAGAATTTGGGTCTGTTGAGGCTACTGGAATTTGGGTGAAGAGGAATGGAGAGGAGGGAACCTTGTAGAGAAGGAACTCCAGAAGTCTGCATAGGGGTCTCTTGAGTATTTGGCTAAATATTAGGATGTGGGTACACAGGGTATAATTCCACAAAGCCTAGCAAAATATAACTATTGAGGGGCTGTGAGATGAAGAGTATCTATGGGTCACATGGAACTGGGAGACATTGCAATTCCAACCAAATAGAGTGAAGAGACCTCAATGAATACCCAGATTATATATCTGAAGTCCAAGAACAGCCATGCCTTAGGTGTGAGGCGACTCTGTGTCAAGAAACAATGTGAATATTTTCATGTTTCTGCATGGTAATGGCCTTCTGAGCAAAGAAAATTGGCACTTTGATTAAAGGGTGACTGAATAGATAGAAATGATAAGAGCAATATGGACATTTAGGCCGGGCGCAGTGGCTCACGCCTGTAATCACAGCACGTTGGGAGGCCAAGGCAGGCAGATCATCTGAGGTCAGGAGTTTGAGACCAGCATGGCCAACATGGTAAAACCCTGACTCTACTAAAAGTAAAAAAATAAGTTGGGCATGGTGGCACACACCTGTAGTCCCAGCTACTCGGGAGGCTGAGGCAGGAGAATTGCTTGAACCCTGGAGGCGGAGGTTGCGGTGAACGGAGATCGCGCCAGTGCACTACAGCCTGGGCGACAGAGCAGTGAGACTGGGTCTCAAAGAAAAAAAAAGAGCAATATGGAAATTTATCTCTAAGAACTATGTGTTTACATTTCAAAGGGTATCAAAAATGTGGAGCCATTTGTTTATATTCCAAAAGATTATTGGCCAAAACACCTTTGACTTTTCTCTTCAGAGAGGATTTGTTTACATTAGGAAGACAAGGTCTCAGTTTCTCTCTGTGTTCTCTCTTTCCGTCCTGGAGGGGAGAAGGTGCAGTTATGTAAGCAGCTTCTATATAAGCTTCAAGACTAAGAATTTGGGGTTTCTCTCATGTACTAGAGGCCCCTCCTCATACATGCAGGTGACATCTGCATTTATCACAGCACCATGGGAAAAAAATGGAGCATGGGAAACTAATACAAGATATTCTGCAGGTAAATAATCAGTCTGCCTCAGATACACAAATCTTATGTTTACTGTCGTAACAAAAAAAATATGGATGTGTTACAGTAAGTAGCTAGCCAGGCTCCAGTGGGGCTGGAGAGGGCTCCCCAGCAACCAGGAATGTCAGGCGACCCTCAGGTGATGGTCAGGCAGTTGTTACACTGTTTCTCTAAAATAAGAATTGGTTGCAGCAGGCACCAGGGAAAGGCAGTCTCCCAATAGATAGAAAAAAACCTGAAACTGATACTCAGTAGTTTCCCAATAAGATCTACTGATAATTAGTGGCTTCACACTGGAGTTGGGCAAGTGGGCTCAAGCATGTGCATTAAGAGGCAAAATGTCAGAGTTTAACTGGTATATGACCTTCTAGGAACAGTTGACTGGTAAGGGAAGAATGCCTCAAGTGAGCATGTGTGCAACTCCAGTAAACACACTGTGCATGCGGCCTCTCCCAAATGCCAGCAGGCCATTGCACATATGGACAGCCCACTGCAAGGGAAGAATCAGGGGAGAAGGGATGCAAGACCTGGGAAGTATGCCAACGTATAAAACTCTAAATCAAAGGCCAAACTGGGCACTTGATCTCTCAAGTTGCCCACTTGGCCCTCTTCCAAGTGTAATTTACTCCCTTTCATTCCTGCCCTAAAGCTTTTTAATAAACTTTCACTCCTGCTCTAAAACTTGCCTTGGTCTCTCCTTTTGCCTTATGCCCCTCAGTCAAATTCTTTCTTCTGAGGAGGCAAGAATTGAGGTTGCTGCAGACCCATATAGATTTGCCGCTGGTAACAGATATAAAAATATACTACTCTAGTTCTATAATAAGTATCACTTTAGATCTTCCTTAAAAAAAAAACTAAACTAAAAATAAACCTCAACAGGATCAACCTGATTCTCTAGTAGCTATCAAAACAAAACTCAATAATCCTTAAATCTCTCAACAGAACATCCACAATGCCCAGAATACAATCAAAACAATTGCCAGATGAGGAAGAAGCAATAAAAATTGAAACATATATTAACGAGAAAAAAAGTCACTGTAACAGTACTAAAGATGACACAAATGTTGGAATTAGTAGATAAGAACTTTAAAACAGCTATTTATATAGATTTTTAAAATCTATACAATCACGTAGATATTTTTGCTTCTGACAGAGGGCTATCTTACCTTTTCATAAATGAGTTAGGAAACAGCTGAAGCAAGATCTCTGTTTTTCTCCCCCCACTTCGAGTTGTCCCGCCTTTCTGGACCAAACCAATGTATTTCTTAAATGTATTTGATTGATGTCTCGTGCCTCCCTAAAATGTATAAAACCAAGCTGCACCCTGACCACCTTGTGCACATGTTCTTGGGACGTCCTGAGGGCTGTGTCACGGTCCATGGTCACTCACATTTGGCTTAGAATAAATCTCTTCAAATATTTTACAGAGTTTGACTCTCTTCATTGATACTACCTCAAATCCCTTTTGGAAGTATTTCTATAATATAAGTACAAGAAATGCACTAGGGGAAACTAGTTATATATCTTAAGTTTGTTTCTAAGTGGATTTTGAATTTAATATACTTATACTTTGTTTCTGAATATTCTTTGAATTTTCATGCCTTTGTAAAACAAAATACAAAGGAAATCATAAAACGTATGTTGGTCTCAATTTATCATACTTGTTTGTTTCTGAACACCACCCAGTATGTAATCATGAGTAATTAATTTTAAGGCCCTTATGCACCAAAATTTTTCCTGCAACTTTTAGAACCTTCACGTGAATAAAATCCAAAGGGACCTTTGGTACATCAGTGTTTTCAAAACTGCTAACTCACTGCTATGAATAGCTATCAGCCTCTCAAATATGTATGTGTGAACTCAGACTGACACAAGGTATGCAAGCAGCCTGCTCCCAGGCCTTAGTTTAATTTTAGTTCCAGAAGCCTTCTTTTTAGAAAAACTCTCTCTCTCGCTTACACACACACACACACACACACACACACACACACACACACATAACCTTTACAGTAATAAAAATGGAGGCTTACAATTATAGAAGAATATCTGGAAAATTTCCTGTGAGTTTGCAATCATATATATATTTATAAGTTGGTTGAGAAGGTACAGGTAAAAAACCCTCCAACTGACTCATAATGTCCATTAAAGAAAGGCAATCTTTTAATAGAAAACGATTACAATTTTGCAAAGATTAATTTCAACAACATTTTATAAAATGAAGTTGGAAAGCATACACGGTAGCACTCTCCACTTTATAATGTTATAAATAAAATCCATGAGAGTATCTGTATGTATTTTTGTACTTACAGCATTAATGCTTTAAATGGTTATAGATGCTGATATAAGGAGGATAATAAAAGAAGCTATGTAATAATAATTTAAAAAGTGACTGCTATCCATTAGATTTTTTTGCTTTTTGCTGCTTCAAAGGTAATGCAAAAGGAATACAACAAATGTAACAGAGGGTCCCCAGTTTCCCCATTACGTTGTACATTGGCCCCCTTTTCTTTTTTTCTTTTCTTTTTTTTTTTTTTACTCTCTACTACCCCTGCCCCATGAACTCTGACTCTTCAGTAAATTGCAAGGCTTGTGGAAAATCGTCCTCAGAAACTATCATTCTATAACATTTTAGAATAATTTTTGCTTTTGATCTCTAAAAGGAAAAACAGCACTTTAATAAAGTAGTATTGAAATAAGATATACAATGAAAAACCATAGAAAAATTATTTTAGTATAAGTGCTGTGTTTCAAATAAAATAAATTTAGACCCAATAATTACATCAGCCCTGAGGATGATCAAACAAATTGATCTTACCTCAAAGTCTATTTTTCTGAAGCGGTAGAACATATCTATCATTAGTTGTGAATATCTATTTTCACCTATTTTCTGACTAAAAGAATTCAAAAGCTGGAGCTAGGCTTTACAGTCAGACCTACTAAGGCACTATATGCCACCTTACTATACTCAGAGGGGTTTACTCACAAAGAAGGAATAAAGCAGCATGGATGAAAACAAATGCCCCTATTTTTAAATCTTGTTTTTATGGGTCCTCCTTACATTATGCCCATCACATTTAGAAAAATGCAATTAAATGTTTGTCTGAAGGCGAATCACGTGTCAACCATTTGGTAAACCCCTCAAGAGGAGTTCAGTAGATAAATGGGTACTGATAATGAAATTTCCTTGACAAGCATGTACTCATTTCTCAAATTTAAAACTTAGCAGATGGTCAGAAAAGATCTGTCAATAGTTGATTTCCTCTGTTTAACTCAGTAAGAAGATTTGCATATCATTGGTTATCTGCTAACAAAGGAAAAGTAAAGGCATTCTAACAGTATGCTGCATACTAGAACTAAGGGAAATGATTTTCCTTCAAGCCAAAATAATGTAAGTGACACTTGCAATCCTGGAAGGCACAAGAATAAAACCTTGTATCTCAACTACAGGAATACTATCTAACAACCTGAGCTCATAAAAAATATCCATATAGGCCGGCGCAGTGGCTCACGCCTGTAATCCCAGCACTTTGGGAGGCCAAGGCGGGAGGATCACGAGGTCAGGCTAACACAGTGAAACACCGTCTCTGCTAAAAACACACACAAAAAAATTAGCCGGGCATGGTGGCGGGCGCCTGTAGTCCCAACTACTCAGGAGGCTGAGGCAGGAGAATGCCATGAACCCAGGAGGCGGAGCTTGCAGTGAGCTGAGATTGCGCTACTGCGCTCCAGCCTGGGCGACAGAGCGAGACTCCGTCTCAAAAAAAAAAAAAAAAAAAAAAATCCATATATTCTGAAGGTCAGTGAAATAATTTCCTCCTTAAAATACCAACTAGTACTAAATTAGACAACTGCAGGGCAGTTTAAGGTTTCCTAAATAGAAATAGATTCTTTTCTAGAAATATAATTGATATAGGGTGACTTATCAAGCTGAAATATAACTTGAGAAAAATGCAAGGAGAATGATTTCCTGATAAAGGTAAAATTATAAACCATTTTCAGTAAAATTTTGAAAACAGCCCGGAGGATTATCTTGTCTTAGAGAATAGTGATGAAGGAAAAGTCACACCCCAAAGCGTGTGCTTCAGTGACCTTTAACCATACTATATGTACTAACATATGTACTAACAAAGGTCATTAGAGAACTTAAAACAGCATTCCTTCCTAAAAAAAAAAAAAAAAAAAAACCTAGTTTAAAATTTTCAGTGATATCATAAAGAAAAAGCTGAGTCCAAATAACATTGTCTTACTAAAGTAAGAAAAGAGGTATGAGAGGTCATTCCGGCAGAGAAGACTATTTTAACAGTGACGTAGGTTAGAAATTCCAATGCAAAGTGACAATAAAAAGCAACATTATTTTTGTCAGTTTTATTGTTTTTAAATGTCTTACAGACAACGTACCTCATTGTCTGTACCCTGGGACACACCACACCCACCACCCTAACCCTGATATACCCCACTGCATAAATAAAAGTTTTAGTTTCTCTAGAAATTATGGGCAAGATCCTTACTGACAAATCAGCAAATTAACCTGGAAGCCCAAAACAACTGCCAAGAGAACTTTGATTTGCTTATGGCTTTAAACCTCACAGGTCCACACATTAAACACAGACTAAATGACCTAGTAATAACATAAAAATGGACACACCAAAAAGAGTTCTTAGATCACACAGAAAAATATTTCTGTTTGAGGAATTAAGTTCTCCTTATAAATCTTTTCAATACAACTAGTGATACCTGTACTAAGAACACATACATGCTAGATGCTGAAGAGGCTGTAGTAAGCAGTACAGACATATTCCTCTGCCTTTGTCAAGTTTACAGTCTAACAGAAGGGACAATATAAAATGAAAGTACAATAAACTCTAACACTGCAATAATAGTGGAAATATAAGAAGCTATATCTCACAGAATTTTTCAAATTTTTTCATCTAACCCATAGTAAGAAACATATTTACATTGTAACCCAGTTTCCATGTTGTCTATAGTAAAATAACATACACACATATGCATAGACATATCCATATATAATTAAAACTGGAAAATTTTTATGCAACAGTGTATGCTTTTAAAATGTGTGACAAACTCTGATATTTTCCATTCCATTTTAATTTGTCTGGTTTTAAATCACTAAATTGATCTTAGGATCCCTATATGGGTTTTGACCTGAAGTTTGAATAACACAGACCACTGGTATTTTTAAGTCAGCTGCATTTTTAAAATAAAGGTACAAATTCCTGAGCCCTACCTAAAACTACTGAATTAGAGTCCATGGAAGATAGGTCCCAGAAAGCTGGCACTGTAAAACCTGGCAACTCTATTATGCCAGGATATAGAAGAACAATTGTGCCCTGAATATATACTGTAGCTATCACTACAGGTTATCTGACAGCCCAGCTATCTGAGATATCTGTATCTTGAGTAAAGTTCACAGAAATGTTTTCAAAGTTGTTCTCTCTGATTTTTCCCTCCTCAGACCCAATATATTCACTATACCACCTCCTGGACCACAAGCATCAACAAAAACAGAGCAGGAAACATACTGTGCCTCAAAAGCAGATCCGCTGGAAACACTAGAGGAAGGTATACTGTGAAAGCCATATAAAAACACAAAGAAAGCAATCACAGAGAGAATTTTTAAAAGCCTCAAAATTGTCAGCTGACTTCTATCTTTATTTTCTTGAGAAATCACACTTTTTAAAGAAAGTTGTAAATATTAATCTCATTAATCTTAACTTTGTTTTGCTGGGTGAGCAGAACTCCTTTCCAGGTTGGGAAGAAAACTTCCCAGATATAGGCAACCAAAACCAACTTCCTACAGAGCTAGGAATTTAGGAGTTTAGAAATTCAGATATCCTGGGGACCTGGGAACATCATAACCCCTATATAACCAAATTTATATATCTCTTTAAATTACTCCCCATAAACAAGAAGCAAAAGAAGTAATGAGTTCCACCACAGGTTGGGGGAATCTAAAAGTTTGTATCTTAAACAGAGAATATTTTGCATATTGTAAAAACGAGACACTATCTTCTCTAAAGAGTTGTTAATGATTTTTAGGAGGAAATTCCCCTAAAAAAAATGAGTGACCCTTCCATTGCCATTGAAAAGAAATTCTGCCTCCCCAACAAGATAGAATAATGGCACCTGGAATGTTGCATTCAAAATATACTAAGAGGAATATGAAAAGTCTATCAAAAAAACTTTAATATTTTTTCCCACAGAAGAGAAAAAAGAGAAAGAGTATTTTCTTCAAAATAATGTCTATTTGCAAAGCTCACTGTCTTCAGATAATTTCTGTCTTTTAGAGACATAGTACAGGATGATTGGGTTAAAACAAGTCTGATGGCAGACATGCAAAAAACATGCCAACAGACAACACACAAAAATTAAACTAGTTTTTAATACAGAAGCATAGACCTGGAGTTCAGAAAAAGATATGCTCTAAATCTTTTTATATATATTTTTTACCCTCTTATAAAAGCAGATTCAAAGAACAGCTTTGAAGTGAAACTAAAGAACTGAGGGCATTAAAAAGCCCAGTTCAAACTAAGTGGCTCCTGGGAAGGAGGAGAAGGAAAGAATTAGGGAAAAAGTAGGGGCCCTTTTGCATTGAAAAGTCTTACTGTACGTCTCAGCTCCAATTCTAAATGAGACATCATCACAATATAAAGGATAATATGCTTCAAATAGTTAGAAAACTAAATTTATACATTTCTATATTCTAATCCACTGTCTCTTAGCAGCATTAATTCTAAGCAGAGATACTAAGTTAGAAGGCAATTTGGCCTAATTAGCAAGTGGCTCAGTGACAAATATAGCCTGCTGTATTAAAATTGCTTAGTAGCTATACAAATTGTAGCTGACAATTTATGAAAGAAATTCTAATTCAACTGACCAGTGCCGTGAATGTCAAACAAAGGACAGCAAAATATACATTGAAATTTCTATGTACTCATGTTTTACAAAAGAGCAACTCTAAAGCATAATTAAATCAAAAGCACATGCTATATTAATTTCATCATGTTAGCATTACAGGCAAGAATACACACAAGAGCTTTGCTTTTCCACAAAGAACTTTGTCTTATCATTTTCTAATTTAAAATCTTCCATGCTAGTAAAATTCTCCAAGGTATTTACAATCTTAATCTAAAGCACTAGAACTCACACAATCAAGTTATAATGAATGACAACTTGGGAGTTTCCACTTACCTAGATATATTGTTAAAGCTGAGAAAGAGATGTTGGAGGCAGGGCAAATTATCCACATCTCTCTGGAAGAAAATAGACAGCAAAACTTAATCAGATGAAAGAAAAAAATATTATAAATGTCTTCTTGCTAAGCTATTGAAATATATAATCATTTCTATTTACTGCAACATTGCTACATCACTGATTTCTACTGGACAGTGAGCTCCACTCTCCTCCACTGCAGATTAAATGGGAGGGTTTCAGTACATCCGCAGAACAAGCTGCACCACTCGCAAGGTAAAAAGCACTGAGGAGACAGGGAGAGACGCTGCCGCTAGCCTCTTTAAGCATGCTTTTGGGAAAGATGCCAAAATGCTACTTCAGCACTTCAACTGTAGCACAAATACAGTATGATCAAACATTTGTTAAAAATCACTGTTAAAAAGAAGCCATTCAAAAGCTTTAACATTTAAATTTATACAATTAGCTTTCTAAACAATAGTGAGAATTTTAAAGCTATTTAACTCACTGGTCTCAAAACCTTGGAAATAAACCATCAGTTACAAATGAACCAATACACTAATGATTCCCCCATAAAACTAAAAGCAAATCATGGTAAGTGTCACTGAAGGGTACTGTAAGGGCAATTTCTCATCTAAGCTCATATCAGAGGTTCTTAAAATAGGAAATCTACCCTATTATATTTATGCACACCACCCCAAAAACATACCACTGCTGTTTAAATACAGTTAACCTTAACAAATATTGAATTGCTTAGGACCAAATTATTTAAAAAAAAACAACAAAAAATAAAGTAAAAGCTACCTAATTCATTTCATGAAAAGACATAAACCTTCTGAAAAGATTTATATATAATGGAGTAACAGAATCTTACAGACGCTTGGTAATTACCAAGTCTACAACTTTATTATTCACCTAGAAAAGTGACCAATCGAGGTTACTACAGGGGGAGAATAAGGGTGTGGTGGGAAGGTGGCCCAGGAGTACATACAGTCAGTCCCTAGAGGCTGAGACAGGGAAAGATTCCAGTATCCTGACTTCCAGTGCTCTGATCCTCAAAGTGTTACATACTGCCATGTCTCATATAAAATGTTTTTCGTTTTTAAGGGCAGTATCATTTGCAGTAATTCTCAGTTACATTAATTTGAATAATACAAAAATAAGTATATTTTATATGTTATTGTGACCAATATTTAATCCTAAATCAAAACTTGTTTTACTGTTTCCATAAATCATCGTCTTTCTTCCTCCCTCCTTTTCTTCCCTCCATCTGAAAACTACCATTTCTAAGACCCGAGTAAGAGTTTAGGCAAGTGCATTAAAATTATTGACAAACCTAGCTTTTCCCAAAATGCTGTATTTATTTTTTTAAAGTTTGTTATTCAAAGAAAATATAAAAGTGATAGAATTAGGACAGAACCACTTTTTAATGGTTTTTCAGGGAGCAAAGGAAAAATGAAGCTGCCTTGTTTTTCTACCTACCCTATGTACTATTCTCCAAACTTCTCTCAACCCTTTAGACCCTAAACAGTGTAAAATCAATACAATAGCCCATGATCAATACACTGGCTATGTATACCATTCATTTGACATTACCATTCTCAGGCCCACTCCCATGAAGCCTATTCCACAGATGTGAGATAATGATTTTTAGAGCTTTTCATGGCCAAGGAGTAAGTCTGTGGAAACAGGAGGGCAGCCAAATTTCCCTCAGTAGGTGATATACTTCATATGTTGGCAAACTTTTAAAATCATCTCTTTCAGCTACTTCTCTCTGATATTCCCATAAATGGAGGAGGAGTGATAGACTAGTGGTAGGGCTCATTTCACTCCAGGGCCCTAGTTTCCAAAGGAAATGGCAGCCTGCTGCCTATCTGGTCTCTAGAAACATGAAGTCATAGCCAGACTGAAAACCCTCTCTGTATTCCTGGGGAAATCTCTTCTCCCAGATTCTTCCTGGAATCTACCTGAGATATTTCTGGGCACAATCATTGTTATTGGCACTCAACCTGGAGAAACTGAGAGGTAGCAGCCTTTAAAAATACATTTTAAATCCTTTGAATCAAGGCATCTCATTTAAAAAATACATCTGTCCCTTTGAGCTCCAGCATGCCATCTTCAGAGATTATAAACACCTTCTAAGACATAACTTTTTTCAATAAAAATAGAAAACTCAAATTCCATCAGGATATAATTTGTGAGAAAAAGTTTTTTAAGTTTATTTGACAAAATTATAATTATTTAATCTCTGTTTATGAGACAAAATTTTACGTCTTTATCAAATTTTAAAAATCATTAAATGTCATTGCCTAGTAGAGTTATCAAAAATATAAAAATATTCACAAGTTGAAACACTAAAATGCAGAATTCAATTCTATATATCCTCATAATCACTTACATAGATACCCTTTCCAGAACTTTAAAAAGCAAATAATTATACACAATCATTTTTCGTTGTTCCAAATTTCATTTCTGTAAGAAAATGTTAACTTTTCTCCAATTTTTTAGCAATTCTGTGATATACTTTTGTAACAAAATTCTAGCATTATAATAGACAAAAAGAAAACACCGTATTTACCGTATCAATTATCTATGCATGCATTATTTACAGAAGAAAGACCTGTTAAAAACTACTAGGGGATGGCTCCTCTAATATAAGAGAGTAAACAAAAGATGGGATATATATAAGATTCAGGGAGTACAATTCATCATCTAGGAGAGGCAAAGAGAAATCCAAGGATGAAATCTGTATAGCAGGGCTAAATGCAAGCAGACTTCATTAGACAGGGGACAGGAGGCTCTAGAAGGGTATCTCCAAGAGGTAAAAATGAAACACAGATCACCTGAAGTCTTTGCCTATACAGAAAGGGATTTTAGGGTTTTGTTGGAGAGTTTGGACATTAATGATAGTTAAACAAGCCCTAAATTGAGACAGCTATTAATCTCAGGGAAAACAAAAGTTTAACATCATGGTCCAAGACTCACTTTGAAAACCTCACCGTGCTTTGTCAACCATCCTAATCTATTCTATCATAAATGTATCCATTTTCATTAAGCCCCTGCATTGAAAGACCCACCCTAAACCAGAACCCCAAGAAATTTCAAACTAAATCTCCTGTCTCTGCCTTCGAAGATACAGCCAAGGCTATGTCAAGGCAGTGTGCTTTTACTTGCCAGTAGTAATTTCTCCTTTGCTTTATCAACTAGTCATTCTGGCGGTACTCTGCAGGAGCCAGCACTCAACAATCTGCTTACCTAAAAATTATTTCGGAATGACAGGGAAAGTGGAAATGGGGGTTAGGGATAATGTAAGAAAGGTAAATTCTCATCTATTTAAGAAAAAGTATTTATTTTACTGTCAAGCATTAAATACCCCTAACATATCCTTTCTGGAGGTAACTATTTCAGCATCAGAGAAACTATAACAAAGAAGCCAGAATGTTAACATACCTAAGATGAGAGGGAAAAAAATGAAATAAAATGTTTACATGTAGGGGAATATTTATAGCTCGTTATTAATTTCCTCATTATCTTAAATTTATTATTTTTAATAAAACATAATACTGAAAATAATATTCAAAACATTTTTTGAAGTAAAATTCAAAACTATTTTATGTATTTGGAAAATATAATCTTTTAAAAAATAGAAAAAATTATTTACCACAAGATTATTTGAGAGGATTATAATTCTTTATTTTCCAAAAAAATACTGATTTGTTTTCTGAGAAAAATGCTTGTCCTACTCTGCTCAGGCACTGTTGTCCATATCCCTAAACTGCATAAAAGAACTAAATGGCCAGGTGTGGTGGCTTGTGCCTGTAATCCCAGCAATTTGGGAGGTGAGGTGGGTGCATCATTTGAGATCAGGAGTTCGAGACCAGCCTGACCAGTGTGGTGAAACCCCATCTCTACTAAAAATACAAAAATTAGCCAGGCACGGAGGCGTGTGCCTATAGTCCCAGCTACTTGGGAGGCTGAGACGGGAGAATTGTTTGAACGAGGGAGGCGGAGGTTGCAGTTAGCCGAGATTGCGCCTCTGTACTCTAGCCTGGACAACAGAGCAAGACTCCATCTCAAAAAAAAAAAAAAAAAAAAAGACAGAGAAAGAAAAAAGAAAAGAAAAGAACTAAATGATTCAGCAATCTGATCACGTGGGGAATATCTATCACTGGAGCTATTTTTAGAGCAGCTTCCTCTAGAGGAATAAGGAAGAAGAAAGGTGAACAGATTTTGACATGCACCAAGGATTCTGACATGCAACAAGTAGGGCAAAGATGTCTATAATAAAATCATAGCTACTCTCATTTTTACTATGTAGGCTTTCATACAAAACAAGTTAGAGTAAAAATATATAGGGGTAATTATTCTAACTTTGAGAGCTGTAAACAGATTCATTCACAAAGCATCAAACAAGCTTGGAAACAAAAAACAATGAAGTATTCCTTTTTAAAAAAAAGACTTATTAAATTAATTCCAAAATAACTACTTGCTTCACCTATCACTTTGTGACACAGACACTTATTATATGAGGACTAATAGCTGCAAGCCATCATATTAAAACTCTAATCATATATATAAATGCCAATGAAAAAAGTCCATTATTTGGCAGTTATCCAAAGGCATTAATGGGTTTATCTGGTTTTTGTACTTGTTTACTACCCATTACACAGCAATAGATATCAGTCAATTCACCAGTCTGATTTTCTTCTACACACTGTTTTAATACCCCAGAGCAAAAACTGAAAGGGAACTTAAAACCAGACCAGTAAGAAGGCACTGATATGCTGACTAATTAGGGAAATGTCCAGTCTTTATAATCTAGGAGAGCTAGATTTAACAGCTTTGAGGAAATCAATAAAAAGCCTCAATTTCATAACCATAGGCTTTCCCTCACTGGAATTTACAGTTCAAACTTACATCACAAACATAATCTAAAAAGACCCCTCATAAAAAATGGTACCTGGCATTCATGACCCTAACACTCCTGGCAAAACTGTCTAGAAGGACACGAATTCAACTCAGGCTTTGCAACATCCTGACTATTCCAAACTATTAAACTATAAAGAAAAAATTACCATGAGTAACAGTCAGTAGAACTTTCAGGCAACAGATGAAGAAATGCCAAAAAATTAAGAAAATATAGTAACTTGATAAAGACTATGGAATATTTATCTTTAAATTTATAAGAGCAATGAAAAAAATTAAAAACAAGAAAAAATAAGGTACATGCATGCCTCGTTTAATTATGCTTTGCAGATATTGTGCTTTTTTTTAAATTTTACAAATTGAAGGTTTGTGGCAATCCTGTATCAACCAAGTCAGTGCCATTTTTCCAACAGCATGTGCTCACTTCGTCTCTAGGTCACATTTTTGTAGTTCTCACAATATTTCAAATTTTATTATTATTATATTTGTTATGATTATCCGTGATCAGTGATCTGTGATATTACTATTGCAATTGTTTTGGGGCATCACAAACTGTGCCCATAGAAGGTTGCAAACTTAATCAACAAATGTGTGTTCTGACTGCTCCACTCACTGGCACTTCCCCCATCTCTCTCCCTCTTCTTGGTCCTACCTTTGCCTCGAGGCACAACAATATTAAAACTAGGCCAATTAATAACCCCTACAATGGTCTCTAAGTGCTCAAGTGAAAAAATGAGTTACAAGTCTCTCACTTAAAATCAAAAGCTAGAAATGGTTAAGCTTAGTGAGAAAGTCATGTTGAAAGCTGAGATAGGCTGAAAACCAGGCCTCTTTCACCAGCTAGCCAAGTTATGAATGCAAAGGAAAAGTTCTTGGAGAAAATCAAAAGTGCTACTCCAGTGGAACACACAATTAATAAATAAAAACAATAGGAAGAAAGTTTGAATGGTCTGGAAAGATCAAACCAGCCACAGTATTCTCTTAAGCCAAAGCCTAATCCAGAACAAGGCCTTAACTCTCAACAATTCTATGAAGGCTGAGAGAGATAAGGAAGCTGCAGAAGAAAAGCTAGAAGCTAGCAGAGGTTGGTTCATGAGGTTTAAGGACAGAAGCCATCTCCAGAACATAAAAGTGCAAGGTGAAGTAGCAGCAAGTGCTGATGTCAAAGCTGCAGCAAGTTACCTAGATAATCCAGCTAAGATAACTGATGAAGGTAGCTACCCTAAACAACAGATTTTCAATATAGAGAAACAGCCTTCTATTGGAAGAAGATACCATCTAGGACTTTTATAGATGGAGAGGAGAAGTCAATAACTAACTTCAAAGCTTCAAAACACATGCTGACTCTCTCGTTAGGAGCTAACAAAGTTGTTGACATTAAGATGAAGCCAATGCTCCTCTGCCATTGTGAAAATCCTATGGCCCTTAAGAATTGTGCTAAATCTACTGTGCCTGTGCTCTATAAACAGAACAACAAAGTTGTATGCTGATGACAGTATATCTGTCTGCAGCATGGTTTACTGAATATTTTAAGCCCACCATTGAGATCTGCTCAGGAAAAAATTTTCCTTTCAAAATATTACTGCTTATTAACAATGCACTTGGTCACCCAAGAGCCCAGATGGAGATGTAGAAGGAGATTAATGTTGTTTTCATGCCTGCTAACACAACATCCATTCTGCAGTCCATGGAGCAAGGAGTAATATCAACTTTCAAGGATTATTATTTAAGATATACATTTCATAAGGCTTTAGCTGCCTTAAATAGTGATTCCTCTACTGGATCTGGGCAAAGTAGACTGAAAACTTTCTAGAAAGAATTGACCATCCTAGATGCTATTAAGAACATTCATGATTCATGGGAGGAGGTCAAAATATCAACATTAACAGGAGTTTGGAGGAAGTTGATCCCAAACCTCATGGATGACTTTGAGGGGTTCAAGACTTCAGTGAAGGAAGGAACTGCAGATGTGGTAGAAAGGGCAAAAGAACTAGAACTAAAAGTGGAGCCTAAAGATGTGACTGAATGGCTGCAATCTCATGACCAAACTTGAATAGATGAGGAGTCACTTCTTACGGATGAGGAAAGAAAATAGTTTCTTAAGATGGAAACTGCTCCTGGTGAAAAGATGCTATGAACATTGCTGAAATGACAACAAACAACTTAGAATATCACATTAACTTAGTTGATAAAGCACCAGCAGGGTTTGAGAGGACGGATTTCAATTCTGAAAGAAGTCTTACTGTAAGTAAAATGCTATCAAACAGTATCTCATGCTACAGAGAAATCTTTCATGAAAAGAAGGGTCAATGAGGCAAATTTCATTTTTGTCTGAGTTTTACGCCACAGCCATCCCAACCTTCAGCAACCATCACCTTGATCTGTCAGCAGCCATTAACATCACGGCAAGACCCTCCCTCCACCAGCAAAAAGATTACAACTTGCTGAAAGATCAGATGATCATTAGCATTTTTTATTACTAAAGTATTTTTGAATTAAGGTATGTACATAGTTTTTTTAGACATAATGCTATAGCACATTTAATAGACTACAGTATAGTGTAAACATAACTTTTATATGTACTGGGAAACTAAAAACTTCATGTAACTCATTCCTACATTTATTCCTACATTTGCTTTATTGTGGTGCTCTGGAACTGAACCCACAGTATCTCTAAGGTATACCTGCATTAGAAATAAAGACATCTGGGCATTTATGAAAAAAATTCATGTAGAACTTCTACAAAGAAAAAACTACGGTCATTTTTAAAAACTCAATGGATGGACTGAAAATCAAATTAGATAAATTGAGGATAAAGTTAGTGAATTCAAAGGTAGAACCAGATAAGTGATAAGAATGAAGAAATGAAGCAGAGAGAAATAAGAATGATGAAAATTATAGAAACAAAGAATAGAATGAAAAGGTCCATACTATATCTAGCAGGTGTTTAAGAAGTAGAAAGAGATAAAATGGAAGTGCAATATTTGAAAATATAAAGACTCAGAATGTTCCCATAATAAATGAAAGATATGTGCCAGGCACGGGGGCTCATGCCTGTAATCCCAATACTTTGGGAGGCCAAGGCGGGTGGATCATTTGAGATCAGGAGTTCGAGACCAGCCTGACCAATGTGGTGAAACCCCATTTCTACTAAAAATACAAAATTAGCCAGGCATGGTAGTGCACATCTGTAATCCCAGCTACTCGGGAGGCTGAGGCAGGAGAATTACTTGAACCCGGGAGGTGGAGCTTGCAGTGAGCCAAGACTGCAATTGCACTCCAGCATAGGCAACAAGAGTGAAACTCTGTTTCAAAAATAAATAAATAAATAAAAGAAAATTAAATAAATAAATAAATAAATAAATGAAAGTTATGAATCTGCAGATTTAGGAAACACAAATATTAGGTATGCTAATAAAATTACCACATTTTATTAAATCTAACATTATCTTACAACTATTTTATTCAGCACTTGGGGAAAATAAACTTAAAATTAACTTATAGTAGAATAATATATCACTTAAAATTTGTGTTTATTACTGAAAGAGCTCTTTTAGACTTAACCAGATTTTTTTACTGAATATCGTTTTTATGCATACATAAAAAGTAAGTTACACAAAATAAATTTGTTGAACTTCCAGAATATCTCTACTTACTATATAGATGCGGTAGAAAGGGCAAAAGAGCTAGAACTAAAAGTGGAGCCTAAAGATGTGACTGGATCTGGTATATATTACGTAGACGAATAGATGGAACAGAATAGAGGGTCCAGAAAAAAGATCCATTTGATTAGTACTCGATTTCAACAAAGACAACAGTTTAATTCAGTGGGGAAAGCAAGTTTTTTAAATAAAAGATAATGAAGAAAATAGATATCCCTATGTGGGAAAAATGAACTATGATCCCCTACCTCACAGCATACATAAACTTAATTAAAAATGGATGACTGGCTGGGCATGGTGGCTCATGCCTGTAAACTCTGACACTGTAGGAGGCCAAGATGGGAGGATCACTTGAGCCCAGGTGTTTGAGACCAGCCTAGGCAACATGGCAAGACCCCATCTCTACAAAAAATAAAAAAATTAGCCAGGTGTGGTGGCATGTGCCTGTAGTCCCAGCTACATGGAAGGCTGAGGTGGGAGGATTGCTTCAGCCCAGGAGGTCAAGGCTGCAGTGTGCTATGTTCGAGCCACTGCACTCCAACCTGGGCAACAGAGTGAAACTCTGTCTCAAATAAATAAACAAATAAATGAAAATAAAAATGAATCACATATCTAAATAGAAAGGTAAAACTATAAACCTTCTGGAGGAAAATGTAGGTGAACATAGTCATGATATTGGGACAGGAAAAGATTTCTCAGACAGAACACAAAAGATAATAACAACTAACAAAAACAAATTGCTAAACTGAGCTTCACTAAAATTAGAAGTTTCTACATATCAAAAACACTGTTAAGAGAGTAAAAAGGCAAGCCTTTTTACATGGAGAAAATACACTCAATATATATATATCAAACAAAGGACCTGCATCTAGAATGATAAAAAGATAACCTAATTTTTTCAAACAGGTAACAGATTTGAACTGATACTTCATAAAAGATGAAAAGATGCTTGAAAAGATGTTCAGCATCATTAGTAATAAAGAAAATGCAAATTAAAAGCACAATGAGAATCATAGAATTGCTAAAATTATAAAGACTGACAAACTTTGGCAAGGATTTTGAGCAATGAGAACTCTCTATTGCTGCTGGGAGTATAATGGTATAATCACTTCATAAAACTGGTAGTTTCTCCACATCCTCTCCAGCACCTGTTGTTTCCTGACTATTTAATGATCGCCATTCTAACTGGTGTGAGATGGTATCTCATTGTGGTTTTGATTTGCATTTCTCTGATGGCCAGTGATGATAAGCATTTTTTCATGTGTCTGTTGGTTGCATAAATGTCTTCTTTTGAGAAGTGTCTGTTCATATCCTTTGCCCAATTTTTGGTGGGGTTGTTTGTTTTTTCCTTGTAAATTTGTTTGAGTTCTTCGTAGATTCTGGATATTAGCCCTTTGTCAGATGAGTAGATTGCAAAAATTTAAACCATCATTCTCTGCAAACTATCTCAAGGACAAAAAACCAAACACCGCATGTTCTCACTCATAGGTGGGAATTGAGCAATGAGAACACATGGACACAGGAAGGGGAACATCACACACTGGGGCCTGTTGTGGGGTGGGGGGAAGGGGTAGGGATATCATTAGGAGATATACCTAATATTAAATGACAAGTTAATGGGTGCAGCACACCAACATGGCACATGTATACATATGTAACTAACCTACACGTTGTGCACATGTACCCTAAAACTTAAAGTATAATAAAAATAAAAAATAAAAAACAAAAAAACTGGTAGTTTCTAATAAATTTAGACATCCACCTACCCTATGGCTCAGTAATAACACTCCTACATATTTACCTAAGAGAAATGAGAGCATTTGTCCACCAAAATATATATGTAAACTTAAAACTATGGCCATGTTTGGTGGCTCATGCCTGTAATTCCAGAACTTTGGGAGACTGAGGCAGGAGGATCAGTTGAGCCCAGGAGTTCAAAACGAGCCTGGGCAACATAATGAGACCCTATCTCTAAATAAATAAATAATTTTTAAAAACTGCAAGAATATCCGCAGCAGCTTTATTTGTAAGAGCCAAAAATTGGAAATAACCAATGTGCCTGTGAACAGAAAAATGAATAAGCAAATTGTATGATATTTCAACAATGGAATACAGCTCAATAATTTTTTAAACTACTGATATGCACAACAAAATGGATGAATATCAAGACATTATGTTGAATATACAAAAGAGTACATAATCTTTATATATGTACTTTTCAAAAACAGGCAAAATTAATCCACAGGGATAGAAGTCAGAATACCTGTGGGGCAGGGGAGGGTACTAACTAGAAAGAGGCACAAGGAAACTTTCTGAGGTGATAGAAATATCAGTCACATGAAATTACTCAGATTAAATAGAAGCTATTGAACTGTACAGTTGATTGTGTATTTTATTGTACCTAAATTATCCCTCAATAAAGTATGAAGGAAAAGTCTTCATATTTAGATTTAAACTTCTCAATCACTTTTCAACTAATAATGTCCATGCTTTTCACACAATATTGTCTTCTATGCCATTAAGAACATTGATGATGCAGTATATCCTAAAAGTGTGTTCCATTATTGTATATGGGATTTTCTTCCAAATACTGATACCCATTCTGTATGTTTTGATACTATAAGACAAAGAAAGCACCAATATGAATTGTTCACACAGCTTCTTGTTATTTTGAAATTTCTTTCATCTATTCCAAGGGGTTTCCTCAATTTCTTCTGCCTTCAGTTGCATTGCTTGACACATGATAGGCAAAATCTCTCTGAATCTATCTCAGTAACAAATGTAATACAGCTTCAGTAATACATGGCTATCTTCCTTTTAAAGTATTTGATTGTTAATTAGCAAGAGAAGGTAGAATTGCGGCCATTCTTCCAATGAAAAATAATTTGTCTCACTAATATTAAACTTAATGTCTTTGCTGCCCTATTTCCATAACTTTTTGAATAGAATGTTTCATTTCAATGCCAAATCATGGTGTAATATTTTAAAATGCATTTTGAACAGTGATTAAACTCAAAACATACAGTACCAACAACTGAAATGACAATAGTACAAACAGCATAACCAAGTCCACATATATTTAGGCAATGAAATTGCTGTAGCCTGTATAACATTGATTTAAGCATGCTATAGATTGTAAGACATACCTAGATTTCAGAGTTGGAATATGGAAAATGTCTGTTTCAAATTAATAAAATAAGATAGTTCCACACCTAAACATATCATAGTAAATCTGAAGGACTTCAAAAAGAAATCTTACAATCTTAAAGGCAACCAGAGGAAGGAAAAGAAGATACCCTAGACACACACAAATGATAGTAGACATTTTAATGACAATAACAGAAGCTCAAAGGCAATGGAATATGATATTCAAACGTCTGGGAAAAAAATAACTGTCAGTCAAGTCAAACCATCAATCATGAATAAAAGCAAAATAAACTCATTTTTTGATAAACAAAAACTGAGAGACTTCAGAGTTATCTCAAGGAAACTTTTTCTAAATGATATATTTTGGGAAGAAGGATAGACAGAGATGCAGAAGGAGTGGTGAACCCAAACAAGCATGTGGGCAAATCCAAATAAGCACTGACTGGAAACAATAGCAATTAAAATGTCTAATTTTGGGGGTAAAAGAATAAAAAGAAAATACTAGGCAACAAAAACATGTAAAATGGAAAGGTTACTGTATTAAATGATTCTAAGGTCCTTATCTGATAAGAGTGTAGAGATGTGTATTAACTCTGTGATTTAAGTCAAGTGTATATTTTAAAATGCTAAGAGTAAGCATTAAAGTGAATAAGAAAGAACAGAGAAAACACTATCAACCCAAAATAAGACAGAAGAAAATAAAAACATAGGGAAAATATAACAAATAGGAAGCATGAAATAACATCTAAGTAAAAAATCTAAACATATCAGTAATTACAATTAGTACAATAGACTAAAGTCTCTGGTAATAAGACAGATTCTCAGATTATATGTTTAAAAGGGGGGCTATGCATTCTTTTTAAGAGAAAGGTTGGAAGTTAAAGAATACATACTTCATATACACTGAAAAAAACTCAGCATCTTTTCTCTGACATTCCTGCCATACTCTTCACAAATGTCAATGTCATGAAATACAAAAAAAGACTCTTCTAGATTAAAGAAGACTAAGGAGATATAACAACTGAATGCAATGCATGATCTTGTATTTTCTTTTGCTATAAAGAACATTATTGGGACAAATGGCAAAATCCAAATAAGATCTATAGATTAGATAAATGGCATCATATCAATGTTAATTTCCTGAGTTTGATAGTGGTACTGTTGTTATAAGACAATTCCTTGTTTTTAGGAAATACATACCGAAGTATGTGGCAATAAAGAGGCATTATGCCAGCAACTTACTCTTAAATGGTTGAAAAAAAGTATATATTAACTGATATATGGAGAAGGAAAAAGGGAGAAAGTAAGCAAGAGAGAAGATAAAGCAGATGTAGCAAAATGTTATCATTTAGAGAATCCGGGTGCATTTTGTACTGGGAATTCTTTATACTATTATTACAACATTTTCTGAAATTATATCAAATTAAAAATTTTTCTAAAAAGGTTAGGAAATAAAAAAGATATACCAAAGAAAAATAACCAGAAAAGCCTGGTATTAACATTAAATAAACATTAAGGTAATAAGTATTATTAGTGTCCTGTTATATCCCAACTACCTAGAACAATGCCTGGCATATAGCCCATGCTCATAAAATACTTGCTTAATGAAGGAGTTAGTAATAAAGAGAGTTAATACATAACAATAAAAGGAACAATTACCAAGAAGATATATTAATTTTAAACTTGTATGCTTCTAGAAACATAGCTTCAAAATACTGACAAATACTAGACAAATACATTGATAGTAAGCATCAACTATAGATACTGACCACATACCAGGCAATAAATAAGTAAATAAAAACCTCAGCAAACGTTAAAGTACCAATTACACATAATCTACATTTACTGGTCACAATGCAATTAAACTAGAAAAGAATGGCCATAGAATAAAAAATCCATACATTTCAAAATGTTAAGGTGTACTTCTAAATAACACATGGATCAAAAAAGAAATCACAGTAAAACATGGAACTTACAAAATGTTTAGAACTAAATAATAAGAAAAATACTAAATTTCAAGACTTATGGGAAGAAGCTGAAGTGATTTTTAGAGGGAAATTTATAGGCTTAAATGCTTTTATGAGAAAATTTAAAAGACTGAAAACTAATATATGAAATATCCAACACAAAACTTGAGACAGCAACAGATAAAATAAAAGATATATACAAATGTTGGTAATATTAGTTCCTATTATTTTGGGGATATCTGAAATGTTTCAGGTTTTTTTGAGTTTTATTAATTTTTTGCTTTAAAATTTTTTATTAATTTTAAATTTTTGTGGGTACCTAGTAGGTATAGGTATTTATGGGGTACATGAGCTGTTTTGATACAGGCATGCAATGTGTAATAAGCACATCATGGACAACGGCGTATCCATCCCCTCAAGCATTTATCTTTTGAATTACAAACAATCCACTTACATTATTTTAAAATACACAATTAATTTATTATTGACTATAGTCACCCTATTGTGCTATCAAATGGTAGGTTTCATTCATTCTTTCTATTTTTTTGTACCCATTAACCATCTCCACCTCCCCTCAACCCCCCACTACCCTTCTCAGCCTCTGATAACCATCCTCCTACTCTCTATGTCTATGAGTTCAATTGATTTGATTTTTAGATCCCACAAATAAGTGAGAACATGCGATATGTGTTTTTCCATTCCTGGCTTATTTCGGTTAATGTGATCTCCAGTTCATTCATGTTGTTGCAAATGACTGGATCTCATCCTTTTTTATGGCTGAATACTACTCCACTGTGTATATGTACCACATTTTCTTTATCCATTCATCTGTTAATGGACACTTAGGTTGTTCCCAAATCTTAGCTATTGTAAACAGTGCTGCAACAAACATAGGGATGCAGATATCTCTTCCATGTCCTGACTTCCTTTCTTTTGGAAATATACCCAACAGTAGGACTGCTGGATCATATGGTAGCTCAATTTTTAGTTTTTTTTAGGAACCTCCAAACTGTTTTCCACAGTGGTTGTACTAATTTACATTCCCACCAACAATGTACAAGGGTTCCCTTTTCTCCACATTCCTGCCAGCATTTGTTATTGCCTGTCTTTTGGATATAAGACACTTCATAATTTTTAAAGAGAAAGATGCCATACAAACTAAAAATACTTGGTTTGAAATTTATAAAATTTCAAAAACAAAGATTGGTAAATAAACAAGCAATAACTTTTCTACATCAAAAACATCAGAGAAGGTGTCTGTTCAAGACGGTAAGTAGGTTGCATTTGTTTCACCTTCTTTCCAAGATTCAATGGGTGAAGCAATAAAAATACACACAAATGAGTACATTCATGAAAACCCTAACAAAAGAGTTATCATCATCTGACCAACACTTCTGATGAAGTTCAAGCAGCTGAAAAGCTGATGGGATCTTACTGAGATAACCCTGAGCAGAGAGAACTGCAGCTCAGAACTGCAAGAGAGATGCTGCACTCAAAGCCAGCAATTCTTTCTGACTGAATGCCATCTTACTCCATGCTGGGTCAGTGCATACAATGAGCAGGCATGGACTACGGTGAACTGTGCTGAATCAAGTAGTGTATAATCAAAGATCTGTCTACTCAACAGCTATTTTTGGAATACCAACAAACCCACCCACTCCCACTTCTGTCATGAACATAAACATGTACAGAGCATCTGGCTAAAGAAATCCTCAGCTAGAGCCTAAGGAACTGTTCTCCAAACAAAATAGAGTATTTGTCAAAAAAGGGTGGAAAGTGTGGGTGTTTTATCTATAGAGATTATTAACCACCTCTACATAAGAATCAGAGGGAAAAAAGAAATGGCAGTTTCACCTGGCACAAATGAAAACAAAGTCTTTCTACCCCTGAAAGTAAAGTCTTATTTTGGCAGTCACTGAGTGACTTTCCCTTTCACTTACCCTAAAGGGAAGTTCACAAATGTGTGGGATTCAAGAACTTACACAAATCTAGTGATTATTCTAGAGTGAGATCTTATGGTTAAAAAGATCTATTCAACTGCACAGGATACCCAGATACTCCTTAACATGGTCCTTCATTTAAAGATTACCAGCTACTGAGGAAAATCAAAACCATGAAAGAAAAAAAAGCAAGAAGAATAAGTGTGGTAACTGATACTGGAGAAAAAAATGATGGAAGAGAAGTATTCTCAGATTTTAAAGTCCCTTGAATCTTTTAAAAAAGAGATGCTTTGAAAAAGAAATGAGTTGGATGAAGTTTATTTGTCCATATATTTCACAATATATGGATATAGTAAATTTGATATATAGCAAATTTCACAATTGACTGTAATTAATATGCATGATACTTACTACTGTCTTCTTAACTTTTAGAAATTAATACAATTTCCTCTTCCATAAGTTGTTTACTGCTGCCTAAACTATAACAGTAATGATTAAACATAATACTCAACGGGAAATTCAGTAAGCAATTTCCTAAATATGCATTATGCACTTTCCAAATGAAAGCCAAAATATAGGCAGGAATATGCTAGGGCCAATAGATTCCTGTTCCCTACTCTAACAAAGCTTTTTGGAATCTTACCAGACCCAAGGTCCTAAGGACAAACTAAGTCCTGACTGAGCAGTTCTTGGAGATTTAGCAACATAACAGGTTAACCCAATCTGAATGTCTTCTAAATAAACAGTCCAGTTCCAGTATTGTATCTAATCTGGGAAGGGCTTGACAGAATTTAGAAGTTCTGGAATAAATCTGTGTCTTGGATAGCATGCTAAAATTATTCTAACCTTCTAGAAGAGATGAGTATTACCTGACTCATATTTTCTGGGAAACCTTCAAAATAAAACCAATCTGTACGATGAGACCTATAAATAAGGTATCCTCTGTCCCCCAGCCTTTTCAAGTGTACCATTTATAGTACACTTAGTTCTTTACAAGGGAACTCAAGGTATTGAAACAGCTAAGAGTTATATTGTGTCTTTCAAAGTGCATAAATGATACCAGAGAGAACTTAAAGCAGTTTTTCTATAGCATTTAAACAAAGGAAACTTCTTAAAAGAGCAAATAATGTTCCTCATTAGCTGTATCATATCACAAAGCAGAACAGTTATATTTCTAATGCTCTTCACATATGTACGAATACAAAATATCTCAGCATCAAGCTTCTATTTAGTTGCTGACCTTCAGCAAAATCATAAATTTGACAAAGTTCATCTCAGAGTTCCAGAATCCCCTTTTGTGTAGTTTTGCCCCCACAATCGAACTCTTTTTCCTCCTGCTCACATGCCAGTTCTCTACCATCTTCATGTCTTTTTTCAGAGTCAATAAACCAAAAAACACCCTAGAGTCAAACTGGTCCAATGTCCTCATTTTAGAAAAAGCTAAACTGAGGCCAAGAGAGTTGTGATTTACCCAAGGTCACACAGCTAATGAGAGATGAAGCTAAGACCATAACTAGGCCTCTGATGCCCTGTGCAATGCTTTTCCCACCATACCAAGCTCCTCTTTAAAAACTGCAAAGCATACAGTATGTGTATCTTCACAACTCTCAATCTCTCCTCTCTGTGCCTTTTCCCTCTTGGTACAATAATTTCTCAACTTTCAGTCACAAATAACCCTCTTTCTTATTAATTCTATACCCATGACAAAACAGAAGAGGGTTTACTACTCATTTACACCAAATGATTCATTTAGTGATAACACTTCTGTTGTGTTTCTAACATTATATTTATTCTTTAAAATGGAAAATACCTCAATACCTCCCAAACCAACATATTACAGAGCTTAATAATTACATCCACAATTTAAATTCAGAAAAAACCTAAATAACCGTAGATTCTTACTTTGCAGAAAGCCATATTACAACATTTGTTTCAATTCCTTGAAAGAAAGCCACAAAGTACATATCAACTCCATTTTAATACTCACCACGAAAGTGATTTGATTGTGTCGCAAGTTAAGTTCAGTTAGTGAATCCAGCCCATTAAGATTATCAACATGACTTAAAAAGTTCCTGGCAAGATTTAAAACTCTCAACTCACACAAATGATTAATATTTTCAATTTTGGTAATCTGTTAAAGAAAATAGGAGAAGGGTGATTAGCAGGCAAAAACCTGAAATATACATGTTCTAAAAACCCTAAAAATAAAATATTCGAAGTCACTAGATTTAGTGGCAAGTTTATATGTAGACATTTAAAAATCTATTTTCAATTTCCTATGCTGTAGATAACATGAAGTCACGTAACTTGTGAACATTAGCTAAAAGATCATATTTTACAATTTGACCATAGTAAACACTTGACGTAAACGTCATCAAATAGTCAATGAGTCCATTGGGCAACTTTACGTGCCCAGTCTGTCCCAGGTTCTGTGAAGGCTACATACTACCTGCCAAATAGAAACATACTGTGATCCCAAGGCATAAGCTCATCATGTTTTAACAAAGCAAGTCTGCCCTCTGACAGAAAAGGCAAGGGAAAGGAATGACATCAAGTTACCCTTATTAATTCTATTTAAACTGCAAGATCTTGAGAGCAGTCGAGTCTGAATGGAAAGAGTCAAGGAACTAGGATTCCCAGTAGAAGATGAGGTTAATTTTTTTTTAATTAATGGAAAGCTGTTCCATTAATAAGGATGGAAGATGTTTAGTGAGGGTACAAAATGGTGAACATTGTTTAAAACAAGAGGACTTGAATCATGGAATATGCATGTACATATAATGTTACAGGATCTTTGGGGTGTCATTTTTCTGACCAGAAACCTCTGTGGCCAGTGGTACCTTTGCCCAAGTTTTGCTCTGGCCCGCTGGGCTCATTTTGCCTACCCACCCTGGCAGGCTGCACTCAGCTCATGCTACTGGCCTGGGTCCCACGCCTGCTAAGGGCAAGTCAGGTGTGGAACTGAGAAGGGAGTGTGAGTGAGCATGGGGTCTGGCCACTGTGCACAGTCAGACATGCTGGCTGCTACAGCAGGGCAGGCAGCTCCAGGTGCTGGCACAGGCACCAGCTCTCTGCGAGGCTATGGCTGGACCAGGAACACTGCAAGCAGCTTCCACAGCTGGCACTGAGAACACAGTGGCACTCGGAAGCTTGGATATGCGAGGAACCGCAGGGTCCCAAAGAGGGAGTCACAGCCCTGGCTTGGGGAGCTCTCAAGTCTAGGTGACCTGAAGGGCCACAGTTTCCTTCTCTTTGCCTGCAACATGGCGAGCAAGGGGCATGTCTCAGCCCTGTTTGTGTTATAGCTCTTTTAGCCTTGCCATTCTGGGGTCCCAAATTCTGTGGGTCCCAGGTTCTTGTCCTGCGACCAGGAAGAATGAGGTATGCAGACAAGTGGAGGGTGAGCAAGACAAAGAGGAGCTTCTTAAGTGATAGAACAGCTCAGAGGAAACCCACAGGGAGCAGCTCCTTTCCACAGCCAGGGTGTTCTGATGAGTGTTCAGCTCCTAGCAGAGAGGGTAGCTCCTCTGTACTAGGAAAGTCATCTTGACAAGTGTTCAGCTATCAGCAGAAAGGGCAGCCCCTCTTTGCAACTGGTCATCCCATCAACTCTGCAGCTCTCAGCAGAGAGGAAGCCCTAGAGTGAGTTGCTCCTCTCTGCAGATGGTCATCCCAATGTCTCTACAGCTGTCAACAGAGAGAGGGCCCTAGAGTACTTTGGTCCTCTCTACAGCTGGTTATCCCAATGTCTGCTCAGCACTGGCTGAGTCCAGGGCTTTTATGGGCTTCAGGGTAGAGGAAGTGAGTGCTGATTGGCCCATGGGCGGCCACAGGCAGGCCCAGAAAAGGTACCACAAGTTCCCACTCCAGTCGGTGGGAGTGGCAGTCTGGCCTGAAGGTAGGGAGTCACCAGGGACCTGCCCCCTTCTGCTCAGGCAACTGTCTGCTTCCTGCTGCTGTTCATGGTGCCCAGGCTATAAGTATGAAGGGGCACCTGCAGGCCAGCACCTAGCTGCCCTCAGCCCCCCTCAGATTCCCTTCTATGCTTGTTGGCACCAAAAGTTCAGAGGGAGCTGAGGTGGCAAGGGACTGGTGTGTAAGCACTGCCCCAAGCATGTGCACACTTGGCCAGGCTGCCACAGCACCCAGGCTCAACCACAACTTTGCTCTGAGATTGGAGCAGGCACCAACAGCAGGGAGAAGCCAGACAGCAGAAACAAACACTTCAGAACCTGTCGGGAGAGTGAGGGTTGGGGGGTACTTTCTGCGTCCCCAAGAGTGCAGAGATGCCTGGGTCCACAGCTGCAGTTTGGGAGGCTGCAGCTGTACCCAGGAGGGCGGGGCTCCTGCCTGCTTCCTGGCCCCAACAGCACAGGGATGCCCAGGTCTGCAGCCGTGACTTGAGTGGCTGCAGCAGCACCCGGGGAGCTCCCGCCCCAACTCGGAAGGGGCAGGGCTCCCACTTGTCCCCAGGTCCACCTGGCTCCATGGAGCCCACAGCCCCAGCCACGCCTCCCTGCTGCAGCTGGCCTGATGGCAGCAGCCACTCCAGATGGCCTGCTGCTGCCGTTAATAATCAGCACTGAGGCCAGGCGCGGTAGCTCACACCTGTAATCCCAGTACTTTGGGAGGCTGAGGTAGGTGGATCACTTGAGGTCAGGAGTTTGAGACCAGCCTGACCAACATGGTGAAACCCTGTCTCTACTAAAAATACAAAAACTAGCCAGGTGTGGTGGCATGGGCCTGTAATCCCAGCTATTCAGGAGGCTAAGGCAAGAGAATCACTTGAACCCAGGAGGCAGAGGTTGCAGTGAGCCAAGATCACGCCACTGCACTCCAGCCTGGGCGACAGAGCGAAACTCCACCTCAAAAATAATAATAATAATAATAAATAATCAGCACTGAACTGCAGCAGAGAAGTTTGAGCTGCACACTAAGGAGAGGGTAAGTAAAAACTAACACTGTGAAGTGATGAGAGCTCAAAGTGATGTTAAGCCCCACTATTATAATAGAGCAAGTGTAGCACAATGGGATGAGTTTCTGCATGACACAAAATAGAAGTCCTCATGGAGGACTTCATAAACCTGATGAACATTAAAATGAATTTCACAATCACTAGAGATTAATTTGCTCATTTGTATTGCCATCACAGTATATTTGAAATTTCTTACTAACACTTCAAAGCAGATGTTAGCTAAAAGAACTTTTCTCAGATGTCTAATCTATATTTCACATTGTTATTTGGACACTCTTATATTCAAGAAACACCATCTAGGTTCCATCCAGTTTCCAGAAAAGAAACATGTTTATTATAAATTCAATAATATATAAAAGTAACCTATGACCACGTTTAAAATGTGTTTTAAGATTTTTGATTTAACTAATGTAAAGATAAAATTATATAAAAGTTGAAAAAGAAACAAGATTATGAGTATTAACAGATGATAAAACTGTGTAATAAGACATGGAGTAAAATATTTTAAAACTAAACAGGTGATAGAATTTAAAATGCAAGAAGCCAGTAAAAAGGAAAATAGATACTGTAGAAAAAGTAATCAGTAATGTCAGCGCAAGCTTAGAAATCCTCCCAAAATGCTAAGGAAAAACAGAGAGGAAGAATAAAAGATAAGATGGAGAGATGGAAGACAAACAATACAGATATAACAAACATAAATGGAAAAGAAGCAGTGTTTAAATATAGAAAACTTTCCTGAGCTCAAGAAATATATAAATATATAGAGTTATGGGGGACAATTGTATGATCTGCACGGTGTGTTTTCTCCCTTCTGCTAATAGTTCTGGACATTTCTTTTAGAAAACTACCCTTCCACATGGTCCTGGTGGGGCTTACAATTAGAATGCCTGCATTTAGTTACCTTCTAGTTAGAAAAGTCTGAAAAGAAACATGGTTAATTCTTGTATATAGACCCATATTTTAAAAATCACTAAGAATATTATCTGGCTTCTTGGTTTGCAACCCAACAGGCCAGAATCATGTACAACATCTGCTATGGAATAAAGTCAATTACTCGTTACAGCCATGGACAAAGTCACAAGCATAAAGCAGATAATAGAAGCTTCAGGCAAAGGGTTGTATAAAGTGACAGCATAGGTCTTGATTGATTGATATACTTCACAGCAAGAAAAAAGATGATGGGAATGTTGGAAAGCCCATTTATGGGTCATACAGATCAGAGAGTGTCCCAATATAGTCTGCAAGGCTTCTTAATACATCTAGGAAAGCTGGATACTCCAGTCTTAACCTTTGTGTATGAGAGTAACCTAGATTGCTCTGCCTGGATAAAGATAACCTTCCTACCTACCAATACAGAAAAGGCAAGTGTTTGCTTTCAGGTAAGCAGCCACAGAAATAGCAGGCTCTCCCTGGAGGAAAAGAGATCACTGAAAGAACAGATTCTTCTTGAAGCACATCTGTGTCTATGTTAAAGCAAAAATTCACTGAGAGAAAAAATTATGGTTAACCAACACAAGCTCTAGGTTAGAAATTCCTACTCAACCTCCTAGATTCCTCTGTATTCACTACTCATATATAATTAATTGCTAAGTCTTGATGTTTCTACTTTTTAAATATTTATCCAATCTGCCCCCTTATCATATCCTTATTGCTACTACTTTAGTTCATGCCACCATCACTTCTCGCCAAGATTATTGTAATTAGTTTCTCCCAACTGTTTTGTCTCCATTTCCCCTCCTTCCATCTCTACTTCCCAATCCATTTCCTGAACACCATCATCATTACTCAGAATGATTTCACATCCATAAACCAATTATGTTTTATTTCACAATGTGCACCAAGCATATTTTTATTACCAATAGAAGTAAATTCAAAAGACAAAAAACATTCACTTAATGTCTTTTAGCTTCTTTACTATAAGATGCTAAATTTTTAGAATTGGACATTAGTTGTTTCATCTAGAATAGTTCCTTCCTGGCTTTTTAGAAACCTAAGGTAACTAAGACTGTATCTTTGCTTTGAAATACTGTGAATTTTTGCTATTTGGATTCATATATTATGAAACAAGACTCAGATTTTCATTTAAAACTTTCTTCTTCCAGTTATAGAACATTTGTACTGCACAAATTACTTCTCAAGGTTCTATAACTGGAAGAACCTTGAGAAGTAATTTGTGCACTACAAATGTTTAATTTTAACACACACAATATCACAAACATATGCTGAAATTATAAAATATATAACACAGGTCAGCTAACAAGGAACAGACATTTTTCATCAACATAATGATTGGTAAATAATGCCTATACATAAGGTACAGATCAAATGATATGGTATTCATTTATCAGGTGCTCTTGAAGATCTTGGGTAGTACTCACAAACTCTTAAAGATATATTAGAATTTGAAAATCATATGTTTATTATTTCTCATGTATACACTTTAAAATAAACAAGAAAAATACTGCTATCATAAAATGTTTCATTTATAGTTATAAACAGTTTTTAAAATACAGGATAAAACACCAATTAATTTGCCTGGCATACAAAGCCCTCCACAATCTGGCCGTTGCCTACCTTTCTAGTCTCTTCTCTCAGCATCCTTCCACACATGCTCTGTTCTCTGGTGGTAAATACTTACTGTGTTGTTTTCCATCTCAGTGCCTTTGCATATGATATTCTTTTACTGTCAATACTCTTTAATTCTTCTTCCCCTTCTAGCACCATCTAACTGGATAACTTCCCCTCTGTTGGACAGACAGTAACTAACCTGCAGAGCCAGACAATTCCCAGGCCACCAACACTCCTCCCACTTACTACATGCACACACAGACAAACACATCAGGCTGAACTAGATTCGAACCTAATAGATGTGGCCTATTAAATCTATCAAGGTTTTTATTAATTACATTAGCTTTTCACCAAAACTACTGGAACTAACAGCTGTTAGAAAGCCTAGAGAGACCACACTGAGGTTTTCACCTGACCAACTGTAAGCAGCTGTGAAAGATCTTGTTCATCAACAGGCAGGGATTCCCCGATCATCCCAGGATGTAGGCTTATCACTGCAGAAGAGACTTTACATTCTGCATAAGTATGTAGCTCATGTAACTATTTATAAATATTACATTTCAAAGACAAATATTTAAATGGATGAGCAAAGGACTGAAAAACAGCCAATATGATCTGACAGAGAAGAATAAAGAGAGGGAACATAAAAAAATAGATATAGAGCTGGGCACGGTGGCTCATGCCTGTAATCCCAGCACTTTGGGAGGCCGAGGCAGGTGGATCACGAGGTCAGGAGATCGAGACCATCCTGGCTAACATGGTGAAACCCTGTCTCTACTAAAAATACAAAAAAATTAGCCGGGTATGGTGGCGGGCACCTGTAGTCCCAGCTACTCAGGAGGCTGAGGCAGGAGAATGGCGTGAACCCGGGAGGCGGAGCTTGCAGTGAGCCAAGATTGCACCACTGCACTCCAGCCTGGGCGACAGAGCAAGACTCCGTCTCAAAAATAAATAAATAAATAAATAAATAAAATAAATATAGAAATTCAGACAGATACAGGAATAGACAAATTGAACATAATTGGGAGCCCAGATTATATAGTAATCAGGAAAATAGAAATCAAAACCACAAAGTGATACCACTTTATACCAATTCAATCAGAAAAAAATTAAGAAGTCTGACAAATCAAAATGTTGAAAAGAATAGGAAGCAACATGATTATGTATTAGTGGTACGAGTACAAACTGGTACAATCCCTCTGGAAAGCAATTTGGCATTATCTTTTAAAGTTAAACATTTAAATAGCCTATGACTCATCAGTTTCACTCCTATATACTCTAGAGTACATATGGAATATGAAGAACAGGAGACTTGTACAAGAAAGTTCTTAGAAGTACTATTCATAATAGCAAAAAACAAGATAAAACAAACAGACAACAACAACAATAAAAACAGGAAACAATCCAAATGTCTATCAATAAGAAACTGGAGCAAAAAGTTTTTGTATAGTCTTACCATGGAACATACAACTATAAATAAAACTATAGCTACTTGAAATAGTTAAATCTCAGTAATATAATGCTGTATTCAAAAAGTAAACACTAGATGACAACATATAGTATACCTTTTTTAAATTAAGAGACAATACTACTAAAGGATATATTATTAAGACACACCTATATGTGATAAAACCAACTGAAAAACCCAAAAAGGAATGAAAAGCATGAAACCTAAAATAGTGGTTACCTGTGATGCAGAAATAAGGAGATGGAATAAAAAAACAAATACCTAAGTAGAAGAAAGTCAGTAATATTCTAGGTCTTGGATTGGGGTTGCAAAATGTGTACTTTAAAAATAAGTTAATAAAAAACAAAATTGTCATAACTATAAGAATTTGAAATGTTTTATAAGCTGTATCTGTCATGTACTGCTGAGGAGTTACCAAATCTTCTATAAATAAGCTTGATACCTTAGAAATTTCAGTGAATCAATAAAGAAACTCTTGAAAAATTCAATGCGAGTATGATTCTTAAAACTTTTATACCATTTTCCTGGACTTTTTTTCAAAAAAGAAAGAAATGAAAGGGCTTTACAATACCTGATTTCCATGAAGATCCAAGACATCTAAGCTTTTTAGATTCTCCAGATTTGAGATTTTCTTGATTCTGAAAACCAGAATAAGTAGAATAGAAATACGGATGTATCACATCTATCTGTAAATCAAAGTATGCTAAGGCATAAAGGTGTAACTCATTTTAATTTACTCTATCTACATATATAGTTATATATATATTCAACAATAATATATTTCCCTCTGATTTATTATAATTTAAAAAAAATGCAATACCACTCAAGAGAAAGAGAGTTTAAATGTCACATCATTAGAAAAGAGCAATCCTATGTCTAAGAACCTTAAGTCAAGGCACTTATTCAAGGCAGTTCTTCACATTAGAATATAATCTAAACTCCTTACTTCTGCCTACAAGGCACTAACCTGGCTGCTGACCTTTCAGCCAGCCTTATCTCCTACCACAGGCTCGCTCACTCACTCTGCTCCAGCCACAGAGGCATTCTTGCTGTGTCTCTAACCTGGCAAGTACATTTCCACCTTAGGGTATTTATTCTTGCTGTTCCTACTCCCCTAATGTTCTTCCCTCAAAACTTCACATTATTCAGGTCTCAGATCAAACAACTCTTCAAAGTTGCTTCCAGATGACCATATTTAAAATACCTTTCCCTTCCTGTCCCCATTACTCTTTCCTTTTTCTGCTTTGACTTCACAGAATTGATCGTAGCCTAAAATTGTATTATTTTGTGTTTATATTTTTAAAAAATCTCTCTTGCCAAATCAAAATGTGAGCTTTAAAAGGACATTCTGACATGTTCTCTACTCTATCCCCAGCACTCATAACAGTGCCTGGTGCCAAGTAGGTACCCAATAAATATTAGTTTAATGAATGAACGAACATACTAACTAAATGAATAAGTTGTACGCACAAGGGTATTCATAATAGGATCCTTTATGACAGAGACAAACTGCATACCACCTAAATGCTTTCTACTGGGACCTGCTCAGTTTGTAAAATGCTTATATTTATTTGAAATTTTTGATATGCCAGATGGGAGCAATGGCAAAAAAAGAACAACAAATTAAGTTCATACAACCCATCTTTATCACCATATATTTATCACCATCTATTTTCGTTGTCCTTGTTTACTGCCTCAAAGAACCACTTCCACCTCTCTGTTTTCAGAACTTGGATCATCCATTGAATAATATACATGTTATCTATATATAGTGTGTATATATGTGATATATATATGTAGTGTGTATGTATATACATACATACTGATCATTACCATGTAAACATAATGCAGACTTAAACTTCATTAATTTCTGTCTCCACTTTATCTCAGTTATATCATTGCCAAATCAAGAATTTTACTACCACAAGCCAATTCAATCCAATTTAATTTATAAAAATATTTCTCATATGCCCACCATGTATCATCGCTATGTAGCTGTAGATCTTCTTCACTCCCTTATCACACACACGCACATACCACACTGCCTTATGACCACCACCTCCTCATCAGTCTCCTCTCACATCATCACCCTGACAGAATCTGTACCCTATTCCTACCTCACTTCATCCAAATCATCAGCATTCTTCCGGACTCACTGGACTCTTTCACTAGCCTTCACCTAGTGCCAGGCATTTAATACTATCCTATCTAGAATTTAAATCTCTCAAATAGCTAAATTAATAGCCCAACCAGATGGGAAAACAGCTACAACTTTCTTTTTTTGTTTGTTTTGTGTGTGTGTGTGTGTGTGTGTGTGTGTGTGTGTGTGTTTGAGATGGAGTCTCGCCCTGTCACCAGGCTGGAGTGCAGTGGCGCAATCTCAGCTCACTGCAACCTCCGCCTCTCAGGTTCAAGTGATTCTCCTGCCTCAGCCTCTCGAGTAGC
Organism: Homo sapiens; assembly: GCF_000001405.40. Taxonomy (NCBI): domain Eukaryota; kingdom Metazoa; phylum Chordata; class Mammalia; order Primates; family Hominidae; genus Homo; species Homo sapiens. The sequence continues at coordinate 70,909,724 of NC_000015.10, read as the reverse complement.
TGGGACCACAGGTGCGAGCCACTACACCCTGCTAATTGTTGTAGTTTTGGTAGAGACGGGGTTTCACCATGTTGGGCAGGATGGTCTTGATCTCTTGACGTGGTGATCCGCCTGCCTCACCCTCCCAAAGTGCTGGGATTCCAGGCATGAGCCACCGCGCCCAGCCCAGGTACAACTTTCAACACAATTTTTCCTTTGCCTGCTTTGCTCCTGAGATACCTACAACAGTTGCAGAAAATTATAGTACTGTAATCATACAGCTTAGGACAGAGCCATGCTTTCTAATAGCTATTAGAGAAGCCTTTTATTCCATTATTTTATACTTCCAAGTTCACATTCCCTAAAACAGTGGTTCTCAAATTTCTGGATTTATCAGAATCACCCAGAGTGCTTGTAAAAACACTGACTATTTATGAGTTCCTCTTACTCTCCTTTGAACCAGCTTTGTCATCCTGCTGGTTCCTATATTATTGAATTAATTAAAATGCTGGCCTGTGATTACTATTTGTCTGAGAATCATATTTTTAACACCTTGAAAATTATACATCAGGGATAATGGAGATTGTATCACCCCAAAGTTCTCCGATTTGAAGAATCAATGTAGTCTGTTTCTGTCTTTATGAGAAATCCTGAGCACCTTTAAGGCCCTTCAATCAGAGAAACCATCATGTGCAGTATGTATTCCCTCAGAATTCCACCAGGGCCTCACATATTCACTCCCTATCTGTTGTGACTGCAACCACCTTTGCAAAATTGAGAAATCTAACATAACTGACTCCATCTTGCTTCTAATCATACAAGCTAACTGTCTTTGCTCATTCCTGCACATAGGCCAAGCTAACTATGAGAAAAATTTAGTTTACAGTTTAACTTTAAACCAAGGATGATAACAGTCCCTTCCTGAAACTAACCTCATCTTTGTTCAGGAACCAAAAACATCTTCATAAAACTAATGAAAGATGATAAGGTTAGAATTATGTTAGGGGCCTGAATTCTGCTAATACGGAGGCATAATTAAATGATAATCAGTCATTGTTTTCTAACCTACCTTTTTGTAATTGCTTACTGCTCAGGAATCACAGAGCCAATGGTAATAAGGTTTGTGACTTCTCCAATTTCCCCTATAAATAACATTGTTAGTGAAACCTAAGACTAGTGTTTGAGATATTTTTCAGATATATTTTCACATTCTGGTAGACCAACTGACACCACCCAGACTGGTGATTTCTACTCAGGCACTGACTCAGTGCAAGAAGACAGTTTCAACCTCCCTGTGATTCCATCCCCAATCCAACCAATAAGCAGAACCCATATTCCCTAGCCTCCTGCCTGCCAAACAACCCTTGACAATCCTAGTCTCCAACTTCTTAGGGAGGCAGATTTGAGAAATATCTCCTCCTCCATCCTCCTCACTTGACTGCCTTGTGATTATTAAACTCTTACTCAGTTGCAACACCTGCTGTCTCAGTGTATTGGCTTTTCTGTGCAGCAGGCAAGAAGAACCCATTGGGCTATAACATGACTTCTGGTATTCGTTAGCTTTGACACATAGCTGCTTTATGACTCTCACATCAGATTCGGATCGCCCAGGTGAACAGGAAGAAAAACAGCCAAGTCGTTCAATCAGTTAAACCCAAGACCAACCAAACATCTTGCTCTCTTGTTCTCATGAGTTGCCTTTGGCATAAATTCTCTTTCCACCCCCCAACACCTGAAATGACCTAAAAACTTACCCAATTCTAAAGAATTCAGAGGTAAATGAAGGCATCAGTTGACCTAGAAGGCCCCTACTGGTCAGATTAGGTATTGATGTGAGGAATTTGCAGAATCCTAGCCAGTGCCCCCAAATTTGACCATTTTTACGTTAACACCAATGTGACCTGAAAGATTTATTTAAAAAAGAAGTTCTTCCATTGAATAGAAACTGAAACTAGAAAAAGATGAGGCTCACCCATCACCTGAGGCCTCTAGGGATATATCACAGCCTGTCTCCGCAGGCCACATTATGTTACTGATGCCAGGATAAAGACCTCACTACAGGACCTATATGAAGGCTTAGCTTTTCAGGTGTCAGAAACAAATCCTTAAGTGGGAAACTTCAAGGAGTCAAAAGGAAGGAAACAGAGAATCCCAGGTTCTAAGAGTTTTGATCTATAATCCTGGGTGATCAGAAGAAAATGCAGAGAAGTTCTATGCATTAGCCTGTAATGACGAGGGTGGCAGAGGACCTGGAGAGGATAAGCAGGAGATACTGAAGGCAGAACAATTAGAGAATAAGAACTTTGACAGCAATGTGGGGTCGGGAGTTCTTTAGTATCAACGGAAACCTCACATACAGAACCTGAGCAAGGTTCTTTCTTAGCTTTAGAGTAGAAATCTTTGTTGGAGTTGCCTGAACCCAGAGGCATGATTGCCCTGGATTTCCATATATGGTTCCACTGCCTTGGACCAAAAGGCAATGCAGAGCTTTGTAATGTGGGAAGGAGAAAGCTTTCTGAACTTGACCAACAGGAAGCAACAAGTCATTTAACACAAATGCATGAAGAGACAGGGTAGCAGATGTACTTCCCTCTTTACCAGCATCCTCAGCCAGGTTTGCTTAATGTTCACAAAGTACTAACCCAGGACAGATTTCCATCTTCACAGCTCACAGGCCCCTTGCTGTGACAAAGTCAGCTGGCTGGAGGCCACTTGGCATTTGTTTTAGGGCTCAGACTTGCATTTCACTGACACTTGAAAAACATGCAATAGGGGAGAATATGGAAAGTTTTCTTCTGACTCATTTTCTTTTTGATTCAAGAACACTAATAGTTCTAGAACTGTTCCACAGCTATTCCTTTATGTGAAAAATAAAATAAGATTAAAACCAAACAAATAACAAATAAAAAAGATGGAGGAGTAGAAAGAGGAAAAAGACACAGCATTAGATTGCTTTTACTTCACTAAATAATGACATAGTAGAAAGGCATTAAGTCTCTTAGAGTTGAAAGAACAAAAAGACCTTAAATAAAGTCAGAAGCTCAGATAGACTGGTACCTTCAAGGCACAAGTTAACAAAAACAAAAACAACAACTTAATGAGTAAATTCTAAGAAGCCAGAGAAGCTGAAAAGTACAAATAGGAAAATAGAATAGATGGAAAGATGACTTAAAATGGTAGGAACCAGGAGCAGTGCTTAAATACGAGAGAAAGTGATTTTAAATATCACTAAAAATATTAACTCAGGACTAAAAGCAGGGAATAATGATAATGATATTAAAGAATAACTGCAAGCAAGGCAAATAAATCAGTAACTCTGAGGATCAGAAACTAGTAAAGAAATCTCTGGGTGGCTGGGCGCGGTGGCTCACGCCTGTAATCCCAGCACTTTGGGAGGCCAAGGCAGGCGGATCACAAGGTCAAGAAATCGAGACCATCCTGGCCAACATGGTGAAACCCCATCTCTACTAAATATACAAAAATTAGCTGGGCATGGTGGCACGTGCCTATAGTCCCAGCTACTCGGGAGGCTGAGGCAGGACAATCACTTGAACCCGGGAGGCAGAGGTTGCAGTGAGCTGAGATGGCGCCACTGCACTCCAGCCTGGTGACAGTGCGAGACTCCATCTCAAAAAAAAAAAAAAAAAGAAAAAAAAATGGAGGGAGCTCACTCTCTGACCTTCTCCCACCTTTCTCCCCTAAGGCCATAAAAAGAATTCTCTGATCTACCTACCCTACCTTAAATTTAAGATACTTTTCCTAAGCTCACTGTCTGAGCTTCTCTCACCTTTCTCCCCGAGGCCATAAAAAGAATTCTCTGATCTATTTTCCAGATAGATAGAAGTATCTGATCTATCCCTTCCCTTTTTGGATATAGGGCAGGATTCCTCTGGAATGAGGGTCTTATGACGCTCATGGAAGGAAGCAATGGAAGTAAAATACATAATATACCCCAAAAAAGGGAATGAAGACACAGAGACACCAAGAAGAATCTGAACAAATAGGCCTTGCTAAGTTCCCCCAGTTTATTACCATTAGATCATACCTCCTTTTGTCCAATCATACTGTCCACTTGTTATCAAGCCTCAGCCTAAAAATACACAGTTTTCCCTGTTTTGGAGGATATTCATTTATAAGGGCTCTTGTGTCATGTAAAAGTTGTATTAAATAAATTGTTAATGCTTTTCTCTTGTTAATCTGTCTTCGTTATAGAGTGTCGGCCATGAACCTTGAGATGGGTAAGGAAGAGATAATACTTTTTTTTCCTGCAACGAGTAATCCAAGACCCATGCCAGGGTGGGAGGCAGGGAAAGATGGAGGAGGAGAACCTAGCCTGGTTATAATATATATCTAAAGTCTTCATTTGATAATATAAAAATCATTTTTGGATTTTACTATAAAGCCCTTCTTTGTAGGCATTGCAAAAGCTATTCAGTAAAATAGAATGAAAAGTAGTGAATGAATCTCAAAGAAATGAGTCAAGAACTGTATAGTTGCACTACGGAATAGAGTTGTATAAAAGGAACTGGGAAAGTTCATATAGGATGTAATGTTAGATACAAACTGAAACTACTGTCTGAAAAAGAATCAATTTGTGAGATAATCACAAAGTATCGAGTGTCTACCCTCAGTCAAACACTGGGAAGAGTCACAAGTGAAACACATAAGCCTAAAGTGAATACACATGTCTAAAGTAAGTTCTAAGAAAACAAAATCAAGGCCAAAGTCTGCTATTTACTTCCCTATAAGATACAACACTGGAAAGCAATGGAAGTAAAATACATAATAAACGTTATCTGGTGTGACAAATTGTCATACTGAATCTCATGAAACAAATTATGACTGGATCTTAATCCATTCAACTAATTCAAATAATTTTTAAAAAATTTTAGCCTATTCATTTCTTAAGTATTATTCAATTCTAAGTTGTCATCTCCACATTAATCCTACACATAACATTAGGCTACAAAAACTGCTCTACAAAGAATACCTGTTTTTCCCCAACAGAAGGACACGAAGACATCTCAGAGTCGAAAGCCCACTAATTTCTTCAATCTGGTTATCATATAAATCCAACGATATTAACTTCTGTAGATTAGAAATATTTTGTATCCGAGTTATAAAATTGTGTTGAAAGTTCAACAAACGAAGGTGGTCTTCCCCATTGATGATAGGACATACGGTCAGCTTTTGTCTAGAAAAAATGTTAAAAAGTTAATTAGGTTATGATTCAGCCACTTACCTCTTCTTACAAATATTATTAGTAGTATCTTTGTGCTCCCATTCTGTGAGGAGAAAAAAATAAGTTGGACCACTTCCAACCCCCATGAACTAAGCGACCTATATTTAATTGTAAATCATTCACACAAAAAAAGCCAATAGACTTTGACAGGGTTTATTATTAAAATTATGTCTAAGGTCTCATTGTATTTAAAAAACTCGAATATAAGTTATTTCACATGAAATTGACTTAACATGAGAAAACATTCAACATAATTTCCTTTTGTGATAGAGGTTTAAATGGCTGAAGGAATCTTGTCACATAACCAGACAAATGCCCTTGGCATCAATCCACCGATGTAACGATTACCCAGGCAACTAAGTCATCAGAGTTAAAAACATATAAAAATCTCAGAGAATCATAGACTCTTGAGCCAGATGACATCTTCAAAAGAGCAAGAAATTCAGTCATCTAGAGTTCACTTTGATTAAAAAAAAAAATTCAACCTGAGATCCATTAATGGCAAAGTGGTCCTTACTTAACATTTCCTTAGAAACTAAGATTTTAAGTATATGTTTACATGCTCAACACTTTGAACTTTGCAGAACATTTAGAGTGCTACAGGGTAGGATGAAACCTTAAAAATATATGCTTTGAGCTATATTTAAAACAGTAAGCCTCTATTATGCAAAATGTTGTAACATACTACACGTGAAGTAAATAAGTTCAGGGCCCTTTAAGAATTCTAGTAGTAAAATAATAGGGGCAGACATGAGGTCCTGCGTGATTCTACTCTGAGAGGTTAAAATACAGCTCAAGGAAAATACAGCTCTATCTGAGTGTGAACAACTCTAATAGGGAAGTTTATTAGAAATATTCTCTTTCAGTAGAAATCAAGTTAATGAAAGCTTTAAAGAAAATATATCAGAGTGTTACTAGCATAAGTGAAACTATGACAGTGATCAGAATCTTCCTGATAAAGAGAAAAAAGAATGATTCGCAGAAAAAAAAATAACTGAATGTTAATGGCTAACAAATCTATGATGTTTAAAAATATAGATTCTGAAGAAACCTGTTTAAGATAGAGGAAAAGAAAAGGAAATTTTGGGCAATAGTTTAATTATTTTAATGTGTGGTTAATTTTATAATTCATTTCATATATTCAATTATTTTTTCACAGAATATTTAAAATTCACTTCATATATTCAATTATTTTATCACAATATTTTATCCAACTATTTTATCAGAACTGTGATAAATCAATAAATTTAGTATATAAATTATAAATTAATAAATTATAAGTATTCTACCTTAAAATTTGTATCTTTGTGCATCAGCTTTGCAAAAAATTTAAATCATCTCACTTTTCCTGCTTCAGTCTTTTTCTTTTTCTCTTAGTTAAACTTATTGATACCCCCCAACTTCTATTTCATCCAATTCTTGAATCGGTCATCACTAAGACAGGAAAATAAATAACCTCCATCCTCCCTCTTACCTAAACTACCGTAGATTGAAATAAAGTCACTTTCTCTGATTCTAAACACAGTGGTTAAGTCCCAGTGCCAAGGCTCACTTGTATACTGCTTAACCCCACAAACCCCTGTCACTCCAACAAAACAAGCAAGCAAACATACATAATAACTAGAGACCCACTGCCCTCAAGGGGAGTTTCTAGGCCTACAAAACTCCTGAGTTGCTACATCCTACCCCATTACTGATACATCTAACAGACTATGCCTTTGCTTCTGTGTTTCCTTCTTGGTGCTGATAGGCTGCCTTCCTGGTACTCCAGGCCTAACCTAACTCCCAAAACAGCCAGAGCCTAGCTCTTCCAAGTACTACTTCTCAGGGTTGGCTTCTGCCCTTGACCCCTCAGGCTCCTAGCTAAGAAGCTGCACAGCATGGCAGATCTGCCTTTGGAAATCACTGGCACTACCCACTGGCTCTCAGAAATGATACCTGAGTTAGTTCCTTGCTGCTAGCCAACCTTTCTTGACTGCACATCCTGGTTCTTGTCAAATGATGCCTAACTTTATGATATCTTTGTGATTCTGTCATTTTACAACCAACTTTTGAAGCGGAGTCAGTTCTCTCAATCCTGACTTTCTTGATAAGCAAGTCTCTGCCTGATCAAAGTTTGCTTCTCCACCCCAGAGGCCCATGCTGTTAAGGACCCATCTTCACAATTGCCTGAGTCATCCCAAGCTACAAAGGAAGTGCCTAACTTGTTATGTCACAGTCTTACAAATACTGGCTCCTGTTAATGTCAAGTAACATGAAACTGAAGGGCTGAGGTACTATTCTTGGCCAGTCTTTCAAAGATCAAGAGAAAAGTTACCAAAAAAATCCCTCAAAACATTAAAATAATACCATGAAAGTTATAAATATTAGACAGCATTCTCATAAACCACTTATACCGCAAAGATGTCATGAGAGATACTGCCCTTCAGTGTTACTTTTCCTACAAAAGAACATGTTAGAACCTCCAGCAGTTTTTCCCAACTATAAACACAGATAGTTCATTATAATTTGTTGTCAGGTGTGCACTGCTAAGCTAAAGGTATGCAAAACAGAGATGTTGTCTCTGCTGGTTATACCACTGGGGTAGATAGAGATTGGGATCCTTCACCCACCATGCTACTGTGGATAGTTTCTAGATGTAAAGATGGGGATCGAGTTCTAAATATATTCTTCCATTAAAAAAAATTTTATCAAGAGTGTGTTTTGTACCAGGTTCTGTTCTAAATACCAATAATACAGAACTGGACAAAAGTTTCTGTGCTTATGGAACATATATTCTAGTAGGAGACAGACACTAAACATAATAAGTAAATAGTTATTATGTTATAGGGTAATAAATGCTAAGAAGAAAAATAATGAAAGCAGAGAAGGGGGCTAGAGACTTCAGTGTGGAAGGGGTTGCAATTTTGGAGAGGATGGCCAGAGAAAAATCATCCCTGAAATGATGACATTTGAGCAAAGACCTGAAGGCAATAAGCCTAGAGATATGAGAAGGAACAGCATTCCAGGCAGAGGGGATAGTAAGCACCAAATTCCTGAGGTATAATCACTCTTGGTGTATTCAAGGAACAGCAAGGTGGCAGGTATGATTGGAGCAGTGAGTGAAGGAGAGTGTAGGAAGAGATGAAGCCAGTGAAGTAACAGGAAACTAGACTGGATAGGGCCTGGGAAGCTCATGTGAGGATTATACTGTGGTTTTTTTCTATACTACAATCCATTTTTCATCAATGTCATATTTTAGAATTGCTGTAGTACTCTTGTGAAGTATAGTCAAGCTCTTTTATGTTATATAGATATAAAATTCCTCACCATACCTCAGGAAGGAGAAGCAAAAAACTGGTTAAAAAAATTATATCTAAATAGGAGAATTGAATAACTGGGGAACAGGAGGAAGGAGGGAGACTTGCATCTTTCAAGTCTTGTACCACGTCTATGTATTACCTAGTCAAAAAAAAGAAAAGAAAAGAAATTGTCCTCACCTTTCTAGGCTCAACCTGTCTGAGTAAAGAATTTTCTCTTCAGAAGAACGTTGAAGAATAGGAAATGATGACAATGATGAGCTCACCAAATTAATATGATCACCTATTAAAAATGATATACAAATTACTTAATTAAGAAAAACCTTCGAAGTCTGAAACTAAAGTCATCTTATATTTGGAGAATTTTAGCACCATAAATATCTTATCTAGAAAGTATAGTTTCCATAGCTCTCCATATTTGAAATTAATTACTAAGCTGAATTTGTTTCTTTCCTTCTTAAACCTAAACTATGTGTTCCATGTATGCCAAATAATTTTTCCCTTGCCTTACAGATTGGTTGAAAGTACAGAACTAGTCCAGTGCTATCTTCATCCCTTTGTAATCCTGACTCCTTGTCTTAAATTCTAACTGTCTATAACTAAAATGATAGTTCCTCATTACCAGATATATTTGGGCCAGCACTATGACAGCCCTGCTGGATTCTGGATTTTGAAGGTGTCTTAATGGAAGAATCTCCAAATGCTGATAAGGACCTCGTGGCAGTTTTCATTTCCAGCCCATATAGTTCTGTCACATTTGTTGTGGATGAGATGCATAGGAAATACACAAAAAGTAGTTTTGGATAGCAGATGTAAACCTCGCATCATCTCTTTCTTTGTAAGTTCAGCCACTATTAGTAGAGAATATTGCCAAGATACCAAAGTGGATGTCAGTAAATCTAGCATACCGTAGTTAGGGTCCACAAAGTATATGACACCCCTCTAAGGTTTATAGGCTGTTTGTTAGATGGTGTCCTTGCCATTATGTAGCTTTCAATCTAGCAGACTGAAATTAATAAATACACATATGAAATTCATAAATAGAACAACATACATAAATGCAGAATAAAAAGAATACCTATTTGTAAGTTTGCACATAAGTGTGTCTGGTTATTTTTTACTTAATGAAGGTGGTTACAGAGGGGTTTGAGGGGAGGTGAATATTAAGATATTTTCTAAAGAACTAGAAGAATGTAAATGGTCAAGAAGAAACAATGAGAAGTTCCAGAAATGAGGTAAGAATTTGAGTAATGGGTCAAACGTGACAGTTTGAATGCCAGAGGAAATCTACCATATTTTCCTCTATGAAAAGAAAATCTTCTGAAAGCAGCAACTGATGTTGAAATGCCTGAAGGGAGCACTAAGTATAATAGTAAAACAGAACCTGATGTTACCACAGAATTCTGCTGTTGAAACTAACAAAAAGATGAAAACCAAATCTGGAAAGCTAACCTACTCTTTGGGAGGTCACCAGACAATATAATGACAACTTAAAATCAAGTTCTATATAAATCATATTAAAAAGCTATAAGGCAATGGCATTTGCTAGCTACCTCAGGTCTGCAAGGCATAAACTGAAGTATCTCACCCCTAGTTTCTTGAACAAAATAATCAGTGCTCACATCCCACTTTTCTGAATATTACAAAATATCAAGATAATAATGATGTTCTAGAGTATAAGCATTCAGAATTGACATCATATTCACCAATAAACTGATTTTCTGGCATGACCACATGCTAGCAGGATACCTAAAAGCAACCACAAGTCAGTAAATTGATTTGGAAATCAAGTCAAGATGGTTAAAAAAACAAAAACAAAACAAAAACCAGTCTAAAGACTGACTGCAGTCTAAGAATTAACTAGTTAAAGATTAATTGGTCAACTAAAGACAAAAGATTGAAAAACTCCAAGCAGCAGACAACCTCAGTTTCTCTTGTTAGCATTAGTTAGGTTTTCTGAATGATTTTGTTAAGGCTTCAAGGCAATCCTCAATTTTTAAGAGGCAAATTTAAACTTTACAAGACTTGAGATACAGAGGCAATAACCAAAGATTAAATTTACACTCAGTGAATAAAGGAATTTTATCCTTAAACTTTCTAGCTCTTTTAATACACAGAAGTCATAATCACTATCAGCATAATGAACTTACTATCGATGTGATATACTGCTTACAATAAATAGAAAGACATAAGAATGATTAGGGTAAAAGGCCTTAAATCTACCATACAACAAGACCTTCTAAATAACTGGGAACCAGAGAGATCCGCAGTTAAAATATCCACATATATATGTGGGTATACAAATATCCACATATATATGTGGGTATATAAATACCCACAAAAAAACTACATTACTATGTGGCAAAATTTTCATCATAACAGTTTGTTACTGTTTATTTCCTTTTTCTTTCTTTCTTTTTGAGACAGGGTCTTGCTCTGTCACCCAGGCTGGAATTTAGTGTGGCATGATTACCGCTCACTGCAGCCTCAAACTCCCAGGCTCAAGTGATCCTCCTACCTCAGCCTCTCGAATACCTGGGACTACAGGCATGTGCCACCACACCCAGCTAATTTTTGTATTTTTTTTACAGATGGGGTTTCATCATATTACCCATGTTCAAGATGGGGTCTTGAACTCCTGGGCTCAAGCAATCCACCCACCTTGGCCTCCCAAAGTGCTGGGGTTACAGGCATGAGCCATAGCAACCGGCCTGTTATTATTTATTTCTTATATTACTATTTAACTTACCAGATATGTAGCCCTTGTCTTCCCAAATAAATCTACAAGCTCCTTGGGTGATGGACCTCATTTTACATTCTTTATATTCTTGGTAAAATCTAAATTCAGTAGGCAATCAATAGACAAATTAATTGTTTTTCCAGTTTACTAAGATTTAATTGAAAATCTATTTTGCGTGTGTTACTTCTGTTAAAATCTCAATACAAATAGCATCTCAAAGTGTTAAGAAGTATAATGGTCTAAATTTGGTAAGAATGTTCACTGCACTGTATGCTAGATACAGAGATGGCTGGATGGCTGGTTGGAAGTATGACTATATAGATGAAGAGATGGATGCATGGATAGATAAATGAACAGATGGGTGGATGGACAGACAGGTGGATGGATGGACGGCATAGTACATATTGCCATATATGTGTGTCCACTCGGCCATGTCTTTGAGATTGTTTTGGTAACCAAAATCTTAACTCCAGATTTTCAGTGATTTATCATTATCTTAAGAGCAAAGTATTGCCTCTTCCCTTCTACACACACATTTTAAAATTCCTAATTAAGGGATTTAATCAATAAGGTCAGGTTAACTGAAATTTTATTATATAGTAGTTCCTGCAATATATGGCACTTATAAAATCTCAAAGACAGGGGTTAACTCTTAACAATATTCTAAGAAGCCTAAAGAAATCACATATCAAGTTTTAAACTCACTAGCTTAAAGAAAATATCAAGTGTCTTTACTTTTGACTGAGAGTACCACTGGTTAATTTTTGTGGACAGGCTATGATATGTTTGATTAATTTTGAAAAATAAGAAATGGCTGAAATTAATTATAATGATTGGGTATCAAGATACAGTTTATTAGACAGACATCCCTAAACTTTTCCTGATGAGGTGCTACTTACAATTTTTCCAAAATTTTATACCCTTGGAAGTAAAATTTGAGTACAAAAGTCAAGAAAATAAGTTGTGTGGCCTTCTTTGCATGAAACTGCCTGGAACTATGGAGGGAGCACATTGAAAGTAACCAGGTACACATTTAAGACATTTCAAATTAGTATCCTGTCACAGAAACCAATTTTGAATAAATTTTTTAAATGAAAAACCAATTAGGTTTTTTTTCCTAAAGAGTTAATTCATACTGAATGGGTCATTACTTATGTATAAAACTTTATTCATCTCTCAGGTTCACAAAATTCAATACATCCATACTATTTCCTCATTAGCGAATATCTAGTAATACTTTACCACTTAAATAAGTTTGCCTGGCCAGCCGTCCTCAAATCTGTTTACTAACTGCCTACTCTAACTCAAGAAAACCTTAGTGAAAGTACTTAATTTTGATTCATGGTTTCGGGAAAACTTTTAAGATATTGTTACCAAAAATGTCAAGGAAATTGACAATGCAAGCATAAAAACCCTAGTTGAGGCTTCACATCTATAATTCTGTACCTAAAACAGTGATCGGCACACAATACTTGCTTTATAAATAAGTATTGAACTGAATCAAATAAGGCAAAGACAGATGTTTTCCACACTGTGGAACTGCAGTTAGGCTGACGTCATGTCCAGCAATTGGCCAAGACAAGAGTGTAGAATGTAGGAAAGAGAAAAGATATGTCAGATTAGATGGGTCCAAGAAGTAGGTCCAGAAATAAAAAGAGAGAGAAAATTAACCAATATTTTAAATTGCCATATGTTCCCACAGTAATAACATGAACAACCTAGAAAGGCCTATACTGATCAGCCCTCTCATATAAACTCCTAAGAGGTAGAGGCAGTTTTGTATATGTGGATTCAGAAGTGTTTAACATGAGCACATTACAGAAAGCTAATGGCTGTCAGCAACAAACCAAGATTCAAATGTGAAGGAACGTTTTCCTTGATTTGAAAAATATATTTCAGAAATATAACCAGATCATGTGAGGCAGTATTTGTCAAAGGATGACCCACAAACCATATACCTCAGAATCACCTGTGACATTATTAAAATGCACATTTCCAAATCCCGCTCAAGACCTACAAAATCAGAATGGGGAAGATGGAGGGGGAGCACTAAGAATGTGCATTTTTAACAAGATCCCAAGATCCCAAGTGATAGACACTAGAGTTTAAAGCCTTTAATATAAAATCTATAATTATATGTGACAGTAACAGGGAAAGATTGTTTCTTCTCTACTCCTGACTTTACATTCTTTCCTGATTTCCTTAATATTTGTGTTCCCATACTCTTACTCTAATTAGCGACTTCCAAATACTGTTCTAATACAGTATTTGAAACATTCTTTTTCCATTCTCTAGTGTATAGCCCACCCTCAAAGTAAAATAATAACAGCTTTTTTCTGTATTGGAAATAATCTACTATGCTACATATATATAACCAATGATTTAAAAAAATACCAAACCAATTTGGTCCCAATGAACAATTTCATTTTAAATTCAAGTTTATTTGGATCTAGTAATTCAACATTATTAAACACTTAATATTATTCAAAGATGATGAACCACATCTGATCTCTATTCACTGACAATACCTTGCCTACTTGAGTAGTTTCTTTCAAGGTCATGTTGTAAAAGTCTACCGGGGAATGACGATGTGTCTTTATTTAGCTTGAATTCAACCTGAAAAACATTATTAAAGAAAAAAATATTTGGAGACAAATTTAACACCAAGCAGTGAAGATAAATTAAAAAAACATATAATAACTGATACACATGGTACAATGTGGATGAACCTTGAAAACATCATGCCAAGTGAAAGAAAACTGACACAAAATACCACATTGGCAAATCCATAGAGATGGAAAGCATATTTGTGGCTTCCAGGCATTTAAGGGAAGCAGGGAATGGGAAGTAACTGCTTAATGGGTACAGGGATTCCATTTGGAATGATGAAAAAATTCTGGAACTAGATAGAGGTGATGGCTGCACCTCTATCATTGTATTTTACCACCCACAAAATCAGGATCAATTTTATGAGGTCAGATACAAGATATTCCAAGCTGAGACACTTCCAATCCCTCCACGCTCTCACCACAAATACAATGATTAAAAGAATCATTTGCTTCAAAAAAAAACACACAATATAAATAAAATGCTGTTGAAAAAATCACTGTTTTGATCATTATAATCCTTTTAAATGTCCTATTATAATATAATAAAATTGTATATTTAAGCCTTCTAAGAAAGGTTTTCACTTGATCTAAAACTGATCTAAAATAATTATCTGGTGGGAGGACTGAGAAAAACAAAACCAGAACAACTTCTTATGATTAGCCACAAAAAACCCCAAATATGTATCTTGAATTAATTAAGATACTTCTAATGTATCCATACTATAAACATTATGTTGGCATTTGCATTATATCCTTAGGAATTATATGACCTAAAGGTATTTTCTCAGAATAGATGTCCACACAAGAGAAAGTGAATGGTTTGGAAAAAATATTTAGATGAGGCACACAGCTCTAGAAACATTATAATGGTGGAAAAGGATTTGTCCAGAGAAATCAATTAGGAAAGCTCTGGAGAGAATCCATTATGCTCAATTATAATAAATAATATTTTCAATTAATCTAACTGCTGTTTATTTGAGATGATCAAATTGTCTATTTTCTGAGTGTTTACCATTTTCATATTCATATATAATGTAATCAACAGCTGCCTCCTTGACTAACGATGTCCTTCCATTTACCTTCCTCATGCCTTTTCTTACCCTTCTTCATGCTGTTATGTGTGAACTCTGCCCTTCACTTTAGAGTTCTTCCAGTGACGCCTATTTAATAACTTTTTAGGACACACCTGAATTGTGATGGTTAGAGGTTTCCAACTTGGTCAAAGGAGGAAAAATCATGTTGTGTCTTGAGACATAGTGTGTAGAAAGTAGGTAAGTATAAATGCTGAGGTGAGACAGAAAGGAAAGAAAAACATGTTTATCTCAAAATCTCAAAAATTAAATCAAAAGCCAGAAATTCTAGAAATGCTAGAGACATTATGGGGAAATAATCTTGGGGAAAAAAATCTCATATTCATATCGTAACTTCTAAATAACGTTAAGTCTAACATGTGTCCACTGCTAACCTATTTTTTTCTTCCCTGATTTTAAATGGGATGTGTGGATATGCCCTCCCAATTACCATTTTATCTAAGGTGTCATTAGTAGTAAGACATACCATTATTTTACCCTCTATTAAGAAAGAAAAAAAACCTCCCCAATTAAACTATGACATGCCATCAATTTTAAGAAGGCTCCTGATTTCAGAAATGTGTAAATATCACTGGGTGCGGTGGCTGTTGCCTGTAATCCCAGCACTTTGGGAGGCCAAAGCAAGCGGATTGCTTCAGCTCAGGAGCTCGAGAACAGCCTGGGCAACATGGTGAAACCTGTCTCTACAAAAAATACAAAAATATTAGCCGGGCGTGGTGGCATGCACCTGTGGTCCCAGCTATTCAGGAGGCTGAGGTGGGAGGATCGCTTGAGCCTGGGAGGCAGAGGTTGCAGTGAGCCAAAATTGTGCCACTGCACCCCAGCGCCCCAGCCTGGGTGATACAGCTAGACCCTGTCTCAAGAAAAAAAAAAGTGTAAATGTCAAAAAAAAAAAACAAAAAAACCCTTACCCTTTTGTAATCAATAAAATCACATTAAGTTTTTTAAAGAGGGCTATTTTAGCTTTATGTAGGCAGAAAGTAAGAACTAGCTTTAAACTGGAAATCAAAGCAAATCTACTTAAATTTTTCAGTTTAGAATCTATCTACACTTTAAGTCATGCTGCTATTTGTGTAGAATTTAAAACAATCTTCAATTTAAATGCCAACCTTCTTAAATCTTACTTTGTTTTTTTCAGGAAGCGATGATGTTTGAATAACCAGATGAAGCCCGCAGTTCACCTGAAATG
Organism: Homo sapiens; assembly: GCF_000001405.40. Classification (NCBI taxonomy): domain Eukaryota; kingdom Metazoa; phylum Chordata; class Mammalia; order Primates; family Hominidae; genus Homo; species Homo sapiens. The sequence goes on along the minus strand of NC_000015.10, from coordinate 70,893,575 downwards.
TAAAAATTAAACCATAAAATTTGCTCTTAATACACAAACACATATTTCCAAAAAAAAAAAAGGTACAAACAGAAATACAACAAAAAAATAGAACACAATGCTCTATTTCTGTTTCTGGTAAATGATCTTGTTCTGAGGATTTGCTGAAAACAATAAAATCACATCTAAGAATTAAAAGGTTTCACTGATTTATTTTCCAAAATGTCGGCAGCAATTTAACCCTCTAGTTAGTACCTCAGGCTTTCGACATTTGCCATTCAGGTCTAAATAAACATCTCAATGAGACAGGTGAAGGAGGTGGGAGTCCCTAATGATAAATTCTCTTCACAGTTAAAAGGAAAAGAAAAGAAAAAGGAATTGACTGGCCAAAGGAATTTAAATAAACCCAAGCCTTTCACAGCAGACCAGCTCCACCTTCTGGGGAGCCCAGATCCTGGACAAGACTTTGAGTACCCATCATACAATATTAAATTGTGCCTTGGTCCAGCCCACGAACCTCAAACCCTGGTCAGACAATAGCTTGAGTAGACCCAGCGGTGCCGGTCCTAATAATACAGCCCATCTCCTAGGACAAAGACGCCAGTCAGAAAGAGTACCAGTGGGAAGAAAGAGAAAGTAGAAGGCCCAACTTACGTTGTTCGCAGCCCGGCCAGAAACAGAGCGATATTTCCCGGGAATCATGATAGGAGACAGTCCAGGTTCTCTGTTAGATCTGCCTTCCAGGTGACGCTACAGCGGAGATTCAAAGAGACCCGAAAGAGGTCATCTCCCAGGCAACCTGCTCAGGGTTACCATGGAAACGACCATTTCCGGTCTGGACCTCTCCCGAATCGATAGAGCCACACAGTCGTTGCAGCTTCTAGTTGTATTCGTGAGAGCCCAGTGCGTCACCACTTCCTCGTTCTATTTTCCCAGCCTCATAAAAACAGAGCGGGAGTATTGGGAGGAGGATAAGCTGGGGAAGAGGCTGGCCACACTGGTTGCTATAACCACCACCACTTCCGGTCCGTTCCTCTTTACGGCCCACCTCAGCGCTGCCCGCGCGAAATTTGTATCCCTCTGCTTGTGTCCACTGGCTCCTGGGGAGCAGCGCAGGGAGGAGGAGGAGGAAGATATCAAAGAGCCCTCCCATTGGGGGCCCCAGATCGCCACTTCCGGTGACCAGAGGTAGGGAAGGAAACAATCCCGACCCGGAGTGGACAGGTGAGGAGGGGAGGACTTGCCTCGCCGAGGCCGCTGCGAGGAGCGTGCCCAAGGGCGAAGGTCCAGGGAACCCGGCTCCCGCGCACCGAAGACGGCCGCCATGCCGGCCCGTTGTGTGGCCGCCCACTGCGGCAACACCACCAAGTCTGGGAAGTCGCTGTTCCGCTTTCCCAAGGACCGGGCCGTGCGGCTGCTCTGGGACCGCTTCGTGCGGGGTTGCCGCGCCGACTGGTACGGAGGCAATGACCGCTCGGTCATCTGCTCTGACCACTTTGCCCCAGCCTGTTTTGACGTCTCTTCGGTTATCCAGAAGAACCTGCGCTTCTCCCAGCGCCTGAGGCTGGTGGCAGGCGCCGTGCCCACCCTGCACCGGGTGCCCGCCCCGGCACCTAAGAGGGGAGAGGAGGGAGACCAAGCAGGCCGCCTGGACACGCGAGGAGAGCTCCAGGCAGCCAGGCATTCTGAGGCTGCCCCAGGTCCAGTCTCCTGTACACGCCCCCGAGCTGGGAAGCAGGCTGCAGCTTCACAGGTAAAGAGAGACCACCGAAGGTTGTGTAAGGACCCCTGGACTCTGGCTGGGCTCCTCCACTTAGTGTCACCTTGGGAAAGGCACCTCATCTCGAAAGTTCCTGTTTTCTAATCTGCAAAGTTAGGGGTGTGCTTTAGAGGTGATCTCCAAGGTCCCACTTATCATTAACACTTTGGAATTAAGTGACCCAGTTAATTCCTTCTAACTGCTCCTCCCCCAAAACTCACACACACACACACACACACACACACACACACACACACACACACACACACAGAGTCTTGTCCTGCAGAGTAGTGAGTTGCTTTCACTCGCTGCTCCAGAGTTTTTAAATAGAAAGGGTTTAATTTGAGCAAATCTCCAGGATTGGAGTGCTTGAAACTGTGTTGCATAACATTACATAAGCTTGAGGAAAGTCCCTTATTTGTGTCACAAATGATGGGGCGAAGGAGATGTGGAGCTACAGATGAAGATGATGGAGCTTGCTAATAAATCCCTTCCCACCCCAAGCTTCCTTTATGACTGATAACTAGCTCCAGCTGCCTTTAAGTTCAGTATCCCTAGTGAGCTGACTTTCCCCATCTTGCTCTCTTCTGCCTACTTTTCTGTTCCTTCTAAACATTGTTTGCACTCATTTTGCATCTGGTTACTACTACCTTCTTCCCCACGTACCATTTTAAAGAAAACTTTCCAGCCTTCCTTGTGATAAACTTCAGCCTTGCCACCATTACACAGATTAAATTATAGCAAGAGGTTAGTAATTTCCTCAGGGGTCTGTAATCCTTACTTAGGTCCGGTTGCCAGACCAACACTCTTTCTGCAGTACTAACCTGCTTCCTACATTGGGGTGGGTATTTAAGACCCTTTAATGGCATCTTGCAATTATTAAGATAAAGAGCAAAATTATTAACCCAATTTACATGGCCCTGCATGTTTTTTCCCCCTGCATACCACACTAGCCCTAACCAAGGCCACTGTCCCTGTTGCTCACTGTGTACCATCATGCTGACCTTTCAGTTCTTGGACATACTATACTATATTACTTCCTACCAACAAGACTTTGCTCAGTTGTTGCATGTATTATAATATCCTGGAACTATGCCCCTCCCACTCCCATCATTGCCAATTAAGTCTTTTTCCCTTAAAAATCAGCTAAACATCTTTCCCCTTGATCCCTTAGTTATGTACTCTCATTCTTCGTGTACTCCATGTGATTCAATAGCACAGATACTTCAGTAGCACTTACCATAATTGCCATGAAATAATTGTGTAGTTTGCTTAATATTTGTTTCTCATATTAGAATGTAAGCTCCATGAGAGCTAGGATCATGTCTGATTTCTTTGCCATTGTATTGCAGTGCCTAAAACAATATTTTACAAATTTAAGTAATTCAATAAATATTTATGGAATGATTACATGACTATAAGAACAAATTTTTGCATTATAATTGAATTTTCAATTATCTGCCAGTTTCCCTCCTCACCAAGCTGTATACCTGTCAAGATAGCTGTCCTTTCCTTGAACCATCTGTCCACCATCACCACCTATACAAACTTTGCCCAAACATATACATCCACATACATATATATGTGTGTAGCAAGAGAGATAAATACTAAACATGTGCCACACACATCCCCCTACACCATTTTTCTTCTTCATAATTACACAACCTAATCAAAAATTGGGAGAAGAAAAGCCAAGCTAGTCAAACAACCAAAGTCTTTATAACCCATAAAAACTAACCGTTGGGAAACAGATCCAGCATACATAATAAATCTGTTTTCCATTTAGTAAGTATAACCAGCCAACATTTATAACAATCCATAGTACATTAATATACTTGCTGAATTACTAGAAAACTGTGAGTTCTAAAATAGTCACTTTAAAAGTATATAAGGTTAAAAAGATTTTGAGTTGATAGCAATAAATGTTTAGCCTGGTCTGGATAAAGAACCCTAACCACATCGCTAAAAAATTGGCTTGTCTATCTGACTTCTTCCCCCACCCAATGTTTTTCTTCCCAATCCCAGGACTAACTGTCTAAAAATCAGATTTCCAGTGATTCTGCAACATTTATTGAAGAGCTATTGTAGACACTGTTCTGGGTGCTTGGTGCTATATATGGATCAATATAAATATGAGTGTTACATATCTTTAGGGGGCTTCCAAAAAGATAAGACACCACTTCCAAGGAAAGAAAGGGGCTTATTTATTGTTTTCCCTTAACTGTTAATTTTGCATTCTTTTTTAAAAAACCCAACTGAATTTTTTAAATTGTTGACTTGAACTATAGCAAATACACAGAAAAGTGAACAAATCTTAAGTGGACAAGTCATTAAATTATCATAAACTGAACATGTGTAACCACAACCCAAGTCAAAGAAACAGAACATTGCTAGCACCCCAGGAGTCCCTATATCACCCCATATCCAGCCCCTCCCCTCTCCTCAAAGGTAACCAAGTTTGCTTTTTTTTGGGGGGGGGATTTCATATAAATCAAATCATACTGTAGCCATTTTCTGTGTCTGGCTTCTTTTGTTCAACATTACATTTTTGAGATTCATCCATATTGTTGCATAGAACAGTAGTTCATTTTCATTATTATGTAGTATTCCATTGTATGAATATACCAAAATTTGTCTGTCTATTGTTGAACATTTGGGTTTTTACCCATTGGGGCTATCATAAGTGATACTACCATAAACTCTTGTATATGTGTTTTGGTCCACGTGTGCACACATTTCTGAGGATATATACCTAGAATTGCTGGGTCATAGTATTACATTAAACTTCAGTAGATAATACCAAATAGTTTTCTAAAATACTTGTACCAATTTACACTTCTACCACAAGTTTGATAGTTTCCATTGTTCCACATTCTTGCCTATACGTGGGATTTCTAGTCTTTCACATCTGAGTCCATTTGCAGAGTGCGTAGTAATGTTTTTGCTTTTCATCCCCCGATTACTGATGAAATTAGTAAGGAAACACCTTTTCAAATATTAATTGGATATTTAGGTAGCCTTCAGTGACATGCCCTTTTAAATCTAGCCCATTTTTCTGTTGGATTGTCTGTCTTTTCTTGTTGATTTAGAATTTTTAATAGATTCTACCTGGAAGTCCTTTTTCAGTTAAATGTTTTTATCTTCTCCCACTATGGGTTGCCTCTTGGTTCTTAATAATGTCTTTTGATGTACTGAAGTTCTTAATTCTGATGTAGTCCAAATTACCAATAATTTTCCTTATTCTTAATACTTAAAACATTTTACTATGCTGTTTGTAATAAACTTTGTTGTTTTTACTTTTTATATTTAGATCTAATTCAGAATTGATTTTTGTGTTTGGTGTGAGGTAGGATTTAAGTTTCATTTTCCCCAACATTGATACCCATTTGACTCAGCATCTTTTATTGAAACTACTAGCATTTCTTCTTGGCCTTGCAATGTCAACTTTGTCATAAATCAAGTGCCCTTTATATGCATAGGTCTGTTTCCACATACTTTATTCTGTTTCACTTATCTGTTTGCCTAAGCAAAAGTATCACAGTGTCTTATATAGCTTTATTAAGAATATTCAATTGATTAATACCTCTTACCTTGTTCATGTTTGTGGATATTTTGACTATGTTGGGCTCTTTAGATTTCTAGATACATTTCAGAATTGATTTGTCAATTTTCACAAGTTACTCACGAGGATTTTGATTATGACTCCATGGAATTCATAAATGAATATGGGAATAAATGGCATATTGACAATATTGACTCTTCTAATCCATGAACATATATCTCCATTTATTTGGGTTTTTAAATTTTTCTTAGAAGTGTTTTGTGGCATTTGATGTAGAGGTCTTACATATCTTTCATTAGATTTATTCACAGCTATTTGATTTTGCTACTATAAATGGTATTTTAAATTTTATAATCTATAAGTGCATATTGATAAATTAATTTTTGTTGAACTTGTATCCAAAAACCTTGTTAAACTCACTTATTAATTTCAATAGTTTATAAATTCTCTTGAATTTTATACATGTACAAAAATATCATCTGAGAAAAGCGTTTGATATTCGTGTTTTTATTTCGTATTCTTCCTGTTGCACTGGCTTGAATGTCCAGTACAGTGTGGGAACAGAAGAGGTGAGGGGAATCCTTTTCTCATTCCTAATTTCAGAGGGAAAGCCTTTAATATTTCCCCATTTGATTATGATTTTTACTATAGTTTTTTATAGCTCTCTTTGTAATAAAAAGAAATGTTCCCCTTTATTTCTAGTTTAGATTATAAATAATGGTGAATTTTATCAAATGGTTGTTCTGAATCTATTAAGGATAACATTTTTATTATGTTAATATAGTAAATTATATTGATTGGTTTTAAAATGTAGAGTCAAACTTGCATGGCTAAAATAAACTCAATTTGGTCAAAGTGTTTTATTCCTTTCTCATATTGCTTAATAAAATATTAGCTAAAATAAAATATTTAGGATTTTTGTATCTGTGTGCACGAGTGAAACTGTTCTACAGTTTTTTTCTTTCTTGGAATGCCTTTCTCAGGTTTGGTATGAAGATTATGCCAACAGATTTGGAATTGTTCCTTCTTTTTTCATTCTCTGGAAATGTTTATATAAAATGGCATATATCCATTAATAAATTTGGTATTAATATTTGGTAGAACTCATTGATAAGACAGGAGTTTTCCTTTTGGAAAGGTTTTTTATGATGGATTCAATTTCTTTGTTATAAGGTTATTCAGAGTTCTTTTGTTTATCCATTTTGATAAATAGTATTTTGTTTATCCATTTTGATTAATAGTATTTTTTAATTTGTCTGTTCCATCTAAATTTTTAAATGTATTGACACAAAACCTTCATGATAATCTTGTATTTGAAAAAAATTCTGTTTGAGCTGAGGTAATTTTTGCTTTTTCATTTTTTCTTGATCAGCTTCACCAGATGGTTTATCGATTTTTTTTTTTCTTTTTTAGACAGAGGCTCACTCTGTCACACAGGCTGGAGTGCAGTGGCGCAATCTCAGCTCACTACAACCTCTGCCACCCGGGTTCAAGCGATTCTCCTGTCTCAGCCTCCCGAGTAGCTGGGATTACAGGTGCCTGCCACCGCACCCAGCTAATTTTTGTATTTTTAGTAGTGATGGGGTTTCACCATCTTGGCCAGGCTGGTCTTGAACTCCTGACCTCGTGACCCACCTGCCTTAGCCTCCCAAAGTGCTGGGATTACAGGCGTGAGCCACCGCACCCCACCGGTTTATCAATTTTTATTAGTCTTTCCAAAGAACAAACTTTGCCTTGTTGATCTCTCTAGAATTTTTTTTTCATTTATTTCACTTATTCATTATTCCCTTCCTCTGCTTTTTAAAATTTTGTCCACTGCTCTGTCTTTAACTTCTTAAGAAGTTAAATTATATCATTGATTTTCAGAATTTTTATGGTGAATGTTAAATGGTGCAGCTAAGTTTCACAAGCTTATTTCACAAATGTAGAATTCAGTAAAGTGGTGTTGATAGAGGAAAATCTGGGTCCTGAGAGGGGGCTATGTTAGAGATATTTTGTGGAATACCTTTTGCATGATATTAATAATTCTAACCTAAATTAAGCCCAATTAATTTTCCTATCCTAATATATGCATTAAAGATTATAAGTCCCCACCTAACATGGCTTTACTGAATCTTACAAGTTTTAGGTATGCAGTATTTTTATTATTTAGTATAAAATATCTAATTTCCATTGTGATTTTATCTTTTATTCGTGGGTTAATTAGAAGTATATTTTTTAATTCCCGTATCTCTGGGCATTTTTTAGTTAAATTTTTGCAATAGATTTCTAGGTCAATTACACTACTGCCAGAGAAAATGCAATATATGGACTTAATTTTTTGAAATTTGTTGAAACTTGTAACATGCTCAAAATAGTTTTTTAAATGTTCCATATGTACTTGAGATGAATGTGCGTACTGCACTTGGATAGTGTTCCACTGATGTCTATTAATCATGTTTAAATTTCCTATATCCTTTTGGAATTTTTATCTTAATTACTAAGAAAGTGATGTTGCAATCTTCCACTGCGATTTTGAATTTACATATTAATCTTCAAATTCTACCTATTTGGTGGTATATATCTTGAAGCTATGTTATTAGGTTATTAGCAATGTTATTAGGTATGTATATATTTTGAAGCTATGTTATTAGGTATGTAGTGCTAATATAGCAACACCAGCTTTCTTTAACTTAGTGTTTGCATAGTACATCTGTTTCCATCCTTCTACTTTCAATCTTTCTGTGTCCTTAAAAGTTTAGGCATTATTCTGTCCTATGGTTACCCCGCTGAAGAGAATGTATCTTTTTTCCTCTGGCTGCTATTAAGTTTTTCTCTTCATTTTCCAGTTTTACTGTAGTGTGCATAGGTTTGGTTTCTGTTGTTTTTATTTTGATAAATAGAAAGGGTTTATAGTACTTTTGTAAAGGCATGTCTTAATGCCTTCTATCCATTTTGATAAACTCTCAGCTGTTATTTGTTCAAATATTGCGTCTGCCCCATTTTATGTTATACTTTTAAATCTTATCCCCTATGTCTGTTATGACATTTTCTGTATTTTCTATTTTCCTTTTGTCTCTTTCTGCCTTGTTCTAGATATTTTCTTTTGACTCATGTTCTAGTGGATTAATACGTGCCTGGAAATTCTGCCTCTAAGCTTTTAATCTGAAGAAGCAATCGGATATCTACACAAGAGATTTATGTTCAAATATTCCTAGTAATATGGATTGTTTTAATAAATTGTAGTATATCTGTAGAATACATTCCTATGTGGCAATAAAAATTATGATTTAGAATATTTAATAACAGATTATATATAAAATAAGTGGGAAAACTAGGTTATAAAGCATTATATTATCTCAGTTTTTAAAAATACACATAAAAAGACAACATCAAAATATAAAGTTTTAGCTATGGATTGTGAGATTATGACTAATTTTTAGCTTCTTTTTGCTTCTCTGTATGGTGCAAATTTTTGCAGTAAAAAATGTATTATTGTTATAAAGGGAATAAAAGTTATTTTTTTAACCCTGATTAAATTTCTAAAACTCTATTTTATCCAGAATACACCTTTTTGTAAAGAAATATGTGTTTATTCTGGACTTTGACAATGCTTGGCTTAGAAGTAGATATAGCTAGTGAAAATTGGTCATGATTTAATAAACGTGGAGATAAACCCTTTAAATAAGATTTGTGTTACAAAGGGACTCTTCACAGGAATTTCTTTACAAAGTTTCTTTCTTTTTTTTTTTTCTGTGTGTATATATGTGTGTGTTTGAAACAGAGCCTCACTCTGTCGCCCAGGCTGGAGTGCAGTGGTGTGATCTTGGCTCACTGCAACCTCTGCCTCCCGGCTTCAAGCAATTATTGTGCCTCAGCCTCCCGAATAGCTGATGTACCACCATGCCAGCTAATTTTTGTATTTTAGTAGAGGTGGGGTTTCACGATGTTGGCTAGGCTGATCTCGAACTCCTGACCTCAAGTGATCTTCCTGCCTCAGCCTCCCGAAGTGCTGGGAGGCGTGAGCTACTGTGTGTGGCCACAAAGTTTCTTTAACTTGGGTATCAATAGCCTATGATACAGCCACCAAAGACACCTACTAAAATATTTTTTCAGTGGTTTGAAGGCAGCTGCCACTACTGCTAAACACTTTAATTTTGTTTTCATTTCTCTATCACTTACTTTCTCTCCTCCCAGGCTCTCTTAACTTTTCCAGATATCTTTTCTTACCGTCTTCCACATAATCTCTAGGTACCCTGTCTTATATTACCTTTTACATATCAAAACCCTCCTTCTTTCTACCTCTCACCCATATTAGTTCCCCTACAAATCAAATTTCACCGCCTGGCACAATAGCACACGCCTGTAATCCCAGCACTTTGGGAGGCTGAGGCAGGCGGATCACTTGAGGCCAGGAGTTTGAGACCAGCCTGGTTACCATGGTGAAACATTGTCTCTACTAAAAATACAAAAAATTAGCCAGGCATGGTGGCAGGCACCTGTAATCCCAGCTACTTGGGAGGCTGAGGCACGACAATTGCTTGAACCCGGGAGGTGGATGTTGCAGTTGCAGTGAGCCAAGATCATGCTTCTGCACTCCGGTCTGGGTGACAGAGGGAGACCCCTGTCTCAAAAAAAAAAAAAAAATTCCATTTCACAATGTAGTTTTTCTCAGGAAAGTATTAAAAGTCACTTATCTTATTAAAGGAGACTTCTATAAAGTATAAAGAACAAATGATTAGGTTTTCTAGAATAATATGACTGCTAAGATATCAAATAAGTTAATACTGATAGTATCATCTTGGTTGGGCGAGGTGCCTCACGCCTGTAAACCCAACACTTTGGGAGGCTGAGGCGGGCAGATCACCTGAGGTTAGGAGTTCGAGACCAGCCTGGCTAACATGGTGAAACCCTGTTTCTACTAAAAATACAAAAAAATTAGCTGGGCGTGGTGGCGCCTGCCTGTAATCCCAGCTACTTGGGAAGCTGAGGCAGGAGAATCACTTGAACCCGGCAGGCGGAGATTGCAGTGAGCCGAGATGGCACCATTGCGCTCCAGCTTGGGCAACAAGAGCAAAACTCCATCTCAAAAAAAAAAAGTATTATCTCTTCTAGCTTTTGATTTAAGAAAAAAAAAAATTAGTTGTAAGCAAATAGCTTATGCATTCTGGCTGACCAGAATTCATGATTTATAAGTGGAAAAAAGACAATATGGCAGAATTCATAAAAGGTTGGACTATAGATTCACCTTGCCTAGGTTCAAATATCAGCCTTACTAATATGTGACTGAAAATTTTCAGCTATACTGTCTTACTACTTGTAACTTTTGAAAGATAAAATCCTATAAGGTACACTTTAATATGTTTCTCCTCTGATTTGTATTTTTAGATTACGTGTGAAAATGAACTTGTGCAAACCCAACCCCATGCTGATAATCCATCTAATACTGTCACTTCAGTACCTACTCACTGTGAAGAAGGCCCAGTGCATAAAAGTACACAAATTTCTTTGAAAAGGCCCCGTCACCGTAGTGTGGGTATGTTTTGACTCTTCAATGGATTAAGCAATTGAATTGATCTTTCGTATATTAAAGATATATGAAAAGCAAAGTCTAACTCATAGGTACTTATGCTTATTCTCTTTCAGGTATTCAAGCCAAAGTGAAAGCGTTTGGAAAAAGACTGTGTAATGCAACTACTCAGACAGAGGAATTGTGGTCTAGAACTTCCTCTCTCTTTGACATTTACTCCAGTGATTCAGAAACAGATACAGACTGGGATATCAAGAGTGAACAGAGTGATTTGTCTTATATGGCTGTACAGGTGAAAGAAGAAACATGTTAAAAACTCAACATCAAATGCTCTGATGTGCTATAGATTTTCAAATCTTTACTCACATAATTATCTCTTTGCTATTGTAAATCTTTCACTTCAAGATAATTTGACAGTTGAGTATCAGCATAATTTGTTTAGCTCTAAGGCAAAAGTTTGCTTGCTTGCCAACACAATGAAGATAATACCTACCCACAAACATCCCTATTCTCTACTTTCACCTTTTTTTTTCTTTTAATCCTTTTGGTAGAAATCAGGTTACAAAGCAAAACCACAATATCAGCAACACTTCCTAATCAAAATTAAGCATTGAATATTTGTTTAAGCTTAGTTCAGAAGCAACGCTCCTACAGGACTTGACATTTGCTAGTTAGAATATCCCTACTCTTCTAAATAATTTGAAAGTATAGAGCAGTAACACAGTAACAGTGAGCACAGCCAAGCCTGACACTACTAAATGATTTGGTAGTGAAGCCAGGACATCTACCCTTGACTATTTTTTATGTTATTTATTTATTAGTTTGTCCATTTGTAACATGTATAGATCTGTCCTGTGAGCATTTCTGATGAATCTATGGTTCTTACAGAAATTTTTCAAAGGAATCAATTTAGAGATAGAGTTTTCATATACTTACATTAACTTATTAATGAAATCTGTTTGCATCAGTGCTTACTGCGACACATTAATTAGCTTGATTAATTTAGATTAGAATCATTAACATCATGAAAAATAAAAGTACTACATTTCTAACGTATTCCCATTGCAGGTGTTAGGTATTTTTTCTGTCAACACCTCTCTTTTGAATTCTACATTTGAGAAATAAGCATGGAAATATTAGCTGCCCCGTCTGCCATTCACCAGGAAAAATTTCTATGGCAATTTTGTACCATGAAGTAAACTGTTACAATAGTTTCTGAGAAGCATACTATAACTCTGATCTTCCATTGAGAATAACAAAAATAAATATCAATTTTACACCTCATATGTCTTCTTAGTTCTGAATGATTAGAAGAACTTGCATGTATTTTTATCCTAGAAGGTTTAAATAATACATCAAAGTTATTTTCTTCCAAATGTAATTTTATGTCTGCTTTAAGGAAAATAAAATAAAATATTAATAGGAGTTGTGAGCCTGAACAATGATTGTGTAAAAACATAGCATTATTATTACTTTCATTATTGTTACTGCTATTTTGACTTGAATTTGAGATGACTGTTTTTTGTTTGCTTGTTTTAGAGACAGGGTCATGTTCTATCGCCCAGGCTGGAATGTAGTGCTGCAATCATAGCTCATTGTAACCTCAAACTCCTGGGCTCAGACGATCCTCCCACCTCAGTCTCCTGAGTAGCTAGGACTATAGGTGTGTGCCACCATACCCAGCTAATTTGTTTTTTAAATTTTTTGTAAAGATGGGGTCTCACTACATTGCCCAGACTGGTCTCAAACTCCTGGCCTCAAGCAATCCTGCCACCTCGGTCTCCCAGAGTGCTGGGATTACAGGCATGAGTCACTGGACCTGGCCTGTTTTAAGAGAGCATTATGTTTTAAAATGAATCACATAAATCTTCTGAAGCTAAATCCCATCAATAAGTACCCTTTGAGCTTTGAAATAGCCTATCTCCTTAATTCAAACCATAATGAAGTTACATGCCCATTTGTCCCCAAATTTCACTGCCATGAATCTACTTCATTTCTACATGTTAAACAGTTTTGACAGCCATGTCAACACTTTTTTTTTTACTCTTCACTTAGTTTTCTTCTTCCACCAATTGAGTATTTATACTTGATTTGCTGATTTGCATGATCTCATAATTTATTGTGTATGTTTCACTGCCCTTCACAGTAAAAGGAAATACTGGCTTTATTTTAAATGACGTATAAGGAACTTATAGTTTATATTATATTGTTTGATTTTTGCACAAATATTTTTAATTTATTTAGTTGCTAGACCAGTTTAGTGGGGGGAAAAGTTATATTTACCTTAGTACCTCCCATATCATTATTCAATTTATTTATTCATAAGTATTTATCAAACATATACTCTGTGCCAGACAAGTGTTCACTAAGGATACATTGGTGATTAAGACAAAGATTCTGTCCTGGCGCTTACCTTTTGGTGGGGGAGGCAGACAATTAACAAGAAAATGAATGGATAATTTGAGATAGTGATTAGTGCTTTGAAGAAGACAAAGTAGGAGAAGATGTTAATTGAGGTGGGGGGAGAGGTTTGTTGAGCTGTTTTAGATAGGGTAATCAGAAAAGACCTCTCTGAGGAGAGCATATATGATCAGAGACCTGGATATCAGAAGGAGTGACCACGCAATGATCTGAGGGAAGAGAATTCCAGGTGATAGGAACAGCAGTTTCTCTGGTGTGTCTGAGGAACAGTAAGAAGACTAGGGTGGCTAGAGATAATGAATGAGGCAAACAATGGTAAGAGATGAAGTTGGAATGGTATATAGGACCAGACCATGTTACGGTATCAGAGGCTACAATCTGGAATTTTTGTTTTATTCTGGGCTTAAATTCTATTTTAAATGTGTTCTTATGATTGGTTTAATTATCTGCCAGTATTTATTTCTTAAACTTACTTGGAAAAGTAAGTTTAAAAAATCATTGGACTTTAGGTGAGAGAAGAGAGACATGTCAAGAGTATGTGAATGTAAAGCTTATTCAGTCAAAAATATTCCTCTGTGGGACTTCTGGAAAGCTGCAGGCTTACTGGCCTAAGGAATCAGAGGTAGGAATTCAGTGCTGCCAGAGTGAAAAGTGATGGGGCAAGTCATGGAAAAGAGGAAGCCAGAGGGGAGGAGACCCCAAATCTCATAAACTCCACCCAAATCTCTGACTAATCATGAGCTATGCCTGTGTTGTGACCTCTGGGGGCCCGGCATAAAACAACGGTTGCAAGCCTTAGCTTAGCTGCTACTCATCACAGTGGAAATGGAGTTTGGAGTTTGAGTCCAGCCAAGTTAACCAGCTGTTAAAACAAAATTCAAGTGTTTAGGAAGAAGTTAACAATTTATCATCCAAAATGTCCAGTATAATTTAAAATGACTAGTCATGTGAAGAAATTAGAAAGTGTGACCTAATATCAACACAAAAAGGAATCAATAGAAACCAACCCCAAGATGACCAGAAGTTGGAACTGGCAGACAAGAACTTTAAAGCAGTTATTATAAATATATTCCAAGAGGAAAATGTAGTCATAATGAAGAGACATGAGGAATCTCAACAGAGAGATGGAAACTAAAAAAAGAACCAAATGGAAATTCTAGAGCTAAAGCAGACAAGCTATCGAAACTGGCACAAGGAGAAACAGAAAGTCTGAAGCGCCTATATCTGTTAAAGGAATTGAATTTGTAATTATAATCCTTTCCACAAAGAAAACTCTAGGCCCAGACGACTTTACTTTCAAATTCTGTCAAACAACATAAGAAAGAATACCAATCTTATACAAGCTCTTCCAAGAGAAAAGGACTAGAGAACACTTCCCATCTCATGAGTTCAGCATTAACCTATTACCAAAACTAGGCAAAGACATTGCAAGAAAAGAAATTATAAACCAACATCCCTTGTAAAGTTATGTGTGTATCTTAACAAACTATTAGCAAACATATCCTGCAATACATTATACAAATAATACATCACATCTAAGTACAGTTTAGCTCAGCCACACGAGGCTGGTTTCACATTCAACAACCAATCAATGTAATTCACCATATTAAGAGAACGAAAGAGAAAAATCATGTCACCTTCATCTTACTAGATTTAAAAAACATTTGACAAAAGTCAACATCTATTTATGATAAAAACCTACCAATAAACTAAGAATAGAAAGGAATTTACTTTCTTCACCTAATAGCAGCCATGAATGTATGCCACTAAATCCATAGTTAATGTTCCCTTACAGGCTTTATCCCTAGATCAGGAAAAATGTGAGGATGTCCATTCTTCAATACTTTTATTCAACATCATACTGAAGATCCTAGTTGGTGCAATAAAGGCAAGGGGAAAAAAAGGAAAGAAGGCAAAAAGGAAGAAATGGCAAAACAAAATGCACAGATGTTTAAAAGGAGGAAATAAGGTTGTCCTTTTTTTAGAGATGATATGATTATGTACGTAGAACCTCCTAAGAAATCTATTAAAAAGCTACTAGAACCAATAAATCAGTTTAGCAAACCAAATATGCAAAAATCAACTTCATTTCTATATGCTAACAATGAACAATTGGAAACTGAGATTAAAAAAAACTGGTTTCATTTACAATATGGAAAATGCAAAGAATTTATTTATTTATGTATTTATTTATTTTGAGACAGAGTCTCACTCTGTCGCCCAGGCTGGAGTGCAGTGGCGTGATCCTGGCTTGTTGCAAGCTCGGCTCCCTGCAAACTCTGCCTCCCGGGTTCACGCCATTCTCCCACCTCAGCCTCCTGAGTAGCTGGGACTACAGGCGCCCGCCACCACACCCGGCTAATTTTGTTTTCATATTTTTAGTAGAGACGGGGTTTCACCATGTTAGCCAGGATGGTCTCAATCTCCTGACCTCGTGATCCACCTGCCTCAGCCTCCCAAAGTGCTGGGATTACAGGCGTGAGCCACCGCGCCCAGCCACAAAGAATTTAAAATAACAAACTGTTGGAGAGCAATAGCAACTGGAACTCTCCTACATTGCTGGTAGTAATACAAAATACTACAAGCACTTTGGAAAACAATGTGGTAAACTTTCATGAAGGTAACATACCCATATCATTCAACCAAACAATTTCACTCCTGGGTACTTTACCAAGAGAAAACACATGTCCACACAAAGACTTTTACACAAATGCTCATAAGAGCCAAAATCTGAAAACTCAAATGTCCATCAACAGGTGAGTGGATAAGGAAATTGAAGTATATCCAAATAATGAAATTATCTTAGAAATAAAACAAACATATACAAAACAACCTGGATTAATTTTGAAAGTATTATGCTGAGTGAAAAAAATCCAGGCACAAATAAAAGTACACATTCTATATTTCTATTTGTATAAAATTCTAGAAAAGAAAAAAATCTATAGTGACAGAAAGGAATCCATCAGTGGTTGCTTGGGACTAGGGCAGAGGAACATTCCCTGCAAAAGTACGCAAGGAAATGTTTAGGGGAGATGGAATGTTTTATACCCCAATGTGATGAGGGTTACATTAATACATACATTGTATTAATAGTTGTATGTAAATTATACCTTTATAAAGCATGTTAAAGAAAAAGCAATACACTATTATTTTGCCAAATGATAGTTCAAGCAATAAATTCTGTAGTTTCTTAAGGTAGGCTTCACAAAATAGGTGGAATTGTAATGGTCCTTTAAGGAGAGAGAGGATATAAATATGCTTTAAAAACCAACAGGAAGGACTGAAGGCCCAGAAAAAGTCAGTAGAGACACGGATGCATAAAAAGCAAAGGATGAGTGAGAAGGAGAGTGGCATCATTAGACTGAAGATTTACAAAGGAGTTCTGAAAGATTCAGATAGACAAGCAGAATGTTGCCAGAACAAGCGGAATGGCCTTTAACCTTTGGGCACTGAATGAACTTTTCAGATTTGGGGTCAGGAAAGTATGTTAGGCAAATGAATCTGGAGCATAGCACAAGAAGAATTGGAATGGATTAAATTTGTTAGAGATGGCATGCCTTTGCAATAGTCCTGGCTTGAGAAGGTAAAATATTGACCTAGAGTGAGGAAAGGCAAAAAATGGAGAAGATAGAAAAGGAAGAATTGACTGGACATGGTGGTTACTTTACGGATTTGTGAACAAGGAAAGAGTAAACAATGACTGAGTTTTCAAGTGTGGGTAACAAGAACTGGCAGTACTATTAGTACTATAAGAAGGAGCCAATCTCGGGAGAAAGGTGCTGATTTCAATTTTAGAAATGAGTTGCCTGAGAAACCTACCCTGACCCTACCCTCACCCTCTCTGAAGACTGGATGAAATGTCACTGCATACTACCAAAGCATGTCATGCATAGCCCATCATGGCATTTATCACCTTGTGTTGTGACTGTTTACTAATCTCCCCCACTAGACTCTACACAGCCTGAAGGTAAAGACAGTAGTTCACTGTGCCAAGCACTGTTCTAAGGGTCTAAGGGGTTTCCAAATGTTCTTCCTACATGGTAAGGTTTTACAAGCATTTGCTAAATGAATACTGAATGTTGAGTTTCAGAAGATAATGAAACAGGAAAGCAGATGTGTTTCTCAGGCAATTCGAGTAGTGAGGTGTAGAGATGTAGCTTTCAGAGGCATTTACATGAAAGTGATCGTTGAAACCATGATGTAGGATCCCTAAAGGAGAGTTTTTAGACTTCCTGTGGCACTTAAAGTCTTCATTATTTACCTGGCAAAAGTGATCGAAAATGAGAAGCTGGAGAGACCAAGAACATGCACTTAAGCCTGTCTTATCCATTAATTGAATTAACTTCTGAATATTCAAGAGTTGGCTCTGCAGATAATCCACTAAAAAAAAAGAAAAAAGAAAGAAACTGTCTAGCACTTGCTCCTTGCATCTTCCCTTTATGTACCAAGAATCATGATCAGTGACATTTAGGAAAGTGGGAGAAAAAATTATTGGGACATGGCAACAGCCTGGATGCTTCTTTCACCCTGGCTGAATACCGAAGTTCCAATCTAGGCTCCAAGACGCTTATCGGCTATAGTGTACTTAGATAAATTACATTATCTCTCTGGGCCTGAGTCTACTCCCATGCAAAATTGTGATTTTAGTACCTACAACATATTTCTGTTGAGAAGATTACAATATGAAAAACCTAGAACACTGCTGGGCACATGGTAAGTGTTCCATAACTCTTAGCTAGAGGCAGGAAAGGATATTGCCTAAGAGGATGGACTTTGTAACACACTACCTAGGCTTCCATTCTAGTTATGCCAATTACTAGGCAGGTTACTTTGCCTTTTTGGGCCGTTCCCTCATCTGTAAAGTACGGCTGTTTTTAGTTCCTCGATCATAGGTTTGTTGTGAGAATTAAATGTATGCTAACCACTTAGAACAGCACCTGACACATTGTAAACATCATGTTAAATATGACTTATAACCCATCAACCCCTTACCCATATATCTTGATTCCGAGCCCTGCCTTTAGTTATGTCCAGTCTCTTTTGTGGCCTCTCATTTTAGTCAATAGTTAGTACACTGGATGTTTTCTAAGTTCATTTCACAGAGACACTAGATGGAGTTGCTGAGCTAAAGCACCAAAGAACTGCTGGGCAGCCGAATTGGAATTTTGGAGCTGAATGGAACTTTAGGGATGGTCTGGTTCACACTTTTATTTTGTAGATGAAGAAACTGAAGATCAGAGAAGTTATCTGGTATAATCCCAGCCTGCAAATTGTCTTAGCAATCCAATGTCTCCATTTCTGGCAAAATTGATCCCACTCTTCATCAGAAATGACTGAATAATGAAGCTGGATGTGCTTGCAACTCTTACTTAGTGAAATCATCTAGAACCATTTGATCAAACTCAAACAATCCTGTAAGCCCCACAGGGGCATGCTGCTGTTGTTCGCTGACTGCTCTGTCTACAATGCCTGGCATGTAGTTCAGTTAATATTTGTTGAAGAATGATAGGGATCTATCATGTTTTTAAAGCTTTAGAGATTGAAAATCTTCCTCAGTACTTGTTCCAATGCTTTCTGAAGGGGATTCCTCCTCATGTAGACTTATTCCTTTCACATATATGTCAGTCCTTTTCTTCTTTTTCTAGATTCCCTGAAGGTGTTATAGCTGGAAAAATCTTCCAGTTAAAATGCCTCATTTTGTCAATGAGGAAATTAACTGAGGCAATTTGTCCATACTCACATAACTGATTAGTGGCAGAGCTGAGATTGAATTTTCTGTAGCTTGTCATCTAAAAACCAAAAAATGCAAACCGCTTCAAAAGACTGTCAACCTTCTTCCACCTGCTCTTTAAATGTTCCCCAACTTGTCTCCAGGTCATAGTCTCCAGCTTATTATCAAATTATCAATTTGATTGCTTCCCACTTGGAGCAGGCTTACTATTTACATCCTTCCTTTTCTTGATCCCAGTTCAAATAACTAGCCTATTCTATCATTGCTGCCCACCCACCTGCCCTTTGTACCTCCTGGCTCTTAATCCCTGTCTTTGAGAAGAAAAGGTAGATCCTCTTTCTCACCTAAACCAGCAGGGATGGGTTTGCAGATATTCCAGGGAGCTCATCCCTCCCTCGTTAGTGTCAGAACAGAAGGATCCCAGACATCTAGAACACTTCCAGGATTGTTCCAAGATGGCGTTTGCAGTTCCGATCAGAGTCTCAAAAGTTATGTTGGGCTCTGAGATAACATAACCCAGGGAAATCCCCAAACAGAAGGTTCCCTAGCTGGACTAAATGACATTCACACACTGGTTTACTAACAACACCCAGGAAATGTAGAGTTTCTACAGTCAAGGACTGTATCCTTGACATCTCAATCCCTTTCTACAGTTCCATGTACCTATTGGTTTATTCTTTACTAAGCCTACCACCTAGTTGCAGTAGATTGTAAAAATAGCCAAAAATTCTTCCACTCCCATCAAGAGGTAAAATCTATTTCTCCACTTCTTGACTTTGGTTTGGTCATGTGACTTACTTTCACCAATAGGACATTAGTAAAGGTAATATAAACTGAGGCTTTAAAAGTGCTTGAGCCCTGGGCTTGTCCTCTTGCTGTGTTTGGAACTCTAGGACTACCATGTGACTGAGTTCAAGCTAGCCCCCTATGGAGGAGACTCCATGTGGAGAAGCAGCTGGTCCCTTGCAAAGAGCCCTCCAACTGTCAGACACATGAAGGAAGTCATTCTAGATCATCTGGCTGCCTCCAACATGCCAGCTGACCAGAGAAGCATGAGGAAGTCCAGCAAATCCGCCAAGCATGCCCAGAGAGAAGAGCTGCCCAGTCAGCCCATGCAACTGTAAGATGAATCAATGGTTGTATTTTAGGCCATTAAATTGTGGGGTTGTTTGTCATGCAGCAAGCACTACCTGATACACTAGTGGTAAAGACTCCCTAAGGAAAAGGCAATCACTATTTTCCTGTTCCCTCCTCACCATGACCCTCAGTTTTTCATTCTTGTATAATAGCTTTAGTTAGTATTTTGACCGTATATGATGTTTTAGTTCAGTGAGGGGATAGCAGAGTATAATTGTTATACAAAATTATGTCAACTGAAAGTGTAGACTTACCTCAGCTTGGCAATCCATCTTTAAAAGTTATGTCAAGTTGGCTGGGCGAGGTGGCTCACTCCTGTAATCCCAACACTTTGGGAGGCCAAGGCGGGTGGATCACTTGAGGTCAGGAATTCAAGACCAGCCTGGCCAAGATGGTGAAACCCCGCCTCTACTAAAAATACAAAAATGAGCTGGGCATGGTGGCGGGCACCTATAATCCCAGCTACTCGGGATGCTGAGGCAGAGAATTGCTTGAACCTGGGAGGTGGAGGTTGCAGTGAGCGAGATCGCACCACGGCACTCCAGCCTAGGCGACAGAGTGAGACTCCATCTAAAAAAAAAAAAAAAAAAAAAAGTTATGTCAAGTTTATAAGATATTTTGAGCCAGAGCCATTTCTCTCACAAGTCTTGGAATCTCTTGGAGAAAACGTCCTCTTTCTCTCTAGGGTCTCCATGGCTGTACATGCAAATCACTCTCCTCAGTGGATATGAGAGCTTTCTGAGATGCTGCCTATGGAACTTGTCTGGTCTCAATTTTCTCTTTTTTAAAAATGCCAGCAATTTCTCCTTCTTGACAATTTTCTCATCTTTTTAGAACACACACTTTTTGGAAACCCTAAAGCGTATCACAACTTTATCTTTGACATCATCTCAAGCTTCTAAACCCAGTCCCAGAACCGGACCCTTTGGAAAGTTACTTCCCAAGCACTTATTCCCTAGGCTCATCTCTTAGCACCAATATGAATGTTTTTTCAGTCATTCAACAAACCAGGGATAAAACTAAGTACCTCTCCCTCCCCCTCGCCCTCCCCCTCCTCCTCTCCCTCTCCCCTACGTCTCCGTCTCCCACTTTCCGCGGTCTCCCTCTGATGCCGAGCCGAGGCTAGACTGTGCTGCCGCAATCTCGGTTCACTGCAACCTCCCTGCCTGATTCTCCTGCCTCAGCCTGCCCAGTGCCTGGGATTGCAGGCGCGTGCTGCCACGCCTGATTGGTTTTTGTATTTTTTGGTGGAGACGGGGTTTCGCCGTGTTGGCCGGGCTGGTCTCCAGCTCCTGACCGTGAGTGATCTGCCAGCTTCGGCCTCCCGAGGTGCCAGGATTGCAGACGGAGTCTTGCTCACTCAGTGCTCAATGTTGCCCAGGCTGGAGTGCAGTGGCGTGATCTCGGCTTGCTTCAACCTCCACCTCCCAGCCGCCTGCCTTGGCCTCCCAAAGTGCCGAGATTGCAGCCTCTGCCCGGCCGCCATCCCGTCTGGGAAGTGAGGAGCGTCTCTGCCTGGCCGCCCATCGTCTGGGATGTGAGGAGCCCCTCTGCCCGGCCGCCCAGTCTGGGAAGTAAGGAGCGCCTCTTCCCGGCCACCATCCCGTCTAGGAAGTGAGGAGCGTCTCTGCCCGGCCGCCCATCGTCTGAGATGTGGGGAGCGCCTCTACCCCCCCGCCCCGTCTGGGATGTGAGGAGAGCCTCTGCCCGGCCGCGGCCCCGTCTGGGATCTGAGGAGTGTGTCTGCCCCACCACCACCCCGTCTGGGAGGTGAGGAGCGTCTCTTCCTGGCCGCCCCGTCTGAGAAGTGAGGAGCCCCTCCGCCCAGCAGCCGCCCCGTCTGGGAAGTGAGGAGCGTCTCTGCCCGGCAGCCACCCCGTCCAGGAGGTGGGGGGCAGCCCCCGCCCGGCCAGCCGCGCCGTTCGGGAGGTGGGGGGCGCCTCTGCCCGGTCGCCCCGTCTGGGAAGTGAGGAGCCCCTCTGCCCGGCCGCCACCTGGTCTGGGAGGTGTGCCCAACAGCTCATTGAGAGCGGGCCATGATGACGATGGGGGTTTTGTCGAGTAGAGAGGGGGGAAATGTGGGGAAAGGAAAGAGAGATCAGATTGTTGCTGTGTCTGTGTAGAAAGAAGTAGACATGGGAGACTCCATTTTGTTCTGTACTAGGAAAAATTCTTCTGCCTTGGGATGCTGTTAATCTATAACCTTACCCCCAACCCCGTGCTCTCTGAAACATGTGCTGTGTCCACTCAGGGTTAAATGGATTAAGGGCGGTGCAAGATGTGCTTTGTTAAACAGATGCTTGAAGGCAGCATACTCGTTAAGAGTCATCACCACTCCCTAATCTCAAGTACCCAGGGACACAAACACTGCGGAAGGCCGCAGGGTCCTCTGCCTAGGAAAACCACAGACCCTTGTTCACATGTTTATCTGCTGACCTTCGCTCCACTATTGTCCTATGACCCTGCCAAATCCCCCTCTCCGAGAAACACCCAAGAATGATCAATAAATACTAAAAAAAAAAAAAAAAAAAACTAAGCATGGCAGAATCAGTCCCTGCCCTCAAATATCTTGCAGCATATCTAGAAATTCTTAAAATAAGTTGCAATCATTTTTTAGTTACAATTTGATTCCCAGTGGGGAAGAAATTGAGATGATGACCTTGAAAGGGTTAAGAATTACCTACTGCTGGCTGGGCACGGTGGCTCACACCTGTAATCCCAACACTTTGGGCGGCCTAGGCGGGCAAATCACCTGAGGTCAGGAGTTTGAGACCAGAATGACCAACATGGAGAAACCCTGTCTCTACTAAAAATACAAAATTAGCTGGGCGTGGTGGCACATTCCTGTAATCCCAGCTACTCGGGAGGCTGAGGCAGGAGAATCGCTTGAACCCAGGAGGCGGAGGTTTTGGTGAGCCAAGATCACGCCATTGCTCTACAGCCTTGGCAATAAGAGCAAAATTCCATCTCAAAACAAAACAAAACAAAACAAAAACAATTACCTACTGCTTATACCAAATGGTCCTGTCTTGAAGTGTATCACTCTTTGGGATTGATACAACTTCACATGAACCTCAAGTGTCACAAAAAAAGTGGTAACCAACTATAGTGCATTTGCTCATGTTTCTAAAAATGGTAAACCACAGTTGAGCTAGTGTGATACTGCAGCAGAATTTTTATGACAAAGTGTGGGCTGCTCTGCAGCAATCCCTCCCAATTCAATTTGCTGATGACTCATCCATTCCAATCTTCATGTTTATAAATCAATGGAGAAAACCATGCTCTATATCTTTTATTCTGCATCAGTCTTTGCTGTTGGAATCCTCTTAGCTTAGTACAGAAAAAGAATTTTGCTTGGACACATTCCAAACTTAAATTGTCCTCTGGATTTTGTACCAAACTGAAAGAAACCAAAGAAAACCTCTCAGTTTCTGAAGCTCAGAGTGTCAGAAATAAGAGGGTCTGGATGTAGGGGCTAGTGAGCAAATAGGAAACTTTGCACTAAATAATTTTTTTTTTTAGCTGCAGCTCAAGATTTTAATTTTAATATTTTTCTGTTAATAAAATCAGTAATAAACTCAGTGTGGGAAGCTGATTTTAAAAAAGCAAACACGTACAAATAAGCAAATAAAAATCACCTGTTAATTTAGGACGCAATTGCAAAGAGGAGAAACCCACTTTCACTAGCTCAAGGCAAAAAGGGAGAATATTGGAAGCATAACAGGGACAAGGGTATTACAGTTTAATATTTACAACCTCTCCCCATTGCCTGCTTTTTAAGAAGGATTTGTGCCTGTGTGGGTGGGCTGCTGCATGTGTGTGCTGGTCAGCTCCTGGGCCTGTATTGTACTGACAGTAATCGCTGATAAAGCAGCGGATCTGTAGTAGCCTCCTCTGCTTGCACACAGCCTAAAATGCCCACCAGCCCTACTTAAATATATGTACATTCCACAGCTGTCTAGCCCTAGTTTCTGGGTTTAGCAGTACAGTGTTTGATAGACACTCACTAGTAGGTTCACCCTGGATCACATGTCCCTACAGCCAATCGCCTACCACTGAAAGGGTGGGATCATTTGGTTTAAATATGGCAGTCTAAGAAGCTCCTTCCAGAAGAGGGGAGGCTTTGAGTGGGATAGATTATTTTAGAAGATTAGGCAGGGAAGAAGTGAATGGCATCTATAGAACAAATATAATACTATCCAGAAATCATTACTGTTAACATGTCAGTGTGTTTCCTTAGTTGATATGCTGTTTGTAGAAGTATATATGTATTATATAGTTGATAAATGATAAATAAAGCTCTGTGACCTGAGCTTTTCATGTATTATAATAATCTATCATAAACATTTCTTTTTATCATTAAAATTTTTTTTCCAATTACTTTAATGGTGGCATAATACTCCACTGTAGAGATATTATTATAATTGATAAACTACTGAATATTCATGTGATTTCCAAGTATCTATCATTTTACATAAAGCTGCAATAGACATCCCTATACTTTAATCTTTGTGCTTATTTCTGATTATTTTCTTAGAGGTACCTAGAAGTGGGATCAATGCCTACAAATATTTATTTACTGCCAATTTGTTTTCTAAAATGTTTATACTAACTTGTACTACCACCCACAATGATTAGATGGGATTATCTCATCTTAGCATCAGCTCTTACCTATTTAGAAAAACGAAACAAAGCATGACACTGAAGCTTGTCACTGTATATAGTTTTTGCCTCTCCTGTATATTGTATTCAATTCCACATTTGGGGTGACCCAAGTTTAAAGCTGAGATTCTTATGGTCCCCAGACCAGTTGCATCAGCATCACCCGGGAACGTGGTAGAAAAGCAAATTCTCAGGCTCTACCCTAGACCTACTGAGTCAGAAACTCTGAGAATGGGAGCCAGAAATCTGAGTTTCAACAAGCCCTTTGGGTGATTCTGATGCATGCTCAATTTTGAGAGCCACCAGTTGAAAGCATTGAAGAGTTCTGCCTAAGCCCTCACAGTGTTTCCCCAATTTTGAGTGACCAAATATCATTTTCTTGGCCCTGACCATTTATAAGGGACAGTGTGATGTAACATAAGTATAAGGGATTTTAGTTTAGAGGGCCTGAGTTGTAATAATTGGATGGCTCCCTACTGGGTACGTATCCAAGCGCATGTCATAATAACGTATTACACTGTCATAGCTTACATTTCAAGGTGAAAATTTCTCTATATCATTTAGCCCCAATAGAACACTGGAAGGAAGTTTTAGCTAAGGTTACCCCAGATGTTTCATGGTTACACAAGAATACAAAACAAAACATGTTTTCCCCACAGAATGAAAATACAATATAAGTTTTCTTTAGCAGCTGTGGCTGGAGATTGCAAAATGGAATAGTCTGGCCACCCTCCAAGCCATTAGCACCCCCCTCCCTTTCCCCCAAGGGTGAAAGACAATCAAGCCAAAGAGAAGGAAAAACACTCTGCTCTCAACTTGACAGCTAATACCCAGAAACGGAGCTGCCGGAGCATCTGCGATGTGTCAAAATAGAGATGACAGAGAGGAGTACAGAGCACCTCACCCCACAACCTCTAGATCAGACTAGTCCACTTTGAATGGCTCTCAGAAGCAGGACCCCAATACTCATCTCAAAGAAATGCGTGACAAGATTGCAGGCATTGTGGTAGATGTGGTAGAGAAAATTGGGGAGCAAAAGTCTTTCCAGTGCCCTTCATATAGCACGCCAGCAATGACTGTCTTTTTCACCTGGATTTAATAATGCCCCCACTTCTGAGACTGTTAAGGACTGTTAGGCCCATGGCATCTTCAGAAGAGTGCAGGGTGGGATAATGGGAACAGCATAGATTTGGAGTCTGACAGTGTGAGGATAAATCTTTATGCACTTCCATATCCCAGCCGTATAACCTTTAGCAAGTTACTTAATTTTGCTGAGCCTTAGTTTTCTAACAATACCTCACTGGGATCATTGGGACTTGGGACTGCTGCAAGGGTTAAATGAGGTCATAGGCCAAGAACACAGTAATTGCTCCAAAAATGGCCATTCCCGTCATCTCTTGGACAGTACTTTGGTGTCTTCTTCACCCTGATGTGAAGGACACAAAAAATACTCTGTTGATGCTCAGAAGAAAAAAACAAATCTCATCATGCATTTCAAAACTTCTTCACAGGAAGTTCTTTTCTTCTCTATGCTCTTGTCTTTCAGTCTTTCTTTTGATACTTCATGGTGCCCCTTACAAGCCTCTTTCTCTGGAGAGTGTCTGATATGAGGATTCCCGTCACAAAGGCAGGCCTACATGACTCAGCACAGTTCTCAAGTAGACCTTCTTCCAAAGAGGGTGAAAGGAATGAGAGAGCAGGCATTGAGATGTGCTGTCTTCTGCTTGGACCTTGATAGCCTTGGGCAACTTGGCCATCAGGATTCCGTTCCGATCAGCCTCCACTTGAATTCTCTATAATCAGGTACCCAATGCTACATTAAGTCCATTACCAAATCTTTAACCCCAAAGACTTTCCAAAGGCCAGACTTGGCCTTGAGTCGATCTGGAGTTCAGGCCAGGTTCATAATTATACCTTATTTCAACTTTCCAACCCCAATCTCTACTTGGCCAATCATTTAATGACCCTGGGGGATTCAAATCTGGAGAATAAGGCAAGGACTGAATGAAATTGTGTTAATTTCTGTCCAATTTAGTTAAATTTTCTTAAGGTGTGATTGATTTCCTTAGGACCTTGGTATATGGTCCAGTGCTGCTTAGCCAATGGGTTAAGTATCTCCAGATTCCCAGATATTTTTCTACCCTTATCTATATCCCGTCACTGCATGAAGACCCTGAGGACTTAGAAGTTAAGGTCTTAATTTGATCTTGAAGATGATTTAAACTTCTGGAGTCTCATCTGTAAGGCCAGGACAGTTGCACAGAATGTTTGTTAAGATTTCCATGCAGAAACCTAACCTAATAAGACTCAGTGAACAGGGGTATGGAAATTACCAGTGGGCTGCAGCCTCACTATTTAAACATGTCTTAGTGGCCGGACGTGGTCGCTCACGCCTGTAATCCCGGCAATTGGGGAGTCTGAAGCGGGCGGATCACGAGATCAAGAGATGGAGACCATCCTGGCCAACATGGTGAAACCCCATCTCTACTAAAAATACAAAAATTAGCCAGGCATGGTGGCACACGCCTGTAGTCCCAGCAACTTAGGAGGCTGAGGCAGGAGAATCACCTGAACCCGGAGGCAGAGGTTGCAGTGAGCCAAGATCGCACCACTGCACTCCAGCCTGGGTGACAGAGCGAGACTCCATCTCAAAAATAAATAAATAAATAAATAAATAAATAAATAAATAAATAAATAAATACTTTACATGTACCAGAACTATGGGGATACAATGAGATTAGAGTAATGAGAAAGATATACATGTCTCTGCCTTCATGGAGTTTACTGTCTATTGGGAAATTCAGATGTTAAACAGAGTCAAAAATATGATGCATATTGCAAGAGTATAAACACAGGATGCTATGAACCTACTTATTAACCAAGTGTGGCTGCATAATATCGGATTATTCATTTTAAAAAATGTTTCACTCTATGCCTTGCAACCATTCAAGCAAATATCCAAGTCCATACCTCCTTGCCTCTAGGGTGACCAATTCATCTTGGCTTGCCCAGGATTTTCTTGGTTTTGACACTGAAAGTCCCATGGCCAGGGAAAACTCTCAGTCCTCAAAAAACCAGACAGGTAGGTTATACTTCTTGCCTCAGGGAAAGTCTGGGGCAGAGTTCTCTGGCTTTTGTTTTCAAAAGCCTAAATTCTTTAGGATAACGGACATGAATCCTTCAAAAATTCAATGTCATGAAGCAACAATAACAATATAAAATGGTGAAGGGACTATTCTCGATGTAAATAAATTAGAAGGACATAAACATCAAATGCAATGTGTGACTCTAAATTGGATCCTGGTTTTTGTTCTGAAGCATAATGAACATTCTTGGAATGAAACATTTTGGGGAAATGAATATGAACTCGCTATTAGATAATTTTACGGAACTATCAACAGTTTTGTTAGACGCAACCATGATATTGTGGTTTTGTAGGTGAATGTCTTTCTCTTTAGAAGACAGGCTGAAGTACTGAGAGGTGAAAAAAGATGGTGATAAATTTTTAACGATTTTTGAATTCAGTAGAGTGCATAAGAATGTTCATTTTATTATTATTTCAACCTTTCTGTATTTACGAAACTAATACAAAGTTTTGGGAAAGAAGCCAGTAACCACTAAGCAGAATAGAGATTTGGGTTAAGAGAAATGGCCAGGCATGGGGCCCACACCTGTAATCCCAGCACTGTGGGAGGCCGAGGCAGGAGGATTGCTGAAGGACCCAAGTTCAAGATGAAAGAAACTTGTCCCTGAATTGGAAAAGGCTTCTTCCAGAATGGAAGCAGGAGAAAAAAGGAAGAAAATGACTGTGCTGGTGGTGTTGACTCTAGGCATATGGGGTTATAGAGGGCCTAGCAAAGATCCTAGTGCCCCAAATTTGGCACTGAAGCAGCTAAGAGAGCCCTGACTTAATGATATGGACATCTCAGTTGCTAGATTCCCGGATACACAGATGACTGATGAACAGACACCTGGAATTTTGACCCTAGCCCAAGTTATGAGAAGAACCCAAACTGAAACTGAGATTCCATTTCCATCACCCCAAAGAGTTACATTTTCTCCACATCTGAGTTTATGGACAGCATTGAATGTCCCGTACACTAAACTGGCAAATCCAGAAAAGTTCCCCTGAGTGATATCTTAGCTAAAACCTGAAAGATTAGAAGTTTGCCAGGTAAAAAGGAGAGAATAAGCATGTCACGCATCTGAAACTGCACGTTTAAAGGACAGAAGAGTGGTGCCTTCAGATAAACTAAGAGAAATTCAGTATGGCCAGAGCAGAGGGAGTGAGGGCAAGATGGACATGAGATGAGGGTGGAAAGGCAGCCTGGAGCCAGAATGCTCTAGGCCTTCCAAATTAGGCAAAGGAAATCACCCACACCTCTCCCCTTGGGAACTCCAGGGCCCTGCTCTTCCCTCTCAATGCCTCATCCATCCTGGTGCCCATGCCTCAGGGCCTCTCGGTGTCTTTAGAATGTGCAGTCTGGGCTACAAATTAGAAGTCATCCTGATTAGGCACCAAGTTCTTGCTGTAAAAGTGATGACAAATGGAGAGAAACTGAGTCTGTCACCCATTCTGGGGGGAGCTCTTTCCACTTGAGCCCTTTTACCCACTAATGTTATTAATACACAAACCTAGCCCCTCAAACACTGCCCAAGTATCTGTGGACATTCCCCGGGGGTGTCTCATGTGTGTTCATAGACGAATCTAGCTAGTCACCACCTGGTGTCTGCATGTTGTCCCTCCTTTACTGCCCCAGCCTCCTCTGCTAGACTATACCCTATCCAATGGGCACTACAGGCACTTCCCTGGGCACAACTGTGTCCACCAGGCACCAAAGTCTCCTCCTGCAGCTGATGAGCAGCACAGAAGGTGCCAAAGCTGTGAGATGTTATTCTGAGCAGTGGCAAAAAATGCCTCCCCTCGTGATGTGCACCCTCAGATAGTGGGATCCCAAAGTCATATTCCTTGTGCTGAAATAGTTTATAGGGGTTATAGGAAAACAGGCTTTTCAGTTTTCATGTACAGTCCCCCTAGCTTTCCACAGGGCTCAGATACATGACCACAGAGGTTGGGTAGCAGGGCCTTGGCCCACAGGCAAACAAACACATATCAGACGCTACTCTGTCCCCCAAATCACTCATCTTTTCTGACAATGGAGGCTTTGTTAGTGAGTCAGGCTTGTGGTGCCTGGCTCCTATTTCTCTGGGATGACTATTCTTCTGGGAGGAGCTTCAGTCCCTCCTGTAGGGATTTTTGAATCTGCTAACTGGTTCTCTGAATATGCCAGATATCTGAACTCCAGCAGAGGTCATAGTTTGGGCTCCTCCTGGGACCCACAGCTTTTGTCTGTCTTCTATTAGACCAGAATACTTGAGAAAAGGATGGGGTCTTGTTTGCTCTCATATCCTTGAATGGTGGCATGGGCCTGGCATGTAGGAGATGTTCAATTTGTTGTTTTTATTGAAAGACCATCCCATACCTTCGGTCAGTGGCCAC
Source organism: Homo sapiens (assembly GCF_000001405.40). Taxonomy (NCBI): domain Eukaryota; kingdom Metazoa; phylum Chordata; class Mammalia; order Primates; family Hominidae; genus Homo; species Homo sapiens. The sequence goes on along the minus strand of NC_000015.10, from coordinate 70,863,315 downwards.
CAAACTTCAGCTTGATGGAAACCACTTGGGAGATTATTAAATACACAGATTTCTAGGCTGTATCTTCAGAGATATGACTCATTTGATCTGGAGTGAAGATGCAGGACTATACATTTAAATAAGTTCCTTAGTAATTCTGATGCCCGTGGTCCTTGAATTTCAGTTTGCCTCTACCTTAGGCAGGCCTGAACCAGGGCCACTATTGGCACAAAGGACCACTTTAGCTCATTTGTGAGAATTAGAAATAGTTACCCTTTTCCCCTCTAGTTGCACCAAGTCTGAGGCCAGGGTGACAGCTTGGTGAGCAGAGTTTAGGCAGTCATTTCATCCCTTTATCCCCTATGCCAAGCATCCTCGTGCTGTGTACAACCTGAACAATTGTTTGCAGCAGGCTGGTCTGATGCCTGCTCCTGCTAAGAAATAGTGCACATGAGAAATGCATCTTTGAGTCACCCAGTCCCTCAGTAAACTCTAGGAAGATGCTGGGGTTGAATTGTGCTGGTTACTTGCACCTGGAGATCAGATGAACCACTAGCCTGAGTCTCCAGACCTGTTGGGAGGAACCTGAAAAATATGGCTTGAAAGACCGAACACAGAGGTTCTTGAATTTTGCTGCATGTTGGAATCATTTTGGGAGCTTTGAAAGCTAGGTATAATGCCTGATGCTTAATGTCTAGGTCTTAACCCCAGAACTTAATTGGTAGGGCATCAGAATTTTTTTTTTTTTTTTTTTTTTTTGAGACGGAGTCTTGCTCTGTCGCCCAGGCTGGAGGGCAGTGGTACAATCTCAGCTCACTGCAACCTCTGCCTCCTGGGTTCAAGCGATTCTCCTGCCTTAGCCTCCTGAGTAGCTGGGACTACAGGCACGTGCCACCATGCCCAGCTAATTTTTTGTATTTTTAGTAGAGACGGGGTTTCACGTTGTTAGCCAGGATGGTCTCGATCTCCTGGCCTTGTGATACGCCCGCCTCGGCCTCCCAAAGTGCTGGGATTACAGGCGTGAGCCACCGCGCCCGGCCAGCCTCAGAATTTTTAAAAGCCCCCCAGGTGATTCTAAGATTCTAACATGCAACTTAAGTTGAGAATTTCTGACCTAATGAAGCCCTCACCCTGATCAGGGAGAAGCATTGACTGCTGTGTGTCTTCCTGGGGAATGGAGGACCAGGGTGGGCTCGCCCTTCAGGCCGGAGTAGGCAGCTGGCTCTCTTGCTATGTGTGGTCCAGCTTTGTGTAAATTCTTTAGGTTTTCCCTCAAGAAAAAAATGAGTACCTGTGCCTGTGTTTCTTAGAATTTCTACCAATCACTTTCATACCTGCTGTTACTGATCACTCGCCTAGATCTAGTCCTTCTTTCACCCTTCTAAAATAAAACCCATCTATTTTTTCTTTTTAAGACAGAGTCTCACTCTGTCACCCAGGCTGGAGTGCAGTGGTGTGATCTTGGCTCACTGCAGCCTCCACCTTCTGGGTTCAAGCAATTCTTCTGCCTCGGCCTCCCGAGTAGCTAGGACTACAGGCGCACACCACCATGCCCGGCTAAGGGTCTCCATCTATTTTTAACTTGTGACATTCCTCATCAGTTTGATAAACCAGTCCTCCACAAGACATAAATGGCAGGTAAAGCTTGAATATACTTTCCAAAGTATGTGTCAAAACAATTTGATAATATGCCACAAAGAAATTAATATTATGAGAGCAAGACGTTATCTTTAAATGGTGGGACCCAAACTGGGGATGTTGTTGCTTTGTGGGGAGCACCTCAAACTTAGGGGAGTGGGAGACAGTACTGAGGGCCTTTTAGAAAACCCTACTCTTTTTACCACCTGCAGCAATGACCCGACTTCCATTCATAATGCTGATAATGCTATTCTTCTGAAGGGAGAGAAGAAGAAGGAATAAAGAATCTGGTTCCCCCACTAGAACACGAGCTCCTATGCTAATAGGGGGAACTACATTCTATTCCTTTTGGACTCCTGCATCATTTGTACCACATAATTTGCCTGCTTTTGCCATGCAATAAATGTTTAAGTTGTTACATTCAAATTCAACACCAATTTATTGAGTAGCTACTATATCCTAGGCCCTGAACTAGGTACTTCCATGTGTTATATAATTCAATCTTCTATTAATATTAGGCATTAATATCTAATACTTTAGACATTAAGTAGGATATAGGTTAAGTCTGTGACAAAAATATATCAAAATACAGTCTATTAGACAAAGTGTGAGATTCTTTCTTTCTAAAATAATGATCCACATTACAGCCCAGCAAACAAATCCAGAGCGTGTTTGCTGGTTCAACTCTCCTCAACATGTGACTTCCATCCTTGGGTTCGACAAGGCCACTTTAGCCAATGGGTAGAGGAAAAAGCCAGAGACACACAACCCAGAAGGGCCAGAAAACCTTTCTGTTCACATCCTATTGGCCAGAATTTAGTTACATGATTATACCAATATGCAAGGCAGGCTGGGAAATGTAATCACTAATTAGGTGGCCATATAGCCATCTAAAACTGGGGATTGATATTGTTAGACAAGAAAGAATAAATATTAATGGACAATACTCATAAAAATCTCACACCTATGGATAACTATCTTAATTCATATTGAAGTTAGAAATAAACTATAGGGCAGAGTGCAATGCCATATACCTGTAATTCCAGCACTTTGGGAGGCCAAGAGTTAGAAACCAGCCTGGACAACATAGAAAGACCCTATCTCTACAAAAAACTTAAACTGGCCAGGTGTGGTGGCATGCCTGTAGTCCCAGCTACTTGGGAGGCTGAGGCAGGAAAATAGCTTGAGCCCAGGAGTTTAAGGATACAGTGAGTTATGATCACTCCACTGCACTCGAGCCTAGGCGACAGAGTGAGACCTCATCTCTCCTTTTTGTTTTTTGGTTTTGTTTGTTTGTTTGTTTGACAGTTGGTAGGGCTAGCTGAGGTTTTATTTAAAAAGCAATTGAATTGTTTTGTAGCTGGAGGCATGGGTAAGGGGTGTCCCCAGGCAGTAAACTCCCCCGCGGGTGGGCTGAGGGCTTGGGCTGAGCCTCAGGTGGGTCTCCTGTTCCCTGTGATACCATGCACAGCGGCCTCCTCCAGGGCCCTGGGGCAGCCGCAGGAGGGGTAGGATGGGAGGGGCTGCCGCGTCTGTTCACTTAGGCAGGATGTCAGAGGACTTGGACACCAGCTTCCCATCACGGGTCTCAATCTTCTTCAACCACAGCCCTGGTGGAGCCGGTGCGGCTGAAGGAGCTGGAGCCTGCGCCAGAGCCAAAGCTGGAGCCCAGGCTGTAGCTGAGGCCGGGGCTTGTGAGGTCCCCATAGGTGGAGCTCAGACCACCTGCATAGCCGCTGGTGGTCTTCGTATGGATTGTCATGTTCTGCATCCCAGACTCCAGCCGGCTCTCCTCACCCTCCAGCAGCTTCCTGTAGGTGGCAGTTTTGATGCCCAAGGCCAGCTTGACATTCATCAGCTCCTGGTACTCACGCAGCTGCCACACCATATCCTGCCTGGCCCATTGCAGAGAGGCCTCCAGCTCGGACAGCTTGGCGTTGGCATCCTTAACGGCCAGCTCCCCACGCTGCTCCACATCTGCGATGGTGGCCTCCAGGGAAGCCATCTGGCCTTTGAGGCCCTTAATCTCAGCCTGGAGCCGGCTGATGTTCCAGTTCATCTCGGAGATCTCAGTCTTTATAGGCTGCAGGTCATGCCCAAGCTTCCCAGCCAGCGTCTGCAGCTCCTCATACTTGATCTGGTGCATGCTCTCAGCCTCCGCCTGGCTGCGGTTGGCAATCTCCTCCTACTGCACCTTGACCTCAGCAATGATGCTGACCGTGTCCAGGAAGTAGCTGTTGTCCATGGACAGCACCACAGATATGTCCGAGATGTGGGACTGCAGCTCCCAGATCTCCTCTTCAAACAGCTGCCTGAGGAAGTCCATCTCGTCAGTCAGCCCTTCCAGGCAAGACTCCAGCTCTATCTTGTTCATGTAAGCTTCATCCACATCCTTCTTGATGAGGACAAATTCATTCTCCACCTCTGTACGCTTATTGATCTCATCCTCATATTTGTTCTTGAAGTCCTCCACCAGCCCCTGCATGTTGCCAAGCTCCACCTCCAGCTTCAGCTTCTCCTGGCTCAGAGTCTCCAGCTGCCACCTAAGGTTGTTGATATAGCTCTGGAACATGTTGTTCTTGTTGTTCCGAGCCATCTTCTGCTGCTGCAGGAGGCTCCACTTGGTCTCCAGCATCTTGTTCTGCTGCTCCAGGAACCATACCTTGTCTATGAAGGAGGCAAACTTGTTGTTGAGGGCCTTGATCTGCTCCTTCTTTGGGTGTGTAGAGCCTGGATGTTGGGGTCCACCTCCAGGTTAAGAGGGCTCAGCAGGCTCTGGTTGACCGTGACAGCGGTGATGCCTCCCATACCACTGGCCCCACCACCCAGCCTCCACCCAGGCCACCCCAGAAGCTGCTGCTGCCCACTCGGGAGAATCTCAGGTGCTGATGCGGGCACTGGGCCCACTTGTGTAGGAGCAGCTGCTGAAGGCCCGGGGGCCAGAGGTGGACATCTTGTAGGACTTCTGGGTCACCCTGATGGACATGGTGGAGGCAGGAGTGGAGGCAGGCGGGCTGAACCAGGCGGAGATTCCAGAAGGAGCAGAGAAGCTGCTTCTTGGTCCTTTTTTTGTTTGTTTTGTTTTGTTTTTAATTGAGACCAAGTCTCGCTCTGTCGCCCAGGCAGGAGTGCAATGGCACAATCTCGGCTCACTGCAACCTCCACGTCCCGGGTTCAAGCGATTTTCCTGCCTCACCCTCCTGAGTAGCTGGGACTACAGGCACCCGCCACCAAGCCTGGCTAATTTTTTTGTATTTTTAGTAGAGACAGGGTTTCGCCATGTTGGCCAGGCTGGTCTCGAACTCCTGACCTCGAGTGATTTGCCCGCCTCGGCCTCCAAAAGTGCTGGGATTACAGGCGTGAGCCACTGCACCCAGCTGTGAGACCCTGTCTCAAAAAAGAAAAAGAAAAAAAGAAACTATAGAAAGATGCTGGTTTCTGGCCAGGGAAGTCCTCGATTTTGTCAGTGTATTCAGGATTAGGTTGGCTCTGAAGCAAAACACTTCTGCAGACCAGATTCAACTTTTAAGAGTATGGCATCTAGAAAAAAACTGATTTATTAATTTACAATGGAGCAATATACATACTCAGCAACTGGAATGTTTGTGTTTCCCATTCAGGCTAAGGTTTTCTTGGTATGAAGGTTCTTGGAACGCTGCATCATAATCTACTAGCATACACTGAGTGTCTAATCTGGGCCAGGTCTGTGCTAGACATTTTTCACAAACAACCTAGTTTTATCTGTGAGCCCAACTCAATTAAGTGAGGATCATTCAGAACATTTTACAGGTAAGAAAACTGAACAGCAGAGAGGTTATGAAGCTAAGCAGCAGCAAGGCTGGAGTCTGAATTCAGATCTATTTGATAATAAAGTGAGCGTGTTTCCATTATACCCTGCTGCTTATGTGTGAGCTTTTCTAGTCAGCTTCAAAGCATCCTTGGGGATGTTTTCACTGGCTGTGCCTCCCTATATGGATTTCTGTTACAGCATTTAGTGCATAGACACAGTCTTATTATTGAAGGCTGTCTTTCCTAGGCTCCCTCCATCTCTTGGTATTCATGGATCATGTCTCAGGCATTTTACAAAATTGAGTATAGCACAGGTCCTGGTATTTGGGACATGCTTAAACAAATGATTAAATGAGTAGATAAAAATGCCCTCTGAACCTACAGTTAAAACAGACCCCTTTTTTTTTCCTTTAATTTGAAGATGGGGTCTCTGTTGCCCAAGCTGGAGTGCAGTGGTGCCATCATGGTTCACTGCAGCCTCGACCTCCTGGGCTTAAGGGATCCTCCTGCCTCAGCCTCCCGAGTAGCTGGGACTACTCTTCTTCTCTTCAACGCTTAGCCTTGTCCCAACTTCCCAGCTTCACCACAATATCTTATTCCAAGTCCTTGGTTTCCAGCTGTAGTGCCAGGCACACTCAAAAATATTTCCAATTGATTCCAAACAACACCCTTGTATATACTGGAAAGGTCTTCTAGGGTTGAGTTTTTCCTTCAACCTAATCTCAGTCCATCCTGATGGCTTGTCAATGTGCTTCCTTTTGTTTCATCCTCAGGAGCTATGGAAAAAGCTGTTTCCCCTTGTGAGTTTACTATGAAAATGAGCTGTCAAGATTCCAGGGAAGGGAAAGATGCCAACTCCAGGCTGAGGTCATGATTTTGTTTAAAGAGGCTTTGCTAATCATCTCAGTGGTGATGCAAACTCCCTGCAATGATGTTCAAGACAGGCCTGGGTGGGACTGGCCTCCCTTCCCCTGCCACGGCTCTGGGGAGGAATAAGCTGGAAATCGAAAGGAGCCCTTTAAAAGCCCTGGTTTCTTCACCAGTGACACAAATGATGGGTATGTGGGTAGGACTAATCAAAGCAAATCAGCAAGTGTTCCTAGATGAAGGCTCCCTGCTAGACAAAATCGGGTGCAACAAAGTGGAAGAAGAGGCCCTTCCCTCTAAGCCTCACTGGGACTCACTCTCCTCATTGCAAACGTGATCGAGTTGGACTTCTCCCATGAAATACCCCTAGTGCAAATGAGGGTTTCTGTCCTCCGCTCCTCTAGGCATTATTCTAAGCCAACTACTATAAATGAGAAACTTATGTGAGTTGCCTTAAACATTCCGTGCAAGTTTTGCATTTGATTTCACAGATATTCCAAGTTGTTTTAATATATACATTGTGGCTGTTCTCTCAAATAGCTAAGTAAAATTGATACCCCAGAAAGATGCCCCATATTTATGCTATGACTTAATGGGTACCCCTAAGAGTACCCATTCTTGGGTACTCTGCCAGACTACCCATTCCCTACCAGGAGCAGCTCCGAGCTGGATGATGTCTGACATTCTTTCTAGATCCAAAATTCCTTTATGAGGAGTCAGAAATAAGTAATAACAGAAACAACATAGGCAGATATGTTTGAATGTAAGGACATATAAATTCAATTTCTTTTTTTCAAAACTCTCACCAAGTAAAACGCTTCTACAGCCCAGATTCACCCACCAACTGTCAGTTTTCAAACTGTATTTTCAGAATCTATATTTTAAGAAAAGTCCCCAGGGGACTCTTATGATCAGGCATTTGGAAACCCTGAAAAGACATGTATGAATTGTTCATAAACTATAAAACCTGAGATGAATGTGAGCCATCATTGTGGGTAAGGATAACAACCCCTGATGTCTTTGCCACACGAGATGGCTTAAATGAGATAGATAATGGGTATCACTTTGTGAAATTCAGGAACCGAAATTATCAAACTGGAAGGCATGGTGGCTGCTGCAGCTCTTTCCTTCTGAGCCTCATCACAGGTGTTTGCAGAGGATCTATAGCCCTGGAGGGAGGCACAGCTGGCTGGAAAAAGACACTGTCAGCCTCTTGCCTCTTCCTTTCCCAGTAGCTCAGATCCAGGGCTGTGAGCTGTTCTGGTGCAGAAACAGCAATAGCACCAAAGGTCTCTCTCTCTTCCTTTACTTACTTATTTTAGGACCTCTTCTATCAAAACAGAGGTCCGACAAAGAAAGGGACACAGATTCTAGTGTCCTTAAGAAGAGGGGCTGTCCTCGCTGGGCCCCTGGGTCTCTCCCCAGCCCTGCCCAGACACCCAGGACCCTATACATGGTGTTCTTTTACAAGGACACTGCCCTCCAGGAGACCTCATTTCCTAAGCCTATCCTAACTTGTCTTTCTATATCAAAACAAATGTATTGGTCCAGGGTTCTGTTGTTTTGGGGTCCCAGTGTGGCAAATTAATATGATAAATTATGTTTAAGGCTCTAAATAAAGTGCTACATGAAAGCAGATTCAGGTCTTATTCATTTCTTTTTCTTCTTTCCTTCTTTCTTTTTTTTTCTTTTTCTTTTTTTTTTTTTTGAGACGGAGTCTCGCTCTGTTGCCCAGGCTGGAGTGCAGTGGCACAATCTCGGCTCACCACAACCTCTGCTTCCCAGGTTCAAGTGATTCTCCTGCCTCAGCCTCCCGAGTAGCTGGGATTACAGGCACGTGCCACCACGTCCAGCTAATTTTTGTATTTTTTTTAGTAAAGACAGGGTTTCACCATGTTGGCCAGGATGGTCTCGATCTCTTGACCTCGTGATCCGCCCGCCTGGGCCTCCCAAAGTGCTGAGATTACAGGCTTGAGCCACTGCGCCCGGCCGGTCTTATTCATTTCTATGCTCCTGTCCCTAGTTTCTGGGTCACATTTGGAGAGGTGAGATGGAACTCAATTTGAAGTTACACGTGAAAAGGTGGCAGTGTTTTAGAACATCCTGACATTTCAATAGCTCCCTTTATTCATTCAACAAACATCTGAGTGCATACTATGTGCAGGGCATACTCTATAGGCCATCGGCTTTCGAACTTTTGTGAACTTCAGCATCACCTAGAGGCCTTGTTAAAACACAAAGTTCTGAATCATAGATTCTGATTCAGGAGGTCTGGATGAGCCCTGAGAATTCAATTTCTAACAAGTTCCCCGGTGCAGCTGATGCTCCTGGTCTGGGAACCACACTTGGAGAAAAACTGATACAGGGCAAGGCAGGAGCCAAGCCCCTGACCTCCTAAGACGCGGTCTAGGGTGGTTATTATGTCAAGGAGACTAACGATGGAAATTTTCTGATCTTGGCAGGCCAGTGGGGGAGACACGCAGGAGGCCTGGAAGCCCCTGGAGCTGTGGTCTCTGGCTGCCACCCCCGGAGTCAAGCACAAACAGAAGTCAGCTGTGCTGCGCCCATCCCTGCGGCGCCGTGAAAGAAGGCGCAGGAGGAGGGAGCCCTGACACCTCCTCTCGGGCTGGGGCCCCACAGCGGCGAAAAGACGGAGGGAGTGATCGGGGGTCGCGGGGATCCTTCCGGGACGGGCCTCCGTCGGAGGAGCTCCGGAAAGCCGCCCTCCACCTCCGAGGCCCCGCCTGCGCGGGCGCTCCACTAGCGGTCGGGGTGGTGGCGGCGGCGGCGGCGGCGGCGGCGGCGCGGGGCGGGGCGCCGCGACCCCTGTCCCTCCCCTGGGCCGAGCGGCAGGCGCGCTCGCACCGCCCCCGCCCCCTCGTCGCAGTCGCTGCCGACCGGCTGGCTGGGCCTTGCGGCGTGAGGACCCCGGCGGCGCCGCAGTCCCGCGAGCCATGGCCCAGTCCGGCGGGGAGGCTCGGCCCGGGCCCAAGACGGCGGTGCAGATCCGCGTCGCCATCCAGGAGGCCGAGGACGTGGACGAGTTGGAGGACGAGGAGGAGGGGGCGGAGACTCGGGGCGCCGGGGACCCGGCCCGGTACCTCAGCCCCGGCTGGGGCAGCGCGAGCGAGGAGGAGCCGAGCCGCGGGCACAGGTAGGCGCGGCGGCTGGCCCGGGAGGTGGGCCCCGAGGGGGCGCCGGGCCGCGCGCGAGTTCGGGGCGCTGACTGCGCGCGACAACTCCTCGGGCAGAGGGGGTTGAGTCAGCCCCGCCGCCGGGGAAGCAGCTCCGGGCCGAGCCCCTGAGTCAGAACCGGCCCGTGGAGGCAGCCGGTGCCCCAGCCCGCAGCTTCGTCGCCCAACCGAGGCTCCCAGGGCTGGCGGCCGGGATCTGAGGGGCCTGGACGTGGGGATGTTCAGGGATCCAGGAGGAGGACTTTCACGGGCCATCCAAGCCACCCCCTCCTCTGGAGGAGGCCTCTTCTCTGTGGGCTCCCTCAAGACACCACCTCCCCATCGCCGCAAAGTCCATCCCTACCCGCCTTCCCCTCCCCTTGCGAGTGGTCCCGCTTACCCTTCACTGCCATCATCGCCCTGCCTTTCCCAGTCCTGCTGGCTGCGCTCAGTCTTTAGGTGGTAGCAGGCCAGGTACAGCGGACACTTGCTGATGGGGGATTCCAGGAGGTGGGATTTCAAGGTAATTTGAGACGGATAGAGGACTTGCTGCTTTACTTCCTCCGCCCTGGGGGATTCCCATTTTCACACAGCCTTTCCCACCAGACCTTTATGTTTGCATCATCTTGCTGCCTTGCGGGGGGCGGGGGGGGGGTGTTCCTGGGTTTTGGGTAGTTTGGAGCTGCTATGGCACTTGTTTAACCTTGTCCCGGGTCCCGAGCTTTGTCCTCAGGCACCTTGGCTCCTGTCCACTAATGCCCAGGCCCTTAAGGACTGGTGTTTTGTTCCTGCTGTTGAAAGGAGATAAAACATAGACATAGACATGAGAGTGGGGAAATGACAGAACTTGCACATTCTGGTGGATGCCAACAGGCACTTATTAGGAGCTCTCTTTCTTCTAGGACCCTGTCCCAGGCGTTTAGCTGTTAAGGTTCTGCAGGATTGTCCTGGCAAGCGTATATCTACTTCACTGGGAGAATACTCAACTCAAGGGTGGAAGAATACTGGGCCCAGAGCCATTCTCTATTACTGGCTCACCCTTCCCCAGGTTAAAGGGTCAGACTTCTGGACCCAGAGATTCGGGGCAGACCAGTAGAGACAGTTGTTAGGGGAGAAAAGTCAGCCCACCAGGGTAGGGCAGGAAAGCTGGACCATAGTGTATGACAAAGTAGATAGATCAGTGCTTTATAATGCAAGGCCTGATTCGTTTAGCTCTGTGCCAAGTACCGAGAGCATAAAAATGATGAACCCTTAGTCACTGACAGCTCACAGTCTCGAGAAGGCAGTCCCCTAGTCAGACAATATCAGAGTATGTAAAATAGCCCCAAGTGGTTTATCCTTATAACTTTATTTTCCTGTGGCAGTGGCAAATAGCCATCCCTATCCTGAGGGCTAAATTTGTGAGATTGTATCATTAGCCAGGATTAAAGCTCTACTTATGTTTAAGGCCTGGAAAGATCCCCTATGGAGGTCTAGGAGAAACCAAGCCTCAGTATGGGTAGGCCTCTTGCCTGAACCCCTCTTGCTCTTCCTCCAGAACTGCCCAGCTCCCGTGGCTTGAGTCTCAGCAAGTGTTCAGTCTGAAGCCCTTCCTGCTGCCCACTGGCATAGAGTTGACCCCAGAAAATCCCTGGGGTTCTTCGGTGAGCTGACAGAGCCCAGTGGGCAGGCACCCAGAGCAGGAGGAGATGTAGCCAAGAACAGGATCCACACTATCCCCTGTTTGGACCCAGGCTCGCATGGCAGCAGCCATCACCCGATGTGAATGTTCTCAGCTCCTGGAGCCTACAGGAGAAAACCCAGATTCCTCAATCTGCTCATTAAGATGTGACACCCACTCACATCATCTCCTCAGCCCATTGCCTCAACAGTTCACGCTGTCAACAGTTCACGCTCCCGTGATTCCAGCTAGTTCCCTGAGCATAGGGGGCTATTTTGTGTCTACATGCCTCTGCACCCCCACCTCTAGGTCCTCTGATTGACTGATTTCTAGTCAGCCTTTAAAACTTCGCTGCCTCTTCTCCACCACCCCCAATCCCCACCCCAGAGCTGGCTGTGTTTCCTTTCTTCTCTGTTGCTGTAGTACTCTGTACATTTTATGCCTAGCACCTTCCACAATTGTGATTCTATCATTGTGTCTCCCTCACAGGAATAGGAGCTCGGTGAATTCAAGGACCATGCTTGCTTCGTTCATTGTATCTTCAGCACCTAGCACAGCACCCAGCACATAGGACATGTTTGTTGACTGAATGCGTATCTCTATCATCACACTCACTCAATGGTGTTGAGATATTTGTGTTTCCCCTTCCCTAGACAGTGAGATCCTTGAAGGCAGCTGCCTTATCTTATTCCTTTTTGTATTTCCATACCTAGCCTAATACCTAGCTTATATAAGGGAACAGAATAAATGAACAATAAAGAAAAGTCTTTACAGCCTCTAAAATGTTATTGATCATCTCCCCACATCTCCTTCATTAAAAAGATGCCTTTCCTTTTATTCTCACCTTTTTAACATAAAAATTTTCAAACATAAAGAAAATATGAAAAAATAGTACTATGAGCATTCATATACCCATCATCTAGATTTAACACAACATTTTGCCATATTTGGTGAATGGATATACAATGTATGTGTTTTCCCCGAACCATTTGAGGTATGTTTTACACAAGATTATACCTTAAATACTTCATTTTGTAACTCCTAATGACATTCCCTATAAAGCCCTAACACTATTATTGCAACTGAGAAAATTAACTATCATTCCCTAATATAATCCTGAAGATAAGCTAATAGCCAAGTTCCACATTCAAGATTCCCCAAATTGTGCCACAATTGTCTTTTACAGCTGTTTCTTTTTTCCCCTCAAACCAGAATATGGTCTGGGTTGAGGCATTTGCTTCTTATGTCTCTAGACTCTATTAATCTAGAAATTTCCACCATTTTTTTTCCCTAATGCTTTGCTATTTTGGACAGAAGAGGTCAGACATCTTGTTGAATGTCTCACATTTTGGATTAGTCTGGTAATGTTCTCATGATCTTATTTTACTTGCTCCTTTGTACCATGTGCTTCTTATAAACTGAAAGATAGGGCTAAGGTTTTGATTTGATTCTGTTTAAACCTTTTGTCAAGAATGCCTCATACTCTGTGCCTGGAACTTGATGTTCCATCACTTCAGGAGCCATCCCACCCTTAGTGATGCTAAATTTGACCATTCGATTAAGGAGATTTCTCCATCGTACAGGTTGTCTTTCCCTTTGCAGTTAACAAGTTATTTGTGGGCTTCTCATCCTGGGTTCTGTTGATGTATCACACTTATTGATTTGCATATGTAGATCCATGCATGCATCCCAGGGATAAATCTCACTTGATCTTGGTGAATGATCCTTTCAAGATGCTGTCGAATTCAGTTTGCTAATATTTTGCTGAGGATTTTTGCATCTATGTTCATCAGGGATATTGGCCCATAGTTTTCCTTGTTTGGCTTTAGTATCAGGGTTATGCTGGCCTTGTGAAATGAGTTTGGAAGCATTCCCTCCTCTTCAAAGTTTTAGAAGAGTTTGAGAAGTATTGGTATTAGTTGTTCTTTAAATGTTTAGTAGAATTCAGCAATGAAGCCATCAGGCCTTGAGCTTTTCTTTGATAGGAGATTTTTGATTCCTGATTCAATCTCCTTACTTGTTATTGGTCTGTTCAGATTTTCTGTCTCTTCATAATTCAGTCTTGGTAGGTTTCATGTTTCTAGGAATGTATGCATTTCTTCCAAGTTTTCCATTCCTCTTGCAATATTCTTTCCCCAATGACTTTTCACCTAATTATTTTAGCATCTATTGATGATCCTTACCTAAGTTGGTTATTTCACTGGGGACTGGAAATTGAGGATTTTCTAATTTTCACATTTTTTGTACACTTATTAGCCAGCATTGCTCTATTTTTTTTTAAAAAAAGCTTTGTCTCATCATCTGGATTGAACAAAAGTTTCTCCTAAAGAGGCAAAAAAATGCTTAATTATTTCCCTTTAATTACAGTTTTCAAAGAGATAATTTGATATAATAGTCACACTAAATAATTTAAATGAGGGCTCTTCCTCAAGCTTATACTCTTCCTCTCTCTCCAATTCATAGATTTGTATTTATTCACTTTTTAATAATTCATCACAGTCATTTTTGGTGCTCAAAATGTCTATATTGCAGCCAGCAGACCCCCTTGAAGCTGGCCTCCTTGTGTCTTTTTGTAACATGCCCATTAGTCTTTAAGCACTTCTTTGCTTTCTGGTACTAGTATTCCAGGCATAATTTGTACTTTTCCTACTCCAGTCATGGAATTCAGCCATTTCCACAGTAATCTCTGCTTTTTTCAAATACCAGTAAGAAAGTATTTAGAAACTAAGACCTGGAATTAGGAAAGCTAACTTCTGCCAGGGTATTGTTGCTTTCAGAGCCTTTCAGTGGACAGAACTAAGAAATATATATATATTTTTTTGTTTGTTTGTTTGTTTGTTTGTTTTGTTTTTGAGACAGGGTCTTGCTCTTGTCGCCCAGGCTGGAGTGCAATGACCTGATCTTGGCTCACTGCAACCTCCACCTCCCAGGTTCAAGCGATTCTCCTGCTTCAGCCTCCTGAGTAGCTGGGATTACAGGCGCCTGCCACTATGCCCAGCTAATTTTTGTATTTTTAATAGAGACGGGATTTCACCATGTTGGCCAGGCTGGTCTCAAACTCCTGACCTCGTGATCCACCTGCCTTGGCCTCCCAAAGTGCTGGGATTACAGGCGTCAGCCACCATGCCCGGCCAAGAAATATGTTTTTTAAAAAACACTTATATCAATAATTCCAATTCAAATTTACATTACAGGATTTTTGCTGTTTACTTCTTTTATTTATTATACTGAAAATCTTGGTTCCTAATAACATTAACATAATTACTTATTTTCTTTGTATTACAATGTGTAAAAATGATTCAAAGTTATAATATTAAATATTAATATGAACAATAAAAACCATTGAGCCACCTGCTTTTAATTTAACAACACAATCTTCTAGGTTTCTCTTTTTTTCCATGATGTTTTTGGGACATTGTACAGGCTGTCTTTTCCCTGCTTTGGATGGTGATAATGAAAGCCTCTACTTTTTTTTTTTGAGACAGAGTCCTGCTCTGTCACCCAGGGTGGAGGGCAGTGGCACCATCTTGGCTCACTGCAACCTCCGCCTCCCAGGTTCAAGTGATTCTTATGCCTCAGCCTCCCGAGTAGCTGGGATTGCAGGCACCTGCCACCATGCCCGGCTAATTTTTGTATTTTTAGTAGAGACAGGGTTTCACCATGTTGGCCAGGCTAGTCTCGAACTCCTGACCTCAAGTAATCTGGCCACCTTGGCCTCCCAAAGTGCTGGGATTACAGGCGTGAGCCACCACGCCTGGCCTCTGCTTTTTTATTAATGTCAATTTTTTTGTCAGATGTAGAACTAAGTGCCTGATATACGTAGTCTCTACTCCAAACTACGAATCATTATTTAGACCCATGGAGACATCCACTAGTTGTATATCCCTTTCCCAGGCTCAAAGGCTTATGCCAGAACAGCATGGCAGAAGACAGGGTCAGAGAGGAAGTTCATGTCTCTGTAATAAATATATAAGAACCCATGGGCCACGCAAGCATAACATGTGCCCCCTGCTAGCACCATCCAAAATATGGTTTGTAAAAGGGTGATGCCTTTAACAAAGTTGAGAACATACCTGTATATGTTTTCAATCTGTCTCAGTGAAAAATCCTTATCTTTTGAATCTGCCCTGGTGTTTTTATATTGCATTATCAATTTGCCCTTTTTGAACCATTTCACATTCATTATCTTGTTCTAGAGGTGAGTCAAAAGAAATCTCACACAGACAGGACCTGGACCCTAGTGTTTTTCATAAATGATGTTTTTGTGTTTGGTACCTTCCTTATTGGTGTCCACCATTTTCTTGGTCTTGGTGGTCAAAATACCATATTCCACCATCTGCAATGATAGACAATGAGTCTGAAAAATCATTCCTGGATTGAAAGCTGTAGTGAGGGTCTCATTATTCCACCATCTTAGTTTGGATATTCTCCTCCTATAGGGTATCATTCGATTAACTGCGCAATCAGTGTAACCAGATTCGATATTTTATGAAAAAAGTAGCCTTGGATGTTTTATGCTACAAATCCTTTTGTTTCTCTAAATCATTTACAAATATGACACACCTGTAATCCCAGCACTTTGGGAGGCCAAGGTGGGCAGATCACAAAGTTAGGAGTTTGAGACTAGCCTGGCCAATACGATGAAACACTGTCTCTACTAAAAAATACAAAAATTAGCCAGGCATGGTGGTGCGCACCTGTAGTCCCAGCTACTCAGGAGGCTGAGGCGGGAGAATCGCTTGAACCCAGGAGGCAGAGGTTGCAGTGAGCCAAGATAGTGCCACTGCACTCCAGCCTAGGCGATAGAGTGAGACAACATATTTAAAAAAAAAAAAAAATTCAGCACTGATTCATGGAACCCAATTACCTGTTTTAAAATGTACCCCTTTATTTCTACCCATTTCTCACAGGTTTATAGCTATAACAAAAGACCTCATCACTCCCAGTTTACAATGTTTTGTTAAAAAACAAAACAAAGCAAAACCTTAAGTGTAAAACTTTTTCAAGCCTCCTTGAAAGGCCACTAAGAGCATATTCATCAGAAACCATACTTCCTCCCTCAAAGGATCCTGATAGGTATGATTTGCCCTCAAAACTATTTGCTTTACATTGGTGATACTTTTTAAATTCCCATTACATGCAAGGCTCTGGGGTAATACTATAATGAAAGAAACCAGCTTGAGTTCTACTCTCAACTCAGTGTTCGGGCTGCTAATAAAATGTGCACACAAGTAGCTATAATACAAATATAGATAAGTGTTGGGAGAAGTAGAAATGATTTTTTCTTCCTAGGAGAATTGCATTTAAGATGGACCTTAATGTGTGACTAGAATTTAGACCCGAGAGAGAGGAGCAAGGCATTCAGAGACAGGAACAGCAAGCTCAAAGGCACAGAGTCCAGAAAGCTTGTGACACTTACAGATAACTATGTCTTTCTGTTTGTTTGGAGCAAAGGATCTGAAAGGAAACCGATGGAAATAAGTTTTGATGCTGGTTACAGCCAGATTCTAAATGAGTCTGAATAAGGAGCTGAAGACTTTGTTGGTTTTTTTTTTATTATGTATGTATGTATGTATGTATGTATGTATTTATTTATTTTTTGAGACAGGGTCTCACTCTGTCACTCAGGCTAGAGTGCAGTGGCGCAGTCATGGCTTACTGTAGCCTCGACCTCCTGGGCTCAAGCAATCCTCCCACCTCAGCCTCCCAAATAGCCTAGACTACAGGTGTGCACGGCCATACCTGGCTAATTTTTAAATTTTTTGTAGAGACAGGGTCTTGCTACGTTGCCCAAGCTAGTCTCGAACTCCTGGCCTCAAATGACCCTCCGGCCTTGGCCTCCCAAAGTGCTGGGATTACAGGCGTGAGCCACCGTGCCTGGTTGGGAGCCGAAGAGTTTGAATTTTATTTAACAGGAAATAGAAAAGCTTTTATTATTATTATTAAAGTAAATCAGTGACATCAAGTAAAGCAGTGACATACTCTAGCTGTTCTTCAAAACATGTAATATGGCACAGAGTGGAGGAGGCTGTAGCCTAAAATATAACATGGGAGGTGGCAGGAGGTGGGAAGACAGAACCCTAGAAAGACTCTGGTTGGGAAATATACCAAAGATGCAGGAGTAAAAAGGGCTACAAATATCTGAAAGGTAATTTAAATTCTTCCTTTAGAACAATTTCCTAGCCTTTCTGTCTGCCAGTGGAAAGTAGCAGGTATTTTATTTTTAAGGGGGAAAAAAAAGAGACAAGATTATTTTCTAAAGGAATTGAATGAGCTCACTACGGAGATCTAGGGATGCGAAAGCAGAGCTGGCAGCCGCAGAGTAAAGCCTTTGCCATTTGGGTAGAGCCCCCAGCTTAATCATTCCCTGCCTGCTCACCCTCATGTGAAGCCTGCCACTTGGCATGCCCCACCTGTGTACATAGAGCCATCTAGGAAGAAAACCAGTGGGAGTGTGCAACTGCAGAGGGAACCCATACAACCCACTAAGAAAAAGCAGCATGTACCTTTTGTCTTCACAGTGAATAGCTGTGGAGTATAACTCCCCACACCCTAAGTGTGGGCTGTGTACAGTGGCCTTCTTCCAAAGAGCACAGTATGGGAGTGGGGATAAAGGGAGTGGTTTTACAGGGGAGAAACCCGACAAACACTACCTCAGATAGGTGATCAAGGTTAGCATCCACAGTGATCATTCATGTTGATAGCATCTACCCTGATAGGATGTGCTGAGAATGGAAATTTACCTCTGTGGTCCTCCCGCCAAAAACCCATAATCCCAGTCTAATCATGACAGAGAACATCAGAAAAATCCCAGTTGAGGGACATTCCACAAAATACCTAACCAGTACTTCTTAACACTGTCAAGGTCATCAAAAACAAGGAAAACTGTCACAGCCAAGAGGAGCCTCAGGAGACATGACAGCTTAATGTGTTAATGTATTGTGGTGTCCTGGATGGGATCCTGGAACGGAAAAAGGGACAATAGGCAAAACTAAGGAAATCTGAATAAAATATGGACTTTAGGTAATAATAATATATAATGAACTAATGAACTAATTGTAATTAGTTCATTGGTTGTAACACATGTACCATACTAATGCAAGATATTTATAACAGAGCAAGCCTGGGTGTATATATATGGGAACTCTCTGTACAATTTTCACAACTTTTCTGTAAATCTAAAACTATTCTAAAATAAGTTTATTAAACCCTTTAATAAAGAAAAAATGAATTATTTCTTAGTCACTTGAAGAAAATCAGTGGCATGAAAGTTAAATGGAAGAACTGACCCCAAAGGATACAGAGGTGATGATGTTGAAACAAAAGACTCAAAAATGTATACTCCAACTAGCACCCTGAGAGTGAACTTAAGATACTGCATCCACAAAACAAGAGTAGGAAGCTCTTAGAAGGGAATTATCTAGGATCAAAAACAGTTCTTAGAAACTAAATAAATAACTACTAAAATTTAAAAATTCTGTAGGAAAGGTTAGAATATAATGTCAAAGAAATCTCTTAGTGTGTAAATTACAAAGACAAAGACAGAGCATATGAAAGAAAAAATAAACATAGAGGACCAATCCAGGTGGTCAGTCAACTAATAGGACTTTGAGACAAGAAATGTAATCTTAGCAAATGACTTAGCCCTGTAGGGAACAGTGTTTACATAGTCATAATAATAAAATACAACTGATTGACTTTCAACTTTCAGTATGTATCTATAGATAAAATATAGAATATTAGTTACCGAATGGAATGAAATATTATGAACCATGGCAAAATGAAATAAAAGTACATCTGATGCAATATGGAAGGTTGGAAATAGGTGAGATGGAAGAGAGAGTAGGACAATAGTGTGTATTAATATATCACGTAGCAAGGAATTGAAAAATACTTTTTAATGTTTATGGAATAAGAAACCACTTAAAGTATATTATTTTAAAACACAAATAGGGCCGGGCATGGTGGCTCACACCTGTAATCCCAGCACATTGGGAGGCTGAGGCAGGCAGATCACATGAGGTCAGGAGTTTGAGACCAGCCTGGCCAACATGGTGAAACTCTGTCTCTACTAAAAATACAAAAATTAGCTGGGTGGGGTGGTGTGTGCCTGTAGTCCCAGCTACTTGAGAGGTTGAGGTGGGAGAATTGCTTGAACCTGGGAGGCAGAGGTCGCAGTGAGCCGAGATCGCACCACTGCACTCCAGCCTGGGCGACAGAGTGAGACTGTCTTAAAAAAAAAAAAAGAAAAAAAGGTCGGGCGCGGTTGCTCACGCCTGTAATCCTAGCACTTTGGGAGGCCGAGGTGGGCAGATTGCCTGAGCTCAGGAGTTTGAGGCCAGCCTGGGCAACACGGTGAAACCCTGTCTCTACTAAAATACAAAAAATTAGCCGGGCGTGGCAGCGTGCGCCTGTAATCCCAGCTACTCAGGAGGCTGAGACAGAAGAATCATTTAAACCCAGGAGGCAGAGGTTGCAGTGAGCCAAGATCATGCCACTGCACTCCAGCCTGGGCGACAGAGTGAGACTCCGTCTCAAAAAAAAAAAAAAAAAAAAAAAAGACACCAAAACCATAAATAAAAGGCTAATAGAAGAACCAAAACTAAAAGAAAATTTGAAGAAGGGGTTATTTAGGGACATAAGTCATAAGTGACCCCAAATACTCATTTTATGTAGTAAGACATGAATAGAGAATGACTACGGTTGGCAAGTGAGAAATAGAGCTATAAGCATATTTTATAGAGCTATGAGATAACTCTCCTAAGAAT
The DNA here is from genome assembly GCF_000001405.40 of Homo sapiens. Taxonomy (NCBI): domain Eukaryota; kingdom Metazoa; phylum Chordata; class Mammalia; order Primates; family Hominidae; genus Homo; species Homo sapiens. Next base: position 70,843,441 of record NC_000015.10, on the reverse strand, counting down.
TAAATGGCTGAAGAGAAGTTACCTCTAGGGAGGAAAGGTGGAATGGGGAATTGTTGATTTCTTTATAAGTTCCCTACTATTTTATTCTAGTTTTTGCTATGTTTATCTATTACTTTAATTTTTTGGAAAAATGTTTTGATGAGCTATTAATAAGTATCCAAGGGAGAAATAATGAGGATGGTTGGAATGGCAAAGAGAGAACAGATGGGAGACCCTGCAAAATGAAATAAGCACTTTATAATTGACTAAATGTGGGGGCAAAAGAGAGAGTGAAAGGACACATCCTAGGTCTTGAGCTTAAGTACATAGAAGAGTGAATAGGGAAAGTAGTTGGGGGGTGGGTTGGAAGGGAAGATAAATGATTGTCACAGGATGGTTGTAATCGGCAATAAGTTGACAATATTCAGGTTTAAAGGATATAAAATTAATATTCATAAAAGATATGGTATCTTTTCCCATTTGAAGGCTATTTCACAAACAGGAAACAATGCAGCCTGCTCCTGGATATAACATAGGCTTTTCAACTCCCCCAAGATCCCCCTTTGGAGATGCATAGTTGCTGCTGACAGCACTCATGCAGAGGGTGGAGTCCTCCAAGCACAAGAAGCTCACCTCTGCACTCGTATAGGGGTTTATATCACCTCCACAGTATCATCCACCTGTTCTGGAATCTCTGGCTATCTGCCTGTCTGCTCAGTGGGTGCAAATAATTGATGCAGAGTCACCCCCAATACATTATGGATAGTCTACTGTGAGACTGTGTGAAAGGAAGGTCAGCTTCCCAGATAGAATGCCTATTGATGGGCCCAGGCTTCAGTCCTGCCTGAGGTCAGGTTCTGCAGAAGGTGAGAAGTTAGATTGTGGACATATTTAATCTGATGCTACATCAGATTGTCCTAGTGGAAATGTCTGGCATGCAGTTAGGAATTGAGGACTGCAGCTCAGGAAGGAGAGGAAGGTGTGGGGCGGTGGACAGGCTGGGGGGTAGATTTGAATTTGATGAGCTTATAGGAGCTGAAGTGTAGAGGTTGCTAGGGGATAAAGTGTCAGGGATAGATTATTGGGTAACACCTACACTTAGAAATGAGGAGAGAGGCCAGGCATGGTGGCTCATACCTGTAATCCCAACAGTTTGGGAGGCTGACGTGGGTGGATCACTTGAGCCCAGGGTTTCAAGACCAGTCTGAGCAACAAGGCAAAACCCCATCTCTACAAAAAAAACAGAAAAATTAGCCAGGCATGATGGCACATTCCTATAGCCCCAGCTACTTGGGAGGCTGAGATGGGAGGATTGCTTGAGCTTGGGAGGCTGAGGCTGCAGTGAGCTGTGTTCATGCCACTGCATTCCAACTTGAGGCAACAGAGCAAGATCCAGTCTCAAAAAGAGAAAAGAAAAGAAATGGAGAGAGAAAGAGGAGACATAAAATGGGGAGAAGAATCAGAAAAGAGTAAGTCACATAAGCCCAGGGGGGAGAGTATCAAGAAGAAGGTGGTCAATAGTGTCAGATCCTGCATCAGGGGCAAGAAGACTGTGTGAGGCCATTCTTGCATTGCTGTAAAGAAATATCTGAGACTGGGTAATTTATAAGAAAAGAGGCTTGATTGGCTCTTGGCTCTGCAGGCTGTATAGGAAGCATGGCACTAGCATCCACTTCTGGGGAGGCCTCAGGAAGCTTACAATTGTGGTGGAAGGTGAAGGGAGAACAGACACATCACATCACAGAAACAGGAGCAAGAGAGAGAGTTGGTGATGGTGGGGGTGGGAGGGAGTACCACATACTTTTAAATGACCAGGTCTTATGAGAACTCACTATCAAGAGGGCAGCACCAAGGGAGTGGTGCTATACCATTCATGAGAAACGACCCCATGATTCAATCACCTCCCACCAGGCCCCACCTCCAACACTGGGGATTACAATTCAACGTGAGATCTGCCTAAGACATACATTCAAACTATATCAAGGACCAAGATGGAGAAGAGACACCTGGATATGGCTACAAGTTCTTTGATGGATGTCTAGAGACACAGAACAAGCTGGAGCGAAGGTTAGGAAAAGGGAGAAGGAGTTGCCCAACGGAGGTCTAGAGAAGCTTGATTGGATGAACTCTATCCTCTCCATCCAGTCTGAGATAGAATCATCTGCAGGCAGTAAAGCAGACATGGCCGACCTTGGGAAGATTGGGAAGCTCTGGAATAAGCATTAGAGAGATTGAGAAATTATACTGCCCGGCCGGGCGCGGTGGCTCACGCCTGTAATCCCAGCACTTTGGGAGGCCGAGGTGGGCGGATCACGAGGTCAGGAGATCGAGACCATCTTGGCTAACACGGTGAAACCCTGTATCTACTAAAAATACAAAAAATTAGCCGGGCGCGGTGGCGGGCGCCTGTAATCCCAGCTACTCGGGAGGCTGAGGCAGGAGAATGGCATGAACCCAGGAGGCGGAGCTTGCAGTGAGCCGAGACAGTGCCACTGCAGACCAGCCTGGGCGAAAGAGCGAGACTCTGTCTCTTAAAAAAAAAAAAAAAAAGAGAGAAAAGAGAAATTATACTGCCTTCCTTCTATTATGCTTTATTTGTTTATGAGTTTACCTTTTGTAATAGCATCTATTGCTCTAGTTTGGGAGTAGGACTAACTTGTCCTGGGAGTAGGACCCCACAGGGGTCCCTTTCGTAGTGCAGTCACTTCTGAGATACTAGCTATTTGTAGTAAGTTAGACCATTTGCCAATACCCCTGAGTCTGCTCAAAACTCTTCACCGGCCATTAGCACACACCCGGCCCCATCCCCTGTGATTTACTGACATCTTTGTTAGCTGGGCCGGGAATTCCCTTTGCATTTGTAGTTATTTTGTCTGTTATATCCAACCCATCTGTTTTTTGTTTGTTTGTTTGTTTTTGTTTGAGACGGAGTTTCGCTCTTGTCACCCAGGCTGGAGTGCAGTGGCGCGATCCCGGCTCACTGCAACCTCCGCCCGCCGGGTTCAAGCGATTCTCTTGCCTCAGCCTCCTGAGTAGCTGGGATTACAGGCTACCACCACCACACCCAGCTAATTTTTATATTTTTGGTAGAGATGGGGTTTCACCATGTTGGCCAGGCTGGTCTCAAACTCCTAACCTCAAGTGATCCCCCTGCCTCAGCCTCCCAAAGTGCTGGGATTACAGGCGTGAGCCACCGCGCCCGGCCTCAACCCATCTGTTTTAACTACTATTTAGGCGATAAACTTTCCCTAATAAAGTGAAATTTGTTCTGTCCATCTTGCATCTCCTTTTTCATCCTATTGGTTGTCCCACTGATGTTTTCCCTTCGGCATGTTTTGAGGACCTCTTTTCTCCATGTAGTGTTGCTGCGGTTACTATTGTATTTGGCTGTTTAAGTAACAGAAAACCCAACAAGTGAATTAAACAAATAGGATTTGATCTTTCTCATGTAATAATAAAAAATCTGCAGGTAGATAGTTATAAGAGCTGGCCCAACAACTCAATCATGTCAGGGCCAATAATGCCAACAAATCAGGCCAAGCCAATTCTCTTGGCCTTTTCCTTATGGTAGTAAAATGGCTGCTGCAGATTCAACCATCACATCCACATTCAAAGCAGACAAAAGGGGAAGGGACAGGGCCAAGAGATTTTCACTTAAGTGTTAGTGGCCATAACATTAAGTTTTTATAGCCTCTAGAGTAAAGACGGCAATTAAAGCCGGGCGTGGTGGTGGGCGCCTGTAGTCCCATCTACTCGGGAGGCTGAGGCAGGAGAATGGCGTGAACCCGGGAGGCAGAGCTTGCAGTGAGCTGAGATTGCGCCACTGCACTCCAGCCTGGGCGACAGAGCGAGACTCTGTCTCAAAAAAAACAAAAGGAAAGGCAATTGAGAAAGTGTTTGTTATTGGATGTTGGGTGAGTCAGCTTAATGTCTGACTTTTATCATCCCATTTTAACAAGACTTAAAAAACTTTAAAATTGAGTCTCCCTATTATTTTCTTCACTATACATTTTTTTTTTTTTTTTGAGACAGTCTCACTCTGTCACCCAGACTGGAGGGCAGTGGTGCGATCTCCGCTCACTGTAACCTCCACCTCCCAAGTTCAAGGGATTCTCCTGCCTCAGCCTTCCAAGTAGCTGGGATTACAGGCATGTGCCACCACACCCGGCTAATTTTTTGTATTTTTAGTAGAGATGGGGTTTCACCATGTTGGCCAGGCTGGTCTCGATCTTCTGACATCAAGTCGTCCGCCCACCTCAGCCTCCCAAAGTGCTGGGTTATAGGTGTGAGCCACCGTGCCAGGCTTCTTCACTCTACATTTACCTTGAGACATCAGTAAGGTATTTTAAAAAGCCATTCCAGGCTGCCTACAGGCAAATAGCTAAAACTCTTTATTTTTAATCAACCAATGCCTATATTTTATACTAATTATAATTTCTGAATTTGAAAAATTTTTAAATAGATTTATTTGCTTTTTTCTCTCTTGCCAGAATATTTTTTCCCTCATTTTGAGTATTCCACAGTTGCTTCTTTTCTTTTTTTTTTTTTTTGTGAGGCTGAGAGCCAGTGAAAATTTTGTTGAAGGACATATATGTATGTGTCTTTTCCAGCTTTAAGCGATCACAGTAATAGGCCTTGTTAAGATTACTGGTCCTGACATTGAGTTGCTAAACCAACTCTTATAACTACCTACCTGCAACTTTCTGCTAACTTCTAATAATGGCATCCGTTATGATGCGGATAATCAGTATTCTCTAAATGTTTATTGGTTTGAAATTGTTATAATCCCCTTATGAAAGATTAGCCCTCCTAAGGAAGCTCTGTCCAGGATTGCTTTGGCTTGTTCTCATCACCTAATGATCTTAGGGAGAGGGAGAGGAGGAAGTCTACCCAGGTGGTGCTGCTGGTGATAGTGGGCTTTATTAAGAAGAGACCCCGTGATGGGATTGTTTCCAGAGTCCATTACAGGGTCCTAGCAAAACATATAAGGTATTATGTATACTGGCTTTGGAGACAGAGGATTTGAGTTTAAATCCTAGATCTGCCTCTTATGAATTAGCGAAGGAATTTGTCTGTGCCTACTGAGCTTTAACGGTACGCTAGGCACTCCTCTGGATATTTTCATGTATTAATTCATTGAATTGTCACAACACTCACATGAGGGTAGGGACTATCATGATTCCCAATTTACAGGTAATAGAACTGAAGTGAGATGCAGTGGAGTTCCTTGCCTAAATTTACTTAACTAATAAACAATGGTACAGGTTGAACATCCTTAATCAAAAAATTCAAAATCTGAAATGCTCTAAAATCAGAAACATTTTGAGCGCCACCATGACACTACAGATTTAACATGGGTTAAAAACTGAGATAGCGACACCTTTGCTTTCTGATGGTTCAGAAACTTTGTTTCATGCACAAAATTATTAAAAATATTGCATGAGATTACCCCAGGTTATCTGTATAAGGTGTATATGAAACATAAATGAATTTGCGTTTAGACTCGGGTCCCATCCTTGAGATATCTCATTACGTATATGCACATATTCCAAAATCTGGAAAAATTGGAAATCTGAAACACTTCTGGTCCCAGGCATTTTGGATAAGGGATACTCAGTCTGAACCAAGCATTTGGACCCAGGCAATCTTAACTCTAAAGCCAGGACTCCTAGAGCTGGCAGCCCTAGGAAATTACACTCCCATCTGTAATTCCAGCACTTTGGGAGGCCAAGGCAGATGGCTTGAGAGTCAGTGATCATGTATCCACATGGAGATTGCACCACTGCAGTGACTCCTGAGAGGCAGTGGTCATGTATCCACATGGAGATCGCACCACTGCACTCCAGATCTTGTCCTGAACCAGCTAAGAAATCAAGCTTTTATTCTTTAATAAATATGGATGATCTTACCGAAAGGTCAAGTAACTCTGCTATACTGTCTTCTAGAAACCAGGATTTGAGGGGATGGAGTAGAGAAGGAAGAATAAGAGAGTATATGTGAAAAGCATTTTGCCCGTGGCAGAGCGCCACATATATGTCAGCAGAGGGTGTTATTATAATAATTATTATTATTATTATTTTGAGACAGGGTCTCACTGTGTCTCCCAGTCTGGGGTACAGTGGTGCAATCTTGGCTCACTGTGACCTAGACCTCCCGGGTTCAAGCTCTCCTCCCACCTCAGCCTCCCAAGTAGCTGGGACTATTGGCATGCACCACCACACCTGGCTAATTTTTGTTGTTGTTGTTGTTGTTTTGTAGCAACAGGGGTCCCACTCTGTTGCCCAGGCTGGTCTCAAATTCCTGGGCTCAGGCCACCTACCTCAGCCTCCCAAAGTGCTGGTATTACAGATGGGAGCCACGATGCCTGGCCAGTTATTATTTTTATGATCCTCCATGCTTGTTAAAAATGAAAGATTGACTTCTTAGCTGTTTGGGGGCAAACCTCTCCTTCTGTGGCCATGTGACCCAGTGTCAATTCCTAGGGCTGCTGTAACAAAATACCATGAGCTGGATGGTTTAGAACAACAGAAATATATTGTTTTATGGTTCTGGAGGCCTGAAGCCCGAAATCAAGGTGTGAATAGGGCCATGCGCCCTCTGAAAGTACTAGAAATGGATCCATTCTAAGCATCTTTCCTCGCTTCTGGTGGCAGTCTTTGGCATTCCTTGAGTTTTGCTACATCACCCCAGTCTCTCCCTTCGCCTTCACATGATGTTCTCTCTGTGTGCATGTCTGTGTTCAAATTTACCCCTTTGGTAAGGACCCTAGTTGTGTTGGATTAGGGGGTCCACCCTACTCCAGTAAGACCTCATCTTAATTAATTGCATCTGCAGTGACCCCCATTTCCAAATAACATCATACTCCAAGGTATTGGGGGTCAGGACTTCAGCATATGAATTTTTGGGGGACACAGTTCAACGTTGACCCTAACACCCGGTGTCTCCTTCTGGTCTCAGTGGCACCACTGCAAGTGGAGGTGAGAACGAGCGTGAGGACCTGGAGCAGGAGTGGAAGCCCCCGGATGAGGAGTTGATCAAGAAACTGGTGGATCAGATCGAATTCTACTTTTCTGATGAAAACCTGGAGAAGGACGCCTTTTTGCTAAAACACGTGAGGAGGAACAAGCTGGGATATGTGAGCGTTAAGCTACTCACATCCTTCAAAAAGGTGAGGCTTGGTTCTCAGAAGCTGCTTCAAGGATTTCAAGTTTGTTTTGGGTTGTGGTTTTAAACATTTTTTTTAACTCCCTTGAAACCTGATGACGAACAATTTTTAAAATTAAGTCTGTGCCTGAAAAAGAGAAAAATGGCTAGGAGAAGGGATTTAGTATTGTTAGGAATATACTCCCACACTATTAAAAGGGTCCTGGGCATTGGGACAAATCTCAGCTGGCAGCAGTTATGAAACAATGTTACTTGTTCTTAGTAAAGTTCAGGCACTTTTGCCAGGCAAGTGGGTGGCCAGGAGGATGTGATACCAGGACAGACGGACTCGAAGGCCTTGAGAGATACCTGCCAGGCCTAAAATTATATGAAATTCAAGCTTTTCATTTGTCAAGTTGAATAAGCAAAGGGAGAGAATGAGCACCCAGAACTCTCAGAAATGAGCCTTCTCTAAGACACACATGCTCTGCCTGTGTGACGCCATCATCCTTATCTATACAATAGGGAGATGAGATTTGTAATTATTGCTGCCATCTGGGCAGCAGACTGCTTGTCCCTGCCATATATAGATCCAGTGTTTGGGCTGTGTACTGTCTACTTCTCAGAGAGTTGACAGACTAGTTGGAGTAAGAACTCTGTGTCTCCCTTAGGGGAAGTGCATTTACTAGAATGGAAAAGCACTACGCGGCCTGTTGCATAACGGGATGCGTAACAAGTGGGTCCCGGCCAAGTTGTCTGTGTACTTTGTCAGAGTGCACTGGAGGAGAGCTTTTCTCCTTGGACCTCTTCCCTGCCTCACCCACTGGTGTACTCTGCCTGGCCCTGTCGCTCTTTTTCCTTTATTCATTCATCAAATATGCTCATTGTCTCTGCTGAGTGCTGTGCTAGGCGCAGGATGTACAGAGTGAAGATCGTACTCCCCCTGTCCTTGACAAGCTCACAGTCCAATAAAGGAGAGAGATCTGAAAGATTACAATGTGACCACATATAGTAGGACAAAAGAGAGAACACAGTATTATTGGGAACTAGTTGATCAGAGCAACTAACCCTGCCTGGAGAACTGAGAAGTCTTCCCAGAGAAGGTGACATTGAAATAGGATTTTGGAGGATGAGTAGGAGTTTTCTAGGTACAGGGGAATGGAAGGGATATTTTAATGGTCAGAGAACAGTGAGCAAACCTTCATATGAAAAGTGTTTGTGGGGGATCCCAAAATGAAGCAGCCAGTGGAATCATCCAGCACGTCTCTTTATTCCTCCCCAGGGACCCCAAGAGTCAGCCTGTTTTGCTTTCCTCTTTAAGCTGCCACTTATGGTCCTATTTAGGAATGTTCTTCTCTGTTGAAACCTGGCTGCAGAGTACAGACAGACTCCCTAACACCTCCAAAATCAGAGCAAAGATCCTTTTCATTCTGAAGGATTTCCTATTAATCACAAAAGGGGAACATACATGACAAAGGTAAAAAGCACAGGGAAACCTTAGAGTTCTTCTAGCAATTGCACAAGGATGAACGCTCCCTGGTCCCTTTTCTCAGGTGCTACCTGGACCTTCCTTATGAATGGTCATGGACCCAGGCTTAGGATGCTCAGACTGTAACCGAGATTTCCCAGTGGACCTTGCTTCTGGCTCAGGAGGGATATTCAGTCCTAGCCAGAGCCTGCTTCTCTTGCAGTGAGATGTGGTCCCCCACAGACTTCTGTAGCCCTCTGAGTAAGGCAGTGCTGTGCTTTCCCAGGTGCTCCTAGCTCAAGCTTCAGGCTTAGGAAATTGTCTCTTTTTATCTCCCAAGTGCTCCCTCCCTAGCTGTTTTCGGAGAAGGCTTCACCATGTTTCACCCCACAGTGAGCCACTGCCTGGCTTTCCCACAGCCTCACACGCACCCGCAGTCATCAGCTTCACCCTTTCTGGATTCCTCATGGACTCTGTCCACCTGAAATCCGACCCTTTGCCTGGGCCTGCTTCTCTGTGCCCTTGGACCCGTGTTCTTCTAGTAGCCTAAGTCTGAGCCATTTCTCCCAGAGACCACAGGCTACAGTGGACAGTGCTCTCTCTCTAGGAGCCTGTGTATAGTAATGGGTCTGCCAAGGTTTCCCCATCTTGCCCAGTGAGTGAGCCTTTCCTTCTTGAGTTTCATGAAGTTCCTGTTTTATGCTCAGAGGCACCTGGAGTTCCCAGTTCTTTTGCAGAGCAGCTTGTTGGCCTGTTCTCAGAGGACTCAGGGGGATCTCGCCATTACGGGCTCAGGTTACCCACCCCACCCACCTTCACTATTTGTTTGGGATGACTCATTCCCCCTGGCATTCCCTTCACCGGAAGTGGGCCTCTAGAAAATTACTGTTTTACAGTATAAATATAGCTTCCATATACTGCAACATTGATACAATTTCCACCAACAAAGGAGGAGGGAGGGATTATTTCACCATTCTTAGTGAGGCCCAAGTTGGATTTAATTTCAAGTTGAAGTAGTCCATGTCATTCTCAGGAGATATTGCAGTGAAATGCGAAAGATCTTTTGGAAACTTCTCTGTATCAAATGCAGAAATGCAGAAATACTGCTTTAGAGAAGCATTTGAATGTTAAAATCTCCAAATCCTATCAAAATAATAGCATGTAATATTGGAAGTAATGATAGCACATGATTACTTAGTACTCACTGTGAGCTAGACACTATTCTGTTTTATGTGTAAATGAGTTTGTATGTGTCTGTACATACATATGTACATGTATATATTGATTCGTTTAATCCTCAGGACAGCTCTTTGAGATGGCACTATTAACATCTCCATTTTCCAGGGCAAGTCGAGGCACTAAGAGGTTGAATAACTTTCCAAGTCTTACTTCAAGCTAGAGGTGGGCCTTTGATTTGTGTATACAGCAGCCTTGTTCCAGAGCCTGCAAATTTAACCTCTAAACTTGCACAGAATGGAATATTTCCATTTTCATGGACAGTTCTGTTGGACAACACTGCTGTGGTGCCCTTGTTTGAAATGGTAGAACTTGTTTTCATTCACTTATTCATTCACTAGATTTTTGAGTGTTTACACATACCACGTATGATTCTAGACACTAGAATACAGGGATTCTAGTGTTACAGGGATAAGGAAGTGAGGGAGGGAGCTTATAGCATACACAAGGATGGACAAGGACATTAGATACTATTTCAGATTTGCTTTATGTTCTGCAGGTGAAACATCTTACACGGGACTGGAGAACCACAGCACATGCTTTGAAGTATTCAGTGGTCCTTGAGTTGAATGAGGACCACCGGAAGGTGAGGAGGACCACCCCCGTCCCACTGTTCCCCAACGAGAACCTCCCCAGCAAGATGCTCCTGGTCTATGATCTCTACTTGTCTCCTAAGCTGTGGGCTCTGGCCACCCCCCAGAAGAATGGAAGGGTGCAAGAGAAGGTGATGGAACACCTGCTCAAGCTTTTTGGGACTTTTGGAGTCATCTCATCAGTGCGGATCCTCAAACCTGGGAGAGAGCTGCCCCCTGACATCCGGAGGATCAGCAGCCGCTACAGCCAAGTGGGGACCCAGGAGTGCGCCATCGTGGAGTTCGAGGAGGTGGAAGCAGCCATCAAAGCCCATGAGTTCATGATCACAGAATCTCAGGGCAAAGAGAACATGAAAGCTGTCCTGATTGGTATGAAGCCACCCAAAAAGAAACCTGCCAAAGACAAAAATCATGACGAGGAGCCCACTGCGAGCATCCACCTGAACAAGTCCCTGAACAAGAGAGTCGAGGAGCTTCAGTACATGGGTGATGAGTCTTCTGCCAACAGCTCCTCTGACCCCGAGAGCAACCCCACATCCCCTATGGCGGGCCGACGGCACGCGGCCACCAACAAGCTCAGCCCGTCTGGCCACCAGAATCTCTTTCTGAGTCCAAATGCCTCCCCGTGCACAAGTCCTTGGAGCAGCCCCTTGGCCCAACGCAAAGGCGTTTCCAGAAAGTCCCCACTGGCGGAGGAAGGTAGACTGAACTGCAGCACCAGCCCTGAGATCTTCCGCAAGTGTATGGATTATTCCTCTGACAGCAGCGTCACTCCCTCTGGCAGCCCCTGGGTCCGGAGGCGTCGCCAAGCCGAGATGGGGACCCAGGAGAAAAGCCCCGGTACGAGTCCCCTGCTCTCCCGGAAGATGCAGACTGCAGATGGGCTACCCGTAGGGGTGCTGAGGTTGCCCAGGGGTCCTGACAACACCAGAGGATTTCATGGCCATGAGAGGAGCAGGGCCTGTGTATAAATACCTTCTATTTTTAATACAAGCTCCACTGAAAACCACCTTCGTTTTCAAGGTTCTGACAAACACCTGGCATGACAGAATGGAATTCGTTCCCCTTTGAGAGATTTTTTATTCATGTAGACCTCTTAATTTATCTATCTGTAATATACATAAATCGGTACGCCATGGTTTGAAGACCACCTTCTAGTTCAGGACTCCTGTTCTTCCCAGCATGGCCACTATTTTGATGATGGCTGATGTGTGTGAGTGTGATGGCCCTGAAGGGCTGTAGGACGGAGGTTCCCTGGGGGAAGTCTGTTCTTTGGTATGGAATTTTTCTCTCTTCTTTGGTATGGAATTTTTCCCTTCAGTGACTGAGCTGTCCTCGATAGGCCATGCAAGGGCTTCCTGAGAGTTCAGGAAAGTTCTCTTGTGCAACAGCAAGTAGCTAAGCCTATAGCATGGTGTCTTGTAGGACCAAATCGATGTTACCTGTCAAGTAAATAAATAATAAAACACCCAACTGGGAGTGCTGACTTTGAGGTTATAGATTGTGCCTGACAAAAGTCTGTGCCTGTCTGACAGAGCTGTGGGTGGTATGTCATGAGGCCCTGAGGAGCTTAGCAGAGACATCTTTCTTTTCTTTAAGAGAACATTTAAAAATTTTTTTATTTGTACACATTTATGGGCTACATGAGAAACTTTGTTACATGTTTATAATGCATAGTGATCAAGTCAGGGCATTTAGGGTTTCTCACTGTACCCCAGGGCAGCCCCAGGGCTCTCCTTGGGCTTCTGGCAGCCTGAGTGGTGTCTCATCACAGGGAATTTTACTGAGCAAAGGCAGCTTGGCGTATACTGAGGGTGTACAGTCCAGGACCCACAGCATTGATCTCACCTGGGAACTTATTAGAAATCCAGATTCTCAGGCCAACCCTAGGCCCACTGAATTAGAAAGTCTGGGAGAAAGGCCTGGAATTTGGGTTTTAACAAACGCTGCAGGTGATTCTGATGCACGCTGGAGAACCACTGGATGGACAAAGGCTGCAGGACTTGAGGTCAGTCCATTTGACCCCCAATCTCTCACTATTTTGTGACCTTGGGAAGGTTACTAAGCCCCGTGAACCTCATCATCTCCCTGTGAATTGCTTTGTTACGATGTCCATGTCTGGAATGCAGCTGGCCCTCCATAAATGTTAGCTCTCTTTCCTTCTCACTTGGGTTAATGTTTGTTATCATCAGGAGCTGCCTTGGTGTAGCAGAAAGAGCATTGGCCTAGATTCCAGTGTTGGCTTATGCTCTGGCTATTTGGCAGGATTTAATAGAGCTTGTTAATAATTATTGAACAGTGATTAGGTGCCAGGGACTATGCTAAGAGCTTTCCATGCATTATCTCATTTAATCTGCCCAAAAACTACAAGAGAAATGTTCAGGTATTATCTCTATTTTATTCCAGAAAAAAACAGACTTTACTTGGGTAATTAACTTGTCTAAGGCTTAACAGCTAAATTGGTAGAGTTGGGCTTGAAACTAGTGGTCTGGCTTTGGAGCCCACACTGTTTAACCACTAAGTGGTACTCAACATTTCTGATCTTTACTATCCATATTCAAAAAAGAATCCACCATAAAAGGTGCTAATATTTATTCAGCACCTTCCTACGTGCTAGGCATTGGGTTAGACACATTTCACTTACTCTCAGTGTCCATCATAAGGAATTATTATGCCAGTATCACACATGCAGCTGCTGAAGTAGGAAAATAATATCCCAAACTTGTGAAAATGGACAAAGATAGTATATCCTAAATGATATGGCTCTATACAAATTAGCAGGTGATTGTGATCTGGATAGTAAGATGCTTTGTCCCTTAAGATGCAGAAGAGTTCGTGTTAACTGGCAAATGCCTCCAGCAATGTTCTGGATTTGCCATTTCCAGCACTACCAGCTGTAGGTAGCCTGAAGGCTTGTGCCTAGACCACCAGGACTCCTGACCTTGGGCAATGTCAGGGCCCCCTCCAGCCCCGCCCTATGCTTCCCTCCCTGACTCTGCTCCCATCACCCCCTGCCTGCTCCTTCCCTGCAGCCACTCCACCTGCTCCTTGGCCATCGGGCCATCTGGGCTTCACCAGCTCTTCTTGGCCTGTGACATTCAAGGCTGTTCCACCCTATTATGCCTGTTACACAAGTCACAGCTCTATTTTTAGATTAACCCTCGTGGATCATAGTTACTTTTAAAAATACCTACACCCTCACCTTTACATGTGAATACAGATGAACTTGGCCTTCCTTTGGTCGTATTGCCCTGTGTGACATTATAAAAGAACCCTGAAGTGGGGGTCAGCAGATCTGAGGTCGAGTCGTGGCTTTTCTACTAAGCAACTGTGACCTTCAGCAAGTCATTTATTTTATTGGTTCACAGTTCTTCCCACAAACCAGTGGATAACAAGAAGATGTTCCTTAAATAAGGTCATATATGTGCAAGTGCTTTCTGAATGGAAAAGTGCTTTGCAGGCATTAGTCACTACTTATCCTGCTGTCTGATCATCACCTCCAAAGGCAAGCCTCCTTTTGCTGCAATTCTTAACCCTGGCCTCACATTAGAGTCACCTAAAGAGCTTTTAAAAACTGCCTATGGGGCTGGGCACGGTGGCTCACGCCTGTAATCCCAGCACTTCAGGAGACTGAGGCGGGCAGATCATGAGGTCAGGAGATTGAGACTATCCTGGCTAATGTGGTAAAACCCTGTCTCTACTAAAAATACAAAAAAATTAGCCGGGCATGGTGGCACGCACCTGTAATCCCAGCTACTTGGGAGGCGGAGGCAGGAGAATTGCTTGAACCTGGGAGGCGGAGGTTGCAGTGAGCCGAGATCACGCCGCTGCATTCCAGCCTGGGCAACAGAATGAGACTCCATCTCAAAAAAATAAAAATAAAAATAAACAAACCTGCCTATGGGCCAGGCATGGTGGCTCATGCCTGTAATCCCAGCACTTTAGAGTTGCTTGAGGCCAGGAGTTTGAGACCAGCCTAGGCCACATAGCAAGACTGTGGCTCTACAAAGATAAAAAATTAGCTGGGCAGGGCGATGTTCGCCTGTAGTCCCAGCTGCTAGGGAGACTGGGGTGAGAGACTTGCTTGAGCCCAGGAGGTCAAGGCTGCAGTGAGCCAAGATCATGCCACTGCACCCAGGCTGGGTGACAGAGTGAGACCCTGTCTCAAACAAAACAAAAGAAAACAACCAACTACCTCTGGCCATCCCTGAGATATTCTGATTTAATTGGTTCTGGGGTGAGGCCAGGGCATGAGTATTTTTTAAAACTCCTGGTGATTCTTGCCTGTAATCCCAGCTACTCAGGAGCCTGAGGCAGGAAAATTGCTTGAACCCAGGAGGCAGAGGTTGCAGTGAGCTGAGATAGTCCCACCACACTCCAGCCTGGGTGACAGAGCGAGACTCCGTCTCAAAAAAATAAAATTAAAATAAAAATTAAAAAACTTGGCCAGGCATGGTGGCTCATGCCTGCAATCCCAGCACTTTGGAATGCCAAAGCGGGTGGATCATCTGAGGTCAGGAGTTCGAGACCAGCCTGACTAACATGGTGAAACCCCATCTCTACTAAAAATACAAAAATTAGCCTGGCATGGTGGTGCGTGCCTGTAATCCCAGCTACTCTGGAGGCTGAGGCAGGAGAATCGCTTGAACCTGGGAGGCAGAGGTTGCAGTGAGCCGAAGTCGTGCCATTGTACTCCAGCCTGGGCAACAAGAGCAAAACTCCATCTCAAAAAAAAATTAAAAAATAAAAAATAAAATCTCCTAGGTGATTCTAATAGGCAGGCAGCATTGGAAAGCTCTGGCCACTGGAATGAGGAGCACATTAATTCCCTCCTCCTTTCTCAAGGCTTAGTCCTGGTCTCTTGTAGGCATTCCAGGGGTCTGAGCACCTTGTTGATGAACCTGCTCCTTCTAACTCTCTGGCCAAATCTTCAGCTGGGGCATGGGCTTCCTGTTTGTTAGCATAGCCGGCCTTTCTTGAATAGCTTGACTGAGAAACTCAGCCAATGGTATTTTTACAGATGTTTCATTATTTTTAATGAAAACCAGTTCCTTCTCCACACTGGGACACGAGGCCTGGTGACCATCTCCGCTTGAGGTGCTGGCAGAACATCTACACGCTACACATATCCAAAACACCACTTTGTCCACCCTCCCTCCCGCTCCATACACATGCCCATCTGCTCCTTCTCCTGACTTCCCCATCTCAGCCAGTGGCATCACCATCTCCCATGTCACCCAGACTGGAGATGAGGCCATGTGGAATACGTGAAGAATGCAGGTTCTGAAGACCAAGTGACCTTTGACTAACAACTGAGCCTCCCTATGTCTCAGTTTCCTCTCCAATAAATAATAGATAATAATAGTAGATAATAATAATTCCTATTTCATACAATTTGTTAGAATTAAATGAGTCAGGCCAGGCGTGGTGGCTCATGCTTGTAATCCCAGCACTTTGGGAGGCCGAGGCAGGTGGATCACTTGAGGTCAGCAGTTCAAGACCAGCCTGGCCAACATGGTGAAACTCTGACTCTACTAAAAATACAAAAATTAGCCGGGCCTGATGGTGCATGCCTGTAGTCCCAGCTACTCAGGAGGCTGAGGCAGGAGAATCACTTGAACCTGGGAGGCGGAGGTTGCAGCGAGCCGAGATCGAGCCACTGCCCTCCAGCCTGGATGACAAAGTGAGACTCCATCTCAAAAAAAAAAAAAAAAAAAGAATTAAAATGAGTCAATACCTGTAAAATGCTTAGTAATTTGCCCATGGTAAATGCTCAAAGAACGTGAGGCTACCATATTTGTACCTTTCCCTTCCAAATCTCCCGTATTCAATCAACAATCCAGAACTGTCATTTTTTGGCTCTGAAATATTTCTTACACGCTCCCTTCTTCCCCAGTGCTTACTTAGTTCCACATACCCTCCTCCCAAGGTCTCTCTGTCTCTAAGCCTCTGCATTAACTTATCTCCCATCATGCTACCAAACCTATCTTACTAAAATAGGGCTCTGGTCACATAACTTCCTTACTTCAAAAAATAAAAATAAAAAATTGCAGTCTGCCTCTTCCTGTACAGAGAAAAAGAGCCCAACTGCCTGTTATGCCCTGCTGTGCTGTATGCTTTGTGGGGAAGGCTCTCTGAACATTCCTCCTTGATCCACCACCCGTCTGACTCTGGGGTAACTTCCTGAGCTGGCAGGCTGGCTTCATATCCCGAATATGTGACCATGCCTGTGTCTCATTTACTATTGCATCACTCCAGGGTGTGGCTGGGTTGAAAAAGGCTCTGTTTGGTTTCTGCCACACAAGACAGACACATGAGCAAGTACTCATTGAAGACATATTGTTCATCGATTATTTTTAAATACTTTTTCCATAAAATGTGAGCTAGCTTTTCCCAGTAATTTTCATCCATATACTCTACTTCTTGTAAGTTGTAAACATGACAGAAAAGCTACCTAGAAACTAACAGCAAAGATCTAAGGAAGAAAGGATTGAACCAACAAGGACTGTTGACTTTTTATTCCTAACACTGACATAGATCCTGGTGAGTGCTAATTCCCTTAATGAAAAAATAATCCTGGGCCGGGCATGGTGGCTCACACCTGTAATCCCAGCACTTTGGGAGGCTGAGGCAGGCGGATCACCTGAGGTCAGAAGTTCGAGACCAGCCTGGCCAACAGGGTGAAACCCCGTCTCTACTAAAAAATACAAAAAATTAGCCAGGCGTGGTGGCATGCGCCTATACTCGGGGGCTGAGACATGAGAATCACTTGAACTCAGGAGGTGGAGATTACAGTAAGCCGAGATCGCACCACTGCACTCCAGCCTGGGGAACAAGAGGGAAATTCCCTCTCAAATAATAATAATAATCCTGTAAGCTACAATCTTAGTACTTCAGCCTCATGAAGCATCCCTCAGGATGACAGTCATGTTGATTGCATCAGTCCTTTGCGATTCATTTTGGGTAGTGGGAGATATATCTGGAGTGTGTAGACAGCCCATTGGTGAACCAAGCTACCTTTATTTGGACCAATTTCCGGCTGGGCAGCTGTTTGCACAACACCCCAGATTTGGAATCAGCTGTGGGATGAGCAGAAGCCAGCTAGATACGTGCCTTGTGATGGCACCCAGATATTCAGTTCAATTTCACAAAGATTCGGCCGGGCGCAGTGGCTCATGCCTGTAATCCCAGCACTTTGGGAGGCCGAGACGGGCGGATCACGAGCTCAGGAGATCGAGACCATCCTGGCTAACACGGTGAAACCCCGTCTCTACTAAAAATACAAAAAATTAGCTGGGTGTGGTGGCGGGCGCCTGTAGTCCCAGCTACTCGGGAAGCTGAGGCAGGAGAATGGTGTGAACCCGGGAGGCGGAGCTTGCAAAGAGCTGAGATCGCGCCACTGCACTCCAGCCTGGGCGAAACAGCGAGACTCCGTCTCAAAAAAAAAAATATTCACAAAGATTCCTGAGCAACTACTATGGGTAAAAGAAGCAGCAGGCTGAAGTGCTTTGGATGAAAGATAAATCCTAGGTGATCCTTTTCCTTACCTATAACCAGAGAGTGCAGTAGGTGCAGACCTGCCTTCTCAATGCTGTATTTACAGTTAACTCGCCTTCAAAGATGAATTTGGGAAGTTCAATTTGTTATGGTTTTTCAAAGTGGTAGCCAGAGGCAAATTCCTCCGATTGTTTTGCTATCTCAGTGCCCTCTAGTGTCCAACCGGGACATAGCCTTATCTAAACAGCTGATAACCTGGCACCTGCTCCTAGTTGAGGGTATGCTCCTGTAGTTGGGGAACAAGAAAGACCAGTTGAAATTCCAACCTTGCCACTTGCAGAACTCTCAGGGCTGTCTCACTTCTCTAAGCTTCAGTTCCCTCACTTGTAAAATGAGGATGATAATGCCTACAACATCAGGTTTTTTTGTAAGGAATTAAAAGGATGATACGTGGAAAGCATGACACCATCCTACCATAAAGAAATAGCTCCCAAAAATATACCATCACTAAAGCTCCCAGACATAAACTCATCATAAGTAAGAAGGATGGGAAAGACTAATCTAGCACACTCCTCCCTCTGCATTTTAGCCAGTTGTTTATGCATCATTTCCTTGCTGAATTATGAACAATGAGGTAAGAGACCATGTATCTCCACACATCTTATAGTGCCTGGCCCATGGCAAGATCTCAGAAAATATTTGTTGAATAGGTACTGAATAAAACGAATTTTTCCTGGCCTTAAAAATATTGTACAATGTAATATAAATTCATGGTTTCCAAATATCCAAGCCGACTCTCTTGGAGAGCATGTAAATCCTAAGGACTCTATAATTCAACACTGTTTGGCAACTTCTCCTTGTCCTGAAATACTCCAGCTCTGGAATATACCTTGGGGTAGCTGTAGGTCTCATTGTAAGCTATGGAAAAGCATATTCAGCATGATAAAATCTGGGATGAGAACTCTTGAGCTCTGACCCCCTGATGCATCTGAAAAAAATGAGTGAGCTCCTGGGATAAATGGGGAAGAGCTTCGTTAATAAGAGTGGCAGCCAAAGGCCAGTAGGGACCTTCAGAAGTCAGGACCCAAGAGACCTCCTATATTGCCTCTCTTAAGTGTAAAATGAGAGTGATGGTCCCATCCTGAAGCCCCTGGAATACACTCTGATGGGCCAACTCAATCAACAATGCCCAGATGATTTCAATTATAGAAATGTAATTGAGGCAGGTGCGGATCACCTGAGGTCAGGATTTCGCGACCAGCCTGGCCAACATGGCGAAACTCTGTCTCTACTAAAAATACAAAAATTAGCTGGGCATGGTGGCGGGCACCTGTAATCCCAGCTACTCAGGAGGCTAAGGAAGGAGAATCGCTTGAACCCAAGAGGCGGAGGTTGCAGTGAGCTGAGATTGCACCATTGTACTCCAGCATGGGCAACAAGACTGAGACGCAGTCTCAAAAAAAAAAAAAAAAGAAAAAAATGTAATTGAGTCTGTCATATGTTAAGTCGGCCATGACTTCAGACTTCAGTGAAGAACATATAGCAACTCTTATGAACATGAATAGATATTTTCTTTATACAAAAGTTATTCTTCTAATACTATAAGTCTACAAACCCACAGTAAATAAAAGAAAATAAACAAGGCCGGGCACGGTGGCTTACGCCTGTAATCCCAGCACTTTGGGAGGCCGAGGCGGCTGGATCATCTGAGGTCAGGAGTTCGCGACCAGCCTGGCCAACATGGTGAAACTTCATCTCTACTAAAAATACAAAAATTAGCCAGGCATGGTGGCAGGCACCTGTAATCCCAGCTACTCGGGAGGCTGAGGCAGGATAATCGCTTGAACCCGGGAGGTGAAGGTTGCAGTGAGCCAAGATTGTGCCACTGCACTCCAGCCTGGGGGACAGAGCGAGACTCTGTCTCAAAAAAAAAAAAAAGGAAAGAAGAAAGAAAATAAACAAGACAGATGAGTAGATCAGTTTCACTTTTTTTTTTTTGAGACGGAGTCTTCTTCACAAGAGGAAGAAGCGGACTTTGACATTAAGAACTGATCAGAAGCCAGTAATAACAGATTTATGGAGTGCAACATCTGTTGTTCGTTTAGTATAACTTTAAAACAATTAAAGGAAGATTGAGGCTATAAAACCTCCAAGTTCTCAGAAAATAACAACCTCACAGGGGAACTTAACAGTTGGTCAAATTAAAGTGCTGGGCCTTGTAGCCTTTACTGATTGGCAAATAACCAGATTTGGGGCCATGAAACGATTGTAAAGAACTCTGGAGGGGATTTCGTCTCTGCATCAATCCAAATCATGCTGTCCATGCAAGGAGAAAAGAGCTGGGTCACTTATGTAAAGAGCGGGGATCCCTTTGGCACAAAAAGTAGAGCTGTACTAAGGTCTTATTGTTTAAAAAACATCAAAAATAAATTACCCATCAACTACAACACACTACCTGCTTGAAAAATCATGTTACTTGTAATGTGCTGGTAAAATTAATTGAACATCTGCTCCCTGCCAGGAACTGAGTTGCTAGGGAAAGAGGAATGAATAAGACTCAGGTACATCCTGTGTTTATTGCACTTATATTCTTCTTGGGGGGAGGCAGGCAATACACAAATAAACAAGATAATTTCAGACAATCGTTTGGAAAAAATAAAACCATGTAAAGGAGTAGAGAATGACAGTAAGTAAGAGTGCAGAGCTATTTTTAATTTTTATTATGAAAAATTTTCAAGGACATAAAAATGGAGAATATTATGAACTCTAGTATGTTTCGTAGATTCAACAATTATACATTTTTTCTACATTTACTTTTGTTGTCCCTTTTCCTATCTTTCTCTCTTTTTTTTTTTGCTAAAGTATTTTAAAACAAATCCCAACCATCATTCGTTACATCCCTATATATGTTAAGTATGCATCTCTAAGGGCCAGACAAGGTTTTAAAGAACTGGCTTAAATAAATTTGCAATTCATAAAAATTATATTCTATAAATTATAAACTTATAAATGATATAATAATATAATATAACTTGACATTTTAATGGTAATTATTGTTATATAAATTGTTTCATATAATTATAAAGTTAGAAGTTATAAAATGATTACTAACCATTATATAATAACATTTTAAAAATTACATAAATAGCCCATAATCTAATCACCAGAATTTGGTAACTGAATTTAGGTGCTTGTTTTTCCATCTTTCAAAAAATTATCTTTATTACAATATAACATGCTATTGAAAAGTAAATAGGCCGGGCACGGTGGCTCATGACAGTACCATTTATAATAGCTCCAAAAAGCATGATATACTCAGCCATAACTCTAACAAAGTATATATACAGGATCTATGTGCTAAAAACTACAAATTATCAAAGACCTAAATAAATGAGGAGATATCCTGCTCATGCATTAGAAGAGTTATTGGCCAGGCACAGTGCATCACGCCTGTAATCCCACAACTCTGGGAGGCGGAGGTGGGTGGATCACAAGGTCAGGAGATCGAGACCATCCTGGCTAAACATGGTGAAGCCCCATCTCTACTAAAAATACAAAAACAAAATTACCCGGGCATGGGTGGGCGCCTTAGTCCCAGCTACTCGGGAGGCTGAGGTGGGAGAATGGCGTGAACCCGGGAGGTGGAGCTTGCATTGAGCCGAGATGGCGCCATTGCAGTCCAGCCTGGGCGAAACAGCGAGACTCTGTCTCAAAAAAAAAAAAAAAAAAAAAGAAGAGTTAAAATGCCAGACTTCCCCCCAACTGATCTGTAGATTTAAGGCAATTCCAAACAAATCCCAGCATGAGTCTTTGTAGATATAGGCAAGTTCATTATAAAATATATGTAAAAGTAAAGGAACTGGAATACCCAAAACAATTTTGAAGAAAGAACAAGGTTAAAGACTCATACTACCCAATTTAAGACATACTATAAAATAGTGGCCAGGCGGGGTGGCTCATGCCTGTAATCCCGGCATTTTGGGAGGCTGAGGGGGGAGGATCACGACGTCAGGAGATCGAGACCACAGTAGAGACCCCATCTCTACTAAAAATCCAAAAAATTAGCTGGGCATGGTGGCGGGCACCTGTAGTCCCAGCTACTCGGGAGGCTGAGGCAGGAAAATGGCGTGAACCTGGGAGGCGGAGCTTGCAGTGAGCCGAGATGGTGCCACTGCACTCCAGCCTGGGCGACAGAGCAAGACTCCGTCACAAAAAAAAAAAAGGAAAAAAAAAAGACATACTATAAAATAAAACCACAGTGATCATAACGGTATAGTATTGACTAGAGGATAGACACAGAGATCAATAAAACCCAATAGAGATTCTAGAAATAGATCCCCAAAATATGCTAATTTTAATGAGTTTCATTGAGGTATAATTGACTTACAACAAACTGCACATATTTATAGTATAAAGATTGATACATTTTGATATATGTATACATATGTAAAACCATCAGCCCAATCAAAATAGTGAACATAAACATTATCCCCAAAAGTTTCTTCGTGTCCTTTAGTAATTCCTTCTTTCCTCCCCTCTCTACTTCTCCACCTCATCTCCTGGCAATCACTGATCTGCTTTATATCATTTATATTCGTTTATATTCCTTGAATATAAAATATTCCTTTATATTAATTTATATACTATTCCTTGAATATAATATATTCCTTTATATTAATGGAATCATATAGAATGTACTTTTTTGTCTTGCTTTCTGAACTCAACATCATTCCTTTGAGAATCATCCATGTTGTAGCATGTATCAATAGTCCATTCTTTTTTATTGCTCTGAGGTATTCCATCATATCCACGTACCATATTTTGCTTATCTAGTCACTAGTTGATGGGCATTCAGGTGTATACCATTTTGGCTATTACAAATAAACCTGATATGAACATTCATGTACAAGTCTTTGTATGGACATGTGCTTTCATTTCTCTTAGATAAATATCTAGGAGTTGGAATGGCTGGATCATACAGTAACTATGTGTTTAACTTTTAAAGAAACTGGCAAACTGCTTTCCAAAGTGGTTGTATCATCTTACATGCCCATCAGAAGTGTATGATTGTTCCAGCTTCATTACACCCTTACCAACACTTAGTATGGTTAGTCTTTTTAGCCAGTCTAAAAGATGTGTGGTGGTAATTCATGGTTTTAATTTTCATTTTTCAAATATTGATGGTCTTTTCTGAATGTTAAAGATTTTTTAATGTGCTTATTTGTCATCTATCTTCTTTAGTGAATTGAATGTTCAAAGTTTTGACAAAGATATGAAAACACTTCAACAAATAGTGCTGGAACAATTGTATATTCATATGCAAAGTTTGAGTCTCAACCTATACGTCACATAATATACAAAATTTAACTGTAAATGAACCATAGAACTAAATGTAAATTTTTAAAGCTATAAAACTGTTATTTTTATAAGTGTAAAAAAAAAGAGAAAATCTACTGTGATTTTGGCTCACAAAACAAGATTTTAAAAAAGATAAACTAGGCCAGGCGTGGTGGCTCACGCCTGTAATCCCAGCATTTTGGGAGGCTGAGGCGGGTGGATCATGAGGTCAGGAGTTCAAGACCAGCCTGGCCAAGATGGTGAAACTCCATCTCTATTAAAACTACAAAAATTAGCCAGGGGTAGTGGCAGGCGCCTGTAATCCCAGCTACTTGGGAGGCTGAGGCAGAAGAATCACTTGAACTTGAGCAGCAGAGGTTGCAGTGAGCCAAGATCACGCCACTGCAGTCCAGCCTGGGCAACAGAGTAAGACTCTGTCTCAAAACAAACAAACAAACAAACAAACTAGAATTCATTGAATTAAAATATTTTGCTCTGTGAAAGACACTTAAAAGATGAAAAGATAAGTCAAATATTTGCAAATCACATATCTGAAAAAGGATTTGTGCCCAGAGTATATAAAGAACTCTCAAAACCCAACAATAAGAAAACAATACATTTTTAAAAAATGAATAAAAAATTTGAAAGTGCACTTCATCAAAGAAAATATATAGATGGGAAATAAACATATGAACAGTTCTTCAACATCATTAGTCATTAGAGAAATGCAAATTGAAAACCACAATGAGATACCATTACATACCAATTAGAATGATTAATATAAGAAATTCTGATAATACCAAGTGCTGAAAGATGTGGAGCAACTGGAAGTCTCATAAGTGGCTGGTTGGAATGCAAAATGGTACAGGATTCTTGGGCACTCTAGAAAAGGCTGATATTTTCCTTTTTTTTTTTTTGAGACAGAGTCTTGCTCTGTCTCCCAGGCTGGAGTGCAGTGGCACGATCTCGGCTCACTGCAAGCTCCACCTCCCGGGTTCACACCATTCTCCTGCCTCAGCCTCCCGAGTAGCTGGGACTACAGGCGTCCGCCACCATGCCCAGCTAATTTTTTTTGTAATTTTAGTAGAGATGGGGTTTCACGGTGTTAGCCAGGATGGTCTCGATCTCCTGACCTCATGATCCGCCCGCCTCGGCCTCCCAAAGTGCTGGGATTACAGGCGTGAGCCACCACGCCTGGCAAGGTTGATATTTTCTTACAAAATTAAACATATATTTACCATTTGACTCAGAAATATCATTTGTGGGTATGTCTCATACAGAAATGAAAACTCACATTCACAGAAAAATCTGTACACAATAATGGTAGCGTTATTCAGAATTGCACCAAACTGAAAACTACCCAAATGTTTGTCAACAAATAAATGGATAAACAAACTGTGGTACATCCACACAATGGAATACTACTCAACAATAAAAAGGAATGAGCTACTGATACACTCAACAATGTAGATGAATATTGAATGCCTTATGCTAAGTGAAAGACACCAGTCTCGAAAGATTTATACTGTCTGATTCCATTTGTATGGCTGTCTGGAAAAAGCAAACTTATAGGAACAGAAAACAGACCAGTAGTTGCCAGGGTATGGGAGGAAAACGGACTGACTACAAAAGGCCAGCATGAAGGAATTCTATTAGATATTGAAATTGTTTTGTATCCTGTTTGTGGTGGTGATTACAAGACTCTATGCATTGTGAAATGTCATAGAACTGGACAACAATGGGAGTGAAGTTTACTGTAAGTTTTTAAAAGTAATAAAGGGCCAGATGTGGTGGCTCACGCCTGTAATCCCAGCAGTTTGGGAGGCCGAGGCAGGTGGATCACAAGATCAGGAGTTTGAGACCAGCCTGGCCAATATTGTGAAACCCTGCCTCTAATAAAAATACAAAAATTAGCCCGGCATGGTGGCATATGCCTGTAGTCCCAGCTACTCAGGAGGCTGAGGCAGGAGAATTGCTTGAACCCAGGAGGCGGAGGTTGAAATGAGCCAAGATCGCGCCACTGCGCTCCAACCTGGGCAATAGAGTGAGATTATCTCAAAATAAATAAATAGATAAATGTAATAAAAATGATTGATTTGTGGTTTCAGGTGTGTATGCAGCCACCTATCCTTGTAAGTTCCCTGAACCTGAAGTGCTCAGTGCATAAACTAAAGGCCAGTGTGGCTGGAGCTCAAAGAGCTTGGGGGAGAGTGTCACACAGCAAGGTCAGAGAGATGGGCAGAGCCAGCCCATGTAGTGCCATAGAAACACTTGGAAAGGAATCTATGCCTCTTAAAGATCATTCTGGCTACTAAGTGGAGAATGGGTATATAATAGTAAATTATGGGAAAGGTGCTTTTTCATTTTTAAAAAGTGATTAAAGAGAAAAGTAATCATGTTTTGAGAAGACAGATCCAAATAATTGAAACATTTAACTGTGACTGAGGACTGGGAAGGAGAAGAAAACAGTTTGGCCTTTAAAATGAGGTTTAGCTTTGTGGTTACAGTTTCCTTGTTTGGCCAGCTCCACTGGTGCAGGGACAGGGCTTCTTCCAATGTGTTTTCTTGGCCTTCTGTTTCAGAATAAACAAATATGACATCTCCAAGCTATTCAGGGGGTCCCAGGTATTCAGGGTGGCCTGATCCAGAACACAGAAGCTTTCTCACAGGTCACAGCTTGGGCTCTGTTGCTATAAACACAAGACACAGGAGGCCCAAGCAAGTCTGAACACCTCCTGGAGCTGTTTTCTAGGCCATCCCAAGTCCTCATGGACAAATGAGGCTTAACCATGGGGAACTGAGCTTCATGGGTAGGGCTAGCACCTCTGACCTCAGAAACACTGGAAGATGAGTGTGGTCAAGGCTGTTGGGAGCCCCATGAATCACTGCTTGAAGGGGCTTGACATGTGATGGCTGGCACTGCAGACAGGAGATGACAAGTCGAGAGCCAACAGAGGAGTCTGTTTGCTGGACCCTCCTGCTGGCAGCAAAAATGCCAACCCAAACCCCCAAGTCTATTCATAAAATGGCTGCAAAGACATCAATCCTGATTTTTAAAAAGAGAAAGACTTCAGCCTGAGCTGAGGGAGGCCGATTCCTCCTCCTTTGCGGTTGCGGGATAGCTGCAAAAAATTGTGAGATTATTCAAAATTTGACAGGCTGTGAACACAAAAAGAAAAAAGTCTCAATAAATGCATAAAAACAATTTTTAAAAGTAACATTTACTCCTAATAGCAATGTTTTATATAAGAATAGAAGGATACCTTGGGTGATGGGGGCACCAAAGTCTCAGAAATCACCACCAGATAACTTTTCCATGCAACCAGAGCACCAAAAAGAGAATGGAAGGGTAGTTGCATAATATAACCAAAAACTTCCACGTGCACATCAAATGACTGCCGGCATCACGCTCAAGGGAAGACACTCATGAGCATTCTCCTGGCATCAGAGAAAAGACAAAGGCGCCTGGCATTAGCACTGCTTTTGTATTCTCTTCTGGAAGTGCTTTCAAAGTCACTAAGCAAGAGAATGAAATAAGAAATATAAATAAGAAATATAAATATTAGGAAAAGAAACCAGATGATCAATTTTTGCACATTTCATAATCTTCTACCTAAGGAAGAAAAAAACAAGAAAATGAGTTTAAAAATCTGTTAGAGGCCAGGCGCGGTTGCTCACCCCTGTAATCCCAGCACTTTGGGAGGCCAAGGCAGGCAGATCACCTGAGGTCAGGAGTTCAAGACCAGCCTGGCCAACATGGCAAAACCTCTACTAAAAATACAAAAATTAGCCGGGCCTGGTGGCGGGCACCTGTAATCCCAGCTACTCGAGAGGCTGAGGCAGGAGAATCGCTTGAGCCCAGGAGGCGGAGGTTGCAGTGAGCCGAGATCACACCACTGCAGTCCAGTCTGGGCAACAGAGCGAGACTCTGTCTCAAAAAAAAAAAAAAAAAAAAAAAAAAATATGTTGGAAATAGTAACAATGGCCATTTAAAGAGGCCATTTCATTTGGTTCCTGGGATGCCTCTGCACCTCTTTCCTGCTTTATTTCTCCTCTTGGTAATGGGCAAACATCTCCTCAATAAAAAGGTTAGCCTGTCCCCATTGAAATCTCTTAGCATGAGGACTGCAGCCAAGCCCTATGGCTCAATTTCAAGTCCCCTTTTAAATGGAAACCATTTGATACCTTTTGCTCATGCATCCTGAAATCTTTGAATATGCTGAAAGAAAGCGGGGAGTTCTGACTCAGAGATTTAACCCTCTGTCTACACAAACATTGGTGACTACTCTACTAGAAAACAAACAAAAAGAGCAAAAAAAATTTGTTTAAACCAGTAACACAAGGAAAGTCAATAAAAGACTATTGGTTAGTGGGTTCCCCAGCATGTCCCGCGAAGTGCTTTTCATGTGTTCACCATTGTCCGTGTTCAGATTACCAGGACCAAAATGACACCTGGGCAAACAGAAGACAAAAACAAGACCTGAGTTGGGAGTGAGGAGAGGCGGAGTCAAACCATGGATGCCAGGAGGAGTAGCTCTGTTGTCTCAAGGATGTCAGTAGTCCTTGCCACTCTCTGGTCTCAGTTTCCTCACGTATAAAATAAAGGGCTAGGACTTGGTCTATGACTTCAAACCTGTCATACCTAGACAATTTTCATTCTGCTTACTTACATTTTCCAATTTTTACCACTGGTCTTAAATTCGCACCTTCTCCTTATCACATATGTCTTCATATCTATGGGAAGTCTCTGCTTGAATATCCTGCTGCCACCCAAAATGAATTGAGTTAAAAATCATAACTCTAGATCAGCCTTCTCTGTCAACCACCTTTCTCTTTCCCATTTGTGAAAGGAAAATATCTTGAGCCCCTAAAATCACTAAGCTAAAGGGAAAAGTCAAGCTGGGAACTGCTTAGGGCAAACCTGCCTCCCATTCTATTCAAAGTCACTGAGATAAATGCATATCTGATTGTCACTTTGGAGAGGCAAAAGAATGCAACCATTTGTCTCTTATCTACCCACGACCTCGAAGCCCCCTCCCTGGCTTCCAGTTGTCCCACCTTTCTGGACCAGACGGAACCAATGTTCATCTTACATATGTTGATTGATGTCTCATGTCTCCCTAAAATGTACAAAACCAAACTGTGCTCTATCCACCTTCGGCACATGTCATCAGGACCTCTGGAGGCTGTATCACAGGCCTGCGTCCTCAATCTTGGCAAAATAGACTTTCTAGATGAACTGAGACTTGTATCAAATATTCAGGGTTCACACCTTTATCTCAGTAAAGAAGGAATTTATGCTGTAACCTAAATGGCAGCTTTCCCATTCTTCTTAAGGGTCACGTGCTCCTGTATTTAGTGGTGGTGGGGTGGAGTTGTCTTCCTACTCCCACATCTCAGTTTTCCCCTGGCCTCCATCCCTCTGAGCTCTTTTGTCTTCTGGCAGCTCTTGGTTCCTTGTGGTCCCCAGTTCAGGTCATCACTGGGCAAGCCTGCCCCAGCATCCTGCTGCTTCCTGCACAATGATCTCCGAGCATTGGGAGGCAGCAAATGTGTCTCTCCTGTCTTCATGACATAACCACACAAAAGTGAATAAATATATCCAACTTTACTCAAGGTGGGAAAATTAAAGAAAGTCACAACATATCAGAGAAAAGTTTTAAATGGCCATCAATACCATTTTTCTTGTGCTCCCAAGGAAAACCATTCAATGAATTAAACATTTCATTGAATGGTTTTCCATGGAAAACTGGAGACTCTTTAGGTGGTGCCTTTCAGTTTTTAATCTTGTTCTTTTGACTTTATATCTACCTTCCTTTCAGAGACACAGCCTCCTTCAAACCTTCCCCCTCTGGAATGTTGCTGTGGTTCAAATGTGTCCCCCAAAAGGCATTAAGCTTAATCCCCAGTGTAACAGTATTAAGAGGTGGGACCTCTAAGAGATGAGGCCATGCGGGCTGTACCCAATGAGTGGATTGATACTGTTTTCATGAGATTGGGTTCATTATTGCAGGAATGAGTTCCTCCTGAGAAGATTACTTCAGCCCCCTTCCCTCTCACGTGTGTGCACTCTTGCCTGTGTGATGCCCTCCGCCATGTTATGACAGCAAGAAGGCCTTCCCAGATGTGGCAACTTGATCTTGGACTTCCCAGCCTCCAGAACCATGAGCCAAATAAATTTCTGTTCATTATAAATTACCCAGTCTATGGTATTCTGTTGTAGCAGCAAAAAATCCACTAAGACAGGTATGTATCCTCTCCTGTGTTTGAGAAACTTCACCTCCCACCTACAGGGACTGGTCTGTCACACAAGGCTCTCCCACACCCTACCCAACTCCCCCCGAGAGTTGATTTAGCCAAGTCTTAGTTATTCCATTCAGAATTGCACCTGGTAGCTCATCAAACTGGTCCAAGACAAACTTGGGCTCTCCAAGTCCCTCAGAGCCAGACGAGCTGTCGGGGATGCAGGGATTCATGCTTGTTTCCCCTTAAGTTGTCCCTACCAAAGTGAATGGAAAAGAGATGTCTTTATTCCTCCTAATGCTCCTGGAATAATAGTCGGTGCATGCACACACTCTCCCCTGACAAACATTAATTCCCAGAAATAGCATAGATTTTACCTTTAAAAAGAAAACAAACCTTATTTTTCCCAAACTGTCCATACTCTACCAGGCTGTGCCTTGGAGTTTCACTTTACATCGTTTTGGTGACCAGAATGTATTCTTTTGCTCAATTTTCCATCCATCCTACCTTCAAATGGTGCTCCCTTCGACTGACCAAGAATAAGAAAAGGGGCCTGTTGGCCATATACCTTTGCTAGTAACTTGTAAAGCGTCTCAAAGACCCCCCCCCCGCCCCATTGCCCCAAAAGCTTGGAAAGTATTATTTATAATGTGAGAGACAAATGAAGTTTTTAGATGATGGAGCCATGCATGCTGTTCTCCAATTTCTGTCCCAATGTGGTGAGGGGGCAGAGGTGTGTGTGTCTGTGTGTGTGTGTGTGTGTGTGTCTGTGTGTGTATGCGCATGCAGGAAGGTTGGGAGGGTAATTCTTCCAGTTATAATAGCAATAAAAATGGTGATGACTGACCCGTCCTAAATGTTATAGCATCTCTCATTCCTGACCCAGAGAGCTATAAAAATACCAGTGCCTCACCCTGCACTATTAAATCAGAGTCTCTGGGAGGTAAAGCCTGGGCATTGTGGTTTTTAAAAGCCTGCAGGTGATTCCAATGTGCAGCCAGGACTGAGAACCACTGGGAAATTGCCACAGCTGGAAAAAGTCACCTTTTGATTCACCTGAAATGAATGATGCAGACTAAGGTAGCATTGTTCCATCAGGCTCCTTTCAGCATCCAAGATTCTGGGTAAAACCTCAAATAGAATGGGGTGTGAGGGTACTGGCTTCCCACGATGCAGTTGGTATGGAGGGTCTGGAATGGCAGTCACCACCAATCCCAGGAAGAGGCTCCCACAGCATAGGCAGACCCTTATTTTTTTTTTTTTTTTTTTTTTTTTTGGAGATGGAGTCTCACTATGTCGCCCAGGCTGAAGTGCAGTGGTGCGATCTCGGCTCACTGCAAGCTCCGCCTCCCGGGGTTCACGCCATTCTCCTGCCTCAGCCTCCCGAGTAGCTGGGACTACAGGCGCCCGCCACCACGCCTAGCTAATTTTTTGTGTGTTTTTAGTAGAGACGGGGGTGTCACCGTGTTAGCCAGGATGGTCTCGATATCCTGACCTCGTGTTCCGCCCGTCTCGGCCTCCAAAAGTGCTGGGATTACAGGCTTGAGCCACCGCGTCCGGCTAGCAGACCCTTATTCTTAATGTAAAGTTATGACTGCAATTATTGTACAGTGCCTGATACAGAGCGGACCTCAACAAATACAGTACTTGAAATAAATACGACCACAGAGAGTAAACAAGCAGTTACTCTCTTCTACCACAAGATGGCAACATTTCAAGACTCACTCTAGAACAATGCTCAAGTCTCAACTGCCAAAATGAAAAGGATGCACGGTTGATAAACGACGAAGCTAGGTGAGTTTTCCTCGATTTTTATTTTTCACCCTTTATCTTTTTAAATAAGTGGAGCCAGGAGCAATGGCTCATGCCTGTAAATCCTAGCACTTTGGGAAGCCGAGGCAGGAGGATTGCTTGAGCCCGGGAGTTCCAGACCAGCCTGGGCAACATAGTGAGACCAACATCTCTACAAAAAATAATTTTAAAAAAATTAGCTGGGTGTGGTGGCATATACCTGTAGTCCCAGCTACTCTGAAGGCTGAGGTGGGAGGACTGCTTGAGCCTGGGAGGTCAAGGCTGCAGTGAGACGTGATTGTACCACTGCACTCCAGCCTGGGCAACAGAGTAACACCCTGTCTCAAAAAAAAAAAAAAAAAAAAAAAAAAAGTGAGAACATAGTGAGTTCACATGGCTCATGTCTCTCCTAGAAGGCTGAGCTGCTTGGTTGACATCTGCATGCTCACAGGATCTTGGAAAGGTAGGTCAGTACCAAGCATGAAACTATTTTATGTAAGGACAGTAAATGACCCCAATTTGGTTTTTCTACCAATAAATCATCTGCCTTATGCCAGGAGACATATTTCCAAGTCACCCTGTCCCCTAGCTTTTTTCATCCACAGGGGGACTTTTGGGAAACAACTGATTTGTGGAAACACAGATACATTTGGGTGTATATCAATTAATAAGACCTCTAAGAACAAGCTCCACTTAATAAAGCTGGCCTTGGGACCAGGGATGTTGGCCTTGGCACCGGGGAGGCTGGCCTTCTCCATGTGTTGGAGAGGAAGCACAGTGACATCCCATGACCGGCTTTTGATTGATTGGCTGAGATCTGGGCCCGGCTACATGAAGGACTATAAGCCTGGTGTTTAAAGAGCCCATAAACTCAGGCAATCAGGGCCCCCGCTCTGTGTTGGCTGTGTGTGGCCCCTGGGGTCCATGTGCAGGGGTCACAGACAGACAGATCATGCCAAAGAGGCAGGGGTTACCTACTTGGCCATCTGCTCCTGCAGCGTCTGAGCTGCCCGCAATACCAGTCACTTGACCCTGGGGGCAGAGGAAGATGAAGTGGCACACGGGGGTGGGATGGCCCGATGGTGTGAGCCACTTACCTTCTGACCGAGCCACTTACTTTCTGACTGCTCCCAGGAGATGAATTAGAAAGGTCTGGGCTTAATAACTATTTAGACATGAAGCATTGCTCAAGATACTTTCCACAATAATGTCTGTAGGTCTCATGCATAGGTAGCAATCCTGGGGCTAATCCCATCCTCTACCTTTTTGGACCCCAGGTCTGTACTGCTCAGTGCTGCTCAGGGATAAATTGTAAATTCACAGTCCTCAGTGCATCTGTACAATCCTTTGACCTGCCTCTAGGAAGCATCCTTTCCTGTCCCCACGATGGCTATTCCAGACCTTCCCCACTACTCCTTAATTTCCATCCTTACCTCAAGTCTCCTCTCAGCAGATGGCTTTGCCTCCTAGCTCCCAGCAAAAATTGAGACCATCCTGCCTGGCTGGGCGCGGTGCCTCACGCCTGTAATCCCAGCACTTTAGGAGGCTGAGGTGGGTGGATCACCTGAAGTCAGGGGTTCGAGACCAGCCTGACCAACATGGCAAAACACTGTCTCTACTAAAAATACAAAAATTAGCCAGGCATGGTGGCGTGCGCCTGTAGTCCCAGCTACTCAGGAGGCTGAGGCAGGAGAATTGCTTGAGCCCAGTGAGCCAAGATCGTGCCACTGCACTCCAGCCTGGGTGACAGAGTGAGACTCTGTCAAAAAGAAAGGAAGGAAGGAGAAAGAAAGAGAAAGAAAGAAAGAAAGAAAGAAAGAAAGAAAGAAAGAAAGAGAAAGAAAATTGAGACCATCTGGCATGAAATCCCTCTACTTCCAGCCTCCCTCCCACAAAAATATTTAGGTCTGCCAGCCCTCACATCCTCCCCACCAGTGTCAGAGAACTGGGTGCGCCATCTATATAGACACCAGAATCTCTTCCCCAGTGCCCTGGATTCCAGTGCCTTCACCCCTCACATATTTCCTCGGGGTCTTTGCTCTACCAGCTTTCATCTCCCTCTCTCTCTCTCTCTCTCTCTGGCTCTTTCCATGTGCACACTCCTCCATCATAAAAAAAAAAACAAAAACAGAACAAAACGAAGGCCTCCCTTAAGCCTGTCTATGACCCATAGTACCACATTCTCCAGCCTGCTTCAGTTCCCTCAAACCCAACTGCTTAGCTCCAGATGTGGGGCAGCAGTAAAGACACAGGGAAATGGGGAAGGGGTAGAAATCTCTTCCCCTCTCCTTCCCACCTTTCCCCACTGGTAGTCTCTTACCACCGGTAGCAGTAGAACAATAAAAATAAACAAAGGGCTCAAGCGGTAGCACCACCATGCACGTGTGACAATGACCTTGTAGTCTCTGACATCCAAGCTGGCATCAGATGTGTCTGCAGGCTGCTGAGGCTGTGGGCAGCAAGAGCCTCTGTCCTAGGTTTCCCCGGGCTTTACCTTCTGCCAAATCATGCCTTTAGCTTTCAATACCAAGGCCACAGTGAAAACAAGCAGGCAAGAAGCCTGTTCTTTCTAAGGATAAAATGGGGACAGGAGCAGCGGTGGAAATATCATTCAGGGATAGGAGGCAGATCTGCTCTGGGCTGAGGTCAGCGTGGGTGGCTCAGTGGGCCTATGCAGCCTTGGAGATGAAATGGGTTCCAGAGGAGACCTGGATTATTGTTCATGTCATTCCCCATCCCCACACTTGGAATCTAGTCTGGGAAATCTTTCAGACTGGCCTCAGCCACTGGCGTTTTGCCCCTCCCTCAGGCCTGAGTCCTGCAGTCCCTCTCTGCAGTTGCTGTTCCCAGGACACTGACCCAAAAGTCTCCTACGCTTCAATTTTCCTAATCATTACAACAAAAACACCCTTGCCAGCTCATCCTGTATGTCCAGCAATATGCTAAGTAACCCACGTACATCATCTCATTTAATTTGATCACCACTGACTCAATGGAGTACGTTTGATTATCTTCATCTCATGGAGGAGGAAACTAAGAGATGGAGAAGTCAGGTCTTCTTAGAGAACTTTACAGAGATAGTGAGCGATGGGACTACGATTCGAAGAGTGGCCTGTTTGACTCCATGCTCTCTTGATTCTACTGCCCAAATATTTGTAAGGCGTATGAGTTTGTTCTAACATACTCAAAAGCAAGAAATGTAACATTACGAATGTGGCAAACCCTCACTAGACAGGGCCAGCAAGATGGCCAGTATATGTTTTTTTTATTTTTTTATTTTTAGTAGAGAAGGGATTTTGTCATGTTGGCCAGGCTGGCCTCAAACTCCTGACCTCAAGTGATCCACCTGCCTCAGACTCTCAACGTGCTGAGATTACAGACATAAGCCACCTTGCCCGGCCCTCTATCATAACCCATTTCTCCTAAAAAAAAAAAAAAAAAAAGGCAGCACTCGCATGATAAAGCTTATGAAGTGTGAGAGGAAGAGGAAATGAGGCAGAGAAATAGTGAAAACCAGACAGGTGCAGTGGCTCACGCCTGTAATCCCAGCACTTTGGGAGACTGAGGCGGGTGGATCATTTGAAGTCAGGAGTTCAAGATCAGCCTGACCAACATGGTGAAACCCCGTCTCTACTAAAAATAAAAAAAATTAGCCGGGCGTGGTGGCATATGCGTGGTGGCACATGCCTTTAATCCCAGCTACTCGGGAGGCTGAGGCAGGAAAATCGCTTGAACCTGGGAGGCGGAGGTTGCAGCGAGCCAAGATCGTGCCATTGCACTCTAGCCTGGGCGACAGAGCAAGAGTCTGTCTCAAAAAAAAAAAAAAAAGAAAGAAAGAAAAGAAAAAAAGAAATAGTGAAAACCAACAAAGTGGGATAATAAAGCTGGCTGTGGCACCCCATGAAATAGAAAGAATCACCAAGCCACACTAGAGTCTCTGGGGAGGCCACATAAAGCCATTGCACCTCAGAGCAGTGTGTTAGGGAGAATCATCAAGAACCTATCTGTTACTTGGGTCTCTCACTGCTCAAAGTTCACACCATGGGGCATTAGCTGCCCCC
Organism: Homo sapiens; assembly: GCF_000001405.40. Taxonomy (NCBI): domain Eukaryota; kingdom Metazoa; phylum Chordata; class Mammalia; order Primates; family Hominidae; genus Homo; species Homo sapiens. The sequence goes on along the minus strand of NC_000015.10, from coordinate 70,808,093 downwards.
TACTTTGGGTTGTGTACCTGGGCCAGCCTCAGCGGACCTAGGTAAGGTTGGACATGGAAGTGGGTGCTGGAGCTGTTTCAGCTCCTTCCCATCGCAGCAGGCATAATGAAGTTCATGCCAAAACCCAGCACTCACCCCCAGGGTGGCTGAGACAGCCTGCTGTGTTGGGAAGTGGGGTGTCGGTGGAAGCAGGGGCTCTCCCTTGTGCAAGTGGTCAGGAGAAGGCCTTGGGGGCAGGCAAGTGACCTTAGGCAGATCTGGCTCTCCATTTCTTTCAACAACAAGTCTAAATTCTTTATCACAGCATCCAAGACTCTCCCCAGGGTGGCTTCACCCTTTCTTTCCGACCTGGTCCTCTTTGCCTCCACACCACCTCATTTCAGTGCCACTGTTTGCCCAGGAAATTCCTACATATGAAGGAGAAAAAGGGACCTCTCTGAGTGGTCCCATCTCCGGAGGCTGTGGGTTTGGCTGGCAGAACAATGTTTTGGTATAAATTGGAAAAATTGTTCTTCCTGGTTTCAGCTCATGCCAGAGTGCACAGTGGATTTCAACATGCCCCTTGGCCACCCATGCGTGGAGGCCTTGCCAATCATACTAAATCCCAGGTGAGGAAACAGGCCAGAGAGGTGGAGGCTCTTGCCCAGGTCACACAATCGCTTAATGACAGACCCAGAGGGGCGACTCAGCTCCTGATTTGAACCAGGCTTCTTTGCCTCCAGCGGGGCAGCCTTGAGATCACCCCACCCCCATCCCACATAGAAACAGTTTTTGAAAATTGCCAGGTGTGTCTGGCATTGACCCTGTGTTCTGCCCTGTTCGGTGCCCATGACTATGAGAAAAGGCCTGCGTCCCAGCTTTCCCTTCCCCACCCGTGACCTGTAGAGAAGAGGCCCCTGGGCCTTTGCCAGTGACCTCATGGGGAACTGCTGCCTGCTGACTTCCTGTTTTTATATTCTTTCTCCTCTGCTTATTTTTTCTGCTTTGTTGTTCTTTGGTCATTTATGGTTCTCCTCCAGTAGCCCACTCTGCAAAAACTGAACTTAATTTTTTGTGATTATTTTAAATACATGTTTCGATAAAGAGACATTATACTTTTTTTTTCCTTTGAGGAATTGGAGTTGAATGTTATTTCTCCCCCCTCTTTATCTCCCTCCTCTTTCCCATGCTTCATTTCCAAAACTAGAATCTTTAGGTTTCATAGCTTAGAAGAAACAAACTCAAAAGCTGTGTCTGCAAGTACCATGTGAATTCCAGGATTCTCTCTCTAGTAGAGATCCCTCTTCTGCTGGATGCTGGAAAAGTCGAACAGGAAGAGGTCTCCTAGCCTTCCCACCGTTGATATCCTTAGCTATCAAATTTACAAGTCCCTGCTTGAAAACCGTGTGGACTCTCCATTTCTTTCAAGATGAAGCCCAAATACCTAAGGGTGAGGACCCGCCAAAGGGCTGCCCAATGAAGCCTTCCAACTTGGTTCACCATTATTCCATTTGTTTCTACACCCTCTCTTCCACCCCGTTTCCTCTATTCCAGCCACAGTGCAGTTCTCACCTTTCCCGAAACCACTGTGCTCCTTCATGTCTCTGTACTTCTGCACCTGCTCTTCCTCTGCCTGGAATCCTTTTCCCTTTCTTTGCTTCATGGACTCTTATTCATCCTTCAAGGCCTAATTCAAATGTCACCTTCTCAGGAATGCCTTAGCCAACACCTCCAAGCTGAGTTTACTACTCTTTCCTCTATGTTCCTTCTACACTTTGTCCTGAAGAGTAAATATAAATGTATTTGAGAGCCATTTTTATTATTCTAGTCTCCTCTTTCATTGGATTACTCATAGGTATTTATACTTACTTATAAGTGTTTCTGTCAGGTATAAATATCTTTCTTACCTATTCTGTGTATGCACATAAGTGTGCAAAGCCCTTGGGGGAAGGTGTGAACTGAAAGGTTGGCCATTCATATGTTGATTTCCCAGAGAGAGGTTGTAGATCATTTAATAAGAAACCAGAACCTGGGGCAGGTAGAAAAAGAAATGCTGTGTCTTCAGGGCCATGCTTGTCAAAACCACCGATGTCAGAATCACCTGGTGGGGCAACTTTTAAACAGTTCTGGTTCCTGGGCCTGGCCTTCAACCTTATGAACCCAGGTTCATAGGTTCCAGGAATCTGCATTTCTTTAAACCATCAAAAGATTCTCTTGTACCAGAGTTTGAAAACCACTGATCTGGGTGCTTTGGGAGCTAGAGTTCATATGCCACAAAACTGTGCTTGTCAAGACCATTAGTTGTCAAACTTCCTGAATGTCTACCTTAGTGACTGCTTTTCAAGCTTCATCTGAATGCTGTCTTGGTGGTGGTATCTGATGCACTTGAGCATTGCCTGATTTTGGAAACTCTTCACTCCCTCACCTTCTATGATACTGCTTGTTCTTGGTTCATACCTTAGCTTTTTAATCACTCATTTTCACAATCCCTATCTGGGTCCTCTTCCTCCTAATGCCTCTTCACTCTTGGGTCTTCACCTTGGCCCCATCCGTGATATTCCACACCAGACCTACAGCTTCCACTGCCACATGGAGATGCTGGTGGTGTTTAAACTATTTCCAGGCAGATGCTCTGCTTGGCCTCCCTCCTATACATACAGCTCCCTCCTGGAACTCTCCACTGGATGACCCCAGGCATCTCAAATCACACATTTCTAAAACTATTAATGTGTATCTCCCTCCAGTTTCCTATCTTTGTGGGAGACAACCTCTTGGACACTTAGATACCAGAGAGTTACCCCGCCCCTGCCTCTGACTAGCTGCATCACCTTGGACATGTTATTTATTTCTCTCTGCCTCCATTTCCTCACCTGAAATACAGACATATGGCAGTGCCTGGTTCATTGGGTTGTGAGGATTAAATGAATTCATGCTTATAAAGTGCTTAGAACAGTGCCTGGTTGCCGAGACCAGCTCGGCTGGGGAGACCCTAACCCAGCAGCGCTAGAGGAATTAAAGACACACACATAGAAATATAGAGGTGTAAAGTGGGAAATCAGGGGTCTCACAGCCTTCAGAGCTGAGAGCCTCAGCAGATATTTACCCATGTATTTATTAACAGCAAGCCAGACATTAGCATTGTTTCTATAGATATTCAATTAACTAAAAGTATCCCTTATGGGAAATGGGATTAACTAAAATTATCCCTTATGGGAAACGAAGGGATGGGCCGAAATAAAGGGGTGGGTCTGGCTAGTTATCTGCAGCAGGAACATGCCCTTAAGGCACAGATCTCTCAGGCTATTGTTTGTGGTTTAAGAACACCTTTAAGCGGTTTTCCGCCCTGGGTGGGCCAGGTGTTCCTTGCCCTCATTCCGGTAAACCCACAACCTTCCAGTGTGGGTGTTATGGCCATCATGAACATGTCACGGTGCTGCAGAGATTTTGCTTATGGCCAGTTTTGGGGCCAGTTTATGGCCAGGTTTTGGGGGCCTGTTCCCAACACCTGGTATGATGGAAGTGTTTAATAAGTCCAGGCTGTTAGGCCGGGTGCGGTGGCTCACGCCTGTAATCCCACCACTTTGGGCCGAGGCAGGTGGATCACTTGAGGTCAGGAGTTTGAGACCAGCCTGGCCAACAAGGCAAAACCCTACCTCTACTAAAAATACAAAAATTAGCTGGGCATGGGGGCAGATGCCTGTAATCTCAGCTACTCGGGAGGCTGAGGCATGAGAATCGCTTGAACCCAGGAGGTGGAGGTTGCAGTGAGCCAAGATCGCGCCACTGCACTCTAGCCTGGGCAACAGAGCAAGACTCCGTCTCAAAAAAAAATACAAAACAAATAAATAAATGCAGGCTGTTAATAATGATGATGATGACACTAAATATTTAGTAGTTGATGTTCATTTTTATCATCCTGGTCCCTTCTCCCTCATTGCCCACCCGCAAGGCAGCCACTAAATCTATTTTCTGTCTTTAGCGTCTCTCCTTCTCTGATACCTGCCACTGCTTCCCTACCACACCGGCTCCACCTTAGGCAGAATGTTCTCATTTCTTCCCTGTTCTTGTCTAGGGCTGGTCTCTCACCTAGACTCCTATCTCTTTTCTCACCTCTGAGGCTCCTTGGAGGCAAGAGCCATGCTTTACTCCTCTTAACCTCCTCCAGCACCAACTGAGTGTACATTAGGAATTTATTGAATAAACAGATGAAATAGAAAAAATAGATATAAGGATGGATGGACAAAATCATTGCATTATATGGAAATCTTCAAAAGCGTAAGATGTCTTATAAATCAGAGTGGTAGGCCAGGCACGGTGGCTCACGCCTATAGTCTCAGCACTTTGAGGAACTGAAGTGGGCGGATCACCTGAGGTCAGGAGTTTGAGACCAGCCTGGCCAACATGGTGAAACCCCGTCTCTACTGAAAATACAAAAATTAGCTGGCCGTGGTGGCAGGCACTGTAATGCCAGCTACTCGGGAGGCTGAGGCAGGAGAATCGCTTGAACCCAGGAGGCAGAGGTTGCGGCGAGCCGAGATCGTGCCACTGCGCTCCAGCCTGGGGGACAAGAGCGAGACTTCATCTCAAAACAATAAATAAATAAATAAAATAAATCAAAGTGGTAATGGATAATCAGGGATTTGGAAAAACAAAATTCTAATTATGGTGTAATCCCCAGAAGGTGTTTCTGAACAGAAAAGTAGCAATGGCTGCCAGGCGCGGTGGCTTACACCTGTAATCCCAGCACTTTGGGAGGCCAAGGCAGGCGGATCACGAGGTCAGGAGATCGAGACCATCCTGGCTAACACGGTGAAACCTCGTCTCTACTAAAAATACAAAAAAATTAGCTGGGCATGGTGGTGGGCACCTGTAGTCTCAGCTACTCGGGAGGCTGAGCCCAGAGAATGGCGTGAACCTGGGAGGTGGAGGTTGCAGTGAGCCGAGATCGTGCCACTGCACTCCAGCCTGGGCGACAGAGCGAGACTCCGTCTCAAAAAAAAAAAAAAAAAAAAGAAAAAAAAGAAAAGTAGCAATGGCCTAATCAATTATGTTAATGTGTTGGAGGAAGCAGATCTCCCAGAAGAAATGAGGTCTGCAGAGATGTTAGAAGGGGAATCAATGTCTGCAAGTGGTCAGTGTGCCTCTAGTTATGCTCAAGGGACAGAGGCGCTGGGCCTGAGGTCAGGGCTTTTCCCACTGCTGGAAAGAGCACTGTTGTGGGGCAGAGATGCTCCATCCGGCCTTCTTGACTCATGTGAAACATTCCCTCTGAGTCTTCCCACTTCCTTTCTTTTCATTCCATCCTTTTCACAGGACCAAGCCTTTCTGATGACTAATTTAGTCTGGGGAGCAGATAAGAATTGTCGTATCCCAGGACATCTTTGCATTTCATTTTGCTGTCAGTCTCTCATGAACATGGTTCTTGTAGGTCTGTTCCCAAGAGTCCAATCAGCTCTGGATGCACTAACGGCACTGAGTTTCTGGACCTACGAGGCTGATGACACCATGGAGCCATGGTAAACGCACTCTTACACTGCCCCAGGTAACCTGCTAGTCGACCAAATAGTCCCAAATTGTGAGCCTCTTCAGTATATAATTGTGTTCTCCAGTGACATAAATAATGCCTGGTTGCATCTACTCAAGGTGTTCTGCCTTCACTATCACTGTTTCTGGAAAATGTGACCTAACTCATTGGAAAAATTCCTTACCAGTTGTCTTGGCCCAACTAACATTCAACTTTAATAATTCTGCTTTTTTGGCCGGGCGTGGTGACTCATGCCTGTAATCCCAGCACTTTAGGAGGCTCAGGCGGGCGGATCACCTGAGATCAGGAGTTTGAGACCAGCCTGGCCAACGTGGTGAAACCCCATCTCTACTGAAAATACAAAAATGAGCCAGTCATGGTGGCAGGTGCCTGTAATCCCAGCTACTTAGGAGGCTGAGGCAGGACAATCTCTTGAACCTGGGAGGCAGAGGTTGCAGTGAGCTGAGAATGCGCTATTGCACTCCAGCCTGGGCAACAAGAGCGAAACTCCATCTCAAAAAAAAAAATAGTTCTGCTTTTTAAATTCATTGACCTGTGATTGATAATATGGAACAAGAATGGCAAATATTTAGCATATATATTGTCTCCACTCCTGCCCATGTTCTTTGCACACACCACTAATGAATTTGGCTTTCTATTCCATTTGTTTTGTTTGTTTATTGTTGTTGTTGTTTTTGAGATGGAGCCTCACTCTGTCACCCAGGCTGGAGTGCAGTGGCATGATCGCGGCTCACTGCAACCTCCGCCTCCCAGGTTCAAGTGATTCTCCTGCCTCAGCCTCCTGAGTAGCTGGGACTACAGGTGTGCACCACCATGCCCAGCTAATTTTTGTATTTTTAGTAGAGACGGGGTTTCACCATGTTCGCCAGGCTGGTCTCAAACTCCTGACCTCAGGTGATCAACCCACCTTGGCCTCCCGAAATGCTAGGATTACAGGAGTGAGCCATTGCACCCAGCTGCCTTTCTTTTCCATTAATTTAGCTGTCAAATTCTTCTTATGGCAGTCATCCAAAAAGACACTACCAAAGTCGATAGATGAGCTATAACAATATTTACCATTTCTGACTTAAAGGTTTCTATTAATTTTCTAAAAAGAAGTGGCATCCCAGTGATCTATTACTCCATAACACACAAAAATTCAGTGGCTTAAGACTACAATTTTACTTGTTCATGATTCTAAAGGTTAGCAATTTGGGCTGAGCTCAGCTGGGCAATTCTGCTGACTTTGTCTGGCTACAATCATTTGGTGGTTTGATGAGGACTGGACGCTCTAACATGGCCTCATTCACATGACTCGCCGTTAGAGCTGGCTGTTGACTGGGCCAGGTATCTGCAGCAGGCTCACTTAGACTTCTTCACATGATATTTATGTTTCAGTGTATAAGTGCATTTCAAGTCCCTGCTTATAATGTGCTTGTTGGCCGGGAGCGGTGGCTCATGCCTGTAATCCCAGCACTTTGGGAGGCCGAGGCGGGCGGATCACCTGAGGTCGGGAGTTCGAGACCAACCTGACCAGCACGGAGAAACCCCATCTCTACTAAAAATACAAAATTAGCCGGGCGTGGTGGCACATGCCTGTAACCCCAGCTACTAGGGAGGCTGAGGCAGGAGAATCGCTTGAACCTGGGAGGCAGAGGTTGCAGTGAGCCGAGATCGTGCCATCGCAATCCAGCCTGGGCAGCAAGAGTGAAACTCTGTCTCAAAAAAAAAAAAAAAATGTGTTTGCTAAGGTCCAATTGGCCAAAGCAAGTTATGTGCTGGAGCCCAGAGTCAGTGTGAAAGGGACTCCATAAGCACATGGATTGAGAGAGGCATGATTTGCTGGGAGCCATTATGGTCAGATACACCCCAGACAGGATGGTACTTTGTTTATCAGAAACTTCCTGAGTGCTTACTATACTGTGCTTGGCACTGAGTATAAAAAGACAAAGCAATTGGGAAGAACTTTGAAGAATGGAAAAGCTCTAACTTGTTGGAAAGGGGGAAGAAGAACACAGCAAATGCCCTAGTGGAATCACTGTGGGTGAAATAATCCTCGTGTTTATGTATGTGTGTGTGCCAGAAAAAAGGGGAGTGCTGAATTATTTAGATAATTTCTTCTATTCGCCATTTTATGCAGATTTGTTCGGTCTAGGTTGAATGAGGAACTCTATTGCTTTCCATTGGGATAAGTGTTCCTTAAAGCTTTTCTTCAGACTCTTAAAATATTGAAAACAATTGCATAAGTGTATCCTTCATGACCACAAAGAGCTACTTGAGATTATTTTTTTCCCCTAGAAACTTGGCCAACTCTGAGACTGAGGCCCAGGCTTGCTAACTCTGATATTTCCTCCCTCTCTGCATTCCTGCCACCCACAGCTGCTCCAGTCCAGAATGAAAGTTCAGAGGCCAAATACTTACAATCCAAACAGCCTCTCCAGCAGTGATGGCAAAGAGACAGCTTCACTTAGGAAAACAAACAATCATGCCTTCCATTTATATAGCTCTTTAGCTATTTTTTTTTCAAGAAATATTCACATCCTTTCTCTCATCAGATTATTCCCAAAACTGAGGTGGGCAGGGCATGTTTTAACTGACGGGGAAACTGAGGCCCAGACAGGCGAGTTGACTTCTTCAATGGGGACAAGGCTGAAGATAGAGCTCTGGCTTCCTGATTCCACGCCTTGGTTTGCCCTGTAGACCACACTGCCACGAACACAGATGCATGCTAGCTCCAGTTCTAGGAAGCCTGCTTTCAAAACCCTTCTGGAGGCCAGGAGCAGTGGCTCATGCCTGTATTCCCAGTACATTGGGAGGCCGAGGCAGGTGAATCATGTGAGGTCAGGAGCTCGAGACCAGCCTGGCCAACATGGCGAAACCCCATATCTAATAAAAACACAAAAATTAGCCGGGCATGGTGGCAGGCGCCCGTAATCCCACCTACTCGGGAGGCTGAGGCAGGGAGAACTGCTTGAACCTGGGAGGCGGAGGTTGCAGTGAGCCAAGATCGTGCCACTGCACTCCAGCCTTGTGACAGAGCAAGACTCTGTTTCAAAACAAGCAAACAAACAAATCCTTCTGGAGTTTTCTGCTCCCCACCTTAGAGTTCCTCTAATAACTACCCCACACTTCTTTTACTTTCCACTCACATCAAAAGAATGAGGAGAACACATCAAACCCTGCCCTCGGTGCTAGCTTCTAAACATTTTCCTTCCAGAAAATAATGGATTGTGTTTGAAGTCCCAACTTCCAGCCCATAGTGGTCCAGCTAGTTTCTCCTGCTGGAAAACAGAGGCTCAAAGCCACTTTCACTGTGAGTTCTCACCTTACCTACTCAAAATAAAACAGGATAAAAGTTAAAATTAACATCCAGAGAAGGCTTGGGGAGGATAAGCCACCAACCAAGGGTAAAACACAGTTTGAGAAAATGCAGTGTCCAGGTGAGAGGAGACACCTCACCTCCATGCTGCTAGACGGTTTTGAGTGAGACGCACACCTTTTACAGTGCTGGTCATCTTCTGCTCAAGCTCATGTTCCCTAAGAGGGATGATTTTCTGTATCCCCGCCCTGGAGCACAGGAACCTATTGGAAAGCTGAGATCTGCAAATTTATTGATTCTCATAAACTAGGTCAGGAAGAGCGAGAAATGGCAGTAATGGCACCTCCTCCCCATGTTCCTTGCTCGTGGCAGACGTGGCAATCTTTCTGGTTGAGAATGGAAGTGGCCTTAGAGTGCTTTTCAGTATGACCGTGGAGGCAGCTACCACCACTTGATTAGGCTGGCATGCTGGATGAAATCTATCTGCCAACTCTCTAGTTCCTGGTGGCCAAAGGCCTTGCAGAAAGTGAGTAGAAGTGGGGGAATTCTCCAGGTATACATGAGGTGGACATTCCTAGCTCCCGGAGGCCCCTATGTTCTAGGCTTTAAAAGCAAGGGAGCATGTTCACCTATAAACAAGAGCTTGCTGCTATAGGAGAGGCTTTGGAAACTGAAGGGCTTTGACAATAGTGAAAGCCAGAGGTTGACTTGCTAACTCTCCAAGGCATTCAGATGCGATCAGTTACTGGGCAGCCCATCTACAAGATTCAGAAAGTGTAAAAGACTGTCAAAAGTCATGAAGCAATGCTCTGAACCACGTTACTAGAAAATTATTAAATGAATGAGGAAAAGAGCAAAGTAGTGAGAACAGGACGGGATGGTAGCACCTGGTTAAATGATGAAGAAACAGGAGCAGAGTAGGGAGGCAACTTCCTCAAAGACACACTGCATGTCCTTGGCAGAACTGGAACCCATTTTCCTCACTCCCAAGCCAACTCTCTTTCAACTTCAATGTGCACCTTCCTCTTTCCGCTACAGCCCCACTTGTATTCCTCTACAAATCCTTACCTGCCCCAGCAACCCTTCACCCAGCCGCCATTCTCCCTGGAGGAGGATTATTAGCTTACAGATTTAGCCACAAGCTGACTCAGTTTAAACTGTGTTTCTAAGGTGGGGGTGGGGATCTCGACCTGTTCCTTTTTTTTCTTTTTTTTTTTTGGAGACAGAGTCTCACTCTGTCACCTGGACTGGAGTGCAGTGGCACAATCTCGGTTCACTGCAACCTCCGCCTCCTGGGTTCAAGAGATTCTCGTACCTCAGCCTCCTGAGTAGCTGAGATTATAGGTGCCTGCTGCCATGCCCAGCTAATTTTTATATTTTTAATAGAGAAAGGGTTTTACCATGTTGCCCAGGCTAGTCTCGCACTCCCGACCTCAAGTGATCCGCCCACCTTGGCCTCCCAAAGTGCTGTGATTACAGGTGTGAGCCACCTCATGCAGCTTTGATCTGCTTTCTACTAGATATGACAATTTGTGCTTCTGTTCTGAGGCCTTTGAATTGCACTCCAAATATCCTCAGGGCAGAGGTGTTAAGTGAGAAGCAGGCACTATTTGATAATGGGCCAGGACATTCCTACAGAATTCCAAAAACCGTTCACCTGTGGCCAGCAGCAGAAGAAGGTATGCAAAGAGAAGAGAAAGAAGGATGCAATGTCCACACATGCTAAAGGAAGGTAAGTATGACAGGTCTGATATACATACATGCGTTCCAAAGTATCCCACACTTGAGGATCCAGAAGATGGGTAACTCCCATAGATGGCTTTTAATGAAGAGCCCTTGCTTTTACAAGAAGTTATAATTGTGGCTTCCATTTTCACAGCTGGTAACTGCAACAGTCACATGAGGATGGAGAGTCTCTTCCTTGTACAGAGCAAATAGCACGGCCCCTGGAGCTCATTGGCATGGGTTGTCCAACTCCCCACTGAAGGGTGGTAACCTTTTAGTGTTAATTCAGTGTTTTAGGCCAATGTCTGGGTTTATTTTTCCCAACATATAAATATGAAGGAGCTTTAGCAATTTAACTTCTGGGAATTTATCCAATGAAAGGGTTAAGAATTTATGCAAGCTCTTCTGGTTCTAGGAGCTTTGGGAGCCATGGCTTACGGTGCAGACATGGCCAAGTCCAAGAACCACAACACACATGACCAGTTCCAAAAACGGCACAGAAATGGTATCAAGAAACCTCAGTCACAAAGATCGGTGTCTCTAAAGGGGGTGGATCCCAAATTCCTGAGGAACATGCCCTTTGCCAAGAAGCACAGCAAGAAGGGCCTAAAGAAGATGCAGGCCAACAGTGCCAAGGCCATGAGTGCACGTGCCAAGGCTATCAAGGCCCTCGTAAAGCCCAAGGAGGTTAAGCCCAAGATCCCAAAGGGTGTCAGCCGCAAGCTCAATCAGCTTGCCTACACTGGCTACCCCAAGCTTGGGAAGCATGCTTGTGCCCGCATTGCCAAGGCGCTCAGGCTGTGCCGGCCAAAGGCCAAGGCCAAGGATCAAACCAAGGCCCAGGCTGCAGCTCCGGCTTCAGTTCCAGCTCAGGCTCCCAAAGGTGCCCAGTCCCCCTACAAAGGCTTCAGAGTAGAGATCTCTGTCTGCCAACGTGAGGACAGAAGGACTGGTGCGACCCCCCCGGGCTGCCATCGGCATGGGGCTGGTGTCCTCCTGTGCTATTTGTACAAATAAACCTGAGGCATGAAAAAAAATAATTTATGCAAAGATTTAGCTGCATGGATGTTCATTACAATTATAATCGAGAAAAAGTTGCAACAACCTAAGTGTCCAACAACAGGGAACTGGCTAAATCAACTTAGTACTTCAGGTGGTAGGAAAATATGCAGCCACTAAATGATGCTGTCAAATGTATCTACAGCCACAGGAAATGTTAGGTAAAAGAGGAGAAATACAGCACAAAGCCATACTACAGGACAGACCTGTTTTTCTTGGAAAAAAGTGCATTTGTGTGTATCATATATTTTATATATACCCAAATATGTTACATATATATATGTTTACCTAGGAAGGCATACTAATAATCTAAAGTGGCATTAATAGTGATGTTTAAGAGAGATTATGAATACTTTAACATTTCTTCTTTTTACTTGTATTAGTATTTTCTGATTTTTCTGTAATGAGCAGTAATCCTTTTTTTTTTTTTTTTTTTTTTTTTTTTTTTTTTTGAGATGAAGTCTTCCTCTGTAGCCCAGGCTGGAGTGCAGTGGTTCAATCTCAGCTCACTGCAACCTCTGCCTCCCAGGTTCAAGAGATTCTCTCCTCCCGAGTAGCTGAGATTACAGGTGCGCACCACCACCCCCAGCTAATTTTTTGTATTATTAATAGAGATGGGCTTTCACCATGTTGTCCAGGCTGGTCTTGAATTCCTGACCTCAAGTGATCCACCTACCTCGGCCTCCCAAAGTGCTGGGATTACAGGCATGAGCCACCGCGCCTGTGGAGCAGTGGTACTTTTTAATAAGAAAAAGCGATAAAAGAAATTTTATGTTGAAAAAGACAGATCCTTGACTATGATCATTGAAGTTCAGTCAGGCTCAGGAATTCTGTAAGGAAACAATAATCCCTATAGAACAGGGGTGGGTGGGAGGAGAGCAGGAGGCCACCTCCTGCTAAGAGACCTGGAGAAGGAATCATTTCCCTTCTACTTTGGCCCGTGTGCTCCATATAAACATCCTCTCCACCCAGGTCTTGCTCTGTCCTGGAGTTACTCATCACTAGCTTATTACTGGCCTTATTTTGACTCACTGTTCAAACATCATTGAAAAGGAATTTCTGTTTAACCACAGCATCCACATGAAGAATTCTGCTAAAACTCCATTTTAACTGAATTTCGGCACACAGATGACTTAAATTAGCTACACTGGCCTGGGAAGAAGCCCCCAAATCCCCAACACCCGGAGGACTTGCTGCTGGTAGGCTTGATCAGCTGGTGGATAAACCCCATCTCCCATCCCCACCCTCCCTCAGCCCCTCCACCCACAAAGCCCGGGCAGCAATTTGTGAGATGTTTCCCTCTCCTTGAATTTCCATCGTGAGCTGGTTACTGTGGTTCACGCCTGACATGCCTCTGTCTCTGCTCAAGAGGTTAAAAGTAGAGAAACTTGTAGCTTCAGAGGTCACAGAGAGATTTAGAATGAGAGAGAGCTGTGGGTGAACTGTGAGATCTCGTGTAACCACTCACCCTGGGTGTTTGGGGATAGCCTCCATTCCCTCATCCTCTCCTTTGAATGCTGGTTTTCCTATTTATCCTTCTCAGTCACCCTTGAGGGAGGCTCTCCCACCCCCTCTCAATTGTTAAAGAACTTCTGCGTGGGCTTCAACATTCTCTCGGCTGCCCCTTGGGAGGGCCTTGGTGTGCTCTTATTTTTTCCTTGTATGTTTAAGCCCCCCTGGGGCCCTCTTGACCCTTGCGGGCTGGTTACATTTGGCTCAAGCCTGGACTCCATCGCCTGTGACCAGAGGCAGAGTAGGGGTGGTGGGAATTAGCGGGGAGGGTTTTCCTACATTCTTAAAGATAATATAATAACATTGTGGCTAAGATGGAAATATGTTAGAGGAAGCAAGATTGTGAGACCGATGTAGGAAAGAAGCTCCCACCAACCGATGGTGAGGACTCTGCAGCCCCAAACCCTGACAAAACTGAGCCATGCCTAATTGTGGCCTAGATTGTGGATGTGTGCCTGCCCACCAAGAGGAAAGCCAGAAACATGCCTGCATGGATAGAAGGAGATTCCCTCTTAGTTGAGCGGTGAAGGGGTGTGGGAGAGCAGGGAACCATGCATGACACACCATGTGTCTCTTCCCAAAGGGGAGAAGCCCCTGTGAACCTACCTCAGGGGTCTGCTTGATGAGGCCCACCCTATCCTACTCTTTGTCCTTCATTCGACAGCATTTGTCAAGCATCCACCATATGTCAGGTCCAAGGTTCCATGCTAACTGGGGAAAGTGAGGCAATCAAGCAGCTTATCTAAGGTTTATCCTCCAGCCTTGTTAGTAGAAGAGCTGGAAGACAATAGTGTGAGGGCTCTCACTCCAGAGCCCTCACACTTCACCTCTATGCCAGATGTTTGAATGAAGGGAAGTTCTCTTAGGTGTTTCCCAGGCTTTGTCCAGGCTGCCTGCAACGTCTGCCCGTGGGATCTGACTTCCCAGCAGCTGGGATCAGCCAGCCTACAAGAGCAAGCAGAGCACTCCGAGAGTCTCTAGTGGGGTTGCCTGGCCAGTTGGCTCCTGGTCTCAGCAGACTCCTGCTGGTGGTGCGCAGGCTGGGTATTTGTGTGGACAAGGGAGTGTTCACCTCCAGTTCTCAGGACAAACAGTGCCACACCAGCTGGCTGGGATGTCTGGAACTGGTGTTTCCACTCAACAGCACAACCCAGATTTAGGTTCCTAAAACGTCCTAAGCAGCCGCCCTCTTGGATCTTTAATCCTTCCTCCTGTGCCCTTCCTGCCACCTGTAGTCTAAATTTAGTGACAAGCACAGCAGAGCACCTTCTGCCTGGGCCACTTTGGCAGGTCATGGATCCACTAATGAGTGTGCACATGTTCCATCTCTTCAGGGTTACCCATACGGGTGAAGAGCTTCTAGGGGAGCCCCACAATTATCTTCCTGGTAGGGTCTCCTGCCCTGTGAGTTTTCTTTTTTCTTTTTCTTTTTTTTCTTGTTTTTTGTGTGTTTTGAGACGGAGTCTCACTCTGTTGCCCAGGCTGGAGTGCAGTGGCAAGATCTCAGATCACTACAACCTCTGCCTCATGGGTTCAAGGGATTCTCCTGTCTCAGCCTCCCAAGTAGCTGGGATTACAGGCATGCACCACCACACCCAGCTAATTTTTGCATTTTTAGTGGAGGCGGGGTTTTGCCATGTTAGCCAGGCTGTTCTCAAATTCCTGACCTCAGGTGATCCGCCCGCCTCAGCCTCCCAAAGTGCTGGGATTACAGGCTTGAGCCACCACGCTCGGCCTAATTTTGTGTCTCATATTCTTGACTTACCATTTTTCGAAATAAGTGTTCTCTAAGTCTCTATTTCAAACTGTCGAACACCATTTGTTAACACAATATTTCATCATTTCAACATGCCATGACTTCTTCACCATTCCTCTGTTCTGGAAGTGTAAGTTGCTTCCAGTTTTTGTAGTTATACAACTCAATGATAAGCATCCTCATGCCTAAATCTGTAATGACATTTAGAATTACTTTCTTCAGATTGATTTCTGGAAGTAAGATTATAAGATAAAAGGCTATGAACATTTTTAAGCATTGTGATCTTTCATGCCATAATATTTTTTGAAAGAGCTGGGTCATCTTACATGATTTCCTCCCAGCAGTGCAGGGAGTGAATAGGCAGCGTTTCTTGTGTGAGTGAAATCAAGTTCAAAAATAGAAAGAAAGAAAGAAAGAAAGAAAGAAAGAAAGAAAGAAAGAAAGAAAGAAAGAAAGAAAGAAAGAGAGAGAGAGAAAGAGAGAAAGAGAGAAAGAAAAAGGAAAAAGGAAGGAAGGAAGGAAGGGAGGGAGGGATGGATCAGGTTCACCGGCAAATTTTAGCCTAAAGGGACAGGTCAAAAAAGGGAGAAAGTGAAGCTTTACTTCTTGCAAAGAAACAACTTTTATGAAACGGTTATGGAAATGACAGCCTATTGAGACTTATTCCACATCAAATGAGGAAGTCATCTCTTCCTCTGCTCTCCTCCCTCGGCAAATCCTCTATCCACTTCTCCTAGAACACAGGGGTAGAGCAGTGGCACCAGCCAGCTTCTTGGGAACAGATGGCTCTGCTCATCATAGTCATCATCCAAAAGGCAGAAACATACTAGTAGGAAGAGACCTTAAAGATTCTTTGGTCCAATCCCTCCCTTTATCAGATCAAAGTCTAGAAGAATGAGGTGGCTTATTCAAGAAGTGATTCACTGCTAGTTTATGGCATTCCTGGGACTAGTACCCATATCTCCGTTCACATTTGATGACAAATAAAAACAGTTGGACTTGATCTGAAGGCACAATCCTTTTATGCATGATTCCTTGCACACATGTATTCTTGTATTCGTGTTTCCCTTAAGATTTGAGGATGTGGCTGATGTCACACAGTTGTCTACAGGCTTAGAAGATTAAAAATCTGATTTAATAGGTTTCGGAGTGTCCTGGCTGATTGGTCGTCCTGAGTGAATGGTTTCTCATGTCTTTGCTAATTTTCTGGATGCTCTCAAAGGAAGTTAATTAACCTGAGGCCTCCATCCAGCTGTGCTCCAATTCAACTGATCTTGAGGTATGCCTGTCAGGAAGAGAATTATAACATGTAGGTATGAAGCTTTCTCCTTTCATATATATTGGGACACCTGAAATGGGTTGAACCTCAGACATATCCTTGCTGTTAAAAACTTAATCATTATTCAAAGCTGAGTTCAAATCCCACCTTTTGCAGGGAAAAAAAAATCTATTGAACCACCTAGGCTAAAGTGTTCACTTTGTTTTCTAAATTCTAGCCATCTATGCCAGTAGTTTGAACAAACTCTATTTGAGCATGATGGTTTTTAACTTCAAAAAATGTTCACAGAACCTGCATAATTATTCTTTTAGCATGTATGTATGTATGTATGTATGTATGTATTTTTCCTCACGTTTATTCATGCAAATAGCACAGGAGGGCACCAGCCCCAAGCAGACAGCAGCCCAGAGGTCACACCAGTCCTTCTGTACTCATTCTGGCAGACACAGGCCTCTACTCGGGAGCCTTCACGGCTGCCTGAGCACCTTTGGGAGCCTGAGCTGGAGCCAGAACTGAGGCTGGAGCTGAAGCCGTGGTCTGAGCCTTGTTTGGAGCCTTGGCCTTTGGTCAGCAGAGCCTGAGACACCTGGCAATGTGGGCATGAGCACACTTTCCAAGCCTGGGGTGGGCACTGCAGGCAAGTTGATGGGGCTTGCAGCTGACACCCTTTACGATCTTAGGCTTAACCTCCTTGGGTTTTACAAGGACCTCAATAGCCTTGGCTCTGGTACTCATGAGCATTGCTGGCCTGCATCTTCTTCAGACCCTTCTTGTTGTGCTTTGAAGCACATGTTCCTCAGGAACTTGAGGTCCGTCCACCCCCTTAAGAGATTCACATGTTTGTGATCAGGGTTTATTTATACCTTTTTTTTTTTTTTTGCCATTTGGGGGACTGGTTGTGTGTGGTATGGTTCATGGAATTGGCCATGTCTGTGTTATAACCCACAGCTTTAAAGCTCCTGGGACAGGAAGAGTAGCATCTGTCTTAAATGTCCACGATTAACAAAGGATAGCATGAAATCCTAGGCTTTTAAGAGGCTATATATTTTGCCAATCACAACATACATTTGAAAAATAAGTACAATAGTCCCCCCATTATCTGTGGGAGACACATTCCAGGACCCTCTATGGATGCCTGAAACCTTGGATAATACCAAACCCAATTGCCATCAGTTGAAACATGTTCTGTACATGTCTTCCACCCACAAAAATTAATGTCTTTTCCATCTAAACTAGGCACTTACCACACACTGTGGCAGTAACTTTTGCAGTTTGGTGTGTGACAGCCAAACTAGTACAAACTCCTTATCATGGTATTTTTATTTTTTATTTTATTTTATTTTTTTTTTTTTTGAGACAGAGTCTTGATCTGTCACCCAGGCTGGGATAAGTGGCACAATCTGGGCTCACTGCAACCTCCATCTCCCAGGTTCAAGCGATTCTCGTGCCTCAGCCTCCTGAGCAGCTGGGATTACAGGCATGCACCACCACACCCAGCTAAATTTTTTTGCATTTTTAGTAGAGATAGGGTTTTGCCACGTTGGCCAGGCTAGTCTCGAACTCCTGGCCTCAAGTGATCCACCTGCTTTGGCCTCCCAAAGTGCTGGGATTACAGATGTGCGCCACCATGCCTGGCCTTTATCATGGATCTAAACAACCTCATCATGCAGTATCTTTTCTTTCCTTATTAAGTGGAGAACTTTTATCTTTTCCCTCAAAGGAAGCACTTGATGCCTTCTCTTTGGCATACCCAAATTGCCAGCACCACTACTCTTTATGCTTTGGGGCCATTAAGTACAGTAAGTCCTCACTTAACATCATCAATAGGTTCTCAGAAACTAGGACTTTAGGCCCGGTGCCATGGCTCACGCCTGTAATTCCAGCACTTTGGGAGGCCAAGGTGGGCGGATCACCTGATGTCGGGAGTTCGAGATCAGCCTGGCCAACACGGAGAAACCCCGTCTCTACTAAAAATACAAAATTACAGGCATGGTGGCGCATGCCTGTAATCCCAGCTACTCGGGAGGCTGAGGCAGGAGAATCGCTTGAACCCAGGAGGCGGAGGTTGTGGTGAGCCGAGATTGCGCCACTGCACTCCAGCCTGGGCAAGAAGAACGAAATTCCATCTCAAAAAAAAAAAAAAAAAAAAGAAACTAGGACTTTAAGTGAAACAACATATAAGGAAATCAATTTTACCATAGGTTAATGACACAAACAATAGTTAAGTTCCCTCAGCATATTTCTGGTGACAAAACTGTCATCAAACTTCTAAATATATGCCAAACTACTCATATTAAACCTTACAATAAATGTGAGCTATGCATGTATTTAAGAAACATTATTAAAAGCAAGTAAGATAATTATTTACATTCTTATTGCAGTTCAGAGCCATGGGTAGCTGGAGCCTGTCCCAGCAGCTCAGGGTGCAAGGTGGGAACCCACCCTGGAGAGGGTGCCATTATCTCACAGCGTGCAGCCACACCCACACTCACACCCACACTCACTCATCCTGAGATGAGGTAGACATGCAAATTCACCTCATGTGCATATCTTTGGGATGTGGGAGGAAACCCACGCAGACATGAGGAGAACAAGCAAACTCCACACAGATGTCGGCCCCAGACAAGAATTTATTTTTTTTTTTTCTTATCAACATTATAACAGAGGCCGGGTACAGTAGCTCATGCCTGTAATCCCAGCACTTTGAGAGGCTGAGGCAGGTAGACACTTGAGGTCAGGAGTTTGAGACAGGGTTCTCTACTAAAATTACAAAAATTAGCCAGGTGTGGTGGCACGTGCCTGTAATTCCAGCTGCTCCGGGCTGAGGTAGGAGAATTGCTTGAACCCGGGAGGCGGAGGTTGCAGTGAGCTGAGATCATGCCACTGAACTCCAGAACTCCAGCCTGGGCAACAGAGTGAGACTCCAACTCAGAGAAAAAAAAGAAAAAAAAAAAGGACAACGTTATTCAAGGCCTTGTTATCCTGTAAAATAAGAGTCACTTGAACCCAAGCACCGTGATACGTGACAGTCGTCTTATAACAGAGATGGCTATCTAGTGACTAACGAGCAGGTAGTGTCTGCAGTGTGGATCCACTGAACACAGGGAGGGTCCACATCCCAGGCTGGATAAAGTGGGACAGTGCACATTTTAAAACTCATGAATTGGTTATTTCTGGAATTTTCCATTTCATATTTTCAAACCTTGGTTGACTGTGGGTAACAAACATCAGAAAGCCAAACCATAGATAAGTGGGGAGGAGACTACCATTTGAGACATGTCTGAGTCATCTTACAGATATAAGGATTTGTGATGCTTAGCATAACCCATAGTTTACAAGAGGTCTAGGGTCCAAAGGTTGGGAACCACTGACCTATTGCATTTATTGACAATGAATCACAGTCCTGGTGATGTTGCTTGCAACTGTCACCTAACTCTTCAGGTCTCACCATCTCCCTCAATTACACTGAATCTTTCCTGAGGACAGGAACGTCCACTTATATGCCTTTGTACACCCACAATGCTAATGGACCCATCAATTAAGGACCATTAATTGAGCACTACCCATGAGGAGGACACTGAATTAGATTCTGTGGGAGGTAGGAAGTGCAGAGTCCAGTTTCTGCCCTTCAGATCTCACATCTGGTTAGAGATATGGCAAATGCCTTTGAGAAATGAGGTAACAATTTAATGGCTAAACTTCAGAGTGAAAGAGAGGTTATGGGATAGATTAGGAAATGAGTTGAACAGATGCTGACTGCTATGAGTACAGAAAAGGAGGAGTTAAGAGTATGCTGCTGAGCTGGAAAACTATGTAGAGGGGTTTGAGTGTGTGAGCCTGAAAAAGGATTAGTACTCAGGCACTTCTTTCAACTCCTGGAAGGTGCTCAGAGAGTAACTGAACAAATACATGCATAAGAGAAACACTTTTGGTCATTTGCTCCAAGATAGGCACAAAGTGAAACCCTTACTTTTTTTTTTTTTTTTTTTTTTTTTGAGATGGAGTCTTGCTCTGTAGCCCAGGCTGGAGTGCAGTGGAGCGACCTCAGCTCACTGCAACCTCCGCCTCCCAGGTTCAGTGATTCTCCTGCCTCAGCCTCCCAAGTAGCTGGGATTACAGGCACCTGCCACCAGGCCTGGCTAATTTTTGTATTTTTAGTAGAGACAGGGTTTTGCCATGTTGGCCAGCTGGTCTTAAACTCCTGACCTCAGGTAATCCACCCGCCTCAGCCTCCCAAAGTGCTGGGATTACAGGCGTGAGGCAATGCATCTGGCTGTGAAACCCTTACTCTTAAAGAACAACATTTACTCTGAAACATACAGAAGTCAATTTTTTGAAGGTGGCAGTGGATGAAGAGGAGATGTGCCCTGAATCCCATGATCTCTTAAGATGTCGCTGGGGTCCAGAAATTGTTTAGGTGAAACTTTCACAGAAGAGAGCACTGATGCTTCAATAGTGAAGTGAGTTGGCCAGGATCATACAATCAGTTAGTTCGCAGCAGAGCTGGGACTTGACCTCTAAGAGCTGGACTTCAGGGCTAGTGTTCTTTCCACTTGATCTTGTTACTCCTAGAATCCCCTCCTTTTTCTTGAACTTGTCAAAACAATTTGTCTAAAAGGAGTTTGCCCAAGCCGAATCCATTACACCACCCTGTTCTAATTGAAATGCTAGACTGATCTTTATTCGCTTACTATCTGAACAGGCCTTAATTAGAAATTAGGAGCAACGCCTGGGTCCTGGCCAATGCCTCAAAGAAACTGTATTGGCACCCGCAATGCTAAAACCATGGTTGTTAAAGACAAACTGCTAATTACAAAATCCAAACCACTGCTTTGTGGGTTGTGGGGATCTCAAGAGAGTGGGTGGGAGATGGGGCCAATTCTGGAGGGGCCTCCTTTATTGCCATTGATTTTTGGCCACAACAGAGAGCTGCCTCCTTTTTTTTTCTTTTTTTTTTGAGACAGAGTTTTGCTCTTGTCGCCCAGGCTGGAGTGCAATGGTGCAATCTTGGCTCACTGCAACCTCTGCCCCCCAGGTTCAAGCGATTCTCCTGCCTCAGCCTCCCGAGTAGCTGGGATTACAGGTGCCTGCCACCACGCCCGGCTAATTTTTCGTATTTTTAGTAGAGATGGGGTTTCACCATGTTGCCCACGACAGGCTGAGCTGCCTCCTCTTGGATGCCACAAACCAATTAGGTTGGGAACCCTTCCAGGGAAGCTGCCTCCATCTGGGAAATATTTGGGCAGCCTGGGTGATCTGAAAAGTCACTGGGGGGGATTGTGCGGTGGCTCAGGCCTGTAATCCCAGCACTTTGGGAGGCCGAGGTGGGTGGATTACCTGAGGTCAGGAGTTTGAGACCATCCTGGCTAACATGGTGAAACCCCGTCTCTACTAAAAATACAAAAAATTAGCCGGGTGTGGTGGCAGGTGCCTGTAATCCCAGCTACTCAGGAGGCTGAGGCAGGAGAATCGCTTGAACCCAGGAGGCGGAGGTTGTAGTGAGCCAAGATCATGCCATTGCACTCCAGCCTGGGCAACAAAAGTGAAACTCTGTCTCAAAAAAAAAAAAAAAGAAAGAAAGAAAAAGAAAAGAAAAAAAAAAATCAACCCCAAATCACCAGATCATCTATGGGCTGAAGTCAAGCTGCTGGGTTAGTCTGTTCCATTAAGAAGTAACTGGCAAATTATCTGCCAAGAGATCGTGGTCTCTCCTGCATAGTTTTCTTATCTCACTGATAACTTACTTTATCATTATGAAAGACTCTACACCTTCATGCTTCCTCTTCCCTGAACTTCCCCAACCAAACCTTGCCCTCAGAGCCATAATTCATTAATTCACTCACTCAACACATTTCTATGCAACACGTCTTATATTCCAGCCATTGAGCTAGGTGCGTATAGTGTAGCCACTGCTGATATTGCCTACTAGGTGATATGGCTTCCACCTCTAACTCTACCTCTCACTGTGTGAAAGGCAAGACATTTGCTTTTCTGGTCCCTCTCCCTGCCCCTCTGGTTCAATCTCCTCACCTATAAGGTGATGGAATTGTAGAAAATGGTTCCTTTTGATTCTATCTGTATCCTTCAGGGTCCGGTTAGGAGACAGCAATCACACAGTATTTGGAACAAAAGTTTAACATAAAAAATTATTAACTAGGGCCAGGCGTGGTGGCTTTCGCCTGTAATCCCAGCACTTTGGGAGGCTGAAGCGGGCGGATCACAAGGTCAGGAGTTCGAGACCAGCCTGACCAACATGGTGAAACCCCGTCTCTACTAAAAATACAAAAATTAGCCGGGCGTGGTGGTGCGTGCCTGTAACCCCAGCTACTCAGAGGCTGAGGCAGGAGAATGGCTTGAAACCTGGAGGCAGAGGTTGCAGTGAGCCGAGATTGAGCCATTGCACTCCAGCCTGGGCGACAGAGTGAGACTCCATCTGGGGAAAAAAAAATTGGCTGGGCGTGGTGGCTCAAGCCTGTAATCCCACCACTTTGGGAGGCCGAGGCGGGTGGATCATAAGGTCAGGAGATCGAGACCATCCTGGCTAACATGGTGAAACCCCCGTCTCTACTAAAAATACAAAACGTTAGCCAGTCGTGGTGGCAGGCCCCTGTAGTCCCAGCTACTCGGGAGGCTGAGGCAGGAGAATGGCATGAACCCGGGAGGCGGAGCTTGCAGAGAGCTGAGATCGCGCCAGCCTGGGTGACAGAGCGAGACTCCATCTCAAAAAAAAAAAAAAATTATTAACTAATAGCAGGCAGTTAGCTATTAAAGGGTAAAGTGAACTCTGAAGAATACAGGACTAGCAGATAGAGGGAGCAGCTTAGGGTCCACCCTAGGGCTGAAACAGAGAACCCAAGAAAGGGACAAATTTGGAGAGTCTCCATCCCGATGCAGAGACAGAGACCTTACAGAGAAGGTATAGCTGTCACCAATGAATGGTGGAGGGAGTTGCTGGGTGTGACAGACTGGGGTTGGCAGGCAAGAACCAGGACACTTGTGGAACTTGCCAGAAGCTGCCTGTGGGGTTAAAGTGAAACTTGCTGAGGGTGAGTCCCACCCTTGACCACAGGAGAGCCACTGGAGGAGGAAGAAAAGAAAGCACCTGAGAACCAGGAAGAGAAGCCCCTTTCTCCTGCAGTATCCCTCCAGAACCCTCCACTGACAAAGCTTAACATTATGTCATCAGGTGAAGAGAAATGTTTCTGGGATTCAGCACCAGTATCACAAGCACGGGAAGTGAGGAGGAGGTGTGAAGATGGGAAGTGATAAATCGATAACCAGCATGCTGTCATTCTATACTATATGATTCTTTGAAATTTAACCTTAATGTATGAAAGAAGTGCGTAAGTTGTGTTGTACAGGTTAGATATGATCTTAGTCTGTTCTTCTACACCTTCCTCACCTCTATTCCTCAATAATTAACAAATTTCTTCAGAATGAAACCAATCTTGGCTAGGATGGCATTTCACCTCAAAACTTTAAACATGTCATAATCATGTACATATATGATCATATATCTATATTGTATATATAATTATATGATTAGTATAATAGTTACATAATAACTAAACATCTATACCAAGGACAGAGGTGGGTCTAAGCTTCTAAAAGAATAAATAAAAGATGCCAAAGATTTCAATATGCTTCCTGATGACAGCAAGTAACTTGGAGGGGAAATAAGATCCAGTGAAGTCAATATCAAACCAAATATTATCAAAAATCAGCTGAGTGACAGAAAATGTGATGAAAGTTTACAGGAGGGAAAAAGGCCCATAGGCTGAAATGGCCAAAGAAAGATTTGTGCCCGGCAGTAAAATTAGCGAAGAATGTTTAGCAATGGGTAGAAGTTGTATGTAAAGTGCAATGGGAATAGGCTAAGATGTGGCTACAGAATGAGAAACATAGACTAACTGGTCCCTTGGCTCTGAATTTGCTAACCTTAGGTTTGAACTGAGCCAGTCAGTTGCAGATGTGTTATGCGCATAGGACAGATGCCAGGAAGATGAGCATGCATGACTTCAAAGACTTGCTGGATCCTGTAAGGCTTTGTTGAAGGAAACATCATTCTACAGACTTCTCCATCATTTAGATGAACCTGTGGTTTCCATATCAGTGGACTAAGCATTTGGTAGTATAGAGGATTTGCTGCTATAATATTCAACTTCTGCTCTTCACATTGTTTAAGTGAAATATTGAAATACCGGCCGGGCACAGTGACTCACGCCTGTAATCCCAGCACTTTGGTCCCGGCTAATCACTCACTCGGGAAGCTGAGGTGGGAGGATCTCTTGAGCCTGAGAAGTCAAGGCTGCAGTGAGCTGTGACTCCACCACTGATACTCTTCCCCAGGTGTCCCTTTGCTGGCGGGTGGATATTTTCCAGGGCGTTCTTTCACAGAAGACTCAGCTTTCTGATAAAATACCTGATAAAATATATCTGTAAAATATTGCATTTACTACTTACAGGGCATGCCATGGGGCTCTGACAAATAGAATGCAAAGGAGATCACCGGTATCAGTCCACACATGAAATATTAGAGAAGCGATTTTTTTTTGCATTTTTTAGAAAGAAAATAATTGGAAATAGAAATTTTTATTTTTATTTGTACCTTTCCTCAAGGCACCACCCTAAGGTGGTGTCTCCTGCCTCCAGCCTTTACCAGGAAGCTGCAGTGACTGCACTGGCAGCTCTGGGCTTTATTTCCTTCTTTGGTTTTGGCCCTGGGAATTGCCCTGACTTTCTTAGAAACTCTGTTATTCATTAGCAATAATTATTCTTTTCAACATCACTAAGTGTTTTATAGCGTGATAGTTTTCATTTTTCTTTTTCTTTTCTTTCTTTCTTTTTTTTTTTTTCTTTTCTTTTTGGGATGGAATCTTGCTCTGTTGCCCAGGCTGGGGTGCAGGGGTATGATCTTGGCTCACTGCAACCTCCACCTCCCGGGTTCAAGTGATTCTCCTGCCTCAGCCTCCCAAGTAGCTGGGACTACAGGTGCCCACGACCACACTCAGCTAATTTTTGTATTTTTAGTAGAGGTGGGATTTCACCATGTTGGCCAGGCTGATCTCAAACTCCTGACCTCAGGTGATCCACCCGCCTTGGCCTCCCAAAGTGCTGGTATTATAGGCATGAGCCACTGTGCCCGCCCAGCATGAGAGGTTTAAGGTCATTTTGTCTTCCTTATTGCTGGAAATGGAAGGCTATAAGAGTTTTGGAAAGAAACGTGGTTATTTTATGTAACAATGGAAACATTTTCAAATCTCCATTTTCAATATGCTCTCCTTATGAGTGCCTTTTGAAAAAAAATCTATTTCTTATTCATTGTTAAAATATTGCATTTATCTTGAAGGGATACACTCAGAAGTTTTGTTTTTTCCATACCATTTGCTCTAGGTAGCATACTACTTACTGTTATTTGCCATCATGAAAAAGACTAGCAAAATTGGAAAATTTGTAATTTTGTAAAATAGAGGGCAACCCCAAGTTTAAATTGAATTTTAAAGTACTTTTATGATCATGCTTCATCTCAGTACAAAGTAGTGTAAAGAGTCTACTATTTAAAGGTCTTGTTTTCATAAAAGTAGCCACATTAGTGATATTCTAAAGCACTCCAATTGCAATATGTGGCGACGTGCTGAAATTGAACAAGAATCAGGGGCCCCATTGTCATCCCCTCAGTGCTAAGGAAAGTCTACTGTTCCTTTAGCTTTCACCACTCACTGGGCATGACAAGGGGCTCTGACAAACAGAATACAGGAGAGGCCACCGTTATCAGTCCACATATTAAATATTAGTAATGCTTAATTTTTTTATCTTTTAGAAAAAAAAGTAGAAATAGAAATTTCTTCCCTTTTCTCAAAGGATTATCTCATACACTCTGAGAGGGGTCCCGCCCTATTTTGTAGACCACTGTTTTATAGGAAGTGTTGTGGGTTGAACTGTGTCCCCCAGAAAGACATGTTCAAGTCCTAACCACTGGTACCTGTGAATGTGACCTTGTTTGGAAATAGGGTCATTGCAGATATAATTAGTTAAGATAAGGTCATACTGGAGTAAGATGCAATATGACTGGTGTCCTCATAAGATGAGAAAAAGACATGTTTATTAAAAGATTATGTAGAGAAACAGCCATGTGATGATGGAGGCAGAGCTTGGAGCAACCCATCCACAAGGGCAGCATACCAGGAATTGCTGGCAAACACCAGAAGCTAGAAGAGGCAACGAAGGATTCTCTTCTATGCCTTTCAGAGAGAACATGGCTCCGCCAACACCTCGCTTTTAGACTTCTGGCCTCCAGAACTGTGCGATGATACATTTCTGTTGCTTAAGCCACAGCTTGTGGTACTTTGTTATGGCAGCCCTAACCAATGAATTTAGAGAATGAAGAAAGTTCAGAGAGGTAGCAGAAGTACTAGTAGAGCAAGGTGACCCAGAGAACTAGACAGGTGAGAGCTTAGGAGGGAGGGTGTGTCAATGGTTTCAAATGCATCCCAGGAAGCAAGAGGACATGAGCAAAGGTCCTGGAATGTGCCTGCTTAGGGCTAGGGGCTGGGAGAGGAAACATTCCTGCTCAGAGGGGCGAGGCACTCAGAGAAGTAGAGGAAGATGCATCGGTACCAAGCGCGGTGGCCCAGGCCTGTAATCCCAGCAATTTGGGAGGCTGAGGTGGGCGGATCACTTGAGGTCAGGAGTTTGAGATCAGCCTGGGCAACATGGTGATGCCCCCGTCTCTACTAAAAATATAGAAATTAGCCAGCCATTGTTGTGGGCACCTGTAATGTCAGCTACTCAGGGGGCTGAGGCAGGAGAATCGCTTGAACCTGGGAGGCGAAGGTTGCAGTGAGCCGAGATCACACCAGTGCACTCCAGCGTGAGTGACAGAGTAAGACTCCATTTCAGAAAAAAAAAAAAAAGAAAAAGAAAAAGAAGATGCATCGGGGCATCGGGACAGGTTGGGTGCAGATGGCTGTGAAGAGCCCTGAGCGCCCACTCCTTTTGCCTTTTGTTGGCGTTCCCTCTTCTGGCATCTGCATTCCTACTCCCTTCTAGTCATTGCAACCCTGTCTACGTTGTTTTCCTTGAGATTTTCTTGTGACACGTATCTAGGCTTCCAAGTGCCCCACCAACACTACAGATGTCTCCATTGCCTTTCCCACACACAGGACTGCTCATATTCTCTCTGCCTCGAATGCTGAAATTCTGCCACACTCAAGTCATCGCTTGAGGGCCTGATTTATAAAGGTTTGCTAAGTTGTTGTACCTCTATTTAATGATATGCTAAGCCGCTGTTGGAAAGATTGATACTGTTAATTAAAAAGCAAGGTGTAGAAAAGGGATTTTCTTTTTTTAGGAGGCTTCTGTGTTTATATAAAAAAGTTGCATGTGCATAGAGTATGCCTATTAGATTAGACTTCTTCCCTCAAAATAAACAAAAACAAGCAAACAAACGAGTAGAAGATGTTGCCTCTGGAAGGAAACTAGGTATCAGGAACAGGAGCGAACACCAATTTGCTTTTCAATATATGTGCTTTTGTACTTAAAACTTTTTGTGCTGTGAAAGGAAAATAAATCTTGGGGCCCCCAAATCACTAAGCTAAAGGGAAAAGTCAAGCTGGGAACTGCATAGAGCCAACCTGCCTCCCATTCTTTTTTTCTTTTTTTTTTTCTTTTTTTTTGAAACGGAGTCTCGCTCTGTTGCCCAGGCTGGAGTGCAATGGTGCAATCTTGGCTCACTGCCAGCTCCGCCTCCCAGGTTCTTGCCATTCTCCTGCCTCAGCCTCCCGAGTAGCTGGGACTACAGGTGCCTGCCACCACGCCTGACTATTTTTTTTTTTTTTTTTGTATTTTTAGTAGAGATGGGGTTTCACCGTGTTAGCCAGGATGGTCTACGATCCCGACTTCGTAATCTGCCCGCCTCCCAAAGTGCTAGGATTACAGGAGTGAGCCACCACGCCAGGCCCAACCTGACTCCCATTCTATTCAAAGTTACCTTTCTGCTCACTGAGGTAAATGCATATCTGACTCTCTCATTGGGAGAGGCTAATCAGAAACACAAAAGAATGCAATCCTTTGTCTCCTATCTACCTATGCCCTGGAAGCGCCCTCCCCGCTTTGAGCTGTCCTACCTCTCTGGACTGAAGCAATGTACATCTTACACATATTGAATGTCTCGTGTCTCCCTAAAATGTATAAAACCAAGCTCTGGGGCTGGGCGTGGTGGCTCACACCTGTAATCCCAGCGCTTTGGGAGGCCGAGGTGGGCGGATCACGAGGTCAGGAGATCGAGACCATCCTGGCTAACACGGTGAAACCCCGTCTCTACTAAAAATATAAAAAATTAGCCGGGCGTGGTGGTGGGCGCTTGTAGTCCCAGCTACTCGGGAGGCTGAGGCAGGAGAATCGCTTGAACCCAGGAGGCAGAGCTTGCAGTGAGCCGAGATCGCGCCACTGCACTCCAGCCTGGGTGACAGAGGGAGACTCCATCTCAAAAAAAAAAAAAAAAAAAAGAAATAAAACCAAGCTCTGCCCCTACCACTTTGGGTACATGTCGTCAGGACCTTGTGAGGCACATGTCCTCAACCTAGGCAAAGTAAACTTTCTAAATTAATTGAGACCTGTCTCAGGTTTTCGGGGTTGACAATGCCATGTATATATTACATTTATGAAAATTAATTTAAAAAGTAAGCATGTCCTTCCATGTTTATAAAAATTAAACATGTCCTTCCGTCATAATGTCACTAACAGCTTAATGTGAATTAGCACAGCAGATGGCATGAACTCAGTGCGTGCCTCAGGGAAAAGATGTGCTAAAGGTAGACTCAGACGCTGAAAGAAGTAACAAGGCAGGGAAGATAAACTGACCCCGCTCCTGGAGAAGGAGCCACATTCCATTAAGGGAGTGAGATTATCTGCTGAGCCCAAAGAAGAGATCGGCTAGGGCAGCTCACATGATAGAATAGGTTTACTCACTTATTTATTCATTCAGTCACTCAACAAATATTTATTAAGCACCTACTTCATGTCTTGTACTAGGTGCTGGGAATACAGTGAAGAACAAAAGTGAAACAGTTTCTGCTCTCATACAGAGATTACATTTCTTAAGGAAGTCAGGCCTTTGGAATGCAGTAGACAAATGGCCATGAGAGAAAAAACATATAAGGTTTGTATTCCAGACATTTGTTTATTTATGTGTGAGTCGCCAGATATAATAGGCAGTATAA
This sequence comes from Homo sapiens, assembly GCF_000001405.40. NCBI lineage: Eukaryota > Metazoa > Chordata > Mammalia > Primates > Hominidae > Homo > Homo sapiens. Next base: position 70,778,720 of record NC_000015.10, on the reverse strand, counting down.
TGACATGCAATGATGTCCATGTTGTAATCCCCAGAACCTGTGAATAAATTACCATATACAGGGCAGAGGGGTCTTTGTAGATGTGATTAAATTAAGGACTTTGACATGCAGGGATTACCCTGGATAATCTGGGTGGGTCCAATCTAATCACCTGCCTCCTTAAAATAAAAAAATCTTTCCTAGCTGAGTTCAGAGTCAGAGAGAGATGTGACTGTGGAAACATGGTCAGAGAGTTGGAAGGATGCTGATTTTGGAGACAAGAAAGGAGCCATGAGCCAAGGAACGAGGGCAGCCTCTAGAAGCAGACAAAGGCAACAAATGAACACTCTGCCAGAGCTTGATTTTAGCTCAGTGAGGACTGTGTTAGACTTCTAACTTACAGAGCTGTGTTGTTTTAAGCTGCTAAATTTCTGGTGATTTGCTGCAGCTATGATACAAAATGAGTACTTTGGGTTAGCCTATGGGCATGTAAAGTTTGAGTAAAAAAAGGTTCCTGTTCTCAATATTTTTTTTTTTTTTTGAGACCAGGTCTCATTTTGTCACCCAGGTTGGAGTGCAATGGCACGATCACAGCTCACTGCAGCCTTGAGCTCCTGGGCTCAGGTGATCCTCCCTCCTCAGCCTCCTGGGTAGCTGGGACTATAGGCCCATGTCACTATGCCTGACTAATTTTTGTGTTTTTTGTGGAGATGGAATTTTGCCATGTTGCCCAGGCTGGAAGAATGTATATATTATCACAATTTATTGGGGGAGACAAACATGTAAATGGAATAATACAAGTGCTAAAGTTGGGGTGTGTACCTGTAACCATGTATATAAAATTTGCTTGAAGACATTCTGTTAATATCTCCCATCTTAGAAAAATTTCTCCACCACTTCTGCCTCATTTCCTCCCTCCCCGTCGCAGCAAAACTTGAAGAAGTTGCTTATTAATGTAGTCTCCAGTTCTTTTCCTCCGATTTCCTCTTAAAGCCAATGAGTCACTTTTGTTCTCACTTCCCCCTCAACACTACTTGCCCGTGGTCCAGGTTACCAATGGCTTCCATCATGCTAAATGCAATGGTAATTTCAGTCCTCACCCAGCACACTGATTAGCAGCAGTGACACAGCTGACCATGAGCTCTTCCTTGATATACTTTACTTGGTTTCCAGGGCTCCATACCCTTTGGTTTTCCTTTTTCTTCGTTGTATGGCACTTTTCCTTCTCTTTTATAGGATCCTTGTCTTCCAATTGGTTGATACTGGAGTTTCCCAGAGCTTAGTCCTTGGCCTCTATATTTCCTCGTTTGGTGACCTCATGCAGTCTCCTACCAGCTGTATGTTGATGACTCCCACATTTATCTCTCCATCTCATATGTCCCTCCTGGCCTCCAGAATCATTTCTCAAACCTGCTAGTTGTCATCTTCACTTGGATATGTAATAGACATCTCATAATAAACATGGCTGATACCAATCTCCTGACCTTCTCTATTTCCTCCCCACAACCCTCTCCACCCACAGCCTTCCCCATCTCAGTTAATGACAACTCTGTCCTTCCAGGCGCTCAGATGCATAATTGACTCTCACATTTCGCATTAATTTTTGTTGGCTCAACCTTCAAGATCTGTCTAGAATCCAATCATTTCTTTACTGCTACTAACCTGGTCTGGTCACCATTGCTTCTCACCTGGATTACTGCAAAACGATGATGTGGTTTCCCATGCCCCTCAAATAAAAGGCCTGAGCCCTTATGATACCCTGCTAGGCACTACATGATCTAGACTCCTGCTCCTACTATATCTCTTGGGTCATTTCCTCCCTCTCTTACCCTTTCTCACCCTGTTCCAATCAGTCTAGCACTTATAACTTTTTGATACACTATATATAATCAGTTTAGTGTTTCAGAAGGTGATATGTATGCCAGTGCTATGGAAAAAAAATTAGGGGACTCAGAAGCGGCAGGGATGGGGAAGGCAGAATAGGTCAAAGACTCCATTAAAAAATGACATTTAGGCCAGGTATGGTGGCTCGCGCCTGTTATCCCAGCACTTTGAGAGGCTGAGGCAGGTGGATCATCTGAGGTCAGCAGTTTGAGACCAGCCTGGCCAACCTGGTGAAACCCCATCTCTACTAAAAATACAAAAATTTAGCCAGGCATGGTGGCATTTGCCTGTAATCCCAACTACTCGGGAGGCTGAGGCAGGAGAATCGCTTGAACCTGGGAGGCGGAGGTTGCAGTGAGCTGAGATCACGCCACTGCACTCCAGCCTGGGTGACAGAGTGAGGCTTCATCTCAAAAAAAAAAAAAAAAAAAAGACATTTGAGGGAGGTAAGGCAATTAGTCATGTGGATATATCCGAGGAAAACAGGAACCTCTGTCCTTTGGAGGCAATGATGAATCCCAAAGATTCTAAACAGTGCCTGGCACTTAGTAAGTAAATACTCAGCAAATATTTAATGAATAAATAAATTAATTAATTTTCTCTGTCGTAAGTTCTCATGTTGCTTAAATTTTCCCTGTTTTTAATAACATTATTTGTTATTCATTTATTTTTTGAGATATTTATCTAGAATCTCAATTTTAGGCAGCATTGATTAGTTTTTTTGTTGGAGGTGACAAAAGAATGCAGTGTTCATATAACACCAGGAGCTCTGATATTTTTAAAAATCTGTGGGACAAGTCTGAAAGAAAACTTGATTCTACCCTAGACCCTTGTTTCAATCCTAGAGTCTAAACCATACCTGTTTGGTTGTGAATCAAGAATGAAACTGGAAAGACATAATTCTGAAAGTTCACGTAACAATCACCCATGAGCTTGAAATTAGGTCAATGAATCCTTTGTTTAAGATGGCATTAAGTTAAATTTCTATGCGTGAATTGTTTTCATACACAAAACTCAGTCACTTATCAAATAAATCAATACCAACTTCTCAGGCGCTCACATGGGGAAGCTGTGTAAGTACTGTTTAGGAATACAGGCATGGAATCACACAAGCATGTTGAAACACAGGAAGTGACCACTCTGACAATCTCTATATCCAGTTTTTAATGTTCATTTTAATATCTGATTATATTTTATTCAATTAATCTTTTGAATACTTTGGAAAAAAAGAGAGAAAACACAAGCAAAAAGCAAAGACTGAAACAAGATGGTCTCTCATACCTATTCCTAACTCCAATATCAAAAATACATTAGAATCAGCATAATTCATGCCCGGTGTTCCTTTTTTACTTCATTTGTTTGGTCCATAGGAGAAGGGCTAAAACCTCAGGCTGACTGCAGTTCTGAGATCCCAAAGTGATCCTTGCTAGACATACCCAAGGGAACATGAGGTCTGGTGGTGCCAGAGGGTTCATATTAGCTTCTTCCAGTGGAGTGCTGGAACTGACTCACAAGAGCTGACTGGTAGATTTTCAAGAATTTTTGAGGGATGACTAATGTCACACTGACAGTTTGAATTCCATGGTGTAAGTATTTATACCATTGAAATTGACGATTGCTATAAATTAGCCCCCCAATTCCCACCTATAAAAAAACAGCTGTCTAATAGGTTACCAGTATACTACTGGTTGAGTCTCTTCTTCAATAGACCTTGTTCTGTCAACAGGGTTTCCCAAATTTCCATTTTTCAGTTGGGACTTTCTGTCTGAAGTATTTTAATTTTCTTTTTTTTCTTTTTTGAGACTGGGTCTCACTCTTTTACCCAGGCTGGAATGCTGTAGCGTGATCTCGGCTCACTGCAGCCTCAGCCTCCCAGGCTCAAGTGATCCTCCACCTTGGCCTCCCCCGACCAGTAGCTGGGACTACAGGTGTGTGCTACTATGCCTGGCTAATTTTATTTTATTTTTGTAGAGATGGGGTCTCACTATGTTGCCCAGGTTGGTCTAGAACTCCTGGCCTGAAGTAATCCCCCCACCTTGGCTTCCAAAATTGCTGGGATTACAAGTGTCAGCCACTGCACCCAGCCTATTTTAACTTTCAATAGTGAATCATTATAGGTATAAATCATTTTAATCAAGTCTTGGTTTTTTTCTATATGGGCAAACTATTTACAAGCATAAATACCTTACTAGGTTTTGGTTTTACACTTATTTATACAACTCCACTCATAACTACATGACACGATTGATAATAGTTAATTATCTGTCCTTCCCATTTCATGGACAACTGCATGTGGTCTTTTTTTTTTTTTTGAGACAGAGTCTCGCTCTGTTGCCCAGGCTGGAATGCAGTGGCACGATCTTGGCTCACTGCAAGCTCCGCCTCCTGGGTTCACGCCATTCTCCTGCCTCAGCCTCCCGAGTAGCTGGGACTACAGGCGCCCACCACCACGCCTGGCTAATTTTTTGCATTATTGGTAGAGACGGGGTTTCACCATGTTAGCCAGGATGGTCTCGATCGCCTGACCTCGTGATCTGCCCGCCTCGGCCTCCCAAAGTGCTGGGATTACAGGAGTGAGCCACCACGCCCAGCCCAGTCTTTAATATTGATATAACTTAGCGTTTGGAAGCTTCAGCTTCATCATTCATAAAACTAGGATAATAGTAGTATATATTGCTCATTTCTTTGCTGGGAGTATTAAAAGAGATACATGTAAAGAACTTAGCACAGTGCTTGGCACATGGTAATATCTCAATAAACTTTAGTGATTGTGTAGTAATAGTAATAGCAGTACTTTGTGCTATGGGGTATACATACAGAAAAGGGTGAGATGTGGTGCTTTGGTGAAGAAATGCTTTGGCCAATCCTTCTATAGCTTAGGAACATTAATTAAGCAGTTACTATTTGATGGCTTAGATATTGGCAGTCCCTGTACAAGCTAATCCCTTTGCTAGTAGAAAGACTGAGAAATTACCAATTGAGAAATTCTTCACACTCTCAAAATCACATTGGGTATTTCATAGATCAGGCAGACCAAGTTGATATTTTGGAATTGTAAGACTGAAAAATATTGGCTATTTCATATCTTCTTATCTGTCCTCAAATTTCCAAAAGTGGTGTTTCTTCATTGCCCATCTCCCTGTAAAGTCATGATCATGATTCATGAGAAAATAGAAGCAGGCCAGTTGGGACCTTCTTTTCCTTCCACTGAATATACCACCGTACACTTATCTGTACCTGCATCTTTTTGCCTTTATCCTGTTACTGCGGATGACATGTCCAAGCTCCTAACTGAGGGATCAAATCCCCTTTGTCCTCAAAGACTTAACTCCTACAGATGTCCCCTTCTCTGTTTCATTAGTCCTTTCCCCTCTACTGGATCATTCTCCTCCCAGCCTACAAAAAATGTTTTAGTTTCTCCCACCTTAAACTAAAAAACTTTCCACTGATGTCTTGTCATTATCCAGCTGCTATCCCTATTTCTCTGCTCTCCTTCAGAACACCCTATCACCTCCCATTGTCTCTCCAGTCTACTTTCATTAGCTTCTCTCCCCAAAAGTGATGGAAATTGTTTGGTGAAAGCTATTAATAACACCCGTGCTGCCAAACCCAGTGGTCGCTCCTCTGTCTCTGTGCTTCTCCATCTTTCAGTGGTATTTGGTAGGGTTGATCTTTGAAAAACCATCCTCTCCTGGCTGCTGTGTCACATTGTCTAGTTCCTGCCTATTCTCTAGCCATTTCCTCTCAGTCTTCTTTGCTGGTACCTTTTTTTTTCTGTTTGATTTCTTTCTTTCTTTTCTTTTTTTTTTTTTGAGATGAAGTCTTGCTCTGTCGCCTAGGCTGGAATGCAGTGACACAATCCTGCCTCAGCGTTCCGAGTAGCTGGGATTACAGGTGCCAACAACCACACTCAGCTAATTTTTGTATTTTTAGTAGAGACGGGGTTTCACCATGTTGGCCAGGCTGGTCTCAAACTCCTGACCTTAGGTGATCCACCCACCTTGGCCTCCCAAAGTGCTGGAATTACAGGCGTGAGCCACCACACCCAGCCTTCTCTTTGATTTCTAAATGTTGCAGTACCCACATCTAGGCCCTTGGCCCTCTTCTTCCATGACAGATTTTATCTGGCCTCATGGCTTTAAATTACATTTATTTGGCCATAACTTCCAAATTAATGAATTTCACTCTTGCTATCTAGGCCTCCTACTTAATATATCCTCACTTGGATGCTCAGTGGGTGACTCAAACCAATATGACCAAACAGAACTCTTGACTTTCCCTTGGAAACATAGCTCCCATAGTCATCCCCATTCAGTAAGCAGCACCATCTACCTAGATTCTTTTTTTTTTTTTTTTTTTTTTTTTGAGATGGAGGCTCCCTCTGTCGCCCAGGCTGGAGTGCAGTGGCGCAACCTTGGCTCACTGCAAGCCCCGCCTCCTGGGTTCATGCCATTCTCCTGCCTCAGCCTCCCAAGTAGCTGGGACTACTGGCGCCCACCACCACGCCTGGCTAATTTTTTGTATTTTTAGTAGAGACGGGATTTCACTGTGTTAGCCAGGATGGTCTCGATCTCCTGACCTCATGATCCACCCGCCTCGGCCTCCCAAAGTGCTGGGATTACAGGCGTGAGCCACCGCGCCCTAGATTCTTAATATCTTACTACCTAGATTCTTAATGTCTTACTCCCTGCATCCAGTCTACCAGTGAGGCAGCTCTATTTCTAGACTATATCCCAGTCCTGCTCATGGCTTCCTGCTTTCCCCTTTGGTCGTTTATGATCAGTTATCTCCCTAGCTGCAGAAAGATCTTTTTAGTATATAAATAAGATCACATCATCCCCTACTTAGTTAGCTTCCTATTAGAACACAATTCGAAATCCTTCTTTGGTCCACTAGGCCCTCTTTGTGCTGGCCCCAGCCTGTCTCTCCAACCTCCTCTTGCCCATATTCTTCTCCCACTATGCTCCAGCCACACTGGCCTTCAGTATGCTCCTGCAACAAGCCAAGCCATACCACACTGCTTAGGGCCGTTGCATTGCTGTTTTCTTTGCCTGGAGTGTTCTGGCTCCACATCTATGCTTGACAGGCTCCTTTCTGTAATTCAGACCTTAGTTCAAAGTCACTTTTCCAGAAAGACTTTCCTCAACTACCCAATCTACAATCATTCTCCCCATCCCTGCCTGCCACTTTGTTCTCTAGCACATTACCCTTTTTATTTTCCCCATATACCATTCTCTGAATTGATCTTGGTCGCTTACTTATTTGCTTGTTTACTTGTTCCCTGCTGATTCCTCAGTATCATCTCACACATCATCTGAAAACCAATACTTGCTGGAGGAATGAACACTCTGGACACCCAACAAAGATATTTCTAATAGTTGAGGGGATTATCTATTCCACTGCTCACTGTTCTGTAAGTAAAGGCACACTCTTATGAGAAATTTATTGCAGAATGTAGCAGCAGGAAAGCATTATCTCTGTTGAGAATATTCAGTGCCTTTTCCTTTTCTGGTTTCAAAGCTGTCACTGTCAGTTTCTATTTTTTGTTTTGCCTTGGCTATTAGGAAGCTGAAAGCCAAATTTCAAACTCAAGGATGAATATCACGGTATCTCCAATAGTGAACATAAGTTCTTCCTTCCTGAGGTTGATTTCCTCCCTTTGTTGTCAGGAAGCACGGTAATGAAATTTGTCACAAGTTGCCTCAATTTCTTTCTGGATGGAATTGTGATTTAAACAAAAGCATTCAAAGTGTTAACATTCTGGCATAGACCGCACAGCTACCTGTCAAGGAATGTTGACTTGGAGTCATGTAGTATTGAATGGGAGCTCTCTGGCTGTAAGAGTTTATGAGCAACCTCTATTGTTGTTAGGTGATTTGCTGTGATTCATATTTGGGAATTCCCCAAGGTAGTTTTAGCTGGGGTTTGACTTGCCTAAAAAGAGCTCAACCCTCTGGGTGTTAGGGGTTTTAGGCTTTTTTGTATTTGTTGACTTGATGAGTGCCACTTCAGAGTTATGAGCCAAAAAGTTCATGGATCTTGAGAGTTTATCGTTCTCTTAGAGCTCAATGTCTCAGTAGTAGAAGAAATATGCCTTTTAGTTTAGCCTTAAAATGCGATGTCTTGATCTCAAGTAAATTCATGGACTACACCCTTCTAAGGTTCAAAGGAACTGTTCTTAATTATTGTTTAGGTCCAGGGAGGGTTTTGAAGTTTATGGAGCATAAAACATGCTTCTCCCTAGCCTGGCAAAATTAAAATGTAGCTCTTTTGAAGTTCAGCATGTGTTGGTATTTTAATTTATTGGCTACTTTAAATATTTTGTTTGTGGCAACAACATTCTTAAAACAGCAAGAGGGAAAGTATACACTGATTCATTATTATCAAATATTTTTTGATATTTGTACTAAATAGATATAGATGATGTAAAGAATATATATACCTGGTTAATCCATGAAGACATAAGAGTGGACAAATCTCTTTGAATAAAATATGCTATTAAAATAGTCCTGATGGCCTAAATGCAATGCAGAATAATGCTACTGTATATAAGAATTGTACCTTAATTTAAACGTTTCTGCCAAATAAATGTTGGAGTTAAATATTACTTAACAATTGGGTACAAAATTATATTTTAATTTTTAATGAAAACAAACATTGATTCAAGTAGTTTTGAAGAAGGAGCATGCAGAAAATAATTTTCATGAACTATTTCCTTCCAGAAAGGGAAGGGAATGGTTCTTTTGGTAATCAAATGTTCAAAAAACAATCAATCAATCAACCATGTATTATATCATGCAGTAAGTATTTTTTTAAATTAACCTTTTAAAATACACTTTTCTTTTTTATTTACTTATTTTTGAGAGGGAGTCTCGCTGTGTTGCCCAGGCTAGAGTGCAATGGCGCAATCTCTGCTCATGGCAACCTCTGCCTCCCAGGCTCAAGCGATCCTCCTGCCTCAGCCACCTGAGTGGCTGGGATTACAGGTGCCCACCACCACAGCCAGCCAATTTTTGTATTTTTAGTAGAGATGGGGTTTCACCATATTGGCCAGGCTGGTCTTGAACTCCTGATCTCATATGATCCACCTGACACAGCCTCCCAAAATGCTGGGATTACAGATGTGACCGTGCCTGGCCTAAAATACACATTTTATCTACACTTATATGGGTTCCTTTTTAATGTAAAAATCAGGATTTACTTAAAGATGTATTAATTTATAAGGATATTTGATGAAAGAATTCCAAATAGCACATTTAAAACATATATTATTGATAATTTTATATGATATAAAATATAATAAAAATATGTTTATATATAACTTTATTATAACATTTCTATATCCAGATTTTACCTATGACCTTCCCTTTCCCTTTCCCATAACTGAAACCAATGTAGTCAATAGCAATTTCAATTTAAATGACTGTAAAGTCATTGTTCATCATCTACCATAAAGCTCGGGTCATTTCCCAAGTACATTTGAAAGTGAGATTTATCTTTTTTTTTTTTTTTTTTTTTTGAGTCGGAGTCTCACTCTGTCGCCCAGGCTGGAGTGCAGTGGTGTCATCTCGGCTCACTGCAAGCTCCGCCTCCTGGGTTCACGCCATTCTCCTGCCTCAGCCTCCTGAGTAGCTATCACGCCCGGCTAATTTTTTGTATTTTTAGTAGAGATGGGGTTTCACCGTGTTAGCCAGGATGGTCTTGATCTCCTGACTTCGTGACCTGCCCGCCTCGGCCTCCCAAAGTGCTGGGATTACAGGTGTGAGCCACCGCGCCGGGCCCGAAAGTGAGATTTATCTTAACTTATTCTGTCTGCCGTGTTCTTCTGTTAGCATGAGTAGCAAAGGTTGTGATGGAGTAACTGGTGGTATTGAACCAGCCATGTAATTTACTCGTAATTGATCATTCAGTTAAGAGTATCGAACACCTTGCCAGAATTTTAAAAGTCTCCTTGGAAATCTGGAGGGGAAAAAATACAAGCAGGACAAGTAAAACCATCATTTAAAATCTATAGAGATAGCCTTTATCTGCCATATTTTAAGTTTAAAATCAAGGAACTTTTCTATCCAACTTATTTGACAGTGCTGAAGTTTTGAAAGTTTTTCGGCTCATTGCACATATCCTGGTATCCTGGCCAAGATAAGAAAACTCCAAGGTCCAGGAAAGTTTACTATGGAGTCAGATGGTTACTGATCCCAGAACCAAATTCCTGGTGTTTATCTGGGCTCCAGGCTGAGTAGCCTGTTTTAAAAGAGGCAATCAAGAGGTTTTTTTTGCCTTTCAACCATAAGCACTCAGGGCCATCAGTCTTATCATTAAAGTGAAGCTAAGGGTACTTCTGGATTGTGTGTAATCAAGACTTGATGTTAAACCTGAATCCAAAGAAAACACAGTGGTTATCTCAACTGCTTTTAGGTATAAGGTCAATTATGCTGGGGAAGTCTAGTTTTGTTCCTGACCATGATCCTTCCTGTTTTTTCACTTTTTCTTTCAGTATCGAAACTAATGGCACACTCGATATGTCATAAGTGAATGACAGTCTGTAAATGCCAAGGAAGACAGAGAGAGGTAGAAAGCAGCCTTCTTTGGAAGATAAGTGGTAAACTCAAGATTGCTATAGCTAAACGCATAACAATCCTCAACAGGGGAGATGAAAGAAGTGGTTTCTGTAAGAAGGAATTGATACCACTTGAAATTTTAGTGCTGAGTAACTAAGAAAACTTACATGAGGGTCTATGGTTATGCGGAGCAGACACCATCTTCTTTCCCTTTTTCTTCTTCTCATTCTAGTTTTCTAAGATGCAGCCTTTGGTGAGCTTACTAAAAATACAGATTCTTTTAAAGTTAGTGCCGAAGATGACCTATTTATTTTTTTAAAGCTCTTTTATGCAATGTTTTAGTTTTCAATGTGGCAAGAGAAGAGGGTGTGAGAACTGCCTCAGGTCTCTCATTTCCTGGGCTGCCTATGATTTCTGGGTAGAAGTGCCTTTCCTCATGACTCTGTGGCCACACGTGGTTCTGCCAGCCATTTGCTTTGGCATCTGAGAGAATGACTGATGTCATGGGCCCCTTCATGAAATTATTCACTGGCTTTGTTCACTGGGTCCCCAGGGCTACTCGGAGCAGCAAGAAGTTCTGAAAATGAAGAGGGAAGTCATTGGATATAGAATTCATAACTAAAGCTTGTCTGGAAGGAGATCTTTATGTTTGAAAAGGACTCATTTTATGTGCAAATTTTAGACTTTGTATGTCAATTCTTTTTTTTTTTTTGAGATGAAGTCTTGCTCTATCACCCAGGCTGGAGTGCAGTGGCGTTATTCTGGCTCGCTGCAACCTCTGCCTCCTGGGTTCAAGCGATTCTCCTGCCTCAGCCTCCCCAGTAGCTGGGATTACAGGCTTCCACCACCACGCCCAGCTAATTTTTGTATTTTAGTAGAGATGGGGTTTCACCATGTTCACCAGGCTGGTCTCAAACTCCTGACCTCAAGTGATCTGTCCACTTTGGCCTCCCAAAGTCCTGGAATTACAGTTGTGAGCCACCATGCCCGGCCTGTGTGTGGATTCTTTTTTTTATTGTTGTTGTTTTTGTTTTTGTTTTTTGTTTTTTTTTTTTTTTTTGAGATGGAGTCTTGCTCTGTCGCTCAGGCCGGAGTGCAGTGGCGCCATCTCGGCTCACTGCAAGCTCCACCTCCCAGGTTCACGCCATTCTCCTGCCTCAGCCTCCAGAGTAGCTGGGACTACAGGTGCCTGCCACCACGCCTGGCTAATTTTTTGTATTTTTAGTGGAGACGGGGTTTCACCATATTAGCCAGGATTGTCTCGATCTCCTGACCCCGTGATCCACCCGCCTCGGCCTTCCAAAGTGCTGGGATTACAGGTGTGAGCCACTGTGCCCGGCCCTCTGTGTGGATTCTTTATTCTTCTTCTGAGAAATCATATTTGTCATCGTTTTTGCCGTTATCATCATCTGAGTTATCAGTGAGCATCTGTCGACTGTGTTCTCTTCCCTGTTCTGGCAGGTCCCCTGGGTATCCTCTGCCCATCTGGTATTACTTCTCACCTGTTGGTATTCATTGAATGGATACTCAACCTTGGATAGCCTCCCTTCAGGCAAACTTATCTGTTGATCTTTTCCTTCCCTAAATACCATCTGCAATCTTACTACACGATTCAGTAAGCGATTGTCCAGTTAAACTGTATGTGTTAGCATACAGCTTACACATTTGTTATCTAATCCAGAACACAAGTTCCTTGACAGCAGGGATCAAAATAGGGGTGGTAAGCAGATCAACTTGCTCCATTTGTATTATTTGAGATTACCATGTGTATATATAATCTAGTAAAGTAATTTTAAAAAATGCATTACCCTTCCTGGTATATATTGTAAATAAATAAATATTGGAAAAAAAAAAGAAGTAAAACAAAAAAATATTTTATATAGGCTCAGTGTGATAACAAACAAAAGGTCATCTAGGTTTGATAAGTGCCCTTTGCTCTGAAGGGAAGATAAAAATAAATAATAGTGATAAGAGTTAACAAAATAAAACCCAACCTGTCTGGTTGAATGCTAATAATAGTGACTTTACTTCATATAGGCAGCTTCCAGATCAATGTAAAAAAGCTTTACTGAATATTCAGACCAGTGCTATTTACTTAGCTGCTCTCAAATGGGAATAAGCAGACATCAGCTATCAAGTTTCTAGGCTGGAAAAATCCATAAAGGCCACTGGACACAGACACCATGGGGACATCATCCAGACAGTTCATAAAAATAACTTGCCCAACATTTTTGGAACCTGATGCAAGCTATACTTGTGGTTCTGTCTGTTTCCTTTGCTTTATCCAGTAACAACAGAAAAGGAGGCCAGTCACCAGGACTATGATAACTTGGATGTTACAGGAGACAACCAGTACAACATAACACTGCAATTAATAACTCAAGAGCCAATTACTGAGACAGTGCTCTTGTAAGCAATTAACATTTAAGATTCAGTCAGAGGACTAGATGGTAAATGGGTGCTTATCTTAAGCCCAGAGAAAGGAGTTGATTGAGACACAAATATTTGAGCAGGACCATAGCCTCAGATCATTCCATCTGTGTTCACAATAGGGGGAATCCCAATCCTGTGTCACATAAATACATAGAACAAACAACCATAATTTGCTATAGTAGTCAATAAGAATGCATCAATTCATTCAGAAATATTTATTAAACACCTATAACATGCTAAGCATTCTAGGGAATTCAAATATATGTCAGTTATTCCCCAATTTTAAGTAAATTGAAGTCCAGTAATGAAATAAGGTTTGCTCAGCTCATATGTGTTAGTATCATATGAGAGGTATAATTGCTGTAACTATTTGGAGGATGGAGAGATCACTTCCAGTTACTTGATCAGGGAAGGTTCTATAGAGAGGAGGGCACTTGGAAGGGACATACACTTAAAAACAAACTTTTTGTTAAAGCATAACACACACATAAAAGAGAATATATTGCATACAGTACAGGCTCATTGAATTTTCACAATCTGAAAACACTAGATATGTAACCAGCACCCACAGAGAATAGTACAGTATTCCAGAAGCCCCCGACATCCCCTACCAATCACTCTTGGGGGAGTAGGATTTTCTGAGATGAATGTAGACAGACAGAAGATTATTGGGGGAGGGATCAGTATGCATAAAGATGTGGAAGTTGAAAGCCATGACCCATGTTTGGAGAATGGGCTGAAGAGTAATTCGCTTGGGGTGTTGGCTAGAGAACAGGGTCGCGTCCACGTTATACAGCTTTAAATGCAAAGAATTAGATTTTATTCGTTAGCTGCTGAAGGCTTTTGAGCAAGAGGAGTATTTTTGTAAGACTTATTGATGATGGCTGATAATTTATTGGTGATGGGACAATTAAGAGACTGAAGGTTGGGAGACTGGCTGGGAAGCTTCTGTAATAATAGTCCGGGTATGAGGTAATTTTGGCTCTGCAGTGGCAGTGAGAACAGAGTAACTGACCATACACAGACACTTTAAAGAGCCAACAAGAACTAAATGACTGGAGATCTAGAGGAAGGGGGAGGAATCAAAGAAAATTTTCTTCCAAAGATCTAATCAAGATGAAATTTAATAATATTTTTGGGTAGTTAGTTGTTATTTACTTGTTGTATAGGGTTAACACAGTCTTTGAATGCTGCCTCTCCAAGAAATTCTGAAAACTTTCTTACAGTATTTGAAGAAAACCTTGCGTTACTATAAAGAAACTCTAAAGAGAGCAACTGACCTTTCAGACAAAAAAGAGTCCTTTGTTAGTCAGAAAATGTGGACCGTTTGTCTTTTCAAATGGATGCATGCTACGATAAACGTTTTGCTGGGGGGAAAAATGACTCCAAAGAAGACTTTTGAAGATGTCACCCGAACAGCAAATTATTGGGTGCTGAGCACCTTCCTGTTTCTTCATCCTCTTAAATAATTTTTACTAACCCAGATTTCTAGGTAAGATGATTTAACTTCATCGTATACGTTTACATGTAATGTGTTTCTACAGAAAACAAAAAACCTTTTTGAAGAAAAAAGGGCGTAACTTTTTTTGACAACTTAAATCACTGGCTGTGGGAGTCATTTTTAATTGATGGCACCTCTTCTCCTCCCTCCCCGCCCCCATTCCGTCCCTTTGCTTCCAATACGGCGGATTCTTCACTCAACAAATAAACGAGCACGTAACTTGTACTGTAACTTACTATAACGTCTTTCAAGGTCTTTCTTAACTGTACGTTTTTCTGCACAATCAGCACCTTATTTCTTAGAGACTGTTTATTTCTGGAATTTTTGATGCGTGTGGTGGTTTCCAGGCACCAGGATTTGGTAGTAAAACAGGAGACTGAAAAGAAGTTGCTCCTGAAAGCTGTTCTGTGTGCAGGTAACCAAGAGTCATTTCTAAGACCAGACGGAAGGGAAGGAACTTTACTTGGTAAAGAGCGCGTGGGTGGAAAGAGGAGGGGAGTCCGGGAAGATGAGAGGTGGCAAAGGCGGGACCCCGTGCTCTCTCTAGATCTTAAGCTCCGGGTGGGCGGGCGCCGGTGGCCTGGAGCCCGGCCTGCGCGCATCTCCACGCCTCTGGCCGCCCACCTCCTCCGCCCCTTCCCGGGCTAAAGTTCCCAAACTTTTCCTCCAGCTGGGAGAGGAAGGGTGTTACTCAGTTTAAAAGGGAAGTCCCGCCCCATTCCCGCATTCCGATTGGTCGCGGTTTGCCACGCCCCCGCCAGGGCAGCGGGTCAATTGGCTACGGGAGGGGAGCCCCGCCTCAGGCCTGTCGACGTCTGCTGCCCGGGGCCCGCAGGTGGCAGGCAGGTGGGGCTGGTACAGCCCGCGCCGCCTCTGCTGCAGCCGCTGCCGTCTACTCCTTGCGCGCTGGCACTCCGCAGCCTTTAAGGTTCGCGCGGGGGCCAGGCAAGAGTTAGCCATGAAGAGCCTCAAGTCCCGCCTGAGGAGGCAGGACGTGCCCGGCCCCGCGTCGTCTGGCGCCGCCGCCGCCAGCGCGGTGAGTCCCGCGGTCCGGGCTGCGAGGCGCTCCGCTCCGGGAGCAGCGCAGCCCTCCTTTGCTGGCGAGTTCGCGCGCCGCCTTCCTCTGCTTTTCCTCTGCCAGTTCGGCTTCGGCGGCCCTGGCGACTCCTCCCTGAGGCCGGAGACTCCGTCAGCCCAGAGACCCCGGGGATCCTCCCCGCCGCCGCACCCGAGCCTCTACGGGTCTCTTCCCCACCCCTTTCTCCCAAGCCTCCGAACTTCTGGAAGAAACCTCAGTGGGGCGGTTCTGGCCCCCTCCTCCTAAATCCAAAGTTCCTCGATTGGCACCCCTACTCCGCTCTTTCCGTTGACCCCCCCTCGTCGCTCTCCTCTCCCGGCGCTCGCCCTGCTGCCCACGCCCGCTCGGCCGTGTTGGCTCCCCAGTCCCCGGGGCCGGGGCTCGCACCAGGTAGGGCAGGTGGGCAGGGCTGCGCACCCCGCGCCACCGTGCCCGGACTCCGGACCTTCCCCGGGTCTGAGACAGCGTCAAGCCCTGCCGGGCTGGTGGACGTCCCGTGCTGGCCGCTGTCGTTGTCACTGGGAAGTTTGATTCCCCAGCGAGGCAGAGGGAATCGGCTTAGTCGTAAAGACAAAACCCCACAGGGTGGTGACCCTAGAGGTGGTGAAGTTGGGAGGGGTGGTGGTGATGTGGGTTGTGTAAATCGCACCTGTGGGGCGGGATCCGTGCGGGGCTCTTTCGGTGCTGACCTGCAGCGCGGCCTCAGTGTGCGCGCCAAGGAGTAGTCGGGGCCTCTTTAGTTGGCAGGAGAACAGAAATCTTGAGAAACAGCCTGACCGCAGATGTTGTGATTTAGATAATTTGTCACGTTACAAGAATGGCGATATCATCAAAATTCTATATCATTAAAATAAGTGCCACTTACAAAGTCTTGGAAGAGTCGAACGTAAAGGAGTTGTTATGCTCCAACTGCACAGTTACCTAGTTGGGGTAATTAAAATGAACCTTTACAATTCAACGCAGATTTTACCAAATGATTATATTCTTTTTATCAGAATACTAATTAATCTGCTTCTGCTTTTTTGAGTTAATTCAGTTATGCCTTTCTCTCCACCTATATCGAGGATTATTTTACTTGGACATAAAGGAAATTGTGGAGGAACTACCTAGACTTAAATTCCTATTTCAAAAAAAGAGAGTAGATTCAGATGACGTAATTGATGTTCTTTGATAAAGCATGAAGTCGTTTTATAAGCTCATGGAAAACAGAGATTACTTTGTTTCACTTTTTTTTTTAAAAAAAGTAACTGGCAGAAATGTCATTTAGTGATATTGGAGTTCATTACAGTTAAGATTCTACTTCTGTAATGCAAGTTGTGTTTTTAGCCTTATAGAAGATACAAGTTTCTAGATTTATTAGCTTTGTTTTCCCTGGTTGTGTTTGATTTGCACTAAGGATGTAAATCCCACTTGGAGGTTTATATGCCTTAATTTTATCCAGTTTTCTAGAAATGCAGAGTATTTAGTAGGTATTATCAGCATGATAGTTTGCATTTTATACATTTGGAACATAAAGTGCATATCTCTGAGCTTAAATCTTTAGCACTCAATTGAGCGTTCTATTTTTCTCAAAATGACATAATAAAGATAAACATGATATTAACCTATTTATGTAGAAAAAGCAAACATTTCTGTTTAAATATTAGAATAAGTTCTGTACAATTTAAAAATAAAAGCGTAATGAGGAATAAAACTTAGAATGAATTCTGTAAAATTTTAAAATAAAACTGTAGTGATGAATAAAACCAAACCAAGCATTGATAGAATAAAACACATGTACAGGAGAAATAGACCCTTTCTGCTTTTCAATCTATAAACCATAATCCCAGATTTGGTCACATGTATATGTATTTATTGTATGATTGGGCCACCCTTTTTTTTTTTCTTTTTGCCTTTAAAAACAGTTATTTTTTGAATAGGTAATATAGCACATGGTTTAATATTGGAAAGGAATAAAAATATTTACAACAAAATATCGACACCGTGTTTCCCTAACCCCTGCTTCAGCCACCCTGCCCCCACTTCCTGAGGCCACTGATGATACAGTTGCTTGCATGTTCCTCCAGAGAGAGCTTAGCATATACAAGCAAATATGAATATAGTCACCCTTTATAGAAATGCTAGCACACTGTAGCTGCTGTTTCATATCTTGGACTTTTTTTTTTAAAACTGTAAATAGAGGCTCCCCATTCATATCTTTTGCTGTAATGTACAATTCTGTGATTAATATTCATATTTCAAGTGTGTGTCTGTACCTGTAGGATTAATTCCTAAAAGTGAATTGCTGGGTTAAAGGATATGTGCATTTGTAATTTTGAAGGATGTTGTCAAGTTTCCTTTCATGCATCATGGAACCAGCATATGAGAAATGTTTTCCAAGCTTTTAATAGAAGTCTGTTCAAAGTTTTTGACCTTTGCTAGCCTGATAGGTAAGAACAGTTTATCCTTTCCATTTTTCTTTTTCTGTTTTTTTTTTTTTTTTGAGACGGAGTCTCGCTCGGTCGCCAGGCTGGAGTGCAATGGGACCATCTTGGCTCATTGCAACCTCCGCCTCCCAGGTTCAAGTGATTCTCCTGCCTCAGCCTCCTGAGTAGCTGGGACTACAGGCGTGCACCACCACGCCAGGCTAATTTTTGTATTTTTAGTAGAGACAGGGTTTCACCATGTTGTCCAGGATGGTCTCAATCTCTTGACCTTGTGATCCACCCGCCTCGGCCTCCCAAAGTGCTGGGATTACAGGCGTGAGCCACTGCGCCTGGCCTGTCCTTTCCATTTTTCTATTGGGTTGTCGATATTTTTCCCTATTCATTTGTATATACTTTATATCAGGGAAATTAGCCCTTTTCATTTGAATAATATTATTTCTTAATTGGCTGTTTGTCTTAAGACATTTTTATGGTGGCATTTGCTGTGCAGAGAAGGTGGTTATTTTTATACAATTGAATTTATAACCTTTTATGATTTTTAGGTTTATGTAATATCTTGGCCTTTCCACTCTGCGATATTTAATATTAAACAACCCCCCTCCCCAACTTTCTTCTAGTTTTTTTTCTTTTTTTACATTTAAGTCTTTGATACATAAGATACTTATTATGGTGTTAAAGTACATCTTACTTTCTTCTCTTTCCTCTATGGGTACTTAATTTGGGTCTTAAACTGTTCATTTAATTATTTTGGAAATAGTCACTATTTACTTTGCACAACTTTGATTTGAGATAAAATTTTAAAATGTTTATTTCATAAATAATTTCCTTTGTGTATTTAAGCTTATTATCTGAAGAAGACACAGCAGTAGACTGAGGTATGTGACATATGCAGTATTTTATTACATAATATGTGGAATACAGCATATTAGCTTAGCATGCTAAATTAGAATTATGTGCAGATTATGGGCAAAAGTAGTAATTTTGAATATTCTGAATAGTACTATTGTTATAAATATGCCAATGAATTTAGAGTTTACTAAATGGGAATGTTTGTACACATATAAATGTAGTTCACAATTACAAATTCTGGATAAACTACATTTGTGGATTAGTCCTTTACTAGCAAATCTGGAGATGGCTGCATCTGTTAACCATAAATGAAGAGTGTTTTTATTGTTACATTTATTATTTATTTATTTATTTTTCGAGATGGAGTTTCACTCTTGTTGCCCAGGCTGCAGTGCAATGACGTGATCTCGGCTCACTGCAACCTCCGCCTCCCAGGTTCAAGCAATTCTCCTGCCTCAGCCTCCCAAGTAGCTGGGATTACAGGCATTTGCCACCATGCCCGGCTCATTTTGTATTTTTAGTAGAGAGGTGGTTTCACCACATTGGCCAGGCTGTTCTCAAACTTCTGACCTCAGGTGATCCGCCCACCTTGGCCTCCCAAAGTGCTGGGATTACAAGCATCAGCCACCGTGCCCAGCCTGTTACATTTATTTTTAATCACTTACTAAGTTGGAGCTTCGGATTTCTAAAAGGGATAATTAGATGACTATAAATACTGTACCAGATCTGGTTAATTGTGTGTTCAGTTATATGTATAGTGAGAATATGCTTGTTCCATTTTCACCTAGTTTAGGAAATTTAATATAAATTAAGGGACTGTAATTCCAGAAGTAGTAGAAGTGCTGCAAACAGATATTGTAAGCAGACATTTTAGAAGGGGATTCCACTTTAAATTGGATTGCTTGAGCCCAGGAGTTCGAGACCCGCCTGGGCAACGTGGTGAAATCCTATCTCCACAAAAAATACAAGATTAGCCCGACGTGATGGTGCATGCCTGTGGTCCTAGCTGCCTGGGAGGCTGAGGTGAGGGGATCACTTGGGCCCAGGAGGTCAAGGCTGCAGTGAACTGTGACTCCAGCCTGGGTGATAGAGGGAAACCCTGTCTCCAAAAACAAACAAACAAAGTCGTAGCAGAGTACTTTGATTGTAGAAGTAATCTCTGACCTGAGAGGTTCTGTAGTGATTATTTTTGCTGCCCTTTCTCTAGGCTGCTCTTAAAATGGGGCAGTGAATTTTATAAATCAGAACTAAATATGTTTTAAAGCATCTTGCTATAATGCCTCAGCACTGCGAAAAAATACTGGTATTTCTAAAAGAATTTAGAGTTACAAATATAGCAACTGAAAAAAATCTTCAAAAACATTTTCTGTTTCCACTAATAACATTAGTTTGAGATGTTTAGAAAGCATAAAGGATTAAACATGATTTTGTTTTAGTTGTTGATTTTGAGAATGAGGGCTTTGTGTTTTCCACTGAGGGATTTGGGTGCATTTGAAAAGATCTTAATGTTATTCTCATAACAGCGACTTTTGGGTAATGTAAATAAGATAACAAATTGTTATGTTTAGTTTAAACTCATGATACTTAAGCACTGTTTACTCATTGTCATTAACTATTCCAACCTTAAATTAAAAATGCTTACCTTAATTAAAGCTGTATTCAGACAACTTCCTATGGTTATCCCTGCGTTGAATTTCTTGTGCTTCTTGAAGGAGGATTACAATAAAGAAACCCTTCTTTTATAGTTTTTGATTTCAACCCTCACCCTGCAGCAAGTTTATTCAGAACATTATGTTGATTTGAATTGCTGAATTTTATTGTAATACCAAAGCAGAGTGGTTTGGTGGGTCTTTTGGTGCATAATGAGTCCAGGAACTTTAGGTGATGAGTAAAGGATTTTAATTAGTTTTTTAATAAGGATGGTGTAATGATTATATATACTTATGGTACATCATATGCATTGTTCAAATTAAAAATGATTAGTTCAGGAAGTAGACTTTGCTCAGCAGTTGCCTTATTTAGTTTGGAAAACATTTATGGAACACATAGGCTCAATAATGGATTAATTAGGTCCTCTTCGAAGAAATGGATAATTCCAAGTTGAAAGCAGAAAGTGTGGAGGATGAACTTGGAGTGCCCTTGTCATGCTGGAGTGTAAAGAGGCTGTCAAAGATTAGGACTCTGGAGCCAACTCCAAGAGGCTCTCAGTTGCCCAAAGATGGGACAGTTTGATCATCAGTAAGAATAGCAACTGTAGTGCACTGAAATCCTTAAATCCATGAGTTTGTAATGATGACCAAAAGAATAAAAACAACTCTTGACTTTTGGAGGATGCTAGGAAAGTGATGCATTCTTTCAAGATCAGGAAAATAAAGGGAAATAATAAAACATTTATTGTGCATTTCCTGTGAGAACTGTATCTCAAGGTAGCCAAATAGCTGATAAGAGGAAGTGTCTGTTTTAGTTATACTTTACTGCCACTAATAGATGAAGAAGGGATGATGTAATTAGTATATCATGTATTCTGTCCCAGCTAATATATGAAGAAGGGGTGATAGAGTTAGTATATCATAACTTTACAGCTCCTAATGAATTAATGAATCTAGAGTCTATAGACATGATTGTCAGAGGCTACTAATGTCTCAAAAAGAAAGACAAGCTGGCATAATATATCTTGTGGTGGAAATACTTATTACCACCTATTAATAGTCTTGCCAAAATAATCACCCTTTAGCTATAACCATGATTTTGTTTATTGTCATACAATAATTTTGATTATTGTCATACAGGGAACAAAGGAAGATAGGGATGCAATCAGCAAAATTCTGATTGTGGAAATCTATGGAAAAATGAAATGGTTTCTTAAAAATTATAAATTGTAAGAAAAGGAAAAAGAGGAGAAACCTATGGATTACAAGAGATTTAAGAGATTAAAATGCATACTAGCCAATTGCCGTGATGGACTTTATTTAGATCCTGATTAACTACTTGTAAAAAGTAAAAGTTTATGAAACAATCGAGGAAATATAATCATCAGCTGGATACTTGATGATATCGAATTATTTGAAACATTTAAATGTGACAGTGGTAGTAATGTGGCTGTGTTTATAAAGAGTCTTTATCCTTCATTTTATTTTTTGGAGATGAAGTCTCACTCTGTTGCCCCAGCTGGAGTGCAGTGGTGTGATCTCTGCTCACTGCAACCTCCGCCTCCCGGGTTCAAGTGATTCTCCTGGCTCAGCCTACCGAGTAGTTGGGATTACAGCTGCCCGCCACCATGCCTGGCTAATTTTTGTATTTTTGGTAGAGACAGGGTTTTGCCATGTTGGCCAGGCTGGTGTTGAACTCCTGACCTCAGGTGATCCACCTGCCTTGGCCTCCCAACGTGCTGGGATTACAGGCATGAGCCACCTCGCCCAGCTGAGTCTTTATCTTTCAAAGAAATATTTTGGAGTCTGGGATTTCCTTCAAAATAATCTTTGGGTGGGTGGGGATAGTAAGTTGGGGGTATAGTTGCAATAGGATTGGTCTTGAGTTAGTAACTGCATTTGGGGCTGGGTACAGTGGCTCATGCCTGTAATCTCAGCACTTTGGGAGGCCGAGGTGGGCAGATCGCTTGAGGTCAGGAGTTCGAGACCAGCCTGGCCAACATGGTAAAACCTTGTCTCTACTAAAAGTACAAAAATTAGCTGGGCATGGTCATTTGTAGTCTCAGCTACTAGGGAGGCTGAGGCAGGAGAATTGCTTGAACCTGGGAGGCGGAGGTTG
Source organism: Homo sapiens (assembly GCF_000001405.40). Lineage (NCBI taxonomy): Eukaryota > Metazoa > Chordata > Mammalia > Primates > Hominidae > Homo > Homo sapiens. The sequence continues at coordinate 70,756,244 of NC_000015.10, read as the reverse complement.
CAGTGAGCTGAGATCATGCCATTGCACTCCAGCCTGGGCAACAGAGCAAGACTCCATCAAAAAAAAAAAAATTGCGGCTGGGTGGTTCATGATGCTTATTCACTTTTGTGATACTGTTGTATTTAGCGTATGTCCTAAAATTTCTGTACTGTAATTAGAAAGAGCTAGTCACAGCCTTCAAGAATTTTAAGAGCTAGATATAAAAAATAAATGAATATGGCATGTTAACAGTTATTATAGAAGTCGGTATAAATTGCTGTGGGGGCACATAGAGTGTAGAGTGAGCCCATAAAAAGGTTGAAAGGTAGAGTGTGAGCTTGGGCCAGAAAGACAATTTCAGTGGCTTTCCAAGCAAAAGAAGAGCAAATGCAGTGGTATGGAGCTGTGAAATTATACAGCTGAGGGAGCATCAGATTTGGAAACTAATTCTGGTTTTATGGTAGAGGATGGCACAGATGAGGCATAGACAAATCTTCAAATAAGAATTCTATTGAAAATAGGGAGTTAGAGGGCGTGCAGCTTGGGGATTGTGGTAAAGGAAGGTTTTCATTCATTCTTTTTTTTTTTTATTTTTGAGAATAAGTCTCCCTCTTGTCGCTCAGGCTGGAGTGCAGTGGCGCAATCTTGGCCCACTGCAACCTCTGCCTCTCGGGTTCAAGAGATTCTCTTGCCTCAGCCTCCCGAGTAGCTGGTACTACAGGCTCCTGTCACCATGCCTGGCTAAGTTTTGTGTTTTTAGTAGAGATGGGGTTTCACCATGTTTGCCAGGCTGGTCTTGTACTCCTGACCTCGGGCGATCCACCCACCTCGGCCTCCCTAATTGTTGAGATTATAGGCGTGAGCCACTGCCCCCGGCCTCATTCTTTTTTTTTTTTAAACCTTGAATTAAAATTTAAATTACTTGACAAGTTTAGATCACTGTTCAGAGAGAACTGACTAGTCATGAAAGTTTCATCTTCAGAAATTATCCTATTAGTGAGTTTATAAGTTCATCTTTCTGCTTCTCCCTTCCTCTCTAGAATTAGCTAATAGCCAGCAAAATTTTGATTTTATCAGCCCTGTTTAACTTATGTTTGTATCTTTGGTAAACTAGATCCAAGAATAATAGATTTGAACGTTATAACATGTATTGTTTCATCACTATCATATGGAAACTTTTACTGTCCTGTTACAGTTTTGCAAATGTTTGTCCTGCCACCTAAAGGATACAGCATATTATTGAAATTTCCACCTGCACGTGCTTATTTATGCAAAGGAAGTCAAATTGATTTCTGTGGGGAATTTGCCTAAAAATGGATGGTTGAAATGTGCTGCCTGAAATTATAAATGGAACAATAGGATATAATACTCATTGCCTTATTTTCCTTAATCATAATACAATTAAAAGCTTTATATAGCTTTTATATCATTAGAAAAGATAATGTCTCTTCCAGGCTTAAAAATGTAGCCCCAAAACACAAGAATAAATTGGATTGTTTGTAGTCACACAAACAGTTTTGTCTGTTGGCTTTGTTTTATTGTCAGAAATCCTAAATATTGTTGACATTGACTTATTTTCAAATGATACAGTCTCCAAGATGATATGCAGAAGATGAACTGATGTAGCTGAGTGACCAAAGGCACTGGCAAAGGATCGATGAGTTGTATTTTTATACAGATGCTCCTTGACTTATTATGGGGTTATGTCTTGGTAAACCCAGTTTAAGTTGAAAATATTGTAAGTCGAAATGCATTTAAGACACCTAACCTACACAACATCATAGCTTAGCCTAACCTTCTTTAAACATGCTCAGAACACTTAGCCTCCAGTTGGGCAAAATCATCTAACACAAAGCCTATTTTATAAGAAAGTATTGAATATCTCATGAATTCAATACCGAATACTCTATTGAAAGTGAAAAAACAGAATAGTTGTACGGGTACTCAAAGTACATACAGTTTCTGCTGAATGCATGTAGCTTTTGTACTGTTGTAAAGTCAAAAAATCCTAAGTCTAACCATCATAAGTTGGGGACTGTCTGTAATTGAATGGGACCTGGCCAGGTATCCTTGAGAGAGCGCAGGTGAATGTCTCAACCAGTTAGGATAAATGACTGTCCCACAAAAGTCATACATGTTCATTGTAGAAAACCAAATATAGGCTGGGCGTAGTGGCTCACGCCTGTAATCCCAACACTTTGGAAGGCCGAGGTGGGCGGATCACTTGAGGTCAGGAGTTCGAAACCAGCCTGGGCAACATGATGAAACCCTGTCTCCACTAAAAATACAAAAATTAGCCAGGCATGGTGGTGGGCACCTGTAGTCTCAGCTACTCGGGAGGCTGAGGCAGGACAATGGCGTGAACCTGGGAGGCGGAATTTGCATTGAGCCGAGATCGCGCCACTGCACTCCAGCCTGGGCGATGGAGCGAGGCTCTGTCTCAACAGCAACAAAAAAAATTATAAGTAATTTGAAATTATTTGAGCACATACAAATGTCCCAATTAGAAGTACTCAGTAAATGCTAGTGAGTTACTTAGAAAGAAACTGCTTGTGAGAAATCCATGTGCTGATAGCCAAGATTTATTGAGCATGTATTTCCCAGGCATTGTTCTAAGTGCTAGTAACTCAATCCTCACCGCAACCCTAAGAAGTAGGTACTATTGCCATCATTTCAGATGCAAGTTAAATAATTTACCTGCCCAAGACACTATAGCTAATAAGTGAAGAGTTAGGTAGCCTGGCTTTGGAACCCATGTCCTTACCATTGTGAACTGATGTTTCAAATTTAATGCTATGGGATTTACACCTTAAGCCATATATACAAAAAAATTGGAGAAGGGGAGAGAGGAGGCATTTTATGGGAAATTCCAAAACCAATCTGTGTTCCCTCCAGAGATATGTGGAATTGTTGCATTCCTGATATCCTTCCAATAATAGATTCTGTTATTTAAAACATTTTTAAATGTGATAGAAAAAAATAGTTTGGCTTAATCCATGTTTTTGATTTCCAGGGAGGGTGAACATATTTCTGTGCTTATTGGCTGCGTTCATTTCTTGTTTTAGGAATTGTTCATTTTCTTTGACCATTTTTTCTGCTGATGCCCTGTTCATGTTGATCTGTAAGAGCTTTATACGTCCTTATTTTTGCTACTTGGCCAGCCGTCGCTTTAGAGTAATGTCTGTCTCACTATAGCTGTGCTTCTGTTACCTTCCCTGATATTTAAAACAGTTTTTGTTTCATGTATTTAATTTTGTGATAATTGATACATTAAGGTTCTTGGCTATTTTATATTCATTGTAGAGTGTAACTTGTCGTATAAAAGCCTCTAATTTGTTGCATTATAACTTTTGTTTTGAATTCTACATTGTTAGATATTAATACTGTCACACTGCCCCTTCTGTCATTTTGCTTTGTATGCATGTATACTTACCCAGTATATTATACTGTCATCCTTGGTTTTATTTGGAGGGGTGTGTGTGTGTGTATCTACAACTGTGTACACTTTTGAGGAGATGATGCGTTTTTAATATTGACCATATTTATATATTGTCAAGGTTTTTTATATTACCTCTGTAGTAAGGTTTTCCCTTGCAGATGCACAAATCATTTTAAAAAAAAAATCTCATTGACTCTTGTTTAATTTTCTTCTTACCAGATTGTGACATTTTCTCTTTACTAGAGAGAGACATTCCAAGAGAGCTCTAGAGAGAGAGAGAGATAAGTGGTGGGGGGGAGGGGAGAGAGAACAAGAACACATATAATACATCATGCTTTCTACACTTTTAAAAAAGTAGGAGTGTTTAACTTTTCTTCCAGCATGCTGTTATTTCATATGGTTTTCGCATTAGCAGGGTGCCTACTTTGTGCAGATGTTGAGGTACTTTGAAAATGAGTCCCAGTGGGGAGGCCCTGTGGGTGTGGTTGTAGTAAAGCCAGTACACTCTGATCTTTTCAGCTGTGTATAAGAATAGCCCACAAACACTTCCTGATTTACACGTGAGAAGTTTTTTTTTTTTTTTTTTTTTGATGGAGTTTTGCTCTCGTTGCCCCAGGCTGGAGTGCAATGGCGTGATCTTGGCTCGCCGCAACCTCTGCCTCCCGGGTTCAAGCGATTCTCCTGCCTCAGCCTCCCGAGTAGCTGGGATTATGGGCACGCGCCACCACACCCAGCTAATTTTTTGCATTTTTAGTAGAGATAGGGTTTCTCCATGTTGGTCAGGCCTGTCGTGAACTCCTGACCTCAGGTGATCTGCCCGCCTCGGCCTCCCAAAGTGCTGGCTCCCACAGGCGTGAGCCACTGTGCCCGGCCATGTTAGAGGTTTTTAAATGACAAATCCTTTTTAAATGATTCTTCTCTTTGTTTTTTTTTAAAAATTAACATTTTATATTTTAAAAAAGCACTTTATGAAATATAAATAGCATTCATGGCCATGTATAAGTAGGTAAACAAGGAAAATGAAGTGTTTCTCAGTCTTAGAAAAGACAATTGTGGGCCAGAGAATGTCCATTCATAGCTCTTGAAATCATACCTGGAGCAGCATGAAGGTGCAGGTTAGCACATTGATGATACAGGGTCAAACTCTGCAGCCTGCACGTCTTGGGTGTGAGCCTTGCCACTCCTGGTAACCAGCTTTGTGACCTTAGGCAAGTTACTTAAATATGTTTGTTTCTTCATTTGGAAAATAGGATTAATCGTTATACTTATTTCATAGAGTAGTTGTGAGCATTAAATGATACAAGGCATATTAAGGGCTTGCATATTAATACGGTGCTTTATATAGGTAACTCAATACATGTTTATATTGCTAACTGAAAAGTCTTACCAGAGGTCATGCCATTGTTGTCCTTTATAACCAGATTGACAGCAATCTTCCTAATCTTTTCCTTTCCAATTAATAGGCTTTTATATAGCCTAGATCTTCAAAAGTCCACCTGCTTTAGCCCTTTTCCTGAGGGAGATAAGTGGTATCTCTATTTTTCAATTATGAAAAAAATTTATTGAGCACTTGGGCTAAGCACTGCAGGGTGAGAGGATGAGGAAGATAAGAAGAGGCTCATAGTTTTGTGGGGGAGCTCCATGAGCAGATAATATAAGGTAATAAGTGCTGTGATAGAGGACTGTACAAGGTACTGATCTAGTCTGGGGCAGAAGAGTGGGGAGTCATTGAGGGTTTTTTTTGTAGGATAAGCTGCTGCTGCTGCTGTCTTTTAAAAATTGAGATGAGATTGTCAAAACATAAAATAAGTCATATTAAAGTGAACGATTCAATGACATTTAATACATTCACATTGTTGTATAACCACCATCTCTACGTACTTCCAAAACATTTTCATCACTCTAGAAGAAAATTCTGTATCCATTAAGCAACTGCTTTCCACCTACTCTTCTCTAGCTCCTGAGACACCAATCTGCAGGGTGACCTTTTTTTTTGAGACCGGACCTTGCTCTGTCACTCAGACTAGAGTGCAGTGGCACAGTCTTGACTCACTGCAGCAAGTGCGTAGCTGGGACTACAGGCATACGCCACCATGCCTGACTAATTTTGTTTATTTTTTGTAGAGACAGGGGTCTCACTGTGTTGCCCAGGCTGGTCTCGAACGCCTGAGGGCTCAAGCGATCCTCCCATCTCAGCCTCTTGAAGTTTTGGGATTATAGGAGTGAGCCACCACACCTGGCCAGGGTGAGCTTCTTGAGATTTGAAAGAAGTGGATAGGAGTGATCTAGGAAAGGTTAAATTTCTTTCAGAGTTAACAACAAGAGCAAAGGCATAGAGAAGAGGAAATATCACGGAGCTCAGAGCTGGGGGAAGGGGAAATTGGATACTAGAAAAATAGCAAGGGAGGATCCTAGAACAATAGCAAGGGGATTGGGTGGGAAGTAGGAAGTAGAGGTTTGGGGGTAGATCTTGGAATAGCTTTAAAAATGGCCATTTTCAAGAGTTGTTGGGACTTCTTCCTGTGGTTCCAGAAGTGGGAAATTCCAAAATCAAACGTGTTTTAGATGGATTACTGTGGTAGCTCTGTTGAGGATGGATTTGAGAGGGTCTAGCCTGGAGACAGGTGGATTGGTTATGAAGCTGCTGAAATATTATAGGCAAGAATTAGTGAGGGCCTGCATCATTACAATGCTGGAAGGGATGGAGAGGAGGGCCCAAGTTGGAGAAACACAGGCCACCTGAAACCCTGAAGAAGTTGTGACTTACCAAAGTCACAGTCAACAGACACGTGGTCAGAAACCCAGCCTGCTAGCCCCTTGTGATTTCCAAATGTCCTGGGTTTGATGCACTGTTCAGTCCCTGATTGAATGGTAATTACGCTGTAAGAGGGAGAGAGAGAGCACTGTCCATATCTTCCTGTATGTTAGCAATTTAGTGTTTTTATTTTATTTTTTTTGAAGTGCACATATTTATATTCAGTTCGGGTGAATAGCTCAATGTTCTGATGATGATGTTTGATAAATACCCTTGAAAGTTTAACTTACTATGCTAATAATCTTTATAAGCACAGATTTTTAGCAGGTAGCTAATTTGTTTTCTCCAACTTTTTTTTTTTTTTTTTTTTTTTGAGACGGAGTCTTCCTCTGTCGCCCAGGCTGGAGTGCAGTGGTGCGATCTCTGCTCACTGCAAGCTCCGCCTCCTGGGTTCACGCCATTCTCCTGCCTCAGCCTCCTGAGTAGCTGGGACTACAGGTGCCCACCACTACGCCTGGCTAATTTTTTGTTTTTGTTTTTTTTTTTTGAGACGGAGTCTTGCTTATCGCCCAGGCCAGAGTGCGGTGGCGTGATCTCGGCTCATTGAAAACTCCACCTCCCGGGTTCACGTCATTCTCCTGCCTCAGCCTCCCAAGTAGCTGGGACTACAGGCGCCCGCCACCGCGCCCGGCTAATTTTTTGTATTTTTAGTAGAGACGGGGTTTCACCATATTAGCCAGGATGGTCTTGATCTCCTGACCTGGTGATCCGCCCACTTCGGCCTCCCAAAGTGCTGGGATTACAGGCATGAGCCACCGCGCCCGGCCCTGTTTTCTCCAACTTTTTGTTATGAAAAAATTGAAACATACATAACATTTGAAAGAATAGCACAATGAACTAGGATCCACCTGCATGCTACTTAGATCCGAAAGTTAACATTTTGGTGCATTCACTCTATATATGTATAATAAAAGCATAATAAATGCACACTCACTCATATCTTTCACTGAACCATTTGGAAGGAAGTTGTAGAATGATATTTTACCATTAAATACTATAGCATGTATCTACAATATGAGTGATATTTGAAACTAACTTTTAAAGTTAGTTTTAAGAGGAAACTTAAGGGTAATAGGACTTGTGAAGATGAAGCAGAGCTGGAAGAAATAATTTTTTTTACAAACTTCATTAATATTAATGCATTATCTTGATTTTTTGTCACATCCATGAAATACTGGTGCTATTAATAATTGGAATATTCTTTTAAATATCTCACTTATAAACACTTAAATATCAGTACATTTATTTAGAAAGGAAACTGTATGCAGGACAGTGTATGAAATCGGAGCCTAGTGTTCCTCTGAGCTACAGAGAGCATTTCTATGATGAGCATCTCTAGGGAATGAACAGGGAAAGGGAGGGGTAGAATGAACAGGGAAAGGGAGGGGTAGGGGCAGGTAGGAAGAGAATGTTGGTGTGCAGGCATGTGACTGCAGGCTGTATGCAAGGACCTGCACTCTATAAATTTGTCCTGTCATTAGGGTGAGCCAAGTACCGGAGCTTTGGAGCTGGCTTCTGTTGGGCTTTTATTCCTTTTTAATTTCTAACTTCATGCCCCAGGCTTCACTGCTGCATCTGTCCCTGCTGCAGACTGATGCAGAACACTCTGGAACTGTAGAAGGAACTGCCAGAAGACTGTGTCACCCATGTTTGTCCTTGTGCCAGCAGGAGGGTCACGTGCATAGTGGTGTATAGACTACACTTAGAGAGATGCTCAATTTCTGTATTCTGCTGCTAAGTAAATACTTTCCTGTTTGTGGGTTGAATTTTTTTTTGACTTTTCTTTACAGCTAAGAATTGAAATTTATTGAAGTTCTTAATTAAATATTAAGCCATTTAAATTGCCCCCATTTTCTTCTGTCACTCTTGAGGACCATTATCCAGCCCCCTTGCAGACTGCCCCACCTTGGGTCCAGTGTCAGCCTAGCTTGGTGTAGGTGTATACATACAGTACTATGCCAGGCACTAGGTTGCATAAAAAGCGTAAACAAAAAATTCAGCATATATTCGTGAATATTTGAGAATTATATGAATTAGAGAATTCATTTTCTCTAAACTGAATCACCTGGACTTGTATTTAAGAATATATTATTTCATTCAGATTTTTAAGATAGGATTAGTGTTTCTCTGGGACATAAATTATTCTATTTTATTTTTTTCTATATAAATAAAAAGAAATTTGATGCAATTTAAAAAATGTCATCTTTCATTTTAGTGTCAATACTATTTAAGTAGAGATATTCAATAGGCAGAAAGATCAAGGATGACAGGATGTCAGAAAATTTTGGTTTCAGTCCAGGCACTGCTACTGAAAAACTTTGGTCTAATCACTTTATCTCAATAAGTTTCAATTATTTCTCTTATAAGATGGGGCCAATACCACTTGCTTTTCTACCCTACCAGAGATTGTAGCTACTAGGAAGAATGGAAATAATTGAAAGCTTTAAAACAATATAAATGGAAATGTACCCCATCTTAAAAAAAATTAGCCAGGTGTGTTTGTAGTCCCCGCTACTTGGGAGGCTGAGGCAGGAGAATCCCTTGAGTTTAGGAGGTTGAGGCTGAAGTGAGCCATGATGATGACAGTGTACTCCAGCCTGGGCGATAGAGCAAGACCTTGTCTCCCAAAAATAACCCCTAAAAGGGAGGCTGAGGCGGGGGAATTGCTTGAACCTGGGAGGTGGAGGTTGTAGTGAGCCAAGATAACGCCACTGCACTCCAGCCTGGCAGCAGAGCAAGACTCCATCTAAAAAAAAAAAAAAAAAAAAAACCCAAAAAACAAACACCATTCGTTTCTGCACAAAGTAATTTTGAGTTGAATAGCTGAATACAGCACAAGTGAGATGGAACAGTGTAAAGGTGACAAAATACATTTTTTTTGAAAATTATACTTTAAGTTCTGGGATACATGTGCAGAACGTACAGGTTTGTTACACAGGTATACATGTGCATAGTGGTTTGCTGCACACATCAACCCATCATCTACATTGTTTCTCCTAATGCTAGCCTTCCCCTTGCCTGCCACCCCCTGACAGGCCCCAGTGTATGATGTTCCCCTCCCTGTGCCCATATGTTCTCATTGTTCAACTCCTACTTATGAGTGAGAACATGTGGTGTTTGGTTTTCTGTTCTTGTGTTACTTTGCTGAGAATGATGGTTTCTAGCTTCATCCATGTCCCTGTGAAGGACATGAACTCATTCTTTTTTATGGCTGCCTAGTATTCCATGGTGAATATGTGCCACATTTTCTTTATCCAGCCTAAAATTGATGGGCATTTGGGTTGGTACCAAGTCTTTGCTATTGTGAATAGTGCTGCAGTAAACATATGTGTGCATGTGTCTTTATAGTGGAATGATTTATAATCATTTTGGTATATACTCAGTAATGGGATTGATGGGTCAAATGGTATTTCTAGTTCTAGATCCTTGAGGAATTGCCACACTGTCTTCCACAATGGTTGAACTAATTTACACTCCCACCAACAGTGTAAAAGCATTCCTATTTCTCCATGTCCTCTCCAGCATCTGTTTCCTGACTTTTTAATGATTGCCATTCTAACTGTCATGAGATGGTATCTCATTGTGGTTTTGATTTGCATTTCTCTAATGACCAGTGATGATGAGCTTTTTTTTCAGATGTTTGTTGGCTGCATAAATGTCTTCTTTTGAAAAGTGTCTGTTCTTACCCTTTGCCCACTTTTTGATGGGGTTGTTTGTTTTTTTCTTGTAAATTTGTTTAAGTTCCATGTAGATTCTGGATATTAGCCCTTTGTCAGATGGATAGATTGCAAAAATTTTCTCCCATTCTGTATGTTGCCTGTTCACTCTGATGATAGTTTCTTTTGCTGTGTAGAAGCTCTTTAGTTTAATTAGATCCCATTTGTCAGTTTTGGCTTTTGTTGCCATTGCTTTTGGTGTTTTAGTCATGAAGTCTTTTCCCATGCCTATATCTTGAATGGTATTGCCTAGATTCTCTTCTAGGGTTTTTATGGTTTTAGGTCTTACGTTTAAATCTTTTATTCATCTTGATTTAATTTTTGTATAAGGTGTAAGGAAGGGGTCCAGTTTCAGTTTTTTGCATATGGCTAGCCAGTTTTCCGCATATGGCTAGCCAGTTTTCCCAACACCATTTATTAAGTAGGGAATCCTTTCCCCACTGCCTGTTTTTGTCAGGTTTGTCAAAGGTCAGATGGTTGTAGATGTGTGGTGTTATTTCAGAGGCCTCTGTTCTGTTCCATTGGTCTATATACCTGTTTTGGTACCAGTACCGTGCTATTTTGGTTACTGTAGCCTTATATTATAGTTTGAAGTCAGGTAGCATGATGGCTGCAGCTTTGTTCTTTTTGCTTAGGATTGTCTTGGCAATGCAGGCTCTTTTTTGGTTCCATATGAAATTTAAAGTAGTTTTTTCTAATTCTATGAAGAAAGTCAGTGGTAGCTTCATGGGACTAGCATTGAATCTGTAAATTATTTTGGACTGTATGGCTATTTTCATGATATTGATTCTTCCTGTGTATGATTAATGTTTTTCCATTTGTTTATGTCCTCTCTTTTTTTTTTTTTTTCTTTTTCTTTTTTGAGACAGAGTCTTGCTGCCCAGGCTGGAGTGCAGTGGCACGCACGATCTCGGCTCACTGCAAGCTCCGCCTCCCGGGTTCACGCCACTCTCCTGCCTCAGCCTCCCAAGTAGCTGGGACTACAGGTGCCCACCACCACGCCCGGCTAATTTTTTGTATTTTTTTTTAGTAGAGAAGGGGTTTCACCATGTTAGCTAGGATGGTCTTGATCTCCTGACCTCATGGTCCGCCTGCCTCGGCATCCCAAAGTGCTGGGATTACAGGTGTGAGCCACTGCGCCTGGCCTGTTTGTGTCCTCTCTTATTTCCTTCAGCAGTGGTTTGTAGTTCTCCTTGAAGAGGTCCTTCACATCCCTTGTAAGTTGTATTCCTAGGTCAAAATACATATTTTTCCCCAGTAAATTTTTATTATAGAGTAGAGCAATGAATGAGAACTCTAGACTTAAGAGTGTTTTGTAAGCTATGGAAAACATTACACTTGTGTATTTGATGGAGAGTTGGAGCTATGGTTAGTATTCTCTGTATGGCTGTTATGAGGTTCTCATTCTATGGTATCACTCATAGCTATCAAAGTGTTCTTTCTACTGGTTAATACCAGTAGGCAGAATCCTGACTAATTTTGCTGAGAACAAGTCTTGGGAATTCTGTTGAGGACACTGTATCTACTTGTATATTTGCCATTATATAAGTTGTAATTACTTTGAAGCTAAAAATTTCAGCAAAATTCAATTCTACTAATATTTGTTAAGACTGTTTTTTGGTCTTAACACTACCTGCTCCCATTTTCTTCTGTCACCCCTGAGGACCATTATCCAGCCCTCTTGCAGACTGTCTTACCTTTGATCAAGTGTCAGCCTTGCTTGGTATAGGTAGCTTTTATTCCATTAATAGCTGAAATTTAGAAATAGTTCTCTTCTCTGGCTAGGGAGGTGAAGTTTCTGAAGGCTAATAAGTTTATAGTCTATTATCTTATAACTTTACTCAACAAATATTTATGAGGCATCGGGTATATGTGAGGTACTTTTTTCTCTCCCTCCCTCCTTCCTTCTGCTAGATTTATGTGGTAGGGATGGGGACTGTCTTATACCAAAGGCAGTCAGCTGGATCCCTGTATGTTAAGAGACCCAACAGCCTAAGGTTTGTATCCTTCATCCTAGTTTTTCTTTCTTTTTTTTTTTTTTTTTTTTGAGACAGAGTCTTGCTCTGTCGCCCAGGCTGGAATGCAGTGGCGTAATCTCAACTCACTGCAAACTCCGCCTCCCGGGTTCACGCCATTCATTCTCCTGCCTCAGCCTCTCCAGTAGCTGGGACTACAGGCGCCCGCCACTATGCCTGGCTACTTTTTTTGTATTTTTAGTAGAGACGGGGTTTCACCGTGTTAGCCAGGATGGTCTCGATCTCCTGACCTCGTGATCCGCCCGTCTCGGCCTCCCAAAGTGCTAGAATTACAGGCGTGAGCCACCGTGCCCTGCCGTCCTAGTTTTTGTTAATGAACCTTGGGTGGAACAGTCTGTTTATGACCTAGTTTTTCATTTGGCCTATTTACCTTTTCTAATCTTTATACTTAAAATGAAACTGGAGTTTTGTAGTGTGGAAATTGCCACTGGTTCAGAGTCTTTTGCTTTTGGCTTTTCCAGGCATTACGATTTGGCACCAACTTTTATTTTCACTTTCATACTGTATTCTTCCCTAGATGTTCAGCCTCTTACTGGGACTAGAAATTGGCCCTCCCAAAATGACAATTTTGTTAAAACATGTCCTTTTTATTTTAAACTAGGAAAAGAAAATCTTCAGCACCCTTTTTGATTTAACTAACTTTGAAATTTGCATAATTGTTTTTCCTTTCCAATTAAAAAAATAGCTTTACATGTTAGATTTTTAGAATTTTAGGACTGGAAGTGACCTTAAAGTTTTCTAGTCCAGTGGCTAGATGCTCTTTAAGCTTTTTGACTGCAACGCGCAGTGAAAAATACACATCCAGAGATGTGGTAAGCAGAATTTTAAAAATGGCCTTAATTTTCCACCTGAATCCCCAGGACTTTGAATATGATGAGGAAATATGCCCATGATTATATTATGTTACGTAGCAAATGACATTTTGCAGATGTAATTAAGTTACTAATCATTTGACTTTAGTTTAAAAAGGAGACCTAGGTGTGCCTATTCTAATTACATGAGCTGTTTTAAAAACATAAAGTTTTCTCTGGCTCAAAGCAGAACTGCAAGTCAGAGCAATTTGAAAGATGAGAAGGACTTTTCCTGTTGCTGGCTTGAAGATGGACGGGGCCATGTGAGAAGAAATGTGAGAGGTCTTGAGCTAAGAGAGGCTTGTGGTTAACAACCCATCAGAAACGGGGACCTCAGTCCTATACCTTAAGGGAACTGAATTCTGCCAACAACCAAACGAGCCTGTAAGCAGATTCTTTTCCAGACAAGAACCCAGCCTGGCTGGCACCTTGATTTTGGCCTTGAGAGATCAGACCCCAAGCAGAGAACCCAGTCAGCTCCACCTAAACTTCTGACCTACAGAACTGAAAAATTTTAAATAAATGTTGTTTTTTAGCCTCTAAGTTGGTAGTGGTTTGTTATATGGCAATAGAAAATTGATATGCAAGGCCACTTGGCAACCATGTGAATAAATGCTATGGAAGAAATGGAAATCTCATGAGTGAAAAAAACAAAATAAAAATTATAGGTACAACCTGATAATAGTCATATGAAACATTCACATGGGAAAAGACCTGCAGGGGATATACAAAGATCATAGTTATGGAGTTATGGTAGAATTATGAAATGTTTTTTATTTTTCATTTTTTGGTTATGATACTCCTTTTTATAATTAAAATATATTAATGCAACTTATAATAAACATATTTATATAAAACTAAGAACTTAATTTTATTTGGGAATTTATTACTGGGAACATGCAAATTCATATACCTAAAAGACTCTTGCTGTCAAGTGTTAGATGTGAAAAACTTGTGTGTTTTCCTTAATTTTATGTAATTACTAAATATGTCAGTAAGATAAATGTTATTTAAAACCTGTAGGTAATAAACTAAAAATCCTACATTCCTTGACACTCACCAGTTGACTAGTTTGCTGAGGAAATAGCTTTTGAAAATAGATGATGTGTGGAGGTAGTAGAAGTGGCAGTTGGAAAGATGGGTTTCAAGTTGCTTATGTTATGTATGGCCTTTAAAATGAAGATGTGAAAGGATTTGTGCCTATTATTACTTATAACCATGTTAAGTAATTTAGCCTTAATGAAAGAACCGTATTGCAGGGAGTTCTGTAAGTTAGGCTGTATTAATCAGAACTTTTTTTGTATGCACATTGAGAAAATAGATCAGCAAGTTTTCTAATTGCTCATATCTAATTACATTCCTGCTGTTGAACTGTTTTGACATCCTGGAAAAGGGTGAGTCACAAAAGAGGAAGGAACTACACTTATGATCCATTGTAAACACTTTTGGGTGTGGTGATGTGTTTGTGTGTATCCTAGAACAAATTATCTCATTTAATGCATGGAGGCTATCAGGTAGGTTTTTGTTGTTCATTCTAACCTGTAAGGTGAAATTTCTTGTGGTTGCTTCTAACTGCTAGTATTGAAGATACTCCTGAAAGAGGACCAAAAGTAGTGAAGGAATACTTTTGCATTGTGAGGATGAAACCCTATTCTGTAGTCATTTTTGCATGAACTGACTTATTAAAACTAACGTTTTAATCACATAGTATACTATTGCTTTTCATTGTTCATGAGTAATAACATTGATTCAGTTAAATAGCAATAATTAGAAAAAAATGATTAAAATAACATTTTCATTGAAATTGTGAATACACATGCTTAAATTAGAAACTACTTTTAAACACAAAGCCAACTTTATAAAGAACAGAGTTTTGGAAACTTCCTGGAATGCCCCTCTTTTCCACCTTCATAGTTTCAAAACTTTGGCAAGTATCCCAGTTGTATGCTTGTTGATGACCCTTTCTTTCTGCTGGGCTCCCCAGTTCCTTGTTTGGTACTAGCACATGTATCAAACAGGGAATCAGCACATGCCCCAGATCCCTGTTTGATCCAGCACATGTAGATAGGCCTTGTGGTTCTTTGAAGGGACACAGAGATAGTGAAGAGTAAGATGTAAGTGCTGAGGCTTAGTACAGGACAGACCTTGGGAGTGCAGAAATCAGCCTGCTGTGTTATTTGCCTGCTGTTAAGTGCAGTTCCTGCTGGACTGGAGGTGAAGTGAGAACAGCAGGCTCTTGCCTCACATTTTGGCTTATTGCCTGGCCTTGACAGTGAGTCCCTCCTTATATATTTTGTACCGTAGGCACTTTCCTCTCCCTACTCTCAGCCCAGCCCCCCCTTTTTATTTTTATTTTATTTTATTTTTATTTTTATTTTTTTGAGCACTTTTGCCCAGGCTGCAGTGCAGTGGTGTGATCTTGGCTCACTGCAACCTCTGCCTCCCAGGTTCAAGCGATTCTCCTGCCTCAGCCTCCTGAGTAGCTGGGGCTACAGGCGCCCACCACGACGCCTGGCTAATTTTTGTACTTCTGGTAGAGACGGGGTTTCACCATGTTGGCCAGGTGGTCTCAAACTCCTGACTTTGTGATCTGCCCGCCTGGGCCTCCTAAAGTGCTGGGATTACAGGTGTGAGCCACCGCGCCCGGCCAGCCCAGCTCTTTTGTGTATTACTGCGTTAGCAAGTTACCCCATTTTATTTTCTCTAAGGGAGAAACTATTATTTTTGCCCTAAAACTCCATAATGAAGGGCTTTTTTTTTTTTTTTTTTTTGAGACAGGGTCTTGCTTTGTCACCCAGGCTGGAGTGCAGTGGCAGGAAACATGGCTCACTGTAGCCTTGACCTCCTGGGCTCAAACGATCCTCCTGCCTCAGCCTCCCGTGTAGCTGGGACCACAGGTGCACACCAGCATGCCCAGCTGATTTTTTGATTGATAGATTGAATTTTTTTTTTTTTTTAATAGAGACAAGGCCTCATTTCGTTGCCTAGGCTGATCTCGAATTCCTGGGCTCAAGTGATCCTCCCACCTTGGCCTCCCAAAGTTCTGGGATTACAGGTGTGAGCCACTGTGCCTGGCCCAAAAGAAAGTTTTTAAATTGGTTCTTGTATATATGACTTTACTTGGCCAGTGCTATCACAGATTTGCACATGAATGTTAGAGAATATTTGGTTTATAATATTCACAAATTACAAGATTACAATTTACAATATTATAAGATTCACAGTATTTCTTATGTATTTAAAGTAGTTTGATTTATATAGTTTCATAACAACATAAGTATTGTGGAAACAATTTAGATTAACAAATATTTCTTGGTTGCTTTTTACTCTAGGTTTTCTAACTTTTTGACTTAAAAAAGTTCTCTAAGGTATATTTTGATTTGTTGTACTTACTAAAAAATTAATACTTTCTACTGCTGTTGTTTTTTACAGCAGTTTTCTGTGCTGTGTTTTACATTTGTTATTGATGATAAGAATGAGAAGTGGATTTGGGAGGCAAATTGCCAGGGTCATGCATGAAGTGGGAAGAGAAGGGTTGGAGATGAGATAGAGTTGTAAGACAGAATTTTATATTTGGCAGTTGGAGAGAAACAACTCTGTTTATTGCAATCTGGGGCTTATATATACACCACATATCAAAATCTAGAGCCAGTAGTATTAATTTAGTTTAACATCTGACACCATTATCTTCTTTTATATTGACTTCAAGAGTATGGTAATGTTTTTTATTAAATTATATGAATTGAGAGTGGCCTAGGAATTGTCAATAAAACTTTGAATTTTTAATATGTCAGCTATTGAAAATTTGGTATATATCATACATGCCTGTAAATAAAGTTTGCACTTTAGAATCATTTTAACAGCCTTTTAAAGCAATTATATTCTTGCCAATATAAAGCCAGTTTGTAAGACCGAGTTGTCTTTCCCTTAATTCATCCCTTTATTCATCCCTTTATAACAGTGGTTCTCAACTAGGGGTGATTTTGTTCCTTAAGAGACATTTGGCAATGTCTGGAGATGTTTTTGGTTGTTAAGCTTGAGGAGTATTGCTAGTATCTAGTGGGGAGGTGCCATGGGTATTGCTGCACATCCTACAATGTGCAGGACAACCTCTTCACAATAAAGAATTACCTGGCCCAAAATGTCAGTAGTGCCAAGATTGAGAAACCCTGCCTTATAGGATTTATAAAGTATAGTTTTTATCCTTTGTGCATTTCATTTTCTCCCATCTTAGATGAACCACTGTTTTAAAATAGTCCTCTTAAGAGATGGTAGATTGATTACAAAATGGCCCTATTTCTCTACCCCTGCCTGGATCCATAGTCTTTGCAATGTGACTTTGTTTCCCTACCTCTTGAATATGGGTTGGATTCATGACTTGCTTTGAACAATAGAATGTGTTAGAAGTGATGTTGAACCTGCATCTCAAAAAGTCTTTCATGTTTCCATTCTTTCTTGGGAACAAGCCCATGCTGGGCCATCTAACCTCCAACCTGTTTACTAGTTGACTGTAGACACAAGCATGAATGCATGAGATGAACCAGCCGAGATTACTATACCTGGCCCAGCCCAGCAGAACTGCTCAGTTGACCTGCAGAGTCATAAGTAATAATAAATTGTAGCTATTTTAAATCACTGTTTCAGTTTTGCAGCAATAGACATAGAATACTTTTTTTTGGATGAATGTTTCTGCTTTTTCCTCTAATAAATAATAATTCCAGATAGAGGGAATAGCATGTTAAAAGATCCCGAGATGAGATTTTATTTGTCTTCATGTTTTAAAACCATGTTTTAAAGCCATGAAAATTAAAGTGAGCAAGAGGGAGAAAGTAGAAGGAGATTATTGTCAGTGATCTCTTAGGGGTCTGGATCATGTATGGGTGAAGATTTTGGATTGTGTTTGAATGCCAATCTAAATAATCCAGGCCAGGTGTGTTTTGTTTTGTTTTAAAAGAACTTCCTACAATTTGGGTTTGATGACTTACTAGTTATTAGGTTTAGGTTAAACATTTATGGCAAGAATACTGACTACTGGAGGGTTTTAAAACAAAGGAGTAACATGATCTGACATGGTCTAAAAGAATATTCTGACAACTGTGTGGAGAATAAACTGTAGGGGGAGGCAAGGGTACAAGCAGAAGCAGGGAGACCAATTAATAGATTATTATAATAGTCCAGGATGCAGAAACCGGAAGAAAAATAAGTGATTGTAATTCTGATTTTTACTGATGAATATAAATGAAGTTTATTCCAGGATATTTAAAAAATGTTCTTTTGCCTTTTTCTATAGTCTTTTACTTAAGAAATAATAAAATAGAAAAGTTGGTTTTTAAAAAATAATATACTTATGGGTCTATTTAAAAATTCATCTTCCCCTCAAAACATTAATGGGAAGTCCCGGAAAGATGTAGGAAGGGAATCACAAGTTGCAAAAATGTGTAAGGCTGTGTTGTCTCTATTATTGGAAAAGTCTAAGCAAGCAAATTATTGAATTGTAGAGTGGGCCTGGAAATGTGGTTTGGTGTCTGTGTAAGTACTGTGGCTGATGCTCCACTTCTACTTTAAGTAAAAGGCTATGCTTGAGGTACAGATGACATTCAAAAAATCCAAATGTCTAATATATAGCAATAGTTATATTGTATGAATATAAGCAAATAGACTAACAAGTGTTTTTATTTTATTTTATTTTATTTTATTTTTTGAGATGGAGTTTCACTCTTCCACCCAGGTTAAAGTACAGTGGCGCGATCTCAGCTCACTGCAGCCTCTGCCTTCTTGGTTCAAGCGATTCTCCTGCCTCAGCCTTCCGAGTAGCTGGGGCTACAGGTGCCCGTCACCATGCCTGGCTAATTTTTTGTATTTTTAATAGAGATGGGGTTTCACCGTGTTGACCAGGCTGGTCTTGAACTCCTGACCTCAGGTGATCCACCTACCATGGTCTCCCAAAGTGCTGGAATTACAGGCATGAGCCACTGTGCCCAGCCAAGTTTTTAAATATGGAAAAAATACTGTGCAAATTTAGAACTGAATAAAACTTGTTAGAATTTAATATAAAATTTAAGACTTAGACCTCAAGAAAAACAACACAGTCTCTTATTCTTTAATGTACACATTTATAATACTACGGATGAAGTTGCCCACTCTTTAATCTGTTGATAATACAGGAATAGTTCCCAAGTAGGGTACTGTTACACTTAAAAGGGATGGAAATTTCCTAAGACATTTGGTTTCAAACACTCAGCCCCGATGGCCACCTATTCAAATTAAGTTATCAGCTCAGAACAGTAATGGTTTTAAAGCATTATAACTGTTTTGGATCTCAGATCTGCTCATTATTAAACATTTTCAATATCCTTGAAATTCAAAAAAATAATAGGATGGATACGAGACACCCTCATACCTTTTATAACCAAAGAGTGTCCTGAGTTAGCATTTGATAACTAGTAAACTGAAACTCCGGTTACATAAAATGCCAAGCCCTGCCATAAGCAAAGGTCATGAGCTCTGTCACCATCAGCCAAGAGCTTACAAGTATAAGCATTTATTTACTACAATTAGAATAAACACGTCAATATAGATGACTGCAGTCTTACATTAAAATGATAAATTTGTTGAACTTTAAGTTCCATAATTTCTCAAATACAGAAAATATTATTTAAAACCAGGTTGAGGCTGGGTGCGGTGGCTCACGCCTGTACCCAGCACTTTGGGAGGCTGAGGTGGGCAAATCATTTGAGGTCAGGAGTTCGAGACCAGCCTGGCCAACATGGTGAAAGCCCCTCTCTACTAAAAATATATATATAAAAAATAGCCGGGCGTGGTGGTGAGTGCTTGTAATCCCTGCTATTCGGGAGGCTGAGGCAGGAAAATTGCTTGAACCTGGGAGGTGCAGGTTAGAGTGAGCCAAGATCGTGCGGCTGTACTCTAGCCTGGGCGGCAGAGTGAGACTCCATCCCACCCCCCAAAAAAAGCATGTTGAATACTTAAGCATTCTATTAAAATCAGTATAACATATTTTATCCCAATTGTGTAGTATAATAAAATATAATTTTTAGAGTAGTTTGCTATAAAGAATCTGACTATAAACGTAAATACTTGAAGCATGCTAAGAAGTATGGAAACTACTTACTCGTGCCAAATTCAAATTATTCTTTATATACAGCTACTTGACTGATGTAAAATATGATGTGAAACATTCAAACTTGTTTTTAAGTGTTACTATTTCTAAAACATGAAAATTAAACCCATTTAGAAATCTGGCCATTAACTTTCAGTTTCCACACCAGAGGTGTTTCCCTTAAAGACATCTATCAGTATAATATTACTATTATAATCCCAACATTAAATTCAAAAATCAATTAAAAGTACTTGAAATTACAAAAGTATAAAAAAAACCTTTGTTATTCATTTCTTTTTTAAAAATCTTTGTTTTCAGCTGGGCACAGTGGCTTGCATCTGTAATCGCAACACTTTGGGAGGCTGAGGTGGGAGGATCACTTGAGCACAGGAGTTTGAGACCAGCCTTGGCAACATAACAAGACCCTGTCTCTACAGAAAATTAAAAAATTAGCTGGGCTTGGTGTCTTACACCTGTAGTCCCAGCTACTTGGGAGGCTGCAGTGGGAGGATCACTTGAGCCTGGGAGGTCGAGGCTGCAGAGAGTCATGATTGCACCACTGCTCCAGCTTGGGTGACAGAGCAAGACCCTGTCTCAAAAACAAACAAACAAAAATACATTGTTTTCTCTAGTTGTAGGAAATTGTAAATTATTATTTGGAATGTGCAAATTGTCCATATTTACATATATGTGACATGCCAAGATGTCAAAATATGTAAAAAGAAGCAAGCTGGAGGACTATTAGTATAATCCCAGTTTGGTTAGTGGTGATATTTTTTTTAATTGAGAGAATAAACATCAATTCTTCAGACTCCTTAAAATAGTTTCCTATATTTAAGGGGTTTAGGAATGTTAGCTTCTCAGATATATTCCTAGACAACACTTTTAGAGATGGATTTAGATTTAGAATGGTGTTTGTTTATGAATCTGCATTAAAAAATTCAACTTTTAGATTCAGGGGTACATATGCATGTTTGTTACTTGGGTGTATTGTGTGTTGCCGAGGTTTGTGGTATGATTGATCTTGTCACCCAGGTATTGAGCATAGTACGCAGTATGCAGTTTTTCAGCCCTTCCCCCCATCCCTCTGTCTGCCCTCTAGTGTCTTTTGTTCCCATCTTTTTTTTTTTTTTTTTTTTTTTTTATTATACTCTAAGTTTTAGGGTACATGTGCACATTGTGCAGGTTAGTTACATATGTATACATGTGCCATGCTGGTGCGCTGCACCCACTAATGTGTCATCTAGCATTAGGTATATCTCCCAATGCTATCCCTCCCCCCTCCCCCGACCCCACCACAGTCCCCAGAGTGTGATATTCCCCTTCCTGTGTCCATGTGATCTCATTGTTCAATTCCCACCTATGAGTGAGAATATGCGGTGTTTGGTTTTTTGTTCTTGCGATAGTTTACTGAGAATGATGGTTTCCAATTTCATCCATGTCCCTACAAAGGATATGAACTCATCATTTTTTATGGCTGCATAGTATTCCATGGTGTATATGTGCCACATTTTCTTAATCCAGTCTATCATTGTTGGACATTTGGGTTGGTTCCAAGTCTTTGCTATTGTGAATAGTGCCGCAATAAACATACGTGTGCATGTGTCTTTATAGCAGCATGATTTATAGTCCTTTGGGTATATACCCAGTAATGGGATGGCTGGGTCAAATGGTATTTCTAGTTCTAGATCCCTGAGGAATCGCCACACTGACTTCCACAATGGTTGAACTAGTTTACAGTCCCACCAACAGTGTAAAAGTGTTCCTATTTCTCCGCATCCTCTCCAGCACCTGTTGTTTCCTGACTTTTTAATGATTGCCATTCTAACTGGTGTGAGATGATATCTCATAGTGGTTTTGATTTGCATTTCTCTGATGGCCAGTGATGATGAGCATTTCTTCATGTGTTTTTTGGCTGCATAAATGTCTTCTTTTGAGAAGTGTCTGTTCATGTCCTTCGCCCACTTTTTGATGGGGTTGTTTGTTTTTTTCTTGTAAATTTGTTTGAGTTCATTGTAGATTCTGGATATTAGCCCTTTGTCAGATGAGTAGGTTGCAAAAATTTTCTCCCATGTTGTAGGTTGCCTGTTCACTCTGATGGTAGTTTCTTTTGCTGTGCAGAAGCTCTTTAGTTTAATTAGATCCCATTTGTCAATTTTGTCTTTTGTTGCCATTGCTTTTGGTGTTTTGGACATGAAGTCCTTGCCCACGCCTATGTCCTGAATGGTAATGCCTAGGTTTTCTTCTAGGGTTTTTATGGTTTTAGGTTTAACGTTTAAATCTTTAATCCATCTTGAATTGATTTTTGTATAAGGTGTAAGGAAGGGATCCAGTTTCAGCTTTCTACATATGGCTAGCCAGTTTTCCCAGCACCATTTATTAAATAGGGAATCCTTTCCCCATTGCTTGTTTTTCTCAGGTTTGTCAAAGATCAGATAGTTGTAGATACGCGGCATTATTTCTGAGGGCTCTGTTCTGTTCCATTGATCTATATCTCTGTTTTGGTACCAGTACCATGCTGTTTTGGTTACTGTAGCCTTGTAGTATAGTTTGAAGTCAGGTAGTGTGATGCCTCCAGCTTTGTTCTTTTGGCTTAGGATTGACTTGGCAATGCGGGCTCTTTTTTGGTTCCATATGAACTTTAAAGTAGTTTTTTCCAATTCTGTGAAGAAAGTCATTGGTAGCTTGATGGGGATGGCATTGAATCTGTAAATTACCTTGGGCAGTATGGCCATTTTCACGATATTGATTCTTCCTACCCATGAGCATGGAATGTTCTTCCATTTGTTTGTCTCCTCTTTTATTTCCTTGAGCAGTGGTTTGTAGTTCTCCTTGAAGAGGTCCTTCACATCCCTTGTAAGTTGGATTCCTAGGTATTTTATTCTCTTTGAAGCAATTGTGAATGGGAGTTCACCCATGATTTGGCTCTCTGTTTGTCTGTTGTTGGTGTATAAGAATGCTTGTGATTTTTGTACATTGATTTTGTATCCTGAGACTTTGCTGAAGTTGCTTATCAGCTTAAGGAGATTTTGGGCTGAGACGATGGGGTTTTCTAGATAAACAATCATGTCGTCTGCAAACAGGGACAATTTGACTTCCTCTTTTCCTAATTGAATACCCTTTATTTCCTTCTCCTGCCTGATTGCCCTGGCCAGAACTTCCAACACTATGTTGAATAGGAGCGGTGAGAGAGGGCATCCCTGTCTTGTGCCAGTTTTCAAAGGGAATGCTTCCAGTTTTTGCCCATTCAGTATGATATTGGCTGTGGGTTTGTCATAGATAGCTCTTATTATTTTGAAATACGTCCCATCAATACCTAATTTATTGAGAGTTTTTAGCATGAAGGGTTGTTGAATTTTGTCAAAGGCTTTTTCTGCATCTATTGAGATAATCATGTGGTTTTTGTCTTTGGCTCTGTTTATATGCTGGATTACATTTATTGATTTGCGTATATTGAACCAGCCTTGCATCCCAGGGATGAAGCCCACTTGATCATGGTGGATAAGCTTTTTGATGTGCTGCTGGATTCGGTTTGCCAGTATTTTATTGAGGATTTTTGCATCAATGTTCATCAAGGATATTGGTCTAAAATTCTCTTTTTTGGTTGTGTCTCTGCCCGGCTTTGGTATCAGAATGATGCTGGCCTCATAAAATGAGTTAGGGAGGATTCCCTCTTTTTCTATTGATTGGAATAGTTTCAGAAGGAATGGTACCAGTTCCTCCTTGTACCTCTGGTAGAATTCGGCTGTGAATCCATCTGGTCCTGGACTCTTTTTGGTTGGTAAACTATTGATTATTGCCACAATTTCAGAGCCTGTTATTGGTCTATTCAGAGATTCAACTTCTTCCTGGTTTAGTCTTGGGAGAGTGTATGTGTCGAGGAATGTATCCATTTCTTCTAGATTTTCTAGTTTATTTGCGTAGAGGTGTTTGTAGTATTCTCTGATGGTAGTTTGTATTTCTGTGGGATCGGTGGTGATATCCCCTTTATCATTTTTTATTGTGTCTATTTGATTCTTCTCTCTTTTTTTCTTTATTAGTCTTGCTAGCGGTCTATCAATTTTGTTGATCCTTTCAAAAAACCAGCTCCTGGATTCATTGATTTTTTGAAGGGTTTTTTGTGTCTCTATTTCCTTCAGTTCTGCTCTGATTTTAGTTATTTCTTGCCTTCTGCTAGCTTTTGAATGTGTTTGCTCTTGCTTTTCTAGTTCTTTTAATTGTGATGTTAGGGTGTCAATTTTGGATCTTTCCTGCTTTCTCTTGTAGGCATTTAGTGCTATAAATTTCCCTCTACACACTGCTTTGAATGCGTCCCAGAGATTCTGGTATGTGGTGTCTTTGTTCTCGTTGGTTTCAAAGAACATCTTTATTTCTGCCTTCATTTCGTTATGTACCCAGTAGTCATTCAGGAGCAGGTTGTTCAGTTTCCATGTAGTTGAGCGGCTTTGAGTGAGATTCTTAATCCTGAGTTCTAGTTTGATTGCACTGTGGTCTGAGAGATAGTTTGTTATAATTTCTGTTCTTTTACATTTGCTGAGGAGAGCTTTACTTCCAACTATGTGGTCAATTTTGGAATAGGTGTGGTGTGGTGCTGAAAAAAATGTATATTCTGTTGATTTGGGGTGGAGAGTTCTGTAGATGTCTATTAGGTCTGCTTGGTGCAGAGCTGAGTTCAATTCCTGGGTATCCTTGTTGACTTTCTGTCTCGTTGATCTGTCTAATGTTGACAGTGGGGTGTTAAAGTCTCCCATTATTAATGTGTGGGAGTCTAAGTCTCTTTGTAGGTCACTCAGGACTTGCTTTATGAATCTGGGTGCTCCTGTATTGGGTGCATAAATATTTAGGATAGTTAGCTCCTCTTGTTGAATTGATCCCTTTACCATTATGTAATGGCCTTCTTTGTCTCTTTTGATCTTTGTTGGTTTAAAGTCTGTTTTATCAGAGACTAGGATTGCAACCCCTGCCTTTTTTTGTTTTCCATTGGCTTGGTAGATCTTCCTCCATCCTTTTATTTTGAGCCTATGTGTGTCTCTGCACGTGAGATGGGTTTCCTGAATACAGCACACTGATGGGTCTTGACTCTTTATCCAACTTGCCAGTCTGTGTCTTTTAATTGCAGAATTTAGTCCATTTATATTTAAAGTTAATATTGTTATGTGTGAATTTGATCCTGTCATTATGATGTTAGCTGGTGATTTTGCTCATTAGTTGATGCAGTTTCTTCCTAGTCTCAATGGTCTTTACATTTTGGCATGATTTTGCAGTGGCTGGTACCGGTTGTTCCTTTCCATGTTTAGCGCTTCCTTCAGGAGCTCTTTTAGGGCAGGCCTGGTGGTGACAAAATCTCTCAACATTTGCTTGTCTATAAAGTATTTTATTTCTCCTTCACTTATGAAGCTTAGTTTGGCTGTATATGAAATTCTGGGTTGAAAATTCTTTTCTTTAAGAATGTTGAATATTGGCCCCCACTCTCTTCTGGCTTGTAGGGTTTCTGCCGAGAGATCCGCTGTTAGTCTGATGGGCTTTCCTTTGAGGGTAACCCGACCTTTCTCTCTGGCTGCCCTTAACATTTTTTCCTTCATTTCAACTTTGGTGAATCTGACAATTATGTGTCTTGGAGTTGCTCTTCTCGAGGAGTATCTTTGTGGTGTTCTCTGTATTTCCTGAATCTGAACGTTGGCCTGCCTTGCTAGATTGGGGAAGTTCTCCTGGATAATATCCTGCAGAGTGTTTTCCAACTTGGTTCCATTCTCCACATCACTTTCAGGTACACCAATCAGACGTAGATTTGGTCTTTTCACATAGTCCCATATTTCTTGGAGGCTTTGCTCATTTCTTTTTATTCTTTTTTCTCTAAACTTCCCTTCTCGCTTCATTTCATTCATTTCATCTTCCATTGCTGATACCCTTTCTTCCAGTTGATCGCATCGGCTCCTGAGGCTTCTGCATTCTTCACGTAGTTCTCGAGCCTTGGTTTTCAGCTCCATCAGCTCCTTTAAGCACTTCTCTGTATTGGTTATTCTAGTTATACATTCTTCTAAATTTTTTTCAAAGTTTTCAACTTCTTTGCCTTTGGTTTGAATGTCCTCCCGTAGCTCAGAGTAATTTGATCGTCTGAAGCCTTCTTCTCTCAGCTCGTCAAAATCATTCTCCATCCAGCTTTGTTCTGTTGCTGGTGAGGAACTGCGTTCCTTTGGAGGAGGAGAGGCGCTCTGCGTTTTAGAGTTTCCAGTTTTTCTGTTCTGTTTTTTCCCCATCTTTGTGGTTTTATCTACTTTTGGTCTTTGATGATGGTGATGTACAGATGGGTTTTCGGTGTAGATGTCCTTTCTGGTTGTTAGTTTTCCTTCTAACAGACAGGACCCTCAGCTGCAGGTCTGTTGGAATACCCTGCCGTGTGAGGTGTCAGTGTGCCCCTGCTGGGGGGTGCCTCCCAGTTAGGCTGCTCGGGGGTCAGGAGTCAGGGACCCACTTGAGGAGGCAGTCTGCCCGTTCTCAGATCTCCAGCTGCGTGCTGGGAGAACCACTGCTCTCTTCAAAGCTCAGATGGAAATGCAGAAATCACCGTCTTCTGCGTCGCTCACGCTGGGAGCTGTAGACCGGAGCTGTTCCTATTCGGCCATCTTGGCTCCTCCCTCCACAGCTTTTTCTTGTTGAGAATTTTTAACCACTCTCTGAAGCTGAGTCAAGTTACAGAGCCGAGCAAAATACAGGGGTAGAGGAAGCAGCAGAAAGGCCCTGGGAGCTCGGTGGGTCCCTTCACAGGCGGCGGAAGGGTTGTTCCCATCTTTATGTCCATGTGTACTCAGTGTTTAGTTCCCACTGGTAAGCAGGAACATGTGGGATTTGGTTTTCTGTTTCTGCATTAATTTGCGTGGGATAGTGGCCTCTGATTGCATCCAAGCTGCAGCAAAGACATGGTTTCATTCTTTTTTTATGGCTAAGTAGTATTCCATGGTATATATGTACCACATTTTCTTTTTCCAGTCCACTCTTGATGGGACCTAAGTTGCTTCCATGTTTTTGCTATTGTGAATAGTGCTGCAGTGAACATACAAGTACGGTGTCTTTTGGGTGGAATGATTTATTTTCCTTTGAGTATATACCCAGTAATGGGATTGCTGGGTTGAATGGTAGTTCTATTTTCAGTTCTTTGAGAAATCTCCAAACTGCTTTCCACAGTGGCTGAACTAATTTACATTCCCACCAGCAGTATATATGAATTACCTTTTCTCCATAGCCTTACCAATATCTGTTATTTTTTAACTTTATAATAATAGCCATTCTGATTGGTGTGAGATGGTAACTCATTGCAGTTTTTGATTTGCATTTCTCTGATTAGTGTTGCTGAGCATTTTTTCATATGCTTGGTGGCCACTTGTATGTGTTCTTTTGAGAGGTGTCGGTTCATGTTCTCTGCCCACTTTTTAATAGGGTTATTTGTTTTTTGCTTGTTGCATTAAGTTACATATAGATTTAGTATATTAAACCTTTGTTGGATACATAGTTTGTGACTATTTTCTCCTGTTCTGTAGGTTGTGTGTTTACTCTCTTGAGTTTCTTTTACTGTGTGGAAGCTCTTTAGCTTAATTAGGTCCCACTTTTCAATTTTCGCTTTCTTTGCAGTTGCCTTTGAGGACTTAGTTGTAAATGTTTTGCCGAGGCTGATTTCCAGAATGCTATTTCCTAGGTTTTTTTTCTATGTTTTTTTTTTTTCTTTTTTTTTTTGAGATGGGGTTTCGCTCTTGTTTCCCAGGCTGGAGTGCAGTGGTGCAATCTCGGCTCACCGCAACCTCCGCCTCCTGGGTTCAAGGGATTCTCCTGCCTCAGCCTCCTGAGTAGCTGGGGTTACAGGCATGCACCACCACGCCTGGCTAATTTTGTATTTTTAGTAGAGATGGGGTTTCTCCATGTTGGTCAGGCTGGTCTCGAACTCTCGATCTCAGGTGATCTGCCTGCCTTGGCCTCCCAAAGTGCTGGGATTACAGGCGTGAGCCGCTGCGCCTGGCCTCTTCTATGATTTTTATAGTTTTAGATCTTACATTTAAGTCTTTAATCCATCTTGAGTTCATTTTTGTATATGGTGAAAGGTAGGGGTCTAGTTTCATTCTTCTACATATGGCTAGCCAGTTATCCCAGTAGTATTTAATGAATAGGAAGTCCTTTCCCTGTTGCTTATTTTTGTCAGCCTTGTCAAAGATCAGATGTTTATAGGAGTGTGGCTTTATTTCTGGGTTCTATCTTCTGTTCCCCATTAGTCTGTGTGTCTGTTTTTGTACCAGTATCAATGCTGTTTTGGTTAGTTTGGTTAGTGTTATGCACCAGGTTATTTTGATGAAAACGGTTTGTCTACTACACTTTGAGCTGCTCTGTGAAGAGCCTTAGGTGGTTCAGGGAAAGAATATAGGCAGTGAAGAGGCCCTACTTTCAAACAGAGCCACCCTTCTTTCTTTCTTCATTTCAAGGCTTTTAAGAAAATTTTTAAAATTAGAAAGGTTTGAAAACCACTGATTACTGGCTATATTAAGTAGAAGTTCTAGAACAGTTTAAGATATTTAGTAATTAATACATTAAACATCACTGCCTTATGTTTATTTGGTGTTTTTAGTTTTTGAGAACAGTTTCACAATTATTTTAATTTTAACCAATTAAACCTGAACGAGACAAATAAAAAGTTTAATAGGAATTGAAATATTTCTACAATGATGAGGCATTTTATATAATTTATAAATAGGTTGTTAATGTAAACGTATCTACTCCATGGACAGTAAAGTTAATAAAAATGTCTATTTAAAATAGAACCAATCAATTTTAAAGTGCTTCTTATTTTTTATGCAGTATGCAGTATCAAGTAATTTTAAAGTGAACTATTTTTGCTTTTTGATTATCTATTTTCTGGTTATACAGCAATTTTTAATTTAATAAAATGAGAAAAAAGTTATAGGATATTGTGGTTTATTAAATAATATTTTTGTGATTTTTGGAAACATGCATTAATTATAAATTTTTCTGTCATAGATTACTTTCTCTTCTCCCCAAAATATGCCAGGGAAGAGGAATGGGCGGAAGGAGGTTTTCCTTTTTATATACCCTTCTTTATACTGTTGGATCTTTTTAAAAGCTGCGATTATGTATTCCTTATATAATCTAAAAAGCATTAAATTTAACCCTTAAGAAAAAGCTGCATATTTTTCTAACCTTCTTATACTACAGCCTTATACTTAAAATGAAAGGAATTTAGAGTTTAAGATGAAGGCAAAAAAGAATGTTTCCAGCTGATAGTGAGAGTGGAAGAGCATGTGGATTAGAGCTCTGAGCAGCGTGCATGGCTGAGCACTGGCCACATCACCACTCATCCTCTGCTTGAGATTCCCAGAACAGAATTGACTCCCAGGCCACCCTCTAGCTCCTGACTTTATAGGGCTCAGCTCAGTTGTGGTTCCCATTATTTCCTGTGAGATTTCCTTTGTGATTCTTTGTATAACTTTGTGATAAATCACAAATAAATTGGACAGGTACTTGTTCCTTCCAAATAAAGGAGGCTGAACAGAACAATATTTATTGTAGAAAATTTAGAAGGTACCGAACATATAAAGAAAAAATGTCTTCTCTAATACCACATCCCATAGCTGTTAATTTTTCGGCTATTCCCTTTCATTAGTATTCTGAGTGTTTATTTCTTAACATGTGATCTTAAAACCTTTTCAGGATGCTGAGCTTTGTGATCTTATTTCTATTTCAGAAGAAAAAGTAAAGCCAAATGAAATGAAAATAAGTGGAGAAAGTCGTGAATACATATTTTTAAGATCTGTATTTTAGAGAGATTTAGTTTTATACACGAATAGCAAAGAATATGCTTCTAATTCTAAGCTAATGAGAAAATCAGTGCTGTTTACATTTTTTTTTAAACAATTTCCTCCATGCTGCTCAGATATACATCTTGTAAAAGTTTGAGAAGTTTTGTTGGGGAAGAGCCAATCCTTTGTTGCCAGGTGAAGGCCTTTTGTCATCTTGGTAAATTTACCTTATGCTTATTTAAGCAGAAACTCAATCTTGATTGGATTTGGGGGTGCTGAGTTACCCTGAAAGTTCACTGATGTATTAAATCATTTTATTAATGTATAATGAGAACTAAATAGCTGGTTTAGGGGCTGGATACTTCCATCCAGTCACTTCCTGTAGGAAAGCAAGTTTGTTGGAAGCTTGCTTAGAGAAGATGCAAGCAGAACAGTGGGAATGAATAAGATTCAGATGTTTAAAGTCATCCCATTTTTATTTATTTATTTATTTGGATACATTATATTTGTATATATTTATGGGGTACCTGTGAAATTTTGCTACATTCATGGAGTGGGTAATGATCAAGTCAGGATATTTAGGGCATCCATCACCTCAGTGTTTATCATTTCTATGTGTTGGGTACATTTCAGGTTCTTTCTTCTAGCAAAGTTATCTTGATGACTTGGTGTCGCCTTCATCTTCCTTGGATTGTTTCTGCATGGCCAGTGCCAGAATTCTTGAAAACCTTCCTTCTTAATATACCTCTGCTTTCACTCAGGTACATTTGTATCCCCACTCTTGGTTTTTATTTTTTGGTTCAATGATAACATAGGAAACATATTATTAATAAGATCACAGTTCTATCTGCCTTCCTAGAGACTGGAGAATTAAGAGATCCACCATGAGAGGTCCTCCTTAAGGTTAGAAGGACACTGTGAAAGTTGAAAGATTTTCTTTTCAGACAGGGAGAAGGGAAGTTTTCCTAAAGTATTGGCTACTTCCTTTCACAACCATTGATGGCAAATGTTCCCTTTGACAATTAAAATGACTATGCTTTTCTTATATTACTGAGTAGTGCCATATCCTAAGGAACCTGGGAGGTCTGTGGACATTCTTGGTCAGAGGAAAGAGTGCTAAGCTTGATTTATCCATATTCACCATGGGAGGGAGGGCACATATAGTACCAATATTTACTTTTCCTGGACAAGATGATCCTCAAGGATTTTATTCTATTATAAATATGAGCTATATTTTAAACTCTATTTTCCTTTAACCTAACAGGGGAAGAAATTAATTTTTAGATTTTTTATATCATTATGCAGCTTTTGGGGAAAAATAATTGCTGTTTTGGAGTCATAGGATTTACCAAAAATCTATCAGATAAATCTATCAAATATTCCATCAAACGAAGATTTTTTTTTTTTTGAGATCTTGCTGTGTTGCCCAGGCTAGAGTGCAGCAGCATGGTGATGGCTCACTGCAGCCTTAACCTCCTTTGCTTAAGTGATCCTCCCAACTTAGCCTCTGGTGTAGCTAGGACTACAAGGTGCTTGCCACCATACCTGGCTAGTTAAATTTTTTTTTTTTTTTTTGTAGAGACAGAGTCTTGCTATGTTGCTGAGGCTGGTCTCAAACTTCTGGGCAAGAGTATTGCAAACTTTGTAACTTTCTTTGGTTGGGGATTTCTAGATATCTTTTTTTTTCTGGCTTGGTGCAGATGAATAGAGAACAAAGCCATTTGGGATGAAAATTTACTATGTGCTTGGGGATGCCTACTATATAGAGAAAGAGTTTAATCTATAAAAAGGTCACACTCTTTGAGGCAATTATAAGTGTGCCTTGGTTTAAAATAGTTCAGTGCATACCTTCCAAGGAAGCCATGAAGCACACCTTTTAGCGAGTGATTGTTAGCTGTACTAGTTCATTCACCAGTTTTCCTTGAAAAGTAAAACTGTGTAGTACAGTTAAAAACACTCCATTTTCAGACACATTTTCAGTTAGATATTTGCTACAGAAAGCAAACCACATATGTACTAAAATTTGAAAAAAAATTAAAACTGAGATGTTTAAAGGACTATCATTATATATTTAGGTTCTGTGCTCTTAAAGTTTCTTCTCTGAAGGGTGTAACTTTTTCTGTGAGTATGGGTTAAATATATTTCTGAGTATTATTTTCTATCAGCCTTTATGAACACTAGATAGCCTGAGAAGAAATATGGAGCATAGTATTTGGAATATTATTTTACATTTCCATGACCATCTTTTATGTGAAGTAGGTTTAGAAAGAATTCTTTAATTGCAGTATTTGTTAATTTCAGTTTATTCAGTTGCTCAACAGATACTTAAGTGCCTACTCTATGTAGACAAATAGAGTGCTAAGCTCGAACATGTACTCCTTGCTCTTGAGAAATTTGTAGACAGAAAAGTGGGGGGAGACAGGATTAGAAAGCTAACACACTTAAAATATAAAGCTACAGCTCTATGTAATAAGTGTACGAAGTAGAGATATACCAGAATATATAACAGGGAGGGCCTGACAAAATCTGGGGAGTCAGAGGAAGTTTCTTTGAAAAAGTTCAAGGCCAGGCGTGGTGGCTCACGCCTGTAATCCCAGCACTTTGGGAGGCCGAGGCGGGTGGATCATGAGGTCAGGAGATCGAGACCATCCTGGCCAACATGATGAAACCCCGTCTCTACTAAAAATACAAAAAATTAGCCGGGTGTGGTGGCAGGCACCTGTAGTCCCAGCTACCCGGGAGGCTGAGGCAGGAGAATGGCGTGAACCTGGGAGGCGGAACTTGCAGTGAGCCGAGATCACGCCACTGGACTCCAGCCTGGGCGACAGAGCGAGACTCCGTCTCAAAAAAAAAAAAAAAAGGAAAAAGTTGAGATGAGATCTGAAAAATGAGTTAGGATTAAGAAGCACAAAGGGAGTAGCACTGTACCTTGGTACTCTGTGAGGGAACTTGGTAATTTTGAAGAACTTCGCTATGAAAAGAGATTGGAGGCTAGAGGGAGAGTACCCATTTCAAGATTATACTTTAGAGGTAAGGAGGGGTGAGACCATGGAGGATCTTAGACGTCATTAAGGACTTTGGTCTTAAGAACAGTAAGTCTATTATAAGAGTATCCCTGAGTAGCTGGGACTACCGATGTGTACCACCACGCCTGGCTAATTTTTTGTGAAGACAAAGTCTACTGTGTTGCCCAGGCTGGTCTCAAATGCCTGAGCTCCAGCGACCCTCCATTCTAGGCCTTCCAAAGTTTAGGATTACAGGCGTGAGCCGCTGCACCTGCTGTTTACTGTTTTTCTGTGTCAGTACTGTGGAGCATTTTCAGAGTACACATATATTAACCCTAACTCTAATAACAAATGAAGTGGTTTTTATTAGCATTATTTTTAAAATGAGGAAACTGACGCTCAGGGGGACTAAGTAACTTGATCAAGGTAAACTAGCAAACAAATGTAAAGTCAGGAACTCTGTCCAGGTTTTTCTGATGTCAAATCCCTGTTGGTTAATAGAAATTCACTCAAAAATTGTCCATTTTTTTCTTTCTGGACAAATTCTATATTCAGATAGGTTCTTAAAGATGTTTTTAGTAATGATAAGTTAGTGCTTCTGAGTGGTGCCACCTTAATTTTTTTCAAACTGAATTGAAGAAAAAAATAGCTTCTCTTAGTTGCCACCAGAGGGAGCCAGAAAGATTGAGATTTTAATGAGCTTTGAAATGCTCAGTCAGGAATATTCATCAGTAAGCAATTCCAGTGAACTCATATTAAGAATATTCCTTAAAGTGGAATATGTGTATAGTATGTTCTCATTTTGACTTAAAAGTTTAATGTATGTCTAGATATTGAAAAGAAGTTTGAAAAGACGTATAACAAAAAATAAAGTTACTGTTTTAATGGTGGTTTTGCAGGCCAGATCCCAGCACTTTGGGAGGCCAGGAGGATTGCTTGAGCTCAGTAGTTCAGGACCAGTCTGGGCCACATAGCAAGACCTCTTCTTTACTAAAAATAAAAAAATTAGCTCAGTGTGGTGGCACATGTCTGTAGTCCCAGCTACTCAGGAGGCTGAGGTGAGAGGCTCATTTGAGCCTAGGTGATCGAGGCCATGATGAGCTACTGTGGTGCCATAGCACTCCAGACTGGGCAACACAGTGAGATCCTGTCTCAAAAAAAAAAAAAAGTGATTTTGCTAGATTGTCTTTTCCCTCTTTCTTCCCTCTTGCCTTCCTTTCCTCTTTTTTTGAGTTTGTATTAGTATTATTTTTCTACTATATGTTATTGTATAATAAAAATGACATTTATAGTAAATATAAGGAGTTTGAAGGCCGTTAAGGGGTTTATAAAGTGTTTAAAATGCCCAAACTGCATCACCCATCATTTGAATGCATTATTAATTTGCCTGGGAAATATTTTTCATATCGAAAAGGCCATCCCTTATCTGAGTTTTCAGAATTCTGAATTAGTATAGTCTAAATTTAAGAGAACTTACTGAATAGAGATACAGAATGTTTTTAAATAGGATTCAGACTTAGAACTGAGTTCATGGAATCACCTTTCTTTTGCATCTAATGGGCAAATGGTATAAAATCAGGTAACCACTTTAATTGAATGTTTACCAGATAATCTGTACCCTTGTTTTTTGACAGCATGGTATAGAAAAAATTTAAAGTTTAGAATTAGATAATCTCAGGTTTGAGTTTTAACTATTCCTTGGTAACTGTGTAATGTTGGCAGGTGACTGAACTTACTCTAAGTTTCTTTTCTTTTTATGAAGATGGTAATAAAAGCCTGTGTTGATTATAGTTGAGGACTGTGCAAAGCGCTGGGTTAATAAAAGTTTATTAGGGTTGCAACTGTAATTTTTTTTTTTTTTTTAAGATGGAGTCTCGCTCTGTTGCCCAGGCTGGAGTGCAGTGGCGTGATCTCGGCTCACTGCAAGCTCTGCCTCCTGGGTTCACGCCATTCTCCTGCCTCAGCCTCCCGAGTAGCTGGAACTACAGGCTCCCGCCACCACACCCGGCTAATTTTTTTGTATTTTTCAGTAGAGACGGGGTTTCACCGTGTTAGCCAGGATGGTCTCGATCTCCTGACCTTGTGATCCGCCCACCTCGGCCTCCCAGAGTGCTGGGATTACAGGCGTGAGCCACCGCGCCCATCCGCAACTGTAGTTTTATATTTTGCCACCCATCACATCCAACAACCAAACTGAACTGATTTATCCTTTAAAGAATCTATATTTACCCACACCCATAGCCATTCTAGAAACAGAATGGGAATGGGTGTTCTTTACCTCACTAACTGTACTCATTTTGCCACCTAAGGCATCTCACACTATATTCAACTACCAGAATTATACTTGTATGTAACGCCATTCCTCCCCCTTTAACCTTTTGTTTCATTTGATTTCTGTATTAATCAACTTCACTGCAGAAACAATCTCCAAATCTTGGTGGTTTGTCAGCATTATGGCACATGTAGGCTTTGGGCTGACTGTGCAAGTGGCTGCACTCCACATTTTCATCCTAAGATCCAGAATGATGGAGCATCCTCTGTCTCTACCTGCCATTTTCATGGTAGTGAGCAGAATTCAGGGCTGGCTGTAACTTGTGATACTGTTAAATCTTCTGCTCAGGAGTGGAGTACTTCATGACTGCCAAAGCATGTCACATGGTCAGGTGCAGAGTCAGTGAGGTGCAGGGGCGCATATTCTTCAAAGACAGGGCTGGTAAATACCAAACAGTAATATAATCTACCACAGTTTGTCCTCTTGATCACAAATATTGACTTACTTTGCTTCGGCATACAAAATATATTTATCTCTTCCTCAAGGAAAATACTCTAAGAATTTCCTTCAATAACATTAGTCTTGAAGTCTAAACCTCTTTAGGATTTCTACGTCTTTTATCTATGTAGATTTTCTTGATCCAGAGATCAATGAACTAAAATACCAGTTCTGCCATCCATCTCTCCCAGTAGTGGAACAGAGACAGGATATCCACAATAAACATTCCTGTTAAGAAAGGGGAAGAATGGGTGGGGCATGGTGGCTCATGCCTGTAGTAGCACTTTGGGAGGCTGAGGTGGGAAGATCACTTGAGCCCAGGAGTTTGAGGCTGCAGTTAGTCATGATCATACAACTGCACTCCAGCTTGGGCAACAAAGCAAGACACTGTGTATTAGTCCATTCACACATTGCTATAAAGAAATACCAGAGAATGGGTAATTTATAAAGAAAAGAGGTTTAATTGGCTCACTGTTCTGCAGGCTGGACAGGAAACATAGTGGCATTTGCTTCTGGAGAGGCCTCAGTAAACTACAATCAGGGCAGAAGGTGAAGGGGAAGCAGGCATATCTTACATGGCTGGAGCAGGAGGAAGAGAAAGAGGGGAGGTGCTGCATGCTTTAAACAACCAGATCTCATGAGAACAGCACCAAAGGGAGAAATCTGCCTCCATGATCCAGTCACCTCTCACCAGGCTGACCTCCAACATTGGGGATTACAATTCAACATGAGATTTGGGTGGGGACGCTGATCCAAACCATATCACCCTGTATCTCAAACAATTTATAAATAAATAAGGGGGAAGAAAGGAAGCACATAACAATTGTGGGTCCTTAGCAATGAAAATCTTACTGGATAAATGTAGGAAGGGTAACTTTTCTTGGCCCTAGGGGATTTTCCTCGATTATTCACCCAGTTTGTTGTTTTCCATGATTCTTGGGTGGGTACTCTGTAAGGTGTTTCCTTTAATATATCATTCTTGTCTACTTTTGAATGGAGTATTGGAGGATATGCTCTTCTTGGTCAGGGAGTGTTATAAGGGTTGAACACCTTTCTCAACCCACTTCTTGCCTATAGAAAATCGAGGGCCCAAAGGTAATCTAGAAGAATAATGTTTCCTTAATTCAAACAGAATGATGTTTTGGTGGTTGTATTTTTTCTTTTTATCTATTTGATTTCAGTCAGAGCCATGTGCCAGTAGCTACATCCTCAACTCGTTGAGATGTGCATTTTATTTTGGTTTTCAGTACAGGTATCTTGAGCTTATTGAGCTTCCGTGGGTCCACATTCTTAGTCTGCCTGTCGGGGGAATCCCCCACCAAGCCATTTTGTTCCACTGAGTGGATTTACTGGGGGCAGCATTAATTCAAAGGTCTTAGACACTATGATGGCTACACTTATGATTTGGTCTTTGCCCTGGGTTTATGTCATAATTGGCCTTTGTAAACCCTTTTTACTTGTTGGAAATGGGAAATAGTTGGGAGTTTCTACCTTGCAAGTCCAGGAATTTCAGGTTCTCTCTTTTTTTATCCTTACTTGCACATAGGCCCCTTTTCTGAGCCTCTTCTCTTCTCTTCTCTTCTGTTCTCTTCTCTTCTCCTTCTCCTTCTCTTCATCTTCTCTTTCTCTTTCTTCCTTCCTCCCTCTTTCCTTCCTCCCTTCTTTCTACCCTTCCTTCCTCCCTTCCTTCCTCCTTCCTATGACTGGGGGATTCCTTTTTCCTTTAATGAGCTAATCTAATGGTACTTTATTAAATCTACTTAATGACAACTAAAGTTCAGCTTTTATAATCTTTTTGCCAAGTTATTCAATTTTTTATGTGACAGTTTTATTTACCACCACTTTATGTGGGTTGCTATTTTTCCATTCTCCAGTAACAGTTTTCTTGCTTTCTGCCACCTGGTTTCAAAGCCTATATCACATATTTTAAAATTATTTTTGGTGGTAGCTGTTGTTAAGGTAGCACCCCACTTTTGGTACCAAATTTTGCAGTGTTCAGCCATGTTATAGTAATTACCTCCAAATTTAAGTGGCTTCTCAAGATAACAAACTTATATTTCCCACTAACTTTATATTATAGACCGTGATTCAACTTCAGTTCTGCCCTGACCTGTGGCTCTGCTCCAGACTTTTTCTCATTTGGGAACCAAGGCTGAAGGAACAGGCCTCGTAAGATATGTGCCAGTCTCTTCACAAAGTACTACAGCAAGAAGGCTGGCTGTAACTCAGATTGCTGCTTAAAGCTTTTGGTAACATGCATTGTACCTCACTTCTATTCACATTCTATTGGCCAAACATATCACATGGCTGATCCCCAAAGCAATAACCTAGGGATGTCAACTCCTAACACACACACACACACACACACACACACACACACACACACACACACACATTCTCTCTCTCTCTCCCTCTCCCTCTCTCCCTTCCTCTCTCCCTCTCTCCCCCTCCTCCCCCTCCCTCCCCCCCGTTCCTCTGTCTCTCTCTCTCACCTTGTAAGGAAGCAGGAGAATAAATAATTTCAAATAGTAATACAATATATCATAACTTTCTGTTGATGTACCAAAAAATCAGAGTATATCCCTTTTTAAATGTAAGGATATACTAACCTAGTATGTAAATCAGGGTTATCCAGAGAAATAAAACTAATAGGATATATATGTGTGTGTGTGTGTGTGTGTGTGTGTGTGTATAAAGAAATTTATTTTAAGGAATTGGCTGATGTGATTATGGTACTGGCAAATCTGAAATTTGTAGAGCAGGCAGGGAAGTCAGGCAGGATTTTCATGTTACAGTCTTGAGGTAGAATTGCTTCTTCTCTGGGAATCCTGTTTTTGCCCTTAAGCCCTTTAAGGGATTGAGGCCTATCTACATTATAGAGGGTAATCTCAACTGATTATAGATGTTAATCACATCTACAAAATACCTTCACAGTTACATCTGTGCTTGTATCTGTCCAAACAGCTGGGCACCATAGCAGAACCAAACTGACACAAAATTTAACCATCACATATACATTGTGCAATTTTGCAGATAGTAAAATATGAGTATGGAGAGTACTTTCTGGTAGGTCTTATGAGAAGGCAGCATGCAGATTAGCTTGATCAGAGCCAATAAACTAGGTGTCTTCTTGCCAAAGTTCAGTGAGTACCTGAAACAAGGGTTGGCAAACTGTGGCCTACTGCCCATTTTTATAAATAAAGCTTTAGTGGAAAACAGCCATGCTTATTCATTACATATTGCCTATGGCTGTTTTAGTTTACAGTGGCAGAGTTGAATAGTTAAAACAGAAACCACATGGCCTGCAAAGTCTAAAATACTTACTATGTAATCTTTTACTGAAAAAGTTTGCCAAACTCTAAAGGTTACACATAGAGAAGGCTCTTATGGTTCTTGCTCTGTTATGGTCCATGCCTAGTTTAGTGTTTCCATTCAAGTGTGAATGTATACTGATTAGACATTACAGTAGTAGCAGTGTTTCATTGTTTGTTTGTTTTTTAGACAGAGTTTTGCTCTTGTTGCTCAGGTTGGAGTGCAATAGTGTGATCTCGGCTCACCGCAACCTCCGCCTCCTGGGTTCAAGCAATTCGCCTGCCTCAGCCTCCCGAGTAGCTGGGATTACAGGCATGCGCCACCACATCTGGCTAATTTTGTATTTTTGATAGAGACGGGATTTCTCCATATTGGTTAGACTGGTCTCAAACTCCTGACCTCAGGTGATCTGCCCGCCTTGGCCTCCCAGAATGCTAGGATTACAAGCATAAGCCACTGTGCCCAGCCATGTTTCATTGTTTGAAGCCACAAATTTATTAATAAAAATTATTAACTGCTTAGTTTTTATTGCATGGCCATTCAGATTGTCTTTTAGATCAGATGCTGAGTTCAGCTTTTATTGATAAAACATAGATGAATACTGTTAGGTTTTAAATGAATACTTGCATATCTTTGGGAAAGAGGAAAAATACTTTTTCTAATAAAATTTTATCAGCATAATATTATTAATATTGTATCTATTTTCCTTCTTTTAGGAGGGTAAAAAGACATTTCTGTTCCCAGCTCATCCCCTATTTTTAGATAATGGATAAAAAAATTATAAACTATTATTTCTCAATTTGGCTGCTCTTATATCTATAAAATTGAATTAGACTACAAGAGGTAAGATGTTTGTATTTCTAAACCAAAGAATACTTGCAGCTGTAGTTAGTGGAGAGAATCTAGGCTCTAGATTCAGGCAGTCCTAGGTTTAAATTTAGTGGCTTATAACAACTATTTTATTTGCTGATGACTTCGTAGGTCAGCAATTTGGGCTGGACTCTGCTACATGGTTGTTCTGCTGGTCTGGTCTGTCTGGGGTCACTCATGTGGCTGCAGTCGTCTGGTGGCTGCACGAGGACTGGATGGTCTAAAATGGCAGCACTGATAATGTCTGGCACATGATG
The DNA here is from genome assembly GCF_000001405.40 of Homo sapiens. Classification (NCBI taxonomy): domain Eukaryota; kingdom Metazoa; phylum Chordata; class Mammalia; order Primates; family Hominidae; genus Homo; species Homo sapiens. The sequence goes on along the minus strand of NC_000015.10, from coordinate 70,716,280 downwards.
CTTGCTGGTGTGGCTGGGTGGCTGGGCTCTTTTTCTGTCATGCTCTCCTACCCTCAAGGGGGCTAGCTTGTTCACAGTGTGCTAGCAGCATTCCCAGAGTAGAGCAGAAGCAGCAGGATCTCCTACAAAGGTCACTTCTGCCACATTGTATTTGTCAAATTAAGTTACAAGTCCAGGCCGGATTCAAGGATTCAACGGATGAGGAAATAAATGTCATTTCTTGATGACAGGAGTGGCACAATCACATTGCAAAGGGCTGGGCTTATAGCAGTGAAAGAAATGGATAGTGGCTGCATCATCCACTGCATCATCCACCGCCTTAAATTAGTTCCTTTATATCCCATTTGGAAAGTAGAAATAACAGTTTGACTTAACTTGAAGGGTTCTTCTTCAAGTTTAAGAATTGTGTATATACAACACTTAAGAGGTTTTTTCTAAACAATTTTGAAATATAATCCTTATTTATAATGCTGTGTTTTTATTATAGATCTAAATATGAGAACAAACATTCTTTCTCATTATTAATTTGGCCATGTATTTTTAATATGGGAGACATGTATTAAGACTCACTGGAAGGAAATCCTGTGTGAAATAGCTGTGTTTGGGGGAAAGTTATGCATTGGTGCAGAAGTATTATTCATTTAATAAATAAAAGGAAGAGCAGCTAACTTTTAATATGTTTACAAAAACATATGCTTTCCTGTAACCCTCTGCTTTTATATATATAACCTTATAATTCCCATTTTACATTATAAAAATATTGGCTAATAGTGTAATGTTTGTTTTCAGTTTAGTACTTGAAGAGTCTTTTGAGTTGTAGCGAACCTATTTTTGTTTAATTAATATTTCTTTACAAAGCCAAAGGTACAAAAATATCTTTTGTTTGTTTTTATTGTAATCAAACCCCATCAGAGGCTCTTTAATAAGTGTATCTGTTTTGCCTTTTACTTTGTTGAGAATAAACATAGCTTTCTAAAACTCTCCTGTTTTGAGATACATATCAAACATTGGCAAAAATATTTGTTAAAATTCACCGTAACTATTACTGTGTTCATTGGTATATATAGGGATAGAAGGCACAGTGACCCTCCTTGGTTTTTAGCTTTATATTTAAAAAATTTTACTTATGACATTTAGGCTTTTTAAGAACTCTTGTCGAATACACTTTTCAAAAAATACCAAGGAACAAAATTTATTTTTTTCCAAATAACCAATTGTGTAGTATTTTTAAGGGAATATTAAACAAAATCTTATCCAGCCTGAAAGCTTCATTCTTGTATGATACACATTATAATTTGTTCTGTTTAAGATCTATGTATATATTTACTTAGTAATTTAATGCATCTCCTCTTGAGGAAGGGTAAAATAAGTAATATTACAGTACAAATGATAACTGTTAAACGTGGAGAAGCCACATCTTGTCTATATTTTACATAAACTGTTTTAAGTGCCCAGACAGTTCTAATAAAGTAACAAATACCTGCATTAGGGAGGGGCAGACAGTCTGGTATTTGTACAACAGACTAGAATAGAATCAAACCGGGTGGTTAGGAAATCTTGGCAAAGCAGTGGTTTCTGAGTCTTTCTGACTCCAGTTCTTCAATTTTTTTTTTCAGATTTCATGGCCACCTTAGATGCTGAAGAGGTTAGATTTATTATTTAAAACATCATCATCTTTTTTGTCCTTTATATTTTTATGTAGAAGAATCCGGTAAAGTGAGATTAAGCCTGTTCTTGCCTTGGTCAGGAAAATGATTGATAGGATATAATTTTCCCTTTCTTCTGTTTGTTCCATTGAGTCCAAACTACATACTTTCAAATCATACAGTGGAAGGATAACAGAAGTGAATGAGGCATAATTAACTAAGGATAAGGGAAATAATAAAGAGAAGAGAGTCAGGGGTCAGGGAGAAAGAAGCTGGCTGTACAGCTTTTGTTTCCCCGGTATATTTTAACATTCTTTTCCTTTTCTATTACATAAGCTCTAATTTGCTGTTATGTAAGTGGGAGTAATAAATAACCTTTGGACTAAATGGAATGGGGGAAATATTTCTAGCCATCATCAATCCAGTGAACTGTAGAACAGTTCTTAATTGTGCAGCCTAATCTTCAAGGAATGTTTATGCTTCGTAAGCTTTGCTGTCTGCTGTTTTGAATTGTGATAGAGCTTGTGTAACAGAGAATGTTGGTAATTATAGGGTACTATAGAAGCCTGTGTACTTTTTTAATTAGGTGTTTTGGGGGAATTTGCCTAAACATCAATGATGTTTAGTTTTATTTAGGATATATATTTTTCCCATTGGAGAAGACTTTCTTTTCTTGGAGCCTTATCTGGAGGATGGTGACTTTATGAAACTCTGTTTTGGGGAGTGCTATTTTTATGGTTGTTTTTTTAGCATGGTTCATTGTAAAGTTTATTTAGATTTCTAGGTTTGAAGTGGGTGAGGTATATAAGATATCTATTATATTAAGGTAATTGATCCATCTTATAAACATTTCAAAGCAAGTTAAGATTCAGCTGGTAATATTGCTCAATATAAATTCTTGGAAGTGAAAAAAAATAGTATGTCAGGATGAGTTATTTTTGTAGACTTGATTCCAAAGTGACCAAAAGAACTTCATGAAACTACAGTTGCCTTAATCCTTCAAGAAGTCCCTTTTGAAAAATGTTTACGATAAAACTGAGGAATCCCATATTATAGATCTGGTGGTGTCTGCCTTCTTATCTCATCCTGGGATTGTCTTACTCATTATGCATCAGCTACATTGGCCTTCTTTCAGACATCCAAGCTCCTTTCACTAGTTGTTCCCACTGTCTGGGATGTAAATTCCTTGTCACTCGGCTATCACCGTCAAGATCACATTCTTACAACAGCCTTTTTCAGTTACCCAACCTAACAGTCAACTCTCAGCATTTTCATCACATCTCCTTCCCTATTCTTTCTCGCTCTGTCGCCCAGGCTGGAGTGCAGTGGCGCGATCTCGGCTCACTGCAGGCTCTGCCTCCTGGGTTCGCGCCATTCTGCCTCAGCCTCCCGAGTAGCTGGGACTACAGGCGCCGGCCACCGCGCGCGGCTAATTTTTTGTATTTTTAGTAGAGACTACTAAAAATACATCACTGTGTTAGCCAGGATGGTCTCAATCTCCTGACCTCATGATCCGCCCGCCTCGGCCTCCCAAAGTGCTGGGATTACAGGCGTGAGCCACTGCGCCCGGCTCTCCTTCCCTATTCTTACGTGATAGTTTGTTTTCCTTGGTTGCTTACTTATCTTTCTTCATTAGAACATCAAGTTCCATGGGAAGAGAGACTTGGGCTGTCTTCCATGCCTGACAGTAGTAGATGCTTCATAAAAGTTTGCATATGCAAATATGGAAGTTTTCATCCTTTTTGCTATAAAGGATATCTAAGTTTATTATGTGGAAATTTTAAAAAGATACTTTTACATTGAAGATTTTTTTCCAGATGATTAGAGAAATGGAAATAGCTTAACTAGTACAAAGAGCACTGGACAAGAAGTCAAAACAACAGGATTCTTTAATCATTCTGCAACTAATTACATTTGCCTTATAGCAGACCAAATCCCCTAATCTCCTAGTGACTCCATTTCTGCATGTATAAAATGAGAAACAGGGTTAACTTTCCGTATGATATAAGGAGGCAAGTGAGGGCAGCACTGTGCAGGGAGTTTTGGACTCCATTAAAGAGCTTTGTATTTATCCTACAAGCAATAGAAAGCTACTGAAAGGATTTTAACTGAGGTGGGACAGGATATAGGGAAGTGGTGGTGGTGGTATGATTAGGTTTCCTTTTTAGAAAAATTACTGACCGCAGTGTGGAGAACACAAGGAAAGGGGCTAGAATGAACGAGAACAAACCATTTAGGAGATAAATGCAGCCATCCTGGTGAGGGATGGTACTAACTTGGAATAGGGTAATTTTGATGGACATGGAGATGAGCAGATGGATTTCAGTAAGATGGGGAGGTAAAATCAGCAGGATTTGGTGATGGGGACCAAGGAAAGGAAGGTGTCAAGATTAATATCTAGGTTTCTGTCTACACACAACCAGATAACCAGATGGATTCTGGTGTCTTTGCTGTGTTAATGAAACTTGGAGTAGGATCAGAATTCAGGAGGAAGAGCATGTTTTTGGTTTGGGACATGTAGGTACTTTTAAAACACTCAAGAAGAATCATGAAGAAGGTATATGGAGATATATATATATATATGCCTGGAGCTTAGAGGAGCCTGGGTTGCAGATGTGTTTCTGAGTCATTTGCATGTAGCTTTTAATTGATACATATATCATGAATATAAAGTGCTTTGTAGACCATAAAAGGCCATACGTTGTGTTTGTCGTTTCCTAAATTTGTGATGATATTTCAAACCTGGTGATTTTCTGCTTACCTTTTAATAGATAGGTTAGTCATCTCTATAGAACTTTTCTGACTTTCCCTCTTTTGAACTATTTCAGTATTTCACACATAATTATTGTGGTGGTGTTATAGTATACTGTAATTGTTTTGTGCATGTTTATATATGTATCTGTCTGCCTTATTATACTTTGAGATCAGTTGAAGAAAGTAACTGGGTTTAATTCCTGTCACCTGCTTGAGGCCAGGTATCATGTCTATTTTCTTTCCCCTGGTATATCTAGCACTGTAAATGGGGCTTGGCACTATCAACTGATCATACATATTTGAATGTTGAGTGAAATATTTATATCCCTTTGCGCATAGGTGTTTAGTAATTATTTTGTTGTTGTAATTTTTTTTTTTTTTTTAGTAGAGATGGTTTTGCCATGTTGGTCAGGCTGGTCTTGTCCTCCTGACCTCAAGTGATCTGCCCGCCTTGGCCTCCCAAAGTGGTAGGATTACAGGTGTGAGCCACCGTGCCCGGCCTAATTTTTATTGAACAAATGAATTATCCAGGCTTCTGGCAGTTCTTTGGTACTTATTTTATAAACATTATGTAAAATACACATTTTTTTGCTGCCTCTCCTTATATTAGGGTTTAAAACTTTATTTTGGGGGTTTATGGATTCTATATTGTGCAAAGGAGGTCAGTGAACCCTTTGAAAATAAATATAAATTTTTCTGAATATGTGCTTTTGATATTATGATGTAACAAGAAAGATGTATTTGATCCCTGTTTCTGGTTTCTGGCAAACAACTGCTAAAACCCTTGGAATCTCCAGAGAGATAAGAGTGCCTTTTGTATGCTAATGAGATGACTGGGAGCCCCTAGATAGTTTCAGGATGGGGACTGGTCTTCCAGAAAGACCAAGCCATGATTAGAGGGTTGGAACTTTCAGCCCACTCCAGCCTCAGGGGCGGGGAAAGGGGCTGATGGTTGAGTTGATCACCAATGGCCAGTGATGTAAAAAGTCATGCCTATGCAATGTAGCCTCCGTGAAAGCCCCAAAAGGACAGGGTTCAGAGAGCTTCCTGGTTGCTGAACATGTGGAGGCACCTGGAGGATGGTGAACCAGGAGAGGGCAAAAAAGCCCTTCACGCCTTCCCACATTCTTTGCCTTTTGCATCGCTTCGATCTGCAAGCTTGGTAACATCCTTTACAATAAACGAGTAAGCATAGGTAAAGTGTTTCCCTGAGTCCTGTGAGCTGCTCTAGCAAATTAATCATGGGTCATGGGAACCCTGATTTACAGGCAGTTGGTCAGAAGCACAGGTCACAAGCTGGGGCTTGCAGTTGGCATCTGAAGGGTGGGAGTGACAGTCTTATGGGACTGAGTCTGTAGGTCTGTGCGATCTGACACTATCTCCAGGTAGCTAGTGTCAAAAATGAGTTAAATTGTAGGAGACCCAGATGTTGTGTGCTGGAGAATTGCTCTGTAAGTGGGGAAAACCTCTCTGCATTTGGTCACGGAAGTATTTTGTGGTGAGTGTGAGAGTTGGGAAAAGTTTGGTTTTTCCTATCTCACAGAGTGCTTATATGCAATTATAAATAAAAAGAGGGTCCATTGCTTTTCTCAGATTTATTTTTTATTTATTTTTATTCATTTTTTGGAGACAGGGTCTTGCTGTAACAGACAGGCTGGAATATAGTGGCACGAACTTGGCTCACTGCAGCCCCGACTTCCCAGGACTAGGTGATTCTCCCACCTCAGCCTCCCAAATAGTTGGGACTAGAGGTGTGTGCCACCATACCTAATTTTTTTGTATTTTTTGTAGAGAGAGGGTTTCGTCATGTTGCCCAGGCTGGTCTCAACTCCTGGGCTCAAGTGATCCCAAAGTGCTGGGGTTATAGGCGAGAGCCACCACACCCTGCCTCATTAGATTTTTAAAGGGATCCATGACACCAAAATTATTAAGATCAGTGAATTAGATACTTTTGTTCGGGATGACTCCTCTTGGCTTTAAGCAGTTTTTTATCAAAGTTTTGCTATCATCCTATATAAATTACCTTTAGGCTAAAACTAGTTACCTAATCATTTTAGCTATGATTTGTTGACTAGCCATTAAACAGTATAAGGTATTTCATATGGATTTGCATATATGTTAAAGTCTACTTACTTATTTGCATCTACAAATTTCTTAGGAGACTTTCTGTCTTAAATATTGAATAAATTAATATTCAGTATTGGACTCATAGGCTTAAATAAATCTTGTTCAGACTTTTTAACAGAAAAGAGTCTAGATGTAAAGTTTTTAATAATGGTTATTTCTGCATGGTGGAATTATGGGGTATCTCTTTTCATTTATACACTTAAATGTATTCTAGGCTTTCTACACTAAACATACATTACTTTTCAAATTCAAATTTTATATATCTGGAATAGTTACAAATTTCTAATTGATATTAATATGAGAGTCAATGTCAAAACTTGTGATTTCTTTTATGTTGATTTAGAGTTTAACGTTATCCAGTTAGATCTACCAGGTGAAATAACTGATTTGTGTTAAAATGTTTGTTCTCTAGAAACAACTATATTTTGTCTTTTACCATAGATACTTTGGCTTGCTGCTTTCTGAATGGGATGAATGTCTCTTTTTCAAACCAACATAATAACTGACTGTAGAAATTTACTTGTTATAATATATGGTAAACATTAATACCACTCAAAAAATTTACTGCTTCTTTTTAGAAGGCTTTCATTTGATATTATGGGGCTTGCCTTGTAAGTATATGACTGTGGACTCACCAAGATATGTTGATATGTTAATACTTTCTTTTGAAGCAGAGAGGTATCTTTTGTTAAAGGATTAGAGTGGAAAGGACGTGCTGCTTTTCCTGCCACATTGATGACTCAGTGAAAGGCATTGGTGATAACGATGTTTTGCAGTTTAAATATGTATACATCAGCCATTTTATTAACGGTGAATGAAATTACAGAACTTGAGAGAATAGTTTACTATAATGAACTCTCATGAACCTGTAACTCAGCTTTAACAGTTATTAACCTGTGGCCAATCTTGTTTTATCTATACTCACAAACCCCTGATTGATTTAAAAAAATTAATATTTGTTAGTATTAATCATGCAATAGGCTGGCCGGGCACAGTGGCTCACACCTGTAATCCTAGCACTTTGGGAGGCCGACGTGGGCAGATCACTTGAGGTCAGCAGTTCAAGACTAGCCTGGCCAACATGGCAAAATCCTGTCTCTACTAAAAATACAAAAAAATTAGCCGGGTGTGGGTGGTGTGCACCTGTAATCCCAGCTACTCGGGAGGCTGAACCAGGAGAATAGCTTGAACCTGGGTGGTGGAGGTTGCAGGCTGCAGTGAGCTGATATTGTGCCATTGCAGTCCAGCCTGGGTGACAGAACAAACTCCGTCTCAAAAAAAAAAAAAAAGATAGTATTGTGAGAGATTGCACTTATGTTTTTATTATTATTTTTAATTATACTGGAAACATAAAAATTTACTGTCAACCATTTTAAATTCATGTGTTAAGTATGTTCACATTGTTATGCAACTGATCTTTAAAACTTTATCTTGCAAAATTGAAACTCTATACCCATTAAACAATAGCTCCCCACCTCTGCTCCTGCCACAGCCCTGATATTTACCATTGTTTTCTGTTTCTGTAAATTTGCCTACTTTAGGTACCTCATGTAAGTAAATCATACAGTATTTGTCTTTTTTTGACTGGCTAATTTCATTTAGCATAATGTCTCTCAAGATTCATCTATGTCGTAGCATGTGACAGGATTTCCTTCCTTTTTAAGGCTAAATAGTATTCCATTGTATGCATATGCCACATTTTGTTTATCCATTCAGCCATCAATGGACATTTGGATTATTTCCACTTCTTGGCTATTATAAATAATGCTACTATGAATATGGATATGCAGATATCTCTAGGAGACCCTGCTTTCAACTCATTTGGATATATACCCAGAAGTAGGATGGCTGGATCATATGGTAGTTCTATTTATAATTTTTCGAGGAATCACCATATGTGTTCCATCGTAGTTGGACTATTTTACAATCCCCACAGTGCACAAGGGTTCTAATTTCTACACATTCTTGCTAACACTTGTTCTTTTCTTATTCCTTATTTTGGGATGTTAGCATTCGTAATGAGTGTGAGGTTATATCTCACTGTGGTTTTGATTTGCTTTTTTTTTAATGATTAGTGACATTGAACATATCTTTTTATGCCTGTTGGCTATTTGTATATTATCTTTGTAGAAATTTCTATTCAAGTCCTTTGCCCATTTTAAAATCTTTGTTGTTGTTGTTGTTGAGTCATAGTAATTTAAAAATGTAATTTATGTATTAGCCCCTTATTAGATATATGATTTGCAAATATTTCTGCGCATTCTGTAGGTTGCCTTTTTATTCTGTTGATTGTTTCTTTTGCTGCACAGAAGTTTGATATAGTTTCATTGATCTATTTTTGCTTTTGTAGCTGAGCTTTTGGTGTCACATCCAGGAAATCATTGCCAAATCCAATTTACGAAGTTTTCTCCTGTGTTTTCTTCTAGGAGTTTTATAGTTTGGGGTCTTATGTTTAGGTCTTCAATCAATTTTGAGTCATTTTTTGCATCTGATGTAAGATAAAGGTCCAACTTTGTTCTTTTGCATGTGGCTATCCAGTTTTCCCAACACTGTTGAGGAGATTGTTCTTTCTCTATTGAGTGCTCTTGGCACCTTGTTGAAGATCATTTGACTATTACATGAGGGTTTATCTGTGGGCTGTTTACTTTATTCCACTGGTCTATATGTCTGTCTTTATGCCATTATGACACTGTTTTGATTACTATAGCTTCATAATATGCTTTGAAATCAGGAAGTGTGAGGTCTTCAACTTTCTTTTTCCTTTTCAAGACTGCCTATTTGAAGTCCCTTGAGATTCCATGTGAATGTTAGGATTTACTTTTCTATTTCTGCAAAAATGCCATTGGGATTTTGATAGGGATTGCACTGATCTCTGGATTGCCTTGGGTGGTATTGACATCTTAACGGTATTCAGTTTTCCAAATTTGTGAACCTGGGATGTCTTTAGATTTGTCACTTCTTTAATTTCAAAAATGTTTTGTCATTTTTAGTGTACAAATTTTTCACCTAATTGACTAGGCTTATTCCTAAGTATTTTATTATTTTTGAAGGTATTGTAAATGGAATTGTTTAATTTTGTCTTGGATTGTTCATTGTTATTATATAGAAATGCAACTGATTTTTGTGTACTCTCTCCCACACCTTTGCTGAATTTATTCTAACAGGTTTTTGTTTTGTTTGTGTGTATGAGTATGTTTGTATCTGTAATCTTTAGAGTTTTTTTTTTTTTTTTTTAACAAATAAGATCATTGCATTTGAGAACAGAGATGATTTCAACTTCTTCCTTTCTGATTTGGATGTCTTTTATTTCTTTTTCCTGCCTAATTTCTCTGAGTAGGCCTTCCAGTTCTATGCTAATAGAAATGGCCAGAGCAGCATCTTTGTCTTCTGCCTGATCTTAGAGGAAAAGCTTTCAGTTTTCCATAGTTGAGTATAATGTTAGCAGTGGGCTTTTCATATATGGTCTTTATTGTGTTGAGGCAGTTTCCTTCTAGTCACAGTTTTTTGGGTATTTTTACCATGAAAGGATGTTGAGTCTTGTCAAATGCTTTTTCTATATCAACTTATATGATCATTGTGATTTTTGTCCTTTATTCTATTAAGGTGGTATATTACAATGAATTTCATATATTGAAACGTCCTTGCATTCCAGGAATAAAGATTATACAGTTGATCATGGTGTATAATCTTTTAAATGTGCTATTAGATTAGGTTTGCCCTCTGATTGTTTTGATTATTTTTGAAGCAAATACCAGGCATCTTATCACTTGATTCATTTGATCTAAAAATATTTCAGTATGTATTTTTAAAACATGGGGATTTTCAGAAATAATTATAAGATTATCACATCAGAAATCTCAGTTTACTATAATTCTTTAATGCCATCCAATATCCAGTCAGTAGTCATATTTTCTCAATTGTTTTATTTTTATAAATATAGTTTGTTTAATCAGGGTACTTAAGTTCTGTGACTTATGATTGCTTGATAGGTTTCTGAAGTCACTTTTAATTTATAGGTTAAATTCTGTCTTTTTAATCTTGCCGTATTTTGTTTAAGAAACCATGGTTTACTCGATGGTAGATCTTTCTGTTTGCATCCTGTGATGCAATCTTTGTGATATAGTTTATTATATTTCTCTGTCCCCTGTATTTCTTGTAAATTGTTACTTCTAGAGGTTTGGTTGGATTTTTATTTTTTTATTTTATTTTATTTTTTTGAGATGGAGTTTCGCTCTTGTTGCCCAAGTTGGGGTGCAATGCTGCGATCTTGGCTCACTGCAACCTCCGCCTGCCGGGTTCAAGCGATTTTCCTTCCTCAGCCTCTGGAGTAGCTGGGATTACAGGCATGCATCACCATGCCTGGCTAATTTTGTATTTTTAATAGAGACGGGGTTTCTCTACTAAACCCCATTGGTCAGGCTGGTCTCGAGCTCCTGACCTCAGGTGATCCGCCTGCTTTGGCCTCTCAAAGTTCTGGGATTACAGACGTGAGCCACCGCACCCAGCCACTTCTTTGTTAATTTTTTAAAGAGTGTTTTTCTGATTAGTGATATTAAAGCAAACTAAATATGCCTTGAGAAGGACTCTGTACTTCTATATTTGAGTCCTTGTGGATGAACCATAACCTAACTTAATAGATAGGCAAGATTGAAAACCTAATTTAGGAGTATGCGCCCGTAACAATAGCTGAGTCTTGGCCAATCCCAGCAGTCACATACTTCAACCACTCATACACTGCTGAGTGTTCAAACTGTATTCAAATACGACAAACGCCATCCTGTAACCAATCCAGCTATTTCTGTACCTCCCTTCTGATTTCTACACATCACTTCCCTTTTTAATCTATAAATTTGTTTTGACCACAAGGCATCCCTGGGGTCTCTCTGAATCTGCTGTGATTTTGTGGGCTGCCTGATTTCTGAATGGTTCATTGCTCAATTAAACAACTTTAAATTTAATTCAGCTGAAGTTTTTCTTTTAAGAGTAACTCTGACCCAGGAGCAGGAGCACCTGTGACTCTCGCCAGTGCCTACCATTTTTGGGCATAAACATCTACCATGCATGGTGCTGAGATCATTCATATCTATTAGCTATTTGATTTTACACATATAGGTTCTCTATTGTTATCCTTGCTTTGTAGTTGAGAGCACTGGTGCCTAGAAAGTATAAATAAATTATCCTACTAGTATACATACAGCAGGTAGACTTTTGAGTCAGGCAAAATTCTGAAGAACATGTGTTTTAACTAAAGTGCTTTTTGAGGAGTCCAGTGGATTTGTAGGCTGGTAAAGAAAGACTTGCGGTGTGGGATGTGCAGGAGTATGTGTGAAGAAGGATCTTTTATCGACCATGAGCAGTAGGATCTGTTTGCTCAGTTGCAATCAGCTGAACCACTCATGGGCTAACTGCCCTCATCTCAGGTCAATAGATACTTGTTATCTGAATGTGGATAGTTTACTGGGGAACAATGTTGCTGGTAAATGTGTGTTACAGATCTAGCCTATTTAACAATTTAGTCCAAGAGGAAAGAGGATTCATGAAGCAGATGTGGATTCTGGTTCTTAAGATGGGTGAGAATCTAGTGACTGACTACCAAGTTACTTATTGAAAAATTAGTTTTATAGTTTCAAACCAGACACAGAAGAAACCTTAGATATAGTCAAATTAGAGGGGAGCTGAGGAGACAGGCAGTAAGCTAATAAACAGATAAACATCTGATGTAATGGCAGATACTGATGAGCTCCCTGCAGAAAAGTAAAACGGTGCAAGGATAAAGAGTGGTGGGGTAGAGTGGGACACGGGGCCGTTTAGATGTAGAGGTCTGAGAAGCCCTCTCTGAGGAAGTGACATTGGAGAAGAACCTGAAAGTAGGGGAGGGAAGAACCTTATAGGTACAGGGGACAGCAAAGGTGGGAATTTGCGTAGGGCTCTTGGGAAATAGCTATGAAGGAAGGTGTGAAAGCAGGCACAGAAGATTAAGCCACAGAGGCTGGGGAGGTGGCAGGCAGCTCAGGACATCCATAATACTAGGACACACAATCCTATCTCCTGAACATGGGCCGCTCCTTATATGGCTTTAGTTATTTGTTACTGTTTTCCCTCTTCCTTCGCCTTTGCTGTCCTATTTCTAGAAAGAATGTGCTTGCTTTGTTACCCAAAGGACAAGGTCTGAGTTCTAACAAAGATTTCCTCAAAGAATGGTGACACAGACTGGGCGGAGTCTCTGGGTTTAGCCAAATGAATCCATTGTGATATCTCGTGGTTTGGGGGAAAAAACAATCATTGTTTCAAAAATGAGATATGGTATATGACCCTTATATATTTTATAATTAGAATATGGGCCTAATGTTGTAAATTTAGTAGGAAACAGATTTCTTGTGGAAGTACATAGCAGAATTTTTAACTGGCAGCATGATCTATAATATAGCAGCTACTTCCTTCCTGTAAACACTTGTGTTGGAATGTTTTGCATTCCCATGAAACAATTTTCACAAATGTGTCTTTTTAGAGGAAGTGTAAATTATTCTCATGCTATTGTGGTAATGAGAACATGGTTAAAAAACAACAACAACAGCCACCACAAAAAAACCACCCTGAATTTGCACCGGCCTTGGTAATGTAAGAAATGTTGATACAAGTATGCTATCGTAGAGAATGCAGAGAAGTTATCTGCTTTGTCCCCAAATGGAGATTTTTTTAATAGTCTAGCTCGTTGTCTAATGTGTATTTGCCTCCTTTAGTGTTTAACCAGTTTTTTTTTTCATCCAGTGAATCCAGGTAATTTGACTTTTCACTGATAAAATATTTACTTGTTATATTAGGCAGGGTGCTAAACTTGGAAACTAAAAGTACAGAGTTAAATTTAAAATTTGTTGAAAAGTATGCATCACTATGTATTCTATTTAATGTTTTGGCAGTGCCTCTGGCTCTTCTCATTTAACATGCTAGGAGACAGACTGGCAGCAGTTGTAAGCTGAAACCTGGTTGTATGCAGAGAGACTGATAGGGGTACAAAATAAAATGGAGAAAATTTGAAAGTGTTACTGTGTGTGCGTTTCCTTAAATTAAAATGTGACACGTTTGCTTAAAATAGAATTTTATATTCTGTTTGTCAGGGCTATTATAACTTCATGTTAGATGATCCTAAGACTGAAACTGGTTTTAAATATTGTTCTGTGGAATAACCAAATTTGTCTCTTAAAATGTTGTCATTATGTCACACAATTGGTTTTTATATAATAAGCATGTTTTACAATATGTTTGAGTCATTTTCCCCAGTAGACCTGAAATTTATTACTCAGAGGAAAAGCATGCATTTACAATATATTCTTAGCTGCTCCTTTCTATCATTCAGCTGTCAAGTCCTATGGAATCTAAAGTAGAACTCAACCAATGGGAGACAGGCTCCACGCTGTTTACCGGACAATTCGGATGTGGACAGTTTTATCATGCACTGCAGCGTCTGTGTTGCAGTGTTGAGGCAGCAGGATGCAGAGTGCTGTTCAAGTTTTCCAGTGGGGTCCCTCAAAGGGACAACTTTGAAAGATAGCTAGCTTCCAAAGAATAAGAAATAGATAGAGTTACTGTACCTGACTTGGGGCTGCTCTTAATCAAGTTCTGCATTGCAAGGAAGATAATATTCGAGCGTTATGAAGGCGGAGAAGGATCCTGAAGACGAAGAAAATATCGTTAGAGATCCAAGCTAAGTGTAGCACAGCATGTGAGGGACTGAGTCACTTGTCAGGAGTTTGTCTGAGAGTTTGCTTTGTGAGCTTACAGAGATTTGTAACTTAATGCAAAGTAGTTTGCCATTAGCAACAAGAAACTAAATCCTGTCTATGATGAACTGTTGGTTTTCTTGTACTCCTAAGAACAGAGTAGGTATCCCAGTAGTCTAGTGTAACAAAAGATTCTTGGTTAGACTTTCTGAACTGTGTTCTTTTAAAATGCACTACTGTTTTATTAATTTGGTTTGCTTTATTGTTTTCTTCTTGATTAAGTTGATTAGCAGATTGGGGTTAGTAATAGTAAACAAAAGTTCTTTCTTTCTCTGGGTTTAAAAAGCACATGATAAAATCTTAATAATTGTACAGTGTTACTGTTAACTGACAGTGAATCAGAGCTGAAAATGGTGCTTGGTGTAGAACTGAAAATCATATGATAATGTGAGACTTTAATCACATTTAATTATCTTTAAAGAAAGCCTTATTTTTGGATTTTTACAACTTTGTGGTGATTTAAATGGCTCTTTTTTCCACCAGCAAGTTTACTTGGAAATAAACTGGAGATTGTTTTAATTGTAAGGATAGACTAATCAAATCTAGAACAAGCATTTGTGTGTTAAACATGATTTAATCCTTTAGGCATTTGAAAACACAATGTCTTGTAAGCTTATGTCCACGACCACTCCCCAAATTAGAGTCAGTAAACTGTTTTGTTTTTGTTTTAAAGCTTAAGAAAGGTGATGCGTAAAATGTAGCTTAGACTTGGAGCCCATAGGTAGGGTTATTCTGTACTCATAGTTGGCAGTTTAAACTTTTGAAGTTAGGAGGAAGTAGGTTCATCACCAAATTTAAGTAATTTAGAGACAATTCTGAAATCTGTGTAGGTACTTGAACCAGGTTCCATTAAAATATTAAATTTCAGAAGTGAGTTAAAATTTTAATGTATTTGTCTTTTTTTCATATTCAGTTTTCATATTCATTTTCTACATCAAGTATTTAATTTTACATTACTTGTTTAACAAGAAAGTTAGTGATGGTGATTTTTTTTAACTTTTCTTTTTTGGTTTATAGGGAATAGTAGATATAAAATTATATTGATCAAACATGTAGAGGATATACAGGTGATTCAGTTTTTTTCTCAGATTTGTTAGGGTATTTGTGGCCATAGGATTCATTTTGTAAGTTAAGTGAAAAATATCCAGATCTTTTTTTGTTCTAGAAATAATACTGGATTTAGCACAGAATTTACTAGTAAATTGGTATAATATTTTAAAAGGCTAAAATCTCACCTGTTTAAGTAACATGTATTTTAGTTCTATCTTCTGACATTTATGCTTATTGAGAAAAGATCTAGGTTATTGGCTTCAGAATACCTTGAATGTATTTTCTCTAAAGTTAGAGGTAACCTTGATACGATTAAAATGTATGTTATATGAGACATCCTTCTTAAAACCCCCACCTTTAATCTAAATACACATACACAGAATTTTTATTAAAATAAAAAACATTTTTTATAAAAACAATACATGTGGAATGTAAAAAGGGAGAAAATGAAAGTAACTTGTAATCTTAATATTTTTAGATGTTAAGCAGTTAATACTTTAGAGTCTGTCATTTTTAGTTTTTTCTATGTAAAAGTTTTATTTTATTCTAATATATAAACATAATGAATTGCTTTCTGTATAGAATGTGTGTGTGTGTGTGTGTGTGTATATATATATATATATACAATTTGCCTCCATAAATATATTTCCAACAGTACTTTTTAAATAAATGTCTGTGTTGGGGGGGGGTAGTTTCTTAAAATGTATGTAGAATTCCACTGCATCTAAGAGTCCTAGGAGCTATGTAACCAGAGCCAAATCTAAAAGTGTGATTTGAAATCTGAAAGGGTATGGGAAAAGCACACTGATTTTGGAACTATAGAAGTCATGGTTGGGCTTTTGAACACTTAAGACATTTACTGTCTCTGGGGCCTTGGCTTTTCTTATCTGCTAAATGGAGATGATAATTTTAGTTTACTAGGGTTGATTGGGACTTTAGTGCCTGGTACAGGGTAGGTGTTCAGTAGTTATTGATTTCCTTTTTTGCCTCAAAGGCAAAGAGAACTGGACAGAGAACAAAAGAAACATGCTTTCCCTCAAAAGTATAATTTTAAATGTTTCTTGTATATCATGTGTTTTGGGAAGATTTTATAACTCTGCTCTCCTAATGAAGTTAGCACAGAAGGGAGAAGGAAATTTGGAATGCAACTGGAAAATAAGTGATGTATTATGCAGTACTGCTTTCCTTTCTCTCTTTTTTCTTTCTTTAGAAAAATCTTAACTAATGTAGTATGCCATATTTACTTTTTTTTTTCCTTTTTGTAGCATGCAGCAGATTGGAATAAATATGATGACCGATTGATGAAAGCAGCAGAAAGGGGGGATGTAGAAAAAGTGACCTCAATCCTTGCTAAAAAGGGGGTCAATCCAGGCAAACTAGATGTGGAAGGCAGATCTGTGTAAGTATTATTGATGATAAAAGCATGTCTGAAGGGAATTTGGATAGTCTTGGGATACAAATGAAACTTGTGAATTGTAGTTATCAACTTACTTATTAAGAAATTCTGCCAAAACCTGCACTATAAAATCTTTCAAACAAACTAATAATTGTTCTCAATTTAAAATATTTCCAGTCTAGAGAGGGAACACTAGAATACTATCCAGTGGTCTAGAATTGTTTAGGCCCAGTGGCAAACCACAGCCTGTGGTTATTTGGTGCATTTTCATTATAAGCCTTTTTATATTCCTTATCATATTTGCTCTTTGAAGCAGCCTGATAAAAGAAGTGGGAAAAAGTTTGCAGAGGTTAAATACTTTGGTCTCATTTCAGGTAAAGTCACAGAGCTGGAATGTGAACCCAAGCTTTGTGTCTTCGAAGAGTTCTGTAAATTACCCTGTCTTTTCTCCCAACCCCCAATCCATTTTTATACTTGGGTAATTCACTTAAATGAGAATGCTTAGAGCAGAAAGGAGGCAGGATAACTACTGTGGCTTAGGGAGATACAGGTAATAATCCCACCCTTTTGTTTTTTTGTTACTGAGGAGAACTGTTGGCTTGTATATATGCTTATGAACGATGTGTCTGTCTTCTCCCCTTCCCCGTCTCAAATCTTCATTATTTTCCTTCTTGTTGTAGGTGGGGAGCAGTTGGGTTAAAGGGTAGATCTAGTCCCTGTTATGACCCTCTATACTTATAGCATTTAAAACCTTATCTGGGAACCCTTTCAAAGTTAGAGGTGAAAAGTCTCATTTCCTAAAATTCTTCTCAGTCTTTACTTGCATGAATTTATTCAGAATATTATAACTGGAAACCAGATACTAAATATAGAAATGAATATTAGGAAGTGAATAGTTAATGTGTGATGTGGGTCACTGCCTTGGAATGCTTAGGTATTAAATATAGTAAAGATAACAGCAGGACTATAAATTAAGTAGTTTTTAAGAGCAATAAAGTTGGAAAAGTTTCAAGTTCATAATGTTTCACTTTTATCAAGTAGCAGTTTGATAGCTATGGAAACACTGGTTATTTTGAATCTTGCCCCATTACTGAATTTTAAGCTATTTATAGGGCTCACAGCATAAATTGTGAAAATTTAATATCCAAAAGTGATATTGTTCTTCATGTTTCTTTTTTCTCAAATGCTAAGATGTTAAAAGATGAAGTGAATCTTTTTTGGGATGGAACTTTTCAGTGAAACCTATATCACTGAAATCAGTTCTGCCCATTCATACTTCGAATGTTTTGAGTGACTGGTGGCTTGAGTTTTTGTTTGGAGTTCTTGATATAAGGTTCAATTTTGAGTGACATTAAATAGTCAGTTATAGTGGTGTAATTTGATGAACTGTGAACTTTAGTTTTTGAACTATTTGAGGAGTGTTAGTCTTGAAGTTTTCATCATAGAGAGTAGAATTTTTTTTATTTTTTTATTTTTTTGAGACAGAGTTTCGCTCTTGTTGCCCAGGCTGGTTGTGCAATGGCACAATCTTGGCTCACTGCAACCTCTGTCTCCCGGGTTCAAGCGATTCTCCTGCCTCAGCCTCCTGAGTAGCTGGGATTGCAGGAATGCACCACCACCCCTGGCTAATTTTGTATTTTTAGCAGAAACGGGGTTTCTTCATGTTGGTCAGGCTGGTCTTGGACTCCCGACCTCTGGTGATGTGCCCACCTCAGCCTCCCAAAGTACTGGGATTACAGGCGTGAGCCACTGTGCCCGGCCAAGAGTAGAATTCTTTCTAGGATTCATAGAATAAAGTATTTCCCTTTTTTTACTCACACACAAACTGTATTCTTAATTAAAGCATGTTGTATTTAGTCAAGTGTGGGACATGTTACAAATATATTTTCTGTATTTACAATTACAAAAACAATTTGTTTCAAATGATTGTTTTTAATTTTGAAATTTATTTCTAAATTTAAGACAAAAGAACATGTGCTTCTTGAGCTCAATTTGGTTTCAAAAATGAAATATTTGAAGCCTAGCCATAGTTACCACAAGGATCTGTTTTCTTTCTGTTCGCCTCTCTCCTAAGGTACAGCCCTTCCAGGGCCCAATCCAAGATGGGGAAGGTTCACCAAGGATTCCATTGCTACTTGGAGAACAGTGGACTCCAGTTTGTGTCTCCCCATTTCCTCAAGGCTGTCAAAGTGCTGTTCAGTCTCCTGTTTCTCTGGAATCAGCAAATGTTCCCAGGGAAAAAGTGGCCTGAAATACTAAGCGCACTTCTCTGGGCCTTCTTCCTACCTTGCATCTTGGCCTAGTAACTTTTTACTATTTTGTTAGCTCACTGACACCTTTAAGCATATGTCTCATATTTTTTGCAGCTTTTCTAGTTGTCCTCAGTAGTAACATTTGTCCAGGTTACATATATCTCCTGTTATAGAAGTCCATGTCTTGTTTTTAAAAGAAGAAAACATAGAGTTGATTTTTAAATTGCAAAATAGTATTTTTTATAAAGCAATTTTTCATATTTCCTATACAATTCTTTGCATGTTTTAATGATTGATGTATCTTCTTTCCAAAGCACATCTATTTATAGCACATCAGCATTACTAATGCATTGTAGATTTGTTGTGATTTCTGCCCTTTTGTACATCATCATTATAATGTTGACCTCTTTTGAAGAAAGAGGTCTTCCACATTTTGTGAGCTAAGAAATGAAAACAAGCAAACAACAAAACAATGATATCTCTAAGATTGTTGGGAGACTACCTTTGCTAAAGGAAATTAGCATTCTTCAAAAGGTTCTAATGGTGCATTGCATAGTATAATTCCCAGTTTCATTGTGGCAGAGAGATTATAAGGCAGAGATACTCAGCCTTATAGCGATTTAATTTAGTAGAAGGAGAACTTACCTGACTCTTAAGAATACTATATTCCTTTTACCAGAAACAGCTTTCTAATTCGGATTGTACACAAACCTGCTTTACTTGGTGGTGCTTTGTCTATAGTTTGCATTTATATCCATCGTAATACTAATAGCGTCGCAAGACTGAGTCTTGTAATATCTGGAAACGAATTTGTAAGCTATCTTCAGATTTTGTCTCCAAGCATGCAGTTATTCAAATATTTGAGGGTTTGTCATTTGACTGGCACTGTTATTGGTTCGGGGGATGTAATAGGAAGCAAAACTAGACAAAAATCCCTGCTTTCATTGAGTTTATAGTTGAGTGGGAAGAGATTGATAGACTATAAAGAAAGTAATGAATTTATTCTATTCCAAAATATTAAATCCTCTATAGAATAATAAAGGCAGGGATTGGGGGAACTAGGAGTACTAAGGTTTTGGTGAATGGGAAAATGTAAAAAATTTTAATGGTGTGGTCAGGGAAGACCTCTGCTGAGAGTGGGCTACAAGAGTGTATCTGTATCCTGGCACCTGCTGAGCACTTTCACATTTTTTGTTTCCTGGCATCTCTAGAATGGTTATTGCACTTACTTAAGGCCTCAGTTCTATTTCTACTTGAGTTCAACATCCTTTGCCAACAACTATTGTATTTACCTGTTTGGATTTGTAGAGTAATATTCAATGTCAGTGGCAGTTCTTTTTGTTAAACTCAGCATAATTCATAGATTTACAGAATGTCAGTTCTCATTGCACACAAAATATTTCTATAATGTTTGTTGATTAATAAAATATTAGATGACTAAATAAATAATGAAATATTGTTAACTAGCATTTTGAATACTTGATGGCTTAAAGTTAGTTTTTTAACTTTAACTTGCCTTATTAGGAAACTTATTCAGTTATTCCTGTTCATGTGAAACTTCAGCCAATCATACAAGCCCAGGCCTTTGAACAAAAGGAAGAATTAGTTGGTAGTTGGTAATTAGTTGGTAATGTTTGGGAAGAAGGCGCTGATTCTTTTGTGATTTTAAGGGTAGTTTAGCTTGTTGTTTTGAAGGCTTTTCTAAGCAGGTTTAGTTTGATAATTCTAAAGAGAAAAGGTAAGTGTTTGGATCTGTCTTTGGCCTCAGCATTCTGCTAAACTAAATAAAATAATGAAACTATTTGAAACTAAATAAAATAATCTGATAGAAAATTTTCAGTGCATTTATTAAGATCCAAGCAGCAATGCTTTTGCTATAAACTTTAGAGTTAATGATATTATAGTATAAATTTTCTCTTATTAAGGCTTTTGCACATTAGTATATTTCATTGGTTCTAAGCAGGTATTTTTAGAAAGTATTGGCCCCTTATGTAAATGAGATAGGTTTCTTTTTTTAATTTTAATTAAATATGTAGGTGTTCTAATGTAGCCTTTAAAATGTGTGTGTGTTTGTGTGCGTGTGTGTGTGTTGAAAAAGGGTGACATTAATGTAGCATTTAAGGTGACCTTTGGTTGTTTCCTTAGCACAACAAATATTTTTTTTTTGTTTAGCTTCCATGTTGTGACCTCAAAGGGGAATCTTGAGTGTTTGAATGCCATCCTTATACATGGAGTTGATATTACAACCAGTGACACTGCAGGTATGTTTGCCTCCATAGTTAATTATAAAACATAAAGTGAAAACAAACATTGTCCACTGCTAACATTTTTATTCAGACCTAAATGTGATATAAAGAGAGATGTCCTCAATTTTCTGTTTTTAAAATAGTTGAGAAAGAGTTTACTTCTGAGGTATTGTGGGAGAGGTCAAGTATAGGGAATTTAGGAGAAAGGATTGCTTTACTGACGAGCAGTTGGAGACCTGAATTCTAGTGCAGGTCCTAGTAGTGTTACAGAATCCTAGAATCTCAGATTTTGAAGAACCATTAGGGACCATTTGGCATTTGGTTGGATGTTTCTTGTGATGGAGAACTAACTGCTACCTAACAGCATTATCATCAAGGACAACAATAATAACAAGAATAGCTGACATGTATATAACATTTAATAGCTATTCTTCTAAGCACTTTACCCATTCATTTTATTCTCATTCATTTTATTCTCTCAGAACCCAGAGAAGTTCTGAGGCCCTGAGCTGTTAAGTAATTTGGCCCAAGGCCCTTCAGTAGCTAAGTCGCAGTCAGAATCTGTATTCTTAACCATTATGCCTCATAAGGAACCCATTCTGTGCCTAGCTATATTTATAAAAAAATCATTTTTTATAGAGAATCGAAATATATTTCTAACTCAGTTTTCTGCTTACACTTATTTGTACCTTTGTCTGTCCTTTAAAATCTTACAACAAAGGTTTGTACATCAAAGAAGTTTGTACATCAAATGTAGACCTTTAAGTATTTGAATATAACTATCTCTTTTGTTCCATGAGAGTGCTAGTTTTCTATCTATCAGGATAAACATTCTCACTTCTCTGGGACTGTTGACAGCTTAGTTCTTTGCAGTTATACTTTGTTTTTCTATTAAATACAGGAGTTGACCCAGAACTAAAAGGCTTTTGTTTGTTAGTTTTTACAGTTTTTTATCCTGTGATTCCATGTAGGGGCAAATAAATACATTACTTTTACCCAGCATTGTGTTTAGAAATGGAAGGGAGGGAGAGGGAGACAGATCACAATTGAATTAGTGAGGTAAATCTTTACTTAAGAATACATCAGATTCTAAGAAGACCAAATTCAATTTATCTGCTACCTTTGAGTGAACAAAGAAATGTGTTTATTGCTTATATATGCTTTCCATTGATGTAGAAGAATATTTATTTTTAGAAATTTTGGACTAACCTTACCTCTTCAGAGCTCTTAAGACTATTTATTGTGTGGATCCCAATTCAAACAGGTATCTTTCTTGTTTTTGTCTGTATTCTTTCTGCTCTGGACATTTTGCCTAGTGGCTAATCTAGTGACTTCTGCTTGCCTTCTTTCTTTGCAGATCAAGCTCAAATGCTTCCCCAAGCTCAGCAGACATTATTTCATATATTGCACCCCAACATACCGTGTTTAACTCTTCTGTCTTTTGTTTTTGCTGCTATTTATATTTTCATTTGATATGTTTTATAATGTTTGTCCCTAGAGTTGTCCTTTATTGAATACAAGGGTCTTTTCTCAATTGCTATAATGTCTGTTATAATCCAGATGTAGATATTTGAACAATGTGAATACACATCTTTATGTGTATTATCTTAAGTGCTGTTTAATATTAAAGTGTATTTAAAATGACCAGATTTCAAATTAGTGCAGTTTTGAGATATTTGTTACTTAGGTCTTACCAGGTATGCACCTGTGTTGTAATTTATGTTGGTATGCTTTAGATCTGGTGTTTCCTTGGTTTTTTGCTGCCGTATCTCAAGTGGCTAGATTTGATATTTCCTTATCCCTGATCTGACATTTTTATGTGACCAAGTTTCTGTAGCATTTTGTTGAACACCAGGTACTGTTGCCACTGTGCCTAACCCTACCATCTCCACTCCATGCTATCTCTTACTTTACATGTAAATGACAGTTATTTTAGTCACTTTTCACAATGTGAAATGTTTCTAGGACACTTGTCCATGAACAGGAGCAAATTGAAATTTGAAATGATCACATCTGATTGACTTGTAATTAGAGGATGTTTGGGTGTGGTTGAATGTATTGTATCTGTACTTATTGAAAAACCTGAAAGACCTGGACTCACTATGTTTTGTTCTGCAACCTGGTTAGTCAGCTACGTGGAAGTGACCAGAGAGTTGAAAGCCAATTTATTTATCCCTCCAAGATGAATAAAACATAAATTACTCTTCTAGCAAAAAGGTCTACTTGTGAAATCAAATTATGGTGTTTTTGTTTTTGTTTTTTTCTGACAGGATTTCGCTCAGTCACTTAGGCTAGAGTGTGGTGGCATAATCATGGCTACTGCAGCCTTGACCTCCTGTGCTTAAGTGATCCTCTACCCTCAGCCTTCTGAGTCGCTGGGACTACAGGCATACACCACCACACCTGACTAATTTTTATATGTTTTGTAGAGATGGGATTTCACTATGTTGCCCACGCTGGTCTCAACTCCCAGGCTCAAGCAATACACCTGCCTAGGCCTCTCAAAGTGCTGGGATTACAGATGTGAGCCACAGTGTCCGGCCCCCAAATTATATTTTAAGAAGTTTGTGGCCAGGTGTGATGTCTCATGCTTGTAATCCTATTACTTTGGGAGACCAAAGCAGCAGGATTGCTTGAGGCCAGGCGTTCAAGACCACTTTGGGCAATACAGTGAGCCCCTGTCTCTACACAAAATTAAACAAATTAGCTGCACATGGTGGCACGAGCCTATAGTCCCTGTTACTCTGGAAGCTGAGCTGTGAGGATCGCTTGAGCCCAGGCATTCGAGGCTGTACTGAGCTATGAGGCTGCACACTAGCCTGCGTGACAGAGTGAAACCTTATCTCTAAAAGAATAAATTGAAAAGAAAAGAAGTTTGTGAGATTAGAGGGAAATTAAGAGCATTAAATGTTAGAAGTTGGAATAGCCTGGTTAAATCCTTATATCTTTCACCATCCAAGAGGTGTTTGTATAAAGAAATATAATTAGGAAAAATAGGGTTTGGAGGTAGATAGTTCCTACAAGTTTCTTTTCTGGTATTCAGAATTAACCTTTCAGATTACCTGGTAACCTCTCCTCCCTACCCCCTTTGGCATTTCCTTTAAAATGCACATTTTATACAAATTATATTTGCATGAGTTGTCTGATTTTCAGAGATAGAATTACATAATAAACTTTGAATTTTAGCCAAAGCATGAAAAATCAGTTAAGGAATACCCTTTCTATGCCTTACGCTTCTTAACTTTCTCAATTTTCAGTGTCCACACTGCCTATTTGGATATGTAATGTGAAATCTTGGTATTTCTTTCTCTCTCTTCTTTCCTCATTGTCTTTCTCTCCTTTCCCTTTTCTCTGTGCCAGTATTTAATTATCTGCTGTGTTTTAGGTACTGTTCTACATGCTGGGGATATAGTAGTGAATACAACAAAGTTCCTGCTTGTTATAGATTTCTATAATTAGTTTTTCTTTCTACCTTCATTGTTTTGGTACGTATATCATCTCTTACTAAAATATCAAGCTAGATGAAACATCTTTGGAAACTGAAAGTATACTTACAGATTAAGTATGTTGTCAACTAGTTTTGGGAAAAAAGAATCATATTTCTATAAAAATCCTCAATTTACATATGAAGAAAATAATCCTTCACATGTATCTTAAATTATTTATAGGGAGAAATGCTCTTCACCTGGCTGCTAAGTATGGACATGCATTGTGCCTACAAAAACTTCTACAGGTAGTGGAAGTGGTTAATACTTTAGCTTTATTATTTTGACAACAAATCATAGATGTACTTTTAATGTGTTTTTGGAATTTTAGATCAAAGAGAATAGTAAACTAACTTTGACTATGAGCTTACATATTTTTTCCATCATTTGTGAAGGAATGTGAACAATAAAGAGCAAAAACTGAGGGAAGTGAATTGCATAACTCAGTGTATTAAAAATAAATAACAAAGGCTTGACCTTCCTGTTGACATAGCTGAAGGTTGGAATTTTCTGTTGTCTAGACTATCGTGGAAGATAAAGTAATACAACATAGGACCTGTATATTTCTATTCAAACACAGATAACTTATACTACATAATATTATTACATTTTTAATCAGATAACCACAAAATTCTAACTAGTTGGCTAAAGTTCCCATCAAATATTTCAGTCATACATTTTTATAAACATATTCACTAAGTTTCATAGCAGAACTCACCTGCTTTTCTGATTCAGTATCTCAAGTTTTAATTCTTGGTGGAAAAAAAAACCCCAAACAATACATATTTTCCTGTATTTCATGCCATTCATTATAATGTACCATATGTTTCCTGTTTGGTGAAACATTGTTAATTTAGTTATATAATGTTACTGTATTTGTTCCATGTCAGCATATTTCATGGATTGTCGGATAGTCTTTAGCTTCTTTGATAAGTGGAATATTTTAAGATTAAATAACAGCTGTTCATCTGAGTCTGGATATCTAATTTTAAAATAAAACTCTCCTACTTTACTAAGTTTTCTTTACTTTAACAGTACAATTGTCCCACTGAGCATGCAGACCTGCAGGGAAGAACTGCACTTCACGATGCCGGTGAGCAGTGGTTTCCCTTGGATACAAATATTTGTTAAAATGTCTAGTCATTTGAATTAATTTCAGGGTTTTAACACATAGATATTTATATAATTCATGGAGAAACAAAGAATATTAAAAACCTGTTTGCACAAATTAGAGATTTATTAGATTATACCGCTTAAAAAGATTCATTCAGTCAGTATTTACAGGCCAGTCAGCTTGCTAGATACTAAAGGTACAAAGGTAGATAAACTATAATCCTGCTCACAAGGAGCTCCAAGCTGTGTGTGTGTGTGTGTGAGAGAGAGAGAGAGAGGGAAACAGAGAGAGAATGTGTGTGCGTGTGTGTGTTTCATGTCTTTGGGAATTGGAGAAATGGGAAGAAGACTTTCCTTAAACTATGTTTACCTAATTAACATGTCTGAACCTCTTTTTTCTCATTTGCAAAATGAAGTTAATAATACTACTGCAATAAGTAGTATTAATAAGTATAATCAAATCATAAGTAGTGCCTGGCACATAATAATTTCTTAATTAATGGTGGTAGTTGTTTTCCTTTAGAGATGTCAGTGCTGAATTTCATATCACTGTAATGTGCTATATTTTAAAAGAGATTTATACTGATTTTTAGAGATTTTATTATACTTGTGTGTCTAAATTTATTTGCATTATTCTTTAGGTGTCTTAAAGAAAGTACTTTGAAAAAAGTTATATATTTAGGTATTTTTGGAATGTAAGATAGCCTGACCTCTTGCTAAGTCTGATATTCCTACATTTAACTATAAGGCCAAAGGAAAAAAAACAGTCTACTTTCTCTTTTCATGTATATGGAATATATGCAGTAGATTAAGGTGGTCTGCACTGAAGACATATTATACTTCAAATTTCCTTCAAAATTTTATACCTTAATTTTTAAAAATTTTGCTTTTTGTATTTTATTTGTATGATAATTTCTCACACAATGCATTTCTTTTTTTTAATATAGAAGGGTATTACTGTATTTGCAAAGCATTTTTCCATTATCATTTGAGCCTCACAATGACCCCTGTAAGTTAACCATATATTTTATTATCCCTGCTTTAAAAACTGGTACAACTTGACCAATTGAAATCTTTATACTTATTAGTTAGATGCATTAGCTAGGATGGAAACTAAGTTGCTATAACAAAAGAACTCCAATATCAGCTGCTTATTAAAAAAATTGTTGAGTGATATATATTGACAGGTCACTCATGGTCATTTTAAAACTGAATTCTTTCTATCTTGTTTCTCCACTTACCTGTGAGTATCTTCCTTAACTGCAAGGTTGAAGCAGAGTTGTGGTCGTAGCCGTATTCTAGCTAGCAGGAAGGAGGAGAGAGCCTAGTGGAATACATGCCCAAAGTCTGGAACTCAGACTTGGAAGTAGTAGATTATTCTCCATTCATATTCTACTGATAGGAGCAAAATCAATTGGCTATATTTATCTGCAAGGGAGGCTCAGAAATAAACTCTCTAGGTGACTAGTCATATTCCGAAACCTACTCTATAGTAGAAGAAGAGGAGAACAAATTTTGGTAAAATACTGCATTTTCTGCTACAGTTCAACTCTCTGGCCTTCCAAATATCTCCAAAGCCCCTACTTCCCACATACTCCCAAAGGAGAGGATATATAAACAAACTCATTTACTTCATCTAGCTCAAAGTCTAGGATTTCTGGGTGGTTTGCAGTTTTCTCTTTTTGGCTTTAAGCGGTTCTTCATGATCTAGTAATCTGTAAACTCTGGAATTTATTATGCTTTACATTTTTAAATTCTCATTTATAATTGGACGTAAAGGGTCGCTAATTTTACAGTTCCTGAATTAATGTTTTCAGGTTCAGTTTATCTTTTTCTTAAAGCTGATGATACATTTTATATAAAAGATTTGCTGGATTAGAGACGAAAAGTGAAAATTTACTTGATTTTCTTATGTTTGGTTTAATTCTATTATTTCACCAATAAAAAAAAGAATGCTCACTTTGTCAGTACTTTTTGTGCTTATAATGTATGTCAACTCATAAGGCTTAAAAAATTCATGGGGATTGTAAACATAATCCTACTTTATGAATTTAACAATAATTTTTCCTAATATAAATATGAACTATAGTGTTAGTCAAAGAAGCATAATGTGATTTTATAATTATTAGCAAAATGACCTTACTTTGCATAAAGGTAGACATTGCAATCTCTGCTTTTATGAGAAATATGAATTGTATGATTCATACTTTACTTACTGTGACTATTCTATAAAAAATGGATATGATTCTTTAAAAAAACTGAGCCAACACTTCAAGGATCAAGTCAGTTATAGCCATGTTTAAAAATATACTGTAAGTACAAAATTTAGCTTTGATTTTTATTGTCTGTGCTTATCCTTAGAATAGTAGTGTGTTCTTGTCTTCTACAAGGTTGACGTTATTCCTTGGTCCTAATAAATTGTAGACAATTTATAATCTTGTCTAATCCATTTTCAGATGAAAAATTGTGCTTATAATGCTAAACTAAGAGTGAAGGACGTGAAGCTTGGTAATTTAGAAATTGAAAAACTTATTCCTTATATGGACCTAGAAAAACACTATGTGTCTTACCAACAGATGTTCACCATTTATCATTTTCTTTTGTTCCTTAAAGCAATGGCAGATTGTCCTTCTAGCATACAGCTGCTTTGTGACCATGGGGCCTCTGTGAATGCCAAAGATGTAGTAAGTTAGTTTATGTTTATTCTCATTTCAACTCATGCATTCTAACTTCTACATTTTGGGAGATCTGTTGTCTTAATGCTGTTTTATTTTTCCTGTTGCTTAGGACGGGCGGACACCACTTGTTCTGGCTACTCAGATGAGTAGGCCAACAATATGTCAACTGCTGATAGATAGAGGAGCGGATGTTAATTCCAGAGACAAACAAAACAGGTAATTCTTTTATCATGGCTCCCAGATACCAGCTGGATACACAGGGATGGAAAGGCCAAGTCAAAGCAGCAGCTCTGTTCTCTGACTTGGCCTTTCTTTCCTGTGGGTTCTCCCCTTCCCTGGCTTGCTTTTCCTTGGAATTAACATCTACTTGTCAGTTTTCTTCAGAGTCTGCTGAAGAAAGAAGGAGAGGGAAATAGAGGAAGATGACAGGGTTAATGTGAATAAAAGCAGTGATTAGGCCTTATGTTTGGATCAAAGAACTGAAGGAGAGAGGAATTACATCCCAGGTGTTTTAAGCTTAAAAAACTCTTTAATGAAATGGGTGCAAGTAAGATACATAGGAGAAGAATTTAAAAAGTACATCTGTAGTTACTTCTTCATTAGTGAATCTTTTGAGTAAAGTGGTTCTTGAGTGTTCTGGAACTTGACATGTGTCAGTATAGATTTTCTCAAGGTGTTTTCTCTCCTTACTCTGCCAGGGTACAGTGCCATCTCCTACTCTGAACCTGTCCATTTCTGTACTGCAGAGGTCCCTTGCTTTATTTTTGCTTCTGTATTTGATACTATTTTAGTTGGTGTGCTCTAATAATTTCTATCCAGAATTCTCCCTATCTCTGTCTGTAGGTCTAATGTATCATGGTGCTTGTTGTATTACAATTCTGAAGTTTATGGTCACAAAGTATCTGAAACACACCCCTTCCATTTAATTCAAGTATTACAATAAATTAAACTAAAATTTCTGGGATTTTTGTAGTTACTAGTAAAAATTTTGGTTTCTTTTGACTTAATTTTATTCTTCCAAACATGTATTCTATTGTTTGTAGTTTATTAGAAGTATAAAAGTATAAAAAATAGTCTTTAGTTGTCAGATTTTATAGCTGTAATTGTTTTCTTTATGCATCTCAAAGGAGGAAATTCTGTACCTAATGCTAAATGACGAGTTAATGGGTGCAGCACACCAGCATGATGCATGTATACATATGTAACTAACCTGCACATTGTGCACATGTACCCTAAAACTTAAAGTATAAAAAAAAAAAAAAAAAAAAAAAGAACCCTGGCTTCTACAACTCCCCTTATCTTAACTCAAGCATTTCTTTATATTGACTTCAATTCTCCAGACAAAGCTTAATGCTTTCAATCAATTCCCAATCAGGAAATCTTTGACTTGGAAGCCCCTACTTTGAAATGTCCTGACATTCTGAGCTAAACCAATGTATACCTTATATGTATTGATTTATACCTTTGCCTGTAACTTTTGTCTCCCTAAAATGTATAAAACCAAGTTGTAACTCAACCACCTCCGGCACCCATTCTCAGGACCTCCTGAGGCTGTGTCATGGGCCATGGTTGCTAACATTTGGCTCAGAATAAACCTCTTTAAATATTAAAAAAAAAAAAAAAAGATGTGATTAAGAAGTGGCTTTTTAATATTACTTTGTTTTTGTGGATACTATCATCTGATTCCAAGCATGATGAAGAAAATTGGATTTTAAAATTAAATTTTACGGCTGGGCGCGGATCACTTGAGGTCAGGAGTTCAAGACCAGCCTGGCCAACATGGCGAAACCACATCTCTACCAAAAATACAAAAATTAGCTAGGTGTGGTGGTGCGTGCCTGTAATCCCAGCTACTCAGGAGGCTGAGGCAGGAGAATTCCTTGAACCCAGGAGGCGGAGGTTGCAGTGAGCTGAGATCATGCCACTGCGCTGGCAACAGAGCGAGACTCTTGTCTCAAAAAAAAAAAAGTTAAATTTAATTTTAGGATCACAGAGGGATAATCTGGTTGATCTACATACAGTGCTTTATATTTTTTATAGCTCTCACATTTTTCAAAGCACTTTATCTATGTTTTTTCATTGGGCATTCACAAAAAGCCAATGAAGCAGGGCAGTGTATATTGTATAGACTAAATAGCATATGGTTTTCAACATAATTTATAACCTTAGTTTCTAATACTCTATATTCATTTCTTTTTTTCCTGTTTTATATGTAGCATTTTTTAAATAACAAAAACTTTGTTAATGCCTGTTTTGTACAGAATTTCTTATCAGCAACTACAGGGGAGTTGGGGGACAAGGCTTGAATATGAGAAACACAGCATACATAGCAGAGAAAAGGCAAGAGTCAGTTTCCTTAAGAGATCCAATATTCACAATTGAAGACAGAGTTAGATATAGGATATGTCATTTCATTTCATTACGTGTTGGTTAGCCCCATCCTAAAAAATAGAGGATTAGACAAAATAATTTCTAGGGTCCTTCTAGATTTTCATGACAATTATTTTGTTGCATGATTAGTATTTGCTGATGTACTGTGAGATGTTTGAGTGCCAGTGGTTCTATTGCAATAGAATAAAGCAATGATCCATGTTGCATGGCGTTAGTTGTAGTCTGAAGATGTGAAGGTCTTCAGGTAGAAGAATCAAGGTTCTTCTAAGCAGGAACATCAGGAATGGAATCTGATACTTCTCTTGGAGGAGAAGGGATTCTTAGGGGAGGTTTGCATGATGTGGTTCAGTTCATGAAGGGACTGAAAAAGTTGGGTTTTGATCACATGGGGTGACAGTATCAGTTGTGGAAAATTTTTGTGGTGATTATTTACGTGTAGGACATTGAAGAAGTGGAATAAATGAGGTTGGTTTGGTAGTAGAAGTAATTAAAGGATATAAGGATATAGAAGACAAAGCAAATGTTTTTATAAATGCAATGAATATAAAGTAAAATCTATATCTGTAACAGGCATGACTTCTTAAAGTAGTGTCTATTCTTCAAGAAGGGAGCATGTCTTAGTGTTCAAGTAAGTGTTCAAGTAGTGTTGAACACTTACTTGAACTTAGTGTTCAAGTAGAACTACAGTTTATAAGAAGCAAAACATTCCTTACTGATAAACAGTATTGGTTCATCTCCCTCTACAACATGGATTTGCTTACTTACATTATAGTCACTTGCTTTGAGGCAGTGTGTGTTGCATATATAATCTAGTTTATCCAGTGAACACTAAGACAGTGTTCAACAATAGGGCAGAATATTTCTGCAATATTTCCTTGGAGTTTTCTCAGTCTTTTGCTCTTCCATTTTTCCATTTAGAACTGCCCTCATGCTAGGTTGCGAATATGGTTGCAGAGATGCAGTAGAAGTCTTAATTAAAAATGGTGCTGATATAAGCTTGCTGGATGCGCTTGGCCATGATAGTTCTTACTATGCAAGAATTGGTGACAATCTGGACATTCTAACCTTGTTGAAGACTGCATCGGAAAATACCAACAAAGGTATCAGCAGTTTTCTGTAACTAGAAAAGTCCACATTAACAAAGAGCCACTTTTTAAAAGACTTAGGTAGTAGAACTACAGTTTATAAGAAGCAAAACATTCCTTACTGATAAACAGTATTGGTTCATCTCCCTCTACAACATGGATTTGCTTACTTACATTATGGTCACTTGCTTTGAGGCAGTGTGTGTTGCATATATAATCTAGTTTATCCAGTGAACACTAAGACACTGGAATAACTTCAGAACTGAGAAGGAAGAGTCAAGTGTTTTACTAAGTTTTTTTTTTTTTTTGATGAAGAGGGGTGAACCTCCCAACTTTTTATACTTACGAAGTTTTAAAGAATCATTGTTTAAACATGTATGTAAAATAGTCAGCTGATATTTACCAAATGCCTATGCCATGATTTTTTATGTTTTTTTTAAAAAAAACAGGAACATACAGAAAAGCACAATGAATAGTCACTCATTACCACTGAGAAGCCTCTGTTAACATTTTGAGAAATATCCTTCTAGTCTTTTCCCATTAAATTGAATTCACTGTAAATCTGAATTGTAGCTTACTTTTTTATGTAACCTATTTTGAAGGCCTTTCCCTCAAAAATAGTTTTTCTATAGTATGATTTTTGTTGGTGTATGAGATTCCATTTATTTAAGTTTCATTTAATAAAGCAGTTTTCTACATGTAGTGTTTAAGCTATTTATAATTATTCATTAATACACAAAGGTTATGACTGTCCTTATGCATAAATATTTTAGTATATTTTTATTACCCTTTAGGGTCGGTTCCTAGAAATTGAATCACTGAGTTTCAGGGCATGCACATTTCTTTAAGCCTTTGGTCTATGTTGGCAAATTGCCTTCGAATTTAGGAGCTTTTTAAATTTTCTTCCCCTCTTTTTTTTTAGATATGGGGTCTCCCTTTGTTGCCCAGGCTAGAGTATAGTGGTGCCATCATAGCTCACTGCAATCTCAAACTCCTGGGCTCAAGTTATCTTCCTGCCTCAGCCTCATGAGTAGCTGGGACTACAGGCATGTACCACCATGGCCAGCTAATTTTTTATATTTTTTTTGTAGAGATGGGGTCTTGCTATGTTGCCCAGGCTGGTCTTGAACTCCTAGCCTCAAGTGATCCTCCTGCCCCAGCCTCCCAAAGTGCTGGGATTACAGGTGTGAGCCACCATACCCAGCCTAAATAAATTTCCCATTTTTTACCTGCCTCCAATCCTTAGTCTTTAATCTTACCTACTTGAATATTGTTATAAAAATTTTGCTAATTTGATAGGCAAAAGTGAGATGTCATTATTGTTTCAAGCATACGTTTTAGAAATAAAACTAAAAAGTTGTAAGCTTTAGAGGAAACTCTAAAGTTTATTTATTTAATATTGACTCAATTGTATAGTTAGGGAATGCGTACCTACCCCAAGTTAACCTGCCATTTTGTTGTTTCTCTTTTTCTCTAAATCTTAGGGAGAGAACTTTGGAAGAAAGGGCCATCTTTGCAACAGGTAGATATTAATTTTAATTTTAAATAATTATATGTATTGTATAGTTTAAAGTGCTTAGTAAAACTAGTTAATAGTTAGCATAACTATTCTGAGTTTAAATGCGTTCTATCTCTCTTCTCAGTTAATCAAGCCCGTGTAGATTCTGGATACTTAGATCATGAGGTCCTATCAAGATACTATCACTTAGCTTGAGACACATTAGATCTCAGTTTCAATGAAGGTATCCAGTGGGAAAGAGATAGCCTCCTGATTAGGGCCGTGAGCATTCAGTTTTTTCAAGTAGGAGACATTGTAACTTGCTAAATGATGAACTTTAGCTTGGCAGATCATAGACAGTTTCCCCCAGTCTCCCTTAATAACAGGACAAAATATTGACTGTTATGGGAAAATTCTTCCAGTGTAATTAAGAAATGAAGAAAACAGAGTTCTAAACTGATTATATATTGTGATTTCAATGCCACTGTTAGTGTTTTTATTTCTTCTTCAGTCTTTTTTTCTGTGTGTATTTAATTGAGGACTTTACGGAATAACAACACTTGAAATAATTCATGCTTTGCACTACATTTATTATTAAATTACTATTTAACCCTGTTTTGATATCCTGGTTGTGAAATGTCTTATGTTTTCTGCTAATCTATTTGTGTTAAAGTAAGCAGGGTTGGTTTACAGTACCGTGGCTCAAAAGCTAGTGTAGGCAGCTTTCCTCTCCTGCTGACTGTTCCCTTCCAGGCTTTCAGCTTTTCTCTAGTGAGAGGAACCTAAGCATTTGCAAACCCTGAAGAGAAAGTAATCAGGTACCTTGAGCAATTCTGATCATCATCCTGTGTCATTTTTGTACCTCTCACCTGAATCTGAAAGCTACATTTTTTAAAAATTTTGCTTTAAGTTCTGAGATACATGTGCTGAATGTGCCAGTTTGTACATAGGTATACATGTGCCGTGGTGGTTTGCTGCACTTATCATGAAAGTTATATTAAAGCTTGTTTTCCTTTTCAATCCATCTGAATTAATATGTTCATATATGGGTCATGTCTGTTGACACTTTTCCATCTGGAGCAACTGTTCCAGCCTTCTTCCCTGTGCCTCATATAACCTAAGTGTGAGTAGAGTGAAAAAAAATGTACACTGCTATGACTGTACTAGCCATCTCACACAGAATCAGAGAAAAATGATTTCTGAAATATATAGATATTTAAAATAAAAAGAATTATTGAATAT
The DNA here is from genome assembly GCF_000001405.40 of Homo sapiens. Classification (NCBI taxonomy): domain Eukaryota; kingdom Metazoa; phylum Chordata; class Mammalia; order Primates; family Hominidae; genus Homo; species Homo sapiens. The sequence goes on along the minus strand of NC_000015.10, from coordinate 70,681,539 downwards.
TAATATGGGAATTGTTCTCTGCTCAGTGCTCTAGGAAATATTGAAGTGAATACAAGGAGTTAATATTCTACTAGGAACAGAAAGACACACTGCTCCTAATTACTGTGTTTCCGTCATTTATTGAATACACTTACTAAATATACGCTGTAAATAGGACTTTTTTTTTTTAATACTAAGGCACATGTAATCTCTGTTTTCAAGAAGCCTACAGTATAGTTGCAAATGTAAGACTCACTCAGTTGTTTGTTCACAGATATCTGCTGAACATCTACAACATGCCAACTACTGTTCTAAGTGCTGGGAATATTGTAGTGTACGAAGTCTCTGCCCTTATGGAACTCCTAGCTTAGTGAGAGATGAACAATAAGCAAAGGAATATTTAGTATCATAGCAGATGCTGTGAAGAAAAACAAAACAGAATTAAGGGATGAAGAGGGAGTGGGTGGAAGTCTGTGGGAGAAGCCTCACAGGCTGAGGGAAGGGCAGGTGCCCAGCCCCTGATGAGGGAGCAGGTTAGACATGTTCATGGGGCAGCAGCAGACAAGTGTGACAGGAGCGATGTGCCCATCGTGGAGGGAGCAGAAGAAGCTGCTAAAGTAACAAAGGGCTAGATTAAGAAGGACCTTGTATGATAAGGACTATTGATATGTACCCACCAGTGACTACCAGATGGCGGAAGGCAGGACGTGTGCACCCCAATCAGTGGTGCACGTGATCAGATCGCTGCTAAGTGGAGCCAGAGGTGCAAGAGAGGTTCTTTTAGTGTGCTAATAACAAGGCTTGTCAGGAAGATGGATCTTAATTAAAGGATGCGGTTGATTTAGTATGTCTGAGTTAGGATATAGTGGAGGCAGTGGGTGAGGATGCTGAAGTGAAGGCTGGAAATGAAAGTGGTATGATCAGGTGAGCTGTGAGAAGATGTCAGATTCCACTTGAAGAACAGTCCTTTGGTAGAAGGAATGAGGCTGTAAACATAGTTAGGGCCAAATTGTGGATATAGAATATCTTTTAAATGGGAGTTGTTCCTCTAGTTCTAGATCCAAACTCATTTGAATGATAGTTTAAAAACTTGATCAAGCAAAGGTAAACAAATAATACAAAACATGAGAAAATCATCTCGAAGAATTAAAGCAGTAGTTTTTTTTTTAACCTAATTAGGAAGAAATAAATAGCTTTCTACATTAGTTATTGTGGAGATTTAAAGATCATTTTGGTTTTTTTGAAAGGGGGGTTATTCTCTTGTTTAATAATTATGTTGTTTTTGTTAAAGCAAATCTCTAAGCTGGAATAAAGTTTCAAAGCAGTAAGTTACAAAAACAGAACATACACCCAACCAAGTTATTTAAAGACCTTTTTATATTGCTCAGGTCAGAGGGACTGTCTGTCTCTTCCTTACCATACCTCTTGATATTTTATTTTGGTGGTGCTCAGAGAAGTAAATAATTTCTGTATTGTCTTTACAAATTAATGTGACTTCCCCTTCCTCTTCCTTTTTTTTTTTTTTTAAGTTGAGTTCTTTTAGTAGTTGGCAATGCAGTGCTTTATAGCCCAACTTTTGTTATGCATTTATTACAAATTCTTTTTAAAATTTTGTGACTTTAGTTAAAATAAATCCTTAATAATATTTTAAAATTTGTTATTATTTAGTATTTTTAAATAAGTTATACTTGATTTATTTAAAACATAGTCTTAAAGGTCCTTTCCATTTTGGAGTTTTAAATAGAAACACTGCCACCTTGTGTTATGTGCAGCTAATGTTGGATAAACTGAAAATCACTAACTGGGTGTATTGCCAATTGAGGAAAATATACTTTTCTGTATTCTTACACTTGCTGACCCGTGTTTTCTTATGTTTTACCAAAGCGAAATTTGACACACATGCAAGATGAAGTAAATGTGAAGTCACATCAGAGGGAGCATCAAAATATTCAGGTAAAAAGAAAAAAATAATGGTGTCTTCCTTTAAAAACAATTCCAGTATTTGTAGTGGGATTGAGAGAGAAGAGAGGAAGCAAGAGAATGGGTGAAATGAGTGGGGCAAAGAAAGGGAAGCTCGTTAAAATTGTTTGTGATTCTCTTTTTTTTTGCCTAATCTCTTCTATTTATTTATTTATTTATTTATTTATTTATTTATTTAGAGATGGGGTCTGGCTCTGTTGCCCAGGCTGGAGTGCAGTGGCATGATCTCGGCTCACTGCAACCTCTGCCTCCCAGGTTCAAGTGATCCTCCTGCCTCAGCCCTTCTAGTAGCTGGGATTACAGGCATGTGCCACCATGCCTGGCTAATTTTTGTATTTTTAGTTGAGACGGGGTTTCACCATGTTGGCCAGGCTGGTCTTGAACTCCTGACCTCAGGTGATCCACCCGCCTCAGCCTCCCAAAGTGTTGGGATTACAAGCGTGAGCCACCACACCCGGCTGCCTAATCTCTTCTTTAAGAATTGACTTTTGTTATCAATGTTTGAGTCCAGTATTATAAAATTTAATTATGTAACGCTAGAAGTATGGTGTAGAAAGTATTGTTTTAATATATATTAGAAAAAGCAACTTTATATAACTGTTTGATTTAAATGTGTTTGTTTTGTGATGTAAACCATACATTTGTGTTTATTTTAGAAAATTATAGTATTAAAAATGATCATTAATGTAAATTAAATCTGATTTTTTTCTTAAAGTATTTTCTATTTTGATTGAGAAAAATAATTTTGTTAAACTAACCACACAGTACTTTTTGGCTTTTATATTGGTCAAAGTTTCCAAAGAATATTATGAGGATTATTTTAGAGGAAGGACCCATAATTAATTTTATGACTGAAACACCGTTAAATGATAAATTGAATAGCTGTTTCAGTATAATAAAAGCATTTTATTTGGGTTTTCTTAGTTTACTATGTAGTGTAAGAAAATGAACTATGTCCTTAAATTCGAGCCTTTATCTTTTACCAGAGCACTGAAAATGATGATTATTTCAACAAAAGGATTAGAAGAGTCTCATAAATTTGGGAGGTCTTAAGCAAAAGTTAAAATGGCATATTCTTTTGCTCTTTTCTGTGTCTAGATGCTTTTTATTTTTTCTTTATTGGAATTAGGATGATTTGCCCTCTTGTAGTATATACTTGTATTTATTAGCTATTATAGGATAGTAATTTTCTATTTTATTTATGATCTGTAGATTTTAAATCATTGGCATATCATTGAAATTATTGTATCTTTTGTACTTAGTGTTTTACATATGTATGTACCTGTATGGTAGTGAACTGCTTTTAAAAATTTCTCCTTTAAGAATTTGCTCTTTTAAGATTGGCCTGGCACCTTGTTGTCTTTATTATTTAAGGATTTGGAGATTGAAAATGAAGATTTGAAAGAGAGGTTGAGAAAAATTCAGCAAGAACAAAGAATACTTTTGGATAAAGTCAATGGTTTACAGTTACAGCTGAATGAGGTAAATAAATCTGCATAATAGAAAAATAAACTGTCTTACTATATCAATAGCAAATTGTTAATGATTGTGCTAAAGAAGGTAAAATTAGCTCATTGCACTTCAGAGGAGTTAAATCTTACTGGGGACCAGGATTTTTACATGAAATTTTACATTTAAAGTACCATAAGCTAACAAGTAAGGACAGTGTAAAGAATGTTCAGGGAAGTGAGGAGAGATCACTGTGGGCTGCCGCTTCTGAGGGGGGCACTTCCTGTGGGAGATGGTACTTCTGTTGAATTTTGAAGGAAGTAAGAGGGAATCAGAGGGCATTCCAGAGAACACTGTGATGAGCAAAATCACAGAAACAGTGACCTGTAATATATTCCTTGTTGTATAAAAAAATTGGAAATACAAGAAATATCCATAAATCATTTTTTAGAGGGAAAGTAGAATATATATGAAATCTAGTATCATCAGTTTGCTCTTTAAATATACATTTTATTATGTACAGGACTTACCACAGGTGAAATCTTATGTGATATTTGCATTTCAAAAGTAAGAAGTAACTGCGTGATTGGTACAGCTGTGTCCTTGTGATTCTAATTTTCCGTATCACTTTAATATCTTGCTATCTATGTTAGATTTTCCTAAAATTGAACATATGCAAAAGCAAAAGGCTGAACTATAGTTAGGGCCATGGGATTGGAGAGGAAAAAGTAGACAGAAGATATGAGGACCAAGAACAAGTAGGACTTGGTGGTTGATAGGTTCTCAAGAGAATCAAAAGTGCTTCTGAATTTGGATAGTGAGAAGAATGAATGACAACTCATACAACAGAATTGTACATAATTTTCTTCTCATATCCTTGGCCCTAGTCTTAAAGACATTTGCCAATCTTTTTAAAATATCTTTGCCAAGTTCATGCCTTTTAAAATAGGCTTTTAAGAATTAAAATATTTTGTGTTCTTTTTAAATTTAGGAAGTTATGGTTGCTGATGATCTGGAAAGCGAGGTAGGGTGACATTTTATTTTAAACCATTAAAATTGTTTTAGGAATTGAAGATGATATAGTAGTAAAGGTTTAAGTCCTGAATTGAGATAGAGACCAGGATTCTATTTCTGGTTATTAAAGGGAAATTCAAAATCTATAGATGACTAAAAAAGGATGTTTTGAATGTAGTGGCATAGATTATTGTAGGCATTTTGTTGTTATTGCCTCTGAAAGTCTTACTTTCTGTGAAACTTGTCCTGAAAATAATATAAAATTCTAAACATAAAGAAAATGTCTGAAAACATTAAGATTGAAAACAGAGATTTGAATTTTTTATGATTTTGTTTATAGATATTGTATGTTTCATTAGTATATTTGTAGAAATTATCAACTCTATTAGTAGTTAAAGTTCACCAGGTTGGAGAATTCATTAACTCCAGTCCTCAATGCAATTCCAATTCACGTTTTCTAAAACACATTTTTAATCCAATTCCAAGCACAGGGTGATTTTACTGTATTTATTCTGTTTCATTTCAGAGAGAAAAGCTGAAGTCCCTTTTGGCAGCTAAAGAAAAGCAACATGAAGAAAGCTTAAGGACTATTGAGGCTCTGAAAAATAGATTTAAATATTTTGAGGTATAGAAAGGATAAATTATTTCCTGTAATTCATAATGGGTAATGGTAAGGCTCTTGGCATCAGACTTGAATTTGAATTATAAATCTCTTATTTATAGTGTGACCTTGGGCTGCTTATTTAAAGTCTTCAAACTTGTTGCCTCTTTGGCAAAACTGGGGTGATTGTCTCTTTCTCCACATAGTTATAAAGGTTAAGTGAGATCATTTAAATTGACTAGCATGTAATTGACATTTAGTGTCATTCTAGTTTCTCTTCATTGTCCATCCTTACCTTTTTAAAACATCATATTTCTACCTGTAAATTTGCAGTGAGTATAATGATAATAAAAAGCATTCATATAAATGAATGATGATATGTCCAGGATTATCTCAGAAAGGATTCATCACTGGGCATCACTGAAGGCAGCTGATTCAGCATGAATCTTTTGTCTTTGTTGGTGAATGCAGCCCCAAAGTACACTAAAAAAGTGCCTTAGTCCGTTCATGCTGCTGTAACAAAATAAAGAAAATTTATAAAGAACAAATTTATTTCTCCCATTTCTGGAGGCTGGAAAGTCCAAGATCAAGGCTCTGGCGTTCATGTCTGGTGAGGGCCTTTTGCTGCATCCTCACCTGGCAGAAGGCGAAAGGGCAAAAAGGAGCCTAAGTGAAGCCCTCGTGACTTAATCAGTTTCCAAAAGGCCCCACCTCTTAATACCACCACAGTGGGAATTTAAGTTTCAACACATTTTGGCAGACATTCAGACCATAGCAAAAATAATATTCTTCTTTGTAAATAAAAAACTATGTGTGCATTATGAAAAATAATATAAAACATGTATGAATCTCACAGACAGTGTTGCAAGAGATAAGTCAGACACAAAGAGTACATACTGCACGATTCTATTTTTATGAAGTTCAAAAGCAGATAAAACTAATCTATGATGTTAGAGATTAGAATAGAGACCGCCGTTTGGTGAGGGGTTACTGAGTAAGGTGTGTGAAGAAACTTTTGGTGTCCTGGAAGTGTTTTATATCTTAATCTGGGTTGTGTATAATTACAAAAGGTATGCATATGCAAAAATTCATTGTATTATACACACTTAATATGTGTACATATTTATGTGACTGAATTTTCAAGATTATTCAGAAACACCATTTTATAACCCAAAGAATGATCTAGCTGTAGTGGCTTCTATCTTCTTCACATTTGAAGACTCTTTTTTAGGCTAATTGTGAAACTGGTGATTGCTAATATTTTAATAGCACTGACCATGTACTTTGCATTCTTGTCGTACCTCAAAAAAGAAATCAACTCTATGTGATAAGTTTTATTGTTACCTGACTTCACAGGTAAGGAGGTTGAGGCACAGAGAGGTTTACCCATGAGGGGTTTCACAAATAATAAGTGACAGAGTCAGGACTTGAACCCAAGCATCTGTTGTGCTTTTAACTACAATGCTAGTTTTACACTTAGAATTACTTGAATGAGAAAATTTAGGAGTATATACAGGGCCTTTTAAGTATTAATCAAAGTATAATATAATTTCGGTACTATTTATGTATGTATTTCTTCTAGGAGCTAGACTTTCGCATGTCTTAAGTGTAAGGTATAGGCCAGGCGCAGTGTCTCACGCCTGTAATCCCCGCACTTTTGGGAGGCCAAGGTGGGTGGATCACTTAAGGTCAGGAGTTTGAAACCAGCCTGGCCAACATGGCAAAACTCCGTCTTTACGAAAAATACAAAAATTAGCAGGGCGTGGTGGCACATGCCTGTAATACCAGCTACTCAGGAGGCTGAAGCAGGAGAATTGCTTGAATCTGGGAGGTGGAGGTTGCAATGAGTGAGATCACGCCACTGCACTCCAGCCTGGGTGACAGTGAGACTCTGTTTCAAGGGGAAGAAAAAAAAAGATGTTTTTCTGTAGCTTTAGACAAACAATTTGTCTAAAATGTCAAGTCTATAACTTACAATAGTCATAAAAGTAACTTATTTTTCTTATAAAAATACTTATTTACTTTAGAAAAATAAGAAAGTATATTTAAACTGAAAGCAGATGCAAAAGACACCTATAATCTTAACTCTGCTAGCACCTGACTGAAATCCTTTCAGACATTTGTACATAATTTGTGTGTTATATACTCATTCAACAGGTGGGATCATATAGTACATCCTGTTTTGTAACTGTTCCCATTCAGTATGATGGGGACATTTTCCTCAGTCACTACGTATTCATTGTGATGAAATTTTATGCTAGATATGATTTTTTACTTTCAAACAGAAAATTACAGGTCCCACTTTATATGTGACCCAGTATTTATAACAGCAACCATTAAAAACTACTAAGAATTTGCCTGGGTGTGGTGTCTCAGCCTGTAATCCCAACACTTTGGAAGGCCGAGGCAATTGGATCGCTTGAGCTCAGTTGTTCGAGACCAGCCTGGGCAACATGGTGAAATCCCGTCTCTACCAAAAACATAAAAATTAGCTGGGCGAGGTGGTGCATGCCTATAATCCCAGCTACTTGGGTGGCTGAGGAAGGTGAATCACTTGAACCCAGGAGGTGGAGGCTGCAATGAGCCGAGATCATGCCTCTGCACTCCAGCTTGAGTAACAGAGTGAGACCCTGTCTCAAAACCAACCAACCAACCAACCAACAAACTACTAAGAATTCATCATTTACAAACATTGAATATCTACTGCTGTATTATCTCACATGCTTAAAAAAGCTTAACTGTCAAAGGAATTACTGTTACGAGTTATGTATAATAACTTAACATGTAGCTATTTCCCTTGTATGTATAAAAATATGGGGAAAATGGATATTTTAGAATGAGACTGATTTTATGTTACAACTTTTATATTTGTTTTCATTTGAGTAATAGAGATAATAAGACCAAATTAAGTTTTTTGAACTCCTTATGTGCATAGCACCCCCTAATACATGTATGAGGCCATTTAGTAGTTATTGTAAACTTTAGTATTAAATATTCCATAGAACAAAGAGCTTAACTAAGCTTATAGGTATTTTTTCATACTGTGGGGGCACTAATGATTAATGGAGGTGGCATTAATTTAGTCATGGAATTGTGGACTGTTTTATCATGGTCAACTACTTCAGAGTTTGGTATGTAGCTTTTAGGACTGATACACCTAAATATACAAATATGAACTACATCTGCCTGTCCTTACTCTTCATTTCACTCTGGGGTTTTTTGTTTTGTTTTGTTTTGTTTTTGAGACAGGATCTCACTCTGTCACCCAGGCTGGAGTGCAGTGGTGCAATCACCACTCACTGTAGCCTTGACCTCCCCGGGCTCAGGTGATCCTCCCACCTCAGCCTCCTGAGTACCTTGGGTTACCCTGCCCAGCTAATGTTTTTGTGTGTGTTTGTTGTTATTTATTTATTTATTTTTGAGACGAAGTTTCACTCTTGTTGCCCAGGCTGGAGTGCAATGGCACGATCTCGGCTCACTGCAACCTCCGCCTCCCAGGTTCAAGCAGTTCTCCTGGCTCAGCCTCCCTACTAGCTGGGATTACAGGTGCCCGCCACCACACCCAGCTAATTTTTTGTATTTTTAGTAGAGACGGGGTTTCACTATGTTGGCCAAGCTGGTCTTGAACTCCTGACCTCAGGCAATCCACCTGCCTCAGCCTCCCGAAGTGCTGGGATTACAGGCATGAGCCACCGCACCCAGCTCGTTCTTGTATTTTTTTGTAAGGACGAGGTCTCACCACGTTGCCTAGGCTGGTCTTGAACTCCTGGGCTCAAGTGATCTGCCTGTCTCAGCCTTCCAAAGTGCTGGGATTACAGGTGTGAGCCACTGTGCCTGGCCTATTCTTACCCTTGAAGTGTAGTATTTTAATTTATATATTAGATTCTTTGTATTTGGCTTACTTGGGAAAAGGAACAACCCAGTATATTTTGATTCACTGTAGCTAGAGTTCTCTATTATTTCCTAACTAATGGATTGATGGATTTATTACTATGTGTAGGTCTCTGCCTCAGTTTCATTTCCTGCTCTCTCTCTCTTTTTACTTTCAAAGTACTTGGTATTTTATAAACTCTGGAAGAAGTGGTTATGTTGATATTTCATAGTCAATGAGGTAGGGTTTCTGCTTCCTACAGTGGTAAAGTAAAATGAGTTATTGACATGAATGTGGCCACTTCCTTCCTTTTGAGGTAAAGCAGTAGCAAACAGTAGTCTTTGAAAGTTGTTTCAGTTCATTTAGGGCTCACTTTTTTTTTTCTTTTGAGCAATAAAGTTTTTTCTTAAAACACTTGGCTGCTTTTATTAAAATGCTTAGTGAAGTACTTTATTCCCAGCTGATCTCTCTAAGTGTTGCTAGTGTTGTTTCTTTTTGTGGGTTTGAGTAGAATAATGCTCTGGAGAAACAAGAATGTCAAAAATGTAGTTTTAATGACTGCATGATTTAGAGCTAAAATAGATACAGAATTTAACAAAATGAGGCAGCATTCACCCTAAAATATTTTATGCTTCTGATTTCAGAGTGATCATTTAGGATCAGGAAGTCATTTCAGTAACCGTAAGTATAAAAGTATGGATTATCATTACAGTTCACCTAGTTCAAGTAAAGAAGAATGTTTATTCTTACTTGTTTAACTATACAGGAATAACTGTACAAGATATTCCTGCTGCTAAACTTCATCAGCACATGGAACTAGGAAGACGTTAAGATGACTATTGTAACTTCTAACATATTCTGATAATTACTGAAGCTCTGATTCTCCTTAGCTACCTGTATTTTAAAATTGTATATTGTATGAATTACCAAATTTGCCTTGTTGATTAGTAGACATAGACATTTGTCTTGTGATATTTAGGGTTCATTTTTTTATGGAAAGAACATAAACATAGTTTTCTAATTTGGAGAAATCGGTCTTAATGCAAGTAGGCATTTTAAAATTACATTTATGAATTATTTTTAGACCCTACATAATCTTTTTTATTCTGCAATGTTAAACAGTTTCTCTAGAAAATCTGTTTTTGTTTCCTAGTGACTATTAAACTATTCTCTCCTACAACAGTAATATTTATGCTATAAATTTAAATCATCATTTTTGTTTTGATTGATTATAAGATATATGTTTTATTATCATGTAGCCTAGTTTAAGAGTCCTCAATATTTCTGAAGTTTTAGTGATTCTGCTGAGAGAGAGCATAGAAAAAAATAAGAAAAAAAAAAACCAACCTAGTATCTGTTGTTCAGTAGATTGTAGGTACTTCTGTTTATAGAAATAATAAGGGGAAAATGGGTATTTTAGAATGAGGATACTTTTGTGTTGTACCTCTTGCTTCTCTTTTATTTGAATAATAAAGGAAATAACATCAAATTAATGTTTAGCCTACTTTAGTATGGATATTGAAGTTAAAATGTCATTCATTTGCATTTATTTAGGAAAAGAAGATATGCTTCTTAAACAAGGTCAGATGTATATGGCAGACTCACAGGTAATAACTGTTTTTTTTTTTAATTTTAAAAAACATTTAAAGAAAATTTTTGTGCCTTTATAAAGAGAGGAGAAAGCGGCATTGTACATTAAGTATATATACATAGAGTGAGGTTTTCATTATCAAAGACAAGTTGGTCCTGCTTTCTTGAGTTTAATAAAAACAGATATTGCTGTTTCTGGTGCCCTCTAGAGTGTTTTTGATGATAGTGGTTATAATAAGAGATTTGAATTATAGTTTCATTGCATTTGATGCTAAGTTTCTGTTCATTAACAGTGATTAGTTAACTCTTCATATTTGCCCATATAAAGGGGAAGACAGATATGAATAATCCAAAATATAATTTTTTGGTTTTTTTTTTTCCTCTTGATCCAGGGGAAAGGCAGTTCAGATTTAACTAACAGTAAATCTGTAGGGGTCTGCAGCAAGCTCTATCCTTGCCTCTTCAGAGGAAAGGATTCGGCTGAGGGGCAGAAGTAGGTTTAAGGCAGAGGGAGAGACCAAGGGAAGTTTTAGGGCAGGAGTGAGTTTATTAAAAAGTGTTAGAGCAGGAACGAAAGGAAGCAAAGTACACTTGGAAGAAGGCCAAGTGGGCGGCTTGAGAGATCCCAGTACCCTGTTCAGCCCTTGGCTTGGGATTTTTATGCACTGGCTTGGTTTTGGGGTTTGCATTTCTCCTCCCTTGATTCTTCTCTTGGGGGCAGGCTATCTGCATGCATAGTGGCCTGTCAGCACTTAGGAGGGGCCACATGTGTAGTGCCTTTACTAAGGTTGTGCACCTGCTCTCTAGGGGCTATTTTCCTTTACCAGTCAAATGCTCCCTGAAGAAGGTCATACATCCACCATTTTGCCTCTTAGTGCGCATGCTTGAGCCTGCTCACCCAGCTCCGGAGATCTTATCAGGAAGCCGCTGTCACCAGCTCCAGGTGTTTTCTGTCTATTGGGAGACTCTCTTTCCCTGGTGCTGGCTGTGACCAATCATTCTCTTGACAACTCTGATAACTAGCTGGGTTTCTTTTCGTGGTATTTTTATAATTCAGAGAATATTCTGTTGGATTAACAGTGAAGGTACGCAGAAGTCAAAAATCTTATTAGTTAAATCTATAATTCTATGAAATTATCTGCAAATTTAAAATCGCAGTACTTGTTTTTATTCAAGGATATGATGGTTTTCTTCAGAATTTAAAGTTCTAAGCACATTATGTACCATAAAACATAGAAATAATAAATATGTTTTGATAAAGTTGATGATATTCATGTGTGGGTAGGTGTTAATGAATGGGGGAAGAAAGACAAAATAGCACCCAGTAGCCATGGCCATTGTCCGTTGTTCTGCCAGAAATAGACTTACGTGAACAGAACTCTCAAAATGTTGTGAATGTATTAAGGAAATCATATCCAGAACTGTTTCCTTACCACAAAAATCAGCATTGTGATTTTTTTTCCATCTTACTGCCTAATCTGAAAACCCTTTGATTCCTGATGATGTGCTAACTTTCTCTAAGTTTGGCAAATAAGTATAGTAAATGTCTCATTTAGGCTTTTGTGATTGATGTCTTTTTTTTTTTCTTTTCAGTGTACTTCCCCAGGTATACCAGCCCATATGCAAAGCAGATCTATGTTAAGACCTCTGGAACTATCTTTACCCAGTCAAACGTCATACTCTGAAAATGAAATTTTAAAGAAAGAGTTAGAAGCAATGCGAACTTTCTGTGAGTCAGCAAAACAAGACCGACTGAAGCTCCAAAATGAACTGGCACACAAAGTGGCAGAATGCAAAGCTTTAGCATTAGAATGTGAAAGGGTCAAGGAGGATTCAGATGAACAGATAAAGCAATTAGAAGATGCATTAAAAGATGTGCAGAAGAGGATGTATGAGTCAGAAGGTAAAGTTAAACAAATGCAGACCCATTTTCTTGCCCTTAAAGAACACTTAACAAGTGAAGCAGCCTCAGGGAATCACAGACTAACCGAGGAACTGAAGGATCAGTTGAAAGACTTGAAAGTAAAATATGAAGGTGCTTCAGCAGAAGTGGGGAAATTAAGAAACCAAATCAAACAAAATGAGATGATAGTAGAAGAGTTTAAGAGGGATGAAGGCAAGCTGATAGAAGAAAATAAGCGATTACAGAAGGAACTTAGTATGTGTGAAATGGAGCGAGAGAAGAAAGGAAGAAAGGTCACAGAGATGGAAGGCCAGGCAAAAGAATTGTCAGCGAAGTTGGCCCTTTCCATTCCAGCTGAAAAATTTGAAAACATGAAGAGCTCATTATCAAATGAAGTGAATGAGAAAGCAAAAAAATTAGTAGAAATGGAAAGAGAACATGAAAAATCACTTAGTGAAATTAGACAGTTAAAGAGAGAACTTGAGAATGTTAAGGCCAAGCTTGCTCAGCACGTCAAACCAGAGGAACATGAACAGGTTAAGAGCAGATTAGAACAGAAATCAGGAGAACTTGGGAAGAAGATCACTGAGTTAACATTGAAAAATCAGACACTACAAAAGGAAATTGAAAAAGTTTATTTGGATAATAAGCTCCTCAAGGAGCAAGCACATAACTTAACAATTGAAATGAAAAATCATTATGTTCCTTTAAAAGTAAGTGAAGACATGAAAAAGTCACATGATGCAATTATTGATGATCTTAATAGAAAGCTTTTAGATGTAACACAAAAATATACAGAAAAGAAGTTGGAAATGGAGAAATTGCTACTGGAAAATGACAGCTTAAGTAAGGATGTAAGCCGCCTAGAAACTGTGTTTGTACCTCCTGAGAAACATGAAAAAGAGATAATAGCTCTGAAATCCAATATTGTTGAACTTAAGAAACAGCTGTCTGAACTTAAGAAAAAATGTGGTGAAGACCAGGAGAAAATACACGCTCTCACATCTGAAAACACTAACTTGAAGAAGATGATGAGTAATCAGTATGTGCCAGTTAAAACCCATGAAGAGGTTAAAATGACACTGAATGACACGTTAGCCAAAACTAACAGAGAATTATTAGATGTGAAGAAAAAATTTGAAGATATAAATCAGGAATTTGTAAAAATAAAAGATAAGAATGAAATATTAAAAAGAAACCTGGAAAACACTCAGAACCAAATAAAAGCTGAGTACATCAGCCTGGCAGAGCACGAGGCAAAGATGAGCTCGCTAAGTCAGAGCATGAGAAAGGTGCAGGATAGTAATGCTGAAATCTTGGCCAACTACAGAAAAGGCCAAGAAGAGATTGTGACACTGCATGCCGAAATTAAAGCCCAGAAGAAGGAGCTCGACACAATACAAGAATGCATTAAGGTAAAATACGCCCCAATTGTCAGCTTTGAGGAGTGCGAGAGAAAATTTAAAGCAACAGAGAAAGAACTAAAAGACCAGTTATCAGAGCAGACACAAAAGTATAGTGTCAGTGAAGAAGAAGTCAAGAAAAACAAGCAAGAGAATGACAAGTTAAAGAAGGAGATTTTTACCCTTCAGAAAGATTTGAGAGATAAGACAGTTCTCATTGAGAAGTCTCATGAAATGGAAAGAGCATTAAGCAGAAAAACAGACGAGCTAAACAAACAGTTAAAAGACTTGTCACAGAAATACACGGAAGTAAAGAATGTGAAAGAGAAGCTAGTAGAAGAAAATGCCAAACAGACTTCTGAGATACTTGCAGTGCAAAATCTTTTGCAAAAACAACATGTTCCATTGGAACAGGTTGAGGCTCTGAAAAAATCTCTTAATGGCACAATTGAAAATCTAAAGGAAGAACTGAAGAGTATGCAAAGGTGTTACGAGAAAGAGCAGCAGACAGTGACCAAACTGCATCAATTGTTGGAGAATCAAAAGAACTCTTCTGTACCCCTGGCAGAGCATTTGCAGATTAAAGAAGCATTTGAGAAAGAAGTTGGAATCATAAAAGCCAGCTTGAGAGAAAAGGAAGAAGAAAGCCAAAACAAAATGGAAGAAGTCTCCAAACTTCAGTCGGAGGTTCAGAATACTAAACAAGCATTAAAAAAATTAGAGACTAGAGAGGTAGTTGACTTGTCTAAATATAAAGCAACAAAAAGTGATTTGGAGACACAGATTTCTAGCTTAAATGAAAAATTGGCCAATCTGAATAGAAAGTATGAGGAAGTATGTGAGGAAGTTTTGCATGCCAAAAAGAAGGAAATATCTGCAAAAGATGAGAAGGAATTACTGCATTTCAGCATTGAGCAAGAAATTAAGGATCAGAAGGAACGATGTGATAAGTCCTTAACAACAATCACAGAGTTACAAAGAAGAATACAAGAATCTGCTAAACAAATAGAAGCAAAAGATAATAAGGTAGGTACAAAGTAGTCTGCACGGCTATGTGTTGGAAACCCCAGAGCAGTGCTCTTTACCACAGAATCTCACAGGAAAGTAGACACAGGTATTAACAAAGTGACCCTTTCCAGTTTAGCAACTTGCGTGCAAAAATTCCGAATTGAAAAAAAAAGTGAAGTAACACAAAAGTCAAAAGCATTTTTCCTTCTGTTTCTTTAGCTGTTCTAGCCAAGAATTCAGGAACGATGGGGAGACTTAAGGCTCACTTGTCTCATACATGAAGAGTCAAAAGCCAGTGGGTTTGTGGCATATGAAAGATGGGGAAGAGGGTGGTGGGGAAGCTCTCTTTCTGGGCTGCAAGAAACCAAGAACACTGGGGAGCATCTAGAGTTGATCTCGGTACTCACCCATAGTAGTAAACTGAGCCCTCCAATTCATTTTATGTTCTGTTGCTCATGTCTTTCTACAGACTAGAAAGTCTACATCCCCTCACCCAGAATGTCCTTTCCCTCCTTTCTACTGAGTTGAATCCTATACATTCATTAACATGTTATCCTCCTTCTTAAAGCCCTCACTGTCCAATCTAGTCTATAGTAAACAGTTCCTCCTCTAAGGTGGATGTTTTACTGTGGCTTTGCCATCCATTTAAAACATTTATATTACCTTGTTAGAATTATGTAGTTGATCTTCCCAATCAGTTTTTATGAGCAGGGTTTATAACTTAACTTTCCATCTTAGCTTTAATTCTCATGGTACAATTTACAGAATAGGTACTCAACAATATTTTTGACACTGATGTTGCATAAAGTTTTTACTATGGATATGACATATAAAGATTGGCTGCAGTTTTATCCATTCAACATGTAATGATTAAATGCCTTCTGCATGTCATGTGCTGGGGATACAGTGGAGTAAACACAGACACAGACTGCCCTCCCCAGTGGAAAGTACTTGTACATACTGTCCTCTGGCACACCATCTCTGTGATTGAGAATTTAAATGCTCTAAGCTTGTTCAGAAGGTACCTATGAATATATATAGTAATATATAAGAGTTAATTATTAATATCTACTTGTTGCCATTTATTGAGCGGGTGCATGTAATTGCATTTCATTTTCTTTGTTTTTTTTCTATTATTATTTTTCAATAAAAAATTTTGTGGGGGAGGAGATGGTATCTTGCTCTATTGCCCAGGCTGGTCTTGAATTCCTGAGTTTAAACAATCTTCCTGCCTTAGCCTCCCAAAGTGTTGGGACTATAGGTGTGAGCCACTGTGCCCAACCTGATTTTCTTAACTCTGAAAGATTGTCCACCTTTCACCAATGTGGAATCTAAGGCTCAGAAAAGTAAATTAGCCAAGCTCATACAAGTTGACTCTGTCTGACTTTAAAGCAGGGTGGAAAAATGCTATGTTTCTAGGCACTTCCTATTCCTATAAACAAGCCTCCTTGTTTTTTTTCTCTCTACAACAAAGTGGTCTTAAATAATACAACTCTTGAAAGGAAAAAGGAACATATGTTAATCCTAGACTTACACGGGCCACACCCTTTTACTTTTCACACTTTGTTGCTGGGAATCCCCCTTCCCTTCCTGTGTTCCATATGTTACCTGGAAGATAGTTCATGTGCCTTCGTAGATGCTTATATATTAGCTAAAAGTAAGACTATGTTTATACTCACATCTTAGGATATATGTAATATTTATTCTTAATTTGGTATTGCTTTTGTAAATAATTTCTGGAGAGGGATTTAATTATAAATTACATATTGTATACATCCTTGGTAACAGTCTTGGCAATATTCATACCTCAATTTTCTGGTGTATAAAGATAAAGCTTCTGTCTCCAAAAAGGAATGATTTCTGTACAAAGATGTTCATTGTACATGATAAGTGAATAATATATTTCTCCTACAACATTTTTTTAAAGATAACTGAACTGCTTAATGATGTGGAAAGATTAAAACAGGCACTCAATGGCCTTTCCCAACTCACCTACACAAGTGGGAACCCCACCAAGAGGCAGAGCCAGCTGATTGACACTCTGCAGCACCAAGTGAAATCTCTGGAGCAACAGCTGGCCGTGAGTAACCAGGCACACGGGGCTTTGCAGGAATATGTGCTGGCTCCCTGTAGTTAGTTTGTAAGGCTCATTTAGAAATTAAAGTGCTCTGTAGCTATGTTCGGATCCAAGAATATAATTATTTTTATATGCGAAAAGTTACCTATACTGGTGGTGTAATAATACTTATTTGATGCCTACTATACACCAGGCACCATATTAAACATTTTACGTACTTTATCTATAAACTTTATCTTCATCATGATCTCACAAAGCAGATTTATTCCCTCCATTTAATTCTTAAGGAAACAAAGAATAACATATTTGATGCCTGGGGTCATTCAGCTGGGGTATAAACCTGGAACTGGCTGACTCCAAATCCAGCATCTTTCTCATTGCAGGGTGCTCTCTAAAATATTGGTCCACTAAACTAAAGGAGGTTTTAAAATAATCTTTTATCTTTGTGAATAAAGAGGCATTCCTATGGTTTTATACCTTATATAGAAGGATAAGTGCCTGGATTTAGAAGCTAATGTTGGAAGGTCTGGTCTAAGTCCTGCCACTTACAAGGAAGTGGCAAGGAACATTCCCTTTAACTCTTGGTTTTCTCATCAAGAAAATAGAATAATAACTGATTACTTGTTTACATTTATTATTATTTTTATTATACTTTAAGTTCTAGGGTACATGTGCACAACGTGCAGGTTTGTTACATATGTATACATGGACCATGTTGGTGTGCTGCACCCATTAACTCGTCATTTAACATTAGATATATCACCTAATGCTATCCCTCCCCCCTCCCCCCACCCCACAACAGGCCCCAGTGTGTGATGTTCCCCTTCCTGTGTCCATGTGTTCTCACTGTTCAGTTCCCACCTATGAGTGAGAACATGCAGTGTTTGGTTTTTTGTCGTTGCGATAGTTTGCTGAGAATGATGGTTTCCAGCTTCATCCATGTCCCTACAAAGGACATGAACTCATCCTTTTTTATCACTGCATAGTATTCCATGGTGTATATGTGCCACATTTTCTTAATCCAGTCTATCATTGTTGGACATTTGGGTTGGTTCCAAGTCCTTGCTATTGTGAACAGTGCCGCAATAAACATATGTGTCTTTATAGCAGCATGTGTCTTTATAGCAGCATGATCTATAATCCTTTGGGTATATACCCAGTAATGGGATGGCTGGGTCAAATGGTATTTCTACTTTGAGATCCCTGAGGAATCGCCACACTGACTTCCACAATAGTTGAACTAGTTTACAGTCCCACCAACAGTGTAAAAGTGTTCCTATTTCTCCACATCCTCTCCAGCACCTGTTGTTTCCTGACTTTTTAATGATTGCCATTCTAACTGGTGTGAGATGGTATCTCACTGTGGTTTTGATTTGCATTTCTCTGACGGCCAGTGATGATGAGCATTTTTTCATGTGTCTTTTGGCTGCATAAATGTCTTCTTTTGAGAAGTGTCTGTTCATATCCTTCGCCCACTTGTTGATGGGGTTGTTTTTTTCTTGTAAATGTGTTTGAGTTCATTGTAGATTCTGGATATTAGCCCTTTGTCAGATGAGTGGATTGCAAAAATGTTCTCCCATTCTGTAGGTTGCCTGTTCACTCTGATGGTAGTTTCTTTTGCTGTGCAGAAGCTCTTTAGTTTAATTAGATCCCATTTGTCAATTTTGGCTTTTGTTGCCATTGCTTTTGGTGTTTTAGACATGAAGTCCTTGCCCATGCCTATGTCCTGAATGGTATTGCCTAGGTTTTCTTCTAGGGTTTTTATGGTTTTAGGTATAACATTTAAGTCTTTAATCCATCTTGAATTAATTTTTGTATAAGGTGTAAGGAAGGGATCCAGTTTCAGCTTTCTGCGTATGGCTAGCCAGTTTTCCCAGCACCATTTATTAAATAGGGAATGGTTTCCCCATTTCTTGTTTTTGTCAGGTTTGTCAAAGATCAGATAGTTGTAGATATGTGGCATTATTTCTGAGGGCTCTGTTCTGTTCCATTGGTCTGTATCTCTGTTTTGGTACCAGTAGCATGCTGTTTTGGTTACTGTAGCCTTGTAGTATAGTTTGAAGTTAGGTAGCATGATGCCTCCAGCTTTGTTCTTTTGACTTAGGATTGACTTGGCGATGCAGGCTCTTTTTTGGTTCCATATGAACTTTAAAGTAGTTTTTTCCAATTCTGTGAAGAAAGTCATTGGTAGCTTGATGGGGATGGCATTGAATCTATAAATTACCTTGGGCAGTATAGCCATTTTCATGACATTGATTCTTCCTACCCATGAGCATGGAATGTTCTCCCATTTGTTTGTATCCTCTTTTATTTCATTGAGCAGTGGTTTGTAGTTTGCCATGAAGAGGTCCTTCACATCTCTTGTAAGTTGGATTCCTAGGTATTTTATTCTCTTTGAAGCAATCGTGAATGGGAGTTCACTCATGATTTGGCTCTCTGTTTGTCTGTTATTGGTGTATAAGAATGCTTGTGATTTTTGCACATTGATTTTGTACCCTGAGACTTTGCTCAAGTTGCTTATCAGCTTAAGAAGATTTTGGGCTGAGATGATGGGGTTTTCTAGATATACAATGATGTCATCTGCAAACAGGGACAATTTGACTTCCTCTTTTCCTAATTGAATACCTTTTATTTCCTTCTCCTGCCTGATTGCCCTGGCCAGAACTTCCAATACTATGTTGAATAGGAGTGGCGAGAGAGGGCATCCCTGTCTTGTGCCAGTTTTCAAAGGGAATGCTTCCAGTTTTTGCCCATTCAGTATGATATTGGCTGTGGGTTTGTCATAGATAGCTCTTATTATTTTGAGATACGTCCCATCAATACCTAATTTATTGAGAGTTTTTAGCATGAAAAGTTGTTGAATTTTGTCAAAAGATGGGGTCTTCTATGTGGCTTAGGCTTGTCTCCAATGGGGTCTTGCTATAGGCTGATCTCCTGGGCTCAAGTGATCCTACTGCCTCAGCTTCCTGAGTATCTGGGACTATGCTTTTAATTATGCACTAATACACATTGAAATGCTAAGTAAAACGGCCCAGTCACATGTAAATTGTTGCTGATGTTTCCCTATTTCATAGAATTGTTTGAGTTATTTTTTAATAGAAGAAAGGTTTTTTGTTTTGTTTCTTTTTTAGTGTTTATTTTTTAACACTGTAGGCCTACAGATTAAGGATGGCAAATTGTGGATTTGGATCTTATCCAAAGAGTATAGTGTCCCTTTAATAATTGGAAATATTTGTTTATTGTTTATTATGTTCATGACCCTGTGCTAAGTGGGATAAAGAAAGTATGCCATTCCTGTCCCCAAGGAGTTCTGGGTAGTTAGAGAGGCAAAATACAGATTCATAAAAAGTAAAAATCACAAGATGAGAGATGTCAAATGTAGAACTGAGAATGCAGATTCTAAGTGATAGGGGTTTCCAGGAAGGAAAGATTAGTGGTGTGGTAGAAGCTAGTTTTTAAAGAAGGGAGTACCTGGCTTGAACTTGTAACGTAGATGCTATTTTGGTAGGTGAAAGGAAAGTAGAGGCTCTTCCATCTAAAGAAAATAGTGTAAAAGAAGCGTGGAGATGGAATACAAGTGGCATGGCCAGAGGGCAGTAAAAGCCCTGCCTGTAGAGTAGTCCCTCTCTTATCCACTGAGGGTATGTTCCAAGATCCCCAGTGGATGCCTGAAACCATGGATAGGACCTGCTGAATGAACCCTATATAAGCTATGTTTTCCCCCCAGATATACATACCTGTGATAAAGAGTAATTTATAAATTGGGCACAGTAAGAGATTAATAACAACATAATAAAATAGAACAATTATAACAATATGTTGTAATAAAAGTTATGTGAATGTGGTCTCTCTCTATATCTCAAAATATTGTATTATACCATGGGCAACAGAAATAGAGAAAGTGAAACTGCTCATCGCAAAACTGCCAATAAGAGGGGACTGCTGTATTTGAAAGTTAATGTTTGAAGCCAAACTGTGGAAGTCATTGAGAACCAAACTGATGAATTTGGATTCTCTCATGTATGTAAAGAAGTGTCACTCAAGGTTTTTGAGCCAAAAGTGATGTGAGGAAATAGGTACCTTAGTCTCAGAGGCATGGTAAGGAATATAGTGTGGAGATAGTAAGACAGGATGGGAAGCGTTTGCAATAATCCAGACATGTGATAAGTGTCTTCAGAAGTTCATGGCACTAGATATGAACTAAAGCAATAATTTGATGTTGCTTAGGGAAAGTAGCATTACTGTCATTAGCCACACATTCTTTACAGAAGTTTATATTGTTACGTTTTGAAATTCTGCATCTGGTAGGTCCAAGGTAGTTTGTTGTTAGAAGTAGCAGGATCGCCTTAATAATAATAATAGTTTTGTAGCATGAAGCCTGAGCATTGTCCAAAGTTTGGAAATGTGAACGCTGATAGTCACATCTGTCCATCTTTCCACATTTCTAGGATGCTGACAGACAGCACCAAGAAGTAATTGCAATTTATCGGACACACCTTCTTAGTGCTGCACAGGTAAAGAACTACTTCTCCTTTGGAAAGAATATTGCTTTAGAGATAATAATTTTTTATTTTCAAATAAATTTATGTGAAAGTAATTGATGTTTAAAGTAGCTGCACCCCCTATGCTTATTTAAAAATAATTATGTTTCTTTTAATCATTGTTTGTGGATCTCCCAGAAAAATTTACAAAGCTATATGGCAACACAACATCTTAAATTTAGTGTCGTCTCCATCTGCTTGTCACTCAGTTTATAGACAGTTTGGTAACATGTGATGGTAGCACACGTTAATGGTGTTGCTAGCTGGAGATAATGCCTTGACATCCACGTGTGGCTGTCATCTAAGAGGAGAGTGGGAATGGCTTTGAATACTAGAAAAGTACAAAAGTGACAAGCAGGGTGTTATGTGTATAGGATTGTAGTAATTAAAAATGATCTGTTTTACCAAGCCTTAACTTGGCTTGGTAAAGCCAAGGATTAATTAAGGAATAACAGTATGAATTCCCTTTTTTAGGGGTGTACTGAGAAAGTTATTGTTAAAATCATACTAAGAAATTACTAACATATAAAGGATACTATGCTTAATTTCCTGTAGAAACCCCGTGAGCAGCATCTTCAAAATTCTCAGAATAGATTTTTTTTCAGGAAGAAAATGTACTAAAAGAAACAAATTTTAGAATGACAGAGATCCTGGGAATTATTTGGATTTGAAGTATGTTAGGCCACACTGTAAAAACAAGCAAAAAAAAAAAAAAAAAAAAAAAAAAACAAACAAAAAATGAAGAAGGGAAAGATGGATGTTGAGAGAAAGCTTCAAAAAAAGAACAATTTTAAAAAGAGAACTAGATAAAATAATAAAAAGAAAGATACTTTATGATATCAAATTCTTAAAATCAATAGACCTGCCTCTTCTATAGGAAATGGAGGGGAAACTAATGAAAAAGAATGAATGATATGATAGAACAAGGGATCTTAGCTACTCTCTTTTGAGCAAATCAGAGATAAACTAGAATCTTAAAGTTTATTGCAATTATTAGAGAAGATTATTGAGGGACAGTGAATAGGAAGTTCAAGTGGGGAAATAGCAGAAAATCTGTATTAGAGAGGCTGAGAAACTCACTAGTATTGGCCATGAGAGGAAGAGGTTGCTCCTAATGAAAAATACAGCAAACTAACAAGCCTTTCCACTTTGTATAATATGCACTTCCGGAATTTGAAATTATTTTCTACTGTGTCCTAATGAAACATAACAAAAGCAATTGACATCAGAAATAGTCTTGCCTTCTGGCATCATAAAGTTAACTAAGAAATTCAGTTCAGTCAACTATGGCTAATGTTTGAAATGTAAACATCCTGCTGTTATAGAAACAGATTTTGGAAGCAAAACTTTTCATATTAATAGGAAGTGTTGTGCTGAAACCTATTTAAGTACTCCAGGAAAAAAAAAATGTGTGTGTTGGGAGGGGGTGCGGTATTTTAATAAGCCCACCATATTGAGTTGCATTTAATCAACTCGTGCCACCATTTTAAGTTTAAAGTATTTTTTAAAAATATAAATGGCTAACATGCATGTAAAAAAGATACTTGGTTTCATCAGTAATGGGGGAGATGCAAATGAATAAGAACATACCATTTTTCACCTGTGGGACTGGCAATATTACACAAGATTATAGTCTATCGTGTTAGCCAGAGTGTATGGGAAATGGGCATTTTCACTCCATTGATGGTAGTGTACAGATTGTTACAATCTCTGTAGAGGGAAATTTTGTAGTACTTAACAGAATTAAAAATTGAGACTGCTTTTTGACCCAGCAATTTCTTCTCTAGTAATCTTTCCATTAAGATTGGAAATACCTTAAATGTCCATCGTTAGGGGAATGGGTAAAGAAATGTAATATGTCCATGCAGTGGATATTATACAATAATTTAAAATAATTGGGTAGCTCAAGGGAAAGATTTCTGTGACACTACATAAAAAAACAAGTTACAAAATAGTATGTGTTATATAATCTTATTTACGTAAAAACATAAATATGGGTTTTTTAAATCAATTACTTAAATTTTAAATTTTTTTAGGAGACAGATTCTTGCTCTGCCATCCAGGCTGGAGTGCTGTGGCACAATCATAGCTCATACAGCCTCAACTCCTGGGCTCAAGTGATCATCCTCCCTCAACCTCCCAAGTAGCTGGGACTACAGGCACATGCCACCACACCCAGCTAATTTTTTTTTTTTTTTTTTAAGTTTTTGCGACAGTCTCCACTGTATTGTCTAGGCTGGTCTTAAACTCCTGGCCTCAAGTGATCCTCCCACCTTGGCCTCCCAAAATGCTGGGATTGCAGGTGTGAGCCACCATGTTCAGCCATCAGTTAGTTTTCTAAACAAACAAACAAAAAACCTCAGCAGCAACAACAACAGATTTCCTTGTAGTTTACTTTGTTCATTTATAACTTATGCTGCCCCTATCATCCAAGGCTGTTATTAAAAAAGAGAAAGAGGGAGGTTTATCCATTTGTTTTCTGGTAATGGAAGTTAGAGCAGCTGTTGTGCACTAGTCTTTTTGTTTTTTCAGATGGGGTCTCGCCATGTCACCCAGGCTGGAGTGCAGTGCCACAATCTTGGTTCGCTGCAACCTCTGCCTCCCAGGTTCCAGCGATTCTCCTGTCTCAGCCTCCCGAGTAGCTGGGATTACACCCGTCTAATTTTTATATTTTTACCAGAGATGGGGTTTCGCCATGTTGGCCAGGCTGGTCTCGAACTCCTGACCTCAAATGATCCACCCACCTCAGCCTCCCAAAGTGCTGGGATTGCAGGCGTGAGCCACCACGCCCGGCCGTGCACTCCTTATTAATTGATCTTATTTTCATGATAGGGCTGTACTCCCTTTTCCAGTAATTCCTTTAGAAATCACAATGATGAGGATTTAGCATTTGATGAATCAATGACTAGTTATGCTCTGTAAAAGCTTTATCTTTAGAATTCTTATGTAAACAAAGATGACATAAAATAATGCTCCTCTTTCTTCTTTCTCCGAAGGGTCACATGGATGAAGATGTTCAGGAGGCTCTGCTCCAGATCATACAAATGCGGCAGGGGCTTGTGTGCTAGCCGTTAGCACTGACTGCCAGTATCTGTTTTATCTTGCTGGTGCTGAACATTCTTTGTGCAACTCCATGGTCTTTCTGGGCCTTACTGTGCTGGTATAATTAAAATAAAATATATTTTGTTCTATTGGTAGGTTTTTTTTTAAAATTAGATGAATATGTTAGTCTTTTTCAATATCAGTTTGAATCTTATTTTCTGTATGTGTTAATTTTACAAATAGGCAAACAACATAACTTTGCCCTGGATTGACTACATATTTTTAAACCTTCAAGTCCCTAATAAAACATGAGCCATCTGAGTGAGTCCATATGAAGCGAGGTTAGGCTGAAATAATTGCTTAAAGATGTCTTTCAGAGAAATTAATTTGGTTGGTGGCCACTTTTAGGTGGATCAAAAGACCTTTCAGATCCTCAGAACCTTGAGACATAATACAGTTGTGAGGAATGTGTTGTAACTTGGCTGGCCAAGTTACATGTTACAGTATCTTTACTGAGGTAACTTCATTAGTGTCTTTGGCCTTTTTTGTAGGTATAGATATTTTTTCTTTTTACACTAATAACTTTTATGCCTTTTAAAATAAATTTATTTTCATAAATGGTTTGCAGTGCTAAATTACATTTAGATTAAGAACAGGCAGGGGTGGAATATATCAGGAATTTATAATAAAATTGCCTTAATCTCTACAACAGTATCTTAATTTTTACTTGCGGTGACTATTCTTGCCACAATATTGGAGAATAATGATAGATGATATACTAGATTTTTCAAAGTGTGAAAACCTTTAGACTTTTTTTAGCAATTAGTTTGACATTCGCTACTATAGTAACCAAGCACTCATTATATATGCATCCTCCAAATGTTTCATGCTTATTTATAGGAAAGTTATATTAATGAGATTAATAATGTGAAATACAGTTTTCCTGCAAAATTAGCATTAGAGAATTGATTTTAGATAACAGATTTTTAAAGTTTTAGAGAAAAGTACAGTAATACAGTAAACTGAAAGAGTATATAGATAGCAATAAAATAACATAAGTGGACATGTTTATAGTAAATACTCTGAAGTAAACAACCGTTTTTATTAACTGCATCTCATTAGGGAAAGTTTATATGTCTTGTTATTTTTTATTAACATTTTATTTACCATTCAGAGTGAAAATTACTAATTTGAGTATTAACAAATAACTGAATAAATGGATCATTACAGTTAGGTTTTCTCAAATTGCAAAATTTGCCTTAGCAATTATCTTTGAACATCCCGAACCAGATTTTTAAATCCCATTTTTGTTTAATAGGGTAAAAATACCATCAAAATGACTTCTCATACCAAAGAATAAGCCATCATATTTTTTCGGTGTTGAAACAACATTGAAAGTCAGAATTGGATTTGTTTTTAATTCTTTATACGGTTTACATAAGCAATATCTGTCTCTTTAATTATTATGATTAATGTCGTCCTTCAGCATGAGTTCTGTTTCACAAGTTTTGGGCCACCTATTTCAATAAAAAATAAAATATAAATTAAAAAAGTTGCCGGGGGTGGTGGCTCATGCCTGTAATCCCAGCACTTTGGGAGGCTGAGGGAGGTAGATCACCTGAGGTCAGAAGTTCGAGACCAGCCTTACCAATATGGTGAAGCCCCATCTCTACTAAAAATACAAAAATTAGCCCTGCATGGTGGCAGGTGCCTGTAGTCCCAGGTACTCGGGAGGCTGAGACAGGAGAATCGCTTGAACCTGGGAGGCGGAGGTTGCAGTGAGCCAAGATCTCGCCACTGCACTCCAGCTTGGGCAATAGCAAGACTCCATCTCAAAATAAAATAAAATAAAACTTAGAGCAAAGTTTAAAACTGAGTATTCATATTAAGTGTTTTATTTTCCATATTAGAGATGGGAAGGGAACCTTATGTGTATTTTATTTTGTTTTCAACCATCAATAAAGTTTTCTCTAGAATATTGTTTTGAACATCCTTGTAAAAGATTTGCGAGTTAAACTATTTTATTTACTGTCTGTGAGAGCATTGGGAGTAGGAAACGATGGACTCCAAAGTACAAGGGAGAATACCCATTTTCATTCAGCTATCTGGAGTAAAATATCAAGTACTTCCTTCAACTAATCTTGTCTCATTCACTCACCTTTTGATATCGAAGGCAGAAATTGCGTTTACAACACTGAAGACCAAAGCTTTTTAATTAGTAAACAAGCGGAACATAGATAATGGACAATGCTGGCCACTGCCATTCTGTGTTCAGAAAGACTATGAGACCTGAACATATGGCCAAGAGGAAAGAAGAGTGACGTTGTCTAAGATGTAATGAGTGCTCTCTGAGAGAATCACTCAATTCCTATTGGAGTGCAATCCTTACTTGAGAACTTTATTACTCTTGTTCTGTGTAGTTTTTTTTTTTTGTCACTTCCCCATCAGAAAAGCATATTCTTTTTGATAGAGGGTCAGTGTTATAAATAATTGTCTTTTGAAATAAAATCAAATATTCATGCATTGAACATCTTAAATCTTTAATATTATGGTGACTATAATCACTTAACTGTATCAGCATTGTTCTAGAATTCCAGATGAATTTAGCTTTGTCTTTTTTATGGCTTTTTAGTTGAACCTTTTCTCTTGACCCTAACCAAATTTTATAGTTTACAATTTTCTACTCTTCTTATAAATGCATTGGCTCATTGCTGCTTTAAAAATCTTGTAGCTTTAGAACATGAGCATTTTTTTTCTCCAGTGTTATCAGCTTTCCTCTGACAAGGAAGGACCTAAAAACTATTCTCACACATGTGCTTGTTACCCTACCTGAATGTTCATGTCTTTGACCGACTCGTTTCAAAGTAAAAAAGGGAAGAGTTTCTAGTTAATTTTTGGTGTTCATGGTGACTAGATACATCAGTGCCTGCTTGCAGGAGTGCCAGACCCTAGCAGTGGTTACAAGCTTCTTTTGACATCTGCTTCACCATGGTAGAAGACAGTTACTTCTTATTGCCTCTGTTTTCATCACTGGATTCTGCAACCTTGCGATCTTTTTTCTTGTTGGTTCTGTGCACCAAAGTAATGGTAGCTCCTCTGGCACCAAAATACGGGTTGAAAGAGAATGCCTGTGATGAACATGAAAGATGTGGCTGACCTAGATCTTACCCTTGGCCCCTAAGTTTTATGAATAAGTTCAGAGGGAGGATAAAAAGCACTGGAGAAGTAAAGGCAGAATTTGCACCATAAAATAGATTGTGCACAAAATACGAAATGAAAATTAGTATAGACATTTCAACTGTCATTTCATTCAGTGTTGTTCCCCGCTAAACTGGAAACTGAACCTGAGACTGTTGCTGGAAATTCAGTTCTTTCCCGTGTTTTGATCTTAGCTATTTGAAACAGGACTCTTTAGACCAGCCTCTCCAGGTAAATATTAACCTGCTTCTTAGCATGGTTTCTGATTATTACTGAATATATTGACCTTTGGGCTCAAGTGAGTAATGAATGTACAGATTTTTTTTTTTTTTTTTTTTTTTTTAAAGATCAAGCTGTATCAGCGATGGCATTCCAACAAGACTCCCTGGGCAGTGAGGGTGCTTGTGTTCAGTGTAATTGGGCATGTGACATCACTTATATATTAGAGGCATTTTCATTATTTATGCCTGCATGAACAAACATTGATGATGAATTAATTCAACCAAAAAGAGAAGGTTACAAAAATGTCATATGTAAATGAAAAAGAGCAAGACTGGTGAGGGTTGCTTCTCCAGTTCATATATATATATATATTTCAGTCTAATTTATATGTATATATATTCCATTCAGTAAAATAATGGAAGAGACATCAATAAAAACAATGCCCCTTATAATTGATATTTGGCATCAAATTGTACTTAATAGGCCTTTTTTTTTTTTTTTTTTTTTTTTTTTTTTTTTTTGAGGAGTTTCACTCTTGTTGCGTAGGCTGGCGCAGTTCGGACTCGTCTCACCGCAACCTCCGCCTCCGGGGTTCAAGTGATTCTCCTGCCTCAGCCTCCCGAGTAGCTGGGATTACAGGCATGCACCACCATGCCTGGCTAATTTTGTATTTTTAGTAGAGATGGGGGTTTCACTATCTTGGTCAGGCTGGTTTTGTACTCCTGACCTCAGGTGATCCACCCACCTCAGCCTCCCAGAGTGCTGAGATTACAGGCATCAGTCACCACGCCCGGCCTGACTTATATTTTAAGCAAGTTCGCAGTTTTTTTCGAGATAGCAGTCCTGGGAATATTCTGAATTCTGGAAAGAGTTTAGAGAGGTTATTGCCTTCTTAATAATTTAGAGCGTCTATTGCTCTGCCAAGTCAGAAGATTAACATTTAATAGAAAAAAATTATATATCTATAATTCAGTCACAGCTATTAGATCAGATGGATTTTGCATTAAGTGAAAAAGATGTTGAGCATTTAAGGACCATTAAACTACAGGACTCTATTGGGTTTTAAGGCCTCGAAGCCAGGGTCCTGCTGCGAAGAGTATTTATTTTACATATACAGAACCCATTAAGGATGGGAAAGGGGCACACATTTTAAAAGAAAATAGGCCATGAAAAAGTGTGATTTTCCACATTGTGAACAGCTACCAAACAGATTCAGTCTTACAATAATTAGTTTTATGCATCATTAAGTAGCTTGCTTACTGGCTAGAAGAATATGGTGAATCCCACTTTAAAAGTGGTACCTGCAGGAAATCCAAGTAGGTACATGTCCTTTGTTGATATTTCACTTAGAGAAACTGTGTTTCTAGTAGTTTCCAGGATTCTTAAGGTTGCTATATATTGTTAGGAATTTAAGTTTGGAAATGCCTTCTTCAGTGGTCCTTAAGGACCATGAAAACAAAGACCCAGAGAGGAATTCTAGTGTTTACTTTTTCTAGCAATGCTCAAATTATCAATGAGAGAGTGGAATTTGACCCTTGAGAAGAATCACTTGCCTATTGGAAGAAAGTCTGCACCATTCTCTTTATTAAGTGCTTATCACAATGCCATTGTTGGAAGTAACCAATATCTTAATGTAAGTTTTTCTTACTATTTACACCATGCCTCCTGCCCCATTCCTACCTCCAAAAAGGGGAAGAGTTCTAGGAGTATAAAAGCAAATAGACTCAGGGAGGATGTGAGAATGGAGTTAATATAATTTGTAACTTTTTCCCCCTACAATGTCCAAACAAATTTGGTGATTTTCTTTCTTGCTATTCTAGGCTTTTTTAAATTGCCTCTGACTAAAGTGGCACCTTATGGGCTGCTTCAGAAATTTTCTTCAGGATTTAAAAATGAAGCCGATTCATATTCAGAGTCTTCCTGCTGAAAATCTGTTAAGCCAAAATAAAAATGACTGCTACTTAAATTTTTTTTCCTCTTTGTTGTTGCTGCAAACATTGTCTCAGTTACAGGAGTTGCAAGATCTCATTTATGCTTTGTACAAATGGAGAGACGAACCATCCCAGGACTACCAATACAAGTCCTAAGGATTAAAGTGTATCTGCCTCAATCAGATAAATGTGAGCTGCACTACTGAGTGTGGAGGCTTTTTTTTTAAGTGAATTGTTCCAGTTGGCCTTAATCCCTAAGCAATATAGCTCCTTTAAAACCATCTTTATTCATTCACACCAATTGACACTTAAAATCCCCCAGCCACTGTTCATCTAAGTCTAAATATAGCTGTTAGAGTCAAATGTGTCTTAAGAGGATTTTCAATCTGATTATCCAAAATACTATTTATTGTCAATGTTTTTGGTGTGCCATGGCCAATCTTATTATTATAATGTCCATAGCATTTAACGGCGGCAGAGCCTAAAATATATCACAGCAATTGGGATAACCTGAAGGAGGGCTTTTCTCCAGCTCCGCGCTGTCGTTCTGGCACAGCTTGTTGTGTGGTTATGAACATCAGAAAGAATTCCTTAATAAGCTCTTGCTCTCCTTCCAGACCCTTTTGGGCAATCTCGCCCTCCATGTTCTCTAAGTAGAGAGCAGTTACCAGGACAACAGAGAATTTGAGGAAGATTTAATTGTGATTTGATGTCTAACCAGAATAAGGAGCTAGTGCCTTGAATTTATATTCTAGGTTTCCAAGCAAATGTCAATATGCATATTTATTATTTTTGCCCTTCCTCATTATAAAAAGGATTTTAAGATGGCTGACTTTTTTTTTCTTAATATGGGAGAGGAGAATGGGGATGATAAATACTAAAAGGATAGGAAAAACAAGCAGCAGCTTGTTATGCAGGAAATATGCCATTTAACATTGTAATATCCTGCTTTTCTGGGGCTGACCTCAGTTTGACTCTCAACTTCCTAGTGGCCAATGTAATGATGAAAACATCACATATGTGAGGCACGGTGTCAGGCAGAACACAGTTATTCCTGGTTCTGAAATTGGCGTGGTGTTCTCCATGGGGCCAGCACATCAATTGGTATACATCTCAAGCTGGAGTACGCAGTGCCTCAGGGCACATGCCGTGGGATAAAAATGGCACATTTCCTAAAGTGCTTCCATCGGACTTAATGGTAAGAAAGCTATTTTTAGTAACATTTTTATTTTGGAATAATTTGTAGTCCATGAGATGACTGACCCAGGGTAATAGTCCACATTTTGAGTCCATAAGGAAAAATCCGTGTTTTTTTTTTTTTCTTGCCTTATTCTTGGGTCACAGATGTTTCAAACAAATTTCTTAAGTAGATATCTGTATCTGTTGTTTTTGGTTGGTTGGTTGGTTTTTTGCCTGCCTTTTATTTATTTTTCATTTTCTGTGTCACTCCCTTCTGGCCTTCTATGCACATGACAAAAATTCTTTGCCTGGCCAAACTTTAGTCAAGCTATTCAACCTTCTCCTAGGCCCATCTGTGCACTTCCTTGTACAACCCAGTTTTAGCAAAGAACCCTACCAAGTCAGTTTAGCAAGAGCCCTCACCCTTGATAGCTGATCACTCTTGACATCTGATCCGATTCCTCATACTCCACCTTCCACAGGTGATGTCTGATCACCCCATCTGTCTTCAGTAAGAATCCTGTGGGTTAGTTTAGCCTTACTCCTGATGTTGTCTTGTAGAAATTTCCCATCCAGTGACCACCCCTCCAACCATGCTCCTTGGCTATAAATGTCCACTTGCCCATGCTATATTCAGAGTCAATCCCAGTCTCTCTCCACTTTTGCAAACTCTGTTGCAGTGGTCCCTATCCTAACACGATGGTCCTGAATAAAACCTTCTTAATGTGCTTTCACAAATGTCACTGAATAATTTTTTCATTAACATGCTCACCATACCGTAAGTCCCCCATTTTTGTACCCTCTTACCTAGGCCCTAAGTGCATGTGCTCTTGTTTTCTTTCCTCTCGCTCACTTCCTTCAAAGATAGGAATTGGTATAGCTTTGAGGCAGGAATTAAAAATCAGTGTGACTAAATTAATTCACACTGGCTGTAAGTTATTGATAACCCACTGTACACTATTTTTGAAAAGCATGTTTAACCCCCAATAATGTATTAATTGGCAGATAATCTTAGGAAAAACAATAAAATGAAGGGAAATGATTCATATTTT
Source organism: Homo sapiens (assembly GCF_000001405.40). Lineage (NCBI taxonomy): Eukaryota > Metazoa > Chordata > Mammalia > Primates > Hominidae > Homo > Homo sapiens. The sequence goes on along the minus strand of NC_000015.10, from coordinate 70,649,499 downwards.
AGGGGGAGAGGAAGATGATTTTCAACAAGTAGAGGCATCATCTCTACCTGAATTATGCTCAACCCCTTCACAGTTCTCCCTGAACTGTTACTGCTTTCCTTAGAGTGCTCCATTTCTCTGTATTTTTATAAACATCTTTTTCTAAAAGTGTAGTGTGTAGTGGACGTTTACTGTTCTCTTGACCACGCAGCATACGAACCACCTTTCTACCTCTTGGGAATTCTCTGCCTTATGAGTCTTGATAAGATGTGGAGACATCTGCTCACTATAGAGGCTGAAAATGCCAAACGATTGCTTTTCCCTGACAGAGGTGGTATTGGGGTGCAGGCACATGACCCAGGCCAGCACTTTCTGCCAAATGTGCCCTCAACTTTGACTAGGGGACTAAGCAACGGTAAGAGGCAAGGGTGATATTCGTCTTTCTGGCAGCAACGACAGTTGGGGTTACTGCACGATCAGGTTCCTAGTGCAGAGATGGAGGTGGTCAAAAGATGAACATCTCATGCTTGGTGGAACAGCTGTTTTCTCACCGATAGGCTTTGGAGTATAATTTGGAAACTTGTTTCTGTCTGCTCAGGCCTAAGCCTGATTTTCTACCTTCTCTATAGATAGCCAGTACATTTTAAATAAATCCCTGCCTGCTTAAAACAGCCAGATTGATTTCTATTGCTTATAATTAAGAACCTGGGCTGATAAATTTTCCTTCTAATTTCCAAAGCATAGTCAATTTAGAAAATTTCAGAAAATACAGATAGGAAAAAGGCAAAAATAATTCACTCCAAGCCTACAGATAATCACTGTTTGTGCTTTGATGTTATCTTTTCCAATATGTTGGATGCATCTATTCCAAGGAAGAGTTTTCTGAGGAAGAATAATGGGGCATTGGCTGGGCGTGGTGGCTCATGCCTGTAATCCCAGCACTTTGGGATGCCAAGGTGGGTGGATCACCTGAGGTCAGGAGTTCGAGACCAGCCTGGCCAACATGGTGAAACCTTGTCTGTACTAAAAATACAAAAATTAGCCAAGTATGGTGGCACACACCTGTAATCCCAGCTACTTGAGAGGCTGAGGCAGGAGAATCGCTTGAACCTGGGAGTGGAGGTTGCAGTGAGCTGAGGTTGCGCCACTGCACTCCAGCCTGGGCGACAGAGCGAGACTCTGTCTCAAAAAATAATAATGGAGCAGAATTTTGGGGCCACTTCCATCTTTGTCCAGGGCATCAAATAAATAGGCTTCCAATCCTTGTTTTAAGAGTCTGGGCTTAAGAGTGCTTAATTGAATTGGACTATGTGGGCAAGAGAGGAAGAATGATGGCTTTTAACCTTTGTAGCTAATTTAAGAATTACCTGTAAAACAATGTTAACTCTTTGTCATATAGACTGCAATTTTTCCCCTGATTTTTTTCACTTGTCATTTAACTGTTTTTCTCTCATTCAGAAATTTGAAATTTGTATACAGTTAAATTTATCAGTCTATGGTTTCTGACATTAGTGTTACACCTTAAACATTCTTTCCCAACATATTTTATCTAGTGCTTGTATGATATTGTTTATATTTAAACACATAATCCACTTGGAGTTTGTTTTATGCTATTGTGTGAGGGATAGATTCAGTTTAATTATTCTCCAAATTGCTATACAGTTTGTTGAATTCAGTTATCTTTTTTTTTTTTTAATTCAGTGCTCTCTGTCTTCTCCACTGACTTGTGATGCCACCTGGAGCACATATCAAATTCCTATATATATCTGGGGCTATTTTTTGACTCTTCATTCTGTTCCATTAGTCTACCTATCTTTTACCTCTATTCCAAAATCCATACTCTCACAAGTTCCAAATATTTCTGCAATTGCTCTTGAGAAAACAAAAGGCAATCTTGGATAAATAGGCATGAATTTGGGAAGCCTGCCAGTTGGAGATTGCCGTGTGGGCAGAGAATAAAATGTTCTGGTTAAAACACAGAATTCTGTTAAATAAGAAACTGTGTTGAAGAAATGTACTTTGAGAATTCACAAGGACTGTCAAGACCTTATAGTATCTCAGGATCATCAACAACATCACAACACTGATTATCATTATGCAATGGATGTGCTGATGGGCTCATGAACGGAGCCCAAACAGGATACTGGGTTAAATAGAGTTGACCGTGTTTTTCTTCTTGGATGCTGGGAGTGAAGTGAGTGTTGGAGTTTTTGGAGACAGATGACAAGCCCATCCATTTGCTACATAGATTACCACATCCACACCAAGCTAATGAATGAAATTTGTGCATTAGAACTATTACAGAATGGTAACTAAGACAATGATAACAGTTGGTCAGTAATTGACAGAGCCATCTCCCAGAGGAGCAAACACATTCTTTCTATCCTACTGGGCTCCAAATGGCTTCCTGGCAGGGGAGCCAAGTGGACCCACTGAAGTGGGATTTCTACAGCACACTACAGAACACCGCTGCTTATGCTCGGGTCTTAGAAGAATCATTTGAGAGTCTCCCATATTGGCAGGATTACTTGCACTGGAGGAAAGCCAGTGAAAACCCATACATGCACTGATCAATGAAGTAGCTAGCCATTTGTACTGTGGTGCTTCCCCCACTGATTCCCAGCGAGGACCTTTTTTATTCCAGCCAAGCTGGGACAATATCCCAGCATCATTGCCCTCATAGTACTGGGCTCTCCTGCCTCCTTGCTTTGCCCATCTTATTCACACCACTTGAAATAATCTCTTGCTCCATTTCTTCCTATTGTAATTTACCTAATTCTTCAAGGGACAACCCAAATCCTCCTTCCATTAAGCCTTTCAGAAATTCCCTTTTACAAACCTTTTTCTTTCATTCTGAACTCAATGAAGTTCATGAAACATTTCTTGAGCACTTGCAATATATCAGAAAGGCACCATCTTAGTTGTTGGGGAGTATATTCATTTCCTATGAGCACTTTAAACAAATTACCATAAATTTAGTGGCCTAAAATGAAAGAAATGTAGTATCTCACACTTCTGGAGGCCAAAAGTCAGGAATCAGTTTCACTAGGTCAAAGTGTCAGCAGGGTTGCACTTCCTCTAGAGGCTCTGGGGAAGACCCATTCCTTGCCTCTCAGCTTCTGGTAGCATCTGGCATTCCTTGGCTTGTGCATGTGTCACTCCAACCTCTGTCTCCATGGTCACACTATCTCATTGCCTTCTCCTCTCTTGTCTGTAGTCACATTCCACTCTGTCTCCCTCTTATATGAATACGTGCTTGCATTTAGGAGGGTCCACTTGGATAATCCAGGATAATCACTCCATCTCAAAACTCTTAATTTAATCCCACTTGCAAAGTCCTTTTTTGCCATACAGGGTGACATTCACAAGTTCTAGGGATTAAGGCATGGATAACATCTTTGGGAAGCCATTATCGAATCTGCCACAGAGAATAAAGATATAGTTATCTGTCCTATCATCTATAAAATTTTTACGTGTAAGTTACTAAACCAAATTATATGCTACAGTGAAGTAAGAGTGGTCTTAGAACATTTTGAATCTCTCCAGTGGTGGCTTTCCCAGCCAAGTCTTCTGCTTGAATAAGTGGATATGTTAATAAAATGGTAAATGAAAATGATCTAGAGAAAAAAAGATGAGTGAAAAAATAAATGTACTTCAAAAATATATTTACCTTCACATACTACATGAACTGATTTATATGCATTCTCAAAATGACAAAATTATGGCAATGGAGAACAGATTGGTGGGTGCCAGGTGATGTAGTCTGGGTCTGTGTCCCCACCCAAATCTCATCTTGAATTGTAATCCTCATGTGTGGAGGGAGGGAAGTGATTGAATTATGGGGGCAGTTTCTCCATGCTGTTCTCATGATAGTGAGTGAGTTCTCATGAGATCTGATGGTTTTATAAAGCAGTTTTCCTTGCTCTTACACACTCTCTCTCTTACCAGCTGCCACGTAAGACACGCCTGCTTTTCCTTCCGCCATGATTATAAGTTTCCTGAGGCTTCCCCAGCCATGCAGAACTGTAAGTCAATTAGCCCTCTTTCCTTTAAAAATTACCCAGTCCTGGGTATTTCTTTATAGTGGTCTGAGAATGGACTAATACACGGGGGGTGAAGGGAGTGGGTACGATATGAAGAGATAGCAGGAAAGATCTTTGTGGGGATGGAATAGTTGTGTATCTTGATTACAGGGTGCCTCCAGGGTTACAGGAATCTACATATGTGAGAACATGACCTAGAACTACACATATACATATTGCACCAGTGTCAATTTCTTGATTTTGATTATTTATGTAAAATGTAACCATTTAGTGAAACTGGGTAAAGGGCACACTAAACTTCTCTGTAATATCTTGAAAACTTTTGGTGACTATTTCAAAATAAAAAAAAAATGGTGAAAGTAATTTACCTTGTTCTTCAGAAAAATAAACAATGACTTACAGAAATATGTATAAGACAAAAGTAATTATGTTAGGCAATTGAGGATTAAGATAAAGCTAAGTGTAAAGTCCTCATACCATAACCAAACTTGGCCTACAAAGTCAGGTCTGAGCTTCCTAAGGCCAAAGAAAAACATGAGTCTTTTGGGGTTTCTGTTTGCCCCAAGCTACCTCTTTAATCCAGAGTACAGCACCTTTAGGACTTGAGTGAATAAAAGAGCACTTTCTATTGTTTTGTGTTACAGTAAAACACTGAACAGTGGCCCAGGTCAGTCCTTTCTCTTCTGCATTTGGCTCTGGACATATTCAAGAGCTTGGTGGGCTCATTATGCACCGGCTATGATGATGGTCAGTGGGAAACGCCAGCGCCTGTAGTGGAAAAACTAGCCTGGAAGAATTTCCTAGGTACAAGGCTTATCAGGATCCATCAAAATAGAACTGCGTGGAAGAGGAAGAGAATGCATTGTGGGGAGAAATTAACATTAAATCAAGTAAGACATGTCTTTTAGAGATTAGTGGGCTCACTGGAAGTTGAGACTTTCTGCAGAAATTTCTTCTTACTGGACAGTGTGTGTGTAGATTAGATAATCCAGGACATATTTAATGATGGAGAATTTATAAAGTTTTGTGAAATGTACAAATGTAAACAAGACTTGAGTTTGGCTCCTAGGTATACTCCTAATTATTGGTGTGACCTTGTATAACTAACTTAACCTCAGTACCTAGACCTGAGTGAAAAGAGAGATGCTTTGATTATCACAAAACTGCTTCTTAGCACAAGAGTTTTATGAGGTTCTATTCCTGGTGTGATTGTTGAGCTTGTCGTGGCATTTGGACCAACCATGTTCTTCTTGTTTTCACTGAATTAGGAATTTTGAAGTTGCTTTTTCTGACACTAAGTTTGGTTGAGATGTATGTCTACATGCATGTATTGAACTCCTCACACTGCTGTTATGTAGTCTATGATGTGCTTATGTGCATTAACAGAAAGACAAAATACAGGGGGAATCAAGCAGCTATGGATATAAGAGCTCCCCTCCTGCCTCTACAGTAGTGACTGGAGGACGAGCCCTATGAACAAAGGGGAGGTTAAAGGCAGAGAGTTCAAATAGCTCACCAAGGAAGTAGCAGAGTGACATTACAAGCAGACTCATTCAAAAAGAATTCCATAGTTTTTCCAAGTGGCCTGGCTTACTTCCTGGGTCATTGGTCCAAAAGTTGAAATGGGACTCTGCTACTTCCCCTTAGAATATATTTGTGTAGCATGAACTAAGGGTTTTAATTACAAAAATAGTCGTCTGATTTAAGAAGAAAAGTAATTATTGGAAAAATATTAGGTAACTCAGGAATCACTCAAAAGATGGAAAGACTGTATGCAGGCTATCCAGCCAAACCGTCAGAAGGGCTCGGTGGAGATGCCATTGTTACCACTGAATGCCAGATTCAGGGCGGGTTTGCCATCCAGGCTATTCCTCGGCCATGTGGCTTATACACTAATTGCAAAGGAGGCTGGAGAAGTGGGTTCTGGGCATTATCAGCACAGCTTCATAAGACTCATAAGGTGGGAATACTAAGATTCATAAGGTGGGAATTTCCTAATTACACAAGTGGGCTCAAGCTTTGGGAAGCCAAAAATTAAAAACAAAACACAAATATCTATGAAAGCCCTTCCCTTTGGTAGCTGATACCATAAACCCTGCTCTAATGCCATAGTAAGTTCCAAAACGAATCAAAGCTTATAGAAGGAGGGGTTGTATTATTGTGAAATAACTGAGTGAGACAGCACAGCTAGCTGGACGAGAGTTCTGAGAGTCCTACTGCAGGATTTAATTGTGTCCTGGTCCCGGGTGCCATCTGGTACCATTTGGGGCAGCTGTCAACCCCTAGCTTAAATATCAAGAAAATGATTCTGGATTCTGCAGTCGGAATGGATTCCAGAACAGTTACAGTGCTTCTAAAACTCTCCCACTTGATTGGTTCCCATTTCATTGCCCTGATCCGGGGAGAATACCAAGGATGTAGGAGCATAATCTCCATCTCTCATCCTTCCCAAACAAGGGCTGCCTGGTGTCTGCTATTTCCTACTTGGCTTCATCCTTCCTCCATATTTCTCAGTCCTGCTGCAGAGGATAAGAAATTTAGCCTGCCTGCATTTAAACAGGGGTTGGGCAGAGGACAGCGGCAATCACTAGTTGTGTTATATTCAAGTTTGCAGTATGAGATGGTGCGTTATTTAGAAATTTTACCTTATCAACAATATTTCTTCTTTCTACATTTATACTTCAAAACCAAAATATGACAAAACAAAAATCCCTCCCTCCTACCCATCATATCATAAAAACCAAATTCATCCATTCCCCTGAAGGGAGGCAATCCAACATCTCATAAGAACTGTGACCAGCTCTGGCCGGGTGTCGTGGCTCACGCCTGTAATCCCAGCACTTTGGGAGGCCAAGGTGGGAGGATCACCTGAGGTCAGGAGTTCAAGAACAGCCTGGCCAACATGGTGAAACCCCGTCTCTACTAAAAATACAAAAATTAGCTGGGCATGGTGGCACATGCCTGTAATCCCAGCTACTTGGGAGACTGAGGCAGGAAAAAAGCTTGAACCTGGGAGGCGGAGGTTGCAGTCAGCCTAGATTGCGCCATTGCACTCCAGCCTGGGCAACAATAGCGAAACTCCGTCTCCGAGAAAAAAAAAAAAAAGAAAGAACTGTGACCAGCTTTAAGTCCACATTCAGGGTCTCTGGGGCTGTCTAGCTCTCCTCAACGTATGTCACATTCTCTCTCAAAAATCTGTGATCTGATTTACAGACTAAATTGTAAAGTCACCTTTCCCAAGAGTGAGGGATAATGAAAGGGAAGACAAAGGAAATTAATTAAAACTCATCAATAGATATATGGAAGGAAAAAAAAATGTGGGTAGCCTTAGTTTTTGCAACTGAACCCAAGGCCAGAATTGGTGTTGGTGATTTTTCTCCTCCTCAATATTTAGGATCCACTTTGTCTTTAGCTAGAATCTCAACCAACTGGATTATTTAACTAGGAAAGGTGACCCAACCTTCATTTGTAAGGGATCTAGGACCTCAGTGACTTCTCTATAGAATAGCTTTGTCAGTGGTGTGCTGGATCTATCTTGTACCAGCTTGTGAGAGTGGATTAGTAAATTTTCAACAATGTTATGAGCATTTGTTAAAAACAGCCATTATTAAAAATTAAATTATAGGCTGGGTGCAATGGCTCATGCCTGTAATCCCAGCACTTTGGGAGGCTGAGGTGGGTGGATCATGAGGTCAGGAGTTCAAGACCAGCCTGGCCAAGATGGTGAAACTCTGTCTCTACTAAAAATACAAAAAAAATTAGCCGGACATGGTGGCAGGTGCCTGTCATCCCAGCTGCTTGGGAGGCTGAGGCAGAGAATTGCTTGAACCTGGGAGGCGGAGGTTGCAGTGAGCCGAGATTGTGCCACTGCACGCCAGCCTGGGCGACAGAACGAGACTCCATCTCCAAAAAAACAAAACAAAACAAAAATTAAATTATATAAGCCTACAATTAAATACAGTTTATTAAAAACAAATGTAATAAATACCCCCGCACTCATCACTCTAATTATTTTGCTAGCATATATCCTTCCTTTTGAGATGATGTATGTCTTTATATGTATAGTAGAAATACTATATAATGCTTTGCTGCCGTGCATCTTATCCCAACTGCGTGTTCAGTAATGTCATGTTGATAGATTGAAATTGGCTATGGTGGGGGTTTTTACATCAAGGAAATTAGCAAACACTAAAATTCAGTGCCACTGGCTAGAGTTTCCATTCATTTTTACTACTGAACATCAAAGTACTGGGAGAAGTCCCAGGAGACTCCTAGGTTCCATCTTCACCCTTCTCTGCCTGCATGATGTAGTAGTTTTGTTACAACCACAGTACTATGGGGAGCTAAAATGATCATGTTTTTGAAATGGCCATGTTTTTGAAACCATTGTGTCTGTTGTTGGAAGCATTCTTTTTTCAAGACTAATACCTTTAAACCCAAACAGCCCTGAGTTGTAGGGATAGGAAGCAAAAACATTGTGAATGGATCATTAGGTGTGACAGTGACAAGCAACATTTCCACATCCACCCCTTGGTTCTAGGCCCCATGTACTGGCTCCTGGTTCAAGGCGTACATTGTACCCTGGAAATCAGCACCCTAACCTCAAAAGCTGTTGTCTCTCCATTGATGGTATCACTTGAGTCTGCAATATGTTAATGCATCCTTCTGTAAGGCCAGCTGCCTACGGGTATGTGGTACATGGTAAAACTAATGAATGAAGACCACCAACCATTTTTTTTTATTTTGCAGAAAAATAGATTTCTTAAAAGCAATGTTGTTTTTGATACCAAGCCTGTGTGAGGTGAGTCCGCAGACGCCTGTGCTGCAGCAGCACAATGGGAGTGGAAAGCAAGCCCAAGTGTGTTTCAGGATAGCAAAACACCACCTTCTCCACGAGGTGCTGTGTGAAAGCAAGCCCAAGTGTGTTTCAGGATAGCAAAACACCACCTTCTCCACGAGGTGCTGTGTGAAAGCAAGCCCAAGTGTGTTTCAGGATAGAAAAAAAACCAGCTTCTCCACGAGGTGCTGTGTGAAAGCAAGCCCAAGTGTGTTTCAGGATAGAAAAACACCAGCTTCTCCACGAGGTGCTGTGTGATATCTTAGGTTGTTCACTGCTACTGGCAAGTGGAGCCCATTAGACCAAGAACTCAGGAATCAGAACTTTTGTCCTTTCTTTCACCTGGTCATTGCCCTTAGAAGGAACCACCCACCCCACAGTCCTTGAATTCTTCAGGCTTTTCATCTCTTCTCTGACAATGACCCCTCCCTAGTACCTGTATTTGTTTTCTATGTCTGCATAACAAATCACCATAGGCTCAGTGGCTTAAAACAACACTCACTTATCATCTCATAGTTCTGTAGGTAAGGGGTATGGTACAATGTGACTGAGTCCACTGCTCAGGCTCTCACAACATTGAAACCAAGGAGTCGGCAGGGCTGTGTTTCTTTTTGGAGGCTTTGGGGGAAGAATCCACTCCCAAATTCATTCAGTTGTTGCCAGAATTCAGTTCCTCATGGTCGTAGGACTGGGGTCCCCTTCCTTGACACGTGGCCCCTCTGTCTTCAAGCCAGCAATGACACATCAAACCCTTCCTGGGCATCCAACGTCTCTGGTTTGCCCTGTTCTTCTGCTTTAAGGGCTCATCTGATTATACTGGGCCCACCTAGATAATCCAGGATAATCTCTCTATTTTATGGTTGGCTGATTAGCAAACTTTATTACACCTGCAGAGTCTCTTTCACCATGCAAGGTAACATATTTATGGGAATGATACCGCATCGTATTCCCAGTCCCAGAGTTTAAGGTGTGAGATCTTTGGGGGCCATAATCCTGCCTATCACAGTACCCTACAGCCTTGTCTTCAATCAGTACTTCATTCTAAGTATAAAGTGGTGATAATTTAATCTACTGTTTCTTCTCTGTATGCATGGACTGCCAGAATCCCATTGCTTAATATTAGAGTTTCACAGCCTTCACCTCCTCAAACCCTGCCACAATTTCCCCACTTCCCTCAGGATCTGTTGCCTACAACTACTCCTGGTTTCAATGTCTGTAACATTGAAGGTTCTTAATTACAAGTAACAGAAACCAATTCTGGCTAATTTAGGGAGAAAAAATAGTTTTTGAAAGATTGCATGGGAGCTTACAGATTTACCAGAAGGGCTGGAGTACTAGGCTCAGGGGCTACTTGAATGATGCCACAGGCCTGGTTGAGTGAGAAGACTGCAGCTACTGTTGGCACCACTGTGACTTGATGCAGGAGGACACTGCTAATGTGGCAGCCCTGAGGCCCAAAACTCCATGATGATGCAGCCCCTGCCCCTGCTAGAGAGTCTCATGGCTCTTGCTTCTTCATGTCGCCATGTCCTTTTTTAAAGTCCAGGACAGGAGTAGCTGATTGGCTGAACCCAGGACAACCACATGCAAGGAATCCAGGTAAAGCAAGCTTCCTGTCTGGCCTTACCATGCAGGAAATTTTTAAACCAAGGAAATGGCTCAGATACGTGGCATCCAACACTCTTGAGAAATATCATATATGTTGCATGGACATTATTGGTTTCTAATCCAAATCAAGACATATATTCCCATAAGCAAGGGCAACAAGACAACATCTGAAATCATCACTGCCCTGCCTCGGGAAATAACTTTACCATCTATGAAGTTGCCTAAGTCAGAAAGCATGGGAGTCCACCCGAATCCATCCTGCTCTGTATACCCACTTGTAACCATGCTGCAATATTTCTAGATAGAAGCCTTCCCTCTTTCTCCTCCCAAACCACACTGCTTTAGTGAAGGTACCGGGCACTTTTCATGTGAATGTCTACAGTCTCCCCTCAGTTGGCCATCCTGTGTCTAGCCTCTTTTGCTTCAATCCATTCTCCACTTCACTGTGAAGTGTTACCAGATTGTCTTTTGAAAATGAAAATCTGCTTCCATCATTACCTTCTTTACATTCCTTCAGCGGCTCCCCACGGCCTGGAGATTAAAACCCATTTCTTAGCATGGCTGTTCTTTTTCTGAACCCCATCTGCCTCCCCAGCTTCACGTTTCACCCCCATTCAGCCCCAACCAGCCAAGCTACTGGCCACATTGTATGCTTTCCTCCCCAAGCCCTGTCCCAAGGCCCTCCACTTCCCGCACCTTTGCACTTGCTGTTTTCTCTGGCAGACACACCCTCTCACACGTCCGCTGCCTTGACCCAGTAAGACTTTGCTTTCTTGATGCCTCTCCCCAAGGTAAATGGAACCATTTTCTTAGGTATACCTAGGAGTGTACCACCCTTGCAAACCATTCTCCGCAACAGGCCAGAGGATGGAAACGTGTGTTGAATGAGTGATAAGTGAGTATCTGCTGGAGTTGCTGGGGCTCATCTGGGCACAGACAGTGCAGGGGCTGCAGCAAAACATCATGGGCCACGTGAGGGTTGGGGATAGGGCCTTGGCCTCTCCTAGCCCAGGGCTCAGGAAGAGTGGAGGACGCTGTGCCCCCACCTGTGATTGTCCTAGTTAATGAGATCAAATGCTGCCTCCCTCTGTCAAGTCCCAAGCGCTGGTGAAAGCACTCCTTGGGGGCCTGTTCAAGACCCGCCTCAGGGAGCAACCACACACCTCACTGCAGTCTTCCGAGGTTCACACAGAAGCCAGAGCTCACATTTCCCATAGACTGTTTAGGTATTCTCTTTCTGTAGTCACTTCTTAAGAAGTGTGGGTCATACATTTATGTGGGAAGCAAGAAAATCTTGGTGCATAATGAATACCATATTTTCATGTACATCGCCAGTGGTGGGCAACTCACTGCCAGTCCGTTTCATCAGTCAACCCCTTTTACAAAGCCTTTTCTTAATTTTGACCAGAAATCTGCCTTCCTGTGCCTTCCCTATTGGTCCTGAGCCCGAACATGGTACACGAAGGTGGCTGTGAGTGGCATGGCATTAATTTTCTTTTCTTTTTTTTTTTTTTTTTTTTTTTGAGATGGAGTCTCGCTCTGTCGCCAGGCTGGAGTGCAGTGGCATGATCTCGGTTCACTGTAACCTCTGTCTCCCAGGTTCAAGCGATTCTCCTGGCTCAGCCTCCCAAGTAGCTGGGACTACAGGTGCCCGCCACCACACCCAGCTAATTTTTGTATTTTTAGTAGAGATGGGGTTTCACCATATTGGCCAGGATGGTCTCGATCTCTTGACCTCGAGATCCACCCGCCTTCCAAAGTGCTGTGATTACAGGTGTGAGCCACCGCGCCCAGCCTAACTTTCTCTTTTGACAGCCACATTCCACTATTGATTCTTCTTTAGCTTATTAACCAATTATGCCTCTAGGTCTCTTTCCAGATGCTAAATCAGGCTTGTCATAATGTCATATGCAGATAGCTGAGAACAAAGCAACCATGGGACTTTACAATGAAACCTATTGCATGTTTTCACATGGATTTAGGTTTGTCCTGCTTTTCTAATTCATTCGAGCACTGTACTGCTTCAGCCAGGGAGCTAGAGATGTGAGTGGGCAGGAGATGGCAGGAGAGAGCCAGGAAGGATCTTTTTTGTGGTCTCGCAGGACTGTGAAGATGTGAAGTCACAGAAGCTAGCTGGCCAGGGGGAAGCAGGGGGCTAGGGCATAACTTGCCCTTGAGGTGAGGAACAGAGGGAAGTTACACACACACCCAGGAGCAAGGGGACCAGAAGAGGAAGGATTGCAGGTTCTGAGAGAAGGTTGCTTAAAGGGGGAAGGACTCATGGGCTCACGTGAGAGACACAGCCGATGTACTGGTTGCAGACTTAGGCTTACCAAAGCCAATCCCCAAATCCAAAACCACCTACACGGCAATGAGAGGGGAATGGGCACATCAGTCATGGAACCTGCATAGGGTGGGGTGTGATGCCCTGAGTGCACAGACTGTTTTCAAAGAGTCTTAAGGACAGAAAAATGTTTTTAATTTGAAACTAAAAGCCAAACTGTTGATCCCAAATATGTAGAAAGAATCTGTGGTGTGTATGTGTTTGTGTGTGTGTGTGTCTGTGTACCTATGTGTATGGATGAATGAATGAATATGCTGAGCATGTATTCTGTATTGAGAGAGAGATTAATCAAAAAGTTAATCTTGCTTATATTTTCCAGATCTGCCTCAGAGAGCATATGCTAGTTATATCATTAGACAGTGCAGTAAATGTTATCAGAATTTCCAGTTTCCAAGAATGAGGACACCGTAAACAGAGTGCAGTAATGGGGCCCCTGCTTAATACTTGTATTTGGAAATCTGAGCTGACTCTGTTTAGTGAAGGTGCCCATCATCCAAGGGGTCTGTGCCTTCTGTTGTCCATGGGCTGGCATGACAGTTGGTTTGATAAATGGATACGAAGAAGAAGATGTCACTATTGTGATGACCACCTGTTGAGTTACCAGGGCTTGGGATAAATTTCTGCACATCATACAGTATGGGTTAGGGATCAGGTTTTATTGGGGAAACCCCCAGAGCTGAGACCCAGAGCAAGTTGTTGGGGTCCTTTTCAGATGACACTCCTTGTGTCCTGCAGACACTGTTCTTGTTCTCACAAAGCTCACAGCATCCTAGGAAGACAGACAGGTAACCAGAAGACTCATAATCCACTAGGTCTCACCCCCGTGGAGCTGCCCAGATTTTGCCACAGCCCATCACTGGAGCCCGCCAAGATGTTTTTGAACATTGTTATCCCAAATTTGCTGTTCTTTCCAGATTTGTGTCACCTGCACAGTTGACAAACATGTTCTCATTATCTTCATCCCAATAGCCCAAGGAGCCAGCCTGGCAGCAGACCACCAGGAGGGTCCGCAGGGCTGGTGGGTCCTTAGAGCACTCTGTTCCTTCAGCCAGGTATGAATCTGCCCAGAGGTGCAATCAGCTCAGGTCCTGTTTCTTAGCCCTGTGGGAATTCAGACCTCTCCTGGGCTTCTCACTTTCCCTATGTAGCTCCTGGCCTCTGGTCAAGCCTCCCCAATGGTCCTATTGTACACTAATTGCTCCCAGACCTGTAACCTCCCACCCAGTCCTCTCTCTTCATGCCCACAGCCTCTCTACCAACTCACACCTTCTTTGTCTCGGCCTGAACAACAACCAGTGTCTCCTAACTGGTCTCTTGGCCTCTACTTTCTTCCTCCTCCTACCCCATCTTTCATTCTATAACCAGCATAGTCTTTTAAATAGACATCTGACTGACATATCATTCAGCAATAAAAAGGAACACACCACTGATTCATGCTACCACACAACGAACCTCAAAAACGTCATGCTAAGTGAGAGAGGCCAGAGGCCAAAGACCACATATTGTATGATTCCATTTATAGGAAATGTCAAGAAGTGGTGAATCGATGGAGACAGAAAGCAGCTTCGTGGTTGCCAGGGGCTGGGGGTAGGAATAGGGATTGAGTGCAAATGCACATGGGGACTCTTTGGGGTGACAGAAATGTTCTAAAACTGGATGATGGCGATGGTGGTACAACTCCACGAATTTAGTAAAAATTATTAAATTGTACACAAAACATCTGGCACATGCACAGGGCAAGGGAGGGGTGCGTGAGGGTGGACAGAGTAGTGTTTTGGCGTGCTCTCCAAGGTTCCAGCATATTCCACTGTGTTTTGGTGTGAGGTCATCATGGCGGATTTACAAAGGTGATTGTTATGCTAATTATTTGTTGGAGGGAAGTTTTTTTTTTTTTAAACCAGAGATAATAAATATATTCTTTTTTTTTTGAGACAGAGTCTCGCTCTGTCACCAAGGCTGGAGTGCAGTGGCACGATCTCAGCTCACTGCAACCTCTGCCTCCTAGGTTCAAGTGATTCTCCTGCTTCAGCCTCCTGAGTAGCTGGGATTACAGGTGCCCACCACCATGCCCAGCTAATTTGTGTTGTTGTTGTTATTTTTAGTAGAGACAGGGTTTCACAATGTTGGTCAGGCTGGTCTCGAACTCCTGACCTCGTGATCCGCCCACCTCGGCCTCTCAAAGTGCTGGGATTACAGGCGTGAGCCACCACACCGGGCCCTAATATATTCTTATTTTAAAGAAATAGATCTGACTGTGTTACCCTCTGCTTAACCTTCTTGAACCCTGTGCCTGTGAGACAGAGCCAAGGCCTTACCGCAGCATCCAGCGCCTCCCCAGCCCCCCTCCAGCTGCTTCTCCTTAAGAGGAGGTGTCCCCAACACACCAGGCACATTTAATGCCTCCATCCGCCCTTCATCCCCACTTTGTGTTTCTGCCAAACTTCCATTTGTTTATCAGGACCCAGCTCAAATCATGCCTTGCTTAGTGGGATCAGTGGTTCTTTGGTCTCTGCTCCCATAGCGTTTCCATTAAAGCATGTTGTATACTGTAACACAGCCACTTGTATCTGTTTCTTGGAAGAAAGTATGAGCTCGTGAGCGGAGAGAATGTGTCTTAGTCATCTGTGCTTTCTCAGGACACATAGTGGATGCTCAACGTCTCATTAATTCACTCAACAGCCATCTCTTGAGGGGGGTTTCTCAGAGTAGGGCTTCTCAATCTTGGCACTACTGACATCTTGGGTCAGATAATTTTTTGTCATGGGACCTGCCCTGTGCCTTGCAGGAAGTTCAGCCACATCCCTGGGCTCTACTCTCTAGATAGCAGTAGCACCCCCACCATAGCCTTGTTGCAATTACCAAAATTGGTCTCTAGACATTGCCAAAGTTTCCCTTGTTGGGGAGGCAAAATCACCCTTGTTGAGACCCGCTGGTTTGGAGGCATCTCTGTGATAAGCCCTGTGTTTAGTATCTTCATTCAGTTTCTTGGAAAACACACTGGGGCTGAGGCCAGAGCCTGCAGCCCACTTCTGGTTATCACTTGCCCCGCTGACCAAGAGAGCTTGTCAGCGTCTGAGCCCAAGCCCAGCCTCCTTGGCTCACCCGCATGTCTGTCTACCAGTCTAGGAAACTTGCGAAGCCAGAGAGCCTGCTGGGATTTTAGCTGACTGCTGATTTCCTCTTAACTCTGTTTGTCTTCACCTTTTATGTTTTAAATCGTTTGCTTTGATGGGAAAGACAGGAGTAAGACGGGAGTTGAATAGTTCAGTTTTTTCTCCATCACCCGTGAACAGCACACTCCGCTCCAAGCGCCAGTGTGTCCCTTTCTCCCTCTCTGTTTTGTTTGGGGCATACTTTAACAAAGCTCTTTCTATTGTCCTTGGGATATCTGCAAGCTGCAGCGCATTCTGGGGCTTGGTCTCCCCAGCATCTTGCAGGCTGGGGCAGGGGGCCTTTGTTCTCTGTCTGGCTCATGACTACTCCCTCTGCCCTTTGTCCTTTAAACACCTGTCCTGGGAAGTCACTGTATTTCTGTGGTTACCTCTGACGAATGAATTATTTGTCTATTCTCAGACTTTTAACAAGTCCCCTCTCCTTCTTGAGTCATCTTCCTTTTTCTAGAGTTTCCAGTTCTGCCTTTCTTGAAATCTACTTCCTAAAGTTTATATACAACAATTGTTTGAATATTAAATATTTACACACTAGTGGTGTATGCAAGCATAGATGGTTTGACTATAAAGCCTATCCAATTATTCACTGTACTACTATGTCTCCAGGTTCCTAGAATTTACTTTTGTAGCTATTGCATTGTCTTAGTTTGAGTCCCACCAGACATAAAACCTGAGAGAAGGATGTAAGTGCAAATAGTTTTTTAAGAAAGGAAATGGTTGAAGGAGTGGAGACGAGAGACAAGAAGGAAATGAAGTGCATACAGCATGTGTTATCATGCGAGTTACTGCTGTGTGTGTGTCATGCAAGTTACTGCTGTGTGTGTCATGCAAGTTACTGCCGTGTGTGTTATCATGTGAGTTACTGCTGTGTGTGTCATGCAAGTTACTGCTGGGTGTGTATCATGTGAGTTACTGCTGTGTGTGTGTCATGCAAGTTATTGCTGTGTGTGTGTATCATGCGAGTTACTGCTGCGTGTGTTATCATGTGAGTTACTGCTGTGTGTGTATCATGCAAGTTACTGCTGTGTGTGTATGTCATGCAAGTTACTGCTGTGTGTGTATGTCATGCAAGTTACTGCTGTGTGTGTATCATGCAAATTACTGCTGTGTGTGTTATCATGCAAGTTACTGCTGCGTGTGTGCAAGTTACTGCTGTGTGTGTATCACGCAAGTTACCGCTGTGTGTGTGCAAGTTACTGCTTGCTGTGTGTGTGTTATCATGCAAGTTACTGCTGTAGGCAATGAAAGCTTAACCTGCTGGGGACCCCTGGGAGATCCTGTAGAGCACACTGCAGAGTTGTCTGACAAAGGAAAAGGAAGCTGGGGGGCTGGGGTACTGATTCACCAAACTTCGATCCCTAGATGACTGTGGGCAGCTTCTGGAGGCATTAAATCTGACTTTTCCAGGTGGCCCTGCCCATACCTAATGTGCAAGGTCTCAGGTGTCCAAAATAGAAGGGGCGAGCGGCAGCTCTGGACACATACCTAGTCCACAAACACATTCTGAGTGTATGGTTATGTTTTCTCAATTTCCTTTCTTTGCCATTTCAACAGCCAGTTCTTTGTTGACCACAATTAAGTCTGTGGAAGCAGTTGTTCTTGTTCCCCTACTTTCTGAGAGATTAAGTTGTCAACAAAGATAGGACTCTGCATTTGGCAGGATGGGACTCCCTGCCCCAGGTCCGGAGACTCTCATTGTTGTGTGCCTGCTTCTGTGCACACCTGGCAATGTTTGTGAGCAGTTTCACCAGCTCTTTACTTTGTCCTGGGACAAGGTGGGGAGGGGAGTTTATGCTAAACTTGGTAATTTTGCTGCTCCCTGCTGAGCACTTTAGAGAGACCAGAGAAACATTTGGGGCTCCTTCTTGGGAGCACAGGCAGGGAAATGCACACCTCCGGATAGGCAGCCCCGAGCCCCATCACAGCTTCACTCCTCAGGCGTTCCCCTGTGCCTCCACCCCAACAAAGGTCCCTTTCCCATGGCCAGCACTGGTGTCCCCAGTTTGGGAAAGCTCGTAGGTCCCTATGTGGACACCTGCTATTTTTCTTTGAAGAGCTAAATGTCCTCCCCCTTTTCCACCTGTCCTCTACAGGCAGGTAAATAACTGCCTCACTCACTCCAAACCAGGATGCCCTGTCCCTGGCCACAGGGACTAGTTAAGGGTGTGAACATCCAAGCAAGGCCAGTTGGAGTTCTTTTCTGAATGGACATGCAAATATTGGCAGAGAAAAATGCCCCTTTCCCCGGAGTTGCTAAGAGCTAACTAGAAATACCTACCCTGGATAAATACTGGCCGCAAACCTCTTTCCACTCCTTAGACCTTGTTTTCTCACCTTTAAAAACAGAGACACAACTGTAGGTGTCCATTGCAGTGGAGTTTGTGGAGCGAGCTGTAACCCGGGCCCCTGTCCCTGCAGCAGTGGGCAGTAAACCACAGTGGACGCAGCAGTTAGAAGTGTTTAAAAGCAGTGGACCAGATGTTCACATAGAAACATAAATGAATATTAAAACCATAGACCCGAGGGCCCACAGAATAAAATGAAATATAAATGGAGGTAGTTGGCCAGGATGGTTTCCAAGTTCCCTTTCAATCGTGGGCAGAGCGGCTCACAGAGGTTAGAAATATGAGCTTTGTGATCTTTTCTCGTTGGTGGTGGGCTGCTTCCATAGGCATTCACTCTCTGACTCTCGCAGACTTCCCTGCCTGGGCCTTGTGCAAAGTGTCAGGTGTTCATGGTGGACAGGAGACAGGACTTGGTTTCAAACCCCACGTTTACCACTTCCTAATTCTGGAGACCTTGGGTAAGCTGCTTAACCTCTCTGAGCCTCAGTTTCTTAGCCTGAAAACTGAGGCTAATAATCCTCATAAAGTGCATTGCCAGGGCATGGACCCTAGTAAGAACTGGGAGAAATGACAGGCAGTTCTCTGGCACTGTGGGTTGGCAGCATTCTTCTGGGGCAGGGGAAAGATGGACTGTGCATTTCACCCCATAACACGAAATGTTGAGGTCTGTACCATGTTCAGGGAAAATCCCAGTAGACAGTGGAATCTGGGTATTATTTTAAGGGATGTGACGCCTTCCACAGCCTGTCCACCAGTGCAGGGCATCCTCCAAGCCTCCATTGTCCTGGGCTGCCAGGTGAAGCACTCATTGTGCCCTGTGGACGGGACTGTCTGTGGGCCAGGCCTGTTTTCCAGAGCAGCTTTCTGGCCCTGGAGTGTGCCCCTCTCCTGAGGCCTGTCTACCTAATGCAGGACTAGGCTGCAGCCCTCTCTTCCCTTCCTCATTCCTCCTTCAGCTCTCAGTTCAGCAGCCTGGCACAGAGAACAGGTGGCGGATCCCCTGCTATGCACTGAGCAGCGGCTCTGCAGGGTGCTGTGCTCTGGGCCCCGAGGTGCAGTGAACCTGGGCCCGCCCTGTGAGGCCCACGACCTGATGGATGGGAGACAGACATCACTGGCACCTGTGCCCTATGTGCAGAGAGCCGGGATGGGGAAACGGAGGTGCGGTGGGCCTGTGAGGGATGTGGTGGGCTCCGGGGCTGACTGGGGCAGGCTCCCAGGGCAAAGGGTTAGCAGAAGAGTAGGCTGGATGAAGAGTGGGATGTGGGGTGCTGACAGAGGCAGGGAGGGGACCACAGGACAGAGCACACAGGCACTCAGAACAGCTTGTGTGGCAGCTCAGAGACAGAGATCTCTGGAAGCCTCCGAGGGTCAGGGTTGAATGTGAAGGGAGCTGCGGCTGGAGTCATGTGCCAGGACCAGGAAGCCATGTGGAGAAGCCGGGGTTTGGCCTTGAGGTGATGGGGATCAGGGAAGGGCTTTAAACAGGAAAGCTTCGGGGGCATGTTTCTGTCTTCTAAGGAAGGCTGGGGCTGCTGCAGAAGCACTGGTTTTGAAGGGGAAAGGGCGGAAGCGAGGACATGGGGTCAGGAGGCTGCTTCAGGGCTAGGGCAGGGAGGAGGGAGAGGGCTCGGGGGGAAAGGAGAGGGTACAGGGACATCGTGGGGTGCTGAGGAGGTCGGTGGGGCCTGGAAGGATGGGAGGAGGCGTCAGGGGAAATCTATGGCATTTTCTGGGTTGGCAGCGGTATGGATGGGAACTGAGGGAGCTGTGGGGCTGGGGAGGAAGGTAGCTTCTTGAAGGCAAGTGTGGTAGAAGGTTGGGTGGACATTGTGAGGGCCGCCTGCAGCGCTGTCAGATGCAGGGAGGGTTGTGGGCAGGCAGCCTTCAGGGACTGCCTCAGCCAAGGTCATGCCCCTTTCCAGGGTGCCTACATCCTTGGTGCAGGCATACGAGGTCCTGACCACCTTGGCCCACCTTGGGACAGATCTGACGGACCATTGAAGCTTCACTGCTCCTGCGGCATCCACCGAGGCTCTCTGTGAACCTGATGACAGCTCCATCTCTCTCCCTGTCCACTCCTTCCTTCCAGAGCTCTCCCTTCCACGGGCGTTCGTCCCAAAGACACTCTTTAGCAAAAATCCTGCTCACCAAGCTCCATCTCAGAATCGGCTTCTGACTGGCCCCAGTGAATCACAGCCTATGTCCACCCCTTCACAGTAACTGTGCTTTCCTCCCTTCCAGAGGGGCAGCCTATTTCTCCCCACCTTGAATCTGAGCTGGCTTCGTGACTTGCTTTGACCAAGACAACGTGTAGAAGTGACGGTTGGGACTTCTGAGCCCGAGTTTAAGTGGACTTGCAGTTTCACCTTCACTCTGGGAACCCAGCGCCATGTAAACAAGTCCAGGCTGTCCTGCTGGAGGGAGATGATATGGAGGAGAACTGCGGCAGCCCAGTAGATAGCCAGCACCATGGCCCCAGGCAAGCAAGAGAGGAAGAGAGGCCCTTGTGGCTCTTTCAGCCTTGGTTGGGCTGCCGTGGCCAACACAACTGGAGCAGAGATAAGCTATCTCTGCTGAGACACACAAATTCTGACCCAGAGAATTGCGAGTAATAAAATGACTGTTGTTTGAAAGCCCTAAGTTTTGGGGTGGTTTGTGATTCAGCGATAGATAACTGAAACAGCATGGCTGCACCAGCAGGAACGTGCCAGGCTCGTGATCATGCAGGGTGGCTACCCATCCATTGCAAAACCTCACAGTGGGTGGCCTTCCTGCTAGCGACCACAGGGTTAAGTGCAGCTATGCCTCCTACCACTAACCCCCAGGATGAGGTTCTGTTTTTCCATCCCTGAGACCATCAATGCTCATCTCATTTCCACTCTTGGAACAGGGACATGCCAGCACTATTACCTCTTAAGCTCTCTGTGTCTGTAGAGAGAAGCAACTCACTGCCAAAGGAGCAAATGAGGCCCAGCTTTCTGCAGCAACATCCATCGTCCTGTGCTGCTCCAGGCAGAATCCCAGCGTATAATTCCCTTCTGCGGGAGCTGGCTCAGAGTGCATCCATCTTCACAAGCTCATTATTCATCTGATTATTTTCATGCCGTCCCAGTGGGGAATAAAAGCCATCAATAAATCACAACGATGCTGCAGATTATACTAAATGACCTGGGCAGAGAGCTGGCTGTGCCAGTTGCTGTGACCACAAAAGCCAGAGCTGCTCGTGTGCGGCGCTCCTCCAGGGCTGAAAAAATGTGCATCCTGTTCTCGCCCTGACACCAGTCCACCTCCTCACTTGCCCTCAGTATCCTCATTTGCCCTAGTGTAATTAAAATCCATGAGCACGGGAGCCCCAGCCTTGCCAGAAGACCTGAGTTCAGCCTCTGCATCGGCTGTGTGATATGGGGTTGGCTGCTTAGCCTCTCTTAAGCTTTGGGCTCCTCTTTGTGAAATGGCCAGAAATCATTGCTGTGAGAGCTCAGTGAGAAAATAAATGTGCTATTTGCACATTGCAAAGTGCCGTATATGTGTGAGGGTGGCATCTTGATGGCCATCATTTCAGAGTGACCAGAACATGTCGAGGGTTCCCGAGGAGAAATGGATTGGACTAGACACTGAGGTGCCGTGAGCAATCATCACATGATTTCTTGACTTCAGTTTCCTCACATTTCCAAATGGACCCAGTAGTATTTGGCCCATCAGTTTCATAGCGCAATTGTAAGGCTCAAATCAAATAACAGCGAGAGGAGCCCTTTGGCAAAGCATCAAGTTGTAGAAATGGAAGATGTTTACTGGGTCATTCCTTCTCTAAACGCTGTTGTTTTTGTCTTGTTTGTTTTGTTTCTGCCAATCTTCCTGTTTCTTTGGTTTTCAGTATTATTGAGAGTCTTCCCTGAGACTTCCTAAAATAATCAAGGAAATTTGGGCTAGTTTTTTGGAAGAAAAAAAATTTGCCATTATCAGAGGCCAGGCATGGTGGCTTGCGCCTGTAGTCCCAGCACTTTGGGAGGCCGAGGTGGGCAGATCACTTGAGGCCAGGAGTTCGAGACCAGCCTGGGCAACATAGTGAAACACCGTCTCTACTAAAAATACAAAAGTTAGCTGGGCGTGGTGACTGGAACCTATAATCCCAGCTACTTGGAAGGCTGAGGCAGGAGAATCACCTGAACCTGGGAGGCGGAAGTTGCAGTGAGCAGAGATCATGCCACTACACTCCAGCCTGAGTGACAGAGTGAGACTCTGTCTCAAAAAAATAGTTACCATTATCAAGTACTCACCACATTTCAGTCTTGCCAGTATGTCACCCACTTACCAGCCCTTGAAGACGGTCATTGTTTGTCTCTGTTTCCACAAGGGAGGGAACTGGGACTTTGAACAACCACCGTCTGCCTAAAGTCACAAAGCTGGGATTTGGGTTCAGTTCTGTCCTATTACACCACACTGGAGACTGAAAACCTCTATTTTTCTTTTTTATAAATTTGCATAAATTTAAGGGGTACAAGTGTAGTGTTTCTACATGGGTATATAGCATGGTGGTAAAGTCTGGGCTTGGAGTGCAACCATCACCCAAATAATGTACATTGTACACTTTAAGGAATTTTTTATCCCTCACTCCCTTCCACCCTCCCACCCTTCTGAGTCTCCAGTGCCTATTATTCCACACTCTATGTTCCTGTGTACACATTATTTACCTCCTACTTATAAGTGAGAACATATGGTATTTGACTTTCTGTTTCTGAATTGTTTCATTTAAGATAATGGCCCCCAGTTCCATCCATTGTTGCTGCAAAAGACATGTTTTCATTCTTTTTTTTTTTTAATAGTGGAATAGTATTCCATTGTGTAAATATGCCACATTTTCTGTATCCAGTCATCTCTTGATGGACACGTAGGTTGATTTCATATCTTTGCTATTGTGACTAGTGCTATGATAAATACATGAGGGCAGGTTTCTTTTTCTTTTCTTTTTCTTTTTCTTTTTTTTTTTTTTTGAGACAGAGTCTTGCTCTGTCGCCCAGGCTGGAGTTCATCGGCGTGATCTCGGCTCACTGCAACCTCTGCCTCTCGGGTTCAAGCAATTCTCCTGTCTCAGCCTCCTGAGTAGCTGGGACTACAGGCGCCCGTCACCATGCCTGGCTAATTTTTGTATTTTTAGCAGAGATGGGATTTCTCCGTATTGGTCAGGCTGGTCTTGAACCCTTGTCCTCAGGTGATCCATCCATCTGGTTTCTTTTTGATATAATGCTTTCTTTTCCTTTGGGATCACTTCAGGAAGAGAACTGATTGGCATATCTATTGGATTCAAGGGAGCCAGCAGAATAGTTCCCTTATTAATGATGAACCTGATATTTGGGTTTAATAATCTATCAGACTTTGATAATTATACCCACCCAAAAGTATTAGCTTGTGAATTTTTGTTCTTGGAGGAGCATAACAGAACGTGTGCTTCTTTGGGGCAACCTGTTCCAGAGAGAGAGGACAGAAGAAGCTGAAGTGCACATTCCCAGTTCCTCTTTTCTAACTCACCAGTTGGAGTGAGGCCAGAAGTGTTACAAAGAATGGTGCCCCTCCACATAGAATGATAAACGAGTGAGAATAATCTTTCCCTCCTAACAATGACATCGGGGTTTGAGGAAAACTGTAGGACTAGATAGAGCATTGTAGAAGTTCTAGAAAATAGTATATCTAATTGTTGAAAAGGAATGCAGTCCAAAATTAGTTTTTTAGGTTGATAAAACAGAGACTAAGGAATGGAAGAAGAAGAGGAAGAAGTGAGATTTCTCCTTCCTCAGCAATTAATGTCAAAGACATTCTTATAAACTAAATAGGCAATGAAGAACAATTGTGAAAAAGGACCTCAATTTGAGCATCTCTTGGAAATTCTTGTAAAAAGAATGCCTAACTTGATTTTGAAGTTTGTTCTAGGACAGGGAGAAAATATCTTTGGCTCAAACTTCATTTGACTCATGTTTTAAGGAAAGAGCCAATCTATCCCAGGCAGAAAAATTCCACCAAAAGATTTATGACTTAACTTTTATGTTAAACAATTGGTTTTGTCTGACACATGTTTGAAAAGCATATATAGTGACTTCTGATAATGAATGACTTGATCATTTGGATTAATTCTCCCCATTAGCACAATAAGGAAAACCAGACAAAATATTTTTTTAAAAGATCTACATGTAGGCTGTAGTGAGCTGATATGATAAAGAAGCATATTGGAGGATGACAGAAACCCAGAGAGGTAAATTCAAAATTTGGGCTTTTTGGAGCATGTTCTCTGACCAAAATTGAATTAAATGAGAACCAACAACTATGACATCTATGAAAAACGCACATTTTGGAGATTCAACAATACGGTTTTCTATAACCCATAGGTCAAAGAAGAAATTACCCCAAATTAAAAAATATTTTAGGCCAGGCACGGTGGCTCATGCCTGTAATCCCAGCACTTTGGGAGGCCGAGGCGGGTGGATCACCTGAGGTCAGGAGTTCAAGACCAGCCTGGCCAACATGGTGAAACCCCATCTCTACTAAAAATACAAAAATTAGCCAGGCCTGGTGGCACGTGCCTGTAGTCCCAGCTACTCGGGAGGCTGATGCAGGAGAACTGCTTGAATCCAGGAGGCGGAGGTTGCAGTGAGCCGAGATCGTGCCACTGCACTCCAGCCTGGGTGACAGAGTGAGACTGCATCTGAAAATAATAATAATAATAACAATAATAAAAATCTCAGACATTAGGATAATGAAAATAACAACATCTAAATCTGTGAGATTTGGCTAAATCAGTGTTTAGAGGAAAATGATTTACATCCTTTTATTAGGTGTGCTGGCTTACACCTGTAATCCCAGCACTTTGGGGGGCCGAGGCAGGTAGATCACGAGGTCAGGAGATCGAGACCATCCTGGCCAACATGGTGAAACCCCGTCTCTACTAAAAATACAAATTGGCTGGGCGTGGTGGTGTGCGCCTGTAGTCCCAGCTACTCGGGAGGCTGAGGCAAGAGAATTGCTTGAACCCGAGAGGCGGCGGTTGCAGTGAGCCGAGATCGCACCACTGCATTCCAGCCTGGCAACACAGTGAGACTCCATCGCAAAAAAAGAAAAGAAAAAAGTGTTGAAAAATCAATGCCCAAAGAGCTAAGAGAAAACAAACAAACAAAAAAGAGCAATGTAAACCAAAAATAAGTGGAAGGAAAAAACAATAAAGACAAAAGCAAAAATCAGTAGAGAAGAGATCAGGTAATATAAACAATTAACAAGGCCAAAGTTGTTTCCTTGAAAAGATGAATGAAATTGGTAAATCCCTGGTTAGACTGGTCATAGAGGGGAGACAAAGGACCCACACCAGGAATAAATGAAAATTAATTAATTAATACAGATACAGATATTAAAAAGATAGAAGGGCATATTATAAATAGCTGTATACCAACAAATTCAACACTATAGACAAAATTGAAAATATAATTCATGAGAACTGACATAAGATGAAACAGAAACTCTGAGTAGCCTATATCTATTAAATAATTTAATTTTTTTTTTTAAACAACTTCCTGCTTTGGGGGGCTGAGGTGAGATCACTTGAGGCAAGGAGTTTGAGACCAGACTGAGTAACATTGCAAGACCACATCTCTACAAAAATTTAAAAAAATTAGCCAAGCATGGTGGTACACACTTATGGTCCTAGGTACTCAGGAAGTGAGGTGGGAAGATTGAGCCTAAGAGTTCAAGGCTGCAGTGATCATGCCACTGTACTCCAACCTGGGTGACAGAACAAGACTTTGTCTCTTAAGAACAACAACAACAAAACACACACACACAAAACTCTTCACAAAGAAAATTCCAGCCTCAAATAGCTTTATTGGTAAATTCTATAAAAATTCAAGGATAAAATAAAATAATACCAATTTTACATAAAATCCTTAAGAAAATAAATAAAGTAGGACAATTATTTAATTATCTGAGGTTAGCATAACTCTAATACCAAAATCTGTGAAAGATATTCCAAAGATAAAATAAAATAAAATTTCAGACCAATATTCCTCATGAACATAGACATAAAATTCCTAAAAAAAGTTTTAGCAAATTGAATCCAACAGTATATAAAAAGGATAATATACCATGAGCACATGGGATTTATCCTAGAAATGCAAGGTTGGCTTAATGTTTGAAAATCAATCAATGTAATTCACCATATTAACAACATAAAGAAAGGAGAAAAACAATATGATAATTTTGATAGATGTGGAAAATGCAAGTGAAAACATTTAAAATCCATTAATAATAAAATCTCTCAGTAAAGTAGGAAAAAAGAGATCCTCCTCACATTTCTATAGGTCATCTATATGAAAAACCTGCAATTAACACCATGGTTGATTTGATAGTGAAATAGTGAATGCTTTACCTCTCAGCCTGAGCACAAGGTAAGGATGTAACTCTCACTGCTACTATTTAACATTGTATTAGAGGTTATAGCCATTGCAATAAGACAAGGACAATAAATAAAAGGTATACAGATTGAAAAATAGAAGTAAAACTGCCTGTGTTTGCAGGTAATATGACTGTTTATGTAGAAAACTCCAAGGAATTTATGAAAGAGCTATTAGAAATAAAAAACAAATTTAGCAAACCTGTAGGATACAAGTATAATATACAAAAATTAATAGTTATTTTATACTAGCAGCAAACCAGTGGAAAATATCCTAAAAACATTCATTTAATACAATGTCAAAAACATAAAACTTAGGATTAAATACAAGAGATATGTACAGTAAAAATTCAAGAACTTTGCTGAGAGAAATTAAAGATCTAAATAAATAGGCATATATACCATGTTCATGGATCATAAGACTCAACATTGCTACGATGTCAATTCTCTCCAAAATGGGATGTTTAATATATGAAGCAATGTAAATCCAAGCAAGCTTTCAAACCAGACACTGACAATTGATTTTTAAAATTTGAAATGACAAAGAACCATAAATAACAAATACAATTTTTTTCATTAACTTTTATTTTAAGTTCCAGGGTACATGTGCAGGATGTGCAGGTTCATTACACAGGTAAACATTTTTAAAAGAAGAAAAATGTTGGAGGACTTAAACTCTCTGATTTCAAGACTTACTATCAGCTATAATAAACAAAACAGCATGGTATATAGACATATAGAGCAGTGGAACAGAAGAGAGTTGAGAAGTGAACTCATATATATATATGAGTAATTGCTTTTTGAGAAAGTTGCCAAGATAATTCATTAGATAATGGGTAATCTTTTCAACAACTGATTTATTTATTTATATTATTATTATTATTATTATTATTATTATGCTTTAAGTTCTAGGGTACATGTGCACAACATGCAGATTTGTTACATATGTATACATGTGCCATCTTGGTGTGCTGCACCCAGTAACTCATCATTTACATTAGGTATTTCTCCTAATGTTATCCCTCCACCCTTCCCTCACCCCACAACAGGTCCTGGTGTGTAATGTTCCCCCCGTGTCCAAGTGTTCTCATTGTTCAGTTCCAACCTATGAGTGAGAACATGTGGTGTTTGGTTTTCTGTCCTTGTGATAGTTTGCTCAGAATGATGGTTTCCAGCTTCATCCATGTCCCTACAAAGGACATGCACTCATCCTTTTTTACGGCTGCATAGTATTCCATGGTATATATGTGCCACATTTTCTTAATCCAGTCTATCACTGATGGACATTTGTGTTGGTTCCAAGTCTTTGCTATTGTGAATAATGCTGCAATAAACATACGTGTGCATGTGTCTTTATAGCAGCATGATCTATAATCCTTTGGGTATATACCCAGTAATGGGATGGCTGGGTCAAATGGTATTTCTGGTTGTAGATCCTTGAGGAATCGCCACACTGACTTCCACAGTGGTTGAACTAATTTATACTCCCATCAACAGTGTAAAAGCATTCCTATTTCTCCACATCCTCTCTAGCACCTGTTGTTTCCTGACTTTTTAATGATCACCATTCTAACTGGTGGAGATGGTATCTCATTGTGGTTTTGATTTGCATTTCTCTGATGGGCAGTGATGATGAGCATTTTTTCATGTGTCTGTTGGCTGCATAAATGTCTTCTTGTGAGAAGTATTTGTTCATATCCTTCACCCACTTTTTGATGGGGTTGTTTGATTTTGTCTTGTAAATTTGTTTAAGTTCTTTGTAGATTCTGGATATTAGCCCTTTGTCAGATGGGTAGATTGCAAAAATTTTCTCCCATTTTGTAGATTGCCTGTTCACTCTGATGATAGTTTCTTTTGCTGTGCAGAAGCTCTTTAGTTTAATTAGATCCCATTTGTCTATTTTGGCTTCTGTTGCCATTGCTTTTGGTGTTTTAGTCATGAAGTCCTTGCCCATGCCTATGTCCTGAATGTAATTGCCTAGGTTTTCTTCTAGGGTTTTTATGGTTTTAGGTATAACATTTAGGTCTTTAATCCATCTTGAATTAATTTTTGTATAAGGTGTAAGGAAGGGGTCCAGTTTCAGTTTTCTGCATATGGCTAGCCAGTTTTCCCAATACCATTTATTAAATAGGGAATCCTTTCCCCATTTCTTGTTTTTGTTAGGTTTGTCAAAGATCAGATGGTTGTAGATATGGGGTATTATTTCTGAGGGCTCTGTTCTGTTCCATTGGTCTATATCTCTGTTTTGGTACCAGTACCATGCTGTTTTGGTTACTGTAGCCTTGTAGTATAGTTTGAAGTCAGGTAGCGTGATGCCTCCAGCTTTGTTCTTTTGACTTAGGATTGTCTTGGCAATGCAGGCTGTTTTTTGGTTCCATATGAACTTTAAAGTAGTTTTTTCCAATTCTGTGAAGAAAGTCATTGGTAGCTTGATGGTGATGGCATTGAATCTATAAATTACCTTGGGCAGTATGACCATTTTCACAATACTGATTCTTCCTATCCATGAGCATGGAATGTTCTTCCATTTGTTTGTATCCTCTTTTATTTCATTGAGCAGTGGTTTGTGGTTCTCCTTGAAGAGGTCCTTCACATCCCTTGTAAGTTGGATTCCTAGGTATTTTATTCTCTTTGAAGCAATTGTGAATGGGAGTTCACTCATGATTTGGCTCTCTGTTTGTCTGTTATTGGTGTAAAGGAATGCTTGTGATTTTTGCACATTGATTTTGTACCCTGAGACTTTGCTGAAGTTGCTTATCAGCTTAAGGAGATTTTGGGCTGAGACGATGGGGTTTTCTAAATATACCATCATGTCGTCTGCAAACAGGGACAATTTGACTTCCTCTTTTCCTAATTGAATACCCTTTATTTCTTTCTCCTGCCTGATTGCCCTGGTCAGAACTTCCAACACTATTCAACAACTGATTTATTTACTTATTGAGATGGAGTCTCCCTCTGTCGCCCAGGCTGGAGTGCAGTGGTGTGATCTCGACTCACTGCAACCTCCGCCTCCCAGGTTCAAGTGATTCTCCTGCCTCAGCCTCCCAAGTAGCTGGGATTACAGGCGTGCACCACCATGCCCCACTAATTTTTTTTTTTTTTTGTATTTTTACTAGAGACAGGGTTTCACTATGTTGGCCAGGCTGGTCTTGAACTCCTGACCTCAAGTAATCCACCTGCCTCGGCCTCCTAAAGTGCTGGGATTACAGGCATGAGCCACCACATCCAGCCTCAACAACTGATTTATATGTATGTCAGCACTCATCAAACTATATGCTTAAGACAGAAATGGGCTCATATTTAAAATACATTCACTTACTTTCAAAATATATTATGAATTATTCAAAATCAATGAAAAAAACAAAACAAACACCTAATGGAAAAATGAACAGGAAAAACTTCAAAATAGCTAATAAATATATGGAGATGTATGCAACCTCATTATCAGGGAAATGCAATTTAAGACACAAATGAGTGTCCACCTAGGCATCCACCAGACAGGATGGCTAAAATGAAAAGGTTGGTAATACTAATTGCGATGTTGATTGGAATGTAGACTGGTAAAAAGACATTTAAACAGTTAGATTTTTATCTACTAAACACAAAGACACACATACTCAATGACTCAGCAGTTCTGCCCTTAAATATATATACAACGAAAATGCATATATAGATGTACCGAGACATGTGCAAGAATGTTTAGGGCAGCATTATTCATAATAGTCCAAATGGACAACCCAAATGCTCATCAACAATAGAATGAAAAATTAAGTGTGAGTTATTCATACAAAGAAGTTCTCACAGCAAAGAAAATGAATAAGCTACAGATTCAAACAACAGCATGGATGAATCTTGCAAACATAAAGTTGAGTAAATAAAGCTAGACACAAAATAAGACATACTAAATAATATATATATTATAATATATGTAATGTATATTATATATTATAGTGTATGTAATGTATATTATATATTATATAGTATATGTAATGTATATTATATATTATATATTATAATATATATTATATAATATATAATTATTTATTTAATTAATTAATTATATAATTATATAATTAATTAATTAATTATATAATTAATTAGAATATATAATTAATATATAATATGTATTTATATATTATATATTATATAATATAATTATATATATTATATAATTATATAATATATAGTATATAATAATATAAT
The DNA here is from genome assembly GCF_000001405.40 of Homo sapiens. Taxonomy (NCBI): domain Eukaryota; kingdom Metazoa; phylum Chordata; class Mammalia; order Primates; family Hominidae; genus Homo; species Homo sapiens. The sequence goes on along the minus strand of NC_000015.10, from coordinate 70,618,539 downwards.
AATATATAATAATATATGTAAGAATTTATATATTCTTAAAAAAAACAGGCAAAACTAAACTACAGTATTTATGAACTCGTGCCTCATTGATAATAACACTATAAAGAAAAAGAAGAAAGTAATTATTGTGAAAATCTTTGTATCAGTCAGTGTTCCATCAGGGAAGAGGAACCCTGTGAATATTGTAGAATGCAACATTCATTCTAACTAGAGGAAATAGACCCTATGCAGTTACGAGAGAAGCTGGGGAAGTATAGCTTCAAAAAAGAGTTCAAGGGTAGAGAAAAGCTACTAAACAACCACCTGAAGGTCTGTTTGTCGTGGAGTGAACACATCAGAGCTTTCTAGAAGATCCAGAAATCAGGCACGTGAGGCTGCTGGAGTAGGACTGTGAAGGGCTGGTGGAGGGAAGAAGTCAGTTGAAGACTAGAGCCTCTGCATAGCTACCACACCTGAGGATTGGCAGCCAAATATCCAGTGGTGAGCTGGGAAAACTGTTGGTTCAGCGTGGCCTGCCTCGGAAAGAAGAGCTGGATGTGCAGCATGGGAGGACAAGGACAGGGACACCTGTGTCTGTCTGTCACCACATCTAACTGTGACAGCCTTTATGACACAAAACTTGCTGTTCACTTCTGCCTTCCATCTTGCAAAGAAAATAAAAATTAGGTGGTGGGAGTGGGGTGGAGTAGGGAAGGAACAAATCTAGTTGAGTTATTTTACAAGTAACTCAGGAATTCCAGGAATCCTAATTCCATTTTAGCCAAGTTGACACAGTCCAGATCCCACAGTCAACAGGGTGGCTACATGTACAGAGAAGATTGATGCTAGCAACAAAGCACCCAGGGACTTCTGGAGGGCTGATGATGTCCTGTTTCTTGCCCTGGATGGTGACTACATGGATGCTCATGATGTAACTGCACATTTTTGTTTGTGAACTTGATGTATATAATATTAAAAAATAAAACTGTAAAAAAGCAACTGGGATGTGTCTCTTCTCCATTCCATCTTCTACTGTGAAGCAACTAGGGCATTCTGTGCTGATTCCTTCTGCAGAGGAGATGATTGCGAAAATGTAAAGAAAAAACAACATCCCCCCACACCCCAACTTTTTACATTTCAAAACTTAAGCCCATCAGGTAATGGAAAAACCACACGACCACTATACTGTATTGACAAATGTCAATAGTGGACTTAGATTAAAGGAAAATCCAGACACAGACATTCCGTGGCTAAATCAAACAGTGTTTACTTATCTAAAGTAAACAGAAGGGGCCATGCAGTCAGGACACAGGCTGGAGAGAAGAGCAATGTTATTTGAGACAGGTAGAGGTGCACACGTGATTGGCTCATGCTTGTGCATGACAGTGTCCATGTGGGGCTCACATCAGACCTTTAGAAGCTTGACTGCTCCATTTGTGCCAGCTGCATGTGCTGAGGGTGAGTGTAGCTCTATTTACTAAAACTGGTGCTGTTGTCATTACCTACTTAATCTAGGAAGATACTTCCAGCTTTAAAACTGGTGCAGTCCTGCAGGCAGTTAGTGTAATTATATGTTGGGGACCACCTCACATAAGCCAGATGCCCCTCATCAATCTCAGGGTCTCATTACATGGAATATGAGAACATATTTCATACAGTCCACATTCCATTCTATTCAATCCACTGAAGCACAAAGACAATCCTCTTTTATCATCCTTTGCCTCCCCATGCCCAAACAGCCCAGTCTCCATGTATGGCTAAACCCAGTGCTGTGGGCTAGAACCAAGCTTAGCTTCCCAGGTGTCTCTAGGAATCATGCTAATAGGCTCTTAGATCAGGAAGATGATATATTACAAAAGTACTTGCAACAGAGACTAATTATTTGGAAGAAAACATCATGGGTGATATGGTTTGGCTGTGTCCCCACCCAAGTCTCATCTTGAATTGTAGCTCTCATAATCCCCACATGTTGTGGGAGGGACCTGGTGGGAGGTAATTGAATCACGGGGGCAGTTACCCCCATGCTGTTCTCATAACAGTGAGTGAGTTCTCATGAGATCTGATGGTTTTACGAGGGGCTTTTCCCCTTTTGCTCAGCACTTCTCTCTCCTGCTGCCATGTGAAGGATATGTTTGCTTCCCCTTCTGCTGTAATTGTAAGTTTCCTGAGGCCTTCCCAGTTATGCAGAACTGTGAGTCAATTAAACCTCTTTCCTCTATAAATTACCCAGTCTCAGGTATTTCTTCATAGCAGTGTGAGAATGGACTAACAAGATGAGTAAAGAGCAAGATAGGTTGTCATCCAACCCTCCAGATTAGAATGTTCCCTCCCTGGGCTGTGGTTAGATGGAGAGAGTAGGGAGGCATGGTGTTATAAAGCTACTGTCTCCAGCTCCTAATAACTCTTCTGTGCTCAGCTCTGCAATGGTGAGGCTGTGACTTTGCAACCCAATTTCCTTGTTGCCAGCTGCTGCCTGTTAGGTCCTGATAATAGGGGATGCTAAAAGGAGACCAGACAACAGGAAGATGGAGAAGAGATGTTCCTTCCCCATGCTTGCTGTTCCTGTCACCGTTATCCCAGCAGTGGAGTTGGTTCCAGTTTCCTTCGTTTTGCTAAGTTCCCACGATCAGCCCATCTCACCCCATCAGTTACCAGCAGCATCCAGGTAGCACCCTCTCCTAAGAAGACCAAGTCCTAACTTAGACCTTCCCTCTGAGCTCTTGTGTTGCAGCCGCATTTAGCTCATGCCCCCTCCTGAGAGATCTAGGTCCCAGCTCTGTGAACCCCCTCCTCGAGTTTCTTGAGGTACCGATACCAGCAGGCCGTTACCCTTTTCTGAGAAGTCTTTGTCCTAGTTTTGTGAGGGCGTCCTCCAGGATTCTGGGTTCTCATAGCCCCAGCCCTTTCCCTCTGTTCCTCTAGTCCTAGGAGTGGTGGCTGTTTCCTGCAGTTACTACGTTTGCATGATAACAGGTGTTCCTTTTCTTCCTTTCAGTCCTTTGCTATCCATCCAGCCAATTCCCTATATTAAATCCCCTTGTTGACTGCTAACAGGTATGAGTTTTTTTGTAGGGGGTGAGGGTTGATGAAACTGTTTTGGAATTAGATAGTGGTGATGGCTTCACAACATTCTGAATATACTAAAACTCCCTTACATGGGTGAATTTCAGGGTATGTGAATTACGTCTGTAAAAATATAAATCTTCTGTGTTGGAATGCCTGACTGGATCCTGGTTGATATAGCATTCATCAAGGAGAGTGTGATGGTTAATTTTGTGTCAACTTGGCTGGGCCACAGTGTGCTCAGATACTTGGTCAAAGATTATCTTGAGTGTCTCTGTGAGGGTGTGTTGGATGAAATTCACATTTAAATTGACGGACTTTGAATAAAGCAGATTGCCCTCCATAGTGTTGGTGGGCCTTATTCCCAGCAGTTGAAGGCCTGAATAGAACAAAAATTCCCGTTTCCCCTGAGCAAGAGAAGATTCTCCAGCAGACTGCCTCTAGACTTGAACTGAAACATCAGCTCTCCTGGATCTCCAGCCCTCCCTGCTGATTGTGGACTTCTCAGCCTCCATAATTGTGTGAATGTGAGCCAGTTCTTTATAAGAAATCTCTTGGCCAGGCACGGTGGCTCACACTTGTAATCTCAGCACTTTGGGAGGCTGAGGTGGGTGGATCATGAGGTCAGGAGATTGAGACCATCCTGGCCAACATAGTGAAACCCTGTCTCTACTAAAAATACAAAAATTAGCTGGGTGTGGTGGTGCACACCTGTAATCCCAGCTACTCAGGAGGCTGAGGCAGGAGAATCACTTGAACCCAGGAGGCAGAGATTGCAGTGAGCCGAGATGGCGCCACTGCACTCCAGCCTGGTGACAGAGTGAGATTCCATCTCAAAAAAAGAAGAAATCATCTATCTATCTTTCTATTATCTATCTAGCTATCTATCTGTCTATCTATCTATCTATCTATCTATCTATCTATCTATCTATCTATCTATCTATCTGTCTATCTCCTATTGAGTCTGTTTCTCTGGAGAACCATGACTAATACAGACAGGTAGCTGTTGTTGGGTCCCAGGGAGAAGAGAATGAGCCCTGGTGAGGCCCTGACAGATTTGCGGGATCTGAGAATACGGGCACCTATGTCTGTGTTTCCTGGTAGGGCTTCAAGGGGTGGCAAGATCGTAGAGAACTGATGGCTTCAGTTGTATGGAGCATCTAGGCAGATGAGATCTCACAGCATTTCTCAATTCTTATGTCACAAGAACAGAATGATTGCCAGGAGCTTGAGAGTGGAACAGAAGTAGCAGAGAGACTTTTAAGGACCACTGACTGAGGACTAGATGGGACAATGGACAAGTTAGTGACACGCTTCGATGATATTGAGGACTTAAAAGATCACCCCTCCCATTGGAGCCTTGGTTCTCTGCAAGTCCTTTGTAAATTTCACCCCAGAGAAAGTAGGAAGAGTCCCTAAATTAACTGAAATGGTGTTTCTGCTACTCCAGCAGACTAGGGGCTCCTAAAAGAAATTCAATTCAGTTTTGGGATATGAAAAAAATTGTTCTTTCTTACATATCTGAACTTGTGAATTGAGATTCACAGCCACTTTAAAGTCTTGTTTTTATTTTTATTTTTTTATTTTTATTTTTATTTTTTGAGGCAGAGTTTTGCTCTTGTTGCCCAGGCTGGAGTGGAATGGCGCAATCTCGGCTCACTGCAACCTCCACCTCCTGGGTTCCAGTGATTCTCTTGCCTCTGCCTCCCGAGTAGCTGAGATTACAGGCATGCACCACCACGCCCGGCTAATTTTGTATTTTTAGTAGAGATGGGATTTCTCCATGTTGGTCAGGCTGGTCTTGAACTCCCAACCTCAGGTGATCCGCCCACCTTGGCCTCCCAAAGTGCTGTGATTACAGATGTGAGCCACTGTGCCTTGCAAGTACTTGCTTTTATTTACTTTCAGGAGAAACTTGGGGATTTTTGTGGTATGGCATGAAATGGATTTTCCGGAATAGAATCATCACGTGTAACTCTGCCACATAGAATTTAGGAGTCTGTGAGGCAGAAAGGTCAGGGCCAGCAGGGCAGCTGTGTATCTAGGTTATTACAATGGCTGGCCATGGGCAGAATGCCTGAAGATGTTAAAACAACCTAGAATTTATACAGATGAATAAAAGTTTCCCAATAGCTATTAAGTTTAAAAAATAAGAGCAAAAAGAGAAACACTGATGTGTCAGACAGAAAGATAGGAAAACACAAGGCAAAGCCACAGAAATGAAAATAGCCTGGTTCCTGCGCAGAAATGGGCAGATAGACACATGGAAAGAATGGGAAGTCCCAGAACAGGCCATATACGTGGGAATGTTAAGAGACTGCCACACGTAACTTGGGACAGAACAGATTGGTTATTAAATGGCATTGGAAAAACTTGTTCACTATGAAGAAAACATTGAATTCTTACTTCTTACCCTTAGACTTAAGGGTGAAACTTAAAGGTGAAACTATAAAGCTAAAAGGAGAAATTGTTGAAAAATATCTTTGTTATTTAGGGATAACCAAGAACGTCATATGTAAGACCCTCAAAACCTCTGCCCTTAGGGGAAAAAAGGAACATATTTGATGACAGCAAAATTAAACATTTTGTTACCTGAAGGTGTTCATAGATGAAATTAAAAAATAGGTCACAGGTTGGGAGGTAATTTTTACAATGTTAAAAATTATTGGGACCAATGGATAACATTGAATGTAAGCTCTTAATTAGACATTAGTATTGTATAAATGTTAAATGTATTCAGTGAGGAAATTTTATTATGGTTTATGTAGGAGAAAGCCTTTGTTCCTAGGAGATCTACACTGAACTATTTAGTGGCGAAGTATCAAAATTTCAGCAACTTATTTTTAAATATTTCAACAGAATATATTTGTATGTTTTCACAATAATGTGAATATATTTAATACTATTATACATTTAAGATGGTTAAGATGGCAAATTTTATGTTATGTATTTTTTACCATAATTAAAAAACAAAAAACAAAACAAAACAAAACAACACAACTTATCATGTGGTCCAGAGGATTGCAGTCAGCTGGGGGCTGGATTACATTAAACAAAAAAAATATATATACACACTATATATATACACACTATATATATATATATATATATATGTAGAGTGTGTATATATATAGTGTGTATATATATATACTATATATATAGTGTGTATATATATATATACTATATATAGTGTGTATATATATAGTGTGTGTATATATATACTATATATATATATATATATAGTATGTATATATGTGTGTGTGATGTGTGTGTGTTATATATCTATAGCTATGGTATAGAAAGTGATATAAAACGTGTGGAGTCCAGGTGCGGTGGCTCATGCTTATAATCCCAGCACTTTGGGAGGCCGAGGCGGGTGGATCACTTGAGGTCAGGAGTTCGAGACCAGCCTGGCCGACATGGTGAAGCCCCATCTCTACTAAAAGTACAAAAATTAGCGGGGCACAGTGGCCCATGCCTGTAATCACAGCTACATGGGAGGCTGAGGCAGGAGAATCGTTTGAACCCAAGAGGCGAAGGTTGCAGTGAGCTGAGATCATGGCACTGCACTCCAGCCTGGGCGACAGAGTGAGACTCCATCTCAAAAAATAAAATGTGTGGAAAAATATTAATAATAGGTAAACCTGTTATAATATCTATATAACTTTTTTGTTAGTTTGAAATTTTTCAAAATCAAAAGTTGGAGAAAATAGCAATAAAGTCATGTACAGAATATATAAGTGACTTTTGAACATCAACAATAAAAAGATGAAGAACAGTATAGAAAAGTGTGCAAAGGACATGAACAGGCAATTCACAGCAGAGGAAACCTAACTGGTTATAAGCACATAAAGGGATGCCCAATGTCACAGACAATCTCAGAAAGGAAAAACTAAAACCAAAATGAGCTGCACATTATTCCCATCAGGTTGACAAACATTGGAAAGCCATGCAATGCCGAATGTTCTTGAGACTGAGGAGCCGGGAGCCCTTATCATGCTAGTGGTCTTAGAGCACAGTCTAACAGTATGCAGTCAAACTGGGTATTCATGTATCCTAGGACCTAGTCATCTGCTCTTGATTGCCAGACAGCCTCAGGAGGTTACATGTGCTAAGATGTCCATCATAGCGTTGCTTACCTTAGGGAGGACGTGAAGGGCCTTTCACTAGGGGAGTGAATTAGGCAAATGAGGTAGACACCTATCAGTTGGAGTCCACTTCCTACCCCAAGTGTTGTTAGAAACCAGAACTTCAGCATGACCTCAGAGAGACAGGCAGGAAGCTCCAGAAGGGAGGGACTCTCTGGAAGGATTCAGGACTCCAGGGACTGGAATTGGCCTGAATTGAGAAAAATACATGGAATTATATGTGTGGCACTGGTACATCTATGAGTAGGGATTTACTCCTACTACCTTGCCATTAGCAGCTAGGACTCCCCAGCTCCCCAGGAGCCAAATAAAAAAGCATGCTTAACCCAAAGGATTAGATCCATAGTGGAGGAACTGGGGGCACAGGACAGTCTAATGAGGGTATATTTTTGCATGTGGGGGCATGTGGGGGCTGGGAAATCCAGTGGTTCAGCACATATGAGATTTTATGCATGGTCTAAAAAAACATTTTCAGGAATCCTGGTACTTCTATTTCTTAAGACAAAAGTACAACTGTATCCTAAAAAAGAACACGCACTGTTTGGATGGATGCTAGTGGGGTCTGAGCAGTGTGTGCGGAGGTATGTCCCCAAGGGGATCCTGGAATGAGATGGGTTAGAAGGGAATTGCATTGCATTCTTCATTCCAAGGATAAGAGGCCTTTTCAGGGAAGAAAAATAAATGAGTTCACTTACTGTGTAGAAATTCTGTGTATAGAAAATACACTTACTGTGTAGTTCATTTACTGTAGGAAAAGATAATCCCTGAAGGTTAAAAAATTAATATGTCAGTGCTTTTTGCAAATGTTGATTGTTATCTTGTAGCCCTAAAAGGAACTTAAATTACAATGCCTTTGTCTCTCTTCCTGTAAAGCAAGGGGCTGATATTGAACTTACTCTTACCCAAGGTGAGGATACAGAAAGGGTTGCTCTTCTGAGCATCAGAGGAGTCTTTCCTTGCTGAATTTATGTAGGGACAAAACTTTGGCAAGAGAACTTTTCTGAGTGGTGGGCATCTTCTGAGAAGAACCTGTCCTGACCCCTCTAGGCTCCTGGGAAGAAGGTCAGGGTGGGAGGGTGACACTAGCATGGACAGAGCAGCTACCGCGTGTCAGGGCCCCGGCAAGGGATTCGACGCCGTTTCTCGTATTTCTCACACTTCTCCCAGAGCAGGCGTCACGCCTGACCCAGTTTACAGATGAGAACACTGATGTCTGGAGGGATTAAAGCAGCTTGCCCAAGGTCACAGAGCCCGTTTATGGACTTGCTAGGATTCCAACACATATGATAATTGTTATCACACTGAACTGCTGCAGGCAAACACAATTTGAAAAATATTTTGAAACTTTATCCCAGGCCTCAGAGGAATCCAACTAGTTTGAGCTCATCTGAAAGGTATCCCCACCCTCCTTAAGATTCTTTGACACTGTGAAGCAGTCAGCAGAAAATAACTGCAGGAACAATTACTGTTCCAGATTGAGCCTGAATTTCAGGTCATTTTGATCTCCAGTCTGTATGCAGACTTTGTTAATATTCCAGCTTTGGGTTCAAAATGTCATGTTCACTGAAAAGTGAAAACAACAGTCCCCTGCAGCCATCAGGGCCCTCCTAGAGGGAGGCTTGGCTGCCAGGGGAAATCTACCAATTGCCCAAAGAGATGAAACTGGAGGAGGCACAATCTGGCCTCCAAGCCCTTAAGAGCCTGATTATTGTTATTATTTTTTTTTCCTGAGATGGAGGCTTGCTCTGTCACCCAGGCTCAAGTGCAGAGGCACCTTCTCGGCTCACTGCAACCTCCACCTCCCGGGTTCAAGCAATCCTCCTGCCTCAGCCTCTCGAGTAGTTAAGATTACAGGTGTGTGCCACCACGCCTGGCTAATTTTTGTATTTTTAGTAGAGATGGGGTTTCACCACATTGGCAAGGCTGGTCTTGAACTCCTGACCTCAAGTGATCCACCTGCCTTGGCCTCTCAAAGTGCTGGGATTACAGGCATGAGCCACCATGCCAGACTAACATTTTAATTTTTTTTTTTTTTTGAGACAGAGTCTCGCAGTCTCACTCTGTCACCCAGGCTGGAGTGCAGTGGCACGATCTCGGCTCACTGCAACCTCCGCTTTCCAGGTTCAAGCGATTCTCCTGCCTAAGGCTCCTGAGTAGCTGGGATTACTGGCAAACACCACCACGCCTGGCTAATTTTTGTACTTTTAGTAGAGACGGGGTTTCACCATGTTGATCAGGCTGGTCTCGAACTCCTGACCTTGTGATCTGCCCGCCTTGGCCTCCCAAAGTGCTGGGATTACAGGCGTGAGCCACCACACTGGACCAACATTCTAAATTTTAATGTTCCAAATTGAGACTATAAATTTTTACAGCCAGTTCTATCTATATATATTCTATTTATTATTTGTTTATCTATTTATCTAATTACTCAACAAATACTTACTGACCACCTACTATCTACCAAGTCATGAGAAAAGCCCAAGACAAGTTTTTCTGGGCTTTTCTTTTTTGTGTAGGCCCCACAGCCTAACAGTGGAGTCACCTCATAGAGGGTGTTAAAAATGTAGACCCCAGGTGCCTTTTCCAGGAATTCAGATTCAGTAGCTACTATTCATTAAGCATTTACTAGACCAGGTATGTAATCTCATTTAATCTTTACAACATTCATTCCAGGAGGAATTCTTCACATTTTACAGAAGAGGTGCAGAAAAGTTGAATAATTTTCCCCAAGTTTCACAGCTTAATAGCACTGGGATTTGAACCCAGATTTATCTGAATCCAAAGCTGGAGCTCTTTTCATCATGCTGCCCTTTCCTTAATCCAAAACTCGACCCCTGTCCTGATGCCAGCCCACACACTGGCAATACACCAGGTCAGTTAGGCTGGTGATGGTTTTCTTTCCTGTGGACTTGGTTTGGGTCTCCCTTGGATATTTGTTCTTACGTCATCCTCTGGCCGAAAGCATTTGTTTCCAAAGACCAGTGTCTGCAGGAGGAGGTCTAAATTCCTTGGTTTGACATCCAAGGCTCTTTACAATTTGGCTTCCTCTTATTTCTTCTTCCTTCTCCCTCTCAGCTCCCTACGCAAGCCCTCAGCCCAGCTGGTCTGTGCTCTATCTTTTGAATGCCAAGAGGTTGTTACCATGGAGAAGTTTCTTTCTTTTTTTTAACGACCTGCCCTTCCACTCACTCTGGATCCTATTTCCTTGCGGTTAAAGACTTTTCTCCTTTGATATCCCCTTTTCCTTGCATTATTTATCTCCCTCTCTTTCTGCAGCATCCCTTCAGCAGGTGAAATGCTCCAAAGTCTCCCATATTGAAAAAACTCTTCCTTGAGCCCACATTTTCCTCTAGCTGTTGCATCATTTTCTATTCTGCATCTCAGCAACCCTTCTCAGAAGAGTTTTCTCCAGTGGTTGTCTCATCTTGCTCACTTCCCATTCACTCTCCAGCCTCCTACGGAAATCCTGCACATCAGGGTTACCAATAACTTTCATGCTGACAAATCCAAGATGCTTTCCTATGCTCCTCTTAAAGTCTCTGCAGTGTTTGACAGAGTGGCTACTCCTTTATGAAATGCTTTCTTCCCTTTACTTCTGATTCATTTGGGGATTAATTGCAGACAACAGAATCCACCCTAGCTAACTCAGGCTGAAAGGGATTTCAAAGAGGAAGTCTAGCTTTTATAAAAGGATTAGAAGTTTGGGAGGTCGAGGTGGATGAATCACCTGAGGTCAGGAGTTCGAGACCAGCTTGGCCAACATGGTGAAACCCTGTCTCTACTAAAAAAATACAAAAATTAGCCAGGCATGGTAACAGGTGCCTGTAGTCCCAGCTACTTGGGAGGCTGAGGCAGGAGTATCACTTGAACCTGGGAGTTTCAGTGAGCTGAGATCGTGCCACTGCACTCCAGCCTGGGCAACAGAGTGAGACCCTGTCTCAAAAAAAAAAAAAAAAAAAAAAAAAAAAAGATTGGAAGGAATTGGAGGTACATCGGATGGCTGTCACTCTCCACATATGACCCAGCATAAATGCCTGCTAGAATAACACAGAGGAACTGGCCCACCTCAGGCGCTACTGCCTCTGCTGTGCTTGGGATGCCTCACTACAACTTCTGGCTCCAGGTCCATGCTGCCCTGCTGCAGACCCTGCCAACTCAGCCAAGGCTCCACCCCAGCCTCTCTGAGGCTCCACTCACAGAGCCAGAGACTCTCTGGGACCCTCTGCTGAAAAACCAAATGCCCCCATGGCTGTGCTTGCCAGGAGGTGCAGTAGACCCATGCATGTCCCAGCCTCCAAATCTGCACCTGCTGGGAGAAAGCTAGGTCTGGTGCACATCTGAGCTAGAGAAGTGTCACATAGAGATATTCTTTAGCTTCCTGGCTTCTAGTGGGCAGTGAGGCACATGGCAAGGAGGTGGGAATGGAAAGGAGCGAGGCACAGATTCGCCAGCACCACATTCTTTCAATTTTCACCCTTTCTCAGAGTCCAGTTCTTCTCAGTCGCCCCGCGCAACTGATCTCTAAATATCAAAGGGCCTCAGAGCTTGATGCTCACCAGAGGGCTTGGGTGGTTGATCTGGAGCTGAGTGTGCTGTGTTCCAGATAGCGGCTCAAGATCCAGGCTTTGGGAAGTGGGGCAGCCACCAGCCAGGCCACCTGTGCCCACCTGAATGAGCTATATCCAAGGGCAATGGGAGAAATGTCCCTATTTCTGGCCACCATAGTAAACATCAGCCCTTTTTCACGCTGATGGACAGCCCACAAGTCTGATTTAACCTGAAGCGCTGTCCACTCTAAATGACCAGGCAGAAGCACTTGGCATGGCATCTGGATTTCATTTTGAGGTTGGGTTCAGAAGCTCAAATATAGGTCACCCTGAGATTATAAAATCAGATTGAAGGTTTCCTGCAGGCAGGGCTGGAGGCTGCCTTCTCAAGTCCCTATATCTAAGCAGCCACCAAGGGCTAAGGAAGATCAGAGAGAAGCCTTCAAATCTAGCCTGCAGTCTGCACCCACCCTTCCAGTCTTTCTTTAGGATCTGGACACCTCCCTGGGGAGCCTGCCAGTCCCTAGGGCATCAGGATGTTCAGCTCTCTGGGAGGTCAGAAAAACATCCCAACAGCTTGTCTCTCTGCTGAGAAACACACTGTCAGCCAAAGGCTGGACAAAACTCTGGGGCTGATCATTGCAAACATCAGAGTGCCCATTTACAGGCCAGCGAGTTCTTTATGGGCTTGGTTGAGCTCTCTGGAAAGCCCTGGAATGAATATCCACCAAGGGGCTCCTCTCTTGCTGTCTTTCTGTGGTCCCCAGTTCACCTCCTCCCTCTTGCGCTCCGCCTTTTCTTCTTTGGCCTTTGACTGCGATTTTCTTTGAAGAAAGAAATTACTTTGCCCCAGGAAACTCATTTATAGTGAAATAAGTGAAAGGTCTGGGCATCCGGCCCCATGTGGGGCTCGTTTTTGGGTTATTGCTTTAGCATGCCTTCATCTGGCTTGGCCAAGCTTGGAACCTCTCCCTGCCAGCATCACACCTGGCTTCAGCTGGAAGGGAAAGGACTTCAGCTTTTCATCTTCTGGGCCTCTTTGTTATTATTGGAGCCAAGGTTTGGCCTGGGATCAGACAGGGGGAGGGGACAGACAGTGGGCTGGGAACCAGAGCTGGAAACTGTCCCAGAGGCCTGGGAAGAAAAAGGGCTTCCTGTAGCTTTGGAGCGGCTGCTCCTCTTGAGTCAGGCCTGCAGCTCCCAGGCTGGTGGGGCTGAACTGCAGCCGGGCAGACCCCGAAAAGGATGACCCCCCTGGCCTAAGGGTTGTTGCTGATTTTAGATCCATAAGAAAAGGCCTTCTTAAGCCCCTTGTGATAAGAGATTTTAAGTGATTCCGCTTAAGTAAGAGATGCATAAAGATGTGAAAAAGCAAAAGGGTTAAGCTTTTAAAGCCATACGCTAAATTTCCTGAGTAGGGAGATTGCTTTGGGGGATGGTTTATAGGTTAACCGTTAATATTTTCTTAAAAGCTGGCTTATTTCTATCCCTTATTATTATTTTTTTAATGTAGCTTTGAGAAAAACCAAATTACCCTTTAGCATGCCTAAGAGGATTTTGTCTGTCGTACGTTTCAGGATCTTTATGGTGTGCATATCTACTGAAAACCATTTCCCATAAAAATACCAAGGGAGGGCATTGCGATGGGATTTTAAGCTTATTTAAAGTTAATTGCAGATTCATTTCACTGCACATTCATTGAGGGGTTTTCTTTCTTCATTATTAACATGAAGAAATGGCGGGGGCTCTGCCAAAAGTCTGAGAGGAGAGCGTGGCTGCTCTGAGAGTTTCCTGCGGGCAGCAGACGTCTGCCTAAGGACTGCCTTCTTGGGCTGCCAAGGTACTGGCTTATCCTTGGTTAGACGGGACTGAGGCACAGAATTGACAGCATGACTCGCTGGGGCATCCGTGGCTTCCGGCTCTCCCCGAACCTCCCTGCCTGCCTGGCTGGCAAACAGCACCACAATGAGGACACAAACAGCACGTTCAGGGTTGCTGAAGAATTAAAAGGCGGCTGAAAGCACAGACTGAAAGGGAGAAACGAGGTGTGCTAAAGTCTCCTGGGGGGAAACGGACTGTACAGCGGAGGCTCCACAGCAAACGTCCCATAGGGCCCCTCTGCTCTGCTTGTGTGTACTCAAGAACTTAGCGGGGTATCCACTAGCAGGAACAATTTGTTCATTCGTGTTAGGTAAGTTGAGACACTCTGAAGGTCTTTGCAAGGAGGCAATTATAACTACGGTTAGTTTCTTTGAACTTCTTGATTTGCTCACCCCATCTTCTATTGAGAGATGCTGAGATCTCAAAGATGCGTTCACTGGGGTTTGGCCTAGGTAAGTCTGTAGGTTCTGGGCATGAAAGAGGCCTTGGTGAGCCTCTGATCTACCTGTTTATTTTACACTGAGGAACCCAGAAGGGGTGAGGAACTTTCCCAGCATCATGCAGCTGGCTGGGGGAAAACCAGGAGGTGGGCCCCCAGCACCTGATTCCTAGTCAGGTGTGAGCCATTCCACGCTGATGCCAAGGGAAAACAAACTCTTAGATTGGAGAGCAGAGGACCGAGCCTGCCTGGAGCCAGGGACTACTGGGCAAGGCTGAGGAGAAGGCATGGCTCCTTCCTGTAGGAAACTTTGGGTGTGAGGGTGGTGCCCTCATTTGGCAAACTAAGATGACTGTTGGCCCAGTATTTCTTTAACTTTCTGGCTTTTCTGTGAATGGTTTATGGACCAGTTTTCTTACTGCAAAGCTACAAAGCAAATATATATATATATATATATATATATATATATATATATATATACACATTTATATAAAATATAAATAAAATATTATATATAACTCTCTCTCTCTCTCTTTCTATATATATATATATATATATATATATATCTCACTGGCCAAGCTGATTATGCGGCCTTTTCTCATGAGCATCTCATTGAGTTCTCACAATTCTATGAGGACAGTACTATTATGACCCCATTTTGCAGGGAGACCGTGGGCATGATGTGAGAGAGTCCACTCCTGCTACCACCCCACAGTTCCTGCCTTGCACAAGCCCTCAGTCCTACCTGGACAGCCCCAGTGGCATTTTGGCTTCCCTGGTATCAGTGTCAGCTCAGACCCCCCTGTCCAGAATTCCTCTAAAAGTCTGATTGTTCTCCTTTTCCAGTGCAGTTATCAAGTAACTGGCTGCAGGACTCTTTGGGAAGGGATCAGGAAATGATTTATCACATATACTTGTGATGGCATTACAGGGTCCTTCCTCGAGGGGATCTGGCCTCCCCTTCAAGTGGTGGGTCCCGTGTCTGTAAACTGACTTAGATCTGGAAGCTGTGTACAGAGCCATTGTACTCTACTGGGGCAGCTGATGGCAGCTTCTGCTTGCCAGCTCTCTATGGTTTTTGTTGTAGTTGTTGTTATATAAGTCAGATAGCACTCTTGTGCCCCTCAGAAGAACAGCACGATCAGTTGGCAATCACCAAGATTGCCGCAGGTCGGGGCGGCCTGATTGCCACTCCAGCCTTGCTGCCTGTTACAGTCATTCTGTTCACTTCCTGCTGCTGAGTAAATGCTCTCCTCAGCATCAGCCTGTCTGGAATCCTATCGCCCCCACCTAGGATTCTGGGCCCCCCAGGTCCACGGCAGCATCTGCGACCCTCAACCCTGTCCTGTCCCAGAAAAAACAGCCACCACCACTGAACTCCTAAAGGGTGCTGGCGGCCCCCTGTCCTGTGCCATTGTTATTGCCTTACAGGGGGCATGGGCTCTGGTTGCTTAGAGGAAACAAAGTGAGCTCTGTGCTTTCACATAACAAGTCCATTCTGCCATTCCCACCCTCCTGAGAATGCTATTCCTTTCTCAGTGTTACGCCAAACATCCCAGCATCTCCACCTCCTAGACCACAGAGTTTTTTTTTTCTAGTATGCTATTTATGTAATTTAAAAACACACACGTATAAAGCTCATTTTACCAGGTTGCATGCATGCAAATTTGAAGACTTATAGCAAAACTACTAGAGTGCTGGCCCAAAACAAGGGCTGAGGAGCAGAAAAGGTGCTAGTATCAGGGTTATGGGGCAAAAAGAAAAAAAAGAATGTGAAGAGAAATACCAGATAGAGCGGCCTTGCATGGGCCCATGAGCGTGTGCTGTGTACTAAGGAATAGTGAACAACTTACATCTGACAACCTTTTGAAAACTATAAGTCCAAACAAGACTCCAGGCCAACCCACAGCTGACTGGGCTCCACGAGACATGTCTCTGATTGTCGGGTGGGTTTGGAGGGCTGATTAGCACTCAAGGAGGTGGCAGTGGGTCCTTTGGGGTATTTGGGAGGAACAGGGGCAGCAGAGGTCCGTCTGGCTGAGGGTCTTCAATGGGAGAAGGGGACAGAGGGTGGAGCTCTGAGCTATAGTGGGGCAAGGGTGCTCAAATACTGAACCTGGAGGTCTATTCTGAGGGAGGGGCTTTGTACCCCTTCAAGCAGGGAGGTCCTCTGGATGGCCCAGCCCTGCAGCCCTAGAGGCCGAGTTGGCTAGAGTCTGGCATCCCACCTGGGGACAGTGGCTGGAGGTGGCCCTGTCCAGAGGGGCAGGGGCTGAGGAGTAGGGAAGTGGGGTCTCATGGGGAAAGGAAATAGGCTGAGGGCCAAGGCAGCTGGGTGCTGACTTCCCACGCAGGGGTCCTTCCTTGATTCCAGGCCTGAAGAAGCCATCAGTAGTATCTTAGGATTGGCTCCAGAGTCCTTGTCAAGACACTGAGCCCTGAGTTATGACGTGCTCCCTCATCAGTCAATATAAAAGACATTCAGCCTTATCTTTAGCCAACCACACTGAGCCTAAACTCCCAAGATCCGCCCTCACATGTGTTCCCATGTGAGGCTGTGTTTCTCTGCTTGGACTGTGTGGTATCCTGACCCTGGTTATTGGCCTAAGGCAGCAATTGATGGTGGGGGAAGATCTTGAGGTCAAGCATCATTTGGCAAGGAACCTGAGTCAGGTGAGGTTTCTGCATGGTCTCCATGCAGCAGGAGGCCACTCTTCTCTAACAAAGGGGAGGGAGCTTCTTCCAGCCTTGGTGTTTCAAGCTATCTGGGGTTCCAAATTCTCAGTCTTGTTTACCCAAATATCCCCATTCCAGGCCTCAGGGTCCCACTCTTTTCCTGTGAAGCCTCTGATATTGACATGGGAGACTTGTCCTCTTAACAGCATTGCCACCTTTACCATTAGATCCTGGGCCTGAGGGTTATCCCAGGGGTGCCTGTGGGTAAGAGCCATGAGATCTGAAATGCACCACAGAGACCCTCTGGCTTTCACGGGGAACCTTGAGTTAACTGCTACCTGATCTGGGCCTGTCACTTTCTTTTCTTTTCTTTCTTTGTAATAGAGTAGTTTCTTTTTTAGAGTAGTTTAAGGTTCACAAAAAAAAAAAAATTGAGAGTACAGAGAGTTCCCAGATAACCTCCACCCCCACACATGTACAGCCCCCCAACTAAAAACATCCCCCACTACAGAGATCTCTGTTATAATCTATGAACCTACAGTGACATGCCATTTTCACCCAAAGTCCATAGTTTACATCAGGGCTCATTCTTGGTGCTGTACATTCTCTGGGGTTTGACAAATAGATAATGACATGTATCCACCATTATAGCATCATATAGGATAGTTCACCATCCTCAAAATCCTTCGTGCTCTGTCTAGTCATCCTTCCTTCCCTTCTTACCCTCCTAACAACCACTGATCATTTTACTGTCTCCATGGTTTTGCCTTCTCCAGAATGTCATCTATAAAATCATGCAGTCTGTAGCCTTTTCAGATTGACTTTTCTCACTTAGTAACATGCACTAGGCTGGGGGTGGTGGCTCACGCCTCTAATCCCAGCAGTTTGGGAGGCCGAGGTGCATGGATCACCTGAGGTCAGGAGTTTGAGACCAGTGTGGCTAACATGGTGAAACCTCGTCTCTACTAAAAATACAAAAATTAGCTGGGCGTGGTGGTGGGCACCTGTAATCCCAGCTACTTAGAAGGCTGAGGCAGGAGAATTACTTGAACCTAGGAGGTGGAGGTTGCAGTGAGCCGAGATTGTGCCACTGCACTCCAGGCTGGGTGACAAGAGCAAAACTCCATCTCGAAAATATATATATATATGTGTGTGTGTGTGTGTGTGTGTGTGTGTGTGTGTGTATGAACTTAAGGCCACTCCATGTACTTTTCAAGTAAAAAGTTCACTTTTTAAAGCACTAAATTATAGTCCATTGTCTGGATGTGCCAGTTTATTTATCCATTCACCTACTGAAGGACATCTTGGTTGCTTCTAAGAGTTTTGACAATTATGAATAAAGCTGCTATAAACATCTGTGTTTTCATGTGCACATAAAATTTCAATTCATTTGAATAAATGCCAAGGACTACGACTGATGGATCATATAGTAAGGGTATGTTTAGTTTTATAAGAAACTGCAACAGTATTCCAAAGTGGCTTTACTAATTTGCATTCCAACCAGCAATGAATGGGAGTTCCTGTTGCTCCATATCCTCATCAGCATTCAGTGGTGTCAGTGTTGCAGATTTTTGCCATTCTAATACATGTGTAGTGGCATCTCACTGTTGTTTTAATTTGCAATTCCCTAATGACATATGATATGAACATCTTTTCATTTGCTTGTTTTTCATCTGTATGTCTTTTTTGGCAAAGTGTCTGTTCAGCTCTTTTGCCTAGTTTTTAACTGGATTGTTCATTTTCTGATTGTTGAGTTTTAAGATTTCTTTGTGTATTTTAGATAACAGTATTTTATCAGATCTGTCCTTTGCAAATATTTTCTCCCAGTTTGTGGCTGGTTTCCTTGTTCTCTTGACTGTGTCTTCTTTGGCAGAGCAGAAATTTTAATGAAGCCCAGCTCATCAATTATTTCTTTCATGGATTGTGCCTTTGGTATTATAACTAAAAAGTCATCATGAAACCCAAGGTTATCTGGATTTTTTCCTGTGTTATCTCCTGAGAGTTTTACAACTTTGCACCTTACATTTGGGTCTATGATCTACTTTGAGTTAATTTTTCTTAGGGATGGAAGCTCTGTGTCTACATTCATATTTCTGCATGTGGATACCCAGTTGTTCCAACACAATTTGTTGTAAAGACATATTTTCTTGATTGTATAGCTTCTTTGCTCCTTTGTCAAAGATCAGTTGACTGTATTTATGTGGATCTATTTTTCTATTTTGTCCCATTGATCTGTTTGTCTGTTATTTCATCAATACCACACTACTGCAATTACTGTAGCTTTATAGTAAGAATTGAAGTCAGTAAGTTTAAGTTCTCTCACTTTTGCTCTCCTCCAATACTGTATAGCTGTTCAGTCTTTTGCTTCTCCATATAAACTTTAGAATCAGTTTTGGGTCTTCAGTAGGTAGCTGAGGAACCAGGTGAAGTCTGTGGACTAGGAAGACTCAATGCTAAGAGCCAATGTAGGACAATTTGGTAGGGTCTGTGGGTGGAAGTGAGAAGCGGCACATGGAAGCAGAAAGATCAGGGGCTGAACATGACTGGCCAGGGCTGCAGTGGGAGGCCTGAGCCTAGCGGGTGGCTGGGGAGCTACTCTAATCCTACTCTTTCCTGCAGGGAAAGGCTACTCTAATCATTTTCTTCTCAGGTGGCCGGCATCTCTATCTGCTGGGCAAGGGTGCATGGCAGCCATAGGGTCTAAAGAGGAAAATGCTTTAGGGTGATCATGAGGCTGAGCTTGGAAATGCTGATTCTGAGGAGCCGCCAAGCTGGAGCTGAAGAAAGGCTCTGCAAACAGGTGAGGCCACAGGAGGGAAGATGGTGTCAGTACCTGGCTGGGTTTCCCTCTTTCCTGTCCCCCAGTCAAGCAGGGAGGTAACTGTGCACTTCAATGCCTCCTGGGAGCTACGTGGCCAGGTGGGAAAAAGAAATCTCTATAAGGCTTCTGCTATGCAAAGCCAAGTCTGCAGAAGGTCAGAGGGCCTGAGGGGGAGGTGAAAGGAAGGGAGGTTGAGAGTCAAGTTGGTGTCTCAGGAGAAGAGGCTGGGAAGAATTCCTTGGCATTGGAGGCTGGTTATGAGAAAGGCTCTTGTGTCCTAGCCAGGCCTACTTCTGGGCAGTGTCGCACCCTGGGGAGGATTGACTTCAGGGTACATGGGATGCTAGGGAGTTCCAACCTTGCGGGTCCTAGCAGCGAAGGCTTCTAGATACATCTCAGAGGAAGTCTATGTGGGCAGATGACCAGAGCCTCCTCCCACCATGCCCAGTGCCTCAGGCCCCATGGGAGGAGGAAGTGAGACCCCAGTAATGGCTGGGGTTAAAACATCTTCCAGCTTGGCAGAAGGGAAGAGGGTGTATAGACTTAGCATTTAAGCTAAATTATGGAAAATAGGCACAGTAATCTTCCACCCAGGCTGGTAAATAAAATATTTCCTTTTTGCCCAAATTTGTCGACACAGATTCCTAGATATAAAAGTTATTGTAATATTAATTACTATTATAACCAATATTACCAATAACAAGTATTTTTTGTAATGCTTGATTTGTGGAAATTCTACACATGAATTATTTAATCTTTAAAATAACCGAGAGAGGCAGATATAGTATAAACCCATTTTACAGATGCGGAAACTGAGGCCAAGAGAGGTTAAGTTACTTGCCTGATGTCACACAGTTATTAATGCTGCAGCTGGAATTAAAATTCAGGCTTTAGAAATTACCATGTAATCTGGTCTCTCCTTCATATCAGCTCTAAGCACTGGCTGTAGGGATTTCAAAATGTGGAATATCCTCTTCATGTAAAATGCTTACCATCATGCCTGGCGCACACTGGCTCTTTAAAGGTTAGCATTATTTTTGTTACCATTTGTCAGAGTAGTCATTCCTCCCATTCTGTATTCTTTCTTTTTTCTTTTTTTATGAGACAGGGTCTTGCTCTGTCACCCAGGCTGGAGTGCAATGGCGCAATCTTGGCTCACTGTGATCTCTGCCTCCTGGGTTCAAGTGATTCTCATGCCTCAGCCTCCTGAGTAGCTGGGATTACAGGCGACCACCACCATGCTGGGCTAATTTTTGTATTTTTAGTAGAGACAGGTTTCACTGTGTTGGCCAGGCTAGTCTTAAACTCCTGACCTCAAGTGATCTGCCAGCCTGGGCTCCCAAAGTGCTGGAATTACAGGCATGAGCCACCGTGCCTGGTCCCATTCTGTATTCTTCCTTGCATATTAAAATAAAAAATAATTTAAACTACAATGAAATGGCCCTTTTCCGTGAAGCTTTTGTCTCAGCTGTGCCAAACAGCATCCGACTGCTGCCTGTCCAGCCCTTGAATGGTATGTGCTGAATCTCTGCAGATTCCTGCCCCTGTAGATGCCTTTCCTGGCCTCTGTCCAGCTGCTCATGGACTACGAGTGACTTGAGAGTGAGGACAGAATCCATGCTTCCCTGGGAGCGCTTGACACCACCTGGATATCCCGTTGAGGCTGAGGGCACCTGTGGGTGTCCCAGAGAGCACCCACTTGCTTTTGTGGGCAGGACTGCCTCTCTCCTCTCCCAGGGACACCAAGGCTGAACAGGCTCCAGCCAAGCAGTTCCTCTGGGGAAGATCAGTCCTTAGCAAAAGTGTCCTTCCTTTCCTTGTCAATATGTAGTCTGGGGGCAATGGCTGACCTCAAACCCCTAATTGATGGTTGCCTGGTCTCTCTGATTCTCTTTTCATCCTCATACCTTTGTGGCTAACATCTCATTCCTTTGCCTCAATATCTTCGGTATTGTGTAGAAGACAGACCATGGGCTTAAAATAAGTTCTGGATCTGAATCTTGGGCCCACTCATCGTAAGACATTTAACTTCTGAGAGCTGCAATTGTTCCATCTGCAAAATGTGGTAAGAATATTCTTTTCACAGGGTTGATGTAGAGGCACCTGGCTCAGTATCTGGTACATAGCAAAGGCACATACCTAATAGTCTTTTTTCTGTCTTCCTTTAATAATCATTCTGTGCTGCCAATTCTGGAAGTAAAAGGTTGAAGACACAATGCCTTACTCTAAAAGAATACATCTCTAGTTTTAAAGACTTCTGAAGGCTGAAGGTGCTCTGGGATCAATGGGCTTTTGGCTCCATTGCAGCCACCCCTCCCCCCCATACTAGTCTCACCCACTTTGTGAGTTGTTGATCATTGTGGCCAAAGAGCCATTACTCATACAGTTTAGCCAGTGTTTAAGAGCTCTGGTTCTGAGTCAGACAGACTGAGGTTCAAACTTCAGCCCTGCCTGGCTGGTGACATTGGGTGATTTATGTAACCACTTGTACTTCAGTTTCTTTATATTTTAAATGGGTATAATAATTGTGTTACCTCATAGTGCAGTTGTGGTGATGAAATGGGATAATGCACACAAAACATTTAGCATAATGCCTGGCATTCAGAAGTGCCCACTAAAAGTTAGCTATCATGATCACTATTACAAGATGTTCTGAAGAACTTTGTTATTTCTGCAATTTTAGTGCAGTTCCTGGGCTCCTCAAAGACAAGATAAAAGTCACTTGTCATCCACAGGGTCTGGTGTTAGTAAAGCTGAGGGAGGCATGAAAGCAATGCGATAAAGTCACTGCGGTGATTGTGGGACCTAGGTGGTGAAGATAATGTGAATCATGAATCCATCTGGGGACAACTATGCCCAATCCAAAAATGTTTCCAGACTTTGTTTCAGGGAGTTTGGTGAATTGGACACATTGAATTATATCCTAGAAGAAGAAAACAGTTAAGAAAAAAAGACAACTGGATAAATGGTTTTGAACAAAAAAAAAGATTTTAAATGAAGAGCTGAGCAGATAAGAAAATAATGAATGCACAGAAACAAAAGAAAAAGAAGACAAATAACAACGACAGTCATAACAATAACAGGGAAGGCAGATAAGTAAGCTAGCAGAAAAGCCAGTTCACCTTGAAGGTATATGCCAAAAACAATGGCCTTGAACTTCAGTTTTTGAAAGCTGGGTATGGTATGGGAGGTAAAATGTTAATTCCACTCAGGCTGATAAATCTAATAGAGACCCTCACATAGAGCTGGGACTCAAAAGGGCTGTGTCTCTAATGTAAAGGTAAATGTCTAATGTCCAGGAAGGAGGGGACAGCAGGCACACTTGCCCTTGCCTGACAAGACTGGACACTGGGTGGAAAGAAAAAGTATTCTTTGTGAAATTATAATTGCAGGCTGGCCCTGTAGGTCTGCAGCCCAAATTCATTCTGCTTATATGGTCTGAAATACCTTAAACAGAGAATTGAATTTAAAGCAGTCTTAGGTTTGAATTGCTGGCAGAAGCAAATGTAAAGTATCCAGAGGAACACAACTTCAACCCTAGGCTCAAAGAATCCCCACAGATAAAATTCCAATGAATTTCTGCTCACAGTCAAAAATCAAAAAATAGGCATGAAAAATTACACCATGAGCAAGAGCCAGCAGAAAAAACAGACAGCAGAATTAGTCCAGAAAAGACTTTCATATCAGAATTAATGGATACAGAGTATTAAGGAAGTATGTTTAATACATTTATAGAAATGAAAGAGATACTTGAAAATAAGCGAAGAAAGAGATAAAAGAACATAAGTACTTTGAAAAGGGAAAAAAGAAAATAGAATATCAAAGGAAGAACCAAGATGAATTATAAAAGAACCAAATAAAACTTTCAGGAATAAGAAACAGCAATTGAAATCTAAAATTTGAGTAGATGGGTGATATACTAGAAGCAGCTGAAGAGAGAATTATGAACTAGATGATAGATCCGAAGTAATTACCTAGAATGTATCCCAGAGAGAAAAGACAACAGAAAGTATGAAAGGAAAGTTAAGCAACATGGAAGATGAGTAATCTCTAATCAGAGTTTCAGAAGAGAAGATAGAAAAATCATAGCTGAGAATTCTCCAGAATTGTTGAAAGACAGTAAACTTTAGAACTAGGATGCTCTGAATTTCAAGCAGGATAAGAAATTTACCCCTAGACATATCATTGGAAAAATGCAGAACACCAAAGACAAAGAAAAGATTACAAAAGCAGCCAGAAAAAGATGAATTACCTACAAAACAATTACCCTTGCAAGGGGAATAAAAACCAGAAGATAATAGAAAAATTGTTGAAAGAAAATAACAGTCTAAAATACAGTTTTATACACAATACTGAGTATACAATAGTCAGCAAAAATATCTTTTAAATGGGAGGCCAAAATAAAGTCATTTTTAGACAAAAAAATGAAGAAGTTGAAACCAGCAAATCTTCACTTAAGGAAATTCTAAAATAATATACTTCCTATAGAAGGAATGTGATCTCAGACGTGATCCCAGATCTCAGATATGATATACAAAGAGGAATTAAGAGGCAAGAAATTGGTGAACATGTATGGTCATATCTAAATATGCAATGATTGTATAAAATAAGACATAATGTCTATTTTTTGGCTAAAGGAAAAATAGGATAAAAAGTAGATCCCAGTAACTTGCAAGTTGGGAGGTGTAATCAGAGTTAAGTATTTAAAAATCCATGAATTTTTCAGAAAAGGGGTAAGGATACTAATTAGCTTTAGACACTATTAAACATACTTGTTGAACTTTCTAGGGTAGCTACTATAATAACAGAGGTAAAAAATTGAGTGAGAAAAACAAATCAATCACCCTCCCTCCACCAAAAAAATGACAAGGAAAGAGAAACCAAATAAGAAAAAGAGAAAAAAATGGGACAAATGTGTACAGTACAAAATAAGATAACAAAAATAAATCAAAATATGCCAACAGTCACAATAAATGTAAAGTAACTAAAATTTCTGGTAAAAGACAAGGATTTTTGGAGTTATTTTTTAAATAAGCAAAATTCAGTTTATATGCTTTTTACAAGAGACATAACTAAAATATAAGCATACATAAAAGCTGAATGTAAAAGGCTAGAAAGATATATACCAGGCAAATACTAAGCCAAAGAACATAAATGATGTGGTGATATTAATAGAAGAAAAATAGTATTTAAGGAAAAAAGGATAACTTCAGACTTACAGTTCCATTACATAATGATAGGACATTCTTCACTAGGAAGATGTAACAATTCTAAACCAAAATAAACCTAATAAAAATAACATTAAAATATGTAAAGCAAAAATTGCCAGAACTATAAGAAAAAACTTACAAATTCACAGTCAAAATAGATTTTAATTTTCTTCTCTTATTAATCTGTGCGATTAAAAAATTAACAAAAATTTAGAGTATTTGAACAACACAAAGATGAAGTTTGCCCTAATAGACTTTTACACACAAATAGAGAACACATTCTTTTCTTTTTTGTTTTTTAAGTTCAGGGTACATGTGCAGGTTTGTGTATTTAGTCTGTTTTCATGCTGCTGATAAAGACATACCCAAGACTGGGCAATCTACAAAAGAAAGAGGTTTAATGGGACTTACAGTTTCACATGGCTGGGGAGGCCTCACAATCATGGTGGAAGGCAAGGAGGAGCAAGCTGCATCTTACATGAATAGCAGCAGGCAAAAAGAGAGCTTGTGTAGGGAAACTTCCGTTTTTAAAACCATCAGCTCTCGTGAGACTTATTCACTATCACGAGAACAGAGCAGGAAAGACCCGCCCATATAATTCAATCACCTCACACTGGGTTCCTCCCACAACACATGGGAATTGTGGGAGTTACAATTCAACAAGAGATTTGGTTGGGGACGCAAACCATATCATTCTGCCCCTGGCTTCTCCTAAATCTCAAGTCCTCACATTTCAAAACCAGTCATGCCTTCCCAACAGTCCCCCAGAGTCTTAACTCATTTCAGCATTAATTCAGAAGTCCACAGTCCAATGTCTCATCTGAGACAAGGCAAGTCCCTTCCACCTATGAGCCTGTAAAATCAAAAGCAAATTAGTTACTTCCTAGATACAATGGGAGTACAGGCATTGGGTAAATACAACCATTCCAAATGGGAGAAATCGGCCAAACCAAAGGGACTACAGGCCCCATGCAAGTCCAAAATCCAGCAGGGCAGTCAAATCTTAAAGCTCCAGAATGATCTCCTTTGACTCCATGTCTAACATCCAGGTCATGCTGATGCAAAAGGTGGGTTCCTATGGTCTTGGGCAGCTCCACTCCTGTGGCTTTGCAGGGTAACGCCTCCCTCCTGGCTGCTTTCACAGGCTGGCATTGAGTGTCTGTGGCTTTTTCAAGCCCATGGTGCAGGCTATCAGTGGATCTACCATTCTGGGGTCTGGAGGACGGTGGACCTCTTATCACAGCTCCACTAGGTGGTGCCCCAGTAGGGACTGTGTGTGGGGGCTCCAACCCCACATTTCCCTTCTGTATTGACCTAGCAGAGGTTCTCCATGAGGGCCCTGCCCCTACAGTAAACTTCCACTTGGACATCCAGGCGTTTCTATACATCCTCTGAAATCTAGGTGGAGGTTCCCAAACCTCAATTGTTGACTTCTGTGCACCCACAGGCTCAACACCACGTGGAAGCTGCCAAGGCTTGGGACTTGCACCCTCTGAAGCCATGGCCCAAGCTGTACCTTGGATCCTTTTAGTCACAGCTGGAGTGGCTGGGATGCAGGGCACCAAGTCCCTAGGCTGCACACAGCACCAGGACCCTGGGCCCGGCTCATGAAACCATGTTTTCTTTCTAAGCCTCCATGCCTGTGATGGGAGGGGCTGTTGTGAAGACCTCTGACATGCCCTGGAAACATTTTCCCCATTGTTTTGGGGATTAACATTCGGCTCCTCATTACTCATGCAAATTTCTGCAGCAGGCTTGAATTTCTCCTCAGAAAATGGGATTTTCTTTTCTATCACATTGTCAGGCTTCAAATTTTCCAAACTTTTATGCTCTGTTTCCCTTTTAAACTGAATGCTTTTAACAGCACCCAAGTCACTTCTTCAATGCTGACATTTTTTCTGCCAGATACCCTAAATCATCTCTCTGAAGTTCAAAGTTCCACAAATCTCTAGGGCAGGGGCAAAACGCCACCAGTCTCTTTGCTAAAACATAGCAAGAGTCACTTTTACTCCAGTTCCCAACAAGTTCCTCATCTTCATCTGAGACAACCTCAGCCTGGATTTCATTGTCCATATCACTATCAGCATTTTGTTCAAAGCCATTCGATATGTCTCTAGGAAGTTCCAAACTTTCCCACATTTTCCTGTCTTCTTCTGAGCCCTCCAAACTGTTCCAACCTCTGCCTGTTACCCAGTTCCAAAGTCTCTTCCATATTTTTGGGTATGTTTTCAGCAGCGCCCTACTCTACTGGTACCAATTTACTGTATTAGTCTGTTTTCACACTGCTGATAAATACATACCCAAGACTGGGCAACTTAGAAAAGAAAGGTTTAATGGGACTTACAGTTCCACATGGCTGGGGAGGCCTCACAATCATGGCAGAAGGCAAGGAGTAGCAAGTCATATCTTACATGGATGGCAGTAGGCAAAAAGAGAGCCTGTGTAGGGAAACTCCCATTTTTAAAACCAGCAGATCTTGTGAGACTTATTCACTAACACGAGAACAGCTCAGGAAAGACCCGCTCCCATTATTGAATTGCTTCCCATTGGGTTCCTCCCATGACACGTGGAAACTGTGGAAGTTACAATTCAAGATGAGATTTGGGTGGGGACACAGTCAAACCATGTCAGTTTGTTACACAGTTAAACTGGTGTCATGGGAGTTTGTTGTACAGATTATTTTATCATCCAGGTATTAACCTTAGTACCCATTAATTATTTTTCCTGATCCTTTCCCGCCCCCCGCCCTCCACTCTCTGAAAGGGCCCATTGTTCTTTTCAAGCACATGTGGAACATTTATGAAAATTTATCATGAGAAAAGTGATGAAGCAAGCCATAACAATTTCAAAAGGAGTGTTATTATACAGGCCATGTTATTTAACCATAATGCAAGTAAGTTAGAAATCAACAACCACAATGAAAAGAAATTATAAACTCCCATTATTTTGGAAGTTAGAAAAGGGAACACTGAACAACTCACGGGTTAAAAAACTTATAATAGAAATTAGAAAATATTTATAATTGAACATTAATGAAAATATTACACATCAAAACATGATAATACCACCAGAGCAGTATTTACAGGGAAGTTCATAGCATTAAACACTTATATTAGAAATGAAGAAAACCTGAATATTAATGAGGCATACATGAAACTTAATGAGTTAGAATAAAAACAGAAAGTGAAGGAAGGTGATAATAAAGGTAAGTGAAGAAAGAGAAAATAGGCATACAGTCGATATAATAAAAACACTTCAGGCCAGGCGTGGTGGCTCACGACTGTAATCCCAGCACTTTGGGAGGCCGAGGTGGGAGGATCACCTGAGGTCAGAAGTTCGAGGCCATCCTGGCCAACATGGCAAAACCCCGTCTCTACTAAAAATACAAAAACTAGCAGGGTGTGGCAGTGCAGGCCTGTAATCCCAGCTACTCGGGAA
Source organism: Homo sapiens (assembly GCF_000001405.40). Taxonomy (NCBI): domain Eukaryota; kingdom Metazoa; phylum Chordata; class Mammalia; order Primates; family Hominidae; genus Homo; species Homo sapiens. The sequence continues at coordinate 70,590,337 of NC_000015.10, read as the reverse complement.
GCTGAGGCAGAATTGCTGGAACCTGGGAGGCGGAGGCTGCAGTGAGCCAAGATCATGCCACTGCACTCCAGCCTGGGCAACAGAGTGAGACTCTAGCAAACAACAACAAAACAACACAACAACAACAACAAAAACAACCAAACAAAAGAAACAACAACAATAAAAGAACAAAACCACTTCAAAGTTAGTGTTTTGAAAAGATTAATAAAATAAATTTACCAAGATTGACTGGAAAAAAACCCAACAACCAGGCATAGTATTTGGAATGAAAAAATATCCCCAGTTTACAAGAGGTCCATATCATTCTTAGTTATTTTACAGATGAGATTTAAAATTCCTTCTAACTTCAGTCTAAGTTCTTCTTGGCAAACCTGAGCCCAGAGACTAATGTGATTTGCACATGGACAGAGAATCGCTGTGCTTATCTGTCACGTCTTGCACTTGCCTGGCCTTCACAGCAACTTTTCCTTTCACTTGGTCTGCCATTTCTACAGGAGAATTATTCCTTTGAATCTGAATCCAAGGCACCTCTTAAAATAGGTGAGTATTGGCGATGGCTCATGGCAGGCGAGGGGGTGTCTCAAGATTCCCTTCTGGCCCATTCATATGACCCATCTTCATGGAGCCCCTTTACTGTATATTGGAAAGACAAATGTGGTAAGAGTGAAAAATTACTGATCCTACCCTCTAGTAACAGTTTCCCATAGAGAGGCAACTGTCTTTGGAATAATAGTGTGGTAAGCCACTGGGATAGAGGGGGAGGGTGCATATAGGAGTCCAAGCCACAGGAATGATGTGTTAAGTTGCCATGCATGAGAACATGAAAATTTGGTTTTTACTCATTGGAGGGCTGGGAAGGGAGGATCAGAGGAGAAGAGAGGGAGAGAGAGGGCAGTCAGAGGGTGTGAGGCTGGGGACCACAATGGGCTGATGTGGTCAAGATCTTTTCTCTAGGGGGCTGGGGTGGCTGAAGAATTTCTAAGAATGAGGCTTCCTACTCCTTTGTCTCATTATGTGTGAGATGTTGCAATGTGGCATGCCTCTGTCTGTCTCTTTACTATAAAACATTTTCAGTTAACCCACCTCCCTCTGCAATGCTTCCTGTGAAATTGTAAAAATGGAAGTCTAGTGGTTTGCCACTTCAGGTTCCAGAGTTAAAGAGAAAAGTGAGCAGGAGCTTAATGTCAGTGGTGATCAGGAGAATGTGAGCCCACTGGGAGCTGGCAGACATCTTGTAGGGGAGAGCTTTGAACTTCTGGGTGAGGAAATTGTGTTTGTACCAGTTATGATTGCAATTTTTGACAAGTAAGAGGAAAAACCTCCAAAGAGAGGTTTGAACAATCAAGGGGCTGGTACAGTGTCTGGAAGTTGTCACCAGGGTCCCAGGTTCCTTTTCACTTGCTGTTCTACCTTTGTGTGCAGCTTCTGTCCTCTTGGTTGCATGATGGCTGCTCCTCCTCCAGACATCTCGCCCATGTTCCAGGAAAGAAGAACAGGGAGGGGAAAAAAGGACAGATGAATGAATGTATCCTCTTTTGAAAAGCTTTTCTGGGAGTGCCATCCAGTGACTTCTGCCACATATGGGTCACGTGGCCACACTTCGTGGTAAGAGAATCTGGGAAGGAGACTATTTTAGCTGGGCTTATTGTCTTCCTGAACAAAATCAAGATTCTATCATTAAAGATGACTTGGAAAATGGCTGTTGGGTGGGCAATTGGCCGTGTCTACTGCAAACTCATCTAAACTAGAACTAAGTGGGCTGGGAGATCCCAGGAATCATCTGGGTTATATGAATAAGACAGCACTTGAGGACTTCACAATTTAGAAGGGAAGACAGATAAGTAATTGGAACAACAAGAACACTGAATTACGTTTTAATATAATGTGGTTAGAGGAAGCAATCGAAGCAAGCACAGGAGGCTTTGAAGCAGAGGTGGGGTGGGGAGGAGGCACAGGAGCAGGAGTTAATCACAGGACAGTGTGTCTATCGCATGAGGTGGGGTGGGGAGGGAAGAGGACGTCCTCTGCAAAGGGGACCCTGTAAGTGAGGGATAGTGTGTGGAATCACAAGCCGTTTTGTATTATGGGGACCAGTCTAAGGTGGGAAGGGATGGGGTGTGAAGTTGGAGACATCCGCAGGGGTCGATGGTCAAGGTTCTCTCTGCCTGGGTACGAACCTTGGCCTTCATTCTGAAGGCTGAGGCACTGAAGGGTTTGAAGCAGGGAGTGGCCTGGTCTGAACTGTGTTTTGCATAGCCATTCCGGCAGCGATGTGGGGGTGGCTTTGCTTAGACAGAAGGCAGAGAGGTAGGGGGTGGGGAGGCATCTCTGAAGACTCTCAGGATGTAGCAGGAGAGTCTATACTGCCTGTCCCAGCTCTGTAGTCTGGGTGATGAGGTTTGGTGGTGCTCTTTACTAATTTAGTCCAGGAGGAGGGGCAGGGGCATCCCTGGGCAAGGGGAATAGGGATGCGTGCTCCTAGTTCTGTATGGAGTTTGGAGAGTGAACTGGAATGAGGAGTGCCAGACCCAAGCAGATCTTCTCCGTTTTTAAAGAGGAGGAAATAGCTCTGAGTGGGACAACTGAATTGTCCAACGTAGGTCACGCTGAGAGGTGACAGCGTGCTGGCAGTCCTCACAGCCCTCGCTCGCTCTCGGCGCCTCCTCTGCCTGGGCTCTCACTTTGGCGGCACTTGAGGAGCCCTTCAGCCCACCCCTGCACTATGGGAGCCCCTTTCTGGGCTGGCCAAGGCCAGAGCCGGCTCCCTCAGCTTGCGCGAGGGAGAGGCGCGAGCGGGAACCGGGGCTGCGTGCAGCACTTGCGGGCCAGCTGGAGTTCCGGGTGGGCGTGGGCTTGGAGGGCCCCGCACTCGGAGCAGCCGGACGGCCCTGCCGGCCCCGGGCACTGAGGGGCTTAGCACCCGGGCCAGCGGCTGCGGAGGGTGTACTGGGTCCCCCAGCAGTGCTGGCCCACCGGCGCGCTGCGCTTGATTTCTCGCCGGGCCTTAGCTGCCTTCCCACGGGGCAGGGCTCGAGACCTGCAGCCCGCCATGCCTGAGCCTCCCACCCCCTCCATGGGCTCCTGTGCGGCCCAAGCCTCCCCGACGAGCGCTGCCCCCTGCTCCAGTGCCCAGTCCCATCGACCGCCCAAGGGCTGAGGAGTGCGAGCGCATGGCGCAGGACTGGCAGGCAGCTCCACCTGCAGCCCTGGTGCGGGATCCACTGGGTGAAGCCAGCTGGATTCCTGAGTCTGGTGGGGACGTGGAGAGTCTTTATGTCTAGCTCAGGGATTGTAAATACACCAATTGGCACTCTGTATCTAGCTCAAGGTTTGTAAACACACCAATCAGCACCCTGTGTCTAGCTCAGGGTTTGTGAGTGCACCAATCCACACTCCCTATCTAGCTGCTCTGGTGGGGCCTTGGAGAACCTTTATGTCTAGCTCAGGGATTGTAAATACACCAATCGGCACTCTGTGTCTAGCTCAGGGTTTGTGAATGCACCAATCAACACTCTGTATCTAGCTATTCTGGTGGGGCCTTGGAGAACCTTTGTGTCCACGCTCTGTATCTAGCTAATCTAGCGGGGAGGTGGAGAACCTTTGTGTCTAGCTCAGGGATTGTAAACGCACCAATCAGCGCCCTGTCAAAACAGACCACTGGGCTCTACCAATCAGCAGGATGTGGGTGGGGCCAGATAAGAGAATAAAAGCAGGCTGCGCGAGCCAGCACTGGCAACCAGTTGGGGGTCCACTGCCGCAGTGTGGGAGGTTTGTTCTTTCGCTCTTTGCAATAAATCTTGTTACTGCTCACCCTGGGTCCACACTGCTTTTGTGAGTTGTAACACTCACTGGGAAGGTCTGCAGCTTCACTCCTCAAGCCCGGGAGACCGCGAGCCCACCGGGAGAAACGAACAACTCTAGACGCGCCGCCTTAAAAGCGGTAACATTCACTGCGAAGGTCTGCAGCTTTACTCCTGAGCCAGCGAGACCACGAGCCCACCAGAAGGAAGAAACCCCGAATACGTCTGAACGTCAGAAGGAACAAACTCCAGAAGCGCCACCTCAAGAGCTGTAACACTCACCGCGAGGGTCCGCGGCTTCAGTCTTGAAGTCAGTGAGACCAAGAACCCACCAATTCGGGACACAATACCTATAATCCCAGTACTTTAGGAGGCCAGGGCAGGCGGATCATCTGAGCTCAGGGGTTGGAGAGGAGCCTGAACAACATACCGAAACCCCGTCTCTACAAAAAATACAAAAATTAACCGGTTGTGGTGGCCGGTGCCGGTAGTTCCAGCTAGTGGGGGACTGCGGAGGTGGGAGCTGAAGCGGGAGGATCGCTTGAGCCTGGAGGTTGAGGCTGCAGTAAACAGGGATTGCGTCAGGACACTCCAACCTGGGGAACAGAACGATGCCCTAAAAGGCTGGCTGAGCTGACTGGAGTCCAATCTCCTGACTCTCAAGTAAGTGCTCCGCAACAACTACCCGTGGTTGTACAGGTCAGAGTTCAGGGGAGGCTGCGGGGAGAGAGACAGAGGAGGCTCTGGAGAGGGAGGGGTGAGGTCACCTGGGGTGACAGGGCACTGTGCAGAGACTGGGGGCGGGGAGGAGAGGAGCTGCCAAAGACGTTACCTCGACTGCTGTGGTTCTCAGAGAGCTCGGGAAGTTAGCTGTGGGCTGGGGTCGAGGGGGGGAGGGGGGAAGGGGATTTCCATCTGCGGATGGAGCGCGTTCACAGAGGGGACCAGCGCGTCCCAGCTACCCAGCTCCCAAGTTGTCCAGTCCCGCCTGGAACCCAGAACCCCTTGACGCTGAAACCCTGCGCTCCTGAGAACTGCTGCTGCCGGGGGAGGGGTCCTCACCCGCGGGGCTCGGCCTCTGGTGCCCGCCGCGGCAGCGACCCTGCTCGGGCTGGAAAGGGGTCCACGCTCGGTCCGCAGGGGGCGCTGCGCACCGGGGCAAAGGCGCGGCGCACCCGGGCAAAGGGGAGGGGCCCGCACAGGGTCGGCGGCGGCTCTCCCAGCCCGGCGGAGACCTGCCTGGCAATCGCTGCGCATCGGCGGTACCGGGAGGCAGGGGCCCGGGGATAAGAGAGCTTCAGACTTCAAAGGAAATGCTGGGGTCGCCCAGCGGCGGAACCCGGGCAGCCTGGGCAGGGACGGGCGCGGATTCGCCCGGGTCCCGCTGCTCTGTCTTTGCTGTTTCTTTGGTGGAGGCCTGACGCCCCTCCCCAGACCCCCGGGGTCTGTGACGGGGGCCGAGGGGCTCTGACCCGAGCAGCCCCCAAGTCCTCGCGGGTCAGGCCCACTGTTTACAGGGATTCTGCCCAGATGAGTCACATCAAAGGCCTAAGCCACAAGTGATTCCACTTAGAAAAGAATTGCCTACGGGTGTCTGACGGCGTTTTGCTGAAAAGGAATCCAGGTGGAATTTATTGATTTTACTTTGCGGGCGAGGGTCAAAAGGCTTGTGGCCCCTTGCTAGCTTGTGATTTGGGCTTATTTCTCCTCTCCTAAAGCCCAATTTCCCCATCTGTTAAGTGAAGAGGGACATGTCTTATAGGATCCAGCCTGGGCTGAGTCGTCTAAACTCAGGTGTGATCTGAAGGAGAACTCAATACAGAAGCCATAGCAATCAAAAGCCTCCCACACTTCCCCTCTGGCCCCCTAACTTGGAGAAGCAAGTGGAGTGTGTGCTTGTGGCTGGGGTGGGTGAGGAGGCAGGTAAGCCGTGGCCCAATGAAGACATTTATGGAGACTATTGACTCGCATCCACCCCCGTCTTGCCTTCTGCCAACATGGTAGAAGGATCTCTCTCTGCTTGAGTTCTGAAATCAGGTTTAGCCCCAGTGTTGAGTTGTAATTCCACCCCCAGGGAAGGCTAGGAGAACCTTCTTTTACCACTCAGCGTGTGGTATCGGTCAAGCCAAGCATGAACAAGCATGAAGCAACTGGTCTGTCCTCTCTCACCCACTGCAACTCTTCTCAACCTTCCATTTTATTAATAACTATTGCCCAGAATGGGCTCCTCCCTGTTGAGGCTGGAGGACTAACCCCCACTTTCCCTGCCTCTCGCCCTGAGGCCCCTCCCGACTCTACCATTATGTTGAGCTTTTTGAAGAAACTTCTATGTTTGGCCCTGAGTATCCTTACAGGGTAAGATATTGTGGATTTTCTAAACATTATATAAAGTGCCCATGATGGGGTAATGGCCAAATTCAACATAGTATAATATATGATCCCGTGCTATGGTTAGGAAGGACGACATAGAGCCCTATATACCCATGTGGGCAAATCTCCAGATATATTGTAGAATGAAAAATAGTAAATTTCAGAAGGACAGATTAATTCACAGCAACAATTAGCAAGCAAGCAAACTCCCTACAAGATGACACACTTTCTTTGGGTATGTATATACCCATTCATAAATAAATAGAAAAGGGCCAGGCGTGGTGGCTCAAGCCTGTAATCCCAGCACCTTCGGAGGCTGAGAAAGGCAGATCACCTGAGGTCAGGAGTTCAAGACCAGCCTGGCCAACCTGGTAAAACCCTGTCTGTACCAAAAATACAAAAATTAGCTGGGTGTGGTGGCAGGTACCTGTAATCCCAGTTACTCGGGAGGCTGAGGCAGGAGAAATCGCTTGAACCCAGGAGGCGGAGGTTGCATGCCATTGCACTCCAGCCTGAGAGACCAAAAAAAAAAAAAAAATGTTGGAAACATAGGAACCTCTGGGGAGAGGCGAAGAAGGGGCTAGATTTGGGGATGGGTGCTGAGGGACTTTAGCCTTATCTGTAATGTTTAAATGTTTTATGAGAATTTGTTACATCATTAAAAATTAGTATTTTTAAAAATTTGGCCTTTCTTGTAGTGGCCCCCAGACCTCCTGTTTTAAGCTCCAAGCTGAAGTTCTGCACTCTGGGGGATGTGCTTGTGCCCAGTCCATCCTGGAGACCCCAAACACCTGCAGAACACCTTATGTAATACCTTTAACTGCGTGAGCTCATCTGTCATTGGTCAGCCATAGGTGACTGCAGCAGGACTTTTGGGAGCCTTTGATCTGGTCCCTCTCAGCTCCTGCCTTTCCAGACTCTGATTTCTTGAGCCTCTCCACATGTGGCAGCCCCTGAAGCCGTGGCACGCTTTGTTGTTCTGCCCTGACATTCATCATTCATCCTCTCTCTGACAGTACAGATCATGACTGCCAAAGGGGAGACTGCCTATGTAGGGAGGAAGGCATCTTCTATTTTGTTTCTAATCAGTCTCCTGAAGCTGCCTAGCATTCAGTTCATCTTCTGAGGCCATAGATGCCCCCCCCCCGGGCTGGATGTTATGATAATTTGCTGGGAGGTCTTCTGAGGCTCTACATGGTCCTCCAAAGATCTGACTGTTACTCCTCACTTGTGTACTTGTTCTCCAGCTAGTGATTAGTCATTTACTATGTGCCTGAAACTGTGTCACTCACAAATCTGTTGCTCTATCCACCTCTTCTTGTTCCTGCTGTTACTCCTTGGGCCAGGCCACTATCCCTTCTCATTGGGAGACTACAGCAGTGGCCAACTTTGTCTCTCCAATGTTTCTTCCCTCTCCAGCCAGAGTGAATGTTGTAAATGAAATATGATCACACTCCTCCTTTGCCAAACTCTCCATGGCTTCCCATTGCTCTGGGGTCAAGTCCAAATGCCTTAATATGGCTCACAGGAGTGACTGGTGTGAGCCCTGCTCACATCATCAGCATCCATGCTCTAGTCACGCTGAACACTCTCAGCCCACCCCTGCCATGCTGTGATGCTCTGGTGTCTGAGCCTTAACACATGCTTTTCCCTCTGTCTGCAATACCCTCCTGACCACCTCACTTTTGGTGGGGAGAGGGGCTAACTCGTACTTAAGCTTCAGATCTGAACTTACTAGCATTTTTTCCTGGCAGAAACATCCCTGAACCTCATAGGTTACCCCCAAATGAGTTCTATGCATCTGTCTCCAAGGGTATTTATCACACTTGATGTAATTGCATGTTAAATTGGTCTGTCTCCCACGAGGCTGCAACATCTTGAATAACAACAATAACGTCAACCCCTACCACAGGGTGAGCTCTTTTTTACCTTACCATGTGCCAGGCACCATGCTAAGCAGATTTTATATCCTACGCTATCTATTCTCTCACCTTTCTTGGAGTCCAGAGTCAGAGTTCAGAGCCTTGCACCTCTACCCGCTGGGAAGGGTAGGGCCGTGTCTATTGGATTCACACTTATATCCCTAGCTCCTAGCGTAGTGCCTGCCACCTAGTAGGAACTCAATAACTATTTGTTGAATGAATAAATAAATCAAGAGGCGTTCAGCAATGGGCAGTGAGTGTGATGTGATACCCACTTGGATTAGTTTCCTGTAAATGCAGTAAGGGCTATGCAATATATCCGTGTGACAAAACTGCACTTGTACCCCCTAAACCTATAAAAATAAAAAATGCAGTGAGGGGAAGCAGAGCTATATTATTGATCCATGCCAGAAACCACTGGCATGTATAAGTGAGACAACCTGAAGACTATATCCAGGCAGCACCTCTGGGGCTGTCTGCTGGGCTCGCTGGGCTGCCTAGCTGATGGGATTTGATAAAAGGGGGATGGGCACAGTGAGAAGGTGCCGGATCTGGGGACGAGCTGGGAACCTCCAGGCCTAGCCCAGGAAAGAGCTGTTTTGGGAGTTTTAGGTTAGCAGAGATCTGGTTAGCCCTGAGTGTAAGGAGGTTGATATGGAAGAGACACAGTCCATAGACGTATTTATTTTATTCTGTCTGAAGTGGGATTTCTGATGATTTAAGTCAGTGCTTCTCAACCAGCATGATTTTAGCCCTTAGGAGACATTTGGCAACATCTGAAGACATTTGTGGGTGTCACAACTGGAGTTAGAGAAGTGTTCCTGGCACCTGGTCAGTAGAGTCCAAGGATGCTACTAAATGTGGCACAATGCACACAGCAGCCCCCATAGCAAAGGGATCTCCAGCCCAAGTATCATTGGTGCTGAGGTTGAGAATCCTGGGTTTGAAGGATGGAGCTAGTGAGCCTGGTGGGTGAGTGAGGTTTGTGGAAGTGTCTTCCCCGATGGCCTTTGACTCCTCTTCAGCAATGCAGCCTGTGACAGAGGAGGGACTGGGGGGTGACAGTTACCCCCTCCACTTCCCCTTCTTTCCCCGCTCCCCGAAAAACATGACCAGGGCTTTGGTTCCTCTCTGTGGTCTCCTTGTGCTCCTGTCCATTCCTCACACTTCTGTTATCGCTTCAGGATCAAAAGTTTGCAACATTTGGTGCCCATATTTGAGCAGCGTGGGGGTGAGTCTCAGGTGCGAGCATGCTGGCCTCACTTTCTCCAGGGGACTTTGATGTATGAGCGTGCTCATTGCTCAAAACTGGGGAGGGTCACTATCAGAAAGGGGAGGGCCCAGAACAGGGTAGGGGAGGCTGCCGGCAGGGGCCATCATTGGGATTTGCTCTGGCAAAGTGTGAAGCTTGCCTGTGCCACACCCCTGCTCCTGGTGGCCTGAGCCCCACTTCCTGTGCCTTGAGCACTTCCTGTGTTCCAGAGGCAGATATTGTCAGGGGCTGCTTTGGTCGTGGAGAGCCCTCAACCCTCAAGGAGGATGTAATCTCTTTGGAGAGAATAGAATTCTCTATCCCTCTTTTGTTATTTTGGGTCCTATGAGAAGCAGACTCGACCACAGAATTAGATGTGCCAAATGGGAAACGCCGGTGCAGGGTTCAAGGGCAAGGAGCAGGAGCTGGCCAGAGTCTGACACCTTCAAAAAGAGAGAAGGGAGGGCGCTTGCATAGGAAGGTTCACCGCAGTGCGGAGTGGTTCTAAAGACGTTTTAGCCGGGCTGTTTGCTTTCAGAGCAGCCACAGGAGCTGCATCCTGCACAAGGGGGCTAGGACCCACCGGCTCAGCCACTGGCTCCTCCCACCCCTTGACCCTTGGCATTGCTTGCACGGACTTTGCAGAAGGAGCCTCTGCAGGAGCCCTGGACAACTTCTTTTTCCTTTTCAGAAAGCTAGAAAATGACTGAAGCCCAAACTCCCGCCCTTGTGCTGTCCAGGACCCCCAAGCCCAGCTTCGCCTTGGCACCCCACCCTCATCCTCTCTTCCCCCAACCCCAGCCCTTCACCCTAATCAGGGGCACAGGATCTGCTGCCACTGAGCCCTGATGCCTCCTCCTCTTGCATTTGTCCCAGCCTGCCTCTTGTCCGGGGTGTCTTCTCTTTCCCTTTAGTCCAAATGAAATCTGTTTGTTTTCCTGCCCAAGCCCACTCCCACTTCTTCAGTGCGATTCAGCCCCCACCCATGTCCCCAGTCCTGGGATTTCTGCTTTAGACATGGCAGTGCCACAACTTAGCACCTCATTGTTCTCCAGCGGTTTCAGCTATTGTGATTCTGTTTCTTGAACTAGATTACAAATTCCTTGAGGGTCAGGACAATGAGGAATGGCTCTTTCCCCTCCATCCTTCTTTCCTTCTCTTCCTCCTTCCCTTCCTTCCAATTATCAAGTAGAAATTGATGTCCTCCAACTGGATTGGCCACCACCAAGGTCCTAGTGGGGTCCCCAGGTTGGCAGAGTTAATTGTTTGGTGTTTTTGATCTCCAATTGGCCTGAGCTTGTTCTTTTCCTTCTTTCCTGGATTCCTGTGACTTCCAGGGCCCCCTTTTCCGGCCTCCCAAATTAACTCTATTCTTAGTGCCTTGTTTCATATGGAGGAACCAGTGACTCAGAATAGCTCCATAGGTGACTTCTCCCCGGGGAAATTTTTGACCAAGCCCCAAAGAGTAGAAATGATCAAATTCTAATGAACTTGCCTTGCCTAAGGGCAGGGCCGGGTCTTTAAAGCTTCCCCCTTGAGTTGCAAGGAGACCGCTCTGAGCCATGCCCAGCCACTAGAGATGCCCGTGCAGTGAGCTCCGTCCTTGAGGTCACAGAATTAGATCAAATTCTAATGAATTTGATGTGTGAATTTTATACCTGAGCTAGATACTGTACTGTCCAATTTAGTAGCCACTCATCATGTGTGGCTTTTTACAGTTAAATAAAATAAATGTAGTCTTTCAGGACTACATTTACGGGAGCCACATTTTAAATGCTCAATAGCTGCCAGAAACGAATTTTTTAAAAAGCAGGTGTGGGCTGGGCCTGGTGGCTCATGCCTGCAATCCTAGCACTTTGGGAGGCTGAGGCGGTGGCTTGCCTAAGATCAGGAGTTCAAGACCAGCCTGGCCAACATGGTGAAACTCTGTCTCTACTAAAAAAAAAAAAAAAAAAAAAAAGAAAAAATGGGTGTGCCGGTGGATGCCTGTCATCCTAGCTACCTGGGAGGCTGAGGGACGAGAATCGCTTGAACTTGGGAGGCAGAGGTTGCAGCGAGCTGAGATAGCGCCACTGCACTCCAGCCTGGGCAACAGAGCAAGACTCTGTCTCAAGAAATAAAAAGGTGTGGAGCATATCAGGAACTTCTCAGTCCTAGATCACTCCAGCTAAGGGGTTTCTTGCCTTGCCTAAGGGCAGGGCCGTGTCTTTAAGGCCACCCCCTTGAGTTGCAAGGAGACCCCTCTGAGCCATGTCTAGTCACTAGAGATGCCCATGCAGTGAGCTTGGGCCTTGAGGTCACAGACGCAGTGGTTAATAAGGCTCCTGGTAATCTCCCAGCCCTGAGATCCTGCCTTCTAGTTCTGAGAGCAGCCGGGGGCCAGATACACCTACTCCACAAGGACGGAACCACGTAGAGCTTCCCCCGATAGCCTCTAGAATGGAAGGCCTATTCTGCAGTGGCCTGGGTGCCAACTTCCTAATGGCCTGAGTACCAGAGTGGTAACCAGCATCCGGTGGCAGTTACTGTCAACTGTTCAGCAGAAAGCTGAAGAGCCAGTGGGGCAGCAGAGAGTGTGGGAAGGAGAGGAGGAGGGAGAGAGTGCCAGGGAGCAGGGCAGGATGTCTTTCGGGGGCTGAGACCCAGGGCAGAAGGCTCGGCAGGACCATGGAGGCGCCACGTGCTGACCTTCCCACGAAGAGAAATATCTCAGTTACTCCTATAGTGGAGTGTCTGGGGGATGAGGCTCTTTCTTCAGAGGGGGTCCTGGCAAACCTGGGTGTGCTCACGGTTAGACACCAGGATGCCCAGGGCACTTGATGGGAGGGGTAATGAAGCCTGGAATGTTCAGCCTGCGATGAGATGGCTCAGAGGCTATGGGTGGAGGACGGGGCAGAGCTTTTCAAAATTTGAAGGGTGGTCATTTAAAGCAAGGGCAGGCAAGCTTTTTCTATAAAGGGGCAGACATTTTAGACTTTGTGGGCCTCATGGTTTCTGTCACGACCACTCAACTGAGTTGCGGCATGGAAGCAGCCACAGACAATGTGGGAGCCAATGGGTTAGACGTGTGCCAATAAAACACCGTTTACAGAGATAGGTGGCAGGCCTGCTCAGCCCTACTCTGAGCTAGACCCTTGCTCCTCACAATGTGGTCCTCGGACCAACAGCATCAGCATCACTTGGGGGCATGTGAGAAATGCAAAATCTCAGGCCCAGCCGGGTGTGGTGGCTCACACCTGTAGTCCCAGCACTTTGGGATGCTGAGGCGGGCGGATCATCTGAGGTCAGGAGTTTGAAACTAGCCTGGCCAACATGGTGAAACCCCATCTCTACTTAAAAAAAAAAAAAACCCAGCATGGTGGTGGGCGCCTGTAGTCCCAGCTACTTGGGAAGCTGAGGCAGGAGAATCGCTTGAACCCTGGAGGCAGAGGTTGCAGTGAGCTGAGATTGTGCCACTGCACTCCAGCCCAGGTGACAGAGTGAGACTCTATCTCAAAAAAAAAAAAGAGAAAAGAAACTTCGTCTCAACATAGAGATGAATTTTCCACTTTAAATCCTCAGTCTTGCAAAAGGAGGCTGCCTCTATGGGTAGTGAGCACCCGTTACTGTGATGTGCAAGCAAAGGCTACACACTCAGTTGTTCAGCACATTAGGGAGGACCTGGACAGGATGAATAGCATCGTGGCTAAGGGCTCTCCCTGGGAGGCAAGCTGCCTGAGTTTGAATCCTGATTGGGCAAGAGGATATGTCACTGATCTCTATTGCAGATTCCTTATCTGTCCAATGGGGTAATCAAAGACCTCATAGGGTTGTCCTGAGAATTAATTTGCTCAAAATACTAGAAGAGCACTTACCACACAGTAAGTGCCCAATGTTAGCTGTTACAATCGATTATATAATTCTATAATAGATATCCATATTTTTGGTTGGATCAGGGACCAGTCTTTGTGTCTAAGGTCCCTTCCTTCCAACTCTGAGACTCGAGGAGGGAGAGGATTTGCGGAATCACAATCACAGCCAGTGTGTTTTCAGTATTTAGTAGGAGCCAGGCATTATGCAAGCATCCATTAATGGCTCTCAAATTACTTTCACATACTCGTTGGTGTTTAAGAGCAGAGAGATTATAATCTGTTGCCGCCCAAACACTCTGCATGTTTCAGCTTTAGAAAGTCAAATTGAGCCCAAGAATGATGTGCATAGTTTTGTCACCCACAGATTTATGTCTGGTTGAGGGCCCAGAACTCCCTAGAGCTGGTCAGAGAGTTGCCTTTTCTGGCCACATCACTAGCTCAAATCTCATGATGGCAGTGGCTGGAACCCTTTATTGCAGAAAAATAAGATGCCTGCTGACTCCTAATCACATTCATGTGGGGGTACCTCAAGACTTAATGCCCCTTTTGTCCCTGTTGCTTTGTGTTTATAAGCCCTAGCTATAGGTTTGGTGGAAAGAGGATTTGATTTTTGTTACCGACCTTGGTTTGGATTCGTGCTCCATCACTTCCCAACTGTGTGACCCAGGGAAAAGCTCTTGCCTTCTCTGAACCTGGGCTTCTTTCCTCATCAAATGGAATGATAGTACTATGTGCCTCATGGGGTCATGGTGAGAATTAAGTGGGAATGTATGTAAGAGTGCTTCGTAGACTGCCAAGAGCTTTACAAGTATTGGTTGTCATTTTGATGAAACATATAAGCCTCTTGAGGGTGTTTCCTTCACCCACAGTGCTTGGCACATAACAAGGGGTCACTATATACTTACCAAATGTGAGAGGCACGGATGTCTCCCTGTTGCAGCCTGTGAAGAATCTGTTTTGTATGGCACTGTGGTAAATGCCCCGAGACCTGCCCAGCCCACCCAACTCTTTCCTGCTTCCCCATTCTTTCATCTCTAGCATTCATTATGGGGTGCAGAAATCCCTATCAGCTGGTGATGAGTCTACTCACCTTTCTTCCTGGTAACAGCCACGGCTCGGGGTCTGTGAAAACCGCCACAGAGTTCTTATCTTCCCAAAGAAAGCTTTCAGAAAACAACATCCTGAATGTTTTATGGCTTATGTGTGTGTTTTAGTTTCAAAAAAGCGGTGGGTGGACAGGAAAGTAAAGACTGTTCTTTGTACCCAAGGACAGTATCTTGCAAAGTCTGGGGAGTCTTTTCTTACGAGGTAAAAGTTCTCTCCTCCTCCCCCCATCATATAAACTTTTGGTCTGCTCTGGTTAATTAATTTCAAGTGATGATAGTCTCAGATGAAGCTGTAAATTAGTTTCAAATGGCACAGCCGGGCCACCCACTACTGGAAGATCATATTGCAGTGACAACATTAAAACTTGAACAACCCTCAACAAGCAGGGAGGAGGGGGAATCCTGAAACCTCAAGTAAAAACACATTTCCAGCTCTATTCCTTGCTACAGCCCTTGAGAAAGTGGAAACAGATGGATGGTGGCTTTGATAATGAGAGAGGCAATCAACTTTAGATTAAAAAAAAAAAAAAAAGCTAAACCCTACCAAAAAGGGGTGGGTCTGACAGTAAAATCCCAGACACATAACGTTCCATTTAAGAGGCTATTGACATATTAGCCAGGAACAGAGGGGGTTCTGAGAGAGGTCAACCTTCTCTCCTGGAGCACGGTCCATTGTTCCCTCGCCTCCAGTACCAGAGCGCTCCGGCCCCTAACTGAAACCACGGTGGAGTCTTTGGACGTTAGTGATGGTCAGATTTCCCCTTGGAAATCACTAAGTGTTCCCGGGAGAATTGCCTGCTGCCTGCTGCCAGATCTTAGAGTGGAGAAAGACATTTCTGTTTTTAATTTAACTTAATTATTTTGGGGATTGGGGTGTGTGTATGATTTTTGGTGGTTTGGTGTGGGGGGACAAGATGCCAGGAACAAAGAGCTAGAGTTTGATGTCCAGCGAAAAGACGACTAACGTTGAAATCACAAGACCTGGGTTTGTGCCTCAATTTGGCAACCTACCAGCTGGTTAACTTTACAAATCCTGAGATTTCTTGTGCCTCCATTTACTTGTCTGTAAAATGGGGTTGCAAAAGCACACCTTAGGGTTGCCATGGGGCTCAACTGAGACCATGGATGTGAATACACTTGGTAAATTCTAACGGCCCATCCGTGAAAGTTTCTCAGTGGCCAAATTGGACAGAGTGTTGGAGGAAGGTGTTAGAATAGGAATTAGGGATCTTGGGCTTTTTTCCCCCAGCTCTGCCACTTTCCAACCCTGGGCTTTTTTCCTCTTCAGGTTTACCCTTAGCTCTCTGCCTGTCTGATCAGGGCTGTCACTCCTGTCCTGTCCCCCAGCCAAGAGCTGATGAATGGTGATATGGTTTGGTTGTGTCTCCACCCAAATCTCATCTTGAATTCCCATGTGTTGTGGGAGGTGATTGAATCATGGGGGCGGGTCTTTCCCGTGCTGCTCTCATGATAGTGAATAAATCTCACAAGATCTACTGGTTTTAAAAACGGGAGTTTCCCTGCACAAGCTCTCTTTTTGCATGCTGCCATCCATGTAAGACATGACTTGCTCCTCCTTGCCTTCTGCCATGATAGTGAGGCCTCCCCAGCCATGTGGAATTGTAAGTCCATTAAACCCCTTTTCCTGTATAAATTACCCAGTCTTGGGTATGTCTTTATCAGCAGCATGAAAATGGACTAATACAAATGGTGTGCACCTGTGGACTGGCAGCCCTACTGGGCAGCGCAGCACCCTTTATCCACACCTGGCACAGGCCGGGCACTCAGTAAGTCATTGTCAAATGAGCAGATGAACCTGTGAAGGGGCTTGGGAAAGGAAGAGGGTAATATTGCTGGAAAATGGTGTGATCAAATTGATTTCTCAGTAATCTCAGCAATTCCTCAGGGGACTTTGTCAGAAGATCAGGCCATGTGAGTATCTGTTGTTCAGCAGGTTGTTTGAGGCCCTGGAGAGAGGAGAGACTCAAATGGAACAAAATCCTGTTTTGGTCCTGAGAACATTTGCACGTTTGCCAGTTCAATCATTTTGGAAAATAGAGATTTGGTTCTGATTCAAGCTTCCACTCAGGCTTTTTTCAAAGGCTGCTTTTGATAATATTTATCAGCATCATGGGGACAGGGGCTGGGCTTGTCTTATTTACTGAGTATTCTAAGCATCTAGCAGGTGCCTGACACACAGGAGATGCACAGTAAATAACTAGTGGTAAATGCAGGGAACTCTTTCCCTTTTCTCTCCCCCTTACCAAGCCAAGCTGAACCATGAGACTCGACAGCTCCTGCACAAAGGCAGGCTTCAGAGCTGTGGCCTTCTTAGAAAATTTCTCGATATAGTTGGTGGAGGCATTGTGGCAGAATTCCCCATTGGGGGCCGGTGATCACAGAGTGCATGGGGCAGGGCACTGTTGTGATTCACATTCTCCCAATCTGTAGCCCAGATCTCTGGAGATGGCTTCTAGGGTTGACGGATTACTATTCTGGGGCAGTGCTCCCTGCTGTGGGTAGTGCTTGGTTTTAGGATACACCCTAAATTAGATGTTTCAAGTTCAATTCCTGCTCAATCCACTGACTTCTCCTTGCTCTGCAGTCCTCCACCATGCCGGAATCCACTTGCATTTCTGGCAAGAAGGTTGTTTACGCTCAAGGTCTACAGGGATGGAAGTGGCACCCAGTGAGAGGGCTCTGCCGATGGAGCTGTGAAGGCGTCGACCTCATTCTGACGGGCTTGTTGAGACTGGTCAGCGCCTGGGCAAGAGGGCAGCTGGGATATGTCTATGCCATGTTTGACCCATGCTATTGTTTTTTCCTCCCTTTTTACTTTCTATCTGTACTCCTCTCCTTCTCTTCCACTCCATTCCCCTGCCCACCTCCACACTGAAAATCGAGGCCTTGGGAGGAGAGGTCAAGGGAGGAAAGAATTCTGGAAAGAATTCTTCCACACTTTATAACAAGGAGCCCAGGCACTAGTATTTTCCTCTTGCCATCGGCGGCCAGCCATAAAAAGGGTTGATCCATGAGTTGTTTCTCCAACTCTTCGAGCAGCTCAGTTCATGGCACTGCTATAGTTTAGACTAACCCGCTCAACATTGTTAGAAACATTTAGAAATGTCTCCCCCTTTGCCGCAATTTCCCTCTCTCTGCCGGTGTCTGCTCTAACAGCTGGAAGAAATTTCTCCTTCATCTGCTATATTCAGCCTTTCACTAAGCGCCATCAATTTTGCCTTTGAAATTTCTTTTGTACTGGTCTCCTTCTCTCCTTTCCACCGCTAATCCCGGGGCCTGTCTCTAGCCCTGTGATTCTGAACTGTTTAAGAACCTCCTGACAGAGCTCCCTGCCTCTGGCTTCTCCACCTTTGATCCATTCTGCACAGCCAAGACAGATTCATTTTTCTCAAGCTCTGTTTGCATCTTAGGAGGCCTCAGCTCAAAACCCCTAGGCTCTCTAATGTCCTTGGCATTGCCCAGACAGCTTTCACAGCTCCCTCTCACTCTACCTTCTTCCCAGATCGTGGCTGCTTTTGCCTCCTGTACTGTTGTAACAAATCACCACGAACTTGGTGGCTTAAAACAACGGAAACTTATTCTCTTACAGTTCTGTGGCCAAAAATCCACACTGAGTCTTATAGGCCTAGATCAAGGTGGCAGCAGGGCTGTGATTCCTTGGGAGGCTCCCAGGGAGAATTCTCTTTCCTGGCCTCTTCCAGCTTCTCAGGGCTGCAGGCATTTCTTGGCTTGTGGCCACATCACTCCAGTCTCTGCCTCAGTGGTCATATTGCCTTTTCTTCTCCCTGTAGTGAAATCTTCCCCTGCTTCCCTCTTATAAGATACTTATAATTACATTAGGAGCCCATCTGGATAATCCAGGGTAATCTCCCCATCTCAGAAGCCTTAACTTAATCACATCTGAAAAATCCCTTTTCCCATGTAAAGTAGTAGTTATAGGCTCCATGAAAGGGATGGGGACATGGATCTTTGGGGGGACCGTTATTCAGCCTCTCATCATGGCCAGCTTAATCCTTCCACTTCCCTACTCGCTACTACAACAAGTATCAGTTGAGTATCTACTATGTGCTAGGCACTGTTTTAGGCAATAGGAATCATAATGACTAATGAGCCTTTTCGGATTCAGTCTCCTGCAGGGTGAACTATCCCTTTCCTGAGCTCTTTACCTCTTAGAGCTTGGTATCATTACATAGCATGATCATCACATACTATGTATGTCTGTGTGTTTGACATGTGGTTCATAGCTGGTGAACGGTGCTCTTCGTTTCTATAGGCAGGTAGGATGGACGTGCTTCGTAGGGCCTTTCTCCGCAAGCCCTGACATACACAGCACAGAGATGGGACAGCCCCCTACTACATCCTGCCAGATGTTGCTGGCTTATTTTAAAATTAGAAACGCCTATACAGTACCATAAACCAGTGATGCCAACTGGTTTATACTCCATAAGTTTGTACTCTTGGAAGTGCTAGGGTTGGTTGCAGCCTAATATTTAGGAAGAGTTTTGAAAGGCACTGTGACTTGTAGCTTCACACCTGTCTTCTTAAAAGCCTGGCCCTTTCCCGATTTCAGGTTGACATGTGCCTCCTGCAGGCACTGACACTGAGGCCTTACCGGTGACTGTTTCCTTATTGGTAAGTGTGTTGCTTTCCTAGGTGGAAACTCTCTGAGGAAAAAGATCACGTTACACGCACACAAGCACACACATACACATCTTTGTAACTCTCTGGCCCCCCATTGGATCTAGCAAAGATAACTTGGATGCTAGATATTTGCATACCAGCCAGTGTTGTCCAGCACTTTCGTTCAACTCTTTGACAACTATCGTCACATTCCTATACTGCTTGTGCTATCATTTGATTAATGTTTGTATTTAATTTGTCTCAACTTTTAGCTTGTGTAAACTTATTTTAAAAGGAAGCATTTGCATCTCTACCATAAATAGAAGACCAGAGTCATTTATCATAAATAAAGCATAACTGTAAAAATAAAGATACTGAAAATGAAATAATGTTATTCCCCTAAGAATTAAACAATAAAATATTGAGTAATAAAATTGAGTTGATTCACAAAATTGAATTCATTCACAAAATGAGATCCTCAGTGAGAAAAATGAGCAGCCAGTAATAAAAAATATTAAGCTTGATGTCACTTGATTGGAGATGATAATGGGTTTCTATGTCAATTAAATTATAATGTTTGTTAGTTTTGATGGTAGCCAGCCCTGAGAATTCCATAGTTAGGAAGGGCACCTCACCATTACCCAGATGGTAAATTTTAAAAAGTTAAAATGCCGGCCGGGTGCGGTGGCTCACACCTGTAATCCCAGTACTTTGGGAGGCCAAGGTGGGCAGATCACAAGGTCAAGAGATTGAGACCATCCTGGCCAACATGGTGAAACACTGTCTCTACTAAAAATACAAAAATTAGCTGGGCATGGTGGCACACACTTGTAGTCCCAGCTACTCGGGAGGCTGAGGCAGGAGAATCACTTGAACCTGGGAGGTGGAGGTTGCAGTGAGCCAAGATTGTGCCACTGAACTCCAGCCTGGCCACAGAGCAAAACTCTGTCTCAAAAAAAAAAAAAAAAAGTTAAAATGCTTTAGTGCATATTTTTGGTACATTTGAAAGAACATATGTATTCATCACTTATGTAAAATTATGAACTATAATTATTTTATTTTATGTTTTTTGAGGTGGAGTCTCCCTCTATTGCTCAGGCTGTAGTGCGATGGTGCGAACTTGGCTCACTGCAGCCTCCACCTCCTGGGTTCAAAGATTCTCTTTCCTCAGCTTCCAGAGTAGCTGGGACTACAGGCACGTCCCACCATGTCTGACTAATTTTTGTACTTTTAGTGGAGATGGGGTTTCACCATGTTGCTCAGGCTCATCTTGAACTCCTGACCTCAGGTGATCCACCTACCTTGGCCTCCCAAAGTGCTGGGATTATAGGTGTGAGTCACCATGCCCGGCCTGAACTATAATTATAAAGTCAACTTGTGAACTCACTGCCCACCTTAAGAACATTACTAATAACTGTGTGCTCCTCTCTGATCTCAGCCCATGGCTCCCTCCCTTCCTCAGATAAGAGTTACTCTGAATTCCCTTGCATTTAAAAATAACCACCTATGACGTTCTTAAACAGCATATTGTTTAGGTTTGCTTAATAAAAATGCTGTCATACTGTTAGTATCCTCTAGGAGACTAGATAAATAAATTACGGTCTACGTTGTACACAGCAGATGTTATTCCAGGTGAAAATGAACACATCAGACTGCACGTGACAGCTTGGATGGATCTGTGTGAGGCCAGAAGCTGGTCTCCAATGCTCATTCTGCTCAGGCCAACGGCTTTCACCTCTGCCTCAGGAAATGGAATTTAAAAGGTGGATGAAATTAAAAGGGCTCTCCTTCCTCCACCTTTAACCCCAGTTACTTCTTGTTCAGAGAGTCACCATAGCTGCCTGAGACTGATCTCCTTGGAAAGGCCTGCTTTGAAAGGTTGGCCCTTGGCTGGCATCTGGGAACTTGGATTTCAGGAGGGTTTCCACCATTCCCTAATAAGAATGGCTCACTGTGCCTAAGCTGTCCCAACAATATGCTTTATGTGGAACAGCGCTGTCCTTCTGAGAGTCTGGAATTGCGGTATGTGCTGGACATAGGGGTGCCTATGTAACCAGCTCCCCCTCTAGTGGCAACAGAAACCCTGGGCACAGAGTCTTTAATGAGCTTCCTTGGTAGACATTTGACATGTGTTCTCACTACTCCTTGCTAGAAGAATTAAGCTTGTCTTGTGCAACTCCCTGGGAGAGGATTCTTGGAAACTTATTCCTGGTTTCCTCTAGACTTTGCCCCAAGGGCCTTTCTCTTTGGGGATTTGGCGCTGTATCTTTTTGGTATAATAAATCATAGCCATGAGTGTGACTCTTTGCTGAGTCTCCTGAGTCCTCCAAAGAAATGTCAAACCTAGGTGTGGTCTTGGGGACCCCAACCCTCCTCTGAACCCTCTGTTTTTCCACACCACTGGGAGCCACTGAATAGAGGAGCTTGTGCTTTGCACTTTATACTTTAGAGGCCCCTGCATATCACACACACACACACACACACACACACACACACACACACACACACACACACACACACACTAAAGAACGCATGGCTGCCTCGACACTTAGAATCTGAAGCTCAATGCTAGCCCAGCACAACCTGCAACTCTAAGGACCAGCTCTCATGACTATGACCATTCAGACCCCAGGGAAACCCTTCCGCACATTTCTTGCCTTGGGTCCTGGAAAACTGCATCAAACACCATGAAGGCTGTGTGTTGTTCACTCCAACAGCCTCAGAGACACTGCTTCGGAGAACAGGGAGAATTTGAGCAGAAGTGCTTGGGTAAGAGAAAAGGCAAATTAATGAGTTTGTCAAATCCTTCCTCTCAGCTTGAATGCAATAGATTCTTGTATAACAAATTATTGTTTCCCAGTAGTGCCAAACATTCATTTTCTTGCTTCTCTGCATGTTCTAATTCCTGGTTCTGGAGATAAGAATGAACACAGAATTCACAACACTTGCATATGGATGCTGAGGCATATTTTGCAATAATCAATGATTCGTATTACTCTTAAATTACTATGTATGCAGCTCAAGACGTGACGTGTAAAGTGTAACATTGGCAAACATATATTGAATACTAGAATTGTAAATTTTTATTTGTATAAAAATATTTAATATCTAATTTTAAATGTTTGTTTCAGCTTTAAGTACCTTTGGTTAAAAATATTCATATCCATTAATTATGATTTATATTTTGCTTTTTATAGCAATTTAGAATATTTTAGAAGAAAAATAACTTGCTGAAATCATATTTGAAAAATATTCAATTTGTACATAACTTTAAGATATTTAAAAAATAAAAGTATAATCACAGTTTATTCTCTTTGAATACAGTTATACTTTATTTTTAAATCTTTGACAATTATTATCAATGGAACAAAGTTTTGTAAGGATTAATGTACTTGAAGACTTTGCTAAAATGAAGGCAAAAAGTGTATATTAATATGAAATAATATATGGATTATGTCTCTATTTTATTACTCATCCAAATATCAACAGCCCATCCATCAATGGGCTGCACAGACATGTACAATAATTGAATCCATCTTTGATATTGCTAAGACTTTCAGTCGTATCTAAAAACCACAACTTTATTCATCCTTTAAAATTGTTATGAAGGTATTTGTGGGTCAAGGTAGCAGCAGAACATCATGTGTTATGAGATGGCAGCCTGAGTGGTAACTCACACATGTAGACACATGGTATGTGGTCCCCATTTGTCAATTTCCCTGGCCCCTGCCAATGTTTGGGCTGTTTGGGCAGGCCTGCGTACTCTCTTCATTTTTTTTTTTTTTTTTAGATGGAGTCTCTTCTCTATAGCCCAGGCTAGAGTGCAATGGCGCGATCTCGGCTCACTGCAACCTCCACCTCCAGGGTTCAAGCGATTCTCCTGCCTCAGCCTCCCAGGTAGCTGGGATTACAGGCGTATGACCCCATGTCCGGCTAATTTTTTGTATCTTTAGTAGAGACAGGGTTTCACTTTGTTGGCCAGGCTGGTCTCGAACTCCTGACCTCATGATCTGCCCACCTTGGCCTCCCAAAGCGTTGGGATTATAGGCATGAGCCACCGTGCCCGGCCCTCTCATCTTTACGCATAGCCAGAGAAGGATGTGGTTCTTGGCATGGCAGAAGGCCTTGGAGCAGGATGCCGGGCAACTGTGCAGACCAGGCCACGGCTGCCTTGTATACGTGTCACTGGAGCGAAGGCCACGCCGAGGCCAAGGAAGGGAGAAGTCCTGGGAGTCACCCCAAGGTCTTTGTGAGAGGCCCAGGGAAGCTTCCTCATGCACATTCTAAGGTCCCCCAGCAGCACAGGGCCCTGCCCACCACACTCACAAACATGGATCCTGTGGAACACGCTGCAGTGTGAGGCTTGGGTGAGAGGATTGCAATTTTAGCTCTGCCACTTTCTTCCAAAGTCACTCTGAACGAATCCACTTGACCTCTCGGATCTTGTTTCTACATATGTCAAATGGGAATCCTAATTCTCATTTTCCAGGGCTGTTGTGCAAACTGGGGATATGTATTTAAAGTATATCACATGGCCCCTGGGATGTGGCTTAATACCTGCTAACCAATAATCTAGCACAGGGAAACTGAGAAAATATGTTAAATGAGAAGCTATGGTCATCCTGGCAGTTAGTAGCAGAAAGAGCCCAGGCATTTGGAGGCCCAGTCTGATGTTCTTTACCTTTCCAAGCCCTGGAAACCCACATGTGCTCTGCCACCCATTTGCTCTCCCACCCAGCCCCGGGTTCGAGGTGGTGGCTGTCCTCTGAGCTGCGAGGTGTCCAGGTCCGAGCACCAGCTCACTTTCCTCAGGATCTAGCTCTGAGGATTTACAGCCAGGCTGGGCGCCCACTGGAGGTCCCCTTACCTGTAAGTTATTCCACCGGTAATTAGATTTCTTTCTGTTGTGGGAAGCCAGCATGTGTAAATCCACAGAAACCTGTGACCAGATGATATAAGGGTCACCTGAGCCTCCGTGCTGCCTAAAATGCATCTTCCAGGAAAATGATTTCTCTGGGCACATAAGTTACTGCGTTCCCAGGACAACTGTAGCTCAGGCTCTGACCATTCCCGTAATGCTGTGTTCAAGTGATGTAGTGTTCACAGCTCTCTCGGCAGCCCTCTTGCTCCCCTGCTGTCTGAGTGGAGGAGCCTCCAACACTGGCTGTCGCTGGATACAATAAATGGAAAGGGAGGAAGGACGGGGGAGGGAACTGCTTCCTCGGCAGCCCACCTTCCTGCCCAGGCTAGACCGACTCAAGTTCAGAGAGCCTTAGTCCTATAGGGGAGCCACTTGGAGTCTAGAGACACTTTGAGCTATGGCAGAAATCACTATCTACATGCAAAAGGATAAAATCGGGCATCTACCTTGTAATGTGCACAATAGGAAGTCCCAGATAAATTAAAGAACTGCACATTAAAATTATTAACAAACTGTATATGTGTGTGTGTGTGTGTGTGTGTTTTGGGAGGGTAGTGGTGGGGAAAAGGACTTTCTTTTTTTTTTTTTTGAGACGGAGTTTTGCTCTTGTTGCCCAGGCTGGAGTGCAATGGTGTGATCTCAGCTCACTGCAACCTCTGCTTCTCAGGTTCAAGCAATTCTCCTGCTCAGCCTCCTGAGTAGCTGGGATTACAGGCGCCTGCCACCACGCCCTGCTAATTTTTGGTATTTATAGTAGAGACGGAGTTTCACCATGTTGGCCAGGCTGGTCTCGAACTCCTGACCTCAGGTGATCCACCCGCCTCGGCCTCCCGAAGTGCTGGGATTACAGGTGTGAGCCACTGCGCCCGACCAGGCCTTTCTTAATCTAACACCAAACCCAGAAACCACAATAGAAAAGTTTGGCAGATTGGACCACCTAAAAAGAAAAAAACCCAAACTGTATTGTCAAAGGTACCTTAAATAAATCAAAACATAAATTACAGTCTGGGAGAAAGTATTTGCTACATATTCTAGCAGGAAAACTGTGAATGTCCACACTATAGAATGTATTCCTTCAAATTGATCAGAAACAGCAAAAATGGACAAGTGGGCAACACACACACATACACACACACACACACACGTTATATACAACCACTTCATTAAAGAGGAAACAATTACAAGATAGCCTCACTAATGCCTAAAGAAATGTAAATGAAAACAGCAATGCAGCATTAGTTTTTGCTTGTCCAGTTAAAAAGAACTGGTGAGAATGAAGAAATGAACACAACACACACACACTGCTGGTAAAGTGCCACACACCTTCGAAGGGAAATTTAGTAAAAGACGTATCAACCTAAAATGTGCTTACTGAATAATCTGGCGGTCTCTCCTCCAGAAATTTACCCTCCAAAAATTGTAGCATAAATGTATAAAGATATATGTCCAAGGATATTCACTGTATTACTGCTTATTTTAAGAGCCAAGTTTCTAAAAGTTTAAATTTCCATCAAAGAACATGGGTCAGATAAATTAAGGAATATCTAGGCAATGAAATTCTAGTCTCTGAAAGAAATGAGGTAGACTTGTGTAGTAAGAGCTGTTTTCCGAGCATTTGTCTTGTGCTGGGCACTGATGTGAGTGTTTTATATATGTCACCTCATTTAACCCTCTCAACAACTTTATGAAGTAGGCAATGTTGTCATCCACATGATGCACAAGAGGCCCAGAAAGGTTATTAGCCTGCACGAGGTCACACAGCTGTGAGAAGTCAGAGCTGGCATTAGAATGAGGCAGTGGGTTTCCTGAGGCACCCACTTGGAAAGGGTCACAGATAAAGTTTAAATGTTAAGTGATAAAACAGCAAATTGCAGCAAGATGTAGCATAACTGCATTTTGGTTAAAATATATGTGAATGTATATAACCTATATTATTTATATATATGTCTACATTATCAAAAAAATAAAAAGATTAATTTGGTGGTGATGACTGGAGGGGAAGTGGGAATAGATTAGTTTCTTCCAAAAAAGTAGTGAGATTTAAAAAAGAAAACGGCCTTCTCAGTCCTTTGTTTTTATTTATTTTTCATTATCGATTGACTTGAATAAAATAGAAAATGACCCCATCTGGTGATAAGAATACATCCTTGAAAAATAACACCCAGTTTATGCCAGAAACAAAAATCTCAGTTTGGAAGCAGAGCTGAGTTACTATATAGTGGTAGATAAATCACCAAGGCTGCAGTGAGCTATGATCATGCCACTGTACCCTAGCCTGGTCAACAGAGTGAGACCCTGACTCAAACAACAAGAACAACAACAAAATGCGTGATTGAAAAAGTGGCCTATTGCCTCTGTAGACAATGTGGAAGGGGCTGATGGGGTGGACTGGCCATCTTGTCGATTCTAGGAAGCTTCTGCCTCCCATGCCATCCATGCTGCATTTGCTTCTCTCCTGGTTTTCTTCCCAGTATCCTGTTTCCATGACATCCTGCTCCAATCCTCCAAACCCAGAGAGCAACCCTGGTCAGGGATGGGGAGTCACCATACAATTGAAGTGCCCTGACTTGATTAGGGGATGACATAGGAGGCAAGTCCAGGGTGGAGATCCTGGTCCATTTGCTGGTGGCCACGAGATCTATAGCCGCTTGACACACAGGGATGCTCCGGGCATGGCAGGCACCTGGGGCTCTGTGGACTGTCTGGCGCATGCTGCTGGAAGCTCAGAGTAGTTCAGCACAACCTGGCCACAGAGGTAAGTGCTGAAGCTGGAAGGCAGTGGCCACGCCACAGTGGGCCATGAGAGCCATGTAAAGCAGCTTGGACAGGCCTAGGCCAGTGGTTCTCAGTCAAAGGTCATTGCTCCCCATTTTATAATGTCTGGAAATGCTTTTGGTTGTTACAACTGGGGAGGGAGTGCTACTGGTATCTAGTGAGCAGAGGCCAGGGATGCTGCTGAACATCCTGCAATGCACACAAAGTCCCTCTACCACAAAGAATCATCCAGCCCCAGATCTCAGCAGTGCTGAGATTTCAAAACCTGCCCAGATTAGACCTTTCTGCAGCAGAAGGGGGTGAGGGTCCTGACGGTTCCACATCTGGAAGGAAGTTCTTTAGCTGCTGTGCTCAGATTCTGAAGAGAAGCAGATTTCTCCAAGGCCAGGTGGGAAGAGCCAGCTCCATCCTCCCTAGAGGGCTGTGTTTACAAGGAGCTGGCAGGAATTAAGTTCTAATCATGATGAACATTGATACAGTGCTTGGCAGGTGGCAAAGTGCTTCCTCCTGTGCGTGGGTTCCCTACAGACTGGGGTCCTCTACACCACCCCCATATTGTTGGAGGCAGGAGAAGAGACGGGGGAGTGGGGAGACTACACCTACTTCTCATTCTCCCATGAAATGAGTTCCTGTGATAAAACTCTCCATGTTCCCCACTTTGATCCTAACTCTGAATTCAAGCTTTGCTTACTGGAAGCCTTCCCCACCAGATGCCAGGCCAAACACATTCTTTTACCCAATGCCATGGTGAGGCAAAGGGGGGTGAACTTGGCTGGAGCTAGGATATCATAAAGTCAGATGGGTTCAGTGTGGGTTTCACATACCTGATAAAGATAAGGTTGGAGGAAGGGTAGGCAGCGAGATCAGCCAGAGAGGCTGGGCAGGCAGGAGACAGATTGGATACCATGTGTCAGGCAGCTCTTTTTTTTTTTTTTCTTTCTTTTTTTTTTTCTAATTTTGAGATGGAGTGTCACTCTGTTGCCTAAGCTGGAGTACAGTGGCGTGATCTTGGCTTACCGTAACCTCTGATTCCCGGGCTCAAGCGATTCTCCTGTCTCAGCCTCCCGAGTAGCTGGGACTACAGGCATGTGCTACCATGCCGGGGTAATTTTTGTATTTTTAGTAGAGATGGGCTTTCACCATGTTGGCCAGCCTGGTCTCGAACTCCTGACCTCAGGTGATCTGCCTGCCTCGGCTTCTCAAAGTGCTGAGTTTACAGGTGTGAACCACCGTGGCTGGCTGTCAGGCGGTTCTTCTGCAATATTTCACTTGTTTCTCATGGCAGCTCCTTGGAGTGAATTTTATGATCATCCTTATTTTGTAGAGGAGGAATTCAAGCTCAGAAAGGTTAATTGACTTCGCCAAGCTCTTATAACTAGTAAGTTAGGAGAACTGGGACTGGACCCCAGGTTTGCCATAACCCAAGTCAGGCTCCGGAAAGGGCATGGGGGACTTCCTGGGGCCTTATGGATTCATCGGGGCAAATGTGAATGGAACGAAGGTAGACTAGGAGGCTCGTCATGGATCTGGGGACTGGTTCATCCTAGGTTAGTGGGCGCTATCCCCATGCCTGTGAGCAGACCAGCTTCAGGCTCAGGTGCAGGTGTGGGATGACCATGGCCACAGGGCAGAGCATCACTTCTCTGAGACTTGGGAAGAAACAGGATGGGGGAATTGGGGATGTGCAAGGGAGGGCAGTGGCCACCAAGATCGGTGCTTAGGAGGCCCTGTAGATGAGAATTGAGAATTGCTTTGGGAGGCTGAGAGATGCTCTTCACTGCATCACATGTGAACCCTGTGGCTGGAAATGGGACGTTCCCTTTTAAAGAGAATGTGGCCTCCTGGAGGAGCCCCCTTCTGTCAGTAGGAGAATGGTCTGTGGTTATATGTGCTGCCAGGGGACAAAGCTGGTCCTCCGAAAGATGGGGTCTTTCCCTGTTTGGTGTCATGAAGCCAATATACACAAAGCCGAAAGTGAGTGTCAAGCAGTGCGGGACTGATTCAATGGCCATGGAATTGGAGGAGCGGGAGCCTGGCTCACAAATCGACCTCTCAACAAGTGAGGGGTGAAGGGGTGAGAATATAGGATTTTCTCTCATGAAGGAGTTGGATGTTAAAAGCCAGGGGAGGAATATTCCCATATTTTCTGGAATTGGGTGGTGAACTGCCTTGGAGCTGAAGGGCTGCCTTCCTTTTTGTCCTTTGATGGCTTCTTCCAGTCATTGTCATGGTGATTGTCAACCTGTCATGGCACTGGTGGGAGCATCATTTAGCAAGGAGATGAGATTAGAATGAAGCCTGAGGGTGGGCTATCTTGGCTCTAACCACTCTCAGTTGGTCTGGTTACAAAGGGAACTTTTTATTGCAGGCATCCTGTTTCTCAAAGACAAGCAGAGTCAGGACCCAGTAGAAATTCAGCTATGCCATGCAGGCATTGCACTGGCCATCACTAGCTTTCATGGCTCCTCTGAGTGATGAGAAAAGGTGGCCCTCTGGGCAGATGCACCAATCAGAGCATGGGCTGGATTTCTACCTGTCTGTCTCCTTTGGTCCAGAGCCTTTGTGGGACAGCTGTAGGAGGAGGCCCTGGGTACTGCAGTAGGCCCAGCGGGAGGCATCTGGTCAAGGAAGAGAACAGAAGGAGAGTGGGACCCTGCACCCAGGATCCAGGAGGGTGGGGACCAACATGTACCTGCATCTGTATCTGTAACCGTGGTGCTAGTCTGGCACAGTGTGTTCAGGAAATGTGGCTGAGAATGTCTGAAAAATAAGTCACCTTCCTTTTGGCTTCTTGGGATGAGCCTTCAGCCTTCTTTGGAACTGAGGAATTCCAAAGAAGTTGGAACGATTTTGGAAGTGAGGAAGAGGGCGCTATTGGCCATGTATGATGAGAACTAAAAAGGGGAAATGCTTGACTTATTTTGTCAACTTCATCAGTGAATGCTTTAGAATCCTCAAAAAAAAAAAAAAAAAAAAAAAATCACAGCTGAGCTTTATTGAGTGGATAATTACCATGAGCCAGCCATTGTGCTAATCCTTCTGTGACAGTCAGTCTTACATGTCACCTTGCCCTGGCCAGGGTCTCCAGTTATTTAAACACTCATGTAGGTGTTGCTGTGAAGGTCTTTTATAGAAGCCATTAAAGTCCAAAGTCAGTGACTTTACATAAAAGGAATTATTCTAGACAATCTGAGTGGGCTTGATTCAATCAATGGAAAGGCCTTAAGAGTAGAACCGAGGCTTCCGTGAAGGAGAAGAAATTCTACTTGTGGACGGTGGCTTCAGCCTATGCCTGAGAGTTCTAGCCTGCCTTTCCTGATGGGCTGCCCTACAGATTCCAGACTTGCTTAGCCAGATCCACAATTGCATAAGCCGATCGCCTGAGATAAATCTCTTAATCTATATCTCCTACTGGTTCTATTCTTTGGTTGAACCTGGGCTGATACACCTTCATACAGATCAACTTACCTAATCCCCTTAAGAATATGGTGAGAGTTACGGTTCCTATCCCCATTTAAGCGGGCACACAGAGAAGGCAGGCTGGTCCCCAGGCAATGGTGCCAGGATTCAAACCTCAAGCCTTCTTACTCCAGGGCCCCAGTCCTCACCTGCCACGCCAGAGGATGTCAGAGGGAGTCGCATCAACAGCAGCCAGCCCTGGGTATCTGACCGGTGTGAACTTGTGATTGGGTGGTTAGGACCAGGGTTGAGAGGAGTGGTAGCAGCCACCCATGGCAAGTCACTGAGGGAGCTACGTCTAGGGGACACACGCATTTTAACTTCACCTCTCGGCAGCCAGCTGTCTTTTACCTTGAGCTCCCTGACACTGGTGTACACAGAATGTTCCCCGGCATCTTGCATTTGTTTATATTTTGTTTTAGACTCATCTGTGGGTGGCTTATTCTGTTTGAGTGTTTTCTCACGGGGTTGAGCTTACTGAAATTCACTGAAATGTTCAGGATCAGTCCTCTAACTGAACTCTTTCCTCTGATGTATTCATTCCAAGAGACATCTGAGCTGCCTTCTTCACAAAGCAGCACCCAGCTTGCGCCAAAGAAGAAAGGCAGGTGGTGCCTCAAAAGGAATTCGGGGGCATCAAATGGCTTGGCAGTGACACCTGGCTGTGCATACGCCACACTTGGGTGGAAATTACTCCTCAAAAGTGGTAACTGAGAGGAAAATCTTTGGGTCCAATGTTTGGGGTGCTCATTTCCCATGTTTTAAACTCGAGTAAACTCTGCGGTGGCATTTGATTTGTCTCCACGTGACAGCTCAGACTCAGACTACTGCTTGCCTTCCCCTCCCTCCCCTTCTGTCTCCAGCCCACAACCCTGTGGCCTCTCATTTCCTGCACCCGCAGGCTTGCTGTGGAGGACGGAACACAGGCAGCCTGGACTGGAGGGTGGAACGCGTCAACTTCCAGCAATGACTTCCAGAAAATGCCAGATGGAACAGGGGCAAAAATAAGAGTGTATGTTTGTGTGTAGGTGGGGGGAGGGGTGTGTGTTGTGTGTATGTGTGTCGTAGAGTGTATGTGTTGTGTGTGTGCTGTGGTGTGCATGGGCTATTGTGCATACTGTGGTATATGTGAGCTGCTGTGTATGTGCTGTTTGTGTGGACTGTGGTGTGTGTGCTGTGGCGTGTGTGTGTATGGACTGGTGTGTGTGAGCTATTGTGTGTATGCTGTGGTGTGTATGTGCTGTGTGTGGTGTGTGTGTGCGCTGTGGTATGTGTGTGCACTGGTGTGTGTATGCTGTGTGTGTGAACTATTGTGTGTGTGCTGTTGTGCATGTGCACTGTCGTGTATGTGCTGTTGTGTGTGTGCGCTGTGGTGTATGTGCTGTGTGTGTGTGTGCTGTAGTGTTTGTGTGCTGTGGTTTGTGTGTGTGCTGCGGCGTGTGTGTGAGCTATTGTGTGTGCTGTGGTGTGTGTGTGTGAGAGCTGCTGTGTGTGTGCTGTGGTGTGTTTGTAAGTTATGTGTGCTGTGCTGTGTGTGTGCACTGTGGTGTGTGTGTGAGCTGTTTGTGTGCAAGTTGTGTGTTCTGTGTGTGTGTGAGCTATGTGTGTGCTGTGGTGTGTGTGCGAGTTGCTGTGTGTACTGTTGTGTGTGTGTGCACACAGGCATGCGGTGTCAGGGGAGGTGTGGAGCAGCAGTAGGAGGGAGGCTGCTAATAGGAGCAGGGGGTATTGGTATTGGTATTGGTTGCAGCCTGAGAAGTGAAATGTAAAGCCAGAGGACAAAACTCAAAGTCTGACCTGGCGGGGCCTCCAAGGAGTGTGGCTGGGAGAGGAGGCTCAGTCCAGAGGAAGCAGATGAGGGGTTGAGACCAGTGCCCATGACTTAATGACTGAGTTTTAAGAACTAGGGTCTTATTTTCTCCGTCTCTGCCTCTGTCTTTCTTGTCTCTCCCCATCTCTCTCCACCTGTCTGCCCCTGTCTCTATCTCTCTGTCTCTCTCCATCTGTTTCTATCTCTATCTCTCTCCATTTGTTTCTATCTCTCTCCATCTGTGTCTGTCTCTCTCTCCATCTGTCTCTGTCCCTGTCTCTCCATCTGTCTCTGTCTCTGCATCTCTCTGTGTCTCCATTTGTCTCTGTCTCTCTCTCCATTTGTTTCTGTCTCTATCTCTGTGTCTCTCTCTCCTTCTGTCTCTGTCTCTATGTGTCTCTCTCTCCAGTCTCTTTGTCTCTGTCTCTCTCCATTTGTTTCTGTCTCTCTCTCTCCATCTCTGCATCTCTCCATCTCTCTCTCTCTCTCTCAACTTCTCCCTCTCCTCCAGTCTCCGTCTCTCTTTCTTGCTCTTGGCATGAGTGCATGTGTGTGCATGCTGGCTCTTTTTGTTTTGAAGCAGAAAAGCTACTGAGTGGCTCACAGAATCACCAGAAAGAGGAGCACTCAGGCCTTCAAAAGTACAGGAACAAAAGGCAGAATCATATCCCAGAACAGGCCAGTGAGGACACCGTTGCTGGCACCCTGCTGGGTCCTGGATGCCGCCTACTGGCACTGCTGCTGTGCAGCTGCTGGACCCTGGCTGCTGCTGACACCAGAATCAGGCAGCTTTTCAAAGACCTGGCATACCTCTGCTGGGAGGCTGAGGTGACATGAGTCCCCAGAGAACCCAGCTGGATAGGTGAGGCTGGCCCAACACAGCCCTGGGATTCTGGAATATTGTTGGAAATTAAAGAGACAATTATGGTCAACTCTTATACTGGTTGAATACAGAGTGTAGATCAGGAATTTCAAACTCTCATTTTATTTTGCAACACCAGCAACCCTCTTCCTAAGTTCTCATACAGATTTTAGGGGAATCTCTAATCTCTCGTAAAATGAATGGATTATTGGTCCAACTTCTCTTCCCAGTACCACAGGGGCAGTCTCCTGAGAAGGGAGTTGGCCAAATGGACTGGAGTAGGAGGGAGGAGAAAGAAAATTGAAGACTCAAGATAATGTGGAAGAGGGAGATGCTGGAATCTTCCAGCTGTAGATCCCTGTTTTTTGTTTGTTTGTTTACTCTGGGGCATGGGCAAAAAAAAAAAAAAAGAGAGAGACCTAGACCTGCTTTGTCCTCAAAGGTGTGTATGTGTGCATATGGTGGTTGTGTGCAGAGGAGGGGCTTACCTGCTCTATATTTCCTCTTCACATCCACCGAGGGAGAAGGGCCATTTCTCTTGATGACGCAGAGGGCTGAGGAATACTGAAGGGACGTTTGCACAGAACAAAGCAAAACCCTCAGAAGTTTTTTTCCTGTCTCTGATTGTAGAAAATTACCTGCCCTTTCATCTGCTTCTCAAGTTCACAACTTGTCACCGTCTGTTTTCATCTCTGAGCATTTCAATTCTCCTCCTTTCCGTTTGTCTCTTGTCTGTCTGGGCTGTTTTGTCTTTTGTCTTCGTCGGGCCTGCCAGTCCCTGCCTCTGTCCGTCCCTCTCTCAGCTTGGCCGGGCTCTCCCTTAGTCTGTCACTTTTCTCTCTCCTTCTCCTGGCTCATGCTGAGCAAAGTGGCTGTCAGGGCCATCCCTTGCAAAAGCTGGATCTTAGAGAAAAACGGGGTCTGAACTGATAAATGTTTGGCTCCCTGTCTGTGTTTTCCTCCATCTTGGTTTTGAACCGCCTTGCAGCTAGGACTTGGGACTGCCAGGGACATGCTAACTGGGCTCTGGAGCTCGGGGCCCCCAGCCTCAGCACCTCATGCCTGCATCCCTTCTCTTGACTTGGAGTGATCCTGTTGTTCTGTCTTACAAATTGGGATCTCTCCCTGCATGTGGGCTTTGGTGACAGCCACCAGATGGTAGGGACTGGTTTTTATAGTAACTCATTAACCTCTTGCCATCCTACAATTAAGAAAGCATTTAATTGCTTTTTCTCAAGCCATCCTATGAGTGATTCAGGCAGCTTGCATTCATCATGTGAACCAATTTGCAGCTAGAGCCTGAGAGAGTGGGAGCAGCGGGGAGTGGCAGGCTTGGGCACAGTGAGCACCCTGGGTGGCCCTGGATTGCCTTTTGGGACCTTCTGGGAGGGGAAAACAGGCTTCAGAATCTTCCCCACCCCAGTGATTTCCTTCTAGGTTGAGAGATTCCTTTAGATTGGCTCCGAATACACCTCAGAGATTGTCTAGGTTCTCTCTTCCTCTCATTTATCTGTTCAGGAGTCTAAGGCCAGAGAGGTCAAGGGACCTGCTCAAGGTCACACAACTAATTAGTGGCAGAATGTGGGCTGCAGTCTAAGTCTGTTCACTTCCTGTCTGCCATGCTCCAGCCACCCCCGGCTTTGCTAGCTCTGGGGGCTGTGCTTCTGAAGTGCTCTAGAACTGTGTTCAACTACTCACACATGACAGTACCCACTCTTCTCCTTCCCAAACCTCACACCCTCTGACTGGGCCTCAGGGCTTCTGCTCAGTGGACAGACGACTCCCTTCATTACTTGCAGGGGGACATGCAGATGCACCACCCAGATTCTCCACCAAGGAGGGACTTGTTGCCCCAGCAGCTGGCAGGGTGGCCAGTGGCCTGCCTTTAGCCGTTAGCCCCCTTGGAGGACCACCTTAGCTGCAGAGAGCTGCCTTGCCCAAGGGCATGCCATGTCCGATGTCTAATCAATGTGAAGGTATAAAAACCTGGTTATTTTGGTTCAGTGCAGGACAACTCTGATGGATGGACCATTTTCCCTCCAGAGCTCCCTGTGGGGTTAGCCAAGGGCCTGCATCCCAGCTCTACTTCTCTCTCTGCCCGATGCTGCTTCCTCCCCATCACACCCTTAGGTGTTGAACTCAAGAATATTTCTTAATAAACACCCTGAACACTAAACCCTGTCCCAGTCTGCTTCCCAGAGAATCCCATCTATGGCCCCCATCCCATCCTTAACTGAGGCTGGGCTGTTCTCAAGGACACCATCTCCCTGCAGCCATGGAGTGAATGAAGTGTGGGCATTCTCTTCGATCCAGTGGAGCTGCTTTCTTTTTGTCTCCACTGTGCCTCCTTGTGTCTTGTAAAAAGCCCCCCTCCTTCAAGACTTCTGCCATGTGGCTCTGTCCTTCTCCACCTTGGGATCACCCACCAGCCCACCAGCTGTTTTCTGCGATTGCCCAGCAGGTCCTGGATCAGTCTCTCCCCATCAGCTCCTACCATCACAGGCAATTGTAGCCTCTACATGGGTGGCCCAGCCAACACTCTGACTTGTTCATTCTTGGACCCCAGTGATCTACTTGTCACTCCCACCTCATCCAGCCACTCCTAGGGTCAGGTCATAGAGGAGTCAGTGTCATCATCCCAAACCACATGATCTCCAAAATCACTAGTTCAGATGCTCTAGCCAACCTTGACTAATCTTCCAGCTTACCTGCTCAGGCTTCTTCAGTGCAACTGTTCTTCAACCTCATCAAGACCTCTGACCTACAGACCCTCTCCCAAATTTCCTCCTGTTGACCCTATGTTGCCCATCTCTCCTGATCTACACTCGATTATTTTGTCCCCCCCTTGCGATGACTCTCTGACGAATACCCTGAGTGTCCTAGCCCCTTTGTCCTAATGCATGTGCCTGGCTAAACTTCAGTTCCAGATGAAGCTGACCAACACTACTGTTCTGAGGCTGCCTTTGGGTGGCTAAGAGTTGCTGCAGAAACTCTCACCACTGGTCCTGTTGGCATCATAATAAACTCACAAATCACCAATGCACTTGGGATTCTCAACAATTCCTGGAAGTCTCATGATGTATTTCAGTTAGCTCATTGCACCCTCTTCTCCAAAATAGCCATTACATTCCTTCACCACTCATCCTCAAATTCCACCCCCTATACCCTCAGCTAATGGACACCCCCCATCTCTTTTATAGATAGAAAAATCTGGCAAGAAGGAAACCCTCCCAGCTTCCTGAGCCATCTTGGCAAAGGTCTGTCTGCATTCATCACTTTCTTCTTCCATCTTGCTGGGGTGGAGAAAGTGTCCCCTCTTCCTGGCAATGGCCACATCTTCCACACATGTTCGGTTTCATCTTAGAAACTCACTTCATTGCCTACTCCCTTTCCTCTATAGCTAAGCTCATCTCTCTTACAGATCCTTCCCTTCGGCAGCCAAGTTTGCTCTTTCTTCCTTCCCTCTCATGAGAATATAGGCTTCTGGAGAGCAAGGCTGTGTCTATCTCTTTCCCGTTGTATTTGTGGTATCCAAAAATATGCTTGGCACAGGCTCATGTTTAATAACATTATTTGACTTTCTGACTGACAGACTGACTGTCCTCTTCAATTTGATTCAATCTTCATTACCAGTACTATCAATTGCTTTATTGAATCCAAGGAGCGATACTCAGTCTTCAACTTTCTTGATATCTCAGCAACATTCCACATCACCAAACACTGCCTTCTTTCTCCTTTCTCTTGCTTTACCTTCTTCACATCTGATTAATTCTTCCTAGCTTCCTTTAGGGATTCTCTTCTTCCAACCTACTTTTAATGGTTGGAACCCTCTGGGCCTGCTCCTGAACCACCTTCCTTTTCATTTTACACTTTCTCGCTAAATGATCTCACCCCCTCCCATGGTTTCCAGTTCCATTCACTTTCCAATGGATCCTACACTTATTTCACTAGCCCAGAACTTTTTTCTGAATGCCATATTATAAATTCTACATGCTACTTATATCAGCATCTCTGTTTATCTCATAGGCATCTATCTCTAAATGAGCTTATCCAAAACTGAACTCATGTTCATCCCAAATCAGCCTGCCCCAAGCCTGGGATCATCCTTCACATAGTATTAACCCTCACCCTCCACAATCAATCAATCAATCATCAAATTCTACCTCTAAAATATACCTCCATGTAGTCATTTTGCATTATTTCCACTGATACCATCTTAGTTCAAGCCACCTGTGTCTCTCACCAGGATAGCTACAGTGGCTTCTGCATCATTTGGGTGTTTGTCCCTGCTGAAACTCAATGTAATGGTATTAAGAGACGGGGCTTTTAAAGGGTGATTGGGGCCAGGGTGGTGGCTCATGCCTGTAATCCCAGCACTTTGGGAGGCCGAGGTGGGCAGATCACCTGAGCTCAACAGTTTGAGACCACTGGCTAACATGGAGAAACCCTGTTTCTACTAAAAATACAGAAAAATTAGCCAGGAGTGGTGGCGTGCACCTGTAATCCCAGTTACTCAGGAGGCTGAGGCAGGAGAATCACTTGAACCTGGGAGGCGGAGGTTGCAGTGAGCCGAAATCGCGCCATTGCACTCCAGCCTGGGCAAAAAGAGTGAAACTGCGTCTCAAGAAACAAACAAACAAAAATGGTGATTGGGTCATGAGGGCTCTGCTCTCATGAATGGATTAATCCACTGGTTAATAGATTAATGGGTTACTATAGGAATAGGTTAGTATTATGAAAGTGGGTCAGTTATAAAAGCCAGTTTGGGCTGGGTGCAGTGGCTCACACCTGTAATCCTAGCAATTTGGG
Source organism: Homo sapiens (assembly GCF_000001405.40). Classification (NCBI taxonomy): domain Eukaryota; kingdom Metazoa; phylum Chordata; class Mammalia; order Primates; family Hominidae; genus Homo; species Homo sapiens. The sequence continues at coordinate 70,552,759 of NC_000015.10, read as the reverse complement.
AGGCTGAGGTGGGCGATCATGAGGTCAAGAGATTGAGACCATCCTGGCCAACATGGTGAAACCCTGTCTCTACTAAAAATACAAAAATTAGCTGGGCGTGGTGGCACGTGTCTGTAATCCCAGCTACTTGGGAGGCGGAGGCAGGAGAATTGGTTGAACCTGGGAGGTGGAAGTTGCAGTGAGCCAAGATCACGCCACTGCACTCCAGCCTGGTGACAGAGTGAGACTGTCAAAAACAAAAAAAAAAGAAAAGCCAGTTTGGCCCTGCTCTTGCCCCCTCACCATGTAATGCCCTGTACCATATTGGGACTGTGCAGAGTCCCCACTAGCAGATGATCCTAACCAGGTCTCCCTTGACCTTGGACTTCCCAGCCTCCAGAACCATAAGAAATAAATTGCTTTATAAATTGCCCAGTCTGTGGTATTCTGTTATAGCAATAGGAAACAAACTAAGACAGCTTCCAACCTAGTTTACCCACATCCACTCTTGCTTATCTTCAGTCTATTTACACTTAGCAGTCACTGTGTACTGTGCTTTAAAAATACAAGTTGGGTCATGTTGTCACACTTCTCTCCCAACTGAAAACCCTTCAGTAGTTATTTGTAGGATAAAGACCCAAATCCTTGACATACTCCACAAGGTACTCTGTGCCCTGGCCTCTGCCTAGTTCTCTAATCTTGTCTCATGTCACCCTTTCCTTTGCTCACCAAGCTCTGATAATACTGACCATCTTTCAAATGTTTGTTTTTGTCCTGCTCTTTCACACTTCTGGGCTTGATCATATTGTTCCTATGGCCTGAAATACTCACCTTCTTTTCCCAGTCATCCTTCAGAATTTAGCTTAAATGCCTGCCATTCCCTCTGGGAAACATTTCCTGGCTCCAGTCCCTAGGTTAGCTCCCCCAAGTTACTTTCCTTGTTTTCATAGAGACTATTGGGTATTCATCCAAATGTATTCTCCTCTTTTTTGGAGAACTGTATTTCTTAGACTGTCTTGCAGTCAGGTGGGGTCATGTGACTAAATTCTCCACAATAGGATATGAGCGGAAGCAATGTTCGTCCCTTCCAGATCTGGCCTATAGAATCCTCCCAAGAGTGCGCCTTTTGGGTCTTTCCCTTTCCAGCTTACTGGGGTAATATACCCAGAGCAACTGGAAAGCCATATGTTGAAATTGACACAGCCTCTATCAACATGGGCCCCTGAATAACCTCATGGAGGAGAGCCGCCTCACTGACCTGAACATCTTGCATAGGATTTTATCTTGAAGAAGAAATAAGTTTTCTAAGAAAGTGGGTTTCTTTGTTATCAGACCTCAGCCTACCCTCATTGATATCATAGCCTTTAAGATAATTGTAATTAAACAATTGTCAATTAGCTAACATTTCTCTCTGCTAATAGATTGTAACTCCGTGAAAGTAGGGAATATCTTGTTCACCACTTTTTCTCTAGGGTTCAATAAATATTTGAACGAGATGGCTCATCCGAGTTGCATGGAAAACTAGCGATGATGCAGGAGCATGCCTGGTCTGTAACGTTATTTGTAATTTCAGATATCGCTTTCTTAAGAAAAATTAGGTAGTGGCCGGCAGGCCCTTCCTGTACTGCAGACCTTCCCTTCTGCTTCATTTGAGTTTAATTTGCTCTTTTTAAATTATACTTTCTTAAGGTGGAAGCTTAGATTATTGATTTGAGAACTTTCTTCTGGCTTATATTGTTGTAATCAGAACATATTTTGTATCAGCTCAGTTCTTTTAAATATCCTTCTTCTTGGTGCACAAGTTCCATGTGCACTTGAAAGGTGTACAGTCATGCACTGCACAATAGTGTTTTGATAAATGACAGACCACATATATGGTGGTGGTCTCATAGAATTATAATAAAGCTGAAAAATTCCCATCATGTCGTGATGTCATAGCCATTGTACCACTGTAGCACACTGCATTACTCATGTGTTTGTGTCACGCTGGTGTAAACAAACCTATCACACTGCCAGTTATATAAACGTGTACAGCAGGCTGGGCGTGGGTGGCTCACGCCTGTAATCCCAACACTTTGGCTAAGGTGGGCAGATCGCTTGAGCCTAGGAGTTTAAGACCAGCCTGGGTAACATGGTAAAAACCCTGTCTCTATAAAAAATACAAAAAATTAGCTGGGCATGGTGGCATGTGCCTGTAGTCCCAGCTACTCAGGGGACTGAGGTGGGAGGATCACCTGAGCCTGGGAGGTTGAGGCTGTAGTGAGATCGTGCCATGGTACTCCAGCCTGGGTGACAGAGTGAAACCCTGTATTTAAAAAAAAAAAAAAAGTGTACAGCCATGTCCTAGGCCTTCACATTCATTCACCACTCACTCATCCAGAGCAACTACCAGTCCTGTAAGCTCCAATTATGGTAAGTGTCCTCTATAGGTGTACCATTTATAATTTTTATACTGTTTTTTTACTGTACCTTTTCTATGTTTAGATACACAAATACGATTGTGTTATGATTGCCTATGGTATTCAGTATGGTAATATGCTGTACAGGTTTACAGTCAAGGAGCAATAGGTTATACCATATAGCCCAGGTATGTAGTAGGCTATACCATCTAGGTTTATGCAAAAACACTTTATGATGTCCTCACAATGACTAAATCACCTAACAGACACATTTCTCAGAATGTATTCCCATTGTTAAGTAATGCATGGCTGTATTCTGTTGTTGGGCAGAGTGCTCTATAAATGTCAAGTAGGTCAAGTTGATTGCTAGTGTTGTTCAGTATATTCTGACCAGTTTTCTGTATGCTTGTTATATCGATTATTAAAAGTGTTGAATTCTCCAAATGTAATTATGGATTTGGATATTTCTCTATTCAGTTCTATCAGTTTTTCTTTTATGTATTTTAAAGCTCTGTTGTTAGATGTACATACATTTAGAATAGTTTTTTCTGTGGAAGGGATCGTAAAAAATGAAAAAATATAGAATAGTTTTGTCTTCTTGGTAATCTCTCTGTCATTACGTAATGCCTCTCTTTGTCTCAAGTAATATTCCTTGCTCTAAATTCTACTTTGTCTGATCTTATTATAGGCAATCTAACATTTTTTGGATTGGTTTTTGCATGGCATAATTTTTTTTATTCTACTTCTAACACATCTGATTTTATGTTTAAAGTGGGTTTTTTGTAGATAGCAGATAGTTAAGTTTCCATTTTTTTATCCAATTTGACAACCTCCTTTTATTTGGAGTGTTTAGGTCATTTACATGTAATGTGATTATTGATATGGTTGGTTTAAAATCTAGGATATTGCTACTTGTTTTCTACTTGTTCTGTTTGTTCTTTGTCCTTTTTGTTCTTTTTCCCTCCTTTTTTGCCTTCTTTTGGGTTATTTATTTATTTATTTATTTTGAGACGGAGTCTTGCTCTGTCGCCGAGGCTGGAGTGCAGTGGCGTGATCTCCGCTCACTGTAAGCTCTGCCTCCCGGGTTCACGCCATTCTCCTGCCTCAGCCTCCCGAGTAGCTGGGACTACGGGCGCCCACCACCACACCTGGCTACTTTTTTTGTATTTTTAGTAGAGACGGGGTTTCACCGTGTTAACCAGGATGGTCTCGATCTCCTGACCTCATGATCTGCCCGTCTCGGCCTCCCAAAGTGCTGGGATTACAGGTGTGAGCCACCGCGCCCAGCCTGGGTTGAGTATTTTTATATTAATAATTCCACTTTATCTCCACCATTGGTTTACTAGTTACACTGCTTTTGCTTTTCATTTTTTAGTGGTTGGCCCAGGCTCAAAATATATAACTCTTCACTAATTATGCTCTACCTTCAAATAATTTACCATTTCCCATGTATTGTTAAGAATTTTATACAAATATTTTTTCATTTCCCCACTCCCATCCTTTGTGTTAAATGGTTTTAATATTTTACTTCCACATATATTATAAGCCCCAAAATATACTGTCATTATTTTTGCTTTAAATAGTAATAGTAAACCAGGCCAGGTGTAGTTGCTCACACCTGTAATCCCAGCACTTTGGGAGGCCGAGGCAGCAGATAACTTGAGCCCAGGCATTCGAGACCAGCCTGAGCAACATGGTGCAACTCCATCTCTACAAAAAGTACAAAAATTAACCGGGCATGGTGTTGCGTGCCTGTGGTCCCATTTACTTGGGAGACTGAGGTGGGAGGATCACTTGAGTTCAGCAGGTTGAGGGCTTCAGTGAGCTGTGATCGTGCTACTGCACTCCAGACTCAGTGACAGAGACCCTGTATCAAAAAAAAAAAAAAAAAAAAAAAAAGAAGAAGAAGAAAACTATATATTTTAAACTACAGAATTCACTATACTCTTCATTCAGATTTTCCTATTGTTAGCTGACATAATCATATTACAGTTATCAAAACCAGGAAATTAACATTGGTGCAATACTGTTAACCAAACTACAGATCTTATTCAAATGTCACCAATTTCCCCACTAATGTTCTTTTTCTGTTTCAGAATCCTACAGCATTGAGTTGTTTCTTTAGTCTCCCTTAATCTGTAGAGTTTTTCATTCTTTCCTTTAGTCCATGACCTTGATATTTTGATGAATACTAGTCAATTACTTTTTAGAATGCCTCTCAATTTGAGTTTGTCTGATATCTTTTCATGATTTGATTGAGATGATGCATTTTTGGCAGGAATACCACAGAGCTGATGTTGTGTATTTTTCAGTGCATCATATCAATGTATCAGTGAATACATAATACTGAAATGTCTCATAACTGGTGATGCTAACCTTAATCACTTGGCTAAGGTGATTTCTTTGGAGTTTCTCCACTGTGAAGTAGTTACTATTTCCCTTCTTTGTAATTGATAAATATCTTTGGGGAGATACTTTGAGAGTATGCTAGTATCCTGTTTACCTTCAAACTTACTTTTACTGATTTTAATATCCATCAGTGGATCTTGTCTTTAATAATTATTACTGTGGTGTTTCTCTAATTGTGAGTTAGTATTTCTCTCATTCTTTCCACATTTATTAGTTAGAATTATTCTGTATACCAGTATGGACTCATGGATATTCTTTTTATTCTAAGGGTTATAATCCAATATGGGTACTATCATTATTTGTTGCTCATACTGTCCCAGCTCTGGCCACTGGGAGCTCCTTTTGGTTGGCATGTCCTTTCTGACATGCTCCCATCCTTTTTCAAGTACTTCTTCCTTTTCTGGCATCATAAGATGTTCCAGGGTTATCTTACATTTTCCCTGTCCCAGTCCTAGAACCAGTCTCTTCTCCAAGGAGCCCTGTTGTTTTGTTTTGTTTTTGATTAGAGAATGGTATTGAGAATCTGTATTAGTCCATTCTCACATTGCTATAAAGCACTGCCTGAGACTGGATAACTTATAAAGGAAAGAGGTTCAATTGACTCACAGCTCTGCATGGCTGGGAAGGCCTCAGGAGACTTAAAATCATGGTGGAAGGGGGAAGCAAACACATCCTTCTTCACATGGTGGCAGCAAGGAGAAGTGCCCAGCAAAAGGGGGAAAAGCCCCTTATAAAACCATTAGGTCTCTGAAAACTCACTCACTATCATGAGAAAAGCATGAGGGTAACCACCCCCATGATTAAATTACCTCCAGTGAGGTCCCTCCCATGACAGGTGGAGATTATGGGAACTACAATTCAAGGTGAGATTTGAGTGGAGGCCTAGAGCCAAACCATATCAGAATCCAAGATCTGGGTGGTAGCTGTGCTCAATGCTACTGGTGAGGTGGAGGAGGAACTCCCTTTTCTGTACTCTGCTATTATTTGCCTGGTCACTCTTCCAGTATTTTCAAAGTTAGAATTATTTAATATTTTGTCAGTCATTCAGATAATCCTTAGGCCCCTTTTCTAGTGTTCTTCTCTACTTCCTATATATTTTCTTCATGTGCCCTTTCTTCCCACAGAGCCTTACAGCTATAAGGGGGTGGAATGGTAGCATGACAGATCACATGCTAGAATTGGGAGATTTTTCTGTTTTCACTCACGGTTATCTTGCAGTTTAAACATTCTTTGTCTTCCAGCTATGCTGATGGTGTGGTTTGTGTAATACAATGTAGAGACCCTGACTACTCCAAGCTCATCATTGTGGACCTATCTGTGTATTTTCATTTCAGATGCTGTATTTGTCACTTCTAGAAATTTTTTCTTTTTGTCTTTTCTTATGGTTTGGAAAAGATAGTTTGGGAGATACTTAGCTTACCTTTTCCATCTAATGTCATTTTCCTTTTGCCTGAAGAACTTCCTTTAGTATTTCTTGAGCCCAGAGCAGCTGGCAACAAATTCTTTTATTTCTGTTGTTTAACAAAGTAGTTATTTTGCCTTCACTTTTGAAAGATATTTTTGCTGATTATAGAATTCTATGTTGACTGTGTTTTTTTTTTCCCTTTCAGTTATTTAAAGATGTTGCTCCATCATCTTCTGGCTTGCATGATTTCTGACATGGATTCTTTTGTCACCTTTTCTTTGCTTCTCTGTAGGCAATGGGCCTTTTTTTGTTTCCTGACTGCTTCTAAGATATTTCTCTTTATCAGTAGTTTGAAGTAATTTGGTTATGATGTGTCTTGTGGTTTTATTCATGTTTCTTTTTCTTGGAATTCATTAAGATTCTTAGATTTGTAATATTATAGTTTTTAAACCAAATTTGGAAAATAGCACATCATTATTTCCTGAAATATTTCTGTTTTCTGTCTTCTCTCCTTATGAGGCTCTGATTACATATATGTTAGACTGTTTAATATTGTTCCACTAGTCACTGATTCTCTGTTCATCTTTTTCAGTCTGTTTTCTCTGTGTTTCATTTTGTATAGTTTTTATTATTATGTCTTCAAGTTTAATTATCTTTTCTTCTGCAATGTCAAATCTGCCCTTCCATCTGTGTGGGTGTGGGTACGGCAATAGCTGTGAATGGATTTGTTATTTTAGAAGAGCATTCCTCATTGCCTTCTTGGATACCCATCTCAGCCCCATGCCTGTTCTCATACCCCCTCCCACTCCTTCTCATAGGGGTTGCTATTGACTCTTCTGAGAAGCCACCCTGGAGCTGGCTACCCGCAGCCCCTGACCAGCTATGGCTTGGGTATCCCCTATAACCCCACCAACATGACCCTCTAATGGGAGCTCATGGGTCACACCTTCTTCCAAGAGGATAGGTGGGCAACATACCCTTAGATTCCCAAAGGGAAAAGTCCCCAGCTGGGTTCCTATCACCCTCAGGTCTACCTAGAAAGCAATGTCTACCCAGTGCTAGTGGGGAATAGGTGCTGGGCCCAAGCAGAATCTCTGGGTCCACAACCAGATGCTTTTTGGTCATATGTACAGGCACTTTAATGAAGCAATACAATGTAGAGACCCTGGCTACTCTAGGCTCATCAATGTGGACCTGTCTGTGTATTTTTATTTCAGATGCTATATTTGTCACTTCTAGAAATTTAATTTGGTTCTCTTATATGTCTTTCACCTTTTCCTGCATGATGTCCATGCTCCTCTGTACCTTTTTGAACATATGGAGTATAATTATAATAAGTATTTTAATGTCTTTGTCTGCTAATTCAATCATCAGTGTCATTTTGGGGTATATTTCTATTGATTGATTTTTCCCCTGGTTGTGGGTCATATTTTTCTGTTTCACTGCATGCCTAGTGATTTTTTGTGAGTTATATGAGTTTCAATATAATTTACATGCCATCAAATCTCACATAACATAAAATTCATTGTTTAAAAATATACAATCCAGTGGATTTTAATATGCATATTCACAGGGTTGTTGAATCATTACCACTATTTAACTTAGAGCATTTTTGTCACACTAAAAAGAAACTCTGTACTTGATAGCAGTACTTCCAATTTCCCCCTCCTTTTATGCCCTAGCAATCACTAATCTACTTTTTGTCTCTGTGAATTTGTCTATTTTGGACATTTCATATAAATGGAATGATACAATATGTGGCCTTTGGTGTCTGGTTTCTTTAACTTAGCATAATGCTTTCCAGGTTCATCCATGTTGTAGTACGTATTAGTACTTCTTTCCTTATTATGGCTGAATCATATTCCATTGTATGATGATACCACATTTTTTTTTAATCCATGCATCATTTGATTAACATTTGAGCTGTTTCCACTTTTTGGCTATTATAAATAATGCTGCTATGAACATTTGTCTATAAATTTTTGTGTGAACATATGTTTTTAGTTCATTTGGGTATGTACCTAGGAGTAGCATTGCTGGAGTCATATGGTAAGTCTATATTTAACATTTTGAGGAAATACTGCCAGACTATTTTCTGAAGAAGCTGAACCATTCTAGATTCCCAGCAGCAATGTGTAAGGGTTCCACTTTCTCCACATCTTCACCAGCACTTGTCATTGTTTGTCATTTTGATTGTGGCCATTCTAGTGGATATGAAATGGTATCTCATTGTGGTTTTGATTTGCATTTTCCCTAACGACTAATGAGGTTGAGCATCTTTATATGTGCTTACTGGCCATTGGCATATATCTTCTTTAGAGAAATGTCTGTTCATATCCTTTGCCCAATTTTTAATTGAGTTGTCTTTTTATTGTTGATTTGTAAAAGTTATTTATATTTTCTGGATACTAGACCCTTATCAGATATATAACATGCAAATAATTTCTCCCATTCTATGTGTTGTCTTTTCACTTTTTAATAGTGTCCTTTGACTCTGAGAAGCTCAATTTATCTATTCTTTGACTTGTTGATTATGCTTTAGTTGTCACATCTAAGCAACTATTGCCTAGTCAAGATCACAAAAATTTACACCTATGTATTTTATAGTTATAGCTCTCACATTTAGGTGTTTGATCCATTTTGGGTTAATTTTTGTGTATGGTGTAAAGTAGAGTTTCAAATTCATTCTTTTGTATGTGGATATCCATGTGTCCTAGCATCATGTGTAGAAATTAGTATTCCTTTTTTATTGAATTGTCCTGGAATCCTTGTTGAAATCAGTTGACCATAGATGTATGGATTTATTTCTGGACTCTGAATTTTATTCCACTGATCTATATATGTCCATCCTTATGTCAGCACCACACTGTCCTAATTACTGTAACTTTGTAGTAAGTTTTGAAATCAGGAAATCAACTTTGTTTGCCTTTTTAAAGTTTGTGTTGGCTATTCTGGGTCCCTTGCATTTCCATATGAATTTTAGAATCAGCTTGTCCAGTTCTGCAAAAAAAAAAAAAAGGAGTTGGAATTTTGATAGGGACTGTACTAAATTTGTAATCCATTTGGGTAGTACAGGTTGAGTATCACTTATCTGAAATGCTTGGGACCAGAAGTGTTTCAGATTTCAGATTCTTTGGGATTTTGGAATATTTGCATATACATAATGAGATATCTCAGAGATGGGACCTAAGTCTAAACATGAAATTTATTTATGTTCCATATAAACATTACATACAGCCTGAAGGTATTCTTATACAATATTTTAAAATAAGATTGTGCATGAAACAAAGTTTGTATACATTGAACCATAAGAAAGCAAAGGTGTCACCATCTCAGCCACTCATGTGGACAATCTATGGTTGTTTGGCATTACCATCATGCTGTGTGCAGAAAAGATCTATCACAGCTGAAGGAGGCTGAGGGGTCTTTTCCCCTTGGTTACACTGAATATGTGTTCTGTGTCTGCGTTTTGACTATGACCCATAACATAAGGACAGGTATGGTGTTTTCCACTTGTGACATAATGTCAATGCTCAAAAAGTTTCAGATTTTGGAGCATTTCAGATTTTGGATTTTTGAATTAGAGATATTCAGCCGGTATTGCCATCTTAAAATATTAAGACTTCCAGTTCCTGAACACAAGATGTTTTGCCACCTATTTAGATCTTCTTTAATTTCTTTCAACGATGTTTTCTAGTTTTCAGTATACAAGTCTTGCACTTCTTTGGTTAAATTTATTTTAAGTATTTTATTCTTTTTGATGCTATTGCAAATGAAATTGCTTTCTTAATTTCATGTTATAGTTGTTATTGCTACATTTTTACATACATTTTGTGTACTGTTGTTGTGTCCTGCAACTTTACCAAGCTTGTTTATAGCTCTAATAGTTTATTTTTTGTAGATTCCTTAGGGTTTTCTATATATAATATCACACTATCTGTAAATAGAGATACTTTTACTTTTTCCTTTATGATCTGGATGCCTTTTATTTCTTTTGCTTGCCTAATATACTTGCCAGAATCTCCAGTGCAATGTCAAATAGGAGAGGAGAGAGCAGATGTGCCTGGAAATTTTTGACTGTGTACATTTTGGATTTTACTGTGTTGGGTGTTGGATTTTGCTGCATTCCTTTAATTATTGTTGGGCTTTGTTCTGGGATTGCAGTTAGGTTGCTTGAAATCAGTTTGATCCCTTTAAAACTTGTTTTTACACTTTGTTGACATGGGTTGACAGTCTTTGGTCTAGGGCTAATTTCACTCCACTATTAAGGCAATAGTTTTCTGAGGATTTTACCTGATGCCCTGTGTATACGGAGGTCTATTTCACTCTGGAAGCTGGGATTAAAAATTATTGCAGGCTCTGTGTGAGCTCTGGGGATTGTTTGACCTACTCCTTGCCCAGCCGTGGGCAGTTTCCTCACATGCATGTGAGGGTTAATGCTCAAAGATTGGAGTTGAAGTCTTCCTAATCTTATTCTAGCCTCAGGAAATAGAGAGATCTCAGCTATGCTTGTTACTTCTCTCCATTTTCTACAGGAGCTTGAACTAAAGTCAAGCTGATGTGAACATACTCTCCTGCCCTTCACTTCTTGGGTAAAGGTAATTGGGTGATTAGGGTAATCACCGGGTAATCAAGGATGTTTGCAAGCTTCTGCCCACAAAGAAAGCCAGGGTAGGGAGTAATGGAAATGGTGGGAGTGGTGGATGAGGCTGGTCTCAGACAATCAGGCATCTCCATCAGGCTTGAAGAGCAAGACAACCTTCCTCATTACCCCATACTTGGCAATGCTTCTCCTACTTACCTGCTGAGAACAAGAAAGAACCAGAGCAGGCCAGGACACACAGAAGGTTACAAATTCCTGGAATCCCTGGCTCCTGCCTGTGTTGCTACAACAGTGGGCTGCAGTTTCCTCATCTCTAAAATTCATAGAGCCAGACCAGAGGTACTCTAGACCTGGCCCCACTCTGGCAGTCTGGGGTTGTGAGTTTCCGAGCCCCTGGCCTCTACTCTCACTCTGAAACTGTAGGTGCAGGGCAGTGTCATTTGTCTCTAACCCAGTGAACATGCAGCTTAGCCCCAAGGAGCCCCTAAAGCCACATAAGAATGTCAGTAAGCAGCATGGTATTTCTGCTTGTCCTCATCACAGATGGAACATGAAAGAAACTAATGCTGATAGAAATGTCTGACTTTTTTTTAGAAAATTAACGGTTCTGGATAAATTATTGACTCTGTTTCAGGAGTGGTGAGGTGACAAGAAGGAGTGGCTCATTTGCATGATCTCCGGCTGCAATGGCAACCACACTCAAGTGGGAGTCCTGACTCTTCCACTGACTGCCTGTGTGACCCTGGGGAAGGTACTTAGCCTCTCTGAGTTGCTGGATTCTCATCTCTAAAACTGGATTTTAAAAAATCTGCTATCAACCTCACCTATGCTGGCTAGAAAAAGGCAGCATATTTCTCACCTATGCTGCAACCTCACCTATGCTGCAACCTCACCTATGCTGCAACCTCACCTATGCTGGCTAGAAAAAGGCAGCATGATTTTCAAACTTAGAAGAAATCTTATGTAGAATTTAAGCACACAGAAACATGCAGAAACTTATAGGTTAAAAAAAAAAAGAGGGAAAATACATTGATAAATAAATTGGGGTGAAGGAGCAGACCAAAGGTGGTCCTTGCAGTGAGAGATGATTGTACATAGCCCTGCTGGAATGTGGCAGGAGCTTGGCTGCAATGTGGCCAGGGGAGCCATTTCCACTGCTCCTGAGGGTGGGGCAGGATGAGCGAGAAGAGAGGCTGAGTAAGGGTGGAAGAGAAGAGCCCATGAAGGTTGGGGAGAAACACTCACCGTGTGTCAGGAACTAAGAAGCTTTTTAACTTGCTGGCAATAAGGTGTGGATGTGGTCTCTTTTCAGGACCTCAGTGTTTTCAGTAAGTTCAGCTGTTGGTGTGATGGACCAGGCAAGTATGTGTGATTATTTATTGGCTTATTTCTTTATTTATTATGTGGAAAAGGGGAGTTTCCATCGACTCAATGTGAGGTGGTGATGGCCCCCCTCAATGTGAAGTGGTGATGGCCCCAGGATCCCACAGCAGGGGAAGCTCTGGGAATTCCCAGAACCTGGGAGGAGCTGCTGGCTTCACCAAGCTGTGCAGCTGGGGGCTTGAGATGCCTCAGCTGGATGTCTTGAAAGGGTGTTGCTCCGCCTGGCCATGGGCAGATGGGGTTCGTGAGCTCCCCGGGACGTCGTCTGTCACTTTCTCCAGCAACTCCGGCTTCTTTGGAGTTGACAGCTGGCCTGGCCGTGGCAAACGCTCCCGTGCCTGAGGCCAAGTCCCTCTCATTGCCATCCCTGCTTGGATGGATTCCTATGGCTGCAGTGGGAGGGGGTGCAGGATGGCTAACGAGACCATGGAGAACTCCTGTCCTCTACATGGAGGGACAGGCCTCTCTCCACAGACTCCAGGGCCTGGGAGCGAGACCTGGAAGGCCAGAGGTCCCAGCTGGAGTGTGCAGGTGTGTGCATGTGCATGACCTGTATCTGCTGGGGAGTGAGTTGAGAATTACAGGTGTCCCTCTTTCAAGAAGTTCAGTTTCCTCATCCTCTCCTCTGAATCCCTCAGGGAGAGAGAAAATACCCGGCCTCCTTTCCTGGTGCTGGAATTCTCTCCCACTCAGGGCTTCCTAGATCTGGTCCCCAGATGCCTCTTGGAATATCTTAGTGGGAAAATGTATGATGAATGTCCCCAGGCCTGGAAGAACTGTGGAGCCTCAGAGCCACAGGTGAGAGGCAGCCTGATTCTGAGACAGGCCATAGACTTCGGAAACATCCTGCCCAGGGGTCAGTCCCAGCTCCAACTCTCACTTGCTCTGTGACCTTGGGCATGTCACTTAACGTCTCTCAGTTCTTGTTTCCTCCTCTGTAAAAACCTGATAGGTTGTGACGATGAAATTAACACGTGACAAAATGCCCTGTGAATTGCAGGTCCTGAAATGCTGGTTTTGTATCTGTTGCAGGTTAGGTTCTCAGGGAAGTAAATCTGAGACAGAGTTTAACACTCTGGTAGAGTTAATTAGGGAGCGCCCTTGGGATCAACAGCAGTGAGAAGGAGGGAAGGAGTCTGCTGCAGTGGGCAGAAGGGGAGGTTATCTGTGAGGCAGGCCCAATCACAGCCTTGCTTGATTCCCAGGGAGCTCTGGAGCCAAAATGGTCTCTTGCACCCTGTGCTGGACCTCCCCATGACAACACCTGGGTTCAGTGATTAGCTAAGAGGACTCACAGGACTCAGCATATAGTGGCACTCATGGCCGTGACTTGTTACAGTCAGAGGATACAAAATGAAGTCAGCAAAGGGAAAAGTCACAAGAGAAGTCCAGAGGAAACCAGGCACTAACTCCCGGGAGTGCTCTCCGAGCGGAGTCACGCAGGAAAGCATCATTCCTCCAGCAACAAGCTGTGCCTGCACGTGTCGAATGTTGCCAGTTCACTAGAGACTCAGGGCTTAGGGCTTTTGTCAGGACAGCGAAGGGCCAGGAACACAGGCACCCTCTGCCTGCCATGTACCTAAATTCCAGGCTCCCAGAAGGAAAGCAGGTGCTCAGCACACGTGGTATTGTCTGGACAGTATAGGCACAGTGAGACATTCTTATCAGGGAATGGTGGGAAACCTCCCCAAATCCAGGTTCCCAGATGCCAGCCAAGGGCCAACCTGGCCAGCAGGACTTTCTAAGGAGAGCAGTCTCATGTGGCTTTGCTAACACGTTTCTGCACAGTCCTCCACCTTGATCATTGGTCACTGGATGTGGTCCTCCTTGGGGAGAGGTGTGACCTTGTGTGTGGCTGCCCAGTACAGCTGAGGCCATCCCTGCAGGGGCTGACCACAAAGCTGCCTGCTCCCAGCTCTGCCAGCAAGATCTTCCTCTAAGGGGGACTCTGCATTTAAGTCTGCACCCCAGGCAGAGATGAATATGGCTGTAGAATGACAAGGATCCCTGCTGTTGGAAATCTGGCCACTCTAGGCCATATCACCTCCTGTGGACCCTGGAAAACTAAGCCACAAGGAAGCCACCTGAGAGGGGAGGGAATCTCTGACATTGTTCATCCATGAATCATTTACAGAATGTGCATAGGGCAGAGAGCTTGATGTTCAGAGTGGACAGTAAGATAGTGCTAGGGAGACAGCTTGTTGGTAAACACAGATAATTGTACTGGAGGATAATAGACTGAGAGGGAAGACATATTTGCTGAATTGAATTGATCCCATTGACCACCTTCCCCACTCTTAGTGCTGTGGGTTTAGAACCACAAATGGGACTTGATTTCTGCCCTTTGGTGCTCACTGGGCAGGCAGGGAGGGTGAGCTGTAATCAGAAAGATGTGATGATTGGAAAAAGTCAACCAGGGAGCAGGAGGTGGGGAGGGCCTGGGAGACCCCATGTCTAGTGGGAATGGACTGAGAGTTAACCAAGTGGACAAGGAGAGAAAGGGGATTTCAGAAATGGCCAACACAACAGACCTTCGGTAACTTGAAGCCCACGGAAACTGTGATCCCCAGTGTCGCTCTTTTAAGTAGTTTCTTCTAGATCAGGAAAATTTCCTGGAGTCATAGAATCTCAAATTAGAGAGAAACTTAAAAGACCCCTTAGCTGAGTGTGCAAGTCATTGGAAAGTATCTACTTGCACCACTCTGATGACAGGGAGCTCACTACCTACTGAGACCATGCATTTGTGTGGGTCACTCAACATGTTAGCAAAGTCTTCTGCAGAGCTGGAATCGATTTTCTCATTTCTCCCACTCATCGATCCTGATTTTATTCTTTGGATTAACCAAGAACAAGGGTAACTTTTTATGGAATCAAGAGGGTCTGTAGGTTTCCTATTGTTCTCTAAGCAGCTAGTCCTTCTGTCCAGTCTCATGAAGCAAGGCAGAGGCTGAGCTGTTCTGCAGGGAGATTCTATGATATAATGAAGAGATGCAGATTGAGACTCTGGAGCTAGATCGCCCGCACTGGAGTCTCACCTATGCCCCTTACTGTATGACCTTGGCAGGTAACCTCTCTGTGCCTCAGTTTCTTCATTGGCACAATGAGGGTAAGCATGGTAACCTACGTGATTGGGTGATGGTGAGGATTAATTGACTTAATACTTGGGAAGTGCTCAGAACAGTGCCAGCATATAGCTGGTACTCAGCAATGTAAGAGCTTCGGTTACTATTAAGAAACAACTTTAATTGCCTCCAGGACAAGTGCCACAGACCTACTACCTAAAATGAGATGGAAATGGCCTACGTGGATGGATGAGGATGGGGCTTTTACTTGTGAATCAAAGCCGCCAACCTCATTCATACGTATTGTCTCCACTATTATCCCTGCTTTTGTAACCTGTATGTCAGCCACTTGGCTGTCCCCACGCTCTCCTGTCATGGAGTCACCCTTTCCTATTTAATAAAAGTGCTGCACGTCCCCATTTCATGAATAACGGGAAACTTACAGCCTGATCCCCTCTACCACTGAGGCCCTAAAGCAACCACAGCTTTACGCTGTCACATGTTCTGCTGATGACAGGTGGATCATGGAGTGTATATTTGTGTTATGGCATGGCAGAGGGAACTTCAAATTAAATGTCACTCATTGGTCCCTAAAGATCCTGGCCACACCTTCCTTGGGAAAATTTCCCCCAGGCGTCTGGATCTCCCAGCTCCTCACTCTCCCTGGACCTCACATTTCTCCCTTTCTTTGTTTTCTCGGCCCTTCTACCTCTCTCCCGTGGGCTGCCCTCCTGAAGCTCAGGTTTCCTTCGCTGTCTTTAGCAGAGCAGCTTTTAGCTCTCCACATCTACTACTTGGGCTGGGACCCATTTTTGTACATCAAAATCACAGGCTGGACCCAGCAGAGGCCTGACCTGCCAATCTTCCCTTTACAATGATCAGTTTCTCCAGTGCGGCCACCCTCCCCCACCAGACTCCGCCAGTGAAAGGCATCTGGGCCACGATGTAGTCTTTCTCTGATATAAATTATTCCACATCCCTGCCCCCTTTAAAGGCAGATGGAGTTACTGTCTTTTACTTTTTAAAGCAATTTAAAATCTTGCCTGCTAAGCCTGGAAGGTCTTCTTTTCTTCTCCCTGGCTCCTCAAATTCTGCCTGTCTCCCTCTAGGAATGAGCTCAGAATCTTCCTCCTCTAGGCAGCTTCCCTGATCGAGTGGCTTTGAATCTTGTGGCAAGGCCCCCATTTGGCCATGACCTACCTGCCACCTGAAGTTAATATCATTCCCAAGCTTTGTTGCCCCAATTATTGTAGAATGCCCTTTCCCAGAAGTCTCAGGAGACTTAAAGTTCGCTGGAGGGTGGCCTGGGTGCAGGAGGAGCAAGGCATCAGAGAGGCCTGCATTTATTCCTGCCTTCCCCGTCCGCTGGCTGTGTGGCCCTCCCTCAGTTACTTAACTTCTCTGAACTCAGTGTTCCCATCTGGAAAAGGGGGAAAGAATGCCTGCATCACACCATTGCTGTGAGAATTAAAAGAGGTCAAGTGTGTCAAATGCCCCGCAGAGTCTGGTACATGGGAGGGGCTTGATCAATGTTGAATTCTTTCCTTCCTCTAGAAGAACCCACAGGATAAAGGGGCAGGGAGAACAGGAAACTGGCTTCAGATGGTGCCCTAGGGGGACTAAAAACTGAAGGGAAGATGTGCTTACTGAAAAAATGGGGTGGTTGGGTAAATGGGTGAGAATAAGACACACTGGATCCGGAAGGCCACGTGACAAAGCCTGTGGGGCCCCTGCAGGGAGCTGAATGCGGCAGAAAAGACCGCAGCTGGCTTCCTTTCTTCTTTGTGGCCCAAATTGAAGAGGACACTGGATTCCTCTGATGGAGTTCTGCTCCCTAGAGCTGATGCTGCAGATGCTGCTCTCAGGGTCCTTGGGCTTGCCCCCAGCCAATGGGAAAGAGAGGTCAAGACTGTGCTCAGCTTGGTGGACCTGAGACATCGAGGATCCTTCTGAAAGGATGGCCTGAGGCTTGGAGCGTCAGAGGAAGTCTGGGGCCAACTCTGCCTCTCTGAGCTTCAGTTTTCTCTTCTCTGCAACAAGAGCATTGGGCTGTATAATCCCTAGAAGGAGACCCTTCTGCTCAGTAAGCTCAGTTTAGCTCTGTGTGTGTGCGTGTGTCTGTGTGCATGTGTGTGTCTGTGTGTGTGTGTGTGCATGTGTGTGTCCTTTGAGGTCCCTGAGCACTCAAATGTAGCTAATTCAGACTCCATTGATTCTGAACGTATAATTTTTTTGACTTGGACTAGGCTGGAAGCTACTTTTGCATAATTCACACACAAAAAAACTTGATACGCTCATGAATAGTGTTGCTGTGATGATGGAAGAATCATTTCCATGACACCGGGCTGCCTCTCATCAAATGCCTTTCAGATTCAAGCAACAAAGATGGAGCTCCCTCTTCCTGCCAGGCACCCCCCCGGCCCTACAACCCCTAGACTCTCTTGAGCCTTCCCATTTGTGTCCTAGGAGACTTTCCTGAGCTCCACCGTCCAACTCACTAATTGGATCTTCACTGTGCTCATTCCTTTATGCAGTCTGTCCATTATGATTTTAATTCTTATAAGCATATTTTAAAGTTTGAGAATCGTGGCTTTGCATTGCAACTTGTGATTCTTTATTTGTGTATCATCATCGTGAATCTTCCTGAGAATATTCATTACTATTTTTACTTCGTTGTCTGTTTCCTCTGCTGATGCTCTTCCCTTGGGTGTTCATCCTTTGCGTGAGCTCAGGGATTACGTTGCTGGTTTTTCTAATGCTTGGTGATTCTTCATCGTCTATTCACGTTTTTCAATTTGTACTCGAGAATCCCTGTTTGTTTCTCCTGCAACTCCTCACGTCTTGGGCTGTGATTTTTCTCTGTTTTTGTTCCTCTGTCAGCTCAGTTCCTACTGCTTTCTATCTTCCAGGAATTCCTCAATATTTCTGGTCTGCTTAGCTCCACTTCCTCTCCCTCCCTGCTCCTTGTTCCCTCCGCACCTCCCCTGTCCCTGCTTCCTTCCTCTTTGCAGTGCTGGCAATAGACAGATTCTTTTCTTTCCTTCCTTCCTTCCTCCCTTCCTTCCTTCCTTCCTTCCTTCCTTCCTTTCTTTCTCTCTTTCTTTCTCCTCCTCCTCCTCCTTCTTCTCCTCCTCCTCCTCTTTCCTCTTCTTCCCCTTCCCCCTCCCCTTCACCTTCCTCTTCTTCTTCTCCTCCTCCTCTTCCTTCCCCTCCTCTTCTTCCTTCTGTTGTTTTTCCTCCTCATCCTTCAAAATGCATGATTTCAGTAACTGCAGGAGACTTTGGCTGGAGGAGGAAGACATGGCCATGCTCATTGTGAATATCTCTGGCTAAGCTCCTTTGTGTCTCTTCACATTCCTTAGAATAATCCACAAGATGGTTATCATTTCCTGCTTTTTATGGTTAAAGAAACAGAGGGTTTGGATGACTTCCTTGGAAGGTGATGAGAGTAGGCAACAGCTTGGAATCAGCTCCTCAGGATCCCAGTTGAGTCATTTTTTTTTTTTTCCTTCTTCCACCTTTCTGAAATCCCAGACATCTTTTAACCTGCTCCCAGTGGTAGGAGAGCCTGGTTAGAATCAGTGGTCAGCGTGCATTTGGGTGCAAAAGAGCAACAGGACGCCATGTGTTCTCTGTAGAAGCTGCCCAGGAAGATCCTCCTGTGCTGTTTTGGTAGCAGAGAGAGGGCTCAGGTTTGCACCTGCTACAAACCTACTTTTACTTAGAACTAGGCCAAGGTTTAGATTATTCAACAACTCGTACAGACTTTATCCTCCAATAAACTTTAACTCCTGATGATTGGACTAAATTGTCTGGCTTATTAAACTATTTATTGATTTTTTTCCAGGCAGTAGTTCTTAATAAAGTAAATTCCTAATTAAGTAAAAAAAGTTGTATAGTCAAGATGTGGGGTACAATCTGGAAATCACTTTTCAGAAATGCTGGGGCACAGGAGCAGCCATTTCTACTCTGGAACCGAGACTTTCAAACAAATGAGGGGAGTTAGAATATGTCCAGGGGGCCAGGAGGCAGTGACTGGGACCCCTGAAGGCTGGGACCTGAGAAGTAGGAGAGAATCAACTCCCTGACACCCTGGGTTGTGCCCAGTTTAGGTTTCTCACCAGTCAGTGAGTACATTTTTCAAAGGGCACTTTGAGCCTTGTGTGAGGCCCTTGTCCTAAGTTCCTAGGAAAGTGGCCTGGGGAGTAGTACACGGGCCCTTGAAATAAGCCGTAGTCACCGGGAAGCAGCTGGTCCAAGGGTGGTGGAAAGAGGCACAGCTGCCTGGGAGGACGATAGCAGAGGGGCTGGGGAGAGTGTAAGCTGGAGAAACAGATTTCTGTCATATTGTGGTGGCAACAGGGCCCTGGCCTTCAGGAAGGGTGGGACCTGGGACCTAGAGCCCAGGAAGGGAGCTGGGTGGGGTACAAATCCAGAAACCTGTGGTTCGTACCCAAGTCACTGCTGGTGCTGTGGCTGGTAGGGTCTGGGAATCTGGCATCACGAGAGACAGAAGTGTGAAGAAGCAGAAGCCTACTCCATTTGTCCCCTTGGCGTCTCCCCACCATCTGCTCTATGGCTCCTGAGCAGAGGGCTGGATGCCACCTCCATGGCTGCCTGTGGGAAACTGATCATGGTCCCTCCTCTCCTGGACTCGCCAGCTACCAGGGCCACTTGCCTGGGATAAGAGGATTGTTGTGTCGGGCCTGGATATGAGGCCCCAGTGTCCTGCCCTACAGAGACTGGCTTTTCTGTGGACCCACACACAAAGTCTTCATGGGCTAGGCTGAATCAGGTGCCAGGTGCAGGCAGAGGCATGTAGGCAACAGGTGTGCTCTGAGGTGGGTTACAAAGTTCAAAGAAAATCATCACTATTCATAGCCATTCAAAAAAGGAATGATGCCAGGGCAAGGTGCTGTAGGGCAGATGTACACATGTGTGGGCACCACCTCCTGGGATCTAACTCCATACTGGAGTGGGGACTTCAGGGATGATATTGTCCCATGAGGTCAAGGGCCAGCCCCTGCCCCAACCTCTATCCTCTATCCTATCAGTCTGGAGGGTCCCCAAGGGCAGGTGCTGTCTGTCTCCCCTCTCTCCATCTGACAGACAGTTTGGGCTTTTCCAAGGGCATAGTCAGTGTCTTCTCCACAAGACCGGGAGCTTCAGAAGGTCATATGTCTTCAACAAATTGGAGAGCTTCCCAAGGGTGGGAAGTGCTCTCTTCCCTGGGAATTTTTCCAAAATAAGGACAGTGTCTTTCCAACAAAGCAGGTGCCACTGAGTCCCAGTGCCACATTTTTCACTGTTTCCTAGTGTCCAGGACTGATCCCTGCACACAGCGGATCCTCAGAGCTTACTGTCGACTGCCTGGGACCCCTGCAGGGGGCTTGGTGCTGAATTGGAGATGCTCCTGCCCTTTGGTCACCTGATGCAGGTGCTTTCCTCAGATCTACCTCCCTCAATAACCTTGACCTTCCACCTCCATGGGTTCTTCAGAGTGCAAATGTTCTCAGGAAAAAGGACAGTGCTCAGAGCTTGTCAAGAGAATTACACGTATGGTTTTAACTTAATCTTCTTCGAATGAAAGTGTGTGTTCCAGGACCTTACCTTAGCCCTGGGAATTACTGAGCAGCCATTATATAATTCATTAGTTTGCTAACAACCTCTCAAGAGCTCCCCACCTGTGATGCTGTGACTGATGCTCTGACAAGTCACCCCAGAGCCTATTTAATTTATTCTGAAAGGCTGTGTGTGTGTGCATGTGTGTGGTCTTCAAGGTAATGACAGACACAGGCAGTGGAAGGGAGGCAGGAATAACTGAGTGTCAGGAAGCAGGATTCCAGTCCCACTAGTTGTGTGATCTTGGACAAGGTACTTGGTCCATTTTGGCCCCAGTGAGTTTACAGCCTGGAAACAAACCAACCAGCCTTCTGATCAGCCTTTCTTTTAACAGACTTTTCCTCACCTTTACCTTAATCAGAGAAAATGGAAAGCAAAAATGACTGTTTTCCTTCCTTCCTTCCCTCCCTCCCTCCCTCCCTCCCTCCCTTCCTTCCTTCCTTCTTTCCTCCCTCCCTCCCTTCCTCTCTTTCTCCCTCCCTCCCTCCCTCCCTCCTTCCCTCCTTCCTTCCCTCCCTCCTTTCTTTTTGGAGGAGGGAGAGGAAATTAAGCTCTCCAGGTCTTGGTCCCTAATTTTCCTCGGATAAAAAGCAGAGGGGAAGATGTTTGAGATGAGAAAGCCAATGCAAGTGTCTGGTGCAGGTCCTCATGGTGTCGCTGGCACTCAAGCCTGGATAAAGTTGCTTATTCCATTCGGGCCAGATCACACAAGGTCCAGGGAGTGAGGGCCACCTGTTACGAGGTCCAGAGTTGACCACACATTGAATCTGAAAGACTTAGACTCTGAGTCCCAGGACAAGGTGGAAACACAGCGTCTCCTGTCCTGTTTTGTCTCGTTACTGATTGAGCTCCCCAAGGTCCGTTTGTCTCTCCCAAGCTCTGCTTCAGTGTCCACAGCTCACCGTGCTGGTCAGTGCCTCACATGGGGGTGCCAATGCCCGCTGGCTGAGGGAACAGGCAGATTTGAGTTTGAATCTCAGCTCTGCATTTAGTGTTTGATCCTTTACTATTTATTCAAGCTTTCTGAGCCACAGTTTCCTCACCTGTTTATCACTAGGTGTCCAGTGGGGACTGAATGGAAACTTTAAGCTGGAAGAAATATCATTTTAGAGACACTAAGCCATCTGCCTCCTAGAGTGGGCACTGTGCGGGCCGCTTTAAGCCAGGGCCACCAGCACTCAGCGATCACAGGGTGCTTCCAGCTGGCATCAAGTGTTCTTTTCTGTATCTCCCTTGGCGTGGAGCTGCTGTCCCATGGAGTTAAAGAAAACCATGCCCCTCTAAATTTGAGGAAGTGTGTTCCCTACCTAGAAGTTATTATTTATCTTAGGGACATGTTTGATGGTGTTTGGGTGTATGTATGGAGCATGTGTGTGTGAGTGTGTGTCTCCATGTGTGAGTGTGTTTGTGTGTTTGTGTCTGAGTGTCTGTGTGTGTCTGTGTATGTGGCTGTGTGTGTCTGTGTGTCCGTGTGTGTGTCTGTGTGTGTTGTGTATCTGTGTGTCTGTGAGTGTGTGTTTATGTGACTGTGAGTGTGTTTGTGTGTGTCTATGTGGCTGTGTCTATGTCCGTGTGTGTGTGTCATGTGTCTGTGTGTTGTGTGCCCGTGTGTGTCTGTGTGTGTCAGTGTATGTCTGTGTGTGTGTGTGTCTGTGTGTCTGTATCTGTGTGTGTCTGTTCTTGTCTGCACTTTTGTTCCCAGGAGATGTGAGGTGAAGACCTCACCAAAGTAGGAGTGGCGTGTGGGCTGGGCTTTGGCCCTTCGTGCTGGAAGTGATGGAGAGGCATGGCCTGGCTTGGCACAGCTCTGCCTTGCCTGTGCTGCCAGCCTCTTGTGAGAGATGCCATGTGGAAGGGATTTGGGACAATGCACAGTGCACTCTTCTGAGTGTTTTGTCTGGGCTAAAACTCTGCAGAGTATAGCTGTGGCTCTGAAACAAATAGAGGCTGGCCTTGTCAATTGTTTTGGGGTGAAGTTAATCCGGGGTAAGAGTCAGAGGCAGTCTAGAAGGCAGGGCATAAACTAGCCAGATGAAGGCCTTGGCTGGGAGTTGGGTTTATACCCCTAGGCCTAAGGAGTAGCCACTGCTAACAAGAGTTGTAGTTTTTCCTCTGGGTTGCAATTCTCTTCTCTTGCCTCCAAGCCTCCACTCAGGTAACCTGGCAGTGGGGAAATTGAGAGGTGCAGTGTCCACTCACTAATGATGAAGGTGAGATGTGGATGCATGGAGCACATTTTAGAAAAGCCCTGGCCTTTTATAAGGACCTGGGCCTTCCAGTATTTTCCTTGCCATCTCACCACCTGCTAACACATGCTGTGCACATAGGAGGTGCCAGGAAAATGTGTGTTATTCGAATGGAACTGAGAAACCGTTCTAGTCTAAACCCTGAGGCCCCCTGGCTTGCCCCCTCCTACCATGCCCATCTAGTTTTCAATGCCAAGCTCTCACGTCAGGGTTTTTCATCTCCATCTTCCTGTTGTTCACTTTAGGGGAAGGGTCCTGCTTGGACTATTGCAGTAGCCTCCAAGTAGCTTGAACTTTGCTCAGACTCTCCCCTCCCCAATCTGCTAAGCAGATTGTTGACAAGATTCTCTGCAGTTTGCTGCTTTGATGATGTCCCTCTCCAGCTCCAAATTGTTACTGGCTCTCCATTGACTACAGGTAAAATGCAGACTTCTCAGCCTGATCTTCCACAATCTGACGTCAGCCTACCTCCTCATCCTGCCTGGGCCTGGAGGCATGCCAGCCAATTCAGACCACTTGCCATTTTTCTTTTTCTCCTCTGCATCTGGAATTGCTGTCAGTGAAACCTTCTCTTTCCCTCAAGGAGCACCTTGAATGCTGGCCCCACATCACCTTCCTGACCCTGTCAGCTCAAAGAGGTTTCTCTGCATCTGAACTCCATGTGTTCCAGTCTCTGGGTCCTTACCATGCACTGCTGGGGCATGCTGTGTGCTGGCCGCCGTCCCTCCTCATGCTCAGAAGCAGAGCCTATGACTTAGTCACTTTGGTCTCCCCAGCGCCCAGAGCAGATATTTGCACAGAAGAGGAGCTCAATAAATGTTTGTTTAATGAATGAATATATAATTCTAACCCAGTGCCCTGCTTTCTTACAGTGACATTCAAGTCATCCTAGGCCAAAAAAAAAAAAAAATGCCTATTTACCTTCCAAAATTACCTCTCATATTGGTCAAAATTAAAATAAACACTTGGCGGATTAAGACCTGGCCTGTCATATTGTATCTGACACCATTAAGAACCAAGGTTGGGGTGCCTCACGGTTGACTTCCACTGATCTAAGATGTCAACAACAATGTCACCTGCCTGATAGGGTGACATCTGAGCTCCAAGGCATGCACTCCTGTCCTTTGGGCGCTCACCCCCGGCTTCATGCACCCTGTGCCCTGGGTCAGTGCCTGCCTCTCTGATTCAAGCCTTCTTCTGGGCGACTGGGCCTTTGATCTTGGGTTATGTTCCTGTTTTGCTTTCACTTTCCAGCTCTTATCTGCTAGAGTGCTTTGAGTGTAAGCAACAGGAAGTCCTGTGGCTAATGTAGGCGTTAAGGAGTTTATTGGAAGCATGTAGCAGAGCCCATGGAACTGAATGGAGGGCAGAGAACCAACTCAGAGCAATTAGAATTGGGATCACAAACAGGGTGGGGTGTGGGGCTCAGAAACAGGAGCTATTGATAAAAGAACTGTTTTTTCGTTTTTTTGTTTTTTTTGAGACAGTCTCGCTCTGTCACTCAGGCTGAAATGCAGTGGCGTGATCTCAGCTCACTGCAACCTCCATCTCCCGGGTTCAAGCAATTCTCATGCCTCAGCCTCCTGAGTAGCTGGGATTACAGGTGTACGCCACCATGCCTGGCTAATTTTTGTATTTTTAGTAGAGATGGGGAGCTTTGCCATGTTGGCCAGGCTGGTCTCAATCTCTTGGCCTCAAGTGATCCGCTTGCCTCGGCCTCCCAAAGTGCTCAGGAGGCTGAGGTAGGAGAATGGCATGAACCCAGGAAGCGGAGCTTGCAGTGAGCTGAGATTGCTCCGCTGCACTCCAGCCTGGGCGACAGAGCAAGACTCCATCTCAAACAAACAAACAAACAAACAAACAAAAACACTGCTGGGATTACAGGTGTGAGGCACCACGCCTGGCCTGAAAGGACAGGTTCTTAAGGGGTTGCCATTGCTGCTCCTACTGCCAGGGCTAATGAGTGTCGACCATTTTGTCTTTTTGCCACTCTGCTGCAGATTCAAACTCCAGGGAGAATCCAAGTGGGCCTAGCATGTGCTTCTGTTTCACCATCTGCTGCTCTATCCCTGTTATTCTTTCCTGGTTTTTGCCCATCCCTCACAGTCCCATCCATCACCCGATACCCACCCAGACATGCATAGAGCACCCCACAAGGGGTTTCCAGGGTTGCCTCCATGAGGGTGCTGGATTTCTGCCTAGCCCAGGTAACACATCCTTCTGAGCAGTGATACAAGCAGCAGTAGGACAATTAGCTACCAAGGGAATTGTCCTCTGCTTATCCATCATTGTAGAAAGTAATGAGTGACTTTAAATCACAAACCTTATGTTTTCTTTCCCATGGCATGAAATGCGTAGGTCAATTCTCAAAGCTTAGTGACTAGTTCTTGTACTAGAAATGCAAACTTGAGGACAATTTACTCATAAACTAATTACTTGTCCTTCCCGGGCATTAGCAATGGGATCTGCAGGCACAATAGACATATTCACATTGTTGATCCCCGTTGTTCCAAGACCCACATAAGCTTCCTGGGAAACGGATCTGAGCAGAAGTCAAAAACACAGTATTCCTTATTTCTACCCGTTGGACTTGTGGGTTCACTTAATGCTAGCTTTCTCCCTAATGAAAGGCAAGGGAAATATCAGCTAGAAATTTCATAATCAGAGTGTTTGCCTCGTTTGCTATTTTTAAACACCACAGACTTTGGAACTAAGGATGTGCATTAGTCTGGCAAATGCTGCTGGTAGATGTGGACTGAAGCTCCTGTCTGCAAAGGTACAATTGAGAGGACAAAGAGCGGGCATAAATAATGGATTAAGAGTGGCTCTGATGAGAGCCTATTCGTCCTGCAGCCTCAAAATGAAAGCACGCAGCCGATGACTCATTGGATAATAGTAAATATGATGGGCTCATAAAACCACTGGTTCCCCCGGGGGCTGTTCGGCAGGCTTTGTCTGGTCTTGAGCTTGTTATGTGCGGAAGCTACCAATTTAAGCTGCCCTTCCCCCAGCAAAGACGTGGCTCCTGGGCAGAGAGTTATTTGGGTGATTTGCAAAGTGTGGGTGGCACAGGGAGAGGCGGATTTTCCCCCAAGGGATGTTCCTCTGCACTCCTGCATGTGCCCTGGCCTGATGCCAGTTCCAGGCAGGTCCCCATCTGGGGAGATCTGGATGCTATATGGACTTCATTAAGGGGAAGGCAGAGACCTCGGCCCCAGGGAGCCAGAAATGGAAAGGAGACATGGCCTTAACATAAAGTAAGGGTTCTGACTCCAACCTGGGAGACGAATACAGAACATAAACATGTCTTTCCTCCACCACGCTAAGCAGTTCAAGCCAGAGTAGGACTGATAATAACAGAAAGACCTACATTCTGTAGGGATATTGTTGCAGTGAAAGTGTTTGTCTTCAAATAGGGGGAGGCCATGTGGGCAGAGGCATTGAACTGGTTCTCTGAGGTCTCTCGACACCTCACTAGGACCCACGAGGAGAAGGCAGAAGCAGAATGAGTTGGGAACATTTTCTCAACGTTGATTTTATCTGAAAATGTCACAGTTTCCTATCACTGGAGGTGTGCGGGAATATACTCGTTCATTCACTGTGTAAGTTTCCAGCCAACTAACATCCCTTGATGCCCCAGGCATAGATTCGACATCAACCTGTGATAAGAAATAGAGGCACTGGGTGCTGACTTCTCTTTGCAATTGGCTGGATGCCCTAAGAGGTAGGTTCTTAACTCAAATATCTCAAGTGCAGGAATAACTGATAAAGAGGGAATTAGCCTCAGCTCTGCCCACAGACTGCACAGGCAAAGGGATGGTGGTGTGAAGATTAGAATGCATTGAGTTTATGAGGTATTGCAGGTATTGGGCTCGACACTTATTATAAGAATTCTGGACCAGGAGTTAGGGATTCAGTGACTGTGTTACCTTGGGTAAGTCACTTACCCTCTCTGGTCTTCAGTTTCCTTAGCAGTCAAAGTGTTACTGGTGGAGAGTGTCCAGGTTCTTGGTGTCTTGAACAAAGAATTGGACAAAACACATGAACAAAGCAAGGAAAGAATGAAGTAACAAAAGCAGAGATTTATTGAAAAGGAAAGCACACTCCACAGTGTGGCAGTGGGCCTGAGCATAGGGGCCTCAAGGGCCCCCATGACAGATTTTTTTGGGGGTTTAAATATCCTCTAGAGGTTTCCATTGGTTATTTGGCATACACCCTATGTAAATGGAGAGGATGAAGTAAAGTAACAAAGTCATTTACTCGGTGAATGCCCCATGTAAATGGAGAGGATATTTCCTGTCATAGCTGAAGTGTGAATCAGTCTTATGTTCCCTGCTTCCAGACCCTATTTTCCTGCCTCAAAATAGCAATAACACCTACCCTTACTCCCTCCAAAGGGCTATAATGAAATGATGAATCAATGAATTAACTAAGTAACTAATTTATGTGTCCATCCAAGAAACACTTTTCCATGGCACCTTGGTGGCAGGCATTGTGCTCAGTGCTGATGAAAAAAAACTGGGACCAGGCTCACCTTCGAGTGGCCTGCAGCTTCACGTGGGAGGAATGTGCAAATAGGACAGTGTGGCAGGTGACATCCACTAAAGCGGAATGAGCAAGGACTCAGAGGACTCAGAGCACGCAGGACATGCTTCTGATGGAAGGTGGGAGAGGGTAGGAGACGCATTGCAGCTTTCTATGTCTGGGGGAAGTTGAAAAGAAGAGTAACTTTTAACATTATTGTAGTAAGAACAGACTACAGAATGCGGAAGACCCCTGTAAATAGGAGAGAGATGTCCTGAATCTGTGCAAAGCCCCAGAGTCACGAATATCACCACAGCACTGACAAGGGCCTTTTTTCCTGGGTCATTTTCCAAAAGGAAGCAAACTCTGGATCACTTTCCAATGGTCATTGCAACTGATGAGGGAGAACAAGAAATGGGAACTGAGAGGCACCTGAACCAGGCTCTCGCTCACGCCCGCTCAATGGTCTCTTCCCCCACACCAGCTTTTCAGGGCCTGGGATTTACATGCAGACCTGCAACTGATTACAGACCGTGGGATCTGGGGGTTGCTAGCAAACAGTCAAAACCAAAAATAGTAAATCTGCAAATAACAAGGGTCAATTATCCTCTAAGGATGCATCTGCCTATGCGACACACAATATTTATGTTGTAAATTCCTAGGGGGCTGGGTGGAGAGTTTTTTTTCCCCCCATCTGGCTCCTGCTCATTGAACCTTATGCACTGTGGATACTTCAGAAGTGCAGATGGTGTGACAAAGCAATGGTTTTTCCTTTGCAGACACCTAACTGGATAATTTGGTGGTCAATGACACTGGGGACTCTGGCGGTCAGCAAAACTGGGTAAAAATCCCAGTTCTGCACCTGACTAGCTGTGTGAACTTGGGTGAGAAATATAATCTCTTCATGTCTCAGTTTGTTCATCTGCAAAATAAGTGTAACAACACCACTAACCTCATAGGTAAGGAATGAGTGAGATAGTGCATGCACCCTGAGCCAACAGTGAGAGCTCGATAAATGGTTACTAGCAGCAGCGTCTTATCGTCTCCATCTTCATCTTGACCGCCATCATTCTTGACTCCTGAAGGCCAGGAGTAGGGGGGAGGATGGCTGAGGCCCCCATAGGGTCTTCTGCATGGCTCCTCAGCTCCTGGACTCTCACCTTAGCACAGACACTGGCCCTAGACCAGTTTTCCTGTTAGTTCAGTGCCTCGCAAACTTGAGTGTGCAGCAGAATCAACGGAAGCACTTGTTAAAACACAGGCGCTGCCCCACTTGCCGGGTTTCTGATTCAGTAGGTCTGGGGTGGCTCTGGTCTGATCATTTGCATTTCAAAGGACTCCTCAGGTGATGCTGTTGCTGCTCGTCCAAGAATTACAGTTTGAGAACCGCTGCTCTAGTTTAGTCCTGGGGCCCTGCCCAAGTGTATCCAATCATCAGCTCCTCTGAATGCCATTTGCCCAACAGCTGAACTGGCTCTCAAAAGTTGGCTGTTCGTACCAATAGGGAAAAGCCATGTGGTCACTTCTGAAAATTTTCCTTTTTTTAATCTAAGATTATTAATCCAAATTCTTGAGCTCCCAAAACACTAAGTGATATGGTTTTGCTGTGTCTCCACCCAAATCTCATCTTGAATTGAAATCCCCATAATCCTCATGTATCGAGGGAGGGACCTGGTAGGAGGTGATTGGATCATGGGGGCGGCCTCCTCCATGCTGTTCTCCTGATAGTGAGTGGGTTCTCATGAGGCTTTATAAACGGCAGTTTCCGCTGAGCTTTCCTCTCTCTTTCCTGCTGCCTTGTGAAGAAGGTACTTGCTGCCTCTTCACCTTCCACCATGATTGTAAGTCTCCTGAGGCCTCCCCAGCCATATGGAACCGTGAGTCAATTAAGCCTTTTTCTTTTATAAATTGTTCAGTCTTGGGTAGTATCTCTATAGCAGTGTGAAAACGGACTAACACACTAAATAAGAGGTAGCTCAGGCTTCCTGGGTGATAAGGCCCATGAGGGCAGGGACTGGTGTGCCTGCTTCTCCACTGCCTCTCCAGGATGCAGGGCATTTTTATCAAGTGAAATAAATTGTGGTGGCAGGTGCCTCAGGCAGAAGGGTTTGCTCATGATTGATGCCCATGTCTCTGATGCCTGAGGAGGCCTAAGGTACTTTATGGTGGAGGTGGTACACTTCCCTTTATTTGGTACCCTAGTGGATAGTCCAGCCCTGGAAGCTCTTCTAATATTTAATGCACTGGAAATTGCATGAGCAGCTTTTTATATCTGGAGCCTGTGCATGGTGCTGAGGGCCCCATGGTGAGTCCTACCATGAACATTGCCCCATTGTCACCGCCTTCAGGAAGTCTTCCCTGAATGCCCCTCCCCTGTTGGGTATGGTGTTCTTTCTCAGTACTTCAACGAGAGCCTGTGTGTCCTCCTTCACCATCCCACTTATCCCACTGTGTTACATGTTATCCTGTCTGCTTCACAGTCTCTCTTCTGAGAGTTTTTGAGGACAGGAACTGTGTTTTATTGGCATTCAATGACTGTTTGTTGACTGACTGACTTGACTGAATGAATATGGAATCAGCTGAAGTTACATGCCCAATAAGCACATATTCAGCAAATGCTGCTGAAAGATCACAGGCATCTCCTTATCCTCTCCCTGCCCGCAGCTCCCTCAGTCCCTCCTGGGATCCCCACAGGTGGCTCCTGTATGTAAGAGCTGTGAGCTCAGGGAGTGAAGGAGCCTTTAGAGGGTGATGGTCTTATGACTCTAAAACCTGCCCCCATTCCGCAAGCGAAGCTTTGCCCCACTCACTCCCTCCAGGCTCCAGCCTCCAGGTCTGGCACCCTAGTGGCTGGTAGGGTGGGGTGAGGTCTTGAAGGAGCCCTCCATGGTAACTGGGGGCCGGCCCTGACCTTGTGCCTGGGACAGGGAGTGATGAAAAGCAGTGATCTGAAATATGCCCCCACCTCCTCAGACTGAGGGCTGCTTACCTACCTCTCTGAGCCCCAGCTTCTCCTCTGTAAGATGGGAATGATAAAAGTACCAGCCCTGTAACATTGCTGTGAGGATTAAATGGGATATTTGTAAAGTGCTTGGAATACTGTCTGGCATATAAGAAGTGTTCAACAGGTAACATTAGCTATCTGTTGATGATGACCACGACGACGAAACACAGGACACTGTGTTACTCCCTTATGTCCTGTCAACCTGTCTGGAACCTGAACTCCTCTGAGACCAGGGTTCGCCTGTCTCCCGAGACCTCTCCTGCAGGGATCACATCCTGCCTGGGGCCCACACCTGCTGTTTCACCTCCGCTATGCTGTCTTCTGGGATCTTAGCGTCCTACCTGCTCCCGGTACCCCTACCTGCTGGGACACTGCCCTGGCACCTACCTCCCTGACTTGACTGTGTATATGTGACAAGCCGCTACCACCTGCTGCCACTCCGACCTGGGGTTCCACCTGCTTGGTTCACTGCCCCTTATTACCAACATCTGATTTCATCCCTAAGCACTTACTCCTGGCTGACCTTGCCTCCACATCCCTCCCCAGACAAAAAACCTAACCAAATGTGGTATGCTGCTGCATTTTACTCCCCCAGACTTTATTTTGTCTTGGGAGGAGCTTCCAGGAGACCCTCCACACCCATACCCAACCTTACCTTCTCCTGGAAAGTGCCACGTGGAGTCCCTGACCTCCAGTGATGCTGGAGGGCCGATTGTTTGGTTCTTGTTCGTTGCATGTACATTGCTATACAACAGTGAACACTGGAGAAGAGATGCAAATCCATCACTTTCTGGGTCCATCTAGGATCCCTTTCCACCAAATCCAGGGAAGAAGGGAGTCTGCAGAAAGTTTGATCTTAATCAATGGTTTTACAAAGCTCACCCCCAACCCCCACAGGGCTGGTTCAAAGACCATATGCCATGAGGCTGAGTTTGGGGAGCAGAGAAATACATTGTTGCTATTATGGATGAAGCAATTATTGCAAATCTATTTTTAATCTCTTCTTCCTTTTAAAATAATCGAGGCTGTCTTTTCATAAGAGGAAGAATCCAGGCTTTGATATGAGGAAAGGTACAAAAAGCTCCCCTTCTTTTAGCTGAAAATGCTAATTGAGCAGCCACTTATTTTTTTTTTAACCTTCATTAACTACATTAGCCTGCATTAACACCTTTTAAAACCTCTTTTAAATTGTGTTTAATCTCTGCTTTTCCAAGAGTGTGGAATCATTTTGATCCTCATCTTCATCTTTTCTTTGATGACAACTTTGGGTTTAATTTGTATCTGGGAATTGAAATGCAGATTTGCAATTACCCACCATCCCCTTCTCCTCATGCTCTGCTGGAGTGCTGGGAGGCACATTAATGCAGATGCTGTGTGTCCCTGGCCGGAGCACCCTTTCAGGCCTTCCCAGGTCCCATGGGTGGTTGGGGAAGAGTTTACTCTGCTCCTGTAGGTTCTGGGCACTTGAAACAAGTTGTATAAAGTGTTCAGTGCTCTATCTATACATTATAAGCCTTCACCTAGGAGTAGAAACTGTTTGCTTTTCAAAAATTTTTAAGGAGATTCTCTCTTGTCTCCTGAACATCGTATTTCTTTGTCCTTTGCCAGACTGTCTTACAATAGTGGGGGAATGTTGTGGACATTTTCAAGAGAAGAAATATATAAAACTATTTTGCTTGCTCATTAAGTTAAACATAGAGCTACCATATGATCCAGGAATCCACTCCTTGTGTATACTCAAAAGAACTGAAAGCAGGTGTTCAAAAATACCCTGTGCATGATGTGCATAGCAGCACTATTCCCAGCGGCCAAAAGGTGGAAACAGCCCAAATGTCTATCAACTGATGAATGGATAAACACATGTGGAATCTTCATGCAGCAGAATATTATTCAGCCTTCAAAAGGAAGGAAGTACTGGTGCACATTGTAACATGAACAAGCCTCGAAAACGTTATTCTAAGTGAAAGAAGCCAGGCATGAAAGTCCATGTTATGTGACTCCATTTGTATGAAATGCCCAGAGTGAGCAAATCCATAGAGACAGAAGGCAGATTGTGTTCCACCTCCAGCTGGTGAGACTTCACTCTGCCCCTGCTAGCACCTGATAACCTTGTTTTCCTTTTTAATCTACTAGGGAAGAGAATCTGAGTGGCCCAGATTGGGGTGTGTGTGTGTGTGTGTGTGATCCTTACCCAGGGCAGGGCTTAGGGCATCATCACGATTCTTGGCCCCAGCCCAGTATCCATCAAGGGCTGTTCCCAGAGAATGGGAGTCCAGGGGTAGTCACTCCACTGGTGCCCATGACACTGTCCCTCAGTAGCTGGTGCCAGGCAGGGATGAAATGAGCCAGGACATGCAGAGGAGTGGAGGAGTGAAGGAGCAGCCCCGGGACCAAGCCTGATCATCCCCTGGCCAGCATCACCTTCTCTTTCTCTCCTCTAACTGGAAGCTGCAGCTTTAAGCATCTTGAGAGTGCGGCACCTTGGCCCACCTGGTTCTCCTTTCACTTTTCGCCTCAATCTAAGACTGACAAAACGTCTCATGCTGAATTCTAATCTCACCTCATCCTTGAAGCCTTCCTTGGTTAGCCCCAACCTGAACTAAGTTTTACGTCCCTCCTCTGTGTTTCTCTTTCCCTGTATCATGCACATGGCTCTGAGCACAGATTCCCAACTGATGCCTCTAGAGTGCAACTTCTCACTGTGTGTGTGTGTGTGTGTGTGTGTGTGTGTGTGTGTATGTGTGTTCTCTGCAATCGTGCTGTGTGGGCCAGTCATTTGTAGCCTTCTAGCACTAGCACAGTGCTTAGTGGTGTGGAGGGGTGATTAGGAGTCCATGGTGGCAACTGCTTAAAGGTCACAGGCAAGATCTGGATGGAAAGTGGATGGAAAAGGACCCCGCTGCCCAGTGAGTCCCCATCTGTCCTGGCCAAGGCCACAGAAAGCGGGTTGCCCTGCAGAGCTGTGAGCTCAGGCCACTGGGGGTCTATGTGCATGAAGACTAGAAGGACCTCATGGGAAGATCTCATTCTAAGGGGAAAAAGGCAGGGGGCGGAGAGGGCGCACAAGCGTGACCCTTCTCGGAACACAGGGCCAATTTTAAGTGTACTGCATGCTATTCACTGCTCAGACTCAAAAGGAAAAGCCACTCCTTGACTCCACTGAGTTTAGGGTCCCCACTGGAGAGATAAGACTTCCATGAGGCAGCTTAACTGTGTTTGAATCTCAGATGTTCCATTGACTGGCTGAGAGCCAGCCTTTTAACCTCAGTTTTCTATTCAGCAAAATGGGCATGAAAGCGCCTATTTTGCAGGATGGTTGAGATGATGAAAGAGAATGGATTCAAAACACTTCACTGCACAGCAGATAATGACTGCTCAGCTAATGGAAGTGACTGATGTGACTTAGGGCTAGAGGGCGTGGTCGGGAACTCCTAGAGTTTAGAGGAGTCTGGAGGAGCCCATGAGTAACTGGGAAGGCTTTGGGGCTCTGGGGCCCTGCCTGGCAGCTGGCTTCTGTTGGCTCCTTTGGGTGTGGTGAACATCTCCCAGGAGGCAGGGGGAGCCCAAAAACCCTGTTTGCTCTGAGGTGATGGCACAGAGACGCATTTGCAGAAGGCAGCCTCCCCTGTGTCCCGCCTGGCTTGTCTGTCCAGGCATGAACAGAGGCTGGCAAGCGAGGAAAGGCAAACCTTCTTAGCAAGGGGACCTCTCCCGCTTGTGTCCACAAGTTGTCTGCTCCTATTCTGACCTGAGAAATGACAAAGACTCAGCCAGGCGCGGTGGCTCACACCTATAATCCTGGCACTTTGGGAAGCCAAGGCAGACGGATCACTTGAGGTCAGGAGTTTGAGACCAGCCTGGCCAACACGGTGAAACCCTGTCTCTACTAAAAACTACAAAAATTAGCTGGACATGGTGGTGGGCACCTGTCATCCCAGCTACTTG
Organism: Homo sapiens; assembly: GCF_000001405.40. Classification (NCBI taxonomy): domain Eukaryota; kingdom Metazoa; phylum Chordata; class Mammalia; order Primates; family Hominidae; genus Homo; species Homo sapiens. The sequence continues at coordinate 70,518,178 of NC_000015.10, read as the reverse complement.
GGAGGCTGTGGTAGGAGAATTGCTTGAACCTAGGAGACAGAGGTTGCAGTGAGCCAAGATCATACCACTGCATTCCAGCCTGGGAGACAGAGCGAGACTGTCTAAAAAAAAAAAAGGAAAAATAAATGATAAAGACCCGTGGTTGTTAAGATGCTTGTGGCTGGGGGCACATCATCCTTGGGTGACTTCCCTGACCCTCACTCAGTGCTCTTGAACCTCAGCAGTGGAGGGACAGGTAGGGTGTTTTTTCCTGGAGACTTTGAGGGGTGCAGGAGGGTTGGAAGTCAAGTGCACCGATTACAACTCTTGCAGACCTTTTAGCAGGAATGAGCAAACTGCAGGGGCCTAGTGTAAGGAACTCACATTCAGTGAAAGACACTAGGCTTAGAAAGGACTGGTTTAAGGTGCTAATTGGGGGCCTGGGGGTAGGGGGAGAAAGACAGACTGGAGTAAAAGTCCCTGGGAAGCTGTGAGGGAGGAGAGAAGTCTGTGTTGGAGAAAGGCTTGGGAGGGGGTGCCTAACCAGGAATGGAGGACGCATTCTCATTTTCATGCTTGCTCTGTTTCTGTCTCCTCTTCTCTGCCTCTTTTCGTCACGTCCTAGAGAAACTCCTCTATGAACCTGAGGTCATCAACTCCACCATGTGCGCCCCTGCCTGGGGCAGACTCCCTGGGCAGGGCTGGGGGAAGGGGGTTTGCTGGTAAAGCTGGTTCCCAGTTAGGGCAGTGCTGCAGACCAGACTTTCCAGGAAGCCTCTCCTCTCTGGCGCGTGTGTACACAGGCAAGTGCATGCTATGTGCCTGTGGGCATGCAGGGTGGGGTGGCAGGAGCGGGCACAGGTGGAAGCGTCTGGGTGGGAATCTGGGTGTGCTCCTGTGCTTATGCATTTGTGGGTGTGTGTGTGTGCACGCATGACTGTCCCCGAGTGCGTCTTTGTGAGTATGGGTGTGTGCACAGGTACACACCACAGGACAGTTGGAATTCGGTATGTTTTTCACAGATATGGCTAGGGACTTGGCCTTATTGCTCCAAGTCACACAGACTCAGTGATTTTGCTGCTTCAGTTGTGTATGGCATCTCCTCTTTTTCAACATATGGGTGGAGAAGTTGCTGCCCGAGAGAAGACTAGATAGAGCAGGGAGTCCTCCGAGCATTCCATAGATCCCTTGGTGCAGGCCACCTGCTGGCAATGGAGCCTCTGCAGCTCTTGGCCTTTGGTGGCTTCCCTTGTCCTCCTGCTGCCACTTCCAGCCTGAGCTCACTCTAGGTGCTCTGAGGGTGGCCAAGACAGTCCGGCCTTGGAGAAGACTGTGAGGGGCCAGGGGTAAACAGAGTCAGAACCAAGAGAACTGCATGGAGTTTATCCAGTGTGGAAATTCAAGCTGTTTCACTCGAACAGAGGGCAGCTGTTAAAGGACACAGCATATTATTTTCCAGGTGAGGCTCACCAAAGCCTCAACAAATGTGCAAACTGCATGACCAGCATCAGCACATTGCTTTACTGAGCGTTTACTACTGACTTGCAAATATGTGACTGGGGATTGGATGAGTCCCACATTTTTTGGAGGGGTCAGCACATTTTAAAATTGTTGAATTCATTGCCCACTTTTGAAAATTCCATGTAAAATCCGTATTTCTGGCTTCTCTTGAAAATTGAAAGAATTAGGAACATTGGTCCTGCATCCTTCTCATGAGGCAACAATTGGTCAAAACTGGGTGGAGAACCCTCTTTATTTATTTATATTTATTTATTTTTGGAGACAGAGTCTCACTTTGTCACCTAGGCTGGAGTGCAGTGGCATGATCTCAGCTCACTGCAACCTCCACCTCTCAGGCTTAAGCGATCCTCCCACCTCAGCCTCCTGAGTAGCTGAGACTACAGGCATGCACCACCATGCCCAGCTAATTTGTGTGTGTGTGTGTGTGTGTGTGTGTGTGTGTGTGTGTGTATATATATATATATATATTTTTTTTTTTTTTTTGTAGAGATGGTGTTTTGCCATGTTGCCCAAGCTGGTCTTGAACTCCTGGGCTCAAGTGATCCACCCGCTTTGGCCTCCCAAAGTGCTGGGATTATAGGTGTGAGTCACCATGCCCAGCCTGTTTAAGTTCTTTATAATGAACTTATTTTTTAAAAATGATACTTATACAGTGAGTTTTTTTTTCCGTTTGTTTGTTTTAAAGTTGAAAACCCTGAAAACAACTATACCAAGGAGTTAACAGTGTTTAATTCTGGGTCTTGGGAATAGGATTCTTTCCTTTTTAAAAAATTTTTGTATTGCTGTTAAACAAACTAGATATTTTTCAAGGCAGTATTTTTTCTGCATTTTTCAAATTTTTAGAAATGAAAACTTATAAATTTAATAAGATGACATAAATGAAGAAGCAGCAGGCATTTTGCAGGAGGCACACTTAGAAGGGAAACAAGCTATCTTAATTCTTGGTGTTGACTGAGTCTTTGGAAGTGCTAGGAACAGAGCTGGACAATGATGTAGAATCCAATGGGTGAGACTAGGAATTTAAAGTCCAACCTGTGAGCAGTCACAGACAGAGCCTGAGAATGCTTTGATGCAGAAAGGTGACCATTTCAGCAAAGATTAGCATGGGATTATATATAAATAGTGTACTAGTCTGTTTTCACACTGCTGATAAAGACATACCGGAGACTGGGTAATTTATAAAGAAAAAGAGGCTTAATGGGCTCACAGTTCCATGTGGCTGGGGAGGCCTCACAATCATGGTGGAAGGCAAAAGGCACATCTTACACGGCAGCAGGCGAGACAGAATGAGAATCAAGCGAAAGGAGAACTCCCTTATAAAATCATCAGATCTTGTGAGACTTATTCACTACCACAAGAAACCACCCCCATGATTCAATTATCTCCCACTGGGTCCCTCCCACACCACGTCGGAATTATGGAAGCTACAGTTCAAGATGGGATTTGGGTGGGGACATAGCCAAACCATATCAGATATAGATGATAGATAGGTAGATATAGATGATAGGTAGACAGATATACATAGAGATAATAGGTAGATATAGATGACAGGTAGATACATAGATAAAGAGAAGGAAGCTAGATGGATAGACAGAATGGGATCCAGAGGCAGATCCTGGATGAAAAGGAGACAGATGAAGAATAAGAGTGTGGACTGCAGCTGTTCTTCCCCTGGATACATTTGACAAAGGGGTTCTCAATTTTCCATGTATTTAATGTGGAGTATCTGATAAGACACTGGATTATAAAATCAAGTTGGAGCTGGAAAACTGCCCTGGGGACCTGCAAACATTTGCAGCAATCTAGGATGCAGATTGGAATTCATCATTTTGGCAGTCCCACTTGGTGAGGTCTTTAAGTCGAGGCAGTAGATACCTGCCCATTTTTCTTGAGGAATCTCTGAAACGTCAGTGAAGCGCCCTGGAAGCAGAGGCTGCAGCCTGTGGTGTTCAGTGTCTGTTTAGAATGTACCTAGTGTGTTAGCAGAGCCTGATCTTGTGGCATCAGAGTCCTGCTTACCTCCAACATCTAGATTCACAATAGTTCATGTTGGAAAATTACTGTTTGTCCGCTAGGCTGTTTTCATCCTCGTTTCTTGAATTTTCTCTGGGGAGATCTGAAGCCAAGACTGAACTAGGCCAAAAGAGGTGAGCGAGCTGCATTCTCTCTTCCTCTCAGATGACTGTGCACGGGACTGGGCTTGGGCGGCCCTTGTACTTCCCTTATTCAATAGGGTGACCCCTAAAACCAGGAGTCATTTTGATCGTTGGGACTGGGTCCAGGTGGTCAGACCACACCTTGTGGAGGCCTACAATTTCTCCTGAAGGAAAGGGATGTCCTGGGGCATGGAAGGAGGCAGGTCTTGCCTGGGGAGGGGAGGCTTTTCTTCTCCCTCTGGGGCCAAAAGAATGGACGGTGGGGTGTGGTGGCTCCTGGAGACAGAGCTGCTCCCCTCCATATGGAGCCTGCTGGGAGCTGGGCAAACATTCTGAGGTCAGGTTTTTCGATGATGAGCTCTAAGACTAGTAACTTCTAGCAGCAGTTGTAAATTAACCTCCATGTTGTACATAAATCATGCCTAAACCTTCAGTAAAATTGTGTTAACATACTGGTTTGGTCTTAGCTGAGTTTGAGGGTGGAGACACTGGCTCGCATCCAGGACTGAGATGAAACAGTCAGGGAGTGGTGCATGCGGTGGCCTGGAGAATCAAATTATGAGATGGCAGGAGGTGACCCCCATGCAGTGCAGGTGCAGCCTGGGACCAAATAGCTGGGGGTGGAGGTAATAAGGAAAAATCAGTGTCCTGTTGATCCTATTGAACATGTTCGGAGCCCATGAGGAGGCCCAGAAATCCCAGGGAACACTGGCCTCCCTGCTGCCATATGAGATGGCTGCTTGGATGGCAGTGATTGGGTTATTAGAGGAAAGGTGACCCTTGAAATCCAGAGGGCTGAAGGCATTTGGGTTACTTGTATGAGCACTTAGGGTAGAGAATGTATCTGTCAGTTCTCATTTCACAGGCAGTGCTCAGCCCTTTGTACTTGATCATTTGGGGGGCACTCTAAAACTCTGCATTTAAAGGCACTTTCTGTCATTGCTAGACAGAGGGCCCTGTGCCGATTGCAGCCAATGACAAAGGCAGTCAAGGTTCCTGAGCAGGGGCTGGGTAGTGAGGATCCCTTAGAGCGTAGGGCTGGGTGAAGTGTGTGCCCCCTTGCTCGCACAGGACCCGGCCAGGCTGCTATCCCACCGCGGTTTGCACTTCTCTGCCCCAACTAGACTTTCCTAGGTCAACCTTATTTTTTGGACAAAGTAGACAGGAGTCGTTCTGGAAACTAATTTTCCCATTCTCCACTTTGTGCCCTGGAATGTAGTTTGTGGAAAATTGATTTTTTTCCCCTCATTCTTCGCCCCACCTCTCCCCACTCTGCACCTCTGTCATTTTTGCTTTTCTGTTAAAAAAAAAAATGTTATCTTGTTTCTTTTTCTAGCATAACTAATATATGCCACTGATCCCTTTTAATTTGGGGGAGTACAAGCTTACATTAGCCTGCTAGGTATCGCAATTGAGCTGCTTTGTCTTTGTGTGGCTCAACAAAGGGCCACGGGCTGCTGTGTCCAGGAAAAATCTTCAGTGTTGGAGCCACTATGCTGTGTGTGCCATTTACTTGGGGCCAGCAGAGCAGAGGTGCGGCCACTGTGGGGTGCTCAAGTCTCTGGGCTGCACTGACAGTGGTAGTGGCCTGACTTGGCAGGAAGAGGGTGCTGTAGAGCCAAGCATGGAGTACATAATTTTGGGTAGGGCCAGCCCTACCTTCAAGGATTCACCTGGGACGACCGCCTGGTTTGCTGCCAACTCCGAAGGGTGCCCCACCAGCAAATTCTTTTTTAAAATTTCAGCTATTATTTTGAATTCAGGGGTTACATGTGCAGATTTCTTACCCGAGTATATTGCATGTTGCCAAGGTTTGGGATATGAATGACCCTGTCACCCAGGTAATAAGCATGGTATCCAATAGGTAGTTTTTCAGCCCCTGCCCCTCTCCCTCTCTCCCCACTCTGGTGGTCCCCAGTGTCTGTTCTCATCTTTATGTCCATGTGTTTATGGACATGTGTTTATGTGTCCATGTTTAGCTCTCACTTACAAGTGAGAACATGCAGTATTTGGTTTTCTATTTCTGCATTAATTTGCTTAAGATGATGGCCTTTGGCTGCATCCATGTTGCTGCAAAGGACATGATTTCATTCTTTTTTATGGCTGCATAGTATTCCATGGTGTATATGTACCACATTTTCTTTATCCAATCCACTGCTGATGGGCACCTGGGTTGATTTAATATCTTTGCTATTGTGAACAGTGCTGTGAGGAATACACGACTACATGTGTCTTTTTGGCAGAACAATTTATATTCCTTTGGGTATATACCCACTAATGAGCTTGCTGGGTTGAATAATAGTTCTATTTTCAGTTCTTTGAGAAATCTCCAAACTGCCTTTTCACAGTGGCTGAACTAATTTACATTCCCACCAACAGTGTATAAGTGTTCCTTTCTCTCCACAGCTTTGCCAGCATCTGTTATTTTTTGACTTTTAAATAATAGCCATTCTGACTGGTGTGAGATGGTGTCTCATTGTGGTTTTGATTTGCATTTCTTGGATGATTAGTGATATTGAACATTTTTTTCATACGTTTGTCAGACACTTGTGTGTCTTCTTTTGAGAAGTGTCTGTTTATGTCCTTTGACCACTTTTTAATGAGGTTATTTGTTTTTTTGCTTGTTTAATTGTTTAAGTTTCTTATAGATTCTGGATATTAAACCTTTGTTGGATGCATAGTTTGTGAATATTTTCTCCCATTCTGTAGGTTGTCTGTTTACCCTGTTGATAGTTTCTTTTGCTGTGCAGAAGTTCCTTAATTATGTCCCATTTGTCAATTTTTGTTTTTGTTGTAATTGCTTTTGAGGACTTAGTCATAAATTCTTTGACAAGGCTGATGTCCAGAATGGTATTTCCCAGGTTTTCTTCTAGGATTTTTATAGTTTTAGGTCTTACATTTAAGTCTTTAATCCATCTTGAGTTAAGTTTTGTATATGGTGAAATGTAGGGGTCCAGTTTAATTCTTCTGCATATAGCTGGTCAGTTATCCCAGCATCAAATATTTATTGAATAGGGATTTCTTTTCCTATTGCTTATTTTTGTTGACTTTGTCAAAGATCAAATGGTTGTAAGTGTTCCATATGAATTTTTTTCTAATTCTGTGAAAAATGATGTTGGTAGTTTGATAGGAATAGCATTAAATCTGTAGATTGCTTTGGGCAGTATGACCATTATAACAGTATTGATTCTTCCAGTCCACAAACATGGAACATTTTTCCATTTGTTTGTGTTACCTATGATTTCTTTCAGTATTTCAGTAGTGTTTTGTAGTGTTCTGTTTAGAGATCTTTCACTTCCTTGGTTGGATGTATTCCTAGGTATTTTTTTTTTTTGAGTGGCTATTGTAAATGGGATTGAGTTCTTGATGTGGCTCTCAGCTTGAATATTATTGGTTTATAAAAATGCTGCTGGTTTTTGTATATTAACTTTGTATCCTGAAACTTTACTGAAGTTGTTTATCAGTTCTAGGAGCCTTTTGGCAGAGTCTTTAGGGCTTTCTAGGTATAGAATCATATTGTCAGTGAAGAGAGATAATTTGATTTCTTTTCCTACTTGGAAGCTTTTTGTTTCTTTGTCTTGCCTAATTGCTCTGGCTAGGACTTCCAGTACTATGTTGAATAGGAGTGGTGGGAGTGGGCATCCTTGTCTTATTCCTGTTCTTAAGGGGAATGCTTCCAGCTTTTGCCCATTCTGTTTGATATTGGCTGTGGGTTTGTTGTAGATGGTTCTTAGTCTTCTGAAGTATGTTCTTTTGATGCCTAGTTTGTTGAGGGTTTTTTTTTAATCATAAAGAGATGTTGGATTTTATTGAAAGCTTTTTCTGCATCTATTGACATGATCATATGATTTTTGCTTTTAAGTTTGTTTATGAGGGGCGAATAACATTTATTGACTTGTGTATGTTAAACCAACCTTGCATTCCAGGAATAAAGTCTACTTGATGGTGGTGAATTGACTTTTTTGTGTGCTGTTGGATTTGGTTTGCTAGTATTTTGTTGAAGATTTTTGCATCTATGTTCTTCAAGGATATTGGCCTATAGTTTTCTTTTTTTACTGTGCCGTTGCCAGATTTTGGTATCAGGATGGTGCCAGCTTCATAGAACGAGTTAAGGAAGGGTCCTCCTTGATTTTTTTCTACCAGCAAATTCTACCATCTTTTGGACTCTCATTATGAGCAGGTCACTGAGCAGGACACTGGGTAGGGTGCCTTAAAAGCAGGATCACATTGTATCTTCACATTAACCCTACAAGAGGGATGTTATTATTCCTATTTTACAGGTAAGAGCAAACTGAGGCTTAGGAGGGATAAGGAACTTGTTCAAGGTCAAGATTATCTAGCTAGCAAGGAGTGGAGTTGAGACTCTCAGCTCACACAACTAACCCCAAGGCCCAAGCCAGAGACCGCTCCTCTGTGCTGCTCCCAGAGCTGGGCTGGGGAGGCACCACACTTCCCACAGGGGAGGAGAGGGAAGGTTTAGTCACAGAAGCTGGAAGCTCCCCAGCCCTGCCCATGTGTAGGTTGCTCAGGGACCTGTTATTTCACAGTGTCACTCTGGTTCTGTCTGAGAGGCATGTGACTGGCTAGGATGTGGAGACTTATCTTCAGGTCACACCTGGCTGGGGATGCTGGTGTGCAGGGCATAGTGTGCAGCCTGTGGGGTACAACTGCTCACCCTGGACGTTCCTGGGCCTAAGCTAGTGACACCAGCGCTGTGAGTGCTGCTTGCTTACTCAGGGCTGCTCTAGGTGTGGGTGCTCCTGGCTTGTCTGCCGGGTGGGGTGGGAGCTGTGCTGAGTCTCCACTGTAGAGGAAGGTAAAGCCTCACGTCCAGGAAGGCTCACTCACATGTACTTGGAGGATCCTCTGTCCAAAGCACAGCAACAAGAGACTGATTTGAAATGAGGATGTAGGGTTGGGGGTGCCCTATGAGGAAGCCCTGGGTAAGTCTTGTCAACCTGAGCTTCTTGGGATACCCCCATGGCCAACGGAACAACTTCTTAGAACTAGAAGTACAGACCAAATGAGCCAAAAGAGGAACTTGCAGATCACTTGGTCTGATGTCCTCATTTTATGGATGAGGAAACTGAGGTTTGAGGGAAGCTGTGACTCATCTAAAGTGACAAAACCAATGAGAGGTGGAGGCGAGCAATCTCCTGATTCCTTGCCACACCTGCAGGCCACTCAAGGCCTTCCTTGTAGTGATAAAATCTTTTTTCATCTTATTATCAGCTAAGTCCATCCTTCTGTTGGACTTCCTACACCAGCTCCTCCTGGGCCAAACCAGACAGTCCCTTTCACTGCCCAAGTTGTTCATTCCTCTATCTGGGTGTTTGCCCACATTGTCACTCTGCCTGGACCTGCAGTAGCTGCTCATTTGTCACAGTGGCTTGTCTGCTGAACTCCTCCTTATCCTTTACAACTGGGATCAAAGATCTCTTCCAGGAAGCAGCCCCCTCTACTGTCCCCACTGGAAATGGTCCCTTCCTCTTCTTTTCCTGAACCCATTGTTTGGGCTTCTCTGTAGGATGAGTTATCTACTTTCTTTTTATCACAACAGTTTACAACCTGTGCACATGTTCCTCAGGGCACTGGAAGAAGAGAGGGGTGGGTATTGGAACCTCTGGCTTGGATGTGAGAAATCTGAGACTCAAGAATGTTAGATGACTAATGAGTGGCGGAGCAGACTCAGACACCCAGGCCTCCTGACTCCCACGCCATTTGGACAGGAGCCAGAATGCATCTCTGGGAATGGTTCCCCCAAAGTTGTGCAGTGCGCAGCCTATGAGGCTGTATTTGGCGGTCGCACCTCTGTGCCTGGTACAGTGCCCTAAATAAGGCAGATGCTCAGTAAGTGTGGGTGGATTCAGTGGAACCACAGTGCAGAGGCAGCTCTCTTTTCTCTTCTTCCTTCCCTGTTTCCTTCTCAAATCTGTTTTTTTCTCCCCTCTTTAACTCCCTGCATTTTCCACTGAATTTTTCATTGGGAAGAAGCACATTTAGAGATGTGAAGCACACACTTTGCTGGGCTTCAGCTTTGATGAATCTTTGATGCTGACACTGGGGAGGCAGATGCTGCAGCAGATTGGGGGTGGGGAGGGAGGGGTTGGGGAGGGGCCTCTAAGGGCATGATTTCCCCCTCCCCTGCCCCTTCCAGAGGGAGCTCAAAGCTGCCACTTGCCTTGCCCAACTGTGCTCTACAGCATGAATTGTGTGTGAGTGCTGGGGCATGAGGTGGGTGAGAGAGTGCATGCTGGAAGTGGGAGGGGCCAGATGAGGGGGAGGGCAGTTGCAAGTCACCAGTACCTCTGACATCACCCACATTAACCTTAGCTCCCTCCACTTCCCCTCACTTCTCCATGAATGTGGAGGTCATATCAATTTCTAGCTGTGTGACGTGGTGAGGCACTTAATCTTTTTGAGTCTTAGTTCCTCAATAGTCCATTGGAGATGCTAATACCTTCCTCCTAAGGCCACTGTGAGTAAACAAGACACCCTATTTGCTGTGCCTGACTCATACTACATGGTAAATATTTATTTATTCATTCCATTCACTTGTCCCTCTGTTGAAATTCACTTTTAAGAGCCTGGTGAGGCAAGGTTTGTTCAACATGAGTGGTTATCTGTGAGGCCCTGGGTGAGCCCTGCCTTGGAGAGCTGTTACTCATCTTTTCCTTTTCTTTTCTTTTCTTCTTTTTTTTTTTTTTTTTTTTTTTGAGACAGGGTCTCATCTTGACACCTAGGCTGGAGTGCAGTGGCACAATCACAGCTCACTGCAACCTCAACCTCCTAGGCTCAGTAGACCCTCCCACCTCAGCCTCCTGAGTTGCTGGGACTACAGGTGCGTGCCACCACACCCTGCTAATTTTTTGTGTGTGCCTGTATTTTTTGTAGAGGTGGGGTTTCTCCTTGTTGCCCAGGCTGGTCTTGAACTCCTGGGCTCAAGTGATTCACCCACCTTGGCCTCCCAAAGTGTTGGGATTGCAGGCATGAGCTACGGCGCCCAGCCTGATACTCATCTTTGCACAGTCTACACAACAGTAGTGGATAATGGACAGATGGAGACCCATCCTGGCATGGAGGTTCTGAGCTTCAGTTCTCACCTGACCTGGTGGTTGGACATGTGGCTCCAGTAACCCCTTCTGGGGGAGAGACTCTGCTTGAGTCACACTGGGTGCCCCTCAGTGCCGAGCACAGGTATCTGGCCCAGAGCACTGCTGGGCAACAGACCAAGGAGGATGGTGCTGGAGGACATTTGGGTGTGGTGAGAGGCTATCCCTTCCCCCTGATTTGCCGCTCTATACCGCCTCTGTCAGGGTTGTAGGACCCTTACCAGGCAGGGAGAGATGGTGATTGTTTTGTGGTCATTCCCCTGTAATTTGCTTCATATCATCTTTGCATGATTTGTAACTGCCCATCAGGTTCATCTTGCCTGCTGTCTAGACAGAGCCAATTTATCAAGATAGGGGAGTTGCAATAGAGAAAGAGTTCAATTCATGTAGAGCCGGCTGTACGGGAGACTGGAGTTTTATTATTACTTAAATCAGTCTCCCTGAGAATTCAGGGATCGGTGTTTTTAAGAATAATTTAGTGGGTAGGAGGACAGTGAGTCAGGAGTGCTGATTGGTTGGCTTGGGGATGAAATCATAAGGAGTCAAAGCTGTCCTCTTATGCTGAGGCGGTTCCTGGGTGGGGGCCACAGAAGTGGTTGGCAGGTCCAGCTGGGGCCATCAGGTTGCCAGACATGCAAAAAACTGAAAAGTTATCTCAAAAGGCCAATGTTAGGTTCTACAACAGTGATGTTATCTTCAAGAGTAATTGGAGAAGTTGTAAATCTTATGACCTCCAGAACAATAGCTGATAATAATTAGAATTCAAGCCCCTCTTATCCTAACTTGGTGGCCTTTTATTTGTTTTACAAGAACACGTTAGCTTTTGGGAAGAGCTGTTATTTAAACTATAAATGTCTCCCAGAGTTAGCTTGGCCCAAGCCCAAGAATGAGCAAAGAGAGCCAACTTGTGAGGCTTGAGACAAGATGGAGTCAGCCCTGTCAGGTTTCTCTCACTGTCATAATTTCCTTAGTTATGATTTTTGCAAAGGCGGTTTCAGATTTGCCTTTTACTAAAACACACAGGCTTGCACTTCATCTTGAGTGAGTGTGTGTGCATCTCTGGCTGGTCCTCCAGAGCTGGGTCCAGCAGGCCAATCCCTGTGCCCCTCTGGAGTTTCTCCAAGGCCACCCTGGGCATTTCCAGTAGGATATTGTTGCTCCACATCAGGGCTCCTGCCAGCAGCGTAGCTGTGCTCCACACAGAAGTCCCTCAGCTGGTGACCACAGAATAATGAATGCCAATCTGGATGTTAGTTTGCACACATTTGCATACCCCAGGGGTCTGCCTGGCCTGTGAGGTCTTTCTGACTCTGAGCAGCTATGATGCTGTGATTAACCTCACAAATGCATAATGGATCTTGAGGTCCTTTCCCGGCAGAGATGTTGGGGAACTAATGCAACCCCCTGCCTTTTCTCTTAAGCTGCCTTCAGGGCTGATATCATGGGTTGGTCAACTGCCTGAGATTTCTTCCTCTATCTGGGGTTAGCAAGACACCTAAAAGGTAATCCTCCCCACCTCTCCCCACCCGCATAGTGCTATTAGTCAGCTACACCTGAGTGTGAATTACTTTAGTCAGATTTCTTTCCCATTAATATCCTCAAGGGAAGGGGATTTAATAGAAGTAGAGTGAGTGCCTAAATTACTCACGGAGCCCTGGGCAGGTTCTGCCTTTCAGCATGACTCATCTTTGTGTGGTCTGCACAAACAGCCAAGTATAAAGGATAAGAAGGGAGCTGCCCCTGGCACCAGAAGCCCTTGTCTGGGCAGATGGAAGTGTTATGGGGAGGGAAGGCCCCAGAAGAATTGGGGAGAGGGGTATCCCTCATGGACTTTGCTCTCACATGGGGTGTAGTTGGCCATTCAATCACCTCTGGTCTGCTGCCCACTGCCTGTCTTGCTGTCTGGATGTCTAAGACAACCCTAAGACGCCTGGATGTCAGAGCCTGTGGTGCAAACATTTGGCTGCCAGCAAGGGTCACTGTTCTGGTTTTCAAGGCCAAATCAGAGTGGGTTTTTCTGGGGTTTGGGAGCAGCAGGAGCTAGAAGGTAAAGGGCTGACACCTTGTTAGGGGTGGGTGGTGTTCACTCCCACCAGGAATTCTTTTGCAGCCAAATAACAGAGAAGCTTCAGGCTTGAATTTGGCCCACAAATCTGAGCCCTCATAATGGAGATGTGGGAGTCCCTAAGCCCCCGTGTTGGGGTGCCGTGGGGGTGCCCGTCAGACGCCCCCGTGCCGCAGGTGGGCAGATGGACCCAGCGGGCCGCTCCCCTCTGCAGTCTCAGCTCCTCCTCATGGGCACCTGTGGGGCACCACATGCAGCTGAAATGTCGGGGCCTGGGACTGCCTCGCCGGGGGGCGCTGGGTAGCTCATGCCCCCTTGTCTGTGCAGTGAGAGGTTCCCTGAGGAACATTCTGGAGCTGGCATCTTAGCTCCGCCACTCGTCACCAGGCAGTACCCCGAGGTTCAGGTGCTGGCATCGGGGGAGGAGCTTCTGCAGGTCACACCGGACGTTGGGCTCTGTTGAGCCCAGAGCCTCTCAGGAGCTGGCCGAGTGTGCAGCTGGTGGAGGAAGCTCAGTGCTTCCTGTCCCCAGGCGCTCCCTTGATGACTGCCAGGAACCTTGAGGTTAGAGGGTGCTGATCTGGCTTTCAGGAGATTCCCCCACCCCCACATTGACACAGCTCTGGGAAGAAGCAGCACTTCAGCTGCCCTCAGTGACACTGGGATTACAAAGAAGAAAGGCCCCAGGACACAGCGTGTCATTCATGGGAACAAGACGGGGTGGAGAGGGGAGGCCACCTCAAAGACACATTCCTCCCTGGTCCTGATGTCCTCCCTCTACATGCAGAGCTTCACTGATTCCACCTGGAGCTCACAGTCACTTTGGGGAGGGGTGTTGCTGGCATAAGGCTCCTCTCCTGTCTCACAGATGGGAACACTGAGGCTCATGGTGACTTGCCCAAGACCACAGAGCTGAGATTCAGCAGAGCCAGGCCTTGTGGCTGTGAGTAAGGCACAGCTGGCCTGGGGCCATAAGTAGACCCAGGGGAATTTAGGGGAACTCTTACAAGTTTTGGGAACCACGTGGCCACTTCAGGGTCAGCCCCTATCCCAGCTGTCTTGGAGGCAGTGTTCCCTGCTGGGGTTCAAGGCTTTAGGGGATGGGCTTTTGGTGCTGAGGGAAGAAACCCTGAGAGCTGCAGGCTGGGCCCAGCTGTGAGGTTTCAGAAATAGAAGTGTTTTCAAAGGTTGACAAAGACAACTCCATCCTCTGTTTACAGCAGAAGCAACTGAGGCCCAGAGGAGCAAAGGCCCCCAAGCAAGGTCTCCAGCAGGCTGGGAGCACGGTGGAAATGGAGCCCGCTCCCCTGTCTTCCACTGCCTGTTTAAGAGAAGAGCAGCCGCGAGGCCCTGGGCTGGTCTCGGGGGTGAGCTCTGCTGTGGATACCCGCCATGGCTTGTCTTCCCCGCCCACAGATAAATGCAACCTTTCTCTTCTACGCTCTCCCTGGGCGGCTGCGTTTGTACCCCTCTCTCTATTCTCTGCCCTCCCACTTCACTGCCTGCTTCAACATTTGTTCCTTCATGCATTCATTCATTCAGCTGTTTATGGGTGTCTCCTTGTGCCAGGCTCTGTGCTGGGCAGAGACTGGGTCTCTGCACACTCTAGAAAAGGGACAGAAGCTTCACCTGGTTAACCCCCCCTATGTAGAATGACAGGCTGTGATTTGTGGTGTGAAGAAAAGGGACAGGGTGCGAGGAAAGGGTGTGACCAAGTCCTGGCCCCAGGCCAGGGAGCCAGGGGACTCTTGTAGGAAGCTTCTTGCAGGAAGCGACATTATTCTAACCCCTTCCTTCACACCATCAGCTCCCCTGAGACAGGAGCCTCAGCATCCAGCACTCTGCTGTCTGCAGAGAGCACAGAAGGTGCACAGTGAGCGCTCTGCCCAGCTTGGGGGGCGGTTTGGGGAGTGGAAATGGCTTACTTTCTGGCCTGTGATGGTCTTGCTGCATGAAACATGGGGCGACTTCGGTTCTTTAACCTCCTTGGGCCTCAGTTTCTACATTTGAATACTGAGGATGTAAAGGCCCACTCTGAAAGTGGTGACAAATGGAAGGCCCCTTCTCTCCTTCCATGTGACACTGTGAGAATCAGTGTCTCAAGTTTTCTTGCCTATTACTTTTGACTAGTTTCTTTTTCACCTTGTGATGTAAATATGTAAATGAATGTCAGAAAGACTGACATGAGTATGGCTGATATGCAGTGGTTGTTATTGTTGGCAAGGGTGCTCGCTTTGGAATCAGAAGACCGGGGTTCAAGTGCTGCTTCTACCCAAGTAGCTGTGTGGACCTGGACAAGTTGTTCTCTGGACCTTATTTTCCTCATCTGTTAAATGGACCTACCTATCTCTCAGATGCTAGAAGTGGCAGGTGCCAGTGCCTGTCATTATTGAGCATTGAGACCTCTCTAGAAGGTTCTTCTGCCCAGAAAAAAATGCTAAGTGGAGGAGGCAGTAGGTGGAGGGACTGGTGTGGGCACAGGTGGGATGGCGGTCTGACCAGCCCGCCATGGGAACCTGGCCGGGCAGCCCAGCCCTGGCCATTAGCCGTCAGTGAGATCTGTGGCTCTTACACTGTGAGCTTCAGTTGAAACAAACAAGCATGGCGTGGATGGAGGGGGTGGCAGCAGGGAGGGAGGGCCCAGCTGGTTGCCAGATGCAGCATGGCTACTGCAGGAGGGGACCCAGGGGGTCTCATTACCGGCTCGGCCTCCACTGCTCCAGATCTGGGAAGCACCGTCCTTCCTGCGGGGCCATCAGACATTCAGGGCAGAAGATGGTGGAGCTGCTGGGAGAGAGAGAGCAGCCCCTTTTGGCGTACAGGTTGGCCAGCCCCTCGTGAGGTTGGTGTGGGCGCTGGTGCATGGGGACCCTGGAAGCCCCCTCCACTTCAATCCCTTTTCTTTTCTAGACACCCTCTTTCTTGCTTACCGGGTTTTCTTCTTTTTCCTTTCTCCATGCACTTCCATCAGGACTTGCTCTTCCCATATCAGTGGCCCGCTCTTCCCATAATTCATTCAGCAACTGAACTGACCACCTCCTCCTGACTTGGCCCAGGGTCTAGGCAGATGTCCAGGGCAGTTGGTGGAGTGGTGGTTTTGCAGGAGCTGATTTTGTCTCAAGTGAGAACACCCATGGGGCCCCAATACCATATCAAACAGACCAGAGAGAGAGTTGTGCCATCTCAGCCTTGCCCTCCTGGGCCCGTGGGTATGGAGGTGTCACCAAGTAGCACAATTTGAAATCTACAGCTTTGGTCCAACCTTCTTGTTTTATTCAAAGAAGAGCTGGACCCAGAGCGGAGAAGTGGCTCAGACTTGGGGCTGGCGCCCACGGGCCCTGACTCCTGGTATGGGGCCTCTTCTTCCCTGACTACCCAGGTCCTTTCTGGTGTTCACTGTCACTTCTCATACAAGCCCATCTTGGTATCTGCACAGAGAGCTGAACCTTTCCTGCAGCCAGGAGGCTTATGCTGGGACATTTCATGGGCTTTCTGCAGGTGAATTGAGGCCAATTGATGACCCAAGATGCAGGTGACATTGAGGTAAAATGGACACTGAAGACAGGGCAGCCACGAAAGGGGAAGAAGCCCCTGGAGGGTAGCAACTGTGGGCACTGGGGGAGGAAGTAGAGGGGCAGCCCAACCCCTTCCCCTTGATCAGAAGCGTTACCGTAATAATAGATTCCAGATGATCTCAAACAATACCTCAGGCACATTCATTATTATTTAATCCATGTTGACAACACGGCAGGTAGTTTTATTGTCCCTATTTTTCTGAAGAGGAAGCTAAGGCTCAGAGAGGTTAAGTGACTTGCTTGAGGTCACACAGCCTGTGGCAGAGCTGGGATCTGAAACCAGTCTGGCTCCAGAGCCAGGTTTGGGTGACTCTGGGCTATTTATGTGTGGGAGCCTCATGCTCTTGAAGCACCAACAAGTGATGAGGCTCCTTCTCCTCCCTCTGCCCAATCCCCACCCTACCACCCTTAGACACTATATACCACCAGGCCTGAGGAGTCTGTGGGAGCGCGACCACTCTGACTGGCCAGTCCGGGTGAGGGGGTGGGTTCTAGGCATAGAGGGCAGGCATGTGGGTGCCTGGGCATCCTCTCAGTGGGAGACGATGGGTGCCTCTATTCGCCTGCTGCCCCCATGCCCTGGAACCCTCCTACCCACTCCACCACCCCCACAAGGAACTGTTTCTTACAAGTTTTTATAAAGGGCTGTTTGTCTGATCGTGGAAGCCACATCTACATGGGCAGATTCAGGGTTTTTTTTTCTTTTTTCTTTTTTCTTTTTTTTTTTTTTAACTTTCAATAGAGACAGTGTCTGGCTGTGTTGCCCAGGCTGGTCTCGAACTCCTAGGCTCAAGAGCCTCCCACCTCAGCCTCCCACAGTGCTGGGATTACAGGGGGTAAGCCACTGTGCCCGGGCAGATTCAGGCTTTCTGATGCACATTGTCAAGACATTTGGCCTGAGGAATGGTCGCAGGGCCAGTCAGAGGAGGCTGCTGGTGCCTCTGACGTCTGGGGACTCTCCAAGTCTTTATACGCATGTCCATGTCCTTTCCCTTGAAATGGGGATGGCGTCTGCCCATTTCCTGATAGAATTCCTCTGTACATTTGGCTTTTAATATCCTGGATATTCCTAAAGCCTAGAAGTGCATTTCGGTGTGAGCTCTACTGTAGGATAATTCAAGATATGCCCACCTCCCTGCCTGGCATCAGTGAAGACAAAGGACTCATCTTTTGCTTCGGTGGGCCTGGGGGTGGTGGGACCAGGGAATATCTGCTTTTTCCACCCACACACCCACCAGAGAGTAGCAGCGAATGTTTTCCTCCGGGGCTGGATTCATCAAGCCCAGGAACTTGGAGGTGAGAGAGAGAATTTCCTCATTTCATAAAAATTTAAAGTAATATGCGAAGGCAGCTGGGGCCTACCTAGTTATTTCCTGCCTCCTACCCAGAAATATTTAGTTATCTCCTTTCTTGGTGAGGGAGAGGGGTACCAGAAAAAATCAGAAGCAGCTGATGGAATGATGTGCTTTGTCTGGGGGGGTGTTGCCTTACAGGGAACTCACGTGAGGAACTAGCATTAGCCGAGCATGAGCTACATGCCAGACTCTTCATGTATTCTTTATCTTATTTAGTTTATATGAGTCTAAAATAAAGATTCTTGTCCAAATATCACAGGTGGGAAGCTGACATTCAGAGAGTTGAAGTTGTTTTCCTTCAGTTACAGAGCTGGGGGCTGTTGGAGCCGGGACACAGGCCTGGGTCCCGGTGGCACTAAGGCTTGGTCTGTGAGCACAGTGCTGTGTGGCTCCTGCAGGAGCAGCAGGCGCTGATGGCTTCTGGGTGACAGGGCCAGGTTTGGAACATGCTGGCTCCTGGCCACCTGGCTTGGGGATGTCAATTTCCTCCCTTGGATGTGGATGGGAACCTATTTGAGGGTGGGTGGAATGGAGCTTGTTTAGGGAGGAGCTGAAAAACGAGATTCCAGCCCACAAGAACCAGCTCCTTGAATTTGCACTTTGGGGGATGAAAGCATTAGGGCTCTGGAATCAGGCCTGGGGGCTTTGGATCGTGAGTGTTCGCTAACTTGTGGTGGGCCATGTAACTTACATTCTGTGCAGCTCAGTGTCCTCATTTGCAAAATGGAGCAAGTGGCAGCTCCTCCCTGTAAGGATCGGCGTGAGGGTCAGCCAGAAAATAATGTCTGCAAACAGCCTTAGCCCAGGGCCTGGCATGCAGGAGGCTCTCGTGACACACACGTCATTATCCCCTCTTTATGTTTTCCATCCAGAGGACACTCCCCTTAATTCTCAGCCTCTCGATTTGCTGTAATGATCATCTGTGCCCACTGCAGCTCTGTGGAAGGGAAGGGGCCTGTCTGCCATTGTTGGGAGTGGTTCAGGGTCTTCCTTGGCCACCATGAGGCCTCTGCTGTGCCCAGGAAGAGCCCACACCACTTTATCAGATGTGTGCATGTCAGTGATGGAAGGGGCCTCCACACCCCAGGGTGCTAATAATTCTGGGTGCTCCCTGGCTCAAAGTCTCCGGGGGCTTCAGCTTCCCCTACAAATACTGAAAGGAAGATACCCTTCTTCTGAGGCCTGTCTGAGGAAGAGACATCACTAAGAATTTGACCAGGTTGCAGAGGTGTCACTGAGCCCAGTGCAGGTGTATGGAGCTCACGACCTCTTGGGGGATCATGCCCTGTGCTCTCCTCCACTTAGGAAAGACATGTTTCAGCCTCGGAAGAAGTGATGCATTATCTAAGGGGTGTGCAGAGATAACCTCTGCCCTAACCAGAGCTTTGCAACAACAGGTTGCCCACATCATGGAGGACTGGACCAAAAACCAGTGGAAGACCCCACTGGGAGAGGACATTCAGGCAGATGAATGATCAGTGTTGGGAAAGTCCTCAAACAAGAGGTGGGACACAGTCATAGCAGGGTGGGGAAGAATTCCTAGGCCCTCTAGAATTGCTTTATCATCTATTTTTCACCCCAACTTTGAGTCAAAGATTATTTCCATCTTACAAGTGGGGAAATAGAGGCCCAGAAAGGGCACATTATGACCCGAAGTCACACAGCTAGGAGCCAAACTGTGGAGGAGAACCGAGATCTATTTGGTTTTGAGGCCTGCATTATTTCCCCTGCTCCATGGTGTCCTGGGCATGTGGCTTTCCTGGTTGTGCTTGCTAATGGAGTTGCCAGTTAGTGTTCTCTCTCCATAACGAGTGTGGAAAAGCCAAGTGACAATTCAACAAACCCCAGGCAGACAAAGGCAGCTACCACGTGGAGTTCACGGGGAAAAGACCACCATAGGGGCTGGCTTCCCTGAGGTCCCTTTTGGCCTTGGCTGTTCAGGATTCTCTGGGGCAGAATTTGGGGCTGCATTTCAGACCAGAGCATGTCGCTGCGCGTGTTCACCTGATCTGCCTGGAGCTCCGCCGGGCTTCCCTGTCAACTCCCCCTTGGGAGCTGGTGCCAGCACCACTGAGTCCCTCCTCTTCTCTGATTCCACCCCCACCCTGACTGCCCTCTGGAACCCAGATGGATGGGTGGCTCATATGTTTTCAAGCCAGGCTGTATTGGGCAGGTTAAAATGTTTTATTTATTTGGACAAACAAGCAACGTGGGCCAGACACCGTGCATTAGTGAATCAGAGCCCTCCAGCATCTCACCGTCCAGCGCAGGCATGAGGCAAATGACCAGGCCATTGCAGTGGGGCCTATGAATGGACAAGGAAGGGTGCATGGAACCTGGCCTGAGAAATCAGAGAACTTCCTGGGGGAAGGGACGTTTCAAGTGAGCCAGTTGGAGATAGGAGGCCCTAGTTCCCTGTGGGCAGCAAGGGGGCCAGGATGCCCAAAGCCCCCTTCCCTGTACAGTCAGACCTTCAGTGAATCACCGAACTGCCATGTCGCTGATGGCTTAGATGCCAGCTTGGGGATTTCTATGGCTCAGCAGCTGTTGATGGCTTCACGTCAGAAATGGCTTGTTAAAGCCAGGCAGGGCAGGGCTTCAGGCTGGCCCTGCAGAATTGGAATCTGGAGGGTTGGTGGCAAGTCAAGGACTCTGTTTTAAACCAGTGGATTGTCCACAGAGTGCACTTGGTGTAACGCTACTTTAGCGGGGAGGCATGCTCCCCTAGGACTCAGCCCGTGCCTCATACAATGGAAGCATTCAATAAATAAGCAGCAAGAGCAAGGAAGAAAATAAAGAAAAGGGAAGATGTATATTTTGCCTTCTTCTGCTGTGAGTTTGTAATCTTTCTAGGTAGATAAATTACCCACACAGAAAAGGTTCCTGCCTTCGCCCATCCTGAGATAACCCACAAACACTCCACCCCATTAGGCACCAGTAAACTTTCACTACCCAGAATAGACAGGTGGGGCTGAGGGGATTCCTGGGAGGAGGACTGGGTTGGCCTGTGAGGCCGGGGACAGGACAAGAAAGCTCTCTGCACTCAGTCAAATCCAGTTCGGCCAGCATTTATTGAGTGCCTACTGTATGCAGGGCTCTGGGCTAGCTGCGGAGGCTATGGGATAAAGTAAAGGCCCTTGCCATCTAGGAAACAACTATGTATAAAGGAAGATAGATATGTACATAATAAATTACAGCTCGGGCCAATAGAGTGAGAGAAGACAGCTGCCACGTCACAGCACAATGATTAAAATCTGGGCTCTGGAATTAGACAAGCCAGGTTCAGATCTTTGTCCCATCATGGCCCAGCTAGGGGACCTGGAGCAAGTTCTCAACACCATTTAGTGTCACATCCTTCTCTGTAAAATGGGCATCAACTGAGAAGGTAATACAGGGTTATAAGGATGATGCATGTAATGAACTTGGTGCTAGGCCGGGCCTGGGAACCACTCAGCAATGTTGACTCTGTTGATTGTAATGTACAGAAGAGAAAGTGATGAGCTCTGTCAAGGTAGGGGTTGAGGGCTGTGATGCCAGGACAGCGTTTTGAAGGATGAAATGAGTTCACCAGGCAGGTAAGGGTGGAAGGGCTTTGAAGGCAGCAGGAACAAAGGCCTCTCCAAAGCATGTCCACATTGCCTTTGAGACTATTACCAGAAAACAATAAACAGCTAGATGCGGCTGGAGCTTAAAGGGCTAGAGGTGAGAGGGACGGAGAGGAGGGGGAGATGAAGCTGTGGCGCTGTTGGGGAGGGTCTGAAGTGTCATACTATGGAGCTAACGGGTGGCTAATAAGCTGCAGTCGTGCCATCACCTTGATGCTGCAACCAAGGAGACATTGCTAATCAATGATAGAATGTGTCCTTGCTGAGCCAGGATGTGACTTTAGCATCATTCTCAGCAGCCACTACCAACTGATTGGCATTGACATGTAAGTTGAAGGCTGTTTGCCCCCTCTGGGTGAGAACTAGACGTTGGTCCTTCTTGAAACCAGACATACATCCTTGCACCCAGCTGGGAGTCCTATCAAACCCTTCCTGTCTTTGCCACACTGTGGTCTGGCTTCAGTTGGCTGACAAGACATAGTTTTTTGTTTTTCTTATGCTGGCCTTCTCTGGATCTGTCCTACCCATGGTCTGGGAGGCAGCCGGAGCAGCCTGCCATTTGAGGTTTGGCTGAGCCTGGGCTGTTCCACCCTGCCTTCCCCACAGCAAGGGCAGTGGCACACCCATTCCTGGCCAGCACTGGACTGCTTGGGTGGGCAGATCCCCCTACAGGAGCAGGTTTGGCGTGGCCCAGCCTGGTTTACTCTCCACCTGTAGAAGCTGCAGCTGGGGCCACCACATTAGGTCCAATGACCACTTTCCAATCTCTCCCCGAGAAGCTTCCAGTTTGGGCAGAGCCTATGGGCAGGGTGGGGACCATTCCAAGACGGGCCACTACAATAGCCCAGAGAAACACCACGTAGTACAAGCATGCTCCATTTTAAGCAAACCCTGTATTTGGAGCGGCATAAACTTGAAGTGAAGAGCACAGATTTGGTTTCCAGATGGCCTGGGCTCAAATCCTGGCTCTGCCACTTACCAGCTCTACTACTTATCTTTTTCTGTGTGCCAGTTTTCTCATCTGTAAAGTGGAAATAATAATGGTTATTCCTCTTGGTTTTGTTGCAAGAGTTAACCGAATGATTCTAAGGGAAGCATTGGCACTTAGTAAACACTAGATAAAGACTGTTCCAAGGAAGGGCAGAATGAGCACAGAAGGGCTTGTGAGTAGGAAGGAATGGGTCTGAGCATACCTTCGCGTGAAGGCAAAGCTATGTAGAGGGGCTGTGATGTAGTACACTGGGTTGCTGAAAGCTCAGAGCTTCCCTTCCAGCTATCAGGGCTGACAGGAGAGGCCTGGACCCAGCAACCCATTCAGCCCCGTCGTGATACCCTGGGGATTCTTGCTTCTCCCCCATTGAAACTGGTCTCCCTGCTCTCCAGAGGCAGAGAACTCCAGTGAACTCCCTGCAGGCGACTCCCTCCAACCTGGTGAGATGGGAAATTAATCTCCCTTGAAACCTATACTTAACATACAGGATTCTGTTCCCCAGTGAGACAATGAAATTAATCTGCCACTAATTTTCTGTTTGCCAACCCTGGGTTGCAGCATTTCTAATTCTGCTTTTCCAACTGTCTTGAGTCGGGTGAAACAAAGACTTAATCTCTTCTCTGGACTTGTTTATTCTGTCTTCAAAAAATGAATCACGCTGGCATTTTGCTCTACTGGTTTGGGGAAGGAGGGTGGAATGAGGTTTCCTTATCTCCCCCGGAGGCCATGGATTCCAGGCCTGTCTCTCTAGCCTCTCCCCAGCTTTCTGGGTGTGAGGGGATTAGGGGCCCCTATGATCTGTTTGCTTACTCTGAGTCTGAATGTATCAGTCACAGGGTGACTAACAGGCTGCCTCCTTGGGAACTGGGCGGGAAGGGGAGGCCCCTAAGTTTGAATGCCAATTTCTTGAGCGAGGCTAGGACCTGGGTCCCTTCCTCCCAGGGGGTGTTGTGGGGGAAGGTGGGGGAATCATGACCTGGCCCCACCTGCCTGCCTTTCTAACCTCTATTGCCAGCACCTAAGCCTCCAGCCACACCAACCGCCTGTCATTTCCTGAGCATGGTACCTTCCAAGCCATTCGCTCTGCTTGGCCTCCTTTTCCCCTGCACAGGGTAGGGCTTGACCTCTCTGTGCCTCAGTAAAACAGGAATAATAATAGTACCTGCCACAGGGGTGGAAGTAAGGACTAAATGAGAATCTCCCCTAAAGACTTAGAAGTGCGTGACATTAGCAAGTGCTTGATAAATGAGAACCAGGATTGTCATCACCTGACTCGCATGTCCCCACCTCTGGGACACCTTCCCAATCTCCCAGCAGAAAGATCCTTTCCTCTGGAGGCCCCAAGGCTCCCCCTGAGCCTCTGTGGAATCCTTATTCTGCTGCTTACAGTGGAGCCAGGGAGCATAACCTCTCTGCATTTCATTTTCCTCCCGCTGCGGAATAGAAATAATGATAGTGATGACCTCATCCCGGGTTGTCAGGAGGATTAAATGAGATAATGCTCATTAAGGGCTTAACACAGGGCACGACCTCAAGCAGTAAATCAATGTTCTGATGTGTGGTTATGATGGTTAATAATTAATGAGCATGCATTGTGAAGTCTGTCTTCCATCAGCAGAAACTCCCTGAAGGTAGAGGAGGTCCTCAGTCTTTCGTGGGACTCTTGGTGCTCACCTGTTGGGTGGGAACAAGGGCCTGATTCCTGAGCATGGTGGGTGAGGCTAGGCTGGCTGGTGGAGGGTGCCCACCTGTCCTGAGCGCAGGCCACTCTCACTGTTCAGCATAGTGTCCTTGGAGATACCTCCTGGGCCCTGCCTGAGCGAGCTTGGGCCCCAGCCCGGGCCACCACTGGCTTTGCTGTCTTCACTGTTGCCGATGAGCTGCACCGTGCACCTAGTAATGGTCACGACCACATCCCTCTCACCGTTCCCATCACCCTGAGCAGTGTCACTATCCTATCAGCACCAAGCCCCTGTCCTAGAGTGTCACCGCTGAGGGAGACCTTGGAAACCATCTGCTCCCATATCCCAGACTTATGCTTGAAAACTAAAGATGAGAGAGGTGCTCCAACTGGCCTAACACCACACAGCAAGTTGGAGGCAGTGCCAGGATTGGATCCAAAGCCTCTTGACTCCCACTGCAGGGCTCTTCCCAACACTTTGCTGCCTGTCCTTGCTTCACCAGAACCCCTGTCATCGTGCTGCAGAAGAAGGACACTCATATTTATTGAGCATCTACTATGTGCCAGATACTGTGTAGGCTTGTGTATTAGCTCAGTTACTCCTCCCAACACATCTGGAAGGGGTGATGTTATGCTCCCCATTTTACAGATGAAGAAACTGAAATCACTTGATCAGGATCACAGTAAGGCAATGAGGTAGGTGGAGTTGAAACCCAGATCTATCTAACTCTATATCCAGTGCTCTTTCCATTCTCCTTGAAGCTTCCTTTGGAAAGACTGGCACAGCTGGGCCCCAGCCCTGGGTGAATGGGTGGGAGCTGCCAGCCCAGCATCTTCATTCCTTTCTCTGCTGTGGACAGACGTGGAGGACCTGCGGACAACCAAATTACAGACAGTGACAGGACTGATGAACAGCCAGGCCTGCTTTTCCTGCTGGGGGTTTCCACTGCCTGGGTGACCCAGCCTGTGGCCCGCCCACCTGGACAGACAGAGTCCTGCCCTGCCCCGCCTGTGGGTGGGTGGGGTGGTAGTGGGCTAGGGGTGGGCTGGGGCCAGTGGAGCAGCAGAGACTAGGGCCGTGCAGCTGCCACGAGCCTCAGGCCGGTGGTGCCAGGAAAGGGGCAGGAAGTGGTTTGTGGGGAGTGGTGGCAGGGCTTGGGCTGTGCGATGTGGCTCTGCCTGAGGTTTCTGCTCTGGAAACCTGACTCATGTGGACAAAGACCAGGCTGCCCCACTTCCCCAGGGGGCAGTTAGAGCAATTACAGGCCCTGGCACAGTGAGGCCAGGGGGTTGTGCTCTCAGTGGGAGGCTGAATCAGGACCCGGGAACCCAAGGCTGCCCTAGGGGTTAGTGATTTCACCACTGGCCGGGTGGGTGGAGGGTGTATGGGAGGACGCGTCCACGCAGGCAGGCAGTGGGCTGAGCAGCAGGGAGGAAGCCGGTGGCCATGGGGAGGCCTGTGCTTGGCCTGTGGGGAGGGTCTCGTGGAGTCTGGAGTTTGGGGCCCGAGCCCAGCTTGGTTCTGACTTGGGGTTCTTGAGCCCCAGCTTGTGAACTTGGGCAAGGACCTTTCTTTCTCTGAGCCTCACTTTCTTTCTTTATCTCTAAAATGAGGTTTCCACCAGCTCTAAGAATTAGATGACTCTGCCCTGCCCCCACCCAATCAAAGGAGCCTACAAACCACAAGCGAGCAAAATAACAACACAGAAAACCACAGCTGAGAAGTCATAACTGCTGGAGACAGGCTAGGCCCTGCTCTGAGCCTCTGCATGTTTCCCATAGCCTTCCAGCAGCCCCGGTATGCCCCTCTCACAGAATAGGAAACAGACCAGAGTATTCCTGGGGATCCACGATGGGAGCCCCGGCCTACGTATTACAGATCGGTGACCTCTTCCAGGTGTGAACCGAGGATGCTGGCAGGCCCCACCTCCTCCCAGGGGCCCCCTCCCCTTACCTGGGTGCACTGGGGGCCTTGTCACCTCCTTCCCGTCTTGCCTCTGCAGCCATTAGAGTCACACCAAATGAGTATGGAATTTCTTCTCCTGATTGTATCGGAAAAAAGGAACTCTGGACCCTACCCTACGGCAGATATTCTTTTTTTTTTTCCCTAAGTTGTCCCTTACCTTACCAGAACCCCTATGTTCCCTACTGCCCTCCTCCGAACCCCTGTCTCCGGTCATACACCAGGAGGACATGACGGAATCAAAGGAGACTTTATAGACCAAACCAGGAGGCTTTGGAGAGTTCTAGGGAGTGTCTTCAGAGAGCAAGTGGCTGGGAGGGGCCAAGTGCCCAACTCTGGAACCCTGGCTGCTCCTCTACCACTCCCATGGGGGTCTGTGTGTTCCGCTTGCGGTTTTATGCGAAGAAAGTGTTGTCCCACAAAACACATTTCAATATCCCTGATTGAGTTCAATGTTCCCATTTATGGAATGGTGAAACTTAGGCCCAGGGAAGGAAATGACCTACCCAAGACCCTATAGCTGCCCAGTGACACAGCTGGGACTGGAACTCAGGGGTCCTGATGGCTGGCTCTGTGCCTTCCTGAGCTCTGCCCAGGCAGATGGTGGGGCTCAGAGTCAGACCGGATGCTGCCTGCCTTGAGCAGGAACTGCGGCTCCTCTTGGCTGTCACAACGTCCAAGAGAGACCTTTTGGATTGTGTTAAGCAGGGCAAGACTACTAAGTCGGGTGAAGCCAGCTCGTGTTTTTCTCTTGGTGAAAGTGGAGCAGTTCTGGCTGGAAACAGCAGATCTTCTAGACGAGATAATGCTAGCAAAGCATTTAGCAAGAGTTTCTGCATGAAGTAGGTGCTTAGAACTGTGAACTGAGGCAGAGAAACAGCTGTGGTTGCCTACACAGAATCACCTTCTCACTGTGTGACTCATGGAGCAGTATCTGAGAGGGAGGACTTGGGTTGAGGACAGGAGGGAAGGCCAGAATTTCCTTCAGACGCTGGTTCCACAGTGGCCATTCTCCCCTCCCCTCCGCACCTTTCACAACCCAGGGCTGAATGAATACGTGGGAACATTGGTTTGTGGGTGCAAAGATTGCTGAATCCAGACCAGTGGTCCTGGGCCCTATCTTGATGTGTCACCAGGTCTTCCCTCTGGGCCTCACTTTCCTCCTCTGTGACACGGACGCTTTGGACCAGATGGTTGTTCTCAACCCTGGTTGCCCGGAGAATCACGGGGGCGACTTTTAAACAATTCTGAGGCCCAAGCCTCACCTTAGGTCAAGGAACCTCTGTGGGTGCTTCTGAGCCTCTGTGGTTTTGATTCTGATGCCCAGTGAAGGGCAAGAAGCACTGAACTGGATGGCTCTGGGCTCCCTGATGGTTGGCACAGGACAGCGACATAGGACCTCACTAGATTGCTGTTAGCTGGGCTGTGCTTCTCTCGGCATGTGTGTGGGTGAGCGACAGAGCTGATGGAGCATCCTGCTCAGCTGGAAGCTGTCTCCCAGCATGGCGGACGTTTCTCTCCCATCAGCTCATAGGTGAGGGGCAGCGGCGGGTCCCTGGGTGCTGTAGGAAGGAGGGCACACCAGGGATTGGTCTCCAGGGCTGAGACCGCAGAAACCTTGTTCTTCTCCCTGCTGGAGAGTCTGGCCCCCACTGATGACAGCATGGCCCCCAGGGAACTCCCAGCTCTGAGGCTGACTCCTCCAGAAGGGGTCAGGCCACCCTCAGCCTTGGGACTCCTGAACCCTGGGTCCGTATCCTGATGGGCAGCTTGGGCTGGGGATGCAGCAGAAGCCCATGTGGGGCCAGCATCCAAAGCCAGACCCCCAGGATCCAGTTCAGGTTCTGCAACCTCTGGGCCTCAGTGATCTCATCTGTAAAATGGGGCAATAATCCACGCCCAATGTGGTGTTAGGGATTCTGATAGAGAGATCTTCAGAGAGAGGGTCAGTGAGCCCAAGCCTCAGGGACGGTGACAGGAGGAGGCATAGAGGCTCAGGGAGGAGGGGTCAGATGACATGGAGCTGGGAAAGCTGAAATTGAGGAGTCTTTATGTAGAGAGCAGAGCATCCCTTACACATCTATCTGTGGTTTTCACATGTACATGGGTGGATATTTTCACGAGTGGATCCCTTTAAAAAAGATAATTTTGCAAGGGGCCCCAGTTTATTAGGTATGGATAAGTGGAACTTGGATGGTTGGAGTGGGACCTGTCCCTCAGCTCCCCACCCCTACAGTGGCCTAACTGGGGAACAAATCTGAAACCACTGGTCTAGAGCAGGAGGACGCGCATTCTCCATCTCCTTCTGAGATTCGGCCCCGAGGAGATGGGTATAAAGTGCAGCAGAAACAGGGGTTGGATAGCAGGGAGCACTTCCCAGCAGTGGGGCTGGTAAGTGCTGAGCTTCTGGGTGCGCTGGTATCTTAGTCCTCCCCAGGCAGGAAGGGGTGAGCCATAGCCCCTCGAGGGCCTCAGCCTCCTGCTTCTGGGGATGGCAGGCAGGACCCCTTTCCTACTCTGGCACCGGGTTCTGGGGAGAAGTGGAGACAGCTTCTCCCAGGAAAGTGGGACCTGGGCCATATCGCTGGATCCTCTGAGGGGCATGGAGGCCTTGAGCTGGGGAAAGAAAGAACAAAGTGACTCTTTCTCCTTGCCTTTGTTAACTCAGAGTGCAATGGGGTGAGGAGGACACAGGGGAGAAGAAAGAGAGGGGAAGTCAGAACTGGGGCTGGGAACCCAGCGGGTGTTTGAGGGGCAGAACTGGGAAGGACCAAGGCCAGAGATTCAAAGGGAGCTGCAGGGGAAGGCGGCGTTTCTGCCAGCTCCACCTTCGGGATGGATCCAGAATCCACTCCTTCCCCCAACCTCCGCCAGGCAACCATGCACAAACCGCCATCCCATAGGCACCCTGGCATCCCTCCCTAACCAGCTGAACCCCCCACGTCCCCACTTCCCCCCTCAGCTTATTCCTCACATGTTTGTCAGAATAATCCTCAAGAAAACACTCATCCCACTCAAGGCCTCCGTGACTCCCACCTTCCCATGTAGGTCTCTTGCTTCATCTCCCACCTCTCTCCCCGCGCGGCAGGGCTTCAGGCTCTTCCTGCACCCCTCTGGCCTGGCTGCCCCTCTCTCCCATTCCCCAGTGGCATCTGGTCTAGGGTTGGCTGATAAAATAGAGGATCCTAGTTAAACTTGAACTTCAAGGTAAACCACACTTAAGTATAAGTATATCCCAAGTGGTGTAGGTGTTACTCACCTGCAATTCACATGTGGCTGAGCATCCTGTATGGTCGTTTGCTAACCTGGCAGCCCTAGTCTAGTCCATCCCCTCTGGACCTGAAATCTCTCAGGTCAAGGATCTTGTGCTTCTGGGCTATTGATTGAGAGAAGGGGGAAAGCTATCTTCCATGTATTTTATTTTAAATAAGTATATCTATTTTAAGTAAATTTATTTTTTTTGGAAAAATCCGCTTGTTTTAAGTGGGGTGTCCTGGGAACCATGTTCCCTCATCTCTTTCTTGCCCCTTAGTGACCAGAGGGTGGGGATGTTAGGAAAATTGGAAGGGATGGTATTTTAAGTCAGAAAATTGTAGGTTTGAGCGTAGCATCTGTCACTGATTCTGTGACGTCTCAGAGCATTGCTTTCACTGCTCTGGCCTCAGTTTGTTTCTCTCTAGATGGGGGCTAGGACTTCATCTGCCTCCCAGGTGGCTGTGGGATTCATGATGCATGAGTTATGCTCATCATGGACATATGTGCTAGCCATGTGAGGGGTTAGGTTAATAAGGCTCCATTGCCTGTGGTTCCAGAGTCACCTGGGCTGAAGGGTAGGTAGATGTGGCCTAATCCATAAGCTCCGTGCTGGTCAGAAGTTTGCTGGGCAAGTGAGTGAGTGCCAGATCTCTTAATTTCTTGGGCCTGCCTGGTTGGCCATGCAGTTCAAGGTTCTGGTCACCAGGGGTCAGGCTTGCACACGGATGGCTAAGTTCTGTCTTTTATGGTGCTCCAGGGAGCCTCCAGACTGTGAGCCAAAGGGACGGTGAGGATGGGGGGTGGCACATTTTAAAAAATGTGGATCTTGGAGCTGTAGGTCTGTGACCTGCAGATCTGGGAGGTCAGACGTTATTCTCTCTCATATTTACATCTTGCTTGGTACCTTCTGGAGAGATCCTCATCTCTTTGGCCCTTCACCAGGAGACTCCATGAAGGAATTGGGTTAGGTGGCTGGGGTTTGGAGAGAATGCTGGGCAGGGGTTTTGAAGCGCATTTGAGTCTTAGCTCCAAGTCTGCCCCTTACTAGTGTCCTTGTTGGCTCTATTACCTCCTGGGCCTAAGTTTCTTCTTCAGTGGAATAGGGTAAAAATACCTCCTCTGCAGAGATGCGTCAAGATCAGTGAGTAGAGGTGGGGCAGGGATAACTTCTCGAGGCTAGCCCAGCCCTGTCTAGAATAGCTTATGATGAAAATGGAGAAATAAGATAGAAACACAGGGAAAGAGCAAGTGTTGTCACGGGGCATCATATAATCCCTTGCTAAGTTGCAGAAGTGAGCACTAGGGTTCGGAAGAGAGAGAGGGCAGTCCAGAGAGGGGAAATTGCTGGCTTGAGCTCACATAGCCAGAGGGATAAGCGCAGGGTCCACTGGGCAGGTGGCTGAGCTGGGCATTGGAAATGAACAGTAGATCAGGCACCCAAGGCAGGTGTGCCCAGCTGATCCAGGCCACAGCATGTAGGCTGCTGGGCCCCTGCAATTTCAGATTCAGTTCTGTGTGTCTCCTGGGCACCTGCTCTGGCGGTGGGAGTACATGCTCTCCAGGCATGTGTGTGTGCTTCCCATGTAGTGCAGTGAGCAGCAATGTGGCTTCAATCTTTGGTCCAGGCACGGACCCAGCACCCAGAGAAAGCGATTTTCCTGCTTGTGGTTTCCTGGCCTCCTCCAAGAACCTCACACGTCCATGTTGCTCACAGAGAAAGATGGATCACTCTGGGGGTTCCTGGAAGAGTTGCTGTCTTTGAACAGTCCCTCTCTTGCCAAGACCCCTGCCTTCCTCCCGGCCCCCAGCCTACTGCCTCTCCGCAGGAGGACAGCATGTCCTGGGCCTCTGCTCTCTGGCCTCAGTCATGGTGTGGCTGGGTTGCTCTGGGGACGCTGAGGGTTCTTGATCGCGGCCTGTCTCAGGGTAGGTCCCCATGGATTGCCCTCCCACCCCTGGCCAGGTTGCTGTGGTTTCCCCATCAGTAGAAATGACTCCTCACCCACAATTGCATCAGTCCCTCCACAGACGCAGTGAATCATGTTGCAAGATGTGGTTATGGACTGCGCCCTGTGCTCTGGTTAGGGGCTGGTTGGGCCGGGCCAGGGGTGAGGGAAGTGTGGGGGGTTGACCATGTTTTGACTTGAACTTGGGAGAGGAAAGAAAAACCCAGGAGAGGGCCTCCAGGGGTGGGGTGGGGTAGGTGTGAGTTGACACTGAACTCATCACCCATGGGACTGAAGCAAGTATCCAGTAACCTTAACCGAGACCACACTGGGGAACCTTCTGGCTTACTCACCCTCTGGCCCTACCGCTACCACCAAGAGAAAAAGAAGTGAAGAGAACGAGCTGGTTCATCCTCTAGTGCATTGCAGCGGCGTGGGGGAAACCAGGGAGATGGGTTGGTTTGCTTTCTTCCTGTTTCTCTATTTGAACTCCCTGGCTTGCTTCCCTTCAGCTGACACATGGTGGCCATGGGCTGAGAATGTCCAACCTCAAGAAGAATTTCTTCCCTCTCTCCACTTCACAGGCCAGGCTCATAGCTGCCCCTGGGTAGGAACTATCTGCAGGGAGGTAGACTCCAGCTGCTTGGAGTTGTATGACCCTTCCCAGAGGCAGATCTACCCATTTTTCAGTGGAGAAGATGAGGCCCAAAGGGAAGTTGCCGGACACTTTGCTTCCGCCTCTCTCTCCCATGCCCTCCTGTGCAGCTGAGCTCATGGCATCAGAATCTCAGGATCTTTCAACACTTTCCAGCTGGGCAAGGTGGGAGTGAGTTGGCTGTGTCTTCTTGTTAATTGTCCATGCCTTTATTTACTTATTTATTTTTAATTTTTAAATTGACACAATAATTGTACATATTCATGGGGTACAGTGTGATGTTTTTATACATGTATACATTCTGTAATGATCAAGTCAGGGTATTTGGTACATCTATCACCGCGTACATTATCATTTCTTAGTGGTGAGAACATTCACAATCCTCTCTTCTAGCTACTCTAAAATATACAATATAATATTGTAACCATAGTCACCCTCCTGTGTAATAGAACAGCAGAACTTATTCCTGCTACCTGATTGTAGCTTTGTACCTATTGACCAACCTCTCACCATGCCTCCTCGCCCTCTCCTCTCCAGTCTCTAGTAACCACCATTCTACTCTCTACTTCTACGAGATCAACTTTTTAGATTCTGCATATGAATGAGATTGTGTGGTATGTATCTTTCTGGGCCTGACTTATTTCACTTAACTTAATGTCCTCCAGGTTCATCCACATTGCTTCAAATGACAGGATTCCATTTTTTTTTATGGCTAAATGGAATTCCATTGTGTGTGTGTGTGTGTGTGTGTGTGTGTGTATGTGTGTGTGTGTGTATAGATAGATAGATAAAGATATCATGGTATCTTTATCTAATTATCCATTGTGGGACACTTGGGTTGTACCTCTTCTCTACAGGAGGCAAGGCTGTGCAATGGTTCAGAGATAGCCCAGCAAATGCTCTGTAATGAGGCTTGGAGTTTCAACCTCACTGTCTTGAGCAGAAGAGAAATGGGCAATATGACATATGGAGGTGCCACTGAAACAAAACACCCCAAAATCTTGAGTCAACACAGTGGGGATAGCACTCTGGAGTCCACACTGGAACGGCAGTGGGTTTGTCTGAATGACAAATACACTTGTGTAAGTCACTGAAATGTGGAGGGCTGTTTGTTACTGCAGCATAGTCTACCTACCCTGACTTTGCAATGCTGAGCTAAGGAGATTGGCCTTGATTCTGAAGGTCATGGGAAGAGATTCAAGTCTTGGGAAAGGATGGCAGGGCCTAGATCCAACACTTGGGTTAAGAAGGTGGTTTTTCTTCCTTTTAGATTGTGAGCTTCCTAGGTGCAGCAATGTATCTGGGGTTGTTTTTCACCACTGAGTATACCTGGGGCCTAGAACAGTGCGTGATACATGATAGGTGCTTGTTCAGAATTTGTCTTCTCTCCTTCTGCCTTTAGTTTCCTCCTTCTCCAATTTATTCTTCCTCTCTTCATCTTTCATTATTTAATCCTTCCTTCATGCCTTAATTTCCTCCACAAATATTTAGGAAGTGCCTCCCATGCCCCGGGCACTGTGTTTTACATATGTTATCTCTCTTTTATGCCAGTCTTGACAGAGAAGTCCTTACCCTCACTTGACAGAGGAGGAGTGTGGGCCCTGTAGTCTCTGCCTGCTCCCTGGCATTTTCATCATTTCTTTACTCTCTTCATCTTTATCTGGGACTCACTGGGAGGACTCCCTAGCAGTGCTAGGGAGAGGTAGAGGGATGCATCTAAACATGAAAAGGCATGGTTCTGCCCTTAGGAGACCTCAGGTTGTTGGGGGTCACTGTCACAGCAGTGCACAGCTGCCATCCAGCGTGGCACCCCACCAGAAATACACACAGGGTGCAATAAGCACGTGGAGAACCCTTGAGCTGACACTTACGCAGGGTCTCCAGGAATCTGAGGTTGGGCTCAGGGTGGGGAGTGGAATGGGATGGAGAGAGCAACATGAGCAAGGGCAAAGAGGGGTAAGAGAACCTGGTTTAATTAGGGAATGACAGCTAATTCAATGTGACTGGAAGATAAAATAAGTGAGGAAGACCTCTGGGAGTTAAGGCGGGGAGAGCAGATGGGACCTAAATTACAACATTTATAGACATTTGGAAGGCTAAAGATGGCAAAAACATTTTATCTTAAAAGCCAACTGTGTTGGATTAGTGGTGACTGCTTGAAGCACTGTGTTAAGAAAGATTCTGAGGCTGCATCTGGTCTTAGGAAAAAGTGCTTTGATCCATGGGTGATATCTTCCATGGGACAGGGAGTTTGGAGCGACAACCTGCATGTCATGCATTTTCCAGTTTTGCTTTGCTTTGAGAGCTGCAGAGCCATGGGAAGAATTTAAGCAGGAAAATGATGGGGCCTGGACTACTGATTAGAGAGATCATTCATTCCTTGACCAACATAAAGGAACTAAGTGGAAGAGACATGATTGGAACCCAGGTCAGCCCAGTAACAAAGCCTGCATTCTGAAAACTCCCCTGCCTTCTGAGAGTTTTTTCCCTGGCCAGGAAAAGCGTATTTCAGTGTGGAAGCTCCCAGTTAGGCTTGTCAATGATCTTTCTTCTTGCTGCTTCTTCCTTCCTCTTCTTATCAGCCGCTCCTCCCTGGTGCACCTCCTCCTTTTGTTATATCCCTAGGCCATCTGCTCAAGCAGGGATTCCCACCCAGAGGGCTGTGGCTCACTCTTGTGCCACAGACCCTTCTCAGCTGTGAGAAGTCAAACCTCAATTGATGGGTAAAGCTTATTTACTTGTTTGTTTTTGTGCCACTATGAGAGAGATGTCAGCAGGAAGAACACTGAGCTGGATGTGGGCTACTATAGAAGAAAATCACGGCAGTCCCAAAGCATGAGGCAAGCAGGCTCTGCTCATCAGTCACTGAGGCTCGGGCTGAGAGAGCAGCCATCACCTTGACCCTCACCAGTCTCCACACCAGAAGGAAAACAGAGCCTGGAGGGTCTCGCACCTGCAATTAAATGCTGTGTCTGCAGGTGACCTCTGTGAGTTCTGCTCTGCTCACAACTCATGGGCCAGAACTAGTCACATGGCACCACCAGCTGGAGGGGACTAGAAGGTGTGAGTTCACCATGTACCTGGAACATGGGGAGCCAGAGGATCTGGTGAGCAGCTCTGTCAGTCACCATCATATACCTTGTGCCTGGCAGAGTAGGGGAGGAGCAAATTTTTGATGAAGATGGTGTCAGCCTGAGCATCCTTCCAGAACAGCTCTTGCTCGGGCCCCAGTGACCTGCATGTTACTCCATCTGGTAGACACTTTTCAGTCCTCATTTTCCTTAACCTTGCTTCTCACACTGCACTGTCCTTCTTAATACATGTTTCTTGGTTCAAGCACACATCGTTTAACTGACTTCCTTCCTACCTCTTGCGTTACTACTGCTTCCCTGGCTCCTTTGCAACTTTTCCCCTTTTCTACCTGGCCTCGCATTTTGGAGATTCTCAGGGCGTGGACCTCTTTCCTCAGCAGATCTCATCCACTGCCTTGCCTTGAACGATCCCCTTCACCTAGAAGACTTGACTTGCTTTGGAGCTCCACGTTCACGTGTTTTGCTGTCTACTTGACATCTTCTCAAGAATACCTCAACATTATCTCCAATTTATTATGCTTAAAACCAAAGTCATGACCTTTTTCCCTCCACCCCTGGTCCCTTCCAGAGTTCTGCATCTCACTGAATAGCAGCACCATCCATCTGGTCATAGGATCCAGAAACCCAAGAGTCTCGCTTGACCCTTTCTTCTCTGTGCCACACCCTTCCATTTTAAGTCCTTTAGCAACCCCTATTAATTTAGTCTCCAATCCATCCACCCTTCTCCAGCTCCATCGCCATCTCCATCACTGGTCCACGTGGCCACTGTGTCCCACCTGATTGCTGTGAGGCACCCCATGCCCTCCCTCCTTGTTCAGTTCCACCCATTTGTTCTTTATGCTGCAGCCAAGGAAATAACGCAAACTTGATCACGCAGCCTTCCTTCCCATGATGCTTTAAAGGCTGCCAGGCTGGGCGCGGTGGCTCACTCCTGTAATCCTAGCACTTTGGGAGGCTGAGGCGGGCGGATCAACTGAGGTCAGGAGTTCGAGACCAGCTTGGCTAACATGGCAAAACCCTGTCTCTACTAAAAATACAAAAATTAGCTGGGCATGGTGGCAGGCACCTGTAATCCTAGCTACTCGGGAGGCTGGGGGGGAGAATCGGTTGAACCTGGGAGGCAGAGATTGCAGTGAGCTGAGATTGCGCCATTGCACTCCAGACTGGGTGACAAGAGTGCAACTCTGTCTCAAAAAAAAAAAAAAAAAAAAGGCTGGGCGCGGTGGCTCACACTTGTAATCCCAGCACTTTGGGAGGCTGAGGCCGGCAAATCACCTGAGGCCAGGAGTTCGAGACCAGCCTGGCTAACACGGTGAAACCCTGTCTCTACTAAAGATATAAAAATTAGCTGGGCATGGTGGCGGGTGCCTGTAATCCCAGCTACTCGGGAGGCTGAGGCAGAAGAATCGCTTGAACCCGGGAGGCAGAGGTTGCAGTGAGTCGAGATTGCACTATTGCACTCCAGCCTGGGCAACGAGCAAAACTCTGTTAAAAAAAAAAAAATGCCTGCCACTGCTCTTGACAAAGAGAAAACTTGTGCAAGATGTACAAGGCATGCGTGGTCAGGCCTCTGCTTGCTTCTTTGTCTTACATTCATTGCAGTGCCTGGCACATAGTAGGTGCCTGGTAAATACTTTTTGAGTGAATGAACATATGGTATAAGAGAAATGGCCAGTTGGTCAGATTATTTTGACTATTAAAAAGTAGTGGGGCCGGGCACAGTGGCTCACACCTGTAATCCCAGCACTTTGGGAGGCTGACGCAGGCAGATCACCTGAGGCCAGGAGTTCGAGACCAGCCTGGCCAACATGGCGAAACCCTGTCTCTACTAAAAATACAAAAATTAGCTGGACATGGCGGCATGCGCCTGTAGTCCCAGCTACTTGGGAGGCTGAGGCAGGAGAATCGCTTGAACCAGGGAGGCTGAGGTTGCAGTGAGTTGAGGTTGCACCACTGCATTCCAGCCTGGTGACAGAGCAAGACTCCATCTCAAAAAAAAGTAGCGGACCACCGGGAGTGGTGGCTTATGCCTATAATCCCAGCACTTTGGGAGGCTGAAGCAGGCAGATTGCTTGAAGTCAGGAGTTTGAGACCAGCCTGGCCAACATGGTGAAACCCCGTCTCTACTAAGAATACAAAAACGTGCTGGGCATGGTGGTGCATGCCTGTAATCCTAGCTTCCTGGGAGGCTGAGGCACAAGAATTGCTTGAACCTAGGTGGTGGAGTTTGCAGTGAGCTGAGATAGCACCACTGCACTCCAGCCTGGGGGACACAGCAAGACTTTGTCTCCAAAAAAAAAAAAAAAAGTAACAAAGCAGCAGGGGTGGCTTTCCTGGATACTGAGGCTGGTTCAGGGCCCCTTGGGAGCTGACATGTGACTGTTGCTGTGTTCTGAGCAGCAATGCAGGCTCATCAAAGCAGGATGACCCTTTGATAAGCCTCTCTCTGGGATTGGAACCCAGGCAGGCTGAGCTGAGAACCAATCTCTTCATCTCTGTGCCGTTCTGCCCACTCACCCACTCACTGCATTTGTGCTCCACATGTGGCACAGAGGTGGCATCTACATAGAGGCTATTTTTATTACTCTTAGACAGCCTGGCGATGGGACACAGCAGAAACAGGGAGAAAGGCCACTCACTGGGGCAGGCAGACAGACTCTTTTCGTAGTCCCCTTCCTTTCATCCTGGGAGCTCCCTGGGCTGGGGGCAGGTGGGGTGCCCAGAGTTGGCTCAGGGTGGCCTCATTTCTGGGGATCAGGGTGAGTCAGTTGTCTCCCTGTGGTCTGAGGGCAACATCAGGAACTGCGATAGTCATCTCTTTCTTTGTGGCTTTGAGGTCTGGGGGTGGGGGGTGAGGGTTCCTGAGACACTTGGGGCCCATAGGGGAAAGTCTTCAGCCTGCTGGGCCTAGGAGATGCAGGGGGATTCTGCAGGACCCATAACAGTGGCTGGGGAGCCCTGGCCTTTGGGCCTCTCTGCAGCGTTGCCCACTCCCCACTGGCCGCGTGCTGAGCAAAGGAGTGAAGAATCCAAGCGAACAGGGGTCTTAGTTCATCTTTTCAACTCGAGAGGAAGCTGCTCTCATGATCTCTGTTTTACAGACGAGGAAACTGAGACTCAGAGAAATTAAGGGATTGGCCCAAGTTCTCATGGCTATTAAATGACACAGCCAGTACTCAATGCGAGACCTGCCCGATCCCCACAGCTGGCCCTCTTTCCCACCTGACCTTGCCCTCTCTACCTCCTCTCTTAGGGCCTAGAGGAAGAGGAAGTGAGAGGTAGAGTAGAAGCAAGCCCCTGTCAGGGTCCTGGCAGGGAACGGATTCACTCGGATGGCTCAAATGAGGAGAGTGAATGCAGGGACTTCTTACCGAGGGGTGGGCAGGGTGGAAGGGGTGAAGGAGAGACGCTGCAGCCTCCAGAGCCCGGCGACGGCGGGAAGCTGCCTCCAGAGCCCGGCGACGGCGGGAAGCTGCCTCCAGAGCCCGGCGACGGCGGGAAGCTGCCTCCAGAGCCCGGCGACGGCGGGAAGCTGCCTCCAGAGCCCGGCGACGGCGGGAAGCTGCCTCCAGAGCCCGGCGACGGCGGGAAGCTGCCTCCAGAGCCCGGCGACGGCGGGAAGCTGCCTCCAGAGCCCGGCGACGGTGGGAAGCTGCTACCAGCCCTGGCCTGTTATGGAAACCTGGTGACAGTGGGACCCCTGGAGGAGGAGGCATGGGCACAGAGGATGCAGGGATGCCAGAGACACCCCCTAACTTCTCTCCTACCTCCTCATCTCCTGCTGGCGACTCCCTATGGCTGAACCCCAACTGAAGCCAGCAGGCAAAGGAGCTGGGAAGCTGCACTCCAGAGAGCTCAGTCTGCAGGGGCTGGAGAATGGGAGGGAGGGGCAGGCAGAGACTGGCCACACAGAGACCCGAGGCGGGTGGGTGGTTACGCCATCCACCATTGTGGAAACAATAGAGGTGTGGCTAGACCCATGGGATGGGAGAGAATCAGTGAGGACCGTGTCTCTTTTGTTCCTGCCTGTCCTAAACAGGACGGGACCATCAGCGGGCCTGCCATTCTTCCCCAAGTCCCCAAGGCTTCCAGGCAAGATGAATCCTTCCTCACCCAGGAGAGCGCCCCAGCCTGAAGGCCAGTCTTCCTGCTCAAGGGCTGGCTGCTTCTTTCCCTCGTCTCGCTTCCTCCCTCTCTCTCTCTCTCTGTCTGTTTCTCTTTTCTCTGTTTCTGCCGCTCTTTCTCGTTTCCTTCTGTTTCTCTGTGTGTGTGTGTCTCTGTTTTTCTCTCTGTTTCTGTCTCTGTCTTCCCCTCTCCAGAACAGTCAGCTGAGGCAGGCCCTCTGTGCAGGGGTGACAGCTGTGGTTTCCCTCCTGGTTTCTGTCTGCCCTCCTCTGTCCCGTTCTCCAGGCCCCTCTCCCTGAGCCTGGGTGTCTGTGGAGGACCAGCTGACTGAGCAGGCCTGGAGGCCATCTTGAGTGCCACCTCCTTGCCCCAAGACACCACCCAGGGCTCAGCCAGAAGCATCCTCGGGCCAGATAAAATAAAAACCACCAGGAAGTGAAACCACCTGCTCAGCACATGGGCGGGTGCCTGGCTGAGGAGCCGGTGGGAAGGCCACCAGGCCAGGCAGGGCGAGTGGGAGGAGGGTGGCCTGGGGAGAACCAGCCTCCTCTTTCCTGGAGGCGATAAGCCCTGGCTGCTCCACTGTGGGGGGCATTGAACATTTATGAATTAGTGGCGTTGTGCTGTTTTCTGAGCAATAAGTTTTCATGATGTGTGTTTGGTGAGCAAGGCGGCCGCTCACTGGTGCATTAATCTGGCTCGCCGTCCCTCCCGCCACGCTCTTGTAAATCATCTTGTCCTAGCCATCGGGAGGCGGAGAGGGCAGGGCAGGCGCCCGGAGGGAGGGAGAGAGGCCTGCCTTGAGCAGGTGGCTGGCAGGGGCTGGGGCGCTGGGGTGGGAGGGATGCTGAGGGAGACTTAAGGGGCAGTGAGTGGGAAGGGCCGGGTACTCCTGTCTGGAGCCACAGGAAAGAGTGGGAAAAGCCTGAGGCAGGGCCAGAGTAATCAAATCCCAGTCGCTGCACCTCATCAAGCTGATGCCCTCAGTGGTATTTTGGCCGGGGAGCCTGAACAGGGTTCAGCAGCCCTCCTGGGACTGGTCGATGTTCTTTGGGGTCTCAGGGGCTCGCCCTCCAGTCTCCAGGCCCTGCCCTGCCATGTGGGCTCTTGGGAGTGGGGTGCTGGGCGGGGAGGCTCGTTTCCATGTCCCAGTTTTCTGCAGGGCTCATGTGCTCTGAGGGGCACAGCCCTACTCTGGGCACCAGATGGCTGATAGGGACAGAGCCTTGTGTCCTTCTTCTCTTCTCCCTCCTCCTCCTCCATCTCCTCCTCCTCCATCTCCTCCTCCTCCATCTCTTCCTCCTCCTCCATGATCCGGGAAGCAATAGAACAGGCTCAGCTTCACGTGCTCATTTCCACTTAGCAGGAAGAGAGTTCCTTAGCCCCTCTGAGCCTCCTGCAAAATGGGGATTAGAAATTGCAGCAAGATTGGGATGCTCTGAGGATGGTGTTAGGTCAAAAGCTCCAGGGACCCTGGATGCTGCCCTTCCCCAGGAGTTCCCTGACGGCTCCTCATAGCAATGGTACAGAACAGCCAAAGTGACACGTTAGAGAGGTAGAAGCTTGGCACCCAGCAGTGAACAGCTCTAGGAGCCCCTTCCCCCTAACCCACATGGGGACAAAATCTCAGTCTGGCTCTGGCCTCTAAGGGAGTGGGAGCAGCAAAGGGAGGACAAGACAGAGGGCAGGAGAAGGCATTTGCCCCAAGCCTACTGCCCTGGCTAGCCTGCGGCCTCCTAGTCCTGAAAAGAGGGTCTTGGGTCCAGCTGCTATGGGGAGGGAATGGGGAGGGGGGAAGAGAGGATAGGAGAGGGAGGAGAAAAAGAGAAGGGAGGGAATGGGAAGGGAGGGGAGAGCATGCCAATCAGGCATTGACTGATCCAAAGATAGTCTTGCCAGGGAGGAAAAAGAAAAGAGACCCATTTATAGTCCTGTGACCTCTGTTCTCCTTGAAACCTGCACCCTACAAAATGTGAAATTTGTCCCTTGTGACTGACTCATCCTGGGCAAGAGTAAAGGGTGAGGTGGAGTGGGGTTGGGGTGGGAGTTGGGGGAAGGATCCCTGAGCTCTCGCTGGACCCTGGATCTCCACTTCACACTAAGTCACCAGATGGGTAAGACAGTAAAAACACTGCTTGGAGAAGAAACTGCAGGTGCAAAGGCAGGAAGATGTGAAAGGAGTCACTTTTCAACTCTGAAGAAATCTGGCTAAGCCATTTCAAAAGCCAACTTGAAGGGTCCACAAGGGACTGCCTAGAAGAATGGCTTCCAACAGTGTGAAGCCAGGAGGGAGGAGAGAAAGGGGACATGGCTTCTGCAGCCGCCACAACCCTGGCCTCAGTGGGAGCTGGGTGCATGCACTGGAGCCCTTCCCGGCACAGCAGAGGTGCTGATGAGGGGCTGGGGCACAGGACTGAGAGGTGCAAGGAATAGGGGTCCTTCACTGGCTGTGAGGCCACAGCCTAGTCACTCTGCTCTTTGGGCGTTGTTTCTGCATTTGTAAGATTATTCCCCAATTATGAGATGACCTTGGTTAGCGGGTGGACCCTTGGGAGCACCTTTGAGGGGAGATGAGGTGGATGGGGAGAGAAGGCCTGGCTGTGCTCAGCAGCGTGTGTCTTGAACTAGACCCTAGACCATGAGCCACTAGTATCACTAGTCTCTCAGTGACCTTCCCCACACCTACTCCTGTCACTCTAGTCTATTGTTCATAAAAGCAACCAAGGGGGTCCTTTGGGGGGTCCTTTTACAAATGCAGATCTGATCATGGCACTGCTTAGACCCCATCAATGGCTGCCCCTTGCTGTTGGGATAAACCCCTGCAGTCATTTCCTTGGCCTTCAGGGCCCAGGCCAGGTTCTCCACCCACATGGCTCCCTCACCCTGGGCACTCCAGGCTCCCTGACCTCCTGTCAGCTCCCCCACAACACCACACCCTTCTTCTCACCCAGGGGTCTTTGCACCAGTGGTTCCCACTTCCAGGAATGCTTTATCCACTGAATTCCTATCATCCCTCAAATTTCTTAGGCCTGTGAGGCCAGGCCAAGTTCCCTGCCCTGTGCTGTAACCACTCTGTCCTTTTCCTTGAGGGCAAGAACCACAATTGCAATGAAAGGATCAATTGTCTACTTCATCCTTGACTCTGTCTTCCCAGCTTAAA
Organism: Homo sapiens; assembly: GCF_000001405.40. Lineage (NCBI taxonomy): Eukaryota > Metazoa > Chordata > Mammalia > Primates > Hominidae > Homo > Homo sapiens. Next base: position 70,475,942 of record NC_000015.10, on the reverse strand, counting down.
TGTCAGCCTTGGAGGGGCAAGGACCATGTCAGTCTGAATCACCCCTGTAAGCTCAAGGAACTCACTGCACTGAAAACATTGGATATTTATGGAAAAGTGAGCCTTGGAATGACATGAATATTGGTAGGAGGAGTACTGGAATCAGACAGATCTGGGTTCCAACCCCAGTTTTGCCACTTACTAAGTGTGTGACCTATGAATCTTAGCCTCAGAAGCCTTCGTTTCCTCGTCTATAAATTGAGGCTAAAGCTGTTGCCCTTATTAAGCTCTCGATAGGCTAAAGCAAGCCACACCTGGGTGAGTGCCCTCGGCCATGTCATGTGTTCAATTAATATCAGCTCAATGAACATCATCTCCCTCCACAGAGGCCCTCTGAAAGCCGGGCACACACTAGACACCTCATTCAAGCCTGGTTGATGGGAATGTGAATTTGCCGAGAGATGGTGTTGCTGGGAGACCCCGTCACCCACCCATCTCCTCTGGCTGCCCATGGGAACAGAATAGCTTGAGGGGGGAGGTGTGCAGTTTCACTTTCATAGTTTTCAAACAAAAAGACAAAAAGAGGAAAAATGAAACCACCCGGAAAGCAGCAGGGGCCCATTTTGTCGGCAGCCTGACGTGTTTTGCTCAGCGGGCACCGATGGCCTCCCTTATTTATTTATTTTTTAAGTCCCTGACTCATGAGTCAGTCAGTTGGCTTGGTGGTAAAACGCAACCCACTATCAAGGAAATAGCTGATGAACTACATGGAGGCTGTGCCAACACACCACTCACGACTTCTGAAAATCTCTTGTTTTCTGGCCAGCATGAGCCAACTGGAGCTGTGGTTCCTCGAATTGCTCTCCAAGACCAAATGCCAAGCGCATTTGAGATCCTTCAACAATTGCCTCACAATCGCTGTGCACCGCCAATACATGTTTGCTGTAATTATACAGCGTCCAAAGGAGAGGCACAAAAGACTTGTTGATTTTGGACGGGCTCCGGCCCCGGCGAGGCAAGGGCTGACCTGGGCTCCTGGCAGAGCGTGGGCAGGCAGGCCGCCGGCCGCCCCGGTGAGGACGTGACCAGCTGGAGCGAGCGTTGAACCGGGGCCATTGCGGCCAGCACCAGCGCATTCGCCTCGCTCTCCTGCCAGCTGACTCAAGAGCCGGCTTTCTTTGGAGAATAACCCGAAGAGAACAAAACGAGGAACTGGAGCTCCTATAAAAAGAAGCTCGCTCCTTCCTCCAGCCAACAAGTCCCTGAATGATAATCATCTCTGAAGTTGGCCACCCCTCCCTCCCTCTCAAGTCACTAAACATGCTCATTCTCTCTCGCTCTCTCTTGTCTTTGCAAGGAAACATCTTGGCTTCAGAGAGGACTTTCCACTGTGGCTGGGGAGCGTGGCCCATCTGAGCCTCATTTCCTGCCTTCCCCAAACAGGCAGAGCCCAAGAGGTCACCCAGAGTGTGCTGGAGATGGGGAGAGAGCGCTCACTTGCAGTTAAGGATCCTGGTTGCCGCTCAGGTGCCACTGCTAGTGCTTCCCATGAGGTGGGCTTACCAGTTACCATCATGGGGGCTGAGTTTCTCCCTTTGTTGTTCAAGCCGGGAGGGGTGGGTTAGAGCTGTGGTTTCCATGCTCATGCCTTTCAAATTGTTTTAAGTTGGGGCAACACTTATTTGCAGGGAATCTCAATGCACCAAACAGAACTGCTTGGTGCAAGTGGGAGTTGGGTCCGGCAGCCCCATGCACGCAGCATGTCCAGCCCAAACCCCTCCCAGTGATCCCCCCGGGCCCCAAGGAGGAAGACTTGGGTGCCGTGGAACACAATTTGAAAACCATGGTCTCCTTTCACAAAAGCCCCTGCCAGCCTTTGGGTTGGGAGAGGAATCTGTGCCTGCTGGGGGAAATCACCGTGGTTGCCTTTAGCTGTCTCGAGTGCACCTGATCCTCCACCCGGGGATGAGGGGATAAATTCAGCAAGGAGAAGACGGCCGTCCATAGTAACAACAACAACAAAAATGATTTTGCTCCTGCTGAAGTTTCTTGAGCAACTGGCAGGCTGCCATGAACGTACTTAGGCGGAAAATCACCAGAAAAAAATGATATAATCTGACAGATTTTTCACAGGCTTAAATATTCATGAATTAAAGGAATTGGCAGAATTTTCTACATTATTAGCTTTCATCATGGCTGCAGGAGCAGTTGGTATACTGGCTGCTCTTCAAGATCCATTAATCTCGTCCATCATAAGAGCAGCCATTTTAAAATTAGCTATTTTTACTGAGTGATGGTGTACAGGGGAGATGGGGAAATTGAAATGCGATTCCAGCGTAAAGGTCCTCCCCCTTCTCACTTTAAAAGCAGCAGGGAAAGCCAAGCAGCCTCTCAATGGGGAGGGGTCAGCGTAACTCCAGAAGAGAGGTCTGTGAAATGTAGGCATGTGGTGCGTTGTAGGGCCCTTCTAGTCCTTTGGATAGGGAGCACGCGTTTGCCTGCCGAGCCCTGAACTCCGGACTGGGGACCAGGAAGGGATTAGCATGGCTTTTGGTGAGGCAGAGACCAAGAGCCCCAAATAGGGGCTTCTGGGTGAGGAAGACATTTAGACCAAATAGCACAGTCTTTCTAACAGATGGCACTTGGGGTGCGGGACTGCAGAATAGCCGAATAATAATACTCATTATGAATGTCGGGGAGTGCGTACTCTGTGCTGGAAACCATGCTATGCCTGCATCTTCTGGTTCTAGCATCAGGGAACTCGGAAGGTAGACATATACATGTGTGTGTCTCGCACACAGGTTAAGTCAGTTGGCCATGGTCTCATGGCCAGTGAATGGCAGGGCCAGGATTCAGATCCAGGTCTTTCTGTCTGCAAAGGGAGTGAGAAGATGCTGTATTGATTGCTGGCCTGTGGCACTGTGAAGGTACATTCTCCCAAACACAGCCAAAACTTGGTAGGAGAAAGCTGCTTCTTTTCAACCATGGAGCAAAGTTATAGTCAGATCATTCCTGTGGAAACTTGAGGCCCAGGTTGATTTCATCCTCCCTTGCTTTCTTCCTTTTATCCATCCATCCATCTAACCCCCTTCCTTCCTTCTTTTCTTCCATCCACCTTTCCCCTCCCTCCCTCCCTTCCTCCTTCCCTCTACATTGAAGATGTAGGCTTTATTATCATTCAGGTATGGCACGGCCAATAAATCAGGAGCTGATGCCATGGAAAACTTGTTACTCACAGTTCCAGGAGAAGGGAGCATGCCACACCATGCGGGGCCACGTGGGGAAACACCAGGGGCAGTCAGGAGGCAGGGGGCGAGGGGAAAACATGGGCAGGAACTTTTGTGGTGGTTTCTATGGGAATGGATGGGCAGGGCAGGGCAAGCAGGTTTAGGATCGGCTAGTTTGAATAATGTAAGGTTCTGGGACACAGTCCCTAGTTGTTTGGTACCTGGCCCTGGGGTGACTGGGGAAGGGGCATAGGGGCCCTGAGTGTGACAGCCCAGTAGAGGAGGTGGGGGGCGGGGGTAGTCTCAGGACTGTTTGCATATTGCTATGGTTAGAACATTTGCATCCTCTCCAAAATTATGTTGAAACTTAATCTCCAATGCAATCATATTAGGAGGTGGGGCCTTTAGGGGGGCTCCGCCCCACGGATGGGATTAGTGCCCTACAAAAGGGCCGGAGGGAACTAGCTAGGTTCTTTTGTCCTTTTTCTCTTCTGCCCTTCTGCTGTGTGAGGACACAGTATCATCCCCTCTGGAGCACGGTGTTTAAGGCACCATCTTAGAAGCAGAGACTAGTCCTCACCTGCCAGACATGGAACCCACCAGCATCTTCATCTTGGACTTCCAGCTTCCAGAACTGTGAGGAATAAATTTCTGTTCTTTATCTATTACCCAGTCTGTGGTATTTTGTTATAGCAGCATGACTGCACTCAGACACATAAGCAAGGCACACTCGTAGGCAAGTCCTTCACGATCTGTAGGACTGGCTGGACTATCTATAGAGACTGCGGCAGTCTCTCCAGGGTCAGCAAGGCCCCAGATGTCAAAGCACAAGGGCTACAGAAAAAAGGCATGGTTAATATACTTCATCCTCCCACCCACCCATCCATTCACCCACTTACCCATCCACCCATCCATGTACTTATTGAGCTCCTGCACTGCTGGGTGCTGAGCTAGGCCCTGGGTACCTCTGTGGGCCTTGCCTTGATTCATTTTTCAGGATGGTGGTAAAATTTGCTTGCTCGGCAAAGCTCACTCCTTGTCTATCTGACTTCATCTAAGAAGCAGAGTTCTGGGAGCTTGACCAGGATTTCCCCAGGTCACTTTCTGCACTCAGGTCAGCCTTGCTGCTCATGAGCCAGGACTCAAGAAATCACAAAGACATTTCTTGTTGAGGTGATATCCAAAATATTTAACAACTTAGACACAGAGGAGCCAAGCTGAAAAGACGCAGGCCATAAGCAGACTGAACAGACAGATGGGATGCATTTGGGTGAATGTCACCTGCCTGGGTGACACCAGCCTGCACAGTGCTGCATGGAGACTGGAGGGAGGACAGTGCTCCCTGTTGGGGTGCTTGGAACCAGCTCTTCTTCTGGGTCCCAGACTTTTTCTGCATGGTTGAGGAGTGATGTCTGTCTGCAAACAGATTGAGTGGGGGAGCTGGTGTTTGGGTAGCATTTCTCACATTTATCATCAATAATAATGATGATTAGTCATCATAATAATTAATAATTATTTACACTTGTATGATGCTTGTTTATGGAGTATCTACTCCATTGCCAAGTGCCTTATAACAGCTTATAATTACAGCCGAAGTTTACTGAGCTCCGCTGGGGGCCAGTTACTGCTGTGCTTAGGACTGTCTGGACATCACCTTGTTCAGCCCACACATCATCCCTGAAGGGGAACAATGGAATCTCCCTTTTACAGGTGAGGGAGCTGAGGCCAAGAGAGGTTGTGAAACCCACCCAGGGCCACACAGTGAGTAAGTGGAAGAGGTGTGTCTCACAGTGCAGTTCTGTCTGACTTCCGCCTCAGGTTTCTCCCATGCCCTCTGGCCTGATCCTGGATCCTGTAGATCCCAGTCCCGAAGGAATCCAAGAGTAGGGTCAGGGCCTAGGTCAGGAGACACAGACGCTCACACAATGGAGGATTCCCTGACCAGTTTCAGGGACCCCAAAGAAGGAGCAGAAGATGATGGCCCGATCCTGGCATCTGTGTCCTGGCCAGGGGGAAGCATTGGAAGGACAGGATTTCTGACTCAGACTCCTGTGAAATCTTGCCTGAAGCCCTTGGGGCATAGCCTGACAGCCTAAGGCCCCAGCACTGGTACCATGGCCCCGACAAACAAAGCCACCACAATAAAAACCAGTCTCCCCAGGCTTGGCTATTGAGTATTGGGACTTCTATGGGATTCACAGCTGGCATCAAGAATCTCAGCCACTCTCGTCCACCCCGACTCTGCACACTGCTGGTGCTTGCCACCCTGCTAGGAGACACATGCAGGAACACACAGAGGAAACCCTGGGGTTTTCTATACCAATGCTAGGAAAACCCACTGGGCCAGTTCTTATTGCACATTTTAATACCGCTGAGGAATCAGCTGGTGGACTTAGCAGCTTTTAACATAGGAGATAGGAATGCTGACGGTTTTCCTGCAGCCGCAGGCTTGCCTCCTATAGAAAGACCTCCCTAAAAAGATTCCCTTTCAACATGATCTCTTGACTACGAAGGGTGGCAGGTGGTGTGGGCTGCTGTGCAGGGAGCCAAGGCTCGGTCCCCCCTGCATCAGTGATCCTCAGCAGGGGGTGAGGATGCAGGAGCTGAGGGAGGATGGGGGATGCAGAAGGCAGTGTGTTGTGCAACAGGGGCTGGCTGAGCACCGGGTCCTGGACACAGCCCTGAGTTCATGCTGTGGGAAAGTGTCGTTCGCTCTGCGGCCCGTGCACCCTCTGCATCTGGCTGTTGCCTCTAGGAATGAGCCTCGACCCCATGGCAGTGGAGAACGGAGAGAAGGGGACCAGATGCTTCATAAGCTGGCCCCAGGCCATCTCTCTGACCCTGCCTCTAGGACTCCTGCCCCTGGGGCCTTCCATTCCACCCTAGTATGCAGTCTGCATTCCAGCCACCCCAGACCACCTGTTCCCTCTCCTTTGTGCCTTTGCACACACTGAGCCCCCAGCCCTTGCCAGCTTCGCTGTCCCCTGCTTCTTCCTGTCCTCCCCAGCACTCTGTTCTGTACTCTCTCCTTGTGCCGGGTGAGTTATGATGTGTGTTTGTCTCTTGCTACTTGGTGAGCTCTGTAAGGGCAGGGCCATGGAGGAGTTTTTTTGAGGGTGGATGATGCTGGGACCATGTGGAGTTAAAAGTGATGCAGTGAAGTACTCAGTCCCCTCTCAACCTGCAGAGTGAGCAGGGTTTGGGGCACTGGAGGGATTGGTGGGCAGGTATGCTCTTGGGTCCCTGACTGTGTGAGTGAGCAGGCGGCAAGGACCAAGTGGACTGCACCATACCATGGCATGGGAGTGCATAGTGAGAGATGGAGATTATGCAAACACCTCGGCTCCTGTGTTTTATTTGGCTGGGATTTTTGGCTGGAGTGGGATAGGGAGGTAGGAGAGACTTCTGCACCCTCGCCCTCATTCTAGGCACTCTGTCCCTTGACTCACCTCCAAGAATCAGCAGGTCCCTGGTCCTGCAGGATGGTGAACTCCTTGGCTGGGGCTCCAATCTCTGCAGGAAACTAACTTCCTGGGTGACCCTAAACATGTTGCCTCTCCTTCTAAGCTTAAATTTCCATTCTCTAACCTCATTCCTGTAGGAGGTTGCATGGCACACATGAGCATGCTCAGGAGGCCATGCATGCTGCAGGTAGTGTGGTGAGGCTGATCTAGAGTACAGTCACCGTGATGGAGCCTCATCCTGCAAGTTCCTGGACTAGAAGCAGCCTTTCTGCTCTGTTCTTTGGAAGGTGGTAGAACTCTAGGACCAGTAGAGGCCAAGAATCACATGCCCTGGGCAGACGCAGGCCCAGCCCAACCTTCTAGTAGCAGCGTCAGTGAGGAGAGTTTCGGCCCTGGTGTTCTCTCTCTCCCTATCTCTCTGCTTTGGTCTCTGTCTCTTTGTTTCTATGTCTCCATCTCTGTCTTTCTTTCTGTCTGTCTGTCTCCCTCTCCTACCCTTCTTATCCTCAGTCCTTCATCTCCTATTCGTTCTCCCACTTGCTTACCCATTCCAGATTGGCAGCTAAGCCAGTTCTTCCTCCCCACCCTTACCCTGCCCCCACCCCCAGGATTTTCCCCAGCAGTACTTGCACCTGTGAAACCCCCTACTCCGTTTTATGGGAGCACAGAAGAAATAAAACAAAATGAATCTGCACCAGCTCCTGGGCTTTCAATTCACCAGCAGAGGTTAAACACCCTTTGCTGCCTCCACAGCTCTGGGCAGATGAGGCAGTGATCTGCTGCCCTTCCCTGTGGTCTAGGAATGCAATCGGTTGTGGGCCTGGAGCCGTCAAAGGTGCAATCCTGTACTCCTGAAAGTCATGGTGCTTACTGATGCTGTAAGAGGACAGCTATGGAAATATCCCTTCCAGAGCATGGCTCACTCTGGGAAGGAAGCAAAGGAAAGCCCAGGGGCCACTTTCTTTTGGGGAATATGCAATGTTTTCTGCTGCCCGATGCCATTGGTCCTCATGACAATTCTGTGACATGAAGAGGAAAGATGTCAGGGCGGCTGGCACTGGGTGGGATTCACAGATCTCGATATTCATTTTCCTCATCTGTAAAATGGGGATAATAATACTGACCTGATGGATTTTGGGTGAGGTTTCAAGGAATCAATATATTGTCCAGAACACAGCTTGTTCTACATACATATCAACTGTTGCCAGATTGGTATTACTATTATTGCTATTGTTATTGCTTTGCATTCCATACATATTACTAAGTCGCTGTGTGATGTTGGGGTTTATGTTTCTGAGCCCAGTTCCTCCTTTTTAAAGTGGGAATCTGCTACTTGCCCCCTAGGGGATTGGGAGGTAGTTTATGTAAAGCAACTCCCGTAGTGCTTACCTCTTACAGGGTGCAAAGTTAACCACTACTCTTTCTTTCTTCCACCCACTTTCTTCCTCTATGTGAATTACCTATGGAGGGCAAGGGAGGTGGCCACCGAGGCTGGCACAGTGTCCCAGTGGCAAATCTAGAAATAAAACCAGAGCTATGTAGACTTATTCTTTCTCTCCTACTGGACTGGGTCCCTTGGCAGACAATGCCCAGCTCTGCAGCGCAGTCTGAATTTCAGCCGCAGATTCTAAATCTGTTTGTCACCACGAGGTTGTGGCTCTCTTGATCCCTCACTGATCAGTGTTGATTGTATCTATGACTTGGAGGGAAAGAGCCCATCCTAATCTCAATCACGGGGACATCTCATAGCTTCATACATTCCTCCAGCTGCATTATGGTCCAGTGAGTAAAGACCTTCCTGAACTAGAAAAGAAAGGTAGTATAGAAACACACACAAAATATTCCTTCTGAGAGCATTTAGGCAGGACTACAGCAGGAGACTGACTCATCTCAGATGTAAGATCTCCCTTGGAGCTCATCTCAATGCCTCCTACTGCTTATGTGCACTTGACTTTAGTGCACCCCCATTTTTTCCTGTGGGATCCAGATTGTCATTGCAGAATAGCCCAGATGCAAATCTCTCCAGGAGACTAAAACTCCTGGGCCTCTGCCCTCACTTGGCCACCACGGCGGAGCATACATAGCAGGGATTCAGTCCCCAGCCCTCCTGCTCTGACATCCTGTATTAGAGCTCAAGCATCTTTGCACATGAGGCCTGCAGGTGGCAGCAGCTCCAGAACCCAGGAAGAAGAGCAGAGGCAGAACAGAAGCAGGGAGAGCAGTTGTAGAGGAGGAGGCTGAGCCCGGGGGGAAGGCCAGGCCTGGAAGTACTTGGAGGTTAAAGATGGGGCCAAGGAATCAGGCATCAGATGAGCATCTAGAGGGTGCTCCAAGACAGTGTGTCAGCATTAGGGAGCTCCGGGCAAGGAGGAAAGTGTGTGAGCTTGACTCTAAAGCCAATCTATCTATTGTCAGATTCAAGGATTTGAACTGGATTCAAGGATTTGAACCCAGATTGGTAATAATAATTGGTAATAATACCAATCTGGGTTCAAATCCTTGCTCTGTCACTTCCTAGCTGTGTGACCAAGGACAAATTCCTTCACAGTTTCCCTGTCTCTAAAATGGGAATCATAATAGTACCCATATCAAAGGAGTGTTGAAAATTAAATAAGAAATTACTTGTCAAGGTTAAGTCCTCCCTAGAGGTGCATTCTAATTCTAAGCTAGAAGTCCCCTTGGCCAAACAATGAATAACTTTGTGCACTTGACCCATCTGTAGAAAACCATCTGTGGCTGCATTGTCTTCTCCAAGCCACGGTTGCCATGGTCACCACCTGGCTGGGGAAGTGGCAGATGGAGCGTCGGCAGGGACAACAGGTCTAGAACCCAGGGCCACAGGCTGGGTAACAGGACAGTCTCCAGGCATCAAGGAGGCCTGTGCATTTGAGGGCTATGGCTCCTTCTTGTCCAAACCAGCAAGGATTAATTCTCAGGCACTGAGGTCTGGGGGTCTGCAGGGCTGAGCAGGAGCTCCTGACTAAGCGAGAAGGGAGGCAACAGGGAAAAAGCAGCCAGCCGAGGACTAGCTGCCTTCTAGGCGGCTAGCTCTTGACAGCACCTTTTCATTAAACCATCTCTTTTCAAAGGCTCCAGTCCCCAGAGTCATTGAGGATTTGGTTCCCTTCGCTGCTGTCTGCTTGTCTTCCAAAGAGCGGCCTTGGTGCCTTTCTGAGCCTCCAACAGATTTTCAGAGCAACCATCGTGGAATCTTAAGATGTTTCTGGAAGTGAGTGTGAGTTCATCTCCCTCCTGGATACCTGGTGTGCCTCAGGCCTTGGGAGAGGGTAGATTTTATCACAGCTCAGCCTTCTGGGGCTGTAGAGGTGGAGTTTCAGGAATTTCAAGAAGTGAGCAAGCCCTTTTCGCAGAAAGGTCTGCTGGGCCATGGGGGCACCCTACTCCTACCCTGTCTCCTCATTCTTCTCTCATTCTTGCATGCCAATATTGTACTGGCTTTGAACTTGTGTGCCCATAAATACCTTCAATAGGCAGAAAGCCCTCTATCAAGAAGGCTTTGAGCTCTGCCTTCCAAGTAGTTATGAAGTCCAACCACAGGGCATCAGAGGCTCAGGACGACCCTTGTGGATTTTGAAGGCTTCTATTCAATGAATGAATCCCTTTTGCAGTCTCTTCTCTAAGTGGTGCTGGCCTCTGCCTTTAACCTACTGATGATGGAAAACTCAGTATCTTTGGAGGAAGTCAGGGTTTTTATGTTTATTGGTCCCCAGAACATGGAGACAAAACTATCAGCTACACCTGTCCAGGGATATTCAAGTTGCAGTTTTATTCTCCATTAGGTGTGGGGGTCACATTGAGAGAAGCTCAGAAGAAGCCCATCTTGAAGCCAGTTCTCTGAAGGAATGGGAAGCAGGTTTGGGCAGGAGCATTAGGAGCACAGTGGTGAGCAGAGGGTCACAAGTACACCTTACCAGCACCCTGATATGCATGGAGGAAAGCTAATCACACTCTGTACCTTACCTTCTACTCTGTCTTGTGTATACCCAACCTTAGTCTTCAGAACTGCCCTGGAAGCTGGGTCTGATCATCTGCATTTCACAGCTGGAAAAATGGATACTCAGGGAGCTGGGAAGCTCCCCTTAGGTTCCAGACACCTGGCCCACTTTGTGTCTAGATGTGGGCTTGCCACGGAAGGATGCTTCACCAGAAGTGGCTTCTGCCACTTTGGTCTTGAGTGATACAATGCTCAGCTACCACCATTTACAGGTGGGTGCTAGTCATGCATCTGCTCTGGTGTTGGGCAGTGGGGTTTTATGTTTATCTGTGGTCAGGGGTCCTTTCACCACCCACTGACTTTGCCCTTCACCACCCACTGGCCTTGCTGAGCTGTCTCCCTGAGTGTTTTCGGCATAATCATTGGCTGGTCTTCATGGATGGGCAACCTCTGGAAATGGCTTTCTTCCAGAGCCATTGCCCTGGGACTACTGAGAAGTCCCAAGGCCCTTCTAGAGTGCCTTACCCCCATGACTTTATCAAGATGACTCTCTCCCTTCTTTGGGGACTGCCATAGTCTCTGGCAGCTGCCTTTGCAGGGGCCTTGCTCTGGGGCTCAAGGACTCCAGAGCTTCTCTTCTTAACTTGACCCTTAAGGACTAAAATCTTTGAATGGGGAGTAGTGGTATCAGATGGACCCGGATATGAATACCAGTGTTGCCATTTCTCTTTTGTTTGGCTGGTTTTTGGATAGGATCTCGCTCTGTCACCTAGGTTGGAGTGCAGTGGCAAGATCATGGCTCACTGCAGCCTCCACCTCTCGGGCTCGAGGGATCCTCCCACCCCAGCCTCTGGTGCAGCTGGGACCACAGGCGTGCACCACCATGCCTGGCTAATTGTGTTGCGGTTTTCTAGCTGTGTGACCTTACATAGGTCACTAGCCCTGTCTGATTTCCTCAGCTGTAAAAGAGGGTAATGATAAAAAAAAAATCACAATTAACACTACTATTTTATTCTCAATGTGTCAGGCATTATTCCAAGTACTTTATATAAATGACCTCATTCAATCGTTGTAATTACCGTATGAAATAATTATTATTGTTTAGTTCCTATGTGATAGATGTGTAAACTGCGACCACGCAGATAGTTAGCAGCAGAGCAGGGATCTAGGAAGGGCTGTCTCTGCAGCTGCCTTTCACGTTTATGTTATGCTGTGTCTTAATGATGCACACGCAGAGTCTAAAAAATCATGGATGTGTCACTGCATAAGGAAAAAAAATGATGATGCTTGTGTGTGCCCAGCTTTGAGCTTGGCACATAATAGATGCTCATGAAATCTTGTTTGCCTTATCCTCTCTTGGTCTTTTTCCTTCTACTCTCCTATGTGAGCACACACTGTGGTCACAGCAGAACAAAGTGGGGCTGTGACAAGGAGCTGGCAACCATGTCTGAGGAAGGCTGGTGGGTAGCATGGGCAGGTGTCTCTCATTCTGTCCTCTCCCTCTGCATCCAGAAGAGCTACACCCCAGCTCATGAGTAGGTGTGGGTCTAGTCTCCCCTGGAGCTGACAGGTAACTCTAACTGTTTCCCAAGGCAAGAGAGTAGGAGGGTGTAGCAATTGCTCGTTAGAGCCAGCCAATGAGCCTAGGGGGTCACAGGGTTCCTCCCACCTACTCTGGGGAGGTTGTCTGCCTATATTTGTGTTCATTTCCTGATAGAAACACTGGGGTCAGAGGCTTATCTGGCCTGGCTTCTGGGCCAATGGGGAGCTGATAAGGAACAGACCCATCCATTGGGATCTACTGGGTGGATTCCTATTGTCTTACACACCATACAGATAACCAAGGTCTCAGGTAGAAGTTGTACTTTCCTGACCTCCTTCTCATGGTTTCTCAAGTCCTCAACCAGCTCAACCCCAAGGGGCAGCCAGTTACAGTTCCCCACAGACAGAGTAAACCCTGCTGGACCTCTGGGGAAGTTTCAAGAACCAGTTTGACCGCAAAACCAAGAAGCAGGTCTGTTGGGGCCTCTCTGGATGAAGTGGTCATGGGTGGCTGTCAGATGAGGATCTGAATTAGTCACGAGAGGAACAGGAGCCAGGCTAGGGGTGGAAACAAGGCCAGCTCCCCTCTGCTCCAGGGCTTAGGATCAGCTGGGGTGGAAGCAGAGGCTGTGTTGCAATTTCACTGCAAATCAACTGGGTCATCTCTTGTGGGTGACACCATGCAGGCCTTCCAACCCTTGTGTGTGTGTGTGTGTGTGTGTGTGTGTGTGTGTGTTTTGTAGATGGGGAGATGGTATCTCCCAACTGCCTTTAGCATCTGGCTGTGAGATGAGGCTGGGGGAAGATGGAACGATATGCATTCCTGGCAGAGCCAGTGCCTCCGGAGGCATGGGGTGGAGGGGACAGGGTGGAGTCCATGTTTGAACAAGTTGAGAGCAATTGCTGGAAGAACCCTGGGCAGAAGTCCCCTCTGCAGATCAGACTTGGCCTCTACATTTGTTCTCAGGGAAGTGAAACACGTACCATCTCCCCAGTTTGGACTGTTGCAGGCTGTGACACACAGTAGCCAATTCATTGACTTGGGGCTGTCCCCTCCCACCTGGGATATTCAGTGCCCTGAAAGGCAATGAGGTGTGGTGGGAAGAACGTTGACTTTGGAATCTGACCGACTTGAAATTAAATCTCAGTTCTGCCCTGAAGCACTGGGTAACCTTGAGTAAGTCACTTAACCTCTCCGGACCCCATTTTCCTCATCTCTGAAATGGAGATAGTAACAGCTTCTGGGCAGGGTGGTTAGGAGAAGTAACAATGATAATGTGGGTGAAGGAAAATCATAGGGCAGGAACTCAATAGAAGTTAGGCACTTTTCTCCTTCCTCTTAGAATACACCCTGTCCTTCAGCCACTGCTAGGCTTGTCTTTACCATCTTGGTGGCTGCTGAAAAGCCTCATTGACTGGCTGTGCCCACCTACAGCAGTGGCCAGCAAGCATTTTCTGTAAAGGGCCAGAGGATAAATATTATAGGCTTTGCAGGCCATGTGGTCTCTGCCACAACTACTCATCTCCACTCTTGTTGCTCAAAAACAGCCATAGATGATACCAAATGAATGAGTGTGGCTCTGTTCCAATAAAACTTTATTTATAAAAATAGGCAGTGGGCCAGATTTGGCCCTCAGGCTATAGTTGCCAATGCCTGGCCTCGAGTTTCAAGTCCAAAGCCTCTGCTTTTCTCTCAAGGGACTTCCCTAGCCTGGTCTTACCTTCTTCATCCAATCCAGTTTCTAATTACTCCCCTGAGTGTTCCCCAGTATGACCCAACAGGACTCCCTTTTGGCTCAGGAAGTGTTTAGCTTCCACACCTTTGCCCATGCTTTCCTCCCTGCTTAGAACACCATCCCATTTCCTCTTCACTCTCTTCACCCTTCTAAATTCCATCCCCAGGGAACCTCCTGGGTGCCCTGTAAAATACAAGGCTCAGACCAAGGTCTCTTGATTCATCATTGGACAAGCCCATCCTTCAAGGCTGTGCTCTGGCCAGCTGTCCACAGTGATTTCTCCCTTTGAGGACTCCATGGCCCCTGCTGTTGATGCCAGGGTGGCCCTCCCATGGATCCCTGGGTTGAATTTGTGCCTCAGTCTCAATGAGGAACCCTGGAGGCTCAGTCTTCAACTTTTCTTTTCTTTTTCTTTTTCTTTTTTTGAGATGGAGTCTCTGTCACCCAGGCTGGAGTACAATGGCACAATCTTGGCTCACTGCAGCCTCCACCTCCCAGGTTCAAGCAATTCTCCTGCCTTAGCCTCTGGAGCAGCTGGGATTACAGGCACATGCCACCATGCCCAGATAATTTTTGTATTTTTAGTAGAGATGTGTTTTCACCATGTTGGCCAGGCTGGTCTCGAACTCCTGACCTCAAATGATCCACCTGCCTTGGCCTCCCAAAGTGCTGGGATTACAGGAGGGAGTCACCACACCCAAGCCAGTCCTCAACTTTTCTGTTAATACATGCAACTCACAACAACCTGCACTTTCATCCTGCCTGGAATCTTTCAGTTTTCCTGCATATGTGGGTCTGGAAAGTCTCAGGCATTATCTCTCCGAATATGGCCTCTTTCCCACTGTCTTTTTACTTTTTTGAGGGAGCACAGATTAATCATAGCTTAACCATTCTCATATTTTCCTTGTCTTTTAACCTGTCTCTCAAATTTTCCATTCTTTGGCTTCCCTGATGCATTTGTGGTAATTTCTTCAAATCTCTCTTCTCATTCATTAATTCTTTCTTTATCTGTGTGTCAAGCACATCCATTTAATTTTTAATTTCAAAGATTTCTTTTTTTCTTTTCCAGAAGTTCTACTTGATCCTTTTATAAACATCTGCCTGTACATTTTGTTGTCCCTTATTCCTCGATCCTTTGTTTCTATTCCATCATTTACTTTTTTAATACCTTGTTATTTTATAACCTATCTGATTATTGTATTATTTGAAGTCTTTGACGATCTAAATCAGTGTTTTTCAGCTGGGGGCAGTTTTTTCCTCTAGGGGACATTTGGCAATGTCTAGAGACAGTTTTGGTGGCATTGACTGGAGGTGGCAGTGGAGATGCTACTGGCATCTTGTGGGTAGAAACCAGGGCTGCTGCTAAGCATCCCCACAGTAAAGGATTTTGGTCCGAAATGTTTATAGCATTTACATTAAGACATCCTGGTTTCAATCTGTTGCTTGTTGGCTCTGCATCTGCACTCTTGCTAATGGTGACTCATTGCTTGGTCTTGAACTCCTGACCTCGTGATCCGCCCGCCTCGGCCTCCCAAAGTGCTGGGATTACAGGCGTGAGCCACCGCACCGGCCTTTTGAGTGTTTTGTTTGTTTGTTCTCTTTGATAAATCAGACAAAACACTTCTCTACAGAGGAGATTTGCGTTTGCTCCTGCCAGCCACCAGGGGGCACCACCAACCCAGGCCGCCACCCACGTGGGTAGCGTCAACTCAAACCCCCCTCTCGTGTGAAATATTTTGCGAAATTTTGCAAAATTTTGCGCATTAAATCCTGATGCCCTAGAGCTGACTTTCACATGCTGACTTTGAATTTCCCCACATCGACGCACAAATGAAGATCGGAGACTGCACGTGGTCACTGGCCACGGCTGGTCGGCCGGGAGCCAGGGTTTCAGTGGAGCTTGAGGTTAGTCCATCCTGCACCACGTGTGTCTGCATGTGACCATGTCATAGTGTGCTTCCTGCATCAGGTCCTGGAAGTGAGACAAAAACAGAAAGAGGCCAAATGCTGGTGATCGGAACTTTCCTCAAATCCTCAAACCAGGTCCCCTGTGGAAATAGGCGGATTCCATCCACCCGGCTGGCAGGGAAGTGCAAATGACCTCTGACCTCCTCTTCTCTCCTGGTCTTCTACTCTGGAGTCCAGGAGCGTATGTCAAGCACACACCTTTTCCCATGCTTCTTGTATGTGCAAAACAGACCTCAGGTACCAGGCACTCAGGTGTTTTTAATTCAGGGACTCATCAAGCCAGCCCGGTGGGGCTCTGTAAATCCAGTTAGAATTAGCCAGAGCTGGCTGACAGCAGTGCGTGTACCCATCCCTACAAAAGGCAGTTACCTGGCTACCAAAAGCCACGTTTTGCACTCAGCACACACTGACCCTGGTGTGGTGTCCTTTCCCAAGGCGCCATCTTACCCAGCCCATGCCCTCAATTAGCCTTCCTATTCATGATACAGTTAGTCCAAAGATGGAAATCACTCCACATGACTAAGGCCAGGCCTCTGGGACAGCACCGCTCTGCTCCCTTGACTTGGGTTCATCCACTGTGTGCTCAACTATGACAGGACAGACTGAAATGAAAGAGCATTATGCAATCAGAAATGGCTTTTAAAAGGAAAGGCCTAGTGAGGGGTCTTGCCCTTATCCACAATTCCAAGATCCCAAGAGTTCTCAAAACCAAAAATTTATTTTGTCAATTTGGCACAAACTCACGTGGCAGCAGAACTGGAACTGAACTGACCTGTGACTATTTGTAGTGTTTATATTCAGTAGAAATATTCATGCATTTTGCTGTGGAAATGTTGTGTGTTGATTGCAAGGTGCTTCCCCAGAATGCTAGGAGTATTGTGTAACATACAGATTTTGCACAGTGGCACCTACTAACATCATATTTCTGATTTTCAGCACACATCGGTTCCCAGCGTTCTGGATAAGGGGTTAACCCATGTTATTTACTAACTTTCAGGAAAAGATTCCCTATCCCTGCCACACACATAAGAATACATTTGAATGGGCAGGGCATGGTGGCTCATGCCTGTAATCCCAGCACTTTGGGAGGCCAGGACAGGAGGATTGCGTGCATCCAGGAGGTCAAGGCTGCAGTGAGCCATGATTGCACCACTGCTCTCTAGCCTAGGTAACAGAGTGAGACCCTGTCCTTATGCACTTAAATGTTTGTCAAATGTTTTCAAGTGCATGTTGGATGACAGCAGTGACTGTATGTAGAATGATTCATACCTCATGATCATGGTGAGGTAAATGTACAGGGATTTGAATGGGACCCACTTCTTTAGGTTCCTTCACCCCGTCCCATGATGCTGGACATCTATTAAGCACTAACCGTGTTTAGTGATTCCTTAACAAATCCTTAGCATTAGAGACTGCCGAAAACCTTTTTTGTTTGTTTTTAAAATTACACCAAGAATGCAGGAACACTATTTTATTTTTTTGTTTTTTTTGAGGCTGGGTTCTCCCTCTGTCACCCAGGCAGGGTGCAGTGGTGCAGTCTTGGCTCAATGTAGTCTTGACCTCCTGGGCTCAAGCAATCCTCCCACTTCAGCCTCCTGAATAGTTGAGACTACAGTGGTGGCACAGACCACCACTCCCAGCTAATTTTTCAGTTTTTTGTAGAGATGGGGTCTTGCCAACTTGCCCAGGCTGCTCTCGAACTCCTGGGCCCAAGTGATCCACCTGCTTCAGCCTCCCAGAGTGCTGGGATTACAGGCGTAAACTACTGTGCCCAGCTGGAACACTCTTATTGTATTAAACTGGTGCAAATGTAATTGTGATTGTTGCCATTAAAAGTAATACCGTGGGCTCAACTTTTGCCATTAAAAGTAATACTGTGTGCTCAACTTTTGCCATGAAAAGTAATGGCAAAAACTGCAATTACATGTGCACCGACTTAATAAAAGCAATACTAAAAATATACAATACAATATGAGAAACTTCTGCTTTACCAAACACCCTCACATCCCCCCGTCCCCAAAGTAACCCTATCAATACTTAAGGTACATTTTTCCTGTGCACTCTCTGAATACTTATATAGGTATGTATGTAGCTGTATACACTTAGGTTTTATAATAATATAAATGGGATTGTGCTATGCTATATATTATTCTGCATTTTGCTTTTGTTCACTTATAGGTCCTTTCATATTGGTGTATATAGATCCACTTCATTCTATGGTACAGAAATACCATAGTTTAAATAACTTCTTTTGTATAGGTTTCTAGAAGTCAGATTGCAGTATCAAAGGGCATGCAGTTTTAAATTTTGATAGGCACTGCCAAATTGCCTTTCAATAACCTCCACCAATTGATAGTACATGAAAGTTATTATTTCTCTGAATTCTTGTCAGCATTTGATATTATTAATCTTTTCTAACTTTTGCCCACCTGATAGGTAAAAATAAAATCTTAATGTTTGAGCATGCATTTCCCAGCTTACTTGTGAAGCTGAACATCTTTCTTCATTTGTTTGTTGGACATGCATGTTTCATCATTAATGAGTTGTTTGTTCATAGTCTTTGCACATTTTTCCAGGATACTTATTATCCTCTTATTGATATTTTAGGAGCTCTTTATATATGTTCTTTTAATTTATTGTCTTTTTAATTGAGATGTACTTTTCACACAGCAAAATATGCAGGTCTCAAGTGTGGAGTTTGAAGAATTCTGACAAAGATATAACTTGTGTAATCATTGCCCACATCAAGACATAAAACATCTCCATTGCTCCTGAAAGTTCCCTTGGCTCCTTTCCAGTCAATACCCAAGGGCAACCATTGTTCTAATTTCTATCACTAGTGATTACATTTGTTTCTTTCTGTACCTCATATAATGCAGTCATACAGGTAAATTCTTTCATGAATTCTGTAAGAAAGAAGAGGCAACCACAGTATGTATTTATGTATGTACTCACATGAATAACACACACGTAAAGGAATACAGGAAGAATAAACTGGAAACTAATGGAGGAGGATGGGAGGGAATTAGCATGGGAATGAAATGTCTCCAAATAGGATTTTAAATATAGTTTTGTGTTTTGAATCATTTGTACATAATTTGTACATGATTTACATGTTCAAAAAATTAAATCAAATTTAAAAAATAGGAAAAAGAAACCCTCCCCAAATTGTGCACGAAGAGAAACAAATAAACCTAATTGTAAATTAGAGAGCTTAACCACAGAGCAAAACAAACAAAAACACCAACACACACACACACACACACACACACACACACACACACGACCAAAAACCTATTCAAATAATTTTGAAAAAAATACCCTAACTATACATCTGTGGTGGGATATATTTTAAGGACAAATAAAACTACAATGATGTCTTAAGCTTTACCTAGTAGGTTTATGATAAATAGTAATGATATGGTAATTTTGAAGGAAGTTTATGTATATTAAAAAAATAAACTAGTAAATAAGAATATATTAGGAAACAAGATTCTCTATGTAAAAGAGACTCAAGTATTACAGTTTTAAGAAAATGAATAAAAACCCACCCGGATGTTAAATTTGAACAGATTCTATAATTATGAGCTCATTTTATTTTTCCTAACTCTGTCCACTGAAAAAGCCTTGACGCAATAACAGCCCAGGAGCAGAGAGACCAGCTAGTACCCAGATCTTGATTTCTAAATGCTGTTACCCACCAGGAGGAACTAAAATTTTCTGCAGAAATGGCTGACTCCAGATCCATGAAAATGAAGCTCCATGTCAAGCCTGGGATGTCTTATGGTCCCAAGAAGGAAGGATATGCTTAAAAACTACTGAGGTCACATGGAAAGGACACGGAAGCTGACTGAGGGATCTGCCTCACTAAGTTTTGGGACTACTGAGCATCAAAAAGAATGACTGTAAGGGGGCCGAGCTTGGTGGCTCATGCCTGTAATTCCAGCACTTTGGGAGGTCAAGATGGGCGGATCACGAGGTCAAGAGATCGAGACCATCCTGGCCAACATGGTGAAACCCCGTCTCTACTAAAAATGCAAAACTTGGCCGGACATGGTGGTGGGCCCTGTGGTCCCAGCTACTTGGGGAGGCTGAGGCAGGAGAATCACTTGAACCTGTGAGAGGGAGTTTGCAGTGAGCTGATATAGCGCCACTGCACTCCAGCCTGGTGACAGAGTGAGACTCCATCTCAAAACAAAACAAAACAAAACAAGAATGACTATAGTTAATTAAAATGCATTAAACAAATAGAAAATTCATGAGTTCACAGTGTATGTTGGGGGGGTGGGGGAGGGAAGTAGGCAGGAGGAAAGTTCTTTGCAAAAGAACGCCACCTGATACGTGTAGAAGGAATGAGACAGAAAGCCACCATTTTGCAACCTCCAATGTAACTCTTGATTCAGGCAGGATCATCAATAGATGCTAAATACCACTGGGTGAAGGGTTATTAGGGAACAGGATATTTGTGCAGTTGCAAAGAAACTCCCCCCAGATTACTTACTAAGTACAAAGGGGAAGAGGTACCATTATAATAGGGAGAGATGATGGTCATGCGTTTAGCCACATGCTCAGACTTAGTATCCTTTGTTAGTTTCTCAAGCTGACATCTCAGGCCTCCTGATGTAAGGTGATGAGAAGACAGTATCACCTGTGGGTATTTTTGCCAAAGTGTTTAGCCTGATATAATTAAGGCATTAGTCCCAACTTTCAGATCACAGGATTTACAGGGTATGGAGGAACAGGTTTAATGACAACAAGAAAAAATAATCGGGCTGGACCTGTAATCCCAGTACTTTGGGAGGTCGAGGCTGGAAGACGGCTTGAGGCCAGGAGATTGACACTACCTTGGGCAACATAGTAGGACAAAAAATTTTTATTAAAAGAAAAAGAAAAGAAATTGACAAAAAAGCTGACATTCACATAACATAAAATTCACCATTTTAAAGTGTGCAATTCAGCGGCATTTAGTGCATTCAAAACATGCACCCACCAAACAAATTTTTATTTAAAAAAACTCTACAAAAATGTACAAAAAAATTTTATTTAAACACAAAAAAAATTTATTTTAAAAAAAGAAAATAATAGGGCAAATCTACAGTGTGGGCCATTCTATAAGACTGTAAGGTTTGGATTCTTCAAAAAGTCAATGGTCTGGAGATAAAATTTGAGGATATTTTAGCATAAAAGAGGCCCCAATTCCACAAGTGCTGTGGGAAACAACATAGGACCCTGGTGAAAACAGTAAACAAGACCAGATGCAGTGGCTCATGAGCCTGTAATCCTAGCACTTTGGGAGGCCGAGGCGGGCAGATCACTTGAGGTCAGGAGGTCAAGAACAGCCTGGCCAACATGGTGACACACCGTCTCTACCAAAGGTACAAAAATCAGCCAGGTGTGTTGGCATGCGCCTATAATCCCAGCTACTTGGGAGGTTAAGGCGGGAGGATCCCTTGAACTGGGGAGGTGGAGGTTGCCGTGAGCTGAGATCGCACCATTGCACTCCATCCTGGGCAACAAGGGCAAAACTCCGTCTCAAAAATAAATAAATAAATAAACAAAACAGTCAACCAACCAAACAAGAAACGTATGAAAGACATATTTGGGAGGATCGGGAAATGTGAATATGGACTGGAGGCAGAAACTATATAGAATTATGGTTGATGTGGTCATGCGTGAGAATGGGTCCATGGCTATGCAGGGGAACATTCTTCTGTTCTTCTACAGAAGAGGAAATAGTAAATAGAAACATATTAAGAACACGGTTTTCTATAAAAAGGAGACTCAAGGAACTGAGGATGAAGCCTTTTTTGGTCTGTAACCTGTCTTCAAATGGTTCAGCAAAACAAATGTTTGTAGAATGAAATATGTTGCAGTATGGCAACATATTAAAATTGTTGAACAGGGCCTGGGCTATGTTTGGGCCAGCGAGGTGCCTCAGCCATGACCTTGCAGGGTCCACCCTGCCCCTTGCAGGCCCCAAGAGTGAGTGTCTTCTTCAGTGCGGTGCTGGAGGCACTTTACTGGTCTCACCCTAGTCCTGGCCCTGTGGCTGAATTTGGGTAGTGAGAAAATGAGTGTTCATTATATTATCTTTAAACTCTTCTGTATGCTTAAAAAAGATAAAATGATCCAAATGTCCATCAGCGAATGAATGTGGATAGACAAATGTGATAGACCCATATGATGGACTGTTATGCACTTACAAAAAGGAGTGCAGTACTGATGCATGCTGCAAGTGGATGAACTTACAAAAAGGCATGAAATACCGATGCCTGCTACAAGTAGATGAACATTGAAAACATCACGCTAAGTGAAGGAAGCCGCTCACAAAACACTACATATTGTATGATGATTTCTTTTATACAATATAACCAGAATAAAAGAGGAAAGAAAGAAGGAAAGAAAGAAAGAAAGGAAGAAGAAAGAAAGAAAAGAAAGAGAAAGAAGGGGAAAGGGAAGGGGAGGGGAGGGGAAGAGAAGAGGGGAGAAAAGGGGAGGGGAGGGGCAAATCCAGACAGACGGAAAGCAGATTAGAGGTTATCAGGGGTTTGGGGGAGGGAGAGGGAATGGAGAGTGCTTCCTTAATAGGTATGAGGTGTTTTTATGGGGTGATAAAAAAGTTTTGAAACTAGAGAGAGCTGATGGTTGCACAACATTTGGAATGCACTAAATGCCGCTGAATTGCGCACTTTAAAATGGTTAATTGTATGTTATGTGAATGTCATCTCAATTAAAAAAAATGATCTGAGTAAAAAGTTAAGGAACAAAATGGTCAGATGTAGGTATAAAAACGATGCCTTTTCACTTTGGGAGGCCGAGGCGGGTGGATTACTTGAGGCCAGGAGTTTGAGACCAGCCTGGCCAATATGATGAAACCCTGTCTCTACCGAAAATACAAAAATTAGCCGGATGTGGTGGTATGTTCCTGTAGTCCCAGCTACTCAGGAGGCTGAGGCAGGAGGATCGCTTGAGCCCAGAAGGCAGAGGTTGCAGTGAGCTGAGATTGCGCCACTGCACTCCAGCCTGGGTGACAGAGCAAGACACCATCTCAAAAACAAAACAAAACAAAAAGATGTCTTTTTAAGCCAGGCACAGTGGCTCATGCCTGTAATCTCAGCACTTTGAGAGGCCGAGGCAAGAGGATACCTTGAGCCCAGGAGTTTTGATACCAGCCTGGGCAGCACAGGGGGACCCCGTCTCTGTAAAAAAAAAAAAATAACAGAAAAATTAGCCAGGCATGGTGGTGCACACCCATAGTCCCAGCTGAGGAGGCTGAGGTTGGGAGGATTGCTTGAGCCTGGGAGGAGGTCGAGGCTGCAGTGAGCCATGATTGCACCACTGCACTCCAGCCTGGGTGACAGAATGAGCCCTTGCCTCAAAAAAAACATATATATGCCTTTTCAAAAGTGATGAAAATGGCACATACATGTAAAGGAAGATCCCTCAGAATTCTGGCCTGCGGAAAGGTAGCAAAGCAGTGACACAGGGTCATGTGATGTGGCCGAGCACTGGCTGCGCTGTGACACTGGGACAGTCACTTGCCCTCTCTTGAGCCGGTTTCTCCACTCTCTAGCTTTATCCCAGCTGTGGCTGCGCCTGCTCCAAGCGTTTGATGTCCCACCGGGGCCTCAGCGAGAGAGACGCTGTGCACCCGCAGCTTGCCTCCCCTTTCACCTCGCAGAGCACCTGCGCCCAGGGGGCGGAGCTTCAGGGAAATGTTCTCCTGTTCTGGGAACTCACTCGCAAGCACAGTTTCCTGACCTGACCTTAAGAGCTGGTTCCCTATGGGTGACACAGTGGTGCCAAGTGTCCCACAGGTGATGTTGATTTGGTCAGGAGGTGTGGTTGGTGAAACAGCCTCTGAGGGTTCCAGCGCGGGCGGCCCCTCCACCTGGCTCTTTCAGGGGCCTGGGGGCCAAGGCACTTGGCGCTCCAGAACAAAAGAAGAGACCCTGGTGCTTGTGATTGGCGTGGAATAAAAATAACAAAAGAACCGCTGAGCGCTTACTCCATGCCGGTTGCTGTGTTAAATGCTATGCTGGCCCCTCCTAATGGCCCTCGGATGTGGGACTGTCACTGGGTCTCATCACCAAGAGGAGGTGGAGGGCCAGGCAGGCTGAGTTAGTTGCTGAAGGCACACACAGCTGGTCAGCGGCGGGGCTGGATTCAAACCTGGATGTCTGACCCCAGAGCCTGAGCTGTCCATGAGGGAGACCCTGAATCCACCCACACACACGAAGAGAACTGTGGCCTGTTGAGCCCTACTGTGCAGTGCACCCTTTAAGCTCAGGATTGAAACTACCTCACTTACTGCTTACCACTGGCGCCATATAGCAGGCATTCTGGTATTACCTCTATTTACAGGACAGGGACTAGGGGCTCAGAGGAGTTCATTTGCCAGACATCACTCAGTGGGGACCCAAGCCAGCTCTGTCTGCAGTCCCATGGCTGACCTGTCTTTGTAGGGGGCCTCCCCTGTCATTTGCTTCTCTGAGGAGCATTTCACTCCATTTTCTAGAATGAGAAGAGCAGGAAGGCCTGTTTCTGTCAGCTTGGGTGGGCCGTCGGGCAGAGGCCTGGCTGTGTCTTTGCAGCGTGGCTTTGATGCTCCCTGGAGGAAGGAGTGTGCATGGTGGAGGAGATGGAAGCTTCCAGAAGGGAGGACACCTGAGGCAGTCTGACTGCCCACAAGCCAGGGACACAAATAGTTCTCTGAGGGAGGCCAGGGAAAGAACACAGCTGTGGACAGAATTCTGGGGACAGCCACCAGAGCTCCCTGGTGCTTTGAGGTCCCTTGAGGCAGGGAGCTGGGGACAGGAAGTCTTGGTTTTGTTTTTGAGTGTCTCTTGTGTCCATATTGGGCTGTGTCCCTTGAGGAGCCATGGAGTGGGGGCTGGCTCTGTCTGTATGTTCAGCAATGGATCCAGCAGAGAAGATGCCCAGGCTTCCAGACACCCTTGGCCACTCCAGCTTCCTAGGTGTGAATCCCTTCCTTCCTCCAGTGCTCAGAACCAGACAGAGCCAAGCTGGCTAGTTCTAGCTTATACCTATTCCTGTCAGCCTTGCGCACCTCCTGGCCCCTGCCTATCTACTCTGGCTCATGGCTGGCATTGCTCTGGTTGGCTGATGCCTGCACTTCTGAGGTGAAGGATCTTCCTGGGTTTGGGCACTGATGTGACCCCAGTCCTGGGCAGGAAGGGCTTTTAGTGGGGAGATGGAGGGCCTGGAGGATTCCCAGGGAGCACTGACTGAGGCCTGCGTGGGGAGTTGTTGCTGGAGCTGACCTGGGGCCAATCGTCCCACCTTCCATCTCTGGGTAGAGCAGGCAGGGTTTGCCAAGGGGAAGGGTCTGTAACCTTCTGGTGTATTTCTGAGGAGAAAGTTGGGCTCCCATGACCCCCTCTAGGTATGGGGTCCAATCCACTTCACAGGGATAAAGTACTAACGAGAGATCCAAGGCATGAGATTACAAGGGTGGCAAGGAGAGGACCTTGGCCAGGGCCTCTGATGTCAGAGACAAAGCAGAGGTTTTATGGCAGATGGGGGGACTCAGGCCTCCAGCATTGGAGATAGTACAGGTCCTCAGACTATGCCTGAGGGGGAGGTGGGGGGTTTGGTGGGCTTATGAAGACGTTTACCTGCTTGTATCTTTCCTTCATCCTTCCTATCTGTCCATCCCTCCCTCCATCCCTTCATCCCTCCATCCACCCATCCCTCCATCCCTCTATTCATCCATCCCTCAATCTCTCCATCCATCCATCCCTCCACCCCCATCCATCCACCCATCCCTCTCTCCATCCCTCCATCCCTCTGTCCACTTACCCTTCCATCCCTTTATCCACCCATCCCTTTATCTCTCCATCCATTCATCCATCCCTCCCTCGTTCCGCCCCTCTAGCCATCCACCCATCTCTCCCTCCATCCTTCTATCCACTCATCCTTTCTTCGCACTATTCACTCATCCCTCATCCCTCTGTCCACCCATCCACCCATTCCTCCATCCACCCATCACTCCATCCACCCATCACTCCCTCCATCCATCTACCCATCCTTTCATCTCTCCATCCATCCCTCCTTTTCTCCATCCCTCTATCCATCCACTCATCCCTCCATCCACCCATCCCTCCATCCCCCTATCCACCCATCCCTCCATCCCTCTATCCACCCATCCCTCCATCCCTCTCTCCATTCATCCCTCTATCCCTCTGCCTTTGCCTCCCTCCATCCTTCCATCCCTCCATCCCTCCATCCCTCCACCCAACCATCCCTCTATCCCTCCATCCACCCATCCCTCCCTCCATCCCTGTATCCACCCATCCTTCCATCTCCCCATCCATCCACCCATCCACCCATCCCTCCCTCCATCCCTCTAACCACCCATCCTTCCATCTCCCTATGCATCCATTCATTCATCCACTCCTCCATCCACCTCTCCCTCTCTTCATCCCTCTATCCATCCACTCATACTTACATCCCTCCATCCATTCATCCATTCCTCCCTCCCTCCTTCCCTCCTTCCCTCCATCCACCCATCCCTCTGTCCCTCTATCCACCCATCCCTCCATCTCTCCATCCATCCATCCCTATATCCTTCCATCTATTCATCCATCCCTCCCTCCTTCCACCCCTCTATCCATCCACCCATCCCTCCTTCCATCCCTCCATCCATCCCTCCCTCTCTCCATCCCTCTATACATCCCTCCCTCTCTCCATCCCTCTATACATCCACTCACTCCTCCATCCATCCCTCCATCCATTCATCAGTCCTTCCCTCCCTCCTTCCTTCTATCCATCCACGCAGCCCTCCATCCATCTCTCCATCTCTCCCTCCCTCCATCCCTCCATCTCTCCCTCCCTCCACCCCTCCATCTCTCCCTCCCTCCATCCCTCCATCTCTCCCTCCCTCCATCTCTCCATCCATCCACCCCTCCATCCACCCTTCATCCATTCATCCCTCAATTCCTCCCTCCCTCCATCCTTCTCTTCCTCCATCCCTCCCTGCCCCCCTGCCTCCCTCCCTCCCTCCATCATCATTTCATTGAGTGCCTGCTACATTCCAGACTCTGAGCTAGACTTTGGGAACAAGAGGTAAACAAAGACATAACCCTTTTTCTCAGCACTTGGAAGGGAGTCAGACAGGAAAACAGATGGTTTTGATGGAGGGGTGTGTAAAGTAGATGGCTGCTGGGGTTGTGTTCTGCCCTTGGGAGTCAAGGGAAACTTTACAGAAGAGAAACATTTGAGCAGGGTCCTGAAGGACAGGCAGGCAAGAAGGAAAGGGAAGAGCATTATGGCAGAGGAAGCAGCAGGTACAAAAACACTGTGGCATCAGAGCTAGCGTGGGGAGAGGGTGCTGAAAGGGCAGGCTGGCACCAGGGTGGGCAGGACTTGGGTGCATGCTAAGGAGTGAAGCTGTCATCCCCTAGCCCTGGGTTATCTGTGGCTCCCGGCCTCCCTGAGTGTGCCTGAAACCACCCACCTGGGCCCCTGTCAGGCTCTCCCTCCCGGGCATCATCCTTGTGCTGTCCACCCTGGCCTGCTACCCTGGAGGCTGGGGTCATGTCCATCCTGAGATAGTGAGGAGGAGGTGAGGGGACAACTGCTGGGACGGTCTGGAGCTGACTGTCACTGCAGGTGGCAGGCACATGTGGAACCCCAGGGAAGGCGTGGCAGGGGCTCATCTCTATTCCTGTCACACTCTCACCCCAGCCACGCACAAGTGAGTTCTTCCAAGTGGGTTCATTGTCTCTGCTCAAAGGCTGGGGAGGCATCCTCTGTGTGTGCTCCCTTGCCAGAGGGGAAGCGGCTGGCTCCCCACCTCCGCCAAGCCCTCCTTGTCACTGCTGCCGACTTCTTGGCACGGTGCCTCGGCCTTGTTATCATGGGCTTTGTGCTGTCACCTTTTATTACAGAGCCTTCAGAAATTCTCCGAATCGCCTCGCGGCTCGCCGGTTATCGCGCTCACCACAGCGCGCTCGCTCGCGTGAACCTCTGGGCCTAAACCGCAAGGCAGCTCGGCGCACCAGCAACTTCTGCTCCAGCCTGGGGCCCCTTCCCCTCTCCTCCCGCAGCCCAGCTGGGCCCGCCAAGCTTCTCTTTCCGTCTTTGCTTCTAAATCTTAGAAATGGAAGTGAAGCAGAGCCAGGCAGGGGCAAGCAGGTCCAGGGAGGGCCTGAGGGTCAGAGGAGGCCTGGGGAGCTCTGTTTGGAAGAAAGCTGGGTAGGGGGAGTGGACTGGGGGTGTGACAGGGTTGGGGTGCCTGCCAGAGGCACAGTGGACCTATTCTTCCAACTGGGTTCCCACTTGCTCCAGCCTGTCCAGAAGGCATGCCTCGGCCTCAGCCAGAGGGCCTCTCAAGAGAGCAAATGTGTGTGCCAGGGAGAGACAGAAACCCAGTATGACACGGACAGAGAAGAATTTATGTGAGAGGGAAAAGAGACAATTAGTCCAGATTTTTCTTATCCTCCTCCTCTGATCTCCTGATTCTTGATGACTGTCATGGGGAGTGCTTTATAACAACTGCTCAGAAAGTGTTTATTGAACAAATAAAGAACTCAGCATTTGACATCCTACTACCTGGAGATATAGTAGGCTCAGCAAGGGTGCCAGGGATTCAAGGCCCCTGCACTCCTTCCTCCCTCCAGGGTCTGACCAGTGAAGCTTCCACACACAGCGAGCACAGTTCAGAGGAGGCAAAGCCTGTATGTTAAAGGGCAGTGGGCACCTGGCATCCTTGGAAAAAGAGCATGGCCTCCACGTGAGCGCAGGAAGTGAAAGACGTGTCTCCCTACCCTGAACTGGGCCAGGACTGGTGGGCTCACAGCTCAGATTAGCAGCTTGTCCAGGTCCTCAGTCCCAACTCGTTTCTAAAGTGGGCAGGGGACACCCATACTCTATGAGCAGGGATGCAGCCTGGGGAGAGGAGGAGGAAGCTCACTCTTCCATGACTGCATCTTTAGAAACACAAGTGCTTCTCCAGTGGAGATCCTTTGGGTATTTTAAGAGAGATGAATACAGTTAGATGGGTGTGTGCTTATCACTTAATAATAATGATTATGATGATCATGATAACAGTCTGACTGTTTGCAGTTTACAAATCACTTTCACATCTACTATCATGTCTGAGCCTCCCATCAACCCCATGGAGTAGGTGTGCCCATCCTTGTTTTACAGATGAGGAAATGGAGGTGACCTGCTTAAGGTCACAGAGTATGGTGAGGCTGGGATGAGGTCTCGCTGGGCTCAAACCCCACCTGTGAGATGAGCTGGGCTAATGAACCCCTGAACTGAGAGAAGGAAAAGGGGCAGGAAGGTTTGAGCTGGTATCGTGTGATGTAGGAGTGTGGGGCTGAGGGGAGTCACAGCCTGCTTGACTGGGGGTCTGGTTCTTACTGTTTTCTGTGTCCCCAGAAAAAGGTATGTGTGGGTTTACAGGCAATTTAGAGGCTCAAAGGTGCTCACCTGTTGGGAAGGAGCGAGTCCCAGAAAGTGAGGGAGGACAATACCAAAGCTGATGGGTGGCTCAGCCCTTCCTGACTTCCAGGTAAATTTTTATTTTTTATTGTTTTGAGACAAGGCCTGGCTCTGTTACCCAGGCTGGAGTACAGTGGTGTGATCACGGCTCACTGCATCCTCCACCTCCAGGGCTTGAACCATCCTCCCATCTCAGTCTCCTGAGTAGCTGGGACTACAGGTGTCCGCCGTCATGCCTGGCTAATTTTTGTGTTTTTTGTAGAGATGAGGTTTTGCCATGTTTCCCATGCTGGTCTTGAACTCCTGAGCTAAAGTGATCTGCCGGCCTCGGCCTCCCAAAGTGCTGGGATTACAGGTGTGAGCCACCGTGCCCGGCCCCAGGTGAAATTTTTGACCCCACTTACAGTTAAAGCAATTTCTGAGAAAATGTGATTTTTTTCCCTCAAGCTCAACACAAAACACGTGTAATTCAGAAACACCTTGATTCCCTTAATAGTTTGTTCTTAGAAAGTAAATGGAAGACACTTCTCCAAAAGAGCCATGCAATGATTGGGGATGATGTTGCCAACAAACATCCCAATGACAACTAAATCAAAGCAGTGACCAATAGTTGTGTCATAATGGAGGCAGCAGCTGTAGATGTCTATCGTCATGTAAAATATAAAACTGTGCTTCAAGTCCTATAAAATGGATGTAAATGTTTACTTCACACTGTGATTACAAGAGGAGCCCTGATTTGCAATAAAATCTAAAGATAGACAATAAAATGGACCTCTGCTGTATTATAATTTCAACCTGAACTAATTAATGTACTATCTTTCATAAGGGTTAATTAAAATTTTATTTAAAGAATTTTTTTTTTAACAATTTTGGAAGCATTCTTGAAGGCATAATTGTCAATATTTGAGAAACAAAAACCACGAAAAAATAGTTGCAGCAGGTGCCTCCTTTTTCTTTTCGATGTATTCCCACAGCAAACGTGCCCTTTCTGTTGTACTTTGCGGCCTTTTGGGCTGGGTCCCAGGGGCAAGCAGGGGGAACAGTGATACCAACAGCAGTGATGGCACGGGGCAGACCTGCACCAGGAGGTGGCTGACCTTTAAGTCCTGCCTGCCCCTCCCAACCACCTTGGTAGGGACCGTTACCATCTCTGTTTTTCAGGCAGGAACCCAGGGTGCCCAGAGGCACCTGCCCAAGTCCCCCAGGTTTCGAATGCAGGCCTGCGTCACTCTACAGCCAACACTTTCTACTAAGCCATGGCCTTTCAGATACTGGCAGAAATCATGGAAGGAACAGCAAAAAGCAGAGAAAAATGGATATTGGCATGAATTAATTGCAATGAAAATGGAAGTTGTTGGAAAAAGAAGCAGCTGTGTTTTTGACCCTTTGAAAGGCAGAAAGGTCAAGGTAGGACAGAGGCAGATGCTCAGGTCCTGGAGTGCGCTCCAGCTTGAGAGGCAGCCATGGGGAAGGGCCGATGCTGGCCATCCTGGAGCTGGGCACCTATTCCCCAGGAACTCCTGCTCAGCTACTCATCTCTGTCCTTCTGTCCCAGCTTGGCTCTGGGAAGCCCCATGGCCTAGGAAAGGGAACACTTTTTTTTGAGAGCCCAATTCAGTGCAAGGTGCCCTGTGGCCCTCTTTGGTCCTCACACAGTTCTGCAAGTTCAGTGTTGCCAGATCTGTGAATTTGCTAAGTGAGAGGCAGTAGGGGCTGTCATTCAGGGCATGGCCTCTGGCCGGAGCTGCTAAAATCCCAACTTTTCTGCTCACTAGACCGGAGGCAATGAGACTTCACCTCTTTGCATGCGGTTCTCTCTCCATCGTCTTACGAAGTATTTTTCAAGCATCTGGATCTCAGAGCTCCACTCAGTCCCAGGGGTCCCGTATCTTCTCTCTTTCTCCTCTCGCCCCTCAAACCAAGCCCCCTACCCCACATCTCCTTTCCTTTCTCCCTTACAAAACAAAAACACCTAGGCACATCAAGGGATTTCAAAGGGCCTGGGAAATGTAGATGGGGCCATCACCTGCCCTAACAGTGTCTGGCCTCTGGCTCAGCAATGTTTAGATGCCATGTTACGCCCCTACAAAAATGCTGTGAGACAGGCGTTATTAACGTACTTTACAGAGGAAGAGACTGAGGCTCAGAGGGGACAAGCTTGGGCCAAGGTCACTCAACCAGTTAGTGGCCAAACTGGGATTCAGACCCAGGGCTGTTTGGTACCACCCTTTTTCCAGAAGCCGGGCAAGTGTCAGGCCGGCTTGCTGGCAGGGGTCGGTGGGCTCTGGGTCCCTTCCCTGAAGCCACACAGACATTATTTGATGCTCTCAGACCTACTTTCCAAGTGCATCTGATGGGCATCCCAACCTCGGGTTTAATTGTGCCTGCCCCTTGAGGAAGTCGGGCAACTACCACCTTCACAGAAATGTGGGCTCTGCCAGTCTTCAGGTTCACTTCAAACTGCAGAAGCCCTGAGGTAACTTCATGTTCTTGTTTCTCAGTAATTAAAGCTGCCTGAGTCTGCGTCTGAAAAAGAACTTTCTCCCGCCCTTTCTTTCTACTCGTTCCTCTTTCTTATGTTTTTGAGATTTTAAATGCAAAATGCCCAAGATAGCATACATTCTGTCTCCCTTTTCTTCCCTGCCCTTTGTATCTCTGAATCCTTAAATCACATGCCACACCAGCCCGTTTAGCATAAAAAATTAAATTAATTTTCATGCTCCAACTCCAGATGTGAATGCCTTTATTAATAATTTAAAGCACATTTATTTATGCAGTTTGATATTTTTTCAGGTTCAGGGAAGCAATTAAGTTTTGCTCAAGTTGCTGATCAGCACACAGTATCACCGCTGACTCTTTTTCCCTGTCTACCCCTCCGGAGGTGCTGGGGGAGGGGAAGAGTGCAGGCAGAGACTGGCAGGGACGCCCCTCCTCACCCTCCAGTCTGCCTCCACCCCTGCTTCTGGGAGACAGGTGCTTGCAAAATTGAAGAGAGCACATGTATTTGCTCCAGTCCATCTCAAGAAAGGCCAATTTCTTTCTCCAAATTGCCTTGGAAGATTAAACTGGACCTTCAGAGGTCCTGGCCACTGAAAATTCTTCCTTAGCTAGATCCTTGGGAGACTGTTGTCATCAATAAGTCACTTTTAACTTTTAACTCAGCAAGTGATTTCCCATCTATTAAGGGCTTGGCTACCTGCGGGTGAGAGGAGCTGGCTCGGCTGCTTAGGATCTGGTGAGCTGGGGAAATCTGCTGCAGTGCTATTCATCTCCGTTTCCTTATCTGAGAAAGGAAAGAGTGATTTTACCTGAACAGGGCTGTTGTGAAGATCGAGCCGCAGGATAATATATACAAAAGCCCCTTGTGATCTACCTGCCACCTCCCTGCAGTGGCCTCGCGCTTTCCCCACCTCATGCCTTTGCTTGGGCTGCACCCGCCCCTGTCATGCCGTTCCTTCTCAGCTTCCTAGGCAGCTCCTCCCTGTGCTGTGCAATGAAAATGTTTTACATTCCTCCATGGCTTGGTACTACTCAGAGGGCTTTTGCATAACCTGATATGATTTCATCCTCAGAAACAATATTTTAAACAGGGTTCCCAAGAGGTATGACTCCCTGGGGACAGATTAGAACTCAGACATGTTCTCTGGATCCCTGGTCAACCATACTAACCCAACACATGCACCATCGGGCCCCTGTACGCCAGGACTGTGTGTGATGCCATGGGGCAACAGGGGTGGGGGCCCACCTGGATGACTGGGGCCATCTCTGTCTGCCAGGGCCCTTGGTCTAGGGGGACAAAGAGCCAGTGGCACCCTGCTCTTCTCGGCATGGGCTGCGTGTTGAGAAAGATGCCGAGAAACAGAGCTGGAGTCCGGAATCCAGGATCAAGCCTGGCAGTGAGACCTCGAGCAAGTCTCATCCATGTGGGCTGCAGTTCCCAAAATCAGATCTTCCCACCTGTGTTCACTGACAGAGTAGAACTCAGATCACCCTTAGTCTCCCTCTTCCTCATCCCCACCTCTCAATTTCACCTCCTGGATTTCACGTCTCTGGAACCTATCGCCTGTCCCCCTCTAACTGTTACCTCCTCGCTCTAAGGCACCATCGTCTCTCCTGGGCACCACTCATAGACCCTGACAGATGTCCTGCTGCCGTCTCTGGCAGATTTGCACCCGCGCAGCTGCCGGGCCATCTTCTAAAAGCTCAGGCACGTCGAAGAGCTCCAGGGGCTCCTTGTGGCCTCAGGATCGAGGCCAAATACTTCCCCATGTCCTACAGCCCACTGCACACATGGTGTGGCCCCTGCTGACAGCCCCGGTTCCAAATTCTTCCATCCCTCCTCGCTGCTTCTACTTCTAAGCCCACCCATCCTTTTCCCAGTTTCTAGAACACACCATGTACCTTCCTACAGGCTGCTCCTTCTGTTGTGTCTCCTCCTCCCTCTAACCCTCCCCTTGCCTGTTCAATGCCAGATCGTTGTTCCTTCCTCAGGGACCCTCTGGAATCCAACAGTTCTCCTATCAAACGCTCTTGTGCCACCCTGTCTTGTCTTCCACAGCCCCTGCCCAGTCTGGGATTCCATACTGACTTCTGTGATGGTGGGCCGGATGGTTGTGTTCTCACTGGAGTGTCAGACTGCTGCTGCTTCTTGTTTTTGAGACAGAGTCTTACTCTGTCATCCAGACTGGAGTGCAGTGGCATGATCATAGCTCATGGCAGCCTCCACCTCCCCAGGCTCAGGTGATCCTCCCACCTTGGTCTCCTGGGTAGCTGGGACTACAGGCACGTACCACCATGCCCAGCTAATATGTTTGTAATTTCTGTAGAGAAGGGTTTTCGTCATGTTGCCCAGGCTGGTCTCAAACTCCTGGGTTCAAGTGGTCCTCCTGCCTCGGCCTCCCAAATTGCTGGGATTACAGGTATGAGCTGTTGTGCCCAGCTATGGAATGCCAGGCTTCTGCCTGCCTCATTGTATGCCCAGCACCTCACCGAGAGAGTGGCACACAGCAGATGCCAAATGCATATACACAGCTGGATGGAGAGCACTGCCCATGAAGAAATGACAACTCTGAATGCCTTCCTATGAGATGGCTCCATCAGCTGGACTGTCTCTGGCATACCTCGGTGAGTGCTTTCAGCCATGGCTGCACATCATGGCCATTTATAGCAGGGGTAGGAGCAGGGAGGCTGTCACAGGTTAGGGGCTATGCGGGCTGGGAACAGGAGAAATGGCTACAGCCCCATCTTGAGCATGGGAGGCAGTGTGTTTTGGAAACAGCATTGGACCGGATGGGAGTCAGGAGAACTGGAGTTTGCTTTGGCTCCTACGCCTTTGAGCAGCCTCTCTTACCCTCAGTTTTGTCATGTCACACTGGGGAGAATCTCTACTTTCCACAGTCAGTATGGAAGTTCCATACAACATCACACTCCAAAGGGCTTGGCCTGGCGTTTCTTTCCTTCCCTGTCTTCCTGGCCCCCTCCTCTTCCCCTCCTGTGATTGCTACCCAGGTGAAGTGAGGGGACCTGTGAGGCCCTACGCAGGGCAAGACAGCCGGGGACAGGCTGGAAAGCTCACTTTGCTTTTGCCACCTTCTTGACACTCTTCACTGTGAGAGATGATCTTACTGATGTATTCATTTCCTTGCCTCCCCCAAGTAGGATATCAACTCTGAGAGCAGGGAGCTTACTCTGCTTAGTCACCTCTATCTCCAGCACAACCGGAGTCTCTAGCTTGCCCTGGGCTCTCAATACCTGCTTTGAAGATGGAAGTGAGAGAGAGGCAACAAGGAGCCCTGGACACATGGAGGGTGGGGGATAAAGAAAGAAGAGTATGGGAGCTGGGACTGCCCCAGGCTGAGAAGGGTCCCAGGGCCATGCCCAAGGCAGGCCTGATATTAACTGTGGAGAACGATGGGGGTCCCCAGAGGCTGGGAGAAGCGATAACTCACAGAGCTGCCTCATGCAACTGGAGTCTGGACAATGGCGGCAGCACGTGCAGGGTCTGGTGAAAATAGGGGCTTTGGAACAGGCAAGCCCGGATGGCCCGGATTCCAGCTCTTGCTGTTGCCCTCTGGGTGCCTTTAGGTGAGCCGGCCAGCCTCTGAGCTTGAATTTCCTCCTAGGAGGGATAAGAGAACTAAAATTGGTTTGGTTCATCTGTGATCCCTGTCCCCCTCCCTTCTAGAAAAGCCCTCTGAGGGAAGAGCCATGTGCAGGGTGGGGTGGCCTGGTTTCTAAAGCAGGCAAACCTGTTTTTACTGGGCCAATTTTGGGGTGGTTGCCTAATGGGTCTTAAAGCAATTTCTGATGGACCTTTAAAGCTTACTGGGAGGAAAGGAGATGGAGGGCTTATTCCTGTGGGAGAGATGAGATGGGCAACAGTGGGGGCCTGGAGAGGCTTGGTGGGAGGAGCGTGGAGAAGGCGTGCGAGGTGGGGGGCAGGGGGAGCCAGAGCCTCCTAGCCTGTCCCTTGAGCTGGGTCCCCACTGGGGCTGTGTGCCAGGGGAAGGCTGGCCCGAAATCTGGGTCCCAGGCTGGCTCCCCACTGGGGGTTGGTTACATCAGCCTGCCTGACCCCACCCGCCCTGGACCTCATATGAATGGGAACCCCACCCAGGCTTCCCAAACTAAACCCCCTGTCCTAAGTGGACATCCCCACAAGATACTCTAGACACTGGGGAGCCTGGGGAACACTGGGGTCCAGGGCACCTCCAGCTAGGCTAGGAGTAGATGGGCCCCGCCATTAACAGGTGAAATATGGGGTGTTGAGCAAGTGGATGGGTGACACCTACTTCCTAGATGTCTTGGTCAGTTCAGGCTGCTGTAAAGGAATAACACAAACCAGAGGGCTTAGATGACAACTTATTTCTCGAAGCTCTGGAGGCTGGAGATGAGGGTGCCAGCATGGCTGGGCTCTGGTGAGGGTCCTCTTCCTGCCCGTGTCCTCACGTGGCTTTCCCTGGTCTGTGCAGGCAGAGAGTGCACCCTTATCTCTTTCTCTTCTTCTAAGGACACTGATCCTATCATGTGGGCTCCACCCTCACGACCTCATCTGAACCCAGCTACTTCCTGGAGCCCTTGCCTCCTAACGCCATCCCATTGGGGGTTAGGGTTTCAACATAGGAATTTGGGGAAGACGTGAACGCGCAGTCCAGAACACTGGGTTTATTGAGAGTGTGGTGTTCAGTAGCTTGTGGCTGTCATCCAGAAAGTTCTGTGCTCTCGAGGACTGAGTGACCTTGGGCAGGACATGCCACCTCACTGAGCCTCTTCTGAAAAATGGGGGCAATGGTATAGTATCTACCTTGTAGAGTTATCAAGAAAGAAATGAGACCAAATTATAAAGTGTTTAATGGGCAGAAAAACCCAGGAAAAAATAGTTCTCTGATCCCCGACTTTCTCCCCAGCCCCCCAAAGGCTGTGGGGTGAGGGGCAGGGCAGCTTGAGCCCCTTCTGTGTCTTGGCTCCTTTCCCCCGAGGGCTGGCTCTGCAGACTCAGGCGCCCACAGGCCCTCTGCCTGCCTCGCCCGCCTGGAATAGCAGCCGCCAAAGTGTTGACGTGCCTCTGACATCCCTCCACTCAAGGAACCGCCAACTGATGGTGGCTGGGGACATGTGCTGAGCTTCCCTCTCATCGCATGACTGTCACACAGTGGCAGGCACGCAGAGAGCTCCCAGCCAGCTGGGTGGGCTCCAGGGAGCAGTCCCTCCCTCTGACAGGGCGAGAGACTGGTTTGCACAGGGCCTGAGCCAGGGAAGCTGGGGCTCCCCAAGCTTTGGCCTGTGCAGACCAGCTGGGTGAGTTAAACCTCTGCAAGCGCCCAGTCTTGCCCTGCATTCTTATGTGGGGCACACAGCTCGAAATACCTAGGAACAGAAGGTGACAGGGCTGAAGTGGGGAGAGGGTGTCACTAAGCCCATAAAGTTCGATAAGTGCCTCATTGTCCATATGGAGAAACCGAGGCCCAGAGAGAAGCGTTTTGTCCAAGGTTGCACAGTGCAAAGGCCAGGCCAGAACTCAGATTTATTTCTTCAACAAATGTGATTCAGAATGACCTGCAGACTGGGCATTTTCTGGGACTAAGGATGTCAGAACCCCAGTTTCTGGGGTCTGCCTCTGAAGGATACTGTTCCAGATCTCTCATACGGCTTTGGGGCCACATGTAGGTATGGGTTCTGAGGGCCACACGATTTTGTGATGTGAGTGGCTTGGACTCATGGTTGTATTAGTTCTCTGAAGGGCTCCCAGCCCCCTAATTCCACCCCGGCCATGCACAGACCGGGCCTGCTGCAGGTTGAAGCTGTAAATCTGTGGATTCAGGGATCCGGTCTGAGCTTTGCCAGGGCCTGCCTCTTGTGCTCATTTGTCACTTGCAATCTCTCTTGAAAAGCACAGACAGTGCCTGAGGGAACTGGATGGGCCCCTCTGACACCACCAGTAAGCTGATGATCAATGCTGCTCGGGATGGTTTAGCAAACCACTTTGCATTTTCCAAGACCTGAACTCCTTGGCTCATTTACTGAGTCACTTAAGCCTCTCTATTGTGTAAGATTTAGGGATTTGGGATGGCCTGGGGCCATTTTACATCTCCATCATTCCTGTTAAGCCCTGCTTGTTCCCTCTCCAACAGGTGGGGCCCAAGGTCTCCAGGAGGCCTGAAGGAAATCTGCACTGCAGCAGCTCTTATAGCCCCAGCCCAGGGCCATGGGCTGGCTGGCTCCCATAGCGGGGCAATGACAGTGGAGTCCTGGATTGCCCTTTTGCTTGCAAAAGCTAATTTTCTAGAACTGAGCACAGCACTGTGCTAGCAGCATGAGGGATGGAGTTTGGAGCGAAATAAGACAGGCCTCCCTGAATTAATTCTGAGTCAATTTTTGAGATGGACCCCTACCCAAACTGAAGGTGTGCTGGTAAATGTTTAACAACTAACTTCCCTAAGGAAAAAAAAATTGTAGCATTTGTCATTTCCCATGGTATAAATATTCTCTCCATGGCCGATTCCAAGACACCAATATGACATCTTGGGAAGAGATGCACAGGCTCAGGTCTCAAGAGTGGAAAAAAGCCACCGGCTCCAGCATGCCACTGACCCAAACTCACCACAATGCAAAATGCACAAAAATCTGGCCTCTAGATAGGGGAGCAATATCTCCTGACTGAGCTTCCTGGAGAAGCTGCAAGGAGCAAGGTATTTTTGGTTTGGTCCTTGAGGAAGGCACAGGGTTTCCACTGACGGAGCAGTGGAGGGAGGTTCTCCAGCAGGAGAGAGCGCCGGAACCAAGGCGGGAAGCACAGAAACATCTGCATGTTTGAGGACCAAAGTCCTCCGGCAGGAACACAGAGGCCACATGACAGAAGGGCTTATAAACTGCCATAGAGTTTGTCCTTCATCCGGTCTGTGGTGGGGAAGCCAATGATGCACCTTAAGCAGGTGAATGACACTGTGAGATTAGTTTCATTTCTTTTGAATACTGACATCATTTTTTAAAAGATACTATTTTTTCTAAAAAATTCTGTATGTTCATTACAAAAACAAATCAAACCATGCATCAAAGTACACAAAGATGCCTTTTCAACAGGTAAACATCTTCCCAAACTTCCTCTATGTATACACACAGACAAAAAGTTAGAAGGATATAGTAGAAATAAAATAAAATAAATGAAGATTTAAAAAGAGGAAAAAAGACAGAGAAATAAGAATTAACTAGTCTACCTTCTTTCACTGGGTATAGTCAAGGCTGTTTGCAATGCTTGGAACTCTGGCAACTGTCTTGTAACCATGAGGAAAACTAGTCTGAGGCAGCCGACAGACTGAGGGTAGCAGAGCAGGAAGATGGAGATAATCTGAGTTTTGGTGATGTAAGGTAGCTGCTGGCCTTCACATACAGACCACCATGTGATAACTCTGGTTGTCACATGTATGCTTTTCCTGCCTACCTAGACTCTAAATTCTCAAGACTCAAAACTGAGTAATAATGAAGCCAGTCTGTGGGATGTAAGGGCAAGAGCGTGGGCTTTGGAGTTGAACAAAGCTGCCTTTGCATTACAGCTCTGTGAGGGGGAGTTACCTAATCCCTTGATGCCTCATTTTTTTAAATCTCTGAAATGGCAATAATAAACCCGCTTCCAGAGAGGTGGTAAGCATTGCATTAGATTGCATATGTAAGGTTTCTACCACAATGCCTAGGACAGGAGGGACTCAGAAAATGATATATACATGATTATATATGAATGAATCTGAGAAAATATGAAGTATGCCACTGAGTGAAAACACAACATGGTACTTTTATTTCTTCAGTCTTTTTAGCACAAACTAGACAGACTATGAGAAGCAGAGTTCTATCTCTGAAACTTATGGGCAGATTAATTTGGGGCAAGTTCTTTTACTTCTCTAAGTTTCAGTTTCTTCAGCTGTTAAACTGAGACAAGAATATTTGAAGATTAAATAAGGCCATGCCCAAAGCACTTGCAACATGGTAGGCTCTCAATAGACACTAGTTTCCTTCTTCATGCTCTGCCCCTCCACAACACACAAGACACAGACGTGTGTTCCATAAACACGTGCTCTCTCTCTCTCACACACACACATACCTAGAACACACCCACACAAATGGACATGCACAGACACATGGACCCACACATGTGCAGACACACAGATACACAACTTTCTCAGCCCCAGAATCTTCCAGGAGGTTTTAGAAGTAGCTGTTGCTGTGTCTGTCTGCAAGACCTGTTTACAAGGCAATTATGAACTCTTTTCGCCAAATGTAGGATCTTCAAACAATGAGCACTGTTGCTTAAAGGAAGACTATTCCTGGGGGAAAATACTTTAAATGTAATTATGTCTTAGCTGCACATCTAGTAAATAACTAGACATGCACTGCTTTGAATATAAAATGTCACATTTTTGCAGATGGGACAGACAAATTTTGGCAGTCAGAGGAAGTCAGGAGAGAGAAATGAAAGAAGAAACCACATACTTCCTTTTTATTTACCTGATGTAACTGGGCCTGGCCCCGGGGGCATGGGGCTGGGAGGGCCCTGAGGGCTGGCTTTGGCTGAGACAGGTGCAGGGAAGGTGAGAAGCAGGCTGAGGAGCACAGAGAGGGAGTCTGTGTCTTGATTTCCTTTCTTGTTTACTTCTTTTGTGTCCTTTCCCACCCTCGTCACCCTGGCCTCAGTCTTCATTGAGTCTTCCCTGGGCCGCATCCTCACTAGTTTCCCCAATTGCATTCTTTCCTCCTCTGACCTGTTCTGTGTAACATCACTAATCATTTGTTCCCTGAAATAGCACTTTCCTCTTGCCACTCTTGCTCAGAAACCTCCCTATTTCTCCCTTTCGCGTCTTTGCTTCCTTGGCTTCTCAGTGGAATGAAACAGTCTTTTCACCAGGACTCCCCAGCACGCAGCTGGGCAGTGCAATTTCCATGGTCTCCAGAGCAGTCTGGTCCTAGAAACCATGAAGTCCAGCCTTAAGCCACAGAGCTACAGTCATGTGTCTTTCAAAGCCCAGAAGACCTTGTTCATTGCATGACCTGGACAACTCTCCTGACCTACCTTGTACTCCTCTTCCCAACCTGTCTCTTCTCTACTGATTTTTCTTTCTGTTTCACCTACCTTGGCTACTGGGGCTGGTTCCTTTCCCCTATTTACCCAACTTTGACCTTTGGCTTTCCTCCTAGCAGGAGGTTTGGATTTTCCCTCTGGCCAGGCTTTCATTCCTTTATCTACTAAGTACTTATACAGGACTTACTGGTGCCAGGCTACATTTATGGAGGCACAAAGAGTGTCTCCTATCTGGAAGAAGAGGCCATTAGACAATTCACTGTGTGTGTGTGTGTGTGTGTGTGTGTGTGTGTGTGTGTGCGCGCGCGCGCGCGCGGGTGGAGCGGGGGGGTGGTTGGGGGTAGGAAGATGCACAGAGGAATAAATTGTTGTCCTTGAACTCTGGCAACTAACCAGAGGTCAGCCAATAGTATTTTATCCTTAAT
Source organism: Homo sapiens (assembly GCF_000001405.40). Classification (NCBI taxonomy): domain Eukaryota; kingdom Metazoa; phylum Chordata; class Mammalia; order Primates; family Hominidae; genus Homo; species Homo sapiens. The sequence continues at coordinate 70,434,607 of NC_000015.10, read as the reverse complement.
TGATTTATCAGATTAAGCTTTAATGGAGCAGGGAGGAAGTAGGAGCAAGCCAGGAAGCCATTACAATGGAAGAGATTGTGCTCAAGAATTCCATTTGATCTTCAAACAACCCCAAGAAGGAGGGGTTTTCCCCATTGTCCACCCAGGGAAGCAGGCTCAGAGAGGCCAGCTGACTTTCCTAAGGTCACCCAGCTGGCAGTAGAGGGTCCTGGCAGCCTGATGGCATTGTTGGGTGCACTCCTGAGGCCACGCTGATCCCAGGGCAGGGAAGAATGCCAGGCACCCCTGGTCAATGTCGCTTCCTGATCAGCCTTCTAAGGATCGTCCGGGTCTGCAAGTCCCTTCCACGGGTTGACTAAAGCTGCCTCTTTGCTCTGGAAACCCTCTACCTTCCCTCACTGGCTCATCTTCCTGGCTTCTCTTTGCCTTGGCCCTGGGGGCGGAAGGGGAACAGCTGAGTTGTCATCTAAGCTTGCATCTTCCAGGGCAGCAGAGGAAAAGGACATTGATTTATGATCAAAAAGGCGAAGGAGGATGCCGTGGGGAGGACGCTGGTCGGCAGGGGTGGGTGGGCGATAAGAGAGAACTAGAAAGAATAAAAAGAATCCCTAAGCCTTAAAAACAGAGCTTGCCCTCTGATTCCTGGGTAGGCGTGGGTTGAAAATCTTTCATGTAAAACTGAAATGGAATCACGAATGAGGAGAAATCATCTTGGGGCTTGGGTGTGCCTTACAGGACTGAATTAAATTTAAAATGTATTGATTTCCCCTGCTGATTAACAGGCCTGGCACGCGAGAAGGGCGGCAGCCCAATAAGCAGCTGGCACCGCTGTCCCAGTCCACCAGCGTCCCCTGCTGCATCCCATGTCACCTTGAGTCCTGGCAATTTTCTAATTAGCCCAATGGGTTATGATTTGAAGCCGGAAGAGCCAATTAGCAGGAGTCTCCTTTGACCTCCAGTTTGGGGTGATAGGAGACGAGGTAATGACTTCAGACAGAGGGAGGGAAAAAACAAAACTAAAAATAAAAATAGAAAATATCAAGAGCAAAGACCGAAATCTTTTTGGTTTCCTGATTAATAACCCTGTCATGCCGATCACAAGCTCTAAACAGCAATGCTGGTTGCAGCTGAATTTTTTATACTTTCTATTAATCTTTAATGATAGCTTGGTCACCTAGTCTCTTTTATCTTGTCAGATAAATGTATGGTTAACAGGATAATGAGATTTCTAAAGCCCCATTCCAGCTCCCAGCTATCGAGTGCAGGCGGTGACCTCTGACCCCTGGCAGACAGCGGCACCAGGGCGCTCGTAATTGGTAGGTGTGCTGGGAATGCATTGGAAGCTGACTGATGGTTTAAACTTTGATTTGAGGTCAGCAGGGTCACCGAGCTCTGGAAGACCAGCCTGGTTTTATTACCAGCTGCCTCTGATGGGGATATAATTAGATTTAGCTATTGCTTTATTAATAAGTAATCGCTTCCCCCACTGCTGTGGGTGGGCAAATGTATTCCTTGAATAATTTGAGGACACTAGTCTGGCTTTATTAATAAGAATATATCATGTGTATTTGGCCAGGGGCAGACACCCATCTGGATTTCTGGACTTTGCAGGAACTTTATCATTTTTACTCATTTGCAGTATTGAATACATCAATACATCAGAAGGCTGTGCCTTCCGAAATCCATCCTTGCCTCAGGAACCTCTAACTTTCTGATGTCATAGGGGACCTTTGTTTTGGTCTCTTTCCAATGACTTAAGAGTAAAAAGTATAAAAATAATTCCATCCAGCTATCCACTCATCCATTCACTCATCCATCTATCCATTCATCTGTCATCCCTTTATCTACGCAATCATGAGAGCGCAGACAGTCCCCAACTTACAATGGTTCAACTTACAATTTGAACCACTGTAAAAGTGATATGTATTCAGTAAAAACTGTACTTTGAGTACCCATACAACCATTCTGTTTTTCACTTTTAGTACAAGATTCAGGAAATTACATAAGATATTCAACACTTTATTTTGAAATTGGCTTTCTGTTAGGTCATTTTGCCCAACTGTAGGCTAATATAAGTGTTCTGAGCATGTTTTGGATAGGGGAGGCTAAGCTCTGATGTTCGGTAGGTCAGGTGTGTTAAATGCATTTTCAACTTTTGACATTTTCAGTGTACAATGGGTTTATCAGGACATAACCCCACTGTAAGTTGAGGAGCATCTGTACTTGCTAAATGCTAGTTACAACCTTAGATGAAGGGGTTTAACTCTCTTAACAGAGACCCAAAGACCTAACTCCTGCCTTAAGAGATTTACAAGCAGAGAAGTAGCTAAAATTCAAGGCAGGGTGAGTTAAGAGCCATAAAAAGAGGATTCACAAAATTCTAGACTATGCATGGAAAGTGTTGAGCATTGGACCTGATGATGCCAGTGGCTGCTGCTATCACACAGGCTGCAGCAAGGAGGCACGGCTGGGGCTGCACACTCCATGGAGCTGGTGGGAGTCCCGCCCTTTCTGTGTTGTGGTGGGAGCTCCCTGGGTGCAGCTGCGGCCACCCTCCCAGGCATGGGACCCGGCATCTCTGCAGCCTACACCCTTGGGGACCCAGGAAGGCCCCTCCCTGTCCCTGCAGGCTCAGGGGTATCTGTTTCCACTGCTTGGCCTCTCTCCTCTCCTGGTGCCTTCTCTGATCTTGGAGTGGGGCCAAGCCCTGGGACCATGAATGGCCATGGGAAGCAGACAGATTCCTGGGTGGAAGGAGGCAGGTCCCCAGTAAGGTCCCCTGGCCTGAAGGCTGAGGGCTAGGCTGTCAGTCACAGTGGAGAGGGGACCTGTGATGCCTCCTGCAGGCCCATCCGTGACCGCCCATGGACCAATTGGCATGTACTTCCTCCCCTCTGAGGTCCATAAAAGCCCTGGGCTCAGCCAGAGCAGGGCAGAGGATGGAGAGATGGAATGACCAGCTGCAGATAGGAGCTACCCTCTCTGCTGAGAGCTTCAGAGACCTGCAGAGATGTCTGAATGACCTGCCTGCAGAGAGGAGCCAACCCCTCCAGGGCTTCCTCTCTGCTGAGAGCTGAACACACCATGAAATGACCTACTATGGAGAGGAGCTACCCATACGGGTCTCCTCTGAGCTGTTGTAACACTAAATAAAGCTCCTCTTCATCTTCACTCTTCGCTTGTCTGCGTACCTCATTCTTCCTGGACACAGGATGAGAACTTGGGCAAAGGCACCACTGGCCATAGAGGTTTCCAGGAAGAAAATCGACAACTCAAAGAGCCTGTAACACTGACAAGTTGAAAATGTTCATATTTTGGCAATAGTTACGAGCTTCAGAGAAGGGCTGGGAAATAGGAAAGAAGTGGACCTGAAGGCTGAGAAGTTTCTTGAAATGTTTAAAAATTTGAAGTTTTCCCCATGCATCCCATGATAGAAAATTAAGAAAGCGCAGGGGAGAAGGAAGAGAAACAAAATTTAAGACGAAGAGAATTAAATAAAGATTACTTATTAGACCTAGACTCTAAAAATAATTAATTAAACAACCATTTATTGAATGTCTACTACATGAAAGGCATGTCCTACCCATTTTCCCATTTACCTAAAGATAGTCCCAATATAAAAATTGTAGTTCCAGTGTTCACTACTCCAATATCACATGTATAATTCTACTCTGAAATACTGCAATCTTAATTTTTTTGTTGTTAAATACCACCATGTAGGTGTTTTTTATAAATCTGAAAATTGCTATGCTTGGCCACTCTTCTCCAAGTGGTGACTCAGAGATTTAGCTCCTGCTATCTTAATATATACCTAGAGACTTAAATGCCCCATTACAATTTCTAGTTGAACACAAGAATGCTCTTTTTAAAAATGATTCTGGCTGGGTGCAGTGGCTCACGCCTGTAATCCCAGCACTTTGGGAGGCCAAGGTGGGTGGATCACCTGAGGTCAGGAGTTCACGACCAGCCTGGCCAACATGGTGAAACCCCATCTCTACTAATAATACAAAAATTAGCTGGGCGTGGTGGTGCACGCCTGTAGTCCCAGCTACTCGGGAGCCTGAGGCAGAAGAAACACTCTACCTGGGAGGTGGAGGTTGCAGTGAGCCGAGATTGTACCATTGTAGTCCAGCCTGGGCAACAGGAGTGAAACTCTGCCTCAAAAAAAAAAAAAAAAAAAAAAGATTCTGACTACATTTCTACCACATTTTTGTCTAATCTAAGACATGATTATTGTATGTTCCACAAAAAATCTAAAGCATTGCTGATGACACTGTGACATGCTATTGGCTGTAATACACATTCTGATTTCACAATGTCAGATTGTGAAACGTGTCTTACACTTGATAAGATACAGTAGGTTAAACCTTCCCTAGGTATGTTGTAATTCCCATTTCTCAGGATTCCTTGGGACATGATTCATAAGAACATGATTTTTTATGTCTATTGCCCATTCAACCTCCAGAGTCTGCTAAGCTTAGATCTACTTCCCAAAGTCTCTGATGGCATCTCCTTCAAAATGAGGATGGAGAGGGTGGTGGTGCAGAGATGGGGGACAGAGGAAAGGAAGGTCCCAGGACTGATCCCCCACTCTTGCCTACATAGACCCTGCCCCTCTCTCTTGCTCCCCTCCTCTTTCTTCCTCCAGGGCCACACCCATTCTCCTAGGGCCTGACCCTCTCTCCGGGAATAACTTGTCTTTATGAGGAGATCCTCAAGAGTGGTAGACAGGAAAATCCCATCAAGAAGAACTCAAGCCAGGACCAAGAAACCTCAGTCCTGGTCTCTCTCAGATGGGATGATGTCTAAGGGGAAACAGTAGAAGGAAAGTTTGGTTAAGTTAACAAGCCATTTTTCTTAGGTTGTTGTAACCACTCTTGGCTATTAATTCTCAGTCCTTCAGTGAATTTCCAGGTGAAGCTAGAAAGGTGTATATAGACATATACCACAGATCCTATCTGATATTCACCCACAGAAGTGGTTCCATTTTAAAGGCCCTTCCAGTAATGAATGCCATTTGTTGAGTACCTGAGAGGCATTGAGTACCATCTTCCCATCTTTGTCAGTCAGGATAGGCTGAGTTGTGCTGCAGTAACAAGCCCCAGATTCCCAGTGACTTAACCTAATGATAGTTCATTTATCACTGCTGCAAGGTCCAATGTGGGTATTGCTGTCAGACGGCTCTGCTGGGCACCTCTCCTCCAAGTGGTGACTCAGGGATCTAGTTTCTTTTTACATAGCTTAGGCTCTGCTAACCCTTAGCAGGCCCTCAGTATTTCCAAGTCTTCCTCGAGGTCTTTAGCGGCCCAGCCAATGGGCAAGGTGCATCTAAAAAGGGGAGTTTATTGAGGTTTTAGGGGCAAGGCCTGGAAGTGGCAAATCTCCCTTCCACCACACCACATTTTTTGACCAGAGCTAGTCACATAGTCCTGCGTAGAGGCACACGAAATGTTTGGGTGAACATTTAGTGTTATCTTATCTCATCAAAAAAGCCCTAAACTGGCAAGTGGAATAATGTTGCTAACTCAGAATAATGTTCTCTTACTTATACCATAGGCCCATAATCTGCTGTGGGGACAAAAAAAACAACAAACAAAACAAAATAATGCTGAGAGAAACATACACACACACACACACTCACTCACACAAAGAAATAACTCTGAGATCCCACAGTTATTTTTTTCTTTGTAACTTTTTAGAGTTATTGATTGCCTTAAAAAGTAGATAAAAGATTCATATGGAAGCAAGAGGCACTGGATTTGAGTCCTATCTTCATCATTGTGAATTTAGGATGGATTTTAAGCAGTCACTTCCCCTCTCTGAACTTCAGGATTCTCCTCAGTGGTAACACTATGGAAATAGAGATGTGGTTTCCTGACTCTATACTGGGACAGTGACAAATTCTGGTGTATCTATGGAGTCCACGGGACACTTGTTTTGGCATCAGGACTACACTGGAAGATTGGGCTGAATAGCACTGTATTAGTTTCCTATTGCTGCTATAACAAATTACCACAAGTTTCGTGGCTTAAAGCAACACACATTTATTCTCTTAAATGCTGGAGGTCAGAAGTCCAAAATGAGTCTCACAGGGCTAATATCAAGGTGTTAACAGAGGTGGTTCTTTCTGAGGGCCCCAGAGGAGAACCTGTTCCTTGGCTCTTCTAGCATCTAAGGTGGTTGGCAGCATTCCTTGGCTCCTGGCCACAACTCTCCAGTGTCTTCTTTTGATGTCACATTGCCGTCCTCTGTTCTGCAGTCAAGTCTCTCTCTTTGAAGGATACCTGTGATTACAGGTACAGTCTTCCTGGATAATCCAGGATAATCACCTGTTCTTGAAATTCTGAATTTGATCACATCTGCAAAGTCCCTTTTGCCATGTAAGATGATACTCATGAATTCTGGAGATTAGGATGTGGATATCCTTGGGGGCCATTATTCAGCCTACTTCAGGGACAGACTGAGGCAGCGAGAGGAAATTTAGACACTTTTTTGGAGTAGAGGGTAAAGGGCAGGAAACCCAGCACAATCTATCTAATCTGGCCTCACTCTTGAAGCCTTTGAGAGGAGACACAGTAGAGAAAGCCCAAGGGCCTGGGAGGGGACAGGCCTGGATTTGCATTTCTTCTCTGTTAGCTACCAGCTGTGTGGCCTTAGGCAAGTTAGTTTACCTTCCTGAGTCTGTCTTTTAAACCAAGGAAAGTCATGCTAACTTCCTTGGCTACTGTAAAGATGAACAATAACCCATGAAAACTGTTTGGCACAGTGCCTGGCACCTAGCAACGCCTGGTGGCTGCAAGTATTATCATAAACTCCCTATCCGGTACCTTTGTGAGTGAACCAGAGCATCGATGGGGGAGGTGCAGGCAGAGTGGAGATTCCAGCAGGGACCCACATCAGCAAGGGGTGGAGGCAGGTCACATCCAGCAGCAAGGATGGCTCCATCATTTCTGAGCAGGAGTCCTGTGAAGGGCCTGGCTGTAACTGTCCAGAGCTACAGAGGCAGAACCTGTGAATGGGAGGCATTGTCTGCAAAAAGCAGGGACAGGAGGATCCTGAAAGGGGGAGTCGTCTGGAGCAAGGTCCCAGCACCCACTCCCCCACTGGCTCCATTTTCGGGAAACTGCGATCAGGACTGCAGAGCAATGCTGGGGCAAAGACCTAGTGCTGGGCTCAATGTTCATAAGCTATGAAAGTCTCTCATTCACCTCCTGCTGGTGTATTCTTGCCATGCTCTAGACTTCTCTTAGGCTGAGAACAAATCTCCAGCGAAATGTTTAAGAGAATGGGCTCTGGAGCCTGTCTGCTTACATTTTTTTGTTTGTTCGTTTGTTTGTTTTTTTGAGATAGAATCTCACTCTGTCACCCAGGCTGGAGGGCAGTGGCGCAATCTCGGCTCAGTGCAATCTCTACCTCCCGGGTTCAAGCAATTCTCCTGCCTCAGCCTTCCAAGTAGCTGGGATTACAGGCACCTGCCACCATGCCTGGCTAATTTTTGTATTTTTAGTAGAGACGGGGTTTCACCATGTTGGCCGGGCTGGTCTTGAACTCCTGACCTCAAGTGATCCTCCCGCCTTGGCCTCCCAAAGTGCTGGGATTACAGGCATGAGCCACTGTGCTTGGCCTATCTGATTACATTTAATTCACAGCTCTGCCACTTACTAGACCTATGACTTGAGAAAGCTACTTAGCTGCTCCATGCCTCAGTTTCCCCACCTGTAAATTGAGGGTAATAGTGACAGCCATCTCCTAGAATCATTGTGAAGACTCTGAGTATTAACACAGAAAGTGGAAAGGCTGTTTCAGGGCCCTGTGACCCCCTAGATCACAGGCTCTGTGCACTCCCCACCCATACCAACTCCAGAGGAGAGGAGTGAGTCACATCCAAGTCATCACCTAAATGAACCAACTTCTAGATCAGTTTATTATCAAAACACAGTATAAATATTGTTTTTATGCTCAATAAACAGTTCCTCAGCTCTGCAAAATGAAATATTCCTTTCATTATGAAACTGAGAAGCCATTTATCCCGTGTCTTAAGTGGTATAGATAGACTGTGCAGCAGCCAGCGGAGGGATAATGACACTGTTTATTTTCACTAGCTCAGGATGGGCTGACACAGTATGTATGCCGGGGAAGCGAGCACGGCTCCTGGAAGGGGACTCGAAAATCTGTCATTCTCGCCAAGAACAAGGTGCTAGGCATCTGTTTTTGGGCTCCACTTGCCAGGCCTGAGGAAGGCGGAAAAAATGTTGGGATTCCACCTGGCACCTCGAGGAGCCAGCGCTGAACCGAAGCCGGAGGCAGAGGCACCTCTGGGGAGTGAGTCGACGGGCCCCCGAGGCGGCATGACACTGGCCATGGTGCTGCTGGAGATGGCCAACATGCCACTTGGGCACAAACCTTCACACAACTTTAGAGCTTAGAAAGCTTCTCCTCCCCATGTCAGTGTGGGAGGACTCGGTAGAGAGCCTGAGAATCTGGTCCAAGGTCAGGCTCCAGTCCTCTTGAGCTGTGAGATGCTGGGCAAGTCCTCAACACCCTGGTCCTCGGTTCGCTCCTTTTTGCAATGGGGAGAATGGGGCCTGCCTTGCCTGCTATGTGATTGAATGAGAAAGTGTGTGCATAAATATTTTAAGGTATTCAGCTCTGCACAAATATATTTTGCAGAGCTCTGATTTTTTGGGAGAGGAAACAGAATATCAGAGAGAGTCAATGGCTCATGTGAGATCCCAGATCAGGCCTGGGTCTCTCAACCCCCTGTCATGAGCTCTTTCTAGCAATGTATTCCTTTGGATTCAACATTGTGTCTGGAAAGGCAGGGCACTGTCTAAATGTGCAATGTACAACTCTAGGTGGATGAGGAGGGCTGTTCACGTGGCCCATGCCGTGGATGAGACCTACCAGGGTGGTGCAGAGCACAGCCTGCACAGCTGGACAGAGAGGCCCTGCTGAAGGCCGCAGCTAAGAAACAAGTGTGTTTCTAAGGAAGAAAGGACACACTGACCTGCTGATACTTTAGTATGAATTAGGTTTTTTCACTTCCTTGGCAGAAAATAGCAATTGACAGAGATAGAATCCAAGACATTGTGCTGTTTTGGGATTCAAGATTGGAAAAGTCCAAAATATGGGACTCAGCCTGAGTTGAGGGCTGTGTGTTGCTGAGGGGCGTGTCGACCCCAAGAACACCTGAAATAGGGCAGAGGAGTTGTCAGGAACTGACAGGAGGAAGTGGTGAGTGCTGATGGCAGATGGGAGCCTTTCCCAGAAGACAGCCATGAGCAAGTCACTTTAGAGCTCATTTGATGTGGTTTGTACCTGTGTCCCCTCCAAATCTCATGGTAAAATGTGGTCCCCAAGGTTGGAGGTGGGGCCTGGTGGGAGATGAATGGGTCGTGGGGGCAGATCCCTCATGAACGTCTTGGTGCCATCCTTGTGGTAATGAGTGAGTTCTCATGGTGAGTCCACATGAAATGTGGTTGTTTTAAAGAGTCTGGCACCTCCTCCCTCTCCTGCTCACTCTCTCACCATGTGACACACTGGCTTCCCCTTTGCCTTCTGTCACGATTGGAAGAAGCTTCCTGAGGCTTCACCACAAACAGATGCGAGCACTATGCTTCTTGGACAGCCTGCAGAACCATGAGCCAAATAAACCTCTTTTCTTTATGAATTATCCAGTCTCAGGTATTCCTGTATAGCAATGCAAACAGACTCACACAGCAGTGTTTTCATCTGAACAATGGGCATAATAATATCTTGCCATTCTTATGAGCAAAGCCTGGACTAGAAGATCTCTACAGGGCTGCTCCAGCCTCAGAGTCACCTCTGAGTTGTGCTGGGCACCCATCCTCATAGCAGAGCTGTTCTCTTTTCTGCTTTGTCAAAGGGGTCAGCAGGAAGCTGCACACATTCTAGGATTCTGTCCTACCAGAATGGCTGGGAGCACCTGACAGGGGTGGGGAATGAGTGAGCTGAGGACTGCGGGGGCCAAGGCTGGGGTTGGTGGGAGAAAGTGCAGTCACGTGTTGCTTAACAAAGATGTGTTCTGAGAAATGCATCAATTTCATCATTGTGTGACCATCATAGAGTGTACTTACTCTAACCTAGGTGGTGTAGCCTACTACACACCTAGGCTAATGGTATAGCTTATTACTCCTAGTCTACAAACCTGTACAGCATGTTGTTCTACCAAATACCACAGACAGCTGGAACACAATGTGTGTTTGTGTATCTAAACATAGCTAAACATGGAAAAGGTACAGTAACAATTTGGGATTATAGTCTTATGGTATCACTATTGTATATGTGGTCCATGGTTGACTGAGATGTTGTTGTGTGGTATCTGACTAATTAGAACAGAAAGGCTTGTCCCCTCGTGGAGAGGAGGGCCAAGGTCTTGAGTCACTGATCCTAGAAATAAGGTAAACTGAGGCTCGAGTCTGGGTCTGCTCTGAGTGTCAGTCATGTGGGGGTGCCTAGGTGGCTCTGGCACTGAGGAGGGCTTGAGCTACAGTTCAGTGGAGGATGCACAGGGTAAGTGAGAAATCCTCCAGACGTGGGCATCCATTGTCTATGGCATCTGTCCGTGCCCAGGCAGGAAGAGAAGAGCTACTCTAGATGTTTCAAGCAGATTTAATAAGGGGAATTGGTTACAAGGGGGCTAAAAGAGTCAGAGGGGCAAAAGGAAGATGAGGGTTCTTACCCCTAGACCAGGAGGAAGCTGCTCCTGTTCTGGGCAATGGGGCCCACAAGACCCATCTGCTGGGAGCTCCCACCCTCGGAACTGGGGAGCCTGCAATAGTGCCAAAGGGCCTCTGCCAGGAGCAGACAAATGCCTTCTCCCTCCTTCCCGCCTTCTAATCTCCCACCAGTGTCTCCTGTTGGCTGAACCTAACGGGAAGCCAGCAGGCAAGGGAGCCTGGAAAATGTAGTTCCCAGGGGGTAGCCTCGGGGGTAAAGAGTGAAGACCAGAGAGTGTGGTTGCTGATGCTAACATAAACTATTGGGCACAGGTACCCCCCTACATTCCAGAATGATCGGTGATGATACATGGTCTTGTTTGAAGGTTAATTTTGAATCCCTCCAACCATCTTGTGAGTGAGTTAGTATCATGATTGTTTTACATGTGAGGCTCAGAGAGGTTAACTAAAGTGCCCAGGATCACACAGCTAGCAAGTAACAGAGCTGGAATTTGAGCACTGACCATTTGCTCCTTCACTCTCAAGGGCACTGCTGATCACAAGGTTCAGCTGAGCCAGGTATTTTGACCAGGGATATGGGCAGAAGCCAGGAAAGCAGATGAGCCCCACTAAGTGGGAGTTAGGGTGGGGAATGTAGCCCCCAGGAGCTGAGTTCAGCAGGCTACTGGGCAGAGGAGCAGCAGATGTGCCCACTCCCCTCCTGGGGATGGGAAAGCAGGGCTATGCCCTCTTGGTCTGGTGTCTCATGCCCAGAGCTGGGTTTGGGGAGATGGGGACTGATCGCCTCCCACTTTGGAAGGAAAGCTGTTGTGACCATGAGAGCATGCAGTGATGCAGTCATTCCTCAGCGAAGCGGGGTGTCCCTTGGCTGTCTGCCCCTCTGATGTGGAGGAGCTATAGAGACCCAGGGCCCAATCCCAACTGGATGGAGGGGTGATTTGGTACATCACAGACATCCTGGAGCTCTGGGGCCACAAGAGTCCTATACCAACCATCACTCTGCCTCATGGGGGCAAGACAATTAGTGTGGTAGGGAATGCAGTAGAGCAAAATCCAGAGATATGGGCCGAAGGTGAGCTTTGTCATCTCTTCACTGAGTGGCCTTAAGCAGATCAAAGTCACTTTTTGTTTTGGGTCTCTGTGATTCTGCCAGGAAAAGAAAAGGGGAGGTGGCAAATATTGCCTATAAGGAGCATAAAAGACCCCCAGAGGAAGGCAATGCTGGAGGCTGCATTGAGCCCTCTTTCTTCCTTCTGTCTCCAGCAAATGTTCCTTTGACTGCTCAGGGATCACTGTTGGGTTTCCAAAGCTGCATTACCATGTCTCATCTCTCTGAGTCCCAGCCTGGTCTTCTTTGCTTCCGTGTCAGCTGACTTGGCCTTATTGTGTAACCTCCGAAGTCCACACCATGGCTGGCCATGAGGATTGGAGAGGGGCTGAAACTTGCTTCAGGCCCCACCATAGCTGTGGACGGTTGAGTTTTGGAGCCTGGGACTCCTGAATCCCTCTTACAGGGCTATTTAAACTGGAATAATTTTGACTCTCGGGAAGACACTCTCATTTTGGAATCAATGCATTAAACAAACATCAGTGGGGTTACTTGGGAGAAACAGTCTTGACATCAGCCTCCTAAGGATTTTCCTCTCCACTCACAACCCCAAACACTTCCAATGTGTTCTCACCTGTACCCTTTCCACCCATACCATCCTTCCCTGTCCTAGGGTAGATACTACAGTGGCTTACCCCAACATCCACTCTGCCCTCCTTCCTTAATAACAGAGCCTTGACATTTATCTGGGCTCAGAATCATGACTATATTTCCCAGCCTCCTCTCAAACTAGAAGAGGCTATATAATAGGTTCTGTCCAACAAAATGGTAAAAGAACTTAGCCTAAGTTCTTTGTCCCTTTCACTTTACCTTCTTTCTTCCTGGTGTGTGGATTCTGAATGTAGTGGCTGGAGCATAAGCAGCCATATTAAACCACGAGGCAATACACTAAAGATGGTGGAGAAGCAAGATAGAAAGAACCTAGGTCCCTAGCAACTTAATTTCTTTTATATGAGAGTAAAACAAACTTTTGTCTTCTTTCAGCCATTGTTATTTTGGCACTTCTGTTACTCACAGATGAACTCAATTCTAGTTAATAGACTTTCTTCCATACGCTGATTGCTTTTCACCTTTTTATTTAGTATAGTTGTCCCCATCCTTCAAAGCTTTCCCTGATTACTCTCCCCTCCCTTTTTCTGGAGTCTCAGGACATTTCATGTTTGTATAAGTCCTTGATATCCACCCACCAATCTGGCCTTGGTTTCTAAGTTCTGTTTGTTTTGTTCATCTTGGTATCTTATATGCATTATTGCTTTTATTTTATTATAGAGCTGAGATCTGTAGTCTCCTTTATTGTAGAGCTGGGAGCTATAGTCTCCTTTGTATTCCTCTCAAATTCTTTCATTTATTAACTCATTCAAAAATGTTTTTGGAGCACTTTCCATGTGTCAGGTACTATGGTAGGCTCGGGGGACCTTAAAGTTAACAAAACAGAATCACAATCTTTGCCCTCATAGTACAGAGGATTTAGTGGAAGTAAACAGGCTTTGAGCAAATAAGCCACTTACCAAGTGGGATAAGTGCCAAGATGAAAAGTGCCAGGGACGTCTAGTTTAGATCAGGTGCTCAGGGAAAGCCTCTTTAAAGAGACGGCACTTAAGGTGAAATTGAAAGAGGGGGAGAAAGCAGGCAGATGTTGTAGAGGAAAGAGTGCTCCTACCGGAAAGATAGCTTGTGCAAAGACCCTGGGGCAAAAAAGGAGCTATTTAAGGAGATGAAAGAAGGTCAATGTGAGTGGATAGCAAGTGGGGGAATGGAAGGAGAAGAGATCAGAAAAGAAGCCAGGAGCCATATCACACAGGACTATATGAGCCACAGCAAAGAATCTGGATTTTATTCTGCATGCCATCGGAAGGTTTTATGCACCAATTTGGTTAACTATTAGGATTAAGTTCTCCTGCCTATAACCAATAACCAAAGTAACAGTGGCTTAAGCAAGCCTGGAGGAAGGCAGTCCAGGGCTCACATGGAGCCTCCAGGATGCCATTAGGGGTCCAGGCTCTGTTAGCTTTCTGTTCCACATTATCGCATGGCCCTATTCTCAAGTCTTTTCATGACCCGAGATGGCCGTTGGAGCTCCAATCACATCCATATACCAGGCACAAAAAGGAGGAGGCAGAGAGGCCTCCCAGCCCACTCAATCTCCTGCAGAGTTTTCCAGGAGCCCTGCTGAGGGGCTTGCACGGACATCTCATTGGCTACCCTTGGCTGCAGGGAAGCTTGGGAAATGTAGTCCTTTAGCTGCACATTTTACCACCTCCTATAAATTGGAGTTCTGTTAGCAAGAAGGAAGGGTAAACTGGGTGTGGCTAGAATTGGGTTCACAGGAGGCATTTATTAAAAGCCCATTTGTTCCAAAAGCCACACACAACATGGATAAGTCTCACAGAAAAGGTTGAGCAAAAGAAGCCTGATGGGAAAGATTACTGTGATTCCAGTCAAAACTAATCTATGGTGCCAATGGTCAAAGGAGTTACTTGTGGTGGAGGGGTGTCAGTGCCTAGGAGGAGGCATTAGGGAGCCTTCTGGAGAGCTGGAAATGTTCTAGTTCTTGATCTGGGTGGCAGTTATGGGTGGATACTAATATAAAAATTAGTGAGGCATCCATTTAACATTTATGCACCTTATGTATACTGGCTATGCTCCAATAATTTTTAAAAGCATGTTCATTTCAGAATTATCTGTCTTCTAGGAATTAGTCAGAATATGCACACACATTTTTCTATTTCTACTTGTTTGCTTTGTGGAATACTTTAGCATCCCTTTCCTAAGGCCCAGCTTAAGCCTGTCTCCTGCAAAACGTTCTTCAATCCGCTGAGCTGGACATGTCATCTCTCTACCCAGAATGTCCCCAGCTGTATATCCTTTGATAGCATATCAGACCTTGAATGAGCCCCACATCACTTACTCTGAGCACAATGGCTGGCGCATGTTTGTTGAATGAATGAACAACTGTATGACCTCCCCACCGCAACCTAAGCATTGCACATTTTATGTAACAAGCCTTCATTCAGTCAATTCGTTATAACAGGCTCTATGTTCTTGGGGTAGAGAGATAAAGACACCATGAGCCCTGTCCATTATACAACCTGATATTTGAAATAGCATAAGTGTTGACAGATTTTTTAAAAAGTAGTAATAGTAGAGAAAAAGAAATTGTCCTTGATGGATCAAATCCCAAGAGGCTTCCTGGAGGAGCTGCCACTCTGAACCGGATGTTGAAAGTGAATGGGAATTTGCTGCTGGCTAGACATGGTTGGAGAAGGAAGAGGCAGCAGAGAGAATGGTAGTGTGTGCATGCGGGTCTGAGGGCCGAGTGACTTTGCCTAGGAGCGGGGCACAGGCAGCAGCAAGCCCAAGCCATAGCATATCTTCCCTCAGCGTTGGTGTCTGTTTGCCAGAGAAAATGGGACTATGCGGGGCTGGGCAGGCTGGCCCGCCGGGAAGCCTGCTTCCTCCCTCCCTCTCCCCTCCTCTCTGCTTCTCACAAAGTGGTCCTGAAATGACACCGAGAGCAGCTGCTTAAGCAATTTTGCCAATTAATGGGTCTCTGAAATTAAACCGCCTACACAGTCTGGATGAGCCTTCTCCAGGAGGGATTGCAGCAATTGTCTTCATGATAATCAGGCTTGACTTGCCTTCACACACATTAATAAAAAAAGCAAAGGCGTCGAGAGAGATGCCCTTTCGCGGGGAATATCGACAATATCATAATGAGGCTCAGGGAGAAGAATTCTGGGGCATGGCGCTGCATGCTCAAAACCGTTTCCCTCTGGTGGCAAGAGCCAGCTCTGGCTGGAAGCAGCTGGGCTTACAGTGAAGGAATATCAATGCCCGGTAGCCAGGCGGCTAGACCAGCCTGGAGAAAGGAAAGCACAGGCCAGGACATGCTTAGGAAGAGCAATCAGGAGGGCCTCCTGGAGGAATGATCAGGGTGGGAGGGACAAGCCAGTGAGTGCTGAGCACAGGGAACCTCAGCACAGGAGGGCGAGAACCAAAGCACCCAAGCTGCGGCTCTTCAGCCCTCTGCCCCTACACCCTACAAGAGCCAAGGACTTCCCTGCCCTGTTCACACACACCACCAGTTGATCACGCATGCCTTCTCCCCAAGCTGGATGTGACCGTGGAATCCTTCTCAGCACAATATCCTCAATACAACACCCCCAGTAGCCTCTAGCAATTGGTTGGCATGAGAACTCAGGGTGAATCTACTTGCCATCCAGCCTGAGAGTAGTTATGAGTTTGCTTTTGATGTCCCCCAGCCTTCCTTACTTTGCACTCTTTTCACCATGCACAGCCCGCCAGGTTTTCTCCTAACGGACGTCGTATTTTCACAAGGATCAAATGCTGAAGAGATGAAGTTCCAACGGTGGAGATTCAAGAGTGGAGAGCAGAAGTGGGGCTGCAGAGCTACCCAGATCCCAGGAAAAACTACACGTGAGAAAAGGGGACTGACAGCTATTTAATATCTACAAAATCACTACATGGTGCTTCCATCTGTAGTCTTGTTGAACCCCTGTATTCATTCTCCTGATAGGTATTCCCCCCACTTTGCTCACGGTGAGCCTGAGGCTTAGAGAGGTTACATAACTCATCCAAAGCTATGACGAGTAAGTGGTAGAGTTGGGATTGGAATCCAGGTCCACGTGAATCCTAAGTTTGTATGCTTCCCACCCTATCAGGAGGAGACACACACCCCATTCTGGCTCCCAGTGGGTTGGTGCCTTCAGGTTAGTGCAGCAGAATTCAGTAGAGCAAAGGATGTTCTCCATATGTGGGGTGTCTCCACTGCCTGGATGCTGGCAGTGGGATGAAGAGGTGAAGGAGGAGGGAGAGAAGAGGGAAGGAAGAGGCAGGTGGGGAGAGAACTGGCCTGCAGCATCACTGATCCAATTCAACCATGCATTAAGCCTTTACTGTGTGCCCAGCAGTCTCTAGAGTATGTAGGCAGTTCCCGAGAGCTTACCAGAACATTCCATTCCCTTCTCATCAAGTGGAAACTTCGTGCAGCTTGTAGAAGGCCGACCAGGTGTCAGACCCTTGAATGTACTCTTTACACAGATTGACTCTGATTCTCACAACTGTCAAGGTCATGCGGTTCTCAAATGACCCAGAGAGGATCAGAAAGCCAGCTTGTATGACGCTGAGCCAGGCTAATTTCACGGTGCCATTCCCTCCTCATCCCATGCCCATCATCAAGCAAAGGGGCCATCCAGGAAGGTGACTTTGTCACCTGGTAAAGGAACCAGTGCTTTGCTGGATCACAGCAGAATCCCTTGCTCTCCCCTGGAGTTGTCCCAGCTGTGGTGCCAGCATTGGTTCCAGGGACAGGGCTTTTTATTTAAATGGCCCGCATAGGCTGCCGTCTCCCTCCACTCTGTCGGCTCTTTGGGAGCTGGACAACACATCTCTTATTTTTGTCTCTCTCAAAACTCTTAGCCGGGTAATTATTTTTGGAATTGAAATACTTGCTTAAACCCTCAAATAATGTAAGGCAGTATATGATTGTGCCAAACCTACACTAAATATAGTACATAAGCATCTATGGCTAAAACTGCATCTTTTTTTCTGGAAAAAAAGTCTATTTATTTGTTTCTCTTCTTTCTGTGTGATTGTGTGTACATATTCACTGTCTGAGGGAAGGTGTTTGGTATCAGTTTGTTTTTGCTTGAGTGATTTGAAACCAAGCACACATACACACACAGTTCTACCTTACTAGGCTGTGGCCAGGCTCAGTTATGAGAACCACAGGCTGGAATTTAAGGATGCCTGCTAGGACAGAGGTCAGACTGCCTCCCTCCCACGATCACATTAACTGCCTCTTCCCTGGCTTCACTGGCTCTAAGGCAGACTCCCCTGCCCCAGCCCTCCCTATCTTCCTTAATTAACTTTCACTGTGCAGGTACCACGTGTGGGGGGTGCTAACATGCACCATCCCATTTAAACTGCATATCAACCTGAGGGAGTGGATACTCTTACTCATTCCGTTTTCCAGTTGGAAAAACTGAGGCAGCAAAGAGCATCTTTGTGGAGTCACCATCATTCTCCCCTGGCCCCTTGGTGACAATGGTGCCCTCTCGTGGGGCAGACGCCAGGACATGTGGAGGTGGTGGCTACAGCCCACAGCAAAGAGGACTAGCTGTCCACCATAAATTTACACCCCCCAGCCCATATGTGAGGCTACTGCTCAATCATGGGCTACATCTCCTCTCCCAGGCTCCCCTTCAACATCACAGGTCATGTCTCCAGTTCCCACCAATGGGGTGAGCCAGTCAGGATTCTCAGAAGCCTCTGTACCTTTGGTTGGTCTTCCTCCCTTATCTGCCAGTGGATACAGAAGACTGCGAAGCCTTAGAGGTGGGCAGATCCACAAGACCAGTGGAGCCTGGATCCCAGAATCACTCTGTGGAGGAGAGCTGCCTATCAACCAGAAACACCCTCAGGGAGCAAGACATAAACTTACCTTATGTTAAGCTCCTGATGATTTCAAGTTTATTTGATACAGCATCTAGCATTGGCCTGACAAAAACACAACCTATGGTCAATAGAGAGCTCAAGATTCCTGAATGATTTGTCCTCACCTGCATTTGCCCAGGGTACATCTGGCTGAGGGGACCCTGTCCTCAGCGTCTTAGAATCCACTCGCGGACTCATAAAACTTCAATGCCTCAAGGGCCTATGTAATCTCCACCTGGTCCCTCATTTTATAGATGCTGAGATTGAGGCCCAGAGAGAGCAGCAGCTTGTCTGTCATCATGATTCCCTGTCAGGTGCTTGCAAGATAAAAGTAGGACCCTCACCCACCGGAGCACGCACGTGCAACACTCACCACACAAGAACAGAAGGGAGAAGATGGCTCTTCTATGTATGCATCTGGAGGTCTGTGTCTATTTCCTCCATACAAACAAAGTCTCCCTTCAAGGATCCCCTGCTGTGCCATTCTCTCCTGACACCTTTTAAGGGAGCCAGGAGGGCCTGAGCTGGGGCTGATGGGAGAAAGGGTCACCAGGGAATCCAGTTACCAGACCCTGACCTAGACACCTAGGGTCAACCCGGCTCCAGCAGCCAAGGTGCTGGGAGAAACCGGGGCTTCAAGACATAAAAGCAGAAAACACAATGTTTTATTAGTGCTTGAGACATTTATTTCCCCAGTTAACAACAATAATAAACTCGTTTACGGCTGTGAGTTTCATTGCGTTCCCCGGTGGGGCTCCCACCTGCTGCCGCTGTTCAGAGCTGTGCGGCTCTGGAGCACGGAGAGGCCAGCCTGGCAGCTGGCGTGGGCGGGCACCGCCTCCTGGCAGCTGGGAGGGCCGGGCGGGAGTCCCCCGGACACTGTACCAGCAGCATGAATCCCGCCTTGGTGAGGGGAGGCAGGCTTGCTCCCCACGGCGGGACCACTGGCAAGCAGGTGTTAACAGAGGTTTCTGGGCCGTCACCTGGCTATTGTGCAGGTGTCTCCTTCAGATCATGGAATGAAACAATGGTTCTGACTCAGGTGACTTCTTTGGGGGAAACCAAAATTTCAATGTCAAGTTATGGGCTGACCTTCAAGTAGGGTGGGGCTGGGGTGCAAACTTTTAGAAAGTATTCACTTGCAAGGCCAGGCAAGGGTCTCCTTAAATGCTGTGCTCCAGGCACTTGCCTGTCACCCTCTAGTCCTGGCCAGGGGGGTCACATGCTCCCTCCATTGACAAGCATGTCAGGCCTCACAAGTGTTTTCTTCCAACCTACCTTGGAAAAGAGGTTCGTCTTTCCTTTCCTGGGTCTCACTGTGGCAGCTTGGACCCCATACCCCCTTCCTCGTGATGCCGGGTTGCATGGGCTGGAGAAATGCAGTGGACACAGCTCACAGTCTTCACACAATCCAGTGGCCCTTCCTGGGACTGGGAACCAAGGCGGGTGGGAGGGAAATTTTATGAATTTATAAAGATATGACTCACCTTATGTTGTTGTTGTTTTTTAAAAATGCACTCAAAATAACTATCCTCCTGTTCCTGCCAACTTCCTCCCTGGTTCTAATTGCTGCCTTGCGCCTCATCCACTCAGCTCTCAGAGACTTGCTTTGCCTGATATTTCTTTGCATGATATTTCTTCATCATGAGGAAGGGGGTGATGGGGTCCAAGCTGCGATAGTGAGACCCAGAAAAGGAAAGGTTAACCACTTTTCCAAGGTAGATTGGAAGAAAACGCATGCGAGGCTTGAAAAAGTTCTGAATTTTTTTTAATTTGTTTAAATTTTTATTTATTTATTTATTTATTTTTTGAGACAGAGTCTCGCTCTGTCGCCCAGGCTGGAGTGCAGTGGTGCCATCTCCTCTCACTGCAAGCTCCGCCTCCCGGGTTCACGCCATTCTCCTGCCTCAGCCTCCCGAGTAGCTGGGACTACAGGCTCCCGCCATCATGCCCGGCTAATTTTTTGTATTTTTAGTAGAGACGGGGTTTCACCGTGTTAGCCAGGATGGTCTCAATCTCCTGACCTCGTGATCCGCCCACCTCGGCATCCCAAAGTGCTGGGATTACAGGCGTGAAGCACTGCACCTGGCCAAAGTTCTGAAATTTTATCTGCGGGTGGGAGCAGGGGTGGTTGGCAGGTGTGTGAGTGTCCTGTTGAACCTCCCTATACTAGGGACCCTCACGCTTGAACAGCATCAATCCCCTGGAGGCATGTGGGTTGCTGGACCCACCCCAGTGTTCCTGATTCAGGAGGTCTGGGGACAGGCTCGAGAACTTGCATTTCCAGTGATGCTGATACTGCTGGTTGAGAGACCACATCTTGAGACCCGCTGCCCTGAGGTGTTCCGGTAGAAGAGCTCTGGGATTAGTCAGAGCTGAGTTCAAATCTAACTCTGCTGTTTATCAGCTATGTGACTTAGGGCAAGTCATTCAAACCCCCCCAAATACACAATAATAGTAACTCATAAGAATAATAATAGTGCCAATGTTTTGATCATATGCTGGGTCTTGTGCCTGGTTCTTTAATTGGCAGCATCTGTCAGTCCTCACAATGACACAGTGAGGTCAGTGATTTGAACAGCTCCATTTCATAGATGCAAAACTGGAGGCTCAGGAGTTAGGAGATGTTCTCAAGAGCACACTGCTGACTGCAAGTGGTAGAGGCAAGAATTTCAATGAGGTCTGACTACGGAGCCCACAGAGGTGGCATAGTTAGCGTAGATCACTAGAACTGTTTTGAGGATTAAACAAGACCTACGTAGAGCACCCAGCACGATGCCTGGCACTCGCAGCCACGGCTCAGGGAGTGAGCCTCACCTCCCTAAGGAGAAGAGCCTAGATGAAGCAGGAGAGGGAGGGAGATGGGGGCCGAGCTCATTGACTTCTCAGGCTCCGGGTGAGCCCAATCTGGGGAGGGGATGAAAACAGGAAATGGTGAATGAGGCATCCCAGGGCAACACTGAAGGAAGCAGACACAGCTCTGCTTGAGTAGGGGGTCAGGGCCTGTTTCTGACACATGGAGAAGGGAACCACCCATCACCATGGCTAGACCTGGATTTCCTCCTCATCCATCCAGAGCCCTCAGCAAGGCCAGGGCGTTCTCCTGGTCAGAAGCCTTACCGCAGTGCCCCAATGTTTCCAGGTGCCCTTTAGGACTCCCATGGGAGAAACAAGGCCTTTAGCTCTCCTGCTGTGTCCCTGGCAGTTGGCTGGGCCCAACCAGGAAATCTTTTCTAAAGCATTTCCCATAGCAATAGTCAACCCAGCCATTGGAACCAGCCCCCAGGCAAAGACAGAGTCTCATGATTTTTGCATATTGTTTGCTCACTCCACTTTACAAAAATACAATTACCATCATGTTTGCCCTGCAAAGGAAGCATGCTTATGTATATAGTAAGATAGGGTGTCCCAGAGTACAACCTCTAAGCAGAGACATAGCAGGGCACACCCAACCTCAGAGCTTGAATGATCTCTCAGAGCACCTGTTTAGGCCATGCTCACCACACTGGATGTGCCCTTGAAAGACTCCCACCTTTGTGATGCTTTACCTCCTTATGGGAAAGGGGCCAGGGAACATCTAGTCAATGAGCCCTGACTACAGAGCCTACAGAGGTGGCATAGTCATTGTAGATCACTAGTACTTTGCCAATACCTGGATGACAAAGGCTGGAGTGGGGTCTTGCAAGGTGAGGTCCTCCTACCCCCAGCATTGGCATTCCTGGAGAGGCCTGTTAAATGCAGATTCCTGGGCCCCACCTGGGGTCTTCCTGGTGATGAAGAGGTCTTATTGCAAAGTGAGTGCCTCCAATGTGCAGAGCCTGGAGTCTGGCTGTTGATCCTGGAGCCAAATCTACCTGCCGGGTGCCATCTCAGGCATGAGCCTCCAGGACCATCCAGCTTTGCTCTCCTACACCACCACCATTATCACTAAGATGCCACCACCCCCTTCCCAATAAGCCTTCTTCACTAACCACCTTGTAAAGGAAGGCCTAACGGCTGAGTGCACATTCTGCACAAATGGAAGCTATTCAAAGACAAATTCCTGGGTGGCAGGCTGTGTCTTCCATCTCTTCTTCCTGCCCTAGAGGACCCCCATAGAGCAGACACCCCAGCTAACACATGGTGGAAGGAGGCAGGCTCACAATCCCCGTAACCTGGGGCGTCCGTGCCTATGTCCCTGGGCCGAGTGACCTGACAGCCATCTGTGATCGGTTTGCTGCTTTTCACACCATTGCTTTTTGCCTCCTAATGGTCTCCATAGCATATATGCCAGCAGGCATTTTTAATCAGAAGAAATTAAAATGAGTTGCTTTGGAAATGTCACTGCCTCTTTGGACACAATGATGGTCAGGCGGAATGTCACTAACCAGTGGAGAGAATCCTGGCTTTGGTGAAAGAAAGAAAAGACTGCACTGAAGAATGCAAAGTGGAAAGAGGGTTTCTCTAGAAGCACACAGAACCTGCCTCTCACTGCCTATGTGACCCTGGGCAAGTCATTTACATTGCTGTCTTCTTGGTTCTGTAAAACGGATGAGAATCCAGGGCCTCCAACAGTAATTACACAAGGTGATGCATGGCAGAGCACATGACCTGGAGTAGACGCTTAAGGAGGGTCAGTGGAGAGAATAGGTCCGTGTAATAATTATCCCGCATATTTGAATAGGACTTTACAATTTTCAAAGCACTTTCTAATATGTTACAGGGCTAATTAAGTGTCAATGATTAACAGACGCCTAAGCGGAAAGAGAGACAGCCTTTGGTCCACTTGACAGTGGGGAATGGTTCTGTGGTTCTCCGGGGAACAGGCAGAGCTGTGAGTGTTTGATCTTGGCACAAAATGATTCTGACTACTACTATTCTTTCTATCAGGAATGGAGATTTAATTAAATACCGATTTGTCTTTAACAACTTTGAAACACCCTTTTCACCATGAGAGCTCTAAGTGATTTGCAAGGAAATAGGAGGTAGCTTACGGGGGCCCAGAGAAAACATTCCAAAGCACAAGTCTGGGTTTCTGTATTTATTTACTCTTTGTGTCTCTGCCTCTCCAGCTCTGTGTCATACACACACACATCCCTACGGATGGCAAGTGAGGAAGACACACTGTTAAAAACACTCAGACATGGTCAAGCCAGAGAAAATGCCACAGCCCTCCAGAACCATATTCTGTATACCAACAAAGCCTGAGATGATTTTTTTTCCTGACCTCCAGATGCCCGTTTTACCAGGTTACCAGGCATCCTGAGGCCCACCCTCTATTAAGGAAGTCAGGGCGGGGGTCCAGGAGCCTGCATTTAACAAGACTTTCTGGTAATGCTAATGCTGGGGGTAGGAGGACCCCATCTTGCGAGACCCCACTCCAGCATTTGCCATCCATGTGTTGGAGAATATATGGACCAAGCCAGCCTAGTAAATCATTTTCCCCTCTTCCCCATTTTGAATTCCTCAGGATTTACACCTTGGGGGAAGCTGAGCATTTCCCTGACAACGGATGACTAATATAGAAGTCCCTGTGAACAGGTGGAAGACAGGGGTAGACAAGAGAAACAATGTGGACATGTCTCAAGTTGAAACATCAGGCTCTTGACAGCCTCAGGCACACACACTGGCAGGGAGGGGCCCTGAGGCTCAGGCAGGGGAGACACTGCCTAAGGAAGCCCAGTGTTCTGTCGGGAGGGAGGGAGGCTCTAGTGAACTCTTAAGGGCAGGTCAGGTCAAGTCTCACCCTGAAGTTTATTTTTGGAATGAAATTTATAGAAAGAGTGTGGTCAGAAGGACAATTGGGTACCTGGGGCTAGAAGCTGGCTAGATGTGGGGCCCCCAGAAGGAGGACTTGGCAGGCAGGTAAGTCTAGGGAGAGCTCACCCCTGGCAGCAGCTGGCCCCAGGTTCCTGACCTCATTTCTCAGAAAGTTCTCTGTGGCCACATGGGTTTGGTCCCTCGTGTTTTCTCTCACCACTCTGCTCTAGGGCCTCTGCTCCTGCCAGCCTCCAGCCTCTGCTCATGTCTTATGATGCCCTGCCTTCCTTGCAAGTCACTCTGTCTGTCCAAATTCTGCCCATCTTCCTAAGGCCCAGCTCAGGCCTGCCTCTGTGGGGCCTTCCCTGACCATACCAGCAGAATGCTCTCTCCCTCTCACAACTCTCATCACCTTATATCTATCATCAGCTGAGCCTTAATGCACATGCAGGGCAAAGGCTAGAGCCTTCCGATGGCCTTTCCTTCAAATGAGGAACAGGAACCTCATGGTGGGACCTAAGTCATGAACTGGATGTTGGATGTTGCTTCGTCAGTTGAGCTTAAGTAGGCACAAAGACCCTCAAACTTGGCTGCACATGAGAACCACCTAGGAAGTTTTAAATAACACTGATGAGGCCAGGCACAGTGGTTCATGCCTGTAATCCCAGCACTTTGGGTGGCCAAGGTGGGCGGATCACCTGAGGTCAGGAGTTTGAGACCAGCCTGGCCAACGTGGTGAGACCCTGTCCCTACTAAAAATACCAAAATTAACCGGGCATGGTGGCAGGTGCCTGTAATCCCAGCTGCTTGGGAGGCTAAGGCAGGAGAATCTCTTGAATCTGGGAGGTAGAGGTTGCAGTGAGCAGAGATTGTGCCATTGCATTCCAGCCTGGGCAACAAGAGTGAAACTCCGTCTAAAAAAACTAACAAACAGAAAAAAAATGAAACACACACCAAAATAATGCTGATACCTGTCCCTGCCCCAGATCAACTGAAACCAGTTATCTGTGGGGTAACCAAGTCAAAAGCTCCCTGGGCTATTCTGATGCACAGTGGAGACTGAGAGCCAGTATAATAGGCTGATCCTCATTCTTAGCCATGAAAGAGCAATTTGAGAACAAAGCTACTTTCCCTTCATTCTAATACCATGAGAATTCAACATATGGGGTAGTTACTGTTGTTCTTTTGTTCTTTTTCTGATCTCCACTCCTTTAGAAATGGGGGAAAAAATATTCAAGACTCAATGTAGGCTTAAACTAGCCAGAGACCAAGGATAGCAAATAGCTATGTAGCCACTCCATTCCATGACCTTGACAGGCACTGCTAAGCAATAGTGGTACATGTTCTTTCTGAACCAGAAGCGTCTCACAATGTTTCACTACTCTGCTCCAGGCAGATCCAATCAATTAGAGTTGGCATCTTAGTTGAACGTATTTGTTACTCCTGCTAGAAGAAGCAGAAATAGAAATGCCCTGATTGCTTAAGTTTCGATCAAGAAAGTCAGTGGTAATGGTAGTCTTTTTCTAACTATCCTTGGATGTCCTCAGGGCCTAACTTTAGATGGGAAAGGCAATTCTGAGTTTCTTTAGAGTGAGCCAATGTATTCATCTTTCTAAAGAAATTTAGCATGGTTTCCCATTGGATCTCTTGGCTGACCCAGGGCAAAGAAGGCTATATAGAGAGGAGTAGGGCATCTGAGAAAGATGGCCAAGTGCGTTTTCAAACCCAGTTGACAACATTGTCAATTTCCCCACCACTTGAGCTTGGTCTAGAAGTAATCAAACCATTCCTTTGTCTCCAGGTATATGGGATTCCTCATGGTCTTTCTTCTCTAAAGGCCTGACTGTCCGCTTGTTAATGGGGTGACCTTAACTGTACTTTTCCAAACTATATTTCAAGTGTCCTGGATTGTTCTTCTAATCAGGACTGCACACCACCTGACCCCAGCCTACTCTTCCAGTCTGATCTCCCTTTTCACCCTCAGAACTCCAGGTTCTGGCCACAGCATTGCTGCTTTGTCCTGAATGTGTGTCTCTCCTTCATGCTATTGCCAGCACCTAAAATGTCCTTGCTTCCATTTCTATCAGCTTTGGTCTTACACCCACATCAAGACCTACTCAAATCACACTTCTTGCCTAAGGTCCCCCAGCTTCACCCATTATCCTAGATCTCTCCTTCCCCTGGTCTTCCATTGTGCCCATTGTGCCCTTCTATTTTAGCCAAGGGAAGCACACGACTATTAAGCATCTACCAAGTGCCAGTCACTGTCCTAGGTAGTAGTATTAGGAATCTGATTTTATTTAATCTTATCAGCACTTCTATTTCTTAGATCTCACCATCTGCATTTTATTAATGAGGAAATTGAAAACCTTCACAGTTCAGTGATTTGTCTAAGGTGGCAGAGCCCACATCTCCTGTGCTTTTCCAGGCTCTGTTCTTTCTTCTGTTCTCCTCTGTCTCCAAGGTGGAATTTCCCCTTGTCTGCCTTGTACATAGAAACTGGAGTCAGATAATCTAGGATCAAGGCCCAATTACCTATTTAGTTACTCTGTTATTTTGGCAGTTTACTTAACTCTTTGGCCTCGTTTCTTCATTTGTCAAAGAGGATTAAAATAATACCCACCCACCTTATCTCATGGAGGAGAGCTCCTCTATCCACAGATTGTGAGCCTCCTGGGATGAGACCTCAATGCACTCATCTTTGTGTCTTAGTACTGGTTGGCACTGGGCCTAACACAGTAAATGCTCAATAAATCCTTGTAATTCAATTACATGAAATTAAATTGAATGAGTAAACAGGTTAGGGAAAGAACTCAAACACCTCATTTTTTGGGTCCAGAATTGATTGTTCCCAACAGTGTCACCTGGAATGGATTTTGGTCACATTCACTCGTAACTGGTTTGCTATTTGCTTTGTTTAGCAAATTCCTTCACAGAAAGACAGGGAGGGAGTCTGGGAAGGCAGGATAATGGTGTGGGAAGATGCTGGAATCTGAGAAGGAGCTGAGATTGTTGGTTGAACATATTGCTGTCTGTGTGGAAAATGTTCACAGCAGTTACAACTTTGGATGAATATGCATTAGCGGCGGTGCTGCAATTTGCTCGCGTGTGCCACGCTACACTTGGAGACTTGGCAAGATGGGTAATTATCTCCACGTTATGTGCCTTGTCTCTTTCTCTTCTTAATTAAGTAACTAATCTGGTGGAGGAGAGCTCTGTTTGTGTTTGTTTGGCAGGTGCAGCCTCGTGACAGTTGTCTGGAGAAGTTTCTTGGAAATTTATGAGACTTTCAAAAAACAAACTGCTCGGAGCCGAGCCGACCTGCTGGAGCCTGGGAGAATCAGAGTCAGCCCTCTCCTGGAGCACAAGACAGTGTGGCAGTTGCTGCTTCTCCCAGACTGAGTGGCTCCTGCTAGGGGGGCCCGCTGGGGGTGCCGACCTTCCAGAGCTGTCCCAGGGCAGCGGGAAGCAGGTGTCTCCCAAGGGCAAGCTCTCCTTGTAGGGAGGAGGGAAGTCAGGGACTGGAATTAGAATAACAATGGGTTCTTCTTTCTACTTTGTTTCCCCCTGGATTTCTGTATTTGGGTAGTTTTTTTTCCCCTCAGTCCCATGGAACTCTCTGTAAAGGAATTGATTAAACAAGCTAAGTGCTGAACTTATTGAATACTGATCACGTGGCTTATGGGTAAACCTGCTGACATAAGGGTGCTTGGCTGGGCTGGATTAGTTGAATCCAGATGACGCAGGCCAGTGACCCGGGAGGTGTTGGGTTCCATGCTGCTGCAGTGTGGTCATTCAGCAGAGGGCATGGGTCATCATCACACTGATGGCTCTTCCAGGCTGCACAATGACCAGCTCAGGCTGGCCCAGGAGAGTGGAGGATGGTGCAGATTCTTTCAGGGCCATGAGTTAGTTGCAGGAGAGGGGTGGGGATGAGCCGGGCCAGCTAATGGTAGGATGTCACAAATCCAGGGAATGCAATTGAAGGAGTTACCAAGGAAGTGCAAGTGACCATGCTGAATCTTGCCAGCACACTTATGTGGGTCACAGATAGTGCTGCCAATCATGAGGAGAATCCCCTAAACAAACATAGATGCCCAATGCAGACAGATACAGCTGTGGGCTGCTTAGCTCAGATAGCTGCCCTGGGCCAAGGGGCCCTTGCTTTGAGCTTTGAGTTCTGGTTCTTTATTTGAGGTGATGGGCTTGTCTTCTGCGTGGTTATATACCACCCAACACACATCCCACTTCAATGACATGAGCTGTCAGACTCCCCAGTTAGTGGCCCATGCCGGGGGATGGCAGTATGTCGCTGTGGGAGGCAGAACTCTGAGATGATCTCTAGGATTACCCTGGTGCACACACACCTTCCCCTGTTTGTCAAACCCTTCTTGGTACTGCTGTGAAGGGATTTTGCAGATGTAATTAAGGTCCCTAAACAGTTGACTTAAAAACAGGGAGATTATTGAGGGAGACTGACCTAATCTCATGGGTCCTTTAAAAGTACAGCGTTTTCTCCAGCTGGTTGCAGAAGAGAAAGTTAGAAACTTGAAGTATGGGAATGATTCCATACACCATTTCTAGCTTGAAAATGGAGGAGTCCATGTGGCAAGAAATTTGGGTGGCCTTTGAAAGCTGAGAATAGTCCGTAAGAAAAAAGACCTCAGTCCTACAACCACAAGGAAATGAATTTTACCAACAAGAAGAATGAGCTTGAAAGTGGATTTCTCCCTAGTGCCTCCAGTTGAGAACTCAGCCTGGCCACACCTTGATGTCAGTTGTGTCATTACCTGATCAGGCAATAGCAACGCTGTGCCCACTTCTGACCTATAGAGCCATGAGCTGGTAGACAGATGCTATTTGAAGCCACTGAGTTTGTACTGATTTGTTCTGCATCAATAGAAAATAAATACAGATGGTTGGCCTCCCACTTACCTATGAGAAAAGTTGCTAAAAGATTCTGACATTTCTTTTACAGTCTAGGTACATGTGGACCTGGACTCTAATCTTGACTTTGCCATTGGCTTGCTTAGTGATCTCAGACAAGTCATGTCCCTTCTCTGGCCCTCAGTTTCCTCTTTGGTAAAAGTAGGAGTTGGACCCAGTGATTTTTAAGGTCCTTCATAGGATGCTCATTCTAATTGAGCCATATTCTGCTCAAACTCCTTTTATGAATCTCCACTGCCTTTAGGAAAACGGAGGACCTTCCTCTCTCTGCTATTCAGAGTCTCCATAATTTGGGCCTAGCCTCACTCTGGACCTTGCATTCCACTTCTTCTCTCTGCACTCCTGTGCTTCACCCAGATCCCACATACCACCTTGCATATTGGCGTTCATTCTCCTCCATTTTCCGTGTTGTCCATCCCTGTCACCAGCCCAAAAATTGAACACACAAGTTTCCGTCCTAATCACTTTGGGCTTCTGTAATGGAATACCATAGCCTGGGTGGCTTAAACAGCAACAACTTATTTTCTCACAGCTCTGGATGTTGCAAGTCTGAGGTCAAGGTGCCGGCATGGTTGGGTTCTCGGTGAGAGCCCTCTTCCTGGTTTATATAGGGCCACCTTCTTGCTGTGTCTTCATGTGGTGGACAGGGATCATCTTTCTTGCGTCTTTTTTTCTTTTTTTTTTTAATAGATAGGGTCTCATTCTGTCAGCCAGACTGGAGTGCAGTGATGTGATTATAGCCCACGGCAGCCTCAAACTCCTGGGCTCAAGTGATCCTCCTGCCTCAGCATCCCAAGTAGCTAGGACTACAGGTGCACATTAGCCACCATATCTGGCTAATTTTTAATAATTTTTGTAGAGAAGGGCTCTCGCTACATTGCCCAGGCTGGTCTTGAATTCCTGGGCTCAAGAGATCCTCCTGCCTTGGCCTCCCAAAGTGCTGGGATTACAGGCATGAGCCACCCGATCTCAGCCATATTTGCATAATTATAAGGACTCCACTCTCATGACCTAATCACCTCCCAAAGCCCCACCTCCTAATTCCATCACAGGGGCAGTTAAAATGTCAACATCTGAATTCCAAGAGGATGCAAACATTCAGCCCACTGCACTACTCATCTTCCAAGGTTTAGCTTGAGACATCTGCTCCAGAAGCTTTCCTGATATCTCCATATGAGTAAGGCTGTCTTTGGTGGTAACTATAAAAACCTCAACTCAAGCTAGGTTGAGAAGAAAAATACGGAAGCTAGTGATTCATGTAACTGAGGAGTCTATGGTTAACCTGAGGCACAGATGGATCCAGGGAACAAATTATGCCATTGGGACTTTGTCTCTCTCTAGCCATCTCTTTTCTTGGCTTCCCTTTTTGAGTCAGTGTCCTTCTTTATGTGGGGTAAGGAGTATGGCCCCTGGTAGCCTGAAGCCTGATTCCTTATGGATTGAAAGTCAAAAGGAAGAAGTTTCCTGTCTCTCCCAGCATCTCTTTCCCCCCTCAGCATCTCGGTTTTTAGAGGAAACCCTAGCAGTCCTGCTTGGCTCACGCAGCCGCCTAGAACCAATCACTACATTCACATAGGCGCCACCTCTCTGATTGGCCAGTGAAGGGGGGGTCACTTACCTGAGTCTTGGTAGGAAGGGGACTGTGACTGATAACCTCACCCTGACCACCTGGCCTGGGGGAGGTGTGTCCTCCAAGGAAGAGCAGATGACTGGAAGTGAGAAAGTAGAGCCGGTCAGACAGGAATGAGAAATGCCCACTCTCTCCTTGCCTGGTCTTGCTCTGGGCTTCTGCTGGCCTCCTATCCTTCCGTTCATTTGGCCATCATCACACACTCCCCTGCACAGGAGATATATGTATTCCTATATGCAGAGAAAATATAACTGGTTGCTATTTTTCAATAACCAGATCTTCCTCTCAATACTGGTGAGCAGGGAAAAAAAACAATTTGAATTTTTTAATATGACTGAATGTAGTTGGCTCTAATAATTTTGAACAGCCCCCCTAGGAAAATTTTTGCTCATTGGAGTAAAAATACTCAACTGTTGCACTTGCTAAGGTGAGGTCCACATACATGGGAAGATGGGCTTACAAATCCATATGGTGACAGTGTGGGGGATGAGTCTAAGCCCCTGGATGGGGTGTCCTGTCCTCCTCTGCCCTGTCCACCTGGGTGTTGTTTGCTCTGGGATCATTTGCTGCCAGAGCCTGAGGCAGGGGAAGACTGTGATGGGTCTCCATAGTTCAGTGGCACCTTTTGGCTGACTCTGCCTCTTCTCAATGCCCATGGATGCAGACCTGCTGAGGTCAGCCAGTCCTGTGTCTAGCCCTCTGGCCTGCAGTCCACCCCTAGCCTTGGTGAAGGGTTCATCACCCCCTGCTGCAGCCATTCCTATGTTGGGGGAGAGTGAGGGGCTCACACCCATTGTATTCTCCCTCTTTCCACCTCCAACTTTTGGCTGGGTCTTAATGTGTCATTGCTTGACCAGATTGCTTGAGCCTTAATGGCAAACGGGGCCCATGTTTTGCCCACTGATTTTAGGAAGAGTGTGAACTATCCCCTGGTCTTGGTGGTTAGCATGCTAGTGGAGAAGATAAAGGAATTTTAAATATCCTTTCTGAGACAATAGCTGGGTTCACCACTAGACTAGTGCTCTCATGCGTAATCCTATTTTGTCTGTCAATAACTGAATATTGCCTCAATCTTTCTTTCTGCATCCCTTTGGAAACAAAGTCTAATCTCTCTCCAGGCAGACAGTTCCCTGAGATGGACCAAGGTCACCCTCCAAGAAAGCAAAAAAGAAAGCACATTAAAGACTAAAAATATCATCAGACCACATGTGTGCTGCTTGTTTCCTCTGCTAAATTGCCTGCGCCTTGAAGGCAGGAGCCATGGGGCACCCTATGGAAAGCTACTTACCAAGCAGTTACTCAGTGAGTGTACCCTCGCTGGGTAGAACTATGAGCAAGACTGGATCACTTTTATTTTGTAAAGGGATTAATTAATTCCTTCAGCAGACAGTGTGTGCCAGCTACTGTGCTGGGCACTGCAGGAATACAAGGATGGATTGAAGCTGAAAAGCATGCTGTTTGCTTAAACCCACAATTCAGACAACCACCTTAAAGTATGGGAACTATTGGATGATTAAATGGATATTGAAAAGCACTTGGGAATTCCTGTCTACCTCCCACAGTGCCCTCCAGGTCCTCAAGGCTGCTTGAAACATTCTGCAGGTCTCCAGTGCTCCATTTCTTTCACTCCTTCCCTGTTGGTGTCGAGCATGCAAAGACCTCTGTTTCTTAGAACGTGCTTAATGTGTCATTGCTTGACCTGATCTATAAATATTGGTGCCCGCAGTGCCAACTCCCTGATGCATGATGGGGAGCCACCCTGGAAGTGTGGTTCAGTTGAGCACCTGATTTATTTCTTGGGTTACAGACGAGTGAGAATTCTTAATGGAAGTAGCTTCTTTAGTGACCCAGGGAATGTGGAAAGTGCAGAAGCCCGTTAAATCCTTTCCTCCTTGATATTTTTTTTGGCCATAACTGGCCTGCATTTTATGGTCTCCACTCAAAGACAGGCTTGCCTGGGGATTGGGGACTGATTCTGGCTTTTGGGCAACTCACACAAGCTGAGTGTAAATTGCAGACCCATTGTAGCTAAAATAAGCAAATGAGGCTGCAGTAATTTTAGGACAGCAAATGGATGCTTGCAAAGTGGTGTGGAAAGATGTTGTTTTTGAGGACAAAGGAAGGGCGAAAGTTTGCCAAAGGACTTTGCCAGAGATGACTCAACGGATAAGCCATTTGGGATGGGGAAGCATTCTCCAGCATAATGGGATGGAAGGAACATCATACTTGGAGAACGGAATTTAACTCTAGGCCTGGATCTGCCACGGATTAGCTGTGGGACCTTGGGAAAGTCACTTTTCATCTATGGGTTTTGTTTCTTCATTGGCAAAATAAAGCTTCATTCTTAATTTTGGAATTCTCCAAAATTCTTTCCAGGTCTAAGAGGACGTGGTGTCATGGTTCTGCTGAAATGTCCTTGTCTTGGCACATTTGCAGATCTTCATGGTCTTCAAATTGGCTCTTTGTCATAGAAAGCACTCAAAACACCATCACTGCCAACCTTTGCACACAAGGGAAATGGCTCAGAAGTAGCTCAGGAGTGAGTGGGGAAGCAAGAGAAGGCTGGGCTTGATACTTGAAAGAGCCTCTTTTTAAAGGCAGTCTCTAAAGATGTGATTGAGTTAAAGCATCCTATTGTTGGGGGAGGCGGGTTGGGGGCGGGTGTGTGTGGAGAGCTGACCAATCCAGAGGG
The DNA here is from genome assembly GCF_000001405.40 of Homo sapiens. Taxonomy (NCBI): domain Eukaryota; kingdom Metazoa; phylum Chordata; class Mammalia; order Primates; family Hominidae; genus Homo; species Homo sapiens. The sequence continues at coordinate 70,401,335 of NC_000015.10, read as the reverse complement.
AAGAGTTGAGAGATTTTGTAACTGAGTCCCTTGTTCTTGCCCTGATGTTCACAAGCTATGTTATCTTGGACAACCTTTTCTGGACTCAGTGTCCCCATCCAGACAATGGAGAGACTCTCTCTAGGATCCTTTCCAGCTCTCTCATGTTAGGGCTCCCTGATGGTATGAGAAAGCACCTCCCTCATCAACACAAACATAAATCCTTAAACTCTCCAGGGCTAGAAAGGAGCAAAGTGTTCTGAAAGAGACTTGATCTCTCTGGGCAGCAGAAATCAAAGTTAATCCTGCAGGGAGGCAGAGCTGAGGGAGAACAGCTGGGAACTTGTCAGTACAGTGGCCTCTTCTCACCAGGAAGCTTCCCTGGTGGGTTCTGGGTTTGGCTTTAATGAGGCCTGCGGTTCCTTATAGAAACCCACTGGTCAGTCACAGTGTGAGGCATGGGACCAGAGAAAGTCAGAAAGACAACTTCATCATGTGCTGTGAATCACTCAGCTTCCTTGAGTTTTCTTGAGCAACAACCAAGCATCAGCCTCTCTATTGGGCACATTTCACATGCGGTATGTATTAAATAGTAATATTTTTCGTTCTTTGGGCTGCCAAAACCTAAGTCCTCTCCTAGCGATGAGTCTTGGTGGAAGGTAAAGCCCTGCCTTCCACCTTGGAAAGCAAATGGGGTAAGATGCTTCCTTGCTAGTCATCCGGGGGCATTTCTGGTGAGGACACCTGGCCTACTTCCTATAGTTCAGACACTCCCACCTGGATTCTGAATCATGAGCAAATCATCAAAGGTAAAGGGACCATTAGAGTGGACTCATGACAGAGCCCCACAGCAGTGGACCTGCTCATTTTGCCACCTACCGCTTGGCTGTCAGCAGCTACGTTCGTTTTCTCCATTTTGCAAGCCTTGCTCTTCAGTTCCCTGTTGATTCTGAGGTCCTTTCTGCTTGTGATAACCACAGCTAGTTTCTGTTGCTTGCAGCCCTGATTCTGGGTTGTTACTCTGCTCTTATCCCATAAAAACCATACAGGGAACTCTATCAGATACCTTATGAAAATCTTGGTCCCACCTCTTGCTCCAGCCACTGTGATGAGCAGTTCCAAGCAGGTTTTACCCACTATTCTGGGGGCTTTCACTTCCTATCCCAGGGCTTCTCTGATGCCAAAGCATCAGGTGGCTTGGGGACCCCATGGGCAGGGGAGGGAGCTGTGGAGCTGCCCTTAACCAGGGAGGAACAGAAGCCAGCGAGGAATGTTTTCTCCATTCCTCCCTGCATGGATGTTTCTGTGATGTATTCTCTAGGGTGGCTCAGAAGGTGACTGTAGCAGTGGCTTACTCCATAATGGATCCTTGTATGAGCTTCCCACCTCCCACGTTCCCCTGGCTGGTCCTTCCTTCTGGATCCTTTCCAAGGTAAATGACCTACAGACAAGCCTGTTTCTTGGACTCTGCTCTGGAGGGGACTGATGTCCAGACAGGAACTGAGACATTGAGACATTTAGGAACTTGTTCTTAGATCACACAAAGAGCAGAACCAAAGCTTGGACCCAGGCCCCTTTGACTCCAAGGTCTCTGGTCTTTTCCCTTGCCACAGGTCCTGAGTTAATAATGAGTGGGGAGTGTGACCAAGTCTGCACTCTGGGGTGGGCTGGGAGGGGACTCTAGTTGGCCCAGGAGAGGGGCAGTCCTGGCATCCTTAACCTGGTGCCAGCAGCTGTGCACACTAAAGCCTTTCTGACTTCTGAATATTTTTGTTCCTATCTAAAGAAGTTTATATCTTTTTCTTGGTTGGCTTCCCCTTCCCCTGTCTTTGAGCCTTGCCCTGCTTGGGGGAACATACTAGAATGTGAGTTGAGAGACCCAGACTTCAGTCTCAAGCCCACCACCAACTTGCTGTTTGACCATAGAACAAGGGACCTCTCCTGGCCCCCTGGGTCCCTGTCTGGCCAGTCTAGTGGTTTCTAGGTGCCCATATGGCTAGGCCAAGTCAGTCACTTGGGTGAAGGGTGGTGGGGGAGTGGTGCTAAGGGAAGTTTAGTAATTACATTCCCAAATTCTACCTCCAGAGATTCTGATTCAGGACCATCTGGTGGGGCCCAGGCTTCTGTATTTTTAACAGGCTCTTTGAGTTTTAATCGATTTCTCTCCACTTTCTTGATCTCTCCCTCTCTCAATCCCCTGATTTGGGAATGATTAGGGAATTCCAAAAAAGCAATTCCACTCCTAAATATCTCCTCTCTCAAATATCTCCCCAAATAACTGCACTTCCACCTTCCAGAGCAGGTGCCGTTTTCTGGAGGCCCCTGTGAGATACCCACAAGCTACCCTGGAGGGATGGTGCAGCCACGCATTGCCATCCGTGGCATCACACAGACTGCTTTATGCTATTAGGTGCAAACCTCCTTCAGAGATCAGGGTCTGAGGATGTTGGCATTTTGGCCATTGTCAGCACATTTCAAGACACTAAGGAACCCCAACAGGTACGGTATTTTCTGAACAGTGAGGGGACAGCCTGTGAGCACTGAAGACCAGACTCTGGTGCTGAAAGGGAGGTGATGGCATGGAGAGAGGGCAAGGGGAGTGACAATGAGGCTCACTTAGCTCATACAGGACCCCAGGAAGACTACTGAGGAGGGCTCAGAGGAGGCTGAGGCCCACAGTGTTTTCTCTGTCACTACTGTCTAACCCTGGGTGAGTTACTGTGCTTCCATCTGTCTGAGAACACACACACACTTTCTCTCTCTCTCTCTCTCTCTCTCACACACACACACACACACACACACACACACCAGCCATGCACAGGGCTATGTTCCCCATAGGCATGGCTGTTCGACATGGTCTCACCCCCATAGCTGATTGGACTGTGTAGTCACTACTTAAACAAAGCCACCTGTGGTGTCTCACCTTGAATTTGGAACTTGGCCAAGAGACAAAGTCTGTAGGTAGCTGGAAGTAATATGTCTCCCATGGGTATAGTTGGGCAGATAGCTGTGACAAAAGCTAGAGACAGAGCAAGCTGGTTTGCAAAGAGACAGCATTAAACAGAGACTCAGAGAGAGGCAGAGGAAAGAATGAGAGAGAAAGAGAGAGAGTCATGGGGCTGTCTGGGCGATAGCATCAGTACTTTTGTGAAGCAGCATTTTGCCTGTAGGTTCTGGGAGCTTCCTTGCATCTTTACAGAAAAGAAACAAGCAAACGACTCATGTTTTTTCTTAGTCTAGTCTGATTTCTGTTGCTCGCAATCCGACAGTGTCAACCAAGACACCTCCCCTCACAGCCTGCATCCACTGTCCCAGCAGGCAGCAGCGGCCAGGCCCCCAGGAGCAGGACAGACACAGTGTGAGGTTGCTCTCTTTACCCCGAGAGGCCCTGTGGTCCCAGCTGAAACATTGCAGCAGACCCCCAGCTAGCCACTCTTCCCAAAATAATGTTTTCAAAGCATTTCTTACAGAGTCTTACCTTGAAGAAAGATAATGGCCCTTCTCTCTTTACCTCTTTGCTGACATGCTGAGAGAATTTTCCACCGCCCAAACTACACGGTTCAGTGCCTCTCAAATTCTATCTGAGAAAAATACTAAAACAAAGATCCCGATTCAGCAGGTTGGGACAGGGCCCGAGAACCTGCATTTCCAATGGGCTTCTATGTGAGGCTGCTGGTTCAAGGGCCACGCCTGGAGTAGCAAGGGTTTAGACTTCCTCTGCCAGGAATCACAAACAAATTGCAATTAAAACCCCAGTACCCGTCAGCAGGTTGAAACCAAGTAACTCCTAAGTAGGACAAAAAAAATTCACTAGTTTTAATTAATAAAAAAAAAATCTGAATAGAACATTCTTGCTAAGAAATCCCATTTTATTCCTTGCAAGAGCACACAGGGAATAGTTTGCTTCTCAAGGAAAGAAGAAAATGATAAGCATGTGTTGTAATTAGCATATCAATGACTAATAATTAAAAAGGGGTTTCTAAAGCACTGGGGGTGGAGGGGTGGTTGAACAGTTTTTCTATCCCTCTCAAATTCTCAAGTACTTTAGATATCACCGTCTTCTTTTGGCTTGCTTATATTTATAATTTGGGCAGAGCCTATTTTCAAAAATAGAGAGATATTAAATTTCAGGGTATCCCTTAACGCAACATTCCCAGATTCCTCAGTAATGCAGCCCTATTGGCGGTGCCAATCTCCTCACCAAAGACATTGCTTTTGTTTTATTTTTCTCTTTCAAAAAACTGACATCTTAGCGCCTCATATCCATCTTAGTTTAAACAAATGTTTTGATTACATCCAAGTGAGAGCCCAACAAAAGCTGTTGGAGCTGAACTGACGCATTCGCTATTAGTTTTAGACAATTTGTTCTAATATTGTCTGGAATCATGCGTTTATACACCCATACAGATTTGATTACTTTACTTGTTTCATTAATCTTTATTTGTTTAATCATCTGTTTAATCTGTTTAATCATTGGTTTAAGTGGAAAGATTACATGAAGATGTTTAGCGTTGGCGCACACAGGCATTCTGACATGGAGCCCGGCGTTCCTTTTTGTCTATTTATTATATTCTTTTATAGGGCTTCATGAGCCACTTTAAAGCTTATAGGATGCTTTGGGGAATTCAATAATTTAGTAGTTCTTCACCACTGAACATGATGTATTTTTTAAATGTTATTTAAATAAGCAATATTTGTGGAATAATTTGACTTCCATTCTGGGCTCGCGGTTCCTCCTCTCCCAACCAAATGCAATATTTAAGTTGGCACCGAGACCATTCTTTAAGAAATTGGGAAGGAAGGTCTGGGAGACTGGGAGGGTTCTTTAGGATGAGAGAGCAGTTTCTTCCTTCTAGGTCTGTGTACTCGGAGAGTCCAAGTTTGATGTTGTTTGAAAGTGTGAGGCAGCACCCAAGGTCTGACATCATACTGTAACTGTCAGGAAGGTTATAAGCCCCCATCTCCCTGCATGCTGCGGGTGTCTATTGCTCCCCAGCCTCCACTCAGATGTGGAGGGCTTCAAGAGAGACTCCTGGGTGAACATGAATAACTTCCTCTGCATCCAATGCATTTAATACAGTGGTCACCATGCATCTATGGTGACAGCTTTTTATGCTATGCTCTCCAATTTGCTTGAGGATGGGAGGTGTAATGGAAAAACATTGTGCATCATGGTAGGTACAACAGGTATTATGTCAACAAGAGACAGACTAAACATCTTGGGTGGAGAGGGTAAATTCTTGGGAGAAACAGCAACACTGAAGACAGCACTGTGGGCAGAGCCCGTCTCCCTCTGCTAATAGAGACCCTCGCTCTCAACGGAGAGGCCCACCCACCTTCAGATCTTTGCTTTTATCAGCCCTACCCCCATCCTCCCCATCTTCCAAGGCCCAGCTTAAATTTCACCTTCTCTTACCCCAAAAACAGGTTGGGGCAGAATTAGGACTAGAACTCACTGCTTCTGAAATTCTGTTGAAAAAGAATTCCCTACCTCAACCTGTAACTTTCTGAACTTCTGCTCCTGTCATGAGAAGCTGATCTGAGAGTAAAGGTGATGCTGTTCTGCGCTGCTGTTTTCATCCTAATGAAGTGCCGTCGTTACACGCATTCTAAGTACGTTGATGTTGTGTCCCTCAAACCTCGCAGGAGGGTAGCTGGATTGTTAACCTTCTCATTTGTCTCCGTGGAAGGAAGGAGCCATGTGGGCTTTACAGCCCCTCACCCGGGGCCCTCTCAGACAGGGTTCCAGGAGGAGCATGCACCTGACATGCCTGAACACATCTCGGTTCACGCCTCTACTCCCTGGACACATGACCTCAGACAAATTGTTAAACATTGTGAGCCCTGTGTCACAACCAGCAAATGGGGACGATAATGGTCCTCACCCCGCATGTCATCAGGAGCATGAAATGACAAAACAAGTGTCCGTGCCTGCTCAGCCTGGTGCCCGGTGAGAGTGGGCACTGAGTCTGGCTGGTGTATGGGACCTCAACGCTGCAGGCAGGGAGTGCTTCTGCGGGCACGGGTGCACGTGTCTTCTGGGAGGAGAGTGGGCTTCCAGAGAGAACCGCTTTCAAATGGATACATTTTTGTATCTCCCTGTGTCCTTCTGTCTGTTCCCACCTCATCTGGAGGGTTCAGATTGTGCTGTTCATTTCCTGCGGCTGAGTCGGTGCCAGCCCTGCTGCCAGTACCTCTTTCCTTCTCCCAGGAATTCCACCTCCCCTCTGATTCCTTCCATTGTGCCTCCAGCCTTAGGCTTCTCTTCAATTGGCCCCAAGCAACCTGGACCCCAGGAGCCCCCTGCCTGTACTTCTGAAGGAATCACTTCTTTAAATGAAACCTGGGTGGCATTTGAGAGACATGTATTCCTTAAAAGCCTTCCTCCTGGGCTTCCGGATTTCAGTGCTCATAAGCCACCAGTTTCTGAAACTGCTTATTCACTCCTGCCTCTGTCTGGAGACTTACTTCATGCTCCCTTTAGTCTGCTTCTTTGTATTCCCAGGAGAGCTTCCCAAACACGCTTGAGAGGGTCTGGGAGAAGTTGGTGGCCCACAGCTCAGGATACCATTCTCAGCTTGGGACTTTCAACTGATGGCTGAGCTGAGAGCAGCACTGCAGTGACATATTTAGTAGATCTGTCCAGTTACGCACAGCCTTTTTTTTTTTTTTTTTTTGAGACGGCGTCTCACTCTGTTGCCTAGGCTGGAGTGCAGCGGTGCAATCACAGCTCACTGCAGCCTCAATCTCTTGGGCTCAAGCCATCCTCCTGTCTCAGTCTCCCAAGTGGCTGGGACAACACGTGAGTGCCACCATGCCTGGCTAATGTTTAATTTTTTTGTAGAGACAGGATCTTGGTATGTTGCCCAGGCTGGTCTCAAACTTTCTGGGCTCAAGCAATCCTCCTGCCTCAGCCTCCCAAAGTGCTTACAGCCTTTTGACTGAGGATGGGTTCTCTGCCCTCTGGAGGGTTTGTCCTCTTCCATTCATCAACCTTTGGGCTCAATGCTCAGGGAGCGATGTGGGAGGTGGGGACAGCTGTCCGGCCAACTAGTTTAGTTGACTAAATCCTGATTCTGAGCAGCATGAGCTGCTGTGTTCAGATAAACCTTGTGTCCCTGGAAAATACAGGAGAAAGAAGGTTCTTTTTATGCAAAGATACCATCTCCCACCACCACCATCAGGGGAGACCCATTCTATTAGTCAAAGAGGTGCCTGGGTTAACAACCTCTCTCCTGGAACGCAGATTTGGTAGCAGGCTTTGGAGTAGAGAAAAATAAGGTTTTGGAGGTTCCTTGTATTTAAGGAGAACAGGGTGATGCTTCAGTCAAACATCCAGAGGCCCCGATGGCTACGAGGGCTGGGAAAATGTCTTCAGAGATGAGAGAAACTCGAGAAAGTTCTGCTTATTTGCTCCAGGTCATCTTGGGTGCTACCTTTGGTGACCTGACCGTACTTGGCAGATGGTCGAGGTAGTGTGATCCAATTGTGAGACTACCTATAGCTGAGATTTTTGTTGTCCACAGCCACAAGAGCAAGGACCATGTCTTTTAAAAAATATATTATTTATTTATTTATTTATTTATTTTGGGGGCAGGGTCTGGCTTTGTTGCCCAGGCTGGAGTGCAGTTGTGCAATCTTGGCTCACTCCAACCTCCACCTCCTGGGTTTAAGCCATCCTTCCACCTCAGCTTCCCCAGTAGCTGGGACTACGGGCATGCGCCACCACACCCAGCTAACTAAAAACAATTTTTTTTTTTTTTTTTTTTTTTTGTAAAGACAGAGTTTTGCCATGTTGCCCAGGCTGGTCTCGAACTCCTGGGCTCAAGGGATCCACCTGCCTAGGCTTCCCAAAGTGTTGGGATTACAGGCGTGAGCCACTGCACCTGGTTCGGACCATGTCTTATTCATCTTTGTGTCCCATTCTTTCTCCTCACTCCTTCATCGAGACAGCACTGTGCACAGAGTAGACACATCACAAAGGGGAGAGGCACTGGGATTTCAGGTTGGCAGTAGAAGAAAGTGAGGGAGGGTATTCAGGTCACTTTCTATGAATATTTATTGGAGCACCCACCATGTGCCAGACATGATGCTAGGTCCTCAGAGTCCAGCCAGGTATTACGCAGACCCAATGTCGTAGGGCTGCTGTGAAGATTAACTGAGAGAATATGTGTATCAGTAAACACTGCTGAAGCTGTTAAATTGGATCTGAGGCTGGGTGTGGTGGCTAACTCCTGCAATTCCAGCATTTTGGGAGGCTGAGGCGAGTGGATCCTTTGAGGTCAGGAGTTTGAGACCACCTTAGCCAACATGGTGAGACCCCATCTCTACTAAAAATACAAAAATTAGCCAGGCATGGTGGTGGGCACCTGTAATCATGCCAGCTACTTGGGAGGCTGAGGTAGGAGAATCTCTTGAACCTTGGAGGCAGAGGTTGCAGTGAGCTGAGATCACACCACTGCACTCCAGCCTGGGAGACAGAGTGAGACTCTGTCTCAAAAAAAAAAAAAAATAATAATGATAAATTAGATATGAGCACGGAGGGTTTGACTGCCAAGCTAAGGCCTGTGTACTTTCAAAAGCAATGATGAGTCATGAAGTGGTTTGGGAAAAAAGAGTGGGATGAACTGATTTTGTTTTGAAATTTTTAATTATAAAAATAAATCAGACTTGTAAAAAAAATACAGAATTGCTTGAAGAAAACAGAATAAAGTCCTCACCATGTCCTCATCTCTGCAATCCTATTCCCATCCCAAGAAAGCCCCTGAACAGTGGTGGGTACTCATTTATACACTTATTTTGCACTTATAAACATATACATTTTTCACAAAAATAAAATTACATTAAATATCTATTAGCTTACTTTACTTAGTGAATGGCTATTTTTCATATGGGTGCATATAAATTTGTCTTCTTTTTTGCTATGTATAAGTATAATGTATGGATATAACAGAATTTACTTATTTCCATACTTACGGACATTATTTTGTTTCCTTTCTTTTAAATCTGGCAAGCAAAACTCCAACATTTTCTTTTAAACCTTTGAGCACACACTGAGTATAACTGTATGGTAAATTTTCAGCAATGAATTTTCCAGTTGAAAGGGTTTACACACTTTCAGATTTTGCCAGATTGCGCCCGAAAAGGCTGTACTAATGTGTACCTCCACAAACAGTGTGGAAGAGTTCCTGCTTCCGCAAGTCCTGGAAAACACAATACATTCCAAATTGTGTTAATATTTAAAAATCTAACGGACAAGAAATGATGTCTGACTGTTATTTTATGCTTTTAATATAAGTAAATGACCATCTTTTCAAATATTCATTTGTACTTCATTGACTTGTTTTTATTTACTTGTTCACATCCATCACCCATTTATCTATTAAGCTGATGTTTTTAAAAATTCTTAAGATATCTTTATTTTAAGTGAGTGAATTCTTATTATCCACCATATGTATTATCATTGTTATTTGGACTTTAATGAAATTAGATTATGCCTTTATTAAAGTATATTTATTTATTTATTTATTTTGAGACAGGGTCTCACTCTGCTGCCCAGGCTGGAGTGCACTGGCACAGTCTCAGCTCACTGCAACCTCTGCCTCCCTGGTTCAGGCTGATTCTCCTGCCTCAGCCTCTCGAGTAGCTGGCGCACAGGCCTGAGCCCCCACACCTGGCTAATTTTTGTATTTTTAGTAGAGATGGGTTTTCGCCACATTGGCCAGGCTGGTCTCGGTCTCCTGACCTCAGGTGATCCACCCACCTCGGCCTCCCAAAGTGCTGAGGTTATAGACATGAGCCACCACACCTGGCCAGAGTATACTTTCTGTACATAAAATTCACAATTCTAAATAGTTGTTCACTTTTGACAAATATATATTCTGTATACATCTATGTAACTTTTGTGACCACAACCAAGATATAAAACATTTCCATTAACCCCAAAGCTTCCCCATGCCCCTTTACTATCAGTCTCCCTGAACTCCCTACGCCAGGCAAATACTAATGTGGTTTCCATCACTATAATTAGTTTAATCTGTTCTAAAATTCAATATTTAAAGAGTAATAAAGTATGTACTCTTCTGTAAATGACTTCTTTTGCTCAGCATAATGTCTTCTGAGAGTCATCCGTGTTGTTACATTTATCAGAATTTCATTCCTTTTTATTACTGTTGCATAGATTATATAACTGCCCATATGTTAATGGATAGTTGGGTTCTTTCCAGCTTCGGGTTATTGCAAATAAAGTTGCTATGAAGTTGCTTTTACAAAATCTTTATGTAGACCTATGTTTTCATTTCTCTTGGGTAAATGCCAAGTGGTAGAATGGATTATATGACTGATGTATGTTTAGCTTTATAAGAAACTGCCAGGATGTTTTCCAAAGTGATTGTACCATTTTATCTGCCCACCTACAGTGCATAGAGTTCCAATTGGTCCATATCCTTGTCAACACTTGGTATTATCAGTCTTTTTAATTTTAGCCATTCTAGGGGTATAGAGTGCTATCTCATTGTGGTTTTAATTTGCATTTGTCTATGACTAACAAGTATGAGCATTTCTTCATGTGCTTATTGAGCTTTCATATATCTTTTATGGTAAAGGGTCTGTTCAAATATTTTGCTTATTTTAAATTGAGTTGTCATAAGTGTCCTTTTTATACTCTGGAGACAAACCCTTTGTCAGATATTCATACTGTGAATATTTTCTCCCATTCTGGGTCTGCCCTTTTCATTTTTTAAATGCTGACTTTTGAAGAGCAAAAGCTCTTAATTTTTATAAACTTCATCAATTTTTTCCTTTATGATTTCTGCTTTTGTAAAGCAGCTAATAAATTTTTGTTTACTCCTATGTAAGAAAACTTTGCAATGATATTGCAAAGATTTTCTGGTGTATATATTATATATATATATTTGTATGTACATATATACATATATGTATAGATATAATATATATATATTTTAACTTTTATAGTTTTAGTTCTTATCTTTAGGTCTATAATCCATTGTTTGTTAACTCTGGTTTGGATGTATCTTTCTTTATTTTATTTTTATTTTCATAGAGACGAGGTCTCACCATGTTACCCAGGCTGGTCTTGCACTCCTGAGCTCAAGCAATCCTCCTGCCTCAGCCTCCCAAAGTGCTGGGATTGTAGGCATGAGCCACCACATCTGGCCTTTCTTTTCTTTATATGTGAATGAAAATGTTGCTGAGTATAAAATTTGGGAGTTACTTCCCCATTCCCAAACTTTAGATATTTTTACAAATTTTTTGCATGGAATGTTTCTGTGAATTTTGAGGACATCCTGATTTTGCATCTTAAATGTAATTTACATATTTAGCCTGAATAACCGAAAGACTTTATTATTCTTGAAGGTTCAGTTACTTAATCAAGATATATCAAGCTATATTATTTGATCTGCACTTTTATTAATATAGATTTATTATTTTTAATCTCAGGAAAGTTTTCTTCTAACATTTGTAAAGTATTTTTCTGATTGTGTTTGCTCTTTTTAGTCATTTTTGTTTTTTAATTAATACAGTTTTGGAAGAGATTTTGTGATTGCCATATCTTCTGTGCCATATTTCCTAAGAGTTTAGGAAAATAATTTAGGGAAATAATAAATTTTTCCCTGGAAGAAAGAAGTTCCTAGAAAAACGCAAGTTGGGAATAAAAGTAGGCATATGCACTATACTCACACAAGCACACATACGTGCCTGGAATACATACACTGAGGTGCTAAGTGGCTATGTCACCTCTGCGTCCTGCCTATATGCATTTGTGTTTTCTTTCTGGTTTGTGTCCATATGTTTATCTTGCCTACAATGAGCATGGATTGCTTCAGTGATAACTCCCAACACTCAAGCAGATTTTGGGAGCGGAAAGAATGAGCCTCATTCAATAGCTCATTTACCAAACATTTCCTTAGCATCCACTTCTCTTCAATCAGGAATTTAACACTTTTCCTCCTATTCAGGCTGGAATAGTTATTCCAAAGTGAAAATTAAAGGATGGAGATTGACTGCTGGTGTAAACAATCTCTCCAAAATGGAAGTGTTTCTCACATATCTCTCCTAGAGTCACTTGACTTGAAGCAGGTCCTGGGCCTCCTCTCTGTGGCTTAGGCAAGGGGGCTGCCAGTGGGCAGATGTGGCCCGTAGGTGCATTTTGACAGCACGGTGATTACCATTTTTGTTTGTTTGTTTTTAAAACTTTTGAGCCTTTAACTGGGGGATGTGCTCTCCAGTTCTCCACAGTCTTCATAGCCCCTCACTGGGGTACCCCTGGCCTATCCCACACATTTATGGTACTTGCCTGATCCCTACAGGACTTCTGGTGCAGGAGGTGATAGATGAGTGTTCAAGAGGCACCAAAATGAGCTCCTACTTCCTTTATTTTTTTTATCCATATTTATGTACTTACTAGGACAGAAGGGCAGAAGAGGGACATGAAGGTGAGTATAAACAGTGTAAGTCATAACCCTGTTTGAGGGAAGTGGCTAATTTGGCTCTGAGCTTCCCAGTGGCTAAATCAAAGAAGGCAACCCAATCAGTTTTACAATTTACATTGTCAGTAAGTCTAAAATTGAAGTATTTTCTCAAGAGAAATAAGCTTTACTTTGAAAACAAGCTCCTAAGATGAAAACTGCCTTTGCATACTTTCTCTAGACTTGGGAGCTCAGGATTCTAAAATGATCCCAGTAGAAGCTGTACAAATACATTAAATGCAAAATGCGTATAGCACAAGCTTGATATCTATATGAGCTAATTGAGAGGAGAAAAGATTTTGAGTTTAGCACATAAGCACTTAGTATATCTTTCTTCCCACATTATAGATAGCACTGCTATTTTCTAAGTAGAAACTGAAATATTTCATCTATGCATGCAAATTAGTCTGGACTCTGTGCCCAAGGCATAAAACAAATGGAATCATGAATATTTTTAAAGGAATGTATTCTACCTCTTTTTTGTTCCTGTCTAGTTACTGGTGCCGTATAAATGGAGGGGTCTGGGGAGTGGGATCATATTTAGTTGATGGGACCTGAGGGTGGAATCAGGGAGACTCTGCTCTAGTGTTGTCACATCTGAGTGTTTCTCAACTTGGCTGGGTGCTCACTGTAAACACCTGGAAATCTTTGAACAATACTATGCCTTTGTCTCACCCCAGAACAATTGCATCTGAATCTCTGGGGTGGGGCCTAGGGGATTACTTTTGTTCAAAAGGTCTTCCAGTGATTCTAGGGTACAGTCACGGCCTTGAGCTCTGATGTCTCTGGGCCAGTGGTTCTCCACCTCTAGTGCATGAGACTCACTTGGCAAGCTGGTTGAAATGCAGATTCCTGGGCCTCATCCCCTTCCTCAATATTCTCATTTAGTAAGTCTCTGCAGGTCAGGTCAGTGTTGAGAGCAACTGACCTAGTCTTTCTTTCCACCTAGTGTCACAAAGTAGGTGCTACGTCTTCAAATGTAGAAGCAAGTGTGGAATAGAATAATCAGTAAAAAAAGGAAAAGGGCATCAGAAACCAGAAGGAAAAAGACAATCACAGCAGAAACCTGCAAGCACAGTCATTATAACTGAACACAGAATTTTACTCTGCTTTTCCTGCAACCAGGACCTCCATCTCTGCTGGCCCTGAGGCCTTGTTCTTACTATTTAACATTGCCAGACACAAGTTTCCTCACTGGTAAAATGAGAGTTCTAATACATGATGCACAGAAATGGAGTTTCTCCATAGCCACTGATTGAGTTTCTGGGAAGGGACAGAGGATGAGGACATTTTGAAAAGAGCCTGGGATAAGTGTGGGAGCACCCGGGCTCTTGTGGGTGCTGGTTTCTAAGCCATTGCACCTGCCAAGCCAGGAGCTGAGTTTCTAGTGGAAACCTCTGACCCGCTTCTTGCTAATGCCTGACAGTCCATTTCCCAAGGGAGGTTAAAGGACATCTCTGTCTCAAGCAGGCATTTCCCATAATCCAAGAGATAGGGATGAGAAATGTCTGCTGGTGCCACTGGGTGTCTTAACAAGGGAGACCCCTGGGGTGGCAGGAGCCGCAGTAGACACACTGGTCCCTCCGCCTGCCCCTCAGCACGGCCTGGCTGCTCAAGGCCTTTGAAGGATGAATTTTCATGCGACGTCTGTGTTTTCACTTGGAGAGACCCGACAGGAGCTGCTGCAATATTTCACCAGCTCTTGTGTTTGTCAGCTCCACTAATCATCAGCCTCAATCACTGGTGCGATATTTTATGAATTAATAAAAATGATCACGGGCAGTCCAGGGGGACCCAGGGAAGAAATGCGTGCGGTAGAATTTTAATGAGCACCGTGGGGAATTTCAACCTTTTCTCGCTTTTTGTTTTTATTTTTTAAAAAATCTTCCCTTCTTCCTTCCACGCCCCCCTCTGAAATCTTTTTCTTGCCCGAGCCCCTCCCCTTTAGCAAAATCATAGCTAGAGCTGTTCTAAATCACTGTCACACAAATTAGGTGTTTTCCCTCAGCCTGTTGTTTGGCCCACAACAGTGTCGTCCTGTGCTGCAAATGTGCCCCATGCACCTGCTCTCTGTCCTAATTGAGCAGATGATCTGCCGATTTGTCATGCTTAGCCCAGACCCCCTTCCTGGCACCCCCTCCCCCATACTGCCAGCCTTGGCCTGCCTGGAACATTGGGCAGATGTAGAGCTTCCCGTGTGTGTGTGTGTGTGTGTGTGTGTGTGTGTGTGTTATGACAGATCTTGTACTCATTATTGAATAATTCATTGTTGCGTTAATGTCTTCAGATACCATCTCTCACTTCCTCACTCTTTCTCTCTCTCATCTGGCTCGCTTGGGAAAACTTGATTATGCCTGCCGCTCTGACGACAGAGTATACAGATAAAAGATAATTGCTTGGCTTGACTCCTCCATTGATATGAAAATAAGATTTAAATTATTCACTCTGGTTTAAAGGTTAGTTGAAGGTTATTACAGGGGATGAAGGAAAAAAAATCACTCTTCATAACGTTCGGGGTTGAGATAAGACAGATTTGAAAGGGCCTAATTTGCACTGTAGGCAGAAGCACCTTGTGAATAAACTGAGACTCCCTCTAGAGATTTTAATCTAGGAGAAGTCAATTATTTATAAGCAAATTATGGCCGGCTTTTCATATATATAAAACACTCTGTGTCATAAATAAGGACATGGTGGCGTCTGTTCCTTTCTCAGCACCCAGTTTTTCTTGATCTCGAAGCTCTGGCCTTGTCACAACAGGAATTTAATGAGGCGCCTCTGTTAGGAGGGTCAGCTGACTTGGTGGGGGCTACTTTTAATAGATGATAATGGTAATGATAATAATAATTTGGCTTTGGGGGTGGGTCTCTGCCTCTGGGCCTGACCCCTTGCCCGACGGGAATGGCCCGGGAAGCGGGGGGCCTATGGGGACACTGGCCACCTGCGATTGGCCCCCTCTTGCCCACCAAGCATTGGTGTTCCCAGTGGGTTCTTGCAGATTTACATAGGAAATCATCTCAGAGCTGCTTCTGCCCAGGGAGGCACATCTCCTGCCTGAGAATCAATAATTAATGGCCTTCCATATTTCTGGAAGTTGGGCGCTGCTTCAGAAAGTATCCAGTGGCCTCCTCCTCTATAGCGCTCCATGCATTAATCATGGCCAGCCATTTTTATCAAAATGCAGAGCTGCGGAACCTGAGTGTTCTTCTCTCTGGTGGGCCCACTTTGCAGCCCGTCCCAGGAATGCTCTCGAGGAGCCCCTGGGTGAGTGACTTGGGGCTGGGCGTCATGTTCCCTAGAACCTCCTTTCACTGTACAATCACAGGAACCTTTGCTCCTCCTATTACCTGCAAATAGGGCATCATGCATGCAACCCTGCAATCCCCTGGGATTGGTTTAGGAAATACGTAGTGTCAGAGAGCTAGGCTTGTAGGACTCCAAGAAGGATCTTGGCCTGCAAGCCCTGAGGCTGCCTCTAAGGGGGGGTCTGGCCAGGCGAGGTTGCCCTCTGTCTGGCTGTGGAAAACTTTCAATCATCTGCTCCCTCTCTAGATGATTACAAAGCCTCCAAGCTGTTAGCCCCAGTTAGTTCTCCACAGGGATCCTATCTGGAAAGGATCCTTGCCCCTGGCAGGTTTCAGGAAGATCTGGAACAGCCTGGGTTTGCCGAGGTGCCTGGCCTGGTGTGGGCGGTCTGGCCTGGCCTGGTGTGGGCGGTCTGACCTGGCCAGCTCGGGGGCATCGTGGTAAGGAAGAGGAGGTGGGAAAAGGGCAGCTGGCAGTGATGGTGTGTGGGAACAAGAGGCTGCAGATGGGTCAGTGCCGCTTCTGAGCAGTTTGGATTTGGGGGCGCTTGCTGGTTATCAGCAAGGTGACATTCCTCCACCCCTCTTGCTTCAGCCTAGAAGTTCTGCAAGCTCCTTTTTTATATATATATATGTGCCTATATATATATATACACATATATATGTACCTATATATACACATATATAGGTACCTATATACACACATATATAGGTACCTATATACACACATATATAGGTACCTATATACACACATATATAGGTACCTATATACACACATATATAGGTACCTATATACACACATATATATGTACATATATATACACGTATATAGGCACCTATATACACGTATATAGGCACCTATATATGTAAAAGCTTCACACACACACACACACACACACACACACACACACACACACAGACTATAAAGCATAATCCATTCTTGAGATCTAGAGAGGTTAAGTGACTTGCCCAAAGTCACACAGCAAATAAATGGCACACCTTAGACCCAAAACCAGCTCTCCTGATACCTAGATAATAATATTTTAGGGTGTTTTTTTTCCTATCTAGTGTTTGAGATCCAGAAAAAAATAAATGCTGCTTTTTACTGTACAATCTGGCCCCGCATGGAGGTGTGGGGCCGGGCAGGGCTTAGTTCTTCATCTGTAGGGGATAGAACAGGGGTCTCCTGGGCTCCTTTGAGCTCTAAATTCTATGAATACAAATGTAGCAGAATATTCCTCAAGGAATATTCTCAATGGCAGAGACCCTATCTTAAGTCATTATGAACAGAAACATTTGCTGTACATTTACCTTGAACAAGCCCCGCTCCAGGCCCTGCAAGGGGATGTGGATGACAGAATTCTCAAAGGTCTTGTCAGTCTGCAGAAAGCCTAACGTAGATAGGTGAGGGCCCTCCAGCTGGTAGGAGTCGGTGTGAAGCTGCAGGGTCAGGGCCGCAAGTGCTGCAGGAGTTCCCAGTTGGGGAGAGACCCACAGGAGCCAGAGCTGGCAGGGCCAGCTTCTGGGAGGAAGAGAGGCTGAGTAAGATGCTGAGATGGCAGGGTCTGCTAGACAGAGAGAGAGGGAAGGCATGGTGAGTGGGATACTGAGCGCGTGCACCACTCACTCTCGCAGGAGGGGCCGCAAGCTTAGAGCAATTTGCTAAGGCAAGGTCTGAAGGATGAACCAACTTTCACTTAAGGGAAGCTGGTTGCACCACACCAAGGAGAATTTTAATTATTTCAAATCTCTGGGTTCTAAGGCCCCATAAGAGGTCTGGAATAGAGGCCACTCCACCAACGGTACACTGAGCATGTGTTGGGTGAGCGGTGGGTTGGGCCAGGCTGGGGGATTTATGGAGAGCTGCGATGCTCAGTGGAGCCCCTGCTTGTCTTGGAGCAGAAGGATGATGTGAAAGCAATGTCCAAGACAAGACTTACTGGAATGAAGAGGCCAGGGATAGGAAAGCTACGGAGGAAGCCTTCGGCTGATGTGTTTAGGTGTGGCCTAGGGGTAGAGCTGGGTTAAGTATTTCCAGAGATGAGATGATAGAATTTCCTGAAGAAATCTAAAGAAGGAAGTACCAAAGTGAGTGCAGAAAGAAAAACGGTGGCTGGGGAGGAGATGGGGAGTTTTGGGTGAGGAAACATGAGGAACTGACTCTGGGGAGTCATGGGGAGAGGGTCTATGGGTGATCAGTGACAGAGCTCATGAAGAGAACTGGACCAGGTGGGTCACACGTCTGGGAAGGGACATGACTTGATAACACGATCACTGGCAGTGGAGCAGCCCCAGGGCCCTGGCACTCCCACCATGGGCTTAGTGCTTCTACCACTAGGCCGCACTGCCTCTTAACATCACCTGTACAGAGACAAGGAAGCGAGAGGTGAGCCCAGCAGTTTGCCTCCTCTACTCACTCTCCCAGATGGGGCTTTAAGCTCAGAGCTCTTCGCTAAGGCAAGGTCTGAAGGAGGATCCGAGCTGCACTTAAGGGGAGCTGGTTGCATCATGCCAAGGAGGATTTTAATTATTTCAAATCTCTGGGTTCTGGAAGGCCCCATAAGAGATCTGGGATGGAGGCCACTCCACAAGCACAAATGATTGATTGCCCACGCAGGACCGCTAGGTTAATGAGTCCGAGGTCGCTGCGGGAGATGGGTATCCATCCAATCGCTGGATATTAAAACCCTCCTAATCATTTTTGCAAGCTGACTCCCTAATGTGATCCAGTGATGTGCCTGGATTTAAGTTCTCATTACCCATTTCCACCCACAGGTAGAAGGTCTCGCTCATTCACCACGGGCAATTTCCTGCCCCATTACGTGTGAAAATCAGAGAGTGGCCAGGCCCGTTAGGAGAGCTAAGGAGTCCTTTTCCTCCTCTTTTTCAAGTCACAGTAAAGGAGCCCTTTCTGTAAGACTCACGGTTGTGACTCTGAGTGCCAGGCCAGCATGGAGCCCACCAGTGCCTGACATTAGATAGTGCCCTTCAGATGTGGGCTACTGTGCTTGTTCACCCTCCCCTCAGTGGCTAGGCTCGGGGGTCAAACCGTCAGGCTTGGAACATCTCCCAGACATTTCCCTTCTTTTAATAACAACCCTTCACATCTGAGCAGAAAGTATGGTCTGCTTTTCAGGGCAACTTCTCCCCCATGGCCTCCCAGACATCCTCTGAAAGGAATGATAGCAGAGGTCATCTGTGCCCTGGCCTTGGAGAAGCCTGTGATGCTGAAGGTTGGCTCTCACCATACACACCTTATGTTACCATCTCCCCATGTGCTTTTCTCTCCTCTAAATCCAGGTTAAAGAGAGCGGAGACCACATCTGTATTTGTTAGCTATTGCTGCGTAACAAATTATCCCTGAATGTCATAGTTTAAAGCAACAATAAACATTTATATCTCACACAGTTTCTGTGGGTCAGGAGTCCTGACACTCTGTGTTCAATGGAGGTTGGTGCATGAATGAGTGCCTCAGTGTAGAGACATCTGTGTGAAATGCTGTGTTTAACAGTGTGGTGTGTGTAGCATTTTTTCAATGGTAAATGTTGAAACTGTCTAATAGAGCTAGGCATGTGAGTTACTGATGATGAGTTACCATCAGTATAGTGGTATTCAGGAATGATTTAGCTGGGGGTTCTTGTTCAAGGCCCTCAAGAAGTTGCAGTCATGATGTCAGCTGGGACTGCAGTCATCGGAAACTTGACTGAGCTGGAAGATTTGTTTCCAAGATGGCTCTCTTACACAGCAGGGAAGCTGATGCTGGCTGTTGGCAGGAGGCCTCAGTTCCTTGTCACGTGGAACCACACGCCATAGGGCTGCTTGAGTGTCCTCACAGCATGGCAGCTACCTTCCCCCACAGTGAGGGATCCAAAGGAGGAGAAAGCAGCACTGTCTTGTCCCACCTAGCCTCAGAGGTCACATTCCATCTTTTCTGCAAATTCTGTCTCTTAACAAAGGTCAGCCTATTCAGGGTGGAGGAGGCTGCTTAAGGACATCAGTCCCAGCAGGCACTGGGGACCATCTCAGAGGCCGGCTACATCTGATATCGCTCATGGTAGATGCTCCATAAAGGGGGGGATAATAATTAAACACCTCTTTGGCTTATTTAACCTTTACAACAGCCTTAGGGAAGTTTTTTTTCCTTCCCAGATGAAAAAGCAGGCTAGAAAAGGGCTTACTCAAGATCCAGCAGTGCAGAAGCTGCTGAACCAGAATTAGAACCCAGGCGGTCTCCTTTCTCTCTTGGTAGAGCATGCTCTCTCTATTTCATCAAGCCGCCTACCTTGAGCTAAGGGTTGATTCTTCCCTGATGAGAATTCTGTGTTATAGGTAGGGTGTGTGGTATTATGCTTGATTTAGAGATAAGGAAACTGAGTCCCCAAGCATTCAGTGACTTCACGGCACCTTGTAGCAGAGCTAGAACTGGAACTCAGCACTCCTGTTTTTCAGCCTAAAGCTCCGCTCACCAAAAATGCTGCCTCTCAGTGAAGCGATATGAGGCTGTTTTCTTCTAAGTCTCTCATTTTATGGAAGAGGAGACGGAAGCCAGGACATCACACATCTTGGGGCATGCAGGGACCCTAACCAAGACACCTTGAGTCTAGGACTCATTGAGAGAGAAAAGAGTTAGGCAGCTGGAGACCAAAGTATTTCCACAGCTCTTCTGGAGGTGACTATGAGCTGCTCTTCATCAGAGGAATTTCATTTTGTCTGGGGACCAGGAGGGGAACCTAGCTTGTGGCTCTCATCCAAGGCACCACCCAGCTTCCTTGCCTTCCTTTCTCTGGATGCAGATGAAGCTGGGTGGTAACTGCCATTCACTGAATACTTCCCAGTCCACAAGGCATTCTCCACATTCACAATCTTGAGGAGGAACTGCAGAGTGGTCACTCTCAGGGCCCTGGAGATAGGCACCCTGGGCCCCTACTTCCTGTGTGGCCTGGGAAAGGTCTCGCCCTCTCAGGGGTCTAGAGATAAGGAAACAGAAGCTCCAAGAGTTCAGTGACTTCATGGCACCTGCAGAACTGTGAGTGTGCCTACACCATGGTGGGATTGTTTTTAGGGTTAAATGAAATACAAATGAAAGGTATTCAGGTGGTTGACACCTAGTAAATGCTTGAGTTAACTAATGATTGCATCTCATTTATTCTTCGCCACTTCCTGAGAGAAGAAGTTGTGTATACACATGAGGAGGGGAACCTTGGACACCCGATATCTGCCAGCATGTGTGGGATGAGGTGCCTGACACACATCATCTGTTCCACCCGCACAGGGACTCCTGTCTTATAGCTGAGAAAGAAGAGGCCCTGAGGAGGAGATGGCTCCCCAGGAGTCACAGGGCCGGAGAGCCCAGCAGGCTCCAGGACCCAAGTCCCCCCAGCTCTGTCTGCTAGAGGGGTGTTGTGGGGAGTCAGTGTCAGATGGGGTGCCTGGGGCTGAGAGGGCTCTGAGCCGGGAAGCCATGTGCTTCCTGAGGCTTGGAGGAGAGTGGAGGGACAGGGCCCAACAAGGAGGCCCAGGATGGCCTGGCTCAATAGTAACAGGGCCTGGGTCAGTTTGGGGACGTCGCTGCCCTGAGCCATGGTCCTGACCCAGACTAACAATCGTTAACATGATCTTTGCCCATTTCATGCCAGTGCCCCCCAGGTCCTCTTTCACCCCCTAGACTTTAAACTCCATAAAGCCCCTTAGACCATAATTATTCCCTAGAAGGAACCTGGGAGATAGATAAGGTGGGTGGTATTGTGCCCACATTACAGATGAGGAAATCGAGGCGCAGAAACAGATCTCTTTTCTTGCAGCCTTGTTCACTGAACTGCACCCATGCCTTCCCTGTGCCCCCTCCTGCACTCCCCCTTTCCCTGTTTGATTTTTATCTGTGACACTTACCACCCCTGATATTCTTTCTATTTTTTTATTTAATTTGTCACTATGTCTAATTTCCAATGTCAGTTCCAAGAGGGCAGAGATGTTTGTTTTGTTGGTTCACTGCTGTGTCTGTGCCATGTAGACCGGTACTTAAAAGGCCCTTGATGCAACAACCTCTCTGAATCTTCCTAACCACCCTGGTGTAGGTGCGACCCTTAATGCCCTCTAAGATGGGCAGAGGGGTAGAGGGACCACACAACACCCGCGGCTGCACCGTCAGTGAGGGAAGGGGCTGGAGGATACGTCCTGTCTCCCTACCAAGTTGCCTCTCTACAGTTGCCTGTGTGTGATTCGGAAAGTAGGAAGAATACTTTTTTCCACACTACAACAGGAGCGGAGGGCAGGAGCACAGCTGCACCACCCCAGAATCTCTCCACTCCCACCTCTCCATCCACGGCTGCTAGCAAGATTATAGCTCATGCAACCATGTCCCAGGGACCCGACAGCCCAGTCCCAGAGCATCAAACATGGGAGAGAGAGTAGGCTTAGAGAGTCCATTCTTCCATTTTATGAATGGGTAAAATGAGGCTAGGGAGGAAAAGAGGGCACTCAACTTGCTTCTAAACATGGAACATTTCAGAGGACTGGACACTCATTTCTGCACCCATTCCTCTGCTCCCCACAATACCCAGTTATTAATTTGCCCCTCCTCATAGCCACAGGTCCATTTTCCCTCCCAGCATGCTTTGTGGTCCAGCCTCCCCTACCCCCAACCCTGCCACTGACATGGGAACAAAATCCCACTTCCACACCCACATCTCTGGGTCTGATGCGGGCCCTGGCTCTAACTCACTGGCTGACCTTGGGAACTTGTTTCCTCATCTGTAAAGGATTTAAGGTTTGCAAGGCCAGTGTCTCTTTTGCTGTGTGTGAGATGCCAGACTCCTGGGTTCACCCATGTAAGCTGGGCCCTCACCCTCTCTGCCCCCGGCCCATGGGCTTGTAGCTAGTTGAAAGCAGCTCTGCCTGACTATGGAGGCCAAGAATTACTTTGCCAGCGAGACATCCAGCTAGCCAGGGGGCGAGGGGCCTGCCCAGAGGAGATGGGTGGAGACTAAGGCTGCAAACACTGCTAGTGAGATGTGCTCACACTCTGGGATATGGCAACTCTTCTCTGAGGTGCTAGGAGGGAAATGGAGTGGCTCCCTCAGCCTCGCCTGGAGCAGGGAGGGGCTGGAGATCTGGGTCCTTGTCTGGGCAACCAAGGAGATGGCAGGAGCACAGCAGTGAATCACAATAGCTGAGTTGAGTGCATGCTTCCTCTGGCAGGCTCTGCTAAGTGCTTTCTGCGCACCAACCCTTAGCCTAGCCTTCTTGGGGTCACGCTGACATCTCTGTTTTACAGATGAGGCAACTGCGGCCCAGGGAAATTAAAGAACTTGCCCTTCTAGATGGCAGGGCAGGGCCCAGATCCAAGGGCGATCTAGCTCCAAAACCAAGCTGGTACTTTTCCATGATGCCACGCTCAGGTGGCTGCCAGCTGCAGTTCGCTGTCTCTCTTCCCTATCATCTTGGGGAAAAGGCTTTTAGCTTTTACCTTTGGTTTCTGCAGCCCAGAATTGTGATTGAACAACGTGATAGGGGAGGCCGGCTAATCTTGCAGGACGGCTGCATTCTAGGATAATAGGAACACATGCACATACCTGCACACAAATGTATACTCATATGCACACATGTATGCAGTACTCCAGTAGCTACACACACACACACACACACACACACACACACACACACACACACACACAGAGCCCTCCATGCTGACCCCACCAACTGTACATGCATACATGTAAACATATACTTGTAGGTGTGGGCACCTGTCCTTGTTTATGCTTATATGTGTGAATGTGCCCACACACGTGCACACATACACATGCCTTGAGCATGCACATATGCTCAGCTCCACGGAGGGTTTAATCTCACACATCTTTCAATATTCCTTTTGAAAGCCCATTCTGCAGTTGCTAGGAAATATGGAGGCAGAAAGAGTTCCATGCCTTTCCTTTTTCTCTTGGATAGGAATTCCCACAACTCCCAGGCTCTGGCAAGCCCTGTCTTCCAGGCTTTCTCTGCACACTCCCCTGCCCCCACAGTGACACTCCCTCTCACCGTCGCTGCCCCCACCCCACCTGTCCGGGGTTCTATTTCTCTGAGCCACCATCAGGCTTCTCCTGTTGGCTTTGAAGGGCAGCAGCAGGGAGGGGAGGTTGGAGGAGGAAGGTGGAGGGAGGGAGCTGGTATTTGGGGCCCACTCAGCTTCTGTGTCCCCGACACTGGCTCTGGCTCAGGCTCTGCCCAGCAGTGTTCTCGTTGGAAACAGCGTTGTTTGACTGTTGCTATCGATTATGGCAAGATTGTGTGTGGCTAAGAGCTCCTCGGAGCCAACTGGTATATTAAGCAATCATTTCTATAGCAGATGACATAACTCCCCCGGCATCAGTTTGTCCTAATGGGCTTGGTATTACTCATGTGCTAATTGATTGGGCACGGAGGGAAGAAAAACTAAATTCACTTGTGAGGCGATTTTATGGCAGAGCTCATAACAGAGGTAATTTGCTGAAAATGTTCAGTCCCGCTTCGGTTATGTAAGATCGTCTGTGTTCCTGTGTTTTATCTCCTCCATGCCGGGCAGGAAGCTGGCCTGGCTGGCTGAGCGCGGGCGAGGCAGACTCCCCCAGGAATCGGGCGCTGACAGCTCGGCCCTTTCCTCCTGCCTTGGAACAGGCAGGCTGTCCTTGGGGAGCGTTGACAATTAGTGCCTTCTGCACAACTTTCTCGCCTCAGGGGTGGCTTTCAAAATATCTCAGCTTCTCCTGTTAAAAAACACCTCTGTCTAAGGGCTAAATAGTTATTTTCGGATCAACCATCTAGTGTTACAAAGCTCTTGTTCAGAAAGGAAAAGGATGAAGGGGGGTTTTTTTTGTTGTTTTTTTTTTTTTTTTTTTTAGAGAAAGTATATTTTGCCTTGAAGAGGGAGGGATGGAGAGGCTTGAAGAGGCTTGGAGAGCCTCCTTCCTTCCCTCCCTCTCCTCCCTTCTACCTCCCCCTCCCTCTCTTCCTTCCTCCCGCCTTCTCTCTCTTCCTCCTCCCCTCCCTCTCTTCCTTCCTCCCGCCTTCTCTCTCTTCCTCCTCCCCTCCCTCTCTGATTCTCTTCCCTCTTCCATCCCTTTCTCCCTCCTTCCTCTTCCCTCTCTTCTTCCCTCCCTTCTCCTCCCTCCCTTCCTGAAGCAGCCTGGCTTACCATTGGCCTCAGCAGGAGTCTTGAGCCCGTGCTTGGCATTTTACTCTAGACTGGCGGCACCATCCCGGAGGGGCAGGACCAGTCCTGCTATTTCTCTTTGTAATGGTTGACTCTCCAGATGTGTGCGGCGGGGGTAAGCTCCGCAGGCTAGGGGTGCCTACCAAGCTAAACCAGGTGTCTGTGCTTAAGTGCTCTCTTGAGACTCCCAGGGCAGGGAGGCTTCTATGAGCTCTGAATCCTGTTTTCAGAAAGGAGGCTGGGCTGCCCTGAGCCATCCTCAGGGATTCCCCAGTCCTGGAGCGTGCTGTGATATGAGGATGTTGGGGAGAGACTCTCTGTGCTGATCTTGGTGGAGGGAGGGTTGTTGACTGTAACTGCAGCCTGAGTCCATAGTAGTGCTTCTTCCTTTTGTTTATGACCTGCATGATCCCTAGTGATTTTTAAGTTCCAATTGGAGCAGCCAGGCTGCTGCCACTCCCTGTAGTGATCCAAGGAGGAAACCAAGATGCCATGTGGTCTCATTTTTTTCTGACAGGGAAACCGAGGTGACATAGCTAGAAAGTGGCAGTATTGGGATGAAAAACCCAGGTAGTCTGGCTGCAGGCTGGTGCTCCCAACCCAAGTGATGGCTTGCCTGTCCACAGAGGAGCAGGCATTAGGCGAGCTCATGGAGGATTAAGTTCTTGGTAAAGTGTTATAGGGGGTGGTCTCTGTGACATGTTAGATTCAGAGATTCTTACCCCATTGGGGCTTGGGACTCTGTGACGATCTGATATAAGCTGTGGAGTCTTCCCAGCTAAATGTACAGATGTGCACAGAGAAACTTTTGCTGACAATTTCAGGGGGTCCTGAAATTAAGCGGTCCATTTTTAGGTGCAGGGATGCTTGGTTAGTAAGCCTTACTTTATCCAGTGTTTTCTACAGCCTGAGTTGGAAGGGGGCAAGGTGAGAGGCAGTTTGAGCTCTATGGGTGAGGGGAAAGGACTTGGCCCATTAGGGTGTCTCAGACCTCTGGAGTGGGTGAAAGGAGGTTTTCCGTGGGAGTTGCAGCATGACTATTGCGGCTGGGCAGGCCAGAGCATGACTCAGCCTTCCTTTGGGCATTTTGGCACCGGCAGGGGTGGGTCTAGTAGGAGCCGCAGCGTGGAGATGGCAGGGGAACACAGTGCACACCAGGATGTCAGGGAGACCGGGAGGGGCGTGTGCGGGGAGGTGGAGGAGGGCACTGATTGTATCTGTGTCTGGATTTCCCCGTCCGTAATTATCCTGATAATTAATAGGTCTACAACACTGGTCTCGGAGCCAAGCTAGGTGAGCAGTGAACAAGGGAACAGAGGGTCTGATTGCTTCACTGTGGCGGGCGGATGGGGCAGCTTTATGAGACAGCAGAGGAGGCAGCCTCCTGGAGGGGGTGTTGCGGGACCTCTGGGCTGCCCCATTCCCAAATCAAAGTGATCTGCTCCACTCCCTGTCTGTTTGAAATTCTGCCATCACAGATGTATTGTCTGGGCCTAGAAGAATATAGTATAGGACACGCGAACGGCCCTGGGAAGGGCACACCTTCAGCTGTTATCAGTGACAAATTCAGTGGGTTTCATTGGACTCCACTCGAGGACAAAAGCAGTTCTCGTGTAGGGAACACTCAGTCTATTTTATAGGATAAAGTGTTGCCCAATAAAATAAAAGTTAAACAAAAATTAAATTGAAAAGCAGTTTTCATGGAGGAAAGTCTAGGGACAGAGTATGGGGGAGGCAGCAGAGACAGGGGCCAACAGCAGGCATGTCGGGGGGTCTAAGCCTGGCCTTGCCTTTCTCCTATTCTGGGACCTTGAGAAGTCCCCTCATGCTCTGTGTGCTCTCCGGGGAATTAAGTTACAATAACTGTGCCTGCTGTTGTTGGAGCATTAAAATAGGTAATGCTTCTAGGGGCTGAGCCCAGAGCCTGGCCCATAGGAAGCACTCACGAAATGGTGGCTTCTTTAATTTGGGAACCAAGAGATTTTACTGGATGTTCCTAGAGGCACAAGAAACCCACTTGGCTGACTCCATAGGTGGCCAGCCCTTGCCCCATGATGGTCATGAGGGACAGCTTGGCTAGCAGTGGGTGGAGCTCCTCCTGGCTGTCCCCAGGCAGGTGTGGGTGCCAAGGCCAGTTCAGCTCCTGCAGACCAGGGTTCCCCTGTGCTCAGCTTCCACTGCTAAGAGAGAGAAAGTTCTGGGGAGAGACCTCAAGGTGGTGGAGGGGATGGAGAGGTGGGGGGCAGATAACAGAGCAGGGAATTCGGAGAGGGAACAGAAATGTTAAAAGCAAAGAGAATCCGGGAGGAGACAGGAGAGAGGGCTGTGGTGGGAACTGCCGGCCACTGCCTTCAAGGCTCCAGAGGCTCTGCAGATGGGTTCTGAACAGAAAGAAGAGCACATAAGAAATCAGTGGTCCGTGGGACTGACTCTAATTGGTGGACAGCATATGACTAGATAGGGTCTCCTTTCTTCTTTTGCTTTTTTAAAATTATGCTTTAAGTACTAGGGTGCATGCGCACAACGTGCAGGATTGTTCCATAGGTATACATGTGCCATGTTGGTTTGCTGCACGCATCAACTTGACATTTACATTAGGTATTTCTCCTAATACTACACCTCCCCCAGCTCTCCCCACCAACCGATAGGCCCCAGTGTGTGATGTTCCCTGCCCTGTGTCCATGTGTTCTCATTGCTCAACTCCCACCTATGCGTGAGGGCATGCAGTGTTTGGTTTTCTGTCCTTGTGATAGTTTGCTGAGAATGACGGTTTCCAGCTTCATCCATGTCCCTGCAAAGGACATGAACTCATCCTTTTTTATGGCTGCATACTATTCCATGGTGTATATGTGCCACATTTTCTTAATCCAGTCTATCACTGATGGACATTTGGGTTGGTTCCAAGTTTTTGCTATTGTGAGGAGTGCCACAGTGAACATACAGGTGCATGTGTCTTTATAGTAGCGTGATTTATAATCCTTTGGGTATATACCCAGTAATGGGATCACTGAGTCAAATGGTATTTCTGGTTCTAGATCCTTGAGGAATCGCCACACTGTCTTCCACAATGGCTGAACTAATTTACACTCCCACCAACAGTGTAAAAGTGTTCCTATTTCTCCACATCCTCTCCAGAATCTGTTGTTTCCTGACTTTTTAATGATCGCCGTTCTAACTGGTGATGGTATCTCATTCTGGTTTTGATTTGCATTTCTATGATGACCAGTGATGATGAGCATTTTTTCATGTGTCTGTTGGCTGCGTAAATGTCTTATTTTGAGAACTGTCTGTTCATATCCCTTGCTCACTTTTTGATGGGGTTGTTTGTTTTTTTTCTTGTAAATTTGTTTAAGTTCTATGTAGATTCTGGATATTAGCCCTTTGTCAGATGGGTAGATTGCAAAAATTTTCTCCCATTCTGTAGGTTGCCTGTTCACTCTGATGATAGTTTCTTTTGCTGTGCAGAAGCTCTTTAGTTTAATTAGATCACATTTGTCCATTTTGGCTTTTGTTGCCATTGCTTTTTGTGTTTTAGTCATGAAGTCTTTACCCATGCGTATGGCCTGAATGGTATTGCCTGGGTTTTCTTCTAGGGTTTTTATGGTTTTAGGTCTTACATTTAAGTCTTTAATCCATCTTGAATTAATTTTTGTATAAGGTGTAAGGAAGGGATCCAGTTTCAGCTTTCTACATAGGGCTAGCCAGTTTTCCCAGCACCATTTATTAAATAGGGAATCCTTTCCCCATTGCTTGTTTTTGTCAGGTTCATCAAAGATCAGATGGTTGTAGATGTGTGGTGTTATTTCTGAGGCTATCTGTTTTGGTACCAGTAGCATGCTGTTTTGGTTACTGTAGCCTTGTAGTATAGTTTGAAGTCAGGTAACGTGATGCCTCCAGCTTTGTTCTTTTGGCTTAGGATTGTCTTGGCTATGTGGGTTCTTTTTTGGTTCCATATGAACTTTAAAGTAGTTTTTTCCAATTCTGTGAAGGAAGTCAGTGGTAGCTTGATGGGGATAGCACTGAATCTATAAATTACCTTGGGCAGTATGGCCATTTTCACAATATTGATTCTTCCTATCCATGAGCATGGAATGTTCTTCCATTTGTTTGTGTCCTCTTTTATTTCGTTGAGCAGTGGTTTGTAGTTCTCCTTGAAGAGGTCCTTCACATCCCTTGTAAGTTGGATTCCTAGGTATTTTATTCTCTTTGAAGCAATTGTGAATGGGAGTTCACTCATGATTTGGCTCTCTGTTTGTCTGTTATTGGTGTGTAGGAATGCTTATGATTTTTGCTCATTGATTTTGTATCCTGAGACTTTGCTGAAGTTAGTTATCAGCTTAAGGAGATTTTGGGCTGAGACGATGGGGTTTTCTAAATATACAGTCATGTCATCTGCAAACAGGGACAATTTGACTTCCTCTTTTTCTAATTGAATACCCTTTATTCCTTTCTCTTGCCTGATTGCCCTGGCCAGAACTTCCAACACTATGTTGAATGGGAGTGGTGAGAGAGGGCATCCTTTTCTTGTGCCAGTTTTCAAAGGGAATGCTTCCAGTTTTGCCCATTCAGTATGATATTGGCTGTAGGTTTGTCATATATAGCTCTTATTATTTTGAGATATGTTCCATCAATACCTAGTTTATTGAGAGTTTTAAGCATGAAGGGCTGTTGAATTTTGTCAAAGGCCTTTTCTGCATCTATTGAGATAATCATGTGGTTTTTGTCGTTGGTTCTGTTTATGTGATGGATTATGTTTATTGATTTGCGTATGTTAAACCAGCCTTGCATCCCAGGGATGAAGCCAACTTGATCGCAGTGGATAAGCTTTTTATGTGCTGCTGGATTCAGTTTGCCAGTATTTTATTGAGGATTTTTGCATCAATGTTCATCAGGGATATTGGTCTAAAATTCTTTTTTTTGTTGTGTCTCTGCCAGGCTTTGTTATCAGGATGATGCTGGTCTCATAAAATGAGTTAGGAGGATTCCCTCTTTTTCTATTGATTGGAATAGTTTCAAAAGGAATGGTATCAGCTCCTCTATGTACCTCTGGTAGAATTCGGCTGTGAATCCGTCTGGTCCTGGGCTTTTTTTGGTTGGTAGGCTATTAATTATTGCCTCAATTTCAGAACGTGCTATTGGTCTATTCAGAGATTCAACTTCTTCCTGGTTTAGTCTTGGGAGGGTGTATGTGTCCAGGAATTTATCCATTTCTTCTAGATTTTCTAGTTTATTTGTGTAGAGGTATTTATAGTATTCTCTGATGGTAGTTTGCATTTCTGTGATATCTCCTTTATCATTTTTTATTGTGTCTATCTGATTCTTCTCTCTTTTCTTCTTTATTAGTCTTGCTAGCAGTCTATTTTGTTGTTGATATTTTAAAAAAATCAGCTCCTGGATTCATTGATTTTTTTAAGGGTGTGTGTGTGTGTGTGTGTGTGTGTGTGTGTGTGTGTGTGTGTGTCTATCTCCTTCAGTTCTGCTCTGATCTTAGTTATTTCTTGCCTTCTGCTAGCTTTTGAATTTGTTTGCTCTTGATTCTCTAGTTCTTTTAATTGTGATGTTAGGGTGTTGATTTTAGATCTTTCCTGGTTTCTCTTGTGGGCATTTAGTGCTATAAATTTCCCTCTACACACTGCTTTAAATGTGTCCCAGAGATTCTGGTACGTTGTGTCTTTGTTCTCATTGGTTTCAAAGAACATCTTTATTTCTGTCTTCATTTCATTATTTACCCAGTAGTCATTCAGCAGCAGGTTGTTCAGTTTCCATGTAGTTGTGCGGTTTTGAGTGAGTTTCTTAATTGTGAGTTCTAATTTGATTGCACTGTGGTCTGAGAGACAGTTTGTTGTGATTTCTGTTCTTTTACATTTGCTGAGGAGTGTTTTACTTCCAATTATGTGGTCAATTTTAGAATAAGTGTGATGTGGTGCTGAGAAGAATGTATATTCTGTTGATTTGGGGTGGAGAGTTCTGTAGATGTCTGTTAGGTCCACTTGGTGCAGAGTTGAGTTCAAGTCCTGGATATCCTTGTTAACCTTTTGCCTCACTGATCTGTGTAATATTGACAGTGGGGTATTAAAGTCTCCCATTATTATTGTGTGGGAGTCCAAGTCTCTTTGTAGGTCTCTAAGGATTTGCTTTATGAATCTGCGTGCTCCTGTATTGGGTGCATATATATTTAGGACAGTTAGCACTTCTTGTTGAATTGATCCCTTTACCATTATGTAATGGCCTTCTTTGTCTCTTTTGATCTTTGTTGGTTTAAAGTCTGTTTTATCAGAGACTAGGATTGCAACCCCTGCTTTTTTTTTTTTTTTTTTTTTTTTTTTTTGGCTTCCATTTGCTTGGTAGATCTTCCTCCATCCCTTTATTTTGAGCCTATGTGTGTCTCTGCATGTGAGATGGGTCTCCTGAATACAGCACATTGATGGGTCTTGACTCTTTATCCAATTTGCCAGTCTGTGTCTTTTAATTGGGACATTTAGCCTGTTTACATTTAAGGTTAATATTGCTATGTGTGAATTTGACCCTGTCATTATGATGTTAGCTGGTTATTTTGCTCATTAATTGTTGGGGTTTCTTCATAGTATCAATGGCCTTTACAATTTGGCATGTTTTTGCAGTGGCTGGTACTGGTTGTTCCTTTCCATGTTTAGTGCTTCCTTCAGGAGCTCTTATAAGGTAGGCCTGGTGGTGACAAAATCTCTCAGCATTTTCTTGTCTGTAAAGGATTTTATTTCTCCTTCGCTTATGAAGCTTAGTTTGGCTGGATATGAAATTCTGGGCTTAAAATTCTTTTCTTTAAGAATGTTGAATATTGTCCCTCACTCTCTTCTGGCTTGTAGGGTTTCTGCTGAGAGATCTGCCGTTAGTTCTGATGGGCTTCCCTTAGTGAGTAACCCAACCTTTCTCTCTGGCTGCCCTTAACATTTTTTCCTCCATTTCAACCTTGGTGAATCTGACAATTATGTGCCTTGGGACTGCTCTTCTTGAGGAGTATCTTTGTGGTGTTCTCTGTATTTCCTGAATTTGAATGTTGGCCTGCCTTGCTAGGTTGGGGAAGTTATCCTGGATACCATCCTGAGGAGTGTTTTCTAACTTGGTTCCATTCTTCCCGTCACTTTCAGGTACACCAATCAAATGTAGATTTGGTCTCTTCTCATAGTCCCATATTTCTTGGAGGCTTTGTGTGTTTCTTTTCATGCTTTTTTCTCTAATCTTGTCTTCTCACTTTATTTCATTAATTTGATCTTCAATCACTGATATCCTTTTGTCCTTTCGTCCACTTGATCGAATCGTCTATTGAAGCTTATGTGTGCATCACGAAGTTCTCATGCTGTGGTTTTCAGCTCCATCAGGTCATTTAAGCACTTCTTGACACTGTTTATTCTAGTTAACCGTTCATTTAACCTTTTTTCAATGTTTCTAGCTTCCTTGCGATGGGTTAGAACATGCTCCTTTAGCTCAGAGTAGTTTGTTATAACCGACCTGCTGAAGCCTACTTCTGTCAACTCGTCAAATTCCTTCTCCGTACAGTTTTGATCCGTTGCTGGCAAGGAGCTGCGATCTTTTGGAGGAGAAGAGGTGCTCTGGTTTTTGGAATTTTCAGTTTTTCTGCTCTGGTTTCTCCCCATCTTTGTGGTTTTATCTATCTTTGGTCTTTGATGTTGGGGTTTTGATGTGGATTTCCTTTTTGTTGATGTTGATACTATTCCTTTCTGTTTGTTAGTTTTCCTTCTAACAGTAGGCCCCTCAGCTGCAGGTGTGTTGGAGTGTGCTGGAGGTCCACTCCAGATCCTGTTTGCCTGGGTATCAACAGTGGAGGCTGCAGAACAGCAAATATTGCAGAACAGCAAATATTGCAAAACAGTAAATATTGCTGCCTGATCCTTCCTCTGGAAGCTTCGTCCCAGAGGGGCACCCACCTGTATGAGGTGTCTGTCGGCCCCTACTGGGAGGTATCTTCCAGTCAACCTACATGGGGATCAGCGACCCACTTGAGGAGGCAGCCTGTCCGTTCTCAGAGCTTGAACACTGTGCTGGGAGAACCACTGCTCTCTTCAGAGCTGTCAGACAGGGACGTTTAAGTCTGCAGAAGTTGTCTGCTGCCTTTTGTTCAGCTATGCCCTGCCCACAGAAGTGGAGTCTAGAGAGGTGGTAGGCCTTGCTGAGCTGCGGTGGGCTCTGCCCAGTTTGAGCTTCCCTACCTACTTTGTTTACCTACTCAAGCCTCAGCATTGGCTGACACCCCTCACGCCACCAGGCTGCAGTGTCGTAGGTCGATCTCAGACTGCTGTGCTAGCAGTGAGCAAGTCTCCATAGGCGTGGGACCCCCGAGCCAGGCACGGGAGAGAATCTCCTGGTCTGCCGATTGGTAAGACCTTGGGAAAAGCACAGTATGTAGACGGGAGTGTACCATTCCTCCAGGTACAGTCTGTCATGGCTTCTCTTGGCTAGGAAAGGGAAATCCCTGACCCTTTGTGCTTCCCGGGTGAGGCAACACCCCACCCTGCTGTGGCTCGCCCTCCGTGGGCTGCAATAGGGTCTCCTTTCTAATTGGCACCCTTTTGTCAATAATGTGAGTTCTATGAGGGCAGAGATGGTTTTGTTCATTGCTGTATTCTCAAAACTTGGAAGAAGCTCTGGTGCAAAGTAAGTGCTTAATAAATATTTCTTTTATCATATTTAATTCTTATTTATAATTGACACATAATAATATGTATTTTAGGAGGACAATGTGATGTTTCAATGCATGCATACATATGAAAAAGTTGTGGTAATTATCATATCCATCAATTAAAACATTTATCTTTTTTTATGGTGATAACATTCAAAATCTTCTAGCTATCTTGAAATCTACACTACATTGTTATTTGCTGTGATCACTCTTTGGTGCAATAGAACACCAGAACTTATTCGTCCTGTCTAACTATAACTGTGAACCTGTTAACCAACCTCTCCCGGTCTCTCCACTGGGAGAAGTTTCATAGTTTTGAATCTTACATTTGAGTCTTTAATCCGTTTAGAGTTGATTTTTGTATATAGTGAGAGGCCTCTAGTTTCATTCTTCTGCTTGTGGATATTTAGTTTTCCCAGCATCATTTATTGAAGAGAACATTTATTGAAGAGACTCCCCAGCCTCTGGTGGCCACCATTCTCCTCTGTATTTCTATGAAATCAACTTCTTTGGATTCCACATATGATTGAGATCATGCAGGGTTTGTCTTTCTGTGCTTGGCTTTTTTCACTTAACATAATGTCCTCCAGGTTCATCTGTGTTGTCACAAATGATAGGATTTCATTTTGTTTTATGACTGCATAGTATTCTATTGTGTATACATACCACATTTTCTTTATCTATTTATCATTAGATGGACACTTAGGTTGATTCCATATCTTGGCTATTGTGAATAATGCCACAATAAACAAGGGAGTGCAGATATCTCTTAGACATACTGATTTTTATTTCCTTTGGATGTATACCCAGGAATGGGATTGCTGGATTATATTGTAGTTTTATTTTTAATTTTTTGAAGAGCCTCCATACTGTTTTTTTTTATAATGATTATACTAATTTACATTCCCACAAACAGAATATAAAAATTCCCTTTTCTCTGCATCCTTGCCAGCATTTGTTATTTTTTTTTGTCTTTTTGATTATAGCCATTCTAGCTGGGGTGAGGTAATATTGCACTGTGGTTTCCATTTGCATTTCTCTGATGATTAGTGATGTTGAACTTTTTTTCATATATCTGTTGGCCATTTGTATGTCTTATTTTGAGAAGGTCTTTGCCCATGTTTAATTGGATTATTTGTTTTTCTGCTATTGAGTTGTTTGAGTTATTTACATATGCTAAATATTAACCCATTGTCAGCTGCATAGTTGTCAATAATCTCTCCCATTCTGTGGATTACCTGCTCAGTTTATTGATTGTTTCCTTTGCTGTTGAAGCTTTTTAGCTTGATGTAATCTCATTTGTCTATTTTTGCTTTTATGCCTTTTAGGTCTTATTCAAAAAATCCTTGCCCAGCCCAATTTTATGAAGCATTTCTCCCATATTTCTTCTAGAATTTTCATAGTTTTGAATCTTACATTTAAGTCTTTAATCAATTTAGAATTGATTTTTGTATATGGTGAGAGATAGGGCTCTAGTTTCATTCTTCTGCCTGTGGATATCTAGTTTTCCCAGCATTATGCATTGAAGAGACCATCCTTTCCCCAACGTGTGTTCTTAGTGTCTTTGTCAAAAATCAGTTGGTTGAAAATGCAGGGATTTATTTCTGAGTTCTCTATTCTGTTCTACTGGTCTATGCGTCTGTTTTTATGCCAGTATCATGCTGTTTTGGTTACTATAGCTTTGTAGTATATTTTGAAGTTAGGTAGTGTGATGCCTCCAGTTTTATCCTTTTTGTTGAAGATTGCTTTGGCTATTTGGGGTCTTTGCCTTTCCATATGAATTTTAAGATTGTTTTTTTGGCTGGGCACGGTGGCTCACACCTGTAATCCCAGCACTTTGGGAGGCCGAGGTGGGCAGATCACGAGGTTAAGAGATCGAGACCATCCTGGCCAACATGGTGAAACTCTATCTCTACTAAAAATACAAAAATTAGCTTGGCTTGGTGGCATGCAGCTGTAGTCCCAGCTACTCAGGAGGCTGAGGGAGGAGAATTGCTTGAACCCAGGAGGCAGAGGTTGCAGTGAGCTGAGATCACGCCACTGAACTCCATCCTGGTGACAGAGTCAGACTCTGTCTTAAAAAAAAAACAACTTTGTTTTTTTCTACTTTGGTGAAGAATGTTATTGATATTTTGATAAGAATTGCATTGAATCCATTGACTAGTTTTAGTAATATAGACATTTTAACAATATTAGTTATTCTAATTCATGAATATCTTTCCATTTACTTGTCACTTCAATTTCTTTCATCAGTGTTTTAGAATTTTCATTGTAGAGATCTTTCACCTCCTTGGTCAAGTTGATTCCTAGGTATTTTTTTGTAGCTATTGTAAATG
This sequence comes from Homo sapiens, assembly GCF_000001405.40. NCBI lineage: Eukaryota > Metazoa > Chordata > Mammalia > Primates > Hominidae > Homo > Homo sapiens. The sequence goes on along the minus strand of NC_000015.10, from coordinate 70,365,372 downwards.
TATTTCCTTTCTTGATTTCTTTTTCAGATAGCTAGCTATTAGTGTATAGAAATACTACTGATTTTTGTATGTTGATATTTTTATCCTTAAATTTACTAAGTTACTTTATTAGTTCTAACATTTTTGTGTGTGGAATCTTTAGAGTTTTCTATATATAAAATCATGCCATCTATAAACAGGGATAATTTGACTTCCTCCTTTCCAATTTGGATGCCCTTTATTTCTTTCTCTTGTCTAATTACTCTGGCTAGAACTTCCAGTACTATGTTGAATAAAAGTGGTGAAAGTGGGCATCCCTTTTTATTCCAGACTTCAGAGGAAAAACTTTCAACTTTTCCCCATTCAGTATAATGTTAGCTGTGGATTTGCCATATATGGCCTTTATTGTGGTGAGGTATTATATATTCCTAGTTTGTTGAGAGTTTCTATCATGAAGGATTTTGAATTTTAATGAATGCTTTTTCAGCATCTATTGAAATAATTATATGGTTTTTGTCCTTGATTCTGTTAATGTGATGTATCACATTTACTGATTTGTGTATGTTGAACCATTTTTATGTCACTGGGATGAATCCTACTTGATCATGGTGACTGATCTTTTCAATGTGTTATTAAATTTGATTTGCTAGTATTTTGTTGAGGATTTTTGCATGAGTGTTCATGAGGGATATTATCCTGTAGTTTTCTTTTGTTGTTGTTATATCTTTGTGTGGTTTTGGTATCAGAGTAATGCTGGTCTTGTAGAATAAATGTGAAAGTATTCCCTCCTCTTCATTTTTTCTTTCTCTTTCTTTCTTTCTTTCTTTCTTTCTTTCTTTCTTTCTTTCTTTCTTTCTTTCTTCCTTTCTTTCTCTTTCTTTCTTTCTTTCCTTCCTTCCTTCCTTCCTTCCTTCCTTCCTTCCTTCCTTCCTTCCTTCTTTCTTTCTTTCTTTCTTTTCTTTCTTTCTTTCTTTCTTTCTTTTCTTTCTTTCTATGGTTTGGCTGTGTCCCACCGAAATCTCATCTTGAATTGTAGCTCCCATAATTCCCAGGTGTTGTGGGAGGGAGCCAGTGGGAGATACTGAGTTATGGGGGTGGTTTCCCCCTACTGCTCTTGTGATAGTGAATAAGTCTCACAAGAGCTGATGATTTTATAAGGGGTTTCCCCTTTCACTTGGCTCTCGTTCTTTCTTGCCTGCCACAGTGTAAGATACGCCTTTCTCCTTCTACCATGAGTGTGAGGCCTCCACAGCCACATGGAACTGTGAGTCCATTAAACCTCTTTTTCTTTATAAATCACCCAGTCTCGGGTATGTCTTTATTTGCAGTGTGAGAACAGACTAATACATATAGTTTGAGTAGAAAAAATGGTGTTAACTCTTCTTTATATGTTTAGTAGAATTTAGCAGTGAAGCCATCAGGCCCTTGGCTTTTCTTTGATGGGAGCTTTTTATTACTGCTTCAATCTTATTACTCATTATTTATTGGTCTGTTCAGGTTTTCTGCTTCTTCATGAATCATTCATGGTAGGTTGTATGTGTATAGGAATTTATCCATTTCCTTTAGGTTTTTCAATTTGTTGGTGCATAGTTGTTCATGGTAATCTGTTGCAACTACTGTGGTAGTCATAGTTTGTATTTCTGTGGTATTAGTTGTAATGTCTCCTTTCTCATTTCTGATTTATTTTGAGTTTTTTTTCTTAGTCTAGCTAAAGATTTGTTGTCTTTTTAAAAAATCAGCTTTTTATTTTGTTGACGTTTTGCATCATTTTCCTCATCTCTATTTTATTTATTTCTGCTCTGATCTTTATTATTTCTTTCCTTCTACTTGTTTTTGGCTTAGATTGTCTTTGTTTTTCTAGTTTTTTGAGGAATGAGGTAAGGTTGTTATTTGAGATCTTTCTACTTTTTTGATATAGGCGTTCATTGCTATAAGCTTCCATCTTAGGACTGCTTTTGCTGTCTCTCATAGGTTTTGGTAAATTGTGTTCTCATTCTCATTTGTCTCTAGAAAGCTTTTAATTGATAAATATTTCTTGAATGAATGTGTTTTTGTGAGCATGTGTGGATGCACACCCGTGTTCCTATGATGGAGTGAGCCCCACCCCAATGCAGGGGATGTCCCTAATGTGCATCCAGGCCCCAGCCACTCTGTACACAGGTGCCCTACACCGGGAAAAGGCTGGCTCCCGGCGTGGTAGGCCAGCCCCAGCGTTTGCCCAGCTGGTGGGCCAGGAGGTGCAGCAGCCCAACATGGCCACATGGTGGGGGAAGATTCCCTTCCTCTCCTCCTTCTCCAGGCTGGGAGCGCTATGCCCTGGGTCTCCCTGCTGTGTCCACCCTCTCCATCATGGGCCACCCATCTATGGTCTTTCCCTTAAAGACCATAGACCCTGCAGGTGGACCCGCCTCCTTTCCACACCTGTCTTTGAATCTGGACCTGCCTTCTGGGCCTAGTTGGGATGGAGAGGACCATCCTCAAGCAGAGGATGTCTGGGGCTCATCTTGGGCCCTTTGCCTTTCCTGGGAGGAGGAGCCCCTTACTCCCACCTCTCTCCCCAGCATGCCTTTGTGATTTGAGACATACCCTACACAGCCACACTGTACCTTCACTGCACCCTTCTAGCCAAGCCCAGAGGGTCAAAGACCTCAATCCAGGGGGGCTGCAGGGAGCCTGATGTGGTTGTTTCAGCAATGTCTGCAGCGAGGATGCTGTGTAAACAGGCATTTGTTCAATCACTGTATGGACATCCTGTTCCGGGAGGCCTCAGGATCTCCTGGCTTCAGGGAGGGCGTATTTACCTGGTGTGCCCTCTGGATGATAGATGGAGAATGCAGCTGGGGTCAGGCCCTCCTGGATCAATGTGGCTGCTCCCTGCTGTGGGCATCTCAGAAGGGCAGAGACTCTGGAACTGGAATCTGACCTGGAGCCTGGGATATCAAATCAGCTTGGGGGAAAGCTGGCCAAGTGACCTTGGTGGCCAATACTTGACCCTAAAAGAGACTGACCTGCTTGAGCCCAGTGGCATCCCCACCCTTATTCATCTGCCCAACTTTGGGACATTTATGGGGAACCCATAGGCTCCCCAGAGGCTACCTCCACCCTGCCTGGAGCCTTCTGCATCTGTCAGGCCTAAGCTTCAGATGGTTCCCCACCCACCTTCCACCACCCAAATCGAGCTGGCATTTGCGCATCTCCCAGAGGCACGAGTTAATGGTGGGAAAGTGCTCTGTAACAGCTGGGCTGGACAGGTGTGTGGAGAGTTATTACACCGCAGAGGGCCTAGCAACGAAAGCCTGTGGGGGAACTGCCCTCCCCACCCCAACCTTCCTGCTTTAATTCCAGCAGGGGCTGTCATGTCGTTATCTGTAAAAAGTTGCCTGTCGTGGAGCCAATGGGTGGGCGAGGCTGTCTTTTAGGGGCCTTGCCCAGTGATGGTAGAGGGGAACCGTCGATGGAAAGCCCAGGGACGGAGGGCCAGCCCTGGTTCATCCCCTGACCAACCACGTGGTACTGGGAAGGTCTCCTTCTCTTTCTGGCCTGTGGTTCATGGCAGTGCCTGCCACGGAAGGCTACTCATCCAGTAGATAAGAGTCACAAATGGCCAGGCGTGGTGGCTCACGCCTGTAGTCCCAGCACTTTGGGAGGCCGAGGCGGGCAGATCGTGAGGTCAGGAGATCGAGACCATCCTGGCTAACATGGTGAAACCCCGTCTCTACTAAAAATACAAAAAATTAGCCGGGCGTGGTGGTGGGCGCCTATAGTCCCAGCTACTCGGGAGGCTGAGGCAGGAGAATGGCGTGAACCTGGGAGGCAAAGCTTGCAGTGAGCCGAGATCGAGCCACTGCACTCCAGTCTGGGCGACAGAGCGAGACTCTGTCTCAAAAAAAAAAGAGTCACAAATGCCAGCCTTCTGCTGCAGAAGGCTGGGACTCTGGACAAGTCCCTAAACATGGTTTTCCTAAAAGATGGACATCCTGAGGAGTGTGGCTGCCTTTGGGGTGAGCAACAGGCCTTGAAGAAGAGAAGCTGCTGGCCCTGAATATCAGGGGGCAGAGGCTTGTGGAGAACCACCCTCCAACCCTGGTGTGGGCAGAAGCAGCGAGCCGTGCTGAGAAGGTGGGTCATTGGAGGATGGGTGCTAACTAGGCATCAGGTTTGTGGGCATGAGTGGAAGGCAGGTGGAAGGGCTGCCATCAGGAGGAGCAAGGTTTTAGAGGCCTTGGCAGCCAAGTAATGGGCATAATCTTTATTTGCTTTTAACAGAGTGAGATATAATTTACATGTCATACAATTGACCCATTTAAAGAGTACAATCTGTGTGTTCAGAAGTATGGAACCATCACCACCATCAATTTGGGGACCTTTTTATCACCCCCAAAAGAAACCCCATACCCATTAGCACTCACTCCTCATTTCCTTCTAACAATTCTTCCCTATACACCTCAACCCTAGGCAACCGTAAATCTACTTTCTATCTGTATGGCTTTGCTTATTTTGGACATTATACAGAAGTGGGATCATCCAATATGTGGTCTATTAGTGACTGGCTTCTTTCGCTTTGTTTTCGACGTTTATCCATTTTGTGCCATGAATCAACACGTCATTCTTTTTTACTGAGTGCTATTTCATTGTATGGCTATCCCACATTTTGTTTATCCACTCATTTGTTGATGGACATTTGAGTTGTTCCCACTTTTGGTTATCATGAATAATGGCGCTCTGCACATTCTTCTCCAACCCTTTGTGTGGGCCCATGTTTTCCATTCTCTTGGGTATCTATGCCCAGGGGAGGAATTGCTGCATCCTGTGGTAACTCTGTGTTTAACATCTGTGGCACGGCCAGGCTGTTTTCCAAAGGGGCCCCATCATTTTGATGAGGCTGCTGACAGTTCTCCAAACAGGAAAGATGGGTATTCAGGGCCAGGTTAAGACCTGAGTTTGTTTGTGCATGAGGCCAGGATTTTCCAAGATAAATCCTACAAGTAAAATGCCTTGCCAGGTAAGATCACAGGTAATGAAATGGGCTCTTGTTAATTAAAGGAGGCAAGAGGAGGGTCAAGTACCAGGAAGCAAGCTTTAAGAGTTTCCCTGTCCAAAGTCTTCCTATCTATGCCTCCAACACCAGAACCCCTGAACTTTGTGTGTCACTGAAGGCACAGGCTCAGGACTGGCCCTGAACAGAAGTGGGAAGACAGTGCTCTATAGGGTATGATTTTAGGGGCAACAAGGGGGAGACATCTCCAGACCTTAGAATACTTTGCCAACTCCTGAAATCCCATCTCCAGAGTCAGAGCCTTTCAAGTCATAATTAGAAATCATTTAAAATGCAGACTTCCGGGCAGAGAGAACCCATCTGCACTGGTACATGAGCACTAGGAGCTTCCTGGGGTGGGAGGTGGGGGTGGCATGGGGGTGGGAGGGAAAGCGATTAAAAATAGAGGTGGGGTGGAGAGGCAGACCAGGAAGGGACCTTTGCTGGGGTTATCCTTAAGTGGATGGGGTTTTGAAGAAAGCCCTGCAGATAAGTTAGGCCTGGCCCTGGACAGCCTGCACCCAGCCAGGCCCACACCACCTCCATGATGCAGAAGTTAGCTGTTTTCTTGATTTCTCCCGAATTCCCTTACCTTCTCACTTTCAGAAAGTAGTGCTGGTGCTTTGGCCAAGCACATTTTTTCTCCAAACACACAAGCAGACAAGAAACCTTAATAAACAAGCAATCCCCATTCTGCCCCTACTCTGAACGCCTCCAACTCCAGTCCACACCTACCAATAAATTATTGAATGAGGCCCTTCCAGAACACAACTTGGCCTCTGAGAGATTAGATGAGAAAGCCGAGCTCTGCCCTTTACAAGCTGTGCACATTTGGAGGAGTGAATTCCCCCCCTGAGCCTCAGGCCCTCGCCTCAGCAGTGGCCCATTGGAGGGATCGATGAGACGACTGGTGGCCCAGCACAGGGCCTGGTACACAACAATGCTTGGCCATTGTTCTTTTCCACTCGCTCTCACTCTACCCTGGCTCAGGTTCCACCTTCCCACCCCCAACCCCTACTGCTCTTTTCTCTCTGCAGCTGCCCCACCATCTTGGATGGTGATAATTGCTGGATAATTGGCACACAGCTCTTAACACCTGGGGAATCATGGGTTTCTCTCCTAACTCACACGTATTCATTTCTTCCTCCTTGGAAAAGCTGGTGCTCTCTGCCTGCCTGGCTTTCAGATAGGGCCAGCATCGCTCGCCTCCAGTGGGGACTGGCATCTCTTCTCTACCATCCATGATGCCCACTGGCAGGCACAGGGCTGCTCCTCCCGCTCCTGCGTGTTTCACTAATGAATAATGAAGAAGCCCTCAGACCCCGGCCCTCTCCCTCCCGGCTCCCAGCCTCTGATATATTTGATCCTAGACGGCATAATTTTTCACCTAAATGTGAATGTATTTGTGAATTTATAGAAAATAGTTCTCGGTCTGGTGATATAATATAGGGCTGCCCCATCCTGGCTGCTATTTTGATTGTGACTTAAATGGATGAGGCTATCAATAATTATTTTATTGAACAGGCACATAAAAAATGATGCTAGGCTAAAGCAATTTCCCTGACAAAGCCAGCTAATGCATTGTGGGCAGTTTACCTTTGCGGCGCTGATCTTGCTGAGAGGGGCTGTAGGGGCTGTTTCCTCATCCATTTGTCCCCTTCACGGGCTTTTCCCTCCACCGAATCCCAGGAGCCCTGGGTTGTGGAGCAGAGTGGGCAAGGGTGACCCGCAGGCAGTGGCAGGGAGTGGAGAAATCGGAACCCTTGCCATGCACCCTGGACTTCCCAAAGCATTTCATGCATCCTCTCATTCCCCACTCAGCACAAAATGGGCGATGTGATCGTGTTGGATGGAGGAGGAGAGGTGAAGGGGCTGCGTGGAGGTCTCCCAGCCACTGTCTGGACCTTCTGGCTCCTAAGGAGTGGGTTGTTCAGAGTGAGTGTGTTTCCAAAGCCTCTTTTTATTTGCAGCTCTGTTGTCTCCAGTTCTGTTTTGGGGGGAGCAAGACTGTGGTGCCTCCCTAGGAATCCAGCTTTCTTAAATGCACCCCTTGAAAGGGTGGATCGAAGGCTGCTGGAGAAAAGATGTGGACAAAAGCCACATAAACTGCTCCCCACCCCCAGCAGCTGCTCTGCCCCAGAGCAAGTTTGGGGCTTGTGGTGTCCTCTGTGTTTGTGAAAGCCAGTCTCCTTCAGTGTCTCCTGGGCTGAGCCTGTGTTAGGGACTGGGCAGGGCAGGATAAGATGGGACAAGGCACAGTGCAGTTGGGGAGCCTCACCCTTGCCTGGGACAACAAAGAGTTCACCAAACTTCAGCCTTTTGCGTTCCAACACATTTTTTAACTTTATCTGTCTACCACCTGTACTATTATTTACTTAATGTATTTCCTTAAATCAACTAACATTTAACTTAGTTCCATCCTAGGCCATAAATCCATTTAACCACTGTTTGATGTATTCATTTTATTTTTCTCATGCACACTAAAAATAAAAGTATAACTAAAATGAAAACAAATGCATCCAGGTAACAGTGAGAAGCATCTGGCAAACACTAGGAATCTTTATGCCTGGGTAAGGCTTTATGTCCCCCACCAGGCAGAGCAGGCGATCTGGGAGGGGACAAGGCATGGTATCACTGCCATCACCCATCTGCACATCAGCCTGGCCTGGATCAACAGAGCGGGGGCCCATAGAACGCCCGTCTGCCCAGTGGTGTCCGAGGGGTGGTGTGAGCACAGGTCTGGGGTGGGACAGTCTGCGTCCCCAGGGTCTGCAGGGGCCCACTCAGCCCAGGGTTGGGTGGCATGGGGACCCCCTGCACACATCCCCCAGTGCCTCCCCTCAGTCCCTGATGGCCCCCACACTGACCCCTGCTTTCTTTCTGGGGTTATAATGAGCTTTCGCGCTGAACTAAAGCCATCCCCTCCCCCACAACACAGAATACAGTCCAGATCTGGGAAGGCAAACACACAAGCCTTTGTGTTTTGAGGGCTTGGATTGCTAACATCTCCAGGGAAATGGCCAGAGGGGAACAGGGAGAACAAACTGGGGAGCAGAGTCTCCGAGGGTCAAAGATCCCAGAGATCTCAGCGTCCTGGCCTCCAGACAGCGCCATTACCTCTTGAGCCAGTCAAACCTCCCTGGCTTCTCCTGCATCCACCCCACTTTCCCACCCCCTCCTCTGTTCCCTGTAGACCCCTCCTCCCCAGAGGCCTCTTCTGAGGGAGCAGGGGGTTGCCCAGGCCAGGACCACAAAGCTGAGCTGGACATCTGCTTGTGTCCCTCATGACTTTTCCAAAGACCAGTGGGCCTATCCGAGGCCATCCGGTTGCTCTAGGAGATGAGTCAGAGGCCAGGGCCTGCAGGGATGGTGGCTGGGACAGGAGGGAGAGGAGGCGGCTGCGACCTACAAGAAGGTGCATCCCCTTCTCAAGGCACTTCAACTGAATGAAAGAAATGGAACCTGAATAGGAAAAACAAACAAACAAACAAACAAACAACAATGACAACAGAAAAAAAACAAACCACTCTGCAGGCTAGATTCACCCAGGGTGCGGACTAGAATACATAGATGTTTTGTAAAGTGCTGCGTGGTGGTGTCCAGGAGGGGCAGGCTGGGCTTTCTCCAGATTTAGCACAGCACTTATTGGAATCCAGGGTTCTGCCAAATCATCAGGCACCTTTGCACAATTAGAAAGCGGGTCCCTCTCCCGGGTGGATGCAGCCTACTCCAGGATGCCTGTTTGGTGAGCAACCCCCTGAGCCCCTTGGCAGGGGCTCTTATATGTAAACAACTGCACAGGTGTGCTCCTTGTGCCCTACTGGAGGGCGCCCCTGATTCTTGCCATGCCTGGGCATTTTCCCCATGACCTGCTGTTGTTCAAATGACACAACCTCTCACTCCACAAACTGCAGGCAAAAGCTACGGTAGAGCTGACACGTGGCAGTCTCAGGCAGGAGAGTCTCAGAGCCACTGGCAGCAATGTCAGGACCCACACAGCAGGTCCTCTAGTGAGCCCAGAGGCCTGGGCCTGAGTGCAGCAGGGCAGATGGCCAGGTAGGGCAGGGAGGGGAAACTTGGTGCCACCGGAACCTGTGGCTGATGTGGAGAGACAGCTGCCAGCTTCCTTCACCCTGCGTGAGACCTGCTCCTGGCACAGCTCCTCATAGGGGACCCCTCAGCCTCCATTTCTGGACATGTGGGCAGTGGCTGACCAGCCACACTCCAGCTCCTTGGTCAAGGTGAGGCTGGTGTGGCCACATTCAGGTTCCAAGATCAGGGTAAAGGCATTCACCTGCCTCTCTCAAAGGTCAGGTGCTCTGAGAGGCTGGTCTTCTACTCACATACACAGCCTGGCTAATTCACAGACTGCAGAGCATGGACTGGTGCAGAGGAGCAGAGCCCCGCCTTCTCGTCCCTTTCTTCTTTCTCTCTCGTCCATCTCCACATCTTCCCCATCTCTGCATGCCTTTGTTCCTCCAGTCCTCCCCTCTTTTTCTTCCCATATCCTTCTCTTTGTCTCCATGTGCTTCTCTCTCTTCCTTCTTCATATCCATTCTTACTTTTCCACTACCCCTGTTCTCTCCTCTCTTGTCTCCTCTGGGGAATTATATATGGCAGCAGGGCTACTTGTCGGGGCCACCATTGGGTGACCACAGCCACAGGACCAGCAGTGCAGGGATCTGCTATCCCCACCAGGGTGAGAGTGATGATGATGGAGCCACTGCCCCATCCTCAAGATCATGCAGTGGAGTTTCTGCCTCTCCAAGGACAGGAGCACCCCCACACTGGCCAGCAAGAACACACATCCTCACATATATCTACTGGCTGTGGACAGAGGTGTAGGCGCCTGGACCCAAGGGGAGCTGCTGGGAGCTCGAGAGCACACCTGGTGGTCCCCATGAGAGGAGCAGATGCCTGTCCCAAGAACTTTCCATTTATTCACGGACAACAGTCCTATGAGATGCATCCTATTATTGTCCCCAGTTCTCAGAAGAGGGAACTAAAAAGTACAGGGGGTGACATGACCTGCCCAAGGTCACACAGCAGGCACGGGTCTGAGTGGAGACCTGAGCCCAGGCCTTCCAGCTCCAGATACACACCCTGAACCTTTTCCACCTCTCCTGTCCCAGTACTCTGAAAAAGCAGAAAGAGCTGGGGCAGACAGTGCTCCTTCAGCCCACTCCAGCCCCCAAAAGACCCTCCTTCTCATCAGCTGCCACGCAGATCTCTAGTGTTGAGTGGAGGGTTGCTATTTCATCCTCTGTTCCAAAACTTCCAGCCTTAGTGTTATCTGGATTTGTCAAGTATTTTTTGACAGAGAGGAAACACAAGGTTTGAAAACTCAAGGTGTGTGATGAGTTGGAGTGTGGAGGAGACTTTATAGAGCAGGATTCTTGGATTGGAGCCTGCATCAGAATTCTTGGAGGGCCTGACAAGACACAGATAGCTGGGCCCCAACCGCAGAGTTCAGGCTTAGCAAGGAGTGGGGTCCAGGAATATGCATTTCTAACCTGTTCCCAGGGGCCATGCTGCTGGCGGTTCTGGGACCACACTTTGAGAACCTCTGCCTTAATAAAAGGGGAAGCTGGAATTCCAGAGGCAGACGTTTTCATCTTCACTGGGGGCTGAGAGCAGACAGGGGAAGCTGGGGTCCCTGAGGCGCTGGGCAGTGGTTACCCAACCCCTCCTCTGTATGAGGCGCTCCGGGCGTCTGTGCCCAGCCTTGATGAATAGCGCTCATTTAGGTGGTATGGGGAGTGCCTCTGCACAGACCTATCGGGTTTTTATTAACTGTTTTACTGTCGTACTTTCAAAATCAATCAAACAGTGCTGCCCTCCGGAGACACACCGGGGTTGGAGGGCTGAAGCTCCCAGTCTAAATGCAGCAGAGGCCGGGCCCAGGCCCACAGCGGGGCCGCAGGGGCAGGGGGGCCGGTGCTTCCTCCTGCCCGGTGAACGGCGGGCTTTGTCCTCTCTCTCTGAACCAAAGCCTCAGACTGGTCTGAACCGCGCACCCCAGACCAGAACTAACTGCACACATTTGTTGATCCTTGAACCGAACCCAAACCTGAATTTTTCTTGTGAACCACTTAACAAACCAATATTCAAAACAAAACAGGGAGGGGGAAAAGACCCTTGGCAGACCAGTTTGAATTGGAAGGGCATCTAAATTTCCAAGCCCATTAAACACAAACAAAGCTGGGTCATCAAAAGCCTTCAAACCTGACTTCAGTCAATATTTCGATTGGCTGGGCTCCCTGGCATGACACAGCTAAGCCCCAGGTGTGGAGAACTGGCTTTCCAAGCTCCAGGAAAAACAAGGGTCTCTGTACTGAATTAAACCATCCCAGGGAAGCCCCATCCTGCAGTTCCACCCCCACACCCTTGTGAAGGAACAAACGAAGAACGTGGGAGTCCCGTCTGCCCTGGCTTGTCCCCTGAATGTCTCCTCGACACAAAGTGCAAAGCCAAAGCTCTGGCCCACAGCTAAGTAGTGGGGGGTCCAGGCCTCTGTGATCTGGCAAAGGTGCCAGGACAGTGCAGTCGGCCCCTGCAGCTACCCTGACGCGCACCAAGGTCCCCCAGCAGTGGAAGAGAGGAAAGGCCTCTCCAAAGAGTGGGGTGTTCATTGTATTTGCAGGGTGGCAGGGGTGCCAGCCTTGCCAAAGGACCCATGTGCAAGAAGAGAAAGTTGTGAGAACGGCGAGTGGGCGAGATGCACAGGGCAGAAGCTGTAACTTCTGGGGCTTCGTGCCCAGCCCGGGGCTGCCTAGCTCAGGTGTTTACCGTTCGCTGATCTTTGAGTGTCACCAAAATGCACCCTCATGGCTTGGAAGCTGCATCCTCTTGAGCCCTGCTGCTTGCATTCATCCTTGTTATAGGGTGGCGTCCCTCCCTCTCTCTTTCCCTCCCTCCTTCCTCCGTCTTTCCTACTCCCTGTCTTCCCTCCTTACTCCTTCTTTGAATTCCTTCCACATGCCCCTGCCCAGCTCCAGGAAAAGCCCTGCCCAAATGTGGAATGGCCACTGTCTTTCTTATGAATTAAGAAGTGCTGCTGGGGAATATTATTCAGCCCTGAAAAGAAATGAAGTACTAATACCTCCTACGATGTGGATGAACCTCGAAAATATTACATGGAGTGAAAGAAGCCAGACACAAAGATCACATTGTATGACTCCATCTAAATGAGATGTCCGCAATAGGCAAATCCACAGAGACAGAAAGCAGACTAGTGGTTGCAGGGGCTCGGGGAGGGCTCGGGGTTGCAGGGGCTCAGGGGGAATGGGGAAAGACCGTGTAATGAGTATGGAGTTTCCTTTGGGTGCAATGAAAATGTTCCGGAACTAGATAGAGGTGATGGTTGCACAACCCCATGAAGGCGCTCAATGCCACTGGACTGTACACTTTAAAATGGTTGATTTTATGTCCCGTGAATTTTACTTCAAGTACAGAAACAAACACAAGGAAGTACTGTGGACTCCCTTCCTCTCCTCTTGCATGTAATCAAGGCGCCTCCAGTGCCATGTTCCAGGAGCTCTTGAGCTTAGGAGAAAGTGTGCAGGGTCTCTGGAAGACTCAATACAGTACATATAAGTTTTGGGGGAGTGTCTTCCCTGCCCTCATGGACAATGCATCAGCCTGGAAGCCTTAGCCAGCCTGACTCTGAAGGAAAGTGTGAAGGGCAAAGGTATTGGAGAGTTAGGGGAAGGAGAAAAGGGGAAAGGTGAACCAAAGAGAGGAGAAAGGTGTGTGTGACAAGCATCTCTGCCCTGCAGGCCCTGGGCTGGGCATTTCATGTCCAGCAGCTCATTCCACTGCAGCCTTGCAGATGAGGAGGCCAGCTGAGCACTGGTTGTCCAAGGTTACTGACCAGGAATAGGTGGGCTGGCTCTGGAGTCTGTGCTTTCAAGCCTTGGCTCTACATACTAGGATCCTCGTGGATGGGCCTTTGGAAATGATGCTGTCTTGGGCCTGGTTAGCCCTGTGGGGGCTGCTTCCTCCCCTGTTCCTGGCCCCTGGCTCCAGTCTGTTCCCTATGTGCCCTTTAGACCCTGATGATGAGTTCCCCGGGCTGCTCTTGCCCACTGCACCCTAGAAAGCCAGCTCTCCCCTGTCTGTTCTCCAGGATTCAACATGTGGAGGAGGAGTCCAGGGTGGGGATGTTTAAGACAGCTGCCTCCTGCCTGTGCTGATTGTGTTCATCCAGCAGGTGATCCTGGTGCCTGAGCCCTGGCCTGGATGTCAGGAGAGTGAGGCAATTGCATCTAGTCATTCTTTTAACAAAGATGGATTGGATGCCTGCAATGTGCCAGGCACTGTGCTAGGTGTTAGGGATGCAGCAGGGAGCTCACGGCCTCCCACCTTCTAGTGGGGGAGGCAAATAATGGAGGCCCAAATAGATCATGCAAACCCCTCAGGTCAGGATAAGCACTGGGAAGAGAAATAAAGCAAGGGAGGGGGAAGAGAATGACAGTCAAGGGAGGGAGAGGAGAACTTTCAATGGTTCAGGGAAAGCCTTTCTGAGGAGGTGACATTTGTGCAGAGACCTGAATTAAACCCAGGGGAAGAGTGTTCCAGGCAGAAGAAACAGTAGGTGTGTGGTCTCTGAGTAGCCAATGAACTCAGTGGGTTCAAGGAACAGCCAGGAGGCCTGTGTGGCTGGAGGGCAGTGAGCAGGAGCTCGGACAGGCCAGAGTCACGTGTGGACCGAGGAGGAAAGCGGGTGTGTGGTTTGATTCTCACCCAATGAGGGGTCCTTCAGGGGGCTGAGTGGAGGAATGGCATTGGCCAGCTAATGGTTGACGAGGACAGGAGCTGCAGCTGTGAGGAGAGTCCCTTTCAGTGGCAAGAGGAGAAGCAGGGAGGCAGTGTTCTTTCCCAGACATTGCTTTAGCCCTTTGGGTTTGCAGCCTCTGAGGCTGGCCTGCTGGAGTAGAAGCCCTGCCCTGCCACTTACTTGCTGTGTGACCTTGAGCAAATTGCTTAACCTTTCTGTGTCTCTGTTTCCCCATCTAGAAACTTGAAAAAATAATCATACCTCTCTCGTAAGGTTGTTGTGAGGATGGGGTGGGAGAACAGTGGTAGGACATAGTGAGTACTCCATGCGTGTTAGCCATTATCACTACCTTATACTATCATTAGCAACTTAACATGGTCTCCCGGTGGGAGGACGAAGAGCTAGCAAGTGGCTGCCTCTCCTTCTGCTCCTCTCTGGGCCTCAGGGTCCTTATCTGCTAAGAAAGGATTCATGGCCAGGCACAGTGGCTCAGGCCTGTAATCCTAGCACTTCGGGAGGCCGAGGCGGGCAGATCATTTGAGGTCAGGAGTTTGAGACCAGCCTGACCAACATGGTGAGACTCTGTCTCTACTAAAAATACAAAAAAAAAAAAGTAGCTGGGTGTGGTGGTCCATGTCTGTAGTCCCAGCTACTCAGGAGGCTGCGACAGGAGAATTGCTTGAACCTGGGAGGTGGAGGTTGCAGTGAGCCAAGATCATCACTACACTCCAGCCTGGGCCACAGAGTGAGACTCTGTCTGAAAAAAAAAAAAAGAGGATTCATTAGCAGATCTTTAAAGACCTCTCCAACTCTCTAACATCTGAATAATTAGAACCAATACCCCTCGTACACAAAAACAAAAGCAAAACATTAAGCACCCCCAATGTGCCAATCTGCCAGGAGAGACCACATAGAATTGCATTCAATCTTTCCAGTAACTCAATGGGAGAATCTTGTCCATTTCATAAAGACCAGTGTTTCCATCTTTCTCTTTCTTTAGTCTGTATTATTTTTTCACCTGTTAGATAATACATTGGTGGAAGAATTTCCATTTTATTTTTATTTTATAAATTTTTAAATTTAAATGTAAAATTTAATTTTCCTGGATGTGTGTTCCATGTGCCTTTGGAAGCAAAGTTTCCTGAGGTGCTCACCATAATCTTTCCAATGGGGTTAGGATTTAGAAACACAGAGAATGGAAATAAAACCTAGTTCCTACCCCAAGACTAAGGCAAAACAAGTGTAAAGTTTTCTCTCCTTGGTCCAAGATCAATGGGAATTAATATGGAGTTTTTCAGAGGTCAGTCTTCTGGGGACCTCCTGGTGACCACTCAGCCCAATTTAGTGGTCGGCTGGACAAACACGGTTGTCACAAAGCCCGTGTCCATTTCACAAAGCCATGGAGTCACATGGCAAGTTGGGTATAAAAGAAGGCAGGAGATACAGAGCAGGAACATAGTTATAGCAGAGCTGAGAAGGAAGCAAAAAGAAGTGTGCACATACCTTGCTTAGACTTCCGGCTAGACACTGTGTTAGGTGTTTTTTTTTTTTAGTTTGTTTGTTTGTTGAGACAGAGTCTCGCTTTGTTGCCCAGGCTGGAGTGCAGTGGCGCAATCTTGGCTCACTGCAACCTCTGCCTCCCGGGTTCAAGTGATTCTCCTGCCTCAGCCTCCCGAGCAGCTGGGACTACAGGCGCCCGCCACTACGCCTGGCTAATTTTTAGTAGAGACGGGGTTTCACTGTGTTAGCCAGGATGGTCTCAATTTCCTGACCTCACGATCCGCCTGCCTCGCCTCCCGAAGTGCTGGGATTACAGGTGTGAGCCACCACGCCCGGCCAGGTGTTTTCACATGTACAAGCCAATGGATGAGAAAAGGCAGGATAGTAAACAGAAGACAGACCCAAATGTAGGCTGGTCATAAATCAGCTACTGGTTTCATAGCTCATTTAACAAACCTAGCCAAAATAGGTTGATGGATGGTTCCATTTCCACCTAGAGGGGGTCACTGGTAGCCTGCCTTCAAGGTCTGTGCTTGGCCCTGAACTCATCAGCACACTTGGATCAGCAGCCTGGTAGATGCAGACACAGAGGGCAGGTTGATCACAAAGCTGGGAGAGAGAGTGATCATTCAAGTGTTTCAGAGTGTCAGGCTGGGCGAGACCTTAGAGATCACCCCTTCCCACTCTACAAAGACACAGAACTTGTTCAAAGTCACACAGTCAGTTTGTGGCAGACCAGCCTAAGGGCAAATTTCTCCACCTCCCTGTGCTGTGCTGGCCAATTTAGGATTCACATGATCCTGGCAGGCCTGGGCCGGCGGCTGATTCTAGCAGGATACAGCCTACCAGGGATGAGTGAGTGTGCGCTTTGCATTTCAGGTTCAGAAAAATCGATTGCCTAAGTACAGGATGTGGGAGGCTGGCTTGCAGCCGGTCTTGTGCAAAAGACCGGGGGGAGTCTGTTGGCCACGAGATCAATAGAAGCCAGAGTGTGATGCAGCCGCTAAACAGGGAAGTCTCTCCTCTTCCACGGACTGGGCAGAGCCAACGCGTCCAGAGCCGGAAGAGTGACAGCCTTATTTTTGTCTGTGCTCATCGGCCACTTTCCAAGATTTTTATTTATTTCTAGGTGTCATAGATTAAAAAGCACATCAAGGTTTGAAGACTGTAGAGAGGAGAACGGCTGAGCTGTCAAGGGGTCTGGGGGAGCCTGTCAGAGACCTTATTAAGGTAGCAGAAGACCCTTAACTGGAAAAGAGGAGAAGGATAATGGCCTTCAGTTTATGAGGTGGTTGTCATGGAATAAAGGCAGAGGCTCGTCTAGGGGGCCCCAGAGGACAGAACTGGGACGCAAAGCAGTGTGGGGTGGATTACCAACTGTTTCCCATGGAATGCCAAGAAGACAGCGGGTACCCAAGAAAGGGTCCACAGTCAACCAAGAGTAGGAAATGTATATATGCTATTCTCTATCCCCTCTTGCAGATTCAAGGTGCATATTAGCACATACATATATGCTAATGTGTATAATATGTATATTATATACATATGTATTAGTAGGTACATTACAAGGGATGAAATCTAAAGGTGCAAAAGAGCTTGTCTGTGCTCAAGCCCCCTAAAAAACAGAGCTTAGATGCTATGACTTGATTAGAAGTGCAGTCCTAGGGAGAGGGTTAGGGAGTGGCCACAGAGGAGGAAGAGCCGACATGAGAATTTGACACTGAGCTGGCTGCCGCTAAGTGCAACTGATTGCTGGATCCCAAGGGACTGTTCCCTGAGAAGCCATATTAAACTGTGTTTCAGGGTTGCTATAGCAAAGGACAAGTGAGAAGAAATTTCCATCAGGTCCAGTCTCCAATTGGCTGAAGATTGGCTCCATGGAAGATAATTTTCCCTTGTGTCTGAGTTGGGCAATCGTGGGCACTAGGGGTGGTCCTGAAGTGGTAAGGTCCACAGAGATGCCCTGAAGGGGAAGCAAGAGGAAGTGCAAGAGCAGGATGGCACTTCTGTGAAGTGGGCTGATGCTCACACAGTGCTGTCACTGCTTGAGGCTGGAAGAAGAGACAGGTAAGGTGGAAAGGACGGGCTAGGTCTGCTATGAGTTGTGATTTACATGCAGCAGAAAGTAAGTCTCCTTCCCTCTCCTGTCCCACCACCCAGGTCCCCGCATCAGAGGAACACATTGTTTTCTTGGGAAGCCTTCAAGAGACAGTCATGCATGGGTGAGCCTATACGCATATAAATATATGACATAGGTAATTATATATGCACATATTTTCATAGAATGGGAGCATACTATACTGCATAGCACTTTTTTACATAACAATGTATCTTGGCACTCTTTCCTTATCAGTACACATAGAGCCGTCTCATGCATTTGAATGACCATATAGCACTTCATCCAGCTGATGTACCATAATTTATTTAAATGTCCTATAATGCACATTTAGGATGCTTCTAATCTCTTGCTATTGCAATCATCATGGCGGTAAATACTCTTGTACACAAGTCATTTTGCAATCCTAGGAGGTTATCTCTAAGGCAGAAAACCTAGAAATGGAATGTTGGGTCAAAGGGAATATGCATTCTCAGTTTTGATCAATGTTGCCAAATTGCCTTCCAGGGTAGTTGTGCCAGATTCCCTCCCACCAGCAATTTAGGCGCAAGCCTGTTTCCCTCTGTCCTTACCAGCACAATGCATTATCACACTTTTGTTCTTTGCCAATGTAAAAGGTAGAAAATTATATTTCACTGTGATTTTAATTTTCATGTGTTAAGTCATAGTGAGAATGAGCCTTTTTTCTTCCAGTATTTACATTTTTTTACATTTACATATAATGCCATTTACATTTTATTTTCTGTGAACTGTCTATAACTTTTGCTCATTCTTCTTTATCTATCTTCTATCTATCTTCCTATCAAGAGATTATATATTTGCTTAAACAAAATATTATTGTATATGTTTAAGGCTTTATATAAATGGTATTGAACTATATATATAGTTCTATAACTGATATTATTTTATTCAACATTTTTCGAAGTCCTCAGCATTGTTTTTGAAATGTGTCCATGTTACAATAGCTACAGTTTGTTAATTTTCAATGCTGTAACATATTTTATTGTATGAATATGCCACAATTTACCCTTTCTCCTGTTGATGGCTTTGTGGGTCACCTTCAAATTTTTGTTATTACAATGTGGCTAGGAACATTCTAGTACATATCTCCTAGTGCACATGGGCAAAAACTTCTAAAGCAGAGTATATATAGCCAGGGCTGGAATTGCTGGGTCATAGGTTGTATGCATCTTCAGGGAACAAGATAATACACTTTTGCCCATTTAAAAAATATAGGCTGGGCACAGTGGCTCACACCTGTAATCCCAGCACTTTGGGAAGCTGAGGTGGGTGGATCACTTGAGGTCAGGAGTTCGAGACCAACCCGGCCAACATGGTGAAACCCCGTCTCTACTAAAAATATAAAAATTAGCTGGGTGTGGTGGCAGTCACCTGTAATCCCAGCTACTCAGGAGGCTAAGCACAAGAATCGCTTGAACCTGGGAGGTGGAGGGTGCAGTGAGCCAAGATCATGCCACTGCACTCCAGCCTGGGCGACAGAGCAAGACTTAGTCTCAAAAAAAAAAAAAAAAAATAGATTGCTGGTCTTGTTATTGATTGTAGGGTCTCTTCATGTATGGAAGCATTTGCACTTTGTGATATGGGCATATTAGTGTTTAGATGCTCAGAAAAGCCCTGCAGCAAAGAAATCTTTTTTTTTTTTTTTTTTTTTTGAGACAGAGTCTCACTCTGTTGCCCGGGCTGGAGTGCAATGGCGTGATCTCCGCTCGCTGCAACCTCCTCCTCCTGGTTTCAAGCAATTCCCTGCCTCAGCCTCCTGAGTAGCTGGGACTACAGGCGCCCGCCACCCTGCCCGGCTAATTTTTGTATTTTTAATAGAGATGGGGTTTCACCATGTTGGCCAGGCTGGTCTTGAACTCCTGACCCTGTGGTCCACCTGCCTCAGCCTCCCGAAGTGCTGGGATTATAGGCATGAGCCACCACGCCTGGCAAAGAAACCTTTTTAACTGGGTGTTTCCTTAACTCAACTGACCATGAACCCCTTTCCTCATTGAGTATCTGATAGGACTAACTCGGGGAATTGCTTTTGTAAGGGAACACGCATCAGGACCTGGTCAAGCAAGATGCTGGCATCTGGGCAACCATCAACAGTAGTACACAGACCCCTCTGCCCTGCTCAAAGGACCTTAAAGGTCTCAGAGGCTGACCCTGGCTGGAAGGCTTTCTGGTCTGCCCTCCATCCTACAATTTAGGGGACCCATCCTCATGGTGCATCCACCGTGTCAGGCTTTGTGCTGGATGCTTCCTGTCACTTACCTCTGCTTCCATAACCAAGTGAGAAACAAGGCTCAGAGCAGTGAGCTTCCTTAAGGGAAGACAAACCATCATCTGATCCAAAGCCATCCTCCCTCCATTACACTACAGGACTTGCTTAGAACCAAAACAGTGCCCAAGACCCAGCCCCTGAGAAAGCCAGATACTGGCTTCATCCCTTCCCCACCTTGCCACAACACCTCGGGCCCTGGTCTGTCCCTCTCCTCTGGCTCGTGGCCTGGCTGCATGGCGGGGCTGGCTATTTTGACATGCATGCCCTGGCTCTCCCATCTCATGATGGCAAGGCTGTGAGGTTCCTTGCACTTGGCACAGATCTTGGCATATGATCAATGTCTTTTGGAATGACCAGATCAGTGATGATAATGCCAGTGAGCATGTATCCGGTGCTCACCATAGGCAGGCTCTGTGCTAAGGGCTTTATGAGAATTATCCCTTATATTTGTTCACAGCGACCCTCTGCAGGTTCTGGTACCATCATCTCCATTTCACGGATGAAAAAACAGGCTGAGGGGAGTTTGGTCACTTGTCCAAGGTCACACAGACATTGAGTGGTGGAGGCAGGATTTGAACTTGAGTTACAGGGCCTCTACCTGCCTCATGCCACACACCTGACCCAGATGGGTGAGCTAGGTGGCCTCTGTCTAGCAATGCCACATGCGCAGTAGTACCCAGGAATTCCCCCATGTGACAATGACATAAACCCAGGAGTCTATTCAGCACTGCTGCGAGGCCTCAGGGAGCAGGCCGCCATGGGTGGGGAGAACCCCAGGCCTGGTCCTCTGCCCCTTCCTTGCTCCCTTCCTGCCAGCTGGGGTCACAGGTCCAGCCCAAGGCCACTTGAGGTTCAGGTGACAAAACATCCCAGTTTGCAGGAGTTGGCAGTTGCTCTGGGCAAGCTGCAAGCAAACAGCTGTGACTCCAGTCCCCAAAGCTCCCCCTCCTTACCTGTGTCAACACTTTTATTTTTAAAGTGGCAGAGCCAAGGTGGGGGCTGGGGATGGGCAATGGGGAAGGAGGGAGCCTGTCCCTTATCAGCGCTGGGGTCCTTGCATATGTAACGCTGTCATATAATTAACAGTGAAGATCATTTACATTGTCGCTTAGCTAATTTTCATAATGTTTTCTTTATTATCAGAGGAAGAAATTAACCCAAGAATTTATTTACATAGCAGCCTCAAACAGTAACAGCTTGCTAATTGCCTGTTAGGTGATTAATAAGCTTACAGCAGATGCTAATGCGTCGTGGGCTCCCCGTTTCAAAGGTGCTCTTGCCTCACGCTTGTGTTTTGGCAGCTTAATTAGTGCAATAATTATGTACTTGTTGCTCCTTCTTTCGAGCAAATACTGTCAAATGCTTAAAAGATTAAAGTGAATTATATCCTGAGAACGCACAGAGCTTGAGGATGCCCGTTCTTGCTAACTTCTCTGCTAGTTCACAAATAGAAAAGAATAAATAAGAGAAGGGTCTGCCACGACGGCGGCAGCAGAAATGAACTAGAGCTGGCTGGGGCCTAGTCCTGGAAGAGACCGCGAACACTGCCTCATTTCCCATCTATAAAAGGAGGTTCAACTGGTTGGCATGGGAAAGTGGGGAGAGGAAACTTGAGAATCAGAGAGACCTGAGTGTCAGAGCAACGAAACGCAATGGGTGGATCTAATTTGCGTCCTGATTGGATGCAATTGTAAAAAGCCATCTTGGAGATGATCAGAGAGACTTACCCCTGACATCCAGAAGTCACTGCTGATTTTGTTAGGTGTGATAACAGCATAGTCGGTATGAGAAAGAAAAATATGCTTATCTATTCCATATGCAGACTGAAGTGCTTAAGGTTGAAAGGATACGATATCTGTGATTTGCTTTAAAATACCCTAGCCCTCTCCTAAAAATAGTGAGGTCTGTGGAGAAATAAGATTGCAAAATGTGGATCGACACTGACGCTGGATGACAGATACACTGCGGGTCCATATATCTATTTTCTCTTCTTTCATGTATGTTTGAAAATGTACATAATCAAAAGGCTGGACCATAGAAAGGAGATGAGAATTCCTTCAAGACATGGGCCCTAGAATCCAGCTCCCTGTGTTTAAGTCCAGCTCTATTCCTTGCTAGCTGTGTGGTCTTGACCAAGGACCTGACCTTTCTGTGCCTCAGTTTCCTCATCTGTGATATGGAGATATACTTGTTGCTGGGATTTACCAAGACAGTGCACACAGGTTTTTAGCACAGTGCTGGTTGCATGGTAAGCCTTGTCTCATCCTTCTTGTTATTATATTGATGTTGTTATTGGCTGAGGCCCTCCAGCTCTGCAGCTGTGGGCCACCAGCAGATCTGCCACAGGTTTGCTCCATCCCAGCTCTAGTGCTGGGCCCTTTCCTAGGCTCAGCCCTGCATCAGCGGTGGCCTCTGGCAAAAGGGGCTGCAGAGGGGCTGGCTCCTCACTCTGGGACCCTGCAGGCCTGCCTTTGTCACATAGGACCAGGCACATCAGTTTCTCCGGGGCTACAACCCCAACCCCTCCAGCACTTAATCACAGTACCTGGTCTCTTTGCCCCCATCCTGCTTGGGGCCAGACTCCCAGAAACCTCTGCCCTGTGGTGGCTGTTTGTTGAACTTGCCCTGGGGCCAGTTGTCTGAATTTCGTCTGTTGCTAATTGTTCCACTCTTGGGAATCTGCGTCTGGACACTTCAACCCCTCTCAGGCCCTGAGGCTGCATCTGTGCTTACTCTCCCTCTCCTGCCAGGTGACGCTTGGGTCCATACAGGCTCCAGCCTCTTGGAGTCATTCCCTTTTTGCTGGCGGGAACATACCTGGGCCTGGCCTATCTTGGCCAGGCCACTGACCTCTTGTGTGCCTTGGGTTTGAGCCTCAGTTTTCCCATCTGTAAAATGGGGGGTTTAGACAAACTCTCCAAACGCTCAGCATTAACAGATATCCAGAACTATGGAGGCTCTGCAGTCCTAGTGCCAGAATAGGCCTTAACTCAGAGCAGACAGTCAGTGAATGTTTGGCTGTTGATTGAACAAATGAGCAAATCGATGAGAGATGCCCTCTGCTCTCTCCCTCCCTACACTGGCCTAGGACTTCTCATCTTCCACCTCCTCTCAACAGTCCAGATCCACGTTCCAAACTCCTCTTAACTCTTGTGTTATGGGGCTGCTGCCTGGATCAGAACGGTGGGGAGGCTGGTTCAGTCTTGAAGGTGAATCTAATCACAGCATCACACTCACCCCGCCTCCACCCAATCTCTGAGCCTACCTAGAAGTAATTCTGAGCACATACTCTGAAAAAACAGGTCCTCAGCTGTCTGGGGCAGAAGAGGCAAGATTTTACGAGGTGCGGGGAGGAAGACACAGCCTGTGTCATATTAAGCAAGGGAGAGCCAGGGAGTCTTGTCCCCACTTCCAAACACACGACAAAACCCCGTCTCCATGCCCTTGCTCAGCAGTTTCCCCACCTCCTTCGAGGGTGTTCCCTTTACTTTTTAATCAAACTCCCTTTTCAAGGCTCACCCTCTCCAGAAAGCCCACAGTGGTATCCTGCTGCTTATAGGGCCTCATGTGTTTGTGTCCTGCTCCTGAACCTGGAAATAGAAGCAGCTGGCTTGGTTTTTAGTCACCCGAGTGTCACTGTTCCGCATGTAACTGAACTATAAGGTCAGCGAAGGCAGGAACCACCGTTCCATCTTTCCGTGCACCCACCTCAGCCTCTTGCCCAGGGTCCAGCAGAGAGCTCCGCAGACCCAAGTGTCATACAGTGTGGATCCAGAATCCTTACTCCCGAGCCTCTCATTCGGAGATGAGGAAAGTGAGGCTCAGGAGGGTTGAATGTGTCCTGCAGGGCCCAGGCCAGGTCTGGGAGCCTTGTTCTGACCTTGCTAATCCACAGCTCTCGCTGTCACCCCATGCTGCCCTTGTGAATATCAGCTGGGCTAAGTCAGGATGGCACTGACCCCTCCATGCAGCAGGGGCATGGAGACCTGGGACATGTGGCCACCAACCTGAGGGACTCCAGGGGCTCAAGGAGAGCCAGATTGGGCCGGAAACTTCCTAACACATTCCCAGGTGATGCTGTTGCTGCCTGTTGGGAACCACTTTTTCAGAACCACAGCCCCACAGGAACTAAAAATCTACCTGAGAGACAGGATTATCACAAAGTTAACATTTAAACGCATGACAGGCAGGGTGTATTGGCTCACACCTGTAATCCCAGCACTCTGGGAGGCCGAGGTGGGTGGATCACTTGAGGTCAGGAGTTTGAGACCAGCCTGGGCAACATGGTGAAAACCCGTCTCTATTAAAAATACAAAAATTAGCTGGGCGTGGTGTGCATGTCTAATCCTAGCTACTTGGGAGGCTGAGGCAGGAGAATCACTTGAACTGGGGAGGCAGAGGTTGCAGTGAGCCGAGATTGCGCCACTGCACTCCAGCCTGGGTGACAGAGCTAGACTCTGTCTCAAGAAACAAAAAAAAAGATAAATAATAGTAACAAAAATAAATAAATAAATGCATGACAGAGGCCAGAAGTATATTAGTTAGATTTTTGGTTCTTGGCATCTCTTTCCCCTTCTTTTGAGAACAGCACTCTGATTTCCTTTTGAGGGTCTGTCCCTCCTTTATCCTCAGGCTATGCGCTCCTAATAAGCCTCCCACCTGCTGTAGAGTAGAGCATACACCTAACCAAAGAACATCCAATCAGGATGTGAAGTTTACCCAGTCACATGATTTACACTGGTCCAATCAGGTCAAATAAGATAACTTTGGCAGGAATCATCAGGAAACAAGGCTTTTTTTCCAGCTGGACCAGAACTTCTGTGGCCATCTTGCCACAGTGTGGAAAGAGCTCTGAAAATGGGGCTTATAAGGGACAAGCAGAGGAGAGGGCATTGTTTAATGCTCCTGGATCCAGCTACTCCTGAGGTCAACACCCTCTGAGCCTGTTAGTTACATCAGTAGATGAGGATATAAATCCCCCTTTCTGTACAAGTCATAGTTTGGGGTGGGATTTTCTGACACATAATAGAAAATTTCCTATCTGACACCAAGTTCTCAAGGAATATTGAGGTAATTCACCCCTTCTGCATTAGGGAAGCTTCATGGATGGTCAGAGATGTGGAAGGAGAGGGAAAGTGGAGGTATTAGCAAGGGTGGGCTGATGGAAAACAGCCGGGTACAAACAGAGGCCACAGCACAGACCAGCTTGGCTCACTCCTGGCACCCAGGAGAAGGCCTCTGGGAGAATTAAGCCCTATAGGAAGAGGGGAATCTTGCCACTCAATGGGAGAGCACTTTGCCTTTTGTGGTCTCCTTTCCCAGAAGAGGTCACCCCCGATGCCAGAGGTTCCCAGAGCCTGCTGGCCCCTTGAATCCAGACTTCCTGCCCAGACGGGCAGCTGGGATGAGGTCATGGCTGGAGAGTCTTTTATCCTCTTGCTAAGCTTCTTCTTTCAGTAGCAATTGCTGTCTTGCTTAATCTCAGAATTATCTGATTGTCATAGTCGAGTTTTCCACATTAGGCAATGAGCCAACAAGTTACTTAACCTATAATTGCCCTTTAATGAAGCCCATCTTCAAAACTGAATTGTCAAAGGAAACTTGTAAACATACAGCGAGGTCCAAGACCAAGCTGGCCCCAGACGTTGCAGCCAGGCCCTTGACTCCTCTCTGGCGTCAACCACATTTGTCTGAGTTATTGGGGCTTTATCACCAGCTGCCACCCAGAGTAGAGAGGAGGCTGGTGCTCGCAGCAGCCAGAAGCAGGTCGAGCCTTTGAAAAGCAAGCTTGCAAGTGCTCAGTTTAGGTGCACACATTCTCCCTTGCCTAGAGTCTCCCTTCTTCCCAAAGCACTGTGAAGTGTGAAAGGAATGGCCAATGTCACGACTTGAACTTTGCAAAACTTAAGCAACATCTCTCTGCAGTGAACTCACGTGACGGTGGTTCAGGCCCAGCCCAGACAGCTATTACAGTAAGACTTCTTTAATGTCAGTCTCTCTCACCTACTCTTTACACAGTGTGGACCAGTGGTCTGCTTAAAGAGTAGTCCACACTATGTAAAGAGTAGGTGAGAGAGGCTGACATTAAAGAAGTCTTACTGTAATAGCTGTCTGGGCTGGGCCTATACTGTGGTCAGGAGTCTGACCTCTGGGAATGTCCAGTCACATCTTAGCATGTCCGAAGTGAAATATCAGTCAAACATACTCAGCTGCTTCACGGTACTCTCACAGTGACCCAGGACACAGCAAGACAAGGGAGGGAATATATTTTTTTAATTAATTTATTTTTTAATTATACTTCAAGTTCTAGGGTACATGTGCACAACGTGCAGGTTTGTTACATATGTATACATGCACCATGTTGGTGTGCTGCACCCATTAACTCGTCATTTACATTAAGTGTATCTCCTAATGCTATCCCTCCCCCCTCCCCCCACCCCACAACAGGCCCCGGTGTGTGATGTAAGGGAGGGAATATTTATGGAGCACCAATTCAGGGCCAGGTGCCATGCTGGGCACTTTATATACTTTACATCATTTAATTATCAGAACAACTCTAGAAACTCAGAAATGGTATCCCTATTTTGTACATGAGGAATGCAAGGCCCAGAGTAGGTAAGTCGTTTGCACAGTCAGCAGCTTTGCAGGTGTGGGAAATAGGATTTGAACTCAGATTTGTCTGACGCCAAGGCTGGTCAGTGCTCCTTGGACACTTTGGTGGCTCCCTTATTGACATAAAGCTGGCCTAAAGCCACTGAGCAGTACAGATTAGAAGGGGTGTGGACTCATGGAGACAATAACATGATGTCTGGGATTTGCTTCAAAATAACACAAGAGTGTGGGGAGGCAGATAGGATTAGAGATAAAAGGCTGGCTGTGAGATGATCGATGATGCTAAAGCTGGGTGGTGGGCACCGAGGGGTTCGTCAAACAGTTCCAAATAAATATTTGAAATTTTTAATTACAAAAATGTTTAAAAAATATAGCACTTTCTCCAGAAGTCAGTGCCCCTTCCCAGTACCCCATAGCACTCATACATATCTGTCACTGCCCTAAATCCACTGTGCCACCTTAGAGTAAATTTTTTTTTTTTTGACGGACTCTCCCTCTGTTGTCCAGGTTGGAGTGCAGTAGTGTGATTTCGGCTCACTGCAACCTCTGCCTCCTGGGTTCAACTGATTCTCCTGCCTTAGCTTCCTGCATAGCTGAGACTGCAGACGCCCACCGCCATGCCTGGTTAATTTTTGTATTTTTAGTAGAGGCGGGTTTTCACCATGTTGGCCAGCTGGTCTTGAACTCCTGACCTCAAGTGATCTGCCTGCCTCAGCCTCCCAAAGTGCTGGGATTACAGGTGTGAGCCACCACACCCGGCCAAGAGTCATCTTTCAAAATGTGTCCCTCCAAGTCTCCGAGCTCTGTGAGGATAAAGGTGGTGTTTGTCTTGTTCATTTAATACATTTTTATAGAAATGAATAAATGACAAGAGTCTGGTGCACAGTGAACATTCAACACATGTTTACTGAATGAATAAAAAATCCAAATAACTGGGTCCTGAAGGCTGGCTGTGTTTTGACAAGCACATAGCTATAGAGAGGGCGTGCAGGGCAGGGGGACTGACTTGAGCAAAGGCACAAGCAGCAAACAGGCCAAATTTGGAGGTGAGTGTCGGGGGATGTCCAGCCACAGCCAAGACAATAGTCATCAGTGATAATGTGCTGCCCGAGCTAGCTGGAGTGGCCAGTTTTTAATAACTTATATTTCACAGACACAGCACTGACATTTTGTTTAATCGCCAAGGCAGGGTCAATCTCCTGCCGTGGCTGTGGAAAGTGAGGCTCTCAATTTCAGTCACAGCTCATTAATTGAAGAAAGTTGGCCAGTGTGCGCCTGGTGGACGGCAACTCCAAATGGATGTCGACACGTTTTTGAGGACTTGAGGGAAGCAAAAGAAATCAATTAAGGGGACAGCTTGGAGTTCCATTTGGGAATCTAAATCCGGATGCATTTCCTAATATTCCTTTGCAACAGAGAGAAAGAGAACACCTCCTTCTCCACACCACGCCAAGACCTAGTACCACATGGAAACTGGGGACTGCAAAGGCCAGAGCAGGACCCTGGGATGGTTTGGGGTCAAGTAGCCCTGGCGGGGCCGGCCTGTATCCTGAGGTTCTGCAGGCTATGTGGCGTCTGGTCTCCCGCCAGCCTTCCTGATAAAAACCATACTCCACCACTGGCTTACGTTGAGGGCCGCTGGAGGCCTGCAGGGCTTAGAATACCTTCAAAGGCCTGCCTTGCACAGATGGACTTATTCCACCAAAGCACAAGTCACGCAGATAGTGATGACAACAATGTAAATGTATGAAGCCTTTTATAGTTTGCAAAGAGCTTCCACATCCCTGATCTCCTCTTGCCCTCCCAACAACTATGGGAAAGTGGGAAGGAGGGAGGGGGGTCAGAAACTGAGGCTCAGAGCAGTGACGTGACGTGCCCAACATGGTGCAGCAGGGAGGCAGTAGAGCAGGATGCTCCCCTCTCATCTGGGTGTGTGATCCTTTCCAGGGATGCTGACCTTAAATCAGGTGAGAACACAGGTCTCCACTCTCCCAGATCTCATAGCCTGTCTTGGCATTTGTTATCAAGGACACTGAAACCAAGTAGGAGGATTTCTGTATGGTCTTCTTGTCTCCTAGAATTATTCATGGCTCCCATTGTCTCCTGGAAATATTGAAGACTTCCACCTTCCAGATCTGCCTCTCTCTGAATTGTTTAAGTTATTTTGTGTCTTTGGAATATCAATCAGTCTTGGAGGGGTGACGCAACAGATTCGGAGAAGGCAAAAGGAACATAAAGGTGTCTGGTATAATAATTCCTCTTGTCATCGCATCTTGAATTTCTCAAAGGGCCTTGGCGTTTGCTGTCTTATTTGAAATAAGCAGTAGCCTTATGAGCTGCCTGGGAAGATTATGATCACCTTCTTCCTTAAGGAGGAGGAAATGAAGGTGCTGAGCAGCTCTATGTCTTGTTCAACGTCTTGCTTCTGCCTTTTCCACTTTCTGAAGTTTTAAAAACAGGAAGTCAGTCTTACTCTCACTTTTAGAATGAGACACTTGGAGAGGATGGTCAGGAAGAATTTTTACCTTTATTTTTAGGAAACTGATTTTAGGTGCTAATTAATACAAATATTTAAATACCCGATTGCTTCTTTTGTTCTTTATTCTCTTTGTGTCTGAAATGTAAGCTTCTCTTCTCTCCCCACCCGCCTTGAAGCTAAAATGTTCAATTTTAGGCGCCCTGACTTAGCGTAGGTGGGGTGTCTGGTCAAGGTGGGGTAGAGCCCAGGAGTAATTGAGAAAACTCCTCTCCCTTTGATGTTTGCTCAGAATTCCCCTGTAGGCAGAGAGGAGGGTTCCCCATGCAGGGGATTTGATGCCGTCTAAGTTCACAGTTTCTATTAGGGCTTATCATTATGTATTATAGCCAGATGTTAATCTGCCTGTTTTCCCCAGTAGACTGTGAGAGATCAGGGAGCAACACATCTGCATCTGGCAATAGAGGAATTTTGGACAGGGGTGTGTGTAGGAGTTAACCAGACGTGGGACATATCATGATAAACCAGGGAGTAGGAAAGAAACCCTGAATAAAAGCAGGGCCCAGAGAGATGGAAAGGAAGAGATGGAGCTTTTTAGGATGTGGAATCTGTGTCAATCTCTACAACGAACCAGGGAGGAGTCAAGAACGAGCTCTCAGATTCTAGTTTGGACAACCAGGTAGATTCATGGTAAGACCTTGATCAGAGCTGGGGAGCATAGGAGAAGATGCATCATGGATGGGGAAAACCGGGATGGTTTAGTTCTGAATGGATTGAGTCTAAGGTACCTGGGGGTCTGGAGTACAGATATAAAACTGGGCAGATACCAGCCTCTTGGTGGTACTTAAAGCCATGGCACTGTGGAATTTCTGGTCCCTTTTAGTGCCCACAGGCTGAGCCTCTGTCTCTGTAACCTACTACCTGGCTCCCTGATGGCTCTGAATGATCTAAAACTACTAGACATCGAAATTTCTCATGTTCCTTTTTGACTTCCTCCACATACTTATGATAAGGATTCCTGACGCTATGTGAATCTTATTCAGTAGCCCTTTCTAAAGCATTAAAGGTCGCCTAGCAGCAAGATACAACAAGAGTAGCAAAGAAACCTGGTTTCAAGACTTGGCTCAGCTGATAACTACTATGTGATATTGGGCAGGTCACTGTTTCCCTCTGGGCATCACTTTTCCAAAACTTTGATAGTGAAGTGGCTAAGTTCCTATGCTGGTAGTGTCAGAATAGCTTCTATTAGATTATCCCATAAAAAACAGTTTTAATGCATGAAAAAAAGTATTAAAAACAAACACTCAAAAGCATTAGAGAGCTGCCAAAATGAGGCAGAAACTAGAGTGAGCTTAAGAAAATAACCTTACTGGGTGAAATTCATGTTTAATTGGCTTTTCCCCTGAGCACACAGTGCCCCTGTTTTCATGGCATGGGGTAACTAGAACTCAAGTAGAAAACTGTGGTCTTTCTGACTTTGGGTATCAGAGGTTGGAGCTCAAGGGCGCCAGAAGAACCTGGAATAAAGGGGAGACATCCTGAAAAAGAACCTCTGAGGAAGAAGCCTCAAAATCTGCATATAAATGACCCACAAATTATTGACTGACCCCTGAACTGTGCCCGCATGGGAATGACATCAAGAAGCCCAGCAGAAACATCAGCTAGAAGTCCATAAAGCTGAGCAGAGAGTTCAGCTGTGGCTCACCTGCAGCTGCAGAGATAAAATCCGCAGTTTTATTTCTACCAAGTTAGCAGAACAAAATTTATATTCCAGAACCAAGGAATTCACCCTAAAACTAAGGTAAACCAAATATTACATGCTGTATAAACAAGTGAAAAGTTAAGCCTCCATGAGTTCAAAGCAACCATCCAGCAACTTAACTGCCTTCCAGGACAAAAATTCAAAAGAAGATGGCAGAATATAAAGTCTTTACGACGTATCACCCACGATGTCCAGTATACATTTAAAAGAATTACTAGACATTACAAGAAAAAGAAAATGTGGTTTAAGACAAAGAGGAAAAACAGTCCATAGAAAAAGATACCAAGATGTCTCACATGTTGGAACTAACAGATGATAATTTTAAAGCATCTATTTTAAGTTTGTTCAAGAAAATTAAGGAAAGTATGGTCACAATGAGTGGATAGGGAATCTCAGAAGAGAAATAAAAAAATAACAAAATGAATCTATTAAAACTGAAAAGAATAATTGAAATAAAAAATTCACTGGATGGATTTAATAGCAGATTGGAAATTACGGAAGAAAGATTCAGTGACTTGATGACATATCGATAGAAATTCAATCTGAAAAACACAGGGAAAAAAGGGATAGAAAAAATTATGAAAAAATAATGGCTGAAAATCTTTCGACTTGGTGAAAAACATCAAACTACAGATGCAAGAAGGTCAGTGAATCCCAAGTAAAATAAATATGAAGAAATAACTATACCTAGGCACATCATAGTGAATCTGCTGAAAACCAAAAATCAAGAGATACATTGAAAACAGTCATAAGAAAGAAGACATATCACATACTCAGGAGAAACTATAATAGTAATGCCTTTTAAATACAACAGAATGACAATTTAAAGCACTAAAAATGAAATGGCATCTTTAAAATACTGAAAGAAAATACTGATGTACTCAGTACTCTGTATCAAGTGAAAATAGTATTCAAAAGTGAGGACAAAATAAAGGCAGTTTCAAATAAGTAAAGGCTGAGAGAATGTGTTACCAGCAGAAGTTCTTCAGGATGAAAGAAAAGAAAACTCAAATCTGCAAAAAGAAATGGAGATCATTGGAAGTGGAAAATATGTGGACAAACTCTAAATACGAAGACACAGATCAATAAAAGTAGAAGTATTAAAAAAGACACATTAGCAGAAGACAGCTTGACTGGCATTAAGACAAGAAGAATTATCATTTCACAATGATATAGGGGGTAATTCATTAGAAAGACATAGAAATTGTAATTGTAATGTGATACATATAATAATAGAGTTTAAAAATATGTGAAGAAAAACATAGAGAACTAAAGGCAGAGCTAGAAAAGTGAACAACCGTAGTTGGAGACATTAATATTCTTCTCTCATAACATGTTAAAACCACCAGCACCTCCCCACAAAAAATAATCAGTAAGCATAAAAAGATTTAAATAACAGTACCAACAGCCTTGAACTTACTGATATTTATGAATCACTATACCCCACACCTGCAGAGTACATATTCTTTTCAGGTACAAAGAAGCAATCAATAAAACAGACCAAGTGCTGGCCCAAAAGATGCATATCAATACATTTGAAAGGATTGACATCATATATAGTATGTCCTCTGACTAGAATGGAATGAAATAAGAAATCAATGGCAATAAGATATTTATATATTTAGAAAACTCCCAAATATTTGGAGATTAACAACACATTTTTGCATAAAAAAGCAATTGTAAGAAAAATTAGAAAATATTTTAAACAGAACAAAAATGAAAATGCAGCATATCAAGACTTGTGGGATATAGCTAAAGTAGTGCTTGAACTATGTATTTAAATGCTTGGCCAGGCACAGTGGCTCACACCTGTAATCCCAGCACTTTGGGAGGCTGAGGCGGGCGGATCAATGAGGTCAGGAGATCAAGACCATCCTGGCTTACATGGTGAAACCCCATCTCTACTAAAATACAAAAAATTAGCCAGGCATGGTGGCGGGTGACTGTAATCCCAGCTACTCGGGAGGCTGAGGTGGGAGAATGGCGTGAACCTGGGAGGCAGAACTTGCAGTGAACCGAGATCGCGCCACCGCACTCCAGCCTGGGCAACAGAGCTAGACTCCATCTCAAAAAAATAAATAAATAAATAAATAAATGCTTGTAATAGAAAAAAAGATCTAAACATCTACTTTAAGAAGCTACAAAAAGAAAAAAAAAACCCAGAATTAGAAAGAAATAATAAAGATTAGAGATGATAATAATGAATAGAAAATTGAAGAACAATGGATAAAACTAGCAAAGAAAATACTGGTTCTTTTAAAAGGTGAACAAAATTGATAAAGCTTTAGTAAGACTAGTTGAGAAAAAAGAAATATAAATTGCAAATATATACGTGTGTGTGTGTGTGTGTGTGTGTATGTATATATACATGTAGAGAGAGAGGGAGAAAGAGACAGAGAGAGGGAGAGAGAGAAAAGTGACATCACTACAGATCTTACAAACACTTCAAGGATAATAAGATGATGTTATGAACAGCAATACTATCAAATTTTATAACGTAGGTAGAATGGACAAATTATCTGAAAAGCACAACTCACCAAAACTGACATAAAAAGAGACAAAAAAATTGAACAGCTCTGTATCTGTTAAAAAGATGGACTTTAATGTAAAAATCTTCTAACCATGAAAACTCCAGTGTCTGATGATCTCACTCATTAATTTCATCAAATACTTTAGGAAAGAATAATATTAATCTTATTAAAGAATGCTTTTAGAAGAAAAAAAAATGAGAGAGCACTTCCCAGCTCACTTTATGAGGCCAGCATAATCCTGATACCAGAATTGACAAAGACAAAAGTACATACCAACATCTTTCATAGACACAGATATAAAATGTCTTAATAAAAAATTCACAAAGTGAATTTAGTAACACAAAAAGATAATACATCATGGCCAAGTGGGGTTTGTCCTGGGAATGTAAAGTTAATTTAACATTTGAAAAGGCAAACAATGTAATTCACAATATTGATTAAATAAAGGAAAAAAAAATGTGAAAGGAAAAAAAATATGTGATCATCTCCATAGATCCCTAAAAATAATTTGGCAAATTCAACATCCAATCCTAATAAAAATCTTATCAAACTAGGAAGAGAAGATAATTTCCTCAGTTTAATAAAGGATATGTCAAAAACTCACACTTTATATAAATATAACTTAATATAAAATATTAAATGCTTCCCCCCAAGATGGAAATAAGGCAAGAATGTCTATTCTTACCACTTTTATTCATCACTGTGCTGGAAATACTAGACAGTGCAATAGTAGAACAATAAAGAAATAAAAGGCATTAAAATTTGAACAAAAGAGGTAAAACTGTCTTTATAGACAGTATCATTTTTTATGCACAAAAGCTTAAATTTAAACCACTTACTCAACAAAGCAACTAATAACTGAATTTTTAAAGGTCACAGGATACAAGATCATACAAAAGTCTACTGTCTTTCTATATACTAGCAGCAAAAAATTGAAAAATTAAAATTTTTAAAGCCATTTTACATTAATATCTAAAAACACAAAATACTTAGGAATAAATGTAACAAAATATAAAGAATATTTGTCATAAAGTGACAAAATATTGCTAAAAGACATTTAAATAGACCTTATAAGTGAGGAGCTATTCCATATTCATAAACTGAAAACCTCAATATTGGTAAGATGTCAAGTCTTCCCAAATATATCTATGGATTAAAGCAATCCCAAAGAGAATCTCAAAATGTTTTTGTAGAAAATGACAAGAAACATGTCATTATGAATTTATATGGAAAAACAAAGCTAAAGAATTGTCAAACAATATTGAAAAAGAAAGACAAATTTATACCACCTGACTTCAGGACTTACAGTCAAGCCACATAATCAAGACAGTGTGGTATTGGTATAAGGAAAGACATGTAATGGAACAGAATAGAAAGACCAGAAATAGACCCACATATATACCATGAATGGATTTTCAATCAAAGTGCTAAACCAACTTAACAGGGCAATGAAAGTCTTTGCAACAAATATCAAACAACTGGATAAATCTATGGTAAAAATAAACTTAGGGCCCTATGTATCACCACACACAAACATTAATTCTAGACATATCATAGACCTAATGATAAGAGCTAAAACTATAAAAATTTTTGGAGAAAACCTAGGAGAATGTATTTGTGACCTAGGGGCATAAAAATAGCCAATAAACACATGAAGCAGTGTTCAACATCATTAATCATCAGGGGAATGCAAATTAAGACTACAATGAGCTACTATTACGCACACATCAGGATAAAGACTGACAACATGAAATGTTAGTGAGGATCTGGAGCAACTGGAACCCTCATCCACCGCCAGTGAGTGTAAAATAGTACAACCACTTCAATTATACATTTCTTATTAATTGAATCGTTTGCCTACTTGTGACCTAGCAATTCCATCAATAGGTATTTATCCAGGAGAAACAAAAATATGTCTACATAACTACTTGTATATGAATGATCATTATTATGGTTTAATTCACAATAGCCAAAAACTAAAAACAACCAAAATGTCCATGAACAGAGCTACTGGATAAACAATTTGTGGTATCTTCATGTACTGGAACAGTACCCAGCAGAGATTGGAATAAATCACCAATGCACAGAACAACATGAATGAATCTCACGGACATCATGAAAGCAAAGTACAGAAAAGAACAAGTATAGTTTGCTTTCCATTTATGTGAAGACCTAGGGTAGGCAAAACTCAGCCCTGGTGATAAAAATCAGAATGGTTGCCTTTGAGGTGGATATGAGTGGAAGGGACACAAAAGAAC
The DNA here is from genome assembly GCF_000001405.40 of Homo sapiens. Lineage (NCBI taxonomy): Eukaryota > Metazoa > Chordata > Mammalia > Primates > Hominidae > Homo > Homo sapiens. The sequence continues at coordinate 70,330,037 of NC_000015.10, read as the reverse complement.
TTTCTGAGGCAATGGAAGTGTTCTATACCTTGGTTGACATGGTATACATGTTTATCCAAAGATAACGTATGTGCATTTCACTGTGTGTCAATTTTGAGCCAATTTTAAAAGGAAAAACAAAGGAAGTTAAAAAACAAAAACATAGGACTCTGATTCCAGGAGTCTTGAGTGCCCACACCTAGGGCTTAATCACAGTGGGGCTGTGGTCAGTGCTTTTCTTTCTCTGCATTAGCTGGAACTATGGAAAGAAAGGCTCAGCAGATTGGGTGCCTGGGAAGCCTGTGGGCCTGTCCTGTCCTCAGCTGCCTGAACGAGTCACTTTAACTTCAGAAGTGTCTATAAATTAATCCTGAAGTCTGTGTAAGCCCATCAGTGTTACATGCTGGTCTTCTCTGAGTCTATGTGTATTTTATTTTAAGGCTCCTCCCTCTCCTTCACTGTCATGGCCTTCAGAAAAAATAACCATTCCCTTGGAATGATGTGTGACCCCACCAATCAGAGGATAAGTTGTCTGGCCAACTTGGGCAGCCAACAGAGGAAAATTTCCTGGAGGGTTACGCCACCGGTTGGATCTAAAAGGACTAAAGCTTTCTTACAGCCCTCATGTCCAAGGGGAGGGAGGAGGGCCAGATGACCTGGAAAAGATACACAAATAGAGGTTCCGAGTTATGACACCTACACAAGTCCAGTTCAGTCCTTTCGGGAACCCCCACCTCCCTAGTGCCAGCATTGCCTTCACACCGCCTCTCTGAGCTTCCCATTGCTGGGAAACCAGATAGATGACGTGCCCACAGGACAAGGGGGGAAGGAAGAGAAGAACCAAGGAGACGGACAAGGCAGGAGAAAGGGGAAGCGATGCTTAAACAAAAAGAAAAGGATCTTCTGGAATCAGAAGGGAAAGTTTTTGTTGCTGGCCTCTCAAGGCATGGGATTGACTAGCAACAATTTCATCCTTTTGTAGAGGGTTTAGTGTTTTTCAAAATGCCCACATCTTATGCCATGAGGTGGCCTGGCCAGGTATCAGGACTCCCCACTTTTAACAGATGAGGAAACAGAGGCTAGAAAGCTCAGGCACTTGTTCAAATTGGCATAGCAAGTGAAAGCACAAAGTGGGAATCTGGCCAGATTTCCTGATGGCCACCCCTCTTCCTCGGGTGGGGGACATCCCCTGGGCACTCTTTTCCCCCTTTGCTCTCTCACCAACACTCATCAGATCAGCCGTGAGGACTGGGGAGGGAATGCTGTCTGCAGGGTAGAATCATGCGCAAGGTGAAGGAGCTCAGCTTCCAGCCCTGGGCCTTTTTAGGAAATGTAGCTCTGCATGAAACACTTGGCTTTGATGGGAAGGAAAGAAGTAGGTCTACTAATTAAATGTCATTTAGGATTTTTTTTTAGCTTTAAAAACAGAGGAGATATGTTTAATTCAGGCTCACCACCGTCATGGAGCATTTCTGTGAAGCTCAGGGCTCTCTGTGCACAGTCTCTCTGACTCCAAAAGATCATTGGATTGTCTTTTCCTCTTTCTGGTTTTGTTTTGATTTTGTTGTTATTGTTTTCATTTTAAAAATGCACACCCTCTGGAGTTGAATACTTTGACTTCTTTGATGCAAGGGAAGCCAACCATGGATTTCTAAAGTTAGACAGAAAGAAGTTGACATTGGCTGGAACTAAACCACAAGCCTCAGAAGCATCTGCACTGCTGGGCCCCGGTCCACAGCCGGTGCGGTCAGCATCATGTCATTGTGCTCTCTGGAGAAAACTAGAGACCCAGAGACCTGCCGGTTACACTGCCATTGGCTCCCTGCCCCTGGACAGGCAGGGACTAAGTGTCAACTAGGAATTGTAACCATCCCTGCCTCATGGGGGTGGTGGGGATGGTGAGGGGGTCGAGGAGAAGGAGGGGGGGGGAAGAGGACGCACTTGGTATGAAAATCCAGAGGGACTCCAGTGTGCATGTGAGTTTCCTAAAAGAGGAAATGCCTCCTCTCCAGAAACAATGATGTAAATACCTCTGTGGTTTTACTTCACTGAGCTGTGCTTACTTGTTGCCTCTTAGAGTAGAACCTTTCCTTCCTATAGAGAATTCTTTCCACCAGGATTGGATGGGGCTGATCCTGCCTGCTCCCTGGCCACATGACCCGAGGCCAGGCCAGTCAGAAGCCTTCCTTCCTTCTGCTCTGGGCTTGCTAAAGTGGCAGGGCTTCCAATACTCATCTTGCCTGTGACATGTAGAGAGCCAGTAGGAGAGATAAAGGGAGGTGGGAGAGAGAGAGATGGCCATCTTCAATGCTATCATTTGAGTTTCTGGATACAGCTATCCTGAAGGTAGGTAGATTACTTCTACAAGCGAATAGAAATAATCTCTATTCTCTTTCTTTCTTTGTTTCTTTCTTTCTTTGTTTCTTTCTTTCTCTTTTCTTTCTTTTTCTTTCTTTCTTTCTTCTTTTTCTTTCTTTCTTTCCTTCTTTCTCTCTCCCCTTCCTTCTTTCCTCCCTCCCTCCCTCCTTCTCTCTCTCTCTCTTTCTTTCTCTCTCTTTTCTTTCTTTCTCTTTCCCTCCCCACTCCCTTCCTTCCTTCCTTCATTTGTTCGTTCGTTTGTTCCTTCCTTCCTTCCTTTCTTTTCCTATAACTACTTTAGATTTTATTCCTGCCACTTGTAACTGAAAGAGAGCCAAGTAATATGTGTCTCACTCAATTTTGCATCTCTAGCACACCCAGCACACAGGAGCATGCATGTTCAATGAATGTTTGAGTGTCTTTAGAAAGAAATAAAGTTGCCAGGCACGGTGGCTCATGCCTGTAATTCCAGCACTTTGGGAGGCCAAGGCAGGTGGATCACCTGAGGTCAGGAGTTCGAGACCAGCCTGACTAACATGGAGAAACCCCGTCTCTTCTAAAAATACAAAATTAGCCAGGCATGGTGGTGCATGCCTGTAATCCTAGCTACTCAGGAGGCTGAGGCAGGAGAATCGCTTGAACCCGGGAGATGGAGGTTGCGGTGAGCCGAGATAGTGCCATTTCACTCCAGCCTGGGCAACAAGAGTGAAACTCAGTCACAAAAAAAAAAAAAAAAGAAAAAGAAAAGAAAAGAAAAAAATAAAGTTGGGGTGAATGAAGAAAGTGCGTTGTTGGGCATTTATCAGCTCTCTGTGTCGGGCACTTTATATAAATTATTTCAGTCATTATAGCACTGCAGTATTAGGACTACGATCTCCACTTGAAGTTTACATAAAATAAGGAAGAAAGAGCTCCCGGTGAAAGTCCAGACCTTCAGATGTGGGATGGAGCCTTTGAGTCAGTCTCTCTCTGACACCTCAGAAGCTGGTCCATCGGATGTCTGCTCCTCACAGTGGCCTTTGTGTGCTGGCCCCTGGCCTTCTGCGGGAGCCCAGACCAGAGTTGTGGGGCTCTCTGTACCACATCCATGCTTCCCCTTGGATGTCAGGAGGAGGTCTCTTACCAGGGGCTGAACACTGCAAACATAGAAGTGAGTTCTCAGGTCCCCGACTTCCCCTCATCCACTTCTCTCCATGATCCTGTGTCCTTTCTCATTGCTTGACCTAGTCCACACCAGCTCCACCAAATTCACATCCCAAATTTCTGTTGCTCAGTGGATCCAAGATCAGGCCAAAGTGAAATTCGTTGGGTGCAGCTGTGGGTCCCTGGAGTCCAGAAGTTTCATGGTGTGAGAGGGAGGCCACTGTTGGTAGAACAGGATGGGGGTCCTGAAGTTGTATCTGAGCTCTGTATTTGCATTTTCACCACAACTTAAATGACCTCAAATGACAGGGTAGGAAAGACCTCAAAAATCATCTAAAGAAGCACAACCTGGAGTGCTTCCTGACATTCCCTGACCCCGGCTCCCAAACTTGAGAGAGACAGTGCTGATCACTCAAAGCACTTCTTCCTGCTGAGCTCAGATACACTTTCAGATCTTTCCCACGCAGCGCTGTGGGCTGCCCCATCAGTCACTGGGAGGTGGCTCACAAAAAAAAGTACTTGTCCTCAGACCTGGTTCAAGACCCTCATTTTTTGCTATTGTGAAAATAGAGATCCAGAAGGGTGAAAGGACTTGTCCAAGGTCGTGCAGCCCAGCTGGAACTTGAAAACATACCTTTTGATTCTCTTAAGTCTACTGTTCTTTCTTCTGAATGTGCTGACTTAGTACCATTAGTATATGGTAATATGCCAACCCAATTCAAACTCTACATATGCTTCACTGGAAAATCAATCAAGCAAATTGATAGAGCTCCGTGTTGTGGAAAGAACACTGAGCTGCGATTTTATCTCTGGTCTGGCAATAAACCAGCTGTGTGACCTTGGGTCAGTCAATTCACTTCTCTGAGTCTCAGTTTCCTCATCTGTCTAATTGTGGGGGCAGGGTGATTTTTATGATCTGTAAGGTACCTTTAAATATTAATAATCTGTGATTTCATTTGCCCAGAATTATGCCAGACATTTTTCTAGCTATAAATAGACAGAAGAGAAGACACAACCATACAATACAAGAAGCAACAAAACATTAATATAATTAATATAACTTTTAATTTATATAATTAAGGGCCAGGAGGTGTGGAACTTACTGAGGCCCTCTGGGAGTTAAGAGGAGGGAGTTCTGAGTGGTAGGGAGTTGTCTTTGTGGAAAGGAGAATTCAGCCTGGCCCTAGAGGATGGGTGGTAGATAGGGGACAATGGCACTGCAGGCAACAGGAGGAAAATAAAGTGGCAGCAAGGTGAGATACGCAGTGTGTGTTTAGGAACAGAACAGCCTGACTGGAGAGGAGGTGGAGGAAGTCTTAGGAATGCTTTAGGGAGTCAGAGGTGAGCATGGAGCCCAGTGTCACATGGAATGTGGAGGAGAGGTCCTATTCTCTACAGAGACCTATAGGGGAATCTTTTGTTTTGTTGAATAAAAGGTGAAAATGATAGAGATTCAACTCAAACTGGCTTAACCAAAACAGTGGATTTGTTAACTCACACAATCAAAAACCCCAGGTTAGACTTCAGCTGTAATTGGACCCAGGGGCTCAAAAAATCTCACTGGGAATGTGCCCTTCTCCGTTTGTACTTTCTTCTGTGTTGGCCTCATTCCCAACAGCCATTTCCAACTGGTGGCAAGATGGCGCCCAGCAGCTCCCAACTTACATTTTACCACTTAAGACTGGTGGAAAGAGAGCTCCTTATTCTGCCAGTTTTGTGAAAGTCCTGGGGTGGATGCTCATTGACCCAGATGTGATCTCGTTCCCATCTCTGAACCAATCACCAAGGCCACGGGCGGGATGCAAGGCCCCGATGGACCAGGCCTGAGGCACATGCTCATCCCTGGAGCCGGAGAGTGGGATCTTCCCCAGAGGAACTGGGGAAACTGAAAATGGGATGGGATGATGATTCCTAGAGAAAAATCATAGGGCCACTATCAAAAGTAGGAGTGGAGGCATCCCGGACAGGCAAACTCAGCAGATGTCCAGCACCAAGAGTATTTCATCAGGCTTCATGTGGAAGAAACTAGGCTGTGTCTTTAAGACAGAGCCAGACTAAGCAGTAATTCTGCATAGGGGAACTCAGTTACTCAACTCTAAAACCTGCTGGGCAAGGGTTCTGAGAGGCCGCAGTGAGGTGGATGGGACGACAGCCTCGGGGCAGGTCTCATCTTTCTTACATTAATACTTCTTGGAGAGACTCAGCAGCAGGGCAGGAATTTGTTAAATTACATAAACATTATTGTGACCCGTAAAATTCAATGAATCTCGGCCTGTTTACCCTCGGCTGGCTTTAATGTTTGCACAGTGTAATTTAATGTGTCAATTTGCTCTCAAATAAAAAACATCTGGCCCTCTGACATGCCAAAGAAACCGGAGAGCTGATGTTCAAAATCAGCTAAAAGTCCCAATCAGGGATGATGTTTTGAGGAAGAAAAAAAAAGGCAAGAGGCTCAGAAAAGGAAGCCAAGAGTGTTAGGATCCATTCCTGGCGGAGTGACAACCCTCTGTTTGTGAGTCTGTAAGATCAGTAAATTTTATCCTAATTAGAATTAAGAAAAGCCGAGAAGAGCACATACCATCTTTAACTGGCACCCATTGTGCAATTAAATTTCCTGTGGCTGTCCCTGCCAATATTGACATTCATGCTATTGGATTTTTAACAATCTTATTATTTTGTAATTGAGAGGAGCAAGAAGAAAATTATGCTTTTCTGTATAGATGATCTTCCCAGCTAAAGTACCGCTTCCTACAGCAGTTGGCCTGCCTAAGCTCTTTCCCTCCCTGGGGGTTGGTGGTGTTTGGGGAAGAGAAGGGGAGGGGGGACTGGCTGAGTGTGTGGTTTTCCAGTAAGATCATCTATGCGGCCTGTCTTGCTTTGGTCTCCAGTAAATAATGGTACTGCTCACTCCTGCAGACAGAGGCAGGGCTTGGCAGGCAGGTCTGAGTTGGAGGCACTGACCTACATAGAGCAGGGGACAGGGGAAACAGGTGGGGCATTGAAGGCCTTTCAGGGACACCCCTACCTGCTGCTGGTGGCTGCTCATTGATTCTGACTGCTGGGGCCTCCCCAGGAGCTGGGCAGGCCGAGGTGGCCCGAGGGACACTTTATCCATCTCCCTCTCCGGCAGCTCTCTTTCTTAGCACCCAAGGCTGGGCCAGGCTGAAGGAACCAGGGAGGGATGGTTTCCACTCCCCAGTTTCTCACCCCAGTAAATGCTTGAGACATCCTGATGAAAAAGAGTTCGGCCTGGAGCCCGGGCAGCCACCCTGCTGGAAGGAGCGGAGCCTGCTTTCCTGGCTGTGGAATGACGGGGTCAAAGCGAGTTCAGGCTTTGCTTTAATTGAGTAGAAGATAGTTCTTCCTTAAGGGAGCCCTGAAACAGTGCTTCGGCAGAGCAGAATGACTTCCCATATTGTCAGAAGGGATTAGCCTGGCTGGTTTGTAAATAAAGAGTGATCCTTCTTTCCCCTCTAGGACAAACAGATCATATTTTCTTCAGATCACCAGGGCCGGGGCTCCCTCTAATCAAGTCCTTGACATTTCAGTAAGACTCAAGGAGTTACATGTTTTCCATGATTGTGCCTTTGGTAATTACCCATTTTCCTAAACGATTGCTATTTTCCAAATTCAAAACGTTTTGAGGAAGTGGGAAAATGAAATGTCTCTCCAATGACGTGAAGATGAAGGGGAGGGACAGAGGTGGAGGTGCGGAAAGGAGCAGGTCTCTTGAGGCTGGGACAACATCATCCTAATAAGCACCACGGAACAGATCCCTGGACCACTGAGGTGCTTTCTAATCTATTCATTTTTCCATTCCTTTGGGAAACAATAGTTTCTGAAGCCCTTGCCAGGTGCCAGACGTCATGCTGGCCACCGAGGGCAGAGTAAGACCTGTTTCTGCCCACTCCAAGGAGCTCCAGTCTAATGGGAAAGACCAGCATGTAGGCTAATTACAACAACAAAACGTCTTGAAAAATAAACGTCATGGAATCCCCAAGTAAACAGCAAAACAAAACAACAAGAGAAAAATGAAACGAAACCAAACCAAAAACCAAAAGCTTTGTCTGAGTAGAACAAGGAAGTCTTCACAGAGGAGGTGATGCGGTGTCTCCCAGGATGAGTAGGAGTTGGCCACCCTAGCAAAACGGTAACAGAAATAGCTAACCCAAAATGTCTGGTGCTATTCTAAGGGCCCTACACATACGCATTCATAGAATCCTTACAATCTTATGAGGCAGATGCTTTTTTCTTTAGCTATCCTCCTGCCTTGGCCTCCCAAAGTGCAGGGACTATAGGCATGAGCCACTGCACCCAGCCCAGATGCTATTTTTACCCCAATTTTCAGATGAGGAAGCTGAAGTGCAAAGACAAGAGAAGCTTTCTGGACCAGGAAATGGCATGTGGGAAAGGACACACTCCTGGGAAAGTAGGTTGTGTTGATGGACAATGGGGAGGGGCTCCTTTGAAAGGTGTGGGGAAGTAACCTGCTCAGATTGTTTTTAGGAGAATGACAGCACAGTGGTGGAGGAGCCAGACTGAGAAGGAACAAAAGGCCAGCAACAAAAATAAGGCTCCCTTCCAACTTCCAATCACCACGTGCTCCTGTCATCTCCCTACCCCACCCTGCATCAGCTCCCAGGAAGGGAGCTGAAACTCAGGCCTGCTTCTGTGGGCACCAAAACCTGACTTAGTACGTGATCCTCCCTTCCATCCTCATCCCCATAGATGGGCATGGAGAATTAGTCCGCAGATCAAAGCCAAAGGGTGTTGTCTCATGGCACTGAGGTGGGGGTAACCCTTATGACTCCCATAGGAAGCCCTATGGAAGGGGACAAAAGCCCCCAAGGCTGAACCTACCCAGGAGAGCCAGGGCTCTGCTGTGACATACTGTGGCCACACAGAGGAAGAGTCCTTGCCTTTCTGGGTTGGCTTCTGCTTTCTTGAATGATCTTCATTTGCATCCTTTCCTCTTGAATAATCCTCCCTTCACCAAATCTATCTATCTACCTCCTGCAGCTTGTGTCCACTCCAAACACAGTTGACAAGAAGTCTTGGCAACACAGCCTAAAGAAACACTAAGCAAATTGTTCCTTGTCGTCCTGACCTTTGTAAGCCAAGAGCTCTACTTTATAACTTGGGAACGCACAAATATTTACAGTTGTAGGGAAGGGAGCCAATGGCTGCTGGAGGGTCCTAGAATTGGAAGGGAGCTGAGAGCTTGTCTAGCCCAGCCTCATATTCACTATAGGAATGCCCTCCACAGAGCCCTTGGCAGTGGTCACCCAGCCTCCCCTTCCTGGTCCCTGTGATGGGAAGGAAGGTCATCTTCCTCTGAGAAAGTGCTTTCTGTTGATCTTATCGTTGGAAAGTTTTTCTGACATTGAGCCAGAACTGCCTCCCAGTAACTTTGCCCTTGGTTTTGGATGGGTCTCTAGGGCCTCACAGCTTGGGTATCTTCTTTCCCACGACAGCACGTTAAAGGCTAGAACTCAGCCTCCCTGTCTGCCTTCCGTTGTCTGTTCTTCCTCAGTTCCTTTGTTCTTTTCTTGGGGGCCTTCATTCATTGGTCCCTCATCACTGGGGTCACCTTTCCTTGCCATGTCCAACACATCCTAGTTGGTCAATGTCTGTCTTAACATACGATACCCCCAAATTCATCACAGCACTACAGTTGAATTGCTTTCTAAGATCTGAGCCCTGTGCCATTAATTCCTCATCTCTAAAACTCAGCTTAGCTATCCAGGCCATGTAAGCCAGAGAAGAGGGAAGGAATGAAGTCTTCTTGAACCCCTGCAATGCTAGCCAAGTTCTTTCTAAACACTCAGGGCTCAGAACTGCCCCAGGAAGTAGATACTCTCCTCTTTGTTTCACATATGGAGGAACCTGGTTTTCTGACATAGAACTGAAAATAAGGAAGTAAGCAAAACAAGTCTTTAAGGACGCTGAGCAGAGGCCAGAAAGTCACCCGGAGTCTATTATTTACTCTTCCTTTACATTCATTTCTGCCAAGATTTTATTTAGTATCAGGAGAACTGATTTTAAATCCTGGCTCAGCCACTTTCTAGCTGTGTGACCTCAGGAAAGTTAGTGTCTAAGGTGACTAACCAATCCCAAATTGCCCTGGTCTGTCCTGGTTTTAAAACCGCAAATCCCATGTCCTAGGAGATCACTCCATTCTGGGCAAATTAGCACATGTTGGTCACCCTATTCAGTCAATTTTCTCTTTGTGATATCAGGATAACAGTAACCCACCTCACGAGGTTGTTATAATTTTAACTGAGATAATATATTTGGAAGACCTGGCAATGTGCCTGGCACATAGCAGATACACAATTAATGTTCTGTTTAATTTGAAAGCCTAGTTAATTATGACAAATTAGAAAGAAGTCAAAGACTGAGAGGTGGCCATGAGCAGTTTAACTGGAAAACCATTTTTAAAAACACCTAGAAACATAAACGGAGACACATAGTAGAGGGTCGTACCGTGAGGGTCTCAATGTCCTCTGTACTGTGAATATCTCACTGGAGTTCAATGAGCCATGGTAATTGTCGTCCTTGAGTGGGACTCCGCAGGACAGAGGAATAACTAAATCTTCTGCATTATACTATGTGTGATAAGGCAGGGTAAGGTGGGATACATTGTGGAGTAAGTGCCACATGAAATTTAATGAAGTCTTTAGATCTTTAAGCGTAAGTATTCAACCCTCTAACAGGATGGCAACCAACCAGCATGGCAGAGGGAAGGAGGACTGAAGAGGGTCCCAGGAGAGCCTGAGTCTGCAGTCAGCTCACTGCCTAACTATAGACAGATTGTCCTCACAGTTCCGGTCCTGTCTCCTCATCTGTGAAATGGGGAAGAGAAAGTAGACAAGGTGTTGTCTAACAGAAAGGCAACAGAGTGGGGTGGTCAAGAGCACGGATCCACCACCCACTAGCTGTGTGAGCTAGGACAAGCAAGCAAATCCACCCTCTGCACCCTGCTCTCCTGGCCTGTAACCTCGTAGAGATGTTGTGAAGATTTTATGAACTGATGTACTTCCTGGTGCATGTTGAGTTCTCAGTAAGGATCAGTTCTTAAAGTTAGTATCCCTTCTGGGTATCGCACTCCATGACAAAGAGTATCATCTCTTTCTCTCCCCTCATCACCAAGGGTTAATGCAACATAAGCTTTCGCTTGAGTGTTTTGTAAGTTTCTTTTCCCTCCCCAGCCCGCCACATCACTCAGCTGGCTCACGTTGAACTTGAGGCAGACTAAAACCTCCTGATCTTTTTTTATGTGAATTGCAGTCCAGCCAGGTTGCTCTCATCCTGTTCTTGTGCAACTGATTTTTGGAAACTACATTCAAGACATTAGATTTATTGATGCTACATTTCATCTGGTTGCTTTTGACCCAGCATTCTTGACTGTCGAGATCATCTTGAACCTTAATTCTCTCATCCCCTCCAGCTTTGAGTCATCTGCAAATTTAATGCATATGCTTTCCATATCTTCAGATCACGGGCTTAAAAAAGCTATTTTACAGATAAAAATAAAGATAGAGATATAGGCCACTAGATAGATCAAGAGGGATCTTGTATGCCAGGCTGAGCAGTGGGGATTTTATCTTGTGGGAAGCAGGGGCTCTTGATCCTCAATCAGTTTTTAAGCCTTTTCTGAACATACCCACTACAGACGCTCGTATGTTGTCCCTGGATCTCAGAGTGTTTTCACTGATGACAACAAGAGTTCACCCCTCAGCCACCCTAACTGTGGCCTCTTCTAAACTACTGAACTCACCGCGAAGGTCTGAATCCCTTCCTGTCTGTACCACATGCAGCCCCAAGGCCCAGTCCTATTCTCCTCCCTCTTGTTGCTTCCCAAACTGAGGCCACCCCTACTTTGGGGCCTAGCCAAATACCTGTTATCAATCCAAGAAATCAATTCTCTCTCGTTGGTTCAGGAAGGCATGGACCATGATGACTTTATGTGCTTCCCACTCACGTTTCCATTTTTACAGGGGACTTCAGTGTCTGAACTGGAAGGCCAGAGCTGTGGTGGATCTGCTGGTAGCCACCTATAGCTGTCTGGATCTCTGCACTGCCCAGGGCACCACGGGCATGTTATATCACAGCACAGTGCAACCAGCTGGTTCCTGGGCATGACTACAAGTCGTTATGAAAAGGCTGAGGACAAGATGATAGGGAAATGTGAAAAGGAAAATTCTAGAAGTAATTTTCATATAAATTAATTTAAATAACAAAAAAAACAAACATTTAAGTTTCTCCAGGTAATCTGGCAACTCTCTGGTACTGTGCTAACCAGGCAACCATTGGTTAGGGAGCTTCCAAAACTCCGTGTCCACTCCAGGCCCCGCTCCAGCCATCTGGCCAAGCACACTCAGCTTCAGGACACAATGAGCATAGCCAGTCCCTCTTTGATGTCCTTGGTACCAGAACCTTCCCATTTTACCCCACAGGACTCCCAGGATTCCTTTCTAGGGAAGAGTTTGATGATGATGATGGTGAAGATGGTAAAGAAGAGCAGTTACCCCTGATTGAGTGCCTTCTGTGTGCCAGGCATTGTGCCAGAGCCTCTAAACAAACCATCTCTAATCTTTTCAACCTTACGAAGCATATTTTTTGTGATTCCCATTTTATAGAGGAGTAAACGGAGGCCCACAGAGATTATAGTAACTTGCCTGTGTCCACAAGAAATAGCAGAACTGGAATTTGAACTCTGGGTTTCTCTGATTCCAAAGTCCACTGTATCCACCACCCTGTTTCTGTAGCTTTCCAAAAGCTCCCACTGTTATTTTCTCTTTTGACCCAAACAGTCTTACGGGGGTGATAGGAAGCTGAGATGAGCAGAACTCTGCCCGTTGCCGAGGCAAAGTGCAGTCAGTAGGCTCACAGGCTCACTGGGGTGGAACTGGACCTGGTACCAGCCTTCTGACTTGTAATGCAATGCAATTTATCCCTGTGTTGATATCCTGATCGTTGGAAGGGAGCCCAAGGATGGCTGGGTGGGGAAGCTTTTGCTTTTGGGAAGGTAGCGGTAGCAGGTGGTGTTAAAGGGAAACTGTAGTAATTGTATGATGGCTAAGCATGGAGGCTCTGGAATTAGAAAGTACCAGGTTCCAAGGGGCTCCAGCCTCTACTACCTGTGTGAAGTTGGGTAGATTATATTACCATCGTGAGCTGCCATTTACAAATGGGTTAATGAGAGCTCTTCAGTGAAATACTGAGTTGAGAGAGAGAATTTACACAAAGCCATCGGCACGGTCCAGGCACATTTCCAGTGCCTAACACACATCGGCTCGGATTACCATTTCTTTTTTTTTTTTGAGGCAGAGTCCTAGTCTGTCACCCAGGCTGGAATGCAGTGGCACGATCTCAGCTCACTGTAACCTCCACCTCCCAGGTTCAAGCAATTCTCCTGCCTCAGCCTCCCTAGTAGCTGGGATTACAGGTGCCTGTCACCATGTCCGGCTAATTTTTGTATTTTTAGTAAAGACAGGGTTTCACCAGGTTGTCCAGGCGGGTCTTGAACTCCTGACCTCAAGTGATTCACCCTTCTTGGCCTCCCAAAGTGCTGGGATTGCAGGCATGAGCCACCGTGCCCAGCCTATCGCTATTTTTCTTACCTCTGTCGTTACAGCAATCTACATTCGTAAATGTTTTCATAAGTGCCCTTGACTTGCTCATCCTACGTGGAGGCATTATGTCCCCATTCTACAGACTGGGCAACTGGGCACTGAAGCTACCTGCCCAAGGTGATCCAGGAAGGACTGAGCAGAGCTAAGCCTTGAGCTCCTGACCCCACGGTGAGCTCCCATCCCCAGCATGCTGCAGCTGTTCATCTTTCCTGGGTCCAGTTTCACATTTCCAGCATTTCTCAAATGTTAATATGTGTCTCCATTACCGGAGATCTTGTTCACATGCAGGTTCTCATTAAGGAGGGCTAGGCGGGCCTGAGGCTCTGCATTTCTGGCAGTCCTCCGAGGGAAGTCAAAGCCGCTGGTCATGGGGCCTCACTGTGGTTGAGGGTCTCCTTCAGCTGGTAGGGGTCCCTTGAGCAGGCTCAGAGAAACAAACGGCAAGCCCTGCGGCCCCTGGGACTGGGACCTGCAGGAGCCCTTAAAGTTAGCTTCTAAGTGTGGCCCCCATAGGATGATACTAAGGAGATATGGGATTTGGGAGCCACCTCCTAGCAGGGTTGCCAGGGCCGGCCCTGCCCTCTTGCTCACCATCTCCTTCTGCTTCCTTCTGACTGCTTCCATGGGAGCCTGACAACTACAGCAAAGCATTCTTGAACTCCCACGCTGAGCAGGAGCTACATGACCGGGTGAGTGTGGGCAGCCTGCAGAGAAGGAGCTGACATTTGTCTTAATTGGAGTTACCATGTAAATCCCACCTGTCTCCTCCTGGTGCCCATGGCCTTTGATGGGCAGGGAAGGGGGCTCTGAACAGAGAGAGGCTCATAATGTCCCTGGGGATACAAGGCGTTATTAATGTAGGCTCTGGAAGGAGATGTTCCCACTTGTCAGCAGGGAAAATGAGCTGGAATTGAGTTTAAAAAAAAAAAAGAGAGAGAGAGAAAGAAAGAAAAAGAACACAGGCATCTAGGCAAGAAGAGTGGCAGAACTCCCCCCAGGGCAGATACCCTTCTGCCCCTCCCATGGGTCACCCCTGTCTTTCAAAACCAGCCTCTAACCCAGAGGTTTTCAAACTCAGCTACCAATCGTCACCTGGGAGCTGTAACAATTGCTGATGTCTCTGCCCCAGCCCCAGATATCTTTATTTCATTGGCCTGGGGTGTGGCCTATGGAAATTGGGGTTTTTAAGCTCCCAAGTGATTCTATGTGCAGTGGGGTTGCAAAACTGCAGGTTGAATCTTAGCTTCTCCAGGAAGCCACCTCTGATTAGCTGATGCTAATCTATGAGCCCAGTGGAACTGTCACCTTTTCTAATCAGCCAGCCCTGATGTATCCATACAATTGGAGGGGGATGGGGTGAAATAACCCCCATTAGTGTGAATTGGTTGAAGAGGACACAGAAGGATGTAGGATGTACCTTCTCATTTCTCTGAGCTTAACTTCCAAATGAACAAGCATTTGCAGCTGCTGGACAGCCACAAAATCAATTCACTCAGTCATTTAACCAACATTCATTGAGCACCTATTATGGATAAAGAGCAATGAGAGATTCACAGCATATTTGATATAGTCTCTGTAAACCAAAAATAAAATTCTAAGTCCCCTAAATGACGGAATGGAGCCCCCCTCTTCACCAAGGAGACCCCAAAGAAACTTGAAAAACTAATTTTGGGAATGACAGGAAGCAGGGATTGGACATACCTCATTGTAGCCCCCTCTTTTTGGAGTTTAGATTCAGCTGACCAGCATTAACATGAAAACAGAAATCTGAAGGCTGACAAAACAGACTCTTCATAGCAATGAGATACTAAATTCCAACCTGACTCTGGTCCCATGACAAATAGCAGGCCTTGAAGGAGATAAAAGTATTTTACCCCAAAATATATTTCTTTGGCATATTTTGAAATGGCCCCGCAAAGCTCTCTCTTGGGGAAATTTGCATTCTGTAGAAAATCTCCTTCCCTCACTAGCTCTTTCAGGAGAGACTGACACCTGATAACAGACATTCACCATCTTTTCTCTCTGAATCCTGGAGGCTTCATCTACATGACAAGAACCTTGGCTTCACAATCCTGCCTTATCTAAACTCAAGGTCTCTTTATGCTGAATTCAACTCTTCAGGCAAGGCCTAACTCTCTCAGCCAATTGCCAATCAAGAAATCTTTGAAACCGCCTATGACCTGGAAGCCTACACTCACCCTACTTCGAGATATCCCACCTTTCTGGGCCAATCAATATATACCTTATATGTATTGGTTTATTTCTTTGCCTGTAACTTCTTCCGTCTCCTTAAAATGTATAAAACCAAGACGTGTTCTCAGGACCTCCTGAAAATGTATCATGAGCCATGGTCCTTAACCTTGGCAAAATAAACCTCTCGATTGAGACCTGTCTCAGATACTTTCTGGTTTACAATTCTGCACTTAACTAACTAAAGCCTAATAAGGATAGAATAGGCAAGACCATAAATAACAACAACAATTACAAAACCTGTAGGTGATAGGCTGTGAGTTAGGGAAATAAAGAGATAATGAAAATGTATCTCACACCTAGGATGTGCAAGGCCATTTCCGAGTCAACCTATATATGCTACGTCATTTCATGTCAGTGACAGAGTCCCATTTTTCAGATAAAGGAGTTGAGACTCAGAGGAGCCAGTGGCTTGCTCATGGTCACACAGCTGGTGCATGTTGAAGCCTGACTCCAAAGGAGGCGTGAGAGCATGCTGCCATGGCAAGATGAGGAAGGGATGAGTTCAGTTGCAGGAATCTGGAGAAACTTCAGGAGGACTCAGGGCTCACTACAAAAACATGCCACCACCAAGGGGCCTCTCATAGGAGGGCCCTGTAAGAGGACATAGCCTCAGGGAAGAAGCATGTTCCTGGTAAGGCTGATAGTGGAAGGACAGCTCAGACGAACAGGGAGAGGAGTTGCTGATTCTGAAGCAGGGAGTCTGGAAGACCAGGGAAGGGTTGGCAGGGAAGGTGTAGGAGGTGGGCTTTTAGAGGGCATAGAAGTTCAGAGCAGGCAGGGGAGAGATAGCAGAAGGGGGCATATACACCTTCAGTACTGACCAATTCACACAGCGATGAGAAGCATGAGAGCCTGGCCACTGTGAGAAGGGCAGGCCCTGGCTCAGCATACTTGGCTGAAGTGAAGAGGGCAGACTGCAGTCTGCAGACACAGGCCCTGGGTGAGGGTTGGTGCACAAACCACTCAAGAGAAACTTTGGGCAGGCTGGATGAGCTGGGCTGCAGGGCAGGGACTCTGTTTTTGACACTGATATCTATCATCAGTTGGATGTAATATTCATAGTTTCTGAATACCCAGCATGGGGCAGGCATGGGCCCAGGTGGTTTCTCTCTGACCTGGAAGAGAGACAAGTTTCTGTGAAGTTGAGAGAATGTAAATAATCTCTATTAGGATGGTGGTAGTGGTGGCAGCAGTGGTGCTGGAGGTGGTGGGAATAGCGGTGGTGGGGTGGGGTTGGTGGTGGTGATGGTATTAATGGCAGATGGTGGTGGAGGTAAGGGTGATGGTGGTGGTAGTGGTCATGATGAGGGTGGTGGGGTGGTGATGACGATGGTGATGATGATGGTGATGGTAGTGATCGTGATAGTGGTAGTAGTTATGCTTGAATGACTGACACCAAAATGGCTGCTACCTCTAGCCTCTCCCGTGATTCATACTTTCACCTCCCCCGTTGTCATCTCCTGTTGTATCATGTAGGCCTATCAGTCTTCTACACGCCTGCACTCAAGCCGTTGACCTCCTCTCTTTTCTCTTTGCCCTTCCTTTACTTTCATCTGTATTCCCTGGCTTGGGAAACAGCCCCTCTAGTCAGCCAGCCAGCCAGCCAACCATCAGAGCTGATGCCCAAGAGTCAAGCTACATCCTCCAACTATTCTTATCCCCAACAGCCAGTTAATTACCAAGTCCTGATGCTTTGACCTCTTACTCACTTCTTGAGACCCATAGTCTTCTCTCTGTCTTACCTGTTCTTGCTTTATTTGGGACCACATTACTTCCCCCCGACTATGGGAATACCATCCTGACAGAACTGTGAGATTCGACTGGCCTTTCTCCAGACCACCCTTCATCTCATCATCAGAGGCAACCTACCCACAGGCAGATCTGGCCATGCCATACCGATGTCACACCCCATCTCTGACTTGCAAGTGCAAGGTGGTCCCTAGGCTGCCAAGCTCCAGACCCATGAAGCTGCAGCACTCTGCTCTAGCATGACAGATGCACATATCTTTTCTTTTGCTCATACGAGTCTCTGTCTTGAAAACTTTTCTCCTCCTCTGACTGATGGACTCCTGTCCGATTCTTATGAAGCTCTTCTGCTCCCCTACCCCAGCTGGCAGCAGTGGTGTCTCTCTCTTCTGTGCACTCTATGCAATTTCCGGTCTTGCTTATTTCACTCTGTTTATTCATCTGCCTCCTTTGCTATGCCATGAACTTCACCAAGAAAAGGGAAAAGGGAGGTCTTGCCCATCTCTGAATCTTGAAGACTTAGCACAGGTGCATACTTGGCACTTCCTGGATTCAAGACCAGTAATATTAATCCAGATAACTGTGTGGTACCTGAAATTATGCAGAGAGCTGTATCTCCACATCATCTCATTTGATTCTCATCACTCTCATGGAAAGTTGCAGGGGGCATTTGCTTTGTTTCACTGATGGGAACACTGACATCCAGCAACAAAGGCAAAATGACTTGCTCAAGGTTGCCCAGGGAGGTTGTGGCTGAGTCAGTCTTTGTCTCAGATGTCCTGACTCTGTTGTTGGAAACGTGTTGATTTCACACCAGAAGCTCATTTTCTTTCTCTCTGAGATGCTCTATGGCTGAGAAGTGACCCATGCACATAGGGCCTGCCCACTCTCAGCATGAAATACCTGTGATTGAGGAGGGAACAGGGGCTTTGAATTCCTAGGTAAGGACAGATAAGGAAGACAAGCATCTAGAAGGCACAAAGCCATAAGGATGGAGAGAACTAGAGAAGAGATAAGAGTCTTATCACAAAATTTTGGAACCTGGAAAGCAGGTAGACAAGTGGTAACAAACTTAGCAGGAGAAATAAGGATTCTTGAGCTGGCATTGGGAAAAGCTGAGAACCAACTTGATTTACACAGCAGAACCCTTAGAAGCCTCAGGAGCTGGCAGCGTCAGGTACTTCTGGAAGTGAGTGAAGGGATGGGCCAAAAATAAGGATTTGTAAGTGAAAGCAATTCATTCAGAGGCTTTAGAACCCCAGATCCCTGCCTCCACTGCATACTGCTAGGCAACCACCCAGTCCGTACCATGGCCAAAGCCTGGAGATAAAGTGAAGTCTCTGCTCGGAGATGAGGGGCATGAGGCTCAGCTGAAAACAGGACGAGTAAGAGAACGTTTTCATAGTTAATGCTGAGGTCCCCTAGCCATCTTCTCTCATAATCTCCCAGTAGGCTGCATCTGGTTTTATACCCTCTAGGAAAGACACTAGAAACCTCTTTTCTGGGGGGAACGGGCCCAGGAAGGAAGAGACACGAGGGTTCAAAATTACACTCCTGCACATCTTTTGTCGGGAAAACTCCTGAAGAACATAGATACTAAACAAAACGAGGGGATGAACAAAGAAAAGAAAAGATACAAAACAGAAAGATCCCAGGGGAGTTCCCAAAATGAAGACTGTGGAAAAGCCCAGGATGAGAATCATGACCCAGGCAGAGATGGTGGCTAGTCCCGATTGGAGAAGAGCAGAAAGCTCTGTGAAACATTTGTTCATGGAAATGAAACTGATAGAATACTGTGTATTAATGTGTCTAACTCTGGTTAGACAGCTGGTAGCCATTTTGAATGTTGAATTAACAAGTTAATAGAAAACTATGCAAACACCAGGAAAAACAAAAGTAGTTGTCAACTCTGAAGAAAACAAAAGGTATGCGGGAAAGGGAAAGGAATCCTAATTTACTATGTCAATCAGCTCTGAGGAATGGTAATTACTTAGTCATAATAATGTCACCACTGACTGATTTTTTTTCTTTTTAATAATTTTTTTTTTTACTTAAAAACAAATAGAGACAGAGTCTCACTATGTTGCCCAGGCTGGTCTCGAACTCCTTGACTTAAGTGATCCACCCACTTTGGCTGTAATCCCAAAGTGCTGGGATTACAGGCATGAGCTACGGTGCCTGGCCACCAGTGACTACTGATTAAGAAAATTAATTATATGACTGTATTGGAAGGATGGAGATTAGGACATGTGCATGTGTGTATCAAGTGAGTGAGAGAGAAAGAGGGAGAAAGTGCTAAAACTCATTCTTCCATAATACAAAGTCAATAAACAATGCTTCAAATAGAAATATCAATAAATAGCAATACAAACATATAAGGATATGGAGGTAAGCATTAAATGAATTCATTAAAAAACTTGCAAGTGGTCCTCTATGAGGGAGTCTGATAAATGTTTTTCTTTACACAAACTTTGTAGAACTGGTTGACTTGTTAAAGTACATACTTGTATCACTTTATGTTTTTTTTAAAAGGTAAAATAAAGACTTAACAAACCAATGACAACAAGAGCATAGGCATCGGAATCAGACACCACCACCTCTTACTGTGTGGGCACCAACAAGAATGTCTCTGAGTCTCAGTTTCCTCATCTGTAAAATGAGGATAAAAGCATTTACTGCACATGATGTTTGTGAAGATAAAATGTGATAAGTATCTAAAGTGCTAAGAACTAGTGTGCCCTCAATAAATGTTTGCTGACTGTCAGTCAAAGCAGGACAATTGTTTGCTTTCTCTTTTTTGCCCAACAAATGTCCTTTCTTCACTCTACACCTGTGAGAGGTCGTTTTTGTTTATTTATTTTTTGTTTATCTTGCTGTTGTCATTAGTGATTCTCCCACCCCACCCCACCCAGATTAAGGCAGGAAGTGCAAATTCACTTGTTCTCAGTGAGGACTGGGGAGAAGGGTAACTCAATCTTTTCTCTCCAAACCTCATCAACACATCAAGGTCACTTTGTTTTAGCCTCTAATCCCGTGCATCCCCCTCCCCACTCCCCCATGGCCACTTTCACTTCCGACCTTTCAGTTCTCCCTTGGCCAACTCCTTTCCCCTCACTGAACCAAGCAGGATCATTCCTCCCTCCCTCGCTCCCTGCCTCCCTCCCTCTTTCCTTCCTTCCTTCCATGAAAGTAAAATAAATCTTGGGACCCCAAAATCACTAAGTCCAGCTGGGAACTGCTTAGGGCAAACCTGCCTCCCATTCTATTCAAAGTCATCCCTATGCATGCACATCTGATTGCCTCCTTTGGAAAGGCTAATCAGAAACTCAAAGCCCCAATTTGTCTCTTATCCACCTGCAACCTGGAACACCCTCCCCACTTTGAGTCGTCCCACCTTTCCAGACCAAACCAATGTTTCATCTTACATATATTGATTGATGTCTCATGTCTCCCTAAAATGTATAAAACCAAGCTGTGCACAGACCACCTTGGGCACCTGTTGTCAGGACCTCCTGAGGCTGTGTTACGGGTGCATGTCCTTAACTTTGGCAAAATAAACTTCCTAAGTTGACTGAGACTTGTCTCAGATATTCAGAGTTCACCCTTCCTTCCTTCCTTCCTTCCTTCCTTCCTTCCTTCCTTCTTTCCTTCTCCTCTCCTTCATTTCCTGCCCTTGTAGATCATTGCATTGGCAGCCCACAAGCCTAGATGAGGGGGCCCGAGCCTTCAAGTACAATTTGGCCGAGGGGCTTGTGGGAGAGGAGCTGTGTTTTCCAGCCAGGACTTTAGGTCTGCTCTGAAGCAGCTGGAGCATCAGCAAAATCACATCTCCTGCCCTTATCCCTTTCCGGAACTCCAGCCACATGTGGACCGCTGCTCCCTAACATCCGCGCCTCAGTTTCCCCTGGGGCTTAAGTGGACTTTGACCTCGTCACTCACTTCTCCAACTACTCCTTTCTGTGTGTCTTCCCATTGTGCTCTCAGCAGCTGGAAGAGTGAGGAACTGTTCTGTGAAAGATGAGATATGAGAGAGAAGCGTCTGGTCTCTGGAGGGGGTGAGCTCAATTTTATTCATGTTGAGTTTGAGATGTAGATCTGTATTCAGTAGACATTTGGATCCAGTGGTCTGCAGTTCAGGAGTGAGGCCTGTGGGTGGCTTGGATAGAGACCTGAGAGTGTTCCAACCGAAGAAACTAACAGAAGGCATGGATGGGGGTCAGGTAATACCCCAGGAAGAGGACATGAGCATGCTGAGTGAGAAGAACAGAAAACAGGAATGAACCCTGGGGGCCCTCTCATGTTGAGGTGGGTGCAGGAAGAGAAGCCTGCCAAAGCACTCACGAGAGGAGCCCCCAGGGACAGCAGGAAAAGACCTGCAAAGGCACCCCCCTTGAGAGCCAAGCCAGGAGAATGTCTCAAGAAGGAGGAAGTGTCACCTTCTCAAATGCTGCACAGCGATCAGTGAGATAATGACTCACGTCAGTGTCACAAAGGCCACGGGTGACCTTGACCAGAGCAGTTCTGGGGTTGGGGTTTGGGCAGAGGGGGAGACCACACTGAGTTAAAGAGTGAGTTGAGGAGGAAGTGAAGAAAGTGAAAATAAACAACTCTTCCAAGAAATGTGGCTGAGAAAGGAAGGAGAGTTGTAAGCTGGTGCCAAAGGACATTTAGACCTTGCTGGGAAGGAAGCAAAAGGAAGTGTGTTTTAATTGATGAAGAACATCCCTGGTCCCAGCAGGGTGGAAGGGTATGGTGGAGAGTACAGGGAAATAGATTTGACTAGATAGGAGGAGGTTCATTCCCTCCCAAGGGTAGGAGGAACCACTGAAGGGATGAGCCTGAGAGAGACCCTTGAAAAGAAGCACAGCTTTGATGGGTGTTCCCTCTTACAAGCCAATCTTTTTTTTTTTTTTTTTTTTTTTTTTTTTTTTTTTTTTGAGATGGAGTCTCACTCTGTCACTCAGGCTGGAGTGCGGTAGCACGATCTCGTCTCGCTGCAACCTCCACCTCCCAGGTTGAAGCGATTCTCCTGCCTCAGCCTCCTGAGTAGCTGGGACTACAGACATGCGCCACTACACCTGGCCAATTTTTGTATTTTTTTTAGTAGAGATGGGGTTTCACTATGTTGGCCAGGCTGATCTCAAACTCCTGACCTCGTGACCCACCCACCTTGGCCTCCCAAAGTGCTGGTATTATAGGTGTGAGCCACTGTGCCTGGTCCAAGCCAATCTTTAAATGTGCTCTGTTTTTCCATCCTGATTTTCCAAAGTTAGTGTTTGTCAAGCACATAATTCCATCCCTAGTACTGTTCTAGATGCTGTATGTACATTATTTCTAATCCTCCTGTAGTCTCTGGGAAGTAGGTATTACTGAGCTCATTTTGCCCATGAGAAACTGAGTCTGAGAAAGGTTAAATATCTAGTCCGTGTAACCATTTATGTATTTGTACTGGTTAAACATAATCATTTATGCATTTGTACAACCAGTGAGTGCCTTCCAAGATTCCAACCCAACTTCGAGGAATCCCCCAAAGCATCCACCACACAGGGCCCTGTGGCCTCCAAATCTTTGCTTCCATGAACTTTGAATACTCAGGCACATTTGCATGGGCTCTTGCTTCTGTTTGGAATGCCCTCATTCCCTTGCCCGTCTCACAGGTGCAGACTCGTCCTTCAGACTTTGGCCAATTTTCCTCACTCCTGTGTTCTCACACAGCCCATCTCTGCCTCTTTTTGCTATTGACTGCATGGTGTTGAAAACATCTGTTTCTTTTTCTGCTCCACACCTTGACCCCAGAGTGGGAGCCTCCATGGGCCAGGGCCCTGCTATATCTGTCTTATCTATTTCCAGCTCCTAGACAAGTGCTCAGCATCCAGTGGGGTCTAGGAAACTATTTGTCAGATGAATAAATGAAAACTTTCTTTTAAGGGCCAACAGTAGCAATGTGAACATTAGATTAAATGAGGGAAAAATATTTGCAGACCACCTATCTGACCCTCAAAACTCAACAGTAAGAAGGCAATCAATCCAATTAGAAAGTGGGCAAAAGGCATGAAGAGATATTTTACCAAAGAGGATATACGGATGGCAAATAGGCACATGAAGAGATGTTCTACATCAATAGCTGTTAAGGAAATGCAAGCTCAGCATGGTGGCTCACGCCTGTAATCCCAGTGGTTTGGGAGCCCAAGGCACAAGAATTGCTTCAGGCAGGAAGTTCAAGATCAGCCTGCGCAACATAGTGAGACCCCATCTCTATGGGCATGGTGGTGCGTACCTATAGTCCTAGCTACTTGGGAGGCTGAGATGGGAGGACTGGCTGAGCCCAGGAGTCCAAGGCTGCAGTGAGCTATAATCATGCCACTGCACTCCAGCCTGGACAACAGAGCAAAACCCTGTCTCTAAAAAGAAAAAAAATTTAAAAAAGGAAATGCAAATTAAAGCCACCATGAAATATCACTACACACCTATCAGAATGGCTAAAATAAAAAACAGTGAAAATACAAATATTGGCTAGGATGCAGAGAAACTGGATTACTCTACGCTGCTGATGGGAGTGTAAAATGGCGCAGCTACCCTGGAAAGCAGTTTGGTGGTTTCTTAAAAGTCTAAACATACACTTACCATACGACCCAGCAATCGTACTTCTGGGCACTTAGCCCAGAGAAATGCAAACATATCCACACAAAAAACTGTACATGACCATTCATAGCAGCTTTATTTGTAATAGTCCCAAACTGGAAACATTCAAAATGTCTTACAATAGGTGAATGGTTAAGTGAACTTTGTATATCTATACCACGGAATACCACTCAGCTTTATTGCGGAGTATTTCATTTTTATTAATGAATGAAATACTGAGACACACAAGAATTCAAATGACTCTCACGGACATTATACTGAACAACAACAAAAAAATCCAATCTCCAAAGGTCACATACTTTATAATTCCATTTATAAAACATTCTCAAAATGACAAAAATACAGAGATGCTGAACAAATTAGTGGTTGCCAGGGACTCGGGATGGTGGGAATAGCATGAGGGAGATATTTGTGGTAACAGAATAGTTCTGTGTCTTTATGGCAGTGGTTACATGAATTTACACAGGTGATTAAAGGACAGAATTATGCACGTACATGGTCTCAATGTTATTTTCCTGCTTTTGATATTGCACTATAGTTATGTAAGATACAACCATTGGATGAAACTGGGTGAAGAGTACACAGGACTTCTCTGCACTAATGTTGCAACTCCTTGACAATCTATAATTATTTAAAAAGAAAACATTAAAATTAATAACAACAGTATCAGATTATTATCCACAGTTGAAAGAAGAATCCTTGAGTCTATACTGATATAAATGAATACATACATAAATAAATGAGAGGAAGGAGGCTCTTACCTATAGAAGGATTCCAACTAATAAATATAGAAGGGATGTTGGAATTGGAAGAATCACCACCTGACAACCACCATAGCAATAACTGTTTCAGGCAAGAACTATCAATGGATGCTAAAATGAGTGGGCAAATGTATGATAAGAAACAGAATATTTATATAATCTCAAAGTGTCTTCTCACAAGACACTGGTTATTTTACGAAAGGAAAGAGAGCAACTGCAGTGGAGAAACCTGGCAATACCCTTAACCAAGTTATCCAAGTTAACATCCCTAGCAAGGGACAGAGCAACATGGTTCCCTTCCTGATACGATGCACTGAGAAGGACACAGCATCATTTCTATGGCAGCCTGCCAAATTTGCATAACCGGCAATTCTGAATATAATTTAGAGGAAACATCATCACACGGATCCATATTGAGAGACTTTTTACAAAATGTTCTCTTCGAACATGTTAAGGCCATGAAAAACAAAGGAGGGCTGAGAAACTGTTGCCAATTAAAGAGGACTAAAGAGACACAGAAACCAAATGCAAGTGTGATCCTAGGTTGGATCCCAGATTAGAAAAAGGTTATTAGTGGGACAGTTGGTAAAATCTGAATAAAGTCGGTAGTTACTATTGCAGCAATGTTAATTTCTTGACTTTGACAATTGTGCTGTGATTATGTAAGAGAATGTCCTTTTTCAAATAAAAACATGTTGAAGTATTTAGAGGCAAAAAGACTTCTGCAATTTACTTTAAAATGCTTCAGGAAAATAATACACACATATGTATACATGCATATATGTATATATACATATTTGTATAGGTAGACATATACACACATATACATATATATGTAGAAAGAGAATTATAAAGGAAATTATTAAGCAAGTGTGGTAAAATGCTAACATTTGGGGATTTCTTTGTATATTTTTGCAAAATATGTAAATCTAAAAGTATTTCTTATAAAGTTTAAAATATTAAAATTAATAGAAAAAAGTTAATAGACTGTACTTCTCTAATGGGTAATTCAAAATGGCTTTGTATTGGCTTTCTCATTAGAGCTGCCCTCATGCAGGATCACAGTGAGGCCTGGACATGGCCATCAAGGTTAAGGGATAGAGAAGAAAGGTGCAGTGGTGTCCGCGCCTGCCTCCTCAGTGCAGCCATGGACTTACAGGGCCAGCTTTGGTCCAGTGGGGATGGGAGGAGGGGTCTAATCTCTCCTAATTTTTCTCTCAATACACTTCCTTCCTGGAGGAATCAAAGAACCCAGTCAGACAGGGCCTGTGTGGAAAGGTGGGGCTGACCGCTCTCTCACAAGTCATGATGCACATGCAGCCAACTGGGCGCCAAACGGGGGCCTGGGCCACAGTGGGGACAGGTGTGTGGGGTCAACTTGGCCAGGTCCAGTCCTCAGAGACAGGCAATGGAGGCCTGCGGTGGAGTGGAGGTGAGAAGCCAGCAGTCTGATTTCCACTCTGCTTTGCACTAGCTGGGTGTCCTTGAACAGAAAGAAGCCTTAACAGCTCTAGATCTCAGCTTCCTCATTCATCAAGTGGTACCAATACTTTGTGCTATGCCTTCTCTTAGAGGTGGCTCAGTAGGGTCTGAGGAATGGGGAGGTACTCTGGAAACGTCATATGGTAAAGTCATACTCTAGGCCTTCAAATGAGCAGGGAAAACAGAAGCTCAACAGAGGTAGAAGTTCACTTTGGTTGTCCTCTTACTCATTTACTAATCCACCTATCCACTTATCTACCTATCCATCTCATATTCACCCCTTCACTTATCTACCCATTCATCTCATATTCACCCTATAGTCATCTACTCATTCATCTTATATCCATCTTTCCATTCATCCACTCATCTACCCATCCACTTCATATCCACCCATTCATGCATCTATCCATCCATCCCATATCCACCCATTCATTCATCTGCCCATCCATCTAATATTCACCCCTCCACTCATCTACCCACTCATCTTATATCCATTCATCCATTCATCTACCCCTCCACTTCATATCCACCCACCCACTCATCTATCTGTCCATTTCATATTCACCGCTCCACTCATCTACTCATCCATCTTTTATCATCCATCCATTCATCCACTCATCTACCCATCCACTTCATATCCACCCATTCACTCATTTATCCATCCATCTCATATCCACCCATCCACTCATCTACCCATCCATCTCATATTCACTCATCCACTCATCTACCCAACCACTTCATATCCACCAATTCACTCATTTATCTATCCATCTCATATCCACCCATCCATTCATCTGCCCACCCATCTCATGTTCACCACTCCACTCATCTACCCATTCATCTTATATCCATCCATCCATTCAGCCACTCATCTACCCATCCACTTCATATCCACCCATCCACTCATCTATCCATCCATCTCATATTCACCCATCCACTCATCTGCCTATCTATCTCATATTCACCCCCCACTCATCTACCCATTCATCTTAGATCCATCCATCCGTTCATCCACTCATCTACCCATCCACTTCATATTCACCCATTCACACATTTATCTATCCATTTCATATCTACCCATCCATTCATCTGCCCATCCATCTCATATCCATGGTCATCTACCCATTCATCTTATATCCATTCATCCATTCATCCACTTATCTACCCCTCCACTTCATATCCACCAACCCACTCATCTATCTGTCCATCTCATATTCACCCCTCCACTCATCTACCCGTTCATCTTATATCCATCCATCCATTCATCCACTTAGCTACCCATCCACTTCCTATCCACCCACCCACTCATCTACCCATCCATCTCATATTCACTCATCCACTCATCTACCCCTCCATCTCATATCCATCCATCCATCCATTCATCTGCCCATCCATCTCATAGTCACTCATCCCCTCATCTATCCAACCACTCTCCAACCACTCATATCTATCCAACCACTTATCTACCCATCCATCTCATAGTCACTCACCCACTCATCTATCCATCCGTCTCATATTCATCCATTCACTCATCTACCCATCCATCTCATATCTATCTATCCATCCACTCATCTACCCATTCATCTCATATCCACCCATCTACTCATCTGCACTTTCATCTTTATATCCATCCATCCATCCATCCATCCATGCTTTGATCCAACATCTATCCACCCATCTATCTATTCTGCATCATTCTGTTATCCTTGCATCCAGCTATCCAACAATCATCCATCAATTCATTTATTCAACATCCATCTACCCTCTGTCCATCCTTTTTCTTACTCACAAAACAGTATCTTGAGCACAGCTGGTACCAGAAACACCCAGCTAGATTCTGGCATTCAATGATAAATAGAACCATATGAGACTAGTAGCTCACAGTCTAAAAGAACAGAAAGTGTAAACTAAAACAATACACCAAAAACTACTATGAAGAATAGATAAAGTGCTATTGGAACTAGAGGTGGGAGTTGGCATGGGGGCAGCACCACTGAATTTAGTGACCTGAAAAGGAAAGCTGGAGGGTTAGTGAAATAATAGGCTGCAGACCAAGGGAGCCATGGCTGCATGTTTAAAGCCACAGCATGGCTTGGGGTATAGGGTAGGTCCCATTGGAGAGGACACAGTGAGTGGGTGGTGGGGCTGGTGAGGCAGCCAGGTGAAAAGCAGGTGAGGCCTGAGGTTACCATAGGCAGGACTTATCTGACTGGCCTCAGCAGTGCCCTCCCAGGTTGGCCATCTGTCCCTGGAGGGGCACAGCTTGGCTCCAACTCCCCCATGCCCTGGCAAACCAGAGTAAAACTGCTCAGTCCTCATGCGTCTGGAGTGATTGGAGGCCCAGCCTGTTCAGCTCCGAGTTAGAAAGCAGGGTTGGCCAGGAGGCTGCCAAGGCCACCAGGTCAGGGCCAGGGTGGGGCTGCCCAGGGAAGGCAGGAATCAGAGATTTGTGTGGCCTGCTTGGAATTCTTGGTGGTTCCCTGCCTTGGGAAGCTGCCCCTGCTCATTTGCTGACTGTGGCAGGGCGAGGTCCACGCCCCAGGAAATTGGATGTGGGCTCAGTTACCCAGTGGCTTCCTAGCTGTGAGAGGGAGGGCAGGTCATTTCGCTTCCCTGAGCTTTGCTTTCCTCATCTGTGAAAATGACAAGAGTGAGGCAAGATGGCTCTGGGCTCTTCCCAGCTCTGGTAGTTCCTAGGAGACTGACACTTGTGTGCAAGTGTGTTTTGTGCTCGAGTCTTGCCTTGCACAGAGGCTCAGGGGTCAGGCATCCCCCCACTGAGCGATATGACTCCCTTCTTCTGGCAGGCTTCTCTCCTGGGCCCCCAGATCTTCTTGGGAGTGGTGACACCTTAAGCCATGAACCAAGAGCAGTCAATTCTGTCTATTGCCCTCTTAGGTCTGCGCAGCTCTGCTGTGAGAGGCTGAGCAGGTGTAAGGAAGGCTAGCAGCTGGGAGCAGGCCCCAGAGGGAATGGGGCTTGCTGGGACAGAGACTTGAGGAGGGAATCTAAGGAAGAGCCAGAGGTCTCAGAGCTGGAGGAGAGGGCTCAAAGGGAGGGGAGTGGGACATTTAAGGTGACATCTATTGGAGCTGCCTGAGATAAACTCTGCAGATTGTATGGTTGTGCCAGAGGCCTGCCTGGGGCCTAGGGATGCTGGTTTGGGGATTTGAGTTTGATCTCCTGAAGTTTATTTTAAACCTAGCTACTGGCTGAGGCAGCAAATGAAAGCAACAGAAATCCTCAGTCAGCAGCTAATGAAACATGCACCACAGCCACCCGCCGTCGGCAAGCCCTCCTGTCTGACACCTGTAACCACTTCATCTTCCGGCCATGAGTCTCTCACCACTAAGCCAGACAGTCCTGCCCCGCAAGGAGCCCTGAGAGGTGTCACCCAGTCATAGCTGGTTTCCATCTGAATGTGCTCTGCTGGGTCCCAGAGCCGTGGGCTCTCTTCCATCTCTTCTCTCTCAGCTTCCTCTGGGCAAGGCCTCAGGCAGCCATCTCCACAGCCAGTCAGTGATGTGCTGGGGCTCCAACCAGACCTTCCTATGCAGGGTCCCTGGCCCTTCCTTGTGCCGTGGCTGCCTGGGAAGCAAGCTTTAGTTCTAGCGAGAACAGAGGTTTGTAGCTTAATGAGCACTTACTCGGGCCAGGTGCTATCTGAGTGGTTTCTGAGTACTGCTCTATTCTATCCTTGTAAGAACCCCATAAAGTGTTTGCTTTCACTATTCCTATCTGTGAGGCTAGTGTTATGTGTTGACGTGGCCAGGCTAGAGTCCACAGTTACTCAGTCAAACACTAATCTAGGCGTTGCTGTGAAGGATTTTGTAGACATGGTTAACACCTACAATTACTTGACTTTAAGTAAAAGAGTTTATCATCTGTAATCTAGGTGGGCCTGATCCAATCAGTTGAAAGGCCTTAAGAGCAAAATTGAGGTTTTCCTGAGGAGGAAGAAACTCCACCTGTGACCCATAGCATTAGCTTCTGCTCAAGAGTTTCCAGCCCGATGGCCTGCCCTACAGACCAGATTTGCTAGAACCCGTGATTATATAAGCCAATTCCTTGATGTATATCATCTACTACTGGCTCTCTTTCTCAGATAGAACATTGACTAATATACCATCTAACAGCAACTGGGCCAGTGTGACACAATTAGTAAGCGGGGAGCCAGGGTTCAAATGGAGGCAGCCCAATCTCTGAGCATGAATTCTTAACCTCTGCAACATACTATTTTTTAATCAATATTAGCACATTGCATCCACAGTTTCATTTTATTGATGAGACTTAGAAAGGTAAAATAACTTGCCCAAGGTCACACAGCTTATAAATGAACGCACTGGAACTCCAGCCCAGGTTTGTCTGATTACAGGCCTGGGCACGCTCCACTATTCTCCGTGGTGTGCTGGTAAGTGTTATCAACTGGTTCTCCAGAAACAAATATATGTATACATATATACACACATAAGTTAATATAAAGTTTATTGCCATCAAGGATTGTAGCACACAATTTACAACTAATAATAAAATATACGTATTTTTTATTATCAATTTTATCTAGTAAATTGATTCTCACAGGATGCTTTTGTTGATACTTCCTAAACTTTTGTATCTATAGTTAAATTATTATTACAATTACCAAATAAGTATAGTTCCTGTGTGAATGTTTGCTGTTTTCTTTTACATTAATAAGTTTGATAGGAATGGAGCAATGGAGGCATGAATTTCATTCATTTGGCAATGACACAAGTGACTTATTTGCTGAATTAAAGAATAGTTTTTGAATATTGGAAGAATATGTCCTCAATTCTTTTTCATGCTATTTACAATTAAAGGCTACCAGCACAACATACTTTTAAGTATAATCTACATTAACATTTTCTCCATTATTTTCTTAACTCTAGACTATCAACAAAACAATAATCAGGCTCTGATTTGTAGCATTTGTCAATTTGTTTGATGTAAATATTCCCACCATCGCTGATTTCAAGCCACCAACATGAGTTACTGCAGGAGGTGTTGAACAGAGATGCTCAGTAGCGCACCTTCATATGGTATTTCTGCCATACATATACAATAGATGTAAACAACCTCAACAGCATAGGTAATTGAAAGATGGGATAAATAGGAAGTGATGAATTTTTGGCATTCATTAGCTTTGTTTTTGTTATAATGTATTTAATTGTAAATTTGCCTAAGTTAATTTTTAATAACTGTTTGACAACCAGCTCACGAAATTCCTGAAATTTTACCAGTCCGTTCATGAACCCGTATGAGCTTCTCCTGCACACTACTTTAAGAAGAGTTCAAGGGCTTTCTCTTTCTTGATCTCCAACAGGCTGTTGGTTATTTTCCCTCTGGAAGGACCTCTTGTGCACCTGTCCTATTGTCATTATTTCTTTCCATGTTTGTCTGTGCATCAGAGTAGTTTGTTGAGGGCTGAGATTATAGATTATAACTCATTCATCTTGGTAATGGCCCAATAAACCCATAAAGTTTTTTGATCAAATGCATAGGTCAGAGATTTTCAAATCTTATTTCCAAAAGCCCAAGAATTCTGCAGAAACATCTCTGGGGTCCCCACAAGCTGACAGGAAGGCTGGAGTAGCAATGCTCCAAAAGCCCAAAGAAAGTGCCACAGAAAAGAAGCAATCAGCAAATGAGAAGGAGCTCCTGGAAATGATTATTGCTAAAAATTATTTTAAAAAATCAATTGAAAGCTTGAAATGCAAAGTTAAGAAAATCTCCCAGAACATGGAGACAATGGCATAAAGTATGGGAGGAAAAAAATATTCAAACAGGATCAATTCAGGAGGCCCAATATCCAACTAAGAGTAGGAGTTCCAGAACAAGAAAAGAAAGAAGATGGAGGGGAGGGAATTATTGCAGAAATAATTACATTTTAAAAGTCCCCAGAGCCAAAAAGGGACACCGAGTCTTTAAATTGAAAGAGCTAAGAGAATATCAAGCAGATATAGAATTGAGCAATTTAAGAATATTAAAGATTAAAGCAGATCCTGGATATTTCTATGGAAACTAGAACATCAGCTCACAAAAACCAGAACATTGACTCTGACAAATAAACCGGAATAAGGGTGACATCATAATACTCTATAGCAACGATAGAGGCCCAGAGAATAATAGCCAACACTTAACATGACGCCCACGATGTGCAGGCACTGTTCTAAGCATTTTACATATGTAAACTGGTTAATCCTCATCACAACTCCATGAGGTAGGTACTATTTTTATCTTAGCTTATTTATGAGAAAACCGAGGCACAGAGAGATTAAGTGACTTGCTGGGTTCTAGGAAATGTAAAGTTAAAATTTAAACCCTGGCAGCCTCATGCCAGAGATCGGATTTTAACCTCATCACTATATTCCATCTCTAAGTGCTAAGTCTAAATGGCTTTGAACCTAGAATTCTACAGACAGCCAAACTATCAGTCAAGGGTAAAGGAAAAAAAAAAAAGTTATATTCAGCCATTCCAGGACTCAGAAATTTACTTCTCATGCTTCCTTTCTGAGAAGTTATTGAATGTATATTTCAGCTTAGAAACCATGAGGAAGAATGTTACAGGATAAAAACTGGTAGAATTAACTCAAGGATCTAATAATGTAAAGGAATTCCAGAATGACCTGTGTGCAGCAGGTCCAGGAAACCCTTTGAACAAACAAGAATAGAGAATCAGGGACCCAGTAGAATGTCAGGAAAGAAGAGAGGAATAGATTCTGAGAAATATACAAAAAGAGGCTGGAAGATATTAGGAATATGGTGAAGAGGCCTGTGCTTCTTTCCAAAGCAAATGAAATAATCAGAAACACCAAAAGAGAAGGAGGAAGAAAAAAACCTTTGATAAGAAGTTAATGCAGCCTGGGCAACATGGTGAAACCCCGTTTCTAAAAAGATACAAAAATTAGCTGGTAGTGGTGACACACGCCTGTAGTCTCAGCTACAGAGACTGGGGTGGGAGGATTGCTTGAGCCCCGGAGATAAAGGCTGCAGTGAGCCGTGATTGTGCCACTGCACTCCAACCTGGGCAACAGAATGAGAACCTCTCTCTCTCTCTCTCTCAAAAAAAAGAAGTTAATGGTTCAAATATAAAGCAAACTAAAATTTGACGTGATTTGGAAGACTTGGTAGAGAGTAAGAAAGGACAATTCTCTTACTGTTGATGCTGGAAGCATTTGATTATTAGAGGCACAGGAGTAATGATATTGTAACCATAGAGAAGGAACTATGATCACTCACAATACACTCCTTGGGGAACAAAGTCACATAATCAACAACATAAACACTGAGCCTCATTTTCATAGACAAAATAGGAAAGGCTTAATAATAAGGACAAAATAGAAGACAAAGATGAAAGAAATAAGAAATTGGGAGATAGAGGTGGACAAAGATGGGGGGAAAATAGGAATACTAATATTCTTATCTTACCGAATGGCTCCAGAAATAGAGGCCCAGAAATATTATTTACATATGCAAAGTTAAACAATAGAGACATTAAAATAGGTACAAAAGTAGCACACATTGGGCAGAGGAAGGGAGCTAGAGATGGGGCGTATGAATTAAGTCCTTCTCCACCGTGGCTGGTCATAAATGGATGATGTGAGGTTGACTGCACACCCTGAGTTGCCCAGGACAGGCTTATTTTATACTGTTGTCCTGTGATTATTAGTTCTGTCTCTTTTCACTTTCAACAGTTTCCTGGTTGAAGGATTAATTATCTGCTACCTGATCTAAAGTTGATAAATGAAAAACATCAGTATTAACACATGACATGGAAAAAACACCAGAGGAGAAAAAACCACCAAAGGAAGAAAAACAAAAACTGTGAACAGTGATGTCTCACCGGGGGTGGGAGCACAGCAGCAGACATTTGTCAAAACTCACCCAACTCTATAATTTAAATGTGTACATTTTATGGTATATAAATGATTCCTCAATAAAGTTGATTAATCCAAATATAGTGGCCTTCAGAGATGGCAGGGGTGAGTGAGAAGCCACTTTTTATTGTTTGATTTTGTTTAAATATGGATTTTTACTTTAACAATGTTTTTTAAATTTATATTTAAAACGATATTAAAAAACAGAGTTTAGGCCTGGCATGGTGGCTTACGCCCGTAATCCCAACATTTCATGAGGCTGAGGCAGGAAGAACACTTGAGGCCAGGAGTCACAGACCAGCCTGGGTAACATAGAGAGACCCTGTCTCTACAAAAAATAAAAATAAAAATAAATTAACTAGCTGGGCATAGTGGCATGAACCTAGCTACTATGGAGGCTGAGGTGGGAGGATCGCTTGAGCCCAGGAGTTCAAGGTTGCAGTGAGCTATGATTGCACCATTGCATTCCAGTCTGGGTGACAGAGTAAGACCCTGTCTGTGAAGAAACAGTGTTGTGTGGGGGTGTCGTGTTGGATGGAGCTTAAGGCTCTACTGGCTTGGATTCTTCCTGAGATTTCAGGTCAGAATTGAGGAGCAGGATGTTTCCTCCGAGCCCCTTTTTACTCTTATGGACAAGAGGGATACTTGAGAAATGAGAGTGCTGGTTCTTATTAGATTTGCCTGGGTAGCTAAAACAGTTACCAACACTGGGATCCACCCCCAAGAGTTCCTGATTTCACTGGCGTTTGAAAAAGCCCTCTTGGTGGCTCTAATGGGCAGCCTGGCTGAGGACTACTGAATTTGGTGAGGGAGCCCTGGGTGGCAAGGCATGAGAATTCAAGATGGGAGGATGGATAGGTAAGGGGTAGGAGTCACCTAATCACATTCTCTCCCTTTACAGTGGGGAAACTGGCCCAGTGAGGGAAAGGGTCTTGCCCAAGGTGGGGTGGCAAGTCAGTGGCCCCTGGCTGAGGCTAGAACATGGGCTGCCTGACTCCTGGCCTTGTGCTCATTTCTTCACACCTCGAGGGTTCCATAGGCTTGACTTGGGAAGGGCAGTAATACACGTGCAGGGGTTTGCTGAGCACCCGCTGCCTGCTAGGCCCTATGCTAGATGCTGTGTGTGGCTTCTCTCCTTCAATCTTCCTGCCACCCTGTAACTCCTGTCTCCTATGTTATACTTTAGCTAAGAGCTGCTTAGAGAAGTTAAATGACTCACCTTATTTTGTGCCATTCTCATTAGGCTTTAACCTAATATTTCTCAACATGTGGCTCTAAGAAATATTTTTCTCTAAATTTCTTGGAATGCTTATTAAAAATGCAGATCCCTGGGCTGCACCCTAGACCTGTGGAATCAGAATTTCTGGAGGTAGGATTCAAGAAAGTACATTTTAACCAATATTCTTAAGCCCACAAACAATTGAGAGCCACCACTCCCAGGAGCCTTCTTTGCATCACTTGAGCAGACCAACCCTTCCCGCCCCAGGGCCTTTGCAACTACTGTTTCCTCTGCCTGCTGAACAACCTCATCTGCAACTCACTCTTAAGTCTAAGCTTTCCCTGGGATGTCTTTTGACTCTTTAGACAAGGAAAGGTCTTCCCATTGCACGCTCCTTTGCACAGTAGATGTTTCCTCTGTGGCACTTACTACGATGGTAACTTACAAAACAACATGTGTGATGTTTTGTTTCATGTCTTTTCCCTGCTACACTACGAGCCTCATGTCCATTGTGTCCACTGGGTTGCTCACAACTCCTGGCCCCATGCTTGGCACCCAGCAGGGGTTAAACAAGCAGTCCGGTTACACAGCCAGAGACGAGCAGAGCCGGGATTCAACCCCAGACCTGTCTGATACCGGGTCTACTTCTAAACCTGCATGGTGGACTGCCCCAGAAAAGCAACGACCCAGACCAGACATGAGGGTCCTAACCAGTCGCTCATTCTCCAGCCCCCTAAGCCACTCTGCTTATTCACAACTAGTAGTTCCTTTTGATAAATACTGATAACCAATAATTAAGGGGCCATTGAGAGCTTGGATCTTCCCCTACAGGCACAACACCAGGCACTGTGATATCAAAGCACAGACAAAATCAAGTTTCATGTCCTGGCAATTACTGCAAGCAGTCCCAAACAGCCAGACACACTGCATAAGCTCAGTGAAGACCTGAGTCTCTGTCCTTTCAGATGTTCTGATAGCATCTTGAATGAAAGTTCCACCTGGGCCCAGCGTGCAATAGTAATAGTAGTAATGGATTCAGACAAATGAGAATTTACCAGGTCAGTAGGCCTGGCCTGCCCCTGCCCCACACCCACCCCCAGGCTCATTCCCAAGCAGAGCATGACAGGCACTGGGATTTACTCAAAAGTTTGCTCTAGTCCTGGTCTGGAGAAACTCTCTGTGTTCAGGCATGCCAGAGACCAGAAGTGATCTAAGAGGTGCTTAACAAGCTGTAATGCGTGTCAAGAAAAACTGTAAAAGACTAAAATGGTGGGAAAAAAGAAAGGGAAAGAGATAGACTACTGGATGTCCCAGCGTACCCTTCTGGGGGTTTTGTTTTTTCTCAGTCTTTCATTATCTGAGCTATTTTACAATTCTGCAAATTGTAAAAAACTGATGGTAATGCAAATGATTCTTGTCCATATAAATATAAATTATGTCCAATGCAATGCAACTGATTATTGCCCTATAGATTTTTTTTTTTTGCCAGTTTTGCATCTGTTTGTAAATTCACTTCAGATTCCTGATGACCTATATTATGTGTCTACTTTTGCATTCTCCTTTGAATTGATTGTAACATCTTAGTGGTTTCCTCATTAATGAATGAGTGAAATAAAACTTTTGATCCAGGCTCATTCTATATCTGTATGAGAGTCATGATTATACCTCCTTTTGATTCTTTTCCGTGTACATATAAATTACCTGAAGATCTTGCTAAGGCACAAATTCTGATTCAAGGTCCAGAGTAGGACTTGAGAATCTTTCTGCAAGCTCCCAGGTGATGTCCATGCTGCTGGTCCACGGATGCCACTTAGGTGTTAAACTGTTCTTGTGGTAATTCAACTTAAAATAGTGATACAATGTTTCTGAATAAATAAATTATTATCTATACATTAGGTTTTCTTCATTAGCATAAGGAATGTTAAAAGGTTTTTTTTTTTTTTGTGGAATTATGTTGTAACAGGACATGCTGTCCTTGGATAAATAAGTTATCAGAAACTGGTCAGGAGATCTCTGGCCGTGGATCCCAGCACTTCCCCAGGGTCCCATCACCTAATCGTCAGTGTGAATCCACAGGTCTGCAGAGCCCTCTGCACATTTCCATGCCCTGTGGGCTCACATGCTTCCAACTCTGGACTAACCCCATAAAAGGGGCTGGAGGGCTGAGGGTGGCCATTAACTATGCAGGGTTCCCCTTCAGCTTGGGCTTGGTCACCTCCAGGGAGGGGGAACTCACCACTCCCAAATATTCCTGTACCTCTCAGACCACAGAGACTAGGTGCTGGGGGATCCCCTGGGATCCTGGCCAGTCCGTCTTTGAGCCAGGAGCCCTCCAGTAGACAGGTCTGTGCACGGCGGAAGGTTCCCCGGTTTATGCTGCTCAGGCAGACAGACACCTGCCCTTATCCTGTCTTGCTTCCTGCCACACAGGCTCGCAGGGGAAGTCCTGGAGAAGCACCTTCTAGGGCAACATTTGAACTGCTGCACATCAGTGGCCTCTGCTCCTGGGGTGGCAATTTTGGGCACTGCCCATGCAGTTTGCCAGGCTCTGGGTCTTGTGGGCCATTCCTGCGGAGGATCTGGAAAACGTCACACCAACTTTCCCCCTTCACTGGGCCTGGGAAGAAGTGACGTGTCAATTACCCGATCATTTGGTCTGGATCCAAGGCACAAAGATTAGAACGCAGAAAGGACTGCAGTCCTTAGAGTGCTGGCTCCAATCCTCCCACTGCCCTGGGCCTTGCGCAAAGCACTTTCTCTCTCTAAGCCTCAGTCTCCTTGCCTGTACAATGGGGAAAACAAAATTCAGAGCCTAGGCTTCGGGTGAGGCCAAGAGGCCAGGGTGCAGGTGAGCATTCTGGCAGAGTTCCTGCCACCCAAAATGCTCTTCCCATTTGGAATGGCAGGCTAGATCTCCTCTCTCAGGTACCCCCCGCCAGCCCCTAGTGCATGCCCCTCCCTCACAGCTCACCTGGCTCCACTTTCTCATAGCAGTCATCGCTGAGATTCTTCCTTATTGTTTGCTTTCATTCATCTTACCTTTCCTCCTCCCTGGGGGCAGGGACCTTGTCTGTCTGCTCCAACTTTGGACTAACCCAGATTTGGGGCAGACAGTCTGGCTGTGTCCCTGCCCCCAGATCAGCGCTAGGTGTGCAGAAGGTGCTTGGGGAGCCCCTGCTGCATCGATGAAGGTGTCTTGCACCATGCCTTAGCAGGGCCACAAAAAACATGAGTTCTTTTCCCAGGACACTTGGCACACACTGCAGTCTCCTCCCTGTCTTCTCCCCACCTTAAATCCAGGCTCCAGGAGGGTTTTCTTCTCTCTGCCAAAGCAAACAAAGAAAAACAATTTTCCTGCCATTCATAATTGTTCCATATTTTTCTAATAGGCCTAAGCCTGGCCTCGAGATTTCCAGTCACGGGTCATTCGCTGTCTTGTTGCTCGCAGAGCCACAGAGGAGAAGGCTGTGGGCAATTAGTGTGAAAGCTGCCTGCTGCCAGCAGCCCTGCCCGCTCGGCAGGAAAAGGACATGTCTGGTACCACCAGCATCTGCCAGGGGGTGGCTGGGCCTGGACCCCACATGAGCCAGTTCATGTCATTCTCACAACCCTGTGAGGACAATGTTATTCCCCCATATTTCTGATGAGGAAACTGAGGTTCCTATGGTTAAGGGTCTTGCCCAGTCACCTACTGATGTGACAGAACCAATGTCTGAGACCAGGTCTATCTTGTGTCACTGTCAGGTCCTAGAAATAGAAGAGGCAGAAGGGAAGGGGTTGGGGGTCACTGTTGACCCTAATGGAGGGGACTCCCTCTGACTGATTTGACAGATAAAACTGCAACCAAGCGTCCCCTGGGGCCTGGAACAAATCACGCCCTCGGGCGTTGGTAGCCTCTATTAGATGCAAGGATCCCTCAACAGCATTCCGCTGCTTATGGGATCAAGTCCAGGGTCCTTAGCTGGGCAGTGAAGATACTCGGTAATAAAGCCATAGCCTGCCTTTCCAGAATTCTCTTCTCTGACCACAGGCTATGCCCCAGACATGCCTTGTATTCCTCAGCCCCTGCCCTCAGCCTTGGCTCCCTGCCTGAAACACCCATCAAAATCTGGTCCATCCTATCAGGTTCAACTCAAATCCCTACCCTAGAGCCCCTTCCTTGAATCCTCAGCAGCCCTATGAAGCAAATACTATAGCTGTGCACATTTTGCAGATGAGGGAACTGAGGATGGATGTTGTGTCTTGCCTGGATCCACACAGCGAAGTCAAGGAATCTGGAGGCAGCTGAATTTCTCCACCTCACTCCCCTTCTACTCCCAAAGACTCTTTCTCCCTGAGGACAAAAGGGCATGTGTCAGGGTCTGCTGTCAGAACAGACCCTAAGAAAGGTGGCTCCTCCTGGGCTGGAGGTTGCCGATGAGACCTACAGGTCCTCAGACCTGGGGTGATCTCCTGGGGCCTATAAGCCTATCCCTGCCTTCGATGAGAGAGCAGATGATATGCTCTGATCCGGGGGTCCGACATATCCTTTTTCTATCCCAGTGGGAGTAGAATCCTCCTAGCAAGGGGACATTTGATATTCCTTTGTTTGTATGGGGGTTGGATGGAAGAGAGCAGGAGAAGGGGTTGGGGAGAGCAATTTGGGGTGGTTTCAGCCACGTCTGTTCCTGCAGGAGGTCATTTGCTCACTTAGCAAACAACACAGTGGACTCTGCCGGCTCCCAACATGGGACTGGTTGTCCATACTGGCCTGGGTGCCCACCCTGCTTCTTGGCTCTTCTCCTCCTCTACTTCCCTTCCTGTCTCACCCTTGCCCTTGAAAAGGTTGGGAACTTCCTCTTCAAACACCTCACCGTCTCTCTCTCCCTCTCCCCTTCCTCCACCAGTTCTGTCTTCAGCTTACAGAATCTGCCTCCCCCCATTCCGAAGCTTATCCTTAAAGATCTGCTCCAGCCTAGTTTGGACTCACTCTCCTGCCCCTCCCACTAGATCGTTGAACTTTACAGCGCAATGCTTAACATGGAGGAATGTGTTGATAATGGTGGAATTTGGGGCATCTGGGAGCCAGACTAGTAAGCACCATTTAGCCTCCCAGACTCCAGCAGACCAGGAATTTGGCAGTTTAGGAGACTGCAGATTTATTCTCCGTACCTAGAGGCTAAAGGAAGGCATGTCTTCTTGGCAGCATGCAGGTTTGGCGACTTCTCAGCTCATGGAAAACTACTGGGGCTGAGACTGATGGGGCTTTGGCCTGGACCTCAGTGGAGTGCCAAGACAGGTGGAGCAGAGTGGCCCCAGGCATTCAAAGAGTCACACCTCCTCTCTCCCCTGCTGGCTGCCTCTTCAAGGCAGGCAGTTGACAGAAGAGCAGGCACCTTGGTAACTAATATTGTGTAGCAAGGGTGGCAAACTCACATGCCTTCAGGAGTGAAAGTGTGGAGCAGGCTGGAGTAAGTAACAGGGAGTGGTGGGGACTGGGGCAACTGGAGAGTCCTGATGTGTCCGATGTAATTCAAATGCAAATCAATGTTCTGGCCCTCAGGCTGACCGTTTGCTAACCTCTGCCAATGCATTACCGGTTCCAAAGCTCTTTTCCTCATGGTTTCATTGAATTGTCATTTCCTTTCCTGCTTACAGTCACTATCCTCACTTGGCAGATGAGGACACTGGACCTTAGCAAGGCGAAGACATTCCCCTGACTCATTCCAGGCAGGGATCTATGGGGGGGGGGGGGTGGCTTGAAGACACTCAAAGAAAGGTCTGTGCCCCCAATTCTCTCTCCATGGTCAGATTTGGAGGTTGACGTATAACTGTCCAACTCACCCATTGAGACTGTGCTGTGTTCTGACTTGGGCTTCTCATTTAAATGATCCTCCCCGCTCCTCCACCCTACCCAGTGTAGTCACTGACGGGAGAGAGAGGCCTGAAAAGGGGTTCTGAAGTCTGGAGGATCAGGGGCCTTTGACAACCTTGCCAGCCCTCAACTACAATGCCTGCCCTAGTCTGTTGAAAAGTCACAGGAAAGAAAAGTTAGTCATGGAGACACTGCCTGGGGGTCTGGATTCAGACTCACTGGAATATATTTTCTTCCTTTATCACAATATCGTGATTTGGAAATAATAATAACTGCTACATGCTTTACCTGTAGTAACTCATTTAATCCTCACTACATAATTCTGTGAGGTAGGAGCTGTTATTATTCCCATTTTACAGATGAGAAAACTGAGGCACAGCTCATGCTTATACAGAATTTGGAAACTCAACAGGATGTGTAAAAGACAAAAGCTGTTCCTCAGCTCCCATCCTGGTAAAAACCACCCATTCATTCATTCATTCATTCCATAATCCCTACTTTCAGGCACTATGCTGGGTGCTGACATTACAGTAAGGCACATAGGCCTGGAAACCAATTATTGTGAACTGTATGACAAATGACACATGAGAAATGATATATGAAAAATACGGGCTCCAGGAGCCCGGAGGTGTCTGGGGAAGTCTGGGAAGACTTTCTGGAGGAGGTGACACCTGGCAGAAATGGGGCATATCCCAAGGTGAGAACGGCAGATATAAAGGCCTAGGGAAGGTATGAGAGTCATGTCACATGTTCAAGGCATCAGGAAGTAGAGTATTGAAGGGATGGCAGGGCGGGGGCAATGGGGCTAGGTTTGGGATTGTATTAGCCAAGGTGAACGTTGGAATTGTATCACAGCAATAGGCCTTGAAGAAGGTGAATGTGGGGCTGGCTGTTTTAGATTTTTTTTAAAAGAAATTTTAATAGGTTCAAGATTCAAAATGCATAAAAAATATACAGTGAAAAGTTTCCTTCAACCCTATCCTGCCACCCAGGTCCCCTCTTCATGGTCAACTAATCTCTAGTTTCTTATAAGTC
Source organism: Homo sapiens (assembly GCF_000001405.40). NCBI lineage: Eukaryota > Metazoa > Chordata > Mammalia > Primates > Hominidae > Homo > Homo sapiens. The sequence continues at coordinate 70,288,032 of NC_000015.10, read as the reverse complement.
CTTCCAGAGCTTTTTCATTTTACTCTTACATATACTAAGCTCTTTCTCTCTCTCTCTCTTTATATTTTTTAACCCCAAGGATAGCCCATTCTTTATGCATCTCTGCACATTGCTTTTTATTTCACTTTAAGAACATATGCTGGTGATTGTTTCTATTTTTGCATGGCGGTGTCATGCTGCATGGTAAAGAGCCGTACTTTATCTAACCTGCCCCTATTGATGGACATTTTTGTTTCTTGCTAATTTTTTGCTCTTACAATAAGTGTTACAATAAATAATCTTGTACCTATGTAGTATCCTCATTGTGCAAATACACCCACAGAAAAAGAAATTCTAGACATGGAGCCATGAGGGTCAAGGATATATGCAATTTTATTTGCATTTTAAAAAATTTGATTTGAAATTTAACTTGCAAAAAGAAGAGTGTACAGCCAAATAAATTTGATACATGTGATACACAGGCTGTGTATATACCTGTGCAATCACCACCCACATGAAGGTGTAGGTTACCATAGAATGTTTCCAGCCCCATCTCATGGCTTGTCTTGGTGGATATCCAGGACAATTTATTTGTACCAAGGCAATTTATTAGTCTGACCTCTACCACCAGGATTGGTTTTGCCTGTTTCTGAATTTTGTATAAATGGAATCATAAAGAATTGATGTACTCTTTGTATCTGGTTTCTCTTGTTCAAGATGACATCTGTGGGCTGGGCACGGTGGCTCATGTCTGTAATCTCAGCACTTTGGGAGGCCGAGGCAGGCAGATCACTTGAGGTCAGGAGTTCGAGCCCAGCCTGGGCAACATGGTGAAACCCCATCTGTACCAAAAAATACAAAAATTAGTGGGGTATAGTGGTGGACAGCTATAATCCCAGCTACTCGGGAGGCTGAGGCAAGAGAATCTCCTGAACCCGGGAGGTGGAGGTTGCAGTGAGCTGAGATTGCGCCATTGCCCTCCACCAGCCTGGGTGACAGACAGAGTGACACCCTGTATCCAAAACAAAAAAAAAAGATGTCATTAGTGAAATTCACCCCATGTCCCATGTCGTGTTTAGCAGTAGCTTCCCCCCCCCCCGCCCATTGCTGGCTGGTGTTTCATTGTATGACTATATTACAACTTATTTATTCATTCAACCCTTGATGGACATTTGGGTTGCTCCCAGTTTTAGGCTATTGTAAATAATGCTGCCATATACATTCTTTGGGGGAGCACTAATTAAAGCTCATTTCCATTAGTTATATCTGGGAGTAGCATTGGTGTGTACATATTACATTTTTGATGAATGTTACCAAGTGCCCTCTGTAGAGGCTGGTGCAATGTGAAGAAGTGCCTTTTCCCTTGTTCTGCATGTGAAGTGCTCAGCTTAGCACAGTGCCTGGGACAGCGTCGACACTTCAGAAAACCATGCAGCCCTCAGCTCCAGAAGTGGTAAGAATGCCTTATGAGCCCTAAAGCCCCACTCTGAGCAGGAGATTGTGATTCTGCCAACGTGTCCCACTAGAAGGATCAGGTGAGAGTGAGGAGGAGTCAATGAACTCATTTCCACCCCCAGAGAAGTATCCTTAATGAATAATAATAACTCCTTTGTTTATGTAGCTCTCTGGCCTTTCTAAAGCACTTTGACATGCACCAGTGGTGCTCAGCCAGGGCTCACATTAGGATCCTCTGGGGAGCTTTCCAGAAAAACCAATGCCAGGGCCCCACCCCCACAATTCTTATTTAATTAGGCTGGGGTGGGGCCCAAGCACCAGTGTTTTCTAAGCCTCCCAGATAATTCTGGTGTGAAGCCAGAGCCAGGAGTCACCGACTGCCTCATCTTCTGTCATCCGCATGGCAACTGCTTGCAATGGGAGAAGTGATATGAGGCTGGTGTACAGAAAGAGAGAAAGGGTTCTAAAATAGTGTTTATAGTCTAACAATAATGTTCTGCTTTGTGCCAGGAATAGTGCTGAAGCTTTCTAGTCCTCATTTCCATTAATACCGTATGAGAAAGGCATTGTGATGATCATTCCCACATTACAAATAAGGAACCGGGCTGAGCGGGTGGGGTCCCCAGCCAAGGCCACCCAGCTGGTAAGTGGCAGCACTGGGTCCAGAACACTGGCTGCCTCTGAAGAGTCAGCACCCACACTTAAGCCTGCCTCCAGGTCCTAATCCCCCATTTTGCCCAGAAAAAAGACTAGAAGGAAATACAACAAAATGGTATCAGTGGATCTCTTTGGTTGATGTGATTGTGGGTGGTGTTTACTTCTATATGCTTTTCTGCATTTTTCAAATTTTTACCAGTGATCATGTATTTGCCTATAATCACAAGCCAATGAAAGTCCTTTCAAGTTGTTGAAATAAATAACAGAATCATTTTCTGAAGGAGCCAGTTAAGTCCCAGAGTGTCCAAAACAGGTGATGACAGAATAAGGGCCACAGCTATTTCCTGAGTCCCAATGCAACACTTGAGACCTCTCAGGAGGAGAGATAGGTGTGATCTTTACTTACAGGAAGGGGCTTTGGAAAGGCATGAGAAAATGTCCCCAAGCAAAAATTGCTGTAGTGTCTTCATTTGACTGTATATGTTCTTGTAGAATAGCCAGAATATAAAGAAAATAAAAATAAAACAAAATAACCTAACATCTCACCACCCAGATGTAAACAGTGGGAAAATGGGGAGGACTACTCTTTCAGATAAGTCCTTGTCCATCAATATTCATATAGATCTGGATAAGCATAGTTTCCCATCCACAGATCATGCTGTAAGCATGCAGTCTGCAACCTTCTTTTTAAACTCAGTAATGTGTAATGTGCATGTTCATGAATAGAGCTACATGTCAGTCCTGGAATGGCTGCATACACACACACACACACACACACACACTATTTGCAAGTGAGATGTGGTGGCAAAACCCTCTTGAGCAGAACCAAGCAGAGCTACCTGATGAGGTCATGCAGCCAACAGCCAAGGTCAGGTGCTGCCTGCCAGCTTGGGCTCTAGGCCCACAGTTTGCTCTTAACAAATGCCTGTGGGCAATGACAACACACACACACACATGCACACACACACGCACCAGACAATCTCATTCTCCCTCCATGCAAGGTGCTTGGGTGGTAATGGAATCTGCATGTCCAGAGGCAGGCATAATTGAATAGCTGAGGGCATTAAGTCCTTGATTAAACTGGTTGTTCATTTGAAGGGACAATTAACCCAGCTAATATTCCAGGCCAGCCCAGCAGGTCCGTCCCCATCAAAGGACATATTGAGCGAATATTGAAGTGACTGCATTACCTTTATGGAGGAGAGTAGGGCTCCAAGGTCCTTACCTAAGGCCTGCAGCCCAGGTCAAGCTGGGGCCGCAGACACTTCAAAGCAGGGAGACTCCTGGAGTCCAGCCATCCTGGCATGGGGTTACGAGACCTTGAGTTTGTGAATGAAAGAGGAAGTTTCCTCTGGGGAAGGTTTTTCTCACGGATGAGTGGCCTACCCCTGTGCTTGTCTGTTTCACATCTACATGTGATGCGTGGAGCCTGGATGATGTTTCAGCAGCCATCTCGTGACCCAAGTGTGGATCTCGCTGGCTCAGTCCTACCTCTGGGCCTTTTGTTCTCTCACAGTTTTCTTATTACTTTATTTTTATTTTATTATTATTATTTTTTGAGAGAGAGTCTAACTTTGTCATCCAGGCTGGAGTGCAGTGGTGCAATCTGAGCCCACTGCAACCTCCGCCTCACAGGTTCAAGTGATTCTCCTGCCTAAGCCTCCCAAGTAGCTGGGAATACAGGCGCCCACCACCATGCCTGGCTAATTTTATTTTTTTGTATTTTTAGTAGAGATGGGGTTTCACCATGTTGGTCAGGCTAGGCTCGAACTCCTGACCTCAAGTGGTCCACCTGCCTTGGCCTCCCAAAGTGCTGGGACTACAGGCGTGAGCCACCGTGCCCGGCCAAGCTTTCTTATTACTCAAGCCAGTTGGGTAGGGGTTCCCCGTTTCATGCAGGAGAAAGCATCCTGACTGATAAGATGGGTCCTTTTCATTTCCTGGCACCTTTCCTGGAGAGTTGGAAGTGAGAAAAAGAGGAGACAGGGAAGGATCTTCCTCTCTTTCTCTCCTAATACCTGATGTCAGCCACAGGGAAGGTGGCTAGACACATATATCCTAGAGCACATATATCCCCATTGTCTGAATTCTAGAAGGTTGAATCCAGTAGCTGTACTTGTTCTGGCCCTGGGTATCTGACAACGGAGGTGACTGTGCTGGGTGCAGAGCAGGGAAACACAGCCAGGGCTTGGCCCCCATGAGCTACCTAGGTCAGGCAGGGCCACAGTAATGACTGACCATCTGCCAGGCATGGCCAGGGATCCCAACAGGCTGGAGAGACCAGGAGTGGGCAGAAATGGGCAGGAGTGGAAGCAGATGGTGCCATGGTGGACAAACCCAGGTCCTGCAGGAGCAGATAGAAATAAGTCCAATGATGGAAGCATAGCTTCATCTAGGTACTGTGCTCTGGGCTTTGCATGGGTTGCTAACATCATCTTTATCACATGTATGAGGTAGATACCGCTACCCATTTACAGATGAGAGAACTGAGACTCACAGGGGTTAAGTGGTTTGTTCAGAGGCACAAATTTAGGAACACGGAGGCAAGATTAAAGTTTAAGATTGTACAGCTCCAAAGTCTGTAACCATTCTTTGTCAATTTATGCAGGCATGCCTCCATCCATCCACCCATTCATCCATTCATCCATCCATTTATTCATCCATCTATCCATCCATCCATCCATCCATCCATCCATCCATCCATCCATCCATTTACCCATTCATCCATTTATCAATCCATCCATGCATCCATCCATCCATCCATATATCCATCCATTTATCCATCCATCCACCCATTCATCTATTCATCCATCCATTGATTCATCCATCCATCCATCCATCCATCCATCCATCCATCCATCCATTTACCCATTCATCCATTTATCAATCCATCCATGCATCCATCCATCCATCCATATATCCATCCATTTATCCATCCATCCACCCATTCATCCATTCATCCATCCATTGATTCATCCATCCATCCATCCATCCATCCATTTATTCATCCATCCATCCACCCATCCATTTACCCATTCATCCATTTATCAATCCATCCATGCATCCATATATCCATCCATTTATCCATCTATCCACCCATTCATCCATTCATCCATTTATCCATCTATCCATCTATCTATCCATCCATCCATCCATCCATCCAATCAGCCAGGGTCCATTCTCCCATTTATTCTACAAATATAATCTGATCATTTGTTCTGTGGCAGGCACCATATGCCAGGTGCCAGGAATAGAGCAATGATGGCCATGGTCACTGCCTTCTCAGTGTGCTGAGTGGACATTGCAGGCCCCCTTGGATAAAGGCAGGTAATTGCATTCTGGCTGAGGGTCATGCTTCTTGCACCACCCCAAAAGGATTTGTGAGGACATACCCTGAATTCTGAAGCCCTTTGGAATGTTCTGAGCCTGTGCTGGGTTGGAGTCTCGCCTCTGTACATCTATTGTATGTGTGACCTTCAGAAAAACACACTTTTTCTCTCTGGGGCCTCGATTTTCTCATCTTCAGAGGTGGAATAAAAATGTCTTATGTAATCTTCACAGGGGTGTTGGGAGCATAAAGAAAAATACTTTTCTTAAAGAGCTTTGTAAACTCTAATGTTCCGGGCATATATCAAGTTGCGAGTCCATTTGTCACATCTTTGAGGAAGTGATCTTCTGCTTTTGTTGTGATCAGTGAGCCTCAGATAAGAACAACTTCTACAAGCTTCATTGTCATGGGTGATAGGTTTGCTCTGGAACCCTAGAGACTCATGTGTGCCTGTGTAATAAGCCTCCCCATGGTAACAGAAGTGAGGCTGAGACCCAGGAAAGTTAAGTGGCAGCTGAGGTTGCAAGTGGCTTAGAAGCCAATGCTTAGGCCTCTGGTCCAGGGCCAGTCCCTGACACTATTGGCTGCCAGCTGTGCCAGGAGAGAGGCTGAAGTTGGGTCAGACATTCTGACATTCTCTGGGGTTCTGCTGCTGCCGTGTTCAGTAGAAGGTCATCAGAGATGAATACGGTTTCTTCTAGATGTGAAGGAGAGCCAGAGTGACTCCCTAGTGACTCATAAACAGAGCAGCTTGTCAGGGCTGCAGCAAAGATGTTTCTGCTGCTCGACTCATAGCAAAAGGGGCACCCTGTCCCTGGGGTCTGAAGAAGCAAAGCCTGTGCCCTTCACCTCCTGTGAGATTCCTTTTCTGTTAACTTTTCCTCCCATGAGATGCCACGTGAGTGGTTACTTTCCAGGAGACTGTCTTGGGAGGCCTCTGCACCTTCCTGCTACAGAATTGCTCTTGGCCTTGGAGGAGATGTTAACAGTGGGCTTTGCAGAAAGCAGCAACACCTTTTAACCTTCCACCTGCTTTGAGTTCTACATGTCTGTTTGTTCAGGCAGCCCCTTTGGCTTGAAGACCCTTGGCTGCTCCTCTCTGAACAGTAGGTGATGGAGGAAGGCCCTGATTCTGCCCTGTATCACCTGCTGATGTCACCCCAGATCCTCAGCATCTCACCTGTTGATTTTCTAGAAAATGAAGCGTGGCGGTCAGGGTGGGAGGGGAAGAAGGTGAGAATTAAGAATAGATTGTTTTAAATCTTAGGACTTAGAGTTTAAAATATAGAGCCCCAAATTATTGTTCCCCATCTTCCTATAAAATAAAGTCTCTCTTATTCTCTCTCCCTCTCTCACACACACACACCTTTCTATATTTGTAGGCAATAAGGAGCCTTGGAGTGTGTGTATAGGAGGCCCACAGTGTGTGATGGAAGCATACGTGTGTGTGTCTTGGCACACATGTATCTGCATGGGTGTGTGTGTGTGTACGTTTCTCTGTGTAAGCTGGTGTGGATAAATGTGTGTTCACGCAGATGAATGTCTGTCAGTATATGTGAGAGTATCCCTGTGGGCGAAGGGGCTATCTTTAGTCCCTGTTGCCCTGTTGGGGGTGCATGTCAGCAGATCCCCTAGTGGGCAGGAGGCGGGCCTGCTTGGGCTCTAGAACCTTAGCCAGGCACACAGAGGAGCCTGGCCATCTCAGTCGATGAGGAGGTTGAAGCAATTTCAAATTCCTGGAAGAGGAGCTTCCTGTTTTTACAGAATCTATAGACTCCTGGGCTGAGAAACTTTATATTTAAAGATTGAAAATACCAATTTTATAATAAGGTAAAGGTGGGTTTTCATTTATCTCTATTAAAGGCAATTACAAATGATTTCTTGATTAAGAGAAATAGAAAAGACGATCACCCTCCGAAACCTCACATCACGATGATTCATTTGATGTTAAGGTTTAGGGTATCCTCAGCCAGAACTGTGGTTTAAAAATGCAGAAATAAATTTTTCAATACCAAAGAATCAATAACCTACACTCAGGCTGAGACACAAAGCTGTGTGTGGAAAGAACTCTGGAGATCATAGGTGTCTAAGCTGTGTGAGTGTGTGTATGGTGTATGTGTGTATTTGTGTGTGTTCACATGTATGCATGTCTGTGTGTATATGTGTGCATTTGTGCCTGTGGCTGTGTATATGTATGTCTGTATGTATCTATATGTGAATAGGTGCATGTTGTATGTGTCTGCGTGCTTGTGTGTAAATGTGTGTATGATGTGTGTATATGTGTGCATTTGTGTGTCCATTTGTGTGTGTATGAGTGTGTCTGTGTGTATGTGAGTGTAACTGTGTATCTGTGTGAGCGTGTGCATGTATATGTGTCTGTGTGCCTGTGTGTATGTGAGTGTGACTGCGTGTGTATCTGTATGTGTGTGCATGTATATGTGGCTGTGTGCCTGTGTGTATGTGAGTGTGACTGCGTGTGTATCTGTATGTGTGTGCATGTATATGTGGCTGTGTGCCTGTGTGTATGTGAGTGTGACTGCGTGTGTATCTGTATGTGTGTGCATGTATATGTGGCTGTGTGCCTGTGTGTATGTGAGTGTGACTGCGTGTGTATCTGTATGTGTGTGCATGTATATGTGTCTGTGTGCCTGTGTGTATGTGAGTGTGACTGTGTATCTGTATGTGTGTGCATGTATATGTGTCTGTGTGCCTGTGTGTATGTGAGTGTGACTGTGTGTGTATCTGTATGTGTGTGCATGTATATGTGGCTGTGTGCCTGTGTGTATGTGAGTGTGACTGTGTGTATCTGTATGTGTGTGCATGTGTATGTGGCTGTGTGCCTGTGTGTATGTGAGTGTGACTGTGTATCTGTATGTGTGTGCATGTATATGTGTCTGTGTGCCTGTGTGTATGTGAGTGTGACTGTGTGTATCTGTATGTGTGTGCATGTGTATGTGGCTGTGTGCCTGTGTGTATGTGCATATGTTGCATGTGCATCTGTGCATGTCTGAGTGTGGATGTGGCCCTGGACATGTCCCACTGCTCCTGGGCCTCACTTCCCACATTTGTACAATGAGCGTGATATGGTTTGGATGTGTGTCCCCTCCAAATCTCATGTTGAAATGTGGCCTCCAGTGTTGGAGGTGGGGCCCAGTAGGAGGTGTTTGGGTTATAGGTGTGGATCCCAAATGAATGGCTTGGTGCATCCTCATGGTAATGAGCGAGATCTCACTCTATGAGTTCACGTGAGAGCTGGTTGTTTAAAGGAGCTTGGCATCCCTCTTGCTCCCTCTTTTACCATGTGACACCCCTGTCCGCCCTCCACCTTGTGCCCTGAGTAAAAGCTCCCTGAGGCCTCCCCAGAAGTTGAGCAGATGCTGGTGCCGTGCTTCTTGTCCAGCCTGCAGAACCATGAGCCAATCAAACCTCTTTTCTTCATAAATTACCCACTCTCCAGTGTTCCTTTACAGCAATGCGAAATGGGCTAACACAGGCGCTGAGCACTAAGTGGACTCCCATTTCTGGAGGGCACTGGATGCTCAGCTATGGTGTTGGGGCTGTGACGGGTTCCATCCTCCCCCTTCTCTGCTGCAAGTTCACCCCCTGACTCCTCCCCCTCCCTGCCCCTAAACCCTCATGCAGCGTTCAGTCCTTCCCGCTGCCCAGGCACCTGGGAAAGGCTGGGAACCTTCACCTGCATCATGTGCTCAGCTGTCTCTCGCCCTTACACCCATGTGACCATGGGCGAGTCCCTTCTCATCCCCGGGCCTCAGGCAGGAAAATGAGGTGGTGAGAGACTCCTCTGGCTTGGTCATTCTCAACATGCACATTTCCTGACCGTGGTGAGCTGGGAAGTGGTCTAGGAACCGTCACACACACACCAAGCTCCTCTGAGGACTGGACACTCCAGCAATAACTGTATCAGTGTCCCAGTGCCCAGCACAGGGCCTGGCATGGAGCAGGTGCTGTGGAAGCAGGGACAGAAGGAGGGGTGTGTGGAAAAGGTGAGGCTAAAGCAGCTGAAGCAGTGCTCTTGCAGCCTCCCCACTCCCCCATCCCCATCCTGGCCCCGTCATGCCCTGATTTAAGACTCAGAGCTCCCCACATCTCTCTCTCTTCCTCCCTTACTCTCCTGCCTTGCTGGCATCACAAAATCACCTGGGGAGAAATAATGGTGCCCAGACCCCTGCGAGACCAAGTAAATCAGAATCTCTGAGTATGAAGCTCTGCCATCCGAAGTTCTAATGAACAGTGTAGGTTGAGAACCTCCTCCCTAGAGGCCAGAGAATCTCAGGCTCTCTCGACAGACTAAATCTCATAGAGACCAAATTAAAGGTCTACAACTTTCAATCTACTTCCAAGTTTCCTGCTGAGCTCCTAAAATACAGATCTGGGGACGTCCCCAGAGCTTCTGATTCTGAAGGTGTGTCCTGGACCTGGAAATGCACATTTAAAATCAGCTCCAAGATTCCTGGTTCCGAGGCAGGTGGTCCTCGGCCCTTCTTTAACCAGCTCCGGGAGGCTTTGTAGCCAGGCTACATAGAAATGAGGGGATCCCTGAGTCTCACACATGTCATAGGCTGCTTTAGGATAAACATCATCCATGGTAGGGAACCCTGGCACCCTCCTCCTCAACCCTCAGCCATACTTTAAAAACCAATCTAATTTTGTTCCTTTCTTCATTCAATCACTTCTCATTGCCTTGATGACAAAGACGTTAATCCCTAATGTGGCGTAGGAGGACCTGTAGGTCTGGTCTGGCCTGGGGCCTCCCCTTGAGCCCTCTCCCTGGCTGTAGGGCCTCTGCGGGTGCAGCTCTCTCTGCTCGGCTCCCCACTTGGCTGAGCTAAACTCCTGCTCACTGCTTAGAGCTCTCCTGACCCTTCAAAGGCCCAGTTCACCAGTCGCCACCTCTCACAGATCCCAGAGCTCCAGGCGTGAATCCGGATCCTCTACCAAACCACATTCTCCAGGAGGGCAGCAACTGGGTCAGTTTTGCTCCCCATTCAACCCCGTAACCCACATGTCTGCCTGGGGCCTGCCATGTAATAGGTGCTCAATAAATATTTGCAGAATGAATAAATGACACAAAACACATACTTTTTCAGTTTTGGCGATTCTTATCCTGAATAGATTTTACAGCCTCACTGATGGACAAGGGGATGTGTAACTGAGGATGTTCAGATAGTGGAGCATGACAGGCAGACCTGGCATGTGTTTGTGCATGTGTGCCTGCTGCAAGTGTGTGGTATATGGGAGTTAGAAATTACATTTAGGTTGAACTTAGCGACCTCTCGGCCCATAGCCTTTTTCCAACAATCACAAAGTGGCTCTGCGAATTGGGTTTTTCTCTCTGCATTAGGACCCCTGCTCCAGGTGCCTGCAGGGGATGGCAGTGCTCACAGCCTGAGTGTCCTCGGGAACTGGGGGAGAGGGAGCCTTAGTTGTATGGGGTTCTACTAGGAGAGGGTTCAGGGGTTACAGAAAGAGCGTGGCTCCTGAATCTGACCAGCGTGGGTTCAAATCCAGGCTCCATCCTTTCCTCACCAGTGTTGTTACCTTGGCTCAATTCCTCATTGTCCTCAGTCCAGTGGGAATAATCCTGATGAACCTACTGGGGAGAAGGGTGTCCAAATTGGTGACGCAGTGTGCTTTGCTCTCGCCTTCTCCGAGGGAACCTTCCTTGAAGCACCCATCCCCTCTTCCTTAATCCCCAGCACACTGTCTAGCACAGTAGGTGCTCAATAAAATCTTGTTGACTTGCTTAATGTGTCACCTAGTCTAGAGACTGTCTCATAGTAGGTTCAGTAGCTCCCTTTCCCTCCTCAAGACTTCCAAGCCTGAGACCAGGGTGAGTGGGTTCACACCCCAGCTCTGTGTATGTGTATCCTGGTCCCTGTGACCTTGAGCGAGCACATATGGTTTTTCTGGGCCTCAGCCTCTTCCTGGGTCAAAGGAGGGGCCTGGAGCCTATGTGTTTTACCCATTCTCATGTGGAGTTTTGCCTTGTCTGAGAGGACTGTGCCCAGGGATGGTGAGGTCCTGGCTGGGGCACCCCAGGGGCTGGTGCAGATTGAGGGGCAGCAGGGCTGAGAGCCGCAACCTGGCTGGGTTCCTGGCCTGTGAAAAGGGAGCTGTGTGTTCCTTCCTTACCTGCTTGTAATAGAAAGCTGCTCCTTCGATTGAGCTGTTTTCTTCTTTTGCCCTGAGCTATGAGGAGTAGATTAGATGAAAAAATTATCAAGCCTCCTCGTCTAGAATAAATATTCTTGAAATGGAGCAAGTTATAAATAAGCAAGCAGCAATATCCTGTGTTATGAATATATAATTTCTATCTTTAATAGCTGACTAGGCCCCAGGGACTGTCTGAAAATGGCCTGTCTGGCCCTGATATTTTATATATTTCTTAAAAGGCACCCAAACTTTTGTTTCTTAGCCCTTGGACAGTTAAGTCTTAGGGGGAAATAATGAGAGTTGAAAGTCTCATTGAGCAAATGCACCAAGCGCAGGTACTTGGTTTACAAAAAAAAAAAAAAAAAAAAAAAAAAAATCCAGAAGATGCAAAGGCTCATGTTGAATAAGAGAGTTAGGCCTGGAGCTTGTCTCATCCCACCTTCTCATTTTACAGAATAGGAAGTGGTGGCCCAGAGAGGGGAAGTGACTGACCCAAAGTCACACAGCAATGGACTATGTTCCAGATTCACCAGGCTGGCTCCCTTCTCCAAGTGGCTGCCCGCAAAAGTCGAGGGAGGGCCTGGAGACTCCAGGTTCCACAGCCAACAGAAACTTGCCAGGGGGACTGACAAGGAGGTTTGCCTCCAGTGGAGGACGAATCGCTGGATGAAGGGAGTCACTATGTCTCAGAGGCAAGACTGTGAGGTCTGGTGAGCCATGGAGGCCAACTGTTCCCTCTCAGACCTCCTGGGCCAAGTCTGCATCGCAGCCTGTCGTCAGGAGCCTCTGAAACCTGCCCTTTCTGCCTCTGCAACCCTGACAGCCAAGGGGCAGTACAGATACTTGTCGCTCCTCCTATCTAGCAGGAAGCCTGATACCATGAAAAGACAATGGGCTGCTGACCTCACAGATCCCAACTGACCAAGGGCTCCTCCACCTCCCAGCTCTGTGGTACTGAACAAGCTGATTGACTTCTCCTAGACTCAGTGCTTTTTGTCTGTTAAATAGCGATGGTTGTGAGGATTAAAAGTGATAGTGTGTAAAGCACCCAGGATGAAGCCAGGTTTGTACCAGGTGCTATGAATGTCACCCATCCCTCCAGGGCTGCAAACCTTTCTTCCCCAGTCCACAGCATTGTAACTGTGACTACCTGTCACTGCAGGCCAGCCTCTGAGCCCCTGGCTGAGATGAGCCCAGTGATTCTATGTTCATTCATCTGGTCTTCCAGGAAGAATGTATCTTCTCGAAGCCCTCACATTCCTCTCCCTGGTCCCCAGCAGTGTCCTGCAATAGGACTGCCCACACTGTAGGTGCTCAATTAAGGACATATTGGATAAGTGCCTACGGTATGCCAAGTACCAGGTCTAATAATGGCTAGTCATTAACAAGAATTGACTATGAGTTGCATTTACGAATGCATTGATCCATTCAATCCTTGGCACAGCACCACAAGATGGGCATTCTTATCCCCATTTAAAAGATGAGCAAAATGAGGTTTGCCAAGGTGATTAGGTCACTTGTTCGAAGTTATACATCTAGGCATGGCAGGGCTAAAGCCGACTTCATGCAGAGCCTCTTTTCATCCCTCCACATTGACTTCTTGCAGGATGACCTGCTTTTTCTAGGATCAGAGTAAAGCTGGAAAACAAATGGATTCATCAGCAGGTTCCATAATGATGGGAGGAGGGGTGGGTGGGGGAAATATTAATGCCTGTGCAATGTGCATGTTAAAATGTAAATGTCCTCTCCTGTGAGTCGTGAGGCACACTCATCATTATGAGCCAGCGTCTGAGGTTCTGATTTTGATGGCATTAGCTTTAATGGCTTTATTTTTTTTAAAAAACCATTTAATTACTAATCAGAGCTGCCTTGCAAGCTAATGTGAGATGCACACTTTGCATCTGGGGAAAGAGCCTTCCTCAGTGGGCAGCTGAGAAGTCTGCCAGAGGCCAGAGGCTGGGCCAGCTGGTCTCCCCCTCCTTAAGGGGGTTCCCCCACCCCTGGTCCCCAGACCTCTCTGCTATTCAACACTTGTCTTTGAAATTGCAGAATCTCATTACATCTGAGATGAACCTTACTTAGTAATTGGCTGGCCTATTCCCTCCCACCTCACCTCACAAAAGGGTAAACTGAGGCTCCAAAAGGCCCCACGGGTTCCAAAGGCTGGAATTTGTGGAGCTTCTTTCTTACTTGCTAACAGATTTCTAGCACATAGACTCATTTGCATTCACAATTTCAATAGTCAAAAACTTTCCAATGCTAAAACCTCATTTTCTGAAGCTAATTTAGGTCTCATTTTCATTAATAGCTTGGCAACAATCACGCAGTGGAAATTTCTCCCAGGTCGAAGAAAGAGCCCCGGTTGGGGAATCAGGATGTGTGTGAGCTCCTGCTGTGTGTCTCTGGATAAGTTGAATCACCTCTCTGGTCTGTGGTTTTTCTCCACAGTCAAATGAGGGGACTGGGTTAGCTCTGTGTTTTTCCAAACATGATTCTATAACTCCTCTGTAGAATACAGTATGCAAAAAGATGGAAATACTTGTTATTCAGAAAAGAATGCTTTTGGCCAGGTGGGGTGGCTCCTGCCTGTAATCTCAGCACTTTGGGAGGCAGATGAGGGCAGATCACTTGAGGTCAGGAGTTCGAGACCAGCCTGGCCAACATGGCAAAACCCCCTCTCTACTAAAAATACAAAAATTAGCTGGGCATGGAGGCGCACGGCTGTAATCTCAGCTAGCTGGGAGGCTGAGGCAGGAGAATCGCTTGAACCCAGGAGGTGGATTGGAGGTTGCAATTTTTTGAAAGTGTACAGAGTCTAATGAGTTTGCTGGATTCAAGTTAATCAGGGTTTTGTTACCATTATTTATTTATTGTCCAACATGTGTGCTTTGGGCCTTTCCTATAACAGAGTACCTGCAGACCCTCTAAGAGGAGGCTTTTTTTTTCATGGCAATTTTATCAAGTCCTTTGAAGCACAAGAGTTCCCAGGAGCGTAGAATGGGAAACTCTGGCAGGCATGGGGCCTAGGTCTCCTCTGTGTCACACTCTGGGACTTCTGTGACTCCAAGAGATAAGAAATAAAGGAGGCTGCTCTAGAGACATCCTCTTAGCCTTAAGCTTGGATCACTCACTTCCTCTGAACATCACCATGCTTTTGTTCAGAGGCACTCAAAATCCACCTTGGGGACTTGACCTTACCACTACTTGTCCAGGAAACCTGTTCTGGCCACAATGACACTCACCAGGCCCTGTGTCATTGCCCCAGCCAACCTTTGCCCCCTTCCCCTCTTCCTGGGTAAGCCCCTAAGCCCCTCCCCTCATCCTTTGCAGCACCCTCTCACATGCCACCTTGCTCAGAGGCAGCAGTCTCCCACCCCGGAACAAGCCCCAGGCTTGGAATCAGAGCCAGACGCAAGCTCTGTCTTTGTGCCTTGGTTATCTGGTTCTGGATCAAGGACTGAACTTTTTTCCGCTTTACTTTCCTAAGACAAAAATGAGAGAGGATCACGGTACTGACTGTCTTGCTTTGGGGCAAAGATTAAAGGGGCTTGAATATCTTGTCTTAGCCAAAGTTTTCTACAAAGCAAGGCCTGAGGTAAAGGCCTGTGTGCTACTGCTCTTTTAAGCAGTGTGATGCGAGGGCCGCAGGAGTGAGGGAAACGATAGGCAAAACTGGAGACAGGAAAAGCCAACGCAAGGATGCGGGAGAATTCAGCCACCCAGTGGCATCAAGAGCAACTGAGTGCTTGATGTCATGAGAAGGTCTCTCAAAAGGCTATGTAGGCCAGGTGCGGTGGCACATGCCTGTAATCCCAGCACTTTGGGAGGCTGAGAAGAGCAGATCACTTGAGGTCAGGAGTTCAAGACCAGCCTGGCCAACATGGCAAAGCTCCGTCTGTACTAAAAATACAAAAATTAGCCAGGCATAGTGGCCGGAGCCTGTAATCCCAGCTACTGAGGAGGTTGAGGCATGAGAATCACTTGAACCCAGGAGGCAGAGGTTGCAGTGAGCCAAGATCATGCCATTGCACTCCAGCCCAGGTGACAGAGCGAGACTCTGTCTATAAAAAAAAGAAAAAAGAAAAAAAAGGACCCTACGTAGCAACTACTTCTTAAGACAGTCTATCCAGAAAGAGGTGAGAAGAGGAATTTACCCGTGGGCTCCAGTATCTTATGGCTCAAAGGATTGCCCCTGGTGTGTTCACTCCCCCAGGTCTCCTGGTTGCACATGTGTGCCTGCTGAGTGGGTCTTGCTGCATTTCAAGTGTCACCAGCAAGAGGAAAGCTCCACAGCAGAAGTGATGTGTGCACAGACAGGAGATGCACTGCTTTGAGGTTGTACCTACATTCAGTTGTTCAGAGTCACATGAAGTTGGTCATTGCAGGGGAATGTGAGGGGCAAAGGTCTAAGACCCCAGAGATATGGGTGGTTGAGAGGCTTTGAGGATGGTGTAAGAAGTGTCTCTGTGTCACCCTGTACCACCCACAGAGGCATCTACCCTTCCATCACATCCAGCTCCCATACAATCTGGGGCCTCTGTGTTTGGTGTGAACTGAATGTCCCTGCTTTCTCTAAGAAGTGGGTACAAGTCCAATGACTACAGAGTTTCCTTGGGATCTCTGAGATGACCTAAGGCAAGAGGTTAATAAAACAAGACACAGTGCCTGCACCTGTCCTGAGGCCCTTATGGGTACTCATCAGATCTCCCCTCCATTCCCCAGTCTCCATGTCCCTCACCCTCAACCGGCAATTTGTCTGCTCTGTGCTGCTTACTGAGCAGGATGACTCAGACCTTCATCCCGAAGAGGTCTGAGCCCTTGGCTTGTCCTGTTCTTATTGAGCTGTTGTTGCTGCAATTGCTGACTCACAAGTCCCTTTCATCAGGCAAAAGAACACCAAGAGACTCGCAGAGAATCCCTGCTGTGAAAAGCAACAGGACTTGGCCCTCACAATAATCTGGTGAATTATCCTGCCAGGATGGTAACTCCTTTCATCACTGCTAGTCCACTAGAAAACTAAAGTGACAGGTAGCTGTCACAGCTTCAAATCCAGTGGGACCTTTACAGTGTCACCTGCAGGAAATACTAGCCCCACAACAGAAACATTGGCTGTCTGTGGACCATGACCCCTAACCTCACAGAGCCTAAGGTTTGTGGCAAGTGTAAATCCTGCTAGAGGGTCACTAGGAGTGATGGCAACAGGGAATGGACGTTCAGCCCTGGCTTCCCAGACCCATGGATTCCAGCAGTAGGAAGACAGCACCATTTATTGCCTGTTGGTTAGGTGCATAGACAACATGCTAAAGACAGTCCTCCAGTCCCACAGGGGGTGGTCCCCAAGCTAGCACCTGAGCTCAGCCTTTCACAGGCCATTTCACCATTGTCATGGGCCACTGCTTCTCTGTAATGGGTACACAAGAAGATTAGGGGAGTCCATGGCCATGTGCCCATTGTCATACCTCTTTTGCAGTAGGGCCCACCCTTGATAGGAGTCACTGACGTAGGCGCTGCCATGTAGGTGGAGAAGGCATTCTGTGAGCCTTCATATGTGTCGGTGGAGGCACTGAGGGTAGGAGGACCCAGGAGGACAAATCCGTGTTCTCGTCGGGGTGGAATTTTAATTCTAATTTCCCTAACTCGAGTTCATAAGCAAAGCCAGAGCTGCGACTGAGACTGCTATAAAAAGAAACCTCCTTGACTTTATGCCCAAGGGAGCTGTGTTCCTTAACATTTGCGAAAAGGGAGGCTTCCTGATACATGAAGAAATTACATCTGTTTTTTGGGTTAAACACACACACACACATACACACATACACACACACACATACACGAGACACACACAATGTAGACTGGCTTCCTGTGCAGACAATGTGGGCTCAGTTTTCCGGAAAATAGTTACCCAGTTAGGAAATTCTCCAGTCAAGAAAGCCCAACCAGGCCATTCAGCTCTGGGGAGGGCACTCCGAGACAATGTCTGCTGGAGAAGCACGTTCAGTTTGTGGATTACCAGTGGGCACCAACATCCCCAGCAAGCTTCTACCTGAAGAGCTGGAAGCCACCAAGGAGCTCCAACACCACAGTGTGTCCTCCTAAGTCCACCGCATGCTCCTGCCGTGCACAATGCTTTGCAAACTGTAAAGAGCTCTCCAAATGCACAGCCATTAGCCTGGAGACTGGCCCCCAAAGAAATGGGCTTGGGAAGGGAAGGGACTGTGACATCCTGAGGAAAGCAGAGGTCCTTGGCATCCTGCCATGGCTGAGGGAAGTGAGCCATGCACAACTCCCTAGCTGCGTGCCGCACCTTATAGTCTGTACAGAGATCTGTCTCTGTGGCATTCATTTGAGCCTTTCTCCATCAAAAAAAGACCTCATTACTTCTGTTTGCTAATGTGAACCTGAAGCGCAGGAGAGCTGACTCACTCCAGGTCATGCATGCAGTTAGTGGCAGAACTTCAGTTTGGGCCCATGTCTGTCTCTCCTAACCACTCTGCTCTCCAGCCTGTCATTCATTCATTCTCATCCCCCACTCATCCAAGACAAATCAAGACAGATACTGAGCAGACAGTGCACGCCCTGGAGATGGGGGCACAGGGAAGACATGAGCCTGTTTTCAAATGGCTGCATGGTCCTTCACCCTAAGGACCATGTAGCCATTAGGCAGGAGAATCAGAGGCTGAGATCTGGCCCCCTTTATTTATTGTCCAGTGACCTTTGTACTGGGCTCATGGTCATTGCTCCTGACATTTGCAAAGCACTTTACTGCAGGCAAATGCTTCCACATGCAACTTGTCAGTGGAGCTGGTGGGACCTGCATCGTGTCTCTGCTTTATAGACAAAGAAGCTGCCGTTACCGTGAATTGCCCGCCGTCCTTTGGCAGAGCTAGTGGCAAAGCCAGGCTCTGAGCTGGGCCTCCTGGCTCCAAAGCCAGTTCTCCTTCCACTCCGCCGCCTCTGAACACAGAGCAACATGGGTGAAACCTTTCATGCATCTCTCTCCTTTCCCCCTTGGCTTCTGAAACACAAGTGAGCCTAGGAAGGAGAGGTGACTGCCAGCAGCCTTTTAGGAGAGACGTTCCTGTACTCAACAGTTATTAAGTGTCCACAGCATGTGAAGCACTGCCTAGCCCATCGTGACAGCTTCAGATTGACATGATATTAGAAGGCAGCCGTGACTTGGGTACCAAAGGACTGGGAACACCAGCGTCAGGTCTCCCGCTGTGGCCACTGTCCTTTCACAGCCTCTGGGAACACCCCCATGCACACCCCGACATGGGAGGGCAGTCAGCTTCTTTCCCAGGTGCGGCCCACAAGGGCGACGGGGTGGGGACGGCCCCAGGAGAGCAGAAGCCCTCGGGGCTGCAGTGTGATTAAATTCTCTGTTGTGAGAAAGTGACACTATGATCTGATTCATACCAGTAAATATGTGATTTACATTTAATTCTGAGTAACCTTTCTGGGCTCGGCGAGGTGTGAAGGAATCTGATGGGGCCAGCTCCGTGGAGAAGGAGGCGATTCATATTCATTAAGACCTCCACATTAGCCAGCTGAAGGGTGGCAGAGCCCCAGCCCGCCCTCCTCCTCATGCCTGCCGAGGTCACGGCTGCAGGGAGGCCAGCAGTCACACTGGCTGCCACCTGGGGATGGGGGTGCAGGTTAGCGGTGAGAGCTGGAGGCACCAAGAGAAAGTGGGAGGAAAATAAACAGCAGGCCCACGAGTGACACTGTCCAGGTGATGTCGGCCCTCCAGAGTTTGCTGAATGAGTCCTATTGAGCCCTCGAGGGTGGAAGAAGAGATATTGATCGAGGAGGTGGTAGCTCTGAGAAGCCCCTGCTGCTCCCTTTGTAGGACTTACAAGGCACTATAAAGCCATCTTTGCTTCATACAGGCTTGGGGCAGAGAGAGAAATGCTAAGGAAAGAGGGTTGGGGTCTCAGGACAAGGAGAGTGGTGCTCTTGGCCCCTGAGAGCACTTGTTCAGGTTTTGATGAACTGAGCTGAGGTCACCCCAGGTGCACATGGCCCGATGAGCTTGGGAAGTGAAAGAAGTGAGCTGAGATAAGGAGGCATGCATCTCCCATGGACGAGCTCCCCAGATGTCCTTGGACCCTCCACTTGCCCGTCCTCTTAATGGGAATATCTACAATGATTAATGACAACCCCAAGAGCCTGTGTTTGTGGAATGCTTGCCGGGTGCCCACTCTGTGCAAAGCCATCTTACATGCATGCTTCTACTGAGTTCTTGCAGTAGCTTTATGGAGGAGTGACTACGAGTACTTCCAGAGCATTGACGAGGATACTGACGCCCATTTTGGGCAAATGACTCACCCTAAGTCATGTACACAGTTCGTTGCAGAGCTTCTGTTTGGACACATGTCTGTCAGACTCCAGAGCCTGCTCTCCCAACCACTGTGCTCTCTGGCCCTTCATTCATTCATTCTCGTCATCCACTCACCCAAGACAAACCAAGACAGGTACTGAGTGATGGGGGCACAAAGAAGACATGGGCCTGTTTTCAGAGAGCTCTCCATGGGGGAGAGCAGGGAGACAGATCATTATCATTCAAGGTGGCAAACATCACCTGCTCTTAGTTGGGCATGGACTTCTTAGAGTGTGCTGGGGAGAGAGAGACCACTGTGTGCTGGAGGAATCAAGGAAGGCTATCTGGAGGAGACATTTTAGAGAAAGCCTTGAAGGATAGTTAGAAGTTTGTCAGGAGATAAAAGAGAGGGCCAAAAAGTATTGGGTGTGTCTAGGAAACAGCACACATTCTGGGGCACAAAGAAGATGCTCAAAGAGGAGCCATGGGAGATGAGGCTGGAGAGGAGCCATGGGAGATGAGGCTGGAGAGTGGGCCAGGTTGTCAGGAGAGCCCAGGCAGAGGGGACAGGCAGTGGGGAGCCATGGAGGGGTTTATGCAGCGAGTGGCATGTGGGTTTGCTTCAGAATTATAGCTGTGGCAGAAGCGGATCAGAGTGAGGTGCCTGGGGGACCATGGCTTGTCCAAGGGGACACTTACCCTAGCCTCTGGTAAGTCTCTGACATTGCAATTGGTTTTTATTTGGATTGAACCTCTTTTTTCAACAGAGCAGGGGCCTAAAGCTTTGCCTAGCACTTTTCTGGGCCCTTTGAGGATACAGAAGGGAAGAGAATATGACTTTTGACCTCAGGGGCCTTTCATCCCAGTTGGGCTCCGGGCTGACCCAGAAGCCATTTGGGAAGAGTGAGCCGAAGGGCCCTGGCTGGGCCTGCCTTTGTCCCACCACAAAGGAATATGTCCAGGCTGCTGCTGATGATGTGGGGGTCATTATCTTAGAGAAGGCACTGTGAAGATGTGAAAACAAAAGGGAGGGTGTGGAGTGAGAGAGGAGGGAGTCCAGAACAGCCCTCTAAGCAACACCCACGTCTAGGAGGAAGCTGAGCTGCCCACAATCAGGGAGGAGAGCGGTGACGCCTGGGTGTCCAGCAGCTGAGGCCAGAAAGTGTGTCAAGGAGGAGGAAGTGTCGGCAGTGCCAGGCCGGGTCCATAGCCCACGTGCGATGGGGGAGGAAGGGCGTCCGCTAGATTTGGCAACAAGGAGGTCAGAGGCAGCTGTCAGAGGCCAGCCTCAGCGGCCTGGAGGGGGCCGCAGCCAGACTGAGGGAGGTGGGAGGTGAGGAAGTGGGAAACACTTGTGTAGATGCCCCCAGGTGAGAGGTTTGGCTGTGAAAGAAAAGCGGGGGTGGGACCACAGCGGGAAGGGGTCAGGAAGCCAAGAAAGGGATGCTTTCCAGAAGAGGCTGAACTTGTGGCAACACTGTTGGCCAGGAGCCACGAGAGAGGGAGGGAGCTTGGGGATGCAGCAGATAGGGGCTGATGGAAGGAGCGGTCTCTGAGGGTTAGGGAAACTGCTGCGGTGGAGACAGGGAGGAGGGCGGAAGGCGGGCGTGGGCGCAGCCGTCAGTCCACAGGTTGGGTGGCAGGACCCGAGGGCCTCTGGAGTCGTGCTGTGGAGGGTGCTGAGTCTGGGCGGCTGGGCCTGTGTGGAAGGTCATGGTGGGCCTCCAGCTATACCACTGTTGCCTTCTGCCTTTCTCAATTCACCCCTCACTCTCCTCTCCTTCTCCTGCCCCCGCCTCACATCCTGGAGAGGACAAGAAGATGTAAGGGCCTTCACCTGGTGCCCCTTGGCCTCACGGTGCTGGTGACACTGGCAGAGATGGAGAGGGGAAGCAAGGAAGCCCTGAGAAGGCTGCTGCCTGGGAGGAAGACGCCAGAGCTGCAGTGTTAACCTTGTGGGGGAGCAGGGGGTGGTGGGGGGATGAGAGCCGGTGAGGGAGTCAGGAAGCTGACGGTGTGGGGAGTAAGGAGAGTGCCTGGGTTCACTGCGCATAGGCTTGGGCAGGCTGGAGGAAGGAGCTGTGGAGAAAAGCCACAGAAAATAATTTCTCCACAGGTCCGTGGGCCCCGTGGTCCAAGGTAGAGCCAGTTTCCTCTGCAGGGAGTTTTCAGCGAGCGAGAAGAGAGGAGGAATATAGAAGACAGACTGGCCTTTCATCTGGGCTTGACATCTGCCATGCAAATTGTCACAGAATGATGATGTGGCTGAACCGGTGGCCAGATGGTCATCGTCCTCAGTGGCTGGTCATGGAGCACCCAGAGAATTGCCAGAGGGTGTCACTGCATCCCCCAGCAGGTGGAGCAACCCTCCTCCTGCCCATCTTCCTTCTCCATTCTCCAGAATGAGGCCTCTCTCCTCCAACAGGTGACAGTCACTAAGGCACGAGCCCTAGTGGGACAAAAGCATCCCCATGTGCAGGGGGCAGGGCTGGGCCTCGGGGTCAGCCAACTGGAGTCTGGCTTGGCGCTGCCCTCTGGCTTTAGCTGTTTCTGTATCCACCTCCCGTGGTGCGCTTCTTAGCCCCCTAGGTGCTGGGTCCCCAAGCCCCCTGCTCCCTCCAGGAAAGGGCTGCTGTGGTCCCCATGGGCAATTCAGTTCCTGTCTGTCTTCTTCCTTTCATAATATACACTGGGGAGAGGGGGCTGAGGTCGGGGGTGAGGACAAAGGTGGGGAGACTCATTTAGTTTTCATGAAAGTTCTACTCTCTTGGAACACTTTTGGGGGCTTGGCTGGCCTCCAGGAAGACAGAGGCAGGCAGGCCTGTTGGAGAAGGTTGTCCAGTGTGTGCACTGCTCAAAGGCACCTGGTGGGGGCTGGGTCAAGTGGGACCTGAAACCCACCCTAGGCCCACTGGTCAAGCCCTGGTATGGGCTGTGTCTGCCCAGAGGAGGAGCCTTTTCTAATTCACACGAAGGCGTTGTATAGGCTGGCTGACTCCTCCAAAGGTTGGAGCGTGTGCCTGGGAAGCTCCACACACCTATCCTCAGCCAGGTGGGTCAAGGGGACCTCCAGGTCAAAGGCCTGTAACAAGAACCTTCTGGCAACCTGCATATGCAGCTCAAGTGGCCAGAGGAGGGCTGGGAATTGGAGGATTTCCAACCTATAGGTCCCTTGGAGAGGTCAGGGTGGAGCGTGGGGTGGAGTGAGGGTGGGGCAGGAGCCGGCGTTGGGGAGGACCTAGGAGTGTAGGTTCGTGGCCAGGATAGGAGGAGTGAACAGAACAGAGATGACAGCACTGGCTGGGGAGTGCTGGGCCTGGCTCCTGCACTCCTGGGACACTCCTGGGAGACTCTTGGCAAGTTGCTTTTCCTCCCTGTGCCTCAGTTTCTTCATCTGACAAATCTAGAGGGAGGGAATAGACCAGGGCAATGACATGCATTTAGTCACAGGAGACAGAGTTGGGTCTGCAACTTTGACATGTCCTGGGGTCTGGGCTTGGATTTCAGTCGCCCTCCCTCCCGCCTACCCACCATCTCTCTCTTTCCTGAAAGGAAGGGAAACAAACCAGAAAGGGATCTGCCTCCTTTGCGGCGGGGTTTCGGGTGGGGGCGGTGGGGGGGTTCCGTTTCCATCAGCCCCTGGAGGAGCAAGAGGAACAGGAAAATTACAGTATCAGCATGGAAACTACAATTGGAGGCGTCTGATTCACCAGGGAGGGTGACTCGTTCCTCTTTTTTTATTTTTAGTCGCTATTATGTCGGCAAGGAGGCCTGTGCTCATTAACCTGTATTGCCAGAGCAGAGACTGCGAAACCGCTGGTGAATAAACCTGCCCCAGCTGCCCCCTCTGCTCCCATCAGTTATTTATAGCCTGCCTTCCCTCTGGTGAATTAATTAACTTGTACTTGAGGCCTTGGACAGTATTGTGTTTAGTTGGATGTCTGTGTGGAGGCCAGTGCTGGAAGCGGGTAGCAGGAGTGGAGTAGGCTGGAAGGCGGGGCTGCTGGCTGCCCCCAGCCCTGCAGTCAATCTTCCTCACTCCAGCTCTGAGCTCCCCCGCAAGCCACTCCCATGCATGGCAGAGGAGGATTGAGGGGTCACTTGTACCGCAGCTTCACTGCTTAGAGCCTTGGAGCTTTGGGATTTTAAAAGCCAGTTTGACAACGTACTAGGACAAAAAAAAAAAAAAAAAGTACATCCTTTCCTCTCAGCAGGAAAGCAAGGGCCCAAGAGGTAAAGCTCCAAAAATCTCTGGGCCAGAGCAACGCAGGCTGAAAGCTGTATCCCACAGGCAGGGGTTCCCTGGAGGGCTGGGAGGAGAGATGAGGCTGGAGGACGTTTCCAGAAAAGGCAGGGAGAAGCGGGGTGCATCAGCATGGACTTCAAGTCTGTGAGAAATGCCCAGGACCTCAAACCCAGCCTCCTCAAGTGAGAGGCAGCATCTTGTTCAACCATTCATTAATTAATTGGTTCATTTCTTCATTCAATAGCATTTGTAAACTCCCCAGTGTGTAGATGAATGCTGAGCTAGATTGTCCCTGCACTTGTCGCAAACCTTCTTTGTCTGCTTGTACACACCCCTCTACACTCCCTGTCTAGTAGGGAGCCAGTGTCTAGCCAGTGAGGATAACGTCCACTGATTGGTCGCCTCTGTATTGCCAGAAGCACCTAGCCCAATGCTGGGCACATGGTAGGATTCAGTTATCGTTTGGGGACTTCCTTGTCTCAGGTTTCCTAAGGAGACAAGGACTATAAGCAATGCCAGCCACCACCTCCCCCAACTCCCCATCAGCATCCCCAAGGCTGCCCTAAACACACACAGTCCATATAGAAATGGAGTCCTGGCCTTGTCAATGCAACATCGATGCCAGTCCCCTAGGAGCCCCCATCTCCTACCCCCAGATGGCCTCTCCTGTATCCCAGAGCCCTCTCCCCTATCCAAGCTAGATCCCAGGTTCTGACCTCCAGTGCAGGCTTCTGGACAAGGGCACCCCTGGGGGTCATCTCTTGTCACTGCTCACAAGCCCCACCCAAGCCCAAGGCCCCAGACACCCACTGTCCAGGCTCACAACCACTTGCTCCCAAAGCAGGCAGCTGGCCAGGCGCTGGTCATGTGGAGGGGCTACTCTTGGAGTCACATGTCTCCTGACAGAAGTGGACATCCTGCTTCCTTTCTCCCCTGGCAGTGCTGACTCCTAGAGGAAGGGGATTGAAAGGGGCTAAGCCTTGGACTTCACCCATGAAATTCAGCGCATTTACTTTTCAGGCCTCTTTGCACCACTGCTCACCAGGTGCTCACAGCCAGCAAGTGCCAGGCAGCCTGATTGTTGCTCTGGGGCTCCGTCCTGCACCCCGGAAGTGGCCTTCTGGGGTAGGCTTGTGACCCAGCCCTCCACACCAGCCTGGAAAGTTTGGAGGTCGGGCTCCCACCCTCTCTCAGCACCTTGAATGACCTTGCTGAGTATTGATGATGAGTTCTCATCAGCACTAGTGATAATATGAAAATCACTATAATTAGAGCTGGCAGGTTGGTCTTGCTCTGCATTAGAGATGATGTGAATTGCTTATAGGGGAATTCCCCACCCCCAAGTCCCACCCCACCTGGGAGAAGAGCTTCACACCCCAGACCTGGCTCTCTCCAGCTCTCCAGTCTCCCCTGGGCCCCCGGGGCCAAGGCCAAAGTTCTCTGGGCACAGTTTTGTGCCCAAAAATTACCCCTTATGCCTGCAATTTTCCATTTGCACCTTCAAAATAGAGTGCAACTGGCTAATTGCCATGGCAATTAGGTAATTGCAGGTGCAATTAACATCTTTCCAGCAAAGCAGGGGGAGAGGGAGGGGAGACAGGGGAAGAGAGAAACAGTGAGAGGAAATGCAGGAGCCTGCAAGACAGACCAAGAGGTTGTGAGAGAAAAACCGAGGGGATGGGGAGAGAAAACAAGAGTGGGTGGGCAAGGAGAGAGATGGGATGGCTAGAAAGAAGAAAGGTGTGTGTACAAAGAAAAATACATCAATAAGACTCAGCCACTGTCTTGGAGGAGCTGATGGCCTAGAGGTGAGAAGGAGGCCCAGAGCAGAGCAGGAAGGTGGATGTGGAGCATTCCAGCCTGGTGGCACCGGGAAGCTTTCCCAGGGAAGGTGGTGCCTGAGCTGAGCCTGGAGAAGGGCTTCTATAGGTGGGCAAAGGGAGGCGGGAGTCCTGGTGGTTATATCAGCATGAGCCAAGGTCCAGAGGTGTGTGAGCCCAAGTATGCCCCATAGGACTTCCTGCCATAATGGGAATGTTCCAGACCTGCACTGCCCAGGCCAGTAGCCACCAGCCATGTGTGGCTATTGAGGACTCAAAATGTGGCTAGTGCTATTGAGGAATTGGATTTTTAATATTATTTAACCCTAAATTGAAATTTAAATAGTCACATATGCTCCGGTATTGATCCACACAGACCACAGAGGAATGGGAATGGGGCCTGGATGCCAGGGAAAGGCCCCATAGCAGCTGTCCCCCTCCTAGTCCAGGGGACTGGAGAGGTGGCATCAGGTACCGAGATGGGGAGGACAGAAGAGGGGTTGAGAAGAATGGGTTGGGGCACCACATGTTTGGATGAAGACTTGTTCACCATGAGGAGATGGTTAGGGAACCATGGCAAGTTTGGGATTGAAGCCCCTGTCCCTGCCCTCCCTTCCCTCAGTACCCTTGTCGCTGTAGAGGTGTCTCCTTCCTGGTGTCTCATTTGGGGAAAGCTCCACACTCATTCTCTACACGGTTTGGGAGAAGGAGAGGACTGTGCCTCTCCCTGTCCCTCCAGCCCCACTGTCCCTAGGCCCAGCCCCAACCCAGCAGCCCAACTGCCTTTACAGCAAAATAAGCTTCAGTGAGGTCACGTGGACTCAGGGCAGCCACACACACTCATACGTATCCACACTCAAACATACAAATACATATGGTCACACCATCACCCCTGGACACACTCATACAAGCACACACACCCTCAAATCCAAGTGCACACAGCCTCACAGACAACACACACACAAGTGCTTGGGGCAGTGTTTACAAAGCCCTGGAGGGGCTGGGAGGCTCCCGCCCTGTGCAGGTGGTTGGAGGTGTGGATCACCATTAGCACCAGTGACATTCAAGGACAGAGCCCAGAGACCCACTGCAGGGGTGCCTTCATTGGGTCCCCTTTCCCTTTCTCACCTTTCAGCTGGAAAGGCTCTGGCCAGGCCCGGGCTGCGAACACCAGGCTACATTTGGGGAGGGGTGTGGCCCCAGGACTGCGCTGTGGTGCACCCTGCCTCACCCTTGCCATCTCGTCACCCTCTCTCCCAGCCTCCTGCCCCACTGCTCCTTTGCACGCTCTGCCTGCCTGACATCTCTCTCTGTCTCCTCTCTCTCTTTCTCGTTCCCACTCTCTCCTCCCTCCCCTTGCTTGGGTCCTTCCTAATCTCCTTCCCTCACAGTGTCTGGTTCCCTCTCCTGTGCTAGAACCAAACCTTCCAACCCATGAAACTCCAACCCTAGGGCTGCCGCACCAGACTTCTGGAATGTTCTCCTTTGCTGATGTTGTGGCCTGGCTGTGAAAGCCCCTAGGACCTGAGAACAGGACTCTCTGGACTGCAGCAGCAGAATGAGTGTGGTCAGTGTCTAGGCCAGCAGAGGGGACAGCAGGCCTTGTGGAAGACAGAGGGTGAAGACCCTTCACGCAGTCCATTGTCTGAGTGTGCACATATGTGCCTGTGTGTGTCTGCACGCTCACGCACATATGCACATAAACTCTCTACCCTGGAGACTAGAGGGAGCTGTGTGGGTAACTCACTGGGAGATCTTGAGCAAGTCACCACCCACCTCCAGGTTGCAGTTTCCTTTCTCTGAAACAAAGATCATTGTCTGGTCCTGGTGTGCAGAGTCCTTGGGAAGGGCTGGGGAGATGCCCCCCAGAACAGCTTGGCTTTGGTTGGGCTGAAATAGATTTTACTGGAAAGCAAAGCACTGTGGCTAAAGCACAATGCATGGTCACACAGGTACCTTCCCTCCCTGGAATCCTATAATGCAATGAGTCCCTACTGGTTTTTTTTCCCCAGCCTTACCCCAGCCCTACCCAGTGCTTGACACAGGCCTGGGCATAAAGGAGTTGGTCATCCAGAGGAGGCCCGGAGGTAGCCTGTGGGTGGTCTGTCTGTCTGCCCTCTTGTGGTTGGTGCTGCTCAGGTCCCGGTAGACGGTGGGAGTTAGAAGCCCAAGGCCCTGCACCAGGATGCAGAAATGGGGAGGCAGCAGTTGGTACAGGAAGAACATGGCTTCACACACTCAGTCCCAAACCCACCTGCCTCACGGCCAGGCATTGAGATTGCACCCACCTCTCTCACACCCCATTCTCAAGCTGCACATCCTCATTTTGTGGCTACACCCGTGCACATGCGGGCACACACACACCTCCAGGTCAAGGCAGCCCTCCATGTTGATTTCAACTTGATTTCATCTGTATAAATGCCAGGCACAAAAAGCACAGCATGGAGCTGTCCTTCAGAAGCCCGTTTGAATTTCCCCAAAGATAATCCATTAGATAGGGAGTGGGGGAGGCACACAGGACAGAAGAAACAACAGAAATCCCATCTGTTTAAGGAAAAAAGGCATTTATTAAATGATTTTCAGTTGAGCCCTTGGTCAGTCTCTGCGAGGACTAGAGACCCAAACATAAAGGCCACACCACCAGGACCCAATCCTAAAGCCACCCTGTAGGACTGGCCATGGGGTCACCACGGTACTCTCAGCCAGCACACTTTCTACCATGGACGCTGGGCACCGGGTGCCAACCCTGAGTCCCGCCCACAGCTGCCCCTGGGAGAGGGGGCCCAGCAGCTGGCACTCCTGCTGGACGGGGGTCTCACAGCATCTGCTTCTTCAGACGCCTGACTGCAGGCTGAGGTCCCACGTGAGCATATCTGCTAGCAGAGCTGAGGTCACGTGACTGAGCTCTGGCTGCCGAGGAGCAGGAAAACCAGTAAGTGGCAGCTGCCTTAGAAGCGAGAAACTCACACGTGAGGAATTCCCAGGCAGAGGGAAGAACAAGTAGGCAGAAAGATGGACAAATGGCCCAGCACCCCAGACGGCCTGGGCCCTCTGCACAGCCTGACCTGCTCTAACCACTCACCTCTCCAGCCCCTCACTGAGGACCCAATCTGGTTGCCACCCTCGTCCCTTCCGCCTGGTTTCTAGAGCCTCCAACCTCATGAGCTGGCCCAGCCAGGCCCTCTGCCTTTGGGGCCCCAAGAGCACAGCAGGCTTCCAGGGCTGGTGAGGCGGGGGCGTCAGCAAACCACAGGCCATGCCTTTCCGGTGACATTTGGCTCAGGCTGGGGTTGAGGTCGGCTTCAGACTCAGTGAGAGAAACACACACCACCCCGCAAGCTTCCTCTAAGAAGGGCTCCGAGAGGAGAGGGCTGCATCTTGTGCAGGCAGGAGAGTCAGGGGTGGAGCAAGGGATGCCCGGCTTCTGACTACCATGCTGTCTACCTGTCATGGCAGCAGTGGCAGCTGACGACCACCAAGTACTCGCCACGTTTCTGGCGCTGTGCCAAGCATGCAACTCTTAACGTCCTGGCAGCACCTGAGTTAGGACCCACTGTCTCCATGTTACAGAT
The DNA here is from genome assembly GCF_000001405.40 of Homo sapiens. Lineage (NCBI taxonomy): Eukaryota > Metazoa > Chordata > Mammalia > Primates > Hominidae > Homo > Homo sapiens. The sequence goes on along the minus strand of NC_000015.10, from coordinate 70,258,484 downwards.
GAGGAAACCGAGGCAAAGAGAGGTTAAATAACTCACCTGGGGCCACTGGCTACTGAGTGGCGGAACCAGGATTTGAACCCAGTCTGGTCCAGAGCCCTTCACCACTTTGTTAAATGGCCCCTCGGTTTATTTATCCTCTCTGTCCCTCTGTTTTTCCCTCTAAAAGAAGAGCCCCAGGTGGCCAAGGGACATGGAGTAGTGGAGGAGCACCCAGCTCACAGCTTTTCCCTCTAAAAGATGAGCCCCAGGTGGCCAAGGGACATGGCGTGGTGGAGGACCACCACGTGTGTGAGCACCAGCTCACAGATGGTGACTTAGGGTTTCCACCCTGCTCTGCTTTCCCTTGGCTGTGGACCCTGGGCAGTTAGTTAACTTCTCTGAGACTTAGTTTTTCTCACCTGAAATGTAGAGCAATGAGGTCTACCTGCAGGAAGTTTGTGGGAGCAATGAAGTTGTGGGTGCCTCGCACCTGGCAGGTGCTCAGGAAATGCAGGACCAAAAGCACTCAAGCCTGAACCCCTCAGATGGCCCCTGGGTAAGGAAACGCTGCAGCTCCCCCAACCACCCAGCAATACCTGAGTCTCAGACACCCAGTGAGATGGGAGACCACGAGCCCAGCCTGAGGAGCCATCCTTGCTAGGCCATATGACCAGCTCCCTGAGCTAGGTCTCACGGAAGTCGCTTTGTGCCCCTGCCCCCATGTGTCCTGTGTCACTACCCAGTCCTTCCTGTCATGAGGAAGCAGCCACATGCCCTCCTCACCCTGGACCTTGGGGCCCTCAGGACCAGCTCTTCCTTTGAAAAGAGGAAGATGGAAGGCAGCAATTCTTAGCCTCACCAGGAAAATGCAGCCTGCCGCTCTCCTATTGGAATCAAGGTTGTCTAGATTGGGTAGGTGGGGGTGGGATAGTTGTGGGTAGGGGAATTTTGAATTCAGGAGTCCCTCAGGTCAGAAAAAACAATTTTGGCTGGGCGTGGTGGCTCATGTGTGTAATCCCAGCACTTTGGGAGGCCGAGGCAGGAGGATCACTTGAGCCCAGAAGTTCGAGATCAGCCTGGGTAACATAGAAAGACCTCTTCTTAGAGGTCTTCTTAGAATCTTACACCTAGGAGGGCAAGGGATCTTTTGTCTTGCACCCCTCCCTCCTGAGCTGTGGTGGCTGCCTCCCTAGAACACTGCTGACTGTGTCCGGACTTAGGGAGAAAGAGCACTGTGATTGATTAGCGATGTCTGCCTTGGGCAGGGGATGAGACATACATAGTCTGTATTTGCCATCCTGTATCTAAATATCTGCCCATGAGGCCTGAAACCCATTCTCTTCCAGTCCTCCCTCCTTTACTCTCAAGTTCCCTAGAACAAGCCATCTCTCATCTAAGACATTGCCCAAACAGAACTCTTCCATAGCCTCCACCGACTGCATGGCTGTTTTGTTTCTCATGCATTTCTCCCAGATGATGAAAACCTAGACCAGCGGTTCTCAACTGGAAGCAATTTTGCCCCCCAGGTGACATTTGGCGATGCCTAAAGACATTTCTGGTTGTCAAAACTGGAAGGGTGGGGGTGGGGTGCTTCTATAGGTATCTAGTGGATGGAGGCTAAAGATGCTGTTAAGCATCCCACGATGGACAGGGAAACCTCCTACAACGGTTGAATTTGGCTCAAACTGTCAGGAATGCTCAGGTTGAGAAGCCCAGGTCTAGAGAATAGACTGCTTTCTTGCTCCCACTAGAGTGATCTGTTGGGCTCCCAGCCCAGCACCCCTAACCCTTCAAGCCGGGATCAACCTCCCTCTCTCATTCACAACTTCATCCATCACTGAGACCCCTGGGTTCCTCGGCATGGTTCACAAATCCTTTCAGGATCTCCCTCCACCCCAGATCTCACCTCTCACCCAAGTGTTCTTCCACCCACTTGCTCTTCCCTGCACCGCCCCTTTCTATCCGTTTAGCAAATTTCTACTCGTCCTTTAAAACTCAGATTAGACATCACCTTCTCCAGGAAGCCTTCCCTGTCTCATCCTCCACGAGGACCAGTGTAACCAGTCACACCCTCTGTGATACTTCTGTTTCTTGCAAAACCCTCTGCTGCTGTACTGACACCCCGCATCGTATTTTATGTTATTTGTTTAAATGACCACTTTCTTCATATGATCATCAACTTTGTGAAAGCAGGGACTGGGTTTTATTCACTTCGTATTCCAGCCTGGCACCTTGTGAGGCTCAGTCAGTAGCTCAGCCCGTCCTGCCTCTTGGCTGCTGTTCCCGCCTTGCATCAGCCTCATCCAGGACTCACACTGTTGGGTTCCCACAGCAGAGTAGTTAAGGGGTGGGGGATGTTCAAATCCAGCTCCTGCAACTCACTAGCTGAGTGACCTAGGGCAAGATGCTTCACCTCTCCGTGTTTCATCTGTGAAGTGGGGGCAATAATGAAACCTATCACATAGTCATGATGATTAAATGACCTCATAGATGGAAACAGCTTAGAACAGTGCCTGATACACAGCAGGGGTTCAAACAGAGTTACTGCTGATCATCAGGTAGGATTCTCTACCCATGCCATAATCCTGCCTTGGGTGCCCACCATGTCCCATTTCTTCATAGACCCATCATCTCGGAACCATGACTGCCTTCCACTGTTCCCTGCTACCTGTTTTCCGTCCCTGATGTCCTCCTGCACGTTCATCTCCTGGGGCCTGGGGCCAAATGCTCTGGGCTTCCTAGACTGTGCTGATACCCTTCTCAGCCAGCTGCTGTCCTCCCTGGGCTCCTGCAGGGAGCCTTTGTCCTGCATCTGACCAGAGACCTTTTAGAAGCTGATATGGTTTGGATGTGTGTCCCCTCCAAATCTCATGTTGAAATGTGATCCCCAGTGTTGGAGGTGGGGATCTGGTGGGAGGTGTTTGGGTCATGGGGGGTGGATTCCTTATGAATGGCTTGGTGCTCTCGTCATGGCAATGAGTGAGTTTTTGCTTTGAGTCCACATGAGATCTGGTTGTTTAAGAGTGTAGAGGCCGGGCACGGTGGCCCACGCCTGTAATCCCAGCACTTTGGGAGGTTGAGGTGGGTGGATCATGAGGTCAGGAGATCGAGACCATCCTGGCCAACATGGCAAAACCCATCTCTACTAAAAATACAAAAGTTAGCCAGGCGTGGTGGTGGGTGCTTGTAATCCCAGCTATTTGGGAGGCTGAGGCAGGAGACTCTCTTGAACCTGGGAGGCGGAGGTTACAGTGAGCCAAGATCACGCCACTGCACTACAGCCTGGTGACGGACAGAGCGAGAATCCGTCTCAAAATAAAAAAGAAAAGAAAAGAGTGTGGGACCTCCCCCCGGCCCCCGACCCCTACCTCTCTTTCTCATCACATGATGCGCTGGCTCCCCTTCATCTTCAGTCATGATTGGAAGCTTCCTGTGGCCTCACCAGGAACAGATGTTGGCACCATGCTTCCGGTATAGCCTGCAGAACCATGAGCCAATTAAAGCTCTCTTCTTTATAAATTACCTTTATAGTAACCAAAAAAATGGACTAATGCAGAAGCCCTGCAGTGCCTAGAAAAGAGCCAAGCCTGTTAGACTGACTCAGGAAGTCCTAGCTGGGTGAACGACTGACTGATGGGATTTGTCAAGTGGGAGCCAAGGGCTGCAGGGGAGGGGAGAATAGGCTGCGGCCGGGGGAGGCGGGGAGGCAGGAGGCAGGAGGCAGGAGGCAGGAGGCAGGAGGCAGGAGGCAGGCCTCTGTAGAAAGCAGGAGCTGTTTCCAGGCTGGCTGATTGGTCTTGACAAGCAGGGTTGAGGCAGAGCAGCTCCATTGTCCTCTGCACTTTAAAAGGCCAGCGCCCCTCCCAGAATCTTTCCTTGGAGGCCTGCTAAAATAATACATTTAGACCCGCCAAACCCAATCGCTTCCGTCTGTCAGGCTCCCTGTAAATAGCACTTCTTAGCAGAGCTCAGCGAAAATACGATTCCAAACAGCATGGGGGCAATCATGCATCAATCGAAGAAAAACATTTTTCCCCTTCCCTTCCACCAACCCCCATAATTGCATTTTAAAACCGTTCCTGTGTTTCTGGGAGAGACACCACGGTACCTGTTGCTTTTTAACTCGGAGCCGAGCGGCGCGGCAAAATGAGGCTAAACACAGCAAAGTTATTTTGATTTATTTCCTAACGTCGGAATTTGGAGCTTGCTGCGGGGATTCAGCCACGAGAAGACAAACTGATGAAAATGTATTTTTCCCTGTCGTTACTCTTTTAAATAGATGGGTGTTTTATTCTTCCTTTTTGCCACTTTGCTGTGCTAGACTGAGCTTTATGGCACCCCGGCATGCCGTCGCTTTGCTTCTCCCCTCAGAAGAGGCCGCCCCACTCTGGGATTCTCTCCTCCCTGATGCAGAGACCTGCAAGACCCCTTGGACAGTTTTGACTTTGGGTCTGGCATTTCCCTCTTCAGGAGCCAGTTTTAAGGTCTAATAGCCCCTTTGAGAGTGGAGGGGATGCACCAAACCTCAGGCGACATGAGACTGTAGCATCCTTTCATCTCTGAATGAGTCAAGGTGGAACTAGGGGAGAGAGTTATTAAGGAGCCAGAAGGACAGAAAAGAGAGAAGGTGAGTTTGAAGACAACCATTTGCCATCAGCCAGACTAAACTTGCCAAACGCTGGATTTGACACCTGAAGCCACTTCTGGTTACCAGCTGGGAGGTGGCCTCCATAGATCTCTACCTGCAGAGTAGCATTCAGTGCAACCTGCATCCCTCCCCTGTCTTAGCCTGTCCTCCAAATTCCGGCTAACTCCTGAGTGCTTGGTGGGGCGCAGTCCTCCAGGCCCCGCTGCCTCTAGGCTCCCATGACGAGGGCTGCACGGGAGGCAAGATGCGGATGATGGGGTGTCTGGGAGTCACCCTGGGGTACCATGCCCTCCCTCTAGCTGCTTCTCCGCCCTCCCTCAAATGCTTGCTGGGACAGCTCCACATTCTCTTCCCTCATCTCTGCAGAACAGCCTCCCTCCTGTGAAAAGTTTCCCTCCTACCCCAAACACATCCACAGAGTTTTCTTAACAGAAATTGTTCTCTCTCTTAGATGAATTCCAGTGCCAGCTGCTAGGGTGTTTCCACTTTGTGTGGGTACAAAATGAGTTCCTGCACAGTCCTAACCCAGAGGCCTGGCCTTGCGAGGCCACATGAGAGCTGCAGAACCTCTGCTCTGCCCCCATGCCCTCGCTTTGGGGCGGCAGCCCCCGGGGGTGCTTGGAAGGAAAGAGGGCTGGGAAAGAACATAGGGACTTGGGGAGGGGCTTTCCCCAGGGAAATGCCTCATCTGTCCACAGCCGCCCATCCCCCTGAGTGGCCTCCTGCCACAACTGGGCCAGGTCACCACTGATGCCTTGTGTGGCTTTCTTTCCTCTTGTAGACCCAGCCTGTGCTGAAGCCAGTTGGGGACACCTCCAGCCCCACGTGCGCTGGTGAGCTTGAGGCCTTCTTTAAGGCTAAGCAGAGGACCAGTCCTCCTCCTGGGGAGAGTGGGCAGGGAGGGCACTGTTCTGGGAGTTATCTAGCTATGCCACCTCCTATGTGTGTGACTTTGGGGTGGCCAATAAGCACCCCTGAGCGGCAGCTTCCTCATCTGGCCAATGTCTGTGTTGACTGTGATCCTAGTGCCCGGCTCAGCTCAGACATCCCTTGGCATCTCAAACAAGGGGGTGCTGGGCCCTGCTGCCCATCCACAAGTGCCCCAACCCTGCATCATCAGTGAAGAGGGCACTGTGATGTCCCTGTGCAGATGGGAACAGTTGAAGTCTGAGAGGCTAAGCGGCACGGCTCCCACAGAATCTAGGCAGAAGACCCCGGCCTTCCAAATCCCAGGCTGTCTCTGCACACCTGCGTAGAGAAGGACACGCCACACAGCCTGGCGAGGACGGCTTGCCAGCTGGGCTCCAGGGAGGCCCGGCAGGGTTGCCACGGAGACGCTATTATCAACAGCTAAGGCAGGTCTGTGCAGGCAGCGCCAACCACAGCGCCCCAGAGCTCCCCTGCCGTGGTCCAGGGGCCTCACGGTTCCAGTGCCAGAGGGTCCCAAGTCACAGGGCAGTGGGTTAGGCTGCTTGTGTTCATGCTCCTCCCTCTGCCCTTTGAAAACCTGTGAGCCCAGGCAAGATGCTCCACCAGCCCTGGACCTTAGCTCCCTGGGTGATACAGTGTGCCGTGCCGCCTCGCAGGGTGCAGTGAGGGTTAAATAAGGTAATCTCTGTGAAGCACTTAGAACCATGCCCACAGATAAGAAGAATACAGGAAACAAGCTAGGATTTCTAGGCCTATTCCCTCTGCAGCCCAGAGAGGATGGACCCAAGGCAGAACCATGCCTCCTGGCTGTCGCCAAAGCCCCCTTTTCTCTGTATCATGTATTTAAAACGAACTTTGCTTGTGTTGTTCCCAATCCCCTGAAACAGCCTTCCCCTTCCAGTCCCTAAAAAGCTGTTCTGACCCCAAAAGCCGGGCTGGCAGCATCCAAGAAGCCGTTGCAAGCCACAGGCTCACGCTGGTGCCACGTCTCTCTCCTACTGGCTGGCATTCCATCAGAGACCTGCAGTTTCTGTCTTCCTAGTTAGGTACCCATTTCTTGGTCTCAGGCTCTCCTCTCCTCTCCTCTGAGGCTGTGAGCTCCCATTGAGAGCTGGGCAGACTCTACCTGCAAGCTCCTGGCCCCACCCTCTTCCAGGTGAGCTCATGTGAGACCTGAATGTGGAGGCTCTCTGTAAACAGGCTGAGGGAGGAAGTTTATCAGGTCATAGCTCCTGCCCCCAAGTGCCCCAGCTGTGAAATGAGGGTGAAATAGTAGCTGCTAGTTAAGGGACCTCACCATATGCAAAGCCCTGGGCTTTCCTGTCCCATTCTATCCTTACAAACTTATTTTTTCAGGCAGGGAAACACAGGCTCAAGGCAGCTGCGTAACTTGCCCAAGGTCACACAGAAAGTTGCAGAGCAGAGTATTCTAGATCTCGGGCCTTGCCTGACCCACAGTCGGACTCTGAGCCGCCATCGCTCACTCAGTCAGCTGATGCCAGAACCATCCAATGGTGTCACGCTCCCTGAGGGCCGGTGCCAGGCCTAGCTCCCCCAACCCTCTTCTCCACCTATGCTAAATCAGTGAATGATTGAGCCAGTGACAGAATTACATTGTCGACTTCATGAATGTGCTTCTAAAAGAATCAGATACTTTTCAAACACCAGGTACATGGTACACTGAGGAAGAGAAGCTGAGGGAGCCGAGGCCAGGGGGGTGCAGCTTTGCCACTGTCACCAGAAGCAGGCCCAGAAGCCTCTCCACAGCCCCCGGCCTATGCAGGACTCCTGGGACTTGATTAGGGTGATTTATTTTCCTAGCAGGGCAGGAGGCTGTGGGGGCCAGCCTGAGGGAGGTCTGGGCAGCAGTATCCCATTATCTCTCCTGGGGCAAGTTAGAGAGGAGCAGGCGGTTACAGTCCCTGCTTCCAAAGGCTTCTGGAAAATAAGACGACCGTCTGGCCACGGCTGGGCCTGATTCTCTCTCATCTGCTAGAAACAGTTCAGACAGAGGGCAGCCCTTGAACTTGGGCTGGGGAGGGTGTGTTTCTGTGCCTGCGCTGACGCAGCTCTCCATCCCTCTCCCTTGCCTGCCTCCTTGAGAAGAGGCAGGGGATGCTGGCAGGGAGTCCTCAGGGGGCTTCTCTGATTAGAGGCTCGTCCTGGCCACCTGGGTCCTACTGAGAGGAAAGTGGCTTCCCCCGGGGCTGCAAGCAAGTTGGCTTCAGTGCAGTCCCCTCTCGGGGGAGGCCTGCGGGCTGTGGAAATGATGAAGCTCCTCCCTTGTGACAACACGGCCACCTCCCACGCTGGGTACCATGGAGGAGCAGAGCCGGGTGAGACCTAGGAGGCCTTCTAGAACAGGGACCAGAGGCTCCGAGAGAAGAAACGCTGTGCTTTGGAAGACAGAGTTAGCGGCCACCCTGGATTGCGCGTGAGACCTGGACAGATGGCAACTGCCATGTTGGTGCCTGTGAGCGGGAAGATGCTACCAGGGAGGCACGAGGCCTTAAACAAGCATGTGCAGTGTCAGCATTGACTCGGACCAGCCCAGGCAGGGGCGCGACGGTCCATTTGGCCTGGTTTTTGAGAAGTTTGGGGGAATTTTGTTTCAGGTTTTGGAAAGGCTTCAAATGAAGGCGTGAATGAGGAACAGGAAAGTATGGCAGGAAAATCCACCACGAGCTGGGGGCTGTCAGCTCTGGATCCAGTCCTGGTTGACCCTCCCTTGCTGAGTTACTTGATCCCATTCCCAAGCCTCTCTGTCTTCTTATTTGTGAAACGCAGAAAATAATCCCACTGCACCAACTTCCCAAGGGAGCCGTGGAAGATCCAGCACACAAAAACAATTAGTTACAAGCCCACACACAGAAGGGGGGCTATTATCGTGCATGCATGCCCACGACAGGATGCATTTGGCCTCCGAGAAGGGGCCAGGACTTGTCACGGCAAGGAAGTGTGCTTTCACAGAGGGTGTATGAACAGGTAGTATTGATGGAGCACTGCCAGGTGCCAGAGTGTGCAGAGGGAGTCTCCTCACCAGTGTAATCTTTATAACCACCCTTCAGGATGAGTTCCACTACATCCATTTCCGGGTCAACCATCAGAAACCCAGAGAGGTTAAAGGGCCTGCTGACAGTCACGCAGCTGGTCTGAGTGGAGGAGCAGGAAGTTCAGCGGAGGCCAGTCTGCTTCCGGGCCACCATCTTCCACAAAGTTCAGGCTCTAAAGGTGAGGAGATGTCTAACAGGCAGAGTCTTGGAGGGGCAGGCAAGGACCCAAACTGGAAACCAGATGCTGTAGTCAACTGGGGGCCCTAGGGAGCTGCCCACCAGATGAGACTGAGCTTCCCATCCCTACGAGGGAAGAATGGGCACCACATCTGTTAGGCCTCATGAGCTGTTGGGAGGATTAACTTGCTTTTTTTTTTTTTTTTTGAGATGGAGTCTCACTCTGTCACCCAGGCTGGAGTGCAGTGGTGCGATCTCGGCTCACTGGAACCTCTGCCTCCCGGGTTCAAGCGATTCCCCTGCCTCAGCCTCCTGAGTAGCTGGGACTACAGGTGCGTGCCACCATGCCCGGCTAATTTTTGTATTTTTAGTAGAGACGGGGTTTCACCATATTAGCCAGGGTGGTCTCAATCTCCTGACCTCGTGATCTGCCTGCCTCGGCCTCCCAAAGTGCTGAGATTACAGGCATGAGCCACCGCGCCCACCTAACTTGTATCTTAAAACTGAGTCTAAAACTATAAATTGTAATCGTCCTTATTTCAATAGCAAACCAATCACTGAAAGAGTTTAAAGGCCATTGAAATGATTTCTCTGACCCGGGCAGGGCTGTACCTTGGCCAGCCCAGGCACAGGAACCACTTTAGGATCTAAGAAAAGCACCTGCCAAGAGATGGGTCTTACAATCTTCCTCGTCAGGAGCCCACCTTCCTCCCTCTCACTGTGACTGTAACTTGCCTCTACCCTCTCTGGGACTGTGTGGTTAGGGTTTTCAGCCTGAACCTGCTCTGTCCTGGGTGGCCTCCCCCTCACACCCTCCTGAAGCCTCTCCAAACCCGCTTCCAGCAGCTCTGCCCCCAAGCAGGCAGAAACCTTATGTGTGGGCGGAGTCTGGGGAAGGGCTTGGTGGGTGAAGAGGGTTGGGGCTGCCACTGAAGCAAAGCCTCAGGGAAGGCGGAGCTTCTGTTTGATTTAAAGGAAACCTGGAAGTGTTTTCTTGAGCAGAGGAAGGGAGGAAGGGACAGGAATTCCAGGAAGCACCAGTGGTTGGAACAGAGATAGAAATGCGGGAATGAGAGAGGAAGGATGGAGAAACCAGCTTGGCCTAAAAGATCAAAGGGTGATACAGGTCATGAAAGGTCTAGAAACCACAGCTAAACTTAGACTGGCCATGGAGGCAGTGAGGAGGAGGACAAAGGCTCTTAGGCAGGTGATGTGTGGACAAAGGAACTCCTTCCTGCCTCTGTGACTGTTCTGTTATTCTGTAGAAAGTGGGGCTGAGGAGAGGCAGAGGTTCCCTTCAAACCTTCCCCAGCTCCCCCGCCTCATGCTGCAGGCTGCAGAGGCCAAGGCCACCATGTGACACTGCAGCCCCTCCTCGGGACCCCCTGGTGTGGCTTTTGTGGTCTGCCTTTCAGCAGCAACGCAGCCAGCTACATGCAGCCCACCAGAGGCCACCCCGCAGTGACCCCGTGTGAAGTGGCCTCGGCACAGAGAGGGCCTATGCAAATGAGAACGGAAAAAGTGATGTGGGTACCTGGTGGAAAAGTTTCCTTTCCCAGGCCCCCAGTGTTGGGGGTGGGCAGTGGGAGGTGGGCTGAGGCTCAAGGTTATGTCGAGCATGGCTGGGTTCAGCCCCTCTCGCCTCTCACAGAGAGAAAAGCAAGGATTTGTCTTCAGGGCCCAAATCCCAGATCTGGGCTTTCCTCCCTCAAACCAGGTGCCCTGGGCAAGTGACTTCTCCCTGAGCCCCAGTTTCCTCACCTGTAAACAGAGGAGGGTGAAAGGCCTGGCTCTCAACAGGTCCTCCTTGTGCATTTCACTGACTTCTTCACTATAACCCAGGAGACCTGACATTTACACAGAGGGGCAGGAACACGAATACTGGCAGGCCCAGGGGTGTGACATGGGACACAGCACAGGCCTGCACACAGGACTGTGGGCATGAGGCAACCTGGTATGGAGACTAAACCCAACCTAGCCTCATTCCTCTGACTTCTAAAACCCTGTGTGGCGAGCAGACCCGAGGCTGCTGGTGGAAACCCCTGCTTTCCTCCTTGTGAGGTTCCGGGGAAAATCTGACAGGCTTTAATAAGGAGGAAGCCCTGAACGGACAAGACAGCGTCCTCTCCTCTACTCACCTCCCCCATCTGGCTGGCATAGAGAAATGAGTTGGTTGGGGACCCCAAGTACGGGTGCTAGCAATGGCACTCACCTGGGGCTTCCTCACCTCCCTGCCCAGGGCCTTCCCCTGCTCTTCTTGGTGTCTCCACCTCCTGGCTGACTTCACCTCTGTCTCCTCTCCACTCTGAGCCAGGCTGCCTGATTTCAAATGCCAGCTCCTTCTTTTCTAGCTGGGTGACGTCAAGCTATAAACCTCTCTGTGCCTCAGCTTCCTGATCTATGAAATGGGGCATTTCTCCCCATCATTTGGCTGAGAAGAGAAAATCAGCTAACCTCTGTAAAGCACCCAGAAGGTACTTGAACGAGACCTGATGGTGAGGCAAGTTGGTTATTTTTATTCAGATGGGCCTCCCAGAGGGAAGCCTAGCTCCTTAGCACCTTTCTCCCTCCCAGAGACCTCTGCAGATGAAGGCTGGTCTCAGTGAAGAGCAAGCAAGGATTGGCTCTGAGTCAAAATAAAGAGGAAGGACGTGGGTGAGGACGTGAATTTTATGATCCCTGAGCAATGTCACCCTGGTGCCCAGGAACTAACCCCCTCACCTGCTTCCCCAGTAGGTCTGACTGCTCCAGGCCCCTGCTGCAACTACTTGGGCAAAAGCTTGGCCCTCTGGAAGCTTGCATTCCCTAGGAAGCGGGCACATTAGAGGTTCAGGAGGAGGGAGCTCAGAGCAGTCAACCACATGAAGTTACCTTTCATCCAGGGCCTTTGTGGCCAGCAAGTCAAAAACAAAATATTATTGTTCCCACTTTGCAGATGAGAAAACTGAGGCCCAGAGTAGCGATGTGACTCACCTAAGGTCATGCGGCTGAGGAGCTGGCTCGGGAGTACACATCTGCCCAGGCACCTGCACCACACCTAACAGGCAGAACGCAATGGGCTCAGTTGCCTCATCTGCAAAATAGACTCTCAGCATCCATCCTGCACCTGGCAAAGGAGGCGGAGAAGGGCAAGGATTCCACCCCCAAGCCGGCCACGCCGCCCGCCGTCCTGCTCCAACACCCACAGAAAGACAGGAAATGGCTCGCCCAGGATTCTCACTTGGCCTTCCCTTCTAGCATCCACTTTAAGATTGGCAGGGGCTGCTCTGAGCAAAGCCACCGCAGCTGTGACCCCTTGAGGTCAGTGTTCGTGGCAGGGGCTGCAGGGTTGTGATGGGCCAGACATTGAGGATAGCACTTGAGAGGGCTGGGGACCCTCTGCTTTGGCATTCTAAAGGTCTGAGTCCCTCCTAGGACAGGCCAGAGACAGCATCTAAAGATACCCAGAGATAGGGACGCAGCAGGCCCAGTGGGCTGCTAGAATCCCAGCAGCCAGGAGAGTGATGTGTCCCAGCAGAGGAGGCCACTGGAACAGAGCAAAAACCACAGGAACCGAAACTTCCCGGGTGCCCATGAGTCACCACCCTGTGAGGGCTGGGCCCTGGGGCTGGGTGGGAACTTTCCCAGGCCTTGACCCTCAGCTCAAGGGCATGTCCCTTGACCCCATGACAACACAAAGAGAGGGCTGCAGCCTGGGGTTCACACCCTGGTATGTCTCTGTCTTACTCTCAGTATCTCTGCCAAGAGATCATTTGATTCATTAATTAGTGTAAGTATGTATATCTTTAGAATAGGAAATACAGGCATATTGCAAAAAAAAAAAAAAAGTGAAAATCAAGCCTCCTCCCCTCCCCTGTTCTTCACTATCAAGTTCCTCTGCCCCCAAGTCTCCTCCTTGGAGGCCTCCACTCCTACCAGTTTCTTTAAAGCCATATATGTTTGTATATGCATTTAGAAACCCAAATGCAAACATGTGTGTGTTCATTCTTTTCCTCTTTTTACACAAATGGTAGCATGTCAATATACCTTGGAACCCTCTCCTTATAGAAACATACAGGGTCCATTCTCCTTTCTTCAGTGGTTTAAATCAATACTAATATGTATTTCGTATAATTCTGTGGGTTGAAGAGGCACAGTTGGGAGGTCCTCCATTCCATGTGACGTAGCTAATGTCATCTGTATGTTGGTTCTGCTTAACAGTTGTGTAGAGTCCCATTGTACGGACATCATTGTTTATTTAATCAGTCCCCTATTGATTAACATTTGGAGATTGACAATCTTTTGCTTTGATAAATAATGCCACAGTGAATGAGGAGCACACACGTCCCCTGTGTATCCGCATGATGAAATCCTAGGGTTGGCTGTGCCGGTCAGAGGGAAGAGCAGGTGTGGTTTGGCAGGGGCTCCCAGTGGCTCTCCCAGACACGCTGATTCCTCTTCCTGCCAGCCCCACACTCTGGCACCTGTCCTTGCACCCTCAGCAGCAGAGTGTGCCATACTTTTGATCTTTTTGATATAATGGTTCAAAAAGGGTCTTTTTTTTTTTTTTTTGAGACAGGGTTTCTCTCCCATTGCCCCGGCTGGAGTGCAATGGCACGACCTCAGCTCACTGCAATCTTTGCCTCCCAGGCTCACATGATTCTCCTGCCTCAGTGTCTGGAGTAGCTGGGACTACAGGCACATGCCACTGCACGCAGCTAATTTTTGTATTTTTAATAGAGATCTGCCTGCCTTGGCCTCCCAAAGTGCTGGGGTTACAGGCGTGAGCCACCACACTCGGCCTAAAAGAGGGTCTTTTATTGAAGTTTTAATTTGCATTTCTTTTATGAGTAAGGCTGAGTAACTTTTCATCTATTTAAGAGCCACTTATATATTCTTTTGAAACGGTCTTCCTATATTTTGCCCATTTTTTAAATTGAGTTATTGGTTTGTTCTTGTTGCTGGGTAGGAGATCTTTATACAATAAAGAAATTAATCCCTTCTTTGCAATACGAATTGCGATTTTATTTCTCAGCTAATTTCTCTCATTCTCTGCAGGAGTGGCCCAGAGTGACCAACCCAAAGGGGGTGGAATCTCTAGGCTGTAACAGTGGAGGACTGGGTCTATTCTGAGCTGGAGAGTATGGCTGGGACGGTATAGAAGAGAAATGGCTTCCAACAGCTCCTGCCCTGGCAGGTGGCTTGGGGGAGCCCACTCTGGCCTGGCCAGATCTCCAGGGCCCCAGGCCCAGGCATCATCCTATGAGAGGGAGGCCAACACCTAGAAGGTCCAAGCAGTCTGAGGGGTTCAGGGGCCCAAGGTCACCAGAAAGAAAGAGAACCCAGGGTTCCTGGGTCCCAGTGTGCTGTTCTGCACCTGGGCCAAGGCCCTGGAAAGCTCCAGAAGGCAGCATGCCTGTTAATAACATCTCACATTTACAGAGCCCTCCCATATGTCCAGCCCTGCACAGGTACTTGACTGTCACCACCCCCACACACAAACCCATTTTGTTCTCCCCAGCAACTCCATGGGGGTGAGAGCCAATGTTATTGCTCTACGACAGAGGAGGAAACGGAGGTCTGTCTACATGACACACCCTGGAGAAGTGGGGCTGGCCCACCAGAAAGCAGCAGCTCTTACTCAGCGGAGAAGTCCAGCCAAAGTCCTGGGGTGGGGGCCTCATTAGGGCGCTGCTTGGGGAGCAGAACCTCTTGCAGACTGAGCAGAGAATTTCTACCTGCCCTCCCCTCAGAGGGGCCTGAGCCTTCCTTACCAGGCTGGTCACTGATGCGTCCTTGAATAAACTGTCTAAAAGAGCACCCAGCAAGGGCCTGGCCCCGCCACTGCCCTCTTGCTTTGTCAAATAAACCCGAGAAATGTTTTCAGGCCCAGGAATCCTGGAGAGGGAGGCACAGCCCTGCAGAAAGGGACAGAGCTGCTCTGGCTTGGAGCCAGAAGTGCTGCTATCAACTTGCAGAGGCTCCTTGGACAACTGTCACCTTGCTGGCTTCAAATGCAAGGAAGGAACTGGGTCAGATAGTGTCTGTGTCCTTTGTCACTCAGAGCAGTACCACTCTGGGGTGTGATACCCCTTCCCAGGCCTCCCTCCCAGAGTGTCTAATGCTCCTTCATCCTGCTTCTCACCCACCAGCACCCACCAGTTGCGGTTACTCCCGTGAGGTCCAGGAGAGCAGCTGCCACGTGGGTCCTGTTTAGCTCTGTCGCCCAGTCACCTGGCAGACATGCAGAAGTGTTTGTTGAATGAATGAATGAGCAAAACTCCATTGCTTTGCCAGAGGACACCACTAAAGAGCCAATGAAGAGTGTGATCAGGTTTCTTGAAGCCCTTCCCTGGAGCAAAACCCCTGCTGCTCCAGAGACATTGGTGAATTCCTCCCTAAGGAGGAGCCCCAGACAGAAGGCCAGGCTTCAGGAGCTCTGGGCTGGCAGGGGCAGGGTGGGGTGAGAGACAGTCTTCCAAGCTGAATCACCCACCAGCCTCGGGGACCCGGGGATGAATGGTGGCAGAGCAGGTAGGAGTGAAAAGGGCCTTTGGTGCTTTCCAGCTTTCTGGAGAAGCACAGGTGGGATGTGAACAGTGGGCTGCTTTGTTGAGAACTAGGCAAGCAGCAGGCTAGGCGGAGTCATCTCTTGCGTGTCTGTGCCACATGGCCCACCTTCCCACTTCCTTGCTTCACAGCCCAGCAAAGAGGTGGTTCTCTGCAGAATGCCGGCCCTAACCCATTTCCTTCCTGGATGCGGGGAAGCCCCTTTTCCCCTGGACCTGGACTGCCACAAAGGCCCTGCCATCAGCAGCCCAGCTGGCTCCCTCAAGACACTGAATCGTTTTACTCCCTGAAGCCTTGAGGTCTCCCTGTCTCCCACCCTGCCCAACACAAAGACTCTCATAAGTTTCTTGGATTAATTTGAATTGACTGATTTGAATTGAATTGACTTGAATCTTATTGAAGTGAGTTGAATTAAATGCCAGATTACAGGCTTCATCGGAGCCCATAGAAATTTGGTTTTTCTAAATGCTGGTCCATAGATCAGAAAGGCAAATTTTCATCCCTTGTTTCCAAATCCTCCTCGGGGAGGTAGGCAGGGAAATGGGGGTACAGGAGAAGGGACAAGGGGAATAGGATTCAGTGATGGCTTCCTCTGAAAAACACCACTCTCCAGCACTCCCCACCTTTCCAATTCAAGCTTTAAAATGCCAAAAAACCTCATTCCCAGAAGCAAAAAGAAGTCAGTTGAAAGTTCTCTGTTCGGATTGCAGGTGGCGTGCATGAGTACTGATAATGTCAGGATGGCAGAGCTCTAGATCAGGTACGAACCGGGAGCTGGAGCAGAACATCCAGACGACACTGGCAAGAAGAGGCTTGTTAGCATCCTGGGAGTGGATGATAGTGTCCAGGCAGAGAGGCCACCATGACCTAAAGCCAGATATTTTCAGTGTCTACTTCCTTGAGCCTGGCAGGACCTGGCAGCGGTAAACCCTCCCTCCCAGCAACCTGCTCATCCTTGAGGTTTTCATTTCCTTCTCGGTCTCCTTTGCAGGCCAGGCCTCCCCTGGGTGGCAAATGCTGGCAAATGGGTGCCTCTTCCCTTGACTCTACTTTCTCTGGTTAATCCCATCCACTTCCTCCTTGGTGGGGGTAGGGGAGGCCCTGACCTCCACTGCAATGGCTTAGTCACCACCCAGACAAGATGGCTTAGAGGTGGCTCTCAGACCCTGCAGCCATCCTGAGACTCAGATCCAAAGAGCCACCTGCTTCCTTAACTTCCCCACCTGTGTGGCTACAGAGACCTTGAACATAAGTTTATGAAAGTGAGTCTGCTGGCTAACCCCCGCTCGGGCCTTCCCTGTCTCAGCCAATGGCCACAGCATTCATCCAAATGCCCAAGCTGGACACGGGACCAGGCCTTCAACTTATCCTTCTTCACCCTCCATAGCCAATCCACCCCCGAATCGCGGCAGTGTTGCCTCCTCAAGATCTCTCAGCTTCCTCCAATCCTCTCCATCTCTGCCCCTGAGTCTGTCCCCGGGCTGGACAAATGCAGTAGCCTCCCAGCTGCTCTTCCCAAACTCACCATGGCTCCTTCCAATCTGTTCTCCATAATGCTGCCCGAGCGATAGTGCCAAAATGCAAGTCAGCTCAAATCCATAGCCCGTGGCCTTCATAACCAACAGTAGTTTCCCATTATTTTGGGGTTAAAGGTGCAGCTCATTAATATGGAGGAAAAATCCCACTCCCCCCTCGCCACCTGTCCCTCTGAGCCTTTTGTGCCTGACATGCTTCCTTCTGTCCTGCCCAGGGCCTCTGCACATGCTCTCCCCTCGGCCGAGAACATTCTTCCCTCTCCCCCTTCCTGTAGTTAGCTCCTATTCATCCTTCAGGTCATACTTTGAATATCGACGAAGTCTGCCTTGACCTCACTGACCAGGCCAGTCCCCCATAGTCAAGGCCTTCACACACTGTATGCCGCTCATGCACGCCACTAGTCCTGGCTGGAACTGTCCATTTTGTCGGAAAGGCCATCTGATTCGCATCTGTCTCCTGCTCTAGACTGTAAGGCAGGGAAGGTATTCGCATCTATCTCCCCCTCTAGACTGTAAGGCAGGGAAGGTGTCTGCTTTGGTTCGCCATTTTATTTCCAAGAGCCAGCCCTGTGCCTTCCACAGCAGGAGCTCCATGAAGAATGAATGAATGATACATGAATGAATGAATGTGAGCAAGAAAAGAGGGCCTAAGTCTGAACACTTTCATCCCTGCTCCACCAGTTGAGGGCTGTACTGCAGCCAGGCAGGCCTCCTTACTACTCCCAAGACAGCTTCCTCCGTCCCATCTCCCGGCCTGTGCCCACTCCTGCCTCACCTCCATCCTATACATCACTCCCCTCTTTCCTGCATCTGGCTAAATTTCATTCCTTCCAAGGTTCAGCTCATGTTAGAGTCTAAGAAACAACCATCAAACAGTCACCAGCAGGATGGCTGGAAGAAGACACTATGTGTTGAAGCTTTTTTCTACCCCATATTGAAAATATTCTCAATTCCCCATGGCCGGGTGGTCCCTGGTAGACAGCACCTGAGCAATAAAAGCACATGTTTTGATTGTATTTCCAGAGACAGAAACTTCCCTGCTCACAGTGCGGGTAAGGTCCGGAGAATCTCCAGGTGGTGTCAGCCCTGCTGAGAACCACATCTCACTTCAGCAAAACACTCCCAAGAAATCAAGAGGAAAGCCCATCAAATGAACAGTGGGGTTAGTCCCCACCAAAGGCGGGGGTAGCTACAGTGTGATCTGACCTAAGCAAAGCCTTTAGTTTCTCCAGGAAGAACAGGGAGAAGTGGGGACGTCCCATCACCTAAATATTACCATGCTTCATTTACAAAAGGGACTTTCGGGGGACTGAGTTCATAAGGGGAAGTCAGGCTGGGACTGGCTTACAATTCAGACACCTCTGAGGCCTCTGAAAGCTTGGGCCCAGGTGTGACACCAAAGATGAGTTGGGACAGTCCCTGCGATGAGGACAGAAACAATATCAAGTCACACATCCTAGCCATCAGTTTATGAGCCCCCAGAGTCCCTGAGATGGTGCTGAGGAACACATATCATAGAATGGCAGGGGCAGAAGCCCGGGTGTGGTGGCTCACACCTGTAATCCCAGCACTTTGGGAGGCCGAAGCGGGTGGATCACCTGAGGTCAGGAGTTCAAGACCAGCCTGACCAATATGGTGAAACCCCATTCTACTAAAAATACAAAAATTAGTTGGGCACGGTGGCAGGCACCTGTAGTACCAGCTATTTGGGAGACTGAGACAGGAGAATTGCTTGAACCCAGGAGGCAGAGGTTGTAGTGAGTCAAGATCGTGCCACTGCACTCCAGCCTGGGCAACAGAGCAAGACTCTCTCTCAAAAAATTAAAAAAAGAAAAACAAGAATGATAGGGGCAGAAAGGGCCTTAGAGCTCATCCAGTCCATCCCCCCTTTGACAAATGGGGAAACTGAGTCCAGAGAGGGCAATAGACTTGCTCAAGGCAACTGAATAACTTATTAGGGTAATTAGAGCTAGAAACCATCTCTCCTGGATCTTTCTGCTGCCAGTGTGGATTGCTTGTGGAACCCATCACCCTGCCTGCCTGTCCTCTCTGTACATTGACTAGTAAGGCTACACATTCTCTTAGGAAGGCTGAGGGGTATCTGGTGGATAGATGGGACCGGCCTCGCTGAGCTGGAAACTGGTCAAATAAATGCAGGCAGGAGACAACCCCAAAACTAGCAGTTATTGAATATGTATCACGTGTCAGATACTGTGCTTTCTATGCAGCATCTCCTTTTGGTAGTTTAAAGATGGCTGCAATGTTTGACACACCTTCCATCAAAAGGTGAGGTGTCATTCTTAAATCAGGGCTGGCCTGAATGACTTGCTTAACCAGATAGTGGACCACTAGAATGCAGTGGAAGCGACATTCTGGGATTTCTGAGGCTAAGTCACAAGAAGCCTTGCAGCTTCTGCTTGGGGTTCTTGGAACACTTGGTCTCAGTGTGCTCCCTCTAGGATTTCAGGCTGGGAAGAGCTCCAGCCTCATGGGGAGGCCATGTGTAGCCACTCAGGTCATCAGCCCCAGCAGCCTGCACTGCTATCTGACTACAATCACATGGGAGACATACAAGCAAGAACTGCCGGTCTAAGCTCGGTCAGTCTATAGAACCATGAAAGATAATAATACATTTTTGTTTGAAGCCACTAAGTGTTGTAGTGCTTTGTTACACAGCAATAGATAACTTCTGTACTCATTCCATCCTCTCAGTAATCCCTAGAGATGGTTATTATTGTCAATTTCCACTTTACATGAGGAAATTTAGATAAAAAGAAGTTAAGTAAATTGCTCAAGGTCACACAGCTAGGTAAATGGCAGATCTAGGATTTGGCTAATCCACTAAACTCTTTCCTGCTCCCTTTCATTGAATTGGTTGAGCTCTTGGTTGCAAATAATAAAATCCACACTGGCTGGTTTAAGTAGAAATGAACAGAGGTTGGCTCACAGAATTTCTGGAAGGGCCAGGAAGTCAGAAATTTCCAGCTACAATTTTGGAGCCTCCACATAAGAATATGCCTCCACAAAGCTCCAGAACACTTGGGATGAATGCCTGGGGCTCTGCCACTGGCACCCCCATCCCTGCCAGCTGAAGAACTGGGCCCCTCTGCCATGTGGTGCCAGAATATCAATTCCCCTGCTCTCTGACACCTCTCCGTGGCTCACACTTCCTAACCCAAGTCTTCCAGGGACAGGGGAGTAAGATGAGTGATATTGGGGTTTCATGCCTACACCTGAAGGGATGTGAGTTCTCTGGCTCTGGAAACAGGACTTACCCAGGGAGGAAGGTATCAGAAAGATTATCATACATTCATTTATTCACTCATACATGTATCCTCAGTCTATTATGTGCAAGACCTCAAGGATCTCACAGTCTACATGGGAGACATACAGGTAAATCTACAATCACAAGACACCATGCCAGGAGCTTTACTAAAGGTATGTGCAGGACATGGGACACTTTGAGAGAGGGAGAAGAGACCCTCACTTAGCCAGCTCATTGAGGGTGGTGAGAGAAACCTCATGAGGTGAAGACATTGAAGCTGAACTCTGAAGGATGAGGGAGAGGCCCCAGGTAGAGAAGGAGGGAACACGCTATGTAAAGAAATGGAGATGAGAAAGGGGTGTAAAGATTCTGGGGACACAGTGGTGGATCCTGAAGCCGGGATATAGGCTCCATGAGGAACTAGAACTCAGAGTATAGGCCTTGATTGCTGAGTTAAAACAGTAGATTTAGCCCCAGGGTACTGAGGAACAATAAGAGGTTTTAAACAGAGAGTGATATGATTGGTTTTGCACTTTGGCCATGTGGGCAGGAGCATACTTGGAATGCAGACTCATAACAAGCAACTCAAGTAGGAAACTATCACAACAGATGATGGATTTCCAACCTGAAGCAGCAGGACTGGGGATCCTGTGTTCATCCTTTTCTCCTCTACTCAGCACATGTATGCATGCACACACACAATCACATACACACACTAACCTCTTCTTTGATTATGATGCATAAGGTATAACCCATCCCCAACCACTGCCACCAGTGCCACCACCCTAAAAGGAAAAGATAAAGTTGCATAAGTGAAGTTCTTCAAGCTATGGAATCTGAATCTCAGTCTCACCCCAAGACCTGTTCCTTCTTCCTCAGGGGTTCCTTCCAGAAGGGAGAGCCAGGAAATCAAATCCTTGGCTCTCCTTTACCTTCTGAGATTATAAAATGAATAAAGAGGAACACAAATGTGAACACCCCAAATCACTATCTACTAGATTTTCCCCAGAGTAAATTCAATAGTAGAAATGGCGTTGAGGCTGGTTTTAACATATGGTACTTGACATTAAAAGTCCTGCTTTCTCATGGCAACTCTACCATCCACCAACTGTGTGGCTTTGGACAAGCTATTTTTCCTATCTTGAAAGGCATACTCAGCACTGTCTTTGCAAAAATGACCACAATCCTTCAGTCCTCCCTGTAAACATGTCCTTTGCAATGAGACATTGCATCTCCTTCCATCAAGAAAGTAGAGTCGCTTTGGCCAACAGGATGTGGCAGAAGTGGCAGTGTGCCGCTTCCAAGTTCAACCCTTAAAAAGCCTGTGTACATTCATGTTCTCTTGCAGAACCCTGCAGCTGCTGAGTGAACAAGTCTGAGTTAGCCTGCTGGAGGGTGAGAGAGCTGAGGCTTCACATCCCAAGCCAGTTTATAATCAGCAGGCCTCACACATGTGAGGAGGCTCATCCTAGATCAATGAATCACAGGATGAGATGAGTCCTCAGGAACCACAATGGAGTCTTGAGCAGTAATAGTTGTCATTTTAAGCTGCCAAGTTTTAAGGTGTTTTGTTATGTAGCAATGGTTAACTGCTAGAGGTGTCAAAAGGACTTTGGCAAGTCACAACTATCATTACCTCAGAACTTCATAAAAACCCCTTGGATGCAGATTTGGCCTCCCCACTTCATGTGTGAGAAAATTGAGGATTGAGGAGGGGATGAGATTTCTTTTATGCACATGACTGATAGGCAATAAGTCTGGAATTTGGAGCCAGGCCATCTGACTACACATCCTGTATTCTTAAGTGATTCAACGACTCTTCTTGCCTTTGTCTGGCCTCAGACACTCTCCTAACCCAGGTATCAAGTCAGCATGTAGAATGGGGGAGATGTGGTCACGCTCAGTGGCCAAGCCTCCTGAGCCACAGACGTTGGGGTGAACCTGGCCTGCAGCACCCAGTTCTTCCCTTTTGCACTCTGATGTGATGCCGGGGTGTTGGGGGGCACACTTGGGGAAGTGTGATTTCAGGAAGCTATGTGGCCCTCAGAGCAGTGAAGAAAGTGTCCAATTCTAATTGCAAACCTGACAAACCACAGTGACCCTGAGTAGCTCAGATGATGGCCCAGAGCTGGGGGAAATTCTCCCTCCCAAGACCGGGGCCCTGGGGAGGCCTCTGGACTGGGATTCCTGAGACCTGGTCCTGGGGCCTCCCTGCCACTAGCTGGCTGTGTCTTTGAGCATGGCCAGCTCCTTCTCCAAGCCTCCATTTCTTTATCTGCAAAGATGCCCTCATCACCTTTAGGATTCTAAATAGCCTGACCCTGGAGCTCAAGATCCTTAGTTTCCCAGGAGTTATGTGAGATCTGGGCCATTGTCAGATTTTGAGGCTCCCAGTATATGATGAAATATTTTTTAAAAAAAGGCAAAATAGGGTGTCAAAATGATGGTAACTGTTAATGTTTATGTGGAACATAATCCCTGAAACCCCTCATCCCTGCCCAACACACTATATTTTTGCTGATTGTAGAGACAGCAGCAAAGTTTAAAGTTGATGTGTTTGCAACTATATCCTGTGCTTGAGTGGTGATCATCACCATTCTATCAGTGGCTTAGTGATGAATAGGAACAGAAACAGGGAGGCTTGACACTCACACCTGCTGTGATGTGAACCTCTATTTGGCCACCTTTTAGGAAGGAGGCCCAGCCAGGCCCAAAGCCAGTGCTTTTATGGTCATGGGTCCCGAGATGGAGCAGTGGCCAGCTCCTGTAGCCAGAGTAAACTGCCTGGTTTGCATCTGAACTGGAGTGACTAACGCTGCATAGAGGATACAATAAAACAGATCATGGAAAATTTAATGGCCCGTGGTTGGCAATCACTGAATTATTTATGCCATCTTTGCCTCTTCCGAATTCTCAGTTGCTCTTCCTCCAGCACTGCAGCCCTGGCTGTCTGCAGGCTGAGGAGTAACAGGGCCTGGGGAGATCAAGACGTGGGCACCAAGAGGCTGGAGGTTTCTGAGTAACTTTGGGCAAAAATTGCTTCCAATCTTTTGGCTTCATTTTCTCATCTGTCAGTTAGGGGGTTCTCCTCCACAATCTAATAGCAACTTAAATTTATGCCACTCTTTACATTCACAGATGATTCCCAAATTCTTCCATCCTTCCCCAAACACTATGAGGTAGGCAGAAGTGGTCTTACTATCTTCCCATTTTCCAGATGATAAGCCAAGGATCAAGATGATGAAAAGACTTATCCAGATTCAAAGGGAAAAAAAGCAGTGCAGAGAATTTCCAATTAGAGATGCAGATTGAGTACACGAAATTTAGCTTCTCTCTATGCCAAAATCGTATTTGAAAAAGTGTCAGAAAAGACATAAGAGAATGAATAAATCCCTATTAGGAAATTAAAAAAGGATGTTATCCGTGCACCAGAAACGTTGAGGAATTTCTGAAAGGTGGTAGGCCAATGAAATCCAGCTGACTGAGAAGCCAGAGCAAGGAAGTGACAAGTCAGCGTAGAACCGCACGAGGCATGTGGCTGAAGCCACAGCCCTTTATCTCAGCAGACTCCGGGAAACTCCAGTAAAAGCAGGCAGGCTATGGGGCAACCCCAAACTACTTGAAGAAGAGCTTTCCTGGTTG
This sequence comes from Homo sapiens, assembly GCF_000001405.40. Classification (NCBI taxonomy): domain Eukaryota; kingdom Metazoa; phylum Chordata; class Mammalia; order Primates; family Hominidae; genus Homo; species Homo sapiens. The sequence continues at coordinate 70,234,706 of NC_000015.10, read as the reverse complement.
TCCCAGAGCTTTCTTGAATAGACGGAACAGCTGGCTTTGGCATTCACCCTCAGGGAAGAGTCACGAGAACAACTCTCAAAATCAAATGAGGGTTCTGCAGGCATTTCTGTCGACTAACCCTTCCTGACCTCCTTAGCAGACTCAGAGAAAAAAGATAAAGGAAAGGAACTCCACAGAGGAATAAACTTGGTCTGTTTGACTACAGTGTGTGTTTCTATGATCTGCATTACTCATACACAATTGATGCATAGGAGCACGATGTCAGTAACAGCAGCTGAATGCAAAGAAAGCTGAACCCAGAGATGTGGTGCCAGAAGCAACCCGCACACACCTACACTCCTCCTCATGGTCACTTGTGTTGTCTTGGAAAGGCCTGTTAAATAGTTATCCCCATTCTTGATGCATTTTGTCCTCATTTTCATAACTCAGAAGCCTAAACCCTATCTCATACCTCCTTCTATGAAGCTACTTTCACTTTTTTTTTTTTTTTTAAAGTAAAGCCTGGCCGAGTGAGGTGGCTCACGCCTGTAATCCCAGCACTTTGGGAGGCCGAAGCGGGTGGATCATCTGAGTCAAGAGTTCAAGACCAGCCTGGCCAACATGGTGAAACCCCGTCTCTACTAAAAATACAAAATTCAGCCAGGCTTGGTGGCACACACCTGTAATCCCAGCTACTCAGGAGGCTGAGGCAGGAGAATCGCTTGAACCCAGGAGGTTGAGGTTGCAGTAAGCCGAGATCATGCCATTGCACTCCAGCCTGGGTGGCAGAGTGACACTTTGTCTCAAAAAAAATAAAAGTAAAGCCTTATATTTACTGTAGTATTTTTTACTTATTAGAAAGTTAAAAATGTGTTCTTAAAATATGAGCCTTTTGTTTTGTTAGGATTATTATTTTTGTTAATGGTCTGATTATAATGTTGCAAGAAATTTGGGTAGTTTATTTCTAATTCTATTTTTCTCATTAGTCCTATTATTTTTAATATGCAGTTTTGAATATTTTAAGGATTTGGGATATATTGTATGTCAAAACTCATGTACACTAATGCTCTCCACACTTAGAAAGGAATGCCTTCCTTACTTCAGCAATGGTTGTGGCTCATGAGCTTGCATTTCTGTTCCCTATTAGCAATCCTCACTCAGACACCTCCAGGGCCCCTGTCCTGTTCAGGAGAGAGGCCTATTTTCCAAGCAGACCTGTGCAAGCGGCAGAGGGAACAATTTACCCCAGCCGGGTTAGTTAACAACCTCACTATTTATTCAAACATTCTAATGGCTTTCTGAGGATTTCCAAGTTGTTAGGAAAACAAACCACATAAAAGAGAAGGACTAATGTGAACAAAGGAACCCAGAGGAAAAACAGAGATGATGCAGCAAACAGAAGAAAATGGATGTTAATTTATTGGGAGGATATTGCATCCATAAAACAAAAGCAGCACACTATGGAAAAAAGAAAACAAGCAGAGCATGTAAAAGTTCTTAGAAATTAAAAGTATATTGGCTGAAATTAAAAAAAAAAAGGGCTGGAATGGAAGGGAAGAATAAGAAACCAAATCAGAGAAATTATATAAAGACAATAAAGTTTAGGAAGTATCTCAGAATATAGACTAAAATGTCAATATGACTTTTTAAATGAGGAAAGATTAAAAAAAAAAAACATGGAGGCTACAACGAGAAGGCCAATACTCAACTAATAGGAATTTTAGAAAGAGAGAACTGAAGTAATAGAAAAGAAGGAATTGTCAAATAACAAAAGAAAATTTTCTTAAGCTGATAAAAGATATGAATTTGGAGGTTAAAAGGGATCACTATATTATCAAGATTTTTTGGGTTACATTTGAAGGAAACCCAATTCAAAGAGCTGAAAGAAAAAAAGTGAATACATTAGCTAATCTGGCTTTAGTCTTGCCTGCATCTAGAAGTTTGAATGTTGAAAATTATTTATTCATTCTCTCTCTCCCTTTCTGTCTCACTCTCCACCCCTCCCCTCTGCTTTCCTATGTGTTGGGTTCATTCCCAGGCAAGTTCTCTATGTATAGTGACCAAGAAGGCCTCTATAAATTCCAGTCTTATTTTATCCTTGTACCAAACCCAGAGAAAAGAGCAAAATCCCCTCTCTTCCAGCATCCAGATCAGTCTGTAAAACATACACTGATTGGCCTGGCTTGGTTGCATGTCCAGCCCTGAATTGATCTCTTGGCTGGAAAGACGGAATGTTCTGATGGCCACTCTGGGGCAGGGAAAGAGGGACCCTTCATTAACAGCACCTCCAAAATCATGTGAAGTGGGTGAGTTATTGGCAGTTTTCAAGGAAAAGGGAAGCAGGCCGGACCAAAAAAACAAAGCCGTAGCCATCTGCTATTTTCACCAAGTATAGAGCAGATGTAATGAAAAAGACACACACTTCTCAAAAAATTGGGAAAGTTTCAGAACTCTAACAATCAGATGGAAGTCTTAAAACTTCTTAAGGAAAATATTTAGGATACCTAAAAAGAAACAACAATCAAAGTAGCATTTGATTTTTCATATGCAATGGGCTTGCTAGAAGGTAACAGAGCAATGTCTACAAATTCTGAAGGGAAATCATTTGGAATCTCTTATACAAGTGTGAAGGCATAGTAAAGACACATTTAGAGGTTCAAGGATTTGGATTTATTTGGTGCACCACCACCCCTGTTATGCACATTTTCTGAAAAATTCCTTGAAGATATACTCTGGCAAAATGAAAACTGAATTCAAGAAAGAGGGAGACAATAGATTCAAAAATTATAGAATTAACCCAGAAGAACAATGGAAAGGAATACTAGTAGGACAGTTGTGCAGCTGACCTAATAAGCAATTAGAACAAGAAATCAGAGGGCTCATAAAAAATAACCTAAAGAAGAAAAAAGCATTAACCATATCCTATGAGTAAGAAGCTGACATGCTGGTATAAGACACTTCTAAGAAACAAGAAAAGCAAGGTATGAGACACTTCTCAGAAACAAGAAAAACAAAGGCAATTGCGAACTCTGGGAAAAACAAAGAACTGTATGTGAAACTCATGGTACAGATATAATGAGGACTAACTTGTGGCAAGAGTCTGAGCCACCAATGAAGTGTAGGAAGTCATGCTTTCTGAACTCACAGAAGCAACCTGCCATTGGTCAGGTAATGTAAGAAGAAGATAATCCATGAATGCTTTAAATTCACACATCATCTGTTTGGATCTGTATCAGGAAAAAGTGATAATTATTTCCCCATGATATGTTTGTTCTTTTTGAAAGTGATTGAGTACTTCAGTAATTTCTCTTGACAAATTATCCTAACAATGGGCTTACCTCTTTATATTATTTTTAATTAAAATGTATATGTAGATAAATTCATCTATTTGTTTAGGGGTAAGTTGCATCTTTTGATTTTTGAAAGAGAAATGACTAAGTTCTACCTAAACTAAAAACCTCTTAGAAGTATATAGTTAAAATAAAACACCACAACTTCAACTTTCAATTCTTTTCAAATTAAGGAAAGAAAAATTATGTAAAGACCAATATCTCCTATGTTGAAGAAAAATTTGCTTGAAGTTCTCTAATTCTTTGTCTCTAACTTTAGAGTTTTTCTTCTATTATTACCCAGTAAAAGTAAATTTTATATATTTTTTCTGAATATTAGTCATCACCTCTGGATAATGAGATTTCAGGCTACTGGCAGATTATGATCTTTTTTTGTATTTTTCTTAATTTTCACATTTTCTGTCATAAACTTGTATGATTCTTATAATAAAAATGAGAGAGAAATGGTAATATAACTATACATATTTTGATGTTGAAATATGTCTAGAATATTTTTAAAACAAAAAAGTCCATTGTTGAGTAGTACGTAGTGTGTGTGTGTGTGTGTGTGTGTGTGTGTGTGTAATCTGGAATTACAATAATTATTGTCACTAGGGAATAGGGTAGAGAGGGGCTAATATTGGCAGGATGTGGGTGAACAGTCTATCATATTTATCTTGTGTTTGTTCTGGGTTGCATATCTCTTTTACAATGCACACATAGTAATTAAAAGCAGTGGCAGGAGACTCGACCCCTGAGGTTCTGATTTCAGATGTGTGTTCATTCTCTCCTTTCTCTGGTGAGCAGCCATGCTCGGAAGGACAATTTTCCTTCCTCCAAGGGAAAGAACCCTCTAGAAGGAGAGTCTATCCCATGGTAGCTGCATAGAGAAACACATCCAGGCTTGATCCATGTAACCGAGGCCCAGTGGGTTCTGGAGAGAAGGAGGAAGCTGTGGGAGGAAGACTCAGACTTCCTAGGCCTTCCCACCTACCCCAAAAAGTCAGTGGCCATTCCTGGTCCAGTGAGCATTACACCTTTGTTCCCAGTCTTTGTCTCTTTCTGGGGCTTCAGATCCAGATATTCAATTATCTTCTGAAAAACCCCATTGGAAAGCTCCACAGGCATCTCCACCTCACCCTATCAAAAACTGAGCACAGTGTCTCTCTCCACTCCAGGCTCTATCCCCCCTGCCCACCTGCTCTCTCTCATTGTCTCGGTCAGTGCCACCTCCATCTGCCCCATTGCACAGGCCAGAAACAGGCACTCATCCTTGACTTCTCCTTCTACCTGCCTCCAACAATCAATCACAAAATCCCATTCATTTATAAATATTTCTTTCCTCTAGCAGGAACCCACTTTCTCTTTCTCCTGGCAACCACAGCAACCCTTGTCTCCATCAGTGTCACTTGGGCAACTGAAATTCCCTCAAATGGTTCCTCCACCTTCCCAATCCCAGTCCTACTGTTGGTCTCCTTTCTTTTAATCTCTTCTTCCCAGAGTGACCCTCTGAAAGATGCAAATCTGATCATGACATTCTCCTTATAGGGTCCCCCACTGCTCTCAGATCCTGATTCTTCTCCTTTACATGTATTGAGGGACAAAGCGCTCTATGATCTGGCTCCGGCCAGCCCTTCCAGCCTCAACTCTCACTCCCCTGACAACAAGAGATCCTATCAGGTTGAGTTTTCTTTCTTCCTTTGAACTTTCCATGCACTCATTCTTCTCTGGCATCGTATCTGCTGCTCTCTCTGCCAGGAACAATCTACCCCATTCCTGAACTGTCTTCATCACTCACCTGGCAGATCATAGCTCAGGGGCCTTGTGATCACTGAGGTTAAGGAAGGTGTCCCTCCTATGTTTCCATAGTACCCTATACATTTCCCCCTCTAGGCACAGGTCACACTGTTTGATGATTGACTCCTTATTATATCCATATTCCCCACTAGACTGTTACTGAGGGCAGGGCCTGGTGCACAGCCAGCTTCAGGAGAGCTTGGATGAATGGATGGATGGATGGACGGTTGGATGGATGGATGGATGAGTTTAGATGAATGGATGGGATTAGATGGGTAGATGACTACAGAGTGAATGAATGACTTAATGAATGAATGTATACACAGGAACTGGTCAGACTCCTGCAGAGCTTGGTGAGCCGCAAGTAAAAGACAGGTAACTAGAGAGGCCCAGGAAAAACATATATGGATCTAATTATTAAAATTGCCCAGACAAGGCCACATTCCAGAGGGTAGGGTGGTGGCTGCTGAACTCCAACCTACCCTGGTTTCATATAGATCCCAGAGCCTAGGAAGGGCATGGGGCTGGGTGCTACATTCACAGGTGAAGGCCAAATGACTCTACCACTAACACATGAATGTATTTATTTCATATGTATTTCCCGAGGGCCTACTGGGCACTGGTCCCTGTGTTGGACTGTGGGAATTTATAGATGCACAATTCAGAATCACTCTCCTGTAAGAAGTCAGTGTAATGAACAGACACTTTTCAAAAGAATACATAATGCGGCTGACAAGCATATGGGAAAAAAGCTCATCCTCACTGATCATTAGAGAAATGCAAATCAAAACCACAATGAGATACCATCTCACACCAATCAGAATGACTATTATTAAAAAGTCAGCTGGGCGCGGTGTCTCACGCCTGTAATCCCAGCACTTTGGGAGGCCGATGTGGGCAGATCACAAGGTCTGGAGTTCGAGACCATCCTGGCCAACATGGTGAAACCCTGTCTCTACTAAAAATACAAAAAATGAGCCAGGCATGGTGGCACGCACCTGTAGTCCTAGCTACTCAGGAGACTGAGACAGGAGAATCACTTGAACTGGGGAGGCGGATGTTGTTGCAGTGAGCCAAGATCGCGCCACTGCACTCCAGCCTGGCAACAGAGTGAGACTCCGTCTCAAAAAAAAAAAAAAAAAGGTCAAAAAATAATAGATGCTGGTGAGATTGCAGAGAAAAAGGAACACTTATACACTGAGGATGGGAGTGTACATTAGTTCAACCACTACGGAAAGAAGTATGGTGATTCCTTAAAGAGCTTAATAATAGAACTATTATTCAACCCAGCAATCCCATTATTGAGTATACGTCCAAAGGAATATAAATCATTCTACCATAAAGACACATGCACATGCATGTTCATTGCAGCACAATTCACAATAGTAAAGACATAGAATCAATCTAAATGCCCATCAATGGCAGATTGGATAGAGAAAATATGGTACATGTACACCATGGAATACTATGCAGCCATAAAAAAGAATGAGATCTTGTCTTTGCAGGAACATGGGTGAAACTGGAGGCCATTATCCTTAGCAAACTAACACAGGAACAGAAAAGCGAATACCGCATGTTCCCACTTATAAGTGGGAGCTAAATGATGAGAACACATGGGCACAAAGAGGGGAACAACAGACAATGGGGCCTGCCACAGTGTGGAGGGTGGGAGGAGGGAGAGGAGCAGAAAATATAAATATTGAGTACTAGGTTTAGAGCCTGGGTGACGAAATAATCTCTACAACAAACCCCCATGACACAAGTTTACCAATATAACAAATGTGCCCATGTACCCCTGAACCTAAAATAAAATTTGAAAAAAAGAGCTCAGTCTAGCGGGGTTGGGGAGGAACACTCACATTTCTAGACATCACAGAGTCAGATTGCTGCAGGAAATATGACAGACATCTGTATACTCCACAACAGTACTGGTGAAGGGTTTGGGAACATACTGGAAAAACATCTCTGGGAAGCAGAGACTTGCAAATGGTGGGAAAAGGAAGGAGCAGGCCGGGACTATCTTGCTGATGCTGCTAACAGAAGGTGTCACCGTGTAGGGATTCACAGAAGAGGCCTTGGGATCAGATGACTTGGAGTCTAATCCCAGTCCCCAGTTTCTTAGCTAAGGACCCTGAGTGAGCTACTATCTCCTCTAAACTTCCATTTCCTCTGGGGTACAATGGTGGTCAGGTGCCCCAGAGGCTGACTCTGAGACAAAGATTGATGTGCAAATGATTTATGAGGAAAGCTTCCCAGGGAAGACTAGAGGGAGCAGGGCAGGGCTGGGGAGGAAGCCAGGCAAGGAGTGACTTCAGGCAAAGCCTCCTACTGCCCTTAGCGGGATTCCTGGGGAACTCAGAAGTGTTAAGTTTCTCTCTGATACTCTGCCCTTGACAGGAGGCAGGCTTTCCTACCCCCACCCTGCTGCCCACAGGCCTAGGACCCCTCCCTAGGGCACAGACTCCCAGGTAATAGGGACTCTCTCACCCACACAAAGTGACTCTAGCAGCTCATGGATCATCCTCCAAAGATAGTCACAGGTGCTAGGGCTCAAAAATAAACAATAGAAGTCAAAAGGGACCTGAAGACCATCAACAACATCCATTATACTCCCTCACATTGCTCCCAAAGGAAAGACTGAGATCAAATTTGTAAAGGCTTTATCACTGCGCCTGGCACACAGCAAGCAATAAAAGATAGCTATGATTGTCCAAAAAGGCTGAATGCACCAAGTGTTTAGGAAGTGCTAGGCCCTTGATGAGTACTAGACCTGGCTGGATGGAGCTGAGGAAGAGTGACCGGCACCTAGAGAGGCCTTTAGAGCAGCGCGGCTGGGAGTGGCCACCTCTCTTTTTATCCGGTGCAGCAAAAGACCCAGAATTCTCAGAACCGCCGCCGACCAAAAATGAAAAAACAAACAAAAAAATGGTATCAGCAATTAATTAGGCCTTTGCTTCAGTGCTCTGCTCTCTCTGTTTGCCTTCACCAGCTTAGCATCCAATTTTTTAGCTGAGAAGGAGGGGCAGCAGGTTTCTGAGATATTTTTTGCTAATGGGCTGAAATATTACACCCATAATTATAGCCTGGCTGCATATTTTTTTTCTTTTGCTCATTTTGTTCAGCGTGGCAAACATTGTATCTGATTACAGCCATTCATGTCTTCTTTATGAAATAGGGTTTATCACACTCGGCAGAAGGGATCAGTGGCGCTGGAGAAATTATCCAGGCTAAGAAACCCTCTATGGGCCTCTGCGGGGGAGAGGGATGCTGCCAGATCTTGTCTCCTTGGATGGGACAAGATGAGAGTGAGAGGGACTGGGACAGGAAGGATGGAGACAACCTGTCTCTGCTACTCTCCACCAGCCTGTTCCATTTTCTCCACCATCCCAACCTCCCCCCACCCATGCCCACTCCTGCCTCTGGGGCTTTGCTCATCCTGCCACCACCTTTGGCCCTTTTAAGAATGCCCTCCTCCTTCTTGTCTACCTAGACCAGTACAATGCCAAGTATGGTCCACAGACCAGCATCAGTACTTCCTAGGAGTCGGGAGTTTGCCCTCCCAACTATTGAATAGGATCTCTGCGTGCTGGGGCCCTGCAATTTGGATTTTAACCAGCCCTCCGGGGGATTCAGAAGCTCTCTCCAAAGCTTGAGACCCACTGAGCTAGATCAATCCTAAATCTAGGGCGTAGAGTCAAACGGGTCTGGGTTCCTGGTTCTGCCTCTTACGCTGTGCCATTGGGCAAGTTGTTTAATCTCTATGGACTTCAGTTTCTCATCTACAAAATAAATTATACCTGATTCGTGGGAGGAATTAAAATAATATTCTTAGATTGAGCCATATGAAATTTCAGGTTTTCTAGGCCAAGAACGCTTGAATAGCAGCAATTTCATGCGGTTCAACCCGATAGCTCCCTTCGTTTCAGCCTGCAGATCTCAGCTCAGACCACACCTCTGCATGAACCATCCATGATTACCCGGGCACAAAGTGCACGCATTCCTCGGAAAAAGCCCAGAGCTTCCTTTCCCAGCTTGTCAATTCCTTATGGGCTATCTCTGGTGCTTCTCTAGGGTGCCAATGTCATACGCTTCCCTCCCAGGCAAAGCCTCCTGGCCCCATATCCCTCACAGCAGAGGTTACTACCCATCTTTGACTTTTAAAAGAATTACTGACTGAGGCAGGAAGGCAGGAATTATTTGTTTAAAAGGAAGAGGGGTGGACAAGAGATACCGGGGATAAAAATGAGAGGTTTAAGATCCAAAGCAGAACCATAGTAGGTGTCAGGGGAAGACAAGTTCAAAGTGGAGTTTAACAGGAGGCGAGGAAAAGGCAGGAACCAGAGAGCTGCATTTCATGCCTGAAAAGGAGGCATCACACCATTGCAGACCCTCGGGTGTGAGAGGGGCTGCGGGGCACTTGACTGTGGAATGGCTCAAAGTGTGGTCCCTAGAACAGTAGCACCAGGTGTTACCTGGGCTTTGCACTCCCTCCAGCTGCTGAGTCAGAATTCCAAGAGTGGGACCTGGCAATCTGTTCAATCAGCTCTCTGGGTGACCCTGCTGCTCACTAACATTTTGAATCACTGGTTTTGTGTCTCTACCACTGCAGGTTCCTGTCCTCTTGAGAGGATCCTGCAAGTGGCCATGGAATCCACCCTTGAACACCTTCAGTGTTGGGAAGCTCTCTCCTTTCCCTTTCCAAAGCATCCTTTCCTCCTGCTGAGTGATGTCTCAGAAGAAAGAGCTGAAACTGGGGGGCGAGGGGCAGGGAGAGAAGATGTCAGGGTGGGAAGCAGTTTAGCAGGATGGAAAGGACTTTCCTCAACAAGATTCTCTGTGGCTAGATTTGCTTGAATACAGGAAGACTAATACTCCAGTAAGAGAATTACTTATTTGAAATTAACTCTTGATTATAAACTAAAATTACAGAAGGTCTTAATTACCCTTGAAATAAGTTAGTACTGGGGATATCTCACTATTGGTGGTGGGTAGAATGGGGAGGTAAGGGGTATCTCTAAACATCAGAGTAGGACTAAACACTGCCTGTTTAGGCTCTAATTTATTTTTATATTCTCAGCTCTTGAAAATGACCTACATGTTTACTGAATACCCACAGTAGGCCAGACACTGTTCTATATATTAACTATACAAGGTTTTGAACAGGATAGAAACATTTTCTGCCCTCATAGAGCTTACTTGCTGGGAGAGAAGACAGACAATAAACCAGGGAACCAAGCTGTGATATAATTTCACATTGTCATATATGCAGTGGTTTAAAAAAGTAAATGTTAAAGCACTTTTCCAACAAGGTTTACCCTAACCACCCTATTTAAAATCACAACCCCGTCCAGCACCCGTGATCACCCCTCAGCTGCTGTAGTTTTTCCCATAGCACATGCCACTTTCTAGAATAGCATAATTTAGGTATTTATTATATTTATTGTCTGTCTCCTCCCACCAGAATGTACTCCAAGAAGGCCAGGAAAAGAAAGTGTGGGGTGCTAATAGTGGGGTCTGTCTTAGTCACTGAAGCATCCCAGGTTTGTAAAGAGTGCTGAATCTGTATTATTTGGTGGCTTCCAACCAGGGGCAATTTTGCCCCCCAGGGACATTTTGCAATGTCTGGAGTCATTTTTAATTGTCACAAGTAGGAGGAGGATGCTCCTAGCATCTAGTGAGTAGAGGCCAGGGATGCTGCTGAACATGCTACAATGCACAGGAGAGCCTCCCCATCCCCCCGACACAGAAGGATCCATCCAAAAAGTCACGTGTTGAGGTTGAGAAAGCCTGTAGTAGAGAGTCAATAAATATGTGTTGGGCGGGTGGATTTAATGAGAAGAGAACGCCTATGGAAGGGTCCTATTTCACAGAGGGTAGTCACAGATGCCTCTCTGAGAAAAGGGCATTGCTTGGAGAACTGAACAATATCATGGAGCAAGCCACGTGGAGGGCCAAAGAAAGAACTTTCCAGGCAGAGAGACCAGCAAAGGTGAAGGCCTAGCATCAGAAGCAAGCTCCAGAGCTTCAACATGCTGCGAGAAGGATGGTGTGACTGGGATGAAGGGGAGAGGTGCTGAGGCCTGAGGGGAGGCAGGAGGGGCAGGGGTCAGACTTCAGAAGCTCTGCAGACCAAGGGACACAGCCTGGGTGTTATTTTAAGCAAGGTTCAAAGTCATGTAGGGAAGTAATGCGAACTGATTTATCCTCCGGTCTCTGCTTGGGGGATAGAGTTTAGCGGGGAGCAAAGTGAAAGTAGCAAAACCAATTAAGATAGAACTGCAGTGGTTCTAGGAAGAAACGTGGGGCCTGCCTTAGGGTGGGAGCAGAAGAGGAGGGGTGAGAAATGGGCAGCTTGGAGGGTGTATTTGGAAGGTAGAGTCACAGAACTTGGTGATGGGTCAAGTGTGGAAAAGGGATGACTCTTAGGTTTGGAGATGAAAGAAAGAAAGGAGGAAGGAAGGGGGGGTAGGGTAGAGGGGGGGAAATTAATGATCCCAGGTTGTACAGTTAGGGACAACACAGACTAAATTCTAGATATCGTGGTTCAGCCTGATGTCATTTATGCATCAGCACATGATTCTTATGGACTAGCTATTTCCTTCCATCTCCCAAACATCAATATTGAGAACATTCTGTGTAGAGCCTCTAAAGGATACAGAGAAAATCTAACCCATCTCCAGGAACTTACATCCCAGAGAAGGAGACAGACACATAAACAGCTTGGACAAGAGACGACTGGTGAATGTTAGAACAGAGATTCAAACAATGTAAGGAAGCAGGAGCTGGAATCCTACTGGGAAACTATTCAGTAGTTTGACTTTGACGAATGGGTGGCATTTAAGGATATTAAATGGCCAAAAATTCCTGAACCAGGAATCACCTAACCCTGGAAATAGAGAAATTTCAAATTCTTGATGACCCTGGCAACATCTGAATGGGCTGTGTGGCAATGAATCAAATATCAAAAAAATCAAATATCTATACATTCCATATTTCTCACAGGATATCTGTAGTACCAGGGGAGAAAAAACCTAGCGCAGAGCAGGGACCCAGCAGATTATGTCTATAGCAATGACAAACATATTGATGTTTATGTTATCTATTTAATTGAAATGTCTATTATTTACTTTGTCTGGATGGGGATATCGATGATGGTGAACTGAGGGTGATAAAATTTGTGAGGATGCGGTTGAAGATATTGATCATACTGTAGACACAATATTGGTGATTCCCCATGGATGGTGAGATTAGTGATGGCCCTAATGATCCTGCTTTTTATAACATTGATTATGATGTTGGTGTGGACAGGTTGGTGGCAGTGACCATAATATTGCTATTGCTAGTGACAATGGTGGTATGAATAGTGATGTTGGTATTAGCCATGACTCTAAAGACAATGCTTTTGATGATATTGATGACATTGGTATGGGATATATTGATGACAGTAGCAATTACAATATTGCTAATGATTAATGATGGTATTTATATTGAAACAATATCAGTAATAGTGATATTGGTGATAAGGATTCTGATATTGGCAATGTCAACATTAGCAATGATATTGATTCTGGTGATGACATTGGGAGTGGTTTAAAAGCTGCTGCTGTGTGATTTGGCAACACCGATGGAGATGATAATGGTTATGCTGACACTGATGATAGCATTTGTGATAATGATACATAGCATGATGATTGAGAGCTTGTTTTGGCACCAAAGAGACTTGAGTTCAAATCCAAAGTCTGACATTTACTACTGTGTGACCTCAAAAATGCCAGCCACTTTGTACCTCCATTACTTCATCTATTAAATGAGGATATTATAATGGTGCCTATTTTCTAGGACTGATGTGAGGATTAAATCACATCCTGCATGTAAAGCCTGGAATACATAAAACAGTGAAATTAACATGATGATGATGGTGATGATGGTGAGATGCCCCTGGAGATAATGGCACTGATGACTTTTTTGATGATGCAGTTAAGATCATTTATTGGTGATATTATGTCAGCGATTGTGATAAAGCTATTGATAGTGAAGAGACCGATAATTTTGATTACAATTATGATCGATGGAATTGGCATGATGGAGTGTTAAAAGCACTCATCTTGGCATCAAACAGCAAGGGTTCAGTTTCCAACCATGCCTCTTCCATTCTGTGTAACCTTGGCCACATCACAGCTTGTGAAGGCTAGAAGGCCACTTGGAGCTCATCTCATCCACCCTCTTGTTTGACAAATGAGGCAATTCAGGTCCAGAGAGATGAGGTGACTTGCCCTGGTCCCTTCAGCTGATTAGCTCGGCAGGGCTGGAATGGGGCTCAGTCCCTTTCCCTCTTCAGCATATTTAGTCTCTCTGATTAGACTCCTTTGCTCTGTGTGTGTGTGTGTGTGTGTGTGTATGTGTTCATGCACACATGTGCATGTGTGTGTTCTTCTTAGCATCTGCTAGCAGAGCAACCAGTCCAATTTGCAAAGAACCATTTTGTGAGAAGTCAGGTCCTGGGTGTCCTCTTTTTTCCTCTCCCCAGATAAGCAGAGACCAAGGATTGCTACGGATTGGCTGTGGCTGACAAGGAGTTGAAATGGGTAATATTTGCCTAGTTTTTAATGTCTGGTGTCTATAGCTTGCACTTCCATCATTCTATTATATTGATGACAGGCAGGCCCAAGCCACAGAGAAGAAACAAATTACCTAATAAATCAAGGCCCCAGCATCTAAAGTGGACAGTGTTATTAGACTAGGGGAGAGAGGGATGCTAAGTGATAGGTAGGGCTGCCTGGGAAAATGGTCCAAGCAGGGACTCATCTGTCTATTTCTCCATAAATAATTACACACAACTGATATGCATCTGAGACAAAACATGATATGTTATTATTAACTAAACAGTGGGAGGGGGACCATGGCAGGAGGCAGGAGGGAGAGAGCACTGGGAAAACACACAGCAGCATTCATGATATCCCCCGCTATAGAATAGGCATGACCATAATAGCACTTACCTCATCGTGTTGTTGTGAGAATTAAATGAGTTAATGCTTGGAAAGCACTTAGAAGAGTGCCTGCTACAGGGCGAACACTACGCTGAGTGTGTATTAAATAGATGATCGTCTCCACTTTATGAATGGAGAGGCTGAGGCACAGAAGGAAAGCAATGAGTGCAAGGCAATAAAGAGCAAAAGTGAAACTGATGTTTGAATCCGTATCCAGTCAACTCTGAAATTCAAATTCTTTCCCCTTCCTAGGGGTAGGCAAACTTTGTCTTTAAAGAGCCAGACAGTAAATATTTTAGGTTTTAGGCTTCGTAGGCCACAGAACCTCTTGCAACTACAGTTGACCCTTGAACAACATGGATTTGAATTGTGCAGGTCCAAACGTGGGCCAAATATACAGTGTATGCAGAATGCAAAACCCTAGCGTAAGGGGGGCTGCCTTTTCATATATGCAGGTTCTGCAGGGCCCATGCAGAGCTTGAGTATTCACAGATTTTGGCCTCCACTGGGCTCCTGAAAACAATCCCTTGTGGACACGGTGTTGTAGCTTGAAAGCCACCATAGACCACCTGTAAAGGAATGGGCACAGCGGTACCCAACAACACTTTATTTATAAAAACCGGCAGCAGGCAGATTTGGCTATAGTTTGCTGACTAACCCCTGGCCTTCACTACTTGAACAACTCACCTAAGTGATCCCTCTTCAACAAGACCTCTTAAAATATCTGCACTCTGTACCATGGGGTGGGCATTTTTCTCTCCCTGCTCATTCCACACCCCTTGCAGACACCCTTCACAAAGGGCTTTGCCTTTGTTGGTCCCTGTGAGCGTCCTGTGGCTTGGGAGGGCAGGGGCGCCCCAGCCCACAGGGTGGAGCCTGGAGGAGGTGGTGCTCTTGGAGAGCAGTGTGCAAAGCCGGGAAGCAGCCACTGCACTGCCAAACCTCTGTGGGCTTTGCCTAGAAGCCCCATGATAATCCTTTGTGGGCTGTCAATAAGCAAGTTGAACCCCGTAATCACCCACCGCTTAGCTTCCTGGCTTTAATTTCTGTGGAGGCTGGAGAAAACAGTGGCTAAGGATTTTGCTTCCAGACAATAGCAGCAAACATTTTCCCCAAAGACATCTCAAAGCGGGGCTGGCACTACCTCATCTGGTTAAGCCTTTCAGCTCTCACACACACAGGCCGAGGGGCCAAGCTGAGCAAGAGTTGCACACACTGCCCCAGAAAGCTGCCTGCACGCTCCAAGACCAGGAACAAAAGCAGCCCTTGAGTGCTTCCAGAGCCTTCTCAGGAAGCCTTCTCAGTAAAAGGCTGGAGGCTCCCCCAGCTTCCTCCCACCCATAACCCACCCCTGACCTTTCTGACCCTCCATTCGGGGACAACACATAGGCCCCCTTGTGACTTCATCCTTTCTCTCGCACCGTGGCCCTCCTCCAGGACAATAATGAGGACCTATTAGGTTTCATTATTTGAGCTGATAATTGCCAGGCAGATAATTTAGTAGATACTTCAGCATAGCAAAATTGCCTTTGGTTTAGTCTCAGTGGCTCAGTGGGTTCCTGTTCTGTTAGGAAATCCCACTCTGATCTTTTTGCAGTAGAGAACTACTCTTGGGGGAGATCTACAAATTCTTTTCAATGCTTTAATAAAACAAAAAACAAAAACGCCAGCCAGCAATGAGGTATTGAACAATTGGTTTGGAATCAGAAAGCATAGGTATGAGCTTGAGCCTCACAACCTGCTAGCTGTGAGCCTTGGGCAAATAACTGGTTCTGTCTGAGTCTCTGTCCTTCATCTGTAGTGTGGTTGGAGTCTCAGCTCTGTCACAAGCTGTGTGGCCTTCAACAAGTCACTCTGCTTTTCTGGTCTTCTCATCCTTAAAGTGGGCTGACAATCCCTGCCTACCTACATACCTGCCTGCCATGATCCTGTAAGGATCGAAGTGAGAGATGGAGTGAGATGGCACTTGGAAACTTACAGGACAATGTGTCAGAACGGTGACTTATTATAGGGTGTGCAGATTTGGAGACTGGTCAGGAGTAGGGTCAAATATGGCTGTCTCACAAGTTCTATTGCTGTGAACACAATGGCCAAGTGTAGGCTTCCAAGATGGTAGGGTTGAGGTTGGAGAAAGATGTCTTGTCCCTTCTCTAGTGGCTCAGAACTACATGCATCTGAGCCTGCAAATGGGCCTTCAATCATGCCATAGAAGTCAGGGGCAAGTAAATGGTTTGCCAGGTCCCAGAGCCAGGAGTACTGGACAGGGAGTGAGGAAACTGGCATTCCCAAGCGATCTCTTTTGTGTCTTTAATACTCATTTATTCCTTCATCTCACAATACTTCCTGAGCATCCACAATTGGGGAAGGTCCTTGACCGAGTGCTTGGGAGACAGAGAAATAGCCCTGCTCTCTGCCCTCAGGTAGTCAAGTAGCCAATTATAACAAGTGTTGTTTGTACCATGAAAAAGTGTGCTCCAGGGGCAGTGGGGTCCAGGAGAGAGAGGAATTGTGTGGTGGGGATGGAGAGATGCCACAGGATCAATGGTACTTGGTCTCAGTGGCTGTGGGCACATCACTCCTGCTCCCCAGGCACCTGCCTCAGCATGCATCAGAAAGCAGGATTGCCCGTGTCAGCCCAGCCCACTTCCCCAGGGAGCTATGAGCAGCAATTGAAATAAAGTGGAGGTGGCCCAGGAAGTTAATGTGATAGACAGATGTAAGAAGTGGCATTATAAGCATGGCAACTACTAGGCTAATTGGACAAGTAGACCTACGTGTGGCTTCCAGATCTCCTGCCACCTGGGCACCATCCACACCCTTGTGCCAACCTGGGTCACTGAACACTCCAAAGCCCTGCCAGGCAGGGCCCATGCTCTGGGCATCTCCTCCCACCACGGTGTTCAGATTCTACAAATCTGGAACTTCAGCATTCAAACTAATTCTAGAATGGGATAAAAAACATTTAGGTCCCCTTGTTTTGTGGTTGGGGTAAGTGGCATCCCAGGAGGATAAAGGACTTGTCCAAGCTCATTCAACCAATCAGCGTCGGGGTGGACTTTCAAATCTAGATTTCCTTTCTCCTCCACTCGCTGCTCCCAGGGTCCCCTTCATCCTAAGCCATGCCTTCTGCCTCCTGCCTGTGATAAATTGAATTGTGTGTAATTGATAAATTATGCAAAAGGGCGCCTGGCAGTTTTCTGAAATGTTGTGTAGCTTCAAGGCAGCCCCTGGGGAGACAGCCTAATTTTATGGAAACCTCACACTCTGTCTGGCCTGTTTTGTGTAAGTCAGATTGATATAACAAGACTTTGGGGAGTTGACTTGATTTCTAATTTTATTCTCTAGGTGAGCTGAATGAGATATAACTGTAATGAGTGTGTTGTCTGGGGCGGACAGTATAACAGCAGTGGAGAAAAATGTCTTTTCATCTGCCTAATGGATTGTTTCCCCAGCTGGACTTCCCTGCTTCAGGATCCAGCCTTCCCCCTTTTTGGGGGAGGAGGCCATGTAGCAAGTGAAGGGAAGCACAGGGAGTGGAGGGGAAAAATCCAAGCCTTGCAGGAAGGAGGGACAGCAGGACTGAGCGACTCTGTCCTTTCTGCTAAGGCCACCCAGCCCAGCCCTGGCATAGCCCTTGGCAACTTGTTTTTCCCGAAGTCAAAGAGCACCACACTTTCTCCCTCAATTCTCTTTGACTAAGCTAAGTATTAGACCAAAACATTCATGAGTATTAATACTTAAAACTTTCCTGAGTATGAAGGCCCCACTGAAGATCGTGCCTCCATGGTTATCAGCCTACCTGGCACGCCATGGCATGAAGGGCAGGTTCCATTACCTTATAGAACCAGCGGGGCCTCTTCCAGCTCACAAGAGGACACGTGAGCCATGTGCAAAAGGGACCCATTCTGTTGGGCACTGACTATGTGCCAGATGTTGTAACCCTGACAACAACCCTAAGAGGTAGATTCGAATGTCCCCACTTCACAGGCGAGGAAACTGAGGCCCAGAAGGGTGAGATGACACAGGCTCACTTGCCTAAGCTTACAGAGCTCCTCGGTGACCCAGGCTAAGACTCGAACTTGAGTCTCTGTGACACTGAAGCATACTCTGTCTTCTGTTCCACACTGGCTCCCTTAGGAAGAGGGGCAGAGGGGCTGCTCACTGCAAAATGTCAATACTCAGCCTCTTCCTCAACCCGGCCCACTTGGCTTTCAGCTTAGCCATGGCCCTTCATTTTAGCCACGCCCCTCACACGTTCATTCTTAAAGATTTACTGAAACATCTTAATTCAATATAACCATAGATTCTAAAACGGCAGCCCCCCCCATTCTTCCCTCTCTCTCCATCCCCATGCCCTCTCCCTCTCTCCTATTCCCGACACTCCCACCACACACTCACACCCTGACCCCCTACCCTGACATCCTCCAGCCAGACACAGCCCAGACAGGCTGTGGCAGCCCTGGAGCCAGGAGCCCCAGACTGTGACCTGGGGGCTGCCACTGATTTTCACGGGCCCTCTCTGGGCCTGTTTCTTCAACTGGCAAACATGGACAAAGAAATGTCCTCCCACCTACTCCCTGGGGCTGTCTGAAAGCCTTGAGGTGATGAGTATGAAAACGCTGTAAAAGCCGGTAGTCTAATTACAATAGCAAGAATAATAATAGTGGCTCCCATGTATTAGATGCTAACTGTGGGCCTGACCTGGGCTGCACTGGATGCTCCTAGGCTTGTAATCTTGCCTCTTGGTGAGACTGTATCACCACTGCCCAAGTCCATTGTCACTCACACAACTTTCTGAGGCCTGAGTGTTTTGTTCCACACCCCCTACCACTCTGTGCCAATTGGAAGGTCAAGGAGGCCAACAAATAATACCCCTCTCTCCTTCCAAGTCTAGAACCTAGTTAAGAGAGAGTCCAGGAGGCAGACAATGGAGATGAAAATGTCAGCCTTATGTCCAAAGCTGGATCTGAGGTCCTGGCTTAGAGCAGGGGGGGATCAGTGGGTTTCCTGATTCTTCCTCCTGAATGAGCCTTAAGAAATTTCAGCCCCTTTCCCCACTGCCCAGGTAGTTCTGGCCCAGTTAACAGGATCTGATCACAAGGCCCACAAGAGGCCAGAAGGCCCCTCCTTGCAGGCAGGCAGGCAGGGCTGGAGGCCAGAGCCAGAAGGGGCAGGCTAGATGTGCGCATTTCCCCCCAAACTCTCCAGCTCCCCTAACCAGTCAGTGATTCGTCTCCAAGGAAACAATGGCCAGGCAATGGTGGCCTTAGGGTGACCAACCATCCCAGTTTGTCTGGAACTGTTTTCATTTTAGCAAGAAAAGTCCCACATTCCAGGAGATTCCTCAGTCCTGACCAAACCGGGAGAGCTGGTCACCCTAGGAGGTCCCTTAACATTTTGCAGATCCCTGTCCCCCTACCCCGGTGCCTGCCCCGCCCTTGCCCTGAACTGGATCTCATCAGGTTTTCTTGCCCAGAGGTTCCTGGCCTCTCCAAGTGGTCTAGGTAGCTGCTGGGACAGGCCACCCCTGGGCTTGGGCCTAGCTCTCCAGTGCTCCGTGCGGTGGCATCAGACAGGTCCCCAGAAACCTGGGCAATGCAGACCCTGCTCAGATCCCCAGGCCCTAGTCCTTCCCTGGGTACTACCCAGAAAACCCCTGGCCTGCAGGCTGGCCTGCTCACTGTGCCCCTGGAGCTCACAACATTCCTGCCCAGGAGCCTGTCTTCCTGCAACGGTGGGGGCAATAATTCTAATCCTCTTTGCCTGCACAGCACCCCTAGGGTGACACACCTCATCTCTTATGTGTCTCCTGACCACCCTGTGGCAGGACCAGGTTGGGAAGGGATCATCCTTCCCTCTGATCAGAGAGCAAATGTGGCCTGGCTATCATCCTCGGGGTCACAGCTAGTCAGGGCCTCAGCGAATCCTGTCCTCGTGACTTAAGGACAAAAAATGAGAGGCGAGAAAGGCAGCTTGGGAGACTGACATTTAGCGGGAGAAGCAGCCCTGACTTCTTATCTAAGCAAAGACATGAGTGGATGGCGCTGGCATGAGCCTCACTTCCCCTAGCAGTGAAACAGAGCCCTGTGCTACCTAAAGAGGCCTCCAGGTGTGCTGAAATTCTTTGCCCAGGACCTTGGCTTCACTTAGCAATGACCCTGGGTCCCTACTGGCTGTCCCTTGGGCTCTCCCAGCTCATGTGGCCTGACTTAGACCCCACATATGGGACCCACCATTCCAGGTCCTGGCTCAGCCCTTGGCTGGAAGCCAAGTTCCCGGTGTGTGAGGTCTCTGCTGTGTGAACTTTACAAGTCATGTACCGTATTAAGACATCTGAGGGCTCTAGAAGAATAAACCCACACCTTCTCTGGAAAAGGGATGATAAACCTAGAGGGTGTCAGTAACCTAGGAACTGCAGAGACAGGATTAGGGGAGCAACCGACATTTAGGAGCTGCTACCTGTTGGCCCTGAAATCAATTCCCGCTGCAGCCAGCCTGGGGCCAAGCTCTGGAGAAAGGGAGTCGGGAGGGGCCTAGAGTGGGGCCTTCAGCCAAAGTCATCCAACCACACCCATGACACACAGACTGTGTGTTAGGCCTCCATGGAGCAGGGAGGTTAACACAAGACACAGGGGACCTGGCCTCTATCCTCAGGAGATGTCTGGGAAGGATGGAAGGGCCCTGGGGCTGGAGCTTGCTATGGAAGCCCCTGTGTCCACAGCCTCTAAAGGGAGACTGAAGAAGCGGCAATCTCAGCTGACTCACGGCTGTCAGAGCTGAGGGGCAGTTCGTACCTGCTTCAGCCCGCCCAGTAGCCAACTCCAAGGAGGGAGGTGGGGACCTGGATGTGCAGTGGGGGATGCACAGGGACCTTCAACCCCACCCGGAAAGGGGAGGAAAAAAGCCGAGACAGGCTGGAGCAGATAAGGCTGAATGTGAATGCTCAGGGAATCTGGGTGGTAGGGTGGGGCTGCCAGTGATGTTCCTGGTTGTATTCTATTTACTTTCTCTGGATTTTACCATTTAAAACAGAATCTAGTTCAATGAGCAACAGGGGAACCAAGATGGGATGTGGCCGGGGGCTTTGGTCACACAGGGGCAAGCTGGTGCTTCATTCCAGACCTCTCTGACCCCAAGCCACGCACACCCCAGCACTTTGGCCTCTTCTTCTCTACAGCAGGGACCGTCACCCACCCTACAGACTCCAAGTCATTATGATGGTCTTTAAGGTGATGCCCACAGAATCACACCTTATGGACTGTCTCCTACCCTCTGTGTCAGCAAGAAAGCTTGCTTGAGCAAATATAAGATAGTGGGGCTTACGAAAACAGCAAGAATGAACAGCAGGTGCCTCACAGCTGAGAAACACCAGCCGGCCAGGGAGCCTGGTCTCCAGCAAGGGTCCTGCTCGTGTGTCAGCGCCTCCCGCACCTTGCCTGCAGGACCGACCCGGAGATGGATGCCTTTAGAAATCCTTTCTCCCGGGCCCCTCCCACCTCTTCTTTTACATTCGTTTGCATATTTGGCTCTTTGCACCTAGAATCCTCTGTTATCTCCAAAGTCAGAGAGCATCCATTGTCCTCGCCAAGGGAAATCCCCAGATCCACCTCCTCTCCCTCCCCTGGCTCAGGGCCCTTTCCTGTCACCCCTGTAATCTTCAGAATCCAAACTGTCTTTGCATATTTTGTGTCTTCCTCTCCAAATCTGACTGCTCCTGCCATCTAAGTCTAGCTCCCACCCCTGCAGCGCCATCCCTGAGCTCTCTGACATGCGGGTCTCCTGCCCATCCTCAACCTCAGTGGCCGTGGCTGAATCCTCCTGTAATCTCCCCTTAATCTGACCTTCATGGTACAGGCTCATCAGAGGAAACACGGCCCATCACACCAAGCAGGCATGACTAGGCCACTTCTTCAGATCCCTGGAGGACTCTGGAGGTGGGCAAGCTAATGGCTGCGTTTGCTGCCTCGTCCTCCTGACCCTCGGGAGTCAAGGTCAGGCCCAGCTGCCCTCAGAGCCCCTCTTGGCTTCCATGTCTGTGAAGAGCGGGGAGTGTTCTGGCACAGGAGGCCGGCTCGCACAGGCCTGGATGGAAAGGAAGCCCCTATGAGTCAAGGGGAAGTCCAGAGACCCACTTGAGTCAGGCGTCTGCTTGAAGAGTGCCCTAAGTGAGCGTCAAGTGGGGAAGCGTGTCCTCTGAACATCCGGACTGTTCCGTTCTGAGAGTGGGAAGGCTCTCGGCTGGGCTGGAAACGGATCATTAGGAGTCTGAGAGGAAGAAGTGGAAAGGCAGCATTTTTGGTGCTTTTCCCAGGAGCGTGGAGTGTCTGGCTTGGGCAGAGCCCAGGAAGATGTCAGGACCCACCCAGCCCACGTGCTGAATGTGGGGACTGGTCCCACTTCTCCATTTATGATGTGATATCCAAGAGAGACACAAAGAAAGCCTTCTCATAAAGCAACCCCTGAACACTTGGTGAGATCCAAGGTCATTTGGCACTTGATCAAGGGGTCATTTAAGCTTCAGCCTCCTCCTTCCTTTTCATGGCCACACAGGGTGCATGGGACAGTAAGTCACCCACCTGCAGCAGGGAGCGCAGGACTGGGACCGGGCTGGAGGGTGGCTCTGACCCAGGATTCCAGCAACCTCACCAGGTGAGATTGGCAACCCTCCCTCCTTCTCCCAGCCTCAGCATCCCTTGTATCAGTAAAAGACAAGGATTGGACTAGGAGGCTTCTAAAGGCTCTTGCAGTTCAGGAAGTGCAGAATTGGGCCCTGTACTTGCACAGGTTTGAAAATAAGTGCCTCACTTCTCTCACCTTAATCCTGGCCAGCGGTCCTATCTTTATTTGAAATTTTGATATTTTATTCATCACGGATTCCTTTTTGCTTTAATTTTGATTTTTTTTTAATTAATAGACAATTCTTTTAGAGCAGTTTCAAATTTACAGAAAAATTAAATGGGAAATACAGAGTTCCCATGCATCCAATTGAATGCATCCAATTCATGAATGTATTGTAATGTATGCATTGACACATTAGAATTGATATTGATTAATATCAATAGTATTGACTAGTATTGATACCTTAGTAGTAACCGAAGTTCACGGTTTACATTAGGGTTCATTCTTAGTGTTGTATATTCTGTGGGTTTGGTAAATTTATAATGATGCGCCTCTACCATGATAGCATCATGCAGAATAGTTCCTCTGCCCTCAAAATCCCCTGATCTCACTTATTCATCTCTTTCCCCTCTCCCCTGTTCCCAACCCCTGGCAACCACTGATCTTTTCACTGTCTCCACAGTTTTGCCTTTTCCAGAATGTCTTATCGTTGGAATCATACAGTCTGTAGACTTTTTGGATTGGCTTCTCTCACTTAGCAATGTGTATTTCAGGTTCCTCCAGGTCTTTCTGTGGCTTGGGAGCTCATTTTTTATGGCTGAATTATATTCCATTGTCTGGATGTACCACAGTTTATTCATCCTTCCACCTACTGAAGGACATCTTGGTTTCTTCTGATCCCTGTCTTTATTTGAAATTTTGATATTTTGTTTGCATTAATTGTGATGTTTTTAAAATTTTTCACTTAAATTTTATTTTTCTTGATCACTAAATTTTTCTGGTTCCTTGTAAGTTTTGTGCATGAGGCATGCTCTAATCCTGGCCCTGGTCTTACCTCTGTTTGCTCAATATTCAGAAGCGAGGGAAAGGCAGGTGATACCAAGCATGGAGCAGAATCCAAAAGACACAGCCCAGTACAGGTCTGGGCACCAGGGGGCTCTGAAGCACCTTTAGGGGAGTCCTTGGAAATACTGATGGGCCCCTTCTTCCCCATTACCTCTGCTGTCCCCTACATCCCTCACTGCTTCTAAGCTCCTCCCCTGTCCTCTCGGCTGGATATCCAATCTTGGATAGCAATGCCAAGCCCTGTCTTCCCAAGCAGCTGCTTCTGCCACGTCTCCCTCCTTAAGAATCCACACAGCCCCTCAGTGCCTTCTGCATCTGGTCCAAACTCCTTGGCATTGGAGGCCCGTGCTCAGCCTGCCATCCCCATAATTGGGTTTTCCACAGGCTTCGGCCACACCGGGAAGCTTTACTCGCTCTCCCCTGCCTCCCCTTCAGGCTTTTGTTCGTGCCATGTCCTCACCTTGGGACACCCTCTTCAAGAAATGACAAGGCATCATGGAGGGCTCAATCCTTTCTGAACCAGAGATCTTTCTTCAAATAAAACAGTTCTTGAAAACCTTACATATAAAACAAGTCCAAACAGATCTGTTCTGCCTGGAGCAGGTGGACTCCCTCTTCTTCCCTGAGGCACCACCCCCAGAGCATGGGTGAGTCTGAGAAGCGCTGATAGAGAAGGCCCAGTCTTCAGTGACAAATTGCCTGAGCCGGAGCCCTGGGCTTCCCCCACATGCCCTTTGTGGCACTCCAGCCACAAGATCAGGAGTCCTGCTGCACTGAAAGCCCTGGGTCTGGTGCATCTGTTCTCCTATTAGACCCAGAAACTTGTCTCATTGTCCCTCCTTCATCAGTCTATTTATTTACGCAACCAGCATTTACTGAGCACCTACTGATTCTGCTACCATTTATGGAGTGCCTACTATGAGCCAGGTACTATTCCAGGCACTGGGGATGCAGGAGTGAATGAAATAGACAAATCTCTGCCCTCCTTGAGCCGACAATGGAGTGAGGGGAGACAGGTAAGAAACAAAACAAATAAATACAGTACATGGAATAATTAGAAGATGGTGAGTGCTGTGGAGAAAAATAAAGCAGGGATGAGGCATCCCAATTTCAAGGCAGAGGTCAGGGAAGGCTCCCTGGGAAGATGACATTAGAACCAAGAGTTGAAAGCTGTAAGCACAAGCTGGGAAAGAGAACTCCAGGCTGCGGGTAGAGCGAGGATCCAGGAGCATGTCTGGCTCACTGGGGAAAAGCGAGGAGGCCCGCATGGTGGGGGCTGTATGAGCAAGAGGGATTCGGGGAGGAGGGGAAAGGAGGACACCACTCTGCCATGTAGGGCCTAGTAGGCATAGTAAGGTCCTTGGCTTTTTCCAAGTAATAATTAGAAGGTTTTAAGAAGAGAAATAGCAAGATACAACTTGGGTTTTTAAAAGAAGGTCCCGATCGAAAATTTCCCACTGCTCATCAGATCCTTTCTACCTTGCTCAGAGCCCCAGGAGACTGATGGATCTGAGACAATTACATCCCAGAGCAGATCCAGATTTTGGGAGGCTTAAAGTTTAGACAATTTGTGTGGCCTTGTTTTAAAGAAGAAAAAAAGAGGTTGGGTGTGGTGGCTCACACTTGTAATCCCAGCACTTTTGGAGGCTGAGGCAGGTGGATCGCTTGAGGCCGGGAGTTCAAGATCAGCCTGGGCAACATGGTGAAACCCTGTCTCTACAAAACAGACAAACAAACAAACAAACAAACAAACTAGCTGGGCATGGTGGCACATGCCTGTAGTCCCAGGTACCTGGATGGCTGAGGTGGGAGGATCGCTTGAGCCCAGGAAGTGGAGGTTGCAGTAAGCCAAGATCACGCCTCTGCACTCCAGGCTGGGCAATAGAGTGACACCCCATCTCCAAAAAAGAAAGAAAAAGAAAAAGAAAGAAAAAAGAAACAAAGAATACAAAATTACAAGTAAAAGACCTGCAAGTGGGCTGGGCATGGTGGCTCATGCCTGTAATCCCAGCACTTTGGGGGGCCGAGGCAGGTGGATCACCTGAGGTTGGGAGGTGGAGGTTGCAGTGAGCTGAGATTGTGCCATTGCACTCCAGCCTGGGCAACAAGAGTGAAACTCCAGCTCAAAAAAAGATAAAAAATAAAAAATTAAAAAATTAAAGCAAAACAAAACGAACAAACAAAAACCTGCAAGTGAGAGGCCTGCGGCTTAAGCTTCCTTAACGTCTTATTAAATTTGCTTTGACAATACTATTCAAGCTTCTTTGCCCTCTGGCTTCCAGCTGGGTTCAGCCAGGGGCAGCTGTGGCAGGAGATGGGAGGGCATGGGGAGGGAACAGTTGGGGTGCTTATTGTCTTGGTGGTGGCAGTGTCTCTCAACTGAAGGCACAGCTGCTGTGGGTGGCCCCTCTGACAGCTCCAGCTCTTGCTGGGTCCCAGTTGCCCCAGGAGCTTGACCATCCCTGGCTGGTTTCTTGGCTAATGGAGTCTTCTTTGAAACGCTCCTCTTCTGAGTGTTCCAGGACCCAACTTGTACACTTACTCTGGCTGCTCTGTTAAGATTGGGCAGCTGAGGTAGATCCAGGAGGCCACTGCAAGAACCCAGGGCAGAGAGCTGATGGTGCTGGCTTGCCTCAAGGTGGTAGCAACAGGAAAAGGATGATGCTAAGACTTTTGATCTGGATGCCTTCTCCTGCACCCTATACACCAGCGTAGAGTATCATGGAAACCCCATAAACTCATTGACCAGGACCCCACTGTTTCCTAACTCTCTGACTCAACCTTTCTAAGCCTCAGCTTCCCCATGGGTGAGTTGGAGATTGAAGAATACTTCCCTTGAAGAGCTCCTGAAAGCAGCCAACCCATCACAGGTACTCAATGGATGTTTTCCTTCAAGATCCTCCCAGTCAGTCTCTGCTTTCTCCAGAAGCTTCCCCTGATCGATCCAGCCACACAGAATGAGCAACTGCTTCCAAAGCTTCTGTTGCATCCACAATGAGAATCAAAACATTTCTGACTTGATGCTTTCTACCATTTTCTGTGATGTCAGCGTTTGGTCTCTCCAGTTTGATTTTAGACTTTGGCAGGCTGCAAACTCTGTCCTCTCCTGAACATCCCCTGGAGCGCAGGTACAGTGACATCGACCACAGCAGCAGCATTTACTGAGCCCATCACATGCCCGGAACTGTCCAACTTTATATACATTATATTTTTTAATGTTTTATCTTATTTTTAATTGACAAGTAGTAATTGTATATATTTATAAGGTACAATGTGATATTTGGATACATGTATATATTATGAAAGGATCAAATCAGGCTAATTAGCATATCCATCACCTCAAATTTTTATCATTACTTTGTGGTGGAAGAATTAAAATCCTTTCCTGTAGCTACATTGTAATGCAAGCCCATTATCTTGTCTAATCCTGACAACAATCCCAGAAAGTAGGCAGTAATAGCATCCTCACATAAACAAGAAAACTGAGGTGCACAGTGGTTAAGCAACCTGCCCAAGGTTACACCTCACAAGTGTGGATCAAGGATTCAAACCCAGATCCATCTGACTTCATAGCCAGCCCTTTTAATTACTGCACAATGCTTCCTTTTTATCCACATAAGCACTCAAGAAATATTTACTTATTGATTAATTGGTAGACTCTGCACATTAATACTTCCAAGACTGTCTCTTTGTATGTCAGTCTGTTTTCCCCAAATGCCAACTCTACTGAAAAATGTATTGATCATTCCCTATAATAATTTGTCATCTGGTGATTGGGGTTTACAAACTGCCAATTGCCCAGAAGGAGAATGGGAATTTGGGCTGTTCAAATAGCCTTTTTTTTTAGGAGTGGGAGTTTGTCAACCGCCTTTGTAGCACACGTCTGTTCCCCTGCTGCAGGGCATGCTGGGGGAAGGGACTATCCTGCCTGATGATGGGGGGTGATCTGGGGGCCGTGGGACCCTGGGCCTGGCTGCTGGACTCTTCCCCTCGCCTACTCCAGCCCCAGAGCCAGCTGGCTGAGACAGACATTGAGTGATATCTCAGGATAGATGCCTGTCAAGTGCTTCTCATGTTGTGACAGTAGGCAATTATGATTTATTTCACAAGAAATCAACAATAAACTTCAGCAAAGGAAAAAAAAAGATCAGAGAATTTAGGATGACAAAAGCGCTTGAAGGAATTTTGTTGATGGATTTTTAACTGGAAGATAGAGAAGGAAATATTTTAAAGGAAGAAATATACACATACATGGAGAATCCCTAAATCTGCACTATCCACCTCTCCCCATCTCTGACAGCCAAGGAATTTCTCTTCTTCTAAAGCCCTGATAAAAAATCTGACGTCCTTCAGGAAGTCCTCCAGATTTCTCAGCTGGATATGATGACTTGGTCCTCTGAGCCTTCTCTCTCCCTTTATCTACCCCTGTCTAAAGGCACATCCCTTCCCACCTTAGCTGGGAGCTTTTTGTGAGCTCATCCAGCCTATCTGCTCTTTCAGAGATGAGGCAATGAAATGGCCTATGTGTGGTGAGCACATGTCTATGTGCTGTTTTGTGCATGGTACAGTTCAATAAATAAAATATGTGTTCATGCACATGTGTGTCAGTATTGGTGTCCAGCATCCTCAGGGTAAAGCAGAGGTCAATCACCCACCTTACAGTAGGAATGAATTTGTCAACATGATTCCAGTGGGAGAAGAAGAAACAAATAACTCCCAGAGGCCTCTCTCTGTCCAGTTCTGCATCATTGGTTGAGAAACCTCACCCAGCAGGCTAGTCCCTCGCCCTGTCTACACCCCAACCTTCCCCATCCTTCCTCTCTGAAAATAATTACAAACAATTTCAAATTCTGCATGAAAAGTGTTTGTTTCTACCTAGATGTTTGACCTGACTATAAATAGAGTATAATTTTGTTTTAGACATTGAAATTAGAGAACCAAAAGCATTCTATTATGTTAGTAACCATAAGCAAGAAAGCCAGGGGGAGAAAGAGCTGTTGATAAGCGTGGGTTTGAGTCAAAGAGGCTGGGTTTCAAATTCCAGCCTTGCTATTTCTGAGCTGTATGAATGCAGGCAAGCCACTAGGTTTCCTGTTCTATAAATTGGGGATAGTGTCACCTGCCTCTGAGAACTGTTAGAGATTAAAGAGATGTTGCTTGTAAAGCCCTAGGCACAGTGTCTGCTTCATGGTAAGCCCTCAGCACAGAGAATCACACTCGTTGGGGCAGAAAGCTGGGGTCCATCCGAGGTCGCATTCCACATCTGACTTTGGGCCAGTCATTCCCTTCCTCTGGTCCTTGGTTTCTCTACTGATCAAACAGTTGGGAGGGATGGCTCTGTGTCTTTTCTGTGTCTAAATGTCTATGAGGAAATGTTTCTCTCACTTATTTAGACCCGGGAAATATGCAGCAGAGAGAGCAAGTGCATTGCGCAGAGGCAGGCGGCCCATGTTCAAGTCCTGACTTCATCGCTTCTAGCAGCGTGGTCTTGAGGAAATCACTTAACTTTTCTTAGCATTCGTTGCCTCATCTATAAATAAAGACAATCACAACTATGTAACCTTTATAAATTCAGGGCCCCATGTGGTCCAGTCCAATTCTGCAGCCAAAAATAATTGAGAAGGAATTCCATTTTTACTAGAAACTCTCAAATTATACACAATAACTTTCCCCCGCAAAATCGCTTTCTTCACTCCCCAATCCTCTTGCCATCTCCCCAGTTGCTCTGAAACATCTCACACAGTGTGATCATGAAGTGCTCCCCGCAGTGCCATGTGCACAGGACTCTTCTCCTCCCCTTCCCTACCCCTCCCTCCACTTTAGGAGAAGGTTGGAGGAGGTAAGCTCAGAGGGTATATTCAGAATTCTCTATTGGAAGAAGGTAGAGCAGCTTACTATGTGAATATTCCCAAGTAAATGAGGAAATCAGTTTCATCCTGTCACTCCTAAGCATCTGCAGGGAGGGTGAAATTAGATTATTTATATTAAGCAGTCAGCCCAGTGTCTGACACATAGGAAGTGCTTGAGATACAAGAGTCATCATTAATAGTTGTTGTGAACCTGCTAGTTCACTCAGACCCATTCCACACCGCCACCCTTCCCACCATCACTTCCCCCATCTGTCTATCTCTCTCTGTGCTAGCAGGTTCTCCAGAGAAACAGAACCAGTAGGATGTATAGAGATATACAAAATGAGATTTATGATGAGGGATCAGCTCATGTGACTAGGGAGGCTGAGTCCCTCAGTCTGCTGTCAGCAAGCTGGAGGCCAAGAAAAGCCAGTGAAGTAATTCAATCTCAGTCCAAAGGCCTAAGAAGGGAACCAGTGGGGTAAGTCCCAGTTTGAGTCCTAAGCCTGAGAATTGTGGGGCTGATGCTGTTGGTCCTAGACTGAGTCTGAGGGCCTGAGGACCCGGAGCACCGTTGTATGAGGGCAGGAGGAAAGGAATGTCCCAGAGAGCAAATTCGCCCCTCCTCTGCTTCTTGTTGTAAACAGGTTCTCAGAGGCCCTCATGATGCCCACTTGCATTGGTGAGGGCAATCATGTTTACTCAGTCTATGGATTCCAGTGCTAATCTCTTCCAGACACCCTCATAGACACACCCAGCAATCATGTTTTACCAGCTATCTGGGCATCTCTTGGTCTGGTCAAGTTGATACATAAAATCGACTGTGGCAACCTCCTTCCTGTCACTGAGCTCCATCCCGCTCACAAGTCATATCCCATGCTGTGCCTGGAATGTCCTCCAGCAGTTCCAACTCCTCCACCAGCCCTTCCTGTCTCCCAGGAAGGGAAGTGTTTCTGGTCCTGGCACACACATCCTTGGGTGTCTGAACATGTCCTTCTAGTAATGCCAAGCTGCCTCTCCCCTTCACAAAAGGCCCTCCCACTACTGTGGGCACATAAACAAACACGCTGGTTGGCTCATCAGTGTCGCAGGGGGCCCCGAGGTAGCTGCTGGTGATTCGGAGTGGATGAGTCCCCCCATCTCGGAGTGCAGCCCATAGGAAGACCAGGGCTGAGTCTCCATGGATCATCTGGTCCTAGTCGAGGAATGTGTGAGAAAGGAGCACCAGGCCTGGAGTGGGGCTCAGAGAGGAACACAAGAGAAGCCAAGGACCTTAGCATGCTGTGAGGAAGGCAGAGCCTCTGAGAAGCGGTGGCATTGTACAATGGGCACTGAAAAGCATAAGATTCACTGAGTATTGAGAGAACCATCTCAACCTCATTTAAGGCAAAAGAGTGAAGTTGAACTTTGTGCTTTCCATTTTGTCTATTTTCCCACCCCAGCTCAAGACCAGGCCTTCCTAGCGGCTCTCTTTCACCTTCTATCAAACTTTGACCTTAAAAACCTTCATGTCCCCACACGTGGCATAAATGACCAAGAATAGAGCATGATGTAAACCCACCTCCCATTCAAGGGCACATGAGTATCCTAACCAGGCCCAAAGCCTTACAAAATCAATGATGTGCTAATGGGGAAACGCCAAGCTTCACCTGCAGACAAGAGAAGTATTGGGGGTTGGGGCATGGAGAGGCCTTCTCAGACCCAGAAATTCCTCTTTGTAGGGAAGCCAACCAGTTCATGCTGCATAAAGCCAGGTCTTGTTGAGGATGTTAACATTGATGGCAAGTGGTTGAAAATAATGTTTAACAGGAGGAAATACTTTTAATCCCTTCTGGCAGGAAAATAAAACCCCAAAAATGCACTTTTTCAGCTGGGTCCATGGTCACTGTTGATGTCCACATGGGAAATTAGTGGTATGTGTGAAAATAACTAGCAGGCTTGGGGGACCTGACAACCCACATGTCACCAGTGAGATGAGGACATCCAGACCCCAAATGAGGCCATAGAAACAGCATCCATGGTGAGAGAGCAGAGAGCCCACTAAACTCTGGGATGCTCAGGGCCCACAGTGAAATGCCATCATGAGGAAGAACAGGGAGCCTGGCCAAGAAGTTCCAAATTCCTGTTACAGAAGGATTCATGGAAGGGCTCCAAGGAATCTGTCCAGGAGAAGAAAAGACTTGTGGCCTTTGATGAGCGATGAAGCTTGAGGAAGGAGGATAGAGAGTTCTGTTAAGGAGTTGACAGAGGTATGAGGTTTGAGTATTTGCAAAGCCCTCAAGCAGACTGACAGCTGGAAGTCACAGGGACACGTGTTTCAGTGAGGACACAGGTTTCCACAGGAAGAACTCTCTAACAGCCAGAGCTGCCCAGAACAGGAAGACTTACTGGATATCTACTTGGAGAGGGCAGACTAGCAGGAAGGGGAGCTCTGGGCATTGGACAGTTGGGTGAATGTATAGATGGGTAGGTGGAAGGATGGATGTACAGATGAACGGATGTATGAATGGATAGATAGACAAGCAGATGTATGTATGTATATATGGACAGTTGAACAAATGTATGGACACATGGATGAACAAGTATCAGTGAACGGGTGGATGGAGGGACACACAGGTAGATGTATGTAAGGATGGATGGATGATGAGCGGATGCCCTCAGAGCTGCCCTCCTATTCTGAGAATCCACAAATATCTCATAACTGGGGCAAGGAATACCCATTCTTTGGGATTTCACAGATCAGTAAAATATAGGGGACTGGCATAAAGTTACCAGCTTTTAACTCTGTCAAGTTAAGAACATCAGTGTAACAACCAGCATCTATTGAAAAAGATGAAACAGACTAGAATGGAATAAAGAGCAGTCTTTCCCAAGCAAGAATCATTGAAACCTCCCTTCTCTCTCTCCCTGTCTCTCTCTCCATTCACACCCACACACACATATATATACACACACACACGTATATATCTGTGACATTAATTTTACGTTAATATTATATATTATATTGTCTTCATTTTTCTTATTTAATAAACCCAGATTTGAGTGCATAATAATATATGCATTAGTGATTTATGCATACATTATTTGTGATTTTCAAATACATTTCCTGAGCCACAGACCATCATGTGTAAAAAGGGATGAATTTATACCAGTGGTCAAAAATGTCATGGCCTTGGAGACCAGGCAGACAACATAAGTAAAGCAGGTGGAGCATGGGGATTGTGGGGCAGTGAGGAGCAGTGGAAGCCACATTCACCTGACATCTTCAGTTCCACTCACTGTCACCACGCAGGACAGCAAACTGCACGTTGCTGGCTAGATTTTCAGATCTATCAGGAGAAGCTGGAAATATACATTTTATGGGGAATGTCTTGATTTCAAAATGTCTTCATTAATTTTTTTAAATTGCCCTGTGTGCAGGCCAACATTGTTTAGCCGAGCAAAACGCACACACACACACACACACACACACACCTGTGGGTCGGGTTTGGGCCGTGTGCCATGGCTTTGCATAGAGTTTGCAAACTCATAGCACCTGGGCCAAACCCAACCCGCAGGTGTGTGTGTGTGTGTTTGGAGTTGGGATGGGAAGGAGGATGGAGTTGGGATGGGAAGTCATGGGAAAAGGTACTAAAAAGAACAAGCAAAGAGCTTCTCTGGTTACTACTGGGGTGAGTGGGCACCAAAGAGGGCCACCAGATTCCTCCTGCTACTAATGGTTTCTCTGCAGTCTATTTCCAGAAGAGCTGTAATCGGGTTCCCAACAACCTATGATTTACATCCCGGCCGGTGTAAAAGATATTGTGCGGAGTCTTCCGAGTGTGCTCTGTGTGTTTGTATAAATCTCCCTACTCAAAATATCTCCCACAGTTGACTGACAGCCCATGTAATTTAGCAGAAGGCTAAAAATTAAAATCTTCGAGCCTGCTGAGGGAGTGAAAGAATACAGTAACACTACGGTGCCGCCCCCTCGCCCAGGCCCAGGCTCGGCAGATGCCAGGGCTGTTCATTTTGGAGACGGAACAAAATATTTGTATTTAGATTTATTAAGTCATTATTCCACCATTTGTTCCAATGCGCTTTATTAAAACCAGATCTCATCTCTGTTTTGAAAGTATTACCTGATTTACATAAGCCGATCCCAGCCCTAATTATGGCTTCCTTTGGTGTCTTTTCATTCCGGGGGAGGCTTGCTCTCCCCCTCCTGTTTTTTGTCGCCTGCCTTTATGGCCCATATGTCTGCCTTGAGATAGCAAGCATCTTCAGCCTATAAATAGACAGTTCAGAACAGCCCTGCTGCCAGTTATCTGTCCACACATCAACATTACCATAATTGCAACAGTGAATGTGTAATCTCTCTAATCACACGTTCCAGTCGGAAAACTGGATTGGGTTTCATAAATTGTATAATTTGAGGCTTTCCTGAGCTAACCACTGGGCGGGCAGCCTGCTGTGGGCTTGTCTGTGCCCCTCAGCCTGGCCAGGCCTGCCCAGGGCGGTGTGGTGGCACACAGCTGAGGCGGGCGCTTGGCTGTGGATAACGGCAGTGCCACCCTCTCTCCTAGGCGAGGCTGCCTGGGGAATATGAGAAGAACAACTTTTTGAGGACTATTGTGAGCCAGGCAGTTTGTACATGCTCTCCTCTTTTAATTTTCATTCTGTTAGCCTTTTGTGGAAAATGCCATAAATATTTCCATTATACAGAGGAAGACATGAAGGCTCAGAGAGGTTAAGTGAGGTTCCAAGGGTCACACAGCAAGTAGCTGCGACCCAAACTCAGGTCTGAGATGCCACATGCCACGCCCTTAACCACAGCTTTCATCTACAACATGGCACCGTTGAAGGCTTCAGTAGATTTAATTTTTTCGTTTCTCCAAAATAATTGCATTTCTGTCATTTTAGCCAATTCTCAAAACCAACCAAGAGGATGTCTTTGTAGATAACAAAATTGAGACTCAGAGAGGTCAAGTATGCTGTCCAGGGTCACACAGCTCATGAAAGTAGAACTTGGATTCAATCCAGGGCCGACTGCCACGCCTGTGTCTGCCCTTCCTGACGCCTCCACAGCCCGGGGGCTCTCTGGGGGTCCTTCTCTTGGTTTCAGAGCCTTCGTTTTCTTTGTCAGCCTCTCAGAAGGCTGCCGTAATTGCACTAGTGTCAGCGGGCAGAGCCCTGGGGGAAAGTGGGGAGGGGAGAGGGGCCGGCCTCTGCCAGCTTCAGCAGAACCCCTGAGACAGCTCTCCCTTAGCCCGGTAGGGACTCCAGAAAACCACCTCTGAGGACCATCGGGGAGCTGCTGGGGAAAGAGCTGCTGTTGTTTTGCATTACAAACTTCCTCGGGGCAATGTTATTCATGCTGAAGGTCCCCTGAGTGGCTGATGACACCCTCATAGATGGGCTGGTCCCCACAGACGAAGCTTCTGCTTCAGCTCTGCCCGGTAATTGCCAAGGCTTGCAAAATTTGAGAGTCTGTTAGCTGTTTTAAATTGAGTGCTAATCAGATGATGACGTTGTTACCAGGACAGTCTCTCAGGTCTCTCTTTCTCAGAAGGAACCATCTAATCCAACTCCCTTATTTTTTCCAGAGGAGGAAAATGACCCTGAGAAAAAGGAAGAGACTTGCCCAGGGTTGTAACTAACCCTGAGTTCTTTTTTGCAAGGGGTATTGGGCTGCACGTGTGCATGTACATACACACCTCTTCCCACTCTCATCTCTATATGAATTGACTGGGCCTCCTGGCTCCTTCCTCCCGGTTTTGAAGCACTCCCTGCCAGTGTTCTGGATGGGAGACTGGGGACCAGAGCTCCTCTCCTCTGCCCCATTCCCAGAGTGCCAGAAAACTTCATTCTCACATGGTTGTCACTGCTCCTGATCCACGAAGTGACCTGGGGCTTTACCGGGTATCACAGCCTGGTCTGGGCCATGGAGAAGGGGACAATCAGGGTACCCTTTCATTTCTCCCACACAAGGCCTCTGAGCCCCAAAGACAGTCCCAGAAACAACTGGGCTAAGTGGGGTGAGACCTCCCAACAGGAACTGCCCAGGGGATCCCATGGGAGCAAACTAGACCGGTGCTACTAAAAGTGTGGTCCACAGACCAATCAGCTGCATCGGCATCACCTGGGAACTAGTTTGAAATGCAAACTCACAGGCCCTACACCCAACCAACTGAATCATAATCCCTGGGGGAATATGGGGGAGACTCTGTTTCAATGGACCCCTTGGGGTTTTGGATGCACGCCTGGGTTTGAGAATGACAGTCTGGATCCAGCCCACCCCTGAATATCCTCCCCAGATGTGGAAGTCTTGAGGCTATGGATCCCAAAAGTGTGATGGCTTGGCCTAAAACAGAGGATGTCGGGAAAATAGAAAGCTCTGGTACCCTCCCTCTCAGCTGCACAGCCTCACCTCCCACACTCCTCACCGCAGTTTCCAGCTCCATGCACACAAGACCCCTCCCTGTTCCGCCATGCTCTGAGCCTAACCTGTTCCCACTGCCAGAAATGCCTGCCCCACCCCACCTCCTCCCCACCCTGATGGTTCAGCCCCAACTCATGTCTCATTTGCATCTAACCAGAGCTGCTCCTGGCCTTTTCCAACCAGAATTCCTTTCTCCCTCCTGAGAGCTTCAGTAGCACTTTAAAAATAATACTCCTCGAGCAAAACTCTATTGCCTGTGTTCTCTGAGCAGTGCATGGGTCTTCTCTGTACTCTTGAGTTCCTAGAGGCTCCACCACTTCTAACAATGCCTGGCCACAGTAGGTACGCAATGCGTGCATGTGTGTGTGTGTGTGTGCGTGTGTGTATTGAACTCCAATTGCACTGACCGCAGGGTCCCCAAGGATCAGGGTCTGTGGCAAACTATGTGTTTGTTCCAGACCCACAGCAGATGTCATCATTTCACAACCAGCAAGGGCGCCAGGCTCCCTTCACCTTTCCTCCCCGGGGCCCTTACAGGTTGACCTCAGGGTTATCTCTCAGGTCACGTCAGGGAGCCCTGGCTCACCTTTCCTCCGCTGGTTTCCCCTAACACACACCCATGCCAGCCTCTGGCCAACCCCACCCTGTTGAGACACGTCAGGCTGGGCCCAGTGCCTGAGGCACACCTGGGGGCAGCTGTGCTCAGTCCAGGAAGACGCCTGTGGTGTGACCTCCTGCATCACTCCTGACCCAGATCCGTAGAGCTTGTCCAGGGTGCTCACACAGCTCTCCTCTGGGCCCCACACAAAGTCTGCCCCTTCCAGGAAGCCTTCCTTGGTGCTCTGACCTAGGAAGCAGGAGATGTGGGTTCTCTCACACGCCCCTTTCCCACATCCCAGCAGGCTCATGCCCAGATCCTCCGTGCCTCAGGACTACAGAAGCTTCCTTAGTCACAAGCAGGGAGACTCACCTGCCTGAAGGCAGCAAGTTGGCCCCATGGGCTGCTAGCTCCACATCCAGAAACAAACTTTATGAAGTCGGATCTTATTCCGACTCCCACCTACCCCCACTGACCCCCACTTCTCTGAGTCCTGCTCACTGGCGGGAGTGGGGTGCTCACCTCATTTGCTCCCTGCTGCCTCAGGGAGCTTGCACGTGCTCTTCCCTCTGCCAGCAATCCCCTTTCCCTAAGCATTTCAAACACAGTACTGGGAACTAGTGGCGAGTGCAGCAGATGCAGGGACTTGGCTGGGAGTGGGATGGAGAAGGAGGACAATTGTGCGATGAAATGGCAGGACATGGGAAAATACAAAATAATAAACATCAAAAGTGCTGTCACTAATCTGCTGGGTGACTTTGAGTGAGTCCTTTTCCCATCCTGGGCCTGAGAGATAAAAGGCTTGAATTCCGTATTGCCACAGCATCATGCTCCAATCATGAGAAATAACTCAGTGATGCGTGTGTGGAGGGGGAGGGCCCGTGCATATGTGATAGAGAGAGAGAGGTGGGGGGGATTCCTCCAAGCACACATGGGCCCATTTAACCAGATTCTGCTTCACCTTCTTTTCTTTAATCCCCAGAGATGTGGCTTGCTCAGTGAACTGCCACTAAGTGCTCCCTAGGCACCCACTGGTGTCAGGTCCTCTGCTGGGGCCTACAGACGGGTCCCTTCCTTGAAGGGCTCATGCCTGACGATCATTAGCAAAGCCTTCCTGTGTCTAAAGGATCGCTTACTCCCTGTTTGCTCAGAGCTCAGGAGGCACAGCCTCACTAGAAGGTTTGGAAAGCACCCTGCGGTGGAAGGTACGTCACTGGCATGCAAATTGGGAGGCTTAGATGGCAGATAAAAGATTGGTTTGTGTCACAGGCAACGCCAGCCAGAGTGGTGTCTTGTTACGGTGTCTCTGGGCTGGACTCGGTGCCCCTGGAATGTGAACGAGATGCGCGGGGAGGTTTCCTGTTGATTCTTGTCCTGGCAGAGTGGTCCACTGGCTTAGCTGCTTCTCAAGTTGCACAACACCTGGGCCTCCCAGCGGGTGCTGCTGGTGCTGGAGGGGAGAGAAGCCTCCGCCTGCAGGGCCAGTGCCCTCCTCTGCCCACTGCCCGAGGTGAAAGGTGGATTCCAGGCCAGGCCCGGGTCGGGAGGTGACCCCAGCTCCTCCCCAGGAACTCTCCCTGGGAGGGGCCTGGTTGCTCTGAAGGGCACACGGCAGGGATGACACTGGCTAAGGGGGGAACAGTGGCAGGCCAGGGGAGGAGGGGGCCGGGCTGCTGTCCCTTCCTCAGGGGAAGGCTTGGAGCAGAGCCATTAGCCTGCCTGAATCCTATTATATGCAGGGCAACCTGTGAAGACCTTTCCCGTATTCCCTGTTGGCCTCACCATGTAACTGAGAGGAAAGGTGAGGACATGGGAGATGAAGTGACTTGCCCTGGGATTGTTTTTTTCCAAAGTTCAGGGATCTGACCTCTAATCCAATGTCCTGTCTGAAGGGCTGTTTGCCTGGTTGGAGCTCCCCAGAAGCCGGCAAGAGGCAAATATGCATCAGTTCAGCAGGGCGAGGGGCAGCCCGGGCTACCATGGCCCATTTAGAGGGCTCAGCTAACTTCAGGGTGTCCTGAGGCCACCAGCCTGGCTGGGAATACTCTCCTGCCTTCCTTCCAGCCTTCAGTGGGAGCTGCGTCCAGCTGGGCAGTGACTCAGCAGCCCTCATTCCCACGTGTGTGGGAGAGCAGGCCTCTCTCCCGGCTGTCGGCTTGGCTCCGTTGGCCTGTCTGGGGGTGCCCCAGCAGTCAGCCTGCCATCAGCAAGGCCCTGGGGCTCAGGCCAGGCTTCCCACAGCTCAATCACAGAGTTTGCTTTCTTTCCAGCCCTCCAGCCTTTCCCCCTGAGACTGGAGGGCCACTTCTAAGTTCCTCTGGCCACCTCAACCGTCCACTCAGCCAGGGAGCCAGGCTGTGGGTGACTTCCTCAGCACTGTCCCAGAAACCCTGTGCTGTCCTCAGAAGCAGCCCACCTCCCAGAGCAAATAGCTTGTTTGCCAGGCTCACGGGCCTCCCCGCCTGCTCAGAGTGCGTCCTGTGGTGCATGAAGAGAAGGAACTAGGCAAAACCCAGGCAAGAAAACGAGGGAGGGAAGTGGATCTTGGCTGGACCTTTAACAGGATGTATGGGAGGGTGAGCTACGGTGAGACTGTGCAGGTAGGGCACTAGCCCATCTGCTCACGACCAAGAAAAACATCACCCCACATGCCCTGGCTCCAACCCCAGGGATGGCGGGCTGGCGGCATTGGCATAGCTGTGGAAGCTTGAGCAAGGCTCGTAAATTCTCAGATCCCGTTTCACCATCTGTAAAATGGGCATGCTAATGCCTGTCAGCCAGGTTTGCTCTACACAACACATACAACCCTTTTTCTAAAGGGCTTGGTGGAAGGCCTGCTCCAACATGTTTCAGACATGGATATTGCTTTCCATCCTATGTGTGAGTCCAACAAGATTTGTGCAATCTTTTATTGGTCTCATTTCACGCTCATCATCCTGGGACCCTGTGGGAAAGGACCCATGAGGGACCTTGCAAATGCTGCCAGGCACTGCAAGTGCTGGCCACTGCTGCTGGTCCTCCCAGCAGCTCTCAGGGAAGCAGGGCAAGTGAGGAGCCTGGGTTGGAAACAAGAAATACTTTGCTGGCAGTCATTCCATAAGTTAAGACAACTACAGAAACTTTTATGGAGTACCAAGTATGTGTCAGTCACTGAGAGAGACACTTAGGGACACTGAGGTGCCTAAGACATGGTCCCTGCCAAAAACAGGCCTATGTGGCAGAGGAAGGAAGGAAAGAGGAGGGAACATGCAAACAACCTCCATCCCAGATAGGCGAAAAGTAGGCTGCGCATGAGGTATAGACACCTCGCCTGGGAAATCCCAATGCAGCGAGAAATCAGGGCTGCTCCAGGGGAACAGAAAAGGCTGCACGGAGAAGGAGCAGGAGTTTGCAGGGTGGAGAAGGGAGAGACAGGCCCCAGGGGCTCCAGTAGGGAGCACGTGCCTGGACTGACCAGGGGACGGGGTCTCTCCTAGAAGACCCAGATGTGCTGAGGCTCCTCCATGCCAGCACATTTGGCTCCACAGGTATTGCAAGACCCCCATGGGGTGTCGAGACACATCCTATGACCTAGATCTCTGCCTTCCAGGAACTGGTTGGGTGAGATGAGACTCATCCTGGGCATACGTAGAGAGCAATTTTTACCAGCATGTCTCCAACTGCAGGTGTGGCCTATGACATCTGATGTCACTTCCCTCCTCAGGTGGCCCTGCCAGCCCCTCTGCAAAAGGGGGCATAGGCACACAATTTTGCACATCGTTTCCAGGGGCTCAAGGATGTCCCTCACCAGCCCATCTCCTTTGAGGAACCCTCAATGTGATTCAACTCCGGGGTTTTGCAGATGAGGAAACTGAGGCAGAGAAAGAATGTGCCTTGCCGAAGGTGTGTGGTGAGTCAGGACGGAATAGGCCTAGACTTTTGGCTTCTGACCCAGAGTTCTCCCATTGGTGCCTGCTGCGGCCACCTCCTCAATCTGTGCCTCTGCCCAGCTGCAGTTTTCGGCATCCTGCCTCATGACAGAGGGGACAGCATGCACTTTCTATCCATCTCAGCCATAGCCTCTTCCCAACCTGTAGCTCCCCTCTTGGTGAAACTGCCTTTGCGCTTTCTTCCCACGTGCACGGTCCGGCTGGTTCTCTGCATCCTGGTGTCCCATCTCTGGGAAAGACTCCACCGTGCCCACACTCACTCAAGTTGCACAGGGACGTCTTTCTCCCCTTCTCCCCCTGCTCCCCCTCTATAGCCAACTCCTAGCTGGACTGGCCTCTCGCTCAAACCCAGTCCTTACTGTTTATCAACAGGAATCCAGGCCCTCTTCACCTCTTGCTGTGGCCATTATCACAGCCAGAAAAATATTTCTAAAGCACATGAACACGTCACTGTTCAGCTTAAAATCTTGCAGAGGTGCCCTGTGGCCTTGAAAATTAAGTTCAAGCCCTCGGTGTTGTCTACAAAGCCCCCCATGGCCAGCACAACCCTTCCTTCCCATGTGCCTGCATCCATTCTTGGCACCAGCTTGGCAAATGCTCCATGCCCCCAACCCCCTGAAGCCCATTTGCTCTGCTGCTCTTCCCATCCAGAGCAATAAGATGTGCATAGACCAGCTTCATACGTTTTAACCTTGAGGTTTGCTTGCATGCTTGTTTTTAAAATTCAGTTCCCTCTCGACGGCGATACTCTTAAAGGGGCCCATCCACTTTTCTACTTATGGGATTTTAAAAATCTATATGGAACACTTCATGAGTTTTGTCATCCTTGCACAGGGGCCATGCTAATCTTCTCTGTATTGTTCCAGTTTTTTAGTCTGTGTGCTGCTGATGCGAGCACTTTATGGTTTTAGAAGATAATCTTAGAAGCTTATGCACAAGATAATCATTTGTAAACACTCCCACAGTAGTTTTCTTACGTGGACTGACACAATTTTTTACATATAAGTACTTCTAGGGTCTGAAATTGAAGTCAGGACAAAGCGTAAATACAAGTGTCTATGACTAGCAACGTGTGCTGGCTCATTTGCTGATGAATAAATCGCTGAACCCAGAAGCTCAACCTAAACATTTAACAGGAACAAGGGCTGATCTTCAAAGTCCCAAACAGTTCAAAGTTGGAAGAGTAATTAAGAGCCATGGAGATGTGCTGTCAAACGGGCAGATGAGAGCCTGGGATGCCCCTTCCTCCCTGCCTGGGCTTGGCTTGATGGCAGAAGTCACAAATGCAGCCCAAAACGAACCGCATCCCCCTGGCTCTTAGAATTGGATCTTCAGCTTTCTAGAACAGCCCTTCCTGTGTTATGTCTGCAATGTGTAGAATCTGATAGGAAATTTGTTCCAAAGTTCAAAAACAACCGGACTTTGTAAATAGTTCCAAATAGAAGCCCTATTCATGCTGGGGAGGGAGTATGTGTGGGAGATGAGAAGGACCTTTACTCAGACAACCAGAGCGTTCCCGCTCCCAGCACCATGTCGGTGGACATGGGCCACTTCACTTCTCTGTCCCTGGTCTCCCTACCTGCATGATGCGGATTATAACAGTACTTACCTCCTTGGGCGGGAGAATGATAATTCGAGTAAAACACGGAGCATACAGTATGTGCTCAGTAAATATTAGTTGTGGAAGTTGCCAATAAGACCAACAGTGTGAGCAGAACAGCCATATATTTAATCAATATACATTAAAAATAATTTTTGGCAGAATGAGAATATCTGAGCTGTGCAAGCAAATGGTATGGGCCAGCATCTAGAACTGCAGCTCAGGAAGGAGAACTCAAGCAGAGCTGAAAAGCCTATGAGGAAGACAGATGGCAAGAGGAGTCGGCTGAATAGCGGCACCCAAAGACAGCAGGTCCTAATCCTGGAGCTGTAAATGTGACCTCATTTGGAGAAAAAAAAAAAAAAGTCTTTGCAGATGTGATTAAGTTAGAGAATCTGAGATGGGGAGATTATCCTGGATGATCAGGGTGTGTCCTAAATGCAATCACAAGTGTCCTTACAAGAGACGGGCAGAGGGAAATTTGACACACAGAAGAGAGACAGTGATGGGAATTGAGAAAGATCTGAAGATGCTGATATTGAAGATCGGAGTGATGAGGCCACAAGCCAAAGGATGCTAGCAGCTCCCAGAATCTGGAAGAAGTGAGAATAAATTTTCCTCTAAAGCCTCCAGAGGAAGCACAGCCCTGCCGGCTCCTTGATTTTAGCCCAGTGATGCTGATTTTTGACTTCTGTCCTCCAGAACTGTGAAATAAACCTCTGTTGTTTTAAGCCACCAAGTTTGGGGTGATTTGTTACAGCAGCCACAGGAAAACCAGCCAGTATAGTGGCTCGTGAGGCCCATTTTACTTTTGAGGAAATACAGACCCAGAGAGCAGCAGTGATTTGCACAGAGCCACACAGCACATTAGCCCCTTTGGCCGAGGCCAGACCAGGTTAACAGACCCTGAACCACTGCGCTCCTGCTTCCATCTGCCCCGCCTCCTCCTGGCCATGCTGGGACTGCTGGGAGGTCTTAGACCTGAGATGCCTCTAGTTTCCACAGTGGTGTGTAGTTGCCCCCAGGCGAATCTTGCTGGTGCCAAGCCCCAACCTGTGGCCACCATTGCCCTCAACCAGGATGCGCTCCCATTGCCTATGTCACAGGCTGGTTCTGTGGGAGTGAACTCTGGGAGGGAGTTTGGGGTCCCAGGGGTTTATTAAAGATCTGCACCAGTGAAAGAAAAGGAGAGAAGTTGGATTAAGCCAAAGGAGATTGAAGGCAAACTGCAATGCGGGTTTGACCAAGCCCCAGTCACCTAGCAGGGGGTCATCCTGTGTCTAGCTGAAGTAGCCAGGACTTTCCACTCGCATCCTGCTCAGTCGCCAGATGCAGGCTACCCCAGGGAGGGCATGACTTCAAAGGAGGTGGGTGTCTGCAGCTGAGGTAGACACCCTGAAGGAGCTGACAGCTGGGGCTGCCTGCCTGCTACACTCCCTGCAGATGGGCAGCAGGGCCTTCTCGGGAAGGAGCTCCGAGTGTGTGGACCTACAGCTACCACTGTGCTCTGCAAACAAGGCAGGCATCTTCCATCAGCAGTTCCTAAATGGCTGGCCTCCCAGTGCAGGCCCCACACTGCAGAGTGATCTCACACTCTCCGTAATTAAAGTGGGTTCTATGCTCACCTGGGAACTTGTTAGACATGCAGAATGGATATTGGGCCTTACGTTCCATTTTGAGAACGAAGCTCTAGACCCAGACATCAAGGCCAGCAGTGGTCTGTTTTGGTTGGGAATGATTTTTGTACCTTTTACAAAGAATATGTGACAGAAAGTGTACGGCCCACAAGGCCTAAAATATTTACCAGGTGACCCTTTACAGATAAACTTTGTTAA
The DNA here is from genome assembly GCF_000001405.40 of Homo sapiens. NCBI lineage: Eukaryota > Metazoa > Chordata > Mammalia > Primates > Hominidae > Homo > Homo sapiens. The sequence goes on along the minus strand of NC_000015.10, from coordinate 70,190,698 downwards.
CCCTACTCTAGAAACTGGGAGTTATCTATGCATCTCTGTCTCAGTTTCTTCCTGTCTCCCTCCTGGCCATTCCAAATGGAAATAAAAAAGCATCCCAAGGCAATGGTAGGCAGCCCAGGCTGCTGTTTGGAGCCATCGAGGGCATTGCAGGGACCTTCAGACCTTCTGCCCCCGTCCCGCCATCTCCACAGCTGTGCCACCGAATGCCCGGCAGCACGCCTGCACCGCCGCTCCTCCTTGGCTCTGTCGGGGCTTCTTGTCCCCAGCGTTCCCTTCTCCAATAGGCCTTTGCAGCTTTTTTTCCCCCAACATCCCTGACTCTCTTGTGAAATGCAAATTAGTTAGTATCTAATTACTCACTCGGTGCTGCATGTAGAGCCTTCTCTTGTTAGGGTCCGTCCAACATCTCTCTCATCAGCTGAGAACTCAGCCCATTAGGAAAAATTCCTGTTTGGGGGAAGCAGGCAGTTCCTCGCCCTCTCTCCCTCCCGGACTTGTCAACAACCACCTCAGCCATGGATTCCAGAAACACACCTGCCTGGGTGGGGTAGTTCCACCCACCACTCACTCCAATTACCAGAATCGCTTCTGGGAAGGAATTGTGCCAGGGCTGCACTGGGCTCGGGAATGAGACCCAGCCCCTGCCCTCCAGGGGGCTGCGTGTGTAACCAGGCATGAGCCAGCAGGACTGTGGCTGATGAAATGAGGAACACGGCCTAGGGCATGGTGCAAGCTTTCAACAGCGATGGGCTGAGTTTCAACCTAGGAGGTAGATGGCGGAGAGCTGGAGTCCATGCTAAGCCTTAGCATGCAACCTTTAAGTCATGGAGATGCAGCATGGTACAGGAGGAAGACTGCAGGGCTTCAATCTACCACCTCTCTGCAAGACTCTGGGCCTTGACCCCCCCTAAGCCTCAGTTTCCTTATCTGGGATCTGAAGATAATAGAGCCAGCATGAGGAAAATGGGCCTCTGAAGGTGAAGTGTCAGGCATGGGCTTGGCACCATATAGGTGCTGAGCACGTGTTAATCCCATTTCCTTGGCCTTTGTGTGGCCAGGGGTGGTCCATGACAGATGGAGGTGGAGTTGAATTTCTGTCCAGGGAGTAGCCCCCACCTTGGCTCCTGCCCCACCCTCCCATCTCCTCATAGCCCACAGTTGTTCTCATCAGCTCCATCCTATGCCAGCCAATCCTGGCAAAAGTTGAAAGGCCATTTGTCCACCTGCTACCTGGAAGAAGATCATGCTCCACATGCCTGAGCTCAGGAGGCTTAGCCATGAGAGCTGGACTCCTGCAATCTAGCATTCCAGGGCTCTCCCCACAGAAGCATGCCTCAAGCCCTAGCTTCACCGTGCCCTGGAGACCCTCTGGCCTCAGCAGTTGACCCATGTCTAGCCCGTCCCAGTCCCAATCCAGCCCTGCTACTCTCAACTCAGCTGGCTACAGGCAGCCTAGCCTCTCCACTGCTCTGGTTACTCCCATCCAGACTGAACCCTGCTTTCTGAAACCCCCATCTCTCTAGTGCTTATGGTTCATACGGAACCACCACGCTCTGAATTATCCATGGGCCATTTCTTGGAGAAATGTCATTTATCCATTTCTTGGGACAATGACATTGAAATTGGCTTTCCCAGGCCTACAACAAAGCCAGGTAATGGAGAAATGTCATTTATCCATTTCTTAGTCTGTGTAAGTATGAATGTGGTCTTGTCTCTCCAGCAGACTCTAAGTGCCTTGAAGGAAAAGACCACACCAGACACCCCAAGAAAGCAAGCACAGCACAGTGTTGGGACTGTGGCATGCTGAGCGGACACCTTGGCAGGTGGAATGGAAGACCTGACATTCACCATCGTATGGCTCACTGGTGCCAGATCAGCAAATGTATTTGGTGGAAACTGGAGAGGGTAGGAGGAGAGAAAGAATGAGGACTTATTGAGCACCTATGATGTGCTAAGCTCAGATGCTACTAAACCATTTCAAGCATGTGCTATCATTTAATGCTCACAACAGCCTTGTGAGGTAGAAATTGTTCTCCCCCATTTTACGGTGGGAACCTGGACCCAGAGGTATTTGGATGACTAACCCAAAGTCCTGTCACTACTGAGTGATAGAGCGCAGCTCGAACCCAGACCTCCAGTGTCATGCTCATTCTGATTGGCCAGGTTGCCCAGTGCTCTCTTCCCTCTCACCCCAGCCTGGGTTGGCAAACACAGGCCATTGGTTCCACCTGTTGCTCTGCTCTTGACCTCCAGTAACCTTTGCTCCCTCTTTCCTGGCCAGCATCTTGCTCCTGGCACTGAAAATCTGCACCCCTGGGGAGGCCCAGCCATCCTGCATCTGGAACACTGCTCAGACAACCCTGCCTGGGGTAACCAGTGACCATCCCTTGGGCTCTCGTCAACCAGCTGCTGCTGTGGTAGGCGTCTATGTTCAGTGATGTCAGAGCTAGAAGGCCCTTCGAGGCCCCCCAGGCCCAACCTCACCATTCTACTGATGGGGAAACTGAAGGTCAGAGAGGAAAGTGGCTTGCTCAGGCCTTCAACCAAGCCAGGTCCAGGAGCTAGGTGTCCTGACTCCCGGTCCAGCCCTCATCCTACCACCCCAGCTCAGTTTCACAAATGTGCAGAGAAGACAGAAGAGCCGGCTGTTCTTGGGGCCACACAGAGAGAATGCTTGCTCTCTGTTTCCTTCTGCTTGGTCTCCCCGAGACAGCTATGCAGCTAGAGTAGACCAGTATACTGGCACTGACAGGGCGAGAGTGTGGCAGGAGGAGGTTGGCAAGTCCCATAAATCTTCCTGGAAGAAAGGCCTTGAAGGTGAGTGAGACCTGGCTCAATGCATGAAGGAAGAGGCTTTCTGGGCTGAGGCAAGAGACAGGCTGAGGGGCAGGAGGCAAAGGCCTTGATGGACAGACAGAGGACCCCATGGATGGTATGAACATTCTGGCACAGAGTAGGGATCATGGCTTAGCTGCCCCTTGTTCTTTGCTCTGGGGAATGCCCCTAGTACACCCCGGGCCGTGAAGAACTAAGCCAGTGTTTCCCAAGATGGCTGTTGAGGCACAGCCCCACACCGGCAGGACAGCCCTGGGGGAGGGCAATATTCCCATATCTGGCTCAGCTCCTGCCCCAAGGGAGCTGCCCACACACGTGTCCTCCCCCACCATGTGAGTGGGACCCTGCTAGGAGGCAGCGTGCTGCTTGCCCGTGGCCCCTGGCTCTCCTCCTCCTCCTCTGACCGGGCCTTCTCTGTCTTCTGATGGAAAGACCTCCCTGCCCAGCAGTGTCTGGAGCTCTAGAAGTGTTCAACAAGCCTTAGCTCCGACGCCCAGGCTCTGCCCTAAAGGTTCCCCAGTGTTTAGTCCCTGATCACTCTTCCCTGCCAGCTCCCACAGAAAGCCCAGCCCCAGCAGCAGCTCTCACTCACTCACTCACTCATTCAGTAAGGTGGGGGCCCTCCTGCACTCCTTCCGAGTGCCGGCTGTGGAATCTGGGCAAGCATGCTGGTGGTGAATAGGATGGCCCTGCCCGTGAGGAGCTTGCAGTTGGTGGAACAGAGGAAACATGGATGTAATTTGCTGCAATACAGGCTAGAAAGTGAGGGCTATTGCAAAGTGCTTAAAGGATGGGGGAGATTGTTTTATCTGTGAGACCCGGGGGGCTTCTTAAAGAGGTGGCATCTGAGGACTAGTTAAGCTCCGCTTTACACGACGCTGCTCAGAGCTGCAAAAAAAGCATGATGCATTCGGACGACTTGGTTTGCTAGACTGCTGAGATCCTTGAGAAGCTGGAGATGAAATACGCGGGAACTTGCGGTGAAGGACCTTGGGGGCCAGGAGGGAGTCAGAGAAGGGTTCGAAGCAGGAAATGGTATGACCAGATTTTGGAAATAACCCTCTATGGCTACAGTGTCAAGAACTGGGGGGAGGAGGGTGCAAGGGCAGCTGCTGAAAGACCAGTGAGAAGGTGACCACATGGCCCAGCAGTGAGCAGATGGCCCAGGACAGGGAAGGTTGGATGCAGCTGAGATTTAGCAGGAGGAATCCACAAAATCAACATTTGGATGATGGGGTGGGGGCCAGAGGGGCATCTGTGATGGAAAGTCTGGGTTGAGGCCTGCACTCTGGATGGCTAAAAGTGCCATGACCCTACAGGGAGGCAATGGGCGCAGCTTGGCGAGTTCAGGACAGAGTCAGGACTGAAGACAGTGATTGAGTCATGAGGTGGGAGGGGAAGCAGATGGAGAAGAGGAGTGGCCAGAAAGCCCCTGGGGAGAGACAGCCGCAGGGGTGGAGCCAGGCTTCCCACCCAGCCTGCTCTCCCCTTCTCCCCACAGCCCAGGCCGCTGCCTCAGCCCTGGTTCCCCAGGCAACACCTTGCCCCTTCAGCCCCACTGGGGGTGGCATCCACTCCCCAGGGGAGCTCACAGACCAGTGCCACACCACTGAAGCCATGGCAGCCAGAGGCCTGGAGACCCTCATCCCCCACCTCGCCCCATTGCACTGGCCTCATCTGCCAGCACGCCCTCCCTGGGCACCAAACAGTCCATTCTCTCAGTCCACCCCTACTCCATAGCCACACTTAGCCATCCCTCTGCACTCAATCCACCAAGACTTTTCAAGAACAAGAAGTGCACCTCCATTATTGTATGAAGCTGCTGAGCTGCCAGGGCTTATTTGTGACTGCGCCATAGCCTGGCCTCTCCTGCCTAATGGAATCCCTGTGCAGAGCTGGCACCTCGCACCTTTGCCCATTCCAAGCTCTTCCCTTGTTCTCCACTTCCTCCTAACCTTCCAGGCCACTGCCACCCCTCCTGAGCCCATCCCTTCCAGCCACTCTCAAATTCCTGAACCCATCTCCACTCACTCGGACAATCACTTAAAATCAAGCCTAATACCCCTTTGTGTCTCTCAAAGCACCAGACACCCTGCTGGATGCAAGGGGACCGAACCAAGAGGCACTCCAGGTGACTAAGCCCCATGAAACCCCCACTCCGCTCACTGGGCCTTCCTCCCTGCTTCCTTCCTTCAGTCCATTTGGCCTCCAGGATCTAATCTGGGGGAGTAGGAGAAAGCCGTGAGGGAGAGACAGAAACTATTCCTGGTATTGTTCTAAGGCCACAGCCTGTGGTTGTGGAGGGAAGCGAGGGGGGCTGGGAGATGGGGAGGAGAGGTTAACAAGATTTAAAAAGCCATAATGAGACCGCAGCACAAACCCTGCAATTATGCTCCCAAATTTAATCAAAACAGCTTCCCGCACTGGGCCTGTAACATCTCTAACAGGCCCCATCAAGTTCTGCCTCCCAGCCCATCCCTTGAGAGAGCACAAGGCCCTGAGGTCTTTCTGCAGCACAGGGGCAGGGCCAGCCCCCAGCACAACCCACCCAGCCACCCCAGCTGACAGCAGGCTTATGGGACTTAACTTGGCTTAGATGCACCAGGTCTCCAGGAAGCTCTTCCTCCTCCCTCCTCCTCTCCTTCCCACCACCTTCCCCTCTGCTTCTCACCTCTGCAGCCCACTCCCCTTCATCCAGCCCTGCTCCACTGCCACCTCTCCAACTGAGACCCCTCCACAGCCCTGGCCATCATCTGTGTGCAGGCCCCAGACTCCTTCAGGGCTTCCCCAGGGTGGGGCCCTTTCTTAGACACCAAAAACATACCTGGCCTTGCCCAGATGCAGTGACCTTCTTGACAGCAGAGGGTATTTTTTCCTCTGCATGGTTTGGTTTTGGTCTCCCCTGGCATATGGTAGGTCAATACCTGTAGCAAGGACTGTTCATGCTCACTGTGTGACCACATGCTACCTTTCCCAGACTCTTGTGTGAAAGGGTTGAGACCACGTTGCTAGTTCAGGCCGATGGTCTGTAGCTTCCAGATTGAAGCTAGGAGCCAGCATGTCTTCTTCCTCTCTCTGGCCCTCTGTCCTGGTCATGTATTTCAATGAATGTACCTACAGAAGAAGAAAGCTACTGTGATGGTTAATTTTATGTGTCAACCTGAATGGATCACAGGATGCCCAGATATCAGGTGAAACATGATTTCTGGATGTGACTGTGAGGGTGTTTCTAGAAGAGATTCGCATATGAATTTGTCGACTGAGTGAAGTGCATCTGCCCTGCCTGATGTAGGTGGGTATCATCCAACCCACTGAAGGCCCGAATGGAACAAAGAGGTAGAGGAAAGGAGGACTCGCTCCGCTCTGCCTGACTGCTGAGCTGGGACACTGATCTCCTGCCCTTGACACTCCTAGTTCTCAGGCTTTCAAATGCAGACCGGAATCTATACTATCAGCTCTCTGGCTCTCAGGCCATTGAACTACACCACAGCTTTCCTGGGTCTCCAGCTTGTAGACAACAGATCAAGGGACTGCTCAGCCTCCATAATCATGTGAGCCAGTACCTGATAATAAATCTCTTTATAGATCCTATTTATATGTGTGTGTGTGCCACACACGCGTTTATACTATATATAATAGACAGATCCTATTGATTCTGTTTACCTGGTGTTCCCTAATACAGCTACCCAACCCACATTGGACCATCCATGAATGAGAAATCATCATTATAGGCCGATCGTGGTGGCTCACCCCTATAATTCCAGCACTTTGGGAGGCCAAGTCAGGTGGATAACTTGAGGTCAGGAGTTTGAGACCAGCCTGGCCAACATGGTGATGCCCCCGTCTCTACTAAAATACAAAGATTAGCCGGGTGTGGTGGCGGGCACCTGTAATCCCAGCTCCTTGAGAGGCTGAGGTAGGAGAATCGCTTGAACCCGGGAGGCAGAGGCTGCAGTGAGCCAAGATTATGCCACTGCATTGCAGCCTGGTGACAGAGAGAGACTCTATGAAAGAAAGAAAGAGAGAGAGAGAGAGACAGAAAGAAAGAAAGAAAGAAAGAAAGAAAGAAAGAAAGAAAGAAAGAAAGAAAGAAAGAAAGAGGAAGGAAGGAAGGAAGGAAGGAAGGAAGGAAGGAAGGAAGGAAGGAAGGAAGGAAGGAAGAAAGAAAGAAAGAAAGAAAAACATAATCATCATTATAGTGCTAAGCCACTGAGATGCCAGGGCTTATTATTCCTGCACCATAGCCCAACCTATCCTGACTAACACAAACCTGTCATTGAGAGACTAATGAAAATATTTTCAAGTCACTCCCCAGTCAAATGGAAGAGAGTAGAATGGCACATCTGGCCCTGAGTCAGGAAATTTGAGCTCTAGTTCTATTAATATCTCTGTCAACCGATTGCTGTGTAAATTGGGCAAGCCTCTTAGCCTCTCTGGACCTCAGTTTCCTCATCATCTGTCATGTGGTTGAGTCACATGAAATGATATTATTCATTAAGACAAGAAATACAGGAAGAGGTTCAGGTTTGTGGGGAAAGACCTGGGTTCCATTTGGTACCTGTTGAGTGTTTCATAGGCATACAGTAGGTTCTGGGGCAAAGAATAAAAACGGGGCTGGAGATATGGATTTGAGGTCATAGAGAAAGATGGTGGCTAAAGATGTTATGAATGAGGTAGCTGGCAGGGAGGACAATCAGGAAAATAAGGAAAGAGGGCTCTTTGAAAAGAAAAAAACGAAGAAGCTGAAGTCCAGAGACATGAAGTAACTGGCCCGAGATTACACGGTAGGCTGGTACCAGAGGTGGCGCCAGATCTGGAGCTTTAGCCCCAGACTCCAGGGCTCCATCCCTTGTCAGCACAGAGAAGCTGGGAGCCTGGGGATGGTAAGGCATATCCCAGTGAATGCTGGGATGCTGATCAACTGTGCGTCTTGGGTCACTTCTATGGGAATCGGCTTCCCTGTCTGTATAATAAGAATTTGGTTTTGATATAGTATGGGGCTTTGTGATTTATAAACTACCTGCATAATCATTATCTCATCTGGCTCTTAAAATTGCCCTTTGAGGAAGTCAGGGTACACAGGTAGATCAAGGCTCAGAGAGATAAAGTGTGCCCAGATCTCTTGACTATAGGTCAGGTCCCCTCACACTGAACTCCCTTTTCAAGGACCACGAACAGGGTCCCCCTCTGCCCAGACATTGCAGACAAAGGCCAATCCCTGCAAGAAGCACCATCCACCCACCCACCCCTTTCTCTCCCTTGTTTCGATTCACTCTCCCCAAGACCCTTTATTTCTATAAGTCACAAGTCATGGGTATCCCTTGCTCACTGGAAGTAACCACATTTCCTAGGATTTTGCTGATGGTTCTGGGACGATGGGAAGATGATTGGGGGCCACCTGGAGGGATAAGATGACCATGGAGTTTCTCAGCCTTGCTGGCAGGGGAAGGGGATGGCTCAAGGATGTTGGTTCATCATGAAGCAAAGCTTGAGAAAGGGTGGTCTGACCCCAGACAGGGATTTTAGAGTCTGCAATTTCTGGGTTCTAGAGGGGAAGATGGGTAACTGTTCTCTGAGGCAACATGAAGGATTTAAGGCATTTTGTCAACCAAAGGCCAAGCTTTTCTATAAGAGCCTATTCTGGGAACAACTCAAAGAAGATTCCAGTCCATTCCAACTCATCCCATCCACTCATCCAACAAATATTGATTGAAGGTATTTCCGCCTCTGCCCTCGAGGGCTGCCAGTAGAGCAGGGAGGAGACAAGAGGGAGAGCAGAATGCAGAATTTCCACCTAGAAGACCCAAAGTCAAAGCCTGATCAACCAGTTCCAGCTGTGTGGCCTTGGGCTAATTACTTGGCTTCTCTCAACCTCATCTGCAAAATAGAGCTAATAATACCACCCAACTCCCTATGTCCCAGGGTGGCTTTGAAAATCAAGAGATCTTCTTTGACAGAGTGATTTGTAGGGTGTTACGAAGAGGATAAATCAAGCACTTATTTCCTAAGGATAAAGGTAGGCAGCCACAAGTGCTGCTGGAGAGGCCCAGATAAGGGGTTATGAAGGCCCAGAGCAAGTGGACGAGGGGAAGGAGTTGGGACAAGGGAAGGACTGAAGAAAAGAGGTAAGCTATTGAAATTAAAGGATGGGCACAGTCTCAAAAGGCAGGAATGGCAGACAAAGGATATTTCAGCAGAGAACAGAGCAAGCCAAGATATAGAGGCCAGAAAGAAGAGAGCAGGTTCCAGAGACAGCACAAAAAAGCCATCAATATCTGCAGGGGGCCTGCGGGAGATAACATTGCAACTGTATTTAGAGGAGATGACAGAGTGGCTTGAACACTAGGCGGAGACATTTGGACTTTATTTGGCAGGTTGTGTGTGTGTGTGTGTGTGTGTGTGTGTGTGTGTGTGTGTGTGTGTGTGTGCGCAGCACGGTGGTTTTCACTGTGGACCCTGGACAACCAGCAGCATACCACTTAGGCACTTGGTAAAAATGCAGACTCCGGGCCCCGCCCCAGTCCTCCTGAAGCCGACACTCTGAGTGTGGGGCCCAGAAATCTGTGCTTATCAGGCCGTCCAAGAGATGCAAATGCCCTCCATGTGCGAGGCCCACCCTTGTAGCAGAGTCTGTCGGTGCCCTGCCCTGGCCCTTTGTCTTGCCAGCTTCCGTCTGCCACCGTCAGAATCCCTTCAGCTGGAACCTAACTGTGGCCACTGGAGTCTGCGCTCCCCAGGCATGAAAAGACTGGTAGTGCCAGGAATTAACAACCCTGGGGAGCAGCCCTCACCCAGTGATTGGCAAGAGCTCGTGAGTCATAGCCCAGCCCCCTGGCCCTCAAATGGCACGGCTCTGAGATCGAAGTTCTAGACTCTTTCCTGGGATTTCCCAGGAGGGTTGAGCCCTGGCACCCACAGTGGCCACTGGCTTGAGAATACCCCCGTCTGTACTGGGCACCCTCCCTCTCACTCTCACTTCTCTTCTCCCCACTGGTGTTTTCTGGGACATCTCTCAAACGAACTACTTGCCCTTGAGTCCTTGACTCCGCTTTTGGAAGAACCCAAACCAAGATCATTTGTATGTGGATGCACGTGTGTGCACGTGGAGAGGGTCAGCGTCAGGACGGGTAGAGGCGGGGAGTTGCTGACTTCCTGGCTGGGGAATGGCACTGGTAGACGAAGATTCTGGTCGCGGAGGCAGAGTGGTTTGGAGATCAAAGACAGGAGGAAAGAGCACTGTTGAGACGTTGGCAAGAACAAGGCAGGTACCTGAGGACTTGGCGAGGGAGGGCAGTGAGGAGAGGACCTCCTCCTAAAGCTAAACTGCCAAGCCTGGGCTATGACCCACTATAGGGTGTGAAAAAGCAAAGGGGGCCAAACCTCACACCAGCTCCTTATTATTATCCCATTTCTTGGACAAGGAAACTGAGGCTTGAGGATGAGGTGACTTGCCCTGGGCCAGGCCTCGGAGCTAGTCCAAGATCTGAGATCAGAACCGAAGCCTGCCTGGCCAGAGCCTGGTGTTTTCTTGCTGCCTTTGGTAATACAGGCTCCAGGCCAGTCAGTTCCCTGGAGCCACACTGCTCCTTACTGCTGCTTTGATTTTTGTACCTCTGAAGATTCGGGTGTTAACTCTGGACAGAAAGGGGCCAATTGTCATCCAGCAAGGGTCTCTCACACACCCACAAGCGTTTCCTCAGAACTCTAGCCCATCCCTCACGAGAAAAACCAAGTAGCGTCTGCAGCCAGGTGGCCCAGGTTTGCAATCTAGCTCTTCTGTGCCATGGCTGTAAATCCGGGCAATTTACTTAGCATCTTGGTGCCTTGATTTTCTCATCTTTAAAGCCAGGATAAAGATGTGTCTCCTGAAACTCTTAGGCAAGTCCGATTGTTGGTGTTGCTGTTGTTGGTCTTGCTCAGGTTGTTCATTATGCTGCCAAGTTTGGAAAACAAAGGGTCAAACAAAACTCCTGATTCTGTCACTTGTTTTTTATCACTCAACTCATAAAGTGGCAGAGCTGGGATTTCATCCTAGGATTGGCTGACACCACAGCCCCAGTGCTGAACTCAGCCCCCAGATGCTATGAGAGGGTAACATAATTAAATGCCAAAAACAATGGAAGAGTGTGGTTTGGCTCATTGCTTTTCTTTCAACATCTACCTGTTGGCACAGTCCCAGAGGGTGCAAGTTGAGGAATGCATTTCTATAAGTGCAGCCATTTTAGGGCCAGAGAAACAATGCCTTTGAGTAGAAATTAGGTCAAGGAATTTAGGTTCTGGTGCTGGCTCTACTGCTTACTCACCTCTGTGACCTTAGGCAGGTCCTTTTCTCCTTAGGGCCTCAGTTTCATCTTCTGTAAAATGGGTACACAAATCCCTTCCTTTTTCACAAGGTTGTGGGGAGACTTGATCAAGAAGCATTTCTTATTTGGCTCATGCCAGATGCTAGTGGGGAGAAAGATGTGTGGGAAATGGCCCCTGGCCGGGAAGCTTGTGGTTCTCCCATGGAGAAAGAGGTGTCAGAGGAGAGGGAAAAAAAGGAAAAGGAAAAAGGGGGAAAAGAGGAACAATGTTTATTGAGCACTTACTATGTGTTGGGTGCTGAGCTGAGGGCTTTACCCACATGTGATTTCCACAACTGCCTTGTGAGGTTGAGATATTATTCCTATTTTACAGAAGAGGAAAATGAGTCTGGGGAGGAGAAAGATAAGTTGTTGGTATTGGTGGAGCTGAGAATTAGATTCCAGTTGGTCTCCAAAACATGGGCCCTTTCTCCCATGCCACACTCCTTCTCCACTCAGTTCAACAGATGGGGGTGAACCCTTCTCGGAGGCCTAGGACCCTGGGGGAGGATGAAACCACTGCAAAATGGTGTGACAGGTATAAAAATATAAGCATTAGATGCCATGGTAACTTACAGAATCTCTCCAATGAGGCACAAAGTCTGCATAGGGGAAGAGATACTTGACCTGGGTTTTGAAGGATGAGTAGAAGTTTTTCAGACAAAGAAAATATGGTCCTTCAGAACAAGGGAAATTGTATGTCTAAGGCAAGCAGATGTTGAACTGTTTGCTCCTTGAAGAACTGCAAATGGCTCTCAATTACTGAGAGATGGCAAAGAGAAGTGGAGAAGACATATCTCACCAGCAATTCAGCAGCGGTGTGACTTTGAGCAAGTCACTTAACCTTTCTGAGCCTCAGTTTTCTATTTTATTAAACGAAGCTGGCAATGCCTAATTCATAAGGTCATTAGGTTTGGATGAGATAAATGTAGAAATACTTTACACATATTGCTCTTATTGAATTCTTATAACCCTAGGAGCTGAGCTGGATGCCAGTACTATCCCATTTTTTGTGGAGAATCAGAGAGGGAAAGAACTTGCCCAAGGGCACACAGCCAGAGATGGCAAGTCCAGGATTCAAACCCAGGCAGCCTCATTCCAGATCTTGCCTTCTTAACAATCTGTTATATTGACACAAAAATCCAAAGTAAAATACTAGCAAAGCAAAAGCAGCTTTAAATGAAAACATGAATAGGCCATGATCAGGTAATTTTTATTCCTGGAATGTGGACATGATTTAATATTAGAAAACCTGCTAATATAAGACATCATATCAATAAGTTAAATGAGAAACACCATACAATTATTTTTAAAAGAATAGAAAAGAGGCTGGACACGGTGGCTCATGCCTGTAATCCCAGGACTTTTAGAGGCCAAGGCGGGCATATCACTTGAGGCCAGGAGTTCAAAGCCAGCCTGGGCAACATGGTGAAACCCCATCTCTACTAAAAAATACAAAAGTTAGCCAGGTATGGTGGCGCACCCCTGTAGTCCCAGTTACTCAGGAGGCTGAGGCATGAGAATCATTTGAACCACGGAGGTGGAGGTTGCAGTGAGACAAGATAGCACCACTGCACTCCAGCCTGGGTGACAGACCAAGACTCTTTCTCAAAAAAAAAAACAAACAAAAAAAAACATAGAAAAGAAGATTCAATAAAATGTTACATAAAGAACTCATTTAAAAAACCTGTAAGTAAACTAGAAATAAGACACTTTCCTACCTTGATTAAAACAAAAACAGAAACCTTTCTCAAATCAGCCAACATACTACCTAGTGAGAAACCAGAAGTATTCCATCAAAATGTAAAAAAAATCAATAATATATATTAACTTAATAGGGATTATTACTCCCATTATTACTTAAATACTCCCATTATGTAACACTATTCTGTGGGCCTCAGCAAATATAATACAATTAGACATGAGAAGATATGAGGGATAGCAAACAGAAGGGAGGAGATACAATTGTCAGATAGCATACTTTTGCCTACCTAAAAAATTTCTCAAAACACAAACCCAAAAAACCTATTAGAATAATAATACTCAAATTCTACTAATACTAAATGCAAAATAAATATATATGTACAGTATACTTTTTAAAATTACTTTTTCCATGTACCAACAAGAACAAGTAAGAGCATAACATTTGGAAAAGAAGATACCATTGACAGTAGCCACAAATATTGTAAATGTGAATTACCTTAATAGTAAATGAGCAGGACAACATGGACAAATAATAAAACATTTCAGAGATATAAAGAAGACTTAAATAAATGGGTGATGCAACATATTCTCAGAGGAGAAGGCCTATTATAAGTCTTCTTTTTTTTTTTTTTTTTTTTTTGAGACACAGTCTCACTCTGTCGCCCAGGCTGAAGTGCAGTGGTGCGATCTTGGCTCATTGCAACCTCTGCCTCCCAGGTTCAAGCAATTCTCCTGCTTCAGCCTCCCAAGTAGCTGGGATTACAGGTGTGCGCCACCACACTTGGCTAATTTTTGTATTTTTAGTAGAGACGGGGTTTCATCATGTTGGCCAGGCTGGTCTTGAACTCCTGACCTCAGGTGATCCACCTGCCTCAGCCTCCCAAAATGCTGGGATTACAGACATGAGCCACCACACCCGGCCCATAAGTCTTCTTATAATAATTATTATAAGACTTCTAACTATTATAAGACATATTATAATATTATAATGATGTTCATTCTTCCCCAGATTAATGTATAAATGTAATGCAATTTTTTTAAACTATGGAAATCTAGGCCTTGATCAAGTTATTCTAAATTTCTAAATTATTCTAATTTTCATCTGGAAAAAATGAAGAGATGAAGGTAGCCAAGAAGATTTTGAGAATTAAGTGAAATGAGAGGAGACTGTCCCTGCAAAAAAATATTATAATACAAGGTTATAATCCTTATAGAAACCAGTATGGCTGCAGCGCAAAAATTATTAGATAAGTCAATGAAAGAGGAAAAAGAAAATTAGCCTAACAGCAGAGCTTAGGACATAAACATGCTAGGTACATATGTAGAGTCAGCAGATAATAAAATGGCAGCTCCTAGCAGCAAGGAAAGAAAAAAATTATGGATTAACTGGTAATAAGGCAATTGGTTAACAATTTAGAAAATGAAATAAGTTTAGATCTTCACGTCATACTTGATTCCAAAATAAATTACAGAGGATTAAAGAGCTAAACATAAAAAGCAAAGCCATAAAAATCTAGAAGAAAGCAAAGATAAATATTGGCTCTTAAAATGCAGTGAAACAAGCTCTAGAAGGATAAAAGACATGAAAGTAAGAAAGATAAAGAAAAATTAATACCTTTGACCAAAGAAAAATTGAAATATTTCAAATTCTCATAAACATAATAAAGTAAACTAAAAAGCCTCATTACAAACTTGAAAACATTTGTAATAAAAAGAAAGATTGATCTGAATATATAGAGTCAGTCAAATTGATAAGAAAACAACTAGAATGCCAATGGAAAAATCAACAAAATATACATGGAAAATTCACAAGATAAATGCAAATTAATGACCACAAAAACACAAACAAATAAAAATGTGCCATAAATAATTTTTAAGTCATTTTTAAACTATTAAGTTAGCAAAAACTTCAAAAAAGTAATATTACTCTATGTGGACACAGGTATAAACTAACAGCACCTTACATTAGAAAGCAATTTGGTGCTACATTTTAAGAACCCTGCCCCCAAAAAATCTTTTGACACAGTAAGTCTCCTTCTAGGAATCTAATCCAAGGAAATTGTCAGAATTGGGGGCAAAGATATATATATGTCACACAATGCTTGTCACAGATTTATAATAGCAAAATTTCAAAAACCACATAAATGTCCATTAACATGACACTGCAGGAGAATGGTTTAATTAATTATGATATAGTCACACATGGAATATTATATAGTCTTTTACAATAATGCTTGTGAAGAATATTTAAAGACATATAAAGAGGAAAGGCTGGCTGGGCACGGTGGTTCACGCCTGTAATCCCAGCACTTTAGGAGGCCGAGGCAGGTGGACCACTTGAGGTCAGGAGTTCGAGACCAGCCTAGCCAATATGGTGAAACCCCATCTCTACTAAAAATACAAAATTAGCAGGGCACGGTGGTGCCTGCCTGTAATTCCAGCTACTCAGGAGGCTGAGGCAGGAGAATCACTTGAACCTGGGAGGCAGAGGCTGCACTGAGCAGAGATCATGACACTGCACTCCAGCCTGGGTGACGGAGTGAGACACTGTCTCAAAAAAAAAAAAAGGAAAGGAAACAATAAAATATTTGGTGAAAAAATAAATTTTATAACAATAGCAATAAAATTTTCTAATATTTTGACAAAACAAATACTTCAAGGATCATGAAATTTTAAAATTATTGTTCTTATGTCTGTTTGTATTTTTTTAGATTTTTAACAATAAACACAGTCATTTATTTATTTAAAGCATTTAAGATTACAGCCGGGCATGGTGGCTCACACCTGTAACCCCAGCACTTTGGGAGGCCAAGGTGGAAGGATCACCCGAGGTCAGGAGTTTGAGACCAGCCTGGCCTACATGGCGAAACCCCATCTCTACTAAAAATACCAAAATTAGCCAGGCATGGTGGCAGGTGCTACTCGGGAGGCTGAGGCAGGAGAATCACTTGAACCGGGGAGGCGGAGGTTGCAGTGAGCCAAGATTGCGCCACTGCACTCCAGCCTGAGCGAGACTCTGTCTCCAAAAAAAAAAAAAAAAAAAAAGATTACACCAGGCCTGAAATGAAATCATGTGATAAGGGATAAGAAGGCACTTTGACAAGTCCAGAGTTCTCTACGGCTTGTGTTATTTTTACTAGAAACCCCCTGGTGACTTAACAAGTGTCTAGGAGAGACCCTCCTGAGTTGTCACTCACACACAGGCAATTCTGGCTTCAGGAGCACGCCACAGCACATGGATCGGAAACCACCTTGGCTGCTGAGAGGACAGCTGGCTTGACTTGGCTGTTCCTCAATGTCTTCCCTCTGCGTCTGCTCCAGGCTTGTTTGCTCTCTCTGTAGAGGCAACATCACTGCTGGTATCATTATCTTTTCAGGATGAAACAGAGTTCTCACACACACACGTACACACCCCTTCAGTGACCAGGCAGCTTCAGCCAGACTCCTGTATCTTTCATAAGACAGATAAACCTGGAGGTTCAAAGTCTTTCATTCGTTCCCCCTTGCTACCATCTAGTCAAGCTTTTGTCCTGCTCTGAATCTATGTGTCTCTACCTGGCTACATCCTTTGTTACCTGGTTGCTGCCTCTAATTTTCTAAGCTTGGGGAGGAGGAAAGAGGAGGAGGTAGACCAAGGTTGTAGTCAGGGTCTGCTACCAATTGAATGTATGGGTGACTGGGGGCAAGTTATTTCCCCTCTTGGATGCTCACAGTCCTCATCTGGAAAATTGACCAGTTGGATGAAACCATCTCTGAGGACCTCTCCAATACCCATGTGTTCACAGGTAAATTTCTCAGGGGAGGTAGAGATTTGGCTCTCCCTTGTAGGGAACAAGAGGTACATAAAGGTCCATGTCCAGGAGGTGGATTGCGGTGATGTTTGTGATATGGGGATGTGTAGGTGGCCTAGATGTTCCTCATGCAGAAAAGTTAAGGAGAATATGGTAAGTGCATATTCCAGAAGACTCTAGCAACTGGAAGCCAACACTAGATGTACATTGAAAAGATGAATAGCACTCCAGGACACAGCATTTCATGGAAAAGTAAGAAGCAATAAGATCAGTAGCCCCTATGCCAATGCATCTGACTGTGCTGGTGTGGAGAAAGAAAGCAGGGGCTTTGCCAATACACTTGGCATGGAAAGGGAGAGACCCTAGACTCACTGTGAACTCTTGTCTTACGAAATCCCTCCTTTGGCTCTCAGAAACAAGTTTGTTTATTTGTTCGCAAGCTCTTCTCCCAAAGACACAAATCTGATCAGAAGCTGTGCTCCATTCAACAGGAGAATCTGGGGTGACAATATAATACTGGCTAGAAATATTTTGAGTTGTTCTGTGAATCTCACATCGGGTACTTATTTCACTGGACTTCTCTGTTTCAGTTTGTCTTTGCTCCTAAAGGAGCTACTTGGAAAGGTGCTTCTTGTCCTTCCAGCTATACCTGCCTCCTACGCCCATCTTGATACTTACCCAGCATGCTCTCCCTTTCTCTCCCCAGAAATCCATCCTATTAGACCAATTCCCTAAGGAGGGAAAACATCTTGGGCCCTCCTGGGCGGAGGCCTTCAAGGTTCTCATCTGTTGAGACATGGACAAGATTTCTGAAGGGGAAAGGCAGAGAGGACTTAGAAGGAGATGGCAGGAGAGCACCAAAGGCAAACATGGCTGACTGCGCTGTAAGCCCAAGGGCAGCCCCAGGAACAGAAGGAAAAACCAGCCCTGCTGTCATGCCTGGCTTCCAAGACTCGGGGCTGCCATCTCATGTGTGTCTAATGTTAATGGGCTTAAAAGTGCCAGCCTTGCTCATGAGTTAATGTTCCCTTAAAAGCAGTTTGGACCAGGACAGCAAAAGCACTTCAAGAAGTCTCTGGGCAAGAAATCTCTGGGAGGGAAGAAAGAGGAAAAGGTTATTCAAATAATAGGTAGAGCCGTAGGGAGAAAAAATGATGACTTAAGAAAGGAGAGAACATTTGCATATTCCCAGAAGTAGAATGACTAGGTCAAAGGGGAGGAGAATCTGTAGAGTGCATCCTATCTATGGTGCAAGCGCTTTCTTAAAAGATGTAATAATTCCAAATGCTACCAGCAGGAGTTGGGTATACCAGTTTCACCACTACTATCTTGTCAGCTTTTGGTGGTGGTGTTCTCAATTTGTTTTTGCTCCTTTGGTAGACAAGCAGTCAGTCCTTCTTCCTCCATTTTTTCCATTCAGCAAGCTTTCACTGAACACCTACTAGGTCTTGAGTGCTTGATTTGTTATGGGAAGTACTGAGATGGCAAGACAGGGCCCCCTTTCTGAGCAAGTGCACACTTTGGCTAAGGAGGCCGAGGGAATGAATATGCCCAGGTAGGGGAGCAATGCACAGTCAGGACCAGAACAGGGAAGGGTGGAGCCCAGGCCCAGATATGGCCCAGGCCAGACTCTGCTCCCAGGCTCTCCTCCCTGGCTCAAGGGCTCCAAGGCTTGAGAGAGCTTGCAGGAGCACCTGCCACATCTGCAGGCTTGAGTTTCTTCAGGCTCCAGCTCACCCAGAGGCAGCCTGACAGTACCTTCTGCGAGAAAACCAGGGCCTCCCAAGTTCTGGAGACTCATTCCCAGCTGAAAGAGGGGGTGCAGAGAGCCATGGGCTGGGAGCCATGAAACTGAATTCTCCTCTTAGCTCTGCCACTGACAGTTGCTAGGTGGCCTTGGGCAAGCCTTCCTTCCCTTCTCTGAGCTTCAGTCTCTTACAGAGGGGGAAGGTGGAATGGGTAGAGAGGGTTATGCCTGCCTGCACACGTCTGGTTACTTGTGCCCTCCGCTTTGGGAAGAAAGCCTTCTCAAACACATCAGCCAGTAAACTACCATCCAGACAGTCCCAGATTCAAATGAATAGACTGTCTATCTCTTCACTGTAAACCAAGGGAGATTGTTTCCAGAGGAAAGATGTTCAAGGGGGCCTTTCTAAGAAGTATTGCCTGAGAAGAGCAAGCTGAAGACAGACAGACCTGTTTGTCGATGACTTACTACGTGCTAGTTGCTAGTTCCCTGTAGGGGACTCTTGCACGTGTTATCTTTAATCCCACCACAACCCTTGGAGAGAGCCATTCTTATCCACATCTTGCAGATAAGAAAACAGAGGCTCCGAGATTAAATAACTTGTCTGGGGCCCTGCAGGCAGAAAGTGGCAGATAAGATACACACACAGTTCATCTGACCCCAAAGCCGTGCTCTTTTCTAAGCCAAGAGACCAGGTCAGATGCTGAGCAGGCAGAATCCGGCCCACAAATGTGTGTTGTTTGGTCCAAGTGAGGCTTTAAAAATTGGAAATTTTTACAGGAATTCAGCTTCTGGATTAGAAAATTGGAAAATCTGGCAACACGGAGTTCTTGTTCCACATGGCAACAATAAGCTGGAGCTTCCGGAGGCTGAGACCTTTGGACAAGACTCTCTAGTCAGCCTCGGTCCACTCCAATTTTGCAACTGGCCCACCTCACTTTTTTCTTTTTTTTTCTTTTCTTTTTTTTTAGGGGGGGCTGGGGAGGACAGGGTCTCGCTCTGTCACCCAGGCTGAAGTGCAGTGGCACAATCATAGCTCACTGCAGCCTCTGCCTCCTGGGCCCAAGTGATTCTCCTGCCTCAGCCTCCTAAGTAGCTGGGACCACAAGTGTAGGTCACCATACTAGGGTCTCACTGTGGCTGGTCTCGAACTCCTGGGCTCAGACTCCGGGGCTCAAGTGATCCTCCAGCTTCAGACTCCCGAAGTGCTGGAATTACAGGTGGGAGCCACCACACAGACCCTCCCTTCCTCTTGTATATTACTACTTGCTGTACCCTCCAGGCAGTGCACCTGGAACCCCAGGCCTGAAGGAATAGTCTTGATCCTGCATCCAACCAAGGGGGTGGTGGTCAGCTGGAAAATGAAGCCCCTGAGGCCTCTGGCTCCAGCTCCCTGCACTTTCCTCTCCTTCTTCTCCTCGCCTCTCTCCCACTCCTCCCTCTTCTCTTCCTTCTCCTGCCCTCCCTTTTCTTCCTCTTTTCTCCCCTTCTCTCCATGCCTTTCCTCCTCCTCCCTAGCCTTTCTCCTAGCTCACAGACCATAGGTGCACTTTCTGTGCAGGTGCACACACACACACGCACACACACACAGTCATGCACATGCACCTCTTTCACTCCCTTTTACAGTGCGTGTCTGGTCTCTCCAGGGAGGCTGCAAACTCTCTGGCGGCAGGAGTATCTCTCACCTCTTGACACACACAGCCCCATCACAACAGGAACACACTGTCTCCCAGACGGTATGGAAAGCACTCATTGCCCCGGCCTCCAAACAGAAGCCCAGCTGGCTGGGGAGGGGACACAGGTGTTGGGAAGAGCTCAATTCTACCTGGCTGCCCTGAATCAACCCCCTCTCCATGCCAGAGCTCCCGGGGCACCCGCTTTGATGTATGAGGTGTCCAAGGGCCAGGCAGCACCCACCAAATGCCCCGGCTAGTCATCTTTTCCTGTTTACACCAAGAGGGCCTGGGATTTATTCACTGGGAAATCTCTGAGGAAACCATGAGCCAGGACCCTGTGTAAAAGTGCTGGGGCCCCTCAGCTGTGTACGTGCGAGCTGCAGCAGAGGCCAGGCACACTCGAACCTTCAATCCTTGGCAGATGATGATCTGAGACCATCAGGTCTAATATCAGGGAGGCCTGGGTTAGCAAAGCCATCTTCCTCACACACACAGGTCAGAGAGCACAGACCTCAGAATGGACCCACCTGTGATTCAGCCCAGAGCACTGCCATTTTGTCTGGGTGGCCTTGAGCCAGCCTCCAGTCTGTAAAATATTTTCTCCATCTGTAAAATGGGGTTTAGGAAGCTAATGGGTATGATTGTAAAGCACTATTTGGTGTAAAACCCCTACCACATTTCAGATCTTGGGGCCGGTGTGAGGGAATCTTGGGCTCTTCAAAGGGAAAAGGAAGGGGTTGGGTGGACATGGTGCCTCATGCCTGTAATCCCAGCAACTTGGGAGGCCGAGGCGGGAGGATCACTTGAGCCCAGGAGTTCCAGACCAGCCTGGATAACACAGGGAGATCCCATCTCTAATTAAAAAAAAAAAAAAGAAAAAGAAAGGAGTCAGGAGAGTTCTCAGGCCTGGGCATGCATTAGAATCACCTGTGGAGCTTTGCAGACACATAAATTCCCAGACCATATCCTTGGAGAGTTTGCCCATGAGGCCGCCTTAAAACAGGCCATGGGGATGGAAGGAATCATTTTTCCCTATTAAAATGTATGGAATGAGTTTTTCATTTAATAGATTTTCATTTAGCAGCAGTTTTCAAGAACAAATTCCAGTCATTAAGTGAAGAACTGGGTATAGACTTGCTGTGTGAGTCTGATCTCGGGGCAGAGTAGTAAACAAACCAGGATACACAATGATAAGGACCAGCCCTGAGTGGCCAGGAGCCTTATGCTGATTTTGCCATTTCAACCTTCTGAGGCACCAAAGAAACTCAGTGACTCACCCAAGGTTACCAGGTGGGCCAGTGTCAGAGCTAGGATTTGGACAGGACTCACTCTGGCTCCCAAACCACACACCTTTCCTCGTCCCTTCTGCCATTGCCTCCCTTCAGAGGGGCTCTTCCAACACTCGCATGTTGCCTGCCAGGGCCTGGCCTCTAAAAAGTATAGCCTGTGGGCTGTATTTTCAAGACTCATTCCTCTGGATTTGTTGGAAGAAGCCCTCGGAATTAATGACAACTGGGGACAAAATGAAAAGAAGTACGATTGTGTTATTTTCAACCAAAGAGTTGGCACATTCAAAGAGCACAGACCCAACCCGCAGATGAGCTGGTGAAGACCGCTCTGCTGGGTGAAGCCATTGGACTCTCTGGGCCTCAGTTTCTTTGGCCGTCCAGTGGGGATGGTAACATCCATCACACTCCAATAGAGTATGGACTATGAGATAATGTATGAGTAACTTCTGTATAAGCTGGAGAACAAACCATTGTGCAGGAAATCATTTTCCAGAAGATTCCAAAATGCCCAAAGATGACTTATCAAGTTACAAGTTTGTTTTCATATTTCAAATCTATGCCTTGATTGGCATTCAATTTGTGATTTGGTAGTAATGAAGTATATTGTCAATGACATAAACCTGTTTGGTTCGGCAAGTAAACTGGAACGATGGTCCTGAGCGGTGCTAGGTTTTGCTTGTTGGTGCTGCCTTTAGGGGCTTGCCTTTAGACATCAGAATCTTAAAGAGTGACTTCCAGGAAGAGGTGTAGCATCTACTTGGGTATATGGTTCTGATTTTTTTTTTTTTAAGACAAAGTTTTGCTCTTGTTGCCCAGACGGGAGTGCAATGGCGTGGTCTCAGCTCATTGCAACCTCTGCCTCCCAGGTTCAAGAGATTCTCTTGCCTCAGCCTCCCAAGTAGCTGGGATTACAAGCGCCCACCACCACACCTAGCTAATTTTTGTATTTTTAGGAGAGACGAGGTTTCACTATGTTGGCCAGGCTGGTCTCGAACTCCTGACCTCAGGTGATCCACCCACCTCGGCCTCCCAAAGTGTTGGGATTACAGGCATAAGCCACCGTGCCTGGCCTGGTTCTGATTTTAAATGTTAACTCGGTGTAGTGATATTAACTTTCCATGCGTTTCCTTTTCTCAAACATGTTTCCATAGTGTTCAAGGTGAAGGAGCACTAGCATGTATGAGGAGCAATAAAATATATTGCACATAAGACATCCTGATAGCAATCCATTATATCAACCTATTTTACCTAAATAATAAAAGTATTCTGAAAAAATTGGTTAATAGTAAATGGCTACATGGTGTTGTGTAACAAGTGTATTTTACATGAAATATTTAACATTATGAGGTGTATCAGATTTTAAGTAAGTTCGCCTAAGTGGTATTCCTTAGGACCTGTTACAAGGAATGCTTTTCTTTTATTTTTTTTTTATAGAGGAAATAAAACCCATTCATCAATCAACATGAAACAAACAATATTCTATAAGGACCTACACTGTGGATCAACTACAAACATAGGTTCAGGAGTGCTTGTATCCCATTCATTCTCCTAAATAGGTTAAATATTCCCCCTGCCCTAGACAGTCACTTAGTGAACCCTTCTCTCCCTGGCTGCCATGTGCAAATAGCCACTTTCCAAATGAGCCTCATAGACTAGACTATCTCATGGCCCCACTTCAAAGCTTCAAAAACAAAAAGCATTAATTACACATACCCTCTCCTGTATAAACCCTCTTCTGATGATCAACTAAAATATATATTCCAGGGAGGAAAGTGCCTTGGAATAAAATGCCCAATACAGGGGCCGTACATTGTCCATTTTCTAGCCTGTGCTCTGGGCATTGGTTTGTTCTTTGAAATCTCACTACTTTGGAAAAGTGCTTTTCCAGAGTCAGACTCACTAGATTCAGATGCTAACTCTGTCTCTCACTAGCTGTGTGACCTTGGACAAGTTGCTTAACTTCTCTGTGCCTCATTTCCTTCATTTGTAAAATATGAAAAATGGGCTGAGTTGATCCGAACTCCAATTTCATGGGCACTGGTGGGTCTAGGGCAGGGGTCAATAAACTTTTTCTGGAAAAGGCCAGATTATAAATTTTTCCAGCACCGATGGCCAGAGTTTGCCTTGAAGAGCACTGAAAGATGAGGCTGGGGGCAGGAGGGCTGTGCCCAGTCTGTGCTGTGCCCCTATTGCTGGCTCCTGTTAGGCTTTGGAGCCTTCTCCCCAGAGCGGAGCCACACAGCCCAGCTCCCCACTCGTGTGCCCCGGCCATGACCTCTTCCCCTCCGGTGAATTATATTCTACAGCTAGAATTGCCCCTGAGATCAGCTAGCGCATGCCCTTGTTTTTTAAGTGAGGAAACTATGGCCCAGAGAAGAGTAGAGATTTCCCCAAGGCCTCCCAGCCCATGGCCTGCCAGTGTCCCTGCCTGTGGCGCTAGGGAAGCCCCACCCTGGCCCTCTGTGGAATGCAAACTACAGAACTGTGGGCCCAGGCAGGACCATGGCTGGCCCAAACAAGGCCATTGTGAGAATTATAAAAAAGACCCCTTCCTCTGGAGATGTAAACGCCACGAGTGCCCACGGCATGCCAGCAGATTGTAGGGATTCAGCCCCCTTTTGGCTCCACAATAGTGTGCAACCTGCACGGCCGTACATGGAGGCCCTGGGCCCATGCCTTGTAGCAGGGATCGTTGCTAACCTTGGCAAACCTGAGACCACAGACCCATCTGGAGATGTCGGGAAATACTCAGCTTCAGGCTCTCATTGCCAGATAGGAGTACACTCCCCATGTACCAGAAATCTAGATTTTCAAGTGAAATTTGCAGTTTGTAAATGTTGGCAAGGGATTCCATTTTCTATTGTTTTATTTAAAAAAAAAAAAAAAAACCCATGCTAGTGGATCCTGTGCAGAGCACAAGGGGCGAGTCTGTGGGCTGACAGACTTGCCATCTGACTTACTCCAAACCTCTTGCAATACAGATGTGAGATGACAGGGAAGTGACTTGTCCAAGGTGACACCTGGAACCAGTGACAGCCTGTCCTCCAGCCTTCCCTAGTGCCTGTGACCCACACAGCACCTCTGTTTCACAAGTCAGCATGAATTGCATACACACCTCCCGGCCTGGCCCAGTCCCCAGCTGATATTTTTACCAAATGTCACAGCAGTTTGCAGGAAGGCCCAGGGTCTGGCTTGAGCCAGTAAATTATGATCGCTTGCCAGAGAGCTGTAAACAGGATTCTGATTAATGAATTCCTTAATGGCTGGGCCTGAGTGCAGACCTTGTCTGAGTGTCACCCCAGGCAGATACACGAGGAGGAATTGGCTGGGCAGTGGGAAGATTTGTGTCATGTCTTTGCCTCGGAAAGGGTGCTCCAAACCTGCTGGCCCTGAGCGCCTGAGTAACTACTCCTCCCTCTCTCCTAATTGTGGGCCTGCCGCATCTGAGTTCACGCCAGCCCGTGTGTGCAGAAGACCAGGGAAAGAGATGATTGAGCCTCGAGTGAAAATAGAATTGGCTGGCCTCCACTGTGATCTCAAGAAACTTGAAAATGCCCTGTCTGAATCCAAACAAAGAGCCGAGAAGCCTTTTTCCCCATGCTGGTGCTTTAAGGACCCCCTGCCTGAGGCCTGAGCCAGAGCAGAAAGCCCTGGAATCTCTACCTTTCTTAGTTGGGAATTGGAAACTCAGGCCACAGGAGCCAGACACACACTTGTCCAGACTCCCCAGGGATCTGGGAAGAATGGAAACATGGGAAAGTCACTGACCAGGAAACATCCTGCTGTGTGACCATGAGGCCAATCTCCTGACCAGTCCGGACCTTGCGTCCTCTTCTGTGACATGAAAGGCCTGGAGCACGTTGTTCACCCAGCACCTAGTACAGCCACAGGGGTGAGGTCAGAGCTAAGACCAGAGCAGGAATGGCAAGCAAACTGCGTGTGTGCCCCCGCCCCGCGACTGCACCCAGGGCAAACATCACCGATCGATCCTGGCCCTCCTTCCCACTGAGCTGGGGCCAGACCTCACAGCTTTTCTCACTGCAGAACTCAGGGCAGCACCACCAATCAATCACAGCCAGCAAGGGTGAGAAAATCGATCTGCCATCCCCAGACTGGAAGATTTGTCTTTTGTGCTCAGTCTAAGAGTGGCAGCTTGTGTGGCAGAAAGAACACTGGACGGGGAGTCGGGAGACCTAGCTAATTGTCAGGCTCTGCTGTCAGCTGGCCAGGGCACCAGGCCTCTCTGAATTCCTCAAAGTCCTTTTCTGCCCTGAGGTCATGGACGAGTAAGAGCAGGGTCTATTAATATAATCACAATGGGCGCTTATGTCTCAGGTACTGGGCAAAGCACTTCATGCCCTTTTCTCACTTAGTCGTCATAAAACTTGACAAGGGGGATTAGGATTGTCCCCATTTTGCAGAGAAGGAGATTGAGGTTCAGACAGGTTAAGTGAAAAGCTCAAGTTTACAACTAGCAAGTGTCCAAACTGAGAGTTAAACCCAGGCATCTTGTGGCAAATTAAATATGTCCACAATGTCTTTGAGGTTCCTTCCATCAAGAGGTGGGATCTGTTTCCCTCGTCCAGTCAATCTGGACTCACCATGACTAACAGGATGTGATGGAAAGGTACCAGCAAGTTCAGCAGCCTGGGCCCCAAAGGCCTGACAGCTTCTGCTCTTGCCCTTGGGATGCTGCCCCAAGGCTGCTTGTCTATCTTATTGGAGGGTGAGAGGACACTTGGAGGAGAACTGAGGCACTCCAGCATCAAACATGTGCATCAAGCCACGGTGGATTCCCCAGTCCAGCAGCCCTTCCAGCCCACCCTCCTGCTGAATGCAGCTGAGCGAATGAGCCCAGCAGAAAGCAGCAGAGGCACTGCCCAGACAACCTATAGAATTGTGAAAAATAAACCACTTAGTTTTTAGACTTACTTGTTATACAGCAATAGCTAACTGATACACAGTCCCACTCCAGAGCCACATACTGAATATTATGTGTGTGCTTCACAAGAGGCAATACCATGTAGTGGGCAAGAGAGTGTGGTCTTTGGAGCCAGGCAGCCTGGGTTAAAAGTGACTAAAATAGTGGCTGGCACTATGCTCACTAATGTTCTCCCTAAAGAATGGAAATTTCCAGGCTTACTGGGAGTCAGTGTTATTTACCCAGTGAGGGCTCCTGGGACCACAGCAAAGGTCCTGGCCATCTGCTGCCTCTTATGTCTTCACCTCAGGGAGAGAGACAGAGAGAGAGAGCGCGCGAGTGCAAGAGCGCACCGGAAGCCCCCAGGAGCCCCAAAAGGAACATCTGGGTGACCAACTCCTTTGGAGTTAGATCATGTGCAGACTTGCATGGTAGTCCAAGCAGATAGATACTGTTGGTTCCATGTTTCCCAGATGGGGAATCCAAGACCCAGAAAAATAACTAGCCCTGAGCCAGCCTCCTAATTCTTGGTCCAGAGCTTGTCCCTTTGTCTTAGTGCTGATGTAGTAACAGGGATCCCACCTGTCTGAGCCCATTCCTCAGCCTCAAGAGCATGGCAGAAGCAGACTCTGGGATTTCAGTTATCCACAACCAGCCTTCCTTGGTGTGTGGGTGGGGAAGATGGGGGCAGGATCAGCCCCTCTAAGGTCTCCTGCAACCAGAAACCCATAGTAACGAGGGTGGGCCAGACCCCAGTAGGATAGTAGAGCCCCTAGCTCGTCATCAGAAGGGGCCCCTTTGCCATCTCTTGGGTGTGCATTTTTCTCTCTCCTGGGTCCCTAGCTCTTGGTCGCCCAGCACCCACTCTCCTTCAATCTCTGTGAGGATAAGCCTCTCTTTTTCCTTTTTCAGTGAGGCTAAGAACCAGGCAGGGGAAACAAAACCTAAGACTTGCTGAACCCTCAGTGTGGGCCTGGTACAATGTAAACACTCTGCTTTAATTGACACAACAATGCCACCAGGGATGCCTTGTCACAAATGAGAAAACCAGGGCTCCAAGAGGCTAGGTGACTTGCCCAAGAAGATACATTTAGTAGGTGTCAGGGCTGCGATTTGAATCCAGAGCCACAGCCATTTCTCCCACACTGCCTGTTATCTCCCAGAGGAAGCAGAGAACCTGGCATGAAAACTCCAGTGTGGAAACAGCCAGTGGAAACTGCATTAATGAAAGGAGAGATTGAGCCAGGCCTGACCTCCGGGGCTGGTTCCTCAGCAACCTGAGCCCCGAGAGGAGCTGAGGAGAGACTTTCCCAGCATCCTCAGCAGCTGATTACCAGCTTCACTTTTTCCTTTTCCTCCTTAGATGTTTCCAGTGCTCCCATCAAGTGCTCCGAATCCAGCATATAGAGGAGTGCTGTACCTCAGAGCTGGCAGGACTGGGGTGGTGGGGGTGCTGAGAATGAACCTGCATGGTTCACTCACAGCCTATTGTCCTCCGGGCAGCTGCCTGGAAGCCCACTCCAGGAAGAGAAGGACCCCTGTCAGCTCCACATGTGGCTGAGGCTATGGTCCTCAATAGAATTAATAAATTGAGCACTACCGGGTGCTAGGCGCTGTGCCCTGATGTTCACATTCATGTCTCATATTGTCCCCGCAATAATCGCATGATACCTATCACTGATAATCCTCATGACATGTCCCCACTGTGCTAAATGCCGTCCATGTGTAGCCTCACTTCCCATGGTTCACATCAACCCCGTGAGAGAGTTCTCAGGAGTCCCCCACCCTCATAGTGTTGACCAAACCTCAGAAGGTGCAATGATGCCCCAAGGGGCTAAGTGATTTTCCCCCAGTTAGTAGGTGGCTACACAAGGTTTTAAATCCGGATCCATTTGACCCCCAAGCCAGTGCTCTTAAGCACCCTGCTCTGTGGGGTGTAGAGAAAACTAAAGCTTGGGGGGCAAGTGTGAGATCCCACTCTCCAGAGAGAAGGCCTGACCCATCCAGAGCTGCGTTGCTTCTGGTTGTGGCTTTCAGCCCAACCCAACCCCAGCAGGGCTGATCCATCTCTCAACCCACCCTCCCCAAAGGCATCTGAAACCAATCAGGGCCTGGGTCTCGGTCATTCTTCCAGCCTACTTGGTCTTTCATCCTCCCTCTTCTCTTATTCACGCCCTCTCTCCCACCATCACCACCACCACACACACACACACACACACACACACACACACTCTCACACACTCACACTCTCTCTCTCTCTCTCTCTCTGTCCCTCTCTCTCTTTCTCTCTCTCTCACACACACACACACACACTCTCTCTCTCTTTCTCAACATTCCTCTTCCTCACCCAGAAATAAAACAGGTATAGCATTGGGGTCAGGAGACTCAGGGCTCAATATTTTAGCTCCCCACTACTGTCTGTGTGACCCTGAGCAAGTCACTTGGTGCCCAGAGCTTTGGTTCCTAATCCTCAAAATGAAGCTAATGAGCCCTGTAGCCAGGCAGGGTAGGCCAGGAGAGGGGCTAGCTAGTCTTTGGGACAAGCCCGCATGGAGCCTGGTGCTCCACAGGGATCACTCTGCCTATTTTTCCTCCTTGCAGCCTCCCACATGGGAATTACTGGAGGCAGGGGTGCAGAGGGGTTCATTCAGAAGTGGAGACCTGGACTATGCCCGTCTTTTAAATGAAGAAGATGAGACTCGGAGAGGGGAAGTCACTTTCCTAAAAGCCCCAAGGCCAGTAAGAATTTGGACACACATTAGAATGAGCTCTGTGCAGGCACGAAGCCTGCTTTCATCCATTCATTCAGTTTGTGTTCCCTGAACACCTACTGTGTGCCAGACACCTTGCCCGGCAGAGGATTAGCAAGACGTTTCAAGGCACAGTCCCCCTGTCCCAGGTGACTGGGGAGGTGTCAAGGCCAGGTAAGATCATGGATAGGAAAGCACTTGCGAATGCCCAAGGACAGCGCGTGGCCACCTCTCCGCCCCCCACCTGCCTCGCTGCGTCGCTCAGGAGGGCTTTTCCTTGGCTGGATGGCCATGCCAGGAAGGAGGAGCCTGCAGGCTCAGAGGTTGCTGGCAGGCCCTATGGACCACCCTGCCACCAAGGAGCCTCTTCCTTCAAGCCCCCGTGATACCAGGTGTGAGATTCAGATTGCATTAGCAGGGGACCCTTGGGCTTGGTCCAGTTCGTCCTCAGCCTATACCCTCCCTCCTCCGAGAAGCACTGCCCCCTTTTCCCAGGTCTCTGGTTCTGCTGGAGCTGCTCTACAGAAACCCCACGCAGAGCCATAAACAGAACCGGGCCAGGGCAGGGGCACTGCCAAGAGGAAGCCCTGAGCAAGCGCCAGTGCTGTCAGCAAGAGGGGAGGTTATTTTTAGAGGCAGCCTGATGGGGTAGCCGTCTGTCCCACTGCACAGTGACACAGAGATGCCCTCGTGAGAAGGAGCTTTGCAGTCCAGCACTCTGCCTCCCCTGGCCTCCTCAGAGCCAAGGCAGAGTCTCCTCCAGGGAGTCTTCCCGGTACAACGTGCCAATGGCCCCTTATTCTCAATTTTGTGAGCAGAGAAGCAGAGAAGGGCAAGGAAGTGCACACAAACCCTCATATAATCTTCCCAGGAATCCTGAGAGGTGGGCATTATCCACCCTCATTTTACAGAGGGGAAAACTGACACTCAGAGAAGCTAAGTAACTTGCCCGAGATCACACAGCTTGTGAATGGCAAAGCTACAACTTGAACCCAGGTCAGTCTGAGGACAAACCTTGCCCTCTTTCGACTTCATGGTGGCTCTTAGAAATACACCCTCTTCCCAGTGTCTGGATGAGGACCTCATGGGGCTCTGGACTGGCTGCATCTCCTCCTTTATTCACCCCATGACCTTCAGGCCTGACCTTCCACTGAGTCATGCAGACTTCTGAGTGAGTCAGCCCTGGCACATGACTCTCACTGTAGGCAATGGGCATTTATTAAGCATCTTCTGTATACCAGGCACTAGGTTCTGTTAATCTCCCACAGACAAGTCATGAGGTGATGAGCAGGACAGCCCCCTTACCCTGGGGGCACTTAATATACTCCAACCTCTGGGCTCTGAGCTTTCCCTCTATTCTTCTACTTAGTCCTCAAGACGGCCCTGGTGGTAAATATTTATTATCTCTATTTTGCAGATAAGGAAAACAAGGGTTGGAGAGATTAACTCTCCTTTGCCCAGAGCTTTGAGATTATTTGGTTTAGGGCCCCTATTATATTTGCTTTAGCTATTTACACTTTTTCTTCCTTCATTCACTAGCTTGTTCTTATCAAATGCCTCCTAGTTGCAGTAATGCTGAGGGTCCTCAGGGGATCTTAGAGACCCCCACTCTGGTTCAATATCTTTGCCTTTATCTTACAGATTGTGGTAGACCCTGAGCAGGTAATTCATTTAACCTCTGTCCATTTTGCAGATGAGAAAGTCGAAGTCCAGAGAGGGACTGGAACTTCCTGTGTGTTGCACGGTGACAAAGACAGAATGAAGAGACTGCATCCTCCCTGATCCCCATCTGCTCCCAGTTTTACATAGAAGCCCTTGGCCCTGAGCCAGGGCAGTCCAGGACACAGTCACAGGGCACAGGGTGTCCCCTGAGCACCTGTGTACTTGACCTCACAGGAAGCCAGAGACTCTGGGCCAGCTTAGAGCCCAAGGAGAGGTTAAGAAACTCATGCATAGGAAAGAGAAATGCCTTCTGGAATGCACAGAAATCAAGCATTTCATGAGGAGCCACGGTCAGTGGGAGGCCCTGTGGGGGCCGGGGTAGGACGTGCGGTGTAGCAGGAGGAAGTGGGACTTCTTGGTGCCATAAGCAGGGTCCTGTCCCTCAGACTCTCTGTGGGGCCTTGGCTGAGGGGGCTGGGGCCCTTCATCTCTCTGGGCCCCATTTCCATCTGAGGCATGAGACAGGGGTGGTCAGGGGGTCCCTCAAGCTTCCACTTAGCTCCGTAAGGTGGTAGATAAGGGACACCAATGACAAAGCAGCCTGCATTGGAACCACAGGAAAAATGGTCAGAGGTCTGCAGCATCTGCAGGTGGGGGGCTGGGGGGGAGTGGAGAGGCTGCTTCAGCAAGGGGGGCGCTGCCTGGAGGAAGGCACTCTCACCCAAGCTCCCCTAGAAGGCTGCTGGGTGGGGGGAACAGGAGCCCTGACCCTGAGAGGCCAACAACCCTTCAGCTCAGCTGGCGAAGATGGCGGCTGCCGTGGAGAGGGTGCAGAGGGAAGCAGCTGCTGGAGGCAGATGCATCAGCTTCCTATAGCCACTTTAACAGGTTCCACAAACTGGGTGCCTTAAAACAACAGAAATTTATAGTTCATAAGTCTGGAGGCCAGAAGTCCAAACTCAAGGTGCTGACAGGACCACATTCCCTCCAGGGACTCTAGGGGAGAATCCATTTCCATGACTCTTCCAGCTTCTAGAGGCTCTGGGCATCCCTTGACTTGGGGCTGCATCGCTCCAATCTCTGCCTCCACAGTCCCACTGCCTCCTCTCCCATCTCTCTCAAATCTCCCTCTGTGTGTCCCTTATAAGGATACTTGTCACTGGATTTAGGGCCCACCTGGATAATCCAGGATGATCTCTTCAAGATCCTTAACTTAATCACATCTGCAAAGACTATTTTTCCAAGTAAGATAATATTCCCGTGCTGGGAATTAGGACATGGGCATATGTTTTTGGGGCCCGCCATTCAACACCCTAGAGCAGAATCTTGGGGAGCCCAGGGCCAGGGCTCCACACTCAGTGGCTCTTGGAGTCAGAGTCTTCTGGCAGCTCAGCTCAGCTGGGTGGGAAGTCCCAAGTGAGGGTCAGCCTGCTTCTCACTTGCTCGGCCCAGTCCGAGAGCAGAGACACTCTGGGAGGGAGTGGGGAGGGAGGGAGCCTTTCTGCAGAGGCGCCTCCAGCTCTGGGGAGGCACCAGCAGCCATCATCCAGCTCAGAGACAAATTAGCCAGCTAATTCAACTCCATCGACTGGAATGACCAAGCCTGGAGGGGACTTGGGGCAATCAAACTACTCCCTCTCACACCAAAGGACACGGAGGGGTCCCAGCACGGTGAACAGGGTGGGCGCCTAAGAGTTGGATTCCAGGCACAGTAGAAGGACATATGGTGGAACTTCCTAGTACAACTCAAACACACTCTGGTGGGTACCACCTTTTCTTCCCAGCCCAAGCACAGGCCCCCAGAGCCCAGGTTCAGCACATCTGTCCCAGTTTGGAGCACTTTATATCATTATCAGAGCCCTTGGCAAGCATGCCTTCAGATCTGGGGTCTTGAAAACATGCCAGTGAACACATAGGGCCCTCCTGCTCCAGACGACTGGAGGATGAGCTCTGGGCTGAGCAGCTAATTTACTGAGCACCATGGCCTGGCTCTAAAAGGGAGAGCATGGAGGGAAGAAAGGCAGGGGTCATTGTCTCCGCAGTCAGGGAGCAGCCGACTAGACAGAAATTGTGCACACAAAGAGATGTAACAGAGCACAGCCTGGAGGGCAGGGGGCACAGGACAGTGGTGTGGTAAGGAAGCATTCTGGGTATTTGGGGGACACCTGGAAGGAGGTTTGTGTAGAGAAATTAGCTTTGGATTGAGGCTGGAAGCTGGTGGTGTAGGGGCCCAGAAACCACCCACCTAGGCTTACAGCTTGTGAGTGACAATACTGGGCTGGATTTCAGGAAGATCAATACAGGGGCCACGTGTCAGATAGAATGGGGAGCAGGAGAGAACAGGGCAGAGAGGCTAGTTGGGAGGCTGTTGACCAGATCTCGAGAAAGATAATGGGAGCTTAAACAAGGGTGGTGGCTCTGGGGCTAGAGAGAAAAGGATGTAAGAGGAAGAGAAGGAAAAAGGACTTAGTGAATATCCACTCTGTGCCAGACACTCGGCATGATACCTCTCATCCAATCTTCTCAACCACCATTAAAATGGGACGACTGGCTTCCTAAGAAACATCATGTTAAAAAAAAATCACACAAAAAAACATTTGCAATAGAAAAAGGAGAGATTCTAGAATGAAAAAAAAAATGGACTCACAGTAAATTTATTTTCTCTATAGTAATCCAACAATTAAAATGCCTTATAGCCAAACTTGCATTTTGTGGCTGCAAGCTAAAAATAATCGAACAGCATGTTCCCCACATACAGGGTGCATGTGTCATCACCCACTGTGACTGTCATCACCAATAGCAGTCCAGTCATATGTCTCATGTTCTCTAATTAATCAGCCCTATCATTTCCAATTCAAGGTATGGAAGCACCCGTGTTTATGATCCTCGCTTTACAGCTGGGTAAACAGGCTCATGGATAGGAACGCTCTCAGGGTCACCAAGCTCAGGAGAGGCTGGGCAGAGACTTGGAAGCAGCCTTTCGGATGGGGGCTCTTTCCACTCCGCGCCCCGGGAAGAGGAATGGCTGAGACTTGGTGACTGATGCCCACAGACGGCTCGGGAGGAAGGGCCAGCGCAGGCAGGGCTCCGGGCCAGGGACTGAGGCCAGCCCGAGCCTCCCACACAGGCAGCCAAGGAAGGCAATCCCTCTCCGGCTTGGCTCGGCTGTCCTTCTTGCCACTGGGAGCCCTGATTGAGTGCGGCACTTTCAGAGCAGTGAAGGATGAAAATGGAAAAGGAGGAGAATGAGCAGACAGGGGAGGAGGGGGCATCTCGCCCAGAGGGAAGACAGCACCCTATTTAGGCCAGACCAAGGGCAGCTCTGCCCAGCTATCTCTGCACTACCTTTTAGCACTTTAATCAAATGCCTTACGAATGGGTTTGCCCGGATGTCAAAAATCCAATCGGATACATTTATTGGCCTGACAACCAATTTTCTGCTATGTATCATCAGGGACTGATGGTC
The DNA here is from genome assembly GCF_000001405.40 of Homo sapiens. Taxonomy (NCBI): domain Eukaryota; kingdom Metazoa; phylum Chordata; class Mammalia; order Primates; family Hominidae; genus Homo; species Homo sapiens. The sequence continues at coordinate 70,156,515 of NC_000015.10, read as the reverse complement.
CATTCTCAGCAGCAGGGCAGTTGGCGATAATGGAGCTGGGAGAGCCATTGTGTGCCCTCAATATTGTTTCAGGCTGTCAGTAGGGAAGGAAAGGAGCCTGGGCCCACAGGGCGGGCAGACAGACAGACAGAGGGACAGAGGGTGCCTTGAGCCTTTAATCCCTGCACAGTGGGACAAGTGCTGGAAGGAGGGGAGAGATCAGGGAAGCTGGCAGGCCATCCACAGTCCACACAACTTGGGGCACTGCCCTTTCCTAACCTGGGCTTCCTTGGGGTCCTCACCAGCCATGTCTGAAGAATGGGGGAGCAAGAACCCATCAGTACTGACGTGAAGACCACATGGATTCAGGCAGCATCTACTTAGCCTCCTCAGCCTGCAGGGCACCGAGCTAGACAGCTGATGAGGTGACTCCAGGCCTTGGGGAGCTTCCAGGAGAGTAAGAGAGATCAAATTAGAGGGCTGGAGGAAACTGCAACCCCTCTCCCCTTGCCTGCCTTTCCAACTGGCCCTGAGGAGCCCTAGGAGTCTCCAGGAGCACTGCCCCCTCAGAGTTGCCCAAAACCCGAAGACTCCGTCCCCAGCCTCCACTTCAACCACCGCAGCATCACTTACATCTTTTATGCTTTTTCTATGTTGGGCTTCTGGGTAAGATCGCCTTCGATAGAAGAGCTATCAAAGATAGAGGACAAAGGATTGTCCTCTAAAAAGAAAAGTATAAAAAGCACTGACAGAGTCCAATCCTCTCATTTTATCAACAGGGAAACTGAGCCCCAGGGCAGCGATGGGACTCCAAGGCAGCCTGGGGGAGGACACACCCAGTGAGCCTTGAAGGACAACCAGTATCTCCCCCACTTCAAGAGACAATGAGAGGGGGGTGGAAACACGACATTGCCCATGCCTGTCCCACCTGGCGGCCTTTGCTCAGGGTCCTGTCACCTGGAGGGTCCCGGCCACCTGTTCCCTGGGCCTCATTTGCTCACTTTCTCCTGCTTTGACAGGCTCATGCCTCCTCCTCCACAAAGCCACCCCATTCAGAATGAATGGTCTGCCCCCCTTGTTCTTGAAACAGATTATTTGTGGGGCAGTTTAGCTCTTCTATCATTTTGCCCAGCTCTGTGGCCATATTGGTGGTGCCAGTGCCTTCCAGCCCAAGCTGCCAGAAACACATCTATATTTGAACAAAGGCGGGTGTATTACCCATTGCAACAGGGAGAACACGCGCCACAGGGAATGGCGAGGCAGCTCAGTGAGAGAGTGCTGGAAATGAGTTACAGGATCTGGGCTAGTGTGAGGTGCTCCAGGGAGCAGAGCTTGGTTCTGGAGGGAGTGCTATCAGGAAGAAAGTGGTGGGGAGTAATTCTGTGTCTGGGGATCTTATCTAGAAGGAGGGAAGCAGAGAGCACAGCTGAAGCTGTAATTGGTAAAGAAGCAGTAGTCCCTGATGTTCGCCAGGACAGGGGGGTGTTTGGTGATCTTTGTGGTTTGGACAGTGTTCTTGTTTTTGTCTGTGTTCAGACACAATTACGGAGTGGTCTTGTTTTCGTCTTGCTTGTGGCCTTGTCTGATGTTTATATTCTGGGAAATTGTTTATGTTCAATAAGAGATTACCGCAGCCAGGCTGGGAATGCCAGGGCAGCTCCGGCTCTCAGGGGCTGTCTGTCCTCCAGGGCAGGGGCTGAGCCCAGAGCCCAGAGCCCGGCACAGAGCAGGCGCTTTAGCAGTTGTGTTCCACATAGTCCAAGAGGCTGGGGTGTGCAGGGCGGGTTTGAGGAATCAGTATGGCTGAACCAAGGGCATGGCAGTGAGGCGTGCAGCTGGAGGTCAGGAGCAGGCCTCGAATGCCAACTAACACACGCTATAACCGAGGTGACTGCACTCTGGAAGGTATAAAGTACGGGTGGATGGTGAGGATTAGTCTTATCTCCAGCTCCTTCCTCCCTGGACATTGGCCGGGAGGCTCACAAGCTGTTCAGCAATCTTGCCAGCCTCAAGAGACAGGAAGAGAGAGAAAGCAGAGCTCAGCAGAAGCCGGAGAAGCCCAGCCTGGGTGGGCGGGCCAGCGAGGAATGCTATTTATCCCGAGGATGCCCCTGACCTTTCCCCGCACAACAGGGACAGACGCGCGGAGCCTGGCTGCATCCTTCTCCTTTAAAACAAGAAATGGAAGCATTACTCACCAAGCCCGGACATTTATCATGGTCTGGGGACATTAATTTGACAGTGTGTCATTTTCCATTTGGTTTGGGCCCGGTGGAGGCTGCCCTCGAAACACCTTCAATTAAATGCAGCTAATAACACAGAGCTATTTTGAGCAAGGAGGGCCCTCTGCCTCCCCCCCGAGCTCTGATGTGCGTGTGTTGTTGGGGGAGGGGGCTGCTGCAGGGAGGTTGCCGTTCATCATGATCCCAGCGCCGGGATCCTTTCCCACAAATCTAGGCCTTGCCCCAGTCATAGGCAGGTGAATCGCACACAGGACGGAGAGGATGGGGAGAGTGGCCACCGCATCCCCTGGGATGAGAAGATTTCAGTCAGCGGCCTGGCTGTGTTGCAGCCCTTCCCCTAAGAGGAAGGAAGCCACGGTTCTTGCCTAGCAGAGAGAAAGCACAGATTTTGGAGTCCAGCAGACTTGGAGGTGGATCTCAGCTATTCTGCTTCCTGCTGTGTGGCTTCAGGCAAGTCCCATAGCCTTCCTGAGCCTCAGCTTCTCACCTGTAAAATGGAAGCAAGAGTTCCTCTTTCATGGAGTGGTATGAGGAGTCACAACATTTTATGAGCTCAAATAAAATAATACATGCATGAAGCTTGTTAATTCATTAGTGGTAATTCAAAATCCTCTTTTATATTTTCCAAATTCAAAATTTGGGGAAAGACTATTAAGTGCCCAACACTGGAACTCAGAAAGTGACAGAGTGCTTCAGGAAAGCACACAGCCTCCAGAGTTAGAAACATCTGGATTTCAATCACAGCCCAGCTGTCAACTAGCCGTGTGATTTGGGGCAATTTATTTAACCTCCATGTGCCTCGGTTTCCTCATCTATAAGATGGTGTTAACCATGCCAACCCTCCCTGGAACTGTTGAGAAGATGAAACAATATGGCATGTATAGTACCAGCAGATAGTAGACGCTCAGTTCCTGTTAGCTCACTTGTTGTTTTTTGCCCAAGTCCTGAGTCTAGAAAATAAGCACAGACGGTGGTGGTTCCTACATTTCACATGTGTGCTAAGCATTGGATATGAATGTTCCTAGTTTAATCTTAAAAATGCCATAAGGTAGGTGCTAGTAGTAGATTGAGCCATATGAACTGTGTTGCTGTTGTAGGTCAAAAATGGTTGACTACTAGCAATTTCATATGTTCCATCTAACATCTTCCATTTTACTGATGAGGCACCTGGGGCTGGGGATGTTGATGTGCTCACATCGGGTACTTGGACCAGTAGTGGAGCTGAGATGGCTCCTGGCAGTAGACACTGGAGCCTCTTGGCTTCAGGCTTGATGTGGAGGGACAGCAGGCCCACGAGAAGCCCCCAGACCGTAGGGAATAAAGGACAACCACCACGGGTCCTGCTTTCACAGGTTGGTCCCCTGTTCCCCTGAATAGATTCAAACCTGTTGGCACCAGAAACACTTGGTCAGACTCAGTTAAAAGTCTGGAAGGACTAAATGTAAGGGTCAAAGTGAAGTGTTTTTTTTGTTGTTGTTGTTTTTTTTTGGTGGTTGGTTGGTTGGTTGGTTGGTTTATTTATTTATTTATTTAGAGACTGAATCTCACTCTGTTGCCCAGGCTGGAGTGCAGTGGCTGTATTATAGCTCACTGAAGCCTCATCTTCCTCCTGCCTTAGCCTCCCAAGTAGCTGGGACTACAGGCACATGCAACCACACCTGGCTAATTTTTTAAATTTTTTTGTAGAGATGGGAGTCTCCTTGTGTTGCCCAGGCTGGTCTCTATCTCCTGGGCCCAAGTGATCCTCCCGCCTCAGCCTCCCAAAATGCTGGGACTATAGGTGTGAGACACTGCAGCTGACCCAAAGTGAGATTTTGTAAGTGGAGGAGCCCAGTGGACAGTTAGGGCTGTGCACAGCAACCTCAGAGAGCTACCAGTCTCTCTGGGGGCCCTGAGACCTACCCTTTGAGCTGTAAAGCCTAGCCGGCCTCACAGGAGCCTGCCTTCCACACAGGAAGGCCACCCTCCCCACAGGAAAGGCTCTGACAGCCACAAACGCCAAGAACCACAATTCACTGCATGACCAGCTGCCAACAGACTCCCTGCAAAGTGTGATATTGATTCAGCTGCTACTGCTGCAGTTCCTCCAGAGCACTGTGCTGGGGAAAGGCCCACAGTGCACCTTGTGCCACCACTGAGATCGTGTTTATCATGAACAAGATGCTGACAAATGCCAGGCATGATTCAGGCAGGCCTGATTCAGAGGGAAGTATCTTAGTCTGTGTAGCACCAAGAGCTTTGGGCTCTCTTTAAGGCCTTGCCACTGGCTTGCTCTGTGGCTGTGGACTGAGTCTCTCTAGGCTCCGTCTCCTCATCTGTAAAATGGGGCCCTGAATGAATGACCTCACCAGGTTTTCCAGCACTGAAGGTCTACGAATCTTACAAGCTGATTTCAGAAGGCGACTATCTCAGTCCGTTCTGTGCTGCTACGACAGAGTACTCGGTAATTTACAATCAACAGAAATGTATTTGGCTCACAGTGCTGGAGGCTAGAAGTCCAAGATTAAGGGACTGCATCTGGTGAGGGTCTTCTTGCTGCATCATAACATGATGGAGGGCATCACATGGTGACAGCATGCACTAGAGAAGGCCAGACTTAATGTTATAACAAACTCCCACGATAATGACACTTTATACTCCCACAATAATGACACTATCTATTCATGAGGGCATAGTCCTTATGACCTAATCACCTCTTAAAGGTCTTAGCTCTCAGTACTGTTGCACTGGGGATGAAGTTTTCAACACACAAACTTTGGGGAACACATTCAAATCATAACAGTGACGTTACTGGTATATTCAGACACCTTTGTTCCTGAAGTGAGGAGGCGAAGTAGTAAAATTATCCTGTTTACAGTTACTGACCTTCCAGACTGGTTTCACCTCATGCTTTTTCAAATAACTTTTAAAAAATTATTTCTCTTTTCCCTGCACTTCCCCTACCACCCACAGAAGTAAGACTAAGAAAGAGAAAAAAGGAATTCACATTTCTTTCTTCCCTCATCCACATTGTTTTTTTTAAGCTGGTCAAGATAAGAATGTGGGCATTTCTCAGCAGGAATGGATGCCATTATCAACTTACACAGATTCACCAGAACTTGGTGCTGGGGCAAACTGCAGGAGACCTGAAGCTAAACAAGATATATACAGCCACAGAAGACCAGGCCAGGCAGTTACAACAGTCTACTCCTTTCTCTTGCCTACGGGTAAAATGGGTACACACATTCTAGAAAGCAGTTTGGCAACATTTATCAAAATATGTTTAAAAGGTTCACAACCTTTGGATACGGGAATATATCCCAAGAAAACAATACCAAATACAGAAAGAGCCATATGCATAAAGGTGTTCATTATGTGAAAAATTAAAGCAAATTAAATGTCTATCAATAAGGGATTGGGTAAGTAAACCATCCCACATCTTCTTAATGGATTGTAAAATACTATACAGCAATTTAAAAAGAAATCCGTAAAACTTCCATAATATGGATATGGACATATATATGAACTTTCAGCCTCCAGTACTGTGAGCCAAGTAAATTTCTGTTGATTACAAATTATCAAGTCTCAGGTATTCTGTTACAGCAGCACAAAACAGACTGAGAAATCACCCTCTGAAATCTGCTTGTAAGATTCATATATATGAATATATAAATATATGTAATTATATTATATTATTATATATTATAAATATGTAATTATATTATATATTATAAGTATATAATTATATATTACATATTTATAATATATTATAAATAATACATAAATATACAACATATATTAATATATAAATATTGTATATTATATATATGAGGGAAAAATAAGAATTTCAATCCAGTTAAATATGATGGATTAAATATACCTTGACCTTCTCTCACTGGCAACATTTTATTAAATTGACAGTAAATGGGGAGACATATATGAAATGCCAAGTCCAAAGTGGTTTGTGACATCAGGAGATAAGAGATTTCAACAAATACCTGGGCTCTGGGAAGCAGAGGGATGAGTGGTAATGACTCAGCACAGTGGAGAAAGTTACAAACTTCAGCACTTGCGGAAGGCAGACCAGTGAGAAGCACATTGATTTATCTTAAAGGATTCCTGAGAGATTCAGAGCTTGAATGCTCCAAGTCTGCAAAAATCCATGGCGATGTGCAGAGTGGAAGGCACTGCAGTTAATTTAAAGTCTACATTCAGAGGAGTTAGGGACCCAGGGTACCCTCCCCATGTCCACCACATCCACATGGTGTCAGACTTCAACTAGAACTTGAGAAATAGAAGACAATGGAAACATGAATGCAGAGAGGAACCCTATTTTGAACACAGAGCCTGATCATAAATCAAGTATGATGGTGGAATAAGTATATTTCAAACACGCAAAAAAATTGACCTCCCTTGCACCTTTCCTTAGGAAATTACCATAGGATGTGCTTCAGCCAAACAAGAAAAGAAACCAATAAATAGGAATACATGGGATACAGGAAAATGGGGATCTCACCCAAGAAACTGGCTGGATTTTAGAGATAACCAGAGAGCAGCCGGTCCAAATAAGGGGTGAAGTGGGAAGGCATGGAGGTGAAATTTGTATATTATCCAGCATGTTGTTTCAAACTTTTGGAAAACAATATTGATAGGCATTTGATACTTCTTTTGGAGGACAGAGAATTGAGCAAACAAAAAAGCAAAGTGATGTACAAATGGAGGAATGTACCTGACTTGGGTCATGGGGGAATAATATTTTCACAGCCATAATAATGTAAACACAGCCCCAAACTATGATATAACATAGTAAGATAATCAAAGGAGAAATGGAGGAGAGAGCTTATAAAGTAGCTAAATCCTCAATTACCAGAACATGAAGTCAATAGATAATGGGGGGAAAAGCAGCATAGCAAATTATTTAGAAGTATATGAAGATAAATAATAGAAGCAATGCCTAAGGGAGTTGAAATTGTTTCCTCTCAGGAGTGGTGAGAGAATGAGAAGCCCTGGGGTGGGAGACAGCCGCTTTGCACCGGAAGCCTCTTTTGTGTTTTTTGATTTCTTAGAACTATGTCCATGTATCACTTTGGAAAAAGTAAAAATTAATTTTTCAAAATTGTTTCCCCATTTTAATCACAACTGTCAGCTCCATGCCTGGGTCTTAAAGCCAAATTAACCCAGTCCCATATCATGTTCCAGTGCAGCTACTAAAAGCAAGCAGCAAGACTTGCTACCTCGGTAATTTCAAGCAGTTTCTGAAGCTATGGCTCCCTATTGCTCCCAACCTGATTCTCTCACTTTTCTATCCGTTGCCCTGACCCCTAACTCCATACAGGACGCTGAGTTTCTGCCTCTCACTTTCTGTGGTTCCAAAAATGCTCCTGGTTTGCTGGACTCTGCACTTGAATTAAAGTTTTCCCTCCATTTTCTCCCTTGGTTCCCATTGCCCTGGATGAGGCCTTCCTACCCCAACCCCAGGCTCCCGACAGCCATATTTCCACCAGGTGACCCCGCCCACTGGCCACAGCTGATTGGAGCAAGGATGAAAACCTGACCCAGGCAGAGCCAATCCAGTTGTCCCTTTGGGAGATTCCTAATTGAGGCCGAGAGACAGCCAGACAGCTGGACTGCTTTTTTAGCTAGGGAAAAATGTAAATGCAGGAGCTGTGGGCTGGAAGATTTCCAACTTTCTGGGCATGAAGGGCAGACAGTCAGTCTGGAGAGAGAGAAGGGCTCAGACAAGTGCAGGGGGAGGGGGAAGGAGCAGATTTAGAGACCATGTATTTTTAAATAGAGAAGCCAGAGAGAAGCTTGGTCCTCAAATGGCCCTTCCTAAGGCCTGAGTTCTTTTTTTTTTTTTTTGAGATGGAGTCTGGCTGCGTCGCCCAGGCTGGAGTGCAGTGGCATGATCTCCGCTCAATGCAACCTCCTCCTACTGGGTTCAGGCGATTCTCCTGCCTCAGCCTCCTGAGTAGCTGGGATCACAGGCAACAGCCACCACACCCGGCTAATTTTTGTATTTTAGTAGAGACGGGTTTCACAGTGTTGGCCAGGCTGGTCTCGAACTCCTGACCTCAGGTGATCTGCCCCCCTTGGCCTCCCAAAGTGCTGGGATTACAGGCGAGAGCCACTGCGCCTGGCCGAGGCTTGAGTTCTTCAAGCTCCTCTGATTCCTTAAGAGAAAGCCCCCTTTTCTGATTATGCTTGCTTGAGTTGGTTTCTGTCACTTGCAACCAGAAGAATCTCAAGTAAAAACCAACCCTGCCCATCTCCTTAGACTCTGAATGGGGAGGGTGTGAGAAGTAGAGATTTGACTTTTTTGAGACCGCAGAGACTTTTCCCCTCCCCCGGCAGCCCCCAGTTTCCTTTGTGTAGAGTGCTCCCCTCACAGCATGCAGTCTCAATTTATAGAAAGCAAACGTCTGTGTTTCACTGGGAAGGATGGAGGGGGGCCCAAAGGCTCCTTTTGCTGGAACCTTCCACCCACTGCCCTTCTTCAGCCAGGGGGTACACACATAACCAATGACACATTCTCTTGGGACCCTGAATCTTGAGCAGAAGCAAGGGAGAAGGTAGGGCTGGCGTTCGTTCGGTTCCCCAGGAATGACCAGCTAGGGAGATGGACAGAGTTTCTGCTCCTGAGAGACTCTTGAGCCACCGCTTCCTGTCAGTTTACAGCTCGGTTTTTATCCTTCTCTCCATCTTGTGACCTCCCCCAAATTCTCCCACCAAGTTCCCTTTTATGTTGGTTGCGCTTGCCCATTTTGCTTTCTGTTGCTCACAGCCCCCAAACCCTAACCAGCCCGGGGAGGAGGGACCAAGAAGAGATCAGGCAGCTATGTGTGGAGCTCCTACAGCTCCAGCAGTTTCCAAGATCTCAGAGGCCACGCCTCATGTTTGGGAACAACTGGAGATGGTGCTCTCATGTTCAGCAGCAGGGTGCAAGGGAGACTTGTTTGGGTTGGCAGGCAATGGAGGCTTTGGAAGTAGAGGAACAAAATGACTAGCAGTGCCTGATCACTGGATGAGCAGACTCCCAGAGTGGTGGACTGAATTTTTAAAACAGGGCTGGAGACAGGCACAGTGGCTCACTCCTGTAATCCCAGCACTTTGGGAGGCCAAGGTGAGCAGATTGCTTGAGCCCAGGAGTTCAAGACAAGCCCGGGCAACATGGCAAAACTTCATCTCTACAAAACATACGAAAGAATTAGCCAGGTGTGGCGGTGTGCACCTGTAGTCCTAGCTACTTGGGAGGCTGAGGTAGGAGAATTACTTGATCCCTGGTGGTTGAGGTTGCAGTGAACCGATATCACACCACTGCACTCTAGCCTGGGCAATAGAGTGAGACCCCATCTCAAAAAAAGGGCAGGGCTGGAGATCTGGTAGGGCCTGGAGTTAGATGTAGATGTTTACTGTACTGTGTGGTTGTGACCCTGTTTTTACCACCAAACTGCTCTGCATGGGAAGCACCGATTATATAGCTAGGGAGTTGGCTGGAGGAAGATTATATAGTGAAAAAAGACTGGTGGGAAATAAGTAGTCTTTGTTTTCCTCCTTTTTGTTCTGAGAATTCCCTCTCCTCTTTTCCTGTCCCATGTTATTAAGTGACACCCCACCCCATACCCTCTATACCTGCTCAGGTAACACATGTTAACAGCTTATTATGTGTCTTTCCATGTTTATATGCAGATTTGTATAATCCTGTACAGACCTGTGTCAACATACATGTATATGCATACAAACGCAAAGGCAGGTCATTTCTGTTATTGTTTTATAAAAAGTGAATCATGTTACACACCTTTTTCTGCATCTATCTTTTCCCTTTCAACATATCTCCTCATATGGTTTGTGTCCCCTCCAAATCTCATGTTGAAATGTGGCTCCCAGTGTTGTAAGGGGGCCTAGTGGGAGGTGTCTGGGTCATGGAGGCAGATTCCTCATGAATGGCTTGGTGCTGTCCTCATGGTGATGAGTGAGTTCTCACTCTATGAGTTCACATGAGATCTGGTTGCTTAAAGGAGCCTGGCACCTCCTCCTCTCTCTCTTGCTCCCTCTTTTACCATGTGATGTGCCTTTCACCTTCCACCATTAGTATAAGCTTCTTTGTGTGAAGGTCCTTGCATGAAGCAGATGCCAGCTCTATGCTTCCTGAACAGTCTGCAGAACTGTGAGCCAAGGTAAACCTCTTTTCTTTGTAAATTAACCAGTCTCAGGTACTCCTTTATAGCAACACAAAATAGACTAATGTACCTCCCTACCCCCAGTCAAATAGTATAGTGCTAATTCATTCTTTTTAATGGCTATATAATAGTCCATGTTTTATGTACCCTCATTTATTCAGCCTTTCTCTGGGATGGGCATTCACTGTGTTCCCTGTGTGTGTGCACATGCATGAACGCCACTCAAATAACGCTGCAATAAACATCTTTGTACTTACATTTTTACCTAACGGAGCTTTTATTTCTGTGGGCTAGATTCCCAGGAGTTAGACTGCTGAGTTGAAGAGTATATACTTTTTTTATTTTAATAGATGTTGCCAGATTGCTTCCAGTAAAAGTTATACCACTTTGCATTTCCCCCAAAATATAAGAAGGCACACTTTCCCCACATCCCTCAAGACTGGCAGGGAATATTTCAACATATTAACAGCGGTAGTATTTGGATACTGGGACAATGGATGTTTTTCTCCCCTTCGTTTTATTCTAATTTCATTTCCCAATGTTTTCCCCTTTAAAAGGAGGAAAGGTGCAATCGTTTGTTTTAACCAGTCCCACCCCTACACATGCTGATCCTCAGACAAAGGATTCTCTAAGCTGCAGGCCCTGGGGCTCACTGTGCAGCCCCTCCCTGGGCACCAGCTGCCCCTGGCCCCCTTGTGGACCTGTCATCTCATCCCAGCAAGGAGGGGACCCCAGAGGCCTTCACACAATGTCTGCGTATCATATGTTTTCTAAAGCTGATTCACCGAGGTTACTTGCATGGAAGTGCTGCTCTGGTAGAAAAACTTCTAGACCCAGAAACAGACTAATCTGAGGTTGAAGCTTCGACTTTGCCAAGTCACTTAATGTCTCTGAACCTCAGCTTCTTTTTCTGTAAAATGGGGATAACAAAGCAACTACATCAAAAGATTAAGAGCAAAGTGGTTAATAGTTACAAACGCTTGGGGAAGAGGGAAGTATCTGGTAGGTAGTATAGGATCTATGCTGTTTTCTTGTTACATAAATAATGTCTGCCTCATTATGTCACTGTGAGGTCACGTGCACCGAGGTGCTTTCCTCAGCACCCGCTGAGAAGCTGCAAATGTGTAGTATCGCCATCGAGTCAAGTGCTTGTTGGGCTTAGTGCTCTCCTCTGAGCTCCCTTAGCCCTGCGCCTACAGCTGTCCCCGTTCTCAGAGGACACTGCAGTTGTGTCTGGTTTTGTGCTCTTCTCTCTGCTCTTCTGATGACTGGACTGGCTTCGGGAGCTGCTCTCAGAAAGACCCTGCACTTGGTTTCATGCTCTGCTGTCACCATCTTGAAATTCTTGAACATACGCCCCAAATATGATATCATGTAGCTATTCCCACCTCGCGCAATGCCCGACATGAAGTGAGCCCCCAGTAAATGTGTTAAAATGAAGCCATGCAAATAGTAAAGAAAACTTTGCTTCTGCCTTCTACGTGCTCACAGGATAGTTGGGAAGATAGCTATAGAAACTCTGAAGTGCACTAAAACCTCCACACAGTACATGGTGCAGCATTGCAAGCCCTGGCTTGGAATCAGACAAAGCTGGACGTAGAGTCCAGCATGTAATGCTGAACAAATTACTTGACTTCTAGGTACCTCAGTTTCCTCAGGTGCAATCTAGAGCTAAGACTACCAACTTGGTCAATCTGGAAGGTCAGTTCTGAGGTTTCCACTGCAGGCTTTGGGGTGGAGTATGGGGAGGCCCCATCCTGCTGAGCTGGGTTTGGAGCTGGGTTTGGGCAATGGCAGTTCCTGCGTCTAAGGTTCATAAAAGGCCCCCTTTTCCAGATCTCTTGGATCTTCCAATCTATTCCTCATTTAGCCTTACTAGGGGTGCTTACCTGCGGACTCTGATGTGGGTTCCTGCCCACTGAAATGGGTTTTCCTTGGCTACAAAGGTATAGCCTTTTCTGCACACAAGAGTCTAATATAGGGAGGTCACTTGATGTCACAGACAGGGCCTTAGAGTGAAGAGAGGGCAGCATTAGCAAATCCACAGCTCCAGGAAGTCCCCTGATATGACACCTCTCCTAGTCTTCCCCCTCCTTATGTTCTGGGACCACACCCCTCCCCAGCTTCCCAGGCCAGGCCTTTCCCACTACTTCACTCCCCTTCCTGCTGACCTCTCTCCATCATGGCTCCCGAGGCATGGGCACCGGCGGGAGGGGTGGAGGTGACAGCACAGGATCAACAGCTGCCAGCCTAAGTTGAGTCCAGCAGAAAGCAGAGGGGTCCCCAAGTGGTTTCCAACATGTCAAACATCCTACTGAGAACCCCCCATAGATTAGACTTAGCTCTCACCGCAGGCTTACGGAACTCCACGGTCTGAGCTGTCGGCAAAACCTAATTCATTTGGCAGACTCAGTCTTTCACATTAGGGGGTTTATGGTGGTTAAAGATAATGAAGGGACTCATGGCAATAAATAGTTTGGAGTAGGGTGGCCTGAACAACCTTGCTAAGAAATAAGGATTCAGGCCGGGCGCGGTGGCTCATGCTTGTGATCCCAGCACTTTGGGAGGCCAAGGTGGGCGGATCACGAGATCAGGAGATTGAGACCATCCTGGCTAACACGGTGAAACCTCGTCTCTACTAGAAACACAAAAAATTAGCCGGGCGTAGTGGCAGGCGCCTGTAATCCCAGCTACTCGGAGACGCTGAGGCAGGAGAATGGCGTGAACCCTGGAGGCAGAGCTTGCAGTGAGCCGAGATCGCGTCACTGCACTCCAGCCTGGGAGACAGAGAGAGACTCCATCTCAAAAAAAAAAAAAAAGAAATAAGGATTCAGTTGTGACTTCTGTCTTGGGTCCCTCCAATCTCCATTCCCACCCCCACAATTATCACCTTCCTGCCTTCCTTTGGTGACCTCTTCCCCCTTGAATCACGCCCTAGGCAGGCACTCATCTGTTCTCAGGGCCATCTTCATAGGCTCTTCCCTGCAGGAGAGAAAGCATTTTGTGCAAGCTCCACCTAAAAGTTATGCGGGCTTTCCAGCCTGTTCCTCCCACCTCCTTCCTGCCCCTGAATCTTCCCGCAGGGTCACCCTGAGGACAAGCAGTTTACTAACTCGAGGGAGAGCAGGGAACTCACATTCTGGGTATCAATGAAATTTATGAGTCATGGATATCACAGGACCCTGTTTTCGTTTGACTTCATTCGCCGCTTCCTTTCTTCGTATTAATTTCTCCCAACAGCCCACTTATCTTCCCTCTTGGAGCCCTGCCCGCCATCGCTTTCCCTGATACATGGTATCTCTAACAGGCTAAAGCACTCAGCGATGCCATTGCTTGAGAGTCGGCTTGCTCAAGCACTCACAAGTTACACTCTGTGGCTAATCAAATGTCAAAACAATCTCCCCCGCGATTTGGAGGAGCTTGGTGACAGGAAGACATTGGCCACTGAGCCATCAGAACAGGCCACGTTTGCTTGGTGGCAGGCAGTGAGACCGGTTTCTGCCGCGTTACATTCCGGGTGGCCGCTTTCCCTGAGAAGCAGCTGCTCTGCAGTTAGTGGGGTTTGGGGTTTGGAATTTGTTTCTTCTTTTCTTTTGAAGGCAGAGAGATACTCCATGCCAAGGGTCAGCAGGGTGGGGGGTGGCGGCGGGGAGGTGGTTGAATTTTTTTCTATGACAAAATGTTGTCAGGTCTCTGAATCATAGCAGCCACAGCGGTGGTTAAAGAGAAGAGATCGCATCTAGGAGCTGGTCTCAGTTCTGCCACAGAGAACACTGGACGAGTCACAGCCACTCTGAACTTCTGTTTCCTCTTCTGGAATATGAGGAAATTGGGTTAAATGGTCCCTGTGGTTCAAGAACCAGAAGATGATTCAACTTGACACCATACCTTACAATTTAAACACTTCTGTGCTTGTTATTTCATTTGATGTTCACAGTAAGCCCATAAGTGAACAGGAGAGGGATTATTATCTCTATTTTATAGCAGTGAAATGACTTGTGGTGGTTATACATCCTGCCCATGACAGAGCTTAGCCTGGGTCATGGGCTGGTGTCCTTCTCCTAGCCCAGGCTTGTCTCAACTCCTCATGCTCACAGGGTAGATTCCTTGAGCCGAACCACCTCCACCTTCAGCGCCACGCGGGAGCTTTTGTTCAAGCCAGAATTCAGGGATCATCCTGTCCACTTCATTTTCTGCTGAAAAAATTGAGCTCCATAGAGGGAAGCAAAAGGGCCTCCCCCGGCTCACACCGCAAAGCGTCCCATTCTCCTGATGTGGAACCACTCCACTCTTCTCGTGGGTCCCATGGGAGTGAAAATGCCTGCATCTTGGGCCTGGGCTAAGGATGGATCTGTCAAAAACAGTGACACTGATAAGTTTTGGGTGCATTTGAGACACCACCACTGTGTCATCATTACCCACACTGCTGTCATGAGGTCTTGAGAAATTGTCACCGGGGTCCTCTTGGGGTCTGATGTGCTAAGAGAGGTCAGGACAGGCTAATCTGTGTCTGCTCCATGCCCCCTCCACATCTACCTGAGCCTTTGAGAGTGCCTAGCTCATTCTCCCTGCTCCTTAAAATCCTCCAAGTTCCACAGCCCCACCTAGACCTCAGAGTGAGTGGTTCACTTTGCGGCACTCAGGCCCACTCAGTGACCACAACAAACACAGCTTGCAGGGTCTGGCTGGCCACAGGTGCTGTCCCTTCTGCCCACCTGGCAAATGCTATCTCTTCTCTCCAGATTTAGCTTGCTGGCCCCCTCTTCCATAGGGCCCCTGAAGAGGCAAGTGCTTCCTTTTCCCACTCCCACGACTGTGCAGAAAGCCTCTGACAAAGCACTTTCACTTTCACATGGTGGCCACTGGTCTCCGAGGCTGTTCTCCTTTTAACTGGCAGCTCAGTGAAGACAGGGGTTGTACTTTGTTTCTCTCAGTATCTTCAGCGCCTAGACCCTGATGGGGCTCAGTGACCTTAGAGGGAGAGGGGATGAGCTTTACATGCTGATCAGGAGCACAGGCCTTGGCAGCAGGCTGGCCTGCACTGAAATCCAGTTCTGCCATTAACCTACATGTCATCCAAACCTCTCTGAGCCTCAGTTTTCAAATCTACAAAATGGGAAGATTGGTACTGCCGGCCTCATCAGGATGAATGGGAAAAACCATGGAAAGAGCTTAGCATATCACAGGCAGTAACCGGGAACTATTGTCATTATCATTGGGGAATTCCCCAAAAGGTTCCTCTGTGAGCTCACAAGAAAGCCCCTGGGTCTCCACGCCGTCTGCAGGAAGCACCCCGGGGATTGGCAGCCCTTCCCTGCCCTGCCTTCTTCTCCAGCTGCAGTCGGAAAACCCCTTTCTCAGGATGCCCCAGACAGGGCCAAGCTGCTTTCCTTCCCCTTGTTGACACAGGGAAGACCTGGCTGCCTGGAGCCTTGACTGGGCCTCCCACTCTTTGAAGTGCAAACACCGAGCTGTGTATTTTGGGCCCCTCTGAAGGGCCGTTTCTGGTGAAATACCAGGTTTTGAAATACTTCACTCCTTGTTTGCATTCGGAAGCCCATACATGCTCAGGTCTCTCAAGGCCTGTATTCAGAGAGGCTGGAGGTAATGTGGGCGAAAGAATCAGACTCTAGTGGGGGAACACAGTGGCCCTCTGCTCTTGGGCTGGGCCTACAGGAGCCACTGGAGGTGGAAGAGGGAGCTCCCTCTCACAGAGTCCACCTCTGGCTGGGAAGAGCAGACGAAGGCATGCAGAGGTATGTCCAGGTGAGCCCAGGGCACAGAGAGCTGGGACCAAAGGCTGGTGTGAAGAGTCATCTCCTGAAGACCTAGCTACAGAAATACTGGAACTCAGTGCTTCTTCCAGCCCCTCCTCTGCTCTGGCACCCACCCCCACCTCTCCACCCAGGGAGTATGTAAACTTCTCGTCCTGCCAAGAGCTGGGCAGGGAGGAATGACATTTATTTGAGCCTCACTGATCTCATAGGAGCTGTCTTAGCCCAACAGCAGAGGTAGAGGAAGTCAGAAGGGGAGGCAGGGTTGACTTGATAGAGATCTCCGTGGGTTTCTAGGAGGGTTTGGTCTGGTCTCTAGGAGGATGAGCCTCCACGTCCTGGGTGATCATTTGGGCCAGGTATTTTACACACCCTCTTTACTTTAAGCCTCATGAGGTGGGTGGTCCCATCCCCATTTCACAGATGAAGAAATCGATGCTATAATGGAACAGACTGGACTCCTTACCCAAAGGCCAGGACTGTGGTAGAAGCTCTTTGAGGAAAGGGTCCTGGTAAGGCTTGTCTTTCCCTCTCAGAGCTTGGTCCACTGACCTTCCTTGTCTACAAAAGCTCTTAAGAAGTGTTTGCTGAAAGGAAGCAGGGCAGGGCTTACAGAGGAGGGAGCATGGGGGAAGCTGACACAAAAGCATCAAGGTGAGGATGTTCGGGACCAGTTCAGAGGCTCCTGAGAAGCCGCATTTGGCCAGAGAGGGAAGAGATGGGGGAGGTAAGGACAGAGCAGCAGCAGGAGCTGACTTTAGAGGGGACTGCATCCTCCTTATACATCATGGGGTGACCAACCAGGGGCGATCTCCAAAATAGACAGCCAGCAAATAATGATGAAGCTCCGTCAGCGTGCCCGGTGCCTCAGGATCCCTCAAGGAGCATACAAAAGGCTGAGAAGTGAGCTGATTTATTTACACAGCCATCTCGTGGGTCCTATGCAGTGAAGACAAATTGCCAAAGATGATGCACTAGGCTCACATGCATTTCTCACAGAAAGGGCCATCTTTCAGGCCTTTACTTGGAGCCTATTTACTCTTAGTTTGCACATAGTCCCAGCAAGATGAGTGACCCAGATTCCCAGTGCCAGGCAGATTCAAATCAGAGGTAGAGGAGCAGCAGGCGGAGGTGGGGTTGACTTAGAGAGTTCCTCATGGGTTTGGAGGAGGATTTGATCTGGGAGGACAAGCCACCACCTCCAGGGTGATCACTTGGGCTAGGTGTTTTACATGCCCTGTTTAAGCCTTGCGCAGTGGGTGGTGCCATCCCCATTTCACAGATGAAGAAATTGATGCTAGAACAGGCTGGGCAGATGCCAGAATGGCATGGCAGGGTTAGAGAAAGGTATGTAGGCAACAAGGGGAAGGTGCTGCTGGAAGCCAACTGTGAAGAAGGGAACAGGAAAACCAAAGCAAGTTGGAGAAGAATGCTCCAAACAGAGAGCCAGCTAGGGCTGTCCTACCTAGGAGGACATTGGGATGAAACGGGCTGGACACCGTGACTCTGCTGCTGTCTAGCTAAGTGAAGTGGGCAAGTTCCTGCCACTCTGAAGCTCAGCTTTCCCATCTGAAAAGCAGGGTTAAAACCACCAGATAGTGGCAGGAATTGAAGATGAGGCAGGTGGGCCACCAGCCGAGGATCTGACTCAGGAGCAGTCACTTGCACGATGGTTGCTGAGACGATGTTACTTTTTATTACTGGGGGAAACTCAATGCACCCTAGAGCAGCAGTTCTCAGATATGTCTACATATTGGAATCATCTGGGAAGCTTTCATAAATACCTATACCTGGTTCTGCCTTCTGGAGATTCTAAACGAAATGACCTAAGGTTGGCAGGGGCATCCGGACTTTTTTTTTAAAGTTCTTCAAAAGATTTGAACACGCAGCTAAGGTGGGCTGAGAACCACCACCCTAGAAGAAACTGTGACCCATCCAACCCAGAAGCAGATGTTGAGGGTCCCATCATAGTTGCTGGGAAGGGGCCAAACCTCTTCTGGGTACCCAGGGTCTGAAAGCAGAGGAACATACTTTAGAAAGCCTTCTGTCAAACTGGTTAATTTCTTTTAAGCTTTGGCTCTTAAGGGACTGAAGTTCAATTATCTGGAAAACTCACTTATGTGGAACTCCTCACTCCCTAATGGCACTGGCTAAATGAGGTGTTACGATTCTATAGATTCTCAAATTACAGTCTTTGTGATTCTTCACCCAGAAAAGAAATTATCCAGAGGCTCACACCCTGCCTGCCCTGCCTCCTTAGGCAGCTGGGCCATGGTTAAAGCTTGTCTTCGGGAAGGGCTCCCCGGCACTGTGGGAAGATTTTGGCTTCATGCTCCAGCCAGCCTAAGTGACATGCCCGCTCCCATATTGGCTGAGCTCTGCAGGGCTATTAGTCCATTTCCACATGAAACAGCGAGCCCATAACAACATGCTGACACTGGGACAGTCACCCTCATCACCCATCCTGCAGAGCACAGCCCCACGTGAGTAGTTTGAGTGTTTTTTTTTTTTTTTTTAAATAAAGAATAAAAAGAAGCCAGGTGTGGTGGCTTACACCTGTATTCCCAACACTTTGGGAGGCTGAGGCGAGCAGATCACTTGAGGTCAGGAGTTTGAGACCAGCCTGGCCAACATGGTGAAACCCCGTCTCTACTAAAAATACAAAAA
This sequence comes from Homo sapiens, assembly GCF_000001405.40. Classification (NCBI taxonomy): domain Eukaryota; kingdom Metazoa; phylum Chordata; class Mammalia; order Primates; family Hominidae; genus Homo; species Homo sapiens. The sequence goes on along the minus strand of NC_000015.10, from coordinate 70,137,693 downwards.
ATTAGCTGAGCATGGTGGGTGGTGCCTGTAATCCCAACTACTGGGGAGGCCGAGGCAGGAGAATCACTTCAACTCAGAAGGTAGAGGTTGCAGTGAGCCAAGATCGCACCACTGTACTCCAGCCTGGGTGACAGAGCAAGACCCTGTCTCAAAAAGAAAAAAAAAATTTGTTTCATTTGTTTTGTTAGCCATTTTTTTTAACCACGGGAGTGGGAAGAAGAAAACAAAAGGCACTTTGATTATTAAAAATTTCTATTTTGTCTGGGCACAGTGGCTCAGGCCTATAATCCCAGCACTTTGGGAGGCTGAAGCAGGAAGATCACTTGAAGCCAGGAGTTTGAGATCAGCCTAGGCAACATAGTGAGACCCCATCTCTACAAAATAAACAAAAATTAAAATTAGCCAAGCATAGTGGCATGTGTCTGTAGTCCCAGCTACTCTGGAGGCTGAGGTAGGAGCATTGCTTAAGCCTGGGAGATAGAGGCTGCTGTGAGTCATGATCGCACCACTGCACTCCAGCCTGTGTGACAGAGCAAAACCCTGTCTCAAAAAAAAAAAAAAAAAAAAAGTATCTCATTTTGTTCTTAAGGACCCCACACAAGCAAAACTCAGAGATGGAACATTTATCAATGAGTTTTCATGGCCCAAATAAGAGAAAGAGAAGAGAAAGAAGGGGCCATGTCCCAGGAGCCCTTGCAACTGTCATCATTAGCTCTGTCCTTGTTTGTGTTTTTATTGCCTGTCTTCCCCCTGTAAAAGAAGCCATAGGACAGAAGAGGCCTTGGCCCTTTTGTTTACTGCTCTGCCTCCCAGGCCCACAACATTGCCTTGCCAATAGTAAGGATGCAATAAACATTTGTAGAGTAAAAATGATTTTGAACTCAGTTTTGAATCAAAGTTCTAGGACATACTATTTACCTGCTGTCTGAATCTGCTAGGGTTGCCATAATAAAGTACCACAAACTGAGTTGCTTCAATAACAGAAATGTATTCTCTCGAAGTTCTGGAGGCCAGAAGTCTTCACATGGTGGCCACTGGTCTCAGAGGCTGTTTTCCTTTTAACCAGCAGCTCAGTGAAGACAGGAGCTGTATTTTGCTTCTCTCAGTATCTTTAGTGCCTGGACCCTGGTGGGGCTCAGTGACCTTGGAGGGAGAGGGGACGAGCTTTACGTGCTGATCAGGAGCACAGGCCTTGGCACCAGGCTGGCCTGCACTGAAATCCAGCTCTACCATTTACTAACGTCATCCAAACCTCTCTGAGCCTCAGTTTTCAAATATACAAAATGGGGACATTGGTACCACAGACTTCATCAGAGGTCTGAGATCAAGATGTCAGCAGGGTTGGTTCCTTCTGAAGCTGAGAAGGAGAACCTGTTTCTTGCCTCTGCCCTCACTTCTGGGGGTTTGCGGGCAATCTTTGGCATTTGTTGCCTTGTAGAAGCATCACCTCAATCTCTGCCATTGTCTTCACATGATGTTCTCCCTCTGTGTCTAGGTCCACCTTTCTCCTTTTTTATAAGGGCACCAGCACATACATTTAGGATTCACTCTAAGGACCTCATTTTAACTTGATTACCTCTGAAAAGACACTGTATCTGAAAAAGGTCACATGTTAAGATACTGAGGGTTAGGGCTCCAACGCTTGAATGTTTAGAGGACAAAGCTCAACCCATCATACCTGCTGATTAGTTTATTCATTAGGCTGGGCACAGTGGCTCACACCTATAATCCCAGCACTTTGGGAGGCCGAGGTGGGAGGATCACTTGAGCCTGGGTGGTCGAAGCTGCAGTGAGCTATGATCACACCACTGCACTCCAGCCTGGGTGGCAGAGTGAGACCCTGTCTCAAAAAAAAAAAAAAAAGACATAAACAATTATTAATTAATTAAATTTAAATCTACTCTTATCACAACATGTAGCAGGCATCCCTTATCTGCTAACTGATCAATTAAACACTGGGAGATTATAAAGATGATCAAAAAAGGTCCCTACCTCCACAGAGCATAGAGAAGAGAGGCAGAAACAGAACTAGAGGGCTGACTGAGATCATCCAAAGAGGACTGGCCCATAATAGACCGTGCACAACAGGAGCAAGGCTCCAGCATGGGCGTAATTAATTCTGTGGATGGGGTCAAGGAGTCTTCACGGAAGAGATATGATATGGTTTGGCTATGTCTCCACCCACATCTCATCTTGAATTGTAGCTCCCATAATTCCCATGTGTTGCAGGAGGACCTGGTGGAAGATAATTGAATCATGGGGCAGTTTCCCCCATACTGTTCTCATGATAGTGAATAAGTCCACAAGAGTTCTGATGGTTTTATAAGGGGAAACCCCTTTCACTTGGCTCTTATTCTCTCTCTTGTCTGCTGCCGTGTAAGATGTGCCTTTCGCCTTCCACCATGATTGTGAAGCCTCCCCAGCCACGTGGAACTGTGAGTCCATTAAGCCTCTTTTTTCTTTATAAATCACCCAGCCTCGGTATGTCTTTATCAGCAGCTTGAAAACAGACTAATACAAGCTGCCACTTGAGCTGGGCATTTGCAGGATAAAGAGGGTGTCCATGGGTGGAGAAGGGAGAAAGGCCAGTGGACAGTGGGAACAAAGGGGATAGGCAGGATGGTGCCGGGCCTTGTAAGGGAGCACTGAGCAGTTCAGTGAGGCTGGGATGTGATCAACATGAAGCCAGGAGGCAAGAGAGACACTGTGGAGTCCCACATGTGTATTCCCTGCAGGCCAAGGGAAGCCAAGGCATGTGGTTGTGGGGAGGAGTGATTTAGTAAGGTCGCTAGTAGTGCAGGGAGCTGGAGTCCAGAAGATGACTTCCAAAAAGCCCAGGCTAGAGCTGCTGGGGTAGCTGGAGTAGGAATGGAAAGAGCCATGAACTCCAGACTTCTCCAGGGGTAAGCCAGGGCAAGTGGTGAGAAAGGAAGAGGTACAAGGAATGGACAAGAGGCTGAGTTAGGTGGTGAATGTGTTGAGTTGAGGCGTCTGGGGTGTCCCAGGTGGATATGGCAAGGCAGGAAGAATTCAGGCGAGAGAACAGGGCTGGACATGGAGATTTGAAAAGACAAATCTCTAGGACATTACACATTATGGGAGATGAGGACATTATCGGAGACATTATAGGAGGACATTAAGGGAGATGAGGCCACCTGGGGAGAATGGCGAGCGCTTAGGAAAGGGCTGAGGACAGGGCCCGGGGCCTCAGAGATAGTGAGCCTCAATGGTGGCTACACATGGCTTCATCTGGAGAGCTCTGAAGTCATACAGTGAACCAAGGACCATTCCTGGGGAATCTGATTTGTCTGGGATGGGAAGAAAGAACCAGCATTGGAATTTTTAAAATCAGCAGTTCTCATAGTTAGCTGCACATTGGAATTACCTGGAGAGCCTCAAAAACTTCTGCTGCCTGATGCCACACCCCGAGATCCTGATCTAACTGCTCTGAGGTAAGACCTGGGAGTCAGGAGTTTTATTTATTTATTTAGCAACAGAGTCTCACTCCGTTGCCCAGGCTGGAGTGCAGTGGCTTTATCTTAGTTCACTGCAGCCTCAAATGCCCAGGCTCATCACCACACCCAGCTTTTTAAAAATTTTTATAAAGACAAGGTCTTGGGACTCCAGTTGGTCTCCAGGCTTAAGCGATCCTCCCACCTTGGCCTCCCAAAGTACTGGAATTCCAGGCACGAGCCACCGCGTTTAGCCAATATGGGCAGCTTTAAATGCTCCCTATGGGAGCCAAACACATAGTCAGGACTGAGAATGCTGCTCTGCAGGGCAGGTGGTGGAGTGATTCATGGAGAAGCAAAGGGCAGATGGTGAGAAGGAGAACCAGGAGATCCTCGCAGCCTAAGAAGGCCAGGAAAGGGGATAAGTACTGTGAGGACATCAGAAGGGGGTGGCACTAAGAGGTCACCGGGCAGTGATGTGCTAGAGCCAGCTCCCACCTCTCCAAGAAAGCTGCTCCTCTGCATCTCTTCCCAACTCTGTGTTCAGTAGGTTCACTTGAGTAGCTTAGGATCAGCCATGATGAGATGATGAGTACCACAAAAAATTGGCAAATGCTACCAATCAGGATACAAGTCAGTCTTTTCTCCCAGAGAGCCCGTTGTTAAACATTTACCAGCACACCACTGTCTTTGGGCTTGAACGCCAGCTGGGCAGAGTTTGCAGGGCTGGGACAAGCTGTGTGGAAGCAAGCCAGGTTGTAGAGGCTTCCATTAGGAACTGAAAAGAGAGTCACAGGCTGGGGACGAGAAATTTCCATCTGAGGTCAGACTTTTAATCCATGTGTCTTCTATTCCGGGATGGGCTCCATCCCGAGGGTTCCAGATTTCCTGGCTGGAAATATGTCTTCCATACCCCCGAGCCTTTGCCCTCCCTCCATGTGAGCAGCTTTACAGCCTCCAGCCCCTGCTGCCCACAGCAAACGAGAGCTGCAAACACTGATTGGCCCTCACTCTGCACAGGCCCTGGAGGGACCCCAGAAGCTGTAAAACCTGGTCCCAGCCTTCAAAGCCTCCACTCACTGAACACTGAAGGCAAAAAGTTAAATGACCATGGAAGAGAGGAGTGAGAGGTTAAGTCAGAAATGAGAGACTGTCGCAGCCCAGAATTGTCAAATGGATGTGCCAACAACACATGCTGCAAACGTCGGCAGCCCTGAAGAAGAGGTGGTCTTCACTGAGGGGCAGTTAGCATTGGCAAGTGGGCAGAATGAAGGCAGTTAGCATTGGCAGGTGTCAGCTGCTGAGTTGTCTATGGCCATCTCATAAGGGGAGGACTGGGGTCTGCATTATTTTATTCCCACAAAGACAAAGACAAAGACATTTCTTTTTATGTTGAGACAGGGTCTCACTCCGTTGCCCAGGCTGGAGTGCAGTGACACAATCACAGCTCACTGCAACTTCAACCTCCTGGGCTCAAGTGATCCTTTTGCCTCAGCCTCCCAAGCAGCTGGGACTACAGGTGTGCACCACCACACCTGATTGATTGATTGATTGGTTGATTGAGATGGGGTCTCACTCCATGGCCCAGGCTGGTCTCAAACTCCTGGCTTCAAGCAATCCTCCAGCCTTGGCCTCCCAGAGTATTGGGATCACAGAGCTATTGCACCCAGCACTCCCAAAGCCGTTTCTATGTGGTTTATACTTATTGTCCAGGCCTTTTTTGCATTTCCCAAGAGCCCCTGCTCTAAGCACCTGCAAGATCCTCTGGGATGCGCTGGATGCTCTGGTTGTAGCAGAGAGCCAGCCTCCTTGGAGTCCCTGATGAACCCTGCCTAGTCCTTCCCAAGCCTCTCCTCCTCCCTACCTCCCACACACGTTCCGCTTTAATCAGCAATCCTCTCTCCTTTCAAACTCCTGGCTGGGCAATGGTAGATGAGCTCATCTGGTCAGTTCCAGCTGGCTTCCACACCAATACATTTGAAGTGCTAGCACAGGCGAAATGAAGATTGGTGCTATGTTTAGGGGAGGCATTAATAAACCAGGATGGGTCCAGGAGCCAGTGATCAAGCTATACCCCAAAAGCCAAGTCACAGGGGGAGGCCCAGGGACCAGGCATCATTTGGTCTGGTGAGAGTCTGACCCGAAGAGCTTACTTTGGAAGCTGGCAGAGCCACTACGTGGATGTGGAATTCATCTTTTGTATAGCCATGGAAGGCTGAATTTCACCAAAGAGAGGAGTATCCATAAAGCAGAAACAGCCCAGTTCCAGAGCTGTCCAGCCTGCTGCCTGCAGAGGCCTCTAAAGTTGGCAAAAAGCAAAGGCCAGCCTAATCCCCATCGGCTGGACACTAGTCAGAGAGGGCCACCTTTAAAATTACCACTGCTAACACACAGGGCAGTGCCCCCAAGACCCCAGGCCACTCCACCCTCAGCAACTAATAGGGGCCAAAGTTCCTAGGAGGGGCGTCAAAGGTAGCATTCTCTCTCTGTTTACATCCGCTAATGCTAGAACCTGATGCACTTCTTCCCCTCTCCTGGCCCTGAGACACAAGACGTCTCTGAAGCATGGTCCCAGAAAAGGCCATGCCAAAATGTAAATGATCAATAACAGTGAGATCAGCATCGAGGCTGGGAAGAAATATGACTCTGGACCAATGCCTTAAGCTACAGAGAAAAACTTCCTAGGTATAATACCAGGCAAGGCCAAGCTGCACATGGGGACTAGCCATTACGGAGCTCGATGCCAAGTCCTGTACTGAGGGCTGGACCTCTTCTATCTCATTGGATATTCCTTCTCAGAGGGCCACTGCATATTCCTCACAAACCTACCTGGAGGCAGGGGTCAGGCCGGCCATGGAGGTGGGAAAGCAAATCTTTTAAAAGATACCTTTCCGTACTCTCTCCTCCATGAAATAGCATTTTACATTATTAAATAGAATACCACACTGGAGCAGATCTTGCAGAAAGATAAAATAGAGAGTGGACTCAGCCCTATCACAGAAGGATCAAGGACTGCAGAAGGATCAGGGGCCCCTGTAGGTTCCATCTTCTCCGATGTTTGTTTTTCAGATTGTTAAATACTTAACAGAGGGAGAGACAAAAAGCCAGTGTTCCAAGCCATTGCTGATTAAGTATCAATCAGAAATTAAGACAGAACAAGTCTGAAATTGTAATGATCCTTTTTAAGGACAGGCCTTTGTACACCTGATATATATATTTGTAATATACATATATATGTATATATTTATAAATCTGCCTGGCAGGAAGCTAAGCAACTAAAGCATGTGCTTAAATAGAGGTCACCTGGCGACCCTGGCACTCAGATGGGTATCACACTTCTTGTCTTACAGGTGAGAAACTGGTGCTCTCAGAGAGCGTATGAGTGGCCCAATGTCACACTACCTCTGGGTGTGTGCATGTGGAGCCAGGATTTGATCCTGGGCAGATCAAACCCCAAGTGGTAAGTGCCACTCCTTCCCTCCTACTGTCACACCTCCCCAGTGCAGGCAGAGGAGTTACATGCAACATGCAAATGTCTTCCCTTCTCCTAGTTGGCAGGGACCTGGGCTTTCCTTGTCAGCGCGGTGGTGGGTTCTGGGTCAGACACTGCAACTCACACTTACTGAGCATTTCCTATGTTCAAAGTTCTAACTTCCATGTGTCATGTTATTTAATCATCACAGCCACCAGGTGCAGTCGATCACATGCTGACCCCCCACTTTACTGATGAGAAAACTGAGACCTAGAGAGGTTGAGTAACCTGTCCAAGACACCTGGATGATAAGCCGGACCCAGCCAACAAGCCCAGCCAGCTTGATGCCAGAATCCTCTTACCTGACCTCTGTGCCTGCCATCCCAGCTGCTAGAGTGGAGAGCCGGCCTTTCCTCGCTGCAGGATGGACCCTAGGCCTCTCTCTGGGTTTCCAGATCCTGCTCTGAAGAGCCGGCCTTTCCTCGCTGCAGGATGGACCCTAGGCGTCTCTCTGGGTTTCCAGATCCTGCTCTGGAGAGCCGGCCTTTCCTCGCTGCAGGATGGACCCTAGGCGTCTCTCTGGGTTTCCAGATCCTGCTCTGGAGAGCCGGCCTTTCCTCGCTGCAGGATGGACCCTAGGCGTCTCTCTGGGTTTCCAGATCCTGCTCTGGAGAGCCGGCCTTTCCTCGCTGCAGGATGGACCCTAGGCCTCTCTCTGGGTTTCCAGATCCTGCTCTGGAGAGCCGGCCTTTCCTCGCTGCAGGATGGACCCTAGGCGTCTCTCTGGGTTTCCAGATCCTGCTCTGAAGATGAGGAGATGACATTTAGCACCAGCCTTCTCTAACTGGCTCTAAGAGGAATCGGTGTTCCCTGGTGGTTCAGGAGTCAAAAGGGCCAACTGTAGCTTTATTCCTCTTTCAAAGGAAATAAAGCAGAGGTCCTATTTGGGGATAGGCCCTATGCCTGAGTTACTTTGGCACTTAATTGCTATTATTTAATTGCTGTATTGGGGAGCACAAAGTGATCTACTGCAAAGTTATTAGCAAATTCTAGTTTTAAGGAAATAATTACTGAATTCTCCCTCCCTGGGTTGAGTAATTCCTTCCAAGATGCTCAGCGACATTAAGCATTTTCACTAGGGCCACTAGCAGCTCTGTAATATGCAAATAAAGTAACTCTGTAATTACCAATAAAATGCTTACTGAAGTGACAAATTTTTACTCAGCAGCGAGTTGGGGGAAAAAATGGCATCATTTGTTTTTTAAGGATCCTTTAACCTTGTTAGTTGGCATTCATTTCCGTGCTGTTTTATGGTCATTTAAAAGGACAACGGAGCCAGTACGCCTGCCTTGATGGGGAGAAGCCCTCCTGGGAGCTCCCTCTTCCAACCAGCCTTGCCCATTGTGTGGAGGCTCGGATGGGCCGATCTGGGTGCTGGGGAATTGTAAGCACATGGCAGACCTGCCCTGAGGGTCTCTGTGTATGCTGGGAGTTTGGCTTTCAACTGGGTTCAGGGCTGATCTTTCCAGGTGGACAGATACAGAGTGACCTCTCAGCCAGAAGCAGCTGCCAGAGCGATCCTTCTGAAAGCCCAAGGATGGCTGTGTTGCCCCCTGTTTAAACTCTCCCTTGTGCTTTAGGGATAACAGCATCAAGTCCTGTCATTTCAGGCTCTCAAGGCCTTTCACAGCCAGCCAGCCAGTCAGGGCACTGGACACAATAAGGCACAATAAGGGCTCAAGCTACCTCTTCGCCAAGGTCATCCATGCCTCCCCATGCAAGCTTGATTTCTCTATCTGTAAAATTGTGTATCGGTCAGCATAGACTGGATTATGCAGCAGTAACAAGCAAGTCCAAAAAACTCAGTGGCATAAAACAATCAAAATGTATTTCTTGCTCATGCTACATGTTCATCATGGGTTAGTAGGAGTTTCTGCTCATCCTACTCACTTAGCAAAAAGAAGGCTGATGTAGCCATTATGGCAAACATTGCTGGCCTGTCACCATTCTGGAAGGAACATGAAACATTATCCAATCTGGAACGATGTGTTACTTCATTTCACAAGGCATTGGCCAGAACTATTCACATGGCTCCACCTCACCAACCACAAAGGGGTCAGGAAGTGAAATTCTACGTTGTACTCAGAAGAAAGAGAATCAGAAGTATAGGATGACAGCACTAATGACCACCATAAATGGGGATTTTTTTTTTTGAGACAGGATCTCACTCTGTCACTCAGGGCAGAGTGCAGTGGTATGATCACAGCTCACTGCAGCCTCTGTCTCTTGGACTCAAGCAATCCTCCTGCCTCAGCCTCCAGAGCAGCTGGGACTGCAGACACACATCACCATGCCCAGCTAATTTTTTTTTATTTTTTAGGAGAGATGGGGTCTCTTTATGTTGCCCAGGCTGTTCTCAAACTCCTGGGCTCAAGTGATCCTCCCACTTGTGTCTCTCAAAGTGCTGGGATTACAGGTGTGAATCACCACACCCAGCCCACAAATGGGGATTTTTAAAATTGTCTAAGAATGATCTTCTAAGGGTTGTTGTGAGAGCTGAGTGTGATCACACTTGTAGAGAGCTTAGCACGATGCCTGGCACATGGTAAGTGCTGAGCCAATACTACATAGTAATAGGTGCTCCATATCTTCTACATGCTTATTGGCTCTCTCTCTCTCTCTGGATCACTATAAATTGTGGTGATCAGAGAAAGCTTTCAAAGAAAAGTTAACATTGAACAAAGTCTGGATGACGCTGCAATATCAGGAGATGACTCTCTGAAAGGAGGAAGGGCGTGAGCAAAGGCAGTGAGGTCAGACAGTAGGATGCACAGGGACAGCTCTGGGAGATGAGCTTCACTGGCATAGAGTTTTTCAGAATAGTCCAGCATTCAATAGATAAATCTCAAAGAATGAGAAAAGTGGTCTTTATTCTGAAGCTTGAGTTGGCAGAAACAATTCACAAATCAGGAAAATTCCTTTGATGTGCCCTGCATTTAATTCTTGGCTCAGAAAAATGCCTCTGGAAAATAAGGTTGGCATTAGATCATCTTAACCCTTGATCTAAAACCCAGATCCCAGCTGAGAAGCTAGGCCTCCTGACTCCAAGTCCAGAGGCCACTCCACAGCCCTAGGAAAATCCCCGTGCAGTGGCTGACCTGGTTTTTTCTCCTTGTTGCCAAAGGCTCCATTTCTGGGTGACCACAGTTGCCCCTGGGGATAAGTCTTCTCTCCTATTTGCATTGGTAACTGCTCAAAGTCCCACCAAGACCTTGGCAACGTGCCACCCACATCGTCTCACACTGGCCCAATTGTTTGTGGCAAATGCCTCCCTTTTGAACTCTAGACCTTCTGGAGGAAACGGTTTCAATAGGAATAACTCCCAGCTCTCCCCAGTCTTGCCATCTGGACGTCTGGAATGGATCTTCCAGGATACATGGCTCTTTTGAAGGAAACGAATTCAATTGGTAATTGTGTTCCCATTTAATATGCCTAAGGAGTGGTCCTGTACTCTTGCTAGTACATTTTTTTTCATTCAACAAACACTTATTGATCTCCTACTGCAAATTAGACACTGGGCTGGGTGTGGGGGTGGGGAGGTGGAGAGAGTGGACGCTTTTTACAAAATGCCTTTGACCCAATAGAATAAGAAACACAATAGAGATAGGCACCAAAATCTATGGGAGCCCAGCAAAAGGGACAGTAAATTGTACCTGGCAAGTCCAGAAGGCTCAGAAAGGAGACTGGGCCACCAGGCACTGAAGAGAATGACCCTGCAGAAATTTAGGGGGGTCCTACACTTATTCCAAAGAGGAGGCTCACAGTAGTCCTGGACAAGTTTAGGATGCACACAATGAAACATGAATCCACTGAACAGACATTTTAATATGGGACCTGCTGCTTCTCAGGCACAGAGCTGGATGACTGAGGTCTCCCGAAAGGAATGAGGCATAGCCCCTGCCCTCAAATTGCTTACTGTTTGGTTATGCAGGTTAAGGTCTGAGCACTGATTATTCTACCTCACAGCCCAACCGCAGCATTCACATTGCCTTAGAAACCCTACTAAAGTTCTTCCAAGTGGATATAGCAAAATATTCTCAGGAACCAGGGGGGCCCAGGGCAGGCTTGCTGGAGGAGGTGGCAGAACCGGGCTCTGGAGAGATGGAGTGGTGGAGAGCAGGGAGGCAGGGGCAGTGGCACACACAGGCAGGTGACCACAGAGCCAAGTCACAGGCACAGCCACACACACACGTGTCCCAACAGGAAGGAAGGTCTGTCTGAAATAACGGGGGCAAAGCTGGGGTGGTGGGGTGAAGAGATATGGTATGGGCCTGAGGTCACCAATGTCATCACCACCTTTTGCTTGGCCTTTTGTTTGGTTCTTTCTCTGGATCCCACCTTTCAGCAGGCTTTTTCTTCCGAATAGACCACTTCTATTAAGCAATGATCTGTGTGTTTTCCCACAGAATAACCAGTGTTGGCTCAGTTATTATTATTCTAGCCAAAAAGAAAAAGAACACTTTCTGAACATTTCACTCTGGAGCTCCAGACTCTTCCATGGCTCCCCGTTACCCTCAGAATAAAGCCCAGCATGTGAGGCCGTTGACCACCTAGCCCCTCAGCTCTCTGCTAGGCCTTGCTGAAGTACTTGTGATTCTCCAGACCTGCATATGTGCCCCTCTCCACATGGAAGCTTCTCTTCCCAACCTCAGTATCTTCTCTTCTCTCTGGGCTCAAACCTTAATGCTTCCTCCAGGCAGTGTTGCTGACCCACGGATACAGTCTCATTGCTGAGCTCTGATCACTCTGTGTGGTCATGGTTCATTTGCTTGTCTGTCTCCCTCAGGGGGCTGTAAACACCCGGCAGGTGGGGACTCGCATCCAACCTCCAGTGGCCAGCACTGTGGGATATAGAAAAACTCAATAAAGTTTGAGTAGTGAGCAAGTGAGCACATGAGTGAATGTGAAGTGTCATTTCTGGTTGACCGTGGAGTCACATCACAGAAGAAGGTAGCAGGCATTCACCAAGCTTCAGAAAGGCGTGGAAAGAACCTATAGATTACACATGAAACCATCCTCACAGCTGCCAGACCACAGATGCCTGGCACAGGCACTGGGGAGACAGTGGGGATTTTGCACATGGGAGGGACAAGCCTTTTCCAGCCATATCTCGTTAGATAATTTGCCCAAATCACACTTGTTGTGAGAAGCGGGGTTGAGATGCCCCAAGTCTCTTGGGCTTGGGGGCTCCTGCTCTCTGCAGTGCCCCAAGAGATGCTGGCTGCTGAGGGAAGGAGGAATCTCCCCAGGCAGAGGTTACCTTGTGCCCCTCTGGAGTTTGCCCACCCTGGGGCTCTACCCTAGAATGCTCCCCTAGCACCCTCTCCCCATGCCATCCCTTAACCAGCTAGCTCCTCCCACCCTTCAGCAAATACACCCTGCCTCAGGGATCTGTTCATATCTGGTTAGCCCTTATGCACCCCCTGTCCCAGTCAAGAGGGCTGGGCAGATGGTGGAAGCACCAGCCAGGTGGTACTCACTTCTCTCATGGGTGCTTTTCCCATCCTCTCTCTCTCTCTCTCTCAATATTTCTACCTTCTGGGCACAGACAGGAGGCAGGATCAGTATTTCTGATTCCTCATGAGATGAGGTCCTTCTGATCCCTCCCACGTTCTAAACCCCCATCCCTTACATTGTCACCACCAACAGCAAGTATTAATTGTGCACCTATGGTGTGCCAGCCACTGGGGACCCAGACACACCCCAAACTCAGTCCCTGCTTTTGACGGGTTTGAAGAGACAACATGAAGGATGAAACTGTCATTAAATAACTTGCACAGGAGTCCCAAGTAGGATGGGGGGCAAAGGGGTCCCTGGTACTGAAATTTAGAGGGTACCAAAATGTAAAAAATGACATTTATTATTTATTTATTATTTTATTGATTTTGAGATGGAGTCTCACTCTGTCACCCAGACTGAAGTACAGTAGTGCAATCTCGGCTCACTGCAACCTCTGCCTTCCGAGTTCAAGAGATTCTCATGCCTCAGCCTCCCAAGCAGCTGGTAGCTGGGATTATAGGTGTGTGCCATGACACCCAGCTAATTTTTGTGGGTTTCTTTTTTTTTTTTTTTTTTTTTTTTGTAGAGACAGAGTTTCACCATGTTGGCCAGGCTGGTCTCAAACTCCAGGCTAGTCTCGAATTCCTGACTTCAAGTGATCCTCCCGTCTCGGCCTCCCAAATTGCTGGGACTACAGGTGTGAGCCACCACACCTGGCTAGGAATGACTTTTAAACATTGAACACATTTCTCAGCCCTCCTTTTTAACTCCCATGCCAGTCTATGGAGAGGACTGGGTAGGTGACCAGTTGGCTGGAGGCAACCTCCCTCCCATTCCATGTGGCCATGGACCCAAGGGTGCAACTCGTGCTTGGTGTCCCAGGCACCTACATTGTTGGCTTTGGCTACCACTGAGCTCAACAGTGAGCTGCTTGGTGTGCATATACAGCTCATCACAGAACCAAACTCGATCATCCTGAGAGGCAGGGAGGATCTCCCTGCTTTAGCTTGAGTGTTTGTCCAAGTGAGTGGAGCAGCAGAGATTTGTTTCCAGGTCTGAGAGACCCTGAAGCCAGGGCTGTGGCATCCACTGTCTAGTTTTGACCCTCACAGTGGTCCAGCTGGGGAGGCTGAGCAGATGGACATATTCTCACCTGGCAACTCATCGATGGGGTTCTCCACTGTTAAAAATAGACAATATCACCATTTTCAGGGGATGTCAAAGGCTTGCAAAGACAGACATCCATCCCTCGTTGACCAGCCATGCAACATCATGGATAGTGGTTGCTTTGTGGGCAAAACCCCTGGCCTTGGGGCTAAGGATAAGGAGGGGCAAAGGAAGAAGGAGAGTCCCTATTTTCCTCTCCGTCCCCATCTTGCCTCTCCATACTTCTAATCCTCCCCCACTCCAACCCACCACTAGCCACACTCATTCATTCATTCATCCATTCACTCCTAGTGAGCACCACTCTGTGCCAGATACTTACCTAGCTCAATCCTCAACATCAAGGAGCACTTTGTTATTACCTCCATTCCACAGAAAAGAAAACGGAGGCTTAGAGGTTAATTATCATCCAAGGTCGTGCAATTAGCAGGGGATGGGATTCCAACTTAGGGTCCAATTGTGAAGTTCTTTGAGCCATATTCCCACAGGAGGGCTCCCATCTGCTCCTGCCCTCAGTTATTCAGCCGTCCTAACAGGAAAGGAGCCTGGGAGCTAGGTGAGCTAGGTGTCCGTTAGGAGAAGTTTCCAGAATGCAGGGCTCCTCTTTTTCCTCCTCAGGCTTTTGCCAGCCCCACATCCCTGAGGCAAGTCCCTCGGCCTCCCTTGGGTTCCCCTTTCCTGGACCAAGAACACTTACTGGAGCATGCCAGAGAGGACTAATTAACAGTCTGCAGAGGGCTTGGAAGGTGAAAAGCAGCCTTCAAGTGGCAGCCTATTATCCCTAAGCTTCACATATGAAATAATGAAATTCCAGGTTCCAAATGGAGAGGAAAAAGTCCTTAACAAGGTGATAAAGGGAGGCAGCTAAGGGCCAGGTAGAGGGGAGGGTGGTGAGTTCATTCTCACCTTTCCCATGCAGGCCCCAATAGGCCCTGGGCTAAAAGTGTGGGGTCTGGGTCAGCCGCTGCTCCAGGCAACAACCTGCATCCTGGAGGAAGGAGAGCCAGCTTCCCACAGGATCCAGAGGCAGGTGGTAAAGTTGGAAGGGGCAGTTCTAGGAAGGAGGAGCCCTGGGTTCTAGTCCCCACACTGTCACTGACCTGATTCCTGACCCTGGAGGGCTCCTGCCCTCTCTGGACTCTGTTGACCCAAGAATTGACCCACGGAGTTCCAGCCCCACCCCCAAATATGGATGTCCCTTGAGGATGGGGGCTTGGCTTCGCTCCCACTGTGTTCCTGGCATGAAGTACCAAGCCCAGTACCAAGCAAGGGATCAGTAACTTTGCTGATGAGCAGCTGACTCTGGTGCTGATAGTCTGGAGTTCTAGGACTCTAAGTGTTCATTCTGTCCTAGAGTAACACAGCAGAGAAGGAACAGTCCTCCCTGTGTCCTCAGGGAGTTTCCTGACTGGCTGGGCAGCAGAGAATAACACACACACACACACACACACACACACACACACACACACGCACGCACCCCATTAATGGGTTCCCTGGGGGCAGGGATCAGTCCCACTCACTGCTGGGCCTCCAGGGCCTGCCAAAGGGGCAAAGTCACACTCAGACATAAACTCTTGGTTTTAGCAATCCAATAAACAGTCATGAAACTAAGTGAGGAAAGTTATTAGATTGAAGGGATTTGAGGGAAAGTCCCATCAAAAAGTAAAACTTGATCCCACCTCCACTTCTTGGATGAGTTACTTAATCTCTCTGGCCTCAGTTTTTTCACCTATAAAATAGAAACCATGAGAGGACCTACCTCACCAGGCTGTTCTAAAGTTAAATGAGTTAATTCCTGTACAAGCTGAGAACAGCATCTGATACAGTATCTAATAAAGTCAGTTATTATTACTTTTATTATTATTATGTACTTGGTTATCATTATTTTCATTCATCAATTATTATTCTCTTCACCTCTTTGCTGCCACCTGGAGTTCCTGGAACCCCTTCACGGCGTACAGCAGGGAGACAGGGAGGGCAGATGCCATTTGCACAGCCATTGGGACTAATAAGCCCCAGCACCCCAACACACATGGCTGGGGTCCACATCTCCCACCTGGCATCACATTTGATCCTTACAACAGGCTTGAAATCCAGAGAGGCGGGTACCGTTATACCCAGCTGCAGATGAGAATGCCGAGACACAGAGCAAGGCAGCTGTCTCCGGTGACCCAACTGGGCAGGGCAGAGCACAGATTTGCACATGGATGAGCAATCATTTGTGTAGCCAAGAAACGCCCCTTCAACAGCAATTGGCCAGGCCCCAAGGATGTAAGAGTGGGGAAGACAAACATGTTCCCTGGCCTTCTAAAGCCAACGTTCCAGTAAATAGACAAGCTAGAGAAAGATAAATGAATACATATCACAACTTGTGGTCAGGGCTGTGAAAGAAATTAACAAGGTTCTATGATCCCAAGTAAAGATGAAATTGTTCCAAGAAGACTTCTTTAAGGAGGTTTAAGCTGAGCCCTGAAAGATGAGAGGTGAAAGGAAGCTGTTGCTTCTGGCTGCCTCACCACTAATTCTCACTAAGCTGTAAATGACCAGCTGCAGGTCTGCGCCTGGAAGCAAGGTTTGTAAATGGGAGGGAAGAGGAATCTGAGGGCAGTGTGAAGGCCCTCAGGGAGGAAAAGAAAAATGGTGCTAGAGAAGGAGAGGGCTTGGAAAGGCAGAGGAGCCTTGCGGAGGTTGCAACTTCCAAGGACTTTGCTGAAAACAGAAAGCCAAGTTTAGAGGTCCAGGGAGATCCTCCCATTGCTGAAGAGGAAGGATAAGTGCCTGAGTCCTCCCAGAGACAGGCAGCGATTTGAAGCTATCAAGGCAGAAAATGAAAATCATCTGTTCCTGGGAGGAGGGATGCAGGAAGAAGACATCATTCTTAACTGGAGCAGACGGAGAGAGCGCTACACTGCAGGTCCCCCGAGAAGGGTGTCTACCGCTCCTTCCCTTCTCACAACTGTCATGCTTTAGCCTGCCCCATGCACCTCCCCACAGCCTTGCAGAGTCCCTGCTACGTGCCCCACACTCTACTCAGCTCTGAGGAGAGAGGAGAGACATAGGCCTGTAACAGCACGTGTAAGCAGGCCCGGGGGAGCAGAGAGGGCCTCTCTAAGGAAGCCCCACCTGAACTGAGGTATAGAAAGGGAGGGAAGTGGCCTGGTGTGGTGGCTCATGTCTGTAATCCCAGTACCCTGGGAGGCTGAGGCAGGAGGATTGCTTGAGGTCAGGAGTTTGAGACCAGCCTGGGTGACATAGCAAGACCCCACCTCTGGAAAAATATTGTAAAAATGAGCTGGGTGTGGTGGCATGCACGTGTGGTCCTAGCTATTTGGGAGGCTGAGGCAGGATTGCTTGAGCCCAGGTGATTGAGGCTTCAGTGAGCCATGATTGCATCACTGTGCTCTAGCCTGGGCAGCAGAGCGAGACCCTGTCTCTAAAAAAATAATAATAATTTTTTTAAGAGGGAAGGAAGTGTGTGTCTGGCAAAGGTCAGCATGCACAGTGACCTGCTGGTAAATTTCTAATAATTGGCTCTAGGGTGGGCGGTGGAGGGGTCAGCAGATTGGTAGCATTTGGCATTGTATGGTGTAAACACTCTCATGGTGGCATGATGTCACTGAACGCAGACAATCAAAGGTCAGTGGGAGCCGGCTCAAGCCCATTGCTGGGTGCTACTGGGGCAGCAGGCCTGGGGAGGGTTGGTGCAGCTCTGAAACTGGAGCCCAGCATGGGGCACCAGCGGAGGCTGCTGAAGTCACCTGGGACCCTGTGGGCCTTGGAGGGAGTGTGGGCTTTAGCCAACAAGGGGCATGTGTTGATTGTGACCACAGGTCTCTGTTTCATCACCCTGTTTCCCTCAGAGCTCTGCAAGGCTACACCCTGGGCCCAGAGTTCCTGCTGTTAATAACAAGGAGAGACTTAATCAATGAGGTCCTCTCAGGAGCAGTTGCTGGCTTTTCATCTGATGACAGGGCAGCAGGCTCAGTGTAGCCATGGATGGGGCCCCAGGGAGTGTCTCCACCTCCCTCTTAACGGCAGGCCACATGCAAGCTGTTTGTCCACCATCCCTTCCTGCCTGAGGGGGTCAACTGGGTGGCTGAGCTGGGGGCAGGGGAGTGGGCTTGGAATGGAAAAGTCCAGACCCAACTTGCACCTGCTCCAAGGCCTGGCCCTCAGCACTCTTAGACCATGAGGCCTCTCCCCATTCTCTCCTTAGAGAAGCCTGGAGCAAGGCCAAGGGCACCAGGCAATGAGAGATTGGGGCCCAGGAGGATCAGCCTGGAAGTGGGGTGGGGGGTTGGAGAGTGCAGGACGATTGTTGGGCCTGGGCCTGGAGTTCAGGGGACTTTTATTATCCCCCACTACACTTCCACCTGGGCCTGGCACTGCACACCTTGGCCATCCTGGTCCTCCCAGGTCCAACCCTCACAGGCCTCCTTGGGGGATGGGGAAGGGGTTTCCAACAAGGGGGAAGGCCACAGGAGAGACCTCTGCCCTGGGAGTTCAGAGGCTCAATCCAGCTGAACCACTCACAGCTGGGAGACTGGGGCACTGTCCCCTACACCCTAATTCTCATCAGAACTGCAAAGGGGCTAGGCAGCAATCTTTAAAGTCTTTACTTCAGACCCACTGAGATTCCAAGAAAGTCAGGCCCCACTGAAAAAGTCCTCCAACTGGGGCGGTTTCATGAGGGAATCTTCTATAAAAGTGAGGGTCACAGATTGGAGACTGAGAAAACAGGATCTCTAAGACCTTCCCCTCTCCAAGATTCTGAATCCATGAGCTTCATCTGTGCTTGGTCTCCTGGATATGTTTCTTTCTGTGTGTCAACTCTGAGCTAATTTTAAAAAATTGTTTTAATAGGCTTTATTTCTTAGAGCAGTTTTAGGTTCACAGCAAAATTGAATGGACAATACAGAGATTTCACATACACCCCTTGCCCCCACATTTATACAACCTCCTCATTAACAACATCCCTCACCAGAGAGTTCATTTGTTACAATCGATGAGCCTACATTGATGTGTCATTGTCACCCAAAGTCCATGGTTTACATTAAGGCTCACTGTTGTTGTACGTGCTGTGGGTTTTGGTAAATGTGTAATGACATGCATCCACCATCTCAGCATCAGAGTAGTTTCGCTGCCCTAAAAATCCTCTGTGCTCAGCCTGGGCAGCATAGCAAGACCTCATCTGTATAAAAAGTTTTTAAAAATTAACTAGGTGTGGTGGTGCACACCTGTTGTCCCAGCTATTTCAGAGCCTGAGGCAGGAGGATCACTTGAGCCCAGGAATTTGAGGCTGCAGTAAGCTATGATTGCATCATTGCACTCCAGCCTGGACAACAGAGCGAGACCTTTCTCTGAAATTAAATAAATCCTCTGTGCTCCACTTATTCACCCATCTTTCTCCCCTAATTTCTGGCAACCACTGATCTTTTTACCCTCTCTATAGTTTTGCCTTTTCCAAAATATCATATCACTGGAATCCTAGTCTGTAGCCTTTTCAGATTGGCTTCTTTCACTTAACAGAATGCATTAAGATTCTTCCTCACCTTCTCATGGCTTGATGTCTCATTTCTTTTTTTTTTTTTTTAATTTTTTTTTTTCTTTTTTTGTAGAGACAGGGTCTCACTGTGTTTCCCAGGCTGGTCTTGAACTCCTGGCCTCAAGTTATCTTCCTGCCTCGGCCTCCCAGAGTGCTAGGATTATAGGTGTGAGCCACTGCACCTGGCTTCTCATTTCTTTTTATCACTGAATGATGTTCCATTCCCTGGATATAACACAGTTTATTCATTCATCTACTGAAGGACATATTGGTTGCTTCCAAGTTTTGGCAATTAAGAAAAAAACACTGCTATAAACATCCATGTGCAGATTTTTTTGTGTGGACATACGTTTTCAACTCCTTTGGGTAAATACCAAGGAGTGAGACTGCTGGGTCATATGATAAGAGTACTTTTGGTTTTGTTTAAAACTGTCTTCCAAAGTGGCTGTCCCATTTTGCATTCCCACCATCAGTGCATGAGAGTGCACACATACTCCGCATCCTCCCCAGGATTTGGTGGTATCAGTGTTTTGGATTTTGGCCCTTCTAATAGGTGTGGGGTGGTATCTCATCACTGTTTTAGTTTGGAATCCTCTAATGACATATGATGTTGAGCATCATTTCACGTGCTTATTTGCCATCTATATACCTTCTTTGGTGAGGTCTCTGTTCAGATCTTTTGCCCATTTTGAAATCAGGTCGTTTGTTTTCCAATTGTTAAGTTTTAAGAGTTCTTTGTATATTTTGATTAACAGTCCTTTATCAGATATGTGTTTTGCAAATATTTTCTCTCAGTCTGTGGCTTGTCTTCTTATTCTTTTGATAAATTAAATTTTTTACTATCAAGACACTCACGATACATACATCATGTTGATAACACAGATCGCAATAAAAGAAAAATATTCTTGATTATATTCCTCCAAGGATGATGATAATAATGATGATAGTAATGACTGTTCTCATCTTTGAAACCCTCACTATGTTCTGGGCCCTTGGCAATTGTCTCATGTGACCCCACCACAGAACCTTGTGTGGTAGGTATTACTATCCTCATTTTGCAGATGCTACAAAGGAGGCTCAAATAAATTAAGTGGCGAGACCAAGATTTCATGCTAGTGAGCAGCGGGGCCAGTATTCAAACTGAGCACTGTCAGCCCCATGGTCCTTGCTCTGAATGCTACAGTTTCAGCCTGTGCCATTTTCGTCTTCCACCTCCCATAGTTGGAGACTTCAGTATACAGTTCATGTCTCTCCCGCCCCCAGAACTTCTTTGATTCTTACTATCTTATTTCAACTTCAGGATCTTCCTAGAAGATGGACATTCTTAAAGAAGAACTAATTGAGACTCTAAGAGGTTAAATGACTTACTTACAGTCACACAGCCAGCCAGCGGGTGACTTCAGCTAAGCTGCTTTCCCAAGCCACATCCCAAGCTCCTAGACCCCACAGTCCAACTTTTCCCACTACTTTGACCCAGAAAAATTGTCCCTGGATTGCTGCTGTCATTCCTGTCCTGCTTCCCCCCTCCCCCATACTCTCTCCCATCATTTTTCTGTGCCTACTGGAGGAAACATTCTAAACTGCCAAGCCAATCAGGGCTCTCCCTGGTGCCAGTCATCCTGCCTTCCATCAATCCTCAAGAGGAAACAGCAACTCCCTGGGATGGCACGCCAGGCCACAGCACCCTACCTAACTCTTTTGCCTCTGCAGCCACAGCCCCCACCCTCCACATGCCCTTCTTGGCTGAGCCAAACCCCCTGCATCTGCTCTTCCTTGAACCTCCAGGGCTCTGCCCACATTACTTCTCGGGCTGGCATGCTTTCTCCTCCTGCTCTCCACCTGAGCCAGCCTCCTCACCCACCATGGCATGAAAAGGAGCTCTCTTTCGCCAAGCACTGACTCTCATCACTGGCAGTGCCAAGTACTTTATTTGCATTTTATTTAAATCACATAATAATTTGGTGGCAGGCGTCATTAGCCCCATTTTACAGAGGAGTAAGCTGAGGTTTAAGAGGTGTTAAGTAACTTGGCTAAGGCTACATGGTGGATAAGTGGCAGAGGTGGAACTTGAAACTTTGTCTGTCTAACTTTACATACAAGGGTCTTGACTTCATTAGTGACCCCCATGCTCCCAAGCCCTCCCCACCCCCTACCCCAGATTGCTCCCATAACACCTATGCATTTCTCCGTGATTACACTTCATGACGCTCTTTTTTTTAAAGGACTTTAAAAAAAATCAGTTTTAGGTTTACAGAAAAATCAAGCAGAAAGTAGAATTCCCCAACACCCTTTCACTTCACCCCCAGTTTCCCCCGTTACTAACATCTTGCATTAGCATAGTACATTTACTATAATTGATGAACCCATAGTGATACATGATTAGGTGAAGTCCACAGTTTACATTAGGGTTCACTCTTGATATTGTACATTCTTTGGATTTTGACAAATGTATAAAGTGTCACACAAAGTAGTTGCTCTGTCCTGAAACTCTCCAGTGGTCCACCTATTCATCCCTCCCTTCCCTTTAACCCTTGACAGCCTCTGATCCTTTTCCTGTGTCCATAGTTTTGCCTTTCCCAGAATGTCATCTAGCTGGAATCATACAGCCTTTTCACACTGGCTTCTTTCACTTAGTAATATGCATTTAAAGTCTCTCCCTGTAATTTCATGACTTAATAGCTCATATCTTTCTTTTATCCCTGAATAACATTCCATTGTCTGGATGTACCACAGTTGGTTCATTCATTTACCCATTGAAGGGCATCTTGGTTGTTTTCAAGTTTGGGCAATTACAAAGCTGCTGTAAATGTCCCTGTGCAGGTTTTTGTGTGGATATAAGTTTTTAACTCATTTGGATAAATACCAAAGAGCACAACTGCTACAGCAGCAACATCCTCTCTTACACAACACCACCCATCCTCTCCGGACCCCAGCCAAAGAACTCTCGGAAGCAGAGAATGTGTCTTGTCCTTCTCCATCTCCAAGACTTACATATCATGGGTCCTCAATAAATATCTGCTGAAACGAAAAATGCAAACAGACAATCATATACCTCGGATTTTCCAGGACATTTTAAATTTCATATTATTTTATTCTTTGCAACAAAAATGATTTAATATAAGCATAACCAAATAAAAATGAAAAATGCCTATGTAAGGCTTTCTATATTAAAACATTTCACGAACAGTTTTTTTTTAATGCATCCTTTGCTAGATACTGACTCTTGCCTTGGGATTCCAAATATGCAGTTGCCAGAGGGATGGTGAGAGGGACCTAGGCTGGGCATCAGACCTCGGTCACGTCCCTTGCCCACATGGGGCCATCATGTCCTCCTATGACACAAACACAGGCTGTTCTAGGAATCCCTGTCAGATGAGCCTCCCCATCCCACCTACCACTCTCCAGGGAAGGCAGGGGATTAGAAGGGGAGAAGGCCAGGTCTCTGTTAGCTGAGGTCCCACTCACAGAATGGGGCCCCAGGCCCCAGCAACAGGAAGGAAGAGGTAGGAGTACCCTTAAGCCCTTTCACTGAGAATAACAGTCATGTTCATTTTAACACATTGATCATGAGAACATTCATGTTCTTGATGGATTGATTTAATTATTATACAGCTCATTGATTTAGGGACTGTTATCTACATCACTGATCTCCAAGACTTTTGGCACCAGGGACCAGTTTCATGGGAGATAATTTTTCCACGGACGGGATGGCGATGGTTTTGGAATGAAACTGTTCCACCTCGAATCATCAGGCATTAGATTCTCATAAGGAGCACACAACCTAGAGCCCTCGAATACACAGTTCACAATAGGATTCACACTTCTACGAGAATCTAATGCTGCCGCTGATCTGACGGAAGGCAGAGCTCAGGCAATAATGCTTGCTCATCTCCTGCTGGGTCTCCCTGTTCCTAACAGGCCCATGGCCAGATACTGGTCCACAGCCCGGGGGTTCGGGACCCCTGATCCACATTCATAGATTCAGTTCCACCCACAAATATTTATTGAGTGCATACCACAGGCAAAGGCTCTGTTTTAGGGCTGCAGCAGTGAACAAGACAGACAGAGTCTCTGGCTGCCTCATGGAGATGGCATTCCCCACTGCAGGAGACAGACAGTGAGCAATCACGGGTTGTTAAAAGGTGAAAGTGCTAACAAAGAAACAAAAAGTAGAGCAGGGAGTAGGGTGAGCAGTGGTGGAGGTGGAATGGGACTGACTCCAGTATGGTAGGCCATGTTCAAAAGGTGAGGTTCTTAGCAAGATGTGAAAGAAGAGGGAGAGAAAGTTAGCCAAGAAAACCTTGCAGGCAGAAGGATCAACCAGTGTGAAGGCCAGAGGCGGGGCTGGATCTGGCACAGAGGAGGGGGTGAGTGGAGTGAGCGAGGCAGAGGGGCAGAGGACAATGGGGACAGGTCCTCTCCATGATCTGTTTGTGGCCCACCAGGCCACTGAAGGACTTGGGCTTTTCTTGGCTAGAAATGGGAAGACAGGGCAGGGTTTGGAGCAGAGGACTGACATGATCATCCTGACTCCTCAGTTGAGCGCAGACTACACGGAGGGGTGGAAGGGTGAAAACACAGAGGCATGTTAGGGGCTGCAAGAGTCTGCCAGCAGAGGCAATACTGTGGCTGGGACCTGCTGGTAGCAGCAGAGTGGGTGACAAGAGGTGGGACTGGGGATCTGGTTGGACAGTAGAGCCGTCATGATTCCCTGATGAGACTGGTGTCCACTTTAAAGGTCTAGGGGGGAAGCCCTTACCTAAGCCCTGTACTTGGGCAGCCCTGCGCATGGCCCATGGGAAATGGGAGATTCCAGACCTGCTTCTTTGCCAGGTAGGCTGCTGATGCTGGGGCCACCCAGAGACGGAAAGCACCTGGTACAACTCCCCTTCTCCGGAGTGCATGGGCCCCAATCCCAGTTCCTCTTGGCCTTACTGTCAATGGCACAATGATGGTAGCTTCCTATTGCACTCCCCAGAAGCTGACCTCCCAGTCACCCGGCCCCAGCATTCCAGTTAAAGAGGAAGCAGACAGGGCCGGAAGTCGAACTCGTGCCCCAGCATCCTCATACCCAGCCAGGAGCTGGGGCCTCAGGAGGGTTGGTGGGGAGAGCAGGGGAAGGGGTTCCTCTCAGCACGATTGAAATAATGTGTGTCTAGCCATTGAGCTAGGTGGTGTTTGCATGTAAGGTCAGAATGCCAGCCTCTCCTGGAAACAGCACTGGCCTTTGACTCGAAGATCTACGCAATCGAGTCCTGTTCTGCAGTTATTAGCTACCTGATGATGAGTACATCAGGAAACCATTCGGGTCTCTATTGCATCATCCTTAAAATGGGGACAATGGTGGCCATCAGATAAATGCAAATCAAAACCACAATGAGATATCATCTCACACCAGTTAGAATGGCAATCATTAAAAAGTCAGGAAACAACAGGTGCTGGAGAGGATGTGGAGAAATAGGAACACTTTTACACTGTTGGTGGGACTGTAAACTAGTTCAACCATTGTGGGAGTCAGTGTGGCGATTCCTCAGGGATCTAGAACTAGAAATACCATTTGACCCAGCCATCCCATTACTGGGTATATACCCAAAGGACTATAAATCATGCTGCTATAAAGACACATGCACACGTATGTTTATTGCGGCACTATTCACAGTTGCAAAGACTTGGAACCAACCCAAATGTCCAACAATGATAGACTGGATTAAGAAAATGGCACATATACACCATGGAATACTATGCAGCCATAAAAAATGATGAGTTCATGTCCTTTGTAGGGACATGGATGAAATTGGAAATCATCATTCTCAGTAAACTATCGCAAGAACAAAAAACCAAACACCGCATATTCTCACTCATAGGTGGGAATTGAACAATGAGAACACATGGACACAGGAAGGGGAACATCACACTCTGGGGACTGTTGTGGGGTGGGGAGGGAGGGGGAGGGAGAGCATTGGGAGATATACCTAATGCTAGATGACGAGTTAGTGGGTGCAGCGCACCAGCATGTCACATGTATACATATGTAACTAACCTGCACATTGTGCACATGTACCCTAAAACTTAAAGTATAATAATAAAAAATAATAATAAATAAATAAATAAATAAATGGGGACAATGGTGTCTATCCAAGAGAGCTGTAAGGGAGCAGAGATGTGAAACCACTTCACAAACTGGAAAATGCTGCACGAAGGTCAGATGAATGCTCACAGCCTGGGGGAGAGACCACATGTGCCCAGCTAAACGTGGAGCAGGACAGCCTGGGATGGGGGCGTCAGACACAAGTAAAGATACCATGCTAGCCTAGAGAGGGAGGTGACTCATTCTGACTAAGGGGGTACAGACAGCAAAGGTTTCACAGAAGAAAAAAGGATCTTGAAGAATGGATGGGTTCAAATAGAGAAGAAACGATATTCCAGGTAGAGGGAGCAGCATGGGCAAAGGTCTGAGGTGTGAAAGTGCACAGTATATGTCCGCAGGGAGCGATGGAATGATTCTGAGCAGGGGAATGGCAGAACCCAATTTGCTTAGAGGTCACCCTGGTTCCTAGGGAGGGATGGAGTGGAATTGCTAGGGCTGGCTGAGCAATACTGAGGCTTCAGCCAGCTGCACTCTCCAGAGGAGAGGGGAGCCCGCCCAGGTTCCCCCCGCAGTCTGGATCTGCGTGGGGGAAAGGCAGATGGAAGTGGAAAGCTAGTGAGGGTGGGAGCCTGAGCCAGGCTGAGCCAGCTGGCTGCCCCCTCCCCCTCCCCCCAAGCCTCCCTCTGCCCCAGCCCACCCCCAGCCCCTGGGAGCCTGAAGACCTGTTTGTTTTCCTTGTAAAGAGGGGAGCCCTGCCCTTTGTGAGATTTCTGCTTGGGAAGGAGCGAAATGTCTGCTTGTGCTGCTGCCTGGATTTCCAGCTATTGACAGAGACTCTGACAATGAAAGCAAAGGCCAAGAGAGGCAGAGACAAGGCGGCTGATTAAAATGTTCTTCCAGGGGGTAGTTCAGCCCTGCCCAGGGAAGGCTGGCTGGAAAACCCGTACTGGAGTCCTTTCCTCCAGAGCTGTAGGCCCAGTTCATGGTGGGGCTGTGAAAATAGTTGAGGAGTTTCTGCACCCCACCCCAATCCAGCTGATCCAGCTCCCAAATCCACTGCTGTTGTTCCACTCCTCCCTTAATAACCAGGGTCACTCATAGGACCAGAATTTGAGGCTCAGTGTTCTGTTTCTAAAATGAGGGCAATGATAGTGCCCATTTGGTGGGGTTTGTTATAGGTCAGGTTCTCCAAAGCACAGACTGAGATGGAGCAGAGTTGCCGATGAAAATATAGGACACCCAGTACAATTTGAATTTCAGATAAACAACGAGTGATTTTTTTTTTTTAGTATAAGTATGTCCCATGCAATATTTGGGACATAGTTATACTAAAAAAAAATTCATTGTTTAAAGGAAATTCAAATGTAACTGGGTGTCCTGTATTTTTATTTGCTAAATCTGGCGACCATAAAGTGGAGAATATTCCCATGCAGGGGACTCACTGGGGAGTGTTTCATTGCCAGCGCCTCACCTGGAGGCAGGATGGGGCATAGGGAAAAGTAGATAGGGCTTGATGAAGTCACAACAATGTCCCCGCGACCCCACGGGGAGCTCTGGATCTCGGTTGGCCCTTCAGAGCTGCCTCAAAAGGGCTGGGGCACGAGGCCTCCCGGGACCCTCACATCCTAGCATCATTTGAGGCTGGCTTTCCTGGGGAGGCAGCTGGCTGTCTTCTGCTGAAGTGGTCTCAGCTCAGTGTTTTCCTTTCCCAATACTCTCTGCAGCTGGGGCATGGGGCTTCAGTGCTGAGGGGGTTCTGCGTGCAGCAATCATGACCCTGTTGTTACACAGTTTGATGAGACAATTGTGTAAATGGCTTAGCTCAAGGCTGACACCTACAAGTCAGTCATTTTAGTATCCCCTGAATAAAGGCCAGGTCACTTAGCCTGGCTCTCAACCCATGAGCCATCCAGGGCCAAGTTATCTGCTCTTCTGATCTCCCTCAGCCCCTTTTGGGAGCCCTTTCCAAAATCATGTATGTTAGAGTACCATCTGGGAAGGGGTCCATGTCCCCCATGGGTTGATGACCCCACGTGTGGATCCTCTCTATACCTCAATTCTGCGGACCCCAACCAATAGTATTACAGAGATCTTCTGAAGATCCATTCTGAAGCCCAGCCCTATAGACACAGTCGTGGGGGCTTTGTTCTTGTTCAGTCTGTGTCTGGCCTCATTCTTGTCTGAGTTAGAAGTTACAAGTCTGCAGTTAATTAGGCTGGAGAGGAGCTTCTCATCATTGGCTAAAAGAGGAACCCTGTGTGCCAACTGTGGAGGGCAGCCTGGTTCTGGCTCCCATTCTCTCTGGGTTTGGCCTCCATAGAGAGGGAGGCTGCAGGCAGGTGGGCTGGGGCTGCCTGCATGTTTGGCCCTTGCTGGCTTTGGAGGAGTGTCTCCCTACCTCTCACCCCCTACACACACATTCAGGTCTACTGAAAACCCACCCACCTCTGCATTCTCCTTTTTCGAGGACTCCAGGAACCCTTTGATGAACATTGACTTCTAACATTGAGGCCTCTGGCTCCCCAGCTTCCCATCTTTCTGTGTCTCCCATTAATGTGAGACATATTTAAATTCTGGGAGCAGAGAATCTGGCTCTAGGTAGAAAAGCGTCCAAGCTTGGATTTAGATAAAGAGGCTGAGGAGTCTGAACACATTGAGACCAAGCGGTTGATGTGTCCTCATTCATTCAGAATCACTCACAGTCATTGAAGGCTTGCTGCCAGCTGCGTTATCTTGCTTAATTCTCACAACAACCCTGTGAGCAAGGCTCTAGCATTATCCCAATTTTACAGATGAGGAAACTGAGGCTTAGCAAAAACAAGTGTCTTGCCTAAGGTCCTAAAGCAAAAAAGCTAGGGTGTCAGGATTCCAACTTGTATATCTGCAAGTAGCACTTAAGCTCTGAGTAGCAGGCTGTGCCTAGGTTGCGTGGAGTCACCTGTTCATGTATATGCTTAATGGCCTTGTGTCATCATTACATTCAATATCACTACTCTAATAAAACAGATAAACATCAAGGAAACATAAATGACCCCAAAAAGCCTCAGTCAGGCAGAGATTGGCACAGTAGGGAGGTCTGCTGGAAGAAGCAGGAGTGTATCAGTCAGAGGCCAGGTGCTGGGAACAAGAATCACCCCAGCTATTGAAACAGACATTTAATAGAAGCAATTAGTATCTTAAGCTAGAGGAGAGGCCTGGGGGCTTGGCCTGCAGGAACTAGAATTCCACAGAACTCACCTGCCAGAGTCGCTGCCTCCTTTTATTTATTTTTTTAAATCCTAGTAAAAAACACATAATATAAAATTTATCATCTTAATCATTTTTAAGTATAGAACTCAATAGTAACTATATTCCTGTTGTTGTGCAACAGATTTTTGGACTTTTCATCTTGCAAAACCTAAACTCTCTGCTAATTGAACAATAACGCCCCATACCTCTCTCCCACCCGCCCCTGACAACCATCATTCTAATTTCTGTTTCTATGAGTTTGATTACTTTAGATTCCTCAAATAAGTGAAATTATACAGTATTTGTCTTTTTGTGGCTTTCTTATTTCACTTAGTATCATGTTCTCAAGGTTCATACATGTTGTAGCATGTGACAGAATTTTCTTCCTTTTTAGAGCTGAAAAATATGTCATTGTGTGTCTATACACACACACACACACACACATCCACATCACATCACATTTTCTTTATTCACTTATCTGTCAGTGGACATTTAGGATGCTTCCACCTCTTGGCTATTGTGAACAATGCTACCATGAACATGGGTATGCAAATATCTCTTTAAGATTCTATTTTCAATTCCTTTGTATATATACTCGGAAGTGGGATTGCTGGGTCATATGTAATTCTATTTGTAATTTTTTGAGGAACCTGCATACTGTTTTCCATATAGGCTGTACCATTTTATATTCCCACCAACAATGCACCAAGGGTCGAATCTCTCCACACCCTTATCAACAATTCTTTTTTTAAATAGCAGCCATCCCAATGGGGGTGAGGTGATATTGCATTGTGGTTTTGATTTGCATTCCCCTAATAATTAGTAATGTTGAGCACCTTTTCATATGTTTGTTGGCCATTTGTATATCTTCTTTGGAAAAATGTCTTTCCTTTGCCCATTTTTTGACTGAGTTATTTGGTTTTTTATTATTCAGTTGTAGGAGTTCTTTATATATTCTAGATATTAACTCCTTATAGATATGTGATTTGCAAATATTTCTCCCATTCCATTCTGTAGGTTGCTTTTTCCCTCTTTTTTTTTTTTTTTTTTTTTTTTTTTTTTTTGAGATAGGGTCTCACTCCAGTTGCCTAGGGTGAAGTTCAACAGCGAGATCATGGCTCACTGCAGCCTCAACCTCCTGGGATCAGATGATTCTCTCACCTTAGCCTCCTGAGTAGCTGGAACTACAGGTGTGCACGACCATGCCCGGCTACTTTGTGTGTGTGCCTGTGTGTATGTATGTGTATTTTTGTAGAGATGGGGTTTCTCCATGTTGCCCAGGCTGGTCTTGAACTCCTGGGCTCAAGCAATCCTACCACCTCAGCCTCCCAAAGTGCTGGGAATACAGGTGTGAACCACCACACCCGGCCCCCTTTTCCCCTCTTTTAATCTATTCCTTTCATGCAAAGAAGTTTTTAAGTTCTAGTCCCATTTGTCTATTTTTGCTTTTGTTGCCTGTGATTTTGGCATTACTGCCAACACATCATTGCCAACTCCAATGTCGCAAAGATTTCCCCTATGTTTTCTTCTAGGGGTTTTATAGGGTCAGAGGGCTGCCTCTTCCAGTATAGTCAGAAAGATAGGGAAATAGATGGTGGCCTCGAGAACTTCTGACTTCAGGAAGGTCTGTCATCAAAATTCAGAGCTGAGAGAGTTGCACCCTCCACCCACACAACTTAACGCTTGACGTTTTTGAAGGTAGTGGCTGGATACTGGAACATAGGTGCAGAAAAACTCACCATCTCCGCAAACACATCACCAGCCAGAAAGAACAGGTAGCCAGAGATGGTCTCTGTCTTACTGCTGCTCTCCCATCTTGCTTGGGTGGATCTAATGGGAGAGTCATGTTTACTTCAGAACCCTTCCAGTGAGTGAGTCTAGAAGCATAATTTTCAGCTGTCAGTCTCTGCAGTGTAGAACATATCCAGTGAGGAGGTTCAAATGGAAGACAAGTGCCAGGAGGCCAAGGTAATAAATTAGGTGATGTATTAGGAAGTGCCAGGCCCCTACTTAGTAGAGAGCAGAGCATTATTTCACTGGGACCTACCTGGCATGAAGGAAAGGCGGGTTAGTGAGGCAGGATAGTATTGGGTAGGGTAATGCAATGGTGATGGGCACAACCTCTGCAGCTCAACAGGGCTTACACGGAATCCCAGGCCCACCACGCATGAGCGGTATGACTTGGCTAGGTTATTCCATCTCTCTGGGTCTTCCTTTCCTTCTCTGTAAAAGGGTGGGAGGCTGCCCCCAGAATAATCTGTAGCCTTTCCCTTCTGAGCTGTTCAGCCCTTCCACACAGCAAGGCCTGAATTTGAGTCTACTTTCCCTACCAACGAGCTCTGGGGGTATGAATGGGGCCTCTAAGAGTCTCCCTTTTCTAGTAGGCCATTTCACAGGAGCAAATGAGATGTGAAATTAGAGCTAAAAGACTCCCAAAGCACGAGGAAACACAAGATCCTCGGAATGAGGCATCACCAGGACACCTAAACTATAAAACAGATAAAAATTAAGGCTGTTCTGATTGAGGTGGAGGAAGCGATCCCTGTGACCACTCTCTTTACTTCCTCATCTTCTCAGCACTCCCATCAACTTCTGAGGATCCCAGGACCTCCTTAGGGCACAATTTGAAAGCTTGACTGGTTTACAGAAAGAATCAATGCCAATGCCAGAAGGCCTAAGTCTGGTCAGAATTCGCCATCGTCAACTTGTGTGGTGGTGGACAAACTACCTAACCTTCCTTGGCCCTCAGCTTCTTCATCTGCCATGGAGATAATTTTCCCTGCTCTACATGTTGCGTCTTAACTAGAAACCCACAGACACGACAATGCTTTAAGCAGAAAACACAAGACAAAAGTAAGATGGCGTTGGTTTTGTTTGTACCTTGCTTCATACTATAGATTTTTTGTGGTAGGTTAGTGGTCAAATAATAAGTTGGACCTCCAGGCCCTCAAAATTGAGTCTTTTTTTTTTTCAGTTCCACTCCAACATCAAAATCTATAGTCATCTATGTGCCTTTCTTACAAGTGAAGCCCCTTTGCCCCTTTTCTTGCCCCCATTTCTCTCTACTTCCAGAACTCCCAGGTCCACCTGCAGCCTGGACCTTCAGAGTCCCCATCAGTCTCTTGTGTTTGCCCCCCAACCTTGTTCCAACCCACCCCTCTCTGGTTGCCCCATCTCCCTCTTGCAGAACCTCAACTTCAGGAAGGGCACTCCCCAAAAAGGCAAAAAATACCCCATCACCAGTCCACTCCTCCCTGCCAAACTCCATACAACCTAACTGCATTTAGCCTTCCACCCTGACATCTTTCAGGGATGTGCCAACAGCAACTTTTGTGACTATTTTCCAATGTTACGCAGGCACCTAATGGCCCTGGGCTGTAGTCCCCACTTGGAGGAGCTGCCAGAGGATCCCAGGACTTCTCTAGCATTAGCTCTTCATAAAGAGACTTTATCTGAATGACTAGATAATTGCTAACTTGTAGAGCAATCTTTAAAATGGCTCAAATACTGCACAAGGCAGGAACCTAGAGCTGGGGGTATTTGAATTACTTTCTAGTAGAGAGGGCACTGAGAGTAGAGGACAGAGGATAGGCTTTGGAGACAGAGGGGCCTGGGCTCACCAATCAGCTTCTTCCCTTCCTGAACATGTGACACTTTCCTTCCTGTATCTCAGTTTACTCATCTGCAAAATAGGGACATAGAGAATGGCACTATCTTTTTTTTATTATTATTATACTTTAAGTTTTAGGGTCCATGTGCATAACATGCAGGTTTGTTACATATGTATACATGTGCCATGTTGGTGTGCTGCACCTATTAACTCGTCATTTAACATTAGGTATTTCTCCTAATGCTATCCCTCCCCCCTCCCCCCACCCCACAACAGGCCCCAGGGTGTGATGTTCCCCTTCCTGTGTCCATGTGTTCTCATTGTTCAATTCCCACCTATGAGTGAGAACACGTGATGTTTGGTTTTTTGTCCTTGTGATAGTTTGCTGAGAATGATGGTTTCCAGCTGACAATGACACTATTTATTAAGATTACATGAGATAGTATATGTCAGGATCTCTCAACTTCAGGACTATTGGCATTTGGGGCTGGATAATTCTTAGTTGAGGAGGGTGTTCTGTGCATTGCAGGAT
This sequence comes from Homo sapiens, assembly GCF_000001405.40. NCBI lineage: Eukaryota > Metazoa > Chordata > Mammalia > Primates > Hominidae > Homo > Homo sapiens. Next base: position 70,105,043 of record NC_000015.10, on the reverse strand, counting down.
GTTTAGAGGCATCTCTGTTCTGTACCCAAAGGCACTGCTACCCTGAGTTGTGAAAACCAAAAATATCTCCAGATATTGCCCAAATTCCCCTTGGAAGCAAAATCACCCTGAGTTAAGAGCCACTGGTGTAAGAGAACACGCTTGATACAAAATCAGGCTCTCACTATTGCTGGATGTATGTGACAAACTCACGTTTATAAATTCATTTATTAAAAAGATACAAAGCTGATAACAGATCTGAGAGTGAAAATCAAATCTGTCAGGCAAATACCCTCTCATCTCTCGTTCCCTCCCCATTCCCCATCCCAACTCAGAACCTCCATCAAAGACCAGGTATGCCGGGCACGAATTCTACCTAAATGATCCATACTGACCCCAGAACTCCCCTCCACTGGCGTGGATAATTCTTACAGCGTGGGCCTCCACCCTTGTGAAGTTGAATGCATTAATACCAGCAAAATATTTCTTAATCTCCTAAGCCTCAGCTTTGAATCCTTAAAAAGGAACGAAAGAAACAGCACAAATCTCTTAATTAGAATGCCCAATCACTTCGATAAATATTTACCCGGTTCGGGCATGAGGCATGGAAACCCTGTGCCATTAGTCAATAGAGGTCAGCAAAGTGCACCTTGGGAACAGTGGGATGCAATTCAGCTCAACTTTGGAGCGGGTGTAGGGGAGAATGTTTCCAGGCTTATGCTTCTGCTAAAGACAGGTGAACAAACACATTCCATGCCTACCCTGCACACCTGCCCCCCCACAAAGTCTCAGGTGGGCATGAGGGCCTCATTGTAAATCATCGCCTGGTAGTCTGGCTTCCAAAGCTTTCTGGAGAGAGGCAGTGGCTTCCTCTGCTAGTTGGGCCATGGAGCAAACCAAACCATTCCCCAGTGAGTGTTCTCTGTAGTGCCCTGGCTGGGTACCTTTGCTCCTATCTGGAGCTCTCTTCCTTCCTCCCCTCTGAGCCACAGCAAGGGCCACCCTCTATAGGCAGCTTCCCTAATTGTCCCAGTCCCTCCCCACCCCCACCCTTCTACCCAATACCATTTCCCTGCACAGGCTCTATTTAACTCTGAGGGCCTAGATACAGCCTGGAATACAACCTGGAACTGGGGACAGTCTGGCCTTGTGTATGTTTTCGAAGGCAAGGGCTTTCCTTAGATTTTGGAGGTAAGCTTTCTGCAGATTCTTGCCAGGTAAGAAATTAGGTGCCATTATTCTCATTTTACAGAGGTAAAAATGGAGACCCCAGGAGTTTCGGGGTCTTGCCCAAGATCTTGCAGATCTTCCAGACTCCTGAAGCCCAGGTTGGTGCTGCCACACAGTCCGGATGAGTGGATCCCTCTCTCCTGGCTGTAGTAACCTTCAGAGGCATCCTCACTGGAGCCTGAAATGGGAGTCGGGATAGGGGCAGGGTCTTAGAGAAGCAAGCTCTTAGCTCCGTTCCCCAGGGAATAAAAACAGCTTGTCAGGTGGCAAAACTAAGAAAAGACCAAGGAAGCAGAAACCACCCAGGTGCGGGGTGAGGGGGAAGGGAAGGGTTTCGATAGAAGTATTTGTTCATCCTGTCCCCTCTGCCCACCACAACTTCTGTCCATCCTTTTGAGCTGAGCTCAAGCTCCAGCCTTCCAGGAAGCCCTTCCAGAACCACCCTTCTCACAACTGTTCTCCCCCACTTCATACTTTATAGGCTTACTTTTTGTGGCTTGTCTTCTCAGAAATGCTATGAATATTGCACTGTGGTGGCAGACAGATTTCCCTCTGCCTCTATCCACTCCCACCTCACCCCAGCTTTAGCTTTGAATTGCCCCTCCCCATTCCTTCCTTCCCCTCTCCTGCACACTCCAAGGGTCCTTGGGCTTCAGGGATGCCCAAGGTCATCTGAGGACCATGATAAAGAATGGGATTCCCAGAGAGGGAGAGGAAGGCCCAGTGACCTCGGGAGGGCCTTCCTGAGAGTCCAGAGGAGAGGAGCTGGGTGTTCCCACCTGGGCTTGGCTGTGTCTATGCAGAATAAGGTTGGGGCTGCTGCCTGGCTTGCTCCCCCCAGGGCTGGGATAGAAGACCTTCCTAGCCTCTCCAGGCACGCAGAAAATGTTGGAGGAGTTGAATCACCCAGATAGTTGTACATTATCATCATGGCCACCACAGCTAACTGTTATCGATCACTTAATGTGCCAGGTTCTGTACTAAGTACACTACATGCATTATCTCCATCGATTCTCGGGACAATCCTCCTCAGGTACTGGATTGTTATCTCCACTTTACAGATGAGGAAATGGAGGCTTAGCAAGATTAAATAAGTCCCCCAAGGTCACATAGCTTGAACCAGTCAGAGAATGGGAAGACGAGTTGGGAGACCCTGGGAAGTCCTCTCCTTCCACTAGCCTTGGTCCTCTTCCCTGAGATGAGGTAGCTGCAGGATGAGCTTTATAGGAGCTCCCTCTGGGGCCCTCCAGATTCCTGTGGTCCCTCTTGCAGCCCTGGCCTGCATTCTCAGGAAAGCCAAGCTTGTAGATACAGCAGGGCGTAGTAGGTAAGGGCAGGCACACTGGTGCCCAATTGCCTGGGTCCTGTCCCTGGGACACTGATGCCCAAATGCCTGTGTCCATCAGTCACTGATGTGACCTTGGGCACATCATTGTACCACTGTGTATCAATTTCCCCATCTGTAAAATGGGGCTGATACTCATGGCACCCACTTCATTTCTTGTGTGAGTATTAAATGTGTTCATATTTGTCAAGTGCTTAGAATAGCACTGCACACAGCTTGAGCACTATGTAAGAGTTTGTTAAATAAATAAAAATTTCCCTTTCTTTTGCTCTATGTCGAGGTGCTTGCTTGTGGAGGAAGGTCTGGGATGCCCGGTGAGTGGAGGGGTGGGGGTAGGGGGGACAGAATTACTCTAGTCATGAAGACAAAGCAATTGGGGGAGCCCTATAGAATCAACTGAGGGGGTGTGGCATGGTGAGGGAGATTTCTGTCCTCTCTGAGAAGTTCCAACAAGAGGCTTCCACAAATCAAAGCCAGTGGAGGCAGTAGAGGAAGGGATGACAGGGAGAGGTTTGCAACCCCACCCACGGCACTGTGATCCATTCCTCAAATAGGTGACCACAGCCTGGTGGCTGGCCTGAGCCATACCCTTTAATTCCTAAGGGGGTAAAGCATATACTAACTCAGCTAAAGTGCTTGAAGAATATTTTAAAAGACTCAGAGAAGTGGCTCCTCGGACTGGCAGACAGTTGCTCACCAGCCACCTTGCACCCCAAATAAGGGGCTGGGGGCTGGGGAGCCGCTGCTCTGTAAATCCAGGCCGGGCTTTCTGTCTCACCCGGGTGACTTTTTTTTTTTTTTTTTTTTTTAATGTGCCAGGAATTCCTCTCCCACGTGGGGTGGACTCCGAGGTACTCAATTAAGCAGCCAATGAAAAGTCAGCTCTCCGGTAGCAAATGACCCTGACACTTCTTGTAACATAAACAGTTGAAACGTTTCCAATTAGAACTGGAGACAGAGACGTTTGAACTCTTTCTCTCGACTCCCCTCCTTCTTTAAAATAATTGTCAAGCCTTTGGACGGGGTGTTGTATACATGTTTTTTATTTTCTTTTCTCTTTCTCCAGCATAAAAGACATGTATTTTTCTCCTTGTTTTTCCTAATTTGTGGGGTGGCATGTTGGGGCGGGGTGGGGGGGTGCGGGGAGATAGCGGTGGTAAGCTTAAAGGGATGTTGGCCTGGTTCCTTACCTCCCTGCCCCCTTCCTGCTCAGGGTTCAGGCAGCCGGTGAGAGCGGGGAGTGACGCTGGGTGAGGAGTGAGTGGGAGCTACAGGCAGGAGAGGCCTGTTCTCCCAAAGCCAGGCTCTCAGAAAGGGCTGGGCATGAATGAATGAATGAATGCCTTTTCTTCAGCAAAAACTTGCACGTATCCAGCTTGCGTAAGCAAAGGGGTCGCTGAGGTTGGCCATTAAACTGGCTGCCCTGGATTCGAATCCTGACCCTCTGCCCAGCTTGGGGCAAATGATTGAGCTTTCTCAGCCTCTCTTTTTTGCTCTATAAAATGGGGTCCCCAGCCAAACTGCTTCCCTCGGGAGTGAGGTAAGGGAGAGGAGAGCGCTGCCTGGGTAGCAGTGCCCTGCCTTGTACCTAGTGAGCGCTCAAGCGCTGTTCTTCCTGACTGCGTAGCGTGGTTCTACCGCCCGGCTCTGCGGAGGAGGCGGCGCTCTGCAAAACCGCGTCGGGGACACGCAGCCGCGAACTCCTCCAGCGTGCCGGGCTCGGCCCTGGCGCTGGGGCTCACAGGTGAACTCGACGTGGGTCTGCCCTGCTGGAGCGCTCTGGCTCGTGTGGTCACCGGGGGGCGTGGACGTCGGGGCAGGAGGGACACCCGGGCGAGAGACAGAGCTGCTGTCCTTTTCTGTACACAATCTTCGGAAGACCCGACCTGGGGGCCCCGCGGCTTCTCGGCCGCCTGCTGGCGGGCGCCGTCGGAGCCAGTCCAGAGGGAGACTGAGAGGGAGGCCCGGCGAGGCGCCGCGTCCCTGGCATCTTGAAGGCATTGTGTTTAATAAATCCGAGCGAGACGCACACCCGCTCTCATCCCCCTCTCCTCTCAGCTCCCAAATCGAGACCTGCTGTAGGACCCCCAGTTTACGGGGTCTTAAAACCCCCTCTACTTTGAGTAGCAGCTTCAAAGAGCTCCCTTTAAAGTTCGCCCCCTCCCCCGCCCCCACGTCCCCTTTCACAGGCCACCCCTCCTCCACCACTCCTTCTAGACTTCTGGAGGACGACGACAACAAAACACTAAATGCAAGTTTAAAGGGGGGAGGGGAAAGTCTTCAGGCTTCCTCCAGAACGTGGGCTGTGGAAGTGACCTGTTTCAGGCGTGCGCAGGAGTCGCCACACCGTAGAGTTTGGGTTTTCTTTTTCTTTCTTTTTTTTCCTCTTTTCTTTTCCTTCTTCTTTTTTTTTTTTTTTTTTTTTGTTTGTGTGTGTGTTTTTACCTTTTATTATTTAAATTGATACGTTTCATTACTAGGGAGAAAAATAAAATATTCCTTTGATACACAAAATCAAATTGATATTTAGCCTCTGCTTACTTTTTTATGCATGGCTCCTTTATACCACATGGTAGTGACAGATTGTTTGAGCTGGAAGGAAAAGCCATTCAAAGCTAATTAAGCAGCCATTCCAAGCACTATTTGCAAGCGGGAGGCTCAGAAGCCTCGGCATTTGTCAGCGCTCCCCCACCCCGCGTGGTTTTGACTGACAGCTCTGGCCGCGGACTGACAGGGCCCAGCAGCTCCGCCAATCAGCAACGAAGAGCCCCTTCGGCGGTCCGTGATTGGTGACTCGCACCTTGCTCGGAGGCGTGGTCGGCGTCCCCCACGTGGGGCTGGAGCGAGAAATGGGCGGGGCGAGTAAGAAGCGGGTGCGCCCACCCGTGACGTAAGGGGGAGGGCAGAGAAGGGGGAGGGGGAAAGGAAGCGCCAAAGAGGAGCCATTTTGTTTCTAATGAATGCTGCGGCCAGATGCTCGCATCTGTCGAGCCGGGCTTCTCCCTCCCCCGTCTTCGGTGCGCGCCGAAACACGATTTATGTTTTTATTTAGGAGAATAAATAAATGAAGAGGGGAGCGCGGTTCGGGGCTGGCGGCCGGAGCGGGCGCGGGGAGGTTCAGTTCTGAGGCGGGTGCTCACGTGTAACTCCCCGCGCTCCGGCCTCCGAGCGCCCGCTAGCTCTCAGCTCCTCATTAAGATGCAAAAGCGAACCTCCGGCTCCTAATGAGGGGAAAATATAGATCCGGGGACGCGCGGCCGGCTCGCGCGCGGGCTCGCGGACTTGCCGGGGAGGGCCCCGGGGGTCCCGCCTTGGCCGTCCACCGGGCGGTGCGCGCTTTGAGGTCCACTCCCTGCTTGCTCGTCTGCCCCGCCGTAACCCCGAGCGCGGGAGGGCGAGGCCATCGGTTTGCGGGCAAGCTGGCCCCGGAGTCGAGTGGCCTGTGCGACCAAGCGGGGGGTCCGGGGGGCCCGGGGCCGGGGCGAGCGAGCGGGGGAGCGTCCGCGTCCCTCGGAGTGTCCAGGCTAGCGACCGAGACACCTACAGGCTTCCGCCAACGCCGTGGCACTGCCGGGAGCAGGCTGAGCAAACCAGGTGGGAACTCGGAGTTCCCGGGCCTCGGCCGAGCAGGGTCCCGACCCCATCCCCAACCCCCTCAGCCTGGGGATGCAGTGAGGAGCCCGCGCGGCGAGGCTGCGTCGAGGGTGAAGTTGTGCCCACGGGGAAGGCGCCCCGAATGGGGCCAGCCGTGGCTGAGCCTGTTGTCCACGGGCAGCCGGGCCCTTCCATCTGCGCTGCCCGCCTAGCCAGAGTCCCTCAGACTTCTCCTCGCAGGCAGCCGCCGCACATCAAAGGAGCTGTTTATTTGGCTTTCTGAAAAGAAGGGCGAGTGAACAAAGGAGAGCTGGGGGCTAATGTGGGGGAGGCGGGCAGAAGAAGGGGTGAAGAAAAGGGGACATCCTGAGTTCCGAGCAAATTTTTAAAGGTCGGAGGCAACTTTAGGAGCCACCGTTTTATCAGTCCTAAATCTTTTGAAGTGAAAACATTAAAGTGACAAAGTGATTGTTTGTTTTATAGTATCTAATTGGGCTGCTTTGCAGACCTAATGAGATTAGAGGGAGGAATCGTTCGCCGCCGCTGCAGAATAAACTGATACATTACTACCAGCCACAGGTTTTGAAGATTGTACAGCTTGTCTTATTTTCTTTTGTTGTTATTCCTCTGTCTTCCCTCTTTCCTCCTCCCGCTAAATAATTATTTGCTAGTAGACCGTGGGAAAAAAAAGGAGGAAAAAAACTCGAGCAGCCCAGGACTATAATATATATCTATTTATTATATGTCTTTCGGTTAATTCCTGATCTGAGGAGCGCTGTTTTTCACTCCCATGCGAAAGTCACCAGCGGGTAGGGCCTGATTGCTACTTTTCATGCATAGTTTTAGACACAAGAGGGCATTGTGACGTCGCGCCCAGCGGCACCCAGTCGTAGGCCGAGTCCCGCAGCCCCACGTGGGGGCCCCGCGCTCCCATTGGCCAGCGCCGGACGAAGCTGCCACATTATTTTGTTACTTTTCAGTCCCTATTTGGAACTGCTCTCGCGGCAGTTCAGACCTCGTGCTCGTCCCCTTCGCCTGTCTGTGTGTGGTATCCGTAGGTCCGGGGCACTTTTTTTTTTGGTGTGTGTGTGTGTGCGTGCGCGCGTGTGTGTGTGTTGGGTGTGTGTGTTTTGGGGGTTTGCCGGGGCGCGGAGAGGAGAGCCGGGCCGAGGGGAAGGAAGGAAGCCGTAGAGCTCCCCGGTCTCGGGCTGCGTCTCCCCTCCAGCGCTCTCCTGCCTGTGCGCTCCGACGCGGCAGCGGCGGTGGCGCTGAGCGCTCCTCGGTGGGGACGCGGTGCTCAAGCTGGGAGCAGCGAGAACCCTTTGCGGAGGCTTCCCGTGCCCGCTGGACTTAGGATGCCAGGGCGTTTGATTTGCACCTACTGAGCCCGGAGTTCCTCCCCGGCCCTGGGAAGGGCTTGCAGCGGCGGCGGCGGCGGCGGCAGCGGCAGTAGCAGACGGAACAGCAGGCTCTCCTCTCCGAGGGGGGGCGTCGAAGCGCCCGCGCCGGGCTCCCGCCCTCACCCTCCGGCGCTCCTGCGGCCCCAAGCCACCACCTCGTAGCCCGCCTCCTTCCTCTTCTCGCCGCGAGCCCCAGGCCCGGACGCCTCTAGGATCGGACCCGCGCGCCCCGGATGCTTGGGGCTGCCCCGGCGCGCCCCCCTACAGGCGCGACCCGCTGAGTGACCCGGAGGGGGCCCGAGCTCGCCCCAGGAGGGGCCCCCGGCCTCGGGACCCCGCGCCGGACCTGCTGGGGAGCCGACGATGTCCGCGCAGTCCCAGGCATTGACGCGCTCGACGCAGCCCAGGGAAGGCGGCCGGCCGCTGCCCGCCGAGCCCTAGGCGCACAAAGCCCGCGCCCGCCGCCCGGCCCCGGCGCCCGCCGACGACTTTGCCGCCTGCTCCGCGGCTCTTTGTCTCCACTTGGGGCGGGCGCCCGACTCTGGGATTTCGCTGCGAGAACGAGCTGGGGGGGCCGGGGGCGAGCTCTCGGTTTCCCGGCCGCCCCCCGCTCGGGCTCGGCTCCCCCCTCCCCCGCACCTCCCCGGCCCGGGCTCTCGGCGCTTCCACGCTCTCGGAATCACGACCCCTCCCTGCCATGTATCCGCAGGGCAGACATCCGGTGAGTAATTGCAACTCGGTTTATTTAAGCATCTATCATGGCAGGGTAAACGAGGCAGTTTATCTGGCACCTCCATTTTGCTTGTTGCTACCTTTATGGTGTGTGTGTTTGTGTGTGTGCTCTCACACAAAGGGGGATGCGGCCGGGGGGCGCCGTTGAGAGAGGAGGTTAATTCCGCGCGAGTGGCGCGGGGGGCTGCTTGTGTTCCAGGGGGAGCTGTTCACGCGGTCCCCGGCCCCGCTCTGAAGTCTCCCAACTCACCCGGCTTGTCTCCCGCCCCCGCCTTACTGGGGAGAGGGAGGCCCTTGGTGAAAGGCATGGGAGCCCCGCTGCCGACGGGGAGAGATGGGGCGCCCCCCCTCCGCCCCGTCGGAGAGCTGAGAAACTTGCTGGGAAGGTTCTGGGCTGAGGGTGGCCTCTTTTGGTTGGGCGCCGTTGGGGAGGGGCCGGGGCCGCTCTGAGCGCGGTCTCATGCCCCCGCCCCCTCCCCTGTCTTGTCTTCGCGGGCTCCAGGCTCCCCATCAACCCGGGCAGCCGGGATTTAAATTCACGGTGGCTGAGTCTTGTGACAGGATCAAAGACGAATTCCAGTTCCTGCAAGCTCAGTATCACAGGTAAGGCCGGTGGGGGCCGCCCCGGGGCTGGCGGGGAGGGGTGGGTCCCCTGCGCGGCTCCTGCCATCCCCCGCGGGGACGGAGGGGGCTCCCGACCTAGGGGCGGCGGGGCAGCCCGGGCCTCCGCCTTTTGTTTCCCCTTTCCGAGCGCGCCGCCTTAACCCTTTACTGCCCGCAGCAGCCCGGCTCCCAGCGCCGCCCGTGGGGTCCCCGAATGAGGGTCTAGGTCGCGGCGAGCGGGTTCACTCCGGGTTCTGGGTGTCGGGAGCCAGCGTCAGGGTCCTACTCCCCTGCTGCCGTGATAAGTCCTTTGGCTCGCGGGAAGTTTCGAATTGTTTCACATCCCCCTCCCCACGGCGGGGACCCAAATCCCCCCGCGTCCCCAGGCTGTGGGATAATGGGGGCGCCCCCGGGGGGGTGTCAGGAAAGTGGAAAAGTGGCTCTAGAGGCCCTTGGGTCGGGGCCTCAGAGGAGGCTGTCCAGGCGCCACGCCTGAGCCGGCTCCTCCTGCCCTCGCAGCCTCAAAGTGGAGTACGACAAGCTGGCAAACGAGAAGACGGAGATGCAGCGCCATTATGTGATGGTGAGATGCGGCCGCGGGCCTGGGGGGCGGTTGGGGCGCCGACCCCGGCCGGGGGCGCGGCGTGGATCTGGGGAGATGAGCGCCAGGTCCCCACCACCGCCCAGCCGCAGGGCGGCCCTGAGAGAGGGCATAATCTGGTCTTGCCCTCCCCTTCCCCAGCTTCCATTGCCGGGGCCACTTGGAGGAGGGTGAGTGAGGGGAGGGGCAGAAAGAGAAACCCCGATTCCAGGCCGGAGACTTCTGTACTATCTTTATGTGCCTTTAATTTGTGTTTTGAAAGTTTCCCAGGGGCTGATTGCCATTGCCCTATCTTGGCTAGTAAGATAGGATTGGACCAGCCCATGTGAAATTAGGGTTGGTAAAAATCTCTCTTAGTGACCTCCTGGGAGTGTTTGGAAACTTTTCTGCTTTGCAGCTGGGATCTAGCCAGAGTAGGACAGAAGCCCTCCTTCCCCAGGGTGTTGTGAGGAGTGGAGAGGCCTTGTAAAGCTCTCTCTGCCTCCACTCCCCTCCTCAGGGATCCCCCAGCTGGGTATCTTCTCCACGCTGGGGCAGTAGGCAGACTGTCTTCCTTTTGCCCAGCAAGTTTTAATCTTCATTTGTGAGAGGGCACGGCTCCCTGCACTGCTTTCCACATAAGAGGCCTTCGACACAGTGCTAAATAACTCTCAGAGGACAAGAGGGTCCCAGTGTACACACGATTCCCTGTTGAACCTGAACCTTGTATAAACAGGATATAGGGCACATGTGGTGCTTGTGGGAGGGAAGGCCCAGCTCCCCTTACTACCACATAATATAACGTTCTGTTGAGATGAGAGGAACGCTCGCCCTTGTCAGCTCTTAAACCGCTCTGTAAGCTGGCTTTGGGGTTTGATTTAAACTTCTTTAGCAAATGTATCGTAAAAGTATGATTTGGCCAAAACCTTTCCAAGAAAAAACTGATTTTGAAAAATGACCAGATTTCTGTGTTGTCTGTTAATAGCCATTCTTTTTACTTTTAGTACTATGAGATGTCCTATGGCTTGAACATTGAAATGCACAAGCAGGTAAGTGCTTTTCTCTTTTAAAAATATATTTCATTTTTTAAAAACTTATATATGTGGACTTCTTATGTTCTCTCTTGTTTGAAAGTGAGCCTGCTTCTTCGATTCCTCCCCCTTCTCCTTGAAGAGTGAATGGATCCAGTCCTTGAAATGCAAGGTCTGAGGCTTTGCTGATTTTTTTTTAGACATGTTGAGCTTTTAGCATTTGAGCTTGTGAAATTAGTCCTGGTCTTGGATCTCGGTGGAGGATAAAGGACCAAAGGGAAAGTTGTACCTCCAGGATCTGCTTTACAAACTCCTGAAAGCCCAGAGGTGGCTGGCTGCTTTTATCTGTTTTAATGTAAAATTCTCAAGAGGAAATGCAGGAGGATTTTTTTTTTCTTTCTCCTTTTTTTTTTCTTTTTGCAGAAATGTGATGTTCTGCCTTGATAAGATTAAACTTCAAGAACCTTAAAAGCCAGGCTGAGCTGTCGAAATTTAAGGGAACGAAGCCACTAACTGCTTAAAAATATGAAGCCAGAATGAAATACAACTTCAGTGCCTTGCATTGACAAGGTGGCTTTCTCATCCCTGTCTTGATTTGAAGGCAGCCGAGTTCCCATTTTACAGAGAAGGAAGCTGAAGCTCCTGGGTGAAGTAACTTGCCCAGGGGCAGCCTAGCCAGGACTTTCGAGATGGCTGGGGGTTGAGCTCAGCTTTGAAATCCTGAAGTCAAACCAGTTTAGCTAGTGTGGTGTCGTTTGATGGATATGTAAACTACCTGGTATTGTCACTCTTCTAATAACAGTATACCTCAAACCGAGCAAATACAAACACCCTTTATCTCAGTGCATATCAGTAACTAGTCCCAGTGCTAGGCTGGGCTGTGGGAGAGGCCTGTTTGTGTATTTGTGTTCTGAGGAAAGGCTGCCTATAATTTGGCTTGGCCAACGTTTAGAGTTGACTTGGCACGTATAAATGGAGCAGGCAGGCCGGTTGTTCTTTTTAACAATTGGTGTTCATGAAATCTCAGAAGGCTGTTGACTCATTCTAGCCTTTGGTGACCGTGACTTGAATGGATTTTCTGCTCTAAATTAACAGTCGTTTACAAGGTTTCAATTTTGCTCTTTAAGGAGGCAGGACCCAGGGCAGGTGAGAAGGGCAGGTGACCCTGGAAAGTGGGCAGATTCCTACCCACTCGGGTGGCTTCCTATAGAGCCTTTGGGATCTGTAGTTTCCTTTCCCCTCCTGGAGGGAGCCCCCAGTGTTGGGTGAAGGGAAGCCAGAAAGGGGCCTGAGTTTATTGAGCAATGTGTGGGAAGCCAGCTTGTGGCTTCCTGAGGGATTAGTTAGTCCCTTAGGAAGGCACATGAAGGCTACCATGTTTTTACTTCTTGACACACAGAAATAATAGACAGGGCTTTATACGTAAAGATATTTCTCCTTGGAAAAATAGAATAGAGACAGGTTCTGCAACTGGAAGGGGCCAGGTCCCGGAAGAATGCTTGAAATGGAACTGGGGGCCCAGGTGTTTCAAGGACCTTGGGGTGTATGCAGGGTGCCACTTCCTCCCTTTGTCTGCCCTGTCTTAATTTTTTTTTTCTCAAATAGTATCTTGGGTGTGTTTAAAGAGGGTAATTGCACCCAGGTTTAAAATTTATAGCAGCAGTTATTGGAAGAGCTTGGTAATTAAGGTGTAATGTCTCGTTGCATGTTGAGGTCTGCATGGGTGGTGTTCCGCATGTCTGTGAATGAATGGTGCTTTGGCACTAAGAATCCACCTTGGCTCGCAGCAGATCTGTTCTGTGAGTCCTGGGGATGCTGTGAACGCAGGAAGAGTTAAATATCTTAACGCATTTGGTGGTGGGGTTTATATAAAGAGCAGCTGTGTACATCTGGGATTTCTGGCCATTCCCCAAACAAGGTTCTTAAGGGGAGAATGCCTGGGGTTTGGCTACGTTGTCTCATTTAATCCTCTCAGCTGCCAGTGGTGGATAGAGGCATTCTTTGCCCCCTGTTTATAGGTGAGGAAACTGAGGCTTCAGGGAGGCCAGGAGGGCAGAGCTGGGATTCAAATCCAGCCCTCTGGCTTCCCCACTGGGCACTTTACCTTGCTTGCCACTCACCTTTGCCCTCTAGCCTGAGTTCCCAGCCTGAACATGTGTGCTCTGAATGCAGTGGCTTTGCAAGCTTATGGCAGTCTCTGAGTTGGGTGAAATCACCCTGTGGCTGTGGAGGAACAAAGAGGCAAGGAGGTGAAGAAACCTGTGCCGTGAAATGCAACCCTGATCTAATGGAGCTGGCCACTCCCTAGGTTTGCAAGGGTTCTGTAGAAGAAAGCCCTGCCACTAATTGTAGTGTGGGTCTTGGGTGCATTTGGCGAATGGTGGTTAGGCCTGAGCAAACAAGTTTATCAGCTGACCTGTTTAGCGGTTGACTGGTGTTTTATCGGCACACACAATCAAGTGACTGGAGTGCTTGAATTATTCATGCAGTGTCCTGCCCTCTAGACTTGACTGTTCGTGTGATTACATCTGCCTGGAACAAACAGGCTGGATTCTTCATCTTTAAGCTGGGGTGGGGGTGGGGACTGTCTGTACTTTTATATAATAGATGATCTATAGAGCTAGCACCTTGGGAAGTGTGGCAGTCCTCAGCCTGCGCGCATACACGCACACGCACTCCACCATCACCACCACATATTTTTTTTAAAAGCTCTCCTTTGCTGGCTCTATGGGAAATGCCAATTAGCTGGGAACCTCGAGTCCTGCCAGATGGGCCCGGGTATTGACAGAGGGCAGCTGATGAGGTGCGTCCAGCCCATTTTTATTTTACTGAGAGGTTAAACTCACTGTGGCTGGCTCCTTCTCTGGCTGTTTCTCTGTCTCTCTCTTTTTCCAAGCTGTCAAAATCCCAGAGAAGTAATAAATGGTTTCTCCTCCTGCTCTTCTGCCTCCCTCCCTAATTATGGTAAAGCAAAGATTACAGAATCACAGGCCTGGCCCGGGACTTCAAGAGGTCACCCACCTCCACCAAGCCCCCTGCTTCCAGGCAGAATGTCAAGGGTGGTTCAGAGAGTCTGGGAAGGCAGTGATGACTGACCGGCTCATCACTTGCCATCTTGTTTGTGCAGAGGCTTTCCAGTGTCAGCCACAAATAACAAAGCCAGCTTAAAACCAGGGGCCCCAGAGCAATTGCCATGCATTGGATTTGAGGCACTGGCTCTCTGAGAAGCTGGGTCAGGCAGCCTTTTCACCCACTGTTGGTGAGCACTGACATTTTTGAAAGTGGACTTGAGCCATTTTGATTTTGGGGCAGTGTCGTGCCGACACAATACAGTCACCTTTTTCTGTGAACTGAACAACCTTTCCTGTAAGTTTCTCTTTGAATCTTGGAACTGGAAGAGCCCTTTGGCTTCTCATGCAAACTTTTCAAGTTACAGATGAGGAAACGGTGGCCCAGAGAAGGGAAGCTTATGTACTCAGTCATACAGTCCCACGTTAGTGGTAAAGCTGCTACTGCTGCTTCCCTTCCAACCCAGGACTCTTTTCTGTAAGACTCAAGAAATGAAGAGTGCTCCTTTTCTAGTGTATTCTGTGTCTTTAATTACTATTGCTTCTTTCTGTGTTATTATCCAAACAGGCTAAGGCTACAAAACTGGCCCCACCAAAGTCCAAAGTGCCCCATTTCGGGTTGTATAATCATATCACTGAACCCTTATTGTCCACAGTCCTGTTTTGAATTGCCAGCTATTTGCACAACTAATGATTTGATGTGTGTAATAATAATACATAATGCATAACTAGCAATCCCAGAGGAAAGATTCACAGACCGGGAAAGGTGGTATATATAACCTGTGAACTTTTTACCCTAGCCATGGGGTGCCATAAACACAGGGCTGAGGTAGGAAATGGAAAATCCCCATTTGTCACTCCCCTCCCCTCCCCGCTCTGGATCTTCTCATCTAAATGATAAGGGGCTCACCTGGAAGATCTTGAGGCACACAGAAGTTTTGTGACCACGGTGAAGGTGCAAGGTACAGGTGGCCAGAGGGAGCTACCAGGCAATGAGGTTACAAAGGACTCTGCCAAGGAGTTGAGCCTATCTTGATAGGAGAATGTGGGACCACTTGCAAAGTAGAAGGGGTCAAAGGTCCTTAGACTAGGGAAGTGCCTATTTGTGTGGCATCTGAGTTGAGCTGTGAAATTTTTTTTTTCTTTTTTGCCAGAGTGCTAGCATCCAAGAACCCTCCCACCCGGCCCCATGCCCTGGTATCTGTCTTGACTTTTCCTGCTATATTGATCTTCCCTGGAACAGACTGTAATCACGAGTCCTCTCACTGAGTGGGTGCCTGCCTCGCTCAGCTTTGGGGTCTGCTGGGCTCCAAGCTCCCTGCATGCTGTCTAGCTAGAGGGAGGTTGCCCCACCCCTCAAGACTGCCTTTGGACCCCTTTTCTCTAGTTGCCAGTGGGAGTGGTAGAGTGGGGGTTTCAGTGCTTTTGGGGTCTTTTCCTTCTTGTGCATTTGTCATTGAAATGACCCTGGGAGATGAGCAAATGGCCCCTTGTCCTTACTTTACAGATCAACGGGTGGGAACCTGGCTCCTAATTCGGGACTCATTCTCTGAACTCTCTTGGACCAGGAGCCCGTGGCAGACACGGAGTTCTTCCTTTCCTTGAACTCCTCCTTCCCACCTAGGCTGTTTGTTTCCATTTTGTTGAAGGAGTGAGTCAGTCAAGGAATAAATCTCCTTTTGCTTTCTACGTGGGAGAATGTCATTCTGTCTCATTGTTTGTACAAAATACTGGGACACCAGGGGCAAAAACGTGACAAAGACCTAAGCTTGGCAGTGTTTTCCCCTGTGATCTGGCACTCATTCCTCGTCTCATTTTTGTAGGTATGAAGGAAGCCCCTCTGCTGAGGTCTCTATAGCACTTAGTATGTAATAGGTGCTCAGTAAACATCTTGGTTTTTCTTCAAAATTTACTCAGGTTATCTGAGAGTAGAGTTCCGATTCCCTGAGCCCTGTGAGTAGGAAGTGGGGATTTTAGTTGTGGGCTGGCCGCCCGCTCTGCAGGCTTCCTCCTATGGCCCAGCATCCAGTTTCTTCATCAGTGAAATGAGGGGGTTGGATTCATTCCCAAAGCAGTTATTAGGGGACTGGGATGTGCTGGGTGTGGGCTGGGGTTGGTTACACAGCCGAATAAGACACCATTCCCTCTGCGGGGGAGTCGGATGTCTAAAGAAGTAATTGCAATGCAGTGAGGTAAGTGCTAATGTGGCCCAAGTGTCATAGGAGGAGCACCCAGCACAGAACAGCTTATTCTTCTTGGGTGAGAGCAGACTTCACTGAGGGCTTTGCTTGGCGCGAGTCTGAAAGGGAGGGTAGGGTTTATGAGGCAGAAGTCGGCAGCCGAGGCCCCTCCAGGGTGGCAACAGCTCGCGGCAAGGCAGTGAGATATGTTCTAGAAGCCACACGTCTTCGGAATGATGTGGGGCGGGGACTGCACTTGGGAAGTGAGGCGAGGTGGTGACATTTTGCAGCAGAGCGATCTCCAAGGCCCCTCTGCCCTTGCAGTCGCGGCTCCCCACCCGGTGGCTCCCTGCATCCCTGCATGGCTGGCTCTCCAGGGCTGGCCTGAGTCCATCTGCCGCGGGGTGGGGGTGGGGGCGGGGGCGGGGGCCCGCTCTGGGCCGTTTGTGGCCTGCTCTGCCTGCTTTCCTACCGTAATATGCTGCTTTGAACTTTATTCCCCAAAGTGGCATTGTCTCCTTTCTCATATTGGTAATTCTGTAATGACTGGTTATGACCCGCCCCCTCCCCCATATTTAATTCTCATCAGCCCAGCTCTCCACTTTGCTATTAATGATAGCAGCCAGCAAAATAGCTTTCAACATGCCATTGACAGTCTGGTTTAAGAGAGCACTTGAAGTAGTGCTAGACAGCTGAAAGCACCCATAATTGTGTACCAGAGTGAGAACTGCGTGCTCAAGGGCCTTGTTTTTATATGCTTAAAGGGACAATATCTTGTTTTCAACAAATGCTCTCTGAGACTCACAGCCAAGATGCTTTCTTCCTTTTTCCTTTTCCTTTCTTCTTTTGGCTTTCTCTTCTCCTTCAAAATACATATTTAAAAAAAATTCTTTATAAAATAATTGTTCCCTTCAAGTTGGGGTTAAGGAGAAACTTAAGGAAGGGGGAAACGTCCTGCCGCCATGTAAGCGGGGAATATTTGGTGGGTTTGTTGTTTTGAAGCATCGTCCTTTGCAGGCAGCAAGCTGTGGGTCAGCCTTGCCCTACTGAGGGTCCTTAGGACCTTGCGTTTCTCAAGGAGGTAATGGGAGAGTCTGAATTCGCATCAGCATTGATTTTGAATTCTTTTCTTTGCTAAGGATGTTGCACAATCAGTGGGCTGCAGAGCTGTCACTGTGAATGTTTAGGCAGAGGCCACCTTTTGGGGGAGGGCTGGAGGAGAGGGGTCACCGTGTTGGAGAGTCAGGCCATGACCGCTAAGGAATCAGATTCTAGGAGGCTGTTTGCTGCAGAGTTGATGGCCCAAGAGGCCCGTCTGGAAATCAACAGGGTGGGTGGGGCAAGGACTTGTATTCTTAAGTACAGGTTCACACCAGGCTTGGAGGGTTAACCAGGGGGCCCGGCTAGTCCACCCGGCAGATTTTATCTGAGAACAAATACTTTTCTCCCCTTCACACCAGCCGACTTCATTATTGCTTTGAAAATGCAGTCCTTTGGAAGAGGTTTCCTTTGCCTCTCTGTCACCAAAGCCTCCCATTGCCAATGTGTCCTGTGAAGGGAGAAGAGAGAAGCAACTTCCCATCTGTGGGGCCTGAGAGGCCAGGGAAACCCTGTTGGGGCCTGAAGTCTATGTTGTCCTGTTCTCTCCCAGGCTGGCTGCTCTTGGTAAAGGGTAGGAGCATGGATGGGCTTGGCTCGTGTGTCTTAGGTGGTTCCTTCCATCACCCACTGTGTGAAGGATAGGATCCAGTGTTCTGGCTGCTGCCACCACCAAATAATCCCAGGGGAAGTACTTTCCAGAGGACAAACTGTTTGAAAAATTTGATCTTCCAGATATTATAGATTATAATGCTACGGCCTCTTAGAATTTCTGTAGCACTTGATTGCAAAGCAGATTCGACATTTTCATCTTAGCAGCTAAAATAATGGGTATTTGGGTCCAGGACAGACAGACACCAGGATAAAAGCATCAGAGCATACCCTGAAAGCTTGGGGTGTGAAGATGACCTGTGTACTAGAGGGCTGTGTTCTCAAATTGGGGTTGGGGAGGTGAGGCCTGTGCTGTGACAGGACTGTGAGTTCCGTGAGGGACAGGACCATTTTGTATTTGTTTTCACTAAGGGTCCTGAACCCTGAGCAGTGCCTGGCCCATACTGGATACACAGTGTGCATTTTGTGGGGACTCAAGGAAGGAAGGTAATATTCCAGCTCAGGGTTCTCTCTGACCCTGAATAGTGTTATGGACTCTTTGGGAAGGATAGAAGCTTTCTTAGTTTTCTGACAGAGGCCTGTAGGCTGCAAACGTTGTGTTTGTAGAAAGAGTTGTAAAGGTGTCATGAGCCTTTATTTAAAAGTGTCTTTAATGTATCTTAGGCATCTTTTTCTTTTCATCTAACACTATGGACAGTTTAAGTGCAAAAGGGGAAGAAGGCAGGGTGGGGGTGCGAAGAGATAACTGGGAGGAAGAGATGACAAAGCAGAGATGCGGAAGAGACAAGTGCTGAGTGGGTGAATTGGTAAACTCGGCTTGCCATGCCTTGGCTGTTTGGGCATGGAGTTCCAAGTGTTGTGGCCTTATCTCATGAGCCTTTTAAGTTTGACTATTGTTCACAGTTCTTCTACTGCTTTTTTTGTTTGTTAATTTTGAATGAAAACTACCGCAGGCCGATAGAAGTTTCTTTTTCGTTTGCGCTGGAAGGCTGACCCTTTCCTCAAGTGGAGACCCAAATGCAGAAGAGCTCTTCCCACTAGTGTTTTAGCACTGAATACCAAATGCAATTTGGGTACAGGAGAGGGCTCTCCCTTCCTGGTCAGCCATGAAGACTTGAGGTTTAGACTCCACCACCCTGCCAGCTATATGACCAAAAGGTTGGAGGAGGCGGCCTTTCACCCACTTCCCAAATCTTTCCCTTGGGCTAGCCCTCGACAGGTCTTTGCTGAGTTTGGATCTGAAACTGATTAATTCTGATAATACTGGCAGGGGCATGCTTTGGAACCGGTGATGCTTTGTGATTTCTGCTGGGGAAAATGAGAAGAGGAAGGCAGTTCAGTGCAGACTAGTGGACAAGGGATGGGAGTCCATTCTAGCTCTCTGGTGGGGGTGAGGTACAAGAACTTCTATTAACCTTCCTGGCCTCTGTCCAGGAAGAAGTAGGACACTCAGAGGGCTCAGAAGCAGCAGGTGATGCCAGATGGTCTGGAGTGAGGGTCTAACTGGTCGGGTGGGATAGAGGAAGGAGGAGCAGGGGAGACAGAGGAAGTGAGCCTGTTGGCACTGATTGGTCAATAGGTCTTCAGCTCATCCTTAAACCCTTACCTGCTTCTTTTCCTAGAAGGAGGCCCCTTCCTCTGATCTCTCTCTCCAGTGAAGAAAGCTGAAGTCCAGTTCTTATTTTGCTTTGCCTAACAACAGAAGTCCTGGGGAAAGACAGGAAGAATTGAGATTGATGGTACAATCCCTGTCTCCCATCCCTCAATCGCTGGGTTTTCATACTTTATCCCAGAGAAATGGGGGATCTCCATGAAGCCAGACTTGAAATGGGGGAGAAGCAGCCTGGTTTAGAGCTCGAAAGACATGCCCCTCTCCTGCAGGGTCCTGCTGCTGTTGGCCTGGTGTCGGTCTCCATGTCACCCAGTCCTTGTGTGTGGCAGGCACCCACAGGCCTGGTCTGCAGGAACTTGAGAAGTGTCTAGATACCCCTTTCTCTTAGCCTTTTGGGTTTTCTCACTATTCTTTTACCTGGTTTTTTACCTTACTTCTCAAGAGACCCCTACCCAGCTCTTCCTCACTATCCATTTGCCCAGGGATATTGGGCAAACTCCCTTTTTAAACTCCCAGGATGTTGAATGCCCATTGGGCCTACTGGATGATGGATGGGGTGGGTTCCCAGCAAGCCAGTTTTTCTTGGCCAGTGGATTCCCTTTCTCCCTCAGAAGATCACAAGTTCTTGCCGGGTGATCCTGGAGAGTTAGGTATAGAGCACCAGAAGCTGGGAGATTTGTCTTCATGGCTAAGAGGTTGGCTTTGGAGTCAGACAAATGTGGGTTTGAGTCCCAGATCAGTTCATGTTGGTGTGTGACTTTGAGCAGACTGTTTGACCTCTGTGATCTTCAGTTTGCAGTGGAGATAATAATAACACCTGCCTGTTGCGGCAGTGCTGTCCAGTAGAACTTTCTTCAGTGATGGAAATGCTGTATGTCTGCACTCTTCAGTAAGGCAGCCACCAGCCACGTGTGGCTCTTAAGCACTTGAAATATGGCTACTGCGACTGAGGAACTGAGTTTGAAATTTAATTTTAATTAAATTTAGCTAGCCACGGGTGGCTGGTGGCTTCATAAATTGTACAGTTACAGTTATAGGGAGTGCCATGAAGGATGCATATAGCCTGCTTAGCACAAAACCTTGCACATGGAAAGGCCGAAGCAAGGTATTCTCACAAGGGGACAGAGTCCCCAAATTGTCAAGGCCTCAGACATAGAGGACAAGATCCTTGGTGTTGCATATGTTGTAAGATTTCTCAGAGCCCTTTCCCATATGTGACTTGTTGGCTCTACGGTCCTGCAGTGTAGGCACCGTGGGCGCCACGCATCAGATAGCAGCACTGACGGTTAAAGAGGTTGAGTAACTTGCTCATTGTTGCACAGCAGACCAGTGGCCAATTCAGAACTGGAAACCAGGCCTGCTTCCCTCGTGGACCTCAGTGATCTTTATCCATAGGCTATATCAAGATGAGGTCTTCTGTGGTCTTCCCACATGTCTACCCCCAGACCACCATACTACAGGCATCAGTTCCAGTGCTGGGAAGAAACCAGATGAAACCTTTCAGAATTCAGTAAAACATGAGCATCAGCCACATGTGGATCAGGGATTGCCACCCTGGGCGCTGTTTACATTTGGGACTGGATAATTTTTTGTGGTGGGATTGTCCTCTGTGTTTAGGATGTTTAACAGCATTTCTAATCTCTACCCACTAGTTGTTGTTATCAGTGCCCAAGTTGTAACATCCAAAAATGTCTCTAGACATTGCCAGAATCCCTTGGGGGAAACAATTACTATTGGTTGAGAGGCCTTGTTATAGAGGAAGGAGTCTGGCTCTAACCTGGGAGATTTGCTTACCACCTGGTCTTCCTGTGTGGTCTTCCTGTGTGACAGCTTCTTGCCCTCTCTGGGCCTCATTTGACTCATCTGTAAAATGAGAGATCAAATGGTGTGGCTTGGGAGGAGGTCAGTTTGAGAAGGAGCATATCATATAAAATAAGTTTCTAAATGACCGATCTTGATTTTTATAGCCTAAGAAATGCCATCACTCCTGCCTTCCTTATTTGGAGAAAGAAGACCCTCTAACCCTTTTTATTTTAATTTACGGAACAGGTATGCTCTTTGGTTGTGAATAAGATGGTAGGTAGATAGAATGGGGCTCTGTCTCTGCCCCTCACCTTGTTCTTCCCTCATGCCACTTGGGTTTTCCAAAGAGTCCCTGCCCTTAAGAAGTCCTAGCCAGCATTTCATTTGTAGTGCTGACCTGATGGGGGGAGACCCCCAAAATTTAATGAGCTGTCTCTGCAAGGGTAATGTGACTTTTACAGCCTGTTGAGGGGCAAGGGGAGATTTGCATAATGTTCCAAGGGGGATTAGGTGGCTGGGGGTTGCCATGGCAACCCCACAGGGATGAATTGAGAATTTTTCCTCCTGGCAGGAGTTGGCCAATGGAGTCTGGGAAGGTGGGGGAGGGGGCAGGGGGTTATCTGAGGGGAGGGAGGAGGGGGAAGGAGAGAGGGAAGGGTGGGGGCGGTGTGCCTGGGATGAATGGGCAGTGTTGGGGGAAGGTATAATCTGAAAAAGCACTCCCTGTTCTGTCTGTACAAGCAAGCTCTTTGAGAGCCATCTCCCCCCACAAGTAGGGGTGGGAGGCAAGCAGAGTTTAGTGTGTTTGGGAACCAAGAAATTAAAGTGAACAAATATTTAAAGATTATTGGATCTTGTTAACAGGAAGCCCGGTAGATGGAAACTGAAAGTCTGAGGAATGAAACTCTTTAGAGTCCTAAAGCCAGGAGGGACTTGAGCTGTCATCTGGGCCCTGTGGTGTCTGCCTCCAAGTCTCTGTTGGGTCTCCATGGAATGCTCCCAAGGGCAGGGCACTCACACAGCACCTAATTCATTTTTGAGAGCTCCGATTATTACACTGGACTCAGATTGGACTTCTTTATTCGGAAACTGAGGCCCAAGTGCAGGATGGATCTGGGCTAGGAATGCAGGACTCTAGACTGTATGTTGCTACCTGTTTCTGGGGTTGGGTTGCCTGGATGCATGCTAGCTTGGCCTAACCATCCCCAGTTCCCTTACACTGTAGACCCCTGGAAGAAAAGAGGAGGTGGGATTCCTTTCAGGGAAGTGTGCAGAAGGGTCGTCCCAACCCCAGCAACCCCAGAGTCCCTTGCCGTTGATCGGTCCTAGCTGGGGAAGGGTGAGTGTGTTTCCTCCTCCCTGCCCTGGCTCCTCACTGTCATCCTCACCCGCCTGTGAAGGGTACAGGGGCTGGTGCCCAGAGTGTCCTCACAGGCCGGCTCAGGCCAGCATCCCCTTCCCTTCCGGAGGAGACAGATCCTCAGGGTCACGCTGAGGGGGGCTGGGCCTTTCTTGTACCAAGTCCTCCCAGCATAAAGAATTCAGCAGGCTTCCTCGGAGGGCATAAATATTTAATGGCGTTGTAGTTATATATAATTTGATCAATATGTCAGTGCTAAAAGGGCCTTTAAGAAGGCTCACCTGTCATTGAGTGATCTGTGATGTGAACCTTCACCAGCCCCTCCAGTAGCGGGAGGGGCTACATTTCCCAAGGCTGCTGCATAGATCATTTGTTGACCCTCCTCCCCTTCTTACATTGTAGCACTGCTTCCCCTCAGAGCCCATGGCGTGGATGGAGCAGGGCCTGAGAACCCCACCCCAGCTTTTGTTGGCTGTCCCCCGGCCCCCCCATGGATTTCTTCCTCTGTTGATAAAACACCCACTTGTTTTATTTCAGTGTTCTCTGAGCTCGGCCTAAGGAGAAACTACCTGGCAAGGACTATCCTCTTTTAGTCACATCATTGAGAGGCTATCCATTTAGTATTGCCTAGGAAATGCAATGGGATATTTTAAGTTAAAATTGCCCAGACGTGGTATTCTGAATCTGGGTGATTGGCGCCTGGCTGCTGGGAGGCTGCTGGGAAGGTTGGGGCCAGGGCCACCTCTTTCTGCACAGCCTCCCACCCCAGCCTTTCCCTGCAGCTCTGGGATTTAAATCAAGATGAAGCAGACTCTCTTCAAACTCCAAGGACTCAGTCAGAGAAGTAGGTAAAACCTGATTAAAATTTAAGAACCTCAGAGCTGACTGAGATGACACCCCCAAACACACACATTTTCTAGAGGAGTAACCTGAGACCCAGAGGCCTGCTGGGATGAAAATCGTCACTTCCCCATGGCTTTGCAATGTAATTCACCTTTCAAATGGGCAGGTCCCTTCCTCATCTCATCTTTCACACACATCCGCAAACTGGTCTCAGACTCACAGTACCATGCTCTTTGCATGACACTGCCCTGATTTTCCGAAGAAGAAATCCTCATTTCACAAATGTAACTAGAAGCCTAGTAGCATGGGATGGCCGCTTGCCTGTCTCACAGACGTGGAATTACTTCCCGCTGAATGCAACAACTTGGAGAACCCTGGCCTGGTTGTCTTAGCCTCACCAACCAGTCTTCCCTTTTGAATCACAGAAACTGCACAGTAGGGGCTTGACACTTAGAAGTATGATATCATTGTTCTTGCCTAGAGGCTCTTCCACAGTGAAGCGCAGTTTTGCTGATGGACAGATTTGAATGGCTCGTGCTCTGAAGACTGGTCCTTGGGACCCAGCCCAGGTCAGCCAGCTGCCCAGCAACCAGCCAGCATCCATCCACATCTCAAGGTGGCTTGGCTCTTCTCTGCTGGTCTTTTGTAAATTCATGTGATGCTCTGTTTTATGGAGGAAATGATAAGCTGCACGCCAATTCGGGAATATTTAGGGTTCTAAAACTCTAAATTAGGGCTCCTGGATCTTATACGTTATCTAGTTAATCCCTTCATTTTGCAGACAACGAAATTAATGCCTAGAGAAGGGAAGTGATTTGCCCAAAGCCACACAACTAAATGGAGGCAGAATTGGAGGTAGAAGCCAGCTCATCTCTGCGTGGCGTTGGAGCATAACACACTCTTTGAAGGGGCAGTTTTCTCTTCTCCTTGCCTTTATTTGGCTGAGGTTAAAAGGAATTGTGCATTCAGAGTCCACAGGTACACACGACAGGGCAGTTTAAAACTAACTAGCAGACAGACTCTCTGGTGGAAGTAGCTCTCGACGGTGTGTTGGACACAGTCACCTAAATTAAAAATAAGGGCAAGGACTGGCTGGGTGCTGCAAGCCCAGGAGCAGGAGGTTGCTGGGGGGTACAGATCAAGAGCAGGCTCCGTTTCCCTTAATTTAGTGTCTTGGGTCAAGGGCCAAGGATAGTCTGAAGTAGCAGCAAACGTGAATACTAGACTGTGGTTAGAGAAATAGACTTTTAGAATGCTCAAGTACCCTCGGTTTACAGCAAGATGTTCAGAGGTCCTGCTTTAATGAGGAGATGATCATGCAAATGGGAGCTACTAAGGCGCATGGAACAGATTGCTGTTTGGGAAATTACACTTGCCCCCCACTATCTTGTTTTCTGTCATTTATTTGCCTAACAATCTTGACAGAGATGCAGGGCAGATGTTACTCCCAGCGCCCAGTTGGTAGTGCAGATTCCGGATGTAGCAGGACCTCTGTCCCCATTTCTCTGAACTGCTTCTCTGTCTGTATCTAGTAGATTAGTTCCTTCTGAGGAACAATGTTTTTCCACCAACAAAGCGCCTGCTTTGAACCATACTTGAAAAGAAACTTTCAAAGGCGGCACCAGCCTCCCTGAACACCTTTTCCAAAGTGCTTTCCAAAGGGAGCCATCTTCCCACCTCCCACCACCTCTCAGATTCGCTTCTGAAGACCTGGCTCAAAAGCAGTGGCTTTGTGGGACCGAGATGGAGGGAAGGATGGAGGTCGGCCTCTGGAAACTACAGCCGCCTTATCGATAACGGATTGCGCCAAGTTGCCAAAAGGAGTTTTCCAACATACGATCGAGTTCCAGTTTGTGATTTGTGACCTGTCCCAATTGTTGAAGTCACACTTGATTTTTTTTTTTTTTTTTCCTTTTTTGGAACTGATGTTTAGAGCTTGTTTGAGTTGGATCCAATGCTGTTTTAACAGCTGTTCTAATCAGAAGTGCTGTCAATTATTAACCTTAATGGTGGTTTTTCTTTCAAAAATATTTCTCTAAGCTCTCTTGAAATGTCAAAATTTGGCTTCTTGGTAGGAAGTCATTTAGTGAAATCACTTAATGGCTGGGCATCAGTTTCCCCATCTGAAAAGTGGAGATGTTGACAAGCGCCTTCTCCGCGGGGTTATTGTGGATGCACACATGGCGAGTTGGGTGGGTGATATCAGCGGTCATTACTGTTGTTAGGAGGGCTTCTGTTAAGCCAGCTTTCCATTTCCAGGAACTTCCCCTCCCCCAAGCGCCACCCTCCAAAAAATAAACATTTCTTTAAAATGTTGAGCGAACAGCTTTCCTGTTCATGCTTTGACTCTGCAGAGTGCACGCAGCCCATTCTCAGGGTTGGGCAGCCTTTGTAGAGATGGGGGAGGCCCAATCCCTGCTTCCACTTTGTGGGGAGACCCCAAGAGGGTACTAGCAGATGATGGCACAGTGACAGCTGGGAGGGATGGGATGTGCTTGCTTCATGTCCCTTTCCCAGGGGAGGGGCTGGGTTTACGTTGGGAGAACTTTTACGGTGAACCAGGAGGTTCTCCCAACGTAAGCCCAGCCCCTCCCCTCTGCCTGCCTCAACCCTACACAGTCCTGTCTGGTGACGTGCCAAAGTCCTTCCTGCCTTGCAGAGAGGCCTCTCTTCGTCGAACATGGGCCTCAGGAAAGACAGCCTGAATGCCACTACCCCAGGCTTGTGGAAGGTTCTGCATCTGTGTGGCATTGTTGCGATAGCCCTCAGTTGATGCTTGTTTGTGGTGTTGGGAGGCAGGAACTACTTTAGGAGGGTGGAGGGGTGAGAATGAGAGAGGACTTGCCCTGAGCCACCCAGCTGTGGTCACCTGATGGCCCGGATGGCTACATAAATCCTGGGAGATCCGTTGTCCTCATAACCAGAGTGAGCTGGGCTCCAGACCAGCCCTATGGGAAGATCCTGTCTGTGGGAAGCCTTTGGCCACGTGTTTGCTGAAGGGTGTGGGGAAGGGCAAGGTCAGCTACGTTTCTTTTTTGTCAACTCCCGAGACCCTGACCCTTGGCCTGTTTACCAGTGGAAGGAGGCCATAGCCAGAACCCTTTTATAATCACCCTGCCTCCCTGCTCTCCCAGAGACTGTGAGAGTTAATAGTTGCTGAGGAGGCCAGAATGACTGGGGATGTTCTGACCTTGCCCCTGCCTTCCTGGCTGTGGGGAGGAGTAGTGGCCAGGGACCCATCTAGGTGGCTTGCGATTGGCCTGGCTTGGAGGTGCCACCCCACCCCGTTGGTGAAGGGCTTGGGCCACTGGCCACCAAGTGTATGTCAACACTCCATCCACCACGGCCCCTCCCACAGATGCTGCCCATGCTGGGGCAGGCCCAGATCCACAGCAAGGGGTCACTGCAATATGAAGTCTCAATAAATGCAGAGATGCCAGTGATACTATTCTTTGGGCCAAACATTTACGGAGC
This sequence comes from Homo sapiens, assembly GCF_000001405.40. Lineage (NCBI taxonomy): Eukaryota > Metazoa > Chordata > Mammalia > Primates > Hominidae > Homo > Homo sapiens. The sequence continues at coordinate 70,078,499 of NC_000015.10, read as the reverse complement.
AGCTACTGTGTGCCAGACACTGCTCTATTGTTGTTTAAGATAACAGGCCTTGGACCTGTGAGCTTCCTAAACAGTAAGGTTGGTTTTTTTTGTTTATTTTTGTTTGCTTTTTGTTTTTTACATATCTTTCTATTCTTATTTGGTGCATGAACTCAAAGGTGAGAGAACTTGTTACTCTGCCGGTTTGGAGTGAGCTGCAGCCTATGCTTGTTTCTAGAACTCCTGCCCTATCCAACCCGGACTTTTTTGCTTCATTCCCCATTCCTACTATCAGTTGATTTAGGCGAGGAAAAAATAAGCAGAGTGAGGAAGGACCCTGTTTGGGAGAGCTCTTCCCACTTAACTAGATTAACAATTTATATAATGATTATTTAGTAATCCTCCTGGGTTCCTTAGAGTATGAATGACGGGTGTCTAGTGGGTGGAGAGGCCAGGGATGCTTTTAAAAGCCCTGCAGTGCACAGAACGGGCTCCACACAGCAGTGAATTATCTGACCTCAGATGTCAATAGCATGGTGTTTGAGAAACCCTGATGTATGGTGTCCTGGCTAGAGTGCCCCACACATGTGTCAATGTGGAGTCCCAGTGGGTCTGAGCTGGGCAGTTTGGAAGTGGGGGCCATTGTTGACACAGTTGGCCTGGGATATGAGCGACAGTCCTTTATAACAGGAATTGTCTCTCCCCAAATGCCAACAGTGGTGCTGGCTGGGAAACACTGACTCTGTTCCTGAGGAGCTAGAGTGTTCTAGGCAGAAAGCTGACAGCAGTGATTCCTGATCCTCTCCCTGCCAGGAACCCCCACTGTAGCGGACAGGCTCCGTAGGTTGGCGAGCCCTGCCACCGTGGCTGGCAGCCCAGGACACAGGCCTGCAAAAACCCATAAGGCTCTTTAGTTGATGGCCTGCCTTTCCACAAACCAGAGGCGTCCTCTTTAGTGGCCAAGGGTGGAGGGGGTGGAGGGTGTTAGCCCAAGGAATTCTCCCGAGGTCCAGGGTCTATTTATGCGCCTTCAGATTGTTTTTATTTTAAGTGCACAAGGATTTCTCATCCAGAATCATTTGACATGCAGATGATCACAGATTTTTAAAGGCTGTTGTCATGGTTTTGTCTCTGAAAGATTGCTATGTGCTGATGAAAGCTTTGAAGCCAGCTTTGGGACCTCAGTCCTGGCGGGCTCAGGATTCAGAATGAGATAAGAAAAGCAATTCTGAGAGTCGTCTGTCAGTGGTTCTAGGCCTTTCTATCTGGACTCAGTTAACCCGTATAGCACCACTCTTGATCTGAGATCTAAAGTTTACATAGGATACTGGTGGAAACTGTTGACTTTCTAAATGCAGTCTTTTCTAGGGTGTTGGGAGATGAGGCAGAGAATTGATCTACCTTTCTAAGATTGACTTCTGTGAGGGATTAGGGATCTAATGAATTACATCTCTGAGCAGCTTCTTAGACAAGGCAATGCTATATCCTAAAAAATGAAGTGTTGGCTGGGCATGGTGGCTCCTGTCTGTAGTCCCAGCCCTTTGGGAGGCCAAGGTGGGCAGATCACTTGAGCCCAGGAGTTTGAAACCAGCCTGGACAACGTGGCGAAACCCAGTCTCTACAAAAATACAAAAATTAGCTGGGAGTGGCAGTGCACCTATAGTCACAGATATTTGGGAGGCTGAGGCAGGAGAATCACCTGAGCCCAGGAAGTCGAGGCTGCAGTGAGCCAAAATCATACCACTGTACACCAGCCTGGGTGACAGTGAGACCCTGTCTTAATGGGAAAGAAAAAAAAAGAAAGAAGGCTTAATGGTAGGATTTTAGCCTGGTAGCATATATGTGGGGGAGGGATTGATCTTGGTGAGGGAGAGGCTAGTCCCAGGGAACCCTTTGCCACATAGGACCGCTTATCAGCTTAGTCCCATTTATCTGAGAGCTCATGTCCTATTGGCACTGGGCACCAGTGGGCAGAGCAATTCCTCTCTCACTAAACTGTGTTTCACTCTTACAGTGGGTTTTGCTGGGTTGTTGGGGGTGATTTTTATTTCGTTTTGCTTTAATTAGGGATTCCATCCAGAGGATGCAAACTATATTCTGAACCAGACATGTAGACTACCTCTGATGGAAATTGGAGCTCCCTAAAATGTAGGCAGCCTGGCTGCAAGGGAGTTGAAAGAGATTTCTTCATGCTGTGGATTTAGCTAGAGCCTCCTGGTAGGAGGCTGACTGAGGGCAGAAAGGATGGAGCCCCGTGGAGAGGGGCTGTGGTCTGGGGGGAGTTTGCATTTCCACTTGCCTATGACATTTCAGTGACTTGATTTATTTGCCTGAGCTTCATGTGGTCTCCTTGCCTTTGCAGACAGAGATTGCGAAGAGACTGAACACAATTTTAGCACAGATCATGCCTTTCCTGTCACAAGAGGTAAGACCTTCTTTTATTATTTCTTCCTTTTCTTTCCAAATCAGCCCAGTGGCTGGTGGGGTCTCACTGGAGCCTGAGCCCCAGCCCCAGCCCCAGCCTCAGCCCCTGTCCATTCATACTGACTGAGCTGACAACCTGGAGATTTCCAGAGCCTTCTCCGGCCAGTCTGGAGGCAGGGGGCCATATCAGAGGGACCATTTGCTCCTTCTTCTCATAGAATTGTTTCTCTGCCATCACCTGAGTCCAGAGATTGGAGTGCTGGCATGCGACCTAACCATCAGTGGGCAGTGGGTGCCTCTTTCCCATCCAAACTAGCATCCCCAGCCCAAAGTGGACCTCAGTTCCTGGTACAGAGTGCCCTTGCTGGGAGCATGACCCAGGTGGTCATGTCACTTTCTACGCCTACCTTCCAAGGGACCTCCATTTGGGACAGCGGCTGGACTAGTGGGTGATTTGAGATAAATGCCTGCAAAGAAGCCCCCTGGTGCCGACCAGACAGACGGGCCGACTTTAGTGGGCTCTGTTTCTGTCCTCTGATTTCACTCCAGCCAGGGCAGGCCCTGCCCTCTACTCCCACTCAGTGGCTGGGACCATGTCAGCTCCCTCAGGGACTCCTAATGGTGACCTGAGTAAATGATTGAATTAATATATAAGAATCAGATATGGCAATGCCCTCGGAGCTTGCAGCCCAGTAGGAGAGAAAGCTGTGTATGTGGCTGGTACTACCTCAAGGCCAAAGGGAATTAATGCAACCACTTTTTAAAATAGACTTTATTTTTTTAAGAGCAGTTTTAGGTTCACAGAGATTTCCCATATCCTCCCCACTATCAACATCCTCACCAGAGTGGTACATTTGTTGAAACTGATGAATCTACATTGACACATCATCACCCAAAGTCCGTAGTTTACATTAGGGTTCATTTTACCACTTTTTCTTTCTCTATCTGTTCATCTGGAAACATACTTTGTTTTCTCTCTATTTAGACAGGTATGGATAAGGTATATGTAGACATACTTTTTCCCCAAATCCTTTGACGGTAAATTGCAGATATCCTGACAATTCACCACTAACTACTATAACTGCATCTCCTAAAAACGGATACCATCCTTCATGATTACAGTATTGTTACCATGTTTAGAGAATTAATAATCATCCTGTAATATCATCTGATATCCAGCTCATACGCAAATTGCATGGAAAAATTTGTGTGTGTGTGGTTGACTAATAGCCATCTTTTGGCATGCTCTTTGTTTTAGAACTTAAAAGGAAGTTTCAATTACAAAACTAATACATGCTCATTGAAAAAGGTCTAAAAGAGAAAGTAAAATCGCCTGTCACCCTCCCCCCTACTTGTGCCCTGTGCCTGTTCAGTGGGACTCCTCTGTCTGCTCTGGGCCTCTCCGAGAGGCCCTGCCAGTGCTGCACAGCCTGTGACCTCCTCTGTCCAGGAAAGTGGCTGCATCTAACGCACACCCTCTTCCCTCCAGCACCAGCAGCAGGTGGCGCAGGCAGTGGAGCGCGCCAAGCAGGTCACCATGACGGAGCTGAACGCCATCATCGGGGTACGTGGACTCCCCAATCTGCCTCTTACCGTGTGTATAGCCCTTTTATTCCTCTCATTTATCATAACCAGAGATTGACCCTGACCTTAGCTGGCCTCAAAGAATGGCGGCCCCAGGGCTCCGGCTTCTACAAGCACCCCAAGGGCTTGGACCCATGTAGGGCTGTTTCCCCCTTGGCTCCCAGTTGCCTCCTAGTCCTCAAACTAAAGGGGAGCCAGACACGCCTCAAATCCACCTCTTCAGCCATCTGCCTCATCTTCCACTGGCTTTTGGTGTCCTTGCCATTGAGGAGGGTGGGGGCCTAGGGTCACCTTCAAGGCCAGGCCAGCTGGCCAGTACCTGGCCACCTCCTCACACTTACCCCGGGGCCTGTCTGCCTCCTCCCTGGCAGAAGTCTGCCCTTCTTTGGCCACCTGGGATCAGAACAGTCTCTGCTGTACTGTTGATGTGCATCGTGCTGTGGAATTTGGGTTTACGTCTTGCTGTCCCATGCGCGAAGCTGCCTGGCTGAGCATTCATCATGTACGCTTGTGAACTCCAGCTGGGGAGCTGAGACTGGTTTTCCTGACTTTCTAGAAGTCCCGTCTCCCCTTTACACAGGAAGACATACCCAAGAGTGCTCTGTGAGGCCCACTTCCGGACTGGCCCCTTAGTGGAAAAGGGAAGCTGGGTCTACCTGGCTTGTATCTTTAATGCATTTCTTAGGTTCAAGTGGCATCTTTCTCCTGCTTGCTGCTTTGGTGTGAGGCTAGTGACATTTAAGATAAGCACCTGAGGAAGAAGAGTCTTTTTAGTGTGACTTTGGGCAAGGCTCTTACCCTTGGGGTGTACCTGTCCACCTTTCATCTCTGAAATGAAGAGGGTGGACAGGATCACTGCTTCCCAGTCCACGGAGGAGCTTCTGGACGGTACAGATACAGGGGCACTTGCCCCAGAGGTCTTTTCCATAGGTCTGGGGATGGGACTGGAAATCTGTGTTCCTAACGATTTCTAGATCATTCTGAAGTGTAGTTAGGCTTGGGAAGCAGTAGACTGATTCAACTCTAACATTCTGGGAACCTGGTTGGTCTTCTTTCCTCTTTCTGTTCTCGTGGGAAGTCACTATTTCAAGGTGGAACTGAAGGCCCCACAATTTTCCTCTGCTTGGTAGGATACATGATGACTCTTGACTTTTCCGCCTGGGGCAGAGACCTGGAGGTCTGTGTTTTAGTCATGGTTCTCCCCCGATGTGACCTTTGGCAAGTCCCTTCTCTTCCTTGGGCCTCAGTTTCTGTATCTGTAAAGGGAGAACGTACACCGGCTCATCTCTTTGGGCACTCCTGACTCCTACCAGGAATGCTGGGAGGCTGGAATCACAGAATGACACTTATGGACACCGGCCCTTCCATCACACTGTCAGGACCCGTGATGGTTGCAGAGTCCTTTGATGAAGGCAGCACAGTGGGTTTGTCCTTCTGGGCTGAGCCCATAGGGACACTTCTCAGTGCTGCTTGGGCAGGTGGGGGATGCAAGCATTGGCCTGGTTTGAATCCTGGCCTACTGTGTGGAATGGGCAGAGAGGAGTCTTGAAACTGGAACGTGAAGAAGTGTTCAGTGCTGGAAGGCAGCACCCCAAGAGGGGAAATCATGATATTTTAATGTTTAAAGTATCATCAGAGATCATCTAGCCCGGGGATCGTCAACCTTGACACTGTTGAAATTTGGGGCCAGATCATTCTTTGCCATCCTGTGCATTGTGGGATGTTCAGCAGCATCCTTGGCCTGTAGCCACTAGATGTCAATAACACCCTGACACCCTGATATTCATAGGAGGCAAAATGGCCCTTGGTTAAGAACCTCTGATCTAGCTCAATGCCCTTGTTTTACAGAGAGGGGAAGTGATTATGATGTTTAGGAGGAAAGCCAGGCCAGAGGCCCAGGTGGCTGACTCGCAGCCCAGGGCTCTTCCCCTGGCCCTGGTGCAGCCCTGGAGGGTGGCCTGTGTCATCTGTCTCAGTGACCAGCTCTCAGCTTGGTGGTGGTTCTGCTAGTGGTAGCAGGGGGCTGCAGGGTTGGGACATACCTTGTGAATTCTGTTTTCCGACATTTCTCCTCTTCCAGCTCCTCACCCCATCCCCTTTCAACCATCTTCTTGAGGTTTCCAGGCCAACTCCTCCTACCCCTGCGGTGGCCACAGCAGGGTCCCCTCTCACCCTCTGCCCCCCTCTTTGGAATTAAAATCCTCTTATGAAAATAATTTTTTTTAAGTTTTAAGAAAGGAGTAAAACTGGGGGAGAAGCACTGCTTGGATTAGCTGTATTTCCCTTAAGTAGTATTCAGGAAGCTACAAGTTAGGTCGAGGCAGCTCGAGGCAGACATTGGAATTCAATTAAAGCCAACGAGTGGGGCCTGTGACCCCCATTTTCAAGGTAATTGCTTCTCCAGCTCCAAGTGAATGCAGCCATCGCCCTGTCATTAAGCAGGCAGCCGTCTAATCGCTGCGCCTGACAGAGCCTCACAAGGCAGGAATTACGGACAGCCGAGTCGTGCTCGCACTGGGGAGCCGTGCTTGACTGCACTCCCGCGAAGGAGTCCGCTAATCTAGTCAGGGCGTTCTTTATCTCCTCCTCGAGGAGAGCAGAGAGCGAGCCTGCAGCTGAGCTGCCTCTGGGAAGCAAGGTGAAGAAGGATAACGGGGTGCAGAGCCATGGGCTGAGCAAAAGGGCAGGCATCCTGGCCCCAGCAGGAAAGGGCAGGAGAGAGAGGGTCCCAAGAGGCTCTTGGCAGCTTTCAGTGGCTACCCCCACTGCACTGTTGGATTTGCTGCTCTGGAAGGAGACACAGCCTGGCATCCTGGTCTTGGACTTAGAGGAGGGCTTTGGGCAAGTCACTTTGTTCCTCCAGGCCTCAGTTTCTCCATCTGCCCTAATTGTTTAGTGGCTCTCTTGCTCATTGGATTTGAAAGATTCTGAGGTTGTGGCTCGGCTCAACTCAACTCAAAGAGAAATCAGATACCTCCGGCATGGGCAGGGAGGTAGCTGGTGGCATATTTATCATGAGGATTAGAGTATTCCTGGGGTCTTCCTTCCTGGTGAGAAAGGGCAGGATCCAAGGTCAGGGTGGCATGTGTGAAAAGGGGAAGGAAAGACAGACAGAGGGAACCAGGCTCTCAAGCCAAGCCTACCCACTCCCCTGCTGGACCACAGGGAACTCAAGTGTCTACCGAGGGAAGAGAAGTGGAAGATTGTCTCTCTTCTAGCTGGGGCCTGGCAAGACTTGGTTACAGTAGCCCTGTTTCTGTTACATGCTTCTTGGATCCAATTAACAGGAGGGGCTTTAGAAGGACAAGATTCCTGAGCACGAGGAGGGAAATTTGACACTTGGTCAGCAACCTGCAGAAGGCAGCATCTATATTTCCCAAGCAGATTTAAGACCCTTTGAGCCGATATATCACCCATTTCTGGAACCCTCTTGTTACATTGCTATATCATGGCCCAAGATCTTTGGACTGGAAAGTGGAGGAGGTCTCATCTGCTTACCTACTGACAATTTGGTCTTCATTCCCTTGGAAATTAACAGTAGGGGAGATGTCACAGAGCATTGACTTGATTTTTTTTTTAAGTGGGAGGGAGGAGAGGAAGAGGGACGTTGTAGCTTGTCACAAAATACACAGGATATTTTGAAGCCATACCTAAGGTATTCACTCCAGGATGTGGATGAGCTGCATTCAGTTGACTGAATTTTGTGTGAGGGGAAAGGATGGCCAAGAGAATGTGCCTTAGGATCCGTCTTTCAGCCAGGCAGCCATGGTGGAAGGAGGTAACGCTGAGTTTGAGTCTGGGCTCTGGTTGCTGATGGCTTCATGGAGCTGTTCAGCCTCCCGAGCCTGTTCACCATCTCTGAAGTGGGGATCACAAGGGTTGTTGTGAGCACTAAAAGCTATTACCAACCCCAGAAGCTCAATGCGTGTGGAGCTATGGTGCCCACTGAGTGATGTGAAAGAGAAGGAGCAGTCGGAGGCCTGGAGCTGTTCTCGCTGTCCTTGGAGGGCAGGAAGTGTTCATTTTACGCTGTCAGGACCCTGTCTGACTCCTCTGGTGGGAGCCCTTGGCGGGTCTTGGCTCTGGAAATGCTTAGACAACTTCACTACGTTCAACCCAAATCATGAACCTGAGAAACGCAGCATTAAATCACCTAGCGAAGGCCTAAGGCGTGATGTGCATAATCCAATTACACGTACTCTGCAAGCAAGATCTTCCCTTCAACCTCTCCTGGAAGTGACTGCACCTTCTGAGCCAGGCCATGGGTGCTTATCACTTGTGTGGAGTACATGTTCGTTGTCCTATTTGTGCTCTGGCAGGAAATGTTCAAGGAGGGAAAAGTGAACGCCCATGCATGGGCTTGGTTCCAGGCTCCTAGCGCCTCTTTGGGGTTAGGGATGCAAGAGGGAATTATTGACTTCCTTTCATATTGTGGATGGAGGAGTTCCCATATTGGAAGGAATGGTATAAGCTGGAGACAGGCGGTCTCTGATTGTGGAATTGATTCCATTTCTCTGCCATGGGGAAAGCTACCCAGTTGAAAACAGTATCAGCCTCCCACTCAGACATCACTGTGTTTGAGCACATTGTGCTCTGAAGCCAGCAGACGTGTTGCAGGGGATAGGAATACAGCCTGAGGATAGCTGTGCCCGCCTGCCTGCAGAGGTGCTGAGCTGTGATAGGGACGGGGGTCAGGTGGGGCTTTGCCCACTGGCCCCCACACCTGTCAGGGAAAAATCTTCGTTTCACTCTCTGTTGTACCCAAGATTGTTGTTAGCGGACCCTCCGTCTGACAAGCCCTGGCATCTGCTCTTGCACTGAGGAAGGAGCCTTGGAGGTTGGCTCTCCTGTCCCTGCTTCCCAGAGTCTGCTGGACCGGTCCTTGCTGTGCCTTCAAACCACCCCAAGGAGACCTCGAGGGAGTTTCTGGCTCTTTGCAGCAGGTTGCTCTTGCACTCAGAGATGAGGAACGCTTCAGTTTTGCATGGGAGATTCCTTTTCTCTTTTGCAAAGAGGACGCTCCTACCTGACAACACTAAGGCAGAAAACCAGCCTCTCAGCCTTGGAAGCTTAACAGCTTTGAAAGCCACTGTCTGCCAAACAGCCGCTGCTGCCTTTGTTCCAAGTTTCTGACGTCGGTTCACTGGTTCATGTTTTGGGCAAGCAGGACACCTCATGACCCCATTGATGCTTCCTGTCCCAACTAACTGTTCTAGCTGCGTCTAATTGGGCCTTGGAAGGAAGGCATGGAGCTGGGAGGCGGTTGGCACCTGTGGACACCATTTCTCAGCCTCTTCATATACCTTTTCCAAAATTTTCACTAATTTACCCACAAGACATGTACTGAGCAAACATGCCAGGCACTGTTAGAGGTGCTAGGATGGAGAAGACACAGTCTCTGTTTCTGGAACTCACAGGTTGCCAAGCAGTGCACAAAGGCAAAAGAAACAGTGTACACCTGGGATCTGTCTGTTTGCTAAGATTGAGCACCTGCTCCATTTTTACCTGTAGTCACACATGTGATCCTGGCACAACACAGAGAGGTCGGCTGACTTGTCCAAGGACTCATAGCTGATAAAGGATAGAGCTGGAAGTCTGCCTTATTCTGCCTGGCTCCATTGTCTGTGCCGTTAGAGCTCTTAGAACAGAGAAATCCATTCTGACCTGAAGTGGGAGGGCATTCAGAGGATATGGCCTTTGAACTGGGCAAAGCTGAGCCTAGAAGGTTGGGTAGGAGAAGAGACCTTTCCTGGTAAGATAAGAGTCAGGGTGCGTGGAGCTATTCAACTCCATCTTGCCTTGGGTACAAATGTTCAGTGCACATTTTCTCTAGAAACAGACTTGTTCATGAAAGGAGTTAGCTGTGTCTGCAGGCAGCAAAGCTACTTCTTTGAAGCCTTCTTTCCCCTCCTCTTCTTTGTCTCTTCCTCAAGGGATCTTATTGGCTCTGCACTATAAAATGTGGATTAAATACCTTGCTTTCAGTCCTTGCTTTCTGGGATTTTACTAAATAGTTATCACCAGCAGAATTAACGGGCCTACCAACAATTTGTCTAAACAAAGGGGCCCTACTGGAGACTCATTTTAAAACCAGGTATCCAGATAAAGTTGTATTGTCCGACCACACCAGGGAATACTAGGTAGCCATTAAAAAGGACAAGAAAATTTCTTCAGAACATTCCTAAATTAAAATCAAGCTGTATAGCAGTATGGTTCACAGGAGTCCATTTCTGTATAAATACATTTGAAATGTGTAGATTTTCATAAAGAAAAACCTAGGCAGATTTAACAGTAGAATCTTCCGAGGGTAGGATTGAAGGGTAATTTTAAAAACTTTTTAATGTCTACTTATTTTTAGTATTTTCTTAAAATGGGCATGTATTAGTTTTGTAATAAGATATTAAAAATTACATTTTCTTAAAAAAGAAAAAGTGGAGGAGCTCAGAGTAAGCGCCCATCCTAGAGGAGCTGGAGTTTCTTAGCTGGGAGGGGTTGGATCTCCGCATTGGACTCTGTGATGCTGGCTCCAGGGGCCCCCATAGCTTTGTGTCTGCCATAGTGTCTCAGTGCAGATGTGGGGTCAGACCACCCTGGGACAGTGCCCATGAACTGCCTAGCAACAGACGTCACAGAAGTGCTCTGACAGCTTTGAACAACGGCCGCAGTGCCAGCCTTTCACCCAGAACTGACAAAGGGAGCCCTCTGGGGCCAGGAGTGCCATGGCTTCTGTGGCTGCCGTTAACTTTGGGATGAGGCCAGGTGGGCAGTTTGCAGCTTAGCTGGGGGAGAGTAGGGCCCTTTATCCATAACCTGAAATGCTTACTGCCTCCTCCTGCCAGAGCCATGGGCCTTCACTGTGTTCTGTTATCTGTTCGCGGTTGCCAGAAAACCATCTCATATTGACAGGCGAGCTCCCTTAGTAAGGTGTGAGATCTGGAAGCTTCTCAGATCTATTCTCTATGGCACTTTCCACCAACCCCTCTTGCTTTGGGGATCTTCTTAGGAATGAGCATTCTTTGGATGAGGGGTGGTGGTTGACAGATTTACTAGTGGTGGGATTTGGCCAATTACTAGCTACCTACTCCAGCCCCCTAAGCATCTATTAAATGGCCACAACCCCTCCCTTGCCAGGTGGTTGGAAGGTGCCCAGGCATTCATTCAGGCATTCAGTAAATGTTAGTTTTCTTCTCTTGCACTAGTTGAGAAGAAAGATGTGTGCATAGGTGGATACCAGCATACCTAACTTCTCTTTCAGTAGTGGAGAAGAAGTTGGGTGGGGCGAAGGGAGAGGAAAGAGAAGCCCAAGCCCCTGAGGCTAGTGTTGAGTGGGGAAGTTGGGCCTCTGGAGCCAGGGCAGCGGAGTCCTTGACTGGGGAGGAGACAGGGAGAATTGCATTGTTGTTGATAATACTGACTTGCTGCATGGCAAGTTTTTAGAAGGGTTCAGCAATCCATTTTAAACTCTTTGTAAATGTTAGCTACTGCCATGAGGCTTAGTAGCTGTGCGCCATGAGCTGCTGCAAACATTATCTTACAATAATCCTCTGGGGTCTGCTGCTTTCCCCCTTTACAGATAAGGAAATTTGAGGCTCCAGGACTTGAAGTAACCTGCCCCAGGCCACACAGCTAGGAAGTGCCAGAGCTGGGATTTCAATCCTGTTCTGTCTAGTTCCAAAGCCTCCACTCTTCCAGTTACCCCGTTTTCCACCACTGATGTCCGGTGACGTTAGCTCTCATTCCACTGGCCCCCAGCTCATCTGGCTCTGGGGCCTTTGCTGTGATGACCTGCCCTGCCCCTGCTCTGTAAGGCAGGCTTGGAGTTCCTAAGAAATAAGGAGCCTTCCCCAGGGTCCAGCCTCAGGGTGGAAGATGCTGGCAGCTAATGCTGAAGGCATGTATGCATGAGCAAACACTGCCAGGGCTGTGAGCTTAAAAATGGATCCCTCTCTACTCAGAGGGAACCCCATGACTCTGCGGTTTTTTAAATGCATGCATTCTTTATCTCAGGCTTGGAAACAAACATTGAGAAATTATTTGTGAAACGGGGGTGCAGGGAGTTGGGGGGTGCTTGAAGACATAAATCTTTACATTACAGTCTATTAACAGACTTCCTTCAGCGAGACATTCATGTGAACTGAGCTGGGGGCAAAGGTTTTGGGGGTGCTTCCCCCTGCCACCCACCCAGTGAAGGAGCAAGAGGAATGGGAAGAGCCACTCCCTCCCTCCCTCCTGAGGTGGCCACGCCTCCCCTGCCCTCCCCAACTCAGCTGTACTCACCACCGACTTCATTGCAGCAGCAGCAGCTCCAGGCGCAGCACCTCTCCCATGCCACACACGGCCCCCCGGTCCAGTTGCCACCCCACCCGTCAGGTCTCCAGCCTCCAGGAATCCCCCCAGTGACAGGGAGCAGCTCCGGGCTGCTGGCACTGGGCGCCCTGGGCAGCCAGGCCCATCTGACGGTGAAGGATGAGAAGAACCACCATGAACTCGATCACAGAGGTGCGGCTGGGCTGGGGCAGAGGGTGGGGCGGGGCAGGGGTGGGCATGGGCGCTCATAGGCCTCACAGTGAGTGGACCCAGCAAGTGCTGTCGTCCTAAGACCAGGAGTTACCAAGGATTTGGAGTCATCTGTTGATACCTGGTGCAGGGAAGCCAATGCCATCCGCATCCCATGCACCTTTTCCTACTCCTTGGTGTGGACCTGGTATTCTCTGTCCTGAAGACCCTGTCTGTTCATCTGGAGCTCGCTCCCATCTTCCTACAACACCCTTGCCTGTCCTTCAGGGGCCAGCCCCAGTCCAACCCTTCAGGATGCCTTCCTGGTCAGACTAGGGGCTTTTTCAAGTTCCTGTAAGAGTTTAAGAGTTGGGATGCCAAAGTTGAGTCCTTGTTACTGTCGTCTTACATCCTACCCCTGGAAAATGTCTTGTGCTCACCACGATCATTAGTTCCCTAGGACAGGTGCCAAGTTCTTGGGTGTTTTCCTTACATCTATGTCTCACCAATGCAGAAACCTGGGAAAGGTGCACAGTCAGTGCTCAGGTAAAGGTTTGTTAGCTGACTGCCTGTAAGTGGGGGTAGTGCACACCCCAGCAAGAGATCACATAGACTTGGAGTCAGAACTTGTTCTCTGACCCTCTCTGCAGCCCCTACCATGAGGACCCATGAAGCTGCACCGAGCTTGGCCTCAGGAGTGGTTCATTGGATCAGAAAAGAGAAAAGCCTGGCTCCCTGGGAGGCCCTTTTCAAAAATTGGTGCCAAATGCACTCTGCCCTTAGATACGGTATTTACTGGGGCACGTAGCCAACACCTTCTGAGCACTAGGGACCTGGAATGTCACCATCCTGCCTTGGCCCAGGCCACAGGGTGGTAGCCGGTCCAGGGAACTGGAGGCTACATTTTTTTGTCTTACAGTAGGATGGTCCTTTTGGCAGAGGAAGAGGGGCCTCTCCATAGCAGACAGGAGAACTGGGGAGCTAGTGCTTAGCTGGGCACAGTTTCAGAGGCTTCAGCTTTTAGGGGCATCCTGACAAAGAATCACAGAATGGTGTTAATTTCAAAAACAAAATTAAACCACTGTTAAATTCCTTTTTTTTTTTTTTTTTTTAACAATAAAGTTCTTAACTCCCAGGTCCTACTGGTATTTTATATGGCATGATCCTTCTCAAGCTTGTGATCTTAAGACCCCTAGCCTGCTAAAGAGTAAACTTGGTGCCCTCTGGCATGACAGGGAGAACTGGGTCAAAGGCCTACCCTCCCCACCCTGGGGACTGGGCCTCCCTTGCCCACCCTGGGGACTAGAGGGGTGGGGGCAGCATTGGAATTTGGGTGGCAAATTTCCAAACCGAGAAACGCCACCTAATGGCCCTGCCTTGGCTGATCCACGGAGACAGCAATCCAGGCCTTCTGCTCATTTTAAAACCAGTGCACTAGCAAATCACAAAAGCCAGCTGGACTTAGACTGACCTTTTTCCTTTCTTTTTTGTCTTTTTGTTTTGGGGTGCCTGACCTTCCTCCTGTCCTGGCCTTCTTTCCCCAAAGAGAGAGAATCCAGTGCGGTAAGTGTTGGCACTCTGGAACCCGGAGGGGTGTTTGGGTGCTGGGAGGAGGTGGGACTCGGGGCTCCCAGAATCGCGGGCCTGAGACCAGTCAGTCGGTATCCAAAGCTGGCTTCTGGGTTCCCGCTTCTGCTCTGTGGGTTGTAACTAGGGATTTTGTTGTTTGTTTACTCTTGCTGAGCTGGGAGCTTCAGTGCTGATGTCTTAGTCCAGAGCCAGTGGCAGGGTGAGGGGTAGCTACTGTCATAAAATGGGAGCTGCTGTCGTCACCTGTTGAGAGTGACCTTCAGTTGTGGAAGCCCTTCCTCTCTCCAGGCTTTAGGTCTGCCATTTGTCAAATGAAGAGCTTGGGCTAAATGAGCTCTAACTCCGTTTCATATGAGAGGTGATACTCTGAGAGGTCAGCTGACCAGCCCTGGATCTTCCATTGCGAGGGGCTTTGTGGAGTCTCTGGGCTAAACCCAGGGCTAAGGACCCAGGTGTCCCATGTTCAGGGCCAAGGTTTTTACCACCCCCCTGCTAGGATGCCTCCTGTATGATCTTGCATCCTCCTCATTCCCTTCAAACGCCTGCAGTTTCTCCCTGCTCTGGGCTTTCACTCGATTTAAGAAAGTGCTAGCAGGCGAGCATTAAGGCCAGGCCGCCTGCGTGTCTGCCAGCTCTGAGATTTGTTGTAAATCTTTCTGATCACACTGAGGCTCCGAGGTTCTGTTTCAAGTGAATAAGCCTTCTGAATAAGCGCAGTGGAGTCTGGATAAAAAAAATCCTCCAGCGATTAGCAAAGCTATTTTATTCCTCATCGCTGTCCTTGTATCTGGGGCCATCTAATCTGTTAGGATGGCTTTGGTTATTACCTCGTGTTAAGTAGGACTTGGAAGGTCAGGCAGTTAACTAACCATCTAGACAGCAGCTTCCTTGCGCAGCTCTCTCCAATCCAGCCCTCCTTCCCTTCCTGGCCCTCCCCCTACCCAGGCTGACTTTTTAAACCTCCCATTAGCAGTGAGGCTGGCGTCCGTGGCCTCTTGACCCGCCTACATGCTCAGAAATCCAGGACCACATTTGGGCTGAGGAATGGCTAGGTACCTAAGAGAGGAGTCATTGAAGCTGAAAATCCATGTTCACTGCCTCGGTACTGATCCTCTAACAGTGGCATTTTTTCGGAGAGGCAGTTTGCCTAGATAGGCGGAGGCCTGGATTGGACATTTTAAGGCTGAGGTCTGGTCCCAGCTTTATGAGGCCCTGTGTAGTTCTCTTGGCCTCTCTGAGCCTCAGTTTCCTTATCCATACCATGGGAATAATTCCTGCTTGACCAACCTCTCAGCTTTGTTTCGGAAGACCCTTTATAACCTGACTGAGGATCCAGATTACCTGGCTAGCAGGGACCCACTTCAGTGGAATTGGAGGGGGAGTGGGAAGCCCAGCACTCTCTAAAGAGCATGAGTCTTTACCTCATCCTCATCCCTATTGGCTTCTGGCTTTGTGCCCCATCTGTGAAAGTTTTCTGCTAAAAGACCCCCCCTGGGAACCCCCAAGAGCTGGGCTGTTTACCATGCTCGCTGAGGTCCATGCATGGCACACATGGGCCTCAGGAAACTCCAGTGGGAATGAATCAAGATGCTGGGCAGAGGCAGCAGTGGGCAGGGCCGAGGCTGTGCGCATGGCATGTGGCGTGGTGACGGTGTCAGCGGCGGTGTAGACTGAAATAATCAGGCTTTGGAAACCAGGTTGTCAACAGATGAGGCCTACGGCAGGAAGGACAGGGCTGTGTCAGAGTGGGAGGGGGGATGGGGGGACGGGCTGGAAGCTGTCCCAGAGGGGTTAGTCTGGAGTCCAATTAGTGGTAGCTTCATTCATATTTCCTTGCCTAGCCGAAGCAATAAAAAATACTTAGTTTTTTGGCCGCCTGCCAGCCAGAGGCGGGCTGGATCGATGCCGCTAAATGCCTGACATGACTCTCCGGTAGCGGCGAGGGTTTTCAGCCTGACTGCATGAGAAGAAAGAGCTCGCTGTTCTCCCGAGCCGAGCACCGGGTCGCGAGGAGAAACACGAGCAGCCGCACGCCCCCTCCCCTGCCCGCCCGCCTGCAAGGGGCAGCCAGTGCGAGGGGCTGGAAGCATTTCTGCTTAGCACAGGGTGGCCACCACCGTCAGAGGAAATGAAATGAAATGACGGTGATTTTTCTGCCGGCGATTGCAGCAGCTAATTGAATTGTGGCTGTGCGCGCATCGCCACCGCTCCTGCACGGCTGTGGGGAAGGTTGAGCTGCAGTTCCATTATAACCTCCATTTTTTCTTCAAGGCTTGATAACTCTGCCATTTTAATTTGCTTCGGGCAGAAACTTGGCCGGGTAGGGCTGCCCAGAACCCGGCTTAGGAAAGGAAATTAAGTTCTGAGGCTGGTTGCCGCACTATTCCCACCGAATACTGCCCAGCCCCGTTCCCTCCAAGTGGCCCTTGCCCCTGAGCCACGCTTGGCCTCTGGGAAAGTGGAGAAGAGAAGGGAAGCCTCATTCCACTTGCCTTCTGATGCTCTTCTCTTCTGAACAGATGTCCCTCTGGGTCTCCATATGACCTCCTGTGTTGCATGGGGACTGGGACCTGGGATGGCCTGTCCTTTTCTTCCAGCTCCATCATAGCTGGACCATGAGCTCCTGGAGGGCAGGGATTGTATCTCATTCATTCTGCCACTCCTGGCCTGCAGCACCAGGGCTGACCCAGGGCAGCTGCTCGGAAATTGGTGGGTGGGTGAAGGTAAAGTTTGGACTCTTAGAAAGGAGTAAACCTCACCAATATCATAGAGGGGCATTGGTCCTGATATTAGTCTCTGGGCACAGAGGTTTGCTGGCAGGTGCCCTTGCCAGTTGCACTTCCCTCCCTGCTCCCCAGCTCGGTGGTAACAGCCACATGGTGATTTCTGACCACTATCAACCCCTAGGACTACTCCGTCATCTTCCCTCTTCCCAGGCCTCCCATCCCAAAGGCTTCTCATCCTCATTTGCTTTATAGTTGAGGGAGAACTCACGAAATTTTGGGGTTCCCTTTGTGCCACCTTCTGCTAGGGGAGCTTGGGCACATTCACCAACCTCTTGGGGTCTCCACTTGGTGATGGCTACAGAGGCAGTGACTGTCCCTGCCCTTGCTCCTTTCCCTGTCTGTCAGAGGGAAAGGCTTCATGACGTGGCATTTTTGTTTTTTTTACAACCCTGGTGTTTCTCCAGAGTTGCTGACAGCCTCACCGTGGAGGCGGGGGTGTTCACACAGAACGCTTGGCTGCTCATCTCCACTGGGAAGTTGGTGGCTGCCTGACGCCCTCCTTCCCTATCAATCTCCCCATTCCTGTCGGGCTCAGCAAATGAAGTATTGCTCATGGCCCCTGCCTGTCAGCTCAGATCCATCTTACAAGACTCAGTGCAAATTCCACTTATCCCTCCTTTGAGCAAATGAGTGTGGCAAGCGCGAGATGGGTGGTGAATGAGACCCAGGTGACCCTCGCCCTCACAGAGCGTAGTCCCACAGGCCAGAAGGCAGACGGCTTACTGCAGGGTTAATTATTTAATAGCAGTGCAGAGCTGCAAAAGAGAATTGGGGATGCGCCCAGGGCATCTCCCCGGGGACTCAGTCTCAGGGGAGTGGGGAAGGCTTCCCTGGCAAGGCTCTGATGGAGCCACGATCTGCAGGGCAGAGAGGAGTTCAGCTTCTCTTCCCTCCCCTGACCTCCGTGTCACCTGCACTTAGCTGTGTGCGGATGTGTGAATTGTTACACGCAGCAGAAAGTTTTAACCCCGAACCCTCTTTTTCCTTCCAGAATAACTCTGTGTCACCCTCGGAAAGCCTCCGGGCCAGTGAGAAGCACCGGGGCTCTGCGGACTACAGCATGGAAGCCAAGAAGCGGAAGGCGGAGGAGAAGGACAGCTTGAGCCGATACGTACGTCCAAGGCGCCATGGCACCACTGGGGTTTCTGTTGGGTAGGGCAGGGGGTGTCTGCAGGGCCCAAGCTGTGGCCAGGGTCTTCTTGTGGTTGGCAGTGAGTCAGAGAAGCACAGGTTGGCGATAGGGGACCCTATTGAGGAGAGCAGGGTGGGAACAGGGCTAGGGTGAAGTTCACACACGCTATGAGCATGCGAGCCACTGTGGGGCGGAGGTGGATGGGGAGGTCGTCCTAGCCTCCATGGGGTCTCTTCCCACAGACAGGCCAACAACCCCATGCTGCTGTCATGGTGCTGCCGGAATCCCACTTGGCTCTAAGGGGCTGCTCCCAGTGACCCCCAAAATGTGGACCCTATAGTCCTCTCAGTTGGCCTGAGGCATGCACTCACTTGGCCACCCAGTCATGGCTTTTACTAGCCTTTTAATGGGATGCCCCCGGCACGTGAGACCCTAGTGGAAGCATGGCTGTTGTGTTTCCCCTGTGTCAGGCTGTGCAGGGCTGAGAGCTGGGACAGAGGGAAGGGGAGGATATGGTGCAGGGCCTCAGCGGTCTTGCACCCAGCCCTCTTCAGCCACATGGCTGCTGTGTGGCTTTGGACACATTGAGCACCCAAAGGACACTCAGCTGTGTTTCTGTGAGAGGAGGCAAGTTACTATCCCACACAGATGGGTGGGAATGACCAGGTGAGAGCAGCACACTGACTGTGAAGGATGGTGGATGTAAAACCAGCTGGGAAGAAGGTTCTGGCTTCAGAGAGAAGCAGAAGGGCAGGCTGTGGGGGCAGGGGCTTAGAACTGCTATGATGGAGCGGGTGTCAGTGCGGCTGCCCAGTGGGTACAGGAGTGGAGTAACCCGGGGCCTGGGCTAGGGGACAGCCTCACGGGGAGACCGTGTTGAGCTGGAGTGGAGCCTGTTGAAGGGCAGGGCTGGAGTAGAAAGCATGGACTTTGGGGTTTGGCCTGGCTTCAGGTCCTGGCCAGTAGAAGGACAGGGTGGTTTGGGCTCAGTCAGGGGTGGGGAAAGTGTGGCCTCTTACTGACCAGTTGGCTTCTCTCTTGGTTGCAGGACAGTGATGGAGACAAGAGTGATGATCTGGTGGTGGATGTTTCCAATGAGGTATGGGCAGGCCCGGTCGCAAGGGGGCTCTTGGTTTGGCATGGTTTGGAATTATTCCTCCCCAGGGTGGGATCTATTCTGTCTGTTCTAGTATTACTGGCAGCCTGAGCAGGGAGACAAGGCCTCCAGTCTTGGGGTCTCAGGGGGTCAAGAGGAGCAGGGCAGGGCTTTGCTGCATGGTGTCTGGGCATTTATGGGCCTGGAGGGCCTCCTGCAATGGGTCTCCAGAGAGACACCCCCAAAGATCCCAGGTAGGGGCCATCTTCTATTCCCCGTGATCCTCCGTCCCCCCAGGGTCTCAGCCTCAGGGGCCTGAGGAGGAGCTGGAGAGCATCTACATTTGGCCAAACCCAGCCATGCTGATTGAAGTCCTGAACTTGTGTTTGACATTGGGAAGACCATCCTTCCACCCTCCCTAGGCCTCAGTCAGACCAGATGGTTAAGAGCTAGTTTTTCCTCACTGTGGGGCCCCCAGTCTTTCAGCCAAGCTCGTCTTCCCATCGCCCATGCCCTCTCTCTTCCCACTCCCAGAGCAGGGAAGCCTCGAGGCTGGCTGTTGCTTTCAGTGCATCTCTGCATCACTTGTGTTTTCAGGACCCCGCAACGCCCCGGGTCAGCCCGGCACACTCCCCTCCTGAAAATGGGCTGGACAAGGCCCGTAGCCTGAAAAAAGATGCCCCCACCAGCCCTGCCTCGGTGGCCTCTTCCAGTAGCACACCTTCCTCCAAGACCAAAGACCTTGGTCATGTATGTGGGGTCTGGGTGGAAGGGAGTGGGAAGGGAGCGGCAGGGACTGGAGCTGGGGTGGTGCCGATTGGCAGGCAGAGGGGTGGAGTGGGAGAAGCTGGGTGGGTGATTGGCCCCGGTTTACCTTCTGTGCCTGCTGGGCCTGTGCTAATGAGTTAACGTTTCTGAGCCTCGGTTGCTACGTCTGTAAAATGGGAGTGATCACCCCAGTCCCTGCCAAACAAGGTTGGGCAAGGATTGAGAGGCTGTTCGGCAGAAGCTTCATAAGGGTCTGGCTCTGGGCTTCACGTTGGGACCGGCACCAGTTGTGCCCGGCTCCTAGGAGAATGGAAGCCTCATGGCCTCCCTTGTTCTGCATCTCCCCTCTTCAGAACGACAAATCCTCCACCCCTGGGCTCAAGTCCAACACACCAACCCCAAGGAACGACGCCCCAACTCCAGGCACCAGCACGACCCCAGGGCTCAGGTCGATGCCGGGTAAACCTCCGGGCATGGACCCGATAGGTATAATGGGTAGGCACCATGGGCTGGGTTAATCTGATTGGGGGGAGGGGGTCTGCTCTTGGCCAGGGCAGGGGTGACACACACGCATGGGATAGAGCACAGGCAGTGTCTCCCAGGGCCTGCCCCTGGGGACTTCACGGTCAGATTTGAGGAGGTGACACCAGGGTTTCTGGGACCCCTGCTGGGCCAGACATGAAAGCAGCATCAGACGGGTCAGGGCTCCCAAAATCTGTTCCCACCCCTGTCATTAGTCCAGTGAGGCTCTAAGCAAGCCCATTTGGGCCTCCATATCCTGCTCTGTAAAAAGAGGTGGGTGCATCTGCCAAGCTCTAAGCTTCTTTGGCTCTGAAGGCAGGGATCCCACTTGGGTGGGTTCAGTCTGAGAGGACTGCCTGGAGCAGGCAGCTTAAGAATGCAGGGAGGGTTATTGCTGGGTGAGGCGGCCATGGCCATGTCCCAATCCACCTAAGGCCCACCTCCCTGACGCCCACCCCTCGCAGCCTCGGCTCTGCGCACGCCCATCTCCATCACCAGCTCCTATGCGGCGCCCTTCGCCATGATGAGCCACCATGAGATGAACGGCTCCCTCACCAGTCCTGGCGCCTACGCCGGCCTCCACAACATCCCACCCCAGATGAGCGCCGCCGCCGCTGCTGCAGCCGCTGCCTATGGCCGATCGCCAATGGTGAGCTTTGGAGCTGTACGTAGACCTTTTGGCTCCTTTCTTGGGGACTGGGCGTGGTGTGGGGAGCCAGTGGTTGGACGGGTGCTCCCCACATGCTAAAGGGGCCCCTCAGGGTCTCAAGGCCAGGCAGCTGCCCCTGTGGGAAGGTGTATCGGAAACAATTGAGACTTGGCTGGAAGGGTACACTCTTTGGGGCCAGCAGACCTGAGTTCCATCCCCCACTGGCCTGTGAGCCGCCCTGTGACCTCATGCAAGGCAGCCTCCCTTTTAGTCTGCAAAACGGGGCTGACACCTGGCTTTCCCAGCTCTGGGGGGTAGGAATCCCAGGGCAAGTCAGGTGATGTCCATGGAGCAGGGGTCTCGTAGATGGGACTGGTTGTACAAGACTTTCTATTGTGGTGAATAAATAATAAGAGTTAGGGGTCGAGCGCAGTGGCTCACGCCTGTAATCCCAGCACTTTGGGAGGCCAAGGCGGGTGGATCACCTGGGGTCAGGAAATCGAGACCAGCCTGGCCAGCCAACGTGGTGAAACCTCATCTCTACTAAAAATACAAAAATTAGCCGGGCGTGGTGGCAGGCGCTATTCGGGAGGTGAAGGCAGGAGACTCACTTGAACCTGGGAGGCAGAGGTTGCAGTGAGCCAAGATTGCACCACCGCGCTCCAGCTTGGGCGGCAGAGCGAGACTCCATCTCAAAAAAATAAAAATAAAAAGAAGAGTTAGGGTTGGCGGGGAGAGGGGCCCTTTTTCAGGAGACAGTTTTCCTTTTTACCTCCTGGACCTGGGGTGGCCTCCTCTCCACTGGCAGGCCCACTAGGACCACAGGAGAGGAAAGAAGTAGGGCAGGGCCAGCTCTGCCTTGCAGAACAGGGAGGATGCTGGTTCACAGTGGGGTCTGCACTGTCACCCCTTCCCTGCCACGGGCTGTCCTGGGCCTGTGTCTCCTCTGAATCAATGGGCTCTGCTCTGCTCAGCTTGTCTCTTGGGTTACAAAGTGGCAGAGCCGTGCAGGTAGGACCCCGGGTGGGTGGTGGAGGAGGCAGGGGTGGGGGTGTGTGGCAGCACGGCTGATGGAGGGCTGTCTTGCCTTGCTTTACAGGTTGGTTTTGACCCTCACCCCCCGATGCGGGCCACAGGCCTCCCCTCAAGCCTGGCCTCCATTCCTGGAGGAAAACCGTAAGCTTTGGCTATACTTACTGCATGCTTTGTAGGGTGGGCAGGAGAGAGCACTCTACCCCCAATTCCAACAACGCCCCTCATCCCCTGACCAAGGGTTTGCCCTGGTGCACCTCCCTTTGGAAAGGTATCTGTCCCTCTAGAGGCACCGAGGGCTGGTTGCAACCCCAGGAAACTGTAGCCAAGCCACACTTCTGAGCACCCACAGAAGCTCCCTCCGACAGAGGAGCCATGGAGTTAGCTAAGTACATGGCCACTGGGCTGGGAGAGAAGGAACACTCCTCACCGAGTCACCTGGAGCTGTGGTGGGCCTTGCCGACTCCTTTGGGTTCGACCTGCTGGGAAGGCCCCAGTGCCGCTGGTCGCAGGCCCTTCCCTGTCAGCAGTGCTTCCCTCCCCTGGAGGGCACACTCTCCCCGGCCCTTCACTTCCTTGGGTTGCTAGGAAACTAAAAGATTGAGCCTACAGATAATGCCGAGACACTGCCTGACACAGTCCT
Source organism: Homo sapiens (assembly GCF_000001405.40). NCBI lineage: Eukaryota > Metazoa > Chordata > Mammalia > Primates > Hominidae > Homo > Homo sapiens. The sequence continues at coordinate 70,055,798 of NC_000015.10, read as the reverse complement.
CTAATTGTCAACGAGAATCTAGATGCTGATTGAGAGGGCACCCACCAGAGCCTGAAACAGCAGGCAGGCCAGGCTGGCTCACCACAGGCTCTGACATGGACTTTCCCATTTGCTATTGCAGGGGCAAGCAGATCCCTTCCCTAATACCACCGGCTCCTAAAGCAAGAGGTGGCATTTCAGCCAGGCCCTTTCCAGGGTTGGCATGTTGGGGGAATGTATGGATCGTGGGAAAGGGCATTCCAGGACACCTGTGGGTTTCTGGTCTGATTTGAAGCAAGGATATATAACTGGGTGTAAAAATCAAAGCTGGTCTGTTAATCATGTCTACCTCGATGGAGCCATCCCAGTACATGGGGTTACTGGGTTCGAATGGTTTCAGAGCAGAGGGGGCTAGAGGCAGGGCAGCCAGTCGGGGGCAGTGCAGATGACCTGGGCCAGGCCTATGGGAACTCTGAGGGGCCGGGGTGGATGGCAGCAGTGACGGTTTCTCACCTTTTCAGAGCGTACTCATTCCATGTGAGTGCTGATGGGCAGATGCAGCCCGTGCCCTTCCCCCACGACGCCCTGGCAGGCCCCGGCATCCCGAGGCACGCCCGGCAGATCAACACACTCAGCCACGGGGAGGTGGTGTGTGCCGTGACCATCAGCAACCCCACGAGGCACGTCTACACAGGTGGCAAGGGCTGCGTGAAGATCTGGGACATCAGCCAGCCAGGCAGCAAGAGCCCCATCTCCCAGCTGGACTGCCTGGTGAGAATCCCAGGGCTGCTGCGCCGCCTCCAGCTGGTGTAGGAGGATGGGGCAGCCTGGGCCACAGGGGAGAGCCCCAGGGCCTGGCTCAGCATCGTATTGGCTGAGCAACTTTAGGCAAGCTGACTAACCTCTCTGAGCCTCAGTTGTGCCTTCTGTGTGTGGGGCTGATTCTGACCTCCTGGTATTCATGAAAGATCAAAGGGTTGTGAATTTGAGGAATGGGGACAGCCTGGCAGCTGCTGGGTATAGGGGGAGGCTGTAAGCAGGACTGGTGAGGGTGCTCGGTGTTGCTGGACAGGACTCTCCTGGTGCCCAGGAGGGGAAGTAGGCAGCACTCAGCCCTGCCCCTTCTCCCTCCAGAACAGGGACAATTACATCCGCTCCTGCAAGCTGCTCCCTGATGGGCGCACGCTCATCGTGGGCGGCGAGGCCAGCACGCTCACCATCTGGGACCTGGCCTCGCCCACGCCCCGCATCAAGGCCGAGCTGACGTCCTCGGCTCCCGCCTGTTATGCCCTGGCCATTAGCCCTGACGCCAAAGTCTGCTTCTCCTGCTGCAGCGATGGGAACATTGCTGTCTGGGACCTGCACAACCAGACCCTGGTCAGGTGAGCCGGCAGGAGGGAGCATTAGTGCCTCGTCCTGGGGAAGTTTTTACCCATCCTGCCTGGTCTTGTTTGCTGTGACCTTGGCCCTGTCTGAGGCACTGTGGGGTGGCCAGAACCGTTGGGATGAGGGATGCACAGGTGAAAAGACAGCTCCGCCTGCCTTATGCGAGGGACAGAGGAGGGAGGGCCATTGGGCCCAGGAGTTGGAGAGGGCTCTGGGAAGAAAGTGGAGCTGGAGCATGTCTGGGGAAGTGGAGGTCAGATTAGTGGAGCAAGCAGAGAGTCTGGGAGCAGAGCCCCAGAGACCAGATTAGGGAGACCCGACTGGGAAGCCACATCACGTGGTAGCTAAACAAGCCTCAGGACAAAACTGCTGGCTTTGAATCCTGCCTCCACTATGACCTAGTGCAAGTCGCTGAACCCCTGCGGCTCAGTTTCTTCCTGTGTAAAACAGTGACAGTGGAGCATCTTCCTCTGACTGTGCCGCAGCGCAAAGGCAGACGGGTGCCTGGCCCAGCTGACTCTTGTATACATGGGCTGTGTGTGTTATTCAGCGTGTTCATGGATGGCCTCAGCCCCATAGTTCATGCAGGATGAAGAGATAGATTAAGAGGGCAAATTGAGGGCGTGTGGAGTGCGAGTTAAGGAGCTGTGTCCTAAAGGCAGTGGGGCCCTGCATTCTCTTTATCAGTCATCTCACACGTAGCTTCCCCAGGGCCTTCCTGCCTTCCTCACCTTCCTGAGCCTCCAGCTCCACCTCCTCCAGAGGCCCACCCTGGAGGGACTCAGTCTCAGAAGGCTAGTGCAAGGTCCCTTTTTCACCTCCCCCCCCCATTTCCCAGGGGACTTGTCCCTGGGCAAACCCTTCCGTGGAACTGGAAAGAGGCCTGGAACTGGAAAGAGGCCGGGGCTAGCTTTGCTGCAAGCTCGCTAAGGGACCATGCGCATAGTGCACTCTTCTGGGCCTCAGTTTTCTCTTCTGCTCAGACTGCCCCTGGGATGGCCGCCACCTGGCAGTCTGTGGTTCCCGGGACTCACCCTCCTCCCTGCTTGGCTTTCGTAGGCAGTTCCAGGGCCACACAGATGGGGCCAGCTGCATAGACATCTCCCATGATGGCACCAAACTGTGGACAGGGGGCCTGGACAACACGGTGCGCTCCTGGGACCTGCGGGAGGGCCGACAGCTACAGCAGCATGACTTCACTTCCCAGGTGTGCGGCCCAAGACTCCTCCCTTCCCAAAGAGCAGTGTGTTCCCTCCCTCCGGGGCCCCAGTGGCTGGGTCAGGGACAAAGGGACCCTCACAGAGTGGCCACGGCCAAGAGACTTGGGACCAACCTGAGCCATCTGGGAAGGCTTCCTGGAGGAAGCAGCAGTGAAACAGATGGAGATGACCTTGGGGTTGGACACATTTGGCCCAACTGTGGAAATTCGATTCATTCTCTGCTGCTATTGAGCACTTTGTCCTCGGCGTCCTCATTCACAAGATGGAAATAATAGTAGCACCCTCCTAGGTCTGATGTGGGCACCTGAAATGATCCCTCTAAAAGGCGTAGCCATAAACCCGACTCACAGAAAGCATTCAGTAAATGCCAGGGATTATTATTTCTTATTTGCATTCCTCACTTTAATATTTTAATCTTAAATTTTTAATATTTTAGTTTTTTTTTTTTAACTCACTTTTTTCTTAAGGAAAGATGAAAGTCTCAGAGACAGAGTAACTGAATGCAAAATGTCTGTGCTTTCTCACCTATAAAATGGGGATGGAAAATGACCTCCCATACTCCTGGGTTATTGGGTGGGTGGGGAGGGACCCTGAGCCTCAGAGGACCTGAGCAGCACCTTTGGGAGCCGCCCTCCTCTTGAGGGCAGAGAATGCTGAGCTCAGTCCATCTGCCCTCCCACCACCTGCAGATCTTCTCGCTGGGCTACTGCCCCACTGGGGAGTGGCTGGCTGTGGGCATGGAGAGCAGCAACGTGGAGGTGCTGCACCACACCAAGCCTGACAAGTACCAGCTGCACCTGCACGAGAGCTGCGTGCTCTCCCTCAAGTTCGCCTACTGCGGTGAGCCTTGGATGGGCCCAGGCCTGATGGAGTGGGGTGGGGAACCCAGGGCAGCCTGGCCCAACAGGACAGAAGAGGGGCCCAAAGCTTATAGAATAAGCTAGGCCCTGGAACCAGGCCTCCTGACCCCTGAGCTGGTGCCCCTTCAACACCCTTAAGTGATCTTGTTCCACATCCTTGTTTCTCGGATGCAGATGTCACCATGAGTTATTGAACTCTCAGGACACTAGGCCAGAGCCAGTTCTTGCAGGCTTGGGGCAAAGGAACAGGACAGTAGCAGTGCAGGCAGTTCCTCTCCATGGTTACAACCACTTGCTTTGGCATCTGAGAGCCTTGGATGGGAATGTCTGCTCCTCCACTGACAAGCTGTGCAGTCTTGAACATCTCACCCTCTCTGAACTCTAGTGGATTTTTCTCTCTGGTCGGGAATAGCATGGTGCTCATGGCTTTCAGGGAGCATAAGGGCTTTAACACTTGTAGAGCCCTGGCCGAGTTCCTGCTTGGAGGAAGGTCGCCCACTGACTGCTGTCTTCAGCCAGGTCTCCAGACTCCCAGGGCTTGGATATTTTCAGTATTTCCTGTTGCCTTCCAGTAGTAGAATTTAGAAAGGCCAGTCAACCTTAGTGGCTTTAACAAGAATCTTTTGAGGCAGCGTTATCACTGCAATGAACTTCAAATCCTACCTTTTCCCATCCTAGCCCCGCCCAGCCCTCCCCCTGGATTTCAGAGAAAGGCCTTCTCCAGGTGTCCGCATGTCCCATTTGCAAAATGCCTCTCGAAATTGGAGAGTTATACTAGTTAGCAGTTCTCACTGCTTTTCTATGGCAGCTGGCCATGTCTAGGGCAGGTCTTGCTTTAGAGGGCAGTGAGCTACAACCTGATCATGCCTTTGCCTCCCACCTGCAGGCAAGTGGTTCGTGAGCACTGGGAAAGATAACCTTCTCAACGCCTGGAGGACGCCTTATGGAGCCAGCATATTCCAGGTACTGCCCACCGTCTGAGTCCTCCTCTGGGTTCTACCCAGAGTTGAAACTTGGTGATGGTGATGGGAGTGAGGATAGCAGCAGGAAGAACAGGAGGAGCCTGGAGCCAGGATCAGACCTGCCCTGGTCCCCTCCCCACCCCTACCTGATAGGGGAGCAAGATTGGGTTCTCCCAAGGACCTGGGGACTTCAGCAGGACACACAATCTGCTACTGATGGCTTCTGACCCCCGAGGGCAAGGGCTTCTAAGCCGGGGCGCTTGTCGGATTTGGAGAGTGAGGAATAGCATAAGTGTTTTTGCTCTGGGCTGGATGCTGAGCACCTGCGGGAGGTGCGCTGGGCACCTGGGCACCCGGCAGCCTTGCCCAGAGCAGTGTTGCCTCCTCAAGTGAGTGAGTGTTTCCACCTGCATTCAGCACCAGCAGGGACATGGACAGGAAAGAGAGGAGGAAAGGAAGAGGCTTTTTATAATCTACCAGGATCTGGGGCCTGCCATACTGCACTGATTGGCACACACACGTGTGCACACACACACGTGCACTCTTTCCCATACACGATCAAACTCACACTCATTTACTCACGCACACTTGGTCTCCCCCACACACTTTCTTCCTCTCTCTCTCTTGCGCTTCCACACACACACTTGCATTCTCTCTCACTCCCTCAGCCAACATGCCGCTTTCTGGACCCAGGCTGAAATGTCTGGTGTGCAGCGTGTCAAACCTCATTGTTAGGGTCTCTAGTTACAGCACATGCTTCAAACATCAGGTGGCAATCCTTTTCCTAACTCATCAGGCTGTGGGCCTGAGCTGCTGACGCCAGCTCCTAGCTTGGAAATGCTTCTTCCTATTTGTAAACTCGGAGGAGAAGCTCTTGCTAAAGCGTCCTGTTCTGATCATTATGACTTACTGTAAAGATCACGTGGGAGACTGTTACTGAGCTTTTCCTTATGGAAAAGCAGGTGGGAGGGGAGCTCTACCTGAAAATGCTTCATGGGTGCTTTAAAGCCTCCCCCACCTCCTCTTCACCGCACTGTGCTCCAGGTCGGAGCATCAGAGAGGGGCAGAGGAGGGCAATTGTTGCCGAGAGAACCGAGATGGTGTTGAGCACTGGAAAATGAATTCCTGTCTTTTTTCTCCCTGCACCCCACGCCTTCCTGCTGCTTCTCCTCGTCTTCCTCCTCCAGTCTAAAGAATCCTCGTCTGTCTTGAGTTGTGACATTTCAGCGGATGACAAATACATTGTAACAGGCTCTGGTGACAAGAAGGCCACAGTTTATGAGGTCATCTACTAAACAAGAACTCCAGCAGGGCTGTCAAACTCTGGGAGAAACCGACTCGGCTCTGACAGGGAGACCCCCAGGCGAGGGGCCCCGAGGATGGCGGAGGATGGGCCGCAGGCAGCCGAGCGTTCAGGGCTGCGCTCCGGCCGGCTGAGAGGGCACGTGCCCCGTCACAGTCTGGACTCCTGGGCCTGGATTGATGTGTCTCACAGACTCGGAAGGGTTCTGCTCCTCCTCCTCCCCCTGAACAATGCTGGCAGTTGCTACAAATAGATTTATTGGAGGCTTATGGCTCCGGTTCCCCCACAGACCCGCTCATGAGTCTCTGTTTGTTCTTCCCTTTTCTTTTGCCCTGTCCCTCACCTTGGGTCGGGGGTGCTGGAGTGGACCACAATGTTGTGCTGGGGGATGGGGGGGTCTCTCTTTGCCGATTGTGCAGTGCACAAGATTTGTGAAAAATGTAAATAACAGACTCCTATTGCGGACTGATCAGTGGGAGAGGAGGCCCCTTCCCACCGGAAACTCTGAGTGTGTATTTCGCCTGCTGTATTTGTAATCCACTCGTGGTGGTGGCTTTTTTTTTTTTTTTTTTTTAAATAAACAGATGCTCTCACCTGGGAAGAGGAGACAGGGAGGGGAACCAATTGAAGAAAGAGGAGAAAAGTCTTAGAGTGTGGAAAAGGCAACCAGGTTGGCCGTAAGGTGCCTGCTGGAATGCGTGTGCCTCCACACGGGTCTGGGCATCCGGACTGATAACCAGCCGGCCAGACTGAGGGATGGAAGGCACTGAGATGGGGGCCCGTCCAGGCGGACACCCGCAGAAATGGAGCTTTCTGTGGTCTCTTGCACTCTGGCTGCCTCTTGCCCTCTCTGTGTCTCTCTTTCTTGGTCTCTCCCTCTCTCCTCCTCAGCCTGGTCTTTCTCTTTGGTGCACACTTAGTTATTGTTGTGAGCAATGGAAGTTCAAAGGAACTCCCTCTCCAGCTCTTCTGAATCTTGGGACACAGCCTAAAAAGGACAAAAAGTTAGAAGACAGCATAGCAACTCAGCTCAGGGAGCTACCAGAGAAAAATAGCAACTGATGTGGGTGCTTTTTTTTTTTTTTTAATTTGAATAAAAAGAATTAGAAGTGATGTCCTTTTATAAAATGCCTTCTCCCCCTTCCCGCCTACAGTCTCTTCCTCTCCCCTTAGAGGGGGGAAAGTGTATAAACCTACAGGGTTGTGAGTCTGAAAAGAGGATCCCCCTCACCCCCACCCTGGGCAGAGCAGTGGGGGTTGGGGGGTGGGAGAGGGGGACACAGATCCTGGCACACTGTGGATATTTCTTGCAGATTGCAGTCTCTTGTGGCCCAAACAGGTTAGGTAGACTATCGCCTCTGGCAGGTGCCACCTTTTGGTACCAACATGTTCTGAGGTGTTAGGATTTGGGTTGGGTTTTTTTTGTTTGTTTTTTTTTTCCTTTTGGTCTTTTTTTTTTTCTCCTTTTAAAGAAAAGCTAAAGGCCGCTGTGAGTCCTGGTGGCAGGCTCTCCATGGATGTAGCATATCGAAGATAATTTTTATACTGCATTTTTATGGATTATTTTGTAATGTGTGATTCCGTCTGCTGAGGAGGTGGGAGGGGCTCCAGGGAAAGCCACCCACCTTCAGTGAGGTTGCTCCCCAGCTGAGCGCACCGGGCATGGGATGTGGAGGCTGGCGACACACCCTGTGCCTCTCCAAGGCTGGGCGCGTGGGGCGTCCAGAGTCTCTCTGGGTCTCAGATGTCCATCTGCCACCTCTTGTTAAGGCTCTAGCCAGAAGGGAGGGTGAGGGTAGAAGAAAGTTATTCCCGAAGAAAAAAAGAATGAAAAGTCATTGTACTGAACTGTTTTTATATTTTTAAAAGTTACTATTTAAAGGTTGGTTTGATTGTTGCGTCTTAATTGCCTCTCCCCCCAGTTTGCCAGTCCCGCCCCCCGCCCCCCGGGAAAACAGCCAGGCCACTGTTGCTGTCACATTCTGGAGCCTGGGCCAGGGCCATTTCCCATCGATGTGAGCTCTTCTCATCTCACAGCATTCCCTGCGCTGCTTCCACCCCCTTCTCCCCTTCCAGATACCCAGCATCGCAGCAGGGATTTCACAATCCCATACTGTGTCGCCTCCCATCCAAGCGCCAGGGAGGGTGGGGGGTAGGAGCTAAGACTTCCTCTGGACAGATGGGCAGGGCAGAGTTCACTGAGGTGAAGGAAGACCACAGGTTAACACCAAAGTATTGTACAGCTGTCAATGCAAAACTTTTTTGGAAAAAAATTAAACGTAATGAACTTGAAGCGAAACTGCAAAGTGTCTGTGAACATCTGGACCTTGGAAACCTGCACAATTTTATTTTAAGCTTAACACGTTTAGGTGGGACGAGGAGATCTTCAATCTCTAGGTCACAAAGGTGTGTTTTTGGATGATACAGAAGGAAGCATTTGCAGAAGAGGCAGACCCAGAAATGCAGGTCATTGTCCCCAGGGAGGGAGTCGGGGGGCTGGGCGGGAAGAGGAGAATGCTGGTGCCCATTCCCGGGGCGGTCCCCAGGCTCTTGGATTTCATGCACCCATTAGCAAAAGCTCTCAGGGCACTGGAGATTAACATGGTTTCCAACTCCTTATTTTGTCAAAGTCATTCTCAGCACAAACAATTGCCTGCTGTCATTTCATACAAGAAAGGGAATCTCACATTTAAAAAAAAAAAGAGGAACGACAGTCTCAGCATAAAGCACAGTCTTTATGACTAGAAGGGACAACTGGCCTCTCTCCACACAGAGGGGTCATTTAGCTGGAGAGGGAGGTCCTCTCAGGCTTATGGAGGAGACAATGCCAGCAGGTAGAAGGGACCAGACAGGCTGCAGTGGGCTACAGCTCTGCCTCAAATGGTTGCAGGGGTGTGAGTCAAACAGCTCTCCTTGGACCATACCTTTCTCGTGTGTCCATCTCTGGGCATTGCAACAGAGGGCTAGGGGGCTGGGAGCAGGCTCTGGCCAGAATAAGATTGTGTGTTTGTCCAGAGCATGAGGTTACCCATGGGAGCCAAGATCAGGGTGGAATTGGGGCTTGCAGGCCCCAGTTTGGCAGAAGAGGAAAATGTCCATCAGGGAATACTCACCCCCCCAGGCTTGTCCTATTGGAAAGCAAGGCCAATGTTACTCTTTGAGGAGAGACTGAACCTCTGCAAGTCTGTTCACTGAGATTTCCTGGGCACACTCAAGGATGGAGAGATGACCAAGAGTCAGTCCCTGCCACAGAAGCTCACAGTTCAAGGTCGGGGAGATGATACAGCCCCTTACTTCATTTGACCTGTGTTCCCACTGCTGCTGTCCTTAATGCCGGCACACTGGGCCTCCCCTGCACTGAGCCTCTCTGCACGTGCTTCCTCCTTCCTCCTGCTGCGTCTCCCCATCCACCACTCCACTGCTTTCCACCCAACCCTGGCTGGCGGCACGAACCACATCTGGGAGCGTGTTAGAAATCTAGAATGAGCCCCTCAGTCCTACCCAAGCAGAATCTGCATTTTAACATGCTGCCGCGATTCCTGTGCACATCAGTATTTGTGAAGCATTCCAGTCTGAAAGGAGGGGCCCACTCCATGGTAAACCTATTCCCATCCTTAATCCCCCCATGTTGCCCCCTTTTTACTTAACAGGGTGACAGGAGGCTTTGATGCCATTTTTCTGGCCTTTATCACCCTCCAAGTGTTCCTTTCCTCTTATGCAGAAATCCAGGCTTGTAGCAACCATAGCGTTTACAACATGTTCCTGCACCTATTTGCTTGTCTCTTCCCACCTAGACTAGTTTCCCTGGAGGGCAGTGCGCAGGACCTCATCAGCCCAGGGCAGTGCTAGTGAATGATGAGCTTTCACCAGTTTGAGATTATCCTAATTCACAGTGTCTGGCGTGATACCCAGGGCATCCGATACTCAGTAACCCGAGCCCAGAGAAGTGAAATGATGTCTGGAGTGTTTTCAATTCTATTGTGCTGTTTTTGCTCAAAGCAAGATCTGTTTTTTAAAAAATGGAGGGCCACAGTTGTCAGAGGCCAGGTTTAATGTTTTAGTTGCCATCAAATTATAAACAAATGGGCTGGGCATGGTGGCTCATTCCTGTAATCCCAGCACTTTGGGAGGCCAAGGTGGGCAGATCACCTGAGGTCAGGAGTTTGAGACCAGCCTGGCCAACGTGGTGAAACCCCATCTCTACTAAAAATAAGAGAATTAGCTGGGCTTGGTGGTGGGCGCCTGTAATCCCAGCTACTTGGGAGGTTGAGGCAGGAGAATTGCTTGAACCCGGGAGATGGATGTTGCAGTGAGCCCAGATCATGCCATTGTACTCCAGTCTAGGCGACAGAGCGAGACCGTCTCAAAAAAAAAAAAACAAAAAAAAAAGAACAAATATTTGGGTCATCTTTGGCAATAGCTGACAAAGCCACCCTTTCTAGCTTCCCTCTGAGTCGCAGCCCCCAGGTGGCCCCAACCCCAGCATGGGCAGTAATTGTCTAACTTGTAGGGTCTCTGAGAAGGTATGGAGACAGAGATCTGGACGCTGGAGCCAGAAGGATCCTTAGCAAGACTGCTAAATGTTAGGTACTGGCCATCAAATGGCCCATAATGATGCAAGTGTAATTTTTTTTCCCAATAACTTATTCAGTGTTTACAAATGAGCATCATTTTTAATATAAAGCAAACAAATCTGAACTTTTAAAAAAATTGTATGATTAATGGAGCATTTTTAAACATTATACCAAAGTTGGACCTTTTATATTTGAAGAGACATCTATACTAAGCCCAATTTTATAGATGGGGCAATTAAGGCCCAGGGAGGGCAAGTGACTTAACATGACTCACAGAGTCCAAGCCAACATTATGATGAAACATCCCCCTCCCCTAAACCCTTAGCACACTCAGGATGGAAAGCTAGGAGGGAACTGCCCAGCCTACAGGACTTGATGTTGCTTGGAGGATTAATATCCAGGGAATGAGTCTTCCTGCTCCTCTACCAACAGTACTGGTAAGGAAATTACTCATGGAAAGGAGATGGCCCAGAACAGTCATGGAAACCAGCCTCCTGCCTCAAGAACTTCCTAGAACTCACCCACCCACCCATCTTGCCCATCCTTCTATCCATCTATCCACCCATCCATTACCCACCCACACATTTATCCGTATACCCCTTCATTCACTCTTCCATCCATCTATCTAGCCATCCTATTCACCCGTCCATCCTACCAACATTTATATAGTAAGAATCTAATATGTGCCTGGCATGGTTCTCGATGCTAAGATGCAAAGATAGTAAGATGCAGTGCCTGCCCTTAGAGCTCTCAGCCAACTGGGAGAAAACAGAAACTGACAATTCCCACTCCATGAGATATGTGAAAGTGCAAACCAGATGTCACCACACATAGCTGAGGCATTGACTTGAGTATGGAAGGGCAGAGCAAGAGGGTCCTGGAAGGACCAAGAGCTAAACAGAAGTGAAGAATACCATGGGCATGCCAATGAAAGGTATGAAGAAAAGTGTTCCAGGTGGAAGGAACAGCATGTGCTAAGGCCTGGGGTAAAAGAGAGCATGGTCCCAACAATGCATCCCTACCTAACCCATCTAGTTCTTGCTCCTCCCTCCAGCTCCATCCAGCCTTCTTACATCCCAGTTCTTGCTGCAACTTCCCGACCCCTCACCCCCACCAGTAGCCTCCAGGCCAGAAGCTGGGCTAGGATTCTGGCTGAGCAGGCTGGTGAAACCGGAGGAGGGAGCTGGACAGAGACCACAATTCCAGCCTGAACCAGGAGAGGCAGAGGAATGGGGAGAAGATGGAAGGAGGCTGCAATTCAGTGTCTGAGAATGCCCATGATAATGCCCCAGGGCTCTGAGTCCCCAACACAATTGGCATCAGAAGACCCGGGGATCTGTGATTGGATCATGGTGCATGATCAGTTCCTTACCTGGGTAATATACCTATTCTAAGCTCCCACCACATTCACACAGTTACTTTTATAAACTGCACATCTGGCCCCATCATTGCCCATCTTGGAGCCCCTCACTGGCCCTCTTCACAGCACAACTCACCCTTAACTCATCTAGGTGTGGGCCCTGTATCTCTAAAGTCATCCCTCCCCACTTATCTTGCTTCCCTTCACACACCAGCAGCACAGTACTTCCAATGCCCTGAAAAGCAATGCTCTCCCATTTTAGGTTTTGCATGTGCTTCTCTTTCAGCTTGAATGTGGTGCATCCTTCTTTGAATTTCTGCTCATTCTTCAGGAGTAGGCCTCAATGTCACTTCTTCCAGGAAGCCTTCCCTGACTGCCCACTTCCCTACTCCTTGGTACTCTGAGAGTGTTCTCTCCCAACTTTAGGTAGCACATACCAAGCACAATGTTAGTATGATTACAGATGGTTCTACTTAGGACTTTTGATTTTATGATGAGTTTATTGGGTATTAAATGCATTTTTTTTTTTGAGACGGAGTCTTGCTCTGTCACCCAGGCTAGAGTGCAGTGGCGTGATCTCAGCTCACTGCAAACTCCGCCTCCCGGGTTCAAGAGACTCTCCTGCCTCAGCCTCCGGAGTAGCTGGGATTACGCGTGCCCGCCACCATGCCGGGCTAATTTTTGTGTTTTTTAGTAGAGATGGGGTTACACCATCTTGGCCAGGCTTGTCTCAAACTCCTGACCTTATGATCCACCTGCCTCAGCCTCCCAAAGTCCTGGGATTGCAGGCATTAAATGCATTTTTGACTTAGAATTTTTCAACTTACGATGGGTTTATTGGGACATAACCCCATTGTAAGTCAAGGACCATCTGTATGGTTTAATGATATCCTGTCTCCTGATGCCCACCTGACCCTCCCACCACACAGTGGGCTCTCAGAGAACAGCGACTTTGTCTTATATCTCCAGTGCTTAGTGCATTGTAGGTACTCAGGAAAATGTTACTTGAATGAATCAGTGAGTGTGTGATTAAGATAATACACTAATATTTCTAGAGTGCTAGTGCATGTAAATCATGTCAGTCAGTGCTTCATAAATATTGTTTAATACTCATAACTGACCTATGAGGTCATTGCTATTATTATACTCATTTTATGGATGAAACAACTGAAGTTCAAGTTCCCCAAGGTCACACAGCTTGTAAGGTTTGTATGACACTGCTGCTGAATGGTTGGATGGATGGATGGATGAATGGATGGATGGATGGATGGATGAGTAGATGGATGCATGAAAGGATGGATGGATGGATGGATGGTTGGATGGATGGATGGATGGATGGATGGATGGATGGATGAATGGATGGATGGATAAATGGGTGGATGGATGGATGGATGGATGGGTAGATGGATGGATAGATGAATGGGGGAATGGATGGATAGACGAATGGATGGTTGAATGGATCGATGAATGGATAGGTGGATGGATGAGTGGATGAGAGGATTGGCGGGTGAGTGGAGGATAGGTGGTGGACTGCCTGCCTCATGAGGACTGGAGTAGAAGCTTGGAAAGAACTGATCCCACGTGTAGAGGAGATCAGTGATCTTAGGTGGAAGAGTATGGGAAGAAGAGCCAAGAGACAGAAGCTCCCCTGGCTAAATCAGACCTTTCTTACATCCATTTGAGTACCTCTGTGAATGCCCAGAAAACCCCACAGTGTGCTCAACCTGACCCGGACCCAGTTCCCCTCTCAGACAGGTCAGAAGTGGGCCCTAGGGAGCTCCTGACTGCTGAGGCAAGAGAGGGAGTTAGGATGGGGCTATGGCCTTGTCCCTACAGGGTATCACAGATGGAAGCTGCCCTGTGCAAATGTTTGGTGGCAACAGGTTAGAAGATGAAAAGATCGGGCCTAGAATTTCCAATTCAGGAAAATGAAACAGCAAGCTAATAAGGATTCACTTTGACCATGTGAACACAGACATATTGTATAAAATTAAAATAAAACAATTTTGCTAATCTACATGAAAGAAAGGGGAATCCTTTAATGTGGTAAATAAAAGACTTTAAAGGTAGAGTGGAGATCCCTAGCTCAGAACAATACCCAAAAACTACATAAAGCAAAAATGGACAGAATTACAAGGAGGAATGGGAAGTTTTATCATACCACTAAGAGGAACTAGTAGATCAAGCTGTGAGAAATTTATAAGGTTATAAAAGATATGAACAACATAATTAACAAGCTTGAGACATAGAACCCTACAAGCAACTATTGGAGCCCGCAAATTATTTTCTAGAACACCTGGAAGTCTTAGAAAGTTTTACCAGTAAAAAGAAGCAGATAGAGCATTTTACAAAATTCAACACCCATTCATGACTCCCTTAAAGTTACAAACCAGGAATCAAAGAAAACTTTAATCTGACAATGGATAGCTATATCAGACCTGCAGCCAAATAATAGATAACAGTAAAGTTTCAGAAGCATCATATTAAAGTCATAAAAAACAATCAATGAGCCAGGACAGCAGTGTGTACCTGTTGTCCTAGCTACTTGAGAGTCTGAGGCAGGAGGATCACCTGAGCCCAGGAGTTGGAGACTAGCCTGGGCAACATAGCAAGATCCCATCTCTAAAAAACTTTTTTTAAACACAAGAATATTCATTATTACTGTCTCTGTTCAACGTTGTGCTGGAGGGTCTAGCCAATGCAATAGGACAACATAAAAAATAAAAGGATAAATAAAAGTATCATGATTGAAGTGAAAGAAACAAAGTTGTAATTATTTGCAGATAATATGACTAGATATACACAGAATATAAAACTGTTTAATAAGGGAGTTTAGTCAAGTTGCTGGATCCAAGATCAAATTTCATTAATCAATAGCATTCCTATTCACAAGCAGCAACCAATTAGAAAATGTAAAGAAAAATGCATTTATAATAGTAAAAGCTACCTATGAGTCAATCCAAGTAAAGCTACGTAAGATCTTTAAGGATAAAAATACAAAATTTTATTGAAGATTTAAATGTAAAAAGACCTCTGTATATCACAAACTATGCCATAGTCATTTATGAGCTTTTTCATTTAAGAAGCTGTATTTTACAACTATTTATAAATACAATGTTAAACAAATCCAAATGGAATGTTTTCTGTGTAATTTGATAATCTGATACTGATATTTATATGAAGAGTAAGGGACCAAGAATAGCAAATACAATTTTGAAGAGAAATGAGGGAGGAGAACTTCGCCTGCCAGATATCAAGACTTACTGTAAAGCTACAGGAAGCAGGAAAGTGTGCTCTTGCTGCATGTGCAGACAAATAGACCAATGGAGCTGAATAGAGAGTCCATAAGTAGACTACTATATAGGTGAGAATGTGACTACCACATAGATGGCATTATGCATCAGTGGAGAAAAGCACTATTCAGCAATAAGTTCTGGAGCAACAGGCCATCTTCATGGTGGGAAAATGGATCCCTACCTCACACAGTACACAAAAATAAATTCTCAAAGGATTAAGGTTTTTAAGCTTATAGTACAGAATATTGGAGAACAACCTCAGGACTCAGAGGATGGGAAAAATTATTGAACAAGACAGTAAGCAAAAGCTATAATGAAATAAAGATCAATTTGATGATATTAAATTTTAAAATACCTGTACAACAAGAGATACTATAAAGTAACAAAACATGAAAAAACATAAACACAATGCCTACAACTGACCGAAAAAAGTGGTGTCTGGAATAGATAATGAATTATTCCAAATCAGTACATTGAAAGCCAACAACTCGAGAGGAAAATGGGTAGAGGACATAAATAGGTGATTCACAGGAGAGGAAGCAGAAATGCTCAACAAACACGTGAAAATACCTCATCTCACCAGCTATCAGGGAAATGCAAATTTACAAAACAAAATGAAATGGAACGACCCATTCCCATTAGACTGGCAAGTTTTCGAGTTTGATCATATGAAGCTTCCATGAGGGTGGTGAATGACTAGTATTGTCAAACACTGTGGGAGCATAAATTGGTTCAACCACTTTGTGGTTGCCAAACAACTATTACTATTACTAATAGGTTACTCTTGCCAGGCAGTTTGGCAATCATGAAGGAGGAAAAGCACAACCCTGTGACCCACTAAATCTACTTCCAGGTATGCACCCTGGAGAAACTCTTCAACAACTCCATGAAGAGATATGTACAGAATCTTCATTGCCTCCTTGTTTGAGCAAAAATAATTAGAAACAACCTGTCCATTAATGGATGAATGGATTTTAAAAGATCTATGCATTTTCCTATAATAAAATTGTACATAGGCATTAAAATGCATAAGCTATATCTTTCTGTAGCAGTTTGGATAAATCTCAAAAACAATGTTGTGTGAAAAGAGCAAGTTGTGGAAGGAAATACATGATATGATACTATTTATATAAAATAGAAATCCACAAAACAATTCTATATTTGAGCATATATATACATATATATATGAGTAGAAAGAACACCCTACACCACCAGGATAATGGTTATCTGTGGGGAGGGAAGAAACGGAAAGGTCAGCGGGAGTTCAGCTATACCTATCACATTTTATTACTTTTTAGAAACTCTGTAGAGAATGTTAAAATGTTCACATTTTAAAAATCTGCGTGGTGGCTTTAGAAGGGTCGTGTTATTTTCTGTACTTTGTGACATGTTTGAAATATTTCATAATTAAAGATTTTTTTTTAAAAAGGCAGAAAAGTAAAGACTTAAGAACTCGCCCCCGTTATAGTGTCTGGTGACTCAAAGGGGGCCTGGGGTGGGGGTGCCCATGCCCAGTGGCAGATAGCAAAGCCCCGGGCTCACCACATCACCTTAGTCACGTCACGGGATCTCTCCAGTCCTTGATCTTTTCATCCTTTATGTGATGCTTGAAGGCAGGTGAATAATCAATCCCTGGGTCCTCTCCAGCTTGGATGTTTTGTGGTTCTAATGATTTTGTGAGTGTGCAGGGGCAGTGCTCTCATGCAGAGACAGCATGGATTAGATTTGTTTAGCTTTTCATTATGAAAAATGCCAAACAGAGAAGTAGAGAGAACAGAATAATGAATCTCCATGTGCCCATCAACCAGCTTCAACAGTTATCAACTCAGGGCTAATCTTCTTTTATCTATACCCCACCCATCTCTACCAGTCACCACCACTGGAGTATTATGTAGCAAATTCCAGACATTTCATCATTAAATTAGCACATATTTTACTATTTCCAAAACGTAAGACCTGTTTTGAAAATGTAACCAAATACCACTAAACCTAAAATATAACTTCTTATATCATCAAATATCCAATCTGTATTCAAAGATCCCCAATTGTCTCATAAGTCTTTTTACAAAGTGTATTTATTTGAATTAGGATCCAAATAAGATCCACACAGAGCAAGCAAAATTGATATGTCTTTTAGATTCCTGCTTCATATCACATCCTCTCTCTCATACACATCCATACACACACATATTTATTTACTGGAAAAAAAACCAAATTTGTCCTTAGAGCTTCACATAGTCTGAATTTTGCTGATTGCTAAATTGTAGTTAGATCTTGGAGCTTGATTAGATCCAGGCTTGATTTTGGAGGGAGGCAGAATACTTCATAGATTCATTAGGAAACACATAGCAGCTAGATGCTTCTCCTTTTGTATGTTAGCAGTCACCGATGATCATTGTGTAGATTCATTAACTCATTAGGGGCTACATAAGGGTGATTCCAATTGCAACATTTGCTTGAATATTGTTATAAAAAGAAACTGCCCCACACCAACCATTTGGTTACCTTGAAGTACAGTTCATACAGGAAAGGCAAGATGAATGCTTGATTCATTTGCTTTATTTGCCAATTTTCAAAATAATAAGTTAATTCTTCAGTATCCTCAGCAATTGACCAATGAGGTATTCTTTTTTAAAACATTATGAATGTGTGAATTTAAACATATTTGATATGTTTGAGTCAAGTGGAGTTATCTTTATTGCTTCTGAAATCATCCTACTTGGGGATCCTCTTGAAGATGCCTCCTGAGTCTTTTTAATACGACCATACTAGTCTTTGAGAGCTTCCATGCTTTCTGGTAAAAGACAATGTCCCTGGCTCATCTTGTACATTTTCCATCCTGGATGTGGAGTTGGCCATTTTTTCCAATGAACCTTGGTTCTGTTTAGTGGAAAGTGGTATTTGGAGACCATAATCTGGGTGCTTGGGGTGCTTGATGCTAATGAAATGATCATTGTTTCTGGGCCTTTTCAGTAGCAGAGCTAAGAAATGTGTATGTGCATATTTATATATTTGTTAATATATAAATAGACCGTGAGGTCTACTGAGGCTTCTAATTCAAATTCAGGGTTACAGGGTTTTTTTATTTAACCTCATTGATCTTCTACCTGTATCTCCTTGCTAAGTAGATTAAATTCTGAGTGGTTTACACCTAAGTGAAGATGAATTTCAAATTCTTCCCTTGTTGCTATTCATTTGCTGCTTGCTTCATTTTTCCAACCAACCAACTGTGAATTTCTTGAGGGCAGAGATCAAGTTTGGTTCACTTCTCTATTCCCAGTTCCTAATGGAGTACCTGTCATCTGATAGGTGTTTGGTAAACAGTTACTAAATGCCCAAAAGAATGCTTTCAATGAAAAGTTTCCTTTCCTTAAAAGGAGAAGTAGAGTGAGTAGAATCTGAAAATTTGCTCAGGATTGTAAGCCAAGCATATCGGCCCACACACCCATGCATTAATTCAATAAATATAGACAGAACAGACCCAGTGTTGGAGGCTAGGGGCACGAAATATAGAGGTAAGTGATCTATACCCTCACAGAATGCACTTGTTAGTGGAAAAAACAAATTCTACTAATTAATAATTAGTGGCCTGGACAGCATATTGTGGGGGTCCTCATCGGGGGAAGAGGCAACTCTCAGAAGGGTCAAAAAGGGGAAGTATTCATGAAGGCTTCCCAGAGGAGATCACATTTGACTAGGTGTTTAAGAGTGCATCGGGGTTGTAGGTTTATAGAGGGAAAGGCATTTTAGACATGCCAGTCCCTGAACTGCTTGCCTCTCTGCAGTTCTGAGCTAGTTTGTCCTTGGATGGGCCTGAAGAGTTTGTAGATTCCTTGTGCTAGGGCTGGAGCTACTCCTTAGAGAACCTCTAGTGTCTCCCAGGAGGGTCAGCAGGTGGAGGGAGGGAGGAAGGGAGGAGGGAGGAAGCCCACAGTACTGAATCACTTTGCTGAATACTGCACAGAGAGGCCATCCCTCTGTGCAGGGCACTATTTGGAAACTGCTGCCAACTGCTGTGCATGCACTATGTAGATCAGCTTGTTTGTCAACGAAAGTAATTTGCATTCAAGCTTGTTTGGGGACACACTCCCTAGTCTCCAGGAAGCCCTAAGGACAGATGTTACCCAAGACTGCTACTTGACTCACCATCACCTTTCTATCAGTGTGAGGCACCCTCCTCTGGCCCTGCTGGCTCAGTTCCAGGAGGCGCAGGTGTTCAGGCCTCTAAGTCCTACCCACCAACATGGACAGAGCTACCTAGACCTACGCAATCAAAGAATCGCAGTCATCTAATGATATTTGCCCTGGTCTAGAACCCACCAGCCTATGATTTACCTCATAGGTTTAAAAAAATAAGTTTACTTTTTAAAGCCTAAATGTAAAGATTTTAAAAGGAAACTTTATATATTATCATAAATAAAATACCAATATTCCTTACCTTAAATTTAAAAGTCTGCATACTTGTAAATGCAATGAAAACAATTCTAAGTAGCTGTACCTCAAGTTCTCACTCCTTCCTTGTTAAAAAAGGGAGATGACCCAGTGTTTGAGAGCTGTGTTGGACATTCGCACCCAAATGAAACCTGCGCCTTGTCCAAATCAGAAATGATTGAATGAGAATTGGGAAGAGAATAATTTCCTGCTCTGCAGCCCATGGTTTTCAATGCCTCGTCATCTTTCTTACAAAACTCTCCTCTGTGCCACAGCTTGGGAAAGCCAGATCTAGTCCAATATCTTTGTTACAGATGGGGACACTGAGGCCCAGAGAACACAGTGACTTGGAATTGAAAGTTTCATGGAAGCAGGACCTCTGTCAAGCTCAGTCCCTCTGGTATCCCCAGTGCCTTGCACCGTGTGCAGAACGAAGGAATGGGTGACTTCACACAACCTCGAGTCGAGACTGAAACGAACACCCAGGCTTCTTGACTCTTGAGTGTTTCTGTGTTGCAGAGCTCCTCACCCCATCCCCAGCCTCCACCACCCCTCCTCAGCTTCCTCTTTCAGTTCTTCTTGGGGAATTCAGGGGATTGTGCATCTTGAGCAGGGCCATGTGGCCCTGCCTGGATCTCATTCTTTCTCTGCTATCTGCAGCTGGTTATGTCCTAGTCTCTAGGTGGCCTGACCTGCGATGTGCAGGGGGAGAGAGAGGGCAACTGCCTCCCTCTTCCCTCTTTCCTTCGGCCTCCAGTCAGCAGCTCTGAGGGTCCATTCTGAGCCATCAGCCCTGCCCTGCCACCTGGGGTGGGAGAGCTGGTGAGCACAGAGTGGGGTCGTATGGGCAGGAACTGAGGGGCTCCAAATGGATGTGGGGAGAGGCCCGAGCCGGCAGGAGAGTGGCTCCCGTCCCTTGAGCTTCCTGCCCTAGCTTTTCACTCTGAGGACACTGATCTCTGCCCCATCTGTGGGCTCTGTTCTGCACTCACCTGAGCCAGGCCTCGTGAGACAGTTATTGTGTCAGGTCCTGTCTGGCCATCCTGGCACACAGTCATTCAGCCTCTATCCAGTCAACAAACATTTCCAGAGACCCACTCGGTTTGGGCCCCAGACTTCAGAGATGAACAGGACCCAGCCTCTGCCCCCAAGCTGCTGCCAGGGTTGGGGGTGGGGAACGGCCCCATCCCCAGATGACCCTAATATTCCATGACCAGTGCTCCTAGGGCACTAACTGGCACAGGGGCATGGAAGTCCAAAGGACAGGCACCCACGGGCCCCCAGGGCCAGGATGGCTTCCTGGAAGAGGTAAGGTCTGAGCTGCGCTCTGAAGGATGAGGGGGATGAGGAAGGCCATGGAGGAGGGGCAGTGTGGCATGTGCAGAGGCTCCTGAGGGAGGGTGAGGGTGACAGGAGAATGCTGAGGACTGAGATGGACTCTGGGGGAACCAAGGAGCCTCTGACAGTATAACAAGGAGACTCTGGGTGGAATTCGGCCATTGGGAAACAAGCTCTACTTGTGGTGTCAGGGCAAGGCAGAGAGGAGGACGCCAGGCAGCTGGCAGCGTGGGCACTAGCACGGTGACGGTAGCCTCAGAGCATGGCACAGCCAGAAGAATGTACCCAGTGCATAACCAGGGGAAGAGGGGCCTGAACCCATCTTTCACCTTCCATGTCCCACTGCTGCTCAACAGGACTCAGAGGGGAGACTCTCCCAGATGGGAGACCAGCTACATCTGCTGGTCCATTGAACAGGTGCCCTGTTTCCTGCGGCTGGCAAAGCTGGAAGCCTAGTGTTCTGGGATGGCCTGCGTCATTGCTACCCCTTGAAAGGCAGCTTACCCTCCCCAACCTTCTACCTTGTGGTAGCACAGATGTCAGCTGTGGGCTTCTGCCTCCAACCCTTCCCCCTGAGTTTCTCTTGGTCACTGTGGCCAGAGCCCACCTGACACAGGCCAGCCATCTCTCCCCCACCCGTGACATTCCCCCAGCAGCCCTGCCCTGTGCCTAGTGCTCCATGTATTGCCCTGTGGGCCCTCCTGCCACCATTCTTGATGCCTCTGGGCCTCCAGGGTCTCAGGCCTCACCCTGGCCAACTTCCCTCTCCCTGTAGTCCAGAGTGTCCTCAGCTCCCTGCCTCCCTCTCTGCACCATTCCCAGAGCAGGCCTAAGTTTTGGCTGTGCCCCAGGATTACTGGGTGTGATTCTTTGCGCATCTGTGCCTCAGTTTCCTCATCTGAAACAGCGGGGTGGAAACCAGACGTCAGAATCCCACCCTCTGCCATGGTGGGCCCAACCCAGAACAGTAGCACCCTGGCCTCCCCACAGCCCCATTCCAGATGCCGAGTTTCGGGGGGCGGCCAATTCTGCAGGGAGGGGTGGCGGCTGGCTTGTCTAGCCAGCGCTGCTGCTATCCCAGTCCCAGCCCGAGGCAGCCCATCTCCGCAGCTCTCTGCTCCACGGTCCACCATTAGCGCGCAGCGGCCCTCGCCCCTCGGGCGGCCCCCGCACTGAGCAGATGGCAGGGGAGGCGATCGGCCGCGTCAGCTGCTGTTATCTCTCGCTGATGACACGGAGTGTAAATTTTGTTGGCAACACTCCCTCCTGCCTCTGCATGCCACCAGCTTTAATCACTGTAATTGAGTTATAATGAATGATTGTGTGTTCGCATTGTCTGAGCCAGGCGCAGCCGGAGCGAGTGAGCGGGGCTGGGCCCGCCCGCCCGCTGGGGTAGGGGGTCCTCCCTGCCCCGGGGAGGGGGCATCGCCTTCCCCCGCGCCTGGGGCGCTGGGCCTGGGCTTTGCCACTGCCCTGGGCTCCCTTCCCCCAGCATGGAGGCGGCCACACACCACAGCAGGGCTTAGTGCTTGTTTTTCCCTTATTATCATTTTCAAGTGACACAATGCATTCAGGAACATTGTGGAATATTTGGGAAATTCAGATAAGCCAAAAGAAAAGGAAAAGAAGAAAAGGAATGAGAATCACCGAAATCCTGCCCCTCGGCGATAACCTCCCTGCCCCACTACTTTACATTTTGGTGAATATTCTTTCAGACGTTTTACCACGCCAATGGAATGACAGCCGCTGCCTCCCGCACCCATCCCTGTGCGTCTGTGCCCGGTGCCTTACTACAAGCCTAGCCTCACTTGACCTCCAGAGGCTGATCCAGGAAGTGGCTCCCAATTACTCCCATTTTACAGAGGAGGCAACTGAGGCCCAGGGAGCTCAATGGACCTCCCAAACACAAGCAACCAGCTAGTGGGCTGCCCTGCTTCAAACCCGGTGGGGGCTGAGTCTGTTGGCCCCCTCCTAAGTATGCAAATAAAGTAAATTTTGAACACCCTTCTCTGTGCTTTCTCCAGTCCCCTGGTGCCCAGGAGAAAAGCAAAATTGTCTCTCGAACTGTAATGTTCTTTTTCGTTACAACATGACAGTGTCCATCCAGGGAGAGGGAATGTTGGGACTAGGTTTGCCTATTTCAGGAGAGTAGCCACCAAGTCCCCTGTGGCATCTCTGGATAGGACTGTCCCTGGTTCCCATGGCCCTTTGGGCTGCTGCCCCTTATGAGTTCGGGGGCCCTAGGCAAGACACTGCCCCATCTGTAAGTGAAGGGTAAGGGGAGCCTTCTGGGGTGGTCTGCCATCTCTGGTGGTGTTGGGGTCCCAGGAGGGTGGGCCAGCAGCTAGTGTGGCTGTAGGGCTGAGTTGACACAGATTAACCTCCAGAGAGGCTCCCTGAGTAAGGGCAGAGGGAGGTGCTAGTGAGACCAACAGCAGTTGCCCTGGCCAGGAGACACCATCGGGTAGGGGTTGGGGGTGCTGATCCCTTTGCAGGCTGTGGTCCTGGGGCAGGGCTGGAGTATGGTGGACAGCAGACAGGGCTTCTCCCAGCTCCAGCCTGACAGTCTGCACCACCTTGGCTGGTCTCATCCTCCCAAATTTCTCCTCTGAGCACTGATTCTCTGGTCTAAAATAATAAATTTCAAGGTCGCCCAGTAGTTTCTCCCACTCTTCCAGATAGCAGCATTTATTTTTTATTAAGTGACAATAGTATTGTTATTATCAATACACATATTATGTATACTTATATAGAAATATTTATATGTCTATAAATAATAGTAATATTTTATAATGCACAAATAATTATGATTATACGTGACATTTATTGAGCACTTAGTATGTGTTAGGCTTAATGTTTCTGTGCTAAGTTTATTTTCTTTTGTGACACAGTACAGTCCTTTTCTACACCAATAAGGTAAAAGCCATTTGTAAATAGATGTTTCAGTGCCTTCAATCCTGCATTTTTAAAGCCAAGCTCTCCAGCAGGACTCAACTCAGTCCTCTGCCTCAGACCCACCTTCACCTCTCCACATCTAGATGGAAGGGGGCTTACGAGTCTCCTTGCTTGAGGCAGCTCTCCAAGGAAGTTGCAATGATTGTTCTTCTTGGAGTATTTCTTGGTAAGGTATTTCAAGGGCCCTTTAGAGAACTGCTTCTCAGAGAAAACAATGATGACTTTTGTGAAGTGTTCTCAGTAAACAGCATTCTCCAGGTTTCAGGTTTCCAGTGCCTTTGGCCTTCTCTTTTGATGATGGTTCTGGTTTCTAGGATCAAAAGTCCTTTCTTCCCCAGGAGGACCCCAGGTGCCAGGCTCCATGTTTCCTGATGCTCTGTAGGCACAAGGGACATTGGTAAGGAAAGCGTACTGCACCCTCTCACTGTCTCATCAAATCCTCCCCACAACCCCAGCACCAGCTCCATTTTACAGAAGAGGAATCTGAAGCAAGAGAGGGTAAGTAACTTGCCCAGGGTCACACAGTTAGGCGATGGTGCAGGCTAATGCTTCCCATGCACTGTGGTTGGCACTGGGGGATGAATGAGACACACACAGCCCCATTCCTTGACACACTTCAGGGCTTCCCCGGACAGCTGACCTATCCCCATGCATCACCCCTGCAGACACACCCCACACATGTGTGGGCATACCCATGACATCACTGATCTCTGCAACATAGTGGTTGCCCTCTCCACTGTGCACCGCCCGGTACTGGACTTGTCCATCTGGACTTCACTGGCAAGGCAAGGCCTTTGACCTGAAGGGGAGGGATTCTTCTTTCTTGCCTTAGGAAGATCACATGGATCCCGAAGCTGTGCAGCTCCTAGAGACTAAGACCCTCCTCTTACAGATGGACGCCACAGACAGACCCATAACACACGGAACTCATATAAGCCACTGCTCGCCCAGAAAATGTCAGGTCATAGTGCTTGGCCAGTCACCTCCTTCCATCCCCGGCATCAGGCCTGCCCTCCGGAGCTGCTGCTGCTTTCTCCAGGGCTGGGGCACAGGTCTACTCTGTGGAGGTCTTACCTGTCCTTCAGTCCCCATACCCTAGACACAGCATGCTGGCCCCCAGCCTCTGGTGCTTCTGCTGTAGGGTGTCAGGAATGCATAGGGTGTGGGGTGTAGGTTCTGCTATAGGGTGTTCAGCATAGGCCAGAGATACAGAAAGGAGGGAGGAGGAAGGAGGTGGCCATTCCCATGAGCCCAGGAGGACCCCTGATTGGGGTGAGGCTGGCAGTCTCCTATGTCCCTGTATCCTTTCTAGTGACTTGGCTGACTCCATTATGGGCTCTTCTTCTAGCCCTGCTGCCAGTGTGGTCCTGACAGCCTGGGGTAATCCACTGTCTTAGAAGGTGTTCATTCATTACTCTTCTCTTGGAAACTATCTGAGGTTTCCCTAAGGGAAAGACAGAGGGAGAAGGAGGTGGCTGGAGCTGGACCACTCACTGCATTTTTTATTTCTCTCGTTGGCACCCAGAACTTTCCCAGGGACGTAGGCCTCTAACTGGACCTGGAGAATCCTAACTACTTGTGGTGTAGACACATGGTTGCTGGCCTACGGCCTTTGGACTCCTTCAAGTTTTCCCCATAGGGGATGCAATGGCACTGGGATTGGGCAGCTGGACACAGCTTCTTCTTGGTAGGTCCAGGCAGTGAGCAATGCAGGGGGCAGAGCTGGATCCAAGCCCTGGATCTGCCGCTGGTACACTGTTGACATCAGGGGAGTCACTTTGTCTCGTCCTGAGTTTCTTCATCTGTGAAGTGGGCCTAAATAAAGCTATCTCCTAGAGTTACGAGGTTTGAGGAGTGCATAGGTCAAAAGGGGCTTTGTGAACAGTCAAGTACTGCCCATATGAAGTATGAAGTACTTTGCCAAGGTGTGTGGCCACCCCAAGCTGGCCCTCAGCCACCTTGGGAGTTGGTGAGGTTTGTCTTCCAGGCTGATCTCAGCCCCCCTTTGTGCCTTATCCTGACTTTCAGTCCTGTGCTTCTCTCCCACATAGGTGCCACTATTGCTGTGTTGCTGCCTTTCCTAAGACAGGACACATTTCTTTTCAAATGAGATGGCTAGACAGGACAATGCTTAACTCCAGGGCAGGCTCTGCAGTGGCACCCCGACTCCTGCACAGAGGTATTTTTGGATGAAGCTAGAGCTTCCTCTTGAAGAGTGCCACAAATGGCAATGGTCAGTGACCTCTTGTCTTTTGTTTTTTCAGGAAATGTGATGCCCACATTATGCAGCCTGACCACAGACTCCCTCCATGGTTTTCACAGAATCCTTAGCTGGTGGAGCTGAAAGAGACCTGCAAGAGTCCTTTCACCTTCTGCCAAGCAGTCAGGGTTTAATCTTTGCAGCTGCCCTGGAGGTGTTTACCATGTCCCCCATTTTCCAGAAGGCGAAGCTGGGACATGGATTAGGTCAGCTGTCCAAGGTCATGGAGCAGGATCCAAAGGAGGCCTGGAGAGTGCCATCTGTCTGGCCCCTTCTTTGTGCTGCCTCTAGAGGATACTGGGGAAGCCTCCTCTTGTCTGACTCTGCCAGGATACCCTTGGCCATCAAGTGCTCAGCTAAGCCACAGTGCCACTCTGGGTCAGGCCGACCTGGGCCCAGCTGTGCAGGATGAGGTACAGGAGGCAGCTGCCACAGCTGCTTCCATTCAACATGGCCTTTTTCCCAGTGGGCTTGGTGCCACCCAGGGCTTCGCTCAGGAGGGTGGGGAGTGATCAGGGCACCATGGTTCAGACTGATTATGTGACCTTAGGAGGAACTGATGGGTGAAGTGAAGCAGGGGTAGGGCAAGGGAAAAAGTGGCCCAGAAGCTTCAGAAGAGAAGGAGAGCCAGACCCTTGTCAGTGGACAAGGGCTCCTGATTTTAGGAAAGCTGAGTGCAAAACCAGACCAAGAAAAGAGAGCTCAGATTCTGTCTATGGGCACAAACCTCGGAAAGGGTCCAGAACTCCCCAAATGAACTATGGATGGCTCCATAGTCAGAGATTCACAACCCAGGGGTCTAGCAGGAGCTCATATCTGACCGGAAGGCTGGGAGGACTGGTAAGCTCCATGACAGGGCAGGCCCAGGTAAGCAAGACAGGTGGGAGAAACCCCGAAAGGCTTCTAGCCTGTTTAGAGGAAGAGAAGCCCAGGAAGAATGGACTCACTGCCTTGGCAGGTAGAGAACTAGAGGCTTGGAGTTCTGCTTGGAATCCCTAACCTGGAAAAGTATCTCAGATAGGGCAGGGCAGGTATCACAGCACAATGGCTAAGCTCAGGCACAGGTGGTCTACAGACCTGGCTTTGACCCGCGGCTCTTCTCTTTGCTAACTTTCCACATTCATAGGCAGTGGAGTGGAGTGGCTGTGAACACAGATTCTATAGAGCCAGACTTCCTGGGTTCAAATGGCAGCTTCGCCAGTGATCACCTGGGGAATCACCCAGGTGCTGTGATGGTTGATTTTATGTATCAGCTTGACTGGGCTAAGGAATGCTCAGATAGCTGATAAAACTATTTCTGCGTGTATCTGTGAGGGTGTTTCTGGAAGAGATCAGCATTTCAATCAATCAAGTGAGTGAGAAGACCACCCTCACCAGAGCAGGTGGGCACCATCCAGTCCACTGAGGGCCTGAATAGAATGAAAGGCAGGGGAAAGGGAGAATTTATTTTCTGTTTGAGCTAGGACATTCATCTTCTCCTGCCCGTGGACATTGGCACTCCTGGTTCTCAGGCCTTGGGCCTCGGAAAAGTACTTAGGCCCCCATCCCCACCCCACCCACCCACTCTTAGGCCTTGGGACTTGGACTCAGACTGAATTATGCCGCCAGTCTTCTGGTTCTCTAGCTTACAGATGACAGATCGTGGGACTTCTTAGCTTCTGTAATTGCGTGAGCCAGTTCCTATAATCAATCAATCTATCTATTTATCAAACAATTTATCTATCCTATTGGTTCTGTTTCTCTGGAAAACTCTGACTAATAAAGATGCTTAGCCCCTCTGTGCCTCAGTTTCTTCCTTTGTTAAATTGAGGTAATAATAGTGTCCACCCCATGGAGTTGTTGTGAGGATGAAGTTAGTTAAAGTATATAAAGTATTCTGAGCAGTTCTTGGCACCTACAAATTAATCAATGAATATTAAGGATTATTATGCTAGCAGCTTAACTTCTCAAGTATAAAATAGAGCAAAAGGCATGTTAGGAAGATTCCCAACACTGACACTTTGTGGAGACCTGTGCTATACATGTCATCCCTGTTAGAGAAGCCATTACCACGGTGGGTGAGAGTGCAGCCCCTGGACCTGGCTGCTGTGTCTAGTGTGGTTCCAGCATCTAATAGCTGTGTGACCTTGAGCCAGTTACTTCACCTCTCTGAGCTCCATCTTCCTCACCTGTCCAATAGAGATAGATACACAATAACACCTATCCCATGGAATTATTGGGAGAATTAGATGAATTCATATGTGTAAAGCACTTGGCACACTGGCACATAACTGCTCAGTAAATAATTAAGAGGAGAAAACATGGAGGCAGGTGCTTTGTCTGAGGCTCATCCACAGGGTCCTGAAGGACCTCCTGGTTATGAGAAAAGAACCTCGAATCCTTCAGGGATTGGGAACACCAGCCTCCCTCTGTCATCCTTCCCTCCCCCATGATGCAGTCCTCTTCTGTCTCCAGCCACCAGGGCCCAGACACTTGGTTTTCAGAGAGAGACACTGACCTTCTTGAAGGCAGAGATGGGGTCTTGTTCATCTTGTACCTTCAGTGCCCAGTGCAGGGTCTGGGGACACCGGCTGGGCAGGGAAGGGAAGGTGAGGACTGCTGATCTCTGGCTGGGGATTTGGCCTCTCAGTGTATGGACTTTGCTCAGTGGGGGCTTATGCCCACCTCAGGGGTGGGGCCCAGGCAGATTCACCGTTTTGTGCTGCCTTGCCTTCCCTGAACCTTGCCGCTCCTCTGAGCGGCCAGTACTTCCAGGAAAGGCTGGTGGAGTTGTGGTGAGTGGAGAAGCCCAGCTGGAGCTCAGGTGGGCCAGAGTGAAAGCAGGAGACTGAAAGGTATCAGGTTGGGCGCCCAGAGCCTGGCAGGCCCCTGCCTCACTCCCCAGCACTCTTTAGAAGCCGATTCCTGCTCATGTGCCCAGCCACAAGTCCCCAGGTGTGACTGTCCCTACACTCTTGCTCACTCTCCAGCCAAGTCTTGTCTTTTTGAGGGGTAATGAATTTTAGGTCTGCAGAATTCCTTGATTGTCTGTATTAGTTATTCCCTCAGCATCCCCTCATGTTTTCTTATATTTTACCCATTTACCATTGATACACATCCTTAGGATCTAAAAATGAGGGGATTTAGCAGCATCAATTTTAAGGATCATCGACTTTTTAAAAAAGTAATTAAGGAATGCAAAGAGGAAGCCTGACCCAAAGCTGCAATCAGGCTGTGGGCTACTGGGGGACATGGGAGGAAGCCTGGTGGCCTCATCCTCCCATTTCTGAATCCTGGCCATAGGCTGGGCCTGGGCTCCTCAGGGCTCTTCCAGCTGCCACTCAGAGAGCACAGCTGGTTTGCTCTTCGGGCTGTGGCTCTGGGTCTGGAAGGAGCAAGAAACCCATGCCTGGGCAGAAATCTCAGGTGAGAAACTGGATACCAGAAGGGCTGTGCAGGGCCGCTAAGTTGGCCTCAGCGTTTAGTTGAAGCCACTTAGTTGTAGAGCAGGGAGAATGGGGGGTGGGGTAGGGGAGGGAGGCATGGGTCCCTCATCAGAGAAGCCTTCTGCTTTCCCTACACAGCAGCCAGCATCCTGTCTGAGCCTGCAGGGGAGAAACAATTTTAAAGTAAAAACTTCCAGATAAGCAGGATTCTCCCATTTTACAATGACTTCTGCTGCTCATTTGACCCTTGTGCTTCTGTGGTGGAGCATCTCTATTTGACAGTGATGGAACCTGAGACTCAGAGAGGGCAAGTGAGTGACTCAAGGCCACACAGCTGGGCAAGGGAAGCCATACGCAGGACTCCATCCACAGCTTGCTTTTGCCCCTCTACCCAGCTGGGTTCTGAGGCCAGGTCCTTGTCACAGTCCTCAAGCCTGGCTGGCACACAGCAGGGAAGGAAGAGTTTTCCAGCAGTTTCTGCATGTCCCTTCCCTAATGGGGACTAAGAAGGAGGGCTTAGTCCCTAAGCCAGGGAACTGAAAGTTCTGGCCACGGAAACCTCTAGATTGAAGAGCACCAGCAGCTGAAGAGTGGGCCAGAGGTTTTGCAAGCTGCTGCCAGGCTGCCTGCTTTCTGGTGCTTAGAGAGGAAGGCTGACCTCGAAAGCCCTCACCGCATCCATGAAGCCTTACAAGACCTGGCCTCCGGCTACTTCTCCAGGCTCACTACCCCCACTCCACTCTCCCCTCCACTCTCTCAGCACTGCCACATCGACTTCCTAAAGCCCGCCCAGCCTGCCCAGCCTTGAAGCTTCGTCAGCTCTGATCGGCTGGCTTGGAATTGCCCTTCCCAGACACCCTCTTGGCTCCCACTCACATCCTCCCTTTCCCCAGTCCCTTCGGTGCCTCCAGACCTCCTGCATGATGGGCCTGTTCCTTCACCACTTGCCGTCACCCTGTGGGGTGGGTGTTGAGTTTCTTCTTCATCACCTTGGTCAGTGCTGCATGTTACTGTGTAGCCCTTGGTTGCTTCTCTCCCCTACCAGTGCCCAGAGGGCATGAGCTCTCTTTTGTACTCTGTTATATCTCCAGTTCCTGGGGGTAGGCACCTGATAAAAATTTAGGGAATGCATACATAGCCTAGAGGCCAATTTCCCCTTTAGATGTTGACTGTCCCTTTTCTCCAAGTAGGGAGAGTGGTGACGGGGCGTGGAGAGGCAGAGGGGAGAGAAGGAGCAGTGTTACCAGCGAGTCTGTCTGGCAATGATATCTGCCTCAACCCCTTTTTGTCCCAGCGGTGTAGACGCAGGTCAGATGACTTTCCAACTCTATGCGGCTCTTGCCTGTCCCTCCATCCCTGCTGCGGTGAACCTCTCATCTGAGCCTCCCCAACAGTTTGTGCAAAGACTCCACTTAACGTTGGTCTGTTGACTGTCACGGGCATCTGTGAGCCTCCTGTGCCTTCTTGTTTAACAACGATCTCAGCTTGTGGCGAGGGAGTGGTGATGGCACAGGGTAGAGCTGCCAGAGGGGTCAGCTTGGCCTGGGTTCGGGCTCAGGAGTGCCAGCTTCCTCGAGGAGTGGGAGGTCGGTCATGCAAGGGAGAGCGTTGAGCCCAGGCCCCAGGATAACTGAGACTGTTTGGAGGTGGTGTCCCCAACCCTCGCTTACGTGGGCGGGTCTCAGCGGGGCGAGGCTTAGCTTGCCTGCTGAGCCCTGCAAATGCAGGTGAGGCGGCTCAAGCGTTTCCACCTGGACTGGCGTGGCGCTCAGGCCTCTGCGTCTCTCTCTTCCCGTGTATGCAGAGTCAGCTGCCCTGCCCTCGTGGGTCTGTGTGTTTGTGAGCGTGTGTCTATTCGTGCCATGAGTGTGACACCTGTGGGTGTGTGCTTGTGTGAGCTGTGTCTGTGTACACCCTCACATGTGTCTCTTTGTGGGGCTTTCTTCCAGGCCTGTGATTCTAAAATCAACACAACCAAATCCACACTCGTCGCTGGCTTTCCCTGCCCTGCTGTGGAGCACATGAACCCGGGGACGCATTCGGCTTTCCTTTGGTAAGTGAAGGCAGGTCTTTCCTCTTTAAAGGTAAATTCCAGGAGGATGAACACTATAGAGGAATTGTCCCGGAGATAGCTGGCTGGTGGCCAATTCCTCTTGTAAAAAAGATCCCCCGTGTCTGTGGAGCCAAGATGAAACAATTCTTTGGAATTAACCAAGCTAATTTTGACGAGCAAACATTTTGCTACAATGAAAGTTTTTATTGTAACACATAAAAGTCAAAACAACACCCAGTCCCCTTGGGGGAGACAGGCGGGTGGTAAGAAGAAAAACAGCGCACACACAAGCTCTAACTAATCATTGTGAAATCAAAAGTGCTCCTGGCTGCCAAATTAAATGCGACTAAAAATAACCGTGGATAGGAGCCGCTGAGGGGCAGCCCCGGAAGCTGTTGATTCTTTGGCTTACTTGAGGAATCACAAACCCCGAGCCCTTCAAGCACAAGCCATTGTGTTCCAGGGAAGGGTAAGGCCCAGACAAAGGGCATTTTAGCTTCTGGAACATTCCACAGGCCTGGGCCAAGGCAGCGGTGCCTGGCTGGAGTAAGGAAGGAAGCTGTGAAGCTGCCATTTCTATGGTGCCTAGTGCTCTCTGAAGCCAACCCCAGCTGTCCCATAGATCCCCACATTTGGTTCCCACTGGGCTCCTCTCAGGGAATCATCACCCCTCCCAGCACCCCCCATCCCACCCCTCACTGCTCCCTCCACCTCTCACTCTTGCCTGGACCTCAGCCAAGACCAAGCTTCTCGGCTGTCTTTT
The DNA here is from genome assembly GCF_000001405.40 of Homo sapiens. NCBI lineage: Eukaryota > Metazoa > Chordata > Mammalia > Primates > Hominidae > Homo > Homo sapiens. Next base: position 70,023,633 of record NC_000015.10, on the reverse strand, counting down.
GTGATGACTGGTGTCTTGGGTTCCCCGAGGTTTACATGACCACTGTGCTTCTCGGTGTGCCCCGTAACAAACACCCCACATTTTGGTGAAAGAAGCTCCCTTTGGTGGAAAAAGATTTGTATTGAGCCCTGGGGCTATGTGTGTGTGTGTGTCACAATAGAGGATGAACCCAACCTGGGAGGAGCTGTCTTTACAGAGTGTGTGGTTAGCACTGAATGATGTCACGTTAAACCAGAAAGCATTTCCTGCACTCCTGAAGTAGGGGGTGGGACTTGTCTCCAGAAGCAGGGCTCAGACACTGGACCAAATTGAGGACTAGCTAAGAGAGAGACCAGGCGGAAGCAGCTTTCATAAGACATGCCCACCAGTGTGTTATGTCAGTTTACCATTGCCATGGCAACACCCAGGAGTTACTACCCCTTCCCATGGCAATGACCTGATGACTCAGAAGTTCCCTTTGAAATTTCTGCATTGACCACCCCTTCATCTACATGCAATTAAAAGTAGGTATAAATATTACTGCAGAACTGCTCTGAGCTGCTAATCTCTGCCTATGTGAGCGTAACACTGCTGCTTCAAGAAAGCTGTTTTCTTCTATCCTACCACCCACTTGCCCTTGAATTCTTTCCTGGGTGAAGACAAGAACTCTCATGGGCTAAGCCCCAGTCTGGGGCTGGCCTGCGCTGCATCACTCCTACTTGATACTCAGAACTGTGCTGGCCCTAAGACACAGTCTGGGCTTCCAGGAGCTCACACTCAGTTATGAGAAGGGGTACATAGGCACATAAATAACTTTAAAAATCTGCCCATTGTAAGAAGTTTGCAAACATATGCCCTGGGAGCCCAGTTCTGTTTGGCACAGTCAGGGCAGACTTCTTGGAAGAAAGGTCACTTGAACTAGCCTTGAAGGATCCAGACAGGAGAGAGGGGGACAATGTGTATTTCCTGGTGTTTTTCACTGCTTCTTCCCAGGTGAGCGTCCTGGGTCCCTAAAGATAGCACAAGGCTTTGACAGGCAGGACTCATTTTATCCTACACAGACCCCATCCATTCATCTCTATTTTTTCTCAACTCCGAAACACATCATCTGTCTGACAGGACATTTTCCAAAATGCATGTTCACTGCATACTTGGAAATAGGGTCATTTAGAGACAGATCTAGGAGAGGAGGAGAAATCAGCTTTTTTATCTGATATACTTACAGCAGGAGCCAGCCCTCTCTGTGTGGTGGTTTGGCACACAGACCTGAGAGTCAGATGGAACGAGGTCTAAATCCCTTTTTCTCTACTTGCTAGGGAGGGGTGTATAAAGTGGGAAAGTTCAGTTGATGCAGAGCAGGTGAGACCCAAAATTGGGGCTTAGCCCAGGAGGGTTCTTGGCTTCACTCAGGAAAGAATTCAAAGGTGAGCTGGGGTGTTAGACAGCTTTTTAAAATCCATGTGGCAGTGGAGAGCAGCAGCAGAGGCACTGCTTCTTGCAGAGCAGGGCTACCCCATAGGCAGTGTGCCCAGAGTAGCCCTGCTCTGCAAGGCTCGCCTGCCCTGCATCACAGTGTCCTCTCCAAACCTTAGCTTTCTTTTATGTAAAACAGATATCAGAGTGTTGACTTCATAAGGTAGATCCCTTTATTACTATTATTATTATTATTATCATTATTATTATTATTATTTTTGAGACAGAGTCTTGCTCTGTCACCCAGGCTGGAGTGCAGTGGTGCAATTTTGGCTCACTGCAACCTCCACCTCCTGGATTTAAGTGATTCTTCTGCCTCAGCCTCCCAAGTAGCTGAGATTACAGGTGCCCACCACCATGCCCAGCTAATTTTTGTGTTTTTAGTAGAGACAGGGTTTCGGTATGTTTTCCAGGCTGGACAGGGTTTCAGTATATTTTCCAGGCTGGTCTTGAACTCCTGACTTCAGGTGATACACCCCTCTTTGGCCTCCCAAAGTGCTGGGATTACAGGTGTGGGCCACCATGCCCAGTTCCTTTATTATCCCTTTTATTGATTAGGATATGCTGGCTTCAAGTAACATAATACCAAACAGATAATGGCATAACCAGTACATATATATATGTGATCTTAGTTGACAAGGCAGGTGGTTCCAAGGCTGGTGCAGCAACTCAACAATGTCAGTGAGGGCCCAGGCTCTCTCTATCCTCCTGCTGTGACATCCTCAGCAGGTGTTGCCCCATGGTCACAAGGCAGTCACCCTGGTTCCAGGCATTATATCCTTCCCAAAAGCATCACCAGCAGGAAGGAAGGGAGAGTGGGAGAGGGCCCAGGGCTCTTTTCTCTTACGTGTCTTCATTCGGGAGGAAAATCTTTCCTGGAGGTTCCCATTTACTTCCTTCCCATCTTGTTGGTTGGAACTGTGTCATTCGGCAACTCACAAGCCTATCACTGGCAAAGAGGAAACGGATTACCATGATGGATTTAGACCCATCACACTTCATCACTTGAGGCTGGGCATGCTGATATCACTTTGATACAGAAATCTGAATGAATATTGAGTAGACAACCAGCAGTGCGAGCCACTCCATGGGCCACCAAGTCTGTAGCTGGCACTGGGATGGGCACAACAGGAATGCAGCCATACTTGACACAAAGCTCCACATTGGGCTGGGTCTCAGGGAGAGGAGGAGAAATTATTGCCCACATCTAATCAGAATCTAGATCACAAGCCATCAAGGGTCATACCTAGATGCTTTTAGAGACACACAGAGGTCTCAGAAACACTACCCTCTCTCCAGCATCAAATGCCCCCAGCCCCACCAAGTACATGTAACACAAGGCTTTGCAGCAAAGAGCCTGCAGGAGGAGGCTGGACTCCCAGCTCAGCCTGAGACTTGCTATGTGGTCCTGGGCAGATTACTTGGCTTCTTTGGGTCTCGATGCCCTCCTCTGAAGGGAACCATACTCGCTCTGTGGATGCCATGTGTCTGGTGAAGGCCTTCAGATGCAGAGAATCATCTGGGAAGTTACGATGCAGGTCAGGGTGAAAAGGAGATTTGATTTGTAACACAACTTAGGAGTGGGGCTCTCGGGCTCCTCAGCAGTCAACAGCAGGTTGGACCTGGTGTGCTTTTAAGGTATCTTCCAACTTGGATGTGCTGGGATCCTGTGCCCAGTAAAGTAGTGAAGTAGTCGCCACTTGGATTCAGATTCATGCTCTGCCACATACAAGCTGTGTGACCTTTGGCCACGTTGCTTAACCTCTCTGAGCCTTAGTTTTCTCATCTATAGAAGTAGGGACATCTACAGAAGTAGGGACATCTACAGAAGTAGGGATACTTAAAAGATTGTAATGGTTGAAATAATGTGTGTGACGCCCTTAAGGGTGCCTGGCACACTGGTAAGTGTAGGGGAAACGTGGACTATTATTGCTGATATATTATTTTATATCATTCTTACAGCAACCTCATGGTTTAGCGATTATCGTCCCATCTATTGCCCTTATATGTGAGGCTCTGGGTGACAATGAGGACCTGTCTACAGTTCTTCATCCAGTACAAAGGCAGAATTTGAATCCAGGTCTTCTGACTCCTGACTCTTCTCCTTTCTACTGCACTCTGTTTCAGTCTGGAGAGAGATAGTACAGCAAAGATGGGGTGAACACTCAGAAGGGGGGGCAGAACACACACACACACACACACACACACACACACACACACACACAGTCTGCCCGTGCTAAGGTCTCAGCGAAATTGTAAAGAATAATAACAGCTAGTCTGCTTTTGTGTATATGAAAGCCTCCCAAAAGGAATTGTTCTTATCTCCATTTTATAAATGACAAAATGATGTTTAGAGAGGTTCAGAAATATGCCACACAGTTGTGCAGAGTCCTTGATCTGTCAGGTTCCAGGTCCCAAATCCTTGATGCTGGGCCAGGCTGCAGTAAGTCAAGCTGGTATGGCCTTTCTGGGTCCCCTCTGGCTTTCCAAGCCTCTTTTCCTCACCAGTCACTCCCAGGTCCCAGGGCACTTAAGCCAGCACCTCACCCTCTCTGTCCAGGAAGCCTCAGAGCAACCAGCGGCCCTCTCCCTTGGCCTTTCCTGGAAAGGCCCTCTGGGTCCGTCCCTGCAGGAGCCTCCTCCCTCCTAGCTTGTGCCACCTCCTGATGTTGAGCTGCTTACAAGTCACACTAGCATCATGAATGGTGCGAAGTGTGTCATCACCCCTGCCTCTGCTTCCGTCAGAAACCTTAGTTGTAAATCAGCAGAATCTTCTGAATATCCTTAATCCAGAGGCTAGATCTAAGGATAAGAATGGCAGGGATCAGCAGGCAGTTGAGGAAGATATCTGGGCTGGAGAGTGGCTGGGGCAGTCTTCAGGTCATGCCTGGAAATAACCTCTTGCACAAGTGGATCCTGCCTAATTTGCTGAGTGCTTTCACCTGCATTCCCCTGCTTGCGCCTCCAGCTCCCCTGTTCAGGAGGCTGGGCAGGTGTTGCAGGCCCATCTACCAGATGCAGAAACCAGGGCTTACCAGTGCCTAAGATCACAGAGCTGGTAAGAGGAAGGTTCTTCAGCCCCAACCCTGAGCATTTTCAGTTCCCCAGGGGCTTTGTCTAGGTAGCATTGGGGCAAGCACTCCGTCCAAAAACCTTCAGCCCCAAGATGTTGGAGTGTCACTTGGACGGTTTGCTCCCTGGTGAGGGGTCTGGACTTGGCTCTTTCTCATGCTGGCATAGCCTGTATGCATGAAATATCTGTGGGGGAGAAAGCAGGGTTTACTGGTTGGGGAGCAGCTTCAGGGAGCTGGTGGTTCTCAGAGAGGTTTGCCCAGCCCTCTCACACCAGCACATCTGGCTGAACTGTCCTGAGCCCAGCATTCTGCAGCAGGTAAAAAAGCAAAGCAAAAGTTCATGTCAGCCAAACGCGGTGGTTCATGCCTGTAATCCCAACACTTTGGGAGGTCAAGGCAGGTGGATCACTGGAGGTCAGGAGTTTGAGACTATCCTGGCCAACCGTCTCTGGTGAAACCCTGTCTCTACTAAAAATGCAAAAATTAGCAGGGCATGGTGGTGGAGGCCTGTAAACCCAGCTACTCAGGAGGCTGAGGCAGGAGAATTGTTTGAACGTGGGAGGCGGAGGTTGCAGTGAGCTGAGATTGCACCACTGCCCTCCAGCCTGGGCAACAGAGTGAGACTCCATCTCAAAAACAAACAAACAAAACATTCATGTCAGCCAGCAAAACCTGGAGCCATACACCAGCTCTGATTTTCCTTTCTGCCTCCTATCTTAGACCCTTGGGTTGTGGATATTGGTGCTGTGGAGGCCTAGGGTCCAGGCTTGGTCATTTACCCTCTCTGGGCTCTATCTATAAAAACAGGGTACTTGTGTCTCCAGAAAGCCCTTCTTCACCTCTACAGCCCCTCCTATCCCCTCTGCCCTGCCCTCCAGGTCTCTCTGTCACACACACAGACTCACACTCTCAGGTGCATTCACAGAAAAACACACAGACAACATATGCAGACTCACACACAAACATAACACACACAGGCACATTTACATACACAAGCAGGGACACACTTATACACACACCCACAGACACACAGACATATGAAGACAACATTTCTTGTGCCACATCTGCTCTCAGTCACAGGCTGGAATTTTGTAGAACTGACCTCAGTGTCCCGGTTCAGTGATCCTCAAACATGACTCCACATTAGAATCCTCTGGGAGCTTTTAGACCACACCCCAGACCCATCACATCACAATCTCTACAGGCTGCTTCCAGACATCAATATTTTTTAAAGCCCCTAGGTGACTTCAATGTGCAGCCACGGTTGAGAACCAGTGACCCCCAATTTATTTCCTCACCTGGGAAGGAGCCCCCTAGAGTGAATTACAGAGAGGCACCCCAGCACCAGATGCAGAACTCACATTTCCAGGCCCCATCAGTCTCCCTCCAGCTTGCCTAATCAACCCTTGACCCTAATTGCCCACAGCAAGGGGCAGAGTTCCATCACCACCAGCCAAACCTCTACTGCCACTTTAGGGAGAGAACTGAGCAAGAATCACTTTCTTTCATCCACGTGTTGGGGAGGGATGTTTCTCAGATTGGAGGAGACCACCTGCATGAGAATTCTTGAGAGCTTACTAAAATGCAGATTCACAGGCCCCAGCACACACCAGCTGAGTTGCAGTCTCTAAAAGCTGTGCTTGAAGCCTGCTGGTGACACACGGTAGGCTAGTCTGAGAGTCAGAAGACCAGGGGTTGAGTCCTAGCTCTGTCCCTGACTTGCTAGGTCACTGTTGGTGGGTCTGGCCTCTTATCTGTAACCTCTTGGGGAGTCTCATGAAAAGCAACAAAGTCTGTCTGAAGGAAGACTTTGCAGGCACAAGAGCGCTGTATAAGTCGGTTACTTTATTGTTATTGTTGGTTTTGTGCTTGTCATTTACACTCTCTGGGTCCTGCTATGACCTGACGCCTCAGTGAATGAATGCGGGTGGAGAGCTGGAGGGCTGATAAGCCCTGGAGATGCTGTAAAAATAGCCACATGCTGGTCATGCACAAGGTGTGGGGTGAGAGTGGTGTATCTATCAATGTCTCTGTGCCCTGCAAAGCAGGGATGATGAGCAAGGCCCTGTAATTATTATAGGGATGTTCTATTGCTCCAGCGAAGCCTGGACTTGAATGAAGTCTTGGAGAGAGGGAAGAGGAAGGCAGAGGAAATGGAACATTTTTGAGCACTAGCTACATACTAAGTAATCCATGAGGCACTTTCACGTATCAGTGCATCAAGTTCTCATGCTCAGTTTTACCCCCATGAGGTGAGAAAATGGAAACCCCAGAAGAGAAAACAGAAACTCAGAGTTACGACCTGTCCCGAGTCACTCAGGCAGCAATGGCAGGGCTGGGGTTAGAACCCAGGAAGGTCTGTTTCCTGAAGCCCCGGGTGTTCCCATGTACCACATGGCCCTCCACTGTATGAGAGCTTGCAGGCTTCACAAACAGCCTCTCAGCCTGCTGGAGGTGTCCAGCCTGAAGCCCAGAGCCCTTGAAGGATCTTTGCCCATGTGATGTTGGGGGATCACCCAGCCAGACCCCTGCCCTGCGTTCCCTCAGCTTTCTGGGGAGGATGAGAACATCTGAAGTCAATCGCATTCTAACAACACAGGGTTTCAAAGATAAAGATCAAAGGCAGAGGAGGTCAAAGAAACCAATGTCAGATTCCCCCCAGATTAAAGCAAAAGGAGCCGCACTCCCTGCAGGCTGAAGTCTCCAGGACGCCTGCCTGGAACCCGAAAAACTTCTCCAGCCTAGACTCTCAGCATCTGTCAGCTAGTGCTGTGGTAACAGAGGGCAGGTCACAGATGGACAGAGTCACACAGAACGGGTCAGGGAGTCCTGAGAGGGAGAGAGAGAGAGAGGGACAGAGATGGAGAGAGACACACAGGGAAAGCAAGACACAGCGAGCCAGACAGAGATGTTCAGAACGAGGCAGAGAAGAGAGACAGAGAGAGAGAGAGAGAGAGAGAGAGAGAGAGAGAAAGCAAAACAGAGAGCCACAGATGCAAAGTGAGGTATCGAGGCATAAAAATAGTGTCGGAGTAAAGCAGAGGCCAAGCCAGGCTGGGAGAAATCCTGAGCGCAGGACAAGGCTGGCCCCGGAGGCATCAGTGTGCTGTTGTGCAGGCAGAACTTTCCACTGATCACACCCCCTGCCCGTCAGCCCATCCTTGATCTGCCGTCCTTTGCCTCCACGTGGAGGCTGGCCTGATGTCTAGATGGAAGGCCGAGGCTCCCAGGCAGAGGCTGGCAAACAACCCACCAAACAGGCTGGAGGGGCCCCCTGGGGGTCAGGAGGGCTGCGGGGACCTGGGTCCTCAGGCCCCTTAGAGACTGGAAGCCTCCCACCCCCTACTCTGCTCATGGCCTGGCCAGACCTGCAGGGCCCCCATGGTCCCAAGCCCTCCCGCTGTGGCCTGTGCCTTACTTTCTCCCCTCTCCCTGTGTGCACCAAACTTGTGAAGCCCAAACCAGCCTTCCCCTCCTCCAAGAAACCCACTGGGATTTCTCCAGGCTTCTTTTGTCTGCATTGCAGCCTCATGGTTCAGTGATGCAGTGTTTGTGTTCTAAATGCCGTGCACAGAAGTTCTGTGTTCCCTCTTTCCATCTCGATGTCAAATCCTCTTCCCTTTCCTCTTCCCTCCCCTCCCCACCCAGGCCTCATGGCATGTGCACTAAAAGGCTTCCATGAGGTTCTGAAATGTGCTCTTTTCATTCAGAGAGTGCTCATTCCTTGACTGCCTTCAGCTGATCCTCAGTTCGGAGGGTAGGAAGCAGAGGACAGCGTCGTGCCCAGCCGACCGGGGAAGGAGGCCCAGGCAGGAAGCTTGTGGAGCTAGCAGAGCAGGTCTGAGGCAGGCTCAGCTCTCAGCCTTTTGTTATGGACTGCCCCCTGCCTCCAGCCTCTCTTCCTGAACCTCACTCAGGGCAAGAGTTGAGCATCTGCATTAGGCGGAGGCGGGGTTATTCCACCTTGCTGGCCTGGCTCAGACCTAAGAGCCTCATCCCCACGGGCCCAGCCTGCAACCTGGCCTGAACCTGCTCTCTCACTTCCCTTTCTCAGTGGTCAGCACCTGCTGAGCTCCCCACACCCTTGTTCCCACCCCTGCCAGGCACACCCTCTTCCTTTCCCCAGAGGCCTCCTTCTGGGCTGGTCCTGCTTGGCCAAAGCCAGAGGCAGGGCTACTCAAAGTCCAGTGGGGGGAGAAATGTGAACCCACAACCCACCCAGAAGGAGTGAGAGCCAGGCCATCGGGGACCCCCACATTCGCAGCAGTAGTTTCCCCACCAGACTGAAGTGTGTCTAGGGCTGGGGCCATGCCTGCTGGTCTCTGTATCTCCCAAGCCTAGCCCAGGACTTGGCACTTAGTGGATGCTTGGACAATTGCTGAGCAGGTGAAGAGGGTCCAGGCAAAAGACTGAAGCCCTGACAGCTTCGAGCTTCCCTGCCTTCCTTCCTGCCATCATGATGCCAATGACAAAGTGATGCAAAATAAAAATATCACTGAGCAAAGCACGAACAGCGTCACAGCTGATACCCACAACAACTCTGGTGCCCAAGGCACAGGAGGCTTGGTGACTTTCTCAAGGTTCCCCAAGCCAGTGAGTGGGGAGGGCACAGTTGGACTCTGAGTGTAAGCTCTTGGGCACACTGCTGGACCCCAGGAGAGGCGGGTTCTCACAGCTCCCCTGTGACCTGAGGTGAGTTCCATTTCCCCTCCGAGCTTCAGGCTCCTCGTGTGTGAAATGAGGTCTGAACTCCTTGGGTTCTTCATTCCCTTTTCTCGGTTAACATTTCCTAATAATTTAAGGGAATGAGATCACCTCCACCTCCCTTGATTAAGATTCATGCAATAGTTCGAGGCAAGACTCCTACCTTCAAAGATCTTACAGTATAGTGGGGGTGAGACATAGTCTATCTAATATTCAGACAGTGGGGCTGTGGAAGCCTCAGGGAGGGGAACTGGAGGCCTTCCTGGAGGAGGACGGGATGGGGTGGGCCCGCAGGGAGGAAGCATTTGCCCTGTGGATTTGTCAGGAGGGGAGGGGTGGGTGTGAATGGGAGTGTAGTTGAGAGGAAGAGTGCAGGAGGAGGACACCGGCCAGCTGGAATGGAGAAAGCCATGAGTTTCTAGCAATTTCCTTTTCCAAGCCCCTCTTGCAAGTGAGCATCTTTAATTTATTAAGGGACTGATTTGAAATCATCCTCCCTCTCTCCCTGCCCACACTCCACCCTCCACTGCCTATATTTCCCCTGACCATAAATTTCTTTTTAATGACAGTTTAGAAAATGAGCAAATCTCTAGTGACACTTTTATCACCCCCAGGATACTTTTAATAAGAGGTTTCGGTAGATTGCATTCTGGGAGTGGGGGGAGGGGGAAGGCAAGACGGTAGCTTCACCAACCTGCGCAGAGCTGTTCTCCCCGGTCCCAGCCCTGCAGCCCCCAAAACCACCCCTCTCCACCCCACCCCTACCTGGAGGCACCCCCTGACCTAGGACTGCAAATCCCTGGGTTCTAGCCCCCATGCTGACAATCCACTCACCTCGTAGCCTTGGGCACATCCCTTTACTCCTCCTCTCCCTCCCTCTCTCATCTGTAAAATCTTGCCTATGTGCAAGAGATAATTAGTGCAGACCTATTAATAATGGTTAAAAGCAATTAGCTGCCGACACTTGGTGCCACACCTAGTTACTCAGACTGGCAAATCGGGCCCCAGAATATTTCTCAAACTACAAACAGGGCCAGCTCAACTGGATTTGAAAGCATGGCTCTAACCACTCCACTGGTCACTGGGAAGTGTGTGTTGCAGGCCTCTTTTTGTGCTCACTCTATGTTAGATGTGAATGTACTGGAAAATCCATGCGGCACCTAAAATGTGATGTCTCCTTCAAGAGTTTTCAAATGAGCTGGGCAAGCAAGAAAAGCTGCCCAGAATAAGGTTGTGTCGGAAAGATAGCCTGACAGGGCTAGGAACAGGGTGGGGCAGCACAGGGGCGGCCCATGATGGATCCCTAGAAAGGGGAGATTTATGACATGGGATTGACTGGGAAGGGGAGGATCTAGAGGGAACTGTCACAGTTCAGGAGTAACAAAAATGCTGAACAGAAGCCATGAGCAAGGCCTGGGAAAGAGGGCCATTTAAGGAAAATCAACAGGATTTGGGGGCTGGCTGGATATGGGGCATGTGAGCCTTGAGGTTTGGAATAAAGGCAACGGGAGGTTCACAAAGAAAGGCAACCCTGGAAGATGGCAGTCCATCATTGAGTGACCTGTAAAATGATTCGGTCCATTTTAAAACACACAGAAAAAAAAATTGTTTTCTTTAAGAAACACACTGTTGAGGGCAATTTGAATTACAGTTAGTCTGGGAAAGGTGACTCAAGCCTGTAATCCCAGCATTTTGGGAGGTTGAGGTAGGAGAGAGTCACTTGAGCCTAGGAATTCGAGATCAGCCTGGGCAACATATTAGATATATATTAGAGACCCTGTATATATATATATAAGGCATATATATGCTTAAAAAACAAAGAGGGGTTAAAAGTTAACTGAGTAAAAAAGTAATTTGGGTGATCTGCGTGCTTAGGGATCTTGACATTTACTGAGCACCTACTATGTGCCATTCACTGTGCTTTGCACTTTGAGGAGCTGGTGCACTGGAAGAGTTTATTGCTGTGTACAACTTTCTAAATGAGAGCTATCCTGCTTCTTATCTTTGTTATTGAGCAGAAATCATTATGGCCATGGATAGGAAATGAACATTTAGGGCATAGAAAATAATGATAGTAGCTAATAGCTCTTGAGTACTTACAAGGTGCTAGACAGTGCTCTAAGTGTTTGCATGTGTTAATTTGTTTAATGTCACAAAAATCCTAGAAGGTAGGTGATATTATTATCAACCTCATTTTATAAATGAGAGGTTGAGTGCCTCTCCCAAGGCCACACAGTAACTGCCAAGTCAGGGTTTGAACCTGGTAGCCTGACTCCAGTGCTCACGAATTCAACTACACTCCAGACAGCAGCATCTTGTCTGTTTCTAACCCTGAAGAGGAGTCAGTAGCAGTGGGGGTGACTTTAGAGAAGGTTCCAAAGGGTCCCCTGAGAGCAGACTGTCTCTGAAGACAGGAAAGTCTTGAGGGGAACCGATGTGAAGTCTGGATTATCAGTTTCTCACCACACAAAGATGCAGGAGAAAAACCTGGGGGGCTTTAACTGCCTTTCTCAAAGGGCTGCAGGCAGGGGCCCGAGGGTATGCCTGGCTCATAAGGTGTTCCTGGCCTGGAAGCAGAGCTGGCACCAGGAAACAGAAGTCTGGAGAGGGAAGATTAAATTCCATTTAACCTTGAATTGGAGACACATACACTGAAAGAGAGGTGGCTCTCGTTCCGTTTTTTCTTTACATTTGCTCTAAGTGTATTTGAAAAGGCCTGAACACAGGACAGAGGATGACACAGGAGTGAGAAGCTATAGTTTTGCTACCCAGTGTCTGCAGGGTGCTGGGCACACCACTGGCCTTGCTGAACCCCGGTCTCCTGGCCTGCGAAATGCAGCAAAGCATCTTTATCTCAGAAAGCGGGGAGCCTGCAACGTGTTTAGCTCCTGGCCCAGATTTGGCCTTCCGTATTCTGTAATTGGTAGCTATTATTATTATTATGGCTATAACTATAGATCATTAATTTACAGTTTAAAAATGCTTCACCTATTTCATTTTACACTATTATTTTACTGAAGAATTAAATTTTTATGAGAAATTCTCCTAATTGGCTGGATTCAATGTCATCCCTGCTTCTTGCAGCACAGACTGGCATTACCAGCCATGACATCTCTCTGCCCACCGGGCCCCTCTTCTTCATCTCGTACCATCTACGGAGGGTCAACTCTGTGCCAGCACCGTCCTGGGTGCTTTGCAGATGTTCTCTTCAATTCTGAAGACAGCTCTGCAGACAGGACTTTTTCCCTACCTTGCAGATAAGGAAGTGGAGCCTCTGAGAGTTTGGATGGCTTGCCTGAGGTCACACAATTAGGAAACACTGAGCTGGGATTCAGGACCAAGCATGTCTGTCACTAAAGCCCAGGCCTCCCAGCTGGCAGATCCAGGGCTTAGGGGATTCTCTAGAATGGAGCTGGCTTTGCACAGTGGAGACAGTGACCAGCTAACGGCCCTCCCAAGGACAATATAAGCTCTCCAGAGATGTTTCCCTTTGGGCTGAGCAGCTCCAAGAAACCCCAAAGAAGCATTAACCAGGGGGATGCCACCTCCACTCACCAAGTGTCCCCCAAATGGCAAGGGGAGCCAATTCCTTCTCTGGAATCCCCATGTCCTTGTCTCCCTGGCTCCCATCCTGGGCTTAGTTGCCCATGTTCAAGGGACCAGATGTGATGCAGGGAATGGAGCCATAATAATCCCTTATACTTGCCTGGCCCTTGTAATTTGCAAGAAGCCATTTCACATACCCCATGGCCTCTGAGCTAACAGGGAGGTGGTCACCCTGTGAATAAGAACACGGGTCCTTGGGGCACACTAACTCAGGTTCAAGTCTCTCTTCCACCCCTTCCTTGCTGTGGAGCCATGGGAGAATCGCTTCACCTCCCTAAGCCTTGCTCTCTTTACCTGAGGAATGGGGAAAATACCCGCTACATAGAATCTTTACGAGGGTCCACTGAGGCTATGCATCTATACATATGCATTATGTTTATTTACATAAAATCTCTCTATTTACATAAGTCTCTTAGTAGCCCACAAATAAATAATAAATACTGATACATGGTAATGCTTTAATACATTCATGTTAACTAAGCATAGCCACACTCAAAGGAGGATGATAAGAACTATTTTTTAAGCCAAGACCTCATATTTTGTTTTATTTTCCACTTTGATCATCAACTCACCTACGAGACTGTAAGGCCTGTGAGGCCAGGGCCATGTCTGTCTGCTCAGGACTCCCCTGAAAGCACTTAGCTGAGCCAGGGGCTCAGCTAATCCTTGTTTGAACTAACTACCTTGTTTAATCCTCACAACAGCCCTTTGAAGTAACAGGTATTATCATCCCCATTTTATAGATGAAGAAATGAAGTTTCAGAGAGATAAACAGGGTCGCAAAGCTAGAAACGGTGGGATTAAAGTTCAGACTCAGGTTCCTGACTCATGAATCTGTGCCATGAGCCACATCATCCTGCCTGGGAGTGATCTTTCTCTTGACAGACGGAAGACTAGAACCCCACTTCCCAGGGCTTCACGCCCTGAGTGCCCCCCATCACATGAGAGAATGTGGGTGGGGTGGCCCCAAGGCCCAGCCGCTCAGCTTTCTGGGGAGCACCAATTGGTCAGTTGCCTGAGAGGTCCCGCGATAAAAGCTTGCGGATGAGGAAAATGACAGTGCCCATCACATCCATGTCTCCACATGGCAAGACTTAAAGCAGTCCGGGGACACCACACACTTCTGTTTCCCCAGGGAGCCCTTCCTCATGGAGCTATTTCCTCCATAGAAGGGAGCCCGGCCATGCCGGGGGTGCTCATCTGTTCAGGAGGGAGGGCAGTGGGCTGCCGTGAACTGCGGGAGCCACAGGAGCTGCAGCCCTGGTCTAGGCCAGCCAGCCTCGCTCTCCCTGGAGTCTGGAGGGAAGCTGTCCTTGGGAACCCATCAGGCCTTATGTTAACTATCAAGTACTTGATAGTAACTGTTACTTTGCTGGCCTCAGGGAGCTGGAATCACTGGTTGAAGACCATTTGCCCCATGAGAAAAGAAGCAGGCATTGAAATCCAGACCTATCTGACTCCAAGTCTAGTGTTCTGGGGCCTTCCCTAGCCTCAATCTGTGTATTTATGATCAAGTGCAACCCAAGAGGGCTCTACTGCACAGGGACATCCCCTTGAAGCTACTGCCCCCTTGCTCAGAAGGAGGGTGCTGAGGGCCTCAGGAGAGGAGGGGGTGTCACTCAGGGGGAAGAAGAGGCAGAAGGAGGCTGAGTGCTGTGAATGTCATGCTCTCCTTCCCAGCACCTCAGTCTGGCCAAACATGTTTTTCTGGCTTCTGGTAGTGCTGGGGAGGTGGAGGCTGAGAGGTTGTGTGTGTGTGTGTGTGTGTGTGTGTGTAATAGCACACTAGATTGGGAGCCTAGGAACATGGCTCTATTCCCAGGCCCTGGTGCAAAGAAGGCAGGGGACCTGGAGAGTCACACTTCCTCATCACACTCTGTCGCATCAGGAAGGCTAGCTAGGTGCCGTCTGAGGTCCTGCCAGCAGCCCCACCATCTTCCTGAATTGCTAACCTGAACAAAGACACAGATGCTGAAGCCTGACTGCCTGGGTCCAATCTCAGCTCTGCTACTGAGCAACTGTGTGATTATAGGCAAGTGAATTAACCTCTCTAGGCCCTCAGCCTCTGCTACGAAACAGGGATAATGACAGCCCCTGCTCTCGTGGAGTTGCTGTGAGGATTCAGTGAGTAAATGCATGTAAATCAGTAAATGCTCAGCAAATAGTCACTACCATTATCATTACTAGCCAGAGCCTTTATCCACAATCCTGAAATCCCAAACACTCTGAACACAGAAAGCTTTTTGAAAATTCATTTGGCAACTATTTTAAGTCTTTATTTATCCCATGGACTGTGAATATTCATTAGTTTCCCTGCAGAAGTGTTAGTGAGTTTGATTACAGGACACTGTCCCAGATCATGCTGGGGTGACAAAATTGTGGCATATCCACCATATTCCATTTCTGAAATCCAAAAAGTATTCTAAATCTTGAAACACTCCCGGCCTCAAGGAGTTTGAATAAGGTATTATTGCCCTGAGCTCTCTCTTTCAATTCTTTCAATAATCCTGAAAAGTAAATGCCCTTTATTCTCATTGTACAGACAGAGAAACTTAGGCTTGGAGAAGTTAAAGAACATGTCCTGGATGCCATGGCAGGTACACAGCAGGGCCCAGACTCAAGTCCTGACCTCTGACTGCAGACCTGATGGTGTTCCCCTCTGCAGGCCTCCTAGGTGGTCAGATTCCCAAGGCTCCCGAGAGCCTGTGTCTGGTTCAGTGCTGTCCCTCAGAGAGCTGAACACACCCCCTTGCCCAGTGAAGGTCCATCGAATGAACAACAGCATCCATGAGCAAAAGACATGGAATCCTCTTGGATGGGCAATCAGCTCCCCAAGGAGACTTGGAGAAAAAAAGGTGAACTCAATGAGAACTGTTCCCCTAGGAGCCTCCTAAGGTGCCCTGCCATCTGTGCCCAAGATGGAGTCAAGCTTAGTTGGGTCCGTTTCTGGCTCTGCCCAAGCTCACTTGCAACCGGACCCTAAGCCAGTCCCTGACCTGCTTGAGCCTGCATTTCATCATCCCTGTGGATGAGGGTAATAACAATTCTACCTCATATAGCCACTGTACTTGGCAGGGTCTTGGGGGCAGATTTGGTGAGGGGACCCGGGGCCTGTAGCACTCAAGGACAGCTGGAGCTGAATTGACCAGCTTCTTTTCCCCGGGGACTTCCTGCCACCTTCTCCCAAACCCTGGGAAAATGTGCTCCTCCAGCCACCTATGAGGAAATTCCCAGTGCCCAGAACAGGATCTTGCAAGCTACAGTTGAGCCTCCTCTCTGCAAGGCCTTGGAGTCATAGCTTCCTCCTAGGCTCCAGGGAGAGCGAGACGAAAGAGACCATGGCCACAGCACCCGTGCCCCTTGTCCACCCAGCTCACTGCAGCCCACAGCTGCCCTTCCTTCTGCCATGCACCTCCAGCAGGTGCTCCCTTCTGCAGAGTAAAGAGCCCCATAAGGGGCTTCCCTGGAGACACAGAAAGTGTGTGCTGGCCCCAATCTGCTTTAGCTCTTGCCTTCTGGAGACATGGTCTCAGTGGGCACAAGGTAACTTTGGACAGGTTTCCAGTTTAATAAAAGAAAGCTGTTTCTGTTGTCAGTTGAGCCTGCAATTCCTGCTTCAAACAGCCCCTTGAACCTGTTTTTCCTACATGTTGGGGTCCCCCAGGGGCCTTCCCCACTTGCCCACATGCCAGAACCTGGCTCCTCCTGACCATGCTTACCCAGCATTCGCTGCAAGGCCCTGCCTGCCTTCCCTCCCAATTCCACTGTTGAAATACAACATCCATCATGTTTCATTTGCCTAATAAGCCTCAGTCCCCATTCTGCTGGGTGATTAACCAGTCAGAATACCATGAGATCCCATCCGGCGCTTGGCAATCGCCACGGGAGGGGCAACCTTCCTCCTTTTGCTACCACCACCCCTCCCCGCATCTTTCTTTTCAAATGACCATGTGATTCCATTAAGTTCCGTGTGCAATAGCAATCATTCTGGAAAAACTGATTGTGACTCTCTTAATGACTGCTTGGTCGGATGTTAATGTAACGGGGGAAAATTTACACTGTCCTGCTTGCTGCAGCCAGAGCTGAAAAGGATTCCAGGCCAGTGCAGGTGGGGCATGGATGCAGGGAGGTGGGGCATGGATGCAGGGAGGTGGGGCATGGATGCAGGGAGGTGGGGCATGGACGCAGGGAGGTGGGGCATGGACGCAGGGAGGTGGGGCATGGACGCAGGGAGGTGGGGCATGGATGCTGGGAGGGTGGGGCATGGATGCAGGGAGGGTGGGGCATGGATGCAGGGAGGGTGGGGCATGGATGCAGGGAGGGTGGGGCATAAATGCAAGGAGGGTGGGGCATAAATGCAAGGAGGGTGGGGCATAAATGCAAGGAGGGTGTGGCATGCACCTATGGCTGATTGGCAGAATTTTATTAACAAAGTAATGTCTGTGTTTCTTAGAAAGGATTTCTCCACCTGTCAGGGGTGTCTGGGAGGAGCATGGTCATTCCCCACCCTGCTTTGGGGGCCCTACCCCTGGTGGCAGGGCTGGGGCCTTGCTTCCTTGCCCTGGCTGTGTGCCCTAGGACATATTACCAGAAGGACATATTAGGATAGAGCAGGAGATCCAGTCAGAGGTCAAGAGCTGACCCTGCTCTGCTGTAGCTGTGTGACCTTGGGCTAGACACCCACCCTCTTGGCAGCTTCCCACCGGAAATTAGTACAAGCCTGTGCCCTACCTCCCGGAGGCACTTTTGAGGCCAGAGGCAGACATTGCCAATCCAAGTAGCCATCCCCTCTGCTCCCTTCTTGCTAGCAGAACCCAGGCTGGGGTGCCAGGTCCTGCAGGACAGTGCAGGACTCCTCTCCAGCCTAGAGAGTAAAAGGTGCTCAGTCCAAGCCAGCCAGTGGTGGGTCAGGAGAGGCTACAGGATGCCATTCTGGCCAGAAGGCAGAGAGCCTACTGGGGCTTCTGGAAAAGTGCCTCTTGCTTCTAAAAAGTTACATCAAGAAGGGACATCTTGCTTCCTGCTTCTGGACACTGCTATGTGACAGTGTGATGCTGGGAGCTGCGGTGGTGTCTCACAAGCTTCTCACAAGCACGAAGGGATGTACCTGAGGACCAATGCCAACGTGCAGGGGATGGCAGGGAGAAAGAACCGAGAGTGCCTGGGTCCTCGATGGCATTGTGGAGATGCTGAATTAACTACAGCTGGAGCTGCTCACCTCATCCCCAACCTCTTCTGAAGGAGGAGAATACATTTGCATGACTGTTCAGCCAATCTGAGTCAGGTTTTCTGTTATATGCGGCCAACAGTATCTCTGTAGAACCTACGCAGGTAGGAGTCTTCTTTAAATGGTAAAGTTCTGAGCAAATGTAAGTGCTGGTGTTATTCTTTTAAGGGCTGTAATTAGAACCTAAATTGTGTCAACCATGAGGGTCAGGATGTGGCAATGATGAGCAGGCGAAGCAGACATGAAATGCATGTGCAGGGCGGGCAGAAGTACCTCCTGGGAGAATCTTGTGCAAGGGTCCTCACCCAGTAAATACCCAAGTGTTAGCTTTTGTAAGGAAATGGGCATTCCAAATGTTCTAGAACCTGTCACTTGGTTTCCCTCTTAGCCCCATTCCCAGGGACTCATGGCTGGCCCCATTGGGGTAAACGGCAAGGCCCACGATAAGTAAATCCAGATCAACCCTGGTGCCTAGCAGTTCTGCTTCAGAGCCCTCTGGAAGTGGAGCCCTCATTTCCCTCCACACACAAACAGCCCAACAGAGCTGCTCCAGGGCCCAGGGCCAGGGCAGGGAGAAAGAAGAGTCCTTACCAAAACCTGGACCAGGGGTTTGCTGTGGGTCCCAACAGGGCTTGTTCATGAGTACCTGTGAGATTCCTTTTGGAGATGCTCAGAAACACTTGGGGACCTCTTTGAGGGCTGGGGTCATGCCTTAGCGGGTGGGAGTGAGAATGGTGAGTTGGGCTGATACTGTGTTATCATTCTTCATGGGACCAGAGGAGGTGGGCCTGGAGGCTGGCCCAGAAGGGAGCTTGCACCCTCTCAGGCCCCAGCTCCTTTCTCCTATCCTCGGTGTTCTCTGAGTACAATGGCTATAGGGGGAGACGGGGCAGTTCTGAAGCCCAGGGACCTGACCACTCCGGAGCTTTCAGGTGGAGTGATTTGTACGGCAGGGATTAGAAACTGTTGTAATATTTTTCTTAATTGATTCTTCTAATTGCAAATCAGTAGAACTAATTTGCACCCTGGTTGGGTTTGTTTTGTTGTGAGGTGATGGGGGTCCCAAAGGACTCACTGTGTGAAGGGAAACTTAGGTGAGGTGAAATCAAACATACTTCAAACCATCACTCATGGATGGCCAGAGGAGCAGGGGCCAGGCACAGAGGGGCAGCTGGTTGCTCTCCTTTTCCACAACCCCGAGCTCACTACTACTGGGTGTGTAGGAGGAAAAAAAAAAAAGCCCAAAACATAAAATAGCAGGTGGGAAGGGCTGGCTGCCAAGCTGCCCCCTCCAGCCCAGAGGGTTGTCTCCTGACCCAGAGTAGAAGCAGCCTTTTTCTCCAGATTTCTCTCTGCAGCACTAAAGTAGTCTGGGAATTCATTCGCCTAGGCAATATGTCTCAAATGTTTCTTGGACATTTACTATGTGCCAG
The DNA here is from genome assembly GCF_000001405.40 of Homo sapiens. Taxonomy (NCBI): domain Eukaryota; kingdom Metazoa; phylum Chordata; class Mammalia; order Primates; family Hominidae; genus Homo; species Homo sapiens. Next base: position 70,004,137 of record NC_000015.10, on the reverse strand, counting down.
GCTCCAGATAGTGACTGGGGGTGCAATGGTGGACAAGAGAGCTGTGGCCTCTGCCCTCATGGAGACACTGTCATTAAATGACTGAGTCAGGAAGGATGCAGCTGCTAAGAACTGAATCCACTTTGGTTATGTATGCAGAAAGGGGTTCATCACAGAGTATTCAATGGCTTTCAGAGTTACAGGGAAGTCTGGAGAAAAGAGCATTAGTCTGAGCTTCTGGGAGTGACTCTTAAGAGGCAAGCCACTGAGAATGTTCCTGTCTTAGTCTGTTTTTGTTTGTTTGTTTGTTTGTTTGTTTGTTTTTGAGACAGTCTTACTCTGTCACCCAGGCTGGAGTGCAGAGGCGCGATCTTGGCTCACTGCAACCTCTGCCTCCCATGTTCAAGTGATTCTCCTGCCTCAGCCTCCCGAGTAGCTGGGACTACAGGCACCTGCCAGCACACCAAGCTAATTTTTGTATTTTTAGCAGAGACATGGTTTGGCCATGTTGGCCAGGCTGGTCTTGAACTCCTGACCTCAAGTGATCTGCCTGCCTCGGCCTCCCAAAGTGTCTTAGTTTGTTTTGTGCTGCTATAACAGAATACCTGAGACTGTGTGATTTATAAAGAACAGAAATTTATTTCTTACAGTTCTGGAGGCTGGGAGGTCCAAGGTTGAGGGGCCTGCATTTGGCAAGGGCCTTCTTGCTGCATCATCCTATTTCAGAAGGCAGAAGGGCAAGAGAGCACGAGAGCGAGCAAGAAGGAGCCCAACTTGCTTTTATAACAAGACCACTCTGGTGATGACTAGCTCACTCCCACCATAACAACATCTATCCATTCATATGAAACTTGCATTCAGACTGAATCACCTCTTTTTAGGCCCCACCTCCCAATGCTGTTACTTCCACAGCTGCATGTTCTAGAATCTTATTCCTCTGCAACAAGGTGGAAGCTTCATGCTGCCTCTCTTCCCTTTTGGCTCAGTTCTGAATTTCAGTTTCATGTGAGTCCATCTATTGGCAGAACCCAAATCAATGTGGAACCCTAGCTGCAAGGGAGTCTGTGCGCAGGTTGTAGCTCTCCAGGAAGAGCTGCTCAGAGGAAGAGGTGGGAATATGTAGTGGGTGAGCAAATTGACACTTTCCCACATAGCCACTGATTATTTAATTCAATTAAATGCCCTTGTGATGGTGCCTCCCAGGGAAATTGATAAAACGAATTGTCAAAAGGAACTTTACTAAACTCTTGCAAGAACCAAGAGGGAACTGAGAGTAGAAGTGGTTGGTGGGTCCACGCGTGGGCCCTCTAAAAACAACAACCTCAGGCCCAAAGGCATGACCACCATGTCCGCTGAAACTTGGCTCTGCTCCCTCCCCTTCCCAGTCCCCAGGCCTGTATCCCTGTGCTCCTGACGCATCTGTGTGACATCTTGATGGTCTCAATCTCTCCTCACACCACAAGCCCCTATCCCCTGTTCAAATGGTGTCCTGGGGCCTGCCCTTTGCCCTGAGCTCCCTGGACAGGCAGTGGTCTGGGCACAGTGAATGACCCACACTCTCCATGCAGACCACCAGCCCTGCCTGCCCCCAGAGGGCTCCACACTGACCCTTTCTGTGTGAATTCACCTCTCACCATCAGAGGAGTGACCTGGCCCATTATAGAGGACATATTATCCTCACACCTTATCCCAGTGGTTCTTGAAGTTTGATCCATGGGCCAATCAACATTAGATTTTTAATCGATAAAAATTCAGTTTCCCAGGCCCTCCCTCAGACATGCTGAATTGGGATCTCCAGGGGGAAGAAGCAGGAAATATGCATTTCTGCAGACTCCCCGGGTGGCTCTGATGTGCCTACCACCAAGAGCCACTTCTCTAAGGGCACAGGTTACAGGGAGGCAGTGTGGGACATGGGAGGCAGTGGGACTTTGCATCATAGCCCAGGTTTACCTCTTATTCTTGTTTAACCGTCTGATTCTAGTTGTCCTGCTCTGAAGCTCAGTTTCCTGACCTGAAAAATGGGAGTAAAGATACCCTCTGCTTCACTGTTTGCTGTGGCTGTGAAGTGATTATGCAAAGCCTTTGGTCAATAGGAAGGCGCTGTTTAAATACCTAGGTAGCTGTTATGAGCCTCAGTGAGTGTGACACGTAAGAGGCAGAGTTACACAATCCCAAGTAATTTTTTTAAAAACGTATGTTTTACTTAAAATTTTTCAAAGGATGTTAAAAGGGATTCAAATACACAGTCCACAGCTACAAGTATTAACCCCCTTCCCTCAAATCCCCTAAACCTCCCTCTTCCCCCAAGCCAGGTGGCCTTCTTTCCTCTTCTTCCTCTTCCCTCTCTCTCAGCCTTATATTATGTACAGATTAGTTCTCTCCCTCTCCCAGCGGGAAAAAGGGATAACTGAATGGAGATGAAGAAATTTTCCCTGGGAGATTGGGTGGGGGTGGGGGAGGTTGGTGAACATGATCACCTTCATACATTTTTGTTCTGTTGAATTAATTTGTATGAACACAGCAGTACCAGAAGAAGTAATCATTTTCAGTGTTCATATGTGATCAGTGTTAAGGGTGGGAAGTATCCATTCTCTTGTGGGAAAATGAAAGCCCATCTTCCCTCTTTCTCCCTCCCTTCTTTCCTCACTCCCTTCTTGCCTTCCTCCCTTCCTCTTCCTCCCTCCCTCTCTCTCTTTCTTCCCTCCCTTCCTTCTTTCCTCTATCTCTTGCTCTCTTCCTGTCTGTCTGTCTCTCTTTCTTCTGCTTATAAAACTGGGTTATTCTTTTTTTTCTTTCTTGAGACAGGGTCTCACTCTGTCACCCAGGCTGGAGTGCAGTGGTGTGATCTCTGTTCAGTGCAACCTCTGCCTCCTGAGCTCAAGCCATCCTCCCACCTCAGTCTCCTGAATAGCTTGGACTACAGACATCTGCTGCCATGCCTGGCTAATTTTTTGTGTTTTTTCTAGAGATAGGGTTTTGCTATGTTGTCCAGGCTTGTCCCAAACTCCTGACCTCAAACGATCTGCCCACCTCAGCCTCCCAAAGTGCTGGGATTACAGGTTTGAGCCACTGTGCCCAGCCAAAAAACTGGGTTATTCTTTTATCCAAGAATCATTTATTGGATCTGTAATATTTAACTAGTTTTCCTTCTGATTTCAAAAGTAAATCAATGCTTGTGTGGCAATGTTCAGATAGGGCAGATGAGCACATGGTCCAGAAGCCAGAGTCCCTCTAAGTGTCAGTTGCTCTGCCCATCAAATGGGGGAGACTTACACCCAGGAAGGGCTGAGACTGTGAGGCTCCTGTTGTCTTGCCTGGGCCTGGGCGACTGGCACCCTGAGCACTTCTCATGCTACTAAAGGAGTGGGAGCCCCCGGAGAGGGAGGCAAGAGCCGATGCTTGGTGGGGTGTGTTATGGGCATGTTTGCACCTGTGAAAATAAGTCTGGAGATGCTACAGTGGGTCCAGCCCTTGCCTTGGCCTTGTGGTGATGAGTCCTCTGTTCCCAGCCTTTGATCTGCAGCATTGCCCCCACCCCCTAGCCTGGCTCTTCTTGCTTCTTCTCTCTTCCCAGTACTGGGTGGCTCAGAGCACCCAGATGGAGCCCCACTGAGGCCTGCTGTCTCAGGGCAGGCAGAGCTGAACAGGCATCAGGGCTCTCAGCAGGAGGGAGAGGGGAGGATGGAAGAGGAGGGGAAATGAGAGGGGGAAGCTGATTCTGGGAGGCCTGGCTGGGGCTGGGGCAAAATACTTCAGGCTGGAAGGGGATCCTCTAAGCCACCTGAACGCCATGCAGAGTGGGGCTTGAAGAACTCAAGCTAGTTCCACCTTCTACAGGTGTCCCTGTCCTGCATAGGATTAATTTATTCATTCAATCAATCATTTGTTTATTCAACACATTTTTATTGATCCCCTTCCATATACCTGGCACTGTTCTAGGTACTGGGACAGAGCAGTAGATGGAAGAAAGGAAATACCTCTCCATATGGAGTTCCATTCTAGTGCAGGAGACAGACCATAAATAAGAGAAAGTAGAATGGATTATATGCTAGGGTGGATGAGTGCTGTGGAGAGAATAAAGCAGAGAAGAGAAATATGAGTGTCCGGGGTTGACATTTTCAAAAGAGTTGCCAGGGCGGGTGAAATGAGGATGGATGTGTGCGTCACCTAAAAGCCACATGTTGAAGCCCTAACCCCCAGTGTGATCGTGTCTGGAGGTGGGAACTTTGGGACGAAGCTAATTAGATTTAGATGAGGCCACGTGTGTGCCCCTCCCCACCACGATGGGATTAGTGTCCCTGTAAGGAGAGCAAGAGAGACCAGAGCTCTCTCTCTCTTCACCATGTGAGGACACGGCAAGAAGGTGGCCATCTGCAAGCCAGGTGCCTTGACCTTGGCCTTCTCAGCTTCCAGAACTAGGGAAAATACACGTCTGTGGTTTAAGCCACCCAGTCTGTGGTGTGTCATTACAGCAGCCTGAGCTAAGACGGAGCCTCTTTGAAATGACGACTTTGAGGAGAGACCTGGAGAAAGTGAAGAGGGGAGCAAGTGAACGTGTGGAGGAAGAACATTCTAGACAAAGGGGCAAAGGCCAAGGCCCTGAGGTGGGTGGGTGTCTGGCGTGTTGGAGGAGGAGCGAGGAGCAGTGTGGCTGGTCAGGGTGAGGGAGGCGGGAGCCATAGGAGGTGGGGTGAGCAGCAATAGGCCCCGTCAGACAGGGCCTCGTTGGTTGTATACAGTAGAGATTTGGGCTTTACCTCTGAGAAAATGGCAACCATTTTCAGAGTTGCAGAGATGTAGCACAATCACACTGAAGCTTTAGCAGAATCCGGTAGCCACTGGGTGGAGCCTAGGCTGTAGGGTCAAGTGTAGAATATGGAGGCGAGGTGGGAGGCTCCTGGGAGCATGTAGGTGAGAGGTGCTGGTGGCTGGTGCCAGGCTGGGAGTAGTGGGAGGTGGTCAGATTCTGGATATGGATGGAAAGTGGATCCAGCTGTGTTTGCCGGCAGACAGGCCGAGGTTTTCTCAGGTGGTGGTGCTGCCCATGGCCAGGTGGGCCGCAGGCCTGTGGTTCCAGCAGTCAGTCCACTCAGGAGTCCTCGACTGCCTATGGAGAGCGCTGGCAGGAGCTGGCAAGTGTGAGGCCCAGGCTGTCAGAGCTGGACTCACTCCTGGCCTTGCTGTGTGAGCTGGCGAGGCAGCCCCGTGGAAAGGTGGCTGAATGAAGTTTGGGGAGCACACAGTGGGGCTGGGGAGTGGCAGGAAGTTGGGGGTGATGAGAGCAGAGTCCAGAGTTGGACCTGCCTCAGCAGGGCCCTTTGCCCCGTGGGCTGGTGGGACCAAGACACGCTCCCCTGGCCCTGGCCTGGCCGTGAGTGCTGTGCTGAGGTAGGGCTGGCAAAACACAGGGGCTGTGTTTCTAAACTGTACCTCCTGCCTCTCACTCTCAAAGCCCCCTCTCCTCCGGCTGGCCCGCACTGAGGAGAGCCCATCATGGGGCCCAAGGGGAGCCACTGCAAGAGGCTCGGGAAGCAACTTCTCTGGGGCCCTTGCTTTAGAGCAATGGTCAGCAAACAGAGACAATACTCCCATTCCATGGAGGCATTAGCTGATGTCTGGAGACATTTTTGTGTGTCCCCACTGGGGCAGTGCTACTGACAGCTAGTAGAGGCCAGAGGTGCTGCTAAACCTGCATTACACAGGACAGTCCCCCAAAGCAGGAATCCCCTGAATCATCCGTCCCAACATGTCGGCAGTGCCAAGACTGAGAAGACCTGCTTTAGAGACACCTTAATTCACCAACCTTCCCAAGTGTGGCAGCTTGCAAAAAAATGGGCACAAATTCCCCCCAATACCGGTATGTACACCCTTTATCCCAGTAAGAGGTGAAGTGGATTTCTCTGCCTCTTGCGACTTGCACTGACCAATTGAATGCAGAGGAAGTTATGTCATGGAGCTTCTGAGCCCAGACCTCAAGAGGTCCTGCAGCTTCCACTGTTGTTCCCTTGGAGCCCCTGGCAGCAATGAGGAGCAGCCATGGGCGAGCTGCCAGATGAGTGTAGCTGCATGAGTGACTCCAGACAAGACCAGCAGAAGACCCGCCCAGAAGAGCCCAGCCCAAACTACTGGCCCACAGAAGAATGAGGAAATAGAATGGTGGTTGTTTGAAGCTACTAAATGTTGGGGCTGTTTGTTTTGCACTGACTACACTGACAGCAGGTGCATTTTAAAGGGGATGTCTGAGGACCTGTGGAGGCTGAAGTGACTCCATCTTGGATGCTAATGTGCCATGCTGACTTCTGATTAACCCCAGCTCCAGGAAAGCCTCTAAGATCTCTACTTTCATGTAGTTGCTGTAAATCCTGCCCTTAGATCAAAACAACCTTGATGTTACCATAAACACATACTTACTATAAATCCTGCCCTTAGGCAAATTCCCTATGGCATACGAGCCCTGGGTCTGGGGGTAGCAGTGCAGGCGTCCACCATTGCGCCTTGCAGCCACCCAAGACATGGGTTGTTCGTGAGTCCCTATTAAATGTTTCTTTCTGAGAACCTGGGTTTCTTGGCCTCTTTCTTTGGCCTCTCAGCTTCCTTAGGCTTTGGGGCTAGGTTTGCATAGAACTACTCACCATAGAACAGGATCATATGTTTTAACCCAGAGGATTAGTGGGCTCACCTCAGTCAAAGGAAGGCCGTTGAAGTGGATTTTGCCTCAGCAGCAGAATCCTTCCTGTTGATGAAATCACTCTAGGTGAGTAACTGCCAGTGCAGTCTGGATCCCGTGTGCGTACAGAACAGGCAATGATCCCGGCCTATTGGCCACAGGTGGGGTGAGAGGAGCAGCTGGGATAATGGAGAGCAGATTGGTGGCCAGCCGCTGGGCAGAGGGCGGGGCTCCGAAGTGAGATAGCATGGGCAGGACTGCCAGCTCCACCGCCCGCAGCCACCTAACCTTGAGCAGGTCGCTCTTCCTCTCCAGACCTCTGCTTCTCCTCTGGAAAGGGATGATAATACCTCTCTCAGGTTTATTGGGAGGATTAGATCAGATTAGATGAGACTATGTATATGAAGGACTTAGCACCGGGCCTGGCACTGAGAAGGTACAATAATGGCTTGTTGACTGATTAAACAGACACACTGTTTGGACTAGGGTTTGGCTGACAGTAAAGGGTATAAAAGGATCTTTCAGGCTGTGTGTCCTCTTAAGTGCAGGAGGGTCTTTCAAAAGAGAAAAAAAAAAAAAAAGAGAAGAGAAAAGAAAAAAAAAAAAAGGATTGGGAGCTGTAGGAACTAGGTTATTGCTAGATACTTCCAGAATGGATGTCCCTAGATGGAAAGGAAACGCGGGTTTAAATCAGTTTGGCATTGATAGCAGGAGGCAGGAAAACAGTTGGTCTTAATATTATTCCTGTGTGAGCCAGCATGTGGTGTGGGTTTTAATTTAAAGCAGGCATTTAGTGAGTTGATAAACAGGAGTGTGCACCTCCTGCCCTCCCACGCCCTGAGCCCCAGAAGAACAATTATCCTGGAGAGAAGATGAAAGGAACATATGGAAATGAATTCTAATAATATGGAGCAGGCAGGCAGCACCTGCTTTCTCACGCGGGCTTTGAGGGGGCTCGAGTCGAGACTGTGTACACACCAGCAGGTAGCAGAGGTCAGTCGAGGCCACCCTGACTGGTTCACTCCACTGGAGCAGTTCTGTGCTGTGGGATGGAGACGGGGCTGAGAACTTTTGGGGCCTCTGTTAATGGCGTGGTCTGAGGCATGCCTCCACTGGCGCCGTCTCTGCGGTGTTGTGCGTATTCAGATAAGCCAGGCTGATTGTTTTGTTTCATTGTTTGTTTGTTTTTTACCTTCCCCCAAATGCTGACACAGAATGGGCACATAAGAGGCCAGCCTCTGTCTAAGGTTACCAGACTCAATTTGGAGATAGTAGTTTGGATTCTCAGTTACAATTCTGGCATCCACTTCAAACCAATCAGGCAAAAGGGGAGATTGACTGAGCTGTGGGATTCACCTACAGAAAGAGCAGGGGCAATGGGCTCCATCAGCTGCTGTCACCAGCGTGGCTCTCAGGGTCTTTCACCCATGTCAGTGTCACTCTCTGAGACCGAGCACCGGACTGCTCATAATTCCCAGCCATAGATTTCCAGTTTTGCCAACAAGGGGAAAAGACTCTCTTTCCTTAGTTCCCAATTGAAAAGTCCCTAGGAAGGGCTCTGCAGGCCCTGCTTGAGTCACATCTCCCACCCCTGTGCCGTGGCCAGTGATGGGTGCACTGGTTCACTGTCTCCTCTGCAGCCTCACCAGTGGGTGGATGAAGGGAAGGGACAGCTCCCAAAAGAAGTGAGAGTGCTGTTGCCACAAAAGCGAAAAGTAGTGGGCAGTGTTGTCTGTGGGGCCACGGAAGTCATAATGGGGATTTCTTGAGTCATTTCTACTCTTCCTTAAAGCCCAACATAAACTCAAAACTCCATCCACGAGTCGGTTATCCATGCCAACTGAAATGTAGCTCACTATGCTGGCCCAGTCATATCCTCACCTCCTTCTGCTGCCCCGAAGTCCATCTCGGTAGTTTTACGTCTTTAATGATTCAACTTGGGGGAAAAATTAATCTTTACAGAATGAATGAGGTTGATTTTTATTTCGCAGTTGTTAAAGACAAATATTCTATTTCTGAGGACAAACTTGGGGCAGACTATTTTCCTCTAAGGGCCTCTTTACATAGAGAACACATGCTTACCTGACATGAGGAACAAAGAACGATCTGTATTATTGTATCACTTAGCACCAGGTTCAGCTGCATATAACATTGAATAATAATGGCTTCAATGCACTGGGGTTGTGTCTTACTCAGAAGTTTGGAAGCATATGCTGGGGGACAATGCTCCATAAGTCTCCCACGTTTTCATTTGTCTTATAAGCAGAGCCATGGGTGGCTTTTGTTCCAGATCATCTTTGCAAAGATGTTTTATAGGCTCAGAACATACAGATAGTGTCATTCTCTGTGTCAAAGGGTGGATTTGCTTGCTGTCCAGTATGATAAAGATAACGTCTTGCTCAGGGCAAGGGTGGGGAAGGTTTATTACCAGCCCTGTTGTAAAGGATTGGGACTTCCCAAGCTTGGGTTCCTCAGCTGTGACCTAAACCTCCTGCATTTGCAGCATCTACCTGGACTGCTTTGCATTGCCCCAAGGGACCTGGGGACAAGAGGAACTAATGCAAACTGACATGAACATGAACTTCATGCCACTTGCTGTAACATGAGTGATAAAGTCCATTGTCTCTGACCAGGATTCTCATGTCTTCTGCTAGTTTGCATGACACTCTGGCAGGTTAACTTGTTAACTTGCAAGTAGGGTAAAATTTCAGACCTTTCACAGTACTTGACACTATACAGTAAAGGGCTGAAATGGTGACTCCACAAAGTAATCTAGGCCAGGCTTCTTTTGCTTTACCAGTCTCAAGATTAGCTCATGGTGCAAGATGGCTGCTGGAGCTCCAGTCAGCACATCTGCATTCCCAGCAGCAGAAAAGAGGAAAGAGGAAGGACAAAGGCAACATCTCCCAGACCTCCTGGATTTCCACACAATACTCCATATGCATCTCACTGGCCATCACTTTATTTGGCTTTGCCTAGCTGCAAGGAAGGCTTGGAAATGTAGGCTTTTTATTTTTATTTTTATTTTTGAAGTCTCACTCTGTTGCCCAGGCTGGAGTGCAGTGGAGTTATCTTGGCTCACTGCAACCTCCATTTCCCAGGTTCAAGCTATTCTCCTGCCTCAGCCTCTGGAATGCTGGGATTACAGGCATGCGCCACCACACCCAGCTAATTTTTTTGTATTTTTGGTAGAGACAGGGTTTCACCATGTTGCCCGGGATTGTCTTGAAGGCTTGACCTGAAGTAATCCACCCGCCTCGGCCTCCCAGACTGCTAGGATTACAGATGTGAGCCACCACGCACAGCCAGGAAAATGTAGTCTTTAGGCACAACGCAATGCTGTCCCAGGCAGGGCTTTGTTACTACTGAAGAAGAGAGAATGAACTTGATGGGTGGCAACTAGCAATCTCTGTCCCAGTCCCCACCTCCTGCTGTTGTTCCTAGTCTGGTGGTAGAGACAGGAAAGAGTTCCTCATCTGAGCATAGCGCCTGCTGAGGAGGAAGAAGGAGAGGGGAGGCCCCATGGTAAACAAGTTTAGGGAAGGGTGCACTAGTTGCCTTACCCACTCTCAGCCAAATAAAACACCCTCTACTCCACCCCAGGAGCTCAAAATCTAGATGGAGGGATGGGCATGTGGATCATGAATCACAGAGCATGGGGAAAAGTAGTGATCAGAGCTGGGTTGAGGTCAGCCAGCCTAGCGAGTTGAAGGAGCACTGACAAGGGATGGCTACATTAACTGGAGATTAGGGAAGGCTTCCTGGAGGAGGCGATGCTTGACTTGAGTGTGGAAGGATGAGTACAAGTTCACCGACTCATGGGCTTGGGGTAGGGCTGCTAGATAAAATACAGGATGCTCAGTTAAATTTCTTTCTTTCTTTCCTTTCTTTCTTTCTTTCTTTCTTTCTTTCTCTTTCTTTCTCTTTCTTTCCTTCTTTCTTTCTTCCTTCCTTCCTTCCTTCCTTCCTTCCTTCCTTCCTTCCTTCCTTCCTTTCTTTCTTTCTCTCTCTTTCTCTCTTTCTCTCTCTCTCTGTCTCTTTCTTTCTTTCTTTCTTTTTCTTTCTTTCTTTCTTCTTTCTTTCCTTCCTTCCTTCCTTCCTTCCTTCCTTCCTTCCTTCCTTCCTTCCTTCCTTTCTTTCTCTCTCTTTCTCTCTCTCTCTCTCTGTCTCTTTCTTTCTTTTCTTTCTTTCTTTCTTTCTTTCTTTCTTTCTTTCTTTCTTTCTTTCTTTCTTTCTTTCTTTCTTTCTTTCTTTTTTGATGGAACCTCCCTCTCAGGCTGGAGTGCAGTGGTGCAATCTTAGCTCACTGCAACCTCTGCCTCCCGGGTTCAAGCGATGCTCCTGCCCCAGCCTCCTGAGTAGCTGGGACTACAGGCGCACACCACCATGCCTGGCTAATATTTGTATTTTTGGTAGAAACGGGGTTTCACCGTGTTGCCCAGGCTGGTCTCGAACTCCTGACCTCAGGTGATCCACCCGCCTTGGCCTCCCAAAGTGTTGGGATTATAGGTGTGAGCCACCGCACCCGGTCTAAATTTCAATTTTAGATAAACTACATATAATTTTAGTATAAGTATAGCTCATGTAGTATTTGGAGCATACTTATACTAAGAAATTATTTGTGGTTTATCCGAAATACAAATTCACCTAGCCTCCTATATTTTTATTTGCTAAATCTGGTAACTTTATGTGGGGGTGAGGGCATACCAGGTATGAGGAACTCACTAGAGAAGGCCAGGGGAGGGGGAGCTGAATGCAGGTTGGCAGGCTGGAGTGAGTGAGGAGGGGTGTTCAGAAGGGGTGTGGGGGTGAGGCTGGGAAAGGAGGCAGGGCAAGGCATTGTCCGCTTAATACTGATAAGGAGTATCTATTATCCAACAGTTATTGGAGCAATTACCATGTGCCGGGAACTCTGTCAAGCACTTTGGTATTGACTCACTTAATTCTCACGTCATCACTAGGAGGGAGGTGCTTGTATTATTTCCATTTCACTGATGAGGAAATCTAAAAGTTAAGAAATGGCCAGGCAGTGGTGGAGTCGGATGCAAACCCTGGTGTAGGCCAGGCTATTCCTCATTGGAATTTTTCATGGGGCTTCCTGGGCCTTATCTCATTCTCTCGGTCTTCCTGTGATGCCGGTGACGGTAGGCAGGGCCAGCAACCATGGAGCTGCCCTGAACAGAGGAGAGAGTGGGTGGGAGGCCCAGGCAGGTTCCTTAAAGGCAGGGATCCCCCACTCAGAGAACAGCTAGTCCAGAGGTGCCCACACCCTGCACCCAGGTGCCCTTATGGGAGCTGAGGTGCCCCTCTTTGAGGGAACCTTGCAAGCGGAGACTGAAAATGCGCAGGATTCCGGCTGGAGCACCTCTGCTTTTATGCACAGTCTGTACTGGGCATCTGTGAGACGCTGCACTTGAATAAACCGCTCAGCGCCTCTCAAAATAAGCATCTTGCTGGTGGCCCAACTCCCTCCTTTTCCAGAAGAGAAAGCTGAGCTCCAGGAGGGGTTGAGTAGGGGTGATGTGCTTGCTAGGGCAGCCGGGTCTCCAGCTCTCAGTTCTGTGAAGCCTGAGGACCACTTCCACATTCTCTGCTCCCTGGGACTCCATGGCACCTGCATCTAAGGAAGCAGTGGGCTGGCCTGACGTCTCCATCAGACAAAGGCACTTGGCTCAACACTGCTGAGAAGCATCAAGGGCTCCCCAAGTGCTTGCCCAGCACACCCGGCAGGGAGAGCAGGCCCTGAGCCTCAGCCTGCCTGAAAGGCCCTGGGGAGCCAGGTGCTCAGAGCTCCACACTGCGGACTTGTTCCGCTGGGCTGCCTGGACCCTTCCGGGCAATGGTGTTAGGGGTCTGGATTTTGGGCGGGGCTATGATTGGCGGGTCCCGAGGGTTTACAGAGCAGTTTACAGCGCTTGGCTGGAGTGGTCATGCCAGGGGCCTGGGGGCCAAGAGAGCCCCCATGGATACCTGCCCCAGGCCATGCCCCCAGTCCACGCCTTCCCCCCACCCCCCACCCGCTGCTGCCTGGGGTGGTGGCTTGGCTGGGCAGCCTATTGTTGCCCACGAAATGTTTAGGAATCAGCCATTTAATGAGAACAAAAGGAATTAATTGGTGGTTTAGGCCTAATGAGACCGCTGTGCAAATTAACAGTCCTCATCAGCAGAAACAAACAGAGCCCTTAAATGAATTGCCGAACAGCATTAAACTGAATAAGCTTTTGCCGGGATGATAAATAGCAGGTCAGGGGAGACCATCTGGCCCCTTCCCCGCAGCTTCCTTCCAGAGAGGAGGGAGAGAGGGAGGGAGAGAGGGAGGGAGGGGCCCAGCTGGGGCCAGTCGAGCGCACACTCACACTCACTCTGTCACACACTCACGCTCGCACACTCACACACATTCACACAGTCCATCTGCACACGCACAGCCACATGTATCCATTCACACACTCGTCAACACATTCACACACATTTATTCACACATAGCCACCCACAAACACACATTCCCACTCACATGTTTATATTTGCACGCATATTCACACACATACACCCACATGCACACACACACTAGCTGACAGCCCATGTAGGCAGAAGGCGCAGCGGCCAAGTGCTGCATTGGTTTCTAAGGCCGGGGTGTTGTGCCAGGTGTTTTCTGCCCAATCCCCTCCTCCCCCCAGCCCCCTACCCTGGCCTCCTGTGCTCCCGCCTCCCCTGCCCTGTGTGGGCAGGGTGCAGCAGCAACTCAGAGGAGGTCACAAGGCCGTCCGGGTGACTCTCAACATAACTGACATCCCCTCCTGCAGGAGCAGCTCCTTGAATGAGGCGCATTGGGTGGCCACAGTCTCCCGCCCTGGCCATCCCAGCTCCTCATGCACAGGCAGTAGAAGGCACCTGGCTAACACACGGTGCAGATTCTGGGACAGAAACCTTCAACGGCCCCTCAGTGCCTATGCAGTATAGAGTGAGCACGTGATATCTTTTAAATAAGATAATTAATTTATTCATCAACTCATGTATTCATTTAACAAGTATTTCGGAGTGTCTGGCCCTGTGCTAGGTGTTATGTAACACAGTAATGATTTAAATTGGCCAAGGTTCTCAAGGGACTTACATGGGTTGAGAGATGAGACAAGAAAACTTAACGTTAAGTGCCATGAAGAAATTGGTCAGTTTCAGTGATAAAAGAGACAGTGGAAGGACCTACTGTAGGAAGGTGGTCAGGGAAGTCCTCCCTGTGCAGGTGATGTCTAAATGACTCCTGAAGGATGAGGAATCTGCCATGCAAACACGGGGTGGAAGGACATTCCTGGAGCAGAGGACAGCACGTGCCAGGGCCCAGAGGTTCATGTGTGGCCTTTGCAAGGAGGAGGAGGGAGAGTGGGGCAAGTTGAGCTTGGCAAGTTTAGCAGGACCCAAGCATGCAGCCAATGGGGAGTTGGAATGAACCAATGAACGGCAATTGTTAGAGTTGAAAGCATAGGCAAAAACAGAAAACCACAAGGAATCTCAACTCCAAATTTAGAGATTTTCAACCAACTAATGGTTACTGAGTAGCTCCTGGGTGTAGCTCTGAGCCAAATGCCATGGGAAAGAGAATGATGTGTGTGTGGCCCCTGGCCTCACACTGGTGACAGCCTGCTTTGGCATGGATGGCCTCTCCACACCCAGCACCTAGTGGGTGTGACCTGGATCTAGCCTAGCAGGGAACTGCAGAGATAAGCTGAGGCTCCTGGGGTCTCCTTACCACTGAACCCCAGACATTCAGGAGGAGGTAACAGGACGTTTGGCACGGTCAGGAAACTTCCCAGGGAGGAGGGAACATTGAATTGGGCAAATGGGTAACAATTTTGGGTACTAGTGCTTTTCTGCCAGGCACTGTACATACCCCCAGCCTTCTCTACCTGCCTGTAAGGTTCAGAGCACTAGCCCATTTCATAGAGGAGGAAACTGAGGTGTAGACAGGGAATTAGACCCAATGCATAATGGAAGTGGGATTTGGCCCTAGCGCTGCCTGGCTTTTTCTATTCTTACTGAGAGACCTTGATACTGAGTGCCTGGGTCATGGGCTCTGGGCCTTTTGCCTTCATGGGCCCCTTCCTCCATATATGTATATCTGCATTGGTATAAAGATGAACCTAATGCAAGCTAGATTATATTCATTATCTTCTGATTTTAAAAGCAATTAAAACATTTTCACGGACCCCTGAATGCATGGTGGCCCTGGGCACTGTGCTGACTGTGCCTAAAGAATAAATTGGCCCTGCTGGGGAGCATTCCCTGCTGCCCCTCCAGAAGTACCTTGTCACTCCTCCAGATCCTGCAATGACCTCCCCAAATTCCAGGAGCTCATCCTCCCTCACCAAACTCCCAGACTGAGCCTGGCACCGGGAGACATGCCACCGGGGAGGCTTTAGCTCACCTAGCTCTAAAGTTGAGCCTCTGAGGGCAGCTGGACAAATAAATTGGCTGCCTGGGAATGTATGTCAGTGCTGATGCAGGGACAAGAGATTGCTTGTCTTTTTTCCTGGAACCAGAGCTTAAATTCATCGGCATGATAAATGGTTTGGCCTCCACTATTAAGGCTACCTCCATAACTCAGAGCTCCAAAGAGGCCCCAGAAACATCAGTCTCATTTTTGTTGTTTTTCTTGAGGCAGGCGAGGGCCACACTTAAAAGATGGAGAAAAAACCGGCCCAGCCCTCCTGCTGTGCCCTGGGGGGCGAGGCTGGGAATGCTGGAATTCCATGTTTGCGTGCCGCAGTGGCCAACCCCTAACCATTACCAGCATAAGGCCCCACTTCCCACTGCTTCCAAAGCGCTCCAGAGACCACAGTTCTTTTGGGGTGCCTCCCTGGCTCAAAGACCTTTGGTGGCACCTCTTTGCCTGCAGAAGGAAAGCCACATGCCTCAGCTTCGTTATCCAGGTCTTTCCAGGATCAGGGCTCAGTTTACTTTTTTATGACATTTTCCCACGAAACTTTTTTCCCACCCTTAAAAACCTGTTCAGTATCTCCAGGTCCTTGTTGGTCCTGGCTGTTTTCCCCTCCTGGAATGTACGTTCTCCTCTAGGGAGCCCTCTGAGAAGTTCCATTTATTAGAATTACTTTTCCCTTCTTTTTATCGTCACGGACTGTGTTTGGATTGCTCATAGTTGCCTATGTGTGCCTCTGTCTCCTCCTACTGTGAGAACACTTCAAAGATGGGGACCTGATTTGATTCAACCTTGTTGCTCATACAGGCTTAACGTGGTGCTCTGCACATATAGGAAATGCCTCCTAAGTGTGCGTGAAGTGATTTGAATTTTCAATGGGGAATCACCTTGGTCCAGTTAGATAGTCTGAGGGGTACACAGTTCTATTTTAATCAGAGACCTTTGCTTAGAGGCAGACCTGGTTTCCCCATTTTTTAACCAGAAGAAGCCTTGACCTTGACTCATATGCCCCTTTGGCCTGGGAGAAACTCAGGACACCAGGTTTGGCAAATGCATTGGTCCAGGAATCCATAAATATTGACTCATTGTTTGCAGAGTAATTTAAATGTCAGTTATAAGCCCAGGGCAGTTAAAGATCTGTATCAACAATAAAACTGGATACAAGCCACCAAGCCCTGGGGAAGGAGCTTTGGGTTAAGATGGAAATGGAATATGCAGGCCTTGGGGAGAGAGGGCATTAGAGGGGGAGACAGATCAATGGCTCTGGGAGACTTGGCTGCCAGAGGTACTTGGGCTGGGAGATGCTCGCTCATTACCATGTCTGTCATTTGTGGATGGAGGCTGTCCCCCATTCATCCATCATCCATCCATCCATCCGTCCACCCACTGTGGAATTCCATTCCTCAGCTATTCAGAGAGCAACAGACAGATCCACATTCACACTCGGAGACATGCACACCAGAGTAAAGATAAGCACTTCCATAGACACAGAGAAACAGCGATAAAGAGACATAGGGAGAGACAGAGATGGAGATGCTGATGCCCTCAGAGAAGGAAATATATAGACAAAGAGAGGCAGGTGAAGGGAAAATAGGTAAACCCCACAGCAGGAGAGCACTGCCAGGGCTTGGGCACAATTGTGCATCGAAGGGCAGTGGGCCAGGCTCTGATCTGGAACAGGGACCCTAGTTCTATCTCCAAGGGGTAGTGTTGCTCAGTGGTTAAGATTCAGAGCTTAGAAATTAGGTGGAGTTCAAGTCACAGCCTCCCACATTTTAGAGGTTTGCGATATTGGACTACTAACTCAGTTTCTTCATCTTTAAAATGCATATCTCGTGTAAGAGATGAGGATCCTTACCTCATCGTTTTGGAAAGGTTATGTGAAGTGATGAATAGCAAATGCTTAGCGCACTATCAGCCCTCTATAAATGCTAGGTCTTATCACTGTAGGTTGCAGACTTTCCCTAACCCACTGTGTGAACTTGAGGAAATGGACTCCTCTCTCTGTGCCTTGGTTTCCCCATCTGTGAAATGAGGAGGGATAGCTTTGAGAATTCCCGGGTCCCAATCTTCCTTCACTGCCCTCCCACCTCCATGCCACCTCTTGTCTATGGTTCTTTGTGGCTGCCCTGAGTAAAAGGCTTCCTTTCTTGGCAGAAGGTGCCCTCTCTGTCTTTGATTTCATTTAGCCGCAGTCAGACCCAACAAATGAATTGCTTCCCTCCTCTCAGCTGACACCAGGAAGCAGCCAGCCTGACAGCTCTCCAGGAGGGATCGATTGGAGGATGTCTGATTTCAAAATGAACCACAGCACAGCTTTGAGATGTTGAACCAGACCTGCCATTGTTCTGGGTCAGGGCTGCTGGGCAGGAGCTGCTGTCTCACCCTGTGATCCTACTGGGGCTGTCAGGGATGGCAGAGCGCAGGCTGATCCGTGTGCTGCGTGGGCTCCCCGCCGTCCACGGGAGGCCCCTGGGGTCCATGAGTCCAGTCTCTCATCCAGGAAGTACCCACCACCCTCCTTTTCCTAGGCTTCGTGATAAATATCTGCTGACCTCAGAGGCTCAGCCTGAACACCCCTGTGCCTGGGAACTCACTAGCTCTCCACTTTTGAATGCTTCTTAGTGTTAGAGAGCTGTTTAGCCTGTTGACACGGAGACACTGTGACAATGATGAGAATGAGAATCATCCCTTACTTTTGTATGAGATGTGTTAAGAAGGCGATGCAGCTGAAAAGAAGATCTTAAGTTCTCTGTTGTTAAGAGGCAGGTAAGTAGAAGGAAAAAAATCCCCAGGAGTACCATCACCGCCTCTGTGGAGCTTTCTTTGCTCAGTGCCATTGCCACATGCCGTCCCTGCCCTGTCAGAGCACTCGTGTGTGCTACAGGGACATGGTCACTTAGTAGGCCTGTTTTCCCAACTAGGTGGTGAGCTGTGGAGGTGGGAAAGGTGTCCTGCTCTACTGTTTCTGCAGGTGGCTAATAAATATTTGCCTCATGAATATATACTACATTCTGTAATTTTAGCACATGTGAACCACAATTGATTTTTACAATTTAAGATTTTATCAGAGTTTATATATATATATATATATATATATATATATATATATAATATACCCTGTTTATCTATATATGCGCATATTGTCTACAAAGCTTATTGATATTACAATACTTCCAGGGGAAGAAGGCAGTTCCCTGCCATCCTCTTCCCCAGCCTCCAGTCCTACTTCCTTTAGGCAATCATTTTCACTACTTTTTTTTCTGTATTTTTCAGCTCCATATATATATATATTTTTATTTTACTTTAAGTTCTGGGATACATGTGCGGAACATGCATATCCATATTTTGATTAATATAATTTTACCTCTGTTTTCTGACTTTTTTCAATTTTATATATCATCTATTGGCTTCACATATTAGAATTTAGCTTACACACACATGCGCACACACTCTTCTCCCCTACCTTCTCAATATAGTTCTATCACAAGCTTTGGTAACATCAATATTTGGTGTTTATGCCATTATGACAAGTTGAAGATGGTTTGCAGCTGAATCACGCAATGTATTATAATTACATTTCCTTTCTTTTACAATTTCAATTTTTCCTGCAGCTAATAATTGCCTTTTATCAGGAATTTCTCTCCACATTCTTCAGAGGAATTGTCAAGCTCTTCTAAATATGACTAAAGGCCAGGTGCGGTGGCTCACGCCTGTAATCCCAGCACTTTGGGAGGCCGAGGCGGGTGGATCACGAGGTCAGGAGATCGAGACCATCTTGGCTAACACAGTGAAAACCCGTCTCTACTAAAAATACAAAAAATTAGCCGGGTGTGGAGGCACGTGCCTGTAGTCCCAGCTACTTGAGAGGCAGAGGCAGGAGAATTGCTTGAACCCTGGAGGTGGAGGTTGCAGTGAGCTGAGATTGCGCCACTGCACTCCAGCCTGGGTGACAGAGCAAGACTCTGTCTCAAAAAAAAAAAATATATATATATATATATATGCACACATATATATAAAGACATTAGAGAGTGGGCCAGTCTTGTTTTTTTCTATGGAGACATCCCTTATAGAGCTCTTGATCTTCTGCTCCAATCTGGACTGGTGCTCTTCGAGTCCACTGTATGCACAGCTATCACCGTAGGTCTCCCTCCAGCATCATCCTGGCAGTTTTTGTTTGTTTATTTTGAGGGCCTCTCTCCTGCGTTTGAGTTCCCATTTCTTGGATGCCATCTTTCCTCTCTCTTGGTTTACTCTGTTACTGTGGTTGAACACACTTTCCCACCAAATCTACATTTTCCGCTTCTCCCAGCACCACTGCCTTCAGGAGTGCCTGGTGTTTCCAACTCCGGAGACTTTCTAGAATTTTGATGCGTAAATTGGCTTGCTTCTTCTAGTTTAGCCCTTACTGGTACTTGTAGAGAGACAAAGCTGAAATGGAAGTCATTCATCTGTTGTCCCTCTGTTTCTTATTTCCCAAAATTTTCTTAAAACCTCATTTGCCATCTTCTCTTTTATTCTCCCAATCTCTTTTTGGAGTTTATCTTTCTTTAAACTTCCTGACTATAATTTAAGTAAAAGTTTTGAGAGAAAGCAGAGATGAGCTGGAAGTCCAATTGATTTATTTTAAAAATGTTTAATAAGTGTAATAATTGATTCTTTAGGTCATATATTTTCTCTGAATGGGGAAAATGTATCTTAGCCTTAATTTAAAATTCAGAAGCCAACAAATAGCTTTTTCTCTCCAAGTACTTTTTGGCTACATTTTCTTAGAAATTTATACTTGGGATGGAAGACAGTCAGGGACACAACTACTCACGGTCAACTATCAGATGAAAATAAGTGGACTAACCGTATGTTACCTATTGCCACCATAACACTGCATTCCAAACAACCACACAACCTCAAAGGCACATAATAACTGTCTATGGCTTGCATGTGCGGGCTCAGCTGCAGGTAGACCAGCAGCTTTGCTCCTCTAGGCTGGGTTCTTGAACATGCCTGGGGTTGGCTGGCTTTTGGCCGAGCTAGTGTGGCTCCACCTGGGCAGCAGGGTGATGGATTCTGCTCCTCATCCTCAGCAGCCTACCTTGGGCAGCTTCTCATGCCGGTTATAGAGGAAAAAGTCCCTGAGGCTCGCGCTGGAAAATGACTCACTGTCATGTCATTTCTGCAACATTCTATTGGCCTAATCCAGACTTAAGGGTGGGGAAGTAGTCTCCCCCTCTTTAGTGAGAGGAACTGCAAAGTCCTGGGGCAATGGCTGTGGATATGGGGTGGATGTGTGCAAACTGTCTGGGCCATTCAAGCAGTCAACCTACTATACTAAGATCAAGACTTCTTCAAATGCAGCCTGCCATAGCAGAGGAAAAGGTTGCCCTTAAAATCTGGCTTCTTTATTAACTTTTGCCTGTATTGGGGCACTGCTGAAATAGTACAATACACGGTAAAAGCCTGTGGGGACCGTGTAAACTGACAGCTCTAACCTTCACCCTGTCTGCTGATCCTAAGCTCATAAAGGGCATTCCTTGGGATGTTAAAAAAGCTAGATGGTTGACTGGCTTACAAGAAAACCTGCCAGGTCCTCTCTGTTGGGAAGCCTCTCCAGGTTTTTCTTGAAGTCTCTACTCTGTGGAGCCAGACCCTGCCTTTTGTTCCTGGACCTAAACTGGGGGTCCCAGAGCTCTGCTAGGCAAGGGCAGGCAGCTTGTCTGGTCATCACTTTCCTGGTAAGCAACTAGAAGAGCTTGCTTTCCCTCTCCTGTTTACCTCCTTCAATTATCCTTGGGTCACTTTAACCCAAAGGAGTGACTCTAGGGGTAAGCATTTCAGGTTGGGCTTGTGCAGCCGTTCCTGGTCCCCAAACCCCATCTCCTGTCCCACTCTCAACCAAACACTTGGGCAGCTTTTCGTTATTTCAGACTTAGTATTTGTCTTTCCCAAGTGGAGCTGAGTGGTATTTGAAATGGAACCAGTGTCTTGCCTTGACTGCAACGGTGGAGTGGGGATGATATGAGAGTCTCCCTCCTAGGGGTGCTCCAAGGTTTAGAGGAGCTGGTGCTCACTGTAAGCTCTTGAGAAATCCGACTTCTACTGTATTCCTATAGCTGTCAACTGACCTGTCTCCCTGCTTCCTCGCTTTCAAAGGAGGCTGGCTCACATAAATTCGTCTTTTGTCCCTGGTGTTTGGCTCAGGCTGTCCCACCCTGCCTCTGCTCCTCAGAGTTGACTCCAGCCTGACACACCTCTCCAGAGTCTTAGCTGCCTCCAGCCCTCTCCCTCCCATCTGTGGGGTCACCCCAACACCTAGGAGGGGAAGTGCCCTGCTCATTCCCAGAGGGGCTCCTGTGAGCATAGCCCTGAGCAGGCTTTGACCCCTCCATGGAAAGGAAGGGGCTGACTACCTGCTGGGAATTCTATTTCAGGCTCGACCCCAGGGCTGGTCCTCGGAAAGTTTGCTCTCCTTGAAGTCTCTTCCCAATTCAGGGAAGGAAGACTTGGAAGTTATGCTTCTCTCAGACAAGTACATTTGTTAAGAAAGATATGGATGAGGAAAGGGTCATTGTTCTTTGAAAACAGGAATAAGTGAGGCAGGCTCTCAGCAGCCACATCTGTGCCAGACCTAGAGGGGGGAAATGCCACTCTGGAAAATGCAGAGCCCTGCTGGTCTGAGTGCCGTGGCTCTGGGGTAGCGAGGACTCCTCCCTGGCAAGCACCTCCTCCCTGGGGAGCACCTCCTCCCTGGTGAGCACCCCCTCCCTGGTGAGCAACCCCTCCCTGGTTAGCACCTCCTCCCTGGGGAGCACCTCCTCCATGGTGAGCACCCCCTCCCTGGTGAGCACCCTCTCCCTGGTGATCACCTCCTCCCTGGGGAGCACCTCCTCCCTGGAGAGCACCTCCTCCCTTGCAAACACCTCCTTCCCTCCAGGCCAGGTTCCTTCCCCATAAAATGAGAGCTAGCACCAGATCATTGCTTCTTAACCCAAAGAAGACTGCAGACCCCTAAAATGCCTGTGATCTTTACTGGAGACACAGGGTAAAGGAAAAGGAGAGGGTTTCTGGCAGGCCTGGGTTCAGGGAGCAGCCAGGAGCAACCATTTTGGGGCCAGAATGTGAGGGAGGCACAGCAGGGCAAAGGGGCCTGTGGGCAGGTGGGCAGGATGGGCCAGTGGCCCAGACACCTGCAGAGGCCATCCAGTTCTAGATTTTATGACTTTATCTTTCAATCCATTTAATGTTTGCTTTTATTATTATCAATAACACGAATAAGAGCTATGATATATTAAACACTTAATAGGTGCCAAGCAGAATGTTAAGCACATTGTACCCGCTGCCTCATTTTACTATCATGCCTTCTCCATGAAGGCATGATTCATATTTCTATTTTATAGCTGAGTAGATAGGTTAGGTAATTTACCCAGCATCAACCCTGACTAGTAGTCCCAACAAAGCTGGGAATCAAACCCAGGACTTACCTAGGGCCAAAGTATTTTACCTGGTGGGATTTCTATGAGCCAGGCCTGGGCTGGGCAGCCTGGAACACAGAGAAAAGGGAACACTCCCCTACAGCTGTGGAGGCTGAAACTCAAGACCTGTTCTAAATGTCACAATGAGGTAGCAATAGAGGACTATGGGAGTTTCAAGGGCTTGGGGACAATTCAGAGGCTTCCTGGAGGAGAGGGCATTTAAGCTGGGCCCTAAGGGAGAAGAATTTCAAGGGTGGAGGGAAATTCTAGGCAAAGGCACAGCTTTTGTGGAAAGCTAGTAGGTGTGAAGGTTGCAGAGCATGGGCATGGTTTGACCACATGTGGTTTACTCTTTTTTTATTTTTATTTTTTAATAGAGACTGGGTCTCGCCCTGTTGCCCAGGCTGGTCTTGAACTTCATATATGTGGCTCATGGCATATTTTGGTTGGAACATCGTGTGCAGAGGATACCAATGGGAAACAGCCTGGAAAGTTAGACTGAGGCCATAGCGATGGCAGCCTTGAATGCCAGGATAAGGAGCTAGGCAAAAGACAATGGGAAGGGGACAGGAGACTAGAGAATTTACTACTCAATTCTGTGCTGTAGAAGAAGTGAAAAAACAGATACCGACAGCCCTAAACCTCAGGGAGTACAAACACAGCTGAGAAAACTTTAGAGAAAACCTAAACATATCGTGAAGTTGCTTGTGTGTGTGTATGTGTGTGTGTGAATGACTCCATCTGAGAGATTTGAGCAAAGTCCATGAGATGGCTGGGAAGGTAAATGACCAATTCCTTTCTAACTTCAGATTTCCTGTTTGCAAAACCTCACCAACATATCTAGAAAACCTAGAAAACATTAGGCTTCTCAGCCTGCACAGAGCAGCTTACAATGTTTATTCATGAATGAAGAGTTGGGTGCCCTGTTGTTCCTGGGTGGAGGGGAGACAGTTCATCTCCAAATGGCTCAGCCTTGGGCTCCACTGACTACACATTCTCTTTGTTTGTAGTAACAGCCATGCACTCTGTGCATATGCATGGTATCACCTGCAGATGTCCCAGTTCCTGACGTCACCCTGGCTGCAGAGCCAGCCTCAGGCCGAGCTGTGCAACCAGGGCAGAGGGAGGAAGGGGCGCTGCTGACCTGGACAGGGCTGAGTTCCAGTCCGCTTCCGTCACCACACTCCCACTGTTGGCCTTGGACAAGCCCCCATCTCTCTGCAGCAGCCCCTTCATTCCTACCTCCTTGAGGGGCCTAAACTGGATCATCACTTCTGGAAATAGCCATTCTTGTCCCACCTTTGAAGGTGTCATTTCTCAGCACCCCAGACTATTAGTCAGGGAATGTTTTCTTTGAATTGACTCACTTTTAAAATACACCATTTATGTCAACTTACCATTTCTGTACATGATGCACCATTTGCTATAAAGGGACATTGAAGTTAAAACCCATGAAAATAGTAAATGTTCACTCTTGTACCACCTAAAGTCAGGGTACATGCCTGCCATTGCATGAGTGCACACCCCCAGGGGAAACCTGCGTCCTGGAGCCAGGCGGCTTCTCAAGTATGACTGTGCGCCGGAAACACCTGGAGACCTTGCAAAAATGCAAATTCAAATTCAGTAGGTCTGGGTGGGGTCTGAGATTCTCTGTTTCTGACAAGGTCCCAGGAGATGCCGATGCTGCTGGTCCACAGACCCTACTTGGTGTAACAAGGTCACATGGGTTGTCCAGCTCCCTATCGTGGGGGCAGGGCAAGAATGTCAACAGAAACACAGCACCAAGTCCTTCTGAGAACACGGGACGTGAAACACAAAGACCATGTCTAAAGATTCAAGCAAAGGCTTCATATCAGAGGAAAACTCAGAGAGCTATTTCACCTTTTCTCCCAAATATACATTTACTTTATATTTACTTTATGCACTTAGAACTTTCGGCATCTCTGTTTACTGCTTCACATACCTCCCCACCTCTTCCCTAATGCAAAGACCTGAATCTGGAAAGCCACATCTGTTGGGAGCTTCGTCAGAAATCATGCTGGCCATGCTTGCAGGCTGGGTCCAGCTCTTGCTGGGAGGTGGAGGCCAGGGCTCTGCATAATGGCATCTTCGGGGCTTTCCCTTCTCTGACCTCCTGCCATGCTCAGACAGAACGACACGCCATCTGCTGACTCACCGTGGCTTCATGCATTCATGTCCTGTTTTCCCAGGTGGTCACAGCTCTAGGAGGAGACAGTAAGGGGTGACTGGAAGGGGAGGGGAGTGAGATTGCCCCTCTGGGACCCACACACACTGAGGACATGATGGGCTCTTGATAAAATGTCACATGAGCCCAGGACAGTTAGAGAGGTTGGCTTTATAAGTGGTACATTATTTATGATGGCTTGAATGGGTCACCCTTATGCCCATTTTCTGGAGGGAAAAACTGGCTCCAGATAATGCAAAGTCATGCCCCTATGGCGTCAGTTGCAGGGCTCAGAAGTCCTCTCTTCCAACCCAGTTGCTGGCAGGTCATGACCACAGGCCACCCAGCCATTCCTAGCCTCCCTGGTAGAATTCAAGGCTGCCTGTATTGTGCATCTGCTGTGTCCATGGCACTCAGGGAGGATAGTAAAGGCAGGGCCAGAGGGGAATGAGGGGGACTTGCTGGGGAGCATGATGGTCACGTGCTAAGCAGAGGCCTGACCTGAGACCTCAGGGTGGCATTCCTTTGGGTACTACAAGGGCTGGAAAAGGCCTCTCCCCTGCTTCAAGCCCAGCCCAGCAGGTAGGTGGCCGAGCCAGGCCCACATGCTGATCTCTGCTCTCTGACTGGTGCAGTTTCCTTTGTGTTAGATCATCAATTCCTCAGCCTTCTGTGGCTTCTGTGATTTCCAAAGAGCTTGCCCTGATGCTGAAGCCGGCCTGGACTGGGCATCAAGAGGGTTTCAGCCTGATAGCCAATGGCCGGCCGCATGACAGCGAGAAATTGGCTTCTCTCTCTGGGCCGTGGTGATCTTCAAAGTTTCTTACAGCACTAGAATTCTGCTCTTTCTTTGCATTACAAATGGAATACATACTTGTGAACATTTTCAACAATATAGAAATGTAGAAAGTAAATATAAACAAACAAAAAATGAAGTCATCATCTTCTTATTGCTGCTAGAGGAAGCCATTGTGAATAGTTTGATGTGTTTCCTTCCAAATGATTTTTTCTCTACGTATAAACATAAATAAGCATATGTAGGTTTATTGATCATCTTAAAATTTATTTTTTTCACTTAAAATACTTTCCTGTGATCTTCCTGTGCCATCATATATAAATCTACTTTATTATTTTGAAGTAATATATCTTGGACATTTTTGCATCAGTAGATCCTTTTCAATGATAAATAGCATTTTGTATCATGGATATGCATAATTTCTTTGGGCCTTTATATTATTTCCATTTTTTTTGCTATTATAAACAATGCTGAAATAAACATCTTTTTACATGCATTCTTACTCACATGTGAATATGTTTCTTTAACATGAATTCCTGGAAGTAGAACTGCCAGATAAAAGAACACACACATCCAAAATTTTGAAAGATGCTGTCAAAATCACCCTCCCAAAATACCAGTTGTCTTTCCTCTCTACAGCTCGGGGAGCAACATGTTTGCATTCACCTTGATTGAGCCTGGATTAGGTGCATGTAATGTTCCTATTGCATATGAGACAACAGAAGCTTAGAGAGAACAAGGGAGTGTCTCGAGGTGCTACAGAAGTGGGGGCAGAGCTAGAATCAAAGCTCTGTGCCCCATACCCAAGTCTAGATGCTCTGCAGCTCTGACATGATGAGGTATAGTGGAAAGAGCTCTGACTTTGAGGTCCAAATGCTTGAGTTTGAAATCTTGCCATGCAACTTGCCATCTCTGTGACTTTGACCAAGATACTTAATCTCCCCAACCTCAGCTCCTTTCTCCATAAAACAGAGACAACAAACACTGTCAAAAAGGGATGTTGTGAGTGTTAAAGGAGAATTTATGTAAGGTTCTGGCTCCTAGGAGATGCTCTCTAAAATATTCTCTTTTCTGAGGAGTTGGGGACCTGGGAATTCTACTGTACTCTGGAGCTCTTCTGCCTTCACCCAGGAAGGTAACTAGGGGTTTATTGCCCAGCCGTGCACAACTCAAAAAATTATTACTGAAGATTGTCAAAAAGGCTTACAATTCAGGAGGGTTTTTGTTCATTTAGAAGCAAAAAAATTAGTTTTGTGGTTCAGCAAGATCTCGAATTGTGCCTCTGAATGTTGTGAAGGAGGGTTCGAAGAGACTTTCAACTGCTCCTGATACAATTATGAAAGTGGTTTTGGCAGAAGCCAAGTGGACTCTTAGTTTAAAACAGCTCTAGGGGTAAAGTCATTTCTCTGCAGGTTCAACAGAGGGTCATCCCATTATTTGCAGTGTTATAGTGCTTTGGGGATGCAGGAGATTTGGAGAAGTGGTAAATTGTTATAAAAAATGGCTACAATCATTCTCCTACCTGTGCCCAGTGCCTCCAACACTGGCTCTAGGCTTATCCATGCAATTTCCTTTGGACAACAGAACATTAGAAAATGTGATGTAGACTTATCAGAAGAACCTGAGTATTGGAGCTTGCCTTCTATTGCAGGCTTGGAACCCTGTGTCCACCATTCAAATTAGCTTGAGCTAATGTGATGGAAAGACTGCATAAAGGATAACTGAGGTGCCCCAATCAACAGATTATCAATTACCAGACATATGAGTGAGGCCATCCTAGATCACCCAGCCCCAGCCAAACCACCAGCTGACTACAGATCAGAAGGATTTGCCCAGACCAAAATGGTCCAGGTGACCCATATAATTATAAGAATTGATAATTTTAAAAAACTTTAAGCCACTATGTTTTGGGGTGGTTTGTTATATAGGCAAAGCTAAATTGTAAAGATATTTATTGAATGAATGCCTCGATGAACCAACGAGTACCTCACATCAGGAGAATTAGCCTTGCCCCAGCTCATAAAGAACGGTTCAGAACCATGGACAGAGGCACAGGATGCGACAGTATTTGAGTCAAGCTACGGATATGACAGGCCCTGGGGTAAGAATGAAAACAGTAGCTCGGGGTACAGGATAAGACAGATGTGTAAAGGAAGATGCCCCTGATATGGTGCTAGTGAGTCTTGCCAGGCACCTATTAACTCAGGAAGCCCTCAGTCCCAGACAGACAGGACGGCTGGCCACCCTATGAGGAAGACGAAATGCTACACTCCTGTTCCAGAGCCTGATCCCTAGCTGTTTCTCCTACATACTATGTGATGACAGGCATTGTGAAGGAGCATGCAGAGGGGTGGTTCCATGCCCACCAGACAAACCAGGACGGTTGGCTGGTCACCTGATTCCCCAAGTTTATGCAACTAGAGGGAAGTAGGTAGAGGGCATGGGGAGGCAGGGGGCTCAGTTGCTGGCTGCCTGGCCAAGATTCACTGGGAAATGATTTTGGCTCAGTTTTCTAACTACCTCTCCTCCAATTCCTGCACACAACCTGGCTTTCCCTTATTTCCCTGGAGAAAGTCAGGCTTTGTGTCAAGGGAATCTGGAGCTCATAATTTCATAACAATAATGTCTTGGTTTTAGACAGTATTTAGACTGTGATAGGTCCTTTTATGCCTACATAGTATATAACTGGGCTTGATCTTCATAACCCTTTTTGAGAAAAGCAGAGAATCCAGGTGCATTCTCACTGTCCAGGGTACCCACTAGCATCTTCTTCCTTTTTGTCTTCTAAGATAGGGGAAGGCAGCCCAAACAGCACCCAGACCAAGAGCCTGGATCAGGGATCCTGCTGCCTGAGACTTTCTAACTAGGTAAGTTCTCTTATGGTTCAACATTCGGGAACATGAAATGGACTCTCTCACCCTTATGTTCAAACGAGACAACTGGACTCCAGTCGCTGAACCCCTATAAGCTCTGAATTTCCAGGAGTCTCTGAAGGCTGGGGAGACCTGGGTCTTTTTTTGTTATATGGAGCCTATTCAAGGGGCCTCTTGGACCACTGCCTGCTTTCCTGGTATTTGTGCTGGTGGGGCTCCTCAAAGTGAGTGGCAGGGGTGATCATCCCTATTTGCTATACATTAAGGACAGCCTGGGTATGCAGGAAGGCACTCAGAAGGGGCTGCCCAGATGATTCACAGGCTCATGTTATCCACCCATGGACAGGGCAGGGGCATCAGGGCCCCAGGGCTGACTGCATCCTAGGCCTTGGATGCCTCCAGGACTCTCTCCCCATCTCTCTTCTGCTTTTCTCTGCATGCCAACTTTGATCTCTCAGGCCACCTTTCTCCATGAGGCTGGAGTCACAGCTCCTCAGCTTCACTCCTAGAAAGGAAGGGGCTATTTCATTTTGAGAGAAATCTCAGGGAAGGCCTCTTATTGGCCTGGCTGGGGCCACATGCCTGCTCCTGTAGTCAGGCAGGTAGGGATGCTGTGGTGGGAAGCTTCATTCAGAGCCGCCTGGTTGGAGCTGGAGGAAGAACAGTTCCCAGAAGGTGGGGAGTCATTGTCAGAAGGTGAGATGGAGAGCAGATAAAGCAAGTGACACTCACTGCAAACTTATCATTCCCACCTTTTGGGGTGAGGAACAAATGCAGGGGCCTCAAGCCTTCACCACATGGTCTGAGGTTTGATGACCAGGAAGCTGGGATTTGAGCCTGGACAATTCAACTGTGAAGCCTGTGGTCTTTCCAATATCACTTCTTGATGATGTTCCATTCCCATACAGCAGCAATGGGGTGAACAACTGATTCCTTTGGGACCAGACATAGCCCTGGGCAGCTGTGGGATAAATATCTGGGTCTCAGGGCTATCTTTGTAAGGCAGTAGTATTCTCCTGGGAGAGTCCCGGGCTGGGGATCAGCAGACCTGGTGCATTTATCTTAATTCTCCACTGCTTTCCTGTGTGACCTTGAGAAAGTCACTTTCCTTCTCTGGGTTTTAGCATTTATCTGCCAAATGGCGATGATCATCCCTGAGTCCCTCCCATAGGCATTGAGTGGAACTAATGAGATAATTCCGTGAATGAGCTTTCGAAAGCTGAAAAGCCCACACAGATGTGAGGATTATTCTTATGATCCTGGGCCCCATAGGATTAGCTTAAATGTATGGCAACAGGAGGGATGGGGGCTAACAGAAACGTGCAGATGTCTAGCAGCCTTGCTCAAATAATGCAATACAACCTGCTTTGCAGGGTGGCCTCCTGATTTATTTATTTATGTCAGACAGCTCATGCTGGGCTTCCTGAATCTTCTTTGGACAGCCTTTCACCTCTGTCCCTGCTGCCCTGGGTCGGGGGGTCATGGGTTCCTTTTCTGATAGCGTGTAAAGCTGGCCACATGGTTCTGGTTTTCTCTTCTTTTCTTTCTCCTGCAGGCCAAGAAATGAGGACACTGAACTACTTCTTCTTGAGATGACGGAATCTTGCAAGTTTATTTATTGTTTCCTGGGGGAGGAGACACAGTCTGTTGGAACTGGAAGTGATGAGAGATTGCCATCCAATTCCATAGGAGGCCAATGAGAGGTTACATGAAGGGAGGACTCTACTGGTAGACAGTCCTAGAAACCCCAGGCTAAAGTGAAACTCAGTAATTTTGTTTTTAAACTGCAGGTCCTCTCAGCGCATTCAATATTTTGCTTGTTATCAATAAGGGGATGTAGCAGCCACATTTCCCAATTTTTTTGGCCATTTTTTTCCTCTGACAGCATTTTTAGGACCCGTGTCCCCCTGAACACATGGAGGGATGGAGCAATTGAATGTCATGCCCTGATTTCACAGATGGGGGCAGGGAGGCTCAGCAAGGAAAGTCAGGTGGAGCAGAGACCCATTCCCTGCCCCTGCCTTGGGGCTCTTTTCGAAACTCTGCCCTGCTCACATCTGCCCCAAGACACTCTGCCTCCATGAAAGTGCAGGTTATTTTACAGTTTGGAGGTGACACTGGACCCCTTGGAAATCAGAGAATGTGCACTTTCTTGGCAAAATATCCAAGGTAAGGGAGAGTATAAATGTGAATGAGAATGCTGAGTGTCGGAAGACATTTGTTTTTTGTTTACATCTAGGACCAGACCAGAGGGAGTGAGGTCTATCTATCCCACGAAGAAACTGAGATGCAGCTTATGAAATAGAGGCTGACAATGGCTCACCCACCTCCTTTGTAAGAGCCTGGTGTGTGCTACAGGAGCATGGCCCATATACGTGTCAGGTTGAAGGACAACTCAGGAGCTGTCCAAGGTATGTGTTCTGAGTCCCAGATGAGTCATACCTGGTGGCGAGGGTGCTGTGGTTTGCAGGAGGAAGGGTGAATATAATTCGAGTTATCATTATGAAATACCTGCTGGTCCTCAGGGACTGTTCTAGCAGCTTTGCACATATTCACTCATCTAGTTCTCACATCAGCTCTGTAATATAGGTGCTGTTGCTGTCACTGCAATATTACAGAGGAGGGCAACAAGCCCTCTTTAACCAACAAAAAAAGGTTAAAGAGCTTGTCCAAGGCCATAGGACCCATAAACAGTAGAGCCAGGCTGGATTTCACCCCAGCAGGCTGACTGTGGAACCCACACTTTTAAGCCACAATGCTGTACCACTGCTAGGTAGTATTAGAGAGGTTTGGAAAATGCTGCTTTGATTTGCTCTGACATCCATAGAGATGCTCGTAAGAGCAGAATATTAGAGCTGGAAAAAGCTTCATCAGTCATTCAGTCTACTCCATTATAACTCATGTAGGAGAGGCCAGGTAGGGCAACAGACTGGCCAAGGTCAACAACTTTCAGTCACACTAGACTCAATGAAATTGAACTTCCTGACAACGATGGGAATAGCAAGTGTCTCCCTGCCCTGAGTCAAACTCCAACTATGTTGTCTCACTCCCTCCTTCACCTCCAGGCTCAACTTGGCCCCACTTGCCCCATCTGGCAGCCTGGACCGAGCATTGTTCATTGAGTCCCACACCCACATGGCCCCAGAGTCAAACCGCCTTTCATGCTGAAGAATGGAACTGACACTCCCAGCAACATCTCCCCCAACCATGCCCATCTGTTAATCCAACTTAAAAAGAAGGAAAAAAAAATGACAATGGAAATGGAAATACTTTAAAACATTGTGTGTGTTTTGTGTGTGTGTGTGTGTGATCAAATCTCTTTCCCTGAAATATGACAAAGCATTGCCATCCCTTCTCCAATATCCTCTATCCATTAATGGTCTTTCTGATTCAATAAACAGGATTTCAGGCTCTGCCCCCTCCCTCTTTTCCACCCCTACTCCAGGAGAACATGGGCTGCTTCCAGTATAGCTCATATTAAGCTGTGCAGTTGATGGATCTTTAATCTTGCTGAACACATGTTGAGGAGAATAAAACCAATTTTGTTTAGGAAACCAAGTGCCACACTCAGCTGGAAATTAGCTCTTTGGGTAATCTTACCCCCTGTTTTGACCAAGCAGGCCAGGCAGGATTTCTCAGGTGGCTCTGGAAAGCCTCAGACTCCTTGGATCCAAGGAAGGAGAGAGAGCGAGTCCTCATTGAGGATCCCTGCCCCAAATCCTTTTGATTCTCCCCTTTAGTACAGAAAGCAGCTCCAATCCAGGCTGCTTATGGATCAAGGCTAATCTGGATGTAATTCCCTGCCCAGCTCGCTGCATCCTTAGCAACACATAAATACAGATTAAAGGGTTATATAAATGCAATTTTCTAATTAATCAGTGCAAATCCAGCTACTGTGGGGGACATAGATTTCAGTTTTTAAGTGAGAGGTTTTCTTCTTTGAGTTCACTTCACAAATGCAAGTTCTGTTCCTGTGATTCCTAGTGCTAATGGTCACTGGGTGATCAAGAGGTTTGACAATTCCCAAAAATGTGCCTGTCATGGCCCCAAGTCCTTGAGTTCTCAGCAGGAGATTTTGAGCCATGGACAATGGAAAGAATCTGAGCTTAGGGGCAGTCAGTTCAGCTTTGATCCTGGATGTGTGGCCTAGGACATGTTACCTAACCTCTCTGGGCCCCAATTTCCTCATTCTTAATAAGATGATGAGACCTGTGTCCTGGGGTTACTGTGAAGATTAAATGCCATGTTTGAAAGTGCATAGCGTGGCATCTGGTGCATTGGTGGCTGTTATTGTTGTTTGCAATTGAGGACAAAGATTCTTGAGGGTTCAGTGCAGGAAGAGATAGTCAATAATCTCAGGCCTGAGTCTCCTCCTTTCTTCTGACTTGTGTATTAGTATTTGCCTTGTATAGAGAACAAGGTTCACGAATCCAGGAGGGGTGTGGTCTCCTTGGATTTTTCAGCCCTCCTTTCCTCATCCCACCAACCTACACATACGCACACTCACTCTCTTACATTGGATATATTATCACAAAAGTGCACATTCTGTGATTTCCAAGGGTCCCAGTGGAACCTCCAAGCTGTAAAACATGGAGTTTGGAGTCATGGAGGCAGAGGGAGTTTCTTGGTGCAGATGTGAGCAGGGTGGTGCCTTGAAAAGAACCCTGGGGCAGGGACAAGGGAACGGGTCTGAATGAGGATAACTCAAGTGTTGGCCATGCAAAGGGTCAGGGAGAAAACACGTTTTATAACAACATCCATAAGGATGACAATAATAACAATAATTGTGGTGATAGGAATGGGGATGAGGATGGGCCAGGCATGCTGTGGACTTTGTCTCACTGTATTCTTAATGACAAACCTATGATGTGGATATACCAATTCTATCCCCATTTTTAAAATGAGGAAACTAAGAATTGAAACATTGAATGGCCTGCCTTACACTGCAGAGCTTCCCTTAGATTGACTGCCTTTTTCCTCCCTCTCTTCATTCCTCTAATGCTCTTCCCCCTGGTGTGTGTGTGTGTGTGTGTGTGTGTGTGTACCTCCTACTCAAGTCCCCATGCATGCAAACACACACATCCCCCAAGCATTCATGCCGCCACATGCATACTGGCAGGAATATCACACGTGTGCTTTGGTCCATCAATGCCCAGCATGCCCAGCCAGTGCCTGCTCATAGTGGAAAACCTTCCTGAGGATAAGCCGCAGAAAGGAGAAGGCTAACAGAGAAGAGAGAAAAAAGGCTAAGTTTGAGAATGTTTTCCAAGCTGGATGATTTTAGTTATTTCAAGCCCAGATCTTGTTACCACCAATGAAGTCAAGCAGGGCCGCAGGTTGGTGGGCCCTGAAGACCTGCTTTATGGAGTGACTCGGCAAGCCCAGCATTTCTTGCAGACACAGGGACCCCTACACGAATCAGAAAGCTGCTTTTCTCTCAATCGTTCTCCAACTTTTCTAAGCCTAGACTGCGACTGCTGACCTCATCTATGACCTCTTCATCTGTGCCCTTGGGCAATCCCCGGGCATCTCTGGTCCTCAATTTTCTTATCTGAAAAATGGGAAAAGAACTAAACCTTGCTTATCCATCTTGAAGGGTTATCATGAGGTTCCAAGGAGAACATACAAGAGAAATTGCTTTCAAACAGGTGGGATGGGTAGGGGTGGTGGGGAGGGGAAAGAGGAAAGGGCTTACAGAGAATGAGTGCTTTTGAAAACGAAGGTTAGGCAAATTCAAGTTCTCTGCCTTGTTTGTGACTCTCTGTCACATTAGAAATGCTAGGGCTGGGACTGCCCAAGCAGCCTGGGAAGCTCCGAGTGCTGTCACTTTAAAAGTAAAGTGAAGTGTTCATTAGCTGGGCTATTTTTTCAGGTGTGTTCTAATTGTACTAATTAACTCTAAGGTAGATTTTAGCACTCCAGCCTCCATCGCTGCCTTCAAATGCCAAAACAAATCTTGCCATAATTACCAGCAATCCTTTTCATTACCGGCTGCCTAATTATCCTATTAATAGCACATCCTAAGAGACAGTATTTGCTTGGCAGGCAAATATTTGTTTTTAAATGAGCAAACACAAAGACAAACTGCTCTGTTTGCAGAAGGATTCCAAAATGCAAAATGGTTTATATTTGTAGAAAAAATAATAATCCAAGTAAAACCAAATGCTTAATCTATTTGAAGCATTTGAACATTAAAATATGTGGTTTTTCCCCCTGGTTTCAGTCCTTCCTTGCCGGGAGGATTGGGTGCTGGAAGGGTTTTTAAGACTTTTCTGTCATATGGACTTGGATGTCTTATTGGGTTGGAGATAAAGTTGGTCAAAGAGGGAAAGATGAAGACAACTGACATGGAATAATGTTAGAGCCAGAAGGAAATGTGTGTAAACTTGAGGCCAGAGGTTTGATTCCCATACCTGGCTGATCATCAGAGTTACCCGGGAAGAGACTTGTCAAAATGCATCTTCCCAGGCCTGCTGGTTTCTTTCTTCCTTTCTTCCATATAGAAGTGTATTGTTCAAGAGAAAATAAATTTACCACCTCAGCTCACCCCCATCCATCCCCACTCCAGTCTTTTCCTGTTATTATTGCATAGATGCCTCTGAATATGCACAATTGCCTTTTCCTTTTTTGAAAACAAGAATGAGCCTGTAATCCCAGCTACTTGCGAGACTGAGGCAGGAGGACTGCTTGAGGCCAGGATTTCAAGACTAGCCTGGGCAACATAGCAAGACCCTGTCTCTAAAATATAAAAATTAAAAAATAAAACAAGAATGAAATCATACTATCTATTAGATTGAACAATTTGAAATTGCTGACATGCGAGTGCTTTATAACCTACCAAATGGCGATTTCACATGGTTCAATTTAAGATACTGTTCTGTTTTTGTTGACACATTAAAAAAAAAAATCTATAGAGTGTTATATTAGGTTGGTGAAAAGTAATTGCCATTACTTTTATGGCAAAAACCACAATTACGTTTGCCCCAACCTATATATGAAGGCGGCACCATAAGTGAACCACTCTCTACAGATGGCCCGTCCACTTCCGTCTCCTTTTCAGGTTTATGAACTGCAGAGCGCTGCTGCGACGCCGGCCTCTCTACCTCCCCACCTGGGTCTCCCTTCCAGTCTGAGTTCCTGTCCCATTTGCTCTGGGTGCCCTCCCCTGATTGTACCGACCTTTACTGATATCCTTGCATCTCTGAGCCTGTCATTCTCACCCCTGACAACGTTTTACCATTTAACTAGAGATTTTAAAATATTGTCAGTGTTGTCCACTATGTAACTACTCTGACTACCACTCCCACCTCAGAAACCCCCGTAGGCTCCTGAAAGCCTCCTGGGCACACAGTCCTCCCTGGGTGCTGAAAGCTCTCCACGCATGGCCCCTCTGGCATTCCAGCTTGGCTTCCTATTGTCTTGGTTGCTGCTGCTCTCTTCCCAGAATGCCTGTGACTGGCACACAGTCGGAGGTCAATTAGAGGCCCTTTTAGGAGCTGAGTGCACCCTCCGCTCATGTCAGCCTCTTTACAAAGATGGGACAAAGAATGTTGTCCCATGGTCCTTATAGGTCTCAGTTTCCTCATCTGTCAAATGCATTGACTTCGCAGCACTGCTATAAGGTTAAATAAAACCTCTATAGTACCTGTTGAACACCTGCCACTTAGTAGGGATTAAATGGTAGTTGTTATTACTATTAGAGCTGATTTTAATGGTGTTTTACAACTTGCAATTTGGCTGTTGGTTTGAGAGAGAGATTCTTTTTTTTTTTTTGAGACGGAGTCTCGCTCTGTCGCCAGGCTGGAGTGCAGTGGTGTGAAGGCTCACTGCAACCTCCGCCTCCCAGGTTCAAGCGATTATCCTGCCTCAGCCTCCCGAGTAGCTGGGACCACAGGCACGTGCCATCACGCCCGGCTAATTTTTGTATTTTTAGTAGAGACGGGCTTACACTATGTTGGCCAGGGTGGTCTCAATCTCTTGACCTTGTGATCTACCTGCCTCGGCCTCCCAAAATGCTGCGATTACAGATGTGAGCCACCACACCTGGCTGAGAGAGATATTCTTTACCATGTTAGAAATATATTTTTATACATTTTTTCTTAATTTTTTGAGATTTGAGTTCAGAATATGTTTAAATTCATTGAATAATTGTTATCAAACATAAGTTAATTAAAATATTTTAGGCCAGGGCGGGCAGATCACTTGAGCCCAGGAGTTTGAGACCAGCCTGGGCAATATAGTGAGA
Source organism: Homo sapiens (assembly GCF_000001405.40). NCBI lineage: Eukaryota > Metazoa > Chordata > Mammalia > Primates > Hominidae > Homo > Homo sapiens. The sequence continues at coordinate 69,967,498 of NC_000015.10, read as the reverse complement.
CTTTATCTCTACAAAACATAAAAATAAAAATTGACATTGAAATGCCATATGACATCATTGGACTGCCTCAGAGTAAATGATTCCTATGTTCCTGAGGTCAACCCTAATAAACCAGCAGATTGTTCTCTTGGTAGATTGCTAAATGCAGTAGTTTGTATCATACCATGAATTTTTACATTTATATTTACTTTAAAAATCTGTTAATCTAATCAGAATTCAACAATCTAGTTTTTCTGTTATTTAAAAAAACATATATACCTTCTCTTTGAAGCATTTTTTCTTCCTTTTGCATTAATTTGATACTTGTATTTCAATATTTAATTGATTCTAATGTTTGTCCTTAGTAGTTTTGTACTGTTACATCTCCTTTCTTGAATCCTCATTTTTGATTCGTCTCTCTGATGACTGAAGCATGTCTTAAAATACTTTTTTTTGTAGGAGAGCTATGTGGCTCTGATATATTTTCTGAGACTTGTATATCTGAAACTGTCTTTATGTTGACCTATTAGGGGAAAAACAAATTTGTTGGGTATGGAATTTCTGGCCTTAACCTTTTCCCCATCAAGACTCCTTTAAAACACAGATCCATTTTCTTCTGGGGTATGCTGCTGTTGAGAAATTTAAGGTGAACCTTTTTTTTTTCAGCCTTAGTGCTCACAAGACATATTTTAGATCATGTAATTTCAAAAACTGTCCCTAGGATAAGTCATTGTTTAGTAGGTATTGCTGTAACACAATGAAAAACAAAAGATGTCTTCTATTTTGAGTTTAATTAGTGACTTTAATTCATTTGCTCAGTTTTCTTCTTCAGGGCACCCTTGGAAATACATTTTCCAAGAAACAGATAAAAATCTAGATCTGGAGGGATAAATTGACATGTATAGCCTCTGGCTCAGTCTTAAAATTTTTATTGAAGTATTAAAAATGTACTTATTTGCTTTTTAATTTACACACAGTAAAATTAACTGTTTGGTATAGAGTTCTGTGAATTTTGATAATGCTTGGTTATGTAATCAGCACCACAATCAAGATATAGAACATTTCTATCACCCCTTTCCCCCAAAATTCCCTCACGCTGACCCTTTGCAGTCGACTCCATCACCAACCCCTGGCAACCATTAATCTGTTTTCTATTATCCAGGTTACTTTTAAAGAAATATTGCTCATTTTATTTAAAAAATAATCATATACTAAACTTGCCTTTTTTTCTTTTGTTGTACATTTCTATGAATTTTAGCACACATATAGATTCTTGTAACTATGACCACAGTCAGTTCCATCACACTTCAAAAACCCCTTATGTAGTCACCCCCACCCCAACTCCTGGCAACCACTGATCTCTTCTCCATCCTGCAGTTTTGCTGTTTCCAGAATGTCATGTAAGTGGAATCATACAGTATATAGCCTTTCTAGACTAGCTTTTCTCACTTCATGTAATGTCTTGAGATTTGTCCAAGTTGTTTCATGTATCAATAATTTGGTCCTGACCGGGCGTTGTGGCTCACACCTGCAATCCCAGCACTTTGGGAGGCCGAGGCAGGCAGGTCACCTGAGGTCAGGAGTTCAAGACCAGCCTGGCCAACATGGTGAAACCCTGTTTCTATTGAAAATACAGAAATTAGCTGGGCATGGTGGTGGTGCCTGTAGTCCCAGCTACTTGGAAGACTGAGGCAGGAGAATTGCTTGAACCTGGGAGGCAGAGGTTGCAGTGAGAGGAGATAGTACCACTGTATTCCAGCCTGGGTGACAGAGTGAGACTCTGTCTCTAATAATTATAATAATAATATTTTGGTTCTTTTTACTGCTGAGTAGCATTACATTGTTTGGATGTACCATAGTTGGTTTACTAATTTACCCTGGCCCAGAATTTAGGGTCTCATGGGCATTTGTCAAGGGCTTCTCACAATATCACTTCATCTCTGATCTGCCCCTTCCCAATTTCCCCCTTCCCACTCAGGGCTAGTGGGGTGAGTCCTACTTTGCCTCCCCCAACCGTCCTCACATCCTCTTCATATCAGTCCTCTCCTGAAGCAATACCACGTCCTTCCACTCTAAGTGCAACTCTGTCCTGGGAGATGCATTTCTAGTTGCGGGAACAGGGATATGGGGGGACAGGGAGAGTTGGGGGTGCCAGGTACTCCCGTCTGTGTGGCCCCAGGGCCCTGAACTAGACGCCATGGTTGGGGGGAGCCAAATGCTTTTCTGACTTTCTTCGTGACTCTCTGATCTGTTGTGATTCAAAGGTGGAGTGGGAACAGCCCATGATTGTGTTTTTCATTTTAGTCCTGTTGACTCTGCAGTCAGGACCAACTCCCACACCTGAACATGCAGCCACTCCTTTTAGTGTCCAGGGTGAACTTTCTTTATCAGTTCGGACATTTTCATTGTGAGCTGAGAGGGGCCTATTGGGCCTTGCAAGCCTGTGATCAAGTTCATCTGTAGCTCTTCTGTCTTGCATTTTCAATCACTTTCTGCTGGCGCTTTCCTCAATGTCTAGGAACCAAGTCAAATCTCTCCTATCACTTAAAACACAAACAAAAACCAAAAGCTAAAATGATCATCTTACCCTGAGAACTGGGTTCCCCATTATGCCATCCAAAAGCTGGTTTTATTAAAAGAATTCTACACTCATTATCTTCACTTTCTCATGTATGTTCAATACTGGTTTTTTTCCTGGAGAGTAATTTTTACAGTTTAATTATTATTATTATTATTATTATTATTTTTGAGAGGGAGTTTCGCTCTGGAGTGCAATGGCATGATCTCCACTCACTGCAGCCTCCACCTCCTGGGTTCAAGCAATTCTCCAGCCTCAGCTTCCCAAGTAGCTGGGATTACAGGCATGCACCACCACACCAGGCTAATTTTTTTTTGTATTTTTAGTAGAGACAGGGTTTCACCATGTTGGACAGGCTGCTCTCGAACTCCTGACCTCAGGTGATCCACCCTCCTCAGCCTCTTATAAAGTGCTGGGATTGCAGGCATGAACCAACTGTGCCTGGCCTTAAATATTATTATTTTTATAATTATCATAGTAATATGTTCTCTTTGCATAAAACTTGTGAAGTTCAAGAAAGAATAAAGAAGGTAACCGCAACTCCCACAACCATATTGTTACCCAGAGGCAGCTATTAGTAACATTTGAGCACATTTATTTCACATTTTATTAAGGATGGTTTTCCTTTTCCTTTATGATATTGTACTCCATAAAATTTTTAGTATTGAACTCTTTTTTTCCTTAAAATTATATTATGAGCATTTTCCTGTAGTATTAAAGAAAACTCTTCAAAGACATACTTTTAATGGCCTCGTAGTATTTCAAAGTATGGATGCACCATATTGTACCATTATCTGAGAGCTGGACATTTAGATTCTTTTCAATGGTACGCTTTGTTCATTTTTAAATTTTTTTCTTAAGATAATTTCTAGGAGGAGAATTATTTCTTAAACAAATGTAAACATTTCCAAGACCTGTGATACATATTAAATTGCTTTTCTGCAATGTTGGAGCAACATTGCAGAATGTTGGACACTCTCTGCCCCTGGACACTGTCTACCCGGCAGTGATTTTGAGCACTGCTTTCCCAGGTGACTGTGGTTGAGCCTGATGTCATCATCAAATCAATTCCACTAGCAAGAAAGGAGTAGAGAGCATTTTGTTGTTTTATTTTGCATCTATAAATGCTGCATGATATTCCACGGTATGGACTTGCCTTATGTTATTTAACTATTTCCCTTTTACTAGTCATTTGTGTTGTTCCTAATTTCTCATTAGCAGAACTAATGTTGCACTAAATCATCTTTGTACATAAATTATTCACTTAATTGATTATGTTTTCTCTTTCCCCCATATACAGGCATATATGGAGATATCATGGGTGTGGTTCTAGACCATTGTAATCAAGCAAATATTGCAATAAAGTGAGTCACAGATTTTTTTGGTTTCCCAGTATATATAAAAGTTATATTTACAGTATACTGTAGCCTATTATATTTGCAATAGCATTATGCCTAAAATTATATACTTGAATTAAAAACACCTGATTGCTAAAAAGAAGCAAAAGGTCATCTGAGCCTTCACTGAGTTGTACTCTTTTTGGTGGTGGAGGGAAGGGCTTGCCTAGATGTTGATGGCTGTTTACTGATGAGGGTGGTGGTGGCTGAAGGTTATGGTGGCTGTGGCAATTTCATAAAAGAAGACAATAATGAAGTTTGCTGCATTGATTGCCTTCTTTTCATGAAAGTTGTCTGTGTAGCACACAATGCTGCTTGGTAGCATTTTACCCACAGTAGAACTTCTTTCAAAATTGAAGTCAATCATCTCCAACCCTGCCATTGTTTTATCAACTTAGTTTATGTAATATTCTAAATCCTTTGTTGTAATTTCAGTAATGTTCACAGCGTCTTCACTAGGAGTGGATTCCATCCCAAGAAATCGTTTTCTTTGCTCCTCCATAAGCAGCAACTCCTCATCTGTTAAGTTTGATCATGAGACTGTAGCAGTTTAGACCTATCTCCAGGCTCCACATCTAATTCTGGTTCTCTTGCTCTTTCCAGCATATCCGTAGTTACTTCCTCCACCAAAAACTTGAATCCCTCAAAGTCATCCATGAGGGTTGGAATCAACTTCTTCCAAACCCCTGTTCATGTTGATATTTTGACTTCTTCCCATGAATCACAAATGTTCTTAATGGCATCTAGAATGTGAATCATTTCCAGAAGGTTTTCAATGTACTTTGCCCAGTTCCATCAGGAATCACTATTTATGGCAGCTATAACCTTATGAAATGTATTTCTTAAGTAACAAGGCTTGAAAGTTGACATTACTCCTTAATCTATGGGCTGTAGAATGGATGTTGTGTTAGCAGGCATGAAAACAACATTCATCTTGTACATCTCTATCAAAGCCCTTGGGTGACTAGGTGCATTATCAATGAGTAGTAATATTTTAAAGGAAATATATATATTTTTCTGAACAGTTGCTATCAACAGTGGGCTTAAAATATTCAGTAAACCATGGTGTAAAGAGATGTGCTGTCATCCAAGCTTTGTTCATTGGTAGAGCACAGGCAGAGCAGATTTAGCATAATTATTAAGGACCCTAGGATTTTTGGAATGGTAGATGAGCATTGGCTTCAACTTAAATTTAACAGTTGCATTAGCCCCTAACAAGAGAGTCGGCTGGTGATTTGAAGCATGGAAGTCAGGCATTGACTCCTCCTCTGTAACTGTGAAAGTCCTAGATGGCATCTTCTTCCAACAGAAGGCTGTTTCATCTACATTACAAATCTATTGTTTAGTGTAGCAACCTTCATCAATGATCTTAGCTAGATCTTCTGGATAGCTTGGGGCAGCTTCTCCAACAGAACTTGTTGCTTCAGCTTGTACTTTCATGTCATGAAACTGGCTTCTTTTTTTAAATCTAATGCACCTACCTCTTCTAGCTTCCAATTTTTCTTCTACAGCTTCCTCACCTCTCAGCCTTCACAGAATTGACGAGTTAGGGCCTTGCTCTGGACTAAGCTGTGGCTTAAGGGAATGTCATGGCTAGTTTGATCTTCTATCCAGACCACTCAGACTATCCCTATATTAGCAATAAGGCTGTTTTGCTTTCTTACCACTCATGTGTTCACTAGAGTAGCACTTTTAACTTTCTTCAAGAACTTTTCCTTTGCATTCACAACTTGGCTAACTGTTCAGCACAAAAGGCCTAGCCTTCAGCCTATCTCAGCTTATGACATACCTTTCTCACTATGCTTAATCATTTCTAACTTTTAATTTAAAGTGAGAGATGTGTAGCTCTTCCTTTCACTTGAACACTTAGAGGGCATTGTAGGGTTATTAATTGGCCTAACTTACACATTTTTGTGTCTCAAAGAATAGGGAGGCCAAGGAGAGGGAGAGAGATGGGGGAAAGGCTGGTCGGTGGTGCAGTCAGAACACACACAACATATATTAACTTCACCACCTTACATAGGTGAGGTTTGTGGCACTCCAAATCAATTGCAATAGTAACATCAAAGATCACTGAATACAGACCACCATAACAGATATAACAGTACTGGAAAAGTTTGAAATATTATAAGAATTATTAAAATGTGACAGAGATACAGGAAACAAGCACATGCTGTTGGAAAAATGGCGTCAACAGACTTAGTGGACACAAGGTTGCTACAAACCTTCAATTTGCAAAAAGCATGCTATCTGTTAAGTGTGGCTTGGAAGGAAGTTTTCAGAACTAAGAATTTTGAGGCAGAAGGCAAAGTGCTCTGGGAATTCCGAAGGGTACCAGGAAGCACTCTCTCCCACAGAGCACCGTCCAGCACAGGCTTGCTGCCCTCCCTCCCTTCCCTCTTCTATTCATTGACTTTTGGACTGATTTTTTTTTTTTTCTAAGTATTTTTTTTATTATACTTTAAGTTTTAGGGTACATGTGCACAACGTGCAGGATAGTTACATATGTATACATGTGCCATGTTGGTGTGCTGAACCCAGTAACTCGTCATTTAACATTAGGTATATCTCCAAATGCTATCCCTCCCCACTCCCCCAACCCCACAACAGGCCCCGGTGTGTGATGTTCCCCTTCCTGTGTCCATGTGTTCTCATTGTTCAATTCCCACCTGAGTGAGAACATGCAGTGTTTTGTTTTTTGTCCTTGTGATAGTTTGCTGAGAATGATGGTTTCCAGCTTCATGCATGTCCCTACAAAGGACATGAACTCATCCTTTTTCATGGCTGCATAGTATTCCATGGTGTATATGTGCCACATTTTCTTAATCCAGTCTATCATTGTTGGACATTTGGGTTGGTTCCAAGTCTTTGCTATTGTGAATAGTGCCGCAATAAACATACGTGTGCATGTGCAGCATGATTTGTAATCCTTTGGGTATATACCCAGTAATGGGATGGCTGGGTCAAATGGTATTTCTAGTTCTAGATCCCTGAGGAATTGCCACACTGACTTCCACAATGGTTGAACTAGTTTATGGACTGATTTTAATTTTCATTATTTTTTTCTTTTGAGAAAGAGTCTCACTCTGTTGCCCAGGCTGGAGTGCAGTGGTACCATCTCGGCTCACTGCAATCTCCACCTCCTGGGTTCAAGCAATCCTTGTGCCTCAGCCTCCCAAGCAGCTGGGATTACAGGTGCGTGCCACCATCCCTGGCTAATTTTTGTATTTTTAGTGGAGATGGGGTTTCACTACATTGGCCAGGCTGGTCTCAAACTCTGTCCTCAAGTGATCTGCCCACCTCGGCCTCCCAAAGTGCTAGGATTACAGGCCAGAGCCACCACACCACACCTGACCTGGACTGATTTTTAAAATTGTGGCAAAATATACATAAGATTGATCATTTTAACTGTTTTAAGTGTATAGTTCAGCAGCATTAAATACATTCACATTGCTGTGATTCCATCACCACCATCCAGCTCCAGAAATTTTTAATCTTCCCAAATGGAAACTCTGCACCCATTAAGTATTAGGTTGAAAGTAACGGCACCAACCTAATACTAACTTCACAACCCTTCTCCCCAAAGCCCCTGGTAACCACTGTTCTACTTTCTGAATCTGTGAATTTGCCTATTCTAGACACTTCATGTAAGTGGAATTTATTGTATAATATTTGTCCTTTTGTGACTGGCTAATTCCATATAGCATAATGCCTTCAAGGTTTGTTTGTGTTCTCTCTTGTAGTATTTATTGTACACCTGTTCTATGCCAGGTCTACACCTGGGCTTAGGTACACCAAGGAGGTGAGATATGGGGCAGGTAGGTAAGCACCATCAGCTGAGACATCCATTACTGAGTTCATACTAACAGAGATTAGCCTATCACAGGCTTCCCAAGCTCATGATTAACAAAGAGGCAAAGAGACAAAAGGGAAGATTTGGTTGAATAGAGAGAGTGAAGAAAGCTGGAACACTGACTAGGGAGAGGAAGGCTTGGGTGGGATGGAATGGAGATTAATTTTGTTAATCAAGACGTCCTGAGTACCTTCAGGAATGATGGGTGGTTAGGGGATGGTGGTGTAAAATCTTGCTTAGGATCAAAAGATGTCGTGGTGGAAGGGGGCTTAGGAATAGGTGACTACAGTCTCATTATGCAAGATTCAAAGACGCAATGCACAATTCTTACTTCAACATCTACGAAACAAAACTAGTATCTTTTCTAGAGGTTTCCACTGCTGTCAGTTGGCATGGATCCTTTTCATTCTTTTTCTCTGCTTTTCCATATATGCATATGGACACATAGACATCTATATGTTTCTCTCTGTGTGTGGGTTTGTGCATGCTTAGACCTAAATGGAATCATACTGTGTGTGAGTTTTTTTTGCAACTTTACATTTTCACCCAATAGCGTATCTGGAGATCACATCATAGAGGTGCTTATAAAGCTACTTTGTTCTTTTTAAAGACTCCATGTTATGAACATTAGTTTGGATGTTGGTTTGGCTGCTTTTACAAAGACCAACTTACAGAAGCTTGCACAAGGTAGGAGGTGGTTTCCATGTAAGTGCTGGAGCAGGCAGTGATCAGATGGGTAGGCAGCTCTGATGACTCCACCACATCATCTCAGAGCCAGGCTCCTCCTCCCTTGTTGCTTTGTCATCTCTTAGGGTGTTGTCTCCATTTGCATGACAGAAACTAGCTCCCCACCCTCAGAAAGGGGAGCTTTTTCCAGGCCCTGGAAAAGAGGAAAGAGGAAATGGAGGGCAAGTGTTTTCCTTTCAAGATGTGACCCAGAAGATGCAGCCATCACTCTGCTTACAACTCATTGGCTACTCTTGTGGCTGCAAGGGAGGCTGGGAAATGTAGTTTCCAGCTGCACATCTACAGGCCCATCTCTTCCTAAAAGCCAGGGAAAATCAACATCAGGATCACGGCTCCTCCCACCGTGTGTATGCATCCTCATTTACTAAGCCATTTCCCTATTGGTGGATCTTTAGATTGTTTCTTACTTTTTGCTATGGCAAGCCTCACTGCAGTGACTATCCTCGTTTGTGCTGTTTTTTGGTACACAAGAGTTTCTGAGACATCTGAGGCCCAAGGAGGTGGAGTAACTTGTCCTGATTCACAGGCTGTTTAGGAAAAGTGTCGGGGGATAACTAGGACTTTTGATTCCCACACCCGGGATTTTAATATGACCATACTTTCTCTCTCTGGAGGAAGAGTGTTGTTTGCTCCTATATGGTACTCTAAAGAGCTATTTCTCAAACTTTAATTTGCACATGAATCACCTGGGGGTGGGGGGTCTCATGAACATGCAGACTGTGATTCAGCAGATCTAGGGTGGTGTCCCTGATTCTGTCTTCTTAAAGAGCTCCCAGGCAGTGCAGATGTTGCTGGACTGTAGACCACACTCTGAAGACCGGGGTTACTTCCCCTAATTCCTCTTCTCATCAGAGAAAGACAACACCTTTAGGCAGAAGTTTCTTAACCCACTGACATCAAAGAGTAGACCACAGGAGGAAATTCTCTGTCAAATGATGCATAGACCCCAAGGACTGGGTGATGTCACCTCAGGTGACCCGGCCTCCCAAAGTGCTGGGATTACAGGCGTGAGCCACCACACCTGGCCTCCTTGAGGATATTCTGATGGGTGACTGGCTGCCCCGTTGAGGCTACTGACCAGAGATGGGCCAGCCCTCAGGCCTGTTGGGCCCTGAGGCAGATCTCAAGGGACTCCAGGCACATTCTGGGAGCTGCTGAAGCCCTTGGAAAAAATTAGGTCAATTCACCAGTCTGGGCTTGTTTTGTCCACCACTGTCCCACCAACGTGTGTGTGTGTGTATGTGTGTGTGTGTGAAGAGAAAGCAGAGAACCCAGCAGGCCTACGGCTTTTTGCACACTTGTTTCTTTGTTTTCATCTGTTTGACTATTATTTTTAGCACCCAGATTACCTGAGAGGAAGGGAGGAATTGGAGGAGAGGGGAGAAGGTGGGAAGGAGAGAACTACCACGGATCTGTTATTCCACGCTCTGCCCACCTGTGCAGGGCCTTAGGCAGTGGCAGATTGTGGTCTGACCTGCTCAGGTTCTGGTATGGACTTCCGGGGACATGGAGTTGAGTTCTCAGTCCACAGGAGTAGACCAGAGTGATCTACATGGTAAGAAAGCCCTTCCAGCAGGGGTCAGGCCACTCAGAAGTAAGAGTCCCTGAGAAGGTGCCCCTGGAGCTGGTTGTGAGCTCCCTGGTGTGTGAAGCCTTCCCCAACCATTCCACCTCCCTGGAGATGCCTGTCTCCCCTGAGTGAGGTGAGGGCGATGCAGTTCTCAGCTGCACCACTTAGTAGCAGAGTCCTTGGTCAAGATACTTAATGTTTCTGGGCCTCAGTTTTTTAATGTGTAAAATGGGGATGTATCTATGCCATGTGTTTTTTGTCTTGTTTCGTTTGAGCATTAAATGAGATAATACATATTTAGAAAAACCAGAATAATGCCTGATCCACAGAAAACATTCAATACCTATGAATTATTATTATTATTATCATGCATGGGACATTCAGTGTGGGAGTGGGGCCTCTCCATGTATTGTAGGAGAAAGGGTGCTGATTGGGAAGATAAAAGACCTGCATTGCCTCATGGCATGGGCTGCTATGATCAAATCTATTCTCTAATCCAGTCCTCAATTCCCTCACCTGTGAAATGGGAATACTTACCTGGCCAGGTGAGTACTGAATGGTACCCAGAGGAATCAAATGCAACAGGGGAGGCATCATTTTGCATATAAAGGGCTCTGAACATGAAATAGAGGCTGAAGATGGTGACGACACACTCCTATCAGCAACTTCCTTTGTGGTTGGGAAAGGTGCCTTTTTCATCACTTCTCCTCCAATTCCAGCAGCAGCTTGAGGTCAGCAGGTTTTGCTGCCAAGCGTGCTGAAGCCCAGGTGTGTGAACTGAGGGCTGGCGTCTGTCTTGGAGCATTTGGACATGTGCTTGGCCACGTGGAGATGGGTCAAGGGAGGAGCGATGTATCAATAAGTCAGGAAAGGAAAGATGAGCAAAGCCATTCAGGTGACACCACCCTTGACAAGGACAGCAGGAGGGGCTGGCAGGGTGGGGTTAGGTCAGGAGGGTCAGTTTGAAGTGTGTCGTAAACCCTCACCATTTGGACACATACACACTCCACTAAAAGTGTTCAACCAAGTTTCTATCTCTGATGTCAGCCCAAAGGGCCCTGGTTGACCAAATGCTTTGCTTTATAAATGAGGAAACAAGCTTGGATAAGGTAATGACCTACCTGTGTCCATATATCGGGCTAGAGACAGAAGTCAGCTCTCCTGAGCCCCAATACAGTGTTGTTTTTTTTTTTCAAGCATTTTGTATTTCTTGGCTACACTTGATGCCCACAGTGTGCAAGGCAACCTACATAAAGGGATTTATTGGAGAGCAGAGCAATCCTTACGTGGCTGGGGCAAGAGGGGCCTTCAGCCATGTGGGGCCCCTGTGCCACTGTGGACTGATCATGCAGGCGACTCCCTGACATGCCACTGGGCACTGCTGCTTGCCCCCCAGTGTCCTGTGGCGCTGGTCTGAGCTCTGTGGTTGGCGCCACCTGTGAGGGTCAGGTCTTCTAGCCAGGTGACTGGCAACTGGCACAGTTAGTGTCTCATTCCTCAGCTTGTGTGAGAAGAGGACATGACTCTTACAGCAAGGCAGAATGTTTCCTCATTGCCCAGTAACTGACACAGCCACAGCCTGGAGAGCCTGGGATGCTTTGCAGCCCTCCAGCCTCCAAGAGCACGCTGCATGCCTGCCTGGGTTGAGTCCCGGCCTTGCCTGGTGGGCCACCACTATCCCGAGGCCTCAGCTCGTGACCCTTTTGTGCCAACAACATCACTTCTCCACTAGCCTGGTGCTGGGCTGAGGAACTTAAAACAAGTCCCAGTGGCAATGCGTCCAAAAGGGATGTGTGACAAATTGTACCATGGTATGTCATGTTGACATTGACTGACAAGGGCTGTGGGAGGTGACAGAACTCACAGCCACCGTGGAGCCTGGGCTCCTCACACAGAGCCATGTGCACATCATCCAACAAGGGCAGCAGTGCCCCCAACCGGGCCACGAACCACACTGTGGGGTCCCAGACTCCTCTTGCCCACAGTTTAGAGTCTGCCCAGCTCCAAGGTACCCAGTTGGCTGAGGGACGGGTGAGGGAGAAAACATGGGAAGGGGTGGGAGTAGGGAGAGGAGAAGGAAGACAATAGAGAATTAGCAGAGGAGGCCTAGGAAATCAAGCTACCTGAGCCCCCAGTGATTGAGGGGCAGATGTGGGGAGAAGTCAGTCAAAGAGATGGAGATAAATTACTATGGTGACCCAAAGAGGTCCAGACAGAGATGAGGAGACAGACAGAGACAGAGACAGAAGGAGAGAGATGGGGTGTGAGGAGGAGAGAGAGACCCAGCGAGACGGAGGTGGAGGAGGAAGAAAAAGGGGCAGAGAGGCCCAAAGGGAGGGAGACAGGTATTGTCCCAGAGGGTCAGAGTGGTTGGACACAGGGGCAGTCCTTTAACACTGCCCGAGAACAAAGCCTCTGGATGCAGCCAGCCTGGGACGGCCTTCGTCCCCTAGAGATGATCCACATCCTCCTGCCAGGTGCAGCCGCAGCCGATTTAATGAACCCAGAAGGAGGTCCCTGCTGCCTCAAGATTGATTCAGGTCATTTGTCAGTAATTGTTCTGCCCAGCCCAGCCCAGGAGCAGTTAAGTGATTTAAAACCAGAGAGAGAGAAAGAAGAGAGGGGGGAGAGAGAGAGAGAGGAACCCCATGAGGAGATGCCCCAGGGTGACCTACCCCCAACCTCTGTGACACTCTGAGAACCAGCTCAGTCCTTGCCCACCTTCTGCTGTTTGTGAAGACATCAGAGGCATTTGCGAATGATTCTTCAGGAATAAAAAGCCTCTTTATTCCCAGGCGTCTCTGGAGCATAAGAGTCCTCCTCAGACACTGCTGATGTGTTAAGGACCGAGAAGAGATTGTGACCTACCCTGTCTGGTCCTCATCACCACTGAACTGGCGGAAGGGGGCGAGACTACCTGGGATATCATCCCAATTCTGGCCCCGCCTCCGGAAGCAATGGAGCTGTCTCTCACTCCAAGCCTCAGTTTTCCCATCTGTACCAGGAGGAGCTCAGGCCAGGGATGAAGCCCTTGTGAGCTCTACTCTGAAGCTCTGCAGGGTCTGTGTGTGACAGGTGAGCCGGGGACCTCAGGGTTAACTGAAGGGCAGGTGAGTCCTGAGGTCTACAGGGCTGGGCCCCCCCCTCCAGAGGGCCTATCTCCCCTGGCACTCTGGCTCCCTTTCCTCGAATCTTCAGCTGAACTGAGTACCTTGCAGAGCCACAGAGCTGGAAGAGGTTGACTTCAGGGGTCACTAGCTAAATGGGTTACATGTTCTTAGCAGGTCAAGACTGACAGTGTGGCCTCTGAAATCAGACACCCTTGAATCTGAATCTCAGCTCTGCCATTTCCTATCTGTGTGACCCCAGGCAATTGATTTAACCTCTTACAGTCTCAGCTTTCTCATCTGTAAATGGGGATAATAACAGTGCTTAAATCATAAGGTGGTCATGAGGATTCAATGAGATAATGCAAGCAAAGAGCTTAACACAGCACTAGGCGCAGGGAAAGTTCTCAGTAAATGTTTTCTGTTACAATGGTTAATATATAGGTGTAAGTATCTGCACATATTCAGACAAATCAACATATATCCGTTTACATGGACATAGCATGTCGCAAAGTCTGAGCGATCATGGAGGGATCCAGCAAAAGCAAAAGTTTGCTTTTACCCTCTCTCATCCTATTCCTCTCTCCAGAAGTGCTGGCTGTTGAGCTGTATTCTTCTAGACTATGTTATAGGCATGTATATACACATCTGTTAGTATAGAAACCCACAGTTTGTGTCATGTTTACAAATAGTGTATGTATTGTTCTGTAATCTGATTTTTTTTGGCTTAACAATATGTCTTTGCAGATATCTTCATTTTTTTCATATAGATCTATATTCCATTAAAAGAAAACTTCTATGGAGTGCTCTACAATGTGGCTGTATCAATTTAACTTCCCTCTGTTGATGAACATTTGATTTGATTTTTCCTTCTTTTTTGTTATGGCGATATAGCAATGAACATCTTAGACATATTGCTTTGGGTGCGTGTGCAAGTATTTCTTTAGAGTGGCTACTCAAAAATTTGGGTTGAAGGGTATGGACATGTTTAAATATGACAGTTCATGCCTAATTGCCCTCCAACAATGACATTCCAATATACAGCTGTCAGCTACACTTAAGAAAACCATTTCTTCAATCCCTCTCCAACACCAAATACGTTCCTCCTCCCTCCCCCTAATTTTTGCCAATCCTATGGGTGATACACGGAATCCCATTTCTTCTTTAATTTTCATACTGTAGCTACTTTTGAGCATGCGCATCTTCCCACGGTTTATTGGCCCTTTCCTTTTCTGTGAATGTCCCTTCAACATTCTTTTCTCATTTTCCTACTGGATTGTTTGTGTATTTTCTCACTGATCTGAACTGGGATTTATATATGTGAGATATTATTTCTTTGTCTTGTATTCATATGGCAAACATTTTTTCCTAGTCTGTCTCTTGTCTTTATGTTGTCCTTTGTCATTTTTATGTGGTCAAACTTATAAGTGGCCAGTGAATCCTGAGTCTTTCAATATAGCTCCAAGGCTATATTTTCTTCTAATACTTTTTTTGTTATATTTATTATATTTGGGTATTTAACCCATTTGGAAATTTTTATGGGGCATGGTGTGAGGTAAGAAACCTAACTTTACTTTTTTACCCCAGGGGTTACTTTGTCTTTCCAGCACCACTTATTGAATGGTCTATACTTTTCTCACTGATATGGATTGACACATTTATCATAGAATCAAATGCCCTTTATAAATGGATCGTAAACTGGTAGCCCTCAGGCCGGAGCTAACGCGCATTTTTTTCATACTAATTGTGTTCAGTATTTTGAATAATAAAATTATGTGTTTCAAATGTTAAAAGGTGCAGAAAGAGTCCAGTAGAGACCCGATGGCTCTTCATCCAAATCTGCCCTCCTTTCTTCCTGGGTACCGCGCAGGCTTCCTTGTGACTGTGGTCATGTGACTGAGTTGAAGCCAATAGAAGGTGAGCAGAGATCTGTGCTCTTCTAGGCCTGGCCAGTCAAGAGCACCTCCACACTCCATGCTTCTTCAGCTCTGTGCCTTTCCCCGGGGGTTAGAACAGTGGTGAGGATGTTTCAAAGTCTTGTGTTAAAAATGGGACAGCCCCATCAGCTGGGGCCCCTGAATAATCCTGTTTATAGAAAATGCCGCCTCTGGATTATCTGATGATTCAGAAAACAACTTCTATGGAATTGAGCCAGGAGGTATGGGAGTCTACTTGTTACAGCAATTCAGTTTATTTTTACTAATGCACGCTCTGAGCAGAAGATTCCTCTCCTCTGTTTCTAGCCCTCTAGTGTTCCTTCCTAGAGGCAACTTGTGTTGTTAACCTCTTGTTTATACTTCCAGAGACATTCTAGGCATTCACAATTACATATACACATATGTACACATATGTGTTTTTTAAACTAATCATACGAATGGTAGCCCACTATACATATTATTCTATACCTTGTTTTTTTTCATTGACAGTATAGAAGACCTTTCCATATTAGCACATACACAGCTTCCTTGTTTAAAGGCTGCATGATATTCCAGTGCCCAGTACTCTATTGCATGAAGATGCTATCATTTATTTAATCAGCTGCCTACAGATGGATAATTGGGCTGTTTCCAGTCCTTTCTTACTATAAACAATGCTGTAGAGACCAACCTTGTGTAACCTGTTTTGCATCTGTTTGAGTGTATCTGAAGGATAAATTCCTAGAAGTGGGATTTCTGGGTCAAGGGATAGAAACATTTATGATTTCGATAGCATTATTCAACTACCTGCCCTAAGTTACACCCCCATGGCAATCTATGGGAGAGTCTGTTCTCTTGCACTCTCACCAACACAGTGAGGCATCAAAATGTTCACTCTTGCCAACCTAACAGAAGAAAACTGGTATCTCATTTGTAGTTTTAATTTGCATTTTTTTTGTATTATGAGTAAGGATGAACATCTTTTAGTGAATTTCTATTCATATTCTTTGCCAATTTTTCTCTTGTGTTGTGTTTTTCTGAAAGGGCTCTTTAGGTTATTAGCCCTTTGTCTATTATATGAAATACAAGTTTTTGTTTTCTTTTCTTTTTTTTACCAGATTGTCACTGATTTTTTTGTCTTTAATTATGGTGGCTTTTGCCATGAAGATAATTTTTTATTATCAAGTTGATCCTTTTTATGGCTTTTGATTTTCTTTTAATATTTAGAAAGTATTATTAAAATTAAATAATTTTAATTTTTAAAGCTGTAAAATTTAAAAAGCGTTCTCCAATGGTTTTTCTATTGTTTTACAGGTTTTGTTATTAACATTTAAAATTCTGATTCACTTATTCAACTCCCTTATAAAATATTTATCAACCACACACTATGTGCCAGACACAGTTCTAGGCACTGAGGATATAGCAGTGAACAAAAAGTCAAAACCCTCTGGCTTCATGGAGCTTATATTAGAGGTGTAAAGCAGGCCGTGGATGATATACACTAAATGAATAATAGATTATGAGTATATTCTTAGTATACTATGCTATATTATGCATGATAGGTTATTAGTATGATAATATGCTATTATTATATTATATATGCTAGATTATTAGTATAATAGTATACTATTATATAATATTAATATGTTATTAATATAACATAGTATAGTATACTATTATATATAGTATTTATATATTATTGATATAATATATACTGTTATATATAATATTAGTATATTATTAATATAACATATAGTATACCATTATATATAATATTAATATATTATTAATGTAACATATAGTATACTATTATATATAATATTGATATATTATTAATATACTATATTAGTAGATTATTAGTACATTAATTATTATATAGATCATTAGTATATAAGATTAGATGGATATTATTTTGTGTGAGGAGTAGGCATGGATCTAACTTTACTTTCTTCCTAGATATCTACCCATTTGTCCCATTTGATTTATTGAATAATTCACTCTCCCTTCTTGACTTTTGACCTTTACCACATCTTCCCTTATGTATTTGTGTCTGTTTCTAGACTTTCCTTTTGGCTGTGTCCATTTCTCTGTTTATTCATGTGCCAGCACCATGGTTTTAACTACTGGAGTTTTATACTATGTTTTACAATCTGATAAATCTAGTCTCCCAAGCCTTTTACTCTTTTTCAGAATTTTCCTATTATTGCTTGTCTATTTTTCCTGTATGCACTTTAGAGTCCCATATCTATTTCTTCCAAGCTGCTATTAAGTATTACTCTAAAATTATAGATTCACTCAGGGAGAATCAACATCCTTATGACATCACGTGTTCCTATCCAGGAACATAGTATGTCTTTCCGTTTGTTTAAATCTTCAGTTATGGCCTTCAGAAACATTTCAAGTTGCTTAATTTAGTTCTCACCCAGTTATAGCATTTAGACATTTTTTTCCCATTAGCTAACAACATTGAAAAACTGACAGAATTTTTTTTTTTTATATCTGGATTTTTTTCTCCTTGTGAAAAATGGGAAGATCTGCCAGCACTGAGCCCACATCCTGCCAGGCTACAGCTGATTGCCCACTTGATAGAGGCTCACCCTCCTAGCGAGCGTGTGCTCCCAGATCACTGCGTGTGCTCCCAGATCACTGCGTGTGCTCCCAGATCACTGCAGCTTCTGGTCGTATGCCTGGCTCACCCTTGGTGCCACTGCTTGGCCCTTACCCTTGTGTTGCCGCTTGGATTTGGGACTCTGATCTGGCAACTTCTACACTCTCATATGTGTTCCCATTGTAAACACGTTGATTTGAATTCCAGCAACAAATTTGACACATGTCATAATGTCTTTCTTTTCTTCCACAAATGTTTTACATAGTCATTTTTATGTTAGTTTCTATACAGTCATAGGAAAACCCACAAGAGAATTTGGGCTAGATCAGGGTTTCCCAAATACTTATACTGTGGACCTGTAAGCTATGTATATTTTCTTATAAAAAGAACTGTAATGAGGAAAAGGAGGAGGTGCGGGGGAATGGATGGTAGGGAGCCTTAGAGAGGAATTAAGCTGTAAAGGAAGAGAAAATGGATACATAAAAATGGCAAGAGACCACACAATCTTGTCTTTCCCATCTGCAGACTAAGGTTTGGAGGAAAAGTCAGAGCTGAATGATGGAGTAAGCTGCATTTGTAACTAGTGAGGGGCACTGCTCAATAAGCATCAATAAAAGACCATTGGGCTGAATGTAGTGGCTCATGCCTATAATCTCAGCACTTAGGAAGGCCAAAGTGAGCCCGAGAGTTTGAGACCAGCCTAGGCAACATGGCAAAACTCTGTCTCTACAAAAATATTTTAAAAAATTAGCCAAGTGTTGTGGCATTTACCTGTAGTCCTAGCCCAGGAGGTTGAGGCTGCAGTGAGCCAGGATCGCCCCACTGTACTCCAGCCTGGGCAACAGAGTGAGACCCTGTTTTAAAAATAAATAAATAAGCATCGTTGACCTGATGAGATCTCTACTGGTATGCCAGGACTCTTTCTTAAATGATGACCAGTTTATATTTCAGTGCTGACCAGTTTATATTTCAATCAATAAAGCTAATGAAAACAATTGCCTGCCAGTTTTCAGATGGCCTGAATTTGGGAAGGACAGTAAGTAGATTGGAGGAAAGATAGCACCCACACAAACCAAGACAGTCTATGATTAAAGGAGCAAATTGAATAAGATAAAATTTACTGAAGATAAGCATCAAGACCCATATTTGGGGCCCCAAACCAACTGTGCAATGCTGGGTACATGTTCAAAATGGAGGCAGGGGTTGGGGTGTAGACAGACAGCTGTTAGCTCAGTACCGGTACAGCTGACCGAGGGAGTGTAGTTGGGCAGCATTAAGAGAAGCACAACATCCAAACATGGAAGCAGGGAGGCATGTGTGGTCCGTGCTGTTCAGCTGACACCTGGAGGAGCCTGTCCCTGGGTCCTCCCGGGGGGGAAAGCAGGGCAGCAACTGAGGCCTGTTCCTGCAGCCGGCACAGCCTCGGAGGGAGGCAGTTTCCTCAGGTTCGAGGTCAGAATTCTGAAACCTTTCCACCTGGAGAGCTGGTTTTACAGGGTCGAATTAATTAACTAATTAATTATTTCAACAGATGCTAATTGAGCTGCACCCTGGGCTGTTCATGGGCTAAGTGTTGGGACAATGCAGTGAACAAGACAAACAAGCCAGGTCCCCATGGAGTTGTGGTCTGGTGTGGATGGCAGCTACGAAACAAGAGCTGCCAAGCGCCACAACTTTTACAAAGATGTGCCGGGTGCTCTGGGGCATATGACAGGGATCTAGGCCTGGGCTCAGGATCTAGGCCTGGGCTTCCCTGAGGTCATGATGAACGGGGTCTCCTGTAACCATCATGGTTGGCTGGAGGGTCACAGGTAACCACCTTGAAACACATTGTTTTTATGAGAAAATTATCCTGTATTCAAATGTACTTTTACACCCAGCCCTGTAAGGAAGCCGTTGGAGGCTGAAGGGCCATGCCTCTGGTGGTTGGCACGGATGGTGCTAGAAGCCAACAGTTCAAGGGCTTGGGTTAAACTTAGCTCTGCCACAAATATCTGTACAACCTCAGGCCAATTATTTCCCCTCTCTGGGCCTCAGTTTCCTCATCTGTAAAAAGAGGCCCCTTAGATCTGGTGCATTTCTATTCTGTGGTTTTGGCATTTCACGTTAACCACCCACATTCATGTGAGCACATTCCTACACCCATGCTGGAGGCCATTCCCAGGCCCCTGTCCTATGGCCTCCCCATAGCTTCTTGCTTTCATTGACTCAACCAACCATTTACCAGCTCTGTGGCTTAAAGGGGCAGGACTCTGCATCTGCTGGCTCCAGGGACCCTTTGCCTAACTCTTAGTGAGCCACAGTGAGACTGAAACAGAAGGGAAGTTCCTACGTGATGATCCACAGGCCTGTACATGGAATGAACCGACTACACTAGACAAATTAATGGGGTCTGGGGAGGAAGCTCCCCAGTGCAAAGCCCACTCCTTCAGAATGGTTCACACCAATTAGCTGAGATGTGTCAGAGTCTACCCTGGATGTGGAAGGGCTGCCAACTCCCCAGCCTACTTGTTTCTAGGTCCTGTGCCCTTTGGAACCAACCATGACATACACTCACTGGATCCAGCAGCTGGGGGAGTCAACTGGCCCCA
This sequence comes from Homo sapiens, assembly GCF_000001405.40. NCBI lineage: Eukaryota > Metazoa > Chordata > Mammalia > Primates > Hominidae > Homo > Homo sapiens. Next base: position 69,947,152 of record NC_000015.10, on the reverse strand, counting down.
GCTTTCCCAGTAACTCTAGGGACAAATCTAGTAGGCAGAAGCCCGTCTGCCTACTCTCTTCATAACAGGTGTTGTTGAAGGGCCTGGTACCCTTTGAAGTGAAGGATACAGGGAAACTGACAGGCTTTCTCTTCATCCTGTCCCTAGTGGAGGCAGCGAGATCTGCCATGATGCTCAAATCTCTTCCATCCATCTCCACGTCCCTTTCCAGCTACTGCTCTATTTTTCTCCTTCCTTGACAGCAACATTTCGGTAGAGCTATGTGCACAAAAAGCTCTCCACTTCTGCAGTCTACACTTCCTCCTTGACCTACCACCACCACCTAGCTTTCCTCTCACTGAGACCGTGACACCACAGTCATCAACAACTTTCTGTAGCCAGATCCATGGGAAACTTCTTTATTCTCAATCTCTTGGGCCACTCAGCTACATTTCACCCCATTGGCACCTCCTCTGTTCCAAAGCATTGCTTTTCTTGGTTTCTATGACCTCATTCCTTCTTGATTCTTATTCTACCTGTTTGCTCTTCAATCTCTTTGCATAGACTCCTTTTCTACAGACCCTTTCAACTCTGATTTATATTATATCATTTTGTCATTGTGCATTTATGTTTTTATGTGTCATGAGTGGACTGCATTCATCTCAACCTCCGTGGCAATTAGCACAGGGATTCAGAATATCCTAATGAGTGAATGAATAGAGGGATGAATGAATACACAAATGGATATACTTAGCACTGCTCATGAAGTTTTGGCCGATGAAAGAGGGTGGAATGCAAGGCTAGTATTGAAGGTGACAACTCACTCACATGTGAAGTACTCGGACACTTTCTTGACTAATGTGAAAAAATTTCCAGGAGGAGGTGGTAGAACCTGGGAGCGGGAAGGAGGAAACCTGAATAGAACCAGGCTAGGATCTTGGCTTAGTCTTCAGGGCTCCTGATTCTTTTCAGAATCTCAGTTTCCTATCATGTCCAATTTACCACAGTTAAGAAAGGAAAGGGAAAGATGGACACAAAGAGGATCATTAGAGGAAAAAGATGATAAGATGAAGAAGAGGGGAGAAACAGCTAGGCAGAGAAAGGGTCCTGAGAAATAGAATAAAGGAGGGAGAAAGTGGTCCGAAGTGTGGATCAGAGAGAGAAGAGTAAGACTTTGTGTTAAGACCTAGTGTACAGTGGAATGTGTTCATCAACTGTAGTTTATGAACTACAGTTTTATCAAACCTGCTTAATGGCATGTAAGGGTTGTGAATGTTGTTGCCACTGGATGGTTGGCCACTCTTTATTGTTCTTCTCTCCTTTGTATCTTTATAGTAACCGAAACCCTGCTGTATGGAACTGGTTACAGCCACCTCCCAGGCAGAGGTGGACATTCCCACCCCTGGGTTTTTGGGGCTTTTTCTTACACCTGGGACTGCCCTGGCTATGCTGTGACCCTTTGTTTCTTTACCCACGTCTCCTCTTCAGAATACAAGGCCCTCAGAACACAAGGTCAAGTTTTTATTTTTTTAAAGGGCCAAATAGTAGGTATGTTTATTTATTATTATTATTATTATTATACTTTAAGTTCTAGGGTACATGGGCACAACGTGCAGGTTTTTTACATAAGTATACATGTGCCACGTTGGTGTGCTGCACCTGTTAACTCGTCATTTACATTAGGTATATCTCCTAATGCTATCCTTCCCCCCTCCCCCCACCCCATGACAGGCCCCAGTGTGTGATGTTCCCCACCCTATGTCCAAGTGTTCACATTGTTCAATTCCCACCTATGAGTTAGAACATGCGGTGTTTGGTTTTCTGTCACAAGGTAAAGTTTTAAGCCTTGCCAAATTGTCTATACTTCACCCTCTGACCGCTAGCTGATGCCTGGCACCTAATAGGGGTTCAATGTAATGTTTTTTTCTTCTTTTGTGGACAAAAGAATTAACGAATGAAAAGTCACAGACTCTGCCTTCAAGGAGCTTACGGTTTCCCTGGGGATATGAGACAAAACAATATGAGATAGCTGAGAATCAATTTCCGACTTGTGTATGTACAACAGACACCAGCAACGCGGAGCTTTCGTGTTTTACTTCCTACCACTCCTATCACAGAAGTTGGGTCTCATCACAAGAGAAACGAAGAGCTCACAATAGAGGCACTTTTACACTCAGTAGTCTTGGTTATTACATTTGTCATCTATGATAAGTTTGTCAGGAAAAATGAACATTGTATTAGTGGAAGTAAACATTACAGAAAGCTCCAGCTTTTAAGTCTAGGGTGCATATGATTTTCCTATCAACAGAAGAACTTAAATGATTTGTTTATGAGTCTGTTTCTGCTATTGGATGGCAAGCTCTTTATACGCTTTTTATTTTCTATTTCTAATTGTGATTAAGTATATGCATTCTGCAGTCAGTCTTTCAAGGTTCAAATCCTGGCTTTTCTACTTACTCGCAGTGTGACCTCAGTTTCCTCATTTGTAAACTGGTCAAAATTGGCATTATAATGGTACAATCTACATGGTCTTTAGGAGAATTAAATGAGTAATGCTCAATAAAGGTCAGTATTCTTATCATCATCATCATCTTTCATCCTACAGGTCTTCAATACACGTTTGTTGAATTGGAAGAGTACATAAAAATATTACTTGTATTTGTAGTTGAAAATTATAATGATTAAACATAGACTTTGCACATGTAACAACAGAACACAAAGACAAGGAAAATAAAGTTAGTTTTCAAGGAATTGGGAGTACAAGTTACTGCTCTGACTACAACATAAACAAATAAGACTAGTAATTCCAGGATCTGAAATGTATCCCAAGAATGGTTATGGCTGCAGATGGCTGGCTGGGGAATTCTGAGCAAGGTGCGTAATTGCACTGTGGTTGTGTGCACTTGGACTGCTGTTGTGCCCTGGTGCACCAGTGTGTGATCCTGGCAGTCCGTGGGGAAGGAGATCTTCTAGGACTAGAGCCCGTGGTGTGGGAGGACCCCTAGAGAGGTGGCATTAAGCAGTGAGGGCTTCACGCTTTAGAGGGCGAGGAACAGAGTTGCCATTAAGGATGCCCGTGTGTACCACAGTGGTGAGAGAAATGGCGATCTTATAGCTCCCAGGAATAACCATCTCCTGCAGCCCAGCTGTCTCCAGGGACTAGCTAATTTTGTCTCTGTGCTCACAGAATTGGCACATTTTTGCTCCAAGCTCCACCAATAATGTGACTGCTCCTTTCTCTGGGTCTTCATGTCTTTCTTTTGGCCTCACCTGGCAGAGTCTCCAATGTGCCTTCATGCAAATTCCAGAGAGGGTATCTGACTGCCGGCCCCAAACATCCTGATTTCACCCCAGTCTGGACACTAGTGGCATCTGGGGCAGGAGTTCTCCAGCCTCCTTCCCCTGGCCCTCTTAGCATTTGATCAGGAAAGGCCCTTGGTCAAGCCACAGTCCCTGAAGGGGATTGACATGTCTGGTCTAATATGCATTGTTTGGTGTGTGGGCTCCTTGAGGAAGGCAAGGGTGGCATGAGAAAGGTTCAGGAGTGAGCATGTGCTCCCTTTAAGCCCCCTGGTGTCTCCTGGCCCTCCAAGGGAAAACACTTTGCTGTTCTAAATGTCATTCTCTTCCCTTGCCCCCCCGCCTCTGCTGTGCCTCTGTTTCTGGCTGCTCCTGTCTGTGTCCCTCCGAAACTCTGGCTAGAGTCTCTAGCTGAGGGGCTTTGAGGTCTCCAGTATCCCAGGCCTGCCCAAGGGTGGCCTGCCCAAGGGTGGCCCGCCCTGTCTGCAGTGGGCCCACCCACCCCAGGACTTGTACCACCTTAGGTCTCTCCAATGACATGAAACTTGAGTGGGCTTCAGTGCGGAATTCCAGCCTGCAAATGAGGCGGGCATGTGTGTGCTGTCAGCAGCCTCCTCTCAGGTGGGCCCAGACAGCAGCCAGTCGGGGCGGGAGGGGGTCATTACCATCCTTGACAGGCTCCAGGAAGCATCTGCTTATGACTCAGGCTGTTTCTGTTTCTTCCCTCCCTTCTTTCTCACAACACACACACACACACACACACACACACACACACACACACAGAGTACAATCACACCTTTCCTCCAACCTTAAAAAAATATTAAAAATATCATGAAATATTTTCACTTTAATTGTCACAGGGAGAGCACAGCCTGCTGGTTTTCCTGCCTGCCTGATAATTAGTCTGCAGTCTTCTCCCAGCTCCTCACCAGCACGCTGGAGGGTGCGGAGCTAGATTGTGGGGGAAGTAATTACAGCGAGGACATCTCACCTACTGCAATACAAGAGGTGTGTGATTACCAACACCCAGACTTAAAGAGGGGTGTGTGTGACTGAGGTCCACCTTTGTCAGATCAGTCTCCTGCAGAGGGTCTGTTCCTTTGATCTCAGAGTCCTCATGGTGGGGGAGAACACCCTGTGTGATGCAGCAGATCTGGGGTCCACGGGACCCTCCCTGCATCAACACCCAAGAGGCTGTCAGCTGAGAAGTGAGCGAGGGGAACAGCAGGAGGGGCAGAAGAAGTGCTCTCCTCCTCACCTTGCACAAAAGCTCTGGTGCCAGGCCAGAAGGATTGTCCCCAGCTGCCTCCTGCACACCCCTTCAGATTGCTGCTCTGCCTTAATTTTCTTTTCAGGGTCATTGTTCCTGTTCTTTGAAACATGAAGCCCAAAGTTCATTTATTCATCAAACATTTATTGTGCACATGGTATGGGCCAGGCACTGAGAGAGGTGGGAGGGACAGAGATGAGCACATCACCGTCCTGCCTTCCCAAGCTCACTGTCTAGTGGAGAGGAAATCATGCCAACTAGCAACCACCATATGGGTGATGGGCTGGAATGGAGATAGGGGTGTTCCAGAAGCACCAGGGAGGGGCAACCCTCAGCTTTAAGCCATGGGGGTCACAGAGGAAGGCTCGCTGGCTGAGGTACTACAGGCTGGGCCTTACAGAACTGGCAAAGGCTAACGTGCAGACCACGGCCTTGAGACCACATGGCATGGAGGCCAATGCCAGGCAGACAGCCTTGTCAGGAGACTGCAGAAACGCCTGAGGCCTGGGGAGCCCAGCGCCACGGGCTCCATAGGAAAAGACAACTGCAAAATCAAAATGAGTAAATGGTCCATTAAATGCCTACAAAACGTGCTATTATGTCAACTAGTCAACTGCATCTCCACTCAACTCCTCCACACTTATATATAAAATATATTTAATGTGGCATGTGGGTAAATTGAATGGGTTTGACATGATTAGGGGCCAGGCCTCCCCAGGAAAATTCTAAACCAGCCCTGCTGGGGTAGCACAGAGGAGGAGGGACATGGCACGTAAAGGGGCAGCATGTGCAAAGTCAGAGAGCTGGGGAGCAGCACATCAGGCTGGGTTCCTAGGCAGGAGAGGGCCCAGCGGGAAGATGTGTGTATATGGTGGGTGGGGGCTGGGAGTCGGGGGTTGTACCCACAGGGGCCGTAGAAGCAGGAGAGGCAGCTGCTGACCACCCACATGATCTGAAAAGGGCCAGACAATGTCCCCATGACGGCCCTGCCTGTAGCTTTGGACACAGCAAGCTTTCCTGAAGCCCCAGATGCGGGCCTTGACTCTGGGTTTCCGTCGCATTCCCGCGCCCCCTGCGCACCCCTCCGTGGCCACCTCCGGGCGCCACTGAAGATAACTACGCATCCCACAATTCGCCGAGGTTTGTTTTCCCTCCAACTCCAGATGGCCTATCTGGGGACCGCCGAGGCCCTCGGGTGCGGGCCGTTGCCGTTTTTGATGAGCTGTGCACATATGGATACCCAAACATCTGGAGTGGCCATGTGCTGCGCAGGGCAGGCCAGCCCTGGCGAGCCAATCAGGGGCCCCGGGGCGCCGGGAGGCTGCATGGCCCAGCCAGTAAGCACGGATAAATTATTCATGACCAAGTTATTTGTGGTGCAAGGGGTCCATCAGCTACTTTGATTAAAAATCCAATGAGTAATGAATATGCAAACGCTAGCGACTGCTCCAAGCAACAGATTTGTCAAATTGTCTATACTTCACCGAGATAAAGGAAAATCTCCTGGGGTCCTGAAATTGAAAAACCGCACCGTCAAATCACAGCATTATCTTAATTATCAAATATCCTTGGCCATGCAAATACCCCGCATGAAGCTGAGCAGGGCGACGGGAAAAATCGACAGAGAGATATGTATTTGTCTTCCAAACCGGGGCCTGGCTAGTGAGAAACAGCTTAGTACAGAGGAGAAGTGATTTTAATTCACATGGTGACTCCACAGCCATTTAATTATTTTAATTAGGCTTAATTAGTGGTAAATTTACAATGATATGCTTGATACCTGGCATTAAATCTTTCATGCATAAATGTTTTGTTAAAATGAGAAAAAGGCAAGTGGCATTTCGCCAGCAATTACTGCTGAATGTTCTAATGAAGGATTAGGCTCCTCCGTGATTCATGAAGACAGGCGGGCACCAAACTTGTTTGTGAGGCACTGGCACACCATAACTCATGTGTTCCCACCCGAATCATCGCCGTCCTTGTCGCCACGGGGAGCACCTGCTTTGGGGGAGGGCTGTGGTGGTGGGGGCATGAGGGTTTTGGGGTCCTGGCTCAGAGCCCTGAGGCCCTCTGTGTGTGAGGTGGTTGGAGGGGCTCCAAGGGGCCCCCAGAGGGGCTTCATCTGTGGTGCATCGAAAGCAGCCGGGAGAGGGGGTCCACTGTCACCCAGGAGGGCGATTGTCTGGCTGTGGCCCTGGCTAGTTTGTGAGCACTTGGTATTCCTCCATGCCTGGACTGGGCTGGGCACAGAGCAGGCATGCACTAGGCAATGGCTGGAATCATTGGAAGTTGTCCTGGGTCTTGCTGAGCCATCCTGTGGCCCAGCCTAGAACTATTAATAACTACTTCTGAACCCCAAAGAGGCAAAGTCTTGGGCCTGTCTTACTATGAGCAGCAGCTGTTTGTTCTGAGTGAGTCTGGAGATGCTGCAAGATGTACACCCAGTCTTGTTCCTGTCCCATGGCCCAGTGTCTTCTCTGCTTCTCTCTACCTGGCATTAAAAACAAATCCTTGCTCCCTACTCTCAGCAATTAGCTTCAGCTGCCCCTCACTCCGCAAAGAGGAAACCCAACAATTTGCACCTGGACCAAGATAGCAGTGTCAGGGAGAGCCAGGTGGACAGAGAGGAGGGAGCAAAGGCATGGAGGGAGAAAGTGAAAGAAACTCTACCAACTTTGCCTCAGAACCTGGTGACACCCTAATATCAGGCTGGCCTTGTCCCTGGCCACCTGGGGTGCAGTCTTCTCCAGAAGTCAGAAGTCCCGAATGTGATCCCAGGGGCCATCCTGCAGGTCCTGCTTTCCCTCTGAATTCCTGGCTCCCTCTCTGCTGCTGCTGCCCCAACTCCTGGGAGGAGGCTGCCGTGCTTTGCATACCAACAATGCTGTCGGTGAGCTCTCGCCTCCGCCTCCCTTCTCTGAGTCCAGCACTGGATTTCTAGTCACCTTCCTTCCCTGGCTTCTTCCACTCTCTGCTCCCTTTTCATTAGCTAAGGCTCCTCTTCATTCAGTGTCAATGCCTTTGGCTCTGACTTAACCATTTCCCTGAAGAGTTCCAATGTTATGTTTTTTAAACTCATTAGGAATCTCTAGTCTACAGGGTTATGTTTCTTGGTTTTGGCCTCTTAATGGCCTTTTAGAATTTCTCAGCTTTTCTTTTCTTTTACAAGAGATGATGTGACTACTAATGAGACTCTTTTTTGTAAAATTAGTTTTTATTTTATTTTACTCATTCAAAGGAGCATTTATGCAGCCAAGTGGGTAATTCTCTTTCTAAAGTAGTCACTACTTATATCCACTAGAATGGAAGTGCCATGAGGGCAGGGGCCCCAACAGTTTTGTTTCCTATTTAGCTCTAGTCTATCATAGTGCTTGGCATACACAGGGCATGCAATGAATCCTTGTTGAATCAATGAATGATTAGATCCTGCCTACCATGTGTAATTGCTTCGCCATGGGAAAAGGTATTCAAAGTTCCATCTCTGTTTTTTTCTTTTTTTTGAGACAGAGTTTTGCTTTTGTTGTCCAGGCTGGAGTGCAGTGGCAGGACCTCGGCTCACTGTAACCTCCGCCTCCTGGGTTGAAGCAATTCTCCTGCTTCAGCCTCCCTAGTAGCTGGGATTACAGGTGCCCACCATCACACCCGGCTAATTTTTGTATTTTTAGTAGAGATGGGGGTTTCACCATGTTGGCCAGGCTGGTCTCGAATTACTGACCTCAGGTGATCCACCCACCTCGGCCTCCCAAAGTGCTGGGATTACAGGTATGAGCTACCGCGCCCAGCCCAAAGTTCCATCTTTGAATATGAGAATCTATGTCCCACTGCTGCAGCTCTAGGATGCAATATATATTTGTTGGGTGGAAAATATATACAAAATTCTATTTATTCCAATGGGGCGGGCCTTGACACCCAAGATAATGCCCCATATGTATCCTGTGGTTTTGTTTCCCCCTGAAACAATGGCACACACCCCAGGATATACTGTACTTCTCTTTGAGAAACAATTATTTTGGGGCTGACTAGGCTGGATCATGGTAGGGCTGGAAGGTAGAAACTTTGGTAACGTGCCCAAGGCTAGAGACAATAGAGAAAAGGGAGAACTTTTCAGGGAGGACAGCCTATGAGATTCTGTTGAGATGATCATATGGTTTTTATCCTTAACTCTGTTAATATGATGTATCACATTTGTTGATTTGCATATGTTGAAACATTCTCGCATCCCAGAGATGAATCCTGTTTGATCATGGTGTATGATCCTTTTAATATGCTGTTGAATTCAGTTTGCTAGTATTTTGTTGAGGATTTTTGCATACATGTTCATCAGAAATATTGGCCTATAATTTTCATTTCTTGTAGTATTTTTGCCTGGCTTTGGCATCAGGGTAATGCTGGCTTTATGAGATGAGTTTAGAAGTGCTTTCTCCCCTTCAATTTTTTTGGAAGAGTTTGAGAAAAATTGGTGGTAATTCTTTTTTACATGTTCAATAGAATTCACCAGTGACGCCACCTGGTCCTGGGCTGTTCTTTGTTGGGAGATTTTTGATTACTGATTTAAATCCCCTAATCATTACTGTTTTGTTCAGATCTTCTGTTTCTTCATGGTTCAGTCTTGGCAGGTTGTGTGTTTCTAGGAATGCATCCATTACTTCTAGGATAACCAATTTGTTGGTGCATAATTGTTAATAGTAATCTCTTAATGGTCTTTTGTATTTCTGTGGTATCAGTTGTAATATTTTCTCTTTCATTTATAATTTTATTTATTTGAATTTTTTCCTTTTTTTCTTAGCCTAGTTTATTGATTTTTGTTTATCTTTTCAAAAAACAAACTCTTAATTTTGTTGATCTTTTCTATTGTTTTGCTAATCTCTATTTCATTTCTGCTCTAACCTTTATTATTTTCTTTCTCCTAATGGTAGGATTAGTTTGTTCTCTTTTTTTCTAGTTCCTTGAAGTATAAACTTAGGTTATTTATTTGAGCTCTTTCTTTTTTTCTTAATGTAAGAGTTTATAAACTTCTCTCTTAGAATTCCTGCATTCTATAAGTTTTGGTATGTTGAGTTTCAATTTTCATTTATCTCAAGATCATTTTTTATTTTTCTTTTGATTTTTTTTCTTTGACCCATTGGTTGTTCAAAGGGGTGTTGCCTAATTTCCACACATTTGTGAGTTTCTCAATTTTCTTCCTGTTATTGATTTCTAGTTTCATAGCTTCGTGGTTAGGAAAGATATGTGATAGATTTTTAATCTTCTTAACTCTGTTAAAACTTATTTTGTGCCCTAAGATATGATCCATCCTGGAGAATGTTCCATGTGCACTTCAGAAGAATGTGTATTCTGTTGCTGTTAGATGAAATGGTCTATATGTGTCTGTTAGGTTCCTTTGGTGTATACTGTTGTTCAAGTCCATTGTGTCCTTGATTTTCTGTCTGGATAATCTATCATTGTCGAAAGTGGGGTTTGAAGTCTCCTGCTATTATTGTATTGCTACTTACATTTCCCTTCAGTTCTGTTAATAATTGCTTGGTATAGTTAGGTGCTCCAACATTGGATGCACATATATTATAATTGTTTTACACTCTTGATGAATTGACTATGTTATCATTATATAATGATATTCTTTGTATCGCATGACAGTTTTTGCGTTAAAGTCCATTGTTTCTAAATATAGCCACCCTGCTCTCTTTTGGTTACCATCTGCATGGAATATTTTTTCCCTTCCCTTCACTTTCAGCTTATGTGTGTCCTTAAAGCTAAAGTGAGTCTCTTGTAGGCAGCATCTAGTTGGAGCTTTTTTTTAATAAAAAACCATTCAGCCATTACATGTCATTGGATTGGAGAAATTAATCCATTATAATTTGCCTAGTAATTATTGCTAGGTAAAGATTTACTGTTGCCATTTTGTTAAATGTTTCTGTTTTGTAGTTGTTTTTTTCCTACTTCTTCCATCTTCCTTTGTGATTTGATGATTTTTTGTAGTGATATTCTTTTTTTAATATTTTGTATATCTACTACAAATTTATCTTACCATGAGGCTTACATAAAACATATTTACATATTTACAACAGTGTATTTTAAGTTGATAGCAACTTAACTTTGATTACATAAAAACTCTAACCTTTTACCCTTCACACACACATTTTATGTTATTGATGTCACAATTTACATTTTTTTATATTGTTTATTCATTAACAAATAATTATAGCTACAGTTATTGGTATCTTTGTCTTTTAACTTTTGGACTAGAGTTAAAAGTGATTTATGTATCACCATTATAGTATTAGAGTATTCTGGGTTACACATATCCTTACCTTTATAAGGAAGTTTTAAACTTTCATATGTTTTTATGTTGCTTATTAACATACACTTGTCTCAATTGGGAGAACTCTCTTTAGCATTTCTTGTAAGGAAGTAGTGGTGAACTCCTTCGGCTTTTGTTTTATGGGAAAGTCTTTACCTCGCCTTTATTTGTGAAGGACATATTTGCCAGGTATAGTGTTCTTTGTTGGCAGTTTTTTTTTCCTCTCAGCATCTTGAATATGTCATCCCATTCTTTCCTGGCCTGTGAGGTTTCTGCTGAGAAATCCACTGATAGTGTTATAAAGATTCCCTGGTATGTGATGAAGTGCTTTTCTGTTGCTGCTTTCAAATTTCTCTCTGTCATTGACTTTTGACAACATGATTATAATGTCTTTTGGTGAAGAATTCTTCATATTTAATGTACTTGAAGTTCTTTGGGCTTTATGGATCTGGATGTTTCCTTTCCTGTCCGGATTTGAGATTTTCTGTCATTATTTCTTTAAATAAGCTTTCTGACTTTTTCTCTTTCTCTGCTCCTTCTGGAAGTCCCACAATTGGTTGGCTTGATGGTATCCCATAGGTCTTATATGCTTTCTTCACTCTTTTTCATTCTTTTTATTTGTTTGTTTGTTTCACTGACTGGATAATTTCAAATATTCTGTCTTCAAGGTCACTGGTTCTTTTTTCTGTTTGATTAAATCTGCTGTTGAAGCTCTTTATTGAATTTTCAGTTGAGTCATAGTCTTCAGCTCCAGGGTTTGGTTCTTTTTTTTAATCTTTCTATCTCTTTGTTGAACTTCCCATTTTCTTCATGTATTATTTTCCTGATTTCATTTAGTTGTATATCTGTGTTCTGTTGTAGATCACTGAGCTTCTTTAAGACAACTATTTTGAACTTTTTGTCAGAAAATGCACAGATTTCCATTTCTTTGGTGTCAGCCACTGGTGCTTTATTTTGTTCTTTTAGTGGTGTCCTTTTCTCTTGAGTTTTAATGTTTCTTGAAGTCTTGTGTTTCTGTCTTTGCATTTGAGAAAATGGTCATCTCCTCCATTCTTTACTGACTGGCTGTGGGAGAGAAAAACCTTCACTAGTCAGCCTGACTAGAGGTTCTGGGGACCCTTTAAACCTTCTCTGTGGAAGTGCCTACTTCACTCTTCTTGTTCCCTCCTTTGGGAGAAGTATTAGGATTGTGTGCCTTCTCTTGATTCCACAAAGCCAGGCTAGGTGGTGAGAGCCTCCTGTTTATTTTCCCTAGGGCAGTGTCCTGAAGTGTTTAAGGTTGTGCACCTTCTCCCAATCCAGCAGAGTCAATCTGGCTGCTGATATCTGTATGGTTTCTATGGAGGCATGTACCACCTGGAGAACCTTGTTTGTGGCATTTGTATGGTAGTGCAGGATGCCTACCATGAGGGATGTGGGACGTGGAGTGCTGGGAGCATACATGAGCTAGTCAGAGTGTCTGCAGGTGAGGTGCCACTTGGAGTTCATGGACAATGCTCCTGATAGACTTCACAAACCAGCCAGTAGGATCTGAGGCCGGTTGTTGAGATTTGTGCACCAACGGTCATAAGCTCCCTCATTTTTACCCTGCTCCTAGTTGCCCCTAGATGCTTCAGCTGTGCCAGTCTCCTCTGTGTTCTGGGTGAGGCAAGACAGAAGTGGGTCTACTGTTGAGGATTTCGTAATGCTGAAGAAGCTGGGTGCTCACTTTGCTCTCACTTTCCCCCATAGGAGAAATCATGGGCTGAGGGAGTTTCTCTAGGCACAGAGCTGTACCACTTTGGGGAGAAGTGAACAGTTTCATTAAGTGAAACTGTTCTTACCTTCTTCAGTGAATCTATTCTTGGATATTTTGCTCCACTAAGGTGCTGGAACCTCTCAGCTGAACTCCTGGGTTCCCATAAAGGTATTCTGGCCCATGGGTGGTTGTTAAAATTGGTGCTTTTGTGGGGATTTGAGGAATAGAACCTCCTATTCCACCGTCTTGCTCCAACATATCTCATTTTAATTCAATGACTTAACCCCCTACATAAACCAGACAGTTCTTGGTGGACTATATTTAAACTCAAACAGGTAATAACTCCAATTGAAGCTACTGTGCCAAATGCAATTTTAGTTAGAGCAGATTAATATTGCTTCAGGCACTAATATATGGCCATTGATTTGGTGAATTCTTTTTCTAGTCCTATAAAGGAGAATTGGAAATATTTTACATTCATTTTGGATGGATAACAGTACACATTTATGATTTTTTCCCCAAAGCAGCCCACCCTCTGTCACAATTGAATCTAAAGGGACCCAGACCTCTGGAGAGTCCACAGAACTTTACCTTGGGCCACCTTCTTGATGACATGATGTTAATCAGACTGGGTAAGCAAGAATTTTGGAGACCTTGGTAATGCATGTACTCCAGAGCTTGGGGGATAACGCTTACCAAGATTCAGAGTATTGCCACAGCAGATTTTAGGGCTTCAGTGATCTGGGGCATTTCCTTCAAAGTAAAGGACTAGATAGTGCATCTGGCATCTCTCATCACTAAGAAAGAAGCACAACACCTGTTGCACTATAGCTTAATTCAAATTTAGCTGTGAGGGCAAATCCTCCTAGCGGGCAGAACTTTAGGTTATGCATTTGGCCATTTACTTTGGACAGAGAAGTGACCCAAGGCAAAAGACATATATGGTCTCTTTCTGAGTAGTGACTGTATCCCCAGTAGGTGGAATTGATGATTTTGAGAACCAACAAGTTGTCATAGCAGAGGACCTGTCTATCATCTCTCCTAGTGATCCATATGGAAGGTTTCCCTATGACTTAAGGCCAGTGGGTCTCAGGTCCTTGTTTCCAGCAAGTATTCCATCAAACTTTAATCTATGACTACTGCCTAGTCACTTTGAGCTCTTTGTGCTATGGCACTAGTAGGCAAAAAAAGGAGTCACCATCCTGGCAGGAGTGGCTGACTCAGGAGAGGGTAGGGCTACTCTTCTAAAATTGAGGCAGGGAAGGATACAGTTGTCACTCAAGTGATATACTGGGTAGTCTCTTGGTACTCTGTTGCCCACTTTGACTGATAATGGACACATGCAGCATCCACAATTTGAGAAGGGCATGAGACATGGGTTCAGGTCCCTCAGGAAATAGGGTCTAGATTACTTCACTAAGTTACTTACCTGGTCCAACATCAATGCTCATCTAGAATAGAGAATAGAAAAAAAAATGAGGGGTATCATTACAGCATTGAGACCAGCTTCAGTGCTGGAGGCAGGAATGAGGGACTATTCTTCACATTAACTTTCCTCCAGTGTGTTTCCCCAGCTAAGAGGCCAACCGGAATCATAAAAGGTTATGTGAAGGAAGGGTTACTGGAGTAGTGCTAGGGAGCCCTGGGTGGTTGCTGCGGTGTGTTGCCCACATTGTCCCTTCAGGATCGAGGCACTCATTTTTCCAACTTGTTGGGAGTGTTGGTGGCTCTCAGCTCAAGTCTCTCTCCAGGAATTGCTCTTAGCTAAAGGGAATCCTCTTGCCAAAGTCACTCCTTTCTCTGGAGGGAGCCCACTTCAAGTGACTGATCACTGAGGATACGTAAAGGCCCAGCCTTCTTGCCATAGGGCAAGGAAATTCTGCAGGACTTTTCCAGCTCTAGAAATCCCCATGGGATTGTCTGAGTCTTTTGTTGTGCCTGTAGTTCCTCTCCTCCCTCTGCCCAATCCCAGATCCTTCACTCCATACCCAGACCCCATCTTCACTACTCCCCAGTGAACTTACTGCAGACATTCTATAGTGAAACCACCCATCCAGACACTAAGAGCTTCTAAACACCTTTTTGCACCTTATGAGTAAATATGAATATAAAGACAAGGATTGTCAGATATTTGAGGACAATCTCTAACTTGAAAGATAGATCCCAATGCAAACCAGTGGAAAATGAACTCAGGAGAAAGACAAAGACCATAGAGAGGAAATGGAACTTCAAATAATAAAGTAAAATCTCAGAGAGATAAGCAAAGATATATCCACCGTGCAACAAAAACAGAATGCTATAGAAAAGGAGCGATCAAAGAGATTCTGGAAATTAAAATTGCCATATCCGAAATAAAAACTGTGATGTGACCATATTGTGATGTGCAGAAGAGAAGAGGGAAGTGTTTGTGAGAGTGTGTATGAGTGTGTATGTGTGTGTGTGTCTGTGTGAATGGGGTATAAAAATCCAGTCCACGTGTTTCATAGATGGAAGGTTTCAGATTACATTTCAGTTTTTTAAAAATCAGGAACCAAAAGTGTAAACATCTTATAAATATGAACATAAATATAAGATGATATAGCTAAAAATAGAAATTGAGTGCTTCTAGATTTTGGGAAATCAGGAGGCACTCAATTTTTTGAGGAGGGCATGGGGCAGGAGATGGATACTTTTCACTAAAAGCCTCGTGCAGCTATTTGACAGTTTAAATAATACTTTTATTACTCTGTTAAAATGCAAATTAATTTTTTAAAAAATTATTTACAATGGGGCTTGAAATTTGAAAATCTTGGGCTGAAGTCACGCTCTGCCATCTGCTCCCCAGGTAACTTTAGGTAAGCACCTCAGTCTACTCATCTACAAGATGGGTATTGGCCCACTTGCTTTTTTAGGCTGTTCTGAGAATTCTGTAGATAATAAATCTAGAAGCAGGTTTTCACCTGAAAGGCTCTGTACAAATGCAACTCCCGTGATCATGCACATTTTACCCACTGCTGGGTTTGGCCAACAAAATAGGCGGCGGTGGTTGTGCTTTTTCCATGGCCGTGTTCAAAAAGGCACATCCCTTTTGGTTGTAAAGGCTCTAAATGTCTCCTCTCGAGACAGATTGTCTCATCAGAAATACCAACATATCTGGATGATTTGCAAACCAGCCACCAGCTAAATTTACTGCCTCCTAAAATAGTTTTGGGATATCTCTAGGACAGGCCCAGCCCCAAACACATTCATAAAGGCAGCCAAGACTGGCTTTGGCACTCCCACTCCCTCCTGGCTTACAGTCTTTCCTGCTCTCTAGCCCCCACCCCAGACACCCAATACCCCTGCCTCAACCCCCTCCCCTCCAGCTCTACCTCTCCAGACAAGACCTGCTCTCTGGGAGGGACGGAGAACCTCACTACACCACAGGGATATGATGGGCCCACAGTAGCTTCTATTGAACCACTCTTTTTTCCCATGAGAATGTGCATTTGAACACAGAATAAAGTATTAAGCTAAAGAAGAAAAGTTTTAATGGTGAATTAATGCAGAAACAAGACCGTCAAGAAGTATATTTTGGGAAGTGACGACATCCTCGCCCTTCTAAAATTATATCATGCACATGAATAGAGTTGGAATATCTATTTCCACATAGAGGCGACCATCTGACAGGCCCTGTTCTGAGGCCCCAGACAGGGCCTATGCACTTCAAGTTACTAGAATCCTAGTACTTACTTCACAGAGAGTCATTGGAGGGAATCTTTCCTAGCTGCCTTCCTGCTGCAGGAAGCACCTTCTTGGTGTCCTTTGCCATAGAGACAGACATTCACCGTCTCTTGCAATGTGGACCTCTTTCCTTCAGTGTCTAACCTTGTGTTAATGATGGATGGTTCTTACTATTAGAAAAGACTTCCTCGTACCAATTTGATTCTGCCTCCTTCTAATTTCAACTCATTGCTTCTATTTCCACCCTCTGAGGCAAAATAGAACAGCAAGTTGAACCTCTTTCTCAGCAATGGCCCTTTGTTTATGTGAAGACATCGTTCTCTTTGCCATTTTCCAAAGGGTGTTCCATTGAATACTAGTTCTGGAGGATACTAGTCCTAAAAGGTATGTGATGAAATGGTTGGGCAGACAAACAGGTTTGGGGAAAGCTGAGCTAGTTGAAGTTAAACAGGTTTGTTTATGGCAGGACTTTGAGGACCTTTAATAAGCAAACACACCAAGCCGTGCTCTGAGAATGGGATTCAGAATGGTCTGCTTTTTGAACTTGTGTAACCCTAGAGTGCTCTTTTGGTGGGAGTCTTATGGGCTTAGTGTTGGGAAACCACTAGTCCTGCAGAATGAGCTCTGGAGTAGGAATCACCGGTGTGCAGGAGCCGGTTTCCGCCTACTCACAATAGCCAATTGTGCACGTCCCTCCCAACTCTGTATTCAATGATGTCACATGGTGACATGGTTTGGTCTGTGTCCCCACCCAAATCTCATCTTGTAGCTCCCATAACTCCCACGTGTTGTGGGAGGACCCAGTGGGATGTGATTTAATCATAGGGGCATGTCTTTCCCTCGCTGTTCTCATTATAGTGAATGGGTCTCACGAGATCTGATGGTTTTAAAAACCAGAGTTTCTCTACACAAGCTCTCTCTCTTTGCCGGTCACAATCCATGTAAGATGTGACTTGCTCCTCCTTGCCTTCTGCTATGATTGTGAGGCCTCCCCAGCCAGTGGAACTATGAGTCCAATTAAACCTCTTTGTTTTGTAAATTGCCCAGTCTCAGGTATGTCTTTATCAGTAGGGTGAAAACAGAATAATACAGTAAATTGGTATCATTAGAGTGGTGCGTTGCTGAAAAGATACCCAAAAATGTGGAAGTGGCTTTGGAACTGGGTAACAGGCAGAGGTTGGAACGGTTTGGAGGGCTCAGAAGAAGACAGTAAAATGTGGAAAAGTTTGGAACTTCCTAGAGACTTGTAGAATGGCTTTGACAAAAATGCTGATAGTGATACGGACAATGAAATCCAGGCTGAGGTGGTCTCAGATGGAGATGAGGAACTTGTTGAGAACTGGAGCAAAGGTGACTCTTGTTATGTTTTAGCAAAGAGACTGGTGGCTTTTTGCTCCTGCCCTAGAGATTTGTAGAACTTTGATTTTGAGAGAGTTGATTTAAGGTATCTGGCAGAAGAAGTTTCTAAGCAGCAAAGCATTGAAGAAGTGACTTGGATGCCATTAAAGGCATCCAGTTTTATAAGGAAAGCAGATCATAAAAGTTTGGAAAATTTGCAGCCTGACAATGCACTAGAAAAGAAAATCCCATGTTCTGAGGAGGAATTCAAGCTGGCTGCAGAAATTTATACAAGTAATGAGGAGCCAAATGTTAATCCCCAAGACAATGGGGAAAATGTCTCCAGGGCATGTCAGAGACCTTTCTGGAAGCCCCTCCCATCATAGGTCCAGAGGTTTAGGAGGAAAAAATGGTTTTGTAGGCTCGGCCCAGGGTACCTCTGCTGTGTGCAGTTTAGGGACTTGGTGCACTGTGTCCCAGCTGCTCCAGCTATGACTAAAAGGGTTCAAGGTACAGCTCGGACTGTTGCTTCAGAGGGTGGAAGCCCCAAGCCTTGGCAGCTTCCACATGGTGTTGAGCCTACAGGTGCACAGAAGTCAAGAACTGAGGTTTGGGAACCTCTGCCTAGATTTCAGAGGATGTATAGAAATGCCTGAATGCCTAAGCAGAAGTTTGCTGCAGGGGCAGGGCCCTCATGGAGAACATCTGCTAGGGCAATGTGGAAGGGAAATGTGGGGTCAGAGCCCCCATATAGAGTCCCTACTGGGGCACTGCCTAGTGGAGTTGTGAGAAGAGGGCCACTGTCCTCTAGATCCCAGCATGGTAGAACCACCAACAGCTTGCACCGTGCACCTGGAAAAGCCACAGACACTCAACACCAGCCCTTGAAGGCAGTTGGAAGGGAGACTGTGTCCTGCAAAGCCACAGGGGCAGAGGTGCCCAAGACATGGGAACCCATTTTTTTGCATCAGCATGACCTGGATGTGAGACATGGAGTCAAAGGAGATCATTTTGGAGCTTTAAGATTTGACTGCCCTGCTGGGTTTTGGACTTGCATGGGCCCTATAGCTCCTTTGTTTTGGCCAATTTCTCCCATTTGTAATGGCTGTATTTACCCAATGCCTGTATCCCTGTTGTATCTAGGAAGTAACTAACTTGCTTTTCATTTTACAGGCTCATAGGTAGAAGGGACTTGCCTTGTCTCAGATGAGACTTTGGACTATGAACTTTTGAGTTAATGTTGAAATGAGTTGAGACTTTGGGGGGCTGTTGGGAAGGCATGATTGGTTTTGAAACGTGAGGACATGAGACTTGGGAGAGGCCAGTGGCGGAGTGATATGGTTTGGCTCTGTGTCCCCAAGCAAATCTCATCTTGTAGCTCTCATAATTCCCATGTGTTGTGGGAGGGACCTGGTGGCAGACGACTGAATCATGGGGGCAGTTCTTTCCCATGCTGTTCTCATGATAGTGAATGGGTCTCATGAGATCTGCTGGTTTTAAAAACAGGAGTTTCTCTGCACAAGCTCTCTCTTTGCCAGCTGCCATCCACGCAAGATGTGACTTGCTCCTCCTTGCCTTCCACTATGATTGTGAGGCCTCTCCAGCCACATGGAACTGTGAGTCCACTAAACTTCTTTATTTTGTAAATTGCCCAGTCTCACATATGTCTTTATCAGCAGAGTGAAAATGGACTAATCCACAAGGGGAGCTTGAAATTGGCTACAGTGGGAGTATGTACATAACAGCAACTGACAAGTGCTACAAACCAGGGCTTTCTATGCCCAGAGAGCTGATTGCTAAACATTTACCAGTGCACTACTCAACCAGAGGCTGTGGGTTAAAGGCACTGGGTACTAGGCCTGGCACAAGTCATCCCTCCTTTCTGACTCTCTGCTCCCATCTGTTTGAATTTGTGAACTCAACAGTCCTTTTCTGCTTTGAGATAAGGCTACAGGTGACTCCTCTCAGATTGCCCTTCTAAGTTCAACATCCCTGGTCAATTTGCCCATTCTTCCTAGTTTATGATTTCCAAATCTCTCACCACCCTGCTGGTTGCTCAGGCCCAAATGCCCTCCATGTGGTCAGTTTCCCTTTTGCATGAAAGTCTGCTTCTGGAAGTGGACACCATCCTCTAGATGTGGCCTGGCCAGTATGAGCAGGTAAGCCACAGAGCACACATGTAAGGGCCAGAGGCTTCTAGATGGTGAGAACTCCCAAACAAGGCAGGCTTTTTCAATGCCCTCAAGATGGTAGGTCCCTGCCACCAGTGTGGCCTCTCCTGTCTCTCATGTTCACACCAGGCATCATGAGGTGGTGCTACGTCCAGGCTCTGGTGTACATGTGAATCCTGTCTACCGTGTAAACTTGAGTGATGAGACTCTGGGCCTTCCTCAGTTTCCTTACCTATAATCTTGGGAAATAATAGTACTTAGCTATATGGTTATTATCAGGATTAAATGAAAGAACACATGTGAAGTGTTCAACAAAGGACAGCTTTCATAACTGTTGTTATTAATCAATTATAACACTCTTTCCCACTGTCACAGATGCCATTGGTGTCCTGCCCAGATCCTCTTTGCCCAGCCAGTTCTCCCAACTCCCAGCTGTTGTGAGTGTGAGATGCTACAAGCTCCTAGCTGCACTCCTCCCTGTGGCATATCCCTCAGCAGGAACATGAGTCTCCCTTCCAGGAGGTATCTGGGAGGTTACGCTCACCTCCCACCTTCCCTCAGGGTCAACCCATGGCCAATGACTGACTGACACAGAGATACAAAAGCCTTGCTTCACTGTGGGGCAATCCTGCTGTGCCATTCACACTCCAGAACTTCCCATGGGATCAGGCTGAGGCCAGGCTTCAGCTGAAATGATGTCTTTGTTTAGCGTCTTCTTCTGCATCTCTCACTTTCTTACAGGTTTCTCTGGAAGGCACTTCCTCGATAAATAATGTGCACAAGAATACCTGTCTCAGGCTCTGCAACCAGACCTAAGACACCCGCGAAGCCTGGATACAACCTTAACTTAACATAGTGTCTCACGTAGATGCTACCCACTGATTTGAGTTGGCATTGGAAGGGAAACCGATGGGTCTCCTTCCAGGTCTAACCTCTTATTGGTTTGGTTGAAAAACTGTGGGAGGCATCACAGGTACAGGAGCAGCTCAGTGAAGCACAGGGTGAAACCAAACAGAGTCTAGCAAGTAGAGAGGTAGTGACAGATAAGATTGGACAGAGAAAGGACTCAGAAATACATGGCCTTAAGGGCTAGAGCAAGAGGCTTAGCCTTGATTAAAAATGCCTGAGGTCTGAGTCAGGAGACCAACATTCCAGTGCTAGTGTTGCCCCTCAGCAGCTGTGGGAACTGGAAAGATGATTATAAAACTGACTTCACAGGGTAAGGATTACATGAGATAATGCTGCACACTTTAAAGGGGCTGTGGTAGACACCTGTCGTTTTTTCTTGCCAACCACCTATTGTCCCCTTTTCTGATCTAGGGGCTTGGGTGGCCTTATGCTAGTCACTCCCTTGAAGAGTGACTGAATCATTATGATTGACTGTAGGTGGGCATGTGACCCATATCAGGCCAATGACAGTTATGCCAGTTTCAGAAATGAGGGATATTTTATTTCAGGAATGACTCCTTCTGGTCTCTCTGCCTCTAAGGCTCATATAAGCCTGGAATTGCTAGGGGCCATTGTTATCACCACTTAGAGAAAGCTGCCCTGGAAATAAAGTCAATGAGGAGGAGAGCAGGGACTTCTGTTCCTGGCAACGTTTAGCTAAATAACCTGAACTTGCTCCCTCAGAAAATTCTTTTAAAATTACATATCAATTAAAATAAATATATGTAATGCCTAATTGAGCTTGCAAAAAATATGGGGAATCACAAGGGGTCCAATAAAATAAAGATAGAACAAAAATCAGAGTATCTGGCATGTAAGTTGAGGCTGTAGCTGCTTTGAGATGGTGTGGGTAGCCTCAGGACTTGAGATTGAATCTGCACATGGCAGCCAAAGACAAGGCCCTGAGCCTGTGCTAAGTTAAACATGAGAACTGTGCATGAAGGTAGGATCCTTCAAGCATTGTGCTTGCAGCAGGAGAAAAACATCATACACAGGGAGCCAACAGAAAAGCTGTATGTCTTGGCCTGAACTCTGAGGATGAAAGAGTGTCCCTTGATAATTTATGTAGGCAAGTCTATGTGTTGTGAGGGGTTGGGGTGTGCCATGGTACTACCTGTATGGTCTGGGAATCACTGAACCTATAAACTAATATTAAAATGATGTTAGGATGGATAGGGATGGCCCTCGGGAACTGGGCAAAAGCAAACCCAGACTCTTTGGCAATATGCCATCAACCCAAATGATTCTCCACAGATAAGGCTCCATTGAAAGTAGCCTCATAATCCTATATAACAAAACACACAAGGAATGGATCCACCTTGAGCGACAGTCAGGAGCCCCAACAAAGAGCAGTATTACACCCTAACACCGTCCACCAACAAGAACTCCAGGTAGCAGAACTGTTAGTCTATACAAATAAATATGCTTGAAATGAATAAATGCATAAAAGGGGAATCAATTACCCAAGAAAGAACATGACAATATGAGAAAATAACTTTCATGTTGCAAAAAGAACCCAACAGAATTACTAGAAATGAAAAACATGTACTCATTGCTTTTTTTAAAATTAGGATTAATTAAAAAGCAGATTAGACACAATTGGAGAGAGGATTAATGAACTTGAAAATATATCTGAGGAAAATACCTAGCATGCAGAGAGATAAAGACATGGAAATATGAAAGAGTTGTTTAGAGATGTGGAGGACAGGATAAGAAGGCCTCATACACATTTAATGGGAGTTACAGAAGGAGAACAGAAAAAATGAGAGAGAGAGGCAATGTTAAACAGTACAATCAATAACTATGTTTTGGAATTATTGAAAGACATTAATCTTCAGATTCAGGAATCACAGATAGCCCCCGTCAGCATAAAGAAAATTAAGTCCACTCCTAGAACATCATACATTGTACTAAAACTGCAGAACACCAAAGACAAGGAGATCTTAAGAAAGATAACAGAAAAAAGATAGATTATTATAAATAAATGATTGGCAGCTATAAAAGCAATAGCAGCTTTCGATAGCATCTATAGAAGCAAGGAGAAAATGGAATAATGTCTTCAAAAAATTGATAAGGAAAAAATAAAAACAAACTGTCACATTAGAATTCCAATTAAGAGTCAGAAAAAGGGAAAAGTGAAGGCATCCCAAAGAAAGATTAACAGCATTTTCTATTCACAGATCCTCTCTGAAAGCTCTGCTGCAGGATTATTTTAGGAAGAAGAAAATTCCACCTAGAGGCAAGGACTGAGGTGCAAGAAGAAATAGGAATCAGAAAAAAATAATAAACATGGGATGAATCCAATCAAGCATTTCCTGCATAAAACTATAGTAACATTAAATAATTTTTGGATATAAAACTATTTGATTTGAATATGATATATAAGATGTGAAGAGACTCATAGTGGCTAAAGTATTCTAAAGTCTTATATTCTTTGATGATACAGATTTTTATTAACTTCAGACATAGTAAAGTCAAGTATGCATGTTAAAAAAATTAAGGACAATCAAGAAAAATGCATAAGATACAAACCAGTAAAGTATATGAGCTATAAGCCAGTAACAAAGAGAAAAAAAGAAAGGCTAAAGAAAAAACACTCTATGACATAAAAAGAAGGAAAAAAAGCATAGACAAAGCAGAGTAAAAAGAATACAAAAATAAAATGCTGCTAAGTAAATACAAATAGATTAGTGAGCACAACATATTTCAATGGATTTAAATCTCTGGTTAAAATACAGAGATATCAAATTGCATTTTAAAAAATTCCAGCTCTATATTGTTTATAAGACATTAGGTAAATCATAAGAACACTGAAAAGTTGAAAGTAAAAGGATAGAAAAAGTTGCCATGAAGAAAAGCAGAGTTGAGAGATCGAGGAAAAGAGATGTTTTTGATAGCCTCAGCTGACCTCAGAATCCAGCCTTTACTGCTCGATGATCCAGTTATGTGAATCCTCAAATATCCCATTCCTTCCTGCCATTTTGCAAGCTTGTTTGAGTTGGGTGTTTTCACTTGCAGCCAGAAGATGACCAACCAATGCAGAAGTAGACTTGCAGCTCAGGATCCTGATTACTCTAAGAAGGGTAAGGTGAGAGTCATGTCTTAGAAGAATTCATCTGGTAATGAGATGAAGAGGGGATTGGAGAGGGGAAAAGCTGGAAATGGGCAGTGGACAAGGCAATCATGCAGGCAAGCAGCGAGGAGAGCTGTGCTAAGGAAGTGCCAATGAACCTGGAGAAGCGACAGGAAGGTTTCCAGAAGCCTGCTTTGAACGTTTGATTTGTCTAACCTTAAAAGTGTTCATTCATACAGCTCTTGAGAGCATGCTAGGGTTTGTAAGACATTAACTGAGGGGCTTCTGTGTCCTGAGGTGAACATTTTGAAAATATTTCCAGATGCTCAGCCAACTCAACAAAAATCATTAAAAAACCAAACCAACCAACCAAACAAACAAAAACAATAATAGCAGGAATACTCTGGCCACATCTTAGATCAAAGTGATAAGGATGTCTGAAAATCTTTAACCCAGAGACAAGAACTCAGTAAATATAAATAACGATATGATTTGCATCTTAGACAAGTTGAATTATGTATTTCTAGGCAGAAACCCAGGAACACTGGTGTCTGCAAATGGGACACACAGGGATATAGCTACATTTCTGTGCTTCCTTTTTCTTACATGTTAAGTGAGGCAACTGGACCAGCTCTCTAGCATCACTTCTCGTAGAGTTTATGGGTTTTTTCATTTAATTTTTTCGAATGTTGGGATACCTGGGTAGACAGGTATGTGTGGTTCCTTCTGTGCCTCCGTGTATGTGTGTGCATACGTGTATGTGTGTGAGATCAACAACCATATGTGGGCCTGTGTTTTCCTCTCACTGTCTAGCCATGTCTCTTGCTGTCAGCTTGCATGTGTGTTCATAATCATTTGTTTGTTTCTTCCTCCCTCTCCTCCTCCTCTCGCTGCTTCCCCTTTTTACTCTGCCCCGAAACTCTGTGAGATGCATGAACATTTCTCAGTTATGTGATGTTCTCAGCAGGAGGATGGAGCCAAATAATGGTGTTTCTAGTTATTACTCTGATGAATCACAGGGGAACAGCCTTCACCAAGGTAGAACGGCTTGCATAAAATATGTTCATTCAATTAAAAAAAAGAAATTGAAAAATAAGATACTGCCAACATGGGGCACTGAGTTATGTAGGGTTTATGCAGCATTTAATTTGCAATTCAAGCAAGAAACACACCAGAGAGGCACCTGTGAGGAAGCTCCCTGGAATGGGGGGAGGGGTTCCCACTGTCAAATAAAAACCTTATGCCTCAGATGAAGTTTCTGGAATATGGAAGAGGGGAGTGTAGATAGTTCCTGGGTTCCCCCAAGCTAGTCTAAGCAATGGATTCTATGCTGGAGATACTGTGGCCCCTAATAGTGAGAACTGGCTGGCTTGTGACGTCTACAGCCTAAGTGGCCATGTTTTGCACCATTTGAATCCCTGCCCCACAACCTCAGCTGATCAGCTCAGGCACTGGTACTTGACCCAAAGACACCAGCCTGACCTGGGAGGTGGCCTGACACAGGAATGACAAGCCAGGCCAATCGGATTTTGTCTCTCTCTGACTTCTGGCACTTCACTTGAACCTGACATCAAGAAACATGAAGAGACCAGAGCAGTTAACAGTGGAAGCTATGAAGGAGAGCAGGTCATGGTGACCACAGACAAATTGAAAGTAAGAGGGAGCAGAAAGTGGAAAAGGCAGAAGATGCAAGTTAGGAGACAGAGGAGGGTCTGAGCAGAGGCTCGGGGAGAAGCAGAGATCTCATGTGGCAGGCAAGACAGCGCGGCCCAGGAGGGAGGTGGTGGGAAGAGGTATGTGCCGGGCATTGCTTTAGAAACTGGGAAAGAGACAAAGGTCTCTCTCTTCGTGGAGCTGATGTTTTAGTGGGCTGTCCCTGAGGGGCTGCTGTGGTCTACACCTTTGACCTGTATGACCACATTTTGTATCATTCCCTGTCCATTTCATTTTCCTCAAGCCCCAAAGGATTGAACCTTGGGAATATCAGCTCCTACCCACATGGCAAGATTTGGTTGCAAGCAACAGAAATGAACCTTGGCTAACCTAAGCAAAAGAGGAATTTTAAGGGTCTTGGAACTAGGAAAGATATGAAGGTAGCTCAATAGCATTGATGGGGTTTCATGAATCAGGCCTCTCTCACTCCACCCCTTTCTCACTTTTGCCTGCTGGGCTTGCCTACCTTCTGCAGACAAGACCACACATGGCAGGGAAAATATTCACCATCAACCCCTGCTCACACTATCCCAGCTCAGGATCCCCAGTAAAGAGAATAATCCTAGGGAAGATTCTGATTGGCTGGGCGTGGGTCAGTTGCATCCCCAGACCAATCACTGTTGCCAGAGGAAATTAGCCAGCTCAACCTATCTAGACACCTGTGGCAAGAGGAGTAGGCACCTTCACAAGATTAAAAGAGCTAGAGGAAGAAATGTGAGAGGCAGCAACAGCAGTAGTTACCATAGTCTAATGTCAAAAAAGAAAACCTCAAATAGCAGAGGCCGGATTTGGCCCCAGGCCCCATCCACATTACTGGTCTTCCAGGCCCTTGGAGAAGGCATTTTAGACCATGTAACTTTGAGTCTATTTACTAATCACCTCTGAGAAGGGGGCTGCTGGGATACATTAGGATAACTCGATTGTAAGATTTTAATGACATAAGATCAAGACCTCGGGAGGCCTGAGCCCTGCAGTCGATCAATTCACATACCTTTCACTCAGGCCCAAGTGACTGAAAATCATTTTGCTCCCCGAGCTCTTAAAGGTCAGGAGTTGGATGCCTCAAGAAAATCTCTTTCTCTATCACAGGAAACCTCTTGCATTTAGTGTTCTGTCAATCAGGGCCACCCCAGGAGGCCTTAGAAGGGGAGTGCAGAGAAAATGTGGCCTGTGTTCCTTTCTTCCTTTTTTTCCTTTTGGCTAGGCTGGTGCATGTGTGTGAGTGTGTGGTGTGGGGATGCTGGTTGGGGAGAGAAGCCCCGGTTCTCAGAATTCACTTATCCTCTCCCAAGCTGTTGCATAGTGCCTGGTTTAACTCTCAGAGCAATGAAGCCATTTCTGTCCCTCAAAACAAGCCTGCTTCAGTTTGTGTCAGTTTTGAGGGGAGACAGAAAAAAACTAGGGTCACCACTGAGATGAGGACACCTCCCCAGTCCACTCCAACACCCCAGTCATCTCCTCAAGAAATCCCTCTTCTTCAAATTGGCTCCTGTAGTTCAGGGCAGGTGTCCAAAATGCAAATGAAGCCTCAGTGCCTCCGTGCCCCAGCTTGGCAGGGACTCTGAAGCTATGTGACCCTCTCTGCTAACTGGCCTGCAGCTTAATGACATGCAAATGGGAGGGACACAGTCTGTCAAACGGGGCCTAATCCCTTTGTTCCTACCTGCCAGCTGGGCAGCCTTTTCTAAACCAGTTTTGGCTGGGAGGACAGCTGCGAGGTGCTGATGGGGAGGCTGGGCCACGCAGAGCTGGTTGCCTGGTAGCCACAGGCAGCACTGGGGGCCTCAGGTGGCGGATGAGCCCTCAGAGCCCCCACCATGAAAGTAGGGGTTCCTTGGCCTCTGTGTTCACATCCTGGGGTCCTTGAGCCTCCCAAAGATTTGTAATTCTAAGGGAAGCATGTGACCTTGAGCAGGGGCCCTCTCTGAGTCTCAGTTCCCTTGCTTTTAAAATGAGGCAGCTGTTATTGATGACCCCCATCTCCAACCCAGCCTGAACAGCTCAGTTCTTTCTGTCTTATAAGTTGGGGTTCTAAGCAAAAAAAAAAAAAATTAAAGATTCATCTGCTAAAATAAATGCTTGAAAGCCATTAGATTCAGTGATCTGCTGTGCCCTTTCCATCTCTAGCAGGCTGGAGCTGCTGCTTGCCTCACAGAGATCTTGTGAGATAGGCAAGCCCAGGTAGCTCCATCTCTCCATTTCACAGATGGTAAAACTGAAGCCCAGAGAGGAGGAGTGAGTTTCTCTGAATCACACAGCCAGTTTGTGTCATGCAGAGACCAAACTGTATTCTACAGATCCTAGATGGGAGTTCTCTCTGCTGAAACTCACTGCATAAGATGCAAGGTAGGGTCAGAAAAAGAAAGGGCCCTTGGTGGGTTTCGGCCCTGGCACTACAGGTCTATAAGCATGTCTGAAAATTTACTCCTCAGATTTGGTGGATGACGACCATGAAGCCAGTGCTGACGTTGGTTTCTTGGCCAATTGTGAGTGCATGTATAGCTGCGTGTGTGTGTGTGTGTGTGTGTGTGTGTGTGAGTGATAGGATGATTGCCTACACAATGTTCTTCTTAACAGCATCCTGTGGACCAAATGCCATCCTTGCCATGCCACCTGACACGGTCTTGTGTGCATTCAGCCAGTGTTTACTGAGCACCTGCCTGGAGCTTGGCACGGTGAAGAGGACTCTGTCCTTGCCACCAGGTCGCCTGCAATCCAGTGGGGGAATCTGCACACATCTGACATCTCTGAGCAGGGCTGTCCTTTTGGGCCTTGGTTGTCAATTCCAGTTTATTCCCCCACCGCTCGCCGCCCACCACCACTCCCCCTGACCCCCACCACTCCCCCTGCCCCACAGGGCAGCCTATTCCTTCCTCAGATCTGAGGTGTATAAAATCTGGGCAGAGGTGGTCTCAGTTGAATACTCCTGTGCCTCATTCAGGTTCATGGAGGTTCCCACTAATTTTGCGAGGCTCTGGGTGAGGACTGTCACTCACCAACTCATTTAATCCTCACGACAATGCTTTTAGACAGGGATAATAATTATTCCCATTATGTATCTGAGAAAACTGAGGCTTAGCAAGAAGAGAAAATGCCATGATCGAGACCAAGCGGCTAATAGGGAACAGAGGAAGGAGAATAAGGGGGATTGCTTTTATAATGACAAACCCATGGTTTTCTCAACTACATCCAAGTCTTCCTTTAAAAAGATCTCTGGGGAAAGGTTAGCTAATGACCACAACTCCATTGTTATATTAATAACCTAATGGAGGCCACTTGATGGAGCAGAAAGATCACCAGGAAGATGAGGTTGGAGCTTCCACTCCCTTAGTGGCCACTGTAGGCCTGGAAGATGTCATCTCATCTCTCCAGGACAAGAAGCGGTTGGGCCAGCAACATTGGGAATTCCTTCCCAGCTCCGGCCCTCCAGCGTGCCAGGAATTTCTCAGGCTCCTACCAGGCCCTTGGTTGAATTATAGTTCATCAGGCTTTGCAGAAAACGAAAAACCAGCTAATATTTGCAGACAGCCAGGAATTTGACTATTTTCTAACTAAAGCCGAAGATGCCAGAGGGGATATTAAGTATCTGTGGGATTTATTGATCTCTCAGTCCCAGGCTACTTGGGAAACAATTAGAGGTCAATACACAACAAAATGAAATTTGCAGCTGTCAGATCAACCATTTGGAAACATTCCCTTGCCCTTTTACCTCTATTTTCTGTCAAGAGAAATCGTTCTCGGGTACAGAGCCGACGTTGGGGCTGAGGAGCCATGCACTGTGCTTGCAGGGAGGGCAGCCTGAGATGCCAATTAGCTTGGCCCTGCTGAGAGGGCCCTGGTCTGGGAGACTGGGGTCCCGCTCTGACCTGCTACTTACTCTTTGTGGGATCTGGGACACGTCACCCCATTCTCTGGGTTTGGCTGGGATTTTTCCTCATCTGAAAAATCCCACCCTGAGTCTAAAACCCTCTCCTTGTTGTCTTCTTGCTTAGCTTCAGCTGCAAATGATTTTATGTGAAATCTGCCTCCTTAAAACCACTCTGAGTTATAAAAGAACACATTTAGGTATTTATGGTCTCCTTCCCTTTCTTAACCCATTTTCCTTCCCCCGGCATCCTGTCCTACCCTTCACCCTGGGCTTAGCTTGTGCCCAGCCAACTGTTGGAGAAGTCCTGGTGAAAATGTCCACTAAGATGGCTCAGTGGTCCTCTATCTGAAGTATTTATGTTTTAACTGGGAGACTGGGAGACCCAAATACATTATTAGCCTGTGAAGATAGGCTTTCAGATACATGACACCTGGAAGTGGGAAGTTGTTTTTAGACGGGGTTGGGAACTGATGCTCTGAGTTCCCACTCTGACCCAATCCGTCAAATACCAGGGAAACTCCAAAGTGAGAAAACATTGACTGTGTCCTTTACTGCCAGCCTCACACCCCTTATCTCTCCAAAAGGGTAAGACAGTATTCAGCATGTCCCAAACTTTATTCCATGGAACACTCAGAGAGCCTGGGGTTCAGCCTGAGCTGGCCTCACCCTCATTTTAGTGCTGAAGATTCTGTAGTCAGCAGGCAGATTGTGTTACTGCCAGGAAGCTCACAAGAAGCTGGGAGGTGTCTGCGGGCAGTCTGGGTCTTTGCTCTTGGGCCCAGGTTTTCCCACCTCCTTCCACTTGGTGCTAAAGACATTATTGAGTCTGGTCTTGCCAAGGCTCCCTCTGAGGAGGGCTTCCAGAAAGCCACAGTTCTGGACTCAGCATCTCCAGGCTCCCCCTTGCTCCACAGAGCTGGAAGTTCCAGAGCTCCCAAGGGGGCCTGTCCAAGTGGAACATGAATTCATTTTTGCTTCCTCCTGACTGGATCAGCTCCATCCTTGAAATGCTGCTTAAGAGTAGCTGAGCTCAGGTGCCTGTGGCAAGGAGGATGGTGCCTGGGGTGCTATTCTCAGAGCAATTTGGGCAGGCCATGCCTGCTCTGCATCTCCACGTGGCTTGTGCCCGGGGACTCATGTTCCCAATGTCTTTGCCCCAGGCAGGAGGACATCCACAACTGTGCTCAGCTGCATCCTGGGTCAGCTGTGTAGTGTGGATATGAAACATCAAATCTGCTGGCTTGAAAGCAGGGGAGAAGGCACCTCTGCCCTGCAGGCTGTCTGCCCACCGCAGGCAGTCTCCAAACCTGCATTTGCAAACTTTGCAACCTCTCTTACATGAGCCTTGCTTTCCAGGCTCATTGACACCCTGAGACCGAGGCCTCCCTTACCCTCCCTTTAGTATTGCAACAGCTTTTGAGCGGCTCCCCCTGCCTCCACCAGATACTTTCCTCCAACTAGATCCCCTTCTGCTCCCAGCCACTCAGAGCCCTGAGCCCCCTCACTGTTTATGGGTGTAACTCTCCCACACATGGTGCTAAAACTCTCTGGTAATGGCAATGGTTGCACAACCCCGAATATACTAAGAACCACTGAATTTTACACTTAAAAGTGTGAATTTTATGGTTATAAATTATGTCTCATTAGGCCGTTATTAAAAAAGAAAAGAAAAATAACTTCCTGGACACATTCCCTTGTTTATTGCAGTGTTTCTCAAACTTTTCCACCAAGGCACCTCTAATAGAGGAGAGGTGATGGAACCCTTGGGTCTGGAAGTAGCCTAAAATTATCTGTCTCAATCATTTATTCATTCATTCATTCCACAAGTATTTATTGTGCATTTCTTATGTGTTAGAAATGCAATAATAAACAGGTGTAAGCCAACCCTTATATAGCTTAGTTAAGCAGAAAATTTCTTTGAAGTCTCATGTTTTAATTTAAAACAGCATGTGCATTTTACATTATAGTCAATAATATATCTGTGATCATTTATTTATTTTTATATATGTTTTTGAGACGGAGTCTCGCTCTATCGCCCAGGTTGGAGTGCAGTGGCATGATCTTGGCTCACTGCAACCTCTGCCTCCTGGGTTCATGCAATTCTCCTGTCTCAGCCTCCCAAGTAGCTGGGATTACAGGCACTTGCCACCACACCTGGCTAATTTTTTTTTATTTTTAGTAGAGATGGAGTTTTACCGTGTTGGCCAGGCTGGTCTTGAACTCCTGACCTTAGGTGATCATTTAAATACAGTATATTTTTCCAAAACTCCTCAGCTAATAGTGTTGTTCTAGGAAGATACTTCTTGCTGGCCCTGGGTTTCATATACCTTCCCTCCAATCACCCTGTTCCTCTGGGGAACCTTTAGCTGTAGAGGGTATTGAGGTGGACTCTCTAACACTGTATCTACTCCATCCTCCTTGGGCAGCAGCCTGAATTTGGGGGCTTATCCTCAGCTGAGAGGGAATGCCTGATTGGTATAGGGGTAATCATTTTATCCTTGTTACCAATGGTTGGTTCAGGAAGACACATGTGGCCCAATTCTGGCTAAGAGGACATGAGGCAGGAGGTTTTGCAAGAGTGAGCTACAGGAAGCTGCAGTCTTCTCCTGTCTCCTGCTATAAATGAACAAGGAAGCCCTCGGCCCTGACTGCTGTTTGTAGACCTCTTGTGTCCATGAGAACCAAGCAGACATGCAGACAGGAAAGTGGAGCTGAGAAAATCAACAGAAATAATTGAGCTGGCTGGAGCCCCAGCAGACCCGGTCCTGAAGCTCACATAGTTTGTGTGTGTCAATGCATGGTTTAGACCTTTTCAGCAAGTCCAGTTTATGTTGCCACAGCTATGAATACCCTAATGATTGGAAAGGACTAGAGGTCAAAGTCAAACTTCTTAGCCAGGTTTTTAAGCCTTCCATAATCCGCAACTGGGTCCTTACCTACTTCCTCAATACTTAGGCGAGTTTAAACCTCGTTTGTCATCTCCATGTCATGCTGTTCCTTTAGATTACACACTCTTTCCTGTACCATTATCCTTTTTCCTATCTGCTTTGCATTGTTTGCCCCTTCTGAGGATGCTGGTGTCCTCAAAGGAACTGCATGTTAGAACTCAGCTGGGTTTGCCCGTCTCTAAAGAGAGAGCTGGGACCTCCCAGTGGGCCTCACTGAGCCGGCCTGGCCTGAAACGTGCAGACGGTTGGGAGACACAGGAAGCAGAGAGAGACAGAAGGAGGAGGGAGAGAAATGGGAGAGGGGTGGACAAGCCCAGGATGGAGAAAGAGAAAGAGAAGAAAGGAAAGACATCAGCCAACATTAGACAGAAAGGTAGAGAAAACCAGAGCAGGTAGAAAGAAAAGGGAGGAGGGGGAGAGACAATGAGCAAGAAGGAGCAGGGGAAAGAGGAGAAGAGGGAGGAGGCAAAAGGCCAGGAGGTAAGAGGAGGGCTGCAGGGCAGGAGCAGGGACGGGGCTGAGCAGGCCGCAGGAGCCAGCGGTGAAGGAGCCAATCGCGCTTCGTGAGTGCATAGCTAAGTTCCGGTGGGAGCAATTTTATCAATAGCACTTTACCATACAAGTGATTCTCATCACAGCTGGTGCTAGGTGGGTTGGGAACAGCAATAAAAAACCAGTTTTATTAAAAAAAAATCATCCGGCTTATTTGAAAACACAGTACACACGCTCCCTCAGGCCCTGGTGGGAGAGGCCAGGGTGGACAGATAGCCCCTCAGGGACTCAGGCTCAGTCCCAGCAAAGTATGATGGGGACAGACCCTCCAACACACACACACATGCACACACACACAGGACATAGGCCAAGTACACAGCTATTAAGCTCTCCATGGAAAAGAGCTAGGGTACTGCGGGAGCCCAGCCGACTGGGCTGGAGGTCGGTACCCCTGGCAAGGCTGGGGACCAGGAACAGAGGGGGTACTTCCAGGCCCTGTGCCAGGCACATCCACATGTGTGATCCTAGGTCATATGAGGTGCTCTCCAGCCTCACATGGCTTGTCTGGGAAATGCAGCCTTAAGAAATAAGGCCGCCTATCACAAAGGACCAGGGAAGGCTAGAAGGATCAAAGAATGTCTGTCAAAAGTTGTCATAAAATCACAGAAAGTCACCTTTTCAAGGGTCTCCAAAGAACATGTGAGGAGTAGTTTTAAAATTGCATTGCTTGGAGTGCTGGGGTTCTGGGAGGTGCTGTGCTGGGCGTGGGGAAGAGGCCCAGAGAAACTGAAGCCCCAAGGGGCCCCTTAGCTTGCTGGTGACAAAGGCAAGATGCGTGCCCCACTTTAAGGGGGCTGTTCCCTCAAGTTGTTTTTCTTCCGTTTATGTAATGAGAATATGCAGTTACTGGGAGCTGGTGGGAGCCGAGGGCGAGAGGGTTTGTTATTCACACTGAGATGACATCCAAGCAAACACAAGGCTTAAGGACTATCCTATTTCCCACTGTGTTCTCCAGCCATCAAGAGTCTTCTCCTGGCAGATAAGCAGCCCTTGCATGGCTAATGTGTTATTTCCAGAACATATTTATTGATTCTAAATATTGAAGAGGGGAGGCTTTATTTTCTCCTTGTCTTGTTTTAACCATGCGACTCTCCATGGTGGTTTACTTAGAGCCATAGTATTTCATAAACCAACGTGGATTTAAATTTTATCACCCCCCTAGTTTTATTATTTCTGCCGGGTGATAGTGTAAATATTCCTGGAGTTGTGAATGTTCCCTAATGTGAACTGGGAGTAGAGGTCCATGAACAAACGGCTTGTTGCAAATGAATTGGAAAATGCAATTTTTAGATTTTTCCACTGACACAAAACATAATAGCATCTTGCATTTGGATATTGGGTGATATTTCTCAAAGGTTGGTTTAACATGGCTCACCTTATTGATCCTGACAGCACCTCTGCAAAGTAGGTCGAGAAGGAATTCCCAATTTACAGAAGAGGAAGCAAAGATCCAATAAGGACAAGTTTCATACACCCTGTTGGAACCATAACAAATGCTTTTGCTCCAGGTAAGCTGTGTTGAACAAGGCCAGCTTTGTGCACATCCCAGCTAGGGGCTTCACATGTTCTATTTGATTCTCTCCAGCCTGTGAGGGGTTGCTATTTTCAGGATACAGAAAACAAAGTTGAAACCCATGGAGACTGCACTGACTTCCAAAACGTCAAAGGTTGAAATTCACTTGACGGAAAAGGAAGGAGCACGGATGGAGGCCAGGATGGAGCTCTGGAAGTGCCAGACTCCCAGCACTGAGCATTAGGGTGATTTGTCACTTACAGGTGCTCAGGAACACACTAGATTAGAGGAGAAATAAATGCCACAATGATCCTTTTACCCAAATTCAAGGGAAAGGCAAGGTTAAGGGGCTCCCTCATGTTGTCTGAGGGGAGAGCTGTCCCCAGACCCTGGCATGTGTTTCAAGAGACACGACCCAGCAGGTGGCTTTGTCTGAGGTGGACCCACTGGACACAGTAGCGGTGAGAATGAGGGGGCCCTGCACCTCACTCACCCTCCAGGACAAGACAGGTACAACTAACCCAGAGGAGATGAGCAGTTTGGCTTCATGTCTCCTGTTTTTCTTTGTAAGAGTTTGCTGGTCAAGTTAACATACGTTGAGCTCCTACACACTCAGGTACCTCTTGTTGCTCAGTTCCCCTATTAAAATACACCTTCTGGAGAGTGCCCATGTTCTGGACTTTTCCTGATCTCTGAATCTCTCCAAAGCTTATTCTTTATGTGTCTCATGTCTTTGATACACAGTCCCTTACCAGAGAATCTGGTAAAGAATTGAAACTGAGCCATTAGTAAATGGCTGATAATTAATATATACGTTTCATCTTTTAGAAAAGAAGTAAAATCCTCATGAAATAATGAAATCCAGAAAGACTTGGATTGAGTCCTACTTCATCATTTACTAGCTGTGTGATCTTAGGCAAGTTGCTTAAGCTCTCTGCAACTTTCTCCTCTGCAAAAAAGGGCAGGAGGGGGGAATTACTATATGATTGTTAAAAGAAAAGATCACCTTTCTCTGCTCTTTCAAGGCCCTTGTAGAAAAGGCTGATGAAAAGTGGGGCTTCCCATCCTTCAAACTTTCCCTTTCTCCTGAAATATTCTTTTCCTGCCCCCAGAACTGAGAGCTGTCTCCTGCCCTGCACTCTGGAAATATTTACTACTAGTCTCCCTGGAATGTCAACTTCTCCTGGGGAGGAAGATGACACCCACTAAATACTGGAAAATAAATTGTAGATATTTTTTATTTTCCCCAGGCTTTCTGCAAAGTAAGCCATGTTAACCATTGGCTGATTGACGGACTGGACTTGGGCCCTGTCTAGGCCCCAGGAGAGGGACTCTATTTCTATGCAAGGATTCCTGTCAGTGAACTTTTAGTATTATATCTTGACAGCCACCAGTTCAGCCTACTAGTCTGCAAAGGCTCGCTCACACCCTATGCCTTCAGAAACCTTCCCAAAAGTCCGTTTTTGTGTTGGAGCATATCTCATTGTTTCAGAAGGATTTGTTCCCTTATTTCCACTCACCCAGCTCACTCACTCATTCCCTGCTGAACCAGGGTCTGGCACTCAGCAGAGGTCTGCTAGGGAAGTAATGAATGGCCTCGATTCTACACAGGGAGAGAAAAACCAACTCAGTGTCTACGAACCAGCTTAAACAGAATGGATGACCAGCTCAGCCAATAGGAAAGAATGAGCTATGGCAAGCACACCTGTTTTGTGCATTTGCATGGCATCAAATGCTTAAGAATAGTTTAAACTGGTTATATATGCCCTTTGCAGTCCTGTTTACCTTTTCCTTTTGTTGAATGAATGAAAGGCTAAGTGTTTGAATGACAGTGTACTGTAGCCATAGTATTATACTTGGCTTTGAAGTCCTAATAGATCTATCCATGATTGGTGGTGGAAACAGAAAACAGTGCTAGTTCTGAAGATGTGGAGTTGACTATTCTTTTTAGGGGCTATTATGTGTCCTCAGTGTGACCCCACACCAGGGGGTGGGATGTTCTTAAAAGAGACAAAGACATGCAGAGTTTAACAGACTCAAACTCACACCGAGTTGGGGATAAATAGGCAGAGACTGCAAGATAAATGAAGGAGTCGAGACAAAGTTAACAAGCTGTGGAAAGACCCACAAAAAGAGAGGTTGGCCCCAAATGATCAAGAAGAGCCATGTGACCTCAGGAGGTTTTATTGGATGCCCAGGAAGGAGAAAACACAGTTCTGGCCTCAGACATCTTTGAGTGTAGCCATG
Organism: Homo sapiens; assembly: GCF_000001405.40. Classification (NCBI taxonomy): domain Eukaryota; kingdom Metazoa; phylum Chordata; class Mammalia; order Primates; family Hominidae; genus Homo; species Homo sapiens. The sequence continues at coordinate 69,910,494 of NC_000015.10, read as the reverse complement.
GAAGAAGGATGCTTGCACACGTGTGTACACAATTTGGACTCCCCAGCACACACACCCTCAACTGGCAGAATAAAGTCTTGCTGGCAGGGAACAGATCTCTCTGTTCCTTCAAATTTGCCCAACTGCCAAGCCCTCTGAGATTCTTTGGTTTCCCTTTATCTGACGACACAACCAAGGGATTAATTATTTCCATAGTAAATTGTTGTGGGTTTACCTTATCTTCCTGGCTAGCTTCCTGACCTAGGGGCATAATCTAACTGTTGAGGCACCTCCTGCTGTTCTTTGCAAAGGGGCTGGTGTCTCTAAATTGCTCAGTACAGACTGATCAAAAGGAAAAACTAAGAGCCGGTTATTAGGAATGACCCAGCTTAGAAGGCCAACCTTTTTCCTTTGAAGGGAAAGGTATGATGAGATAACCATGTTTCACTCCTTCCAGAAGTTTAGAGGAGTGTGTTTGGGTGGGAGCAGGAGGATTACTAGGAGTTTGGAGGGGTGTGTTTTTGTCTGTCGGAAACCAAAGAGAAGTGTCGGTGGTTTGATGGACACGTGAGGCATTTGAGCAGTCATGTGACTGAGCTTAGCCAATCAGAATTCTCTACCCCACTGGAGTTCAGTCAATATGAGCTCTGATTGGTTCAGAGCTGGGCAACTGGGCCAATCAGCGTCCTCTCAGGGTTCTGCTGGGATTCTGGAGACAGTCATGCCTTCTGTATGATCAGAGGCTGGCATGGCCAATAAGTATGTAGAGTGCCGGACTGAGAACAAAATCAGCACTGAGAAGCAGGAGATGGAGGAAAGGAGGCTGCTTCCTGGTGTCTTGCAGGAACCCATATTCAAGGGGGGTGAACCAGCTTGCTTCTTGAACCTCTCAGTTTTATGAGCCAATAACCCCCTCCCCACTTTTATTTGTAAAGAAGAAAGTCCTGACTAATATAACAAGTGGATAGTCAGTGTGGTTTACTCAGACACTGGTTTCAAAAAGTAGCCGTAAGTGCTATGGGGAAAATGAAATGGATAAGGCTTCTTAGACTGCAAGCAGAGAAGGCCTTTCCCAGTGGCAGGAAAGAGCCAGCCATAAGAAGATCTTAGGGATGGCATTGCAGACCGAGGCACCACCAAGGGCAGAGGCTTCTAGTGAGGCAGGAGAATAGGGTCTGGAGGCAGGGAACCTAAGGCCAATTCATGCTGACTAGATGTCAGCGCCAACTCCCTTTTCAACCCCTCCTTTTTCTGTGTGGCAGTTGCTGTGTGGCGGTTGGAAAATGAAAGTACCTCTGATTGGTCCTCTCCCACGACCAATCAGACTGGCCATGGGCCACTACTTCATTTGCATCGACTGAACCAATGGGAAACTTCTAGTGGGTATTTAAACCCCGCAAAATTCGCTAACCGACGTTCTTGAGCTGCTTGCTCGAGCCCACTCCCACCTTGTGGAGCGTACTTTCATTTACAATAAATCTCTGCTTTTTCTGTTTTGCTTTGTTTGTGCGTTTTGTGCAATTCTTTGTTCAAAATGCCAAGAACCTGGACAACTACCCTCAACCAGTAACACTAGGTGGGAAGGAGGTAAGCAAGTCAGGCACAGAGAGAATGCTATCATGGCTCTAGCTGAGTGAGCAGAGGGGAGACTGATAGAACACGACAGAGAAGCAGGCAGGTGCAGAGCCTGGAAGGCCTTGAAGCTGAAGACGGGGAGTTCAGATTGTATTCCAGGGTAGAAAAAAAAAAAAACAATCACTGGAGAGTGAAGGGATCTGATTGGCTGTGGCAGCTGTGAGGAAGAGGGCCCCTAGAGGAACAGCGATGGAAGCAGAAAGGTCAGTGAGGAGGCTGGTGTAATAATAGTCCAGGTGAGCAGTAAATGGTGGCTTGGATCTTGGTGAGTGGAGGAGACAGAGAGATTAGGATGGATTCTGCATGTACCTTGAAGGGAGAGCCTACGTGAGTTATTAGTGCAGCAGATGTGGGAAGTGAAGGAATGAGAAATCAGATATTTCCTGAAAAGATGAGGACTGGGTGAGTAATAAGTTTGGTGCATCTATGCGAACCACCAGTGAAAATGTGCTTTGGAAAGGTGTGTCAAGCACATGTGCTCTTGGCTCCTGGAGGGCAAGGGCTGGGTTCAGCCAGCAGACTGGCTCAGAGTGAGCTGGATGGCTGAGTGGGTAGAGAAGTGGATGGGTGGGTAAATTTGGGAATGAATAAGTACAAGGATGGATGAGTGAGTGGGGGGTGGGTGGGTGTACCTTTGGATGCATGGATGCAGGGATAGATAGATGGGTGGAGATGAGTGGTGAGTGTTGAATGGGTAGATGAGTGGATGACAAGCTACATCCACCTTGGATGTCAAGGCCATATCAGAATCTTCCATTGGAGGAAGGGAGGGACCTCACCTCCTCCCATGTGGGCTAGCAGGCTGTCTTAAGCCTCCCCAGGAGGCCCAGTGGGGATTGACTTAAGAGGCAGATAGATTTGGGCAGCTTTGGCCTAGAAAGGGACACTATGTGTCTGTGAGCCCTGAAACCCAGAGAACAACTTCTGACCCGGCACCTGTCACCCTTGGGGTCCAGAGGGATGGGCAGGGTCTCACCAGCCTAGCTTCTTTCTCCACTTGGCCCATTACAGGAACTTACCCAGGAGGGCTCCCAGGGATCCTCTTACTGACCTAGGGAGACAGCAGCTAGCATCAGTGTCCAACATCCACATAGAGAGTGTGGACATGTGAAGGGAAATCGCCCCTTCAGTTAGATACCCCAAACAAGCTCTGTGAGGAAGAGGATAGGTCTACCTGGGAGCCAAGGGGCCTGGATTCAAGCTTCATGCAACTCCTCTCTCCTATTAGCTTCTATCAGCATTTCCCTGCCTTCTATAAAACTGGATTCAATGATTTCTATGATCTTTTGCATAGAGATTTTATGAACTATCAATTTCTTTGTTGTTTTCAAGAGGTTTTTTTTGTTTTTTGTTTTTTTTTTTAAAGCAGCTTTAGGGCTGGGTGCGGTGGCTCATGCCTGTAATCCCAGCACTGAGGGAGGCTGAGGCAGGTGGATCACCTGAGGTCATGAGTTCGAGACCAGCCTGGCCAACATGGTGAAACCCCGTCTCTACTAAAAATACAAAAATTAGCTGGGCTTGGTGGCTGGCACCTGTAATCCCAGCTACTTGGGAGGCTGAGACAAGAGAATCACTTGAACCCGGGAGGCAGAGGTTGCAGTGAGCCAAGATCATGCCGTTGCACTGCAGCCTGGGCAACAAGAGTGAAACTGTCTCAAAAAAAAAAAAAAAAAGAAAGAAAGAAAGAAAAAAGAAAAAAGCAGCTTTATTGAAGTATGACTTACATATCATAACATTCATTCATTTTCAGTGTATAATTCAGTGATTTTCAGTAAATTTACAGAATTGTGCAGTCATCATCAGAATCCGGTTTTAGAACGTTCTCATCACCCCACAGAGATCCTTGTGTCTGTTTGCAGTCAATCGCAATTCCCACTCCCAGCCTCAGGCAACCATTAATCTGCTTTCTGTCTCTATAGATTTGCCTTTTCTGGACGTTTCATATAAATAGAATCATACAACATGTGGTCTTTTGTGTCTGACTTCTACTTTGCATAATGTTTCTGAGGTTCATCCATGTTGCGGTATTTTTTTAAACAATGGAAGTAATTATAAGTTTTTAAACAAGGACTTAATCTTACTTTTCTAAATAATCTCCTAACAAATTCCAACATTTGTTTTAGACACAATGGATTTGAATGAGGTTTGTTCCAACTTTCAAAGCTTGCATTTTCAGTGTAAATCTCGGAAAAGTCTGGATTCTTAGTTATATATAGCACACGCCTGGTTGACTTGTTGGTTGGCTGGCTGAGTCTTCCTGGGCCAATTGACTGGTCACTTCCACTTATTTTTCCTTTCAAAATGGTTTGTCCATCACTTTACCTCTAAAGACATCTGCTGTCCTGCCTTCAACACATTGGCTGTGGCTTGCTCCAGCAGCCACGGAGTATTTTGTTAGTTTATTTGTTGCACTGCAGCATTTTGCCTGGGGACATGCCTAGGAGAGGCCATTTTCAAGCAAAGGGTGAGCCAAGATACAAACATTTTACAGTGACTCACAGGCCAGCCTGACACAATTGCCTGGGAGGGTCAGGCTGCGTCCATCCACGGACCTTTTCAGTCAATACACATTGGCAATCCGCTGGGTCCCAGGTAGTGTACTAGGCCTTGGGGACATAGAGTTGAACAAAATCTGATGAAAATCTCTGGCTACTTTGACATTATCACCTTAGGCAAATTATTATGTAACTTCTCTGGGCCTTGGTTTCCTCATCTGTAAATTGGTGCCTGCCCCATAGGACTTCTATAAAGAAATAATGCCTGCCAAATACTTAGAACAGTGCCTGGCACTTAATACATGCTCAGTAGGAGGCAGCTATAGAACTATTATAAATGACATTATGGTGGCACACCCCTGCCCTCAGATAATTAGATTTCTTTAAAGCAACGCAGACATAAAGTTAAATTTAAAACAATGTGATGGGTGCTCAGTGCACATTTGTTCGGGTTGCTGTGGGCATGCAGAGGAGCTACTGCTCCGTCATCACGTAGAGTAGGGTGTGAATGATTGGCCAGTCATGTGTACTCTTCCGGACATAGAGATGTCAAATGTATTTTTGAATGACTCTGATTATATGCCATCCCCATGAAGAGATGAGCGTTCCGTTCCTCTTGGGCTGTCCCCAGCACAGCTCCTCTGTGTCCCATGTAATGAGTGGCATGGCTGGTCTTGGAGTCTGCTCTGCCCCTTGTTATGCCACGGCCCCTTTCCGTCTTTTCCTCCCTTGTCCAGTCCATCCATCTGAATCCTTCCTCCCAAGGTGCTGTTCTCATAGTTCTTTCCAACTCCTCCAGCTCCCCCGAGCCCTTCCTTCACAATTCTTTTTTTTTGAGACAAAGTCTCGCTCTTGTCCCCAGGCTGAAGTGCAACGGCACCATCTTGGCTCACTGCAATCTCAGCCTCCCAGGTTCAAACCATTCTCCTGCCTCAGCCTCCCGAATAGCTGGGATTACAGGTGCCCATCACCACGCCTGGCTAATTTCTGTATTTTTAGTAGAGACAGGGTTTCACCATGTTGGCCAGGCTGGTCTTGAATTCCTGACCTCAAGTGATCCACCTGCCTCGGCCTCCTAAAGTGCTGGGATTACAGGCATGAGTCACCGTGCCTGGCCGTCCTTCGCAATTCTTAAGGGCTTTAAGGCATAAAGAAGTAACTTGGTGGGTGCCTGTAATCCCAGCTACTTGGGAGGCTGAGGCAGGAGAATCGCTTGAACCTGGGAAGCAGAGGTTGCAGTGAGCCGAGGCAAGATCACGCCATTGCACTCCAGCCTGGGTGACAAGAGCGAAACTCTGTCTCAAAATACTAATAAAAATAATAATAATAATCATAAATCTCTACGGGGTGACTCTCCAGCACTTTTTAGGAGAACCCTGTCTCCAACCCACAGGAGCTGGACTTGCTTCCACACTAGACAATTAGAGGGACATAATAATTCCCCACCGGCACCTTTCCTGAAGCCCAAGGGATCCACTTTGAAATGACACTGAATTGAGTTTGGGCAGAAAGGCTGGGGACAGTAGGGTAATCGAAGGGGCCCTGGGGGATCCAAAGCAAGTTCTGCTCTAGGCCTCTCCACCTCCCCATTTTTCCAAACACCCAGCACCCACCCCTATCCACTGTCTGCCAACACACACCCCAAGGAGCAGCAGTAATCCCCGGAAACATTAGAGTACAGCCCTATGGAAAGGTAGGAAAGCTTTTCCGTAAATGTGTTACCTGCCATCTGGGGAGGAGGCAGAGTGACATCCATTTCCCTTTTATTCATCCCTATCCTTGCAAGCATCCTCAGAGGACACCACAGCAGAGGAAATAGGCCCATTACCTTTGCAGCTTCGAACAACAGAGACACTATCCCTGGCAGGCCCTTTGGTTTCACAGAAGGCAGCAGAAACTTTGAAACCCCTGTTTTTCCCTGGCCAGGTGCCCCCACCCTAACCTCCGAAAGCAGAAGGGAGGCATGATGAGGATTTATGGCCTCTCTGCACATTGCAATGCCCCCAGGGTGGCCGAGAGTGTTGGTTCTTCCTGTTACAGATGCATGAAGTATATCAGGGGTCATGATTTATGGGACCACAGCAAGATTTCATCTGGAATAACATCTACTTGTATTCAGAGGAGGAAAAGTAACTGACCCGTGCCTTCCTGCAGCCCTTCCCTAATTCTGACACAATGGTTCTGGAAGAAAATGATCAATTTCCTCACAAAATCCCTTTCCTGCAGCAGACAGAGAGCTTCACAGGCTCGGAGCATTGCACAGAGTATCTGGATTTCCCCTTTCCATTACTCAAGCACTCACTGTATTGTGGAAGATTGGATAAGGCAAAATCATAATGCACAAGCTTTTATCTCAGAGGTTGATATTTTTAGTATAGAAGCCAGGCTAAATAAAATTTAAATTAAAAAAAAATAGAAAGAAAGGAAAAATATATTGAGGCTTAGCTCATTGGCTGAGATTACGCAAACATTCTTCAGCTGTGAATCTCAGTGGAATGGTTCTCGTGGGTTTGTGTATGTGTTGGGGGTGAGGTGCATTTCAGGGCAGAGAGCAAGATGAAGGGTTGGGGAGGGAGCTGTGGTGACGGGGCCTGCCTCAGTGTCCTTGAGAAAAGGTCTGGCGGTCAAGGCTTGATCTCCCAGTGTTTGTGCACTCACCATGTGGCCAGGCCAGCGCTGGGCACCTTCCTGTGCATTCTCAATAGTTCTCGGCAGGAGCTGTGAGGCAGGTCCTATCATTCCCATTTCACAAGTGGTAAGCCCGGGGCACACCCTGACTTGCCCAAGGCCCTTCAGCTGGAAGCAGCAAAGCCAGGATTCAAGCTCAGCCTGTCCTACACTGAAGTCCTTGCTCCTTCCTGGCCCTGCTACTGCTGCTAGGGGAGGCTGGCCTCCAGCCTCATGGAAGTGGATAATGGGAATATCCCCCAACCATGTCACAAACCTGTTTTTCTGGATTAAGAGGAAGCCTGAGTCCAGGTAGACCCTAAAAAATAATCAAAGATCCCTGACAGGCCCCATCACCAAGACAGCCTTTGCCGTGAGTAGCAGGATCAACTCAGTCTGGAACTGGTTGAGGGGCTGTGACTGGGCTCCTCAAATCCAGACCACAAGGCAACGCCAAGACAGTCAGCAGAGACCCAGGCAGGCAGCCTCCTCACTGTCCACACAATCTCAGGCTCAGGCCACCCTCAAGTGGGCCTGGCCCAGTTTACAATGGCACCAGCCCTTGTCAGATCATGGCCACCACCCCTCCCAGCTACAAGGAGGTGGACATCATGCCAGGCCCCTGCACCATGAGGTGGGCCAAGATACTCAGCCCAGAACCCTGGTCAGTCAGGACAGGCGTATGACCCCAGGGCTTGTTCTTCAGGCCATCTCCCTGCCAGGAGACAGGATGACACTTCTTGACAATGCAGTGTGGACTAGAAGGAAATCTTTATGCTTTAGAGACAGACGGATCTGGAATCAAATCTCTGTGCTGCTACTTCCTGGCTGTGTGACCTTGGGCAAGATACTTAACCTCTCTGAGCTTCCATTTCCCTCTAGCATAAGGATAAGTAGAACAATCTCATAGGATTATTATTAACTGAAATGGGATAGCTACTTAAAGCACTTAGCCCAGTGCTCTCATTGAGGCCAGTGTCCTGCTTTATCCTTGCGTCAGGCATAGGGGATAGTACTGTAGGTTCTCTGTTCTCTTGCTTCTAGGAAAGTGATAACGACAGTCTGAGCTGCAAGCCAGGTAGGGCTGAGCTCTTATGCAGCATTATCTCATTTAGTTTCCACAACAAGCAAGTGGTATTATTAGGCTCACTTTACAGCTCAGGAGCTTAGATTGGTAACTTGCTGAAGGTCACACAGCTAGTATATGACAGTAGGGATTCCACCTCGGGCGCCTCTGACTCCAGAGCAGCTTTCCTGATACCATAGTGCTTCCTATTCCAGTAGACGTCACAGAGACTGGCCCTGTGTTCAATTGTTTGCATTGTCTCTTTAGAGTCCATTTTGTATGGACCCAGAGGGATGTGCAGGTGTGTGCATGTGTGTGTGCCTGTGTGTGTGTGCATGTGTGTGTGTGTGTTTATCTTTCATGACAAGAGTAAGGGAGGAGGTGCTGGGAAGGTTTTTAAGTAACTAGCACATATGCTGTTTCCACAGATCTTGCCACTAACTCTGTGGAACTTCAGGCAAACCACTGCATTCTCCCGAGCTTGCCTTTTCCTGACTTGGAAATGCAGAGTTCTCCCTGCATCATCCTTGGTAGGAAGGCAGAAGGAACAGGCTCTCCTCACTCTCAATCACTCTGAGGCCTCGAGCCCATCTCCTTCCAGCCTGGGTGGCAGCTGGCTCTGGAATGGCGCTCCCACCCTGTGGGGATGCTCTTCTGTTCTTCCAACAGCATCAGATTCTTCCAAGGAGGGGAAGCTGTGGCTGAGATTTCTCTGTATCCTCAGCACTGTCCTAGGAACATAACTGATGTTTAAAGAATTCCTACTAGATCTTACAGAAAAATTGTGTGTGTGTGTGTGTGTGTGTGTGTATGTGTCTGTGCATATATAAGAGTGTGGGTACATTTTGATATTCTTCTTTGAGAAAGAACGCACTTTCTATTTACAGCATGATTTCCGAAGGACCTTCTAATGGAGTGCCTCCTTTAACCGGCATGCCTCCCCTACCAGGTGAGAAATGGGCTCAGAGAGTTCACGTGGCTTGCTGGAAGTCACAGACTCATTTCAGACCAGCTACCACCCACCAGAAAACAGGCATGGCTGCGCGATGCCAAGGCCTCCTTTCCTGGTGGAAGGTGGGCATTGTGGGAGGGAGCCCCACTTCCTCACCCCTGCTGGCTGAAGCCTGAGGGGCTGCCTGAGGGGAAGTAGTAGGTGGGCACATTGGCCCCTCTGGCCAGGCAGCCTCCCCCTCCTCTTTCGTGCCCTCTCATCAGTCCTTATCACCCCTGTGAGATAAATTTCCTCCTGATTGGTTTGTGTTCCCCACATGGGGAGGACCAGGGCACAGATGAGGCTTTGGATAGAAAGGGAGGAAGCCCCACCCAGTGTGTGTAAGGATGGGTGATCTGAAAGCTAGGAAAGATGGAGAGTAGGTATGGGGGTGCACACTGCCCAGGGCCATGACTCAGGGTCCTCCTCTCTGCTCCACAGCAGCCCTAGGAAAGGGGCAGGAAGCCCCGGAGTGACACGGTAGTCAGAGGTGGTGGTAGTGTGTATATCTACGTGTGTGTAAGACAGAGAGAGAGGAAAAGAGAGAGTGCAGGAGTTGGAGGAGCCCCAGGTAGAAGCTGCAGAGGCACCTCTCCAGGATGCCTACCTTGGGTGCTGCTCCCCTCTGTGTCTGCGCCCCCCTCTGTGTCTGCGCCCCTTGGCCTTTAAGACCCCCTGGGTGTCCTAGAAAACACCAGGTGGACTCCCTGGCCATGGAAGCCTCAGGGCACAGGGCAGGCTGGTGGATGTTTTGGTCCCAAGCCCCTTTCTGATCACAGGCAGGTCAATTAAGCCTCTGGGCCTGGCTGTCCTCTCCTGGACGTGGAGTGTAAGTCCCACACTACACAAGGCTGTGCAGCTTCACAGAGATAGTGCTTGTGATGCTTATCCCTAACAAGAGGACCTTGAACTTGGAGAATTATAGGAAGACTAGGTCTGTGCCCTTAAATTGATCATTCTTTCCATCCTGACTAAGCACGGGTGAGCCAGTTTGTGCAGAGGTCTGTGTGTAGATGGGACCATGGAGGAAAAGAGAAGCTTCCCTTTGCATGGTCTCCTTAGAGCCCATTTTGTACGGACCCAGAAGGATGTATGGACCCAGAGGCACATCCCTCTGGGAAAGGCCTGGCCCACAGTCTCCCTAATGCAGCTGGCAGCCACGGCAGTGTGGGCCATGCTGGGTGTCCCAGGTGGGCTGCCAGTGCACAGTCACCTGGCCGCCTCCTAAGCAAGGCCTTCCTCCCTGGGCAGAGGGCACATGCACACTGTCAATCGGCATTTGGGGAGGCCCACTGGACAGCTTCTGAGTGCTCATTCCTGCCCACTCACCAGCTCACCAAGAGCTGCCCAGTGGTCCAGGGATATGAGCTGCTTGGCTTGTGCCATGTGTGTCCTGACCTGTGTTCCTCTCACATACCTACCAAGACCTGACTCCATGAAGCAAACACTGACCTTGGCATCAAGGCGACCTGACCCGAGCTCAGCTCCATCACTGAAGAAACTCCTCCCCTCTTGAAGTTTCAGTTGTCATCTGTAAAATGGGAGTAAGAATAGTGCCTACCCATAGGGCTGTTGGAATGATAAATATGAAAAAATGCATAACCAATAAATAATATAGAACATATGCTCAGGAAATATTAGCCATCATTATTTGCTGCTATTGTTGCTTGTATCATTGTCTCTCCCAGGGAAGATTCTAAGTTCTGCAAGGACAGAACCTATGTGTAATTCATTTTTGTAACCCCAGGATGCCAAGCACAACACCTGTCACAGAAATTCAGCAGTTTTGGGCTGGGCGTGTGGGTACACGCCTATAATCCCAGAACTTTGAGAGGCTGAGGCAGGTGGATCACTTGAGGTCAGGAATTCGAGATAACCCTGGCCAACATGGCAAAACCCCATCTACTAAAAATACAAAAATTAGCTGGGTGTGGTGGCACATGCCTATAATCCCAGCTACTTGGGAGGATGAGGCAGAATTGTTTGAACTGGGGAGACGGAAGTTGCAGTGAGCTGAGATCGCGCCACTGCACTCCAGCCTGGGCAACAGAGTGAGACCCTGTCTCAAAAAAAAAAAAAAAAAAGGAAAAAAGAAAAAAGAAAAGAAAATAAATTAAACAATTTTATGCATTAAGCACCTACTGTGTGAGCGCATCATGCTAGACTGCCATCAGGATCTTGCCTGTGATGACCTGTGAGGTGCAGAAAAAATTGGTCCCCTGAATCCTTGCACAGTACATGGGCGTCTTTAGTGCTAACATGCCTTGTCTGTACCCCAGACTCTTCCTTCAGCTACCAAGGTCCTCACCTCTTCCTCTTGTTCCAAACCAGTTGGATAGAGCTCCAAAGAACATTTAATAAATTCACACACACTCAGGTATAGATAACTGATAACCACTTGATGTGTGATGTGTTGTTTCTCCAAGGGATTATTTTAATTCCAAGAAAGATCTAAACCTAAAGCAGATGTTCTTAATCCAGGTCCATGGAAGGTCTGAGTGTGGGTACAGTCAATGTGCTCAAACTTTTTTCTCTGGGGAGACAGTCCATATCTTTTATCAGATTCACCATTGGTCTGTGAACCAAAAAAGATTAAGAAATTGTTCCCCTCCGTCTCTACTAAATTACAAAAAATTAGCAGGGTGTGGTGGTCTGCACTTGTAGTCCCAGCTACTAGGGAGACTGAGGCAGGGGGATCGCTTGAACCAGGGAGGCAGAGATCGCAGTGAGCCAAGATTGTGCCACTGCCCTCCAGCCTGGTGACAGAGCAAGATTCCATCTCAAAAAAAAAAAAAAAAAAAAAAGAAATGGTTCCCTAGAGTGGGGCTGTCCAGTAGAACTTTCTGTGGTGAAGGAAGTATTCTATATCTGTGCTGTCCAATATGGTAATCACTAACCACTTGTGGCTATTGAGCACCGGAATTGTAGCTGGGGCAAGTGAGGAACTGAATTTTAAAATCTATATGAGTTAATTTAGATTTAAACATAAATAGCTTAGCATGGCTGGTGGCTGGTGGCTACCATATTAGGCCGTGTAGCCTGAGATGATAACGATTTGATAGTAGAATTTTAGATATGTTGAAGAGGTGACATTTTAGAGTATACAAGGGGATTCTTATGAACAAGAATTTCTCAAAATTTCTCTAAAATTTAAATTTCTTTAAAATTTAAAAATTCATTGGTTCATTTACTCATTCATTCATTCAGGCATGCACATACATGAATCAGCACTGACATCTGCTGAGCAGCCACCAGGCTTGTGGTACTGAGAGAACAAAAGGTGACTAGGAGAGTTTTTTACAATTTACTGGGACCAGAGTGTCTGCCTAGACAGGTCCCTTTGAGGATGCCTTTGTATTTAAAAAAGCAAATTTTAAAAAAATGGATTTCCCTACTTGTCAAATCCTTATGACATTTGACAATCTCAAACAAGAGAATGTTTCTTCCCCTTGGAAGAACGTTTGATCCCCACAGATAGGGAGGAAGCGGATCAAGTAGCTTGCAAAGTGGAAGAGGCTGGGGATATCTCCTGGAGGATCAGGTTCCATTTATAAATGGGAATCTCACAGTTAATGTTTTATGGATGTCGGTGAGGCAACCTTTGGGAAACAAGGGGACTGAGCATCTGGTATTTATTGATTTTGAAGCTTCTTTTCTTCCATGTTATCAGTAGCTCATCTACTCTTGGGTTGTGGTGAGGGTTAATTAGCTTTTATGGGTGAGCTCTTATAGCAGTGCCTGTTGCACCATGAGTGCTCTGTGTCAGTTATTATTATTGTTGAGAAAGTGCCCGGTAAATGTAGAAGCGGTAGGTGCTCAATACATTTGTTGAATGAATGACTGAAATTGCTTAGTGCACAAAATTAAAAAGCGTCAAGCAGAATCAAAGCTGAATGTCAGTGTCTGCAATGGCCTTTGCCAATTGCAAAATAGGCCAGTACCATGGCCAAGGCAATGAGTCTCTGCTTTGTGAATGCGCCCATGAGGGTTTGCCATCACAGCACGATGACTCCCAACTGAGGGCCTTGGCTTCTCAAGTGGAAATGGACTAGACATTGCTTAAGACCTGCTTCAGCTGTCCTGATCTAAGAACGTGTCACCTATCTCTAGCTGGGTCTTTTCAGCATGTCAGGCACAATGACAACATCTAAATCTACTCCAGCCAAGAGAGCTACAACAATCCACTATGTGAACATAGAGACCAGAATTCAGTTCCAAACAACCCATTTTGCAACAGCTTAAGAATTTCCAGTTGTGTCTTCTAATGAACATCAACTCCAGAAGTGGGACGGCACTGTAGACATTTGCAAGTGAGTTATGGAGGCGCTCTCAGCCCTGCCAAGGAAGGGGATGCGCCAGCATCCCTAGAAATAGACAAAACAACTCCAGCAAGGTCCCAATTGCACACTATAGAATTTTTAAAACTTGGAGCGAACAACCCCTTCCATGTCTGGCTGTCATTAAGCTGGACAGTCATAACTCCTTTCTGCTGGCTGCCTTCAGCCCTTCATGTTGTCTTTATCTTGTCAACACAGAACCCTTTGGCCTCCAATCCTATTCTTCTGATTAAAATGCCAGCATTGCTCTCCAGATAGCTCTTAACTTTATATCCTCTTAGAAGAAAAACAAAAAGGAAAATTGATCAGGACAGTTCAGTGTGTGAGGAATGGACATCATTTTAGGGTGGGGAGTGGAGGAGGAGGAGGCTGGTCCATGGTAAGGTTGCTAGAAGACTCTGTCCTGCATGGGTCTCAGGAATGAGGTCTTCATGCTTGAGTGGGGAACCAGGCTGCAAAGAGGAATGTGAGTTGGCATCTCATGGGATGACTTCAGTTCTGAGGGAATCCTTCCAGACTGGATATTTCTGAAAAGTGATAACCCCAGATCTGCCTGCCCAACCACTGTTCTTCATTCTCTCCCTCCTCCTCTGGATTGCATAGTAAAGAGAGGGGAGGGGAGGGAGCTAGTACTTGGAGTTGGCCAAACCTGGTCAACCCAGTAATTTCCTAGTTACATAGCATTGGGCAAATGTGTTCATCTCTCTGGGCCTCTGATTCCTTAACTGTGAAATGGGAATATTAAATCTATCTTGTAGAATCATTGGAGGGTGAAATAACTGTATGTGAAAGAAGTTACACGTTGAGAGGAGTTTTTGTTATTGTGATATATAATGTCTTTATTTAGCATTAAGCTGTTGGGCTCACTCTAGTGGATCTCACTCATCTCGGTTTTCTCAAAGAACCCTGTTTTTACCTTCCAACAACTGGTGCATTTTACTCCAAGATTTCCTGGTTTTATGGCATTATTTCCACCATCTTTGGCAACGTACCTTCCTTTGCCAACCAACACATGCTCACAAACCCTCCATTCAACATTTAACAAACATTCACTGAGTGCCTACTCATGCATTCTCTGTATGCCAGACCATCAGTGAACAAAATAAAGATTTAGGTGCACATTCTAGGAAGGCGAGAGAGACAATAACTGTAATACATAAGTAACTTATACAATCTATTAAGAAGTGGTAAGTGCTATGAGAAACTGAAAAGTGGGCTGAGAATGGAGTTGTCCAAGGTGTGGGCTGCAGTGGTTAATAGGGTGCTCAGGGTGGCCTCATGGACAAAGCAAAATGTTAACAAAGACGTGATGGAGATGAGGAAGTTGGCCAAGAAGAAGAAGTTGGCAGAGTAACTTTCTAGGCAGAGGCAACAGTTCAGCAGAGATGTGAAGCTGTGCAGGAATGTTCAAGGGCAGGAAGGACCTAGAGTCAGGGTTTTAGAAAAGGGCATGCAGATGGAGTTGATGGAAAGTGCAGGTCACACGGGGCCTTGTTGGCCATTGCAAGGATTTGAGGTTTGACTCTGCATGGAGTAGAAGTCCACTGTAGGGCTTTGAGCAGAGGAGAAACCTGATTGATTGCACTTGTGTTTTAAAAGGGTCTTCTGGCTCTATGTTAACGGTAGATGGTAGGAGGTAAGAGTGGAAAGAGGGAGACCCATTTGGGAATCTTTGCTGTAAGGTACAGGATAAATGATGGTGGCTTACACCAAGGTGGTATCAGGGGAAGTGGGGAGAATGGTCAGAGTCTGGATCTATTTGAAGGTGGAAGCACCAGGTTTGCTGATCTATTAGATGTAGGGTGTGAGAGAAAGGGAGGAATCAAGGGCATCTCCAAGGTTTTTGGCTGAGCAAGAGGAAGGATGGAGGTGCTATCAGCTCAGCTGAGGAAAGCTGTGGGTGGAGACAGTTTTGGGTAGGAGGAGATTGGGAATTTTGGATATGTTGAGTTTTAGATGCCTGTTAGACATCTAAGTTAAGATGTTGAGTGGGTGTTTGGATATATAAGACTGAAGTCCAGGAAAGAGGTCTGAGCTGGAAATATAAACGTGGGAGTCAGCAGCATCGAGTTGGTATTTAAAGCCATGAGACTAGATTGCCATGAGCCTTTCTTCCCAAAAACCCAATATACACGCATAATAATTTTCATTTGTGACTGTGTCACAGATTTCCCAAGGATCTCCCATCATCTATCAGTGGATGGTTAATTATAAAATTTGAAAAGCCTAAGACTGTCAGTGGTTGGAAGGTGGAGTAGGAGATAGAAGCTCAGAGCAATTTGTTAACTTTTAAGTCTCTTAGTTGGACTGAAGGCATGTACCAGTGCCCAGGGTAACATAGGCAAGATGGCAAAGTGGGGTGGTGAATTATATTTTTGGGAGAAGAGCCGTAATTCAGTGTGGTGGGGTAGTAGTCCCTCTTTCTCTCAGTCTCTGTATCTGAGTTTCCAGTCACACAGCATAGACCTGACACCAAAGCCATGCTCAACCACGAGCTTGAGATTCCAGGATGATAGTCCCTGAGAAGGCAAAGTTGTCATCTCTCAAGGCCAGGAAGGAAGGAGATGCACTGCCCTAACCAAGAAGAT
Source organism: Homo sapiens (assembly GCF_000001405.40). Classification (NCBI taxonomy): domain Eukaryota; kingdom Metazoa; phylum Chordata; class Mammalia; order Primates; family Hominidae; genus Homo; species Homo sapiens. Next base: position 69,894,736 of record NC_000015.10, on the reverse strand, counting down.
TTCACACTGGAATTCAGGGAAGCTAGAGAGCCACACATGGGATATGGTGCTTGGTGTGTACTATGCATGGGATGTTGAAACAGCAACCATGGAGGAGACGTCCAGGGATTTCCAGGGGCACAGCCAGGAAGAGTCCATGCACACCCAACTACAACCCCATGTCCCACACCCAGTGAACAACTCCATGAGCTATAAGCAGTGCTGAGTTCTAAGCCAGAGGTTCCAAATGATGTTGTTTATCAGAACCTTGGAGCTTATTAAATATACTCATCTCTGGGCACTTCTTCCAGACCTCTGAATCAAAATAAAAAAACATATGATTTTGTAGGGGCCTCTTGGGGCTTCCAGTTAAGTTCATTCTGACTCTAAGTGTCTCATATTGAGCTTGGTTTGGTCCTTGATCATTGCTGTGCATCCCCTCTGTTCCGGGGAGTGGGCCACATCCTGCGGAGAGCACAGAACAATTTGAGCTCTGGGTTCTGCCTTCAAATAGCTCAAAGACATGAAAAGAAAAAGAAGACTTCAAGAGTGAATTCCAGGCAATAAAATTATGGCTCTCTCCAGGCAATGCTGTGAGAACCCAGTGGATGGACACCCTGGAAGGGCTATGAGATCATAGGAGGGCTTCTGCCAGTCTCTGTCATCCACTGGCCAAGAGAATTGCAAAATGTGGCACGGATTTGGAGCCAGGATTCCAGCTGGCTCTAAAGGGAAAACAGTGTCTCACTGTGTCTGCAGAGCTTGTGTGCTGGCAACACCCCCAGGGAGAACTTGCTGCATGGGGGAGGAGGTCTGTACATAGATGTCTGGAGCAGATATGACGAGCCATGGAGGGAGAGAGCAGGAGCCTTCTCCCTGGCCCAGCCCCTGGACCATATCTGAAAGCTGTGAAGTGGAGGCTGCCGGCGGGGAGCTGATGCAGCTGTTCTCACAGGGGCTCAAGCAGTCCTGTTTGGGAGCCCAGATGACAAACGTTCTACAGAGTGGAGGAAGCATGTATTTCTCCCCTGCTTGGGTTCCATGGGGACTCTGGGCATCATGGTGGTTTTCTGTGGAACAGTGAGTGAGAGCATGGGAGACTCTGATGCCAGGCTGTGGATACAATGCCTGGTGGGAAAGTGGAAACTTGGAAACTTGGTGGGAGACAGCCAATGCCTGGTGACCATGGCCAATTACCTTAAGTGGTAACAAGACAGACTTCTCTGGGATTCATATGAGACCTTCCTGTGGGTTCCTAGAAATATACTCACTGAGAGCAGACACCTGTGCAGGGAGTCCCACATTAGCAGGTGAATGGAGAGAGCCAGAACAATCTGCTTAATACTGTTAAGTGCTGAGACGTTTTGTGTACCAACAAACTGAGGAATCCTGGGAAAATTCAGTGTGCCTCAAAGGGACCAGAACATTGTGGGGGATGAGAGGTGGAGCTAAGAGTGGGTAAATGACTGTGTGGGCTTGTATTTGTGTTTGGGAAAATGTGAGTTGCCAAGGATGACAGAGATAGCAGTCTTAACTCAGTGGCTCCCAGGGAAACATTCTTTGGTTGTTGGAGGGTCTGAAAGCCCATATGATATAGGCAGTCCTTGGTGAGGACGAGTGGGCAGGGTGAACAAGGCCCTAACTGTATTGCTCATTGAAGGTATCTGGCAAAACTGGACCCTTCTGGGAAAGTGACCACAAACTCACATTGTCTGGAGATGAAACCAGGGAAATCAAGGCCAAGAACCCAGAGATTTCCCCGAGATGGGGTCCCTGAGAAGATGAAACCCACACCCTAATGGCCTTCCCTCCCAACACTGGGGTGTTACTAATGGGCATTCCAAGTGTCACTTTGGGATGAGTATGGGACACACCCTAGGAGCATTCCTATTTCCCAGGCTACAGATTTGTAGCCGCTTTCATAATTTATAATTATGTGTAACCTTATAATAATCTATTCCATACTCTCCCTCTCCCATCTCAGGTGATTCCCTTCCTTTCCTTACAGAGAGGTCCCCCTTGCTGTGACAAACACTTACGCAGAAGACAAGAAGCAAACTGGGCATTGCAGAAAGTGTCCAAAGCTATTAATGATTTCACTTCCTCTCCATTTTACTACTGAGAGAGCAAGCAATTGGCAAGCAACCTCATCCCCCCAAATCCTGACAGAAGCCAGAGGGCTGTAAGATCCATGGGTGAGATTATATGACACCACCTAATTTGTTCTGAGCTTCCTGAAAGCTGCAGGGAAGATATTGGAATTGTAGTTTCTTCTGAAATACAAAAATAAAATAAAATAAAAGGTTGTGACAGAGATTTAAATGAGAATAAAATGCCAATTAACTCAGAGATATTGAACTAGAATCCGTTTCTCAGAAGAATCCCAGGTCGCACGTGGTGGATCAGTTTCAATTTCCCCCAAAGCACCGAATGGCCACACCGGGGAAGCAGACATCAGAACAATCCAGAACTCGGTGCCAGACCCACTACTTATCACTTTAATTGACACTTACTCCATATGATGCTCATACTTTCACCGAATGGGTTCAATTTAATTTGAAATGGGGAATTTTTTTCTTTCCCCTATTGAAATATTTAATGCAGCAGGCTTTAACTAAATAGCTTCAATCCTCGCATTCCATTACTCTTCCATTTCGCTTTAAAAATACAAAAGAACCCCTCCAACCATGATTTATTTGGAAAATATTTTACTTTTACCACCTCTGTAATTACAAAAGCTAATGGTGCATATCTTTTCTTTTAGTAGGTGATGGGACAGTTTGGCAAAAAAAGAAATCCCTTCTTTGATATCTATTCTGCCGTCCTCAACAATAAATTAACAGACACAGGCCTACGGAAAAGAAGTCATCCTTAGACTCGGGGTGGTGATAAGGCAACTCTTCTATCATGGAGCATATGTGTTTGGCTCCCAGCACACCCTGTACCGCACACACTGTGAGAACCAGGGGTGGGTGAGGAGGGAGGCAGCATCTTTGCTGAGGAGAATCTGGATTCTGGGTGATCACATGAAAGTAGGTGGGTTCTCCCCGCCCTGTGTTTATTAGGGCTGACAGACGAGTGCAAGAACATTGTTCACCCCGAGGTGTTACATACTGATACACTGACAGGCAATTATCTTTGGAGATAGTGTTAAAACACAACAATTAATTGGAAGAGCAAGAGAGAGAGTGGTGGCCCCAGGCCGAGGCAGAATGGTATTTCTAAAAGCTCTGTGAGGCTGGTAATTCAGCTTCAATGGGTCATTTGATTTTCACCACCTCCCCGCCCCAACTGAAACCTTCCCAGTGCTTTGTTTTTCAAAAACATTAGCCTTCAATGTGTCTCAGACGTCATTAAAGTGCGGGCCAACCTCCCATAGCAACTTTCCAAAATGGTGCCTGGCAATAGAGAAAAATCATTGCCTTAGCAAAGATGTCTCACACAGCCTGCTTTTGTGACGGTAGATGCTGGCAGAATGTCTTTGTTTCAAACTGAGGCTGACACATGTCTGCTTAAATAAAACATTCCCACTTCAGCTGACTGATTTGGTGGGAACAAGAAGTTCACACGCCAAAGCATGGGCTGACCTTCATGACCCCCCCACCAGCAGGGGGGAAGAATGCATTGTTGTATCCTTTTACTAACAAGCATTGAGAAGTGTGAGCTTTTCTTTTGCTTGTTTTACCATGGTGACATCCATTGACCTATATTTGATATTCTGCGTAATATACATGTGTCAGAGATCACACATTTGATTGAAATGGGGAAAGGAGGACAAGGAAGAGAAGGATGGAGGAAGCATTTTATAGTTTAGCAAAAACCTGAATGTTTTATAGAGAAGTCTTCATTTTGAAGAGGCAGAAACCAACTGGATTTAGCTTAAATGGAGAAAGAGGAGATTTATTTTTAGGACATAGGGATGTCTAACAGAATCTAAAGGAACTCAAGCTTCCTGATTTCAAGAACAGATCAGAACAGGAAGCCATTTGGTCTCTCCCTTCATCTCTCATCCCTGGTAAAATCTTCGTTTTCCCCTTGCTGCTCAAATTGGACCCTCTGCCTCTCTAGTCTACATGGCTATGGACAATTCCAAGCCCCAGCAACCAAGGCCACATGTTGAAGGTACAACCACATGAAGGGTTCCTGACTCATGCAAATTCAGAATAAGGGTTTTGACTGGTCTGGCTTAAACCAGGTACCCATGCCTTGTCCAACCACCTCAACACAAAAAGTAATGACAGAAGCTAGAGGGCGGGGTGATTCATGGATCAGATTATATGACACCCCCTAATTTGCTGCGTGTCTTACTCTAGAGGGTAAGTCACTTTGAACAAAATGTTTGTGTATGTGTTGAGGCAGTTAGAGGTTCAATGTGTACAGAAAGACTTTTTTTAGTTACAATACAAAGAGAATCACTTTTTTTTTCACCAAAGAAAATATTAGAGGAGATTTAACAACAGGAAGATGTAGTCCTAATTGTGGTGTGTTATCTGGAGAAAGCTTAACTGCAGGAGTCAGAGTTTGATGTGTTTAGGCTGGCACACTTATGGCTACCCCAGGGGTAATATATCAACTAGGGGAGGAGCTGTTTTCCCAAAGGAAGTGGGGTGTTACTGCCAGAAGGAGAGGCAGGAGATGCTGGGTGGACAGAAACCACAGATATTTTCTTCCTTTTCTAGGTACTCATATTGCTCAGTGGGTTCTGGGAATCCTTGCCCTACCATTAGGAGTTCCACAGGAGAATGCATCTTACTTTTAGACTATCTTGACCTTCTGCCTCTCCTCAGTCAAAGTTGTGACAGTGTGCATGCCAGTCTGCAACACAGATCCTTGCCAAAATAGGCTACATCAAGCTCATCACGTTGATCCCAATGTTTGTCTTAGTTCATTTTGTGTTGCTATAACAGAATGCCACTGGTAAATTATAAAGAAAAGAAATTTATTTGTCTCATAATTCTGGAGGCTGGGAAGTCTAAGAGCAAGGCTCCAGCATCTGGTGAGGACCTTCATGCTGTGTTATTCCATGGTAAACAGAGGAAGGGGAAGCAAGGCCAAGAGTGAGAAACAGAGAGGGTTGAACTCACATTTCTAACAATCTCCTTTCATGATAGTTAACCTACTCCTGATATAATGACATTAATACATTCCCAAGGGCGGAGACTTTATAGCATAATTGCCTCTTAAGAGTCTCCCCCATTAATACTGTCACAGTGGCAGTTAAATTTCGACATGAATTTTGGAGGGGACACTCAAACCTTAGCATTCCACTCCTGCCTTCCCAAAACTCACTCACATACAAATTACATCTATTCATTCGATTCCAACAGCCCCTAGTGTCTTAACTTGTTCCAGTCCCAACTCAAAAGTCCAAAATCTAGAGACAGTCTCATCTGAATCAGAGGTAGGTGAGGCTTAAGACACAGTTCATCCTGAAGCAAATTTCTCTTCAGCTGTGAAATGAACAAGTTATGTGCTTCCAAAATACAATGGTGGTACAGGGATAGGATAGACATTCCCATTTCTAAAAGGATAAGTAGTCCAGAAGAAAGGGGTAGCTAGTCCCCACTACATCCAAAACCCAATAGGAAAAACAGTAAGTCTTAAAGCTAGAGAATAATCTTTTATTTCATGTCCTGGATCCTGGGCACACTGATAGGGGGTTGGGGCCCCAAGGTTTTTTTAGGTAGCCTTGCTCTCGTGGTTTTACTAGGCTTAGCCCATGCTTCAGCTCTCAGGTTAGCGTTTTGTGCCTGCAGCTTTCCCAGGCTGGCTTTGCACACTGGTAGCTTTCCAGTTCTGAGGTCTCAGGAGTAGCTCCACTCCCCCAGCTATACTAGGTATTGCCCTAGTAGGGGACTCTCTGTGGTGAAAGAATCTCCTCTGCAGTGTTACCCCTGTGACACGTCTCTGCCTAGACCCCCAGGCTGTCTGAGATATCCTTTGAAATCTAGGTGGAGGTAGCCATGCCCCCACAGCTTTTGCATTATGCAAGCCTGCAGAGTCAGCACCATGTGGATGCCACAAAGGTTTATGGCTTCTACCTTGCAGAGGAGTGAGTTGGGCCACATCTGGGTTCACTTAATCTGTGACTGGGATAGCTGAAGGGGTGCTGCACCAGAACGTCAGAGTCCCGAGGTGGCAGCAAAACCTTGGAGGGTGCCCTGGGCAGTTCCCTGAAACCATTCTGCCCTCCTAGAGCTCTGGGCCTGTGATGAGAAGGCCAGCCTTGAAGATCTCTCAAATGCTTTGAGGGTCATTCTCCCATTGTCTTGAGGATCCCTTCTATTCATATTAATCTCCTTAGCAAAGGTCACTTGGCCATACCCTTGATTTGCTCTCTCTAAAATGCTTTTTTATTTTTTACATGGCCAGGCTAAAAATTTCAAACTATTTCCATTCCACTTCTTTTAAATTACAAATATCATCTTGCTATTTATTTCTTCTTGTATCTTACTATATGCAGGTGAAAGTAGGCACATAGCTTCTTCAATATTTTTCTTAGAAATTTCTTTCACCAGATATCCTAGCTCATCACTCTTAAATATTACCTTCTATAAAGTCCTTGGGCATGGACACAATTCAGCCGAGTTCTTGGCAAGTGTGTAACAAGAATGGTCTTTAGTTTCTAACATCTTGTTCCTCAGTTCCACCTGACACCTCATCAGAATGGGTTTTACCATCCATATCCAACATTCTTTTTTGTTTGTTTGTTTGTTTGTTCTGACTCAAACTTGGTGACCTGCTCTAGGACCCAGCCTCTTTGCAGTCTTCACTCTCCAGAATCCCACGCTCCAGTAAAATTGACACCCTACTGTTCTCTCACATGCTCTGCACCCATCCTTCCTCCTTCCTTTTCTCCTGCTGGTCCCTCTGCCTGGGGCACCCTCCCACCTTGAGCCCCACATTGTCTGAATCCCACTGTAGTTCTAGATACAGCTTCAATACCCAGTCCTCATGAAACCCTTGCAGCTTCTCCAATGCAGAGTGGCTTCTCCCACACTGACCCCTTGAAACATCACATCAGATGACATCACCACTAGTTTCTTAGAAAGCTGAGAGCCTCTAGATATTTTCCCACTTCATGCCCCATGGCAGCCTTGAGAGGGAGATAGCATAGCCCACTCCCTGAAGGAGAGGGGGCTGAGGCTCAGAGAAGCTGCAGCGTGGCTGAGGACACTTGGCTGGCAAGGGGAGTGCTGGGATTTTGTGCAGGTCTGTGCATTCCCAACATGTGCACTCATTGTAAAGGGGAAATGCTTCTGACCTGACCTTCTTCTCTACCCGATGAATATGGCTGTTCCAGGTGAGAACTGTGGTCATTCCTGGGTCCCTAAATGTGGCAGCACAGTGGCCAGCACAAGGTAGCTGCTCATTACATAGATGTGGAAGGAAGGGAGGGAAGGAGAAGAAAAGGATGATCTGAATCCATATACTCGAATCATAAGCATTAGGGGATAAATTAATTGCTTGATTTAGGATTTAATTAGGGCTTAAGAAAACAACAGCTGTTTATCTTGAGTACCAACTGGGTGTGATGACATATGATCCACCGATAGGAACTGAGACACTGTGCCCACTTAAGATAAGCTTCAATAAACTGAAAGTGAGCGATGAACTACTATTTAAATGGAAAGGACAATCTTTTTCAAAGTCTTAAGTAAAACATTACCAAAATGTAGCATCTTTAGACAAAGTTGGAGTTGGAGAATATAGCAGAAGGGAAAAACTCGAAGGTGGGGAGGGGGCAGGAGACCTGGGATTGAGTCTTGGTGGTTTATTAATTGTGGGACCTTGAGCAAGTCCCCCTTGTTCCATGGGTTTCCATGACCTTATCTGAGAAAAGATGACCTGGATCACTGCCCACTGGAATATTGTGCCAACTCATGCTCGCACTGAGCTCTCAATGTTTTGCCCAAGATTCTATATCTCATTTTGTTTCAAGCCACGTGAGCTCCCAAGGCAATCTTTGCAGGATTCTCTTTACCTTTTACGGTCTCTCTTCTGCCATGCTGGATTTTCTAGGTCAAGGAGGGAGACCCTGAAGCTGGCACACATGTCTGTATCTCCCTCATGCTGGGAGCTCTGGGAGGATGGGTCCACATGAGAGTGAGTTCTCTGGAACCAGTGCCCAGCTGAGGGTAGGCATAGAGTGGGCCTCTCAGGAAAGGAGGGATGACTGAGTGGATGGATGGATGAGTGAGTGAAGGAACAAATATGTGATTGTCATATTCAGGCAAAGAGACCAATGTAACCAGTCAATCCAGAAGATCTGTCGGGAAGAAGTGCTCCACATGCACTGAGTTCCTATTTGCCAGGTGCCAGGCACTGCACTTAGCCTTTTCCAAGCACTGTAATCTCCCAACAGCTCTTTGGAGTAAGTGCAGTTATTTCATCCCATTTCACAGATGGGGGAACAGAGACACCAGTTGCCCAAGCTCACAGGACTGAGGTTTAAATCCTAATCCTCTAGAGGCCCAAGCTGGTGTCTTGAACCTTCTGAGCCCTGTTTGCATCCACAGCTCCCTTTCTGCCCATCTGCAACCGAGAGACCCTTCCCCCTCTGACAAGTGTTGATCACAAATGATTGGTGGGTGGGCGACCCTTGCATCCTCTGGGAAGATCAGAAAAGGCACCAATTGGGACGTGATCAATGGGACAGGAAGAAGACACCTCTCTCACACTCTCAATAAACCCAAATTTTCTATAACCACGTCTTTATTTTTTAAATAAATCCAGAGCCCCACAGGCTGCTCAGCTTCTTCTCCAGGCCTGCCCACCCTTTGAGAGCTTCAAGGCTTAGAATGAGGCCGGGTAGCCCAGACTCACTTAGGAGTGGGACGTCTGTCACCCGCCCGTCTTGCGGGATGAACAACGAAGCTCTCTTATCCCACTTGCTCCCCCTCCCAGGGCCGCCAAGATGTAGGGACAGGCGTTAATTGAAGCCACAGCGAACTGGGCCAGAGCTGCCTGCGATGCTGAGAAACACACCGGCTGTTTTCAAAGCGCCTTTCTCTCCTCTCCTTTCTAATGAAAACCCTCATGTAATCTGTTAGTGCCACTGCACTGGAGCATGAATTATTCAGAGAAGTCTCTGTTCGGTTATCTCCCCTCCCCGGGGACGCCCCTACCATTGTCCGCACTGATGGGTCATTATGCACTCTGTGAATTTAATCTTTTAGGCTATCCGGCCGCACAGAAAAAATGTATGAATAACAATTTTCCTGTAATAACCTTCAACTAACCTTTCAACTAGAGTGAGTCATTCCAATCCCATTTTCACATCAAGAGGAGTCAAAGGCAGGCAATTACCTCTTATCTGTTTCAGAAGCTGCCCCCACCCCAACTGCACCCTTAATTTTTAAAGAGGTGTTGAAGAATGTGTGGGAGCCAGTGGAGGAGGGGGCCTGGGTGGAGGAGGTGAGAAGGGTTGGGTGGTAAGAGGCAGGCACTGGCATTCCAACACCGAACTTCAGCCTTTCCCTCTGGACCTGCCTTGCCATCTCCTAGGGTCACCAGCACTGCCTCTCATCAGCCCACAATGTGGCTTTCTCAGCCCTCTGAAAGCAGCCACCAGTTCCCTCTCTTGCCCCCACTAAGGGAAAATGTCTCCTCTATCCAGAGATTTCCACAAAGCCCTTCCATGGGAGGCAAGTTCAGATGAATTTTGTCTCCTAGTGAGAGTGTTGGGCTCACCATGCTGCTGACACAAGAGAGGATGGGGAGAGTGGGGGCCTGTGCCCACCCCAAGAGCCCCATTTCACCCCTGGGCTTGCACAGTGCAGAGATCTGGAAGGAGCCTGGACTTTGGAGTCAAGTGTAACTGGCTTTGAGACTTGGCTCCTCCAGCTGTGTGAACTTGGGTAAGCCACTTTACCTCTCTGAGCCTTGGAAGGGCTTCATGGATAAAATGGGGATAACAATAACAATAACTTACAGAATTGTTGTTAGGGTCAAATGGGACATGGAAGCAAACTCTGTCCAGTGCAAAGCCCCGGGGCTGGGTCAGCTCCTCCAGTGAGGCTGAGGCACCCCTACCCCTATTTTTCCCATCTCCTTTTTTTGATCTTGGGTTCAGCCTGGTTCTGAGCACCCAACTCCCTTCCCTAAGCTCCTTGGCTCCCCAGATAGGGGCTAATACACTCATCCACACTCAGGTCTTAGAATGGCAACTTCTAATGGCTCAAAAAATCCTAAGAGGAGGGGGCGTGAGCAGTGCTTACCCTAAGGGACTTGGCCCATTCGTAGTGTGTACAACTGACTCTAGGCCTTTCACTCCTGGAGCAAGTCTTTGCTTTGTCTGTTTTGCCTCCAACCAATCTTTTCTTTTTTTAAATTAACCAAATGAAAAATGTGAACTCAGAGTGTGAAATGACTTCTCCAAGTCCTAATTCAGAAGAACAGATCCTGGACCAGGACCCAGGGGTCCTGACTCCCCTCCCAGTGCTCAGAGCATCATACTGCCTCTTAAAGTGCTTGAATGGTGGCAGTACAGGCATGATGGCCTTTGGCAGGAAGGGATCCTTGATATTCCTCAAACCAAACCTTGCCAAGCCTTGGTGAGTCTTCTTTCCAGGGTCACACAATAGTCAAGAACCTTGTGCTGAAGGCCTGACAGATTCCTCAGTGGGTTAATGCCACTCTGGACAATCACAGAGGTAGCATGGAAAACATCAGGTGGCCTGCCTGGGTGACTAGGTTGCTCAGTGAGCATGAGCTGCAGATAGAGAGGGAGGTGCCGTGTGATGAGATGAGAGAGGACAGGGTGAGTAGGTACTGGGCTCACCGGCAGCGGGCTTCCTGTGCCATTTGTTTTCAGACTGTTGGTTAGCAGGGTCCCGCACTCCAAGCCATCTGCCTGGTTCAGGCCTACCCAGGGCAGGGAACGTCACCTCCTGAGAGCCCTGTTTCACATCTACCTCCCCCACCCTCCCAATCCCTCCCAAGACCCCACCAACCCGTTTTTTCCACAACCTGCAACCTTGACTCTTGCTTTGACACTCTAAGAAGCTTTCTGTCTTTCCCTCTTGACCTCTCTTCCTCCAGCAATTGGATGACTGGAAGGAGGTAGCCTGGACTCAGCTCTCCCTTCCTCTCTGTTCCAAGTCTGTTGGATCCTTGTCCAGGCTTTTCCTCTGCTTCTCCCTTTGGTGCATTTGCATCACTCCTAGCATAGCCCCTGCTGTCCTTGCAGAAGGATATTTCTGAAACAAAACAAAACAAAAAAATTCTCCAAGTCCTCAAAGGAAATATACAAAAACACTGGCGATGGAGGTGAATAAGTCATGAGGGTGGGGCCCTTGTGAATAGGATTAGTGCTCTTATAGAAGGGTTTGACTGAGGGAGTTCTTCCCTTCTGTCATACAAGAAGAGGTGAGGACACAGCATTTGTCCCCTTTGGAGGACACAGCAACAAGGCATCATCTTGGAAGCAGAGAGCGGCCCTCATCAGACAACTGAACATGCCAGGGCTTGATCCTGGACTTTCAGCCTTTGGAACTGTAAGAAAATAAATTTCTGTTTCTTATACATTACTCAGTCTCAGATATTTTGTTATAGCAGTAAAAAAATAAAGAATTAAGAGAGTTTCCAAACTTTAGAAATATGTATTATAAAAGTTGGCGAGCTAAGAGAATCACAGTCTTCAACTTTTTTACCCTCCCATTGAAGACCTGATTGTGATGTGAGTATCAGAGGTGGAAATCGGGGCTGCTGGTGAGGGAAGGGCCTTTGCTGCCTTTTAGGAAGGCAGGAAGAATCCAAAATGGCTGCTGACCATACAAGGAACAAACCATGAAGACCACCATAGGGGACCACTCACACTCAAGTCTGGGCTGCTGGTGCAGCACCTCCAACAGGCACCCGGGAGGAAGTAGCCTGCACTGCTCAGGGAGTGGGCAGCCTCTTCAGGAAGAAGCTTTCCTAGGTCAGAATTCAAACTCGGGTCCATCTGTGTCCAAAGCCTGCATGTGTCTCCATCATCATCTCCCTTTTTAGCACACACATAAGATCATTCTGAATCCCAATGGACTTTGCCTTAGCTTTGTTTATTTCTCCAGTGGCCATAGTAGGGACACATCCCCTTTACCTCCCCTTTCTCCACCCCACTTGTACCACCATCTTCTATAATAATGCCAAGATCACCCACCCTTAGACCCTGAAAGCAGCCTGACACCCTTTTCCCTCTGTGCCAGTTAATCAAACCTTACAGTCTCAGCTCCTGGAGAGTTTGTCTTGGAGTCTGGTACAGATTCTCAGCTCACAGCAAGGCTAGGGGAGAATGCTCTGAACTGATGGTGTGTGTTCTCTCAGATGTTTCACATTTGAGTGTATATAAAAGAGCAAAATGGGCTGAAGAGCCAACATTTGTGCTACAAAAACATGTCATATCAACAACAGCTACCTTGTCCCCAGAGAAAATTAGGTTGTATAGATGTGAATGTGGTTTTTTTTTCTTTTTTTTTTTTTCTGGGGGTGGAAGTGTTGTATTTTAATGCCTGATTTTGGCAGTTGGTGCAGAAAAATAATCGTGATGCCAATGGCCAAATTTTCCTCCATCCAATCTCAGAAAACTCGAGTTTATGTTTAAATTTCATGCAGCAGAGTTATATACACAGTGCATGAGGGCGGCTGTTCAAAATGTACACATTTCTAGCTCCACTGTAATTTTTTTTCTTTTTGCAAAAGGGAGCTGAGACATAAACACCACCCCCGTCTGACTGCACACAAGGTATGTATGTAAGCGACAAAAATAACTCCCCCGGGATTTCTACAGCCAGGCTGTCGTGCACAGGCACTGCACACGCCAGTGCAGATTGCTAACAGGTGTGGCTCGGGGGAAGGATGAAGCCAAGGACAGGCTGTGATGACTGCACGCTGGTGAAGTGATGGCAGAGAGGGGTGCACCACCTCCCTCTCCCACGACCTGGCCCCATCCCCCTTCCACAATAAGTACCAGGCACGATCTTGGGCATCATTGCCAAAATGTGGGATTCCGAGTAGTGCTATAGCTCCAAGATTGGCCTCTGGTAGGAATGTGAGAGGACATAAATGTCATCCTGAGTTTGGTGAGCTGGAGTAGCCACTCTGAAGCAAGGCTGGACTTGCTCCCTACTGTCCACTGCTTAAGAAACCAATGGTCTTAGGTCCCTGTAGAATCTAGGATGACGAATACTGAGGTGCTCTAGAAACATAGGCTGTTTCCGGAGCCTCCCTGTTGCCCGTGAGATAGAAGGAGCAGGACCCTCCCACTTCACAGGTGAGTCTCTGAGAGGCTGAGTCACTGCAGTATGGTCATACAGCCAGGCAAAGGCAGAAAACAGCCTGGACACCTTCTGCTGCTTTTGCAACAGACTATGAGGAGAGGCCCAGGGGAATAGCACGCAGGGTGCAGGGTGATTTGACTGGAGGGACAGAGGAAGTCCTGCCTCACCCATTTGCAGACCTGAAATCCTCAAAGGGAGTCAGCCATTGGATGTTGACAAAATTTCCCAAAGGTGTGTTAGGTGGCACCTGGATTCAAGATGTGCAAAAGCGTTAAGAGGGTCTGTCCCCAAAAAGTTTGGGCAATGCTGATTTAAACAAACGTAAAGCATTTTATACCCCGCAGGACTTCTCAGAGCCCTTACTATGCTAATGACCCAAGGTGGGGACTTAGTATGCAGGATCTTCCAACCACATTGACCGGAAAAATATTTTCACAAAGCCCTTTTCAGACCTAGTGCTTTGCAGACACACACTTTGTGGAATGCTGGATTAAGGCAATGATGAGTTTAGAAAGGCATATTTTTCTCAGGGAGGAGTAAAATATTATTCTAATATTAGTGAAATCCTTCTAAATGCAAAGTGGTTTAACAGATGAGCTTTAAATCATCTGAAAGACTCTGAAGAAATGGGACACAGGAAAGGTAAGTTTTGATTTGAAGAAGAGCAGAGGGAAGTGAAACTGCCTTAAATCCAATTTGAGAAAAGCTTATTTAAATGTGTTGCTGGAAAAAAAAAAAAAAAGAAAGAAAGAAAGAAAAAATGGTTTCAAGTTTTGTTGAAGTTTGGCTTTGTACCAAAAACTCTTAGGCCAAGGTGAGACGTAAAAGGTGCTAATGCGTTGCCCAAGGGGCCTATGTCAGATTCAAGCAAAGCCCAGCCAGAGGCATCTTGGGGGACAGCTGTTGGCTGGGGGTGTGGGGGTGGGATCTGGGAGCTGAGCTATTTTTACTTCATCTTGAAAAGGAGAGAAATAGCTGCTTTCTTAGAGGAAAAAAGCATTCATATATTATTTGGGGAGGCTGTGATGTAAGAACACATCTCTGCTCCATCAACTGTTGATGGGAGTGTAAATTAGTTCAACCATTGTGGAAGACAGTGTGGTGATTCCTCAAGGATCTAGAACTAGAAATGCCATTAGACCCAGCAATCCCATTACTGGGTATATACCCAAAGGATTATGAATCATTCTACTATAAAAATACATGCACATGTATGTTTATTGTGGCACTGTTCACAATAGCAAAGACTTGGAACCAACCCAAATGCCCATCAATGATAGACTGGATAAAGAAAATATGGCACATATACACCATGGAATACTATGCAGCCATAAAAAAGGATGAGTTCATGTCCTTTGCAGGGACATAGATGAAGCTGGAAAACATCATTCTCAGCAAACTAACACAAGAACAGAAAACCAAAACCTTATGTTCTCACTCATAACCAGGAGTTGAACAATGAGAGCACATGGACACAGGGAAGGGAATATCACACACCAGGGCCTACCAGCGGGTGAGGGGATAGGGGAGGGATAGCATTAAGAGAAATACCTAATGTAGATGATGGGTTGATGGGTGCAGCAAACCACCATGACACATGTAGGCCTATGTAACAAACCTGCACATTCTGCACACGTACCCCAGAGCTTAAAGTATAATAATAAAAAAAATGAAGCTCTAATATTCAAGCTCTCAAAGGCAGGGCCTGGGTCTCATTCACCCAGTTTAGGGCCCAGTGAGGGAGGACAATGTTTGTTGGGCTAAACTGGACACCTGGCCCTGGGGTTTTTAAGATGGGATTCTACTGCAAACACCACAAGACCTCCCTTAGTACACAGTACCTTCCGGCAGGATTGTCCTGGAAGTTGTGAGTCTGCCCAGAAGGAGCACAGGGATTGGGGGCAGGTGATTTGGGGGTCCATACCTGCCTCTGCTTCTCTTCAGTTAGGTGGCCACAAGCAGGTCCCTTAACCTCTCTGAGCTCCAGTTTCCTACCTGTAAAATAGGGATCCTGAAAGCTGCCTGGCGTACCTCCCAGGTGACAGGTGGATTAAATGAGAAGTAACAAATGCATGTTTTGAAAGGAAGATGCTGTACAAATTCCAGTTATTATTACATGACAGAATGTAAGCAATGTTAGGAAGGCATCTTCTCCTATCTAGAAATATTGTTTTGCCAAGGCATGTTAAAGGGCCTGAAATGTCATTATTAGAAATTTATTCCCTGGGATGTTAAAGGCTTTTACATGTTTAAGACATTTTCGCTAAAATGCATTTGGGAGGCATCAATATTCAGCCATTATCTCTGGGCCTCTGAGAGTCTGGCCTGAGACATGGACTTTTCCTGGCTGGCAGCAAACCAGCAAACCATTGCGGATGGGGCTGAGGAAGGAGGGGTGTGATAAAGAGAAGCCAGTGTCCCAGGCAGGTGCTCCCCAAGTGTGGGATAGACCAACGCTTCTCACCCCTGTGTGTGCCCACGAATGACAAGCGGAGGGAGTTAAAATGCAGAATCCCATTCAGAGGGCCTGAGCGGGGCCTGAGAATCCTCATTTCTAGGGAGATCCCAAGTGATGCCAACACTACGAGGACCACATTTGGAAGAGCAGTGATACATAACAGCAAGCCCAAATGTCCCCAGAAAACCAGGCTTTGGTGGAAGGCCTAAGCCCTGCGGCGTGTGATGGTTTGGGAGGATTTCTGGCAAAAAGCAGCTCTCCCCCATGAGAAAATGACTAATACATAGGGCTGCTGTTTTTAAATTTGGATCTGTATTTTTGTGGGATCTTGGTTAGTGCTCTGAAGAACTGTAACATGCACACACAAGATGGGGCCTTGAGACCTTGCTGGGGCCCATGCCCGCAGGGCCCAAGAGGGCCTGAATCCCCCGCTCCCCTCTGGCTCACACCTGGAACCCCAGGTTCCCTCTCCCCTCACCTTGTGTTCTACTTCAGCTCAGGTTTTCTCAGAGGCCCTAGCTCTCCCCCCTGCCTTTATGTGTCTGAATGGTGTGTGGGCATGCTGTTTCTCTCTCTCTCTCTCTCTCTTTCTTTCTATTTGTCCCTCTCCTTCTCCCCCACTTTTCCCCCTGCCCCCTCCATTATCATCATCCTTATCATCCTCCTCCCCATGCTGTTTCTCCAGTAGCTGGTTCGCAGAGGATAGGTGACTCACAACCTCACCAAGTGATCAGAGCTCACTCTCAGAAATCACCAGCATTTACACACTGGACTAGGAGCCCCCTGAGGGCAGACACTGCTCTCTTCTGCTTGGGGCTCCACTGACAGCATAGCGCCCAGTATAGGGAGTGGAGGAAGAGATTGGACATTTTCCCACTGCTTGTAATACATACTTGCATTTGGAGGGCCTCATGGCAGGGTGCCTTCAAAACCCAAGTCAAAATACACAGTGCTTCCCAAACTCTTGCTTTCTGGCTTTCTCAGGTCCTTCAGGTTAGCATGAGTATGAAATTAGGAAGAATCAGAATGTGATGAATAAGACCAGTCATCTAGCACAAGAATCCAAGTGATTATCCGTGAATGTGTGACTGAAGAGCCTCTCCCACCTGGACTCTTGGGTCCTCCCTCGGGGAGAAGGACTGGGGAGGGGGTAATTCCTGGGAGGGGTGAGCTGCACGGCATCTCTAAAGAGGGAAGCCAGACCAACTCACTGATCTCATTGAATTTCGGACACATGGCATTTGGTGGGTGGAGCCTGCCTTTCAAGGAAAATGTGGTCATCTGAGCTCAAGGACAGGGTTGTCATAAATATGCAACTTAATGACCAAAGCTCAGTGATGGATACACGAAGTTTATTATATAATTCTCTCTATTTTTGTGTAGATATGACATTTGTCAAAATAGAAAGAAATAAAAGAAGAACCAACACATGCCTTGCTTCCAATACAACTTTCTGATTAGAATCTGACTAGTCCCCATCCTGTTGGTAAAGACTGCTCCAACCCCAGCCACGAGGTCCTGGTTTATTTGTTGGCTATATTTCCCTTTGCAAATTATGAATGTGACATTCAGGTTTAGACCAGTACTGTTCAAAGTGTGGTATGTGGATAGGGGCCTGCGACCTGTTTGTTACCAGAATACAAGGACATTGAGAGAAAACCCTTAGAGACTCATGTGGTCACTTGGCATTGCCCTAACATCCATGCACACTGTCAGTGGACTGGTCTTGTCTCATCAAACAAGATTCAACTGGTGAGTTTCACGTAATATGAACTGAGTGTTGGTCACACACAGTGGGGCTGTATGTCAGACCATGACAGACCAGAAAATTCTTTTCTTAAGTGGTATTTCAGAACATACAGTTCAAATCCTTGGGGTTTTAGTTAGCATAAATGAGTCTATTAGAATCTAGACACCATGGAGTACCAAAAAGAACACATTTCTAGACCTACAACAGCAAGACCCCATGCGTGGCCCTGCCTAGATCACCCGTGGATCCCTATGCCCTACTCTTACCTGCTCCTCACCCAATTTATCAAAAAGCAACAGATACAAAGCACACCCAATGACAGGGACAAACCAGAGCCCCTGTCTCCCTTTCCTTTTTCGAATTAAAATGGCGAAGCGTTGAGGCTGCCTCTTCCAGATTCCGCTTCCCGGGAGGACCTGGCAGGGACAGAGGGTCACTGAGGAGTCCCACACAAGCTGTCCAGGCTGGTCTGGAAGTGGGTGATCTCAGAAGCGATGATTTAGAGCACAGCGTCGCAGGGTTGGAGGCGGAGGTAGCTGCTCCCCACGGCGCTCATTAAGCTTCCATAGATTGCGTTTCCTGCCTCCCCCGCTAGCCCTCCAAAGTGCCTGTTATTAATTCATAAAAACACTGCAAGCGTGATTGAGTCCGCTGATTACTGGAGCAGGCAGACACAAGAGACGGTGAAATATTCCATGTTTCTCTACCAGGCTCTCAGGGGCTCAGGAGGAGGAAAAAAATAAAAAGAGAGAAAAGCAACAACGCGAAGAAAGGAATATGGAAAAAAAATGGTGTTGTGAAATATTAATCAGAACTGTTTGCCCCTGGGGGCCAAAAATATGAGGCGGCATAATCAATGTAGCAAGAGCTGCCCGGCGACATGTCTTTGAGAAGCTGATTATTGCGAGTAAACACAGCTAAATATTCTGGATCTTTGGACTGTGCCTCTGGTGTCGCTGGAGAATCCGATTCCCTTATCATCCTTCTGCAGGCGTGGCCCCAGGGGAGCGTGGGAGGTGCTGGCTGGATGTGGCTGCATGGGCAGGGAGTCACTTGGGCCCAAGCAGGAGCTGTGTTCGTTCTTTTCCAAACACTGATTCCTGTGGGGTGGGAGTGGGTGTGTGTGGATGATGCCCAAGGCGGTGTGTGTGTGCATGGGGGTTGGAGCGGCCTCTAGAGTCTACTCCTGACAGCTAATGACACGATACGAGTCATGCCAAGGGAGCCCCGGCTCTAGAGTGGCCTTCTTCGGGGTTCCCAACAGGAGACCTGATAGATTTGGGGGTGATTCAGGAGTGGGTGTGCATTCAGGGGTCTCCACAGAGATTGTAGTCTATCCAACTAAACTGTAATGGAGAGGGTGTGGTGGGTCGACTGCAATATAAGCTCATAGCGTACACATTACTGCATTAAAGGGCCCCATGTCTGCCCTGCATCCCTCAAGCTCAGTGACTGGGCCATGAAGCCTGGATGCATGAGTAGAAGGGAACTCTGATCTGTCACTATAGGCTGGAATGAGCCCGGGGATTGTTCAGCACCAAGGGTGGAGTGATGTGGATGTCGGTCTTACAGGTGCTGAGTCTGAGACAATCAGAGTGGAAAGTGAATTTAGAGAACAGGAATTGCAACCTCCACATTGTGCAGAGGCCCAGGGAAGGGCAGTGACTTGCCCAATGTCACACAGCAGAAATGGGATTCTTGATGTATAGGTTAGGGTCCTGGTATACTGTTAGGGCATGAAGAAGGAGGAGCAGAGGTAACTGATGGAAATTGTTCTGCACCAAACCTTTGGGCCTAAAGAAAGCTTCCTGTCAACTACAAGGAGACTGGGTCAGAGGGTTTGAGCCTAGAGGAAGAGGTCATACCCCAGAATTTCTGTGTCCTAGCCCTAGTTCCACAACCAAATTTTCGGAGGACCTTGATCAAGTTATGTCCCCTCTCTAAGCGTCGGTTTCCTCATCTGTAAAGGAGTTTGACTGAGTAGTGAGAGCAAAGATCTCACCAAGTCCGTGAATGAGAGCAGTATTTGGGGTCAGCTGTGGCCAGGACCTTTTTTATGGAGGATAGAAAGAGGATCGGGTTTAACAAGGCACACAGGACTGTCATAGCATCCTCCATCCAGAGACCAGGAGAGCATCTGCCACAAAGGGACTTGGGAGGAGAATCACCCTTCACTCTGAAGTGCCCTGACTTACCTAATTCTCCCTCTGGTGTTAAATAGAGAAGCTAGAAGAGCCCCATCTCTGCCCTCTATCAGTCATATCAGCTTCAGCAGAGATTCAAGGTAGTGCAGGCACTGAGGAGATAATGGCTGATTGCTTTGATGAATAACTCAACTTAGAAAAGAAGTTTTCCCGGCCAGGCATGGTGGCTCATGCCTGTAATCCCAGCACTTTGGGAGACTGAGGTGGGTGGATCACAAGGTCAAGAGACTGAAACCATCCTGGTCAATTGGTGAAACCCTGTCTCTACTAAAAATATAAAAATTAGCTGGGCATGGTGGTACATGCCTGTAGTCCCAGCTACTCAGGAGGCTGAGGCAGGAGAACTGCTTGAACCCAGGAGGCGGAGGTTGCAGTGAGTTGAGATGGTGCCACTGCACTCTGGCCTTTTACAGAAATAATACAGCAAGGATGACCAAGGTCCAACAACTTGCCCAGTCCTGGGAGCTGGCCATTGGTGGAGCTGGGCCTTGAACAAGCACCTATCTGATTCCTGAGGCCCCTGACCTTTTCACTCTGCCTCCCATTGATGTCAGAGGCTAAAGGGGAAACATGCTTTCCACTGCTGGTTTACTTTCAGGCCAGTAAAGTGAGCTTTGGACTGAGAAGAGGGCTAGGAGAGGAGCTGGTGGTACAGCTGACAGCTGTGATGAAGGGGGTGATCAGGGAGCCCAGATGGCCCTGAACTCAGTTCAGTCTTCTGAGGCCAATGAACTATGCTCCTGAATCCTGAGAGAGCTTGCAAAGATCACCACATAGCTGATGGAGAAATAGGAAGGACTGAAGAGATGAGAAAAGCTGAATTTCAGTGGAAATAGGGTGTGCTTATGAATTTGATATTGATCTAGGGCAGTATTGTAGCATAAGTGATTAAAGCCACAAGTTATCAGCAATTAGAAAATGAAATAGTGATCATCAGGGGCTAAGATGGCTTTACAAAGAATAGGTGAATCAAAATAAGCCTATGTAAAAATAAGCTCCCTGTGACAAGGTTACCAGACTGGTAGTCAGAGAAACACAATAAATATAAGAGATCTAATTTCAGTAAAGCAATTGGCATGGACTTTCAGTACATCCTGATGGAGATGAAGAAATACAGATGGAGAAATATGGGCAGGAACCCAGGAAACTGAGTTTAGCGTAACTCAGGGGACTATAAATAATGCCTAATGTCTGGATTTCAGTAGATGCTCAGCAACATTTCCTAAATAGAGTGTCCACTGGGCTGTAGCTGTGGCTGTGACTGAATAAGACCCTGCCCCAGCTAACAATTTTACCCATTATCTGATATAGACAGGGAAGTCAAGTTTAATATTAAATTGAGACTAATACCACAAGTATAACATGATCTTTTTAAAGTCCTCCATATACCCTCATTTACCCTCTAAATAAAATTTAAAACAATTGAATATACAGAAAAGGTCCTGAAATACTACAAACAAAACCTGACAACAGTGGGGAGGGAGTGAACGATGAGTGTCAAGGGGAATTCTGACTTATCTGTGGTAATTATTTTATAATTCATACATTATATGAATAAAATTTTAAAAATAAAAAGAGCAGTCAGGCTCATCAAAGACTTAATGGGATGTGAATATCAGACATGTTGTTCGTTGGGTGACATGGAAGATTCCAACCCTGGGCTCTGTGTGTCTCACCTTTGATACAACTCTTGTTTGTGATGTTGACCTTTCTTCCCCACCCCCACTTTCTGGAACCCTGTTTTCTCTCTTACACTGTCTGGTTTAGACTTGTGGTCTCCAAATGTAGCTGCACGTCAGAATCACTTGATAACCTTTTAAAAACCAAGAGATTTGGGAGTCACCCCATCCCTAACAATGAACTAGCCACCATCCTTACCCTTCTTGTGGCAGAGAGTACAAACAGTGACGGATACTAAGCACCAGGCACCTAGCTCTCCCTTTTGGTTCTTATGACACTCATGGTGGGCGTGTGATTACCATCAAAAAGATGGGGACACAGAGGCCTGCGGAGGTGGAGACCTTTCCAAGTCCATATAGTTGGAACATGGTAAAGCCACAATCGGGAGGATTACCTATGTAATATATTGTGAGGGCTCAGAGTAAAGCAATGGTTTTTCATGGAGGAAGAACAAGTTCAGGAAAGAAGACTTCACTAAAGAGATGGCATTTGCATGTCAGCTTGAAGGATGAGCATGGTTTGATATTACAGGCAAGCCTGGTGGGAGAGGTAAGGAGCTGCTCACATAAGATCTGAAGATGTGAAAACCATGCCCTTGGAGGGTAGAAGGTGCTGTCGTCTGGCTTGGAGGCTCATGGCAGGCTGGGTGAGATGGCAGCACGGGAGGGGGCAGCGGGCTTCTGCATTCCCCCAGTCCATCTCCTCTGGCAGTGCTTCCCGGGGAACAGCCACTCAGGGCCCTGTTAGCCCATCAGTCAACAATTCTTGACCCCCTACAGTATACAGAACTTGAACTTGTCCCTGGAGCTCCCAGAAACATGGGAAAGATGTTTCCCTCCCTCAAGGGGCTCGACTATGCTTTCAAGGAACGCCAAATCATGATTTAGAAAATCACTAGCAAGCCAAGACAGATGGCTTAAAAGGTCACGCTGCTTAGGGTTACCCGCAAAATGAGGACTTCAGACTACCCATGGGAGGACAGTGGGAGAAGATACTGCAGAACCCAGCAGAACTTCAGCTGAAGGGTAAAGCTAACTTAACAGAGGGAGAGCATAACAAACACGGGGCACAGCCAAGCAAAGGTGCTGAGATGGGAAGCGCCAGGGCATGCAGGGGCCAGGATGGGGCTGCTGGCTCCTGTCTTTGACCCTGTCCTGTGGGTGTGCTTTGGAGGAGAGCTAGGCTGCCAGCTTTAATTTTGGAACTTCGAGACAGCTTGAAGCCCTTGAAGGCAGTGACCCAGCAGCCTTTAACTTTCAGTGCCTCAAGCAAGTGGCTGTTCCTGCAGAGGGCTTCAGGCAGCCCAAGCCCTGGGCACTGGAGCACCTGTGGCTCCCCCACTCAGGCAGCCCTGGAGCCCCAGACTCTAAGGGACAGTAGTTGTCTTCTACCTGCAGGGCTGCTGGGACGATTAATGAGCTCATATTTATAAAGGACTCTCAGCTCCTCAGAAGGGCTCTGTAGAAATACGAGTGGGTTATAATTACCACCGCTGTAATTAATGAGTCCCAACTTCTTAGAGAATATAAAGTGCTTAATAAAAGGAGGGGGAAAAGAAAGGGAAAGAAATCTAACGTGTTTAAACTTGGGATTTTTTTGTTTTTGTAAAGTACGCTTTGATAAGGTATCAAATGATATTGTCTTCTCTCCTTTCAAAACTGAGAGGAGCCCCAGATGGCATGTCTCAATGCCAAGGGCAGAGTTTCCAAGAATAATGGAGAGCCTTGCAGCTCTCTGGAAAACACTGGGCTGGAAATCAATCCTGCCACTTCCAGTAACTTGGAAAGCGAGTCTTTGTCTGCAAGGGATGATGCTGCCCACCTAACACATTGGATCGGGGGTGGCTTATGAGCTTAGATAGGTGGGGCACCACCAGTCCATGGCCACCTACACTCCAGATCCCAACTGCTCTACCTGGTGAAGGAAATAACGTCTCCTGCTTGGCCTAAACTGAAACATTAGTGAATACACACTTCCACTTTTCCATTTTGATTAAAGAAAAGTTTATAATATGCACCTTTTCACTTTTTTGTTTTGTTTTGCTTTTGAGATAGTGTCTTGCTCTGTCACCCAGGCTGGAGTACAGTGGCATGATCACAGCTCATTGCAGCCTCAACCTCCTGGGCTCAAATGATCTTCCCACCTCAGCCTCCCGAGTAGCTAGGACTACAGTTGAGTGCCACTACACGGGTTAATTTTTGTATTTTTTTGTCTCCCATTTTTGCCCAGGCTGGTTTCGAAATCCCAGGTTCAAGCAATCTGCCCTCCTCCGCTTCCTAAAGTGCTGGGATTACAGGTGTGAGCCACTGTGCCCAGCCTAGCTTTTTTCTTTGGTAGTTGTGGGAATATTATTCCCTTTGGACAAATGATCAGGATTGAAGGAAAAACACATTCTTAACGGTTCTTGGAATGTATTGTTAAATTTCTCTCTGAGTACTCAGTTGGCTAAACATGTGTTTTACCGTGACTTCATCAGAACCATATATTACCATTTTAAAGTGCATATTTGTGTGTGTTTGTGGAACCAATGTGGAAGGGAGCACCATTTCTTTTGCGAGGTTTGCACCATCAGTCTAGTAGCTGAGAGGCTGGGAATTCTCACTCTGTCTCCTGGTACCTGGTGCTGTCAGTCAGGAGGTTATTAGTGGTGCTTCAACACAGTTAAAATAGGTAGATGCATGGAGTTAAGTTTTCTTCCATATAGAAAAATAACTAAAAAATATATAACCAGGGATATACATATACTCTTTGGAAATTTTAAGAAATTGGATTGTTTGGGAAAATAAGCCAGAAATTATATTTAAAAAAATTTTTAAACACTTGCATATGTTACCTATTTTTTTTTTTTTTTTTTTTTTTTTTTGCAAAGTCAACTTGAAAAAAATCTTTGTAAGGGCAAAGAGTAGACAGCGTCACTCTGATGAGATGTAATTCACTCTCTAAGCTTGGCTTTGCGTGTTCAGCTGCCTATAGCGGCCTCGGGCTTCTTCCCAGATTTGGTGCTATCAAGACTTGTTGACTCTCAGCTGTTGGGAAATTCAAGTCCAACTGCTGTATTTTATTAATTCTGTCATGTCATTTGCTAGAATCCTCTAGGTCTCAGCCAGTTTGCTTAATGTTATCAGCTGCGGTTCGTTCTCCCTGGCCAGAGTCAGCATTTCTCACTTTTGCTCCTGCTCCTATGTAATGCATGGAGAATCTGTTGAGGAGACTTCTGTCTTCTGCTTGTGCTGACAATGTCTTTCCCAGCTGTTTAATGTGCTCTCAATCTATTTGTGCAAACAATGCAGCATGTGAAACCACAGTTGGATTTTACTGAAAGCGACAGGTGTACCTGTCTACCTTCCTCCCCTCGTTATGAGCCACTAAGGACAAGGACAGTTCTACTTGGCTTTGACTCTCCAGCCTTTGGAAGAGGGAAATAAATAAAGGAACAAGTCAAGAATAGTCTGGAAGTCACTTGGCCTAGAACCCTAGCGCCTTTCTGGAAAGGGACATCTCATTAGGGAGAAGCTTTCTCCATACACCTGGAAGGAAAGCTAGTGTTTCATTAAGCACGAGGAGGAGAGCAACGCTGTCTTCAGGTATTTGTGGGGACATACAGCCTAAGTGCCTGTCTGCCCTCCTGAGCACCCCAGATGATCTGCCCCCAGTTTCTGCTGATGGCCCCACCTGAAGCAGAGCTACTGAAACAGGAGGGTGGGCATCTGACCCAGGCTTGGGCTATCTTACATTCTATCCCAGTGCTGTGGTCTGAATGTGTCCCCAAAATTCGCATGTTGAAACTTAATGACCAGTGTGATAGTATTAAGATGAGGCTTTTAGGAAGTGATTAAGTCATCAAGACTCCACCTTCCTAGATGAGATTAGCCACCTTATAAAAGGCCTATAGGGAACTAGCTAGACCTGTTTTTGCCCTTTTGACCCTTCGGCCATGTGAGAGTACAGTGTTCATCTCCTCTGGAGGGCACAGCAACAAGGCACCAGGCCAGACCCTCATCAGACACCAACCCAGGAAGAAGAAGCCCCCAGAACTATGAGAAATATGTTTTATTGTTTACAAATTACTCAGTCCCAGGTATTTTGTTATTGCAGCACAAGTGGACAAGACACCCAGGGAATTTGGAACGGGGTTCTGGAGACTTTTCCTATTGGCACTTGAACTGGCAGAGCAAGGTGACCATTCTCCGCTCTATACACAAGGGAGAGAAAGCCAAAATTCAAAGAAGGAGAGAGAGAGACAGTGACAGACACAGAGAGGCAGAGAAAGAGAAGTGGGGAGGGGAAGGATGAAGTTAGGGGGAGGGGTACAGAAAGAATCTGAGGCAGATGAGAAGGTCGGGGGGAATTGGAGACAGAACCCCACTGAGACCTAAGAAGAGGAAGGGAAGAGAAAAATCAAAACCTTGAGCCAGGTTCCCTGTTTCTGGCTCCAGGGCCTTGTGGGCCCACCAGCTTCCTGTACTCAGTATTTGGGATATTCCCATGAATCATTACAATAAATTCTGTTTTACTTAAAGCAACCAAGTAGCTTTCTGTTCCTTGCAACTAAATGATTTCGGCTTAAAACACTCTTGGTTTTCTTAATACATTGACTTCATTCGCTAATCTTTATAATTTTTTTAATTTTTAAAAAGTAAAATCTAATGAGGAAAAGATGCTAATTTTTCCTATTTATTCCTCCTGCAGCAGAGATTTTTAGTTGCCTACCTCATATCCATTCTACCCTCCCTACACTTTGGAGGTAGCATGTGCCTAACTAAAAACTGCTGTTCCAACCTCTCCAAGTCATCCACTGGGGTCCCAAGGAAAACCCCTGAAAGGGGCTGACTCAGATGTCATGTGAGTTTTGTTCCTTCCTTCCTCTTAGAATCTTTCTGTCTGGAACGTGGACATGATAGCTGGAGCTCCAGCAGCCATCTTGTAAATAAGAGAATGGGGCCACACTTTGGGGCTGGCAGAGCAGAGAGCTGGAAGGAGCCTGGGTACTTGATGAAATCATGGACCACCATAAGCAGTTGGCAAATAGTTGTCTATGGCCTACTTGGGCTTATCAGCTCTACTCTAGGTCCAGCCCAGAGGACCTCAATCCCAGCTCCTTTATCCTGATCTGTATCCAGGCTCCATATTTCCTCTCTGGGATTCACTTACATTACCTTAACGTCTTCCTTTTTATCCTGTTGAGTCAGCTCTTCTGACTGCCTCTTCCACCCTGGGTTGACCTGAGTCTCCATCCCTTGTCTTTTCTGTAGCCCACCCCTACTGCATGGCATGTCCAGCCCAGACTGGGATGACCCCAACCAGTTACCTGTACTGAGAGCCAAGACCACAACTACAAATCCAGTTATTCAGAGTGCTAAGGCAGGGCCATTTGTCTAGGAGACAAATCTGGCAACTCAAACCTGATCTTAACCCAGGGCTTTTTAGCTCTGGTAAGCACTGTGCAGCTTTCCAGATGCCCAAGCCAGACACTTGGGAGAAAGCCTGTATTAGTCTGTTCTCATGCTGCTAATAAAGACATACCTGAGACTAGGTAATTTATAAAGAAAAAGAAGTTTAATGGACTCACAGTTCCATGTGGCTGCAGAGGCCATACATTCATGGTGGAAGGCAAAGTAGGGGTAAAGGAGAAGCAACGTCACATCTTACATGGTGACAGGCAAGAGAAAGAGCATATGCAGGGACACTCCCCTTTACAAAACCATCGGATCTCATGAGACTTATTCACAGTCATGAGAACAGCATGAGAAAGACCCACCCTCATGATTCAATTACCTCCCACTTGGTCCCTCCCATGACACGTGGGAATTGTGGGAGCTACAATTTGAGATTTGAGTGGGGACACAGTCAAACCATATCATAGCCCCTCTCTCACCACAACATTCAGAGGACCTCCCTCTCCAGGCAACTCCATCTGCTGCTAATGAGCATCATTTCTCTCTATCTCACTGCCACTTCCTGTTCAGTCTGCCATCCTGTCTCTCCTGGATTGTCCTAATAGCCCCTCTCTGAGATCTCTTCCTTCAACCTTGTTTCTAACCCAGGCTCCACCCTGCAGAGAGTGTGGCCTTCGCAGAACATCAATCCCATTAACTCCTTCCCCTGTTTAGTGCATTTCAAACACTCCCTGTTGCCTCGAGAATCTCACTTGCTTCTTGGGCCCTGCGTCCTATTTAAACATGAAGCTCTGGCCACACTGACCACTTGTCTTCCTCCCACCATCCTTAGGAATCATTCCCTGACCTTTGGACCAGGTGGCATTTCCCTGCTGCTTGGTCCCAAGACCACCTGCACATCCCCTACAAGAGCTCTCAGCTCTTGATTGAAGTCAGTCATTGTCAGGGCCTCCTCTGCAGGGCAGCACATTCCTTAAGGATGGGCCCACCCCACCCAGGTTTGCTCTGGGCCCACCATCTGGTTGAGCACCTGGCACAGGGTGGGCCTTAGAAACTGTTGAGTAATAGAGGGTAGAGGCTTTTCTCAGGGCCTGGGCCCAACAGAGAGGGCTGAAAAATTCCAGCAACTTCAAGGTTCTTCAGCCATGACCTAGGGCTACCTCCATCCATCCAAGATAGGAGCCCTCCTGGGCTCCACCACCCAGCCTGTGAGGAAGGTCAGCGTGAGATCAGACAGGAGGGTCCCATGCTGCCTGCTGACACCCAGGCCACCAAACATCAGAGGAACAGGGTTTCCTCCTCCTTTCCCTTCCTGAAAGAAAACCAGGATTCTCCCTCCTCCTTTGCCAGAAGTCAAAACCATCCCTAAAAGGCACTGGATGAGAACTTGGAATTGGCCTTGGGAAATGAACCCAAATGATTGTGTAAGATTAAGCTCTATATATGTAAAACAGATTCCCATGTCGGGGATGCTCTAGCACAGCGGCTCTCCAACTTGAGCACGCATCAGAATTACCTGGTGAGGGCCGGGCGCAGTGGCTTACACCTGGAATCCCAGAACTTTAGGAGGCTGAGGCATGAGGATCACTTGAGCCCAGGAGTTTAAGACCAGTCTGGGAAAATGGCAAAATCTCATCTCTACAAAAAATATTTAAAAAAAAAATCAGCAGGGCACAGTGGTGCACACCTGTAGTCCCAGCTACTTGGGAGGCTGAGGTGTGAGGATTGCTTGAGCCCAGGACGTCGAAGCTGTAATGAGCTGTGATTACACCATGAAACTACAGCCTGGGAGCCAGAGTGAGACCCTGTCTCTAAACGAATGAGTGAATGAATTAATTAATGAATGGATAAATAAATAAATCACCTGGTGGACTTGTTAAAACACAGGTGTTGGGCCCCACCCCCAGTTGTTGATTCGGGGGGTGCTGGATGGGCCTGAGAATTTGCATTTCTAACAAGTTCCCAGGAAGTGCTGATGTGGCTGGTTGGGGGCCCCACTTTGAGAGTCCCTGCTCTACTTGGACCTAGAGGAGCCAGCCAATAGCATCTGCTACCCTCAGAAACAAGGGAGGTGCTCTAGCTGGGCACTGGCAAGCTGGGAAGCCATGGTCAGATGCATAGGAAAACAATTGTGATGCCACCTCTTCTGTCCCAGAGAAGGGCCCCTGAGCATCTCTTGGGTGCAAACCCCACACCCAAATCCTGGTGTACCCAGGGGCAGCCTGGGCTCCATTTAGCTGCCTTTTCAATCCCTTCCTAAAACCCTTGAAAAGAAGGACAAAGATTTAAAGTCCTTACTCTGCATCATGGAAAAAAATATTAAGGAATTATGTAGCCTTAAGCCCTATATATGCAAATGTTCTCATTTGAATAACTGCCAATTTATATGCCCCATCAAATTAGATATTCAAACTCTTGCCCGTGTGTATGTACAGTTGTTCCTCTTCCTGGTCCAGGCTTAAACAGTCATGTGAAGGATGAGCTGCCGGCTTCTCTTCTGGGCCCCTGTCTCTTTAGAACTGAAAGGAATAATTAGGGATTCATTTTCTGGAGCATAAATTGTCCCTTTGATGATTGGGCTGGCCCTCTTTTTTGTTACATCTGTCTTAATGATACAATCGTCTCCTTCTCCCATACATGGGCTCTTGAAAATGTATATTTTTTCTTTAATCCCCCTGGGTTTCACAATACCCCTGGAGGTTGCCACAGTGTGAAGTGGGACACACATTTCACAGGTGGGGAAGCTAGGGCCCAAGGTTTCACAGGTAACCACTTGGACTCAAGGCTGGGGTTTTGGATTCAAAACTCAGGCCTCTCTCTTTGTTCCATCTTGATAGCTATACTCTTGTGCATTTTCTTTATTTTGCCTCAGAAGATCAAACTTGATGATAATGTAAAACTTTTATTATTTTCTAAGACTTCTCCAAAAACTACCTGATGACCTCTGTGGGGCATGTGAAGACAGCTGTTCTTACTTCTGTTGTGTAGATGTGGAAACCAAGCCAGAATGTATAGGGCAGGTTAGAATCAGAGCAGTGACTAAGACCAGACCATGGATTCAGCCAGTGATGTGCTGGGGCCAGCTGGGACCTGTTAGGAAGATGATTGTTAGTCTCTCTTTCCAGTTCTGCAGTAGCGGCCTCACATGGGCAGCTGGAAATTGACCCTGGTGGGATTATTTACACCATGTGATATGGTTTGACTGTGTCCCCACCCAAATCTCACATGTTGTGGGAGGAACCTGGTGGGAGGTGATTGAATTATGGGGGCAGGTCTTTTCTGCATTGTTCTCGTCATAGAGAACGAGTCTCACGAGATCTGATGGTTTTAAAAACGGGAGTTTCCCTGCACAAGCTCTCTCTTTTTGCCTGCTGACATCAATGTAAGATGTGACTTGCTCCTCCTTGCCTTCTGCCATGATTGTGGGGCCTCCCTAGCCATGTGGAACTATGAGTCCAATTAAACCTCTTTCTTTTGTAAATTTCCCAGTCTTGGGTATGTCTCTCAGCAGCATGAGAACAGACTAATACACCATGGGAATCATCAAAAACTACAAATCAGAACCCTGTACCTCACCCCTCCCAAACCTAATTCCCGATCTCCCTCTCACAGAGAAGATGTCTAGGATAAAAAGCAGCTTTATTTTCCAGCCTTTATTTTGGCTCTTCCTGGCTACAGCCCTCAGCATCCCACTCTCATCTCTTAAGGCAGGCCAGGCACTGCACAGTGGACTCCTGAGGGAGGTGATCCAAGGACCCATGGCTGCCTTAATAAGGGGGACCAGCTCAGGCCAGTACCCATGGTATATGCAGGGTCCCAGAAGACAGCTGGGGAGCTCCCTT
Organism: Homo sapiens; assembly: GCF_000001405.40. NCBI lineage: Eukaryota > Metazoa > Chordata > Mammalia > Primates > Hominidae > Homo > Homo sapiens. The sequence continues at coordinate 69,864,165 of NC_000015.10, read as the reverse complement.
TGTTCTAGAAATATACACCACCCAAATGCTCTCTCACTACATCTCTTTGACCTGGGGGACCCAGGACCCTGGGAGTCAGGACATCCGCCACCTGCCTGTTCTTCTCTGTTTCAGCTGGCTCAAACCCCATGTAGGTAATGAATTCTCTGTCCCTGGAGATGGTCAAGGTGAGGCTGGGCAAACACATGGTCAAATTACTATAGGAAATCCAAGCATCGTACAGAAGGTAGGCCCAGATGTCCCAATCTGAGAAGCCAGAATTGTCCTTTTTGGGGTTGACTCTTAACCTTACCTAAATTTTAGAAGCTGCTGCCCTCTCCTTCTGGGTTAAAAGCCCGGGCCTATTTGCTCCCAACCTGTTCTGTCACATTGCAACACAAGGCTTTGTAACACAGGCTGACAACAAGCTGTCTGAATACCACAGCTGAGGTCCTCCCATGTGCTCAGAACCTAAACAGTGAACTGGGTTGCTAAAATCTCTGATTTCCCTTTGACATTCCCACCAGTAGAACTTCCCTGTAGGAACAAGAAACTGGCTTGAGTAGGTCTCTGTTAACTCACTGACTGGCAGTGCCTCATCAGCCCCACAGATACAGCAGGGCAGTGATGCATGGAGCCCCAGGCTGGGAGCTGCTGGGAGACACGGGCTCTAGTCTTGGCTTGAGAAAAAAACATTTCTCTTTTTTTCTGGACCTTGGTGTTCTCCTCTCTGTGTTGAAAATACAGGCAAATGACTTTGGGCAGTTCATAATGCGAATTTCTTCCTTTTTCCTAGAAGAAATGGTCCGTTCCAGGGCTAACACTCCATCTCACCATTTTTATCAGCTCTCTAATACAGGAGGAATCCTCCAGCAAAAAAGACAAAAAATAGCTACATTTTCATGGAGGTGGGAGGAAATGTTTAGTGCATTTGAGGTTTATTTGTTCGTGACTTATACCCCATCTACTTCCTGAATGTATTTAAGGGAGTTTACAATAGTAATACATATATAAAGTAGCCAAAAAGAGAAAGAAATAAACCAAAGAGGTTTCTCAAGCCATTTAGAGAATTGGGAGAAAGAACTGTTTGGGAGCCTGAGATAAGATCTGATTAACCTCTGAGCTGCCTGGCAGGCAAAGCAAAATGAAGCAACCGAAAGATAAGATAATCCATGGCACGAAGATCCTTTTCAAGGAAAATCTGATCCTGGCCTGGGGGATGGGGCTTTGATGCCTAGGAGACGGGGGTGGCCCACTGGCATTGGGGTGCTCTACTCCTTCATCCAAGTAATGCTATCACTCCACCGCTGACCTCAACTAAACCCCCAGAAAGTACAATGGTGCCTGCTGTATTTCCACACCAGCTTCATAAATAAACATGGACGCCCAGGAGGAATTCCCCAAAGAAAGTTAGGAAATCAGAGTTGTGTTTATATTAAGGAGCAGGGCATGCAAATACAGCAGCTGTTTCCATCCGTAAATAGGAGAGGAGAGGGATTTGGTGGCTGTTTGTGATGATCAAGTGTGGTCTAGACCAAAATAGTCAAGTGTATTTGGGTTGGGAATTAGGTACAGACTAACATGGGGTGACTCGCTTCATGCAATGTCTTTGGCTGAACACATTGTGGACAAACTGGTCCTCCTAAAGTGAATATTATCTTACATGCACTTAGGCAGGCATCAATTAAAAGACTCCATTGGCTAATCTTTGGTCAAGGTTTGAAAACATCTGTTTCCTTGATCCATCTGGTATAGGTGACTTTTCTAATAGATGTTTTGATTGAAGAGGGAATCTAATATACTCATTAAGTGGGAATTAATCAGCTTCCTCATGCCTGGATGGTCGTAAAATGCCTTTGCACCCTTCCCCTCTTCTAGCCCACATTCTTTCTTGTGTCATCACTTAAACAAATCAACTTTAAGTTTATGTCAACTGAGTCAGGAAAGGGACACGGTGTGATCTGGATGCCTGTGATTATTCTAAAGGTGAAGGCGCAACTGCCAGCTGTGTGTGCAGCCCCCACAGAGACAATGTGGTCTCAGAGTTCCTGCAGAAGCTCAACCCCCAGGGTATTTGCTGAGGCTTCAACACACAGGTGGATAAGACAAGAAACCTGCTGTCAGCTGAAGAGGTCAGATTAAGAGAACAGTAACTTCCAGAACGGTTTACAGGAGCCTGAGCTGAGCACACAATGCCTTTCATTAGATATCCCTGAGGATGTCTGCAACCGCCTCTCCGCCCACCCCCACAGCCTGGAAGGAATGTCTCACTCACATTGGACAAACCTTGTGATTCCCCAACAGTGTCAAACCTTCTCCTGTGTCTCACGGGATTTCCCCTGTCTGGAATGCCCCTCCTTAATTTATCTAGGGGTTCTCAATGAGAGGTGACTGTGTTCTCCATGGGACATTTGGTAATGTCTGGAGATGTTTATGGTTGTCACGACTGGTAGGGGGCGGAAGGATGGTGGTGCTGCTGGTGTCCAGAGGGCAGAGGCCAGGAATGCTGCTAAACATCCTACAACGTGCAGGGCAGTCCTCACAGCAAAGGATTATTCAGCCCCAAATGTCTCTAGTGTCCAGAATGTAAATCTCTAGCTAACATGCTACTTGTCCTCCAAGACTCAGCAAGAAGCAACACTTGCTCAAGAAAGCCTTCCTGCATTCCCCCTGGGCTCCCAGGCCTAGTAGGGAGTTGGGCCCCAGGGTAAATGTTTGAGAATGACCATAGGAATGAACACAGGCTTCCATGCCGTCTTCACTTTCTCTCCTGGACTTTCACCTGCCCAAGTCAGTTCCTGGCTAGTGGGCATGGGGAGCTCTTTGCAAAGAAACCTCTGGCCAGTCCCTTCCAGCCTCAGTTTCCCCACCTGTAAAAAAGGAGCACAGACCCTTACAGTGCTGACCCGATTCTGCCCCATGCTCCCTCCCCTCTGAGGTGACAGCTGCTCACTTCATAATCGCCTCAGCATCAACAGCTGAAGTGCAGAGAGAAACCGAGATTAACTCCACTCCAGCAAAACCGTGGGAGACGGAGAACCTTGTTAGAGAGATGACATGAAAGCCTCTGTTTAATTAATCCCCAGAGCAGAGGCTTCTCCGGGCTGCTGATTTGTACCCTCCAGCTGCCTCTTATTTCTGGTCACCTCACATCCTCCTGCACCCCCCAGCTGGCCGAATCGACCCAGACAGCTCCACTTCAGAGAGCAGGAGCCAGGGAGGCGCTGGCTGGGGCACCAGGCTGCCATGTGACCTTGGACAAGTCTCTTTACCTTCATGGGCCTCAGTTTATCTATCGTCCAATGGGGATAATAATGCTCAGGCTGAGTGTTATCATCTATCATGAGAAAGAAGATGCAGCTGGTATTCTGGGACCCTATTAAATATCAGGCCTTTTATCTACATTCTTACATTGTTCCTCATGCTGATTCTCCATCCTATAGAGGAGGAGACCGGGTCTTGGAGGTGTTGATGAATGCATGTGGTCCCATGGTGGTGGAATTGGGATGTGAGCAGTTTGCCCAGCTCCAAGAACCATGTTCTCTCCCATGACACTGGCCTCGTGATCTATACTGCCTATGGAAGACCTCTGGGAACTGGAGCTGCTATCCACACACAAGCCTTTCTCAGAATCACCATCGCACTGCACACTGTCATCCTTCATTAACGGCTAAAGCAGATGGGGGTGATGATATCCTGGAGGAGAGGAAAGTGAAAGAGCCGTGAGCTGGAGGTGGGATTTGAGCTGGGCCTTGGAGGGTGGGCCGGAGAGGAGCAAGGAGGGCGCTCCAGGCAGAAGGAAAGACAAGCCCAAAGGCACAGCAGCTGGAGTGGGTGTGGAGGATGCAGGTGCTCGTGAGAAGGGCACCCCAACCAAGGTAGGGACCAGATGGGAAACGATGGCCATGGGGCTGCAGAAATTGGCTTGTTGGAGGAATAGGCTGTCCTCTCCAACCTCTGTTCATGAAGAGCAGCTCTCAGATCCCTCATTCACACTCTGGGTCAATGATAAAAACTAGCAAAAAAAAAAAAAAAAAATTGAAAAGTAGAACCCTTGGAGATAATTAGCATTTTAATTGGAATCAGTGCTTCAGGCTAAAGGGAAGATGCTTTAATGGTAGAATTTCAGGCAGCAGCTGGCAGGTCCGGTAGGATCTGGGACGCTATTACACCATGCGGGGATCCGCCAGTCCACCCTTTTCCTTCTCCCCCACTTTTCCATTCAATTAACCTCACTGGGTACCTTCTCTACACCAGGCCTTGTGGTAGGGGCTTTACCTATAGGATCTCGTTTAATTCTCAGAACTAACTCCAAGTGTTTTCTATCCCCTTCTTCTCTCAGGCTGGCCAGGGTTTGTTGAAGTAACTTGCCCAGTGTCCCACAGCTCTTACTGACAGGGCTGATATTAATCTTCAGACCCACTCAACCCCCTGTCTGGTGCTCTTCCAATGACAACTCTTGGCCTGATGGAAAGAACAAAGGGGGACTCTATCTCCGCTCCCCAGACCCCAGTTGTGTGTCTGTGTTGGTAAGAGTAAATGTGAGGCTGGGTGTGGTGGCTCAAGCCTGTAATCCCAGCATTTTGGGAGGCGGAGGTGAGCAGATCACTTGAGGTCAGGAGTTCAAGACCAGCCTGGCCAACATGGTGAAACCCCGTCTTTACTAAAAATACAAAAATTAGCCGGGTGTGGTCACATGTGCCTATAATCCCAGCTACTTGGGAGGCTGAGGCAGCAGAGTCACTTGAACCTGGGAGGTACAGGTTGCAGTGAGCCCAGATCATGCCACTGCACTCCAGCCTGGGCAAGAAGAGTGAAACTCCATCTCAAAAAAAAAAAAAAAAAAAGAAAGAAAAAGGAAAAAAAAAAATGAATGCCTGCTGGCCTGGAGATCCAAGAGGGGCTCCAAAAAGTTTATTTCCAGCTAATTTAAGGTTCTCAATTTAAGAACTATATATTGTTAAAAGTATTAACCATTTCATATGAAAATCATTCTAAAACGTTGAGCTTTCCTGTTCTAACAAGCAGCAATTAGGGAGTCCTGGGTGCTATTTATTTTTTCTTTAAAATATTATTTTAAAAAACAGAAATGAGGTCTCACTCTGTCACCCACACTTGAGTGCAGTGGCGCAATCACAGCTCACTGCAGCCTCAAACTCCAGGGCTCAAGTGATCCTCCTCCCTGAGCCTCTGAGCGCTGAGACCACAGGTGTGAGCACCTACACACCAACTAACTGGGTGCTGTTCTATAGTAAAGGAATCCTCTGGGTACCTAGAGTTGAAGACTGCTTGGCCTTTATAGTTTTTCTATTTTGGCCTACTTGGGTGCATAAAATCCCATCACCTGCCTGCCTAATTTGTTCCACTTTTCCAGGGGAAAGAGAAGGTGAAAAAAGACTTGGAGAGGGGTAAAGTAGTGAAAAGCTGGCTGTGTTGGGTTACATGGAAGCAGGCTTTCAACAGTCTCCAAAACAACAGTGGGGGAAATCACACATTTGCTCATAAAACCATAAAGGAGGAGGTGCTTATGCTTTTTACCATTTGGAGCCCGTCTCAAGACACCAAGTGCCCAGCAAGAGGCCAAGCCCCCAGCAAGAGGCCCTGCCTGAGTCCTGCCCATGCTGATCTCCTCGCTGCCCAGAGAACACCCTCCTTGCCCGATGCCCCCAGGCTCTCCCTCTGGTGCAGGCTCGGAGGGGCTCTCGAGGGAGGGGCTGCTCACCCCAGCTAGGGGCAGGCCCAGGCCCCAAGCTGAGCCCAGCTCCCACCCCTCCCAGGGCTTTGCCACTGGAGCCCAGTGAGAAGCAGGAGTGTAGGGGCAGGTCCAAGAACATCCTTCTCCACAGCTTCCCTAGCCAGGAGCTCCAGGACCAGCCTGGCTTGGCTCTCATTCTGTTTCTCAGATTGGTTCTCAGCCACGGGCCCTCCTGTGAGTTTCCTGCCATCTCTCCAGCAAGGACCCTGCCTCATCCAGTCCCAAGCTGTTCTGTGGTTTGCAACTCAAGGACTGCTCCTGGGCAGCATGCTGTGTGTCCTTCACTGCCGCTCTGGCTGCCTTCATTCCCTGACACCTGAGTGATGGCCTTCAGAGACCCTCCTTTCCTGATCTGCACTTCTAATGGACATGGGGTGACCAACCCCTTGGGATAAGCCCCTGGGGGCAAGGGCCTAGTATGTCTGCCTGAGCACCCCCACAGGCAGCAGAGGCTTCCCTCTGTCAGTATCGACCGCCCTGGCTCGGGGAGCTCCTCACTAAGAGAACTGAGGTTTGAAATAGCAGTCCCAGCGGGACCCTTTGATCCGGAGCCTAAGTGCAATTTACAGGAAATGTTAAATAGCCTTTTATCTTTACAACAGGAAGCTGGGTTGTGGCCGAGGGTCCCACATGTGAGGATGCCAGGCTGGTTTGGAACATAAGCCCTGCCTAGAAGATGAGACACATGGTGGGCTGAGGGTCAGCAATGCTGGGAGCCGGCCTTGGCCTCACGCTTGCATTTGTTTATTTCTTTATTTAGTAGGCATTTTTTGAGCTCTCGTTATGTGCAGGTCAAATGCTAAGCATATTTAGATGTGCCTAGATATAGAGACACATTTAGAAAGAACGTATCTTCACAACTGCAGGCTCCCGGAGGTGAGGGCTGGGGTCTCAGCCAGGATCTGAGTGAAACTGCAGAGTGGCTGCCCCTTCCTGGTGTGCCCCTCCACTTCAACCACAAGATGCTCTGAAATTTCATGGCCCATTGGCTCCGTCACACTCCCCAATGCTGGCAACCCAAGCCACTCCTGAAACGCTCAACTCAGAGTTAGCAAAAAAAAAACAAAAAACAAAAAACAAAAAACACGTTTTCTCCTTTTTCTTTACCTCCCATCTGCCCCGGTTCCATCCTCAATGCCAGAAATGGGCCTGGTATATTGTCCCACTCCCTGCATGGGAAAAGAGGGATGGGGAGGACAGCAAGAGAGAGTTGCATTTGAAAAGAGAAGTTTTGTAGGGCCAATGTTCAATCCAAAGGGATGACCGACCAATATGAAGCTGCTAGGCTCCACAGTCCATTTTCAGATTGAATGATGCGGAAGGAGTGGTGTCTTTCCCTGTGCTCAAGTCTGCACCACCCTGAGACCTGGGCAACAGGAGCCAGGGCCACCTCTGGCCACACCGCACCTTGGCGGTAAGGGGTCCATAGGATCCATGGGTAAAAGGGGAGCCAGGGCCACCTCTGGCCACTCTGCACCCTGTGGGGAAGGAGTCCACAGGATATACAGATAAAGGGGAAGTAAAGATCATCATTGCACTGCATAGAAGTGCACTAGGGAAGGGGACCACGAATCCATGGGTAAGGGGGCCCTGCTCACTCCAAGCTGATGGCTTTTCCTTCTAGATCACAAGCTGGAGTCCAGGACCCCCAAATCATGCTTCCTGGGCCTGAGCGAGTCTTCTTCTATATCTGTCTCCCTGAGGTCTGACCACACCACCAATGACTGCAGGCCCTGGGCCCAAGGGGTGGCTCGAGGGGTGGTTGTTTGTCAGGGGAGATGGACTATAGATGGGAATATCCACAGGCATGAAAGTGGGGTGGAGCCAGCATGGGCTGGGATGTCTACTTACCTTCTTGCTCCTGGCCCTGTAAATGTTAGAGGGCTCCAGTCCTGATGCAAAGTACAGGGGCATAACGAAAAGTGCCATCATGTCTGCGCTGTCATCAATGCTTACTGTGGTTATCAATTCACTAAAACAGACTCTCTCCAGCCTAAAATTAATTTTTTTTGAATAAAAGTAGCTTTTTGAGATGGGGGACTTAAATATATACTGAGGGCTGGTCCTGTGTGGGTGCTGGCCTCACAGAGCTTGCTGCTGCTCAGGAAAGATGGGTGTGAGTGAGAAATGCCATTTAAAGGAGATGCAGGATTGCTGTCAGGGGACCTCAACTAGTGTGAGTGATCAGGAAAGCTTTCCTGAGGAAGGGATGTAAGGTTACAGATGGGGAAACTGAGGCTCAAAGGTGCTAAGTACATTAAGCTGAGTGGCTGTGGTGATTAGATGTCAATCTTACCAACTCTGGGAATGATGCCTTTTCAAGTATGAGCGGGGACACCACACACAGGCCTGTCTGTACATAACTGTCAACAATGTATACCCATCATTAGATTTTGGCATATCCTCTGCACATATGCACACACACACACACACACACAAACACAAACACACACTTGCTTCCAGTCTGAGTTTGGTGACAAGTCTGAATGGCAAAGAGACACTGGGCCCTGCCCTCAAGCCATTTGGAAGAAAACTGGAACCACCAGCCAGTTACAATACGTCCTCTGCACGGAGCTTTGAAATCTGAGGCTGGTCTCAGCCAGCCTTTTCCTGCCTTGTGGTTTTTCTCCCCTGGGTCTCCCTGGGGAACCAGGCCCTGCTGTGAGGCTGGATTTGATCAAAGCCCCCATAAACCTGAGCTGAAGCCACAACTCCCCGCATTATTAAAGTGTTTAATAACTTTCCAGGACTCCTCCCTCCCAAAGACCCTGAAAGGCCTCTTGTTCCTATTCACTCTCTGCCTTTTAATGGGAGGAGAAGAGGGGCGGTGGATGGATTTGATTTCCCTCACCGAGTTCACAATCATAATCGCCATGTTGGTAATTTCCATGTTCTGGAAACCTCCTTACAGTATAACAAATGCCCTCATTACCGTGTTTGCCGCCCTTAATGCAGTTTTAAACACGCTGCTCCATTTCAGTCAACCCGCTACGTGGCAAATAAGTTGCTGTTGGAGCTTCCTGTGTGCAAAACAGGTCTCCGGCCTGCTGGGATGCAGAGATTTCAATCTTATCTGGCAAGCAGAGTAATTTGAAATTTAATCATTTTTTCCCCAAGCGAGAATGCCTTATTATTACTTTTTAGAGAAAAGAAGAGACCTGGAAATCACTCTCCAAAATTTGGGGGTGGAGGTGGAGAGAGACTGTACCTGAACTCATGGCCACATCATCAGGGATCACTGAGGCTTCTCATCCAGGCATGGGGCAAGTTCTTGGGTGAATCCCTGTGGCCCTTTCGGCTGCAGGGCTGGAGCAGGCAGAGTTGCCCAGGGCAGAGCCAGTGGGGGCAGGCAGGTCAGGAAGCCGGTGGGCATGCCCTGCAAGGCCTCTCCCCCTACGGACTCTCCCCTCAGCCAGTCTTCCTTGTGCTCAGAATTCCACAGGGAAGAATTTTTTTTCTCCCTTGTTGAAGGCAATCATCTTGAAAAGATACTACAGCATGCCAGGGTTAGCCACCAGGGTCTCGGGGATATCATCCACTTCCCCGACTCATCAAGGAAGTCTGCTTTCACTGCAGCCTGCAACGGAGTGAGAGAAGCAAGAAGAATGCAGGAAGTTTTTGATAAAACCAAATTACGTTTGTGGATCAGAAAGATCAGGAAGAATTTTCCTTAGACGGGCTTCCTGCTCATTACATTCAAACCTGGTAGGGGAGAAACAAGGTTGGAATGTAGTGAGCAGGAAGCTTGTCTAAGGAAAATTCTTGCTGTCATCAGCTATGTATACTTCTAAGTGGGGGATCTGGTTCTCATCGCTGTCTGGCCAAAAAAAAATTCTTTCCTATCTGGAATACACTCCATAATCCTTTGCATGCAATTATGAACGCACGATACATTGACAGCTCATATAGGAAGAGAATCTGATAGACGGTTTCCCAAATTTGGCATCAGTCTTAAAAATTGCATTACCTAAGAGCAATGAGTTATGAAGCTGACAGAAAAGTTCTCCAAATGATCAATAATATAAAATAAAATGCCATGGCCAATCCCAAAAGGAAGACAGAACGGGCCTTCTATTCTCTCTATTTAAAGAAACACAAAATTATTGACATAAGAAGAGAAGAATCAAAGACTATGCAGTCAAAAATACAAGAAAAAAGTGTCTTAATGGCATATCAGTGAACACAATGAAATATAGTGAGGTTTTTTTTTCCTGGATTTTGTCACGTTTGTGTTTTCACCAGCTTTTTAAAATGTGATTTGTGATGTGTTGTGATTTCTTACTCTAATACTCAGTCTCATGTCTAATTTTCTTTTTGGCATTTGACGTTCTTTTTCTTAAAGAGCATCCCAACCAAACCTGGATGCAGTCTAGGCAGAGCAGCTGGGGCCTGCTGAGAGCCTGGATGTGGGTGGGAGAGAAGGGTCGTCAAGGACAACTCCAAGGTTATGTCTTTCCAATATTCAGATAGTAAAAAAGAATCCCCTTATTTATAGAACAATGGGAATAATGAGGTTTTGAAAATGACCTTACTTGGCAAAGGAAACAGTTGGCCTCTTATGCTGGTGTCCCATTATATTGCATTTTGAATGTCACTGATCTGTGAAATCCCAGGTCAGAGCCGGGCAATGCAATGACTGAGCAGGATTCCTGGGCAATGAGTCCTACGAAGTGTCACTGGGCGGGAGGGCTGAGGAACAGAGTTAGGCTCTAAGAAGGGACACAGACTTGGCTGAGTCAGCTGAGCCTTGGAGGGGCCCAGGGCGCAGAGCTAGGAGAGAGTAAGGACTGTTTCCTAAGGGCTGGCCCTGCCTGCGTCTGGTCTCCTCTTTTACAATCGCCAGCTTGGCTTTGTCCTAGCAGCCTGACTCACATATAGATGCTACCTGCTCACACCTTAGTCCCCTTGCCACACCTGCTCCCCTCCAGGCTCCAAACTGGTTGTGGTTCACTCTAAGGGTTTTAATTCTCAGATTGTGTCTCCATTTCGCCTGAATGCCATCTCTTTGGACTCCTCGGCATCTTTGCAGACAGGCAGGGTGGTGTCTCGCTCGCCTCCAGTGCTCTTTATCATCCTAAGTCTCACCCTGGCTGGTGCTGATTCAGGGCACCACCTGGCCCAGGTCACTTGCCCCCTCTGAGCACTGACAGATGACAGCATATGGCAAAGGCATACGAAACTCTCTGCCCCCTCTCCCCAGCCAACGTGAGGTCAAACCACGACCACCTTGGAGGACAAATTCATCCTATTTAAAATCATCGCCAGTTCCACTGAATTCTTTCTGCCCCCCAGGTATGTGGGCAGCTGCCCAAAGATGCTTACTGACCCTCCACCAGTGCCATGCAGTAGATTAATCTGGAACAGTGGCATTGCTAATGTGGTGGTGGGAACACCACAGGTCCTTCAGCACATGCCCTTGTTCAACCTCAGCAAAACAGCCCTCCAGTCCTTGAGCCCTTCCTGTACAAGGAGGAAGTGAACTGAAATTAAATAATTAAAGATTGACAGCAAATACTTCCATGATGCTATTTATGTGCCAGGCTGTTCCAAGTACTGAAAATAAATAAACAGCTTCCTTACCCCTCACATCAACACTGTGATATCCCATTCTGCAGAGGAACCCTGAGAATCGCTCTCATGTACTGAAAATTTACTCTGTTCTGGGCTTGCTAATAAATACTTTCTGTCTGTGCTAACAGGAATCTGAGTCCTTAAGTGCAGATGTATAAGAAACACACTTCTTTATTCCCGTCATCTTAAATCTGAGTCTGTGGTTCAACATTCCAGTGTGGTGAGGAGTTTTATCAGTTATTCTTGCCATCCCATCCCTTATCCCCTCCCCACTAGGGAACTTTAGGTTCCTGCATCTCATGTGTTTCCAGAACTGAAGGAGGGGCCTTGGAGGCAGGCCATCAGGTACTGTTCTGGGTGAGCTCCTAAGATCCCCGGGCTCCCAGCCATTCCCCACCTCTAGGCTGCATGAAGGGCATGGGGTCTTCACTAGGCAGGCAGCTGCCAAGCAAGCGCCAGCCTCCTCGAGTCTTCCCAGGACCATACCTTCTGGAGTTGTGCCATGGTGGAGCTGGGTGAGAACACTCACTGCCTGGGGACCCACCCACTGAAGTCTAATCCCTGCATGGGCCAACTCCACTCTTTTTCCTCTTGAGGATCTCAAAAGCATGCCCTTCTCATTGTTCCTTGCAGGGCACCCAGAGTACCTACTGTAAGGTTGGAAACACAAGTCAAGAGAAACCAAATTTAACACGTGATGATAATGTTATACAAAGCCTGTGTGGCGCTTTCTCATTCTAACCCTCACAGCAGCCCTGCAAGGGGGGTATGCTTCTTATCCCCACTTCAAGGATGAGAAAACCGAGGCTTAATGCTGGTAAAACACAGGCCCCAAAGTCTTACAACTCCTTACGTGTGCAGCAGGAAGTGAATCCAGGTCCGTCTTAATCACACCTCAACGACTCTTCCAGTTTCTATCTTTTGAAAACTACTGAGTCTAACACTGAAAAAACCCCAGGAGCAGGCGTCCCCTCCCCTGCTCTGGCCGGGTCATCCATCAGTGCTCCCCTCTGGGGTCTGCACTGGGCCTGCTTGGGCTATTTTCTGTCCCATTCAGCAGCACAGCTTCCCCTCCCTTCCTCCTCCCAGAAAGAATTGCATCAAAGACTCAAATCCTCTGATTCCACCCAAGAAGAGGATTAGCTGGGCCCTGTCCCAGAACTCTTATGAGAAGATCCCCTCCCATGTGGGGGATGACCACCCCACTAGGGAACCAAGATGTGGGGTGGGACCATGCGGGTGCTCAGGGGAAGGCAACCAGTGAGGATGGGGTGCCTCGAATGGGGAGCTAAGCTGCGGAGGTGGCAGCCAGCCCCCAGGAGCTCCCAGGCTGTGAGTGGCCCTCCCTTCTAATATTTTCTTTGTGATTACAAAGCAGAGTTTCCATGAGTCTGGCAGTTGGAGGGGCTGGGTTTGGCAACAGAGACCCCACTGCCTAATTAAATGGAAGGTGCAGGGAACAGGATAAAGAGATGTGTCCCCCCGCCATGGAGGTGGCTGCCTCCCTTCCTGTGTTACAGCTGGACTCTGCCAGGATGTTTTCGTGAGCTCAGACACCTGTTTTAATTTAGGTGCAAGCCAAGGGGATGCAGCGATGGTGAAGGAGGCTGGCCAAGACAATCCTGGGAGTCCATATTTACCCCCAGCTCCCTCCCCAGTATCCAATGGCTGCAGAGAGTGGGCTTGTCTGGAAAGGGAAGGCCTATTGCAGGAGGGGAAAGGAGGGCTGCTCTGAGCTCAGGTTTGCAATGAGGACTTTTTCAGGGCTGGAATTGTAGGCTGAAATTTTACATCCTCTGGATAAAAATTTATTTTACCAGGAGAAAAATGGAGAAACAAGCCTGCAGAAGGGAAGGGTCTCTCCCAGGTTACAGGGCACTTTCATGGCAGAGTTGGGACCTCAAGATCAGGGTCCTGCCTGTATCCCCTGAGAGTCCACATTCAGTTGGGGGGCAGTGGAGAGGGGATAAACTGAAAGAATGTGGGTGCTGCTGGAGAAACTGAGGGGTGAGGAGAGGATGGGAGGAAGGGCTTTGAATTCAAGAGGACAAAGGGATGGCAGAGAGGCCAGGAAACCAAAGACAGGGTCGCTCCCACCACAGAGGCCCGTCATGCTCAGCTTTGTGCCCTGAGGAGGGAGGTTTGAGGTAGGAGAAACCCTGGGGAGACTATGAGGAGGTCAGTGACTGAAAGGGGCGGTCCTCAATGAGTCAGGCCGAATGCTGGTGGGCTCTGAGACCTAAGAAGCCCAGGCTCATCCCTCCCTTTCGCAGGCGAGGAGACTGGGGCCCTAGGAAAGCAGCCCGCCTGGGACCCTCCATGGGGGAGGCAGGAGGTGCAGGACAGTCCCTCACAGCTCCATATGGCCTGCAAGGGGGCGGTGAGGGCTCCCTGGTGGCTTTCTTCTGTGGAAAGACCAGAGCTTCCTTTTCTCACCTCAATCCCTGCTTTTATTTCCTCCTCCTTGCCCCTGGTGGGGAGGGGCACTGGTTAGACAGAGTAAAGTCAGGACAGTCTCTACGTCAGCTTAATACAGCAGCAAAGTGATGCTATACAAAAAGCTTTGCATAACCAAGGTCTTCCCTGAAGCCTATCTGAGACCTAAAGACCTGAGACCCTCTCAGGGCAGACCATGAGAACTCCTGACCAGAGGCAGGAAGGCTGTCGCCATCCCCGGTGAGGAGAGGAACAAAGAGAAGTGTCCCAGCGATGGACAAAGGGACAGGGAGACAGTCCAGAGTCACATCTATCCATGCAGAGCACCCGGCAGGTGGCTGAGACAAACTTCCCAATCAGCAGGAAAGGACCTACCAGTAACGAAGGGCACAGGGTGACTGAGTGTCCTCGTGGAAATGGGACGGTTCTGCTCTGAGCTCTCATTACACACACAGGTAAATTCCAGCTGGATTACAGAAAATATAGGAGCATAGCTAGGTGATGCCAGGGTAGGAAAGATTCCTTAGCAAGATACAAAATCACAAACCACAAAGGAAAAGGTTGGCAAGTTTAGCTGGCTACAAATAAATAGCATGCTCCCCCCAAAAATTATTTTTAAATAATGAAACATCAAAACAAAGCTAAAAGACAAGCCATTGACTTAGAAAAGACAATTTCCCAACATTTTATATGGAAAATTTCAAATACCTCAAAGAATTGAAAGAATACCCACATCCCCACCACCCGGATCATGGACAGGCAAACTATGGTCCATCGGCCAAATCCCGCCCACCTCCTACTTTTGTATGGTCTGCAAACCAAGAATGATTCTTAAATGGTTTTTAAGTGGTTGAAGAAAAGAAATCTATAGAAGAATGATATTTTGTGGCATGTGAATATTATATGAAATTCAAATAGAAGTGTCCATAAATAGAATCTCACTGGAAACAGCCAGGCCTATTTGTTTATGAATTGTCTACGGCGGCTTTCATGATGCAACTGCAGAGTTGTGTGGTTGCAACAGAGACCATACGGCCTGCAAAATGTGGGAGATACTTACTGTCTGGCCTTTTAAGAAAAGGTTTGCTGACCCTTAACTCTGATTCTACCATCAAGATTTTACAACACTTACTTTATCACGTACTTATGCAGCTATGAAAAGAGATATTTGCAAATGAGCTATGGCAAAAGACTACCACTCAAAACACGTTGAGAAGGAAAGAGTCTGGACTTCCTTGGAGGCAGCCTCAAAGGCACATGAAAAGGACTAATGGGAGGAGTCATGGCCAATTGGCCCCTTATCTGGATTCTGTGTGCATTTGCAATTGTCTGACATTGAGACTATTCATTATCTCTCCTATTATTGTTTTTCTTGGTAATGGACTCGGCCAGTTGAATGTTGCAAACATATTAATTTCCCACAGTGTGTAGTTGTATATTTGGAAGGTTGTTTGACTAGTGTGGACGTTGAGCTCCAGGGAGGTAGGGTCCATGCAGCACTGTTGTGTGCCTGGTGCCTAGCACAGTGTTGGGCATATTTTTGACCTCCACTGATATTTGCTAAGTGAACAAATACATCAATCTCTGAAATGAGAGATGAGTCACCATCCCTGTTTCACTAAGCTATTGCTTTTGCTTCCCTGTTATGGGACTCTCTGGCCCATCCTGTTGCCTGGAGCAACCAGGGGCAGCCTGACCCCCAGAGAGACAGGAGGGGAGGTGCCAACTTAATTAGTCATTTATCTTGGTAGGAGCCGTAGGGATAATCTGGAATGTTCCTTGCACCTGAGGCACTGTCAGACAAGTAAGGACAGTGCACCATTCTCACAAGTTACCATAATGCAAGGAAGAAAGGGAAGCACATCCTTTAGGATGAAGCGTGGGAAAGGTTTTGTGCAGGTGTTAGCTATACCATCTTAGCTTTCTAGGTAGCGCCTGTAAACAAGCTTCAAAATAGTTGCATAAAAGGAAATGTGATTGCAAACAGGCGTCTCAAAATGCATACTATGGTCTACTGTTTCTGAGTAACATTTTTTAAAAGGAATAGAAGAGCAGTCGGTTTAGGGTAGTGAAAAAGATCAGAAAAGCAGTGTAATTGGCTAATTCATGAGAGGCTGGCAAGACATCCAGGCTCCAGATGCCGATTCCTCTGCCATCTCCGAAACAGTGTGTGCTGTTCTTTCGTGGCAAAGATGCCTTCTCCAAGCACTGAAAATTAACTGGGCATAGGCTTGGAGGGGCTGTTTTGGTTACATTTTATTTTTTCATTTTGGCAGGCTGGAGTGTGCTCTGCCTGCTCATCTAACATTCATTAATATGGGAGAGAAGCATACATTAGGTATCTATTATTTGCTTCACTCTGGGCCAACAATCTCATTATTCCTTTTTACAAGAATACAGTAGTTTTGGGCTTCAGGGGCTGCTGGGCAGAAAGGACTTCTGACTGGCCAATCATAATAATCCCACACTCACACTCCTTGCCAGTGACAAGTTTAAGAACGATCAGGTGACTCAATTTGGGTTGATGAGACTTGAGGGCACATCTTCTGAGCTTCTGGGAAAGGTTTCTTAGGAATTTCCTTTTAGGGTGATACTAATGTTTTGGACCTTGATGTGGGTGGTGGTTGCACAATATTGTGAACGTACTAAATGCTGCCGTATTGTACACTTTAAAATGAGTCCTTTTTATGTCATGTGAATTTCACCTTAAGGAAAACGAAAAATGGACATCAAGAAAGGTCCTTTGCATGGCTGGCCTTTTACCCTTGCCATGTGAGGATGCCAGCCTGGAGCTTCAGCAGCCATCTTGTGACCATGAGGACACTAGCCTGGAGACAAACATAGGTAAGCTGAGGATGGCAGAGCAGAAAGATGGAAAGATTTAGCCTTCATAGCATAGATGAGCTGGTGAACTCACCAACCCTGGGCTAGTCTTATATATAGTCTTTGAATATGTTATATGAGATGTTAAATACCTGGGCTATCAAAGCTGTTTGGAGTCAAGTTTTGTGTTACTTGCAGCAGAAAGCACTTCAATTATATATGGTCTGATCTGTTTCCCCCACTCCAAGGGGACAGGGCCCCCATCTCTGTTCAGCACCCTATTCCTACTGCCTATAATCATTTCTAGCACATAGTAGATGCTCAGTAAATATTTGTTGAATAAATGGGCAGGTATTTTACCTAAATTATTTCACTGAAATTTTATAATAACTCTGTGACATAGATGGTACCACTTGACTTTAAAGAAGAGGAAGCTGAATCTTAAAGAGATTCAGTAACTTGCTCAAAGTCACAGAGGAACAAATCCAAGTCTACCCGAATACAGCATTTCTCCTTGTTTTGGTCTGCCACGTGCCCTTCAAGTGCAAGATCATGGATGAAGACGGAGCAGCAGCTCGTGTCTGTGAAACTTATTATGTGGTTAGATAAAATATTTGGCTTTGTAAAAGGGCAGGCTCTAATGGCAGCTCCAAATGCTCACGTAACTTCCATTTGTATGATGTTGTAGACCTTACCATGTAATTAACATCGACCTTCTTGTGGCATTCTTACTGCAGCCCTGTAAGGAGGGTGGGAGGTGGAACTGTTCACATTTTAGAGATGAGGATGATATAGCAAGAGCAGGAGAATAAAAAACAACTCTCCTCCTCCATAATTATGAGAATCCAAAGGGTTAATGGAGTGAAAGTCATCTGTGAGTTGTAAGACACCGTACCTGGTGTGCAATTACTGCTGGAGCATTGGGGAGGGGATTTGGAGAATGAGATGCTCACAACTACAGTAATAGCCAGCAATTGTTAGGTCCCCACTATATGCCAGGCACTGCATTCAGCACTTTACACTGAGTATCTTATTTAATTTCTGCAGCATTATTAAGTCGATATTGTTATTCTAGATTACACATGAGCCAACTGAAGCCCAGAAAGTGATTCTACCAAAGTCACACAGCTACATGTGGAGGAACCAAGACTTGAGTCCAGGCATCCTGACTCCAGTCTGACTTAGTCACTATGCTAAACTGTTCACCTGGTCCTGATCCTTTGACAGGTACCTGTGGTCATTGATGCAACCCATCAAGTAGGAAATTACTACCTTTCCCATCACCTCCAAGGATGACCAAAAAATGGCCCCAAAATGAGATGTGCCTCTATGGAGTGATTTGGGTCCTTGTCTTTCAGCCTGTCATTCCATTATAGCTTTGCTTTTTATTGTTAAATATGATTCATCATAAGAATTGTCCCATTCAAAAAGGAAAATGGCCACCTGTCGGGGGGTGGACCCTCCTTCTATTAACCAGGTACAGATGCTCCTTGACTTATGATGGGGTTATGAGGTGATGTCCCAGTAAGCCCACTGCAAGTTGAAAATATTGTAACTATAAAATGTATTTAATACACCCAACCTACTGAACATCTTGGCTTAGCATAGCCTACCTTAAACTTGCTCAGAACACTTAGGTTAGCCTACCATTGGACAAAGCCATCTAACACAAAGCCTATTTTATAATAAAGTGCTGAATATCTGTCATTTATTGAATTGAATACTGTACATTACATCAAAATTGCAACTGTTTCACATCATCATAAAGTCAATATGTCATGACGTTGCACCATCAGAAGTTGGGGACCATCTGTATAAGTTATCACCTTAGTTCATAGACTACGTAGGTGTAGCATGAAAGAGTTAAACCTCCCTCCCCACACATACACAGGGCACAGGGCTGCTGCGCTGGGTGGGAGGGTGCACTTAAGCAACCTAGAAAACAGCTTAGTATGAATTTGGGTACCATGTATGTAGAAGAAGTAGATTTCCTCCTCCTGTAAATAGCTGGGAAGGTCCACACACACCTCCTACTACCAAAATGCAAAAAAAAATAAAAAAAAAAAAAGAGAGACGGCCATTGTGTACCAGGGACCTGCAGAAGACATAATTGCTAAACTAGAGGACAGTCACACTTTCAGCTTTTGCAGCAGGTCTGAATAGTAGCAAATAGGAGCAAAAGCAAACAAAACTTCAGAAATACAGCTGATGAAGGCCCCGCCCCTGAAGCGTAGCTTTTGCGCAACTTTAGAGTAAGAACTCTTATGCCATTGTCAGGCCATTCCCAATACAGGTGAGGGAGCATCTGCTACAGTGTGGATCGGTCAGAATGGGGGCCAAGGTGGGCATGGAGAAGCAGAGGGTAATCCCCCCTACAGATGACAGAAGGGTGTTCCAGAGCAGTGGTAGGGCCTCACCTTACCAGGCTAAGTAAGGTATTTCTTCCTCACTCATGCATCCTAGGAGGTGAGAGTGCCATTGACACAAGATCCCCACAGGCGCTATAGCTATATATAGTTTGTTATTTTAGATCTATATGTATGTTTAAATGGTTGGTTAGAAACTCTATGCAGTTGATTCTATGGTCTGCATTCAGTCCTTAACTAATTCCCTTTTCTCTTTATAAAACCCTGAGCTTCAAGAATCATTCTTGTCATTATGAAGAGAGGTAATCCAGCCAGGCAGATCCTATAGCAATTACGGTTAAGGATCTGGTACCTACCCGTGGAAAATATTGGTGGACTTGTGAGTTGCTACAAACTAGTTGGATGGCAATTAAACTTAATGGATCAAACTCTTTTATACTTCTCAAGTTGGTCATTCTTATTCTGAAAATATGCACTAATAGCCCAATATATGGTGATGTTCCATGCACATCATTAAAAATAGCAACAATCTGGAAATAAGCTAAATGTCCAATAATAGGGGGTGCTCAGGAAAAGGGGTGCATCTCCTTATTGAACTATCAAGGAGCTGCTAAGAATTCTGCCTATGAAGACTGTAATAATATGAACATGCTTACAATGTAGAGTAAAAAAAAGCACTCAAAATGGAAAGCACATTGATTATAATTCATACAAAATTAAAATCACCCTCTACACTAGAGTGAAGTCAGCACCTGAGCTACGTTCATATAAGGATCTAGGTATTTTTAAGCCTGCTTGCTTATCTTGTGAGGTGAGGTCACAATTTCCATGTGCTGGTTTCCATGAAGGTTTGGGGGAGAAGTGCCCTGAGTGTGTGCACCCCAGAGGGGTGGGGTATTGGGGAGCCTGCATCACCTGCCCCCAACATTTGGATCCCAGCCCAAATTCACAGACCAAGCCTGAAGGAGTGAGAGCTACAGGTGGACACTGGGCACTGTTTTCAAGCAGCGGTCAGCCAGTTGTTCTGGTGTCCGGGTTACCAACTGTCATGTAGAATGGAGAACAGGCGCATTCTCAGCCTTCTTGGCAGAACCCCGCATGGCAGCTTCGTGGCTGGCTGGCTGCATATCCCTTTGGCACCTGGAGGTGTTGCTGCTCTCAGCGGAGGTGACGGTGAGGCATTTTCACCCCGCCTCAACATCTGAGGTCTCAGACATGGACATCACCAGGGGCAACACTAAAACATGACAGATGCTACACAGGATCAAACTGCCTGGCTTGTGAGCACACACGAGACATACCCACAGGACTCCAGGAAGCGTGTGTGTAGATTTGACGGGCAGGGCAGAGCCGGAGAAACAAAGTGACTGCTTGGGCTAGGGTGGCCTGCAGACATCTGAGTGACCTGCACCAAAAAGCCTAGAGGAAAACCTGTCGAAATACTAACAGTGGAAGAGGGAGGAACAAAGGGATTCTGGGCTCCAGAGTAGACAGATGACCTTAGCAGAACCCCTTAGAGATGGTAAATGGGGCGGGGGCGGGGAGGGGGTGTGCTGTCATGTGCAGCAAGAGTCCCTGAGTAGACTGCCATCCCCCTGCAAATAATGACTAGCGACAACCTCATGCCTTCCTCAATTCCCGCTGAGTTCCCAGCGTGAACCAGTTACTGCCCTAGAAACAAGAAGATGCAACCCCCCCAGGACCTCCCAGCCCAACACCACCGCCACCCTCTCACTCTGTGCTGCAGTCACTCGGCTTTCTTCCAGCTCCCAGCCACCTCAGGGACTTCACACGTGTGGTCCCTTCTGCCAAGAACACCCTTCCTTCCCCTCCTCCTGATTCACTTGACTCACGGTTCAGGTCTCAGCCCACACAATGTCCCCTCCTCCACATGGAGCTCATCTCAACCCCCAACCCCATCGGTCCCATGGTTTTCTGTGCTCAGCACTCCCTGATTTTTCCCTTCACTGCATGTCTTAGTTTATAATTTTAGATGTAAGTCATCTGATGGGCTGATGTCTAGCTCCCTAGCTAGACTGTGAGCTTCATGGGGGGAGGGGCTGGGCGTGGGCTCTGCACTGTGGCACCAGGGTCCAGCATGGGTGCCCAAGGCAGACACTAGGCAAATATTTGCTGGATGGATGGATGGATGGATGGATGGATGGATGGATGGATGGATGAGTGGGTGCGTGGATGGATAGGTGGGTAGGTGGGTGGATAAATGGATAGGTGGGTGGATAGTTAAATGAAGTATAAAATAACATGTTATGATGGGAAACAGTGAAAAGTTTAGTTGTCAGGAAGGAAGAGTGTTCAAAATGACCCTGGAGGGGAAGGAAGAGGCAGACGGAGCGGCCGCTGGTAAGTCACACCAAAAGCAATGATGAGTCACTGATGGAGTCCCAAGTAAAAGATGAAGGGGGTTAGTTCAGCACTGGGGGCAGAGGGGAGGTGACATCCAGGGGACAGCAAGAAGGAGACATAGACTACAAGTCTCTGGTGTCTATCCATCTTCTAGACCTTCAAGCCGGCCCACCTACCTCATGCCAGGCCACCTGTGCACTGCAGACCCCCAAGCTGCCATGCCCTTCCCAACCCCACCTTGCACCTGTGCTGATGCCAGCTCTTGACTCTACGTTGGGCCCCGGTGCTCCCTGGGAAGCTGGCACAGGGCTCCTGGCTCTGCCTATGGGGTCTGGGCCTGGACTCCCTGTCAAAGTCTCTGGTGAATGCCCTGGCCAGGTCCCTGCCTATAGAAGCCATGGAGGCCAGGACCTAGTGGAGACTGAAGAAGAGAAACCTCTCTGCTCCTCATACTTGTGTCAGAGAAGGCCCTGCCTCCTAAACACGCCCTGGGCCAGGAGCCTGGAGACCTGGCTTTCCCTGCCACCGGGCCCTCCGGAGCACCTGAAAGCACACCGGTAGAAGAACCAGAGCTAGAAGGAAGCTGTCTGAGTCTTCAGTGGCCACCGTGACAACATGTCACAGACCGGGAGGCCTAAACAGTAGAAATGAATTTTGCCACAGTGCTGGAAGCTGAAAGCCCGAGATCAAGGTGTCAGCAGGGTTGGGGTCCTCTGAGACCCTGTTCCTCGGCTTGTCGTTGGCCATCTTCTCACTGTATCTTCACTTGGTCTTTCCTCTGTGCGTGTCCGTGTTCCAATTTCCTCTTCTTCTAAGGACACCAGTTTTACTGGATAAGGACCCACCCCAGTGACCTCATTTTAATGTAATGACCTCTTTAAAGACTGTATCTCCAAATACAGTTACATTCTGAGGAACTAGGGGTTAGGGCTTCAACATATGAATGTGGAGTGTGGGGAGGGACATAATTCAACCCCTAACAGAAGCCCAGGGCTCAACAAGAAAAGCTTTTCCTACTCCCCACAATACAGGCTGGACCCCAACTCTGACACTGAAGGTAAAGAAGGCAACGGCAATCTGGACAGGCTTTCCCTGGAAACACAACAGGGGGCATCCCCAGCCCGTTAGCCCTCCCCACTTCAACCCCGAGGGACCCCGCTCCTCCCAGTCTCCCGCTCTCAGATACCCCTGGAGGCTAATTGCTTGGCAGGAAAGTTGCAGAGGGCAAGAAAAGGCCTTGAGCAGGTTTGGAGCTCCTCTGAGATAGGGCGTCTCCAACCCAGAGCTTATCAGCATGCTGCTGGGTCAGGATCCAATAATTAGAATGACATTCCCAGAGCAATTTGGTCGGAGCGTTTGCCCTTCCATTCATGCCAGCCAGACGGGACCTCTGGTTTGCTGTTTCTGAAAAACAAGAAATTCCAGTAAGGGATTAATGACTTAATTATAAATGTGGCTTGGAAACGTAAAGGTTATTAAGAAGGGGAAAAGATACATGTTAATAAGAGACACGCTATTAAAAACAGAATAAAGATTCATTGTTGGTGCCGCCGTAAAGTTTTCCAAGTTCGGTAATAAAAACCACCTGGCCTGCGCGAGCGCTGGCTGCCATGGCGACAGAGCCCGCAGCACTGGAGCTATCTAATGAGGCCTGTCTCCCCATCTCTGATCATGCTCCCTTCGCTTCTTGGGCTCCCTGGTAAAAATGGCCAACGGGCCTCAAATTACCTCTGGAAGTTCTGGGCCTGTGCCCATTTGTCGGAAGAGCACAGTGAGGCTTTGGGAAGCCACCAGACATTGCCGGGCCCATAGGAGGACTCGGACATTTGGAGCACCTAAAGGCAAAGGCCCATCAGTGGGAGAACCGGAACATGGAACATGTTAGAGCTGGAAGGAAGCTGGGGGTTCCGGGAAGGACCTTTAGCCGTGGCAGGTCAAAGTCAGTGTCCTCCCACCCACAGGGATGAAGATGTAACCCTGTGCTCGGAACGCCACTACTGTGCCTGTGAACTTTGAATATTGGGATGGAGTTTTTCTACTTACCAGGGATTATACTCGGTGCTCTGTTCACATTGTTATTCAATCTGTACAACCAGCTTGTGAGGCATTATCATTTCTGCATTTCGCTGATGAAGACACAGAGGTTCAGAAAGATTAAGGCATGCACCCAAGGTCACAGAACTAACAAATGGCAGAGGTGGGATTAAAACCCAAGGCCAGGGCTCTTTTCACAGGAGGGTTGAGGAAGTCAAAGGAAATAAGCTTGCTTTTCCACTTAGACTAGAAGTTCCTTGAGGGCAAGGGCTGAGGTC
This sequence comes from Homo sapiens, assembly GCF_000001405.40. Lineage (NCBI taxonomy): Eukaryota > Metazoa > Chordata > Mammalia > Primates > Hominidae > Homo > Homo sapiens. The sequence goes on along the minus strand of NC_000015.10, from coordinate 69,840,559 downwards.
TTCTGCCCCACCATCCTCAGACACAAAGCTCCAACCCAAGATGCTTCACAATGACCTGGGCCATAGAATTGACAAGTCAGTCTCCTCTATTAATGAACCAGCTGTGCCCACATTCCTCGCCCAGCCCCACCTGGCCACCTGCTGTCTTACTAGATGTGCCCAGGGAGCAGCCTGCCAGAGCTTCCTCGATGGCGAATTGTTCTGCTCCATCATTTGCAGGTTGATGGAGTGTGGGAAGAGTAGAGAGGGAAGGAGAAGCTCATCCCACCCACACCGTCTCTTCTGCCCTAAGTTCAACGATTCTTGTGTGTGTGTGTAAATGTCTGGGCTACATGAGAAAGTTTTTACATGTATATAATGCATAGCGATCAAGTCAGGGTGTATAGAGTGCCCATCACCCAGGTACATACATTAAGTAGAGTCATCCTACTCTGCTATCAAACATTGTATTTATTCCTTCTACCTTAATGTATGTTTGTACCCTTTAGCTCACTTTTCTTCATCCTCCCCACCCCCCACCCTCCCCAAGTTCAATGGTTCTTGAATCATTGAATTGAGGTGGAGTTGGCAGGTCCTGGCAGGCAGTAACAGCAGTCCTAGGTCTCAAGAGACTGGGCAGAATGTCCTGAGGGATGGATGTGGGGCAACTGGGTGATGGACACCCCTGAGAGTGTTGAAAGGCCCAGCCATGGGGGCAGGGAGCTGAAGCCAAGCTCTGCAACTGAGCCGGCCAGCTCCACAAGGAGTGAGTGCTCCTGCCCTGCTCACCACGGACCCTGTGCCTGGCACAGTGTAAATACTGGTGGAGTGGGCTGGGTATGGTGGCTCACACCTGTAATCCCAGCACTTTGGAAGACCGACGTGGGCAGATCACGAGGTCAGGAGTTCGAGACCAGCCTGGCCAACATGGGGAAACCCCATCTCTATTAAAAAATACAAAAAGAAAAAAAAAAAAGCCGGGCTTGGTGGCTTGCACCTATAATCCCAGCTAGTCAGGAGGCTGAGGCAGGATAATTGCTTGAACCCAGGAGGCAGAGGTTGTAGTGAGCCGAGGTCGTGCCACTGCACTCTATCCTGGATGACAGAGCAAGACTCCGTCTCAGAAAAAAAAGAAGAAAAAAAAATGAGGAGATGACAACACTTTGCTGTAATGAGTAGACATGTGTGCACATAAAGTACCTCGCACAGTTCCCTGGCATGGGATAGACACAAAAGATGATGGGCTCCATCTCACCTCCTCCAAGTAATCCAACACTGGCCTGCTCTTTCCAAACCAAACACCCTTATCCCTATTTGTGCTTGACCTCAGGTGTCATAATGTGCCTAGTGCCTCCTCCTCCACCCTCACCCCTCTCATGCCAGAACACATTCCTGAGGCCCTTAAAGGAACCACTCCTGAAGCTCCAATGAACTTTAACTTGGGACCTCGCTAGACTGCCCTGGCCTTGCCCAGCCACACCCAGCTTGCAGCACCTCCTGCTTCCTGGAGCACTGTGGCTAGGAGAAAGGAAGAGAAGGGAAAAGGAGGAAGAAGGGTGGGGGCTTCTAGGCACCACAAAGGAGCCTCTGAGAGGGAGAAACCAGTGTATGGGAGCTGGAATGGGCTAGATCTGAGTCTACGCTCTACTCCTTGCCAACTTCCTTTAAGCCTCAATTTTCTCATTTGCAAAATGGTGATAACTTCATTCGAAGGGTTGCTATGGAGATAAGAAAACGCTTGCAAGTTCTGACACATAGTAGGTACACAACCAATGTTCCCTAACTCTACTTTTGTTATTAAGTGTGCATTTTGCTTTCAATGGCATCTGATTGAGAGGACTTGGAAATGTTGTTTTGCTTTGTTTTGTCAATGGGGATTTTTAACGAAGACACTTTCAGCAGCCAGCACACTCCCACTCTAAATAGACTTCAGGTGTGACCTTGATCCCAGGAGGTTCTCAGTCCTACAAGGTGGGCCAGCACCTGTCCCCCAGGGCAGTGTCCTCTTGTCATCTGGCCAGCTTCAGACCAAAGCAGGTCAGCCCTTTCATCAGCTGCCTCCTAGGGAAGAGGGGTGCAGGCAGTGGGAGGGTTGGGGCAGCAGAATTGTGAGGGGAGAAGGCCTCCAGGGTTAGGGGTGGGAGCTGGGAGGTGAAAGTGCAGGGAAGGGAGCTGGGGGAGGGAGGAGGTGCATCTAAAATGGGGAAACTAATGAAGAAATCTCCATCTAATTAGACAGGCTGCAGTTTTAATCAGACAGAGTTTCCTTGGCAAAACCTGTTTGCATGTTTTCTGTCATTCAGCCAACGTGTTAATTAGGCAAATAATATTAATAATGATATTCACTTTGGGAAAGTTTGGAGAAGAGGGAAAGGTGGAAGTGACAGTTTGGAGTTGGACAGGCAGGAGCAGAGAGGGTGTTGTAATTCCCTGGCAGCCTGAGAGAGTGACAGGAAGGGGGCTGAGAGAGAGGAAAGCCATGGGCAGGGCCCCAGCCCTGTCCTACTGTCTGGGCATCTGCTCTTCTCCAAGCCTCAGTTTCCTCATCCGCGCAAGGCGAGAAGGATGACACAGAGCCCCTTCCTCCTAAGTTGTGGGAGAATGCCCTGAGATGACGCAGGAGCTGGGAAGGCCTACTGCAGCCCTGGCCCAGAGCTGACAGGAGGGCCTCTGCGCTTCCTGCACACACCGTCCACCCCAACCTGACCTGCACCTTGTCAGGGTCTAGGGTCCTCCCACACCAGCAGGGAGCAGAGCAGGCGTGAGGTGAGGTCCCCAAAAGCCCTACAGAAATCTCAGCCACCCACTGCTCCCCAATCTCAGGCTGGGCTCTGGCGTCCTTCCTGTCTGCTGAGCTCCAGGGACTGGGGGACAAAGAGGCTCCCACAGGTCCCTTTTGCCTCTGCCTCACAGCCCAGCCTCTCAAAAGCCAGCTTGCTCCCCTGACCCCTCCAGCATCCCAGGTCAGAGGGGTCTCTCAGACATTTGGAGCCAGTCCCCCCTGCACAGCTCCAGCCTGGGTTCCTCCTCCCTCCCTCCCCCCACACCCCACATCCCACAAAGCCAGAGGCCAAAGTACCCTCCTCAGCTCTTCAGTCCTCTCCAGCTCCCCACAGCACAGCTACCTGGAGGACACAGGCTCCCGGGCCAAGACTAAGGGAAAGCAAATGAGCGATTTCACTGGATATCGGGGCAATTCTCGGGAAAACCAAAAACTCACTAATTACGATGAATAATATCTCCAAGCAATATTTTAAAAGGTAAAATTTAATGCAAAATGTCTATTGCATTACTTTCAATTTTTACATATACTGCATTGAAATAATACTTATCTTGATTGCCAAGTTTTGATTGCACCCCCTTAAATGTTGTGCCCTGGGGCAAGTGCTTCATTCACCTCACCTGAACTAGCTCTGTTCCTCGACATTGGCCCTCAAGACCCTGGCTGAGGACAATCACGTGGCCTTTCTGAGCCTCAGTCTCCATCTCTCTGTCTGTCAGATGAGGCTGACAGGCCGCCCTGCAGGGCTGTATGGGTTGGAGGGGATGGTGCACCATGTCTAGCACAGCCCCTGATGTGACCGAGTGTCCTGTGGCAGCAGAGTGGGGCACCTGAAGGCCATGGCCTTCCCTGGGCTTGCTGCCTCCAGCCTGGGTACTGCTGAGTTCTGGGCCCGAGTGAGGAGAGGGGACAGGACAAGGCTAGGGACCCCAGCACCCAAGCTCCTGCCTTTACTGTGAGGAGAACCCTTCACTGAGGGAACTAAGGCTTTCCCAAGAACCCTGCCTCGTAGGACCTTAGCTGTTCCTGAGTCCCTGACACTGGGGGGCACTGTGGGCATGAGGGGCATTCCCCAGAGGTCCTGCCCTTGGAAAGCAAGAGATGAAGAAAGCGGACGTCCCCCAACCCCACTCAGACACACGTCCCATGAAGGGTGAGGGATGAGAGCACCTCTGAGTGGCACTAGAGTGGGGACCACACTGGAATGCTTTGGAATATGTCATGATTCAGTGGAAACAGAAACAGAAAGGGTGTCAGTGTCCAGAAACGTGGGCTTAAGTATTGATTCTTTGTCTAGCAGCAGGACAAGTAGCTGGAGAGATGGTCAGAGTCCGTGCATGGAGGGCCCCCTTTGCCAAGTGCAGGGGTCTGGGTCCCCCACTCCCTGTGGGCAGAGGCTGCCTCCAGTAGAGAGAAGAGACATGTTCTAGAGAGTGTTGGAAGGATGCTGCTGGCCACGGGCAGTGAGGCAGGTGCATGGGAGGGGATGGGGACAAGCAGCAGGGAGCACGGGCTGCCACATGGCTACTGAGAGTGACAAAAAAATCAAGACAGTGTCACCACTGCTGACCTCATGATCATACATCACAGAAGGAACCTTAGTAACCAGCCCAGGAACCTCCTTCCTCTCCATTACTTGGAGCCCCTCCATGACCTCCCAACCAATCTAAGCTTGGACACATCCTGTGATAGGGCACCCACCCCACTGATGCTGCCTGACCGTCAGGCAGCTTGGGCTCCTCTTTACTTTGGATTAAAATACTTCTAGTTGCAACACTTATCAATGCTCCCCGGTCTCTCATTCTGAAATGCATAGAAGTGCAGCCTCTGGCCCTCAGGGCTCTTTAGCCACCTGAAGCCAGCTGTCTTGAGCTCCTACATCTTCCCTCTCCAGGATCTGTGCCCGCCTCCCCCAGACAGGCCATCACAGACCTAATACTGCATCTGTGCATGCTCTCACTGAGCACCTACTGTGTGCCAGGCACCAAGGCTGGGCATCTTCTACCAGGGTGACTGTCATTTAATCCTCCCAGCAAGCTTGAGAGATCGGGCTCATTGCCCCCATTTTACAGGTGAGAAAACTAAAGCTCATAGTCATGAGAGGTACCCAAGCTTTCTCAGGAGGTTAGTCATCAAAAAGGCTAGAACTCAAGTGTTGATATAGTGCCCCACAGTCTTTTCGGAAGAAATCCCAGGTTTCTGCTCGGGGAGTTAGTTCTGTTGTGAGCCGTAACATACAGCAACTCAATCCTCACACAAGCCCTGTGAGGGGAGCTCTGTCATCCTGCCCATTCTGCGGAGAAGTCATGCAAATGATAAAACGTACAGCTCTCCAGGGTCTGCACTTCTACATCTGGGCAAGAAGAACCAGGCTATTCTGGCCCTTGCCGGACACCATCCACCATTCCAGAGACATAAAAAAATGCTGGCTTTAGTGTATTTACAGTGGAGCTAGCACCCCAACGATTAATACTTCCCACTCCCCTTAAAAATCCCCAGCCCATCTTTGCACTTCACCTTCAGGGAGAGGCTGGTGAGCCCTTTTAACCGCAGCCAGAAGGACTTGGCTGGTGTTCCTCACGCCCAGGGTCAGACATGCACACAGCACACCTCCCAGCCAGCCATGAATGAGGTGATTATGAGCTAAGAACCTTTGATTCCAGGACCCCAAGTGAGCACTGACCAGGGGTAACCCCAAAGGCAGCTCTTGAGGAAGGCATGGAAACTGCCTTACCTCCCCTTTGCAGCCACAAAAGAGCAGTTCTCTTTTGAATGGCCCCACACTCCTGCTTCTCCCCTTGCCTGCTGCCTTCAACCAGGCAGCTGGAATGCAGTCCTAGACCACAGAGGGTCGGGCTGGGGCCCTGCGTGTTGCAGAAAAGGAGAGAAGCCAAAAAATGGGATGGAATGTGCTCAAGGTCTCCTGAAGGTTTGGGGCAAGAAGGCCCATGTCAAAAACCCAGTCTCAGCTTCTCAGCTTCCCCTTGTCATTTCTCAGAGTCTGCAGAAGGGTTTTGTTTAGGGGTCCAGCCCCCCGGGCAGGCCACCGACCAGCCCATTACAGGCTCTCCCAGGCACTGGAGTTCTGTTCCCTAAATAATGTTATCATTTAGACGGCAGCCCAAATTGCAGAGGGGTGCAAAGCCACTGCACTTCCTCCTAGGCCATCCAAGGCAGGTGAGGAGAAACACAATGTGGGCAAGTAGGGAGGTGGAGGACAGACCCACAAAGGAGCCCCACAGGCGGGTGGCAGCATTAACTTATTATGTAAATACCGTATTCAATTATTCCTCTTCCTCCAACAGGAGTCAGCTAATCACTCATGCCTGGCTGGTTCATGAATATTAAACCCATCTCTCTCGCCAGTGCATTTCAGTGGTCTCCAGGGAAGAGAAAGGTAAAGTGAGGCCCCAAAGCCCTGCTTTAGTGGGCTCTGGAACCTCAAGGGGAAGTCTTGGGCACCTCATGTTCATATGCACAGCGTAGGGATGGAACAGTCAGTCCACAGAGCCACTGAGCACCTGCTGCTGCGGAGACACTGAGCTAGACTCGGGCTGGCTGGGTGACCTGAGGCAAATGATTCAACTTCTCTGGGCCCCAGTTTTCTCTTCTGTAAATGGGATAGCGATGGTTACCTGATGGGTGGTTGTGATTTGTGAACCATTATACATATAAAATGCACCTATGCCATGCATACAGTTAGGAACTCCTGTTGAAGCCTATCTGCACGGTGCAGAACACACACCTGCCCCCAGGGAACTCAATGCTTTGTTTGTAGGGTCATCTATAAAGGGGGAAAGAGCCCAAGGCCCAGAGGGACGGCAGGGCAGGTGAGGGGTGGAGGCTAGGCTGGGAAAGGACCCATGGCCTGGGGTAGGTGTAGAGGACTTCCAGGGAGAGGTGGGCTTGGCATGGACTGTAAAAATTACATTTTTTCATTCATTCACTCAGTCAATATATGTTTATTGAGCACCTACTCTGTGCTAGGTGCTTGGAAACTAGCAGTGCATAAAACACTCCAAAGACCCCGCCCTGGTGAAGCGTGTGATGGTAGCTTTAAGATAGCCACAAATCCTTTGACATTCCTCCCATTGAGAGGTGGGGTCTACTCTGTTCCCCTTGAATCCAGGCTGGTCTTCGTGACTTTTGTGACCAATAGAATGAGGAAGAAGTGATGTTCTGAAGCTAGGTCACTTGTAGCTTCTGCCTGTACCTCTGAAAACACTGGCTCTAGGAGCCCTGGGCCTCCATGGAAAAAGTCTGACTCCAGGTGTGCTGGAGAGGCCATGTGTAGGTGCTGTAGTCCAGCTGAGCCCCAGCCTTCCTGCTGTCCTCATCAAAGCATCAGACAGACCGGTGAGGCCATCCTGAATGTCCCAGCCCAGCCACTGGCCCAACGCCACAGAGCAACCTCCACTAACAGCATGTGGAACAGAAAAGCCACTAGCTGGGATGTGCCTGGATTCCTCACTCACAGCACTGTGAGAAACAATAAAATGCTGGCTGTTTTAAGCTGCTAAATTTCTAGGAAGTATGTTACCTGGCAAGAGATAAGGAGAATATTGTCATAGAGGGAGACAGACTGACAGACAACAAACTATCAAACAAGTAATTAGTATATGCAGTGGTGATCAATGCTACACAGGAAAACAAAGTGGGGGGGAATAAGGAGTGTGTGTGTGTGTGTGTGTGTGTGTGCACGTGTGCGCGCACACGTGCACACAATATACTAAATAGTGTGCCCAGGGAAGCACTTGTTGAGGAAAAAACATCCAAGCAAAGATCTGAGGAAGTAAAAAAATGCACCTATCTGGAAGACAAGATTTCCAGGCAGAGGAAACAGCCAGTGCAAAGGCCCTGAGCTGGGATATGCCTGGCTCATACTAGAAACCACACGGAGCCAGCAGAGCTGGGGTGGAGGAAACCCCAGCCCGGTCACCCACAGCAGCCTCCCCTCCTCAGCAGCAATGCTGTATGTGGTCCCATCACCTCTGGTTTTGGTCTCCTAATGCCACTATGAGCAGTCATTATCCCCTTACTTCAGGATTCCTGTGCTACAGATTGAGAAACTGAGGTCCAGGAAGTCATGAGCCTAAAGGGCCACATCCTTGGTGGGAGAAGCTGGTGAGAAGCCATTCTGACTGTGTGGTCAGGATTTCCCAAACCCCTTCCCCTTCCCCTTCCCTTTCCCCTTCCTCTTCCACTTCCCCTTTCCCTTTCCCTCTCCTCCCCTTTCCCTCTCCTCCCCTTTCCCTCTCCTCCCCTTTCCCTCTCCTCCTCTCACCTTCTCCTCCCCTCCCCTCCCTTTCCCTCCCCTCCCCTCCTTTCTCCTCCCCTCCCCTTCTCTTCCCCTTCCCTTCCTTCATTTCCCTTCCCTTCCTTCATTTCCCTTCCCTTCCTTCATTTCCCTTCCCTTCCTTCATTTCCCTTCCCTTCCTTCATTTCCCTTCCCTTCCCCGCTTCTTCTTCCCTTCTTTTTCCCCCTTCCCCTTTCCTTTTCCTTCCCCCTTCCCTTCTCCCTTCCCTCTCACTCCCTTCCCCTCTCCTCTCCTGCCCCCTCCCCTCCCCTCCTATTCCCCTTCCCCTGCCTTTCTCCTGAAACAGCTCATCCCTCACCCTACTCCCTAGTGCCACCATTCTCCGGTGGGGACCTGCCCTGCCTCTGGCTTCTCAGCCTCCCCCACAACGCTGACTGCAAAAGTGCTGCCCCAGATGGATCCTCCAGGGAGGTTCCTGAGGGTCTAACATGAGCACCCCCAACCCCATCCTCCCCTCCTCTGCTCCCTCCCTGAACCACAGGGTGGGCTGTGACCTGTAAGGGCATCTGATCCACTCAAGAGGTCGAGGATGGGGGAGGATAAGAAGTCAGATGCTGTGGTCTGAATGTTTGTGTCCCACCAAAATACATATGTTGAAACCTAATTCCCAATGCAGTAGATGAAGAGGTGGGACCTTTGGGCCTGATTAGGTCGTGAGGGCAGAGTTCTCATGAATGGGGTTAGTGCCCTTATGAAAGAGATCCCAGACTAGGAAGCAGGCCCTCACCAGACACCAAGTAGGCTGGCACCATGACCTTGGACTTCTCAGCCTACAGAACTGTAAGCAATGAATTTCTATTGTTTATAAGCCACCCAGTTGATGGTATTTTTGTTACAGCAGCCCAGATGGACTAAGATATCAGAGAAAGGGACTCGCAGAGACGGAGCATCTACCGGAGAAGGTAGGGAACACCCCGTGGGAGGCAGCACTCCTCACTGCTGGCACTTAGCGGGCACTCATTGTGGGCCAGGCCATGCTGGCCGCTCTCTTTCATTTCCACCCCTCTGAGGAAAACACTGCTATGTCCCCATTTCACAGAGGAGGAAGCTGAGACACAGAGAGTTTCAATACCCTGCCCGAGTCTTCCAGGGAGAAGGCAGAGGGTGGACACCATGGGACATATTTCATAGCTGAGCATCCTGAAGCGGTTTCCTAATATCAAATATGCGTTTCAACTCCAACCTGAGGCTTTCCAGAAATGCTGGGATTTCTGTTACCACTGCAGACGGCAGAAGAAGAGGCAATAGAGAACCTTTTCAGAACTATTCGCATTATGCCATGAAGGGGACCTCCTCCTTATTCACAGGGAGCCCAGTGTCAGGAGCAAACACAAGGAAGCAGGATATACGCTTGCAGGACTGTGTGGTTGATGACATAAGAGATGAATGGGATGGTATGGGTCCTCTGGGAGCCCTCTCGCAACAAGCTCACAATGGGAGAGGAAGAAAACATCTGGACATTGTGGTTAAGATCAGCATTGTTAATAATTTATCATTATTAAGGATGATAATAACATAGCTGACATTTATTGAACCTTTCTCTTGCTCCAGACTTTCAACCCATAGCTCATTAACTCCTCATGTAAACCAAGAAGTGGTTATGTCCACTTTATGAAGGAGAGCATTGTATCTCAGAGGGGTTAAGTAACCTGCCCAGAGTCACAGAGCCAGTAAGTAGACTTGAACACAGCTCTCTGCAATTCCAAGGCCCATGCTCTTAACCACTGACTGTGTTATAGATGGAACAGTTAACAAAGTGTGGCGTGGCCCCTTGCAGAAGGGAGTCTGCATTTAGCTGTACACAAGCCGTTAGGGATATGATCTAATGGTGGAATTTCTGGCATCAACACTCAGAACTCAGAACTTACAGTTATAGAAGGCTCCAGTTTTATTTGTACACAGTCTCATTGGAGTCTCACAAGAGGCCCTTGAAATTGATATCACTGTTTTCATTTTTACAAGTAGGAAAACCAAGGGCCATGGCTACTTAAACAAGCGTCTCAGAGAGAATCAACTGTGACGTTGGGACCTGACCCCCAGCCACCTACCTACAGCCCAGGGTTCCGCCTGTGGGGGCCAGCTCTCTGGCCAGGTCTGCTTCTGTGCCCCACCTGCAGCCCCTGCCTCAGGGCCTCATCATCCTTTAACAAAGTTCTTTCTGGATGCAGCTACAGCCTGGGAGCAGCGTGCCCCGCAGGAGGGCAGCCCCTGGATAAACATAGCCTGTGGTCCTGCTTTCTACATGGCGGAAAACATGGGCCCTCATGAGGAGCTCTGCTCTGGGAATGCAAGTGCTCTTTAAAGCCAGGGACTCAATGCAGGTTTGTTCTAACCTGAGAGCTGGACAGCTTGGGAGTCTGGGGATGTGGCACTCATGTTTGTCTTATACTCCTGCACTGCTGCACTTGTAAACTGTGGAAATGCCTGACTACATGATTTGTTCACCTTCTTAAGAGAAAAAGAATGAACAAAGGTTATGATGTGATACTTCAAAGAATAGCCCCAAACTGATCAGCCTCATCAATCATGAAGGAAAATGAAAAGGAAATAATAAAAAGATATTTTTGCCAATATGTTTGGCAAAGAGTTAAAAGATAGAAAATACCCAAGGTTGGCAGAGGCTGTGTATGGAAAAACAGCTACTCACAAAATATGGGCGGGAGAATAAGTTGGAAAAATCAATTTTGAAGGCCAAATTGGCAATGCCATACAGGCTAAATGTAAAACACGCCTTTGCATCCACCATTCTACTTCTAGGAATGTACCCCACACCTATGCAAGTGCTTTGAGACATCTGTGCAAAGATGTTTGTTGCAGTGGCGTTTTGTGGCTGTGAAAAATGAGACAATGCCTAAATGTTGGCCTATGGGAATTAATTCAATGGAGTATTATACAGTTGTGAAAAAGAACGTGTTCATCGCCATATAGGGGTCTGAAATGAGGATAAGATATACTGTTCATTGGGGAGAAAATATTACAAAATAGTATGTATGGTATAGCTATACTTTTGTTTTAAATATATTTATTCTTAGTTATTTGTATGCCGATTTCAAACTTGAGCTTGGGCACAGCAGGCTGTTAACTACTGTGACTTGGGGGGAGAGTCACAGGCATAAAGAGCTTTCTGCTTTCTATGCTGCTATGCTTGAAAATGTTTACTATGCCTCCTTTTGTATTTGTAAGCAGGAGAAAACTGTATGATAAATAAGTCATGAGAAGAAAAAGAAGGAGGAGGAGGAGAAGGAGGAGGAGGGGAAGGAGGTGGGAAGTGGGGAGGAGGGAGGAGAAGGAGGTTTTGTGAAACCAGAGCAGTGGAAAGGCATTCTTTGGGGGAAGAAGAGTGGTTCTCCAAGTCACCCCAGGCCCTCATGTACAAATCTCTGAGGACCGTTGTGTCAGGAAACCTACATTTTAACCCAATTCTCCCGTCATTGTCAGGCACTCTGAAGTTGGAAAACCACTGCCTCTGAGATTATCAAGCCTACCCCCTTTGTTTTAAAATGGGGAAACTAAGGCACAGACAGGCTGAGCTACTTGCCTACAGTCACATAGCCAGCTTTAGGCAGAGCTAAGTGAGAGGCCAGTTGCTTTGTTCCCTAGAGTATCCAGGGCTCTTTATCTTTCCATCTTTCCACCCTAAAAGAAGGCCTCGTCAGGCTATGGGGGCTTTGGGGACACTCAAGACTCCCCAAGCAACAAGGTCATCGGCAGTCACCCTCCCTGCCATCTCTGCAGCTTACTGCTCTTCAAGCAAACTCTGAGGATGGAGCTTTTAGGCCACAGACTTAAGTGCTTATCTCTCTCCCTGGCTTCTCTTAAATCAATTACCTGAAATCAATTTAGAATCTACTTTGGCAGAAATATTAGCTGGTCAATTCTTATCATCTCCATCAATGCAATGTTTCCTCAGTCAGGTCAGGGTTCTCCTGGCCCTTTCCTCCCAGGGGCTGAGCTAACACTGATGAAGGCAATGGCTGTGGGGGTTACCACCTACACATAGCTAAAGGCCAGCCACCCGCTGCTGTGCCCTCTCCACACTACAGGGCCTCTGCCAGGCCACCAGCCTGAGTCTTGAAGGTACAGGTAATGTCTGCTGTGCTGGGACCCTCGGGGGCTGGGGGGATGCCACAGAATCCCTGATCTTGTCTGTCTAGATGCAACATCCAACCAGCTCCACTGCCCTGCTCCTACAGCCCGGTGCTGCTGTGAATGCGGCTGTGGGCAGGAGAAGGGCGCGTCCCCCAAGCCTATCTATGGGGTCGGGTCTATCGTTTCTAGCTTCCTTTGGTGCACAGCAGGTTAGAGGGACGGGGTGAGGCTCCACCTTGCTCTGAGAACCAATACCTGCAGCTCTCTCAGTTGCTTCTCAGCATCTCTCTCTCTCTCTCTCTCTCTCATTATTTTCTACTCTGCATCCAAAACTCCTCCCCTCCCTGCCCTACATCTAGAGAGTCCCCATTGCCTCTCAGGTGGAGATCAAAGGGAACTAGCAGGCATCTCCTCCAAATGTACTGTTTATGCCCTTTGAAGCTCAAAAGGCCAAGAGCTGTCCCTGTCACTCACTGGGTCTGCAGCCACATGCCTCACAGCTGACCACAGCAAGATGAGGTACATGGACAAAAGGAGAAGCTGGGAACACAAATGGACCAAGGCTTTGCAGAGGCACCTTCCTCCTGCCTCCAAGATGCTCCTGACCCACACTGGCCTCCCGCAGGAGCTCCCCCTCTTCTCTGCCTGTCTAAATTCCCTAGGGCCAGACCAAGGGCCACCTCCTCCAGGAGCTCCTGGATGGCTCCGAGGACCCCCTTCAGAGTGCCTGGAGTTCTGGCATTCTCAACAGGTGCAAGTCTGCAGTACATTCACCTTCTTAAGTTCTGCCAGGGTGTCTGACGTGTGTGAGCGTGCATGCATGCATGCATGTGTGTGTGCATCTTTGCACACCAACACACATGCCTACTTGCACTCATGTGCTTGTGTTTCATCTGCCCCACTGGACTGCAGACTCGAAACTTCCTTATTGGGCTAGGCATGGTGGCTCTCCCCTGTAATTCCAGCACTTTGGGAGGCCGAGGCGGGCAGATCACCTGAGATCAGGAGTTTGAGATCAGCCTGGCCAACATGGCGAAACCCCGTCTCTACTAAAAATACAAAAATTAGCTGGGCGTGGTGGCCCATGCCTGTAGTCCCAGCTACTTGGGAGGCTGAGGCAGGAGAATTGCTTGAACCCAAGAGGCAGAGGTTGCAGTGAGCCAAGATCGCGCCGTTGCCCTCCAGCCTGGGCGACAGAGCAAGACTCCATCTCCAGAAACAAAAACAAAAACAAAAACAAAACAAAACTTCCTTATCGCTCCAGGCCCTAGCATACCGCTGTTATTGTTGGTTGGAATGTAATGGAAACACCCAGCTGGGACATGAGGCCAGAGTTGGGCCACCAACCCTGAGTCATCGCACTATTCTGAGGGAGTTAGTCTCCTTTCTGGCCTCAGTTTCCTTCTCTGCAAAATTAGGAAGGTAGACCCTGTGTTCTGCAAGATCCCTCCAGGGGACATAATTCATCTAAACATAGCACCAGAACTATGACTCATCCTGAATCCCCATTCTCCCCAGCCCCTGACTCTGTGCTGGGCAATTGAGAATTCAATAAATATTTAGCTGATTGATGTAAGCAAAGCACAAAAGTCATTGAAAGGGACGTTAAGCTTCCAAGAAACACTGAAACCGTCCATGGTATCTCTCTCTTGTGAATTCTCTCAGAGGGCAGAAAGCATAAGTAAAGTAGGCAGCCGATTTTTTTTCTCTTTAAAGTCAAAGACCCATAAATCATGCATGTGCAAATTCATTTCATAATTAACATCACTGGGTATATGTCTGCAAAAGTTGTGCTTCAGCTGGGTGAGATGTTCTGCTAATTAAAGGCTTATTTTGTGATGGGAATCATTTTGTGGAAGCTACTTCACTCGCACTAGTTTAGATTTTTTTTTAATGACCCATAGGCTCTGCAAAGTGAGTCAACTGATGTTGCTGCGCAGCTCACGGCTTATTAGATAGTAACGCCGCGTGCACCCCAGAGCCTCCATTTTCAGACGCAGCCAGGGGCAAGTGTGTTCTTAGAGTCACAAAGAACACATGCAGAGAGAGCCTCAGAGCTGGCAAGGGAACCAGCAGGTGGTTGGAGATAACTGAGGCCTGGAGAGGGAAAGGGATTGCCCAGGGCCTCCCAGCAGACTGGCAGAACCCCGTTTGAGAATGGGATTTCTCTGCAATCCCTAGCCCTTTGTCCACTCTCCCTGGCCCCCACATTGCATGTGCTTGTGCACACGCCAAGTGGCCCTGGTGGTCTCAGGAGCTCTGGCTTCGATCACTGTGCTAGCCGGCGATGCAGAAGCACTCAGTAGGTAAGCCTGCTCACCGCTTTGCTGAGCACCCCCTGGAAGCAAGAAAATTGGAAAGAGACAGCTGGGATGGAGTCTTAACTATTTTAATAATGTTCAGTACCATGGCTGTTGCTGGGAGATTAGCAGGGAAATGTAACGGTGTGTAATTTTTCCTAAGAATTCCATTAACAAAATCAAATGGGCAGATGGAGGGGGAAGTGGTGGGGCAGGGGGATGAAAAGCTTTCTGGAGGCTTCCTTGGGAGGGAGTTTCTGGGCTCAGAATCTTAGCAGAACCTCTTTGGTGTGAATTCCAGACTCCTTCCGGCCTTCTCTCATCTTTCCTAACTCTGCCTATCATCCGTGTGGGGCAAGCAAGGCAGGGTAAAGAGAACAAGGAGACCTGAGTTCAAATTCCATTCTATCTCCTCCTCACTGTGTGGCCCTGGGCAAGTGGCTTAAGCTCAGTGAGCGTCAGCTTCCTCACCTGCATCTAGGAAGATCCACACAGGGCTATTCTGAGGATCAGAGATGGTGCATTATAAAGTATGAACAGAGAACCTGATGCAAAGTGGCCCTGGGTAAATTGCCTATCATTGGTTAACTCTTCAAGTGTCCCCTCTCTGGCCCATCCAGACCTGTAGGATTCACTTCTCATGCCATTGTTTCTACATCTGGAGCATTCTCTCTGCACACCGGGCCAGGGCCATGTGCCCAGAACAAAGCAGGAGAAGGAAAAACATGGTCTCCACCCTCCAGGTGCTTACTGGGAGTTGGGGACATCAGACACTGCCATCCACTCCTCTCCAGTCAAAAGAGTGTGCTCCCAGACAGTATTACACCAATCAATCTCAAAAGCACAGGGAGAAAGGAACTATGGAACCCATTTTACAGATGAGGAAAGTAAGGCTCTGACAGGTTGTCCTTTGCATTAGGTCACACAGCTAGTCAGTAGCAGAGTTTAAAATGGAGCCCAAGTGTCCAGATTTGAAAGCCCCAATTATTTCTCCAATATCTGTGTATTACCTGTATCTGTCCCCTCCAGTTTCACAATATCTGTGTATTTCACAATACAATATCTGCGTATTTCACAATACAATATCTGTGTATTACCTGTGTCTGTCCTCTTCTGATTATTTTCTAATTTTCTACTTGGTTAGGTCTTGCACTATCAATTAGACCATAAGCTCCTTGAAGGCAGTAGTTTTTCGCACCTTCTATCTTCCATGAAGCTAGTACACACACAGTAGGGGCTCAAGTAAGGCTTATAGAATCAAATGGACAAAGACCCTTCCAGACACAGTTTCCTTAATAAATCCAGACTTTCTTGGAATTGTCACTTTCCCTCATCCTGCAGTCTTTATACACACACACACACACACACACACACACGCACACACACACACATGCTCACACACACACCACGCACACACACACACAGAGCTTGCAAAATCGAATAACAACCAGTTTAAAAACATACTAAAAACAGAAAATTTATGTAGCATGACCCAAATTGAATTATACATTACAGCACTATAATTGATTTTTTAGAAGAGAGATTAAATTTATTTTATGCCTCACTAACTAACAGCTAGATTTACCTAATTGCTTGGAGTGCAGAGTTAGTATGATTCATTAAACTCCATACATGCTTGGGTACACTGCGCACTGAGTAAAGCTTCCCTGCTCGCAGCAATTAACAAGGAGAAACCCGAGGCCGCACCAGTAATTGACGAGAACAATACAGCCTGAAGTTTGCTGTGGGTGTTTTATCAAGTTCTTTGAGCAAAATGCAGATACTGTGCATTCTGGTAAAGCACCTCCAACAAATCAGAGACAACTAATTCTCATTCTCTCTCTCTCTCTTTCTCTCTGTCTCTCTCCCTCTCCCTCAACTCTGCTGTGATGGGGAGGGGAAGAAGAAAAGAAAAGGGGAGAAAAAGCAAAATGTACGTCTTATCTTGGTTTAATTACATCAATCATAACAGTTCTTTAAAAAACCTCACCAGCATCTGACAGCATGCAGGCAAAGTCAGTCAGCCGAACAAAGAGTGAGTTTGGGTGGAATCAGTAATTATATACACATTATCAAAAAGGTAGCAATTTAGGAAAACTGAAAAAATATGCTAATTTCTGATAGCAAGAGAAAATTAGAACTCTCTGAACCATTTATTTATTAATTATTATTAATAATGAAGAACATTTCCAAGTGGCATACATTCAAATAATAAGTGTGATTTCCTTTATCGGTGCCCATCCCTGTCTAGATGTGTTTACGGGTTTTGAAGACATCACACACATACACACACACCACTTCCCCCTCATTCAAAAGCCACACACGGATTTTTTACACTGACTCCCAGGACCAGTAAGATGTATGTTTTGACTGGTCTGTCTATAAAATAGATTACATTGCTCTGACAGTATAATACCTTAAGTTGTAGGTTTTCGCAGTTATGGAAACAGAGAAAGAAAAGCTCTCACATCCCCTTACCACATCTCTAGGGTTCCTGTGCCTGTATTTTGGGGTTGAAGCAATTTGCTTTGCTCTGGGAGAGGGATTTAAGATGTAAAAACGTCAGTCACAGCTTGCATTTTCCAGGAATGGACAATAAAACTGGGGATGCAAGACGTATTAGACATCAATATGCTGCCATGAAACAGGCCTTCCCTTTCTCTGGACTCCTCCCAAGATAAGCAAGTGGCATCCTGCAGCCCTGCTAAACCTGGCTGGGCCAGGAGTGGACACGTGACCTAAGCTGGACCAATCACAGTCTCTCTTGTGCAGATTTGAAACTGAAATGAGAGCCACAGTGATTGGTGGCTATTTGGAGTCCAGGTATACCAGAACTGGACACTCCAGAGAGACGTCCCACCAACTCCATCTTCTGAGGTCTCCAAAGCTACGTAGATCCAGAGGTTCTGCTCTGCTTCTATTCTGTAGATGCCCAGGATTCCTTCTCTGAGTCCTCCCTCTGCCTTAAGTCGCCAAGTCCATTTCCGTTATTCGCACCCAAAGAGCACTACTTGATACCCAGAGCTAAGGAAAGAACACAAGGCACTGTGAAGGCTGGTGCTTCAGGCACCACTGCTTGTACCATCCCTGGTGGAAGATTCAGGAATTTGGGGATGTTTGGAGCTGACCAGGACCTTAAAGGGCTTCTACTCCGGAGGTTTGCAAACTGAGTTCCCAGGGGCAGCCCTTGTGAGAGCCCAAGGGGATGCCACACTGAGGTCCTGCGCCCTCCTAGCATTCGGTGGTATATAGCTTCTGCTCCTGGTGAGTTTCAAAGCATTCTGCCGCTGCACACACCCCACCTTTGAAAACCAGTGCTCTCGTCCAGCCTGTCATTTTACAGACTGGAGAACTGAGTCTAGAGGGGTTTTAAGTTACTTGTTCAAGGCCACAGAGCTGAATCGATGCAGAAATGACTTGAACCCAAGTTTCTGGATATTGACCATGTTTCCACTGCATCATGACATATTCCAAAGCATCCCAGTGTGGTCCCCACTCTAGTGCCACTCAGATGTGCTCTCATCCTTCACCCTTCATGGGACATGTGTCTGATTGGGGTTGGGGGAGGTCCGCTTTTCTCATCTCTTGCTTTCCAAGGGCAGGACCTCTGGGGATGCCCCTCATGCCAACAGTGCCCCCCAGCGTCAGGGGCTCTGGAACGGCTAAGGTCCTACAAGGCAGGGTTCTTGGGAAAGCCTTAGTTCCCTCAGTGAAGGGTTCTCCTCACAGTAAAGGCAGGAGTTTGGGGTGCTGGGGTCCCTGGCCTTGCCCCATCTCCTTGCCTCACTCAGGTCCAGGCCCCAGCAGCATCCAGACTGGAGGCAGCAAGCCCAGGGGAGGCCATGGCCTGCAGGCACCCCGCTCTGCTGCCACAGGACACTCGGTCCCACCAGGGGCTGTGCTAGACATGGTGCACCGTCCCCTCCAACCCATACAGCCCTGCAGGGCGGCCTGTCAGCCTCATCTGACAGACAGAGAGATGGAGACTGAAGCTCAGAAAGGCCACGTGATTGTCCCGAGTCAGAGACCTACAAAGCAGCAGAAGCCAGGTTCGAGTCCATGTCCATCAGAGGCAGCTCGAAGGCTGTCACCTACGACAACCCATGGACTCAGTCCAGAGGCTCCTGGCAGCTGGTGTTCTGGAGGTCTGGACTTGGTCCACTTCCAAACCCAGATGTCTGTGAAGCATCTCAGGTCGGAGACCTGTGTCTGAGGACCGTGGCGGGAGAAGACCTGGCCCCTGTCCTCAAGGAGCCTCTAGTCTAAGTGGGAAAACAAGCTTAACACCCTGGAGGTTTTCCGCCCCTGCTTCCTCCCTGCTAACCACCCTTCCCCACCAGTCCTAGGTGACCTCCAGCCCTCCTAGCCCTCGAGCTGGTTGGTTCCTGGACATGGTCCCAGAGAAGAAGCCATGTCCCTGGACACGCACGTGAAGGAAGCTGCTGAGGGAAGAGACATTTTCCCAAGTCAGATCCATCCATCCATCCATTCAGTAAGCATGTGTGGAGCTCAGGGTGTCACCCCTGTGCTGGGCAGCCATCGGGGACGCAGAGACACACACAGCCCTGTGCCTGAGGAAGTGTGCAATGCATGGGCCTTGACTGGTCAGTGAGGGTCTTGTAGGCCAGGGCCAAGGACTGGATAGAGCAGCATCTGAATAGTCCTGAGTTTGGGACCAGAGACCTAGTCTGGTGCCTTCTTTTCTATTATTTTTTGACACATCTCTTTCTGGACCTCAGTTCCCACATCTGCAAACAGAAAGGTAGAATCAGGTAAGAATCAGGTCTAGCTCAAAAACAGCTAAGATGTGCAGACTTCCTATCATAGGCAGCTGCAAGCCATTAACAGCTTTCGAGAGGAGAGATTCCCTCACTTTCCCACCATCAGTGGGAGGGCCAGCCTAGGGGCCCCCTATTTGGTCACGTGGTCACTAAACCAACCCCATTTCCTCCTTTCTGCCTCCCTCCCAGGTGGCCCATGTCTAGGGCTGAGACTGGATTGTTGGTCCACGTCAGGCGTCAGGAAAGCTGACGAGCACATTCCTGAACCACTACAGCCTCAGGTTCATGCAAACAGAGCTAACAGTGGCTTGGCCTCCCTGCCTGACCCTCTACCTCCGCTCTTGGATGAAGGCATGTGTGTTTGTATTTCCCAAGGCTCAGCCCTGCACAGTGGGGAGCCCAGCTGGATCCTTGATGCCACAAAGACAACCAATTGGTTCACACAGCCGGCGTGGAATGCTCTCAGCTGCCATTTCCTCCTCTCAGCTTTGGCACAACGAGGCTAAAAATGACTATTTCACAGGGCTTTTGTGAAGATTAAATAACATATATCTCATAATGTGTAAATTATTAGCTATTTTTAACATTAGTAGTGGTTTGGTTTTTTTCCCACAACTCTTACTTTCAACCCAGAAAGGTTCTAGAAAGGTTGTCAAGCATACCCATTATGCAGCAGTTGGATCGGAGGGTCAGGGTTTTCTCCACATTCTAGTCATTTCTCCAGAAGAACATGAGGCTCATCTACTGCCATTATTACCCAAATTTTTGTTTCTGTTTTTTGTTTGTTTGTTTGTTTTTGAGACAGAGTCTCACTCTATTGCCCAGGCTGGAATGCAGTGGTGTGATCTAGGCTCACTGCATCCCAGGTTCTCTGCCTCCCAGGTTCAAGCCATTCTCCTGCCTCAGCCTCCCGGGTAGCTGGGATTACAGGCTCCCACCAGCATGCCCGGCTAATTTTTGTATTTTTAGTGGAGATGGGGTGTTTCTCCATGTTGGCCAGGCTGGTCTCAAACTCCTGACCTCAGGTGATCCGCCTGCCTCAGCTTCCCAAAGTGCAGGGATTACAGGCGTGAGCCACCGCACCTGGCCTATTACCCAAGTTTTTTCAGGGAAACATAAAGGTCTTCTTAGCCAAGGGCTCAGCATATATAATCATTGCTTCCAGAACAGAAATCAGATTAAGACCGCTGAATTCTGTGTTTTAATATAATTGACCCAATTCTTAGTCACAGTGATACTAACTGTATCACTGTAAACTGGGGACCTCTCAACCTTCTTTAGAAGATGGAGGGGCTTCCTTCTTCATGGTCTGGTTCTCCAGGGGCTCCCAGCCTTGCCAGAAGATTTTTAAGTTCATTCCCATAGAATCTTGAGGCTCACTATGCAGATAAGCACAAGCAAATCCTCCTGGAAAAACTGTAGGTAACAGAAATTAATATTTAGTCCTTTGGGCAGAAAAAACAGTCTAGAAGTTTCTCGTATGAACATCAGCTGTGATCCAGTCTAAAACATCAAAGAAAGAAGCAAGCAGGCAGAACCAGACAGAAAGCCAGATAAGACAGTGACAGCTTTCATCTGTGTAGAGCCACATAGCTCCTAGGAAATTCACCTTCCATTTCATCCCCAGAGCAACCCTGTGAAGCAGGTGAGGCCCCATCCAAGGCCACCTCAGCTAGCTAGTGGCCCAGTGGTTCTGCTGTTGACCTCCACAGGCTTCCCCTGCAGCGACACTGCATTTAGGCAGAGTGGGGCAGAACATGGCAGGCAGAAGGGACCTCAAAAGCTGTATGATTGACTCTGGGCTTCAATGAGAAATCAACCAACTATCAAAGCCTTTGTGCTAGAGCACACCTGGAAAGCTGCCCTGAATGGGGAGCTTTTCTGTGAGAAATCAAACCATGGCTCCCTGCACCTTAACGTCACCAGCGCAAAGATTTGTTGGCGGCATAAACAAACCTGAATCACTGGTGAGTGGGGGAAATTTAAGGCATAAATTCCATGTTTCCTGCTCACAGGCTTGGCATAATTGAAATCCATTTGCTGTCAAAGAGGAGCTAGCTAAGAGTTGAAGTAACATTTAAAGAAAGTCTCAGGAATCTCTTCATTTTGTCCTTCAGTCCTCGGTGGAACCATGGCAAGAAAGACGTCTAAATTGGCCCTATTTATATCTTTCTAAAGGCAGTTTCTCCATTCTGCAGGAGCTCCAGCCTCAGAAGTAATGGTTTGGGCAGAAACTGGTGGAGGGCTTTGACGACTGCACGGAAACTTGGGAGGGTCTTTGATAGGGAAAGTAGAGAGGGGGCAGAAGTGAGTAGCTATCAAAAGGGGCTTTATTGAACTTTTACTAGCTAATGAATGCATTTAATGGGAACAGAGTTGGGTGTCAATGCAACATGATGACAATTCCATCTAGTTGGCTAGATTTTTGTGGCTTTTGGGGAGGAGAGAAAGAAGGACCTGCGTGAGCAGTTAATCACTCTGTCTTTAGCCAAACTTCATTTAAAATTTCACCGTGTTCTCTAAACTGTGCCAAGGGATGGTGTCATGCGCTTCATTGAATCACTTGCAGCCAAATCTAAAACAAGCAGGAGACTCAGTCTTTCTTCCTTATGTTGACTCTGAATTTCGGGTTACATGTGATTCGGCGGAGTGGTGGGGCAGCAGCTAGTCAGCCGTTGGGTGCTTATTACATGCCTGGCCTCATTCTAAGTGTGCCTACGACACAGAGATGCTTCATGGATAGGGAAACTAAGGCTCAGAGGGATTAGGAGACTTGTCCAAAGTGGTCGTTAGAAGCAAAGCAGGGCTCTAAACTCTCTCCTGTTTGACTCCACTATCCATTCTCTTCACTAACGAGCCCAGATAGCAGTTCCCAGAGAACACACAGTAGGCCACTTACAAATCTTCTTAGAATGTGCTCTGCTCCCCTCCCTTGTTAGCTGTGCTCTGGGCATGCCTGGCAGGCTGCTGAAAAGATGTCATTCCTCTGCCCACTTTCACTTACGTTGCCATATAGAATCCTCTCAACCTCGGTGTAGGACCTTGGTGAAAACCCACTCTACAGGTGAGAAAACTGAGATGCAGGGGGCTCAAGAAATAATTCCTAGACATCCAATGGAATGACTGAATGAGGAAACCAGTTCTCAGCTCATACCGTTGGCTGGCATTCGGTCTTGATTTGATTTGGCTATAGAATCCAACACACCTGTGCTTTTTTTTTTGAGATGGAGTCTTGCTCTGTCACCAGGCTGGAGTTCAGTGGCAAGATCTTGGCTCACTGCAACCTCCACCTCCCAGGTTCAAGATATACCCCTGCCTCAGCCTCCTGAGTAGCTGGGACTACAGGCACATGCCACCACACTTGGCTAATTTTTTTGTATTTTAGTGGAGACGGGGTTTCACCATGTTTGCCAGGATGGTCTCGATCTCCTGACCTCGTGATCTGCCTGTGTTTGCTTCCCAAAGTGCTGGGATTACATGCATGAGCCACCGCTCCTGGCCCACACATGCTCTTTCTTTTCCGACCTGTGGACTCTTGAGAAAAAGCGACTCTGTTTATTATTTACTTTTGTTAGATGGTGAAATGGAGGTCCAGCAGATAAAGAGGCCTGTTCTAGGGTTCTAAGATAATGGGTATTTAACTAACGTGAAGCTTTATAAGTAGATGCAATACAAATTAACAATGATTGACCACAGGTGTAATCACTCCCTCTATCTCACCCTGCCAGGAATTAATGATACAACTTTAAATAAAACATGTAGTGTTGGAGAAGGGTGCATGTTTTCCCTCCCTTCCTTCCTTCCATGGTCTGAATGTTTTTGTCCCCCTAAAATTCATGTGTTGAAATCCTA
The DNA here is from genome assembly GCF_000001405.40 of Homo sapiens. Taxonomy (NCBI): domain Eukaryota; kingdom Metazoa; phylum Chordata; class Mammalia; order Primates; family Hominidae; genus Homo; species Homo sapiens. The sequence goes on along the minus strand of NC_000015.10, from coordinate 69,817,458 downwards.
ACCCCCAAGATGATGGTATTAGGAGGTGGTATTTGAAAGGTGATTAGGTTATGAAGGTGGAGCCCTGGTGAATTGGATTAGTGCCCTGATAAAAGGGACACCAGAGAGACCCTCATCATGTGAGGATATAGCAAAGAGGCACTACCTGAGAGCCAGAAGCAGGCCCTTACCAGACACCAATCCACCTGGACCTTGGGATTTTCAGCCTCCAGACTGTGAGAAATAAATTTCTGTTGTATATAAGCTATGCTGTTTAGTTATTTTGTTATAGCAGCCTCAAAGGGCTAAGAATCAACCTTTCTTCCCCCCCTCCCTCCCTCCCCTCTCCTTCCTTCCTTCCTTCTTTTATTTCTTTTCTTTTCTTTTTCTTTCTTTGAAGAAGCCTCAAAAGAGGCTATTTACTCTCTCAAAGCTCAGATACAGTAAATAGTTTGCTTTTCAGGGTTTGTGCTGGGATTTGAACCCAGGTTGGCTTGACCCTGTCCCATAATGTGATTTTCCAAACTGGATTTCTATATCCATTTCCCTGTTTGCTGTGTGCCCCTGCCAGCTTTTCCATCCCTATGGCAGCCCCCCATCTCTGTCATAACTGGAATTCCCAGCCCCCACTGGCCAACCCTCTGTCACAAAGGTGGAGCCCAACTTTCCACCCAAATGGAATTCCAAATTGATTTAAAAACCAGATTCCCCACGTGGAACCAATAGTGTTACATGCTGTCTGGTTTCATCATGAGCTAAGTGTTACTTAAGAGTTGTGCTCCAATCCTAGTCTGGTTTTATTGAGGACATTCTCAAGCTAAAGAATTTCAAAAGGAAGCCAGCTATGCAGCCAGGGACCCCTTGAACCTGTTGCTTGGTGCCTTCTCTCAAGCCAAACCGACACTCAGAGTAGAGCTCCCTCCTGCAGTGAACACCTCTTATGTGGGATGGGGGATGTAAGGAAGGGGACAGCAAGAGGAAAACTGAGGCAGAGGGAGAAATACCTGCCCTTGGTTGAAGATGAGACACATGAAATCTTAGTGGCCTCATGAGGTGTCAACTCTCTCAGGCCTACAGGGACCCCACATCAGGGTTTGTGGCCCATGTGCCCCCTGCACCAGCCACATCCGCTGCTCTGCCCTGGACCCAGCAGGTCAGCCCCTACCAAGGCCCTGCTGCACTACCTTTTGCAAAGGTTTAGAGTGAGGAGAAGGGATACCAACCCCATTTTTTTCTGAATGGAAGCATCAACTCCAAAAGTAAAAGAGTCAACAGGCTCTCTCATGATTACATTAAAAATATACACACCAGGAAATTAAATCAAGCCAGATGATCAGAAAGTCTTGGAGAGGAAGGGTGTTCTCCGTCCTTCAGAACATTTGCTTGTTCTAGTGGATGGAAAATCAGTGAGTGTTGACACAGACACCCTAGACAGCATTGAATAGGCCACACTGCAACCACAGGAAAGCAGGGGCTTTTCTGGGCAAGGCAGCAGGGGTTGACAGACATGGGGACCTGGCTTCAAAGCTGCCTGAACGTATTTCCTTCTGGCCTGCAGTCTGGAAGGTAGACAGGTGCAGGCTCACTTCCTGGGGCCTGTGTAGAATGGAGGGGCCTTGGCTTTGCTTCCCAACTCCCCATCCTCCATTCCCTACAAATTTTCCAGAAATGGAAAATGGTTTCCTACTGACAGCTAAGAGCCTCTCTGCTGTCCAGGTCCCTCTCAGAGCAAGTCTGGTCCCACCTCCGAGAATTGGTCCTCAAGCTGCTGCCTGAGAGGACTCTACTACCTCCAGTCCTGCCTCTCCTTCAAGAATTAGCCAGGCCCCTTCTGCCTCCATCAGGCACCTACTGACTGTTTCTGGCACCTGGCCTCACCCCCTCTGCACTTTCTCGGCTCAGCACATCACGCTGGAAATGTTCCTGAGATTGTGGATCTGTGTGAGTTGTGACTCCCTTGCAAGACCGTAGACCTTTGAAAGCAGGGATCAAGTCCACATTTGTGTATATTCTTGATGCCAAGGGCAGGGCCCCCTCAGTTGAGAGAGTCCACGTTTATTTAAACTCCCTATTATAGTCAGAGTAACTTTCTTGGCAGTCTGGTTGAATTACCCAAACGCTTTCTAAATTCCACTCTTCCATAACCTTCTTTATGACTCTGGTATTATGTTTCCCATTTTATAGGTGAGCAAACTAAGACTTGGAGAGTCAAGAGTTGCGCACAAATGCCTGACAAGGAAGAGGCAGCTCTCAGCCTTGAACCTGGTCCTGTCATGCGCATCCAGCTCTTTCTCCATCAGCAGCCTCCAGACCCCACGTGCACACGTACCCAGCTGGGTTTAGATGGAGTTCAAATATTCACCACGCCCTCCACGGCTCACTCTGGAGGAACCAGGGCTCTGTCCAACGAGCAAAGCTGGGGAGGGTTATGAGCAGGTCTTCAGGATGGGGAGTCAGAGCCCCAGTCAACCTCCTCCTGGCTCGACATTGGGTCAAGCAGCTAGTCGTGGAGCCATGCCTGCATCCCTCTTGGTCCCTTGCCAAGCTCTGGACACACCTGGGTTCTTGCTGTGGTCTGCCATTTCTAGAGGGAATTGTCTAGAGACTCATAAGAGAGCAATAAAAACCTCTAACTTCTACATTTCCACATGTCCAGATGGGCTATCATGGGGTTCCCAGCATCCCAGTCTCAGCCAAGTCACAGATAACCAAGAGATTCTCACTCTGCAAGGCCTGGATTTTCATAGAGGTGACCCAGGACTCTGTCCAGAGGCTCTTCCTCACTGTCTACCACACTGCTGCGAGCCTCAGTGTACAGAGGAGGAACACAGGCTTTGGAGATACTCACTGGATAAACACAGATAGAGCACCTACTGTGTGCTGGGAAGGTGTTAGGTCTGGGGATGTGGGAAAGGGAAAGACACTGAGATGCAGTGGGGCAGGCCAAGTCACCAGGCAATTATAATCAAATGAGGATGCCTGGCAATGCAAGAGTGTAGAGGAGGGGGAGCTGTCAGCCTGGGGATCCTGGAAGGTTTCTTGCAGGAAGCAATGCCTGAATGGAAAAGGCCAGAGAGAGCTAATTTAAAGAGGTCTGAAAACAGTTCCACTTGATGGAGCAGAGGATAGTGGGTATACATGTGGGGAGGGAGGGGTAAACTGAGAGCTGAAGCCACAACCAGGCAAAGCCAGATGCCAGTCATTACTTGCCCTGTGACCTGAGCAACCTCCTTTATCTTTTTGAGGGTCAGGTAGCTCAGTTCTACAATAAAGACAATAATTCCCAATTCCCAGGCTTGGTGTGACCATGCAACATGACCACGGGCTAAGTGCCCATCTGGTGCCGGGCACACAGCGGGGGCTGGGCCTTCCCCACACTGCCTTTCCCCACACCTGCCTAAGGGCAGGCATGGCGCCCCACCCTGCAGGCCAGTCTGGTCTAAGCCCAACCGCAAATCATGTGGTTAGAGGAGGGCAGGAGGGCTGGAATTCATTCCACTGCTCAGAGTCCGGGATGAGTACTAGAGCCCTGAGCCTCCCCAGTCATCCTCCCTGCATGCTCCCCATCTCCAGGGGGACACGATTCCTGGGGGAGGGGTGTCCTTGAGGCCCCCCATATTTTGCAGATAACAGAGGACACCCAGGCATGGCCCCTGGGCTGTGACCAAAATGGTCTGCCAGAGGAAGGTGTTGAAATCAAATTCTTACCCTCAAAGTTACCCAGAAGCAGGTAAATAGATTTTGTGGTGGACAGAACTCAAACTATTCCCCTTCTCAAGGTTGTTGAGAGTGTTGTTTTTTTTTGTTTTTGTTTTTTCCATAGTTCAGTTTGTAGCACTGCCCACCCCTGCCTGTACCCTGTCTTGGGACTTCATCTTCATTGTGCCTCATATCCAGCATGCCAGTTTTATCTGCCTCTGATGTTGGCCCTCCCTGACACCCCAAAGTCACTGCTCTCGTCCCTGGCTTCCACCTTCCTCCCCGGACTCTTGCCTCCCAGCCGGCCTCTTGAGCGCTGTCTCCAGCCTTGGCAGCGTCCTCTGTAGGGTGCCAGGTGATACCACCAGCCTAAGGGGAGAGCTGGGCTCTTGAGAAGTACAAACCCAGACCCCACTGCTGGAAACTCTTAAGCTAACACGGGGGACGTGAAGTAATTTGGGGCTGGAGTACAGGACTTTGCAGAGTAAATTGAGGGATCCTGCAGTTTAGAACCAAACTACAAATAGCAGTGAGGCCGGGCTATGGAGTACAGTCCTGACTGTCCAGGCCATTGGCTGTGACCCTGCTTCCTGGAACGCCGGGTTTCCATACAATGGCCAGGTAAGCTGCAGGGAAAGAGGGAGGAAGCCAGGGCGAGGCGCCGGGCTGCAGGGAAAGAGGCGGGGATGTAGGGTGGGGGCGGGGCTGCAGAGAAAAAGGCGGCGCTGTAGGGTGGGGGCGGGGCTGCGGCGAAAGAGGCGGGGCTGCGGGGAAAGAGGCGGAACTGCAGGGTGAGGGGCGGGGCTGTAGGATGAGGAGCCGGGCCGCAGCGTTCAGGGCACCCCCTCATTTGCAACTGGCACAGCCCCACTCACATCTGTTTTCCATGCTGTGGGCATGAGGAGGCAGGGCACATGGAGATGACATACTAGTAAAAGGCGCGTTTGAAAGTTGTCAAAACGCATTAGGGCAGTGTTGAAGGATTCTGAGCAGGGGAGGTTACCATGGCCTGATTTGGGGGATAGGAGGTGGAAGATGGATTGGAGAGACCAGGACACTGTTAGGAGCCTATTGTAATAGTATATATAAGAGCCAACCTGGTTCCTGACCAGGCTGGGGCCGGGAGTGTAGAGGAGCAAAGAGGTGGAGATGACACTTTCTGGAGACAGCATATGAAGCTGGCACTTGAGAATGGATGGGGTGCAGATCTTCCCTCCTCTGCTAAGTGACTTGAAGGTAGGAACTGGGATCCATCCACCTTTCTGTCCCTCATAGTATCTGTCACAGTCAGAGCCTTACAAGGCCCAAGTGCTTTCTAGGTACCGGCTGGGTGAATGAACAAGGGGCCAGGTCCTGTAATCCCACAATATAAGCTCTGTGGAACTGGGAATGAGGGTCCTGACCTCGTTGCCGCATGCCAGTGAGGGTTGGGGCACAAACTCTGCAGCCAGGGGTTCAATCCGGACCCCTCTCCCTGCCAGCTGCATGACCCTGGGCAAGTAACTAAGCCTCAGGTTGGCTCAATTTCTTCATTGGTAAAGTGGGAATAATGAGAGTATGTATTTCATAGAATTGTTGTGAGGATTGCATGCATATAAAGAAAGTGCTTAGGACAGTGCCTGGCAGCACGGGTATGTTAAATACTTAATAAAGGTAGTGATCATTGGGAGAGGAAATACGGCCTGGATTCTCAAGCCAGCCTGCCTGGATTCAAACCTGGCACTGCTGCTTGTTAGCTGTGTGTCCAGAGGCAAACTTCTTAGTCTGTCTGGGTCTCAGTTTGCTTACCTGTCAGACAGGGTGATAATAATTTTACCTGTTTCCAGAACTAATATTCAGTTGCTGTATGCAACAGTGCAGCCATACTTGCAGCTACAATATTCAAATATGTTCATAGCAGCTGTTAACAGCCAGCATATCTCCAGAGGGCCACCCAGTCCCCTCTCAGACCTTTCCTGAAAGCTAGCAGAGGCAACATTTATAACTAGGATGAAAGGGCTGTTCTTCCAATGGGGTTTATCACTGGATTAAAAAAAATTCCAAAAACCCTTTAAGAAATGACAGAATCATTTTTTGGAGTAAACCATTCTTTTATTCATCCATTCATTCAATAAATATTTATTCTCTGACCCCAGATGTCAGAGCTAAAGAAAACTAAGCTTTGGTCCTTGCCCTCAAGAGACTCACAATATAGTGGGAAAAAAATAATCAGAAAGTAAGGGGCTGAGTAACAGAATGCACAGGGCCTGGGGAATCTCTCAAGGTGACAATGACAGAGGACAAATTTAACTGGCAGACCAAGGTGGGACACTTTTTTTATCCAGCAGTGGCCTCTCTACTTTATACTCACTCTTCCTATGTAGGGTTGCCAGATTTAGCAAATAAAAATAGAAGATGCTCAATTAAATGTGAATTTCAGGTAAACAACAAAGGAACTTTTTAGTGTCTAAGTATGTCCCAACATAAATGCATGGTACTTACACTAAAAAAAAGAATTCTTCCTTGTTTATCTGAAATTCACATTTAAGCTGGCATCCTGTATTTTATCTGGCAACCCCATACAAGAGCTTGTTTCCTGGAGAGAACAAGAAGAAAAAGTTAGAACAGGGAGGGAGAAGAGACTGAAGGGGCCTGGAGGGAAGTGGGGAGGAAAGGCAGAGGAGGCAGGGGAAGGAAGGGTGAGATGGGAGGCAGGGCTGAAGGGAGACAGGTTCACCCTCATTGCAGCTGCTTCTCCCTCCCTCAATTGCCTCCCCCAGTGATGCGCCAGGGAGGCGTGGGGGCATGGCTTGGGAACCTGAGTGTGCTCTCTGAAATGTCAGCAGAAATAAACCTGGCTAATCCTCTGCGATGGCCCGTCACATTAATATCCCTGAAATTCCAAGCGGATTAAAATAACCGTGAGCATGACACCATTTGGAAGGCTGGGGATTTACTTGGAAGAGGTGGCCCATTGGCGAGCATTCCTCTAATTGCTGCTTCATATAAATAGAGTGTTCTTTAATATCGCCACCAGCCCTGGCTGACAGATTTAGATCAGAGCTGTCTAAGTCATTAGTGCCCAGGCCGTGGTAAACCAAGGCTCCGTTAGGGCTGTAAATGGGATTCTCACCGGCCGATCAATCTTACCAAAGCCGCCAGTGTTGCCTGTTGATCTGCAAGGTCCTGAGTGGCTACAGCTTCCCAGAAATGTGCTTGCATCTGTCAGAATTATAAGCAGCTGGCAGCTGACACAAAGGTCATATTTGCTGCTGGTGTGGAAATAGAATCTCCCCAGTACAAGAAATGCTACTTAGCAGTATATCAATTGCAGGCGGGTCATTAAAGGAGGGGTGTGTGTGTGTGTGTGTGTGTGTGTGTGTGTGTGTGTGTGTGTGTGTTACAACCTGGGTTGCCTAGAACCTATATCCTTTGTAGGTCTACCCTGGGCTCAAAAGCAGGTGCTCGGTTGAATAAAATTAAATAATAACTAGTTCGTGATGAAATTCTCAGCACTATCACCATAAGGCAGTTTTTCCTTCTGTCATCTAACAAGTATTTACTGAGTGTTCATGCTGTTCCAGCCACTGTTCTAAGCACTCTATAACGACTTAGTGAAGGCTCTCTCACTTGCTGGCTGTGTCGTTTGAACATGTGATTGGCCTCTCTGAACCTCAGGTTTTCTACCTTTAAAATGAGGATAGTAATACCTGCTTCAGCTGGGTGCGGTGGCTCACCCTTCAGCTGGCCTGTAATCCCAGCACTTTGGGAGTCCGAGGTGGGTGAATCATGAGGTCAGGCATTCGATACCGGCCTGGCCAACATAGTGAAATGCCGACTCTACTAAAAATACAAAAAATTAGCTGGGTGTGGTGGTGGGCCCCTGTAATCCCATCTACTCAGGAGGCTGAGACAGGAGAATCGCTTGAACCTGGGAGGTGGAGGTTGCGGTGAGCCAGGATCGTACCACTGCACTCCAGCCTGGACGACAGTGCAAGACTCTGTCTCAAAAAAAATAAATAAATAAAAATAAAAGTAACACCTGCTTCAGAGAGTGTTGGGAAGCCCTGATGAAATAAAGTTCCTAAGATGCTAGAGCTGGTGATGCTTAGTGTGCCCCAGCCAGCAACAGTAATGGAAACTTACATCAGATGGTAGCATCTGAGAGGTTGGTAGAGGAGATGAGGGAGCCAGGAAAGGATCAGCCAGACTCAGAGGTGGTAAACCAGTTGTGGGCACCTGGTGAGGAGGAACTAAAGGTCTAAATGACTGTGTCTACTCAGGCTCCATCTGAGGGCAGATCTGATTTGGGGAGGGGAATCTCACAGCAATGGCAGGTTCCAGGACAGGGTCTGTGCGTGCTTGTTATGCTCTATTCAAGACAGTAGCCCCAGGGAAGCCAGGTCCTGCTCCACCCAAAGAGAGGGGACAGATAAGGGACAGGCACAGGAGCCTCCAGCAGCATCAGACTTGGGCAAGGCAGAACCATTGGGGATCCCAGGTTGTCTCTTGGATTTTTTTCCTGGCCCTTCTCACCAACCGGAAGGCTCATCAGCTCTGCAACAAACCTGGGATGCTTGTTTTGGAGTTGATTCTCTGTAGGTGAATTGGATCTGAGTTAAGCCAAGCAATTCTTTGACAAGTTGGCTCCTAAGATGGGATTGCATAAAGCGCCATGGCAAGAAGTCCGTTTTCTGTGCTGTGACAGAATTCCACCCAGAATCCACTGAAAGTTCATCTAGGGAGGTTGCTTTTGCAAGACTCAGCAAGTGGGTTGCTCCATCTCAGCCATTGGCACATTCCTCATCACTGCTTGGTTCCTTGTGTCAACACAACACGTTACATGTTTATAAGTCTGTTTTGTCTCATGGCTTGTAGGAGTCTCACATCAGCATGCATCAGCTCTCTGGGTGGCCACTTGACCCAACACAAAGAACTCAAACTTTGGAATCCCTCAGCCCTGGAATCACACCCACCTTCACCATCAGTTCCACTCAGTAGTCCAAAAATTCTAAGCCCCACCTTTGTATGCATTTTAACGGCTCTGAAATCGGAATGTGTCTTGCAATCAGTGACACCTTGCTGTTATAATTGGCAGTTCTTTTTCTTTTTTCTTTTTTTTTTTTTTTTGAGATGGCGTCTCTGTCTGTTGCCCAGGCTGGAGCGCAGTGCCGCGATCTCAGCTCACTGCAAGCTCCGTCTCCCAGATTCACACCATTCTCCTAGCTCAGCCTCCTGAGTAGCTGGGACTACAGGCGCCTGCCTCCACACCCGGCTAATTTTTTGCATTTTTAGTAGAGATGGGGTTTCACCGTGTTAGCCAGGATGGTCTCAATCTCCTGACCTCGTGATCCACCCGCCTTGGCCTCCCAAAGTGCTGGGATTACAGGCGTGAGCCACCGCGCCTGGCCCCTTTTTCCTATTTTTGTTGTTTGTAAAATAATTGTGTGTCTTACAATCTACTGAGTCTTAGAGTTGATGAATTAATTATGTGTCTGAGCTTTGGCAGGTTTCTTCTTTTGAAGCTGTTTCCACATCTGTAAACCGAGGCTGACTGCACCTCCCCAGCAGGGCTGTCATGGAGACGAAGTAAGATCTGATTGGAAGTGGAAAGTGCTCAAATGTGGTAGACACTGGATGCATGAAAGCTGCCACCACTGTCAGTAGGGCAGCAAAGGTGACCTCATTTTACAGATGAGGAAACTGAGCCCCAAGGGGAGGCTTGACCGAAGTCCCACAGACACAGGCAGAAATTTAAGATTTTCAAAAGACTGTCATCTGCATCATCTCCTCCAGTGTTTACGATCACCAAGCCAGGAACAAGCGTGACTCATCGAGGGTGCAACCCAGGAGGCCTAGCCTCAGGAGGAACAGGGGCTGCTCCTGGGCACTCAGTGGCTGCTGGGCTTGGGCCCAAAGGCAACCAGCAGTGCCAGCCCTATTTTACGGGAAGTCACTGCCAACATGCTGCCAATCATTTTAACTTTGACCTGGGATGTGGGTAAGGAAAATCAAAGTCAAATGGTGTTTGATAATAATTCTAGGAGACAGGTGCTTGCAACCTTTCTAAAGAAAATATTGTGGACTAGTTTTAACTCTATGCATAAACTACAGTTTACATTATATCAGAATGAATGTCACAGGCCACACATTCAGATTTTTTTTTTTTTTTTAAAAAGAAAAATCTAATTTCTCCTTTGATCCGCTATTCCACTTTTAGCAGGACCGCCATTCAAGTCAATTCAAGGCTTTCCCCTTCTCACCTTCTCCCAGAGGATGGATTCAGTTGAGGTGGGGAAAACATCACATCAGTGCATCTGGGGAAGCAGGCCTGGCTCTCTGCCGTCAGCTGTCCACCCTGGGCGCCACTGGACTGGCCATTGCCCAGCTGGTCCTTGGTGGCGGCCACCCCTTGTGGACTGGTGGGGAATCCTCATTCCTGCCCTTGGTCCACACCTGCACCTGCTCTTACATCCTACCATCCCAGGCTCAAGGCCCTCCAGGTTTTCTGGCTCTCAGGACCATCAGATACACTCAGAAACATTCTGTTGTTCGCTACACAACACCGGGGGGATGAGGGCTTGTGATGCGTCCTGAACCCCCCGGAGGTTGCTTCCTGCCTATCTATTGGTCCTTCACGACACTGAATGCTGGGACTTCTCTATGGAGCTTCCTGCCTCCCCACGGAGTGGGGGCACCTGTCTCTCTTCTCTCTGATCCCCTAAATTATTGGAGATTCTATCGTCCCCTCAACTTCAGAGTTTGAGAGCGTGGAACGTGTAGGCAGGACCATTCCCAGAGATTCATGCCAGCATTTAATTCTCTTTCCTTCTAAGGACTTTTTTTTTTCTTTGCTCAGGGAGTCATTAATGTAGACTGGGTAGGTGGGAAAAAGTAGCTTAACAAACCATACACTAGTCCTCCTGATTTCTGTGTGTCAGGACTCGGATTCTCGAAAGGCAAGATTTTGAGACTCTCAAACTATTGTCTCTGCCATGGGTTTCGAAAGCTGCATATTTGTTTCTCTCTCGCTCTGCATTTCTGCTCTAGTTACTCTACCATGAGGCCAGTGAGTAAAGAATGGAAGGAGGGTAGGAATCCCCAAGGAGAGCAGTAGTTGCGAATGTTTCAAATAGTTCATATCCTTCTATCATGGAAGCAGGAACGCTGCAAGGTCTATGTTGCTGATTAAATCAAGATTTTAAACACTTATGTAAAAGAGTACCCTTGGCTGCATAATCTGAACTGCAAGACAGGAGATGGGCTTTGTAACCTCATTCTGCCCCCAACCAGATGGGGGCTTCCTTCCTGTGTGAGTCGTTGGGAGAGATGGGCTCCGGGCTTCTGCTGCAGAAGCCACAAAAGCCTCCCACCTGTTCTCCCAGACCCTAACAGCCAGGGAGGGGAACGCAGTCTGTGCTCAGCCAATCACCTGTACCCACTGGGAAGAACACAGAGAGCCATGGGTCCATTTCTGATGCATCATGGGCCGTAGCTGAAGTGGGCTAATCAGATTTCGTGGCATGATCTGGCTATGCTCTCAGCAGCCCACTTTCCCTTGGCTTCTGCTTGTTTTCTGGACCTGGTTCTCCAGTCTTCCAGTGGGTTCAGTGGCCTTCTCCATATCCTTCCATCAAATCTCATTCTCCCTAGGTATCCAACATCGGCATCTATGTGGTGCAGCCAAGAGCTCTGACTGGTGATCATGAGTAACTCAGTTCTTCTCTAACGACCTTGGTGTCCTTCTCCTATGAAAGGAGGTGTTTAAGGCAGGTGAACTCCAGGATCTTACAATCTACCTTATGCTTTAAGTGCTTTGGGGCTGAAATGCATAGCCCAGTTGGTCAGTTCACCCATCCATGTCCGACGCTCCACCATTCTCTAGGTGGCCCCTATCTACATTTCAGGGACTAATCACCCTCTGCACAGTCAGCCTGGCACCCCATTCCATCCAGTATGCGAATGATCCACCCACAATGAGTTCCACAATCATTCAATCAACCAGGCTCCTTTATTACAGGACTTCTCAGAGCCTTTAATATGCTAATATACTTTGTGATCCTCTAAGAGAAGACTATAATACACATAAATCATTTCCCAAATCAATTTCGTCGTACACTTGTTGCCTCACTGCCTCTTTCAAGAACTAGAACATAATGGAACACTGCTGTGGAAAAAAGATACCAAATGTCACATGAGGAAAGACGACATCTGGCTTGACTTCCAAAACATACACACGCACAAACTTGCACATGCAGGAATTCTCTGGTCCAGCCTGACTGCATTGTAACTTTTTTCTTTGGCCGCCATTCAGCTTCCTGGATGCACAGGGATAACCAGTGTTAAGTGCCTTCACCTGGGGTTCTATGCCCAGGGCAACAGTCAGTGGTGACTCAGGGTTTGGTGTTTCCACACTCCACAGGGGCTGCTCTGTGCTCCGTGCCACTCAAGATGAAGCAAGTGCCACAACACCTGTGCTCCCTGAACCCTGGATGAGCAGCTGTGATGTGTGCAGTGTGCAATCCCCTGCCCCACAGAATTCCTGGTGGAGAAGAGCAAATAAGCCAAGTGTGACAACAAGCATGACACACTGGTGTCCCTGCCCAGTGGGGCCTGAGTGCCCACTGTCCAGCCTCTCAGGCAGCCCTGGCTTGGCCTCTAGGGAGAGTTTGGAAGCTTTCCTGACACCTACCCCTAGGTCACAGAAAGCCTCAAACATACCACAGCCCCCGTTCTGTTCTCCCATAGACCTGCCATTCAGGAACATGTCAAAACATTTTGAAACCATTTCTCAAGTTGTACCCTGTCTGGAGAGAACAGCTTCCCTAAGTGTGCGGCTTATTGCATCAAGGATTTCCTTGAGAAGCTCTAAGGGGAACTCCTCAGATCTCTATCACAGGGCTGGCTGGAGATGCCGGCACCCAGATCCCTCCAGGAGTGCTTGACTGTGACTCCATGGATTCCATGGGGATATGAGAATGGTCCCCTTTAACCTTTTTGCCTTCCAAACTATAAATATCAAGGAATATGTCTTCCTTATTATATTTGGTCTTTTTCTTTTGCTGATCATACTTGTATCAGTGAGGACTCATTCTACTTCAGTTAACTTATAATCTGACCCAAATGTGTTTAAACCTAAAAGAAAATTTATTAGTTCCTATTACTAAAAGATCAAAGGGTAGGGCCAGCTTCAGGCAAGGCTGGATCAGGAGCTCTGTGCTGTCTCCAATATATGACCTCTCTCCAGTCCTCAGCTTTATTCTCAAACTCAAGGTAACACCCAAGGCTCATTTCACAAGCCTGAGGGTTCAAGTCTAGCAGGGAGACTTGAGCCTGCTTTCCACAAAAGTCCTGACTTCATTCTGATTGTACTAGCCTCTGGTAACATGCCCACCCCTGAACTAATTGCTGTGACCTGGGAAATGAGAAGTGATGATTGGCTTAGGTCAGGGTCATGTGCTCTACCTCAAGAACCCCCACCCAAGCCACCTGGGCTAAGAGAGGGCTTGACCCCAAGTCCAATCAGGAGCTGTTGTTAGGCGATGAAGAAATGAATGTGAGGGAGGGGTAAGCAATAAGTGTGTGCCAACTACTAATTCACAAGACATCTAGCTCAAAACAATGAGTGACCAGGGAATCTTTAAAACTTCTCACTAAGGAAGGAAAACTAGGCCCCTGCTTGGCCACCGCTCAGGATATGCAAGCTGAGAGCCCATGAGTTTCGGCACCCACTTGGACTTTCACAATCAGAGACGGCAGCGGTGAAGGCATGAACATTGAAAGCTACCAGGCCTTGGTATTCTCATCCGATATATGCAAGATACTGGCAACATTATCATCAAGCAATGGCTTCGATGCAAAGCCACCACAATGCCTACAGGAAGGCCGGGGAATCCTGTTGCAGTCTTCCTTGGTACTTCCCTCCTGCACTTCCTCCCCAAAGCTGTTACGATAACCAGGCTGCGTATCCTTAGTCCTTCTATGGCCATCATGTGACCTGGCAGGACTCCCCGTGCAGTTCTTTACATTTCAGAGGGTCTGGGCAGCAGCCACATGACAGCAGTAGAATCCAGGCATCCACAAGAGAAGACCAAGATTTGTCCAAAGAGGAAGAGATGGAGATCAAGTTAGATGCAGAGGTAGAATGTGACCTGAGCAATATGGAAATCACCAAAGAGCTCCGCCAGTACTCTGCAGAGTGCCTCGGTAGAGGCACAGAGAAGGACGGTGGTGACAGCAGCTGGATGCAGAGCACCTGGAAAGCTATGTGAAGGCTGACCACGACCTGACCTGTACTGCAACACCCGCTGGTTGGTAGAGGCCCCAACTGAGAGGCCTAGAGAGCAGCGTCCCAGGCCGAGATGAAGCGATTGTATGGGGACAGCGCCAAGATCCAGGCCATGGAGGCTGCGGTGCAGCTGAGCTTTGACAAGCACTGTGACCAAAAGCAGCCCAAGTACTGGCAGGTCATCCCCCTGAAGTTCTGAGCTCGGGGCACAGGGCACCCAACCTCTCCCTCTTCCTTTTGGGTACATTTTCTTCATCTCTCCTTCTGTACATTTCTCAGTAAAAGGGGACTTTGTACTGAGGTACAGGCATGTTCACCACAGTCCCAGTGGGCCTGTCACAGAGTGGATGTACTATGCCAGCCACTTGGAGGTCGGCAGACATGTTCTGCTGCCGACATGATGAATTTTCTCCTGACATCAAATGATGATTTTGTATATATTATACTGTTTTTTTTATGTTGTCGGTAACAATTCATTAAAGTTCTTGCCTAGAAAAAAAGATAACTTCTCACAAGGATGTCAGGAATGTAGACAAAGGGGCAAATACCCAGCAATCTCACCTGCCTACCTCCATCAGAAACCCTCCATCAGAGGCCTACTTGGAAAAGACAAGAAGGGGCTTCACATCTATGCTCCCATCTGGGCTGTCTGTGTGTCTGATCCACCAGAAACAAGCCCAGCCACTCCTCTCTGCCTCTTAAGAGTTGTCCTTTGAAGCGGAAATCTTATTACCTCTCTCCATCACAGCATCCCTTGTCCTTTGCACCATCTGTCTACAACCAAGTCAGAAACTACAGATTACAGAAGATGGAAAGGCAGGGGCAGGTAGGCAATGCATTGTGGGAAGTGTCCTTTTCACCAGCCGGCTGGAGCTGGGGCAAAGGGAGAAGCCATGACAACCAGAGCATGCTGGGAAGACACCCTCACCCCACAGCAGCTTAGTGCCAGAGGCTCAGGCGGTGGTTAAGGCTCCCAAGACAGCACAGCCCAGACAAACCAGGAGCCAGAGGCTGATTGGGAGCCCTCACACCTGCCCCGAGCTGCAGACCTGAGAAGAACATGTGCCCATCTTGCCAGGGAGCTCAGTAGAAGAGGATACACCATTCACTTGAAAAAGGAGCAGAAAGTTTTAGGGAGATAATATATATTTCATTTCAAAATGAAGCAACAAGGTAATATAAAAAGGGAGATAGGTGAGAAATGGGAGAATTACAAAGTAACTAAAATCTTAATATTTAAATTAAAAACCACTTTGGAAGTAAGTAATAAAAAATAGACTTGATGACCCAGAAAAACAAATCAGCAAGGTAGAGAAAAAATTGGCCACCTCTCTTGGGATACAAAGGGAAAGGAGAAAGAAGTGACAATTATGAGAAAAAAGATGAGAGACAGGAAGA
The DNA here is from genome assembly GCF_000001405.40 of Homo sapiens. Taxonomy (NCBI): domain Eukaryota; kingdom Metazoa; phylum Chordata; class Mammalia; order Primates; family Hominidae; genus Homo; species Homo sapiens. Next base: position 69,802,115 of record NC_000015.10, on the reverse strand, counting down.
AGAGTTGAGATACAAATGCTGGAACTTATTTCTTGAGCAGACTGGTGAAATAGAGAAATCTCTGGCAAGGATAATCAAAAAGAAAGAGAGTGGCATGATGGTGAAAAGGACATGGGGGATGTATCCGGAGACACAGCGGTCCTCAGTGTATGAAGAGAGTCGGAGAACTCTTGTGAGCTGAATTGTGACTACGTTTTTCTCAGTCCAGCTTCACCTGCCTTGGGACTGCTATCTGTTCCAAGACATCCATCTGAATCTGGCACTTGGTACCTGCAAGGCTCAGTTTTTGGTTTTGTTGTGAATTTTATCTTTATCTGCAACTTCTTGGAGATGTAGTGAGATGTTGAGAGTGGCTGCATTGGCCGGGGTGGGGGTCCTAAAGCCTGATACAAGGTACCAGGAGTGGGGGAAATGGGGCACTGTGAGGACACTGGGTGGGCTTCTCGGGCCAAAGGGAGTGAGCAGGCTGCAAAGACAACTGTCCTCCTGATTTTGCCAAGGGCAGGCAGCACCACCAGCCAATTAAGAGAAACACCCCATGAAGAAATGGTTTTGTTCAGCAGAGTAGCACATTCAGGACAACCCTGGAAAATAAAGATTTATCACCCCGGAAACCCCCACAGTTCTGATGAGGTTGGGTTCAGCCAGCAGATGTGTCCACAGAGTTAGGGAGGGGTGGAGGATGGCCGCTACTGGAGGGGCCGCCCAGCTTGTCTGCAGTGGCTGGGGAGCTTGGGCTTCCGCACATTCCCCATCCCTCCCCCGCCTGGGCATCACCCGGAGCTCGGCCTTGCATGGTCCTTCCAAGGAAGCTTGCTGAGTGCTGCAGTTCAGCACCACCTCCCCAGCCACCTCCCACGCCCACCCACACACCTGCTGGAGAGGGGCAGAGAGCACTGATTTTGGAGTCAGAAGTCTTAAAGTTCTGACCTTGACATGCTAGGTGACTGTCAGCGTTCCTGACATCTCAGGGTATCAGCCCCTGTGGAAGTGGCATCCCCGGGCCTGTCCCCAGCCCCCAGGAACACTGTGACATCCCAATGAGACATCCAGGGGAAAAGCACCTTGAAAGGATAAAGCTGTGTCCAGTGATCAAGATTGGGAAGATTCTAAGCACCTTGAGAGTGGAAAGAGAGAACCTGAGGGAGAATATGCTGGAACGGGTGGGTAGTCCTGTCAGAAAGCTAGCATTCTGTTTCTAAGGAAAAAAAAAAAAAAGTCTTTTGAGGCATCTCAGTGAGAAGGGAAGATTCCAGAACTGTACTTAAGTCTTCACTCTGACACCAGCTCTGGGAACACCCTTAAACCCCTCTCTCTCTGCCTGACTCTACTCCCTGTGATGTGTGTCAGCTTTGCAGTGATTGCATACAAGGCTTGAAAAGAAATTCCCAAAGTTTCATCTGTGTGTGTGTGTGTGTATATAATTTCATGTATACACTTTTTATACAAATATACAATTTCATATTTATACCATATACAAAATGTGCATGTGCATGCACACCCACATATGTGTGTGTATATGTATGTGTATATATATATATATGTATATATATATATACACATACATATAAATACATAAAGTAAAGGAAAAAAGGACAATTTTCCAGCAGGTTGAAAATGGTGACCTATTGAAGGAGGTCAGAGTGAAATGGAAATACCCCTTTGACTGTGCATTTGCTAACATAGCCTGTTTTCTGACTTATTTTATTCAATCCTGAAGAATATTTCCTATAGGCAAGAAGCAGCTCCAGGCTGTACAATTACTGGAGCCAGATATCATAGAAATGGACCTGAATTCAAAGGCAGAAAATTCAGGATCAAATGCCACTTGCTGTGTGTGGCAATTGTGTACCTGCTCAGGGCCTCAGTTTCCCCTTCTGCAAAATAGGGGTGGATGAAAAGATTCCCATCCCCTATGTCTTAGTCTGGGCTGCTGTAACAAAGTGCCATAGAATAGGTGGCTTATAAAAACAGCAGACATTTATTTCGGACAGTGCTGGAGGCCCGATGTCCAAGATCAGGTTGCTAGCATGGCAGGGTTCTGGCATGGCAGCTCTCTTCCAGGTTGCAGACTGCTGCAGTCACATGGCAGAAAGAGAACTAGAGAGCCCTCTGAGGTCCCTTTACAAGGGCATGAATCCCATTCTTGAGGGTCCCGCCCTCATGACCTAATTATCTCCCAACGGCCCTGCCTCCCACTACCATCACAGTGCGATAAGGATTTCAGCATATTAATTTCGGGAGGATGCACACATGGAGTCTCCAACACCACATCACCATTCTTTAACAAACAGGTCTAGTAGGACAATTTGGAGGAAGGAAATATTTTGTAGAAAAATAATAATCACTTTGTTTTTAGATATACTGCATGCATATATTTAACTTTTCACACAAGTGCATTAATGTGCTCATATGGATGTGAGCTCATCTTAGTTCTCACTTTTTCTCTTTTTGCTCAGCTCCTGTCCTGACTACGGGAGACCTTTAAGGACCTCTCTAGCTGTGGTGGTCCACGTTTCTGAAACAGGAAAACTTCAAGGGAAAGGTAAACGGACAGCAAATGTGCAGGGGGCCACAGCTGTGCCTGGAGCTGGGATGGGGGCGTGCCAGGCTCCAGGTGGAGGGGTCGTCACAGTTGCTCCAGGAGCAGAGAGAGTCTGCTTTTCCTCTGCCTCCCTGACTCTGAGTCTCCCTACCCTAATTCTAGGGCAGGTCCGAGCTCAGGTCTAGAAGCTGAGCCGTATCTGAGTTGGGCCTCCAAATTCCCCATCTTTCGTGGAATCTAGGCATCAGAAAAACCACCAGAATCATTTGGCTCAGCCAATGATACTTGTTTGTAGTGGTTATTCAATCTCCCAATAAAACTCTCAAAGGAAAACTATCCCTCCCCTCTTCCTGTAGGGAGTAGGGACTCATGTACTCCCAGAATTTCAGGCTGACTGGCCCATTTCCTTCCATCTTAGGAACCTCATTGGAAGGTAAGATGCTCACATTCTCACCCAATTCTTAGTCATCATTCAGCCAGGAACTACTTCATCCAGGGAAGAGAAAGCAAAAACAAGCACAGAAAGGTCAGTCTCGATGAGCAAGCAATTCACAGAAGTCACAGGAGTGGCCAAGAAACCTGGAAAAAATACTTACAACTGCAGGAAAAACCAAACAAGCGCAAAGTAAAACAACAATGATATGGCCTTGGCAAAGATGAAAAGGGAGGAAGAGAAGGAGGATGTCATGTTCTGTGTCAACAAGGCTGTAGGGAAGTGAGCGCTCCCTGGGCGTCCTGAGGATTTGCTGTGATGAAGCCATGCACGCCTTTGGGGAAGCTCCATCTCACTGATCTCTCTTTCTCTCTCTGCAGCCCAGACTCAGAGAGTCAGTTTTCACCCACAGCAAGATCCAGCCAGGCCTGGGACCAGAATTTGCCCAATGGGGGTTCACTTTTCCTGGCCAATTCCTACTCACACAGCTCCTTGCAGCCAGTCCAGTCACCTCATGTGGGCTCAGAAGCTTTCTGAGGCCTTCACTGGAGATGTGGGCCTGAAGCCAGCTGCCATGGCACCAGCCCTGCCAGGCCTGCCATCCCAGGGTGCTGCTGGCCTGCCGAGCCTGCTCAGCCTCTCCACACTGCCGCACTTGTGAGGCATGGAGCCTCACAAGAAGGCCACCCCTCCCCTCTACCTTCTCACCAGATAGAAGCAGCCACTGATATAAACTTGAGGACAGAGGTGATGCATGAACATGTATCTCTGGTTACACGGGGTCTGAGTTAGGAAGGGGATTAAGCACATGAAAGGGGTCTTTGGGGCAATTCCTTACTCAGAAACTTAGATGCTTGTCAGAGGGAGAAGGGGTCCCGGAAACAGCCTCTTGCTCATACCTGGCTCAGATGTGTGCTTAATTCACCTTTTTTCTCTCTCTTTTCTTGCAGAGAGAAAGAGTGGTGTATCCAAAGGGAGGGACCTTAGGATGAGGTCTTATTCTACCCAAGCTGGCAGCATCTCTGCTTTCTCAATCCAGGTGAGTGAATGCAGTTGAGAAGGAGACAAGCTGCCCCAGCGCACTCTCTGGCCTTCGTGGATCCCTCCCATTCAATTATTCAGACCCTTCGTTTTCTCTCCAGGTCAGTCTCCAGACATTTCAAATTCAGGCCTAAGGACTGAGAGTTCATGGGAGCACCACGCCCTCCAAGAAGCACCAACATGGGATGGTGGGAAGGGATTTGGACATAAATCTAAGGTGGATATTTGCAGAGGAATGGAGTGAAAATAACGATGAATATATTGAGCATGTACTATGTGCCAAGAACTGTATTATCTCATTTAATTCACATGAGAATTCTATGTGGTAAATCTTTATAGGTGGGGAAAATGAGATGCACAAAAATTTCATCACTGACCTAAGGTTACACAGCTAGATTGTCATGGGCTTGGGATTTTAAACTCAGGCAGTCTGGCTTCAGAGCTGACCTGTGCCCTTGGTCATGATGCTATAGGAGCAGCTCACAGGGATTCAAAGTGATCCTGTTAGGGTTGCCTGCAGGAGCAATTTCAGGTGGGAAGAAATCAGCTGTGAGTTCATTTCTGCCTGTAGGGTGGAAATTAGGGGATATAGGACAGGCACCACCTCGGGGAGCCCTAGACTGGCTTCATACAGACCGGTAAGCCTCCACGGATTCCTTCAAGGCTAGGGTATTGAGGGCCTTGGATCCCAAGTTCCTCTCACTCACCACCAAGGCAGGCTGAAAAGGGGATGGTTGAGGCAAGGCCCAGGAGTCAAGAAGGAATAGGTTAGGTCAGGAATGAGGGATGCCAGGGCCAGGGGTCAAGGCAGGACAGATACCCCAACACCAAGGAAGCCATCAGGGCAGCAGCACAGAGCTCCAGCCACGGGCAGAACCCGATGCTGAAGTCATTCTTGCCTCAGCCAGGAAGCATTTCACATCCTCCCTGTGGGCCAGGACCCATCCTCAGGCTGGGGGCTGCCTAGAACTACCTGCTTGGAAGAAGTGAGCCACAGCAAAACGTTGTTGAAAATACCAGCAGCTACATGTATGATGTGCTGACTCTGCACTAGACATTTTATATATGTTATCCCTTTTCACGTTAAGCTTGCAAACTACTCTGTGAGGTCTGAATATTGTCCCCATTTTACAGAGAGGCAATAAAAGCTGAAAGAGGTACAACAGCTTGCCTGGGGCCACGTAGCTTCTCGGGACCTTGGATGTAAACTTAGGCCAGCCTGGTTCCAGAGCCCAGAGCCCTGGCTCTTACTTCCCCTACTGATAGCCTCCTTGGGACAGAGATGGGGCAGGGGCTCCATCCAGCCAATTCTCTTTCCCTCCCCCATTCTCAGCCCCTTTCTACCCAGGCATTTCCATCATACCATTGCTCCGATTGAAAGTTCATCTGCTGCCGGGCACGCAGTGGCTCACGCCTGTAATCCCAGCACTTTGGGAGGCCGAGGCGGGCTGATCACCTGAGGTCGGGAGTTTGAGACCAGCCTGACCAACCTGGAGAAACCCCATCTCAACTAAAAAAAAAAAAAAAAAAAAAAAATTAGCTGGGCGTGGTGGCACATGCCTGTAATCCTAGCTACTCGGGAGGCTGAGGCAGGAGAATCGCTTAAACCTGGGAGGCGGAGGTTGTGGTGAGCCGATATTGCACCATTGCACTCCAGCCTGGGCAACAAGAATGAGACTGACAGGCACCGTCTGAAAAAAAAAAAAAAAAAAGTTCAGCTGCTCAACTCCATGCTCCCATTGGCAGCAGTTATCCAACCAGCCTGAAAGCTACCTTCTTCCATCTCTTCTCACAACGATGCTGTGCGGGGGCCAGCAGGCGTGTTTCCCCATTACACAGGTACAGAAACTGGGGCTTCAGGAAAATGAAATCATGGGCCACCAGTACCCTGTCATCAGGACAGGACTTCAAAGCCAGGCCCCTAAATCCAGCATCCTTCTAGGCCTCTTCACAGTACTGCCTGTGAATTTAGATACATCTGTGCCTCTAACAGATCTTTAAACTTCTTCTGTAGCTCACTGTGTCCAGCTTCCCAAGGACTGCCTGCAGAAGAGGGCTCTATTCCCAAGGCCTGTCAAGATTCTGGGGGTCCTCCCCAGCAGCTAGGGGACATCTTGCCCACCTTCTTCAGTACCCGAGGCAGGGAGGATGCTGTACAGGTTAAGGAGACCACAGAGCTAGCAGTGTGTGGGTTGTGCTGAGTCCCTGAGTGGTGTGTATTTCTTCAGGTCTCTGTCTGCTTGCGGGCGCCCCTCTGATTGGAAGGCTTAGTAAGGAGCCCTCTGTCTGCTGGGGCTGAACCAGGCAGGCCCCCAATGGTACTGAGCCAGTGAGACTGTCCCGGAGAAAATGTGATACAGAAACCACAGAGAGGACTCTCCCAAGAAACGCCACAAGCCACCTGGTGGGACATTCATTTCTTTCCAAGAATTTGGCTTCTGTTCTCTCCTGTTTTTCCTCTTAGGAGTCAGATAGAACAGGTTGACTCGATTACTTGTTTGCTTCAAGCTCGTTTGACAAATGAGAAATAAATAAGGTCCAAATAAATAAAATAATATTTATTTTATAATATTGAGGTGTCAATAATATTGAAGTCCAAATAAATAAAATAATAGCAATTAGGAAAGAGCTGGAGTGACCGCAGAGTCTCCTGACACCCAGGGCAGGCCCCTCCTGCTCACGTGATGACCAAACACTCTCCCTCAGTCTGGCTACTTATTAGGAAGTCTCCATTGGCACGGAGTACACCAAAAATTTGGCTGTGCCTCCACCCCTGTGAATGTTTGATTTGTACACCCTCAGCTTTAACCTAGAGCCCTGGGCTTCTGGAAAGGGTGGGGTTGGAGGCATTCCAAGACCTTGACCTGGAAGGAATTCCAGGAGACTGGGTTGCTTCTTTCAACCCCACCAGCAGTCTCAGCAGGTCGGCCTGAGCCACATACTTGCTCAGACCTCACTACTAGCTAGGGTCCCCTTTCCTTCTTTTCCTTCCTCTCTCTCTCACTCTCTGTCATGAAGTTTTCAAGGGCTGGGACGGCCACATTCCACAGCATTGAAATCACAGTTCCATTTCATTCAGGCAAATGGCATTTTTGCCTGAATCAAAAGTGAGAGCTTGAAAGGATCTTATTGATGGTTTCAACCACCTCCCTCTTTTAATAGATGAGGAAAATGAAAGCACGGGGGAGGTGGCTCCCCAGGGTCACTCAGTGGGTAGTGAAGGCGCCGTGCTAAGCACCTAGGGCCCGGGCCCTTAGGCACTGCTTGTCCCAGTGAGCTCCCGTCCCACTGTCCACTCCTAACCACAGATGCCCACGCTGGAAGGAACCCCAGGAAGTGTGTGGCCAGGGCAAGGGTTGGGGACAAGCCTGAATGCCCAAGGGGAACACAAGGTCACATCAAGGGAAAGGAAAGCCAGGACTTGGGGGATGACTGCCACACAGATGATTGCTGAGCAGGCGCAGGATTTCTGGACATTCGTTTTTGTTTTTTTTTTTTAAGAACAGCCAGAAAATACAATGATAATGTAAAACATTCCCATTTTAAATATAGAAAGAATTCAAATTTAAAAAGAAAGCACCTGAGACTAATGTGTGGCCTCTGATGAAGTCCAATTGTCCCTTTTTACAGACAAGAAAACTGAGGCACAGGGTAGTGGTCTGTCACAGGCCACAGAGACAAAACCCAGTGCAGTGCAGTCATTTCTGGGGAATGCCACTTTGGGGCCAGCTGTCCTGTTGGCACTCATTATGAGATGGCATCCCATGAGAATGTGTCCTCACGCACCCGGCCCCAGGCCCCCTCAGGTCTCGTGTGATTCTCCTTGGAGGACCTTAGCCTTGGCCTTCTATTATGTTCTCTCTGTGGCCCACATTCCAAAAATCTCTGTAAGTGTTTTTTTTATCCCAACATGTCCTTTTAAGACTCCAAAGTGGGCCAGAACATTCCGAGACCCTGCTGGAGGCTGGGAAAGGCGGCAGACACCCCTGCCCTCTGCCAAGCCCTTCCCACGTGCCATTCCCCTTGCCACTGGACATACTGCCTTTTGCAGCCCAGCTCCAAACAGCACAGCTGACATCTCAGAAAAATCTCATAAGGCCGAATTAGGAACATGTCAGCGAGAGGGGAAAATGAGATCCTCGTCAGCCTGCCACCTTCCCTGGCTGGCTAAATCCATCAGCAGGCCATCAGCAAACAGCCCTCCCTGACCCCTCCTGCACCCAAGACAGGGCAGAGGGCAGTAAGTGAGGAGATGACACATAGCCCCATAAAACCATTGGAGAAAATCAAGTGCTAAGATGAGCACAGCAGATAGTAAGGGCTCAGTGAGTTCCGAGCAAAGGGGGACCAAAATATATAATGGCTCATCAGGGAAACGGGTCTGGAGCTAGTCTCTAAGAATAGGCAGAATTTGGGTGGAGGGAGAGACGTGGAGAGGGCCTTTGAGGTGTCAGGCAGAGTGAGCAAAGGCACAGAGGTGGGACGGAGCATGACATAGTTGGGGGTGAGTGGTGGCTCTGTCGCCCCAGCCAACCCAGCCGCCGGGGGAGGCCCTGATTGTTTTGAACTTTGCTTCCTCGTCTGCAGACAGGAGCTTGGGCTATAGGAGTTCAACGTTTTCTTTCTCCTTGAGCAGAAGTGCTGTTCTTTGTCTACCAGCACCTAGGTTGTGCTTCACAAATGAGATCTTCGTTGAATGAATGAATGAATCAATGAATCAATCATTTAACATAACTATCAGCCTTATAAGAAGAGTATGAGAACTGATACCTGAATAAAGTAATTTAACAGTTTATATTTTTCAGTGTATTTCCCCATTGCCTTTTGTGGCACCCCGCTAACAACCTTTGTAGACAGAAAGAATGGGTTTCATTAATTCTATGTGCCAAGTAAGGAAACCAGGGGTGGGAGCATGTTGGGAGAAGCAGCAACTTACCTGAATGGTGAGTTTGGGTGAAGGAGTTCTGCCGCTCTGAGTTTCCCCCAGGGGATCTGCTTGCCTGCTGAGAGGTGCCCTGGGCCCAGCCTCTGAGGGTGGGCCTGCAATCAGCCTGTTGGCTCTGCGTCAGGGAGGAAAAGGCTAAGCCAAGCTGACTCAGAAGATGTGCTGAGTCCATCCTCCCAGGGACCCGAGCATCCCTGTCTGAGTAGCACGTGTCAGAGGTGCTGATATTTTGATCTTCATCTGAATGACCCCTCCAGCAATCTCCCAATTTGTTCTGAACTAAGTGGGAGAAGTACCAAAATGCTGTTTATCCTTTCCCCAAAACCCCAACAGAGATGATAAGCAACTTGGTCAGACAATCCAAGACTTTACCTGGAGTCACCTAGCCGTCAACCTCTTACCCTTTTCAGCTGGAGGAACCTTGTCAGAGAGAGACATTTAAACAATGATTTAAACCAACAATGACTTAAAGCCTGCAGGATTCATCAGAACCATCAGTATTCTCCTGTGCTCTGTGAATCTCCGAGAGGAGTTAGATAAACATGCCTCATTTCCCAGTCTTATTTGACCACAGATTTGTTTCTTTCTCTCATAGGTCCATGTGAAGGTCTAGTGTTCTACCGTTCCATATTTTTGGACATGTTGCCACAGATAGCCAATTGCTTCTTGAGAGTTGCAGTGGAAAGAGACAAAAGGCTTAGCTTCACTGCAAAAGGGGTTGGGTGACCTTGGACAAATCCCTAAGCCTCAGTTTCTGTGTCTTTCAAACAGGGATCATACGCTGATCTCATAACATTGATGTAAGGATAAAATGAGATAACAAATATCCCCAGCAGATCCTTCCCAGCAGTAAAAGTCATCACACAGGTGTATAATCTTGTACCCAAAAAGGTGTACCAGATGTGGGATTTACAAAAAAGATCAATGGACAAGTAACTCTTTCTTTGACCAAAGAACTCTCTGAGTTGCAAAAGGACTAACAAGGTTTTTTAAAGCTGCAAACCCCTGTTGACCTCTCTCCCCCAGGCTAATTTAGAAGAGAGTACAATTTTAAAGACTTCAACCTACCAGAAGCAGGTCTATTTATAAACCAAAGCTCAGGCGCAGAATTCTGTGAGTTCACTTCCATGCTCAGCAAGGTCCCCTTATCATCTCTGGAGCCCTGCCTAGTAATTAAGACCCTGAGTCCACCACTTCTCCATTAGGGTTTTCCTCTGAGATGCCCTATACGAGTTCCTTGCAGACTCAGATCCTCATCCCCACATGCCCAAGCCAAGTTCATTCCAGTCTTCTGGATGCCTGGGATTGGCTCCTCCCTGTGGCAAAGTTGGCTGGTTACCCCTGATAATGCACTCTCCCCATGCATGCCCCTCAGTGATAGAACTTAAGACTGCATTTCCCAGACTCCTTGTGGAGGTAGAAGTGGCTGCAAGAAGAAGTTCTATCAATGAGATATGTTTGGAAGTCACACGTACCAGTTCTGGGTCAGCCTGTCCTGAATGGGAATGACTTTTCTTCAATTTCTACTTTTCCTCTTCCTGTAGGTTAGAATAGTGATGAGATGGCAGGCTCTAGAGCAGCCGTTTTGAACCGTATGGTGAAGGTTGTTGATTGAGAATGGCAGAGCAACAAGGTGGATGGGGCCTGGGTCTCCAAAACCATGAAACTGCCGTAGGAGCCCTGGACTGCTTAAATTAATACTGTTATCGGGGGAGCAATACACTTCTGTTGTGTTTAAGACATTGTTGTTTTGGCCTTTCAGTTACAGCAGCTGAACTACTTCTCTTTGCATAACTACTTCTAACTGCTCTTTAAAACCCATGATATCTGCCCTTCCATGCCACACCACCCAGCCCAGAACCTATTGCCTATACCAAATCTTGATGCACTGAATTCTGTTTGATTTAACTTTATTGGCCCCAGTATAGAGTGTGCTGAACACCATGAAAAGATAGTTACAGAGTTGCTTTATATGACCTTCACTTGTTCTTGCTTGGTTTGGTGTCTCTGCTGCAGGTATATTCTCCCAAACAGTGCTGTGTACCACTGCAGGGCAGGGCCAGGTCACAGACCTGTGTCACCACCGTTCATGGTGCATAACACTCAATTGAGACCAAAAGAAACCAATGGGGACATAAAGCCAGCCAAGGCTGGTGGGGTGTGGCAGGGGACAGTCCCGGCGCTGAGCCTTTAAATACAACCTGATGTCAGAGAACTCTGACATGTAACTCGAGACAAGACCTGCTATAATAGGATCCTTCCAACGTGGAAAAATAAGGTAGGCCGACTGCCGCCACCATGGAGAGGCGACAAATATTTGCGCTCCGGCGTAAGGATGCCTGGCTGACTCTGTGCTGTCACAGGGAGACATGCACACCTGTTGCAGCTGGAGCACAGTCAACCCCAGCCAGCCACCCTCAGATAGACCAGTAGAGTACTGGGAAATAACAGGCGATGCTAGCTATTACACAATGAAGCTGTGAGCAGCTTGGCAAGACAGAATGGACTGCCTCGTGAGGTAGTGAGCTCCCTGACAGTAGAGGTAACCAAGCCAGGTGACCACTGTGGAAATGCTTTAAGCTCATTCCAACCTAAGTTTGGAGAAAGAGATTGCCACGGGCGGCTTGAGGTTTTACAATATTATGATTTTTCAGACTGCAGTGCACATCTCCCCTCCATTGACTCCATCCCAGCATTTGTCTCCAGGAACCTACTGGTGTTCGAAGTTCTGCTATCAGGGCTTTATTCTGTGAGGGTAAGGTGCCACAATCTTCTGGAGCTGTTGGTTAAATAGAGGTTGCTACATAATGTTGTAGTTGTTGGCTTTTTTTCTGTGAATTCATTTAGCGGACGCTTCTCCCCAGTAGCTTGGGAAGAGATTGTTGGAGCACTGGTCATCATAGTAGGGGTCTTTGATTCAGATGCACCATGAAGGCAGGATGTGCGTGGGATCAGGGGTGGTGGTGGTGAGAGCTCTGAGGGAAAAGGAGGATGTGGGAAAGTAGAAGTGGCAGGAGTGCATGACCAAAAACACTCTCATCTAATTCACAGCTGAGCCCAGGCTGGCCCTACCTGGACCAAAATCCCAACATCAGTGCAGTATCTTCTACCTCCCAATAAAAGCCTCCCAAGGAAGCACTGGGCTAGAAGTCCAAAGACTTTCTGGTGGTCCTGGCTGGGCCACTCCCTGGCAGTGGGCTTTGGGTACGTCCCAATGCCACCTTGCAAAGCTAAGCTCCCTCTGTGCCCAAACGAGAGGAGGCATGCGCTGGTCTCCAAGGACCCTCCTACCCTGACATGGTCTGAGGGCGGGACCAAGGCACTAGGGCGGGCTTTGGGGTCCCCAGACCTGGTTGTGAAACTCAGCTCTGCTTTCTCAGAACCATGCCACCTTGAGCAAGTTACCTAAACTTCCTGAGCCTCAGTCCGCACATCTGTGAAATGGGGACAGTAATACTTGCTTTGAAGGATTGTTAAGATGATAAAATATGTCATTTTACTAGTTGATGCCTCAGTGGGAAATAGCGGGCTTCAACCATAAAAGGGAGCATCTGAAGGGTGCATCGTCCTCTGATTGATATCGGGCCTGGGTCTTCATCCTTTTCTTCAACAGATGTTTTTTTGCGCTTCTACTATGTGCCAGGCACATTGAACTATACAAAGTTCAACTCTACATCGTTGAACTATGCAAACACCCCTGACCTTGGACCAAGCCCATCCTGACTGCCTATCTGACAGTCCGTGAGCTCCTCAGGCCCCTCATCCTTGAATCTGCCCCGCCCTGAGCTCTGAACACATCTCTCTAGTACTTCCAAGGAGCTCCAGCCTCCCACACCCCTACCAAGCCATTCCTCCCTAGGCTTCCCAATTCCAGGGAAGTTAGTGGGGTACCATAAATTGGGGCCAAACTGTCGCAGGCTTACTACACGCAGGTTCATGAAATGTCCTTATTCAGAGATGTAAGAAATCATTTTCCCACAACGCTCAAGTCTGACTTCAAATTAGAATCACCTGGCAATTTACAAAAACATCTTGATGTGGGGTCCCACTCCTAGAAAAATCTCACTCAAGGGATCTGGGCTGGAGCTTGGGCAGTGATAGTTTCAAAGCTCCCCAGGCAATTCTAATGCATAAGAAACCTGTGTGAATCCAACCCGCCTCCCTTTGCAGATGGAAAGAGGAATTCACCAAGGTCAAATTCTACCTAGAAGCCCAGTGAGTTATGATTCTCTGTATTTTACAGACAAAGAAGCTGAGGATGACAGGGAGGAGGAGGCTTTGGGGAGCCCTTCTCCCATGAATCCTCCCCACCTTGGGCAGTGTATTTCATCTCAGCAGAAGCCTTCATTGCCTTAACTAAAAGACCTGGTACCAAGGCTGGGTGCGATGTTTCATGCCTATAATCCTAGCACTTTGGGAGGCTGAGGTGGGAGGATCGCCTGAGTTCAGGAGTTCAAAACCAGCCTGGGAACATAGGGAGACCCAGTCTCTAGAAAAAATAATAAAATTAGCTGAGTGTGGTGGTGTGTGCCTGTGGTCCTAGCTATTTGGAAGGCTGAGGTGGGAGGATCACTCGAGCCTGGGAGGCCGAGGCTGCAGTGAGCTGCGATCATTCCACTGCACTCTAGCCTGGGTGTCAGAGTGAGACCCTGTCTTAAAAGGAAATAAAAAAGCCTTTAAGAAATTGAGTACAGATTAATAAACTTAATAAATTAAATAAAAATAAAAAAAAGACCTGGTACCAATGGAGGCCTTTCAGGCACTATGACAGGCAGGGGTGGAAAATTTGAGGGTAGGAAGAGGACCTTCCACCTCCCATGCATAGTGCTGCTATTTGCCTGTCAGTGATCCACGTGCAAAGAGCCTGCTATGAAAGGCACCTGCATGGCCCCACCCCACCCAGGCAGGTGATGATGAGGGGCGCCAGGCAGGTATATGCAGCTCAGAAGGCTGAGCTCCCCGACAGGGGCCTGCAGCACCCAGTACTGGGACCCAAGGCCCCTGAAGAATGGAGAGCCCCCCGACAGGACAGAGGGGCTCGGTCCCAAGAGCAGTGGGGGAACAGAAATTGTCCCCTAGTAGGCTCTTTGGCAACCACCCAGACATTTCAACTCTCCCCCTCCCCAACAACCTCCTGGCAGGTGGGCCGAGATGCAGACCCAGTTGCCAGCCTTTGTCTCTCCCAGAGAGTTTGAGCAACTTGCTCTGAGCTCCTACCAGGTTGGGGACACTGCTCCTTCCTTCACATGGCAGCTGCTTTCAGAGTAAGCCTTGGTTACAAGAGGGCTGCTCCCTGGAGCTACATGTATGGAAGGACCGGGCATCTCCCCAGAGTGGTGTGCACTGGCTGTGGTCTCTGTCCTTTACTGCCCATGGTGGCCAGCCTGGGACCAGAAGTCAAGGTCATCATCCCCCCAACATCCTTCCCGCACTACTCCTCTACCCAGAGGTAGGGGAGAGATTGTGGGATCAGGTAGCCTCTGGCATGAAGGTCTGCTGGGCCACTACCTGCTGTGTGCCCTAAGCTTGTTACTTCACGTCCCTGAGCATCAGTTTCCTCATCTATAAAATGGCCACAAGCAACACTACTTCTTAGGGGCCCTGTAGACATCTAAATATTTAAGTATGTGCCCAGCACATAGCAGGTTCCCAGTAAGTAGGAATCTCCATTCTTACTCTCTTCCCTGTAGCTTAAAACATTGGTTCCAGGAAAGATCAGGGTTTTTTTTTTCCAAATTTTATTTTGAATTTTTTCAACCTAAGTACATACTACAAGAATAGGACAACAAACTCTCATATACTTCTCACCTAGATTCACCAATTTAACATTTTGCCACTTTTGCCTTATCTCTATCTATTTATACCCATCATGATTGCTGTTATCATGATTATTCCCTTTAACCTGAATGGCTTCAGCATGTATTTCCTAAAAACAAGGATATTTTCTCATACAACCACATCCACAAACTCAGGAGACTTAACAAAGACATGAGCTAGTGTACAGGTGACCTTCACGTTTTGTCAATTGTCCCTCTCGAGTCCTTTCTGGTCCACCATCCCTTCCAGGACCAGGCCTGGCATCTGGTCACCATGTCTCTTTACTCTGGAAGAGTTCCTGCATCTTTCTTTGTCTTTCATGACCTTGACATTTGTGAAGACTGCAGACCAGCTGTTTTGTAGAGTGTCCCTCACTTGGGCCATGTCTGATGCTGTTTCTTCATGATTAAATTCAAGTCATGCACTTTGGGCAGGAAAATCACAGACAGGGTGCCAAGTCCTTCTCAGGGCAGTCTACTGGGGGCCCATCCATTCACCCCTTGCAGGGGATGTTAAGCTTGAGTAACTTTGAGTTGAGGCAGTGTCCAGAGCCTTCTCAACTGCACACTTGCCATTTTTCCCATGATCACATGTTTAACTCTGGGCTCTAGAGTCAAACAGAGCTGGGTTGTGTCTGGACTTCAGCATTTACCAGCTGTGTGACCCTGGCCAAATTATCTGACTTCTCTGAACTTGTGAAACAGAAACCTCAATCCTATCTCTCAGGGTCGTTTGGAGGAGTGAATGAGAGCACCTATGTGAAGTGTTCAGTATAGTGGCTGGACACACTGGGGGTGCCTGGAGAATGTTAGCTATTATTACTCCTGCCACTCTGTAATACTCCTCAAGCCCCGATGGTCTGACCTGGTTTGGGTGCAGGAAGCTGTTGAATCATTTTTCGTCCATACTGTGGATACTCACTGAGCATCTGCCCAAGGCTTATGAGGTATGGAGGGGACTTGCAGGTCAGAAAGACCCACCCTGATGGAAGGAGCTCCAGGAAACAGCAACTGAGGAAACAAGTGCCAGGCAAGCTGTTGTGATGTGACATGAATTCAGAGAGGCAGCCAGGGGCAGTCGCCAGTGCCTGCGGAAAGCCAAATAAACCCTGAGGATGGGAGGTAGATCCATTGGCCATTAGCCAAGGTAGTCCACGGCCACGAGGCTAGCGTCGACTTTGGGATCCATCTAACTTGAATTGGTGTCCCAGCTTCTCTGTGAATTAGCTCTGTGCCCTTGAGCAAGTCAAATGACCTCTCTGAGCCCAGTTTTGGCTTCTGTGAAATGAGGATAATATTGCATCTCTCATAGAGTGGTAGCAAGGGTGATAAGATTGATGTATGTAAAGGGTTTGGCACACGGTAAGTGCTCAAAAACCAAGCACCCACACTGACCACCTAGGCCAGGATCACAGTTCTAATGTCACTTTTTTAAGAAAACCCCTGACTGCCTATGATGGTTAATACTGAGTGTCAACTTGACTGGATTGACGGATAGAAAGTATGAATCCTGGGTGTGTCTGTGTGGGTATTGCCAAAAGAGATTAACATTTGAGTCAGTGGTGGGGAAGGCAGATCCCCCCTAAATTTGGTGGGCATGATCTAATCAACTTCCAGCGAATATAAAGCAGGCAGAAAAACATGAGAGAGATGAGACTGGCCTAGCCTCCCAGCCTACATCTTTCTCCCATGCTGGGTGCTTCCTGCCCTCGAACATTGGACTCCAAGTTCTTTAGTTTTGAGACTGGCACTGGCTCTCCTTGCTCTTCAAGCTTGCAGACAGCCTATTGTGGGACCCTGTGATCGTGAAAGTTAATACTTAAGAAACTCCCATGTTTATATATGTGTGTGAGCGTGTGTGTATATATATATCTGTGTGTGTATACATACACACACACACACACACACACACACACACACATCCTATGAGTTCTGTCCCTCTGGAGAACACTGACTAATACACTACCCATCCCTGGAAGAGAGTATCAGCTTCCCCTGAAATGCTCTCAGCTTCTCATCTTCTCACACTTAGTGGAACTCTACATTGGTCCAACCTTCCTGGAGGACATTTTGACAAACAGGGACTTCAGTGATCTTAGTTGTACACAACAGAATACACTCAGCTACTTTTAGCAGAAAGAGATTTATTAGGAGACTAGATAGCTTGCAGACTCATTGGGAGGTAGAAGTAATGCATCCTAGGCTGGGCTTCCAGGAATGAGTTCCAAAAACACAATGCCGGCCTGGCTGCCAACAGAACTGCTGCCTCTGCCTTGATCACAAAGTTCCAGAATACGAATGATCACCATAACTCTTGGCTCCAGAGCCATGCCCCTCAGTTCTGATCTGTGCTAGCAAAATGGGGGCCCCACCCCCCTGCCATTCCCCTGAATCACTAGCTTTGACTCACACTTGCAAAAGTTCATCTCATTAGCGGAGCCTAAATCATATCTAGAATCCATGCTGGAGGGAGGTCTCAGTTGTTAGCTGTCTAATATCTAGACAT
Source organism: Homo sapiens (assembly GCF_000001405.40). Taxonomy (NCBI): domain Eukaryota; kingdom Metazoa; phylum Chordata; class Mammalia; order Primates; family Hominidae; genus Homo; species Homo sapiens. The sequence goes on along the minus strand of NC_000015.10, from coordinate 69,784,829 downwards.
CCTAAGAGGAGGTGGAATATGTTTTGAACTAGCCAAGCCAACAAATCAACAGCCATAAAAATGTTACACCCTTTGATCTGTTAAATACCTTCCTAGAAATCCACATGAAGGAAATGGAGATATAAGCATGTATTTGTGTAGGAAGTGGAAGGAAAGGAGGAATGAGAGAGGGAAGGGAGAGAATAAACAAGATACAGGAACAAAGGGGTTGATTAAATAAATTTTGGAACATACCTGTGAAAGAATTTGTTGGCCAATAAAAATGAGGTTTTTGCATCGTATGTTCTCACTTATAAGTGGGAGCTAAGCTATGAGGAAGCAAAGGCATAAGAATGACATGATGGACTTTGGGAACTCAGGGGGAAAGAGTAGGAAGAGGGTGAGGGATGAAAGACTACAAATAGGGTGCAGTATATACTGCTGGGGTGATGGCTGCACCAAAATTTCACAAATCACCACTAATAACCTACTCATGTGGCCAGGCATGGTGGCTCACGCCTGTAATCCCAGCGCTTTGGGAGGCCGAGGCAGGTGGATCACGAGGTCAGGAGTCGAGACCATCCTGGTTAATACGGTGAAACCCCATCTCTACTGAAAAAAATACAAAAGATTAGCCGGGCATGCCGGGCGAGGTGGCTCACACCTGTAATCCCAGCACTTTGAGAGGCTGAAGCGGGCAGATCACGAGGTCAGGAGATTGAGACCATCCTGGCTAACACGATGAAACCCCATCTCTACTAAAAATACAAAAAATTAGCCGGGCGTGCTGGCGGACGCCTGTAGTCCCAGCTACTCGGAAGGCTGGGGCAGGAGAATCACTTGAACCCGGGAGGCAGAGGTTGCAGTGAGTCGAGATCGCGCCACTGCACTCCAGCCTGGGTGACAAAGTGAGACTCCATCTCAAAAAAACAAACAAACAAAAAAAGGAACCTACTCATGTCTACTCACATAACTAAACACCATCTGTTCCCCAAATAACCTATGGAAATTTTAAAAATTTTAAAAATATAAGAATAGAAAAATAAAAAGAGGCTTTTGAATAATTTTAGAATTTACAATGACATAGTATTAAGTCAAAAAAGATTTTAAAAACCAAACTGTATGTATAGTATGATGCCAGTTTTATAAAAGGACACAAATATGCAGAGAACAACATTGAAGGAAGTGGCTCAGAGATGTTTATTGCAGTGTGACTGGAATCACATGGGATTTAAAAATTTTTCTCATTTATACTGTTCTATAGCATCTATACATTCTACCAAGAAGATGCATTACTTTCGTAATTAGTTATAGTAGATATTGAAGGATGATAATACAAAAGGGAGATATTCTCATCTCTCGTGTTCACACACACACACGAATGCCTTTGCCTTGTTGACTCCAGATGGCCAAGCGAGTCTGTGAAACTCCCAAGGGACCTGATTAGAGTCACGCTTTGGGGAGGGCAGGTAACGGCTAACGGTTAATAAGGGAGAATGAAGTCCAATTATGGAGGGTGGGCAGGGATCATCTCTGACTTATCTGGCATGTAACTGGATATCAATAAATATTTGTTCCATACTTCATAGAGAAATGGCCGAAGGGCTTGAAAGCAGTCCGTTCACAGAAAAAGGAATACAGGTGACTTTGAAACAGATGAAAAAATACCCAGCCTCCATCAAAATCAAAGAAATGCAAAATAAAACAAGAGCTATTTTTCATTCAGTAGGCTGGCAAAGATCACAACGTTTGATGAGGACACGGGGTGACTAGAGTAGAGGGAGGAGGTTCTGCCCCGCCCTGCAGGGGGATTTGTTCTATCAGTCAGGTGATAGAACACAGGTGCCCTTTGATCCAGCCGCTCTGCTTCTAGTTTGTCCTCCAGATATAACTGTGCATTGCCCACGTGCAAAAGGGGCATGTACAAGGGTGTCTGTAGTGGTATTGCTTATCTTGACAAAAGACTTAAAGCCAAGTATTTAGCTGGGGTCTGATTAAATAAACCATGGTGCACTCATACAATGGAACACTGTACTAACAAGGAGTAATCTCAAAGATATATTTATAAGTGATAAAATCAAGGGGAAGAGCAAAGTATATAATGCCCTATTTTTGTAAGAAAAATATTTACACATATCATTTGATATGTAAAGCATATTTCTGATGTCCCTGCAGATGGAGGATTTGAGGGTCTGAGTTAGATTCACTATGCATTGTTCATACTTTTGCACCATTATTTAATCATGTTCAGCTTGGTGTAATAGATTTTCAATTTCAATATGTAATTAAAAATGGATACATACTTGTTGAATTAACAATTGGGCTAGAAAGCCACAGAGAAGTATTTGAAAGTGATGAGAAGAGTCATAGGGAGCCACTGATGGCTCTTGAGCAGGGGGTGCAGCATAAGAGTGTATTTAACTAGGAGAGTTCAATAGAATAGCAAGGAGAGGTTGAGAGCAGAGAGTGGAGCCTGGCAAGGCAGACCAACTTAAGGCATCAAAGTCCCCAGGCATCAAAGTAACCAGCTGGGGAACGGTAGGAAGGGTTACTCTCTGAGTTGCCCCTTTCATCCCACTTGGCCTGGCTGATTCTCTGTGTTCCCATCTCCCTCTCATGTCCACAGCTTTCCCAGGTTACTTATGGAATAATTCTTAGCATTCCAGCAGTGCAGATCTGTATTTTTTTTAACCAGAACCTCTGTATTACCACTCTCACTTTCATCTACCGAGTTAGATTTCCTTGTCTTCCCCCTCACTTCCGTTCCTTATATACCATATCAGTAACCCACAGGGCTTGCTCTTCCCTGACACACAGCCTCTCCATTCATTTTACCAGACTCACCCCTGGCTCTCCAATGCAGGGAGACCACTGTCCCAGGCAAAATGGCTGGGAGCCCACAGAGTCTACCTTGAAGCTGTCCCTGAGGTCGGTATGGGGGAACTGGCCCTGTCAGGATAACTCTCCCAAATAATCCCAGTCCTGCAGCAGTTATGTGTCCTGGTTTGTAAAATGTGAAAGCTGGGGTCTAGAGAGAAAGTGTGGATTATTTGTGAGTCACCGGGGCAGGATCAGAACTCAAGCCCATCCTTTTGGGGTTCCATATGAGCAGCCGGTGTGATGTTCCAGCTCCCCAAGCCCTAAAAGAGTTAGGACCATGAAGATGCAGGGGCTCTCTCCTCTTCCCTGCAACCCCCAGTCAGTTTTCTTCTTCTCCTGTCAGCTCCATCCCCTCACACACTCAGTGCCCCTGAGACACCTGCATGGTCCCAAACCTGCCCCTTCAGGGCCTGTATGAGGTCAGATTCCCTGAAAGAAGCAGAGCTTGACACAGCCACTTGGAAGCACACAGTTTTGGGGACAGTGCTCTGTGGGAGAAATTCCTCTATGGGAGAGCCTGGGAAGAAGCTGCGCTGAGCCTGGGAAGAAGGAGGTGGTCTCCGGGAAAGGCTGTCCCACGTCTCAGTGCATGTAACAGAGAGGATGGGAGGGCCACACCTCCTTGCTTATTTACATTTTTATGAAAAAAGACCCTTTTGGTCCTGGCTCTGATTTCCTCCAGGGAAATGGTAACCACTTGACTAATTCATTTTACCAGATCCAGCCCAGGAAGAGACTGGCTACTAACAGCCCATCGTCTCCTGCCCTGCTGCCACTCCCCACCTCGGGAGAGCCAACATCTGACCCAAACCCTGTGACTTACCCAGGCACCTCCGACCTCCACAACTTCCCCTGAGGACATAGAAGAGTCACTTCCTGCTCCCCGGGGGCTTGGGGCCAAATCCACAGCTTGACATTTATTTAAAATCGCTTGTGGGTTTTTTTTTTCTTTAAAATTCATAGTAACTTGGTATTCCATGATAACCGCTTATTATACTCTTAACATCAGAAGGGTAAGATGGTTATTCCCTGTTCTTTTGAAAAAAGTCTTCTATTAACAGGACAATAACACATGGACTCTCAAATGATGGGCAGAGCACATTGTCCTTTAATTGGGCTCAAGTCTCTCACTGCCGGCCTGCAGCATTCCCCTCGAGTATGGACTGTGATACGAGGGCTGGAAGATCAGGAGCACATCAGCTCTGTGGTCGGCCCATTCAGCTGCTCCCACAGGGACCTTGGGCTTCCCTGATTCTCCCCTCGAGCCCACCTGCTGCCAGCTCATCAAAGATACCCTCCCTGTTCACTCCTTCACCTCTCTTGGACCACATCGCCCCCACACACTCAAACAGGCAGTGCTCCCCTCTTCCTGGCCTTCAACCTGGCTCAGCCATTCTGTTTCTCGGCCTTTCTAGGAAGAGCCTCCTGGCTCACCTCCAGCGAGCCCTTAGGCCTGCCATGAGACATATTACAAATGGCCTCCTTCCTGATGTCAGCTCTGCTAGACTCAGAATGAGGTTTTAATGAGTCTTAACCTCCAGAAAGAAGGAATATGAGTTTGCGGGGAAAGAGGGTATGGTGGGGCAGGGGGGTGAAGGGTTGCTGGTGGAGAGATAGTAGGGTTTGAAAGGGAAGAAAAATTCCTATTCTGCCTCACTGCACCTTAATAGATGTACTTATTTTAATTTCAAATGCTGTTTTAAATTATTTACCATGGAGTAAAACGTATGCTCTTGGAGATATTCCAAATTCTCAACCTCGGCACTGCTGACATTTGGGGCTGGATATTTCTTTGTTGGAGATTGTCCTGTGCACTGTAGGATGCCTAGCGGCATCCCTGGCCTCGACCCACTTAGATGCCATGAGCACCACCTCCTCCAGTTGTGACAACCAAAAATGCCTCTAGACTTTGCCAAATGTCTCCTACGGGGCAAAATCACTCCTGGCTGAGAACCACTGGTGTAGTTTCCTGTGTGTCCTAGCACAGTTCCATGTACCAGCAGGGGGAAGGGATAGGAGACCTTTTATTGATCTTCACCTACGGTTACAATGGGGAGTTTCTAGCATCATGGGGAAACACATGTTGGTATGGCACTCTCTATGTCACAGCACAGAGACCTCTACTTTGCCACGTGTCCCCTCCCAGAAAACCTGAAACTGGAACCCCGGCCTGAAGCACTTCCAAAATTCTGAGATTCTCAGCCTCCATCTAACCAGAATTTTTTTTCTTTGTTCTTGGGTTTTTCACCCAGAACTGCCAACAACTTCTACCTCTTAGACTCTTATTGTTAAGTTTACAAGGGCAATAAAAAGCCTCAAAGTGTTTCTGGGACATCAAATAGCCCTTCTTAAGTTAAAAAGAAAGACATGCAGTTGCAGGGCGGGGGAGGGGGGTGGGGACACCCTCCCGCCATTTTGTTTTCTTGCACAAGTGAATTAGACACACATGGAATTTTTCCTTTTGACTGGGCACTATTTTAAGACATAAAGTGAATGTCCTTAAAATATGTCCCAGCCTTTTATGGCCACCTCGGTTCCTAGAAGAATTGGTCTGTGTGTTGCCAGTTGCATAGGGTGTAGCCTAGGATTGTGGGGAAGTCCGTTGGCCAATGAGGAAGAGCCCTGAACAGCATGGCCCAGGACATCTGAGAGTATGGATATTTCACTGAGGGCTGGAGTGGTCAGGAGACACTTTGAAAGAAAGCAAAGCATGGATATTTTTGCAGTTGCACAGTTTCTGAATGTGAGATGCACTTGTACCCCTGTAGGTCTTTGCTCAAGCTGTTCTTGATATCTAGAAAGTTCTACCTCCCTAATGTACTTTCTGTCCCCTAAATATTCCAATTACACCTCAAAATCTTAACTTCCTCTTTCCTAGTGAAATAATCAGACAAGTGAGCAAAGATATGTATAACTCTGTGTGTGGTATATAGTGGTGAAAAACTAGAAATAAGCTAAAATGTCCAATAATAGGGAACTAGTTCAATAAATCACTGTGTGGTCATACAATGAAAAATCACTCAGTCATAAAGAATTGTAGACATGAACAACTGTTGACTTGATTAGATTGAAAGAAGTTAAAAACAGTGTATATAATCCTGTTTTTAGATATATATATATATATAGAATTCTGGAAAAGTGACAGAGTAGGAAGAACCAGGAATCTTTTTCCTCATCTAGATAACAATTGAACTGCCAGAATTTGTCTGATACAACTCTTTTGAAACTCTGGAGTCTATTGAAGCCTTGCAACTTCCAGGGGAAGGCTTAGATGGTAAATTGCAGTTAATTTTGGTCAATTTCAGGTCTTACCTCCGAAGCAACTACCCAGTCCCCATCCTAATCCCAATGGCAGTCAGTTGTGCACATGTCCCTGAAGCTGCTTGATCATAGCTTATTGAAACCAGCATGAGCAAAAAGGACCTTGTCTTCCAAATATGGGGATCTGTGCTCTGATCATTGACTGATGCTTCTGATCATGGAGGTGCAGACACAGAGGCATGCAGCCATTATTGTTGCACCTCCCCTTGTTGCTGCAAGCCCCTCCAACCCAGGCTGAAGCAATTTCCAGAGTAATTAAAGGGCTGGTGCATTTCTCCCCTTTTAATTATCTTCCTCCTTTTTGGGAGCCAGATAGTAAAGACTAGGACATCTAAAGCAACTGCATTAAAGGGGGAAAGTGGAAAGTAACTGCACATACACAGAGAAAGTTGTAGCTCAGAAAATAAGAAGACTTTAAGTTTACACCCCAGGCCAATCCTCAGCACGGAGATAGCCTACAACAATGAAAAAATAAAAAACAGAAAACCAGAAAAAACTGGGAAAGGGGGAAAATTTGATTTCTACAGTTATTACATTATTGAATTAAAATGTCCAATTTTCAACAATGACAAAATCACAAAGCATACAGAGAAATAAGAAAGTGTAGCCAATTTAAAGGGAAAAGTAAATTAACAGAAACTGTCACTGAGAAAGGCCAGACCAGATAGCAGACCTACTAAATAGAAACTTATTTTAAAACTTTCTTAAAGATGTCCAAATAACTAAAGGAAGATATGCAGAAAGTGGAGAAAATAGTGTATGAACAAAATGGAAATATTAATAAAGAGAAAGAAAAATTTATAAAGACACCAAAAAGAAATTCTAGAACTGAAAAGTGCAATAACTGAAATAAAAAATTTACTAGGTGATTCAAAGAGATATTTGAGTGGCAGAAGAAATAATTAGTAAACTTGGACATAGCACAACTGAAATAGAAGGGAAAAAAAATTGAAGAAAAGTGAACATAGTCTAAGGTTCCTGTGAGACACCATCAAGCAGATCAGCATACACACTGATGCAGTCCAGAGGAAGAGAGAAAAGGGAAGATAGATTATATGAAGAAATAATGTCCAAAAACATCCCAAGTTTGATGAAAGTCATGAATATAAACATCCAAGAAGCTTAACAAACTCCAAGTAGGATGAACTCAGAGACCCACACCGAGATGCATCATAATCAAACTGACAAAAGATGAAGACAAAGAAAAAGTTTTGAATGCAACCAGAGAGTAGCAACTCGTCACATACAAGAGATCCTCAAGATAAACACTGGATTTCTCATCAGAGACTTTGGAGGCCAGAGGAAAGTGGACTTATATTCAAAGTTCTAGAAGAAAAAAGATTGTCAACCAATAATCCTGTATCTAGCAAAACTGTCCTTCGAAAGTAAGGGAAACATTAAAACATTCCAAATTAAACAAAAGCTGAGGAAATCTGTTACTACTAAACCTGCTCTGCAAGAAATGCTAAAAAGCCAAAAATGTCCTGCAGCTTTAAATGAAAAGACACTAGACAGTAGACAATAACCGACAGCTATATAAAGAAATAAAGATCTCAGTAAAGGTAAATACCCTGGCAATTAGAAAAGCTAGTATTATTGTAACAACAGTCTGTATCTCCACTTTTTGTTTTCTACATGATTTAAGAGACCAATAAAATTTTTTTTAAGTGTTAGTCTAAAAGCCAAAAACTGTAATTTTGGTTTATAATACTGCATCTTGTTTTTTATATAATTTAAGAAATTGTGCATTAAAAAATAATTACTAGATTATGTTTCAGGATATGCAATGTATAAAATTATAACTACATGATATCAATAACTGAAAAGGGTGGGGACAGAGCTGTACAGAAACAATGTTTTGTGTTTTATGGAAGTTAAGGTCCAATAAATTCAAGTTAAAATGTTATAACTTTAGGATGTTAAGTATAATCCCTGTGGTAACCACAAAAATGAGGTATAGAATGTACGCCCCAAAGAAGAAAAGTGAATTAAAACATTTCACATCAAAAATCATCTAAACACAAAAGAAGATAGTAACACAAAAAATAAGGGCTGAAAAAACACAACAAGGCATTAGAAAATAGTAGAATGACCAAAGTAAGCCCCTCCTTATCAATAATTACTTTAAATGTAAATAGACTAAACTCACTAATGAAAATACAGATATTGGCAGAATAGAAAATATTCTCCAAGAATATGCTGTCTATAAGAGACTGATTTTAGATCCAGACACAAATAGATTGAAAGCAAAAGGATAGAAAAAGAAAAGTAACTCAAACAGAAATCAAAAGAGAACAGAGGAGGTTATACTAATATTAGACAAAATAGACTTGAATTCAAAAAAGTTTATCAGAGACAGACACATATTAATAAAAAGATTCAATACAGTGGGGCCGGGTGCGGTGGCTTATGCCTGTAATCCCAGCACTTTGGGAGGCCAAGGCTGGCGGATCATGAGGTGAGGAGATCGAGACCATCCTGGCTAACACGGTGAAACCCCATCTCTATTAAAAATGCAAAAAATTAGCCGGGCATGGTGGCGGATGCCTGTAGTCCCAGCTACTCAGGAGGCTTAGGCAGGAGAATGGCGTGAACCCAGGAGGCAGAGCTTGCAGTGAGCCGAGATAGTGCCACTGCACTCCAGCCTGGGCGACAAAGCGAGACTCCGCCTCAAAAAAAAAAAGATTCAATACAGCAAGAAGATATAACAATTATGCACATAATGTTATATCATTATATCAGGCCATCAAAATATATGAAGCAAAAATTAACAGAATTAAAGGGAAAATAGACAGTTCGACAATAATTGTTGGAGACTTCAATACCCCGCTCTCAATAATGAGTAGAATGAGGCAGAAGACAAATAAAAAAAACAGAGGACTTGAACAAAACATAAACCAAAATCTACCAGACATACTTAGAACACTCTACCCAAACAATAACAAAATGCATATTTCTCTCGAGTGCACATGGGATATTTTTCAGGATAGATCACATATTAGGCCACAAACTGTCAATAGATTTTAAAAGATATAAAGTATCTTCTCTAACCACAATGATATGAAGTTAGAAATCAATAACAAAAGGAAAAGTGGGAAATTCACAAATTTGTGAAAATTAAACGACACACTCTTAAACAACCAATAGATCACAAATGAAATCACGATGGAAACTGGAAAATATTTAAAGACAAATGAAAACAAAAACACAACATACCAAAAGTTATGAGAAGCAAAGGTAATGCTAAGGGGGAAATGTATGGCTATAACGGCTTATATTAAAAACACAAAAGATCTCAAATTAACAACTTAACTTTACAACTTAAGAAACTAGAAAAGGAACATACTAAATTCAAAACTAGCAGAAGGAAGAAAATAGAAATCAGAAGAGAGATAAATAAAATAGAAAAATAATAGGAAAATAAACAAAACCAAAAGTTGGTTCTTTATTTTTATTTTTTTATTTTTATCATACTTCAAATTATAGGGTACATGTGCACAACGTGCAGGTTTGTTATGTATGTATACATGTGCCATGTTGGTTTGCTGCACCTATTAACTTGTCATTTACATTAGGTATTTCTCCTAATGCTATCCCTTCCCCATCCCTCCACCCCACGACAGGCCCCGGTGTGTGATGTTCCCTGCCCTGTGTCCAAGTGTTCTCATTGTTCAGTTCCCACCTATGAACATGCAGTGTTTGGTTTTCTGTCCTTGTGATAGTTTGCTCAGAATGATGGTTTCCAGCTTCATCCATGAACTCATCCTTTTTTATGGCTGCATAGTATTCCATGGTGTATATGTGCCACATTTTCTTAATCCAGTCTATCATTGATGGACATTTGGGTTGGTTCCAAGTCCTTGCTATTGTGAATAGTGCTGCAATAATAAACATATGTGTGCATGTGTCTTTATAGTAGCATGATTTATAACCCTTTGGGTATATACCCAGTAATAGGATGGCTGGGTCAAATGGTATTTCTAGTCCTAGATCCTTGAGGAATCGTCACACTGTCTTCCACAATGGTTGAACAAGTTTACACTCCCACCAACAGTGTAAAAATGTTCCTATTTCTCCTCATCCTCTCCAGTACCTGTTGTTTCCTGACTTTTTAATGATCGCCATTCTAACTGGTGTGAGATGGTATCTCATTGTGGTTTTGATTTGCATTTCTCTGATGACAAGTGATGATGAGCATTTTTTCATGTGTCTGTTGGCCACATAAATGTCTTCTTTTGAAAAGCGTCTGTTCATATCCTTTGCCCACTTGTTGATGGGGTTGTTTGATTTTTTCTTGTAAATTTGTTTAAGTTCTTTGTAGATTCTGGATATTAGCCCTTTGTCAGATGGGTAGATTGCAAAAATTTTCTCCCATTCTGTAGGTTGCCTGTTCATGCTGATGGCAGTTTCTTTTGCTGTGTGGAAGCTCTTTAGTTTAATTAGATCCCATTTGTCTATTTTGGCTTTTGTTGCCATTGTTTTTGGTGTTTTAGTCATGAAGTCCTTGCCCATGCCTATGTCCTGAATGGTATTGCCTAGGTTTTCTTCTAGGGTTTTTATGGTTTTAGGTCTAACATTTAAGTCTTTAATCCATCTTGAATTAATTTTTGTGTAAGGTGTAAGGAAGGGATCCACTTTCGGCTTTCTACATATGGCTAGCCAGTTTTCCCAGCACCATTTATTAAATAGGGAATCCATTTCTTGTTTTAGTCAGGTTTGTCAAAGATCAGATGCTTGTAGATGTGTGGTGTTATTTCTGAGGGCTCTGTTCTGTTCCATTGGTCTGTATCTCTGTTTTCATACCAGTACCATGCTGTTTTGGTTACTGTAGCCTTGTAGTATAGCTTGAAGTCAGGTAGCGTGATGCCTCCAGCTTTGGTCTTTTTGCTTAGGATTGTCTTGGCTATGTATGCTCTTTTTTGGTTCCATATGAACTTTAAAGTAGTTTTTTCCAATTCTATGGAAAAAGTCATTGGTAGCGTGATGGGGATGACACTGAATCTATAAATTACCTTGGGCGGTATGGCCATTTTAACCATATTGATTCTTCCTATCCATGAGCATGGAATGTTCTTCCATTTGTTTGTGTCCTCTTTTATTTCGTTGAGCAGTGGTTTGTAGTTCTCCTTGAAGAGGTCCCTCACATCCCTTGTAAGTTGGATTCCTAGGTATTTTATTGTCTTTGAAGCAATTGTGAATGGGAGTTCACTCATGATTTGGCTCTCTGTTTGTCTGTTATTGGTGTATAGGAATGCTTGTGATTTTTACACATTGATTTTGTATCCTGAGACTTTGCTGAAGTTGCTTATCAGCTTAAGGAGATTTTGGGTTGAGACAATGGGGTTTTCTAGATATACAATCATGTCATCTGCAAACAGGGACAATTTGACTTCCTCTTTTCCTAATTGAATACCCTTTATTTCTTTCTCTTGCCTGATTGACCTGGCCAGAACTTCCAACACTATGTTGAATAGGAGTGGTGAGAGAGGGCATCCCTGTCTTGTGCCAGTTTTCAAAGGGAATGCTTCCAGTTTTTGCCCATTCAGTATGATACTGGCTGTGGGTTTGTCATAAATAGCTCTGATTATTTTGAGATACATTCCATCAATGCCTAATTTATTGAGAGTTTTTAGCATGAAAGGCTGTTGAATTTTGTCAAAGGCCTTTTCTGCATCTATTGAGATAATCACGTGGTTTTTGTTTTTGGTTCTGTTTATGTGATGGATTACGTTTATTGATGTGCGTATGTTGAACCAGCCTTGCATCCCAGGGATGAAGCCAACTTGATCGTGGTGGATAAGCTTTTTGATGTGATGGTGGATTCAGTTTGCCAGTATTTTATTGAGGATTTTCGCATCAAATGTTCATCAGGGATATTGGTCTAAAATTCTCTTTTTTTGTTGTGTCTCTGCCAGGCTTTGGTATCAGGATGATGCTGGCCTCATTAAATGAGTTAGGGAGGATTCCCTCTTTTTCTATTGACTGGAATAGTTTCAGAAGGAAGGGAACCAGCTCCTCTTTGTACCTTGGATAGAATTCAGCTGTGACTCTGTCTGGTCCTGGACTTTTTTTGGGTGGTAGGCTATTAATCATTGCCTTAATTTCAGAGCCTGTTATTGGTCCACTCAAGGATTCAACGTCTTCCCGGTTTAGTCTTGGGAGGGTGTATGTGTCTAGGAATTTATCCATTTCTTCTAGGTTTTCTGGTTTATTTGGATAGAGGTGTTTATAGTATTCTCTGATGGTAGTTTGTATTTCTGTGGGATTGGTGGTGATATTCCCTTTATCAATTTTTATTGCGTCTATTTTATTCTTCCCTCTTTTCTTCTTTATTAGTCTTGCTAGCAGATTATCTATTTTGTTGATCTTTTCAAAAAACCAGCTCCTAGATTCATTGATTTTTTTAAGGGTTTTTTGTGTCTCTATCTCCTACAGTTCTGTTCTGATCTTAGTTACTTCTTGCCTTCTGCTAGGTTTTGAATTTGTTTGCTCTTGATTCTCTAGTTCTTTTCATTGTGATGTTAGGGTATCAATTTTAGATCTTTCCTGCTTTCTCTTGTGGGCATTTAGTGCTATAAATTTGCCTCTACACACTGCTTTAAATGTGTCCCAGAGATTCTGGTATGTTGTGTCTTTGCTCTCATTGGTTTCAAAGAAGATCTTTATTTCTGCCTTCATTTCGTTTTACCCAGTAGTCATTCAGGAGCAGGTTGTTCAGTTTCCATGTAGTTGTGCGGTTTTGCGTGAGTTTCTTAATCGTGAGTTCTACTTTGATTGCACTGTGGTCTGAGAGACAGTTTGTTGTGATTTCGGTTCTTTTACGTTTGCTGAGGAGTGCTTTACTTCCAACTATGTGGTCAATTTTGGAATAAGTGTGATGTGGTGCTGAGAAGAGTGTATATTCTGTTGATTTGGGGTGGAGAGTTCTACAGATGTCTATTAGGTCTGCTTGGTGCAGAGCTGAGTTCAAGTCCTGGATACCCTTGTTAACCTTCTGTCTCATTGATCTGTCTAATATTGACAGTGGGGTGTTAAAATCTCCCATTATTATTGTGTGGGAGTCTAAGTCTCATTGTAGGTCTCTAAGGGCTTGCTTTATGAATCTGGGTGCTCCTGTATTGGGTGCATATATATTTAGGATAGTTAGCTCTTCTTGTTGAATTGATCCCTTTACCATTATGTAGTGGCCGTCTTTGTCTCTTTTGATCTTTGCTGGTTTAAAGTCTGTTTTATCAGAGACCAGGATTGCAACCCCTGCTTTTTTTATTTTTTTATTTTTATTTTTATTTATTTATTTATTTATTTTGCTTTCCATTTGCGTAGCAGATCTTCCTCCATCTCTTAATTTTGAGCCTATGTGTGTTTCTGCACATGAGATGGGTCTCCTGAATACAGCACACTGATGGGTCTTGACTCTTTATCTCATTTGCCAGTCTGTGTCTTTTAATTGGGGCATTTAGTCCACTTACATTTAAGGTTAATATTGTTATGTGTGAATTTGATCCTGTCATTATGATGTTAGCTGGTTATTTTACCCATTAGTTGATGCAGTTTCTTCCTACATCGACAGTCTTTACAATTTGGCATGTTTTTGCAGTGGCTGGTACTGGTTGTTCCTTTCCATGTTTAGTGCTTCCTTCAGGAGCTCTTGTAAGGGAGGCTTGGTGGTGACAAAATCTCTCAGCATTTGCTTGTCTGTAAAGGATTTTATTTCTCCTTCACTTACAAAGCTTAGTTTGGCTGGATATGAAATTCTGGGTTGAAAATTCTCTTCTTTAAGAATGTTGAATATTGGCCCTCACTCTTTTCTGGCTTGTAGAGTTTCTGCCAAGAGCTCCACTGTTAGTCTGATGGGCTTCCCTTTGCGGTTAACCCAACCTTTCTCTTTGGCTGCCCTTAACATTTTTTCCTTCATTTCAACCTTGGTAAACCTGACAATTATGTATCTTGGGGTTGCTCTTCTCAAGGAGTATCTTTGTGGTGTTCTCTGTATTTCCTGAATTTGAATGTTGGCCTGCCTTGCTAGGTTGGGGAAGTTCTCCTGGATAATATCCTGAAGAGTGTTTTCCAGTTTGGTTCCCTTCTCCCCATCACTTTCAGATACACCAATCAAATGTAGATTTGGTATTTTCACATAGTCCCATATTCTTGGAGGCTTTGTTCATTTCTTTTTACTCTTTTTTCTCTAAACTTCTCTTCTCACTTCATTTCATTAATTTGATCTTCAATCACTGATACCCTTTCTTCCACTTGATTGAATCAGCTACTGAAGCTTGTGCATGCGTCACGTAGTTCTTGTGCCATGGTTTTCAGCTCCATCAGCTCCTTTATGGTCTTCTCTACACTGTTTATTCTAGTTAGCCATTCATCTAATCTTTTTTCAAGGTTTTTAGTTTCCTTGCGATGGGTTTGAACATCCTCCTTTAGCTCGGAGAAGTTTGTTATTACTGACCTTCTGATACGTACTTCTGTCAACTCCTCAAAATCATTCTCCATCCAGCTTTGTACTGTTGCTGGCGAGGAGCTGCAATCCTTTAGAGGAGAAGAGGTGCTCTGCATTTTAGAATTTTCAGCTTTTCTGCTCTGGTTTCTCCCCATTGTTGTGGTTTTATCTACCTTTGGCCTCTGATGGTGACCTACAGATGGGGTTTTGGTGTAGATGTCCTTTTTGTTGATGTTGATGCTATTCCTTTCTGTTTGTTAGTTTTCGTTCTAACAGTCAGGTCCCTCAGCTGCAGGTCTGTTGGAGTTTGCTGGAGGTCCACTCCAGACCCTGTTTGCCTGGGTATCACCAGCAGAGGCTGCAGAACAGCAGATATTGCAGAACAGTAAATATTGCTGCCCAATCCTTCCTCTGGAAGCTTCATCTCATAGGGGCACCTGGCTCTATGAGGTGTCAGTTGGCCCCTACTGGGAGGTGTCTCCCAGTTAGGCTACGTGGGGGTCAGTGACCCACTTGAGGAGGCAGTCTGTCCGTTCTTAGAGCTCAAACACCGTGCTGGGAGAACCACTGCTCTCTTCAGAGCTGTCAGACAGGGACAGCTTAAGTCTGCAGAAGTTTCCGCTGCCTTTTGTTCAGCTACGCCCTGCCCCCAGAGGTGGAGTCTACAGAGGCAGGCGGGCCTCATTGAGCTGTGGTGGGCTCCACCCAGTTAGAGCTTCCCAGCCACTTTGTTTACCTACTCAAGCCTCAGCAATGGTGGATGCCCCTCCCCCATTTAACTTAAGAAACTAGAAAAAGAACAAACTAAACCCAAAACTAGCAGAAGGAAGAAAATAGAAATCAGAACAGAGGTAAATAAAGTAGAAAAACAATAGAGAAAATAAACAAAACCAAAAGTTGGTTCTTTATAATATCAACAAAATTGATAAATCTTTAGTTAAATTGACTAAAAAAAGAGAGAAAGGGATTCAGTTATTAAAATCAGAAACATAAGTGGGAACATTACTACTGATTCTACAGAATTAAAGGAGATTATAAGAGATTTTTATGAACAATTATACACAAACAAATCAGATAACCTAGGTGAAATTGACAAATTCTTACAAATACAAAACCTACCAATATTGGAGCACAAAGAAATAGAAAATCTCAATAGACTTATAACTATTAAGGAGATTGAGCCAGTAATAAAAATTATAATAGAATTCAACAAAAAAAAAATCCTTGGACTTGATGGCTTCACTAGTGATTTCTGCCAAACATTGAAAGAAGACATAACACCAATTATTCTCAAAGTTTTTTGAAAAATGGAAGAGGAAGGGACAGTTCCTCTCTGCCTATGAGGTCAGCATTACCCTGATACAAAAGCCAAAGTTACTGCAAGAAAAGAAAACTATATATTTTAAGTAAATGTTCATAAGACCAATATTTCTTATGAGCATTGATTTAAAAACTCATCAACAAAATACTAGCAAACTAAATTTGGTAGCTAATATGGATTTTATATTATGACCAAGTGGGATTCATTCTTGTAATGCAAGGATGGTCCACATATAGATATCAATTGCTGTAAAACACCACATTAACAGAATGACAAGGAAAAACACGTGATTATCTCAATTGATGCAGAGAAAGCATTTGACAAAATTCAACACCCTTTTATGATAAAACACTCTGAAAACTAGAAACAGAGGTAAACTACCTCAAAATAATCAAAGCCCTATATGAAAAATCCATAGCAAACATACTCAATGGTGAAAGCTTTTCCTCTAGGATAAGGAACAAGGTAAGTATGCCCACTCACACCACTTCTATTTAACATAGTGTTGGAAGTCCTAGCCAGAGTATTAGGCAAGAAAAAGGAATAAAAGGCATCCAAATTGGAAAAGAAGTAAAATGATCTGTTTGCAGATCTTATATATAGAAAACCCTAAATATTGCACCCAAAAACCCTTTTCAAAACAAATAAATTAATTTAGCAAAGTAGCAGGATACAGTCAACACACACAAATCAGGTGCATTTCTATATAATAACAATGAACAATCTGAAAAGGAAATTAAGAAAACAATTCCATTTACAATAGCATCAAAAAGAATAAAATACTTAGGAATTAACCAAGCAGGTGAAAGACTTGTACAAAGAAAACTATAAAACATTGCTGAAGGAAATTAAAGATGACATAAATAAATGGAAAGACATATCATATTTGTGATATGTATGACATATCATTGTAAGATTGTAAGACAGTATTGTTAAGACATCAATACTCCAAACTGATCTACAGATTCAATGCAATACCTATCTACTATGGTCTGAATGTTTGTGTCTCACCAAACTTCATACATTGAAACCTAATCACCAATGTGATAATATTAGGAGGTGGAAACTTTGAAGGTGATTAGGTCATGATTAGGCTGAGCCCTCATGACTGGCAGTAGTACCCTTAAAAAGCAGGCTCCAGACAGCTGCTTTGTCCCATCCATCATGTGAGAACACAGGGAGAAGGTGCCACCTATGAACCAAAAAGTGAGCCCTCATCAGACACTGAATATGATCTTGGACTTCCCAGCCTCCAGAACTGTGGGAAATAAATCTCTGTGGTTTATAAGCTACCCAGTCTATATTTTGTTACAGTAGCCTAAACGAACTAATACATTATTAAAATCCCAACATTTTTTGCAGAAATAGAAAGATCTACCTCAACATTCATATGGAATCTGAAAAGCCAAAACAATCTTGGAAAAGAAGAACGAAGTTGAAGAACTCGCCTTTCCTGATTTCACAATTTACTACAAAACTGCAGCAATCAAAACAGTGTGTTACTGGCATAAAAACAATATTTCAAAAAAACAAAGTTGAAGGACCCACACTTCCTGATTTCTAAACTTACTACAAAGCTACAGTAATCAAAACAGTGTGTTACTGGCATAAACACAAACACACCGACCAATGAATTAGAATAGAGAACCTGGGGATAAATCCTCACAAATGATTTTCAACAAGGGTTCCAAAGCCATTCAATGTGAGTTCTTTCATTCACCCTTTCCCAGCAAAGGGTGCTGGGAAAACTGAATACCCACATGCAGGACAATAAAGTTAGCCCCTTACCCATATTATATACAAAAGTTAGCCCCTTACCCAATTAGATACAAAATTAACTCAAAATATATCACAGATCAAAAACTATAAAGCTCTTAGAAGAAAACATGGGGCAAAAGTTTTGTGACATTAGATTTGGCAATGCTTTCTTGGATATGACACCAAAGGCACAAGCTACAAAAGAAAAAATAGTTAATTTGGGCGTCATAAAAATTAAAACCTTTTGGGCATCAAAGGACACTATCAACAGAGTAAAAAGGCAACCCCTGGAATGAGAGAAACTCTAAGCAAATCACATATCTGATAAGGGATTAATATCTAGAATACATAGAGAATTCCTAAAACTCAGCAACAAAAACAAAGAACCTGATTCAAAAATGGGCAAAGGACTCAACAAGACATTTCTCCAAAGAAGACATATGAATAGCCAATAAGCCATTAGTTCGACATCACTAGCCATTACAGAAATACAAGTCAAAACCACAATGAGATATCACCTCGCACCCATTAGGAGTGCTATTATAAAAACAAAACACACAACAGAAAATAACAAGTGTTGGTGAGGATGTGGAGAAATTGGAACAGTTGTGCACTGTTGGTGGGAATGCAAAATGGTACAGCCTCTGTGTAAAATAATATGGTGCCTCTTCAAAAATTAAAAATAGAAATGCCACATGATCCAACAATTCCCCTCTGGGTATAGACTCAAAAGAATTGAAAGCCAGATCTTGAAGAAATATCTGTACACACAAGTTTATAGCAGCATTACTCACAGTAGCCAAGAGGTGGAAGCAATCCAGGTGTCCATCAACAGATGAATGGGTAAAGAGAATGTGGTGTATACATACAATGAAATAATATTCAGCCTTTAAACAAGGAAAGTCTGATACATGCAACAAATGGATGAACCTCAAGGAAATAATGCTAAGTGAAATAAGCCACTCACTAAAATACCAATACTACATCATTTCACTTATAGGACGTACTTAGGGTAGTCAAAATCATAGAGACAGAAAGTAGAATGGTGGTTTTCAGGTGCTGCGGGGAGGTAATGTTTAATGGATACAGAGTTTCAGTTTTGCAAGATGAAAAGAGTTCTGGAGATAGATGATGGTGATGGCTGCACAACAGCATCAATGTATTTAATACCACTGAATGGTACGCTTAACAATGGTCAGAATGTTATGTGTATATTACCACAGTAAAAAAGCTGAAAGAAATACGTATATAAACACACACACATATATATGTATATAAAACATACAAACACATGTATACAAACAGAAAAAGAAAAACCTAGAACTCAAAAATGTCAATAGTGGTGATATCTTGGGATAATGGAGTTATTGGTGATTTTTCCCTTTCTAATTATTCTAAATAAATTTGTATTACTTGTTGAATTAAAACAAAACCAGGGCCGGGCACGGTGGGTCATGCCTGTAATCCCAGCACTTTGGGAGGTCAAGCTGAGAGGATTGCTTGAACTCAGGAGTTCAAGATCAACCTGGGTAACATGGTGAAATCCCCCTCTCTACAAAAAATACGAAAATTAGCCAGGCATGGTGGTGCATGCCTATAGTCCCAGCTACTTGGGGACGCTGAGATGGGAGGATCCCTTGGGCCATGGAGTTCAAGGCTGCAGTGAGTGGAGATTGTGCCACTACATTCCAGCCTGGAGACAAAGTGAGACCCTGTCTCTAAATAAATAAATAACAAAACCAAAAGACTAAAAATTAGATTGAGGGAAGACCTATTTCTATGAAGTTATCCCTAAATCTTAAGGGATTAACAAAGAAGTTAATCATACCCAACCCTACACTTGAAAACTGGAAACAACCCTTTATTCTATCATTCATAGCATTGTAGTCTAGAATGTTCTTATAGCAGGTAGGTGTTATTTGACCAGCATCCTTTAATTCAGGGCACCACCACTCTGCCATTTCATGATTTTGAAGTGGGATTGACTGGATGTCTTATTCTTTCCCAGGCAACATGGATGAGCCTCAAAAGCATTATGCTAAGTGAAAGAAGCCAGACTCAAAGGCTGCATACTGAATGATTTCATTTACAAGATATTCTAGGTAAGGCAAAATGATAGTGACAACGATCACATTAGTGGTGGCAGGAACTAGAGAGCTGGGGAGGGGGCTGGCTCTAAAGGGACAGGAGAGAACTTTGGGGGATCCTGTAAATGTTCTCTGTTATAAGTGGTTATAGGATACTACACATTGTCAAAACTGAATGCATTGTACACTCTGAAAGGTTAAATTTCACTGAATAAATAAGTTCAACACATGTGACTCAAAAAATAAATTAAAACTTTCGTTTTATTTTTTCTTTTATTTGTTTATTTATTGAGAGATAGAGTCTTGCTTTGTCACCCAGGCTGGAGTGCAGCGGTGCAATCATAGCTCACTACAACCTCAAACTCCTGGGTTCAACTGATCCTTCCGCCTCAGCCTCCCAAGTAGCTGGGACTACAGGTGTGCACCACCACGCCTGGTTAAGTTCTTACATTTTTTTGTAGAGACGGGGGTCTCTCTATGTCTCTGACTCCTGGCCAGGCTGGTCTCTGACTCATGGTGGAGCTGGTCTCGAACTCCTGGCTTCAAGCGATCTTCCCACCTTGGCCTTGCAAAGTGCTGGGATTACAGGCATGAGTCACCATGCCAGGCCTCAAAACTTTTACAACAGTTTTAAAAATTAATAAGAAGGACACTTTAAACAAATCAGCGAGAATGGCGGGTAAAAGACCCTTTGGGGCCTCGGCTCTGCAATGGAACAGCTGGCTTAGGCCAGGGGAACTGACAGCCCCAGAGACATGAAGATCATCAACATCTGTCTTCTTACAAGCAGCAATGGAATGAAAGTGGGAGAAGCCCCAGGGGCACCAGGGAAGAATATGGGCAGGAGGGCTGGGCAGAGTCCGGAGCCCAAAAATCCCCTTCCCTGGTACTGGTGCCCCCTCAGACACTCTGGGCTGTGCCCAATCTGCCTCCAGCTCTGCCTCAGCTCACTGCCTGCTGGAGCCATCTCCCAGGTCTTGGCAGCTCTCCCTCCTCACTCTGGTACTGACCACCTGGCATGTTTTCCCCTCTAGTTTGCTTCAGAGCCTTCTCTCTCCAACTGCTCCGTAGCTAACCCCAGCCTGACTCCAGCCTCCAAAGCCAGCTATTGAGAAAAAAAAATTATAAATGGGAAACAGTTCGAGATTTGGAGCTTATTAGATTTCAAGTTGGGAAGATCTACAAAAGATGCTGATGCTGCTTTGAAGGCACATATACTTCCTTCCTAAATTCTTGCTCTGATTCCTAACTAGCAACAGATAACCAAGTTACCTCACTATCACCTAATGCCAGTAGGAAGAAGGAGAACATTAGAAATAATATTATCCTTGGATATCTCAAAGAGCTAAAGGCTGAAGTTGTCCTAACCAGCTGCTTAACCAGTCACAACTAATTATCAGGTGAGAGAAATCAGGAAAAGCCATGCCACTTCAGCAGAATGGACAGCCCGGCTGGGCCCCATCAAACTTAGGGACAACTAATGTGTTCTTCCAACTCCCTGATGTATCTCCTCGGGATTGTGGTCCATGGCTTCTCTTCTCATTTTCCTAAAAAATCTCTCATAAGCCTGGGGCTATAGGAAATTAATATTAGTAGTGATGGGCTCAATTTCTAACCTCTGCATGGGCAGGGGATGTGGAATTTGCATACCACTTCTGTATATGCCTTCTATATACCATTTCCTAAAAACAAGAAAGACTACCCACCCCACCTCACTCCCAAAATAACCAAAATGATAAAGCCCAGGCTATTTGACAAGGGAAGTTGAGTCTGTAGTCAAATGCTTAAGAGATTTCTGTTTATTTAACTCTGCTCCATGCATCGCTCTAATAAGGTTGTAGAAGGGACATTGGCCACACCAAAGGAAGCTCTCAGGGGCACTCATAAGCAAGGCTTGTCCAGAGAACTCTTGTGGAGGGCTCAGGCTGAGAGGAAATGTAGGACAAGATGCCCCGGGTCCTGGTCCACACTGGCTGGTCCCTGGGAGCCAGACCATGAAACAGAGAGACATGAACCTCAACCAGCACTGCTCTCTCTCTCATCCAAAAGAGCTTCACAAGGAAGGATATCCTTCAACACCTGTCCGCTCCAACCTCAAGCCCCTCCCTCCCGATCTGCTCCCATCCCCAGCAAGGACATCCTGACCATACACAGAATAAAGAGCTCCCCCTTGAGTGTGAAATGAGATGAAGCCGTACATTTCTCCTACAAGGCCTGGAGTTCCTCCATTATTGATAGACCTAGGAGAGTCAAGCATTATCCTCTCCAGGTTCATCTTTCCAAAGGTATATTTTTCTGAAGGGGGAAAACATATTAAGGCTCATGGATCACAGTGTGAATAAACTAAGCTGTTGGTTGATGCTGTTTCATGCTCTGTCTGAAGGAACCTGGGCAGGTGAGAGCCCTGGCACCTGGAGCCAGCTGGCAGAAAGAGCAGGGGAAGGACAGGGGCAGAAGTAAAACTCTATGGATGTCGTGATTTGATCAGGCACCAGCTCTGCCGAGGACCTCTTGCCTCCTGCAGATCACAAAATCCCAGACTGTCAGACCACAAATACTCTTAGTTCCAACTCTACCATTGGAGATACAGGGAAACTGAGGCTCAGAGGGGCAAAAGAGATTCCATGGCATCTTACTCCTGGCCTATGGTTTTGCTTTTTTTCATGAAGAATTTTTGGGATTCTAGAAGCTGGGATAGTAAGGAACTTTAGAGATCATCTAATTCAGACTCGCATTAAAGATGGCTATGTTCTAGAACTCAGCCGGCCACTTCAGACAATAGGCATGGTGCTCTGATCATCCCTGGAGAACAAACTCACATGAGATATGCATACAATTGCGTACCAGTGACAGCAGATTAAGAACCTGGCCACAGTTATTAAGGATCTACTATAGGCTAGGAAGTTGACAGAAATTATTTCAACCTATATTCTAAACTATCTTTTGAAGGCCATTATAATTATCCTCACTTTATGGTGGAAGACACTGAGAATCAGAAAGGTTAAGTAATTTATTCAAAGTCACAGCAGTAGTAAGTTCAGAATATGGGATTTGAACCCAGGTCTCTGAGACTCAAAAAAAGCATGATTGTGTCATTAACTCCTCATGGTGTTTGTATGAAGACAGAGAGATTGAAAAATGTTGAATTTTACCTCTTTATTATCCCTAATGGTGGAGGAGGTGGTGCTGAAAGGCTGATTGTAGAGTTATCAATCTTATCTATCTTTTAGCGTAAGTTCCTGCTTTCATTGACCATCTTCCCAGACTAGGTCACTTTCTCCTATTACACACCTCAGTATTTCCCTTCACAGCGCTTTTCACAGTAGTGATTTAATTGCCAATGTAATTATTTGGTCAATACTTCTCTCTGTCAATAGACTATAAGACCCATGAAGGTAGGGACTGAGTTCAGAGTCTATCTTGGTCACCACTACATCTTCTGTGCCTAGCACAGGGCCTATACCAAATATGTGCTCATAGTATCTGTGGAACAAATAGATGAATGGTTGGACGGATGGGTGGATAGATGCATGGATGAATGGAAAGATGCATACATAGATAGAAGGATGAATGGATGAATGGACGGACGGATGGATGGATGGATGGATGGATGGATGGATGGATGGATGGATGGATGCCTGCATGCATGCATGCCTGGATGGGTGGGTGGACGGACAGATGCATGGATGGATGGATGGATGGATGGATGGATGGATGGATGGATGCATAAATGGATGGTCAAATGTATGGATGGTTGGATGAATGAATAGATGAATCTCAGCTCACTGATGTCCTGAAATGTGCAGTGACCCAAAGCCCTGGGCTCTGAGAACCAAAGCAGACAGGACTTTGTTTTTGTTTCTGAACACTGCCTGTGTGGTGAGTCACCCAATTTTTGAAAACCACATGCTTCTTTCCACAATCAGGCTGCCCAGAGGGGCCCCCAAGCCTCAAAGAGCATCAGGAAAACACTGCTCACACGCACAATTACTGCCAGTTTCTTATCGTTGCTGCTTTGATGTGCTGTTTGTGAGTCAGAGCTGCTGTTGCCTCAATGCTGTTCCTGTTTCAGCAGCATTCTGACATTTTTTTTTTTTTTTAAAGAAAAAAGTCGGAAGTGGCAGACTCTGTCTTTGGGCTAGGACTACAGACTGTTATTTGATTTGATTACTGCTTCATTTGATTATGGATGGACTCGGGATTGAGGGGGATAAGGATATCAAAGAGAAAATGGTGGCCATATCCCACCTACGCTAAAGTAAAGAGTACCACTCCAGCCCTTTGGAAGAGAACATCCCCAACTCTTCCCCAGCAGATCCACTATATGGAACCCACTGTGGTCAGACTGGGGTCTGGCTATTTCCTGCCACACCCTGAACTTTCTCACTTCCTTTCTTACCTATACATTTCCAGTTGCCAAGAATGTCACCCCTCTCCCCATCTCCACCTCTCAAAAATACCATGCAGCCTTCCAAGGCTAAACTCAGTTACAGCTTTCTCCACTGAGCCTCTTCTGTTCACTGCAGTCAACAGTCTCCTGACCTGCCTGCTCTTTGAGATCTTGTAACATTCACTTCCCATGTGCTAATTTACTCATGTTACTATCTGACGATAATGTGCATTTTGCAATGTTCTGTTGCAATTTAAAGGAAGAAAGTTATGATGTCTTGAGGATAATGGCACTCTTGGGGCCAAAAGAAAGAAGCTGGAGTCCAACTAAGCTACTTTCTTCCTATCTGATCTCTGAGAAGTTATTACCCTCAGTTTGTTCATCAGTAAAATCAGGGTTTTTCTAGACTTGAATATCAGATAAGATAATCGTCCTAAACATGCTTTGTAAACTGTACAATTGTGGTGTATATGAAGAATAATTAACATCATCTTCATCCTTTCCATCATTACTGTCAGCATCATCAGCATCATCACTGCACTTCTATTTCACTTCCCATGTGTTAACATACCTGGATAACACATATTTGTTATCTCCTAAGCTGGACTGTGGGTCTCTCATGGTTAGGGACCTAGCGGCATACCTCTGAACCTCCTTATCTTACACATAGCACAGGGCTGGGTACACCGTTGATATCCAGTGACTGTTTCTCAATTGATTGATAAACTCAGATGAAAATAACTCAATAGGAGAAAGCTATATATGACAAGGAATCTTTCAGAGGTCCTGTTTTATTTCTTCCTTTGTTGTAAAAATAACAAATGGAAAGAAGTACATTATTAAAGTCAGCAACATCTCTCCCCGCACCTGACAAGAATGGTCTTGCACATTTTTTTTGCCATATCCCTTGACAGCACCAGGACACTTCTCATTCCATAGTCTCATCCAACCTTCAAGAGAATCCTTGAAAAGGAAACAGGGAACCGCAGGTGCATAACGTCCCATTCTACAGTCAAGTGAAGTGAGGCCCAGCAACATGATCTCACTTACTCCAAGATGGAGCATTGAGTCATTGGTAAAACCCCGCCCATGAAGGAGGTCTCCTAACTCTTGGCCCTTGGATGTTTTGAGGTGGACACTGATTCCACTGAAAGAGAATTTTCTACCACTAATCAAGGAGACAGAGGTTTTATAAATGATACCTTATTTATTCTTCATGGTGTCCTTGAAAATGACCTATCATCATCTCCTTTGTATCCATGAGGAAACTGACACTCTGAGAGGTGAAGTGACCTGCCCAAGGTCACGGAGAAGAGGTGGGGCCAGGCTCTCATTTCCCAGTACCCACTGAGCACACTCTAGGCATGTGGGCTGAGCCTACTGCCGGGCTGTGAATCTCTCCCCCCTGTTCTCTGGTTCCTTGATTCACAGGAAGTTCAGGTCAACCACATCCTGCCACGTCTTTGCAGACAAGATAACGATCCCCACCACCACCATTCTCTGTCCCACCACAGCCCAGCAAGGGCAGACAGGCTTCCTTTACTCTTTTGATAACCACTGTATGTCACAGCTAAAAGGGGCCTAACTCTGAGTTTCCCTCCTTTAAAATCATCTGGTCCACATGCTAATGGTCCAGAATCCCCAGGTCATCTCTATAGCTTGAAATAATCATTCTAAAGTAGGGGTCCAGGAATCTGTATTTTTAACAAGCATCCTGAGTGATTCAATGAGTGTTCAAGTTTGGGAAACCACTAGTTAAACCCTGCTGGGATGACTTTTCCCTGTCATCCCAGTAGTGTAGGCTGGGTTGTATCTTTGTCATACTTACTGTGTCTGTTATAAGGGGCCACTGAATGCTACTGAATTTGTACTTTGCCATTAAGGAAGAAGGCCTGGAAAGTTAATTAAGCCAGCTTGAGATCTAACCCGTCCAGCTCTGCATAAGCAAGAGGAATGATGCATTTGGAGGCCCTCCTGAAGAACTCCCAGCATGCCAGCCTAAGTCCACATGTTCATCATCTGAAGCCACCTTCTTGGAGTGATCTGGAACTGACCCTCAATCCACAAACATTAACCTTTAGCCCAGCAGTAGGCAAACTACTTCCTACAAGCCAAAGCCTGCTGCTTGTTTTTTGTGAAGTTTTATTGGCACAGAGCCACACCCATTTGTTTATATATTGTTTATGGCTGCTTTTGCACTACTATGGCAGAATAAAGCCTAAAATATTTACTATCTGGCGCTTTACAGAAAAAGTTTGCCAACCCCTGCATTATCCCATCTATCAACCAGCAAAGCTTCATTCCTGTGGCTGTATCAGATGGCCTCTGGCTTTCCCAGTCATGTACCCACAGTATCACAGCAGCAGAGTGCTTGAGCACCTCGTAGGGACTTTAAAAACATGTTGAATGAAGAACCATCACAATGAGCTATTTCAATTTCCATTATGCAAATGAAAAAAATCACAGCTTTTAGAAACATTAATTATGTAAGCCAAGGTCTAAGAGTTAGAAAGTGCTAGAATTAGACCGGGAACAGTGGCTCATGTCTGTAATCTCAGCACTTTGGGAGGCCAAGGCAGGCAGATCACCTGAGGTCAGGAGTTCGAGACCAGCCTGACCAACATGGTGAAACCCCATCTCTACTGAAAATACAAAAATTAGCTAGGCATGTTGGCAGCTGCCTATAATCCCAGCTACTTGGGAGGCTGAGGCAGGAGAATCACTTGAACCCAGGAGGCGGAGGTTGCAGTGAGCCGAGATCACGCCATCGCACTCCAACCTGGGCAACAAGAGCAAAACTCCGTCTCAAAAAAAAAAAAAAAAAGTGCTAGAATTAGAATTTTTATTGATCCCAGGTACAATATTTTGTCCTATCAACTTGAGGCAGTGATCAGGCAGAATCTTGCCGGAAATGTGCAGAAATGGGGCCTAGGGTAGGTCTTTTGGATGAAGGACCTGGATCTTGGGGCTAGGAGAGATGGGAAGGCCCTAGGAAAGAATGAAGAATTATCTGAAAGGATAAGCAGGCCTTGTCCTGCTGGGAAAATAGGTACCTTGAGAATATATTAAGCTAATTCATATTACAGTGTTAGCTTCTTTCTGGACCTGCTGTGACAAAGTTAATGGAGCTTTTTCACCTGGGGGTAAAGGAGGGTACATCAAGGAGCACAGAGAAGGGAGAGCAGAGTGAGTCAGGCACGCTTACCAGAATACGACTCAAACCGAACCAGGTCTCAGTGGTGTTGAGTCACTGGGGCATCAGTCAGGAGCCTGGGCAGCCACCTGGCAGTGGGACTGCGGTGGAGGTGCCCACCCCAGGGGATGCCTGGGCCCAGTGAACATGAAGCCCTTCCCAGCTCTGAGGTTCTCAGAACCCTTTGTGGCTTGAGTTAGCCCTGACACTCTCCCATCCACTTTACGGAGAAGCATTAAAGCCACCGAACACCCCCTCTTGAATCTGATGAGATTCAGCTTTGTCAGACCCACTTTCCCAAGACAGTCATAGAAAATGGGGGATTCTCTGGGTTGGCTGTTTGGAATTCTTCCCCAGATAAATCACGCCCACGAGGTAGCACCAACAATATGTAGTCTCTGTTTCTTTAAAGTGAAAGAGAATATAAAACTGAATGCCAAAGACTCTATTTTGTTGTTTTTTCCTCTAACCTTTATAGTTATCGCACTTACACTGAATTCACCAGGAGGTTGTTCCGTTATAGCATGCATTGATTCTCTCCAAAGCACTCACTTTAGCTTGCAAAGAAACAACTCTACGTTTTTGCACTCATATTTCATTGCATTATGAAATGATGGATTGCATTATTTAATCAGAGTAACAGGTACAGGTTGAGAAGAAATACAAATAGCCCTCAGTAAGCACACACAGCTCAACCAATGGAAACATATGTGCCCAGGAAAACTGGAGAGAAGCTTCAGTTGGAGCTGCTAGCTTCAAGGGTTTAGTGTATCCCAGGCATGGGCACAGTGCTAGCTGAGTAGTGTGGAGAGTCTACATTAATCTAGCAAGCTGGTCCATTGCAGGTTGCTCAAGAGGGCTTCTGCTGTTTAACTGCACGCAGATGCCACAGCCCTTTGTCACGGACAGAGCACTGTCCAGCGTAATCCTCATGGCCCTTTAAGGGAGGCAGAGAAGATTTTCATATAGGAAAAATGAGGATCAGAGGCCTTGAGTGACTTTCTCAGAGACAAATGTGCAGTAATTACCTCCTTCGTGTCTGTACTGCAGGAGCCCAGCACAGAGTGGACACATGGAAAAAAAGGCCACCGTTTATGAAACAGAAGTGATAGAGCCAGGCCCCAAACCAGGTGGATCTGCTTTGAGAGCCCATGTTCTTTCAACTCACTGATGAACATTTGTGAAATGCACACTATTTGTCAAGAATTATGGCTGGCCCAGATACAAAAGATAGGGCCTATTACTTCTCACCTGTTTAGGGCCATGTGTTTTCCAGCTCTTATTTTTCTCCCCACCTTTCTCCTGGAAAAAAAAACAAAAACTTGTTTTAAAAGGCTCAATTCTTCTGTCTCCTTTGGTGTTAATTCTTCTGCAAAATAGCCTGGGAAGAAACAATTGATTTGAATTATGCCAAAGCTTTTCAGAAGTGGGGATGGACAGAGTGCCCCCCATCCAGTCTCACCTTTACTCTCCACCCCATTTCCTACTTCCACCTCCAAGACTTCCCACACTTATGCAAAACATCCTGGCTGAGTCTCACCAAGAGCTCTAGGGGAAACCCTAAACCTCAGAGTGAAATGAAGGGGCTGATTTGCCCCTGGGGAAATTAGACACAAACAAGGCTGGGGTGAACCACCAGTCTTGAAACTGTTTCTCTGGATTAGTCACAGGGTTACCCACTCATGAATGTTCCTCCCACCTCCTCACTTCAGGCTCTGTTATTCTAGAGGGCTGGCCTGGTTACAAGGGTAGCCAGATTAACTAGGGTCTAAATGGGAGAGCTGGGGCACGGATCATTCACCAAAGAAACCGCAGCGACCTTCCGCCTGGGTGGGGCTTCTCTTCTTTTAACCTCCCGCGAAACTGCTAGTCAGCAGCTCTGTTTCCTGCCATTGCTCGAGGAGATCTTCATGAGTTTCATAGGAGTAGGATTGTGCCTTCAATCCATCATCTTTCTAGGGAAGGTAGCAGTATTTCATTGGCTTATTTCTTAACAAATAATATATTAAAGACTGCTTTCCTCCAGGTACCTGTTAGACACTAGGAATATAGTGGTAAGCAAAGAACTGCTTAGGAGTCTTGCTCTTGTGTTTTTGATGGTTGATCTCAGGTTGTTTAAGAGGCTTCTGCTGTTCAACTGCATATGCGACAGCCCTTTTACATGAACAGAGAGAACTGTCCAGTAATTTAATCCTCATGGCCCCTCAAAGGTGGCAGAGAAAATTTTCATATAGGAAATTAGGATCAGAGGCATTAAGTAACTTTCTCAAAGACAAACGTGTGGTAATTATCTCTTTTATGTCTGTACTGCAGGAGCCCAGCACAGAGTGGACACGAGAAAAGAAATTCTATTGTTTATGAAACAGAAGTGATAGAGCTGGGCCCCAAATTGGGTATATCTGTTTTGAGATTGCTTTGTAACACATATACATCAAATAACTGCTAGAGACCAGGGCAAGGGGGTTCTGTCTGTTTGGTTCACTGCTATATGGTTAAGGCCAAGAAAAGTACCTGGCATACAATAGACATTCAATAAGCATTTGTTGGATGGATGGATGGATGGATGGATGACCCAAACAATTGCAGGTCATGCTGAATGTAAGAATTAAACGTAACATGGATGAGAATGCATCACGGGATTTATCATCTCTTTTGGGTCTGGGGAAGACTTCTTTGCAAAAAATGATAACCCAGACAAGATTCAAGGGGTGAGCAGGAGCTGGCTAAAGGAAGGAGAAGATAGTGGCAGGAGGAGCCACGCAGACACAAGGAATAGCTTGGGTGAAGGTCTTGAAGCAAGAGGGAGCACAGTTTATGAAAGGATGCTGAAGAAAGTTTCCAGAGCTGGAGGACAAGTGGGAAGGAAGGGTTGGTTCAAGGTGACTCTGGAGGGGACAGCAGAGCAGATCCTAGTGGCCTGAGAATAGAACCCTGACCTCTTCCACAGAGCAAGGAGGAATCACTAACCTATGTTCAGCAGGAATCAATGTGGCCAGACTTGCACTGGCATCACAAGTTGAAGTGCTTTTAGGAAGGTCCATTTGGGAGTGTCTAGGTATACATGACCAATGGGAGATGATGAACTTGCCATAGCTTTTAAAGTTTAAAGTGACACATTTCTAGCCTACTACTATTTCACCTTCACATCATTACATAATGTATTTTAACAAATACCGATATTGCATTACTATGTGACAGATGTCATTCTAAGTGCTTTGCAAATATAAACTCTCACATTGGCCTTGTGACATTGGTGCTAATTATTATCCTTTTTAAAAGATGAGGCAACTGGGCTGGGGCATTTAAACCAACACAGCAGATGACAGAATGCCAGAGTCTTCCTCAATTCCTGTGATGCATGGAGGACTCCAGAAGTCTCCATGTGCCCTGTGGAGGGTGTGCAAGGAGACTGGCCTTGGAGCTGCAGTGGGTGAGGTAGCTGGGGAAGACAGATGGGGCTGGAATGAGAGTCAGTCTGCTTTCAGGGGATCCACAGCACCAGCGACAGTACAGTGGGGCCTTGTTGACAGGAAGAGATGGTGCTCTGTGCCTGGGCCCTGCTGCAAACCTAGCATCTCTCCACACAATCCTAATATCCCTTCAGTTTTTCCTCCACCAGGTCATCTGCTTTGCAGATTCTATGTCTTCCTCTTTCTTGGTTGACCGCCTCATTTTAGCAGAACAGTCCCTCCAGCAGCATCCTGAGACAAGGAGAATGCAAGGAAAATGTGGGGGGACTGTCATTTAAAAAATTCTTTAGCGCTCTTGTGGGTTGCTATTTGGCTGGGCATAAATTCTATTTCACAAGTCACTTTTCTTCAGAATTTTAAAGATACTGCTTCTTTGCTTGTAGTTTTCAGTGTTGCTGCTGAGAAGCTCACACTCAATTAATAGTTTGGCTGGGTATAGAATTCTACAGCCTCAGTCAGCCTCCTGAGCCACTGTTGAGGAATCCAACGCCATCCTGTACCCTGATCTTTTATATATGTTTTTGTTTTTATTTGCTTTTCGTTTTTCTTTTCTGGAAGCTTTTGATATTTTTTCTTGATCTATGGTATTCTGAAATTTCCTAATAATTTGCCTCGATGTGGATCTTTTTGTCATTTGCTGTGTTTAGCATGTGGTAGATTCCGATAAGTAAGCTCATGGCTTCAGTTGTGGGAATTTTATTTTTGTATTTTTCCTTGAATATTTTCTTCCCCTTGTTTTCTCCATTTTTCTCTTTTTGGGACGTTTAACTTTTTGGATGCTGGATATCCTTGATGGATCCTCCAATTTTCTTATCTTTCTTTCCTATTTCCAATCTGTTTATCTTTTTGTTTTACTTTCTGAGCATTCTCCTCATCTATCAAATGTGTTATTTTTTAAGGTTTTTTTTGGACTATTAATTTTAATTTTCAAGAGCTCTGTCTTATTCTCATTTGATCCCCACTCTTTCTTTTTACATTCATTTTTATTTTCTTAGATGCAATATCTTCTCATCTCTGTGATGATGTAACTTGTAATTTTTTGAAGTCTACTCACGTTTAAAATGGGTCACTAAAGATCTGATGAAAAGCTCCATAGGGTTGAAAAGGGCTTTTCAGTTGGCAGAACTCACTGCAAGGTAATAATGTGGGAAGCTAACCATTTCACTGAGGAACCAATCATCAGGAATATTCCTATTTTGTAGATGAGACTAGTCACTGAGAACATAAGTAATTTACCCAAGTTCATATAGCTAGTAACTGGTGTGCTGAGATTCAAACCAAGAACATCTCATTCCAGAAGCAGTGTGCTAAACCACTGTGCTGCACTGCACTGCCTCTCAGAGCAGCAGCAGCTAACATTTAACAAGTGCTTTCTGTGTACCAGACACTGTTCTAGGTACCCAAAAATCATTTAATTTAATCCTCATAATAACATTTTGAAGTAGCCACTTTTGTTAGCCCCATTACTGACCAGCAACTTGAAGCACAGAGAAGGTAAACCACTTGCCCAAGATCACACAGCTGGTAAGTGCTGGAGATGGAATATAATCCTAGGCAATCCGCCCCAAGCATCCTTTCTGCTTTGTCTCCAGGAGTCTCCATTTCATCATCTGAAAAATGGCAATGTGATTCCTAACTCAGTTATTTTGAGGATAAAATGAGAGAACACATGTAAGAAACCTGTACCTAATAGACCTGAAACAGATGTTACTTTCATTAAAAAAAAATTGCTTTCCTCTCTTAGGCTTCAGTTTCTCTAACTTTAAAACAAGAAGCTATAGATTGTAGAAGAAAAGTTTGTAGGCTCCCTAAGGTCCCTCCTGGCTGTGAATGTCCATGGTCTAAAAAGTTAGGGTAGACCTAACTCAGAGGAGTGGAGATAGAATAGGAGTGAGGGTGGGAGATATCAAGACCTCAAGGCATAGAGGAAGAAAAAAAAAAAAAAAAACAGGAGGTAGAAGCAAATGTGACATGTTCTAGATGGTTCCATTTTCCAACTCGGGCCCAGAGAATCCTTTCTGTGTTCCCAAATAGCTGTGAAGTTCAAATAACGGGTTCCAACTGACACATAAAAAGAAACACATGTAACCACTTACAGGCCAATTAATATCAGGGCAGGGGATGGGGGAAAGCCACAGAGGGGAGGAGGCCACTGGGGTTGAAGTGAGCAAAAGAATGATGGCCGTGCTTCCGGGCCTACGGCTGAAATGGGCTATTATGTGTCATCAGGAAACTTAAGAAGGGGAGAAAAAACAACCCCTGATCAAAGTCCCTTTTGTCAACTTCTAGCAGATTAATAGATGACAGATTTTGCACTTAGAGCTCTACTGCAAGGTCAAGGGCAGTGAAACGGGGCTTGTTGGGACATTTTTCTTCTTTCATTCAGCTGCTGGTCTGCAGAACTCATCATTCTGACAGCCCAGCTGCCTGAAACTTCTCTCAGAAGGTCTGCCTTCCCTGGAATATTTTAGGGGGAGAGTGGACTTCTTGTTAGCACAGACAAGCCAGGCTGTTCTCATCCCCATAGGCACTGCCTTGCTCAGGGTCCTACTTGGAGCTTCTCACTCCCTGGAGCCCAAGCCCATCATGCCACTTCCCAAATTCCCCTATTATAACCTCACGGTGGCTGTCTCAGGTCACAGCAGGAAGACACACTTCTAAACCTGGCTTCTAGGTCCCTCAGTGATCTGGCTTTGCCCCATGACCCAAGGGCTTTTAACATCAATCAAACTGGATTACTTGCAGCTCCCCAGACTCATCTCGCTCTTTTACCTCCACATCATGACCTTCTCTGCCACCCTTTTTGTCTTCCTGTCAATTTCCTATTCACCCATCAAGCCTGTGCCAGTGTTAACTCCCTGCCTTCCCAGTTTAAGAAGAGGCTGTATCCTCTGTGATGCACAAACCCTTCAAACACACAGCCTTCAGCCTTGACCTTACTGTCTGGCCATTATCTGTCTGTAGGTCCATCACTTCCACTCAGCCATGTGTAAAGACCAGTGTGCTGCCTGGCATGGAGTAGGGGCTTCCTGTTATAGAGTTATGAGTACATTACAGGTGAGTCACCAAGACCTGAGATTGTGGAGGGAGACCCTAAGTTCACCCTAATAATTCTCGCCCCTGGCAGAATCTGTGACTTGCTTTTAACCAACAGAATATGGTAAAGGTGATGGATGCCACTCTCATGATTCGATTACGTTGTATGGCAAGGTAATAGGATGTCAATCTCATGATTATGTTGCTTTATATAAAACTCCATGATGACAGAGTTGAGAGATTCTCTGGATGAGAGATTCTCCTTGCTAGCTTGAGGAGGTAAGCAGTCATGTTGAGGAATCTCATGTGGCAAGGAATTGTGAGGTTAACTTGAAGGCAGCCTCCAGCCCACAGCCAGCAAAAAGCTGGGGCCCTCAGTCATACAGCCACAGGGAAATGAAATGAATTCAACCAACAACTTGAGTGAGCTTGGAAGTGGAATTCCCCAGTTGAGCCTCCTGATGAGAATGCATCAGTAAACACTTTGATTGCAGCTTTGTGAGACTGTACAGAGGATTCAGCTAAGCTATGTCTGGTAACCCAACACATGAAAACTGAGAGAAGATATTTGTATGTGCTATTTTAAGTTGCTACCTTTGTGGTAATTTGTTACTTAACAATTAACAAACCAATACAGAGATCATTGTTAAAGATGCATTTTGGGGGATCTAGAAGGCCCAAACAGCCCTGGGAAATTCAGTTTCACTCTTATAAGTTAATATACTAGCAAGAAATTTTTGCCAGGCAACTCATAGCAAGACTCCAGAATAAGGGCCCGAAAGTGGAAGCCAGCCCAGGGAGAAGGACTTAGGAAGATGAGAGGCAAGAGACAGATATGGGACAGGAAGAGCCCCAGGCCTGATATCAGGGCTCTGGGTTCCAGGCTGTGCAGATGATTTTTACCAGGCTTTGGGTGATGTACCTCCACTCTGGGCCTCCATGATCTCATCTATAACCCAAGTATTATGAACAGGTAGAGCTCTACAGCTCCCTCTGGCTCTGGCAATCTGAATAATGATTGTACAATTTTACAAAGGAACCACCCTAAGCAGCACATTCTAGAGACTACTCAATCTTTCACTTGTTTATTCATTAATTCATTCATTCATCATGGATTACTCTTATTTTTAATAATTTTGGAATTGCTTACACGAAAGATACATGTTTAAAAATCATTTTAGAAGACAAATATGAATTAGGGCAGGAGAAGGAAAAGCTATGCCAGAATCCCAGGCTTATTTATTTGCATAGTTCTCCTTCCTCCTCCTCATATTTTCTATAAGAAATATATTCCATGTGTTCAGGGTCAAGTTAGTCTTGCCCCTCTTTGCACCTATAGGGATAGTCACATGGCCCAGGTTTGGCCAGGCTGAGTACACCAAGTCTCAGTCACTGTGATTGGTTTGAAGGTGAGCCTATGCTCCAAGCAGGACCAGTCAGGTTCCTCCAACACGACTTTGCTGGCAGAGCTGGTGGAAGAGACTCGTTCTTCTCCTGGGGCTGCTCACATCTTCCCAGATGTGAGTTTGGGGTGATTTGGGGCTACCATGGCTGGCGTGTGGAGACAGTGTGTCTAAGACCTAGAAAGGGAAGCCCTAGTAACACTGAATCCACGGTGAAACCAGCCATCTCTGAAGCCATCTGCACTTACTTGACCTGATCAATTATCTTCTTTAAAAAAATAATTTGGGCCAGGTTCCTGCCACTTGTAACCAAAAGAATCTTAACTAGTAGAGATAGTTATTTCAACTGAACATATAATTTAGCTCTGTGTGTCTTGGAAGCCAAAGCAAAAGGGGAACCACATTGCATAGCAAAGTCACATTCTCTGACATTACAGACCCAAGGCGCCAAGAAAGAGCCTTTTCTCAACTGCTCAAGCCTTTTTCTCATGCTCTTTTGCATTGGCAGCCCAGAGTCACATCTTCCACAGCTGTTTCAGAAAGCAGGCAGAAACATTCTTCATGTGGCTGGCTGCCTTTGGAACTGAACATCAACAAAAGGCAAGCAACAGAAATGGAGTGTCAGTCAGCACTTCCGAAGACCTAGCTTTTCAGCCAGAGAGGAAACCAGGCCAAGAGGCTTCCAGTCCAGTGTTTAATTCTCCCTGGCCCCTCTTTGCATGGGCCTCCTGAGGGGTAGCTCCTCCAAACGCTGCCCTGAGGTTTGACTGAAATCTGTCATTTCTTTGGTTGGAAGGTTGGTGTTTCCTTGCAAGGGACCACAAAGCCATATTACATTCAATGTTAAATAAACAAATGTTTGAATCTGTGTTTTATTGGTTCCATACCATCTGCCATCTGGTTTGGGGGAGCAAGGAAAATTGTGGTTTTGTTGGTTGTGTGTGTGTGTGTGTGTGAGTGTGTGTGTGTCTGTTGTTGTTCGTTTTTTGTTGTTGTTGTTGTTGGGGGTGGGGGTTGAGTTTCTTTCCCCTCTATGAAAATTCTGTAAGGTTGAGTGCTGGCAGCAATAGGGGCTGGTTAAAAGCCACCTAGTTTCCCACGTCTTAGCTCTCAGCTAAACGTTGGAGGCTGGTCTGGGTCCCCATCTGCTAAGCAGCCTGTTGTGTGAAAATTAGATCTATACATATGCAGAGCTCCACAGCCAGGCTTCCAAGATCTAAGGAATTGTTATGAGAGAACCGCAAGAGGTGGTTATTTAATGTTGACAAGCTGCACCCAGACCAAAGGCGAGAGTGGGGCATATGGAAACTGAACAGAGGAAACCTCGCGTCTGAGCACTCTGGGGCTGTCGGGAAAAGCAGGCTTTGCCTTCAAGACCCTGGGTTGCTGGAGATGTAGAACTTGTAATGACTTGAAGGAGAAAATATGCCCTAGACACTGGGTGGAAAATAAGCCCCAGCCTGCCTGGAATCTTTAATTTGAGAAAATGCCATGGTTGAGGGGGTGGGGTGCATCCCATGGTGGGTATGTGGTGGGGTCCAGCATCTCCTGTGGGTCCAGCTGTTTTTGACCAACAGGGCCTGGAGCTGCTTGAAAAGAAAAAAGATGGAGGCTCTCAGAGCTCCAATTTTCACAACTTTTAAACCGCTCCTGTTTTCCCACCTATAAAATAAAGACAGAGTTGGGCATGGGTCACACACACAAATGCCACAGGGCCAGGCAAGTAATGAAACGTGTGAGGCTGGCTGGGCAGGGCCCACGGGAAACGTGCCCTCAGCTAAAGGGCAGCAAGGCTTCCACCGACCACTCCAGAGACGTGCTGGTGCAGGAACCCGGCCTCCTGTGGTCAGCTTTCCCAAGTTTCCAAGAAAGGTCAGGATTTTATTGTTTGTTTGCTTTTAACGTGAAAACACCCAACATTTCAATACTGGCAGCTATTGAAATTATTGAAAAAAATTCTGGTCAAATAAAACTTGCCCACAGCCCATATAAGGCCCACAGGTCTCCAGTGAGTGCCCTCTGTGGAAGAACTCGATGAGAGAGTCTTTGAGGAAAGCCAGGGACCAGGACCAGGTATTCCCTTAGCAAAGGGCAAGAAGGCCCCAGGCAAGTCGGTCCTGCTCTGGCCTGCACAGGCTGAGGAAGACAAGGAGTCGCCCTCCAGGTGCTGGTTCCTGAGGGTGTGGGAAGGGCCCTCCAGGACCATTGCTGAGCCTCAGCAAGCGGTGAAATTCCAGGGCCAGGCCAGCTGTTCCTCCCAGCCAGAGTCCCTTAGCGACACAGGGACTGCTCTGGGCCACTCAAGTGCTGTGCTTCTCTGGTCTCTGCTTTGCAATTGCTGGGAGAAAAATGAATTCTGCTGCTGCTGCACTGCCACAGGTACATGTACATATGCCTGCACAGGGCAAGGGGGATGGAAACATTTGCCATTATTACTATCCTTGAAGGGGAGACCTGTCTCTGTCTCCCAGCCTGGAGGCTCATGGAGGGCAGGGCCCCTCTGGGTCCCCAGCGTGATTGTCTCCTCATAATGTGGGTTCTCCGTTCTGGAGGGGGTGGGTGTCTGATGTCTCCAGTCAGTCATCTTGAACCAGAATCCTACTGTTTATTATGTTTATAATCTGTCTCTCTCACTTGACAGTGCCAGCCCCGGTCTCCAGCGTCACGTATCAGACACTCAGTGAATGGTAAACAAAATCACCATCATCATCATCCTAAAAAGGGGTCTCAGCTGTTAGAGAAGACTCTTCTGTGTGTTTTCATGGAATAATATCTATATGGTTCAGAAATGGCTGTGCTGGGCACTGGATCAGGTATCTTTCCTGATCCTGCCCTGGGAACAGCGGCCCCGTACCTGTGTACATGTGACATATACATGTGCACATACAGTATTGTGCGTATATGCATAGGACATGGTGCATTGCACATACCCTCTGGCTTCCCGCAGGCTGCAGGTTCCCCCTTTTACAGAATCACAAGTTAGCAAGTTGGTGACCTGCAAAAAGTGAGCCAAGGCTGTGTGACCTGCTGCTAGTCAGTGTGCCCCTCAGCATCCTGCTGTACCGTCCCTGCTGTCTCAGTGGCCAAAAAGCTTTTAGTTAATTTCTTCCTGGGTTTTTGTTTTGTTGTGTTTTCTTTCTAAAGAAGGTGTGAGGAAATTCCAGGTTCAGTTGATGTTCTCCATGAAGAAACACAATTGAGACTATTTTTTTCAGTGATGAAACCTGCATGTTTGTATTTCAAGTAATATAGCCAAAACACCTCATCTTTTTCCTTTTTTGGCTTAATAAATATCATTTATTCAGTATGAAATTTTTATATTATATGTCCCACATATTAAGAATCAGTGTACATTAACTCTTGGAAAGGTGTTTTTAAAAACCAACAAAACAGGCAGGTAAACAGGTCTTGGTCAGTCATTCACTCCTCTGAGCCTCAGTGGCCTCCACTGCCATCTGGATGAGACGGTGTCTGGAAGCCTGTCCCACTCATGTTCCTACAGAAGCAGCTTGCAGGCAGGGAGAAGGGGAGAGCATGAGGGGAGGAAGGGAGGAGAGTGCGGTGAGAACGCCACCACCAGAACTTCACTGGTGAGTACAGTGTATGCTGACCGGGCACAAAAGCCACACAGAATGGAAGTCAGCTTCCAGAAAAAAGAACAGACTGCGAGCTCCTGGAGACAAAGGTTAGGTCCCGCTTATCTCTGGGTCCGCAAGCCTAGCATAAGACTTGCACGGAGTGTGTGCCCTGCCATTGTAGAATTCACTCATGCAAAACCCATCGGAACATATCGAGCTGGCATTTCAGGAAGCTCTTCCACACCCATCACACTCTTGAGCCTGTATCAGCCCTGTCAGGTAGGATGGGGGCAGGCGTGGTTGTACCCCAAACATGACTGGGAAACTGAGGCCCAGTGAGATGAGGCTGCTGGTCAAAGGTGGGTTAGTAGAGAGCCACACCCGGATCCCAGGTTTCCCTGCTCCTGAAGAGTAATCTTTCTCTGGAGCAGTGGCTCTCAGTGACTCTCAAGTTTTTCGGGCAGCAGCCAATCTGGAAGTGAAGGAGCTCTTTGAGAAGATCTAGAGACAGTTAAAGAAAGTAACTGACCAGCTGGTTCACTGTGGTCCGACCCAGACCTATCCTATGTTCTCGTATAGAGGTAACATCAGATATCAAACACTTCAGACAATCTGTGGGAGATAAAATTAAAATGAATAGAATTCTAATTATTTTATTTTATTTTATTTTCTGAAATTTGCATCATTATTTGATTTTCCAGGGGCACTACCCCCACCCCATCCCTACCAGTATGAGAGATGCACCCCATCAGCACTCCCTGTGGTCTGCCCAGGTATACTGGTGTCTGGCTGGGTCCTAGAAAATCTCGGCATATGGCACAGGTCTGAGAGAGAGCTTTGGGCTCCTCAAAGTGGATATGAACCTCAGGGTCAATGAAAGGCAGGTAACTGCCATGTGCACACAGGTACACACACATGCATGTACACATGCATGCATACACACACACACACAGACACACAAAAAGAGGAAACCACATTCAGTGTGGGCTGGCCCCAAGCTGAGGAGGAGACTGTGAAGGGTAACTACCCCACTCAGTGAATCAAGATGTGGGATCCAAACTACTTCCTCCCCCTGCTTTGTATTAGGAACATCACATACCTGCTCTCACGGAGTACTTACAAGCCCAGGAGGGAGGAGTCACTATCCTTGGTACACGGATGCAAAAACCCACTCAGGATGCAAAAACCTACTCAGAGTGCCAAGCAACTTGCCCACAGACACAGCTGTTGAGAGGAAGGGCCAGATCTGCTTTGCATACTAAAAGAGACCTCCCTGGGTCCCACCCTCCAAGGTCCCCAGGATGAGGAGGTCTACAGCCCTTGGTCCATGAAGATGTCCAAGTTGCCGCCCAGAACTGAGTGATGGGCCATTTCCTGAGCTTTCATCTGCCCCATCAATTCCAGCTGAGTGTCTGGGACAATCCCCACCCATTTCCTGGGCTCGTTTCCCCAGAAGGAGGTTCCGTACCATCCTCTAAGTGCTGTGGCCTTTCATCTAGTTAGACAGCCCCTCTGGGGGCCCAGACCTACATTTCAGGCAACACCCTACAAAACCTTTGGCTGATGGCCAATAATAAGAGCTCTTTGGGTCTTTTCTATCAGTGAAAGCCACTCCCCTGCCCCACCACCCTCCTCCTTTCCTGCTCTCCCACTCTCCCAGATGGGAAGCCAGGAGTCTTAGATCCTGAGGTCATGGGCTCTTTGGGATAGGCACGGAAGCCATTGAGCCCCTTCAATCTGATCTTTGCCCCACCCGCCCTTGGGGAGCTCAGGCAGCCTCTATTTCGCTGACTCCTACCACAGGAGCTCACTACTCTCAAGGCAATCTTCTCCCAATTCAGACAACACTGAGCATTAGCGGATGCGCTTCCTCGAATGAGCTGGCATCTGCCTCCCTATTTCATGAGGATCCATGTTCTCTTTCTTCTGCTTTCTGACACACAGGAAAAGGCAGGAGGACCCTCAAAACTGTAGCTACACCCTGCTGCCTATGCTTGGCTTAGTCACTTCTATCCCTTCTGGCCTCAGTGTCTCACCTGTAAGGTGGGTGACTTCTAACTCCCCTTCCACGTTTGTCCCTGTGTCCGTGCCAGGAGTGGCTTGGACGAGGACACAAGATACCTGAAAGCCAGCATCAGGGAAGAGGTTCATGAGCTGAACCTGCATTTCCTGGTTCTTGGCCTGGTGAGCTGTTTCCACCCCGGAAGCAAGAGAGCATCACAAAGATACAAACACAGCCTGAAATGAGGAGGACCGCTCCCTACATCCAAGCTACTTCCAGCTGAAATGACGAGATGTGGTTCCAAAAGTTTCCACGGAGAAAGACAGCTTGTAGCATGATGGCAGCCCAGGAGGATGAAAAGAGCTTGAGTTGAGAGACAAGAGATAAGGATTCAAGTTGCAGCTCAGTTATCCACTAGCTAGGTGACCTTGGGCTTGCTGCTTGACCCCCCAGGACCTTGGTTTCTTCTTCCACTAAACAAGAGATCATGGAACAGCTGATATGATCTCTAAGCTCAAGTCAGAGAATCAACAGAAAACATAAGAGTGGGCCTGGAAGACAGCTTGGAGTTTGATCAGTTTTAGCAAAGCTGACCACAAGGCAAATGACACCACACAAAAATGAACACAGCTCTAAGAAGGTGAAGACCACATGTTAGTCATTGCTAAAGCCTGGTGCCTGGTACAAAGGAGGCTCTCACTAAAGATGG
Organism: Homo sapiens; assembly: GCF_000001405.40. Taxonomy (NCBI): domain Eukaryota; kingdom Metazoa; phylum Chordata; class Mammalia; order Primates; family Hominidae; genus Homo; species Homo sapiens. The sequence continues at coordinate 69,743,259 of NC_000015.10, read as the reverse complement.
GAGGGCACAGGGGCTTGTGTGGCAGCAACAAATGCTAGAATTAAACGCTGGGATCTGGATCCAGACTCCATCACTTGCTAACCACTTGCCTCCCTGAGGCAAATCATGTAATCCCTCTAAGCTTTGGTTCCCTTGTCCTTAAAACAAGGGCAGTCTCTCCTACTGTATGGAGTTGTGAGGTTTCGAAGGATTAAGTGCCTGGCACATAGTAGGGGCTCAGCTGCAGGCTATGGAGGTTGAAGCTGGCCATATGTGTGCCTGCATGGAAGGAATAAACCTTTGTGAAATCCCAGAGTCTTGTTTAATTATTCAGCAGCCTGTAAGAACCTTGATCCTGCAACTAACTGTCTCAAAAATCAGAACTCTCTCTCTCTTTCTCATCCCTCCCTTCCTTCCTTTCTCTCTCTCTCCCTCTTCCCCCCCTCCCTTTCTTTCTCTATACACACACACAAATATACATGAAGAAAGAAAGAGAAAACCACAATCAGCCTGGGGTATCCCCAGGCATAGGAAAAACATGTGTGGAACAAGTACCCGATGCAATAAATCAAACCATGGGATCCAAATCTGAGCCTGAGTCCAGCCTCCTGCTCCAGCTGTGTCAGAGGCCGTGTCGCACAGTCTGTTCCCATAGCCAGGAATGCCTGGAGGTTCTGGCCAGCATCTCAGGCCGCTCCTGAGGTGGTTGGCCCCTTCTCGGGAGCCTGAGAGTGCCCAGAGTGGGTGGGGGTGAGGCAAACCAGGCTGCTGGCCATTGGGAGGTTTGGCTTAGCCGGGCCAAGGAGATGGCTATAAAACCTGGCTGTGGCAAATGGCCCAGCTCCCCAGCGTGTTAATGTTGGAGGAGACTGCAGAAAGACACGGAGGTGTGCACATGGAGCCCTGGGGTCCCGGGTGGAGATGCAGGCTCTAGGTATGCCTTGGCCCCTAATTGCTGGGTGACTCCAGGCAAGGAAGTGCCCCTCTCTGGGCCTTGGTTTTATCATAGAAAAGGAGGGCCTTGGATTACTAGAGCGGCTCAAAGAGCCTTTTCAGCAATATAATGTTGCTGAATTTCTGTGATGTAATTTAGCTAATCTGCTTCTCTTTAGGCTTCAGTTCAGTTCAAGAAAGCAGTTATTGAGTGTCAACTGTGTGCCAGGCACCTGTGCTAAGCAGTGGTTGGGCCAAGAAGAAAAGACACAGTCCCTGCTTCCCTGATGCCAAGGAGCTTGCAGTCTTAGGAAAGGAGGCATACATTTAAACAGAGATAATACAAGACAACACATCCTATAATATCAATCCATTTTCCCAGGGAGGCTGGGGAAGTCTTCATGGAGGAAAGGGACACCTCAGTGAGAATTTGAGACATGATAAATTTGAGACTTTCCAAAATACTGAAGGCATAGGGTACAACAGACGCAAACCAAAGGGAAACAAATGTATGCGTATTTATCAATGTGGTTGTAGTACAGAAAAGGACAGAAGGACATGAGACTAGAAAGACAAGCTGCGGATGGAGTGTGGAAAATTCTGAATGACAGCCAAAGAGTTATTCCTTTATCCAGTGGGCAATGGGAGTCATTTCCTGCCAGGGCAGTGACAATATCAAATCTGCATTTTAGACAGTTCGTGTTGGCAGCAACATAGACCCCTGATCACCAAACCATGGCCCCATGGGGCAAATTCAGCCCACGGCTTGTTTTTATATGGCCTGTGACTGAAATATTATTTTTTACTTTTTTTGACTACAGCTTTATTGAGAGATAATTCACATATTATATAATTTGCTTATTTAAAATATACAACCTGATGGTTTTTGGTATATTCAAAGTTATACAGTCACCAGCACAGTCAATTTTAGAACATTTTCATTACTTCAAAAAAAATGCTATACCTTTTAGCCACCACCTGCCTATCTGCCCACTCCAACCCCAGCCCAGCCCTAAGCAGCCGCTCACTTATCTAATTTTTATCTCTATGAATTTGTCTATTCTGGACATTTCATAGAAATGAAATCATATAATATGTGGGCCTTTGTTCCTAACCCCTTGCTGAGCATGTTTCTAGGATTCCTCCCTGTTGCAGCATGTATCCATATCTCATCCTTTTCTTTTTTTAAGTATTTTTTAATTGACAAATAAAAATTGTCAATTTTTATAGTGTGCAACATTATGTTTTGAAACTTATATACCTTGTGGAATGGCTAAATCAAGCTAATTAACATACACATTGCCTCACATACTTATGTTTTTGTGGTGAAAACACTTAAAATCTACTCTCTTAGCAATTTTCAAGTATGCAATACACTGTTATCAGCTATAGTCACCATGATGTACAATAGAACTCTTCACTGCTTTTCATGGCTGAATAACATTCCACTGAATGGACATACCATATTTTGTTTATCCATTCATCAGTTGATGGACATTTGGGTTGTTTCCACCAAAGAAGAATATGCAACAATGACACATGTGGCTCACAAAGCCCAAGTATCTACTAACTGGCATTGACAGACCCCTGACATAGACCACAGGTAGCAGGGAATCAAGACTGGAAGTGAGAAGCCCTCGTTGGGGGCTCTGGCAATTTCCAAGTGACAGGGAAGGAAAGATACATTGGGTGAGGAAATCAACCGGACTTCATGACTGATTGGATGTTTGGGTGAAGGAGAGGGTTACTGAGGAAAATCCAGTTACTGTAAAGAAACAGATCTAGAGAGAGAGCGAGAGGCCCTAGGTGAAGTCAATGGCTGATGGCAAAGCTAAGTGCAGCATCTACCTCTCCTCTTGGATACAGCATAAGGACTCGTGGGTTCCTGATCACTGTAAATTGGAAAAGCAGACTGAGCTGGTGATCTTGACTGTGCTACACGGGGCTCTCACCACTGGGCTAATGAGCCGCGGGCATGCATCCCACATTGGCCTAAAGCCTCGTGAATTGCTGATGACATCTTTTATCTTCGGAACAACCTGAAGTGTGAACACCTCATCTGCCCCTCAAAACATCTTTGCGGGTTTCTCTTGATCAAGCCCCTTCCTTTCAGGTGTATGGACAGGTTCCTCACCCACTGTCTTCCTCGACCACCCCCAGGCCTACCTCCAAATCCATGAATCAATGCTGTGCTGAGGTATACTTCTGCTCAGGTACAAAGTTGGCTGAGAGAGCAGGATCTATGGCTCCCGCAAGGCTCCTCAGGGTGCCAGGCCAGCTCCAGGTGTACAGAATGAGTACCCAAGACAAGGAGCTTCCTTATCCACAGTCTTCTCCACAACAGTACTTGCCTAGTCTAATAACTGCACCTTCTAATCTCCTTCAGTGTCTCTGGATTTCAAAAGAATCCAAACTCCAGCTTGGCAAAGAAATCTCTTCCCCATCTGTGCCTCAACATACCTCTGCATCCACACCCCCTTCCCCTCCCTATGTCTATGCTCCTAGCTGTTCTTGCACTCCTTGTCCCCAGGGTTCACCAGGCTCCTCCTGCCTCAGAGCTGTCTGTGTACTCTTCCTTCCCTTAGAATCCTTCTGCCTCCCCTTCCTTCTCCACGCAGAAAACTCCTATTGATCCTTCATTGCCATTCCAACCTTTTGCCTCTGGGGAGTCACTCCCTCCTCTGGGCCCCTCTAGCTTTTGTTCTGAGTGATGATATTCTTGTCCTTGCACCTTTCTCCCCCAACTAGCCTGCGCCTTTGGTCTGTCTCCTGGGGGCTGGTCTGTGCCCTCTATATTTTTGCTGAAGGAGTGAGTGCATGAGCTGGTAAATACTCTTTCTCCTTGTCCTTCCATTTTAAGGGGCATTTCATTCTTGAAGCCTCTCTGGGCTCTGCAGAGGAAGCCAGCTCTCAGCCTCATTGCTTTCCCTTCTATTGATCCTGGGATTTATGGCACTATTGTTTCCTTTTATTAGGCTCTAATGACCTCCCTTAAAATGTGTTACATGGAAATAGGCTAATTGCCTGTGTCAAGTAAGTCACCAGTCCTGCAGTGTGGCCAGCCCTCCCCACACAGTAGTGCCCCACTGTGGAGGGAGGAGGCAGGATGCAGGGGAATCTCTGTTCTGCAGGGCAGAGGAGGCCTCCAGCAATTATCAATGGCCTCCCTTCATTGCTTAGACGCTCTGCTGGGCCCCAGTGGGGTTGACAGGCACCCATCCTGGAGGACTTGCTTCCTGTTCCTTGGCCTGTTCCTAGTCTAGGTCCTCATGAAAATAAGGCGAACATTCTCATCTCCATTCCAGGAGAAATTCTATTAGTGGACTTGAGATGACCAGACTTCTGTGGGAAACCTGTTTGGCCCATTTCTCTCTCACTGTTTCTAAGGGAGCAGCACCTCCCAACGCATGCATATTTGCAAGAGTCCAGGTGGCAGTACCTGTCTCTAATAACTGCACCTTCTAATCTCCTTCAGCATCTCTGGATTTCAAAAGAATTCAGACTCTAGCTTGCCGAAGAAGGCTTGGAGATGCACCAATCCTTGGCTTAAAAGTGAGTGTCCACCTTTTGTGACTAAGGCATTTCAAATAGATCCTTGGATGAGGGGACACTGGACTCCAAGACAATTGTGTTCCCTCTTTCAGGCAAGACAAGTATCATTACAGATTCTTCTTTTCCCTACGGGCATAGAACATTTGATGAGATTCTCAGGAGAAAGCATCCCTTATGAAAACATTTCCATTTCTCTCTGCCATTGGTAAATCCCCTGTCACAATCTGCTTAGTTGAATCCATTCTTCAAGGCCCAGTCAAGTTCCACTGCCCTCTCCTCCCTCAGACTTCTGAGATGAACTGCCTACATAAGCATTTCTCAAAATATTAGTTCTACAGGATGACAGTAGGATTCTGCACTCAAAGAAGCTTTGGGAACACTGTGTTAAATAGTTAGACAGGTTTATTTACTGCAGGACTTCTCAGAGTTCTTAACGTGTTAATACCTATTATGAATCTTCCAAAAAAGTGTGGCAGATTGGATTATTGTTCCAACTTTTACTGCTCTTCTCCAATATTAGAATCATACATCCTTGCCCTCACTATGTGACTTTGCAGTATCTCCCTCTAGACTAGGCTATGTACATTTCCAGTTCCCACTGAAGTTCAGTTTGGCCATGTGACTTACTTTGGCAAAGAGAAGGTGGGTGGGAGGGGGTGTTTGAGAGCTGAAATGGTGACAGGCATAAGAAGTATCTGCTGGTTGTCTCTCATGCTTTGGCCATTGCCATGAGTGGAGCACACCCCTGGCAGCCACTGCCCTAGAATGGGCAGTGGGTGGAGAGACTTAAAACCAACCCATAATCTGAAGCAGAGCTCCTCCAGCCAACCCCTAGACCCAGGAATGAAAAGCAGAGTTGAGGTCATTCATTACTTAGAAATGACTGGCTGTATTAGCTTCCTGTTGCTGCTGTAACACATTATCATTACCCAAGTGGCTTAAAACAACACACATTGGCCGGGCGCAGTGGCTCGCGCCTGTAATCCCAGCACTTTGGGAGGCCGAGGCAGGCAGATCACAAGGTCAGGAGATTGAGACCATCCTGGCTAACATGGTGAAACCCCGTCTCTGCTAAAAATACAAAAAATTAGCTGGGAGTGGTGATGGGTGCCTGTAGTCCCAGCTGCTCTGGAGACTGAGGCAGAAGAATGGTGTGAACCCAGGAGGCGGAGCTTGCAGTGAGTGGAGATCGCATCACTGCACTCCAGCCTGGGCAACAGATTGAGACTCAGCCTCAAAAAAAAAAAAAAAAATTGAGTCTCTTACCATTCTGGAGGGCAGAAATCCAAAATTAGCCTCACTGGGGGACTAAAGTCAAAATATCAACAGGGCTGGTTCCTTCTGGAGGCTCATGGGAGAATCCATCTCCTTGCCTTTCTTTCAGTTTCCAGTGGCCACCTGTATTCCTTGGCTCATGGCCCCCTCCTCCAACTACAAAGCACATCCCTCTAATCTCTGCTTCTAAAATGATCTTTCCTCACTTTCTTGCCTCCCTCTTATAAAGCCCCATGTGATTATGTTGGGTCCATCTGGAACACCAGAATAATCTTCCCATCTCAAGAGACGTAACTAATCACATCTGCAAAGTCCCTCTTGCCATGTAAGGTAACATTCATGAGTTCCAGGGATTCAAACGTGGATATATTTGAGGGCTATGGTTCAGCCCACCACACTGACCAAAGCAAAAAAGGATTAAAATATACAGGGTTCCCCCTAAACTATTTGGATATCTTTTCCATAGAGCATCTCAATATAACACCTTCCTCCTTCTGTGGATACAATTTTTAGAAATTGGGCTCTGCACCTATTATTTGGCATTTCTATTGCTCGTTCTGCAGTTATTGGTAAACAGGTATCCCATTCTTACAGAGTCAGTTCAGCCCCTTACTTTGCTTGGAGATCTTCCACGTTCCTAATCTGTTACCCTCATTTTACAGATGAGGAAATTGAAAGACCTCCAAGCAAACCAGCAGTAAACTTTAATGGCTGCAAGATCTGCAACTTGGCATGCTGTGGATTGGATGGCACAAGCCAAGGACATGGCTGAATTGACTGTAAGAATTTGTAATCCTATGGTAGGCAATGGGATATCTGTTTACCAATAACTGCAGAACAAGCAATGGGTAGAACTGATCACTGAATTACATGAGATCAGTTTGAACATGTGGCCACAGTGACTAGCCATAACTTCTCAGTAGATGACGTGGCCTTCCTTGCCTGCTTATTTTTGTCACAATGGGGAGAAGCCAGGTGTTATACAGTGCTGGCTACCATGGTGGACAGTAGATGCTCTTTAGCTGACGGAGGTAAGGTCTCCCTGATACCCATCACCCTGCTGTCCACCTCCTGCCCTTCCTTCTGCAGTGTTAGGCTTGTGGCATGTGCTGCCCTGGGTTTGTTTGCCCTGACCTCCCAGGATGTACACAAGTCCCTCCAGGGGGTAGGCAGGAGCTGTGTTGCATAAATAAATGAGCCTGATTTCACCACTCAATAGCTGTGTGGCTTTGGGAATGTTCCTTGTTTTCCTGGGGCTTTGGCTTTCCCACATGCTAACATGAGGCTAGATTAGGGTGCTCTACAGCCTCTCCTTACCAGATCCTATGCCCTTGAGTCTGTGACGCTCCCTTTTCTCGGCATTTTGCTCAAACAGCATAGGCTTTGGATCCCACTGGTACTGAATAAAGGTTTGATGAGTAGTACATTGACAACTCTTTTTGTGCAATCTTTCCAATTTTGCATTTTAATGAACTCTTCAAAATACTCTTCAAAAAAACCAAAAGGAAAAATGGCAAATTACTCTGACTCCAGAAGAGACATATGCATGATTTTTGGGCCTTTCCAGGGACCTCAAATCCCCCATGCAAAGCCGACACTGTGGGAATAAATGCCACCAGTGAGTCCTGTGTCACTGGGAGAATCCCATAGTGCAAGCCCACTGGCAAGCTCCCATCCTGAAACTTACAAAACCCCTCAGCACTAATTGGCATTTTTACAAATGAAAGAAATGTCTACTTTTTCAGAGAAGAACAGCCAACCAAAGGGTTAAGCCCTAAAAGGTTAGTTTCCTCTACTCTCCCTGCTCTAGAATCTGGGATAATTCCTCCCATTAATATTTTAAGCAACTAATTTGACATTTTTCCATTTAATTAACTTGCATACATATGAGAACAGGGTTTTGAGAGTACCATGACATTTAAACAAAGTCATTTAAGTTTTCCCATTTCTGGGGGCATGCTTCTTTTTTCTTTTGCCTTATTCTTTTTGTTCTGTTTCTGTTTTGCATTCCTGATTCTGAAGCTGGCTTATTAGCTCAGAGGAATGACCAAATTTCCCAAAGCAAATGTCCCAGAGTCTCAACCTGGGTGATGTGGGTGGGCCGGGAGCTCTGGGCTGTGGCTCTTTTAAACTTGAGCCTGCTCTTTTCCAGGCCTTTTTACAAATGGCATTTCAATCAGAACAGGCCCACGTCACAGGCTAATGTTTTCCTGTTGCCACACCAACCCTGGGTGGGAGAGGGGGAGGAGCTGCAGGAATGCAAAAGATTTATCAAATGCAACCATCACCACGGAAGAGCTGGGGTTTCAAGAGGGAAACAATAGCTCCGTGACAATTTTCTCTTCCAAATGACAAATAATTGTTGTCATATCATCAAATGATTAAGAAATAAAGGAAAATAGATAAATGGAGTGTATCCACTGAGAGATGGGGTGGGGGGACTGGGGAGAGGCTTGCTTAATGTTCCGTAATTGAAAAATTGCACTCTAATTAGCTCCCACCCCAGAGAATTCATGAGTTCTATGTGCCATCCAATCCACAGCATGCCAAGTCGCAGATCTTGCAGCCATTAAAGTTTACTGCTTGTTTCAGAAGGGACTGTGCAGTCTCCAAATGCATTCAGCGAGTGAGACTCTTCAGCTTGCCCAGCCCTCAAAAAGGATTCATGGCTTCAGACTTTCATCAGCCATAATTAATCACAGACTTTCTCTGCCTAGCAACAACTCCGGCTGCTCTCCCTAAATGAACCTGGGCACTCTGGTCTCCAGTTTATGGGTGGCGGCCAACCTGGCCAGGCTCAGTCAGGAAACTGGAGCTGAGTCCCCAGGTTGCAAAATGGCACCCCCTGATCCCAGGCATCGGGGAAGATTGGATCTTGCATTTAAAATAAAATCCCACTGCAAACCAAGCCCATAGGACTCAGGAGCAGTTCCATGTCTTCATTTGCCCCACACTCGGGATATTCTTTGGGGATTTCTAATGAGGTTGTCAAACTTTAGGAAGAATAACGCTGTAAGAGACATGCATGCCATTCTCTCTCTCCCTGGATTTAAATCCCAGCTCCATGACCTCAGTAGCGACATGACCCAGGAAAGTGACTTGGCCTGTCTGAGCCTGAGTTTTCCCTTTTGCAGAATGGAGATCATAATTTCTACCTTTTGGGACTATGATGATAATTGGACAATGCCATGTGGAAAGGATCTGTGCTACGTTGGCTGACAGTGCCTCTTGATCCTTACATGTAAAGTGGGAATAATAATCTTACCTCCCCACTGGCGTTGTAATGAGAATTGAATACAGTATGCATTAGATGCGTGCAAAGTGCCTCACACGAAGTTGGTGCTCGGTAATATTTGAATTGAATTGAACTGAATACACACTTGGTTCATTCATTCATTTAATCCAACAGCTAATAATTGTTGAATGCTACCTTTTGCTCAACACTTTTTTAGGGATACAGAAAGGTAAATAAGACAGCTTTGATTTATGCTCATGGGAGCTTACGTTCTAGGAGAAATACAGTGAAAAACAAAGTTTAAGAACCACGTGCATTATTAAAAACTACTATTAAAAAATCAACAAGAACACAAATACAGGCTCATAGTTGGGTGGCGACTTTTCAGTGAAGACCTAAAGGTTAAGAAGGGGATGTGAGGAATGCCAGGGAAAAACATTCTAAGCAGAGGGAACAGGATGGGAGAAGCGGGGTGAATGTTGGCAAATTTGGGAAACTGAGAATAGGCTGTCATTCAGAGTGAGCAACGGTGGTAGCCAAAGTACACAACCCTAAATCTCAGTGATTTAAGACAATAAAAATTTATTTTTCCTTCTTGTCATGTGTTAGGTGGACAGTTTTTTGTTATTCAAAACCCAAGTTCCTTCTAATGAGCTACTCTGCCGTCCTTTAGGCTTCCTCTGAGTTGTCCACCGTGCCCTCTGCATGCAGCCAAGAGCAAAGAGAAAAGCTCCAGGATATGTGGGGGCCAGGCCTGGAGATGGTGTACATCACTCCCACTCATATTCCAATGACTAGAACTCAATATATGGTCTCATCTAACTGCAGAGGAGCCAGGACATAGGGTTTAGCTATGTGCAAAGGAAGGAAGTAAAACAGGTTAGCAGAACACATAGTATTTTTCTGCCTCACAAAGCAAGCAAGGGTGGCTAGCATGGCACCAGATGAGAAATAGATGACCAGAATGTGCAGAGCTTCATAAACCAGGGGAAGAAAAATGGAGTTCATTCTCGGAGACTGAGAAGGCACTCCATGGTAGTCCTTATTCACCAGTTTGGATTTTATGTTAGGAGAATGAGAAGCCAGTCAAAATTAACGACATAATCTGATTTACACCTTAAGAGAACCCCTCTGGCTGCTATGAGGAGAACATTTCTGGTCTCTATGGGAGACCAGTTGGGAGCATTCTGCAATAGTCAAGGCCAGAGATGAAGGTAGAAAAAGGGTGTGGAGAAGGGGACAGGTGCAAAGATTTAAGTCCCATTGGAGTTGGTTTTTGGGCTCAGCTTTTCAGGCCAGCCAACAGGCATACCCCTGCTGATCAACTAAGGGAATCAAGCAAGGCCCCAAAAGATTAGAGAAAATACAAAAAATACTGGACAGAAGGCAGCTGGCTATGCAGAGCAGAATCATTCCAGAAATTACCACCAGGACCTTTGGTCCTCTGTCCCAGTGCAATAGCAGACTCTCTCCAAGCCCTGCTTTCATTAGGGTGAGAGATATTAACATTCGGTCAGGCTGGTTCCCACTGGTCCCAGTGTAGGTGGCTGGACAATTTGCACAGAATGCCCACTCCCAGAGTACAGTGTCCAAGTTGTTCTCTTTAATCTTCTCAACTGAGCTGGGAGGTTAGAGTTACAGCTGACTCCATTTTACAGACAAAGAAGCAGCTTCAGGGAGCTCTCATGAGTTGTCCAAGGTTACCCCATTAGTAACAGCACCAGGATTTAAACATAGGTCTTCTGGAAGATGGGTTTACTGTTCATTCTGGTGCAATACTGTTGAGTGTTCCCCTGACAGGATTTGTCTAAACTCTTGAAAACCAAGAGGTGAGTGGGATATGCCTGGGTCCCTTTGCAGTCCACATTTCCCACCAACATGGCAGTGGCCCTCCTGAGCTAGACCCTGCCTTGTTGCACGTGCACTGGGGCACCAGGGGTCCTATTGAGCAATGCCTTTGGCCAGGCCACTGGCTGATCTTTGGATTATCTGGCAGGCTTTAAACACATACTGTCTTGAGCTGCTCCAGATGTACTCAAGAGTGATATGTGGGTAGATGGGGACCTGGAGTCTGTGTTTTTTGTTTTGCTTTGGTGTTTTTTCTTTTGTTTTTTGTTTTTTGTTTTTGTTTTTTTTTTAGATGGAGTCTTGCTCTGGCACAATCTCAGCTCACTGCAAACTCCGCCTTCCAGGTTCAAGCGATTCTCCTGCCTCAGCTTGCCGAGTAGCTGGGATTACAGGTGCATGCCACCATGTCTGGCTAATTTTTGTATTTTTAGTAGAGACAGGGTTTCACTATTTTGGTCAGGGTATCTGTTTTTTTTAAATCTCCCCATGCTTGGGAACCTCTGCACACATTGGTATGATGCTCAGATGAAAGAATTGTCATACCTGTCAGTGTATGTATAGGTGAGTTAAGTGAGTCTCAGGGAGAAACTGTTGTTAGGCAATGAATTGCTGACAGAGCCAGGAGTGGAAGATGAGTTTCCTGTCTTTCTTGTCTCCCCCTCCTCCCCCGCCAGGACTGCACTGTTGCTCTGTAAGAGGTTTGGGAAAATCCATCCTTATGGACAATCTGAAACGGATGATGCCGGGCAGGAGCTTAGAGGTTATCTTTCCAACCCAGTGGTTCCCAGTTTCCCATGCAGTTGTGTCAGAGTTACTTGAGATGCTTTTTGCCACAAGGATTCCTATTCTCACCCTGTACCGACTGTATCAGCATTTAGGAGATGTGACCTTGGAATCTATGTTTTTAGAAGTATTTCTGGTGATTCTGATATCAGCCATGTTTGTAACCCATTGATCCAGCCCTCCCCAATTTACAGTTGATGAAACTGAGGCCCAGAGATAACTAATTTGCTTAAGATCCCCTAGCCTGGCAACCAAGTTTTCTGACTCGGTCTGGAGCTCTTACTACTTACCACCCCTAACTCATCGGAAAGCCCAGCCACACATAGAAGCAGGGGAGGGCATGGTCAACCGACAACAGCAAGATGGACCATTCTGTTTAAAAAGCTGCCTCAGTGAGACATCTAATTAGCTGACTGTAGCATGGTTTCCTTCCCCTGGTTATTGATGTCTCTTCTCTCTTCTCTTCCTGATGCTGCCCCTTGCTCATCCTAATGTGATCAATTACTCACAGGAATAAAGTAAGCACATAGCCTACAGTCTATTAGGTAATCGGTGGTGTGCCAGATGAAGGAGCCATCAGGCAAGACAGGCTGTCTGGAGCAAAGGCCAGCAGAAGGGACGATGCAGGCCCAGCGGGTGGAAGAGTCCCTGAGCAGGAAAAGCCCCAACCCTCCAAGCAATGGGTGAAACTGTCTGAGCCCTCAGGGACTGAATTCTCAGGCCAAGCTTGAAAACAACTTAGACAACTGCTGTTCTGCTCTGGCTACAGGAGACCTATTTCTGATCCTGTCAGAACTAGAGCCTGCCTCTCGGACCCTGACGTGCATTCCAGTCACCTGGGATCCTGTTAAAATAAAGGTTTTGATTCTGGGGGCCTCAGAGTCTGCATTTCTGACAAGTTCCCAGGTGATGCCAGTGCTGCTCGTCTGGAAAAACAAGGGCCTAGAGATCATTGTTTGCGGGTCCAGCTGAGTCACCTTTGTCTATTCAGATATTCTTTTCCCGTCCAGCCCCTTTGCATGTGCTATTTCCTCGTCTGCAATGCCCTTCCTCCTCGAATCAGAAAAGTCCTGTTCAGCATTCATGTTCTGGCTTCGGTGATGTCTGTTCTTTCAAGTCTCCACTGAGCCCCTCCTCTCCATAAGGACGCTCAGGGAAGATGATATCTTCACTGTATCCTGATCACATTTCATGTAACAGTACTCTTACTCTTTGGTAACAGGAGTTTGTCCACTGACAAGCTCTGTGGCCCAGCAGCTCTGTACAGTCCGCACAGAGTCTTTCATCCCTCCATCTCCCAGCGTGGCAGGGCTCTCTTATCTGCTTGGTGCTAGAGGGTCTGAGAACTTTTGAGAGATCTCCAAAAAAGTATGAGACCCAGAAACAAAATTATGAGATCCAAAACATCAAGGGAAAACTTTGCAATGGAAATTAGTAAAATTTTAATGGAATGTCTACAAAACAAAGTATTACATCAACCTCACTAATGGTTTCATTTAGTATTTATAAAAACTTCACTCTATCTGAAAACAATGTGCAAGTTAGATTTTCTTACTTCGCAAGAATTCCTGAGTACCCCTCATAATCGCTGAGAGATCAAACCGAAACAAGCATCAAATGAATGACGAGTAGCCAAATAATTTCAAAGCGAAGTTATAAAAAATAATTCCTGGCCGGGCGCGGTGGCTCACGCCTGTAATCCCAGCACTTTGGGAGGCCGAGGCGGGCGGATCACGAGGTCAGGAGATCGAGACCATCCTGGCTAACACGGAGAAACCCCATCTCTACTAAAAATACAAAAAATTAGCCGGGTGTGGTGGCGGGTGCCTCTAGTCCCAGCTACTGGGGAGGCTGAGGCAGGAGAATGGCGTGAACCCGGGAGGTGGAGCTTGCAGTGAGCCGAGATTGCGCCACTGCACTCCAGACTGGGTGACAGAGCGAGACTCCGTCTCAGAAAAAAAAAAAAATTCCTATAATTCTACAGAAAAAAATTATATTTAATATGTTGGATGTGTGTGAGGTGGAGCCTTCAATGCAAGTGTCTCCAGATAGAAGTCTAAAAACCATCTTGATGTCTGGCCCAGAGGAAGAACACACTGGATTTCTCCTGAATGAATGTGTGAGTGCTGGAAGGTATGAAGTGGAGGAAGGAACGAAAAACAGACAGGAGAGATACATAAAATGTAAGCCAAAGTTTTAGGTCATCAATAAAGGGAGTCCTTGTTAGCAAAAAACAAAACAAAACAAACAAACAAAAAAAACTACCAGGTTCCAGGCAGCCAAGAGAAACAGACGACATCGCCCCCTACTGGCTGGAGGAATTTTGGATTGCCCGCAGACTGCCTTCTTTTATTGATCTGTCATTGTTGTTTCTCTGACATTGAGAACTTCAAAGCCCCCTGGAACTGCCTCAACGAGAGAAATCGGTGGTCCCTGAGGATCAAGACCCTTCCTTTCCTCTGGAGGAAAGGGGGCTGGAGGGGAGCTTTATAACTCATTCTATGTCAGACATCTTGAAATGGATCTAAACCCATCTTGAACCTATTTCGACCTTCCTCTTGAACCACTTCTTGGTTAACATGTTCCATATGTTTCTTACTCTGATGGAAAATAGCCTTTACTTTTATTTCAAAGGGCATTGTTTAAAAGTCTGGGGACAGAGCTTTGTTCTTAGACAAACAAGATTTGGGAAGTTCTTCTAAGAAAGCAATCAGAGATAAACAGAAAGATTTATATACAAGATGTTCACTACAGCATTATTTATAATGGTGAAAAATTGGAAACAGCTGAAATGCTCAACAATAAGGGGGTGTTTAAATAAATTATGATCTACCCACACAATAGAAGTTCATACAGCCATTAAAATTCATGTTTTTGAAGATTATTTCATGGAAATAGCCAACCTTCAATGAGCCCTTCTCAGGTAGTACTGTCAGTGTTTTACAGGTATCACTTCATTCCATGCTCACAACAACTCTGTGAAGAAAGCACTATTTGTATTATTTCCCTTTGACACACAAGGAAACTGAGGCACAGAAAAACCAAAGTCATACAGCTAGAGGTGTGCATTGATCTAGCACCCAGAGGCTGCACAGTTGTGCACTGCATGATGCTGCCTTTCTCTAACAGAGGTTCATTGAAATTCCGAGCACTTATGGGTATGCAATGGCACACAGAGTGGTTTAATGGACATTGAAGACTCAGAAGCAGGGAGGGTGGGAGAGGGGTAACAGATGAAAAATTACCTATTGGGTACAATGCGCACTATTCGGGTAACAAGTACACTAAAAGTCTAGACTTCACCACTGTGTGATTCATCCATGTAACCAAAAACTACTTGTACTCCTAAAGCTCCTGCAATTAAAAAAAATAATTAAACAAAAAGAAATTCAGACGGGCACAGTGGCTCATGCCTGTAATCCTAGCACTTTGAGAGGCTGAGGCAAGTGAATTGCTCGAGCCCAGGAGCTGGAGACCAGCCTGGGCAACATGGCGAAACCCCGTCTCCACCAAAAATACAAAAATTAGCCCAGCATGGTGGCACTCGCCTGTAGTCCCAGATAACTCAGGAAGCTGAAGTGGGAGGATGGCTTGAGCCCAGGAGGTGAAGGTTGCAGTGAGCCAAGATTGTGCCATTGCACCCCAGCCTGGCAACAGAGCCAAACCCTGGAAAGGGGAGGGGAGGGGAGGGGAGGGGAGGGGAGGGGAGGGGAGGGAAGGAAAGGGAAGGGAAGGGAAGGGAAGGGAAAAAGAAATTCTGAGCTTTGGGGGAAGAGAGGAAGAGCTCCTTCCTGGGTCCACTGCAAAGCTGTAGTGAAGGAGTACGGACCTTAGCTGCACCCTGAGGAATGATGAGGTCTTGGTCAGGTGTGAATACAAATACTCATGAGAAGCATTTTTAGAGGAGAAAAGAGCCCAAGTGAAATTGCAGAGGTGGCAATTTGTGGGGAGAGTTCAAAAACCACTGAGGAGGCAGGGTGGCTAGCATATCAGATGCATTATAATTATCCATGGAAAATCAGCAAATAAAGGAACTAGGGCGGAGCCCCTGCAGTGTGTGCCAATGCAGGGTCAGTAGTAATTAAAACCATTAACATCACAGAACTCACCCAGGCACCCTACTGAGTGCTTTCCGCAGGTGTCTCATTAAATTCTGGGGACCACAACCCTTCTTTGTACTGTCATTATTCCCATTTCACAGGTGAGAAAACAGACTTGGCGAGATCAAGTCATTTACCTCAGACCTCTACTGGCAAGTAACAGTGGCTGGAGTTGAAGTGGGTGGCGCAGAGGCCAGAGGCCCCATGACTTGCTGTGTCTCCAGGGAAGTGGGCTGCCAAGCACAAGAACAGGATCTGTGTTCATCCCCCAGCAGCCAATGCTGTTTTCTGTCCCAGCAGCTACAGCTGGCCTTCTCAGCTATTTAGGGAAAACGTTCTATATGAAAATGACTGCAGAGCCGCCTGGGTTTATGAGAACCCCCAGGAAGCCCAGCTTCTGGCAACACGTGAGAAGGGAAAGGGGAAAGAATCCTCCACATTTGGGGAAAACAACCAAATGACTCTGGTTCCTCGAGCTGGTGCTGTGTGCCATCTGAGGAGAATGGAGAAACAAAGGAACGCCGCAGGCCCACCCCAGAAGTTCCGGGCCCTCCCCTGCCCTCTGCTCTAGGCAGCTGGCTGCTTAAGGGTTGGCCTCTAGCCCCAGGGACTCAGCCTAGACTCAGCCCCTTCTTCCCCAGAGCTGCCACCTCCCCCAGGTCCCTGGGCTCTAAACCTGCTCCCCCAGGCCAGCAGCAAAGGGGCCATTCTTCCCATACCCCTCTTTACTGCATGCAAAGACAAGCGCCTCTCAGACCCTCTCTTTTCCTGGCTCTACCATCCACAAAGCAAAACATGGGGACTTTTCAGAGTTTCATTTTCACTGTCTCTGACTCCTTCCTGAAGAGGTGAATGGAGGCCCTGTGCATTCCAGCTCGCTACGGTGCACCTTGGGGGCGAGCTTACCCGGATGTCCCTTGACCAATTCTACCTGGCCAATAATACAAACAGTGCCAGGTAGGGTCAGGGACTACATAGAATAGACCACCTCTGGGGGCCAGTCCAGTGCCAGCGTCCCTCCTCTGAGAACCACCCTCCATCGTAACCCGCGGGGATGGGCTCTGGAGCCTTGCTGTAAAGGAGACCACCCCCTTTCTTGGCCACAGGGCTGAGGGCAGCAAGGGAGGGTGTCTGCCTTGAGGTGGCTGATCTGCTGCCTGGGCTCAGATGGTCAGACTCTCCCCAGGACATTGGAGCCATGACAGTTGAGGCTAGGGAGCTGGGGCCAGGCAGCTGTGCACCCCCTCTACACAGGGAAAGCTGGCTGGAAAATGGAGAGGAGAAAGAGGAAGAGAACCAGCAAGAGAGGGAGAGGGGCCATAGGCATGACTTTACAGTTCCTGATTCTAGTTCCTCAGAGGCGGGGCTGAATGTTTCACCCTTGAGTTTTGTGAAATACCACCATCTTCTTCCCATAAGGTCATTGTTTTGCTTGAGCAAAAAGGGCTGTTTCTCATGGCCACACGGGCTCCAGCTAGAACAACCCCAGTTAGGCCACCAGGGCCTGAGGAGCCTGTCCCTGCAGAGGGGCTGGTTGGAAGGCCTGGGCCCTGCAGCAACTTCTTTCTCAAGGCCCTGGGCTGTCCTGTCTGGAGCTAGGGAGGGCTGTGTTAGGGAAGAGTGCCCATCCCATCCCTGGGACCTCAATGGCACACTAGACTGTGGTGTCTGCTTTACATTGTCCCTGCAGTATGATAAACTCGACTTCACACAAGTACCTTTCATGTCAGTATCTAGGACTTCTGCAACCGCCTCTCCTTAGCCCACTATCACTGTCCTGGTGACAGAGCCCGACTAATCCTTTCTCTCATGCTTCTAATTCTTAAATGTCTCCCTGCTGCATATGAGATAGAGTCCAAGTTCCTAACTCAACATTCAAGGCCACTGTCGAGCCTCTGCAGCCTCATCACTCCCCATTTCACATTTCCTAGTTGAGTAGAACTGCTCCTGGTTCCCTTGTCCTTTGGTCCCCTCTACCTGGAATTCCCCTTGCTTCCTTCTTAGCCTTCTGAATTTCCACCTGCCTTGTGGGAAGGCCCCTAGTTCTGCTCTCATTGCTGCCAGGAAAACTCTAAACCTCCCAGGCAGAGCGAAGGGCTCCTCCTTTGGACTCCCACACCTCCCGGCCCCACTCAGCCTATCAGAGCTCAGAGTGACTAACAGCTTATTCTCTGTGTCTCCCCAGTGCCACGTTCAGTGTAAATTGGTCTCTATCCACCCACCCACCCCATCTTCTCACTATCTTTTCAACAAAGGATGTGATTTTCAACAGAATGCCCAGGTCACCTATTCCTATTTTAAAGGTGATGAAACCAAGGCTCAGAGAGGTTTGTAGTGACCCACAACCAGAGAGCTAGGCAGTGGTGGGCCTGAATTACAAGCCAGGACTGCCTGCTTCAAGCTCTGCCCTCTTTCTGCTCTACCCACTCTCTGGCAGGCAAACTCTGCCTTGACCCCAGTCTGTGCTGACATCATGATGGGTTCATTCAAATAGGAGTTTTCTATTTAGGGCCATCAACTTTTCTGAGCTCCAGTAAGACTTCCAATCTGCATCAACCAGGGTATCAAGGATTGGAATTCAGGCTCCCAGTGTTCACTGACGCCCCTGTGTGGGTGGATACTCTTGCTCAGAGGATTTCCCACCTCCATGCCTTTGTGCCTGCCATGCCTTCTTCCCATGCTCCCCAGGAGGACTCTGTTCCTTGTTCTTGCTCCTTCTTCGAGATCTGCCCCACGTGCTTCTATCTGAAGCTTTCCAGGAACCTCCCTGGGATCGCTGCTCATTGCCTTCTTGCTTTGTATGCATTGAACCTGGGTCTTTCTCTATTCAATAAATGGCTACCATGTTGGGCTTGTACCTATCCATTTGCTCCTGTCTCTCCCTTAATAGACAATAATTTCTATATAATTTAGCCCCTAGCCCAGAACTTCACTTAGAAGAGGTGCTTAATTAAGCTATGTTAGAAGGAAGTAGCATGGGGGAAAGAGGGAGGGAGAGACAATGATTGCAAAGCATTTCACACTGAGAAAACCCACAAGCCCCATGAGGACAGGAACAAGATCTAGGCCTATTTGATTCCTCTGCAGCTTCTAACAAAGGGCTGGGGACATAGCAAGGAATTAGCTAGCACTTTCTAACCAAAATGCACGTGCGATAACTTTCTTCTGTGCTTGTGCTGATATTTACAAAGCACTTTTGCATGCCCGGATTTATTCAATTTTCATAATAATCATGGGGGCCATACATTTTTTAAAAACTTGCATGGAAGAGCTATGAAAATCAGCCTCTAATTCCAAGCTTTCCCTGGTGACAACTTACCCCACAGCATGGGCGTGTGTCTGAGGTCAGAGACCTGCTGCCGAGACATATCCATGTGTGCTTTAACCATGCCCTGTGATATCTGTTCCAGGCATCTTTGTCCACTTGTGGGTTATACACAGCATGATGACATGATGCTTGAGGATACTGAGAGTCCTTGGCCAAGAAATGGTCACTTGCTCCCAAGATCAATGGCCCTAATCAGATAACTCAGCCACCCTCCACCTTGTAATTCTGTCCTGAGATTCCCTCTCCTCTCCGGACTTCTGCCATAAAGAAGCTCCCATGCCTCCTGAGTTCTTCATGGCTCCTGGCTGCTCCAGGGCACAGTGCCAGCCCCTCTCAGATGTCAGCTGGCAGCACAGCCGAGCAGCGCATCTCGTTTTGCCTTACTTCTTAATTAGGCCTCCTCAGTGCTGCTGAGGCTGTCACCCCAGTTTCTCCAGTTTCCATGAGCACATCCGTGCTGCTGAGCCCCCCTGAACAGTAACAGAGGGCTCCTGCCCCTGAGCTCTGCTCCACATAGGACCTGCTAGGCAAATGAAGATGGGGCCTCTTGGGGATCTGCCTTTGCCACGGTCAGTACCAGGGCTTGGGAAGCAAGGCACGCAGGCAATGAAGGCTTGAAGCCCAGAGGGGTGCAGACAGACCTCCCCCTAGGGGTGCTTTAGAGGACTGGCTTTTTCTCCTGCCACAACTGATCAATGGAACAGCAATGCCCAGAGCTTCCCACCACTCCCAATTCAACCCTCTTTCTATAGCTTCTCTTGGAACTTACTGACCTCAGAGTTCCCCTTTCCCAGACAGCAAGGTGTAACATGACAAAGCTCTGAGGTTGCTGCCTCCTGAGACCTTCCAGCCTTCCCTACAGCGTAGAGGCGAATCTGCAGTCAACTGTCTCGTCTTTCAAGGGAGAAACTAGAGCAGCTTGCCAGCAGAACAGGCAGGAATGAGCAGGTGAGACCTGGGTTTGAGGCCTGGCTTTGCCACCAAATTGCTGTGTTTCCTTGGGCAAGTAGCTCCATCCCCCGGGCTCCAGGTACCTCCCGTGGAAGGAAAGGTGACTGCCGCACTGCGCCATCCATTTCCTCTTTTCTCCCAATTCCCTCAACAACCAGCAACCACAGCTCTGAGTTAGGATAAAGCTGAGAACACAAACAGTGAAGGTTCCTCCTTTTTTTGGTAAAAGCAAAAAAAATAGCAATATTTCTCTTTGGTGAGTTTTTTTAATCCACACCAGGCAGTATTCTAGGTATTTTTAAGTAAGTAATTTCATTTAATCTTCACGGCAATACTGGAAACTGGATATTCTTATTGTTCCCATTTTTTAAATGGAAAATAAAGCTCAGAAAATTCTGTGTTTCATCCGAGGACACACAGCTGGAAAGGGGTAGAAGCCAGATTGGAAACAGGGTAGTATGTCTTCAGAGCTAGCACATTTTAGAATTCCATTCTTTCCTGCATGAATCCAACCAGCTCAGCTTTTCCTGCCCCATAGAACATTTATAAAGTCTGAACACATACTTAGAAACAAAGAAAAAAAATTAATTTAAAATTAAAGATTTTACAGGCCACAATCTCTTACTATAACCCCATAATGTTAAATTAAAAAGAAAACAATAATGTGGCTGAAAATATTTTTAACTACTTGGAAATTAATAAACGTACTTCTAGGTAACCCATGGATCAAAGGAAACATTAAAATGAAATTAAAACCCATCTAGAAACCGATGGAAAGGGGAACATTTTATTTCAAAACCTATGAGATCTTGAAAAAAGCTTAACACGGGAAAATACATTGCCTGAAATGGCTTTCTTATTAAAGAAGAAAGACCAAAATAAAAGCACTGACTATACATCGTAAGAAATTAGAAATACAAGCAAACAAAAAAAGAAAGTATGAAATGGGAATTAATCAATAGATGAATTTAATAAGGGAAAATAAGAAAAAGGGAAAATAAATACATAAATGGATTTTTGGAAACCAGAAGTGGCAAAAGAGGTCTGGATGTTGTCGGAGGTGGGAGGAGGCCTCAGTTTCCCCAAGCAGATCCATTTTGCAAAGTCCCACCTATCTGCAGCACAGGCTTCTGCCCCGTAGTCCTACTGAGCCCTGGACTCGTGGCCTCCTCCCACCAATCTCTCAACCTCTAAACTGTCAACCCAGGATGTCTCATCGCAGAGTCTGGCAATTTCACGGCGCAACCACGACTCCTTGTACTGAAGTCTTTTTTTTTTTTTGGGACCGAGTCTCGCTCTGTCGCCCAGGCTGGAGTGCAGTGGCCCGATCTCGGCTCACTGCAAGCTCCGCCTCCCGGGTTCACGCCATTCTCCTGCCTCAGCCTCCCGAGTAGCTGGGACTACAGACGCCCGCCACCATGCCTGGCTAATGTTTTTGTATTTTTAGTAGAGACGGGGTTTCACTGTGTTAGCCAGGATGGTCTCGATCTCCTGACCTCGTGATCCATCCGCCTTGGCCTCTCAAAGCGCTAGGATTACAGGCGTGAGCCACCGCACCCGGCCTGTACCGGAGTCTTCAGCACTTCCTCCCAGAAATAAAGTTCCTCCGTCTGGGCTTATTAAGCAAACGAGTCAGTTTTGTCTTTTTCAGCAATGAAAGCTGCTGTGGTTTTGTTTTCTCCCTGTTGCCAAGAGTCAAGAGGAAGTCTGTGGTTAGACTTCTTCGGGTGGAGACACACACAAACCCAGAGGCTATTAATGAGCTCCCCGGATCCAGCTCTCCCAGCCCAAGTGAACGGGACTAATGAAAGTGAACAAAGGGGAGACAGAGAGAGGGAGGTCATGCTGAGCTTCTATCCACTTGGCCCTCCAGACCTGCAGCACTCTCTCACCTCTTGTCTTCAAGGTGACTCTATTTCCCTTTCTGACAGTAGAATACTATGGATCCACTTTTCCTTCGAAGGATGAGGCAACCCAATTTGCTTTCACTCAAATCCAGAAACTAAATTTAAAAGATCCCTGTGAATTCAGTGCCCATCTTGGTATTGGAGCTTGTGGTAGGCACCACCAGCTGTCACCTGCAATCCATCCCCACCCCTTCCTTTCCATCAAAACCCTGGATTTGTTTAGTGGTGTGCCCAGCCAAAAATGTTCATTCTTCCAGCCTCCCTTGTACCTAGAGGGTGACCATTTGATTACAGTTCTGGCCAATATTACAGTTATTGGATTTCTAAGAAAACTTTTGCATTCGTAATGTAGGTACCAACTCTTCCTCCTTCTCCCTTCTTTTTCCCACCTGCAACTGGAACGTAAAGCCTGGAGGGGCAGTATCCATCTTGTGCATATAAGGTAGCATGTGTGAGGATGGAATTTGAACAGAGGGGAAAAGGGCTAGGCCCCCATTAACATTGTTAAATCATCCTCTCCTGCCCTGTACTACCCACCCTGCACTTCTTATGTCATAGGAAAATCAGAGCATCATCTGTTAAAACCACTGTAGCTGGCTGCTCTGTTACTTGCAGCTAAATGCATTCTCACTCTGTCGCCAAGGCAGGAGTGCAGTGGTGCAATCTCAGCTCACTGCAACCTCCACCTCCTAAGTTCAAGCAATTCTCCTGTCTCAGCCTCCCGAGTAGCTGGGACTACAGGTGCCCACCACCACACCCACGTAATTTTTGTATTTTTAGTAGAGACAGCATTTCACCATATTGTTCAGGCTGGTCTTGAAATCCTGACCTCAGGTGGTCCACCCACCTTGACCTCCCAAGGTGCTGGTATTTACGGGTGTGAGCCACTGTGCCTGGCCTAGCAAAATGCATTCTTAATTGAAACAAGAACCCCAGCTTTTTATAGTTCTTTACAGCTTTTTATTGGTTTTCAAAATATGTGCACCCCATCCTCGCATTGGGTCCTCACAGAAATTCTTCATGGTAGACCAGATCAACATCTTTCCTCATACTTTCAGATGAGGAAACTGAGGTTTCTTGGTAATGAAGTGGGTCAGAAAAAGATTCAGGGCCTGTATTGCAGGACTCTCTGTCTCCCAGTCCATTGCTTTTCCCAAGAAAATCCTTCTTGTCTTCAAGGCAGTTCAGAGTCAGCCTGTCCCTATAATATCTGTCCACAATCAACATTACACACAAAAGTGGAAGTTCTCAGGAACCTGGGAGCATGTGAACTAATTGCAATTTCAGCTTCCAGTGCCTGGAGTAAGTGTATTCTCTTATTTTAAAACCCACCACTTTGTGTAACAGGATCTGGGTTCAAGTCTTGGATCTCCCCATTACTCACTATGTGATCTTGGGGAAATTGCTGAAAACTGCCTACCCATCTATAAAATAGGAATAGCAGTTCTTCTCTCCTGAGGCTATGATAAGAAGAGCTCAGAGATATAGGATAATCTATGATCTATGATTAAAAGCTCAGAGAAAATAGTTTCTGAGCACTCAGGATGTCAGGGGGAGCACTTTGTGCATGACAAAGCACCAGGTGTCCTTGTGAGGGGCTGTTATCATGATGGCTTCAGCCTGTCTCAAGGCTCTGACTCCTCCCTGAGCTCAGCCCTCTTTGTGGCTGGCGTGTAAATTACGGATATGCGTCACATGCCTTCCTGACCACTCTTCACCATCCGTCAGCCTCATGAGGGCTGAGAACATTGATCTCATGAGGCTACACCTTTCAGAAAGAATCTGTGTTATAATTCTTATTTGCTCATTAAGTCAGGCTATTTTATTTCATATGTCCTTTACTTTCTTTGTGACTGAAATGTATTCATTCATGCACTTTCAAAAAAAAATACTGAGTTAGGCAGTAAGGTGGGGACTCTCCGGGTTGGAAGGGACTTAAAAATCATCCTGTTCATCCTGCCCCTCCCAGCCCAACCCCTCCCCATTTGAGACTGGCATCCCATCTTCAGGACCCCTGCCCCCTATCCACAGTGGCCATCCAGCCTCCACTTGCTCATCATAGAGACAAAGATTTGACTGTCTCCCACAGCCAGCATTTTGTCTCTGAACATTCTCTGTTAGAATGTTCTTCCTCAAACAGACGCTCCTTGGCAGACACAAGGATGTGTTCTTGGCAAACCTCTAATACTGTGCACATTTGACTGTGTAGGATGGTGACTGGCAGAGTTGGTGGGGGACGAAGGAGCCCACGTGAGGTGTTACCAAACAGGAAGTGCCATCTGGGCTGGATGATGAGAGTGAGGGAAAGTGTCAATCAGCTGCCCTGGGTGGCTCAAGAGGCAGCTTTTTCCTTCATGGTGTTAAAGAACTCAAGAGCAGCAATTACTCAGTGAACTCCAACATGCTGGGTATTCGCTAGAATAGGCCAGGCTATGCTGAAGTAACAACCTTGAAATCTCAGAGATTTAAAATAATGAAAGTTTATTTCTTGCTCATGGAGAATGCCATGGAGTGGGGGGCCCTCCTCCATTCTGCAGGCCATTGGGCATGCAGGGCCTCCAAGTCATCACCCCATGAAAGACAAGAAGGAGCCACACCAGCTCTTAACTGCATGAGCCTCATTCTACAGGCATACCTGATTTTATTGCACTTTGCCTAATGCACTTCACAGATATTGTGTGTTTTTCACAAATTGAAAATGTGTTGCAACCCTGTGTAGAGCAAGTCTGTTGGTGCCGTTTTTCCAATAGAATGTGCACACTTCCTGTATCTGTGTCACATTTTGGTAATTCTTGCAATATTTCAGACTTTTTCATTATTATTACATCTGTTATGGTGATGTGTGATCAGTGATCTTTGATACTACTATTGTAATTATTTTGGGGCACCATGAACTGCACCCATGTAAGACAGCGAACTTAATTAATAAATGTTTTGTGTGTTCTGACTGCTCCTACTGGCCAATCTCTCTCTCTCTCTCCCTCTCCTTCGGCCTCCCCATTCCTTGAAACACAAAAATATGGAAATTAGCCCAATTAATAACCATAAAATGGCCTCTAAGTATTTAAGTGGAAAAATGAGTTATACATCTCTCACTTTCAATCAAAAGCTAAAAATGATGAAGCTTGTGAGGAAGGCATGTCAAAAGCCAAGAGAAGTTGAAAGCCAGGCCTCTCACACCAGTTAGCCAAGTTGGGAATGCAAAGGAAAAGTTCTGTTTTGTGTTTTGTTTTGTTTGACACAGACTTTTGTTCTTGTTGCCCAGGCTGGAGTGCAATGGCACGATCTCAGCTCACTGCAACCTCCGCCTCCTGGGTTCAAGCGATTCTCCTGCCTCAGCCTCCCAAGTAGCTGGGATTACAGGTGCCTGTCACCATGCCCAGCTAATTTTTGTATTTTTAGTAGAGATGGTGTTTCACCATGTTGGCCAGGCTGGTCTCAAACTCCAGACCTCGTGATCCACCCCCCTCGGCCTCCCAAAGTGCTGGGATTACAGGCGTGAGCCATCAAGTCCTGCCAGGAAAAGTTCTTGAAGGAAATGAAAAGTGCTACTCCAGTGAACACATGAGTCATAAGAAAGTGAAACAGCCTTATTGCTGATATGGAGAAAGTTTGGGTGGTCTGGATGAAAGATCAAACCAGCCACTACATTCTCTTAAGCCAAAGTCTAATTCAGAGCAATGCTCTAACTCTTTCAATTCTATGAAGGTTGAGGGAGCTGAGGAAGCTGCAGAATAAATGTTGGAAGCTAGCAGAGGTTGGTTCATGGGGTTTAAGGAGAGAAGCCATCTCCAGAACATCAAAGTGCAAGGTGAAGCACCAAGTGCTATAATGTAGAACTACAGCAAGTTATCCAGAAGATCTAGCTAAAATCATTAATGAAGGTGGCTACACTAAAAAACAGATTTTCAGCATAGATGTAACAGCCTTCTATTGGAAGACGGTGCCATCTAGGGTTTTCCTAGCCAGAGTGAAGTCAATGCCTGGCTTCAAAGCTTCAAATAACAAGGGGACTCTCTTGTTAGGGGCTAATGCAACTGGTGACTTTACATTAGCCAATACTCTTTTATCATTCCAAAACTCCAAATAATTATGCTAAATCTACCCTGCCTATGCTCTATCACTGGAACAACAATGCCTGGATCATAGCACATCTGTTTACAGCATGGTTTACTGAATATTTAAAGCCCACTATTTAGACCTACTGCAGAAGAAAAAAGATTTCTGCTTTCAAAATATCACTGCTCATTGACAATGCACCTGGTCACGCAAGAGCTCTGATAGAGATGGACAAGGAGATTAATGTTGTTTTTATGCCTGCTAACACATCATTCTATAGTCCATTGATTAAGGAGACATTTTCACTTTTAGGTCTTATTATTTAAGAAATACATTTCATAGGATCATAGCTGCCATAGATAGTGATTCCTCTAATGGATCTGGGCAAAGTTGATTGAAAATATTCTGGAAACAATTCACCATTCGAAATGCCATTAAGAATATTCATGACTCATGGGAGGAAGTCAAAATATCAATGTGGACAGGAGTTTGGAAGAAGTTGGTTGTAATCTTAAAGGATGAATTATAGAGGTGCAAGATTTCAGTGGAGGAAGTAACTGCAGATGTGCTGGAAATAGCAAGACAACTAAAATTCGAAGTGAAGCCCGAAGATGGGAATGAACTACTGCAATCTCATGATAAAACTTGAACAGATGAGGAGTTACTTCTTATGAATGAGCAAAGAAAGTGGTCTCTTGAGATGGCATCTACTCCTAGTAAAGATGCTGTGAGCACTGTTGAAATGAAAACAAAGGACTTAGAACATTGCATAAGTCGATAAGGCAATGGCAGGATTTGAGAGGATGGACTACAATTTTTAAAGAAGTTCTACTGTGGATAAAATGCTATCAAACAGCATCGCATGCTACAGAGAAAACTTTCTTGACAGAAAGAGTCCATCAATGTGATAAAATTCATTGTTATCTTCTTTTAAGAAATTACTGGCCAGATTCAGTGGCTCACGCCTGTAATCCCAGCAGTTTGAGAGGCTGAGGCGGGCAGATCACGAGCTCAGGAGATCAAGACCATCCTGGCTAACACGGTGAAACCCCGTCTCTACTAAAAAAAATACAAAAAAATTAGCCGGGCATGGTGGCGGGTGCCTGTAGTCCCAGCTACTTGGGAGGCTGAGGCAGGAGAATGGCGTGAACCCAGGAGGTGGAGCTTGCAGTGAGCCGAGATTGTGCCACTGCACTCCAACCTGGGTGACAGAGTGAGACTCCGTCTCAAAAAAAAAAAAAAAAAAAAGAAAAGAAATCACCACCTCAGTCTTTGGCAACCACCATCCTGATTAGTCAGCAGCCATCAGCCTCAAGGCAAGACCCTCCATCAACAAAAAGATTACAACTCACTGAAGCCTCAGATGATCATTTGTATTTTTTAGCAATATAGTATTTTTAATTAAGGTATGTACTTTTTTTAGGAATAATGTTATTGCTCACTTAATAGTGTATAGTACAGTGTAAACATAACTTATGTGCACTGGGAAACCAAAAAAAAATGTGTGACTTGTTTTATTGAGATACTCACTTTGTTGGGGGTGGTCTGGAATGGAACCTGCATATCCCCAAGGTGTGCCTGCGTTGGTCAGAACAAGCCACACAGCCCTCACCTAGGAGGCTGGGAAGTGTAGGAGAGCACGTGGAATAAGTGGGAGTGCCATCTCTCCCAGTCTGCCATTTCTGAGTAGATCTCAAGGTATGCTATTACAGAAACAGTCAACTCTGCAAAGAAAAGGAGACCAGCAAGGTAATGAAAATGAACCATCCATGGCAATGGGGATCTCAGGGGTAAGGAGGGGCCTCTCCTTGCTGCCATTCACTACAACAAGTAGCTCTTGCATGGCAGTCTGTGTTGGAGTTTGTCACGCACGAGTGGCCAGGCTCTTCCACCCACAGTGCCCACATGCTAATGTGATGAGGACAAGGTTGGTATGTAGAGTGTTCCCAGCCTCCCCACCATCTTTTCCAACACCATGTTTGCTACCACCCACCACCAAAATTGTCTTCCTTGCCTGCTCCATTTCTCCTCCCCCAGCTCTCAAAAAAGAGTTCCATCTTGGCCATCCAGGTTCCCAGGATGGGGAGGATGGGGAGAGATGGGCAGTGTTGCAGAGACAGGAGGGAAGGGGTAGTATTCTGGTTTGCTAGGTCAGTTCCTGACTTCTCCTTTGTAAAAAGGAATTTGGGTCAGAAGTAAACTAGAAAGAAAACTAAAGAAGAGTGGAGTCAAGGAGGAGAAAAAGGAAAAGAAAATGAAAACACAGATGTTAAGCCCATCTAAATAATGGAGATATGGAAGAACCAAAGGGAGATGGCACAAGAGATTGACTGGATATAGGAGAGTTTGGAGTGTTTCGTAGAGTGGATGTTTTTTGAAGCATAAGGAAATGAGACAGAGAACTAAAAGCAGGTCTCATTCTTTTCATTCCTTTGAGAGATGTGCATAAAGATTGAAAATCTCTTACTTTCTTTTGGTTATTGGATTGTGCTTCTTTGACTATAACTTAATGTAGAGACTGGGTCACAAGGACTCCCTGCATTCACTCAAGTTACATTAATAAAAATTCAAAACTGAATGAGTAGCATATTCTTAGGGCTTGAAAGGCAAAAGCATAAAAATCAAGAAGTGGCCATAACTTCTCAGAAAGGTATTAATAAGCTTTGGTAATTTTGGGAATGACAAAGAATGAGGAGAGGAATGTGCAGCAGCAACCGCAAGAAGCCCCTCTTCCCTGCCCTCCGAGAGCTCGGCGGGTTTTCGATGCTTGTCTTCCACTG
Source organism: Homo sapiens (assembly GCF_000001405.40). Lineage (NCBI taxonomy): Eukaryota > Metazoa > Chordata > Mammalia > Primates > Hominidae > Homo > Homo sapiens. Next base: position 69,714,529 of record NC_000015.10, on the reverse strand, counting down.
AGGTCACCAGGTCTGAGCTCCATTTCCTGGGCACACGCTGACTAAGGAGTAGCTCCTCCCTCGCTCTGTTCATTGTACCTCCACTTGTGGAGGCCACGGTGACATTAGCTCTGTTGGCTACCACATCCCACCGTTGACTCATATGAAACTTCCTGTCAACTAAAAACCCAACACCTTTTCACTTGTGCTGTTGACCCAGGTATCCCACATCCTGTGTGTGTCTGGTGAGCATCTGAGCCCCAGTGTGAGCAAAGGTCTCTATCACCTTGCATCTTGGTGTGCAGTTATTTTGGCCCAGTGTTAATTTCAGTCCTCTTCAGACCTGCCTCTCACCTTCCTGGTATTGTCCATCCCTCTGACCTTCCCACTTGCCCCTCGGTGATAAGACAGTTTAGTGCCACATGTGACACAGAGCCCCAGCCTTCAGATCCCAGTCTGGATGCCAAATCTTATTGCATTAATTGCTGTGAGACCTTGGGCAAGTTGCTTGCCCTTGGTTACATATTTATTTCCTGGTCTGTGAAAGGGTAATACAACCTCTCTTACAGTCAGGCTGTGAGGGATAAGATAAATAAGCTTTGTAAAATATTGGCAATAGTTGCTGACACAGGAGTTTCTCAATAAATGTTCACCCTTCCCTCACCTATTTCATTCCAGTCATTGATAAAAGGGCTGAATAAGATATGGCCAAAGACAGAGTCCCTTGACATGCCACTAGAGACCCTCATCTAGGCTGATGTAGTTAGATTTATCCATTCCATTTGGGTATGGCCCTTTAACCGGTTCCTAATCTATTGAATTGCACTAGCATCCAGTCCTAACTCTTCACCTTGAGATGCGCATGAGACACCTTGCCAAATATCTTGCTCAAGTCCAAACAGATCACATATTTCTCACTTGCCTGTCTAGAAATCCAAAAGGGCAAGTGGGAGAGCCCAGGTGTGGGAATCACAGCGTTTCAGCCACAGTAGTGGGGAGGAGTGGGGTGGGCACAAGTCATACTTTATATTTGATTGCCAGAATGTTGGGCTCCCAGAGAGAAGCCCTGTTTCCCAGCAATGTGCCAGGTAGGCAGACAAGGCAAGAAGTATGACCAAGTATATTCTGTTGCCCAGGAGCTGGCCCAGAGGAGGTGGAAATGTGTGCTGAACTAGGACTTAGGGACCAGAGTTCTAGTCTTACAGTTACTGGGTGACATCAGGCAATCTTGTAACTTCCTGACCTGTTTCAGCTCAGCCACACTGAGCAGATCCTCACTATGAACTATGCCCCTTTAGCCCTTAACTGTTTGCCCAGTTCCTCCCTAGGCTCAGGAAATGGAAGTATTTGACCTGCTGGGTAGTACACATATCCCAGAGTGAGGGTGATGAATACATGGCAGGGTTCCAGGGAGTATAGGGAGCTATACCAAAGGCACAGCAGCTCTTCCTAGAACAGTGGTTAGTTAGAGAATTGCGATGTGCATACACACTTATGCATACCCACACACAAACATACATGCACACGTGGATATGCTGTGGGAAAGAAATAGATTTCCTTAAATTCTGCACGCATTTTTAAAATAAAGCCTGAGATTTCTGAGATATTTTCTATCTGCCACTGGCATATGACCCCTCAACCCTATGGGTACAACATCACCTTCCCGACATTTGAAAGTCACCCTGCTGGGCAGAAGGGGCCCTAGAGGCTATCTTGGATACATGAAGACCAAATGGCTGTTCTTGGCTTCCTTGGTGCTCAAGAAAAAGTCCAGCCACTTCCTGTTTCAAGAGCTGCCCCTTTCTCTAGGGCACACTGCCCCTCCGAGTACCTGTTCCCCAGCCCCAGGAGCTCCCCTGATGCTATGAAGGAGGAGCAGCAATAAAGAGACTGCCCGCCCCATCCCCACCACAATCTGTAGTCACAATTGTGTCTACTGTGGGCTTAATCTTGGGCCCCACTTTTGAGCTGGGAATGTAGGAAAAAATCACTAACTTAGACAGGCCAGAGTTCAAATCATGGCCCTCTCTTATCATGCAAAGGCCTCAGGCAAGTCACCTACTTCTCTGAGACCAGATATGCAAATTGCAAATTGGGATCCTAGGACCTAAATCGTTGGTGGTTGGGAAGTTATGGGGAAAAGTCCTCACATATCCTCAAGTGCCTATCCACCCCACCTTTCTCTTAGTCTTGATTCCTCCAAAATATTAGGTTACCTTTCTTTCTAATTTTTACCTGACAAGGCACAGCATAATGAAAACTGAAACTGGTTGGCCATCAGCAGACATGACTTTGAGACTACCATACTCAACGCTGACTATCAAGTCATGTATATAAACCATGCCTCAGTTTCCTCACCTTTAAGAGAGGAGGGTTGAAATAGATATTGATTATATCAGCCTCCATAGATTGCATTTCTGTAGTGTTCCAGTCATTTCATAGATGCCATTTAATTTATATTAATTCAGTATCCTACAAGAAGGTATCATCAGGCTTTACTCTATGAAAAGGAGTGGGGTGCAGCACTCAAGAACATGCGCTTTGAGCTAAGACTGCTTGACTTCAGCCCCCTGCTCTTTACTCAGCTGTTTTTTGATCTAAGACAAGTAATCTAACCGCTTTGTGCCTCAGTTTCCCTTCTGCAAAACCTAAGGTGTTTATGAAGATTAAATCAGATAATCCAAGCAAGGGGTTTCACTCAACACCTGGCACAAGAGAAGCCCTGCATAAGTAATTACCCCAGAGGAGCCAAGATATCAGAGACCTGTCCAAGGCTACAGAGCACAGGGCTATCCAGCTCCAAGTCCATGCCCTGGTCCTCTGAAGAACGTTGTCTCTTTTACAGGACTGTGGAGGGCCCTCCAAGAGCATCTCTGTATTGACTCTGGAGTTGTTGGGCTGGTGGTTTAGTGCCCAGGAGGAAACCTCTGGAAGTCAGGGGAGAGACATGAGATCCTGGGGAACTCAATCTTCCCCCATGCATGGCAGATATCCAGACCCCAGCATACATGCCCACAGAGAAGACACACACACACACACACACACACACACACACACACACTCATATACATATGTACACTTAGTACAGGAGCCATTTCTCCAGATCAGCCTGTTCCAAGACTCCAAATCCCAGGGCTGCTGCAAACAAAGCTTTTAATCCACTGCCCCATCAACACACCTGTCCAGGGCAGGTCAATAACAGCCCCTCCTGGGTGCTGTGATGGACACATACGAGGATTCCTTTCACTGCTATGTTTACTGAGCACCTACTATGTGCTAGGTCATAGGCAAGGCAGTGTGACTTCAGAGACAAATAAGCCAGTGTCACTGCAGTCATGGACAAGACTGGCTCACTACGAAACAGAGAATACAGACCAGAAGATGAGTTCAATAAACTCCTGCCAGTACCAGGGATATGAGCTGAGTCTTAAAGTCATTAAGTATCCTCACTATGGGAACAGGGTGAGGAATAGAGCCCCCAGGCAGAAGCAGCAACTTAAGCACCTGAGTGGAGTTGAGAGACTCCCTGGCATAACTAGAGCTGGGTTGCGGGGGAAGAGAGTGATGAGAGATGAGCCTGGGGAGCTACACTGAGGGTTTTGGCCTAGTTCTGTGTCAATGGGAAGACATTGAAGGATATTAATAGGCATAGAGAGAGCACAGGGGAGAGAGTTTAGAATTAGAAGCCTAGGAAGACTTCCTGGAGAAGGTGACTTTTGAGCAGTCCCTGAAGTGATGGCCAGGAGTTTGGGAGATAGAGAGGAAGGGACTTGCAAGAAGAGGGAACAGTGAGGGAAAGTATGACAGGTACAGGGCCATCTGCAGAATAGCCAAGGCCACCAAAGGATAATGGAGGAGATGTCACAGGAAGGGCCATGGAGGGTCAAAGAGGGGAGAGAACACTCTGGGCTGGTGTGGTCAGAGAAAACTCTATAAAGAAAATGAATGAATCAATGAATCAGCCAGCCAATGAGGAGCCTTGATTGGAGCCATCGAGTGTGACAGGTGTGAGTAAGCATTGGTTCCGTACAAAGGCAGCCTGCCCCTGGCCCTTGCTTCTGCCCTTTCACCACATGTCTCATCGAAACTGACATGTCTGAGATCCCCTTCTTTGGAACCCCACTGGGAATCTCAAAACTAATATTTTGAGCTAATTGTGGTTGCAGATGGAGCAAATCCTAGATTCCATACAACCTAAGCCTTTGATTTTACATCTGAGGAAACTAAAGTCCGGAGATGGAAAGTGACTTATCCAAGGTCACGTAGCAAGAAAGTCAGCATGACTAGTGCCAGGAATCCCAACCCCTCCCTCAGGGCTCCCTCCATCTCACTGCCCTGCCTCTTAGTCGTCAGCCACCAGGGGCTTGTGGTGGACAAAGGCACTTCTCTTTACCACAGAGACTTCTGGAGGTGGACTCAAAGGAACAAATCTGTTATGGTGAGACTTCAAGCAAGGGAGATACATGGGTGTTGTAGTCCCGCAGATAGACCAGGTGGATAACTGAACACATTCCCCAGAGCTGGGGCTGGCCTGAGCCCTAGGCGCAGAGTGGGGAGGTGTGAGGAGCTAGGAGGTTCACCTACATTGATTCAATTTCATAGAAACCTCATGGCAAAGGTGATATGAATCCCATTTTGCAGAAATTGAGGTTTCAGGAGGTTAAGAGGTTTTCCAAGGCATGAAGGTAACAGTATTAGGATTTGCTCTTGGGCCATTCCCTCTTGGCCCGAGAACACCATCACAGTCAGCCTCTCCCATCAGTTACTCTCCTGTCAAGGGCCTGGGCAACCCCACAGTGGAAGATTTGCTCTGCATCAGGTCAATAACAGCCCATTAGGAAGGCTCTGTTTAATAAACCATTAATGTTGAATTATTGAAGGGATAAGAAAGTGCTAGGAAGATTCAGATAGACAGAGGTAGGGAGGGAGTCTAGCAGGGAAGGGCCAATGAAAGAATATTAATTTAATATCCATGAGCAAGACATCCTCTTGGGTGTGACTGTAGGCATTTATAGCAACCACATTATAAACCGTGTCCCACCATTTTACAGAGAAGGAAACTGAGTCTTACAGAGGTGCCCTAACAGCCACAGGGTGTGGACACAGGGGGCACTGGCAAGTTCAATTATTGGGAATACCTTTGTTTATCATATGAGCTTCACTCATGAAAATTTTTACCAAACTTTATAAAGTGAGGCTGATCCTTTGAGCTAGAAAGAAAAAAGAAGCTGAACCATCTTTTTCCTCCCTGTATCCATTTCAGACACTGCCCCTCCCTGCTGGTCTAGCCAGTCAGTGTTTTCTGCTCTTGGTTAGCAATTTCCTTCCAGCTCCTGGGGCATTTTCCATGACACTCAGCTGGGAATAGAAAAACAAGACAAAAATCAAGCTATGGTGTTAGGATCACTTGACCAGGCATTGGAATCCATGATTCTGAAGTCTTTAGGAAACATCATATTTGATGTACCAAAAAAAACTCACTGCCCACATGACCTATTGAGGAGCTCCACAGGAGAGCAACAGCAGGCACAACAGTCTCTGCCAAAGGCCCTGATATGGTTTGGCTGTGTCCCCATTCAAATTCTGTCTTGAATTGCATCTCCCAGAATTCCCAAGTGTTGTGGGAGGGACCCGGCAGAGGTACTTGAATCATGGAGGCTGGTCTTTCTCATGCTATTCTCATGATAGTGACTAAGTCTCATGAGATCTGATGGGTTTATCAGGGGTTTCTGCTTTTGCTTCTTCCTCATTCTCTCTTGCTGCTGCCATGTAAGAAGTGCCTTTCACCCTCCACCATGATTATGAGACCTCCCCAGCCATGTGGAACTGTAAATCCAATTAAACCTCTTTTTCTTCCCAGCCTCAGGTATGTCTTTATCAGCAGCATAAAACCGGACTAATACAGTAAATTGGTACCAGGAGTGGGGTGTTGCTGAAAAGATACCTGAAAATGTGAAAGCAACTTTGGAACTGGGTATCGGGCAGAGGTTGGAACACTTTGGAGGCCTCAGAAGAAGATAGTAAAATGTGTGAGAAAGTTTGGAACTTTCTAGAGACTTGTTGAATGACTGACCAAAAACCTGATAGTGATATGGACAATAAGGTCCAGGCTGAGGTGGCCTCAGATGGAGATGAGGAACCTTTTGGGAGCTGCCTCAGATGGAGATGAGGAGCTTGTTGGGAACTGGAGCAAAGGTTACTCTTGTTATGTTTTAGCAAAGAGACTGGAAGCATTTTGCCCCTGCCCTAGAGATTTGTGGAACTTTGAACTTGAGAGAGATGGTTTAGGGTATCTGGTGGTACAAATTTCTAAGTAGCAAAGCATTCAAAATGTGACTTGGGTGCTGTTAAAAGCATTCCATTTTAAAAGAGAAACAGAGCATAAAGTTCAGAAAATTTGCAGCCTGATGATGCAGTAGAAAAGAAAAACCCATTTTCTGGGGAGAAATTCAAGCCAGCTGCAGAAATTTGCATAAGTAGCAAGGATCCTAATGATGATCTCCAAGACCATGGGGAAAATGTCTCCAGGCCATATCAGAGACCTTCACGGCAACCCCTGCCATCACAGGCCCAGAAGCCCAGGAGGAAAAAGTGGTTTTGTGAACTGGGCCCAGGGTCACCATGCTGTGTGCAGCCTAAGGCCTTGGTGCCCTGTGTCCCAGCTACTCCAGCCATGACTGAAAGGGTCAAACATACAGCTCAGGCTGTGGCTTTGGAGGGTGGAAGATCCAAGCCTTGGCAGCTCCCACATGGTGTTGAGCTTGCAGGTGCACAGAAGTCAAGAATTGAGGTTTGGGAACCTCCACCTAGATTTCAGAAGATGTATGGAAACTCCTGGATGCCCAGGCAAAAGTTTGCTGCAGGGATGGGGCCGTCATGGAGAACCTCTGCTAGGGCAGTACAGAAGGGAAATGTGGGGTCAGAGCCCCGACACGGAGTCCCTACTGGGGCACTGCCTATTGGAGCTGTAAGAAGAGGGCCACTGTCCTCCAGATCCCAGAATCCACCAACAGCTTGCACCGTACACCTGGAAAAACCACAGACACTCAATGCCAGCCCATGAAAGCAGCTGGGAGGGAGGCTGTACCCTGCAAAGCCACAAAGGCAGAGCTGCTGAAAACCATAAGAACCTACCTCTTGCGTCAGTGTGACCTGGATGTAAGACCTGGAGTCAAAAGAGATCATTTTGGAGCTTTAAAATTTGACTGCCCTGCTGTATTTTGGACTTGCATGGGTCCTGTAACCCCTTTGTTTTGGCCAATTTCTCCCATTTGGAACAGCTGTATTTACCCATTATCTGTACCCTCATTGTATCTAGGAAGTAACTAGCTTGCTTTTGATTTTACAGGCTCACAGGTGGAAGGGACTTGCCTTATCTCAGATGAGACTTGGGACTTGTGGACCTTTTGGTTAATGCTGAAATGAGTTAAGAGTTTGGGGGACTGTTGGGAGGGCAGGATTGGTTTTGAAATGTGAGGACATGAGGTTTGGAGGGCCAGGGGGAATGATATGGTTTGGCTGTGTCCCATTCAAATCTCAACTTGAATTGTATCTCCCAGAATTCCCATGTGTTGTGGGAGTCACCCAGGGGGAGGTAATTGAATCATGGGGGCTGGTCTTTCCCATGCTATTCTTGTGACAGTGAAAAGTCTCATGAGATGATATAATTGGTTTATCAGGGGTTTCCTTTTGCTTCTTCCTCATTCTCTCTTGCTGCCACCATGTAAAAGTGCCTTTCACCCTCTGCTACGATTATGAGACCTCACCAGCCATGTGGAACTGTAAGTCCAATTAAACCTCTTTTCTTCCCAGCCTCAGGTATGCCTTCATCAGCAGCATAAAAACGGACTACTCCAGCCAACTGCCCTAGGGACAGTCAGTCAGGTGGCCATCCCAGCCTCCTCCAAAGCCAGTAGCTCATTAAGCCAGGAGGGAAAAACCTACATAGTGAAGGCTTTGCTGGCAGCTTAGATGGAGAACTGGGGGCAAATCAGGGCAACATGAAAAGCCACTCCTCCACTCTCCAGGGAAAATCCCAGCCTCCCACCCCACTGTAGCATGGAGAGTTTGCACACGGTATATACTTAATACATATAAGTTGAATGCCTGAGTGAATACATAAATGACCCTTTGATAATCTGATTCCTCATCTGTCATAATCAGCTCAGGCTGCTACAACAAAATACCATAGACTGGATGGTGGCTAAAACAACATACACATATTTTTTCACAGTTCTGGAGGCCAGAAGTCTGAGATTATGATGGGTGTCAGCACAGCTGGGTTCTGGTGAGGGCTCTCTTCCTGGCTTGCGAACAGTTACCTTCTTGTGATGTTCTCACACGGCAGAAATATCTCTTTCTTCTCTGTTTTTTGTTTGTTTATTGTTTTTGTTTTGTTTTGTTTTTGAGACAGAGTTTCACTCTTGTTGCCCAGACTGGAGTGCAATGGCATGATCTCGGCTCACCGCAACCTCCACCTCCCAGGTTCAAGCAATTCTCCCACTTCAGCCTCCCTAGTAGCTGGGATTACAGGCATGTGCCACCACGCCCAGCTAATTTTTTGTATTTTTAGTAGAGACAGGGTTTCACCATGTTGGCCAGGCTGGTCTTGAACTCCTGACCTCAGGCGATCCACCCACCCTGGCCTCCCAAAGTGCTGGGATTACAGGCATGAGCCACCATGCCCGGCCTTCTTCTCTGTTATAAGGGCACAGTACTGTTGGATTAGGGCCCCACCCTTATGACTTCATTTAATTTAATTAATTCCTAAAGGTCTTATCTCCAGATACAGTCACATTGGGAGTTTAGGCTTCAACATATGAATTCATTTCATAGGACCAACCAAGGAAGGAATTTAATCATGATGTCATAAAAGGCTGCCAACATTCAATATGCCTCTCTAGTAAACCTAGCAAAGGCCTTTGCCATCCTTGCTCCATCTGGGAGCCCCTTAGAGTAATTTTGCTACATTTTCTTAAGGCTGCCATGACCAAGCCAGGTCTCTGTAGAGCCTGCCTAGTGGATACTGTATTCAAGTCTGAGAGGGGGAGTTCAAAGTCCTCAGCAGCTTCCTGCAGAAGACAGCACTGTGAAAGATTGGAGATGCACGGCTCTTCCTGGGCGCAGGAAGAGTGCTGTCCTGAAAGCTGGGCCTTCCTGTGTCCTTCCATTCCCCTGTAAGACCTTAGGCAATTCGCTCCCCTTCTAGAGGCCATGTTTAAAATGAGGGTGGCGAATTGATGATTTCTGAGAGCCTCCCACTACTCTTGCTTTACCTATGTCTAGAGAAAAGTAGATTCAGAGAGACAAAAGTAAACTGCTTAAGATTTAGGCCAAGAAAGAATTCTGACTTCTTTGCTAACTGTCGAGAACCCTTGGGCAAATGGTTTAATCTCTGAATTTCTCCGTCTGGAGATGGCGGTTATAATAATTACCTCCTTCAGGGATTTCCAGCATCACTGTGATAGACTGATTGTTTTAGGGCCCTGATTCTTCACCCTTCTCTGTGCCCATGAACTTTGCCTGTGACTTTGTAAGTCCTCCTGCTGTGAAGAGAGAGAGTCTTTCTCCCTGCTGTGGGTGGAATGTTTGCCTTCTCCCAAAACGTATATGCTGAAACCTAAACACCAACATGATGGTATTAGAAGATGGGGCCTTTGGGAGATGATTAGGTCATGAGTAATCCCATGAATGGGATTACTACCCTTTTGAAAAAAGGCCCCAGAGAACTGCCTTGCCCATTTCGCCACATGAAGACACAGTGAGAAGGCAACATCTACGAACAAAGAAGCGGGTCCTCACTAGACACCAAATCTGTCTGCACACCTTGATCTTGGACTTCCCAATCTCCAAATCTCTGAGAAATAAATTTTTGTTGTTTATAAGCTACCTAGTCTATGGAATTTTGTTAGAGCAGCCTGCGTGAACTCTGTGATTCAGAGTTCGGCCATGTCACTTGCTTTGGCCAGTGAGATGTTAACAAATGTGACACAAGCAGAAATTTGAGAAAGTGCTTACAGACTGGGTTTGCTTACTTTTGCACTCTGCCATGGCCATGAGAACATGCCTCAGCTAGCCTGCTGGAGGGTGAGAAACACACAGAATGGAGCCAATATGCCCTAGTTGTCCCAGACGAGGCCAGCAAAGATCACCCAGCAGCCAACACATCCCCAACACATAAAGAGCTCTGCCAAGGCCAAGAGGACCTCCCACCTGACTCATCAGACCAACAAGCTAAAAAGACTGATTTTTTTAAGTCACCGAGTTTGGGATGGTTTGTTGCACAGTATTATTTTGGCAATTAATAACTGACACAATCATAAAATGACACACAACAGGTACTCAATAAGTGTTTATTTCCTGCATCATCTCCCCACCCCAGACCTTCAAGTGCAAACTTAGTTCTTACAACGATAGTTGGGAGACATAAATTGTGGTCCTGGTGCATTTTAAGCTTCAATCTCATTGTTACTCCTGCTTCAGATTGATTACAGACGCTGACTGCTCAATTTTGATTAAATACTAAATCATAAGCTGCTTACAAAATGCCTGCAAAAAGCTGACATTTATGAAGTCCAATAAACTACTTGTAAGAACAGGAGTGCTAGATTGGGAGAAAAAAATAAAATCTTCATCCAAACAAACATCGGTTGACAGCAGACAGATGGTCAGAATCCCTTACTTGTAAACTGGAAAAATTAAGATTTGGCAAGAGTTGTCTGAAAAGAACTAGCAAACATCAAAGTTTCCCCTTTCAATGCTGGTGTTTTTCTGGGCCTGACTTCAATATTTTCACAGGCTACTGCACGGAAAAGGTGTTGCAGGCCTCCGCGTTGCTGGCAAGGAAAGGCTAAGAAATACCAGCAACGATTTATAGGAAGCAAGGTTGCCAACATTCCAAAGAGTGAGCGTTTAAAAGCCAGCAACTGCACATTCCCATAAATCCCCATAACTCAGCATCAGGCCTTCCCCTTAATCTGCTGAGGTGTGAGGGAAGGGAAGGTGGAATTTTCTAACTCGATTTTCCACTTGGATCAGCTTTCACAGGGGTGACTGTTGAGTTAATCTTTCAGGGGCCGCAGAAGTCTTAATAGTAATGGAATCCACCCTTAAAAGCAGAGGGCCGGGCTCTCCTTATGTTTGTTAAATGAAGTAATAAGAGTGCTAAGAGGGGCTTTGGCTCTGGCAACAAGCCCCATAGCTTCAGGAGAGGCAAAGGCTTTGACTGTCCTGGTTCTCATTTTTCCCTGACTTCTCGGTGACCTTAGAAGTGTTCAGAGAGTGAGTTTGTGCAGATGAGGTGAGCTTGTGTAGTTATCTGGCTATGTACAGAGTATGCCAAGGATTGGCAAGCTGGCATGGCTCCAAACATGGCCCTCGTGCACCCCTTGGGAGCATTGCTTCTGCTGCTTTGATTGCTCGGGACTCACACAAGCCCATGACTTTACAAATGACAGAACTTGGGGGCCTGCAGTGTTCCACACTGGACAGATCATGGTCTTTAGGCTTGGGAACCAGACCTAGCCATCTTTGTCTCCTCTTGGCTGCACGGGCGAGGTCCTGAGCCTCGGTTCTCCATCCTCCAAATGGAAATCATGTCTGCCTCACCTGGTTATTGAAGAGGGTGGTGACATAGACAGAACCTAGAGGAGACAAACTCATAAGCAGGTCATTGCAATATATAGTGGGTGTAATGATAAAGATATGCCTGAGACATTATGGGAACACAAAGGACATCTGGCCCAGTCTGGGGCTGGGTTGGGGTTTACAGGGAAGCCTTTCCAGAAGAAGTGACACCTGGACTGAGTCTTAAAAGTTGAATAGGAGTTAACTGACAAAAAGGATAGAGATGAGCCTTCCAGGAAGAGAAGACCAAGTGAGCAAATTGTTGTCAATCGGTTTCTGTTTGGATACCCCCAGTGATGGCCTGTTGACAAGCCCATTGCAGCTAAGACAGCTCAGACTATTAGAAAATTCATTTATAAAGAGGAAAGTCTCACTGTGGTCCTAGTCCCCACACAGGGAATATATTGAAGCCAGCTCTTGTGTCTTTACTTCTCCTTGCAAGAGGGTCCCGGCCTAGCAGGCATTGCTCATGCATCAGAGTGAAGTCCTACACCACACAGGCTTCTTACCTGAATCCTAACCCAACATTCCAAGAGAACAGGGGTCAAAGCCCTGAAAATGCCCAATGGGCTCATTTGGTAAATGAGTAACCTTGGAATTGGAGCTGGATTTCAGAGTGAAGGATCTAGCTCATGCTGCAGGATTCGCTCAGGATAGAGGGTCTGGCCCAGCTCTGCCTCCAAGGGTCCATCAGAACTGTAGTCTCAAGTCCTGATTGACAAACAGAGATATGGAGAAAGCCATAGCTCAATCTACCCTCAGGGAGTAGTGAGTAGGGCAGGTGTGTCCAGAGTCAATACACAACATGATTTAGAAGCAGACCTGGCACACAGTCAGGGCTCTGCAGGTGTTTGCTGGTGTTATTATTACCTCTCAGAGGTGGAGTAGGTAAACCTGTGTGACCTAAAGGGCCCAGCCCTAGACTGTCTCCCCCACCTGCCTGGCACAAGCCTGAAATTCACTAGGACTTGTCCCTTTGTACAACACAAATAATAGATATTCCTGACAGAGCTAACTCTGTGCCTCAGATCCCTCCTCTAGACAATGGAAGCAATAGTACTGTAGACAATGGAAGCAATAGTCCTCTAGACAATGGAAGCAATAGTACAATGGAAGCAACAGTACTTCACTTACAGTACTTAACTCCGATGACAATTAAATGAGCTAATCAATATAAAAGCACTCAGAACAACATCTGGCATGTAGCACCACATACATGTTTGTTAAGATGATGATGATGGTGATGACTATTCATTATTCCAGGTACTCAGTAAATGTGTGTAGCAAAAAAGAAAAATAACAGAAGTGTGTGATAGCTCAGAGGGAGACCTATGGTTATTTACTATGTACATGAAAAACCCAGTAAAATATCACTCTATTAAAAGACCAAGTGTGTTCTCACCTCCCACAATTCATGACTTAGTTCCAACTTGCTGGTCACTGGAATCAGCTGCCTCTTCTTTGCCTCCCCTGGGAGTTGCCAAAAGCAGTGAAAGGAAAGAGCTCTGTGCTTGCTGCCAGGAGACTTCTGTTTGAGTCCCTGTCCCATCCCAGTTCTCCAAGCTCTGCCCCTCCCAGGGCCTCAGCGGCCTCCTGTGTAAAGTGACAACTGGTGGCTATGGCCACAATAATATTTAAACACTTACATACTGCAATTCCCCTTCCGAATCCCTCAGTAACGTCTCCTAATTAATCACCTAGTATACTGCATTCTAAATTAATTAAATTAAAAGTAATTAAATCCAGGAAATTGAAATTAGTCTAATTAGATTAGAGGCACATCCAGTGATGGTGGTGAGGGGTGCCACATAAATTGGCCAATTTTGGTGCAGAAAAGATAGACTTAGATTATATACAGGCTGTTCAGAGGGAGAGGCAAGCCTTACAAAGAATAAGTCCAGGTGGGCAGAATAATGATATGGATGATAATAACAATGGTAAACACAAATAACAGGTTCTACCTTCATCAGGGCTTTCCTGGGCGGAGCCATACTATTGAATCCCCACAAAACCCCTCCAAAGTAGGTGCTGTTGTTATCCCTGCTTGAAAGATGGGAAAACAGAGGCTGTAGGGTATGGAGGATCATGATAGAAACCCACATGGTCTGACTCCTGAGGCCCCTCCAGCCCTCTCCAGCCAGCCTCCTGGATCTTTATGTAGAACTGATCGCCTGCATGGAAAGTGGTGGGTGGTGACCCCCACACCTATCATCCAGTATGGTCTGGTGATGTCAAGAGCGGCTGACTTTTATCTTCCTATGATGCATACACGATGGATGATGTTCACAGACATGCCACACTCAAGCATGGTTCTGGCCAGACATGGTGATCAAGAACTGTGAGGTGTCTGAGATGACTTTACCCTGCTTGGAGGCTAGCAGAAGACACAAGACTCCTGGGTCAGAGATCAAAGATTTCATGACTCACAGAAGTAGCAGGATCCAGAAGCAGTGCTTTTTTGCATTGGCTCCCTAAGCTCCAAATCTTACAGAGCAGCATAGGAAGGGCCACAAGGCTCCTGCACACACCTGCACTACAGGAGAGAAACCCCAAGTGGAGGGAAGGTGAATCTTTCCTAAGGAACACTAAGCCTGCCTGCTCTTGGTTTCAGAGAGAGATACTATCTCTCATACTTGTAGTACAACATCCTTGGAAAGATCATCTGGAACAAAGGCAGTCAGTAGCTCTGCTCACAAACCATGCAGAAACTTGAAAGACCCACGGAGAATTGTCTCAAACCAACTCTAGCCCTGGTTTTTATAGCCTTAGCTTCTGGCAAATCCTCCCATGAATGCATCACTCTATCAGCCACTCTGATTAATTTGACCAATAGAAGGGGGGACAAAATCGATTTAGTTAGTCTCCTATAGCATTTAATTAAGGTTACTACCAACAGGATCCATGCAGCGAGACAAGACTAACCTGCAGCACTGGCTTCAGCCATGACCTCCCCAGGGTCCTGCATCCAGCCAGGTGAACGGATGCCATCAACAACCTGGGTCTACGTTAGAAAGCCAGGTGGATACATTTGTCTACTGACCTTTCCACCCAGCTCAAGGCAGTGATCCAGGTAGAGCAGGATGTATTTGGAATTGCAGAGACTCCATCTTGGCCTACAAGGAAAAAGTGTAGGGTAATTCTATTGTCGTCAATCACAACCCTGGTCAGTGAGGGGAGGCTGACATGAATGCTTTCCAGGTCCCAGGCCACGGTGGGGTCGGCTGAAGTCAGGGTCAAATTTCATGCCTCCTTTTCTAATTGCAGGGGTCCCATTATAGGGAAAACAGTTCATAGGGTACCCATAAATAATGACTCAGTTATCTGTCTGGGAAGGTCACTGTGTTTACAGTAGGGAGACAATGTAACATCTGGCTTCCACACAATTCACAATTACAGTCCCTGGGATGCATATGGTGCCCCTAGAAAGGAAGTATTGTCCACAGTTGTTGGGGATCCCCAAATGGGACATCAGCTAGGGGCACAGGTTGATTGGCTCCAATATGGCCTCTCCATGGGTGGTAAGACTTAGGGTTTTCAGTGCCAATAATGGAGTCCCTGTTTTCAAAGATTCTGCCTGAGGGCTGTCTGTCCAACTTGTCCTGTCTGTCTACACTCCTAGTCGGGTGACATTCTCTTGCCCCATGGAATGATTGAGCAAATAGTATGAGAATGTGGTTGGGAAAGTTATCCAGAGGTGCTGGCAGGTGCTTTGCATGGGAAGTGCAGGAGCTGGGGTTAAGGGGAGTGGGGACCAAGCCATGGTTGGAGCCAGTGGGAGGGGCCAGCAGAGACAGCAAGCAGTTACATGAAGGCACTTGAACAGTTTGACAGAGCAGCACCAGTGCCTCGCTCTTGGGAGGAAGACTCCAGAAGCGGTTCTGAAAGACAAATTTCATCAGTGTCCCTCCCTTCCCTGTACCTCTAAGTACAAGTACAGGCTAAGGTATTCCCTCTGTGGGTGCCATGGTCAATGTCCTTCCTCAACTGCCCTTCCAATAAATGTAACATCACCCTTTTCCCAATAATCTCCTACTCATATGTACATCTTTAATCCAGAAGTTTCCATTGCAAGAGTGACAAAAGCATTTTCATAAAACATGGAGAGATCCATTATATCCCCAACTTTTGTTGTTGTGGCCCACAATAGGGTGCTGAATGAGCTGTGTACTAAGACAAGTGGTCACTATCCTAATGACCTAAGGTCAGGTCAATCCAACAAAAGAATCCAGGTGGCCAAACCAGAATTACATTTACCTCTTCCAGGCCTTCTTTGGGCTAGCCTGGGGTTGCTTTTAAGGGAAAGGAAGATGTGTCAAGCCTAGGAATGGTCAGGACAGAATCTTGAGTTTTCAAAATAGGTCCAATTACCCGCCCCTTCCACTTCATCACTTTTACCTTGATTATTACTCAGGAAGCAGCCGAGGAGAGAGAATCCCCTTCTGGACAGCAGCATTCAATGACCACTTACTAAGGTGTGTGGACCAGGAGGAGGTGAGCAGAGCACAATCAAAAACAAGGAAGGAAGGGAGAGAAGGAGACAAAAAGGAGAGACCTTGCTCTGGCATAACCACACGCAACAAATTAATCCCCCATATTCCCATCTAAAACATCAGCATTCAGACTACTGCCCAGTTGTCCCCAAGGGTCCATTCTGATAATTTCAACCACACAAAGGAAATGTTTGCCCAAAAGGTGAAAATCTCCACCTCTATCAAGAGAGGAACCACCTGCTGTTTTGAAATGACAATTTTTCCATCTTCTACCCATCACGGGGTCAAGCACTCCCGGTTCCTCCTCTCAGGCAGCTGGCATCCTGCCAGCATGCCACACATTCAAAAGAGCTCTACCAGGGCCCAAAACAGCACAGGCAAGCTTCCCAGATGGCTGCTTAAATTTGATACAAAGGTACATTTTAGACTGTCTAGGGAGAAGTACGCATTTCATATCTTTCAAGGAAGCCTCCATGATATTAATTTTTACAACTGAGTTGATAAAAATGAGGCAGCAGGAAAAAATGAGGCTACGCTCACTAGCAAATACCTGCCCTGCTGATGTTGCAAATTAAGAACAGCATTATGGGATATCTTGGGGTGTGTTTCAAGGTTTGCCACTCCTTTAGCCCGACTTGGGCAAAGGGACCATATCTTACCTGCCCGAATGCATGGCATAGTATAGGAATGCTGGTGGTTAGAACAAGGGCCTTAGTTTGTAAAGAAAGCCTGCCAAGGTGGTCGTGTTTGGAAATGCCAAAGTGACATTATGGGGAGCAGAATGGAGCAGGAGTGAGAAATATCAACACCTAGAGTGTGTCCCTTGTCTCTACCGCCCCTCCCACCAACAATTAGCCTGACCTTGGCCTGAGATATTATACCAACTACAACTTTCACTGTTTCTTTGCTTAATTTGCTTCACTGCTGGGGGGAAAACAAGACCTGAAGAGGAATAAAAGCAGCTGGTTTCTTTCGACCATCAAAGGCAGAATTGGATACTGCTGCACGGTGATTTTCAAGGCAATTCAAAATTCAAATTAGCCAAAGCTGACTCCCTCCCTCCTCGCTCTCCTGCGCTCTCTATCTTTGTCTCTCTCTCTCTCTCTCTCTGCCTTTTGCACGACTTTGTTCACAAAGCAGAACTATTCCTAGCCTCCTGTGCTCCACTTTGAAGCCAGCCCATGTTTTTCCACTTCACCCCTTCATCCTTCTGGGCAGCGGTTTTCTGCCTCATCCAAAGGAATCAATGAGGAGGCTCAAATGCCAATCTTTTACTTTTTCCAAGAAGGGCTTCCAAGGTGCTAATGTGCTTCCCAGCCAAGATACAGCCTCTGGTGTGTGTTTGCTGGTGATAATAATACATCAGCTAGGTAGGGTGGACTCCAGAGGCCTGACTGGGCACAGCAAGGCATTCCTGAGTGCTCTCCAGCCGGGGAAGGAAATGATGGGGAAAGGAGAAGTGACAGAGAAGCAGAATAGTGCTGGAGGAATGAATTTCATGGCCCATTATTTCAGTAGTGTGTGTTCAGAGCCCACGGTGCACCTGGAGCCAGTTCCAAGTCCATCTCCTGCAGGAAGCCTTTTCTCATCCCCTCTGCTCCTCAGACATCACCTGCTCCCCTTCCTGGGCAGTCCCAGACCTCTCTGCCTGGCCAGCCCCTTGGGTCCAGGTACACACAGCCTGCTGTGTGTTAATTGCTCTGTGTGTATGGAAACCCAAACACAGTGCCTGATGCAGCATGGCACTCCATGGTGTAGTCCCTGCGCCCTTTGCCTCTGCCCTGTCTCCCTTCCTAGAAGTCAGCTCCATGACAAAAGGGGCCTCTTCATACTCCAGTGGCCCCAAAGCTCAGCCCAAGTCCTTCAATGTCTTGGTCACAGACAGAATCCAATAACTACTTGGAAATTGCATGACGGTTTCCTTCAAACATTGTAAGAGCTTGTTTTTCTCTTTTAATGACAAAAGAAAGCCCACATGTTAAAAATCTTTCTAACCTCATCTCTGTTGCTACTTGCCCCAGGCCTCTAGACCAAGTCACCAAATTTCCCTTTATTGTTCTACCAAAGGGTTAGGCAGTTTCCAGTACAATTAAAAATTCAATGGTAAAGGGCTTCTCTTCTCCACTTGGTAACTGACTAACTTGGAGGAGCTAGGCCAGATTATAAGCTCCTGAGTTCCTCCAACTCAATGCCCGGTTAGGATGTACTGTAGCCAGGCCAACGAGGTCTCTAGACATCCCTGAGATCATAAAAATAGAAAGTAAGGCCCCACTGCCAGGTTGAGTTGTGCAAAGGGAGCTTTGAGCAGTCTGCAAAGAGCCTCTAGGCTGCAAGAGGAAGGCCTGGCCCCTGAAGCCAGGTGGACTGATGTCTCCAGTACTAATTTAATTAGAGTGGTCCAGGGAGGCCTAACACAGGAGGTGATGTGGGAGCTGAGGTTTGAATAGCAAGAAGAACCAGCCAAGGCAGGTTCTAGGGAAGGCCATTCCAGGCAGAGGGAACAACTACCACACAGGCTCTGGAGCAAGAGTAAGCTTGACATGTACAAGGAATCAAGACAGGGCCCATGCGGCTAGAACACGGTGGACCAAAGAAAAATGGAAGTTGGAGAAGAAGACAGGGCCAATTGTGTGGGGCCTTTCACTCCGTGGTAAGAAGTTTGAACTTTAAATGCAACAAAAACAATTGAAGAGTTTTGCTTTTTAATTAAAAAGAGCGATATTTCAAGGTTCTTCTGGCAGCAGTATGGAGAGTGGCCGTCGGGGCAACCTGGATGGGAAGAAAGAGGTGTGTTAGGAAGCTGTTACAGTTGGTCACGGAGGACTTAATGGCTTGGGCCGGAGGGATGGAAATGGAGAGGAGTGGACAGATTCAGAATGTATTTTTGGAGCTGGAACCAATAATTCCTACTGACAGATTGTGAGAGGAGAAAAGGGGAGAATCAAGGAAGACTCTGGTGATTTTGTTTTGAGAAGTGGGGTTGGAGGTTAATACCACTCACTCAGATGGGGGAGACTTGGAGAGGACCAGGTTTATGGGCAAAACATCTAGCTTTTGTGTAGGTGATGGCCTGGTGGTAGCTATTGACACCCTCATCACTATTGTAGTGGATGCAGCGGCATGCTGCCCAGATCCCCTCTTCAGAGCCAAGACCCCAATCCTCCAGCCGATGGGAAGGTCACAGTTATTACTCATCAGAAACCTGCTCTCCTTCCGAGGCCATGCCTCCTCCCAAGAGGGGCCATGGCCGATAAAGGGCCGATGTGTAGACACACAGCCCAGGCTTCTTACCTAAATTGGAGACTACCCTAAAGGGCCATCCTTGTTCCAGAGGTCCCCGGATCAGCCAGGGCCTCTGGTGCAGCTGCACGTCTCTCAGCTTCTTCCTCTGCCCTGTCTGCCTCCTCACCTCCTCGCAGATGATTTCCCACTAACACCTACCAGCTTCTCACACCACCTCTGTCTCAGTCTGGATCCAGAGAACCTAGTGTAAGACAACTATTCTCATCACCATAATCGTTATTACCAGGTCATTTCCAGACTCCCAACCAATTTGAAAACTCTGTTATGAAGCATTCTGAAATAGCCTTTCAAACTTCTTGAACGCCTACTGTCTAAAAAGGCCTAACTCCCCATCTTTGTTCACCACAGCCCCCTCAGAAACAGTTTCTCATCCTAGATTTACTGAGAAAATTATGTGTATGTTGTCAATGCTCTGTCTATAGATGCACATTTGTACAAGTTAGACCCTGGGTCCTGATGTTGAGAAGGGGCCCATACCCAGTGAGTTGATACAGCAGGGATAACAGAGGCCTCCTGATTGATATACCACCCCAAACCCCTGCTCCCAAAGAAGAAAAGAATGTGCTTTCATGGTGTCTGTGTGTGTGTGTGTGTGTGTGTGTGTGTGTCTGTGTGTCTGTGTGTGTGTGTGATGCCCACATGTAACCAAATGGACTATAATGCTTATAGCTGGACAGATGCAGGGCCATTACATACGACTGCACTAGGTTGTACCCTATACAAATACACCTGGTGAAAAGGATAGTTGGGGGGTAAAATCCAGCCCATATTCTCCTGCCGACCTTATGCCCAGGTATGGTGCAGCATCTTTCTCTACCCACCACACCATGCACCCTGACCCAGGGCTAATTCTGCCCAGAGGGTATACTTTTTTCTAATTTGTACAAAAGCTCCAAAAGAACAGGAACAAGGAGCGCTGGTTATTAAACTCTTGTCCCTCGGCCCCAAATCCACCCTTCTGTTCTCTACTTTGTGCTCCTGGAGATGAAATCCTGCAAGCCACATTTCCCCTTCACTAGCTTCTCCTTACTAGGCCCCCTCCCATTGACTCTTGGAGGGACAAAGAGAGGCAGAAGGAGAGACCCCATCTATCCCATTTGCTGCTTACTCCTGGCCACATCACTCCACCAGCAGTGAATTCCAGTTCACTGGCTTTTTGCCACACCCTCAGAACCCACCTTGGCATGTCCAGCAACATCAGCACCAATCAGCCAGCACCAGCTTCTCTGAGTTTTAGGTCCTAGCACTGCAGTTTCTTCTCCAAGCTTCCAGGTTCTAATAACCCTGATCTCTTTCTTTGTTCCTCTGTCCTAAAGGTATAGCTGCCTTTTGGCAGTTACTATCTCTGTAAGTCCTCAATGGCCACTTTCTGTCTTTCTGCGCCTCCAATTCTTGTTTACTCAGTTCCCTACGTTAAAATCTCTCTGTTCAAACAACTTGTGTGAGCTCTGTTTTCCTGACTGACAGTCGTTGGGGGCATAAATGAGAGCCTTTCACAGTCAGAGCCCCCCAGTTACTGTTAGTCACTCATTTATTCATTCAACAAACATTTGTACTATAATCCCTATGTATAGAAGAAGGTGGCTTTGGTTGTATATATACACACACCTGTGTAAATACTGTTTATATATTTTGGTATACGTATAGAACACAAATGGGAGAATACACGAAAAATAGATGACAGTGATTCACTCTGGGAACTGGAGGTATTAGATGAGGAAAAGTATGTTTCATATAGCCTTTTGAGTTTTTAACACTCCACATATTACTGTTATATTTTGAAAAACTGATGAAAATTCATGTATTCAATGCCATCTGAGTGCCAGCAAAGGGGAAGTCCTGCAGATGCAGAGGTTTTGCCCCCAGAAATCTTCCTGCCTAGCCCGGGCTGACACTGCAAACCAGCAGAGCACCATATCTCGGTTTCCACTTCTCCTTGCCTTCAGATTTAGAGGAACATTCTTGGAAGATTAGAAGTTGATGGTAGAATCTCCAGCCAGTGTGACTAAGCTAAAGTAAATGAGTGGAACAAAAATATTAAGATGGGGGTATCCTTTGCAACGTCGTGTACAGGGGTTCAAAATGTAGAAACAAAGAAAGAGTGAGAAGGGAACTTAGAGCTAGTGGAGCACATTTTGGTTGCACCCCTGTATGCAATCCCACCCATCTGTAGTGAGCATGCAATCTGAGTAAAACTGACCTCAACCCCAGTTGTTGGAGTAGGACTAATAGTTCCAAGCCAAGTGGGGCAATCCTAAGCCTCCTGCCATGGGATTTGTTCAGGTAACTCCAGCTTAAGCCAATTAGCTTGAAATTTGGACTTCTGTGTGATGATTATTAGAAATAACACTCTTTCCAAGAGTGATGGTTAAAATATTTGCTAACCTCTCCAGATCAGGCTCTGAACCCCTGGAACCAGCGTAGGCTCAACTGGAATAGACCTGGCTCAGAGCAACCAGTTTGGGAACTGAGCTTAATGCCTGAAGTAGCTCCATCTCTCCCGCTCTGGCTGTAAAGCGTGTGATTGCAGATGCTGCTGGCTGCCTTTTTGTGATCATGAGATAAGCCACCCTGAAAATCAAAAGGATACCAAGAGGAGGACTGGATAAAGAGAACTGTACAGCCAGCACCCTGGGCAGACTGTGCCAAGGCCCACACTCTTTATTGTTCAGTCCTGTTTGTATTAGGTTTCAATACTTTGTGATGATGGTTTCTACATCCTCTCAATTATCTTCTTACTTCATATTTGGTTAAGGCTAAACTGAGGTCCAGAGCCAAAAAAAAAAGGCCTTGTCTGAACTCTTACAGAACCAGGACCTTAATCTTTTGTCTGTCAAACCAGTGGTCTCCTAATAAATCATAAAACCTCTTCCACCACGTTGTGGGAAGCAGCAGGGACTCCATCAGTGTTTGTTGAGTGAATTAATTACTAAATGAGAATGAGATCAGAGGGAAGTTCTGGCAAGGGCACAAGGTAAGCAAGGGTTTGGAGTGAAGGAGGGACAGTGCGGAGACGGGCAATGAAAAGAAACCCTCAAGAGTTTATTCTATTTTAGTCACATGAACACATTGGCAGTACAAAAGGCTTCCTTAAACTCCAGGGAGTTTCTGTGGATAAATATCTGATTGCCACTTGTCCAGAAACAATCAATACCCAAAGCACAGAAAGCATTTGGAAGTTTATTATAAAAATAACTAGAAGGGGTCTAGAAAGATCTCAGAGTGCCAAATCCCATCAAGAACTTGTGATCGGGGTGGGGACGGTGGGTAGGTAACAGAGTCTCAGCATTGTGAAATAATTCTCCTCTGAACAGGAGGAAGAAAAAGGCTGTCACTGTGCAATTAGAAAATGTCATCACTTTTCATGACACTTCAGTTTTTCTTATATGTAAAATGGAAAAAATAATAATACAGTCTCACTGCTATGGTTTGAATGTCCCCTCCAAAATTCATGTTGAAATGTAATTGCTGATATTAAGTGGTGGGTCTTTTAAGAGGTGGTTAGGTCATTCGGGACCTGCCCTCACGAATAGGTTAATGCCATTATGGCAGAAGTGGGTTAATTGTCATGGGAGTGGGCAGTCCCCATCCTCTCTCTGGTTCACATGCTCACTTGCCCTTCTGCCTCTCACCATGGAATGACGCAGCACAATGGCCCTCACCAGATGTCAGCACCATTCTCTTGGACTTCCAAACCTCTAGAATCATGAGCCAAATACATTTCTATTCATTGTAAATTACTCGGTTTCAGATATTCTGTTATAGAAGCAGAAAATAGACTAAGACGCCCACTGTACTTTATCTTTGGACCAGATGTTTCAACATTCAGAAATGCTGGGTTTTAGAAAAGTTACATGGTACATAACACTATATTATGGAGCACTCAGTGGGTTCTGGGGAACACCCTGTAATCAAATGCATTAATATTTTTGTAGGGAAACTTATAGATATTTACAGTAAATGGCATAATTAAGACCATAAATAGTCTCACATCAGTTCAGTCCAGGACTTGCCACCAAGTGAGTTATAAAAATCTTTCGGTTGTCAGAGCTTTTGGAGTTATTTTTAGAGACAGGGTCTTGCTCTGTCACACAGGCTGGAGTGCAGTGGCGTGATTATGGCTCACTGCAGCCTCAAACTCTTGGACTCAAGCAATGCTCCTGCCTCAGCCTCCCAGGACGGGGGTCTCACTTTGTTGCTCAAAGTGCTGAGATCATGAGCCACTGCACGCTACCACTTTTTGGATTTTTGAAACTGGGTTTAAGGGATGATGAGTATATCATGCATTGGGCTTTTGGGAGAATTGGATGAGGTAAAGCCAATGGCTGGCTTGGAGGAGTCACTCCATGTGTTACTAGTGTTATTTTCCTTCTGCTTCTATATATGAATGTCCCACATGGGCTCCAATCTCTACCTCGAGGAAGGCCATTCTCTCGTGGCCCCCTCTGGGACTGCCCTGAACCCCTGAGGCCTGTTTGCACCCTAAGGTCAAGGTGTCACAACCACCTGATGCACTCCACCACTAAAGGTCTCTCCACTCACCTCAGGGCCAATGTAAGGACCTGCTGGGTTCCAGAATTCTATGAGAACTGCCCCCACTGGTGGTGTTCAGCCCATTCCTCCTTTTTTTGCCTGCAGTCTTAAAGGACCACAGGGTTTGTCCACCTGACTCCACAGGCTTCTCCACAGGAAGCCAAGTCAGGCACAGGGGGCTGGCAGTAGTCAGGCTGCAAGGTTAAGGGCAAGATCACCAGGGACTGACTTTTTATCACACCATGCAGAAACCAGACACAGGACTGGGGCAAGGGTGAAACAAGCAAGACACCTCAGGCACAAAATTGAAGGAGGCCCTGTGCACCCCCTCACCTCATCTTCATCCTGGTCCTGCTCACAAATTGAATATAAGGTCAAAAACAAGAGAGTTTACCCAGGAAAATGCAGGCCAGAGAAGAGAGGATTGGCTGTATGAGTTATCCATTGCTGCATGACAAATTACCTCCAAAAATAATGGTTCAAAACAACAATAATCACTTATTATCTCATGCAGGCACTAGATCAGAATCTCTCACAAGGTAGCAGTCAAGATGTTGGCCAGGGCTGCAGTCCCTGAAGCCCTGACAGGAGGTGAAAGGTCCATTTCCAAGGTGGCTCACTCTCATGGCTGGCAAGTTGGTGGTGGATATTGGCAGGAGGCCCTAGTTCCTCTCATGTGGGCCTCTCCACAGGCTGCCTGAGTGTCCTCCTGACATGGTAGCTGACTTCCCTCAGAGGGAGCAATCCAAGAGACCAATGCAAAAGTTGCGATGCTTTTTATCACCTGGTCTAAGAAGTCACACACCCTGTCATTTCCACAGAATTCTATTGGTCACAAAGCACTAATCATGTGGGAAGGAACTAACTACACAGACAATGGATACCATGATATCAGGCTCATTGGGGACCATCTCAGATACTTGCAGTCATGGTCTGCCTTCTTGCCCTCTGTAATTCACATCTCTCTTAAATTAAAATTAGCTGATTCCCAAGCCTTTCAACATGCCCAAAAAGTCCTTCAATGACAACATCAGCATGAGGTCCAGTATCTTATTATTTAAATCATGTCCTGGCATAAATGAAGGTCCCATGATGCGGTTTCTCAAGTACAGCTCCTAGAGTATAGTTCCTCTCCATCCTAAAACTATAAACTAAAGAGATACATTATCTGCACCCCTACACACCCAACTTCCAATGGTGGACAGGCATTACTCTAGATTCCCTTTGCTCATTCAAAAATGGGGAAAGCAAGAGGCATATGGAAGTCACTGGCCCATAGCAATTTTGAAATCCAGCAGAGCAGATGTTAATCATTTCTTGATTGGGATTCACTCCTACCACTGCCCAGAAGTGATACTCTGTGTTTCTTCAACACTGCCTGGAACTCTTGTTTGTTGGATAACCCAGTTCATTAGGACCACTTGCTATTTTCCAGGTTATCACAAGTGACAGCATTTCTAAACTTTTTACCGTTACATAACAAAGAAGCTCTTCTCTCAAGTGTTTTACTCTTACTTTTATTTTTTTAGAGATAGAGTCTCACTTGTCACCCAAGCTGAAATGCAGTGGCGTGATCATAGCTCACTGTAACCTTGAACTCCTGGGCTCAAGTGCCTCAGCCTCCTGAGTAGCTAGGGCTACAGGTGCTCACCACCATGCTCCACTAATTTTTTAAAAATTTGTTGTAGAGATGGGGTCTCACTATGTTGTCCAGGCTTGTCTTAAACTCTAGGCCCCATGTGATCCTCCCAGCTTAGCTTCCCAAAGTGTTGAGATTACAGGCATGAGTACCTGACCCTCCTCATTTTCTTTTAAGCTCTTATTGCATCCTTATCACAGCCATCAGGCTTCTCTTGAAGTGAAGTCTCTTGAAGTCCCTTTAACTTATCATGCACCCTCGCCTCCCAGTTTCTGCCCAAATCCAGTGCCAAAGCCACTCCCACATTTCTTACAGCAGCACCACATTTCCAGGCACCTAAATCTGCACTATTTCTACTGCTGTATAGTAAACACCCCAAAACGTAGTGACTTAAAACAATAGTAATCATTTATTCTCTCTTACGTTTCTGTGGGTCAGGAATCCAGGAGTGGCTTGGCTGGGTAGTTCTAGTTCAGGATGTCTCATGAGATTGCAGACATTTATCAACTCAAGCGGCAGTCATCTGCAGGCTTGACCGGGGTGGAGGCTCCTTTTCCAAGGTGGCTCATTCATATGGCTGGTGAGTTGGAGCTGACTAAAGGCTTATGTTCCTCTCTATGGTAGACTTTCAATAGAGCTGCCTGATGATCCTCACAACAAGCCTCTAATGAGACAGGTAATCATCACCTTATCATACAAATACATGTAAAACTACAATTGAGATGAGTACAATGAGAAGGATGTACTTTTGCTCATAGGAGTACAAATAAAGAGTTGACCTAATCAGGAAAGTCATGGAAGACTTCCCTGGGGAGGTGATGCCTGGGCTGAGCTCTGGGGGATGAGCTCTTCTAACCAGACATAAAGAGAAGGAAGCCGAGCACAGTGGCTTACGCCTGCAATCCCAGCACTTTGGGAAGCCGAAGCAGGTGGATTACTTGAGCTCAGGAGTTGGAGACCAGCCTGGACAACATGAGGAAACCCCATCTCTACCAAAAATACAAAAAAGATTAGCCAGGTGTGGTGGTGCACACCTGTAATCCCAGCTACTTGGGAGGCTGAGGTGGAAGAATTGCTTGAGCCCAGGAGGTGGTGGACGCAGTGAGCCGAGATTGTGCCATTGCACTCCAGCCTGGGTGACAGAGTGGATCTCATCTCAAAAATTAAATAATAATAATTTAAAAAGAGAAGAGTGTTACAGGAACAGGGAACAGCATGTGTTAAGGCTCTGAGGCAGGAAAGAGGATAACTCTTTCTAGAACTTAATGAAGGCCAGTGAGGCTGAGGACAGTGAGGTGGAGAAGGGGAAGATTAGGCTGGAGGTAGAGAGAGAAGAGCCAGACAGGAGATGAGGACATAACATCCAACCCTTACATTTGTGTAACAGTGGAAACATCTCAGCATATCTTTTTACATACTCTTATTTTGACTTTCACATTCTAAGTAAGAATGCTAAGTAAGTTCCAGTGCGCACACTGGAACTCAGAGTGGTTAAGCAAATAAGTTCAGGTTACATTGCAAGACTGAGACCAAGGTAAGACTTATTTTCTCACTAAAATAACCACATTGTGCCACCTCCCTAAAGAGAAATGGCCCCCTTCCTAACTTTCCTTCTCCCTTACTAGTGCGTATGTGGTAATGCTTGTCCAGGAGTTGCCAGTGTGTCTTTACTAATCATGGTTGCACCTGGCACTCACAAAACCTCCTGGAGGTACACATATTTCCCTGTCATAAAGAGCTTCCCTCTCCCCCTCTTCACATCTCTCCTTACCCCACACCACCCCAGCACCCCTGCCCATACCTAGCAGCCAGGGGCTACACTTCCATCAGGTAATAACAGCTCAGGCAAGCTCATAGTCCATGGCTATGTAGGCTATTGCAGGCTGGCTTCCTCCATCCCAACTCCAGATGTGTTTCTAGTAGTGCCCAGAGCTTCCTGGAAACCCAGATTGGGATATCTTCAGATCCCATGCAAGCAGAGCGGTGTGCTCATCTGAATAGGTTCTAAGGCTGAAATCTCCTTCTGTGCATGGCCTGCCTCAGCAGCTGCTCCCTCGAGCTCCCCCAGTGAACCTTCCAGGCAGATAAGAAGTGACTGTGAACAGGATGGAAGGGAACGCCACAGCTTTGCTATCTGCCTCTTGCTAGGTATGTGGGCATTTTGAAACATAGAAGAACGCATTTTTACTTCCCTCCTTTATAAAAGCACTGACACTACTCATCGCATTGTCTTCTCTGCCTTCTCTCAGCCAATGGCGTCCGGGGTACTGAGAGATGAGACAGCACCCAGCTCTAGACCTTGCTACTGAATCATTCATTCTTCTAATTTTTTTCCTCTTTTAATTTTTTTTCTTTTTTCTTTTCGTAAAGACAGGGTCTCATTCTGTTGCCCAGGCTGACCTTAAACTCCTGGGCTCAAGCGGTCCTCCCACTTTGGCCTCCCACAGTGCTAGAATTGCAGGCATGAGCCACTGTGCCCAGCAGTTCTAACTGCTGACAATCTGATAAGTGCAAAAAGTAACTTTCTGCTCTGCTGCTTTCATTTGCACTTCTCTACTTTCTATTAAAATTGGGCAACACCTGTATGTTGATTAGCTGTTTGCCAATTGTTCTTCCTTCAAGGACTCCAGCCCCTTAGAAATGGAGCCTCTCCAGGTGTGTTTGATGAGTTGGGGTGGAGCCGAACTCTCCCCTCCCTTGTTTTGCATACTGCACTTCTGTTCATACAGCCTGATGATTGGACACTGGGCACAAAGAGCTCACAGAACAATGCCCCAAGCTGCCATTCCCCTGGGGGTGTCTGATGTTACCTGGAAATGTCGTGTTGGCATAGCTAGTGGGGACCCGTTTTAAGCTTGGGACCAAAGATCCTCCCTCCTGTTAGTAGGATAGGGATGACACAGCAGAGGGAATGCAGAGAGCCTTTGGGAGCTGCAGCCTCACATAGGCACAGTGTAAGGTGCAGGGCAGACTTGAGAGCCCTCCAGAGGAGCTACTTACAGAATGGGCTTTGAGCCAGAGCATGAGCAGAGGACAAGAGTTCTCTGCACTCAACGTTGAAGCCAGCTAGGTCCACCTAGGTCAAATTTTTGAGGAGGCCAGGACTGGGGTGAGGCAAGTGAAGTACTTAGTATATAAAATTTATAGAGGCACTGACTCTCAGGGCTCAGCCTGTATTCCCACAGCCCTGAGGGTGAGTGCCTCCTTACATTTCATGCCTAGGCACGTTTGCCTCACCCTAGTCCCAGCCCAGCCTGGGAGACAGG
Source organism: Homo sapiens (assembly GCF_000001405.40). NCBI lineage: Eukaryota > Metazoa > Chordata > Mammalia > Primates > Hominidae > Homo > Homo sapiens. The sequence goes on along the minus strand of NC_000015.10, from coordinate 69,685,694 downwards.
AACGTGGTGGGGCCCAGAGGAGTCGGGACAGTCCCCTCGTGTATGAGAATCCAGGCTTAGCTCTCAGAGAGGAGGAAGTGCTGACTGGGAAAGGAACCCACTCTACCTCCTTTATGGCTGTTTGTGTGTTGTGAACTTTCTGTTGTTCTAAATCCAGGGTATTAGTTCAATGGTTCTTAACAACTCCTCTGGTTGTCTTTATAAAGTCCTGTGTCAGTTAGTGGGAGATAGAAACCAGTGTAGCTCTTTTCTTTTCTTTTCTTTCTTTCCTTTTTTTTTTTTTTTTCAAAGTCTTGCTCTGTTGCCCAGGCTGGAGTGCAGTGGCGGGATCTTGACTCACTGCAAACTGACTCCCAGGTTCAAGCAATTCTCCTGCCTCAGCCCCCTGAGTAGCTGGGATTACAGGCATGCACCACAATGCCCGGTTAATTTTTGTATTTTTATTAGAGATGGGGTTTCATCATATTGGCCAGGCTGGTCTCAAACTCCTGACCTCAGGTGATCTGCCCACCTTGGCCTCCCAAAGTGCTGGAATTACAGGCTTGAGCCACTGTACCCAGCCTAGCATAGCTATTTTCAACAGGAAAGCATTTAATACAAGGATTTTTTTAAAATGGAATACTATGCAGCCATAAAAAAGAACAAGTTCATGTCCTTTGCAGGGACATGGACGAAGCTGGGAACCATCATTCTCAGCAAACTAACACAGGAACAGAAAACCAAACACCACATGTTCTCACTCATAAGTGGTAGTCGAACAATGAGAACAGAACACATGGACACAGGGAGGGGAACATCATACAGGGCCTGTCAGGGGGTCGGGGGCAAGGGGAGGGAGAGCATTAGGACAAATACCTAACGTATGCAGGGCTTAAAACCTAGATGATGGGTTGATAGGTGCAGCAAACCACCATGGCACATGTATACCTATGTAAAAAACCTGCACGTTCTGCACACGTATCGCAGAACTTTAAGTAAAATAAAATAAAATAAAATAAAATAAAATAATAAATAAATAAACAAAAAAGCACTGGAAGGACTGGAGCAGCAGACTCTTGCCTGGGCTTCCAGGAATGTCTCTCCAAACACCACAGAACCAACCCACTGAGAGAGTTGCTCCCTGTGACACAGCCAGGACGGGGAGAATTGGGAGATCACCACTATCTATTCAAGAACACAGCCCCTTAGCTGTGGTCCAGGGATCAGAAGCCAGGGACTAGGGTCATAAAACCATCACAGCTGCTTTTCTCACCTTCAACAAGGCTGGAGCTTGGATGCAGAAACACTGGGGCAGAGGTCCCCTCATCTCCCACCTCTGCTCTCTCACAGAAAACTGCGCCAAACAAAAGGAAGGGAGCCTCTGCCTCACTTCCGCTTCACATCTCAGCTTGATGGCATCTGATTGGCAGAACAAAGTGTACTGTCAGAGCAATAGCTGCAAGGGAGTTTGAGAAATATCATTTTTATCTTCCCTACCATTACAGTCCAGGAAGACGCCATAGAAAGTGGTGAGAATGCTGGGGACCAGGGGACAATACCCAACTCAAGTCTCAAGTTTAAAGGCTCCTGCAGGTGAGGGAAGAGAAACTAGGGGACCTCATGCTATTTACAGGCACACCTCATATTACTGAACTCACTTGATTGTGCTCAGCAGATGTTGCAATTGTACAATTTGGAGGTTGTGGCAATCCTGCATACAGCAAGTCTATCAGAGCTATTTTTCCAACAGATTGTGCTCACTCTGTGTCTCTGTTGTCACATTTTGGTAATTCTCACAATAATTCAAACTTAGTCATTATTACTACATCTGTTATAGTGATCTGTGATCAATGATCTTTGATGTCACTATTGTAATTATTTTGGAGTGCCATGAACCACGCCCACAGTGAACTCGATAAATGTCGCGTGTGTTCTGACTGCTCCTACTGGCCAATCCCTGTCTCTGTCCCTGTCCTTGGGCCTTCCTATTCCTTGAAACACATACATATGGAAATTATGCCAATTAATAACCCTACAATGGCCTCTAAGTATTCAAGTGGAAAAAAGAGTCACAGTCTCTCACTTTCAATCAAAAGCTGGAAAAGATGAAGCATGTGAGGAAGGCACGTCAAAAGCCAAGAGAGGCTGAAAGCTAGACCTCTCACAGCAAACAGCCAAGTTGTGAACGCAAAGGAAAAATTCTTGAAGGAAATGAAAAGTGCTACTCCAGTGAACACACGAATCATAAGAAAGTGAAACAGCCTTATTGCTGACATAAAGTCTGAGTGGTCTGGATGAAAGATCAAATCAGCCACAACATTCCCTTAAGCCAAAGCCTAATCCAGAGCCTAATCCTCTTTCAATTCTATGAAGGCTGAGAGAGCTGAGGAAGCTGTAGAAGAAAAGTTGGAAGCTAGCAGAGGTTGGTTTATGAGGTTTAAGGAGAGAAGCCATCTCCAGAACATAAAAGTGCAAGGTGAAGCAGCAAGTGCTGACAGAGAAGCTGCAGCAAGTTATCCAGAAGATCTAGCTAAGATGGCTGATGAAAGTAGCTACACTAAACAACAGATTTTCAATGAAGATGAAACGGCCTACTCTTGGAAGAAGTTGCCATCCAAGACTTTCATAGATAAAGAAAAGTCGGCTGGGCATGGTGGCTCACTCCTGTAATCCCAGCACTTTGGGAGGCTGAGGCGGGTGGATCACAAGGTCAGGAGCTCAAGACCAGCCTGACCAAAATGGTGAAACCCCATCTCTACTAAAAATACAAAAATTAGCCGGGCGTGGTGGCATGCGCCTGTAGTCCCAGCTACTCGGGAGGCAGAGGCAGGAGAATTGCTTGAACCCGGGAGGCAAGAGGTTGCAGTGAGATGAGATCATGCCACTGCACTCCAGCCTGGGCAACAGAGTGAGGCTCCATCTCAAAATAATTAAAAAAAAAAAAAAGAAAAGAAAAGAAAAGAAAAGTCAGTGCCTGACTTCCATGGCAAAGGACAGGTTGACTCTCTTATCAGGGGCTAATGGAGCTGGTGACTTTAAGTTGAAGCCAATGCTCCTCCTTTACCATCACCAAAATCCTAGGGCCATTAAGAACGATGCTAAATCTACTCTCCCTGTGCTCTATCAGTGGAACAACAAAGCCTGGATGACAGCACATTGGTTTACAACATGGGTTACTGAATATTTTAAGCCCAATTTTGAGACCTACTGCTCAGGAAAAAAAGATTCCTTTCAAAATATGACTGTTCATTGCCAATGGACCTGGTCACCCAAAAACTCTGATGGAGATGTATAAAGAGATGTACAATTGATGTTGTTTTCATGCCTGCTAACACAACATCCAATCTCAGCCCTTAGCTCAAAGAGTAATTTCAACTTTCAAGTCTTATTATTTAAGAAATAATTTTTTAAAAGTTTTAGCAGTCATAGATAGTGATTCCTTGGAAGGATCTAGGAAAAATAAATTGAAATCTTCCTGGAAAGGATTTCCCCTTCTAGATGCCATAAGAACACTTGTGATTCATAGAACGTGGTCAAAATAGCAACATTAACAGGAGTTTGGAAGAAGTGGATTCCAACTCTCATGGATGACTTTGAGGGCTTCAGACTTCAGTGCAGGAAGTAACTGCAGAAGTGGCAGAGACATAAAATGACAAGTGGAGCCTAAAGATGACATTGAATCATTGCAATTTTATGATAAAGCTTCAGCAGATGAGGAGTTGCTTCTGACAGATATGCAAAGAAAGTGGTTTCTTGAGGTGGAATCTACTGGTGCTATGAACATCGTTCAAATGACAACAAAGTATTTAGAATATCAAACTTAGTTGATAAAGCGGGAGCAGGGATTAAGAGGATTGACTCCAATTTTGAAAGAAGTTCTGCTGTGGATAAAATGTTGTCAAAAGCTACAGAGAAATCTTTTTTGAAAGGAAGAGTCAATTGATGCAACAAACTTCATTGTTTTTGTCCTTTAAGAAATTGCCACTGTCATCCCAATCTTCAGTAACCACCACCCAGATCAGTCAGCAGCCATCAACACTGAAGGAAGACCCTCCACCAGCAAAATGTTTATGACGACTTGAAGATTCTGATGATCGTTAGCATTTTTTATCAATAAAGTATTTTTAATTAAGGTATGTACATTGTTTTTTAGACAATGCTATTGCTTACTTAATAGACAACAGTATCATGCAGACACAACTTTTATATGCACTGGGACACCAAAAAAATTGTGTGACTTGTTTTATTGTGATATTTGCTTTATTGTGGTAGCCTGGAACCAAACCTGCAATATCTCTGTGGTGTGCCTGTGTCAGAGTAGGGACCTGGTGCTCAGGCATGGCAAACCTGCCCACGGAGCCCCACTGCCCCCACCTCACAGACCTCTGCCTTTGCCAGGCTGCTCACCATCCACAGGCCACACGACTGATCAAGGCCCAGATGACCTTTCATTTGCAAGCACTTGAGCACGCGCAGGAGAATTCAGCAGTACAGGGCAGGCTGTGGCAAAACCATGCCTCCCTTCACCCCAGTCCAGATCCCAGACTCTGGAATCTCTAGAGACTGAAACTGCAAATAAATATGTGACAAGTCTGAGAAATTTGCCTCCTTCAAAGCATTAGTGTCATTGCTGCAAGTGTGTGGATTCTCCACTTGGTGGATTTGTGTCTGCCTCCAATTCCTCGCTTTGTTTTACCTAAGGGCTTTTCTAGTATCTTTGGCAATGAGATCTGGAAATGAGTTGGCATCTGGTCTAATCGTTTGGTGGAGTAAGTCTGGTTCCCCACCTGTCAGCTGGAGCTCCCTAGCTTCCTTAACATCTAGATCCGTGTGGCTGGAAACACTAAACCCTGCCTTATGGTTCAAGGTCTCCCCTGAGACTTCACTTGGTTAGGCCAGAGCTTAGGGCCCCAGCATGGCCTCAGCCTCCTGGGCCCTCCCTCATGCACCACATGGAGGTATGGAGCAGGGCACAGGGGAAGAGAGGGCCCTGGAGGCTGAGTCTCTTCCCTGGGCAGCTCAAACCTGCCACATAGAGCATCAGACAGGACAGGAAAGACATCCTAATATAGCTCTGAGCACACTGCATGACAAATGTTCTAGGGCCACACTCTCATTCTTTTTTTCTCTCCCACTTAGAAAAGTGGCAAAGTAGCACCACAGTCTGCTTCCTAAAGGCCTTCCCACTTCACCCCGTCCCCAAAACCCACCACACATTTCTCACGGGCTCTGCCACCCATAAAGCATCCTAGCATCTCATCATCTTTCTGGCTACTCTGTCTTCCTCCTTCTTTTTCTCTGTTTTTTGTTTCCTTTCTATTTTTTTTTCTAATCTCCCCTCTCAGGAGCAAAAGTGAGAAGGTTTCCATCTTCAGCAACAAGCTAGCTTATTCTCTGGGAGTCCAGCTGGGGCATTTGCCCTCCAAGTTTCTCTCTCCAGTCCAGTGACTTATCCAGAAAGTGTCTCAAAGTCAGTTCCCATTCCATGTGGAATGTTAGTTCCAGCTGTTAGGACAGTAAATGTTTCACCTCATTACTAATGTGTGTATACACACACACACACACATATATTACATATAGCTGTAGCTATAAAATCACATATCTCAATATCTTCATATATAGACAAATTGTGCATAAGCAATCCTTATGAGCAATGTTTTAAATGATGCGCTAATTGTCATATCTTCATAAAACTAACATGACTGGCCCTCCCTTCTCCGGTTCCCCTTCTCACTCCCTTCCTCCCACACCGTTACCTTTCCGCCGTTGCAACTCCCATCCCAGGTGTGCTATAAAGCACACTAGGTGTAAATAGTTGTCATCCTGAGAGCTGAGCAAGGCAGCTATGCTTGACCATGTGTGTTCCCAGGGGAACCCCAGTGCCATCGAGGCTGTCTTGTAAGGACCGTGAGGGCTGGCCCCTCGCTGATCTGTGACTTGTGGTTTCTTCTAGATGAGTCAGCCAAGGTGGGGACGTGAAATGAATCAAGCAGATGTGTGTCAATGATGCTCTGAAGAATGATGCCAGCACTCATGGCTTCACACAAAACAGCCCCAGAACTCCTGGCTTTAGATGTACATCCAGGCCAGGCTCTCCCAACCTCAGCACAGTTCAGATAATATGGACTGCCCTGTACACTGAAGGATGCTTAGCAGCATCCCAGGCCTCTACCCACTGGATGCCAGGAGTACCCCCAAGCCCTCAGCTGGGACAACCAAAAATGTCTCCTGATATTGCCAAATGTCTCCCTGGAAAGTAAAAATCACCCCTCAGCTGAGAATCAGTGCTCTATAACTGTATAGATAAATATTGTCTATACAGCAATGTATACATACATATAAACAATTAAATATTTATATGTCCTTATTTTAAGTTGGCATCTGATATAAACTTTTCATTCAATCAGCATATGCACAAAACAGAAATGTGACATATTTTCTTCCTTTTCTTTTAAAAATTAATGTCTTCTGTGATAATAGTGACATTTGTGATAACTAAATAAATAGAACCATCATATATCTTTCTGTGAAGCTGGCATTGAAGCAGCAGTGAGAAGGGAGTTTTGGAGTGTCAGTTGCCTTCCCCTGGACCCACCATGGCTCCTGCCTCCTGGAGCTTTGAGAATGCAGATGGACTGTATAAACCAAAAATAAAATTCTAAGTTCCCCCAGCCATCTGAATGGACCCCTCCTGTTGGCCAAGGGCATTCCAAAGTTAACCTGAAAAATGAATTCAGGACATGATGGGAACAGAGAGCTGGACATGCCTCATTATACCCTCCTCCCTTTTGGAATTACTGATAGAAGACTCTTTAAATCTGATAAGAAACATTTACAGTCTATTCTTGACTGGGTGCAGTGGCTCATGCCTGTAATCCCAGCATTTTGGGAGCTGAGGCAGGTGAATCACTTGAGGTCAGGAGTTCCAGACCAGCCTAGTCAACATGGTGAAACCCCATCTCTACTAAAAATACAAAAATTAGCTGGGCATGGTGGCAGACACCTGTAATCCCAGCTACTCAGGAGACTGAAGCACAAGAATCGCTTGAACCCAGGAGGTGGAGGTTGCAGTGAGCCGAGATTGCACCACTGCACTCCAGCCTGGGCAACAGAGCAAGACAGGAAAGGAAAGGAAAGGGAAAGGAAAGGAAAGGAAAGGAAAGGAAAGGAAAGGAAAGGAAAGGAAAAAGGAAAGGAAAGGAAAGGAAAGGAAAGGAAAGGAAAGGAAAGGAAAGGAAAGGAAAGGAAAGGAAAGGAAAGGAAAGGAAAGGAAAGGAAAGGAAAGGAAAGGAAAAGAAAAGAAAGAAAGAAAGAAAGAAAGAAAGAAAGAAAGAAAGAAAGAAAGAAAGAAAAACATTTACAATCTATTCTCTCTGAAGCCTCCTACCTGGAGGCTTAATCTGCATGATAAAACTCTGGTCTCCACAACCCCTTATCGTAAACCCAGATATTCTTTTCTATTGATTCCAAGTCTTTAGATAATAATTCTTTCAACCAATTACCAATCAGAAAATCTTTGAATTAGGTTGTCCCACCTTTCCCGACTGAACCAATGTATTTTACACATATTAATTGATGATTTATGTCCTCCTAAAATGTATAAAATCAAGTTGTAGCCTGACCATCTTGGGCACATGTTCTCAGAATCTCCTGAGAGCTGTGTCACAGGCCATTGATCACTCATATTTGGCTCAGAATAAACCCCTCCAAATACATTACAGAGTCTGACTCTTTTCGTTGACAACAATTAGGGGTCCTAGTCACTTGGCATTTGTCTTCTCTAGCCAAGACACCTCAGAGATCCCTGTGCAAACCAATTCAAAGGGGAAAGGAAAGATGAGCTGATCTTCAGTTACACAGGATTGCCAGCTACGTCAGCCCCAATATAGTACATTCTCAAGATAGGATAGATTATGGTGCAATAAAACATAATCCAAAAAACTGCAGTGGTGTAAGGCATTCCAGGTCTGTTTCTCTCTCATCTTCACGGCAATTACAGGTCATGCTCTATGTTGCTGTTATCTCATTCTGGGCTAAGCAACCACACTGGGGAACATGGGGAAGTACATACTCACTCGGAAAGTGCCTGCCTCAAAGTGGATGTCACTTCTCTCACATTTCATTGACCAAATCAAGTCACATGCCGATGCCTGAATTCAACAGGTGCCTCCTGCAGAAGGAGGACAGGGAATTAATGGACAATCATAGAGCTCAGCACACATGCTTAACTTCTCTACTCAGAGGTTCCTTCAGTGCCTCCCAGCACACTAGGGCCCCACCCTATCCTGTCCGATGCCAACCCTCTTCTCTTCTTCAGCTGGACATTTTCCAAAGTCTCTCTCCTCTCCCACCCCCAGCTAGTAATAATTTTCAGAATCTTCATCATTAGCTACCATATCTCCACCCCCTTCCATTCATCAAAGATAATCAAGACATCATTTTTAAACCCAAAGTCTAAGCTTCCCTTCCAATTCTGGACTCACAGGACTTATTTCTCAGGACTGTTTAAAAAGAGAGCTTACAGCAGGGTTTCTAGGCAATGGCACTCTTGACATTCTAGACTGGATAATTGTTTGTTGTAGGGGGTTGTCCTGGTCATTGTAGGATGTTTACCAGCATCCCTGGCTTCTACCCACTAGATATCTGTAGCACTCCCCAAGTTATGACAACCAAAAACATCTTCCGATTGCCAAATACCCACTGGGAGGAAGGGGACAAAATTGTTCCCAGTTGAAAACCACTAGTCTACAGAAGTTCCAGCCCATTGCTGCTCCTGGCTAATTATTTATTTATATTACATGAATCTACTGAGTACTTGCTAAGTGTCTACCCCTTCATCAACAAACACATGCTGGGCACCTACTTCAGACACTGGCTGAAGGCAAGAGGTGCCAAGATCACATAGGTGTGGTCCCTGCCCTCCAAGCACTCACAAACAGTGCAAGCCAGCAGACATGTTAAAATATAAGTTCGGCACAATACAATACGTTCATGGCTCTGTGAGCAAATTGCCATGCGAGCTCAAGACAGAAGCCTTTGGCAGGGAAAACTACACAAAGAAGTTAAGAACACTGGAAAGTAATGATGCTTCATGTTTATACCATACGTTGTGATTTGCAAAGCACTTTCACATATGTTATCTGCCTTGATCCTGAAACAACCTTGAGAGGTGGTTGTTGCTCTCCCCATTTTGCAGATAAGAAAAGCGAGGTTCAAAAGGATTCAGCCACTCCCTAGGTCGCACAACAATTGAGTGGCAGAAGTGGGACTATTTCTGCCACTAGTTGGGTGCCCCAACTCCAAAATTGTTTTCTCCTATTCCCCTGCAGAACTTAGGAAGGCTGCGGGGAGCTGAAGGGCCATTGATGCCACAGCAGGAAGATCATACTTCCCACACCCATGTACCCAAGGCGAAGGTGCCTGGCCTCAAGCAAGATTAGGACTGTTAGATCAGGAACACGGAATGTGAGGAGAAGAGAAACAGTCAACTCTTTTCATTTCAAAATAGAACTTTGGTACTCATAGCAGAGACAAGTTCTTGAAAGATAAGGCTTTTGATTTGCAAAAACTGTTTTTTTTTTTTTTCCAGTTCTAAAAGCCTAGTTTTAGCATCATCAGAAGCAAAGCTCTGAAGGAATTGGGGCATAAAGTCTAGATTAGAAAAAGGAGAGCTGGAGAACCAGACTGCCATGCTGCCGAGATTAGACATGGATAACTAAGAGGGGTGGGGTGGGCGGAGGCAGAGGTGAGAGCAGCAGAAGGAGCTACTGATATGTGAGGCAGGGACAAGGAGTCACATGCTTCACTCCTCCTGTGGTCCAATCTCAGTGGGAGAGGAAGTAAGTATCAGACCCAGAAATCTCTGGCCAGTTTGGGAAACAAGAAGGGAGGGGCCTTGGGATGATAGCAAACCTTAGAGAGAGATCCCTGTCCAGTGGAGGAGCCCAGACATATGGACACAGAGAGTGCCACTCCCTCACTCAGCCTGGTGCAGAGAGAATAGATGGGCTTCTCCATGCCCACAAGGAGTGGGGCAGAGGGGTCACCTGAAAGGCAGAGCCTCGCAGGGGACTCACAACAACAGGAGAGGATGTCCTGTGAGATCAGATGAGGACACTGTCATGTCCCAGCTGATGCCAGCAAGGAGGGGAACAACTGTCTGAACAACACACTGGATGGCAGATATCAGCAGATGTTGACAAGTGAGTCTCACTGGAATGAGATGGAGAACAACACAGTCCAGCAAATATCCAGAGACTCACTCTGATTGGAACAGGGCATGTCACAGGTCCAAGCCCACTGAACCAATCACTGTGGTCAGAGAAGTGAGTGTTTCAATTGGAGGGAGTCTCTTCTTGCTCCATGTATCTTCTTTCTCAGTTTCTCCCCCCCAAAGTCAACCACTGTTTATGGTTTCTTGTGTATCTTTTCAGAATGAGAAGTTCTCCATTTACACAAACTCATCTATGTGTATGTGGTCCCTCACTTTCTTTACTCAGTGTCAGCCTACCATACACACCCCATTACACTTAGATTTTTGACCTAACACATCCTAGAGACTTTATATCTGCTCTTCTGAAAGCTGCCAATGACCTCCCTGTCATCAAATACTCTCTACTACTCCACAGCTGAGTAGGGGAGCCAGGTGGTGCCAGGAGAATCCACTTCTCCTGACTCATGGTCCTGTGTTCTGTCCCATGCCCATGCCTGCCCAGCACCCCCGGCCACCATCCTGTATGAGCCAATCATGTCCATCTAAGGCACAATCTGGAAGCCAACACGAAACCACGTCCCCCCAACCCCCATCACAGCACCTGAGCCCAGTAACCTGAATATAAGCCTTCCTGGAAAAAGGGACCTAGCCTACACCCTCACCACTCAAAGTGGGGTCCAAGGACCAGCATCAGCAGCAGCATTGCCTGGGCACTTTTAGAAATGCAACATCTTAGGCCCTTTGCAGAATCTTGGTCTTTATTTAAACAAGATCCCCAGGGGGATTCTTGGGCATATTTAAGTTTGAGAAATGCTGGTCTACCTACCTTCTTCTGAGCACTTGGACTTTTCCAGTCCAAGAGGTTTCCAGTTCACAGGCTGTTCTTGCACTTTGCTGCTGATATAAATACTCTCATCGCTGCTGTATTGGGTTTACATTTAAGGATTCCCAAAATAAACCTGGCCCTTGTGTACACAAAGATGCTAGTGGCTCTCCAGGTTGCAAGGAGGTGAGTTAGGGAAACCCTGATCCTTTTTTGCCATCAATGGCCAGAAAAGGTTTGCAGGGGCCTCTTAGATATTCCTGCTTCTGTGCTTCCCTTACCTCCTGGCACGTGATGCCTGCTTGCCTTTCCCCCTGAAATACTGTGTTTATAAACAAAGCCACATGTGAACCCATAAAGGGAAGTCTAAGTGGGATCCCTGCGCTACAGGGCCCAGCATCTCCTACGGAGGCAGCTGATTCTCACGAAGCGACGAAGGAGCCATCCAGAATGGTCAACCGTCTCTCCTGGGGCATTCTGGATGAAAAGCCACCCTCCTGGAGTACAGGAGAAAAGCCTCCCAGCTTTTACTGTGGTTCTTGGTTCCTATCCTCCAGCGCAATTTAATTTTTTAAATAGATGTCAGTCCCTATTTTTCTGATAAATGGCTGAGTTTTTAACACGTGGACATGTTATAGAAAAGCGCAGGTATGGGTCATGCGAAAGCTTGGTGAAAAAAAGAAAGAAAATAGGAAAGCTTTTATATTCTCACTATTTAGCACAAAATTATAATGGTAGGAATACTTTCTAATTCCACAGCAAGGCAATGCCTACCCACACCATATGAGTCCATGAGAATGTGTGTTGACATTACTTAGAGGGGGTGTGGGAATGGGAGATGGGGTTGGGGTGTGTGGGAGGAGGTAGGCAGATTTGACCATTTGTGTTATTACTAAAAAGTTCAAATTAAAAACGAAGCAAAACAATGTACTATAGCGCTTCCTTATTTCTTTATTTTTTTGTTTTGATGGGATTTAACATAAAATAATGCTGACCTAGCTGAAATCTTCAGAATGTGAAGTCGACATCAGATCTCCATGCACCATATTTTTGACTTGCAAATGCCTTCCAAGAATAGCTGGAGTGTCCTTATTAAGCCCAGCTTGTGATGCATCCTTACTTAGCACCGTCTGCTCCGGCACTGTATAATTCATGGACTTGCCTTATGAAGTTAGGGAGGGATGGAAACCGTGACCAGCCCATGAACCCAAGCTGACACTTCAATTATTTTAAAAGGAACACAGAGAAAGCTGAAATCTGACCGGCCTCTCAGCCCCATCCTCGGGGACGCCCAGCCAGCCTTTCTTTAGCCAGGCTCCAGGTCCATCTGCATCAATGCTGGGGGCATCGTATTCGGCCAAGGGAAACTGTCATCTTAGTTCCAGCCTTATACTCAGCGGTGACCCAGCATCTCTGGTGAGGATGGTGCAGCTCAAGAAACAAGCCTGAGGGTCCATGGTATTTAGAGTTGAGTTTCATTAATTTTAGCAAACAAGGATGAGCCTGATCATGGTAATAATAATCACTATAGTTACCATATATGAGCTCTTCCAGGCTGCCAAGTCTGGTACCAAGCACCGTTTAAGTATTACCTCATTTAAAGCATAGAGCAAAGTAGGAATTATTGTCCCATTTTACAGAGGAAGAGACTGTGTCCCAGAAGCTGCCCTAAAGCCACAGATAATGACAGGAAAGTCCTGGATTCAAACACAGGTCTGCTGGGCCCCAAAGCACATGTTCCTAATGAGTGCTCTGCAAAGGGAGTGCCCTAAGGCCCAGGGCTGGGCACGATTGTCATATGGGAAGAAAATAACAGAAATGTTATATATGCTTTAAAATCTCATTTCAAAATTTCTATTTTTGCACATTTTCATACATATTATTATATCTCAATGTACATAGTGAATAAACAAAGATATATTTTATATTGACTGACCTTATGCAGGGTACCCTTTCTCATCAAGACCACCCCGCTCATGGGGACCTCCATTCCCCAGGGCAGGTGACCCTGTTATATGACCTTCATGGCCCGTAACTCCATTGGTAACTATCCTTATTAGATTGTTTCTTGACTTTTTTTTGTCCCGCCACTGCAATGGAAACTCCCCAGGAGTTTGGATGCTTCATCTCTGCTGAGACCCAGTGCCTTGCACTGAAGGTGCTCAGGCACATATATTGATGACTGTGTGGTCTGATTTTTTTTTTCTTAATTGTAAAGTTTTGAGGCCACTGCTCTTCACTCTTCCCTTGTAGTGACCCCTGACCAGGTTTTCCACAGATGGGGGGCTCTAGGCAACCTGGCCCTCTCTCCTCAGGATCCTTTTTGAGATCCTCATCTGAGACCTCTTTAGCCCCATGTGGACATTGGCAAGCTTGACTTCCCCCACCAGCCTGGCACACGAAGAAACAGACGCATCTACAATCTGAAGACTACTTCTAATTTGTGGTGGGAGCTCTGATCAGCCATGCACCTCCCTGGGTCTCAGCATCCTTTTTTGCAAGCAGGAGGGGCTTTACCACAGGGGCCTTGGCCCCATCAGGACCTGTGAGGCTGAGGCTCCATGTCCAGGTGAAAACGTGCCCTCCTTATGTTTCGTTTCATAAGCCTGCAGCTTTAGGAAGGGGCCACACTCCTGCTGCTGCCCCTCCAGCCAGGTGTGTCACCTTCATGGTGATCCCACCCCTCTCCAGGTCTCAGTACTTTCACCTGTTCTGAGTGAAGGAGGGGTTGTGGATTATCCCGGGATCTAATGAGCTAGGTGTTGCGCTTACCCTTGGAAAATTCACAAGAACTCTCTAGATGAACCTCACATTCCTCGGCTTCTGTCATCATAGATCCAGTTTAGCAGATGGCAGGGGCTTCCGATCATTCAGAAGGTATTTCCTGAGCACCTTCAGTGCCAGGCACTGGGTCTCAGCAGAGATGAAGCATCCAAACTCCTGGGGAGTTTCCACTGCAGTGGGGGGACAAAAAAAAAAAGCAAGAAACAATCTAATAAGGATAGTTACCAATGGAGTTACGGGCCATGAAGGTCATATAAGAGGGTCACCTGCCCTGGGGAATGGAGGCCCCCATGAGCGGGGTGGTCTTGATGAGAAAGGGTACCCTGCATAAGGTCAGAAGAAGAGCTGTCTGAGACGAGGAAACAGTCGAAGCAAAGGCCTGGGGAAAGAACGTGTTTGGTTTATTCAAGGGACAGAAGAAAGTGCAGAGTGGTTGGGGCTGAGGGAGCAAGGGCGGGATGTAGGCAGGGCTGCATATACAGCTAGGTGATAACTCAGTGCAGAGAAAACACCACCCATGGGTACCAGCACTCCTGCCCCAGACAGGTCCAAACTCCCCTTCGAGATATCTGCTTGATTTGAGCATCTAAGGGAGCCCTTGCCACTTAATACTAAAGACTTGGAGAACTAAACTGGAAGCTCAGATCGTGCAGATGGCCCACCCCATCCCACCCCTGGCTCCCTGACTTGGGAGGCTCTCTTCTCCCCACCTCCACGTCTCTCTTCCATCAAAAGAGGGCCTGGCAGCTGCTGCTTTGGTGGTGATTGAGATGTGCCTAGCAGCATGTCTGCAGCAACCATCTCCTGGGCTGTGCTCTGCCCCTGTAGTCAGCCACCCAACCCCACTGGGCTTTGAAGCCAGGAGCTCATCTTGAAGGGTTTCTCCCTAGCTCGAGGCAGGCTAGCCAGGGGAAACCAGTGTCTCAGCTGAGGTCCTCTCCTCCCCCTGGGCGTCTGGAAGCACCGACAAACCCTCAGCTCTCAGGGTTAACAAAGTCTGGAGGCAGGGCAGGGACACACAGACTGCAGTGTTCACAGCCACCACCCAAAGTGAGTGATGCAGAAACACAGTCCCCTGTGTGCCTATCAGCCAGATCCAGCCCCTACACACACAGGGCCCAGGGAGAGGCAGGCTTCCTCCAGGAAAGGAAGGCTGGGTCATAGTTGCTGGGGGTGAGAGGGCACCCCAGAGATGCCCCACAAAATGAGCAGGCTGACAAGAGTAATCCCAGTTCATATTAGGTACCCACTATGTGCCAGGCTTCACACTGGGCTCTTGACACTCAAAGCTCCTTACCTTACTGCACCTTCACTCAGCAAGCCTGAGACTCCATGGTTAGTACCACCCCATTTTATAGATGAAGAAACTGAGGTTCTGAGAAATAAACTAACAGCCTTCACTGTGCTAGGAAGTGGCTAAGGGGAGTTGGAGCCGGCCTGCTGCCTCTGCCCCATCCCTGCCTCCTCAAGGCCTAGAGTCTGTGCTGACCCTTTGCCGAGGTCAAGCCCAGGTCAGCTGCGTGGGGTGCAAGCAGGGACATGATCTCTATGATTGATGAGCTTACAGCCAAATTGCAGACACAAGAAAGCACTCAGGAAACGATTCTAGAGGAGGAGAATGTGGGGCTGAATAAGGGAGAAAAGCGCATTGAACTTGGGAGTCAGACAGACATGGGTTGGGACCTGAGCCCTCTGAACCTCAGTTTCCTCACCTGTAAAATGAGCATCATCCTGAGTCCTGCTCAAGGTGGTCCCTAGGCGCCCATGAGTGCTGGCAAATACTCAGCGTGCCATGAGCATTGTACGAATGTTTCCTTGCTTCTTTCTTAGCATTATTTTTCTATTCCTTAAAATAAGCATAGTAAGACTTTGGAGAAGGAAGGACTCCATGTGGCCTGGAATCGTCAGGACAGGTTTCCTAGAGGAGCTGGGACCTGGGCCTCCACTGGACTTGCTGCGTCTGATCTCAAGCAGAGCTGAAGGTGTCATTATTTGCCAAGTACGCCATTGTTCTGAGATTCAGTTTCCTCATTTGTAAATGGAGATAAGCATAACTAATTTACCAACAGATCACACACACAGAGCTGTCCAGCAGGATGGAAGGAAGCGAGGAACCCAGAGATTTGGGTCCAGTCAGAGTTCTGCCACTATGGTGTTACCCTAGGCAGGTCACGTTTTGTCTCTATGATTTTGTCTCCTCATCTGTGAAATGGGAATTTTTTATTTTGAAGTCACTAGGTGAGTCACTTCACCTCCCTAGAAGTTGCTTCCTCATTGGTAAAATGCCTGGTTGTAGCTCTCCACGTTTTTTTCTCTTGGGTTTAAAGCCCCTGTGGCTTGGATTCTAAGCTAGGGCCCACCCTGTCCCCATACCCTCTCCACCCACCATGCCAGCCAAGACAATACACCCTTGGGGAACCATGTTCAGGTCCAGAGAGAGAACAGAAATGCTTCTGGGCCATATCCTCTTTCCAGATGGCCTTTAAGAGAAACAAGAGGCACAGGTAACAAGGAGGAAGAAACTGACCTTGAAAACACTATGAAACATAAGCCAAACTCTCCCAGATAGCTGCTGGCAGGGTCCCCCCACCCCGGCCCCCATCAGCTACAGAGGCACTTCAGAGCACTTCCTGTCTCATTTGGGGCAGGGCTGGCCAGGATGCTCGTGCAGCCCAACCCCAGCCTGGGTAGGGTGCTCTGACCACAGGCCGGTCACATGTAAGGGCAAGCAGAGGACTATTTTTGATCAGTGGTTAGGAGCCAGTGGCAGGTGACAAAACATGGTGAGCGTGAGCAGCCACAAGTGGGCCCTGGGCTCCTGGGCATGGAACTCTCCCCACTCTTGGCTTCCCACTTCCTGGGGTGCATTTCTCTCTTACAGCCCCACCCCACACCACCACCCTCACTCAGTGGCAAACTAAACACTGTCCCTCCTAGCCAGACAGGGGTCTACACCTGGGACACCGTCAGTGGGGTGTTAGGGTTAGGTTGTTTGCCAAGTTCAGGATTGGGACACTCAGCTTTGAGCACCTCCTGCTATATGGAGGGCTCCTCAGAAGGGGAGGTCTGGAGACTTACGGCCTAATTTCCCTAGTCTCTAGAACAGAGCTCCACTTCCTAGGGAGCTTTCTCCAGTGCCCTCCCCACCATTTCCTCCAATATCACCTTCTTCTCAGGAGGAGGGGAAAAGGCCACAGGAGGAAGTAGAGGAGGGTGGGCAGGAGCCAGCTGGGGGATCAAGAGGGATCAGATGAGCACAGAGCCAGCTGATGGGGCTGCACACACCAGCCTCACCCTCTTTCTGCCTCTTCCCTCCTCCTCCTTTCTTCCCCTCATAGACGATAACTGAGCAGCTGCCATGTGCCAGCCCTGTCTGAGTTCCTGCGTATGCACATCTGCCTCACACTCAGACTCTGCACTCTGGCCTGCTCTCCTGCTGAGGCAGAGGGACCCTGTGGCGAGGGAGAGCAGAAAGAGCTCCTCAGCCTATGAAACTGGCCACTACCACAATTTTAGAAATGTGGTCACTGAGGGCCTGAAAAAAAGCCTTGCCCAAAGGCAATCCTCTTGGGACCAAGGCTCCTGCCTGCTGAGGCTGACGAGGTCCTGGCCAGGCAGCACAAATTCCATGCAGGGATGTCCCTGGGGCCCCTGCTGTGCACCCAGCACTGTGTTGGACTGTGGGGACACGGGGTGAGTCAGGCCTGATCTGGGGATGGGGACACAAACACACACAGAGCCAACTCACTCCTTGGTGCCTGAGGAGAAGCCCTGGCGCTGGAGGCACTTAAGAAATGCCCAGTGACCTTTCACACCACAGAGGGCACAAGCCCCCTGAGGTCCAGGGTACCATTGGCTTGCTCTGCCCTGTACCTGCATGTCAACATGGAGCCAGGAGCTGACCTCTGTTTTTGAATCATTAGCTCCTGAGTTGAGGGAATGTGGAGGAAGTGTCTGGGGGTGGGAGTCCAGACACTCATTCAGCGGCTGAGTGGCCCCTGTTCCACTTGGCAGCCCTAACTGCCCCCTCCCCAGCTTCCCCCTTTCCCAGCACCCTCCCACCAGCACCGTCCTGGGCTCCTGTTACTCAGGGTTCAAAAGACCGGAACACGAGCGATGGAATGTCAGGACAGGAGGGCAGAAGAGGGATTCAGGATAGACTAGGTCCTGCAGGGCCCCCACCCCCACCATGTGGCAGCCCAAGGGTATTGACAAGCCTTATGGTGAGCATCCCAGTGCTGAGGTCCAGAGAGGTACAGTGCCTTGCCCAAAGTCACACAGCAAGAAGGGACAGCAGTAGGCCCAGAGCCCCAGTCTCTGCTCTCATCTCAGACTCCACCCACTCTTGCACGCAGGTGGCTTCCCCAGCTGGTTCCACACGCTGGGTGGATGTCCAGGCCTAGCGTTCCTACAGCTCAGAGAGTGCCTGGTCGGCGGGGGGGGGGGGGGGGCGGGAATGGGAGGGTGCAGAGGGGGAACAGGAGAAAACAGAAAGTGCCAGTGATTCACATTTCAAAATGTCGTGTTATTCCAGGCGCTTTCTCGCTTTGCCACCACCTTCATCCACCCCCCACTTGCCATCTTGAGAACCGGCTGCAGGGTGGCTGGGGCGGGGGGAGGAGGAGGCTGAGACCATCATCTAAGGAAGCTGTGTTTCCACCCTGCCCACTGAGAAGCCCGAGGGTGAATGAGCAGTCGGATGAGCACCGAGCTGGGAACCAAGGGGCCTGGGTGCCAGCCCTGGCTTTGGAATTGGTTGTTGTGAGACCCTGAGCAAGTCCCTAGGCCTCTCTCTACTTCCTTTACATACTTCCCCAGCACGTAAAATGGGGAAGTGGGAAGAGTTTGTGGCTCCCACGACTAGTTGCATATCAAAGCAAAACAAAACAGATTCTTGGACTGCATCCCCAGAGATTCTGATTCTATATGTTAGAGATGAGGCCTGGGAGTCTAATTTTAAAGCATACCCCTAAACCCCACCCAACCTGGTGATTCAGTGCAACCAGTCTACCGAGGCGCGGTTAGAGAGTTCCTGGCTATATGCTTCCACGCGGTTTCCAATCATCTCCAGGACTTATTGACCTCCTCCAAAATGCCCTCCTGGATTTACCCAGCCCTCCCTGCCACGTCTAACCCTCCTCACTTCTGGCCTTGCATCCCTGCCCATACTCTCCTACAGCTCCTTAAAAGCATTTAGTCATTTGTGCCTGTGTGTGCACGTGTGTGTGTGTGTGTGTGTGTGTGTGTTCTACGTGAGCTACATGAGCAAGACGAACCTCCCACACAGCACAGAGGAAGTTGCTCAGCACTGGAGCCAGCTAGCCCCACATTTGGAACTGGACTCTGCTGTGCAAAGTTGGGTGACCCTAGGGAAGAGCCCCAGCCTCCCTGGGCCTCCGTTTCCACATCCCTTAGAGGGCCTAGCCAGACCCTGCCTCACAGGGCCACACACGAGACTCCACTAAGGTGGTGTACAAAGACTTGCGGTGGGGCCTGGGGAGGGGTGTCAGTGGCCAGGAAAGCAAGCCGGGTGAATGGTGGACCCTCCCAGAGGGATGTGTGCTACCCTGGGAGGTCTGGACTCCTTCCTCCCAGTGTGTGCCTTTAGGCAGATGGCTGCCAGCGTAGGTCCTCAATAAAGAATGGGTCCACCCCAGTATCATTCGAGGTCCCCACAGGAAACAGAATTCCCCCCAGGTGGCTCAAATGAAGAGACACAGATGGAGGGGCTTGTGACTGAGTTAGGCAGGGTTAAGGAAATCCAAAAGGGATGGGGAGACTCCTGGACTAGAACAGCTGACAGCTGTCCGCAGCCCGCATCTACAGGGCAGGGCAGGATGTCATGGCCAGAGACCAGCAGGAGTGGGGGCCGTGGAGGAGGGGCCGCCCCACAGGAGCGCAGTCACAGAGGGAGGCAGCTCTTCCGAGACACACGTCCCAGAGGGAGAAGCAGAGGAGAAATAGCCCAGCCCCTCTCTCCTCCCACTGTTGCTTCTCATTCTGGTATCTCCCGCTGGCCAAGCCCAGGCAGTGGTCAGAGGCATGGGCAGCCCTTAGAGGTCCCCTCCTGGGGCACAGAGCAGAGCAGAGAAGCAGAGACAGTTTGCTGGCAGGTTGCTGGGAATAGCAGGGCAAACAAACAAGCAGCTCCTCGGGCAGCCTCTGCTGTCTGGGCATGGGAGGTGGGGCCTGGCTTATCAACCAGAAGACAGGTTTGAGCCTCACCACTGCCACAGACACAAAGGGCGACATCAGGAAGTCGCTTCTCTCCAGGTCTCTGTTTCCTCATCCTTAAACCATAAGGGTTAAACTCTGTCCCGAGCCACCTCTTCCAGGCCTGACCTGCACTTCTCCTCACCTGCCTTTTCAAGAGAGGAGAGAGCCCTGCTGGACAGGAAAATGGGCTTGGAGAGGAGGGAAGCGTAGCAAATGGAAAATTAATTCTGGGCGGTAAAGAGCAGAGGCTGTTGTTTGTGATGTATAACTTACTCTTTGTGTCAAACTGTGTACTGTGTATATCAGTGGGATGGCAAGAAAACCGAGATCTATTACTTAGAGTTTAATCTGTTCTCCGTGTTGGAGAAGAGAGAGGGAGGGGGAAAGAAGACTACAACTTTAATCACAGGCCCGACTCAATGTGTCAAGCTGCTCTCGGGTGTGTTAGTAAAATGATGTCGGATCACAGGCTTCCCAGACAGCGCTGCACGCTGCGGCTTTATCTGCCGAGCTGTAAATTAGCACACCTACTTTACGCTCTTCAGGTAAAACCAGTAATTTAGCTGAAAAATACACACACGCACACATGCACACAGAGCATGTTGGGGAGGGCTCAGGAGAGGGGGCTGCCCCCCTTGAGCAAGAAATAGCTAAAAATGAGCAAACCGGGATGAAAATGACACCACGGCTGCGCCTCCTGTCATTAGCGCCTGGGCTCCTGGTGCCAGCCCCACAGCCAGCCCACCTTCCTTTCTACCTGCCTCAGTGCCTCCCCTACCCCTACCACCCCTTTTTGCCATGAACCGTAAATTACATGCTGACACCTTTAATTTGTGCAAAGTATGCCTGGCTGCGCCTGGCACCAGCAGCCGGCTGCTATAATAAGGTCAATCTATATTCATTGTCGCAGCACTTGATGTGCCAGATAACACAGGGAGGCAGCGCGGTGGTGGCTTCTCCGGGCTGGGGGGTGAGGTGGGGGTGCTCACTGCCTCTCATCGCGGCCTGGCACCAGTTGGCTCATCACTTATGCATGGCATGAGCAATGTTATGATTTAGCTAATCACCATCAGTTATTCATCCGATGGCTGCCTAGAGACGACAGTAGCACACGCCTGCCTGCCCAAGCCAGAGAGGGAGGCCCCTGTCCACTCGATGCCACAGAAAGACCACCCAGGGGGTCTGACTGTCCTTTCTGGGGAGTGGCCCCAGAAAGGGAATAGCCCAGGATTATAGACTCCTGGGCTTGAGGAGGAGAAGCTGCTGAGGGTGCCCTGTGGGCAGGCAGGGTCACTGATGTGATGTTTCTGGATCCTAGGGCCCAGCCAGGAATGGGCATCTCACTGATATGTCACACGGCAGGAGCCCAGGCTTTGAAGTCACAGAGTTCTGGGTTCTAATCCCCACTCTTCCACTTCCAAGTCGTGAGAGCTTAGTCAAGTCACTTAACCTTTCTGGGCTGCAGTTTGTCAACAGCATAACAGGGAAACAACTCCATTCCTGGCAGGAAGAGTGTACAGATGCAAAATATGGAATGCGTCTGACATAGTAGGCACTCAGTCAATGGCAGCTGCCAGTATCACAGCCCTAGGGCATCTATCACATGCTTGATTGAGTGAATGTCTGCTTTCAGTGGGGAATACAGATTCAAAAGGCTCATAAGGAATGGGGCTGGGACCAACAGGTGAGCCCATTTGACACAATACCCCCTGGCATGAGGTTATGTTGAGACAGGTCTCAGCTTCTGACGTGTTTGAGTAAGAGGAGACCAAGAAGCATCGAATCCATGGCTGAGGAAGGCCAGAGGCAGGCACGAACCAAGTTCTCAGCCTTCAGCAGGCTGGAGGCAAAAAATGAAGCTTAGTGGCCCCAGCTTATAGAGCTGAAGGGACTTGGAGATTGTTCAGCACAGCCCTTCATGCTAGAGATTGGGCAACAGAGGCAGAGAGGGTATTGGCTGGTCCAAGGTGGTCCAGCCAGTAAGGGGCAGGGCTGGAGTCCTGGCCTGGGCTTCTGACTTCATAGCTCTTCCTGCTGCTCTACAAGACAGGCCCAAAGAGGGGCAGAGGGCCATCAGACTTTGAGGGGATGCCCTTGGGATTATCTGAGTCTTCTCTCTTCCTGGATGCCCAGTCAGGAGTGCACAACATATGCTCCTAGCTCTGTCCACAGCCCTGTAGGCAGTGGGAGGGATGGGTCAAACCCTCAGCCTTCAGTGGGTCCTCAGCTTCCTTAGCTGCACAATGGACGCAAGAGCATCTGCTCCTAGGAGCTAATGAGAAGATTAAGTGAGACCGCCTGGGCAGACCAGGTGAACAGTCTTTTCCCTTCCAGCCAACGAGCTTAGAGTCTAAAGAAGGTAGTCAGGCTGACAGCAGCCTAAGAGGTTACCTAAATCTAGCTGTGCAAAAGCAGCCAAGTTGAACAGTTAATTCTGCAGCCTGAAAACAGACTCAGCAAACACCTCACTGTCCCAGCAACATGCCGACTCTTCCACTACCACACCTTTGTCCACTCTATTCCCCGCCCCAGGAAAGCCCTGCCTATCCTCACAGATCCCCATATCCAGCTCATCCGCCCAGGTCCTGCTCAGATCCGCTTCCTCCAGGAAGCCTCTTCTCTCTCCTGGGCATCAGTGATGCCCTCCCCTACCTGCAGCCCCCACCCCTTCCTGACTGAACGTGGGGCTCCCTCTCTAACCACAAGTGATTAGGCCCCACATTCGAAGCACTGGGTGAGTGATCCATTATTTTAGAGCTAAGCAGCCTTAGGCCTCTCTAGGTCTGTACTGCTGAGCCGCAAAATGGACAGGCAAAGGTGGCATGGTGTATTCTTGGTGGCCCCAGGCATCACATTCCTGAGCAAACTTTCCAGCAATGTTTGGGCTCTGCAGGGAACATAAAGGCTAGGCCAGTGGGCATCTCTATGGAAACTGGCCTGAATTTCCCCCATCTCTCTGGCATTTGTTTAAAGAAATGCAAATGTTCTCACCAACCTGGGCTTGTGCCCTGAGGTGTCTTCTCGTTGCAAGAAGGTAATGTCCCTGTCCCACCTCTGCCCAGCCCCTCTCTGCTCCTGCCCCCAAGGCCAGCCCAGGGCTGGTGGTTTTGTGCATCTTCCCATGTAACACAATTACCCACACACCTGTGCTGCGGGCACCTGCCAAGCCACAGCATGGTGTCCAGTGCTCAGTTGCCCTCGAAATGTGTTTCGTCTCTTATCTGCAAAACTTGGACAGCGTGGAGGGCGGGGCCTCCCACCACAAGTGAGGCCATCAGCCTCCTACTACCAACTGGTGGGTTTGCCTGGCTGGGCACTCCATGCCCATCAGCCCAGGCACAGCTAGAAAGCTCCTGCAAGTCCAGGGCTGAGCCCATACCCCTCATTCCGTAGCATCCTATCACCCACTCAAAAGTGACCATGACACCATTCTGCTTCTGAGGAACTTGAAACCACACAGATGTGGAATCTAAGCCTCCCACAGAAACTGAGACCTCCAGCCTCCAGGAACAGCACCCTCTCTCGGTGCTGGGGACTCAGACCCTGTCATTACAAGCAAGCCCATACCCTCAGCCTCTGTTTTGAACTCTCCCTAACTGACACCTGGCTGCCCCCAACACACCAGTTCCCCCTGTTTCCTCTCCCACGCCCCCACAGACCCTGGGATTGCCTTTTCCAAAACATTTGCCCTCCCTTTCCCTTTCTAAGTGCCATCCTCTCTGAATCCATGTCCATACACTCTACCTGTCACCACTGCCCCACCGGGTTGCACCTCACATTCATCACAGACTTAACTGACACATCTGCCCTGTCTTCCTCCCCACCCTCATCCTATCATCAGTTTTGGTGACTTCAACATCCACTTTGCAGATCCACCCAACACTGGTGCCTCTCTCTTCCTCTACCAGGTCGGTCCAACCATTTGTCACCCTCCTCCCCACCTACTCCCACGGGCATCACATCTTGTACCATCATGAACACGGCACCATCCACACAATCTCCACTTCAAACATCCCACCGGGAGACCACCTGTCATCCTTCCAGATGACAAGTGATCCCTCCGCCTCGCCAAGCCCTCCCACCCCTCACCCTCCTCTGTCACCACCATCAGCCCTCTGCCATCACATCCATCTTTCATCTTCTTTTCTCCCCTTACTTCTTCATACTTAAAGACCATGCTCAACCTGGGTTAAATCCAACTACCCACCTACTCAATGCCTGCACCCACACAGCAAAATAAAGGTAGAGAAAAAACAGACTGGCTTCCTCTAAATTCATAGCCTGAAATCTCAATTGGGCCCTGGTGTTGTTCCACAGCACTGCTACCGTTGTCTTGCACGTTCCCATTCTCCAGAGCAACTGTCTCAGCCTTTCTCCTCTCCCCACACCCCTCACTACCCCCAGCCTCACTTGCCTCATGCTTTGCTCAGGAAATAGCATAAATCAGAAAAGTCATCTTCCCATCGTGAAACCTGGCAGCCTCCCTCCTGCTCCTGTGGATGAAGGCCACTGCTCTGCCCAAGGCCATTCCCTCCATGTGGGTTTTGGATCCCACTTCTGTTATCTGAACCGTAGATACCTCCTCCTTCTGCACATCGCTTCCTCTTTCTCCATTAGGTCATCCACAACAGGCTGCTCTAGGATCTCCTGTGATAAACAAACAGCTCCATTGGGCTCCACTTCTCTCTCCAGCTTCCATCTCAATGTTCTGCTCCCCTTCACTGCAAAAAGTGTTTAAAAAATCGTCTGCACCTCCTGCCTCCACTTTCTTAGTGGGCATTCTGTCCCCATGGCTTAGCTGACTCAGCATTCATCATGTCACCACCGACCCCTAAGTGTCCAGTTCACTTTCTTTTCCTTTCACTTGAACTTTCAGCAGTGATTGATTCAGGACCTCTTCCCACTTCCTATAATGCTTTATACTTGGCCTCCACTGCTCCCTCTCCTGGGTTTCTTCCTACTCCCTGTCTGCTCCTTCTCAGTCTATTCAGCCAACTCTGCCACATGTCCCAGTCTCTATGTGCAGGATAATCTCAGGGGGAACCCCCCGGCCTCTTTCTTTTCTTCTTTCCCAATGGTCCCAAGATAACTTCATCCCATCCAATTGCATCAAATACCAGGTCTCCGTCATTGACTCCACGCCTCCATCTCCAGTCCTGGCTGCTCCTTGGAACTCCCAGGGTGTGTATTCAACTGCAGGAGAATGACTAGGAGCCATCTCAAAATTAATGCATATGGCTAAAACCAAACTCTTAGCTTTTGCTGCAAACTTGCTCCTCCTCCCTGCTCCCTAGACTTCCCACCTCTGTCAATGACATCACCACCCACTCAGGTGCTTAAGCAAAATATCCCAGAGTTAGCTCGAATTCCCCTCTTCATCCCGCACACCCAAGCTATCAGCAAGTCCCTGACCATCCCACCCCCAACACACATCCCAGTCTGTCCACATTCCTCCTTCTCCCCATGGCCACCCCAATCTGGGCCAGCACTGCCTCACTGCTGAACTAAAGTCTGTCTCCTGGGCATCAGTGATGCCCTCCCCTACCTGCAGCCCCCACCCCTTCCTGACCGAACGTGGGGCTCCCTCTCTAACCACAAGTGATTAGGCCCCACATTAGAAGCACTGGGTGAGTGAGCCATTATTTTAGAGCTAAGCAGCCTTAGGCCTTTCCGGGTCTGTATTGCTCATCTGCAGAATGGACAGGCAAAGGTGGCGTGGTGTGCTCTTGGTGGCCCCAGGCATCACATTCCTGGGCAAAGTTTCCAGCAATGTTTGGGCTCTGAAGGGACCATAAGGGCCAGGCCAATGGGCATCTCTGTGGAAACTGGTGCCTCTAGGCTGAAGGAGGGTGGACCCCCCAGGCCAGGCCCTTGCCTTCACTCTTGCCCTCCCAATGCACTCACCGTGAGTCAGCCAGGGTCAGCTTTGTACAGTGGAAATCAGGCCATGCCACTTCCCTGCTTAAAACCCTCCAGTGGCTTTCACCACCTTTTGAATGGAATGGAAACTTCTCATCCCACACAGGGCCCCCAGCGCCTACTCCTTTCCTGCTCCACCATCCACATTGTGGCTTCTTCCCTCCTGCTCACAGGGCAGCATTCCAGACAGGCAGGCTGGGAAGGGAAAAGGGCAAAATGGGGCCTGCCGGGGAGTTTATCCTTTTTCATCACAATAGTAATAACTTTTCTGGGATCCCCATCTAGGAGACATCTGCTTATAGCTCACTGGTGAGACCACATCACATGGACACCCATAGCTTTAGGAGAATTTGGGAAACAGAGTTTGTTTGTTCGTTCATTTTAGAGATGGGGTCTCTCTCTGTTGCCCAGGTTGGAGTGCAGTGGCACAATCATAGCTCACTGCAGTCTTGAACTCCTGGACTCAATCGATCCTCCTGCCTCAGCCTTCTCAGTAGCTGGGACTAGACGCATTCACCAACACACCTGGCTAATTGTTTTAAATTTTTCATAGAGACAGGGTCTCGCTATGTTGCCCAGGCTGGTCTCAAACCCCTGGTCTCAAGCAGTTCTCTTGCTTGGCCTCCCAAAGCTCTGGAATATGTGTTTTTTTTTTTCTTTAAGAGCTGCCTGTTGCTGCCCTAAATAAAAGTGGAGTCACCTAGTAAGGCAGAAATGGAGAATACAGTGACTGGTCCACCAGTGCCACCCAGACAGACTGAAAGTTCCATGAGGTGGGGCTGTGCCTTCTCTTCTGGGACAGGGTCAGATTTTGGAATCCTGTGTTCAGTAAATAGCTACTGAGGAGCTTTTCCTTGCCAAACCCCTTGCATGGCCCAGCATTAAAGAGATGAACCAGACATCTTTCTTTCCCTGTAGAGGCTCACTAAGGCTGGGAGAGAGGCTGCCCAGCAAACTGTGGCATGTCAGGCTCCGCATAGGTGGACACAGAAGGAGCCCTAAAGGCACAGAAATGCATCCTGCATCCTCCCAGATCCATGCATCCTTCTTGAGAGAGAGGAGGCAGCTCCACAGAGAGGGGCCTTGACGTGTAAGCAGGAAACAGAGAAGGCAGAAGGAGCAATATGGTGATGAGGGCGGCATGGCCCAAGGCTGGAGATACGCACACGCACGCCCTGTTCGGCAACTCATGAGCAGTGGGGCAGAGTTGCAGTCTAAGAGGAGGAGAGGCGAGGAGGGGAGGGCAGCTCAGGTAGGAAAGAAGAAAACCTAACTGTGAAGGGCCTCAGAAGTCACACCAAGAAGTTGACATTTTACTGTAGCAGTCATCAAAGAGTTGTCAGCTGAAGGGCAATAAGATCAGATTTGTGAGCTTTTTTGTTTTGCTTTGTTTTGTTTTGTTTTTGAGGCAGGGTCTCGCTGTGTCACCCAAGCTGGAATGCAGTGTCACAATCACAGCTCACTGCAACCTCAGCCTCCCGGGCTCAAGCAATCCTCCCACCTCAGCCTCCCAAGCAGCTAGGACTACAGGCACATGCCACCATGCCCAGCTAAATTTTTTCTATTTTTTGTAAAGATGGGGTCTCACTATGTTGCCCAGGCTGGCAGATTTGGGTTTTAGAAAGGACATTCTGGCAGCAGTGGGTGAAGTGGGTCAAGAGATGGAGGCAGGGAGATCACGTAGGAGGACATTAAAGCAATCCTGGTGAGAAATCAAGAAGGCCTGAATTAATGGAGAGGGAGAAGAGATGGATCCTGAAGGCAGAGTGAGAGAGTACAGAACCACCAGGAAAGATCAGGCACTGGCCTTTCCCTCTCCTTGGAGCTCTGCCCCCACCCCCGAGTCCTACCCCTTCTATGCTCCTGTGTCACCAGGTTCTTTTTCGTTATGCAACGGACCAGACTGAGTGGTGCTACATTTTTTGGGTGACTATCTCCCTCCCCTCCGGCTGTGAGGCCAGAGCATGTCTGATTTCTCATCACTGCACCCAGTTCCAGTTCCAGTACCCTCCCATCATTGCTGATGGGTAGTAGAAACACAGTGCACGTTCACAGGAAGGATGGACCATGCAATGGTGATGATGCGGCAGGAGAAGGGGTAAATGCCATTCTCAGAGCTCAGATTGTATCCTACAAGGGCCAGGAAGACACAGGGAGTTTTAAGTATAGAGGGGACATGGTCAGCCCTGTGTTTGAGATTAATCCATCTGGCAGCTGTGGAAGATGTATTTGAATAGGGCAAGACTAGAGAGAGGGGGACCAGTCCACAGCTAGTTCTAACACTGCAGGCTAGGGAGGATGGGACCTGAATTTGGAATGAGGAAAAGGAATAGAAAAGAGGGATCAGCCTGAAAAGTAGCAAGGAGGTGGGACTGGTGAGGTCTGAAGATAAACTGGAAGACGGTCAATTGGTTGGTGGCTTAGGCAACTGGGTCTGTGATGTCATTTGCTGAGATTGGGCAGTGGGTCAGGGGGAGGTGCCAAAATGAGCTCCACTTGGGACATGTTGAGGCTAAGATAACTGTGGAGCATTCTAGAGAGAAATGCAATAGGCTGGATATGTGAGACTGAAGGTCAGGATGGAGCCTAACACCAGAGGTAGAGATTTGGAAGTCATCGGCTCCAAGAGGCAGTGACTACAGTGACATGGAAGACCGGGAGTCACCAGGAAAGGCAGTGTCAAGAGAGAAAAATAGCAACTCAAGGAGACAGCTATTAAAAGTGCCTACCTTTGAGGGTCTGCAAAGGGAAAGGACCCTTCGAAGGGACAGAGGAGAAAAGGAAACAGGGGGAAACCAGGACAGAGTGGTGGTGTCCCAGGTGCCGGTGAAGAAGTTCAGGAAGGATGAATAGTCAACAGGGTCAAAATCAGTAGCAAGTAAGAGACCTAAAGTTCTCTGCTGGATTTGGCAACATGAAGGTCACTGGTGACCTTTGCCAAAACAGTTTCCATGGTGCTGGGGGTGGAGTCATGTTGCTTCAGGCTGAAGAATATGTCAGGAGTAAGAAAGTAGAGGCAGCTTAGTTAGTTAATGGCTTTGTTACAACTGATATTCCATCTTCTTCCAAAAAAGAGCAATTGCCCAACTGTAAAATATACATTACAATGATCACAGAACCTAGAACAGTGCCAGGCATACAGTGCTACCCGATACAGGTTAGGTATATTTGCTTCTTTTTTTTTTTTTTTTTGACAGTTTTCTCTCTCCCCCAGGCTGGAGAGCAGTGTGTGATCTTGGCTCACTGCAATCTCCGTCTCCCCGGTTCAAGTGATTCTTCTGCCTCAGCCTCCCAAGTAGCAGGGATTACAGGCGCCCACCACCGCACCCAACTAATTTTTGTAGTTTTAGTAGAGACGGGGTTTCACCATCTTGGCCAGGCTGGTCTCGAACTCCTGATCTCATGATACACCTGCCTCAGCCTCCCAAAGTGCTGGGATAACAAGTGTGAGCCACCGCACCTGGCCAGGTATATTTGCTTCTTATATTAATAGGCATACATCCAATAAAGCTGTTAAAACAGAAAATTAAAAACCATGTACAGATACAGACCCAAAAGAATTCGAAGTCGGGATTTGAACACCCATATTCCCAGCAGAATTATTCACAATAGCCAAGAGGTGAAAGTAACCCAGATGTCTATTGATGGATCAATGGATAAAGAAAATGTGGTATATACATACAATGAAATATTATTTAGCCTTTCAAAGGAAAGGAGGGGCCAGGCGCGGTGGCTCATGCCTGTAATCCCAGCACTTTGGGAGGCCAAGGTGGGTGGATCACTTGAAGTCAGGAATTTGAGACCAGCCTGGCCAACTCCTGACCATGGTGAAACCCCATCTCTACTAAAAATACAAAAAATAAATTAGCCAAGAGTGGTGGCGCGTGCCTGTATTCCCAGCTACTCAGGTGGCTGAGGCAGGAGAATCGCTCAAGCCCGGGGGTGGGCAGGAGGCTGCAGTGAGCTGAGATCACATCACTGCACTCCAACCTTGGCGACAGAGTGAGACTGTCATAAATAAATAAATACATACATACATACATACATACATACATACCTACATACATACATAAAAGGAAGGGAATTCTGGCACATGCTACAACATGGTGAACCTTAAGGATGTTATGCTAAGTGTAATTAGCCAGTCACAAAAGGACAAACACCGTAGGGTCCCATGTACAGAGGTGCCTAGAGAAGCCAAATTCACAGAGACAGAAAGTAGAATGGTGATTGTCAGGGGTTGAGGGGAGAAGGTAATGGGAAATCATTGTTTAATGGGTATAGGGTTTCAGTTTGGGAAGATTTTAAAAAACGTTCTGAAGATGGATGGTGGTGACGCTGCACAGCAATATAAATGCATTTAATATTGCTGAACTATATACTTAAAATAGTTTTTAAAAAGTTTTATGCTATGCATATTTTACCACAATAAAAAATAGACATATACAAAGAAAAAGAAAAATATATATTACAACGTGGGCTAATACAATTGCTAGGATGGAGCACTTCATTTTGTCTGAGCTTTCTGGTAACCAGGCTATGAAGAGAAATGTTTGAGTCTGGATCTTTAATAAAAGAAAAAATATTGCAGATGGATGGTGGTGATGGCTGCACAGCAATATGAATGCATTTAATGTTGCTGAACTGTACACTTAAAAATAGTTTAAAAAAAAAATAAGTTTTAGGCCAGGCACATGGCTCACGCCTGTAATCCTAGCACTTTGGGAGGCAGAGGCAGGTGAATCACCTGAAGTCAGGAGTTTGAGACCAACCTGGCCAACATGGTGAAACCCCATCTCTACTAAAAATACAAAAATTAGCCGAGAGTGGCAGGCACCTGTAATCCCAGCTACTTGGGAGGTTGAGGCAGGAGAATCCCTTGAACCCGGGAGGCGGAGGTCGCAGTGAGCCGAGATCGTGCCATTGCACTCCAGCTTGGCAACAGAGCGAGACTCCGTCTCAAAAAAAATAAAATAAAATAAATAAGTTTTATGCTATGCATATTTTACCACAATAAAAAATTGACATGTACAAAGAAAAAGAAAAATATATATTACAATGTGGGCTAATACAATTGCTAGAATGGAGCACTTCATTTTGTCTGAGCTTTCTGGTAATCAAGCTATGAAGGGAAATGTTTGAGTCTGGATGTTTACTAAAAGGAAAAATATTGCTGTTTCCAGAGATCTCAGTGTCCAGCCTACCCCCAACCCTGGCCAGGACTCAATTATAGCAGGCATTTGCCTTAGTGATCCTTATACAAGAGGCATTGGATAGCATGCAGGACAATGCAAAAATCAACAGTAGTCTCACAGAATGCAAAGGCACATTCATGACAACCATTTGTGGTGGTGGTTCTGGAAGAAATGTGAGAGAAAATCAGTGAAACCTAACTTGAGAGCCTTTCTGGCGGGAAGGAAGTTAATGAGGGCTCGAGATGAAGATTTCCAGGAAGGAATTTGGAATTCCCAAAACACATATTCACTTAGTGGTGCCTGTAGGGTTTCCCAAGAGAGGTGTCCTACAGATTGGGTTAAAGATGAGGATCCAGATGTCATCAGTACAGAGATGGTCACTGTAGCCAGAGGTGAGAATGCACTGTCCAGGGAGAGTGCAGAGCCCCAGGGGGGCTGCTTCATAGACACCCCCATTTCCCAGGGCCCACTCAAGGACTGCAGAGCAGGCAGTAGCTGGGTATTTTTAGTGGCCATGCAGGAGTGAGAACTCACATCCTCTGACTCGCTGTCAAGTGTACTGGCCATTGTCCTGGGCACTTCTCTGTTCAGGAGAAAGAACACGATGCTGGTCATCAGGAGGCCTGGTGGGAATCTCATGGACACCACCTCTAGCTTTGTGGCTTTGGATAAGTTATACAGTCTCTTGCAAACTCAGGTTCTTCATCTATGGATGGTAATAACAATTTAACAGTTCCTTCCCTGCTCTCCTTACAAGCTTATTGGGAGCAGAAGGGTGGCTTGAGAGGACTTTAGTCTGTGCTCACCTCCTGTCTCCCTTACAATTTCAAACATATATCAGTCCAAGTGCAAACACTGGGCTCACTGTATAAGAGCTGCTCCAGAAAGTCCCCAGCCTCCTTTCCTATTCACTGACCTCAGATCCACTAGTGGATATTCTCAACCTGCCCCTTGTTGGGAGATCAACTATCATGAGCCCTGTGATAGCAGAATGCCACCTTCAAACTGCTGACACACATGGGCGATTGTCATTCTGTGTCTCAGAGTCTGTTCCAGCTCTCAGGGCAGCAGGGATGCCTTTTGCCAAGCCAGGAAGCTTGGGAGAATGTTGTCTACAGTTCAAACATGCTGCATTTGATGAACCTATGGGCATTTCAGTTGAAGAGACCTGGGTGGTGGTTTCACATAGAGGCCTGAAATCCCCAGTAGGTCTAGGAAAGAGAAATTTGATAAGCATCAATATAGAGGTGGAAGTGGAAGTCATCAGTGGGACCCTTTCCAAAGAAGTTTGGAACTAAAAGTGCAAATGACTTTAATAATGAGATAGCTATTGGGCATCAAGAAGGAGCTGGGGGAAAATTCAGACTTAGAGTTTTCTATGAAAGCTAGAATTGGCACCACACCCAGTCACCCAAGCCTGGCCTGGGTTGCACCCTCACCACGCGTGGCTCAGGGTGCTTGGCATAGGAGAGTCTGCAGAGAGCAGCCTTGCATTAGGTTGGAGTGACTTGCTGGCCAGACTCTTTCAGACACATTGTCTCTTAAAACCTCAGCCTGGATGGCTATGCTCAGCAATCATGTGTTTAAAAAGCAATAAGACTAAATGCTTTCCCGTTTCCCCTTTGAGAGACCATGTATGATAAATGATAGGCAATTTCATGGTTGGAGTTTCAATTTCCGAAAATATTAGTGCTATTCCCCAAGCTCCACTTCAGAGATAAATTCTTTTTGGCAGCCTCCTCCGTTGTCTCCTAATTCCCTGATTCTGAATATATTTGGAGGTTTGGTGCAAATTTCATCAGCTCAGTCCCAGCATCTACCTGTCTGGTCTGCTTTGGAAAGGGTGTCACCCACCTTCTACTCTTTCAGGTTCTTTTTATATTTGTTACAAGTCCATGGTTATTTATTAGGTACCTCCTATGTGCTCCCACCTCCATGCTAAGTATTATGGTGGATGTAGGGAGCTATAATCAATCATTCAATCAACAAACATTTGTCATGCATCCAGACCCTTCAAGCTCAAAACCACAATTCTACAGAGCCTCTCTAATACTTCCTGCTTGCTTCACACTGTCTCCATTTCACAATGGGGAGAACTGATTTCAGAGCTAACCTAGTAACATCAGGGTGGACTAGAGTGATCAGTGGCAAGGTAGGAGAGGGTGAACATTGCGTGGACACCTACAATAGGTCAGGTGCTGGACTGAGTGCTTGCCAACCCTCTGCACAGGAGTCTAAGCTATTTATCTTCACAAAACTCAAGGTAGGTGTTATTATGACCATTTTACGGATGTGGGAACTGAGGCTTAGAAAGGCTAAGCAGCCTCCCCAGGGATTCCCATTCCACTGGACAACACTGCCTCTTCTGATGTCCTGATGGCAGCAGGCTGGATGGTGTCCCAACAGTCATTTCCAAACCATGCAAGTGTCCTTCTTTGAAAACATCAAAGCACCAGTCAACCACAGAAAGAGAAAAACCTACCTTTGCACCTTGATCTCCCATTACTTTGTACTCTCTGCCTGCCCCAGCCCCAGGCTCCTGCTTAAGTTTCCCATGCTAAAGTCCTCAGAGCATCACCCACACTCCAGGGCCCATTCCCTGCTTCCTCTCATGCCATTGCCTTCTCTTCCTAACCAAGCACGCCCCATCATAGGTCAGTGAAGACCCCGATGTCAATCTCTCCTCTCTCCCCATTCACTCACCCTTTAGAGGGGTCATCTCAGGCCCAGGATGATGTTTCTTTCTCTCATAATCGCATGGCTCCCTTGAAGAAGACTGAGCACAAAGCAGGTATTCCAAAAAGCTTGAGGAAAGTACCGGGGTGAAATGTGCTGGAGTGAGACTAAATGAGATGAAGTCAATGAGAATCGAGCAAACAGTGTGGACTGGGGCAGGATGTGATGGAATAGAAGCAAGAAGAATAGTATGGTACAGATAGAAAGAAGTAGGACGAAAAAAGCAAACTAGAATGGAACAGAATAGGAGAGGATGGAACAGACGAAGCGAGTAGAACCAGACTGGAACAGGCTGGAATAGAATAGAACAAGATGGGACAGAATAAAACAGGACAGAGTAGACTAGACCAGGTCAGAACAGAATGGAACAGGACAGAATAGACTAGAACAGGATGCAGCAGAATAGAATAGGATTCAGCAGACCAGCACAGGGCAGAATAGTTGCAAACAGGTCTGAACAGAATAGAGTGCAATAGGATAACAGGGCTGGAGCCAAATGGTACATAACTGGATGAAATGAAATTCACTTCATTCATTCAACAAATGTTTGTCAGGTGCTACTCTGCACTAGGTAAGGAAAACAGAATAGTCCCTGCCCTCGTAGAACACACTGTCTTGTAAAAGGAACCAAAAAGACATAAGTAATTATTAACACATGTATAGTTAAAAACTATGAGTGTCTGTGGAAGAATAAACAGATTGCCATGATCACAAATAATAGGATGAAAGAAATAATATGATAACAAGGAAGTCAGGAAACTCCAACCTAAAGGATAGGGAGGAGCCAAAGACACTTGAAGGCACTTTGGGAGGCCGAGGCGGGAGGATCACAAGGTCAGGAGATCGAGACCATCCTGGCTAACATGGTGAAACCCCGTCTCTACTAAAAATACAAAAAATTAGCCGGGTGTGGTGGTGGGCACCTGTAGTCCCAGGTCCTCGGGAGACTGAGGCAGGAGAATGGTGTGAACCCAGGAGGCGGAGCTTGCAGTGAGCCGAGATCGCGTCACTGCACTCCAGCCTGGGCGACACAGCGAGACTCCGTCTCAAAAAATAAATAAATAAATAAATAAAATAAAATAAAAATAAATAAATAAAAATAAACAAAAACACTTGAAGAACCAGGGAAGAGCATTCTGGGCAGAAGGATCAGCATGTACAGAAGCCCTAAGGCAGGAAAGTGTTTGGCCCATTCAGGGAACAGAAAGAAGTTCAACATGAAGCAAGGCACAGAGTGACAACAGAGGAGGGGGAGAGGTGGGCAGCAGCTAGACGGCATAGGGCCTAGGGAGTTCATTCTAAGTGCGATGAGAAGCCACTAAAGGGAGCAACAGGGGCTGCTGTGTGTTTCATACTTCCTCCTTAGCTGGTGCAGAAGAATGAGTTAGGGCAGGAGACCATTTAGGCATCCACTGCAGACATCCGGGCAGTGATAAAGGTGGCTTGGAGTAGAGAGGCAGTGGTACCAGAGGAAGGAAATGCAGCCAGGTAGAAAAGTGTTCTGAAGGTGAACACGGCTGGCAGGATTTGTTAACGTTTTGGACGTAGGACTGGCAGAATGGGAGGTCTGGAGGATCTGCTGGAGGTTGGTGCTTTCGTTTCCAGGGATGGGACTAAGGAAAAATGGTTTGGGGAGGAAAATCAAGTTTCCTTCTGGAGATGCTCAGGTTCAGTTGCTTGGGTGGTATCCAAATGGAGACATAAAGTAGATTTGGAGATACAAGCCTGGAGCTGGAGATGTGAAATGGGGAGTTGTCAGCAGGTAAATACTCGGCAATGCCTTGGGACTGGATGGGCTTAATCATGCGGCAGTGCAGTGCAGTGCAGTGCAGAACTTTCTTGGACTCTTTGGGGTGCTTGTTGAACATGCAAATTTCTGGGCCCCCAGGCTCCCCAAAAGAGATGTCTAGAGATGGGGCTAAGGAGTCTATATGTTTGACAATCACCCCAGAGTGTCTGGATGCTATCTCACATGCGTAGAACACTGGTCTAAGAAAAGATTAGAGGAGGGCAGGGGCCCTATCACAGAAATCTGCACATTTGCAGATCAGTGAGGAAAAAACAGCAAAGGAGAAAGAGAGGAAATAGGCAGAGAAGTAAGATGGAAATCAGGAGAGGGTGGTACCTCAGAGGCCAACACAGTAGGGGCAAATCAGGACCAGGTGATCAACAGTCTGTCTGCTAAGCATGATGAGCGCAGGAGCCATGAGATGCAGCCATGTGCACGCTTCCAGGGGAATGCTGGGGAGGAGTAAGGCAGGACTGAGTGCGGCAGAGGAGGATACTCTAGCGACAAAGTCGGGGAGGAGTTGGGGATTTCAGAATGGACAGAAGCAAGGACGTCATCCCAAATCAGTGGAAAACTTGGGAACAGACCCTCAAACGTATTTCACATATGATTTTATTCTGTCTGCTACCAGCTCCCAGAGTTCTTGGGCGGGCCAAGGCGAGCAAGAATGCTGGCAATCCGCATTCCTCTGCACACACCAGGAGGGCTTCCTTTTCCTGCCTTCCTACCTCCCAGCTCAGCATCCTCAGGTGACCCTCTCCTCCAGAGAGATCTCACTGCTGCGGTCTTCCCAATGCCCCATCTTCCTCCCCAGGCAAGCCCCAGCCTGTGCCTCTCTCCTTCTCTGCCAGAGCAGCTTGGAGGCTGTGGCCAATGTGTATTACCTGTGCATTCAAGCCTTCCCTCCAAAAAGGGAATTGCTGAGGGTGCAATTTTTTGCACACAGCAGGTTGGAGAGGCAAGAGGGCCTTTCAACTGTGGCCCAGATTATCCTGCCTACCCTGTAAGCAGCTGCCTGGGGGCCACGAAGAGCCTTGATTCTCACTGTGGGTAAGGAGATGAGATGAGCACATTTTAAAATACACATTCAACTTTATACTAGACTTTCATATTCATGAAAGGGAAACCAAAAACCTATTGCTTTCATAATACAAACCTCAAAAAGCAAGCCTGACAACATCTTCTTGTTGGTGGGGCTATCAGAAACAAACAGGGATTTCGAACTAAGGACAACCCCCAAGAGGGTCTTTCAGAATCAAAGTTGATGGATGTTGATGTTTTTCAAAAGGTTAAATAAGATCGAGACATAGTAACAGAAGGAAATACCACCCTTGCTTCGCCCAGACTGGAATCTGATTCTGTTAAAAGTGTGCTTCCCCACTCCCAGTGCCCCTCGAGGGGCCACACACACCTTGAAAGACCTGAGGAGCCCCTGCCATCCATCCAGAGCCAAATTCCTGGCAAAGAGCAGCCCAGAGAGATTTCACAGACATCGCCGAACCTCTCAAGAAGAGTCTGTGGCAGCAGAGGGATTTTCCCCAGGAGAGACGGCGCCTGTTTGTTTTCGAGGCAGGAAGGAGCCGGGAACATCTGCTCCGAGAAGCCACTTGAAAGATAATCAGGCAATGATGTTGGCAAAACAGCTGTGTGGCAGGCGGAGAAGGGGGCGGCCGGGAGCTGGGAGGGTAGGAGGGTGGGAGGAGGGAAGCCCAGCTCTGAGCTATGAGCAGCGCCCAAGAACGCTGCCTGGAAAGCCCCCGGAGCCCTGGCCCATGCCCACTAGAGCAGGGAGGAAGCTTCTCTCCAGGTGAGAGCAGCTCCCACGGGGATCTCGTCCTCATGGAGAAATGCTGGATCTAGTCTATTTCCTGCAGGGTGCAACTCAAGTCCCAGGATGGGACTGACAATGTTGAATTTTATCTGAGCTCTGTGATTCTGGAAAATAATGATGGTTAAAGAAATCCTTCCACCCCTTTGTGTTCCAGGAAAAGGCTTACTGCAATGAAGCATCCTTTCTATATGACTTGGATAGGACTCTTAGATGCCCCCTTGCTTACCCATGATAAGACCAGACTCAGACCCTTTAAATTCCCCTTCTTTGTCTCATAAATCATTAAGTATTTTGCTCCCACTAATTAATTGGAACAAAAGGCATGTTAACAAAACCTGGGTTAAGTTTCTCTCCTTCACCTAGGCCCCTGAATTTTAACCTACCCTCAGCATGAGCCAGCGGGCCATCTATCCTAATGCTCTTCCAGAGACAGGCTGGCCTCAGGGTAAAACATTCTCCCATCTACTGTCCCAGGGTCACCCCCTCTCATCTCCCTTCCCCATGCCTGTTCTTTCTAGCCTGGTTTACTCCCTTTTTATACAAGAAAATCCTCTTTCTATCTTACCTGTGATGCCTGCAGATCTCATAGTCAGAACACTTTCTCTATTGCAACAGTTCCTTCCTAAACCTCTCCCTAACGAAGTCTGTTTGTCTTTTTATTGATCAGACATCAAGATTCTCTGAAGTCACCTCTTGTGGGACAGCTTCTCCCAAAGCCTGAGATTCCACCACAAGAGCCACTCTTTGGGATTAAGAGCAGAGAGGAAATCTCAGAAGACTAAGGAATCTGCCTGCTCCTCACCTACAGGACAAAAGAGCAAAGGCTGAATCAACAAGCTGACCTGGGGAGGAGCTCTGCAGAGTGTGGTCGGACAATCTCCAGGACCAGGGAAGGCTGGGGTCCCTCATTTTCCTGCTTCAGCCTCAGAGCAGGGCAGTGGGGATTCCTGGTTGCAGGGTGTCCCTGTGAGCCCACCAACAGCAAAGAAAAACCTCAGCAGGGAGCCAGGGGTCAAGATCCAAGACAGAAAAGCAGCCCACAGCACTGGAAAACTTTTCTTCAATCACGGCTTTGAGAACAGGTACTTTCAGAGTAAACCAAAACAAAAACAACAAAAACACGAAAGCCCCCTTGGCAAATATCCCGGAACCGAAATTCCACTGTCTGTTCTAGCCAGCGTGATCTCAGAGGCAGGCTGTGGGGGTGGGAGGACACTGCTCTGCACAGCAGGCCTGGGTCCCAGAGCACTGCTGGCGCCGGTAGCAACACAGTTGGGTCTGAAATGATGACAAGAAATGCACTCAGAGGATGGTGCCATGGAGACAGATTGGTCTTATTTGTCATTTCCAAGTCAGCTCACCACCATCATTCTCACACACAGCACTGATTACATTGATTAAATCTGTATGCTTCTAAGTTTGGCTCCCCCCAGAAGTAGACCCTGAGACAAGGATTTGAGGGAAAGTAGTTCGTGTGAGAGGTAATCGCGGGACGCGCCAGTCAGGGAGCGTGGACGTGAGAAAGGGAAGAGAAGGAAGCCAATTTAGGGCATGCTAAAGAGCAGATGAGGCCGGGCGCGCGGTGGCTCACGCCTGTAATCCCAGCACTTTGGGAGGCCGAGGCGGGTGGATCACTTGAAGTCAGGAGTTCAAGACCAGTCTGGCCAACATGGCAAAACCCCGTCTCTACTAAAAATACAAAAATTAGCCGGGCATAGTGGCACACGCCTGTAATCCCAGCTACTTGGGAGGCTAAGGCAGGAGAATCGCTTGAACCCGGGAGGCAGAGGTTGCAGTGAACCCAGATCACACCACTGCACTCCAGCCTGAGTGACAGAGTGAGACTCTGTCTCTAAATAAATAAATAAAAGAGCAGATGACTCCTGTGGGCAAAAGAGGTCCACTTGGGAAGTAGCTGGGCACTTCCTGCTGGCCCAAATTTACCCCTATGCCCAAGTCCTCATTCACTGTCTTTTCG
The DNA here is from genome assembly GCF_000001405.40 of Homo sapiens. Classification (NCBI taxonomy): domain Eukaryota; kingdom Metazoa; phylum Chordata; class Mammalia; order Primates; family Hominidae; genus Homo; species Homo sapiens. Next base: position 69,646,231 of record NC_000015.10, on the reverse strand, counting down.
TGGCTGTGTCCCCCATTATAGGAAAAGAAAAGGTCATTTAATGCTCTGCGTTTGCAACCTGCATTCTCCGTGGAACCCCAGGACTTCTGGGAAGTACTTCAAAGGGCTACTGGGAATAGAAGACTAGTGGTCAGGGCTGTAGTCCACACTACCACTTCAACTGGAACAACATTTTTCTACCTAAAATTTTGGGCTTCCACTTACAAGATTTGTTGAACGGCTCAGCAGATTAAAAGTAAAGGCCAGATCTACTTCTGCTTCCAGCAAGATGGAGTAGATGTACTTTTCCCTATTCCTGCTGCTATGTACAACTAAAAGTCCTCGATATTATATACAAAATAAACCTAAGGTAGATAGAAAGCAGATAGGCTAGGGACCTTAAGACTCAAGGAACTGCACAATGATGAGTTCCTTGGATTTTCTTTGTGCATGGCACATCCCAGACTTAGAGCTAAAGAAGCCAACAACCTAGAAACTGCAACTGGTGCAGATAAGAAAAGTTCCAAATAAAGTCTACTCTCTCTAGCCAAAGGACAAGTAAAGGGGCAGCCTAGTGAGACAGAAAACATTCAAGTGATAACTGCTTCACTCTAGAAAAACATCATGGCCCCACCATCTCCCATGCCAGCAAAGGTAAAGTGGGGAGCCTAAATTCTATCCTACTTGGCAGGAAGGAGGCATTCCATCCCACTGAGGTGGTATTAGGGGAGGCCTAGTGGAGAGTCAGGACTTTTACCATTGCTCAGCAGTAACAAGGTCACCCACACCTCATTATCAGTGGAGGCTGCTGGAGCTGCCATCCCTACCCAGCAGTAATGAGAGATCCCTTCTCACATATCAATGAGGACTGTGTGGAGAACCTGGACTCCTACCTCCACCTTGCAGGGACAAAGCAGTAGTCTCCCCACTGTTCAATCCCCACCCAGCTAAAGCAATGTCAAAAAAAAAAAAAAAAAAAAAAGCCGGCTAAACCAGATAGTTTAAGACAAGACTCAGAGTCTCATAATATAATGAAAAATATCCAGATATAAATTTTAAAATCACTCATCATACCAAGAAGGAAGATCTCAAACTGAATGAAAAAAGACAATAGATTTCAACACTGAAATGACAGATTGAAAGTTATCTCACAAAGAATTTAAAGCAGTCATCATAAAAAATGCTTCAATAGCAATTATGAACATGCTTGAAACAAATGACAAAATAGAAAGCCTCAGTCAATAAATAAAAGATATAAACATGAAACAAATAGAAATGTTAGAATTTAAAAATACACTAACCAAAATTAAAAACTCAGTGATTGGGCTCAACAGCAGAATGGAGGGAAGAGAGGAAGGAATCTGTGAACTGGAAGACAGAATAATTGAAATTACCCAATCTGAAAATCAAAGAGAAAATACACACATACACACACACACACACACACACACACACATTTTCAGAGACCTGTGAGACTATAGCAAAATATATTTGATTTCCTGTCATCAGAGTCCCAGAAGGAGAAATGAGAGCAGGACTGACAAAGTACTACAAGAAATAATGGCTGAAAATTTCCTAAATTTTAGCAAACCTCAAACAGGATAAAGCCAATGAAATCTACAACAAGACTTCTGGAAACTAAAGACAAGGAAAAAATCTTGAAAGTAGCCAGAGAAAAATGACACCTTACCTAAAGAAGAAAAACTAAATGACAGTGGATCTCTCATCAGAAACCATAAAAGCCAGAAGAAACAGCACAATATTTTTCAAGTGCTCAGGGAAAAGAAGTGTCAATCCAGAATCCTACACTCAGCAAAACTGTCCTTCGAAAATGCAGGATATTCACAGAAATCAAGATATTCACAGATAAAGGAAAACTGAGAGAATTTGTTTACAACACACCTACCCTAAAAGAATAACTAAAGAAATTTCTCTGAACAGAAAGAAAACTATTGAAGAAGAAACCCTGGAATATCATGATGAAATAAAGAACATATTAAGCACAAATATGAGTAAAAACAATAGACTTTCCTTTTGTTATTTAGTTTTATAATTTATGTTTGATGGTTGAAGCAACAGGTACAACACTGTCTAATGTGGTTTTGAATGGATAAGAGATATAAAGGATATGACGTTTTCCACACTTCATCTGGATGGTAAGCTGATCATACCAGTAGAATGTAAAAAGTTATGAATATATAATATAATACCTAGAACAACCACTAAAATCCTATACAAATAGATATACTTAAGAACACTGTAGAAAAATCAAAATAAAATCCTCAAAAATGTTCAAGTAACTCATAGGAAGGCAAAATAACAAACAGAAGCAGAAAACAAACAAGAAACAAAAAATAAAATATCAGCTTAAACTCTGACATATCAATAGTCAAATTAAATGTAAATAGTTTAAATACACCAAGTAGAAGATAGAGACTGGCGGAATAGATTACAAGTATGACCCAACTAAATACTGCTACAACACACTCACTTCAAATATAATGACTGATATAGTTCAGATCTGGGTCCCCACCCAAATTCCATGTTCTATTTTAATCCCCGTTATTGGAGGTGGGGCCTGGTGGGAAGTGGTTGGATCATGGGGCTGGATTCTTCGTGAATGGTTTAGCACCATCCCTTTGGTGCTGTTCTCATGACAGAGCTCTCACAAGATCTGGTTGTTTACAAGTGTGTAGCACCTCCCTTACCCCACCTTGGTCCTGTTCCTGCCATGTAAGACGCCTGCTCCCACTTTGCCTTCCGCTATGAGTAAAAGCTCCCTGAGGCCTCCCCAGAAGCAGATGCTGCCACGCTTCCTGTGAGCCTGTGGAACCATGAGTCAATTAAACCTCTTTTCTTTATAAATTACCCAGTCTCAGGTATTTCTTTATAGCAGTGGGAGAACAAACTAATACAATGACAAAAGCAAGTTGACAGTTTTTTTAACAAATGATATATATATATATTCAAAAGAAAGCAAGAGTGGCTATGTCAATAATCAGATAAAGTAGACTTTGGAGTAAATAAAATCACCAGAGACAGAAAGAGACATTATGTAACGATAAAAGTGTTGGCTGGGCGCAATGGCTCACACCTGTAATCCCAACACTTTGGGAGGCCGAGACAGCGGATCACCTGAGGTCAGGAGTTCGAGACCAGCCTGGCCAACATGGCAAAACCCCATCTCTACTAAAAATACAAAAATTAGCTAGGCGTGGTGGCGTATGCCTGTAATCCTAGATATTTGGGAGGCTGAGGCAGGAGAATCGCTTGAACCCAAACGGCAGAGGTTGCAGTGAGCCAAGATTGCACGACTGCACTCCTGCCTGGGCTACAAAGCAAGACTCCACCTCAAAAAAAAAAAAAAAAAAAAAAAGTGGAGATGGCTACCTGGCTAACATTCAAAACATCTAAAAAACTAGGCTTGCACACAGAACTGTTGTGTCAAAGCATTAACTGCGGCTGGGCATGGTGGCTCACGCCTGTAATCCCAGCACTTCGGGAGGTCAAGGTGGGCGGATCACGAGGTCAGGAGTTCAAGACCAGCCTGACCAACATGGTGAAACCCTGTCTCTACTAAAAATACAAAAATTAGCCGGGCGTGGTGGCGGGTGCCTGTAATCCCAGCTACTCAGGAGGCTGAGGCAGGAAAATCGCTTGAACCCGGGAGGCAGAGGTTGCAGTGAGCCGAGATCACGCCACTGCACTCCAGCATGGGCGACAAAGTGAGATTTCTTCTCAAAAAAAAAAAAAGAGAGAGTCAACTTACCAAGAAGACCTAACAATACTAAATGTGAATTCACCAAATAAAAAGATGCAAACTATGTGAAACAGAACAAAACTAAAAGAAGAAATTATCAATAAAATTTGAGACTTAACTATCCTTCTGTCAACAATTTATAGAATGACCAGACAGAAAACCAGTAAGGATATAGAAGTCATCACCGTTAACAATGGATTCTCATCACATTTATAGAACACCTCACCCAATAAAAGCAGAATACACATTGTTTTCAAGGGCCCACAGAACATAAACCAAGATAGACTGTATCCTAGGCCATAAAATAACTCTCAAATTTATAACAATAGAAATCACACAGAGTATTTTCACCAACCAAAATGGAATCAAACTAGAAATCACTAACAGAAAGATAACAGAAAAATTTCCAAACACTTGGAAACTAAAAAACATGCTTTCAAATAATCCACAGATCAAAGAAGTCTCAAAGGAAGCTTTAAAAATACATAGAGCTGAATTAAAATGAAAATAGAACATATAAAAATTTGTGGGACACAGCTAAAATGCTGAGGAGAAAATTTATAACACTACGTACATACATTAGAAAAAAAGGAAAAGTCTGAAGTCAATAATCTAAGCTCCCGCCTAAGAGTTTCAAAAAAGATGAGTAAAATAAAATCAAAGCAAGTAGAAGAAAGATAATAATAAAAATAAGAGCAAAACTGATGACATTGAAAACAGGAAAACAATCGTGAAATTAACAAAACAAACATTTGGTTCTTTGAAAAAATCAACACAATTGACTAATTTCTAGAAAAAAGCTCACAAATAAAAAAAAGAGAGAAGACACAAATTATCAATATCAGAAATAAAGCAGGTGATATAATTACAGATCCTGCAGACATCCAGAAACCTAATAAGAGAATACTACAACAAATCTACACACATAAATTTGACAACTTAGATGAAATGGACCAAATCCTTAAAAACTGCCACAATTCACCTAACGCAAAATAGATCATTAAAATTGTCCTATAACTGTAACTACAACCTATAATTATTCAAGGAAAGTAAATGACTTTTCTTTAATTCACAAAAACAACTCTCCAGTCCCAAGCATACAAATCCCAAATGGTTTCACAGGTGAATCCTACCAGATATTTAAAGAAGAATTGACACCAATTCTACATAATCTATTCCAGAAAATAGAAGAGAAAGGAACACTCCCAATTTTTTACGAAGCTAGTATTACCCTGATACTAAAACCAGACAAAGATACAACGCGTTATCTCTCATGAATATAGATGCAAAAATCCTTAACAAAATATTGGCAAATAGAATTCAGCAATATATAAAAAGAATAATATACCATGACCAAATGGGGTTTATTCCAGAGATGCCCACTGGTTCAATATTTGAAACTTAATTAATGTAATCAACCATATTAACAGGTGAAATAAGAAAAATCACATGATCATATCAATTGATGCAAAAAAAAGCATTTGATCAAATTCAGCAACAATTCACAATAAAAGTTCTCAGAAAGAGAATAGGAATAGAGGACTAGCTTTCTCAACTTGATAAAAAGCATCTACCAAATACCTTCAGGTAACATTATACTTAACAGCGAACAACTGAATGCTTTCCCTCTAAGACTAAAAACAGGCAACGATGTCCATCCTCACCACTCTTATTCAACACAGTGCTAGAATTGTTAGCCAATGTAATAAGGCAAGAAAGGTAACTAAAAAGCATACAAATCAGAAAAGAAAAACCGTCTCTATGTGCACATATAGCATGATTGTCTACAAAGAAAATTTCAAGGATGCTACAAAAATACAAAATACAAGCAAACAACCTCCTAGAACTAACCAGTGATGTTCTATCACAAGGTAAAAGACAAATACATAAAAGTCAGTTGTATTTCTATACACTAGCAATGAACACATGGACGCCAACATAAAAAATACAATATCATTTATAATTGTCCAAAAAAAGAAATACTTTGGACATAAATCCAATAACATATATAAATAGGAGTTGTATGCTGAAACTATACAATAGTGAATGAAAGAAATCAAAGATCTAAATAAATGGAGAGACATACTGGGATTTTGGATAGGAAAACTCAACATAGTAAAAATGTCATTTTTTCCAAAATGATATACAAGTTTAGCACAATTGTTATCAAAATCCCAGCAAGATTTTTTGTATATATGAACAAGAGTATCCTAAAATTTATATGGAAAGGCAAAGAACTAAAATAGCTAAAAACAATTTCAAAAAGGAAGTATAAAGTGGGAGAAATCAGTCTACCAGATTTCAAGACTCATATAGCCACTCTAGTAAGGACTGTGTAGTAATGGCAGAGTAATCGACACATAAATCAATAGAACAGAAGAGAGAAACCAGGAATAGACCCACACAAATTAGCCCGATCAATTTTTGTACAAAAACAATTCAATGGAGTATAGATAGCTTTTTCAACAAATGGTGCCAGAGAAGTTGCACAGCATTCAGAGCCAAAAAAAAAAATTGACCTAAGTCTCATGCTTGATAATTACATAAAAATTAATTCAAAATGGAAAATGCAAAACTCTAAAGCTTTTAGAAAAAAATAAAAGAAAATGTTTGGGATCTAAGACTAGGCAAACAGTTCTTAGACTCAACACCCAAAGTATAACCCATAAGAAGAAAATTGATAAATTAAACTTTATCAAAACTAAATTAAAAATCTTCCCTGTTAGAAGAATGAAAAGACAAGTTACAGAATGGGAGAAAATATTTGCTAACCACATATTCAACAAAGGATTAGTATCTAAAACATATAAAGAACTCTCACAAGTCAGCAATAAAAGACAAATAATGCAATTTTAAAATGAACAAACTGAATGAAGAAGCACTTCGCCAAAGAGCATATATAGATCACAAATAAGCACATGAAAAGATGTTCAACACCATTAGCCATCACGGAAATGAAAATTAAAATCATAATGAAATGTCACTACACACCTATCAGAATGGCTAAAATAAGGAGTAGTGACAACGACAAATGCTGGTGAGGATGCAGAGGGACTGGATAACTCATACATTGCTGGTGGGAGTGTAAAATGGTAGAGCCACCATGGAAAACAATTTGGCTGTTTCTTTAAAAACGAAATATGCATCTACCACATGCTCCAGCAATTGCACTCCTGGGTATTTGTCCCAAAGAAATGAAGACATGTTCACACAAAAGCTTGTGCACAAATGTTTACAGCAGCTCTATTTGTATTCACCAAAACTAGAAACAGCCCAGAGGTCTATCAGTGGTGAATGGTTAAACAAACAATCGTACAACCATACCATGAAATACTACGTAGCAATAAAAAGGAATGAAGTATTGATGCATGCAAAAACCTGAATGAATCCCCAGAGAATTATGCTGAATGAAAGAAGGCAATCACAGAGGTTCTATACTGCATGATTCCATTTATATAGCATTCTTGAAATGGCAAAATACTTCAAGTGGAGAGTAGATTCATGGTTTCTAGGGGTCAGGGATGGGGGTGGAGGGTGAGGGGAACATAGAGATGTTTATAATAGGGCAAGATAAGTGATCCTTACGGTGATGAACATATTTTGTATCTTGTGTGTATTTTTTTTTTTTTTGAGACCGAGACTCACTCTCTCACCCAGGCTGGAGTGCAGTGGGGTGATCTCGGTTCACTGCAACCTCCACCTCCTGGGTTCAAGCAATTCTCCTGCCTCAGCCTCCCTAGGAGCTGGGACCACAGGTGTGCACCACCATGCTTGGCTAATTTTTGTATTTTTTAGTGGAAATGGGGGTTTCGCCACGATGGCCAGGATGGTCTCAAACTCCTGACCTCAAGTGATCTGCCCACCTTGGCCTCCCAAAGTGCTGGGATTACAGGCATGACCTACCACCATGCCTGGCCTGTATCTTGACTGTATTAATAGCAATATCGTAGTTGTTATACTGTAGTTCTGCAAGGATGATGCCATTGGAGAAAAAATAGGTGAAGGGTACATGGGATCTCTCTGTATTGTTTCCTACAATTGCATGTGAATCTGTAATTATCTGGAACTAAGAGGCTTAAGGGTTTTTTTGTTTGTTTGTTTGTCTGTTTTTCCTTTTTAAGTGCAGGTCATAGATCTCATCAATCCTTTCAATTCACACATGAAGAAACTCAGGCCTGGAGCGATAAAGAGGAGTTTGCTCAGGAGCCTAGCCAGGGCCACTGTACCTCATCATAAGGCCTCATCTTGGTCCCTCTTTCCTTTCAGGACTCACACTACTGCTAGTTTACATTTGTTCATTCGGAAGGGCTTTATTCTAGCCCTACTGTGAGGGTTACAGAGAAATAGAATACACGACCCCTGCCCTCAGAGAGCTTAGAGTCTCGTTGGGGAGATGCAACACGCTGTGGCCAAGTCAGTGAGAGACATAATCAGCATGACAAGAGGAGAGAGGGCTCCACAGAGGAGAAACTTAATTGAAGCCTTGAAAAGGAGTAGAATGTAGACAGGAAGCAATGGGGGGACAGAGCACCCTAGTAAAGGCTAAGCACTAGAGAGAGGCAGGCAGGGGAAGCTGGCTGCAGTAAATGGGGTGTCAGTATAGGGGGAGCAATAAGAGATAGGACAGGAATGGAACGTACAGGCCAGGCTGTCAGGGGCCCTGAATGGCAAGGCAAGGAGTTCAGCCTTGACCTTGCAAGGGCCTGAGAGCCCTTTTAGCAGCAGCAGCAGCAGCAGCCAACCCAGAGCAAGTGCCAGGCTCCACATAGAAATGGTGCCCTGGTTCACACCTCCATTCACAGTCTCATTCTTGAGCCAATTGCCCAGTCCCCACTATTCTTCTGAAACTGTCTCTTTTGAACCTTCTCGACTACTCAGTTTGCTACCTATTTTCTTGTCAGATCTTCACCTTGATTCCCAGTTGTAGTACTCATGGGCCAGGGGCAAAAGTGATTCACATGTAATAGGAAATAAAATCACTAGTGTATAATCCATCCTCAGCTTCTAAGAGGAAATGGTTCTTGCTTGCTGAGTCAGCTTCCAGACTCTGCTTTCAGAGGGTCTAGATAATGGGTGAGGCAAACAGAAGTTGGTAAGAAGCCCAAACAGGCTCAGTTGCTCTACGAATCTGATAGATCTAAATGTGGAGAGAATAACAAGACAAGATGCCCCTGTGAACCAGGGCCCTAGAGACTGGCAACACCTTTCATTGCAATGGGGAAGCCAGAAGGGAGACCAGGGGTAGAGTGAATGACCACAGTTAGGGGTCTCTGAGCTTGTGGTGCTGTTGGGCAGTCTGAGCAAAGATGTTCAGATCTCAGGTGGACTTGGCGGGTGAGGGGGTGAAGAGGCAGTTTTGAGACTCTTCCCACCCAGGTGACCTCTGCAACAATGAAGGCAGAATGAGAAAGGTTGTGGCTGACCACAAAAACTTCTTTGCTGTCTTTGGAGGGAGAAAGAATTTTCATATCCCATTCCCTTCAGGCAACCCCACCTACTCCCACAGCCCTTCTAGCCCCCAGGAAAGCCAGGCCTCCACCAAGGCTAAATAAAAGGATCCGAATCTCCAACAACACCTGCGCTTCACTCCAGAGCTGAGTGCTTCCCTACTCTCTCCTGCTGCTCTCTGTTTACACTGCACCTTAGCCTTGATTCTTCTGGTTCCTTTCCTCCTTCTCCCTTGAATCTTCTCTTCCTCCTGTTTTTCACTCTTTCTTCTCTGCCATCTTTATCTCCACCCCCCCACCTCTTTTCTCTTATTTTCTCTTCCCATTCATCTCCTCTCCAATCTTTCTTGCTCTCTTCCCTTTCTTTTCCCATCTCTTCCTTTTCTCTTTTCCTGCTTTTCTTTCTGTCTCTCTATTCTCATCTTTTCTTCATCTTTCGGTCTCTGTTCCTGCCTCCTTCTCTTATGCTGTCTCCTGAGGCACACACAAACTCACATGAATCTTTAAGAGAACAAGAAGTCAGGGAGACTCACAGAAAGGGCTCCAGCCGACTAGCATCAGCAGGCCTCCTTGATCCCCATCAGTGGGTGATGTATTACGGAAATACATTAAGGGGCTGTCCCACTGACAGCAAGCTACGGTAATATGTCAAGGTACCAGCCCTGAGATGATGAACATCCCCATAGATCAGGACACCATCACTCTGATTACATTCCAGCACTGCATGTCACAATGCTGCGGGGGCGTGATGGACGGTGGGGATCCGTCACCACGCTGATGGCCCATTCCCAGCACAGCACTCATATTGAGGCTATGATTTAGGGGCAGAGCCCATACTCCTCCCAAGATGCACACACAGCAAAAGTGGAGTCTTTCCTTTCTACAAAAGGGAGAAGTTTAAGGAGAGCAACACTTGTAGAGTATAACTTCAAGGTCAATGGCTTGGAAATCAGAAAGACCTAGGATCAAATCCCAACTCCTCTACTAAAAAGCTGTGTGACCTTGGCGTAAATTTTCCTCCCTTCCTGAGGCCATTGTTTTATATGCAAATGAGGATAATGATACTACCCTCCTTGGATTAAGTGAGCTCCAAATAATATAATCCATGTAAAACATGTAGCACAGGATGAGGCTCAGGCTCCCAGGACCATGACTTTTGATTTGTTCAGCATGCACACAGTGAGAGACGCAAACCCCAGCCTCCACCAGGCTGTCCAAGGAAGACAAAGATGATGCAGGAGGTCTCTCTCCTCCTGCATCACCTTTACCTTCACCTCTCTCCTTCCCTCCTTAATGGGTCCAAGGCCAGTCAAGGAGGTCCTGAGGACACTATCTCAAGTCAGCCACACAGCCTGTCTTGCAGGCAATCTATCCATCAGTCCATCTTTCCATTCATTCTTCATTCAGTCAATGAGTGCTGAGCATTCACCAAAAGCCATACCCGGCTCTGGGTACTGGCGACACATAAGTGGACAAAACAGAAGAAGACCCCTGCTGCCATGTGTGAGCATAATTACTCCATCCTTCCACTGGTCAATCCATCTGTCCATGGGCAGTAGCCCAGCCTGAGAGCCCTGCGAGGCCATCCCTGACCCAGACAAACTATGAGATGGCTGTGACTTTTAATTGTGAGGTTAAAAGAGAATCACATCCTGTTAGCTCTTGAAGGGAGCATAGCCATTTTCTCATCTGATCCCAAGGAGCTGGAGCCCATGGGCAGATGGTGAGTTGCCTAAAGTCATGCAAGAAGCATGAGATAATGTCAAGGCTGGAACTCAACATGGTCCCAGAACTTTAAAGCTTAACTTTAGATCCTAATGAACACCCCGTACAACACTTTCTCTTACAGGTCAAGGAGTCACACAGTTCCTGCCCTTAGGAAAAGCCAACTTCCTTGAATAGGGAAGACACAGATGCATGAAAGATTAGACCTACATCCTGTTCATATAAGCGGTCTCATTTCATTCTCACACAGCCCTGAGAGTCGAGCATTATGATCCCATTTCACAGGTGAGGAGACTGAGGGCATGAAGGTAAATAACAGATCATATTAACTCTGGCTCTCCCGACTACCTACAGAAGAGTAGAAAATTCAGATTCAGCACACATACATATGAACACACAAACACACACACACGCACACACAGAGCTTTGATTATTTTTTTTAAAAGTTTAACAATCCATTGCAAGCACATTCCCATGTTATTAAGTATTTTTTGAATATATGCCTTAAAAATGTTTTCTACAATATAAATATACTCTATTTTATCAATCCTCATTTGTTACATATATAACAATTATTTCCAATATTTAAGTCTGATAAATAATGCTCTCATGAACATCCTGATCTCATTGCCAGTGTTTTCTTAGTATGGGTTCCTAGAAGTAGGACCATGGAGTCCAAAAATATGAAAACTGTTTAAATTTTTCCAGACAGGTTGTGCCAATTTATGTTCCAATATCATCACCTAGTTGCTAACACATATCATCATCATCATCATCTCCAATCTTAATAACTGGACAAGTGAAAATGGGATTTTATTATTGTTCTATTTCTCATTTCTTTGGCTAATGGTAAAATTAAACATTTTCTCATACGTTAGCCATCTGTATGTCTTATTTTGTGAATGTTCTCTGCCAGTTTTTTTTGCTGGGATGTTAGTCCTTTTTTTCTTTAGACTTTGTTAGAACTCTTTGTATTCTTAAGGCTATTAGCCTTTCGCCATACCTGTTGCAAGCATTTTTCCCAATTTGTCATTTACCTTTTTATTTTTGTAGTTTCTTTTTTAAAAATATACATTTAGAGCTTTGTGTAGGCAATTCTACTGACAATTTCCTTCGTGATTTCTCCAATTGTTCTTAAGTTAAATATGTATTACCCACTTTAAGATCATTTAAATATTCACTTAAACTTTCATATTTTGCTATGAGGTTTTTAAATACTTAATGCTATAACTTGCTTGGAATTTGCCTGAGAAAAAGATTAAGATCTAAAAAGATTGGCTTCCAAGTAGTCAATTTTCTCAACAGCATTTGTTAATCCAACCCTTTCTCATGGATTTGCAATGCTTCTTTTTATTTCATTTTGCTTGTAAGTTTGGTTTCAGAGGTCAGTTATGTGCCACTGATGCTGACTTGTTCTTGAGCCAGTACCTTGCTGGACAGTTGCTGTAGCTTTAAAATATATTCTAATCTATGTTAAAGGAAATCCTGTCTTCGTGTTCTTTCAAAAATGTCTTAGCTGTTTTTAACTTGTCATTCTTCCAGATTCATTGTAAAGTTGTTCTGATGAATTATGAAAAGTTTCCATTGAGGTTTTGCTAGACTTATGTATTAATTCAGGAGAAACTAACATCTTTCGTTGTTCCTTTTCCCCAACCAAGAACCCGTCATATTTCTCCACTTATTCAGGTCTTCTCTTACACAAAACTCATAAAATTTTGTCACTTTCTTTATGAAAGCTTTACACATTTCTCACTGAGAATTGTTCAGAGGTAGATTATGTTTTTGTTTGCTTTTCTTTTCACACTAGTTATTGTGGGTCCATAAGAAAGTTATTGATTTTTGTGTATTTATCTTGTGTATCAGAGAGGAGAATATATTCACTAGCAATGTTCCCAGTGATAATTCACAAGAAAATTGGTCAAAGAGAGTCTGGGCGCAGTGGCTCATACCTGTAATTCCAGCACTTTGGGAAGCTGAGGCTGGTGGATCACCTGAGGTCAGGAGTTCGAGACCAGCCTGGCCAACATGTTGAAACCCCATATCTACAAAAAAACAAAAATTAGCCAGGCATGGTGGAGGGCACCTCTAATCCCAGCTACTTGGGAGGCTAAGGCAGGAGAATCGCTTGAACCCAGGGGGTGGAGGTTGCAGTGAGCCAAAATCGTTTCATTGCACTCCAGCCTGGGCAACAAGAGTGAAAGTCTGTCTTCAAAACAAAACAAAACAAAAAACAAAAAATTGGTCAAAGAGAGACAGAAAGAGAAAGAAAAGCTATGGTCCCCAAGGGTTCAGTCCTTTCCTCAGTGTGGGTGGGGAGACAATCAGAAGGTCACAAGGATGTCTGATCAGATTCAGGGCAGTGGGGTCCACCAGCGAAGGAGAAAATGTAGGTGGGAGGGGAGATGCCGGCAATGGAAGAACTACCTGAACAGAGAAGTGACTGCATACTAGCCTCTGCCCTGAGTGTGTAGTTTTGGAGAGAGAAACGAACATCTAGAGAGAATTTCTGGAAAATTTTCTATGTCGCGGGATATGTAAAACCTCTGGGCATGACAAGCCTTTTTAAGAAAGCCTGCCCTAAAAGTCCACGTGACCATTCCAGGTTTCTGGAGTCCAACTTAGATTTCCTTTTAGTATAACTCTGTGCTGAGACTAAACCATATGGGACCCTGAGATTTTTAGGGTTACCATTTATTCGGTCACGATACCAAGCTCTATTATACATTCTAAGGGTTTTTCTAGTGATTCATCTTGTTTTCTGCATATGTGATTATATAACCTAAAACCAATAATAGTTTTGTCTTATTTTCAGTAGTTAAGGTCCTTTTTTCCCCTGACTTCATGAAATTTTGCATTGGCTAGAATTTTCAGGAAAATGTTTAAAAAGAGATTGTTGGTAGAAGATATCTTTGTCTTATTCCTATTTTAAAATAGGTTTTTCTTTATCAGGTTAGACAAATACCTTCTATCTCAAGTTTTTTGAGAGAGGTGTGTGCGTGTGACGTTGTTTTCTTAAGAATGGTCATGTCAGTGGGAAGACAGAGAGAGGCATTTCTATGACAACTGCTGCCATCACCACCTATGACACTGCTTGTTAGGGAGAGAGTCTGTGAGAGGTTCTTATCCACATGGAGATGGTGCACATGGCAACGCACAGCCACAGGAGGCTGAGGAGAGAGGGGACCCCAGGCAGCCACTCCTTTTCCTCTCTGCAGATGCGGAAACAGCCATCTGGAAAGGCAGTTTATTGTGTAATTAACCCTGTAAAGTTGGTCCTCTGGGGCATTCAGGTTCTGAGGAATCCAGGTATTTATCCCAAGTATTTTTGGCAAAAAAAAAAAAAAAAATTAGCCAAAGCTCTAGAGAGAATTGAGACACTGCCATTGGCCTTTCTTATTCTTTATATTCCTGTTTTCTCTTCTTCTAGTACCCTTTTTTCTCTTCCCTCTCTTCCTTTTGCTCTTTCCTCTCTCTTTTTCTTCCCCTCTTCTCTCCCCTCCAGACTCCCTTTAACACCATCTCTTCTCTAACCATTTCCTTTTCTTTCTTCTTTTTTAACTTTTATCTTTCTTAACCATTCCTTACCATTCTCTACCACCTTTTTCCTCCTTTGTCTCCTCTCTCTCTTTCTCTTCTACCTTTTCCTTCCTTCTCTTTTTGCACTCAAAGTTCATTGTTTTCTCCCTCTCACTTCCCTGTAAGAAAAATCAATTAAAAAGGAGGGAGAGAAAAACATTATTTGCTTATGCTTGTATGGCCAAAAGCTGAAAGAGGCAAAGGGTGTCTTATCACCCACACAACGAGCAAAGCCCATATTTCTTGTTAAAGCTAGAGGGAAATTTGCTGAGAGCGGCTGCCCCCTCACACATCAGATGCAACTGACACAAAGCCAAATAGTCACAGGCAAAAGGGCCAGAGGCAGGTGCTTCCACAGCCTCCTGCACATAAACCTCGCCCTCCCCAGACAACAACCCTCCTCTTTGCTCTGCTCCCATGCTCGCCTCCCCCCACCACACACACACATGCACGAGTACACACACACATGCATGCACACATGCACACACATACATGTACATGCATGCATATGCATGCATACACACACATGCACGCACACATACACTCATGCACACACACATGCATGCACACACATGCACACACAGACCTGGCCTGGCTGCCTATCCAGAGCTGCTGAACATGCATGGGACTTCACTTCTGCCCCTCCTGCCATCCTGGGCCTCTGCTCCTCTCCTCTTTCTGTTCACAAATCCCCCACGACCTCCCAAGCCGAGTTCAACTCCCACCTCTTCCATGAACCCTTCCCTGGCCACCTCAACTATCAGTACCCTCCTTTCTCTAAGCTCCTAAAGAGCCATGGGATTCCAGCACTGCAGGCACCTAAAACTCACCTAGCCCAGCATTTTCCCAACCAGAACATATCTGGGACTTTGGAAAGCCATATAATAAGCAATATCTATTAGCATTCAATGGTAAGAACAAATAAAACTGGATCCTCTGTGACTGAGAAACCACACAGGACACCCCTTTCCATTGTTCCTCAATGAGAGTGTGACAAGCTTCTCAAAGTCAGGAATCTTGACTCAGCATTCTTTGTGTTCCCTGATGCCCACCATCAGCTGAGCACATAGTAGGCATTCAAAAAGGACTTGAATGAATGAATAAATGAGTGAACAAATGGCTACCTGTGTGGGGTGAGCAACTAAACAAATGAGGTGAGTGTATAAACAAGTGATTCAGAGAGTGAGTGAATAAATGAATGACCGCAGGAACAAATCCTTAAACTGTCATTTTAATAACTGAAGCTGGGTAAGAAATGCCAAGGAAATGTCTTTAGTAATGCTTCCCTTCTTAATGATGGAGAAGTAAAAAATGAAGCCAAGGACGGAGGCTGAGTTGGGAGGTGCCGTAGTGGAGAGCAAAGAGCGCTGGCCTTAGAGCCCAAAGACCTGTTTCCACCCCACATGTGAATCTCACATGGCATCACAGTGTTCCCTGCTGTGCCTCCCTCTCAGATTTGTGTGAGGCCAAATGAGATCGTGGTTAGGAAGCGTTGGGCGTACTCTGAAGTGCTGCACATACACATTGTATTTAATCTTTGAACGAGGTCAAAGGAAGTCAATAGCAGGCCAGGCTTGCATCTGCACATGTGTAGGGACCAGGGCCATCTTGGCCGGCAGAGCAGCCCTCTCTTAACACTGGGGCCACCACACAAGCCTTGGCTGCTTCAAATCTCAGACGCTCAGGACAAAGAGACACTTAAGAGCCCCAGAGCACCTAAGCTGACGAGGGAGTGGACCCTCAGAAGGGCTGCAGGTGGGACAGGCTGTTCACCCTCAGGGTACCACCCACAGTGGAAATGCCCGGTGCCCACCTGCGCCCAGCCCTCTACTCTCTCCCACACCCTCTTTGGACGCGTGGAACTTTCAGCACCTGCATTTTGCTGAAGCACACACTTACAAGCTCTTCTGAAAGAGCAATGGGCAGAGGAAATGGAAAATCTGGGGCCTGATTCACACTTACCAATACTCAGAAAGTCCCCAAAACAGCCTCCACAATGGGGACCCGCCCGCCCGCCTGCCCGCCCAGCTGTCCCCAGTGCCTCGTGATGGATGTTCCCACTTGCTCATAAGTGGCGCCACGTGGAAGGCGCAGCTGTGTGGAGCCTTGCAGAGACAGCCCGCTTTGCCTCAGCCATGAGGCTCCTAGGTCACTAGAGCTGTGGACCCCAAATGTCAGCTAGACCAGAGGTTTTTAAGTACTTTGTAAGCAATAGAAATCTTAATTTGATTAGAAGTCCTTATGAACCCGTCATTAGAATAGATGTAAGGAGAGCTGTCTCTGATTGTAGTAGGGACTGAATCCCTACTCCCCCAGCCCCACACACAGGCTTGGATCATGTGCACCACCCCTTGAAGGCTCCTGAAACAGTTCTGCAAATTGCTAGGACAATGTCAAAAACAGGCCTCTTTTTAACAGTGGGTAAACTGAGCCCCAAAGAGAAGACAATTCATGGCCAAGATCAAGCTGCATGTTGATGGTAAAAGTAGAGCTGGAATCCTGGCTGCCTGTCACCCCAAGACCTGTGCAGAGGCAGAAGGACTATGCTTATGAGAATTAACTTCTGAGTCAGGGTGAAGTGATGAAGAAATGCCAACAGGTGTCATTGGATAGCCCGAGTGGACAATATGGTCTTGCCCCAAAGCCTTGCTACATTTGTAAGGGGCTTTGGTAGCCTGAGTTACTCCTGGAATCAATTAATCAAGAGGAGCCCTAGCATGAGAGCCAGGGACCTATGTTCTAGCTTCCACTCTGCCTCGCACCTGCCAGAGACTGGGCCTGTGACTGTTTCACTGGAGTTTGACTTACGATCTCTGGGATCCCTTCCAGCTTCAACACTCCACATCCAGGTAATGAGGTGAAGTGTTCTCACCTACGGATAGTACAAGGATTCCTCTAGGGAGGAAATGGTCTCTATCTGGAGAGAGATCTTCATGAGGAGATGGAGAGGCGTGGAGGCATGTGATGGTGCTGCAGCCAAGGCCGTGGGGCAAAGGCCAGCCTCCTCTGTAGGGAACAAGGAAAGAAACGGGAGAGAGAATCAGAGAAGGCAGGGACTGGGGAGCAGCAAGATGGTGCAAAGCTGTAGCTGCCTGGAGCAAAAGGCCAGAGAGAAGCACCCAGCAGTGGAGTGGCCAGAAGGGCATTTTAAGAATGGGAGCATCTCATGTTCAACTTGAAGTTGTTTGCATTGCAGTGATGTAAATCCTTCCTTCATCCCCACCCCCGCCCCACCCCGTATCTTCAAATAAATCTGCCTCACCCACGAATGCTTTGCGCCAGCAGATTGTTATGTGGAAAATGAGAAGCGGCTGAGCTTCCCATCTGGGTCCGTGAGGTGTGGGATGAAGATAGTAAGTGTGAAAGCAAGACTCTGAGGCAGCCAGAGCCAATTGAATGTGTAGCTTCTGGAGAGGCTCAGAAATCTTAGGGTCCTTGGATCTCCATGGAGGAGGAATTTGGGGATCTGAGCCAATCTTACCTGGATCTCAAGGAACAGGGAAGACCCCCTGTGACTTATAAGCTGAAATATTTATGTTGTCCAACCATGAGCTGTGGTATGTGAAAACTCAGAGAAACAGGAGGCAGTGGTCGTGAAATTTTAGTGCATCTAAGCAGGACCTTGGAAGCTTGTTAAAGGTGAAGGTTCCTGGTCCCATGCCATAGATTCTGATGCAATGGGACTTGGACAAACACTGGGATGAGGTGGTGACATGGACCCAGCCTTTGAAGAGCCTGAAATGCCGCTGGCTGCTTTAGTAACAGGATTCACCTGCAGGCCTCTGGCCACTGCCCATTCCTATTGGTCAAGAGCCCACAGGCCCAGCATGGAGCAACCAATTCTTGCTGTGAGCCGCCATCTTTGCCTTAGGATCTGAGTTCCTGACAGCCATGGTCATTGGCTCAGCAGTCCTTTTCTGCCAATGCTAGCCCTTAGGGAACACTGCACCTTCTGGGCAGAAAATGTCTCTGACTTGAGCTCTAAAGCCTGTGGTATGTGCCTGAGAGCACGTTCCCTGCCCCCCATCCAAGCACATCTCCAGGACCTGACTTCTTTCCTCCCTGGACCCATGATTTTACTTGTCTCCACCCCAGGTGGCCCCCCTGGACATGACCTGGGCCAGCGTGCCATATATCCCCTCATGTAGGACTTCCCTTGGACATAGTTTAGATGGGAGAAAATAAGGCAAATAGTGTTAGAAGACAGAGAGAAAGATTTCCTCAAGATAGCCAATCATAGCCTGGGATGCTGGGCCAGATGATGACCAAAGAGTCAAGAGGCACCCAATAAGCAGGTCAGCCCAATGAGCAGAAGAGAGCGCCATGGGCTGGGGGGTTTCTGAGAAGGGCCCAAAAACCTGGAGGGGTTGGGGGGAGAAATCAGAGTTTCATTCATTCATTTATTTATTCTTGGTACAGACATGTGCTGAACACTTCTACATAGGGATACATGCATAAATCAGCCCAACCCTTTTTCTTAAGAAGTGCACCCTCTAGGAGGGGGTAGAATTGGTCCTTGAAAAGTGACAAGATTCTGAGCAGTAGAAAGGAGGTGGAAAGGCGTTTTAGGTAGAGGGAACAACCCGAGCTGAAGTGCAGAGGCAAAATGTAGGCTCAAGAGCTGAGGAGTTGACCAACCTGAGTAAAATAGAAATATATGGAAATACATGGTAATTTGACAGACCTTTCCTGCGCTCTGTGCTGGACCTGGGCTAGGTGCTGGGGATATGAAGGTGAATAAGGAAATCTCTGCCCTCAATCACTGAAGGCTTTATTGTCATTCCAGGAGGTGTGCAAGAGCCAAAGGGCAGGCAACTCCTCTCACAAAGCATTGCAGGCAGTAAGTGTGGGTATAGAGCTGACCCAGCCAGCCTAATTTCCAAGCAGAGGGACGGGAGGCAAAGTCTGAACTATTAAGACAGCTGGCGGAGTTGGCTCCAGCTGCCCGACATGAGATGAAATTTAGTTTGGGGAGATAACCTTTGGGTGCCGTAATTAAGTCCCTGGGCTCTGCCTGGGAGGCCACAGCCTTAATGAAAACAGCCTGAGAAAAACAAATAGCACGGTTGGTGCTCTTGAAGACATTCTAGTTTAAATGTTCAGACATACAGCACCTACAAACATACAGGGTGGGGTACAATCCCAAAACATGCCACTTTCCCTTGCAAAATGACCCTGGTCAGAGCAGGCTGTGGGGAAACCTCACCACTGATT
This sequence comes from Homo sapiens, assembly GCF_000001405.40. Classification (NCBI taxonomy): domain Eukaryota; kingdom Metazoa; phylum Chordata; class Mammalia; order Primates; family Hominidae; genus Homo; species Homo sapiens. Next base: position 69,626,530 of record NC_000015.10, on the reverse strand, counting down.
TGTGCAATGAAGGCATCTTGGGTCAGGGCTGGGGAACGGTGGAGGGTTTTATTACTTTTTGTTTTTGTTGCTTTCTTTTTTCTTTCATGCTTTTTTGTTGTTATTGTTCTCGATGACGTCTGAAAAGTCAAGGCAGCTCTTGGTGGTGATGTTTGGAGCTGTGAAGGTGCCTGGGGTCACCGAAGAACAACTCGTGGTTGGGTGAGGAGCCCTGGAGGAAACTGCCCCAGCCTGGGAGTCAGAGGAGGTCTGTCCCAGCTCTGCTGAAAGCTCTGTGACCTTGGGTGAATGAATTTCTTCCTCTCTCTGGGCCTGCTTTTCAGTCAGCCTCTGGCCCCTCCACACTGGGCCAGAGCCCATAACTCTAAGAATAAGAAATTATTACATTAACAACATAGAGGTCAAGGGAGAGGGGCAAGAGTTGAGGCCTTAGATGAAGCAGGAGCTTTCAGAAGTAGATTCTGGCCTTTGGCCAACGTAACTGCAGGTTGTTGGAAAATGGGGTGCTGATAAAAGAAAATTTTAGGCCAGGAATGGTGACTTGCTCCTGTAATCTCGGCACTGTAGGAGGTCGAGGCAGGAGGATTGCTTGAAGTCAGGAGTTTGAGACCAGTCTGGGCAACATAGTGAGAGCCAGGCTCTATCAAAAAAAGAAAGAAGAAAGGAAGAAGGAAGGGAGGGATGGAGGGAGAGAGAGGAAGGAAGGGAGGGATGGAGGGAGAGAGAGGAAGGAAGGATGGAAGGAAGGAAGGAAGGAGAAAGAAAAGAAAGAAAGGAAAGAAAAAGAAAGAAAGAAAGAAAGAAAGAGAAAGAAAGAAAGAACGAAAGAAAGAAAGAAAGAAAGAAAGAAAAACAAGCAAGCAGGTTTTTCTTTGGAAACAAACCATATGATGATGATGTGGGGTGTGTATTTCATTCTGCTTTGGGTAGGACTTGGTTTCTAGTTTCCATCAGCATGACCTGAAGCTGGAATAACACCCTCTGTGTGTGCTGGCCACTCGGCTTAGCACCTCCTAAGGACCCAGGAGACAGTATTGGAAACCAGAGCAGGACAAATGGCCAAGTTTTCTTCAATTCAGGAAGAGAGGAGAGAGAGGGAAATCCCAGAACTTTCTCTCCTCCCATGTGCTGGTAGATGGTTAAAAACAAACTTGTTTTCATGTTCCCACAGTCATTTCAGAGCTGGAGGAACAGAGTCTCCTACCAGGCTCACTCTCTGGTATTTACTGAGCTCCTCAACCTGCCTTTGCAGCCCCCTTCCCCAAGCCCCCTCTGTGAATCAGATTTTTCTCAAGACAAAATGTTTCCAAAGTCTGGACAAGGGACAAGAATACTTGCTTTTTAGGTCTCCTGTTTTATTCCTCCCCATTGTTTTGTTTCATGTCCTTGATGGAGCACGAAGCCTTGATCTCCTGGTCCAAGGGGATCTGGGTGGTGGCCAAGCCTGGTGGTGACCCACTGTCCACCTGTGTCCAGAGTTAGGCCATGCCTTCAGGAGTGGCTTATCACAAGGTCTCTTCCCATGGTGAACGTAGGGCTCTGGTCCAGGGCTCCAGAATCAGGTGGGTGGGAACCCAACTGGCCACAAGGGCAGCATCTGATTCTGCGGAAGAAGGGAGCTCCTCTGTGAGAGCTGCTTCTCTTCCCTTGGGAGAACAGAGTTGGTCTGGACCCAAGGAGCATGTCCCAGATGGAGGAAGGAAAGCACTTCAAGTAGGTGTCTTTGAACTCAAAAATATATTAAAAGATGATCATGTAGGTGAAACTAGCAGGCACTTAAAACATGTTTGAAAGAAAGAGTGGGAATGATCAAGAATGAGAGGAGAGGGAGGGAAGATGGCAGAAAGGTGGGAAGGCAGGCAGGCAGGAAGGGAGGGAGGGAGAGAAGGAGGGAGGAAGAAAGGCAGGAAGGGAGGAAGTCAGGAAGGAGGGAGGGAAGGAAGGAAGGAAGTTACTTCACTTCTTGAAGGCTCAGTTTTTCATCATCTGTGAGATAGGAATAACATCCCTTACATCGGGCTGGTTGTGAGAATTAGAAGACATAACTCCTGTGAAAACCCCAATACAAAGCTGGTGTTCCAAAAAACATCACAGAGGTGAAGTAACTGCCCAGTGAGGCACAGCTTCCACGTGACTGAGCTAAGGCTGGAACCCAGGGGAATCTGACTCTAAAATTAGTAATTTCCACACCACACCCCAACCTTCTTGGACATGAGTTCACTGAGTCTAACACTTAGTCACATGGTGTCTTCAGACAACATGGTGACTCCCACCCAGGGGTGCTCAGAATCCCCCCTTCACCAAGCCCCAAATAACAACCCAAGGAGAGACTAGCTCATGCTGGAATTCACCAGAGGAAACAACAGAAATGTCTCCCCATGGAAATGGACAACAACCTGCTGAGAAATTGACGTAGGGAGTGGCTGGGAAAGGGTGGTGAGCCCCAGTTTCTTTTCAGATTGATGCCACCTAATAACCTCAAGCTGCAGAACTACCATGAGTCACTGCCTTCGGTGCCTCTCAGCCCTATCACCTCTCCCACATCCCAATATTACACAGGTTCTCACATGTTTTTTCTTTAAACCATCTCAGTCCCAGCCCAAGAGTCCCCTAGGCCTCCCTCATATCTTCAGCCAGGACCTGGTTAGCAGACCCAATGGGCACTAGGGCCACCCATGTCAGGCAGGAGGTAGGGAGCCCAGAGCCCAGTGCTGGGGGAGGCTAGGAGGTGACTTTAGCATCTCCCCATCCCTCTGCAGTTCTAGTTAATCTATGTGCTATATACCAATCAAGGTAGAAATTAACATAATCAGCATAATTCCCTGGACACACAGTTTTAGTTTCTTTAAATATGTGTGGTTCAGACAATAAGAGATCCTTCCCTTTCACCAGAGAGATCAGAATGACCTGGAAGCTTTCTGGGGTGGGGACAAGAGTATGTTTGCTGAGAGCATCTGTGCTCCAGGCACTGGGCCAAGTTTTATAGAGCCATTCAGTCTTCAAGACCATCCCCAGGAGAAGTAGGACGTTGTCTCTCTCAGGTAAAGAAGCTGAAATTCCAAGAGTATAAATAACTTAACCAAAGGCACACTAGATTCCAACTTAAGGCAGCTTACAGTCAAAGCCAGGCAGTGTTCCATTATTTCTTTCTGTTTCTAGTGTCCCCCAAACAGGAACCAGCCTTTTCCTTCTACACCTAAGAGCATGGTGGTTCTAAAATCTCCAGGATCTAAAGTCTTCTGCAAGCAATGCACCAAATTAAAGATGGAAATTGAACACTCTTGGATTAGTTGTCAAGACCCTCATTGGTGAGTATGCCCTTAAATATTAAAGTCAATAATCAGCACTGAAGAAAGTTTAAATATTTTGTGGAGCCAAGATGGCCGAATAGGAACAGCTCCAGTCTACACCTCCCAGCGTGAGCGACGCAGAAGACAAATGATTTCTGCATTTCCAACTGAGGTACCGGGTTCATCTCACTGGGGATTGTCGGACAGTGGGTGCAGGACAGTGGTGCAGCGCACCAAGCGTGAGCTGAAGCAGGGTGAGGCATCGCCTCACCTGAGAAGTGCAAGGGGTCAGGGAATTCCCTTTCCTAGCCAAAGAAAGGGGTGACAGACGGCACCTGGAAAATTGAGTCACTCCCACCCTAATACTGCGCTTTTCCGACGATCTTAGCAAACGGCACACCAGGAGACTGTATCCCACGCCTGGCTCAGAGGGTCCTATGCCCACAGAGCCTCGCTCATTGCTAGCACAGCAGTCTGAGATCAAACTGCAAGGCAGCAGTGAGGCTGGGGGAGGGGCGTCCGCCATTGCTGAGGCTTGAGTAGGTAAACAAAGTGGTGGGAAGCTCAAACTGGGTGGAGCCCACCGCAGCTCAAGGAGGCCTGCCTGCCTCTGTAGACTCCACCTCTGGGGGCAGGGCATAGCTGAATAAAAGGCAGCAGAAACCTCGGCAGACTTAAATGTCCCTGTCTGACAGCTTTGAAGAGAGTAGTGGTTCTCCCAGCACAGAGTTTGAGATCTGAGAACAGACAGACTGCCTCCTCAAGTGGGTCCCTGACCCCCGAGTAGCCTAACTGGGAGGCACCCCCCAGTAGGGGCAGACTGACACCTCACACGGCCAGGTACTCCTCTGAGACAAAACTTCCAGAGGAACAATCAGGCAGCAACACCTGCTGTTCACCAATATCTGCTGTTCTGCAGCCTCCGCTGCTGATACCCAGGCAAACAGGGTCTGGAGTGGACCTTCAGCAAACTCCAACAGACCTGCAGCTAAGGGTCCTGACTGTTAGAAGGAAAACTAACAAACAGAAAGGACATCCACACCAAAACCCCATCTGTATGTCACCATCATCAAAGACCAAAAGTAGATAAAACAACAAAGATGGGGAAAAAACAGAGCAGAAAAACTGAAAATTCTAAAAATCAGAGTGCCTCTCCTCCTCCAAAGGAACGCAGTGCCTCACCAGCAATGGAACAAAGCTGGATGGAGAATGACTTTGACGAGCTGAGAGAAGAAGGCTTCAGACGATCAAACTACTCCGAGCTAAAGGAGGAAGTTCGAACCCATGGCAAAGAAGTTAAAAACCTTGAAGAAAGATTAGACGAATGGCTAACTAGAATTACCAATGCAGAGAAGTCCTTAAAGGACCTGATGGAGCTGAAAAACATGGCATGAGAACTACGTGACGAATGCACAAGCCTCAGTAGCTGATTCGATCAACTGGAAGAAAGGGTATCAGTGATGGAAGATCAAATGAATGAAATGAAGCAAGAAGAGAAGTTTAGAGAAAAAAGAATAAAAAGAAATGAACAAAGCCTCCAAGAAATATGGGACTATGTGAAAAGACCAAATCTATGTCTGATTGGTGTACCTGAAAGTGATGGGGAGAATGGAACCAAGTTGGAAAACACTCTGCAGGATATTATCCAGGAGAACTTCCCCAATCTAGCAGGGCAGGCCAACATTCAGATTCAGGAAATACAGAGAATGCCACATAACTACTCCTCGAGAAGAGCAACTCCAAGACACATAATTGTCAGATTCACCAAAGTTGAAATGAAGGAAAAAATGTTAAGGGCAGCCAGAGAGAAAGGTCGGGTTACCCACAAAGGGAAGCCCATCAGACTAACAGCTGATCTCTCGGCAGAAACTCTACAAGCCAGAAAACAGTGGGGGCCAATATTCAACATTCTTAAAGAAAAGAATTTTCAACCCAGAATTTCATATCCAGCCAAACTAAGCTTCATAAGTGAAGGAGAAATAAAATACTTTACAGACAAGCAAATGCTGAGAGAGTTTGTCACCACCAGGCCTGCCCTAAAAGAGCTCCTGAAGGAAGCACTAAACATGGAAAGGAACCGGTACCAGCCACTGCAAAAACATGCCAAATTGTAAAGACCATCAAGGCTAGGAAGAAACTGCATCAACTAACGAGCAAAATAACCAGCTAACATCATAATGACAGGACCAAATTCACACATAACAATATTAACCTTAAATGTAAATGGGCTAAATGCGCCAATTAAAAGACACAGACTGGAAAGCTGGATAAAGAGTCAAGACCCATCAATGTGCTGTATTCAGGAAACCCATCTCACTTGCAGAGACACACATAGGTTCAAAATAAAGGGATAGAGGAAGATCTACCAAGCAAATGGAAAACAAAAAAAGGCAGGGGTTGCAATCCTAGTCTCTGATAAAACAGACTTTATACCACAAAGATCAAAAGAGACAAAGAAGGCCATTACATAATGGTAAAGGGATCAATTCAACAAGAAGAGCTAACTATCTTAAATATATATGCACCCAATACAGGAGCACCCAGATTCATAAAGCAAGTCCTTAGAGACCTACAAAGAGACTTAGACTCCCACACAATAATAATGGGAGACTTTAACACCCCACTGTCAACATTAGGCAGATCAACGAGACAGAAAGTTAACAAGGATATCCAGGAACTGAACTCAGCTCTGCACCAAGTGGACCTAATAGACATCTACAGAACTCTCCACCCCAAATCAACAGAATATACATTCTTTTCAGCACCACATCACACCTATTCCAAAACTTACCACATAGTTGGAAGTAAAGCACTCCTCAGCAAATGTAAAAGAACAGAAATTATAACAAACTGTCTCTCAGACCACAGTGCAATCAAACTAGAACTCAGGATTTAAGAAATTCACCCAAAACCACTCAACTACATGGAAACTGAACCTGCTCCTGAATGACTACTGGGTACATAACAAAATGAAGGCAAAAATAAAGATGTTCTTTGAAACCAACGAGAACAAAGACACAACATACCAGAATCTCTGGGACACATTCAAAGCAGTGTGTAGAGGGAAATTTATAGCACTAAATGCCCACAAGAGAAAGCAGGAAAGATCTAAAACTGACACCCTAACATCACAATTAAAAGAACTAGAGAAGCAAGAGCAAACACATTCAAAAGCTAGCAGGAGGCAAGAAATTACTAAGATCAGAGCAGAACTGAAGGAGATAGAGACACAAAAAACCCTTCAAAAAATCAATGAATCCAGGAGCTGGTTTTTTGAAAAGATCAACAAAATTGATAGACCGCTAGCAAGACTAATAAAGAAGAAAAGAGAGAAGAATCAAATAGACGCAATAAAAAATGATAAAGGGGATATCACCACCGATCCCACAGAAATACAAACTATATCAGAGAATACTATAAATACCTCTATGCAAATAAACTAGAATATCTAGAAGAAATGGATAAATTCCTCAACACATACACCCTCCCAAGACTAAACCAGGAAGAAGTTGAATCTCTGAATAGACCAATAACAGGCTCTGAAATTGAGGCAATAATTAATAGCTTACCAACCAAAAAAAGTCCAGGACCAGATGGATTCACAGCCGAATTCTACCAGAGGTACAAGGAGGAGCTGGTACCATTCCTTCTGAAACTATTCCAATCAATACAAAAAGAGGGAATCCTCCGTAACTCATCCTTATGAGGCCAGCATCATCCTGATACCAAAGCCTGGTAGAGACACACACAAAAAAAGAGAATTTTAGACCAATATCCCTGATGAACATCGATGCAAAAATCCTCAATAAAATACTGGCAAACCGAATCCAGCAGCACATCAAAAAGCTTATCCACCATGATCAAGTGGGCTTCGTCCCTGGGATGCAAGGCTGGTTCAACATACGCAAATCAATAAACGTAATCCAGTATATAAACAGAACCAATGACAAAAACCACATGATTATCTCAATAGATGCAGAAAAGACCTTTGACAAAATTCAACAACCCTTCATGCTAAAAACTCTCAATAAATCAGGTATTGATGGGACGTATCTCAAAATAATAAGAGCTATCTATGACAAACCCACAGCAAATATCATACTAAATGGGCAAAAAGTGGAAGCATTCCCTTTGAAAACTGGCACAAGACAGGGATGCCCTCTCTCACCACTCCTATTCAACATAGTGTTGGAAGTTCTGGCCAGGGCAATCAGACAAGAGAAGGAAATAAAGGGTATTCAATTAGGAAAAGAGGAAGTCAAATTGTCCCTGTTTGCGGATGACATGATTGTTATCTAGAAAACCCCATTGTCTCAGCCCAAAATCTCCTTAAGCTGATAAGCAACTTCAGCAAAGTCTCAGGATACAAAATCAATGTGCAAAAGTCACAAGCTTTCTTATACACCAATAACAAACAGAGAGCAAAATCATGAGTGAACTCCCATTCACAATTGCTTCAAAGACAATAAAATACCTAGGAATCCAACTTACAAGGGATTTGAAGGACCTCTTCAAGGAGAACTACAAACCACTGCTCAATGAAATAAAAGAGGATACAAACAAATGGAAGAACATTCCATGCTCATGGGTAGGAAGAATCAATATCGTGAAAATGGCCATACTGCCCAAGGTAATTTATAGATTCAATGCCATCCCCATCAAGCTACCAATGACTTTCTTCACAGAACTGGAAAAAACTACTTTAAAGTTCAAATGGAACCAAAAAAGAGCCCACATAGCCAAGTCAATCATAAGCCAAAAGAACAAAGCTGGAGGCATCACGATACCTGACTTCAAACTATATTACAAGGCTACAGTAACCAAAACAGCATGCTACTGGTACCAAAACAGAGATATAGACCAATGGAACAACAGAACAGAGCCCTCAGAAATAATGCCACATATCTACAACTATCTGATCTTTGACATACCTGACAAAAAGAAGAAATGGGGAAAGGATTCCCTATTTAATAAATGGTGCTGGGAAACTATATGCAGAAAGCTGAAAGTGGATCCCTTCCTTACACCTTATACAAAAATTAATTCAAGATGGATTAAAGACTTAAATGTTAGACCTAAAACCATAAAAACCCTAGAAGAAAACCTAGGCAATACCATTCAGGACATAGGCATGGGCAAGGACTTCATGTCTAAAACACAAAAAGCAACGGCAACAAAAGCTAAAATTGACAAATGGGATCTAATTAAACTAAAGAGCTTCTGCAGAGCAAAAGAAACTACCATCAGAGTGAACAGGCAACCTTCAGAATGGGAGAAAATTTTTGCAATCTACTCATCTGACAAAGGGCTAATATCCAGAATCTACAATGAACTCAAACAAATTTACAAGAAAAAAACAAACAACCCCATCAACAAGTGGGCAAAGGATATGAACAGACACTTCTCAAAAGGAGACATTTATGCAGCCAAAATACACATGAAAAAAATGCTCTTCATCACTGGCCATCAGAGAAATGCAAATCAAAACCACAATGAAATACCATCTCACACCAGTTAGAATGGCGATCATTAAAAAGTCAGGAAACAACAGGTGCTGGAGAGGATGTGGAGAAATTGGAACACTTTTACACTGTTGGTGGGACTGTAAACTAGTTCAACCATTGTGGAAGTCAGTGTGGCAATTCCTCAGGGATCTGAACTAGAAATACCATTTGACCCAGCCATCCCATTACTGGGTATATACCCAAAGGATTATAAATCATGCTGCTATAAAGACACATGCACACATATGTTTATTGCGGCACTATTCACAATAACAAAGACTTGGAACCAACCCAAATGTCCAACAATGATAGACTGGATTAAGAAAATGTGGCACATATACACCATGGAATACTATGCAGCCATAAAAAAGGATGAGTTCGTGTCCTTTGTAGGGACATGGATGAAGCTGGAAACCATCATTCCAAGCAAACTATCGCAAGGACAAAAAAACAAACACTGCATGTTCTCACTCATAGGTGGGAATTGAATAATGAGAACACATGGACACAGGAAGGGGAACATCACACACCGGGGCCTGCTGTGGGGTAGGGGGAGGGGTTAGGGACAGCATTAGGAGATATACCTAATGTTAAATGATGAGTTAAGGGGTGCAGCACACCAACATGGCACATGTATACATATGTAACGAACCTGCACGTTGTGCACATGTATCCTAAAACTTAAAGTATAATTTTTAAAAAAAGAAAGAAAGTTTAAATATTTTGTTAAAATTTATCAAAACTGATGTGCCAATTAGCAACTGAGCATCAGTCCAGTCCTGTGCCACGCACATTGCAAGGTTCAAATGAAGCCTAAGATGTTCTTAATGGCCTAAGTGGGAAGACAAGATGTTACAGGAAACAGCAGAGAACAATGTTTGACAGTTTTAAATCAAATACAAAGAAACTTGGCTCCACCACTATGTGGCATTGAGCAACAGTTTTAATCTTATTGCAGCTTCATTGCCTTATCTGAAAAATGGGAACAGTGATACTATCTCCCTACAGAATTACTATGAGAATTGCATAAGGCAATCACTGTTCAGCTCAGTGCCAGCTGAACAAGCTCTCAGTAAGTGCTGGTTCGTATCCTTGTTGTGGTCGTCAGGAGTTTGGGAAATAATATTTATTAGAGAGCTCCTCCTTTGTATCTATGGCCATTCAAGACACCTTCAAATCCTCAATTCAATTAGTCCTTTGTCATTTGCCTCATTTTCTAGAAGACAAAGCTGAGGTTTGGGGACTCGTCACACAATTATTCACTAGCAAAGTGAAAGCTAGGACTATTTGATATCAAGACAGATAAGACCAGCTCAAATCAAACAAACAGGTATGTTTTTAGCATTGTTAGGACCCTAAGATCTCTAGAATGTTCTGGAGCAGGCTGTACAGTAGGAGGTTCTGCAATGATGGAAATGCCTGCATCCACATTGGCCAACACAGTAGAGCACTTGAAATGTGGCTAGTGTGCCTGAGAAACTGAATTTTTAATTTTAGGTAATTTTAGTTAATTTAAATTTAAATAGCCACACATAGCTAGTGGCTGACATATTGGACAGTATAGGGCTAGACTACGGTTGGCACCCTGTTTAACCTTGCATCCGAGTCCCTCCCCATCAGTTCCAATGTCTCATTAGTGGTAACTCACTTGCCCGGGTCCCCTGGCCCTGTACTCCCAACTGGCATCCCATGTCAGTCTCTGTCTCCCTCCCCTTTTGCTTTGGTGACACTTTCTGCCCGCCTCACCCAGCTCCTCCTAGGTCTGGCCCTCGGCTTCCCTCTGTTTGACCCTGTGCTCTGGCTTCCTATTGCATCTGCTGAAAACTCCCCAAACCAGGGCCAGGGCTCCTGGCTTCTTCCCCCTTATCTCAATACCCACCCTCCTACCAAGAATAATCTACCAGGCACAGGTCCTGATGCCCCGGAGGTGTGTGTTTGGGTTGGGGGTGGGGTGGAGTGGCAACAAAGGAACAATATGTTCCAAACTGACTCAAGCAAGACATTCCAGGGTATTTACTTCTTTCCATATGAGAAATACAAAGAGAACAAGTGAAGGCCCTGCTTCAAGGAGCTTCCATAGTCAGTGGGGAGCATGAGGCAAACTAAAAATGCAAGAAAGCAATGACCTTGCAGCACAACATGAAGACACATCACAGCTACTCAGGCCAAGTGCGCATTCAAACCAGAAGTGCTCTGGGCTTCAGAGGAGAGAGGCCTCTCTGGGCTGGATTCATCAGGCTGCTCCTGGGAGAAGGCAGAGGGGTCCCCTCCCAATTCAGGCTCTGTCTCTCTCCACCCTGCTCTGGCTGGGAGGCTGACCCTTATAAGGGCCGCGCGAGGGTCTTCTTGTCCTCCCTCTCTAAGTTGGGTTTGGCCAAAGTTGATGGGCAACAGGGGATGCACAGCAAGAGGAAAGAGTAGGGTTTGCACTCCTCTGGCTTCCTCTCTGCCGAGCTGAGGGTTACCAATAACCAGTTTCCTCCAGCGAAGGCCATGACTCCCACCAGGCAGTCCTCACTTATGGCTGTGGGCCTTCTGTGGTTTCCCTCCCTCGCCTCACCTCTTCCAGCCTAGGGACAGTAGCAGCTCCCCACTGTAGTCGTCCCAGGGTTCTACAACATCTCATGTTGCTCTTGCTGTGCCCTGGCCATTCCCTTATAAAGCATCCCTCCTTAACTCTCTTCAAACCCCTTTCTGATGCATCAGCTGTTTCTTGCCAGGACCCTGATTGATACAGGGTCTATGCCGGGTCTTAAAGGATGAGCAGGATTGATACAGGCAGAGGAGCAGAGAAAACCTGAAAAGCAGGCACAAGGCTGCAGGAGCAGTGGCAGAAGACAGAAGCCTTGCTCAGGAGGGCCAGCACAGTGGGGCTGGGGAGGGGCTTTGTTAGGTGGGGATCTGGGCTGAAGCTGGGGCCAGGCTGTGGAGGCCTTGATCACCCAGTTGATCACTATGAAAGGGGGAAACTAAGGAACCCATGTCAAGCTGGGATGGTGCACTGTTTCAGGGCCATGGGTTACTAGGAGCCCTTGAGAGTTTAAAGCTTCTATGGTACTAGCTGTGGTTATCATGCGGGCGACTGATTTTTAAATCTACGTGACACCATTGCAGTATAAATAAAAACTGCACTTGAATAGAATTCCACTCTGGCTTCCATGACAATCAAATGAGAATATCATTAATATTCAAGAACATCTCTTCTGTAGCCAATGGCCTATGGAGTACTATTAATAAATACATACTCTGTCTGTTAGACAGGAACTTTCAAATCCCACCTCTTAGCACCCTATTGGCTAAGCAAATACAAGGACATACTACATATACTTAAGTGTAGACACACTGTACTTGTCAGTTTTCCCCCTGCATAATTCAGATCTTCTCAATCTTGGGAAGAAGCAGTTTCTAATACATATTTTACACCAGATGCCATTTGAACAGAGTACGGCATGCCTGAAATGTGATATGCAATGAGATTGGGACTATTCCTTGGCAATACTTGATGACTCCTAGGAAAGCATATTGACCTCTACTGCCTTTATAGCCAAGAGAATGTGGGCACTTGGCTGGCATTTGCAAAGTCAGAGCTGTCAGAGCGGCTGTTGCTCCCTTAGCTGAAGCAATGCAGAATTCTTTAATAGAATTATGCATTTATACATATAGAACTATGCTAATATCTTAAAAGATAGGTGAAAAAATCTGACTATATTTTCCAAATTAAAAAAAAGAGAGACTGCTTTGGCTAAAATTTTGCCAAGATACCATAATAATGAAAAGATTTTTGCATCATCTACATCATCTGCCTCCACCTGTTGATTTGCTGAGTATCAGGACAGCAGTACTTTGAGCTTCAGCAGATTTTTTTTTTAAAGAAGGATTTTATATATTCCTTACCTTTTTTTCATGGATAATTGATAATGTTGATTACCTAAATAGGCCTAAGATTTCAGGGTTAAATACAACTGCTGATTTGATTGCATTTTTTTCCACCATCCTAATTAATTCATGTGGATGAAAAGTCCGCTGTGAAGAACGCACAGGAGGTGAAAACGAAAGATTCCAGGGATCCATTGGAAGCACTACCAATTAACTTACTGTTCTGTGAAAATCATTAACACGTGAAACTGACAAAATTAAAGCATCCATACATTTGCCAAGGGAGTATACAATGACACAGCATGTCTCCAAGTTTTTCCGTAGAATGTTATCTGTTAATTTTATTTTTGACAATTCCTGCCCCTGTATCTTCAGCAAAACGTTTTTTCTCCAAATTAAAACCAATTAAAAACTATTTAAGGAACACTCTGTGACAACAATGTTTAACAGAATTAACACCACTCGCTGCAGAAACAAGGCAGCAGAAGTTGCGAAACTTATCGGTGATTTTGCTAATGCCAAATCACAACGGGGACATTTTAAGTTTTCTTCTAATTTTCAAATTTGTCTGTGTTGCCTGCATAGTTTTTGGTGCTGACATGTTTTACAGTATAAGTTTTGAAGTTTGTTTAAATAGTTTTTTGTGTGTTATATCATGAAAGAATGATATTTGGTAATGAATATGGTTTTCTATTTTATTGTGTACGGGAAGGCACTACATAAAGGTTGAACCCATTATTGTGGAGTACACCACTGTATCAAGAAGAATCTAAGATAGTTACACTGTATTTGTGCAGTGAGTAGCAACACTAAGGAATTACAGTTCTTCTGAAGGGCAAAGGGGAGAAACAAAATGTTCCATCTTTGCTATGCACTGTGCCATGCATTTTACTACATTCATTGTTTATTTTCATCTTTCCAACAACTCTGAAAGGCAAGAATGTGCCTATTTTTTTTTTTTTTTTTTTTTGAAATGGAGTCTCCCTCTGTTGCCAAGGCTGGAGTGCAATGGCGCGATCTTAGCTCACTGCAACCTCCGCCTCCTGGGTTCAAGCAATTCTCCTGCCTCAGCCTCCCGAGTAGCTGGGATTACAGCTGCGCACCACCATGCCTGGCTAATTTTTGTATTTTTAGTAGTAGAGACGGGGTTTCACCATGTTGGTCAGGCTGGTCTAAAACTCCTGACCTTATGATCCGCCTGCCTCAGCCTCCCAAAGTGCTGAGATTACAGGCGTGAGCCACCGCGCTCAGCCAAGAATGTGCCTTTTTACAGGTGAAGGGATTTTAATTTGGGAGATTAAGTAACTTGCTTAAGGTCAAATGACATGGAAAGATTCTGATCCAGGTCTATCTGGCTCTAAAACCCTCATAAGAACAAAAAAGGCTCCCATGAACCCAAGACTGTAAGATGTTGTCTGCCTGCCTTAATGACTGGCTGGAATGGTGGAGCTGGGGGTCACAAGGCAATCTTAGGCTTCTGACGTGATCTGAAGGCATATTTAGCATCAGTACAATCCCTTGGCACTGCTCCAAGAGCTGCCCCATTTGAGCTGAGGGCACTCACAACATTACCTCTATAATTAGGCCTGCCAGATAGGTGCTCAAAGGGCCACCTGGGGAAGGGCAAAGACTTAAATGTGAGTCTCAGCTCTGCCATTTATAGCTCTTGGGCTAGGCACTTAAACCTGCTGCACCTGAAAAGCACATTTAGGAAAAAAAAACTGGGTGATGGGGGCGGGAAATAATCTATCAAACATTAAAAGGCTGTCTGGAGGAATCACTTAAATGACCTGCGGAAAAAAATCTTTGGAAAGTAGCATATATACAGGTTCTTCTGCAGGCTATGAGCCTGCAGTGAAGGGGCACTGGCCCAGGTTCAGGATGCTGCCTTAGGTCTTTGTTGCTCAAAGTGTGGCCCACAGACCAGCAGCATCGGTATCACCTGGGAACTCATCAGAAATTGAGGCTATTGGGCCTTAGCCCAGACTTCTGATTCAGAATCTGCATTTTGACAAGATTCAAGTGTACACATTCAGTTGGAAAAGCACTGCCATAGGCCTCTCAGTCTGGCTTTCCAGGTCTCAAACTCCAGGGCATTTAAATAAGAAGGTTAGCTTCATTCACTTCTCAATTATTCTTATTTCAAAAATAGAATTGAAAAGGCTCTTGAAGACATCCAATCCAGGAATGGTGAATACCCGCAAGGGTGCAGCCATCCTTCCCAGAGACTAGAGCAGACATTGCTAATCAATCAGGAAACTCTTCCATGGTGCTCAAAAGCAGCTGCACCATCCCCTCCACAATGCAGTCCAGAAAGCCTGATGGCTCTTCCATAATTACCATGGGTATGAAACCTATTTACCACCCCTGACCCCCGCTATGTGGCCTAATCCCTTCTTTATTCATAGGTCGACCTTATCTCCAGTTTAAGCCCATTTTCCCAACATGCTATCCAATTTAACATTCACCCCTTCAAAAGTGTTCAACAAATTATATGGTTACACTGCTTAAACAGAAACTGAGTGTTTCCAAAATTAAATGACGTCCCCAAAGATGGAGAATCCTATTCCTCTGGCTCAACTCTCATCTTCATGTCACCTCTCTGTTCCACCACCCACTTCAACATTTTAGACCAAGGGAGGGAAGACTTTAAACCTCACAAAGAAGTTTAGAACATTACCCTGGTGCTCCTGAAATCCAAGGTAGAAAGACAACGGAAGTTTTTTAAAATGCTCTGAGACCTCGAACCACACTCCCATGTCCCCTGGCCACCCAGCCTTGTCACCTGCTTGGAGCTGGAGCTGGCATCTTCATGACCAGGAAACGGTGGCATGCTGAACCTGCCTCCCCCAGGCTCTTCATTCAGTGTCCCAGCCGCCTGCCTCAAATGCTACAGGCAAAGCACTCTGAAATAGGGTGATATTCTCAATTTAATTTTTGTTCACATGTAATAGGAGATCGATACCCTCACTAAGCTGCTGTGCCCATCAGCCAGTAGGAAGCAGCCTATGTTTTTGGAAGGCAAATCGTTAAGAACTAGAATACAGTATAGGCATGTACACCGGCTGCATCCAATTTCAAGTGAAAATTAATGGCAAATTCTTGTAACCACATTAAGAGCCATTGTCGTTCATTTGAAATCAGTTAAACATGAAAACAATATGAAAACCTTCTTGAGTTCATGGAACATAAATATTTGTCTGTATTTTTTGCCAGTGCCCCAGAGAGACCAGGAGATGCTGGCAGATCAGTGTTCTAAAAACATGCTCATGAAGGGGGAAAAATAAGGAACCTGACTCTTGTTGGGTTGAACTACTTGTCAACTTTTCCATTTCCTCAGTCAAAAGATAATTAAACAGTAAGCAGATGTCAGAATCTAATTGATGCAAGGAAAGATTGCTCAATGTCTTATGGTGCTTTGTCATTGTTATGTACTGTCTGCAAATAGCCCCTTGGCTGGTACAAGTAGCAGAAAGTCAACCAGTTAGCTTCTCTTCCCATGGAGGCAGAGGCTCTCCCAACAAACATACCTGTGTTCAGTCACTCTGGGTGTCAAGAAGCACATAAGAAAGTTTCTGGGACAATGTCTTAGGCATATTAGAACAGAGAGAAGCTGTGGCTTTTCAGAAGAGTGGGGAGAGGGGAAAAGGAGAAAGAGAGAGATAGAGAGGATGGGGGAGATGGAGGTGAAGAAGGGAAAGGTTGAGAGATGAGAGAGAAAAAGAATAGGAAAAGACTCAGAAAAAGGAACGGTTGGCAGAGGGAGAGAGTCCCAATATGGTAAAATCAAAACGGCATGGTCTTCAGAGTCAAGCCTACTGCTTGGTCATCCCTTTCCAGCTGTGGGAACTTAGACCATGTATTTGACTTCCCTGAGTGCATTCTTTCCACTGACCATTGGATATCATATTCCCTGCCCGGGCCTTCCCACGGCTTGATCTGAGATGTAAGGAGTCATAAGTATCAGAGTCTGAACATTGCAAAAAACTGCACAACTGCTTCAATTTTTAAAAAAAAGAGTAGAAGGAAATCGGGTGAAAGAGAATTAAAACAAAGTTGGGTGCCAGGACAGTGGCTCACATCTGTAATCCCAACACTTTGGGAGACTGAGGTGGGCAGATCACCTGAGGTCAGGAGTTGGAGACCAGCCTGGCCAACATGGTGAAACCCTGTCTCTACTAAAATTAGCCGGGAGTGGTCATGGGCGCCTGTAATCCCAGCTACTCAGGAGGCTGAGGCAGGAGAACCACTTGAACCCGGGAGGTAGAGGTTGCAGTGAGCCGAGATTGCGCCACTGCACTCCAGCCCAAGCAACAGAGTGAGACTCCATCTCAAAAAGTAATAATAATAATAAATACAGTGGGGTGTGGGAGAGCTGTCTCTCTGTTATGCTCCCTTATGGGGAACCCACAGCAGTGCTGCTTGGAGTTCAGTGTGACTCAGAGATGAGTGAAAGAGCTCTTTCAGATTCTACTGTAGATTCCTCCCCTTAAAACACACACACACACTCTCTCTCTCTCTCTCTCTCTCTCTCTCTGCTCTCCGTGGGAGAGCATTCAAATGGTGTCCAGGAACCGAGGTGGACAACAGACTTGAAAAACAACTGCCAGCTGGGCACAGTGGCTCACGCCTGTAATCTCAGCACTTTGGGAGGCTGAGGCGGGTGGATCACCTGAGGTCAGAAGTTTGAGACCAGCCCTAGCAACACAGTGAGACCTCGTCTCTACAAAAAAAAAAAAAAAAAAATTTAAAGATATTAGCAAGGTATGGTGGTACGTGCCTGTAGTCCCAGCCGCTTGAGAGGTTAAAATGGGAGGATTGCTTGAGCCTGGGAGGTCAAGGCTGCAGTGAGCTGTGATTGCACCACTGCATTCCAGCCTAGGAAATAGAGTGAGATGCTGTCTCAAAAAAAAAAAAAAAGAAAAAAAAGAAAACAAACAAACAAACAACTGCCGTGCTATGTCCATAATGTCAATCCACATACCACTGGGTAAAATCATCGTCCATGGCTTCCCCCTTCAGGATGCACCTCTTCCGTGGAGGGCTGTCAGCCACCACTTGCAAACAGACTCCCGTCAGGCCATCTCACCAGTTACCAAACAGCCAGCATGGCCAGTAAGACTAAAACTCAGATTCTTATTGTGTAACTTATTAGATGCTCTGTTCCAAAGAAACAATTGACTAATGAACTGGGGGGTTCACACTTCGTCCCGTCTCATCTCTGACACTACCTTACTGTGTGGTCTCAGATCAGCGCGAACACCCTCTGGGCTTCCACTTTCCTATATGGGAAATGATGTGGAACAGCTTGAATCTAAGAATCTTTCTACTTGTGACATTCAAAGTCTTCACAATTTACCCATCTGATATCTAAGGTAAAAGCTAGAATCCCCTTCCTCTTTACATCCCTCCAGATTCCTTTCCACACTCCTTCACTCCTCTACCCACACAGGAAGGCTGACCTGCAGAGACTTTTTTTTTTTTTTTTGAGTTGGAGTCTCGCTGTCACCCAGGCTGGAGTACAATGGTGTGATCTTGGCTCACTGCAACCTCTGCCTCTCAGGTTCAAGCAATTCTCCTATCTCAGCTTCCCGAGTAGCTGGGACTACAGGCACCTGCCACCACGCCTGGCTAATTTTTGTATTTTTACGAGCGACGGGGTTTCACCATATTGGCCAGGCTAGTCTCAAACTCCTGACCTTGTGATCCGCCTGCCTTGGCCTCCCAAAGTGCTGGGATTACAGGCATGAGCCACCACACCCGGCCCCTGCAGAGACTTTCTAAGGGGCTCCCTTGCGCTCTGGCTTCCAATTGGTCTCAATTAAGGGGTGCTCATTCTCCTGACTCACCGGAGAGCTCTCCCCAAGCTGACTACATCTCTGTGGAAGGTCACAGCCCTGTGGTCTTCTCTGCAGGCCTTCCTCCTTCCAGGTTTTGTTAACAGTTTCCTCCCCTCGCTTCTTCAGGCCTAGAAGTGGTAATAGCTCTCCTGCTACTGGGAGTACCTGTTGGTGGTAATAGCCCTGGGTACTGTCCCTTGTGGTTCTCCCACTCCCTGCCCACACCTAGGTAAGTAGTCACAAGAGGGCCTCTGTGTGGTAACATGGAATCAGGGGGCAAATGAAAGGAGGGATCAAGGAAGACATCCAAGGAGAGGAGGCCTTTGCAAGGTTGGCCTCAAACCTGTTTGGAAGAACAGGAAGAAGTTTATACAGGCAACAAAGGGGGATAGCATTTTAACCAAGAGAATGGTGTGGATGCAGCCAGGAGGCCAGGCATTCTGGGAAAGGAGAGTAGACCTGACTGTCTGGAGGGAAGACCTTGGGTAGAGAAGGAATGAGGGGCATGGTTGGAAAAGCAAATGAAGGCCAGATGGTAGCAACCTCGAACGTGAGACGAAAGCCTGGGACTTCATTCTACAGGCAATGGAAGACTCTGGATGGTTCTTGAGCAACGGAATGGCCCAATCACACTGAGCTATTTTAGGAATGTTAAGCTGGTGGTGGAGAGCAGATTGTAGTGTTACCAACTGGGTAGCCCTACGCAAAGGGAACAAAGGAGGATGCCAAAAGTGACTCACTCATCCGCCATTGCTCCTGAGCAGTGGGGCAGAGGCGGTACAGACGTTCCCCCCCAAGCAACTCTCATGCTTATGCCAGCCTCAAAAGAGCAGAGCGGGAAGTGCATGGCATCCTGAAGATGTAAGGGAAAACACATTCTTGGAAGAGATCTCCTCTCAAAGCCATCCACCCACAGCCCCCAGAATAAGGGGTAGGCAATCTGTTTCTCCTGGCATCTGATTCAAAATGCTCCCGAGGCCAAGAGGACCTAAAAGAATTCCTCTGCTCGTGTGTGTGAGAACAGCCCAACAGGGGACCATCTGTCTCAGAACAAGCCCCCCAATGTGGAGGCAGAAACAGTAGCCCCCAAAGGGGTGCTATTTCAGTTTTCAGGAAAGCATTCTGCAAATGTTCCCAGCCATTAACTGGGGATCTCTCTATAGCACTCTGTTAGTTCTCTGCTAAATAGAAACCAAGTGGGGGCCACTGTCCCTGACATCTCAGTGTGGACATGTTTAGGGTGGGAAGATTCTGAGGGCTCTGATCATCTGAGATAGTACAGACCCAGCAAGCAACAGAAAGCTGAAAGGGATGCAGATTCAGGAGGCAGAGACTTCACAAACTACCTGCGAAAAATTCTGCTCAGGATTGACCCTATATCTCCTCCTTGAAGTGAGTGCTGTTAGTTCTAGATGGGCCCAGGAAGGGACCCTTCTTCCCCAGGGGGTGCTCCATGGCCCACTCTAAGGTCCACTTCCCTGACCGTGCCCTAGTGATATGGAGTTTCTATAGTATTTCAAGGGAGGCACGATGGTTGTTTGGACTAGGGAGGAAGCAGTTAGAGAGCCCGTTTGAAGAAAGCTCTGCAAGACTCAAATATTTAGGGATCTAGTAGATGAGACAGAGCTAGCAAAGGAGGATGGGGATCGGTGAGCTGGAAGGGAAACCAGAAAGCGACTGTCACAAAGCCAAGAGAAGGAAGTGGTCAGAGGCATTGAATGCTCTTGGAGGGTGAGTATAATGACAACAATTATAGAGGTCATTGATGATTTTGAAAACAGCAGTTTTGGTGGAGTGGAGGAAATAGAAGACCTACTTCAGCACCTCTCCTAACCTCTGGGGTAGATATAGTTATCCTCATTTCACAGATAAAGAAGCTGAAGCTGAGAGAGATGATCTGACATGCCCTGCTGCCTGTAATCACAGGACCATTGATAGTGAAGCTGATGGTGATGTTGATGATGGTGACGATAATGGTGACGGTGACAGTGACGGTGGTGATAGTGATTGCGATTTTAATGGTGATGGTGATGTTGGTAATGTTGATGGTGAGGTTGAGGATGATAGTGACATTGGCAGCTGTTCAGATAAATTTTCTGTTCAGTCAGAAATTGATCATGATTATAAAGTAAAAATTACCTGGTCTGTAAAATCAGACAGATCCAAAGCTATATCCAAGCCAGTCAGCAACACATAAGCTTTACAACCTTTGAGCCTCAGTTTCTCTAGCTGTGAAATGGAGATGCTATTGCCTGCTTCAGAGGACAGTTGGGAGAATGACATGCATGGGGAAGCACCGGGTTCCTAGTAGGCCCTCAATAAATGTTTGTGTAGTGCATTTGTTTCCAGGGCAAAGTTAGAGAGCGCAGTGAGCATCAATGGATGAGTCTTATCTTCCCTAACTGTTCTAGCCCTCCCCACCCTAACTCTACTCCCCAACCTGAGTGAACTCCAACCCTAAGAGAAGACATGGGCATCTTGGTGACTGCCTGCTCCCCAGGATCCCTACTTCATGCCCACACATTGCTCTGGCAATGGTGCCCTGCTGGGATCCCCACCACCCTCTTGTCTGTCTTCCCGGTTGATGCATGCCCAAGATACTCTAAAAGGAAGAGGGATGGGATAAGCACTAATACTTACCAAGTACTACTATGTGTCCAGCTTTCTGCTGGTATTCAACTGGGAGAGAGGTGGTGTAGGCTTTTAAGAGCTTGGGCTTTGGAATCAGACATGTCTGGAATTAAGTACTTTCCCTCCTTAAGTTGTTATTCAAATATCACCTTCTTCAAGAGGCCTACCCTGACCATCCTATTTATACTGCACCCTCACCCACCCACCCTGCACCCACAACACCTTCCCAGTCACACTAAATCTGTTCCACTTTTTTTTTTAGAGACGGAGTCTCACTCTGTCACCCAGGCTGGCGTGCAATGGCATGATCTCAGCTCACTGCAACCTCCGGCTCCAGGGTTCAAGAGATTCTTGTGCCTCAGCCTCCAGAGTAGCTAGGATTACAGGCACCTGCCATCACGCCCGGCTAATTTTTATATTTTTAGTAGAGACAGGGTTTCACCATGTTGGCCAGGCTGGTCTTGAACTCTTGACCTCAGGTGATCCACCTGCTTAGGCCTCCCAAAGTGCTGGAATTACAGGCGTGAACCACCGCACCTGGCCCTCTTCCACTTTTTTTTTTTAATCCCTTTCTAACTTGCTACATGTTTTTCTTATGTCTTATGTTTGCCTGGCTTTTTTCCACTGGATTGTAAACTCCAAAGGGTAGAAATTATTACTTGTTTTGTTCACTGGTGCATCACAACAGTTAAAATAGGGATGACACCTGGGAAGTGCTCACTAAACATTCACAGAATGGATGAAGCAACAGCTCTATCCTTAGCAACACACACATAAAAAGTAGTTCACCTATAATTGAATTTGAACCAGATCTGTCTGGCTTCAAAAATCAGGGCCATTTTTACACCAATAAATTTCAAGTTTCTCCCTGGTCATAGCCCCCTACTTATTCCCACCCCTAATCTCTAGAATATTTTCATCTTGAAGTCTCACTCTTAGATCAATCCATTCAAGTATTACAGGGCTCGGTTGCTATTTGAGGAAGACTGAATGTTTCCTGGATTCAAGAGAAGCTCACTTCCAGTTCAGGCACCATGCACGATAAGAGGAACCCGTGCTCTGTGATAAACCAAAGAGAATAGCTCCATCCACCCCAGCTTGCCTTATGGGAAGCAATTTCCATTTTAAATGCTCCCCAGTCAAGTCAACTCCAGGTCCAAGGGGCAGGACGCCCAAGGTCTAGTCTGTGTTTGCTCCAAGAGGTCCACCTACTGGGAAGATGCAGGTAAGTCAAACAAACCTGTTTGTCTTCCCAGTACAGCAAACAGGAAACAGGGCTTATTCTTCTGCAAGGCCTCCCTGCTGGACCCGTGAGGCATGATTAAAATAATGGGAAGGCAAATATTTTCCTGGAGAAAATGATAAAACTGGAGGCAGGGAAAGCAAACAGTGGCTTTCAAAAGGGCAGCTGGCATGGAGCTGCCCCAGGAGGAGTTAGGGAAGATTCCAGAAGGGGGGAAGCATGTGGTCATGAGCTCCTGGCTTGGAGGAATGTGAGGGCTTTGCTCAAAGCCCCAAGCACTTCAGGCTCAGGGGGAAGCTATGTTATTCACTCTTCTTACCATTAGAATTATAGTTGTTTTTGAGGTGGAGAGAATTCAGGCAACAAGGTATAGGACAGGACAGAGCTCAAGCTAAAAGCCAGGGGTGCTTGGGCTTGAATTCTATTACTCATTCATTGATTGATTCATTCACTCATTCATTCATGCAGTCAGCCAGCCCCTTCAGACATATATATTGAGCACCTATTGTGCAAGGCTTTGGCTGGTGCTATGTGGTCTTGAGCAAGTCCTTTATCCATTCTGAGCCTCAATGCTCTCATCTGCAAAATGGGGCTGCCACAGGATTGTTGGGAAGATAAAAAGTGATGTTCAAAAAAGCACTTAGCACAGCGTCTGGCCCATAACTGACTTTCAGATACAGTCACCTTGGGAACCTCCTCCAGCTGACCAGTCCCTCCCTCCTCTTTCTCCACACTCCAGCCAGGTGTCCTCATTGTCCCACTACCTATGGCCCATCATTCAGTCTGGCCTCTTGGCCTTTTCGTGCTGTTCCCTCCACTTCAGATGCCCTTCCCACTAAGCAATTTCCACTCAGGGATCCCACAAGGACTCTAAATCAAGCAAGTTCCTGATCAGCCTCTTTACCCTCTTGTCCCTCCAAACCTAGTCCTTCTGTGCATCCCCCACTCCTGCCTTTCCAGAGACCTGGGAGGCCTCCAAGGAGACTCCTTCCCACTCAGCCAGTGCGGCACCCATCAGCAAGGGTCATGCAGCCTCAGCTCAGTCATTCTGCAGTGCCCGGCATGGCTGACTCACTCAGGGCTCTAGTTGAGCACAAACTTTTCTTTCCCTTCTTGACGTCCTATCCCCCACTGAGACCTTAAAGCTCTATTTAAGCACTTGTTCCACCAGGAAGCCCCCCTGACTCCCTCAGTCTGGATTATCCGTGTTCCTTGTGTGGTTTTCCCCAGAGCACCTGAGCTTCACTTAGCCAACACATCACTCCATGCTATTCTGAAGAGCTCCTCCAGGCCTAGGAACATGGTTCATTTATCTCTGCATCCTCGTGGTCTGGTCAAGTCTTCTTGGCACCTGGAGGACTCAAGAAAAGCTTGAACTGCATGGCTCAAATCTAGGTCCTAGAGGTGGGGGCTCTGATGACATAAGACTCACTCTGTCGTCTGGGGTGAGGATGGAGGAAAAGGGGTGTTCAAAGACAGCTTCCAGGAAAAGGAAATGCACAGACTTGGAAGGGGAGACAAAGTTAGCAGAGAGAGAGGGTGGAGGGGGTCCCGGGCTGAGGGAAAGGCACGTACAAAGGCCTGTCAGAGGCTTTGGGGGCCCTGAGAAGGCCTGGGTGACTGGCTAAGAGACCTTCAGAGGTCTCTTAGCACCTTTTCCTACAGATGGAAAGGCTCTGAGGGTCCTGGGCTGGGGCGAGGCATGAGCACACTGTATTTTGGGAAGATCTATAGAGTGCTGTGTGGATCAACAATCAAGAGAGGTCACACAATCAGTTAGATGGCCAATGCCAGGCTCAACAGGAGAGCTGCTGGTGGCCTGGAGAGAAGCAGATAGAAGGATGCCAGGACAGATGGGGTGGGATCAACGCCACGTGGTGATAGATCATGTGTGAGAGACAAGGGAGAGAGGGGTCAGGATGGCCCTGCGAACTAAGGAATTCTTTCCTCAAAGGCCCACGGGCCTCCAGCTGACCCCTGCATGATGACTCCTCCCTCCTCCAGACCAAGACAGGGGTTCCGCCACCAACAGCTGACCAGCCAGGCTCTGCTCTCCTATTCCAAGAACAGAGGTCTCTCTCTGAGGACTCAAAACTGTCAGAAAGTTGCTCCCTTGACTGTATTGAAAGTGAATCTCCTCTACTTCCACCTTTCCGTCCTAGCTCTGCCCTGAGAAGAGGGAAAAATTAAAGGTGGAGAGGCAGCTGGGGAGAGAGATAGCACTTACTGAGTACTTACTATGTGCCAGGCATGGTAACAGGCACTTTATCAGCAAGTTGCCATTCTCCTGTGCAATAATCTATGAGGTGACATATTTATTATGCCCAATGGCTAAGGGTGGAGCAGACAGCATGGGTTCAAATGCCAGCTCTGCACTTTTTACTTTTGTGACCTTGAGCAAACAAATTAACTATTCTGAATTTCAGATTTTTTCATCTAAAAAATGGAAATATTTATTATCCCTAATTCACTGGGTTGAGATTATGGGCAAAAAGCATGGAGCACATTTTACAGTATGAATTCAATACATTAACCTGTTTTCATTGTCTCTATTTTACAAATGAGGGAACAGCACACAGTCACATGCGAGAGCTGATTCAGACCCAGGTCTCTCGGCTCCAGGGCCAGTGCTCTTTCCTT
The DNA here is from genome assembly GCF_000001405.40 of Homo sapiens. Lineage (NCBI taxonomy): Eukaryota > Metazoa > Chordata > Mammalia > Primates > Hominidae > Homo > Homo sapiens. Next base: position 69,601,506 of record NC_000015.10, on the reverse strand, counting down.
CACTCCACCATCTTGCCTGCCACCAATACTGTAAGAAGCCACTCCACGGAAGCATTCCAGATGGGGGTGCTCTGTGTAGTACAGTCAGGGAGAGTGGTGCTGACAAGAGCTGAAGCTGAGGCTGAGGAGGGCAGGATTGAGGGATTGAGAGTCTTTTTCCTCACTCAGGCAATAGCAATGCTTGTGGAATACCTGCTGTTTGCAGACCTTTGTGCCAGACCCTGTAGGCAATGCAGAGGAGGGAAAGCATGCCCTCTGCCCTCAAGGAACTGAAAATCTACTTGGAAATATGAGGCACACAAATATGAATTCATTGATGGCCAATCAATGGCTGTATAGAGAAATCAATACCTGTTGCATTTCTTTTTGTTGTAATGTTAGCCCAAACCATGAAAACCACAGTCCTAACAAATGCCAAGGCCTGCATTTGGGATCAAAATGATTAACTGCTCCAGGAGCATCCTGGCTTGGCAACAGGCCATGTGAAAAAGACCCAGGGGTTTTAGGTAACCCCAAAGCTTCATATGAGCCCATGTAAGGACTGTGGCTGTTTCAAAAGCTAATGCGATCCTGGGGTCAGAGATGGAGGTGTAATGTTCAGGTCAGCAGAGGTAACTGGCACAGGGCTCTTTTGGAAAGCTACCAGCCCTGGGTGCTATATTTCACTGGGAAGGCAAACCAAGAATGTCACCCAAGAGGTGAGAGTTCAGGAGCCATGCCCCTTGAAGTGTCATCTAAAGAAACTGTGAACACAGGCCTGGGCAGGGAAAGGGCTTGGTTGAGTGTGGGTGTCATCCTCAAATACCTGTCATGTGTAGGTAGCCTGGCAAGGCAAGAGACCAGCGTCCAAGCTCCACAACTTACTGCGTGGGGTGACCTTAGCAGGTGACTTAACTCCTTTGAGCCCCAGTGTCCTCATTGGAAAGATGAGAAAAATCACTCTCTATGGTGTTGTGAGGATTAAATGAGATAGCAGAGTTGTATACAAAGCAGTGCTCAGGAAAGCTTCATCTCCTTCCTTCTCTAAGACATTGAAGGCACGTTTTGAAATGGAAGAACATCATCAGCTGCAAAGGAGGAGAAGGGGGATAGATACATGCCCTCACTAGCACGGCTGAAGAGGGCAGAGTCCCAGTGAAATGGCCCACCAGGGTCCAGAGATCCTAGAAGGAGGTTCTACAGAGGGGCCTCAGGGAACCAGGGTCATGAGATAAACACCGGGGTATGCAGGCTGCCAAGGAGGAGAGGTGCACCCAGCACAGGCTGGGGTTCACTGAAGACAGCCTTTCCCTGCCTCACAGCTCCTTCCGGAGACCTTTGCCCCCCTCCCACCCCTCTGCCTGCTGCCCTCAGCTCATCCCCATGACTCCATGGGAACAGACATCTCCAGGGTCCTGGTTTTGGTCCTCCCAGAAGCAGACCCTGAGACAAGGTCCTGGGTGCGTGTAGTATAACTGAGAAGTGATTCCAGAGAATGAGAACTGGAGGGACAGGAACAGAGTGAGACAGGGAAGGGAGAGAAGCTAACCAAGTGTGATTAATAAGCAGGACACCACTGTGGGCAATGAAGGCTCAATACCTCTGAGCTCCCTCTGAGAAACTGAGTGGACTGAGCTCTTGGAGCTGGGAGGCTGGGCCAGTGGTCCACCAGCTTGCATGCCCCACTGGTGAGGGTTGTCCTGGGGCATTCACACTTCTGAATTTTCAGGTCGTGCCTGCCTGCAGCCAAGCTGTGCTGGGGAAAGCCCTCAGGCAGAGAGGCAGACAGGCAGAGAGATACAGGCACCATCACCGTGTCCCGGGTACAGCCCAGACTGGAGAAGAACTCCAATGAACAAGAATGCCGTGGAGTCTCCACAAATCTGCCACAGTCACCACTGACTCCACATTTTAATTTATGGCCTCTTACAGCTTCTTGCTGCACTGATGCTCATCCTCAAAACACCTGCAAGAGGCCACCAGGGCTGGTTTTCCTCTTGCTGCTCCATCTGGTCCTTCTCAGGCCAGTGTGCTGGCTCCTTCCTTCCCTTGCCCTTCAGTGCTGAGGTTCCTGGGGTCTGCTCCTGAGCCCTCTTCCTTCCTCACTCTCCTTCAGTGTCTCACAGGTCTAACTGCCTGAGAATCTCCCAGGAAGCGTGTTAAAATACAGATTCCAAAGCCTCCCCGTAGACCAACAGAACCAGAATCCCTGGGAACGCAGCCCACAAAGGTGCCTTGCTTTTAACGTGCTCCCAAGGTAGAGTCACCAGGCAAAGCGCAGGATGCCCAGTTAAATCTGAATTTCAGATAAACAATGAGAAGCAGGGCAAGCGAGGTGTGTGCCATATGTGAGACATACTAAAAAAGTATTTGTTGTTTATCTGAAATTCAACTTGTACAGGGTCTCCTGTACTTTCATTTGCTAAACCTGCCAACTGTAAGCCAAGGCTATTCTGATGTACCATAAAGTTCAAAAACTTCTTTTCTGTACGCTCCCTGAGTTACTGCTGCCCACACCCCAGTTTCGATTACCAGCTGCACATGGCTGACTCAGATTTCTTTCTCACCCAGACCTCTCCCCTGAATTCCACGTATCTGATGACCTACTGGACATCTCAAATTCAACATGTTCAAAACTGAGCACGTTATTCCACACCTCCCCCTATACCTGCTTTCCAACTCTGTTCTTCCTCCTTCTTTCTTTCAGTGGGTAGCGCCACCATTCACTTGCTGCCCAAACCAGTATCCACAGGGGTTTTCTCTCCCATTATCACCTCCATTCTCCCTAGACAGTTACCAAATTGTGTTGGCTACAGTTCCCAAAGTCCTTTGCATCCAGGTGCTAGGCTAAATAATGGCCTTCCAAATATATCCACGTCCTAACCCCTAGGACCTGTGAATGTTAACTCACATGGCAAAGAGAAATTTGCCAATGTGATTAAGAACCTTGAGATGAGATTTTCCAGCTGGGCCCTGAATATCCACAACAGTCCTTATAAGAGGGATGCAGGAAGGTCAGAGTCAGATAGACGGTGATGTGATGATGGTAGCTGAGACTGGAATAATGCGGATTGAGGATGACAGAAAGGGGCCATGAGCCAAGACATGCAGGTGGCTTCTAGAAGCTGGAAAAGGCAATCTGGGAATAACGTCTACCCTAGAGCCTCCCAAAGGAACCAGCCAGACTGACACATTGGCTTTAGCCCAGTAGATTGATTTTGAACTTCTGGCCTCCAGAATTGTAAGAAAATTAAGTTGTGTTGCTTTAAGTTTAAAATTTGTTGCAGCAGCAAAAAGGAAACTGATACAATCCATCCACTTTCTCCCTTCTCATTAGCCCTACCTGGCTTCTATCCCCATCCACTACAACCTCCTCATAAGGGGGTCCTGATTCCAGCCTTGCCTCCTCTGGTGCATCCCCCATAGGTCCACCAAAGTGGTCTTTCTCCTGCTTCACACCTTTGATGGCTCCTGATCATGGAGGAAAAGTCCAGACCTATCCTCAGCTCAGATTTCAGGACTTGCTCCCTGCCCACCCCTCTCTCTTCATCTCCCTCCACTTTACACCTTCAGACTGCTGGATTTCTGAACTCACCTCATGGATTAACTGTCCATGTTCTCGCCTATGTTAACATAGCGAGAACTGGACAGGCCCATGTGGCGACTGCAGCATGAGGTGGCATTTGGGGGGAATCTCAGAGGCAATTGAGAAGACTTTCCTGGTGGTCCTGCTTGAGCTGCTGGAGAGACAGATAGGGTGTGTTTGTGCTATGTGGGGGCCTCCCCTGCAGACACGGTCTGGAGAGCACCCAGGACACTGGGATCACACACTCTATATTTTTTCTTGGTGGGCCACCTGCATCCCAGCCACCTGCTGGCTTATTTATAAAGCAGATTCCTGGGCTCCACCCCAGACCAACTGCATCAGAAGCTTCGAGTAGTGAACATAAGCAACCTGCACTTTAAACAAACCCCAAAGGGGGCTTCATAACTAGACCCACATTTCTGAAGCACTGCCTTCTCCTGACTTACTGGCACCTCGGAGGAAAGTATCATCAGGCCCATTATCCAGATGAGAAAACCAAAGTTCAGAGAGGTTAGGTCACTGGCCTGATGCCTTACAGCTACTAAGTTGCTGAGTCGGCATTTAAAGCCAGGTCTTTTGAGTCCACTGCAGGTGTTCTTTCTATCACTCTCCTTCTCTCAAAGAGAGAAGAGATCACTGGGGGGCTTCAGAAGCAAGGTCCCAAGGGACCACCTGGCAGCGCCTCAACCTGGGCTGGCCTGGGAAGCTGAGCAGGATCTAGAGGGGAAGGCAAAGGAATCAAGGGCTTCCATTTCCCAAGTGTCTATGGCATTGAGCATGGCACTGTCACCACACACACATGCAGTCTCATTTTATCCTTGCTTCAGCCCTAGAGGCTGAATGTTACTGTTCCCATGTTGCGGGTGGGACAAGTGACACTCAGAAGGGTGACATCCACTCTTGTGAATGTGTCCAGTAAGTGAAAGAACAGGGGTGGGAACTCAGTTACCCCTGGCTTGAAAGTCACGCTGTTTTCTACTATAGCTTCAACTTTTCTTTTTTTAAGAGCAGAAGCCACTCTTCAAATGAAGTCTGACACAAGATCCCAGGATGCCAGAGAGGTGAGACCGAAGCCAGCTGATGGACCTCTCCATCCCCATTGCTAACACCGAGGCTTCTTTCTCCACAACCACAGCCCACATCACCCATCTTCCAAGCAGAAAGGAAAATACACCTGCAGGGAGCTGGGAAGCGGGCCACCAGGATAAGGCAACAGCAGGGGGGCTCCAGCTGGGGTGGGCCAGACCCCGAGGCCCTCCCCGACACTCCAAATGCAGAATCAGCTTTGGAGGGAGGGATCCCTGTTTCCCCAGGTGGCCCCACAATCAGGATGACTGCTTCAGGAATGCTTCCATCTTTGGGGCTTGAGTCTAATCATGCCAACCTGCCCCCTGCCAAGTCTCTAAAGAAATCAGGCAATGGTTCTGACAAGTTTTGAAAGGCTTCCATTGCTCTGTGAAACATTCTTGTGCAAGTACCTTTAGGAAGGAGTCGCATGCGGTAGGTTTCTCAAATGTCTTCTCCTCCTCTGTCAAAGGAAGGAGGGAAGGAGAGAGGCCAAATAGAGTGGTGCATAAGGTGTGTGCTAACTTTGAAAAAAAGGAAAAAAAAATCACAGCTGTCCACCTTCCTGCAGCTGCTTCACGCCTAGGCTGCCCGGTTCTCTTCTGCCTGCCTGCTCTTTCCTTCTCAACGTCTGGAGATCCAGGAGTTTTCCTTCCTCCCAAGATGCCACTTTCTGAAGCCAAGGCCAATGGTATGGCAATCATGACCCCCACATCATCACAGCTGCCTAAGTACGGGCTCCCCTTCTGCTCCAAGTACGGGCTTCCCTTCACTCCCACCACAACCAAAAGGATCAACATTCAAAAAGGAGCAGTGTCTAATGCTCATTTATGGTCAGTGTCATTCTTTTCATTCCTAATCCACCCCAACCTGGGAGCCGTGGCAGCCCGGCCTGGAGGAGAAGTCTCCAGGCATCAAGATGTGTTCGGAGCCCCTCAGCACAGCCTCTCTGGGCGTCTTTCTGCTCCAGCTATGGCCCAGCAATGAGGACTGGTGACTATGGCACAGACAGCCCCTGAGGCAGCCCTGGCCTTCACCAGGCTATAAGCGCTCTCTCTATCGCCCTCCCAGTAGCGGACCAAAGGTGAACCTGGATGTGACCCTGCAGAGCCTGAAGGAGAACTGAGCTGGTGCAGCCTGTCCCCAGGGAGGCCCTCTGGCCAGCGTGCCTGGCTCCCCTCCCTGCCCCATGCCCTCCCACAGGCCCAGCCTTGGCCACTTGCAGCATTCAAGAATGCACGAGCCAATCCCTTGTGGCAAAGGGGAGGAAGTAGAGCCAGGGACAGATTGTTATAAATAGGCATGTCTGACTGAGAAGGTCACCGGCCAGGGCAAAACATGCCAGAAATTCTACAAGAGAGAGACAGACATAAATTATCTGAGCATCTCACCACCTCTCTCTTTCTCGGGGTGGAGAACAGGAGTGAGTTCCAAGACAGGGCAAGGGTAAGCAGGTGGCCACGGACATCCAGCCAGCAGCTGAAAAGGCTCTTCTATCGAAGAGGCACTTGTACATTGCATCTAGTTCTTAAAAAGGCTGGCTTTTCTTGGCACTCACAAGAGACTGGGGAGAGCCCCAGCTGGAAAGCAGGAGGGTCAAAGAGGCATAGTGAGCCCCTCCCAGCCCTTCTCTCTTTTCTAGCCCGTCTGCTCCTCAGCCTTGTCCTGCACCTAGCCTAGTGTGTCTCAGCAGGGGGAGGTTTTGCCCTCTGTCCTTTCCCAGGGGACATGTGGCAATGTCAAGAGACATTTTGGTTTCTCTGGACAATCAGGAGCGGGTGCTACTGGCATCTAGAGGGCAGAGGCCAGGGCTGCTGCTAAACATCCTACAACGCAGAGGATATTCCCCCACAACAAAGAACCATCCGGCCCCAATTGTTAACAATGCCAAGGTGAGAAACCCTGGCCTATCCCCTCTCAGGAACCCACTCCACCTCCAGACACCCTCCTCCTTCCCATTCATTTCCAAGGGCCCTGTCGAGGCAGCCGGAGCACACAAGTACTCATAGCTACGCAAATAGCAACTCCTTATTTGCTGTGTTTGCTCAGCCAATATTGACTTTGCAGCCTAACACTGGTGCTATTGAGCCGGGGTTATTCTCAATATTGTTTGAGCAGCATTAGAACAGCCTGTGATAACCGGCAGCAGAACAGGAAGCTGCGCCTCCCTCCTCAGTCTCCCCTGCCCCCCGCCGCACCCCCTCCGTGGGACGCTCCTGTAAAGACAGAGGAACCTGTGTGCTCATGGAGTCAAGCGGACCTAATGCCCGCTCCTCCGCTGAGCAAACACACCGAGGTTAGAGAGGGAGCGTGCTCTCTGGCTAAGTCAACACTCCAGGGAAGTTGGAGCAATTGAAAAAGGTTACTTGGGGAGGCTGTCCTTTGGGGTGGGGCCAGTGAAAAATGATGGTGAGGCAGTTCCAGGCTATCAGCCAAACCCTGCGGTTGGGCTCTGCAGGGAAAGGCTTGCAGGGACTGGAGCTCAGGGGCTCCAGGTGCCCAAGCAGACAGATGGTGACTCCATCCATCAGTCAAATACCCAGTAGGTGGGGGTCTAGTAGGGGCCAGTCGCTTACTGATTGGGACCAGAAGCTTAGAGTAGGAGGACCCTGTGGATAAGCTAATGCAGCCACCACGTGTTCATGAGGAAGACCGAGAAAACTAGCCTCTGCCTTGGAGCTTGTCTCACCAGCGCTGGCTGTGAGTTCACAACTGAGCACAACCCGCTCTGCAGGAAAGCACTCTCCCCGCCCACTGGGCTGAGGTCCCTTTAACAGATGCCAACATTGACTCTGCCACCATGAGAGTGGGCCCTAAAGCGTAGCCCAGGAGAGGGACTGCAGTGACCTCCATTCACATCCGGTGTGAGGATGGGTGGCAGGGTCTGAGTGTCTTCTCGGAGGGACAGAAGGAACGGGGAGAGAAACGAGTGGCCAGGCCTACACAAGCCCCTTGGGCAAGCAATAGAAGAGGAAGTCGCATCTCTTGCATCCCAGAGCTCACAGTCCAGAGGGAGAACCTGGAGGCACAGAAATGAAACCGTGCAACCAGCGTGGAATCAAGGCTCCCGTGTGAGTCTAAGGGGAGTCATGAGCACAGTCGTGTGCAACCTGCCCAACCACACCCCGCAGTTCTGCAGTGAGACCAGACAAGCCATGGAATATTCTGAGACGAGAAATCCACATGGAGTAATTGGGGTGGCTTTTCCTTGCCCACAAGTACAGCAAATGTAGGCTTAGCAGTACATTTGGATCTGGGCCCATGCCGTGTCTCCAGGTCAATATGAAACAAGTTGCCAGGATCATCAAGGGGGCATTCTAAAAATTAGCTCTAGCCAGCCCTAGTGGCCTGGGAGTACCAAAATGGTCATTTGCTAAAATTGGCCATTAACATTTTCTACTAACTGCTCTCTCCAAAGACTTGGAAAACGAGGGGGAAACTCCTTGGAAATCAAGTGTTATGTAGACCCTTATGGCAGCCTGGACTCCAACCTTCAGAAGCTATTCATTTTTAAAAATACATGGTGGGCATTTTCTACATGTGGTTGAGTATTTTATCCAACAGCCAAGTCATTCCAGTTTTCCCCACAGCAGACATGTTAGCCAATGTGCTGCCTGCTCAGTCAGTGCCTCCTTTTCTGACCACCCACAGGAACTGTCCCTGCCACCATGTTTATCCACATTCACGTACCTCTCCCTGGCTGCAGCTGTTGGAACAGCAATGGACTCCTGACTGAGGGGAGGCACCCCATTGGCTAGCCATTGACCAATCAGATTCTGTCTCCTGGGTCTCTGGACTTAGATTCTTGGTATTGGGCCCATAACCTGAGAGATCATGTCCAAGTTTAAGTGAACAAGTTAAAACCTAGAAAAGGCAGAACAGCCGGGTGTGGTGGCTCATGCCTGCAGTCCCAGCACTTTGGGAGGCCCAAACGGGTGGATCACCTGAGGTCGGGAGTTCGAGACCAGCCTTACCAGCATGGAGAAACTCCGTCTCTACCAAAAATACAAAATTAGCCGGGCATGGTAGTGCATGCCTGTAATCCCAGCTACTCCGGAGGCTGAGGCAGGAGAATCGCTTGGAACCCACGAGACAGAGGTTGCGCTGAGCCAAGATTGTGCCATTGCACTCCAGCCTGGGCAACAAGAGCAAAACTCTGTCAAAAAAAAAAAAAAAAAAAAAAAAAAAGAAAGAAAGAGAGAGAGAAGGAAGGAAAGAAAGAAGGAGAAAAAGAAAAGGCAAAACAGAGAAAGCCAGTCTGCAGAGAAAAGAATGAAACAAAGCTACTGAGATAAGCTGAGATGAAAAAAAAAAAAAAAAAAACACCCAGAGAAACACAGGCAAGAAGCTAGGAAAGTCTCTGAGCCTCTCACGGGTCTGGTTGTCATCCCTGCCCTTGAAGTCGGTGAGATTCCTCATAGCCTTCCAACGAAATCATTGTTATTACTGAGAGTTAAATTTATAATACTTCTATTTCTTGCAACCAAACAATTATTGACCAAGACCCCTATTAAGACATCACCTATGTGCTGCACTGTACTTGTTCAATACTGAGGATCTCACCTCTTCTTCTTCTTCTTGCCCACCTTTAGGTCTAACTGGACCTCCTTTCTCTCCTGGTATTCCTCTGTCTTCATTTCTTTAGTGCTTCCTTTCAGGGTCTCAGGTAATAATAACCAGCAGTGTGCCCCAGTGATTAGCAGATGAGTGAGCTGTGTAACCTAGACACCATGTTCCACTTAATGGTTTGTTTGCTCAGCCTACTTCAAAGGAGGCTGTTAGCCTATAAGTCAATAATTAGTCATTCAACAAATACCCATCAAGCTATGGCCCAACCCCAGCAAAGATATGTTGAAAAAAAAAAAAAACTTTTGAAGAGCAAATATAAGCCTTTATATATGGTTGACTTAGCCGTTTCTATTTTCCTTTCACAACAGAGAGGCAATGTTGATGTGCTACCAGTCCTAATGCAGCTAGAAGTTATCTGTTACACCAATGACCCCATCAAAAAGAGAACTGTTAACACAGGCCCAGTTTTTACTTTGCTTGTAGTGGTGGGGTATTAGCTAATTGTTGCCCATTAAGAGAAACAAATAATCCCCAGTGAGTCCCAAAAAGAAGTGGAAGTGGAGCTGAATCACCTGTAAGATCAGGGCTTCTCTTAGCTGCTCACAGCTGCCTGACCCAGTCACAGAAGAAGATGTAGAGGGGATTCATTCCATCTTACTTTTATTGGGTTTTCTTTTACTATGTGAAATGAATCTCAAGAAAACATCTCTCATCCCCCCAAACTCTATCATTGTTCTACTCCTCAATTTTAGTATTACTACTGTAATGATAAGATTATAGCTACTACATAATAAGATTAAACATTTAAAACCATCTAACAAATCACCCATAAGCTTACCCCCATCATTCAATCAACAGTCTTCTCTCTTGTCTCTTTTTTTTTTTCTTTTGGCACATTACCTCCCAAAGGTAGAATTTTCACAGACATGACCCTAGCATGCATGTCAGGTTGCAATTTGCTGTTTGATCCTGCCTGCCATTTTTTCATGTGTAAGCAATATTTTCTAGGCTCATGTTTCCCACTTATGACCTTCAACCCCTTCTAAAGCTCTACCCAATTATGACTCAAGGAATTCCCATTTTTCCCTCCTCTATTCTCCAGCTCTCCTTTGGAGTGCCACTTGCAGAGCTGCCTGGGAGGTGCCTCACTGCTGTCCTACAGGGCCCACTGACAAACCAGGCAGTCGCGTTTCCCCAGGCATGGCCACCCCTGCAGCCACCCCTGTGGCACGCTGCCACTTCTGTGTGAGTGTTCCGCCCATGCCCATCACCCATCACACACTCCGCTGGGTACCACACACTGCCTCCCCAGGTACTGATGTTTCCTCAGAGTGCTCTTGGCCTTTGCAGGGACCACAGCTCTCATTTACCTCCTTGAACACCCAGCACCTAACACAGAACATAATACATAGCAGATGCTAAAAAATATTGGATGAAAAAATGAGTGAATAAATAAACTAATGCTTTGTGGATGGACAAAGGAGCCATAAGGTCCCCTGGCCTCCTCTTTCTGCACATGCTTCTCCTTCTCCCACAGCGCTCTGCCACCCTTGCCAACGTATATGCTTTGAGGACTCATTCCCTAAACATCCACCTCAGGGCCTACAAGCTGCACACACAAGAAGGGCCAGGCTGCAGGGACTGGGAGTTGGTTCAGTTTATGTTGTCTTGAATCAGAGAAAGGAGCATCCCAGGACTTTTCCCACCGTCAGCTGTTCCCTCCCACTCTTTCCTGTCTGAGCTCTGGCTCTCCTCCCCATCTCGCCATGAATTCTTCCCATCACATCGGGGCATCTCCCTTCTCTTGCTCACTTAAAATAAGTAGTGAGCACCTGCTGTGTCTCAGATGCAGACACATCAGAGGAATCACTGTCCTCAAGGAGCTCACAGTCTGGCAGGTCACTGAGATGAAAATAAGTGCAGTAATATGATCTTACGGAGGAGAAGGCCGAGAAGCCTCGCCACAGAGCATAAATGGTATCTCCAGCTGTGCACGAGTAGTTTACGTGCCATGTGGGCTGAGGTCCCTCAGTGGCCTGCAGTGGGGTCTGATGTTCTAGTTTCAAGGTGTCCCTTTGGGTTAAGCATTGCCCTCTTCTTGCTACTGCTTTCAAAGGTGAATCCCCAACTTCACATCCCTCAGACTCTAGGATATGAAGCTTTCCACCCTCTCTAGAAGGGTTAGGGTTGCACTAGAGCATAAGCTTGCTGGCAGCTGGGGAAGGAGTATTATTGTGAGGAAAACACAGGAAGACAGCTTGGAGGCTCCAATGACCCACTTCCCCATGGTGAAGGTCAGCTTTTAAGAGGGTGAACCAGAGGCAATGGCTGACAAACCCAGGTCGTCTTACGACTTTGTGCCCTGAAAGATCTCAGAAGCCTCATTCCTGAACCATCAGCAGAACTTCGAACCTGTAAGGGAAGCTAGAGCTCTCTATGTTTGGACCTGCTCAGTTTTACAGCTAGGGAAACTGAGCCCAAAGAAAAAGAAAAAATGAGTGGGTCTCTCCCTTAAGATTCCCTTAATTGTGCATTGATTCCTGTTTTGCAAAATGACACTGGAACATGTATACCTCCCTTGATCAAATAATTCCACTTTGAGAATCTATCTAAGAAAATAATCCTAAGTACAGAAAAAGCTTTGGGCACAAAGAGAGGTTCATGATAGCATCGTTCAAACAAAAAGTACAAAATGAAGAGGGAACAGGCCAAGTAATTCTCCTCGATGGGAAACAAGTTGCAGTCTCTCCACTAAAAATTATCACTCAGTCCAACTTTTTAATAAGTGGGAAAATTCTAGTATGATATTAGAGTGGGGGTTGATGCAAGTTTTTATGTGGGCCTATGTGAAAAAAGCAACTGCATAGAACTGAGAGTGAAAAGAAAAAAGTTGGTTTTCCTGTGTGTTCTACTTGTTCTTTGTGTATTTTTAAGCAGCTATTATAGGTAGTGAGGTTATAAAAGAATATCCTGAAAGAGACTTTCATATTGGAAAAAATTAAAATTCTGTTTTTTAAATTTTATTTTTATTTTATTTTATTTTTTGTGTATGATAGGGTCTCTCTCTCTGTTGCCCAGATTGGAGGGCAGTGGCACAATCACAGCTCACGATAGCTTCCAACTCCTGGGTTCAAACAATCCTGCCACCTCAGCCTCCCAAGTAGCTGGGACTATAGGCACATGCCACCATGCCCAGCTGATTTTTTTTTAATAAGAGACAAGGTCTCACTATGTTGCCTAGGCTGGTCTCAAACTCCCGGCCTCAAGTGATCCTCCCACCTCGGCTTCCCAAAGTGTTGGGATTATAGGCATGAGCCACCACACTCCATCAAAAATTTGATTTTTAAATGATGATATCGAGGAGCCAACTTACCAGGAAAGGAAAGGTAGTTGCTAGCAGCTGGGGCAGCCTGTCACAATTAGTATGAAGGCCACTATCAGAGCCACTTTTTCCTCAAATGATCCCTTAGGACTTCTGCTAGACCACCAAGTATTCACTGGGATATAATCACCCCAAAAGATTTACTAAGCATTTACTGGCACTAACAGTGGCAGGCACTGTTTTGGTTGCTGGGGATACAGAAGTAAACAAGGCAGATGGGGTCCCTGCTCTCACGGAGCACACAGTTTAGTGAGGGAGGCATTAAATGATTCTGACCATAATTATCATGAACTATGACAGAACTACAAGGAGTCCCCTATCAACTGGGATTGGGTTTGGTTGCCAGTAACAGAAATCCACTATAGTGATGAAAACAAATGAAGGCTTTATCTCTTCCATAAAACAAGTCTAGAAATGGGCAGCCCAGGGTGGGAACGATGGCTCCCACAAAGTCCTCAGGGTTTCCTATCTTTCTGCAATCATATCCTTAGCACACAAGCCCAAAATAGGTGCTGTAGCTCCAGCCATCACATTTGTGTTCTGGGTAAAATGAAGGAAAGGTCTAAAGAACAAAATGCAAAGAGAAAAAAAGGAGTTGACTCCTTCTCAATTTCCTGGAAGGCTTACTCAGCAACGTCCTAGCTGCCAGGAAGGCTGTGAAATGTGGTCTTTTAACTGTACATGTTTCTTCCTCGTTAAATCAGGAGTTATTACAAAAGAAGAAGGTAATCATGGATGTCAGGAAGGAACCAGAAATCTCTGCCCCAGATGATGTAAGAATGAAGCATAGGGGGATTGATTCAACCAAGTCAAGGTTGGGAGTCATGGCTGTAAGAGCTCAGCTGAGGCCCAGAGGCTACATGAGATCCAGACAAGCAGAGGGGTTGGGAAGAATTCTAGGCAGAGGACAACTCTGATGTGAGCTCAACAGGGCAGCAGAAAGAGCTGTGGAGTGGGTCAGGAGACCTGGCTATAAGTCCGGGCTCTGCAGGAACATCATGTTCCTTTCAGAGCTTCTCCAGCTGTAAAGTGAGCACTCTGCACTCAGATCCTGTGAAATATTTATTAGGACCTCTGCTAGGCTATTATGGGGCAGGGAGAGGGCACGGCACTTTATGCCACAGCCCCATTCTCTTAGGGCTTACAGACAAGATGGAGAGAGGAAACTCATACTGTTTGGAAGCTGTAAAGAGAGAACTGGATCAGGCACAGAAACCAAGCCCCCATGGAGGGTTCAGAGTTCATATCTGGACATCATCAGGGTCAGACATGGCCTTGAATCCACCTGGGATATTCCACTGCTGGGCCAGCATTCTCCCTGCAGGCACAGAGGAAATGGTTGCACACATCCCTGAAGGCCTCTCCTTGGATTTGATTCTTGATGAAGCCGCATTGTTGGACTGCAATGGTGGTGGGGGAATGGGGGGAACCACCACTTACCAAGCACATTCTGCATGTTCATTTTCACAACTGCTCCATCAGATAGGCAGTCATTATTCCCATTTCACAAATGAGGAAGCCGAGGCTCAGGGAGATAAAGTGACTTGTCCACATGATGATTCTGAGTGACTGTGAAATATTTATTAGGACCTCTGCTAGGCTATGCTGGGGCAGGGAGAGGGCACGGCACTTTATGCCACAGCCTCATTCTCTTAGGGCTTACAGACAAGATGGAGAGAGGAAACTCATACTGTTTGGAAGCTGCATGGATGAGAGGACGCTGAGGGGAGTCCTCAGAAAGCCCCAAAGCCTGTGACTACGGAACTTCAGCCAAGGGTCCCCTTGGGGCTCAGTTTCCTCACTGTAAAATGAAGTCACCTTAGCTGTGCTAATGACAGTTGTCACAGCTCCCATGCATCCAGCACCTACCACGCGCAGGTGCCTTCCCCTCCACATTGTTTCATCTCCATGACAACCCGGTACAGTTGGTCCCAAGTTTACAGACAAGGATTGGACCCCAAGTCCCTCTGTGGCTCTGACCACCGCCAGGGCCTGCCTCTTGAAGATCCAGAGAAGACCATTCCCTGTGCCAGGGTGGACATCGCCCCTGCTTCCCCTTGTCCTGGCCGGGCATCCACAGCAGGGCGGGCATGCAGACGTGCCCCTGGCTAGTGGACCAGCAGCAGGAAGACACCAAAGGAAGCCTGTCACATTATTACTATTCAGGTCAAAACACCTCCCTGTGTTTAGACAAATTACAATCCGTAATTAGTTGCCATCACAGTGGAACAAGCCCACTGTGGTTTCAAAATCACAGTGACTGCTTTATTTAGCTACAGCGGTTGCAGCCAGGGACCACCGGGTTCTGCATCAAAGAAAATATCTGGGCTTTGGCTTTCCAGACTTCTCTTAGCCAGTCCCCTCCCAGCTCCACATGCACACCCCTGGCCTCCACCCTATGCCACAGTCTTAAGCCAGGGTCCCCACACCCATCCTTAAACTCTGAGTTCTAGAGTTTGTCCTTCCCTCTCTGTGCTTCCAAACCTATCCATCCTTTAAAGCCTAGCCTGGGGTCTCCTCCTCCAGGAAGGCCTCCCTGACTATCCCAGACCCACCAGCCTCTCTCACTTCTCCACCCGCATTGCTTTTCCATACATTGGCTCACTAGCTCTCATATGGGGGCTGGAAAGAGAGAAGGAAGGGAAGGTAGACTGTGGAATAGGAGAGAGAAAGATGTGCCACAACCCCAGCCTTGGCGCTGCGTTCCTGTGCTCTAGGGAAGAGGGAACCAGGGGGAAGGGGAGGGAGGGCTGATAGAGCCAGGTCAGAGGATGCTGCCTGCTCTGGTGTGGGAGGGTCTTGGCAGAGCTGGAGCTCTACATTCCAGAGGATTGTGGAGGAGAGGCTGGAGGTGTGGCATTGGGCAAAACCAGGTTCTTTCATGCGAATCTGAGCTAAGAGTGATTGGCTATCAAAGACCCCTGTTTGGCTTTGCAAAGCCAGGACTTCCAGAACATGGAGGGGCAAGGACACAGGGTTCACAAGGTGCTAGGACACATTCAGCAGCTCCCTCACCAAACATTAGAAGAAATGTTGGATTTTTCTTAAGAAAGCACAACTCCATATATTTCCGCTCAATAGACTTTTTAAACAGGAATCTAGTGATGACGTTGAGTATTCAGAGCTTAGGATCCTTGCTACTCTGAGAGATGGGTCCACAGTCAGCCTGGCCCATGGAGGCTAGGGACAGGCAGCCCAGAGCGGAGCGTCCCAAAAGAAGCTGATGTTCCCAAGAGATGGTTCCTTCTCTCCCCATTGCCTAGAAAGTGGCCTCTCCCACACTGCCATCTCTCAGGCTTTCAGGCCCAGGACTCCCAGTCCAGGCTCCAAGACAGACACCCCTAGAATGATGGCGTGATTTCAGGAATCAGGCATTCTGTTTTAGTCTGCTGGGGCTACCATAACAAAATACTGCAGAATACTGGGCAGCTGAAACAACAGAAATTTGTTTTTTCCCAATTCTGAAAGCTGGAAGTCCAAAATCAAGGTTCCAGTGGATTCCGTTTCTGGGGAGGTGCCTTTTCCTGGCCTGTATACGGCTGCCTCCTCACTATGTTCTCACACGGCCTCTCCTTGCCACAAGCACACACGGATAGAGGGAGAGATTGCTACTTACAAAGGCACCAGTTCCATCAGTTCAGGGCCCGACCCTTATGGCTTTATTCAATGTTAATTATTCCCTTAAAGGCCCCATCTCCAATTACAGTCACACTGGGGTTTAGGGCTTCAACATATGAATTTTGAGGGGACATAAACATTCAACCCATAACATTCCAACCTCTATCTTATCATAAACCCCTTCACAACCTTCCTGGTAGAGTAGCAGTCCAGGGACAAGATTATTATCCCATGCAACAGATGAGAAAACTGAGACCCCCGAGGAATGGGCCACTTTGCACCCACTTTGCAGATGAAGACATTGAGTCTCAGTGAAATTAGTTAACTTGCCCAGAGGTCAACCGCACAGTTTTCTGTTCAAGAGACCATGGTGGTCTGATGAAAAAGTTAATAAGAAAACTAATTAACGTTTACTAGGTACAAGTATATGAAATGGGTGCAGATGTAAGTGAAGACTACTAAGAGGGAAAATCTAGAAATTAAAAAAGTACCACACATTCCAAAGCATATGAAAACATTTGGGATCAGTCTGCTTTTCTGAATTGCCTGTTCATAGATAGGTATAGGCATAAGGTTAGGTAGATAGACATGGAGATAGAAATAAATAAGAAATGTAGGGAAATCAAGGGTTAAAATAACTCAAGATCTTAAACTACTGGTTTGGAGTGACTACACATTTTATCCACTTATGTGCTGGCTATAAGATGCTTCTAAACTAAGCTTCAGAATCTAAAATCTAATAAACAAATAAATAGATCTCTTCACCTTGAAATGCTATTTCAATGTCTATTACAACTTAAATTAAAATGATAAATAATAACAATAAGTAGATATAAGTCGTAGATCACAAACTCACATTTGCAAGAAATGTCCCTTTCTTTTATTCCACTAATTACCCCAGTGCATGGTATTGAACCTCCTTAGGGCTAAGTTCTGGGCCCCTACTCCATAAAAAATCTACTATCATCGCTGATGTCTGTTCATAAGAAAACATAGGGCCAGGTTGGAAAAAAACAACTTTTGAGAAGATAGAAACTGCATCTGAAAGAAAGACTTACTTAAAAAGCAGAGAAGAGGCAGATTCAGGGGCAGAGGCTGAGAGATGGGGCAAGTCTATCCTTTCTATATAAAATATTGAGTGCTGGAGTTGGGCTCAGCATCTAAACTTTGACGCTCATGCAAAATTCTGTAACCAGAACTTCTGTGCAAAGCCACAGGGAAACTGAAATTTAGAAAACAAATCCTTAGTCCTATGGCAAATTAGTCATTCAGTGAATTGATCGTTTGGCAAGTTGGCTTTTAGCAAATTGATTTTGGGTGTTTAGGCCTGCTTCCGGAAGGCTATCCACTAGCCAGTGAAGTGTGAGGAGCCTGATGGGTGGGAACACTTCCCAGAGCAGGCCTCTCTCCGTTGCCAGTCAGGAGGGGGGCCTCCAGGCTCAGCAGAGCCCCAGGAGGGTTCATAGGAAGCACCCTTTTGCCCACAGTCAGTTGTCAGGAAGTCCTACAGAGTGTGACTTCCACAGCTGTGCAGAAGCAGAACTAACACATGGTCTATTCCAGGGGCTACGTTAGGATCTTTACATTTAAGAATTTGTACAAAAAACTGAAGCTCAGAAGCAAGAGACAGCTCCCCTCTGATCCATACAAGTAGAGGGTAGCAATCCCTAATCTGCCTGACTGCAGAGGTCATGGAACGTCCCCCCATCACGTTGCCTCGAGCACACACCAATAGCTGCTGTTTCTATTAGGCTCTATGGCTGGCTATGCCCAGGAGGTGTCCCTTTGGAGTTTAACAAACATCCTGAATATGAGATTACAAAGCCAACTATACAAGTGAGAAAACGGAGGCTCAGAGAGTTGATGTGCAGATTCTGCAGGTAGCCCTCATCAACAGATTCCTGTGTATCTTCCCAGAATAAAAAAATGGAGCCTCTCCTGAGATAAATGTGCATAAGCTTTTAAAAGAAATTCATAAATGGATTTGGATTCATACTAACACATTCTTCTCTGCACCTTGCTTTTTTCATTTATTAAACCATCACTTAAATTTTTTTAACAACTGTAATACATTCTATAGTATGAAAGTACCATAATATATTTAGTACATATCAGTAATATCATGCTTAATTGTTAATATAAACATTATGTATTGATCCTATTGTATAACCACTTTTACTGAGGAATATTTCAGTTGTTTCTAGATTTTTGCTATTGCGTTAGGTTTACTATAACATTTCCAAAGAATATATCCCAAAGATTTTGTGAATCTCCAAATTTACTAATACCAGCATGGTGTGGTTTGAAAGTCCCTCCCAAAACTCTCATTGAAATTTAAATGCCATCATGACAGTGTTAAAAGGTGGGATAATTAAGAGGTGATTAATTCAGGAGGCCTTCACCCTTATGAGTGGATTAATGTTATTATCATGAGAAAGGGTTCATTATTACAAGCATGGGTTGTTATAAAAGTGAGTTCAGCTCTCTTTTGCTCTCCTGGGCTTTTGTGCCCTTCTGCCTTCTACCATGAGATGACACAGCAAGAAGGCCCTTGCAAGATGCCAACCCTTCAACCTTGGCCTTCCCAGTCTCCTGAACTGTAATGAATAAATTTATTTTCTTTATAAATTACCCAGTCTGTGGTATTCTGTCATAGCAGCAGAAAATGGACTAAGACATAGTATAAAACACAACTTATCTCATATGGTAAAATAAATATATATATATATATTTTTTATTTCAGATATATATATACCTGAAAATTATGACCAATCACAGTGGCTCACACCTGTAATCCCAGCACCTTGGGAGGCCAAGGCAGGTGGATTACCTGAGTTCAGGAGTTCAAGACCAGCCTGGCCAACATGGTGAAACCCCATCTCTACTAAAAATACAAAAATTAGTCAGGGTTGTGTTGTGCACCTGTAATCTCAGCTACTCAGGAAGCTGAGGCAGGAGAATTTGCTTGAACCTGGGAGATGGAGGCTGCTGTGAGCTGAGACTGCCCCACTACACTCCAGCCTGGATGACAGAGTGAGACTCCATCTCAAAAAAAAAAAAAGAAAAAAGAAAAGCTTAAGTTACCTCAAGTTTCTATTTTCTGGCTTAAAATCTTCACTTTCTTATTCTCCATGGCCTCTTCCTCCACACTGCTACCCACAACCCCAGTAGTTGGCTTTCTTGGTTATCATTCATGAGTTTGAACACTTGAGGGCAAATTGGGATGAGATACTGGTCAATGGACAAGACCCTTCCCAGGCCAAATCTCATTCCCTTTTATGAGCCTCAAACACCAACAATTCACATTCCACTTCAGCCAATTTACAAATGGTGGCATGCAATAGACCTTGAAGTCATTTATGGGTAGTTAAACCTCAAAGCTTAATCTGAAAAATCCAACCATCGCCTGCACCCCAAAATCTTCTGCCAGGCTGCCCAAATCTGAACATCTGCAGATGCCTGCTGACAGATGGCGTGTACCTGTTCAGGGACTTGCACTAGAACCATGCCCACCTTAGCCCTCCATGTTGGCTGTGGCCCAGAAGGCTAGTGGGATCATTGACAAAGACACTCATGTTTGAGGAGGCACCATCCCATTTTTTATCCACTTATTTTTTTTCAGACAGACCACACACTCTCCAAGGCTTCCTCCTATACTGATGCTTTGTGGTCCTGAAACTCAGAGTCGTTTGGGCTACAACCTTTATGAGGTGTAATAGAATAGAATTAAGACAAGAACTTGGCGAATTCTTACTGGGGCAAACCACTCAGCAGGCAGTTCGATGGAAGGAAGGATAAGCTAGGAATGCACTTTGATGGCTATCCCTCTGAGTGTACCTGTCACACCCCAGAAGCATGCTTTAGAAGAAGGAGAGAGTAGGACAGAGCCCAGCAAGGTGAGCACCATCTGAGTAACTGCATGGACCCCAGAAACACCCCCACTGTGAGCCAATGACCCAGGCAACTACTCCTCACACCTGAGGCCAAACTTCCCCATCCCCTTCTTGGAAACATATGATAGCTCTGAGGACACAGGAAAGAAGAAAATACCTTTCTTCTTCCCTTCAAGGAGCCCACAGTTCAGAGACAGGCAAAGACAAAGTAGAGATCCAGACAATGCTGGGACAGAGGGGCTAGCGTTGGGGTAGGCAAAGGGGATGGAGTGAGTGGTTGATTGGTCTGGAAGTCCCCTGAAACTGCAAGTGTGATGATAGAGCGGATCAAAGCTGCTAGCTCCTGTCCTCTTCACCCAGCCTGGCACAGAAAGAATAAGTCCAGTAGGGCCTCCATGTGTGAGGGCCTGCGGCATCAGGGATTTGTAGATTTCTGAAAACTTTGCCTTTCTATGTGCTTACTGTTTTGTTGCCTGGTGTGTTTACCTTCTCTGATTAGTGATAAAGCCCCCATTATGCAAATGGCCAGAGTGCTTGTCTTTGGGAACGGTGAGGGGAGTGGTGGCATGCTGAGAGGCTTCTTTCCATTCCCCAGCCAGGCTCAGGGACAGAACCCCACCATGAGCACCATGATGGGTGAAAGGGTTAATGAGGAAGTTGCAACAGGCTGAATCCCCAGAACCTTTAGGGAGGGAAGAAGAGCAGTCGGGGATGCCCACCTGGACATGGGGTTTAAGCAGACTCCTGGGCTTCTCCCCAACTCTCCTCCAGACCAGAGCTGTCTTATTTTATTAACAATTCAGAAACAGTGGCTACAACAGACACTCTTCACATCACCAGAAGCCTGGTACCTAATAACTGAGGGGCGTATGAGTGGCACAGAGGTCACTGTACCCGCTAGATCTGATACACCTGAGTCAGATAACTGCCCGATGAGGTCAGTGATCATGAATTGACGTCAATGGAAGAAGGAGAGGAGGACATTCTCTCATGACTCTCACTTTATCTTCACCAAGCATAAAGGGTAGGTATTAAGAGTCCCCTATTACAGATAGGGAAGTTGAGTCTTGGTAAGGTTAAGCACCTTGTCCAAGTTCACCCACCCGAGTTGAATCCAAATCTTTTATCCTCAGAAGGCAGCTGCATCCACTGAGCTGTCTCTGATGATGGTCTGCTAAAGCTGCCCCATGATTCTGTTGCACTCACATCTCAGTACAGTGACCTTTGCCCATGTCAATGGCCAGTGTGCCGTTGCTGCCAGACAACAGATGAGGCAGCCTCTGGAATCAACACTACAAAGCAGAAAACAACCCTTGACCCTACTCATTGTAAACTCTTCCCTACCAGAACAAAGAGGGTAGAAAATTCCTCCCATCACAGAATCCCACGCACAGAGTCTACTGATTGCAGGGCAAAATGAGGGCTAGTGATGACCCCCAGCCTAGGGCACAGATGCCCACTGACCCATCAGCTCTACCCTTCTCTTTCTTCTGCAGACAGTGGGGGCAGGGATAAAATAGTCAAAAGCAGGCTTTTGTTACAAAGTCTGTCCACTTGCTCTGCCCTGAACACTTAGCAATTTGCAATTATAGCATCTAATGGATGCTTCATCATTTTTTGCTAAATTAGTACATGCGTGAATGAGAGTGAATGAATGAAGAAAACTGGCACATGTAAAGCACTTCCTACTTTTCACATCACCTCTGCATCTATTATCTCATCTTATCCTTCAGATACTCCTGTGAATGTAGTGTTGGAATTCTTGCTTTGCAGATGGAAAAACTGAAGCCCAGAGAGATGACTGTTTCACATACGATAATGGCAGAGCTTGGACCAGGATCCTAGCCCAGCACTCCTACTCTGGTCCTTCTTCCCTGGGATGGCTGCTGACTTGAGAAAGGATCTCCAGCCGCCCAGTCTTGCAAAAACAGCAGCTTAGCGCCAAAAGGCACGGCTTCCCTAAATGCCCAGCTCACCACCTGGAGGTGACCGGTGAGGCTGGGGCTACTGGAAAGGCCCCAGAGAAAAGGCTCTCTTGCCCCCAGGGAGCACTCATGTCTTTCTAAACAGACCTCAACATTTTTCCCGGGTTAGATCAGAATTTCCAGATCTGGATAAGAACTGGAAACTTCCTATCCATTACCTTTCTGATTCTGACTCACTTCAGGGGCTGGGGGGTGGGAGAGGTGAGATGCTCAAGTCCCACCTATTTTAAAAACAAAAAAGTCTCTTCAACCCCCAAAGTGGGTCATTCTAGAAATGTTTACTGCACATGTGTTATCCCGAGCACTGAACACCCAGCACGGAGCTCAAAGCTGTGCCGTCAGGAGTGGCTGCGGCAGCCTGCCTCTCCTGCGTCAGTTTCACAGCCTACACCCTCTTCTGCCATTCTGCCATTGAACTCAAGCCAAGGGCACCAACGGGCTTCCTGCCAGTGGTCAGACCAAGTCCTGTCTGACTCAGTCTGTGCAGCACTCAAGCATGTTACCTGCTCCTTCTCCACAGTGCTCCTCTCAGCCTCCGTCATACCCTGCCCTCCTAGCCCCTCCTATGCCAGTACCGAGGTCTTGCATAGGCCTTCTTCCTGTCTTTACACACTGCCGTTTAATCACGTCATCTACATCACAGAGGTCCAAATGCTGCCTAATGCCGATGGTGCCCAAGTCAATTCTCCAGAAGAGATCTCTTTGCCAAACTTGACACCAAATGCTTGTTGGATGTCCTTTCCTGAGCGGCCTCGGGCATCCAAACCTCAGCATCACCAAAATTGGATTCACATATGCACCCTACACCATATCTGCTCCTCCTCTGCTCACAGGATTGGTGAGCAGCGAGTGGCCCCGAGCCATGAGCCACCTGAGTAGGAGACCTGGAGTCGGCCTTGCCTCCCCCTCCTCCTCTCCTCCGCCTCCTCCTCGCCTCCCTCTCCTCCTCGCCTCCCCCTCCTCCTCACCTTGCCCTCATGGCCATCCAGTTTTGTGGCTTCCACCTGCCCAAGGTCCCTCAGAGCGCTGCCTCTACTTCTGTCGCCCACCTCCTCTTCTCTTCCTGAACTAGTGCAACAGCCTCCTTTCTGGTCTTCACACCACCTACAGGATAAAGACTCCAAGTACCTCCATGACCAAAGTCCCGCCTTCTCCCCAGCCTTGTCTCCAGTCTCCTGCACTTATTCCAGTGGCCCCAAACAGTCCTGATCCCAGAAAGGACTCTGTCCTCTCACCTGCCAGCCTGCATGTAGGTGTTTCCCTCAGACTGATGTGCCCTTTCCAGAAAGTTCTCTCCCAGCCCTCCACCCCCATCTAGGGAACCCTTACTGTTTTTCCTCCAATTCAGCTCAAACATCGCCTCCTCTGAGAAGCGGCCCCATGCACCTCCCGCAATGTTCCCATACGAGCCAGTGCAGCCATCATCAGGGCACTTGCCACCGTGAATTGGCAGGCCTCGGGCACATCTCACACCTACAAAACCCAGAGCCCTGCAAGGACTGTGTTCTGTGCTCACACCCCTCTGTGTGTCTAGGCCCTGGTGATCTTATGGCCAATGGTGAGCCTCAGTGAATGACTAAGTGAATGGGTAGTACAGGTAGTGGGTTTGCTGGAATAAAAAGATGTCCATCCACCAGGGACTGGAGGTGACAGCACCAACAAGTCAGGGGGAAGGAAAACAACAAAACCCATCCATCAGGTCCCAGAGGTTTACAGGCAGCTAGAGAGAGACGAGTCTCTCAAGACCGATAACAAGCCAGGGCAGCTTGCAATGAGCTCCGCAGCGCCCTGGTGACCTCCAGAGCTCAGAGGAACAGGGGCACTGGGGAGGGCGGGGGAAGCTTAGGAGGTGGCCTCCTCCCATGCTACCACCCGACCTTCCAGGGACTGAGCAGAATGGAGGCTGAAGGATTGAAGGAGATGCTTTGCTTATCCAACCAAACCCCACCCAGAAGGTGCCTCCAGAGCTCCTGAGGTTCTTGCTGGGAAGAACCTGGTGCCGCCTTTTAACTATGGAGCCTGAGTGCTGGCAGTGGTGAGGGAAAAGGGTAACAAAGGCAGCAGAAAGAGGCATCCCCACCCAGCGAACAGCCAGATGCCAGGCGGGTGTTCCCTTCCCCACCCCAAGGTGGCTGCCTGCAGTGTCTACGTGCTTGTCTTTCTGGAAGACAGGCCCTACTAGGGCTTCAGAGTCAGGCCCAACCTCCTGCCCCCGCAGGAAGGAGCAGAAATGCAGAGCTAAGAGCACCTAGAGAAGGCAGGAAGGGCAGAGATGCAGGTGCACAGGCAACCTCTTCTGTTTGACTTTGGGCCAACTAGGGTTAGGAGTAATGGACTTAACCTGACCTTGGTCTTATATGATCCAGAGAAATGTAAATACTGAAACACAGGCCAACAGTAAAGCAGCAGGTGCAGGGAATCCAGCCACTCCTGGCAAAGTGTCATGGTCCAGCTAAGGACTCCCAGTGACCCAAGCTTCCCCCACCTGTCTCCTTTACCTTACAGGTAGCACCTTCCTCCTCCTTCCTATCCCTACCCCAGGGCCAGGCTGTCTCTCTCTTCCTGACCAGCAAAACCTGAATCTTAGGTTACAAACTCTGGAAGGGGCTCAGAGCTTGGCTGTCCCAAAACCCACTTTTGCAGAGGAGGAAACTGAGGCCCAAGGAAGAAAAAGACCTACTGCAGATCACCTGGCTTCCAGGCTCCTAGCACAAAGCTCTTTGTACTGACGAAGCTCTCAAATCCTGAAAACATCTGCTGTTAGTCCCACCCTCTCCAACCTCCATCCTTTCCCTTTCCCCAAAAAAACAAGAGCTGCATTTTCAGAATTGAAAGTAGGGTGCTAAATGGGCAAAAGTATAGTGGTGGGATCTGAGGCATGGAAGAGGAAAAGCCACAGGGGATGGCCTGAAAACACTGCTGTGTGCTGAGTCAGGCTGCCTGTGCCTGTTCTGCTGTATCCTGGCTCCTGGCTTTCCTCCCCACCCCTGGGCCTGACAGATGACAACTGAAGGTGGGGCCAGCCCAAGAGAGAAAGGGCCAGAGGAAGTTGTGGTGGGTGCCCCGACCCTGGTCCCTAGATATTGTCTGAAGCCTACTGAAGGGTGAGTCTGCATCTTCCAAACACTTGCCCACAACCACAGTGACAGAAGAGGAGCGAGATCTCTCTCTGCTGTAGGTCCAAATGCTACCCTCCTACAATACCAGCAATACTGATGCCACCAACCCCCATGATGGCACCAGGATGGGGAAGGCAGAAACAGGCCTCTGGTGCCCTCTGCTGTTCAGCACTCCCGTGCCACAGCCTGAGGGTTGGCACTGTGGCTGGCAGGGGGACCCAGGGAATGTCTCCAGCCCCTAGGGTTGCCCCAGCTTTTAGCAGCCCTCCATCTACTTCCCAGAAGGATCCAGGAAATGTGTGATGCTGAAGCCCTGGCTAAGGCAATGCACCCGCCAGATCACCCAGGGTGTGGTGTAGTAGCAAACAATCCCCAACACGAAATGGCTCCAAATCAGGCAGGTTTATTTAGCTGGACAAGCTCTGTGTCCATTTTCTAAGATCCAGGTTGAGGCAGTAGCCACCACCATCTGGAATGATGCTGGCTACAGTGACTGAGAGCAAGAGACTGAGGGCCTCACACAGACAGTGAAAAACTTCCACTCACAGCTCACTGGTGGGATCTATCACACAGCCCCACCCAAGCAAAAGAGGCAGAAAGTGCAATCCCACCAGGTGCCCAGAAGTCAGGAGCTAGGGACACTGAAAGGGCACATTCCTGACTACTGATGGCTTCCGGCTCATTCTCCCTCCTGCAAGCAAAGTACCTCATCCCTCCCCAGGGAACGCAGCCCTAGATCCGCCCCAGGGGCAGCATCGTCCTCAGGTGCAGGGTCTCAGGGCGGTATGTTGGCATCCCATATCAGCAGTGAGGGGCAGTAATCCCTGCTTCACACGTAGATGTGGTGCCTCTTGATCCAGTGACCTGCAACCTAAGAATCCCAGTTTCCTGCTGCCTGTTAAAATTCAGTCCTCAGTGGTACAGCCAGGGCTAGAGAGTGGCAAAAAAACACACCAGTAGGAAAGCAGAAAAATGAGAGCCATATCTCAGGGGATACTGCTCCATGGCAGCCCTGCCATCCCTGGGCAGACTTTAAGAGTCCCTGTCCTGGAGGTGGGCATCGTCCTTGATCAGGCAGCTCTGGCCTCTCCCCTGGGTATCTCTCCTCATTGGTTTTTTCTGTGCCCTGCTCCCTTCCCCGTCTGTCTGGCTGCCTCAGTTTCTCCTGACTTAATACCTTGTGCTGTGTGTGGCTCTGTAATGGCCACCTCACTCTTGAGTCTCCCAGACTTCTGAGTGGTCCCAACTTAGGGTCTCAGTTCAAATTCCAGACACACAGAGAGACTCCCATTTCACTGGCCTAACTGATTATTCAGAGCCAGGCACACAAGTCACAGTTATGTCCAGTTTCCGAACGGGCCGTCTGAACAGGGGATGCTGGAGAGACCCCACGCTGCCTGCACATCTGGTGGTGTGGGAGGAGAGCGTGGGCACAGCCATGAAGGATTGTTTTCTCTGAAACACAGAGCGTGGAGTTGCCCTTGAATGTACTCTGAAGACACATGATTTGGGAGGAGGAAGTGAGGTTTGGCCTTCCCCAACCTCAGACTGCTCATTGCTTTCTTTACTCCTCTGAGTCTCAGTTTCCTCATCCATACAGGGGGAACAATAATCACTGTCCTCATCCTTCTCCCTCGCTCACTCCTGTGGGCCCTCATGCCCCTGATGGAACCAGTCCTGGGTCCTGGCTGCCTGAGCTGGGTTCACAGTCTGGGGCTGACCTGTGGCCTGCCTCTCCAGAACATTTGCGTCTGTATAGAGAACTGTTGGAGACTGACAAGCCAACAGGATCAACCCGTAATGGCAAAATATAAGGCAGGGAGATGCCAAAAGAGAGAATACTTTGGTAGGAGGGAGGGAAGCACTCAAGATCTGCCTGGATAAGAATTCTAATCTCTGCTGCTGACTGTTCAGTTCCTCCTTCATGGAAGAAATGAGTCAGGCCTATCTTGAATGACAACTCTTGTTACCAGAATCCTCAGATCATTTCTAGGGTAACTCTCCTTTAAGGGATGTGTGTGGGGGCAGCACTTCGTAGGTACATGCACCCTGCCTCCCTGCCCCACGTGCTCTACATTCTCCCTGTGCTCAGAACTGTGCTGACTCGGGCACAGTTCTGATGATGCGGAAACTAGTGCAGCCCACATTTCTCAACCTCGGGGACGGATGTGCTGCCTTGTTGTATTTTTGTTCTTTGAAAACCTCTGCTTTTTCTTCTACCCATCCACCTCTTTAGCTGCTAATCGGGGGTGGTCTGAAGACCCACGTCGTGTGTTTATTTTATCATGTTTCCAAAGCTGCAGTCATATCTCAGCAGGGGGCTGCACCATCCACATGCCTTTGAACTCAGAAACCCCCACGTGGGTTTTGGTAACCAGGGCTGGCATATCCCCACTCGACAGCACTGTGTCCTTAGCCCACTGCCCACCTGGCTCCCCCTACCTCGCTGCCCCTGCCCTAATACCCTCCTGCAGGGTTCCTCCAGGGTCTCATCGTGGTCCAGTCTCTGGGCGCTAGCACAGTCCCCTCATTCCCTACCCACCCTCACTGCTCAATGCAAACCCTGCCTCCTGCCCTCTGTGACTTAGAGCTGTCTGCTTAAACTCTCTGGACTACGGCCTCACTGTAACAAGAAAGGATTTGAGAAAGCAGAATTTCCCAGCTCTGGATCCTTTCTTTCCCCCATCTCCTTTAAAGCATATCAAGAAAGAATGGCAGTGAATGTTGGTAGAGTGCTTTACAGTCTACAGAATATGAGCACATTCATGACTTTGTGTGAAGTCACTGATAGCCCCTGGGGGTAGTTATTCTTACTATTTCTGTTTTACAGAGGCAGAGGCACAAACTGAGACTCAGAGGGGTTCAGTAACTTATCTAAGGTCACACAGCTAGTTTAAAGAAGAAAAAAAGAAATGGCCAGGCATGGTGGCTCACACCTGTAATCCCAGCACTTTGGGACGCCGAGGCAGGCAGATCACCTGAGGTCAGGAGTTCAAGACCAGCCTGGCCAACATGGTGAAACCCTGTCCCTGCTAAAAATACAAAAATTAGCTGGGCATGGTGGTGTATGCCTGTAATCCCAGCTACTTGGGAGGCTGAGGCAGGAGAATCACTTGAACCCAGGAGGTGGAGATTGCAGTGAGCCAAGATTCTGCCACTGCACTCCAGCCTGGGCCACAGAGCAAGATTCCATCTCAAAAAAAAAAAAAAAAAAAAAAAGGATTGGGATTAAATTTCAGGTATTCAGACCACATGCCCTTCCTACTTTAGCAGATGATGTCTCTCCCCCCTACTCTGGCTAATGGCTGCAATCCTTATCGCCCACAGTAAGAAGAGACTTAGGGTGCAGCTCTACCCCACATCCCTGGGATAGGGAGCCAGAGGGTCACAGAGCATCACTACCAAACAGGTTGTCTTGGACCTCAGGGAACTGTCAGAGGGAAGAATTATGATTTTAAAGCTTGTCCACATGTGGACCCCTCACTGGCCTGGGTGTCTTTGGAGCAGCAGAGCTGGTTCTAATTGGCAAGGCCAGCCTAGGTGGTGCCCTGTCCTCTCAAAGTGACAAAGCAGGGCTTTCCTGGGGCCAATGCCTGTGGCAACTCCTCCTGACACACCTTTCCCAGTTTGCCAGGGGTGTAGCCTAGGATCAGAAGCTAGTTCCACCCTCCTCTGCACCTTGGTTTCTCTTTCTATAAAATGCGGAATAATCTCCACTTTTCTGTCCCTACTATCCAGTAGGAGTCGGGGAGGACAAGAGGGCATGAGCTGGTGTTTCTCACGGGACTTTGATGCCTTAATAGAGGTGATATTTGGATAAAAATATAAGAGCAAGCATGGACTCCGGTGCTTCCTAAGAAAAGGACTCTAGAGGAGAAACTAACTCTCAGGCACATTCTGGGGAATTAAATTTTCTAGATTTCTAGAAGCCCCCTTGATATCAGCTCTTATGGCTACAAACCCTTCTACCATTCCAGAGAGAGGTTCTCTGAGACCACACCTGGAAATGACTTTGCCAGTCTGCAGGGACAATCTGCCTGGGGGCTAGGGCTGGATGAGGGTGACTGCAGGGGGCAATGTGAGGTGGACCTGGAGCCCCCATAGCTCAGGAGTAACATTTGCAGATCCATCCCCAAGAGTTGTTTGGTTTAGCTCCTTTGGTTCTTTCTCAAAAGAGTCAAGTTTGGTAAAAACCCAGGAATTCATTTAACATGATCACAGGAAGGCGCATTAGAATAAAATGCATATGAACAGCTGCTATTACTCCTTTGGGTACATATTCCTGCTTACCATGATCCAGTACCTTTGTCACTTTAATAGAAAGCTCTCAGAGACTTGGTTTCCCAATCTATAAAATGTAAGAGTTGCATTTCATTGTTGGGAGGTGAGGTCCCTTCTAGGCTAATACTTGCTTGGAGTAACACAACAAACAACAGATCCTTCAGGACTTAGGGGCTTGCATCCATTGAAGTACAGAAATAAAATATTTTTAAAAGACTAAAGGGAAAAGAGACTCTCCAGGTTTAGTCTGGGTAGGTGGTGGG
The DNA here is from genome assembly GCF_000001405.40 of Homo sapiens. Classification (NCBI taxonomy): domain Eukaryota; kingdom Metazoa; phylum Chordata; class Mammalia; order Primates; family Hominidae; genus Homo; species Homo sapiens. Next base: position 69,571,766 of record NC_000015.10, on the reverse strand, counting down.
GCCTGGCTGAACCTACTTCATCTCTGTTTCCCTTGCTCTTGACTTTCCCTTGGCAGTCTCTAACTTGTTGCCCTCTGTCACCACTACTCACAAGGACATTGGCCACCATATTACCCTAGTCCCCTTTCTGTAATTGTCGACTTCTGTACTGATTGTTCCCCAGTAATTGCAAGCTTTCTAAAGAGAATACATCTTCAGCTGTATTAGGCAGAGTTCTACAGAGAAACAGAACCAATAAGCAATACGAGATTAGATATAAATATATAGATGCATACATATATATATGTATATATGCATGCAGGTGTGTATATAGACAGAGAGAAACAGACAGAGACGGAGAGATTTATTTTAAGGAATTGTGTGGCTGGCAAGTCCGAAATCCATAGGGCAGGCTGGCAGGCTGAAAAGTTAAGTGAGGGTTAATGTCATAGACCGGAGTCCTGAGTTTGAATTCCACAGGGCAACAGGCTGGAAACTCAGATAGGGTTTCTATGTTGTAGTCTCAAGGAGAATTCCATCTTCTTTAGGAAACCTCAATCTTTGTTCTTAATGCCTTCAACTGATTGGACAGGGCCCACCCGTAGTATGGTGGGTAACCTGCTTTACTGATTTAAGTGTTAATCTCATCTAAAAAATACCTTTACCACCATGTCCAGACTAGTGTTTGACCAAACAATGAGTTGGCATACTCCACGCAAGGTGACGTGCAAAATGAACCATCACAGCACTTCTTGTGTCTTCATGTGCCCACCTGGTACATGGGGGTACAACTATCTGGCCCAAAGGGGTGGTCAATCCTGAGTGGATAAATAATAGGAATTTAGTCCTATGATGTGTCTTGATTTTTCTTTTCTTTTCTTACCTTCCTATTTTTATTAACCCGGGTCTTCTGCGCCCAAAGACTCAGCCTCATTCAGGACCATATTATGTTCATACTTCTGCTGCGTCCAAGGAGTGTTGACAAAAAAGTGGGGCCTTGGAGGGGTAGAGGCCAAGGGACAGTTTCCCCTCTGCCCTTTGAAGTTCACTGAAAATGAATTTACAATAGGCAGATTAATAAGAGGAAAAGGCATACAAATTCATTTAATGTGCATAAGCACACAGGAATTGCAAGAACATGATGACCTAAACCCAATGAGGTCCAGATGCTCATACGCCTTTCTTCATCAGGGAAGAGGAGATGGAGGAGAAAGTGGCTGTTTTGAGGGGTAGAAAATAATTTTTTTTTTTTTTTGAGACGGAATCTCACTCTTTCGCCAGGCTGGAGTGCAGTGGCATGATCTCGGCTCACTGCAACCTCCACCTCCTGGGTTCAAGCAATTCTCCTGCCTCAGTCTCCCGAGTAGCTGAGACTACAGGCATGTGCCACTACACCCAGCTAATTTTTGTATTTTTAGTAGAGACAGGGTTTCACCATGTTGGCCAGGATGGTCTCGATCTCTTGACCTCGTGATCCTCCCGCTTCGGCCTCCCAGTGCTGGGATTACAGGCGTAAGCCACCACTCCTGGCCCAGCAAATGATTTTTAAGAGGAATGAATGGGCCCAATGCTCCAGACAATGGTTAGTAAATAATTATCTTTGGAAATGGAATGGGACTTAAAAATAGACAATTTGGGTCAGTGCTCCGAAGTATGGGTTGTAGGTGTGATGTTTAATTTTCAATCTCTTCCTCTGTGATATGGGTTTTAATCCTCTAGATAATGAAATTTCAGGAAGGGGATGGAAGGCAATTGTGTTCCTCTTCGGCCATCTGGTTTCTAGGTGGATGAGGGAACTTCAGAGAACAGCCTTGTCCTGTGTTTTGGGAGAGACAAGGGATTGAGAAACAGGAAGGTAGGAGGGGTAGGGAAGGTCAAGAGACCTTGAGGCTTCTTCTTTAGTCCAGCACGTCAAAGCACCATATTGGGGAGTATCATTTTCTGAGCCCCAACAGAGGTTGACACACCTGGGCCTAAGTCCCAGCTCCCCCATTCATTAGCAAGGAGTTGAACCCCTCAGAACGTGAGTTCTGTCTGTGCAGTGAAGGCATGGGGTGCCCACATGGTGGGTGTAGTGAGGCTGAGTTCTAGGCCCAGCACAGTGCCTGCCATGAAGGAGGCACCCCATCATTTTCATAATGATGATTTCATTGCTCTTTTACACGCAATTAAAACTCACTAATTCAGACCTATCAGAGAGGGCAGTCAATGGCTGGAAAGTCCACATTAAAAAATAATTTTAAAATAATGTAGTTTTATTGCTTTAAAATATATTACTCGGTCCAGGCTAATAAAGTGTTGCATAGCAAGCCCTTGGGGGACTTGCATTAATGAACAAATAAGAACAATTTGAGGTTAGTCCATCCATTATTGGCATGGAACAGGGTGTCTCAGAAAGTATTTGCAAATGCCTCAAAACAAGGTATTATCTTCCACAGATTAAGTGTTTCCCCTGCAATCATCATGATGCATTTTCTTCATTCACCAGTTTCTCTCTACCTGGAAAGTGCTCCAGGCAAGTTCAGCACAGGACTGACCAGATTTTAACAGATTCTCACTCAGTGAAGATTGAGCATAAGACATTTCATTGAGTTAGGTCGAGGCCCTTATTTTATATTCTTTCCTTTCAGAGAAACCTGTTTCAGGGTGCACATCTTGGCCTGCACCTCCCAGAGCTAGAATTGTTTCCATCAAACAGCAAAGAGGCTGTGCTTAGGAGCTTGGGCTCTGAACGCAGACAGAACTGGGTTCAAATCCCAGCCATCCCTAAGATAACTTCCCTCACAAGGTTGCTATAGGATTAAATTAGGTATACAGCTCAAGTACCTGAGAGACACGAAAGTCATGAATGGCAGTGAAAGAGCAAAAGCTCTCCTGCAGCACAGGGACCACCATATCTAGAGGTGAGTCAGAAAGGCACGCACACAGACCTAGTGAACCTCTGAGGCATAAGGAATGCTGAAATTATTATTCCTGGTGCTGGGCCAGTCCTTGGGTGATGATGAAATTTGCCTCCAGATAGGCTATGATTCCAAGGCAGGAGCCTAGGAATTACTGTCATTATTATTATTAGCAACAAAAATGACGGTTTATATTTTACAAGAGCTATCTAGCTTCTCTCAAAAGCTCCACTGAGACAGTGTATATTTGAGGAAGGTTGTGCAAGGGCCACGGTATCTGTTCCTCTGGGAATTCCAAGTGTGGACTGGGTTCTCTCATCAGAGAACCACATCCCAGAATTAGCCCAGCACCTGCAGAAAGGCCTTTTCTGAGTGAAGGTCTGAGTTAAGTCCTTGATTCTACTCTGCCTCAGGGTAGAGAACCACCAGCGAAGGGGAAGTTCCTGGGACACCCTGAGAACCTGCCATCAGTCACCGTTTATTAAGCACTTAACTCTGGATGGGGGCTGGCGCTCTGTGATTGCCTGACTTTATCCTCATTACATTCAGCCCATAATGTCAATGTCAGACCATTGGCCCTCCCACCCCGCTTCATCAGAGGAGGGAGCTGTGTCCCAGAAGGCAGGGGGGACTTGCTCAAAGTCACAGAGCTGGTATAAATAAACACAGCATGCCAGTCTTCATTTTTTCTTTTCTTTTTTTTTTTTTTTTTTTGAGACAGGATCTTGCTCTGTCGCCCAGGCTGGAGGGCAGTGGTGCAATCTCAGCTCACTGCAACCTCCGCCTCCCGGGTTCAAACGATTCTGCTGCCTCAGCCTCCCAAGTAGCTGGGACTACAGGTGTGTGCCACCACGCCCAGCTGAATTTTTTATTTTTAGTAGAGTCGGGGTTTCCCTACATTGGCCAGGCTGCTATCCAACTCCTGGCCTCAAGTCATCCACCTGCCTCGGCCTCCCAAAGTGCTGGTGAGAGGTGACAGAGTGCTGGCACTCCTCAGAGCCCTCGCTTGCTCTCGGCACCTCCTCTGCCTGGGCTCCAACTTTGGCGGCACTTGAGGAGCACTTCAGCCCACCGCTGCACTGTGGTAGCCCCTTTCTGGGCTGGCCAAGGCCAGAGCCGGCTCCCTCAGCTTGCAGGGAGGTGTGGAGGGAGAGGCACGAGCAGGAACCCGGGCTGCGCGCGGCGCTTGTGGGCCAGCTGGAGTTCCGGGTGGGCGTGGGCTTGGCGGGCCGCACTCGGAGCAGCCAGCTGGCCCTGCCGGCCCCAGGCAATGAAGGACTTAGCACACGGGCCAGCGGCTGCAGAGGGTGTACTGGGTCCCCCAGCAGTGCCAGCCCACAGGCGCTGTGCTCGATTTCTCACCGGGCCTTAGCTGCCTTCCCGCGGGGCAGGGCTGGGGACCTGCAGCCCGCCATGCCTGAGCCTCCCACCTGCTCCATGGGCTCCTATGCAGCCCGAGCCTCCCCGATGAGTGCCGCCCCCTGCTCCACAGCGCCCAGTCCCATCGATCACCCAAGGGCTGAGGAGTGCGAGCGCACTGCGCGGGACTGGCAGGCAGCTCCACCTGCAGCCCTGGTGCGGGATCCACTGGGTGAAGCCAGCTGGGCTCCTGAGTCTGGTGGGGCGGTGGAGAACCTTTATGTCTAGCTCAGGGATTGTAAATACACCAATCGGCACTCTGTATCTAGCTCAAGGTTTGTAAACACACCAGTCAGCACCCTGTGTCTAGCTCAGGGTTTGTGAATGCACCAATTGACACTCTGTATCTAGCTGCTCTGGTGGGGCCTTGGAGAACCTTTGTGTCCATACTCTGTATCTAACTAATCTGATGGGGATGTGGAGAACCTTTATGTCTAGCTCAGGGATTGTAAACGCACCAATCAGCGCCCTGTCCGCACAGACCACTCGGCTCTACCAATCAGCGGGATGTGGGTGGGGCCAGATAAGAGAATAAAAGCAGGCTGCCCGAGCCAGCAGTGGCAACCCGCTCGGGTCCCCTTCCACACTGTGGAAGCTTTGTTCTTTTGCTCTTTGCAATAAATCTTGCTGCTGCTCACTCTTTGGGTCCACACTGCTTTTATGAGCTGTAACACTCACCACAAAAGTCTGCAGCTTCAGTCCTGAAGCCAGCGAGACCACGAGCCCACCAGGAAGAACAAACAAACTCCAGACACGCCACCTTAAGAGCTGTGACACTCACCACGAGGGTCCGCGGCTTCATTCTTGAAGTCAGTTGAGACCGAGAACCCACCAATTCCGGACACACTGGGATTACAGGTGTGAGCCACTGCGCCCAGCCAAGCATGCCATTCTTTAGAAGATGTTCTCTCCTGGCACATCTCAGTTTCTACAAAGGCCCCCAGCCCTTCCTGGAGACCCCTGGGGCGAAGTTCTCTCACCCTTCTTCACATGCCCATAACAACTCACCTCCCTCTCTCTTAGAGCCCCCGTCCTGCCCTTCCTTGAATTCTGGTCATGCTCATGTTTGCCATAGCTCCCCAAGGAAGACAGCCTCTGAGTCAGGTCTGACATTGTCTGTCCTTAAAGAAGGCACTTAACACATATTTGTCAACTGAATTAATAAAAATTTCCCACAGGGCCTTGGAAGAAATTTTGTACCTGTTTGCCTCTGCTGGATGACGCACTCTGAACACAGCTACCTAAAAGTGGAAGGAAGGAGGCCGGGCAGGGTGGCTCACGCCCATAATCCCAGCACCTTGGGAGACTGAGTCAGGTGGATCACTTGAGCTCAGGAGTTTGAGACCAGCCTAGGCAACATGGCGAAATCCTGTCTCTACAAAAAAAATTTAAAACTTAGGCATGGTGGCACGTGCCTGTAGTCCCAGCTACTCAGGAGTCTGAGGTGGGAGGATTGCTTGAGCCTAGGAGGTGGAGGCTGCAGTGAGCCGAAATCACATCACTGCCCTCCAGCCTGAGCAACAGAGCAAGACCCAATCTCAAAAAAAAAAAAAAAAAAAAAAAGGCTAAAAGGAAGGACTGTTTTGAGCTGAGGCAACCCCAAGGACTGGTGACATTCCCTGGGTCTCCCCTGCCAGCCTCGTGTCATACCCCAAGAGAGGCTGGGACACATCTGTGAAACAGGATGCTGAACAGCGGAACACAGCGGACTTGAGCCAGCCTAAGTGGGTTTCTGCTCCTTGCAACAAGAGGCCTGAATAGAAGCCCCTTCTTCAGGGGAGTGGGCATCAGCTCAGAAAGAGGATCCCATGGGAACTGACTTTGCTGGTGACCAAGGCCCTACCACCAGGGCACCCTGCCCATGTATCCCAAGCAGAGGGAGCAGAACCAGCGGTGTAACTACTGTGCTTGACACCCAGGGCAGGTCTTTTTTTAACTCACCGATCTTCCATGCAACAAAATTGTTTTCTGTGAAAAGCAGGAAATGAATAACAACAGCGTAGGTGCGTTGGCTATGTCCGGTGGCATTTCTTCAGAATTTTCATTAATGACACCTGATTTTGGAGGCATTGTATATTTTTAAATACATCCAGATGTTGTTTCAGTTGCTTCCTCTTTGGTTCTTTTTGCTTTTCGTTGTTGAGCGTCACTTAAATTCGTGTCATTTCATGTTGGTACAGGTACTCCACTTCAAATTTCCCAAGAAATTCAGAAGAATTGTGAACAAGTTGCTGGTTTCACAATACTGCAAGACACTGCAAGTTATTCCAAGTTCCTACAGGACAACGATGCACAATTATTTACTTACTTATGTTTAAATATACCTATCAGTTTGACTTTCATCCTTTGGTGACATTCTAATAATTTATGTAAATAATTATTCAGAGACCAATGAGAGGATTTTAATAAGTGCAAAATGTTAGCAGACGGTACAACATTGATAAATCTATGGTCTGTATTTTGTTCTGCCATTTCAAAATAATTAAAAAGTAAGTTTCAATTTAAAAACATTATTGAAATTCAGTAAAATATTTCAAGCATGAACTAAAATATACACTTACTAAACACAAATATTACACCTCACATTTCATACTCTGTTTCATTGTTTTAAATTTTAAACAGAAATAACTCCACCGGCCACCTAGAATGATCAAATCAGGCAACTCAAGTTACTTTGTTTCATCTTCACAATCACTGTGCTATCATTGTTCATTTTGAATCTACTTTTTAAAAGCAAGAATATTTGATACCAGATACCAGACACAAATTATACCTGAAAAGGATGTCATTTTAGGATTTGTGTCCCACCTAAAGGATACAATTCTGTACCCTGACAATGTTATTCTAGAAATAAATGCCTATGAGTGAGTCTTGTTTCAAGAGCCAACTCTACAACTAGGAGTTCCCCCAAAGTAACTTCCATGTGCAATAAAGTTTTTATTAAAGGATAAGTATTAAAATTGTCCTAAGCAGAAAACCAAACACTGCATGTTCTCACTCATAGGTGGGAATTGAACAATGAGAACACTTGGACACAGGGTGGGGAACATCACACACCAGGGCCTGTCGTGGGGTGGGGGTAGCGGGGAGGGATAGCATTGGGAGATATACCTAATGTAAATGACGAGTTAATGGGTGCAGCACACCAACATGGCACATGAATACATATGTAACAAACCTGCACGTTGTGCACATGTACCCTAGAACTTAAAGTATAATTAAAAAAATAAATAAATAAAAATTTTTAAAAATCTAAAAAAAAAAATTAAATTAAATTAGATAAATAAAATTGTCCTAAGGCCAGGAATGGTAGCTTACACCTGTAATCCCAGCACTTCCGGAGGCAGTGAATTGCTTGAGCCCAGGAGTTTGAGACCAGCCTGGGCAACATGGTGAAACCCTGCCTCTATAAAAAAATACAAAAATTAGCCAAGTATGGCGGCACGCACCTGTAGTCCCAGCTACTCGGTAGACTGAGGTGAGAGGATCGCTTAAGCCTGGGAGGTCGAGGCTGCTGTGAGCCATGATGGTGCCACTGCACTCCAGCTTGGGTGACAGAGTGAGACTCTGTCTCAAAAAAACAAAAACAAAAACTGTCCTAATGTGAAGCTTATATACTTATCATCATCATCAATATCATCAGCATTATGAAGCTCCACAGTACCTCAGCAAGTGTTTACACATTGGGCCAAGGACAGATTTTTCCTGGAGAAAGATTTTACCACTGCCACCATCTTGAAATTCTTCATCGTTTTGGAACACAGAGCCATAGATTTTCATTTCTGCACTCAGCTCTGTTCTGAGACCGGGGCCATAGGGGTTCTTGGAGAGACAGGGCAGATGGAAGAAGTGGAAGGCATCTGCACACTGTAGAGTGCCCTGCAATCATAGAGGGTGATTACTCCTGTCCCTACCTCCCTGGCCCAGCTTCCCACCAGCCAGAACCCTGGCAAAACAGGGAGACCTTTGGCAGTCTCTTAGCCCTCTTCCTTACTAATCCCTGTTCCCTCCTCTCCCCTTATGCCAAATACAACTAGAGGTCACCTCACAGCCAAGCGCCCCTCCCAAAGACACCAACTTCCTTTACCCTGCAACAACCAACCCTCACCCCACTCCCAAAAGGCTCTCTGGCCAGAGGTCTGATCGAGCCCCTTGAGGGTACTCACTTTAAGCCACCCCCATTGCCTGAGTTGTTTTCCTTTTTTACAAATGAAGCTTGTTCTTTTCTGGGTCTCTCCAAGGTGGAGTGTAGGAGGGCAGTGTTTTCCGTAGCCTCTGGCTCGTGCCGCGCTCTCAGACTCTTCAGTTCTCCTCACCCACACGAGCCCAATGAGGTAGGCCTTTTTATTCCATCTTGCAGACAAAGAAACGATTACTCAGGGTTGATAAACACCACCCAAGATCTCATGGGAGGAAGGAACAGAGATGAAAATAAAATGCAAGGCTGTGTAAGTCCAACAAATATGCCACATCCATGTCACCTCTGGGGTCTGATCCAGCCTCTCAACAACCACCGTCACCCCTCAACAGGCAGGTGACAGTGGCGAGATGGCCCAGCCCAGCAACAGGCTCCCCCATTGCAGTGCCATTGCTATGCCAGAGGACACAAACCCCAGACCTTGACTCCTCCTCACAGACCCTGAACAGCTAGAATCTTCTGGCTTCACTGATACTTCCAGCTGCCTGAGCTTTGGCCCGGACAGTCGCCACAGCAAACACAGGTAGGTCTCTGCAGCTGCAGCTGAATGAGCCAGCAAATATTTATCAAGCACTGTGCTAGGAACAGTAGGAGATGGAGTGACTTTACTCAGTGGTCCAGTTTTAAAACACTTTTAGTAATAAATACCCTTAAAAAAAAGAAGGGGAGAGAACATATTTTAAAACCCTATTGCTTTCTTTCCCATCCTGAAAGCCATGAGGTAGACAAAATAGTATCGCTTTACAAGCACAGACTTTGGAGCCAGAGACTTTTGGGTTTGAATTCTGGCAGTGCTGCCACTAGCTACGTGACACTGTGCAAGCCACACTCCTCTCAAAGCCTTAGTTTCCCCTTTACAACACGAGAATGCTTACCCCTGCCCACCTCAGAGGATTCTTTAAAAATGAAATGAGCTAATGTATAACAAAGAGCTTTGTTGACTGTGCAAATGTTAGGTTGTTCTTTCAATAAACATTTATTAAGCATTTACTCTGAGCCAAACCCTGAGTTAGGCATTAGAGCTTCTGAAATGTAAACGACCCGGGTTCATTGGGATTCACCCTTTTTATTTTTTTTTTTTCGATGAAATTCACACAACATAAAATTAACCATTTTAAAGTGAACGATTCTTTGGCATTTAGTCCATTCACGATGCTGCACAACCAACACCTCTCACAAGTTCTAAAACATTTTTTTCCTCATCCCAAAAGAAAAGCCCGTACCCACTGAACATCAGCCTCTTTTGAAGATACCTTTTCTCTCGCTCTGCTGCGTCCTTCTCAGGAGTTGAGTTCACGGGCTTCATAATATCCTAATGTCCCTCTCATCGCCTATGACTCCAAGCCAATTCCCACATCCAACCTCAAGCTTCACAAGTCGAAACCCAGGTTTCTCTGCCAGAGCCGGGGGAAACAGAGCCCCTAGCCTGCCATTTTTAATTACATCAGGGCTGGGTGAGCAGGTAATCGCTGTGCATTTCAGTAAATTACCTCTCATAAAGGGGCCATCATGTTTGCTCATGTGCCCTTCTTTCCTGGAACCAGCTCCCTGTTTGCCAACATTGTATCTTCCCAGCAGCCCATGCGCCTGGTGATCGTCCTTTTAGTCAAGCTGGGGGACAGTCAGGTGCAGGGGGAGGAGGCAGTGTTTGGGCAAATATTGGACTTGGCCACACTTGCTGTTCGTATCAGGAACCCAATTGGTGTTATTGATTGACAGATTCGGGGACCAACTGTTTAGAAAGCTGAGCCCCCTCGGATTGGGCTAGGTGTTTCAACAAACAGCCCTAATGCTGGGCAAACAGGGCTGTTGGAAGAAGTGCCCAGCGTGTTAGCAGAGCAAACCAAGCACTGAGCAAACAGCTTAAAAGAATGTGGCCACCTCCACGTAACCTCAACCGAGGTATTGATCCCACCGGAGGAAAGAGAGGGGCCGAGTGGGGAACAGAGAGATACAAACCCCGGCAGAATGTAAATGTTATCTTTAAGCTGCGGCTGTCACGGCCCTAATGGGCATCTGTTTGGAATTTGTCTTCTTGCAAATCTTTAAATCCAGGTCAGGGCCAGGCACAGAATTTAATAACAACTTTTCAGAGAGATCGGGGCTTGGGACTGATTTCATTCCCCATAAGCCCAACTGGGACTCTTCTGTTCTTCTTAAAGGCAGCTGCCTTGCATGGAAACTTGCTGGGTGCAAGTCCCAAGCTAGAAAGAGATAAATCTTCTGAACACTGGTCATAAGGCTACAGGAGAGAAGAAGGAAATTCAGAAATAAAGGTGCTTTCTCTGACCCCTGAGCTGTCCATACAAGAGAGCTGGTGGAGTGGAAAGAATCCTGGACTCAGAATCAAGAAATCTGGGTCCTGCTGCAGCTGCTGGCTCTGACTGGCTGCCCCTTCTGTCTTCACCTCCCTGACCTTCAACCTCTGTATCTATGAACTGAGGGATGCAGTCCCTGCTGGGCATATTCAGGGTCAGGCCAGACAAGCCCATTCCAAGGTGGGAGCACACTCTGCAGACAGAAAACACTGTCCCAGTTTAAGGAATCGGGATATTTGCTGAGAGACCCTGGGAGATGCCCCTCCTGAGCCTGAGACCTTCTGACATCACCAAGTCGCAATGGAATGGACCATGGCTGTGGTTATCTATTTTTCTAGGTAGGTGACTGTTGGAATTTGGGTGTCCTTTCCCAAAAGCTAGATGGGCAAAGGGAATACATGTTGTTTGCAAATTCCTTGAAAAGTCAAAAAATCATGATTGCTTACTTGCTGTTATTTTTGAGACAGGGTCTCACTCTGTTACCCAGTCTAACAGAATCGTGCTCTGTCACACAGGCTGGAGTGCAGTGGGACGATCATAACTCACTGCAGCTTTAAGCTCCTGGATTCAAGCAATCCTCCTGCCTCAGTCTCTCAAGTAGCTGGGACTACAGGTGTGCACTACCACACTTGACTATATATATATTTTTTTTTTGTAGAGATGGGGTCTCACCATGTTGTCCAGGCTGATCTCGAATTCCTGGCCTCAAGTGGTCCTCCCACCTCAGCTTCCCATAAACAATGGGATTACAGCATGAGCCACCATGTCCAGTTGCTTGCCTTTTAATATTTTTGTAAAATAATAGGGTTAAAAAAATACTTGCCCTCTGTGTCTCAAATGAGGCCAGAGGACTGTGATTGGATATCACCCCTGGTCCACAATTTCTTGCCAAGAAAAAAACCACAGCACTCCTATCTTCAACTAGAGGCCATAGCAGTGTGAGTAACCCCAGGGTATTACTTGGCACTGCATTGTACAAGAGAATAGAGGGAACTTAAAACCTTTTGGCCATCTCTACCTCTTGGTATCTGCTCTCATGATGATAAGGAGAATCAGAGAAGGCTGCAACTCAGAGGAGGCATCTACTTTGATAGATCTTTAAACAGGGGCTTAACAGGGAACAGCCGCAGCTTAAAGATTACATTTATGAAAGGATACAGGCAAAGTGGTCAGGAGCTCGGGCTTCAGAGCTAAGTGCCTGGGGTAGAATCCCAGCTCTGCCACTCGTGGTGCTGTGAGGCCTTAGGCAGGTTACCTAACTTCTCTGAACTTCAACAACACTTCTCCCTGTGAAATGGAAACAATACCCCTGGAGGGACTGCCCCTCAGTGCGGCACCTCACCCACGATAAGCCCTCAGTAAATAATAGGGACTTTTATGGTTATTTTTGTGATGTGAGCAGGACAGACCCTAGTGAGAATGAGCTGTCATTGCCCATATGTGACTGCAGAGGATGCCTTGCTCCCAGTGAGGAAACCCACCAGCCTTCCCTAGAAAACCTACCATCAGAGCCTTGGGTCAGCACCGAGATTTTACCGTTCAAGTGGAGACGCGCACTTCGTTTCAAGTGTGTGGCCTATGAGAGCCGCTCGGATGGGCTTCCTCATCAGAGGGACCTCTCCAAGGCCTCCTCCTCCTGCATCGACCAGTAGCCCTGCCCTCAGCGCAAAGAGAAGGCTGTGGGGTTTGAAGACAAAGTTCTCCGGCATAGAGATGGGCCGGTCTATTACCTTCTGCTTATAGATGGGGCAGTGAATGCCCAGTGTAAGGAAAGGACTTGCCCGAGGTCACAGAGGAGGTCAGTGGCTGCACAGGTTTTTTTGTGGCAATAAGAAAATGGGCTGATGAGGCTGGGTCTTTAAAGGCAAAACCAGTGACAGGTTATCAGGGAGAAGTTTAAGCTTGCCTTAAAAGTGGAGCGGATGGGGGCCCAATTCACCTCCAGTAAATAGTTATGAATTAGGGTTTATCTACAGCAATTAAAAACAAATAAGTAAATCGTACCTGCATTGGCATGCTTCGTCTCAACCTACTGATATACCTACCCTCACTGGAAACGTCCATCTCAACTAAGGTTGTTTCAGAACCTTTGCTTTCGGAACAAGGGCACACAAACACGGGGGTAATTTATGATTGTAATTTATGACGTGTTAAGTAGAGATAACTATATTTCTCCAATCTGCATGGCCTAACATCTGGTTAAGTAAGGAAAATGGGCCCGGAAGATGTGGTATCGATGATCCCCCTATAAGGAGAAGTCTTAGCTAAGGTTGGGTGCATTTGGTGAGTGTTGAGCCACGGCCAACCTGCTTCCGGGCCTAGGGCACTCCCATCCCTGCCCCAACATGGTCCCACAGAGCTCAGGCACAGGCCACAAGGTTCCCAGCCTCCATCAGACCCCAGCTTTCCCCCTCTCCTGCTCTGCTCCTGGCTCCATGAGACAGTAGCATGCAGACTATGAACCAAGAAAAAGTTAAAAGCAAAAAGGAGAAAACTTGTTAAAACCACTGCTGTTTTTAAGGGTCAAGGAAGGATTCCTTGACCTGCCCTGGAGGCAAGAAAACAGGTCACATAAACACCACACCCCTTTCTCCAATCAGCCTAGGGTTACAGACTTACTTCTGTTAGGCAAAGACCTCCTTTCAAGAAGAGAATATGCTGGGCCACTCTGCAGATCTGGAGGAGTTTGGAGTAAGAGTGGGTGCCCCAGACATTGGACCAAGCATTCCACAGGTAGAAGGCTTGGAAGCTGGAAGCCCAGTGAACATGCACCTGGTTAGAGGGATCAGGAAGCCTCAGCTCTGGAGTGGATTAAGATGCAGGTAGAAACAGCTCAGAGTGGGTCTCTAATCCCATCTAATCCACTCTGGGCTCAAGGATCCCAGAAATCCCTTACCAAGCACTTTCTTTGTCTCACCCGCAGTGACCACCTCCCTCCCTTTCCCTTGGAAAGCCCAAGTTATCAGGCAGTGAAAGAACTGGCCCCTGACTCTGCTGCTATAACATCTCCCATGCCACACTGCTGCTTCTGAACATGCAGGCCCTTGAAACAGGAAAAGCAGTACCCACTTTCTCACTCCACAGCTCCACTCACAATTACCAACTGTTTACAGGAAAGACAATGAGAGTGCGTCCCCTGAGAGAAGGGGTTAATTATTACAAGTCAGGAAAACAGAGAGTTACAGTATGCTGACCCCCTCTACCTGAATACACAGTAACTAGTGCTGTTTTTGAAAACACCCAGGTTAGAGCCAGGTTTACATTTGACAAGCATCAGCTAATTACAACAATAATATGAACTACACAACAGCATCAGCATGGCTGATGAATCATTGAAAAGGCTGAGTGACTCTTAGAATGCCCAATTAATGATTCACCCTGTAAAAATGCATCTCCACGCTGGTGCCCAGATCTGGCTCATTATGTTAAAAGCTCTTACGCCACTGGGCCTTACATACAGACTCTAAATATCTTCAGAACTTTGAACTTTGAAATAAGTAAACACGAATATGCACTAACTAGGACTGGCTTCATGGGCACGCAACCTATGAGGCTAGTTATTCAGGGCCTGAGCTCCAAAGGGCACCACCCCCAACTTGGTTGAATGCTCTCTTGAAATTCTGAATAATTCTAGAACAGGGAGCCCCAGCATTTCCATTTTGCACAGGGACCTGAAAATGATGTTTCCAGGCTTGGGCTAAACTCTTAAAGAAGAAAGCAAGAGAAAGTGAGACACAGGAATCCACACATCAAGCCACTTTTGCCCCCATCTGAAGCAAAATGCCCCATTCTTTTAAAATTCTGAACAAGAGAAAGGTGTGGAATTTTTTTTTTTTTTTTTTTTCTGGAGGAAGTGTTTCGCTACATTAGAAATACCTTATGAGTAGGTCTGGCCCTGTCCTCTAAGCTAACCCCTCTCCTCCCTGACCACCCTCTGCAGAAAAACTCCTCTCTGACCTGCCGTGTCTGCAACCTGAGGTTGAGGTTGAGGGATAATTTCAGCTCTTTTCTGAGATAACAGAGAAGTCAGAGTCCTTGCTGTTTCCTTCTTCATAAAATGAAAGAGCATTGCGGGGGCAGCGGAAGGCAGAAGGGACTAAGTCAACCTTTCCCAGCCCTTTCTGAGATGTTCAAAAATGTTCACCCAGAGAGGGTCTCTATAGCAAAAAAAAAAAAAAAAAAAGAAAGAAAAAGAAAAAGAAAAAAAACCAAGTTTTGAAAACTCTGGGTCAAATAAAGTTAACTTTCTGAACTGGAGGACTTTCTCAGAACATTTAAAGAGTTAACAGGAATTGTGTGACTCTCCAAGCCTGGGGTGACAGCACTTTCCAAGCTCATTCTACTATAATTGATGTAACAACCCATCCACCCTGGGGAGTATTTACCATCAGGCTGAGGAATCTTGGACTTCAGAACCTCTCTGAATGCAGTGCAATGACCTGCACTGGTCATTGCAGAGCTCTGGAAGTACCCATACTGAGTGTTCACCTGGTCATATGCTTGGCTAAAATTTGCAGAAGTAAGATATTGCTGTATCCATTTTCTTTTCTTTCCTTTTCTTTTTTGAGAGGGAGTCTCACTCTGTCGCTCAGACTGGAGTGCAGTGGCACAATTTCAGCTCACTGCTACCTCCACCTCCCGGGTTCAAGTGCTGCATCCATTTTCTTAAAGAAAGGTCCTAAAATTGTGTGAGCTTTGGGACCCCCAAAACGCACATCCTCCTCTGCATCCATTTTCACATCTGGAGGCACCACCCTTACATCATAACTAACATCTTAACATGCACCCACATCTCGCATTTCATCTAATTTATAAATAACTGTAGGAGTTGAGTTGGAGCTGGTATAATGTCATTTGCTTAGTAGACTCATAATTAAACATTTTTTCATATTGGTTTTGCTCAGTTGCAAGGAATGTTAATTTTGGAGGCAACACTTTTTAAATTTCCATGTCACGATCATTTTCTTAGGTCCTGGGAAAGCATGTGGGCCCTGAGGACTAGGCCTACAGTGCAGGATGGATAAAATAGGGCTGCACTCAGCCAGCCTCTACAGTTCGAGAAATGCCATACTTATAGAGCAATACTGATTATTTTCATGGTCGTTTCCAATTCAGTGGAAATGTCGATTTAATATCTAATTCAGACTAAAGAGAGATTGGAGTGGTTGGGGGAGTCGAGTTTGGATTGCAGAAATTGAGCTTTTATTATTTTCGAGAAACAGCAGGTTTCCTTGAACTAGGTTAACAAGGTGTTATCTAACAAGACCTTAGGGGGCTGATTTAACGGTTAGGACAAGATTGTTGTGTAATTAGCTTATCAACTCTGTATATGTAAATGAAGGCTTTTAAAGTCTTAGGAAAACTGGCTCTTGCTCTTAAGTAATTTAACTGTTTCCCCTTGATGCTCTTCATTCTCTCCAGCTTGGACACTTCTTTCCTTAATTAAGCATTTATGGAAGTCCATCTTGTGCGCAGCACTGTGCCTAGGGATTGAAATATGAGTAAGACCCAGTCCCTGCTCTCCACCAGCCCATGGTCTAATCAGAGGTCCGCGAACCTTTTCTGTAAAGGACCAGATGGTAAATACTTCAGTTTTGCAGACCATCTCTGTTGCAATAATAACCCGACTCGGCCCTTCAAGTACAAACGCAGCCACGGACAACGTATCAACAAATGAGTGGCCATGTTCCAATAAAACTTTATTTACAAAAGCTACTTGGGCCATGGTTTGCAGACCCTCTGGTCTAAAGAGAGAGACAAAAATATAAATAATTTACTATGCAAAGATAGAAACTTAATTCTGTGCAATTATGGAAGCGCTAGCCAAGTGCTGTGGATTCACAGGGAAGAAAGAAGTAATTGATTTCCAGGAGAGGCCAGAAGCTTCCTGGAAGAGCCATTGCCTCTTGGTTCAGGCCTTTATGGTCCCCCAGTTGCTTTGTTCTTATCCATTTTTCCTCCCCATTGAGGCCAAGGGCTTCTGCGACCTGGCATCATTTTGTATCATTCCTGGGGCCTAGCTAAGATGTGAGCACAGGTCCTGCCTACAAAATCACAGCTTCTGAGTCAGCATCCAGTCAAATAAGGTTGATGTTGTTAGAGCAAAACTCCGATTGGGCTCTCACCCAGGCTTCAGATAAACACTTCTTGTTTGGAAAACCATGGTGCCTTTGAGGGGAATTAGACAATGTAATCTCCTCCTGCACGCAACCTCTGCTCTAACTCCTTTATTGTTCTTCCAGACACTTTCTCTTTGCATTTTCAATATCCAAATGCCATTTAGTTTATTGAGGCTTGTTTGCTCAGGGCTGGGCAAATAAAAGAACAAAGGAGGCTGTGAGCATCACCCCAGCCTTTGCTATCACGGGCTCTCAAGGTGAGCTTAGCAGCCTTCAGCACCAATCCCCTTAACAGGCTGCAGGCCAAGGTCGCTGGAGATGTGAGATGCAGGGCTATAAAGATGGGATAGGAGACAAGGCACTTTCTAAAAGGACTCCCGATAGCATATCTCCAATTCCACCAGGAACTAGGAAAAGGATGACACCCTGGCAATAACAGCAGGTAAATGAATTACTCACCCAGTAAAACTGATGGAGCTGATAACAGCAAGACCCAGAGATTGTTGGGTCAGAGGTTGCATCAGGAGACGGCTTCAGAGATTTAGGCTGTCGATCACCTTCATCAGCCTTTCTCCAAGACCTCTCCAAGTCAATATCCGATCTACCTAGGAGTACAGTGTGCTCACTGTGCCACCCAGGCAGGGGCCACCCCTAAGCCCTTTCTCTAGAAACACTCTGCAGCCCCCACTGCCCACTTGTTCCTGGTGTTCACCAGTGGGGGACAATGCTTGTGAATCCCCCAATATTTGTATGACTCTTGGGGAAGCTAGAGGAGGACAAATCAGAGAATGCTGGATCCAAAATATAACTTTCCTCAGGATATCAAATCCAGTTAGCACCAGCAAGCACCCTGCCCCTCCCCTTTGAACTCCCCAGGCTGCTTTCTGACCTGTAGGATGAATCTACGACTCTGCCTACCTGCCGCTCATAGCTCCTAGGAGTACAACTTCCAGCCACTGCTTCTCACGTGAAAACTCTCAGCTCAAGCACTGGAGGCAGAGTCCACTACACAGGGAGGCTAGGAGCCCGGGTCACTGACCTATATGAACTGCCACCAATAAAGAGCCTTTCTCTTAAAATGAGGAAGAGAAGGAAGAAGAGGCAGGTGAAGGCAGAATTGATTCATTTCCAGCCCCTGGGACTCTTTTGAGTCAATGGTTCCAGAACTGTAAAGTCTGTCTGTAAAGTCTGTAATTTAAACAAGCAAACAAACAAAACCTTCTACAGGTGTTGGGTGAAAAATCCCTCAGGTTTTTTCACCTTGGTGGGAAGGTCCAGGTGGTCAGATGACCTGGGGCATAGAATAATAAGGATAGAGGGGCCCTGTCTGGGGCTCTCCCAGGTGAAGTCAGCTCCTCATCACTGGCTTCTCATCAAGGATGGTGTAAAAGCCAACGGCGGCTCTACTTCATCTCCTCAAACAGACCCTTCCAAACTCAGGACTAAAGCTAGAGAAAGAAGGAGGGAAGGGAGGTGGCTTTGCTCCTGGCTCAGCTTCCATTGGCTGAGCTTCTACTGTGTGCCAGGCGTGCATTATCTCCTTTAGTCCTCTCACACTCCTAAGTGATGTGTGATAATCTTGTTTTATAGATAAGGACACTGACAACACTTTCCCTAGGTCCTCCTGCAACAAAGTGGCCAGGCTGGAAGTCAGCACAGGCCTGGCCTCAAACCCACGCTCTTGCCACTAACAAACTTCCGCAGAAAGAGAAGGAAGGTGTGTTTAATGTAAGTGTTAAATGTGTGACAGGAAATGGATGAGCCTGTGGGGGCTAAATTGACTTGCTGGGGTTAGGAGAATGGCATCCTGACTTGTTCTGATCCCTACTCTGACTCCTTTCTGATCCCCACTTCCCCACACATACTCTTGGTTGGGCCAGGGGATGCTAGCCTCAGCCCTTGGGATCCACTCCCACTTCATAAGAAACCAAAACCAAATGTGGGGTCCTGCCTTAGCAAAGGTGAGTGACAGGCAGAGCTGGGATGCTCTGTGCCCAAGGGCCCTCAATGGCCTGTACCTCCTCTCTACCACCTGGGCCCTTTGGCTCATTTCTACCCCCGCACCCCTTAAAGTCACCTTCTTGGATTAAGTCACTGTGCGTGCTGGCCTCTCCAGTCTCCTCCTCTCTCCTGGGGCATCTGAGACTCTGAGTCCTAAGCTGGAGGCTTCTCGTAGTCCCACAAGGCTCACAGCCAGGCCAGCCCACAGTTCTGCCCCAGCTAGGGTGGAACATGCGTGCTGTGGCTGGAGAAGACAGCTGACTCTGCAAATGCTCCTCAATCCTATTGTTTGACTACCATGCCTCTTTTCCCAAAAGAACAGCAAGTGTGTCTCCAGCCCTCTTCCTGAGACAGAACAGAGGGGCGAGAGGGTTTATGGTTAGGCACTTGGAACCATAAACCTTTCCCCATCAAGAAAGGTGGGGGGAAATGGGAGGGAGCTCATTTGTGGATGGAGATCATAACTGGATGTGGTCGGAGGGACCCCAAGAACCCAGTCTGTTCGCATGGCTGCATGGCCATTCTCCTTCGTAGCCTCTCCGCATATTGTACCGGATCTCTCAGCACCAGTGCTTCCCCACTTGCCTTCTCAAGGCCTGAGAGCCACTTCCTGCTTCTTTATGATTTCTGTGGTCTCCCAGCTTTAGCCTGCAAAAGGCCAACTGCAGCCTTGCCTCTACCCATAGATATCATTTCAGAATCTGTCTCTGATTCTACCTGCCTTATTCTCCCTGGGTTTCTTAATTCCAATTCCCAAGAGCCTGAATCTGCTTGGCCCATCTTCTCATACCAAGCCACACACTAAGTTACTGGTCACTCTGTAGATTGATGCTGATGGGTCAGTTTCCCTGCTCTGCTGGGGTCAGTCGGGTCTGAGGCAGATACAGTCACAAGGCTGCAATGGCCCAATGGCTTTTTCTTGACCATGGCACAAAATACAGCCAATTTACTGAGACAGTGTTATTGCAATAGAGAAAGAATTTAATAAACACAGGGCCAGCTAAACAGGAGACTGGAGTTTTATTACTTTGATCAGCCTCCCTGAAAATTCAGAAACTAGGGTTTTTTAAGGATAATCTGGGGGGCAGAGAGCCAGGAAGTATGGAACAATGATTGGTTGGGTCGGGATAAAATCAGAGAGGGTTGAAGCAAGTTCTTCCTGCTGCTTTCAGTTCCTGAGTGGGATCACAGAACTAGTTGAGCCAGTTTACCGACCTGGGTGGTGCCAGCTGGTTCATTAGAAGGCAGGGTTTGAAAAATATCTAGAACATCAATCTCAGGTTTTACAGTAGTGATGTTATCCATAGGAGCAAGTGGGGAGGTTAGGAATCTTGTGGCCTCTGGCTGCATGACTTCTGAGCTGTAATTTCTAATCTTGCGGCTCATTTGTTAGTTTTACACAGGCGATCTGGTTCCCAGGCAAGGAGGAGGTTTATTTCAGGAACAGGCTGTTATCATCTTTGTTTCAAAGTTAAACTACAATCTAAATTCTTTCTATACTTTACCCAGCCTATGCCCAGGAATGAACGAGGGCAGCTTGGAGGTTAAAAGCAAGATGGTGTTAGTTAAGTCAGATTTCTTTCACTGTCATAATTTTCCCATGTCAGATTTTTCTCATTGTCGTAATGTTTGCAAAGGTGGTTTCAAGGCTGACTGGGGACAGGGGCTGAGAGTTGGCCTTTCCGCTTACAAGGGTCTAACAGACTTTCTGAGTTGCTGCTCACCTGATGGAAAACCTTCACTCCATCCCCTCTTAGGTGTGGGGCCTTGGACAAGTCACTAAAGCTCCCTTAGCTGCAGTTTTCTCATCTGCAAATGAGGAACTGTCTATAAGCAGCTCTCCAGGTTTGAATCCAGAGTTGTGAGATGCAAATAAGCGCCCAGCACAGCACCTGACTGAAAAGGAGTCCCTCTCTCTCATCCAACTGCAGCCAGGGTGGGCTGCATTCTTCAGAGAAATCACCCTGCCGACTGCCCTCCTACTTCCTCTCCACCTTCCCAGAGGTTACCCACCCACCCTTTATGCTCTGACTCCAGGATACCTCTTCCAGGAAGCCCACCCCAGTCACCCTTGCTGTCCGCAACCCCCTCTCAGAACCCTATGCTACTTTCAGGCAGCATCACACAATGTCAAGTTTAATAATACCCTGTCCAATCCCACAGGCTCATTTCTCCACATGTGTTCATTACCTCTCCAGAGTGTGAGCTCCCTGGCTGGAAACCATGCCTTTGCTTTTAACCCACTAAGGTCATCACACAAGGCTATACAAACAGCCAGTGCCCCAAAAATACTTGCTGATACACATTCCAAGGACATAAAAAGGGCCTAAGCCCAGTTTCCTTCTCTTTTAAAAGAAGGCAGGACAATGATAATAACCACTACCTGTAAGGCAGTGTGTATTTGGTAAAGACTTGCTACATTCATTGTCTTGATTAATCAGCAACCCAAAGAGGTGGGTGGAATTCATCCCACAATGCAAGTGCGAATACTGAGGACCAGTGAGAGTCTGTGATGTGCCCGAGAGCACAGCTAGTAAGTGGCAGAGTCGTGATTTGAACCCAAGTCTTGTGACACCAAACCCATTATTTTTTTTCTGTCATATGGGGCTGTGAGTTTTAAAAGCCAAGAGACAGGGTTCAAGGGGTGGCCAGTAGTTTTGCTATAGAGAAAACTGCAGCCATTGGGAAACAGGCAAATTGTTTACACCTAGATGCAGAGAACACAGAGAAGGCAAACTGCCACTGGCTTCAAAGACGCAATGGAACTTGGACATTTGGAAAGAAGGAGAGGCACTGGAGGAAGCAGAAGTCATCTGTGGGTGCAAGTGTACGGCTAGAGCTAGCTCAAGGGGAGTGCTGAGTAGAACGCAGAGCCCAAAGGGAGCAATATAGTGGCAAGCTACAAGGGAGCCCGGGACCCCAAGCTGGGGACGGTGATGATAGCGTTCTCAGGAGGAGAGAGACACTGAGAGATGCTTGTGAGTGATCACTCTACAGGATGCAGTGAGGGGCTGGCTGGGTCTGGAGCAAGTAAGAATAAACCAAGGTCTTTCCAAGCCCACAGCCAGAGCCATTGCTAAAATACAGTTCCCATTAACCAATATGGGGGTGGCAAAAATTGCCACTGACTTTGGGAAGGAAACAGGCAGTATCACACGATGTCAAATTTAATAAGTTCCTGTCGCCATGCCCTATCTCATTACTCTGCACATGTTCATTATCTCCCCAGATCGGTGTTAGCTGGCTTTTGGAAATGATGTTTTCTCTTTCATCCTCCATAGCTCCTTATGCAGGGCTGAGCACATAGAAGGAGCCCAGCAAATAGCAGTGGATATAAATTTCAAGAGCATAAAATGGTCCTAAACCCCAGGGTCAGTGGAGGAACATTTCAGAGAGATTAGATATCAACTCAATCTTTTCCTAAAAGCACTTTGCGGTAGCAGCCAGAGGCATCCAACAACATCCAACAATGAAACTGTGCCCCTCGAGGTAAAGAGTACCCCATCACTCGAGGTATCCAAGCAGAAACTAGACAACCATCAGAGGCTCTGTGGAAGGAATCCCTGCATTGGGAGGGAGACCAGACCGAACAGCTCCTACAGCCCCCTCCATCTCTCAGATGCTATGGTTCAAAAATGCAGTGGATTTGGTCTCCAGCTTCATTGGCATGCCCCATTCAGAAATAGCCAGACTGACTTAAAAAAAGAAATCTCGGTGCCTCTTTCTATTTCTTTCAAACCCTTTAAATGTCAAGTTCCAGACCACTGCTTTGCCTTGCCGGGTGGTTGGATACCAAGCCCATGAGCGCTGGATTTAGAATAGCACGCCTGGTGTGGCCGGAGGAGGAGTCTGACTTCATGCATTCCTAATGCACGTCTATTTTTACAGCCATGAGACACGTCGCCTTCCCTCGCTGTTCACATCAATATCACACAGGGACGCTGACACAGGGCCATCTGTCCCCGCAGACGCGTTCTTTTGGGAGGGGAGGCAGAGGGAACGGGAGGGGGATAGATATGCATTTTTGTTCTAAGTCTGAAAATTGATTTGGGATGTGATAGATCCCAGGCTTGAGTTGGCCAGAAACGCCTTTTGCCAAACCCTGTTGGGGATAGTGTCTTATTTTTTCATCTCCTTCTGAAGTTGAGCACTGTCGGCCATCCACCCAAGCAATCATTCACTCACTCACTCATGCACGCACTTGCCTGTGGCGTGCCAGCTCTGGGCCACGCTTCCTTTCGCCATGCTTGACTTTTCCGGAGGCCATGCCCGCAATGCAACAGGGTGTAGAGGTAGAAAGGGGCATGACCTGGAGGGTAAACAGATGAGGCAAGCCTTGATGAGCACCTGTAGTATACGTCCAGGGCTGTGCCCAATCTGCAAGTCCAACCAGGGGCTTTTCCTTAAAACAACTGTCCGTGTGTAAGACAAGAGATGAGTCCAGACTTGACAGCCAGAGAAGGAAGGGCTTCTTGAGTGCTGGAACAAAAACAAAGTGGTCTCAAGAGAAATGGGAGCTCTGGGTTAGTGTGTCTGTGGACCCCAGAACCTGGCCCAAGCTGGCTCTTCTGGGAGAGCCCCACACTCTGGGAAAGGAGCCCTCAGAATGCATCTACACAAAAGAGCCCCACTGGGAGCTCAGCCCTTGGGTGCTTGTTATAGATTCAGGTTCCCAAAGTCTTTGGGGCCCACCAAAGACTCCCTCCTCTGGTAATGCAACCACTTTTCCTTTGACACAGCTCCCCCATTCCTGGTGGTCCTGAGGGACCTGTCAATCATGCAACCCCACCTTGCCTTGGTAAAGATCCAGTGCCAGGTCCAACCAATCAGAGTACTCTCTGAAGGAAACTACAATGATTAATTCAGGGAGGCATGGGTGATCCTGGTGAGGCAGTAAGAGGCTGCCCTGGGACTTTTCTGTCAGAGGTAACAGGGAAAATGACCTCAATTGTTATTGCTGAATTGAGACAATATGAGTCTGAAACCACCAGTCACCATGTTGCCTCCTCCATGGAAAAGACCGGTATGAAGGATAAAGCCAACAGGAGACCACAAAAGCCAAGAGGAGAAAGATAGAATCTGATGACTTCACTTGACCCCTGGTTCCACCATGTGGAAACGAGCCCTTGAATTAGCTACTGGTGAGAGCCAAAAAATCCTTTTCCCCCTCTCTTTCAAACAAATTTGCCTTGAACAGTTTACCCACCAATTGGCACTTAGAAATCCTTGGCCAGGTGGGGCATTAAGAGTGGGATCTTGGGCCGGGCGTGGTGGCTCACGCCTGTAATCCCAGCACTTTAGGAGGCTGAGGCAGGCAGATCATGAGGTCAGGAGATCAAGACCATCCTGGCTAACACGGTGAAACCCCGTCTCTACTAAAAATACAAAAAATAAATAAATAAATAAATTAGCTGGGTGTGGTGGTGGGCGCCTGTAGTCCCAGCTATTCGGGAGGCTGAGGCAGGAGAATGGCGTGAACCCGGGAGGTGGAGTTTGCAGTGAGCCAAGATGGCACCACTGCACTCCAGCCTGGGCGACAGAGCAAGACTCTGTCTCAAAAAAAAAAAAAAAAAAAAAGAGTGGGACCTCGGCATTACTTGTGTTCACCCTCTGAGGATCTCCAAATCCTGCACTGGAGTGTGTACTGGTGCAGGGGGCAGCCACAGGGTCCCTGGTCCACCCATTCCAGACCTGATCAGAGATGTCACCCTCCAGGGCCAGCAGCTGCAGGTGACGGGGCATCTTTGTGAGCACCCACCCTAGACTCCAGCTGTCCCTGACTTGGCAGGTCCCATTGGTGCTGCAGCTTCCAGACCAGTGAAGCATCCTCTGGCCTCAGGCAGCTGCCACTTTGTTTCAGCTCTGGGAACAGACTAAACTGACCTTGTGTGAAGCTGGGAAATGCCTGGACATTTGGGAGAAGGGGGTCTGAGAGAGAGACGAGGCTCCTAGGAAATCTGAGCACGTAGGGGCTTAAACCCTGTTCTTTTGACCATTGCTAGAAGAGGCATTATTTACACTCAGTCCACAAAGCTGGTTGTCCCAGGTCTGCTGAACCACAAGGAAGAAATTCAGTTTCCAGGGTAATAGGGGGACAGAGCTGACACCCAGTGAACCACTCCCCACCCTAATATAAGACAAATCTAGGGGAGGAGGTTCGTTTGAAAGCCACCAGGACTCACACAGATGAAGACAAGACAAGATGGTCTTGCTCTGGAGAAGGCCATAGCCCCAGTTAGAAGACTCTTATCTGAAAAGAAAGCCATAACACAGTGTGGTCTGAAGCCCATCTTTTAACTAAATTTCTTTTATTGTGGCAAAATATACATAATATAAAATTTGCCACTTTAACCATTTTAAGTGTACAATTCGTTGGCAGTAAGTACATTCACAATGTTGTGCAACCATCACCACTATCTATTTTCAGAATGTTTCCGTCATCCTGTGCTGAAACTCTGTACCTACGAAGTAATCATCCCCATTCCCTCCCAACCCACCAGCCACTAGTAGCTTGGTTCCACTTTTTGTCTCTATGAGTTTTTCATTCTGGGCACTTCTTATAAGTGGAATCATTCAATATTTCTCCTTTTATGCCCAGCTTATGTCACTTAGCATAATGTTTTCAAGGTTCATCCATGCTGCAGCATGTCAGGATTGCATTTATTTTATTTTTTATGTTTGTAGGTATAGAGTAGGTGTATATATTTATGGGGTACATGAGATATTTTGACACAGGCATACAATGGATAATAATCACGTCGGCCGGGCACAGTGGCTCACACCTGTAATCCCAGCACTTTGGGAGGCCGAGGCGGGTGAATCACGAGGTCAGGAGTTCGAGACCAGCGTGGCCAATATGGTGAAACCCCGTCTCTACTAAAAATACAAAAATTAGTTGGGCGTAGTGGTGCATGCCTGTAGTCCCAGCTACTTGGGAGGCTGAGGCAGAAGAATCGCTTGAACCTAGGAGTCAGAGGGTGCAGTGAGCCGAGATCGTGCCACTGCACTCCAGCCTGGGCAACAGAGCGAGACTCCATCTCAAAAAAAAAAAAAGAAGACTATAGATAATATAGATAATAATCACATCAGGGTAAATGGGGTATCCATTACCTCAAGCATTTCTCCTTTCTTTGTGTTACAAACAATCCAGTTATATTCTTTTTGTTATTTTTTCTTTTTGATATTTTCTTTTCTCAGCATTTGAAAGGAATCCTTTATTTTTAAATGTTCAATTAATTATAGTTAACTGTAGTCACCCTGTTGTGCTATCAAACACTACTTATCTTATCCTTTTTGTGATTGAATAATATTCGCTCGTATGGATAGACCATATTTTGTTTACCCACCCATCCACCGACGGACACTCGGGCTGTTTCCACCTTTGGCTATTGTGAATGAAGCTGTTATGCACATTAATGTAAAGTATTTGTTTGAGGGGTCACAGGATGATTCTATGTTCAATGAGGAAGTGCTGAGGAATATGTGAGGCACATGGATGGAAGGATGGGTGGAGGGCACAGGAGGATGGGAGAAAGAACAGAAACTTGAGGTTCAGAGGGACCAGTCAGAGTCCCCACCTGGTCCCTTACTGTGGCTTTGGATCTGCGACTTGACCTTCTGTGTCTGTCTGTTCATGAACAGAGTGGAGATAATCCCTCCATCTCCTAGGGGTGAGGTGAGGATGACACATGTGACAAGGTGGAGGAAGGTCAGCGCCTTCACAGCTGGCACAGAACCCCTCTTAGGGGTAGATCTGCCTTGGTTTGAGGTGATGTCTGAGCAAATGCTTCTAATAGAAGCAGGTGTGTCACATATAGTTGTGTGGGTTACTTTCTGGACTGGACAAGGACACCAGTTCAAGAGGGAAACTAGGGGCTGAAACCTAGCCTGCTCTACACTCACCCAGCCATGTGACCTGGCACAGGGCTGAGCCATCCCTCGCCAACTCCCACACAGCAGTGAATGTCGAGTTTCTGAGTCAAATCTGACCCCCTGGCTCCCCAGTATTCTATGGCTCCCCATTGCCCTAGGATAAAGTTCGAACTCTTCTGTGTGCCTTACAAGGCCTGCAGATCCAACCCCTCCCTGCCTCTATAGCTCCCACTCAAGCCACCTACTCCTTGAACCTACTTCTCCCACTCTCCTGAATTTCTTGAAATCCTCTTTCTCACTTCACTTTTCAGATGTGGAAACTGAAGTTCTACCAAGGTAAATGCCTTGCTCAAGGTCACACTGCTGGCAAAAAGCACAGCCAGGTTAGAACCCATATTCAGTAAACCCAAAGTCCACACTCTTTTGGCTACAGGGTTAGAGTGCAGAGAGCACTGTGGGTCAGGAGCCCAGGGATGTCATACCAGCTCTGCACTTGCTAGCGGGATGACCTTGGGCAAGTCACTTCGGTAAGATTCTTGGTCCTGCCCCATACTAGCTTTGTTATCACAAAGCACTATACAATCCGAGGAGCATTAGGGGGTGTTGCAATGGGAGGATATTACTGCTATTATATGGGAGTTGGCTATTCTTGTCTCTTCTGCCTTCAGTGGGAACTCTGTTGTGCCTTGTGAATAAAACCTGTAGAGGAAGCACAACTTGAAATGGAAAAATGTCTGGCCAGACCAGCTCAATTTCCAACGGCCTGGGACATTAAAGTAGTCAGGTACCTGGAGATTGCTAAAGCACTCTGAACAGACATCCAACTCCAGCACTTCATTTCCTTAACAAAGATTGGAATGAACAGAGAAATGACACTGCAGGAATCTATTTTACAGACAAAGATTAGGAAAATAAGAGAAAATGAATTTCCATCACTTCTATCTGCAGATTGAAGCTCTTCAATTGCCTGGCCAAATGTCACTGCACTTATGTCAGCATATCATGCTACCAGTCCAGAGGACAGGAATCAGCTCACACCAGGGGGCCCCAGCCTCTTGCTGGCCCCAGCAAGGACTAGGGTACTCTGACTCACAATGGACAGCTCCCTGGGATTTGGGGTATGGGACAATCCTTTGGGAATTCTCTGGAAATGCTGTCTACTGGCCCAGACAATCATTTCCCAATAGCATTTAATGGAGTCTGACACCCTTCTAGGGCTTTATGCAGAGGTGAACCCATCACCTCCTTCCCACCACCCAGATGCAGAAGTGGCCAAATAAATAAGCAACTTTGCTACAGATTTCCATATTGATTCTCCAAACCACACACATGATCAAAACTTGTACAGGCACACCCTATGGCCCAGCAACTTCCCTCCCCCGTAATATTAGTTATCTCTTACTGCATAACAAACTGTCTCAAAATTTAGTGGATTAAAACAACAAACATCTATTATCTCCATTTCCATGGGTCAGGAATTTCGGGGCAGTCTTGCTGTTTGCTTCTGGCTCTCAGCTGGGCGCGGTGGCTCATGCCTGTAATCCCAGCACTTTGGGAGGCTGAGGCAGGCAGATCACAAGGTCAAGAGATCGAGACCATCCTGGCCAACATGGTGAAACCCTGTCTCTACTAAAAATACAAAAAATTTAGCTGGACGTGGTGGTCCCAGCTACTCGGGAGGCTGAGGCAGGAGAATGGCTTGAACCCAGGAGGCGGAGGTTGCAGTGTGCTGAGATCGCACCACTACACTCCAGCCTGGCAACAGAGCGAGATTCCATCTTAAATAAATAAATAAAAATAAAGAACATGGTGCTGTGCGAAAAAGATAAAATACAGAATGAGCTCTATAGCACCAGTCCATTGATATCAATTAAAGATACGCACAGGTAAAACAACAAAACACATTTTGTAGGAACACTTACAAACAAAATACATGTTAGAACAGTGATCTATGGGGGTGGAATAGGAATGGGAGAGGGCAATGGGGAATAAAGGAATAAGTAAACAAACATATAGGGTCTTATAGGAACCAGTAATTATGGGGTGTCACGGCCTGAGAAATAACTCAACACTCTGCACCTGAGACCCAAAAGAACCCTTGCACAAGGAAACAGACCACTTCCCTACACCTGGATCAGCTGGGGTAATGCCACCTACTACACAGCTCTCTTCAGGATGGTTGATTTGTTGTTGTTGAGGATGATGTTGTTTGTTTGGTTGGTTGGTTGGCTGGTTTTGCTCTGCATCCAAACCCCCATCTCCAACCCAATCTCGAGAATTCCAGACTGCATTCGCACCTGGGTATTGCACAAACTGAATTCATTACCTTCCTTCTAAATCAGCTCTTCTTCCGTAGGCTCTCTCAGGGAAGGGCTCCACCATCCACCCAGCCATCCCATCAGAAACTGCATTATCATCCATCCTTCCACCCTCTCGCTCTGCCCAGATCTGATAAGACACCCTGTAGATGCCAGTTCAAGCTCTTATCATCCCCTCTTTCTAGATAGGGCCTTCTTGTCTGCAGGTGGGAGTATAAAAGGTACTTGCCTTCATATCACTAAGACACCAAGGTGCAAGGAACAAACAAACAAATAGCTCACACTTGTTCAAGCAAAAACTAGCACACATGTCGCCAGGCCCTGCTTTCCATCTCCAGGCCCAGCTCTACTGTCTGCCCTGGGTAGGCGTCCCCTACCCACAGCTTGCAGACAGGTTCTCCTCGGGAGGGCATAAGCTGGAGGCAGAAACTCCTGGTCCTACATCTTCTCAGCTTCACGTCCTTCAGGGGAAAGTAAGACCTTCCCAAGCATCGTTGGCTCTCTTTGGGTCACGTGGCCATCCCTGAATCAACCACAATGGCCAAGGAAATGCTCTGATGGGCCAGGCCTGAGTTCATGTCACACCTCTGCACTGCGGTAGAGTCACCTCTCAGATGCACAAGGAATGGCAGTGGGGCAGGATGGAGTCCCCTCTATGGGAATCAGGACACAGTGACCAGATGAAGGGCCAATAGCACGTGGGCAGCTCCATGGTCAATGGCTACCACTATCTCACAGGGTGTCATGAGGATGCATTGAGATTACATGCTGGGCATATAAAATATTCTCAATAAAAGTCACTATTTACTATCACATTTAGGATTAAAAAAGAAAAGAAAAAAAGGCACTATTACCAGCACTTGCATCAACATCAGCGTCATTAACTTGCGGGTAAGTATTTTAGCATATTGATATTTTTTAAAATTAGAGGCCAGGCACGGTGGCTCACACCTGTAATCCCAGCACTTGGAGAGATCGAGGCAGGTGGATCACCTGAGGTCAGGAATTCAAGACCAGCCTGGCCAACACGGTGAAACCCTGTCTCTACTAAAAATACAAAAATTAGCCGGGCACAGTGGCGCATGCCTGTAATCCCAGCTACTTGGAAGGCTGAGGTAGCAGAATTGCTTGAACCCAGGAGGTGGTGGCTGCAGTGAGCCAAGATCATGCCATTGCACTCCAGCCTGGATGACAGAGCGAGACTCTGTCTCTAAATAAATACATAAAAACTAGAAATCCAAAAATTAGCAACACAAGCAAACGCAAGCCCTTATAATCCTTAAGCAGTTTTAGCAATAGTAGATAATGGCCAGTGAGTGCCACTCATGATTTTATTCTGCTTCCATAAATTAAAAAGCTTTTACATGTCACAATTTTCTCATGAGTACGTACATTATTTGTTGACAGACAGCATCTCAGTTTTAAATTTAAAACACTCTATTAGAGTTAATCAAAATCTTTAGGAGAAAAGACATATTCCAGTTTATCAGAATTCCTGCAGTTCTTCTGGTGGGTTCCACACACACAACTTGGGCCCAGGTTTTTACCCAGGGTCCTTGGCTCCGTCTTCAAGTCTTTTCTACCTCAAAGTGTTCTCACCTCCACTAAAACGTGAACTCCCAGAGGGCTGAGAGCCTGTCCACACTTCCCCGAGTCCCCCAAAGCTGCCTGTTAAGGGTGAAGTCTTCTGAGTTGGTTGTGTGGCTGTCTAGGGGTCTGGCTAGCCACTGTCTGGCCGTTCATCTGACTGACAGCACGGCCTGGATCCCAGTCATTGGCAGAATTCCCATCCGTCTACACAGCCCACATCCTCCCAGCCCCGCTGCCAGCCAGGGCTTAGGTCCCATCCATTAGAGGCTCCATTTGTGCCATTAACGGGAGCCCCGGCAACAGCTGCCGGCAGCAGGTGCAAGGCCAAACAGAGCCCGGCTCTGGAGAGAAATCTTTTGCTTGTTGGAACCAGCTGTAGGGACCATGAAGCAAAGTGGGAGGGGGCAGCTCTTTCTGAAAGCCAGCACAGAACAGGGAAAGTTTGGTCCTGGCCATTTTCATCTTTGAGTCCGTCAGTCTGACGGGCCAGCTGGTTGTCCACCCAGCTACACCAGTGCTGAATGCCCCTCCTCACAGGGACTAGATGGCCCACCTGCTCCTCACACTTCTAAGGAGCCCCTGCCCCATCTCCAAGTCCAAACTTGCCTCCTTCCCAGGGAGGGGAGGGGATAAATGAGGAGAAGAAAACGGACCACCAAGTAGAGCCTCCATCTGTGGAATAAATGCAGATTCTCAGGCCCTACTCCAGACCCCTGAATCAGAATCTGCAGTTTAACAGTCTCCAGGTGCACACTGAAGTCTGAGAAGCCCTGGTTTGGAGCATTCAGTTCATCATGCAACCATCTTTCCTGAGCCTTCACCACATGCCTGGCAGTGTTGTAGGCACCGGAGTCCTTCAGTGACAAAGGGGAGAAAATATTCCACTTCTTGTGGAGCTTACTGTCCGGTGGACAGAAACAGACAACAAATAAGATAAATGCATAAAATAGATAGTATGCTAGTGGGTGATAACTGCTAAGGAGAAAAATTAAGCAGGGCAGAGGAGTAGAGAACATCAGCGTGGGCAAGAGGCAGCGGTGAATACAAGTCCCCCCGAGAGGCAGGAAAGGACCTGAAGGAAGTGAGGCTGAGCGGAGGCACAGAGCAGGGGACAGCAACAGTATGCCTGGGACTGAGGGGATTCCCGGGATATGGGACCTTCAGTGTTAAAACCAAGACACTCCCCAGGCAAACAGGGACAGCTGGTCACCCTACCATGAGGGTGAGGGTGGTAGATAAGGTCAGAAGAGGGGGACAGTGAACATCCTGCAGGGTCTCACCGTCTCACCACTCACAGCGTGCCCCCACCCCCCGCAACCCCACAGCACCCGGAGGCTTGTTAGAAATGCACATTCTCAGGCCCACCCCAGGGCTTCTGAATGGGAATCTGCATTTTTCAAGGTCCCCAGGAGATCTGGCTGTTCATTAGCTCCTTGCAGACCTTGGCGAGAACTTCGGCATTTACTCTGAGTGAGATGAAGGCGGTCGCAGATGATGCACTCTCACGTTTAACAGGCTGCTGGTTGGAAATAGACTGCGGGGAGGGAAGCACTAAGGAGAGGCCAGCAGTTGTCCAGGTCAGCAGTAACAGCAGCTGCTGGCCCAGGCCGGTCACCATAGAGCTGGTGGAAGGGGTCGAGTTCTAGGTATATTTTTGAAGGAGAGACATCGCTGAGGGCTTAAGTAAGCAAAATACTGTCTACAAAAGCTTTCTCCTAACCTCACCTCCTTTGGGTTAATCACGTGCATTAATCCCCTTCCTTCCAACAACACTTTTGGGGGACCTGATTGTAGAAGTCCCTACACTAGAGGAATGAGATCGGCTCACGGGAGGCAGCACTGAGCCAGCCACTGCAGGACTATATGATGCTCTGTGATGAAGGGAACCCAAGCGGCTCTGAGAGGAAGAGTGTGAGGCAGGAGTTGGAATCCAGGGAAAGGTTCCCCTGAAAGACTTGCCCTCACATCAAAGCTAAATCTCAAAAAGCCCTAATTCCAAGGAGCTCCTGTAAGTACCAGAGGGCATGAGGGAGGGCAGCAGTCCCAAATGCAGGACCATGGGGGCCACTCTGGACATGGGTACAGTCACCTGCTGAGACCCGCCCCTCAAGGCTTCTCATTGCCCATAGGAACAAGTCCAGTCTCATAGCCTAAAGTCCAATTTCTCCTTCATTTAAGCCCAAACGTTATTTTTCAGTTTTATTTCCCAGCCCTCTTCTTTGTGACACCACCTGGGCCATGCTCACTCAGGCAAGCGGGCTCCTGCTCTGGACCCAGTCTATAAATAGCCCCATTCTGACCCCCCCTCTAGCCGTGCCCCTCACCTTGCAACAAGCATCTGTAGGGCTAAACCCAAAGTCTACTGACCCCCTCACCCGAAGACCATGCTCCAGTATCTGGGATTCACTGCTCAGCTGGACCCAGCCCCCTCCCAGAGCCCTCATCAACCTCCTCCCGGCTGGCCCTGCTGAGGGTGAACAGAGGGTTCCCATGCACACCCTGGCCAGCTGTTTACTGGAACTGTGTTCAGTGCTTGGATGTGGGCTGAGGTGTCCACACGGTGTGGATGCAGTCAGGGGTGGGAAGAGAAGGGATGCGCTGCAGCCTCTCTCTGCTCCATCTCATGCTGGTGCAAAATTCCAAGGATTCTGAAAATTCTAAATTGAAACCCACCTTCCAGGTCATTATGAAGGCACATGTGTCCAGATAAGCAGATAAACCTATGCTATTTAACAGATTGTTAGTGTGAGTTACGGCTTTTTAATATTGAGACATATGGTCTGTGGCCTCCATTTGTACTCTTACCCTGGGCCCCACAAATGTTCTGACCAGGCCTAAGGCACAACTCTGATCCTGTAGATCTTGGAATGCTCCTCCCCTCCCCTACTTGTTCTATCTGACCTGAAATATATTCAAGGGCCATATGGAGAGCATCTGTCATTTTTGCCTGAAATCAATCCTGTCCCCTTTCAGCTGGTGCCTGAGGCCTTCTCTTCTGGAAGAAATCTATCCCTTGTGGTTTGGATGGGGCTGAGCTCCTAGGGGCTAGTCCACTGGAACTATTAAATAAGATTATCCCTTTACAATGGAATGATAGGCAAGCACAGAGAGAAGAAGGCAGAACCAGGGGAGACAGCTCAAGGAATCCTTTGGGAGGCCCTGGACCCAGCCATGCCTGAACCTAGAATTACCTCTGGGCTTCACAATTACCTAAACCAATAAATGCCACTTTTAAAATTAAACTGGTTGCAACTGGATTTCTGTCACTGGCGACTGAAGAACCTTAATGCAAATTCTAATTCATAAAATCATAGGTGTCAGAGCCTGGAAAGGCCTTAGAAACCTTCTGATAAAGCTTCCACTGTTCCACGTGTGAAGAACCCGAGACTCAGAAAGGTGAAATGGTTTGTCCCAATTCACACCATAAATTAGGGTGAGAGCTGAGACTGGAATGCCAATCCTCACTCCTAAGCTGTGGCCCCACGCTCCCTCTCCAAGTCACCTTCCCGCGCCCTCCCACGCTAGAGCTGTACCCCTCCCTCCGTCAGCAGCAGTGTGAGGTCCCTGTTGCACACGTCCCTGTTTCTTGTCCTGTATTTGCATTATCAGTTCATCGCTTCCAGGAGATGTTGCACCCCAATTCAAGCAGCAAATCCCTTGAGGGAAGAATGCCAGCCACTGTCCCTCATCCTGGAGTCCCACTGGGCCTGGCTCCACACCTGGCTAATCACAGGGGCTGAAAGGTACTTGCTAATTTACCAGTCAAAGGCCTTGATGCCTGATTGGCTAAATCCAGCCTCCCTTCTATCAAGTGCGCCATCTCTGAGTTAATGTTTCTCCTAGGCAAGCCTTTTTTATCCAACAAGCTATTTCCCAGGCCATTAGGAGGAACTACAACCAGAGGCAGAAATGCTATGTTGCTTTTTTTCTCCATTTCCTTTTGTTTTCAATTTTCTGCTTGTGGAGTTGGTTCTTTTTTTTTTCCTCCCTTCTTTAACAGCCCAAGTTGCTAAATTGCACATCGCCAGCAACTCCTGTGAGTTTAGTCCTTAAGTGTTACATTTCTGTAACAGATACTCCATAAGCAGCACTTATCTTCAGGAGGGGCTGGTAAAGCACGCTAAAATTACATTTCCATTTCTGTTCCTATGTTTTTAAGCTGTTATTTTAGCATTTCTGACTAGTTCACAGTTGACACCTACTGATGGAAAATTAAATGAAACTTGGCCAAGAACGAGCCTTCCCTCTCTTCCCCAGGCTGGGAACTATATCCTTTTTATAAGGACACACAGCTGTAGAGAGGCAGAAAGACTCCCAGATTTGGAAACACAAAATCTGCAGCACAATCCCAGCTCTGCCTCTAAGTAGCTTTTGGACTTGGGGCAAATCACCTAAAACCCTCTGAACCTCATTTCTCTCATCTATAAGTAGAAATCATACCTGCACAACGGGGTTATTCTGAGGTTTTATATTATGTAAAAATATCTGACAATACACTGACAACATGAACACTACCCTATAAAAATTCTTGGCACACAGTAGGCACTCAATAAATGTTAGTTTCTAGACTTCAGTCCTTTTTTTCTTAACCATTTGATTTGATATCCTTTGACTTGGTTTATGCTCCAAATTGGTTAATTGATTAAATATGGTAATTACAGGGTTCTTCTTCCCAGTTAAACTGGCAGATCGTACCCCAGATATATGCTACACTAAGGCTATGGTGTCAGGATCAGTTAAAACCCTTCAGCAGCGCCCTGTTGTTCTGGAGATCAAGTCCATGAACCGGCCCCTACCTTCCTCCTCCTCTCCTGCCATGTCCCCCCCTGGAATTCTTAGTCACGCACTTCCAGCTGCTTGGTATGGCCCAAAGGGGCCTTTGCCTGCCTGTCAACCTGGGCAACTTGTCTTCAGACTGTCAGACCGAGCTTTGCTGCATCCTGTCATTGGGTTCCCACAGCGCTGTCTGCCTCCTCCCTCAGGACCACTGTCAATGGTCTTGTCCATCTCCCCCTAGATGTGAGCACCAGGTGGCATGGATTGTATCTTTTATCCTTGGTGCTAGAAAAATGCTTGGTGTACAGTAGGAGCTCAGAAAAATTTTTCTGAGCAGTATAAGAGGATTAATTAACATATGAAATTAAATAAGAGGAAGATTTGCTATGTAAAGACAGAAAGTCTCCAATTAATATAGAAATTCAATGTAATTCCCACCCATATCCTAATGAGGTTTTATGAAACTTGAAAAACTAGTTCTAAAGTTTGTCTGAAGAGTAAGTTCATAAGGATAAACAAGATAAGCTTGAAACATGCTCTGCTAAATATGAAAATGTGTCATAAAGCTTCATCAATTAGTATTAAAGTAGAATAGGTAACTGGTTGATGGAATAAAGAGTTCAGATATATATTCCTGTGTATTTATGAGAACTGGGGACATGATAAACATGGCATTTTATATCAGCAGGGAAAGATGGGCTGCTTAAAAAAAGGAAAGTCAATAACCTGCCATCTATATGGGAAAAAGCAAAAGTTAGATCCCTTCTGGTATCAGCCAAGATAGGCTACACTATGCTGTGGTAAAACATCCCCCCAGTCTCAGTGACTCACCGCAGTGAAAGCTGATTTCTGGCTCAGGATACATGTTCATTGAGATTGGTCATTGAAATCACACAGGAGCCAGGCTGACGGAGAAGCCACCATCTCAAACACTGCCAGAGAAGGTCTAGACACAGACCAGAAAGTCCTGAATCCACATTCAACTGCCTGTTCTTGAAAAGCCCCATCACTTGTGCTCACAACTCTGGCTAGAACTAGTCTCACGGCCCCACCCAACCGCAAGGAGCACAAGATGTGAATCCTACCACATGCTACAAAGTGAAGAAAACCAGAAATATCTGGTGAAGAGGACACTAACCACACACTACTTTCACCATCTCATCCCCCTCCCCACAAAAAAAAAAAAAGTATTTTCAATGATTTTTTTTAAGCTGAAGAAAAGTATGAGGAAAGATTTTTTTATATATAATCTTGGAGAGGAATATGCCTTCTATTCAAGGCATTAAACCCAGAAGCCATAAAAGAAAAGAATTACAGATTTAATTGCATAAAAGTGTAAAGTTTTTGCATGGCAAAATAATCTATAAATGAAGATAAAGTGACAGAACAGAGAAAATAGTTGTACCATCACATATAGCTGATGAAAAGTTAATATCTGTAATATACAAAGAGTACCTGGAAATTAATAAGAAGATTCAACATGCAGAAAAATGGGTACGTGGTAGATAGCCTTGGGTAGAGGATTTGGGGAAATAAATATCCTCAAAACTGTTGTTAGAAATATAAACCAGTTTTTCCTTTTTTTTTGTTTTTAGAGTAATCAACGTGCTAAATGCACATAAATTTAATGCACCAATTCTTCTAAATTCTACAAATACTATAAAATATATATATACATAATGCTATCATATAAAATGTTATTTGTGGCAATATTTTCAATTATTATATATGTACCATGTTGATCATTACAGAACTGTTGGTACAAAATTCTTTTAAATGCAGAAAAATACATATATTGCTTTAAAAAATCAGATATATCCACGTCATGAAATGCTGTGTTGTCATTAGAAAACATGAGGCAGTGTTGTAAATATGGTCATAGAAAGACGTTCATGATGGCCAGGTGCGGTGGCTCATGCCTGTAATCCCAGCACTTTGGGAGGCCGAGGCAGGCAGATTACTTGAGGTCAGGAGTTCAAGACAAGCCTGACCAACATGGTGAAACCCCATCTCTACTAAAAAAAAAAAAAAAAAAAAAAAAAAAAATTAGCCAGGCATGGTGGTGGGCGCCTGTAATCCCAGCTGCTCTGGAGACTGAGGCAGGAGAATCACTTGAACCTGGGAGGCGGAGCTTGCAGTGAGCCGAGATCACACCATTGTACTCCAGCCTGGGTGACACGGCGAGACTCCGTCTCAAAAAAAAAAAAACAAAAAACAAAAGAAGAAAGGAGAGATGTTCATGATACATTGGTTGGGTGAGGTTTCTAATAGAGTTATAACTCTCGTTTCTAACAGAGTTATAATGAATCCTAAGAGCCAAGTAAGACCAGGATATACCAGCCTTATTAGTAATCAGAGGGCTCAGTGGAGTGCCCAACCTCATTCCCTGAACCCAGACCTGACTTCACAAATTAGAAATCAATTTCAGTGTTTAAAAAAGTCCTATTATTACAATATGAATTCTTCTGGAATATTTAAGTATGGAAGGAAAAGGGCTCTAGAGTCACTTAACCTTGGTATGAAATGACATAATTAACTGGCCTAGGGCCACCCACCAAATGTGTTACAGAGCAGGGATTGAAACTCGGATCTGACAATAGAACAAGTACTTTCCACTTCAAGCCTTTCCTCGGTCCTCCAGCTTATATCCCTACGTTAACTCAGATCACCAGGAAGTTGCGTTCTGGGGATCAAGCCTTTGGTGTCCTTCCTCTAAACAGAAATGTTTCCCCCAATCTCCGACCTTAACACTATGGTTTGCCCTTCACCAATATAACCTCTGCTCTTTCTCTAAAAACTGGGGCCAATGATGTGTACCTTACGCTATTCATCATGCCTCTTAGGGAAACGGCACCTTAAAGACCTCTCCTGGGAGCAGTCCCACTGCACAGGCAGGCTCTTCCCTACAGTCAGGGAGAACACAACGAGCCTGCTCCCTGATCCATGCCCCCACCCCACCTCCCCGCCCACCACCACCAATTGCCTCCTCTGTTAGGACACTCAGAACCATATTTTGCCTTCAGCAACCAAAATGTCCCTCAGTCGGTCACTGGATGCAATTTTCTACTCCAAGCTACCTCTCCGGATTTTCATCTTTCTTCTGCATTTTGAGGTTCCATCCCACTGTGCCTTTTGTCTCATTGTACTTCCATGTGGCCCAGGCAGCCTAGGCAGGACGCCTCACTCCACAAGACCAGGGAAAGTTAAATTCTTTATGCCTCAGTTTTCCAGTCTGTACAATGGGAGAGGCAGTCACACTATCTCCCTCATAGGTTTTCCCTGTTGATTAAATGAGATAATGCATATACCGCACCTAACACAAAAAGCATTCCATAGAAGCTACAATCACCATTTTATTCCAAAATGGCTGAATATGGGCAGTTTCATGTGGTTCAGTGTAATAAGTTTTTTGACAGAAGTGGATAGGCTACAAATAAATATGACACACTTTCTCAACCCATCAGGCACAGGTGACATTTGGACAGTTTCCTATTTGGAAGGAAAGGTAACTCTGGAGTCCTGGCAGGTCTGGCCATAGCCTGAGAAGCTATTAGGCAGGAGAAGCCAGGGGACAGCTAAGAACCTGGCCACAGGACAGATGAGTCTCGGGAGGGAGATGAGAAAGTGGCAAAGAAAAATTAGGCTCAGATATTGTCAAACACACCCCAAACCCTACACCTTCCTCTGTTCAAGGTGTCCCCCAAAGCCTGCCCAAATCCCACTCATTCTTCAAAAGGCAGCTGCCCTGGCCCCAGTCAGCCTTCCCCCACCCAACTGATGTGTTCCCTCCCCACACCCCCACAGCATGCCTTTGGAAGGAGCCCGGGGCTCAGGCCTAAGCAGCAGCCTGCCTTCTATCAGCAGTAGTGACAAATGTGCCCACCTCCCATAGATGGTGAGCTTGGGCAGGCAGGTGCCTGGTCTTACAGTCTCTGTAGCCCCATAAGGCTTAGCTGGGGCCCTGAACAGAGCAGGCACTTAGAAAATGTTTGCTGAAAAGAAACTTCACTAAGCTCATAGTTTTCCCTGGGGGCCAGTCCTAGTGTTCCATCAAGAAGGGGGATATTAATCTTATAAAGCTTTTGCATTTGGGAGGAAGTGGGGTAGGAGGAAATTAAAGAAGCCCAGTAGGACAGGGACCAGTGGTAGTTGAGGAATCTCTACCCAGAAGGGCTGAGGGGCATTATTGGTTGGAAAAGTGGAACTGAGGACTTGTCTTGAAGCTGCACCGATGTAGCAAGCTCACTCCTTAAACTTAGATGGCATGTTATTTGGGGAGGCTTAGAGGTTAGCTGATAGAAAGGCAGTGGGTGGGGCTAGAGATGCCAACCCTTCCCCCAACCACCCAGGCTAACCAAGCTGGAATGCATCCCTTCCCTGCTAAATGTAAACGCAGTCCTTTCCCTGGCAGGGGCCCTTGCCTGACTTCAGATAACAAGCATCAGTCTGCCATGGCAAACCGGGCTTCATCTTGGCCCTATCCATGCGGGGTGACCTTGGCAACCCACTTAACCCCCCGGGGCTTCCATTTCCCCAGCTGTAAATCGAGCTCGACCTCTGTGCCACCATTCCTGGCATTTTGAGCAAAGCCTCAGAATCCTCCAGCCCACCCTTGGAGGCAGCGGCATAAAAGGGAGCGATTTAGAACTGGAGCCCTGGTCTATGGTATCAGGGAGCCCGGACTGGGCTCTGTTCCCGTGAGCTGTGCAGGCTGCAGCTGGGGATTACAGGGACGCCTCTGGAGGCCGCCGCCGGTGGCACCCCCTGCCCGAGAGGCCCCACTCTTGTCAGAATATTAACACCCTGGATGCATTTGTGTGTTACTCATGATTGCGACCATGGTTCCAAAAGGATTATGCAGCATGCATATTTATGAGACAAGCCCAGACAAAGACTACCACATTTTAAAAGATGCAATTATCTCTAAAAAGTTCAGCTTTATTTTCATGCTAATGAATACAATATTTTTAAGCAAACCTAATTGGTTTGCCTGGGCTCCCATAAAAGCTCTCAACTCATTAGAGCTCCGAGGTCCCCTTCAAAAGGGGCTTTAGAGGGAGCTGGGGGACCGAGGAGGGGGCCAGTGCTCAGGAGGCGCATTTTAGAACTTTCCAGTCTGTGTGTGCTGCTGTCTCTGAGCCCCCTCCCCTGCCCAAGCCCACTGGCTGGGTGACTGATGAAGCCTTTCAGGAGGGGCCACCCTGGCAGTATGAGTCTTGGGAATGTGAAAGCATCAGGGTAAACTGAGGGAAATGGGGCATGTCCTCCCTTCTCTCTGCAGAGGAAGCAAGGCCAGTGTTCCCGCCACCCCCACAACACTCAACACACCGCTGTCACCAAAGCTCTGGCTTCCTGGGTGGATGCTGGAATTCCACCCATAAACGGGGTCTTCTCCTCCCAGGCCATCAGCCAGGGCTTCGGGCTGGAACAGAGGGGAGGGGCTCCTTGAGGCTCCCCATTCCCAGAC
Source organism: Homo sapiens (assembly GCF_000001405.40). Classification (NCBI taxonomy): domain Eukaryota; kingdom Metazoa; phylum Chordata; class Mammalia; order Primates; family Hominidae; genus Homo; species Homo sapiens. Next base: position 69,530,809 of record NC_000015.10, on the reverse strand, counting down.
ACCCTGTGCTCTGACATCCAGTCATTGCTTTAACATCACCCCAGCTTTCGGATTTCACTTTCTACTTTTGAAGCACATTGACATTTATTTTCTTATTACATGCATTTATGAAGTACAGGTTGTTTTCACCATTTTACAAATGAGAAAACTGAGGCCTGAAGACCCAGCTGTTCTTCATGACAAGCCAGATGGATCCAGAGGTTTCTATGACAAGGGGCTGTCCTCTGCCACCTGAGTGTCTGCCCCACTTCCTTCTGTGTCTCAGCCACCTCCCTGCAGTTTAAGCTGGATTCTTTTCCTACATGCCTGCCTAGGTCTTTCCTGATCCTCAGCTCCAGGGCACAGCGTACAGCTGTGCAGGCTGTACACTGTGCAATGCCGGAGGTGTTGCAGTCTGTGAATGGCGTCCCCTGGAGTTATACAGCACTACGCCCTACTCAGCATTCTTTCCTTCCACTGGCTTCCTTCAGGGCCATTTGGGGACTGGGACTATAAGTTGTGCAGCAAAGATGTATGGATCTAACCTGAGCTTTTCTGCTTGAATAACTCCCCTTAACCACCTCCTCGGGGCTGAAATTCAGGCATCTGGTAAAAACAGAGTATTGTTCAGGAAATGACCAACAGTCTCAGGAAGGGCCAACGGGGGTTGCAGCAAAGCAGAAATCAATGGAAAACACAGGCTGGGGATAAGCTCCAGCCTGGAAGTGAGGAGATGGGAGATCCAGACCTGGCACTGCCACTCAGTGGCTTTGTGACTCCATTTCTCCATCTGTAAAAGAGGAGGTTGGGCCTGCTAATCTCTGAGATTCCATCCAGGGCAGGCACAAGCATCTTTTGATTCTAGAGCAGATTTTCACGGAGAGTTGTTTAAAGAAACAATGACATAAAACTAGAATCCAATTGTAAAAGCAGAAAGACAGTCCTGGAAGTTAACCATGTAGGGTGTGATTTCCATACACTCCTCCCCACCCCTGTCTGGGGACATATTCTCAGAGGCAAGCTCAGGGGACCGACAGGGAGAAGGCTCGGAGCCTGAAGAGCAGTCAGGGGAGGCTGACAGGAGAGAAGGTATTGATTGGACCTTCAAAACCAAGCCAAGGCCAAGCACAGTGGCTCACACCTGTAATCCCAGCTCTTTGGGAGGCCAAGGCAGGATGGCTTGAGGCCAGGAGTTTGAGACCAGCCTGGACAACATAGAGAGATACAGTCTCTACATTTTTAAATTAGCTGGGCATGGTGATATGCGCCTGTATCCCTAACTTCTTGGGAGGCTCAGGTAGAAGGATTGCTTAAGCCTGGGAGGTCGAGGCTGCAGTGAGCTATTATCATGCCACTGCACTCCAGCCTTGGCAACAGAGACCCTGTCTCAAACAACAACAAGAAGCCAACTAATCAGAAAGGAGCAGGACAGATGTTCCAGAAAGGGCTGTGTGGTCCCAGCAATAAGGTGGACCCAGAGTCAATTCCGAGTCACTGTAGGCTGAGTGGCCAGGCTGAGAATGCAGACGGCTGCTGAGGAGGTGGAGAGAGTGGGAGTGGGGCCTGGATGGGGGTCTGCGATTTATAAAGCACCAAAGCCATGATCTCCTGAGTGCCCCACTACCGCCTAGGAAGGAAAATATTATGCTTCCCATTTTACAGATAAGTAAAAGGGAGCCTAAAAAGGTAAGGCTGCTTGTCTGAGAACATCCAGCATGAGCTGGGGCCAGAGTTCGGTCTAAGACCTCAGTCTCCTGATCCCCAATTTGGTTATCATTTTCGCTAAATTACCATGAGGCCAGATTTGCAGGGCCTTGAATAATAAGATCAAGATTCGCAATCATAGCTTATGGGCAATCAGGAGCTGTTGAAAGTCTACAAGCAGAGAAATGACTTGAAAGCCCCAGAGTTAAGGAGGGAATGTGAAAAGCTGGCAGGGTGGCAAGAGAACGCAGGGCCTCGGTAGGAGGAACACTATTTTGAGTTTAGCAAAAGGGACCATCCAAGGCTGTCTGCAGTTTTGCCTTGGAGAGGCTGAGTTACGTGTTCTCCACTGGGCCTTCAAGTGGTCCACAGAGGGATAACCCAAGGTCTTTGGCAATTGAATTCCCAACCCGGGAATGTCACTTTAAGGACCCAACCAAAGCTCAGAGCCAAACCCCACACACCCCAGTCTTTACACCACCTAACTGGCTTACATCTATCAAAGTAATTTTTAAGGGGGAATTTTATATGAAGGTAATTACGCTCAGCTAAACTAATTTTATTAAACAATGCTGCCTTAATGACAAACAAATCTGTTATTAATATGTAACTGAGCAGCTATTTCATTCAATTTGCAGCATCGGTAATGAGCCCTGTGGTCGCAAGAGCCCAGAAGCACCCCTTTCTGAGGTAGGCAGCATGGCCCAGTGGCCAGAACCCGGGACCTGGCCCAGCCCTGCCATGGACGTGTATGATTCAGAATGGCCCTTCTCTCACCGAGCGGTTTCTCTCTATAAAATAAAGGGCTTGAACTGGAAGTATCCCAAGGGAATGCCCACTCAGCAGCTTTAGGGGCTGAGAATCTGGATGGACTTTCAGTGTTTACTGTGTGCCTCAGTTTCCTCATCTGTAAAGTGGGGATAATAATAGTGCCTATCTCATAGGGTAATTGTGAGCATTCATTGAGTTTGTAGATGTAAAGTGCTTAAGGCATTGTGCAGGTACATATGAAGTGTTATACAAACGCTTTTCATTTTCTGTTTATATTCCCAGAACCAGGAATATGGGCTAGGGGACAGCAGGGAGCTGACAGCCATGAATGGAATGAGTGAGGGCTCCTGCTTCCCCCAATTATGAACCCTCCTTGATCCTGGGTTTCCTGGGGTCCCTTCTCTCCTGCCCCCTTCTAGGAGGGTGAGAAACAACACTACAGACAGTGAAAAGAGACAGGTAATCAGATTCCAGCCCCGACCCTGTCCTCGGGTGCCGGCAGGACTGTGCCTCTGCTTCCTTAGCTCCCCATGTGGGTCATTCTCACTGCCCTGCCTACAGCGACAGCTGTCCTAGGGGACAGACAGGATCATTGAGTGGCTCTCAAACATGCAAAGTGGGTCGGGATAACCTGGAGAGTGTATAGGAAAATGCTGACCCCAGGCCCTTCCCCCAGAGGCTTGATGTCACAGATCCCTCCCTAGATCTGTGTGCTTGGGATACCCTCTTGAGAACCCTTGAACCTCTGGCAGTTCTGCCAGGAACTCCACACTGCTGCCTTTGTGGTGTGACTGTGCCTATGCTGCAGGTGAGGAAAGAGCAGTTTCAAGAAGAAAATTAGGCTGGGTGCAGTGGCTCATGCCTGTAATCCCAACACTTTGGGAGGCCAAGGCAGGTGGATCAGATGAGGCCAGGAGTTCAAGACCAGCCTGGCCAACATGGCAAAACCCCGTGTTTACTAAAAATACAAAAATTAGCCGGGCATGGTGGCGCACGTCTGTAATCCCAGCTACTCGGGAGGCCGAGGCAGGAGAATCGCTTGAACCCAGAAGGCAGAGGTTGCAGTCAGCCAAGATCGCACCACTGCACTCCAGTCTGGGCGACAGAGCGAGACTCTGTCACAAATAAAAAATAAAAAAATGAAAAGAAGAAAACTAACTTGTAGAGTTAATGGGGAAGGGTAATATCCATCACAGACCCATTGGTTCCTCCTCCTTTGGAATTCACCTAGGTGGGGGGCATTGGGGAGGGCGGGACAGTCTGAGCAGCTTTCAGTTACTTTGGGGCCATGCTGATAGGATGCCGTTTGTGAACCACCTGCTGCAGAAACCCGCTGTCTTGGCTGCTGAGAAACATGAACCCCTTGAGATTGAGCCTTTCATCGAGAAGCTATTAACATACCATCACTTCAACTGTCACACAGACAATCGCCTACCCAGGGTCACAAGAGCCCCCAGGCCCATCACAGTGCCCGACTTTCTGCAATTAGGCCCTCCCTGGGAGGAAGCATTGTGTCTCCAGAAGGCCTCTATTAAATCTCAACATGCAAATGTACGTGCAGCATTTAAGCCCCTTAGCAGGGCCCTCTCTCCCTCCTCTCCATCCCAATGTGACTGTGGGTGGAGACCATGTGACCTCTGCTAGCCATGAAATGTGATTGGAAGGATCACGTATCTCCCCAAGGCTGAGGCAGTAAAAAGCTGTTTACAAATAATGGAACCCCAGACTAACAATGAATTAAGGGTTCTTATCAGCTCATGTAACAAAAAGTCCCAAAATAGGCAACCCAGGGTTGGCTGGGCAGCTCACTAGCTCACATCACCAGGAATCCAGATTCCATGTCTCCGCCAGTTTCACCACAGTGGCTTCTGCCCTCAGTCTTGCCCCTCCTGGTTCCAAGACAGCTGCATGACAGCATATTAATCATCTACTGCTGAGTAACAAACGACCCCAAAACTCAGTGGCTTAAAAAGGCAATAAACAGTTATGATCTCACACGGCTGCTGCAGATGAGGAATTCTGGCACCACGTGGCTGTTGGTTCTGGCTTGAGGTCCCTCATGAGGCGGCAGTCAAGATGCTAGCAGGGCTGCAGCCATCTGAGGGCTGGACTGGGACAGGAGGATGCACTTCCAAAAAGGCTCGCTCACTCACACAGCTGGCGGGCTAGGGCTGCTTGCTGGCAGGGGGCCTCAGCTCCTCCCTACGTGGGCCTCTCCGTAGGCTGTTTGGGTGTCCTCATGACGTGGTGGCTGGCTTCCCCCAGAGTCAGACAGCCGCGAGAGCAAAGCTGAAGCACCAATGTCTTTTATGGCCTTTCCTCGAATGTCACACACTTTCACCTCTGTTACATTCTCTTCATTGAAAGCCAGTCGCTAAGTGTGGCCCACGCTCAGCAGGAGGGGAAATGGGCTCCACCTTTGGAAGCAAGGTCAAAGAATTGGGGGACTTTTTAACTATAACAAATAGTGCCCACACTGGAAGAGAGAAACTCAAGCAAAAGTTTCCTCCCTGCTCTGCCGCCATCGGAGAGAAAGTTTTTCCCAGAAGTCATCGGCAGTCTTTCCCTTAGGTGTAATTGGCCAGAAATGAGTCACATGCTTACCTCTAGACCAATCACTGACAAGGGAAACAGACGCCCATGGCTGGCTTAGACCAATCATGAGTCTTCCTCTGAGATTGGGCACATTTCTGACTTAACAAAATTAGGTTTCGGGTAGCAAGGGAGTAGGGGGAAATGGCCGTTGGGTGGGTGGGCAGGAGTGTCAGCCATGTTGTTCTATTGAGTGGGTAACTGGGAAAAATTAGATGCTGAGGTGGTGATAATCCACAAATAGGAAACCTGGTCATTTATTAACTGCTTTCCATACTATCAGCTAGAAATGAATCCGTTCCAGGATCTGCTCTGTAAAAAGGGTCTGCTCACTGTGGTTGGCGTTTCATCCCTTCGGGCCGTCTGGTTTTAGACTCAGAGGACTCGGCTTAGAGTCCGCGTCTACTATGTGTTGCCTGTGCAGCCCCTAGAAGTACCTTCTCTGAGCTTCAGTTTCCAGCTGCATACACAGGGGATGATCATCGCTACTTCACAAGGCTCTTAGGACTACTGGAATATGCTTTGTAATTCATCTGGGGTTAAGGCCATGTGCATTCTGATCATTGCTGTTTGCCCTGGGTTTGGGGTGAGAGGCCAAATACCACCAGAGGGTTTTTTGTCCCCTCTTTCTTTCCATCTCTAATTTCCAATACACAGTGCCAAAAAAAGAGGAGAACTGAGCACAGAGGCCAAATCCCCAGCATAAAAACAGTGGTGCCATTGTAAACGCCTCCAGCGATTGCGCCCCACCCAGCTGAGGAAGCCCCATTCCCAGCCCCACTTAACAACGTGCGGCCTGATTTAATATGAGCAGCTGATCTCATTGCTTCCATAGCAAGTTTAATTTGCTGGGAAAGCGAGTTGGTGAGGTTCTAATAATGCAGAGCCGCAAATAATACCAAAGAGAGTTTGCATTATGATAACTTTCCAATTAAAATGGATTAATGGAGGAGAAACAGCAGCAGTAGTGTCTAGACAACATATTACTGAATCCTTGGAGAGGGAGATGGAAAGGAGTTGGGGGAACAAGCGGCAGCAAGATAAACAGGTGAACTTTATAAGTTGGAGGCACACTTGTGTGGGTGTGACGGGAAGTACCAGGGAGGGCTCCTTACCCCTGGTGCCCCATCAGTTACAATACCTGGACTTTGCACCATTTGAGAAAACCAGTCTTTTAGGACCCAGAGGCCTTTGGTCTTTTGGATTCCTTATTAAAATGCAAACAGCACCTTCCGTTTCCTCGGCTGACCTTACAGCTGGGATTAGCCTGCAGCTACTGGAGAGCAGACTGTGTGACTGTGCGACAGAACAGAGGCCCCGGCTGAGCCTTGGAAGACCCACATCGACCAGGTGTTGACACCTGTGGTGTTCTTGTCAGGGCTTCACTACAGGACTCAAAACAAATCCTCCATAACTATGCTAGTAACCCCCTGACCTCTGACCACTGCTGAGTGATCCAAGGGGTCCATCTAGAACCTCTATCCCAGCAACCTGAATTTTAGACCTGAGAGATACAGGGTCTGGGCTGGACTGGGGCTAGTGCTCATCCCTGAGAGCAGGTTCAGGACAGAAAGAGCCACAGACTGTTGCTGCCAATCTTGAGCTACCCCGGGCCCCACCCATGGAGGCCAAATTAGTTGATTTTCTTGCCATTCTGTGAAATCCCCCCAGGATCCATGTTCCTCTCCTTTGCTTAAACTGACTAGACATTTCTGATGCCTGCAAACAAAAGAGCTTTAATCTATCACTTCTTACTTGTGGGACCTGGTGAAAGTCATTTAACCTCACTGAGCCTCTGTTTTCTCTCCTGTAAGATGGGAGATACACACATCCCCACCTTGCAAGGTTGGTTGCCTCCTGTATTGGTAACATGATGTGTTAGGGTTAGATCACCATTTAAGTCCCTCTCAGCCCTGAAGTTCGGAGATCGTAGAAGTAATCCTTGAGGGATAGGGGAAGAGGCTGGCTGGACCACAGAGGCCAGGAGACCAAGAAGCCCAAGGACCTAATTCCACCAGCATCAGTAACTTGCAGGGCATAATAAATATCTCAACACCAGAACTGAGGCTCCTTGCAGAAATCTCCAAGGCTCCCCTATGCCTGGGAAGGCTCTGATTTCTTGCAAAGCCAGGAGTCCCATGAGCCAGTCCCTCATGAGTGAAGTACTGGCCATGTGCTGCCCCCTGCAGGCCTGCCTTTCTCATCACCTTTCTCATCAAACAGGCAAAGAAAAAGCCCATGTAATTGAATACAATCACAAAGGCAGTATTTAGCAGCATTCATCCCCCATTTTATCTCATTCTGCCATGTCCTTCCCTGTCTATAGATGAATATGAAACTACCACTGAAAGCAAATCATTCCAGGAATAAGGAAAATATGAGGCAAGAAACTCCTAGGGAAAGTTCACCACCTACACACACACACACACGAGTCAGAACTGAGTCCAAGGCCAGTCTTGAGGGGAAAAGAGAGAAGAGTTGCATTCATTGCACACCTGCTATGAGCCGTGCATTAGATCCTCCATTATCTCATTACCATCATAATCTCTCAGGACAGGTATCACCAACACCCATTTTACAGATGATGAAACTGAGGCCCCAAGTAGTGAACTCACAAAGAATTCATAAGTATATGGTCTGTTTGAGTCTAAAGGCTTCCCTCTTCACAGATGATTTTCCATCTTTTTTAAGTAGAAATTGCATTCTCAAATGAAATCTCAGGTCCCGTGTATAAGAGAAACAATAAAAGCACAGCTCTCTGATGGAATTGGTTGGTGATTGTATGGCAAGGGACAAGGGGTGGGGGAGCTCTAGCCCTGCCCACCAGCCTCTCTCAGGCCTCCCCTTCCTGGAGCAGTGCGTTGGTCACAGAGCCCAGGGTGAGAACCACGGCCTCCTTCCCAGATGGGGCTTGTTAGAGGTCCTAGATCAAACCCACTGTTTTCCAATTAACCAAAAAAGAAAGCACTACCTCTTTGGAAAACTAGGTTGAAATTTTGGTTCTGCCATTTATTAGCTATGCAAGTTTCCCAACTGATCTGAACCTAAGATTCCCTGGGTCGCTCTAGTCCAACATAATCCAAGAGAAACATAATGTGAGCCACACATGTAATTTTAAGTTTTCTAATAGCTGCCTATTTATTTATTGAGATAAGGTCTCACTCCCTTCACCCAGGCTAGAGTGCAATGGAGCAATCATGACTCACTGCAGCCTGGACTTCCTGGGCTCAGGTGATTCTCACACCTCAGCCTCCTGAATAGCTGGGACTACAGGAACATGACACCACACCTGGCTAATTTTTTGTATTTTTAGTAGAGATGGGGTTTCGCCATGTTTCCCAGGCAGGTCTCAAACCTCTGGGCTCAAGTGATCTGCCCACCTCAGCCTCCCAAAGTGCTGGGGTTACAGGCATGTGCCACTGCACCCAGCCCAGTTGCCTTTAAAAAAAAATTTAATGGGTGAAATCAATATTGACAATAGTTTGCTTAATCCAATATATTCAAAACATGATCATGTCAACATGTCATCAATATAAAAACTTATCAAGATATTTTGCACTCTTTTTCAAACTGAGTCTTCCAAATTTGATGTATATTTGACACTTTCAGCACATCTCAATTCAGACACTACATTCTCACTGGAAATACTTGATCTGTATTTGGACCAAGAGGATACTTCTTGATGAGGGAGTAAACTCACATAGACAAATTGTTTCAAACGTGTTTAAAAGTTTTCCAGTAACTGGGCTATTAGTTTTTAAACATATATTAAAGCTAGATAAAGTTTAAAATTGAGTTCCTCAGTCTCACTAGCCATATTCTATGTGCTCAACAGCCACATGTGGCTAGTGCCTGCTGTATAGGAAAACACAGCGGTGGTCCCTGTCTTCCTGTCTTGGTAAGGAATAATCCAGAGATGTGTGTCCACTCCCCAACCACTTCCAAATTTACAAGGCCTGCAGCTACCTCCCTTAAATTCACTCAAGACCTAACCCATAGGATAGGACAGAAGAAAGATCCACAAATCTCTATGGGCTCACAGGAGTTGGGACAGTCTCCAAAACCCTCTGAATTCTCTCTCTCTCTCTGTCACGCGCGCGCACACACACACACACACACACACACACAGAGTCTCCCACCCTGATTCCTCTCACTACTCAGCTCTTCTGGTCTGCATGCTGTGGGTGGCAAGAAACCGAGACCCTCTCAACATATCTTCCTATAATACTCTGAGGGTAGGAAGGCTTCAAAAAGCTTGTAGTGGGGACACAAGAATAGGAATTACAGTCCAGCCAAGCCTTAGAGAACTCTGCTGAGAGGTTAGAGTTGGGGCCAGGGAGGCCCAACAGACCCTACATTTCCCTGGGATTGCCAGGGGAGGCAACACCTTCTCAAAAGCCTTTGATCCCTTCTGCAGGAGCCTCCAGACTCACTTTCCCCAGCAAGCACTACTGTCATAGCCAACCCTCATGTCCATAAGCTCCTGAAGAATATCGTAGAGAGGACACCACGATCCAAGAATGGACTCCTCCCTTGCTTCTTTCTTTTATCATTTTTTAAATTGTGGTAAAATATGCATAACATAAAATTTATTATTTAACCATTTTTAAGTGTACAGTTCAGTGGAATTAAGTATATTCACATTGTTGTGCAACCATCATCACCAGCCATCTGCAGAACCCATTTCATCTTGTAGAACAGAAAGTCTCTACCCACTAAGCAGTAATTCCACATTACCCCTACCTCCATCCCCTGGCAACCACCATCCTACTTTCTGCTGCTGTGAATTTGACTGTTCTAAGTACATCACATAGGCGGAATCATGTATTTGTCCTTTTGTGCCTGGCTTACTTCACTTAACATAATGTCTTCAAGATTCATCCATGTTGTAGCAAGTGTCAGGATTTCCCTCTATTTTAGAGCTGAATAATATTCCATTGTATGGATACACCATATTTTGTTTACTCATCCAATGGACAGTTGGGTTGCTTCCACATTTTGGTTGTAAAACTAAATGGTTCAGCTGAGGCAGGCAGATCACAAGGTCAGAAGTTCAAGACCAGCCTGACTGACATAGTGAAACCCTGTCTCTAGTAAAAATACAAAAATTAGCTGGATGTGGTGGCACGCACCTGTAATCCCAGCTACTCAAGAGGCTGAGGCAGGAGAATCGCTTGAACCCGGGAGGCAGAGGTTGCAGTGAGCCAAGATCGCGCCACTGCACTCCAGCCTGGGCGACAGAGCGAGACTCCATCTCAAAAAACAAACAAAAAACAAAAAACAACAACAACAACAAAAAACAAATGGTTCATAGGAACATTGTAAATAGTGCTCCTGTGAACACAGATGTACAAATATCTGTTTGAGATCATGCTTTTACTTCTTTTGGTTTTACACCCAAAGTAGGATTGCAGGAACATATGATAATTCTATGTTTCATTTCTTGAAGAATCATCATACTGTTTCCCACAGCAGCTGCTCCATTACACATTCTTGCCAGCAGTACATGAGGATTCAAATTTCTCCATATCCTCATCCTCACCAACACTTGTTATTTCCTGGGGTTTTTTTATAGTAGCCATCCAATTGGGTATGACAAGTTATCTCATTGTAGTTTTGATTTCCATTTCCCTAATGATTAGTAATATTGAGCATCTTTTCACGTGTTTATTGGCCAGTTGTATACCTTTTTTGGAGATTTATCTATTCAAGTCTCCATCCTACTTTTTAATTGGGCTGTTTTGTTGTTGGTATTGTTGAGTTGCAGGAGTTCTTTATCCATTCTAGTTATCAGTTCCTTCTCAGATATATAATTGGCAGATATGAAATGTGATTTGCAAACCCATTCCGTGGGTTGCCTTTTCACTCTGTTGACAGTGTCCTTTGATGCAGAAAAGTTTTTAAGTTTGATGAAGTTCACGTTATCATTTTTTTCTTTCGTTGCCTGTGCTTTTGGTGTCATATCCAAGAAATCTGCCAAATCCAATGTCTTGAAGCTTTTCCCTATATTTTCTTCCAAGAGTTTTATATTGGCTCTTACGTTTATGTCTTTGATCCATTTTGAATTAATTTTTGTATATGATGTAAGGCAAGGGTCCAATGTCATCTTTTTTTTGCAGGTGGATATCCAGTGTCCCCAGTGCCATTTGTTGAAAAGACTGTTCTTCCCCTATGGAATGGTTTTGGAACCCTTGCCAAAAATCATTTGACTGTATATGTGAAGGTTTGTTTCTGGGCTCACCCTTCTATTCCAATAGTCTATATGTTTGTCTTTTCGCCAGTGCCACACTGACTTAGTTACTATAGCTTTGTATTAAGTTTTTACATCAGGAAATGTGAGAATTCCACCTTTGTTCTTCTTTTTTTTAATTTAATTATATATTTAACATCTTCTTGGATAGCAATGTTCTTCTTTTTTAAGATTGCTTTGGCTATCAGGAGTCTTTTGAGATTTCATATGAATTTTAGGATGGACTTTTCTATTTCTGCAAAAAATGTCATTGGAATTTTGGTAGGGATTACATTGAATCTGTAGATCACTTTTGGTGGTGTTGACATCTTAACAACATTAAGTCTTCCAGTCCATGAACACATGACATCTTTCTATTTCTTTATGTCTCCTTTAATTTCTTTCTGCAACATCTTGGAGTTTTTAGTGTATAAGTCTTTCACTTCCTTGGTTAAGTTTACTCCTAAGTACAGACATACATCTCTTAATGATGGGGCTATGTTCTGAGAAATGTGTCATTAGGCAATTTTGTCATTGTGCAAACACCATTGAGTGTACTTACACAAACCTAGATGGTATGGTCTACTACGCACATAGGCTATATGGTATAGCCTGTTGCTACTAGACTACAAACCTGTACAGCATGTTACTGTAGTAACAGTGTCATCATCTTATGGGACCACCTTCACATATGCAATCTGTTATTGACCAAAACGTCATTATGTGGCTCATCACTGTATTTTTTATGCTATCATAATTTCTCAAATTTTTTAAGATTATTTATTATTAGTGTATAGAAATGTGACTAATTTTTGTGATTTTGTATACTGCAACTTTGCTGAGTTCATTTTCTCCTGTTTGTTTCTTAAGCTTGGTGGTGGGTACATGGTTTGTCATGCCTGGAATATTTTATTAAAAAACACATACCTGGCTGGGTGCAGTGGCTCACACCCATAATCCCAGCACTTTGGGAGGCTGAGGTGTGCGGATCACTTGAGGCCAGGAGTTCGAGATCAGCCTGGGCAACATGGCAAAACCACGTCTCTACTAAAAATACAAAAATTAGCCAGGCATGGTGATGCATGCCTGTAATCCCAGCTACTCGGGTGGCTGAGGCACGAGAATCTCTTGAACCCATTAGGCAGAGGTTGCAGAGAGCCAAGATCGTGCCATTGGATTCCAGCCTAGGCAACAGAGTGAAACTCTGTGAAACTCCAAGAAAAAAGAACACATACCCTAGGCCCCAAACATGCTCCCACTAAAGTAACTCCCCTCCAGCTATAATTGGAGTTTGGCAGGGGGTGGGTAGTCTTTGGGCTGTTACTGAGCTCACTGGACCTACAGTGGCCCCATCTCTTTTCTGCACCCTGGGAGATACCAGCTTCCCAGGAAGGTGATGCTGCCTAAGAATAAGCAATGCAGCCACAGCGTGTCTAAAGAGGAAGATGGGGGCCCTGAGCTGGGAGTCAGGCCTCTGGATGGGAAGATGGGCTTCATCACTGATGCTTGTGGGACCCTGGACAATCCCTTCCATGGGCCTTAGTTTCCTCCCCTGTAAAATACGCAGGTAGAACTTGATAATCTCGAGAGCCCTTTGAGCATAAAGGAAGTCAGAGGTTGTGCAGGCACAGAGTCGCTAGGGCCTGAATGGGGTGAGGGTCTCAGCTTCAGGTCATATCCACATCACTGCTCTGCAGCATTATAGATCACTGACAAAAAAGTCCCTGTGATTTCCTGAAGCTCTGAGTTCTCCACCTCTGTGCCTTTAAAACAATAATAAATTACTTGTAATATAATTATTATAAAAATAACTCCTTGTGCTGCAGTTTGTAAAATACTTTCACATTCATTCCTCATTTTGCAAATGAGAAAACTGAATCCCAGAAAGCTGGTGTTCCTTGCCCCTAGCTAAGCTAGTAAATAGTATACCTGGTGTGGATTAAAATGAATTCCAGTTCAGCTGCTCAAAATGCTATGTGGTCACCATGGAATAATGAGTTAGTTAAGGGAGAGGGAAAATAGAGGGAATGAGAAAAAAAAAACTCAAAAAAATTAGAATCATATATTAATTTAATACAGTTAATTTTCCACAAGGTCTAATGGAAATGGAAAATCAAGATGTGGACTCCGAGTGTAATGAAATATTGCTCAAATATTTACAATAGCCTTGATCTGGTGTTAAAAGGAAAGATCAGTCCTACTCTTACTTCCTTGCCAGCCCTGAGCCCCCTCTGCCACTGTGTGTCAAAGCACTTGGCTGGCAACTGATGACAGCCTCACTCCTTCCATAGCATCCCTCCTTTGACTGAGTACTTCCCCAGGCCTACCCCAAATTCCATCATTTCCCTTCTCTGGGGAATGCTGCAACCACAAGACAACAGGTAAGGAATGTGGATGTCAGCATAAGTCTACAAAAAGTGAGAAAGACGGAAACAGGGAAGTTGAATGAGACAAAGATGACAGAATTTTCAATAAGGGTGCCAAGACCATTCAATGGGGAAAGAATGTCTCTAACAAAAGAAGAAAGAGTCTCTTCAACAAATGGTCCTGGAACAGTTGGATAGCACACTCAAAACAGTGAAGTTGAACCCTTACCTCACTCCATACTCAAAATTTAACTCAAATAGATCAATGACCTAAATGAAAGAGTTAAAGCTTTATAAAACTATTAGGGGAAACATAGGGGTAAGTCTTTATGACCTTGGATTTGGCAATGGAATCTTAGATTTTACACCCAATACATGAACAACAAAATAAAAACTGGTAAATTTGACTTCATAAAAGTTAAATTTTTTGTGCACCAAAAGACAGTAACAAGAATGTGAAAAGGCAATATAAAAAATGGGAGAAAATAGTTGCAAATAGTATATCTGATAAAGATCTAGTATTCAGAATATATAAAGAACCCTTACAACAATGAAAAGACAAACCAATTTTTAAAAAGCAAATGATTCAAATAGACATTTCTCCAAAAAAGATACATGAGTGACCAAAAAGCGCTTGAAAAAATTCTTGGCCAGACATGGTGGCTCACACCTGTAATCCCAGCACTTTGGGAAGCCAAGGTGGGCAGATCACTTGAGGTCAGGAGTTCAAGACCAGCCTGGCCAAAATGATGAAACCCCATCTCTACTAAAAATACAAAAATTAGCCAGGTATGCTGGCGCTGTCTGTAATTCCAGCCTCTCGGGAGGCTGAGGCACGAGAATCACTTAAACTTGGGAGGCAGAGGTTGCAATGAGCCAAGATCGCACCACTGTACTCCAGCCTGGGTAACAGAGCAAGACTCTGTCTCCAAAAACAAAACGAAGAAAAAAATTTCAACATCATTGGTTATTACAGAAATGCAAATCAAAACCATGATGAAATAAATGCCAGTTAACACCCAGCAGAATGGCTACGTTTTTTTTTTGTTTGTTTTTTTTGAGATAGTGTCTTACTCTGTCACCCAGGCTGGAATGAAGTGGTGCAATCATGGCTTACTGTAGTCTCAACCTCTCAGGGTCAAACAATCCTCCCAATTCCTCCTCTCTGGTAGTTGGGACTACAAGTGCACACCACCACACCCAGCTAATTTTTCTATTTTTTGTAAAGACAGGGTTTTGCCATGTCCCCTAGGCTGGTCTCAAACTCCTGGGCTCAAGTAATCTGCCCACCTCAGCCTTCCAAAGTGTTGGAATTACAAGCGTGAGCCACCACACCCAGCCAACAAGTTTTAAAAATGGAAAATAACAAGCGTTGGTGAAGGTATGGAGAAATAGGAACCCTCATAACATTGCTTGTGGGAATGTAAAATGGTACAGCAGCTGTGGAAAACAGTATGGTGGTTCCTCAAAGTGCTAAACATAGAATTACCACATGACTCAGCAATTCCTCTTCTAGGGTACATACCCAAGAGAAACGAAAACATATGTCCACATAGGAACTGGTACACGAATGTTCATAGCAGCATAATTCATAATAGCCAAAAGGTGAAAACAATTCAAGGATCCATCAGCTGATGAGTGGATAATCAAATATTGGTATATCCATACAATGGAATATTACTCAGCCATAAGAAGGAATTAAGTACTGATACATGCTACAACATGGATTAACACCCAAAACATTATGCTACATGAAATACGCCAGACACAAAAGATCCCATATTGTATGAATTCTCTTTTTTTTTTTTTTTTTTTTTGATTGAGACAGAGTCTTGCTCTGAAGTGCAGTGGTGCAATCCCAGCTCACTTCAACCTCTGCCTCCTAGGTTCAAGCAATTCTCGTGCCTCAGCCTCCCAGGTAGCTGGGATTACAGGCACCCACCACCACACCAGGCTAATTTTTTGTATTTTTAGTAGAGATGGAGTTTCACCATGTTGGCCAGGCTGGTCTTGAACTCCTGGCCTCAGGTTTCCACCTGCCTCAGCCTCCCAAAGTGCTGGGATTACAGGTGTGAGCCACCGTGCCCTGCTCTTTTCTTTTATACGAAATATCTTGAATAGGCAAATCTGTAGAGACAGAAAACAGATTAGTGATTGCCAGGGGATGGAAGGAGGAGGAATGAGGAGTGGTTACTTAATGGGTATGGAGTGTTCTGCTGGGGTGATGAAAAAGTTTTGAACCTAGGAAGAAGTAGTGGTTGCACAACATTGTAAATTCACTAAATGCCACTGAATTGTACCTATTAAAATGGTTAATTGTATGTTGTGTACATTTCACTTCAATTTCCTAAAAAGGTAAGAGAGATAGCTAGGCCAGGACAAGTTTCACTTCAATTTCCAAAAGGAAGGAACAGAGATAGCCAGGCCAGGACAGCGACAGGGATGTAGAGAGGGACTGAGAGGGAAGAGATGGAGCAATCAGGAAAAGCTGTGGCCCATTACCAGAAATTTATTAGTGCTGTTCGGTCAGCGGGTTGCCAGCTAAATTTAATATGGATCTATATACAAAGAAAATGCCTCGTTCTACATTATGAATATTTAATCATGCATGGGTCGGGCAATTTCACAGAAGTAATTAAAAGCAGTCTTTTGTTTATTGCTCAAAAATGATAGCAACCTGCTGACCAGAGCTGCAGACACAGTGACATATTGAAAACGTTACCTACTGACATATGTTATTAAAGAGGAATTAAGGGTCACTCACTTCCCTCCCCTTAGAAACTAATCGCTCCTAAGCCCTCCTGCCTGCTCACTCCAGAGCACAGCTCTGAGGGGAAGGCACCTCCCAGCTGAGGCTGGAGAGGCAGGCCAGCACCCCTTGGTCTAGAACAGCAGTCCCCAACCTTTTTAGCACCAGGGACTGGTTTCGTGGAAGACAATTTTTCCACGGACGGGAGTTGGTGGGGGATGGTTTCAGGATGAAACTGGTCCACTTCAGATCATCAGGCATAAGGAGCACACAACCTAGATCCCTTGCACGTGCAGTTCACAATAGGGTTCACACTCCTGTGAGAATCTAATGCTGCTGCTGATCTGACGGGAGGTGGAGCACAGGTGGTAATGCTCACTGGCCTGCCACTCACCTCCTGCTGTGCAGCCTCGTTCCTAACAGGCCACAGATCTGTGCCAGTCTGTGGCCCAGGGGTTGGGGACCCCTGGCCAATAACCTCCCCCAAATCCATAGTTAAAACAGATGAGCCGGTTATTCAGAAGACCAGAGAGGAAACACGCCATGATGTATATTCTCTGTAAAAAGTTCTCCCTGCTGTCCTGCCACATCCAGCCCATTGCAAAATCCTGTCAATCCTGAGCCCCTTATCTCAGTGTCATTTCCTCCTTTGTCACTGTGACTGCCCTGGTTCAGCTTGCCCGCCACCCCCCACAGTCTTGTTCCTCCCCATTTCATTCTACAGTGACTCTTCCTGGATCTGTGGATCAAGGCTCTGCTTCACTCATGCACCTCCCATGGCTCCCCATTGTCTGCCATCCTCCTCATGCCAACATTAAAGTCTCTCATCATCTGACCCCAGCTGACCATCCTGCATCAGGGTTCTTGGTTGCCAACAATAGAAAGTGACCATGGCTAACTTAAGCCAGAAATAATCTACTAGGAGGACACCGGGGAGCTCATAGAATCGGTAGGAAGGCCAGGGAGGCTGACCAGCAAAGGGCAGAGATTAAAGTCATGCATGTCCAGATACTGTCCAGCCAGAATACCACTGCTGGTGCCTCTACCACTGGCCACTTTCCACCATTCAGCAGCCCCACAGCCTCCATGAATAATATCTAAATGTGCCCACACTCTCACATCAGTCTCCTCACCCCCCCATCCCAGGTGGGAGTAGCCAACCAACCAAGCATGGCCTCTTTCTGCAGCCCCATCACTGTGGTCCAGGTAGAGGGGAGTCTGGCTCTCTTTGCTTCCACAGGGAGAGACAGAGCCTTTGATTCCCAGACACACTGCCTGCGCCCCAGCTACAGCAACATTTCCTCCACACCCCACACCCACTTGGGGCTCTCCCATCACTCCAGCTCTGCTCTGTCTCTCTCTCCCCCAGGAATGCCTTGCCCTCACTTCTTTTTTTTTTTTTGAGACGGAGTCTCGCTCTGTCGCCCAGGCTGGAGTGCAGTGGCGGGATCTCGGCTCACTGCAAGCTCCGCCTCCCGGGTTCACGCCATTCTCCTGCCTCAGCCTCCCAAGTAGCTGGGACTACAGGCGCCCGCCACTACGCCCGGCTAATTTTTTGTATTTTTAGTAGAGACGGGGTTTCACCGTTTTAGCCGGGATGGTCTCGATCTCCTGACCTCGTGATCCGCCCGCCTCGGCCTCCCAAAGTGCTGGGATTACAGGCGTGAGCCACCGCGCCCGGCCGCCCTCACTTCTTATAGCCAGTTGGATCAACCTTCAAATGACCCAATCAAATACCACCTCTTCTAGGAGCCCTTCCCTGACTGCCTCCACTACTCCCAATCTGGATATGACACCATCTGTGCCTCTCTGGTGACAATGAGGGCTCTCTACCACATATTGAAGCTTGTCATGTTCCTGGGTGACCCTCTCCTATGAGACCATGAGTTCCTAGAAAGCAGGACCCATGGCTTCTCTTATTTCCAGGGCTGAGCACAGGGCCAGCATAGTGTATGCAAAGAAGTCTGGATGCACACGAATGAGGTCTGTAGAAGGAAGATTCGCCCTGTGCCATATGCTTATGTCCACCTCCTGGTCACATCAGAGGTCAACCCAAAATAGCATTGAAACTGGTGGAGTGTCTTCACCCTTTCCCAGTGTACCCAATTTCCTTGACTCATGCTTGTTTTAATATTCTGCTGACACCATCGTGAAATTCATTATTTCATTGTGAAACATGCAAGAGTCCTGCATGTTTATAGTGCAGTGGGCCCTGCAAATTATGTAGCCAGCCCTGGGTGGACAGCTTCTGATACAGTCACTCATACCTCCAAGTGGGGTTTCAGCATCTTGCCACTCCTTTCATGAAGAGAAGACAGGGAAAAGGCAGGGCTTCACCCAACTGGCTTCAGACTCCAGTATGCAAAGGAATTTGGAATGGGTTGACTTCTGGTCACCACAAAATCATAGCACATGGGTGACCACCCAAGACTAGGGCTGGACCTAAATGCAAGGCTCTTCAAGACCGAGCAATGTAAATTGCCTGCACTCACTAGGATCAAATTCATGACCCCACCAGCATCTCTCCTGGCTCCCTTAACAGCCTGTTCTAAGTCAATGAGTTATGTCACCCAAGATTTGTGTTGAAATCATGACAACAACAATACATCAGCCTATGTAGAGGAATGTTGCATTTGATAATGAATTCTTTATAGACATGTGTTTTTACCGAGGTATAATTTACATGCAATAAAATGCATAGATTTTACATGTACAATTTGATGAATTTTGATATATGTACATACTCATGTAACCACCACCCCAGTGAAGGCATGGAATATTCTAATACCCCCAAAAGTTTCTTCCTGTGCCTTTGAAAGTCACACCCTACCCCCATTGCTGCTCTCAGCAACCACTGTCTGATTTCTATCACTATAGGTTAATTATGGCTTTTCTACTACTGCATAAAATGAAAGCATTCAGTATATTTGTGTCTAGCTTTTTTCATTCATCAAAATTTCTATGAGATTCATACATGTTACATATATCCGTATACATCAGTTTATTCCTTTTTGTTTCTGAGTAATATTCCATTGCATGGATGTATCACAATTTGTTAATGCATCCTCTGGTTAATGGCAATTTGTGTTGTTCTCAGTTTTAGCTATCATGAATACATCTGTACAAGTCTTTTTGTAAACATATGCTTCTTTTCTCTTGGGTAAATAATACCTAGCTGTAAAATTGCTGAGTCATGGGTGTATTTGTAAGGGTTCTCCAGGATTATATGTAGATGTACAAGAGGAGCTGGCTCATGCAATTATGGAGGCTGAGATGTGCCATGATATGCCTCTGCAAGCTGGAGAACCAGAAAAGCAAATGGTGTAACTCCCAGTCCAAGGCTGAATTCCTGGGAAGGGGGAGTGGGTGGGGAGAGGTGCCCATGGGTACAAGTCCCAGATTTCAAAGGCTTAGAACTAGGAGCTTCAATACCCGAGGAAAGGAGAAGATGGATGTCCCTACTCAAGGAGAAAGAGAGAATTCACCCTTCCCCCATCTTTTTGTTCCATCCAGGCCCTCAGCCAACTACATGGTGCCCACCCACAATGAGGAAGGTGATCTTCTTTACCCAGTCCACTGACTCAAATGCTAATCTCTTCCAGAAACACCCTCACAGATGCACCCAGAAATAGTTTTATCAGCTATCTGGGCATCCCTGATCCCAGTCAAGTTGCCACAAAATATTGACCATCACAATGAGGTTGGTGTATATTTCTAAGAAAATGCTCAACTGTTTCCAAAAATAGTCATATCATTTTACTGTCATGCCAGCAAAGTATTCAGTTGCTGCACATCCTCTGCAACACTTGGTGTTGTTGGGCACATTAATTTTAACTGTTCCAGTGGGTGTTAATTTGCATTTCTCTGATGAGCAATGATGTTGCACACTTTTTCATATGCTTCAGGGCCATTCATATATCTTCCTTTGTGAAGTATCTGTTAGGACTTTTGCCCATTTTTTAATAAGATTGTTGGCCTTATTATTGAGTTATTGTTGTTTTCTATAGACTCTAAATATGGATTATTTGTCAGATATATGTAAATAAATATTCCTTCCCCACCTGTAGCTTGCCTTTTCATTTTCTCAGGAATGTCATTTGAAGAGCAGAGTCTTTGATTTTGATGGAGTCCAACATGTCCATATTTTTTTTATTTTATAGTTAGCACATTTTTGTCTTGTCTAAGTAGTCTCTACCTATCCCAAAGTTGTGAAGATATTTTTTCCCATGTTCCCTTCTAGAGGCATTATCATTTTAGCTTTTACATTCCATCTTCATTTTTGATCCATCTTCAAATGATCCATCTTCATTTTTGTGTGTGGTGTGAGGTAGGGGGTCAAGGTTTATTTTTTTCCCCTATGGATATCCAATTATTCCAGCATCTTTTGCTGAAAAGGCTATCACTGGTTATCTTGGTACTTTTACAAATCAATTAACTAGATAAGTATGAGTCTGTTTCTGGACCTTCTGTTCTGTTTGATGGATCGGTTTGTTGACCCATACACCAATGTTACATTGTTTTGATTCCCCTGACTTTACTTACTGATGACTTTTGAGTCCGGGTCTCTCTCCCACCTTTTGCTCTTCTTCTCTCCTTCTCACTAGCTCATCATTCTCCAGGGCTGCGGGGTAGGGGATTTGGGCTCTAGTCTTAGCTCTGCCTCTAAGTTACTGCAGTTACCACTTTTGCTTTCTTGGTCTCCTTTCCCTATCCATAAAATGGAGATAAGTTGAAACAAGAACGCTTCCCCCATAAAAGACTTGATTTTTAGGTTGATTTCCATGTTACTAGGAAGGAAAACAAGAGTAGAGGACAGCTTTCTGTAAAATGCTTTCCTGACATTCTAGAGCCCAAAATCAAAGCCAAAAGCAGGAGGGAAAAGCAGTAACCTGACCCCAGCCTGGTAAAATAACCTTTTTTTTCTCACTTATTCTTCATCATGCTCACTTTTGAAGACAGACCACTGCACATTAAGTCCAGCCCAGTCGATACACTGTCTAGGAGGCACAGAGTGTTAGCTGTTTCTCACTGTGCCTCTATCTGCCCTGTCATTCTGTCTCAGCTCTGACTCTCCCCAACATCTCCCCGCCTGCTCCACAATGGCCTAGTGGTTAAGTTCCTGAGTCAGCCTGCCTGTGTTCACATCTCAGCTCGGCTGTTTAACAAAACAGTGGGTTTGGGCAAGGTGCTTTTTGCCTTTGGGCTTTGGTTTCTTCAGTGCAATAAAGGAAATAAGAACAGTACCCACTTCGTGGGTTGTTGTGAGACATCATTAAGACAATGCATATAAAATGTTTAGCATAATATCAGCCATTACTGTAAATGTTCAAAAAATGTTAGCCACTGTGGTGGTTTTTTTGACACTGCTCCTTTGAAAAGATAGAGCCTAATTCCTCTACCCTCAAATGTGGGACAGACTTGGTGCCTCACTTCTAACAAATGGAGTGTGCAGGAAGTGATGGTGTGTGACCCCTGACACTAGGTCATAAGGGATATTGCCACAGGAGCCTGCAGAGAGACCTATGTGGGAAGGAACTGAGGCCTCCTGCCAATGACTGTCGCCAACTTGTGAGCTGTGTGAACAATCCATCTTGGAAAAGGATGCCCCAGTCCAAGCTGAACCTTGTGAGACAGCAGCCCTGGCTGACATCCTCACTACAACCTCATGAGACACCCTGAGCCAGACCACACAGCTCAGCCATGCCTGAGCTCTGAATTCCCAACCCACAGAAACTGTATGAGATAATAAATGTTCATTGCTGTTTTAAACCGCTACATTTTGGGGTAATTTTTATGCAGACCCATATAAATAATTCAGCCACCATTAGTAGTGGTAGTAGTGGTAACTGAATCCTATTATCCTTCAACCCCCAGTTCGTGTTCTACTGCCTCCAAAAAGCCTTTGTCAAGGAAAGAGAAGGTGGTAAGGAAATATCCAATTCCCCCTGTTTCTAAAGTAACCGCACCCCATGTTTTAGCTGGGCCACCTGGGTAAGAGGTTGTATTTTCCAGCCTCCCTTGCTTGTCTTTCTCTTTCATAGACACCCACACGTGCACACATAGCTTTGTTCCATCACCCTACTGTGTCCTCTAAGAAACATCTGCAATGAGCCCAAGATATTCTGGATGCTAACAGAAAGCTGATTTAAGAAACAGAAGATTTGGATCTAAATGGCTTGAGGGGAGTGGGGGAGAGGTGGGTGTGAGGACCCTGGGATTAGACTAGGGTTCAAATCTCAGGTCCTCAATCAAGCTGTGGGGACAAGAGCTAGCCTGTCCTGACCTCAATCCTTCACTTTAAAAGGAAGAAAATGGGGTTGCTGTGAAGAGGTAATGGGCTGGAAGAGGCCCTATGATAGAAGTAGTATGTGCAACTTCCAGAATGTATCCTTAACAGGAAAAGGTATAACTTTCTCCTTTCTACCAATTGCAATGCAGAGATGCTAGGGGTGCCGCCTTGGATTATAACATAATCTTGGGAATAGAGACCATGAACACAGAACAAAAAACTAGAGGGAGCTGGAGTTTCTAACACCACAGAGCACCAGTCCTGCACCACATACCTGCCATCTTTCACGTGAGAGAGAAATACATTTCTGTCTATCTTGCTTAAGCCACTGATATTTTGGGGTTTGTTACTCACAGCAAAGCCTGATCATAACTGATACAGGGAAGGATGGGAAAGAAACTGTTTATTAAGTTTCTTAAGCTTGTGTGTACAAAATGATGTCACATTCATGATTTCACTTAAATTCACATTACAACCCCAAGAGGCAGACATGATTATAGATTAAATAGAAATAGATGAGAAAACTAACACTCAGAGGCCGGGTGTGGTGGCTCATGCCTGTAATCCCAGCATTTTGAGAGGGAGAGCGAGGCGGGTGGATCACTTGAGGTCAGGAGCCTGTCCAACATGGTGAAACCCCATCTCTACTAAAAATACAAAAATTAGCCAGGCATGGTGGTGTCCACCTGTAAACCCAGATACTTGGGAGACTGAGGCATGAGAATTGCTTGAACCCAGAAGGTGGAGGTTGCAGTGAGCCAACATTGCACCACTGTACTCCAGGCTGGGAAGACAGAGAAAGACCCTGTCTCAAATTAAAAACAAAGCAAAATGCTCAGAGAGGTTGAGGTTGAGTGATTTATTCATGGTCTTATAGCTAACAAGAAATAGAGTTGGAATTCAAAACTAAAATTGAATAGATCAAAATACAAGCTCATTCTATGAGCCCCCTCTCATGTACTCAAGACCCTGGGCTAAGCCTTTTCTCATCTGCCACAGCCAGGCTGCTCCCTCACCACCCAAACCCCTCCACCCCACTTAGCACTTAACCTGATTGTCAATTGTTCTGCACCTTGTTTCCTCAAGGACCCAGAATGTCAGCTCCTTGAGGCCAGGACCCATTTCAGGAGGCTTAGTTTCCCAGGCTTTAGCCACTAAGCATTTAATAAACACTTGTTGAATGATTGGTAGACTTGAACACTTGTGCTGAAGACCAGAAAAGATGAGAAGAGGCCGGGCGCCGTGTCTCACTCCTGTAATCTCAGCACTTTGGCAGGCCAAGGCAGGCAGATCACCTGAGGTCAAGAGTTTATGACTAGGCTGGCCAACATAGCGAAACTCTGTCTCTACTAAAAATACAAATGTTACCCTGGTGTGGTGACGTGCGCCTAATCAGGAGGCTGAAGTGGGAGGATAGCTTGAGCCCAGGAGGCAGAGGCTGCAGTGAACCGAGCACTACACTCCAGCCTGGGTGGGAGTGAGCCCCCATCTCAAAAAAAAAAAAAAAAAAAAAAATAGAGAAGAAGGCTGGGGGCTGGGGCTGGGGCAAGCCTGTAACATACCTGCCCCAGGCACCCTGACAAAGCTTTCATCTCACTGGCCATGATGCTTTCTCTTTTTAATATATATTTTATTACATCAAGAAACAAAAGAGAAACACACAATTTATGTCGGCCTTTTATCAGCCAACATAAATGAGTACAGATTCCTAACTTCATTTCAGAGGTCTCCATGGCAATCAATATTGCCTGCTGACCAATTAAATCTAACAAGATGCCTTGGAGCCAGAGCGGGTCAGGCGAGGGTGAAAAACCAGGAGTCTAAGGACAGAGTTCTTTCAAAGGTGGTGGAAAGGAGACATACCCTGCCTGGGTCTCCAAGTTTTAAGTATAAATAGGAGGACTGCAATGGTGCTCAGGCTTCTAATGGAGGCTGAAACTGACATGTCTCAGCCAGAGACCAAGATCACCGCGGCAATCAAGGGTATCAGTCTGGCATTCCAGGACGGCTTCTACGTCATATGGGGCTTAGCAACCGGGGGTTGTGCAGGGAAAAGCAAGATCTACGACTAACATTGACCATCTCAAGTTCAGGCTAGGACCAACAGCCTCCACACTCTGCCCATTCAGTTGAACTATGGTGGTTGGGATAGGATTCCTCTGTGACTCAGTTTCCTCATGGTAAAATCACTATCAAACAAAAAAAAACAGGTATAATATTATTCAAAAAGCACATATTTGGTGCCGTGTGCTAGACCACGTAACTAGCCTTGAGAAAATTGCTTCACATCGCCATGCCTGAGTTTCTTTCACTGTGAAATGGGGATGATAACGCCCACTTGCAGGAGTATTTCAAGGGACAAAGGGATTACGGGCATAAACGCAGCTTCTGGCCGGGCTCAGTGGCTCATGCCTGTAATCCCAGCACTTCGGGAGGCCAAGGCGGGCGGATCTCCTGAGGTCAGTAGTTCAAGACCAGCCTGACCAACGTGGTGAAACCCCATCTCTACTAAAAATACAAAAATTAGCTGGGCATGGTGGTGGGTGCCTGTAATCCCAGCTACTTGGGAGGCTGAGGCAGGAGAATCACTTGAATCCGAGAGGCAGAGGTTGCAGTGAGCCGAGATTGTGCCACTACACTCCAGCCTGGGCAACAAGAGTGAAACTCCGTCTCCAAAAAAAAAATAATAACAATATAATAATAATAATAATAATAATAATAATAAAAGCAGTTTCAGTCTCTGGGCTTTTGGACTTGCCAGTTCTCACCATAAGCTCCCATTTTCTGCAGAAAGTTTCAGGGCCCTGTGTCCTTTATCACCAAAAAGACTGAATAATTAAGCACTGTACAAATCCAACAGCTTGTCTCTCCCCGTAGAAAGCAGATCTTCCGTTTAGTTGTAACATTTACCACCACACAAAGCTTCAAGGCTGGGAGGTCAGGCAGAGCATTTCAGGAGCTAGTAGAGGGCCAGGAGCATGCTTCAAGGAGCTTGCCACATCACAGGAGCTCATGTCCTGGGTACTGGGGAGGCCCTCACTCTGCAGCACCAGGTTCCAAGCATGCATCCAGCTGCCCTCCACGACCTGCCATCTGTACCCTGTGTTTTTTAAGAGATGATGACACCAACTGCACTAGGCATTCCTGAGGGACACCCAGTTTTACACAGCGTGGGGGTGATGTTTTCTACGTTCTTTCCATTTTCCTTCCAATGATATTCAACAGCTCACTGGCCTTTGGGGCCCACCAGCACATTGGCAGTGTACACAGCACCCTGTGATGAACAAGGCATGTGGTCATCTGTGACCTCATCCAAACCTCACCAAACACTCTGTGCAGGGACAATGAAACAGATTGTTCAGAGATTAAAATTAAGGCCCAGGAAAGATAAATGGCTTATCCAAAGCCAAACAGCTAGAAACCAACAGAATTGTCTTCCTCTTTTCTTCCCCCCTCAAATGGCTTTTGAATTTATTTGCTTGATCAATGATGGTCCTGGCAAAAATTAGTTAACCAATGCTGAGACATATGTAATGAAACAGTAATTTTAAAATTGTCTTCCTCTTTCACAGACACCCACACAAGCACACATAGCCTTGTCCTGTCACCCAGCTGTGTCCTCTAAGAAACATGTACAATGAGCCCAAGATGCTAACAGAACATTAATTTAAGAAACAGTCAGGAGATTTGGATCTAAATGGTTTGGGGGAGTGGGGAAAGGGAGGGGTGAGGACTAGGACCCTGGGGTTAGACGGGGGTTTGAATCTCAGCTCCTCAATCAAGCTGTGGGGACAAGAGCTTAGCCTGTCATGACTTCAATCCTTCATCTATAAAAGGGAGATACTGGGGTTACTGTGAAAATTAATTGAAACCACTTGTTAATGGCATACAGCAAGTGCCCGATAGATGTTATTCCTCTCCTCCACCCCCATTCCACACTGAAACAACTTGCCTCTGATCTGCGCCATCTCGTTAAGTCCCAGGAGCCAACTCAAGAGCACCTTCCTTCCCTGACCATCCCAGTCCATCTTGATCCCTTCCTCTCTAGAATCTTTACAGCATTCCTGGTCTTCAACACATGATTTAGGGGCTGTTTATTTGCCAAGTGTGTTTTGGACTAACTAAACTTGAGGGGTGATGCCTTTTCCTAGATATTTGCTCAATCAATGGCATGGGGCTGAGCATAGCAGGTGCCTGATAAACACAAGAGTCATCCTTCCCTCTTTCTTGTCCTTACTGTATTTTTTGAGTTTCCTGGAGTATGTCACTATTGATCTAATATTGAATCAAATCAAACCTAGAAGAGCTTAAAGGCAACCACAACCCTAAAGATTTTGTGTGTGTGTGTGCACATTTTCTAGCTTGTGGCAGAGAATGCCAGCTGTCCACCAAAATCCTTTTCGCTCCTCTAGAGTAATAATATTGTAGTTGGCACACAGCTACTTAGCTGTGGACTACATTGCCCAGACACCTTTGTACTTGAGTGTGACCACGTTCTTGCCAGTGGAATGTGAGAGAATTGCAAGTCCAACACCCTTTCTACATCACCCCAAAGGGTACCCATTTTTAATTACTTTAATCCCTTCACAGGGGCTGATGTGGGAGAATTGCTTGAGCCCTGGAGATCGAGGCTGCAGTGAGCTGTGATCACACCACTGCACTCCAGCCTGAGTAACAGAGTCTCAAAAAAAAAAAAAAAATCCTTCCACATAACCACTTTATAAAGAAGAACTCACATATAAAACCCAAATGAGCCTATAAAATAGGAAGCTACATGATGTGAAGCAAGCCACTTTGCCTTTCTGGGCCTCAGTTTGTCCACGTGGAGGTGAGACTCTTCCAACTCTAACATCAAATGAGTCTAAGCTGGACTTTCATTCTCTTTACCTCTCTCCTCTCACCTGCCCCCTACTAGCTGCTAGGCAGGCTGGGAAACAGCAGCCTACCTGGATTCCCTTCTAATACATCCAAGTCCCGGTTCTTTCTGACTTACAAAGAGCTTCCTGCCTCCCTTCATCATGTTTGCAATACAGTTCTGTTCTGTTAATTTCCTGGAAAAAAAATTTTTTTTCCTCAGAGATTCTGCTGCAGACCTACCTCCCCCTAGTATAAAAAACCCATAGGCCCATCCCAGGCGGCCTCCATCTCCGTCAGCTGCCACGGTGGCTGAAGCCACCACACCCGGCCCACACAGCGCCTCTGGCCTACCTTCAGCTGAGGACAAGCCAGCATGGGAAGCACGGAGGAGCTGCCCTTACAGGGGGTGCCTTGGTTGAGTGCAGGGCGCTTTCATCACAGCACCCAGCGTGGAGGTGCAGCTACCATGCATATGTCAGTACAGCCACATTCAGCATTAAAATCTTAAAATGCTTCCACACCAGGTAGTAAATAGCCACTGCCCCAAGGGTCCCCTCCAAAACCCCCCAGAACTCCAATCACCTTTCCCGGTAGAGGGACCTGCAGGGGGCAGCAGCAGCTCCAGCACATTCACTTTATGCCTAAGTCTGTGTTCATAACTATGTATTTTTTTCTTTTGTTCTTTTCCTTTTTTTTTCTTTTTTACATTTGCCAGTTTATTAAAAAGGATATTACAAAGGATACAGGATGAAGAGACACATAGGCTGGATGCAGTGGCTCACGCCTGCAATCCCAACACTTTGGGAGGACAAGATGGGCGGATTATGAGGTCAGGAGTTCAAGACCAGCCTGGTCAACATGATGAAACGCCATCTTTACTAAAAATACAAAAGTTACAGGCGCTCGCCCGTAATCCCAGCTACTCAGGAGGTTGAGCAGGACAATCTTTTGAACTTCAGAGGTAGAGGTTGCAGTGAGCCAAGATGGCGCCATTGCACTCCAGCCTGGGCGATAGAGTCAGACTCTGTCTCAAAAAATAAAAAAGAGGCCGGGCACTGTGGCTCACGCCTGTAATCCCAGCACTTTGGGAGGCTAAGGCAGGCGGATCACGGGGTCAGGTGTTCAAGACCAGCCTGGGCAACACGGTGAAACCCCGTCTCTACTAAAATACAAAAAATTAGCCGGGCGTGGTGGCGGGCGCCTGTAGTCCCAGCTACTCAGGAAGCTGAAGCAGGAGAATCGCTTGAAGCTGGGAGGCAGAGGTTGCAGTGAGCCGAGATCGTGCCACTGCATTCCAGCCTGGGTGACAGAGCAAGACTCCATCTCCAAAAAAATAAAATAAAATAAAATAAAAATATAAAAAAGACACACGTAGGGCAAGCTATGGGGACACAGAGCTGCCTGTGCCCTCCCTGGAGCACCACCTTCAGGAACCTCCATGTGGAATGCCACATGCTGTCCAGAAGCTCTCCAAACCCAGGTCTTGTGGGTTTTTATGGAAGCTTCATGACATCTCCATTCCTTCCCTCAGGGCACAGAGCAGGACCCTCGGAGGAGAGAGTCTTATGACCCGTGTAACAGGAGAAACAGGGGAAGATTAGCATCCCGGCTTGGGGTTGCCGAAGGGAGGGCAGGAGAAGGTCGGAGGGATTCTGCTTCCTGAGTCCTGCTCCTGAGGCCTGATGCCCACAATGTTAAGCCTATAACAAGTGCTTTGGGGGCGGCAAGCCAGGAACCGTGGACAAAAACCAATACATGTATACATCATAACACCACAGGTCACCCCTTGGTTTTTTAACGTGGGCCCTTTACATCAAAAGAACATACATGATCATTAGTAATTAGCCTAGTCTGTCATATTGTATAAATGTCTCCCAGGCTGAAGCCACTCAGGTATACAGGCTTCCTTTCAATCCCATCCAAGTTCCAAAAGCAGGAGTGGTCTCAGCAAACATATAGATAGCTTCACCCTTTCAGGCATGTGAGATCATTGAGACAGTGGCATCTCTTGCTCTGAGACTATTTATTTATTTATTTATTTATTTATTTTTAGACAGAGCCTCACTCTGTTGCCCAGGCTTCAATGCAGTGGCACGATCTCAACTCACTGCAAACCTCCACCTCCCAGAGTTCAAGTGATTCTCCTGCCTCAGCCACCCAAGTAGCTGAGATTACAGGTGTGCACCACCACACCCAGCTAATTTTTGTATTTTCAGTAGAGACAGGGTTTCGCCATGTTGGTCAGGCTGGTCTAGAACTCCTGGCCTCAAGAGATCCACCTGCCTCGGCCTCCCAAAGCGCTGGAATTACAGGTGTGAGCCACCATGCCCAGGATGTATTCTTTTTCTTAAAGAAAGTCCCTAAGCTGCCTGCGCCTGAAGCCCCACAAACCCTGGATGCCCCTGTCCCTTGGTGAGTTTTGGCCATGGGAATGTGGATAACAGGTGGGTTCATACACCCTGGGGGTGGAACATCCACCCATGCTCTCACCATCCACTCAGTGGGAATCTGCTTGTTACGGGTTGAATTGTGTCCTCCAAAATGATATGTTGAACACCTTAACCCCAGTACCCCAGAATGTGATCTTATTTAGAAGTAGGGCCTTTGTACATGCCATTAGTTAAGTTAAGATAAGGTCATGCTGGAGCAGGGTGGGTCCTTAATCCAGTATGACTGGTGTCCTTGTAAGAGGAGACTTGAAAGACACAGATCCCTAGCAGAAGATGGCCATGTGAGGACAGAGGCCAAGATGGAAGTGCTGTGGCCTCAAGCCAAGGAGCAGTGCAGATGACCAGCAAATCCCAGAAGCTATGAGAATGAATGCAACCGGTTCTTCCCTAGATCCTTCCAAGACAGCATGGCCCTGCCCACACCTCCATCTCTGGCTTCCAGCCTTCAGAACTGTGAGAGAATACATTTCTGTTGTTTTAACCCATCCCAGCTAGTGGTACTTAGTTACAACAGCCCCAGGAAATTAATGCACTGCTATAGGAAGCTGCTACCTTGATGATATTTGCTGAGACCTCATCTCTCCAGCTCCCGGAGAAACAGTGCCAGCACCGATGACAAAGCAGGCAGAACAAAAGAAAGATGACAGGCAGAACTAGGGCAGTGGGTTTTGGGAAGCAACAGGGGCTCGACAAGCTGCTTAGGCCGCCAGCTCACAGCGTCAGATGCAAACGGTCAGCCAGCGTGTTTGACAGCAACAGGAGAGGCAGGCCCTAAAAATAGCCCATTGTGCTCCAGTGAGCTCAGTGGGGCACTGAGCTCTCACTCCAGACCAGGCTCCGCTCTGAAGGGTTCTGGGTCAAGCCCCCCAAGAACAAGCTTCTCCCCACGGCAATGGGAGCCACCTTTGTCCTAGAGGTTGAGTCATCTAAGCGATGAGAGCACAGTGACCTGGAGCCCAGGTGGAATTCCATGCCTCAGCTCATTCCGAGCCCAGGAGCCTGGGAAGCTTTCCGACAGAGCAGCAGGGCCATCAAGTCAGCATAGACGGGGCACCATGTGACTGACCTTTCTGCTCACAACGCTCCCCGCTGTAGGGCTAAACGTAATTGAGGTCTGTGAACAAAGGAAGATGCCAGCTACATGAGACAGGAAAGGACTTTAGCAAGTAACACCCAGAGTGCAGGGGCAAGGAAGGGCTTCTCACCTCTCACCAGAAGGGCTGGCCCTCAGCCCAGCTGTCTTCATGGTGAAAATGAAAGAGATCAACTCAATTATCTCCAAGGCCTTTTCTGCCTCAATTTTCTCTAACTCCAGGGACCCCACACCCTGCCGGGGGCCTTGCACTCTCATGCTGCCTCCTGATTTCCCAGCCCTTCTTCATGCATGCGCTCCAGACCTCTCATCCCTGACCGGGTCCTTAGAACTTGCTATTGCCCCTGCCTACCCCACCCACCCCCCGTCCAAGGCTGTGCTCTACTGAGCAGCAGCCAGAAATCTGGAAAACTAATCAGGTCATAATGAGGGTGCGGGTAACCCTCTCTTTAGGCTTTGCAATTAAAAAGGAGGAAGGCTGCTTGAGAATGGGGGCCATGGCATTTACTCAGCACCAGCTACAGGTTTGACACATTGCAGGGCTCAGGAAGTACTTGTTGAATGAATCAACAACGGTCTCAGTCACTACAACAGGATGCGCAAGGTGGGATGGAAGGATCAGAGGACTTCTTAGGATACTTTGATACAAACTTTTAAACACAGGGTCTGCTCCATCCCCAGACCTTGACATGAGCGTTGCGCCTGTTAATTCTCAGGCCTCACTCTCTGATATCCCAAGGGGTCCCATTGCCTCAACAGCAGGATGCTGACCCAGTGCCCAAAATCAACCCCAAACAAGCGATGAGACCTGCATGGTTGCATGCATTGCATATTTTCTCAACTGTCTGGGACTAAATATAAAACCGTAAAAAAATGAAAGGAGGTGGAGAAGGGCAGAAAGGACATATCAGGGGACTTACTGAAAGAAAGAATCAAAGGGGAGCCGGCCAGCAGCTTATGTTTGGCAATAAGCAGGATAATCACAAAGGAAATTAAAAGTGAGTTTCCTTGAAGGAGGAGAAGGAGGGAAAAAAACTATAATTGGTTCCTTCTGCTCCAATGTCCCGGCACCTGCCCTCCATCTGCACCCAGAGAAGTTGTCAGAGGTCAAGGGACTGATCCACCAAAACTCTTCCAGGCAGTCTGGCAATGCAAACACACACACATGCGATGCGCACACACAGACACATGCACACACACACGCATATGCACACACACACGTCCACACGCACACACACACGCACACACACACATCCACATGCACACACACACACGTACATACAGACACGCGCGCGCGCACACACGGCTCATCCATGTGTGATTTAAAATATACAACGCTTCAATATGTATAGGCCAGAGCTGGGACCCAACCTCCCATCCTTCAGTCATACTGAACCTTCAGACACATGGAAGGAAAATTCACAGGCAAGGTGTGGTGTGTAGTGATCAGTTGTGAAGTGTGGAGCAAATAATTCGCTACTGACGATAAGATGTCAAAGTCTGGGAGTGGCTTGTTGAATTGTAGAAATCAGAATGGATTCAAGTTAGACCTGTAATTATGTCATCTTAATCCCATGTGCTCCCCCCTCTTTCTCACAGGAAAGGCAGGGGTGGGGTTAGCAGGCAGGACACAGAGAATTGCCCGTTACCCACAAGAGTAAGCAGCCCTCCTTGATGGCCTCAGCCTCAGGTTTGCAGTACAAACATGTCGATTGTCTCTGGTCTAGAATGTGGACTCCAGAAGGCAGAAAAAATGTAGAGACACTTCTCTGAGATGGGATCTGCCCCCAGCAACCAGCAACATTTATTCAAGCTGCACCTGGGGCCTCATGCTGATGGGGTCAGATGGTCCAAATGTGAGAGAGAGAAAGTCTGAGTCAGAGGAAGACAAAGACAGAGAGACAGAAACAGAAATGCAGAGACAGAGTCACAGAGAGAGGCTGCCTGGGTTCACTTGGCTCTGGGCCTTGTGAAATCCTTGTGTGCTGTAACCCACCCCTTTATTTTTCCAATAAACTCCCCTTTTTTGCTGAAGCCAGTTTGAGTAGAATCCTGTTACATATAGGTGAAAAGGCCTTGGTCAAGGTCCATTTCTCGGTTAACCATCTGCAGGGGAAAGGACAAGAGGGCTTGGGGTCCTCCTAGTAAGGCCATGAGGAGGTAGGGAGAGGGCATGGGGGCAGCAGGGTTGCTGCGGTGGCCCTCCAACTATGCTTATTGGAGCCATAAGCATTCTCTGGAGAGGACTCCAGGGGCCAATCTGCTTTCTATTCTGAGTTTGGTTGGAACAAAGGTGCTCATGGCTTTACTTCTTTTGAAACCCAGCAGGCAACAGCACAAGGCACAGGCAGGAAGTAGAGATCTGATGGTTTCTGGTTATTCACACTCTCTCATTTATTCTACTGTAAGAAACAGGGACATTCCAATTGCATATTATTTCAAGCTGAGTAAGGGGACCAGGACGAGACACCCAAACTAAAGGTCAATAAGAAGGCTGCTGTGTTGCACAACTCCTGTGGTGCCATTTGGTGCTACAGTCTGTGTGGAAGGTGCCCCAGAGCTCCACAGTGCTGGGGTGCAGCCCAGGGGGCTGATTCTGCCTTGTTTCCTCACCAGGATGCCTGCTGAGGACCCTTCTGTAGCCCCTGCTCCAATGAGACTAGGACCCCTTTCCCCTGGGGAATGGGATAGGGGAGAAGCAAGTGCTGGCTCTTTCGTGCCCCACTGGAGGGAATATGCCATAGTAGACCCTTGCCAATAAGGGGAAGAAATTAGGAGACTTTGCATGTGGAATCCCAGGGTGCAACAGAAGACAGCATCATTGACATTGGAAATCATGCCTGTAATCCTAGAACTTTTGGAGGCCAAGGCCAGAGGGTCACTTGAGGCCAGGAGATCAAGATCAGCCTACGTACCATAACGAGACCCAGTCTCTACTAAAAATAAAAAAAAAATCAGCCAGGCATGGTGGTACACACTTGTAGTCCCAGATGCTTGGGAGGCTGAGGCAGGAGGATTGTTTAAGCCCAGGAGTTTGCCTGGGCAACAGAGCAAGACTCTGTCTCAAAAAAAGAAGAAAAAAGGAAAGAAGGAAAGAAGGAAGGAAGGAAGGAAGGAAGGAAAGGGAAGGGAAGGGAAAATATAAATAAATAAATATTTTCAACATTGATGAGAAAAATATTTCTTAAACAAGACATCTAAATACATTATTTAAAAAGATTGAGAATTATGTTAAAGTTAAGAACTTTTATTTATCAAAATACGCTTTGAAAAATAAAAAATACAAGTTACAGACTGGAGAAATCTATTTGTGATACATAAAAATGCCAAAAGATTAGAATGAGCAACACAGAAATAACTCACAACTTGTTAGGAAAAGCACAAACAATGCAAGAGAAAAAAATGGACAAAGACATTAAAAAGTAAGTTGCAGAAGAAAAAACATACAAAGCCAATAAACATATGAAAAGATGTTTAACATCCCTAGGAATCAGAGAAATGCAAGTCAAGGCCACTAAGAGATGCCATTCTACATGCATTTGGCAGAATTTCAAGCAGTTGAAGCCAAGTGTTGGTGACGATGTGGATTCATGGTGTCTCTTTCACAGTGCAGGTGGGAGTGTCAATTGGTACAACCACTTTGTTTAAACCGTGTGACTTTATCTCCTACAGCTGAACATTTAGATACCTAAAACTCAACAATGAACACATGTTCAGCAGTAGACATTACCAGAATAATCACAGCAGCACAGTTCACAATAGCGAAACCCTGGAAACACCAATTATTGTTCATCAGCAGGAGAATAAATAAACTGGTGTGTTCTCACTATGTACGACAGTCAAAACACATTGATTGGAGTTTCTGTTTGAGAAGATGAAATAAGTTCTGAAATGGATGGTGGTGATGGTAGCACAAGAATGTGAATGTACTTAATGACACATAATTATACACTTAAAAATGGTCAGAATGGCAAATTTTATGTTATGCATATTTTACTACAATAAAAAGTTAATTATAGTAAACTTGACAATGTGGATATATCTTTGATAATATTAAGAAAAAAGAAATTTCCAAAGATGACATAGAGCATATCTTCTTAATAAAGTTTAAAAAACTAAAATTGAAAAAACGCTTTTTGTGGCTGGATCCAGTGGCTCACACTTGTAATCCCAGCACGTTGGGAGGCCGAGGCAGGTGGATCACCTGAGGTCAGGAGTTCGAGACCAGCCTGCCCAATATGGTGAAACCCCATCTCTACTAAAAATACAAAAATTACCTGGGTGTGGTGGTGCGTGCCTTTAATCCCAGCTACTCGGGAGGCTGAGACAGGAGAATCACTTGAACCTGGGAGGCGGAGGTTGCAGTGAGCTAAGATCACACCACTGCACTCCAGCCTGGGTGACAGAACAACTCTGCCTCGGGGAAAAAAAAAAAAAAAAGCTTTTTGAGAAAATATATCATAGAATTCAGGATGATAGTTACGCAAATTGAGAAAGTCATCTTATAGTTTAATATGTGCTATTATGAAGGGACTGGCTTTTGTTAGATGCCAGCTTCACAGGTATTTATCACATTAAAAGAAGAAATATGAAAGGGAACAAAAATGGATAGAAGAAAGAAGGGAAGGGAGGAGAGAGAAGGGGGTCCATTTGTAGGTCAAATATGAGATTATGCCATGAAGTAAGGATTTTGATTAATTGCACTTTGGTCACCTGGGACTCTTTTTAAAAAATGCTAAAATGGACTATTGTTTAGCAATACATACACAAGTGAAACATGTTTCTAAAAAGAAAAGGTATGGCTAACACAACAGACAGGACAGTGGCTGCACTGGGGTGAGACGGGTAATGCATTTGAGGCTTCCAACATCCTGGCTCTCAATTTCTTAAACTCAGCCATGGATACATGCTTGTCCATTTTATTATTATTTGTCATGCACACACATACTTTTCATGCACTCTTTTGTATGTATGATTTATTTGACAGAGAGTAAAAAAGAAGAAAGAAAATTTAATTAATTAGAATACAAAGAAACAAAAGAGAATTTTTAATGTTCTCTGAAAACACTAACAATCAAATCCCTGGCAAGTTTGATCAAAAAAGAAATAGAAAAGGCCCATATGGCTGGGCATGGTGGCTTACGCCCGTAATCCCAGCATTTTGGGAGGCCAAGGCGGGCAGATCATGAGGTCAGGAGTTCGAGACCAGCCTGGCCAACGTAGTGAAGCCCCATCTCTATTAAAAATACAAACATTAGCCGGGCATGGTGGCCCACACCTGTAATCCCAGCTACTCGGGAGGCTGAGGCAGGAGAATCGCTTGAACCCGGGAGGCGGAGGTTGTGGTGAGCCGAGATCATGCCACTGCACTCCAGCCTGGGCAACAGAGTGAGACTCCACCTCAAAAAAAAAAAAAAAAAAAAAAGGCACATCTATTCAGAATGATAAAGACAATATAACTGCAGTTACGGTAGATATTTTTTAACTCCCAGGAGAATACTATGCACAACTGTATGCCAATAAATTAGAAAACAGACAAAATAAGTAATGGTCTAGAAAAATGTGTAACAGGATATTAAAATGGGACTATCTCCACCTTAGCTTTAGCTGAGACTCTAGAGACCAAGAACAAGCTACCAAATGTTTCCCATTCCTAAACAAGATGCCAAACCACCTTGCCTCCACTGGACAAGCTAAGGCTTTGAAAACTAGTTCTGCCAGCACTGACCATCCCCAGGCCCAGCTGCTGAAAGGACACAAATTGGAGAGGCCTGGAAGAAGGAAAGATACCTTTGAAGATGGGAGTATAGGTAGGTGCTCAAACCAAGTGAGAGGGGCTTGAAGAGGCCCACTTATGGAGCTTTATGACTCCTCAGAACTGGGGAGTCTTTATGGCATACCTGAAAAATCTAAAGGTAAATCACAGTGATCGGACCTGCCTCACAGGAGAGTGGACAGGAGAGAGAAAGTGCTGTCTTATTGACAGTGGAAAAGGACAAATGAGCTTATCAAAGGGCAAGAGGGAAGAGGATAAGGAATCTGCCCTCTGAGGAATGGGAGCAAACAGAGAGGGTCTGGCAGAGAAGGCCAGATGGCTAGCTGGAGTCATGACATCACCATGCCAGAGGCATTGCAGCTGAAGTTCCCCATGGGGTGGGCAGGACTCAGAGAAATCCCTGAAATGCCAAGCAGAGAAAGCCAGCGCTAGACATCCATTGAGTTTAGAGAGCACCAGCCCCCTTAGAAATGCACCTGTCTTTTAAAACTGTGCCCTTTCCCTTACAACTCCCCTCTCTCTGAGACAGAGGCCTGCAGATTGAACATGGTAATATATTCATGATTCTATTTATCTATCTATCATCTATCTATCTACCTCTCTATCACATATCTAGCTATCTATCTACCTATCACCTATCTAGCTATGTATCTACCTATCACCTGTCTAGCTATCTCTCTACCTGTTATCTGTCTATCCAAGTAACACCTCAGAAAGCAAGGAGAGTTTAACTTCAGAAAAATGACTAACATAATTTATCAAATTAACAAATAAAAAAACTATACAAACATTTTGATAAAATTTACATCTATATTTTAATTCAAAGCTTCATGTTAAAAACAAAAGCCAAAAAAAGAAAAAAGAGAATTCTCATAGAGAATTTGGGAAAGCGGGACCTTCCTTAACCTGATTAAAGACATCTTTGAAAAATATGCAGAAAATATTGTACTCAGTGGTAAAACATTAGACATATTTTCTTTAAAATGAGAAATCATGTTTTCTAGAATTAAATCTAACAAAAAACTCTCAAGAGATTTATAGTATAGCAAGAAAAATGTAAAACTATATTGAAGGGTATTGAAGAAGACTTAAATAATAGAGTGGTATACCATGTCTACAGATGGAAAGACTCCATATCTTAAAAACAGCAATTTCTGCCAAATTATGGCTACAAATTTAATGTAATTCCCACTTAAATCCCAAAGGATTTTTTTCACAGGACTTGATTAAATGATCTTAAAATTAATACGGAAGTAAAGAGGGCTAAGAACAGCCAAGGCAACTTTGAAATAAAAGAACCAAAATTGAGAGACTTATCTTGCCAGATAAAACAAATTATTATAAAGCTATTGCAGTTAAAACAGTGTGATGTTGCTCTAAGAATAGGCAAATACACCATGGAATAAAACATAGAGCCCAGAAATAAACCTATAAACATAGGCAATATATAACAGGTATGGAATTACAAATGAGTATAATGAATTTTTCTGTAAGTAATGAATGAAGAAATGAATTATTCTATAAATAGTAATGGGAAAACTGGCTAACCACTTAAGAAAAAGGTAAAATTAGGCCTTTTCATCACATGGCACACACACACACAATTCAAGCAGATTAAAGATACAAATGTGAAAAATCAACACTTTTAAATTTTTAGAGAAAAAATAAATAGAAGAAATACAGAAGAATATTTCAGCATAGAAAAAAACATTTAATCAAAATACATTAACTACAAACTATATAGGAAATTTTTGAAATTTTAGAATATATTAAAATTTAAAATTTCTGCCTAACAAAGACTTTTATAAATGAAATGGAAAAGTCACTGATTGAAAAAAGATATTTTACCAACAAAGGATTAGTATTTAGAATATATAAAGAACTTCAACAAATCAGTAAGAAAAAGACAAACAATCCAACAGAGAATTGTGCAAAACATATGAACAGACAATTTACAGAAGAAAATAGTGACATGTATTAAAATAGACTTAATCTCACCAATAGTCAGGGAAACAAATTGAAACAATAGAAAGATTCCATTTCACACCAATCAGATTGGCAAAATCTTGCAAGTCTGATAACAAACTTGAAAGAAACAGGGAAAGGGAGTGCCTCTACTTGATGGGAAGGTGTATTGGTACAACCACTTTAAGGAGGAATTTGAGAATATCCTGTAGATTTAAAGATGTGCAAACCTCTCAACTCAGAAAAACCAATTATAAATAACCACCCTAAGGACAGTTTCTCACATGTGCAAGTACGAAGGTGTTCATCCAAGTCCTGTTTGTAATAGTGAGGAAGTGGAAATAACTATCACTAGGAGAATGAAAATCTAAAATGCGATTCATTCACCCAATAGAATATTATGCAGCAGTTAAAATGAACCAGACATATAATATTACTTCTCACATTTATCCACTACACTTTATAAATTCTACCTCCGTGATGTCTATTTGCTCCTTTCCATTCCCTTTATGCCAAGGCCCTGTCACAATTTTTGCTTAGATGATGCAACAGAGGCATAACTGGGCTCCCAGCTCCACATTGGCCCCTGGAAGTCACCCAGCAGCCAAAGGCATCTTTCCAAGGCATGCATCTGACAATGTCACTTGCCTACTTAGAACTCTCCCATGACTCTCTGAGACCTACAAGACAGAGCCCAAATGTCTCAGCAGAGCTTACAAAAGCCTCATCTTTCACCCAACAACCTTTCCAATCCAGCCTCACAGGACTGTCTGTGGTTCACCAGACATGCCAGCTGTTCAGCCTCCAGGCCTTGATTGTGTGACTTGCTCTCTTGGACGGGAGTGAGCTTTTCTCTCGCAGCCCCGTCCCACCCAGACTTATTTGCCTATCAAAGTGGATCAGCCTGGCAAGTGTCCACATTCATCTTTCAAGGCTCAGCTCACAAATCTCTGTGAAGAAATTTGCACACACCCATACCCCACTCCCCACTCCCTTATTCTTTTGTTTTCTCCGGCAATCCTCCAGCCACATCTCGAGGCACAAGACCAGGTTTTCTTCGGTGTGGGAACCAAGGCAAGTCACTTTCCACTCAGAGCCAAAGTCCACCCCTGTGCAACAGCACAGACCATTCTTTCCAGCTCTTCACGTAAACTAGCACACACTGGAGAGTTCTGGACATGGGTAGGAGGCTGCTTCCCTCTCCCAGGTGCCACTGCCCCTTCCCAGCCTTGTCAAACTGTATCAGTTTCTGTGGCTGCTTCTTGACTTCCATTCTCTGCATCCCTCATCAAGTTCATTCTCTGGAACCAGCTCTAAAGACTCACGAGTTGAGCCTAAAGATTCATTGTGTGAGAGCATCAGGAAGAGTGAACTGTGCCCAGCTCTGGCCCCCAGGAGAAGCCGATTGCACGGATGCTCAAAGCCAAACTCCCGAGTTCTCCTTCACTCCCACACAGGCAGCCCAGAGGTCCAAAGAGGAGGAGGCAGAGAAGACGCCATTGCAGAGGAAAGGAGAGAACCAGGAGAGCAAGCGTGGGCAGCCACCAGGGAGGAAAGAGTCTTGTTGAATGCTGCAGGATGTTCTCATAGCGTAAGGCCAGATCTTTCTGACAATAAACCAGAAGTAGTATCATCACCCCTGAACCCTACCCAAATGGTTTTAGGGCTATATTCTTGTGTAACTCTTTTTTTTTTTTTAATCTGTATGATAACAAGTCCTTTCTGTGGAAGGCTGATCCTGTTAAGTGGAAATCTTTTTGCCTGGTGAGCACCTTGACAGGTTTGAGTGTGTGCATTTGCAGGTTGGAGCAATGCTGAACTGCTCTGCAAAACAGAAGGAAATGTATTTGGACATCCAAGGGAGAGAAGGAGAGGGCATCCAAAAACAAAAGGAGGAAAGAAGGAAACCAGGAAGGTAGGGCAAGGTTAGGCAGTGTGGAGGGCAAAGAGCTGGGTCAACATTTTAAAACAAGGAAGGCTGCTGCATGATTCTAAATTACGTGTGGGGCGACGCTCACTGTGGCTTGCTCCCAAAGGGAAGTCTGTCATGCTCCCAGATCTTCATGTATGTGGGTCTCTTGGGGGTGGAGCAGCAATGGACTGATTTCACTTCTGGGCCATGTGAAGTGAAGAGAGAGAGAGGGTTACTGGATTTGCACCTCGAGAACATAGGGTCCCTCAGGGACTCATAGCAATCTTTGCAGGAGTGAAGGGGGCTTTGGAATGGGGATTCAAGCCATTCTGATAGATCTTAAGTGCCCCCAGTTGACATCTGGCTCATGCTTGTTAAGTGCAGAGCATCTAATAAACTCAGAGAAAACTGTTGACCTTTCTAAAGTATATCAAAGCCCTCTAGCATATCATTTCCTGAAGAATAAATGAACAAGTACACACATCTACCATGGCTTGCATGGTGTTTAACACTCCTTCCTTGCACTTGGCCACAGACCACAGCCACCCAGAGTTGGAAGAATCCACAGAGAAGGCCCAGGTGAAAACCCATTTACAGATGAGGCAATGGAGGCTCAGAAAGGAAAAGCAACTTTCTCAAGGCCACACAGCTAATGGGTACAGAGCTGAGGCTC
Source organism: Homo sapiens (assembly GCF_000001405.40). Classification (NCBI taxonomy): domain Eukaryota; kingdom Metazoa; phylum Chordata; class Mammalia; order Primates; family Hominidae; genus Homo; species Homo sapiens. Next base: position 69,489,404 of record NC_000015.10, on the reverse strand, counting down.
AAAGCCACATTTTCTGCCCCCCTGGTTTCTGTTTTTTCCCCAGAGTACTGCGGTTGCTGTGAGTTAGGCTGAAGCCAATTTGGGTTTGAGGGCATTTCATTAAAATGTGTCCTGGGAGTCAGAATAGGAGACAACGAGGCCTTGTTTTCTAAGTGAATCTCCAAGGGTTACGAGTTCCAAGCAAACACATTCCTGAATCTTTGCCACCACATTTAAAACCAGACTAGAAAAGTTATAAATGGGCTTTTTCTCTCTACAGATAAGAGAATCACAGAATGCTAGGTCTTCAAGAGACAGACTAGTGGGGTGTTTCCCTGGCCAGATTCCCTCTAGCCAAAGAATCTGAATTCTCCACCATGCACCTTTAAAGTTACTGTAGACAGATAACAGATGTGTGTCTATATTAGCTTCTCCAACAAACATTGTAAATATTTTAAAATCTTTTCTAGTTCTTTAATCAGAGAAAAACAACAATAGGCATTACACGAATTACATTCAATGTTTTGCAAAATATCTATTTATTTAATTAATCAAGATTCTTTAAGAATGGCATAATGTGGATAACTAATGAAGCCAGGTTCTGGGTACATAGGGCTTCATGATCTTATTCTATTTTATATATATATTATATATATTATATATAATATATATATATAAAATATATATAAGATATATAGAATATATTATAATAGAATATATATATTATATATAAAATATATATATTTAAAATTCCATAGTAAAAAGTTGAAACCATATGTATATTTTTAAGTCTGCTTCTCAAGTTAATGTGTCAGAAGTAAGGACTTCCATTATAAACATTTTGCCTATGGATTTTAAAAGTGCCAAATTGCCATCAACAAGTTCCAGTGTGTAGACCTATGCTTGTGTCAAAACTTTCATTTTAAAGATGTGAAAATTGAGATTCGAGATGGAGGGAGATGGCTGGGGGCACTGCACAACCACCATAAGTTGAGGTAGCAACGATGTCTCGTTAATCTTTATCACCATCACTTTACACTTGCATGCACATACATATGCACGCAAAGCACTGAGAGGGTATTGATAAATCCCATTTGGATGGCTCACATTCTAGACTCCCTGCCTCCCCGACAGATGCAGGTGCCCCGTAGCACCGCATCCCTCCTGCTAATCTGCACTTGCCCCATTCCTCCGGAACTCCTTACTACTCATCTGTCTCCCTGCTACTCTCTGAGCTCCCTGAAGGCAACAGTGAGGCTGTCCTCTCCCTCGGTCCTGGGCTGGGAAGGACCCTGCCCCACACAGAGTGGGAGTTCAATAAATAAATATTCCATTGTGTAAAAGTCAAGCCATGTAGCATTCTGGGCTTGGAGTAGGCAGTGGAGAGGAACACAGGAGAGGAGGCAAGTGGCTTAGAAAATGGAGCAAGAGCTTTCCTCCTCAACTTAGCTGCACTGCTTACTACCTGTCAGGCCTCATTCTCTTCAGCAACAAAATGGGAGTCATAAAGTTTAGTTTTCAGAGCTGGGGTGAAGAAGAGAGAATGAGTGTCCAGTGCCTGGCACATAGTAGGTGCTAAATAAAAGACTGTTGTGACTAAAATGATGATGCTGGGATGAAAATGACACCTGAAGCAGAACTTGAGGCAAAGGTGAGTGTTCCAAGCAGAGAGAGCCAAGGGCTACCAGGATAACTTTAGCCAAAAATCTACAGTTCAAGGACTTTTAATAAAAGTGGGGGAGGAAAGAGAATTCACAGATATTTAGTACTTTTATGTACATGACCTTAATTAATCCTCATGTCAGCCTGGGAGGTGGGTGTTTTTGTGCCCATGTCTACAAGAGAAAACATTAACACAAACAAGTTAAGTTGTTCACCCAGGTTCTCAAGGGTGTTATAACTGCAGGAACTTCTGGTATCTCATGCAGGAAGGGTTTCTGGGCTCCCAGGTACTCTCCCTATTCTCTAAATCAAATCAAGTCCTGGAAGGTGCTCAAAGCTCACCTTCTTTGGAAGCCAGGCCCTTGTGCCTTTGTTTAACAATGAACATGATTTCATTCCAGGCTGGCCTAGTTCAAGTTGACCTGAGCAGGGATGTTGTTAGGGAGGTGGGTGAAGGAGTGCAGAGCCTTCCTTTTCCCTCTCTGGTGCCCATCAGAAAACATGATGCAATGACTCTTCTCCATGCCTGTAACCCCAACTTCCCCAGCGTTCAGCTCTGAGTACCCTCTTAGACTTCTACCATCCCCTTAGGGACCATGGAGTCAGAAGCTTCAAGGGCCATGCCAGGGCAAGAGAAAGGGAGAACCTGGGTGCAAACTTGCCGGTGGTGTGACACTTGGTTGAGTGACTTCACTTCCCTGAGCCTCTGTTTCCTGCAAAATGGGAATAGAGATGTTCACCTCACAGGTTGCTGCGAGAGTCTTCAAGATGACCATGGATAGAAAATGTACAGTCCATAGCATGCACTCACCAAATGCCAGCTTCCTAGGCTGTCATCCACAGCCCCCACACTTCCTTCACTGTGACCTTGGCCATTTCTGTGTGTCACCACCATGCACCATGAGCTTAATATTTTTCTATAACTTGACTCACTTTAAAAACTCAAACTCACTTCCACAAATAGAAAACCAGTAGTACTCAAAAGGCATTTATTCATGTGTTTAATCAATAATTATCCAGCACTCACCATGTACCAGGTACTATTCTGGGGGCCAGGGGTGTAGCAGTGAACCAATGACCCCTCACCCTCATAGAGCATGCTCTCCAGTCAGACAGCAAACAGAATATGACATCAGTAGCTGTGCATGCTGTAAAAATGAAGACACCAAGGAACAGGGCTAAACTAGAGGAATGGAGGAGCAGGAACTCATGTAGTGAGGTCAGCAGAAGTGAATTTACCCCGAGGTAATAAAGCTAAGCTTTAGGGCCCCTTGCTCACTTGGGTCCCTTCTTGTTCCCACAATAAATGCTTCCTGACCAAATTTTGTATTCACAATTGTGTATTCTTTTTCCTAAAAACCACTCTCAAAAATCACATAAACATCAGGCTCCACAAAGCTTGGCTCTGCTCCCAGAGGTCATGAAAGGCCTCTCTGAAAAGGTGACATTTGAGCATGGACCTGAATAATTAGAAAGGAACCATTAAAATGAGCAAAGTAAGATTCTTGGCCCTGAGACAGGGAGCCAAGAGATTCTGAAAAGGTCCCAAGTTATCTGCTTTGTAGAGTTAAAAGGCTACATTTAAACTTATATCTCAGGTCAGATCTCAAATAAAGGTGACCTGAAAGTTTCTGCATCTCCCCAGAGTCCCCACCCGTGCTAAGGCCTCAGCCAGGCCTGAGAAGCAGGCATGGGAGACAGCAGGAGAGCTTAAGAGTATAAGAAGCACTGGTAGGCCTGGGGTCACAGGGAATGGCTGCAGATAGAGACAAGAGGAGGAAGAAATCAGGACAGACAGTACCAAGTGCTGATGAGGACGTGGAGCAACTGGAATGCTCATATACTGCTAGTGGAAATGCAAAGTGGTATAGCCACTCTGGAAAACAGTTCAGCAATTTCTTATAAAATTTTCATTTTATTCAACCTATGGCTCAGTCATTGCTCTCCCTGGTTTTACCCTAGAGAAATGAAAACTTATGTTCACACAAAAATCTGTACATGGCAGTTTCTAGGAGCTTTATTCATAATAGCCAAAACTGGAAAAAAGCCAAAAATAGCTCAGGTGTCCAACAACAGGTGAATGGATGAACAAATTCTGGTCTATCCATACAATGGATTACTCCTCAGCATGACAAAGGCACAAACAACTGATCTACCCAACAACATAGTTGAGTCTCACAGACATCACGCCGAGTGCAAGAGCCAGACACGAAATAATCTGTCTGTATAGCTCCATCATCCAACACTCCAGCTACCCCAACCGAAAGCAGGTGGAAGGCAGGTACAAAGGGACATGAGAGAACTTCAATCAAAGAGAAGATTGAAATGTTCTATCCTTTGATTGTGGCATATTATGCCCTGGTTACAGATGCATACACTGAGGCCTATGGTCACATAGCCAGCTACATGGTGACCTACCCTGCCTGGGCAAAGCGGGCAAGCCCAGATCCTCTGATCTGGAAGCCCAATTCTTTCCCTTCCCTCTTCTCCATACATCCTCCTCCATGCAGAGGGGACATGAGCTGGGAGACCCTTCACTGAACCCCAGTGGCCCAGAGCCTAGCACTGGGCTGGCAGAGCCGAAGAGAGAGTTAGAGGGAGCTCTGAGAACTCGTGAGCTTGTAATTGTGGGGCTGTGGCTAGGCGCCACTGTAAGGAAGCGCTCCTTCCTGGGCAGGGCACACCCAGTGGTGTGAGGGAGTGGACTGGGAGGTAGCCCTGGCTTTACCCAGAAAGATCCTGTTTCCCCTGGCACTTTTTCCAGCATGGTCTGCCAAGAGAGATTAAGATCACAAAGAGCAACACGATGCTGCTGGAGAAGGAGATTAGTGGATTCTGGGGTGCTTGTCTCCCTGAGAAAGGCGGTTTGTTTGAGATCTGACTCCAATCCCAGGATGAAGCTATGCCAGGTCCCACTGGAGCTGACATGAAGAGAGAGAAGGCCCCTGAGGCAGGGAGCCTCTGGCCAAACCTAACAGGATGGAGCTTCCAGAATCCTGAGGGAACCATGGAGGAGGCTCTGGGGTCCCATGGGAGCCGTAGCTCCAGCACCTCCTGCTGATGGTGAACTCTGCTACAGTGTTGACTGAGAACACAGGTGGCCTTGGTCCTGCAGAGCTGGTCCAGAATGGAAAGAACCTGGCTGGTTTGCTCCAGAGTGCGATGGCCTGGACCCACAGGTGTTGGGGGAAGTTCGTCACTCAAAAGGGAGGGGAAGGACTAGCCAGTTGACATGGAGGCTGGCAGAACTTTTTCAAAGTAAAATGTAAAACGTGAAAGGTTTTTGATGTTATCGCTGTTTGGAGCACATTGAGACACCTCCTGGTGACCCAAGAATCTTCTGTCGCTTTTCTACTACCTGCAGTGGCTTTAGAATGGGAAGATTAAGGAGAAAGTTCCAGGCCCTACGATTGGGCCAACTGCAGGGAAGAGATAAAGAAACAGCTGAAACTCACAGTGAAAGGAAAATCAGACGCCACTGAGGCAGCAGTCTGAAGCCAACGTGGATGGGGACAGTTTGCAGGAATTTGCATCTTACAGGGCCTTGGGTTCCCTCAGGCATGAAATGAGGACTTCAGTCACGCCCTTTCAGATTTTCAGGGGCTGGGGCCACTGGCTGCCATCTGAGATACATGTTCACAGGGGATGGGAGCAGATGGAAAAGCTAACACGGTGCATCTTCTACTCTCAAAGAGCATCCAGTGTAGTTCAGCAGGTGAGCCAGGCTCCCAGCAAGCTTAGGAGAGTAGAAAGGGGCACAGCGGAAGGAACAGAGAGAATGATGGAAGGAGATGGAGGGAGAGGGAGAGAAAAAAGAATGGGAAGAGGGACCAAATAACACTCTTGCTATCAGAATCAAAAGCAGATGGAGGGCGGGTAAAACAGGACACAGAGAACTTTCTGGGGAGATTGAAATCTTCTGTCTTTTGATTGTGATATATTATACCTTTCCCTTTGCACTGCGCACAGGGCAAGAGACACATTGCACGTGTTCTGGAATTTGGACTCCCACCAACTGCTAATCTGCTCCTAGTTTCATCTCCCCCAGCCACTTGTACCAATGCCCTCTTGACACCACTGCAGACCCCCTTGTCCTTCTTTCTCATCCCTGTCAGCCCCGAAGCTACCAGCTCCACGCAGCTTTGCTTGTTTTGTGAAGGTGCAAGCTGTCCCAGTCTCACCTCTGACTCCTCCCTGCCCTCTTTCATCTGCCCCAGGCTTTCCTGCCTGAGTGGCCCCGAACCCACCTGGTGCTCACCCAAATGCAATGTAGCATAAACACTTCATGGGTTACCCGGATCAAAGGGGGGATGAATAAATGGCATCCCTTCTTTCCCAGGCAGGCAGTTCTGGGACTCATTTTCAGGAGGCTTCTTATAAGGCCCCACCATATTGAGCAGAAGCAAGTCCGTCATGCCTCCTTGGACCAGTTGCCCCCTTCCCAGCTTCCTAGGAATGTACTCAAAGAACTCATCCTGCAAAAGCCTCTGATTTGGGCCCTGCTCGGGGGAAACCAGGCTAGGATACCCTCATCAAGATGTATCTGCAATGCCATCTGGGAAGAAGCACCTTGGGACTGTGGGGTTGGCTTTCTTGGAAGCCAGGAGTGCCCTGAACTCCCCATCCCAGCAGCAGATGCGCAGGCTTTGCAGACCATTGGGCCCCACCTCCCAGCCTCTCTGCTTGGCTCCCACATCCTGACTTGACTGTGTTGAAAGGCCCAGTCTGGTCCCTAGACTGAGTTCTATAAATAGCCAGTAGGTGTGTTTACCAAGAGTCACTAACCTTCCACTAGCAGGGACAACACGATACATTAGTTACTTGATGTTTGGAGGTTGCTTTGCTTAAGGCAAAGTGACTGATCCACCAGACCTGTCTGGTGGCCTGTATTCCAATTTGCCAGCCTGAGATCCTGGCGTAAAGCCCAGAGCTGCCGTCCATCTGGATGCTAGGTGCCTGGGTTCCCAGCTCAGTTCTACCATGGGCACTGTATGACCCTGGAGAAATCTCCAGGCCTCTTTGCCCTTTCCCTGTGAACTGAAAAAGAATGAGACATTCTCCAAAGTCCTTCAAGCTGCAACAGGACTAGAAAATCATACTACCTCCTGTGCTCGGAGAAACAAAGCTCAGGTCTACCCTCAGAACTCCACCCCAGGTAACATTCTCCCTGCACAACCACTCCTTAACAGAACATATGTATCTTCACTCCAGGGCTTGTTGGCCGGTATTTACATGGGGAAAAATGTGTGTATATGTCTCCAAAATTCAATATAACTTTTTTTAAAGGAATAATGTACAGGAAGAGAATTAAGGTGCATTCTAAATACAATTAGTAGACTGTCTGAAAGAAGTTATGTTTTGAAAAACATGAAAGTGGTGGCTAGGCGTGGTGGCTTGTGCTTGTAATTCTAGCACTTTGGGAGGTCAAGGTGGGCAGATCACTTTGGGCCAGGAGTTTGGGACCAGCCTGGCCAAAATGGCAAAATTCTGTCTCTACTAAAAATACAAAAATAAGCTGGGCATGGTGACACACACCTGTGATCCCAGCTACTCAGGAGGCTAAGGCATGAGAATCACTTGAACCCAGGAGGCAGAGGTTGCAGTGAGCTGAGACTGAGCCACTGCACTCCAGCCTGGGTGACAGAGCAAGACTCCATCTCAAAAAAAAAAAAAAAAAAAAAAAAAAGGAAAGAAAGAAAGAGAGAGAAAGAAAGAAAGAAAGGAAAGAAAGAAAGAAAGAAAGAAAAGGAAAGAAAGAAAGAAAGAAGGAAAGAAAAACATGACGGTGACAATGAAGTGGGTGGTGCCGCTTGGCTGTTGCTGGTACTAAGAGAGGCCAGGTTCCTGTTTACAGAGCAACTGCTTGTTAATGTCTATATTAATTATGTGGTGACCAAGAAGCAAAGCTTTAAGCATCTTACAACCTAGTATGACTGTTGGTTACAAATATAAGCATTTTACTGTATTTTAGTTAGAATTTAGGAAATTGGTTAAGGGGCTGGGTTAACCAGTAACAATATAACTTTTTTCCCTTTAAGAATAATGGAAAGACTATAAACAAAAAGAGATGAAAGGAAAGGAAATATGTTCCCAGAAGCATTTTCACACAGAACATCTCATTGTGGGGGATAGATTACTGACATTAAACAGGAGATGTCATGCAGTCTTCCCAACTGACAGGGCAGCTATATTCTTGGAAAATTTGGTATACTTTAAAGCCTTGCAAATATGCTTGATGTTTATTATGTAAAGCAAAGTTGAGTTTTCAGATTAGATAATCATCTAATCTACATCAGTGTCCTGAGAGACATTCGAAAGTCACGTGGAATGCAAGACAGTCCCCTATTGTGAGATGACCCACGCATTGTAGAGTGTCTTGTACCCTTGGTTTCTCACAGGCCACCCAATCATGCCAGCAGTGGCTTCTTAACATTGTGACCACCAGAAATACCCTACACACACATTTTTAAAGGGCCTCCCGGGGCGTTCCCATCTGCATGGAAAATTTGCCCTAAAGAAGAGTCACCACATACACTAGGGTAGCTGTGGGTTGGGTGCGGGAATGGGGCATTTATCATTTATTGAAGGTTTCAAGAACTTCCCCATTCTTTCCATGAGCTTTGTTAGTTTTTTCTTTTGTAAGACATGGGTGCAGTTTGAGACAAGGTCTCACTCTGTCACCCAGGCTGGAGTGCAGGGGCATGACTCACTGCAGCCTCAACCTCCCAGGCTCAAACAATCCTCTCACCTCAGTCTTCTGAGTAGCTGGCACACACCACCACACCCAGATATTTTTTTTAATTTTTAGCAGAGACAAGGTCTTGCTATGTTACCCAGGCTGGTCTTGAATTCCTGAACTCAAGCAATCCTCCCACCTCGGCCTCCCAAAGTGTTGAGATTACAGGCGAGAGCCACCACACCCAGCTTCTGTGAGCTTTTGAAAAAAAAAAAAAAAAAGTGCAATGGCATTCTAATATCATAAAAATTTGCTCTTTAAAGTGTACAATTCAGTGGTTTTTAGTACATTCACATTCATAAAGTTGTACAACCATCACCACTATCTAATTCTAGAACATCTTCATTGCCCTAAAAACAAACCCTGTACCTGTTAGTTGTCATGCCCCATCCCCCTCTCCTTCAAGCCCCAGCAACCACTAATCTACTTCCGTCTCTATGGATCTGTCTATTCTGGACATCACATAAATGGAATCATACAGTATGTGGCCTTTTGTGTCTCTGGGTTTTTCACTTAGCATAATATTTCCAAGGTTCATCTATGTTGTAGCCTGTATAAGTACATCATTCCTTTTTAATGGCTGAATTCACTTATTCAAATCATTGTATGGATATATACTAATTTATCAATTCATCATTTGATGGATGGTATTTCCTCTTGTTAGCTATTTTGAGTAATGCTGCTATGAATATTCACATAGGAGGTTTTGTGTAGATCTATTTTTGATTCTCTGGAGTATACACCTAGGAGTGAATTGCTGGGTCATATGGTAACTCTGTTTAACTCTTTGAGTAACTGCCAAACTGTTTTTCCAAAGTGGCTGCAGTACCACCCACTACGCATGAGGGCTCCAATTTCCCCACATCCTCGTCAACACCTATGGTTATCCATCTTTCTAATAATTGCCATCCTAGTGAGTATGAAGTGGTATCTCATTGTGGTTTTGATTTGCATTTCCCTAATGATTAATGACACCAAGCTCTTTTCATGTGCTTGTTGGCTATTTGTATATCTTCTTTGGAGAAATGTCTTTTCAAGTCCATTGCCCATTTTTAAATTGGGCATTTGTCTTTTTGTTGTTGAGTTGTAAGAGTTATTCACATATTCTGGATACAAGTTTATTGTCAGATACACAACTTGCAAATATTCTCTTCTATTCTGTGGGATAATCTTTCACTTTCTTGATGGTATCCTTTGAAGCACAAAAGTTTGTGATTCTGATGACGTCCAGTGTCTTCATTCTTCTTCGTTCTGTGTGCCACAGGTTTTTGAACCAGTTGCCCTGGCAGCCACACCTGCCCGAGCAAAGCCAGGCAATGAGGCTGCTGTGACTTGAATGGAGGCAACATCCTTCCAGTTTCAAAGTCTCTTGCTGGGATTTCATAAATAGAGTCTAATTTCTCTGGATAAAAAACTATGCCTGCCCAAGTTCAAATCTCCTCAGAATGGGTAGCTCCATCCCTAATAGTCATTCATGCCTTAGGGAAAACTACTCTCTCAGACCCTTCCTTACAGCAGACTGTGCTGAGTGGTGTGGAGAGAGGATAGGGACCCTGATCCTGGGGACAATGTAATCCAGGAGGGACAGAGGAAAGGCATGTTGGACAGTGTGGAAGGCCCATGCCACCTCTTTACTGAGAAAAGTTGTCCAAAAGCTGTCTTGTCCATGGGCCTTAGCTAGAAGCCTATCTGTTCTTTACCTCAAACCACACTTTCACATTTAGCCAGCAAAGGGCCCCGTTAAAATGCACATATGTTTCCTGGATGGGGACGCACTCGCAGGATGCTGAAGCTGGACTGAGAGGGATCCCAACACTTATCTCTTGCAGCTCCTCTGGATCTAAGTGAAGAAATCGAGGCCCAGAGAGGGCAAGGGACTTATTCCAGGCAACACAGGCCTCAGCAAATTCATAGCAGAGCAGGGACCACACTGCCCTCCTCCTCCCCACTGACCTCCAGCAAACCTGTTGGCCCAAATGGGATTCTTAGGCATCTGGAGACAAGCAAGTCTGTCAGGGCGTGGGCAGTTTCCTTGGCAGAAAGAGACTCAGATACTCCAGTGTCCCAGAAAGTGAGCCCCACTGAAGAACCAAAGCAGGTGTCCACAGCAGCACAGGGGCTCTAGACACTGAAGGGCAGGGGCCTCGCCTCTTTGGGACTACCCTGCAAATCACATGACCCTTAATAGCAACACTGGCTGCCCTTCATTGAGTGCTCATAGATGCCAGACACTATGCTAAGAAATTTACACGCATCATTGCCTTGATCCTCCTGAGAGCCCCATGAAACAGGTGTTAATTTTTGTTCAATGAGGCCACTGAGGCTCCAAGAGGTTAAGTACCTGCCCGGGGTCACGTAACTAGAAAGTGCTGAGCGGATTTTCAATTACAAATCCACAAACTCCAAAGCCAGTGCTTGCAATGACCATACTGATCCTGATTTCGGGAGGTCCCTCTAGCTCTCAGCTCTCAGGTTCAAGTTTCCTCAGTAGGTGAGTGGGCTGGGATGCTGCTGCCTGTCTATTTCAGGCTGAGCTCCGCTCCTAAGCACTCAAAGCCCGGGGTCTGTTTCCCCAGGGAAGCTGCGTCTCTCTGCCGAGGGCGTAGCGCCCCCTGCTGCTCACTCCCACGCTCTTCTGCAAGAGCCTTTAATGCTGCAGGGCCACCTGTTACAAGAGACCCTTGGGGGTCCTCGAATGAGACCCCCACTTTCCCACTAACACCTTTATCCTCTTGAAAGCCCTCTTGGTTTTCAGGCAAAACAGAGAGGAAAATAAATGTTTATTTCTGGCCTTCTAGGTCTATGCCTAGGGGACCCCAAAAAACCCACATCTTTTTATCCTTCCATCACAAAACCGGCAAAGAGGAACTCTGGACTTTGTATCAGATACTAACTGTCAGATACTTCATATCGGGAAAAACTCCTGTTCTCCGTGGTCCTGCAGACTTGTGCAACTGAGTCTCTCATGTGCAAAATGGAGACAAAAGTGCCTACCTTTCTTCTGGGAAGAAAAAATGAGATAGTGTATGTTTAGGGCCCTGCATTTGGTAGGTACTTAATAATCAAGCTCTTCTTCCTGAGCCGCAGTGTTCTCTTCTGCTGAATTTTTTTTTTTTTTTTTTTTTTTTTAGATGGAGTCTCGCTCTGTCGCCCAGGCTGGAGTGCAGTGGCACAATCTTGGCTCACTGAAACCTCTGCCTCCCGAGTTCAAATGATTCTTCTGCCTCAGCCTCCCAAGTAGCTGGGACTACAGGCGTGTGCCACCACGCCTGGCTAATTTTTTTGTATTTTTAGTAGAGACAGGGTTTCACCATATTGGGCAGGCTGGTCTAGAACTCCTGACCTCAAGTAATCCACGTGCCTCGGCCTCCCAAAGTGCTCAGATTACGGGTATGAGCCACCACGCCTGGCCTGACTTTTATTTATTTATTTTTTATTATTATTATTATATATTTTTTTGAGACAGAGCCTCACTCTACCACCCAGGCTGGAGTGCAGTGGTGCGATCTGGACTCACTGCAATCTCTGCCTCCCACGTTCAAGCAAGTCTCGTGCTTCAGCCTCCCAAGTAGCTGGGATTATAGGTGCCCGCCAATATGCCCAGCTAATTTTTGTATTTTTAGTACAGATGGGGTTTCACCATGTTGGGCAGGCTGGTCTGAAACACCTTACCTCAAGTGATCCGCCCACCTCGGCCTCCCAAAGTGCTGGGATTATTGGGCACTTGCTCAATGCGGGTACCTGGCCTTCACCTGCATTACTTCACTCATATCACAGTAATATGCAAGATAGAACAGGGAAACCAAGGGCTGGGTGCCCAGAGGAGTCAAACAACTTGCCCAAAGCCACACAGCTGGCCAGAGGTGGAGCCAGAATTCCAACCCAGGCAGGCTGGCTCCCGGTGCCAGGCTTGCAACCCTCACAGTGTCTTCTGGCAGCAAGATGGCTAGGACAATGCCTTGTACACTATGGAACGTGCAGAGTCTGTGCAGGGCTGGGGTGACATGCAGGAGGAAGAAATTAGACAAATTAGGAATTAATCATTGAAAAAACGAGGCTACAGTGAGGAGGCTCTTAGGACTTGGGATCATCTCGGCAGACTTCCTGGAGGAGGTGAGGACTGAGCCAAATCTCACTATGTCAAAGGGTCCAACAGTCAGAGTGACTGGCGGAACTGGCTGCCCTCAGGAAAAGTGCCTATCAAAGAAGAGTGACATTTCTCAACCTCACAGGAGCTGAGAGAAAGCAAGACAGGATGAGACTGTCAAAAATAATGAACACATTGCTTGGGCAGGTGTCTGTACAGGCCAGGCACAGTATTAAGTGCTCTATAAGAATTATCTCCTGCCGGGCGCAGTGGCTCACACCCAGCACTTTGGGATGCCGAGGCGGGCAGATCACCTGAGGTCAGGACTTTGAGACCAGCCTGACCAACATGGTGAAACCCCGTCTCTTCTAAAAATACAAAAAAAGTAGCCAGGCATGGTGGCATGCACCTGTAATCCCAGCTACTTGGGAGGCTGAGGTGGGAGAATCACTTGAACCTGAGAGGCGGAGGTTGCTGTGAGCCAAGAATGCACCATTGCACTCCAGCCTGGGCAACAAGAGTGAAACTCCATCTCAAAAAAAAAAAAAAAAAAAAAAGAATTATCCTTTAATCCCCCAATACCCTTGTAGGGCAGCTACCATTAACATGCCCCCTTTACACTTGAAGAAGCTGGGCTTGGGGGTGACTCCAAAGCCTTTCCTACGTCTCACAGCAACTAGAGAAGGAGCCAGGATTCGAACCCAGAAAGCCCAACTCAGGCCTCTGCTATACACTCAAGCCACGCAGCTACACCTCCTGGGAGAAGAGCCCCTGGCAGGGGTCACGTTTTGTGTCATCTCCATGTAGACAGCTCTCCTGGACACTCTCCCTGGTGGCTTTGCCCTGGACTGAGGCAAAACAGGAAGAAGGAGAAAGCCTCTCTTTCTCCTTGTGTCCCCAGCATCCAGAAGGTGCCAAATGGAGGATGCTTGAAGAATGAAGGAACCGGTCCTGCAGGGAAAGATGGATTACCCGTGTATCTGCCGCCCCCTCCTGCCCCAAAGGAGAACTGCAAGGCTCACCTCCCTTTCACCCCACTGGAAAGCGGGTGGAGGCAGGACTTCCCAAGCCCTCTCTGAAGAAGGACCAGGTTGCCACTGGTCTTTTGTTCCTGTTTATAATTTTTTATTATTAATTGCATACATTTATGTGGTCTTATGTGATGTTTGATATATGTATACAATGTGGAATGATAAAGTCTAGCTAATTTTAACAAATCCATCATCTCGCTTACCATTTTTGTGGTAAGAACATTTGAAATGTACACTGTTAGCAATTTTGAAATATACAATACATTATTATTAAGGATAGTCACCATGCTGTGCAATAGACCTCAAAAAAGGTATTCCTTCTGTCTAACTGAAACTTTTACCCTTTGACCAACATCTCTCCCCATTTCCCCACCCAGGGCATCCTCCCACCTAAGCCTCCTGAGTAGCGTGTACCACCACACCTGACTATTTTTTGTATTTTTTTGTAGAGATAGGATTCCACCATGTTGCCCAGGCTGGTCTCATACTCCTGGCTTCAAGCGATCCTCTCCTCTTGGCCTGCCAAAGTGCCAGGATTACAGGCTTGGGCCACTGCACCCTGCCAAAAGTCTCTATGTTTACTCTTACATTCTCAGCAGGTACTTACTGTACCTGTCTCCATATAGACAAGTAACAATATTTTGAGAGCCAATGCAGTCCACAGACTATGCTGTGAGAAGCACGGGTCCAAAGAGGACAAATGACAGGCCAGAGGCCACCCAGCCAGCACGAGGAATCCATTTCCTCATGCACTACCTCAGCAGACAGCCAGGACTCCTCTGCCGTTTTGAGACTCAGGTCCCACTGCTGACTCAGGGTGCAGCTCTAGATCTGCAGCTGGAACTGAGGGGTAGCTCAGGACAAGGACAGAGCCCCAGGGACAGTGGCTCAAAGTCGGCCCCTGAGCTCAGCCCTCCCCATCTGTGAGAAACAGGCAGAGAGCAGAAAGGTGGATGCTGTCTCAGTCAAGGAGTCAAGACGGCCTCTGGAAATGCAGGCTGGGAGGGAGGGATGGGATCTGAACCTGACATGGGGCTGCGGATGGTGGCACCCTGGGTGGCTTTTTGTTTTGTTTTATTTATAGACAGGGTCTTGCTCTGTCACCCAGGCTAGAGTGCAGTGGTGCAAACACAGCTCACTGCAGTCTTGACCTCCTAGGCGCAAGCGTTCCTCCCGCCTTGATCTTCCGAATTGCTGGGACTACAGGTGTGTGCCACTGTGCCCAGTCAAGCACCCTGAGTTTGAGAGCAAAATTGTCTATGATGACTTCCCTAAATTTATATCCTTGTCTTAGGGCTCAAGACAATTCTGGGGCTCTCACGAGGAGTGGGGATTCCTGCTGATATCACATCTTCTCAGGAGGCTGAATCACAACTTCCTTTGGAGACAGTCATTAAAAAACAATCCTCCTTCATAGCTGAGCTTTCCTCTCCGTCTCACGCCTAGGTCGGTGCTTCCTGCACTGCCTCCACGGGTCTCCCCACCTCCCTCCCTCAGGCACTTTTCCACTTTTCCAGGAGCTGGAGGGTATTTCTTCAACAAAAACCCACTGTGTCACTCCCTCCTTGAGGCATGAGGATAAAGAACATTCTAGAGAGGCCAGGCATGGTGGCTCACACCTGTAATTTCAGCACTTTGGGAGACTGAGGTGGGCGGATCACTCGACCTCAGGAGTTCGAGACCAGTCTGGTCAACATGGCGAAACTCCATCTCTACCGAAACTACAAAAATTAGCCAGGCATGGGGGCATGAGCCTGTAATCTCAGCTACTTGGGAGGCTGAGGTACCAGAATGACTTGAACTCAGGAGGCAGAGGCAGAGGATGCAGTGAGCCGAGATCACGCCACTGTACTCCAGCCTGGGTGAAAGAATGAGACTTCGTCTCAAAAAAAAATAGAAAGAACGTTCTAGAAGAATGTCCCATCACTACAGTAGCCACTAGTCCATGTAGCCATTGAGCACTTGAAGTGTGGCTACTGCCACATGTTGAAATGACAATATTTTGGATATATTGAGTTAAATAAAATACATTATTAAAATTGAGCCAGGTGGGCTAGGCACAGTGGCTCAAGGCTGGGTGCGGTGGCTCACACCTGTAATCCCAGCACTTTGGGAGGCCAAGGTGGGCGGATCACAAGGTCAGGAGTTTGAGACCAGCCTGACCAACATGGTGAAACCCTGTCTCTACTAAAAAAAATACAAAAATTAGCCGGGCATGGTTGGTGGCGTATGCCTGTAATTCCAGCTACTTAGGAGGCTGAGGCAGGAGAATCGCTTGAACCCAGGAGGTGGAGGTTGCAGTGAGCCGAGGTAGCGCCACTGCACTCCAGCCTGGGTGACAGAGCGAGACTCCATCTCAAAAAAAAAAAAAAAAAATTGAGCCAGGTGCCTGAAATCCCAGCACTTTGGGAGGCCGAGGTGCGTGGATCACTTGAGGTCAGGAGTTTGAGATCAGCCTGACCAACGTGGTGAAGCCCTGTCTCTATTAAAAATACAAAAAGAACGCCGGGCGCGGTGGCTCACGCCTGTAATCCCAGCACTTTGGGAGGCCGAGGCGGGTGGATCATGAGGTCAGGAGATCGAGACCATCCTGGCTAACAAGGTGAAACCCCGTCTCTACTAAAAATACAAAAAATTAGCCGGGCGCGGTGGCGGGCGCCTGTAGTCCCAGCTACTCGGGAGGCTGAGGCAGGAGAATGGCGTGAACCCGGGAAGCGGAGCTTGCAGTGAGCCGAGATTGCGCCACTGCAGTCCGCAGTCCGGCCTGGGCGACAGAGCGAGACTCCGTCTCAAAAAAAAAAAAAAAAAAAAAAATACAAAAAGAAATTAGCTGGGCATGGTGGAGGGCGCCTGTAATCCCAGCTACTCAGGAGGCTGAGGCAGAAGAATCGCTTGAACCCAGGAGGTGGAGGTTGCAGCGGGTCGAGATTGTGCCACTGCTCTCCAGCCTGGGCGACAAGAGTGAGACTCCGTCTCAAAAAATAATAATAATAAAATAAAAGTTATTTAGCTTGTGTCCTTTTCCATTTTTGAATGTGGCTCTAGGAAGTTTATAATCGCCTAGGCGGCTCGTCCTATTTCTATTGGGCAGGGCTACTCTGAGCTTGGCTCTCACCCAGTCATCTCTTCAACTGCCACTCTCCTTACACTCAGTTCCATCCACACCACATCCCTGCAGTTCTATGGATGTTTATCTAGCTACTCCGTGTTGTTTAACAGCAGCTTTCTCTGCAGCCAAAACATCTCCTTCTCCAGGAAGCCTCCCTAACACCTTCCCACACAAGCCCACCCCTTTGCCCCACCCTTGCCTCCTGACAGCTGCTGCTCCTTACCACAGACCTCCTAAACACAGTATAACCCTTGAAGGGTCTTTATTCCACCAGATAAGAGAATTTTAAGAGTTAGGACTTGATCTAATTAATCTCTGCATCTCTGACATCGAAAGCAGTGTTTGCCTAATAGATAATTCGTGGATACATGCTGAATAATTCAATGAGTGAATGAATTAGTAGACAAATGCGTCCAGTCCATAGAAGGAAAGGAGAATTAAAACAAACTCCTGCACCTGGGAAGGAGCAGACTGTCAGGCAAATCATCAAGACTGGATTCTGGGAACAAAACCAAGCCCAACAGGGGTACTGAGAGCTGGGTGGCAGGTGGCAGGCTAGGCCCACTCACTCGCTTGTCAGCAATTCACTCCATTCTACCAACCTTGTGGCACACTCACTTCAAAACCAGGCCACAGGAAAATCACATGTTGCTACAGGGACCTCCAGGGCACCTAAACCACATCTACCAAATCCAGGACTACCAGGGACACGTAGTGATGCAGTTGGACCATTCTCAAGGCTCCCCACGTGAGAAGTGTTACGCTATCTCCTCCAGGGATTGCAAACTCAAATGGCTAGGCACGAGTGCACTTGAGGCAGAGTAAAGACTATAGAAGGGGGGCGCAGAGAGGAGTTGAAGAGGTGGCACATGCCCAACCCAAAAGGACAGCAGCAGCGGTGCTGACTGCACCATCAGACACATACCATCCAGATCCTCCAACGTTTAACAAGAAACCAGAAATCCACAACTTGGGTAGTTTCTAAATTTATTTTTTTCGAGACAGTCTTGCTCTGTCACCTGGACTGGAGTGCAGTGGCATAACCATGGCTCACTGCAGCCTCAACCTCCTGGGCTCAGGGGATCCTCCTGCCCCAGCCTCCCATGTAGCTGGGACTACAGGTGTGTACTACCACACCCGGCTAACTTTTTAATTTTTTTGTAGAGCTGGGGGTCTCACTTTGTTGCCCAGGCTGGTCTCAAACTCCTGGGCTCAAGCACGCCTCCCATCTTGGCCTCCCAAAGTGCTGAGATTACAGGCATCAGCCACCGTGCCTCACCTGCTTCCCAATTTTTTAAATTCTATACATCATGCTCCTTGGTATTCACCCAAAGGAGTTGAAAAAAAAAACTTATATCCACACAAAACCTGCACACAGGTGTTTATAGCAGCTTTATTCATAATTGCCAAAACTTAGAAGCAACCAAGATGTTCTTCAGTAAATGAATGGATAAACCATGTCACAACCAGATAGTGGAGTATTATTCAGTGCTAAAAAGAAATGAGCTACCAAGCCATGAAAAGACATGGAGGAACCTTAAATGCACATTACTAAGCGAGAGAAGCCAATCTGAAAAGGCTACAGACTGCACGATTCCAACTAGACGACATTCTGGAAACAGCAAAACTATGGAGACGGTAAAAAGATCAGTGGTTGCCAGGGTTGGGGGAGGGAGGGATGAACAGGTGGAGTGCAGGGGACTTTTAGGGGAGTGAGACTGCTCTGTGTGATGCCTCAATGATGGATGCACGTCATTCTACATTTTCCAAATCCACAGAATACACAGCACCAAGAGCAAACTCTCATGTAAACTATGGACTTTGGGAGATGATGATGTATCAATGCAGGTTAATGGACTGTGACAAATGGACAACTCCCTGCAGGTTTTTGATGGTGGGGGAGGCTGTGCATGTTGTAGGGGTAGGTGATATATGGGAAATCTCTGTACCTTCTGCTCAATTTTGCTGTAAACCTAAAACTGTTCTAAAAAATAAGGTTTATTTTAAAAAGAAATAAGTATGTAAAAACCTCTATACCTGCCGGTGGTATACCTGGGGTGGGGGTGAGGGGCAGAAGGGTCCATCCCCCAGGGTCAGGCAATGAGTCTGTAGAGAAAGTAACAATAGTGATAAAACTGAGTAGAAGCCAGTCTGGGCCGGGCACAGTGGCTTACGCCTATAATCCCAGCACTTTGGAAGGCCGAGGTGGGTGGATCACCTGAGGTCAAGAGTTCGAGACCGGCCTGGTCAACATGGTGAAACCCCCATCTCTACTAAAAATACAAAAATTACCCGGGCGTGGTGGCGGGCACCTGTAATCCCAGCTACTTGGGAGGCTGAGGCAGGAGAATTGCTTGAATCTGGGAGGCGGAGGTTGCAGTGAGCTGAGATCGCGCCACTACACTCCAGCCTGGGTGACAGAGCAAGACTGTCTCAAGAAGAAAAAAAGAAGCTAGTCTGCTTCTCATCCTGACCATGCGCTGGCAATTCTTAATGACATCAGTGATAAAGCACCCTTCCCAGCCCCAGCCCCAGCCCCAGCCCCAGCCCCAGTCCACCATTGATGCAAAGCAAGCAAAACACTTCCAGAGCCCTCCAACTGGCTGCTCCTAAGCCAGCCCGAAACCCAGGGACTAAGGAACTCAAGAAATGCCTGAGTACAGCAATCAGTGAAGAACAAGAGGCTTAAAGTTATGATCCCCTGAAGCTGACTCAGAGATGTCTAGGCAGGCCTGGGGCCCTGGAACAAAGTGTAAGATCCTTTCCTGGAGCAAGGCAGGTCTAAAGTAGGGCCAGCCAGGAGTGATAGCTCAGGGAATCTCAGAGAGCCCTTATCTATCCTGTTGCAAGCATGGGCTCCCCCAAGGCTGGGGGCAAGGCTGAGCCTACGGGGTCATCTACAGATCTTACCTGGGGCCAAGAAGGCTGCTGGAGTGGGACCAGGCAGCCTGAGGCTGTGACCTCCTACCCTGGGCAGTTCTGCTCTCCCATGGCTGTGGGGCCCACACGCTGTCCCCGCTCTGGGGAGCAAGGCATGCAGGCACCAAACATGGAGTCAGGAAAGGAGAGGACTTAGCCAAGCCTACACATCAGGCCACCCTCGCAAAGCCCATTCTTCACTGTTCTCTCAACACCACCTTTTGAAAGCTTCTCTCACGTGAGCTCCGCCACCTCCATCCCTGCTGAGTGGCCAAGTCACCATGCTCCCCACGGAAAGACCCCAGGCCTCTGTCCACTCTTGCCCAGTCTCTGACCCCTTTTGCTGAGTGTTTGATATGTTCCTGGGGTGAGGGCCATCCCATGACTTTCATATTCCACCAAGGACAGTGAGTACCAAACTGACGACCTTCATCCTACTGGACTGGGAGTCAAGAAGGCATACTCTGTTACCACTTAGCTATGTGGCCACAGCCACGTCACCTGCCCTATGAGCTTTCTCTTCCACAAATGTAAAACCAAGAGGGCTGGATGCTCTCTGAGGTCCCTTCTAAATCTAGCATGCTGAGCTCCTCTGGGTATATCTATTGCCCATCCCCTCAGGTAGGGGATGCCAGCCCAGTGCACAGTCCAGAGGAGACACCACACAGAGCAGAACACAGAGGAAATGGTATTAGCTGTGTATCTCAGGCTGTCCCCAGGGCTGGAGAGACTCAAGGAGGCTTCTGGGCAGGCTGAGCAGAGAGAACACTGCAGAGGGGAGAGATGCCACGGGTCAGCTGGGTGAAGGCATTTGCTGGAACTGAGGGAGCGCTCAAGGGAAGTGAGGAGAGTCCTCTCCCCAAGAGCCTCCCCCACAGCCACTTATCCTGTCCCTCTGCTCTGGGCCCCACCCCCACCTCTAAGTCAAGCAAACCCAACTTGTTGAAAGCAAGCAAACAGCCACGGAGCAAGACGCACACACTTCTCACCCATTCCCAGCCAAGGGGAACGGGCTATAGTTTGTTGACAGAGAGAAAAGTAATCAATTTTTCATTACCCAGTGAAGGCAACAGAATGTCTCAGGATGTCAACAGTTTCCAGGCAACAAAGACAAACCAAATACACAGGCCCCTCACCTGAAAGCTGTTTCCTTTACAAGCATCAGCTTGAATGAGAGGAGGTAATGAGAGAGGCAGAGGCAGGTGAAACCACTTGGCAGCCGCAGCGTATGAGTCAGACGCTGGGGCTCTGTGGTTGTCTGCAGTGACCCCATTAGCAGATCTCATCAGACTACGTACGACTCAAAGCAGAGCCTGCACTGGGGGAGGATTCAGGCACAAGATGTCGGAGCAAGACCGGAGAGAGTGGCTAATGTGGCTTATTCATTCATTTATTCAGCAAACATTTTTTAGGGCTCTTAGGCCCTGGGCTCAGGCCTGAGGCCCCAGTCTAGCTGAGGAGATGAGCGTGGAGACAGCGTCCCCTTACCTTAGGGATGAGAAGACTGACAACCACAGAGAGGAAGTGACTGTCCCAAGATCACAGAACCACACGGGGCACTTGGCAGCTGTGCCGCAGGTCTCCAGCATGCAGCAGGCCTATGCACATGGAAGGAGGCTCAGGAAGCGGCCGGCACAGACGTAGTCTCATCGAGAATTAACACAGGGAGCTTTCCAGAGACCTTTAGCAAAAGTGTTCAGATACTGAACCTAAAAAGTAAAAGGAGATCATTAGAATCTCTTATGGTGCCTATATTATTGTTATTTTTAACTCTCAAGGTGATTCTAACCAAAACAGAAAGGATGGCCCTTTCTGGAGCTCCTTCCCCAGCACAATGTCGGGCCTCAGAGCTCCCAGGATGTCTCCTTGTGTTTGCGTTAACGTTTCTCAGTGAGTGTCAATGGAGACTCGAGAATAAGTCAACACAGGTCCTCACAATAAATGCCAAGGCTTGTTAGCAGAGTAAACCGTGTGCTTAGCCCGTCTTAAAAGAATCTTTGCTGAGTAAACACAAGAAAGGTTTTACCTGAGAGTCAACAGAGCAAGGAGCTAATGGGCCCCGCCGGGCTGGAAGGTGACTCCACTGGCACCTGCCGCAGGGCCCAACAGGGGCCCTGGGAGGGGAGTCGGGATTGGCCATGTGGGAGCTGGAGCATCCTCAAAAGCCCTTCATGGCAACGTGAGGACACCAGGGGCCAGAGAGGTCAGGGGGCTTGTCGAAGGCCCCACAGCTTGTTGAAACAGAACTAAATCTCTCTTACCCAGCAGCCTCTGCTCGCCCAGGGAGCCCAGTCTCTTGGTGAGGAGGCAAAAACCCAGTCCACAGAAAGGAGGTCCTGGGAATCAATCCCATTTGCTCTGAAGTATGAAGAAACTGATGTCTTATCCTTCCCAGGGCAGTTTTGGTATTTAAAGAAGACTGCAGGGAAATGAAGCCCTAATGGTGGCATGTCTGAAATGACAGCAGAGGGAAAATATTTTGGGTCCGAATAGGGCTTCTAGCTTTTTCGGTCTCTGAATGTTCACACTGATTCAATATTATCCTTGGTGACAGTGGATAAAAAACAAGCCTCGTGGTGAAACCCCGTCTCTACTAAAACTACAAAAATCAGCCGGGTGTGGTGGTGCGCGCCTATAGTCCCAGCTACTCGGGAGGCTGAGGCAGGAGAATCGCTGGAACTCAGGAGGCGGAGGTTGTAGTGAGACGAGATCATGCCACTGCACTCCAGCCTGGGTGACAGAGAGACTCCATCTCCAAACAAACAAACAAACAAAAAACAAGCCTGAACTGCTTTCTGTCTTTTCACCACACCTCACAACTTCTTTGATGGCCTGATATGCATGAGGTTCTCATTTTCCCAAGTAAAGAAAAATTATGACCTGAAATCTTGGACCTATAAGCTTGTTAGTCTCAAAACCCAAGTACAACCACTAACTTAATATCTCATTTAACGTGCCACCAGAAAAAAACCTTCCAATATTCAATTTTTCATTTAATTTGTGAATTCCTTTCCTCTTTCTCAAAAGAATTTGAGTATAGATCAAAGTACAACGATGCAGTAAAGTCAATAAAAAAGCTGCCAAAATTTTTATTTTAAAAATCAGTACCAAGAAAAGGAGGAGGAGGTAAACACCTTATCCATTTGGGTTAATTTAATTACTGAGATTGGGCACCTGGTCTGGTACTGAATTTCTCAGCAGCTGAAGCAGAGAAGAGAGAGTGTGAAGTCACAGAGCTCTCGTTATCATACAGGAGGATGCAGACTAATGCCCCAGAGGACACAAACTTTCTCCTGCCCCTAAATTTTACAAGAATTTTTCACATGAGACCTTATTTAGGAGACCATAACAATATAAGAGCCTGCTCAAGTTTTCTGGCAAAAGCAGAAATGGTTTTCATGTGGCCTTTTCTTCCAACAACCTTTGAGGAAAACCAAGGGTGCACCAGATTGCACAGTGATTCAGTGACATCTTTCTTTGTTTTTAAACAAGAAATGAACTTGAGCATTTGCAGAGGCAAAGTGAAGCGTGCTAAGTAAATTACAAGGGAGGGAAGACCATATTAAAGTGCTCTTGGTTTCCTCTTGGCTGGGTCATGGGAGGGCACACAAACATGCTTTCCTTACTAAGGTGTGGACTGACTCACTCATCCTTCGGCCAAGCAGCCAGGCAGCTCTGACTGTGGAACTCACACCCTAGCCTAGAAGCACTCTAGCGTGAAGGGGTCAACCCCAGTAGCCCTTCCCAGGATTGGCCACTATGGGGCAACACTGAGCCAGCATCTGGAAAACAAAAATTCCTTTTGTCAGCAAAGCCATCCAGCATGTATGAAATTCTACCAACCCAATAATTCCATTAATTCTGAAAATCCAATATTTGACCTTCTCCATAAAGGGTGTAAAAATAAAACAGCCTTTCTAATTGTAGAAACTGTTTCTTTGATTTCCTTTTTATTTTATTTATTTTATTTTTTGAGACAGTCTCTCTCTGTCATCCAGGATAGAGTGCAATGGCGCAATCTTGGTTCATTCCAACCTCCAGCTCCAGGGTTCAAACAATTCTCATGCCTCAGCCTCCTGAGTAGCTGGGACTACAGGCACACGCCACCACACCCGGCTCATTTTTGTATTTTTAGTAGAGGTGGGTTTTTGCCATGTTGGCCAGGCTGGTCTCCAACTGCTGGCCTCAAGTGATCCACCTTCCTCGGCCTCCCAAAGGAGTGAGTCACCGTGCCCTGCCACTTTTTAACTTTTTAGCCACCAATTCATATGAGATAGCAAAGAAAAGCTCAACAGTTTTTGAACAGTAACTATGCTGTTTTATATGTGCCATCTCACTTAATTCTAAAAGAACTCTATGAGGTAGGTGTCAACATGATCCCCACTATGCATATGATGGAACTGAGGCACAGAGAGGTTAAATAACTCACTCAAAGTCACACAGCCCTATTTAGCGGCAATGGGATTTGAGCCAGCCCAGGTAGTCTGATATCAGAGCATTTAACCCTGTGTCCCAGAAGACTTACATGATCTCATAGCTAGAGGAAGCATCTAGTTCACTTCCTCCTGGAGCAACACTGTCTTCCATATCCCAGCCTCAGCCTAACACCTAGCAAAGCTTTTCCTTATTTTTCTTATTTTGACCTAAAACTGTCTCAAAACTGGTCAGAGTTCTTCCTTCTAGAACTACTTGGAAGTTGAGTCTCTCTTCCACATGAAACCCTCTCCAATTTTTAAAAAATCAAAACCAGTGTTTTTAATTTAGAAAAGTAATGTATGTTCATGGTCTTTAAAAATTCAAGCAATATAAAAAGGATAAACTGGAAAGTAAAAATATTTCTTCCACCCCATCCAATCCCTGTCCTCAGAAGTAACCACTATAATTACTCTTGAATCCTCCCAGAAGTTTTTTAATACTATAAAACATATGCACATTTTTTTTATTTTTTTACTCAAATAGGGTCATGTTATGCATACTGGTGGCAACTTACCTTTTTTCACTTAACAAGGTGTCCTGGATGTCTTTCCATAGCGGCATTCCTATACATAGCTACATGAAAACATTAACATTTATTCAACCTGCCTATCATCCATACTTTTTTTCTAATACAAGCAATACTTCAGTGAAATTGTACATAGCATAGGTTCCTACAAATGAAATTCCTGGATAGAGGGTAAGCGCACTTTTGAGAGAGAGGACCAAATGACCCTAAAAAAATTGTAGTAGTTCTGGCCGGGCTCGGTGGCTCACGCCTATAATCCCAGCACTTTGAGAAGCCGAGGCGGGCAGATCACGAGGTCAGGAGATCAAGACCATCCTGGCTAACATGGTGAAACCCTGTTTCTCCTAAAAATACAAAAAATTAGCAGGGCGTGGTGGCGGGCGCCTGTAGTCCCAGCTACTCGGGAGGCTGAGGCAGGAGAATGGCGTGAACCCGGGAGGCGGAGCTTGCAGTGAGTTGAGATCGCACCGCTCCACTCCAGCCTAGGCGACAGAGCAAGACTCCATCTCAAAAAAAAAAAAAAAAAAAAAAAAAAACAAAACAAAACTGTAGTAGTTCAAACTCAAACAGGCTGAAGAAAACATTTAAAAATTAAAAAAAAAAATTGGAACTTGTAGTGATGGCACAGTGGCTCACCACCTGTAATCCAGCTACTTGGAGACTGGGGCAGGAAGGTTGCTTGAGCCCCAAGGAGGTCGAGGCTGCAGTGAGCCTTGATCACACCACTGCACTCCAGCCTGGGTGACAAAGCAAGACCCTGTCTCAAAAAAAAAGTAAATTTAAAAAATTCAAAATCCCCACATTATTAACTGTGGTTTTCAGTCTTTAATAAAATAGTAGAATGAAACATTAAGGGGCTGGGTGTGGAGGCTCTCGCCTGTAATCCCAGCACTTTGGGAGGCCAAGGATGGAGGATCACTTGAGCCTAGGAGTTCAAGACCACCCTGGGCAACATGGTGAAACCCTATCTCTAGAAAAGACCAAAAAAAAAAAAAAAAAAAGTAGCCTGGCGTGGTGACATGTGCCTGTAATCCCGGCTACTCGGGAGGATCGCTTGAGCCCCAGAGTTCAAGGTTGCAGTGAGCAGAGATCATGCCACTGCACTCCATCCTGGGCGACAGTGAGATCCTGTCTCAAAAAAAAAGAAGAGAAGAAGAAAGAGAAAGAGGAGGAGGAGGGGAAAGGAGGGGTAGGGGAGGAGGAGGGAGAGGAGGAGTAAAGAAGAAAAGAAAGAAGAAAAACGTTATAGGAATTTACACCCAAATCAACCAACAGCCCATTTTCCCAGGTTTGTCAATATGGCTTTTTATCAAACTGTTAACTTTTCCTTCCACGTTTGAAGACAGCTCTTCATTCATATATTCATTTACACATTATTTCAAACCATATTGACTACGCGTCTTCTCCTCAGGTGCTGAGGAGCTGGGTTTGCTCTGATCCGGGAGTTTCCAGCCCTGACTGACTTATCCTCCCGCTCATCAGAAGAGCTTATGAAAATTCCCGGTGGCTGCCTCGAGGGGCTGGTTCGGTGGGCCTTGGAGGGGCCCGGCAAGCTGTTTAGTTGTTTGTTTCATTCATTTTTGTTTTTGTTTACCAGCTTCCCACGTGATTTAGCTATTTGATAAGAAGCCAAAGGTAGAGCAAATCTTCCCTCTCCTTTCTCTGGGTAAAATCGCCTTCTGGAAATGAAGGCGCTGGGAACGGCTAGAACCCACTACTGGGAAGTGAAGGAAGAGGGATCTGGTGCTCGAGACCTCTCCTGGTAACGCCGAAATCCACTGCTGCTCCCGAGTCCTCCAAGCAACAGCCCGGGCTCAGGATTCCCAACTACAAACGCGCCCCAGCCCATTCCTGCTGGCTAATGAAAGCGTTGGCCTCTCCGGACACACAGGATTCGAAACAGATCAGCTGCCTTCAACCACTAATCAGCTCCTGACTTAAGACATTCCTCCGGGGGACGGAGGGTCAAGAGCATGCGCAGAAGCCAGCTGTCCCGAAGGCGCCCCCAGCGGTTAACAGGCCTCAGCGAAACTGGAAAGTTCGGCTTCCCTCGGCCACACTCGGCCTCCAGCCCCGCCTCTCGGCCCGCCTTTTCCTCCCGGCCCTGCGTTGGTGGGCGCGCCGCGGGCTCTAAAAGCTCGACTGTCGGCCGGGCGCTGTGGCGCACGCCTGTAATCCCAGCACTTTGGGAGGGCAAGGTGGGTGGATCAAAGTTCGCGACCAGCCTGACCAACATGGTGAAACTACGTCTCTACTAAATTAGCCAGGCGTAGTGGCTCATGCCTATAATCCGAGCTACTTGGGAGGCTGAGACAGGAGACTCGCTTGTACCCGGCAGGCGGAGGTTGCAGTGAGCCAAGATTGCGCCATTGCACTCCAGCCTCGGCAACAAGAGCGAAACTCCGTCTCAAAAAAAAAAAAAGCTCAACTGTGGGCCTGCGACCTTCACGCGCCAGCGCTGGAGAGGTGCCAGGCTCCCTGGGGCCGAGACCGGGGCAGAGGACGACACTTCGTCTGGCCGCCTAGCCTCGGCCTCTAAGCTTCCTGCATCTTCTTCATCGTAGGTGATGTTGGACGTGACAGAGGAGGTGACAGGTCACCCTGAGTGCGGGACTCCGTGTCCAGAAGGAAGTGGGCCTCCAGGTGCCACGCCTTTGCTTCTGCTGTGGCATCTGATGAGTTCCCTGTTCATCTCTCCAGGCATTCCCAGGGCAGTCAGCCCTGATGCCCAGGGGCTAGGCTTGCAAGACCGCGCATTAGGTTCGCAGAGCTAGAGTGCAAGGCCAGACCTGGTACCAACAGCATCTCCGCCTTCGTCCTCATCTGGTTCCCGCCTCAAACCTGTACCTGTGCGGAGGAGCCTGGAAGGTGCGTGCTGTGAAAGTAAATGAATGAATGAGGCTCCTGGGGGATGGCGGGCGCGTGTTTGCCCCTATAGGGCTGCTACAATGGAAAGAGCATTTGCTAGTTGGATTCATGGGTTCCAGTTCTGGTTCCATTCATCATTGCTGCTTAATAAGTTCCTCCTCCCATCTGGGTCCTAACTTCTTGTTTCTTTGTTTGTTTGTTTATTGGTTTTGTTTTTTTCAGACGGAGTTTCGCTTTTGTTGCCCAGGCTGGAGTGCAATGGCGCGTTCTCAGCTCACTGCAACCTCCGCCTCCCTGGCTGAAGCAATTCTCCTGCCTCAGCCTCCCGAGTAGCTGGGACTACAGGCATGCGCCACTACGCCCGGCTAATTTTGTATTTTTAGTGGAGACGGGATTTCTCCATGTTGGCCAGGCTGGTCTCGAACTCCCGACCTCAGGTGATCTGCCCACCTCAGCCTCCCAAAGTTCTGTGATTACAGGCGTGAGCCACTGCGCCTAGCCGGTTCTAACTTTTAACATGTAAAAGGAGAGTTGAACTCTGATAAATATATATTAAAGGCCAACAAGGAGCCCAGCATTAAATATTGGGGATACAGGTGAGCAAAACGGACAGCCCTGATCCCCAGAACATATGGTGTGGAGTAGGAGGCAGATAGTCAACAGTCACGTGGACGTAATTACACGTGTACTTTTTTTTTTCTTTTTTTTTCTTTTTTTCAGACAGTCTAGCTCTGTCGCCAGGCTGGAGTGCAGTGGCGCGATCTCGGCCCACTGCAACCTCTGCCTCTTGGGTTTAAGCGATTCTCCTGCCTCAGCCTCCCAAGTAGCTGGGACTACAGGCATGCGCCGTCACGCCCCGCTAATTTTTGTATTTAGTAGAGATGGGGTTTCACCATGTTGGCCAGCCTGGTCTGGAACTCCTGACCTCAAGTGACCTGCCCACCTTGGCCTCCCAAAGTGGTCTCACTGTTGCCCAGACTGGAGTGCAGTAGCATGGTCATAGCAAGTGCAAAGGTCTGGAGCATGAAACACACACATTTCTTGAATTGGACATTATAAACAGTCTCAAAAGCATACAAGTCAGAGGTGTGGAAGCTTCAGCAAGTTAAATTGAGAAGGCCTTGGAGAATTCTTTGAAAGCCCATAAGTATTTGAGCAATCCTATAAACATATGTGAAGACCTCTGACCCTGTTTTCTGATGGAAATGTCCAGATTATTGATCTGACCAGAACAGTCCAGGTTCCATGATGCATGCAGTGGTGTCTGTGATCTGACTGAGAGACATCTGGCTCTATTTCAGAAGAACTAAAACTATAGTTCCAGCTACTTCAGAGGCTAAGGTGGGAAGATGGCTTGAATCCAGGAGGTCGAGGCTGCAGTGAGCTGTGATCTCACCACTGCACTGATCTCACCACTGCACTCCAGCCTGGGCAACAAAGCAAAACCCTGTCTCAAAAAATAAAGTAAAATGAAAGAATTCAAAATAATTATGCAGCAAAATGTTTACTGTATTTCTATAAATTCAAATAAAACATGCCAAATCCTTTGTCCCTCCCATAATTTCAATGAGTATGTACAGAAAATTCTTAGGGAACAATGTGAGCCAGGTAATTGTTGATCTGGTTGAGTAGCACTTTAGAGATAACTTTTATGTGTTCTCCCATTCAGGACTTCACCATGTCAGAAGAACTCAATTAGCCCTCTTAATATAAAGAAACTGGCCGGGCATGGTGGCTCACGTTGGCCCAACAAAACCTTTGGGAGGCTGAAACAGGCAAATAACTTGAGCCCAGGAGTTCAAGATCGGCCTGGGCAACCTGGCGAAACCTCGTCTCTACAAAAAATACAAAAAAATTAGCCGGGCATGGTGGCATGCACCTGTAATCTAAACTACTTGGGAGGCTGAGATGGGAGGATTGCTTGAGCCTGGGAGATGGAGGTTGCAGTGAGCCGAAATTGTGCCACTGCACTCCAGCCTGGGTGACAGAGCAAGACTCTGTCTCAAAACAATTTTAAACAAAACAACGAACTTGCTCAGAGAGGTTGAGTACCTTCGTAAGTTCATACAGCTATGGCAGGGTAAAAGTTAGGCCTGGCACTTCAGTTGTCTCAACCCAGCATTTCTTCTACCGTGTCACGGAGTCCTCTCCACACACGTACTTTTGTAAGATACAGTGACCAGCACTTAATGTTTTTCTCTGTCATTTTACAGGCCACTTTTCTCTCATCTTTGTAAGCAAGCCTGGATAATTCAACTTGAGATAAACATGGGCTGCTTTAAAGCTTTACAGCACTTGCATTTTTAGTTCTTCTGAAACAGAGCCAGATGTCTCTCAAAGTCAGATCACAGACACCACTGCATGCATCATGGAACCTGGACTGTTCTGGTCAGATCAATAATCTGGACATTATAATTTTTTCATTTTTTTTGTAGAGACGGGGGTCTCACTTTGTTGACCAGGCTGGTCTGGAACTCCTGGGCTCAAGTGATCAGCCTGCCTGGGCCTCCCAAAGTGCTGGGATTACAGGCTTCAGCCACTGCACCTAATTCTTTCATTTTAATTAGAGTGTTTATCTCTTCCAAAAGGTGGTTTTAAAATTTCACATGTGGTTCTCTCCTTATTTTCAGTTGAGAAGAAGCAAAAAAAAAAAAAAATTAGAAAGTAAAACGATTGGCAGGAGCTTTGGATATTTTTACTTATCCCATTGTGCAACACATTCAGTGACAATACAGGCTTATGAAGTTGTTCAGATGGTTTGTCTATGAGCATGTCTGTTCCTACAGTTCTCCAGAACATGAGAGCCCTTCATGCCTAATCTTGGCTTCCTGCTGATAGACTTTTAAAGGGGTGTGAGTTGGCCAGCCATGGACCTGGGTACGCTTCCAGTGGCCACAGATGTGAACACAATGCTGAGAGCAATGGAAATGTAAGCAAAGTAACATGTATGCTTGGTGAACAATCAGAAGTATGAAATACGAGAAACCAAACCTGCCTGATTGATAAGAATGGGGGGCCGGGTGCAGCGGCTCACGCTTGTAATCCCAGCACTTTGGGAGGCTGAGGCAGGCGGATCATGAGGTCAGGAGTTCAAGACCAGCCTGACCAATATGGTGAAACCCTGTCTCTACTGAAAATAAAAAATTAGCCAGGTGTGGTGGCGCACACCTGTAATCCCAGCTACTTAGGAGGCTGAGGCAGGAAAATTGCTTGGAGGCGGAGGCTGCAGTGAGCCGAGATCGCGCCACTGCACTCAGGCCTGGGAGACAGAGTGAGACTCTGTCTCAAAAAAACAAAACAAAAAACAAACAGAAAAAATGGGGGGTAGGGGGTTTGAGGAGCACAAGGCTTGGACCTACTAGACCTGGAGATTTGGGGAACGAGGGATGCCAGCCATGTTCCTTGTACTGTATGCAAAAGGGAAGTAACAAGTATTGAATGTTCACTTACCTCTTTCATTCCCCAATATGAAATAGATATTCCCATTTGCAAAAAAAAAAAAACAAAAAACAAAAAACAAAAAAAAAGAAGGCTCAGGAGAACTAGAAAGCAGATGAAACAAAGAGGACTTCATTCAGTACCAGATGAATTTAGTATTTCTATGTATGTATGTGGGTCTCCTAATTTGATTTTCAAATTGTTCTTTAGAAAGATTTTTAGCTATATTAAGATTTCTTAAAAAGCTGGGCCATGCCAGGCAGGGTGGCTCATGCCTACAGTCCCAGCCACTCAGGAGGCTGAGGCGGGAGGATCACTTAGCCCAAGAAAGGCTGCAGTGAGCTATGACCATGCCACTGCACTCCAGCCTGGGCAACAGTGAGACCCTGTCTCAAATAAATTGAAAAAAAAAAAATGCTGGACCAAGAGTATAATTTCAGGCATCAATTCTGTAGTTCCTTACTAGAGAAGTTTCTCTTAACATGTACAACACTGGAAACCATGAGGAGGTGGCAGCACAGCATTCTCTGCTGAGCGTGAGGTTGGCTCTTGGTGTTGCTTTGCTGCAACTGTCATTTGCCATTGATGATGGTTCTTCTCTTCCTCCGAGGGAGAGAATGCAGTCTGAGTGGGGGAAAAAGCCTGGGCCATGGACTTATAGACTGTTAACATTGGAGTCTTGCTAGTGAACATTTTAGCTATGATTGGATTGTTTGGATAGCTGAGTTTGATATTTACAATATCCCTAGCTTACCACTTAATGTCTGCTCTTCTAGATGCTGTCCTTTTCCCGTATCTTGTTAGTATTCTCTTTAACCCATTTTTCAGCTAAGTGAAGTGTTAGTATTCCCTCCTCTGACACTTGTTCACTCAGCACAAAGAATTCCTACTGTTACCTCTCCAGAACCCTACGGTCATTATAGTTGAGGAAGCTGATGCAGGTGGGAGAAAGGACCAGACGCATGGACCATGCTGTTAAGGGAACAGGGACAGAGTGGGTTTTAATCTGGTTCACCCATCCACTTACTAGTTTGTAACCTGAGAGCTTCCACTTCCCCATCCCCAACATGGGGACATACTGTCATGGGACTGTTGTGAAGAATGACATGCCACACAGATGAGCAGTCCTAGCTAATGTTAGCTGTTAATGGGTGAAGGAAAAGCAGGCACTTAACATGTGGATATAGGCTATCCCTTATCTTTGTCTTGTGACACCATCCTCACTAGTTCACAATTGCCCTTTCGTACAGGCTAAGCATCCCTTATCCGAAATGCTTGGAACCATTTGTGTTTCAGATTTCTACTTTTTTCCAGACTTCGGAATATTTGTATATACTTAAGGTTTTTATGTATACTTTATGATCTTAGATAATTTTAGACAGGGTCCTGCTCTGTCACCCAGTCTTGAGTGTAATGATACAAACACGGCTCACTGAAGCCACAGGTACATGCCACCACACTGCACTAATTTAAAACAAAATTTCTTGTAGAGGCTGGGATAGGTTTAAGCAATCCTCCTGCCTCAGCCTCCCAAAGTGCAGGAATCGCAGGCATGAACCACCATGCCTGGCCTATGGTTTTAATATACAGGTTGGGCATTCCTTACCTGAAAATCCAAAACGTTCCAATGAGCATTTCCTTTGCGTGTCACGTTTACGTTTTGGGTTTTGGGTAAGGGATGCTCAAGCCATGTATTAAAAACACAAAACTAGCCAGGCATGGTGGCTCATACTTGCAATCTCCCAGCACTTCGGGAGGTCAAGGCGTGCAGATCACTTAACACCAGGAGATTGAGGTTTTCCTACAAAAAATTAGCCAGGCATGGTGGCATGCCTGTAGTCCCAGCTACTTGAGGGTGGCTGAGGTGGGATGACCGATTTGAGCCTGGGAGTTTGAAGCTGCAGTAAGCCATGGCTGCACCACTGCACTCCAGCCTGGGCCACAGCAAAAGAACCCCTCTCAAAAAACTTAAAACATAAAACTCTAATACTGACACCTACATACTCCTACCCATTGTCAACTCCACCTTGCTCAAGGTCCTAAATTGTTCACTATCCCGTCTTTGGTATTTATTACTCTTAGCAGATGCATATATTTAATGTCTTTTTTGAGCTTATGAGAAGCCCCAAGTGTTGCTTTGAACATTCCCAGGCATGTATCCTATGTCCACATGTAGTTTCTCTTGAGTAATGCCTCAAAGTAGAACTGCCATTTTCCCCAAGTAGTTGTAGTAACTTACACAAATGGTCTTTTTCACATTGACACGAGGAGTCCCGGCTAGAAGTCACGCTTTTCATCACTGAATGTCTTCATCTACTAAATGCTAATGGAGGTAAGGATAAGACTCATTCATGTGCCTGGCATGTCATTAGCTGCTCTGAACACACAATACCCACGGTTTATTATATAAATCCAAGCCTGAAAAGTTGAAAATTCCATTCATGGTATTATTAATTGGCAAACAAAAAAAGCTCTTAGTTTTTGGAACACAGGTTTGAATCTTTTTTTTTTTCCACTTTGTGTAACTGGAGACCTTAATAAACTATTAAGTAAACTTTCTGCACTCCTTCAGTGTTACCATAAAACTCCCAAACATTTGGTGAGACATTACATAGCTAAGTCTTGTTTTTTTACAACCTTGGGATGTAGCAGTCAACATTCAGCATACGTCAAAGTTCGTTCTTAGGCAGGGTTGTATAGGGTAAATACCCAGGAGGCTTTCTAAAGCTGGTCTGTATTACCCTCCACCCCCAGTGTAGGGGACACACCTTATAATCATCAAGTTTACACAGGTAACCTGGACAAAGCATCTGCTCTGATCCTTCCTCCTGCCACCCCAGTGCAGTTTTCAACACTGTACCATGAGGTGCCTTCTTGTTAGCATCAGGATTGTCTAAATCTCACATCCGGCAATGGTGGCAGGGAAAATCCAGCCTGTGTCATGGCAGAATAGGCTGAAAGCCAACATTACAAAACAGACCATTTTTGCAGAGCACATTCCAAAACTATGGACAAGACCAACAGCAGTAAAGTTCAGCTTTTTATTGAACATGTTATAAAAGAGGTTTAGTCAAAAAGACCAAAGCCCATGTCATCATCAGACTCCTCGGATTCTTCTTTCTTTGCTTCCACTTTCTTCTCCTCAGCTAGAAAAAAAAAGTCAATCAGGTGTTAGGATTTCCATACTTCATATACTTGTGAAAAATTAATGGCAATTTTGTCTATAATACTATTTTTTAAAAAATCTCTACACTCCTCCCAATACTAAAAACTCCATGTTTCCTACCTGGAGCAGCAGCAGTGGAGGGGGCAGGACCTCCTGCTGGTGCAGCACCAGCTGCTGGAGCAGGTCCACCGGCCCCTACATTGCAGATGAGGCTCCCAATGTTGACGTTGGCCAGGGCCTGCAATACATGTGCATGCATAGGTAAACGCCCAGTTCTGTCCTTGTTAAGCACTCACGCAGCCAAAAACGAAAAGTATCCCCCATTCCAGGTTACAGTGATCAACCCCTAACACTATATACAGTGAGTTCCACATCCATGGATTCAACAGTGGAAAAATAAGCATGTGTACCAAACATGTAGACTTCTAAAGTATACAGGAGGATGTGCATAGGTTATATGCAAATACATTTATATAAGAGATGGAACATCCTGGGATTTTGTTATTAGTGGAAGGTCCTGGAACCAATACCCCAGACACTGGCTTTTCTTTGCTAACAGCCAAGACTTAGGTTACAGGGCAACGCACTACTGTTCAGCTTTGAATCTGATAATTACATTCCTATATGTTAAGAACCTCCTGAGGCAGCTGATTTCCCTCCTTTTACAAATAATATGTTGGTAAAAAAAAAATCCAAACTTCCTGAAACACTCAAATGAATATTCTTTCCACAGTTCCATGTCTCCTCTTAACAGTGAATTCAAATTTTCAGTCTACTAAACAAATATAGGACTTCAAAAGGGGCTTGTTAAATATGACATAGGTACAATGTTTTCAATCTTTCAAAACTCTTTAGAGGTCACAACCCTGGAGTTAGATGCTATTAGCTTCACTTGACAGAGATTAAGTAACCTGTACAATGGAAAATAGCCAGTGCAAGCTCCATGACCAGGAACCTCTTTATTAGTCTTTTATATCCCAACACACAGTACCTACTGTGTCAATGAAGTCCGCTAAACCCAAATGTCCATCAAACCATAGGTTTAATGCAAGAATTTACTGAAAGAATTTGCTTGCGGGCCGGGAGCGGTGGCTCAAGCCTGTAATCTCAGCACTTTGGGAGGCAGAGGCGGGGGGATCACGAGGTCAGGAGATCGAGACCATCCTGGCTAACATGGTGAAACCCCGTCACTACTAAACACACACACAAAAATTAGCCAGGCATGGTGGCGCACGCCTGTAGTCCCAGCTGCTCGGGAGGCTGAGGCAGGATAATGGCGTGAACCCGGGAGGCGGAGCTTGCAGTGAGCTGAGATCGCACCACTGCACTCCAGCCTGGGTGACTCCGTCTCAAGAAAAAAAAAAGAAAAAGAAAAAGAATTTGCTTGCAACTTAACATGCGTAGTACCTATCTCCCGAGTGACCCTTTTTGGGAATAAATGACCTGATTCACATTTTTTTTAACCATGGTTTCAGAGCAAAAGGGAAACCAGAGTCTGATAAGGAAACGTAAGACTTGACAAGCTGAAATCTTATTAGCTCCTAGAGATATACATGCAACGAAAAACACCTAGGAGATCCAGCGGCATGTGGGGCGTTATGGCACCGCTGGGGGTACTTTAGCATGTACAACTGCCCTCGTAAATCAGCAGGCCTTACCACAATCACTTTGCCACCATCACCTTACCTTTGCAAACAAGCCAGGCCAAAAAGGCTCAACATTTACACCGGCTGCTTTAATGAGGGCATTGATCTTATCCTCCTACAACAAATAAAAACGTCAATCCATCAAAACGTAGCGTATGTAATATCTCCAAAATGCTGCACGTCACTCAATAAGTGTACATAACATGTTTAACCAGCTCAAATATTCTATCACAAGCAAAAGAGATGTGTGCCAGGCGCCCTGCAATGAGGCGAGCCCATCACTGCTGTTTCACGGGCTGGGACTTGCCTGAGTCACGCGGCTATTTTTAAGTTACAAGACCTGGGAGGTGGAGCCGAGCTCGGGCGCCTTCCTCCACGACCGGGGGAATTCAAGGCAATTACACCGAAAGAGGTCCGAGTAAGTGTCCCTGAGAGAGACGAGGCACGGGTCAGGGTGCCCAAGCACTGCGGAAGAGCTTTTCTACACGAAGGCTCTTGGAGCCGGAGCGCCCAGCCTCAAGCGCACTCCATGCCCGCTGGGCCCGCACGTGGTCCCGGGGGCCCAGGACCTGCCCGGAGAGAGGCCCCAGCCCCGAGGAGCGCCCGCCCTATGCGGCCTGTGTTCGCGGCCTGGCCCCGGCCGGAAGTGCTCAGTCGAACGGCCTGGAGCCGGGAACCGCATGGAGAGCCGAAAGTCACCGCCCACAGGCAGCCCGGCCGCCGGCCCGCGCCCGCACTCACCGTGACTGTCACCTCATCGTCGTGCAGAATGAGGGCCGAGTAGATGCAGGCGAGCTCGGAGACAGAGGCCATGGCGCGGGCGAGTGTAGGGCTGGCGCTGCCGGACGCGGTGCTAGTCGCCGGATGAAGTGAGGGCCTCACCCCAACGCAGCCTTAGCTTCCTCGGAAGGACCGAGCACCTTGGCGGCAGCTGAGGAAAGGGGCTCTCGCGCCTATACGCAGCCTCTTATGTGTCCACGCGGACCAATCGGCGCCCGCACCGGGCGGAAGAGGCGGACCCAGGACCCACTGAAGGCGCCTGCGCACTGCGCCTGATTGGTTCTTACTGTTGAGAAAGTTTCTCAGCGCCTGCAAATACGGTCCCACTTTATTTGGGTAAATTATAGGACCTGAGAACGTTAAAAACACTTTTAGGTTAGGGTTGCCTAGGTATTCGGACTTCGCCTCCGTTGGTTCCATGAGTTGCTTGACTTGGCAGGAGCTCCGCTGTGGCCCTGGTGACATTGTTCGTAATCTCCTGGTTAGGTCGCGGCCTTCCCAGCCGGCGCTGACCCTGAGAGTAAGGGCTGCGTCCCAGCTTGGAGGCCCCTGCTTAGCGCAGGACCTTGGTTGAGATAGGTAGATGTAGGAGGATGAGAGAAACTAACAGCGTTATGCTAGCAGAAGCCGTAGAGCGCTTACTATGTCCCAGGCACTGAGCCACATTCTGCAAGGATTCACGTAATCCTCACACACCAGGAGTTGGATGTTATCTCCATCTTGCATATGGCAAAATTAAGTCTTAGAGCTGGTAAACTAGCCCAAGATTATGTAGTTACCGCGCAGTGGAGCGTGGATTTGGAATCTAGAAGCCTAACTTAGACCCGGTAGCTAACTCAAGATTGCATAGTTCCGCGCGGTGGAGCGTGGAGTTGGAATCCAGAAGCCTAACTTAGACCTGGTAACTAACCGAAGATTGCATAGTGCCGCGCGGTGAGCGTGGAGGTGGAATCCAGAAGTCTAACTTCACTGCCTAGTGCTTGGGGGAAGGAGGGATTATGGGTAAGCTGTCTACAACCCGTTATTTGTTATCTAAACCCAATTTAAATTCCTACCTTCAAAAATGGTCATCTTTGCATTCCTCGTGGAATTTGCTTAGTTTACCGGAAAGTTAGTTCTATGTATATATATCTTTTTTTTTGGTGGGGGGGGGGCACCTTCTTTGTTTAGTCCATCCCATTATTTAATAATCATCTCTGAAGAAACATTTCTGTTGGAATCCACCGATCTAGAGTCCCACTTGGGTCAATCTTAACTACAAACATAAATATTTTCACATCCGGAATTTTTTAAAAAAGCATTTATAAAGCTATCAAACTTTTAAAAAATAAAGCTGTTGAGTTTTCATCCAAATCTAAGCAGCCATTATAGTGGAATTTTGGTCAAGAAAGGTTAAAGCTATTAAAAAATCCAAACATTTCCAAAGCTACAATGAGTCAGTCCAAAATACTGTTTGTCCAGCAGTGTACATAAAAAACTGATCTGCCGGGTGCGGTGGCTCACGCCTGCAATCCCAACCCTTTGGGAGGCTGAGGCGGGTGGATAGCCTGAGGTCAGCAGTTCGAGACCAGCCTGGCCAACATAGTGAAACCTTGTCTCTATTAAAAATACAAAAAATTTAGCTGGGCGTGGTGGCGGGCACCTGTAATCCCAGCTACTAGGGCGGCTGAAGCAGGAGAATCGCTTGAACCCAGGAGGCGGAGGTTGCATTGCGCTGAGATTGTGCCATTGCACTCCGGCTTGGGCAACAAGAGCAAAACTCCCTCTCAAAAAAACAAAACTGATCTGGTTGACAAGTGGCACTTTGTGGTCATTGAGGAAATAATCTTCTTCTCCATCTATATATTATAGATAATACTTTTTACAGGGTATCAAACAGTAAGCACTAACCACAGCTATTCAAGAGAAGTAGTTAAGCAAAACATCAGTACTCATGCATTTCCTTTTGTGTTGATGAAGGACTTAGTGGATTCAACAGTTACTTCAGACAAATTCCACTGCCCCATATTCTCCTATCGTAGTAAAAATTTCCTATTAATATTTTGAAAATACTATGCAATAAGCCATTAAAAAAAATTTTTTTTTTCTGAGACGGAGTTTCACTCTTGTTCCCCAGGCTGGAGTGCAATGGCACGATCTCGGCTCACTGCAACTTCCACCTCCCAGGTTCAAGCGATTCTCCTGCCACAGCCTCCAGAGTAACTGAGATTATAGGCGTGTGCCACCATGCCCAGCTAATTTTTTGTATTTTTAGTAGAAACAGGGTTTCACCATGTTGGCCAGGCTGGTCTCGAACTCCTAACCTCAGGTGATTCACCCACCTTGGCCTCCCAAAGTGCTGGGATTACAGGGGTGAACCACTGTGCCCGGCTAAATTTTTTTTTTTTAAGTGGGCTGGGGCAGGTCATGGTGGCTCATGCCTGTAATCCAAACACTTTTGGGAGGCCAAGGCGGGAGGATCGCTTGAGCCCAGGAGTTCAAGACCAGCCTGGGGCAACATAGTGAGACCCAGTCTCTATTAATTTTTTGTTTGTTTGTTTTTGAGACAGGGTCTCACTCCATTGCCCAGGCTGGGGCACAGTGGTGCCATCACAACTCACTGCAACCACTGCCTCCCTGCAACCACTGCCTCCCAGGCTCAGGCAATCCTCCCACCTCAGCCTCCCCAGTAGGTGGGACTACAGGTGCGTGCCACCACACCTGGCTAATTTTTAAACTTTTTGTAGGGATGGGATTTCACCATGTTGCTCAGGCTGGTCTTGAACTCCTGACCTCAAGCCATCCTGTTTCAGCCTCTCAAAGTACTGGGATTACAGTTGTGAGCCACCATGCCCGGGCTGTCTCTATTATTTTAAATAATAATTTAAAAAGCAGGCTGGGTGCTGTGGCTCATGCCTGTAATTCTAGCACTTTGGGAGGCCAAGTCGGGAGGATTGCTTGAGGCCAGGAGTTTGAGACCAGACAAGGCCACAGAGCAAGGCCCCATCTCTACAAAAAATAAAAAATTAGCCAGGTGTGCTGGCATTTGCCTGTAGTTGCAGCTACTCAAGAGGCTGAGGTGAGAGGATTGCTTGAGCCTGGGAGGTTGAGACTACAGTGAGCTGTGATCATGTCATTGCACTCCATTTTGGGTGACAGAATGAGACCCCATCTCAAAAAAGAAAGAAAAAAGCCAGCCTAGGCAACATAGCAAGACACCAGCTCTACAAAAATATTTTTAAAAATTTAATTAGCTGGGCATGGTGGTGAGCACCTGTAGTCCCAGCTTCTTGGGAGGCTGAGGCAGGAGGATCACATGAATCCAGGAGTTTGAGGTTATAGTGAGCCATGATTGCACCACTGCATTTCAGCCTGGGCAACAGAGCAAGACCCTGTTTCTAAAAAAAAAACTTTAAGAAGAAAATCAAGAAATAAATTCTGTATCTACTGCAATAGCAATTTAACCTTTAGTGTCCTGAAGCGTTCTAAAAACACACATATAGGCCAGGTGCAGTGGCTCACGCCTGTAATCCCAGTACTTTGGGAAGCTGAGGAGGGCGGATCACCTGAGGAGTTCAAGACCAGCCTGACCAACATGGAGAAACCCCGTCTCTACTAAAAATACAAAATTAGCTGGGCCTGGTGGCTCATGCTTTTAATCCCAGCTACTGGGGAGGCTGAGGCAGGAGAATCGCTTGAACCCAGGAGGCGGAGGTTGCGGTGAGCCGAGATTGCGCCATTGCACTCAAGCCTGGGCAAGAGTGAAAATCCATCCCTCCCCTCAAAAACACACACACACACACATATATGACATTGTTTACTACTATACTGTGAGTGACTAGTGCATTTTGTCTTCTCCCTTAACTTTTGAGTTGGCTTTTGGCAAGGACTGATATCACACTTTTATTATTAATAACAAAAGATTAAACTATCATTTTAGTTAAAAAAAAAAAAAAGTGGCCGGGCACAGTGGCTCACACCTGTAATCCCAGCACTATGGGAGGCCGAGGCAGGTGGCTGAGGTTGGGAGTTCAAAACCAGTCTGACCAACATTAAGAAACCATCTCTACTAAAAATACAAAATTAGCTGGGCGTAGTGGCGCATGCCTGTAATCCCAGCTACTCGGAGGCTAAGGCAGAGGAATTGCCTGAACCCAGGAGACAGAGTTTGCGGTGAGCCAAAATCGTGCCATTGCACTCCAGCCTAGGCAACAAGAGCGAAACTCATCTCAAAAAAAAAAAAAGCTCAGCCTCAAAAGAAATCCAAATTAAATCCAAGTAAAATGTGTGTTCACCCATGCAATGGGATATTTCACCATGGTTTCGACAGTATTTTTTCTAATTTATGTTGTCCCCAAACTATGCTTTTTGTTTAAATGTCTAGAAGTCATACTTAATATGTAGATAATTATGGTTGTCACATAAAAAAAGGCATTGTCCGTTTAACATCATATTATCTTGTATTTTTTAGAGCTTTCTTTTAATTCATCCCGCAAACAATGAGTGCCAGGTAAATGCAGGGCACTGTGCCAGGTGCTGGGAGGACGTGTTGAATGAACAGCCATCACACAACTATGTATTTCTTAGTGCTTTTGATTTTAATTCTTTTGGCATATCTAAATGTCAGAAAGTGAATATATACATACAGAATTCAAAACACCTTCCTAAAATGGTTATTATTGGCCAGTCATTTACATCTTTATTTTGAAAGTCTGAATTGTCAAATAGTTCTAAAGTGCATTCTTGCAGCTAATAAATAGCAGCATTTGTTTATAAAACCTTAAGAAATTCAGACCAGGGCTGGAGAAGTCACAATAAAAAATCAGACATGATCTAGATATAGTCTTCCTTAATCATCTAAGACAAACACTTGTGTGAATTAGTTTATAAGTATACATGAAATATATTTTAAAAAAACATTATAAAAAATTCATACAGTGATGAAAAAAGGAGTCTTCCTCTGCTATTAATATTAAATATGGCAAAACATATACTATACAAGGTTTGTTGAATACTAGTTGTCTTTGGAACCATAGGGAAAGCTTTGCTCTGGGTCAGTGTATGATGTAGCTGAGGTCCGTGATTTTCAACAAAGCTGGAGTTCTACAAGATGACCTGGAAGACTGCTTCTGGCATGGCTTTCGAGAAATCATCCACACAAATGAAAATGTTCTTTCAGTACTGGGACTGTCAGTTCATGGCTTTTTGCGCCTAAAACATAACAACCAGCACTTAGAGTTGAACTTTGCAATTAGTAACACATTCATAGCAAATCAATCTTTAGGAGGCCTTTGAGAACTGCTGTTTTATGATGAGATAATTCAAGTCCCTCTGAGAAAGCAAACAACTTTTATAAAATATGCTTATCTTAGTATTAAATTTAGAAAGGATTTCCCATCTTTATCCTGCTGCAACAATTTTCTAAATTGCTCAGTAAGGTATGTAAATGTTTAAAATGTTATATACATATAACATTTTATATACATATATGTATATAACATGTGATATACATATATGTATGTATTTGTAAAGAAGGGATTTTATTAAAATATGGAAAAAGACTGGGTCAGACTCCTGAGTATAAGTTTAACAGAAGAAGAAAAGGTATGATTCCTTCCCTACTATAAATTCTTTCATTCAGTGTTATTTATTTTAGTGAACACCTATTGCTACACCAAGACCAAGAAGCAAGTCAGGAAACAATGATTTACACAAAGCTGTCTAGTCTCCAACTTAAGCCTTTAGCCTTCCCTCCTTAGAGGTACTCTCAGTTCAGCCTCAGAAAGCTTTATGAGCGTTGGCAGAATATGAACATGAGCCACCAATCTTCCACCACCGCCTGCCTTGCAGCTCTGATTGCTCTTATCCAGCCTTCTGAGGCTCTCAGCATTCCAGCTGCCTACTGCAGTCTGCCCATGGAGGCCCAGATAGTCCAAGGGGAAAACCAAAACCATATATTTCTTCTGAAGAATAAGTGGATGGCTGGTAGAAGGAGTGATAATGTAAAGACCAGAGGAGGAAAAAAGCACACAGCAAGACCCCAATTACAGTCAGTACTCACTTGGGTTGTGCGTGATGCTGATATCCAGGTCCCAGCTGGGATCCTGCTCTCATCTCCACAGCCACAGAACACTGAGAGGAAAATGACAAGAGGAAAAAGATCAGCTCCTCTCAATAGTCTATAAAACACAGTTATTTAGCAGGCTCCACACCTAGGTGAAATGCAATATTGCTTTCTAGTTCAGCAAAGACTCTTACGTTAAAACACCAGTCACTCGTAATTTATTTCTGGCACAGGCCACAAATGTTGTGAGCCAGAAAGGTCTTTAGGTCATCCAGGTAACTTATCTCATTTTAGATAAGTTTGCAAAGAGAGTTGGTGGCTAAGGCCATAGCTTAGCCTCCTGACCCCTACCTTCCCATGTTCTTTCCAAGAGATTCTCCTCAGGAATAACACTTGCAAGGGAGTTCCTGATGAAGTGGATTCTTGTTATTCTAGGAATAGGCCTACATGGTGCACTGGCAATGTGAGATTATACCTCAGCATTTTCAAAGAGCATAAAAATCTAGAGCTGTGGGGTTTAAAACATGACAAACCTAATTTTAGTAGGCAGACAAATATTTAATTTTTCCCCTACCCTTGTTTCTACATCGGTCCATTCAGACTCTGCACCATCTGGTTGGGCAGGTGCTACTGTGGAAGATCTTCGTTTTCGACTACTGAAAAAGGGGAAACATGATGCAACAATTATTTTTCCATCTAAGAAGAGGAAAAATATTAGAAGTAGGGGAATACTATCTACATCCCTTTGGAGAATTAATGATACATTTCACAGGCTATTCTGTTCCTCCAAAATGAGCAGCTAAGAAAATGACCAACTTTTATACAGAGATTTTTGATGGTTACTTACCCATTTGGTGATTCTTGCTTTAAAGTCTCAATATCAGTAAACTGAACAGATTGTCCACCACCCCTTGTTTTATAAATATCACCCTAAAGCCAAAAGAAAAGGTCACTGTTACACATTGATACACCCAAACGAAAAACACACATATATATTTCAAACTGTTCTCATGATTCTATTTTATAGAAATTCCCATCCACAAAATCAGATGGTACTTGGTACTTGCTGAGTACGTACTATCAAAATAATTTAGAAATTTGAGTACATATCTCTCACAAATAAAAGAAGTCCAATTCAATGTAATCAGTAACATTCATAATTGCAGAAAAAAATATTCCTTTTGCTCCATCTGTAATTTAAAAACTAAACTGCACTAAGGATCAAGAAATTTGCTGGAAGTTTCTACACGCTCTAAGGCATGGTACTTTCTTCTCTGAGTGCCCCCTGTTGCCCATATTCAAATGACAGTATAGTCTTATTTGTAGCTAATTATAATAAGAACAAAAACTCTAAATTGAAATTGAAATAAAAAGCTTTTTTTTTTTTTGGTCTTATCTTTTACTTTCCTGATTATTCACTGACCCTATGATCAAAGGGGAATTCTTCTATAGTCAGGCAAGTCTCTTTCTGGAAAACGGCTTTAGGCAGCTCAATACTGAGTAATTTTGACGGGTCAAATTTTAACATAGGTTTCGTTTTGTTTTGTTTTTGTTTTTTTATCTTGAACTGATGGAGAGCAATAGGAATTCTTTGCTTAGATTACTTTAAGTAGTGGTTAAAACTAAATATACAGTCATTAAAAAATTAAAGTACATCATGGATCTAGAATTCTAAGAAACCGAAGAATCTATACCTATTTAAAGCATACTTAGTCCCAGTTTGGCAGACTTAAAACCTAAGCAGTGACTAATTTTCTGCTAACAAAAAGGTTATATCAAATACCTACTGATGTTCCAGTTGACACTACCTGTGTGTCACCAAAGGAGTAGCAGGACAAATGGACTTTTGTTGAATTTTTAAATATATTTTTTTCTCCTGTGAAAATTAGTTTTTTACCTTAATTAGTTTAGTTTCAATCTCCCCATCGGAGGCTAGTTCCTGGTGGGTCAGCATG
The DNA here is from genome assembly GCF_000001405.40 of Homo sapiens. Lineage (NCBI taxonomy): Eukaryota > Metazoa > Chordata > Mammalia > Primates > Hominidae > Homo > Homo sapiens. The sequence goes on along the minus strand of NC_000015.10, from coordinate 69,444,983 downwards.
TACTTCTCACACTTAGCTAGTGCCTTTTCATTTGCAACAGATACTGTGATGGCATGAGGGACATGTGGCTGCATGACTGTTTCAGTTTGCATGTTAGAGGCGGGCTTATGATCTACCCATCTGTCTCCTGCAGAGCGTGATCGTCTGTGTCGGAGACGAATTGGTGGTGCGTTCTGATCAGGTTGAAAGAGTAACTGAGAAACAAGCATAACCCAGAATTAATTTAAGGGTATTATTAGAAGTGCAGCAGGTTTGGCTACATTAGTTGATGACAGTATCATAGCAAACCTTTCCAAAGCTAAATATTTTATTCAAGTAATTTAAACATGATCTTTGCATTTAAACACAAAACCAACAAACATCTTTAACACCAACTTGTATGTTACACATTCTATCTGGGAGTTTCCCTTTCAATAAAGGATAAAAGAAAAAATTCTGGTAATGCTGCAAGTCTTTCCTGCTTGGGGGTGGTTCAGGACAAACAACTCATTTCATATTCTTGATCAAAAACCAATATTTATCCCTGCTATTGAGAGGTAATCTATTATGTCCACAACTCTGTTAAAATCTTCAATAAGATCAATGAAAGCCCTACACATTTTCTAGGCTTCTAAACAAAACAGAAAACAATCCTAAGAACATAGGTATAATAAGAACCATATGAATAAAATGATTAAAGAAATGTGAAATACTTCTGAGTGCTTTCAGTTAAGATTTTAAAATCTCATAATAGAACTTCATGAAAAGTTCAAATACAGTAATGGCTACAATATACCAACTAATTTTTCCCCCAAACATTTCATACAGGTTCCAAGAAACAAATAAATAATACAGTGTCAAATCAGTCTCTATCACACAATAAAAGACTAGTTGCTAGGCCAGGCATGGTGGTACATGCCTGTAATCAGCACTTTGGAAGGCCGAGGTGGAGGAATCACTTGAACTCAGAAGTTCAAGTTCAGCCTAGGCAACATGGTGAAACCCAGACTCAACAAAAACAAAACAAAACAAAACAAACAAAAATATATATATATATATTAGCTGGGCTTGGTGACACGTGCCTGTAGTCCCAGCTACTCAGGAGGTTGAGGTGGGAGGATTGCTTGAGCCCAGGAGGTGGAAATTGCAGTGAGCCAAGATCGCACCACTGCACTCCAGCCTGGGCAATAGAATGAGACCCTGCCTCAAAAACAAACAAGTTGCTTCCAGTCAAATGTCATGTAAACCTGGGAATGCTAAATTAAGCACATTCAGCCTAAGAAAATAATATGTCACATATATGCCATAGTTATAGTTTGAAGCAATGAATTATCTTTAGAATTTTATGAACATCTCCTGTTTGTAAAACTGAAAGCAGGGCTGGGTGCAGTGGCTCATACCTGTTATCCCAACATTTGTGAGGCTGAGGTGGGAGAAGGATCACCCGAGACCAGCTTAGGCAATGTAAGAAGACCCCATCTTTACAAAAAATTTAAAAATTAGCCAGGTGCGATAGCACATGCCTGTGGTCCCAGCTACTCAGGAGGCTGAGGTAGAACGATCACTTGAGCCTGGAAGGTCAAGGCTGCAGTGAGCCTAGATGACACCACTGCACTCCAGCCTGGGCAACAGATCAAGACCTCATCTCAAAAAAAAAAAAAAAAAAAAAAAAAAAAAACCCAAAAAACAAAACTGAAAGCAAATGGAAAAAGTCTATCACAGGCCAAATCTGTCAAAGCTAGTCAAGTATGAAGACCTCAATTTCAAAATGCACATCTGAGGAACTGAATCATTTTCGCTATATAGTTAACAAGAAACAAATGCAGCACTAGTGACAGCTCTAAGACATGGGCAATACAGTTTGCCACTAAAGATGCTGAGCCTCAAGACAAACAGGAACTTTCCATTCCTACAATGATTTATTTAATGTTGAACACGAAAGAAAGTCTGGTCCTTATCATCTACCATTTAGCAAAAACAAAGGTTTTCTTCAAACATTTAACAATAAGCATATGATGAAACACACTTCAGAAAGATGATAATCCATACAATCTACTAGCATTTATGAAACAAATATTTAAATTTTTTCCTCACTGAAGTATAAATTCAGTCCACCTGACATAATTTTTGACCAACAAACTTAGATGCACAGATACTAACCTTACAGTAACTTTTCTGCTGCACTTCTAAAGAGATTTTGATTTCACGTAAGAATCTCTAGTAAATTCCCTTAAATATCTCATAGCCAAATTAGATATCTCATTACGGTTTGCAAGGCATACGCAAGCCTTGAATAGTTTTCAGCCTATAAACTTTCATAAAATGACTGACTAGAGTTGGTCAGAATGACCATTTACCTAATTTGCTGTCTAAAAATGTTTAAGGAAAAATCTGCAAAGTAAAGAACTTAAGAGACTTTAGAATCATCTGTTTCCCTGGTAAATAACTTGGGATTCATCACCATCCCTTAATAATCAGGAATTCAGGCCACATAAATGAACATTCATCTATACCCTGACTTATATAAGAAAATCTAAAGTAAATGTTTACTGTAAGATTTAGAAGAAATATTCTAAGAGAGCTTTGTGAAGATTTTACTAAATATAAAATTCGCAAACATTAACTTGGTCCATTTATTCAGATTCAAAAGAAACTTTACCTTAATCTTTAAGAAGAAAAATATGAAAGTGAATTTATTTAAATACCCTTGAATGAGGCAAATGTAAATTGAGATAAATGCCTCAAGATTAAAAGCAATTTATTGGGCATGGAAATCAGTAATTTTAAAATAACTGGCCTAAACTCTTCAATGAAAATAGTCAATGTCATAAAAATAAAAAAAGTAGGGGGACAGGGTGAGACTATTTTATATTAAAAGAGATGAAAGACATAATCATGATATGCAATGCATACACTTTCATAGTATCATGGATTGAAAAAAAAGCTGGCTGGTGCAGTGGCTTGCCTGTAATCTCAGCACCTTTGGAGGCCAAGGCAGGAGGATTGCTGGAGTTCAAGAGTTCAATACCAGCCTGGGCAACATGGTGAGACCTTGTCTCTACTGAAAATAAAAAATTAGCATGGTGGCCTGCCCGTAATCTCAGCTACTTGGGAGGCTGAGGTGAGAGGATCACTTCAGCTCAGGAAGACTGAGGCTGCAGTGAGCCATAATCATGCCACTGCACTCCATCCTGGGTGACAGAGTGAGACTCTGTCTTTAAAAAAAAAAAAAGAAAAGCCAATCCAATTTTGGGACAACTGCACAATGTCTCAATAGAGGATAATTAATTAATGTTGATTTTCTTGGATGTGATAAAGATTGTGGCTAGGTAGTACAATGTCCTTATTCTTAGAGATTAAGTGTCTCTAAGTCTGTGATTTCCTTTCACAAGGCTTAGGGGAAAAAGGTTTACATATCTATATCAAGTAACAATTGGTAAACTTAGGCAAGGAGGGAAAGACATTACCATACTATTCTTTCTACTTTGCTTTGGGTCTGAAATTTTTCAAAATAAAAATTTGGGAAAACAATTTTTAAAACTAGGGCATGAAAGGAGGTATAAAAAATCTAATTTGGGGAAGGGGAACCAAAAGAAAAATATGGAAAGTATGCTTTAAGACACATTCACCAATTCTGTGCAAAGCTTATTAGCGTATGCAGCTGAAAAGCTCAGACTACTCTGGGATGCACCAAACTGACCTGTGTTCACTGAACACACTTCCGCTGCCAGATGTGTTTAGGCTTTTTCAGATGAGGAGCCAGGCCTCAATTTCCGTAAGTCAATCTTTCAAATTAACTGAGAAATTAGACCTTCTTTATACTATAGCCCAACCATTTTTCCAATGAACTTTCAGACACAAGTTACAAAAAACAAAGAAGATAAAATCTATTGCTACAATGCGTTAAAATAATACTGGCACTAACCCTGCCGCAATGATCCTCTTCTATTTCTATCTCATTTCTGAATGTAGGAACCACCTCCCTGCCTTCAGTCCAGTACATCCCTCGCCTTCTGTCTGACACGATACAAGTTTTGCTTTGTCCTGGCTCCTGCTGCCTACGCCTTGCAATAGATGTGACTTTGAGAGGTGTGTTGTACGTAGGAATTTTCTGCTCCCATTCCGAAATACAGGAAGCTACAGAAATGCTGCTGCAAGAGTTAGAGCGCCTATGTAGCTGTGGCTGGCTCATGAGTTGCTGGCCGTTGGAAATCTGAGCAATATAGTTACTAGAAAGCTAGAAAAATTGGAGAAAAATTAATGAGCAAGACTGAAAAACTGAGAGAAACAATTCATTACTTTTCTATAATGTTAGCACATGAAGACTTAACATTACAAATAATTATTTGTTCTATTTTTTTGTGCTAAATTTGTGTTTATTCTAAATTTTAAAATATTTTTAGAGAAATTTCAGAAATGTAAGTATTATAAAATGTAAAAATCCTCATAGAAATAGTCATCTAATCTGAACAAAATTTCTCTAGTACAAAGTTACTACACAATTACAAATAACTTACAGGCACAGGTGATGGAGAAACAGATCTTTGAGTAACTTTTTCTCGATCTCGCTCCCGAGAGGGTCTCTCTGGCTTCTCAGTTTTAGGTTCGGTAACAATAGCCTTCAGTTGTTTCAGCTTTTCATCTTTAACCCAGAGTTTATTCTGCATCTCCAGCTGTTTGGCTGCCACTCTACGCTCCTACAGATTATCAGTGGCAATGTATATTATCATTCCATCACAGCAAACGAGTACACCAGATTACCCAATCTCTTTATTTCCTAAAAATGACAGTTCTCCAATTCTTCCTGAGAGTTAACAACCACCACCAAAACCCTACCGCAAATACAATAATTCAAAATATCGAACCTAACTACAATGTAAAATAAATCATCCGACTCTGAGACAAGCACTACCCAAACGATACTCACACATTCTTTCTCCCACTTCATTGTCGTTTCTGTCACCATGCCTTGCAACCTGGCTTCTAATCTGCGTTTGTCAGAAAACTGTCGCTGAAGTTTCTGGTTCTGAGTTTCAAGTTCCTGTTGCAAATTGCGTTTATCTTCCTCATAGATAGTAGTTGTTTTCTCTAAAATCTCAATCTAGGAAGGTAGACCACTATGTTCAATATTTGGTATATAAACATTTCATGTCGCTATAAAATAGTCTTCCTTAATTTGCTTATGCAAGCATATTTGTGGAAAGAAACATCATGGAGAAAGCACTTTTTTCTCTAACATTTCATCTGAATTCCCACCCCCATTCTCAGAAATGAAAACATGTTAAACAAGCTCCTCACCCAAAGACATTTACAACTAACTTCATGTGAAAATTACTTTCTCCTAAAATTAAGGGCTAAAATTTAGTTTTTAGGCTATTTTCAGAATTTAAAAAAACTATATTGGTTGAGACTAACTTCTCTTATGAATGTGTACCCCCACCAAACCTCTAAATGACCCTCTGTAAATGAGAGAACAGACATACATTACACAGTGCTGCAATGCTTCCCAACAAAACGGTATTTCCTTCTACCCCATTGTAAGAGATTAATCCTGAGTTTATACTTTTACAATCGATTTGTAAACCAAATACAGATCCAATTAAGCTTTACTGAGTATCTGTTACGTCCAAGGCCCGATGCTGGCACTTTTATACCATTTCATTTAATCATTTATCTCATTAAAAAAAAAAAGCATACTAAGGAAATATTTCTAATAAATTCAAAAGCAAGCTACAACCAAAGCTAAGCTCTAGAAAGCTCCCTTGTTTGGGTCAGAGAACATCCTTTTCAACTGTTAAAACTCTCATAAAATTAAAGAACATATGATTCTTCATTTCACTCACATTTCCTCCTTAGCATGGGATGAGGATTAGTAAACAACCAATTGAGAACTTTTTTTTTTTTTTTGAGACAGGCTCTCGCTCTGTCACCTAGGCTGGAGTGCAGTCGTGCAATCCCAGCTCACTGCAGCCTCAACCTCCCAGGCTCAAGCTGTTCTCCCATCTCAGCCTTCCGAGTAGCTGGGACTACAGACATGTACCACCATGCCTGGCTAATTTTTTTTGTAGATATGGGGTTTCGCCACGTTGCCCGGTCTGGTCTGGAACTCCTGGGCTCAAGTGATCTCCCTGCCTTGGCCTCCCAATGTGCTGAGACTACAGGCATGAGCCCCCGCACTCAGCCTGAGAACTCTTTTTTTTTTTGAGACAGAGTCTTGCTCTTGTCGCCCAGGCTGGAGTGCAGTGGCTCAATCTCGGCTCACTGCAACCTCCACCTCCCCAGTTCAAGCGATTCTCCTGCCTCAGCCTCCTGAGTAGCTGGGATTACAGGCACTCGCCACCACGCCCAGCTAACTTTTGTACTTTTTTAGTAGAGATGGGCTTTTGCCATGTTGGCCAGGCTCGTTCTTGAACTCCTGACCTCAGATGATCTGGCCACCTCAGCCTCCCAAAGTGTTGGAATTACCTGCATGAGCCACCGCACTCAACCGAGAACTCTTAATAAGCAGCATTTACAGGCCGTTGGAGCACAATATCTCCCTCAGAGAACAGTGCTAAAACACCAGCACATACATCTATCATAATAATGTCAAAACAAACCTTATATTCTAAAGTTTTGTTTTTCTTTTCCAGTCGTTCTATTTCCAATTTCTGTCCTGAGATCATCTTCTCCTTTTCATTTAGTTTCCCTTGCATGTGGTTTTCTTTACTTAAAACAGCATTGTCAAATTCTTGTAACAAAGCTTTAAAAGCATTAGCTGAAACAAAAACATACAGGTCAAGTTTTACACCAGTTCTAAAACAAACAATGATATCAACTTTTGCTAGCAGACACTAGATAAAATGTAGTTATTCAGCAAATCTCTGTGAGAATCAGTCTATAATGAGAAAACAAGTTTAGAGGGAAATCAGGAGCTTCATTCTCCAGTTGACAAGATATTCACAGAAGCTTTCTGTTAAATGCTGAAAAAATACTCAAGTCTTTCACTGTGCACTATAGCATTCTCTTCCCAATCCTTACAGGTACTTTGCTTCACAACAACAAACGCAAAAATAGAAACAACACTACTATTTGGGATTAATTAAACCTGAGCTGAAATCCTTGGAACATCACTTACTAGTTATGACTTAGGCGAGTTAATTAATATTTCTGGGCAAATTTCATTTCAGTATGGAAATTTAAATACCACTTTATCTCACAACTTTTTGGTAAAGATTCAAATGAATAATGATAATAAAAATAGTAGAGCCAGGCATGGTGGCTCACGTCTGTAATCCCAGCATGTTGGGAGGCCAAGGTGGGTGGATCACGATGTCAGGAGTTTGAGACCAGCCTGACCAACATGGTGAAACCCCGTCTCTACTAAAAATACAAAAATTAGCAGGGCGTGGTGGTGTGCACCTATAATCCCAGCTACTCAGGAGGCTGAGGCAGGAAAATCGCTTGAACCCAGGAGGCGGAGGTTGCAGTGAGCCGAGATTGCGCCATTGCACTCCAACTTGGGCAACAGAGCGAGACTCAGTCTCAAAAAAAAAAAAAAAAAAAAAAGTAGATACATTCATTCACTGAGATACATTCACTATGTACCAGAATTTACTGTTCTACAGGATTTTCATACTTTATCTTATTTATCTTCACAACATATCCTGAGGTAGAAACAATTACAATCCCCACTATGTAGACAGGGGAAACTAAAAAATATTTCTTTGTGTCTCCATCACTGTAAAAAACAAAAGAAAGAACACACGCTCACTTTTTTCTTTTTGACTTCCTTAGAATACAAAAAAGAGCTGTGGAAAAATGCCTTGTCATACTAATCAAACAATGCCTTGAGTGCTTCAAAGTTCTAAAGACACAATTTTCTTTAACTTCCTTAAATATGCAATCTACCATATAACTCAGATTCATTGAAAATACTTTCAATTTCAGAAGTTACAATTATTGCAAATTGGCTGGGAGTGGTGGCTCATGCCTGTAATCCCAGCACTTTAGGAGGCCGAGGCAGGCGGATCACTTGAGGTCAGGAGTTTGAGACCAGCCTGGCCTACATGGCGAAACCCCGTCTCTACTAACAGTACAAAAATTAGCCAGGCGTGGTGGCATGTGCCTGTAGTCCCAGCTACTCGGGAGACTAAGGCAGGAGAATCGCTTGAACCCAGGAGGCGGAGGTTGCAGTGAACCGAGATTGTGCCACTGCACTCCACCCTGGGGTACAGAGTGAAACTATGTCTCAAAAAAAAAAAATAATTAAATAAAATTATTTCAAATAGTTTTGCCCTTACATTGTTTGTTAAACTCATCAATCATCATTTGTCGTAAGTTATGTCGTTTCTCTAAGGCTTCAATCAGCCTTGGAAGTGTCTGCTCATCGTTGATATCCAAAATTTCGCATGATGGCAAAGGTGGAAAACTCTGCAAAACCACGTCAGTAACCAATGGTTCTGTATTGAATTATAGAAAATTACAAAAAGTTACATAGGAGAGAAAGAGCTTATTTAAACAAGTTTAACACTGCATACAGCCCCAGTGCAACTAACCATTGCAATTTCTTGAGCTGACATAAGTTTACTTACCTAAGAATCATAGTATGCAAAATAAGCTCATTTAAATTTTGTTCAAATTATTATGTGCTTGGTTCTTCAGAAGGTATGTAAACATTTCTCTTAAATGAAATAATTTTTTTTAAAAAAGAGAGAAACAGACAGACCAATGAGTGGACAAATGATACAACACCAAATCATACCATTTCCAACTGGACCTCGAGGCTGGTTTCTGTATCTCCTCCCAGGCGTTAAACCACATATTGCCTTGTCTACAGGTCTTGCTACTTCAACTTCTTGAGTCACTTCCGCAAATCTCATGACTTGCTAAAACACAAAACAAATGGAGTTTAAAAAAAAATAAGGATATCCAAGTCCCAGAAATTACTAAATGAAGCAAAGATTGCTTATTTTTATTTATTTGAGACAGTCTGTCACCAGGCTGGAGTGCAGTGGCATGAACACGACTCACTGCAGCTTCGACCTCCCAGGTGGGCCCAATTGATCGTCCCACCTCAGCTTCCCAACATGTTGGGATTATAAGCATAAGCCACCACACCAAGCCTAGTTTACTTCTACAATCAATGGTTCTCTATCCATTTTTAAAATATTCAAAATGTCATTCTGCTCATCCAAGTAACTGTTTTCCCGACAAAAACTCAAGACTTTATAGGACAAATACATTAAAATTACCAAGTTTTCTTCATAATCTTCAGCCTTGGGGTTCACACACACGATCATCCGCACTTTTCCTTCCCCATCAAAGTAGTTCTTGAACAGATGGGTTAACTTTGAATCTCGATATGGAACCATCTACAAAGACATTCATATCCAAATGTGTTACGCAAAAAAAATGCACACAAATGAAACTATACAAAAGAACAGAGAAGGCTGCTGCTTACCTTGTTAGTTCCATACATTTGGTTCTCTCTTAGGACATCCATACATGTTCTTAGCGTCATTAGTGACTGATTAATATTACCTGACAGAAAAAAATACATAGACGCCATTTCAGAACAACAGTATAGTAGCTAAAGTGTGTTCTGTTTGCCTATAAAATCTCAACTTCAAACAACTACTAGATAGAAATTATAAATAACAAATTTTTGTGGCTCAATATAAAGAGCTGTCTATGCATGGTCCAGGCTCTCTTTCAATAGCAGTATTTCTGGGAAGGTTAAACAGCCATCCTTCAGGGATTCTACCAACAGGATTTTCCACAAAATGCAACATTACAGTTAATGACTATAAGGTTTCTTCCAAATCCTAAATTCTCTGAAGGAATATCTTATATAGAGATGTTTAATATCCTCATATTAAAATATATTCTCTAGGCAATTGACAGGAATCATGGCGACCCCCAGGCCACCGTCCCGCTTCTGGGGGTGGGGGAAGAATATCGTCTGTGTGGGGAGGAACTATGGGGACCACACCAGGGAGATGCCAACGCGGTGTTGAGCGAGTCCGTGCTGTTTCTGAAGCTGTCCACGGCCTACACACCTGAGGGCTCGCCCATCCTCATGCCCGCGTACAGCTGCAACCTGCACCACGAGCTGGAGCTGGGCATGGTGATGGGCAAGCATGGCCGCGCAGCTATGGACTACGTGAGCAGCTATGCCCTGTGCCTGGACATTACTGCCAGGGACGTGCAGGATGAGTGCAAGAAGAAGGGGCTGCCTTGGACTCTGGCCAAGAGCTTTATGGCCTCCTGCCCAGTCAGCGCGTTCGTGCCCAAGGAGAAGATCCCTGATCCTCCCAATCTGAGGCTCTGGCTCAAGGTCAACGGCGAACTCAAGACAGGAGGGTGAGACATCCTCCATGACTTTTTCCATCCCCTACATCATCAACTATGTTTCTAAGATCATGACCTTGGAAGAAGGAGATGTTATCTTGACCAGGACAACAAAGGGAGTTGAACCAGTTAAAGAAAACTATGAGATCCAGGCTGGCATACACGGCGTGGTCAGTATGAGATTGAAGGTGGAAAGGCCAGAATATTGAGGCATCTCTTAACAAGTTTCAGGGAGAAGGGAGAAAGACAAAAGCAAGCAACGGCTATTAAATGTCGCAATCCTTTAATAAGAAACCAATTATTTAAAAAAAAGATTAGATTGCTGTGGCTCAACTCAAAGAAGATGGATTCTTCAAGAAAACATGAACTAGAAGGGATGGACCAGAAATTTAAAAAGCCAAAGTAAAGTACTTCTGGTGCTTCGGAAAAATTTTATCAAACCAAATGTTCTAGAGTTTTCTTTCATAAAACTGGATTGGAGAAGACTTTTCAGTGGGTTATCTCTAGGATGATCAGTCGTTCAAGACTTAAAAACTGCAGGGAAAACTGAAAGTTATGTTCCAGATCAGTGTTTCCCAAATTTCCTTGGATTTGGTCATCATCAGGAAGCATTTGTAAAAATAAAAATTTCCAAACTACTGTGGCCCATCCCAGAGCCACTAAATCAATTTGATGGGATTAATCTCCAGTGAAGCTGTGTTTACAGAGTACTCCAAATGATTCTTATCAGGGAAATGTGGAAAAACACTGCTGTACATAATCAATTAATTTAAATTTTTACTTAATAAGTGAACAATTAATGAAGATTTCACCTGTTTACTTAGGGTGTCTACCCTGACCCATCGATTCTGAGTTCAGGAGATGATTTTGAAATTATTGTTTTCCAAATAAGTGTGCTGCTACCTTTTATGTGGCTAAAAAATAAAAATAATAAAATAAAATAAAAAATAAATAAATAAAATATATTCTCTAAGGCAGCAGATCCCCAAACTTTCTGGCATCAGGGACCAGTTTCATGGAAGACAATTTTTACACAGATGGGTTGAGGCTTGAGGGGTGTGGTTTGGGATGAAATCATTCCAGCTCAGATAATCAGGCATTAGATTCTCATAAGAAGCATGCAAGAGTCTGAAGCTCTTGCTGCATCTAGAGGGGCTCTCCTGTTGTTTCTAACAGTCAAGTGTCTTCAGAATCAGCTAACTCTGTCCCCTCTACATCTCAGCAAGGATTTCTTAGGTGGCATACTTGTTACTTCTGACCACTCTTATTTGGATTTCTGAGCCAAGGCAAGTCTAACAGTCTAATCAAGCTTTCAAGAATGCAGCTCTCATCTGATTAGACCCCATAAGAATGAGTTCATTTTGAAACCTTGATTGAGGTCAGCTAACTCGATTATGCTTTCACCCTTGGCCTCCTTGGAGGATCTTGGATACACCTCCCAAAATACAGAACTCATCTGTACCTCTGTAATATTCCATGATTCATGATTTACGTTCCTTGACCCAAACTCCTAATGTTCTTTCTTCTTCCACTGTGCTCTCAGGAACTCATGTTATTAACAGATTTCCCTGCATCTTCAAATCTCTCACAAAATAATCCATTGATAGCTTTCCCTAGTGGTCAGGGGTTCTTAACCTGAGGTCTATATTGTCCGGGGGAACATGATGGGGTGTCTGCATACTTAGATGGAAAATAAATTACATTATTTACTTTTTACCAAACCAACTGGAATTCACTAGTTCCTTCAATTATGAATGCAGGCCAAAAACCACAGCATTAGTAGTACCTGTAATTGGTATCAATACAAATCACAGATATTTTTATAGCATGTTACAGTTTGTTGCTCATCAAGATATTTATGTTCATCATTACACTGCATTTATTTAATCAGACCTGCTGCTGTGTCTTTAAGGTATTAATAAAGAAGCACATAATTACTGTATGACAAACTTAAGAATACTTTTAAAACACATTTCAATGCAATTGGTTTCCTCTGTAATCCTCTCTGTGTTATACCTTCAGAAATACTATACCAGGAAGGGTCCATAGGCTTCACCCTACATCCATGGCACACAGCCCTGCAACCTAACCATTTATCTCTTGCTGCAGCCCTGTAGCCTTTTGGAGTAAAAAAAAAAAAGCTACTTGTTTTCTAAAGGCTGACATTCTACAAGTATGGTAAACAGAGGGAGAGGCTAGCAACATTTTCCTAGTTCCTCCTTATTGCCTTGAAATATTCCTCCTACATGCCAGTCCCTGGTTTATTTCGGTGTCCATGAGAACAACAATCATTCTCATATGCTGTAGTCACAGGGTCCCAATGTCCCAGCTCCAGTAAATCTTTATCTCTATTCCATTACAGCTGACAGCCCAAACCCTATCCCTCAGAAGTGTACCACTTCTAAAAACCTGGAGCCTCTGCCATATGCCCCAACTACAATCTCCTTTTCTCTCTCACTCCCTAACTCTATATTAACACTAACAGTCCTTTCTAGCTTTTCCCCAAAGCATCCAAAACTTCAAGTTTTTACTTTCTTCCCAAACCAGCTCTTGTCCCATCAAAGTTAATCCTTCCTCTTGGATCTAGATTCAGATTTTCCTGCCTCTTCCAGGATCTTGCTCCGCCAATAATCACCACTTTATTATGAACACCTAGTAGGTAAGCTGCACTGGGTAGACATTGACAGACAGCACACACACAGTCCACTCTCATGAAATTCAAATGATTCAGACAAATTGCAAGAGTCCTTTGGGCCAGGGTAGAGGCAGCTCTAAAGGCCCCATTTCTCACCACTGGACTTAAACATCATCTCTTCAGCATATGAATAAACTCAAGTCTTTACTATCTTCTAATGTACATATATAATGTGTGTGTGTATTTTTTCATCATTTCATAATCCCTCAAATCCCTTTTAGCTATCACCCTTCTCTGTCCATCCCAAGCTAATAATCAAGGGCTTGCTGTTCCTCAAGCTTCTGCTCTCAGCTTGTTCCTCTCCATTCGCTATGAATTATCTTATCTCACCCAATTGCTTCAATCATTTCTTTTTTTTTTTTTTGAGACGGAGTCTCGCTCTGTCGCCCAGGCTGGAGTGCAATGGCGCGATCTCGGCTCACTGCAAGCTCTGCTTCACGGGTTCACGCCATTCTCCTGCCTCAGGCTCCCGAGTAGCTGGGACTACAGGCGCCCACCACCACGCCCAGCTAATTTTTTTGTATTTTTAGTAGAGATGGGGTTTCACCCTGTTAGCCAGGATGGTCTCGATCCCCTGACCTCGTGATCCGCCTGCCTTGGCCTCCCAAAGTGCTGGGATTACAGGCGTGAGCCACTGCATCCAGCCAATCATTTCTCTATTGGCAAAGCCTAAACCTATAAACCTCAAGTCAAAATCTCTCTCCTTCCAAATCCATGTACCTCTGCATCCAATTACAAGGCACTTTCACTTGCATAAATTGAACATTTCAAATACAACTCATTACCTGCCTATACCTGCTCCTAAAACTGCTTCTCCTCAATCAAACACCTCCTTATTCTCCACATCCTAACTAGCTCTCAGTGTTGTCTGACCTTTGCCTCCAGGTCACACAATTGCTTACCTGAATTGGGGCAAAAGGCTCCTAACTGCTCTTTCATGTATTTAGGCTCGCTCCTGGTAAATTATTTCTCTACACTGGCAAAATGATCTTTCTAAAAGACTAATCCTTCTTTAAGGGGAGGCTGTATGACATAGTATAAAGACACAAGCTATGAGAGTCCAACCAATCTGGCTCCAGCCTTGAGAAAATTAACCTTCCCAAACCTATTTCCTCATCTGAAAAATGGGTGTGATACAATCCTACCTATCTAGTGTGTGGATACTATCATACACACTAGACCCTTAATAGTTGGCAGCTAACATTATTCCTTCAAGATAAAATTCAAACTTCTTGATATGACAGACAGGGGTCTTCATGACCTTGCCTTGCTCTCCTGCCTCAGTTCTCATAGTTCACCAACTTACATCCTCTACTTCAGCTACTTTGACTCTGCCATAGTATCTCAGGACCAAGCAACTGCCTCCTGGGACAGGAACGTTGCCTTTAATCCTATCCTGCTTCATACAGCTCACTCCTACTCAATTTTTCACCTTCCCACTCCCAGATTGGTTTAGGCAGCCCTACCCTGCACTCCCATCATACTCTACTCAAACAATCTAGTTTATCTACTGATCTCCTCTATTAGGATGGGCTCGCTCCAGCAGAGAGAATTAATGGGAATTAATTTGTGTTTAATTCCTGGCACATAGTAGGTACTCAATACATGTTTATTAACATAAAACACAACATGCAAGGTGACAGAAAACCCAATTACACTGATTGATCACACTGCATACATCTATCAAAATATAACATATACCCAAAAAGTACGTACAACTATGATATATTAATTTTTAAAAAACTACAAAAAGGTAACAGGACATAACATGCATGAATTTTAAAAAACACATATACAGATTGGCTATATATATATTTAAAGCCTTCAATTGGCTTGTGTTCAGAATTTTCCCATCTCTAGAAGCCAATTTTTACCACTAATAAGTATTGAAATAACATTTCAAGGACCCAATTCTGACCTACAACACTAAAAATAGAGTCCTTTTTTGTTGTTGTTGTTGTTTTTGAGACAGGTTCTCTGTTGCCCAGGCTGGAGTACAGTGGTGAGATCAGGGATTGCTGCAGTCTTGACCTCCAGGGCTCAAGCAATTCTCCCACCTCAGCCTCCAAGTACCTTGGAACTATAGACGCACCACGCCCAGCTAATTTTTTGTATTTTTTGTAGAGATGGGGTTTCATCATGTTGCCAAGGCTGGTCTTGAACTCCTGGGCTCAAGTGATCCACATGCCTTGGCCTCCCAAATTGCCAGGATTACAGGTGTGAGCCACCGCACCCAGACTAATTGAATACAACTTTCCTCATTCTTAAAGAAATCAGTGTATTGTAATAGATTAATACCAAACCAGCCTAACTATAAACTTAGCCTCTAAATTATCTAATGGAGGACAATTGTGCTTAAACCACCCATCGAGGCCGGTTACAGTGGCTCATTCCTGTAATCCCAAGACTTTGGGGCGGCCAAGGTGAGAGATTACTAGAGCCCAGGAATTTGAGACCAGCCTGGGCAACATAAGGAGACCCCACCTCTACAAAAAATTTTTAAAAATTAGACAGGCATGGTGGTGCATACCTGTAGTCCCATCTACTCAGAAGGTTACAATGGGAGAATCAATTGAGCCCAGGAGTTTGAGGCTGCAATGAGCCATGATCACACCACTGCATTCCATCCTGGGTAACAGAGTAAGACCGTCTCAATAAAATAAAAATTAAAAAACAAAGAACCACCCATTGATAAGTAGATAATAAACTGGCATTGCAAGTTTCTGAAAGTTGTAGCAATAAATAAATACCATGCTTTACTCACCAGCTTCACGTAATCTGTTCCCTTCTGCTCTGGTCCGGTTAGTTCTTTCACTTCCAGCAAGATCTACCAAGGACAACTGACTTATAGTGATTTGTTCTTTTTCCTAAAAAGATCACAAAGCCAATAACTTAAAATGGGTTATAACTGGTTTATAATGTTCTTTAAATAGATTCATATCAACAAGCTAAGTCTTAATGAACATTTGCACAGTACAAAATGCACAGGACAGGCAAAGGATACCTATTTTAGGGGAGAGTTTGCTAGAAGAGTATGATAAATATACTCATGACATTAATGATTACTTGTCAATTGGCTGGTCTTCCTTCTGCATCAGACAGTAAGCCCCCTGAGAGCAGGGACTCTGTCTTTTACTACCTTATCACCAGCATGCTGCACAGTGCCTACCACTGAGTAGGAACTCAGCAGATATTTGCTGAATAAGAGTCTAGAACAGGATTATCCTAAATTCTTCTATAATCAGATATTTAATAATCTTATAATTTCATAATGCTATAAATAATTCTTTTGTTTTTTTTTTTTTTTTTTTTTTTTTGGGAGACAGAGTCTCGCTCTACCTCCCGGCTGGATTGCAGTGGCGCCATCTCTGCTCACTACAACCTCCCCCTCCTGGGTTCAAGCGGTTCTCTTGCCTCAGCCTTCCGAGTAACTGGGATTACAGGCGTGTGCCACCATGCCCAGCTCATTTTTTTTGTATTTTTGGTAGAGACAGGGTTTCACCATGTGGACCAGGCTGGTCTCGAACTCCTGACCTCAGTTGATCCGCCCGCCTCAGCCTCCCAAAGTGCTTGGGATTACAGGGGTGAGCCACCACGCCCAGCAAATAATTCTTATAAAAAGAAGTGAAAGTCAAGTGGTACCGAACTAATGCTGTAATATTAGATGTGATTCAATGGAAATCAGGTGCATATGGAAGGCTGACTTATAACCATTTTTTTTTTTTAGACAGAGTCTCACTCTGTCGCCAGGCTGGAGTGCAGTGGCGCAATCTTGGCTCACTACAACCTCCACCTCCCTGGTTCAAACAATTCTCCTGCCTCAGTCCCGAGTAGCTGGGACTACAGGCATGCGCCACTATGCCCTGCTAATTTTTGTATTTTTAGTAGAGACGGGGTTTCGCCATGTTGGCCAGGATGGTCTCAATCTCCCGACCTCATGATCCACCCGTCTTGGCCTCCCAAAGTGCTGGGATTACAGGCGTGAGTCACTGCGCCTGGCCCTTATAACTATTTTCTAGCTAACGGTTATTGAGGGCTGACTATAAGCTAAGCACTGGACTAAGAACTTTACACGCATTACCTCCTTTAATTCTCACAACCTTATAAGGAGGTTTTATTATAGCTAGTCGGTAAATAAATAGAAATGAGCATTCAAATCCTGGAGGTCTTCAATACCACTCCTGCCACTTATAAATCTTCATAATGCCACAATTTCATGATACAGTTTGAATAAAATTACACTTTAATGGATTACAGTTATTAGATTATGTATACTCAGACTCAAATGCTGTTACTAATTGACACAAGCCTTGTACTGTGGCAGGCCAGGCAGTAAATAGTGATCTGCATATGGGGGACCCTACTGGCCTATCGACCAAGAGATGAACAACTTATAACACTAGCCACTTCCTAAACTATACCTACCCTGAAAAATGAATTACTGACATTTTAAAACCACTAACTGAATTTCCACTTACAGAAGGAGTCGCCAGAGAGAAAAAATCACAGTCTTATTTTATCACTTCTACCAAAGGGATTTTTAAAGATTTGCAAACTTTTTTCACAGCAAAATTCAGGCTCTAAGATTCGATATCCAGCTTCCCAAAACTATAATAATGGGGAAAAAAAAGTTTTAATGTCATCGCCTACATACAGAGTCATCCCTTGGTGTCCTCGAGGGATTAGTTGTAGGATCTCCTATGGATACTAAATTTCACAGATACCAAATTCCATGGATGCTCAAATCTTGTGTATAAAATGGTGTAGTATTTTCATATGACCTATGCACATCCTCCCATACACTTTTTAAAGTTCTATTTTTTTATTTTTTTATTTTTTAGCCTTATTTTATTTTTTTGCAAAGACAAGAGTCTTGTTTTGTTGTCCAGGCTGGTCTCAAACTCCTGGCCTCAAGTGATCCTCCTGCCTTGGCCTCCCAAAGCACTGGGATTACAGGCATGAGCCACGCACGCACCCAGCCCTCCTGTATATTTTAAATCATATTTAGAGTACTTATAATATCTAATACAATGTAAACACTATGTAACAAGTTGTTATACTGTATTGTTTAAGGAATAATGACCAAAAAAAGTCTGTACATGGTCAGCACAAATGCAGCATTTTATTTTCGAATATTTTCAATCCACAGTTGGTTGAATCTATAGATGTAGAACTCACAGATACAGAGAACCAACTGTATATTTATTCTAGAGCAATCTTCATTGCAATAAAACCTCTCTAATTTAACTTTTTTTTTCAAGACAGGGTCTCACTCTGTCACCCAGGCTGGACTACAGTGGCGCGATCTCAGTTCACTGTACCTCTGCCTCCCAGGTTCAAGCGATCCTCCTGCCTCAGGTACACAAGTAGCTGGGATTACAGGAGTGGTGCATCACCATGCCTGGCTGATTTTTCCAATTTTACTCGAGACAGGTTTTTGCCATGTTGGCTGG
This sequence comes from Homo sapiens, assembly GCF_000001405.40. Taxonomy (NCBI): domain Eukaryota; kingdom Metazoa; phylum Chordata; class Mammalia; order Primates; family Hominidae; genus Homo; species Homo sapiens. The sequence goes on along the minus strand of NC_000015.10, from coordinate 69,426,524 downwards.
ATTACTCTAATTCCAAAAATTAAGGATAGAGTTAGAACCAGAAAAACTCCACATACTACAACTTTACCTGTAAGACATTGTCTCCATCTGCATCCAAGGGAGCCTGAACTAATTTAATGTTGAACACGCTATGGGAACGGCTGGACTCACGATTCAAATGGGTATTAGCAATACGTCTCTTTTTCTGGCCTAGGACAACAGAGAAATCATTGGTCAAACCTGAACTCAGTCATTTCATTATACATGCTTTCTAATAAGTCAAAAAAAATTGCCATCAAACTTAGTAGCAACTCTAGGTGATATTCATCATTCTGTATTTTTCTAGTTCTAGGTGTTTCTAACCTCTCCAGAAAACTTCAAAAGCCTCCTCAGTAGATTTCACTTCAACTTCTGTACATCCTGCAACATACATGTTATGGTTCTTATCTTCACGAAGCAATTTAGATTGTGGAGGTCTATGGGAAAGAAAAAAAAGATTAGTCTCCTAAATTATGAGATGCTGGTATCTTCATTTAAGACTAGGACTAAAACGCCAAGTGACATGACATGTTATTCTTCTAATGAAAATTATATATATTTTATAATATATATATAACGTATAATACTCCAGAGAAATATTAAACTTAGATAAGATTGTAAAGCTAAATAGTCAAGATTAGTTAAGTAACAAGATAACAGAAACCAATTTTGTTTTAAAAGCTTTGCTCTAATTTGCTCTAAGAAAGCACATGAAACAATACACTAAACAATTTAGAGACCAAAGTAGTATTACAGCAACATCACATGCACAGGTTAAGCATCAAAATCTAGTATTTTCCTAATTTGAAAAGACTAGCAGATAGAACCAGTTCTGACCTCCTCAGCAACAGCAGAAAACAAATTCAGAAAGAGTTTGGTATATACCAGGAGTGGCAATCCTTTCAAAGTGGCTTATGAAGTTTTAGTCTGTATGACAAGATGAAGGTTGGGTATGAGAGCTACCTGTTTGGTCTTAAGTCTTGTGAATGGTGAGGGTAGAGACATTTACCAGCCACCATCACTGATAGTCAATAGCAGATTTTTCAGGAAGCAAGGAGGGCTTAGAGACAGCAGCCAGCCCAGTGACAATGGAAAATAACCTACATGCAAACATGCCACAGAATGCCAACCATAGTATAACTGCACCCTTCTCCTTAAGAAAAGAGCCAACACCATCACATACACAAAATCTGTGTTCCTCATGGGTGTGCTGCAACTGTTCCACCTACCAAAGGAATAAGGTAGAAGTTACTGTTTCTACAGCAGCCATCTCACACCAACATGTTCAGTCCAGACTATGTGACAATCACAATGAGTCATATCTTAAAAACCCTCCACTTGTAATAGTTTTTCATTGTATTAAAAGTACTAAAAGTTAACTAGCTTAAAAAAGCAGGTCTAACACCAACCTAACAAATTAAATCTGAATTCAGGGCCAAACAAGCACCCTTGTATGTTCATTTAAGGAGTTACCCAGAAAGGTTACAAAGCACACAAGGTACTTTTGTCAATCTTCTTTTGTATAACTAAATAAAGCCAAGATATGATCCTTTGAAAATAATCTCATTTAGAACAAACCAAACAAAAAGTTGGCACACGAGCATACATGAAAATGGGTATACTCAAGATTAGAGTCAAGACAGTTGACACTTTAAAACAAATGGGAAAGTAATTAGTTTGATATAAAAAGTGATGGTCAGGCCAGGCATGGTGGCTCACACTTGTAATCCCAGCACTTTGGGAGACCAAGGTGGGAGGACTGCTTGAGGCCAGGAGTTCGAGACCAACCTGGGCAACCTAGTGAGACCCCTATCACTCCTATCTCTACAAGAAATTAGAAAATTAGCCAGGCATGGTGGCTTGTGCTTGTAGTTCCAGCTACTTAGGAGGCTAAGGCGGGAGGATCACCTGAACCCAGGAGGTTGGCTGCAGTGAGCTGACATGGCAGAGCAAGACCCTGTCTCAAAAATAAATAAAAAGTAACTGTCTCACAAGGTTTTAACTCTTCCATGTATTGCTCCACAACCTAACCCAAGTATTTTTACTATTACCAACATTCCAAGGGTAAATATAGATAGGTCACTCCAGAAATAAGTCCCTTTGTAAAGTTCTCACTTGAAGAAATGTTAAACAGAGCCAAAGAGTCTTCCTTGGCATAAACTCTTAGTATTAAGAGTGTTAATATTTTTACATTTAGCTTACTTAGCCATATTGTAATTGTTTTCCCAATAAACGTGATGAAAATTCAAGGACTCTGGTGAAGATAACTGTATCAAAATGTGACTCACTAAGAACCACAGAAATGCTTGTATCAAGTATGGCCTCAACCAGAGTCCATAAATTCTTCATGTAATTAAAAGTGGATATACTGGTATGTATTCTCAGTCTAATGATTTTCTAAATCCAGCTGTTTCTCCAATAATGTTCCCTTAGATATACAAAGTTAAATATAAGCCACAGGTCTTCGTATTATTTATGTCCTGAGAGGCCCTAATAAAGACAGCATTAAAGACAAGCCTTTAGCTGAAAAACAAAACCATCAACTCAGGAACAAGATACTAATATTAAACATAAGATCCCAGGGTCAACTCTGGCACAAATGCAGATTTATCATTTGTGATGCCAAGTGGTAACCAGTCTTACGTCTCAGAAAGGCAAGACCCAAGGAAATCTAGGAAGTAGTATTTCAACTCTGATGGAATTACAGTGCAGATATCATACCATATTAATGAATGATAGAAGATATGTAAGTATTACTTGTATAGATAACAGCTTTAGGCTCCAGTCTGTAGAAATCACCAAGACACGGGTGGTTAAAGAGCCTACAAAACTCCTTTTACTGTCTCAGGTTCTTGAAACGTTCTTAATTATATAATTAAGATCCTTCTCAAAACATAGCCCAGGGCCCAGAGTTTTCAAAAGTAATCTCCAAGATGAATATTTGGGTCCCTCTTCTCCTTAGATGCTTTAACCCACTAGTTCCCTAATACAGGTACATATCTAGTTAATAATAAACATACTCAAACACAAAACCACGTGATATACAAATTATATCATTTCATTCTGAAAACAAATGCAAGCATTATTCTCTTTCATAACTGAAGAAACTAAAACTCCTTGAGGCAAAGTAACTTCCCCAACATTAACAGCTAAGAAGGGGCTCTCTTTATTACTTACTTGGGTTTTATGGGATCAAACGGCACCTCTTCCAATAGATCATATATGTAATTATTATATATTTCAATATAAGAGACAAATACACCATAGACACTATCTTCATCAACCTCTTCTGCTTTGCAGAATTCTTGTACAGTTATCATATCTGCAAACTCTGGATCTACTTGTCGTCTAAAAAAAGAAAAGTTCAATTGTATACGTTATAAGTCCATTTTAAAAGTAAATGATCCCAGCCGGGCATGGTGGCTCACAGCTATAATCCCAGCACTTTGGGAGGCCGAGGCAGGCGGATCACCTGAGATCAGGAACTCAAGACCAGCCTGGCCAACATGGTGAAACCCCGTCTCTACTAAAAATACAAATTAGCCGGGCATGGTGGCGTGTGCCTCTAATCCCAGCTACTAGGGGGGCTGAGGCAGGAGGATCGTTTGAACCTGGAAGGCAGAGGTTGCAGTGAGCCGAGATCATGCCACTGCACTCCACCCTGGGCAGCAAAGTGAGACTCTGTCTCAAAAAAAAAAAAAAGTAACTGATCCCAAGGGGAAACTAACAGATAAAATAAATATCTGCAATTACAAGCAGAAATGCACAAAGCAGCTTTATTCATACTCATGGTTTGCCAACAGTATTCCCACGTCCTCCCGAACACACAACAATGGCTTTTATACCCTCTCCCCATCCAGAGTGGCACCCTCTTAAAACAGTGATTGAAACAAAATGTGCTCAAAGCCAAAGAGAAAACATCTGAGCAAAGAACTTAAGAACATTCCTTAACTTTAATCTCACAAAAGTCAACTTCTCTATTTAATGTTCACCATTCCTCATGTCTGGGCAAACCACAGGAAAGAATCCTGTGCCCCTAGGCCAGTGCTGCAGACAAATATAATTACTTACTTGCTAGAAGAAGTCTTTGGATTGGGCATAGCTTCTCTTTTCTGACGTTCTAATAAGGCATCAACCTCACACTGTATATCCATACTATTCCTATCATTAGATTTGAAAACCTGAAGTGGGGGCAAAAAAAAAAAAATCACACCACGTTTTTTAGAATTTAACTTAAATAGTAAGAAATATGTTTAAAAACTAAGGAACAGTTAAGGTTTCAAAATGAATCCAGTGCTTTGGTTCTTCTTTACTACTACTGTATCCATAGGTGTCTTAGTCCAGTAAGATAGTCACAACACAAAAGAATCATACTTACATATCGTTTAGCTTGAAATGACCCTATACTGTTAAAGATCATGTCCAAACAACGAGGAAGCAGCCCTCCTTCCCCTGGAGAACCAGTCATTGTGTGAGTTTTTCCACTTCCCGTCACACCATATGTAAAAAGAAGACCTACAGTGTAGCAAGTCACAATGAGTTATATCTTAGAAGTTCTCCACTTAGAGTATTTCTTCACTGCATTAGAAAACACTAACAATTAGCCAGCTCAAAAAAGGCAAGTTTAGCACCACCCTAACAAATTAAATATGGATTCAACACCAAACATAAATCAAATATATAAATATCAAAAAAGTTTTATCAGAAGAGGAGAAAAAGGAAAATCTAACAAAACTCCAAGAGTCATATCATACCATTTTTGCCATGAATGAGGTCATTGACCAAGGGATTAGCCACAACATCAAAGAGTTCCTTCTGGGTGGTGTGAGTGCCAAATACTTGTTTAAATGAATACTGAGTCTGTGGAGAGAGAAAAAAATGCACTAAATAGAATTCCACTATTATCTAGGCTAAAAATACATCTCCTTAAACTTAAGGTGTTTATGACATTTAAGATCTAAGCATGCAAAGAAAAAATATAAATGGTCTTTTTACAGTTGGAACCCTTAGTTATTTAGTTACTAAAAAGTCATGACATACCTATATCATACCAATTATAAACTGGTAAACGTTTTCAGTCACAACTACTAAAGAAAATGTAGAAAACTCTTTTTTTTTGAGACAGAGTTTTGCTCTTGTTGCCCAGGCTGGAGTGCAATGACACAATCTCGGCTCACTGCAACCTCTGCCTCCTGGGTTCAAGCGATTCCCCTGCCTCAGCCTCCCAAGTAGCTGGAATTACAGGCACGTGCCACCACACCTGGCTAATTTTTATATTTTTAGTAGAGACGGGTTTCACCATGTTAGGCTGGTGTCAAACTCCTGATCTTAGGTGATCCACCCACCTCAGCCTTCCAAAGTGCTGGGATTACAGGCGTGAGCCACCACACCTGGCCAAAAATGTAGAAAAGTCTTAAGTCTACTAATGCTTCTAATCTAAGGCTGATTTTGTTTTAATTAAGTGACAGAGATCAAAAGGTATTGTAACGATTCATAGTCACAGATTTGTGGAAATCTACAAGCATTATGTCATACACAACTTTACTGTTTCCTAGTTTTTCTTTATAAAGGTGTCATTTAAAATAGCAAAGCATGGGCATAGTGGCTCACACTTATAATCCCACTTTGGAAGGCTGAGGCAGGAGGATCACTTGAGGCCATGAGTTAAGAGACCAGCCTGGGCAAGCTCATCTAATAAAAAATTTTAAAAGTAAAAACAACAAAAAAACCTCACCAAAAAACAGTGAGCTGTGGTCACACCATTGCACACCAGCCTGGGCAACAAGTGAGACCCTGTCTCAAAAAAGAAAAAGAAAAAAGACATATAAAATAAAATGGCATAGCAGCATAATACCACGTTTTGATGTACTATAGTTTAAAACCAGAAGTAAACTGTAAATATTATCTCATCTCTGAGTTCTTACATGAAATACATTTTAAATAAATTGTGACCTTTAAGAAAGCAAGAATACTTCAATTATCAAGGCTCTCTAAATACAATTAATAAAATATCCTGTAAAAATCAGCTTTAGAGTTCAAAAAGAACAAAGAATCTTGGAACTGAAAGGATACACATAGGCTAATACTGAGAAGATAGATGACCTCACAGTCCTCATGAATGACTCCCTCCTTTCAAGGTAAAGAAAACTGAGGCCCGAAGGTGAAACTTCTCTGAGCCCATGGAGTTAATTAGTATCAAAGCCATCATCAGTGCAATGTTTTTGTTTTCTTCTTTTTTTTTTTGAAACAGAGTCTCACTCTGTCACCCAGGCTGGAGTGCAGTGGTAGGATCTCGGCTCACTGCAACCTCTGCCTCCTGGGTTCAAGCAATACTCCTGCCTCAGCCTCCCGAGTAGCTGTGATTACAGGCGCATGCCTCCACGCTGGGTAATTTTTGTATTTTTAGTAGTGATGGGGTTTCGCCATGTTGGCCAAGCTAGTCTCGAACTCCTGATCTCAAGTAATCCCTCTGCCTCGGCCTCCCAAAGTGCTGGGATTACACATGTAAACCATCATGCCCGGCAGCAATGCTCTTTTCATTATACAATGTTGCCTTCTGTCAGAAAGCAGTGACTATTTTTAATCCCCATCAAACCTTTTTATACCTACTCGATACCTACTCGATACCTATATTTATACATACTTGAAATTTACTTAAAGAAGTAAAACTCAGTAAATCAGTGTTTAACTATATTATATCCTTAAAGACCTGCTCCTCCAAAAAACCCTCCCAGACCATTCATTCTTGCTGAAGCCATATTTACTATTTGATGAACAGAACATATAAGGTACATATTCCCTGGAAGTTTACATTATGGTAGAGGAAAGACAATAAACAAGTAAACAAATAGATTGTGGTTAAGTAATGTAAAGGAGGCATACAGAGTACAGACCAGGGGAGAGGGGTTGTGGGGTGCTGTTTCTGATTGGGTAGTCTATACAACCCGAGGAGGTGATATTTAAGCTGAAACCCAACGATGACCCATGCTAAGACCCAGAAAAAGAGAAGTCCAGGTTAAGGCAACAGCTAACAGCCAGGATTCTGCCTTATCCAAGAAACTCAAAGGATTGGATGAATACTAAAAGATGAATGAAGGTGGAGAGACAGATGGGAGACGGATGAAGCAGGATTTTGTCTGTTCAAAGATTTTATTCTTTGAAAGGTTTTGAACAGGAAAATGAGATTTTATGTTTTAAAAGATCACTGTCTGCTCTGTAGAAATGGATTAGAGAAGATTCCAAGTGGAGGCAGTTGGGCTTTGGAAGTCTTGTCAATGATACCCAAAGCACACTCAGCAAACCAATGCCAGTCTGAGATTGGTTACCAGACTACTTAAATGTTTAGAAAGTTGTTTTTTGTTTGTTTGTTTCTTTGTTTGTTTGTTTTTTGAGATGGAGTTTCACTCTTGTTGCCCAAGCTGGAGTGCAATGGCGCGATCTCGGCTCACTGCAACCTCCGCCTCCTGGGTTCAAGTGATTCTCCTGTCTCAGGCTACTGAGTAGCTGGGATTACAGGCACACGTCATCATGCCCGGCTAATTTTTGTATTTTTAGTAGAGACAGGGTTTCATCATATTGGTCAGGCTGGTCTTGAACTCCTGACCTCAGGTGATCCACCCACCTTGGCCTCCCAAAGTGCTGAGACTGCAGGCATGAGCCTCCATCTGGCACTGCTCAATTATCAGTATTTCAGCATGTATTCAATAGGCTCATCTCTATGAAGAGATTATGAACTAGTTCCCTATTGTCTAACTCACACGGGCAGTTCCATCTAGCACAAGTTGTACAAAAGTCTCAGCTGTGACGCATTAAAAATAAAAAAGCTACTCCTTCATTACAGTAGCTCTGGTCTCAGTGATTAATAATGGGGCTCAGACTAGGGTGGTGGCAGTGGAGATGGAAATGAAAGGACAGTTTCAAGACACATGTTGGAATATAACTGATAGGAGCTACTAATGAACTAGTTATAAGGAGAGGCAAGTAAAAGGTAGGTACCAGGTTTCTGGCTTGAGCAACTGGACACACGATAGTGCCATTCCTTGAGAAGAAAACAAGGGAGGAAGTATTTAGAGAGGGAATAAGAAAAATCAAGAACTCCTTTTTGGGCATGTAAAATTTGAGATGCACATGTGACATCCAAGCAGAGATATCAAGTAAGTGGTTGAATGTTGAGAGCCAGAGAAAAGGTTTCAGCTGGAGATACAAGGAGAGCTGGAGGGGGAGACAGGAGAGTGCTGCTGACAAACAGGTTAAAATGAGGATGAAGAGGTATACATCAAATTTAGCAGCAAAGAGGCCACTGGTAGTCTTCTGAAGAGCAATTTCACAGGAATAGTAGGCACAAAAGAGTGAGTGACAGCTAGAAGTAGAAATGGTAGCCTGAATTAATCCTACTGCATTCCCACGGTCCCCTCATCTTTAGCACATCTAACTTTCTGTCTTATTTATATGAGAATTATTTGTTTACCATATATCTTAAGTTATAAACTTTCTAAAGGCAAGGAGTATGTCATGCTCTTTTTTTTAATCTCCTTCCACCCTCCAACTATTAGCTTAGCACATTTGCTAAACAATATTTTTGAGCTGACTCAAAACTTTACTAAAAATAAAAACACTGCATAGGAGGTTGATGCAAGTAAACAATGTCTATTATTAAATGTTATTTTCATTTCCACACATCAAGTTGTATATATAAAACTGCCTAGCACAATCATGTATCATTCCACATTAAATCATCCCTAACACATGCTCTAAGAAACAATAATACTCAGTGTAAGAAATTATCTGCTAAAAGCAATCCTCTAACCCCAGCATACCAAAGGTATGTCTGTGCATCCCAGAAGTCAAAAACACTTTAGATACAGTGGTTATAATGAAGTAAATAAGTCTTTTGAAAATGTGGGCTCACAAATGAACTTTGTTACATCTAAAAATCTAGAAGTCATTCAGGAAACAACATATTGAGTAAAAACAACTTGGTCCAAATCAGAATTACCTCCTTATAGTCTCCATTTCGGTTGAGTCTGTAGCCCTCAGGAGTATGAAGCTGAACAGTTGTATTATTGATCACTTCTATGCAACACTCTTGATCAGGAAAGCCCAGTGGGCGCACCCTACAGTATACCTGAAGAAATAGGAAGGTGCTTTAAGAAGAAAGTTCGACCTTTTGCCTGATTTTTCACTTAAGCTTCTCATTCATTCATTCATTCAACAAACATTCAGTCTCTCAATTTAAGAGCTCTGTATCTCCAAGGGCTAAGAAAATTAAAATCTGCTACTTGAGATTGACAAATACAAGTATGTATTAGATATGAGAATACTTTAAATACACACAAAATTAAAATAAATTTTAATAAAAATCAAATTGCAGTGTATTCACTATTATATTGTACACAAATAATAGTTATACTACTACTAATATCTCTAAAAGTCAACAACATGTCACACGAGATTTTTAAAACTGTTAGAATTTCTTGGAAATGGATGTCAATTTAAAAACTTGTCAGCTTAACCCAACATTTAATATACAAAGACATTTTTATTTATTTATTTATTTAGAGACAGAGTTTCTCTCTTGTCACCCAGGCTGGAGTGCAATGGCATGATCTCAGCTCACTGCAACCTCCTGGGTTCAAGCAATTCTCCTGCCTCAGCCTCCCGAGTAGCTGGGATTACAGGCACCCACCACCACACCCAGCTAATTTTTGTAATTTTAGTAGAGACAGGGTTTCGCCATGTTGGCCAGGCTGGTCTCGAACTCCTGACCTCAGGTGATCCACCCGCCTCAGCCTCCCAAAGTGCTGGGATTACAGATGTGAGCCACCGCACCCAGCCTACAGAGACATTTTTGAAAGCAGGGGAGGGGGCTTGAGGAAAACTCATTCAGCTGTGTGCAAAGCACCCGGTTCCCTTAACTCAGAGCCAGGGACCCACTCCAGTGGCAACGAGGGATAGATTTAAAATACCTCAGAGCAAAGAACCCTTTTTGTTTGCCATTTGTTGTTTTGTTTTAAAATTCTTATTCTTTTTGCCTGCTTCATTTTTTCTTCATAATTTAACTGAATTAAACTTGGTCCCAAGAAGTTTGGAACTCTCCTCATGCCATCAGTTACTGTATGGCATGAACTCAGTTCATATTCTCTGGGATGAATATGAACCCAGTTGGAGATTTTTAATTATCTAACTCTCCAAATTATAATTACAGAAGGTATGCAGTTGACAACCAAAGACTTCATTTTACTGGACTAATTTAATTAATCTTATAGAGAAAATTTCACAGCTAGCACTAGTTTTACACAATGTAGTACATCCATTTAACTAAATGTTCTTTGATTATACTTCCACATGTCTTCTTCTTTCCCTTCCAAGCATACACATAAGACAGAAAGGACTGAAGAGATAAGTTTCTTAAACACCACACATAAATTTACAGGGATACCTTACCCCAACTGGGTCTTTAAGGTTCGTTTGGGACCCTTTTTTCACGGTAGGTTTCCGGGGTGTCTTAGCTCTCCTGGTCATAGATTAAAAAATAATAATAACTTTTTTTTCAGTTCAACACGAATACAAAAGCCTCACCTAAAACTTATACAATCTTTCTAGGTTATCTGTAAATTATCCCTTAGCAGTTGCAAAACACTGCATCCCAAATAACATTAATAATCATAGTAGCAGAGTGTTTGTGGCATGCGTAATCCAAAAGTAATTAAAATTTGCTTTAGAATACATTTTTGGTACCAAAGCTACCTACTTATTCTCTGATTAGTTCTATACTTAAAATGGCTTGCATATTTTCTTGAGCAACAATTTAACAGAGGCACTACAAATTATAACTGCCCACACTTTACAGACTGACAAGCGATTAACTTCAATACACTATAAAAATGCACATGGAGGAAACCATTCTTTCGTCAAGGGTTACGCCTGTACTTTCAAGGAACAACCAGTCATTGAATGCTCAAAACATTACTCTTTGTCTCCAAACAAAATCTGGTCCCAAACTGCCAATTTCTTGGTTTCTTAAGTAGGGGCAATCAAAAAGTTATTTTGATTGATTTCACCATTTCTCTAGCATCTCATCTTTTTCCCTTCACATTTATCTATAGGCTAGATATACATTTAACACATTAAAATTAAGTAAGATTATTGGCTTCGACTGTAGTTTAAAAATATTTTTCCAAACATATTCTCAGATGAAACACAAGCAAATTCGTGTTATTCAGTGCAAAATACTTTGTGGTGGGCTTAAGTTAAACTCAACGTATATTTCTTATATATAATTTTTTTCATCTAAAGATTTTGACTTCGGCCTCTTAATAAACAAGTTGTCTTTTGCAAACGACTCCCTAAATGGTAATAAAGCCAATCCTCTCCTTTGCACGACAAATATTTCTTTACCCAGGAATGATGCTGCGCCGAAAATATTAGCTTAGGAATGTGGGCGGAGGTTCTCTGCGGCCACAAAATACAGCAGAAGTAACTGGCCTGTGTAAGCGGATGGGCTCGGCCTCAAGGACAGGGTGCTCGGCTGAAAAAAAAGCTAGCGGCGATCACCGGTGCCAGGGCTCTCCAGAAACGGAGCCCATCTAACCAATGCCCAGCACACTCGCTCTGCTCCACACACGAGACCACCTCCGACCCGCACTAAGTTGGCCAACTGCACTCTGGAGGCGGCGGCAGCCAGCGAGGGAGAAGGGAAAGGCTGTCCCGGGACCCCGAGGAGGACTGCCCCGCCCCCGGGAACCGGGTGCGGCGTAAAACAACCCCGGCTCCGGGCCGACCCTTCCTGGCCCCTTGGAGGCCCAGGCGGGGCGGCGGGGGGCGACGCGGCAGGGGTCTCCGCGCCCAGGCTCCCGCGGAGCGGCCACACGTGGAGGTTCCCACTTTGGGGTCGCGGCCGCAGCAGCACCGGGCGGGATGCTGTCCGCGCTGCCCGCGTACGGCCGCGGCCTGAGTGGAGACGCCTGCCCCCAGCCCCGAGGCCTCGGCCCCCGTCCGCCCTCTCTCCCTGCTCGGCGGCCTCGTACTCACGCTGACTTCATGGCAGCAGGCTCCACGCCGCCCAAACGCGCATGCGGGACGGCTGGCTGGCGAAGACTGCGGGACGTTAGGACCGGCAGCAAGAACTAGAACTTCGCGGCTAAGGCGCGGTGCTCTGCGAAGCCGGCGGCGACGCTAAGAGCCCAGGTGAGCTCCCGCCTGGCGCATTTCAAACGGGCCAATCAGCGCCCGTCCGCAGGGAGAGGCAGGACCTCCGCGGAAGTGACTTCGCTGCCGGAAGTGGCGCTTGTCTCCTAGGCGACCGACGCTGAAAGGGCCGCGGAGTCGCGTGTCAGGGCTGGAGGGAGATCTTGAGGTATGGTATTTAAACTCTTCCGCCTTGCGATGACGAAACTGAGGGTTTCTTTTCCTCCATCACAAGAAGTTCAATGGAAGGGCCTTTCCAGGGTTGATTCAGAGGTCGGAATGTCGTTCTGGTGAAAAGTGTTGTATTCCTGTGCTGTGCCCTGCTCCAAGTCTCAGGCTCCGTCTCTCTGGCTCCCAAGTCACCACATTATCTTGGCGTCTTTTCTCTCTCTGATTCACCTTTCCTGGGTTTCCCTCCAGCTCTGTCCTATATGTACATTATTTTATCAAATCTTTTTTTTTTCCTTTTTTATTTTTTGAGGTGGAGTTGCTCTGTCGCCCAGCCTGGACTGCAGTCTTCAGCTCACTGCAACCTCCACCTCCTAGGTTCAAGCAATTCTCTTGCCTCAGCCTCCCGAGTAGCTGGGATTACAGGCGCGCACCACCACGCCCAGCTAATTTTTGTATTTTTAGTAGAGATGAGGTTTCACCATATTGGCCAGGGTGGTCTAGAACTCCTGACTTAAGGTGATCTGCCTACCTTGGCCTCCCAAAGTGCTGGGATTACAGGCGTGAGCCACTGCGCCCGGCCTGTTTTATCAAATCTTGATTGTGTTTGATCCTGGCCTTACGGAGATGAATAAAATTTGGTCCTTACCCTTAAGGGGCAACCTTTTGAACCTACTCTTGCCTTAGATGAACTGATTCTATATCACTTCTGTCTTTGACCCTAAGCCGATGACTACCAAATACACATCTACACCTGGGCTCTCATGGAACTCTAGCCCCTTCTCAACTTCCTAAAGGACCACAGCACTGGTAAGGATAGTCACAATGTCCTTGGCCAATATTGTTGGTGCTCAGGAAACGACACCCCAGAGTATGGCTCTTTGGCACACTGAGTGCTTTGAACTAAAGAAGACTGAAAGTGCCTCAGAGAAGCCTTAAAAGCAAAGTCTGTCTCTGACTTTCTCCTGCCCTCTTGTCTCCCACCCCTCTGTGTCTCCTAAAGCAAATAATAGAAACCAGAATTTCTGTTCCCCAAGGCGGGTCATGGAAACTAGAACCCCTTTTCTCCCAAGCAAGCCAGAAACATTATTCTAGAAAAACCTAGAAATATTAATCTAGCCTTCCCCCACCTTTTTGTGTAAGAGCTGGCCATAAAGACATTCTTTGATGTACCTTGTCATAAGACCCTCGTTCCAAAAGGGTCTTGCCCTACACTCAGGAAGAAGGAAAGCTGCACAGAGAGGCCAAGAAGAATCTGAACAGACAGGACTTGCTGGATTCCTCCTTCAGTCTGTTACTATTAGATCATACTCCTTTTGTACAATCACATTTCTACACAGCTGTCCATTCTTCATCTCATCTAAGCATAAAAATGGACAGCTTTCCCTGGGTCTTTGGGTCTTCATTTCTGAAGGCACTTACATCCCATAAAACTGTGATTCAATAAGTTATCCATTTATCTTGCTAACCTGTTTTTTGTTATGGTAGTGTCAGCTGTGACCCTTAAGATGGGTAAAGAAAAGTATCACACCTTTTCCACCCCTACATTGCACATTAGGATGGTTCCAACTTTTCCTATTACAGATACAGCTATAGTGAATGAATGTGGAAATTTATACAATGCAGGTAAATATGTAGGAAACATTTCTAGAAACAGAATTGCTGAGTCAAAGAGTATACATATGTGTAACATTTCACAGATATTGCAAATCATTCTCCATAAAAGCTGTCCAAATGTACACTCCCACCAGCCTGTATGAGAGTGCCTATTTCTCCACAATTCTCAAAGTGTTATCAAACTTTTCAGTAGCTACCAATCTATTGATATCTCATATCAATTGGTGAGAAAAAACATGTAGTTAAATTTTTCATTTATTTTCAGATAAATGTTGTCTATTCATATATTTTAGAGCCCTTTTGATTCCTTCTCTATCAACTGTGTTCATATTCTTTGCCTCTTTGTTCTATTGGTTGTTCGTTTTTCTTAATGATCTGTGAAAGTTCTTATATTAAAAAAAAATTGGTCCTCATCCAAAATACGAGTTTAAATACTTTTATTTTTCACATTTTGGTTATTTTTATTTGTATATGTTTTGTGACAGCTTGGAAAAAATTTCAGGTAGACAGATTAATCCGTCTTTTCTTTTATGGCTTCTGTTTTGTGTCATACTGGAAAAATACATCCATTCTGAGTTTTTTATTTTATTTCTCATTTTTTGTTTCCTAGTGCTTTTATTGCTTTGCTTCCTATGTTGAAGTCTTTGAATGATTAGGACTTTGTTGTCAAGCTAGAGTTTGGTATTTTGTTGGTTTGTTTGTTTTGTTTTGTTTTTTGAGACGGAGTCTGTCACGCAGGCTGGAGTGCAGTGGCGCAATCTCGGCTCACTGCAGCTTCCGCCTCCGGGGTTCAAGCAATTCTCCTGCCTCAGCCAGGCTGGTCTTGAACTTCTGACCTCAAGTGATCCACCTGCCTCAGCCTCCCAAAGTGCTAGGATTACAAGTGTGAGCCACCGCACCTGGCCTAGAGTTTGGAATTTTTATCATTTAGGAATTGGGCTTGGTTGCTGACTACTTATATCCTAGTTGCTCTTCAGTTTAGCTTCTACCTCAGACTCCATTGGAACTCTTGTCACCAAAATTACCACTTCCTTGATGCTAAATCTATTTGACTTTTGTCTTACTTGGCTTCTTAACAACACTAAAAAATGTTGCCCATTCCTTTCTTCCCATGCCTTTATTTTTTCTCCTAGCTGTCTAGCCCTTCTTTCTCAGTCTCCTTTGTGAGTTCTTTTTTTCTCCCTTAAATGTTGGGGCTCAGGGTTTAGAGCTGGTCACTAGGTGTGCCTTTTCCCTAGGCACTCTCAAGCACTCATATGGCTTCACATCCCATTCATGTTTGCTCTTCTGAGCTCCAGAGCCATATATCCAGCTGTCTTCTGGATTCTCCACTTCGATATCCCACAAGCATCTCACATCTAACACATTCTAATCTCTTCTCCCAAACTTGCTCCCTCTCAGTGGATGGCATCCACCAAGCCAGAGTCTAAAGCAACATTGTTAGCTTTTCTCTCTTCTTCTGTCTCAATATTCAATCACTAAATCTTAACAGTTCTACCTACTAAGTAGCCAAACCTCCAAACTGCTCCACTTTTCTCTGTCTCCTCAGCCACCATCTTCTCTTGTCTGATAAAGACAGCAGTCTCCTAACAGGCCTCTCTGCTGCCACTTTCCAATTCAGTTTCCATTTTGCTCATCTCTAAATCATGGATCTGATTATGTCACATACCTATATGAAACTCTGCAGTGGTTCCCCATTGTTGGAGACCCACCACAGGGCCCTGAGACGCTTCCTCTGGGGCTCATCACCCATCACTGCCCCCTGTCCCCTCTAGTCATGTTGAACTGCAGTGCCCTGAACACGCTGGGCTCACACGCCATTCTCTGTGCTGTCACGCTCTCCTCCCTCCTTTCCTCTGACAATGCCTTGCCTTCAGTTCTCTGCAGATCTGCCAGCTACCCTGCTGTGGATACTGGGCCCCGTGGTACAGCCCCCACGCCCCCAAAACTGCCCTTTCCCACTCACTGCACCTGTTGACTTGTTTCAGCACTCACATTCCAATTGGCAGTCACTGTTCATTCCTGTCTCCTCTACTGGCTTATCCCCACAGCCTCACTAGATGGCATCGTTGCATGCCCAGTGCCTAGCAGTGCAGGTGCCCCATACATGGCTTGAAGGGATGAATGAATCATCCCTTCAAAGAACGCTCCAGTTGAGGACCCAGTTACATCGCACCACCTCCAGCTTCTCTTCAGGCCAGTTTCTTCTTCCTCCCTCACTTCTGTATTAAAGTTCTCTGGCTTATTAATTTCCTTAAAACTACCAAATAATTACATCATTTTTCTATTCAAAAATAGCAAAGGGCTACCTATAGCCATTAAAAGATTTGCATTTTACCATAGAATTAGAGATCCAGATCAGGAGTGCGCGTAGGAGGGTGGGGAGAAGAGAACTGAGGGGCTTTTTTCTTTCTAAAGTCAAGTATTTTAGGTATAATTTACATACAGTAAAATGGACCCTTTTTAGTTGTATCGTTATGTGTATTTGACAAATATATAGTGTGCTGTAACCACAATCAAACGTATATTTCCATCACAGTGGAAAATTCTCTGGGCTGCCCCTACTCCCAGGCCTTGGCAACGACTTTTCTGATTTTCTTCCCTATACTTTTGCCTTTTCCAGAATGTCTTTTCTTTCACTCAGCATAATGCTTTGATATTCATCAATGTGTTGCATGTACCAGTAATTTGTTCCCTTTTTGTTGCTGAGTCTATTCCACTGTATGAATGCAGGACAATTTATTCATTCACCAGTTGGACATTTAGGTTGTTTCTACTTTCTGGAGATTATGAAACTGGTATAATTATTTGTGTAAAAGTCTTTATGTAGGTGTGTTTTTATTTCTCTTGGGTGGGATTGTGGGTCTTACGGTAAGTTTAACTTTATTAGAAACTGTTAAATTGGACCAGGCGAGTCTTATCCAAATCATTGAAGAGGGGCTGACACTACACAAATTCGAAATCATATATTAATCCAAACACCCAGATAAGCAAGTCCAGCTGTGGGAACCCAGTAAACACCAATGACCAGAAACTGCTGAAGCCCCGAGTGTTTGAGGGGAGGTGGTAAAATGGAGACAGCACTGCCTTGGGATCTTGGACATGCTCCGCACACTGTTCCCTCCCAGGCCCTGCTGGTCACTCAGTGGCCTTAGAAACATTGTCTCAGGTTCCCAGGCCATGAATCTCTCTCGCCAGGCCATTTGTAACATGAATGGTTAGATGTTAATGTTTACATACAGAAAACACAAATTAATAAAATCAACCTGGGGATGTGTGTGTGTGTGTGTGTGTGTGTGTGTGTGTGTGTGTTGGGGAGTTGGGGGACTGTAAAATTTACACAAAAAGAAACAAATGACTTGAACTATATTTCAAATAAATAACATACACAGAAAGGGGGAAATAACCCAGGTAACTGTGACTATTTAGAATCAAGCTTGCCCTCAGGGTCAAGACAAAAAAAAAAAACTTGAAACGTTTTGAATTCTAATTAGTAGGCACAGACATTAGTTGGTAATTCTGAAACAACATTCTGTACATTCTAGGATTGAGCAGATAAAATGTATCATGGGCTGGGTGAGGTGGCTCATGCCTGTAATCCCAGCATGTTGGGAAGCTGAGGCAGGTCTATCACTTGAGGTCGGGAATTCGAGACCAGCCTGGCCAACATGATGAAACCCTGTCTCTACTAAAAATGCAAAAATTAGCCAGGCATTGTGCCACGCGCCTGTAATCCCAGCTACTCAGGAGGCTGAGGCAGAATCGCTTGAACATGGGAGGCAGAGGTTGCAGTGAGCCAACATCGTGCCACTGCTCTCCAGCCCGGGCAACAGAGTGAGACTTCGTCTCAAAAAAAAATAAAATAAATAAAATAAAATAAAACATATTGTGGCTAATGGCAGTCAGCTTTCTCACTGTTGGAAAAGGGAGGAAAGGAGAAAAGGTGAAAAGTACCTGGGAATTCTTTGCACTATTTTGCAACATTTTTCTAAGTCTGAAATTGTATTTAAAAATGGTTGGACTATATCAGTGCTTCTGAACTCCCTTATATTAAAAATTACCTACAGCTTTAGCTAAAAATTTGAAACTACAGGATCACCTCCCCCACTGTGGGTAGTCTGTGTCAGTATGTTTGGGCCTGAGAATCTGCATTATACATCATCGAACAAATTTTAAAAGGGCTGAATTAAATGATCTTTGAGGGCCTTTCCTTCTGTGTTCTGGAGGAGGCAAAAAAATTCAGCCTGTTTCAGAAATCTGTTGCTTAGCATGAAGAGAATGAGCGTGGCAACTGTCTGAAGTTAATTTCTTATGAGTTGACACATTCCATACAAGTACCAAGAGACATAGGAAAGCCCTATAGGCAATTTCTCAAGGGAAAAAAAATCAGGAAAATCTCAGAATTCTTCAAAAATCAAGTCATCCAGATATCTTCTGGAGTTAACATCCTTCCAGTAGAACAAGTACCTGCCAGCCTTGGGACCCCTCTACTTAGCTCAACCTGCAATCCCTTCCCCCGACAAGCTGACAAGGCTGGCTCCTTTTTGCCCATCAAGTCTTCCTCAAATGTCAGCTTATCAGAGTGACCATCAATTCACATGCCCTACTAGGCTTAGTTTCTTTACAGCACTTATTATCTGGATTCATCTATATATCCTGTCTGCCTGCCCAACCAGAACACTAGCTTCATTAGGGAGGGACATTGCAGGTTTTTTTCACTTGTGTATCCCCAGTTCCTAGGACAGTGGCCATTCTATACATCCTAAGCACTAACTATTCATTGAATGATTTACTGATACACATGTGTACAGGGATCTGTTTCTCATGGTGAATTAACATATTTGCAGTGTGGTAGATAAAACATAACCAAATTAAGTGGCAAACAGGATGACTTTATGATAATAAATAAATTCTGTTTATTTTTTTCTCTCACATAGTTCAAGAAAACCAGACATTAGTGTAAGTTGGAGAACATCTGAGTTTGGAAACAGGTCTTTGCCTTAATGGATTGTTGACTAGAAAATCAGAGGCCGAAATTCAAATAATATGTTTTGAAGTGTTGTTGTACCGTGTTAATAGGTGTTTCATATAAAAAGGGTAGCATGGACTGGGTGCAGTGTGGCTCATGCCTGTAATCCCAGCACTTTGGGAGCCTGAGGCAGACAAATCACTTGAATTCAGGAATTCTAAGCCAGCCTGGGCAGCATGGCAAAACCCTATCTCTACAAAAAGTTAGCCAGGCTTGGTGGCATGCACCTGTAGTCCCAGCTACTCAGGAGGCTGAGGTGGAAAGATCACTGAAGCCTGTCAGGCAGAGGTTGCAGTGAGCCAAGATTGCAACACTACACTCCAGCCTGGGCAACAGAACAAGACCCTGTCTCAAAAAATATTTTTTTTAATTAAAAAATGTTAAAGGGTACCATAAGGTACAAAATAGTGTCAAATGAAGGGTTTCTTGAACATATCTGACAATGCCATTCTACTACACCGCACCTACCTCAGAACCTCTCATATGAGCAAGTTTCTACTGGGCGGGGCAGCAGGGGGAACAACACTTCCAGAAAGACTTCAGCAGACCAAATATTTAAACCACTTTATACTCAGAAGACCTCTAAATTTCCCATAACATCCTACCAACAATTACAAATTCTTTTTTTTTTTTTTTTGAGGCAGGGTCTTGCCCTGTTGCCCAGTCTGGAGCGCAATGGCGCAATCATAGCTCACTGCAGCATCCAACTCCTGGGTTCAAGCAATCCTCCCACATCACCCTCCACAGTAGCTGGGACCACAGGTGTGCACCACCACAACCAGCTAGTTTTAACTTTTTTTTATAGAGACAGTGTCTGGCTCTGTTGCCCAGACTGGTCCTGAATTCTTGGGCCCAAGCAGTCCTCCCACTTCAGCCTCCCAAAGTGCTGGGATTACAGGCATGAGCCACTGCATCCAGCCACAGATTCATTCATTCATTCGTTCTTTCTTTGTTTTAAGACTAGTCAAGTGCAGTAGTGAGAAGAGGGGAAGAGTAGAACAAGGAGCTTGATCTATAACTGACTGCGAACAATCAATTGAGCTAACTCACTACCTTCAGACCAGCCACAAATTCATTTCTTTAGAAAAAAGATGAGAATTATTTTCTAAAAACTGAGCAATGGAAAAGGAACCCCTTCAATGGGTAAAGGGAGGTAAAGTTAACTGAATGGCCTTATTCATCATACACATTCAAGTTTTATCACAGTTGTAAGGTCTGGTAAATTTTTGAGTAGTGCTTCTCAAGCAAGGGGAGTGGGGAGAGGTACATCCCATTAGGAATGTGCCACCCTCCCCACCATAGTCTTTTTTGAGACAATGCCATGGTGAGCAATTGTTACCAATGGGAATGTGTCACATGTCTTAAATGTAGTGAGACACTTTTTAAAAATTAAGACCCACTCCAGTGAGGTCTTCAGCTGACCCCCTGCCAACCTTTTAGACTTTCTGAGATGGCTTGGATGAAATTATACTCACATTAGACATCTAATGCCTATTATTTAATACTTAATGATAATTAATATATTTGAACCCCTTCTCATTTTGCATAGGAAGCTTTCAAATCAGTGTTCTGCAAACTGTCGTAAAATTCTGATTTATAACACTGTCCCCAAAAGTATATAATGGGACTAAAGTTTACCAAACTTATAAAAATGTTATGAAACACTGGATCTTATTTTGTTGATTTAACATTTCATTTCCATCATTAAGCATGTGAAAAAGCAACATAAGCAAAGATTAAATAATCTAAAAATCCTTCAAATTGGTCACTCATTATTTCAGTACTTACTGAGCTAAACATTATTTTGTTACCTATAAAGGAGAGAATGTAAAACACTGTATGTCTTTGGCATTACTAGAAAGGGGTATTTAAACTTTGTACCTTTTTTTGCCATAAAATTGAAGTTACAGTAAGATGAAATGGAAGCTCACAAGCCCTGTTGGTGTGGAATTCCACTAATAATGTCAGATTGTTGCCAGAAAAACAAATTTTGTCATGCAGCTTGCAATTAATGTACCAAAAATTTACCAGCCCATATAATTTTATCAGTCTGCCTTCCCCAGAGGAAGTAAACAGATAATAAAACTAACGAAATCATATTTCTTGACCACTCTCATCCAATATAAATTGTTACTTGTCCTTCGAGTATTAGACAGTGAGCTGTTTACAAGGCCATTCAAATGTCTGGGCTAGTTAATGGTAGAGGCAGTAGTCTAAAATATGGAGTATTCCTGAGTCAGCAAAGAGGATCCTGCATTGTGAGGAAGCCCCCCTAAGTCATTACCAAGTGCAGATCTGGGTTTGATGGGCCTCTGTCAAAAGTTGTTTTGCATCCGCATTTCTGTGTTCCCTGAAAACACCATGAAATACTGAACTTTAATCAGTAATGCAACAAATGAGAAAATGCTCAGTGTTTTAGAACTATTCAGAGTAGAAAACGCTGGAACATAAAATGAGGTTACGCCTTAGTTGGTGAGTTGCTAAAACTTGAGATCAGGCGAAACAAAGCTGATAGGTCTAATGCCTTTTGGAACATGTAACACCAGCAGTTCTTCAAGTTTGGCCTCTGGCCCTCCTGTATTAGAATCATCTGGGAGACTTGCTCCAGTGCAGATCTCCTCTACAAAACCTACATTTAACCTAGTGAAGCAGAACCCCCTGGTTTTCCCTAGGAGTCTGCATTTGTCACAAGCTTACTGGATGTTTCTGATTCACAGTAAAGCTTGAGAACACTATATGTGACCACCCCACTGGCAAGGTGATTAACTTCTTATGCATATGGATACTAAATTTTGCAACATATTTGAAATGCTGAAGCAATATCAAATGTATGACATCCCCAAATATAGCAATTTCCATTGGTTTAAAAGGTGGCATATGAGCACAACCAATTGGGATTAACTCAGTCAACTCTTATGGTTTAACACATTTTACCTGCACTGAAAAATACTTTGCAGATCAAACTGGCAACCAGAAAACAGAACATAACAGAACACATGACACCCCGCTGTGGACTTTTAAGAAAAAAACTGACAAACTCCAAATCCATAATGACATGAGAACTTACACTTTGAAGGCAGAATGGACTTGTGGGAAGAGAGGACTCCCCTTCTGTTCTCCCTTCACTAGGTGGAGAAGGGAAGAAGGGCTCTCCCCAGACAGCTCTCTTCATTCTGGAATGTTTTGCCAGTCCCCAAGGCACTCAGTGACCAACTTTCTTTCACAGGTCCTCCCAGTGACTGACCTGGCTCATTCTCCGAAAGTGGTTGACAGGCCACTACGAGAGCTCTTGAGAGAAGCTTTGTGACATGAAATTCATCAAATGAAGCAAGATTCATTTTTAAAGAATAATACAAAGCTCCAGAGTAATATGCTTAATCCAAATGTTTAAATAGAATTTAAAACCACATTTTAAGTAAATTTAAAATTAATGAAATATCAATAGTTTGCCTTAACAAGGACTTGCTTGAACCATATTCTCCTTTTAAAATCACACACACAGAATCAGTGTACATTTAGAGAAATTTCCCCAGCTGAATAACATTTTTGACATGAATTCATTCAAAAGACACCAACCATTATGAATATTTTAGGCCATGATAAGCTGTAACCACCTCCGGCTTATGGTGGTTAGGATGTTGCAGCTTAATGTTGACATCTGGCATGAAAAGCTTATGGTCTGAGTCATGTTTCTTTTTTATGTAATTCTGGCTTGGGAATCCGATACAGAGCAGCTGAGAAATAAATTATGTTGCTGAGGCTGAAGATGATGCACAGAAGTATGGCTCCAGCTATCTGAGAGAAAGAGAAGGGCTTGGAGGTGGCCAGGAGCCATTCCTTCCTCAGAGTCTTGTCCAGAAGTATGGCTTCCATCTGCATGTGCGTGGCCAGGATCACACACACGTGAAACAGCTGGTGACTGTGACCTATGGCAAACACAAAAGGCCGTCAAGATCAGCAATGAAAAGGAATGAGTACTGATACATGCTATGGCATTCATGCTAAAAATGATGCTAAGTGAAAGAAACCAGACAGGAGACCACATATTATATAAAATCTCCAGAATATGCAAATCCATAAAGACAGAGAGTAGATTAGAGGCTGCCTCAAGCAGGGGGTGAGAATAGGTATTAACAGTGCATGGGTCTGATGGAGGGGATGAAAATGTTCTAAAACTGATGTATGGTGAATTTACTGAAAATATCATTAAATTGTATACTTGACATTAGAGAATTATTGAATATGTGAAATATACCTTAATAAATTTATTTTTAAGAAGCAATATGGGAAAAATAAAAGGCCCATCAGAGAAAACCAAATCCAAATTCTTTTTTAAAACAACTTATCCACCAGTCTCATTTTTCAGATGAAAAAATTAGGCACCAAAGTTCATCTCTTGAGAGCCAGCACTGATCAGCTCAGAGTCTCACTTCAGTGCTGAGGGAGAAGCTGGCTGAATTTTCTGTTGGCCACTAACCAAGTGGACCTCTCCCTACTGCCAGTTAGTCACAGATATGACCAGGACTCTTCCTCCCCAATGCCATGCTGGACCCAGCTCACATGGTGCCCTTCACAGAGGCTGGGAGCCCAGTAGAGGGTAGTGGGAGTGACAGGGACAGGGACGTGCTGGGTGGTTGGTGAGAAAACAAATCCAATGCCTAGGGTCGGGGGCAGCTTTGGGGGACAACCCTCAGACCCCAGGAGTAAGGAGGCGACCACATGTGTTATGGGCTGAATGATGTCCCTGAAAAATACATGTGCTGAAGTCTTAAGCCCCAGAATGAGACCATATTTGCAGATAGGATCTTTAGAGAAATAATTAAATAAAAATGAAGTCTCTAAGATGGGCCTAATCCACTATGACTGGTGTCCTTATAAGGAAAGGAGTTTAGGCCAGGCGCGGTGGTTCACGCCTGTAATCCCAGCACTTTGGGAGGCTGAGGCGGGTGGATCACGAGGTCAGGAGATAGAGACCATTTTGGCTAACATGATGAAACCCCGTCTCTACTAAAAATACAAAAATTAGCCGGGCATGGTGACACGTGCCTGTAATCCCAGCTACTCTGGAGGCTGAGGCAGGAGAATGGCGTGAACTCGGGAGGCAGAGCTTGCAGCGAGCCAAGATCATGCCACTGCACTCCAGCCTAGGCGACAGAGCGAGACTCCGTCTCAAAAAAAAAAAAAAGAAAGAAAAGGAGATTAGGACACAGACATGCACGTATACAAGAAAAAGATCATGTGAAGACAGTTGGAAAGAACGGCCATCGACAAGCCAAAGAGAGAGGCCTCCGGAGAAGCCTACTTGCCAACGCTTTGATCTCAGATTTCCAGCCTCCAGAATTGTGAGAAAATAAATTTCAGTTGTTTAGGCCACAACAGTCTGTGATACTTTGTTATGGCAGCCCTAGCAAACTAATGCAGCATAAGAGTTAAATAAGGTTTCTCTTTTGGTTTAAAAAAAATAAAATAAAAAGGCTGGGCATGGTGGCTCACACCTGTAATCCCAGCACTTTGGGAGGCCAAGGCAGGAGGAGTGCTTGAACCCAGGAGTTTTGAGACCAGCCTGGGCAACACAGTGAGATCCCATCTCTAGAAAAATAAAAAATTCAGTGTTTCACCCCCAGGACCTATCTCAGAAGAAATATTCAATAAATGTGTCCTAGGAATGAACCGGCCTGGCCACCTCTACTATTGAGCAGGAGCAGAGTTAGGAAGATTGAGCAGGAGCAGAGAGGGATTCCCACCTCCAGCAGACTCTGTTAGTTAAGGACTGAGAATGTTCCAAATCTTGTTAATGATCTGTCATGAACTATTTTCTAGGAAATGTCCCCCAGAGGGGTGTTTTTCAGCTCTGTACCCCTAGGCCCAAGAGGATGGGACAGAGGTGAATAAAATGTTATTAAGAAACCTGAGTGGTAGCAAAAGAAGGCCCAGGGCCATTTTTCCTGCAACCCCAAAACTTGCTACACAGCCACCTCTACTTCATTAAGCGGGGCTGGGGAGGTGGACATGGCAGTCAGGATGCTGGTGACTCCGATTCCCTGGCCTCTCCTTTTCCTCCTTTTTGGAAATCTGTTCTCTAAGCATTTTACTAGTTACAACCCCTTCTGACACAACAAAAGAAGAAAAGGAGATAAAACTTTAATCAGATCAAACAAACTGCATCTGGCCACATCTTTTAGTGAGAGGAGATGGAAAATCAGGAACAAAATGGGCTTGGGGAGAAGCAAGCTTCCTGCCCTGGTGGGGACAATGACTGGCCCTTTGATTCCCATGTACTCACCTAAGGAACTCTCACCCCAAAGTCTTGTCAGCCTCACCAGAAATGATGCAAGGGTTCCTCCTCCTAGCCAGTCCCAGAGCCAGAGCGGAGGAGGCACATTCTGCAGGGACCCGCCCCTCCTTCCCTAGACAGAGCGGGGAAAGAACTCTGCCAGCAGGTGGAAACCCCCGTGACTCTGACACCTTCTCTCCACCAGATCACTTCAAACTTAAGTGAGCTCAGGTTCATCTGGAGGATGACTCGGCCTCTGTGTGAGTATTGGGTTTCACTCCTGGCGTTTCTGGTTCAGGAGGTCTGTGGTGGGGCCTGAGAATCTGCATGTTCTCAGATGATGCTGATGCTGCTGGCTGATGACCACCCCTGGAGAAACCACTGCTCTACCCTGAACCCCTGGCCCCCTCCCGTCCACCATGCTCAAGACAAAGAAAGATGCTTTCTCCCCTTTTCCCTTTTCTGCACAGCCCCCTGTTGTCTGGTACCCTCAGAGCCATCTTCATCCTTTCTTTCCTCTTCCTCTCCTCGGCTGCTCCCAATGTACTTTTTCTCTTCACATAGGATCTCTCTCACCCAGGCTAGAGTGCAGTGCATGATCATGGCTCACTGTAGCCTCAACCTTCCAGGCTCAAACCAACGCCTCCCAAGTAGCTGGGACCACAGGTGCACGCCACCATGCCCAGCTAATTTTTGTATTTTTTGTAGAAATGGAGTTTCACTATGTTGCTCAGGATTGTCTTGAGCACAGTCTCAAGTAATCTGCCCACCTTGGCCTCCCAACGTGCTGGGATTACATGTGTGAGCCACCACGCCCAGCCCCAATGTTCACTTAATCATGGGATTCCATGTTCTGGATGACAATAAGACACACTGGCTCCATACCCCATCAGAATGCTTTAGGCTCCTGGGCCCACCTGCCCTCCATCCTGCCCATGCTACCTAACAATGCACCTGCTGCAGACATCCTGACCTCTGTCAACTTGCAATGTTACTCGCCTTGGCCTCTCTCTCTGCCCTTCCCTGCCCTTTGCAGCTACGTGCACTGGAGTCAGGGACAGGACCCTCCCCAGTCAGGAGGGCAATGAGCAGAGCAGCAGGGCTGTTGCCCACTCACCGATGTAGTCAAAGCGTCCAGGGGCTAGGCGTTCTGGCAGATGTGCAGAGTACAAGAAAGAGGCCAGGAGGGTCATGATCATGTGCTTCTGGTGGTACGAGGTGGCTTCATTTTGTGCACTCTCCCCTGGGAACAGGAATAGCTGCAGGTGTTTAAAGAAACATCAGGTCTTGAGAGGACAGGCCTGAGGCAGGCCCTCTTCCTTCTCAGCACCTGCATCTGGGACTTTGGGGGCTCTGACACCCACACATGTTAGCACACATACACAAACTCCAGAGGCCAAGGCCCTCACCTCCTCAGGTCTGTGACCTGGTAGAGGAAACTCAGGCACCATGTGAGCAGAGCTCCTATCCTGAGTGTGGTCGATTGAGACTCGAGACTATTGTATTTCAATCCCCCAAATACTCATGAGAGTCTTTTGGTTTATTTACTTAACTGAATCGGAGAGAAAAAGGAAAGAAGAAAGGAATGGGAAAGGAAAAGAAAGACAAAAAATCCTATTAGATAATTGGTATTCTTTCTGGGGTAAAATGTAAGTACAGTTGACTCTTAACATGCAGGCTAGGGGCATTGACCCCCTGCAGTCAAAAGTCCATGTACAACTTTTGACTCCCCCAAACTTAATTACTAATAGCCTCCTGTTGACTGGAAGCCTTACCTGTAACAAACTGCCAAGTAACACATATTTTGTGTAGGTATTATATATTGTATTCTTACAATAAAGTAAGCTAGAGAAAAGCAAGTGATATTGAGAAAATCCTGAGGAGGAGGAAGAAGAAAAGGGGTCGGTCTTGCTGTCTCATGAGTGGCAGAGGTGGAAGAAAATCCATGTAAAGTTCCAACCCATGTTTAAGGGTCAACTGTTTAGTGGATTCACACTGGAACTCACTTTTTATCAGCACATCCACTGAACTGGTGCTCCTAATTAAGGCTTTAAGGCCTAGAAATCCCTGGAAGGCCTTCTGAGTCATCCAAAAGTATCAATGATGGCCACTATACTGTTTCAGAGCTAAGTATAGTTTTTGTATTATTGTTATAAAGTCATAGTAGCCACCACTTACCGAGGGCAGCAGGCCAGGCCTCTTACATGCATCATTTCACCTGAGCCACAATTATCATAAGGCAGACTCTATCTTCCCCATTTTGCAGGTGAGGAAGGTGGGCCAGAGAGTGACTTGCACATCACTTAGTGAGAAGTGAAGTCAGGATCTGAATCCAGGCAGGCTGATTCCAGCATCAACATCACCACTTAGAACTGGACCTCCCCTTCCCTCTGCCCTCCTCTGACTCAGCCACATGCCAGAAGCACACGATGCTTGTCACAACACAGGACTTGCACTGCCTGATTTGGAGGTACATGGGACAGAATTGCTCTGTCTGCTCTTGGTTTCCTGTGTGTGGTCTGCGCCCTTGAGGAAGGAGTGAGGGGAACGGGCTGCAGCCCCATCTTTGGCGCTCTCCCAGACCCACAGAGGCAGAGCACAGAGAACGTGCTCAATGCCCCAGCTGCTGGGTGGAGCTCAGCCCCTCCCCTTGTCCCTCAGCCCTGCCATCTGGGCTTTATTCTTCAAGCCCACAGGACGCTGCCTCTAGGAGGGAGCTTCACTCACCGGGTACTGGACAGGCACCGCAGAGCCTATCAGATCCATTGTTTTCCCCTACAAAGGAGGCCTAGTACCCTTATGTACAGATGAGGAAACTAATCTGAGGCTTAGAGAGTTGTGTGTCCTGCCTGAGGTCACATAGCCAGTGAGCAGTGGGGCCAGAATTTGAACTCAAGCCCGTATGGTTTGAAAGTGCGTGGACTTTCCCCTTCTAGTCCTACTTGTTGTCCCTCCTACACTCTCTTCCTTTATGCTCTCCATCTCTTTCCCATCGCTCCTTTAAGACCCTCATTCATGCCTTTTCCTTCAATACTAACAGTATACTACTTGATGATGGAACAATGCATTCCCGAACTCTTGCTACCAGTCAGCACTTGACATGTTCCCCGTGTAATCCTCCCCACAGCCCATGAGGTGTTATCAGGCCCAGCTTACAGATGAAGGAAATCGAGGCATAGAGAACTGGCCCAGGGACTGACAGCAAGTATTGGAGACCTGCCTGCAGAGCTCGCTCTCCTGCTCACTCCACTCAGCCCCAGGCTGCCTGTTCTATGACGTTCCCGAGCCCCCAGTCATATTGTCAGTCAGGGCCTCTGTGCTTATGTCATCTCCTAACCACTCCTCAAGTGCCACCAAGGCAGCACCTGGGTGTGGGGGAAAGAAAGATATATCAGACTGTTACTGTGTCTATGTAGAAAAAGGAAGACATAAGAAACTCCATTTTGATCTGTACTAAGAAAAATCTTCTTATTTATTTTCTCAGTCTCTCGTCCCACCTGACGAGAAATACCCACAGGTGTGGAGGGGCTGGCCCCCTTCACCTGGGTCTCGACTCCTGTTTTGTTCTGCGGTTCCCATTGCAGTGCTGTGACCCCCCAGAAGCTCAGGAAAACAACTGACTTCCTGGTGTTGCCAACAGGCAGAGAGGAGATGCAGCCAGTCCTTACCCTGTAGAAGATGGGGAGGGAGTCCCAGGTGTACGGATAAGCAAAGGCGAGGACACGAATCACCTTACAGAGTCTGGGCTTCTGGATTTCAAGAAACCTAAATCAGGGAAGGAAAGTGGGGAGGAAATGGAATGAAAAGAGTCTCAGCAAATTGCATACGCACATGCATGCACACCGAGGGCCTGGTCATCAACAGAGGACAAGCATTTTTCTACAAGCTCCTGTGGCCAGCAGCTTCTCCACCAGCCTCGTCCATTCCTCCCACCCCAATGGAAGTGACAAAACTTCAGATGCAAAAAGATCTCCAGGGACACCATCTCCTGACCATGGGAAGCAGTGGTGTCCAGACTAAGCCAGAAAGGAGGCGCTGGGCAGAAACCCTTCAAGGGCCAAGTTATGTAACTGCCAAAGAACCTTTTAAAACTCTAGTTGCTACAGGGACAGGGAACGGGTAGGGGGAATCGGGGGATCCACTGCCACAGACTCTTGGGGGGCACACTCTGCAGAGGCTGAGATGCACCCATCTAGTTGGAGCCCAGGTATTATCATGCAGGAGACCTGGGTTCAAGTAGGTGTTTGACCCTTGGAGAGCTTTCTGGAATATTTATACCACACACAGGGATACTTGGCTTGGGAAAACTAAATAAACGTGAAGTCTTTCCTTCTCTTCTTCATTGCCACCCTCACCCAACCTCCAATCCAAAGACAGCTGACAGCAACATTAAAACAAGTGATGCTGATTGTTGAGAAGAGAGGCAGGTCCCCCCAGACAGAACATGACAGGGCCTCAGCTGACTTGGGCCCAGCCTGGGGCAGCAGCTCAGGGTATGGGGAACTGGGTAGCACAGACAGCAGGCTGCACACTGGGAGGACATGGGGAGGGGCAGGGAGGGTCTCTGCACAAAATCACAGCCCTGAACTGAGGCCTGGGTAAGGAAGTGCTCATGGGCCCTGGCTGGGCCACCAAGGCCAGGTAGTAGGGACAGGTAAAGTCCCCACATCAATGCTGAGGTGTACTGTGGAGGGCTGTGTCCTCCCTTGGGGCCCACAGGGCTGCAGGGTAAGGAACCCAGCACAGTGGATGCACAGCCACACGCTGAGGCTCTTGGGATGGCTGTTCTGATGCAGTCTGTAAAGGCAATGCATGCATCTGGGCCCTTTCAGCCTTTGCTGACAGTTCTGCCCCCTATCACACTGGAGGGATGGGGTCTGTGTCCTGCTGTGGCTCCTATCTCTGCTCCCAAGAACCTCGGTCCCAGTCCACAAGCCTGTTCCTTCTCCTTCAAATGCCATCTGCTGTTTCCTCTGAGCCCAGACCGATTTCACCTGGCCAGGCTGTTCATATCTCGTATGAGCCAGTAAAGCCACCTGACCATAAACCCAGCTGCTGCCTGTATCTCTCAGCATGGAGTATGCAGGGACTTCCACATTGGGCAGTTAGGGAACCCTCCTCAGGCAGGTGCCAGATCTGGTCAGGCCTGGATCCTGGGGACCCAGCACAGAAGCAGGTCTGAGGATGCGGACATTCTCCAGGCTATTGTGCTCCACTCAGTCCTCAGGGCAACCGAGCACAAATGGCCCACCCGGAGATTCCTGTTTCAGGAGAAAGGGACACCACTGTGTGCCCGGAGAAGCCCCACAGCCTCCCAAGACAAACCCCAACTTCACTCCAGCCCACTTTCGTGTTTCTTCTTTCCTGACCCTGCCTGTAAGTCATACATGGTACATGGCATGTACCAGGTGAGAAGCTCAAGGAGAAGGAACTAGGATGCATCATCCCCCCCGAAAAAGAACCAAACTCCCGGAGAGGTGAGGCAGCGCAGCACTGTGATTTTATGTGGAGAGCTTGATTGGGACACACTGGGTTCAAATCCTGACCCTGCCCTTCACAACCACGTGACCTCGGCAGGTCACTAACCTTTGTGTACCTCCTGATCCTCATGTGTAACACAGGGACAATGACTGTGCCTTGTCACAGCCTCGTTGTATGGATTTGATGAAACGATGCTCCCGAGGTGTTTAGAACTGTGCATGGCACAGTCGCACAGACTAAACAGCAGCTTTTAAAAACACATGCATCGTGGAGCTCCATTCTCTCCCCATCCCCACCTTGTATCTATGTTGGTCCAGATAATAGGAACAGGAGGGAACAAATAGGTTCTGGGTGATTTGCCTGAAGTCAGATGAGCCAATAAGAAGCAGAGCTAGGATTTAAACCCTGGGCTTTCTGGCCCCCAAGTGTCACCCCCTCTGTCTCAGGCAGTAGGCTGCGCAGACTCAGACCCCGCCCGGCCTTCACCCTTCCCTGCCCGCTCTGCCCCTGGAGCAGAGGGCACACACTCCTGCTATCCCGAGAGCCAGGTATCTGCCTCACCGGCCTTCTTAGTCCTCCGGCAGACCCTGCCCTGCCGCGGCAGGCCGCCCCCTCCTGCCCTGTGCCCTGCCACCGCCTGCCGTCTCCAGGTTGAGAGGCTCGCTCTTAAAGGGCCCCTGTGGCCACTTACACGCGAAGAAATCTGGCTGTGGCTGGCGAAGGCCATCCCCCAAAGCATGGATTTTCTGTGACTTGAGACAACATTTCGCTCGGCCTGATAAAGTGTTTCCCCAGGGGCAAACGGACCAGCCTCTCCAGCTGCAAAGCCGGGTCTAGAGGGAAAAGAGAAGGAGAAAAAGCAGAAGAGAAGAGAGACAGCAACAGAGAGAAAAAGGCAGAAGGGCCAGTAGCTCGGGAGAGGGGCCGTCCGCTACCAAGTTGCAGTTCCGCATTAGGCCACGCGATGTCGCCACAGCCAGAGCAGAACCACAGCCGCAGCATCCTCAGAGGCGCCCCACGTGCGGCCCCACAGCCCAGCCTGCTCGGGCTTAGGGCAGTCCCGCACCAGAGGGCTAAGGGGCTGCTATAGAGGAAGTGAGGTCTCTGCTCAGAACGAGGTTGGCAGGACACACTGGGTTACGGGAGAAGCCTTCGTTAAGAAAGGGTCGATTCAACACAATCTGACAAAAAAGCTGGAAGGATTGGCAACTGGAATTCCGGAACTAGGGCTTGAAACTAGCGGGCCTTTGGAAAAATCATTCTATTGCAGAGGCGCACGCACGAGTGCACGTGTGTGTGTACATGGGGGCGGTAGTTATGGTTGTTTTATTGTGTAGGAGTTGTCTTATTTTGGAGAACTGCAGGGATGTAGACATTTCCCCATGCCCCTAACTGGCTATAGCAGCACTTTATCCTCTGGCCAAGCCTCTGTCTGAGAACCATGTCTGCTGAGCCTTCTACCTCCAGCGCTGACCTCAAACCCCTTCCAGGTCAGCTCCACCCCTCTGAACTGCCTCAGCAACTGCCTCTAAGCTGTCCTTAGAGCAGAGCTCATGGGTGAAAATTAATCTCTCGCCCTCACTGCTCTGACCAGGAGGTTTTTCACTCAGCAGCTCTTTGAAAAAAAAAAAACAAAAAACAAAAAAAAAACAATCAATGGTTGGATGCACTGGAAGGAGATGGACAGTGATTTGTCCATACAGTACTTGCTGTGTAACTGACATTCCTGAAGGGAGTGGCAGCCGTTTCCTGTGCAGGCATGAGCAGGCCAGGGCCTCGGCCACCCCCACCTTGCTCCAAGAACCACGAAGAGGGCACGCATTCTCTCATTTCCCCTCTCAAATGCTACAGAATGAGAAGGCAGTTTTCTGGAACATTTTCATTTGAACCAAAGTCCATGACAATAAGAACCAAAAACCACTCAGGGGACGACAAAGCTCTCTATGTTGAGATTGGCCTTAATGGTCTGCCTTGTAATGGAACGAATGCCATTTCAACCCTGATTTTCGGGCAAGCATCAGATAACTGTCAAGCAAATACTGAGGTTCCTGGTCTCCCCCAGGAGGTCTTCCCCTCCCTGGAGGGGAAGGTGGTTCTCTCCCGCTCCTGCCCAACTGCAGCCGGATGGAGCAGGAGGGAGAGGCAGGGGTGGAGCCTGGGGGAGGAAGACAGCTGGGAAAGGAAGCTTGGAGAAGACACTAAGGCATCGACATTGCACGATGCCCAAACCAGAGAGGACCCAGAGGGTATTGTCTCAGATGCCCTCATTGAAGACGTAGACCCTGAGGCCCAGAGTGGACAGTGACTGCCCTGAGGCCATACAGCAAGTCTGGGGGAGCAGGGTTGAAATTCAGGCCTCCAGATACCCACACCCTCCTCTCTACCCACTTCTTCTGAAATTACTCAGGGCCAGCATCACTTCTGCACACGAGTCAGCTTTCTCACTCTCCAGACACCAAAGGCAGAGACAGGGAATGAAGAGAGGGGAGGACAGGCCTTGTAAGAGCAGCAAAACCATGGGTCAGGGAACGTGGAGCGAGGACGAGGTACAAAGGGCACTGGAAGGGCCACATGCCCACTCTACCTTTGGGTGCAAGAGTGTGGCATGTGCCCCCTTCCTCCTTTTTGATTCCAACATAGCCCCTCACCTCCCTCTCCCCTCAGCTCCCACTTCAGTTGCTGCTAATATGCCTGGAAACCCCTCAGGGCATGGAAGCTGAGTGCGTAGGATTTTTTTTTTTCCCTAAGAGATTCTCATCCTTCATGAGCAAAGGGCCAGTCCTCATAGGACCCACAGGCCCCCAGCCCACCATCCAAGCCCCTCTGTAGCTGCTCTCCTCCATCTACTCTTGCAGACTCTGGCAGCTCTAACACACCTTGCTGCTTCCCCACCCTGGCCCACCCTCTCTGTAGTCCTCATCCTTGTCCTGGCTGGTTGCTATGTCCTCCTCTTCAGCTAAAGTGTTCTACCTCCTTCAATATCCAGTCCTAAAGCCACTTCTCAGAACCCTGTGTATACCGGCAGGTGTCATTCTGCCTTATCATTATTTGTTTACATTACACTCCCTCCTGCTACACTCTAACGGAAATCATGGCCTCATGGACCTCTGGGGGCATCTGCAGTCTGTCTCTCCTATGGCACTGGGTGCTCTCTGAAGGCAAGGGCATCCTTCTGGCACCCTCAGCTCCTAACGTGGTACCTGGAGTATGGCAGGCATTTAAGGAATGTTAGATGGGTGGGCGGGTGTGTAGATGGGTGGATAGATGGAATAGGCACAGATGTACTCCATAAATAAATAACCCATTTCATTGGCAAAGGGAGAAGCCCCCAAACTCAGGCACCCAGGAGATGTCTGGCAAAGCTGCCCTGACAGATAAGTTCCTCCAAAGACACCAGGCATGCCACATCCAAAAGACCCCATCCGTTATATCTGAACCATCAGGGAAGACTCCTGGCTAGAAGAAAGTAATCTAGGCTGGGCAGGGTGGCTCACACCTGTAATACCAGCACTTTGGGAGGCTGAGGAGAGTGGATCATCTGAGGTCAGGAGCTCGAGACCAGCCTGGCCAACATGGCGAAACCTTGTCTCTACTTAAAACAAAAAAAAATAAAATAAAACCAGCAAGTGTTCTAAGAATTTGAATTATGAGCTCATGGGGAAGCCATCTTGGATCATTCACTCTGGAGACAATTTCTTTTTTTTCTTGGCTCCACTGCCCGGGCTGGAGTACAGTGGCATGCTCTCAGCTCACTGCAACCTCTGCCTCCTGGGTTCAAGCGATTCTCCTGCCTCAGCCTCTTGAGTAGCTGGGATTACAGGTACCTGCCACCACACCCAGCTAACTTTCGTATTTTTAGTGGAGACAGGTTTTCACCACATTGGCCAGGCTGGTCTTGAACTCCTGACCTCAGGTGATCCACCCACCTGGCGCTCCCAAAATGCTGGGATTACAGGTGTGAGCCACTGCACCCAGCCTCACTCTGGAGACTTTCTTCCACACTCACGAAGCCTTCTCTTCCTCCTCTGCCCCCTCAACCTGTGGTACTCTCCCTGTCTAATCCTAAATTTCAAACGCCAGAGCCACACAGCCCTAGGAGAGCGAACCAGATGGGGCAGTGACTGGTCCAAGGACCAGGTCCAAGAGTGTCCAGGTTCCTGGACCATGGCCAGTCCACAAGCCCATGCACCCAGGTCTCCGGGGCTTGCTTCATCTCTGCTGGACTTGTTTCCGCAGGGTTATTACTGTTCTATATCTGTTATACCTCCCTTCATCCACGGCAGGGACTCCTAGAAACAGACTTTCACTCCCATGGAAGGCAGCTCCACACTTCCAACCCACCTTAGCGCAGGTGAATGGAAGGCGAATTGGAACAAGTATTCCCAATGCTGTTTCAGAATCTATCCTTCCATTTAAAAATAAAAAACAGAAACAAAAAAACTGGTTTGTCCTGTTTGTGAAACTTGCCTGCTCTCCCTTGTGAAACTTGCTGGCCCCACACATCCCAAGTGTCACCCAAAGG
Source organism: Homo sapiens (assembly GCF_000001405.40). Lineage (NCBI taxonomy): Eukaryota > Metazoa > Chordata > Mammalia > Primates > Hominidae > Homo > Homo sapiens. The sequence goes on along the minus strand of NC_000015.10, from coordinate 69,391,229 downwards.
AATTTGGAGACAAAATCATTCTGGAGAAGTTACCAGATGGGGCATATCTCACCTGCCTGTTTTTTCCTGGGGAGAGGGGGGCAAGTGGAGGCAGGGAGACTCCACTGGCTCGCTGGAGTTGCCATTGCGGGAGGACAGAGAACTCAGATGTACCTGCCAGCTTACCTTTCCTGACCAGCACGAAAGGCCCCCAGCCCAAAAGTACCAGCCTTGGCCCTATTCAGCCAGGGCTGTCACCCCAACACAACCATTTGGGAGATTTCCTGAGTATTTTAGGGAAAAGGAACTTTCAGGCAGTTCACTTCTACAAAGAGCTGAATAAATTGGTGTAGTTATCCCCATAACAACATTCTCTGCACTCACACCCCCATGAGTTTTCTTGAAAGAAAAAAAAAAAAAACAGTGGGAATTAGAGCGCGTAAGCTGGGCCTGACTCACTGATGAGGGATGCATAGGGCATTTGAATAACACCATCATCCATCACATATGCCCAGAGGCAGACACACCCAGTCACCATTAGTGACCACACATTTATGGGACATCTCCTCTGTGCCAGGCTTGTGCTAAGTGTCCTGGGTACATTACCTGTAATCCTTCCATTTGTCTTAGGGGTATTTGTAATGGCCTCATTTTATAGATGAGCAAACTGAAGTTCAGGGTGGATAAGCCACTTGTCCAGCAAATGGAACCAGCTGCATAATTTGTAAAGCCTTGTACCGAATCAAAGAGCAGGGACCTCCCTGTTCAAAAATTATTACAAATTATTAAGAATGCAGCAGACGAGCCCAGGAAGGCGAGGCTACAGTGAGCTGAGATCGCACCACTGCATTCCAGCCTGGGCCACAGAGAGAGACCCTGTCTCAAAAAAATAAATAAATAAATAAATAAATAAATAAATAAATAAATAAAAAACAGGTCAGGCACCATGGCTCACGCCTGTAATCCCAATACTTTGGAGGGCCAAGGTGGGTGGATTACCTGCAGTCAGGAGTTCCAGACCAGCCTGACCAACATGGTGAAACCCTGTCTCTACTAAAAATACAAAAATTAGCTGGGCGTGATGGCGGGTGCCTGTAATCCCAGCTACATGGGACGCTGAGGCAGGAGAATCGCTTGAACTCAGGAGGCGGAGGTTGCAGTGAGCCAAGATTGTGCCATCACACTTCAGCCTGGGTGACAGAGTGAGACTTTGTCTCAAAACAAAAACAAAAACAAAAAAAGGCAGCAGAGTATTAAACCAAGTATGAGACTCTCTGAGCATGGAGGCCTGGAGCTTGCGTGCCCAGGAAGCTGGTTTTGCCAGCATAGGAAGTCCACCTGGAACGGAGTCCTAGGTTCCCAAGCACCTTTTCCATTGAGCCCACCTCTTCCCCGGCTCCCTCAAAGAGTGCAGGGAGCTGCATGCAAGACCCTCCCTCCCCTCCCATCTGAGGTCAGAGCGACCAGTACCTGGAGTAGCAGGAGAGGCCTGTGCTGAGGATGGTGTTCAGTACAGCCAGGGCCACGTAGTAGTCATGGAAAGTGGTGCACATGAGCGCATCCGGGAACGTGTATGCAGAGTAGGCAATGGCTGAGCCTGGGGAAGAAAAGCCAGCCTTGGGAGAGGAGCCAGGCCTTGGCACCACATGGGCCCCTTGCAAAGACTGTCCCCAGCATCTGGCTTGGCCCTTATCATTCCCACAGTCCTGGCTCTGCGCCCTCGCTGGTGCCATTCCCCCTTCTAGGATGTCCTGCTTTCTCTTCTCTGCCCACCCAAATCCCATCCTGAGAATTTACTGTGAGCCCAGCTTTGCTCCAAGGGCTTTACATGTATGACCTCACATAATACTTCAACCATCCTCCTTCATAACTCTGCACTTATCCTCATTGTACAGATAGGAAGCAGAGGGATAGAGAGGTTTAATCACTCGCCCAGGGTCCTGCAGCTAGAGAGTTAACAAAGATGGGTTTCAAACCCAGACAGGTTAGTGACAGTCCCTGCTTTAGCCACATGCTGTGGTCCATGACGACAGACCCAGCGAGCTGAGCTCTACTCAGAGTGTGCACATCTCACCTGCCCAGGGACATGGGTGCTCCTGGTAGAAAGATCAGTGCTGGAGGGAGGGCCCTTGCTGAGACGAGGATGTCATAGCAGCAGCTGGGAGACAGACCAGCTGAGAGGTTGGGTGTTGCGTTGTGTTTTAGGTTTTGAAGTTTGTGAAAGAAGGGTTGCTTAAGGACCTTCTAGCGACCTTTTTGCTGAAGCATTTATTTGGAAGAGCAGGGGAGATCACTGTCCTTTTCAAAGGGGCCAGGTGTGCTTCAGCTGGGGAGATGGGCCTGGACCTGCACCCTCACCTCCTGAGGTCTCCCCTAAGGGAGGCAGCCCAAGGCCTGATGGCCATGCCTAGGTCACCTGTCATTCCAAAGACATCAGGAATTGTGGAGTCCTAGCTCAGGGCTGAACAAGGCTTTGGGCCATACAGGTTGATCTGTCTTTTATCCCAGTGACAGGTGGATCTAGCAAAGCTGGCCACACAGGCAAAGAGGGTGAACACCAAAGCCTCCTGGTCCCATACTCCCAGCTGCAGCAGGCAGCCCGCGAGATTTCAGTGGGAAGCTGCCTCCAGAGGGACAGGCAAGCCCTTTGTCTGGCCCCATACTGGGAGGGGGTTCCCTGCTGGACTGGGATGCATTCGCTCAGCAGATGCCAACTGGGGCAAACTGTGGGCCATGCAAGAGCCAGGGAGCTTCTGACCCTGCCCAGAACCGCAGCCAGAAGCAAAAGACCAGAGCCTGAGTCAGGTTCCAGTGTGGGGCAGGCTTTCGGGATGGGTGGAGCACAAGGCACAGGAGCTGATCTTGGAACAAAGCCTGGTAGGTCATCCCGGATTCTGACAAGAGCCTGAGGGCAGGGAGGCTTTCAGCTTTGGATGCAGGCTAAGGAAAGGAAACTTCCTCTTTCAGGCACTAAGGGAGCCACTGAAGGATTCTGATGACCAAAACCTAGTGAAAGCACACAGGATGGCCTGAGGGAGGAACCCCTGGAAGCCTGGGAGGTGGCAGGAGGGCGCTACACTGGTGGGATTGAGGGCTTTGACAGGGAGGGAGGAGGGAGGCAGGGGCAGAGGGTGGAGCCGGGAGTCCCAGATGGAATCAATGGCTCTCTCAGTGGACTAGATGTTCCTTCCGTGTTTCCTGAACACTTCCCCACATCAAGCACTGGGCTATGGGCTAGAAAAACAGATTGGAAGCATCTTCTGTGCTCCGGAGTTGTTCTCAGCAATGGAGGTGTGCCAGCATGGCTGGCAGGCTGGGGATCAGAAGAATCATGGTGGGGGTATATCCAGGTCTGGGGGTTGGAGGAAGGGCACAGGGCAGGGGCCCCTGAGGCTCCCGTGGTGCAGCCTGCAGGGAAGGGAAGAGGGAGTTCTGGGGAATGGCCTATGGGAGGATACAGAGAAGGGAGACCATGGCAACAAGAGGAACTCTTACACAGACAGACAGTGAGGCCCGTGATGGAGGAAGGCAGGGGACAGGTTGGTGGTGGACCACATGGGCTTCAGTCCTCACTCTGGCTCTGCCATGCACAGCTGTGTGACCTGTCACTTACCTCCACAGTGCCTCACTGTCCTCACCTACGCATGGATATGACACTAGGACCTACCTCAGGGACTGCTGCCACGGTTAACAAGATCATCGTGGTAATGGCTGCCCTCAGATGCCGACTAAGGCCAGGCTCTGAGCCTCATTTAAAACACATTTAATCATCAGAACATACCCACAAAGAAGATATTACATCCATTTTGTGGATGAAAGAATTGAGGCTTGGCAGGGTTATGAAACTTGCACAGGAACCTCTAACAGTTAGGGGTGGTGGAATCAGGTGCCAGCACCTGGACCATTAAACATGGTGTGGTGTGGCCCCTCAGGGGTGTGTGTCAGGGGCCTGGACCAGGGCTTGCCATGCAGCGATTACTCCAGAAATGCCCACACTTATCAAAACAAGTCCGGGGCGGGCAACCGAGGGCCAAGGAAGTCGCCCCGCTAAGCAGTCTGGACTGCTTCTGGCTGATGAGGGCCCTGACAGTGGGAGGGTGATGTGGTAGAAGGTGTTGTGGAAGCCTCCAGGGGCTGGGTGAGGTGGAGAAGGCTGTGATAACTGTGCAAGTGAGAGGCCGGGGCCTGAGTCAAGACAAAGGGGCAGTGCCGCTTACAGCAGGTAGGAGAGAAGTCACCTGGCCTTAATAACCAATTGGCCAGAGGGTGGGCGTGGGTGGGGAGTGAGAGGAAGGGGACCCCGAGGATTAGTCAGGCTTCTGACTCAGGAGAAGGAGTAGGGGCGCGACCATCAGTCAGGTTGGACATACAGAGGGCTAGCAGGTGTAGGGGCAGGGGCGGGAGCAGGTACAGTTCTGGTCTCATGGCTCTGAGGTGGCGTGGACCTCAGGTAAGAGGTTTACATTGGAGACAGGGTTTCTCCGGAGGTGGAAGAGATGCAGTAGGCATGGAGGAGATCTCTGGGGAGCCGGATCGTGTGAGAGGAGAGGTCAAAGGACCACTTCTGAGCCTCCCCACCCATGTGTGCCAGAAAGCAGAGGAGGGGAGCCAGCCCAGGGGAGGGGGGACATGGAGGGTAAGAGGGGATCCGGAGGGTGGGAGGGAATCCGGGAGGGAGGGAGGGATGTGACAGGGACCAGAGAAAGAGAGGGGCATTGAGGAGGCCTGAAGGACCCCTGCATCAATCTTGGCAGTCAGGAGGCCGGGACCCTGGACAGGGGCACGCACATTCCCCACTCTCTTCTGCAAACCCATCAAAGCCTGAGGGTAAGCCTGGCTCACACGGAAAGGGGCACGGTCTAGTGAATGCTGGGGACTGGGCAGCAGAGCACTAAGGAGTGGGCAGTGAAGTGGGAAAGTGTGTGTGTATGTGTGTGAGAGTGTGTGAGTGAGCGTGTGTGTGGTGTGTGTGTATGTATGTGGTGTGTGTGATGTGTGTGTGTGGTGTGTGTGTGTGATGTATGTGAGAGTGTGAGTGTGTGAATGTGTGTGTAGTGTCTGAGAGTATGTGTGCGTATATGAGCATGTGAGTGTGTATGTGGTGTGAGTGTGTATGTGAGTGTATTGTGTGTATATGTCAGCATGTGTGGTGCGTATGTGGATGTGAGTGTGTGTGGAGGGTCTGAGAGTATGTGTATGTGCATGTGAGTGTATTGTGTGTATGTGATGTGTGTTTATGTGAGTGTAGTGTGTGTCAGTATGGGTGGTGTGTGTGTGTAGTGTTTGAGAGTGTGCATGTGAGTGTATTGTGTGTATGTGGTGTGAGTGTGTGTATGTGAGTGTATTGTGTGTGTGTCAATGTGTGAGTACATGTGGCATGTGGTGTGTGTGTGTGCATGTAAGTGTATTGTGTATATGTGGTGAGTGTGTGTATGTGCATGTGTGAGTGCATTGTATGTGTGTGTGTCAGTGTGTGTCAGTGCATGAGTGTGTGTTTGTGTGAGTGTGAACGTGTGTATATGAAGAAAGAGGATGGAGGTAGGCTCCTCATGGACAACCTCTTGGGCAAGGAAGACAATAATTGGTTTTCTCACCTAGAATGGGACCTGGAGGAAGAATCTAGAACTCATATCCTTAGGGATAGATGCATGCCCACAAGGGGAGGAGAGAAGAGGCCAGAGGAGGGAGCATCATAGTCAAAGAAAAAGACAAGGAAGAGGGGGCGGTCAGCACCGAATTTCACCAGCTTAGGTTGCTGATCTATTCCCGCACACTCTGAGCATCTCTCTGATTGTGCTAAGCCTCTGGATATACGAGGCTCATGACCTCACCCTCCTCTTCTTGCCTGGCATGACAGAGACCAGCACTGATGTACTGGAGTCAGTTCATTCTGGCCTGTGAGAGAGCTGAGTGCTGAACACAGCCATCATTAAAAATTAAATCACAGAAACTTGCAATTAAATAAATCATATTAACAAAAGTACTGAGTACTCAATGACTACATCTACTGTATCTGCATGGTGGAATTTCTGTAATAGTGTGCTACGCATATCTCTTCCCACCCTTGTGTTCTGTGATGTCATGTTAGTAGGTTGAAGCTGGACATGATGGGAAGATTTACACCACAGAAACTGGCAACACTGCAGATCGGGGCTGTTGTCCCCACAGAGCCAGTGGCTAAATATTTAGCAGCATGCTTATGGACAGTTTCTTATAAAACACCCATTGGGAACCTGGACAGGGGCACTGGCATAATCCCTGGATTCTTCTGCAAACTCATCAAAGCCTTCTGGTGACCCTAGCTCACAGGAGAAGGGGCAAACAGCCCGGTTGCAGGGGAAGGAAAGCAAGAACAAGGCCTCACATACCCAGGCTGAAGAGGTTGACGGCACCATAGTCCAGGAAGTAGCAAATGTGCCGGGCATTCTTGGACATAGAGCTGAAGGTGTGCGCACAGCTGGACACAAGTGGGTACACGCAGCTGGTGCACATGTACACAAGCATGGGCCAGGAGTAGCTGTCATTCTTGATGTCTGTCATATACAGTGCAGTCACAAACCTCCATGCAAAGAACCTGGAACACAGAGGGCTCACTCACCCTCCACCATGAACACAGAGGGCCCGCTCACCCTCCACCATGAACACAGAGGACCCGCTCACCTTCCACCATGAACACGGAGGGCCCGCTCACCCTCCATGATGAACACGGAGGGCCCACTCACCCTCCACCATGAACACGGAGGGCCCACTCACCCTCCACCATGAACACGGAGGGCCCACTCACCCTCCACCATGAACACGGAGGGCCCGCTCACCCTCCACCATGAACACGGAGGGCCCGCTCACCCTCCACCATGAACACGGAGGACCCGCTCACCCTCCACCATGAACACGGAGGGCCCACTCACCCTCCGCGATGAACACGGAGGGCCCACTCACCCACGGAGGGCCCACTCACCCTCCACCACGAACACAGAGGCCCACTCACCCTCCACCACGAACACAGAGGCCCACACACCCTCCACCATGAACACGGAGGGCCCCCGCTCACCCTCCACCGTGAAAACAGAGGCCCCGCTCACCCTCCACCATGAGCACAGAGGCCCACTCACCCTCCACCATGAGCACAGAGGCCCACTCACCCTCCACCATGAGCACAGAGGCCCCGTTTACCCTCCACCATGAGCACAGAGGCCCACTCACCCTCCACCATGAGCACAGAGGCCCACTCACCCTCCACCATGAATACAGAGGGCCCGCTCACCCTCCACGATGAACACAGAGGGCCACTCACCCTCCACCATGAACACAAAGGCCCACTCACCCTCCACCATGAACACAAAGGCCCACTCACCCTCCACCATGAACACAAAGGCCCACTCACCCTCCACCATGAACACAAAGGCCCACTCACCCTCCACCATGAACACAAAGGCCCACTCACCCTCCACCATGAACACAAAGGCCCACTCACCCTCCACCATGAGCACAGAGGCCCACTCACCCTCCACCATGAGCACAGAGGCCCACTCACCCTCCACCATGAGCACAGAGGCCCACTCACCCTCCACCATGAATACAGAGGGCCCGCTCACCCTCCACGATGAACACAGAGGGCCACTCACCCTCCACCATGAACACAAAGGCCCACTCACCCTCCACCATGAGCACAGAGGCCCACTAACCCTCCACCATGAATACAGAGGGCCCGCTCACCCTCCACGATGAACACAGAGGGCCAGTCACCCTCCACCATGAACACAAAGGCCCACTCACCCTCCACCATGAGCACAGAGGGCCCGCTCACCCTCCACCATGAGCACGGAGGGCCCACTCACCCTCCACGATGAACACAGAGGGCCAGTCACCCTCCACCATGTACACAAAGGCCCACTCACCCTCCACCATGAGCACGGAGGGCCCGCTCACCCTCCACCATGAGCACGGAGGGCCCGCTCACCCTCCACCATGAGCACGCAGGGCCGCTCACCCTCCATGATGAACATGGAGGACCTGCTCACCCTCCATGATGGAAGCCCCTCTTAGATCCTCGCCTATCTACTGTCTCCATTCCCCCGCGGTGACTAATTCCTTCGTGTTCTCACTTTGGGGAAATACCATGTGCTAGGAAGGTGGGGGGTCCTTTTTTAATTGGGAGGCAGTACGTTGGGAATGGGCAGGTGAAGTAAGAAGAGAGGCTTTATGTATATCTAGTCCAATCCCCTAGTGATTCTCCAGCCTCAGCTTGCATGCTTCCAGGGATGGGGGGCTCATTACCTCCCAAAGCAGCTCCAAGGGCTGGAAAGTTCTCCTTCATTGGCTCAAATCTGTCCTCCTGGAATCTATCTCCATTTGATTGGCCTTAGTTCCCTCCACCAGGATCATAGAAAACAAGCTTAACATATGCATATATATATATATATATATATATATATATATATATATATATGGTCATATATATATATATATATATGGTCACATATATATACACATATATATACACACATATATATATACACATATACATACATATATACATACATACATATATATATATATATATATATATATATATATATATATATATATATGCTTTTTTTTTTTTTTGAGACAGAGTCTTGCTCTGTCACCAGGCTGGAGTGCAGTGGCACGATCTCGGCTCTCTGCAACCTCTGCCTCCTGGGTTCAAGTGATTCTCCTGTCTCAGCCTCCCAAGTAGCTGGGACTACAGGCACCCTCCACCACGCCTGGCTAACTTTTGTATTTTTAGTAGAGACAGCGTTTCACCATGTTGGCCAGGATGGTCTCGATCTCCTGACCTTGTGGTCTGCCTGCCTCAGCCTCCCAGAGTACTGGGATTATAGGCATAAGCCACTGCGCCCGGCCGCCTGTCAAATATTTCAAGGCAGTCTTTCTAACCCCCTCCCACCTCCTTGAACTTCACATTAAATACTCCCGGTTCCTTCAGCCATTCCTCGCAGGATCTAAATGTGGCGTTACCACCATCCCCGTGGTTTGTCCTTCCTCCATGTAGTTTGTCTATGTCCCTCTTGTAGGAAGGCTCCTCAAATAGAAGCAATGCCCCAGGTGGAGCCTTGCAAGCCGAGGCCAAGAGAACTATTTTCTCCCTCCTCCTCCACACTGTTCCTCCACTAAGAGTACAATCACTTTTCGGAATAGCTAGTCCCACAGCTGACTCTTAGCAGAGCCTAGATCTCTATGCAGAGACACTTCAAAATTCTTCACCAGGTCTGCCTGGCCTACAATCCACGCATGAGGTCCCGCCTGCAGAGCACCTCGCTTCCACAAATCACTCCTAGAGAGCTGGCTCCCTTTCTCACTAACTCCTCCAAGGGAGGAGACTCTACAAAGCTTTTCATATGCAGGAGCTGAAGGAACATTGCTAAATCCTTCCAGCTACACTTGTGGACTTTTTAATTTTGTCCCAGCGGGAAGTAAAGCTTAAGCTATTTGCTGTTTCTCAAAATGTATCCTTCAGTTATTTCAATTTTTCAGTGGTCCCATTTCCTTAGGGCATCTTGATCCAGACCTCCCCAAGTCCTTCCTGCTACTCTCTGTTGCTCAGTCAGGATCATCTCTGAGAGCCTGGCACCGTGTAGAAGTGCATAGGCAGTGCTGGAGGTGATGGGGGTGCGGCTCACCCAGCTTGGCTCAGCTGTAACATAGCAAAAAATCACCCTACAGGGATCCATGCATGGAGTGCAAGACCCACAAGCAGGGATGGACAGGCTGGTACCCTTTTAGCAGCTCAAATCTCAAAACAGCCTAAATCAACCATGATTCATCCAGAAAATGGAACACCAAGCAGATGTTCCAAAGTCCAGGAGACATGCAGATTGCAGATGCTGACAGAGTGAGATCTCCAAGGGAGGGAAGTAAGAGGAAGGCAGCAGGGAAAGAGGCAGATGCTGTGGATGCTCACAGCACAGATGCTCCTGGGTCCCCCAGAAAAGCTCCAGGAGGACGCATAGGAAGCAGGTCCCCCTGGCCACTCCAGGGAGGAGAACTGGGGCCAGTGGCAGAGCCTGACTCTATTCCCTTCTGAAGGGTTATAATTTGTAAGCATGTATACTTTTAAAAATGACAAATGGCCCCTGGAGCAGGGCTGTGCTGCCACCCCTGCCCAGTCCGCAGGCCCAGGGCTGCCACACTCCTTTACAGATCACCCTAGTCCACACCAGACTGAGCTCTCTCCCCTCTCCACTGAGCTGGCTGCTGGAACCAAACAGCCTGCCCCTGCATTTTGGCCCCGGGTCTGTCATCTGACTTCTACTCAGGCTGGCTGCCCCTGTGCGGGGAGCCTGGGCCCATCTCCACTCATGGCACACTCCTCATCTCTTCTCAACATGACTGGAGGGAGTCCAGTGACCAGCCTGTGCCACGGCGCCCCTGCATGACGTAAGGACGCCACCCCGTCTCTCGGCTGTGTCTACATCGACCAGTGGTGGTCTGAGTGGGACAGTGGCTTGAATGGCCTCTGAGTTCTTCCAGCTCAGATCCACTGTGATTTGGTGCTTTGACCCTGTCTCCATCCTCCATTCCTTAAGCAAAGGTGTGCAGTGTGTGACATTGGCCTTCATCCCCCACCTTTCTCAGCAAGGCCCCTCTTCGCTTCCCTGGCCACTTCCATTTCTGCATACAGGCTTCCCAGAGCTTTGCTCTTAGCTGGCTCCATCTACAGGCTGCCTGACCAAGTGCCTCCCAGTTGTCGTGGTTCCCAGAATGATTACGGAACACCCACAACTCTGTGGCAGATGCCTCTACCAATGTTTTCTCCCCAAACCCTCACAGCAACCCTTGGGGAGGTGCGGACCATCACTCCTGCTTTGCAGGTAGGAAAATGAGAGGCTCAGAGAGGTTGACTTGCTCAAACTAGTGACATTTTAACCAGGGCTCCTGGAAGACCTGGAAAGTCTCCAAGACCGGAGATGAAGGTAAATGCTATCATATCAGGCACCGGAGCAGGGAGCAGGAAGGACTGAGGCACTTTTGGGATTTCCCCTCAAATCTTACCCCAGTCCATGCCTTAAAGGTCATCCCAGTGGCACACCCAATGTCTCTTCCCTCTGTCACACACTCCCTTCACCCGCGTGTACCCACGGGGGATCCCCAAACCCCAGCACAGAATCTCAGCCCTCTCAACACTAGCCATGTTTTAAGACACCCTGGTCTCCAGGGCTCCTGAAGGAGACAGGCCGGTCGAGGGGGCCAGAAGGTACCAGAAGGGCAGCAAGTGAGTCCAAATGTTGAGAGTCTCATTGGTCATTTGGAAAAGGCTGAGGATGCAGGCAGTGGCAGAACTCTGTGGATGGCGGTAGCCGAACAGGATGCCTTGCTCATGGAACACCTGCAGAGGCAAAGGAAAAGGACACTGAGGTGAGACCAGAGGGTGGCACGAAGGTCTCTGGAGAAACATCTTCCAGGCCGTGCTCTGTGTGCCTGGAACGCTTGACCCCAAGTCCTTAACCTGTTAAGCTGTTCCCCTCACTCTCTCCTTCCCTCGCAGTAGCTTCTAAAATCCCTTGTCCTCCAAGAAGCCTCCAGCTAGCTGGGGGAGGGAATTCAAGGGCCAGGCTCCCTTTGGGAATCCAGCCTGTCTTTGCATTCCCCGGCGTACTTACTCTTGGCATGAATCTTGCCTAAGAATCCGTTTTCTCACCCCTCTGCCTGGGGCCTACAGCCCAGTTTTTGGACGCCTTTTTGGTGAGCTGACACAGATGCTGTCTGTCTGAGCTGGCAAGCCCTGCATGTCAGGGGCTGGTGGGAAGAACTCTGCAGAAGATGCCCCCGGTGCCAGGATATATTCACCAAGGTGCTTCATAAAGGGCTTTTGATGATGAGGACCACGATGCTGATGCCTGGGCTGCAGGAAGAGGAGGTGGCTGCCCACAGCACGGCTGCTCAAGTCACCCCCACCCCCATGCAGCCCATTTGGCAAGTCCCCCCCAAAAAACACCCACTGAGAAACCCGGACTGGTCAGGTGAAATATGGGGTATCAACCTGCCTGGAGTATTGTATTACATCCACTAAAAGTGGTAAGTGAGAAGATAATGAGGCCAGAGGCACAACAGCCCAGGATACAATAATAAGTGAAGAAATGTGGAATTTAAACTATATTCCTGCCATGGTTAGAAGAGCTTGGGAAAATGAAGTTTACACCATGGGGCAGAGGCTGGGAGGAACATAGAAAAGTGAAGTGTTTAATTTGTTGAGGTAGCAGGATTGCAGGAGACCTGTTTTCCCCTTCTGTGTTGATTTAGACCAAGGGTTCTCAATTTTGACACTATTGACACTTTGGGCCAGATCATTGTTTGTTGTGGGGGCCAACCTGTGAGTCCTTTCACAGCATCCATGGCCTTTATCCGCTAAATGCCACTAGCTCACACTGTCAGCACCCTACCCCCCAAGTTGTGACAAACAGAAATGTCTCCAGATATTGTCAGATGTCCCCTGGGGGCAAAAATCGCCCCCAGGTAAGGACCACTGATTTAGATAAATGTTGCCATACCCTTTGAAACGTAAATTATAAATGAGTAGGGTAATTGAAGCAAATAATAACAATGATAATATTAGTAATCATAATCTAAATCAGGTCACAATAAGTTGCAAACCCTCTCCTTTGAATTTCTAGGGCTGTGAGGGGAAGGCTAGAGGAACTTCAATCTAGCCACCCATTTCTCATTTGGGGTATCAATTTCTTAGTGTAAGAGAGGTTCTCTGTTAAAAAAATGTACAATATATACCAGAGTCTGTGCTATCTCTCTCTCTCTTTTTTTTTTTTTTTTTTTTTTTGAGACAGGGTCTTGATCTGAAGCCCAGGCTGGAGTACAGTGGTGCAATCATGGCTTACTGCAGCCTCAAACTCCTGGCTCAAATGATCCTCCCACCTCAGCCACCTGAGTAGCTGGAACTACAGGAGTGCCACCATGGTCAGCTAATTTTTTTTTTTTTTTTTTTTTTTTTTAAGATGGAGTCTCATTTTGTTGCCCAGGCTGGAGTGCAGTGTTGTTATCTTGGCTCACTGAAACCTCTGCCTCCTGGGTTCAAGCGATTCTCCTGCCTCAGCCCCCTCGGGTAGCGGGGATTACAAGCGCATGCCACAATGCCCGACTAATTTTTTGTATTACTAGTAGAGACAGGGTTTCATCATGTTGCCCAGACTGGTCTCAAACTCCTGACCTTAAATGATCCACCCACCTCGGGCTCCCAAAGTGCTGGGATTACAGGCATGAGCTACCACGCCCAGCCTAATTTTTTATTTTTTGCAGAGACAGGGTCTCACTATGATGCCCAGACTCATCTTGAACTCCTGGGCTCAAGTGATTCTCCCATCTTGGCCTCCTAAAGTGCCGGGATTAGAGGTGTGAGCCATTGTGCCCAGCCTTGTGCTATTTCTTGGGGTTCCAAGTCAAGCAGTCACATGGAACAGTGCAGAAGGTGAGGGGCTGCCAGAGTAATGAGTCAAATCTGGGTCCCCGAGGTGCCATGTGGCCTTGAGAAAAGTGAAGCGTTTAAGTGCAGCTGAAGCCCTGGGTCACAGCTCTCAGGGCCTCTGTGTAAAATGAGAGGGCTTGGCTAGCTGAATGGTCAGCACATTCCCTTCCAGCAGTAGCTCCAAGTTTTAGACAACTCTTAGTTCAGTTCTGGGTTGAACTGCTCAACTAGAGGGAGGGGATAAAATGAAGTTGATTCATGGTCTAGTGAAGAAATACTGTGAATTAGGTTTGGGTCTTAGGTAATTAAAATGATTTGTTCCAGTTTTTGATTCACCATTCAATTCTGCTGACATCCCCGGTTTATGGTGGACAGATTCCTGTAACGGGCAGCAGGAATCTTGAGTTGCAGATTTCCACCCCACTAAGGCTGATGACAAGGAGGCAAATAGGCCAATGGCCTTCAGCCTTTGATCCTGTGGAGGAGGACGGCACGTGCTTGGCAGGACTCGGAAAGCCTTCTAGCAGAAATAACAGCTCCCAGGAGCTCCACACTGGGTCTATCCTTCTACCTTTCAAGCTTCTTTCTCTCTTCCTTTTAAGTTGTTGTTTTATAATTATTAATTAAAGCACTGGCCACTGGTTCCAATGCAGACTCCATTAATCATTATTTACTCATTCATATGAATTAGACTAGCAGATCCTATAAACCAAGAGACTTTGTGACAAGGGACCAGTGAGAGCAGAAACATTTCAGAGCACTGGACATGTGGGGGCGGTGACCTGCAGGGAGAAGGCTGGGTAGGGCTGCAGGAGAGCACAGACCCCGTGACAGCCACAGTGGCAGTGGCTGGACAGAAGCTAGAGGAAAAGGCCACTCACAGTTTGTGACTACTTCCCTTCTCTCTGTGGATCCTGGCATTCTGGCAGGCAAAACTAGGGGGACTGACGTCGTCAAAAGCCAGCGGGGAACAGAAGGGAAATCCATACATTGGACAACTTGACCTCATTTAGGAATCTGGCCCCAGACCTGGGGAGGATATTTTGCCACCAAAGCCAGGGCTGAGCCCAGATTAAAAAAACCTGCCTCCATCTGACCTGCTATGCTGACCCCAGACAAGGATGGGAAGCCCAATATTGGCCACGTAATAGGGGCAAGATTTAAAGCAGCCTTTCCAAAAAAATAAATGGACGGATACAGGATAATAAAAGGAGTCCCTCTGTCCCAGGACAATGATGTTCCAGCTTAGACTAAGAGGACTGACCTGCCCTGCCCTCCCCAACTTGAACCTCTGTCTATGGAACCCTATTACTAGGTCTTAGTTGCACTCCTGCTCTGAGCTCCTGTGAGCACAGGAAAGAAGAAACATTCTCTCCGTCTTCCCACTCTAGCCTTAGCAAAGTGTTTTGCATAGAGCAGACCTTCATAAAACGCATGGTACATACATTGAAAGGACAAACTAATATTTGAAGACAATTTTGTATTCTAAACCCAGTTTGACCCCAAAGGAAAACTGCAATCATTTCCTCAACACTTCGTAGCTTGGCCTCATTTCTAAGCACCCCCAAGTAAGCAGGTGCCTGCTTATTTGCACAGCAGAATTGATTTGTAGGACTCCACCTTGCACCCCTAGTTGCAGGCTGAGCAATTTAGAGTGAAATGAAATCAAATCATATGCAGCCTATTTAGAAGAGAGAACCTCCAGGAACTAGGAGCAGAAGGGCACATCAGCAAGTTTTCCCTTTCAGTTCCTGCCTCAAGCTCAGCATCCAGGAAAGCCTTCTTGCATGGCCAAGACTTGCATGCACCTGCTAGCCAATGCCTACAATTCTACCGTGACAGTTTCAAGCCTTTGGTTTTTCTAGCTATTAAACTGCAAACCACCTGGGGAAAATCACTGGGCATTTTTGGCCAGCAGTAAATAATGGCAGATTTGGATAGCAGGGAAAGAGAAGAGGCAGAGTAGGATCAGGGGACCTCAGGCGCTATTCACATGAATTCTGCAATTCCTGCTCACGGAATCCTCACAACCAGCTTGTGAGGAAGAGCCTTTTATTGTCTCATTTCACAGAAAAGGAAACTGAGGCCTGGAGAGGTTAGGGCATTTATTCAAGTTCTCAAAAGTAACGGAAGCAAAGCTGAAACCTCAATGCAAACAGCACACTCCATTTCCTGTCCTCTTGTGCACTGTCCTTCATTGCTCCGCCTGGGGAGGGCTCTGTCGAGAGATAAAACCCTTATCGCCTGGCCTGTACTATGATTTTGGACTGTGACATACTTCTCTGAGCCTTAGATTCTTCTTCGTTAAAGTGCCATTATGAACTAAATCTGGGAGGCAACTGTGTCCCTCCCAAAATTCATCTGTTAAGTTAAAGTCCTAACCTCCAGGACCTCAGATGCAACTGCATTCGGAGATAAGATCTTTCAAGAGGCCATTAGGGTGGGTCCTAATCCAATCTGCCTGGTGTCCCTCACAAGAAGGGGAAATTTGAATTCACAGAGAGACACCAGGGATGAGCACCCACAGAGTGGTGACTCTGTGCAGAGGCAGCAAGAGAGTGGCCATCTGTAAGCCAAGGAGAGAGGCTTTGGAGGAAACTGCCCCTGTCCAAACCTTGATCTTGAACACCTTTCAGTCTCCGGAACTGCGAGAAAATAACTTTCTGTTGTTTAGACCACTCAGTCTGTGGTATTTTGTTATGGCAGCCCTAGCAAACTAATATGAGCGGTGAGGTTATGCAAGCCAGTGCCTCTGAAACTTTCTTCTGCAAGTGTGTGCAGATCACCTGGGCACCTTACTGCAGTGTGGTGGCTGGGGCGAGAGTCTGCAGTTCTAACCAGCTCCCAGGGCCTGCTGATGCTGCAACTGCCTCTGGCTTCAAAGCCGGACTCCCACCCCAGCATCGTGCTGTCACCTCCCTGCCCAGAATCCAGTTCCCTACAGAAGAGGAAGTTCCTTGTATGTAAGAGGGACATGGTGACAGGGAAAGCCAGGACAGGGAATAGTTAGAGGCTAGCGGGGAGTCTGATGAGGTGTTTGCTGGCAGAGGGCAGGGGAAGAATGGGAGGGAAAAGGGGGAGGCCATGCATTGATGCAGCAATTATCATTATTATTATTGAGACAGAGTCTCACTCTGTTGCCCAGGCTGGAGTGCAGTGGCGCGATCTCGGCTCCCTGCAAGCTCTGCCTCCTGGGTTCAAGTGATTCTCATGCCTCAGCCTCCTGAGTAGCTGGGATTACAGGCACATGCCACTATGCCCAGCTAAATTTTTGTATTTTTAGTAGAGATAGGGTTTCAACATGTTGGTCAGGCTGGTCTCAAACCCCTGATCTCAGGTGATCCACCAGCCTTGGCCTCCCAAAATGCTGGGATTACAGACGTGAGCCACTGTGCCCGGCCTTGCTGCAGCAATTATAACCTATCATTTCCTGGGTACCTGCGGTGCACCAGGCTCTAGGTTGGACAGTATGCCACATCCCTTGCAGGACCATGCTTAGTTCCCATAGGACAGAAATACTTAGGCTCTCAATTAAAAGAGCATAAAACAACAATTGCACACCACACACATGCAATTACTAGAACTTTAAATAGGCTGAATTAATAACCAACCATTGTTGATATGAAACCATTACAAGAAAATGCCAATTTACAACATTGCTGTGATGTTTTTTAAAAATACATGTCCAATATTCAGTCAAGCATAAGAATGCTTTTTGTACATGCAGTATAATATTTACAGAAGAAGTCTCTTCTGGCTGAACATGTAAGACGGATAAAAATTAATGAAATAAATGATGAATATCAGGGATGGAGGAACCAAAGAGTATTAATAATTTAATGGACAATAAAGTAAAAAAAGATACACAAAATGTTTTTAAAAAGTAAATAGCACTGGGCACAGTGGCTCACACCTGTAATCTCAGCACTTTAGGAGACTGAGGTGGGCAGATCACTTGAGGTCAGGAGTTCGAGACCAGTCTGGCCAACATAGTGAAACCTCATCTCTACTAAAACTACAAAAATTAGTGGGACATGATAGAGCGTGCCTGTAGTCCCAGCTACTCTGGAGGTTGAAGCAGAAGAATCACTTGAACCTGGGAGGCAGAGGTTGCAGTAAGCCGAGATTGTGCCATTGCACTCCAGCCTGGTCAACAAAGCGAGACTCTGACTCGAAAAAAGAAAAGTAAACAGAACTCAGGTAGTGTGTGCTAGAGAAGAAAAGTCCCATTGAATGACTAGCATTATAGACGTATTGATCTACAGCAGAAGAAAGTAAGAAAGTTGAAATAACAGAGCAATTCCGCTGGTTTTACATTTGTTGTAAAAATGCAGTCTTTGATTTAAGAAGTAGAAAAACTATTTTCAGTTTTAGGCATTGATTTCAAAAGCTGCCATAGGCAAGCTTGTGATAATAGTATAACATGGTTGCTAACTCTACAGTAGACAGAATAATGGCTCCCCAAAAATGTTCACATCCTAATTGCCAGAACCAGTGAATATATTAGGTTATTAGGTTACACAGCAAAGGGGCAGCAACGTCCCAGGTGAAATTAAAGTTGCTAATCCACTGACCTTAAAATAGGGAGATTCTCTGTTTACCGAGGTCGGCCCAGTATAATCAAAAGGTCCTTAAAAATGGAAGATGGAGGCAGAAGAAGAGACTCAGAGGAAAAAGTGACTATGGAATAAGGTCAGAGAGATGCAACATTGCTGATGTGAAGATGGAGGAAGGGGCCAGGAGCCAAGGAGAGCAGGCAGCCTCTAGGAGCTGAAAAGGTAAGGAGACATTCTCCCCAACAGCATCCACCAAAGCCTAGATTTTACCCAGTGAGACCCATGTCAGACTTGTAACCTACAGGACTGTAAGATCATATATTTGTTTGTTTGTTTTTTGAGCCACTGAGTTTGTGGTAATTTGTTACAGCAGTAACAGAAAACTAATGCAAGATCAGAATTTCACCGAAAATCCAGAAGTACTCTTAGTGCTAAGTATGGTGGCATGTGGTTTGAATTGCTTACTAGGAGAAGTGATTGGGCTTTCAATTAAAAGAACATAAAACATCGCTTACACACAACACACATGCAATTACTAGAACTTTAAATAGGCTGAATTAATAGCCAGCCATTGCTGGTATGAAACAATTACAGGAAAATGCCAACTTACAACAGTGGTGTGATGGTTTTCAAAAAATAATGTGTTCAATATTCAGTCAAGCATAAGAATGCTTTTTGTTTTGTTTTGTTTTGTTTGAGACAGAGTCTCACTCTGTCACCCAGGGTGGAGTGCAGTGGCACGATCTTGGCTCACTGCAACCTCTATCTCCCGAATTCAAGTGATTCTCCTGCCTCATCCTCCTGAGTAGCTGGAATTACAGGCATGTGCCACCATGCCCAGTGAATTTTGTATTTTTAGTAGAGATGGGGTTTCACCATGTTGGCCAGGCTGGTCTTGAACTCCTGACCTCAAGTGATCCACCTGTGTTGGTTTCCCAAAGTGCTGGGATTACAGGCATGAGCCACCGCGCCTGGCCAAAGAATGCTTTTTTTACGTGCAGCACAATATTTACAGAAGACAATGGTAAATTTCTTCTGGCCGAACATGTAAGGTGGCTTGAAAGTATTCTTAGTGCTGGGTGTGGTAGCACATGGTTTGAATTGCTTACTAAAATTGATTAGGCTGTCAATTAGATTTTCTATGGAATAGTTCAAAGATTATGTATGACATTCTCTGAATCTTCTCTCAAATGGGACATCTTGCTGAAACACATACCAAATTTGACCTTAACTCCTCTCATTCACACAATGAGAATAACAAATCCATGCTGTTAAACGCTTAGATTTGATTTAGGTAAGATATAGGACGATGAGAAGAAATCAGTGTAACAGAAAATTCTATTTTTCATAGGAAATAACATCAATTTTGAATTTGAGCTCTCAACTGATATTTGTTATGAGATAATGTTAGCAAAAGCCTACAAAAAAATCTAGGTTTGGCTATTCCATTTTTAAAGGGATTAAAAATACGTATTTATTATTTTAAATATGTATAGGACTTTTCTAAACCAAAGGAGTCGCACATAAAATGCATAATAAAGGTGACTTTCCAATCAGATAAAATCCAAAAAAGGAAACAAAAATGTCTCTGGACTGTGAAGAGAAGATTCACGTACAAATCATCCTGAAATTAACTTCTGTAGGGATTATTTCTCCGGACACTGTAGACTGAGGTGTAATTTTGACTAAGTAAAACCCTACTGTTTTCAGTTTTCTTTATATTATCTCTTTCTAATATACTTTTCTTAATAAAATAGATGAATACTAATCTAGATATTACTTTGAGGGAGTAAAGATAGCACGATGAGATGGTAATCTATATGGAATTAAAATATTTAATAATTTTTCTGCTTAATATAATTATCATATGCTGCAGCCTCATTACAATGTTTGAACTTCATATGAAAAATTTATAATTTTCTTGCTCAAACTGGCTTCAATTAAAAAAAGAAAAAATGTATAATTCATTTCTGATTCAAAATGTGGACTTAAGAATTATTTTTTTGTAATTCCAGCTGTTCTACCTCAATAAAACTGAATGGAATCTCAGCAGAAGTTTCTCCTAAATGAAATTAATTTAAGAAACAAAACTAAGAACTACAATGACTCAGGAATAGTGGTTTAATTTAACATCATTGTCAATAGACCACAAATTATATGATAATGTCGATTACAACACTATAACTCAACTTTGCTGAAATGAAGAAATAAAATAAATTATATGGAATAAACACGTAATAATTTATAAATTATGCATGTTTTTGTTTTATTACTCTTTCAAACATAAGTAATTCATCAATGTAACATTTAGACATGTGCGATAATAATTAAACTCAGTTCTTTTTCATATTTTGCTGACTTTAGCTATATAAAAATCAGAGTTTCACTTTTTCTGTCCTTATAAAGGGGCATTTGTCAGGCCTGGCACAGTGGTTCACTCCTGTAATCCCAGCACTTTGGGAGGCCAAGGCGGGTGGATCACCTGAGGTCAGGAGATTGAGACCATCCTGGCTAACACGGTGAAACTCTGCCTCTACTAAAAATACAAAAAATTAGCCAGGCGTGGTGGCAGGTGCCTGTAATCCCAGCTACTCGGGAGGCTGAGGCAGGAGAATCGCTTGAACCTGGGAGGCAGATGTTGCAGTGAGCCAAGATCGCGCCATTCCACTCCAGCCTGGGCAACAAGAGCGAAACTCTGTCTCAAAATAAATAAATAAATAAGTAAATAATAAAATAAAGGGGGATTTGTTAAGGTAGAATAGAACCACTTTACATAACTGTTTGTTGGCTTCATTTATAACTTTTAAGTATTTAGACATATAGCCTATGGCCTGCATTTGTCCTCCTTATTCAGACTTAGCATCTGTTAAGGGCAGGTCTGGTTTCTTTTGTTCATCATGAGAGCATGGCAAGACAAGGACTGTCGACCCATTTTACAAATAAGAAAACTGCAGCTCAGTGAGACGAAGTTCCCAAGGCCATAATAAATAGCAGAACCAAGATGCAAACCCTAGTCTTAAACTGCAAAACTCCTGTGTGCTTCACAGCACCCAGCTGGTGGAACCAAGGATTGCTACAAACATGTTTTATAGAAATGCTGTCATGGAAGAATGGCTGGGGCACTCCAGTTCTGGCCGAATGATGGTCGATTAGATGTTATGAAGGATCTTTCTGATTAATGCAATTAATATGCTGTCTGGAGTATGCATCATAAGCCAGTGTATCAGCAAAAATCACACAAAAGTAAAGAAGTCACAAAGCCCCAAAACAGAGGGAAACCAGGAACCCTGTGAGGTAAGCTGCATTCACCATCAGAGTCTCTGCTGCCAGATTTTGTAAACAAGAGATGAAACCCAAGGCCCACCAAAGGCAGGGAATCTAATACGAGACTTTGCCAATAAAGCTAGGAGTCTAAAGATAAGTGAGTGTGAAATAAATTCAACCAGCCAGAAGAGGACGATAAGGAAAGTTGTTTCTCTGAAAAAAAAAAAAATCTCTCCCAAAATTCATAACCATCAGCTAGTCTTCATATAGGTTTGTGGTCCATGCCCCTACTATTTTTGTGGTCCAGGAAATCTCAAGTGAAAAAATTAAAGTGATTACAAATAGAAAGAGGTTAAAATTTTGTAGTTCCCTCAGGTAAGTAACAAAAGCAAACACAAATCCTCTCTGAAGGATTTCTACTTTTTTTTTTTTTTAACTTGAGGCAGGATCTTGCTCTGTCACCCAGGCTGGAGTGCATTGGTGTTATCTTGGCTTACTGCAACCTCTGCCTCCTGAGTTCCAGCTATTCTTCTGCCTCAGCCTCTTGAGTAGCTGGGATTACAGGCACATGCCACCAGGCTCTGCTAATTTTTGTACTTTTAGTAGAGACAGGGTTTCACCATGTTGGTCAGGCTGGTTTCGAACTCCTGACCTCAGGTGATCCACCTGCCTTGGCCTCCCAAAGTGTTGGGATTACAGGCGTGAGCCACCACACCCAGCCGGATTTCTACTTTAACACAGGCATGCACACATAGGGAAAGAAAACACCATGAGTGAGAAACAGCAGAAACAGTAGACGGCAGAGATAGAGATCAAAGAACAAATATTAAAATATAAAATAACTGTGTTTAATATATTTAAAGAAATAAAGATAAACAGGAAACAAGCCAATTTGAAAAGAACAGGCTGGGCATAGTAGCTCAACCCTGTAATGCCAAAACTTTGGGGGCCGTGGTGGGTGGATTTCTTGAGCCCAGGAGTTTAAGACCAGCTTAGGCCACACAGTGAGACACCCTCATCTCTACAAAATTTTTTTAAAAAATTAGCTGGGTATGGTGGAGCACAGCTGTAGTTCCAGCTACTGGGGAGGCTGAGGCAGGAGCATCACTTGAGCCCAAGAGTTTAAGGCTACAGTGAGCCATGACTGCACCATGACACTCCAGCCTGGGTGACAGAGCAAGACCCTGTCTCAAAAAAAAGAGCCTAATATAACTTTTAGAAATTAAAAAATAATTGAAATTTAAAATACATCAAAGGAATAAATAATACACCAGACCTGTCTGAAGAGAAAATTAGTCAACTGAAAGATCCAAAGAAAGTACCCAGAATGCAGTCCAGAGAGAGTAATAGATAGAAAATATGAAAAAGCTAATAAGAGACACAGAGAACATTTCTCCAGAAGGAGAAGATATAAATGGTTTTGATGTGCTATTTGAAGAAATAACTGATACATTTCTAGCATTATTGAGTCATCAGTTTTCAGATCCAAGAGGTTAAGTAGACAGTTGGTGTTCACCAAATATTACATGTGCTTTCCTACATTCCTCAGACTTTCTCAAAGTTAGGTTGGGGCCATGTGACTATTTCCAGTTAATGTTACTTCTAGGCCAGAAGAGTTAAAAGCAGACGCACAGTGGCTCATGCCTGTAATCCCAGCACTTTGGGAGGCCAAGGCAGGCAGATCACCTGTGGTCAGGAGTTCGAGACCAGCCTGGCCAACATGGTGAAACCACATCTTTGCTAAAAATACAAAAATTAGCCAGGCGTGGTGGTGCATGCCCGTAATCCAGCTATATAGGAGGCTGAGGCAGGAGAATTGTTTGAACCTGGGAGGCGGAGATTGCAGTGAGCCAAGATAGTGCCACTGCACTGCAGCCTTGGCTACAGAGCAAGACTTGGTCTAAAAAAAAAAGCAGAAAGCCTTCTTGCAGATATCACTACAAACTTCTGAAGGACCTTTCGGAAGGACTCTTCCGAACTGAGCCACTCATCATGCCATGGGAATTGTTTTTGGCCAACGGGCACTAGTTATACTCCTCCCCAGGGGCTGTGTACATCCACTGATGACAGATCAAGGTCCTAGCCTCCTTTTCCCATTTGGGACAACTCTGAAAGGCCCACTAACTTCCAGAGCTCCTGAGTGACTGGTGGAGGTTTCTAACGCAGCTTCTCCTTCTGCACAATCCCGCCTCCTTCACATCCTTGCAGGGGTTGTTCCTGAGAATACTCCCCCATAAACTTTCTGTGCCCGAATCTTTTTCTCAAAGTCTGTTTCTAGGGAAACTAACTTTCTCTTCTTCTTCTCCCATCCAAGCTTGAACCTGGCCCAGCCCTGCCTAGTTTCTGAGATCAGGCAAGATAGGTGTGTTCAGGGTGGTATTGCTGTAGACCCTGGCTTCCCCTTCTGGGATGACCTTGGAGGCTGCACGTTGCAGAGGGGGCAGCCAGGAGATGGCTGCCTGGGTGTCTCAGTCCCTCACTGACCACTTAGCTATGTAGTGTGATGTGAAATAACCTTTGCTATGTTAAGTCACCGAGCTATATGGGGTAATTTTTAACTCAGCATAGCCTGACCCTGTCTAGTACAGCTATTCATGTTAAAATAGCTGAAGTGACCACTAAACTAATCCACGCAGAGCATATTTCTAACACATTAATTATAAAACAGGTGGAAGGGAAAAATAGCATATGAAAAGAAAAAAAAAGAGAAATGTAAAACTCAATCCAAAGAAAGTAAGGGAAACAAGGAACAAATAGAGAAAACAAGACAAAAGCATTTAAGACAATGAAAATAAATGTGGATATCAGTAATCATTATAAATATAAGTAGACTAAACTGTCAGCTAAAAAACAAATATTGTCAAACTAATAAAATCTCACCATGTGCTGTTTACACAAGACACAGCTAAAATATAATCATGGGGAAGGATTGAAAGTCAAAGGAAGGAGATAAGCCAAACAAATGATAACAAAAGCTAGAGTAGTTACATTAATATCGGATGCATTCCAAGGCAAAAAGCATTACTAGATATAAAGATAATCACTACAAAATCATACCTTTGCAACATCGGGAAGATAGAAAATAGGACAATTATAAACTTGGATATACCTAAAAAACACAGGCTCAAAATACGTAAAGTAAAAATTAACTTACAAGAAGTAATTTACAAATTTGCCACCATAGTGGAAGATTTTTTAACACATCTCAATTATGCATAGATCAAGTAGAACAAAATTGGTAAAAATATAAAGATAATTGATCTTATGGACAAATATGGAATACTTCCTCCAACAACTGGAGACTATACATTATTTATCGGCACACTTAGAAGATGTATGAAAATTATTCATGTGCTAGGCCATCAAGCTAGTCTGAACAAACGTCAAGGATTGGAATAATACAGGGGGCATTCTCAGACCAAGATCAATTAAGTTAAATCAGTAGTATAAAAACTCCATATACTTGGAAGCATGGAGTTACCATATGATCCAGCAACTCCACTCCTGGGTTGTACACCAAAGAGACTGACAACTTGTCCACCTAAATGACTTGTACATGAATGTTCACAGCAGCATATTTATAATATCCAAAAAATAGAAACAACTCACCTGTTCATCAACTAATGAATGGATAAACAAACTATGGTATATCCATTCAATAGACTATGATTTGGCCATTAAAACAAAGTACTGATAGATGCTACAGCATAGATGAACCTTGAAAACATCCTGCTAAGTGAAAGAAGGCAGTCAGAAAAGGCCACATATTTGCACAATCCCATTTGTGGGAGATATCCACAATAGGCAAATCCATACAGACAGAAAGTAGGTTAGGTGGTTGCCAGGAACTAAGGGAATAGAAAATGGCTGCTAACGGGTGTAGTTCTTTCTGGAGTGATGAAAATGTTCTAAAAACTGGTGATCATGGTGATGGTTTTGTGCAATATACTCTGTGTTCAACAAACTAAAACACTGAATTGTACACTTTTACAGGGTGGATTTTATAATATGTGAATTGTGTCTCAACTAGGCTGTTATAAAAAAATCTTTCCATCAAGAAAATTCAGCTGTAGGGCCAAGTTGTTCCCTGCATAACTCCAGAGGTTGCCATTCACGTAGACTAAAAGGGAAATGGTGCCCCCTTAGAGTTGGGCAATATGGTGGCTCCGCCCAGGTAATTTCACAGACAAATTCTACCAACTACTCGGGAATGTATAATTCTAATATTAGATATTTTTCCCCATAGAATAAATAGGCAGCAATCTCCAACTCACTTGTGGTTGGCGTAACCTGAATCCCAAGTCCAGGCAAGGACAGCATAAGAAGAAAACATTATAGGCCAACTCATTAATAGACTTAAAGATCCTGAACAAAATATTAGCTAACTGACTCTAGCAATAGATTAAAGAGATCTATCACAATCAAGCTGTATTTAAACCAAAAACAAAAAATTGGTTTAACATTAGCAAATTAATCAGTGTATCACCACACTAACAACTTAAATGAATCATATATGATCATCTCAAAAGATGATAGGAATAAAGAGTTCTATAAAATTCATAAAGGAGGCTGGGCACGGTGGCTCACGCCTGTAATCCCAGCACTTTGGGAGGCTGAGGCAGGTGGATCACCTGAGGTCAGGAGTTTGAGACCAGCCTGGCCAACATGATGAAACCCCATCTCTATTAAAAAATACAAAAATTAGCCAGGGATGGTGGCACTTGCCTGTAGTCCCAGCTACTTGGGAGGCTGAGGCATGAGAATCGCTTGAACCTGGGAGGCAGAGGTTGCGGTGAGCCGAGATTGCGCCACTGCACTCCAGCCTGGGTGACAAAGCAAGACTCTGTCTCTAAATAAATAAATAAAATAAAATAAAATAAAATAAAATAAAATAAAATAAAATAAAATAAAATAAAATAAAATAAAATTCATAAGGGAAGGCCAGATGCGGTGGCTCACGCCTGTAATCCCAGCACTTTGGGAGGCCAAGGCAGGTGAATCACGAGGTCAGGGGTTCAAGACCAGCCTGGCCAAGATAGTGAAACCCCATCTCTACTAAAAATACAAAAACTAGCTTGGTGTGGTGGCGGACACCTGTGATCCCAGCTACTTGGGAGGCTGAGGCAGAGAATTGCTTGAACCTGGGAGGCGGAGGTTGCAGTGAGCCGAGATCTTGCCACTGTACTCCAGCCTGGGTAACAGAGCAAGACTCCATCTCCAAAAAAATAAAAAAAATTATGAGGGAAAAAATCCTAGCAAACTAGAATATGAAGTGATACCCTTAATCTGATAAAGATGAAAAGATTACTTATACACACACACACACACACAGCAACCATATTAAATGGTGAAATGTTAAAAGCATTTCTTTTCATTAAAACCAAGAACAATACAAAGATGCCTGCTATCACAACTCGTTATATATATATAACATATATAATGTATATATATTACATATATAATGTATATATATAACATATATAATGTATATATATTACATATATAATATATATTACATGTATATAATATATATATATATTTGTTTTGTTTTGTTTTGTTTTTGGAGACAGAATGGTGATTGCTTTAAAATCACCCACCTCGGCATCCCA
This sequence comes from Homo sapiens, assembly GCF_000001405.40. NCBI lineage: Eukaryota > Metazoa > Chordata > Mammalia > Primates > Hominidae > Homo > Homo sapiens. The sequence goes on along the minus strand of NC_000015.10, from coordinate 69,364,365 downwards.
AAGTGCTAGGATTACAGGTGTGACCCACCGAGCCCTGCTTCTATCATATTTTAATAAGCTACCAGGTAATTCTGACATTGGTGATCTAAGCACTCTCTCTGAATAGCACTGGGCTGGAGAAACCATTTACCTGTTGAGATGGCTCCTTGTTCCCAGTGCCTGAGCCCACCTACCAAACACCTATGCCAGACACTGATCTGGCTGTGCTTCCTTCATTCATAATAATCCCACTGTTCTATTTCATTTTTATTGGATCTTCACAATTGCCCTGTGAGACTGACTTAACAGGAGTCACTTCCATCTTACAGATAAGAACACTGAGACTAAGTTTATGACTGTGTGGCAGAGCTGCAGTGCAAGTCTGGAAACGGCGTTGCTTTTCCTCTCTGTGTAGACCACTGCCTCAGGGAATCCTCCTGTCCATGCCCCTAAACTAAGGCATCTGGGACTATGGGATGTGTTTACCTGTAGCCTGTGAGTCAAGGCTGTAGTTATTTAAAGCTTAGCAATTTGTCTGGGTTCAGTGGCTCACACTTGTAATCCCAGAACTTTGGGAAGCTGAGGCAGGCGGATCACTTGAGGTCAGGAGTTCGAGACCCAGCCTGGCCAACATGGTGAAACCCTGTTGTTACTGAAAATGCAAAAAGTATCTGGGCATGGTGGCGTGCACCTGTAGTCCCAGCTACTTGAGAGGTTGAGGCAGGAGAAGGAGAATCGCTTGAACCTGGGAGGCGGAGGTTGCAGTGAGTCATGATAGTGCCACTGCACTCCAGCCTGGGTGACAGAGCAAGACTCTGTCTCAAAAAAAAAAAAAAACAAAAACAAAAAACAGATTAGCAATTTGACACTCGATGTTCTTGTTTCCTGGCAAAGTGTCACGCCATGTTGCATATGAACTTGTTGTCTTTTTTCTAGGCCTCTCTGTTTTGTCTCTAAAGGGGTCTGTGTAAGAATCAACATCTAGATAATTATTCCATTCCTTGAGGTTTTGTTCACATCTTTAATGACCCTCTGATGTACCCAAGCTTAGTTTTGGACACAAGGGAGACTAAATATTATGAGGCATACACACAAATTCTGCCTTCTGAGGGAAGAGAGAAACTGCCCTTTTCCATGAACAATCTATCAGCCAGGAATGCACCAAGAATGGACCAGGATTACAACTCTGATGATGCAGAGAGGTGGGCACACCATTCCCTATAGATGGCTGAGGCCCAGACAGGGTAGTGAAGTGGCCCAGGTCACATAGCTGGCTGATACACAAAAGGAGAGGCAGCTGTACAGAGCAGCTTGTAGAGGTACAACCAACAGCTGAAGGAGCTCGGGGAAGGGAGCAGGCACCTGCCACTCCATAAAAAAGGAAGTCACAAAGGGGGAGCAAAGGTTGGGGAGAGGAAAGCCTTCTTCAAACAGAAATCAAGACAAGTGAAGGTTGCATCTCCTGGGGAGAATAAAGAGAAGAGGGTCTGTGGATGGGACGTGGTGGAAGAGGTGGGGAGGGATCAGGCTGGTGAAGGTGGTGAACAGCAGGCGAGGGAGCCGGGGTTCGAGTCTATGGACAGGGCCTCTGAAGTCTCCTGCCAGCATGCTCTACCCCTCAAAGTGCCCTAAAGAGCCTAGGAGAGAATGCTAATAATGACAACCAACATTATTAATTGTTCACCACGTGCCAGGCACTTCACTTGGGTTATCTCATTTAATTCTCACAACCCCAGGAGGCAGATACTGTTGTCATTCCCATTTTACAGAAGCCAAAGCTGAGGTAGAGAGATTATCTTGCTTGAGGCCACTCTAAAAACCAAGTATTGGAACCCACAGATCCCACCAAAGGTAAGCTTTAACAATTGTATGAAGTATCCTATTTTAAATATTCATGTAAATTGTGCATTCCATTTTTAATACCTGTGCATCTGTTTTAATACTAATAAATGTCTTTGCCCCCAAATCCTCAGGTAAAACTACCCTCCAGGCAGGCAGAGCCACTATATTTTCTCTATGGCTTCATGAACCCTGGGCATGATGCCCAAAAACCCAATAGTGGATGCTGGAGCCCAAGGCAGATTTTGAAGCAAACGGTGGCTGCAAAGTGTGATGTTGGTCTTCTGCCTCTAGCTAGTGCCATTTCACTAAAGATATCATCATCCTCTAACTTACGAAAAACTGGACAGAGAGGACATGTTCATCTTTCTCCCTTAGCCTCTGCCAGGGTTGTCCAGCCCTGACATTCAGAATCTCCATACATTCAGATTCCCAGCAGGTTACCCAAAGGACCTATTGATACCACTCTGCCCCCTTCACTTCTTTCCTGCGGACATACTCTGAATCCAACCCTGACCAAAATGTCCAGAAAGATATCTAAGCAGACTCCCATAACCTCTACCCCCAAGACGCTCCCCAGTCCCCCCACCATCACCACCTGCCCCATGATCTCCCATCTCTAGGCCTTTGCTCACACTGCTCCTTCCACCTGGAATGCTCTCCCCACTTCCACAATCCTGTCCACCCCTCAGATCACCCCCTTCATGAAGCCTTCCCTGATCACTTCCTCCCTGATATAATTTGGCTCTGTGTCCCCATTCAAATCTCATCTGAAATTGTAATCCCTATAATTCCCACATGTCAAGGGAGGAACCTGGTGGGAGGTGATTGGATCATGGGGGTGTTGTCCCCCAAACTGTGAGTGAGTTCTCTTGAGACCTGATGGTTTCATAAGTGTCTGACAGTTCCTCCTTCACATCATGCTCTCTCTTGCCTACTGTCATGTAAGACGTGCCTCTTCCCTCATGATTGTAAGTTACCTGAGGCCTCCACAGCCATGAGGAACTGTGAGTCAATTAGACCTCTTTTCTTTATAAATTACCAGGTTTCAGGCAGTTCTTTATAGCAGTGTGAGAATGGACTAATACACTCCCTCGTGATGGAAGTGACCAATCCCTTCTCTGAAACAATCACCCTGTCTTAAGATAGACCCTAACCCACTTTAGAAAAGAATTTCTCATGCACATTTAAAAATCTTCCTGACCAACATATGAGTCACGCAAGGACAGGATTTGTATGTAATTATTCTCTGAATCCCTTGCACATAGTAGGCAGTCAATACAAATTTCATGAGTAAATAAATTCAAGAATCACACTGTGTTCCCACTAATCACAGCTGCTAATGCTCTATGGGTAGAACCAACCAGCAAAGTGCACCAAAAGGAGAAGGTGATTGCCCTGTGAGAACAGAGGCAGGTGCTCTGCCCAGTGTCATGGGAGACAGCCACACGTGTAGCTTGCCTATTACTTGCCACATTCCTCAGCTCACCCCACCAAACAGCTCTGCACCACTTACGGTTTTCCCCCATGCCATCTTCCTGGAATCACCTGGCTTCACAGGCTTTTAGGGTTAGGGTTTGGCAATTTCCCCCTCAACCTTCCATTGGTGATGTTGAGTTTATTTCAAACTTATTTTTCTGGGGCAAGTCATAAGTGCTTGGTAATCAGCCAAGCCAAGTAGAACTCTCCTCCACTCTGTCACATCTTCCCAAAGAAACTTCCCACCATGAAATGACACCCACTTTTCTTAGTCAAAAAGGAAGGAAATTTGACATCAACAAAGGGGTGCAACACAATGATGTTTCCTTTGCAAGAGAAGGAGGAAGTGCACCAGTTCTCTGTAGCACACAACCAGGCTCACCTATGGCTTAGTAAAGCAGATCATCAGTGAGTCTCACATATTTCAGGGTACCTGCCTGTGAGCTCCCAGGCCCATGGGTCCACTAAAGGGCAATGCTAAGGCTCATTCAACAACCCTCCCCATCGCCCCAGTGAAGGCCTGGCCTGGGCATCCTGCAAGTAATGGGGATGAGCAAAGCCATGACCTGGTGTGCCTTTGCCCATAGCCTGCTTTCAAGCACCCATAGGAGGGGCCTGAAAAAATAAACTTCCTACCCAGCCAGCTGCTGCTGGCTTTATCTCTTCAGGTTGAATCTCAGTAATGACTTTGCTTCTGGATAACACACAGATGTTGCAAGGAAGGGTTACAACTTAAACAACTTTGGGAATACTTCCATTTCAAGGTAGGTGGGGGAAGTAGGAGGCTGTAATATCCCCCAAGGAAGTGTGGGAAGGGGTCCTTGAAGGGAATGGGCCTGTACAGAACAGACTAGGTGAAGACAACAGCCCCCCATTGCGGAGGCCAAGCCCTGGTCACACTCTGGAAATGAACCATCATAATCAATAGAGCACATACCTGGGGTATCTGGTCTATGCTAAACAGCCTGGGGAGCTTCAGGCTCAGCATCTTGGAGCTGGATTGGCAAGGCCAGTAGGTGACAGCGCCTCCCTGTTACCAGGCCTCACTCAAAGCTCTAACATGGCCTGGGGCGTCTCTGCCTAGCTGGTGCTGTGCCGCTTCCCTGAAAGAGGACAGCATGAAGAAATCCAGTCAGTTTCAGCCTAACTCCAGCTGGGTCAGGACAGTCAGCTTGTTCAACTATTGAACATATACTTGCTACACATGATGGCACAAGATCAAGCTTCCTTAAAAACAGCAAAATGATCAGACTGCTGAGTCATCCACTCCAAGAGTGCTGGAGGGAGGTAATTAATAATAAGGGAGGAGACCACCCCTCATATTGTCTTATGCCCAATTTCTGCCTCCAAAGAAAGAAAAAGTAAAATCTAAAAGGCAGAAATGAAATCCACAAGCAGACAGCCGGCACCACACCCTGGGCCTGGTAGTTAAAGATTGACCCCTGATCTAATCAGTTATGTTATCTATAGATTACAGACATTGTATAGAAAAGCACTGCGAAAATCCATATCCTGTTTTGTTCCCATCTAATTACCAGTGCATGCAACCCCCAGTTACATACCCCCTGCTCGATCAATCAATCACGACCCTCTCACACGCACCCCCTTAGAGTTGTGAGCCCTTAAAAGGGACAGGAATTGCTCACTTGGGGAGCTCGGCCCTTGAGACAGGAGTCTTGCTGATGCCCCCCGGCCAAATAAACCGCTTCCGTCTTTAACTCGGTGTCTGAGGAGTTTTGTCTGCGGCTCATCCTGTGACAATAATATGGGCAATTACTATGGTCTGAATGTTTGTGTCTCCCCAAAATTCATGTGTCAAAACCTAATCTCCAATGTGGTGACAAGGAGCAGGGCTTTTGGGAGGTGACTAGGTCATGAAGGCTCTGCCCTTACGAGTGGGATTAGTGCTCATAGAAAAGAGGTGTGAGGGAGCTTGTTCGCCCCTTCCACCATGTGAAGACACATAGAAGGAGACATCTATGAGGAATGGGCCCTCACCAGACGGGGAATCTGCTGGCACTGTGACCTTGGACTTCCCAGCCTCCAGAACCATTAGCAATAAATTTCTGTTGTTTATAAATTACCCAGTCTTAGATATTTTGTGATAGCATGCCAAATGGACTAAGACAGTGATCATAAAATTGCAGAGCTAAGGCCAGGTGTGGTGGCTCATGCCTATAATCCCAGAAATTTGGGAGACTGAGATGGGACGATCAGTTGAGCCCCAGAGTTCAAGACCAGCCTGGGTGATATAGTGAGACCTTGTTTCTACAAAGAAGAAATTAAAATTAGCTGGGTATGGTGTTATACTCAAGGGCGGGCTAAAGTGAGATCACTTCAGCCCAGGAGGTCAAGGCTGCTGTGAGCCATGATCATGCCACTGCACTCCAGCCAGAGCAACACAGCAAGAATCTGTCTCAAAAAAAAAAAAAAAATGCCACAGAGCTGAAAAGAAAAGGGCCTTAGAGGTCACCCAGTCTTCTCATGTTACACATGAAGGTGGGAGGGGCGGAATAACTTTCCCAAGGCCGCACCGCAGCAGGGAGCTGGGCTGCTCACTCTCCACTCCACCAGAGGCTGCCCCTGGACGGACAGTGGGATCTTAAGTCTGTGTCCAGCCAGTGGGTGGAAGAGGGTCAGGAGCTGCCTCAGATCACAGCAAGAGAAGCAACTCAACTCTTCCAGAAAGCTGACCAGAGCTTGGTTGCCCTGAGACACACAAAAGAACCATGCCAAGCAAATAAATCCAAGGCACTTGTTGGAGACAGAGCAACTCAAGAGTAAGTAACAAGATTGCTTAAATGCAGGATGAAGACCACTTAAGAGCTGTGAGTAATGTGCACCACAGAGACCCAGAGCCCTTGCAACAGGTCCAAGAAACAGAAAAATACACCTTGGATTTAGCAAAGAAGAGCAGAGTTGGGAATTTACCATAGTAAATTTCCTCCTTTACCCCTATCATCACTGGGCCAAAGTCTACCACCTCCTGAGAGCCCTCCTCATAGTCCTCATCAGTCAGAGGTGTTCTTTCCCTGCCTCTGAAGACCCAGAGACCTTGCTTGTATGTACCTGCAGCACCAACCACATCGTACCTACAGTCACAGCTAACTCCCTAGGCCTCGTCTGCCCCTTCAGGAAGAAGCCTCCCATGGCTGGCTGGAAACTCGGGGTGTATGCATGGTCCACCCTGGGCCCTCAGCAAATGATTATTTAATGAAGCAATGATGCTCATAGTTTGAACTTGAAGTTGTTTTGTTTTTATTTTTGTGGTTCGTTTACTTTTGCTTCTTCTTATATTTATGTTCTAAGTGTTATCTGAAACTATGCAGCAAAACACAATCTGTTTATTTCACCGTCGTAAATATGCTTCTTTCTTAAAAACAGTAATAGAAGCATTATTCACAATACTCAAAGGGTGGAAGCAACCGAAGTGTTCATTAAAGGATGAATGAACAAAATGTGGTGGTATCAGTCCATTCTTGCATTGCTATAAAGAAATACCTGAGGCCAAGTGTGGTAGCGCACACCTGTAATCCCAGCACTTTGGGAGGCCTAGGTGGGTGGATCACCTAAGGTCAGGAGTTTGAGACCAACCTGGGCAACATGGTGAAACCCCGTCTCTACTAAAAATACAAAAATTAGCCAGGCATGGTGGTGCACAACTGTAGTCCCCACTACCAGGGAGGCTGAGGCAGGAGAATTGCTTGAACCTGGGAGGTGGAGGTTGCAGTGAGCCGAGATCATACCACTACACTCCAGCCTGGACGACAGAGCAAGATTATGTCTCAAAAACAAACAAACAAACAAACAAACACCCTGAGACTGGGTAATTTATAAAGAAAAGAGGTTTAATTGGCTCACAGTTCTGCAGGCTGGACAGGAAACATGGTACTGGGTTCTGCTTGGCTTCTAGGGAGGCTGCAGGAAGCTTACAATCATAGCGGAAGGCGAAGGAGTAGCTGGCAAGTTGTACGGCGAAAGCAGGAGCAAGAGAGAAAGAGAGAGAGAGAGACAGTGGGTGGGGAGATGCCACGCACTTTTAAACAACCAGATCTTGAGAGAAGTCACTATCTCGAAGACAGCACCAAGCCACGAGGGATCTGCCCCCATGATACAAACACCTCCCTCCAGGCCCCACCTTCAGCATTGGGGATTACATTTCAACATGAGACTTGCGCAGGGACAAATATTCAAACTATATCAGTGAAATATACATACAATGGAATATTATTCATCCTTAAAAAGGAAGGAAATTCTGATATATGCTACAACCAGGACACACCTTTGAAGACCTTAAGCTAAGTGAAGTGAGCCACTTACAAAAGGACAAATGTTGTACAATTCCACAGGTACAAGGCACCTGGAGTAGTCAAATTCCTAGAAACAGAAAGCTGGATAGTGGTTACCAGGGGCTTGGGGGAAAGAATGGGGAATTTGTATTTAAAGGACACAGAGTTTCTGTTTGGGATGATAAAAATGTTCTGAAGATGGATGATGGCGATGGTTGCACAACGGTACCAACGTACTTAATGCCACTGAGCTATACACTTAAAAATGGTTAAAATGCTAAATGTTATGTATATTTTATACCAATAAAATAGTGGCATACAATTTCAAAATTATAGAATAATAAAGAAAATAATTTTTTTAAGCTCACATACATTTTGCCCAGGTTAAAAAATAAAAGTTAATACTTTGCAAAAAATACAGTACTGATGTAAATGAGCCATAGTACACTTAGTTTTTCATGGCTAAATCACCAAGCCGTGCACACTCATAGAAGCACCACCAATTCACCTAATGGCAGGACAAGAGGCAAATGTCCAGTAATAGGGAAACTCAAACACACCAGAGAAGCCTCAGACAACAATAGAAATCAAGGTTGGGTCTCCACAGACCTGCCTACCTAGGTCCCTTAGTTATCTCTGGCTTTGACTCAATATCATGGGAAGAAAAAGAAAGACACAGTCTCTACTCTCACACTATTTAGGTAGGATGACCATATTAGCCATGCAAAAATAAGGGGTAATACAAAGTAGTGTAGGATTCATTAATTTCTTCATTCATTCACTGCTTACTGCATTTTAATCAGGGATAAGTGAATAGCTTAAGAAAGAAAGGATAAGGGATAAGTGAATAGCTGATTATTCTCTGTGGGCTGCCGCAGATTTAAGGAAAAGCTGAGAATTTAACTGATATAAAAATTGTTTAAGTTTGTGATACGCAGAATAGAGGGGAGTAGTCATGCTTTATATCATTCTATTCCTTCATTTCACAGGGGAAAAAAGATGAATAAGACTATCCTTGTCTCCAAGAAATGTATAAAAAATAAATAAAGAAATAGGACAGGCCGGGCACAATGCCTTACACCTGTAATCCCAGCACTTTGGGAGGCTGAGGCAGGTGGATCACCTGAGGTCAGGAGTTCGAGACCAGCCTGACCAACATGGTGAAACCCTGTTTCTACTAAAAATACAAAAATTAGCTGGGCGTGGTGGCGAATGCCTGTAATCCCTGCTACTTGGGAGGCTGAGGCAGGGGACTCTCTTGAACCTGGGAGACAGAGGTTGCAGTGAGCCGAGATCTCACCACTACACTCCAGCCTGGGCAACAGAGTGAGACTCTGTCTCAAGAAAAAAAAGAAAAAGAAAAAGAAAAAAAAGAAAGAAGGAAAGAAAGAGAAAGAAAGAAAGAAAGAAAGAAAGAAAGAAAGAAAGAAAGAAAAAAAGAAAGAAAGAAAGAAAGAAAGAAAGAAAGAAAGAAAGAAAGAAAGAAAGAAAAGAAAGAAAGAGAGAAAGAAGACAAATATACTCCTGTATTAGAGTTCTCCAGAAAGGCAGAACCAAGTAGATAGGTAGATAGGTAGGTAGATAAACAGATAGCGAGAGAGAGAGAGAGAGAGATGGGTGACAGGGGATTTATTAGGTGAATTGGCTCATGTGATAATGGAAGCCAAGAATTCCCACAACAGGCTCTCTAACAAGCTGGAGACACTGGGATGCCCACAGTGTGGCTGAGTCCAAGTCCTACAGCCTCAGAATGAGGGAACCTGATGGTTTAACTCTCGGACTGAGGCAGAAGGCCCTGAGAACTCTGCGGGGTGGAGGTGCAAGTCCTAGAGTCCAAGGGCCAGAAAGCCTGGAGTTCTGATGCCCAAGGGAAGGAGAAGAAGGGTGACCCAGCTCCAGGAGAAAAAGAGAGAGAATTTGAATTTCCTCTTTTTGTTCTCTCTGGGCCCTTGTTGATTGGATGGTGTCTGCCCACACTGAGGGTGGATCTTCCCCACTTGGTCCATGGACTTACAACCCGATCTCCTCTGGAAACATCCTCGCAGACACACCCAGAAATCACGCTTAGCAGTTCTCTAGGTATTCCCTAATCCAGTCAAGTGGACACCTAAAATTAACCATCACAAGTCTACCCCCTGTCAACTTGGTACCCATCTGCATCTCCTAAATCATATTTAATCTCCAAATAAAAACAATAACAATAAGATAGTTCTGCAAAACATGATACAATTATCCTGCATACAACCCAAAATGCACTCATCCCTTCCACAGAAGAGGAGGTAAAGTTCTTGGGTAATGTTTATTCTTCTCTTGATATCTCATAACTTAAATAGTATGATATAACATTAATAATACTTAACTACTGATACAAGGTCAATAAATCTTATATTACGTGATGAAGAAATAAGAGAAGCACAAGGATATTTGTTAATATATGTATATATACATGCAAACATATTCTTAACAAAACAAGGAGGAAATACTCATGACAATTACAGTCCTTGGTTCTGTAACTGATCATGTTTGTAGCTGGTATTGATAACTATCTTCTTCTACTACCCATCTGCATTCTCTTTGCCTTCAGTAAGCACCTTAGTTGGTCATGGTTCTTTACTTAGTGGGTTGGCCTAAACCTTAATTCCTGAAGGGTCTGGGCCATTTGTTAGTACTGCCTAGATTGGGTTGTCATAGTTTCCCATTGACCTTAATCACAGAGCAGGATAATTCTAAGAGAGGCCCAAAGAGCTTTCCTGTATTCCAGACATACTCTTCCTCACTCCCGTTGTCGGGTAGGAGTGCAATTTCCTCCTGGTCATCCACATCAGTCATCCCAGCCCAAACCATCACTCCCTTCTTAGCCTGTTGATTCAGAGGCACAAGAAGCCCAAAGTGGCTGGGTGGCAGTCTTAACTTCCAGCTCAGTGGAATCATTGTTGTGTCTCCTGGTGGAAGCATTCTCCCCTCTGGAACTAAGACCTTTAGACCAGCAGAGCATCAAGTCTTCTTGGAAACAGGAAGCAAAAATTTTGTTTGTGGGTCACTAGGGATAAGGGTGAGTGGTGCCCCCCACCTCCCTCCATTTCTACCCTTTGATTCCTGCACCTGTGAATCCTGGCTGTGGGAGAAATAGTACCACATATTGAACGCTGATTCAGAGCATGTACAGCCTTCTGGACAACCTTGCCCCAGCCCTGCAAGGTATTGCCACCTAGCTGGCTCTGTAATTATGACTTCAAAAGGCCATTCTACTGTTCTGTCAAGCCAGCTGCTTCGGAATAACGGGAACATGGTAAGACCAGTGAATTCCATGAGCATGGGCCCATTGTCACACTTCTTTGGCTGTAAAATGAGTTTCTTTGTCAAAAGCAATATTGTATGAATACCATGGCAATGAATAAAGCATTCTATGAGTCCATGGATGGTAGTTTTGACAGAAGTATCACATTCAGGGGAGACAAATCCATATTCAGATTAAATATGTATTCCAGTAAGGAAAAAACACTGCCTCTTCCATGATGGAAGGGGTCCAGTGTAAGCAACTTGCCACCAGGTAGCTGGCTGATCGCCCCAGGTAATGGTGCCACATCAGGGACACCAGTGTTGGTCTCTGCTGCTGGCAGAATGGGCACTCAGCAGTGGTTGTAGCCAGGTTGGCCTCAGTGAGTGGAAGTCAATGTTGCTGAGCCAGTGCATAACCTCCATCCCTGCCACCATGGCCACTTTATTCATGAGACTCTGGGATGAAGACAGGGATGGGTGGTGAAAGAGGCTGACTGGCATCTACAGAACAGGTCATTCTATCCACTTGATTATTAAAGTCCTCCTCTGACGAGGTCACTCTTTGGTGACTGCTAACATGAGACACAAATATCTTCACCTCTTTTGCCCAATCAGAGAGGTCCATCCACATACCTCTTCCCCAAATTTCCTTGTCACCAATTTTCCAGTCATGTTTCTTCCATATTCCTGACCATCCAGCCAAACCATTGGCTACAGCCCATGAATCAGTAAACTATATACATCTGGCCATTTCTGCTTCCAAGCAAAGTGCATGACCAGGTGCCCTGCTCGAATTTCTGCCAACTGAGAAGAGTTCCCTTCACTACTGTCCTTCAAGGATGCCTCATAGAAGGGCCATAGCGCTGCAGCTGTCCATTTTCAGGTAGCCTGCATATCACGCAGATCCATCTGGACGGCAGGCCCCGGTTTTCTCTTCCTTTGTCAACTGATCATAGGGCATTTCCCATGAGGCCATAGGTGCAGGCTGGAAGAGAGAAGGCAGAGTAGCAGGAGTAGAAACCATGGGCATTTGTGTCACTTCTTCATATAACTTACTTGTGTCTTCAGGATCTGTTCAGGCCTGATCACGTATAAACCACTTCCATTTGATGATGGAATGCTGCTGTGCATGCCCAACTTTATGGCTTGGTGGATCAGATAACATTCAGTTCATGATACGCAGCTCAGGTCATGTGGTAAATTGGTGGTCCATGGTCAAGCATTCAGTTTCTACTAAGGCCCAGTCCTACTAAGGCCAAGAGCTGCCTCCCAAAAGGAGGGTATTTATCTGTGGATGACGGCAAGGCCTTGCTCCAAAAGGCCCTCTAAGGGCATCTGCTGCAGTTCACCTATAGGGGCCTGCCAAAGACTCCAGATAGCATCCTTATCTGCCACTGACACATCAAGCACCAATGGATCTGCTGGGTCATATGACCCAAGTGGCAGAGCAGCTTGCATAGCAGCCTGGACCTGTTGCAGAGCCTTCTCCTGTTCTAGGATCCACTCACAACTAGCAGCTTTTCAGGTCACTTGGTAGATGGGCTAGAGTAACACACCCAAATGAGGAATGTGTGTCCCTAAAATCCAAACAAGCCCAAGGTGTTCATGCGCTTCTTTCTTGGTTGTAGGAGGGGCCAAATGCAACAACTTATCCCTCATCTTATAGAAGGGATATCTCAAGATACCCCACCCACACCACTGGATCCCTAGAAATTACACCGAGGTAGAAGGCCCCTGAATTTTGTCAGATTTCTCACCCTCTATGTAAGCAAATGTCTTACAAATAAGCCCAGAGTGGTTGCTACTTCACTAGGTCCAATCAGCATAACACCATCAATGTAATGGGCCAGCATGATCTCTTGTGGAAAGATAAGGTGATCAAGTGCCCTGCAAACTAAATCGCGACAAAGGGCTGGAGAGTTTATATACCCCTGAGGTAGGACGGTGAAGGTGTATTGTTGGCCTTGCCAGCTGAGAGCAAGTTGCTTCTGGTGGGCTTTATAGACAGGGTTGGAGAAAAAGGCATTTGCCTGATCCGTGGCAGCATACCAGGTACCAGAAGATGTGTTATTTTGCTCAAGCAATGTAACCACATCTGGTACAGCAGCTGCAATTAGAGTCACCACTTGGTTAAGCTTGTGATAATCCACTGTCTTCTGGATTCTTCAGGATCCATCTGTCTTTGGCACAGGCCAAATACATAAGCCGAATGGGGATGTGGTAGGAATCTCCACCCCTGTGTCTTCAAGTCCTTGATAGCAGCACTAATCTCTGCAATCCCTTCAGGGATGGGATATTGTTTTTGATTTATTATGTTTCTAGGTAGAGACAGCTCTAATGGCTTTCATTTGGCCATTTCCACCATAATAGCCCTCCCTTCACAGGTTAGGGAAGCAATGTGGGGATTCTCCCAGCCTCTAAGTATGTCTATTCCCTTGGACCCACCATGAGTCAGACCCGAGCTAAAACTCCACTGATCAGCTCACCTCTATGAGCCTCGCCTCTGACTAGAGGGCCACAGTAACATTTCGGGCCTCCTGGAATCAATGTCAGCACAGAGCCGGTGTCTAGCAGTCCATGAAACCTCTGATTACTTCCTTTTCCTAAAGCACAGTTACCCTGGGTCACAGATCCCTTTGGCGAAGCCTGGGAGAAAGAGTAATAGTATAAATTTTCAGTAGTGTCCCCCTCCCTGAGGGAACCCAGCCTCCCCTATATTCAAGGGTTTTTGGGTCTATAAACTGGCTCATGTCTGGGAATTGATTGAGGTACTGTGAGTCTGTGTTCTTACACTCTGGTTTTTTTGTTTGTTTTGTGTGTGTGTGTGTGTGTGATTTTTTAATTTTTTTTATTTTTTTGAGAAAGGGTCTCACTCTGTTGCCCAGGCTGGAGTGCAGTGGCTCAATCTCGGCTCACTGCAGCCTCCACCTCTTGAGTTCAAGCGATTCTTGCGCCTCAGCCTCCAAAGTAGCTGGGACTACAGGTGTGCGCCATCACACCTGGCTAAATTTTGTATTTTTAGCAGAGACAGCGTTTCACCATGTTGGCCAGGCTGATCTCAAACTCCTGACCTCAAGTTATCTGCCTGCATCGGCCTCCCAAAGTGCTGGGATTACAGGTGTGAGCCACCATGTTCAGCCTGTTCTTACACTCTGAATTAGGCCTTTGTTGACTTGGTCTGGAAGTTGTCTGCTTATACAGATCAAGTAAGATCGTAGTAGACTTTCTATTTCACTTCTAGACCAGCCAATGCCATAGATCTGCACGAGACAGACGATTCTGATTGGTTCTCTGCCTCTGCTGCCCACAACCATAACTATACCCACTTTGCCGTTGGAGCTGAGTGCCGCCACGCGGCCCCTGCTACCCTGGGATCCAGTTATTCCCACTGCATTTAACTTTTCCAATTAAGCGACTGCTTTTCCCATTGTAAAGTCTGGCCTACAGAAATGAGCAATCAGAGCTCTTTAGGATGAGTAAGTCTTAAGTGAAAAATCCACTCTAGCCTTCCAATCTCCCTAAGCCTGTGGATCCCTTCCTCTGCTTGAAACTAAGGGAAGGCTGGGCACCGTGGCTCACGCCTGTAATCCCAACACTTTGGGAGGCCAAGGCGGGCCGATCACTTGAGGTCAGGAGTTCGAGACCAGCCTGGCCAACATGGTGAAACCCCATCTCTTCTAAAAATACAAAAATTAGCCGGGTGTGGTGGTGGGCACCTGTAATCCCAGCTACTCAGGAGGCTGAGGCAGGAGAATGGCTTGAACCCAGGAGGCAGAGGTTTCAGTGAGCTGAGACCATGCGATTGCACTCCAGCCTGGGCAACAAGAGTGAAACTCCGTCTCAAAAAATAAAAAAAAAAATAAAAATAAACTAAGGGAGATCGAACACCTCCAACTTGTTAATAGTGGCCCATGTTTTGATTCATGTTTCAGCCAACCAACCAAAGTGTTAGTACTTTTCTTAACTCCCCACACTGGAACATTACATGCAGAATCTCTGTTTAGTGTGCCCACAGCAATAAATTCGGCCTGATCCAACTTGATGTTCCTTCCACATTATCCCACACCCTGATAGCCATCCCCACACATGTTCTCTGGATTTGGTTCTTGTGGAGGGTAGTACAGCTCCTCGTGGGTCACATTTTGGGCCTCACCTTCAGGGGCCTGCTGGGACTCACGCCTGGTTGCAGGTCTAGAAGCAAAGTGGAGTGATATGTGTGGGTCCTGAGGAGAATCAGAATTATCTTTCTTGGCAACTGCCTTGGAGAGGACATTTCTGGTTCCTCAGGCGAGCAGAGTTTACCCGCAGACAGAGGTGGGAAGGCCATACCATTGTGGGTGGGGATGCTAATTGGATGGTGCCCACCCACATTACGGGCAAATTTTCCCCGCGCAGTCCACCGACTCACAAGCCAATCTCCCCTGAAAACACCCTCCCAGGTGTACCCCAAAATAATGCTTTACCAGTTCTCAAGGTAGAGTGCTCCCCACATCATCCAAGGTTTTGCCTTCCATAGTTTTAGTTACCTGACGTCAATGGCAGTCTAAAAATATTAAATAGAAAATTCCAGAAAGAATTCTTAAGTTTTAAATAGTGCAAAGTTCGAGTGGCACGGTGAAATCTCACACCATCCCACTCCATCGGGCCTGGGCAGTGAATCCCTGTGAATCACCCTTTGTCTAGTGTATTCACTGAGTACAGCTACCTGCCCCTCTGGTCACCTAGTAGCCATCTTGGGTATCAGATCGGAAAAACCTACCGTCTCTGGAGTCTAGTGCTATAGGTAGCCATCTTGAGTATCAGATCGGAAAAACCTACCATCTCTGGAGTCTAGTACTATATGCAGTTCAGGCCTTCACTTGGAACGTCTTGGAACATGTCCCCTGCCAAGTTGACACCTAAAATTAACCCTCACAGTACCCAACTAACACATGCAAACCCTGAGAAGCAGGGAATCTCTCCCCTACTCTGAACCAAACCTATGCTGGTCACCTCGCCTGCCTGTCTCATCTCATTCACCCTCACCTCAGCCATCTGAGAAATCCCAGCAAAGCAGGTAAGGGCCCAAGTGCTGCTTTCAAAACACCTGCGTTCAAAGACTGCTTCACCGTTTCCTGTGCAACCTTAGGTAAGTTACTTAACTCCCTGTGCTTCAGTTTCCCCATTTGTAAAATTAAAATCGCAGTACTTTCTTCATAGGGTCCTTCTTATACTTAAGAGACATAACCCATGTAAATGGCCTGCCATAAAAGTAAGGGTTCAACAAACACTTCCTATTATTAATTTTCAGGCAGGAAAATTAATTTTATGTTTTATTGAGAGGAAAACAGAGGTGTCCCAAAGTTAGGGACCTTGCCCGAGATCACACAGCCAGTAGGCGGCCTTTGGTTTCTGGTTTGCCTGAAGGTCTGTGGAGGGAGTCAGGGATGGGAAGGATGTTGGTGGTCCATGGACCCCTGCCCTTTGAGCTGAGGACTGTTGGCTGCAGAGACTCAAGAGATTGGAGGCTTTGAAACTGCCCTCTGTGGGGCCCTTGGTTATGCTCCTGTGCTATAGGTTGAATGTTTGTGTCACCCTAAAAATTCATATGTTGAAGCTTAATTCCCAATGTTATGGTATTTAGAAGTGAGGTCTTTGGGAAGTAGTTAGGTCATGAGGGCAGAGTCTTCATGAAAGGGACTTAACGCCCTGATAAAAGAGGCCCCAGAGAACTCACCTGCCCTTCAGCCATAGGAAGACACAGCAAGAAGACACAGTGTCTATGGACCAAAAGCACCGAATCTACTGAAGTTCCAGCCTCCTGAACTGTGAGAAATTTCTGTTGTCTATGAGTCACTCGCTATGATATTTTGTTATGGCAGCTCAAACAGACTAAGACACCCAGAGACCACTTTTGGAGGGGCGGGGATTGTAATGGCCACCAGGGAGAAAGAGAGGTCACTTCTGTCCCTATTTTAACCAGAAGATGCCCACTTTTTTCTGGATTATAGTGAAAACATAACATAAGGCCCTCCCTTTGAGAAAGAAAATATGGGGTGTAAGTTTCCTTTTAAGAAGAGAATTGACTTTAGCTAAAGGGACTTAAACCCTAGCAGACACTAGGACTTAATTTCTTTTTCCGACTGATAGAAAATGGAAAATACAGAATGTTTATAATGACGTTTATAACTTAGATGCTAAACAATGAACCTCTTTGCCAATTAATTAGCTTGAGACAAACTATCAGGTAAGACCCAACTTGACCCTCCTGTTTCAAAAGTGGGAGATTTCTTGTGTCATGTTTTCTTGCCATCCGGATAAATAAGAACTCTCTTGCTAATCCGTGGTTATTTTGCATTTAAAATGTAAATCTTTAAGTTTGTCAAAAATTGCAGCTGGAGGCCTGGCGTGGTGGCTCACACCTGTAATCTCAGCACTTTGGGAGGCCGAGGCAGGTGGGTCACCTGAGGTCAGGAGTCTGAGACCGGCCTGGCCAACGTGGTGAAACCTCATCTGTACTAAAAATACACACAAAAAATTAGCCTGGTATGGTGGTGGGTGCCTGTAAACCCAGCTACTCAGGAGGTTGAAGCAGGAGAATTGCTTGAATCCAGGAGGCGGAGTTTGCAGTGAGTGGAGATTGCACCACTGCACTCCAGCCTGGGCGACAGAGACTCTATCTCAAAAAAATAAAAAATAAAAATAAATAAATAAATAAATAAAAATACAAAAATTAGCCAGGTGTGGTGGTGCATGCCTGCAGTCCCAGCTACTCAGGAGGCTGAGGCAGGAGAATTGCTTGAACCTGGGAGGCGGAGGTTGCAGTGAGCCAAGATCATGCTACTGTACTTCAGCTTGGGGAACAGAGTAAAATTGTGTACTCAAAAAAAAAAAAAAAAATTGCAGCTGGACGTGGTAGCTCACGCTTATAATACATTAAAGGTGATAAAAGGTGGCACTTTGCAAGGCCAAGGTGAGAGGATCACTTGAGCCCAAAAGTTTAAGACCAGCCTGGGCAACATAGTGATACCTCCTCCCTACAAAAAATATTAACTGGGCACGGTGGCATGTGCCTGTGGTCCCAGCTACTTGGGAGGCTAAGGCGGGAGAATGGCTCGGGCCCAGGAGGTGGAGGCTGCAGTGAGCTATTATTGTATCACTGCATTCCAGACTGAGTGAAAGAGTGAGACCCTGTCGCAAAAAAAAAAAAAAAAAAAAAAAAAATTACAAAATATCCATGGCCAATCACAGGAAGTCATCATGTGTGGTCACTGATTCCTATGTGTTTAATCATTTCAGTTATGATTGAGCATAAAATGAACTCACTGGTCTTTTTAGCTTCTTTCCGTCATAATCCAAGACCTTAATTTCACCAACACTATAAAATCCAGATTGTAATTTCTAGTATTTCAAACAGCAGCTTGGCTGGTTATCTCTTTCTGCAGAGGTCTAGAAACATCTTGAATGAAACAAAAGGGCCTCTAAGAATTCTGAAGTCAAAACATAACTGTAAAGCTCTGCCAATGTTTTAACAGTGTATTTGTGTTCCATATAAGATTTCATTTGTTTTATTTTGTTTTTAAAGAAAGGGTCTATGTTGCCCAGGCTTCAGTGCAGTGGCTATTCACAGGTGTGATCACAGCACACTGCAGCCTTGAACTCCTGGCATCAAGCAACCTTCTCGCCTCAGCTTCCCAAGTACCTGGGACTACAGGCACCCCTGACTATGCAAGATTTCTTTTTTTACCTAGGATACAGATCCTGAATGTAAGATTTCATTTAAAAGAGAGTTCCAAAGCTTTAAAATAAGTTTTAAATAGCTTCAAAAAAATCAAAACAAAAAGAGAGTGTGTGTTTAATGCACTCTCCAGGACATGCTGAGTTCCCCTGAAATAGCCTTAAAAAAGAAAACAAAACAGGCAAATCAACAGCAAAATCACCCTCAGGAGGTTTCAGGCTAAAACCTTTCCATTTGAGACCAAGCAAAATTACTAAGAGGTGAAATTTGCACTTGGCTATCTCATTCCTCTCAGGCTAGGGGTCCATCCATAAAGATCCCCCAACACAGAACTTTGGCCTACACTCTGTGGATACTAGGCCTTGAAGGACACAGTTGGCAAAACTCATAACCTATTGAATATGTTTACATAAAAGGTGGCCAAATTATAAGCCTATGGACTATTTTCCCAATGAGAGAGTCCAAAAACTTAATAACTTCCAGTAATGCAAATAAACTAATAAACAGTCTCTTCACAGCATTAATTCACTAATGTAGTTAGGCATACATATTCAGAACCCCTAAATATATTCAATATATTAATTTTAAAATAGCTTTTCCACTGTTCCTTCTCTTTCTTTCTTTCTTTCCTTTCTTCTTTCTTTCTTTCCTTTCTTCTTTCTCTTTTCTTTTTTCTTTTTCTTTTCTTTCACGACAGGGTCTCACTCTGTCACCCAGGCTGGAGTACAGTGGTGTGATCTCAGCTCACTGCAACCTCCGCCTCTCAGGTTCAAGAGATTCTCCCACCTCAGCCTCCCAAGTAGCTAGTACTATAGCACAGCACCATGTCCAGCTAATTTTTGTATTTTTTGGTAGAAACAAGGTTTCACCATGTTGACCAGACTGGTCTCTAACTCCTGAGCTCAAGTGATCCACCTGCCTCGACCTTCCAAAATGCAGGGATTACAGGCATGAGCCATGGTGCCCAGCCTCCACTCATATTTCATAGAAATAAGTGTATTCAAAATCAGCAAGAGCATCTTCACAACTACAGCCACTCTTCTGAGTCACCTCACACAGTTTACTTGAAAAATACTCTTACCGCCAACAAAGTTGTTTGAAATCTATACTTTTTAAAGCTGCATTTAATGCTAATTGCTGAAAAATGTGTCCCAAGTCACAAGTACTCATTTGCTATTATTATGCTGTTTGCAATTTGCTTTCAAATACTTCACATAGATAACATGATATGAAAATGTTAGTTTTAATCCATACCCCTGGTGGGGGTGGTTAGTTAGCATTTGAAAGACAAATCATAAACTCACACACACATTCCGGAGAGTACAGCTTTGATTCAGTTGAGGTTATTTTTAATCAACACCAGGGGGCTTGCTAATTAGCAGAGTGAATGCTGTTTCTTTGGAGAAATGAGTGGAATTAGAGATATGCGAATTAGTGAGAAGGTTTCCTCTCTCTGGCATGACAGCTATGGTATACCCCAAAGAGGCCACTCCTCTGAATGAGCCCAGATAAACACTTTAGGGAAGAGTCAATGGTTTGAATACAACTAGAAGTTCAGCTGAAGCATGCCACAAGACAGCCGTCACATCAGCCATGCATGAACTTTCAAGCAAGGTGTGCCTAAGAGTTCCTAAAAGAGTAGCTTGCTGTAGCCGGGCATGGTGGCCCATGCCTGTAATCTCAGCAATTTGGGAGGCCAAGGCAGGTGGATTGCTTGAGTCCGGGAGTTCAAAACCAGCCTGGGCAACTTGGTGAAACCCCATCTCTACCAAAAATACAAAAATAAGCCAGGCATGGTGGCATGTGCCTGTGGTCCCAGCCACTCAGGAGGAAGAGCAGCTTGCTGGGGTTTGCTAGGTCATTATACTGTTTATCTGTCTGCTTGCTCAGCCTGAATCTTCCACTGTGCTGTGCCACCTGGTGCTGAGATTGTGGGGTTCCTTCTAGTTCTCAGGTACCTGCAGATATTGAATGAACCTAGGATTGTATTTCAATCAACTTCAGACACTATCTATCAGCTGGAAGTCATGCCGCTATTTTTGCCTACTACTAACACACACACCCACAAATGCTGCCAATTTTATCAGGAGGCACCACTGATGGGAAATGAATCCTGATTTCAGAGCTGTTAAAATGTCACAAAAAAAGTGCGTGTTGAAATTGATTGATGAAAGACAGTTATTGTGAATAAGCAATTGGCTTAAGTTCATCTGCAATGATTACTTTCTCCAAACTCACTACTCTGCTCTTTAAAGGGATCTTTAAAGGCTCTTTTACCACAAAACCAGGACTTGCAAGTGGAAGACCATATTCCTGGGAATAAATCTCAATCTGTGTTACATTTTTTTTGCCTCTATTTCTTTCCCTCTCTCTTGATTGTGTCAGGTGCCTTCTGAAAGGATCCCAAATAAGTATTCACTGGGAAAGTCCAGGGTTACCTGGCGTTCCCCCAGACAGCCTATTATCCTAATAAAGGAACACAGTGACCCTGAATATGAAAAGCTCTGGATACACCCAGCTGTGATGCCACTTCTTTGTTCCTGAAAAATATATTGGAAAACAAAATACTCAACTCATAGTCGGGTAATGCAAAACAAAGGCAAAGAACACTGTTTGGTAGGAAATTTCTCCATGCTTGCTTTAAAATGGAAACATGAGACTGGGAAGCTTCTGAGAAGCCATCCAGTCTAAATCACCACCGGATGTCTGGATTTTGTTAAAGGCATTTCAGACAAGTGGTCATACATTTGACCCAAAGAAGCAAGGTTAACATAGGGGTTTCAGGTTCTGTGAGAAGGAAGCAAGGAGATGTCAGGACAGGGAAGCCAGCATCACCTTTCTGCTTATCTCAGAGTGGTCTGAATGCCTCCTGCATGTGGTAGGAGGAGCTGGCTTCTTTAGCCAGTGCTGCAAGGTGCAGGGTCTGAGCGTGGCTGGAGAAGAACAGAGAGTGAGAGGTGAAGGGGAGGTCCTGAGTTTAGGCAGGCTCTGGGTGGCTGAGCCACACTTCTGATCCTCTCCCTCCCCTGGGGCTCCTGTCTAATCTCCTTCATGTGAACAGAAAACAGCACAGAGCCCAGGAGGTGAATGAGGCCAAGTCTTGATCCCATCACTGTGCCAGAAGGCCCCAGCAGTCCTCACCACCTCCAAGGACTGAATAGCACCCTGGGGGACGATGGAGGGAGGCAGAGCCTAGGAGCAGGGGCCCCAGCTGCTTTCAGACCACGTTTTACCTTAAAACATGTGATCAAAATTAAAAACCTGTATGCATCAAAGGACACTATCAAGAGAGTGAAAGACAGCCCACAGAATGGGAGATTTGCAAATCAGATGTCTATAAGAGACTAATATCCAGAATATATAAAGAATTCCCAGAACTTGACAAAAAAATTCCAAACAAGCCAATTCAAAAATGGGCAAATGGCTTGAATAGATATTTTTCCCCAAATATACAAACAACCAATATAAAAGAAATAATAATAATAATAATAATAATAATAATAATAATAATAATAAAAGAACAAACAACCAATAGGCACATGGAAAGATTCTCAGCACCACTAGTCATTAGGGAAGCACAGTTCAAAACCATAATGGGATACCGCTTCATAGCCATTAGGATGGCTGCTATCAAAAAACAAAACAAAAAACACAGAAGGTAAGTATTGGCAAGGGTGTGGAGAAATAGAAACTAATGCATTTCTGGTGGGACTGTAAAGTGGTGCAATAGCTATGGAAAACAGTATGACAGTTTCTCAAAAAGTTAAACAGAATTACCATATAATCCAGCAATTTCACTTCTATCTATATACCCAAAAGAAGTGAAAGGGGCTGAAACAGTTTTTTTTTTTTTTTTGAGACAGGGTCTCACTCTGTTGTCCAGGCTGGAGTGCCTCACTGCAGACTTGACCTCCTGGGATTAAGTGATCCTCCCACCTCAGCCTCCTAAGTATCTGGGACCACAGACACATGCCACCACACCATCTAATTTTTGTATTTTTTGTAGAGATGAGTCCTCCCTATATTGTCCAGGCTGGTCTCAAACTCCTGAGCTCAAGTGATCCACCCACCTTGGCCTCCCGAAGTACTGGGATTACAGGTGCGACGGCCTGAAGCAGGTATTTCTAAACCAATTTTCATAGCAGCATTACTCACAATGACCAAAAGGTGAAAGCCCAAATGCTCTTCAGCAGATGAATGGATAAACAAAATGTGGTATATCTATACTACAGGATATTACTCAGCCTTAAGAAAGAATAAAAGGCCCAATGTGATGGTTCATGCCTGTAATCTCAGCTACTCTGGAGGCTGAGGTGGGGGGACTACTTGAGCTCAGGAGAACAAGGCCACAGTGAGCTGTGATCACACCACTGCACTCCAGCCTGGGCAACAGAGCAAGACCCTATTTTTTAAAAAAAAAAAAAAAAAAAGGAATAGAATTCTAATACATGTTTTAACATGGGTGAGGCTTGAAAACATTAAGTCAAATAAGCCAGACACAAAGGGACAAATATTGTATGATTCCATTGAGATGACATGCCTGGAATAGGCAAATTTTAGAGACATTTACGTAAAGACAGTCTGGCAGGGGGGCCGGGGGCGGGTAGAGGGGATGGGGAATTAGTGTTTAAGGGATACGTAGTTTCTATTTGGGAAGATGAAGAAGTCGTGGAGATGGATGGTGGTCATAGGTGCACAGCAATGTGAATGTACTCAATACCAACGAATTACACATTTTTAAGTGCTTAGCATGATAAATTTTATGTTACGTATATTTTACCACAATAAAAAAGTATCATTAAAAAGCACGTGCTTTTTGTAGTCTGCTCCATAATTTATAGTTGTTTTAATACAAAAATTTATTTTCTCCAAATCTTCCAGAAAAAAAATACATATTATACACATCCTGTTGCTGCAAACTGCCTCCCCCACTATTGTGAGAAGCGCAGACTAGTTCAATCCACCCTTCTTCCTATTTTATATCTGAGAACCTCAGATAGGAAATGACTTGCTTGAGGTCACTCAGTGAGGGCCTGGCAAAGTCAAAAATAAGGAAGGTCTCTAACGAACAGTGGGAACATGTGCATGGGTCCTAGAGTTGGAAGGACCAGAAGCTCACCCCGCCATGCCAATGCCTGAATCCACCATGGGAAGAAAACGGCCAACTCACAGGGCAGGGAGCTGGGGGAAAGCTGAGGTCACTCATCAGCTGAATGACACGTGCCTGAACTTCAGCCTCCTTGCAGCATGGGTCAAATGCCCACCTCAGCAAGATTATAAACAACTCCCAAGTAGTTTGCCATTCATTAAAGCCATGATTATGTCTGCTCACACAGTGCTTTCCAAACTGCAGGTCACAACCTCTCAATGGATCGTGAAATCTATTTAGTGAGTCATGATTAACATTTAAAGATAGAATCGTATGGAAAAGAATAGACAGAAAATATCAGTGTATTGCAGAGTAAAGGTAAGTACTGTTTTATGATGTTTGTTACATATGTTTATAGATATTGCTTGCTATGTTATGTATGACTGTATGTGTATACTAGATTATGACAAAAGGTATTGCTTACTAAAAGCCATAAACAAAAAAGCTTGAAAAAAAGGTGTTAATGTGAGGCCGGGCACGGTGGCTCATGCCTGTAATCCCAGCACTTTGGGAGTCCAAGGCGGGCAGATCACCTGAGGTCGGAAGTTTGAGACCAGCCTGACCAACATGGAGAAACCCCATCTCTACCACAAATACAAAATTAGCCGGGCGTGGTGGCACATGCCTGTAATCCCAGCTACTCAGGAGGCTGAGGTAGAAGAATCGCTTGAACCCGGGAGGCAGAGGTTGCGGTGAGCCAAGATTGTGCCATTGCACTCCAGCCTGGGCAACAAGAGCAAAACTCCGTCCCCCAAAAAAAAGGTGTTAATGTCACAGGTCACCTGTATTGATTACGAAGAGCCATGGATTTTTTTCCACCTAGAGTCACACATGCTCTGGTACATTCTAAAGATTGTGGAGGGGCCGGGCTCAATGGCTCATGCCTGTAATCCCAGCACTTTGGGAGGCCCAGGTGAGTGGATCACTTGAGGTCAGGAGTTCAAGATCAGCCTGGACAACATGGTGAAACCCTGTCTGTAATAAAAAATACAAAAATTGCCAGGCATGGTGGTGTGCACCTGTGGTCCCAGTTACTTGGGAAGCTGAGGCATGAGAATTGCTTGAACCTGGGAGGCAGAGGCTGCAGTGAGCTGAGATTGCACCACTGTACTCCAGCCTGGGTGACAGAACAAGACTCTGTCTCAAAAACAAAAACGAAACCAAAAAGACCCAGAAACAACAACAACAACAAAAAGATTGTTGTGGGGGGACTAAGGCCGCCAGGTACCCAGACGGATGCATGTCTGGACAAGAAGCCCCTCCTAATGTAACTGCCCAAGGGGTTCACCTTGTCCACGCCTAGACAGAGCCAATTCGTCAAGACAGGGGAATTGTAACAGAGAAAGAGTAATTCACACAGAGCCAACTGTGCAGGAGACCGGAGTTTTATTATTACTCAAATCAGTCTCCCTGAGCATTTGAGGAGCAGAGTTTTTAAGGATAACTTGGTGGCGGGGTGGGGGGTGTAGCCAGTGGGCCAGGAGTGGTGACTGGTCAGGGATGAAATCATAGGGAGTCGAACCTGTCTTCTTGCGCTGACTCAGTTCCTGGGTGGGGCCCACAAGATCAGAGGAGACAAATTACTGATCTGAGCGGTGCCTGCTGATCCATCAAGTGCAGGGTCTGCAAAATATCCCAAGCACTGATCTCAGGAGCAGTCTAGGGAGGGTCAGAATCTTGAGGCCTCCAACTGCAAGATTCCTAAATCATAATTTCTAATCCTTTGGCTAATGTTAGTCTAGTCCCCAGGCAAGAAGGAGGTCTGCTTTGGGAAAGGGTTGTTACCATTTTTGTTTAAACTATAAACTACAAAGTAAGTTTCTCCCAGAGTTAGATCAGCCTATGCCCAGAAATGAAAAAGACAGCTTGGAGGTTAGAAGCAAGATGGAGTCAGTTAAGTTCGATCTCTTTGATTGTCTCAGTCATAATTTTGCAAAGGCGGTCTCAATCCCTCCCTTTGGATTTTGTAACACCTTAATCTCAAGGTGTAGGCTATGAAGATAGGAGAAGGCTGTCAATCGCTCTGGCTTCTTCCTGCTGACAAGGGACATTGTGGGAATGGGAGTGAACCCCAAGGTGAGAAGAGTGGAACCGCTTTCTAACTGTCTGAGTGTACTCATGCAGGCCTGGCTTGGCTTCCAAGGCTTGTGTGGGAAAAACATTAGTGCTCTCATCTATAGTTTTACTACAGTGTTTAAGTGAACAGCCTACTATAAGGTACATTACGAGTTCTACAATTAGGAGTACAATTCCCAATTTTAAAAGCAAAGATTTGAAAGCATTAGCTTGGGGACTTCTAACCCACAAGGAATTTAGAATTTAGTCTAAACTGCAGGAAAAAACCTCAAGAACAGCTAACAACAGTATACTATAGTTTTCTTTTGGAGCATAATTTTGCCACTAGGCAGTGGACAAGGTGAACCCCTTGGGCAGTTACATTAGGAGGGGCTTCTTGTCCAGACATGCATCCGTCTGGGTACCTGGTAGCCTTAGTCCTCCCACAACAATCTTTTTGTTGTTGTTGTTGTTTCTGGTTTTTTTGTTTGTTTGTTTGTTTTGAGACAGAGTCTTGCTCTGTCACCCAGGCTGGAGTGCAGTGGTGTAATCTCAGCTCGCTGCAGCCTCTGCCTCCTGGGTTCAAGCAATTCTCGTGCCTCAGCTTCCCAAGTAACTGGGACCACAGGTGCACACCACTACACCTGGCTAATTTTTGTATTTTTTTAATAGAGACAGGGTTTCACCATGTTGTCCAGGCTGGTCTTGAACTCCCAACCTCAAGCAATCCACCCACCTGGGCCTCCCAAAGTGCTGGGATTTCAGTCCCCATTTTTTTAAAAGCAAGTCATGATAGAACTGATTTACAGTTTACAAAATGAATTTTAGTCTTACTCTACTTGGCCTGATGATTTGCATAAAGTGCAGCAAGAATAATTATTTTTCACTTAGGCTTTTTAAATTGGCTTTGATAGAACTCTGTTCCATGAAGAATCTCAGATAAAAGTTTTTAAAAGCTGAGCCCAGCCATGGGTTTGTACCCTCAAATACCTATGAGTTGAGCAAAATCCTCTCCTCTTGAGGTCCCAAGATAACCTGGGGTTCCTGGGCCTGTTAGAAAGTGACGTTCTTTACTTACCACAGGTCAGGAACCTTGTACAGGAACTCTGTGTGGACAAGGTATGAGGCCAGATTCCCCAAAGGGCTTTAATTGGCTCTAAAAGTCAACTTTCATCTTTAAAGGAAGCATGCCATTCCAGTCAAATCCTTGGTAAAATGCCCAGTTTCTCCAATGGTGTCCTGTGACAAAAGAAAACAGATTCTTATTGCACTTATGTAATTAACTATACTGCCATAAATTGAGAATACACACAAATGGTTTCCAAATTCTAGAGCAATCAGGTAGAGAGAAACAAATATGCTCCAAAATTTTCCACAGGAGTATATTTTACTCACTTGTTAAAGCTTGCAAATAGCTCTAAAGAAATAAGTAATCTTTACTCTGAAAACAAAAGGATTAGCAATGTTTAACATACCAGCTCTCCACGAGAGTCCTAGAAGTTTCCTTTTTTCCTCTATTCCAATAGTACAATTTTTAAAGTTATCTGAGACCTGCACTCAGAGTCTTGTATCTGATTATAAATTGCCTTTTGAAAAGGACCAAAGCAAGACAAAATGTCTGTGGATGACAAAAGTCTATAGCCACTATTAAAGCTACAATTGACTAGGAATTTTGGTTCTTCCACTTCTGTGGCATACAACAATTTTACATAACAATTATAATTATTAATAATGTACACTAAATCATATCAGAATTATAGAAGTTTCCCATAACTTTTGGAACACATACTAATAACATATTTATACAAATACAGTCCAAAGAAAACCAAACACCATTCTCTCTTTCTTTTGAAAGTTTTCTGTCTATTCTAAAGTCACAATCTCCAGAGTTATTAAGCAGAAATCTGCATTTAAGAGCACCTGTTAAATTTTACAGCTGATTATAAAACCAACTTTTAGGAGGACCAAAATAAGACAACAATCATCTGTGGATGACAAAAACATTATAGGGTAGCCACAGTTAAAGACACGATCGACAAAGAGATTTGTTACCTGTGGCACACAGCCATTTAACATAATTATAATTATTACTGATAACATATACAAAGTCATATTAGAATTTTAGGAGTTTTACATAATTTTGGAACATATGCCAATAATACATTTACACAAATATAGCCCAAAGAAAGCCAAACACCATTTCATACTTGACAATGCTTCCTGTATGATTTTTATGTCAAATAAGCCAAATGTCATTTTTGGACTTTAGAGGACCTGATATCTAAAATATTAGGTTAGAAAGAGATATAATTTATAATTTGATTTTGGAAAGTTTGTCAAATATCAAAGGTTTAAAACACTGGATATCACAAAATAGAATCCCAGGTCACCATAAGTCATTCACTTAGCCAAAATGATAACTCCAAAAAATTTTTTTAAAAAAGAAAGCCTTTACTCTGATAGAGGAGACTTAGCTTTCCAAACAAGACTCAATGAAGATAGCATGAAGCCACCTGAATCTGTCTCCTTTCTCTCTCTCCTCCTTTTTTTTCCTGCCACTTACCCAAAGGAGAAAACAAAACCACTTTCATTATCTTTTAACATTACATAAAAATCGTCTTCAAAAGAGAAAACCAAATTTCAGGCTTGCATTAGTGCATCTTTAATGTTAAAGCTAGTTTTTTAAATAAAATTTTATATCTCGATCCAGTTGTAATTAGTCTGACCATAAGGTAAGATTTTTATAAACTTTTTAGAACTCTTTACAAATTTCCATCCAACAGCAGATCAGTTTTCTAAGAAAACCCTGTTATTCGGACACACAGACCCAGATTCTGGCCCCACATCAGTATGATTTTAATGCTTTAACCTAAGGGTGGCATGCATCTGTAATCCCAGCTACTCGGGAGGCTGAGGTAAGGAGAATGGCTTGAACCTGGGAGGCAGAGGTTGCAGTGAGCCAAGATCGTGCCACTGCACACCAGCCTGGGCGACAGAGTGAGACTCTGTCTCAAAAAAAAAAAAAAAAAAAAAAAAACTGGATGCGGTGGCTCACACCTGTAATCCTAGCACTTTGGGAGGCCGAGGCGGGCAGATCACCTGAGGTGGGGAGTTCGAGACCAGCCTGACCAACATGGAGAAACCCCTTCTCTACTACAAATAAAAAATTAGCCAGGTGTGGTGGTTCATGCCTGTAATCCCAGCTACTTGGGCAGCTGAGGCAGGAGAATCACTTGAACCCAGGAGGCAGAGGTTGTGGTGAGCCGAGATCATGCCATTGCACTCCAGCCTGGGCAACAAGAGCAAAACTCCATTTCAAAAAAAAAAAAAAAAGCTAAAATTTCTTTTAAATCTTTTTTTTTTTGAGACATGGTCTCACTCTGTTGCCCATGCTTGAGCACAATCTTGACTCACTACAACCTCCACCTCCTGGGTTCAAACGATTCTCCTGCCTCAGCCTTCTGAGTAGCTGGGATTACAGGCACCTGCCACAGGCCCGGCTAATTTTTGTATTTTTTCAGTAGAGTTGGGGTTTCACCATGTTGGCCAGGCTGGTCTTGAATTCCTGACCTCAAGGGATCCCCACTCCTCAGCCTCCCAAAATGCTGGGATTACAGGCGTGAGCCACCGCGCCCAGCCAATTTCTTTTAAATCTTAGCCAACTTGTTTATACCCACAGAATTTGTTACAAGATCAACCCTTTACAAACCCCTTTCCCTTTGCTTAAACCTTCAGTTTTGTTCCATTACTCTTTTGGGTTAAGACAATCTTTAAAACCCTCTGAAGTAGACAAAATTACATTCCCTTTAACAAAAGCCATATTCCCATGCCTTCTGATCATCTTTTACCAAAAACACATTCCCTACACACCTAGTATGTAAAACGCATTCTCCAGTGGTCTCAACTACATATTACAATGTTAAATCTTAGCAACTTTTATTTTTAGTGAAAAACCTGGTAAGTAAGCGATTTTAATTATGTACTGGGGTGGAGCCTAGGACATCAATCAGAAATGAAGATAAGGTCTGACTCTTAGCATAGCTGGCGGGCATGGCTCTCCACATGTCCCCAGGCCTTACCTATCATCTAATGCTCCAAAGTAGGGAAATTGAACAATTCTCAAAAGTCAAAGAAACAGTTTGACCTTAAAGCATTTAGCAAATCTGATACCTGACCTTATTTTAGACCAAATGTCTACATTTTCAAGACATTTTATTTTACCAATAATCTTTAAAACTGTCTTTATTTCCCAGGTCGGGTGCAGTGGCTCATGCCTGTTATCCCAGCACTTTGGAAGGCCGAGGTGGGTGGATCACGAGGTCAAGAGCTCGAGACCATCCTGGCTAACATGGTGAAACCCCATCTCTACTAAAAATACAAAAAAATTAGCCCGGCGTGGTGGCGGGCGCCTGTAGCCCCAGCAACTTGGGAGGCTGAGGCAGGAGAATCACTTGAACCCGGGAGGTGGAGGTTGCAGTGAGCCAAGACTGCGCCACTGCCTCCAGTCTGGTGAGAGAGTGAGACTCCATCTCAAAGAAAAAACAAAAAAACCGTCTTTATTTCCAAAAGACTACTAAAGTCATGTGAACAAAAAGGTATTACGGTTTCTATTTTTCTGATAAAATATTTGATTTAAATGCTTATATTTCTAAGCCAATTAACCAGAGCTCTTTTATACAAACATCTCACACACACACACACACAACACATATGAATACAGACAGACAGAAGATTCAGCACTTGTAAAATTTTTCATTTGCCAGTTTCTTAATTGGGTGACTGGCTTTAGGGTGGAGCCCTTGGAGGAGCAGGGCCGGGAAAGCATGCATTTCTAGAGCCAAATAAGCAGCAAATAAGCAGCTGAAGGCAAAGACAGATCCCCAAAATTAAGGGTGCCATTTTATACTGGATCCTGGATCCCCAACAGGAGGGAAATACTGTGGGAGAAGACCGTGCAATGCTTCTACCCTGCATTCCATTCAAGGCAACCCAAAGCCAATCAGCCCATTTTGTAATCGGCCCATCTCTCACAGGAGTCTCATCTCCCAGTGCGGGGTGGGGACGCCTCCTTATCTTCCAGGTGGCCGAGAGCATGCGTCTCTGATCCAAGTGTGCAGAGTCAAGTATCCCTCCACAACTACTATTAGCCACTCCCTAAAGTATATTTCCTACCTAGTTATTACACACCAAAGCTCTCTCATAATAAGTAATTTCTGATACCCCTAAAAATCAAAACTGTCAGATAACACAGTGAAAAACAGAACAGAGCCTTTGATTCTGAGAGGGATCTATCCGCTTTTAATTCCTGGGGTTTCATGAGGAAAACAGAGCCTTTTTTCCAAAACGGGGTTCGTGGTGCCTCCTCTGTTTTTCCCAAGGAGTCCCAGGCTACCAGAAGTTATCTTAGGGCCTCTCATGTGTGTATTAAGATTGGCAAGATAAAAAAAAATGGAAAAAAATAATTCAGTCAACTGAGAAGAAAAAACCTTTTCCCAGGAAAAAAACAAGTCCCAAAAAGAGGAAAACATAAAGGCCTTTTAAATATACCTATTGCTTGTTTATCCACTTTTAATTAAGCTGACTTTTAACCATAGCGCTCTTTAAAAAATATCCTTTTAAATTTTTTATTACCCGACTTTAACACTAAGCGACCAGTATTTTTGGCTTTTAAATTCTACCACAGTTAACTTCCCACATGAAATTAATAAGTTTTAGCTAAGGTTATAACTTAACCATGGACACATTCATGTCTCAAGGAGAAGGTAAGCCGTTTCTTTTTTTTTTTTTTTTTTTTTTTTTTACAAGATTTAGAATCTCCCCCAGGGTAGTTTAGAGAAAGGAAAACTCAAGACAGGAAATCAGAAGCTATCCATGGGTTGGCCGGGGTGGGGGTGGGGTGGGGAACCTCAATAAATGGCAAAGTTTCATAAATAAAACTCAGAAAGGAATCATTCCAGAAGCCAAGACTAAAACTCAGGCTGCCATTGTCAAAAAGCAAAGCCTCAGCTACTGAGTTACAGCATTGAGCAGTTTCTATTCCTCTCCCCAGAAGGAGCCTAGAGAAGCCAATTTCAAGCTTGCACAGGCTTTTAACTGCTCAAGAAAAAATTTTTAGGACTATGACATGAACCCCAAAATTCCTGTCCTCTGGATGGCAGAAACCAAGAGAAAGTATCCCCACATGGTCAAAAGGTTAAGCTCTTAAGGACACAAAGCAAGACAGAGAAATTTCATCCAGTATTGGTTTCAGGAACCTGTAGCAAGGTTTGTAACTGACCAGCCTGCCAAGCTGGCTTGAAAAGCGGGCTTATAGGGGTCCTAAACCCACATTCTATCCTGTGATACCCCTCTCTCCATTACAGAACAAAGAAAAACAAATTCTTAGCACAAAGTACAGCAGATTTGCTACCGCCTAAGACTAGTCTCACAAATCCTTTTTTCTATTAATCAAACCCTTGCAGAGGAGACCAATAGTTTACTGTTTTACCCAGACAGAGAAAGAGAGACCAGAATCTTCGCTGGTAAGAATTTCTCACCCTTTTTGCTGGCATACCCGGTTTCTGGGTTCTCTTTCTCTGCAGCTTCCAGAAGAAAGAGTGGCTTCTCATGACCCTGCTCGCTTGTGCTATAGCTGTGAGGTTCAAGCCACTTACAAGAGAAAAAATAAACCACTTTACTGTTTTATGGAACCATAGGCAAGATTCTCAATTTGCAAGATGCTAACCAACAGGTTGCATGGGGAACCAAATTAACATTTTCCATCCCAGCAAAATATACACAACAGAACAGACATTAGTCACCTCATTCAGCACCCAATATAAGTCTGGTAAAGCTCAAACTTTTTCCCGTTGCTCCCTGTTTCTGATCCACTCCAGGTGGGGAGGGGAGGGATGACCTCCAAATGGTAATTCACAATGGAGTCTCTGGGCAAGGCGAAGACCAGATAGTCACCCCGAGAGACAGGCCTGTTGAGCTTTCTTTAGGGCTTACCAAATGTAACCAGGCAAATAAGGAGGGATCTCTGAGTTAGACCTGCTGGACTTCCATTAGCAACCTCTCCTGAGATCCCTTCCACATACACAGACACACACAAAGACGAGATAGACAGAAGGCCTTCTAAATCAGATCCCTAACCAAGAACTCCAAGAGTATCCCTTCCAAACTATCCTCCTATTCTCCGTCTGAGAAACTGCCTCGAAATCTTCCAGATTGAGGATAAGTCTCTCAAACCAAGACTCTTCTTACTAGTTAGAAAGAGCCAACTGAGACCCCGCAGGAGCTGAACAGACACC
Organism: Homo sapiens; assembly: GCF_000001405.40. Classification (NCBI taxonomy): domain Eukaryota; kingdom Metazoa; phylum Chordata; class Mammalia; order Primates; family Hominidae; genus Homo; species Homo sapiens. Next base: position 69,331,287 of record NC_000015.10, on the reverse strand, counting down.
CTGCAATGGGGCTACAGACACAAGACACCCCATGGTGGAGTTACAGACACCACACCATAGGGCTACAGAACCAGTGGCGAGAAGGAAGGAGGCATTGGCAGCACCTAGGTTACTCACCAATCCAGACACCCCACAATGGGGCTACAGACAGACACCCCATCATAGGCTATACAGACACCCTGTGATAGGGCTACAGTTAAGGAACGTCGCCCCAGGACTATTTCTCCATTGCAATTAGATCGATGTACACTGGGTTGGCAGTGCCCCACCAGTACAGAGAGTCCCTGAGTCAGCCCCTAGTCCAAGAGAACTAGGTGGCTGCTTGGGCTGGCTTCTGGATCCATCACTGGAGTGGGGCCACCGAACCATGGGCAGGTAGCCACAAGGGCAATCCTGGATGAGCCACCAAATTTGTAAGTGCCCAAGGGGTTCACCTTGCCTGCTGCCTAGACAAAGCCGATTCATCAAGACAGGGGAATTGCAATAGAGAAAGAGTAATTCACGCAGAGCCTGCTGTGTGGGAGACTGGAGTTTTATCATTACTCAAATAAGTCTCCCCAAGCATTCCTGGAGCAGAGTTTTTAAGGATAACTTGGTTGGTGGTTGGGGGGTGGGTAACCAATGAGCCAGGAGTGCTGGTCAGGGATGAAATCATAGGGAGTCGAAGTTGTCTTCTTGCACTGACTCAGTTCCTGGGAGGGGGCCACAAGATCAGAGGAGCCAGTTCATTGATCTGGGTGGTGCCTGCTGATCCACCGAGTGCAGGGTCTGCAAAATATCCCAAGCACTGATCTTAAGAGCAGTCTAGGGAGGGTCAGAATCTTGTGGCCTCCAACTGCATGACTCCTAAACCATAATTTCTAATTCTGTGGCTAATGTTAATCTAGTCCCCAGGCAAGAAGGAGGTCTCCTTTGGGAAAGAGCTGTTACCATTTTTGTTTAAACCATAAACTACAAACCCAGTTTCTCCCAAAGTAAGTTCAGCCTATGCCCAGGAATGAACAAAGACAGCTTGGGGTTAGAAGCAAGATGGAGTCAGTTAAGTTAGATCTCTTTCACGGTCTCAGTCATAATTTTGCACAGGTGGTTTCACTAACATTCCCTGGTGTATTGTAACAAGTACCCTGGACTGCCTAAGCTTGGAGAATGTTCTATGAAGATGGGGAGAGGCACATAGAGCTTGGGATTTTGGGTGACCAAGGTCAGGTCTTCTCTCTACCATCTCCTAGGTATGAATTTGGCTGGGCTTGTTCCAAATGACTTTCATTTTTGTCATCTGTGAAATAAAAACATTAATACCTACCTGGCCAGGGCTATGGGGGAGCTAAAATGAAATAATAATAGATGTGAACAAACTTTATTAGCTACAAAACCCTGAATCAATGCCAGTGGTATTTACCACTATGGCTACTATTATGGCTACTATTACTACAAAGAACACATTCAGGAGAGTGAGCCATCAGCGGCAAAAACTTTTAGGATGATTTAAAAACCGAAAATTGAGGCTGTTTGCAGTGGTTCATTCCTATACTCCTAGCACCTTGGGAGGCCAAGGCAGGCAGATTGCCTGAGCTCAGGAGTTCAAGACCAGCCTGGACAACATGATGAAACCCTGTCTCTACTAAAATACAAAATATTAGCCGGGTGTGGTGGCATACACCTGTAGTCCCAGCCACTCAGGAAACTGAGGCACAAGAATTGCTTGAACCTGGGAGGCAGAGGTTGCAGTGAGCCAAGATTGCACCACTGCACTGGTAACAATCAGACAGAGCGAGGTGACAGAGCAAGGCTCTCTCTCCAAAAAAAAAAAAAAAAAAAAAAAAAGAAAGAAAAAATAAATTTAGGTAAAATATACATATATAATTTACCATCTAGTTCAGTGATTGTCAATACATTTATATTCTTTTTTTTCTCCCCTTCATCCCCCACCTCCTTCCCAGCCTCCGATAACCACCAATCTACTCTCTATATTCAAGGATGGGGGTTTTTAACCTGAGGCCCATGAAAATCCATGGATGGACCTCAGGGAGTTTATCAAATTATAGGTTAAATTATGTGTGAGTGAGTGTATATGTGTGTGTGTCACTGGGGACAAGGGCTATGGCTTTCAACAAAGTTTCAACAGTTTCAGTGGCATCTGTGAGCCAGGAAAGGTTCAGAACCACCAGCCCCTTGCAGTGCCTGGTGAACAAGGGCGAAGCCGCATTCCCAGGGTAACCTGGCGTCCAGACGGAATCCCCATTCCAGGGCAGGATTTGTTGGCGTGGCTCCAAGTGGTGGGACAGAGTCATGCTACCAGTCAGTGAATGGAGTGTCACTTCACAGAAACCTGTTTCTGCCTGGCTGCCCCACCCTGGAAACTGGAAACTGGTCCGGTGGCTGGGAGAGGCATTCCCTCAGCAGGTGTGATCCAGGGAGAAGCGGCTCTGCAGGCTGCACTGGCCTTGCCCTCTGACTTGGGTAAAGTCCGCACCCAAGGCAACCAGCCCACACCAGAGGCAATGGGCCTGGATCTCATCTGCAGACCCAGGGGGATGGGTGACAGAGGGAAAGGCAACGGGAACCTGGCAGGGCCCTAAGGAGGGGTTGCCATCCATGTCACTGTGGGCCACTCAGGGTAAGCACAGGCTGGAATAATGGCCACCCCCACCCCCATCCCGAGCAACTCCCTGGGAGTCTTTCCAGGCTGGCCAGGCTGCAGGCCTGCCCCCAAGCCTCAAATACCCTCTAGCTGGCCACTTCCCTGGCAGCCTTTCGGGCCCAGCCCACAGTCAGCCTCCTCCAGGAGGGACACGGGCTCCAGCGACTCCTCTCCTGCTGCCCTCCTCCTCCCTGAACCCTCTAGCTGTAGGGAAATGGCTGAGACCAGACTTCAGGGTCACACTGATCTGGCTTTCAGACCTGGCTTCTCTATTCACTAACTGGTGCCCTTGAACATGTTGCTTAACTTTCTCAGCCTTGGTCTTAGCCTTCTCAGCCTCTCTATCCTTAGCTTATAAACTGCATGAAGATTAAATGAAATAATGTACATAAGCTTCTTTGCATAGAGCGTGGCTGGCAGCAAACAGCTCAATCAAAGGTCATTATGATTATTAGCTTGATGTATATCATTCTCTGATCCTTTCAAATGTTGTCATTTTGGTAGCCACAATTTAGATTCCTGAATGACAGGACCTGGATCTATTTTCATTATAGAAGAAGAGACTTGGCTGGGTGTGGTGGCTCACACCTGTAATCCCAGCACTTTGGGAGGCTGAGGCTGGCAGATCACCTGAGGTCAGGAATTTGAGACCAGCCTGGCCAACATGGTGAAACCCTGTCTCTACTAAAAATACAAAAAAATTAGCCGGGTGTGGTGGCAGGAGCCTGTAATCCCAACTACTCGGGAGGCTGAGGCAGGAGAATCGCTTGACTCTGGTAGGTGAGGGCCCTGGGAGTCTGAGATCCCAACTTGGGCATTCTATGGGGCAGCTCCCAAGGATTCAAGCATCCTCCCACTCAAAGCTGTTTGTCCCCTCACCTCTCCTCTCTCTAAAACTGTTCTTGCTGGAAAACCTCCTCTCTCCTCCCTGCAGCCACTGCCACTGGAGATGTGCCCAAGTCTTCATCCCTTGCCACATGCTCTCACTTTCTCTGTTGTCAACAGGACCTAAAAGCATCTTCCTGGAAGCCTCAGAGCCAACACACCTGCAGGCACTTGCTTAATATGCCTGCAGGTGAATGTTAGTGAATCTCAAAAGCACCCTAGGCACTGGGGAGACTGAGACTTCTAAATTAAACCTCCAAATGCCTCCAGGAGCTTAGAGTTTGGTAGAAAGATGACACAAATGAAAGGATGACCATGTGTAGGGACAGGAAGCTCTAAGGAGTGGAGAGAGGGGGAAAGAGCTGAATACTGTGGGGTAGCTACAATGAGAAGGAGGGGCACACTAGGATGAAAGAGCGTAGAAAGCAGAGACTTCTGATGCCTAAAGTGTTTACAAAACAATCCGCATGTGGTGGGCGCAGTGGCTCACACCTGTAAGCACTTTGGGAGGCTGAGGCGGGAAGATCACTTGAGTCCAGGAGTTCAAGACCAGCCTGGGCAACATAGTGAGACTCCATCTCTACAAATAATAATAATAATAATAAAGAAATTAGCCAAGTGTGGTGGTGCATGCCTGTAGCCCCAGCTACTAGGGAGGCTGAGGCAGGAGAATCACATGAGCCTGAGGTCGAGGTTGCAGTGAGCCATGTTACTGCCACTGCACTCAAGCCCAGGCAACAGAGCAAAACCTCATCTAAAAAAAAAACCCAGCATGATACTGTAATGGTGGAAACATGACATTAAGCATTTGTCAAAGTCCATAGAATGCACAACATAAAGCATGAGGCCTAATGTAAAGGAGGGACAATAGTTAATAACAATGCATCCATGTTTGTTCATCATACACACTAACGCAAGATGTTAATAACGGGGGTGGGGAGGGAGGGAATGGAAATTACCTTCTGCACAATTTTTCTATAAACCTACATCTGCTCTAAAACATAAAGTCTATTAAGAAAACAAAAGGCCAGGTGCGGTGGCTCACGCCTGTAATCCCAGCACTTTGGGAGGCCGAGGCAGGCAGATCACCTGAGGTCAGGAGTTTGAGACCAGCCTGGCCAACATGGCAAAACCCCGTCTCTACTAAAAATACAAAAATTAGACAGATGTGGTGGCGGGCACCTGTAATCTCAGCTAATCAGGAGTCTGAGGCAGGGAGAATTGCTTGAACCTGGGAGGCAGAGATTGCAGTGAGCCAAGATTATGCCATTGCACTCCAGACTGTGCAACAGAGTGAGAGCCTATCTCAAAAAAAAAAAAAAAAAGACAAAGAGCTGTCAACATAAAAACCCCGCTCCCAGTTTCTTTTGATAAATCTGAAGATCTAACAGCCCTGGGCTGAATCTGCACATGGAAAGAACGGGATGCAGCCCAGGAAACACAGCTTCTTCACATGGATACTCACCCTTAGGTTTGCTGAGGCCTCACTACTCCTGCCAGGCTTGGCTGGGAGCTTTGGGGAGTTTGGAGCCCTGGTGATAAAAGTCAGGTGTCTGATCACAGAGAAACAGGCAAATTTGGCTGGCGTCTTTGGAGCACCATTTCCCAGGCACTGGAAAATGACGACATCAATGGGAAATGATGAAGAAAGTGAGGAAAACCAGGACAGTTTTCAGACAAGTTGAGTTTGATTTGCATGTATTTGCAGTTAAAAAAAAATGTGACTGCATCTTGGAGGAGAAGTTGAGGCTACAGATACATTTCAGAGGGAGAGAAAAGTGGCTTTCAAAGCCCCAGGGAATACCTGAGGTCCCACCAAGGAGAGGAACACAGACAGGGGAGCCCAAGGGAGAAGAAAAAGCCAGGTTCATGGGATGATGTGGTAGAGGTGATGATAAGCGTTCACCCAGAACCTTAGTTTCCCGGGCAGATGGCTGTGCGTAGAAACTGCGGTGGGTGGAGAGGTAGATGAGGCTTAAGGAGACAGGAGGGGTCACGTGTTTGGGGAGTGGTCAGGAACCAGCCAGGTGAGAGGCAGCGAACTTGGTAGGCTGCTTGGGTTAATGTAGTTCCGAGTTTGCACCTGCCCTGGGGCTGGTAGCAGAAGTGGAGAGTGGGCAGGAATATGCTTGATCATTCATTCATTCATTCATTCATTCATTCATTCATTCATTCAGCACACATTTCCTGAATACCTACTATATGTCCAAAGCTATGGTAGGAAAGATATGGGGATGAAGAAGCAGACACAACAGTTCTATCCCTTAAGAGCTCACATTCTAGTGTAGATCTGCACTAACAATTGCCACGCGGCACATCTAATAGTAAAGCAGTGGTTATTGCAGACTCACTGTGCACCTGGCTGCAGGCCCAGGTGGGTGCTCGTTCCCTCTGCAAGAGAAACAAACATTCCAGGGTGCTGTGGCTGCCTGACCTATAAGGGCGATGCAGCTGCCTGGGGATAGACAGTGCTTAAAAAATAGTGGTTATGCCTCTAGGGGAACACAGAGGAGGGCATTATGCTAGGGAGTCAGGGGAGACTTCTTGAAGAAATGAAGCTTGGGGCCAGGCGCGGTGGCTCACGCCTGTAAGCCCAGCACACTGGGAGGCTGAGCTGGGTGGATCACCTGAGGTCAGGAGTTCAAGACCAGCCTGGCCAACATGGCAAAACCCTGTCTCTACTAAAAATACAAAAATTAGCCGGGCATGGTGGCGGGCACCTGCAGTCCCAGCTATTTGGGAGGCTGAAGCAGGAGAATCACTTGAGCCTGGGAGGAAGAGATTGTAATGTGCTGAGATTGCCCCACTGCACTCCAGCCTGGGCAACAGAGCAAGACTCTACCTCAGAAAAAAAAAAAAAAAAGAAATGAAACTTGGGATAAGTCTTGAAGAGTCAATAGGAGTGCCACAGCTATGGGGGAGAGCTGAGGGTATAGCAGGACAGGGCCATGGAGGTAGGAAGAGGGCGTGCCATTCGAGGACCTATCTGTAGTTCAGCACGGAAGTACGCAGGGTATGGAGTGGCAGGAGGCCAGAGTGGAGCCCAGAAAACAGAGGCCAGATGAAGAATTGGTGTGCGCTGCATATGAATGGGGTGGGAATGAATGCTCTAGTGGGACTGGGAAAAGAGAACCTGAGCCTCAGGGATGGTGATGAGACAGAGGCTGGCCACTCCAATTGTGGTGGCAAGGAGAATGCTGAAGAGTGAATGCAGCCTAATTTCAAACCCTGGCTCCATCATTTACTGTGTGCCCTTGGACAGATTCCTTAGTTTCTGAGTTTCTAATCACTTGAATGAGGATCATAAAAGTTTCAACGGCTCTGGTGAGGATGAAAACCCATGGTATCTACCAGATGACAAGGACTCAATAAAGAGCTATTATCACCACTGCATTTTAAGCTGTCTCAGGTCTGCATTAATGCTCTCTCCTGTGCCTTCTGCCCTTGGTTTATAAAACTGCTTGAAAACAGACTGTTTCTCCTCCAGCTCTGACCCACCTCCTGGGCTGGAGCCGTGGCAAATGGGCACTCCCTGTGTGAGGATGGCAGGGGGTTGCCATGGTGACCTCCCAGCTTGGCTTAGGACTCTGAGTGTACTGAGCCTTTTTTCTTTTTTCTTTTTTTTTTTTTTTGCCCTAGCTATCCCAGCTATTCTAAATATTTACTGCTAGACGATTATTACATATCTGAAAAAGCTGAATGATATTCCCTAGCACATTGCAGAGAAAAATGGAAAACAATCCACATTTCTGGCAACAGAACTGGTGGGTAACTTACGGCCACATCCATGCAAAACTGTACCGTGGGGCTATTAAAAATGGTACAGATCTGTGGTAACTGACAGGTAACGGTGTCATGACAAGTTGTTAAGTGAAAAAAAGCAGGTTATAGAACAGCCTAAATCTCGTAATACTGTCTATATAAAATGGTGCTACATTTAACTGCTTTGTATTTATGAACAGAAGAAGATTTAGAAGGCTGTTCATTGTGGCTCTCTCTGGATGGTAGTGGTAGATCAGCAAATCTAGGGATTTGCTTTACTCTTTCTCCTTTTCTGTAACAACAGGGTTTGCCCACAATGAGCATGTATATTCTTTTTTCTTTTTCTTTCTTTCATTTAACGCAACGCTATTAGAAGAAAATAAATGAATGAGTCCTCTAACTCTTGGCAGGTCTTAAAAGGATTAATTGTGTCAGCCAGCCCATGGGTTGCAAATGCTGGCATTTGCTTGTACATTCACCTGAGAAGGTCACAGGTGAGCCTTACTCTATGTGCCCCCATCCTGCCTCTGGCCCAGGAGCACCACTGGCCGTTCAGGGGAGCTGGGGACCAAGTCCTAAAGCCTAACAGCTCATGCATTTGGAAAAGCCACCCCATTTCCCTGAGCCGAAGGCATAAAGAGGGGGATCCCTCCCTCACCACCATAGGTGAAGGTGGAGGCTGGTGGGAGCACTCTCACTGGGAGCATGGCAGAGGCCATCTGCTAGTAGACCTATATCAAGCACTCACTGTGCGCCAGCCTCTGTGTTATCCCTGGAGACTCATGGAGATCCAGGCAGACTCTTGGCCTAGTGGACAGAGGGCTCCAGGAAGGGCTTGGAAATCCAAATCCTCCTCATTGTTCCTGCAAGGTTCTCTTCTCCTGCCCCATGTTCCACACTTTATGTTCAAACAAGAAAATAGCGCAGTCCCCAGCAGTAGGTCCTGGAAAACCCCACTCCTTAGCATATCCTCAAGCCCTCCGCAGTCCCCCAGCCCCACCTCCCACCAGCCTTGCCATATGCCTGCCCTCCTGTCATCTCGGTCCTTAGTGCACCAGGAACTTCCCACCCCCATGCGCTCTTTGTGCTCGTTATTTGCACTGGATGAGACATCTCTTACTCCATCTTCTCTTCTTGATGAAATAATTCCTCTTCTTCTTCCTCTTCTTCTTCTTCTTCTTCTTCTTCCTCTTCCTCTTCTTCTTCTTCCTCGTCTTCTTCTTCTCCCTCTTCTTCTTCTTCTTCTTCTTCTTCTTCTTCTTCTTCTTCTTCTTCTTCTTCTTCTTCTTCTTCTTCTTCTTCTTCTTCCTCTTCTCCTTCTTCTTCTTTTTTTTTTTTTTTTTTTGAGACAGGGTCTCACTCTGTCACCCAGCCTGGAGTGCAGTGGTACAAACACAGCTCACTGCAGCCTCGACCTCCTAGGCTGAAATGATCCTCTTACCACAGCCTCCCTCCTGAGTAGCTTGGACCACACGCACACGCCACAGTACCTAGCTAGGTTTTTTTCTTGTTTTTTATTTTTGGTTTTTTTGAGACGGGGTCTCCCTCTGTCATCCAGGCTGGAGTGCAGTGGTGCGATCTCGGCTCACTGCAACCTCTGCCTCCTGTCTTATCCTCCTAAGTAGCTGGGATTACAGGTGCCCGCTACCGCGCCCAGCTGATTTTTGTATTTTTAGTAGAGACAGGGTTTCACCATGTTAGCCATGGATGGCCAGGCTGGTCTCGAACTCCTGACCTCAGGTGATCTGCCTGTCTCAGCCTCCCAAAGTGCTGGGATTACAGACATGAGCCACTGCACCCGGCCCTGGCTAGTTTTTAATTTTTTTTTTTTTTTTTTTTAGAAATGGGGTCTCACTATGTTGCCCAGGCTGGTCTCAAGTGACCCTCCCACCTTGGCCTCCAAAAGTGCTGGGATTACAGGCATAAGCCACCAGTCTTCTTGACAAAATTCTTCCTTTTGTTATGGCTAAACGCAAATGTCACCTGCTCTATAATGCTTTCTAGGGTAAAATTAGCTTCCACTCACTTCTGGGTTCCAGTACAAGGGTATCTATCATTTCATTTGCAAACTTCAGTTAGATTCCAGTGTCCTGGTTTCCATCAGGTCAAGACAGACCCAGCTTGTCTTGGTCATTGCTGTGCCCGTGGTGCCCAGCCCAGGAACACTGTCCAGTGTTCCTGTTCAATGAATGAATGTTTGCTGAGCCACTGAATGACTTCTGCTGTCCACTGCACTCTGAGCCCTAGAGGCAGGGTCTGGCCTGGTTGTCTGGCATCTTCTACCTGGTGGTTGCCACGCTGTGTTCACGAAAACTGCACTTCAGTGCCAAAATTGTATATCTGTTTGGTCCAAAGATATTTATTTCAAAAGTTTAAACATAGGAAATCTCAAACAAACTAATTGTAAAACAAAATGTAGGAGACAACTGGGAAAATGTCAACATTTGCTCTTTTATGATAATGAGGAATTATCAATTCTTAAGGTACAGTAATAGTACTGTGGTTATGTGTTTTATTGGGCCATTTTCCTTTGGAGATGTATACTGAAGTAATTGCAGATAAAACGATATGACGTCTCAGACCGGCTGTAACAAAATCTGGTGGGGATCCAGGGGACTGGGTAAGAGTATAGATAAAAAACGGCCATGAGTTGATAATTGCTGGAGCCAGCATGGAAGTTAATCTACTAATCTCTCAATCTTTGTATATGCTTTGAAAATGAGAGAATAACAATGTCAGAAAAAACCCTGAAATATGAAATATGTCTTTTGAGTCCTACTCAGATGTTGCATGCCTATAGACAAAGCAAAACTCTGTTGCAAGAATAATTACCACTCTATTCACAGACTTTCCTAACATGTGGGATATCAACATGACAGTTTTGAAACTGATACAGGAAGCGTGCATCAGAATCTCCATCTGAACAAGATAAAACCAAAGAACTCAAAGGCAAATCGGAAATGCTTTAGAAACAAAAATTGTGGCTCCTTATAAATAAAAGACGGCAGTCTCTGAAAAAAAGCCAAAAGGCCTTGTCGGCGGAAAATATTCGAAGATATCACACAAATATATCTTCTCACTATTCCCCAACTAGGGTAGAGTCAGGAAAAGCTTTTTCTAGAAAATTTTACAGGGAAAAAAAGCATACTTGTGACATAATGATATTGCCAACATCCTTTGATTTTAAATTTCTGCTTTAAAAGGGATCAAATAGTATCCCTTCTTGAACTTTCCATGACTGAATTTTGAGGTTTTGAGGTGGATAGGTTTTAATGTTTTGAATATTTCATTTTTGTTTATTTTATCTGCTAACATAGACTAGAATGAGAATGTGTATTTTTCTAAGTCAATGTTTATTGGTATTCTAAAGCATTTTTATATTTAAAATTATTAAATATTTGGGTTTCCTGTTTTACATTTTTTAAATACCTTTTTGTAAAATACAAATACTGATTTCAGCAATATATGATATGCATATTATCGGCCCTGGTGATCTTACCCGAGCATGCAATAACTATTTCCATGCATTGTCAGAGCTGGAAGGGGATGCTAGGCACCTCTCTGAATGGACATCCAAACCACCCAGAAAGTTAAAAAATACTAATGCCCAGGCCGAACCCCAGCTCATTTAAATCCAGCTCACCAAGGGTCAGGGGAGGGGAAGGGGACCCACGTCAGTGACTGTAAAGCTGGTCCCAGGTAAGAGGAGCAGAGCCCACCTGGAGCCAGTCTGCTGCTGAGCCCTGTAGATCTAGCACCAGGGTGCCAAACGCCAGCCTGGGATCGTTCTGGCTCTATGCTACCCAGCTAGTTGGCCTCCAGGGTGGGTGCAGCAGGCGGGGTCCTCCCCCAAGGCTGGGAAAGGGCGAAGCCCCTGCCAGGCTGATGGAAGGTGACTCCAGGCCCTGACTGTTGGGTTCCCCTCACCCCAACGGGGAAGGCTCTGGCTGCGGGGGAAGGCGAGATCCTATCTCCACCCTGCTCTCAAGCTTCTAATCTGATCAGAAACTTGAAGTCTGAGATAAAGCTGCCAGCCTGTGGAAGCCAGACCAGACCGCAGAGGAAGGAAAGGAAGGAGACCCAGAGAAGACGTGGGGCGAGGGTGAGTGCCTTCACATGTCCAGGGGCAGCAGGCTGGGAACCTGGAGGAGGCCATGCAACCGCTGAGAGCAGAACCAAGACCCCCAGACAAGAGCTTCCAGGAGACAGGCTTCATTCAGCTCAACCCACAGAGGCAAGCACCCGCATGCTGCTCCATGGGCACTGAGCTCCCTGCTCCAAAAATGTCCAAATCGAGTCTAAGTTTCTAACCCTGGGAAGAGGTGAGGACTGGTTAAAGCTAGGGTAGAGACAGGAGCCTGGAAACCTCTCTGGCAGCAAGTCCCAAGCCCAGCTGTGTTTCCAAAGAAACCTGGCTTGTCAGAACCCAGAGCCGCCAAGGTGGGCCTATCTCGAACCTTCTGAATCAGGGTCCCTTGGGGTGCTGCCTGGGGATCACCCTGTTATCAGGCTCCAGTGGTGAGTCCCATGCTCAGCCCAAGGAGGGAACAACTGCTCTGAGCTGTGCTCGTTCGGGTCACATGGCCTAGAATCCGTTTGGGAGACAAGACACTCACAACCAAAAGCAAGCAGAAGTACAAGGAGCTGGGGACCCATAGAGCAGTCCCCCTTATCCATGGCTTCAGTTTTTGGGGTTTCAGTTACCTGCAGTCAACGGTGGTCCAAAAATAGGTATATATAGTGCAACAGGATATTTTGAGAGAGTGGGAGAGGGAGAGACCACATTCATATATATATATATATATATATATATATATATATATATATATATATATATATATGTATATATTTATATATATATTTTTTGAAATGGAGTCTCGCTCTGTCGCCCAGGCTGGAGTGCAGTGGCACAATCTTGGCTCACTGCAACCTCCGCCTCCTGGGTTCAAGCTTTTCTCATGCCTCAGCCTCCCAGGTACCTGGGATTAAAGGCGCCCCCTACCACGCCTAGCTAACTTTTGTATTTTTATTAGAGACAGGGTGTCCCCATGTTGGCCAGGCTGGTCTCAAACACCCGACCTTAGGTGGTGATCCACCTGCCTCGGCCTCCCAAAGTGCTGGGATTACAGGCGTGAGCCACTGCACCTGGCATCGTATAACTTTTATTATAACATATTATAATAATTGTTCTGTTTTATTATTATGGTGGTTAATCCTTACTAATTTATAACTTACTCTTTACCATAGGTATGTATATACAGGAAAAAACATAGTATATACCAGGTTTAGTACTATCTGTGGTTTCAGGCATCCACTGGGGTCTTGAACTACCTCCCTTGCAGATAAGGGGGACTACTGTACTAGCAGGACAAGGTGAAAAGCAGGTGCCCCAAGAAGAAGGAGGCAGAATGGATGACGGAGGTGAGTTTAAATTCAATCCCACATCTCTGCAGTGAGTGCGTGCTCAGTGCTGGGGTCTGAGCTGGGCAGAGTGTCAGAAATGTTGGCTGCCCTCAAAGAGAACCCCATCTTTCTGAGGAGACAAGACATACCCAGTGGACCACGAGCAGGTAACAGGAGAGAGGGAGACAGACATCTCTGAGGGATCACCTGCCTCCACCTGGGTGTTAAACAGGTGTCTCAAACATGACATGGCTGCATAATGTCTGACACCAAATCCTGCCTTGTGCTTCGAACAAGCTGCCCCCTCTGCTTCGAGATGCATTTCTTGCCTGCCTAGGCAATTCCACCACACCGTCTGTCCCAGCCCGAGCCCCACTTCATCAGCCTCCAGTGCACCCCTCTTCTCCTCTGAGCCCCTGCTGCAGCTCAGGCTGGCTGGGTGCTCCCAGAGCACACCAATGCCCCTCTGGATGGCAGGGCTCCTGCCTTGCCCACTGCTGAGTCCTCGCAACGAAACATTGCCCGATGTATGGGATAGCACTCAGAAAAGATCTGCCTGGTGGCTCGGCGAAGTTCAGAGAAGAAACCCTGCGCAAGGATGGTGGTGCAGTCAGGGCAGGCTCCTGGTGGAGGCAGTGCTTTAGGTGGATACCAAAGAGGCTGAGGACTTGCTTTGGCAGAGAAGGGAACGATGTCCCCAGAGACAGCAGAGGCACAAGGCAGGGAGGCAGACTGGCAGACGGCAAGTAGGGAGGCCTGCTGGTGCTGAGCTCAGAGAGGCAAGAGGTGGGAGCACAGCATGGGGAGAAGGGGAAAGGAGGGTGGGCACGTGGAGAAAGCCAAGACATAGCACCCCGGGTGCATTTCAATGCCAGGCCAGTGAGGGAGCGTCCAGGGAGCTGCTGCACCTCCCTAGATGATTTGCATTTGTGGGAAGCTTTTCTAGCAATCATTAACTCTGAGCTTCACCCACTGGGACTGGGGGGATTGTAAATCTATAAAGCTGTAGGTGAGCCATTTCACGTAATCATTACCCAAAGAGCACACCTCACAGGTGAGGGGAAAATGGTCAGGGCAGCCAAGCAGCCAGGGAGATGTGAACTGGCAGAGGGAAGAAGGCTGCATGGACCTGGGTAGGGGGGTGGACCGGCATGGGCCCAGACCTCAGCAGAGACTGGAGGGTACTAGGGGTCAGAGAAGGCTGCAGGGCACAGATGGGAAAGGGCATGTCTTGTAAGTGGCCCCACAGCCAGTGGGGAGCTTAGATGGGGTGAGGGAGCCTGGGTGGATGCCCCCGCCTGCATAATGTCCAACCACTCCCCCTGGTGTGTATGGCATTTGGGCTCCAGAGTCAGCTCACCCAGGCTTTGAGTCCCGAAGCCCCTCTGGGCCTCACTTTCCTCCCTTGTGAAATGGAGATGATGAGTTTGATTTGAAACACCACTATTGAGCACTCAATCTATTCTAAACCCCTTGTGGACTGGGTGCAGTGGCTCACGCCTGTAATCCCAGCACTTTGGGGGCTGAGGCGGGCAGATCACCTGAGGTCAAGAGTTCCAGACCAGCCTGGCCAACATGGTGAAACCCCATCTCTACTAAAAATACAAAAATTACCCAGGCCTAGTGGCGTGTGCCTGTAATCCCAGCTACTTGGCAGACTGAGGCAGGAGAATTGCTTAAACCCAGGAGGCAGGTGTTGCAGTGAGCCAAAATCCCACCACTGCACGCAGCCTGGGGGACAGAGCAAGACTCCATCTCAAAATAAATAAATAAATAAACCCCTTATGGGCATTTTACACCCCACTTAATTTTCACAGCATCTCTTCAGGTGGACACTTTTATAATCCCCAGAGCAACTACCTCTTTGGGGTGTTTCAAGCATTAGTAAGTGTAAGCCCCATGTGTAAGCCCTTGATGCATAGCCGGGACTCAAAAAGAGCAACTGTCATTCTAACTTATGACCAGGGACATGCCTTCTCTGGCCTGTCCCAGGCTACAAGATAAAACGGAAAATGTATTTCTCCTTCCTTCTTGCTAGGACATTATTTTTCCCGCTAACCCAATATCGTAAGTAACACATTTCACAATATTTGAATGCAGTGGTGGATTAAGAGCCCCGTGGCTGAAATGTGACACAACGTCATTATTGTAGCATTATTAAGCACAGGCTTTTTTTTTTAAAGGGCTGAGGCAAAATGCATTATTTAAAACCTTATGGCCGGGCACGGTGGCTCATGCCTGTAATCCCAGAACCTTGGGAGGCCAAGGCAGGTGGATCACCTGTGGTCAGGAGCTCCAGATCAGCCTAGCCAACATGGCAAAACCCCGGCTCTACTGAAAATACAAAAACTAGCCGGGTGTGGTGGAGCACGCCTATAATTCCAGCTATTCTGGAGACTGAGGCTTGAGAATCACTTGAACCCAGGAGGCAGAGGTTGCAGTGAGCCAAGGTCACACCATTGCACTGCAACCTGGCAACAGAGGGAGACTCTGTTTCAAAAAAATAAAAAAATAAAAAACCCTATGAATAATGAGAATAACAGTTCATCTAAATCAGCCCCCAAGAACGTGCAGCCCAAGCTCAGAAGGTGTAAATAGTAAGCCCTCCGCCTTCCCCGAGGCTTCACTGCCCAGGACCACCTCTGAGGCTCCAGGCTGGCCTTGAGCTCCTGACCCAAGGACTGCCCCGAGCCCAAGGGGAAGGAAGCGGCATGAGACTGGCAAGTGCATGACAGTGGAGGGGCTGGAGGGGAAGATTCTTACTACAGTTGTCCCTAAACCCAGGTAGTCCCTGCCCCCAGAGCTCCAACTGCCATTGCTTGTCATGGGAAATGATTCACTTTGCCCAGGGAGAAAAAGCAGGGCCTCTATATGAAAAGTGAGAAGAAAGGAAATAACTTCTGTAGTTTAGACACCTCTCCCAAACTCGTGTCCCTGGGTATGTGAGGTGGAAAGTGCCAGTCAAGGTGAAACACACTTGGAGATAGGTCCTTGCATTTCTTGGCACAGGAATGTCACCCAGGGCTGGCTGTGGTAAGAAGGTAAGGCTGGGTAAGAAGGTGGAAAAGTGGTCACCTCTGCAGTGTGAGTCAGGGGCCAGCCCCTGTGACTTGAGACTGGAGATTTCCCCATTCGAGACCCATTCCCTTGGGTCTTCAAGGATGCTGGAAAACGCGAAGACATGCTGATGCTTTGGGGAGAGGGGAGGTGCTGTGGGGATTCACTGGAATTATTAGAGCAAACTTTTCTTTTCTTTTATTATTCAGACAAAGACCCCGATCTTCCTCCCTGAACAAAGTGAATTCATTTCCTCAATAATTGGCAACCATTGATGCTGCAGGGGACACATGAGAGCAGAAGGGGCGGAGTGGAAGGGCAGAGAACGCAGTTGCAGTCGTGTGAAGGCCCACCATAAACAGTCTGTGGGGAAAGGAGCTCTGGGCAAGGACTCCTAAGACGTGGTTCAAATCTGACTTGAGCTGTCCCCTGGGAAGCCCAAGGGATTCTGCACAAGCTGCACACCCTTCAGTCTCCTCATCCCAGGCTGAGAGAATAGAGACGACCACTCCTGCACTGCTCCTCCAGAGTGGTCCGTAAGATCACATTTAATAGAGTGCCCGGCACCAGCAGGCGCCCAGACAGCGATACTGAAGGCACAATCAGACACAGCCCAGGCACATGAAACCCTTCAGCTCCCCCAAAGCAGGAGTCGTCTAACCCCCTAGAGACCCGGTGCAGCCTCTGTTCTTCTCATACCTGCAGGACACTGGAACAAAGCCATATATCATAGAACAAGACCCACCTTTATCAGGAGAGCTGTTTTCCCTTTGAAAGTCAAATCTGAGGCCTTGGGACAATGCGGGGTGTTCCCAGCACACCAGGCCCGGTGGAGGAGGCCCAGCCAGAGGCTCCCTCTCCTCCCCAGCACACTGCCCAGCCAGCCTGCAAGAGCACGGCTGGAATTCACCTCCTCAGACTCCTCCTCTGTTCTTTTCAGGCCTTTAAGGTAATCCTGAGGGTGTGAAGCAAAGACTTTATCATCCATGGGGGGGAATGGTCCAGATACCTAAAGGCAAAAATGATGCATCCAGAAGAAAGGCCAGGTAGGAATCCAAGGCCCAGAGATGTTGGGTGGCTGCTCAGGACCACACAGCGAGCTGATCGCGGGTCCAGAGGCCATGGTCTTGTTAAGCTACACCCAGAAGTAATGTTCCAGCAACTGGGCATCTGGAACTGCCTCTAGGACAAAGGTAAGATTAAACCAAACCAGACTAGGAGGGACAGGAGGGAGAAGGGCAGCTGGGCCAGCCACTTTCCCTTCCTGCTTGGTTAAGCCCACGCTTAAGCCAAAGTTTTCATCCTCCTGCACACAATTTCCTTTTTTTTTTTCCACTTACAATTTGTAAAAAATGATTAGTCAGGTTCTAGAGAGGACGTGTACCAAAGACATCGAAGAAATGAACAATTGGCATCCTCTATTTCAGAAACGGAAGCCCTCCTCTCAGAACTCCCTGCTCCCTATCACTCCCTTTCAGCAAGCCAGGATTCCAGGCAGGAGGCATTAGTGAGCCCTGATCTGGGAGAACAGTTGTTCCCTGGGCGCTTGGGGAGGCGGCTGTGAAGGAACTTCAGTCCCTCACAGAAAGGCAAGGTCCCTGAGTCCACCCACTCCCCACCCTGCCCATCCAGCTTGCAGCCCCCCCAGGACTCCCCAGCTGGCAGAGAGGGGGCAACATTCACAGATCCCCACCCTCACTGTTGGCAGGAACTCCATTGCCTCCTGTCCCTTTCCTTCTTAGGCGGCTCACCTGCTCACCTGTCACCCCCCCACCCCAGGGTGACCAGTCGCCATCCACTGGCCACCCTGAAGGGCTGACACTCAACCTCCTCTCGGGAACACCTGGCTCTGTAGAGTGCCGGAAATGGGGCCTCCCTGGTGGACTTCCTTTTCTCTTCCTTCCCCTTTCCTACCTTTTCTAGACATACTGTCTGCTCGAGCTCTTCCTTTTTTCAAGAAATCTTCTCTGCCAACCACAGCCCATCTAGGTTCCCTTTATTTATTTATTTATTTATTTGGTTGTTGTTGCCGCTGTTTTTGAGACAGAGTCTCACTCTGTTGCCCAGGCTGGAGTGCAGTGGTGCAATCACAGCTCACTGCAGCTTCAGCTCCCTGGGCCCAAGTGATCCTTCCACCTCAGCCCCCTTGAGTAGCTGGAACTACAGGCACACACCACCATGCCCAGCTAATTTTTAAAATTTTGTAAAAATGGGGGTCTCACTATGTTGCCCAGGCTGGTCTCAAACGCTTCAGCTCAGGGGATCCTCCCTCCTTGGCCTCTGAAAGTGTTTGGATTTTACGGGCATGAGACACTGTGCCTGGCTGGGTTCCCTTATTCTCTGCATTGGCAATGGGGACTATAGGGCATATCAGGGAGTCGTGACAGGGTCTTTACTGGGGAGGTAAAACACATACAACAAAGGTTTAAGATCCATGCCACCTGACCCAGTTCAGGGTTCGTGAGAACTAGGCAAGCACTTGCTGAATATGAGATGACTTCCCCACAAATTCCACTCTCAAAAAGGTAAATAACTGTGTAAGCAACGATACAAGAGAAATCCCAAGGTAGCATGAGGAATCGCCCAATAGGTGCATGTGTTCGTGAACTTCCCATGGATTTACTGATTTATAGCACATAGGACTGTGACCTAGGCCAGCATTATTAGAACAGGCAAATCCCCACCCCCAAAAAAGAGTCTCTGTGATTTGAGGCAGTGTGGAACAGGGCCTCAGGCTTCAGTACTGCAATGCCATCACCCACCATCCAACCAGTATTGCTCAAGTCTTCATGCTTTAAAGACTTTTCGGTTTTCCAGTTTCTTTTTTTTATTTCTCAAGTCAAATGCCCCTGGAAAGTCAGAAGCAGTCACCAGGTATGGGCAGCTGATCCTGGGGGACGGGGGGACT
Source organism: Homo sapiens (assembly GCF_000001405.40). Taxonomy (NCBI): domain Eukaryota; kingdom Metazoa; phylum Chordata; class Mammalia; order Primates; family Hominidae; genus Homo; species Homo sapiens. Next base: position 69,312,631 of record NC_000015.10, on the reverse strand, counting down.
GGACAGGAGAAGGGGGGTTTTCATGGGGAGGAAGAAGGCACCAAGAGGGCTGAGGCTCACTTCAGATGGGAGCGAAGTTCCCCCGCTGCTGTGACAAGCAGAAGAGAGAGAAGAGGATGACTTTTGCCAGGGTTGAAGGGCAAAGTCAGATGATTGAGCTCAGCCAGGAATGGGGTTTTGTTAATGTGGTAACCAAAAGGTAGCAGGGTAGGGGGTTTACTGTATAGCAACAGTCAAGTTGGACCTAATGCAAGGTTGGAACACACATCTAGGTCCTTCATCATAGGCACCTTCAAGCCCCACTCTGAGCCCCCAGAAGGAGTTACCACAAAATCAAATCATTCTTGGAAAGAAAAATCCTGTTTTCAAAAAGCATCTGCAGGCTCCACCCTACCTCTTGGACCCTCTCGCCCCTGCCTCCTCTATACAACATCAGATTAACCTCCTCATTGCAGATTTTCCTCCAGCCTCTTTCAGTTCTGATTGCTGTCCTCCCGGACACCCAAACACACCCACACACTCCCCTGCACCCCGCAGTTTGCTCTTGCCTTTCCCACTACAACGCATCTCCTCATCTCCATTCTTCAGAATCCATCTCCCCAGCCCACTTCCTCCAGGAATTCTTCCCGGAGAGCTTGCTTATTTAACCACTCATGCTCTGATGGCTCTGGAGCCTCACTGGGCCTGCAGTTTACTGACCCTTACATTCTATTCCTGTTTGAGGGTCCTTTGTGGTCTCAATTGTACCTGCAGGATTTTAATTGATGGAGGCAACTGAGTGATAACAGAGGCAATGTTGCTGAAAGAAGAATGTATCACCCACATTTCCCAAGAGGAGGGGCCACACCAAACCCAGTGTGTGGCTGCAGGGGAATCACCAGGCTTTGGTCAGTGAGCGTGAGGCCTCGGTCAGATCCTTTATTGGGTTTCAACGGGAAAAGCACAGCAGGGCAGGTTGAGCAGGTTAGGAATGGCTAGTTTAAATAACCCCTGTGGGCACTGGGGCGTAGAGGCTGTCCCAACTCATTTGGTACCTCAGCCTGGGCGACTAAGGGCAGGGAAAGATTGGCAGGGTGCATCCCAGTTAGATAAGGAAGTGATTCAGAGCATGGATTTTAAGTTGCAGGGGAGATGGAAACAACTTGGGCTGATTGCTTGCCCTGTGACTAACAAATGCCACACAAACAAATACAAAATCTAAGCAAACGTCAGAACACCATCCACTCACTTCCCTCATCTAACTCAGGTTCCAGGCTTCATCAGTCCAATCATTCTCTTGCTACATCGGTGAACTCTCTCATCCCTCTAACTTCTGCCATCTCGTGAACACAGCCCCTTCCCTAGATGAACTCACGATTTCCTTCACTCTTTCAACGTGTAGCCATCCAATTCCTGGCACACAGCTCCGTCTTCCCTCCCTTCTACTTGTCATGACAGCGAGGTATCTCCCTTCCTGCCTAAGGACAAGCCCTGGTCCATTCTGGAACTCACCTAAATGCTTCCTCAGGGACCTCCATATCAGAGATCCCCTCTCTAGTGAATCTCTTCCATCAACACTCATTATTCTTTTTTTTTTTTTTTTTTTTATTTTTTGCGACGGAGTCTTGCTCTGTTGCCCAGGCTGGAGTGCAGTGGCGCGATCTCGGCTCACTGCAAGCTCCGCCTCCCGGGTTCACACCATTCTCCTGCCTCAGCCTCCCGAGTAGCTGGGACTACAGGCGCCCGCCACCACACCCGGCTAATTTTTTTGTATTTTTAGTAGAGACGGGGTTTCACCGTGTTAGCCAGGATGGTCTTGATCTCCTGACCTCATGATCCACCCGCCTTGGCCTCCCAAAGTGCTGGGATTACAGGCATGAGCCACCGCGCCTGGCCAACACTCATAATTCTTAAAAAACAGCAGTAACAGCAATAATAATAATAATAATAAATTGTTGACCAAATGAGGAAGGGAAAAACGTATAATGTATATTCCAGACAAAAGACTAGTTTCTCCAATACTTCAAGATTCCCTCTGATTCCTCTAATAAGAAAAAGTTCTGATAAGAACAACTTCAAATAAAATTGATAAAACATATGAATAGACAGTTCACAGAAGAGGAAATTCAAATGACTTTTATATCTGTAATAATATATTTAACTTTATTCAAAAATGCAGGTTAAACTATATCAATAAATCATTTTTTGTCTTCCAGATTGGCAAATATTGGTGTGTTTGGTAACACTCTCTGTTGGAGGGTGTGGTAAATGAGTATTCTCATCCACTGCTGGTAGGTGGGTACATTCTTACAAACTCTATGGACAGCACATTGCCGATATCTTTCCAAATATAAACGCACATACCCATGAACCACCAATTCCACTTCTAGGACTTTATCCTACCTATAGCCACCTACATTTGCAAAATGACTGAAGTACAAGGGGATTCTGTGGGAAATCATTTGTGGTGGCAAAAGGCTCAAAACTGCCTCCATGTCCAAAAAACAGATTAGTTAAATAAGTTATGTGACATCCATAAGCAAGAAAGAAGCAGCTTTCTTTTGTTGTTGTTGTTGTTTCGTTTTGTTTTTTTTGTTTTTTTTTTAATATGGAGTCTCACTCTGTCACCCAGGCTGGAGTGCAGTGGAGCGATCTCAGCTCACTGTGACCTCCACCTCCTGGGTTCAAGTGATTCTCCCACCTCAGCCTCCCAAGTAGCTGAGATTACAGGCACCTACCATCATGCCTGGCTAATTTTTGTATTTTTGTAGAGATGGCATTTCACCTTGTTGTCCAGGCTGGTCTCAAACTCCTGACCTCAGGTGATCAGCCACCTTGGCCTCCCAAAGTGCTGGGATTACAGGCATGAACCACCGCACCTGGCCAAGAAGCAGCTTTCTAGGTACTGATATGGAGAAACCTCACAGTAGGTAGCTAGGTGGAAAAATTAAGACGCAGGGGCAGAGTGCATGCATGTGCCACCATCCGGGGGAAATAATCTGTATACGTCTTTTCTAACACATGCGTGGAACTGGTAACATTGCCTCTGAGGAGGGAGGGGACAGGGAGATCGGGGGAGATAGGAGGATGAAAACTCTTCCCAGTGAGATCCTAAACCCACTTCCCTTTCTGGCTTCTTCACTCTCTCCTCACGTCTACTGACACATTTTTGGAAAAACTGTCTGCCAGCTGCCTCTCTTCCCACCTGCTGCCCATTCCTCAACCATCTAAGTCTGGTTCCTCCTCATAGCACTTCAAAATCCCCAGGCACTTCTCAGTCCTCATGCACTTACTCGTGCTCCACAGGCTTCACCGTGGCCCATGCCCTGCGCCTGGAGCACTCTTCCATGGGCCTCCACAGCACCATTCTCCATACGGTCCTCCACTATCTCTCTTGGAACTCGTTCTCCATCTCTAAATGTTGGAGCTCCTGCTGCTTCCTGCCAGGCCCTCCTCTCCATGCTCCACTTCTCAGTCTGCAGGCTCTCCCGGGGCTGTCCCATCCACCCCATGGCTTCTCTCATCACCTGTATGCATGTAGCTTCCAACTGTGTAGCTCCAACCAGGCCTCTCTTCTGAGCTCAGGACCCCACCTGCTGTCTCCCAGGTATCTCCAACCCAGCATGCTCCAAATGTAATTCACCAGCTTCTAGTTGGTTTCATTCTCTGCACCTGGGGGATTTCCTTAGCACTCTCATGTCCAAACCCTTTCGGTCATCAGAACCTAGAGTGTTCCCTCTGGAAGATCCCTAGAATCTGACCCTTCTCTCCCACCTTCACCACTGCTTGCCTAATCAAAGCCTTCCCCATTCATTCAGTGAGGAAGCTACACCAGGTTCCTCACTGCTGCCTCCATGCTGTCTCTCACCTCAGGGCCTTTGCACTTGCTGGAACCTGTGCCTTGAATACTCTCCTCCACTCTCCACCCCTGCTGTATCCTAACTAATTCTTATCTATCTTCTGGAATTCAGATTAACATAACTACCTCAAAGAAACCTTTTTGACCCTTAGACCAATGGATCTCATTGGGGATGGTTTTGCTCCCCAGTGGACATTTGGCAATGTTTGGAGATATTTTTGGTTGTCACAAGCAGGGAGGGGGTGTGTGTGGCTACTGGCATCTGTTGCATAGAAGCCAGGGATGCTGCTATACATCCTGCAGTGCACAGGACAGTCCCACACGACAAAGAATTATCTGGCCCAATATGTCAGCAGGGCCAAGGTGAGAAATCCTGCTCTAGCCTGTCATGTCCCCATGATACATTTCCATAACACACTCCATTTCTCCTGCAGACATTCAATCTTTAGCTGTGCAAAGGTATTGGCCAGATTCCATTCTCTGAGCTTTATGGGATGAATAAATGAATTAAAGTCACTAGGTCATGTTGATCTCTGGGTCTCTACCCACAGTGCCCAAACCAAGCATGCAGCCTCGAGCTTGGCAGTGAGAATGTGTGGATTGATATGACATGCCCAGGGCAGGGATTGAGCCACACTGAGCAGAGGCCACCCTGTGTCCTGGCTTTCAACTCCGCAGGGCCCTCCAGGTCATCTGATGGCAGTCCTTGCCCTGGCCCTTGACTGGCTTCTCACCTTGAACTCAGCAACTAGCTCTGCAATGCCTTTTCACACTTGTCAATGCCTCGTCTCTAAGTTCATCTCCAGGTGGTTCTGTGGGCCCCTTAAAGCCACCAGGCCCAAGTTTATCCACTCCTCATCTTGTCAAGTCAGCTGCTCCTCCAGTGAACTTACCCAGGTGCCTGCACCACCATCAACCCAGCCAACAAACCAGAATCCTGGGCACCCTTGTGCGGCACAGCACCCTTCAGACTTGCTCCCTCTACCACCCCACCGACAGCCACAGGGTCCCCCAGCTTTCTCTCACTTGGTCTTCTTGCCTGAAGCCTCTTTCCCTCTCAGTCCACCTGGGACATCCCTCCCAACTATGTCCTTCTAAGATGACCATCAGCCTGTCTCACTTCCTGATGAAAACTCCTTCGACACTTCTCACTGTCCACAGGGCAGAGCCCAAGTTCCTCAGCCTTGTGGGGGATGAAAGGTGCAAGACCTTCCATACTCTTCCCCAGCCCCTCCTACCCTCAGGGCCTCATCTCCAGCCCCAGGCACGAACACCTCAGCACCACTTTCTTCCTGCAGCCTGGGCTTTTTCCTTCCCTCCTCTCCCCTCCCCTTCCCTCTGAGGTGTCCAGAGATTCCACGCTCATCCTTAAAACCTAATTCAAACACGTCTTCCTTAATACTATGATGGTTCCTCCGAAACTTAAACATAGAAGCACCATATGACCCAGAAACTCCACTTCTGGGCACGCATCCAAAGGAAGTGAGAGCAGGGACACAAACAGATATTTGCATTTCCATGTTCATAGCAACATTATTCACAGCAGACAAAAGGTGAAGCAACTGAAGTGTCAGAAACAAATGATAAACAAAATGTGGTATATAACGGGAGGTGGAGGGTGCAACAAGCCGAGATCGTGCCACTGCACTCCAGCCTGGGTGACAGAGCGAGACTATCTCTCAAAAAAAAAAAAAATATGATGTATATGTAATGGAATATTATGCAGCCTTAAAAAAGAAGGAAATTCTGTCACATGCCACAACATGGATGAAATTGAAGACACTATGCTAAGTGAAATTATGCTAAGTGAAGACACTATGCTAAGTGAAATTAGCCAGTCACAAAAAGACAAGTGCAGCATGATTCCACTTACAGGAGGTATCTAGAGTACTCAAGTTCATAAAAAGACGGAAAGGATGATGGTGGTTGCAAGGGGCCAGGGGAGGGGAAATGGGAAATTATTGTTTACTGGGTACAGAGTTTCATCTGGGAGATGATAAAAAGGTATGGAGATGGATGGTGGTGATGGTTGCACAACAATGTGAATGTACTTAATGACAATGAGTTGCAGACTTAAAAAATGGTTAAATGGGCGGGGGGCGGTGGCTCACACCTGTAATCCCAGCACTTTGGGAGGCCGAGGTGGGCAGATCACGAGGTCAAGAGATTGAGACCATCCTGGCCAACATGGTGAAACCTTGTCTCTACTAAAAATACAAAAATTAGTGGTGGTGTGCGCCTGTAATCCCAGCTACTCGGGAGGTTGAGGCAGGAGAATTGCTTGAACCCAGGAGGCAGAGGTTGCGGTGAGCCGAGATGGTGCCGTTGCACTCCAGCCTGGGCAACAGATCGAGACTCCGTATCAAAAAAAAAAAAAAAAAGGTTAAATGGTAAATTTTAAATGGTTAAAGGTTAAATGGTAAAGGTTAAAGGTTAAATGGTAAAAAAAAAAGGTTAAATGTTTTGTATGTTTTACTGCAATAACAAAAGGTAACAACAAAATAACACAACAAAAATTCCACCTCTTCCTCTCGGGAAGCTGCCTGAACATTCCCTCCACCTCCCCAAGCACATGTGTTGCCCCAGCTGCCCACCCCCAATTCCCCGCAACACAGCTGGGTGGTGCTGCCCACACCCCACTCCATGCATTCCATGTACATTCCCAGTACCCTGCAGGGACAGCCTGACAGCCATGTCTTCCCTCTGAGACTGAGGGGTTCTGCAGGCAGGCACTATATCTCATTCCCTTCTCCTGCCCCACATCTAGCCCACAGTCCAGAGCAGAGTTTCTTCAATGAAGGAATGAATCCCCCAGAGCAATAGGTCTGGGTTAGTACTATCCCAAACCTCACAGTCTGTTATTCCCAGAGACAGTGATTTACTTCTAATATTCATCAACAAACCCCTCCCCCTGCCAAAGATCGTCTGCCCTTCCATTAAGCGACAAGGTCAGAAGGGGGTTTCCGTGGACGAAGTTAATAAACAGCTAACTTGGGAGGAATAAACAAAATAAAACCCAGGGTAGGCCGGCGCAGGCGTGCCCTTGCGTCTAACAACACCCACACTCCACCCTCTCTCCCTCCTCTGCTTGGTGGGTGGGCTGATTCACTTCCTGTGTCCCCTCCCAGGGCAGCGTGAGAGGGGAAAGTGGGTGGAATGCTGAGTCCTAGGGCATGAATAGATGATTACTCACCACGCTGCCCCGCACTGGAAGGCCACTGACCTTAGTGTGCGGGCCCGAACCACAGGCCTCTCTCCCCCTCACTCCGAGCCTCGCCCCACCCACCCCGACTTATGTAACCCAAGGTCTGGAAGGCGAAGAGAACTGGCCTTGGCTCTCAGCATGAGGTCCAAGGGGCCCCTCCACCCATAAGTCCTTGCACACCCCACGTGTTGAGTCTTCATTCACACCCAGTCCACATTCATGAAACAGGGGCTGGAAAGAGAACATGGTCTCCCCTGTCCTGAGGATGACCGTTGGGAGGGTCTTCATAGATCATTGATCCCAGGGGTCTCAACCAGAGATGGAGTGTCCCCGAGAGGACATTTGGCAATGTCTGGAGACAGTTTTGGTTGCCAGGAAGGGAAGGGGATGTGATGGTGCAGTGTCTGCTGGGTAGAAGCCAGGGCTACTGCTAACTTCCCACAATGCACAGCACATCCCCCCTCTCCACCGCCCACCACAAACACAGAATTATCCGGTACCGAAAGTCAATAGTGCTGAGGTTGAGACACCATGATGAATCCAAGCCGTACAGAAGAGGAAACTGAGGCAGAGGAAGTGACAGGATCAAAGTCACACTATGCATTAGATAATGTCAGAATTAGAATCCAAGGCTCTCTACCAGCCACACTAGTCTTCAGCTCCCAGGAGTGCAGTGATCAACTCCAAAACAAGTGGCAAGCTAGTGGAGTGGCTGAATTTGGGACTCTGGGGTCTAGAAGCTATCATAGTTGGTCTCTGTGTCTCTGGCAGGCTCCAAATGAATCCCACCAAGGTGAACCTGACCATCTTGGTCAAAGGGTTCCCAGATAATCAGAGGAAGACTGTCTGAAGGGGCTGTGGTGTGTCCAGGCAGAATGACCCTGTCTGAGGCTTGGGCAAAACTCACCCCTTAAGTCCATAGCATGCTGGGGGTGGTCCTGGCTGAGGTCAAGGTCAGAAGAGAGGAAGACTGTGTAAGGCAAAACCTGGATCGGAGGACAGGGCATGGGTGAGAATTAAACCTTGGATCACTGATTTGGGGGCACTATCTTTTTTCCTAGATGCCAAAAATGATTGTAGCTCTCGCACCTGCTGGATCCTCACTGCCATCCTGCATAATTTCAAACTGATGTCTAGAGTCACCCTTACCCTTTTCTCCAAGGAGCCAACACCATGTCTCCAACTGTGGGCCAGACACCAGGGCATCAGAGCTGACGGTGCAATCCCATTATTTATGAACAACTGACTCACGTCATGTTGCAACAGGCGTACTTTTCCATCCACTGTGGCTGAAAGTCAGCAAACTTGTAGTAACAGTGGTAATAAAGAGAAGGCCAGGGCAGTAGTGCATGAAGCTCTGTCTTAGGTCAGGGCCTCACCCTCTTCAGGAGCAGGGAGCCCATCGAAGGTGGTTGGGGACAAGGATGGGGGGGTAGGGAAGGGCCTACAATGGCCTCAGTCACAGAAGAAGGCCCCATTACAGATTTGTTTCTTCAGGCAAAGCATTATCACTGCTCCCTCACCTGCCTGTCTCCTTCCTCCCTAATTTTTCCAACAAGCTTGAAAACTCCTACATATCCTTCAAGGCCTAATTTCTGGAGTCCTTCCCCCAGCTCCAAGGTTCAGGTGCATTCTAACCCTGAATTTGGCAAACCACAATGACGATGGAAAAAGATGTTTGGGGTCAACAGCTGGGCTTGGGGAAAAAAGCCAAAGCTCCCCATGGATGGAATGTAGAGGCCTGCACAAGATCTGCTCCTCTGTGGGGGGCGTGCTGAGCACTGTGGCCTCTAGGCTCTCTTGCCAGATTCCCAAGTGAGGCCTCAGAACCCCAAGGCTTCCCTGGGCCTCTGGCTGCATTTCTCAGACTGGTCGGTTATCCCTAGCCCAAGTCCATGGGAATGCCACTCCTTCTCCCACGGCTGCCTGGAGCCTGGCTTTGGACTTCCTTAGTTCTCCAGTGCACTGGAGAATTGATTGACTGACTGATTGATTGATTGATTGATTGGATGTGCTTTTTTTTTTTTTAATTGCACTGGGGAATTTTAAAAGGCTGCCTGAAGAGGGCACTATTTTCACCAAGAGAGAACTCACTAGCAGAGGAATTGGCTGCCTTGGGAGAGCAACCCTGGGAGGTTTTCTTTGAGGATGGAGGTCTGGTGGGGATGACTCCTTCCTGGAACTCACCAATCGCCTCATGTGGCGGCTGTCCATTCAGTCTGGGAGCTGCCCCTTTGGGTAACTCTGGAGGCAGCTGGCCTGAAGGTTCTTGCCAAGGGCCTCTTAAGCACCCCTAGCAACCAAGGTAATTCAAAGTGGGAGACAGAGACCCAAATTTGAATTAACTTGAGTCTAATTAGGAAAAGCTCCAGCTCTGCCTCCAAGAGTCACTCCTCGCCTCTGGGTCTCAGTCTCCCCATCTGTATACTGAGAAATGGTGCATTGGATGTGTTCATCTACTCAGCACGTGTTAACTGAGCACCTACTACACTCTGATCTCTTGGGAGAGACCATGGAACGAGAGAGACAAAAGGCTTTGCCCTCACAGAGCTGCTATTCTAACAGGGAGGACAGATGGCAAACAAGATTAAGGAGTGAAATCTATAGGCCATCAGAAGGGGATGTGAGCCATGGAAAATGAAGCAAAGAAGAAGCAGGGGGACATGGCTGCTAAGGATTAGTCCAGCTTAGAGACTCTGGGTCTAAAGCTCTTACTCTGCTGCATCCTTGTTAGGAGTCAAGAATGGTGGCAGGAAACTGGGCAGGGCCATGCGTGAGTACAGGGACAGCTCTCAGGGGTGGTGGGGATGGTGGGTTTGTTCACGGGCTTGAGCCCCAGTCAGTCTCTCAGCGGCTTCCTCCAGGAAACAGAACTGACTAACCCCAGGTGTGCTGGCCTGTCCTCAAGTCAAAGGCAGACACCTGGGTCTGCTGAGGAGTCCAGGGGTCACACAGGGTTCCTGGCAGGGCCCCAAAAGTCCTGACTGAGGGGTGGATTTCTTCAAAGCAAGGTGGGCAGCATCCTCAGGGCACTGCCAGTGACTCTTCTACATCCCTCACTTTGCCCTGGCCTTCGATGAACAAGACACTGGCCACCTCCAACTACAGGGGCTCTCAGACCCTTCCTTCCCTCCTACTGATCCTCCCCTGCATGGTGGGGTGTCCCCTCCCCTTACATGGGGAGGGAGGGAGAGGAATTTGAAAGTCCCCATTTCTGGCTGGGCATGGTGGATCACACCTGTAATCCCAGCACTTTGGGAGGTAGAGGCAGACAGATCGCTTGAACTCAGGAGTTCGAGAGCAGCCTGGGCAACATAGTGAGACCCCACCTCTACAAAAAATACAAAAATTAGCTGGGCACGGTGGTGCATGCCTATAGTCCCAGCTACTAAGGAGGCTGAGGTGAGGAAGATAGCTCGAGACCGGGAGGCGGAGGTTGCAGTGAGCTGAGATCATGCTACTGCACTGCAGCCTGCTCTGTTGAGACAGAGCAACACCCTGTCTCAAATATATATATCTGACCAACCCGGAGTTGGTCAGTTTTGTTTCCTGGAGGAAGCCGCTGAGAGACAGACTGGGGCTCAAGCCCATGCACAAACCTACCACCCCCACCACCCCTGAGAGCTGTCCCTGTACTCACGCATGGCCCTGCCCAGTTTCCTGCCACCATTCTTGACTCCTAACACTGTGCTAAAAAAAAAAAAAAAAAAAAAAAAAAAAAAAAAAAAATCTCCCCCCATTTCTTATGAATTCACAATTTTTCTCTTCCTGTACGGATCATTTTTGAAAACATGTCTTGTAAACCTTCTGTGTACTCAGGATGAATGAGGGATGCCAAGATGCTGAGAAAGGACTTACCGCCAACCAGGGAGGCCAGGCTAATACACATGAGAAAATAACAATCCGCTCTTACAGTTTGATTTGCAGCCCACAGAGTCCTTTGGAACCACTTACTATCTCCTAAAACCACACAGGGTCTGTTGCTCTCATTTTACAGATGAGGAAATTGAGGCCCAGAAAAGCACCTTCTCTTCCCTCAATACATAGCTGCCCCATGGAGTGGTAAGGAGAGAGAGGAGACAATGAAGATTAAAGTTTCCAAATAATTCCAATTCCAATTCTTACCCCCAGAGGGATGCATAAGAATTCTACGTAAAGGGACAAAGTTGCTCTGCCTCAGTCTAGGGTAGAGCCAAGCTTGGCATGGAACCCACCAGCCTCGGCCTCTCCTTGGCGGGACAAGGGTAAAGTGAAAGTCCTCTGTCTCTCTGGAAAAGCACATGGGGGCTGGGTGCAGTGGCTCACGCCTGCAATCCCAGCACTTTGGGAGGCCAACCCGGGTGGGTCATCTGATGTTAGCAGTTCGAGACCAACCTGGCCAACATGGTGAAACCCTGTCTCTACTAAAAATGCAAAAATTAGCTGTGTTTGGTGGCAGGCGCCTGTAATCCCAGCTACTCGGGAGGCTGAGGCAAGAGAATTGCTTGAACCCGGGAGGCGGAGGTTGCAGTTAGCTGAGATCTCGCCCTTGCACTCTAGCCTGGGTAATAGAGCAAGACTCAGTCAAAAAGAAAGAAGAAAGAAAGAAAGAAAGAAAGAAAGAAAGAAAGAAAGAAAGAAAGAAAGAAAGAAAGAAAGAAGGAAAGAAAGAGAGAGAGAGAGAGAGAGAGAGAAAGGAAGGAAGGAAGGAAGGAAGAAAGAAAGAAAGAAAGAAAGAAAGAAAGAAAGAAAGAAAGAAAGAAAGAAAACGAACTAAAGGAAGGAAGGAAGGAAGGAAGGAAAGAAGGAAAGAAAGAAAGAAAGAGAGAGAGAGAGGGAGGGAGGAAGGAAGAGAAAGAATGAAAGAAAGAAAGAAAGAAAGAAAGAAAGAAAGAAAGAAAGAAAGAGAGAGAGAGAGGGAGGGAGGAAGGAAGAGAAAGAATGAAAGAAAGAAAGAAAAGAAAGAAAGAAAGAAAGAAAGAAAGAAAGAAAGAAAGAAAGAAAGAAAGAAAGAAAGAAGGAAAGAAAGAAAGAAAGAGAAAGAAAGAAAAGCATACGGGATTAAGGATGTACTCTTGGTGTAAGGGGAAAATGTTGCCCCACGTGGGTAAGGGTGCCAAGGGATCTCAGTGGTGGGGCTGGACACCTTTCTGATCCAACTTTTCAGAGTGCCCTTTCTGCTTGCCAAGGGCAGAGATAAGGCAGTTGGAAAAGAAGCTTTGCTGTTGCAGGCTAATCATTCCATTCTCGCAGAGCACCTTCCGTGTGCCAGGTACTATTGCTACGGCAGGGAACAAAGCAGGTCCCTGCAGGGAACAAAGCAGGTCCCTGCCCTCCTGCAGTTCTGGGAGCTTAGCAAGGCTCTGGCTGGCTCTTGGAGGACCTTACTGACTGGAGTTTGTGTCTGCTTGGAGGTGCCCTCTCCCCTGAACCTCTTTCACAGGCAGAACCTAGGGGGGTGGGGAGTGGGGTAAAAGAAACAAACCTCTGCTGAGTCAAGGGCACTGCAAGAATGCAGAAGCGACCATGCAGCTCTGGAAGGATGCGGTGGGAAACCCGCCACTCAGTGGTGGAGAAAAGCCCACCAGTTTCTCCAGCAAATGGCTGAGCTTTGTTGGGCCTCCTTGTCTTCTCATCTGCCCATGTGTTAATATCTACTCGCCATTGGTTTGTTAGGTTCAAATGAAATCAGGGATGTGTCCCTTTTTGGCTGCTAGCTCTTCTCAGATCCCCTGACCTCTCCCCATCTCTTCTCTATGGCTCTGCGTGGGAAGGGGCAGTTGTCACCCCCGACTCCCACTAAGCTGAGCCCTCCTCCCAACCTAAGCGGGAGGAAGCCGGTTCTGCTCACGGATAAGAGTTACCGGGCTCCTGAGTTCTTGTTCTGCTGGGCCGGGGTCCACCCCCTCTCCTGGGCTCATCCGACTAGGACTTGGGAAGTGCTAGGGGAGCCAGGAGATGCCCAGCTGGGGGCTGTGGCCGGGGGGAGGCCAATGACAGAGCAGGGGGAACTCCCTGTAGCTGGGCACCCACTTCAACAGGGCCGGGACGACCCCCGCAGGCAGTGGGCCGCCCCTCACCCACACGGTCCTGCTCAGCCCAGGCTCACATCTGGGCTCAGGAGGCGGGAAGCACAGGTGTAAAGAAATCGCCAACTGTGCAGCCCCAATCCAAGGGTTTTATTAAAGTGGGGGCGGCGGGAGGGGGGCGGTGGAGGAAGGATAAGCGGCGCAAACGCCCTGGAGAGTGAGAGAAAAGGTGCGAGAAGGCAACAGCTCCCCTCACCGCCCTCGATTGCAGCAGAGAGCCTTCTGCACGGCGGCGGCCGCCCCACCTTCACACCGGCCCCGCGTGCGGTGAAAGTGGCCGAGCCGCGCCGCCGCCGGATCAGGGCCGCCCCGGCACAAACTTTCCCAGACCCGCCCTCGGAGCGGCCACCCAGGCTCAACGGGCTCCACGGGCGCAGGGCGGCTGGGGCTGCCGCGGAGGGCGGGTGCGCGTGGACCGGGAGGTGGGGAGGCGGCGCGCGGCGGGGAGTCCCGCCCCGGGTTACCTGGGTTCCAAGGGTCTCGGGAGTCCAGTGGACAGGGCGCGGGGACAGCACAGGCAGGCCGGAGACCAGACACTCCTCCCGGGCTGCGGCGACCCCGGACTCGCGGGCCCTGCACCTGGCCCTGCGGGTCGCCGCGCCTACCCATGCCGGTCCCCGCCCGTCCCCTCCCGCGCGGGGCGGGGCGGCCCCGGGGGAGGAGCCGAGGGCCGTGGGCACCACCCCCTGAGCCAGGCCTGCGCCTCATCACGTGCCACCGACCCTGGGCTCTGTGACTTCCAAAGACTCGCCACCCCATTCCACAGCCTGAGGTGCCACCAAAGCCATAAGCCCAGGGGAGTCTCTCACACCCCATTCTCCTAGGGCCCATGTACCCCACGCCCACCTCCACCCCAGGAGCCGAAGGCCGGCAGGGAGCCTGGAGAGCCTCCTTGATGGGAGAACTGCGGAGCTTGCCCCTCGGAAAAGTGCATGGGGTGGAGAACAGGGAAGGAGAAAAAAACAACAACTGGGTACTCGCAGCCCCACCGCGGTGTCCGCTTCGCCGGTGGGAGAGGATCCTCGCCGCCCTGAATCCTTGAAGTGAGTTCCACCCCTGTCTCTTGGAGTGCTCAGGGTGGCGGGCCCTTTGCCAGCCCTCACCCTTTCCCCAGGGATCCTGTCCCAGGTCACAGGCTCCTAGACTGGAAGGCGCTGGGCCTGGACCTCTGCCACTCAGTGGACACAGCTATAAGAGATGAAGGGACACAGAGGACAAAGAAGAAACATTTGGCTTCAGGGAACCAGACTCTGTGTCTCCTCCCAGGTGCTGAAGGAACAGGTTGCAGCTACCTGGTGCCCCCACCCCGACCCTGCCAGAGAAAGGTTGGAACATCCACACCTGTGGACCGAAGTCCCCCACCAGGCTCTTTCCTCCCACCCTTCAGCCCCAGGCTCTCTGAGCTCCTGCTCCTCCCTGCCTTGCCTTGTTTGCTGAGGGCACACACAGTGGAGAGAGCACAGGACTGGGAGTCCAGAGACCTGGGCTCTAGTCTACTCTGTGACTCGGGTCAAGTCTCTGGCCCTTTGTGGGCCCAAGTTGCCCCATTTGCAGTGAATAGGTTGCAGTCAATTATCTCCGGCCATTTTTACGGATCCTGAACCGTGGTCTTGGGCACCTTGCTTTATTAGGCTTTTTGGTGGCTGTGCATCTTGTAAGGGTGTGTATGCATGTGCGTGTGTGTGTGCGTGCGACATGCGCTTGTCCTCTCAGACCCAAGTTCTTAAAGGGAAAGAGACTGGGGCCTACACAGAGGCAGGCATGTATATTCCACAGACCAGAGTTTGACAAGAATGACTGGACACAAGAGTGGAGCCCAGTCCCAGCTCTATGCTGAATTCAGAGTAGCCTTGGACAAGACCCTCACCATCTACAAAATGGAGATTAATAATCCCTGCTTTGCCTTTCCAAGGCTAGTCGGGGGACTCAGTGAGATATTAGATATGAAGCTCTTTGAAGGGGAATAGCACAGGGATGTGTGCTTTTGATGTCTGGGCCAGTGATGGGTTTGGGGGAAGAATAGGGTGTGAAGCATTCTCTGGGAGGCAAAGGCTGGCACTGGACTGATTGGCCACCCTGCCAAAGCTGCAGCATGCACAGCACAGGCAGGCACCCCACCACCAGCAGCCAAGGTGAGCAGAGATGCCTGGTGCCCCACCTGGATTCCTGCCTGCTGTAGGTATCTGTGTGTGCACCTTGAAGAAACTAAAGAGGGAAGATAAAGAGGCTCCCAACCTAAATGGAGGTGGTCAGTGGATTACTGATGAATCGATCTGCATATCTTGGCCAAAATCACCCTCCTCTGCTCTTAGGGAGTTTAAAGTCTAACTGAATGATTGAACATGAACCCTTTGGAGAATGATGTGGAGCCAGGAGAGGGGATTGTGGATGGTGAGCACACAGGATGATCAGAGGAGGGGGAAGGGCAGGGAGGGGCCGGGGAGGGGGGTACTTAGACCACATGGAGATGCATTTAGAGTATTGTGTTCAACACTCCTATTTCATAGTGATGAAATGGAGGCCCAGAGAGGGAAAGTGACCTGCCCAAGGTCACACAGTCACAAGAAGTCAGTAGCAGAGCTAGAACTTGGACCCAGGACTTCAGGAATCTATGCTGGATTTGAGCCTCCTGTGCAGCCGAGGGAGACCTGAAGTGTGGGAAGGACTGGGATACGTACCAGTGGGCAGGAAGAAAGAGTGAGGCAAAGTGCAGAGGTGGGAACTTTGTACAGCAAGGGAAAGGAGCTGGAATCACAGGCAGGATCTGGAAGGAGGGAGCTGCCCAGACCTGGAAAGCCAGGCTGAGCACTGCAGACCACAGAGGGTTTCGAGCTGACACCAGTTGGGAAGATACAGGCGTGCGAGGGGCACACGCCCAAATGACCCAGTGAGACAGCAGGTGACATGACAGCAAGGCAGCAAGGAGACGGGGAAGAGCAGCTCCAGGAGTCAGGCAACCTCCAATCAAATGGCCTTGAGCAAGTTGTCTCTCTTCTCTGACCCTCAGTTTCTTTTTTGTGGAGTGAGAGATAATCATCTTTTTTTCCTTTCAGGGTTATTGTAGTGACCACAGAATGCATTTGGAAGTGCTCTGTAAACTGCAGAGTGCTAAGTAAATTTAATATTTGGAGTTGTGTTTTATTTTCCAAAGGGCTCAGTAAACATTTGTGGAACTGACTGATATTGGATTGGACACTCTCCTCATGGCAATGGGCAGAGGGACCACAAACGGAGGGGGGCAGGGATTGGGGTGGTCAGAGGGAGTCCTGGCAAGGGTGTGAAGGAAGGAGAGCTTCAGTCTTAAATGTGAGTCTCCCTCTGACATCTTTACAACATAACTCAAAAAGCCTTTTTGGGGGGAAACAGTCCTACCCCAATCCATGTGACTCAAAATGCCCCATCTCTTCCTTTGCCTGTGTGTTCAAGGGGCGCCATATCAGATGTCACTATTCTATGTGTTCTTCACCCATCCCCACTGGCCATCTACTCCTCAGGCACTCACCAGCTCCTCCTGGGTGGGCCCAGACGTTATATTTGTTTACAAGGCCTTGTTGGATAGCAGAAACGGTACTACAGAAACCATCGCCCTTAGTTAATATGGCAAGATTCAGGTCCCTCACATGTGTTCTCAGCCCCCTGGCACCCAACTCTACCCCAATCCATAAGTCCGCTCACGCCTCCCCTCTCCTTGGCAATGGAGTCACCAGGGCAGGGCTTACTGCCCCACTTGGCAGATGAGAAAACGGAGGCTAGGAGAGAGGCGCTGCCTGGCAGCGCGAAACCTAGAACAGCCTCACCCACACCGTCAGAGTTGCCCTGCTGATGAGGCCATTATCTCATCAGGGCTGGAAGTATTTGCCTCATTTGACAGAGGAGGAAATGGGCACTAAGGGCAAGGACATGCTTTACGGGAACTTCTTGCAGAGCTTTCTTTTCTGCCACTGTATCCAGATAAGGGGTCCATGTTGCCAGTGGTTTCCCAGTGTTGCCGTGACAAATTATCATGCACAGCACCTTCAAACGACAACTATTTACTCTCAGTCCTGGAGGCCAGAAGTCCCAAGTCGGGGCATTGCAGAGTTGTGCTCCCTCTGAAGCTTCCATGGCTCCCTCTGACCGCTGCCCATCCCTGCCCCCTACGTTTATGGTCCCTCTGCCCATGGCTGTGAAGAGACACCATGCCCAATCCAACACTGGTCAGTTCTACAAATGTTTACTGAGGCCTTTGGAAGATAAAACACAACTCCAAATATTGAATTGGCTTATCACTCTGCAGTTTACAAAGCCACTTCCAAATGCATTCTGTGGTCACCACAATAACCCTGAGAGGGAGAATCCTTCCTTGTCTCTTCCAGCTTCTGGTTCCCAGCATCCCTGGGCTCGTGGCAGCATCACACAATCTTGCCTGTCTTCACATGCTGTCTCTGTGTGTCTGTGTCCTCTCGTCTCTGTAGAACAGCAGTCACTGGAGTCAGGATGAGCTCATCTCAAGATCCTTAGCTTAAGTACATCTGCAAAGACCCTTTTTCCAAACAACATCACAGTCACGGGTAGAGGAAGTTAGGATGTGGACATACATTTTGGGGACACTGTTCAATCGACATCAGTGTCTTTCCCCCACTGGCAGCACAAGGGGATCCAGCAAGGTCAGTTTCTTCCTTTTATCCTTCCCTCAACTTCTCACTGTGTCAGAGAGGGTCTCCTATAGCATCTTCTCCTATCTGGTCATGTTATGGAGGAGAAAGGAGGGTAAAGACATATAGGGTCCTTGCTGGGGACATTGAGTTGGGGGACTTACCTCCCTCTAACTCCCTTTCCTACCACCTCACAGTCTGGCCATGGCTTTTTTTTTTCTTTCTGTCACCCAGGCTGGAGTGCAATGGCACTATCTTGGCTCACTGCAACCTCTGCCTCCCAGGTTCAAGCGGTTCTCCTGCCTCAGCCTCCTGAGTAGCTGGGACTCAGGTACCACCACGCCTGGCTAATTTTTGTACTTTTAGTAGAGATGGGGTTTCACCATGTTGGTCAGGCTGGCCTCAAACTTCTGACTTCAAGTGATCCACCCGCCTCAGCCTCCCATGTGCTGGGATTACAGGCGTAAGCCACCGCACCCGGCCTGGCCATGGCCTTTCAAAAGGACCCTGGATCCCCTTCCTCTAACATCTTCCCATCATGGGGTCCCTATGGAAAGATGTCCCTTACGGTGAATAGGCTCAGAGAAAATGCCTGTTCTCCCTTCTCACCCCATCTGTGCCCCAGCCCTTCTTCTGATGCCCAGGTCCTAAGAGCCCCTTTGCCAGGGAGCCACAAAGCTTTGAATTCCATGCGGAAAGCACAGACTTCCAGGCAGAACCCCTTGGGGCAGGAGACACTGTGACTGGCATGGATCCCCAGGTGTGACCCTGTCTTGAGAGCAGGATTGAGGGAGGTGGAGCATGGGAAGCTGGCCTTTGGAGAGTGTGTGTCAGGGGGAAGATGCTGAGACAGGAGGAGGGTGACCTGCCTTGGCCAGAGAGAGAGATCACAAGGGCCTGTCATGTCCGGTACTTGAAGGAAGCCCCAGGCGTGCCCTGTGCCAGGTGGGCTCCTGAGGGCCAGTAGCCATCAAGGACCAGAACACTCAGCAAGGCCTTCAGGGCCATCTGACCTAGGGAGGAAAGCTGCTTGCAGAGAAGTAAAGATGCAGTGAGGGGACCAGCAGGCTTGCAGCATCCAGGTTGCCTCTGTCTCGGTGCCAGCTTCCCAGGCCCAGGCAATATCTTTACAGCAGCTGAGAGTCCACGGTGCCTCTTGGGCAGCCCCCTGCTTGCAAAGGGAGAACTGGGGGGCTGGGCTTGAAGCTACAATAGGATAGAAGCAGCCTGTTTCATTTAGGTGGAGGGTTTAATTGGGGTGGCTTGGAGGAGGGTGATTATAGAGGCCTCTATGAAGGGGGGTTAGCCCACCCTCCCCTGCATGCATCCCAGTCACCCACAGTAATTTCTGTTTTATCCTATTAGCTTAAGAGGGTCTCTGTTCCTGCATCCATAATTGCTCTAATAAGAAAACATAACGTCTGGTCCATTGGTTCTTAATCCTGGCAACAAGTTAGCATCCGACGCTATTTAATTCAAATCTCTGGAGGTGAGGCCCACGTCTCTTTTAAGGCTCCCAGGGGATTCTGATGTGCAGCCAGGGCGGAGACCCCCAGGTAGTCCAACTACCTCGGCCTGCTTGATTCTTGGGGCACCTTGAGAGGCGAGGCCACGGCTGCTTCCTTACCATCTCGCTCCTACAGTTCTCTGGGTTGGGCCCAGCACACAGCAAAGACATATAAATATGTATGTATGTGTGGACACACAGAGCCTTCTACTGCCGCTCCAGCAAATAGCCATGGTGGTGGATTCTTCCCAGCAGCAATTGCAATTGCCCTTACTGTCTGAATCACGGGCCATCAGTTACACAGTGCTTGCTGCTTCCCTGGGTTTCTCCTTGTTGCCCATGCCCCCTCTCCCAGTGAGTGGATGCTGCAGATGCTGAAGCTGTCCCCACTCAGGGAGGAACGGGAAGGAGCGAGCATCTTCTGGGCAGCTTCTGGGATCTGCTCTCAGCCTGAAGCCACTGCCTCTCCTTTAGGGCTAAAGTCCTTTAAGGATTACTCCAGGCAAAACTTCCACTGCCCCAGCAAGCACAGAGACTCCTTCCCTGACCCCATCTCCCTCTCAACCCTAAGGTACCAACTGTCTGCAAGCCCCAAGCAAAACCTCTACTAGGCTGTCTCTTTCAAGAGCCACAAAAATAATCATCACTTTTCATCCAGCAATCACACACCTGAGAACGTAGCCCATGGAAATAATCCTGAAAAAATGAAAAAGCCCTTTGAACAAAGTTTCAGCCTTATGTCTAATAGCCAGAAACTTGAAGCAACCTAAATGCCCAGCTCCAGAGCGCTGGTAAGCAAAGCATGCTCATGTTAAAAGCTAATAGTGAAGACTGTGGCAACGTGGAGAAATGCTGATGATATGGTGTTCGGTGCAAATTGCATTGCGCTGGAGCCCAGCTATGAGAAAATTGTGTATGTATGAATGAGAGATGGAGGGGAATTGCAAAAGTAAAAAGAAAACCAATGCCCATTTACTAGGTTTGGGGGATTGTAATTTTTTTTTATTTGTGGTGGTGTTATAATATTGTTTGTGCAATAAATATTTTATATGAAGAAATAATAATGATAATAATTTCTTGTACATCCAGAGAAGCCTCTTGAATGCACCTATTCCAGCACAGGTGTACCTGAGCATGGATCCTCACATGGACTGTCTTTCTGGAGTGTTTGCATTTGAAAGAAGCCTACACTGCAGCCAGGGTGACAGCTATTTTATTTTATTTATTTATTTATTTTTGAGTCAGAGTCTCGCTCTGTCACCCAGGCTGGAATGCAGCGGCATGATCTCCTGGCTCACTGCAACCTCTGCCTCCTGGGTTCAAGCGATTGTCGTGCCTCAGCCTCCCAAGTAGCTGAGACAAAAGGCGCTCACCCAGAGGCCTGGCTGATTTATTTTTTGTATTTTCAGTAGAGACAGGGTTTCACCATGTTGGCCAGGCTGGTCTCAAACTCCTAACCTCAAGTGATCCTCCCGCCTTGGCCTCCCAAAGTGCCGGGATTACAGGCGTGAGCCACCATGCCCGGCCGGTGACAGCTATTTTATTATGGGCAAGGAAAGGCCCTGAGCTCACCACCCGTAGCTGACCCCTTCCCCACACAGCCACCCACAGGACCACCAGCCTTCCTAGCTCAGTGCACTCTCCTTTGTGCAATGCAGGAAGGGGCAGACAGTCGTGCAGAGCTTACAGGCAACTCAGGCTCCAAGCCTCACTTTCTCTGGGCGGTATTTTACTCCATATTAAGAATATCTGGGCTGGTGCGGTGGCTCATGCCTATAATCCCAGCACTTTGGGAGGCCAAGGTGGGTGGATCGCCTGAGGTCAGGAGTTTGAAACTAGCCTGGCCAACATGGTGAAACCCTGTCTCTACCAAAAATACCAAAATTAGCTGGGTGTGGTGGTATGCGCCTGTAATCCCAGCTACTCGGAGGCTGAGGTAGGAGAATCACTCGTACCGGGGAGGCGGAGGTCACAGTGAGCCGAAATCATGCCATTGCACTCCAGCCTGGGTGACAGAGTGAGACCCCATCTCAAAAAAAAAAAAAAAAAAAGGATTATCTGTAGGGTCAGATGGGGATACTTTGAAAGAGTAAGAAGGGGGCCAAGGGGCCACAGCTTGTATGAGAGCTGAACCCAGGTGGTCTCAGCCAAGGGCACAGGCCTTCTACCTTCTGTTTCTGGGTCTTCCCCCTGAGATTGGGGAGGAGAGAGGTGACCAGCCGCTCTCCTGAGCCTCCTCTGCAGCAGGCTGGAGGGCTATGGACTCTTCTAGGGCTGAGACAGGGTGCTGACTCCAGGGAGGAGGGGGCTGGCACTGGGCCTGGGGCTTTCTTAACATCTGGGTGTGGACGTTTTGAAGTTGTGTTCTCAGGAAAGGCTTGAGGAAGCCTTGCTGTGTTCTCTGTTCCCACCCAGCTCAAAAGACGTAGGAAGTTCTCCCTGGCTGCTCTCCTGGGGCCTGGGCTGGACTTGCTGGCTGTGGGGCAGCTCAGGGCAGGCCAAAGAACCCTATGACATACCCAGTCTGCTCAGGGTGTGGAAGTCAGATTTACACAAAACATTCCATGGGAAGGGAAGGCTTCACTTTGATAAGAGGATTTAAAGTGATAATAACAGCCAATGTTTACCAAGCTCTTGCTACAAGCTAGGTGCCAAGAGCTTTGCAGGATCAGTATCTCATGTGGTACTCACCAAACTCCATGTCTATCACCATCCCATTTTATAGATTGGAAAGTTGAGGCTGTGACGTCTACAAGATCACACAGCTGGATCTCAAATCAGGACTGGCCCAAAGTTTGTGTTCTCAGTTGCTGTCTCCCGCTCTGAGGCCCACTGGCCCCCAGCCATGGCAAGCCTGGGCGTGAATTACCCAGTAGGTTTCACACGGTTCTTAGTACCACTTCTCTTAGTAATCAGAGAGTACATTTAGATTTTCAAAAATTAAATATAGATATAATTCTTCCTTGAACATATATGCTCTGAATTCACCACCACATATATCCTATAGCTAATGTTCAAAACAGGACTCCTATTCACTTCAACCAGCCAATCTGGAGGCTCTTACAGGATCGTGCCTTTGAGGCAAAAATGGTGAATATTCAGATAATGTGGGGAGCAGGCATTTTGTCCACTGTTCTTTTGGGAAATATAGAGTACTTCTAGTCCATTTCATACATTAAACCAGAAGGGACCACGGAAATCTATTAGCTATTCTAGGAACAGTAAGATCCTAAAAGGGCAAGTGACTTGCTTGTCACTTCAGGAATTAAAGGCTGACCTTGCATTCATTGCCACCTGTCCCGCTGGGGTTTCTTCCTCCTTAAACATTTTTGTGCAGTTATTTTGGGGGCAGTTTCTGACACTTGTATTAGAGAGTCCCTTTGGGTCCAGCTTGTCTCACACCTACCCTACGCAGTTTATTTTGGTTCTGTTGTAAAAATCCAAGTGTAAAAGCTTCCATCTAACACCCCCATCTGATGAGCCATGTGGATTATCCTGGGCTCCAGTGACAGTAGCAGCCACTGGGAATCTACTAAAGCAGTGTTTGCAAACTTCCTGGCTATTAAGTAACTTTCTGAACCGTAGCTGGATTTGAGAACACTTCTGAAATCCCTGCTAAATATTTTAGCATGGAGAGGGAGTTGCAAAAGAGAGGAAGAAGATAATCGAGGGCTGTGTAAATATTTAATTTAGCCTCAAGCTGGTAGCCTTAATTACAGAACATTAACGTCTTTATCATAATATTCCCAGGTCTAACTAATGATAAACAACCCTTTCTCAGGCTCACTATCAAAACCCCCAATCAGAAGTCTCCAGCCAGAGCCTCTTTCTATTGGTCCCAGGTTCTGCTCCCTCCATCCTGCAAGGTCGCATACTCCTTCACCTCCTCGGCATGTCCTTGCCACAGGGGCGGAGTGGGAGGAGGGACAGATTGCAGATCCCTGCTTATAGACAGGGAAACCAAGATTTAAAGGGTCAGGGAAGCTGGTAAGTGTCAGAGCCCAGGTTTCCTCATCCACATCCTGAGCATTTTCTGTCCCAGTTTGGGGTTTGCAGGGAGGACCCCCAATGACTCCTCCCTTCTGTGAGCTCAGTTCTCCTGCACTGAATGACTAAAGAGAGTCAGCGTATCACACAGAGAGGAAGAACCGTGTGAAACCTAGAAGGTAATTCATGCCCAGGCTCGTCATGGCTGGGGGCCAGTGGGCCTCAGGGCGGGAGACTGATCTCCAGGCAAGCCAGAATCAAAGCCAGCACCCAGCCCACTCCCCAAGCGCAGGTCCGAATGCCAGCTTCCCATTTACCCTACTTCCGGCAGCAGCATCTCCACGCTCATTCACCACTCCAGGGCCAGGTACTTCGTGTCCTCTAATTCTCAGGACAACCTGGCAAGGCTGCTGTTACCATCCCATATGCAGGAGGAAGTAACCAAGGAGGCTCATAGTGGTTAAGTAGCTTGTTCCAGCTCACACACTTGGCAAGTGGCTGAGTCAGGACTTCAACCAAAAGCCCATGTTCTCTTGGTGCCCCTATACACCATGCCTACCAGCTAGGACCCCAGAAGCCCCTTCACTGCTGACCTCCACAGTGCTGGCCTGGTTGCCCCACTGCCTGGTTGGTGCTGCCTGTGGAGCTCGGTCCTGAGGGCAAAGCCTCAACCCTGAGCCCCACCTTGAATTGAAGGACTCATGTGTTAGGGAGCACTGTGGGGCCTCATCGCCTTTGACCTGGAGCATTTGATCCAGGTCAGATGCTCACAGGTGGGCCAGGGCTCAGGGGGAAAGAAGGGGAGGCTTCATCTGGCTCCTGATTTCTTTGTTTATTTATTCATTCATTCTTTCTTTCTCCAGATCCTTGCCGAGCATCTGCTCTGTACAGGCCGTGTACTAAGTGCTAGAGAGATGGTGTGGGGTAGATAATGGCTTCCAGAGATGTTCACGTCCTGATCCACAGATCCTGTGAGTATGTTACCCTGCATGGCAAAAAGGATGTTGCAGATATGATTAAGTTAAGAATCTTGAGATGGGAAGGTCATCATGGATTATCAGGGTAGGCCCAATGTAATCACAGCGTCCTTTTAAGAAGGAGGCAGGAGGATCAGAGTCAGAGAAGGAAGTGTGGCGACGGAAGTGGAGGTCAGAGCAATATGGCCATGAGCCAAGGGATGCCATCGGCCTCTGGAAGTTGGAGAAGGCAAGGAAAGGGACCATTCCCTAGAGCCTCCAAGAGGAACACAGCCCAGCCAGCACCTTGGTTTTAGCGCAGCGAAACTGCTTTCAGATTTCTGATCTCCAGAACGATAAGATAATACACTTGTGTTGCTTTAAGCCACTACTTTTGTGGTGATTTGTGATTGCTACAATTGGAAACTAACAAATAGCAAGATAAATGAGATGTGGTCCCTAGCCCTGAGTAGCCCTTTATGGGACTGTAGCAGAATCCCCTGGAGGGCCCTCCATCAGTTGGAGGACACAACTGATTTTGGGCCCCACCCACAGAGCTCCTGATTCAGTAGGTCTGGGTTGGAGCTGAGAGGCTGCACTTCTCAGAAACTCCTAGGAGAGCCGCTGCTTGGGAACCACATTTTGGGAACCACTGGTGTAGGGCAGTGGGCCTCAAACTTTAATGTGCCTTCACCTGTTCTGGAGAATCTTGCTAAAATGCAGGTTCTGAAGTATGAATGGGCTTGTTGATTTGTGGATATGTCTACTGCCTGACTCCTCTGTTAGAATGCATGGTCCCTGAAAGCAGGGGCTCTGCTGTGATTGCCCCTGCTGGGTCCCCAGACCCTGGAGCTGAGCCTGGCTATAGATACCCAATAAACATCTGTGGCATGGATGGGCTTGGAGCCCATGAGAACAGTTTAGGCCAGACACAGTGATGTGGGTGTCTTGGGTGCCCTTGCTGATGCCACAGAAGTAAATTAAATCCCACAGGGACAGAATGAGGGCCAGGAAGGAAAAGGGGAAGGAAAGGATCCCCAGGGACCTCCACCCCAGGAGAGGGACTCAGCAGGAGTGTCAGTGAAGGAGACGGCCAGGGGAGGAAGGCGTTCCCGTTGGAAGGAAAGGCAGCAGCACCAAGAGCTGAGAGCCAGAGGAGGCTTCTGGGAAAGGCTGTTGAGAGGGAAAACTGAGGTACATGACTTCCACTGCTGGGGGTCTCCACAGTGGCATCTCTTACAAGAAGGGCTGAATGATGACTGGAGGGGGGGCTCAGATATATGTCTATGTTTTTCTCTCATCGCTTAAATAATTTATAAAAATAATATGTGTGTGTTGGAAAATATTTAGGAAAAGTCTAAGAAATAGAAAGAAAAAAAATGAAATTTCTATAATTGCCACACCCAGAAATGAGGCCTGTTTATATTTTAATGTATTTCAGTGTTTGTTGAACACATGTACGTAACATATACACAATTTTCCTTCAAGTTTGGATTAATATTGTGTATATCTTTAAATTCTCTTTCTTTTACTTAATACATTTTTCCAAAACTATTTTTCATGTTATTTTAAAGTGCAAAACATAATTCTTAAGGGATGGATAATAACCTTTTGCACAAATACACCCTAATTTATTTAACTAATCACTTATTTTTGAGTATTTAGATCATTTTGTTGTGGTTTTAATTTATATTACCCTTAGACTATGATGTTCAGCATCTTTGCGTGTGTGTGTGTGTGTGTGTGTGTGTGTGTGTGTGTTTGTCATTCTCATTTCTTCTTTGGTGAAGTATCTATTCAGTCTTTTGCCTATTTTTAATTGGCAAAATGTACTTATTTTCTCACTGTTGAGTCTTTTTATGTCCTTTGTCAAATATATGATTTGTAAATATTTTCTGCCAGTCTGTGGTTTGTGTTTTCATTTTCACTTTTTTTTCAGAGCAAACATTTTTAATATTGATAAAATCTCATTTATCATTTTTTTCTTATAGATTATTCCTTTAGTATCTGAAGGTCACACATATTTTCTCCTATATTTTCTAGAAGTTTCATAGGTTTATGTTTTACACTTAGGACTATAATCCATTTTGAGTTCATTTTTGTGTAAGGTGTGGGTATGTGAGATCCTTTCTTTTTTGTTTTGAATATAGATATGTGAGTGGAAAAAAGCCACAAATTGAAAATGTTTTTTATCTGCTCTCACATCACAACAATCAACACAGAAGACTTCTGTGCCCACATATGTGAGGATTTCTCTCACCAGCAAACAAGCAATCAGTTCTGCAGTGGACACCAGCTGGGTGTCCTCCGATTCAGTTCTGACACTCTCTACCTAAAGACCGCGTCCGATCCCAGAGGTTGAGGGCTCTGGGTGTCCTCCGATTCAGTTCTGACACTCTCTACCTAAAGACCGCGTCAGATCCCAGAGGTTGAGGGCTCAGTCTCACAAGACTGCCCCCCGACTTCCGCCGCCAACCGCAAGCCCCTGGTTGTTTTACCTGTGCTTCTGACCAAGCAGGTATAAATCAGGGTCCCCACTACCCTCCCCCTGGGTTTGATTAATTTGCTGGAGCGGTTCTACAGAGCTCAGGGGAACACTGCTTATGTTTACTGATTTATTATAAGGAATATTATAAAGGATACCGATGAGGCGACACATAGGGTGAGATATGGGGAAGGGGGACAGAATTTTCATGTCCTCCTCAGATGCAGCATTCTCCGTAAACCCCACGTGTTCAGCTACCGAGAAGCTCCTGTACCCCTTCCTCCTGGGCCTTTTTTTTTTTTTTTTTTTTTTTGAGACGGAGTCTTGCTCTGTCGCCCAGGCTGGAGTGCAGTGGTGCAATCTCGGCTCACTGCAAGCTCCGCCTCCCAGGTTCACGCTATTCTCCTGCCTCAGCCTCCCAAGTAGCTGGGACTACAGGCGCCCACCACCACGCCCGGCTAATTTTTTTTTTTTTTTTTTTTTTTTTTTTGGATTTTTAGTAGAGACGAGGTTTCACCGTGTTAACCAGGATGGCCTCAATCACCTGACCTCGTGATCCACCTGCCCCAGCCTCCCAAAGTGCTGGGATTACAGGCGTGAGCCACCGCGCCCGGCCTGTTTTTTGTTTTTTTTTTTTTTTTTTTTAGACAGGGTCTCGCCCTGTTGCCCAGGCTGGAGTGCAGTGGTGCAGTCTTGGTTCATTGCAGCCTCAACTCCCCAGGCTCAAGCCATCCTCCTATCTTGGCCTCCCAAATAGCTGAAACTATAGGCACGCCACCGCACCCAGCAAATTTTTACATTTTTTTTGTAGAGACAAGGTCTTGTATGTTGCCCAGGCTGGTCTTGAAGTTTTGGGCTCAAGCGATCCTCTTGCCTCAGTCTCTTTAAGTGCTGGGATTACAGGCATGAGCCACTGCGCTCAGCCCCTAATTAATAACTTTTAAATAATATTTAGACACATGGTGGGCGGCCTCCATTTGTTCTCTTGTTCCAGGGCCCAGAGGCATCGAGAGCCAGCCCAAAGACCTCTGCCGATGGCAAAGTGTTGTACTGACTCTCACACCTCTCCTTTCGAGAGGCTTCAAGGCATGATGGGACAATCACTGCATTTGAAACAAGATGACCCACTTTAGCTTAATTTTCTTCCATCATCATAAGTCAAAAGCGATCCTGCCTGCCTCCCGGCACTGCTTAGAAATCCCATGAAAGAGTGCACAGGTGGCCGGGCACAGTGGCTCTCACCTGTAATCCCGGCACTTTAGGAGGCCAAAGCAGGTGGATCACTTGAGGTCAGGAGTTCGAGACCAGCCTGGCCAACATGCTGAAACTCCGTCTCTACTAAAAATACAAAAATTAGCCGGGCGTGGTGGTATGCACCTGTAATCCCAGCCACTCCGGAGGCTGAGGGGGGAGAATCACTTGAACCCAGGAAGTGGAGGTTGCAGTGAGCTGAGATTGCACCACTGCCCTCCAGCCTCAGCAACAGAGGGAGACCCCATCTCAAAAAAAAAAAAAAAAAAAAAAAAAGAGTGCACAGGCAAGGGCTCCTCCCATGAAGAGGACCGGACAGATGGAGACCATTCTTCTTGTGCCCCAAGACTGGGGCTCCTATGCCTTACCTGCTTTCTAAGGCACTCCTGCTGGATTTTGGTGGCAAATCTGGGTAGTCATTTTTCATTCCGCAGGACTCCTCCTTACTCACAGTTGAGCCAAGGACAGCCAAGTGACCTGTGACATAACATTGTTCGCAAAATGAGCTGGAACAGAAAACAGTGTCTTGATCCTACCACTTGTTTCTCTTCTCCTCCCCAGGACATCATGACCTCCAGTGTGCATTCAACCTAACAGAGCTGCTAAACTCATTGCCTTTCTGCTCTGCCTCTCCTCTCTCCTGCAACACCCTCTCTGTCTCATAAATATAGTCACAATTTTCTCATGGTTTAAGCCAAGAAACAGTTAAAAACTCTAAAGTCTTTTATCCAATGCATTAAAAAACTGAGATACTAAATTAGATAAGTTGTTATCCGGTAGAACTCACGAAAGAATCAAATGTTCTCGACAAAATTTAGAACAAAATTTGACCCTGGAAAATGGAGGTGATAGAAATAAAGTCCACAAAAGGAAACTTGCCACGGCAGCAGCTATCATTGGTGAAAGTTGATATTGACAAAAATCGATCTATGAACCACAGTTCTGATATAAAATTCAAATGAAAAAGAATTGGTCCCAATGAAAATAATTTCAGTCCATTGGAAATGAAAAAGTGGAAAAATTGGAAATAGTTTAACCGAGCTTTTTACAGAATTGATCAAGGAATTAAATTGACTTAATGGAGTCCATTCTGGAAAACCCTTTCCCAAGAAAAATTCATCAGTCAGAGAACTTCTGAGTTACATATTTGTATTAAAAATATCTCCATAGGCTGGGTGCAGTGGCTCATGCATGTAATCCCAGCACTTTGGGAGGCCGAGGCAGGCGAATCACTTGAGGTCAGGAGTTCGAGACCAGCCTGGCCAACATGGTGGCAGACGCCTGTAATCTCAGCTATTTGCGAAGCAGGGGAATCGCTTGAACCCAGAAGGTGGAGGTTGCAGTGAGCCGAGATCACGCCACTGCACTCCAGCCTGGGTGAAAGAGCGAGACTCCGTGTCAACAACAACAAAAACAACAATATCTCCATAGGTATTTGGTAGTAAAAATGAAAAAAAGAGAGAAAAATGTCTCCAGTGGATCCTCCATGAGATTTTCATGAAGAACCCAGGAGTGCTGGTCTGTGGTGGGAGCTTCACCCGGGAGGAGTAGAGAGGGCTGGGAGAGGGTGATGTCTGGTACCTTTGGGCCCCTCTCCATAAAAATGTAGAAAAAATTAGATTATATGACTGCATAGATATACAGATGAATGCAATTCAGGCTGGATTCCTTATTTTAGATTCATTGTTATTATGTTCTTTTATTCTTCTGATTTTAAAATAAATTAAAATTAAACATTTTAAGGGCCCCTAAGAAGTATTGTGGGCCCTAGGCACTGTAGCTAACAGATAATTGGCCCTGGTGGGGTCTCAGGTCAAGGGGAAGCAGAAACGTCTGGGTGAACCTGGGGTGGGTGGGGTGGAGAGAAGAGGTGGGGCTGTCTCTGCATCTCCTTAGTGGACAGCGCCCGTGTGACCGCCACAGCCCAGCTCCCATGGATGGATGCTCTGCTCTTCCCTGGGCTGGGGTGTTCATTCAGGTGTCTCTTCGCAGTGGATCTTTCACCTCTTAAGGAGCCCTGAGTTCATTTCTGTATTGCAATAAAGAGCTCAGCTGAAACAAACACCCAGTCCTAATGTCCCCTCCTGAAAGTGGTGAAGCCCCTCCCAGAGCAAACTCATTTCATGGTTGTCCAGCCTTGGTTGCATCATCCACTGTGGAGAGCCAACTGGACATGTGTTTTCCTCTCTGATCTAGCTATGAGCTATTTGGGGCTGAGATTGGGTCTTTCTCTTTTGACCTAGCCTGCTACCATTAAACCCCATCAACATGCCAGTGTCGAGTGCCTATTGCATGCCAGACCCTGTATCCTGGGCTCTGGGAGGACCACATTAAGCAAGACACAGCCCTGCCCTCAAGGGGTTTATCCAGCGCTCGCTGAGGAAGGTTTTTTCAGCTTCGGCATTGACATCGGGACTGGGTAACTCTTGGTTGTGGGGGGCTGTCCTGTGCATTGTAGGATGTTTGGCAGCATCCCTGGCCTCTCCCACTAGATGACAGGGGGATTCCCTCCCTCCAATCGGTGACCATCAGAAATGTCTCCGGACATTGCCGAATGTCCCCTAGGAAGCAAAATAGCTTCCAGGTAAGAGCAACAGCTTGGGGAATGGGTGTTGACAATCAAGTCAGAGAGGACTCAGGGAGCACACTGTAGTGCCAACACACCCGTGGCTAGGAATGGAAGGGCAAGGGATGCGGGTCTGGCTGTGGGTGTGGGGTTATCAGGGATGCTTCATGGAAGAAGGGGCTGTTTAACTTGGGCCTTGGAGCTGGGCAGACCTCTGGAAGAACTGACAGTAGTATGGAGGAGGAGAATTGAGAGAACTCTTGCCAAGTAAAACTGAGGAGAAATAAGCTCATGTTCCTGCAGAAATGATTGGGCTTAGATACTAGGTAGATCTCATTATCAAATGGAGGGTGGAGGCAGGTATAAATACCTATAAAATTCTGAACAATACATGGGTTACCCATGGGCTAAATCTAGTCTGAAGATATATATTACTTGGTCTATCCGGTAATAATTTATGAAATGAATTTAAATGGTACCCACCATTCCTTATCATCCACGGACTCAATTATTCACTTATACATTTTCCCCTGCCTGGTTTCTGAAGTCTGGTGACAAATCTTCCCCTGCCTGGTTTCTGAAGGCTTGTGAGTTTGTAGTTTGAGTTTTTAAATATAAAAACTGTAGTGATTTTTCACTTGGGGTTTGTGGACCCTTTTCAGATCTTTGTATGAAATTCAGAGTATCTGGAGGCCCAAAAACTGTGGACAGGGACCTTAAACATACCTAAATTCTCTGAGCATTATTCTGGTGAGAGAGTCCCTGGCTTTTGTAGAGTTCTGCGAAGGTCACCCCTTAACCTCCTGAAAGAGGCCTAGCCGGGTGGACAGAGGTCTCTGCAGGGCCCTGGAGGAACTCTGTGCAATCAGCAAAGAAGAGACCCAGGGCTGACTTCTGCAACCTTTTACTCTCGGTCTATTTTAATTCAGTTGGTGATTTTTAAAAAATGAATATACTACGAGATCTGTTTACAGTTACAGTAGGCACTATGACTGTCACCAGAGGGCTGGGCACATTGATTTAAGGCAGCTGTGCAAAGTGAGTAACTTTGTGAACCGGAGAGGAAGGCTTAGATTAGTGATTTTTTCCCCCCATTAAGAGGCAGCTCTGGAGGGCAAGGAGCCAGAAAGGGAGACAAGAATTGCATCGTGGAGGTGGGAGTCAGGCTGGGAGAATGTGGGAGGCTGGTGTGAGCCCCACAAGGCCTCTCTCCCCTGGCCAGGGCCCACTGGCTGTGCTGCCTCCCAGCAAACCATTCTCAAAAGAGGATCTGGTTACTCCAGTTACATCGAGGTGTAGATGATGAAAACAACTTACAATTTAGTCTGCATTTTAACCGCAATCATGGTTCAGCCCAAGTCTCTGATTCCAGGCATAGCTTGCTAGGGGTTGAGGGAAAGGTAGGGAAGACCTTTGGGGAGGAGCCCGCAAAGTGGGGTGGGGGAAGAGGCAGGAGGCCTGTTCTTGGACCCAAAAGCTTTTCCTCAAGTGGGAGCTGGAACTGTTCTTTGAGACCCAACCCTGAGGTATTTCTTCTGTGTGGTTCCACCATGGGCAAAGACGCCTTTGCATTGAAAACACAGCAATGAAGTGTGATTTTCCTGGCTTCTCTTGGTTTTCTACCACTCCTACCTTCCTGCAGCTTCTGCCTGAGCATCTGCTGGGCCCACCAGGCCTGGGCTAAGCTCTGGATTCCCCAAGACGGTAGTCCGGCTGCACTGTGTGTGTGGGGGGGTGGTGATGGGGGGGATACGGGCACACACACATGGGTCTGGGGCTCACCTCGACCCTGAGAGCTTCTTGAACGGCCTAGAGCATCTTAGGAACCAGGAGAAAGGCACCTGATATAATTAATGAAGGTGAGCAAGTGCTCTGCAGACAGCCAAGCCCCAGCGACAGGGAGGAAATGTGTATTTCCCTTTCTTCTCTTCACAATCTCCCGGCCTCCCTCCTGACCATTCCTTGAGCTTTGCTCTCTGCTTCCCAACAAAAAAGAATGCCAGACATCAGCTAGTTCTCAACCTTGGCCAAACATTAGTGTCAGCTGGGTAGTCAATGGAATCAGCTGGTAGACTTTAATCAGTCCAAGAACTGATTAGCTCAGAATCCCTGGCAGGAGTGGCCCAGACATCAGTGTCTTTAAAATTTTTTTAAAGGCTTTAATTTTTAGAGTAGTTGTAGGTTCATAGCAAAATTGAGGAAGGCACAGAGATCTCCCACATATCCTCTGCCCCCACATGTGCACAGCCTCCCTCATTGTCAACGTTCCCCGCCTGCATCGGTGACTTTTAGAACTCCCCAGGTGATTCCAGTGTGCAGGCAAGTTTGACAGTCAGTGCTCTAGAAGAGCTTCTTAAACTTCACCGTGCACAGCAGTTACCTGGGATCCTGGTGACGTGTTAAATGCTGGTTCTGATTCAGCAGGTTTCGGGTGGAGCTGGAGATTCTTCATTCCAACAAGCTCCCGGGCCATGCTGATGCTGGAGAATGTAAAGAACATGGTCAAAGTGTTGTGAGGAGAACTCTAGCCCCCAGCCCCCTCTCCATTCTGTGGGATCTTTCATCCATCCATCCATCCATTCCCCCATCCATCCATCCACCCATCCATCCAGTTAACCAACCAATATCTATTGATGTGCCAGGGCCTGTGCTAAGATGCTGGGTATGAGATGGAGACAAAGGAGTCAAGCCCCTGTCTTCAAGAAGGTCACATTCCAGTGGGGGAAGAGAGGCAGTGTGCAGGTAAACCTGCACGGGAACAGGTCCTTACAGCAAGGTATTATGATAAGGAGCACCTGGGTGTCCGCCTTGGCTGGCTGGGCAGAGATGGCCACACCAAGGAGTTGACATTGGAGCTGATGACTGAGTGAGGAGAAGCAGCCAGCCCCATGAAAACTCGAGAGCCAGGGTGCCAGGCAGGAGGAGCGTGGCAGTCCATGAAGCCCTCTGAGGGAGCCCAGTGGTGGATTGAGGAGGCTGAGAATGAGGGAGGGTAGGGGCAGGGGACAGCTCACTGAGGGCCTTGCAGACCTGCTGAGGAATTTCAATTCCATTTTCAGGTATTGGGAAGCTATTGGAGAGTTTTGAACAGCTGATGTTATTTTCCAAAACAATGACTCTGCTGGCTACATGGACACAGGCTTGCAGGGAGGGAGGCAGGGGCAGAAATCCCATTGGCAAACAAAGTGGCATCCGAAATGTCACACACACACACACACACACACACACACACACACACACCCCAAATCCTGTTTCCTCCACATACCTTAAAATGGAAGCAGTGCCATTGGAAGAAGCACTGCTCTCAGGCTCAGGAGAAGACCCAGTCTTTCAAAGACTCCTTTGGGAATGTCCAGACTTCCCACTTCAGACAGTGGCCCTTCTGCCATCCACAGCTGGACGTCCTTGATTCCCCATTAGTCCTCACTCCATACAGCCAGCGCACCGGCTCTGCCATGTGTCCTAGTCAACCCACCTCTCTCCACCCCTTCTCAGCCCTGGCCCCCCTTCCCTCTCACCACAGCTCCAGCATCCATCTCCTTAGGAGGCTTCTTGCTTCCACTCCTGCCCCTGCAATCCTGTGTCCACACAGCCACGGAGTCACCAAGATGTGAAGAGGCAAAGTCACTGGCTCCACACCCACAGCTGGCCAGCAGGGAACAGTCGACCCCCGACACGAAGCGGCTTTTCTCACAGCTACTCGAGCGCGAATCGCAGGGTGGCACTCAGGGGTATTCCCCAGGAATAAAACATAACTATCTTAAAGTTTATGAAGTAATTGGCACCTTAAGATGGAATATTTTTGGTCAGGTGTGGTGGCTCATGCCTGTAATCTTAGCACTTTGGGAGGCTGATGTGGGTGGATCACTTGAGGTCAGGAGTTCGAGACCAGCCTGGCCAACATGGTGAAACCCTGTCTCTACTAAAAATACAAAAATTAGCTGGGCATGATGGCACATGCCTGTAGTCCCAGCTACTTGGGAAGCATCTGTGTGCTGGTTCTATTGTCAAATCTGATTTTCTATACTTTTTTTTTTTTTTTTTTTTTGAGACACAGTCTCACTCCGTCACCCAGGCTGGAGTGCAGGGGCCCCGCCTCCCAAGTTCAAGCAATTCTCCTGCCTCAGCCTCCCGAGCAGCTGGGATTACAGGCTGCGTCACCATACCTGGCTAATTTTTCTATTTTTAGTAGAGATGGGGTTTTGCCATGTTGGCCAGGCTGTTCTCGAACCCCTGACCTCAAGTGATCCACCCACCTCGGCCTCCCAAAGTGCTGGGATTACAGGCATTAGCCATCACACCCCACAAAAAATGTATTTTTAAAAATTAAAATACAGCTTTAAATAAGACAACCAGGCAACATGTAGACAGGCCTTTGGGTGGGTTCCTGTTGGTGAGAGCTCAGACATAATGAGACAGAGAAGTGCTGACAGCCGAGGAGAAACAGAAACACAAGAGAATGGCCCCATTTCCCCTCTCCTTTCATGCCAAGCCTAGGGCCAAAGGAGACAAGACATGGCCCTGCCTAAGTGCACACCGGGAAGCTCTTTTCCAGATTCCCATAGATGTGAAGGCACCAAGATGAAGAGAATCCAACTGCGAGTCTACAGACCAGGGTTTTACTCCAGCTCCGTCACCAGGACGTTGACCCCACACAGTCCTCACACACACACCGCTGCTCCGCCACTGAGAGGAGGTGCCCACTCGGCCAGTCTCTTAGGGCCATTCTGAGGATAAAATATGTCATTATTTTCATGAAATGAGCTAAAAAGTATAACGTAGGAAGGTTCTTTAGAATCTCATTAATTCAAACTCTAATTTGGAATTTGAAAAATTTTAAACGGTTTCATTTTTCACAGCAAAGAATAAAATTGTGTACCTCCCAAAGCTGTCACTTCATGGACTCACAGAAGGCAGAGACTTCATCTCACTCATCACTGCATCCCTTGCAGCCAGCACAGTGCAGGCTGTTTGCTGTGCATCTGTGTATTCACTTGTGTGTGTGTGTGTGCGCGTATTTGCACGTATTAAACACACGCTGTGTACATTTTAATTTGTAATAGAGGCAGCTTTTTGAAAGTCCACTAGGGAAGAGAGCAAATAGCAGGAGAGGGCTGGAGAGAGGCTAGAGGGGTTTTTATGTTGGGTTATTCAAAAAATAACATCAATGGAAGTTGAAGAAATGGAGGCACATGCTAAGAGACTCAATTGCTGAAAAAACTTCCTGTCTCTGCTTTTGGGCTTTTCTAACCATTTAGTGGAGCAAATACCAATTTCAGCAGATCTGATATAGAGTCCACAGATGAAATGGACTAATTATCTTACCTGGCGAATGTAGGAGAGCTCTGGGGCTGAGATCTGCCTCCCTGGTTGAGCCCACTGTGTAGACGGTGGAGTCAGGAGATAGTGGATTATAGTTATTGCCTGGGGACGATGGGTCAGAACATGGAATTTGGAGTCAGACATACCTGGGCTTGAGACCTTGTTTATCAAATAGCTAAATGGTTTCTGGCAAGTTGTTAACTTCTCCAAGTTTGTTTTTTCATCCGTGAAGTTCACAGACTTCCTCCCAAGGTTGTCAAAAGGATTAGAAAGAACACCCGTGGAGTCTTCTAGCAAGAGCCCGACCCACTGTGGGAGCTTAGACACTCTGGCTCTTCGTGTTGGCCCCACTGCTCTGCCTGTGATTTTGGAAAGGAAAGGCCATCCAAAGCTTACCCCAGGGAAGAGCACTCCAGGCCAGTCAGCTGTGGACTCAGTTATTTATGTTAACTAGTTATGACTCATGACAGGGACAGGTCTCATCTTTGCTTTTGGCAGGTAGCACAATCAGTAGGAAGGTGTTCAATAAATACGTAGTGAAAAGAACTGCACGAACTTCAGCAAGCTCCTTAACCCATTTATGCCAGGGGTTACAATTTTTTGAATTTTTGCACGAATGAAAAATCAGACCTTGGCGATGACCTTGAGCAGTAGGATGTAAATAACTCCCACATGCTTAGCATTCCGATAATGGAACACTAGGCAGCAGTGTTTCTTTTTCTCACCTACCAGGAGTCGGGCTTCCAGAGTCATGGTGAGCAGTTAATGAGAGTTAGTTTGAGGAGCACCTGTAATGGTGCCTGTTTCCTCTTCCTATTCCTAAATGCTCATTAGCAAGAAACACTAACCCAGGACCATGGTTTCCAGTACCCCAGACACTGAAACCTACTAATTCAAGCTCACAAGAAGTTGCCTAGGTAATTTCTTCTGATGGATATTTTCAGATGAAGAGAGTGCCTCTTTCTGTTGCCTGCAGTAGCTGAGAAGATAGACAGACACTTTCCCTAAGACTACCTTGCCACGCCATTGATAGGAATCTGTTTGGGGCCTCCCACTGTATTCAACTGAATTGCAGAAACTTAACTTCATTGGTGTTAAAAAGGAAAGATGACAGAATAACAGGCATTAAATTAAGATCATGCATCTTTGCTATATGTTTGCTTAAAAACAAGACCTCTTCCTCACCCCACTTCAGAGATTTACTTCCTTCTGTAGTCCCCAGAGAGATGAACTCTCTTTACTAGATTTTCTGAACTGAAATGGAGCAGCCATTCTTATCTCAGTGATTTCACTAGGTGCTGACAGAACAGAGCAAACTCCCAGGGAGACACCAGCTCTTCTGACGTTAAGCTTAGATGCAATGAGCTTTGCGTTGCTTAAGAACATCTTATCTAAACTGTGTATTTAATACCAGTTGTCCACTGCTCTATTTCTGGTCCTTCACAGGACTTTTTTTCCGCCCCTTTTGCTGTTCTCTTTGCTACTGCTCTTTGATGGCTTGCTTTGCAGTCCTGTCATTTTGTGAAATCCTCCTAGAAAAGGATTAGCAAAATTACACAGTGTTGCTGCTACTTAACATTCAGGAAATGCAGCATACGCATGCAAGTTATCAATCATTCTTACCAGATGGTAAATGTATCTCTTTTCACCAGAAATTGAGCAGCAAACATTCAAATTCATCACCAATACAACATTTACATTCACATCCATTTTCAGTTTGACATCCTTAATGAGCTGGTATAATGAAAATCAATACTTTATCCCTATATTGTTATTTGTAAGTTACGATAGTGCAGACTTGGGATTAAAAAATTATCATTAAACAAAATCTCACCACTACTTGCACTTTTATATACTCTGTCTATACTTCCCACCAACCCGCTCCCAGTACCCCAGAGTTCTGCATTCCGAATGAGCTAATGAAAAAGGCATACAGGTAAGAAGAATAAAAACCTAGAAGTTGTTGTTGTTTTTACCACTGCTTAAATTTAGTGGTTACCTTTTGTTAGTTTATTACAAACTTTGAGAGCAGAGTTCTCTATTTATTGGATTGTACCATGAGGCAACTGAAGTCTATGGGGTGAAAGAGTAAATTCTTCTTTTATTGAGACGGAGTCTCACTCTGTCACCCAGGCTGGAGTGCAGTGGCATGATCTCAGCTCACTGCAACCTCTCCCTGCAGGGTTCAAGTGATTCTCCTGGCTCACCCTCCTGAGTAGCTGGGATTATAGGTGCGCACCACCATGCCTGGCTAAATTTTGTATTTTTCGTAGAGACGGGGTTTCGCCGTGTTGCCCAGGCTGGTCTTGAACTCCTGACCTCAGGTGATCTGCCCACTTCGGCCTCCCAAAGTGCTGGGATTACAGGCGTGAGACACCGGACCTGGCCTGAGTAAATTCTTGATGCTCTAATGGCTGAGCCAGGGAGCCCTGTATTCTGAGTACCAAGTCTAGATTTCTGCCCAACTAATGTTCCCTACAGATTTCAGTTTTGTCCTTCAATGATTATCATCGAATTAAATGGCAACCCTTTGAGTGGTTGCTACTGGCTGAATTGTGTGCCCCTCACCACTCACACGTTAAGTCCTAACTCCCCGGCATCTCAGAACGTGACTGCATTTAGAGACAGGCCTTCAAAGAGGTAATTAAGGTAAAATGAGGTCACATGAGTGGGCCCTAGACACAGAGAGCACAGTTGGAGAGACAGCCTTGAGGATACAGCAAGAAGGCACCATCTGCAAGACATGGTGAGAGGTCTTGGAAGAAACCAAACCTACCAACATCTTAATCTTGGACTTCAAGCCTCCAGAATTGTGAGAATAATAAATTTCTTGTGTAAGCCACCCGGTCTGTGGTATTCGTTAGAGCAGCTCTAGCAAGCTAATACAACAGGGTCCAGATTGGAGGAAAATGCAGAATTTACACTGTATTTACACGTATTTTCCTCTATAATGGAGATACATTATTAATTAGGGCTCATTTGTTGCAAGTAACAGAAACTAAATCCAGCCAACTTCAGCAAATGTTAAGAATTTATCCAGCCGGGCGCGGTGGCTCACGCCTGTAATCCCAGCACTTTGGGAGGCCGAGGCGGGCGGATCACGAGGTCAGGAGATCGAGACCATCCCGGCTAAAACGGTGAAACCCCGTCTCTACTAAAAATACAAAAAAAATTAGCCGGGCGCGGTGGCGGGCGCCTGTAGTCCCAGCTACTCGGGAGGCTGAGGCAGGAGAATGGCGTGAACCCGGGAAGTGGAGCTTGCAGTGAGCCGAGATTGCGCCACTGCAGTCCGCAGTCCGGCCTGGGCGACAGAGCGAGACTCCGTCTCAAAAAAAAAAAAAAAAAAAAAAAAAAAAAAAAAAGAATTTATCCTAAGGATACAGTGGTACCTCGCGGAACCTGAGAGGAATACAGCTGGCCTCAGAAGGGCATTGGATCCAGGGCCTGGAGCATTGTCTTCTGTTTCTCATCTCCGCTTTTCACTGTATTTCTGCTTTAGTTTTTTAATCCATCCCATTTTGAATTCCTGGGGAAAAGACTGATTGGTCGGCCAGCTTGAGTGAGGGGGATTCGCCCCTCGTCTAAGTCATGGCCAGAGAAGGCAGGGTCACATGGCATACAGTGGCCGCCAGAGCCTGTGGCTATGAAGGGAAGGAGCACTCATCAGACTGCCAAGTAAGTTCTCTGGAGTATGGAGGGCCCACCCCACTCAAGGGCAATGGGGAGATGAATATGAGATGCTCAGTGTGCTAAGGCAGAACAGCCAACGTATTAACAGTTTGGCTACAAGCAGCAAAATCAAAGCAAGAGCAGCTGGAGAGCTCATTCAGCCCAAGACTTCTTGCAACCTTATGGCCATTTCCCAACTGAAGACGGTGGGGAAGG
Source organism: Homo sapiens (assembly GCF_000001405.40). Classification (NCBI taxonomy): domain Eukaryota; kingdom Metazoa; phylum Chordata; class Mammalia; order Primates; family Hominidae; genus Homo; species Homo sapiens. The sequence continues at coordinate 69,272,927 of NC_000015.10, read as the reverse complement.
AAAAGCTGCCAAGAATGTTGATTAGTAGCCTGTCAAAATCTGTGCACCCATCAGCTGGAAAAAGTTGATTCGTGATCAATTGTAATTCCATTACACAAATGGTGCAGAATGTTTATAATCCAAAAAATACTGTGCAATGAAACATAACATGAAGCAAGACTCTGGTCTCTGGTTTTGTCTGTTTGGGAGGTTAAATCATTATTCTTTGAGAAGGGGGTAAACATTAAATAATGCTAATTGTTCTGAAGAGGCAAGTAGAGAAAATATATGAGGGACAAACTCTCAAATAAATCTAAATAAAAAATGGTTACCCAGTCTGAATGAGCATGGGAAAGGCCATCCTCTCACCTGGCATGGACACCTGTTTTTGCTCAGGTTACTCCCTCCTCTTCTTCCACCTGGACTCCACCCCTGGAACACCAGCTTAGGCTCTGTCTCTTCCCTAACACCTTCCCTGAGTACACAATTTAGCATTTTATTTTTCTTCGAGTTTTTAGTATACATTGTGCTCCCCCTTGAAGACTAAGGGTCCTTAGGATTAAAGCCCATGCATACTCTTTGTTCCCACACATTGTCTGACAGGGCTTGGTATGCCTTTGATGAACAACATTTGTTGCCTGACTTCTGGTCACGGGTTGAACAGGAAATGGTCAGAAATCTGCTTGCTGGGCTCAAATAACCTTAGAATAATTTGAGAAGAAAGAGAAATATCCAGGTATATTCTTTTTAAGAAAAAAACTTTATTTTACAGTTTTATAAAGCGGCTTTACATTAAGCACAAACAATCCATTTACTTTGTATAGAAACAAAATACCTTTCCATCTGCAAAAAATCAAGTTTTGCTGTATATAAAACTAACATGTGCACATTGTGCTTAAACTGCAAAGTCTGTACAGCTTTACAAAGGACTACCCTTCAGAAGGGCATCCTGTAAACACTTTATTGCATATTTAACATATGGTATATAACCCACATGTACAATGGAAGAGAAACAAGAAAAGCAACCACAAGGAGGATGAAAATAGCAGCTTTCAGTGAGAGTCTGCACTGAGAAAGGAGAAGGAGCCACGTCTGGAGAGTTGTGCTTGTGTCATTTTTGCACTTGCTTCTGTGCGCTGGATGGTTCGTGGATGAAGCCTTTATGTACAATAACTCCTAAAAGGTCAAACTTGACCTTCATCCAGAAACTTTTGGCTGGTTTTACAACTGAAGTAGCAATAGATTTAACATCAAAGTGAACTCAAGATAAGTGGAAAAACAAAAACAAACCTAATACCTATAATCTTAAAGCAAAGAAAAACTTAAAGAAATAAAACAATAAAATTTAAAAATACCCTCCCCATTCTCTCTAAGCTCAGAATAAGTAAACATTTTACATAATTTAAAACCCTAGAAAATTCTGTAGTTGTTTAGAGGCAAAAATGCAATGGATAGTCCAGGGCAGTGTTCCTCCCTGTATGCCCCCAGCTCACCTGCATCAGAATCACTTGAATGCTCATTACAAATGCAGACTATCATACTTCACAGGCAGATTTACTGACTCTGGGATCTGCATTTCAATAAGCTCCCAAGTGATGCTGAGGCATTTTAAAGTTTGAGAACCACTGGTCTGTACTGACAATGCTGCTATAGATTCAACTCATCCTCTTAGAAAATTCTGGGATCACAAGAAATCAACTTGCTGTTGCAATGTGGAAGGCAGTGTAAAACCAACAGCAAGGAAATCACAACGCTATTTCTAGATCAAAACGTCTTTCCTTCTTCAGTGGAAAAGGACAGCCACATTGTTAAGGCACGATATTTGTCACAGAAGCAGTACCATACTGTTATCATCGAGTCTCATAATCTGAAGACCAGTATGCAAACAAAGCAGACGTATGAACCATTCTAAATAATAACAAATATGGGGAAGTAAAAAAGGTTCCCAGACTGGAGAAAGTTTATTTTGAACATCGGCACTGGGAATAAAAATTAGGGGAGACCAGATATTCTTGCTGAGACATCTAACATATATGAAATGCAAAGGTCAAAAGCTAGGGGTAAGCCTAATAACTCAAAAAAGTGTTTTTACTGTGAACAAAATTAAGAAGAGTGTGGTCACATCAATTGGGAGTTCAAGCTTACTTTTCTATGGCCAGTCTAATGTCTTCAGTGCAGATCTGTATCTTCTTTGCTTCTGCCCCCTTTGATGCTAACATATATATGTTTTCCAGTTTCTAAGTAGTGCTTGATAGTTTGAATTCAATTAAAATATAGTGTGTAAGCAGGTAACCTACCTGGCTCCTAAATGTGTACTTGATATAGGTCACAGATAAATGTATTGTGTTTGTCAGACTCGGTCCCCTGAAAGTGTAGGGTATCATATTTTCAAACTGTATAAGATATAGTATTGATTTAGTGTACTGTCACAGCAAAATCAACAACCCTCGGTTTTATTTAATGCCTGAAGCCCTATAGCAGACACTGCCCATTGTATGGGGGCTCTGAAATCTATTTATGTGCGGTATAGGAGGATATGTATACCTAAATAAAGATCTGATTACACATAAGTGCAGTAACATCCCTTCTATCTAATAGCTGGGATAATTTAAAATTAAATTAAAAAAAAACACCCAATGATGCACAGACTTACTAGTTTGGGAAGCTGATGATCAAGAATGATCTTGGTAGGAAAAAAAAACTTTGCTATGATTTCTTGCATATAGTATTTGATCTAATATTTTTATTTAAAGGGGGAAAAATCCTAAAAAAGTAAAATATGGTGGTGGCCTTAAAGCTACTAGCTCCTTTCCAAATTTAGATTTGTAATAAGTTTCCAAAATAATGTCCCAAAAATATCTCTCTCAAAATATACAAAACTCCAAGGTATAGTCTGAAATAAAATACAAAATTCTAGACAGTGACAAAAAGAAACTGTCACAATGGGGGTTGGGAAGGGATATACTGATTATCAAACTTTTACTGATTGTAGATCAAGTTTCAAAACAGAAACATTTTTGTAATTTCTTGTGCAGTCAACAAGTTTCATTTTAGTTGTGCTTACATTATATAACTGAAGCCTGAACACTGATTGTGTTTTTAATTTACACGTTTCAAGAAAACCATAATTAAATATTCACCATATACAACAAATTGAACAAATGCAACAAATACTCATTTGCTCCCAAGAAATTAATCTTTAGAAAGGAAACATCTTTTTAAAAAGTTGAACACAGTCTGCTATCCAGGCTACAAGTACATATTTACTGTGTTACAGCACATTATTTTTTTTAAAGTCCGCTTTCAACATAAATATAAATAATCACATTTTAAAAGAGCTCCATACTAAGTTTTCAGGTAAGTGCTAGACAGTTGGCCAGTAGCAACTACTTACCATTATCTTTCTCACATAGAGTGACTAGACTATCTGCGAAACTGTATAGGGTGATGGGCAAGGCAAAGTGAAGCATCTTTGTTCAGCCCATTGATTAAACATTGTGTTCTAAATGCCACCTACATTTCTAAATACCCAACCCATGGAATGCAATTATTTTAGAAGGCTGGTTTTAAGGATCACTTATCACTTTGATAGAATCCACAAAAACCTAGTACATAACCTTTTAAAATGTGCCTATGCTCTCCTGAGACAGAGCCTGTAGTTTCTGTGTACAGCAGAGGCTGAAGTGCAGTTTTGGTTGTGAGCTCTAGTTGTGCTTTGCCCTGCTGCCTTTAAGGTAGCTTTTCCACCTCTTGACAAATTCTTTGAAGACTGGGGACTCATCAATGGTACTGAGTAGCTGCAACTGATTGATGTGGGTGGTATGATAGTCCCAGCGAGCCAGGTTAGGAGCGATGCCAAGCATGAAGTGACGGAGGTCATAGATGGTTCCTGAGCCAGTGTCATACAAGGGCAGCATGGCTTTAAGAGATTCCATGCCACGCTCATACAAGGACCTTGCTTCTTTTCCGAGTTTTTCCCCTGCAGTTTCTTTTAAGTCATACAGCCCAATTAAAGAATACATAAAGCCATTTAAAACAAAAGAGCTAGGTGTGGTTGGATATTCTTCATACCAGTCATGTTTATTCATAAACACAGCTTTAACTCCATGCTGCTCAGATAGAAACTTATAAGGGGCTGTTGCCCTTAAAGCTGAATTGAGGAATATATGGTCTTTTGTTAACAGATAGGCCCTGACTAATGTAGAAATGGCTTGCCCTTGGGCCATGGCAGAATACCATCCTGGCTCTAAAGACTTGAACCCTTCCCCTAACTTACGGGTCACCATAATTGGCCAGCCACCTTTCTCATCCTGGTTCCTTACTAGCCAATCACTAGCAGCAAAAAATGCAGCCATGTGGGCTGTGGTAGAGATGGTAATGTTGTCGAGGAATCCCTTACCTTTTGCAATCAACCTAACCACCTTCTTGGGCATTATTTTGGTTGGCTTGACAGCTTTTGTGTTTGAAAGACCCACTCCTTTCCTGAGGTCAGTGACCAGGTCCCTGGTAACTGTGCTCCATGAAGTTCTGGGCCCAATGCCATAGTATATATCTCTTTCTTTAAAAGCAATTAGCTGAGCATTTGAGACATAATGTATAGTGAAGAGCTGATTCTTTTCTGTGGTCTCTAGAACCACGGACACACTTCCATTTGTCAAGAACTTGAGGTCAAATGAAATAATAAAATCTTTTGTGTTTCCCAGTTGCAAGGATACACCTTCACTGGTTTCTGTAGGGGAGAATATACCAACAAAGACTGGTTAGAATAAAAGCACTTTTGTATTTGAAATTGAATTGCAATTCATCCTTGAAAACCCTGACCGCACAAAATTAACACTTACATATTTTTAGTATCAGATCATTTGTAATTTTATTTTTTATTAAATTAAACAAAAACAAATGACAGAATTGGTGAGTTCACGATGGCTTGTGAGCATCAGGCCAAAGCTCTTACCTTTTGCCCTGTCTAGGTTCTAGCAGAGGATTGAGAGCAAATGGCTAAGGTATTGTTGATCAAAACTGCCTTTCCTAAATCTAGTACTAGCTGATCAGTAATCAATGACTATTCTACTATACCCATTCTGCAAACAGAAAAAAAAAAAAAAGCCAAAACCTGGCTCAGCACATAATATTGCAAGAAAGAGGCTAGAAAAAATGGTTATACATGAATTTTAAACTATTTAACATTTAATATGTACTTACTATGTTCTAAGGGCTTTACACCTATTTATTCATTTAATCCCCTGAACAATTACAAGGGTAGGTGCTATTACTATTACTTTATGGATGAGGAACTGAGACACAAAGAAGTAACTTGCCCAAGGTACAAGACTTGAACCCAGGTTGCCTGGTCTCGCTCCACAACACATTATTAATTTGATTTTGAAAATGATAGATTTGTTTTCACATACTTGCTAGAAGTGCTAATAAAATTTCTGGAAATTAAGCAATGGGCTCATGTGTACAACAAAAAGTGAGAGAATGGTGGAGTGACAGGGTAAAGCTCAGGCTTTGGAGTTTAAAAACCTCAGATTTGAATTTTTGTTCAACCACTAGCTTTGAGAAGTCTGGCAAGATGCACCTCTTTGAGCCTCAGTTTCTTCACATGTTAAATAGAGATAATATTACTTTGCAGGGTAATTGTGAGGATTTTAAGAAAGACAATGGAGTGGAATATAGTAATAAATGATGGTTATTATTCCGAAGCCACTGGCTTCAGAGGTCAAAAAGTTAAAGCTGTTTTATTTGACAAATTATTAAAGAGAAAATTTCTCTTGAATATTTATAGTATTAATGATGGCTAATTCCCAGAAAGATGACATTTTGAATACTGCTCATCTAGATCTACCAAGAAACTGAGCATATTAAAATAGCAGTAGCAGCAGCAAGAATAAGAACAACAAAAATATACGTAGTACAAATTTTAAAATATTAAAGGGAAATCTTCCTATCTTGATCTTTTCACAGCTTAAATGTCCAAAACGCATTCACATGTATTATCTCACTTGATACTTAATCTTCTGAAGCTGGTAGGGCAGGAATTATTATATTACATCTCCATTTTAGAGGTGAAGATATGTAGGCTTTGCAAGGTTAAATGGTTTGCCCAATGCCAAAAGCTAATTAGTTGTAGAGCAGGGACTAGAATCCAGGTTTCCCGGACTCAGGTTCAGACTGTGAAAAAGACAAATGATATTGGAGATGGTATTCTTATGAGAATATTCAATAGAAAGGTTCTCTTAGATGCAGCCATAGAAGCAGATCTATGCTTTGCAGAATCCTTGAAAAAATCTTTAGTGTGTCACCAGGAGCAAAGATCAGAAATGTGAACTGGGCCAGGCACAACTGGTCACACTCAGCAGTTTCGGAGGCCAAGGCAGGAGGACTGCTTGAAGCGAGGAGCTTGAGACCAGTCTGGGCAAGAAAGCGAGACCCTAACTCTACAAAAAATATAATACAATAGCCAAGTGCAGTGGCATGTGTAGTCCTAGGTACTTGGGAGGCCAACGTGGGAGGACTGCTTGAGCCCAGGAGTTTAAGGCTGAAGTAAGCTATGATCACACCACTCTTGTTCTGGGTGACAGAATGAGACTCTGTCTCTTAAAAAAAAAAAGAAAGGGAAAAAGGAATGTGAACTGATGATAGTGTATACTTGGAGGGTGTCAGTATGCTGAGTTGATCATTTAACTCTTGCAACACTGGACTCAAGCAGTATGGTTATATTTGTCCCAAGGCTCTTAATTACTTCATTGGATGGAACAGACAATTCTGAAAGTTGTATCAAGAATGAGAACATCCTCATAGACTTATGCATCAAACAATGCTCTGAGTAACTTAATAGAAAAACTGATTGCAGAAGTAAACTTCTAATACAGTAAAAAATCCATCTTATCTGGCAAAATGTCAACATGTACTCTCTCTCTTAACTAGCATTTTTCTGCATCTATAGTAAAATGGGATCTGAAGTTCAGGACAACATCCCTGAAACACTGCAGGATTCTGAACTGACTTATGAACCACTCAAGATTAAATTATATTCAGTGGAGCAGACTATCTTGAGTGCTTATTTTTTCATTCTCATCAGATGGGATTATTAACTATGACGTCTATTCTGGCCAAACTGGATAACAATGACCCATCTTTAGAAGTCCAAGTGTGAGGAAGCTGGAAAAGTACCCATTTCCTCCCAGAATTTCGGAAGCTGGAAGAGTACCCATTTCCTCCCAGAATTACAATTTTATTTACACAAATTTAATGAAATGACATGGTTTAATCAGTCACCTTATATCTTCATATGACAAACCAGTCCAAAGAACTCAGTAATGAACGATGTCAAGGGATGTAACCTTTTAAAAAGCCAATGTATTAATTTTCCTAAGACCTTAACACCAGCAGAGGGTGTTACTGAGTCATCTAGGAGAAGTGACAGAAGTCACAATCCTCAATTTAAATTAACCAACCAACAATTATAATCTTCACAACAATCTTACAAATCATTTAATTCCCATTTTATAGATATACAGAGGACGTTAAATAACCTCCTGGCATCATTCACGAGGACCTGAATGGGAGCAAATGGGATGGTGGAAACCAGTTTGGCAATGTACCAGGTAAGGTTCTGAGCTCTACTGGAGGTACTAGGCTATCTGAAGATTCCTCCTTCAAATCTAATAGAAAGTTTTGTTTTTTTTTTATTGTTTGAAAGCCATGACCCATCCTCTCCTAACCAGTTATTCCCAGTAGTTACTATAACTGTTTATTTTTGGTATATGTGACACATATATATGCACTTTAGGCAATAAAGGATGATCAACATTTAAGAATACTTTTGACATTGGTCTTAGCAATGATTGTTTAGATTTGACATCAAATGTACAAGCAAAAGGGGCACAGAAAAACAAGTGGGACTACATCAAACTAAAAAGCTTTTGCACAGCAAGGGAAACAATCAACAAAATGAAAAGCAACCTATAGAATAGGAGAGAATATGTACAAACATATATCTGATAAGAGGTTAATATCCAAAATCTATCAGGAACTTATACAAATAGCAAAAAAAAATCTGATTAAAAAATAAGCAAATGATCTGAATAGACACTTTTTCAAAGAAGACACGAGTGGCCAAAAGGTATATAAAAAGGTGCTCAACATCATTAATCACGAGGGAAATAAATGCAAAGCAAAACCACAATGATATATCATCACCTTACACCTGTTGGGATGACTATCATAAAAAAGGGAAGAGATAAGAAGTACTGGTGAGGATATGGAGAAAGGGAAACCCTTGCGCACTTTGGGTGGGAATGTAAATTGGCATAGTCATTAGGAAACAGTATGGAGGTTCCTCAAAAAATTAAAAATAGAACTACCATATGATCCAGCAATCCCACTTCCTGGTATACAACCCAAGGAAATGAAATCAATAACCTCAAAAAGATACCTGCACTCCCATGTTCTTTGCAGCATTATTCACAATAGCCAAGGCATGGGAGCAACCTAAGTGTCTAGTATAGATAAAGAAAATATGGTGTAAATATGTGTGTGTGTGTGTGCACGTGCACACACATGTGTGTATACACACACACATACCTATAGAATAGAATATTAGCCATAACAAAGAAGGAAATCCTGCCGTTTGTGACAACATAGACGAACCTTGAAGGAATTATGCTACGTGTGACAAGTCAGAGAAAGATACTGTATGATCTCACTTATATGTGGACCTCCAAACAACTGAACTCACAGAAACAGTAGAATGGTGGTTGTCGGGCTGGGGGGGTGGGAAAAATGGGGAGATGTTGATCAAAGGGTACAAACTTCAGATATAAGATGAGTAAGATCTAGGGGTCTGATGTACAGCATGGTGACTACAGCTTATAATACTGTATTGTATGCCTGAAATGTGCTAAAATATCTCTTAAATGTTCTCACCACCACCAACACCATACAAAGAAAGGTAACTATGAGGTGATGGATGTGTTAACTAATTTAATTATGGCAGTCATTTCACAACATATATGTATATCAAAGCATCACATTGTATACATTTGCCAGTTATACCTCAATAAAGCTGGGAAAAAAAGCCTTTAAATCAATGTTTCACATCCAACAAAAACTGTTAATCAATCCATTCGTTTAATCAACAGATTTACTATGCAGCATGAGAAGAGGCCCTACTCAAAATCTTAAGAAACACCAAGAGAAAGAAGAATCAGGCAGAAGAAGAGAAGCTCCCAAGAAGCCTGAGAAAGAATGGCTACAGAAATAGGAGAAAGTGAGGTCATGGAAATCAAATGAAAAGAGTGCTTGGGGAAAGGGAAAGCTAATTTAATTTAATAGAGTAGGACAGGCCTAAAGTTTCAATTCATTCAATTTTAAAATTAGAAAAAGGAATAAAACATTATTCGACAAATAAAACAACAAAAATATGCTGCAGACCCATATTATATGCCTCTTCACTCATATTTGATTTTATCCCCTTTCAGAAAAAAAAATCGAAGGCCAAGAAAGAAAAAAAAAAAGACCAACAGCATTCAGCTTGTGGTCCTCCAGGGTCTCACCTCACTTGAGCCTATGCTTTTATGTACAAGTTCCAATTTCCTCTTAATGGTGATTCTCTGAATTTATCTCCCATGAGGTCTATATCCTCTAAAAAGCCTCATTTCTCATACCTATGCTTCAATAAAATAGTCTCACCTCTTTGATTCCCTTCTCCTGCTCTGTTCTGAGCAATAACTCCCATGTAACTCCAACTCACCTTCTCTCATACTCTTATAGTATGCAACTGGAGAGGCAGCATCCTTAGTTCAAAAATCCGAAATCTGAAATGCTCCAAAATCCAAAACTTTTTGAGTGCTAACATGATGCCACAAGTGGAAAATTCCAGATCTTCCCTCATGATGGGTCGCATATATTATTAAAAATATTATAATATGTTACCCTCGGGCTATGTGTATAGCATATGAAATATAAAAGAATTTTGTGTTTAGACTTGAGTCCCATCCCCAGGATATTTATGTATATGTAAATATTCCAAAATCTGAAACACTTCTAGTCCCAAGCATTTCAGATAAGGGATACTCAACCTGTACATGCACACACAGAATTCCATTCCCAGCTAGCACGCTTCCACCAACAGGGAGTTCCAACTTAGAACAGCTGTGTCCCACTCGCAGAGTGGCTGTTAGAGACAGAGTTCTCTCCTCTATATGCTTAAAACCATCTTAGGAAGTAGTTTTATCTCCAGCTACTGGCTACAGAATGAGGGGCTAAGGATCCCTCATTTAAGATGTGGGGACCTATCTTTTGTATTACTCAAAGCACCCAAAAGTGCACAATGAAATCTGTTGCTCTAAATAGGACAGAGTTCAAAAGACTGTCCTAGAAAACCTTCCAAACACTCAAGGAGATCAAGGTGAGGGCTGCTGATTCCACCCTAATCCAGACAACCATTATTAACTAGTGCAAAAATAAGTTTCTTGAGTGCACCCAAAAGTTCTTTTGCATAGTCTAATCATTTCCTGTTGCAATAACCTCTTAGGTATCACAAGCTAAATATTCTTAAAAATTTAGTTGTACTTTCTCACTCAGCCAAACCTGTTGTTTACAATAAGCAAAGATGCTCTGTGTACCAGAATATCACAGAATGCCATGGGAGAAAAGGAGTTCTAGTGACAGAATAAAAATTAAAGGTCATCTATTATTTGCACTGCATTCAGTACTCATAAATTCATTACTTAAGGCTATCTAGAATGAGTAGGTTTGTATTGTGGCTTTCAGGGTCTGTAAATTACACAGTCATCAATGAAGAACAAGGAGAGAATACAGAAGAGGTCTTATAACCTTTCCTCTCTTTTTATTTACCAACTGCAAGACTGGTGGGAGGGGGAACAAGTTCTGTACTTGACAACATTCCCCCATAGAGAATTAAACCTGAGGTGCTAACTAAAATTATTTCATTGTCTTCTTAAGTAATGGACTCATTAATTCTCATTGATATTGATTAGTGCAGGAAAATGCATTACATTCTAATTAATGAGACTGTCTTAGTAAAAGGGGAAATGTTGCATAAAGTTAATTTGATTTTGTTAATTATTTTATTAATGAAAATGACTTTACATGAAGTTTGAGATAATCTACTACATTAACAAAATCCAATATGGGAAACAGGCCTCTTTGGTAATGCTCTATTATCCTGAAAAAATTAAAAGCTATTGGCAAAAAATAGGCAAAGGAAAAGATGGCTGTCTCCTTAAAACCATTCTATTTACTGCAAAAGTTTAAAAATTAAACTATACTGTACTGAAATATTAAATGGAGGAACTTCATTCCTATCAGATATAGACCCCTGGAGGCAGGTACACATTGTGCAGTAACCTGGACCTTACCATTCAATCTATGGCTTGGCTCTTTACATAGTAAATATTCCTTTTTATAACCTTGACTTTTTAGCTGTATCTTTTTTAGAGATTTCATTGGGGTGACACCATTTGTTACTTTATATATGTAATATAAAGGGTCTGCTTATGTGTTTTTTTAAACCATATTAAAATTTTAAGGGACTATCAGGGTCCCATAAATCAACATAAAATTAGCAGGCACATATAATACATAACTTACCTGGTGCAATAAACTGTTTGACATTGGTGAATCTAGACTTATCAGCCACATTCGCCATAAAGCAGCCCTTTGGCACAGTCCAGTCATTAGGCTTGTTTTTGTCTCTGTCTTCTGCTGTTTCATATACCTCTATGTGAGGAGGTTTCTCAGTTAGATTCTTGCTGTAATGACTTAATCCATACTGTGCAATCTGGATTGGATAGAAATAGCCTTGAGGTCCCCATTGTGTAGATAATGGCACACCTATAAAATAGAGAAACAAAATGAATAATCATATCCAGACATTACAAGCCTATTCCTAATACCATTCCTCACTGATTTACTTCTGGGGGATCTTACAGGGTTATCAGGAAGTTGTGGGCTTCCTTATAATACTGCTCTCATAATGACCAGATCTAGTACCAAATTAACCAGATGTGAAAAACAAAAATTAAGTATTCTTTCACTCTCATTCATTATTTGTTAACAAATAGTGCAACGCTATAAATTACCTTTTAAGGACTGGCTTTTTGTGTGTGTTACTTTTGCTCATGGCTACAGATGTCATGTTTCATAATCCTGTTTCCTACATTCAAATTCTGCACAATTTAGATGCGTATAGCTAATGTCACCACAGTTCTATTTTCAATATTAATCCTGAAATTTTCTTAAACATTTATACTTAACAGTCAAGTTACTACATACTCATCTTTCCCTCCAATGTCAAAGTGTGGTCTACTAATTAGGTATGTCATCTGATGGTTAATGTATTTGCTTAAAAAGCCAGTTGTGGCCAGGCACGGTGGCTCATGCCTGTAATCCTAGCACTTTGGGAGGCCAAGGTGGGTGGACTGCCTGAGCTCAGGAGTTTGAGACCAGCCTGGGCAACACGGTGAAACCCCGTCTCTACTAACATACAAAAAGCTAGCTGGGGGTGGTGGCAGGTACCTGTAATCCCAGCTATTTGGGAGGCTGAGACAGGAGAATCACTTGAACCCAGGAGGCAGGGGTTGCAGTGAGCCGAGATGGCGCCACTGCCCTCCAGCCTGGATGATGGAGCAAGACTCTGTCTCAAAAAAAAAAAAAAAAAAAAAAAAACCAGTTGTGACTTGGCAATTTAAAATATAAACACAGCTTGAAATTCTTTTTCATATCTTTCCTGTTAAAATGTAATTCTTAAGAAGTGTTTTTTAAAACATGAATTTAGTTTGTATATTTTACCATAGATTCTTGAAATAATTCATTAATGGATTACCTTATGTAAAGTTCTAAGTACAACTTTTAAATGTTTGGTATTAGTGTTTTTCTTAGTAATTTACTACTTAGGAGCTACAAATCCTACATTTACATAATGTTGTATGGTTGAATCACGTATGTATTGAGAGATAAACTACTATCTGTAGTTCTAAAATTAATAAGAATCTGATGAGCACAGCAGAGACTGGGAATCTACAAAATTTTATGTGTTTTGTTGTAGATTCAAAACAATGTTTACGGAATTAGGTAGGCTACAGATAAGCTTTTTAACATTTGTACCTTTCCTCCAAGAGGGGGATCTCCTCTGTAATTCAAATAGAATTATTATCAATTAATAAAAGGTGGTTTATACAACTTCATTAAACATGAGTGGTGACTACAATAATGTGCAACTGGCACAAGAACTGGGACTGATCAATGAAACCAAGTAGCAGTCCAGAAACACATTCTAGTACTCCTAAGAATTTAGTATAATGACGAATATTCCATCAAACTCAGTGGGAAAAGAGATGATTCAATACATATTGGGGAAAAAGGTTTAAAATTAGGCTGTGACCTTGTACCATTTGCCAAAATATAAATCAATTTAGCAGAACTAAAAAAGTTAAACGTAAAAAAATGAAACCATAAAACTATCAGAGAAACTAAAAGTGAAAAGCTGATCATAATGTGGTGTGGCAAGTGCCTTTCTAAGCATAAAAAGAAGAGGTACAAAGATCCAAAAAACCCCATAAGTTTAATAAATGGAACTAAAAACTTCTAAAACCAACAAATCATATGTAAAATGAAAAGACAACCAGATTGAAGAAACATCTCTAACAAATATGAGTACTGCTACCCTTACTACATAAGTTCACACAAATACATTTTTAAAAAACTCCACTTATCACATTCGAAAAAGGGGTAAAGAACATGAAAATACGGCAAAAAGCATAAGAAAAAGATATCTGACCTCACTAGTTGTTAAAGAGAGAAAATTATAATATCCCTCTGTAACCAACAGACAAAAAAACAATGGTCCATGATGGCAAGAGTTGGGTGAAAACGGCACCCTCATACTCTGCTGCTGGAAGCATGAGCAAGTTCCACCTTTCTGGAAAATGGCTGGCAAAACAGTACAAAGGTTTGGCAGGTTATTTGACATGGCAGTTAATTATATTCTCAGAATAGGAATACACTACAATGAGAATAAAATTAAAATAGCAAATAAAGATTAACAATGAAAATCTGTAACATTTATAATAGCAAAAAAATGGAAATATAGTTAGTCACCCTTTGTGCTACCAAATACCAGATTTTATTCACTTGATCTTAATTTATTATATATTTAAAAATAACTGAAAGAATATTACTGGATTGTTTGTAACACTAAGAAAGGATAAATGGTTGAGGTGATGGATACACCATTAACCCTGATGTGATGATTATTATACATTGCATGCCTGTATCAAAATATCTAATACACCCCATAAATACATACACCTACTATGTACCCACAAAAATTAAATATAAAACATTAATTAAAAAACATAAAAAACCTGGAAATGACCTAAGTGTACAACTAAAGAGAAGGGTCTCATACATTACATATATCATGGCATGTCCTTACTACAAATATTAGTTATTAAAATGTTCAATAAATATTCAGTGAGGGGAAATAGTTGAAACATGTTAAGTAGAAAATATCAGAATAAAAATTGACCATACAGTATGATCTGAATTTTTTTTAAAGATGCATTTCTACTATGCAGCCATAAAAAAGAAAGAGATCACGTGCTTTGTAGAAATATGGATGGAGCGAGGGGCCATTATCCTTAGCAAACCAACGCAGGAACAGAAAACCAAATACTGCATGTTCTCACTTCTAAGTGGGAGCTAAATGATGAAAACGCATGGACACATAGAGGGGAACAACACACACTGGGGCCTCTGGAGGGTAGAGGGTAGGTGGCGGGCGAGGATCAGAAAAATAACTGATGGGTCCTAGGCTTAATACCTGGGTGACAAAATAATCTGTAAAACAAATCTCCATGACATGAAGTTACCTATATAACAAAACTGCACATGTACCCCTGAACTTAAAAATTAAAAATAAAATAAAATAAAATAAAAATATATTTCTACAACAACAAAAAGAATGGGGAAAAAAAGTCAAAATATTAATAGTGGTTATGGGTACTTTTTACTTTTTTATTTTAGAATTTAGGCGCCTATTAATTTCATGCATTTAAAAAACTGCTGAAAAAAAGGTTTGACTCTGAATATCTTTGAAATCTCTATTACTCTCCTGAATCACTGTATAGTAAACATCATTACGATTATGCTAAAACATATGTCTAAGTACAAAGGCCTCCAGAGAATATATAAAAATAATAATAATTATATTGAGGTGGTAAGAGTATAGGTGAATCTGGTCACTTCTCTCTTCTAAACATTTGGTAAGGATATTGGCCAGGCACAGTGCCTCATGTTTGTGATTCCAGCACTTTGGGAGGCTAAGGTGGAAGGACTGCTTGAGTCCAGGAGTTTCACACAAGCCTGGACAACACAGTGAGACACTGTTTTTACAAAAAATAAATTTTAAAAAATTAGCTGGGCATGGTGGAGCATGCCTATAGTCCCAGCTAGTTGGGAGGCTGAGGTGGGAGGATCACTTGAGCCTGGGAGATCGAGACTGCAGTAAGCCATGACAGTATCACTGCACTCCAGGCCTGGGTGACAGAGTGAGATTCTGTCTCAAAATAAGAGAAAAAGATATTATAAAAAATTTATCTAAGTAGTAAAAACAAAGGAAAAAACTCCTGCATCAGATATGTAAATTCCAATTTCCAACTGGATGAATAAACACACCATTAACTTCACAGACATGAGTGGGCTATAATCCTTCGGTCTGTGGGAGTCTGAAAACATCCACATGGTCACCAAGTGAGCACAAACTTCTTTCCAGAGCAAAAAATATATATTTAGTTAGTTAAAAACTTACTTCAATACAGATTTTAAAATATTAAGATCTTAAAATCACTTTATAACAAAATGAGGAAAGTAAAACCCAAACCAAGAAATCTCAAACATATTAAGCTCTTTCCTCTGTTTAAGTGATATACTTTAAAGTCAAATTCAATTTGGCTTTCTGGTTTGAAAAGCAAATTCCAAAGCATATTAATTGTATCCACAAGGAACTCTTACTGCCCCAGGTTTTAAAGACAATGAAAAATGTAATAGACTAGGAGTTCAGTATAAGTCCAGAGAAAAAGCATCTACATATTGTCTTGTTCTGAAGACTTGAAACCTCCTTCCAGAGATGACACCTGACTCATTAGGTAACCAGACCACACTGGTACATTGATGGGTCCACTGGATGGTCTCTCTCCCTTTCCCATCTCTCACAGGATTCTAGCTATATATTTTAACGCAAACTTCTGGAGAAACAATGCCTTTACCTTACTGGTGAGAATTTTAGATTCTGAGTTACGTTAATAAAATAATTCTGTTTGCCCAGGTTTGGTCTTATGGCAGCCCTTAAGTCATAGCATCTAGAAAGTTGCCCTAGGTTCAGGCTTAACCTGTTCCTCCCTGCTAAATTAGAGTGATGAAAGGTCTTTTGACAGTAAGCTATGTACTTGATGTATAATTAACAACATTTTCTTATTCCTCAACACAATCATGCTTGAAAAATGCAAGTGAAGCAGACAGATACCAACCTTCAACCCCACTTATGCACTTGACTCTGTCTCGGACTTCCACATTGTAGCCTTCAAAAGACATAAACACACCATCGGGGTGATAGGGGGCTCTCTGTGCATAGACTTTGGAATAGCTATGAGAGAATTCAAACCGATCATAGCCATCATACTGAACCACCTTTCCATAAACATCAAAATATTTCTCAACCCAAGTGAATGGAAGAAAGACTTCGTTCCCCTCTCGTCTCCCTTTAATTGTGTGTTCATCATTTATGAGACAGTCAATTTCTTCATATTTGAGCCCTAACACCTTACTTCCCACATTGCTATTGAAGCCCCCAACAACAGGGGGTGCTTTCTGCTGTTCCTGAGGGAATGCTTCCTCAGACTGTTGTTTGGCCACGTGGTTCATATAGTTGTTACTCTCAGATGCTGCTGCTCTTTTTTCAAACCCATCCACTCTGAAGCCACTACTCGAACGCCGTGGAAACTGGATTGCTTTGTCACTGGAACACTTATTCCACAAAAGTACTGTGACCAAAGTGAAGAGTGCGCAGATAATAATCAAAGTCTTATAGTTGACCCGAGCTGCCAAGCAACGCATATTCAGACCATACCTATGGAGGCAAGAAGAAAAAAAATCATGCAAAGATGTACTACCGGCATTTCATAGGATAAAGTTTTCTTTGCTTTTTTTTTTTTTAATGTTGAACAACTGTATTAGGACAATTTTGGATCAGATTTAAAATTGCAAACTCAAACTTTTCAGCACAAAAAAAGGTAAGAGGTGCTTCCTCCTTTTGGTGAAATCCTTAGTTAGCTCAAGCTTCTAAAGCAGAGATGTTCAAACTTTCTTAGTTTGTGGCTCCCTTGGTATCTCAGTAATTTTTCACAATGCCCCCTAGGCCAAAAGAAATACCTAATACAGTTTGAGTATGCTGTACCCAAAATGCTTGGGACCAGAAGGGTTTTGGATTTTGGATTTTTCTCAGATTTGGGAATATCTGCATTACACTTAACAGTTCAGCACCCCAGATCTAAAATCTGAAACGCTTCACTGAGTATTTCTTTAGAGCATCACGTTGATGCTTAAAAAGTTCTTGATTTTGAAGCATTTTGTATTTTCGATTTCTGAACTTGGGATGCTCAACATGTAGCATTTATTAAATAGTTAGGGCCAAATAACTACTTATGTACAAGTATTTATGTCCTAACACCTTAGTAGCTGTCTGAAAAAACACAGTAGACCTTTTCAAGGTAAACACCAACATCCATGTTGCTAAATCCAACAATGAATTTTTAGTGCTCATCCTACTTGACCTCCTAACAGCATAAAATAGTCAATGGCTCTTTCCTTCTTGAAACATTTTCTTCCCATGGTTTCTAGGGCACCATTCTCTTTTGGTTCTCCTAAAATCCCACTGGCTGTTCTTCTCTTCTTTGAGTCTTCCTTTTCATCTCCCTAATTCTTAAATGTTAGAGTACCTTAGGGCCCCAGTCTTTTGAACTTCTTTATCTCTATTCAGTCTATTCACTTTGATCTCACCCAACCTCATGCCTTTAAATACAAGGCTGACTATCCCCAAATTCTCTCGCCAGGCCAGGTCTTTCTTCAGAGCTGCAGATACGTATATCCAATACATATATCTTTATTTGGAGGTCAAATAGATTTCTGAAATAACATCCAAAACTTAACTCCCAATCTTTTCCTCAATCTGTTCCACCCTTCCTACTGCTCAGACTAAAAATCTTGACCCTTTCTTATTCACTCAATATCCCATAAGTCAGGAAATTCTGTTGGTTCTACCTTCAAATTATACCCAGAATCTGACCTCTTTTCACCAACTACATTGTTACTACCCTGTCAGAATCACTGTCATCTTTCACCTGGAACACAGCAGTTATATTCAAACTGGTCTCTCTCCTTCTACGCTTACCCTACTACTCCACCCTCAAGTCTATTCTTAACACAGCAGTCAGAATGATGCTCTTAAATTTAAGTCAGATCATGTCATTCCAGTCCTGATGGGAGGAAAATGTGATGCTGTTGCTTCTTCTGGCCATATGGTGTATGAGCCTGTTGTGATTGCAATGCAAGTAGTCCTGGGTTACTTTTTGCTGGGATGATTGGGAAACATGGGAAATTATGGATAGTTATACATATAATGTATGATACATTTCAGCCTGCTGAGAGTAAAGGGAGTAGTTTAACTGCCGTTTGCCACAGGAGCTCTGTAATTTATTGTATGGTGTGAATCAACAACTAATTTTATCGTTTTTAATCCCCCCTTCTCATTTTCCCCTCAACCCTTTTGGCAGCAATGATATATTAAAAAAAATCAAATGCTAAACTTCCGTTTCTCAAGAAGTTGATGGTGAATGTGTAATTCATTCATTTCTTTTACTTCCAATGGAAGGCAAACTTTGCACCCTTCAGTGTCTGAAAACAACTGTATTCTGCTCTCACCCTTGATTAATAGTTTGGCAGGTTGTAGAATCCATGGTTGCATATTATTTTCTTTCTAAAATGTTGTAGGCAATACTTTACTGTCTTAAATCATTAAAAGTTATTCATAAGGGGTTTGATTTCAGTCTGTTACTTGTTACTATGTGTGTGATTTCTTCCGGGATCTTTGTTTATCCTAGGAATTCTGCAGTTTTGAGATGTGTCACAGTACCATGTTTGATTCTCTATTTCAGTGCTTGGTGTGCCCTTTCAATCTAAAAACTTGTGTCCTCCTATTCTTGTTTAATAGATGTAGTATCTTCTTGGATCTCTGAATATATTAGATGATTTATTCTTCTTTTTTTAAAATAAAGTTCTTTCTTATTAGTTTTACTTTTTCCACTGGCCATTTTCCTGGTTATTTAGTCTTTCATGCCATTAGTTTTTCCCACCATGCCTGGTGATCTTCGGTTACTCATTCACATTTAAGGGAGAATGACTCATTAGCCAACATAGATTTCCTGTGTTATTTTGAAGATAGTCTGATTTTGGCTAGATTGTTCCCCTGGAGGGGATAAAAAGAGGGAGCTCTGTGTGGGCTGGACATAAGCTGACTGGCAGTGTTCCCACAGGGTGAGTGGGTGGGGAGCCAGCAGACCTTTCAAATGCCAGAAAGAAGATGGTGTTTTCTCTTTTGTTACACGAACACAGCACACACTTTAGAAGCCTTCGTCTTTCTCATGCTCTGTAAAGAAAATCTGCCTAGTGTTTGCCTGGGATTCTTGCCAGCTATCTGTATTCAAGTGTAGGGGTGAAAGAGGTATGAGGAGGGGAGAAGAGGGTATAGTTGGGCCTACTGGTACTCAACTAGAGATCTGGAAATCTGTTCAACTATCATCCTTGGGTAGTCCTCCTATTTACTGTTACTGGCTTCTTCATTTCTCATTTTTAAACATTTTATTTTGCTGGGGCATCAGAAGGGAAAGGAGGTGAATACAGATTTTAAGAAGT
The DNA here is from genome assembly GCF_000001405.40 of Homo sapiens. NCBI lineage: Eukaryota > Metazoa > Chordata > Mammalia > Primates > Hominidae > Homo > Homo sapiens. The sequence continues at coordinate 69,252,953 of NC_000015.10, read as the reverse complement.
GGAAACCCAATAATACATTTTTAACCCTATTAACTGAGAATAATTCATCATCTGCATTATTACTATGAGAAACCAAAGTGTGTAACAAACAAAACTTAAGAAGTCATATAAATTGAGGATTTCCTTATATTGCAGTGGGGGCAAACTGATAACACTAAATGGTGTTTATTTTTTTTTTTAAATCCTTCATTAAAAGCACTTACATGTCAACAGCTGAGTAATCTGTCAGCTACGCCTTACATTTTGACCAACTAATATAGAAATATAAAGCTTTTTATCCTATCTTTGAGAAGTGCCCTTCCTCCACTACTCGCATGCCTGCAACCCTGCTTATGGAACAAGGCTACTGATATAGTTTGGGCATTTGTCCCCACCCAAATCTCATGTTGAAATGTAATGTTCAGTGTTGGAGGTGGGGTCTAGGGGGAGGTGTTTGGATCATGGGGGTGCATCCCTCTTGAATGGCTTAGCGCCATCCCCTTGATGATGAATGAGTTTGCGTGAGATCTGATTGCTTAAAAGCATTGCCCACACTCCCTTGGCTCCTGCCCTGGCCATGTGACCTGCTTGCTCCAGCTTTGCCTTCTGCCATGAGTAAAAGCTCCCTGAGGCCTCCCCAGAAGCTGAGTGGATGCTGGCACCATGTTTGTATAGCCTGCAGAATTGTGAGCCAATTTTAAGCCTCTTTTTTTTTAAAAATAAATTACCCAGTCTCAGGTATTCCTTTACAGCAATGCAAGAACAAACTAACACAGCTACCAATATGTTGAAGCACACGATGGGAAAATAAAGAAAAATCAAATTTAAAAACTTCCAATAATCCTTATGTCCAGGTTTTATTGTCTGATGCCATTCGTTACTAAAGACAATCAGGGCTTCTTAAAGAAATGAGTAATTCCAGGTCTAGGGATGGGACACCTTGCCACACCAGAAAACAAACTTTCCACTACCAATGAAATAAAAATCAAGGGTGTCAAAAAAGCAGCAGGAGACAGATAAAATTAGAAAATTATTGCTAATTGCTAAAACTGAGAGTGACAGATATATTGGAAGTTCAGTATACCACTCACTATATACTTTTGTTTAAACATTTCCATAAATATATAACATCATGGCAAAAAGACACAGGAATCAGTCTAAAAGGTCCTCTTTCCTATTAGTCAAATTTGTAAGAATTATGAGTGAAGTAGACTGAAACACAACGAAGCAATAAAAATCCACGAATCTGCAATAATATTTAAAAAGGAGAAAGCCAGCAAAAAACTTACCTAATCTTCTAAGCTGACAAAAATTGGCAACTGAGTGAAAAAAATTATTTACTTGTCTTTGTAGGAGCAGCCATATTTCAGAACAAATCAAAAACCCTAGTAAATAAAATACTCTGTTGTGCAAAAGCCTATCTAATAATAAGAAGTAAATTTTTTTAAAAAATAAGAAAATTAGCATTATGTAATCCCTCATGATATTACAGATTCAGGCAAGTGTTAAATGCAGGTATACGTTTGCCATGACCTAGAGATTCATACTGTGCAAAGTAACACCAAATATGTTATTTTCTAGTTGAAAGAAGAAAAAGATTAAACTTGACAGTGAAAAGATCAGATAGTCATACCCTAATTCAGTGGTCAACTTTAGTCTCCTTAATTGTGACCCATCCAGAAGCTGTCTCCTGATAAGTCATAATAAAAAATATATCACTTACCATACATTCCAGCCCAAAATGTTTCACTTGGATCTCTCAGGACATAAAATTTAATCTCTGGTTAACAGGAAATACAAGGGATAGAGGAACAAGTTAAAGGAGGAAGCAACCAGACACTTCTAGAAGGTGAGACATCCTGCAGGACAGCTGGTCCTGTCTCCTCAACTCAATAAGTGATATGAAAATAAAAAAGGAGGGGGCTGTTTTGTGTGTGTTTTTTTAAGAGACTTAGGGACATAACAACCAGATGTGAAACTTGGTTCTGGACTGGGAAATTCAACAATGGACTTGATAAAATGGAAAGATACTGAAATGAAGACTGTTAACTGAAAAATATAGGTTACAGAACAGCACATTTAGTATTATCTTATTTTAAGTAAACAATGCATATATAGGTCTTTATTTTCTAATTTTCCATGACCACGCTGTTTTTTTTTTTTTTTTTTAACTATAAAAAATGGCATGTGCTTGCAGTCCCAGCTACTTGGGACTGGGGTAGGATCACTTGAGCCCAGGAGTTCTGGGCTATAGGGTGCTATGCCGATCGGGTGTCCACATTAAGTTTGCCATCAGTATGATGACCTCCCGGGAGTAGAGAACCACCAAGTTGCCTAAGGAGGGACGAACCAGCCCAGGCTGGAAATGGAGTGTGATGATCAGTAGTGGGATTGCGCCTGTGAAGAGCCACTGTATTCCAGCCTGGGCAACACAGCGAGATCCTGTCTCTTAAAAAAAAATAATGAAAAACTAAGAAGGGGAAGGTTAACTTTGTTAAAATATTGAAAGAAAAAAATGTAAGTCAGTTAAAAATTTGTAGAAAAATTTAGCTTTCAAATGGGCACGGGTTTTTTTCAGAGGGGCGGGGATGGTAAGAGAGATCGAAGGAGGATGAAGAGAAGGAAATCTCTGAGTGTTGACATACAGTATTAACTAAAAAATAGGCTCATCTAAAGAGAAACTCAGTAATTTCATTATAATGTTGCCAAATTATAGAAAACTGACACAGACACTCTGAAATTTCAAGAAGTAGATTGCACTGACATTCTGCTAGGTATAAATGATGGTAACTTTGAGTGGTGAGAGGCTTCCTATTTATTTTGAAGCTTTTGCCACATCTACAAAATAGATTGATGCTTTAGGTAAAACAAACAAATGAAAAACTCATAAATTAAAAAAAAATCTTGAAACCTCACCTACTGCTGACCCTAAAGATTTATTTCATTAGAAATATAATCCAATAAAAATCAGGTCTTATAACGCTGGAGATCTAAAACAGAAAATGTCATGCAGTAAGCATCATAAAGAAACTGTGGAAAAACTTCTTTGTAGAAATAGTTAAAAATTAGGGAAAGTAAAACATAACTCTTAGGGTTTTTTTTGGAAAGCAAATTGTTCTATTCTAAAGTGATTTGCAATTCAAACATCTTTTCTGTGATACTTTACTTTTCAGATTTATTTTCCTAGTTACTTCAAGTAACTATTAGAGTAATTCACTAAATATCAGGAACTATGGATAGCATCATGAGCTTTCAAAATATGAAGGTTGTATTTCAGTAAAGAACAACCTTTCAATAGGTTTTTTAAATATTCACTTACATTGTTATTGGCTTTTTTTCCCTCGAATAATGTAGGCCAAAGTTTCCCTGCTTATTATTTCTCTTATCTACTTACACATCTATTTATGTTTCCTATAATTCCTTGATTGAGAAGAATGCTTACTCTTAATTAAAAAATAATTTATTGATACTGAGTAAGTAGATGAAATAGTAATTGCTCAACAAATAATCAAACTCACTGATTGTTTTGATCAATATTTGTTCAGCAGCTACTATGTGGCAGGTAAGGCATTATCCATGTCTCTAAAGGACAGATTCGCAGGCAGAAAAAATAATAATGCTAAGATTTAAGAACTGTAAAAAAAAAGTTATGTAGACTATGCTATAAAACACCTTAACCTTTTAAGGTGTTAAGAAAAGCTTCCAGGTAGAATGAATTGAAGATTGACAGTTAAGCATGCTCCCAAGTCAGGGTATTTGCACTTGTCATTCCCCATGCCTAGCACTCTATTTCCCCAGATATCCATTTGGATGGCTCTCTCACTTCATTCAGGTCACTGCTTAAATGCCAATGTATTAGAAAGGGCTTCCCTGGCCACCTTATCTAAAATACCAGTTCTCACCCCATCATTCTCTAGGTCCTTACTCAGTTTTATTTTTCTTCATAGCATTTATCACCATTTGACATATTATACATTTAAATTATTCATCCCCAATCCACTAGAATGCAAATTCCATGAGGGCTGGGGTTTTGCTTCTCCTGGCCACTGTTGTATCCCCAATACTTAGAAATGCACCTAGCTTGGCTCATGCCTGTAATCCCAGCACTTTGGGAGGCCAAGGTGGGAGGATCACTTGACAAGGTCAGGAGTTTGAGACCAGCCTGGTCAACATGGTGAAATCCCATCTGTACTAAAAATACAAAAAATTAGCTGGGCGTGGTGGTGCGCACCTGTTGTCCCAGCTACTTGGGAGGCTGAGGCAGGAGAATTGCCGTGAGCTGAGATCGCCATTGCACTCCAGCCTGGGCGACAGAGTGAGGGGGCAAAAAAAAACTGTGCCTAGCTCAGAGTAGACATTCATTAACGGTTTGTTGAATAAATGAACATTGTTAAATATTCTTTCCTCTCCGTTGCTCCCTCCTTTCCTTCCTTTCTTGAAAGCAAGCAAGCAAGCAAGCAAGCACTTGGCCTATATAATTAAAAAGATAAAAAACAGACATTTGAACCAGACAACTTTGTTTTCTTTCCAATATTTGGGTATTCAGAAATTGTAATCCAAATAAAAACGAACATAACTGACATAACAGAATACGGACTGTGATGCTGTATATTGGCCGATTTTAAAACAGATTTATAATTTAATTACTGCTGTTAGTAATGTTCCATCTGTTTACTGCTTAATAGACCAAGATTTAAATTATACAGTCAAATTGTTAAATATCCAGTGATAGATGTAACTCAAAGGAGAACTGCCTAATATTTTTGGTTGTTAGGATCCTTCCAGTAATATAAACAAGTAGAATTCTCTGGTAGCTACTCACAATAAGGCAAAACAGGAAGGAAATTTTGCAAGTCCCTTTTATTTTTTAGTAACAAAATTGAAATGATCTGTGATACAAGTGCTCATAATACTTCAAATAAGATTGTATTTCTAGGAAAAAAATCCCAAGGAAACTGAGTAGCGGGTATATATATGGACATGCTCTATGTTACTGAATTCTCACAGTATTTCTAATATTTTCTCATAATTATATCTGTTATGGTGATCTGTGATCAGTGATCTTCAATGTTGCTATTTTAATTGTTTTGGGGTACTATTAACTGTACTCATATAAAATGGCAACCTTTATTGATAAATGTTTTGTGTTTTCTGACTGCTCCAATGACCAGCTGTTCCCCGATTGCCTGTTTCTGACCTTCTCCTTGGGCCTTGCTATTTTCTGAGACACACCAATATGGACATTAGGCCAATTAATAACTCTACAATGACCAGTAACTATTCAAGTGAAAGGAAGAGCCACATGTCTCTCACTTTAAAACAAAAGCTAGAAATGATTAAGCTCAGTGAGGAGGGCATGTCTAAAGCCAAAATAGGCTAAAAGCTAGACCTCTTGTGCCAAAAAGCCAAGCTGTGATAGCAATGGAAAAGTTCTTGATGGAAGTTAAAATTGCTATTCCAGTGAACACATGAATGAAAAGAAAGTGAAACAGCCTTATTGCTGATAATGGAGAAAATTCTGGCGGTCTTAAGGTCAAACCAGCCACAATATTCCCTGAAGCCAAAGCCTAATAATCCACAGCAAAGCCCTAACCCTCTTCAATTTTATGAAGGCTGAGAGAGGTGAGGAAGCTGCAGAAGAAAAGTTGGAAGCTAGCAGAGGCTGGTTTATCAGGTACAAGGTAAAGCAGCAAGTGCTGATGTAGAAGCTACAGCAAGTTATTCAGAAGCTCTAGCTAAGATCATTGATGAAAGCAGCCACACTAAACAGATTTTCAATGTAGACAAAGCAGTCTTCTATTAGAAGAAGATGCCATCTAGGACTTTCATAGCTAGAGAGAAGTCAATGCCTGGCTTCAAAGCACCAGCTGACTCTCGTTAGGGGCTAATGCAACTGGTGACTTTAAGTTGAGGCCAATGCTCCTTTATAATTCTGAAAATACTAGAGCCCTTAAGAATTATGCTAAATCTACTCTTCCTGCACTCTATAAATGGAACAACAAAGCCTGGATGACAGCACATCTGTTTACGACATGGTTTACTGAATATCTGAAGCCCACTGTTGAGACCTACTGCTCAGAAAAAAAGATTCCCTTCAAAATGTTACTGCCCATTGACATGCAGCTGGTCACCCAAGAGCTCTGATGGAGATGTACAACGAGATTAATGCTGTATCCATGCCTGCTAACACAACATTCATTCTGAAGCCCATAGATCAAAAAGCAATTTGACTTTCATGTCTTTTTTTTTTTTTTTTTCTGAGATGGAGTCTCACTGTATCGCCCAGGCTGGAGTGCAGTGGCATGATCTCGGCTCACTGCAACCTCTGCCTCCCGGATTCAAGCGATTCTTCTGCCTCAGCCTCCTGAGTAGCTGGGATTAGAGGCATGTGCCACCATGGCTGGCTAATTTTTATATTTTTAGTAGAGACAGGGTTTCACTATGTTGGCCAGGCTGGTCTCAAACTCCTGAACTCGTGATCCACCCACCTCAGCCTCCCAAAGTGCTGGGATTACAGGTGTGAGCCACCACACCCAGCCAACTTTCAGGTCTTAGTATTTAATAAATACATTTTGTAACACTATAGCTGGCCATAGATGGTGATTCCTCTGATGGATCTAGGTAAAATAAATTGAAAACCTGCTGGAAAGGATCCACCATTCTAGATGCCATTAAGAATATTCATGACTCATGGGAGGAGGTCAAAATATCAACATGAACAGAGTTTGTAAGTTGATTCCCACCTTCATGGATGACTTTGAGGGGTTCAAAACTTCAGTGGAGGAAGTAACTACAGATGTGGTGAAAACAGCAAGAGAACCAGAATTAGAAGTAGAGTCTGAAGAGGGGGCTGAATTGCTGCAATCTCATGCATGAGCAAAGAAAGTGGTTTCTTGAGATGGAATCTACACCCGGTGAAGATGCCATGAACATTGTTGAAACGACTGGCCGGGCGCGGTGGCTCACGCCTGTAAACCCAGTACTTTAGGAGGCCGAGGCGGGCAGATTACCTGAGGTAAGGAGTTCGAGAGCAGCCTGGCCAACGTGGTGAAACCCTGTCTCTACTAAAAATATAAAAATTAGCCGGGCGTGGTGGTGGGCACCTGTAATCCCAGCTACTTGGGAGGCTGAGGCAGGAGAATTGCTTGAACCCAGGAGACGGAGGTTGCAGTGAGCTCACACGGTGCCCCTGCACTCCAGCCTAGATGACAGAGTGAGACTCTGTCTCAAAAAACAAAAAAGAAAAGAAAAAGAAATGACAACAAAGGATTTGGAATATCACATAAACTTAGTCAATAAAGCAACAGCAGGGTTTGGGAGGATTGACTCCAATTTTGAAAGAAGTTCTATTGTGGATAAAATGCTATCAAATGGCATGGAATGATACAGATAAATCTTTCATGAAAGGAAGACTCATTCTATGTGGCAAACTTCATCGTTGTCTTATTTTAAGAAATTCCCACCACTACCACAATCTTCAGCAACCACCACCCTGAGCATTTAGCAGCCATCAACATCAAGGGAAGACCCTCCACCAGTAAAAAGATTATGACTTGCTAAAGGCTCAGATAATCTCTAACAATTTTTAAGCAATGAAGTATTTTTAAATTAAGGTATGTACTTTTTTTTTTTTTTTTTTTTTGAGACAGAGTCTTGCTCTGTCTCCCAGGCTGGAGTGCAGTGATGTGATCTCGGCTCACTGAAACCTCTAACTCCGGGGTTCAAGCGATTCTTGTGCCTCAGCCTCCTGAGTAGCTGGGATTACAGGCATATGCCACCATGCCTGGCTAATTTTTGCATTTTTAGTAGAGAAAGGGTTTCACCACGTTGGCCAGGCTGATCTTGAACTCCTGACCTCAAGTGATCCTCCCCACCTTGGCCTCCCAAAGTGCTGGGATTACAGCTGTGAGTCACTGCACCCGGCCAGGTATGTATATTTTTTAGACATAATGCTATTCTACACTTAACAGACTACAGTACAGAATAAACATAACTTTTATAAGCACTGGGAAACCAAAAAATGTGTGTGAGTCACTTTATTGTGATATTCACATTATGGTGGTCTGGAACTGAATCTGCAGTATCTCCAATGTATTCCTATAGTAAATTATATTATTTGAATTTCATAGATGAAAAGACTAAGGCATAAGGACCCACAAAAAGATTTACTAAAGGAAAAGAACAGGAACAAAGCCAAGACGAGAACTTAAATCTGATAAAAAAATTTTGTGCATTCCCTACTTACAGATGATGAAACTAAGGCATTGTGATGTTAAGTAATTTACCTGAAGCCACATGATTATTTGATGGTTCACATATCTAGTATTAAGAATGGTATTTTAACTCCAGTTTTTCAGTCTGACTCCAAAGGCTGTGCTCTGATATGTCACAGGGTATCTTAGAACAGATATATAAATATTATATTTCAGAAGCTGAATACTCCCCTTCCCCAGAAGATTTTAACTTATAACAGGTTACTAGACTGCGAACTGAATTCAGACATTCACAGGTCTTGTTTTGGTTAAAGTTTAATTTTACCATAAATCAACAGTTCACACAGGTAAACATAATTTTAGGAAAAGTTATCTAGTTGTTCTAAAAATGTATTAGCATTTCTGAATGAAGCTACTGAAATTTTTGAATTTTCTTTAAATCTAACAGTATAATTAAATGCCATATTAATATTAGAAAGGGACAGAAATGAGAGTCATGATTGTGAATGTTATGTATTTTATTCTAAGAAAGCTACCTGGTCCCCAGGTGGCTTAGAATAATTAAGCTCTTGACAACAGGATCCTCACTGGCCCCACAAATCCAGCAATAGCTTACAAATGCATTATAATACCTTATTTCTGTCATAATTATTATGATATTCTGGTATAGCTCGTTGAAGCAAAACCTTCCCCATGTTAATGTGAGGCTTTGAAAATGTACTCATGTTCTAAAAGCCCCAAGGTGGCAGTATATGTGAGTAACTAACAGTACAAGAAATTAGGGTGTGAAAAAGAAGAATCTAAAGATAAAGCTATTTTTTGGGCTGGGCATGGTGGCTCACGCCTGTCATCCCAGCACTTTGGGAAACCAAGGTGGGAGGATGACTTGAAGCCAGGAGTTCGAGACCAGCCTGGGTGACCTGAGACCCTGTCTTTTTTTTTAAAAAAATTATTTTATTCTATGACTTTTTATTAGCCATAGCAAAAATAAAAATAATAATAAAAAAAGGCAAGAAGTCAAGGGGAATAAAAAGCTTTAACTTTTTTTTTTCTACTTAGTTTAATTTCTGGCAAGAACATATAATCTTGAATACAGATTGTAATTACCCTTAGAATGAAAATCACCAGTGACAGCAAAGGTCAAATCTATTTGCTCATGTCATGCAACACAAATTGGCTTTTTTTTTTTTTGAGATGGGGGCGGTCTCATTAGTTACCCAGCCTGGTCTTGAACTCCTGGGCTCAAGTGATCCTTTTAGCCTCCCAAAGTGCTGGGATTACAGGTGTGAGCCACTGAGCCGAGCCAATAAATCGGCTTTGAAGCTATGAAACGAAAAAGCAAAACAAAAATAAAAAATTTCAACACTATGGAGATAAAGGAGAACCATCTAAGGAAAGCTAATTTTATTAGCCTTTAAAGATAATGTATAAATAAAAATGCAGAACAGAACTAGAAGTTGGGGGAAGACACATTCGTGGTTATTGCACTTTACTCATAAGGAGACCTGAGACCACCTGGTGGCTTCTATTAGCTCAGGTGTGGAAATTCATATTCTAAGCCTACTGGGCCTCCTACCTGACATACTTTTGTAGGAAAATCTTAGTCTTACCCCTAACAGGACACCAAAGCAATTCCAGTTTTCTTTTTTTCTTTCCTTTCTCCTTTCTTTTCATTTCTTTCTTTCTTTTTTTTTTTTTTTTTTTGGACAGGATCTCTCACTCTGTCACCCAGGCTGGAGTGCAGTGCCATGCTCATAGCTCACTGTAGCTGCAATCTCTCGGGCTCAAGTGATCCTTCTGCCTTAGCCTCCTGGGTAGCTGGGACTACAGGTGCACACCATCATGCTTGGCTAATTTTTATTTTTTATTTTTATTTTTAGTAGAGATGAAGTCTCACTGTGTTTCCCAGACTGGTCTTGAACTTCTGAACTCAAGCAACACCCCCTGCCTCGGCTTCCCAAAGTGCTGGGATTACAGGCATGAGCTACCACACCTAGTTCCAGTTTTCTTAACTTCAGCAACCATAAACTAGGCAGAAAGAATAATATGATGAACCTTTAAAAAAATAATTTTAAGAAGTACAGATGTTGACTGGTTCCAGACCAACCACTTTTTCATACTAGTAGAAGGAAAGTTGTTTGCATCAAAGCACTAAATTAATCAAATAGAAAAAGAAAATCCTCATCAATTCCTACAGCAGTTAATGACAATGAGCTAATGAACAGACTAAATTCAATGAATGAAGCATTTTACTTAGTATTACTATATATCTATAGTATATAGATATATAGATGCATAGCTTAGCTTAACATCTGATACTGAGGAAAATAAAAATATATATAGAAACGATTTCCGCTCTCAAATAACTTAGAACCTTGAAGATACAAGACTTGAACATACAGAAAACAAGTGAAAAAAATCCACATTGAAAAGGTGGTAAAATAAATATAATAATTGAATTTGAAAATCAAATAAAAAGTAGTGTGGCAGGTAGTTTAGTTAGGAAAGGGAAAGATACTAGAAAGAGGTGCATGGGGAGAACACTTCACTGAAGCCCAACACAGATGGTATATACTGGTCTCCAAGAGAATATTAACAACCATTAAGTGAGGCCCTTTTCAAACACAGGATAATGAACTTGTAGCTATGGATTTCCTTATCTACACTGCAAAGTACTTTTACATTCATTTCTTCATTTAATTTCTGCAACAATCCAATGAAATGGTCAGGAAAATGAGTGCTATTTTACAATAGAAAATACTAAGGCTCAGAAATTGATAAGGTGGTCTTTTGGTTCTAAGCTTTATCAGACCAGTGATTTCCAAATCCAGATAATTAAGTCTCATCTGGACGGGGAAAAGACATTTCAAAGTCTTACACAAGTGATTCTGATGATTAATTTGGTCTGAGAACCAATACAACTGGCTCTAAATTTCACTGGGCATTAGAATTACCTAGAAGGTTTGTTCAAACACAGATTGCTGTTCACAAACCCCACAGTTTCTGATTTACTAAATCTAGGTAGAGACCTAAAAACCTGCTTTTCTATCAAGTTCCAGGTGAAACCTATGCTTCTGGTCAGGAGATCACACTTTGAGAACCACTGTAATATACCATATGCATAAAGTAGGTACTATGTGCAAGTGGAAATACGTATGCTGCCCAAACTCAGAACTATCTTAGGCAATTCTGAAAATTAGGGTCACTAGCATATTGATTTTTGCAGAATAATTAGTTTGTGCTCCAGTGAGAATGACTTTAGTTAACTCTTGAATCAATTTACAAAGCAGTGATTCAAGAGTTAGCTAAGCCCTAAAGTCATGCTTGGAAAAAATTTGTAAGTTTTGGCTTTTGCCTGTATGTTGCAGAATCTCTCAGCTACAGTATGTTTTGAAATAATTCTTTTAGAAGGGTAGGTGGGTGGTATATATTTTGAAGTCTTGCAGAATTGAAAATATGTGTTGCTTCTTCATCAAACAACTTGGCTGAATAAAGAATTTTAGGGTCCAAATTGCCTACAGAACTCTGTATACACTGCTCAACTGTTTAATGGCAAGAACAAGCCGATGTTTAATGATAAGAACAATCAATCTAAAGCTAGTCCATCTTTTCTTTCCTTGTGAACAACTTGTATGTTTTCTTGTTTTTCTCCCTTCCTGGATGCCTGATGATCATGATGATGATGATGACGACGACGATGATGATTTTAACAAGAGAAAGTACAAAGTTTCGCCAGAATAGCTTTAGTTGTTAGGCTGTTTTCATTAATTTTTCCTGGTGTTTGGCAACAAGCCTGCTCGAATTGCAGGCTCAGGTCATCCTTCATCTCAGAAAAGTTTTTATCCCATTGTGTGTTTAATAATTGTTCCTGTTGAATTTGTTCTGGTCTCTTCCAAAATGTCAATTGTATATATTGGATCTCTGTACTCTATCCTTTATGTCAATCATCTTTTTCTTCAAATTTTCTTTTTTCATCTCTTCTCCCCCTTTTCCTCTGCATTTTGGGAGAGCTTCTCAAATTTGTAGTCTGCATCACTAATACAATTTTCTAATCCACTCTCTGTTGCTTCTGGTACAGTTTAATCTATATACTGCCTATTTAGTTTCTATTTTATTGTTTCTTATTCGGATATTGCATTTTTTAGTTTCCATCCTATAGGCCGTACTTATTAATATCCAACACCCTTTTAATGTATGCCTCCCCGTTAGCTAGCCCCCACTTTCATCCCCACCTGCTGCCTTATGAACTTATTTTCTACATCTCACTCCAAAGACTCCACAATTTAAAAAATCTACAAGCATAAAAAAATGTTTTCTACAATTTTCTTGTTACAGAAGTAACCTTTTATATCAAGAGTATGTGCTTTTGCCCTGGTGTTGAGTGCAACATTCCTGTATTTTTAAGGTTGCAGAATCTTATTTCAGAGTCTGTCTCCTCAATATTTCTTTTCTTTTTTTTTTTTTTTTTTTTTTTTTTTGAGACGGAGTCTCGCTCTGTCGCCCAGGCTGGAGTGCAGTGGCGGGATCTCGGCGGTTTGATAAAAGTAGGGTTTGATTTTTCACAAGGATACTTCATGATAGAGATGTGAACCTTCATCAGGAAGTATATAATGTTCAACTGTCTCTCTTTTTATGATGTTAAGATTAATCCCTATTTTCAGCCTAATCCATTATAAAGCCATTATATGACCCAAGAAAGCTACTAAAGCCTCAGCCATGTCTGTGTTGTAGCCCAAAAACAAGAGGAAAGCCATTATAAAGTTATCCTTTAGCAGTTCACCCAATATTACTTTTAGCAATCACTGATGATTGTTTCATTAAAAGTTGCAAAATGGGTGATATTCTATCAGACCTTCTTAATGTATAGTTAAAATATTTCTATAAAGAAAATCTTGCTCTTGCCAACTACTTGGTTACCCTGAGATATACAGTTTGTATGGGAAGGGCAGAATTAATGATTAAATCTTTATCAATTTTCAAAATAATGAATTGGCTCCCTAGTCCCCAAACATAAGGAGCTTTAAAAAAAAGTAACATATGAACTCACAGATTTTTAACATATTTGATACATTTCAACCTACTGCAGTTATTTCTTTTTCTTGGGATGTTGGTATTTCAGGTATGTGAACACTTCCTTTTTGGTGTTTTCAATGCTGGTACACTCTATTTAGATATATTTATAGTCATTTCAGTGGTAACTAGATGTGGGGTTAGAGGGAGTCAGATGCTTGTACCACACTGCTATCTGTACCTGTGAGGAACAGGTTTTGCTATTAGTAACAGACACCAGAAATAAACCATCTTATGTTCCAGCTTGGGTTTTCACTCATATAAAATATATCTAGAAATAGGCAGTCTGGAGCATATATGCAGCTATGTGCTCATCAAGGACCTAGGTGCTTTCTATCTTTCTACATCACCTTATGCCCTAAGAAAGCTACTGAAGCCTCAGCCATCATGTCTGTGTTGTATCCCAGAAAGAAAAAGAAAGGCAGAAGGGCAAAACAGCACATCTCTCAGTAGAACTAATTCAAACTAATGAGACTTTCCTCAAGCTTCACACATTTCCAACATTTCATTAGTCAAATCTTAGTCACATGGCCACCTCTAGCTGCAAGGGAAGCTAGGAGGCACCTCTGTTCTAGGCAGCCACATGCCAAGTGGAAAAAACCGGGTTCTATTATTAAGGAGAAAACAGACCCTGGGAGGAAACCCACAGTCTCTGTCATACCATCTCACCAGAAAGTTTCTCAATGTACAAATTAATCACTCTCTCCCCATGTCGCCCTTTACTATATCTCAATTACACAAATTCTTCAAGTCTGGTTTGCAAGTAATTATGAATCTGTGGGTATTTTTCTCTAGATTGAATTCCTTGAAGATGCAGGGCATTTTTTATTTATATATATATTTCCCTCTATCAATGCCTATTCAGGCATTCCACTCAAACATGCCTTATTCAGACACACTGAAGGCATGTATTTTGTCGCCATGTTTATAATTATGTATGTTCATTTTCAAACTATTCTATTGGGTTTTGTTACCTGTATGGCAACCTATTCTTTCCACAATCCAGAGCTTGTGCTGAATGAAAATCATCATCAGCACTCCATAAGTAGGTCAACCCTGCTACTCTCATTTATCCTCAAACCTTAATAAAACATATTTAGGCTAAAAAAATATTCATTTCAATGAGAAAGGAAGTTGTTCCTTTTTGGGAGGGTGGGGAAGGTCACAGAAAAAGGAAAGGTTTAACGAGTAGTTTTACCATATATGCTAAGCATTAGATATACTTTCGGTTATTGAAATCAAACCCTAAGAAGATTTTTTTTTTATCACCCACATATGGTTGAAGAAACTGAGTAGTTCTTAACTTTGCTGAAGAAAAATTATTAGTGAGCACATAGTGGGATTTAAACCTAGATTTAATCTGGCTTTGAAGTGTAAGTTCTTTACATCATAGTATCATATTATGGCTCCAAGTCACCATATACTTTCACACCAACTAGATAAGAGCAGAAAGATTTACCCTTGGTTGTGCAGACACAATCTTAAACTACTAGCATTATGCGTCAGCTTCTGAAACTAAAATATGTTTTTAAAAAGAGCTTTTAAATACATTCAGCTTACTTTTCTCTAGCATTGAAAGCCATAACATAAAAAAGTGAGACAGGAATGTTTTTTTAACAGCAAAGAGATGCTTTGTATCCAGAAAAGCTGAACAATTACAGTGTAGCTAAAATGTTCTTTGAAGTACTGTATAGCACTTAACTTTAAAAGCTCTCTGCTTGCTTCTAAGCAATGTGTCAAACTAAGCATATGCTATGTAAATAAATCAGCTCAGAAAGGAGTTTCAGGCTTCTCCAGCTGTGTTAAGATTTCTCCACTCATTAGGAAAGCCAAGAAAAAGAAAACTTAATGATGTGTTTACTCTGCATGGTTCAAACACAGGTTCTATAGAATAGTTGTTGACAATAAGTTTTTATGAAACATCTTTTACCAAGTTTGGCGCCATCCTGCAAACTGGAATGTCTAAAGGAGAAAGGTTCATCAAGAAGCCTGCTTATAGTAATTTTAAAAATCATAAGATACAGAGTATTAGCTATGCAGAAGAAATTATATGTGGAAGAAATCAGTACCCAATTTTTTTTTTTTAATTTTTTTGGAGACAGAGTCTTGTCAGTCACCTGGGCTGGAGTGCAGTGGCACATTCTCGGCTCACTGCAACCTCTGCCTCCTGGGTTCAAGCGATTCTCCTGCCTCAGCCTCACAAGTAGCTGGGATTACAGGTGTGCGCCACCATGCTTGGCTGATTTTTTTTGTACTTTTAGTAGAGACGGGGTTTAACCATGTTGGCCAGGCTGGTCTTGAACTCCTGACCTCAGGTGATCCACCTGCCTTGGCCTCCCAAAGTGCTGGGATTACAGGCATGAGCCACCGCACCCAGCCCCAAATTGGTTTTTAAATGAGTTATTATTAGGATAATTTTTTTATATAGAATGCAGTTTTGAGCTACTTCACAAAGCAATGCAGAAAGCATGATATCAGAAAAAATGATTGTGAGAATACGCTAATGGAAACATGTAAGGATAATCTGGTAGAATAAACAATACTGCAAATTCTACTTGCAATTTGAAGTAATGTTTTTTCTAATGTTTATGATAAAAAGAAACATTTAATATACAGCCTTCAGACACTGCATAATCTTTTGCAATTTTAAAGATACATAAGAGTAATATCCATATTATAAATTTCTCTTATTAATTAATAGTTAACAGAATGGCAGGTCAAGAGACTGGGAAGTGGGGACCTTTATAAAAAGGGGGGTAGAGGAAGAGACTAGCAGCAGTTTTGAGTCCTTATTAATGTAATCCCACTTAATTCTCATAACTACAAAGTGGTATTACCTTCGTTTTTCAGATAAGGAAACTGATATAGAGTCAACTGTTGACTCAATCACTTACTAGCTTTTCTTCCACTGCCAGTTATTTCACTTCTCTGAATCACGGTTTTCTCATTAGTACACTAGCACTAGTACTATCTAGCTCACAGGTACCTCACAGGTGTCTTGAGAACTAAATGAGATACGTGTATATACTCAAGAATGTGGAAATGTAAGTTCCATTTTTCTTTTAGAGCGGTTACTAGTTTTTTCAAGTCTCAACTTGTCCAAAATCTCTTAAGAGATACAGCTGGAAAATGAAACCAGATTATAGGCTCAGAACCCAAATTTATCTTAGTCCAGTGTTTGCCATTATACTACATTTCCCTGCACTTTTTATGTCATTTATTTCCTACTACTACTACTACATGCTAATTTTTTTAAAAGGCGTGTCTCAAATGTCATCTCCAAATTTTGAAAGCAATCAACAAATTCATCTCCAATTTCTAACAAAGGGCTCACAGCCTTCAATGATGTATCTCATATCTAAAACTAAGGAATCTATGAACTCGTTAGAAGGCCATATGACTCCAGAGAATGCCATAATAATCCAGAAATTTTAAAACTAAACAGGTTATGAACATGTATGGTTACAGCAGTTTATTAATGATAATTCCAAGCTGGAAACAACCCAAATGTCCACCAAATGGTGACTGGATAAACTGTGGTTCATCCATACAATGGAACACAACACAGCAATGCACTGATACTGATAACCTGCCACAACATAGATGAATCTCAAAAGCATTTCACTACGTGAAAGAAGTCAGACACAAAAGTGTACTTACTATATAATTTCATTTATGTGACATTCTGGAAAAAGAAAATCATAGGGATAAAAGTTAATCAGCAGTGGCAGGAAGGGAGTGACTTATAATGGGACATAGATGAGGGGCTTTTGAGGACGATGGAAATGTTCTAGATTTTGATTGTTGTGCTGGTAGTTAAATGACTGTATTCATCCGACAAAACTCATCCAACTATAAATTTTAAAGGGGCACATTTTATTTTATGTAAACTATACCTTAGTAAAATTAATCTATAATGGGTTTCTATAGTTTTGTTTTTGAGTAATAAATGCTATGAAAATATAGAAGAAACTAATTAAATAGGTCATACAAACAAAGTGAGAAGGTATATTTTTGGGACAACCTGAGCTTTTTAGTCTGATAGGCCTAAATTTGAATCCTGGTAAGCTTGACAATCTTGGACAAGTTAGTTGACCTTTCCAAACTTCGGTTTCCTCATCTGTTAAGCTGATATCATACTTTCTGCTTTATAAAGTAGTTTTAAGATTAAGTGAACACTTAATTTAGTGCCTACCACACAGTAGGCACTCATAATAGGCAAACAAAGGAAAATGTTTATGGATGAAGTGATATCTAAGTCAATTAGAAAAATAATAATCTTCAGGCCGGGCACAGTGACTCATACCTGTAATCCCAGCACTTTGGGAGGCTGAGGTGGGCAGATCACATGAGGTCAGGAGTTTGAGACTAGCCTGGCCAACATGGCGAAACCTCGTCTCTACTAAAAATACAAAAATTAGGAGGGTGTGGTGGCATAAGCCTGTAATCCCAGCTACTTGTGAGGCTGAGGCAGGAGAATCGCTTGAACCCAGGAGGCAGAGGTTGCAGTAAGCTGAGATCGTGCCACTGCACTCCAGCCTGGGTGACAAAGCGAGACTCTATCTCAAAAAAAAAAAAAAAAAAAAAAAAAAAAAAAAGAATAATCTTCATCTATCTGTATCAGTTCATTTAATCAACAAATATTTGTTAAACATCTGTTATAAGGTATGTTAGCATTTTCCCAAATAAGCAATCAGTAAAACCAGAGTACATATTCCCCTGAAAAAAATCACCTTTCTCTAAGCTTCTGTAATTTTTATTATCTCATAAAAGTTGATAAGAATAGCAATCAAGAAACAAATACAATCTGGCTTTCCACAGAATGATATATTGGTAGGCAACATAAATTTTATCAGCAATAAATGTGAATTAAATAAGATTTAAACTAAGATTTCCCAGCTGCACAATTTTCTAAGCAAATAAGAAGGTTACCAAATTGAATTAACTTCAGCACTGCAAGACCTTTCATTAACCTCCTGCTTAAGACCTTACTTCATGCTGATCAAAGGGTGTAGATACTTTCTGTTGGTTTTTAAATTTGAGGTGAATGTAACTTGCAGCACAGAAACAGCATTTACCTAAAAAAATAAGGTGGTGAAGCAGAAATGAAATTTTACCTAAGATTATTTCTTAAGGCATATAAATATATTCCATATATATATATCAATACATTTTCTAAGGGTTGAAACTAAGTTTTCACTGACATTTATATAAATAACCTAAAATCTTGGCACTAGGATTATTTACAAAGGTAAAACCTGAATTACAAATATTTGGCAAGGAGAAAATTATACTTTCTGTCTTTCTTCCCAAATCAAAATCATCTTCTATGGGGCGGCATCCCCACCTCAGCTGTGTGAACGGTGGCCCCAGAAAAAATAAGGTCAAAAAAATTAAAAAAAAATAATCTTCTGGCCGGGAGCAATGGCTCAATGCCTGTAATCCCAGCACTTTGGGAGGCTGAGGCGGGCGGATTACCTGAGGTCAGGAGTTTGAGACCAGTCTGGCCAACATGGTGAAACCTCCTCTCTACTAAAAATAAAAAAATTAGCCGGGTGTAGTGGCGTGTGCCTGTACTGCCAGCTACTGGGGAGGTTGAGGCAGGAGAATCGCTTGAACCCAGGAGGCGGAGGTTGCAGTGAGCTCAGATCACGCCATTGCACTCCAGCCTGGGCAACAAGAGCGAAACTCTGTCTCAAAAAAAAAAAACAAAAAAATCTTCTCCATATATGTATGTATATGTGCATCACATATATTTCATATGTATGTATGTATGAGTTTTCTTCCTGCAACAAGCTGTACTGTGTAGCCTACACACTGCTTCATGTTTTAAAAATTGCTTCCTTAAGACAGAATTTAAATTATTACTCACACATCATAATAAACTCTAGGTTTCAAATTGTGGCAAATGTTGATTAAGAAATTAAGATGTTATACAAATCTTTCCTTCTCTATTAAGCCAACCACAAAGTAGCTATGGTCCCTAAACAGTCTAATAGGGTACCTGGGTTATAAACTGAGCTTCTTATCATACCCTACAATGCACATATGTAATAAGGATAGAGACTGTTCTTTTTCCTTAGTGCTGAAACTCCACCTCTAGGAAGCAAAGTGACTTTAAACAGAAGTTTAACATATACTGAATTTGAAGACTCATATGACATCAATGTTTCCCCCCATTACTAGTGCCTGGGGTTGGGAGGGAGAAAGCATTCAAGTATGTTATTGATGTCTATTTCTTGACTTAAAATGTAATTTTTCTAGCAGTTTCTTGGTATAAATTTATAGAGCCTGAATGTAGAGATAAAACAAGGGGAATTTATAAACTAAAAACAAACATAAAGTCAATAAAATTTTGATTTCTCTTTTCTCCATGTTAGTCACAAGAAGTGACTGAGGAGGTCAAACTTCAAGACTTTTGGGGGCTTTATGGAATCTTTTACATGTTTTTCACATACTTTACACCTAAATCCTTAGAGGTTATAGAGCACCCAAAAGTTAAATATGTCCAGCTTGAACATACTTTTCTGAAAGGAACCCCTTAAGATGACTATGAAATTTTAAGCCAGTATGCCCTCTTTCAGCCTTTCTGGGAAAATGAGAAACTATCCTAAAATGCCCAAATATGAATATTCTACAATCTTTAATAATCAATGTTAAGTAAGTCATCTTACACTGTTAGAAAACTGTTTCTCAATTGTGTATTCTTGGCTCCTTTCCTACTGTCTGCTGCTCCTCCCGAAAAAGCATATTCTCCACCCAAACAGAAATACTCTCATTTAGTCTATGACATTGGACTAATCAAAAGCTTACTCTCAAGGATAAATGTCTTACAGGTCCTTGCTGCTGCATTTATGTCAAAAAATAAACTCCTTGAGAGAAGAAGCCATGTGTGAATAGATTTTTCCCCCTTGTTTTCTATTTAATTGTCTAATTGTTTCTAGTATACATATAAACAAATTATGTGAATATAATTCCCCCCTCAAATTCTACTCTGCTATTCTAAACACTTATTTTTTCCCTGTAAGAAGCCGCAGCTAGTTTAGGAAGTATAATGGTTCCAAGCTCTGTAACAATAAAAGCTAGAAAGCAACACATCAATTTTTTAAAAAGTACTTGAAATATTTTAGACAACTGGCAAAATAAAGGCATAACTCAATCATTTCTATTTTCATGACAAATAACTCAGGAGTAAGAACATACGGACATATTAATATACATACATACACACACACACACGATTCATGTAGTCATATCAATCCCATAAAACCAAGTGACTAATCAAGACTTCTGTTCCTAGGAAGACATTTCGTAATATAACACAATATGTATCTCAGGAGCCATTGCTTGAAAGTATCACTGATTACTAAGAACATAAATTAGTCCTAGATCAGCACTATATGTTAGAAAGACATTAATGACTATTCTACCATACTCTCCTACCAGACTGACACTATAGATTCACTCGTTAACATACCAGACACAGGAAGTTGTCCATTCTCAAATAATTAAAATTGTTATTTTCTTGCAAATAAAAGGAAATGGTAATTACTCAGACAATAGCCTACTTTACTCCATCCAAACGTATATATAAAAATCTGAGGCCGGGGTGGTGGCTTGGGCCTGTAATCCCAGCACTTTGGGAGGCCGAGGCAGATGGATCACAAGGTTAGGAGTTCGAGACCAGCCTGGCCAATATGGTGAAACCCTGTCTCTACTAAAAATATAAAAATTAGCCAGGCGTGGTGGTGTGTACCTGTAATCCCAGCTGCTTGGGAGGCTCAGGCAGGAGAATTGCTTGAACCCAAGAGGCAGAGGCTGCAGTGAGCAGAGATCATGCCATTGCACTCCAGCCTGAGTAGTGACAGGGAAATACTCCGTCTCAGAAAAAACAAAACAAAACAAAAAAGATAGATAGATATCTGAATCACATGTATATCCTAAATGGGAAAAGCTCATAGGCATATATAAAAATATCAAAAAGTCCTTTAAGATCTAGAGAACAAACAACAACAACAAAATGAAATGAGGGCATTTGCTGAGGATGTTGCCAAGTGCTCAGCGAATAGTCCATCAACTCACTTAACATGTGATTTTTAAGAATGACTGGACAAGGCTGGGTGGCTCACGCCTGTAATCCCAGCACTTTGGGAGGCTGAGGCAGGCGGATCACGAGATCAGGAAATCGAGACCATCCTGGCTAACATGGTGAAACCCCATCTCTACTAAAACAACAAAAAATTAGCCGGGCATGGTGGCGGGCGCCTGTAGTCCCAGCAACTTGGGAGGCTGAGGCAGGAGAATGGCGTGAACCCGGGAGGTGGAGTTTACAGTGAGGCAAGATCAGGCCACTGCACTCCAGCCTGGGCGACAGAGCGAGACTCCATCTCAAAAAAAAAAAAAAATGACTGGACAAAAAACACTAGGTAGCAAAGGCAAAATCTCTGGCTGCTCATAAAAACTTGGTAAAATTAGATATTTTGTCTTCAAAAGTCTAAAGTATAATAAAATCTGTCTCACCCCTGCTTACCCATACCTAAGCAGAGCACCAGGAGAAAAACTGTCATCAGAATTGCAAAGGGGATTCGAATTGAAAATTTGTTTTCTTTTTCAAAACTTTACTTTCATGGTCTTGTTTCAATAAACCAAAAAAGTGGTTTTATCTACTTGATGGATTACACAGATCAAGTATTCCATCTGAAATACAGGCCTTTTTACTTCTTTAGAAGGGAGCCATGAGCCAAGGAATACAGACAGCCTCTAGGAGTTAGAAAATGCAAGGAAAAGATCCCCACTACAGCTTCCAGAAGGAACATAATCCTACTGGCCCCTTGATTTTAGCCCAGTGATATGCATTTTGAACTTCTGATCTCCAGAACTGTAAAATAAATCTGTGTTGTTATAAGCAACTAAGGTTGTGGTAATTTGCTATAATAACAACAGGACACAAATACATCTAGAAATTAGTAAGCCCCAATAAGTATTTGCTATTTTTACTGATCTCTGGTTGTTGACACTTAGAATAGAATGTGCACTTTAACACTACTTTGATAATCAGGGTTAGCAGGAATAATCTTTTGGCTAATGAGAGAGCAACTCCCAATTAGAATGGAAACATTAAAACTAATGTAACAAGGATAAATCATGCCTCTTGTGGTAGACTACAGTTCAACTGAATCAATTATTGAGAAATAATGTTGCAGACCCCAACTATAATTGTATATTTGTCTATTTCTCCTTTGAATTCTATTAATTTTCCTTCATCTATTTTAATGCTCCATTATTAGGGGCCTACATGTTTAAGATCACTATATACTCTTGGTAAACTGACCCCTTTTATATTATCAAATGTCCTTCATACTTCTTGCTCTAAAATCTACTTTATCTGATACTAATTGTGGAACTCCTGTTTTCTTTTTATTAGTGTCTACACGGTATATCTTTTTTCATCTGTTTACTTTTCGTTTTTTTTTTTTTTTAAATCGAGATGGAGTTTCTCTCTGTCACCCAGGCTGGAGTACAATGGCGCGATCTTGGCTCACTGTAACCTCTGCCTTCTGGGTTCAAGCGATTCTCCTGCCTCAACCTCCTGAGTAGCTGGGATTACAGGTGCCCGCCACCATGCCCAGCTAATTTTAATTTTTCGTAAAGATGGGGTTTCACCATGTTGGCCAGGCTAGTCTCAACCTCCTGACCTCAAGTGATCCACCCTCCTCTGCCTCCCAAAGTGCTGGAATTACATACATGAGCCACCGCACCCAGCCTCAGCTGTTTACTATTAACCTGTGTTTTTATATTCAATGTGAGTTTTTGTAGACAATATGTAAATGAAATTTTTTTTTAAATCAAATTAGATAATCTCCATTTTTTAATGGTATTTAGACCATTTACATTTAATGTGATTATTGCTATGATTGGGTATATATCTGCTATCTAGCTATTGGTTTACTATGTCTCATCTTTGTCATTTTTTTTTCTTTTTGTCATTGTTGGGTAAGTAATTTTCATAATTCCATTTTATCTCCACTACTGGTATATTAACTATACTGCTTTAAAAAAACAAAAAAACCTCTACTTATGTGAAAAATTCCATAACATATTATTATTCTTGTTTTAAGCAATTATCTTTAAGAAAAAAGTTTCTTAAATGAGAGAAAAAAAGACTTTTATATCCATTCATATACACTCACCATTTCCAGGGCTCTTCATTTATTTTTGTAGATGCAAATTTCCATCTGATATAATTTTCATTCCTTGTCATCTCTGAACCCAAACTCAAACCTTTGTAATTCCTGAGCTGTTTGGGTTCCCTCTTCCTGTGCTATGGCCTGGAAACATTGTGGGCTCACTTCATTTGTTCTAAATCACACAGCTAGACTCTCTGGTTTAGCTTCTAGAGAAATGAAATTTGTGGCCATACTCATTTTAGCTCTGTCATATTTTGCTTTATTTCTTTAAAGCCAAATTATTAAGTTCACATGAATTTAGAATTATTATGTCTTTCCAGTGTATGGACCTTTTATATTATTATGAAATGACCTTCTTTACGTCTAGTATTGCTTTTTGCCTTAATGTCTACTTTGCCTGATATTAGCATAGCTTCATCAGCTTTCCTTTGATTAGCATTTGCATGGTATATTTTAATCCTTTTAGTTTCAACCTTTTTGTGTTCTTATATGTAACATGTATCCCTTGAAAATGAAATATATTTTGGTTTTAAAGAAATTTATAATCCCAGCACTTTGGGAAGCCAAGGTGGGCAAATCGTTTGAGCTCAGGAGTTTGAGACCAGCCTGGGCAACATGGCAAAACTCTGTCTCTACAAAAAATAAAGAAAATTAGCTAGGTGTGGTGGCATGCATCTGTAGTCCCAGCTACTTGGGAGGCTGAGGTGGGAGGATTGCTTGAGCCAAGGAGGCAGAGGTTGCAGGGAGCCGAGATCGTGCCACTCCAGCCAGGGTAACACAGCAAGACTCTGACTCAAAAGAAAAAGAAAGAAATTTAGTCTTCCAAATTTTTCAAACAAATTTGTCTTTTACTAGAATATTTAAACCATTTACATTTGATGTCATTAATATATTTTAAATTTTATCCATTAGCCTATTGTTTGTTTCTTCCAATTAACCTGTTTTATATTCTTTCTCTTCTCTCTTGCCTTCTTTTGATTTTATCAAGTAGTTTTCATTATTCAATTTCTTTTGCCAGCTAATAATTCTTTTACTGTTTCAATCATGGTTACCCTAATGATTAAAACCATCCTTGCTAATTACAGTCTAATACAAATCAGTACTTCTATCACTTTATAGCTAACTCTAAGACCTTAAAACACTTTATGTATACCCTTCCCACTTTTTGAGTTGCTGATATCATGAGTTTTAATTCCACATACATTTTAGAGCTCATAAAAATTGTCTGATACAATTAATATAGTTCATCTATATATTTACCCTTTCTGTCACTCTTCAATCCATACATACTGGTTTTGACAACTTATAGTTCCTCACAGTGCTATAAAATACAAAGAAGATACATAGAAAATAAAAATGTTATCAGACAGATTATGGGAAGGAAAAGCATAATACTTCAGTAGAGAAAGAACATAATGCCTTGGAGAAGAAAAACTTTCCTCCTAGCTTTCTCTACTATTTTAAGAGTAGGCTTAAATGTCAAATGCTAGCTTTCAATGCATCTATTAGCAGATCAACTGAAAATACTTGATGTGACAATTTTCAGTACTCTAATAACTCTTCCTAGAAAACATGCAACTTACCTATATTTACTTCTACTAGCAGTCATATTCTTACATATCATTGTTTACCTTACCCAGTTTCCACATAAGCTCATAAAAATAAAAGCGGAATTTTCTCATGTATAAAAATACAAAAGGGATTGATGCTACCATACTAAACCTATATTCCTTAATGTGCTTTTATAACCATACAGATTAGTCAGTCATATTTAACACTATCATGGACAACCAACAAAGGGTGAGAACAAAATTGAAATTATCAGTATAAGGTCAGCATATATGCCCAAGTTTGCTGCACACAAAGACTGTTTTTTAAATGATGGTTTAGCTATACTTGCAGATCTTGCTGCTTCTTGCAAGGTTTATGTTCGGCTCACAGCGTTCACTCAAAAAAGATTATCTAATTTTTTTTCTGTCATATGAAAAAAGAAAGTTCATGACTCTCCTGATTTAGTTGTCTAACAGTTCATTCTAACAAATACTGTGTTTTTGTGCATACTTAGAAAGCTTTCTCTGACACACCTACTCTAGTATCAGCTCTTCATTGAACAAATCATATTTAAGACTAGTGACTTGAGTTATCATAGGGCTTCACTAATACTGATGTTCTCTCTCCAATACAAATAGGGGTCTCTAATGATTATCTGGATACCCTTTCTATAGGGTATTAGTTAGTCAGGATAATCTACTAGGCCTGGGGCTGTAACAAATATTCCCCATAATCTTAGAGACTTAGCAAAAATGTCTCTCTTACACATGGTCTACTGACTCAAATTGCATTTAAACAATAAATCATCCTTGATTTAGTTAGGCAATAATTATATATATTTTATACACATACACATTTTTCCCTACTAACATCCGACTCAAGAATATACTAATTAGAAAGCTCACTCTTGGCTGGGCATGGTGGCTCACGCCTGTAATTCCAGCACTTTGGGAGGCCGAGGCAGGTGGATCATCTGAGGTCAGGAGGTCGAGACCAGCCTGGCCAACATGGCGAAACCCTATCTCTACTAAAAGCACAAAAATTAGCTGAGTGTGGTGGTGGGCGCCTGTAATCCCAGCTACTCAGGAGGCTGAGGCAGGAAAATCGCTTGAACCTGGGAGGCGGAGGTTGCAGTGAGCCGAGATCACGCCACTGCACTCCAGCCTGGGTGACAAGAGCAAGATTAGGTCTCAAAAAAAAAAAAAAAAAAAAAAAAAAAAGGCAAGCAAGCAAGCTCACTCTGGCTGAAGATATGAAATCTATATTAAAAGTCCTGATTTATGGATCAGGGATGTGCATGAACATGAAATTCTTATACTTTCTATGCAATCAAGTTTTGATTTTCACTAAGAAATTGGAATCCATTTTAGTATAAGCTTTCCTATTTGGCAACTGAGCTTTACTCTTAAGACTCCATTATTCCTATGCTGTTTTGCAATAAACACTATGGACAAAGTAAAAACGCTACATTTTAGGAGTGACTAATTGACTATAATATTTCTCAGATTTTGCTATCTTCTACATTTGTACACTTGTAGGACAGACAGGGTTTATACAGACCAGAAGGCTTATCAGATCTTTATAAAAATATTCCTTTGTCAGTGTCTATTTAACTTAATAAAGTACTCAGAATTCTATCTAACCTAACACTTCCAACAACAGCAGTGTTTGGAATATTGCCAAAATCATGTTTATTACTTATGAAATAGAGTTTTGAAATGTTCATAATCTGGAATAGAAGTAATATTTGTGTCAAATACTCAATTCTAACTCAATTCACCTAAAGGTAGGTAGTTTAAGTTACAGAAAACGCCATGATCCCAAGATGGTCTAATAACTGTATCTAATAACAAAAGATTAAAATAGGTGTGTGTGTGTCTGTGTGTGTGTGTGTGTGTGTGTGTGTCTGTGCATGCGTGCACACGTGTATGTGTTTAGAGGAGGGAGGTTTGATGAATTTAGGCCCTTAAGTCCAATAAAAATTGGAAACGTCATATATGTAACACTGGGAGGCAGTATAACATAGAAGTTAAGGATGTAGGCTTTTAGCTGTTTTTTTCTGGGTTTGAATCCTGGCTCTATCACTTATTAACTCTGTGTATTTAAGAAAAAGTTTAACTTGTTTATATCTTAGTTTCCTCATATACCATATGGATTTAAAGAATACTTCATAATGTAGTATTAAATGAGTTAATGTACATAAATTGTTTAGATCGATGCCAGGCACAGAGAGAGTACTCAGTAAATGTTAGGAAATATCAGCACTACCACTCTGAAATCAGTAAAAGAATCCTTAGTATGCAAGTCAAAGTTCAAATCTACAAATTTACACATAATTTACAGGAAGTTGTGCATACTTTCAGTCTAATGTCTACTCAAGTTTCAAGACCTTCATTATTCCACAAAAAAATTATTGCTTATACATGATAACCTAATCAACAAGTGTTTACTGAATACCTACTAGGCACTGTGTGTACAAACAAGAGGCATAACAACTGCCCCTCAAAACCTTATAATTATTAACAAATTATTTAGACTATGATATAAGACCATATTTAATTGAATGCTGAACTCTGTGGTACAGAATATAAGTCCTGGTATATCCTAATGTTTACTGAAGACTAAGAGGACAGGGACTTCTATGACAGCCGACGCAAGGATGCCTAGCTTACTGCATACATTCCCAAAACTAAGGGCTTACTCTTTATTATGCCAACTGTAGGGCAGATGAAATAATCTAACCCCTCTCCACCTCTGCCCTGCAAAAAAGAAAAAAAAAAAGCTTTAAAATATTTGGCTAATGAAGCTTTTATTCCTAATACCAATAATCATACCTTTTTAGACATATTATATCACTATGGGTATATGTAGCACCATAAGCCATAGAACCACCAGCATAGTTATCTTGGGCTGCCATTCTAAACACAAAAAACAAAAATCTGATTTATTAGGAACCAAAAAACTATATCACTTATGTTGAGTTTACTATTAACATAATTTCTGCCATAAGAAATCACAGAGGGATTCAAGAAAGATGACAAAGTAGGAACCACCAGGAATCTGTCTCCCAACTTAGACAACAACTGCACTGGCAGAATCTGTCTAAAGTAATTATCTTGGAACTCTGTAGTCCACTGAAGGCTTGCAACTTCCAAGAGAAGGACTAAATGATAAAGTGCATTAATTTGGGTCATTTTCAGCTCTTAACACTGTTGCAGCAAGCCATCCTCCACTCCTAGCTCCCTGGCAGGCAGCTGTGCATGTGCTCCTGGAGCAGTTTGTACTCAGCTTGCAGGAGCCCACGTAGGCAAAAAGGACCTTGTCCTCCAGGTATGGAGATCTGTACTCTGATCACTGATTGTTGCCAAAGATCACATGGGTGTAGTCAAAGAGGCTGCCAGCCATTGTTGTTGCACCTCCTCCCGGTGTTGCAAGAGCCCCCCTGCTCCCCTGAAATGACTTCCAGGGAACTTAAAGGGCCAGAGCCAATTTTTCTTCCTGTATTTATTTTTCTCTTTTTCTCCTTTTGGGAGCCAGACATTAAAGACTGGGACATTCAAAAACAACTGTAAATATGGACAAAACTGGAAAATGATCATGCATGTCCAGGAAAAGATGCAAAGAAAATACCTGGGAAGACCTTAAGTTTATATTTCTATCTCTGACATAGGCTGATCCCTGTTTCCTTACCCAGTCTACAAAAACCAAAAACAATAAACAAAAATAATACTAAAACAACCAGCCCTAGTGAAAGGAGAAAATCTGATTTCCAGACTTAGCACATTAATAGATTTAAATGTCTAGTTTTCAACAACAACAAAAAATCACAAGGCATACAAAGAAACAGGAAAGTATGGCACATTCAAAGGCAAAAAATAAATCATAGAAATCGTCCTTGAAAAAGACCTGATGGCAAATCTACCATAGCTCTTTAAATGCTGTCTTAAAGATGTGCAAAGAACTAAAGGAAGGTGCAGACAGAATCAAGAAAATGATGTATGAAAAACGTGTAAGTATCAGTAGAGCTACAGAACCTAAAAAAGAACCAAAGAGAAATTCTGGAGCTGAGAAGTACAAAATGAAAAATTCACTATATAGATTCAAAGGCATATCTGAGCAGGCTGAAGAATCAGCTAACTTTAAGATAGGACAATTGCAACTATGACTCTGAGGAACAGAAAAAAAAAAGACTGAAGAAAAATGAAGAGAATCTAAGAGATCTGTGGGACACCATCAATTGGATGAGTATATACATTGTGGGAGTTTTGAAAGGAGGAGAAAAGAGAAAGAGGCAAAGAGATCACATGAATAATGATGAAAAACTTCCAAAGTTTGATGAAAGACACGAGTATAAACATCCCAGGAGCTCAACAAACTCCAAGTAGCATGAACTCAGAGACCCATATTGGGATATAGTATAATGAAACTATCGAAAGCCAAAGACAAAGTGAGGATCTTAAAATCAGTAAGAAAGAGACTTATCATATACAAGGGACTCTCAAGAAGGTTATCATCATGTTTCGCATCAGAAACTTTGGAGGCCAGAGGCAGTGGGTTGACATATTCAATGTGCTAGAAGGAAAACAAACAAACAAACAAACAAAAAAATCTGTCAAACAAGAATCCTATATCCGGCAAAAGTGTCCTTCAAAGGTGAAGGAGACATTAAGATATTCCTAGATAAATAAAAGCTGAAGGAATTCATTACCACTAGACCTGCCCTGCAAGAAATGATCAATGGAAACCTATAAGGTAAAATGAAAGAACACCAGAAATAAATATCTCAATAAAAGTAACTACATGGGCAATCATAAAACCTACTATTGTTGTAATAATGGTCTGTAACTTCACTTTTTGTTTTCTATACAACCTAAGAGACTACCGCATTTAACAGTTTGTTTGTGGGTACATAATGTATAAGGATGTAATTTGTGACACCAACAACTGACAGGTGTGGGAATAAAGCTGTAGATGAGCAGGATTTTTGGATATTATTGAAGTTAAACTTTTATAAGCTCAAATTAGAGTGTTATAACCTAGGATGTTAATTGTAATCCCATGGTAACCACAAAGAAAGTAGCTATAGAAAATACACAAACAGGAATGTGAAATTATTTTAAACCTTTCACTATAAAAAAAATCAACTATGGATTCAGCAAAGGAGCAGGATATGAACAGAAATCAGTTGCAGAGGACCCAAACAAGATGGCTGACTAGTCATAGCCAGAAATAACTTCTCCCATTGAGATAGACCAGAGTATCAACTAAACTGGCATAATCCAGACAGACAATCTGAGAAAATCACACTGAAAGAGGTTAGAGAGATGACCTAGATGCCAGGACTGAAGGGGGAGGAAACTGGGAACCCCACACAGGGTTGCCAAGTGCCAGGATATGTTCAAGGCCCTAAACAGCTCCTTAGGAAGGGGTGGCTCTGACCTGTATAAGCTGCCAGACCTGGAGAGAACAGGGCTTTCTTTCCTGTGGGACCAGGGTGAGCCTGATCTGTGCACCCTGCTGTCCACCAGCCCCTCGCATAGTCCCTGTCTGGTCGTGCCTACACACAGCAAAGCCTCAACTACCCTGCTGGAGCACTTCCTGCCCGTGGTGCCTCCACCACCCCTGCCTCCCACCCATGGTGCCCCTGCCAGAATGCCTCCCACCTGCAATGCTCCCACAGGAGCACTTAAGCCCATGGACCCGTGCTGCCATACCTCATGGAATGCTGTTGTCAGCAGTCTGGGAGTACCTCAGCCCCTCTAGCCCAGCCTGGGCTCAGCTTCGAGGAATCAGTGGACAAAGCTGTGGATTCAGTCCAGGCCACCCAGAGTTAGAGCATGCAGCCCATGAGCGTAAAGCTGAACCTTGGCCCTTTAAAAGCATTCAGAAACAAAGGCATTCAACCACATGCAACTTGTGCCACAGGCAAACTCTTGAGGCAATAAAGATCATAAAAACAAAAAGTCCCATTTGAAGGACAGCAACTTCAAAGGAAAAAAGAACATCAGCCCTCATCAATGAGAAAGAACCAGCACAAGAACTCTGGCAACTCTAAAAGCCAGGGCATATTTTTTTTTTTTTTTTTTTTTTTGAGACAGCGTCTCACTCTGTTGCCCTGGCTAGAGTACAGTGGCGTGATCCTGGCTCACTGCAACATCCACCTCCCAGGTTCAAGTGATTCTCCTGCCTCAGCCTCCCAAGTAGCTGGGATTATGGGTGCCCACCACCACGTCCAGCTAATGTTTGTATTTTTAGTAGAGACGGGGTTTCGTCATGATGGCCGGGCTGGTCTTGAACTCCTGACCTCAGGTGATCCACCTACCTCAGCCTCCCAAAGTGCTGGGATTATAGGCATGAGCCACCGTGCCCAGCCTAATTTTTTTTAATTAGTTAATTTCTATATAATAACAATGAACAATCTGAAAAGAAAATGACAAAAGTAATTCCATTTATTATAGCATCAAAAAGAATAATATACTTAGAAATTAACCAAGGAGGTGAAAGACATGTAAAATGAAAATTACAAAACACTGCTGAACAAAATTAAAGAAGACATAAATAGAAACATATCGCATGTTCATGGATTGGAAGACATAATATTGTTAAAATGTCAGCACTACACAAAGCAATCTACAGATTCAATGCAATCACTATCAAAATCCTGATGACATGTTTTTCACGGAAATAGAAAAACCTAACCAAAAATCCACATGGAATCTCAAAGGACCTCAAATAGCCAAAACAATCTTAAAAAAGAACCAAGTTGGAAGACTCACACTTTCTGATTTCAAAAGTTAGAATGATCAAAACAGTATGGTACTGGCATAGACATATAGATCAATGGAATACACTAGAGGGCCTAGAAATGAACTCTCAAATATATAATCAAATAATTTTTGACAAGGGTGGCAAGACCACCCAAAGGGGAATAAAAGCACAGTCTTTTCAACAAATGGTGTTGGGAAAACTGGATATCCATATGCAAAAGAGTGAAGCTGGATCCTTACCATATGCAAAAATAGATGAAAGACTTAAACATAAATTCTAAAACTATAAAATTCTTAGAAGAAAACAGGGCAAAAGCTTCACAATATTGGATTTAGTAATGATTTCCTGGATATTACTCAAAGACACAAGCAACAAGAGAAAATAGACAATTTGGACTTCATGAAAAACTTAAAATGTTGTGCATCAAAAGACAATATCAGCAGAGTAAAAAGGCAACTCACAGAATAGGAGCTAATATTTGCAAATTATGTATCTGATAAGGGATTAATATCCAGAATATATAGATAACTTTTAAAACTCAACAACAAAAAGCAAACGACCGAATTCAAAACTGGGCAAA
Source organism: Homo sapiens (assembly GCF_000001405.40). NCBI lineage: Eukaryota > Metazoa > Chordata > Mammalia > Primates > Hominidae > Homo > Homo sapiens. The sequence goes on along the minus strand of NC_000015.10, from coordinate 69,220,605 downwards.
GAACTTGAATAGACATTTCACCAAAGAATATACACATAATTGGCCAAGAAACACATGAAAAGATGCTCAACATCATAAATCATTAACGAACACAAATCAAAACTACAATGAGATACTGCCTCATACCCATTATCAAAAAACAGAAAATAACAAGTGCTGACAAGGATGTAAAGAAAATGGAACTCTTGTGCAGTGTTGATGAGAATGTAAAATTGTACAGCCACTTACATGTGCAGGTTTGTATAAAAGAAAGAAAAATAAATTTAAAAAATAAGAAAAACAAAATGGTACAGCCACTCTGGAAAAACAGTATGACTGTTTCTCAAAAATTTAAAAACAGAGTTTACCATACGATCCAACAATTCCACTTCTCAGTATATCCCTAAAGAACTTAAAACAGGCTCTCAAAGAAATATTGGTACACCTGTGTTCACAGCAGCATTATTAACAATAGCCAAAATGTGCAAGCAACCCAAGAGTGTATCAATGGAATGAATACGTAAAATGTGGTATATACATACAACAAAATATTTTTCAGCCTTAAAAAGAAAGGAAATTATGATATATGTTACAACATAGATGAACCTTGAGGACATTATACTAAGTGAAATAAACTGGTCACCAAAAACACTAATACTATAATTCCATTTGTATGAGGTACTTATTCAAAATCATAAAGACACACAGTAGACTGGTGGTTGCCAGGGAGTGGGGGAAGGGAAAACTGGGGAGTTACTGATTAATCAGTACAGAGTTTCAGGTTTACAAGATTGAAAGAGTAATGGAAATGGATGCACAACATTATGAATGTATTTAATACCACTGAACTATATACTTAAAAATAGTTCAGATGGTAAATTTTATATTACGTGTATTTTAACACAATTTAAACAAGTGAAAACAAAAAAGAATCACAGAACTGGCAATAATCTTAAAAACCGTAATCCAACCAGCTTATTTGTAAAGAAGAACAACAAAAAAATAAGATCTAGAGTTTAATGACTTGTCCAAAGTCACACAACTAGTTCTGGCTGCACCAACACTAGACCCAAGTCTTGTGATTACTTACAAAGGCTTTGCTTTCCATTGCAGCTTTCTAACTTTGTTGTTCTACTTATAACACTGAAATAAATACACAGACTCAGATACTACTTTTATATATACTACTTAGTATTACAACATACTTTACCCTAGGATGTTATTAAAAAAAATATTAAATTATTGGACTTTTTCCTTACCAAATGTCAACTAACATTTATCACTTTTTCAACAGAAAATCTACAGTTTGACTGCTTATATATACTGAAACAACTGTCTATACAATTTCATTATCCTTGAAACATGTTATGTATTTTATTGATTTGGGAATATTAATATGCTGGAAATAAATACTAAATAATGACTGGACTATAGATAAATTTATATTAAGTATACAATAAGACTGCTAATATAACAAAAATATTAAGAAAAACCCTTACAACTGACAATTCTACATGAAGTTATTAATGTTCACAGTATAACATTACTATATTACTATCAATACCATTAAGATAAAGACGGTTTAATCACTATGGAAATAGAATTTACTGATCTACAATAAAATGAGTTTATTGACAAAACAGTTTAAAAGTATTATTTGCAGCTATATGAGTTTGTTTTACAAATATTATACTAAGTATCATTTTAAGAGTTTAATTGGACTATCAGAAAGTTACATTTGCAGTGTTAAATTTTTGAGATGAGTATTTTTACTGCTAACAGCAATGCAGATATGTGCATTATTTCTGATTCACAGATAATTTGTTTCTAAGGAAACAATTATCAGTAATGTTATTAGATAATCTTTTCCAAGATATCAAATGGATATTTAGCCATATGATTAGCATTAATAGGTATTATACTGACAGTTCTCTTGTATAACACACATAAAACAGGTTTTCCAAAAGTGAAGCCCCGTGAGGTTGAAATTTCAGTCTTGTCTAATTATTAATTAAACATAAGGTTGAAATTTCAGTCTTGTCTAATTATTAGTTTCCCTCCCACAGGCTTAAGTTTAGAGAGATTTTCTAACACTTCTCATCACTTTTCTTTTTCTGTTTGTTTTCTTTTTTGAGACTGGGTCTCACTCCAGTGGCTTGATCTTGGCTCCCTGAAACCTCTGCCTCCCAGGCTCAAGCGATCCTCCAGCCTCAGCCTCCCAAGTAGCTGAGACTATAGGCATGCACCACTACACCCAGCCAATTTTTTTGTATTTTTTTGGCAGAGATGGGGTTTCACCATGTTGCCCAGGCTGGTCTTGAACTCCTGAGCTCAAGGAATCCACCGGCCTTAGCTTCCCAAAATGCTGGGATTACAGGAATGAGCCACTGTGCCTGGCCTATTTTTCTAGTCTTAGAAGAAGCAATATAGTATAGTTGATAAAAGTGTGAATTTCCTTTTTTTTTTTTTTTTTTTTTGAGACAGTCTCGCTCTGTCACCCAGGATGGAGTGCAATGGCACAATCAGCTCACTGCAACCTCCGCCTCCTGAGTTCAATTGATTCTCCTGCCTTGGCCTCCCAAGTAGCTGCGATTACAGGTGCGCACCACCACGCCCGGCTAATTTCTGTATTTTTAGTAGAGACAGGGTTTCACCATGTTGGCCAGGTTGGTCTCGAACTCCTGACCTTGTGATCTGCCCGCCTCAGCCTCCCAAAGTGCTGGGATTACAGGCATGAGCCACCGCGCCTGGCCTGCTGTGTTCCTTTGAATAAATTTTGTTTGTAAAATGTGTGTAATCACGCCTCCTTTGTAGGCTAATTGTGAAGACTAAATAAATTGTGAGGATTAAATTTAAGAATTAAATAAAATAATAAAGAAACAAAGTGTCTGAGTCAGAGTCAACCAAAGAACAGCTGTTCAAAAGAAGTTAAATTCCATCCTTCTTCAATACCCCAATTTCAGAAGTGCTGATTTCAACAATGAAAGTGAAATTAATAATGTCAACTGTCATACATGCAAAACTGCTAGCAGGTGCCACTTTATTATGTTTCAGGTTCTAAAGCATACTCAATTGAAGTCACAAAGTTCCTAGTCTCCTATAAACAAGGAAGTAGGCTGCTATCAAGGCCTTACAGAACAAATAAAAACCCACATTCTTTCTTCTTTTTTTTCCTGCTTTTCAAGAGAAGGGAAAAAGGAAATAAAATATATATTTATAATATATGTATATATAGTAATTTTTCTACTTTTACAAGTCTTGGAAAACAGTTGGTCTTATTTACATCTCATTTACATTTCTAGGAATAAGGATCAATAAAAAACAAACAAAAAATACATCTCATTTACAAATATGGCCTGAGAAGGGACAACAATGTAAGATATATACAATGACTACAGCAGTCATTAATGTAAGTTATATATACACAAGTTACATCCAATGTAATTTATATATATATGTTTTATAAGTTTTATATTGGAAAGGGCAGACCTTTCTATAATGGCTTTGGTTTAAATCAAAGACTGTCATCATCATCATAATAACAACACTGGGTTTAGCCATTAGAAATATCAGTCATGTGATCACACTATTAAATAGGACATTTAAAGAGGTACGCTTATTCTAAAGCAGAAAAAGTCATCTTCCCATATGTAATGACTTCTAATACTAAAGTTATTTTCAGAATCTGAATATGTAAATAAAACATTGTTTCGTTTGGCTTTCTCCTACTGAAATAGGAAACAATCTCCTACTGAAATAGGGAACTCACTTAGCTAATTAGAATTATCAACAGAATCAATCATAATTACTCACATAATGTGACAGGAATGCTATCCTTTAAGGCATATATTATTTTCCAAATCTAGGCATACAGTATTTTTCAAATCTAAGCATATTATTTTGTGTAATATAGTAAAGTTCTTAAAAGGGCAAGAACTATACAGCAGCTATACAGTTTGCTGTATAACTTTCTATTTGTTATACAGCAAACAAATAGAAAGGCCTAATTAAATAACATGGCATCCCCGCACATATTCTAATGGGTTAAACATAGGTCTTTACAAAAAGAAATAGTAAGTATCAGGCTTAAATAGGGTAGAAAACTACCACTGAAACTTGCTATGTCTTCATTCCATTCTGACAGAAACTAAATATAAGTCCTAAGTATTTTAAGTTGCTAGTTTAAATGTTTATATAAAGTAGCCCAAGTTTAAAAACATTCATTTCTAATCTCTTTCACCTAATATTAACTGATTAGTTGTAAGAACATACCAAAGTTTGTCCATATTGACAGATATCCTAAGACAGTATCAGGTTTCTTTGTCCATTTGATACTCAAAGGTGAAAAGATCTCACCAAAGACTCTAAAATTTATTTTTCTAGAGTAACATTTGTCAATCCAATGCCAATCTTCAGCACTAGCAGTATTTATTACACTTCGTCTTGTTTTACATGTTTTTTCAGTCACAGATGTAATCTTTGGATAGATTCCTACGATGCAATCTAGCTTTAGACAACAATAAAATTATCATTCAAATACTCACCTATATAAAACTATACATACCTTCCCTTGGAATAGTTACAGATAACCAAAACTCATATATGAAAATGTGTATTTTATTATAAAGCATAGCTAAATAGTCAGAGATAATAACAGCTAATTTGGTCAAAAAGATATTGGAAAGACTATCTACTTGGCTGATCATAAAAGAAGAAAATACAGAGAAATAAAAGAGACCAGCTACCTTTTCACAAACATATAAGGATGACATATAAAAAGGTGCTCAACATTATGAGTCATTAGAAAAACACAAGATGCCACTACACATACATTAGAACAGATAAAAGGCAAAAATATACTGCACAATATCAAGTGCTGACAAGGATGCAGAACAGCAAAAATTCTTATATATTGGTGGCAGGAATGCAAAATTGTATATTCACTTAGAAATAGTTTAACAGTTTCTTATAAAGTTAACTATACACTTAAGATAAGGCCCATAATCCTGCTCCTAGGTATTCACTCAAGTGAAATGAAAACTTATGTATACACACACACAGAGACACACACACACACACACACACACCCTTTATGTAAATGTAGTAGCTTTATTCACGATTGACTGAAACTGCAAACAACCCAGATGTCCCACAACAGATAAATGAATAAGCAAATCGTGTACATATAATAGAATACTACTCAGCAACAAAAAGGTATAAACTAAGGATTTATGCAACAAATGGATGAAACTTAAAATGTATTTTGCTAAATGAAAGAAGCCAGACCTAAGAGGCTACATATTATATGATTCCATGTATATGATACTCTGGAAAAGGCTAATAACTAAAGGGATAGAACACACATTAGGGGTTGCCAGGATTTGGGGCTTGGAAGAGAGGCTGACTACAAAGTGGCAGCACAAAAAAATTGGGGGTGCGGGGGTGGTCACAGAACTGCTGTTGGTAGATATGTGACTCTATGCATTTTTCAAAATCCACAAAACTACAACACAAAGAATGAATTTTACTGTATACAAATTAAATGCAAATAACTAGGATATCAGGGAAACCCAAGATGGAATGTGAACTGTGACAAAATGAATCTAACTGTGGTACAAATGAAATGGCACAGTAGATTGATGGGGATATACAGAAGAAAAGACCTGACAACTAACTTTGGAAAAAAGCATTCTGGCTGGATAATGTGAGAATAAAGATAAAAATAACTGTATACAAACACTGTATTCTATTTGGTAAATTTGTTTCTCACAGGAGTATGGATTAGCAATTTGGAAACTACTATATATGTATAATAAATACATAAATATAGTGTAGAGAATGAGAGTCAGGTTTCTCACTGTGGGAGAAAGAAATTACAAATAAGCAAAGGGGAAATGCTAGAATAATCCCTGTGGTGCAAAACTGGAGTTGAAGGTATCAGCATGAATTAAAATTTTAAGCGTGTATACAGAAAGTAAACACAAATAAATATAGATGTATGTATGTGAGTTGGTATATGTAATTCGTCCGTTTTCACACTATTATAAAGAACTGCCCAAGACTGGGTAATTTATAAAGGAAAGAGGTTTAATTGACTCACAGTTCAACATGGCTGGGGAGGCCTCAGGAAACTTACAATCATGGCAGAAGGGAATGTCTTACATGGCAGCAGGCAAGAGGGCAAGTGTGTAAGGGAGGAACTGTCAGACACTTATAAAACCATCAGATCTCATTAGAACTCACTCACTATTATAAGAAATGCATGGGGACACTGCCCCATGATCCAGTCACCTCCTACCAGGTCTCTCCCTCAACATGTGGGGATTATGGGAATTATAATTCAAGATGAGATATGGGTGGGGACACAAAGCCTAACCATATCAGTATACATTTCCTAACTCTGACTCCTGAAAGGCCTAAAAGCAGTAACTCCTCGGTAGCAATGAACATACCTAGCACCCAGATGCTGGTTTCTAAATACTATTCTCCAATAAGTTGGACCTGGGTTCCTTGGAGAGGTAAGTGATTTCAGGACTAAAGCAGGGAAAATACAAGATGAGCCTGAAGCATCTCATAAAGTCAGAAAGTAAGGAATTGCTTTAAAAAAAAGAAAGAAAAGAAAAAGACAATGACGTGTTGAAAAGCGCTCCCAGTGGCTGAAGCTGGAACAATTTGAGCAACAAAATAAATAACAACAGAATTTTGATTCTAATCCAGAGAATAAAATAAATATCTATGAGTTCACACTGATATAAGTAAATGATTAAGTAAATAAATGTGAGCAGGGACTACTCTGTATTACAGAAGAATTATAATTGATAAATGTAGAGGAAATACGGAGAATAGAAAATCACCACTAAAACACCACAGAAGCTGCAGGCAAGATCTACCTATAAATGCTAAAATTAGTGGCCAAAAATTTAAGGAAAAACAAGATATTTTTGAAGCCTCAAAGCATTTTCCCCCAAATATTTACTAATTAAGGGAAAAGTATTAACTTTTTAATAGAGAAATCTGATAGACACCACCATAATCAAGTGATCAAGGTTAACATTACCAGTAATAGGACATTCTGACACCACGTGGCTTCTGATATTGTGTGCTGAGAAAGGCACATCACCTCCGTGGTATTCTGTCTCAAAATCTGTAACTTCAATCTAGTTATGAGGAAACATCAGAGAAACTCAACTCTAATTGAATGACATTCTACAAAAATACCTGACCAGGAGTCTTTCAAAGTGTGAAAATCATGAGAGACACGGAAAGACTAAGGAACTGTCAGATTGGAGGAGACTAAGGAAAAACACAACTAAATGTAATATGGGATCCTGGAAAAAGAACATTAGTGGAAAAACTGGTGAAATTCTAATAAGGTCTGTAGTTTTAGTAAGTCATTATTGATTATTTAGTTCTGATCATTATACCATGGTTATGTAAGATGTTAACATGAGGGTAAGCTGAGTAATGAATATTAAAAAAACTCTCTGTACTATATTATCATTGTAACTTATTTGTACATCTAAAATTATTTCAAAATAAAATTTTTTTCAAGAGCTTTAAACAAGAGAAAAAGAGACGTTATTCTTCTCCTTCAAATGCAGTATACCTTTCTTGATAGCAAATTACGTGTATAAACTTGATTTTTTTAAATTTATTTGGTAGAAGATAAAATGGGTACAAAAACCAAATTATTCGAAAACATTATTTAACATTTTAAAGAAAACCCCATAGTGGTCAACTAAAGTAAGATTTTTAACACTGTCTCCTATGAGGATAAATCTTGGAGGTTGACTTCCTAACTAGTTTCTTTACTGCCCTGACAGTTATATGAAAATAATACACATGTCCACATCGTTAGCAGTAAAAATACTCATCTCAAAAATTCAACATTGCAAATAGCTACTGTAACTAACAGCTATGCGGTAATATGGACCAGGTTTTACAAAGTTAAAAAGCTGACATTCTCTTTTAGTCTGAATACCTTCAAAGACATGAACAGAGAAAATTCCAAATCAAGTCCATTCAGGTCCTTTCTTATCTAGCCACATATACTTTAAAAGATAAGCAGTATATTCAATTAAAAGAAAAAATCCTATGCCTGTCTTTAAAGTACACATATTTAATTTCAATGATACTATCAAATTGGCAATGACTCAGTATTTGATTTTATAATGAAATATTTTATGCTGTTAGAAAAATCTAAATAATCTAAGATTATATGAAAGAGAAAATCAAAGTATAAACTTTCCTATGAGTTTATTTCCCCTTGTTTTACTTTTAAGTACCACAACTAGAACACAAATCAGGGAAATTAAAAAAAGATGTCTTAAGATATGATTTTAATAGATGCAAAAAATGTTAGCATTACCTTCTTATATCATCCATCATTTAAGAGGAAATTTTACTTATTCGTAAGAAATTGATTATTTTATTCCTAAGTCTTAGTATACAAATCAGATACTCTCCACAGCTAAACACACACAATGCTAAGGTGGCCTCATTAACATATTAAAGCTATCAAGATTTCCATCCCTTCTGCAGCTTAATTTTATCATCTTTCATAACTCAAATGTATAAGCACTCAAATTCTAAATCCATACTGATTTAAATATAAAATGTGTGATGGCACAAAAAGATGCAAAGTATTTTCTTTCTGATAAGTTTCCAGATTCCCTCCTTTAAAAAGTAAATTTTAAAAAGTTTTAAATTGACTTTATGAAAATGAAAGCAAAGATACCTCACACAAGTCTATTAGGAAACCAAATATATTTCAGGTTATGCAGGATATAAGAGGCTGTTTTCAAATCAAATAATCATTCTTTATGAGATGAAGATTTTAGAAGCTTACTTTATTTTCTTAAAATTACATGGGAAATAGCAAAAATAATTTGTTTCTAATTTTGGTGCCCTGAACAGAGAAATTCCTTTATGATATTGGTTGGAAATTCTAACTTATATGGCATGTTTTTAAAATATACTTTTTTTTTTCTTCAGCCAAGAGACTTCTGAGGAGGGTAGCAAAGATTTTATAGACTTTCTAGGCTCCAATTTTATTTTCTCCTTCTATCTTATGTTTATTTAAACACTAATAATTTTAGGAATCACAAACAAGTGTAAGCGTTTCCATTTAAACCTCAGAGAGAAACGTAACTCCAACTTTAGCCACTAAATGTAGTTCTATATTAGCAAGTTTTCATTTAAGTTCATATATGCTAAACCATTTGCACTACTAGAACAGATATTAAAAACACACAATCATCACTCTCAAAATATTATTTGTTCAGTTTAAATTTAGTAGGAGAGACAAATATAATCAAATACATTCGTGTGAATAGTTTTTAGAATGAGAACAAGCTTGACCTTTATCATATAAACTTTTATTTTTGAAAATCTAAGCAAAATGAAGGCTTCTACTTAAAAAATAAGCATAGTATTTAACTGCTAACATTAAGTCTTATTTTAAAAATCAATTACTTCAGAAAACTAGCACCTCCCAAGAAATAATACAGACCCTTCACTTCAAGAAATTAGAGTTCCTGTATCTGCACATATACTTATATGCATATTTAAATCTCTAATAAGTTTTCATACAACAAGCCTTACTGACAACTAAAATCAGTTAGCTACCATTTCATGTATTATAATTACATAGCAGAATAAGATACCCTGCTTCAGTTTTCTAGGCCAAGGGTCAGCAAACTTTCCTAAAAGGGCCAGATTTTAGGCTTGTGGGCCATACAGACACTGTTCCAACTAAAAACTCTGCCAATGTAGTGCTAAGATGGCCACACACAATATGTATTAAGTGGGTGTGACTGTGTTCCAATAAACTTTATTTACCAAAATAGGTGGCTGGCCCATAGGCCATAGTTTGCTGACTCCTGCTCTAGGCAAACAGATTTGATATCAGTCTATAACACTTCCAGTGAATGTATAATCATGTTTCCCTTGAATCTAGTAGTTGTTACAAGGAACATTAGCTATTTAAGTGGTAAAGAAACCATGAAAATATTTCCTGAGGTCAGAATCTCAGATTAGACTGGGAAATTTAAATGTGTTAATCAAATACACATTAAAATATAAGTCTAAAAATGCATAGTATTGGTATAATTAAATTTTATTAAACAATCTTACCTTAATCAAATGAAACAATCTAAATTCTAGCACATCACTGAAAACGTACAGTAAAGGTATGATTAAATTTTATCAAACAATCTTACCTTAATCAAATGAAAGAATCTAAACTCTAGAACATCTCTGGTTTCAATTCAAAATATATCTGAATCAAAACTTCAGTTTCTTGTCAAATTCCTAGAGAAACAAAATTGAAAACCTTAAGTCAGCTTCCAGTTCCAGATAAGATGGGGTAATCACATGCCAACAAGTTAATGTAGCTATAAGACCTGGACAGAATGCATGGAACAACTACTAAGGAACTTTGAAAAGTAACAGTAGCAGGCCGATTAAAACAACCAGAATTTGATGTACCACTGAAGCAACCACAGGTTTACCATTTATTTCCCCCTCTGCTTTCATCCAGACTGAACATAATACAGCCCAAATGGAAAGCTTCAGGAGAAGCCCTCTACCTCTGGCTTGAGAGAGGGAAAGGGGTCTCTTAGGACTCACAAGGAAGTGTGCAAATCCCCCCGTTTTTTTCTCTCTTCACTCTCTCAAGCCCAGCCACCCATCACAGCTGTGGCAGCAGTGGCAATGGAGGTTACTAAGAACTAAAACTCTGAGAGAGGGAATCTACCTCTCTGATCACAGAAGCTGTGGTCCCAAGAGGATGTGGTGAATCCCTTTTGCTTCTCTCTCTGTCCTCCTGCCACTTGGCCCTGAATATGGGCACAGCTGCAGGGAGTGAACATTAAAGAGGGATAAAGATCCACTTTCTGATCAGAAAAGGGGAGCCATGCAGAATTAGAAATTACTGGGAGATCACAGACAAGGAACATGGGAGAGCAACACCTCAAAGTTGTTTTATGAACTCCTGGACTCACCCTCGAGTGGCACATGCATACATCTGACCCAAACAAACATACACAGACTTTGAGAATTATGAACAGACGACCCCTCAAGTTCCAGACTGGCAATGGGTGGTACACATGTGGGACAGAACCAAGTAATATGGCAAAAGTTTTGAAAATCAAACTGATGTTGTAACTACAATCCACAGAAATTTGCAGTGTGACTCTAACTGGGTTGACTGTCTACTAAAACAAATATATCAACATTTTGCATAGTATTTAAACAAGACCCAACGTCTCCTAACATAATAGTCAAATGTCCAGGACATAATCCAAAATTACTAGGTATACAAGGAATCAAAAAAACTCAACTTGCACAGGAAAAATACTAACATCAAGAAAACAAAGATATTAAAATTATCTAAGATATTAAAGATATTTAGAGCCATTATTACAGAATGCTTTAACAAGTAAGTGCAAACATTCTTGAAACAGAGATAAACTCAGAAAAAAAAATAGAAGATAAAAGAAGAACCAAATGGAAATTTTAGAAGTGGAAAAATACCAATAACCAAAATAAAAAGCTCACTAAATGAGCTCAATAGCCGAATCAAGACGACAGAAGAAAAAGTCAGTGAACTTACTACAGATGAATAAAAATGATCCAATCTGAACATACAGAAAGATTGGGGAGAAAAGGTCAACATCAATCACATTTCTGTACATTAACAATGAACAATTTGGAACCCTCACATTTAAAAATAATACCGTTCAAAATAGCTCCATAAAAAACAAATACTTGAGCATAAACATATTAGAACATGTACAAGAGCTATATGCTAACAACAACGAAATGCTGATGTATGCATCAGGAAAATCTGAGTAAGTAGAAAGATATCCTGTGTTCATAGATCAGAAAGCTCAACATTGTAAAGATGTCAATTCTCCCCAAACTGGTCTAGAAATTTAATGCAACTCCAATCAAAATTCCAGGATTTTTTGTAGTTATAGACAAGCTGATGCCAAGATTATTATGGAAAGGCAAAAGAACTAGAGAAGACAAAACTATTTTTAAAATGAATAAAGTTGAAGGAATTATACTACCTAATTTTAAGGCTTTAAGCTACTTACCAAGACAATGTGATATTGCTGAAGGGAGAGATCAATCAATGGAAAAGAATAGAGTGTTCACAAATATATCCACACAAACAGGGTCAACTGATTTTTGTCAAAGGTTCAAAGACATATAGTGAGGAAAGGATTGTCTTTTCAACAAATGGTGTTGGAACAACTGTGCATCCATATGCAAAGAAAAAAATAAAATTTCACCTAAACCCTCATGTTATACAAAAATTCACTCAAACTTAAATGTAAAATATAAAACTGTAAAACTTGTACCTAGAAAATGACAAAGAAGAAGAAAATCTTTGTTACCTGAAGTTAAGCAGAGTTCTGAGATATGACATCAAAAACATAATCCATAAAATTAAAAGTTATAAATTGGACTTCAACAAAATTAAAAATTTATGCTCTGGAAAGGTATCTTTAACATAACATAAGGACAAGCTACTGACAGGGAGATAATACCTGCAAATCGCTTATGGAACAAAGGACTTCTGTCCAACAAATATATAGAACACTCAAAACTCAACAGTAAGAAAACAATATAATTTAAATATGAGCAAAAGTACATGATTAGAATAGCTTAAAAAACAAACAAACAAACAAACAAAAACAACTGGTAATTCCAAATGCTGCTAAAGATACAGAGCAATAGGAAATCTCATTCATTACTGGTGGAAATAAAAAATGGCACAACCACCTGAAACACAGTTTGGCAGTTTCTAACAGAGCTAAGTATACATTTATCATATGACACAGCAGTCAAACTTCTAGATACTTACTAAACTGAACTGAAAACTTGTATTCAGACAAAAACCTATACACCAATATTTAATGAAGCTTTATTCATAATCACCAAAACCTGGAAGCAACCAAAATGTCCGGGTGAATGGATAAACAAACTGTGGTATTCCTATACAATAAAATACTATGCAGAAATGAAAAGGAATGAACTATTTGATTCATGAAACAATATGAATAAACCTTAAATGTATTTTTCTAAATGAAAGAAGTCAGATCCAAAAGCAATATATTATACGATTGCATTCAGATGACACAATGGAAAATGCAAAACTACAGGAGATTTTGGTTGTCAGGAGAGGAGTTGGGGTATGGAGTAGTGGCTGACTACAAAGGGGATGCATGGAGAAATTTTTTAGTGTGATGAAGTTGTTCTGTATGACACTGAGGTGGTGTATACATGACGTTATGCATTTGTCAAAACCCACAGAACCGCACATCACAAAGACTGAACTTTAATGTATGCAAATTTTAAAAAATCAACAAAGATGCTGGGGGAATTTTAAGATAGAATGCAGTCCATGACAAATGAATCTGGCTGTATTATAAATGAATGGCATAACCCAACTAAAGGGGGTAGGGTAAATTTATTTCTCACAGGGGTACTGGTTAACAATTGTGAACTTGCTTTACTGAGATGGAACAAACAAGTAAATGGATAAGGCCAGGTTTCTGTTAGAAAGGAAAGTTACAGATAAGCAAAGTGGGGAAGCCTAGAATGAACCCTGTGGTACTGGATTAGTCACAGACATCAGTATGAACTTAACATATAATATATATACAGCAAAATATATAATACAAATAGGTACAGAAACAATTATAGATGTACATAAATACATGATTAATATACAAATGTATTATTTCCTAGCTCTATCCTCTGAGAAGGCCTTGAAATGGTGATACCCCTGCATCAACAAGTATATCCAGTACCCAGAGAGACAATGGATCTAAACACAATTCTCCAACACAAGAAACCAGGGCTCCTGGTGGAAATGGCTGATTCTAGGGGTAGGGCAGAGAAAATATATGATAAGCCTGGAGTATCTTGTAGTACCAGAAATTAAGGAAGTATTCAAAAAAGAAAAGGACGGGACATGTCAAAGGAATACAGGGACCAACACTGGAACAATTTTAGCAACAAAATAACATAGTATTGAATTATAAGCCAATGTATAAAATAAGTATACATATTGATATAAATGACTGAATAAATAAATGGAAGAGAAGGGACAAAGGCTTACTTACAGAAGAAAACTTAATAACATATAGATATACCCTATCCATAAGATGAAACAATCTCCCACCCTTTTGATTGTGGGCTGAAATTAGCAACTCATTTCTAAAGAATATAATACAAAAAGACAAAAATATCGACTTTACAGTGAGGAAATCTGATAAACAGTACCTTAGCCAAGTAATGCTGTCATCATGCACTTTGATAAGATGTGAGGAAAAGGGCATTTCCCTCTGTGTATTCTTCCTAAAACTCATAACCTCAGTCTAATCACAAGAAAAGCATCAGACAAACACAAATTGAGAGACACTCTGCAAAATATCTGACTGGTACTAGTACTCAGAACTATCAAGTTTATGAAAAACAAAGAAAGGCAGAGAAACTGTCATAGACTATAGGAGATTTAGGGAGAGATAACAAATGTAACATGTAATACTGGAATGGATTCAAGAACAGGAGACCCAGTGGAAAATCTGGCAAAATCTCAATTTGGAATCTGGAGTTTGGTTGGTAGTAAGGCACCTGTTGGTTTCTTGGTTTTGAAAAATGCACTTGGTTTTGTAAACTGTTATTATTATGGCAAGCTGTGTGAGGAATATAAAGGAATATAAAACTCTTTGTATTATCTTTGTAACTCTTCTATACACCTAAACTTCTACCAAAATAAAAAGGTTGTTTTTAATGGTCAAAGGACCTGAATAGATCCTTCACCAAAGAGAATATAACAAAACATACGACAAAATGCGCAACATCACTAGCTATCAGGAAAGTGAAAAATGAAACTCATTATCAGGTACCACTACAAATCTATTAGAATGGCTAAAATGAAAAAGATTGAACATACCAAGTGCTGACAACTGTGCAGAACAACTAGAACACTCATACATTGCTGATGGAAATACAAAGTGGAAACAGCCATTTTAGAAAACAGTTTGTCAATTTCTTGACAATAAATATTTACCATATGACCCACCAATCCCATACCTATGTATTTTTACCCAAAAGAAATGAGAACTCATTTGCACAAAATCCTATACACAAATGTTTATAGAAGCTCTATTCAAAATAGCTAAAAACTGGAAACAACTCAAATGTCCTCCAATTAATAAACTTATAAACAAACTGTGGTACATCCATACAACTGAATACTACTCAGTAATAAAAAGGAATAAAATATCAATACACAGAACAACTTATATGAATCTTATAAGGCATATGCTGAGTAAATGGATATGTAACAGTCTTAAATGGCTTCATGCTCTATTATTCCACTTCATGACCATTTTTGAAAAGACAAAAGTAAAATGGCAGAGTTACCAGGTATTGAGGGGTGGGGGGGAGCACAACTACACAGGGATAACACAGGAGTTTTTTGAGCTAAGGAAACTATTCTGGATATTGACTGTGATGGTGGTTAGATAAATCTATACATGTTGAAATATATCAACTATACATAGGAAAAGTCAGTTTTACTGCATGTTCATTTAAAAAAATAAAATTTATGATACTTAAAAGAATTTTAAATCAAAGGCCTTTTCAGGATTATTTAGTTTGGATCTTATAGTCTGTAAAAATCCTCTTGTTTATTCTGCCTACTTTTCAGATAGAGCAAGTGACAAATAGCTCAGTCGTGACATGTAAAATCACTAGAGGGATCAATGGTCTAAATGTCAGTTCCCCTAAGCAATGTATCACCTGCAAAGGAGTCTGATCTGCTCATCACCACTATACCACCTAATTGAAAAGTAAATCCTGACATCTGCTTAGTGGTATCATAAAAGAACTTTCATTAAAGCTCTTTTAAAAATACTGATTTACAGTCAGTAGAGAATTCCACATTGTTGGTCAGGGAGAGGAATATGATTAATTCTGCTTCCATTGCATAATAAGCATTCTGAAAATAAAAAGTAAAACAGGCCAGGCAAGGTGGCTCATGCTTGTAATCCCAGGACTTTGGGAGGCCAAGGTGGGCAGATCACCTGAGGTCAGGAGTTTGAGATCAGCCTGGCCAACATGGTGAAACCCTGTCTCTACCAAAAATACAAAAAAATTAGCTGGGTGTGGTGGCACACGCCTGTAATCCCAGCTACTCGGGAGGCTGAGTCATGAGAATCACTTAAGCCTGGGAGACAGAGGTTGTAGTGAGCTGAGATCGTGCCACTGCACTCCAGCCTGGGTGACAGAGTGAGATTCCATCTCAAAAAAAAAAAAAAAAAAAAAAAGTAAAACAATCATTTGTTTCTAACTTTTTTATCAGGGAAAAAATAGTCGCTTTATTTGAATAAGTAGGATGAGGAATGCAAGCTGGAAAACACAGTATTTCAGAAGTATTTCTACTCTTCTGCAAGAATTTCTTTATCGTACTTCAACTAATATAGTACACTACAAGCTTACAGTGAATTATTACTATACTATACATGCATGTGGTCACAAAATATAAAAATCTACATAGTAGAGGAATTTAAATTTTTTAAAACTAAGTATAAAAGTACTACCTCTTCTGAACACTTTCTATCATGTTATTTAATCTATCTGGTTCCTACATGTACCTTAGGTATTATTTTTAAAAATCATATTTAGCCAACTATTTCCATTTAACCTAAACTCAATTATTTGTTTTTAAGGATACTGTTGTTTCTCAGTTGGGCTAGTAAATTTAGCAACACCTTCAGATTATTATATTTAAAAGAATATGAGGGTTTTTTTTAAAGCCAATCAGCAACTGCACTAATTTCAAATGAAAAACAAAAAGCCTCTATAAGGAACAGTTTTTGCCTTAAGGTCTTTTCTTGTCATAATATTACATCCAATTATAAGTTAAATGATCTGCTTCAAGAATTTAGGTTATTTTCCCCAGGAACACATTTGGAAAAACTGATGACATTACCTGGTACCATATCCTTTCTAACTGAAGCCATGTGTGTGCAGTAGCTATAATTCACTAAGGTCAGTTTAGTTTTGACACCCATTAAAACCCACTGAATGGAGTACCTATTGCAAATCTGTATGCTTACTGCTCCATGTAATCTTCTCACTTGATGTTCAACTTACTAAACAAAGGCTGTTTTATTAATAATAATCAAAATCTGACTTCCAAAGATGCACTGCACCTGTCAAAAGTTTCAGTAGGTTAGTAAATTTCCTGTCTCTTCTCTCTGTAGCATTGCGTGTGTTTAAGTCACTACTATATTTTAATGTCCATAAACACAGGAGTTTTTTCCCATCTTTTTCAAAGAATCAAGAAAACTTCAGTTAATTAGTATTACACCATTCACAGTTAAACTTCCAGCTCTCTTCAAAAGTTGCCAATTAATAAGAATTTTTACATATGAACTAAACCCAACAGGATGCTTTACCTTACTGGCCACTGAAATGCTAAGTTCACAGAAATCAACATTACCTAGTAACATTTTAAAGATTGAACCACCTATCTCTATAAAAGTAGCTACTACTTTCCTTCACCCAAATTAGTACCATCCAAACTTAAATATCACAATAGCCATCTCTACACTTAAGCAAATCAAATGAACTTTCCACCCATTATTCCAAAAGTTCTTCTTTCAGAAATGAAGTTTTATATAAAATATATTTAGGCTATTTGTTTAGAAACATTAAAGGTCAGAATAAGAAATTATCCATAAATAATGTTAAATCATCAAAGAATCAAGAAGGGATTTGGGATGGAGAACTTGGTATGTACTGAAATTAAGAAGGCCTCATGTGACACTTAACACTATGTAGCCCAAACCTGTGTTACAAGTATATTTAACCACTTGCTAATAGTTCTGATAAAAAGTTCTATGATTGAAATCAATGCCTGTGTAGACTATAAATCTCATATACCTATGCTTACTCCAATCCACCATTACTGAAGTTTCCTATTGCTACATTGGGAAACTACATGATACAGAATTGTAACCAGGACTATCACTAAGAAAACTACAAATAACTGTCTTTTAGAAGGCATTTAACGATTGGTAAGAATACCGCAGTTTTTCCATGAAGGGTAGACCCACACTCGGCACACAGTGGGAGCACAAGAGAGAATTGTATATGAGGAAGATAGAAGCTCTGAGAGCAGTGACCAACAGATAGTAAATCTCTTCCATTATTTTAAAAGTCTATCTATCTCAGAAAAGCCATATTGAAAAATTTATTTTAATTTGCTTCTGAGTTGGCAGTTCTTCACTATAGGTGAATACTGGTTTAAAGCAACTGTTGATTTTTTTTTTTAATTGGGTAAGTACTCTCTGACTGTTGAATTTAGGAGGTGAAAGCAAGGCTGGGAACCGTGGTTCATGCCTATAATCCCATCATTTTGGGAGGCCAAGGTGTAAGGATAGTTTGAGCCCAGGAGCTCAAGACCAGCCTGGGTAACATAGTGAGACTCCATCTCTACAGAAGATGTAAAAAATAGCCAGATGTGGTACAGTGTGCCTATAGTCCCAGTTCGTTGGGAGGCTGAGGTAGGAAGACTGTTTGAGCTGAGGAGGTCAAGGCTACAGTGAGCCTGTGCTCATACCAATGCACTCCAGCCTGGGTGACAGAGCCAGACCCTTTCTCAAAAATAACAGTAATAATAATAATAGGAGGAGGAGGAGGAAAAAGCAAAACAGAGCTGCCTTTAGCACTTTAGAGTCTTTACCAAGAAAAGTAAAATGGAGTACATGGTCATTCTTAAGGACTTTTTAAAAATTCCTCAGTGGGTATCTGATTAAATCTTAAATTGTCCTCTAAGTCTGGATTTTTGAACTCAAAATTCCTCACTGCTTTTGAAGCAGAAAATAGAAAAAAAGAGAGATAAATGAGGTTTCTAACTCAATGCAAAGAAAAAACAAAGTAAGCCTTTGTTAACAGTATCTGTTAAGCATCTAGTATGTAAAACACTGCTGTAGTGATGGGATGAGGAAAGGGCCAAAACAAAGAACACTAGTACTGGCTTTCAAAGAGCTTACATAAATATGGAATACATGAAGAATTCTTTATAAAGCAATGCTATATGTTTTACTTGTTTTTATAAGTATACTGCTAGATAGGCAAGGGCAGATACTATGTCTGTCTTGTTTACCACAATAGCCCCAGTGCCTACTACAATGACTAGACACAGCAAGCACTAAAAAAAATTTGTTGTATAAATGAAGACTTTCAACAGCTATGTCAATACTGACACTTGGCTTCCTTGACTCCAGTGATCTAGCCCTCTTTGACAGGCAGAACAATGGCCCTCCAAAGATGTCTGTGCCCTTAAGCACTGGAACCTAAGTTACCTTACATGGCAAAAGGGACTTGCAGTTGTAATTAAGGTTAAGGAACTTGAGATGGGAGAGATTACTCTGTATTATCCAGGTAGGCCCAATCTCATCACATGAGGCTTTTAAAGTGGAAGAGGAAGACAGAAGGTGGATCAGAGAGTTTAAATCAAAGGAGAAGGAAATACTGGAAGCTTGAGAGGGACTTGACCTTTGTTACTGGCTTTGAAGATGAAGGAGGGCCACATGCCAGGGAACGAGGGTGGAATGTAGGTGCTAGAAAGGGCTCTGATCAAGACAAATGCTACAACCACAAGGAAGTGAATTCTACCAAAACCTCATATAAGCAAGGAAACTGATCTTGCCCTACAGCCTCCAGAAAGGAACATGGCCATGCTGAAATTTTTATTTTAACCCAATGAGACCTGGATTGGCCTACTGACTCACAGAACTGTAAGATTAAAAAGCTTTCTGTTTAAGCTACCAAGTTTGTATTGATTTATGATGGTAGCAATAGAAAACTAATATGCCCCTTATCGCTTCTACTCTAGCAACCCAAATATATAGCTTTTCTTGTCAACACCCTGATACTGGTTCAATAAAAGATTTAACATTCTGAAATGCTTTGATCTGATCATAATCTCCTATTCTTACCTCTTCTGCTTCATATTCCCTACATCTGTCATTATCAAAGAAAGACCTTGTTTAAAAGAACAATATGTAGAAACAAAATGCCACTTATCAATCATGAATTAGTATTTTCTAGTTAGAATGTTTGGTCAGCTTTATATCCAAAAGTATAAAACGACACAACAGAATAGTTGTAACAAACTGCAAATTTCATATGCCTTGCAACATTGCAGTACCAAGGACCCAAACTGAAATGTGTAATTAAACAACCCAGTGTGTCAAATTCTGATTTACTTTTAAAGAAACTGTATTTTAAATCTGGAACCATTTCTTTGCCTCTTTATATTTATGCACTTGCTCTAAAATATTAAAAACAACCTCATAAACAATCTGTTTAACAGTAATTAGAATTTTATCTAGTTAAAACAACAGCAGAGCATGCCACAACACAGATGGCACGAAACTTTCTCCTTGCCTGATTAGTGTCAAAAAATTGTTCTCCAATTTCATGATTAGGAAAAATTTTGTCACAGGCTATCTCACAAAATACTAGTGAAAGGACAGTTTTATTAAGGAAGTCTTTGCTCTGCATATATCTTAATTATTTCTCAATGTAAAAAATTGTCTTACTACTCTGATAAAACCCAGCCAAATAAGTGATTAAGGAATCATAACGGATAGAAGTCTGTACCACTGATTTCACTCTAGTTCCAATTCCTCAAGCACACTAATTCTTTTTGGAGTAGAGGTTCCCAGACTATGATGCATGAATCACCTGGGGCGTGTTTAAAACTTCCAATGACCAAGTTCTAACCCATACCAATTAAATCAAAAGGTCTGGGGATAAGAGAAGCATAAAAGTTTTTAAACTCCCCAAGTGGCTCCAGTATGGTTTAAGGCATGGTACAGTGCACTGAATGGAGTCAGGAGGCCTGGGATCTGGCACTGGCCGTGCCACCAGAAAGCTTGGGTACGTCACTGGGTAGCCATTTCCTCAACTATAAAAATATAGGATTGGACAAGTTATTTCTAATATCTAACATTTTATAAGAGGATGAGATTCCTTAGTTTTCTTCAAAAGATTAAATCACCTCAACATGTAAACTATGCAAAAAAATTGAAATCCATGATCTGATTGATGATGCTTATTCCTACCTGTTAAAATCTTATTTTTATAAAGATTATTTTATAGTAGAGATCAAATTCAACTACATTTCAATTGCACAGATTTTTATATATCCTTATGCTCATCCATGTCATAAAAGGGTATATATGTTAGGAATGACTGGAAGCTTGAATTATCTCAAAATACAGCTTGCTATCAGATTATTTCTAGAATTCCTATTAAAATATACTGCATGTATTCTGATTTTCTTGAATAGCATTCCTGGTTTTGCTTAGCTCCTGAAGATACAAAATGACTTGAACTTTTCATTAACATTATTTCATAAAAGCAAATCATTAAGGAAACAAGAAACAGTTGAAATAATCCATGAGTATCAAGTTATTCTGTATACAGTCTCAAACCAAATTCTTACCCTTGACCAGCCCTCTTACAAATGTACACTACCAGTTATGAGGGTGCTTGGAAAAAGGTTAATTCATTCAACAAGTTAAGCATTTTTATAGTTCTAGAGTTTGGGGACCGGGTGGCGGACTTCTAATACGTCCCTGCAGTGATCCCTGCCTTCTGATAGTCACATGTTGTGTAACCCTCTTTAAGTGTGGGCTAGACCTAGTAACTTGCTTATAAAGAAGAAAATATTGGCCAAGCATGGTGGTTCACGCCTGTAATCCCAAGACTTTGGGAGGCCAAGGCAGGAGGATCACTTGAGCCCAGGAGTTCAAGACCAGCCTGGGCAACATAGTAAGACTCTGTCTCAATTTTAAAAAATAAAGAAAATATGGCAACAGTGATGGGAAGTCACTTCTGTGATTAGGTTATAAAAATTGTGATGTGCTTCTTGCTAGCACTCTCTTTTGCTGGCACTTTTTCTTGCCCTCTTGCTTGTTTGCTCTAAGTCAACTGCCATACTGTGAGATGCTCTATGGGGCCCTTTGGCACGGGTCCAAGGGAGGCCTCTGGCCAACAGCCTGAGAAGAAATGAATCCTGCCTTATGAGTGACCTAGAAAATGGATCCTTTCACATCAAGATTTCTGATGAGACTTCAGGCCCTGTCAACACATTGGTTCATAACCTTGTAAGAGACCCAGCACCTATGCTGTTCCTGGATTCCTGACTCACTGCAATATAATAAATGTGTGTTTTGAGTGGCTATGTTTTAAAGTAATTTGTTATGCAACAATGGGTAACTAATATAGGCATGTAGCAATGAATAAAAACACTACAGTCAAAGAACCAATAGTTGAGTAATAACATAGATCAAGGTATCGACAATCCAGTAATGGGTGAGACATGTAAATAAATGTAATAAAGTATTTTAGGGGCTCTGATAAAAGCATACATGTGTTTGAATGCCACATGCAGGGTTTTTTAAAAAAAAGAAAAAAGTATACATGTGAGGGGTAAGGTACAGACATAAGAAAGGATATGTATATAAAAAGGCTCAGGCACTGATGTTCTTTAAAAGGGAAGAATGTGAATTATAAGCATCAAAGAAATACAATGGTCACTTTGGAAAACTAAAGGTAATCCCAATTATTTCCCACCTATTCAAGAAAACTGCTGCAGCAATTTTCTCTTCCTTCTACTGCATTGTCAAATATTCCCTCTCTACTGGATTATTCCTGTCACATTAAACATAGAACCAAAAAATTTTTTAAAGCCCACTCTCTTAACTCTACACACCAAATGTGCATAGTTCCCCCTTTACAATAAAACTCAAAAGTGTTATCTACACTCACTGTCTCCACATCTCCCATTTTCTCCTGAATCCATATCAACCAAGCTTTTCATCCCATCTGTCTACCAACTTGCACTTATTTAAGGTCACCAACATCTTCCACATTGCTAAACACAACAATCGATTCTCCGACTTCCTCTTATTTTACCTATGAGCAGTAGCTGACACAAACAATAATTCCGTCCTTGAAATACATGGTTCTCAAAATACCCACCTCTACTGGTTTTAATCTTATTAGGTTGGTGCAAAAGTAATTGCGGTTTTGTACCGTGAATTTTAAATCATTATATTATAACTAGGCTCAAACACATCTTTATTCATCAAAATAGGAAACATTACAATCAACACATTTTTGCCAATGAGAAATAAGTTTATTTATTCCTGTAGTGTAAAAATGTGTGATCTGGGATTCGATAAACTCTTGGAAAGCTTTTTCTGCATTCTGGTTGTGGAAACATCTTCCCTGCAAAAAGTTGCTGAGATGCTTGAAGAAGTGGTAGTCAGTTGGCAAGAAGTCAGGTGAATACGGTGGATGAGGCAAAACTTTGTGCCCAATTCATTCAACTTTTGAAGCGTTGGTTGTGCGACGCATTGTCAGGCATTGTTGTGCCGAAGGACTGGGCCCTTTATGTTGATCAATGCTGGCTGCAGGCGTTGCAGCTTTCCATGCATCTCAGAGATTTGTTGAGCATACTTCTCAGATGTAATGGTTTTGCTGGAACTCAGAAAGCTGTAGTGGATCAGACCGGCAGCAGACCATCAAACAGTGACCATTAACATTTTGGTAGAAGTTTGGCTTTGGGAAGTGCTCTGGAGCTTCTTCTCAGTCCAACCACCAAGCTGGTCATCAGCGGTTGTCATATAAAATCCACTTACCAACGCACGTCACAATCTGATCAAGAAATGGTTCATTGTTGTTACACAAAGTAAGAGAAGACAACACTTCAAAATGACGATTGTTTTTATTTTCAGTCAGCTCATGAGGCACCCACTTATCGAGCTTTTACAACCTTCTAATTTGCTTCAAATGCTGAATGACCGTAGGATGGTTGATGTTGAGTTCTCGGCAACTTCTAGTGTTGTAAGAGGATCAGCTTCGATGATTGCTCTCAATTGGTCGTTGCCAACTTTTGATGGCCGGGCACAACACTCCTCATCTTCACGGCTCTCGTCTCCTTTGCAAAAGTTCTTGAACCACCACTGCACTGTACCTTTGTTAGCAATTTCTGGGCCAAATGCATTGTTGATGCTGCGAGTTGTCTCTGCTGCTTTATGACCCATTTTGAACTTGAATAAGAAAATCACTTGAATTTGCTTTTTGTCTAACATCATTTCCATAGTCTAAATAAATATAAAATAAACAGCAAGTAATAAGTCATTAGCAAAACAAAGCAAGAAATGCACATTAAAATTATGTATAACATAACCACATTTATTTAATAATGTATTCCAATACCAAACAGCAAATTTAAACAATGCAAAAACCGCAATTATGTCTGCACCAGCCTAACACTCCATGCTCACTCCACTTCAGTCACACTAGCCTCCTCCTTGTTCCTTGAACATACTAGGCACACACTTTCCTCAAATCTGTTACCCTTGCTATACCTTAGAACAGGAATGTTCTTCCCTGAGATATCTGTACAGATTCCTTGTAGGTCTTCACTCAAATGTCACAATCCTTCCCAGGCCTGCCCTCCTCCAACTGCCATGCCTTCCAACACTCCCCCATCCCCTTTCCCTCCTTTATTTTGCTATCTGATACAGTATATATTTTATCTGTTAGTTTCAGTTTCCCTCTCAGCTAGAATGTAAGCTCCATAGAGGCAGAAATTTTTGTCTGTTTTGTTTACTGTTGTATGTGATACAACAGTACCTGGCAATAGTAGGAATGGTATTAATATTTGTTTAATGAATGAATGAACCAACCAAGGGAATTCTCTCACTGATTTAATGTAATATAGGGGAGTAATTTAATAGTTTCAAAGGTACCAAAATATTACATTCATATTTCAATCATTGTGATTTGTGTTCTGACAGATTTAACACCCTCATTATACACACCAGGGCTATATTAAATTAGTTTGCATTCCCCTGAAAACATACCAATCAGGAGAAAACATCCAGAATTGTCTTAGACAACAAGGAGCAACACGACTGATTTTAAAAAATAGTTTTCCATGGATAATCTAAAGTAGACAATCCACATACAATATGTCACAAAATCTGATACAGACTTTCAAAGTCTAGAGGTGAAAGAGAAGGTAAGTAAAAATTTCAAATTTTGTTAATACACACAAACACACACACACACAAACTCTAAGGAGATTTTATCAATTCTTTCATAGGTAACTTGTAACCTTTGATGTGTTTTCCATCCATTTTCCAATATACGTATTTTTTTACTTCTCTTTTTCTAAGCTATCAGTGATTTTAAAAAAAAAATTTAGCTGAGACTATATTTACACAGTGTCCCAAAGATAAAAACAAGACTTGATTTTGCTGAGATAAAATACTTATAAATATCATTTTTACATTTGTATGTATATGTTCTTTACACATTTCCCAAGTGCTTTCACATCTTTATTATGCTCTTCACACTGACACGAATAAATAGGCAGGCAGATTTTATCACATCCTCCCCCACCTCCCACATACATACACATACTTTGCAGATGGAAAAAAGTGACTCTCAAAGAGATTAACTGGCCTGCTCAAGGTCACAGAGCTACAAGCAGTTCAACCTGAACTATAATTAGGTTTTTTTGAATCCAAGTTCACTATTTTCTTTCACAACATATTACCTCACCCAGTAATTAAAGAAAGGTACATTGCATTTATCTATAAAGACTATATAAGAATCTTCCTTCTGGATTAGAGATTTTCACATTCCAATCCATTATAAAAGTGCTTTGCAGATGGTACAAATATGCTACTCTTCTTATTTTTTAAAAAAGAAAAGTCCAAGAAAATAAAAATAAAGAAAATTGAGTCAAGCAGTAGTAACATGAGATTAATGGTTACTTTCTGCACACAGGATCAATGTTTTAGAACAACCCCTGAACTATCAAACAGATACCAAATACCACTTCAAGTGCCAGAGGAAGATATTTAACAGATGCCATTCTGGGTAAAATTGCCGTTTATTACTGCCAGAACCCATACCTACATCACTATCTGAAAAATCCTGGTAATCTGGACTAAAAATAATAAGAATGAATTATTTTTACCCTTCTCTCCTAAGATTTAGCTCAGGTTCAGATAAACAAATGGTTCCATGAGTCACTTCATCTGGACTTCTTCCTGTCTCCTTTAATATTCTAAGAAGAGAGAAAAGAGATTCCTTTATCATTCCAGCTGCAAGAACACTCTAAGGCAATCCAAAAGTGGGTCACAAACCAAAGACCTCAAAGAGAGTACATTTTATGTAAGATTAAAAACTCTGTTCTTCCCACCATCAGAGACCAACTGCATGTCTCTGACCCATATTAAAATTCCTTAGTATAAATCTAGATTCATTTTTGAAGCCTAGTCAGGCTTACTTGGGACTCTCAAACTGCAAATACAGCTGCATGCCCAGTGGGCAACAGCCCACATGGAATTAATGGAATCTGGCCTAGGTAGGGAGAGGAACTGTTTTCTAGGGCCAAGGCCGACTAAACTAAAAATAGGTAAGGCTTCAGTACACATGGTTTTGGCTTTGTGGGACAGTATTTGCTACCCTGAATACTCTTTTCTTTTCTTCTCTCATTTCTCAGCCAATACTAAGGAACTGGCATTTTACATCAGACTTTATTACAACTCCTCCAAAAAAATAGATGGTCAGAGAAGTTTAAATAATTTAACTATGAAGGTAAAAAAGACACCTACTACAAAGGCAATATGTGATCTAGTTAATAATGGTTTGAGACTAATGCCCTAGGTAATAAAAGTGATCTTAGTCTGGAATATCCAGTGCAAAGCGTGTACTAGACTGAAGCAAACAAGGCATCTAGGGTACAAAATTTAAGGAGACACTTACTCTCCAGGTAGTACAAGCACAGGATTGACATCTGAGAGTCAGTGTCTCCTTAAATTTTGTACCTTAGGCGCCCCCCTTGCCTCACCCTCCTTGGAGCCCAGATCCACAGTGATACCTAGATGTTCATCAAAGGCATAGGAGATTTTTTGTGAATACAAAAATTTGAAACAAAATCTGAGCAAAATCTGAAGTTTGAGATCCTGATCACATGCATCATTATTATCTTCTGAATATAATAAGAAAAAAGTAAAGGCTTGACATTTTCACACATTACGAGGATGAAGTTGCTTCAGAAAAGGGAAACATTTATGGTATAAATGGAAAAGTATGCAATGTTTATAGGGAGATTTCCACT
Organism: Homo sapiens; assembly: GCF_000001405.40. Classification (NCBI taxonomy): domain Eukaryota; kingdom Metazoa; phylum Chordata; class Mammalia; order Primates; family Hominidae; genus Homo; species Homo sapiens. The sequence continues at coordinate 69,193,379 of NC_000015.10, read as the reverse complement.
TCTGAATATGAAGGACAAAGAGGGTCTGGAAATATCCTTCTCCCTAACAACCAGAAATTGGATAAAATAGAGGAAACTATTTGCTGGCACTGAACAAAGGCAGCACAAGTCTATGATACCAGACTATTGCCCTAAAAGGGCAATAATAATAGGGCCCTCCAGCTTCTGCCTGGAGGTAATTTACAAACAATGGCGCAGGGAAAGGTAACCTCATAAGAACCTAGGAACATTGCTGAATTGAAAAGACATATATCAGAGTTTAGGGAGGCCAAAACAGCTAGAATTCAGGGGGAGGGGGAGGGGGCAGATGCCTGAGAGAAGAGATCAACACGGAAAGAGATCCCAAAAAATGCACAGCAGTCCTACTGGATCTTTGGCTGAATACAAGTTATACATGTGGAGGGTGAACCCCCAAGAGGCTGGGCAAAATAAAACATCAACCTTTAGAAAAAGAAAATTACCAGGAGTTGTAAGATAAACAACTGTCAGTGCTCACAAAAGGCCAGGAATTGTTAAAATTTGTATTACCCAAAGTGGTGAAATCTTGCTGAATAGCAGGGCAGCCATGAGTGACTCCAGAAGGACCATGCATTAGAAGTGAGGTTAAATTAGTCCTTAAGGCTACTCTAGATTCTCCCTGAAGCTGCATAAAAATAAGCTTTGAAAGGATCGAACTTATCTGTAAGTAACAGTGGCATACTAGAAAAAAACTAACATCCTTTAAAATAATGCAACCAAATCCAGCAAATAACATAAAATTCACAATAATGAGCATTCGATAAAAAACTATTAGACCTATCAAGAAGCAATAAAATGTGACTTGTGAACTAGAAAAACAGTCAATATTAACAGAACCAGAAATGAAAGAGATGATCAAATTAAGAGATGAGAACATTAAAACAGCTATAACAAATGTTTCCTCAACAGCATAAGAGAAAACCCAAACACAATGAGGAGACAAAGAAACATAAAAGAATCAAATAAAACTTCTACATATAAAAAAATACTTGAAATAAAAATATTATTATATAAGATTTGTAGCAGATTAGCCACTACAAAAGAAAGTATTAGTAAATTGAAGACACAGGAATAAAACTATCCAAAAATGAAGACAGAGAGAAACACACACACACACACATAACCCCTCCAAAAAATAAAGATGCCATGACCTCTGTAGCAATGTCGGCAATCAACATAACCATAATGAAAGCATGAAAACAAAAAGAGTAGGGCAATATTGGAAAAAATAGCTACAGAAATTTCCACTTTGTTGAAAACTACAAACCCACAGTTCCCAGAAGTTCAAGCAATATCTAGCAGGATAAACACAAACACACATTCACACATACATTGCTGAAAATAATGATAAAGAAAACATTTAAAGCAGCCAGAGGTAAAAAGGTACATTACATTCAATGGAGCAAAGATAAGTCATCACAGATTTCTCCTTGAAGCTATACAAGTCAGAAGACAATAAATTAAAATCTACAAAGTACAGAAAAGGAAAAAAACAAGGCAACCTAGTATGCAGGAAAAAGGTAACACAGCAGGCTCAGGAGTGCTATCCTTAGAAAGGCCTACTTGTAAGGTTAGGCCTTGGCTGGTGTCTAAGAACTTGAACTTCAAAAGGGTTCCTGACATTCCCTAACTAAAAAGGGTGTTTTACTGTGCCTGAAGTATTTATGCAAACAATATTCTGAACATCTGCTTTCCTTCTTGGAAACTGGAATTTTGCTACATGCTAGGCAGAGGACGCTTACCTGACCAGCTCCCAATAAAACCCTTGGGCACTGAGTCTCTAATGAGCTTCCTGTTCAACTGTATTCACATGTGTTGTCACAATTCATTGTTAAATTAAATGTATCCTGCATGATTCCACTGGGAGAAGATTCGTGTAAGCTTGTGCCTTGTTTCCTCCAGACTTCACCCATGAACCTTTCCCATTTGCTAATTTAGCTTTGTACCCTTCTGCTGTGATAAGTCATAACCATGAGTTTGACTATATGCTAAGTCCCGAGTCCTCCTAGCCAACCACCAAACCGGAGGTGATACACTACAATTTGGTACCCAGTAAAAATATCTTTCTGAAATGTTGATGTAATTTTTCAGACACATAAAAGCCGAGAAAATCTGTCACCAGTAGAACTGCACAATAAAAAATATTGAGAAAGATTTTTTGCAGAAGAAAAATGATACTAAACAAAAACATGGAACCATACAAAGACATGAGGTACAGTGGAGTAAATATGTGGGTAACTATAAAAGATATTTCTTATTTTTACAACTCTTTAAAATAAAATGGTTTAAAACAACCATAATTACAATCTACTGTGGGGTTTTTAACAAATACAGAAGTAAAATATAGAAGTTGTATAATATAATGTGTAGGAACACGGTGTAAGTTAAAGATATAGAATGTAATCCTAGGACAACCACTAAAAAAGAAAAGAGGCAAAGTTCCTAAGACAATAGTGCAAGTAAAATAGAACATTAAAAACTTCTCAATCCAAAAGAATGCCAAGAAAAGAGAGAAAAATGCAAAGAAGAAATGGGACAAATAGAAAACAAACAGCACAACAGTAGACAAAAGTCTAATCATACCAGTCATCATATTAAGACTAAATGGTCTAAACTCCTGATTAAAAGGGATAGAGATTGTCAGATTGTATTTAAAAAGAAGTAAAACCCAACTATATGCTGTCTACAAGAAACCCATTTTAAATATAAAAACACATAAAGGTTAAAGGATTGTTAACTGGGCTAACACTAATCAAAGGAGAGCTAGAGTATCTATATTAATAACAGATAAAGTATATTTTACAGTAAAGATTATTACTAAGAATAAAAAGAATAATTTCACAATGAGTAAAGGGATGAATTCATCAAGAAGAAAAATCCTAAGCTAGTAACAGAGCTTCAAAATGCCTAAAGCAAAACCTGATAAAATTACAAGCACAAACAGACAAATCCACAATTATTGTCAGAGATTTCAACAAATCTCTCAATAATGACACAACTAGTAGACAAAAACTTAGTAAGGACATAGTAAACTTGAACACCACTAGCAACCAACTTGATCTAATTAACATTTATAGAATCCACCACCAAATTACAGCAGAATACACATCTTTTCAAGTACACATGGAACAACACCCCAACTCAGACTATATTCTGAGCCATAAAACATTCTCACTAAGTTTCAAGGATTTCAAAGCATGCAAAGTATATTCTCTGATCACAATAAAATTATATTAGAAATTAAAATTAGAAAAACATCTAAAAAAAAATCTCCAAACATCTGGAAACTAAACAATATACTTCTGAATGTTAGAAAAGAAGGTCTCAAATCAGTGACCTAGGCTTTCACTTTAGGAAATTAGTTGGGGCCTACTGGAGGGTGGAGAGTGGGATGAGGGAGAGGATCAGGAAAACTAACTAAAGGGTGCTAGGCTTAATACCTGAGTGACAAAATAATCTGTACAACAAACCTCCATGACACAAGTTTACCTATATAACAAACCTGCACATGTACCCCTGAACTTAAAATAAAAGTTAAAAAAAAATTAGAAAGAGAAAAGCAAGCTAATCCTAAGCAGTAAGTGTGTCCTCCTCTTCTGAAGGGAAGTACACAGAAGGAGAAGAAAGAAAAGATAGATGAGCAGGAATGAAAAACATACACGTACAACAGAAAAGAAATAGAAAAAAGTCAACGAAACCAAAAGCTGGTTCTTTGAGATCAGTAAAATGCAAAATGGTAAAGCCACTTTGGAAGACAGTTTGGCAGTTTCTTACAAAACTAAATATACTCTTACCATATGATCCAGCAATCATGCTCCTTGGTAGTGACCCAAATGAGTCGAAAACGTATGTCCTTATGTTTATAGCAGTTTTATTCATAATTGCCCAAACTTGGAAGCCACCAATATGTCCTTCAGTAGGTGAATGGATAAATAAACCGTGGCACATCCAGACAATGGAATATGATTCAGCGCTAAAGAGAAATGAGCAATCATGCCATGCATGAAAAGACATGCAAGAACCTTAAACGTATATATTACTACGTGAAAGAAGCCAATCTGAAAAGGTGACATACTATATGATTTCAACTGTATGAAACTTTGAAAAAGGCAAAGACTATGGAGAGAGTGAAAAGATCAGTGGTTGCCAGGGGTTAACTGGGAGGTAGGGATGAACAGGTGGAGCACAGAGGATTTTTAGGAGAGTGGAACTATTTTGTATGATAATATGATAATGGTAGATATATGCCATTACACATTTGTCAAAACCCACAGAATGTACAACATCAAGAGTGAACCCCAATGTAAATTATGGACTTTGGGTGATAATGATACATCACTGTAGGTTCAGTTGTAACAAATATACCACTTCTGGTGTGAAATGTTGAAGTGGGAAAGGCTGGTGGGGGGGATATAAGAACTCTGTATTTTCCACTCAATTTTGCTGTGAACCTAAAACTGCTCTAAAAAAATAAAGTTTATTTAAAATTTTTTATTGAGTCAATGAAAGCAAATGCTGGCTCTCTGAGATCAATAAAATTAATAAATCACTAGCCAGACTAATGGAGGAGGGGGGTGGAGAGAAAATACATAAATTACCAATATCACAAGTGAGAGAGATAAATTAAAGACAGACATTAAAAGGGTAAGAGAACGTCATGAGCAACTTGATGTCAATAGATTTAACAACTTAGATGAAACAGACAAATTCCATGAAAGACAAATTATAAAGCTCACTCAAGAAGAAACAGATAACCTGAATAACCTTACATATATTAAAGGAATTGAAATTACAGTTAAAAACCACCCCACAAAGAAAACTTCCAGGTCCAGCTGACTTCACTGGTCAATTCTAACAAACATTTAAGGAAGAAATAATACTAATTCTAAAAGGCTTATCCAGAAAATTGAAGAAGAGAGAACACTTCTCAAGTCATTCTAAAAGGGCACCATGACCCTGTATCAAAACCAAACTAAGATATTATAAGAAAACTATAGACCAATTTTCCTATGAATATAGATGTAAAAATACTTAATATGACATAAATCAAATCCAACAATATGTAAAAAGTACAATACCTCATGACCAAGTTGTGTTTTTTTGTTTTGTTTTGTTTTTTGTTTTTGTTTTGAGACGGAGTCTCACTCTGTCGCCCAAGCTGGAGTGCAGTGGCAATCTTGGCAACCTCCACCTCCCAGTTCAAGTGATTCTCTGCCTCAGACTCCTGGGTAGCTAGGACTACAGGCATGCACCACCAGGCCCAGCTAATTTTTTTGTTGTTGTTGTTTTTTGTTTTTTGAGATGGAGTCTCGCTCTGTCACCCAGGCTGGAGTGCAGTGGGGCGAGCTCTGATCACTACAACCTCTGCCTCCCAGGTTGAAGTGATTCTCCTGCCTCAGCCTCCTGAGTAGCTGGGACTACAGGTGCGTGCCACCATGCCTGGCTAATTTTTTGTATTTTTAGTAGAGACGGGGTTTCACCATGTTGGCCAAGCTGGTCTCGAACTCCTGACTTCAAGCAATCCACCCGCCTGGGCCTCCCAAAGTGCTGAGATTGCACAGGTGAGCCACCATGGCCGGCCCCAAGTAGTGTTGATATGAAAAAAAGCAAGGTTGGTTTAACATTTGAGAATCAATTGATGTAAACAAAACCAAACGAAAACCTTTTATATAGGCTTCTATTCCTTAATGTAGTACACATTTTCATTTTCTTATTCTTTAAATTGTACATTCATGTTAATGTTTTTCTTCATCTGCAAAATGATAATAACATCTTCAAAGAGTTGTATAATTAAATGAAAGCAGGTATGAAAAATGCCCACTGAGGGTAAAAGGGAAGGAGAAAGCAGGATTTCTCCATTATAGTAATTTTGTTTACTTAATCTCTATGTTTCAATGTTTCCTTTTGTAAAATGGGGACAATAATACTCTCTCACCAGGTTGAAGGGAGAATTAAATGATACAAATGTTAAATGTTTGGTATGCTTGTACATAGTAACACAGTCAACATACATTAGTATCCTTTTCCTTTCAAGGCTTATATATATTAATAGTATCTCTTATGTAAAAGAAAAAAAATATGGTAAGATAAGTCTTTTCATTTAGAAAAAGCTATGGCCCCAAGTCTAACATGACAGATAACAGTGACTAGCTCAAAACAAAAAGGTGAATGTCAACAATTTAAGAAGCATATATACCCAGTTTCAAACCAATAGTAATGAGATACAGAAACTATAGCTAATACAGTTTATTAACATACTCAGACTCACCATGAACATTAACCTAAGACATTGAATGGATATATTAGTTTTTTATAAGTCAAATTCTTTAGTGTCATCTTAATTTCATTCTACTCCAAATATGAAGTCTTGCTCTTGAGGGTTCTCAGCAATGAAATGTGCTATCTCTTTTGGTAATAACAACCAAACTTCACCCAATGTGAAACCCTGGGGTTCTTCAAAAGAATGATATTCCAAGAAAGGAAAAAAAAAGTGTATATGAGAAAACAGTCAATAATTTGAATAAATGTATCTGTCATACCTTGTAAGCTACACAAAGCCCTAAAGCTTATAATACCTAGTTGATACCTTCAAAAACAGCTTTAGCCAGAAAAGGGGCAAAAATTTAAGTTAAAAAAATTCTAGGGAATACTTGAGAAGTAGCCATTGGATATACTAACTAGTAGCTAACTATTCATTAAGCATCTACTTTCAAAAAAGCTGCACACATCCTTATCTTCTTCTGATACACCTTAGATACTCAGAAACTAAGATCAACTATTTATTTTTTAGCATCAGAATCTTCTGTGTTATTCAGGTTCCTCTCTTTAACTGCCTACAGTTTACTATTAGAATATAATAATTCAGGCAATTTAAAATTGTTTGCTACTCTATATTTATCAGATTTCTTTCATATTAGCTTATTTAACTCTGCAGCATTATGATACATATACATTGGTTTTCATTCATGGTTCCTGGCTCCTAACCCCTATAGCCCTTGTTTGTCTTTTGTTATAATGCTGAGGGTGTGAGGCCTCAGAGGCAGGCCTCTGACCTTCTCCTCTTCTCCTTTTATCGGCTCTATAGCAGGACTTTAATCTACCCAGCCTCTCTGACAGTGGGTCTTAAGACCCTCCAGAGAGGGTCCTGCCTCATACCCTGGAGGAAGGAATGTTGATGTCATGAGGCTTCTTTAAAAACCCAAGAAAACTGGTTCAGAGAGCTTCTGGATAGCTGAACATACGGAGGTTCCCAGGGGGTAGCATACCCAGGGAGGACATGAAAGCTCCGCACCCCTTCCCCCATACTTCACCCTATGCATCGCTTCATCTGTATCCTCTACATATATCCTTTATAATAAACCACTAAAGGTAAGCAAGTATTTCCCTGAGTTCTGTGCACCACTCCAGCAAATTAATTGAGCCCAAAGAGGAAGTGGGCCCAAAGAGGAACCCAACTTGAAACCAGTTGGTCAGAAGTTCCAGAGGCCCAGATTTGCAACTGGTGTCTGAAGGATGGGGTGGCCCGGACTTGTGACTGGTATCTTAAGGATAGGTTGGCATGTTCTTAAATTCTCCAGGTAGACAGTGCCAGAATTGAACTGGAGAATACCCAGCTGATGTGCACTGCTTGGTGTGTAGGGAAAAACCCCCATACCTTTGGTCACAGAAGTCTTCTTCTGTATTGATGATGATTTTTGTGGTGGTGTGAGAGTAGAAAAAAACACGGTTTGAGAGTTTTCGCTACACTAACTCCAATAAAAACAACTTGATGAGAAGACAGGTAGTTCTCTCCAGGCTTACAGAGAAGCAAGCAGAAGGTCTGAGATGAAGTTATCTGCCCATGATCACACAGATCTGGAAAGCAGTGGAGCTAGAATTAATTAGAAACTTAATCACAACCCAGTCCACTTTCTACTTTACCACAACGCTTCAGGCAACTTTTGACAGAGAGAAAGGAGATACAAATCAAATTACTAAAGTTTCTATGTAAATGATAGCTAAGTCAATTACTGGAGGTTGAAAGAGGTTAAAAACTATTGGTTATAAGGAGGTACAGATTCAAATTTGCCAACTATCTTCAATCTTTTCACTATTCCAGCATTTTTCCCTTTTTGCAGAAAGGAATGCTTAATAATTGCTCTACTCTCTATATGACAGAAAGCTCTGAACATGGCAATTAAACCAATAAAGTATGATGAAGCATATTTTAACTCACTATAAAAATGTAACAGATAAGAATGAATAAAGAACCTCAGAGCATTAGAACACAACCAAGGCAAACACTGTAAGCAGACATTGTGACTGTGTTCTCCAATATCCACGCCACAACTCTGAGTGGCAAAAACTGGGAGAACTAACTTTAGCTCAATGGTGGATCCATCCTCACTGCCAGAAACTGACTCAGATATGAGAAGGAATCATGTCAATCAGATAGGAGAAGAGGTAGAAGAGGTTTGCTGGTGGCCTCTGGTTAAGGTTGTCCTTTCTGTTAGGAGGAAGCCAGAATTTTTCCTCCTTATAGAACATATAGCTCCTTCCTGGTACCCACTGTATGAAGAGAATCTGAGAATCCCACCCTGGAATAAAGCCAGCACTGTGGACAGCAGAGTGGAACAATGGAAATGATCTGAATCTTTGGTGTCTTCATTAAGGTACTAACTGACTAATCCTAAAGACTGCCTTTCCTCTGGACTTCCAGTTACATTAAGCTAATAAATTTCTTCATTGTGTAAGGTTGTTTGAATTGGGCTTTCTGATATCTAAAGTTGAAAGACACCTAACTGAAACATATTAGTGATATAATACATGTAGCTGATGAACAACAAAAGGTGCTTAAGAACCAACATGGTCTCTTGGATTTCTAAAAATATTTTAAGAACACTGTTATTCTATTAGTGGGTAATTTAAATGTAGTAATATAAACTAGGTGAAAAAATTCTAGAAATACTTTGGGAAAGAGATGAAAGAGCTCTATGCTTATTTTTTATAATTAATATTTTTCTCTGATTTGGGTATTCCTGAGAGACTTGGTGGGAGGTAGGATTCATAAGGGAGGAGAGATGTCATTATTCCGCATTGCATGCCCAGAGCTACAACTAAATTGAAGAAGTGGCTGGGAAGCTGTAACAAAAATCATTATTAATGGTTCAGGATCAGCATTAAGCCATGTCCTACTATTTCAATATTGGGATTGATGTTCATTCTTATGAAAAATTCCTGGATGTTAAAATATAGAGAATGCCTATAAATTCTACATGATACTAAAAGGGATGTGACTACGAAGACATCAAACTGGAATAAACCTTAAATTCTAAACTGCACTAGAGTTGTCGCTATTCTCCAACATCAAATAATGTACCTTTTGTGACTCTGTTTCTGGTGTTTCCTCTATTTGGGATGTTCTTCACTGGTTCTACTAGTTAAAGTCATTCTTGCTCTAACTACAACTTGGTTCTCTGTTATCGGCATTTCCCCTGAAGCTTTCTCAAGTGTTATGTGTTTTCCCTCCCAACTCCTCATACCACAGGGCCTGGATGTGAAGGTAGGTCTTCTTGATCCTACTGACCTAAAGGAAGAAACTGAAGTAAAATTAATATAGAGAATTTATTTGAGCCAAGGTTGAGACCTGCAGCCTAGGACACATTTCCAAGTTGCCTTGGGGAGTGCCCCATTCAGCCTTTGTTACCAGCAGGTTTTTAAAGGCAAAGGGGGACATGGAGCAGACTGATACACAATTGTTTGACAGGAATTCTCATTGGTTTACAGAAATAGCATTGATTAGTGATTGACTATATATTGTCGAACTATAGGGTATGAGTTATGGCGTCTAGCACATGGCATTTTATGGCTACCTGGTATCAGTCTAGAGCCCACACAGCATGTGGCTTCCAGAGGTAATTATTTCATTTCAGTGCCTCTCTAGGCCTGATAATGGTGGCTCAGTTCCTCAGACTAAAAGCTTCTATTCTTTCTCAATCCTAGTTGCCCATTCCAGACAATTCTTCCTAACTCTTCCCTAAAAACATCCAAACTGAAATCTCATCATCAGACTGTAGCCGTTCTTTACTGCAGTTATCAAGCTCTCCACTTTATTTCTTGAAGATTTTAGCTGCTTGCTCATTACACCATCATTATTTTCATAATGCTTGGGAATCTCATCATCCACACAATCCTTTCCCAATTCTTGCTTGTCAGTTTCTTATTATCAGAAAGGAAGTTCTGCCCTTCAGTAGATCTAGGATCTTCCACTGATCCTTCCCTCAACCCTATTTTATACTCATTCCCATACAGTCAAACCTTAAACCTTCTCAATTTTAATAAATGCAACCCTTCCAAAATGCCATTTTTTGTTTTGTTTTGTTCTGAGACAGGGTCTCACCCTGTCGCCCAGGCTGGAGTGCAGTGGTGCAATCACAGCTCACTGGACTCAAGTGATCCTCCCACCTCAGCCTCCTGAGTAGCTGGGACTACAGGCACGCACCACCACACCCGACTAATTTTTGTATTTTTTTGTAGAGACGGGGTTTCACCATGTTGGCCAGGCTGGTCTCAATCTCCTGACCTCAAGTGATCCACCTGCCTCAGCCTCCCGAAGTGCTAGGATTACACACATGAGGCATGATGCCCAGCCTCGAAATACCATTTTTAAGTATCACACTCTGATACCAGCTCACTACCTCTAATATCCTAACTCCAAAAAATCTGCCAACCCAACAGACCTGTAGTCCACTAATCTGATGACTTCTGCACTTCCTTTTACCTTCCCATGTCCTCAATCCCCTTCTTACCCAAATTAAATCCATATTCAATCATTTACTTCCTTCCTTCCTTTGCATACATGCTTAACTACTTGTCTTCCTTCTGACTATGTCAATCTTGCTTGGCTAGTTGTTACCAATGCAATTTTCTGCCTATTCTATGTTGATACCTACAGAGCTGCATGTGGCTGGATGGACTCTCTCTCTCTCTCTCTCTCTTTCAGCGCAATTTTCTGCCTATTCTGTGTTGATACCTACACAGCTGCATGTGGCTGGATGGACATGCACTCTCTCTCTCTCTCTCTCACACACACACACACACACACACACACACAAATACACGATGTCTGATAAATTGGTTTCTCTTTAAATTCGTGGCCAGGAGCCTCAAATGAGTTTCCTTAATGCTGACTGACAATTATACCTTATTTTCCTGATTCATCCATTCTGCCACTCTCTTACATAACTATTTCAACTTTTTGCTCCTCAATCTTCCATCACCTTCCCTCTCATCCTCACTTTTATCTTATGACCCTGTGTCCTATTTTACTAATAAAATACTAGAAGCAATAAAAGAACTTCTACAAACTCTCAAACCACATCTACCTAACTACGTCTGTGCCCACATATTCTGATTCCTCTTTCATTACTAGCGTGAACTATTTCTGCTCTACCCAAGACCCAACCTTTTTACTTACACACTAGATCCCCATTAACCACCACTACCTCTTCGTCTATCCCATCAAATTTTCCATTTTTTTCTCAGCCTCCTACAAACACGTCAAAACAAAAACAAAAAACAAAAAAACTCTTTGAACATCTCTCTTAAGTTACTATTCTATTTCTCTCCCTCCCTCTTCAGCAAAATTCCTCAGAAAAATGATTCTTTCTGCATGTCTCCAATTTCTCACTTCCCTTTCTCTTGAATCCATTCCAATGAGTCTATTTCCCCACCACTCTATCAAACCTGCTCTTGTCAGAATCACTAATGAATTCCACATTGCAAACTAGAATGACCAATTCAATTACCAGTTCTCTTTACTGGAACTATGAGCAGCATCTGACAAGGGGTTCATTACTCCCTCCTCTCAAAACACTTTCTTCATTGGCTTCCAAGATTCCATGTTCTCCTGGTTTTCCTCTTGCCTCAGTGATTTCTCCTTCTAAGTTTCCTTTGCTAGTTCTTCATTTCCCAAACTTTAAATGTTGTAGTGCTCCAAATCTCTGTCCTGGACCTTCGCCTCTTTATGCTTACTCCCTTAGTGAAGTCATCTGATCTGATTTCTTTAAATAGCATCTATACATAATTCCCAAACTTAAACCTCTAGCCCATTCCTTTCCTTTGAACTCTAGACTCAGATAGTTAGCAGTCATCTCACTTAGAATACCTAAGATATATCTTAAATTTACTTTGTCCAAGATCCAACTTCTCTCCTCCAAAATCTTCCATCATAGTTTTACCCATAACAGCAAATGGGTAACTAGCCTTCTAGGTGCTCAGACCACAAACTTTGTATCACCCTTAACCTCTGTGCCTCCCTCTTTTTTCTCTCCCTGCTTCCCAGTCCCCCAAATCCTGTTGACCTCAAAATGTCAATTACTCACCACCACCACTACTACCATTTTGGTCCAAGCCATCACCTCTCACCTGAATTACTGCAACAGTCTCCTAGGTGGTTTCACTGCTTCTGCCCTTGTTCTCCTTTAGCCTACTCTCAACAGTTGCCAGACTGACTCTTTAAAAGTCCAATCATGTCACTATTCTGTTCCAACTCATCCAATGTCTTTCTATACCACGTATCACTTAGTCTAAAAGCTGAAGTCCTTAAAATGGTCTATAAGACCTTGCTTGACCTGGCAGCACAACCAGCCCATCACCAGTGCCATCATTACCTTTCTGACTTCATCCTATATTACCCAGTCCTTTACTCAACTCCAATGACAAGCTTCTTCAAATGTAAATACCGCAGGCATGCTCCAACCTCAGAGACTTGGCATTTGCTATTCCCTGGGCCTAGAATGATTTGTATTTGTGTCATATCTCCTTCACTGACTGTCTTCATGTTATTTAAAAGTCACCTTATCAGTGAATTTTCCTGGCCATCCTTTAGAGAAGTGTAACTCCTCCCATACTTTATTCCCCCTTCCCTGGTTTATTTTTCCTCTTTACTACTTATCTTCTAACATGCTGTAAACTTACATTTTTTTTAATTCACTCATCTAAAATGTATGTCTTCTCAGGGTAGGGGTAGGGATTTTTGTCTGTTTTGTTCACTGAGGTACTTACAGAGCCTAGAGCAGTGCCTGGCATAAAATGGTCAAATATTTGATAAATGAATAAAATCATAGCCCTCCTTCAAGGATGATGCCAAATTATCCACAGTATTAAGACTATACTAAAAGGGACCACTAAAAAAATCTTTCTCTCAACTTTCTTATTTTATACATCTGGTTAGTTAGTGGTGTTTAATGCAGAATCAGAACTATAGCCAGTTCTCCTTATAACTATACTAATTATTTCCATGAAGATTTTTCTGATCCTTTTTTAATATTTGATCACTCATAACTCTCAAAGCAATAAATACGTTCTTTTGGCACTTGTTATGGTATTGGTTTTTGAGACAGAGTCTCACTCTGTCGTCCAGGCTGGAGTGCAGTGGCGCATTCACAGCTCACTGCAACCTCCACTTCCCAGGCTCAAGCAATTCTTGTGCCTCAGCCTCCTGAGTAGCTGGGACTACAGGCATGCACCACCACGCCCAGCTAATTTTTGTATTTTTAGTAGAGACAGGGTTTCGCCATGTTAGCCAGGCTGGTCTTGAACTCCTGACCTCTCAAGTGATCCACCCGCCTTGGCTTCCTGAAGTGCTGGGATTGCAGGCATGAGCCACTGCACACAGCCACTTGTGTTGTTCTTTGTACTGAATTGTTGGTATATCTCTATTATCTCCCCTATAAAACTATATGCTCTTTAAGGCCAGGAGTTACGTTGTCAGTGGTTAGGATGAGAGATATGACTATATAGGGATGGCACAGGGATTTCTGTTGTGATGAAACAGTTCTGTATCTTGACTGTGGTGGTCAAAACTACACATGATAAAACTGCAAACAATTACACACATACAATGAGTGCCTGTAAAACTGGTGAAATCTGAATAAAGTCTTTGGATTGTCCAACATCAATTTCATGGTTTTGATAGTGCACTAGGGTTATATAAGATGTTACCAGCAGGGTTTGAAATTGGATGAAGGGTATATGGTACCTCTCTGCACGAATTTTCCAACTTCCTGTGAATCTATAATTACATACTACAAATTCTTTTAATGTAATATTCTCTTGACAAGAAATAAATACTCAAGCAGTATAAAAGTGTACACAACCAAACCCAACCACAGTCATACCGAGATCTGATTTCCAATCTCCTGGTCCCTTCTTTTAGTCCCTCTTCAGAAGGAACTATTCCCTTTCTTGTGTATCCTTCTAGAAAAGTCTATGCATTTTGAAGCAAAATATGTTTATTAATGTGTGCATATGCATGTGTATTTACACCAACACATACACAACTTATTTACAGCAATATAAGCGGCATACCATAAACACTGCTCTGCAACTTACTTTTTTTTAACCCAATAATGTGTCTTAGAGATTAGCTTATGGAGAAGTGCTCCTTTTTTCTTTTTTTATGACTATATGACATCCCATTGTGTGGCTATATCATCATTTATTTAACCAGACCCCTACTAAGAGTCATATATGTTTTTTGACAATATAATTAATACTATAAAGAGCAAAGATAAATTATTTAAAATTGAATGAAAAAGTATGAATATTTATCATTTTAACATGTAAAGTCAACTTGTCCTCCAAAGAAATTGCACAATTTGTGTTCCTGCCTACAGTATATAACAGTGATTCTAGATATCTTTGCCAGTGTTGTGTATTATTGAGCTTTTTAATCCTTGTCAATCTGATAATCAAAAAATGTTCTCCTGTTTAAATTTGCATTTGAATAATAATAAAAATAAACTTCCATAGAGCACTTACTGTGTGTCAGATATTGTTCTGAGAACTCCACATATATTAACTTATCTAATACTCATAACAGTCCCTTGAGGTAGATGATATTGCTATTATTAGCCACATTTTACTGATGAGAAAACTGAAACACAGGAAGGTTAGGGAACTTGATTACACTGATTGTTAGAGAATATGCAAACCCAAGCAGACTGACTCTAGAGGTTTAAATTTTAAACAACATATTAAGTTTTTTGTTCAGCTTTCCAAAAATATTTTCTTATGCTTAAAGCCATTTGTATATTTTTTGATATTAGCTACCTGGTTTTGTCCTCTGCCCATTTTTCTGTTGGATTTTTGATCTTACTCTTACCGAGCTACAAGATCTCTTTGTGTATTAAGAAAATTAGCCCTTTATGATAAATATGTTATTCCCAAAAAAGGTAAAACAGATACCTACCCTGTGACCTAGTCATCCTATTTAACCAAAAGAAATGAAAATATATGTCCATATAAAGACTCGTACACTAATATTCGTAACAGCTTTATTTGTAAATAAAACTGTAAATAACCCAAATGCTCATCAGCAAATGAATGATAAATTTTGGTATACCCATATAATGGGATATTACTACAAAAAATGAATGAATTATTTATACATGCAACAACAGAGAAGAATCTCAAAATAATTATTTGAGTGAAAGAAGCCAGACTATAAAGAAAAGTACATACTATGTAATTCCATTTATATAAAACTCTAGAAAATACAAAACAATCAATCTGTAGTTACATTAAGTAGATCAATGGTTACTTTGAGAGGGTGGAGTGTGGAGGGGCATGAAGTAAAGATGATAAAGCGGCATGAAGTAAAGATGATAAAGCGGCATGAAGTAAAGATGATAAAGGGGCATGAAGTAAAGATAATAAAGGGGCATGAGGTAAAGATAATAAAGGGGCATGAAGTAAAGATAATAAAGGGGCATGCATGAAGAAACTTCTGGAGATGATGGGTATGGTCACTATTTTGAATGTGGTAATGATTTCACAGGTATATACCTACATCAAAACTTACTAAATTGTGTAATTCACTATATGCCAGTTATACTTCAGTGAAGCTGTTATACTAAGGGACTCATAACATATTGTACTATTGTTTTAAAAATTATCAAAAAATGGTGATATCTCCTGTTTAACTTCTTTTATATTCATCATAAAGAACACAAGCAAGGCCGGGTGCAGTGGCTCACACCAGTAATCTCAGCACTTTGGGAGACCAAGGCAGATGGATCACCTGAAGTCAGGAGTTTGAGACCAGCCTGGTAACATGGCAAAACTCTGTCTCTACTAAAAATACAAAAATTAGCTGGGCGTGGTGAAACCCCGTCTCTACTAAAATACAAAAATTAGCTGGGTGTGGTGGCGCATGCCTATAATCCCAGCTACTCGGAAGGCTGAGGCACAAGAATCGCTTGAACCCAGGAGGCAAAGGTTGCAGAGAGCCGAGATTGCACCATTGCACTCCAGCCTAGGTGACAAAGAGACTGTCTCAAAAAAAAAAAAAAAGCAAATATGAAATGTTCCTGATTCAGGTTTGAAACATTATCCACTTCTTTTTTCAAAGTCATAGTTCAATTTGAGAGTGTCCTGATTCTACTCTAAGTCTCAAGAACCAACTAAAACAACTCTTCCAGTTGTGGTGGACATTGTACAATCAAAACAAAATAGAAATTTAATGCAGAGATTGAGAAACTACAATCATTATCAGTTATTCAATTTCAAATTCTTGAGTACATCAAAATGGCCTAAGTCATTCATTCATTTATTTCACTAAGATACATTTGGAATCTGCTATGTATGAGGCACTGTTAAATGCTAGGAATAAAGTGGCAATAGAATGTCGTGAAGATAAGACAACTTAAGAGCCTACCCTGAATGTCACTGATCCCCTTTATGCTAAGTTAATGTTATAAATATGTACTTAAAGTTATACAAAAATGTTACTTTTTATTTGTATTCTATATTGCAGTGCCATATAGATGTTTGAGGAAAAAAAACAAAAATGGGCCAGGGGTGGTGGCTGACGCATGCCTGTAATCCCAGTACTTTGGGTGGCTGAGGTGGGCAGATCATCTGAGGTCAGGAGTTTGAGACCAGCCTGGCCAACATGGTGAAACCCTGTCTCTACTAAAAATACAAAAATTAGCCAGGTGTGGTATTGCCCACCTGCAGTCCCAGCTACTTGGGAGGCTGAGGCAGGAGAAGCGCTTGAACCCAGGAGGTGGAGGTTGCAGTGAGCCCGAAATCACACCACTGCACTCCAGCCTGGGCAACAGAACAAGACCCTGTCTCAAAAAAAAAAAAAAAAAAAAAAAACAAGGTTCCACTGAAAACTACTAGATCACAAAATTTAACTCCTTTTAGACTTTAATATGTGGTAATGCAAAAACAATCACATCCCATGCCAAATAAAAAGTGGCTCTGAATTATCAATTTTTCATTATTTCAATTATTTGAGAGATATACCATTAGTATATAATGCACATGTAGCTTCTAAAAATGAGTAAGTGAACAGTGTTACATGACAAAGTACAATGTAAGATTTGCCAGCCAGTATACTCACCTCCCTATTTGTGATTTGATGTTTTCCTGCTCAAGGGTTCTAAGGTTATATACTCAGTAAATTCACACATTTCCTGAGTGTCTTCAGAAACTTTATTTGTTTTAATTTAAGTAAAATAACTGGAAAATAGCAATTTACATTGCAGAGATGCCCCCACATGAAGAAGCAGTGAAAGCCTATCACATAACAGAAAGTCATTAGCTTCAGTGAAGAAGGCAAACAGATCTCTGATATGGACCCAAACTTCCCCTGAGCAAAAGCCAATCAAAACAAAATATGACAATGCTACCTTGATTTTAAAACATGCTAAGTCTGGAACACCCACTGGGTATGACAAGTATTTTGTACAGGGAATGAAGAATATAGAAAATGAAGCTGATGACTATAAACTAACTTCATCAACAGCTCAATTAGATGTTGTCACAGACATACTTCTTAAACATGTTAAAATATATTCTATTTTATTCATTAAACTTTTTGGTGTTCATATGAATGTAACAAAGTAAAAAGTACACTACTGAGGTCCAGTAAGTACATTTACTAGAATGTATCTCCTGATTTTCTAAAAAGAAATTTCGTTTTGAAATACACATTTTAAAATTATTTGCCACTTCTGAGGGCTAATGACAAAGACATTGGCATATGCATTGAAAAACAACAAAAGGGAGACTCCAAAATTTAGGAGATGGTGGTATTAAGAATGTGAGGATGATGGAAAAATCTTTTTCTTATTTTTCATTTTTAAAGTGGGTATATTACTATTATTTGTAAATTTTACAATACATCAGATGAAGACTAAAGATCATATTGCTAAAGAAAAAAAGTAGAAACTAAACATGGAAATTCTGCATAGGCTTTTTCTCATGCTATTAAGAGTTTCAACATTAGCTAAAATTCAACCACCGAGTCTGTAAATTTTAATTTCATTAAGTAGTTTTCAAGCCTCAGTAAAAGAGTCTTCAAGGGGCTTATAATCCTGTTAATTTTTTTAAAAAACCTTACATATTATAAAGCAATTAGTAACAGTATAGGATATAGTACTAATAGATTACCAAACTGTTAGAAAAGAAAGAAAAATATCAGTGTTGGATAGAAGAACCCGAGATGACTTTAAAAAAATGGATCAGGGTTAAGTCCTAAAAATTAGACTTTAGATGGGCTTAAAGAAAGAGAGTATTCTCAGGATAAAAAAATATGAAGGTCATGAAGGCCAAAAAAAGCTCTGATTTGTGTAAGGGATGACAGTGAATAAAATGGTTTACTGTTCCATTTTAGATTTAAACAACTGAATCATTTAGAAGTTAATAATCTTTGGGGTTTTGTTTGTTTGTTTGTTTTGTTTTGTTTTGTTTTGTTTTTTAGACATAGTTTCACTCTTGTCGCCCAGGCTGGAATACACTGGTGCGATCTCAGCGCAATGCAACCTCTACCTCCCAGGCTCAAGTGATTCTGCTGCTTCAGCCTCCTGAGTAGCTGGGATTACAGGTGCCCACCACCATGCCCAGCTAATTTTTGTATTTTTAGTAGTGACGGGGTTTCACCATGTAGGCCAGGTTGGTCTCAAACTCCTGACCTCAGGTGATCTGCCCACCTTTGCCTCCCAAAGTGCTGGGATTACAGGCATGAGTGGTTTCAGTTTTTGACATTAACATTTTTTTAGATACACAGAAGAGAAACCACAAGCATTTGAATTTAATGATACTTATGCCATCATCTTTAAAAGCAACTTCAATTAGTCTGTGACATTTCTAAAACAAGACTAAAATCTTGTTTCCTTCGGAATTGTGAATAAACTTTTTAAAAATCATCTAAGGCCAGGTATGGTGGCTCATGCCTATAATCCCATCACTTTGGGAGGCCAAGGCAGGTGGATCACTTTGAGCTCAGGAATTGAAGACCAGCCTGGGCAACATGGCAAAGCCCCATCTCTACAAAAATACAAAAATTAGCTGGGTGTGGTGGCATGCGCCTGTAGTCCCAGCTACCTGGGAGGCTGAGACTGGAGGATCACTTTAGCCCAGGAAGCAGAGGTTGCAGTGAGCCAAGATCACACCACTGCACACCAGCCTGGATGACAGAGTAAGACCCTGTCTCAAAAAAATAAAAAATCTAGTTAAATTATTTCATACTATAATTTCAGATTTTGATTATCAGGAAGGTATCATTCTCTCTAATAGAATCTGATACTGTATGAAGCCATAAGTATTATAAGTGTGAATAAGTGCCCAAGAAAATGTTTTGCCAATTGGAATTACAACCAATGAAGAAAATTTTTAAAAATTTTTAAATTGGAAAAGTCCTTAAAGGATCGCTTGATTAAACCCTACTCAATCTATGCTTTAGTGCCTCAGGGAGTGAATGTTTACTCCATTCAAATTGTCACCAGCCTGGGCAACAGAGCAAGACCCCATCTCTTAAAAAAATAAAAAGGCTTCTTCATTATGAACCAATATTTTCCTTCCTCTAACTTTCATTCATTGTTCCTAGTTCCATCCTCCAGACTGCAATGCAAAAGATATGCTTAATCCTTCTTCCATGTGCCAACCCTTCATGTTTCACAGAATCTCAGATTTGAGTCAGGAAGAACATTAAAGATCATCCAGTTACCCAATCTAAAAAGTATTATCATATACCCCAACTCTTCTTTCTTCCATGCTAAACAACCTCAATGTTTCAATTACTTTGCAACTGTTTCAAGACATGCTTCATTCTGATTACTCTCTTCTCACTACACTGTTTATCAATGCCTACCTTAAAATGTGGCAAACAGAACAGAACTAAGCTAGATGCAGAGTAGAAAAGAATAATCAACTGTTTTGGACAATATGCTTCAAAGTGTAGCTTAAGCAGGTGCTGAATATTGGGATAGTTATAATAAACCACTGACTCACCAACTGCAGACAAATAAGGAGACACACCCAGGCACACACCTCTGCTTAAACAAACACACATCTACTGCTGTTAGCCCTCCAAGATTCCCATCTTGTATTTGTGCAGACTTCTGAAAAAAAAATCAACTATAGGCCGGTCTTTATCAAATATTTACACACCAAATATAAAATCTTATAACATATTTCGTAACAAATATTTTCTAAATACAGTCTGTCATTTTTAACTATTAGAAATAAGGCAGTAAGAGTGAAGATGCTGATTCTGTATATATACCAGCATTCCCTTACAATTTTCAGAGTAACTGATAAAAATCTTAAATAGGACATGATAGCTTCTTGAGGCACACCACTAAGAATGTACTGCAGTTTAATTTTAATCATCAAGCTCTGGATATGGCCATTTAAGCAATTACTAATCCACCTACCTATGTAACTATTCGGACCACATTTTCTATCTAGTCTAAAAAGATATCGTTAAGAGGATGTCAAATGCTATATGTATAACCTTGAGGGACCCTTTCCTCATCTGTAAAACAATAACTTAATGAGACAACCTATGTAAAAGCATTTAATCCAGTGCCCAGCACGTAATTTAAAATCCAATAAATGTAGCAATAATTCTATATATACTATGGCCAGAGTATCTTCTGATATATCTACTATTAATAGTTCACTTACCCCATAAAAAAAGAAGTGAAGCTAGGTGTCATTACTTGTTCTTTGTGAACCCATGCTGGCTCCTAGTGATCAGTGCCTTCTTTTGTTAAGTACCGACAACACGTGTGTTCGATAATCTGTTTAAGAATTTGTTCAAGGAATGACACCAAGCTCTGATATCAGTCTATTATTGTCTGTAACCTTTACTTGTTTTCCCATATTGTACATACTTCAGCAGCCAAAATACTCTTTTATACATAATAGGTCTTCAAAAAAAATGGTTAATTGAATTCCCTTTTAAAAAATCAGTATGAATTTCTTAGTTTTGATCAATATAACATGATTATATAAGATGTGAACATTAGAGAAAGCTGAGTGAAGGGTATATGGCACATGGAAATCTTCTGGACTATCTTTGCAATTCTCCTATAAAGATATATTTCAAAATTGAACATTTTTAAAAAATCAAGATGATCTCTTCCCTCTGACAAATTCTTTCTTCAAATTCCCCAAATATTACCAATCACAATTAGATGTAAATTCTTTCAGCGGCCCTTAGAGCTTTATAATCTATCCTCAGTAGGAGACAAGAATTCCAGTAAACAGGAACTCTTATAATACCCCTAACTTATCCTGGGCTACGTCAGTGAGTTAGTATTCAGTAAACAATAGTCATTCCCAAATTTTAGTTTTTGAAATAAGGGCCTTAAAAAGAATCTATCCCAGAGCAGGGCGCGGTGGCTCACGCCTGTAATCCCAGCACTTTGGGAGGTCAAGGTGGGTGGATCACAAGGTCAGGAGTTCGAGACCAGCCTGGCCAACATAATGAAACCCCGTCTCTACTAAAAATACAAAAAATTGGCCGGGCATGGTGGCAGGCGCCTGTAATCCCAGCTACTCAGGAGGCTAAGGCAAGAGAATTGCTTGAACCTGGGAGGCCGAGGTTGCAGTGAGCCAAGATCATGCCATTGCACTCCAGCCCGGGCGACAGTGCGAGACTCCATCTCAAAAAAAAAAAAAAAGAATATATCCCAAAAGTAAATATCTTTTCCCTAAACCATTAAAATCCTGCAGAAACCAATTAAAATTTCTGACTCTTGTTGCTCAAACCATTTATTTAACAGTGACATTCAAGTCAAGCTCAGAAATATCTTTTATATATGAGACAAATTACTACTATATATTATCATGAAAAACTGTCTTAAAATATTTTTAAAATATGTTTATATTGAGGGTGATTGGTTTTTAAATTAGGTAAATAAAAGTTTAAGTAAATGAATAATTTTATTTGGTTTTTAAATTAGGTAAATAAAAGTTTAAGTAAATGAATAATTTTATTTGCAATTATTCAAACTCAAATTTTCACTGTTAAACAGTAGTCAGAGGAATTCTGCAAAAACTGTAACTGTCAAGCAAATGAATCCTAAAATGCTTAAGAATAAAGTATCTTTCCCCTAAATGTTTTCCTAAATACCTCCAAATAGCTTTCATACATTTAAAGAGCTTCTTTCAGGTATCATCTGTCTAATTTTCAAAAACTTGGCTTTTCACTTTGGAACAGTACTACAGAATCAGTACTATAAACAGAAGTGCTATTGTCAAAGAACTGATTCAATAATAAGGAGCGCTAAGGCCACTTGTCTTACAGAAAATTACCGCCAAATACTGCCAGACCCTGCTTTTCTTCCTTCTGGGCCAGTAGCCAGATACGAATCATAGCTAGACCCTTTCTAATTTTTAATACACAAAATGGTACACAATAACACATCTAAACCAGAAAGTATTTTAATGAATGGTTTCCATAATTCATCTAATGTTTTGGCATATATACACACACATTACACACATGCATGCACACACAAATATATATACATACACTTACAAACATATACATATACACACATTTATACACATATACATATATATGCATAGTCTATAATATCTTTAGAAGTATACATAAAAAACTGTTAACAATGGCTGCCTCTGGGACAACTGTTTCTATCTCTGAATTTTGTTATGTTTTTCTAATAACTATTCAAAATTTATCTATTAAAAGGAGAAACAACAATAAAGAACAATAATTCTAGATAAAATATATTTTACCTTACAAGACATCTGAGGCATTCTTTTAAAAATTGTTTTATTATAAATATTTTAATATCTAATTGTTTATGAAACAATTTACAATGTTTCAACTTCACTTATAACCAAAGAAATACAAATTAAGTAAGATATTTTGCTTATCAAATTGCAAATGTTTTTTTAAAACTAATGTTTCATATTGGCATATAAATTAGCAACTTTCTAGAAAGCAATATGGCAATGTCTAATTTTTTTAAGGTCTTATCTTTTGACTTAATGTTTTTATTCCTATTCTTTAAACAAATCAGGTAGGGAGAAAGATTATGTACTAAGATTTACATAAATGTTATTAGCAGAGAGAATAAATTATTTTAATACATTTGAAATAATCTTATAATAAGAGATTAGTTAATTCATCTTTAATCATTTAATGATCATCTAGCATGTGAGAGGAACCATGTGAGCTTAAGAATTATGTGTGTTCGTATGTTTATTGCGGCACTATTCACAATAGCAAAGACTTGGAACCAACCCAAATGTCCATCAATGATAGGGTGGATTAAGAAAATGTGGCACATACACACCATGGAACACTATGCAGCAATAAAAAAGGATGAGTTCATGTCCTTTGTAGGGACATGGATGAAGCTGGAAACCATCATTATCAGCAAACTATCGCAGGGACAAAAAACCAAACACCACATGTTATCATTCATAGGTGAGAATTGAACAATGAGAACACTTGGACACAGGAAGGGGAACATCACACACAAGGGCCTGTTGTGGGGTGGGGGGAGGGACAGCATTAGGAGATATACCTAATGTAAATGACGAGTTGCAGGTGCAGCACACCAACATGGCACATGTATACATATGTAACAAACCTGCACGTTGTGCATATGTACCCCAGAACTTAAAGTATAATTAAAAAAAAGAATTATGTGTGTATATGTGTGTATATATATGGAGATATGTTTTATTATATATTTAAATGAAGCGCTTTGCCAAAAAATGAATTTTTATGGCCACCAAAACACATGCACAAAATTGTTTATGGTAGCTTTGTTTCTAAGAACTAAACACTGGAAACAGCCCAAATGTCTGTCAACAGAAGACGCAAATAGACACTCGTATAATGAAATAATACAGAGCAATGAAAAAGAATTACTACTACTAACTCAAAAAACATGGATTTCACAGATGTAATGTTCAACACAGGAAATTAGACATAAAAGAATGATTTGATTCCACTTATATGAATTTCAGGAATAAACACAACTAATCTATAGTGATGGGTATCAGAAAAGTGGTAACTTTCGTTAAGCAATGACTAAGAGAGTACAGGAGGGAAGCTTTCAAGGTCCTGGAAATGTTCTCTATCTTGATCTGATTGTTGGTTACATGTTTACATATGTAATTCATTGAGCTGTATACTTATGATTTGTGTACTTTATTGTATATATTTTTTCTTCGAGTCCTATCAAATTTTTTAAAAAACAGAATGGATGGGCCAGGGGCAGTGGCTCACGCCTGTAATCCAAGCACTTTGGGAGGCCGAGGTAGGCGGATCACCTGAGGTCGGGAGTTTGAGACCAGCCTGACCAACATGGAGAAATCCCATCTCTACTAAAAATACAAAATTAGCCGGGAGTGGTGGCACATGCATGTAATCCCAGCTACTCAGGAGGCTGAGGCAGGAGAATCACTTGAACCTGGGAGGCAGAGGTTGCGGTGAGCCAGATCAGGCCATTGCACTCCAGCCTACGCAACAGAAGCGAAACTCCGTCTCAAAAAAAAAAAAAAGGAATAGATGGAATGGAAAGTTCCTCTTCCTCCATGCCTGCCAGCAAGAAAGAAAGAAAAGAAGAGATGAGAGGCTTAGATCAAATGATCTTTTAAGCTCCTGCTTTAAAGTTCCACTGTCTTATTAATTCAACAAAAATTTGAGCACCTACTTTGTAAAATGCACCGTTCTGTATGTTGGGGATACAATATTGACTAAAATGGGTAAAAATCCCTATCCTGGAGGGTCTTATGTTTTTTAATTTTTCATTTAATTTAACTCTTTTTTTTGAGACAGGGTCTTACTTTTTTGCCCAGGCTGATCTCAAACTCCTAGGCTCAAGCAATCCTCCAACCTCGGCCTCCGAGGTAGGTGGGACTACAGGCATGCATCACCGTGTCCGGCTCTTACACTTTTTTTTAGTAGGAGTAGAAAGACAATAAAAATCTAGAGTATGTTGGATAGTGAAAAGCACAAAAAAGAAACAAAGCAGGCAAGAAGGATAGGAAGAGTATGTGTGGAAGAGATATTGTCATTTTAAACAAGGTGACCAGTAAAGTTCTCAGATAAAGGATAATACTTTAATTAAGACCTGAAGGAAGTGAAGGAGGGAGACATTTGGATATCTGAAAGAACATGTTAAAGACCTCATGAAACAGTGAGGAGTGTGGCTGAAGGAAAGTAAGCAAGGTAAGATTAGTAAAAGCTGAGATTTAAAAAAAAAAAAAAAAAACTTTTCCCAAGTCTTTTTCTCTTTCTACACCATTCCAACTCTTCATTTAAAGACTTAAGTAGAAACTTTTCTATATAGAAATTTCTGTAACCACTAGCCCAGCCCACATTTACCTAATCTTCTGAGCTGCTAAAGTTATACTACTCATGGTTATCTTTATACACTACCTTGCAATTAGATATAAACTGCCTTCCGCTCCCAAACAGACCAAGCTTCTTCATGGCAGTGACTAGATTTTATGCATTTCTGTATTCCTATTAGTTGGCCCATGGTTGGCACTTAAATGATAACTGGTAAGACTGATGCTAATAACAACTCAGCAGGCATAAGATCAGTAAACTGTGGACAAATTTTAAGAAAGAAAAAGAGGAAGGAAAGGAGCCAAGATTAGGGAACCATGTGCTTCAGGCACTGGCGTGTCTCCATGTGTCATGATCCAAAGTCAGGATTTTCTCTGATTGTCCTTAAGACTCTCAGATCCTCAACATTACTTTTATAAAAAGTCATTCTAGGCTTTTGCTTCTTCCCCTTGAGGGGGAAAATCAAGCATCTGGTATCCCTTTCAAGCAATAGTTTTTGTTTGTTTTGTTTTGTTTTGTTTTTTGTTTTTGAGATGAGTCTTGCTCTGTCACCCAGCCTGAGTGCAGTGGCGCGATCTCAGCTCATTGCAACCTCTGCGTCCCGGGTTCAAGCAATTCTCCTGCCTCAGCCTCCCGAGTACCTGGGATTACAGGTGTGCACCACCACACCTGGCTAATTTTTGTATTTTTAGTAGAGACGGGGTTTCACCATGTTGGCCAGGCTGGTCTCGAACTCCTGAACTCAAGTGATCCACCTGCTTCAGCCTCCCAAAGTGCTGGGATCACAAGTGTGAGCCATCGCACCCGGCCTTTTTTTTTTTTTTTTTTTTTTTTTGAGACAGAGTCTAGGTCTGTCGGCCAGGCTGGACAATCTCGGCTCACTGCAACCTCCGTCTCCCAGGCTCAAGCAATTTTCCTGCCTCAGCCTCCCGAATAGCTGGGATTACAGGCGTGTGCCACCACGCCCGGCTAATTTTTGTATTTTTAGTAGAGACGGGGTTTCACCATGTTAGCCAGGCTGGTCTTGAACTCCTGACTTCAGGTAATCCGCCCGCCTCGGCCTCCCAAAGTGCTGGGATTAGAGGCGTAAGCCACCGCGCCTGGCCTCGAGTAATAGTTTTATAACACCAGTGTTCACAACCAGCTTAACAAAGAAAATCTTATAGACCAACTAACTGTGTGATCTTCAGCACCCCATTCCACCACTCTTGCATGTGTGCTTCCTCATATGCTAAAGGAAGGAGTTGGATTAAATGGTCTCTAAAGTCCAATCAATCTCAAATTGTCTACTTTAGCTTTTTTGGAAGAACTGAATGGATAAACTTTACAACCTACTTCTTCAATTTACAAAATGAATTAAATATGTTAATAATTTTAAACACTGAATAAGCAGTCATATTCAGAAAACAGTGTAGTATTAGAAAAAGCATAGAGTCTGGAGACAGTCAGACCTACATGTAGTCATAGTCTGCATCTTAGTAGATAATGACGCTGAGCAAATTATTAAATGTTTAGGATTTATTTTGAAAATGAATGGCAATGTATGTAAAGCAATTATTAAAGCCTATATAAAAACCTGCATACATCAGCTACTATCATTTTCCAAGTAAAAAGCAGCCAAGGTAAAATATCTACCAAATAATGATGTCCAAGATTTAAAACACCCAAACTAGTTAATATCTCTTCTAGCAATTTTAGAGATAAGGATTAGTAGTTGCCTCAAAATTCTACAAGACTTTTCTGCAAGTTTAACAGTGTAACCATCACCTCTTAAAGTGCGAGAAGTCTTATTTCTTAAACACAAAGCTAAGAACTACCATTCTCATATCAGCTTATGGTCACAGGGCAAGAGAATAAGATACTTTAGAAACTCCCAAATTTTAGGAAAACAGGATAAGACTGAGATTTGAGTTTAACTCACTTCTGACATCATGAACACATCAATCTTGGTACTGAGAGTTCAAACATGTAATGATAGCCAACTATGCA
Source organism: Homo sapiens (assembly GCF_000001405.40). NCBI lineage: Eukaryota > Metazoa > Chordata > Mammalia > Primates > Hominidae > Homo > Homo sapiens. The sequence continues at coordinate 69,165,754 of NC_000015.10, read as the reverse complement.
TAAACAAGCAACAGGAAGTCAAAAAGTAATAAGACAAATATAAACCTGCCTTTGAGTCCAGGAGGAAAGAGAGACTTAATTACAACACATTAGTAAACACAAGAGAATGAATGAACATGATACAGTGAGTATATAACACCTAGGGTTGGGAAGAGGGAAGACCAGAAGACTTAAAAAGCAGACAGTAAAGAAAGAAAAAAAAGAAAAAATGGTAACTAAAAAAGAGCTAAAAAAAAAAAAAAAAAAAAAGCAGACAGTGCTTACGTTGTATCTTAAAAAATCAGTAGACTTTGCCAGCAAGACAAGAGAAGGAAAGACATCCTAAATAGTGGAGAGAACATATGTGAAGGCTCTGAGTCAGGAAACAGTATGGCTCATTCAGTAAACTGCTCGTATTAGTACAAGTGCAGCTTTAGATTTATGGTGGGGGAAATGCATAAGATTAGTCAGATGATGAAAGGCCTTGTAACGATAGAGAGTTGGGCTGATAAAGTATGGGCTTTAAGAAAGAAGGGCAGGGAGAGACAGCATCAGGAAGAGAAGAATAGCTAGTGGATGCTGGGCTTTATACCTGGGTGATGGGATGATCTGTGCAGTAAATCACTATGGCACATGTTTACCTGTGTCACAAACCTGCCCATTCTGCACATGTGCCCCTGAACTTAAAAGAAAAGTTGAAAGATAAATAAATAAATCTCAGTAACATTTCTAAGAAAGAAAGAGAAAGAAAAGAGAAAAGAAACAAGAAAAGAAGCAATGAATAGATTTGCACTTCAGAAAAATCACCTTGGCAGTAATGTAAGGATGGATTAAAGGGGATCAAGTCTGGAGGCAACCACTAGAGACCTCATTCTATATCCAGAGTTAAGTAAGGACATATTATTATATAGATAATCTACTACAGAACCAGGGATTGGAACTAAAAATAATAATGCTTTAACAGATAAAGCTAAATTATCTAAAGAAAATCACTCACCTTCATGAATCTATATTCTGGAATTAAATACTTGCCATGTACCTTTAAAAAGAAGAGGCTTCTAAAATTAGGTATAATATGTAAAAATTACATGGAACTAGTTGTTTCTTGAGAACTAGCTACTCTTAAGGTATCTCTTCCTTTTTGTACATACAATACTTCAGACTTGCAACACAAAAACTCTAAGTGTGTGTATATGTATCTTTTTATACACATATTTTATATATTATACATATTATATACATATATGGCATATGTATATAACAACATACACATGTCATATATGTATATATTAAAGCAAAAGTATATATTATATATAAAATGTATGTAAGTATAATTCATATATGTATATATGAAAACTGGGGCCCTGAAAGATTAAGGAATTATCCAAGGACACACCATGAGTAGCACAGTGAAGACTGGAATTCATGTCTTATGATTTCCTTTCTAGAAACTGCTTTAGTATATCATATTTATGATTCTAGAACTCTGAATGATAATTCAAAAGACACTTTGGTACTGTCATTTTCAGCAGTGTAATAATGAAACTATAAAATTATTTGTATGGTTCGTATGCTTCACAAGCAAAATATATCTATCAGATGTGTATATGTTTGACAAAAAGAAATTTCCTGAAGTCTGTACCACAATAAGAATACCTATTCCCCCACCCTATTCTCCTCTAGGAAATCTAAAAACTTCCTTTTGCAAACTCAGGAAACAATTAAATTTGATAAAAGAAAGTCCTAAAATTAATTTATCTTTACATAATTAAATATCCAACAAACTTAACATGTTTTAACATTTTACTTAGGTCTGTGTCTTTTCTTATTTTGTTGTGCTACCCACCCCACCCTGCACACCCTTATAATTTTCAGATACTTGAAATACCCTTTTCCTTCATTAGTATACACGGGTACAACTGGCAATACTGACAAAAGCCTTATAAATACTGTACATTTCACCATTTGCATAGTGACTGAAATGTTTTAATTTTAGGGTTTCTCTAACTTGTACTTAAAAGTAATGTCTGCTCATTGAAATAGATTCAAGTAATATAAAACTATAAAATTAAACCGCTCTCTTCTATGCCTCTGCAACTCCCTCCTGAAGAATCCAAACATGGTTAAGTCTGATGTGTATCCTTATAGGCTTTTGTATGCTTACGTAGCACAATCATCTACAAAGAGTCAACATACATTTAACACCTAAAACTCTACTGATTGTAATTTAATCTTTCTTTACTAATTCAGAAGGCAGTTAACTATTTTGCTTGGTTTCTTATTATCACAACACACATCAATCGTATCATCATTCAGGGGTTACTAAAAAAAGAGAGCTGAATCTTAAGTACCTTGTGTATTTCTTCCTTAGCAGTATCACAATTTTTAACTGTATTTATTTGTTTTCTTCCTCTCTCTGGACTTAAAGGGGAAAGTCACATGACAGCTTTAATCAGTGTACATCCAGCGCTGTGACACCTAGCAGATAATCAAATATGTGTTGACTTATCAGTCTATGCCTTACTTAGAAATGATGAAAGCTGCTTTTTAGAAAAAAAAAAGTTTCTGAAACCTGCTTAATTTGTTCTTTGTCTTTCTCTCAAAAAAAGGAAAAATAAGATCTGCTTACAGGTTTGGGGGCTGTCATTCCAACCAAATATCTGCTCAAGCAATCAGTTGTGATAGCTGTAAATGTCAACCAGGTATTTTGGTCTGAATAACAACAACAACAAAACTTATTTTAAACCCTTCAAAGTCTTAAATATTGCTGTGCGGGATTCCTTTGTTTTTCAAAATGATGTAAAATTCCAAAATTAAGTACATTATCCCTAATCTGTCTGGTTCTAAGATCAGAAAAAATGACATCTTTTAAAAAAAATTGTATCTAAGAGGCCTGGCATGGTGACTCACGCCTCTAAATCCCAGTACTTTGGGAAGCTGAGGCTGAAGGATCACTTGAGGCCAGGAGTTCAAGACCAGACTGGGCAACAGCGCAAGACCTTGTCTTTAATTAATTGAATAAATAAATAAATAAAATTAGTGAGGCGTGGTGGCACATGCATGTAGTTCCAGCTCCTCTACTGGGGGTGGGGATGGGAAGCTGAACTGGGAGGGCTGCTTGAGCTTTGGAGGTCGAGGCTGCAGTGAGCCATGGTAGCGATGCTACAACCTAGCCTGGAAGGCGGAATAAGTCCCTGTTTCAAAAGAAACAAACCAAAAAACAAGAAAAAAAAAAAACTGACACGAAGAAAAAGACTAAGGCAGGCAAAATTATTTGCTTTGGTATACTCAAATTTGTCTGTTAACCCCAGATTACATATTTACAGAACAGCTCTGAGTACGGACTTCACTGCCTGCCACATTAACTTTCATATACAGGCCTCTGTGATAGAGTAACTAACCAAAAGAAATGTCAGGCAAACACATAGGCTTTCTCACCTATACGCTGTTTTTTTTTTTAACCAATACACATACATACAAGTCATTTTATTTAAATCCCACCTACGCCTACGCTAGTTACCAAAACCTCTGTAATATCCAAGGCTAAATACACTTTTACAATACAATGAAACTGTTAAGCAGAATTCTCTAAAAAAGCTCGATTAACCATCCTTACAGGTCACAGAAAACGTTTTTGCAGAGTTCTAGCTTTGGGATTTCAAATTCCATTGTTTTCTGGAGGCTGAATTTGACGTTATCCCTCTCTACAAATGCTTTTCAAAGGACAGAAAGAAGCCAGACAGAACACGCTTCCCTGCACTATCCGACTCTGCCTAACATTCACTCAGGCAAGACTTCAGAACAGATCTAATCATGCAGGATGAGCAAAGCAGACCACCACCTAGGAAAGCAAGCCAAAATCAGTCTTCCCCACCCTCAACAGATTCCAGTTGCTCAGGAGCTGTATCCACGCTCAACCTGCGGACACCGGCCTCCTAAAGAACCTGCAGACCAAACGCCCACCTAAGGTGCTGCCACTCTAGCTCCCGGAGCTCCAGCGAGACCAGCGCGCCCCCACAGGGATCCCGGGGCAGAGAAAAGAAAACTGCAGAACAAACGCACTGCTTCTTCAACTAGGCAACAACACCGATCAATCCTCCAACTAAGCATTGAGTAAATCTCATCCAGAGAGAAGGAGACCTGAACAAAAACGTTTCAGGATGCTGCCCAGCCTGCGCGGTAGCACCAAAGCCCTCTCCCGCCCTCAGCGGACCCAGCGCCTGCGGAGCCGCGCCCACCCCGAGAGACTGCCCGGGGGCCAGCTAACTCGCCCCGTCGCCCCCAAAAGACTGGAGACCATGCCAAGTTACCGCCCCGCTCCGGGCAAAGCAGAAACCCCGGCCAGACGCTGGTCGCCGCTACACACCCTCAGCCCCCAACAACCCCCCAAGGCGGCCCCGGCCCCAGCGGAACGGATACATCGCTCTCTCACCCGGAGACACCGATGAACAGACCCCTCTCCCCAGAACCCGGACACACTGCTTCTTCATCCCAGCAATGCGAAACGGACGCCCACGCCCGCTCAAAGAACCCCCAAGACCCCGATGATCTGCCTCCAGAGACAAGGTTTACACCGGTGTAAACCTTGCTAAACTGCATTCTCTGCCCCAAAGAGCTCGGGACCCGGGTAAAAAGACCCCTTGTCCCGGAACCCCGCTACACCACCTCCAAGAAGCTCAAGACCCTGATAAATCTCCCTCGACGTCAAAGACCTAGGACCCCGTGTGCCGCCACCCACCCCTACCCCAAGCCGGAAGAGCCCCCAGGATCCCTAATACATTGCCCCCTCACCTCGGGAGCTCCGGCACCCGCTACACCGCCCTTGGGCGCCCGCGCCCGGATCCCACTGCACCGCCTCCTCGCCCCCCGGACTCCCAAACCCCGCCAAGCCTCGCGCCCACCAGGCAGCGCCGCGCAGCCCCCAGAGCCGCCCCCGTCAGGAGCCCGCCTGCTCCGGCTGCTCCGTGTCCCCGCTCCCCGACCGCTCCTCAGCGGAGACGCGCTCCGGGCTTTCTAACCTGAGCAGCGTCGGAGGGCGAGCAGACACGGGAGCCCTGAGGAAGAGAAGGAGACAGCAGAGAAGGGGTGGCTCAGGCCTGCGGTGCCGCAGCTCCAGCCTCTCGGCAAGGAAGCGCTTGTGTGAGGAGAGCCCTCCCGCTCCGCGCGCAGCCGGGAGACCGAGCCACCGCCGTGCCCGCAGCTCTTCCCGCGAGATCCCAGCCACGGCAAGGGGCGGGGCCACGGCGGGGGGCGGTAGCGGCAGCTCCTCGAGTGACAGTCCTGGCAGCCTGTCGGCTGCAGGACGGGCGGCAGGACTCGGAGTCTACTACGACCAATTGTAAAAAAGGAAAGGTGATTCTCCCCGCCCCTTCTCCGCCCCTCTTCTTCTCCGCTCCTCCTTAATAAACTGTGAGCAAAGGTAGTAGTGACCAGAAGTAGTAGGAGGCAGTGGACTTTCGCGGTAAGGTAGCTCGAATGACGTGACGTGCTTGGCTTGTGTGTGGTCCTGCTAGGCCGCCGTAGATACACCTGGTTTGGGGAAGAGGCTGGTCTTCACACCGGTGTAAACCGAGGTGCGGTTACCCTTGGTTACAGCGCTGCCCGAAGTGCGCTGGGGATTCCCATCTTCCAGGTTGAAGGCCCACCCACTCCGGTTACCCGCGTCTAAACCTCCATTTAATTCCTTTCCCCGATTTGGGCCTCTCCTCCCTCTCCACCTCAAACAGGGCACCATTGTTAAGATGCCCATGTTTTCCAAACCCCAACCCAGGACATCTGGTCTGACAAAGAACTCGTCTGATGACTGTATTTATTTCTACATACAGCCTTCCAGAAGAATGAAAAGCAAATCTCGAGTTACCAACATAACAAATTCCAAAATTAATGAAAAGTCGTACCTTTATAGACCCCAGTGCCCAGTAGTATTTGGCACACCCAGGGCACTGAATAATGTGAAAGGAATGAATTAAGACTGTTAAATATATGCAAATCTCGAGTTACCAACATAACAAATTCCAACATTACATGAAAAGTCGTACCTTTGTAGACCCCAGTGCCCAGTAGTATTTGGCACACCCAGGGCACTGAATAAGGTGAAAGGAATGAATTAAGACTGTTATACTTAAATATATTAAATCTGGACCTGGCCCCAGAAAATTCGGCTTTCCTAGCCTTTCCTCTATAATGTGAGCCAGTGGCTTCACCCTTAAATCCAGGCTCTTCATTATTATGCCTATCCTGTACCTTCATTCATCTTACCCTCTTCACTCCCTCACCCACAGCAAGAAGTGCCCTTTCTCCTCAAGGTTAAATCTTGCACCTGTGCCCTGGATCCCAGCCATTCCCAGATTTTATTCAGCTATTCTTTCTTTCCCCATTATTAATTTCTTCCTCTAACCTAAATCTTTCTCCCACAAACATAGTCTCGCCCATCCTTTGAACAGAACAAAGCCACCCAATCTCTTCCACCCAAACTACCTTCTCCTTTCTCCTAGGAATCACACTTCTTGGGAAACATTATATTTGCTGCTGAGCACTGTGGCTCATGCCTGTAATCCCAGCACCTTGGGATGCCAAGGTGGGAGGATTGCTTGAGGCCAGGAGTTTGAAACCAGTCTGGGAACATAATAAGGCTCCCCTATATGCAAAAAATAAAAAACTAGCCGGGTGTGGTGGCACACACCTATAGTCCCAGCTATTCGCGGTGGGGGAGGCGGGGTGCTGAGATGGGATGATCGCTTGAGTGTGGGAGGTTGAGGCTGCAGTGTACTGTGACCAAGCCACTGCACTCCAGCCTGGGCCACAGATTGAGGCCCTGTCTCTAAATAAATAAATAAAAGTATACTTGTTGTCTCCACTTTCTCATCTCTTATTTTTCCCACTACAGCGTTGCTTTTGCTCACACAATCTGCTATTCTTTCAATGGTTACAAAAGACCTCTTACCTTCTAGAATAATGGTCTATTTTGGGGTATCTTTCTCATGACCTCTCTCAGCTTATTGACAATGCTGACATCTCTTCCCTTAGTAGCTGCCTAACTACATTCTCCTGATTCTTTGGCAACTCTTCTTTTTTTTTTTTTTTTCCCTGTCCCTTGTCCTGGTTTGAAAACTTGCATATTTATGTCTCCTTATCTTATAGCCACACCTTGTGCATAATATGAAAAATGGCCACACACAGTTGCACACTTTGAGTGCCAATAAGTGGCTGAGACAAAAGCTGTTAGAAGAGTCCAGAGGAGGAGACATGGCTGTGAGGCTTGAGCTGGGTCATAATGAAACACTACGTTGGCCATATAAATCCAAGGCAGAAACGGAGGCCTTTCAGAGGAGAAAAATAATGTGAACCTGAGCACAGAGAAAAGGATGTGGGCTGAGCCTGGGCTGTAGGTCGACAGGTTTGACAGATAGAAGATTCCTGCAGAGAGTAGCGGGAGGTAAGATTAGAGAAAAATCAAATAGTAAAAGGCCTTAAAAATCAGGCCAAGCCGATTTGACTTGGATTCCATATTAAATGGGGAGCCGGGACCAATTTTAATATTTGTAGGGACCATGAGAAGGCTACACATGGAGACCCACATACCAAATGTCTAAATATGTGAAAGTTAAAAAGCTAACAAATGGAGTACTAAAAGCATTATATCCTTTCACCTTGACAAATGTACTTTCATAACAACTTGGAAGACCCAGTTTGAATTGAGAATTCTGAGACTTCTCAGAGCTCCTTGCTGGAACAAGGCAGGTCAGAGAGAACTGCTCCCCACATGGAGCAGCCTTTACCCTTTGCTTCCCATGGCCCCTTCAGCCCTACAGTGCCAGGTACCCTCCACTCCATGAACGCACTAGCCCACATGTCCAAGCTCTGTCTTCACTTTCTCCCCTCCAAAACAGTCATTTCTTGGCTATTCCACAGGTCCAGGGGTGCATATCTCAGGATCTAGGGGAGAAGCCTATGCAGGCTCTGGAAGTGGCTCAGAGCCATTTGGGCAGGGAATACTGGCTCCTGGGTACCTGATGTGAGGTCTGAAGGGGTACAGTCACCTCCAGGTGGACACATTTCTTGGCTTAATGGACTCCTCAGATGTAGGAGCACAGCTGGGGAAGAGCCAGAGCAGAGCCTTTAAAGGGAAGCCCTGCCTGTCTGCATCTAAAGGTGGTAGCAGCAGAGCCACTGAATTTCTTGGTAGGGTAATGACATGTAGAGTTGATCTATACCTTGAAGTATAAATATGTGCATTTTCTGTTTCCCACACCCTCTGCCTTTGCACGAGTATCTTAATAGCAAGAATGTACTGGAAAGACTCTATCCTTTTCTCCAATGCTCAATTTCATAAATTACACCATTCTATGATTCCCTTGTTAATTAGTGCATCAGAAACCTGGTAGTCTCTAAATGTGAGAAAATAGAAAAGCTATGAAGTGCTCTCAGCCTGGAATCAAGCTTGAAACACTTACATTTGACTTCTAGATAAAAATGCTTTGGAAGTAGAAGCTTTTGGAGAGGCCCATTTGAAGGGTACACAGGCAGTAAGAGTACTCAAAAGGCAGTGAGCTGCCACGGAGGGGGGCACCCCTCTCGCCATCTGTCTTTATGGTGCGATGTTTCACTCTGTGGTCTGACAGTCATGCTCTGTTCCCGCAACCTCTCCATCTGGTACCAAGTGCTCCCTTCCTCATGTTTTGCACTTAGAGCCACCAAGGGGCCAGAACCACTATGGTCTCTGTTTTAGCTATCCAAGCCTAGAATTCTGCCTGTGGATCCTGCACGTCTCTCAGCAGTGCTGCAGATAATTTTAGTGTGAGGCTTTGGCACTTGCTTGATCCCAGAACTGGGATCTACTTGTAGCCTCACTGTCACCATCTGTGACTGGCCTTTGCCAACCTGCAGAACAGAACTAGCTAGCTTCTTACTCAGGTCTTACCATCTGCTGCCTGCATTCTGACCTATTAGTCTAAGTGAGCACAGCCAAGCAGTTCTATCCCTGTTCAGAAGCCTTCCTGGTGTCCCATTCTCTGAGCACTCCCCGAGTAAAGCTACCTCCTGGCCACTGCATATTCACAAGGGCACAGAAGCCAGTATTGTTTGAAAATCTGGCTCTCTCAGACCGAATTTCCACTTCATCTTTTTAGAGCTTTGGGGACCACCTATTTTGTTAGGTTGGAAGCATGAAATTCTCTGTAAATTACCCCAAGACTGAGGGAACAGTACTTATCTGTCCATTTGCTGACTCCAGACTAAACCCCTGACCTTGATTGGTTTGTTCATCTGTATGTGTTTTGCACCTAGCCAATCATAAAGGAGGGAAATAAAAGAACAGTGGCAGTTTAAAAATATGTCCCCAAATTATTTGATATACCATCTCTCAAAAAGTAGGCCTCAATTCCCCTCACCCTGAGTATGGGCTACACCTAGTGACTCACTTCTAGCGAGTAGAATATGGACAAAGTGACTGCTTTTGAGACAAGGCCATAAGAGGCATTGCAGCTTCTTCCTTGGTGTCTCTCTTTGATCACTCATTCTGGAGGAAGCCAGCTGCCATGCCTTCAAGCAGGGGTCTCCATAAGCAAGAAACTTAGGCTTGCAGCCAATACCCATGTGAATGAGCCACCTTGAAAACCCCAGTCCAGCCCCAGCAAAGCCTTCAGATGACTACTGCCCCAGGCCAACACCTTGACATAACTTCATGAGACATCCTGAGCCAGAACCACCCAGCTAAACCTCTCCCAGATTCCACACAGAAAATGTGTGAGATAATACATGTTTATTGTTGAACACGTTTATTATGAAGCTACTTCATGTTGGGATCACTTTTTACATAGCAATAGATAGCTAATACAAGTGTTGAGTGTAGTTCAGTCTACTCTTATTCCTGGACAAAAGAGGTAAAAACTTACATCCTTCTAATCATCAGGCCCTAACATTATGTAAAGAGCAAAGGACAATGGCTCTGTAGCCATAACTCTTTACATCGGAAACTCAACTGGAACTGCACCAAAAGTAAGTAGAAGAAACCATTTCTTGGTGGAAACAACGATTCCAGTGCCTTCAGACTCTCCAAAGCATCACAGCAATTAGAGATAACAATAACCGCAGAGCCATTTGGAGATAGTTAACAGTAGGTCTTGAGGAGCAGAGAAAACTTTGTCTCTCCAAACCTTAGAATGCTTCACAACCAGACTGTTTTCATCTAGTCTTGTGGGAAAGTATGTTTTTATGAAAACAGAAGAGAAAACTCAAACATCCTCTTACCCATCCATATTAGCTAAGAATAAAAAGTTGAAAATTCCATCTATAAGGACTCTGTCAAAATAGAATTTACATCCTGACAACATTAAAGTGCCCATGTGAGAGCAAGAGGTGTTTGACAGCAAGAAGACTGAAATTCTTTCTGAATATAATACTATATTTCTGAAGTCTTATCATCGTGAATTAAAATTCAGTGAAAGAATGATTTCTTTATTAAATTAAAAATGAGCAAAATCCCCATAAAAAGGAGACCAGCTGGCTGAGTTATGTACATTGCCTGTATAACTTCATTTTACATATATAAGAGCCATATAGATGGGCCATACATACAAAGAGTTGAATGATTTCCAAATTGACCAGGAGATAACTTATAGCTAAGAAAATATATTTGAGATACATTTGGATCTCCATGATTCAAATGCCATAACACAGACGTGTTGACCTTCGATTTCCTTTAGCAGTGAGGGCAAATTTAAGTTTTTGAACTACACAATCCCAGAGAAAATCTGAGTCTTCCACCCTTCCCTCAACCCCCCATTCTGAAATATAATGAACAAATACTTATTGGATGACTCCTACGTGTAAGAATGCAAGTATAAGCTACAGATCTTGCCAGAAGCTGTAGGAAGAAGGAAGCAGATGGAGAGAGGACTTCCCCCAGAGATAGAAAAAACTTCCACTCCTGGAGCCCATGGGTGAGGTCAGCCTCATGGAACTGCATGAATGGAGCGTGAGACGTGGGTGGTTCCACAAAGGAAAACTGAGATACTGTTATCACAGGAATAGGTAAAATATCTCCATTTTCCTTTGCGGGGGGTGGGGGAGAACTCATGCAGACTAAAGGAAAATTCGAAATACACAGTACCTTGCATGTATTAAGAGTAAGTTCTCTTTTTTACTTAGAGCAATTTGAGATCAGTCTCACCACTTGCACCTGAAAGAGTCCTAACACTAGTGGCCTGAGACTATTGCACAGAGAAGATGGAATATGAGTTGTTCTCTCAGAATATGAGTTGTTCTCTTAGAAGATGGAATATGAGTTTTATAAACAGAAGGATAGGAGGTGCTTCTGGATAGAGAAAATAATGTAAACAAAAGCTTAAAGTCAGTGAGTAAAAATGTCTGGTGGAAGGAACAATTCATCTCAGAAAGGAAGTTAATATAGAAATAGAGGTCAGGATCAACATACAAAAGGGCTTAAAGAAGGCCAGGTGGAGTCTGAACTTTATTCTGTAGAGTCTGAACTTTATTCTGTAGCCAACTCCAATCCATCAGAGGCTTTTGAGCAGAAGAATGACCTGGTCAAACCAGAGTTTAGGGGAAGATTATTCTGGTATGATCTCATGAGCTGAAGTGGGGAAATCCTAGACATGAGACAATGAGGGCACAACCCAAGTACAGATTCTGTCCAAGATGGAATTACCTTCACAGTAGGTGACCACTCAGCAAGGCAGAGCTAATCAGCTTATTACCAAACTGCAAGGGGACTCTTGATGAAGTTTTGACTTTGAGATTTAGTATTTAAGATTGGTTATGTATACATTCCACAGATATTTACTATGAGCCCAGCACTCTGATAGATGTTTGATACAAAATAATAGACAAGACAGTGTGAAGACTAAAATTAATGAAGTATACTTCTGTGAAATAAATAACTAAGCACAACTATGAGAAGTGCTATGAAAATTACTTGTGCTCAAATGCCCATCAGTGATAGACTGGATAAAGAAAATGTGGCACATATACACCATGGAATACTATGTAGCCATTAAAAAGGATGAGTTCATGTCCTTGGCAGAGACATGAGTGAAGCTGGAAGCCATCATTCTCAGCAAACTAACGCAAGAACAGAAAACTAAACACCGCAGGTTCTCACTCATAAGTGGGAGTTGAACAATGAGAACACATGGACACAGGGAGGGGAACATCACACACCAGGGCCTGTCGGGGAGTGGGGGGCTAGGGGAGGGATAGCATTAGGAGAAATATCTAATGTTGATGTAAATGATGGGTTGATGGATGCAGCAAACCACCATGGCACGTGTATACCTGTGTAACAAACCTGCACGTTCTGCACATGTATCCCAGAACTTAAAGTATAATTTTTTAAAAAAAGAAAAAATAATAAAATTATGATGCTATCAGATCATATATCAGGGGGCCTAATCCCAGTCTCATTAAGTCCCTGAGAGTCAGTGAATGCTTGTCAGAAGAAGTAACATCCAAGATGAGACGTGAAGCAGGAGTAGGAGTTAGCACGGTGAAGGAGGTTGACAAGCAGAACACTCCAAGCAGAAGCATGCTAAGATTAGATGGTATTTTGATCAAAGATCTGACAAAATTCCAATGTGGCTTTCCTCCAATGATAAAGAAAGAGTCTAAAGAGTTAGGTAGGAGGCAGGATTATGCAGGGTCTTGTGTGCTATGGAAAAGGCTTTGGGACTTTATCCTAATAGCAATGTTGGCATGTTTTTCTGAGGTTGGTCAATTCCATTATCTGTTCTGATTATACATGAAAGCCAAGGAAAGGACCCATCTCTTGCATATTCCAAGTAGGTGGTCAACAGATGGTGTGACTCTGAGGTTTTGGAGAAGGGCTTCTACTTTGAAAATATCTCCCCTGCTTGCAAACTGATGTCTAAAATTTCTTGAACAGGGAATCATTTGATACAACAACGGAAGATTAAATTAAAGCAACTTACATTTGCACCAAAGTGCAAACAACTCACAGCTCAACCTATTCCTGAGAATAGGTTTTGAGGTCACAGGGAAGTGGAGGACAGAAAGAAATATGATACCTAAAGTAGGAAGAAGAAAAGCTACAGAGAGGGAAAAGATGCACACAAAAGAACTACTAGTGGCACCAGAGAGAATACCTAATACGTCGTACGCGCTCATCAAATATTTGTAGGAAGAAATGAGAGAAAGGAAGAAATAGAGCTCATAGTTGTATCAAGACTTGCCTCCTATTTCACATAAGCACACTGGCTCTTTTCTCCCTCAGCCCACACATATCATGTACTGAGAAGACTAAGGCCAAGGAAAATAGAGAACAGAGCACAAATCCATTTTCCAAGCCGAGGGTGGTGGTTCATACATGCAGTTCCAGCTACTGAGGAGGCTGAGGTGGGAGGATCACAGGAGTTCAAGGCTGCAGTGAGCTATGATTGTGCCACTGCACTCCAACCTAGGTGACAAAGTGAGACCCTGTCTCTAACATATACACTATACATATAAATTTTCCAAAAGGCCTCAGAATGCATAGTTTGTAACTTTCTATCCTGGGACTATCCAATAAAACTCTGGCCTTGCCTTCCAATGAGAAAGACATCCTTGCTTTTAAAGTGTGTAACGAGAGAGAGAGAGAGAGAGAAACTTTTCCCCAGAAAGACTGGGAACCTGGAGAATGAACAGGGATGAAGCCCCATGAGACTGGTGGGCAGATAACCATGGGCAAACACTACATTTCTGTGCCTGCAAGGTGGAAGCCCAGCACCTAGATGGTGGTGACCCTCTGTCTCTGAGATCTCACTTGCAAAAGCCACTGCTTTTCTTCTGAAATTTCTTTAGAAGCCCCCAGAACAAACTGTTCATTAGCAACACCCAAAGGTTTTATTTAAATGGCCATATTGAAGCATTATTATTGACCAACAGTCATCCATACCTGTAGACTTTTTCACGTATATTAGGGCAGAAAATTCTAAGAAAAACTGCTTTTGAGTAACTAAGAATGGTTTCTCTTTTTCTTACCATGCCATGCAAAAGACAAACCTCCTATTTTCCTTGTTCACATTTCAACTAAATATTTTTGCCATATTCTTATAAGCTTCTGCTGTCAGAATAAAAATACTTCTAAAATAGCTTAGTAAACTCACTGTGTTAATGGTAACTTGACCTTTCACTGATTTCAAATTAAACAACAGGGAAACAGTAAGTTGCCTTAATTAAAGCTGTATCTTCATTAAAGGTTATTAGATGAGTAAGAGGAGGGATCCCAGAAAATCAGCATGTTCTGTGGTCATAACAACCCTGGCATTTTGAAGGCAGCGTGATTGAAAGGTCTAAAATTGAATTTGGTGATTGGATATCTCTGCAAAATATGAACCATGTTAACAATGATTTCTTTTCCTCAGTGTGTTCTAAAGATTGTTTCCATGGTGATCTACATTGTTTTGTCTAAATTTTTTCTCATGCCATTTTCCCCCTCCATCTAGATATTTGCAAAGCACCTATCACTTGAGTATCTCTTCTCTGAACAAGTCCCCGGGAGAGGAAAAAGAATATTTCTTGGAAGAAATGAAAGGCTGCCACTTATCAAAAAGATCCCAGTTTGCAAGATTATGTAGGGCTGGAGGTTCTCCCTAGGGGGGCTTCCCCCTGGGATCCACCTTCTGCTCAGGTGGTAGGAAGGCAAAAACCCTGGTCCCCATTTTCCGTGACTTCTGAAATTTCTTCTCAGGAGTCCAGTCATTTCCAGACTTTGGACTGAATGATAAGCTGGAGGGGGAGAAATAGGCTGGGTTGGAAAGAGATAGCACTTAGAAAACAGATGTTCCACTGCGTAGCAGAGAAAATGCTACTTGTACACCAGATTTTTTCATTTTCCCCTGGCACTCAGGAAGACTTCATTTTCTAGGTTAGGTTAGGTACTAGTTTTAACCAGTGATGATGAAGTCAGAGCAATGAATACCACTTCTTGGTCAGCCCCTAAAAAATCTCCTGATATCTCCTTTGCTGTCTTGCCTCTCTCATCCACTGGCTGGCTGGATACAAAGGAACCAGTTAAGGATTCCAGGGTCTTAGAAGATGGAGGGCCCACTGGATGGAAGGAGCATGTCCACGAATCATCTTGTAGTAGATTGTCGAACTCTTGGACTGATATGAGAAATAAACCTGTTACTGTGTTAAGCTACTGAGACGTGGGATTGTTTGTCAGAGCAGTTGGCCTATTCTGGCATTAACCAGTGAGACATGGCAGATTTCTGGTCAGACCCAGCAACAGATGGCAGCAGGAAGTCCATGCAAGGAAACAAACTCCAGTGACCAGAGATGAGATGGACAGGCAAGGGATCAGAGCCCAGATTGGAAGTCAAAGGTGGTCCTAGCAGCCATAACTTGGCATTAGCTGAGCATGATAGCAGGGAGTCTTGGACTCCAAGGACTGGGGCTCCCACAAGACTCCAGTCCCTGGGAACACAGTTTTCACAGTGAGGACAAGACGGAGTCTCTATTCTAAAGGATACAGCAGGAACACTTAGAAAGGAATCAGGCAGGGCAGGGGTTCAAGCAAAAGGAGGAGATATAGATCTGGCAACTTGGACCATGGCACAGGCAGAGGCTCAGCACACAGGGGAACAAGACAAGAACCTCTTTCCTGGTGTAGGGACCATGTCCAAGGAACAGAAGTGACAGCCACAGCACAACTGACTCAATGTCAATCCTCCGGGGTAGTAATACTGGAGGAGGGATTGGATAGAGTTGTATACAGGAGGAAACAAAGTAGCCTTGGCAACCACAGAGGACAGTAAGGCGTGGAACAAAGTCCATTAATGCAGTGGGAGATCAGGAAACCAGAGCTTAGGAGGTGAGACAAGTCAAGAGGCCATCTATGGGGATGGACCTGAGAGATGGCAGAAAGAAGAGGTTAAAGGAGTAATTGAGAAAAATCAGTGAGAATGGAGTTTAACAATCAGCCAAGTGCCTTCTAATACCAAGTCAAGTAGACTTCAAGGATGGCAGCAAGTGGGAGATGAGAATGGCACTTATAAGTTAAGAGATCAGGCAGTACCTAACACCAATCAACAATGAAAGGAGGACCAGGCATGGTGGTACACACCTGTAGTCCCAGCTCTTTGGGAGAGTAAGGTGGGACGATTGATTCAGCCTAGGAGCCAAGTGCAGTGAGCCATGATCATGCCACTAAACTCCAGCCTGGGTGACAGAGTGAGACCCTGTCTCTAAAAAAAAAAAGGAAAGAAAACCCTAAGGAAACGTTCTTCTCCCTCCCTTGCAGAACTGTAAATGAACTGTGTCCATATGTTAGTAAGATCTGGCTTTCCCCAAACATCACTGTAACCCACATGTTCTCACATAGACAATCAATACTCATCTCTTTCAGGAAAGAGGAGCTGGAATTATCACTCTAGCTGTAGGCAGTGGACAATCACCTGTTACTTAGACACACATTAAAGAGTTTTTATAGGCAGTGAGCTATGAGATTGTTAACGTTTACATTCTGCCCCATGCCAAGGAGTTTGGCTTGCTGATATGAAGGATAAGAGTTCTGCAGGTTGATCATTATGGGGCATGTATTATATTTTATTGGGAAAAGTGGTTAGCAGCTCTTGGGATAGTTAAGTTCTTATCCAGAGACCAAGAGAGCTCAAAATGACTGGGGATGATGCAGGTACATTGAGTTGGACATATGATTAGTTTGGCCCAGGATTCTGTCTCTGGTACAGAGTGGTGGATGTTTCCCTACAAGACTCTCACTCTGGGCTGGGATTTTACTGGCCATAAGAAGAATCTCCACAACATCCCTTCAAACAAGAAAGACATAGCCTTTTGTTTAATAAACTGAAATAAAATTTCTAATTAAAAAAATGTTCCAAGAAATAACACATTGGCTTATAGTCTATATATAATGTCATTTATACTATAGTGTAAATGACTGATATCCAACACTCTCCAGAGCAGGTTTTAATTGTGAAGAGGTAGAGAGCAAGATCTCAGAAGCAGGGGTAAGGTGGGACTATGAGAAAGATAAAGTTCACAGAAAGGGAGTATCTAGGGATGCTACTGGCACTCCTTTATGATCTGACCTCAATTTTCCAGACTGCTTCCCTACTTGTCTGCCCACCCTTCACATCTACCCTCCCACACTGACCAGATGTCTATCTTTCTCAGTACACATCATGCCCTTTCATGTTTCTGTGTCTCCCCATGTGTATTCCCTATGCTCAGGATTATTGTCCCACCTCGCTCCCTCTGCCTGGACAGCTCTTACCTCTCCCTCCAGGTCCAGGTTAAACATTATCACCTCTGTGAAGCACCCAAACTCCCAGCCAGTGCCCACAGCTGCTTCCTCTGTGTTCTATCAGTGCTTTGTTCAGGCCCTCTTTCAGCAACGATTATATTGGATAACCTAGACTACTCTCCTAGACTGTGAGGCTCTCCATGGCAAGGACCATTGTCACCTTGCCTTTGGATTCTGTGCTGAACGTATGACTGGGCATTGACACTTCCCAGCTGATGGCTACTGAATCAATAACAAAAAATCCTACTTCATAACTTCCTTCAAATTCCAACTCTTTTCTCAGACTTTACCTTGTGTCCTTGGCTCTCTTTTTGTCTCTCGGCTTTCATTTTTCATGTTGGTAAATTGGAAATAAATACACTTAGGTGTTGTCAGAATGGATGAAGATAAAAGTAAACTCCAAGTAGGAACCATCAAAGAGTCAAAACAACCTTAAAGAATTGTTTATATGGCTTTGAATTTGGAAAGGATTTAAAAGCAAATGTTGATACATAAAAAACAAAAACACACACAAAGAGCTCAATCCTTTACTAAGTACCAATTATATTCCTGATGCTGGACTGGAAGCTAGAAAGAGACATGAATAGCCTTGCCTTTTACCTTAATTTTAATGGAATTTATGTACATTTTTCACTCCAATTTTCTGAGAACAGATGAGAAAAGTGTTCCATCCACAAGAAGATACAGCTCTCCTGGGCTGGTCATGCATCGCCATGATGAGGATTCATATTTTAAGGAGTCTATCCACTGAATTAATAAAGAGTTAACTCAGAAAGATGAAATGAGGAACCCAAAGCAGCATGGCAAAGAGAGGGCTCAAATCTGAAGTAACTGGCTCTAGTCCCAGCTCTGCTCTTACTAAATGTGTATGAATTCTCCCCTGTCTGTTTCCTCATCTTTCACATGAAGAGGGCTTGGCAGATTGTATATTCTCAAGATAATAACACTATCTCCCGTTCTACATGCTCTTCCTCCACTGTGACATTGATTCTTCTCCCATCTTGTCCCTCCTTTGATCCTGGGTGAAATTTTGGGACTGCCTCAACCAACAGGGCATGGCAGAAGCAACAATATGTAACTTCTGAGTTCAGATGATAAAAATAAAGTGCAATTCTGCCTTGTTCTTGGGACATTAGCCCTTGGAGTTCAGCTGCCATTGTGTGAAGAAGCCCAAACTAGCCCATGTGACAACCCCAGAGAAAGGCTGTGTGTCAGTGTTCCAGTCAATAGCTCAGCTGACGTGAGTAAGGACACATCCAGATGAATCTAGCCCCCGGCTGTTTAGTCACTACCAGCCTTTGGTCTTTCCAGCTGAGGTCTCAGACATTATGGAACAGAGAAGAGCATTTCGTGTTGTGCCCACCCAAATTCCGGAGTCAAAGAATCCGTGAACATAATAAAATGGTTGTCTTGTGCCATAGAGTCTTGAGGTGGTTTTAACACAGCAATAGTTACTGGAATAGTTGGTCATATCTGTCCTAATTACCTTACAAATTGTGAGGACCAAATGAAATTAGAATGTAAGACCATGTTCTGCACAAAATGTGACACATATACACCATGGAATACTATGCAACCATCAAAAAGGATGAGTTCATGTCCTTTGCAGGGACATGGATGAAGCTGGAAACCATCATTCTCAGCAAACTATCACAAGATCAGAAAACCAAACGCCGCATGTGCTCACTCATAAGTGGGAGTTGAACAATGAGAACACATGGACACGGGGATGGGAACATCACACACTAGGGCCTGTCGGGGGATTGGGGGCTATGGGAGGGATAGCATTAGGAGAAATACCTAATGTAAATGATGGGTTGAGGGGTGCAGCAAACCACCATGGCACGTGTAAACCTATGTGACAAACCTGCACGTTCTGCGCATGTACCCTAGAACTTAAAGTATAATAAAAGAAAAATAAAGTAGTCTACTAATAAAATTCAATGAGCCAACATGGAGCAGCTGTGCCTGGAATTTACTAACCTCCTCACCTCTGCCCTTGCAGGAAGCATGCCCTTGCAGGGTCTGAGGTGCCCCTATGAACCCTAACACTCTGAGGAACCTGGTTTGAAAATCACTGTTCTTATCCACTCCTTCATTCTATGGATGAGAAAACTAAGACCCAGAGTGACTTGCCCAAAATCACACAGCTGGCTATGTGCTTGCTCCAATTTGTCATGCTGCCTCCAAAAAGAGAACTATTTAAGGTAGGACCATCCTTGTCTGAGAGCCAAAAAGTTGAAAGCAGGAACAAGCAAGATCATTATGCGATATTTCTCTTCAAGTCTCAAACAGACACTTTGAGCTGTTGCCCAACCATGCCAAAGACAAGCCTATTTCATTTCCCTCGTTCCCTCCCCTGCTCCTCTCCCACTCAGTCCTGGTAGCATAGATCATTTCACTGGGTAAAACAAAGACAGAGCCGCATACTCAACATTGAGCTCTGCAAGCTGTCAGCTCAGTGATGAATGGAGAGCTGAGCTAATGCAAAAGTGCGCCTGGTTTGGGTGAAGCTCTGTTTGATCACCAGTCATTGGCATTCATGGAGAGTTCCTAATTGTCACTTGGTGATGGGGTGCTGCACTGTGGTTAAGTGCGTGGGGGCCTCTCTCAGTTATTAACCTTTATGTTGCCCCTATTGCAGTGAGGGCAAAGACAGCCTGGGATTCTGATCAAGTTATATTTAATGCACTGCCTCTCTTACTCAGCTCATATCCCAGCTATTTCAGTGGAAGAAAGAAAAATAAATAAACCCCCAACGCAAAGCAAGCAGGACGGATAAAGGTGAAAGCTATTGACCCAAGTACAGTAATGTCTTTCCATCAGATGTGGTATGTTCCTATACCTGGGAAGGCCCTGTGGATATTGATGAAGGACCCCTGACATTCTGCAAGCCACAGATACATAAATCATCAAGTTTGAAAGAGGCTTTGGTACCTGTCCCCTGAAATAAGGGTGTCATTCATTTAGGATTTATAGCTCTGGGGAAGACAATTTATCTAAATGGCTCCAGAGAACATTAATGGGAGACTTTAATGTTTCCAGTCCCTTGGGAGCCATGGAGCTGGGAGCGTTACATGGGAACCCAGGAAAACCCAGTTTAAATGAACTTTCAAAAAAATCTATGGATTCAGCAATTACTGAATAATCATTTGGTTGGAATATTTGTGTCTGCATACTGAAGGCAGAGACAATGAATTTTCTTTGAAGACAAAGCAAGAGGTTTATAAATATTGCTTTATGGCAGAGGATGAGCATTTTAAATTTAAAAAATTTTAAATGAACATTTTTATTACTATAAAAGTGTGTGCTCACTGAACATAACTTAGTAAATATAGAAAAGGAAAACTCTAAAGCAAAACTTACCCACATTCTTACTCTGTGATGATAACCATGGTAAATATGCTGTCTTTCCTTCAGTCTTTTTTTCTGTGTGTGTATACTCACATATGATTTTACATAATATATACATACATATAATTTAAAATGACGAACTGTGGTACTATACTTTTTTGCATTCTGCTTCTTTGTTTTGTTTTGGTTGGGGGAGGGTTGTTTTGTTTCGTTTTTGAGACAGGGACTCCCTCTGTCACCCAGGCTGGAGTGCAGTGGTGTGATCACGACTTACCCCAGCCTCAACCTCCCAGGATCAAGCGATCCTCCAGTTCAGCCTCTCAAGTACTGGGACTACAGGCATATACCATCACACTGGCTAATTTCTGTGGGGTTTTTTGTTTGTTTGTTTTTTGTAGAGACAGGTCTTCACCACGTTGCCCAGGCTGGTCTCAAACTCCTGGGCTCAGGTGATCCACCTTCTTTGGCCTCCCAAAGTGCTGGGATTACAGGTGTGAACCACTCACTGCGCCTGGACCACATTCTGCTTCTTGACATTATGTGACATCATTACACATTTTTCAAAAGTACGTTCTGTAAAAGCTACATAACATTTGACCATGTATATGTGTGATAATATATTCAAGAATTCTCCTATTATTTAGACATTTGTTTTCAGTTTTCACTCTGTCTCTGAAATTTTTGTTAGTTTAAACCCTAGAAGAGAGATTACTGGATGAAAAGATACTTTTTTTTTTGTAAGTCACTTGACACAATTGCCTTTAGAGTTTTTCAGTCATTTTCTTTCCTCTTTTCTTTTGTAGCAGGCCACATGTGAGCTATGGGACTTCAGTTGACCTTTTATCCCTTTTCCAAGAATGATCATTGGGTGTTTCATTGCCCCCACCACTCCCTAGCCCCACAATTCCACAGCTTGGATGTTTGCCCTTGGATTTAATTACTCTCATGCTTTACTTGGGAATTTTTTAACTCAGTGTCCCCTGTACCTGTGTTGCCTTTGCCATCTACACTCACTTTCCCTCTTTCTCACCTCCTTCACATCCCACCTACCCTCAGAATCCTGTTTAACTCTCCTCCTTCACAGAGCTTTCCCAGACCACTCCATCCTCAGGCTTCTCTCTTTCTGAACTGCGCCATAATTTATGTTCTTCACACCACTCCTCTGACAATTAATCACCACTTACCAGCTGTATGACCTTCAGTAATCCCAGAGGCTTGTCGTGAGGATTTAATGAGATCAAGCCTATAAAACAAACACCTATCACAGTGTGGGGCACACATTGCAGTTGAGCAATAAATTGAAGCTGTTATTATTATTACAGCCAGTTTGCCTTGTGACGTTTCTTCTGTTTAATGTTACATACGCCCTCCTCTACTGCTATTTAACTGTGTGTGACCTGGATTCCAAATTCCCTGAGGGCAGCTGCTCCACAACACCTGGAGCTGTGTCATCTCCTAAGAAGCTCACAGGGAATATTACTGCTTGTGACCAGAGAGTGGGGTCACCCAAGTATCTCTTCTTTGCTTTCTCCACCCAGTTTACTTCTTAGATGACCCTGGAACCCAAAGCACTGAACTGAACCTCTTGAGTGTCCATCTAACCTGCTGAAGTACATAGCAAGATCCAGCAGGATGCAGTGGTTGAGTGCTTGGAAATTATCCCACTTTTATACTTAATTTGAGCAAGGGGTACAAATGTGACTGCATATGTGGCTCAGAGTTTCTGAATTGGAAGGAAGCTTAAAGATAACATTGTCCCTTGTACTTATTTTCTGGATATGGGAAGACACCTTAGTGCTGTCCTTGGGTTGGTTTCTAGGAGACCTGGTCTCTGGCTCTTCTATTTATAAAGCTTTGTGTCCTGGACAGGTCACTATTCTTTCTGGTTTTCAGCTTCCTCATCTACAAAATGAGAGGATGGCACTAGATAATATCGAAGGTGACTTTCAACTAAATTTTATGATTCTATGAAACTAAAGCCCAGAGAGGTTAAGAAACTTGTGCTAAATTGTAGAAAACAAGGACTAAAATAAAAGTTAAATTCCAGAGCTTTGTCAATCACTCTAGTCTATCTTGCCAACCAGTGGTACTGATCTAGTGCCTTCCTAGAAGGATCACAAACAGGTGTAAGTCAGGGGCCTAGTTCTCA
This sequence comes from Homo sapiens, assembly GCF_000001405.40. Taxonomy (NCBI): domain Eukaryota; kingdom Metazoa; phylum Chordata; class Mammalia; order Primates; family Hominidae; genus Homo; species Homo sapiens. The sequence goes on along the minus strand of NC_000015.10, from coordinate 69,142,991 downwards.
CAGAGCTTTTATAGTCTAGCTGGAAACACAGACACAAAGAGAAAATTACAATCCCAAGTAGAAGTTAAGCCTGCTAGGTTGTTCCCCAATACCCATTCTCCCCAACCAGTAGCACAATTAACAGAACCCTCCATTTTTACTAGGCATGTAGTGATGCAAAATAAAGTTAAATCTCTCAACCTTGGTTGCAGCTAAGGGTGGCTATGTGATCAAGTTCTGGACAGTGGAAGGTGATCCTAATTGTTGTGTGCAATTCTTTGTCGTTGCTCTTCCTTACTCCATTTTCCCTTTTTCCAGTGTCTGGTTATGGGCATGGTGATGAGCCGTTTTGGGCTATGAGAACAAAGGCACCACGCTAGGGATGAGCGACAAGATTGCAGGAGCCTGGGTCCCTGATGGACTGATTATTCTGTACCGTGAGAGAAGACAGGGATGTATTTATAGGTGTTAAATGAGGCAAAACTGCTATTTTGGGTCTCTCGGACAGCTTCTAAACTCACATCCTGACTAATATATATCAGTTTAGAGCCAAAGGTGTTAATGGAATACAGATGATGGAGCATTTCTGGAAGCTCTGGGAGCCAAGATCCTTACAGAGGTGATGGAGTGTGAGCTGGATGAGAACAATGGGTGGGAGTAGAAAAAAGCCAATTTAAGTGAAGTCCATGGAATTGAGCAAAGTCACACAAATGGGAATATGGATGGGAATTTGGAAGTGACTTTCTGCACATAACATGATAGTTTCCAAACCAACTGATGATCACAATCACTTGGAAGCCTTAAAAATACAAATAATTGATTCCAGTACCAATTATTTGGATTACAGTAAACCAAGGATGGATTCCAACAATCTGTATTTTAAAGCTTCCAGGTGATTCTGATGATGAAAAACATTGTGTCTGATAAGAAGAATCCAGAATGAGATCAGATCACAAAGGGCCCTAAAGACCATACAAAGAATCCATTGTGCCCTGAGACTGGGCCTGGCACCATCTGCACTTCCCAGATTATGCTTTTAAATGTAATTGTCAGGAAAGAGGAATTCTAAAAGAAATAGCACATGGTATCTTAGAAATGTCAGACCTGGATCTCGTTCCAGCTCTATGCTTTGCCAACTGTATAACCTGAAACATAAGCTTCACTTTCTTTATCAGGAAAAATATGAAAAATAAAAATTGTTTTAGAGATGAAATGGGAAATTGTATGCACAAATAGCTAGCTTGGTGTAAACACCCAATAATGTCACTGAAATGTTAGTTGCCCTCCAGGCACTGTGCTAGAGCTGTGCCTGCTGTACATGGGGTGGGATGATGGCAGGGTGGGGGGGTGGGGGGTGTGTGCACTGGTGCTCTAGAGGCCAGGACTGCAGTCCTCCCTCTGGTGGCCACTCACCTTAGACTTGGGACCCTGGCACTCTTCTAGAAGTGGACCATGCCTCATGAGTCATTGGCCTCTGTATAAATAATTCAACCCTATTATTATTTAGCACTCTGTGGTCACTGCTGGAGACCTGCCAAAGTCAGGCCAGGCCTCTGTGGCACTGAGGGGCTCTTGTGGGCTCCCCGGCAGGCTCAGCCTTCAGCCTTGATTTCCATTAGTTCAGGATGGAGGAGAAAGGGCACATCCTCGAAGCTCCCAGGGTTTTGCATTGTGACTTCGAGAAAATCAAAGGGCATAATTAGTTTGGGCTAAAGTACACAGGCATTTGACATTTTGAAAAATAGTTTTATGACATTTCTTTGATAGGTCTGGACCGAAGGCAGCTGCTTATACTTTAGGGAGGTGACAGAAAAGAAGAAGGAGAGACAAAGCAAGTGAGGAACCTAAGTATTTTAACAATTCTCCCTTATGTTTACAGAGTGCTTTACACTTTTCAAAGAAGCTTTACATTCATTACTAAATTATTTGATTTTTATAGTAACTCAGCAAGGGAGGGCAGAGGGTAAAGAAACTCTGCCACTTACTAACTGGATAAGCCTTGGCAAATTAACTTCTCTGAGGTCAGTTTTCTCTTCTTTGAAATGGGGATATCATCTGCAGGCTTGTGTTGACAGTTAAAAGTAAACGTAAAGGCAAACGTAAATGAAGCCCCTGGCATAGCTGCTAGCACAGAGTAGATGCTTACTAGTCCTGAGTTTCTGTCTCCTCCCATTATATAGATGAGAAAACTAAGGAGAGAATCGTAATGTGAGTCCATAAAGGGATAGGAAACATGTCTGAGTATGCTTGGTTCAGGGATTTTTTTTTTTTTTCTGCAACAGGTAGATTCTCAAGAAAGGCTATTTCACAAAATAAAACAAAACCCTGCTTGGCACATTTGCCCCTAAGTTCCACGCTGGTGGTACAGTTGGGATGGATTGTGGGGCTCCTACCTAACAAGCAGGGCAGGAGGCAAGTGGGAGGAGAGAGACTCACGTGGAAGACATCCGCCAGGCAGACAGGCGAGGGGAGAAGGAAGCGCGCGGTGCGTCTGGCTTCAGACAGTGCGTCTCCTCTGCCAGGTTTGCGGTGGAACACTCTGGCACAGGGCACAGAATGAAAAGCATCCAGAGCTGGAGAAAATTCCATACGTCAGCCCGACACAAGCCTGGGAGGACCTGCCACAGCAATGCCTCACAAAATCAGGCTGGAAATTATCTCGACAGATTGCATGAAATGAATAAGATGAAATCCCAAAGGGCTAAACCCAGGGTCATGCGTTGGGTTCCAACATCCAACAGCATAAAGCACTGCATGAGAAAGACTGACATGAAAGTAGAAGACGCGTTCTATTTACCCTCGAAATGGCTGCCAATCAGGAGGCAGCCTGGTGTTTTAGAAAGAGCACTGGATCAGGAGTTAGGAGTCCCCGCTGTGCCCTACTCCACACAAGCTATGAGCCTTTTCACAGTCCCTTGATCTCTCTGGGCCTCAGTTTCCTTTCCTGTAAAATTAGTAGATTGGACTAGCAGATAATCCTAGTGGGTTATTTTAACCTTAACATATAACGCTATTTTATTTTATTCATGTCAAGAAGACTTGGTAGTTTTATTTGGCTCTAAGTTCAATAAGAGCTAGCAGTATGTAAATCGTAGTTAATGAAAACTTAGGGTGCACAAGTAGGAATAGAGTGGTCACTTAAAACCAGGCAATAACCCAGCTGACCTCAATTGCTGGGCAGCTCTCTTTGTAGTAGTCAGTTTGGGGGAATGGGGCACATTTTGAGGGGTCTCTAGAAAAACTAGAGGCTGTCCAGAGAAACATCTTCAGGATTGTGAGAGGTCAAATTTGAATTTGGAAAAGCTGAGAAACTGGAAATATTTATCCTCAAGAAAATCCTGAAAAGGAACATAATAGCCATAATTCTAAAATCTGAAAGGCTGCAGCTCAAAAGATGAATCAGGATTATTCCAGGCTCTAACTTATGCAGTCCAGACAACGTGGGTCAACTTGAGCTGAACATATGAACGTGCCTTCGTGGGGCAGGACAGGAGGCTCATGAAGCAGAGAGAGCAGGCTGTTGCTGGAGGTGAGGGCCACGGTGAGGGACCAGCTTCTGAGACGCTGTGGATGGGACACCCATGCTGGGCTCTGGATAACCAGAAGCACCCCAAGATCTCTTCTAATTCTGCATTCTGAGGATTCAGATGAGGAAGGAGCAGGGGAGACTGAAGATGAAGCAAGAAGCAGGGCGAAGGGAGGTAGCGAGCAGAGAGTGCCTGTCTCTGCAAATGCCATATTAATTATGTGGCCACTGCAGGCAACCTGTTAGACCAATTAACAAAGAACAAGAGGCAAAACAACATGGGGTTTGGAGGTGGGTTGACCTTCACAACCTGAAGATGGGGCTACTGATCAGGATGGGAGCAACGGGTCAGCAGAGCTCAGTGTTTGCTGGCTTCTGTCCACTTTGTCATTTAGATGTTGGACCCCAGAGAGCAGGGATCTTGCTTAGATCTTTGTGTTTCCCCATCAGTTAGCTTCTGGCACCACATCAGACACACCACCGGTGCTCAATAAGCATCTTGTCAAGTGACTGCATCAATGGACAAAGGAACAGCTGGAGCTCAATAAACAGTTATTGACTCAATTAATTAATGAATTAATTAATGGAAAATTGACCCAGCTTTTCATTCTGATCTCAAGAGAGTGAAATTATGAGAAAGGAACCTCACAATGGAGCCAAAGATGGGGTTGATGAGAACTAAGGAAGAAAAAATATTTGAAGGAAGGAAAAGAGAGAGGGTGGGGAGGAAACAAAATGCAAATAGTAATCAGTATTACAGGACCATCAATGCTGGCTTGCAGGGTGGCACACCATCCATCCATTCATTTACCCACCTATCCATCTGTCCCTCCTTCCTTCTGTTAATTCATTCTTTTGACCAAACTTTTTTGAGGAACTACCATCATACCAGCCTGTACTAGAGACCATGGAGGACACAATGAGACATAAAATCCACGTACTGCTTCTAGGGTCTATACCTTCTAGCTATAGAGGAGAAACCAAAGTGTGTTTTTCCTATTCTCTGCTCACCACAACACAGCACAGAATACTTCTGTGACCCCAGATGTGTGGAGGTATTTCTCCATACACCAAGCCATCTGTAGCAGACGCCAGCTGGGTGTCCTCTAATTCAATTCAGTGCCACACTATTACCTGGAGAGAGTGCCAGATCCCATAAGACTGCCCCCCATTTCAGATACCAGTCACAAGCCCCAGGCTGTTTGCCTGTGCTTCTGACGAACCTACTATAAATCCAGGTTCCCATGACTCCCTCCTTGGGTTTGATTAATTTGCTAAAGAGGATCATAGAACTCAGGGAAAGACTTTACTTACATTTATCAATTTATTATAAAGGATGTTACAAAGCCAGATGGAAGAGATGCTTAGGGAGAGGTATGGCTGAAGGGGCATGAACTTTCTATGCCTTTTCTGGGTAGACCACCCCTCAGGAGCCTCCACATGTTCAGCTCTCTGGAAGTTTCCTGAACCCTGTCCTTTTGGGCTTGTATGGAAGTTTCATTACACAGGCATGAATGATTACATCACCGGCCATTGATGATCAATTTAACCTTCAGCTCCTCTCCCCTCATGGAGGTTGGGGGATGGGGCTGAAAATCCTAACCAGAGGGACTTCCCTGTGACCAGTCCCCATTCTGAAGCCATCTAGGGGCTGCCAGCCACCAGTCATCTCATTAGCGTACAAAAGACACTCTTCTCACTTCAGAGATTCCGGAGGTGACTTATAAATATTTGAAAAATGACATAAGATGCAAAATGGCTCAAGATCATATACTAACTCTGGTTTCCTAGGCCACCAGGGGCTGGATTAGAGGGAGCTCAAGGAATACTATTTTAAAATCTTTCTCTGGCTGCTTCCTACCCATTCTTTGACACTTTAAATTCCCTCCCAGGTTGCTCTGGGGGCTCCCAATGGGTGACTTACTGTGCTTGTGGAGGATTCAGAGCACCTGACACCAGCCCGCTCATTTGTTCTGCCTCACTGCACTGAAATCTTTGGTCACCACCAATAGCACAAGAAGCAGCCACAGAGGGTATCTGCCAATGCCTGGTGCATTGGGGGTGCCACGAAGGGTCCTTCTGTGGCTGGTGCTCTCTGGTGCGTATGCTGAAGCTGCCCATGCTCAACACCTGCCCATGCCCACCACTTGCCGAGTCCAACACCTGGCATGGGAATCTAGGCTGGACGTACTATGTCTGCTCCCATAGTGGAAGCAGTTGCTGGCCCCAAAGCAGCAGCTGTGCTAGACCATCACTATCTATGACCACTATTGAGAAACTACTCCTTTATAATTTTTTTGTAGCCCTTCCTCTAAAAAAGGGCTCAGGCATCTGTCCGGTAGGGATAGGCAGAGGTCATCCTGAGTGGCAGATTCTACATCCCCACCTCCTGCACCATGGACTATTACCTTGAACCTTACTTCTTTGGCTCTCTTCTCTTAGGATAAATTCTTCTCCAGGAGGCTCCTTGGTTCCTGGGAAATAGACCCTAGTGGGCCTGCCCCAACAGTCTATAGAACATTCTGGATCCTACTGGGATCATAGCTTAGGTTCAACTGAGATTCCGCCACCACGAAGGGATGAACTGAAAGAGCTCTGCAGACACTCGTATAGGTCCTAGCAGGTTGTGCAGCCTGGAACACCATGTTGAAGATTTTGGGGCCTCGTTTAAGCTTAGCAGAACAGAGTAGAGTGCAGTGATTGATTACTGATGCCTACCACAGGCACTGGAAGAGAGAGGAGCAGCATGTGTGCCACATCTATGCCCTCCCTTGTCTAGGTTACTGTTTGCCTTTGGAGACTGATATGGTTTGGCTGCGTCCCTACCCAAATCTCATCTTGAATTGCAGCTCCCATAATTCTCATGTGTTGTGGGAGAGACCCAGTGGGAGATAACTGAATCATGGGGGCATTTTCCCCCATACTGTTCTCATGGTAGTGAATAAGATCTGATGATTTTATAAGTGAATGAGATCTGATGGTTTTATAAGTGGAAACCTTTTCAGTTGGCTCTCATTTTCTCTCTTGCCTGCTCCCATATAAGACGTGCCTTTTGCCTTCCACCATGATTGTGAGGCCTCCTCATGTGGAACTGTGGGTCCATTAAACCTCTTTTTCCTGACATATTAACCCAGTCTTGAGTATGTCTTTATTAGCAGCATGAAAATGGACTAATACAGAGACTAATGGTGGACAGGAAGGGAAGGGACTTAAAATTTGCTTATAAAAATATTTAATAGTGGCTATCACATTATATTTCACAACAACACTGAGAAAGAGGTATTATTAGCAATCCTTTTTATAGATGAAAATCGGAGACTCAGAGAAGGTGAGTAATTTGCTTAAGACTAGACAGCTACTAAGTGGCAGAGTCAGGATCCAGACCTAGGTTCCAGATTCCAGAGGCCATGCTTTGTTCTACCACCTCACCCAGTCTCCTAGTGCATAGACTGGAATGGGTTGGATCACAAGACTATTGAGGGCAGCAGTGAGGCTTGTCCTAGACACAGCTTTATCTAAGTACCATACGTAAGCAGGCTTTTCAGGAACCTATGCTGGCAACCATGAAGGCTGATAATGATGATAAACCCTGTGGTAATGATGCCTAGGAGCCCCTTCTCATAAGGGTTTGAACTTCACAGGAGCAAAGAAAGGGTTAGTTGCTCCCAAAGGCATCTTTACATGTGATGGATTATCAGGCTGACTCCTGATCATTTCAAAATGCACATATTCATCAGCATTATCCAAGCCCCACAGGAGCACTCAGCCAGGAGATTCACCTAAATGCTTTTTCTAAAAGCAGACAGTGTCTTTATCCTCCTTGCTAACACCAACCACAGAGGGCCAGTCACCTCTGACTGCTGGCTGCTCTTGATCATCGAGATAACTGTATGCAGATCTACAGCTTTCCCGTGGCATTTTCCAACCTAACAAAATAAGACACATATATGCTTCATTTCCATATGTATCCATCTCCAAATCCAACCTCTTTAATTAAGGAGTGTCAAGGTTTTCAAGGGAGACAAATAGGCTAGGTTCCATGGCCTTCCTACTCCATGGACACATACCTGACAACCTCCGCCCCCCGCATCCTTTCCATGCCCCTCTGGGTGAAGGAAGCGAAGTTACAGCCTAAGTGAGTTACTTTCTTTCAATCAACGATGAATCATCACCGATACACTGAGCATTCAGCCCTGTGGGGAAGACAGAAAAAAATGGAATTCACCGACCTTGCCCTCAAAAAATGAGAAGACCACTGAGGCATAACAACACCATGTAGCGTATAATTAAGTGCTGGATTTCAAAGTCAAAAAAAATTGGAAAAGTCAGAGGTAAATGTAGACTTTCATTCTCAGGGAAGACTTCATGAAAGGTGATAGGGATCAGGGGATTAAACCTGGGTCTTAAAGGAGGTTAGGATTAGAACTTGGAGATAAATCTGGATTTGGGTGTGGGCTCTGCTCTTCACTAACTGGGTGACCTCGGCCATATGCCTGCTCTGAGTCTCAGTTTCCTAATCTACCAAATAGATCATCACACCCCCTCAGAGGACTGTAGTTCCTCTGCTCCAGTGCCCAATAAAGCGTCAGTATGACAACACAGTTCCTTAGCAACAATTCTGATAGCCCTAATGCTCTGAGATCCAAAACTGACTTTCACAACTCATTTTGCAGCCACATCTGACCTGACATGAACACATTAGGTGGTAGAGCCTGGCTTGCATTGATGGGAACATATCTGTGGTCTTATTTATCTTATGTAGAGGGAATAGTTCTACATTTCACTATAGAAAAATGAATGTATTTGATTATGGCATGTTGTCCCAGGCCCTACCATGGGTGATGTCTAATAGAACCATATATGCAGTGCACGTACACTGAAATCCAAGCAGTTCTGAGCTCTGAAACACACCTGGCCACAAGAGACGTGTATTATTACACAGCCTTGGCTAAAAGGAGAGCAGCAGGCAATTCCATAACCCCTATGACTGTGAGAATAGCTATGAAGAGCAGGGCTGAGTAGGCTTTTTCAGTAATGGGCCAGATAGTAAATATTTTAGGTTTTGTGGGCCACATACGGTCTCTGTTGTAACTATTCAACGCTGTAGCATGAAAGCAGCTACAACAAACGGGCATGGCAGTGTTCCAATAAAACTTTATTGGCTAGATTTGGCCTGTGGGCTGTGGTGTGTCAACCTGATGTACAGGAATAGGTTTAAGATCTGAAAAGACCACCCAGAGGTGACCTACTCCATTCCACCTCTATTTCCTAATCTGATCTCTAAGAGAGGTAGGAAAAAGCAGAACCAGGTTCGGAGTCCGAGCCTGTGACTATCTCAATACCCACCTCTTGCTAGATCTCCCTGGCTCCCTGAAGTGGATTCCACCCTGCAGCATAGACCTTCTGACTAGTGGGAGCAGGGCAGAGGGCCAGTGAGCCTCTTTTGACCCTGATCCAGGGTCAGAGAGCATTGGAAGCAGATGAGGATCTGAATTTCCTCATCCAGCAAAATGAAATTGCCAACCCTGAAAACAAAAGCAATGAGAAGTAAAAAACCAAGTCTCACAGCTCCTTGTCTGTACAGGCCATTTGGCTGACTAGCTGGGCTGCAGGGTGGGTGCTGCCAACCAAGCAAGACTGCAGCCAGAGTGAGGGTGGCAGGTGATGGGCCCCCCGGGTCTAGGGCAAGGACAGTTCTGCTCACCATCTGCCACACTCCTTCCCTGTCCTCAGCCAGATGGGGAAGAACCTGGCCTTTTGGCCAGGCCCCACAGGGTGCCACTCTTCCCCCAAACTTCACAACAAGAAGCAGGAAGAAATGACAGATGCTCACTGAAGGCCCTGGGGCAAGTTGGGAAGGCAAAGCTTTGGATGGAAGCCATAGCCTGTGCCTGCTAGTAAAGGGACAGCTGGGGGCAGGAGCTGAGCAGCCAGGCTGGGTCCAGGAAGCCAATGAAAATATGAGGTCCTGGGAACAGTACTGGAATCCTAGAGCCTTAGCAGAAAGGAACTTTAGTGATTCTGCACTCCAACCCCGCTCCTATTTTACAGATGAGAAGACTGAGACCCATCACACACTTGTAAGCTGCAAAGTAGGAGTTACAAGCCATGTGTCCTGATTCTCAGCCCAGGCTCTTTCCACCAACAAATGTTTATCTTATCTTAAAGACTTTTGTCCACAGGGAATGTGTCAATGTGTAAAAATGACCATAATAATAGTATCTACCTCATGGGGTTATTTTGAAGGTTAAATGAATAACTACACAGTATAAGCTTTCTTAGAAGTGGGTTTCATCAGTTGGGCCATCCTGTTGTTCCTCTTTGTTGGTTCAGACTGACTAATTGATTTTTGTGTGTGTGTATGAAAAGAATGCCCTGACTGGGCATTGATCAGCTCAGCATAAAGACTTCTGCCTGTGTATTAGCCAAGAGAGAATGGATGATATGCTGCCGACTCTGTGTGTGTGTGTGTGTGTGTGTGTGTGTGTACATTTTAATATATATTTAACCTTGTCCTGGAGACCAGCTCACTGACAAACAAAACAAAATGCCCTCTCTGCCCTACCCAAGGACAGGAAGAGTATGGGCAGGTATCATAGCATTCTCAAGCACCCCACCCTCTGTGGTAGCCCTTGCTCTCAATTGCCTGGTAGATGCATCCACCTCAAAGCAACAAGTCCCAAATAGCAAGCATCACCTTCCTCATGCTCTGGCTCCCTTTCCTGATAATCCTGATGGAGACAGGATAGCCTAGTGGCTGAGGATACAAGGCCTGCGACGCAGACTGCTGGGTTCACGTTCCAGTTCTACCATTTACTTGCTGGGTGACCTTGGGCTAGTTACTTAAGTCTCTCTGTACCTCAGTTTGCCTATCTGCCTAATGGGGAGAATAGTGGTACCTGCCTCATGGAACTATTCTGAGGATTACATTCGTTAATACACTGTATATACAGATTAAGCACCATACAAATATGAGCTATTAGCATTTCCATGGTTCTGCACACAGGGCCCTTCTGACTCTTCCCAGGCCCAAAATGTGGGGCAGGCTTGGCTCCAGTCACACTAGTTCATGACTCTGGGCCCCAACTACGCTTTATACTTCTGGTCTTGCCTTTGCTTATGCCATAGCCTCTTCTGAGACTGTTTCCCACCCCTTCCCCTATCCTTCATCTTCTCTTCCATTCTGCCTCTCCCTGAGTGGCCCCCGTGGACCCCTGCTGAGGGGGGCTTTCCCTCTTCAGAAATCTTAAAGCAACACCTCCTCCGTCTTTTGCAGGGTTCACTCCCAGGCATGGCCTTGCACTGCCGATTGCCTTCTGTTTTTCATGAAGAAGAAGGGTTCACTTTTCAAAAGTTTAATTTTAGGAGCCTTGAATTTAGCTTCCTACCACTGGGTCGGCTCTCCTAATAGAGTCAGTCGCCACAGATAGTAACACCCTGTTCCTCTTTCCTTCCTTCAATGTTTAAAGTTACTGATTCACTTTCAAGAGTGGCTCTTTTTAAACTGTGTGATGACATTTTCTCCCTAGCAAAGGCCTTGAGGGCATTGTTCAAGCACCTCCCCAGGGTACCTTGAGAACTGCTCAATAAAGATGGCTCTATTGGTTAATCGAGTGACTGGCTGATCAAAAGACCTTCCAACAATCTGTGTGCAGGGCTGTAGAGCCAGCTCAGGGAGCAGGAAGCCTGGTCACAGGGCTGCAGTATCCTGGTCCCAGAGAGGAAGTGAATCTCAACTTCTGTAAGCCCTCCACCCTAGTGTCTCTCATCTTACTGCAGTTTCCCCTTTCCCTGGGGCACACTTAGGTCCCAACTGGCTCCTGCAAGCAACCTGCTGGGCTCCTGCTCCATCAGGGCCAAAAAACCCATCTCCTATAAGTGCTGGTGCTGCCTTGATGAATTCTGCCTGGCAGGAGGACTGTGGCCCGGTTGTCCAATCGATAATGCCCAGCAGAGGCCTTTTGAGAACAGAGCCAAAGAAAAATAGCAAGCGTTGTTTGCTTAGTAAATGAAACTTTGCTAGGGACAGTATTTTCCTTCTTTCTCTTTTTTATCTTAGCAACTTGTCAGTTATTCTTGCTTCTCTTTCCTCTTCTTTTGCCCCTCCTCTGCCTCTTCTCTCTCTCTCAACTCTGTCCTACAGCAGCAAGGCAATAGCTTTTAGCATTGTTACTTGTGCCTCAAATAATTCTTGGAAGATGAAATATAAAATAAATGAATGGATGAGGCCAGGTGTGGTGTCTCACGCCTGTAATCCCAGCACTTTGGGAGGCCGAGGCAGGTGGATTACCTGAGGTCAGGAGTTCAAGACCAGCCTGGTCAATATGGCAAAACCCTGTCTCTACTAAAAATACAAAAATTAGCAAGGCATGGTGGCAGGTGCCTATAATCCCAGCTACTCAGGAGGCTGAGGCAGGAAAATCACTTGAACCCAGGAGGCGGAGGTTGTGGTGAGCCAAGATCGCAACACTGTACTCTTGCCTAGGTGACAGAGCAAGTGTTAAAAAACAAAAAAGAAAAGAAAGAAAAAAAGAGAAAAGAATGGATGAATGGATGGATTAATGCATCACAGTAAGCTGAGCACATGTCACTTGAACTTGTCTGCCCATTTTTTAAAGGGATTCTTTTTTCACCTAGTTTTCCAAAGTCATAAGGATAGAGACAAATTAAATGCTGGACAAACCTTCCTAACAATGCTGTTTTCTTTAAATTAGGGATTTCCTCACTCGTGTTTGTGGGTTGAGTTTGTCAGGCTATTGTGTCCTTCCTGGGTAATTTATCTGTAATCTAGGTATGCTGTCACCAGGAGGTGGGTAGGTGGTGCTCCCCTGTGGCCTGCTATCCAAATGTCTAGGGTTTCCATAGTCAACGTTAAGAAACACAAAGTTAACTTACTTTGTTCAATTCCCTTGTTTAACAGTTGGGGAAACTAAGAGTTAGTGGGATTAGGGGACTGGCCCACAGTCATGCAGTGAGTTAGCAAGAGCCAAGGCTAAGGAAGACAAACAGCATGAGTTTCCTGGAGCCTGGAGCAGGGTTATTTGGGATTGGAATCCATCGAGGGCTGTCTTTGCCTGGAAGGGTAAAGAAAATTCCGATGATCAAAATCTCAAAGGAGCCCCCACACTTAAGCCACCTTCCTCTTCTAATGTCTAATTTCTAGTTTGCTAACATTTGGTTGAACAGGAGAGTGGAGGTTTCTCCTCCTTCAGATGCATTTTTTAAAGGCAAAAGGAAAAATAAAAGAAACAGAAGAGAAAAGGGGCAGTGAAAATCTTCAGACACTGTCTAGAGGGAAAAGAAGCTGGTTTGTAGAAACTGGAAGAAAAAGAGGCTGACATTGTTGAACAGCCCAGCCAACCACTGGCTAAGAAAGGGTCTAAGTCTGAGTTGCTAAGGAATGAGACTAGGTGCTGCTCTGGGCCTAAGCCATGGGCCTTCCTGGCTCCACAGTAACTACTTCCTCCAGTAGAAGGCACCTATGTGTGGCCTCAGTTCCTTCTGTTCATCTTAGTAGCCCTCTGCTTGCCCAGCCCCTAAATGATCTCCCAGAGCATGACACGCTGTTTGAGGAGTCACAGAAAAGAACATCCCTAAAGCTGCCGTGAGTTCTGAAAATTGCCCCATTAGAGGTTCAATCTTTTGCCTAAAGCAAACTTTAGGGCGCATGGGAATCACCTGGATTCCTGTTAAAATGCACATTGCTGCCCCCTCTCCCCTGTCTAGGTGGGAGCCTGAGAATTTGCATTTCTAAGAAGTTCACAGATGATGCGGATGCTGGAAGTCCTCATGCTGAAAATCCCTGGACTGAAGTATTGTCCTTCTCACGGGCCGCATCCTTCAGGAGAAGGGGTGTGCTTAGAAGGGAAGAAGATTCAGTGTGGAATTAGACACGCGAGATTTCTCTCTGGTTAGGTGTCCTTGGGCAAGTCATTTCACCCTCTAGTCTCAGTTTTCTCAGCTGTAAAATGAATACATTGAATATTCTTTCTGAATTTTGTCTTAGACACATTGTGAAATTGATGTGGATTTTTTTCAGTGCTCCTATCCCCCTGAATTGGACTCCGCCAGGCGCTTATTAGAAATACATAATCTTTATTCAACCATCATTTTGACTAGAGACTCATAGTTTTTCTTCCAAAACCCATTCTCCCCATTTCCTTTACTAGCAGACTTGCTGAACTTGCCTGGTCACATAGCACTCAGAATAAAGCCTGTGTCCTTTGCAGTCAAATGTGACCATGTGACTAATTTTGGCTACCAAGATGTGAGTGGATACAATGTTTGCAGCTTCCGGGTTATAGCCATACAGGGAAAGAGTGCGGGCTACATTGTGGCTTTGCCCTGTGCCTGCCAGTACAAAAAGTAGTGAGACAACTTCATTCAATCAATCTCTTTCTCTCTTTCTGTGTCTCTCTCTCTCTCTTGATTGTGTGCCCAGCCAGTCAGCCAAATGGCCTGTACAGACAAGGAGCTCTGAGACTTGGTTTTCTACTTCTCATCACTTTTGATTTCAGAGTTGGCATTTTCATTTTGTTGGATGAGGAAATTCAGATTCTCTTCTGCTTCCAATGCTCTCTGGCCCTGGATCAGGGTCAAAAGAGGCTCACTGGCCCTCTGCCCTGCTCCCATTAGTCAGAAGGGCTGTGCTGCAGGGTGGAATCCACTTCAGGGGGCAGGGGAGATCTAGCAAGAAGTAGGTAGTAAGAGAGTCACAGGCCTGGACTCTGAACCTGGTTCTGCCTTTTCCTGTCCCTCTCAGAGATCAGATTAGGAAATAGAGGTGGAATGGAGGGGGGGCAGAGAGAGAGAAAAAGAGAGAGAGAAAGAGAGAGAGGGTCTGGCTCACCCAGGCTAGAGTGCAGTGGCACGATTATAGCTCACTACAGCCTTGAGCTCCTGGGCTCAAGCCTCTTGAGTAGCTGGAACTACAGGTGTGGGCCACCACACTTGGCTAATTTTTAATTTTATTTATTTATTTATTTATTTATTTATTTATTTATTTATTTATTGAGGCAGAGTCTCGGTCTCTCACCCAGGCTGGAGTGCAATGGTGCAATCTTGGCCCACTGCAACCGGCTCCTGGGTTCAAGTGATTCTCCTGCCTCAGCCTCCCCAGTAGCTGGGATTACAGGTGCCCACCACTGAGCCCAGCTAATTTTTGTATTTTTAGTAGAGACGGGGTTTCACCATGTTGGCTGTGGTTGGCCAGGCTGCTCTCAAACTCCTGAGCTCAGGTGATCTGCCTGCCTCGGCCTCCCAAAGTGCTGAGATTACAGGCGTGAGCCACTGCGCCTGGCCTTATTTTTAAAAAGAAATGTTTTTTTAAAACATTTTTAAATGGGGTCTCATTATGTTACCCAGGCTGGTCTCAAACTCCTTGCCTCAAGCTATCTTCCCTCCTCAGCATCTCAAAGCAAAAAAAAAATTATTATTGCACATCAGGCATTTGCCTGGAACTATTCTAGGCACTTGGGATACACTAGTGAATAAGCAAGACAAAAATCCCTGCCCCAGTGGAGTTTACAGCCCAACAGGTGGAGACATATAATAAACAATAAACATGATACAAACAACCTATATTGTACATTAAAAGATGTGCTATGGGGAAAAAGAAAGAGCTGGGGCACAGATACAGTGCAGGGGGCAGGGGAGGGGCAGGTTGCTATATTAAATCAGTCAACCACAAGGTTGACCTTCATTTGAGGTGACGGTGGAGGCCAGGTCCCTGACACCTGGGAGCCACCTTATCAGCCCTCACTGCTTATGCTCAGACTCTTACATGAGATAGAAATAAACTTCCATTGTGTTTAAGCTGTCTATTGCTATCTGGGGTCTTTGCTGTAGCAGCGGCTCCTGTATCCTAACTCATCCTTGTTTACTGAGTCTGAGCCAATAAGCATGTTAGGCTCTGTATTAGTTTTCTGTGGCTGATGTAACAAATTACTACAATCTTGGTGACTTAAAACAACAAAAATTGATTCTCTCACAGCTCTAAAAGCCAGAAGTCTGAAATCTAGGTGTCCAGAGGGCACATTTCCTCTGGAGGCTCTAGGGGTAAATACTTCCTTGCCTCTTCTAGCTTCTAGCAGCTGTCAGCATTCCTTGTAGCTGTGCTATTCCAATCTCAGCCTCCATTAGCACATGGCCTTTTCTCTGTGTCTTTCCTACTTTTCTTTTCTTTCTTTCTTTTCTTTTTTCCTTTTTCTTTTCTTTTCTTTTTTTTTTTTTTTTTTTGAGACAGGGTCTATCTAGCTCTATTACCCAGGCTGAAGTGCAGTGGTGCAACCTCTGCCTCACTGCAACCTCTGACTCCCAGGCTCAGGTGGTCCTCTCAACTCAGCCTCCCAAGTAGCTGGAACTGCAGGCACACACCACCATGCCTGGCTAATTTTTGCTTTTCTTTTTTTTTGTACAGATGGGGTTTCACCATGTCGCCCAGGCTGCTCTCGAACTCCTGAGCTCAAGTGATCCGCCCTCCTTGGCCTCCCAAAGTGTTGGGATTTCAGGGGTGAGCCACCATGCTGGGCCCTGTGTTTCTCTTTTAATGGTAACAGTTATTGGATTTAGGGCCCACAAAAAAAATCCAGGATGACCTTATCTTGAGATCCTAAACTTAATAACATCTGCAAAGAACCTGCTTCCAAATAAGGTCACATTAATAGGTCCTGGGGGTTAGGACATGGACATACCTTTTAGGGCCCACCATTCAGCCAGCGACAGGCACCGAGAAGCATGGAGTATATAACTTCAAAGTGTGTACTTGGCCACAGTGCTCAGCAAGTCAAATAAAGAGCTGATTCTCTCAGTCTGCAGGGTGGGCTTCTGTGAAATGGGCCAGCCAGTTTTGACTGCTTAACGTACAATGGGGGATGAACCCCAGGGCTGTGTGTGCGCCAGTGTAGACAAATGGCTAGGAATAGCCCCTCCTGCACCGCTCACTTCTTTACAAAATGGGCTCACCTCTTTTCACCTTACCACTTCTGAAGTCAGCCCACAAACAAAATAGGCATAAAACCACATGGAAACCTAAGAACATTTAGAAAGCACACACAAACCAGGTCCCAACCTCAATATCTCAGCTCTCAGTAAAGGAAACAAGGGGTGAAATGGAAAGGTGAAGGAGGATAAATCGCAGCTGGACTTTAACAGGAAAACAAACATGGGAGGCCCCATGCTGTGAAGTATGAGGATTATGAAAGTTATTCTTCCTCTGGTGTTCCAGGAACTGAAGTGCTGGGTGCCTCATGTACGTAATCTTGCATCACCATGGTCAAGGGTAATACTACAGTATTTAACAACCAGTGAGGCCTAGACACCAACCTGTCAGAACTGACCTTGGTTATAGCACTAGAGCTGGATCTGCAGGTTCCTCCCGGGTCAGGCATGACCTGTAGGCTGCTGATTCTGTGGATGTCTGTGGGCCTCAGAGGGGGAAGCTGGAGTGTTTGGGGTGAGGGAAACCCAGGGGCTTAGAGTCCTGGCTTTTCACCAACCAGTATGGATGTATTTGAATACTGTAGCAACTGGAATACCTACACGGATGTGGACGGGCTGAATAGTAGGTGTTGATATCCGCGATTTAGAGATGAGGGTGCCAAGGCTCAGATGGGTGAGATTACCCTGAAGTCCATGGCTAGCAAGTGCAATACTGGGTTGGGAAGAAAACGATATCAGGGTTGCTGAGAGGGTGTGGGAGTGTCTGGGCCACAGTCGTGGAGGGAGTAAAGGATTTGAGCCAGGAAATCTCCCCTGACAGTTTTCATCCAAGGAGCTCAGGGAAAGGCAGCCACTCATCGGAGAGCTTATGAGGGGGATCTCAAAGCAGCTTCTTCCTCCCTAGGGCGCCCCAAGTCTCGTATTAAATATGAGTGAAAACTCATCAGCAGTGCCCAGGTGCTGGGCCTCCCTCCCCTTGGGGGACAGTGCAGTATTCCCAAGCTGGGCAGCCCCGTGTGCAAAAAACGGAGTGCAATGGAATGTCCAGATACCGCCAGGTGGAGGGACATGGAACAGAGCATTTCAACGTGGCGGCAGGAAAGGCCTGGCAGAAATTAAAACAATTGGCTGGTCCTGACTGTTTATGAAATGCATGGCATGTGGAGCATTCAAGGACAGAAGGGTCAGCGGGGAGTCCTTTCAACGGGCTTCAAATCATGCAGCCAGAGGAGAAGGAGGAGGCTGAGGCTCCTTCTGCTTCTGCCACTGCACTCTCTTTCATCTGGTTTATCTATTAGGGTGCTGATTCTAATCGAAGAAAAGGAAAAAGAAAAAATGGCATATCACTGGCTTCATTCACTTGCTACATTTTATGAATGAGGAAACTGAGGCACAGAATGGGAGTGACTGTCACACAGTGAAAGTGGACATGGTCTCTCAACGAACAATCCAATACTCTGTGTTCACTTGGCCTCCCACCTGCTTACCATGTGCCCAGCACTCTGCTAGGCAACGGGTGGGAGAATAAAAAGAAAAACTATATATATATATATATTTGTTATACAGCAACAGATAACTGATATGCTTATTTCTTTTTTCTTTTCTTTTTTTCTTTTCCTTATCCTGTGTTAGGATCATAACATAGATAATGTTCAGAAACCAGCTTTTTTCACTTAAGCAGTATATCATGAACATCTTCCATGTCAGTAAATCCATATCTATAATCATTTTTAACTAGCATTCAGAATTTCATTGAATAAATGTACCACTTTTTTTTTTCTTTGAGACTGAATCTTGCTCTGTCACTCAGACTGGAGTGCAGTGGTGCGATCTCGGCCCACTGCAACCTCCACCTCCTGGGTTCAAGCCATCCTTGTGCCTAAGCCTCCAGAGTAGCTGGGATTACAGGTGTGCACCACCATGGCTGGCTAATTTTTTTTTTTTTTCCAGTAGAGACGGAGTTTCACCATGTTTCCCAGGCTGGTTTATATATATATATATAAAATATGAGCATGGTTGTGAGATATAAATATATGGCCACCAGGATTGCTTGTGTAGTCATCCAAGCCATGGCCACTAGAGTACTTTTATAAACTCCAAACTGGCCTCTATTTCAACATTTGTCCCTGAATTCATTCTCCACATTGAGCCATAGTGATCTTTTAAACATATAACTCAGATCACGTCGTTGTTCTGCTTGAGACTCTTCAGTGGCTCCCTATCATCCTTAGGATAACATCTAAACTCTCTGCATGGCCTGCAAGGTTCCTTGTCACCCAGCCCCTGCCTGCTCCTCTGACATCACCTTCCTCATGCTACCCTTCAGTTACTGACCGCTGTTTACAATTCTTACCTCTTTAGTGTCTCTCCCCTCCCACTGCCCTGGAAGGTAATCTCCAGGAGAAGAGGGATCTTGTCTCTCTTTTTATGGATGTACCCCGAGTAGGGTACCATGAGGATCTGATGCTTGCTTGGTAGGTGCTCAAACACTGTTTATTGAAGGAATGAATACAAACATTCCAGTAGACAGCCTCCAAGATGACCCTCAAGGATCCCTGGCTCCTAGTATTCATGCTGTGGTATAGTCCCCTCCCACACTGAGTAGGGCCAATTTGTATAATCAATAGAATCAAATATTGCAGAAGTGATAGAGTGTGACTTCTGAGGCTAGGTCACGGAAGACATTGCAATCTTTGTCTTGTTTTCTGGGATCACTGGCTCTACGGGAAGCCAGCTGCCAAGCCCCAAGAATACTCACGTAGTTCTACCAAGAGGTCCATGTGGTGAGAAACTGAGGCCTCCTGCCCGCAGCCATGTGAGTGAGCCATCTTGGAAGCAGCCCCTCCAGCCCAGGCAAGCTTCAGGAGACTGCAGCCACAGCTGACATTTTAACGACGACCTCAGGACGGTCCATGAGCCAGAAGCCACTTCTGAATTCCTGACTCACAGAAACTATAAGGTAACATTTGTTATTTTAAGGTGAAAAGTTTGGGGGTAATTTGTTATACAGCAACAGATAACTGATATGCTTATTTCTTTTCTCTTTTCTTTTTTTCTTTTCCTTATCCTGTGTTAGGATCATAACATAGGTAATGTTCAGAAACCAGCTTTTTTCACTTTAGCAGTATATCATGAACATCTTCCATGTCAGTAAATCCATATCTATAATCATTTTTAACTAGCATTCAGAATTTCATTGAATAAATGTACCACTTTTTTTTTCTTTGAGACTGAATCTTGCTCTGTCACTCAGACTGGAGTGCAGTGGTGCAATCTCGGCCCACTGCAACCTCCACCTCCTGGGTTCAAGCCATCCTTGTGCCTAAGCCTCCAGAGTAGCTGGGATTACAGGCGTGCACCACCATGGCTGGCTAATTTTTTTTTTTTTTTTTTTCCAGTAGAGACGGAGTTTCACCATGTTTCCCAGGCTGGTTTAAAACTCCTGGCCTCAAGAGATCCACCCGCCTCAGCCTCTCAAAGTGCTGGGATTACAAACATGAGCCACTACACCTGGCCAAATGTACCACAATTTAGTTAACCACTTCTCTAAGTCTCAAACTTTTCACTATTATAACCAAAATTACAATTTTAGTTGTAATAATTCTGGTATTATTTTGGTGGGTAATTCTGAATGGCATGTGTGATTTCTTAGGATAAATTCTCAAAAGTGGAATTGCTGGGTCCGAGAATATATTTTGGGTTATGTATTTCCAAATTGTGTCTTCAGAAAGTTGGTGTGATTTTTTTCCAGTAGGATTTGAGAGCACCTGTTTAGTAGCCAACTCTTCAAAACCTTTTACTATTTTGCCCATCTGATAAGGTTAAAAAATGGTCTTCGATTATTTGAAGGTGCATTTCTTTGATTCTTAATTACGGCAGCTTTGAGGTCTGGGGTGGGGAGGTCTGAGAGGTAGAGAGGGCTCGGCCAGCCCTTTCTTTTATCCAGCCCACCACTCCACCCTAGTCTTAGATTTCCTTTCCTTTCCTTTTCTTTTCTTTTCCTTTCTTTTCTTTTCTTTTTCTTTTTGTGAGATAGAGTCTTGCTCTATGGCCCAGGGTGGAGTGCAGTGGTGCCATCTTGGCTCACCATGACCTCTGCCTCCCGGGTTCAAGCGATTCTCCTGCCTCAGCCTCCCGAGTAGCTGGGATTATAGGCACCTGCCACCATGCCCAGCCAATTTTTGTATTTTTAGTAGAGACAGGCTTTTACCATGTCGGCCAGGCTGGTTTCGAACTCCTGCCCTCAAGTGATCTGCCTGCCTCAGCCTCCCAAAGTGCTGGGATTACAGCGGTGAGCCACTGCGCCCAGCCTGTTTTCCTCTTTCTAGACCACTCCCTTCTTTTTCTCTCCCAGCAGCATGGGCAGAGTAGGGGTCAGGAGTTTTCTTTCTGAGGCCAGGCCAGGTCCTTGGTTTGTCCCTACAGATGAAGGTGCTGGTATTGGCAGGCCTCAGCCTGCTGTCCCTCCCCTGTAGGCTGGCAGGGTAGGGTCCCGCTGTCTGACTGCTCCACAGCTGGGTGGGGATGGCCACCTAGATCCCAGTCCTCGCAGACTGAGGGAAAGCACTGCCTCCATTGCTCTACACCTAGTCCATCCTATAGAAGCACAAGGAAAAGAAAAGCAATGATATTTAAATCACTGATGCCACTGGCAAAATCTGGGTTGCATCACAGTCAGACTAAGCCATTTAGAGCTCCATTCATCAAAAAGATGATGGATGGTGATGCAGCTGTCCTCAGGAGGCTTCCAAACCCTGTGAGCTTGGGGTCCCCACAGTTGGGAAACCTCCAATGGACGCACTTTTCTCCACTTTCCAGAGGTGAAGAGGAAGAAGAGGAAAAGAGAGGGAAGGGGAGAGGGAAGGTGAGAGAGAGAGAAAGAGGGAAAGGAGGGAGAGAGGGAGAGGGGAAGAGGAGAAAGAGGAAAGGCCAGAGGGGGAGAAAAAAGGGAAAGGGAAATTGAAGGGAGAGAGGAGGGAAGGAGAAGAGAAGTAAAGAAGGAGGAAGCGGAAGAGCATGAGGCAGGTGGGTTATCAGCACACATGCCAGACTTGCTGGCTGTTAGCGGCATCTCCAAAACATGAACTCAACTCCCAAGAGCTGTGGTGATGTTCATTTTATGGCGATGCCTTGGGGAGATGGAGGCAGTTGCATCACACCGCAGACCAGCAGATTATAATCAAACTTTCCTTTGTCCTATTCCCTAACTCTCCCATAGCCTATTTTTGAAAAGTCCCTTAATTTCCAGATTGTTTCAGTTCTTCAACTCAGCTTAGGTACTCACTGAGTAGAACAAGCTCCTGGTCATGCAGGTTGGCCATGTCTCTCACACCTAGTGTCTCTCTGGCCCCCCTCTCCCTCCCTCCCCCGGGTCATTCTAGAAGCCTGCTCAGCACTCTGGCCAGAGCTGTGTGATTCTCTGAAGGCTCCAGTTTCCCTGGAGCCCCCGTAACCCCCCAAAGGCCCAGTTCACTCATCCAGCCTCTTCCTAACTGATTTTTTTCTTAGGAATGGGACAGATGGTGGTTGCCTGGTAGATGTTAGTGTGTCATGGCAACATTCACCCCCGCTCTGGAGCCATCCATTCCTGGAGTATACGGGTCTCCATCTTCCCTCCAGATAATAAGGATTCTGAAGATTCTGACCTTTATTATACCTGTTGCATGTTTACACATGTTCAAGCACTTTACAGCTATTATCTCCTTAGAGCCTAGGACTGAGAAAAGGAGGGGAGGGAAGAACTCAGTCCTCTCCTGCAGTTGTAGGACACTGGACCACAGAGAAAACTGCAACCCCAAATGGATGATTTGCCCAAAGTCATGGGGTCAGTAGGGCCTGAGGTAGAACCGCAGCTTTGTCTTCAGACCCCATTCAAATCTTTTCCAATCCCATGCTTAGGACTGACTGCATTATGACTTCCCTCAGCCCTAGGCACTTTTGCCTTTGGGGGCCCCTTCTGCCATAACAAAATATTAAAAGTTATATTTTATGATTGCATTGGTACAAAGACAAGTATAATGTAGGCTGGATTTATTCTTCTATATCATTATTATTATATTCATTTTTTTCTTCTGATTTTAAAAGAAACCACAATTAAAACAAATTCATGGCCCCTGAAAGTCCTATGGGCCCCAGGCACAAAGCCTGCTGTGCTTAATGGAAACGTGGGCCCTGCCCTGCCCCTTCCATTAAACACTGAATGTATGCACTGCTGCCTGTTTTTCAAAGGGCTTTCACAGGTATGGAAGGAGGCTAGATTATTAGGAAGAAAAAAGATCTAGCTGATTAATAATGTAAAACACCTGCAAGCCTCACAGACGTCCAGCTGGGAAACACACAAAAGCAGCAATTGATATCCAAAATAGCCACGGAGTTAGAGCTCAGGCTCCCCTGGGGTGCTCGATTCCTTTAAGTCCCACCCACCCCTGGGTTCCCAACACTCACCCCACCCTGATGAAACCATCTTCAAGATCTTTCTGGTTCACAGTGTGTCACTGCACTGTGTCTGGTGCTACTACAGAGGGAGTTCTCTTCTCCCTCCTGGAGAGTACACTATTATCAGATTAAGAAGGCTGTGCCTTGTGACTGGGGACAGCTCCAACGTTCCAGAATGATACTGGGAGGCTGTGTTCAATTAAGAGGCTAAGTTACTCTCTCTGTGGGAGCCTTTGAAGATCCCAGGTAATGGCTTCTATAATTCTACTCAGGTAATTGCAAGAGTCACAGCCTGTCTTTTTGCCTTCAGGCAGGAAGCAACTAGAGCAGAGATGGCAAATGTGGCTTGCACATGCTTTCAGGACCCTGCCCACATTGGAGCAGACATTTCCACACTGTCACATGCTGTCTGCCAAGACTGCAGTCAGCTGCCTTGGGATTCTTCACAAACTGACAATGCAGTGTACCTGGGGCACCTCTGAATCCACCCACATTCGTAGGTGAGACCTATTAGCCATCCCCGATCTCAACCATTCCCTTCAGTCTTTACTCCTCCCACTCTTTTTGTAGCTTTAAAGAAATATATTCATAAGAAATCCAAATAGCACTGTACATGTTTAACCCTTGAAATAACGAGCATATATATGTATATGTGTGTCTGTGCGTGTGTGTGTGTATAAAACGCTGTCCCTATTTTACAAAGGCAGAAAGTGAGGCTCGAAGAGTTTAAATATTTAACCCAGAATATAACAACTAACAAATGGTAGAGCTGGGATTTGAATCCAGACTGACTAACCCAAGCCCAGAACACAGCTTAATGGAGATGAAAATTCTCATAGGGATTAAGCCCTTACATAAATGATGAAACACTGACTCTGAAATTCCTGGCAATGGAGAGATAGGGAAATGGGGGTAGAATTGCCCCAGAGCCATATGATGTGAGCCTTCCTAGTGAGACTGAGATCTTAATTTGCTCTGCCATCAAAGGCTCAAGACATCATGTGAAGGCTTTAAAAGAAAGGGAAGCATGCTGTTCTGGGGCACACACATCTGTTTCTCCTTCTCTTAAGACGCTCTCTGCTTCCTGCCTGTTGGCTGTGTCTGAGCAAGGGTCAGGTCACCATGGTGGCCTCTGTACCAACTGTCAGCTCTCTTCTTAACCCTAAAGATCCTGAGTTGCCATAAAGCTCACCATTTGCATATTTCCACCAGTCATCTCCCTGCAGGGAAACTTCAGACCTTTAAGTCATGCACCTGAAAAGGTTAGAATGAGGTAGGAGGAAGGTAAGCAAAGAATCAGCCCTACCCACCATCTGGAAAGGGTGGTGGTGAGACTGGGCCACAGGTTATGAGACCCTGGTCTTAGGACCACCCCCTGCAAAATGGAAGAAACCAGATGAGTTGAGTCTAGGGGAGCTCCTTATTCTCATTTCTCCTCCCCTTTCTGTGTCTTGACATCTCATCCACTTCTAGCCCCTTTCTTTCCTGGTCCATGCCTTTATGATACATGAATCCCCACCTCTGGTACCTTCCCTTCTACCATATGCCAATCAGCATAGACCTCTTCTCTATCAGAGAGGATGTAGGGGTGAGTTGGAGAGAGCAACTGCTCACTCTTTAAGCGCCTATTATGTGCAAAGTACTTTCTATATCTCATTTCATCTTCAGCCCTGTGAGTTGGTTGCACAAGCTGAATTTTGCAGTGGAGCAAAGGAAAGCTGAAAAGATGAAGTAATTTGCCCAGGGCCACAGAGGGAGAAGGAGGAGCTAGGAGTCGATGCCAGGTTGTCTGACTGCTCTACACCAGACAAGACATTCCCTCCCCTCCCCTGTCCCTGTCCCTTTCTGCACCTCCTCACAGTCCATCAAGCTGAGCAGTAAATCAGAGCTATAATGCTGATGAGTACCCCCCTCCTGGGTGACGTGCCCTTCTGTGGGGTTACTAAGGCGTCAGAATCACCCACAGGGCCAGTTAAACACAGATACTCCCTCCTCCAGATTCTGATTCAGGGGGTCTGCGGTGGGGGCCCAAGAATTTGCATTTCTAATAAACTCCCAAGTCATGCAGATGCTGCTGGGGATGGGATGGGGCAGAGACAGACCTCACTTTGAGAACCACTGCTCCAAATGTAAAAAGATTGAGTCTCCAATGATGGCATTCTCAGGTTTATAGCAGGAAAATATTTGGAGCTCAAGAGATTTTTCCAGAGACCCTGAAATTACATCAAGCAGGCAGCCGCCTCCTCATCCCCAGGCAGGCTGCTTTTCTCAAGTCTTTGTTCTTCAAGGTGAGCCAGAGAATGTGTTCTGTAACTTGATCTTTGGAGAAGGGAACCTCAGTGCTTGTGTCTCTAGTGCTGGTCTTGCTGTGCCGAGGGCCAGAACTGCCAAGCACAAAGGAAAAGGAAAAAGAAAACAGAGACAGCAGCTGCGGAGCTACCCCAGAGGCTGTGGCTCTAGGCTTTTCATTAGCTGGGACCCTATCTGCCCTCAGGGTCGAGTCTGACACAGGCTGACAAGCCACAGCAGATGCGTCCACTCACAGCAACTGCCCCCACCTGCCCAGTCATCAACACGGAACAGGGAGGGGGTTAAAAGGCAGAGTGACTGCTCATCTCGCAGCACCCCGCCCAGGATGGGGAAGCTGCCTCCCTGTCTGACACATTCAGGGTGCAAGAGGCAGCATCAGGCTCATGCGGAGTTCCCAGGAACACTATCCTACAGAGAGTGGCAAACCCAGGCAGGTATGCAAAGAGTTAGGTAAGGAGGGCTCTGTCAGAACAACCGTGAAAACTCAAGTCCCAGCCACTGTTCATGCTAATAAGAGCCCACATATTAGTGTTGAGGACTGTAGTTTATGGTTGGCTCCTCACAAGGGACTTGGTGCATATCACAAAGACTTGGAAGAACCTTTTCAATAAAATAATGGTAGCAACAACAATGACCATTTTTGAGCTCCCACTAAGTGCTGGGCCAGGCCAAACATGACTCCTTTAATCCTCACACCAAATTCAAGAGGAAAGCATTATTATTTCAATTTAATGGTGAGGAAATAGAGGCCCAGAGAGGCTACCCAGCCAATAATGGGCAGAACCAGGATTTGAACCCACATTCCAAAGTTTTTTCCACCGGATGAACAGCTTCTACTGAGTATAAGAAGGGAGTCACTGACATGGTAAAGAGAACTTTAGCCTAAAATTCAAGGGGGATGAAAGGAGGCCAGATAAAATGGCCAAACCAGATTCAGTGGAAGCATCCTTTGCTCTTCCACTAATTTTTCTATTTGATCATTAAATGTGTTAAATAACACCTCCCATCTTTAAAGAGCCCTCCCTTGACTCCACTACTCCCTTCAATTACTGCTCCATTTCTCTGCAAACCTCCACAAAGTTGTCTGTACTAGTGTAAGATGTACGCAAAGTGAGCTGAGGAGGAGGGGAGAGGCAACCTCCGCGGTGTCCTTAAAGGCAGAAGCATAGTGGGTGGGGCTAGTCTTGCTTCCCTCTCCCATTTGTCTCTCTGCCTCCTTAGGAAGGGCGCTGTCTACCCTGAGCCTGAGTAAGAGCTCTAGTAATAGGAAAATGAGCTAAGAGCTGATAGAGGGGCCTGGGTCCTGCTCACCTGGAGGTTGGGCATGCAGTCTGAGGTGTGTGTGTTGTTCAGACTTTATTCTCCAGTTCCAGTTATACTCATGGTTATTTCTTTGGGATCTGAAAGAAACAAACATTTGTGGAAAACCCACAGTATGCTAGATATTGTGTTAGATGTTTAATATTCTTTATCTCATTTGCTTCTCAGATAATGTAATAGGCTGTCTTTATTCTACAGAGGAGAAAACTGAGGCACAAAGAGTTTAAGTCCTTTACTAAGGCACCCAGCATGTGTGAAGCCAGAACTTAAATCCAAGAAAGGGACTGGGAAGAGCTTGCCCTGCTGACTTTATCTCAAAGGTATCCCAAAGAGTATATGGGATGGGGGAAAGGCAACACAGCACCCACAATGACCTAAAACCCACCTAGACCCTCATTTTAAGTCTTGACACCCTGAAGAGAGTCTAGCCAGCCAGGCTTGGAGGTGGACAACCTGATTCCTGCCCAAATACTTAGTTCATGGGAAACATGGCATGGTGATCCCGGATCCACACATTTTCATAGCCCACATGTCAGGAGAAGCACCTGATGCCATCATTTTATAACAGGCCAGAAAGAAACGAGTGATGGATGTTGGCAGCAATCCCATGATTTAGGCAACCTGAAGGTGGGGGCCTTCCCAGAGGAGATGGGATTCTGGACCTGTTGGGTTAGGAGGCAGGTTGTGTGGTGGTTGAAAGAGGGGATCTGGCCCAGGCGCAGTGGCTCACGCCTGTAATCCCAGCACTTTGGGAGCCCAAGGCAGGAGGATTGTTTGAGCCCACGAGTTCGCCTTTGGAGCGGCTGCCCATTCTTTGTGTCTTCCAGCAGTGGCGACAGCTCTGAAGAAGTAATGGGGTGGTCTGTAACAGTCAGGGATGTAGTTCAGGCTACCATGCCTGGGCAACATGATGAGACCCTACCTCTACAAAAAAATTAAAAAATTAGCTGGGCATGGTGGCATGTGCCTGTAGTCCTGGCTACTTAGGAGGCTGAGGTGGGAAGATCAAGTAAACCCAAGAAGTCAAGGCTGCAGTGGGCTGTGTTCATGCCACTGCACTTCCAGCCGGGGCAACAGAGAGAGACCCTGTCTCAAAAAAAGAAAGAGGAAATCTGGACTCAGCTCTGCTGACCAGCTGTGTTTGCTAACTGCCCCCAGCCTAAGGAATCCCATCTCTAAAATGAGAACTTTTCTTTGTAGGGTGCTATGAAAATTCGACGAGATAAAATATGTGACGCACTTGGCATGGCTCCTGGCACACAAACGATGGCTTCATAAATGGCAGCTAGCTAGTACCAAGGAGAACTGAGTTGGCTTTTGGAAGCTAAGGGAAGGGAGCTACCGCTCAGAGAGGAGTGAGGCTGTTTCTTTCTATTCTCAGACCTAAGAAGGAACAGGTTCAACATCCGGGCCACATCCCCATGGGGTTCTTAGGGATGAATCCCAATAATTCATGGAGATTCTCCTCAGACCCATAAAGAATTCTGCTGCCAGGCTGCTGAAGGATGGAGGCCTCTTAATGTCTAAGTGTGACTTATTTCCCTGCAGCTCCTCGTGAAGACGGGATAAGAAACTGCCTCTATCTGCAGACCCCTGGCACAGCTAAACACTCCTGTGTCTCCCAGCAGTGGCGGCAGCTCTGGAGAGATAATGGGTGATCTGGAACAGGCAGGGATGTGGTTCAGAACCAAGATTATCTCAGCCAGTGCAGCTGACAAGAGACAGTTTTACCGTGTCCACATGTTGTAATTGCTCCTTGAGGCTGCCTGCCTCACCGTAACCCCGGCCAGCCCACCCACCACACCCTGCTCCAATGCATAGGCTTCCTGGTTCTCACCACAGCTGAGCTGTCCCCCTCAAGACAGTCCTGAACACAGTAGATGAGAGAGATTGGTGCCGTCCTTTTTCAAAAAAGGCTTAGAAAAGCCATTGCCCATTAAGCAAGACTGTCGGCAAGAAGCAGGAACCACAAGGCGTGTCCCTACCTTCAAAGAATGTACAATTCAGCTGAGAGTGCAGAGGAAAATCACAAAGCGTGTTATTAAAGATCAAAAGGAATGTCCCAGGCAATAAGTTCTTGAACCGTTTGAAGCTGACGGATCACTGGAGCCTGGGGTGTGGCAGGGAAGGCTTCCTGGCAGATGTGAGGTTTGAGCTGGGCATTGGGTAAGAAGGATTTTACTAAGAAAGAGAAATGGAAGGTGTTTTCTTTCCAGGTGAGAAGCTGGCAAGAACAAAGGTGTGAGGGCAGGAAAGTGCACAACACGTTTTGGGCTAAGGAGGAGGCTAATTTGAAGTGGGCAACCTGTACTCGAGGGGCACAGAGGCAGAGGAAGTGGGGGAGCCCACGCCCCACAGGTGGTGAGGGGTGGCCTTTGAAGGGAGGCTTGGGCTCAGTCGCAGAGGCAGCAGGGAGCGGCGGCGGGGTCTTGAGTCTGGGAGTGCTCTGTTAAAGCTTGGCAGAAGTGTGCAGGGTGGATTGTGGGGTAGAGGTGAGGTTGCCACAATGCAATGCTGCAACAAAGCAAGTGGCGATGAGGACCCAGACCACTGTGGCCACCACAGACACAAGCAGGAAGAGAGTGGCCGAGTTCGACTGGAAGAAGACTTGAAGAGGTGGCACTGTCTGTGGGAGCTGAGAAGGAGCTGGAGTCTGATGGGACACTCCAGCTCTCCAGCCAGACCAATTGAATAAAAGGTGTCAGAGAATCACGAAAGGAAATAAGGTAGTGAGAGAAGGGGCCGAGTTTTCTGGGAAGTTGACAGGAAATGTAGAATACAAACCATTTTGTGTGAAATAGGGAGCAAGAAATCTGGAGCAGGAGATGGTCTTGAGAAGGTTTCTCCAAGAATCTAGAGACAATAGCAGCAATACCGGACACCCGTGGGGGAAGCCTCAGCTCAAACAACATCCATTTCCCGCTCCTGGGCTCCTCTTATTCCCCAGCCCTTCAGTCATGAGGAGAAGCCCCACTCCACTGCCCTCATCCTGACTCATCATTTAATCCTTTCACTCCCCAGCAATAGGAGCCATGTAACAATGATATTGTTGCACCCAACAGCAATTTAACAGTAAAAAGGTTAATTACATTTTTTTAAAAATCAATGCAAAAGGAAGACATTCAAACAGTTGGGCAGACTAATTGAAAGCTAACGTTGTCACTAAATTGAATTTCAAATGAATTTTACATTCATAGTTCATTTTGCTAATTTCATTCTCTGCATCCTGTAATTTGTTGACAGTGATTGATTATTTAAGTGAATAATCTGTGTACTAGGATCATTTAGTAATAGAAAATGCCACACATGATCACAATGTTAATGAATACTATTTACTTAAATTTCCACTGCCTATTTAGTTTGTAGGACATATTGGACCAACAGACATAGCCCCAAGATTCAGGGGATGAGAATGATCCATAGCCATTGGGGTCACTTTCACAGCATGGGGGTGGATTGGGTCCCTGTACCTTTAAGACAATAGGCCACATTTGTACTTTATTCATGGATCAACTATCATTATTTTTTTTGTTTTTGTTCTTTCAGCAAAGAGAAAACAGAAACACAATATCACCCCCCGCCCATATTTCCGGGATTTGAGATCCAGGAATCTCTTTTGGAGAGATTATTGATTATGTCAGTCTTGAGAAAAACATGACTTGTGTCAGGGGAATAAGGAGGAAGGGTGAAAAGAAGCTTATGATGGAGCTAAAGTAGTGCTACAGTTAACAATTTTAAATATATATATATATTTTCTAGAGCCTACATTTCCGAAATTTCAATGCGTATCAGAATGGCCATTCTGAGTGGCATTGTCAGCTTCTCTTCACTTCAGCAGTCTTTAATCTCCATTCTTATTTGTTGAAAGATAAGAAAACAAATATATTGGCAGGTTGTCATGAAATATTTTCTTCCCAAATCCAATATACTATGTGTGATTCAAATCTATTTATACTCTTAAAAAATGAAAATCAATGCTTCTATTTGAAGCATGGGCATTTGTTGTTATCAAGTTTGCCTTCACAGTGAAGAGTCTGGTGAGAGCTTTCTCTGTTTAGGAAGGTTGTATGTTCTCGCAGGTGGCTGATGGGGCCAAGGTCCTGGCATAGGCAGCGGTGGTCAGTATGAGCAAAGCCAAGGTCAAGAGTGTCAGACTTTTTTGGATTGTCAATTTCATTATATTTTAATGGCCACAGAATATAAGTCCTTGAAATTATGCTTTGGTGGGTATAGAAAGGCAGGAATTTGCCTGCACTACTGGAGTTTTCATTGGTACAGTAAATTCATACATCATTTAAAATGTGCATATCCTCCAACCCAGTCATTCCTTGTATGGGAACAGAACCTACAAATATCCTCACATATGTACACAAAGTATATTGCAAAGATATTACTTGAAGCACTCTTAGTAATAAGCATAAAACTGGAAAAAACATAAGAGTCCACAACACATTTTATGTACCATCTATAAAATGGAATACTCTGGTTCTTAAGAAAGGATGGATGCATTTGCTTGCTAGGGATGCCATAACAAATACCATAAACTGGGTGGCATACACATCAGAAATTTACTTCCTCACAGCTCTGGAGTCTACAAGTCCAAGATCAAGGTATCAGCAGGGTTGGTTTCCTCTGAGGGCCCTCTCCTTGGCTTGCATATGGCAGCCTTCCCACTGTGTCTTCACATAGTCATCTTCTGTGTGGGCATGTCTGGTGTTTCTTTCTATTTGTGTCCTGATCTCCTCTCTTTTTTTTGAGGCAGAGTCTTGCTCTGTCACCCAGGCTGGAGTGTAGTGGCATGATCTCGGCTCACTGCAACCTACACCTCCCGGGTTCAAGCAATTCTCCTGCCTCAGCCTCCTGAGTAGTTGTGATTACGGGTGCCTGCCACCACGCCCAGCTAATTTTTTGTAATTTTAGTAGAGATGGGGTTTCGCCATGTTGTCCAGGCTGGTCTTGAACTCCTGACCTCAAGTGATCACCTGCCTCAGCCTCCTAAAGTGCTGGGATTACAGGTGTGAGCCACTGCACCCGGTCCTGATCTCCTTTTCTTATATGGACATTGGTCATACTGGATTAGGGTCCACCCTAATAATCCCATTTTAACTTAATTACCTCTTTAAAGGTCCTATTTCCACACAGAGTTGCATGCTAAAGTACTGTGGGATTAGGGCTTCAACATCTGAATTTGTGGGTGGGACACAATTCAGCCCATAGCAATGGATTAGCTCCATGTACTCTCACTTGGAAAAGTGGCCATGACACCTGCTTTGAGAAAGAAGCAAGGTGCAGAACAATATGCATAGTATGATCCCAATGTTGCTTTAAAATTGTGTGTGTGTGTGTGTGTGTTTGTGTAGGAAAACATCAGCAAGGGCATGAACCGAACAGTTAACGTGGCTCTTTCTGAAGAGTAGAATGGGAGTGAGGAGGACTCCAACTTTTATTTTAGTTTATAAATGCCTGTATTGTGTTTGCTTTTAAAAATAATGACCATGCAATAAGTTTGTAATTTAATTTTTGCAAATCTGACAGGACAAAAAAAGGAAGGCTGCTTTTGCTCACTGGGAAGATTCACTGACAATACATGTGTCTGGGTATTTTCATCATCACCACTATCATCATTACTATATCAAGTGCCTACTATGTGCCAGGTGTTTTACTCTCAATCTCATTTGGCTCTCACCATAATTCTGTAAGCT
The DNA here is from genome assembly GCF_000001405.40 of Homo sapiens. Classification (NCBI taxonomy): domain Eukaryota; kingdom Metazoa; phylum Chordata; class Mammalia; order Primates; family Hominidae; genus Homo; species Homo sapiens. The sequence goes on along the minus strand of NC_000015.10, from coordinate 69,110,780 downwards.
ATATATTAGTATTTCCTTTTTGTGGATGAAGAACTTGGGCCCAGAGAGGTTAAGCAATTGATCCAAAGCCACAGGGTAAGGTAATTGACCATGCTGGGTCTTCCATTGGCCATCCATTGGGCCACACAGATGGCTTGAACCAAATCTTTCCCTTTGACAGAAAAACAACTTGGAGTGCCTGCTGCTGAGCTTGTTGATGGTAGGAGATTGGTGACATTTCCTTATAAAGAGGTGTTCCCTCTGGCTACTGGGGGCTAGTCCAGGAGATGACCATGACTAGTTCTTCAACTGCTTCTCCTTCAAGCTAACATTCATGAGTGCCCACTACATACCCAGTTCTGTTACAACTGCCTAATATCTACTAATGGGCCCCTCACAACAACCTCATTTATCAATGAAAATAATGAGGCACAAAGAGCTCAAAAAAGGGAGGGAATTTGAGTGAGCATGTGCTGCTGTCTTTATGCAAGCTGCTAAACAGCTTGGTGCTCTGCTCTCAGTTACAATAACAGGGAGGCAGGAAGAGCATCAATGATACAAGTTCCTTGATAAATCAAAGGCTCAACTGAAAAACGTGGGCCAGATGGCAGTGGAAGTAAATGTGTAAATGGGTTCATCATTAAGTGAAACAATGAATGTTGCAGTGCCATGGACAGTGCCTGGCACAGTGTATATCCTCCTGGACAAGCAGGAGCTGTCTCAGACCACAGGCAAATGGCTAGCTGCCTGGGCTGGACACTGGGCAGGGGCCAGTGATCCTGGGGCTGCAGAGTGTGGGCCTATACCCAGGGGTGAACCTGAGACCTAGAACCAAATATACAGTTCAATCAGGAATCATTCTTGGAATTCCAGACCAGAGTGGAGATTTCAGACTTATCTGGAGGACAGCCTGGGGTTTCTTCCTTGGTCACTGGGGCAGAGCTGCTGGAAGGGTCTCTGCATTAGATGGGAAGTGAGAATGAGGGAACTGGGCAGTCTTGAGCTCGTGGCAGGTGCTGAACATAGGCTAGTTTCTTTTTACTCTGAAGGCAAGGGGTGTTCATTAGTGCATTGGTGACATTTGGGGTACCTTGGAGCATCACATTTCTAGCCAAGTTTTTTTGAGACTAGGTTTTAGCTCTGTTGCCCAGGCTGGAGTGCAGTGGCATGATCATAGCTCACTGTAGCCTCAAACTTCTGGGCTCAGGTGATCCTCCCACCTCAGCTTCTCGAGTAGCTGGGACTACAGGCACGTGCCACTCTGCCCTGCTAATTTTAAAAAAATGTTTTTGTAGAGATCAGGGTCTCACTATGTTGTCCAGGCTTAATCAAAAATTGTATTAATGCCTTTAGGACTTGTCAGACTTCACTGAGTTACTGAATCCAGCTGGTGATTTCATGTAAGAAGTAATGTTCAAAGCTGTGCCAAAAGCAGGTTGGGGAAAAATAGCACAAACTCTGTAAGACAGAATGGGGACCAACAGAGATAAATGCAAAGCCATGCAGGTAGGTTCAACGTATCATTGCACAAGATGGTTTGAGAGGTCAGGCTGGACAACACTCACATGAAGACTTGCAGGTCCTTAGCCACCAGTTTCGTGTGAATTTAAAGTATAATATGACACAACTGCTGGAAAAATGATTGCAAATTTAGTCTGCATTCCTAGAAGCGTGGTGTGTAGGTTTAGTGAAGGGTGAGTTCCACTGGCCTTAGACTTCATCAGGGGAGTGAGTCCAGCTGGTGACCAGCAACATCAGTTGTCAAACAGCAGCCCAGGAGCTGGATCCAGCCTGTAGAATATTGTTTCGGCCACACGATACTGTAAAAAAATGAAAAATTGAAAAAAAATCTGATAAAGATGAAAAGTTTTCAAATGAAAACCCAGAGTTCCAGTAGCTTTGGAAAAGCTCAGAGAAGCTGTCACCCTCCTTTACTATAAACACCTGGCAGGCTCTGAGTAGCACCTGTGTCCTTTAGATCAAGCATCTGCTGCCAGTTTGCCAAAGTGCTCACCACTCCCTCTTGTCCCACAGTAGCAAGGTTGAGTGCTCGTTGCCTTTTATCACTGGGTTTGTAGAGGAAAGCATCTCTATATCCATGTCTCTAAGAAAAGTGGGAGAATGAAAGAGTGAGGCAGCCATATGATTTTACCATACCTACCCTGCTCTATTTGTTTTCATTACTATCCTGGTGTCTGTAGAACTTTGAATTTGCGGTCCTTGAATACAGTACACATAGAAGAAGAAACACAGCATTTAAGAAGGGAACGGTTAGTATGGCTGTAGACGTTTAGCATAGAGAAGAAAAAGCTCAGAGGATGCATTATTGGAAGGACTATCGTAGGTCAGAGGAATCAGCCTGTGTTGCTCCAGAGGGTAGACCAGATGATGAGAGATTCAGAAAAGCGGACTTCAACTTAATAGGATGGGTTTTTCAAATAGGAATGAGTTGTCTAGAGGAATGGAGACCTGGAAGAGGTGAGCAGAGATTGTTATGGGATGGGGTCAAAAGAAGTAAGGAGAGGCAATACACATAGCCAGGAAATCTGGTACCCCCATTTATTTACCATGGCCTTGAACAAGTTATTTAACTTGATGTCTGTAAAGTGGACATTAAAATCATACTACCCTTTAGAGATGGGGTGCAGGTAAAATCAAAGATTGCCAGTAAATTATTTTGCATAACACTTAGCATGTGATAAACACTCAATAAATTCTAGCTACTATTATTTGCAATTCAGTGAAAGGCTGGATAATTCATCTCTGAGAGCATTGCCAAGTCTAAGTTCTGTGATATTATGTCTCATTCATCTCCTTTTCCTCTCTCCAAGAAGTTGCTAAAAAGAAAGAAAATGAGTGAATTTCAATCTCATTTTCTTTTATTGCTTCTCCCCCCACTCCCGCCAAGGCGCTTCTAACTCTTGAAATGGCCACAGGCTAACTATGAGAACTGCAAACTTTATATTTAGCTTCTTCTATGACCTCTTCTCTTGTACCAACCATCCTGGAAGTCTGCTAAGTTTTGCAGAAGATATGCTCATTTGAAAATGTTTGCTCATCTCCATTGCTTCCAATTTAAAGTTGATTGCCCTGAAACCTTTTATTAGTAGTGATGGTATCAATGGGCTGCATCAAGTTCAAGATCAATCAGCTCTTTATGAAATGAACCTGGAAGAAGCAGGCAGACAAATACAAAATGCTGAGCCATTAAATCAAGATGAGACCTCTTCCTTCAAACATGGGATAAATGTGTGCTGGCTGTATGGGTTGCTGGGCTTGTGGTTTTATGACTAAATTTGGTACAGAAGGGAAAAATCATGAGAGAAACACGTTTGTTCTTTTTTTAGTAAGACGGCTGTGGCAGACACTGCAAAATATACACCTATTCCTCCCTCTTCCTTACTAGTCAAAAACCCTGTTTTGTTCAGAATACCAATGTGCCCAGTTAATCACACTTCCTCAGTCCCCCTTGGTGCAGCTGGTTCTGACCAATGAAACAAAAGCAGACTTCTTGTTGCCTGAGAATAAGCCTCTTACTTGCTCAAGTCACTATTTATCAGGTGTTCTGTTACGTCTAACCAAACAAGATCCTATCTGATTCATAGGCCAGCTACGTACTAAGTGTTTCTGTTAGTTTTCACTGCTTAACACCAAAGCTTAGGGACTTAAGGCAATCTTTTTATTATGATGATTCTATGGGTTGACTGAGGCTGGGCTAGAGAATTCTTCTGCTGGTCTCTCTTGGGTTGTCATGTAGTTACAACCAGGATCCAAGCTGGCTTTGCTCACATGCCTGGCACCTTTTTTTTTTTTTTTTTTTTTTTTGACATGGAGTTTCACTCTTGTCACCCAGGCTGGAGGGCAATGGTGCGATCTCGGCTCACCGCAACCTCCACCTCCCAGGTTCAAGCGATTCTCCTGCCTCAGCTGAGTAGCTGGGATTACAGGCATGCGCCATCATGCCCGGCTAATTTTGTATTTTTACTAGAGATGGGGTTTCTCCATGTTGGTCAGGCTGGTCTCGAACTCCTGACCTCAGGTGATCCGCCTGCCTTGGCCCCTCCCAAAGTGCTGGGATTACAGGCATGAGCCACCGTGCCCAGCCACATGCCTGGCACTTTGACAGGTATAGTTGAAAGGCTGGGACCTCTCTTTCCTCCATACGTTTCCTCATGGCATTTCCACACAGCAGCTGGATCCCAAGTGAGATGTCCAACAGCGTGCATTTCAGGGTGCAAGTCTTTGACAAGCTTTGCGGGCATCATACCTGCTAATGTCCTGCTGGCCAAGCCCAGTCATTGCGAGAGGGGACTCCACAATGGTCACCAAACTAATAGTGTGGTACACCAGGGATGTTGCAGAGTGATATATTCTTTATACAGAGGAGAAGAGAGCACTGTGTAAACCTCCAAGCTCCGCCTGAGTAGTGAAGTCTTTTCCACCATGTTTTCCATGATTTCATCCTCCTTCCCCATCTTACTCATTTTTTTTCCCTCTCCTTATAAACTACCTGCCCTTCCCTCCTTAAAAAAAAGGGAAAAAATATTGGTCTATTCCCAGTTCCAAAATAACATCCCTATGAATTAGGATTTAAAACTTCTAAACTATTATTGTAAACTGATAGCCTACAGGCATGTTATGATTGGGGCAAAGGTTTTTAAAATAGGGAAATTTTATCTTAGAATCCACATTCCAAGCTTCTTTTGAAAATAAGGAAGGGCAAGCACTCCTGGGCCCACATTCTTTCATGGCAACAACTGGCAAGAGCTGACTTGAGGCCTCCGCTTGTTAGAGGGCCCAGGACTGTCCAGTTTACCACAGTCCTCACCATTCCATATAGTCTCATTCAGATTGGAGCCATGGGTTTTAATGGTGGTCTGGCTTGTCTGCCTGATGCATTTCTGTGATCTGCCTAGCCTTTGAGTTACAACCCCTTCTTTACACTTACTCTGAATTTTCTCCCTTTCACCATTCCCCGCACCCACAATTCACCACAATTCATCTCCTCTCCATCAAATGTGCTTATTGTTATTCTCCACTCACCATAATTCTATCATTGTGTATTATCTAAAGCCTTTCCCAGCTTGAGGCCAGCTCATCAAATAATGCTTTGCCCTTTGTTTAAGTGGTGCCTGAAATCCCATGTCCTTTTAAAATCCTTGCTTTACTTAATAAGGGTAAAATGGCAGTGGATTTATCTGCATTTAACTGTGTTTAAAAACAAAACCCCAGGCTCTACTCCGCCTTCATAATATCTCAAGTCAAAGCTTGATTGATGACAAATGCCACTGTTTCTGGATTATAGAAAGATGCTCAAGACACAAGGATGGAGTCTTCACGTAGAGCAGTGTTGTAATGCGAGGACTGAGAAACACAACTGAGTCCTTTTCAAAGAGTCACATTTGGTCCAGATTTCAGATTTGGAGAATCACCAAAGGCGATGGTTCTCAAAGTGTGGTCCTTAGAGCAGCACCACCTGCAAGCTTGTTAGAAATGCAAAGTCTTAGGCCCTACCCTTGACCTAAGGAATTAGAGACTGTGGGGAGTAGGGCCCAGCAACCTGTGTTTTAGCAAGTTCTCCAGGGCATTCTGATGCACACTTCTATTTGAAAAGCACTGACTTAGAGCCATCTCATATCATTAGGCCTTGTGGCTCCAGTTTGAGCTAAGCTGAGTAGGTGGACCCCTCCCCAAGAAGCAGCTCGTTCTGCTGTCTTTTTTACATTGCCGAAGCCCCTTCTTTCCACAGGTAAGGGATTCCCAAAGTGGCTCAGCATAAGTGCGCCACCTGAGGAGTGACTTCCAGCCTCCCTCCCTACTCTGAATCCGTAGGTCTGGGCTGGAGCCTGGAAATGTGCAGCTCTAACAAACTCCCCAGGTAATACTAGTGATCAGTTGGGTTTGGAAACCATTTGTGGAAAGTACCTGCTAATGGGTTCACTTCTTTCCACCTCCCACTAAGCACAAGTTGGGCAATTTGGTGTGTTCCTGGAAAATGCCTTGAAAGCCTGTCAATTCTACTGCAGGTTTTGGAGGTCCACTGAGAGGCCACTGGGTGTCTAAGGAGTGACACAACTTTTTGCACACTGACCCACTTCCACGTGCAAAGTGCAGCTCTCCCCACCGAACCTCCCCCACCCTAATGCCCACACGGCCACACTCTTTGGTCTTCCAGCCCTTTGGGGCTTTCTGTAATGGCATTTGACCTATAATATGCTTTCCGCCTGGCCACAGGGGATGTTTGCAGACCTTCTGGTGGGTTAATAAATAAATGATGGGCTTCTTTCTGGCCACAGGAAACCATCTCAAGGTCAATGATATTGCAGAGTAGGGTTTTACAGGGCTTGCTAAGATTAAAACATCATCAGTTCCCACTAACCACATCCCCTCTCTTCTGAAACTTTGAAGCTTCGCCGCAGCAAAAAGGAGCACAATTAAGCCTCGATAAAATTTTAATAGCAGGAATTATGCACTCTGCAACCAGCCTACAATTAGCCGTTGCTATGCTACGGGCAGAACCTAATCATGATAATGAGGCAAACAAAGGGAGGGAATTAATCAGGGCTATAAGGTTAGTGCACAGCCGGTTCCATCTCAGAGCTCTGATTTCTGAAACACAGCAGTTGGGCCCCTGGGAAATCTCAGTCCTATGCAAGGTTAGATTAGCTGGTGTGTGTATGCAGTGTGTGTGTGATCTTCCGAGCAAAGAAGGCTATGTGCAATACCATCCCTACCATCATCAAGACGATGCATTCATTTAAAAAAATGGTGGTGTCCCTACTCTGTGCAGGAAACCATGCTAGATCCTGCAAGAGAGATATTGCTACACTAGACATGAGCCTTGCTCTTTAGGACTTTGCTATTCCAAGTGTAATCCTTGGACCAGCAGCATCAGCACCACCTGGGAGCTTGTTGGAAATGCAGAATCTCAGGCCCACCCCAGACCTCCTGAATCACATTGGATTTTAACCAGATCCCCAGGTGATTTGTGTGCACACTAAAGTTGAGGCACCCTCCTCTAGGAGACTTCAACCTAGCAATGATAACTATTCTTATTGTAATTATAATAACTATTATATCCGCCACATTCTGTGCAAGGCATTCAACACATGTGATTATCTCATGTACTTCTCGCCATAACCCTATCAGGCTCCCCTCATTGTGAATGAGAAGTTGAGGTTCAAAAATGTTAAGAGACTTGCCCAAGGTCACTGAACTAGTTAACAGGAGGGAATAGGATTACAATCCCAGGGTTTCCTGATTCCGAAGCCTAGATTCTTAACCTACTGGTATGGAATGGCTCCCATCCCACATAGATCAAAGGTGAATAAAGATAGTCACAATTCAGGTTAACATGTGATAAAGGGTCACAAGTGAGTTTTTTGTTTGTTGTTTGTTTGTTTTTTAAAGAGGATAGTTTTAGATCATAAAGGGGCAGCAGTCCCTTTTAGTATGGGCAATGAGGGATGGAGGAAGTAGCATTGGAGCTGGCATTTGAATGGTGAGCAGGCTTTATACAGACATAATGATGGGAGGGCATTTCATGTAGCAGGCCCAGCACAAGCAAAGCACAATAATTTGAGGGCATGAAGGATGTCCATGGGGCTACTAGGTATAACCTTTAAGTATGATACATGCGTGAGGTAGGGCTGGATTATGGAAGGCCTTAAATGTCAAGACAAGGGTTTGGACTTTATTAGGGGGTGATGAGGATCCATGAGGGGTATCTGAGCCAGAGGCATGACATGGTCAAGCCAATATCTAGACAGATCTGTTCTGGCCATGGTGAGCTGCACAGAGAAGACCACAGAGCCTCAAGCTACTAAGTGGAATCAGAAAGGAAGGGGTGCCAAGAGGTCCTGCCTGAAGAGGGAAGCAGGGCCTGGGGCTGATGGGAGACATGGTCAGGGCGATGGGATGAATCAGAGCCTCCAGTGCCATGAGAACACTGGAGCCAGGGGAAAAATAGTTTGGGGAGAAAATGGCAGCATGGTTTGAGACCTATTACATTTTTCATTCAACAAAAGCTTATTGAGAGGGACAGCAGAGTGAATAAGTCACAGAAGCCAACAACAATGACTGGGCACCATGGGCCAGGTCCCGAACTCAGTGATTTAGAGGCATTGCCCTCTGACCCTCACCAGAGACTCTTAAAGCAACTTGTTCCCCACCAACTCCCAACCCAGGTTGCCTTTTAAAATTACCTACAGAGCTTTAAAACATACCAGTGCCTGAGGCCCGCCCCTCCACGATATGTGAACTGTTACTGAGTCAGGGTCCTGGTTAAAGCTATGAAAGTCTCAGGTGAATCTTGGTGGGACCTCCAATTTTGCCAGTGTCCTGTAATTTACCAAAGACTGCCAGGAACACAGTTAAACCAGTTGGGTTTATCGCTTACTGCAGAGAGGGAGAAGGCACAGCATGGGAAACCATGGGGTGTGTTCTCTCCAAGAGAGGATATTAGAATTGATTATAGAATCTTGGCTTTGATGGGACAACTTGGGAAGGGGTCCAAGGAAGTGAAGGTTACTCTAGATTGGATGCTGTCAGTAAGCAGGGGCAATTCTATGATTGGGTATCTCAATAAATCTCATCTCTAGGGACTATGGGAAAGACTAGAATGAAGATAAAGTTGAAATAGAAAAGAAGTAGCAGTCATTCATCTTGGCCAAGAGAGGGGCTACTTGGTATTTTGTGGGTGGCAGAGTGACCTCATTCTTGTCTGACCTTAGGTAAAATTATGAAGTCACCTTGCTTCATTTCATTTTATCTTGGCCTCGGAGTTAATCTGTCTGAGGCTGGTATGCTGTGAGATTGTTTAGATCCAAGAGGAGAATAGCATGGCTTAGCTGCAAGGGTCAGGCCAGCTTCTAAATGACAGGGGCTGCTTTTCTTTTTTCCCATCACCCATAGTCCCCTCATCATCCCCATTCCTCCCCGCACCAAAGGAAAGAGAAGATGGAGTAGAGGAGAAAGAGAAGAGTGAATGGAGGTTGAAAATTGAGAAAGTGAAAAGAAGAGGGAAAATAAAAAGGTATGAGAGAGTAAACCTTACAGACTTTGCTTCTCAGCTCCAAGCTGAACTATCTTTCAGCTCAATCTGTGGCAGAAAAGTGACGAGAGGGAAGTGATCCATTGATTTTTCACTGCCCTGCAGCCCAGCCCCTCACGCATCAGCAGTGACCTTGCCGCCATCCCCACTCAGAGCAAGAACTCTTTCCCGCCATCTGTTTGGCATCAGGTGATTGGTGGTGCTCAGTTTGGTGTGAAGGGGAACCTGCTCATGGAAGGGCAGGAGGGTGGCAGTGAGATGGTCCAGGGAGCTGTGCCCACAGCTTCTGTGTGTGTATGTGTTTTTGTGTGTGTATACGTGCGTGCATTCGCATCCTTACTTTTGGCCAGACTATGCTAGAAGTAGGTTGTCATCCAAGATGTGTGTGCCAAGGGCACTCCCTGAATCTGGAATGCTGGCCTCAGTCCAGGTGTCTTGTGGCCTCCCCACCTCCACTCCAACCTAACTAGAAGTGGAGGGGCATGTGTCCGAGCCCTTGAGCGCTCCCATCTGGCTCAAGGGGCTGACATCTGAGGGGGTAGAGCCATCCTCCCCTTTGGGGCTGGCTCTATGAAACTCTGATGATTCGAGGGCCCTGGAAGCAGCAGGGCCCAGGTGGCATGGAACATGCCATGTCTTTTGTGCCTTTCTTTACTTGGCTTAGGCTTTTCCCGTACCTGGAATCACTGTGCCTACCCTGCCCTATTCAGCCTTCAAGACTGAATGCAAATGCCTGCCTCTCCCAGCTGAATCAGTATTCCCTCCTCCCTGCTCCCAGAGAGAAGTCTTTGCTCCTCCATCTATGGAAAAACTTCTCACATTGTATTTATTACTATATGTTTCTTACTGGAGTGTCTCTCCTACTGGACAGGGAGCAGGTTTATTTATTGCTCAGTCCTCAGCCCCTGGACTTAGGCAGACTCATAGTAGACATTTGGGAAATGCTTGGGAAAGAAAGGAGGGGAGGAGAGAGGAAGGACTCCATGGCCATGTCTAAATGCCCAGCAATGTCATAGAGGTTATGGGGGTGCAGGAGAAGACACAGCCCTCCCTCTGGCAGCTAGGATAGAGCCTAGCTGCTGTTAAAGACAGGCAGCTCATTCCTCACCTGGGCCAAGCTGCAGCTGGTCATCTCTGCCCCTTTCTCCTTCCATCTTATGGGAGCTTTTATGGAGTCAGAAGTGAGTGAGGCAGACCTGGGAGAGCCCTACACTCAGGAAGAATGTAGGCTGCAGAAAGGAACAGGTGTCCTGGAGTTAGCTCAGGAAGGTCTTGAAGGAAGGGGTTAACTAGCAGATGGCAACCCAGTGACTTTTGTTGCTCTCTGAAGCCACAGAGGAAAACAGTAGCAACAAAATAAAATAAAATAAAATAAAAAATAATAAAAAAGCAAAGTTCCCAAGGAAATAAGATGGGGGAATTGGGAATTTAGAAACATATTACTCACTGCCTGAGCTCCCCTGGGCAAAAGCAGAACTACTTCAGCACTCATTTGGTGTGGCTGGGTTCTCGGGCAGATGCAGGCTGTCACCTCCTGGCTGCTGTCTAGGCCCCAGCAGGGGAGACCTGCACACTGTGACGTTCAGAGGAGCTGAGCCTCCTCTTTGCAAACTTAAATCGTGGAGCTTTTCAATTATGCACTTCAGCACCTGGAGCTTCGGTGGAGATGCTAAATGAAAGTGATGATCCACACATGCATAATGATTCATAGCATTTGTAATTGGTGAAACGCATAAAGAGAATAGGGAGAGGCAATTAAGGTAGGAGAGATTTTTTATTTTATTATTTCAGCTTGAGATGAGCATGTTGGTCAGCACCTCGGGACTTGACAACTTGTCAAATCCTACCTCAAGGCCACAACAGGAACCACAGACAGGCCTTGTTTCAGAAGTTCAGGGATTCAGCCAAGGGGAGCAGGGAGAGATTTGGGAATAACATCTGAAATGTTGCCCTGAGTCCACCCTCATGGGGGCATCAAAATGCACAAGGGGCAAGATCTTGACAGTTGCAATTTCAAAGCATCTCAGCATAGGGGAGTGGCCTATTGGAAGCCACATAGACCAGGGTTCAAATCCCAGCTCCACCAGCTCCACCACCTGCTAATTATGTGATCTTAGACAAGGTTCTTGAGCTCTCCAAACTTCTATTCCATCACTGCAATGAAGAGATCGTGGTTGTTGTGTGAGGCTGGTGGGATCTGGATTAAATTAAAGGATATGCCATATGGAAAGGGAGGGAGCACAAGGCCTGGCATATTAGAGGTGCCCACAAATGGAAGTCCCCTTCCTCCACCCCCATCCCCCTTCACAGGACAAGAACGTGCCTTCCTGGACCCTCCCTGCCAACATACCCAGACCTCACGGTTTCTCATCAAAATGAATTATTCAGGTCTTCACCTGTATCTAGACACTCAGTGAGTGTGTCCTTGGCAAAGGGGAAGCACTTGGCTGGAAGTGGTTGTTGGTGGGTTCTAAATATTGACTTTCTTATGTGTGAAGCAGAACTTCTTCTAATTTGTCCCAAAGAATATCTGCCCAACTGTGGGTTGGGCCTCAAGCTGGAGCAGGCCGGTATTGGATATGAGTCTCTCCTTCCCCATCACGATTTTATCATCTCTAATCGCCTCTCTGTCCAGACTTCCAGGCTCCAAGTTTCCAGCTTCAAGTGATTCATCTTAAAGCCCACCCCCACGGGCCCCTCATCTGCTGTTTAATTGGAGAAGGGGGTGCTAGAGGCCCAGGCGCCTTAATTGCATTTGTTAATGGGTAGGTGCAATTATCCCTGCCACACTCCTGCACGCTGCCAGGCAGACAGAGATGATTAAGGGGGTCTTTACAATTCCAGCTCCCTGCAGCTCTCTCCACTAATTGAGCAGTGGAGGAAGCGATATTGAGCTCCCCTACTCCTTTCTTTAAATTAACTCCTGCCTCCAAAGTCTTCCTTGGAACAGTGCATTGGCCACATGGCTCAGAGCGTTTAGTTCCAACCCCATCCGTCACCTGTCATTTAGGCCCAGGGCCTAGCCAGACCATGAGTTGGTCTATCCATCACCCACAGGCTGGGAGTGGGCTGGTAAGGGGGGGTGCCTTTGTGGCCCCTGGAGGGTGATACCATCCAGCCTGATGATAGCACCTGTCATGGAGACTATAACTGAGAAGTGACTCAAAAGTTTCCACTGTCCTCTGAGCCTTGGCCACCTGAGTTCAGCCCCAGTCTGGACCACCACAGTTGCCTACGAACTGGTCCCCCACTCCCTAGCTCCATGCATTCTCCACCCAGTAGCCAGAATGATCAGCTTGAAATGCAAATGGGGTCAAGCACGAATGTTAAAAACCATTTGATAGCTTCCCAATGTATCCAGAATGCCATCCAAGCTCCATGCCATCGCCTGTAAGGGGCTGTCAACCCAGCGCCTGGCACACTCTCCATCCTCAGCCTGTAGGCCTCTAGCCCTTGCTTACTAAGCTCCAACCACACTGGCCTTCACAGTCCAGCTCCTCAGACATACCAAGTTATTTCCAGCCTCAGGGCCTTTGTACATACTCTTTCCTCTGCCTGGAAGAAGCGGCCCTCACACTTTTTGTGGTCAGCACCTTCTCACCCTTCAGGTCTCCATTTAAAAGTTGCTTGAGAGAGGCCTTCTTTCCTTCTGTGACTGCCATATCTTAAGTAGTTTCCTACCCTCTTAGTTCTGTTTTTTAAAACCTTTGTGTGTTTCCTTCAAAATATATTTCACAATTTTTCATTATTTTAGTTTTGTTCTTTTGCTACATGTTTTTGTAATTGTTTCTGTCTCACTAAAGTCATGGAAGCTATAAATTCCATGAGGTCAGGATCTGTCTTCTGGTTCATCATTGCATCCCAAATGCCTGTTGAAGAGATTGGTACCTCCTCATTCATTCAGCAAATATTTATTGAGCACCTGCTCTGTGCCAGTCACTTCTTTTAGGCATTGGGGAGACAGCAGTGAACAAACAGGAGAAAATCACTGCCCTCCTGGATCTTACACTCTAAAGGGGACAGGGGACAGGGGAGTCATGCAATAAACAACATGGGCTAGGTATGGTGGCTCATACCTTGAATGCCAGCACTTTGGGAAGCTGGGGTAGGAGGATCGCTTGAGAACAGGAGTTTGAGATCAGCCTGGGCAACATAGTGAGACCCGTCTATACAAAAAAAGAACAATTAACAAAAGTAAATCATATAGAATATTAGAAGGTGACTAGGACTCTTTCTACCAATCAAGGCTGGTGACTAATAATTCTCTGGGATCCTGGGAATTCAATACTGGGTAAAGAGAAAAAGAGAGAGATAGTATTGGGATGTGAGAGGTCAGTTAACAGGGTGGTTAACATTGAGATGTAAATGCATTTTGTTCCCATAAAAACGAAGACCATCACTTCCAGCTTCCTTCTTCCCAGTACCCATCTTCTAACCACTGCTGCCTCCTGAGTGGGTCTAGTTCCGTTAGAGAGAGCCATAGAAACTGTCCCACCCTGCAGCCCATCACAGCATGGTGCAGTCAGGTGAGCTTGGGATTCCGCCTGCCTAGGATTCATTCCCCTTTCTTCTGGAAACAGCATCCCAATTTGGAGGGAGGGGCAGTCCCTATCCCATTGAATATAGGCTTGGTAGGACTGTCAATTACAGTAGTCTGTCCTCTTCCAGCCAACAAGTGGCACTGGGCCCAGCTTCCTCCCCAAACCTGAATCCTAAATGGAGAGACAAAAGAATTTAAAAATAGAAGTTTATTTATTCCAATGAAATGATGGTCCGTTCCTGGCACCCAGATCCTGACGCTGCCCTTCTTCCTGTCCTTTCCAATCATGTGTCTTCAGCTTTTCCTTTCCTTCTGGTGTGGCACCACAGTCCTTCAGCAATTTTTTTGCTTGTGATAGTGGGAGTTGGTTTCTGTGGCTTGCAACCAGAGATCCCTGGCTGGTACTGACTGATACTGTGTCAGTACAAACTGATAAGGTGGCAGACCAGTTCTCTTGTTTGTTACCTGGGTGAACTTGGGTTAGATGTCTTTGGGCCTCAATTTCCTTGTCAGTACCACAAGGATAACAATAGCATATTTCTTAGAGTTATTGTGAGGATTAAGAGACTGGGTGTTTGTGTATGAAAGTGCCTGGCAGTCCTGTCCTTTCCCCTCCCCTCCTCCTCCTAACCTCTCTCACGAGTCCAAAAGGAGATGTGGGGAAGCAGGGATGGCAGGTCTCCACAGAGGTTCCTATGGGAACCCTAGCCACATGTGCAGCATCCCTGGGGGTGTCTGGGAGGGGCTAGGCAGCTGCTGGGTGGCTGGCTGAAATGACTCTGCCTTTTGGAGCAGAAAGGCTCAGCTGTTCCTGTCCCCCCAGGTCCTAACTCAGCTCAGTGCATAGAACTCCAAACGGAGCAGATGTTCAGCTTCTGGAGCCTGGAAGAGGAGTGATCTCTGTATGGCTCTCAGCTTTCAGTCTCAGGGGAGGCTGGGAGGGAGGAAGAACAGTACTCAGCTCAGAGTTCTCAGGTTGGAAACAAGCCTTAAGAAGCCATTCAGCTGATCAATCCGACAATGCACCTTCAATGAGCTGGTTCCAGGAGTCCAGCACTGAACTGGATAGGCAGTGAGGGAGATGGAGAATTAAGAAACATGAGTGGAAAGACTTCACTGGAAATAAAAGTAGAAGTTAAAGACAGTAACTATGGCTGTCATCTGTGGAGCGCCCACCATGTTAGCCGTTCAGCTCAGTTATTTATATACATCTCCATGGTCTGAACCATAGATTCTGCCAGGAGATAGAGAGCCCTTTTTTACCTATGTGGAGGCTGAGATCATAGGAGTTACATATAGGACATGCCCAGGTTCTGTAGCCAGAACAATCACCTAGTGTGATCCTGTCTTACAGACTAATTCATTCATTCACTCATACCCAGAAATTTGTTGAGTATCCGATATGTTTTGAGCTCTTTATTTGATGTGCTTGGAGTTGAGTGGCAGAGGCTCATGAGCACACAGGTGACAATGATACCATTGAGAGCCCAAGAAAGGGCTGTGACAGCCATGGGACAGGTCAGTGGCTGTGCCTGGGTTGTCAGGAGGAAGTGGGGAGGTGTTGGCTTAGCTGGCCATGGAGGATGGAGGAGTGGCAGTTCAGCATAGGGAAGGTGGAAGGAGGGAGGAGGGAATTTCACACAGTGAGCCCAGCAACAGCAAAAGTGTGAGGCTTTGCACAGGGTATCTTCATCCTGGAGGCCCTCAGCCAGAGCACTGAGTCCAGGGGACTCCATGCCAGGGCCTGAGGCCAGACTATGGCTGATGCCAGACAGTCAAGGGCCTTATATGGGATGTCAAGTGATTTCAACTTCATCCTGTAGGAAAGGGTTTTAAGCAGTGGGGAGGTGATGTGGTCAGATTTGCTTGATACCCAGATAACTCCTGCTCTTGCATGTAGGATGGGCTTAAGGGTGGGGTAGAGGCGGAGCAGGAATCCTGTGCAGACTTTGCTATTGCCCAGGGGTCTCGGTGGGAGTTTCAGGGACTAGGGATGTGGTGCAGGTGGAGAAGAGGGACAATAAGTAGAGACATTTCAGAGATGGAGTCAGTAGACTCTCACTGGCAGAAAATTGAGGACAAAATAGTGTTCCTTGCCAGACACTTCTGTGTCTCTGCAGTGTTTGTGGGCATAGACATGTGTCCATCTATGTACACATCACATGTGTGCATGCGTGTGCATGCATGTGGGGCTGTCTGGATGCACACTGGCGATCATGCACGTATTTGTGCATGTGAGAGTCTGTGCTCTCAGGCATCCTGCAATCTGCATGACTGTCTTTATATGTCTGTGCCTACGGCCTGTATGTCTGCTGCTCCCAGTCCAGCTGTGAACCCACCCCGCCAGCCCGCTCCCATTGTGCTCCGGGCTCAGCACAAGATTCTGTGTGCCAGGCACCCTCCAGGGCTTCAGCTGCTTTCCAGGCTCCTGCTGCTAAAGCAAGATGCATCTTCCATCCCTGTTTGATGCTGCAACATGAACCCCAAGGCAGTTCTTCAAAGGGAGCCACTAGGAATGGAAAGAAAGAAAGTAAACATCAGGATTAAAACTGTGAACTAAGCCTGCCCCTGCTCTAGATCTGGCCCATGAACCTGCTCCCACAGGCAGGCTTTGATTTGAGGACTGCATTTCCCCAGGCCAGGATCCCAGGGAGAGCAAGAGGTTCTGGAAACACAGAGATGGGCGGGGCTCAGGGAGGGGCTGGGGGACTGCCCTCTCCCACTCAGCAGCTTGCCATAGTTTCATGAGTCCCTCTTCAAATGTGAAACAGCTTCCAATGGGCCTGAGGACTCTGATAGTCCTCAGGGCCATGGATGGAAAGCCCTACCTCCTTTCCTTCCTTCTTTCCTTCCTTCCTTTCTTCCTTCTTTCCTTCCTTCTTTCCCTCCCTCCCTCCCTTCCTTTCTCTCTTCTTCTCTCGCTCCTTCTTCCTTCCTTTTTCCCTCTCTTTCCTTCCCCACCCCTCCCTTCCCTTTTCTCCCCTCCTTCCCCGACCACCATTTCCAGAGGATACCAGGACTTCAAACTGACTCCCACGTGTGTGCTAACTCTGATAGTTAGTGGCTGTGTGATTGTGGGCAATCATGCCTGCTTTATAAGGTAGCTACTCTGACCTCACAGGGTTGGTTGGTTGTTGGGATTTAGTAAATTCAGGCATGGATGTGCACAGCAAATGCCAGCCTGGCTGGAAAAGCTCAGTACATGGCAGCCATCAGAATTGTTGTCACTGTTGTGCAGTGTCAGTGATCAGGAGTGACAAGGCATCTCTTGATCTCAGTCTACTTCTACCAGCAGGTAAACAAAGAGTGTGATGAGAGTTTTATAAAAGGCAGGGTGCTAGGGTGCTTGGAGGGGACTCAGAAGAGCAAGGGCCCAGCCTTCCTGGTAGAAGGGGCAAGATCTGGGAGAGCTTCCTGGAGGAGGTGACTCTCAAGTCTTACAGGATAGCTGGATTTCACCAAATGAGTCCAGGCCAAGGAGAGGCTTTGGCTGAGGTGTGAGAGGCAAACTGCAAAGACCTCTGGTGTGTCCAGGCATTGGATCCTGTGTGGGAAGCCTGTCTGCAGGCTATGATGCAAAGCAGGTCCTATGAGTGCTGGGCACCGCTGGACGAGTTTAACCAGACTAGGAATGCTGGGACTGAGGGATCTGAAAAAAAATCTTTACAGGCCACCAAATCTTCTAAACTCAGGTGGCAGGCTTCCTGTGGTGGTCGCCCAGATCCACTTCAAGGAGGGACATGCTGGGAGAGCTATAGTCAGGCCAGCCCCTTTCAGACGGCCTCAGCTGCAGAGCGCAGCCAGGCCTGAGATCCCTCCTCTTCCTGGGCAGTGCACATTCAGTGACTGACCAATGCTGGGGTATAAAGGTGTGGCCATCACAGCCCAAGTCATGATGACTCTGAGGAACTCATCTAGCTGCAGGACTCCTACAAGGGATTGAGGGATTGGAGAGGCTGTGGCTGGCCTGCACTGAAACCCCACCTCTCCCTCTGCCCCACCTGCTTCCTTCCCTTCCATTCCCTCCCAGAGACTGTCTCTAAATTCCAGTAAACACAGTCGCAGAGTCCCCTACTCACCCCTTTGGGCTGAGCATTGTCTTTCCATACTGCTTTCCCCCTACTGTCCTCTTTTTATTTTTAATTTAATTTCTTTTAAAGACAGGGTCTCCATCTGTCGCCCAGGCTGGAGGCAGCAGTGCGATCACAGCTCACTGCACCCTCTACCTGGGCTCCAGCGATCCTCTCACCTCAGCCTCTGACTAGCTGGGACTAGAGGTGCACACTACTGTACACAGGTAATTTTCTTTAAAAAAATATTTTTATGTTGCCCAGACTAGTCTCAAACTCCTGGGCTCAAGTGATCCTCCTGCCTCAGCCTCCCAAAGTGTTAGGATTACAGGTGTGAGCCACAATGCCCAGCTCTACTTGCCTCCTTTTCAAGTAAACTTCTTTTTTGTTGAAGTATAACATGCATACAGAAAGATGCAAAACTTAACCAATTATGTACAACATAAATCTCTGCAAAGTGAACATAGCCTATAACTGTCACCAGATCAGGAAACAGAATTTTACCAGCACTCCCAGAGTCCCTTTTTGCCCCACTCCTTCTCAAAGGCAACCCCTGTCCTGACTTCTTAACACCACAGACTTAAGGCTTACATGTTTTCAAACTTGAAATTAATGGCGTCAGAGCGTGCTGTCTTACGTATCTGGCTTCTTTCACTCAACATCACCTTCGTGAGATTTGTTCATGTTGTTGCAGGTGACAGTGCTCTATTCATTCTCATTGCTATACACATTTTCATTGTCTAAATTACCCCCACTTTATTTATCTACTCACCACTGATGGGCATTTGGGTGGTTTCCAGTTTATGACTAATACAAACGGCTCTACTATGAACATTCTTGTATCTTGTGTAATTGACTTTTGGTGCCTTTATAAACAAACTTCTGTTAGATATATACCTGGGCTCAGGATTTCCGGAGTAGGCATGAATATATTCAGCTTTAGTGATGCTTCTAAACTGTTCTTCCAAAGGGGCGGTATTAATTTACCCCTTCCGCAGTGCATAGGAGAGTTCCAGTTGTTCTGCATCCCCACCAGCCCTTGATATTGTCAGTCTTTGCACTTTCAGCCATCCTGGTGTAGTTCTAATTTGAATTCCCTGTTGGCTAATGAGATTGAACATATTTTCATATGCTTCTTGGCCATTTGGAGGTGCTCCTTTGTGATGTGGCTCTTCTGAGGTTTTTGCCTATGTATCTAATGAGGTTTTTGCCTTGTTGATTTGGAGGAGTTCTTTATACATGCAAGTGCTTTGTCAGATTCCCATGCTCCCTTTTTGAGATTCAAATATCCCCAGGGTAGGGTGAGGCCTGGCATCACCAATACTTGGGTGGTTCCAAATTACTTTCTCCCTTCTCTGGGCCTGGGAAGCCCTTCCAGAATGGAGGCCTCCTTACTGAGGCTGCATTTCCCTTCCTCTTACCAGTTTTATTCTTTCGGCTGGGAGAAGCTGAAATACAAAAGGGTACACACTAAAAAAAAATCAGGAGCAAAGATCTGGAGTTTTCACAGAGGAGAAAGGAGGCCATGGGAAGAGTTTGACCTCTCCCCTCCACCTGGGCAATCACAAGTGTGAGTATCTCAGTCTGGGCTGTAAGTGAGGAGGTAACTGCAGACAATGCTCTGAGGAGCTCTCAGGCTCAGGATACCTGGCAGGGGACTGGAGGAGGTTGGAAACTCCTCTCTGCTTCCAGAGGGACAGTGCAGAGGAGGTGCCCCAGCCCAGGGGGGATTGGAGGAGGAGATGAGAAGAAAGAAACAGGGGGGTCAGAACGTTTTATGGAAAGATGTGAACCCCTCAGTGGACAGGACTGTCTTCATCTCCAGGTCCCTGGTCCTTAGCATGGTACGTGCCCATGAATGTGCCTACCAGAAAGTAAGGGACACGTGGAACTTTCTGAAGGTAAGCCCTGTGGAAGGAGGGCCTGTGGCTGCTCATCGGTATGGGTTGAATGAATGAAGTTCAAATTATGATGTAAATAATAATAGCTCCATTTCTTGAGCAGCAACTAGGCAAGTGTACTTACTAGCATCACATTTAATCCAACAAGCACTAAATGGAAATTCATATCCAGTTCCATCTGATTCCAGAGCTCACAGGCTTTTTCCCTAAGCTGCACACCTTCTCATGACAGGAACCACAAAGAGTTTACCAAGGTGTTCTCTAGGCAGGAAGTCCACTCTTCTCCCTTCCAGGTGAGGAATCGCAGGCCCAAGAAGAGGGGCTCTGAGAAAAGGAGGCGGAGAAAGGTGAAATTACAGATGCTCCTCTTATCCTGCCCATCACCTCCTTCAAACTGTTTCACTTCCCTTCCTCCCCTCCCTCCCTCCCTCTCTCCTTCCCTTCCCCTCACTTCCCCTCCCCTTCTCTCCCTTCCCTTCCTTTCCCTTCCCTTCCCTTCTTCCTTCCTTCCTTTCTTCCCTCCCTCGCTCCCTCCTCCACAAACATTTCTTGAGCACCTACTGTGTGCTGGACTCTGTACTAAGGCCACAGTGACCAGAACAGACACAAAACCCTGTCTTTATACAGTTTACACTCAGTGGTGAATGCAGAAGACAGTCATTAATCAAATGAAGATGTCATTACACATGGGATGGGGAAACCTGGAGGCAATTGCATGCAGTTTGCTCTTCCAGCTGCAGACACTCCCCTCCCCAGTGTGGGAGAGAGCCCAGCCTCTGTGAGTTCTGTTCTCAGAGGATTTTGTGTTGCTGGGTGAGCCACATCATCCAGCCAAGCCGCTGGCTGCACAGGCTGCTGTTGCCAAGCACCCCAGAACACACCTCCTCCCCTTCCTGGCTTTTGTTTTGTAAAAACACGTTTTCAGGGGAATTATGCTGAATTGTCTGAGAGAGGGAGGGCTTGGAGCAGGTGAGAGGGAAGTAGCTGAAGAAGGGATTTGGGGAGCTTCTCCTCACCAGAAAAAGGGGCAGACAGGCAATAGGGATGGGCGGCGGTGGGGAGACCTTAGAGGGAAGTGGGCAGTGAGGACCCTAGGGTGGTCACGCCTACTTGGCACACAAGGTTCCCAACCTCAACAAAGGTGCAAATAATCCCCCCTATAAACACACACACACACACACACACACACAAACACACACACACTCTCAGGTAAGCCTGGCAGGGACATGGCAGAGCCTCCAGTCTTCAGGGACTAGGAAATCCTGGACAACAGCCATTATCTATGGTGTCCAGGGCAGCTCGCAGTCCAGAGGACCTAGCCTGAGCTATGTGGGTTCCTTAAGCCCTCAGACCCTTGCTTGCGTGGGGAGGAGCCCCAATGTCAACCAAGATGGAGCTGCCCAGTCTTGCAACGCAGCCCCAGTTCATCACCTAGTTTTCCTCCCTTCATCTTCAAACCCCTTCCTGGCCTCTAGACTATCATATTTCCTCTGACCTTTTTCATTTGATCCTTCATTCCCTAACTCCGGTGGGAGACCTCAACCCAGAACTCCTATGTGCTTCTCTAGCATATTCCCCCAAATCTGAGTTGTTTAGCCGAGTGACACTGTGGCAGGGTGGAGGGGTTAATACCAGCGCTACCTCATTAGGAAGTTGTGAGGATTAAACAAGATAATCCACCTGCAGCCTCCAGTGGAGCACCTGAAACACAGGATGTGCCCCGTCAGTGTGAGCTATTGTTGTGAATTACCTTTCCAAGCAGAGGGGAGATAGGAACGCAGGCCCAGAGACCTGGGGGGGCATGGCACAATCGCACAGCTGGAGTTCACACAGCAGTGCTGTCTGAGGATCATAGGAGGGTTGCTGATGCAGGAAGGCCACCCAGGATCTAGAACATGTGTGTGATTATATATGCCATCCTAAGGGGTCTGTGATCTCTTCCTGCAGGCCATGGGAAGTATAAGTGGTTTTTTTTTAATTTTTATTTTTTTTTTAGTTTTTGGAGACAGGGTCTCACTCTGTTGCCTGGGCTGGAGTACAGTGGCTCAATCACAGCTTACTGCAGCCTCCATTTCCTGAGCTCAGGTGATCCTCCCACCTCAGCCTCCCAAGTAGCTGGGACTACAGGTGTGCACCACTATGCCTGGCTCAGTTTTGTAAGTATGAGTGTTTTTTAAGCAGAGATGTGCATTTTAGAGAGCCCACTTGGCCATGGTATGGAAGATGGATCTGAATAGGGAGAGACACACCATTACATACCATTGACCCTGGTGTATAAAGACAGCCCTTCAGCATCTGGGCAGGCAACATAAGGAGAAGGGGAGGATAACCTATTTTCCAACTACATCTCATTTTTAGTGAGTAAGCAACTTTGGAATCATGTTAATTGTATTGCCAGAGAAGTGATACCGCAGGAGAAGAAAAACACTGTAAAGAGATTGCAAAATCGAAAACCTGTTGTGGCTCTGCAGGTGACAGTGATTCAGGGACACAGATGTGTCAAAGTTTCTTAAATCCTGACACCTCCCCTCCCACCCCATTCTGCCCACTGACCCCAGGAGGTCTCTTCTTCAGGTTGTGCATTTATTAGGACTCTGTATTGCGAGTAGCAAAACAAACAAAACCTCAGCTGAGACCGTTTAAACGGGAAAGGGAAGTTATTGACTTGCATAACTGAAAAGCCCAGAGGGAGGTTTGGCTCAGGTGAAGCTTGATCTTGTGGCTCAAACAATGTTATCTACGACCTGATTTCTCTCCGTCCTGCCGTCTACAATACCGGCCTCACCTGCAGGCTTCACTTAGCGGACCCCCAGTAACTCCAAGCTTTCCCTCACAATTGTAAATGGCTGTGTTGGTGCCTGACTTCACATCTCTACCTTACTCTCTCCCACCTGAGGGGGAGTCTCTCCTTCCCACAATAGCCTGCCTTTCCTCCCCTCACTCACATCCATGCCTCCTCGCTGCACATTGGCTCTGAGGGGTCATACAGCCATCCCAAAACCAATGAAGGGGGCGTGGGGCTGGGATCCACAACTGGCTAAGGATCCACCATCCTCATCCACACGGAAGGCAAGGGAGGAAGGCTGCTTTCCCAGAGGAAATTGCCCTGAGAACATGGGATCTGGATAAGGGTGAATCCGATGCCACACTGTGTGTGCATTCTCCTTACTCTCTAGGATTCGTCCTCTAGATTTGGAGGCTCCTCTGTCCCCATCCTTTGAGGATAGGGCCTTCACAGTGCTGTCCTGGTCTCCCTCCTGAGCCATCATCTCACCCTCTTCTGCCCTCCTTGACCACTCATGCATTGCTGACTCCTGAACTCATGTCTCCAGTTCCGATATTTCTCTTGTACCATGAAACCATATATCCACTGCCTGCAGGACTTTCCATTCTGACCTCCCACAGGGGCCTGACACCCAACATGTCTAAAGCCTGATTCATTCTCACTCCTCCCAATGACCCTGCTCCAAAATTCCTTCCCCTTCTATATTGTCACTGTTGCCCCTGAGCTGGAAATCTGATCACCCTTGATCCCTTCCTCTCTCACTCCCTCAAATTTAATCAAGCCCCAGGCCATAAATCCCTGGAATCCATCTACTTCTTTCTCTTCCTTCCCCCAGCCTCTGTTAGGTGCTCCGTGAAGTTCTGCTTGACTGATGCTTTCTATTTTAGCCAAAGCCCCCTCCCCTGTGCTGCGGAGCCTCTTAACTGCTCCCCTGGCCACCAGAGTGGCCTGGCCCTGAGGGCAGGGTCGATATCCTCATCACTGCCACACTGACAAGAGCTCAGGACAGCGCCTGGTGCTTAAAGACTCCCACAGAAATGTGCAGATGAACAAATCAACCTGTGAATGAGAGGGGAAAGGGCAAGAAGATTCTTCTTGGGAAAAAGTCAGTATCTCCAAAGGCCTAGGGAAGCAGGAGCTTCCTCAGACAACTGGCGCTGGCCTGGCAGAGACTGGTCCTTCCTCATTCAAAGCTCATCGGGCAGAGGGCTGCCCAGCTCCGGCCAGGGGTGCAGGACAGCTCCTGACAGGCACTGTCCATCAGAGGAAAGGATTCTTAAAGAGCCTTTGAATCTCCACATTTTGGGATTCCAAATGTTCAGCTTTTCCCTTAAGCTCAGTGCATTTGACCCCAGTTACCACCTGGAGCAACTAAAAGTCCAACTGCTCTCAGAAAACCAGCACGTCGCAACCGGTGCTTCGGGAACAAAGCGTGCTTGTTCTTCCCCCACCCTGGTCATGGGAGGTAGGCACGTGGGTTAACGACACCTAAGACTTCAGCTACTGCAGTGACATTAAAATGTCCGTCGGGGAGAAGGAAAAATGTGCCTGTTTGGCTTTAAAGGGCTCACAAACTTTAATATTCTTCTGTGACTCGGTAGAGAGGGCAAACCGGTGGCAAACACACATATGTGGGAATAGACCTGTGGCTGTGTGTTTTTGCTCTTCTGTATCAGGCTTCTGGGTTTTTATAGACAAAGACTTGCTCTTACCTCTCTTCTGCTGAACAAGGGCCTCCTTCAGTCCTCGACAGGCTTAGAAATAAACATAAGAAAGGAGGAGAAGACTTGGTTTTGTCATGTTCTGGCTTGGGCCCGTGGCCATGCTGGGCATCCCACAGCATGATCTTATTTAAGCCTCATAGTAACCCTGAGAACAAACACCCTCACCACTCCCATTTTGCCAGATGCAGACAAAAGCCTAGAAAAGTCCCTACTTACCCAACGTTGAATGGTTAGTGAGTGACAAACCCCTTTTCCCCTCCTGATGCAGATCTGTTCTCCCCAAAGCCCTAGAGGTACCAGGCTGGTGACACAATCATCTTTAGCTCCGAGGGCCTTGGTAACCATCCTGAGAGAAACCAGGACTATAGAGGGCTGGGGATTTGTCATACTTCTTTTGACACTGGCCCCCCGTTAAAGCTTGAATAGTAACCTCACAGGACAGCCCAGTCTTCCTGTTTGCAAGAATTTTAGTGCATATAGTATATGCCATGGTAGACTCTGGAAGATTTCTCCCTGTGTGACCCACCTTATATAATGCTAATTGGATTTTTTTTTTTTTTAAAGACAAAGAGGCACCAAGAAAAACACAAAAAAAAATGAGTCAAAATCTCCCTGGTCAGATAGCTTTTGTTGACATTAACAAACCCAAGTATAAGGTTAAAAAATTCAAACATCAGGAAAGTTTTAAAAATTAAATACCATTCCCCTCTATTCCTCTCCCAAAGGCAATCTTTGCTAATATTTTCTTGTGATTCTTTCCAGCAAAAACGAGCGTGTAAAATCCTATAGATATGACTCTATTTTGTTTTTGACATGAATGGAGAGAGTACCCCCTGGGTATTCTGCAGCTCACTCCTTTCACTCTAACATGTGTGAGAGAAGCTTCCCATTTTAGCACAAAGCAATCCACTGTTCTTTTCCTGAACTCTACGTGTTCATATTCTTTGCTCATTTAAAAATTTGGCATTTGGTTGTTTTCTTATCAAACTTTTTGTAAATTAATAAGTTTGTGGTCAAGTTTATATGTTAGAAATACGTTTTCTCTGTTTTTCACTGCTGTAACTTCTAATAAATATTAGCATTTCTCCTTTTTAGCCACACAAGGATCACAGAGAGGAGAAGAGAAGACTGTATGAGCTACCTACTGCTACTGTGACAAATTACCACAAACTTAGTGGCTTTAAACAACTCATTTATTGTCTTACAGTTCAGGAGGTCAGAGCTCTAAAGTGGGTGGGCAGGGCTGCATTCCCCTGGTGGCTCTGGGGAGCCTTTTCCAGCTTATACAGACCACCTTGGTTTGTGGTCACCTCCTCCGTCTTCAAAAGCAGCAGCAAAGTGGCCTTTTCTTCCCTGTGTGACCTCTGTTTACACCCTCATGTCTTCTCTGAGCCTCCTAGCTCCCTCTTATAAGGACCCTTGTGATTACACTGGGCCCACCCAGATAATCCAGGGCAACCTCCCCATCTCAACACCTTTAATTTAATCACAATAGCAAAGACACTTTTGGCATGTAAGTTATCATATTCATAAATTCCAGGGATTAGGACATGGACATATTTGGGGATCATTTTTCAGGGAAGAAGGGGAGAAGGGTATGTTGGGGGAAGGGTTGGTAGTATTGCTGCAAATTGTAGCTGTCCCCTCACCTCTGAAAGTCTGGAACCTTCTACACTTGGTGTGATTTAAGCCTCCTAAAAAGTGACATCCCTGCTCTTCAAGGTTATCACATCACAAGGTTTGTTTCTTATCCTCTCCCTGCCCCCAACACATATATCTGGCATGAGGGCAATTTATGAAAATCAAGTACCTGTGCCAGAAAATTAACTCTCGCAGCTGGGTGGTACCTCCTCACCAGGCTATAGGCTCCTGGAAGCCAGAGACCACATCTCAAGCTTTGTTGTTGTTTTATCTTACACAATCTGCCTGGCACAGCACTTCATATGTGATTAGAGAGGGAAAGAGGAAGGAAGGAAGGAAGGAAGGAAGGAAGGAAAGAAGGAAGGAAGGAAGGAAGGAAGGAGAAAGGAAGGAAGGAAGGAGGGAGGGAAGGAAGGAACGGGAAAGAAGGAAGGAAGGGGAAAGAAGGAAGGAAGGAAGGAAGGAAGGAAAAAAGAAGACAAGGAGTCAGTGCTTCTCTGCAGGCCCCAGCTCTCCTTGCACATTCCTGTAGAAATGCTCTCCTGTTCTTCCTCTTCCCTGAGGTCCTCTTCCCCAAGGTCTCCCCCTCCCTGGGACTCAGCTTGACTTCTCTTTCCTTGGATGACTGGGCTTTCCAAGAGGACACTGGCTATAGGCAGGTGGTTGAGCAAAGACTTTGTGGGAAGATCATGCCCTATTTTCCATCCAGCCATTAGTGCCCTATTTTCTATTTAGCAGAACACTGAAAGCAGGAAAGAAGTAAGAATAATTAGCACGAAGTCAAACCTCTTTTGGCATTCTGCTGGGAGTGGAAGGGCAAGGAAGGCAAGGAGCAGTTCTGACATGGTGGGGGGAGAGGGTTCAGATATTGGTCTTATTCAGATACATCCGGAAGGCAGGAGGATGGGCTAGATGACCTCTCAAGGTCCCGTCCAGTCTGAGATGTTCACTGCCACTGTGTCCTCACCCCTGTGAATCTGCCTCTGGCCTCTTACTCCGAAACCTCCAGCCTTATGTCCTCCCTGAGTTGGCCAGGGAACCTTTTCCCCTCCTGATTATAAAAATAGCTCATACTTCCTATTACTGAAAGTTTGACAATTTAAAGAAGCAAGAAAATATGATATCCACAATTCAGCTACCCAGAGGGAAGCATGCTTAATATTTTAGACTATTTTTCTCCTAGTCTTTATTCTATGCATATATATTTGCAACTCCTGCAGTAGGCTTCTTTCTGCAGTTTTCTAGGGAGGGTGCGTTAGGAGATCAGCCTCCCTACCTCCAGGTAGCTTGTCCCTTAATGGATGGCTGCTTCCCATACCCAGTGGCTGCCAATGACGGAGCTGCTTTGGCTCACCCCAACCAAGGAGGCAGCCGGAAAGCCTTCCTCTGCAGTAACTCAGACCTTAAGGGAGGTTTCACTTTGTCATTGAATGAAAACAAGAGAGTGGGCCAGGTGTGGTAGCTCATACCTGTAATCTCAGCACTTTGGGAGGCCAAGGTGGGCAGATCACTTGAGGCCAGGAGTTTGAGACCAGCCTGGTCAATATGGTGAAACCCTGTTTCTACTAAAAATACAAAAATTAGCTGGGTGTGGTGGTGGGTGCCTGTAATCCCAGCTACTTGAGAGTCTGAGGCAGGAGAATCGCTTGAACCCAGGAGGCGGAGGTTGCAGTGAGTCGAGATTGTGCCACTGCACTCTAGCCTGGGCAACAAAGTGAGACTCCGTCAAAAAAAAAAAAAGAACAAGAAGAAGAAGAAAGAAAAGAAAGGAAAGGAAAGAAAGAGAAAAAGAAAAGGAGACTGTCTTCAGGCCTCACAGAATTGGAGTCCTATTGGGGGAAATGGGAGGGTGGAGGCAGGTATCTCATGAAGTCCCACGGACCCACACAAGGTCTCCTGCATGGATCTCTTCCCCATCTCCCCTCTTCCTGTTGCCTCTCTAGCTTTTCACCTCTTTCTCCTCAGTAGCTACTGCTTCAGGAGAGAAGAGGTGAGATCTCTGAGAAGAAAGGTGTGGGGAGAAGGGGCTCCCTGAGGTGCAAGGCAGGAGGTGGGGAAAGGAGGACTTCTGCTTAAACTGTAGCTGCTTCACTCAATGAAGCACTCGTCTAAAATAAAACATATCTCATCCTCTAAAAACTAATCTTTTCCAGGAAAGAAAATACAACTACAGAAATAATATTTGGCCCACATAAGAAATTGATATTCCTCCTATTACTCTACTCATAACTCTATTTCCTGTGAGCAAACACTCTGACCTTATTAGCCCAAGAGAACATTTACATCCTCTCTGTCCAAGGTCAGATGACAAGATATCCTTTATTAACTTGACAAAACAGCATATTGTACTCAAGTTACCGACTCTTGTAATCACTCAGAAAGGAAATAGTGGTGGGTGTGGAATCCTGGGGAAGGCAGGGTAAGAAGTCTCTTTTCACTTGATCACATATTTTTAACGTACACGAAATTACAGTTTTTGTGTTTGTTTTTCACAATATCATAAGCACTGCCCCCCAAGTTTTTTTAAAACTCCCTAAAGACTCTATCTTATCTGAGCACGCTTGCAAATGAATTCATACTATTACATTGTAGAGCACAGCCGTGGTTCTGTGATTTTAGGAACAGAGGTCCTTACAGACCAGAAGACCTCATATTATTCTTGCTAAAATAAATCCTTAAGATTTCCCAATAGCTAGCTTAGTAATTGCTGGTAACTTTCCAAAGACATCACTGATAAGGAGCAGCTTCTGTTAGATGATTGGAAATATTGCCCTGGTTTTCAAAACTGTGTGTAGAAGGCACTGAGGCCAGGTTTGGCAGTAACCACATAAGCGGAGTCAAGAAACATATCCTAGGAGGAGACACAGTATCTGGGTCATTGTTTCCACAGCTGTCAGTCTATCCCAGGGAACAGAACTGAAGACATTTCATCCTGGACACAGGCAGGCAGCTGTGTTACTGCACAAGAGTGGACAGACGTGGAGCCAGCACATTCCTAACTTTGAATTCTGATCATCTCTGAGATTGTGTAGCCCTCAGTTCTCAACCCTGGTTGTACATTAAGGGGGGGAAAAAGCCAGTACTCAGGACTTATTACAGACTGATTAAAGAAAAGAATCTGAGTCTCCCCCCTCTGGAGAATCTGAGAGAGAAAGCTCTCTGTTCAATTTTCGTAGTTTGGATGACCTGGAAAGCCTCTATGGAGGCAGAGAGTGGGTTCTATGACCTCTGTTAGGTCCCCTTTCCCTCCCTGTGTTCCTTAGCCAGGACTTGGCAGGAAACCCTGGGATATCAACAGTTCCACAGAGCATTTTGCGCCCAGTTTTCTTGTTTTTATCTTGAGATCTCATCATCAGGGAGACTTGGAGAATAGGCCGGTAATTTTGAAACCACAACTTGGCTTCTGACTGCCTCAGGCCTTCTTGAAAGTTTCCACCAGCCAAGAGTTTCATCCAGATATCTGCAAGGGACCTTCAAGGGAACGGCTGGGAAGCTCATTGTCCCATTAGGACTCCCTATGACCTTCCCAGAGGGCCCAGCCACACAGATGCAGCCTGGAATGTGGCAGGAAGCTGCAGAACAGGCAGGAAGCCCAGCTCCACGTTACATCGCAAGCAGCCTCCAGCAGCCAGCCCTGAAATATCCCGTTTCTTCCTGATCCACCCCCACTCCCAAACACACATCTAACCAGCCAGTAAGATTCAGCAGTTACCTCTGAAACGCGTCTTGGATCTTCTGTCCTAACACCAACTCCCCAGCGCAGGAGCAATCTCCTAACTGGACTTCCAACCTCCAGTCTCTCCACCTCCAGCCCATTCTCCATGCCATGGCCAACATGATCTTACTAATCTAAGATCTTCTGGTTTGAAGATGGCATAAAGTTAGTAACCCTCCCTTCATTTTCTGGAAGTAATCCAAAAGCAAAAAGGACTTGAGCGATAAAAACACAAATTCCATTTTTAGTAAAAGTAGGAGACACCTAAACCACAAAATAGACGGAAGAGTTGCCAAAAGCAATAGAGCTTCAGCAGAGATGTTGCAGGAAGAAATAGAGCAAGGATGCTGTGCTGCAAAGTCTCTGGGACAGCCTGAAAAAGAATCCTCCAGAAGAGGAGGGGCACACCTGGATGCGGAATGCACAGAGCCCTTGTGTGCAGCAGCAGAAAACGGGTGCAGGTGCTGTGGCCTGAGCTCTGCTGGCTCAGGACTCAGACAAGCCATAGTTGTAGGAAATGGTCTGTTTCTGTGGCAACAGGGGAGGAGAGACTTTGCCTCGGGGAATCTTTGCCATTGGTTGGAAAGAATTCAAGGCTCAGTGAATTTACATCAACCCTGGGTCATAAGGAAAATTTAGCCAACCTGGAAGACAATCTTGGCCTCTCTCACACCTGAGGTCCACGGGGAAGAAAAAACATTACCTTCTTCAATAATGAGTAATATATACAAAGTTTTGACAAGAAACAAAGGAGGAAAAAAGAAAAAGCAAACAGCAAACAGCAGGTAAAGAAGATTCATCAAAAAACATTGTCATGGAGCAGATGACAATTTTAACGAGAAAATTAAGAAAACATAGCAAAGTAATTTCCCCCACAAAGAAAACACGCACATGAGAGATGAGGGAAGAGGTAATGAAACAGTGGGAGGAAATGAATCCTGAGCTGCCAGAGCTTGGGGAAGAAGTGAAAGAAAAAAAGAAAACTATCCAACCTTCACTCTTAAAAAATGAAGCCTCAAATCTGAAGCAGTAAAAGGGGAACACATACTGTGGAAACTCAATGAGAGATAGTGAGAGGAATAAGAAAAGGAGGCAAACTAAATGAAAATAAAGAATTAGAAAACAATAGGTACATTTGAAAGG
Source organism: Homo sapiens (assembly GCF_000001405.40). Taxonomy (NCBI): domain Eukaryota; kingdom Metazoa; phylum Chordata; class Mammalia; order Primates; family Hominidae; genus Homo; species Homo sapiens. The sequence continues at coordinate 69,080,230 of NC_000015.10, read as the reverse complement.
CAAAGAAGAATTAATTTTATATGCATTAAATATGTCTGAAAGGGGCCGGGCATGGTGGCTCACGCCTGTATTCCCAGCACTTTGGGAGGCCGAGGCAGGCGGATCGCTAGAAGTCAGGAGTTCAAGACCAGCCTGGCCAACATGGTGAAACCCCGTCTCTATTAAAAATACAAAAATTAGCTGGCGCGCTGACACACACCTGTAGTCCCAGCTACGGGGAGGCTGAGGCAGGAAAATGACTTGAATCTGGGAGGTGGAGGTTGCAGTGAGCCGAAATCGCGCCACTGTACTCCAGCTTAGGAAACAGAGTGAGACTCCATCTCAAAGAAAAGGAAAACAAAATTCTGAAAGGGCACACAAGAAATTGATAGTATCAGTTGCTTTTAGGGAAGAAAATTGGGTTGGCCGTGAGGTAGGGTGGAAGGGGTGGAAGGAGGGCCAGGGTGGAAGGGAGATTTTTCACTTTTGTGTTTTTTAAAGTTTTGACTTGTATGAACATATTAGCTCATCAAAAACATTCAAATTAAGCAATACACACCCTGCCTCCAACACACACACACTTTCACAATCTGATTTTGTTACTGTCTGTTTAAAACCCTTCCATTGTTCTCATTTCTCTTAAGATAAAAAGCACATATCTAAAAATGGCTTATTAGTAGGGTGATCATATAATTTATTGTCCAACAGGGCACTTAAGATCAAAAAGATGCACTACAGATGTAAACTGGGACTAAGGCCATCTACTTATGAGGCAGGCCATGATCTGGCCCTTGTTTCCATCTCCAGCCTCATCTGTCACCTTCCAGCCCACAGGCTCTAACTGCAGTCTTACTGAGCTATAAGCAGCCACCCTCTTCCCTCCAGACCTCTCAGCACAAGCTGTCCCCTCTTCACAGTACTTTCCTTCTTCCAAGTCTCCCTACACCCTACACCCTACTCTTTGGCTTATTCTGTATATCCTTCGTGTCTGATTTACCTTACTTATTTAATCAGTTCTAAAATGCATGTTCTGGCCAGGCGCAGTAGCTCATGCCTGTAATTGCAGCATTTTGGTAGGTCAGAGTGGGAGGACTGCATGAGCCCAAGAGTTCGAGACTAGCCTGGGCAACATAGTGAGACATCGTCTTTACAAAAAGTTTAAAAAAAATTATGGTTGAGTGCAGTGGCTTATGTCTGTAATCCTAGCACTTTGGGAGGCTGAGGCAGGTGGATCGCTTGAGCTCAGGAGTTTGAGGCCAGCCCGGGCAACATGGCGAAACCCTGTCTCTACCAAAAAAAAAAAAAAAAAAATTAGCTGGGCGTGGTGGCATGTACCTGTAGTCCCAGCTACTAGGGAGGTTGAGATAAGAGGATTGCCTGAGCCTGGCAGGCAAAGGTTGCAGTGAGCTGAGATCGAGCCACTGCACTCCAGCCTGGGCAGCAACAGAATGAGACCTTGTCTCAACAACAACAAAAAAAAAAGTTAAAAAAAAAAATCCGGGCATGGTGGCTCATGCCTATAGTCCCATCTACTCAGGAGGTGGGAGGATCACTTGAGCCCACGAGGTTGAGGCCGCAGTGAGCTGAGATTGCACCACTACACTCCAGCCTGTGTGAGTGACAAAGACAGACCCTGTCTCTCAAAATAAATAAATAAAATAAAATGCACATTCCTCACCTCCCTACCACCCCGTTACATTTTCACATCTCTGAAATTAGAACAGATCTTGATAAAATCCACAACACGTCACGGTTCAATTGGCAGCATTTTTCTTAGTGGTGCATAAATTAATGATGCATCTTTTTTTTTTTTTTTTTTGAGACAGAGTCTCGCTCTGTTGCCCAGGCTGGAGTGCAGTGGCGCGATCTCAGCTCACTGCAACCTCTGCCTCCTGGGTTCACGCCATTCTCCTGCCTCAGCCTCCAGAGTAACCAGGACTACAGGTGCCCGCCACCACGCCCGGCTAATTTTTTGTATTTTTAGTACAGACGGGGTTTCACTGTGTTAGCCAGGATGGTCTCGATCTCCTGACCTCGTGATCCACCCGCCTTGGCCTCCCAAAGTTTTGGGATTACAGGCGTGAGCCACTGCGCCTGGCCAATGATGCATCTTACAACAGAAGGCATCTTGGGTTTGATGACCGGTGTTATCACACTGTACTGTAACTGCCTAGTTCCATAGCTAGCTTTCCACTTGCTGGGAAAGCTAGTCGTTGAGGGCAGGACTGTGTGTTATTTTTCATTGGGCTCCCACTGGCACTTACTGGAAAAATGGTAGTTCCACGATAAACATTTTCTGAATGTGCATGAATAAATGGATGCAGTTTCATCAACTTTTCTGAAAATACTTTGTATCTTTTTCTGCCTAGGCCCTACTTAACTGGTGACATAAAACTTACAATGAAGCAGAAAATTTCAGAAGAAAAATTTGTTTAAGGACAGGGGGTTTACTCTCAGACATTTCTGCACATTTTTCCCCGTCAACATTTCTGGTTTGCTCTGGGTCTTCAGATCTCCTGAAGACTCTCAATGACTGAATGAAGGCAATCAAGTTCCATATAGAAGAAATCTTTGTGTTTTTAAAAGCAGGACTTTAGATCTATAAAAGTGAAATAAAATTATTGTATACATTTGTATTTTCTTTCAAAGTTTCAATCTCACTCTTTTTTTTTTTTTTTTTGAGACAGAGTCTCACTCTGTCCCCCAGGCTGGAGTGCAGTGGCGCAATCTCGGCTCACTGCAAGCTCCGCCTCCCTGGTTCACGCCATTCTCCTGCCTCAGCCTCCCGAATAGCTGGGACTACAGGCGCCCGCCACCGCGCCCGGCTAATTTTTTGTATTTTTTAGTAGAGACAGGGTTTCACCGTGTTAGCCAGGATGGTCTCGATCTCCTGACCTCATGATCCACCCGCCTCGGCCTCCCAAAGTGCTGGGATTACAGGCTTGAGCCACTGCGCCCGGCCCTCAATCTCACTCTTAACTTGGTTCACAAAGCGGAAGTGACAAATACAAAACAGAAATTCATTTATTTATTCAACAAATATCTGCAGAATCCCCACCACTTGCTTGCATTCTTTTCCATACTGAGAACATCCCAGTGAATGAGACAAGGTCCTTTCCCTCTTGGAGCTTACAATCGAATGATGGTTGAGATACAATGATGTACATACAAATTAAAAACATAATATTTCAGAAGCTGTGACTGCAATGATGATATGTGAATATACCATTTTATTACACTTGTGGGTCCCCAGGCTTATCTGATCATAACAACTGCCAGGGAGCTTGTTCAAAATACAGATTCTTGGGCCCCTGCCAGCTCCACTGAATTAAGATCTACAGCAGAGAGGCTGGGGCAAAACTATTCTAGGGAGTGCTCCAGTAATTCTTGTGATCACCTAGGCTGTGTCAGAACTTTTGAACTTTGGCTGCAAGCTAGAATCACATGGAGAGCTGTGAAGATATGTGACACTGGATCCCTTTCCCATCACTTCTGATTTCACCCATCTGGGATGAGTCCTGCATCTGTATTTCAAAGCTCACCAGATGATGCTAGTGGGCAGCCAGGGTTGAGAATGGAGGGCTACACTGCCTCAGGGATGGTTGGAGGTCAGAATTAACAACTTGCTGCCCACTCCTGCTCAGGAATCAGGAATCAGGATCTTGTATGCAGCTGCTTGCCTGTGTCCAAGATTAAATGTCTTTAGCCTACACCCAGGGACAGATGGGCAGCTAACCCAGGTACTGTGTCTTCTGCGTCTGGCTTTATACCTTTGCCTTGGATGTAGCTCCTCCTTGGATGTGTTTCCTGTACAGAGCCAAGTCTGAGAGGTGACCCCTGCTGTAACATTTCAGCTGGGCCTGGCCTCAATACCCAGCTGTGATAACCTGATGCAACACTTCCACTCACCTAGCACAAGCCATTCTCTCTTAGCAGTTTCTTTGGAATGTCCTCAGTGTATAATTTCCATTAGTAACTTCATTTTGAAATCCCATCAAGCCTACCAGCTGCTATGCCAGGAACCCAAAATGCAAACACTCCAACAGTTCCCCTTTTAAGAAAAGAAGAAAATGTTTTCCTTTTTCAGCTCAAAAATTTCCAAAATCATTATGTCACTACACCTGGCCTCTGAGGGGAGAAGGAGAGGAAAACAAGAAGATGAAAACCCCAGAAAACCCTGGCGTGAGAAGCATTGTCATTCTCTTTTCCTACAACCAGCCCCTGAAGTCCCTACCACTCTAATACATTGTATCCTAACTGGGCACAATAGTAGTTTTTTTTTCCCCCCCAGAGGTAGTAGAGTGCTATGGAAAAAACTCAAGTTCAGGCCTTAGTTGGAGATGTGTGACTTCTGTAAGCCTCAGTTTCCCCATTTGTCAGTTTTGTTGTGAGGATTGGAGGAAGCATAACTAAAGCAGTAAGCATGACACCTGCACATAGTAGGTAGCTATGATTGTTATTGCATCCTCTCTGACTTTCGGTATTTTTCTCCTAGAGAAATGATTATGCTGGGATTTTTTTATGTCATTGCTCAATGAGCTGGAAAAGGCAGCCCTGCTGATTAGAATGCTGGTTTGCAGGAAACAGAGTGGTAGTGTTGACATTTGCAAAAAGCTTTCTTGCTAAACTTTAAACACTTGGCAGATCTAATCCTGCTGGCATTGCCTGTTAGTGATATTTCTATGGCTATAACGGACATGCCGATCAGACACCCAGGGAAAGGGCAGGATAATTGGTTTCCCTCAAGTTTCCAGCAAAGTTACGTGGACGCAAAGTCTATTTTAGCATGGAGGGAACTAATGTGTATTGAGTATTACCTGTCTAGCACATTTGGAGGTGCTCAATAAATGCTGAGAAGCTGAAACTGCATAGGCCAGAATGGACTATGCATTTTTATTCTGTGCTATGTGTTTTGCTATGGATAAATGGTTAATTTCAAATATTGATGTATTTTTTTGAGCAAAGGGTGTGTCAGTCCACATGCTAGGTTCTGGGACCATACCTGTAAGCAAAACAGAAAAGGTGTCTCTGCCTTCTGAGCCCTCAGCACAGAGAGGGTGACAGGGAAGAAACGGGAATATTCTCCTACTCTGTGTGCTAAGTCCTGTGATGGAGAAAGCACTGAAGGCATCTAACACAGCCTGGACTGAAAGCTAGGGAAGTGGAAATATATGCTGGCTCTGGAGGGCAATGGGAAACTCAGGGAAGGACTGAGCCTCGGAGGAACTGGAAACAGGTTAGCCGGCCGGTGCAGGAAGAGGAGAGAGGCAAGGTGAGGAGATCCCAACTGGTTTTGCAAACCTTACTGGATCTTCTGTTGGGCAGGCCAGTGTGCTGCAAGGCAAGGGCTTGTCGTTGCTATTAAAATAATTTCACAGAGGAAAATCGGCTTTTTGGTAAAGTTCCATTTAAAGTTGTTTTTTTTTTAATTACATTGATGGAGATAGTGGGTCTTATAATTTTAGGGCCTCCAAAGGTCTTAATCAGGCTCTGATGGTGAGCTCATTAGGGCAATGGGGAGTTATTGAAGCATTAGCAAGAGGGTGGCGAAAACGCCCTCCTTTCTCTTTGTCTCACCACGTTCCTGAGGACCTCTGTTCAGTAAGCGCAAACGGGCAGGCGTGGCTGCGGAGGTGGAGTCCATCCATTTCCTGGTTTTCTGCTCAGCCTGCGGGAAGGGCAGGGAAAGAGTTGGGGACTTGGTTGCTCCCTGGGCTTGGCACACCAGTTCAGCCTTGGCTTCGGGTCCAGGGTCCCCCACCCAAGCTCCCGTCTCTGGGGAAGCCCAGGCAGGGCGAGGACTAGCGCGGTGATCGGGAGGCTGGATCCTGGAGAGACAGGAGCCTGCTTTCCTGCCCCGAGCGGCCACGACCTCGTAGGGTTGCAAACCGAATCAATCCTCTCCGTGCCACCACCTCCAGTATCTTGTTTGTTCTCTGGACTCGATTCCTCCCTTTATGCAAAATCTGCTGGGACCTCCCGCGCCTGGAGACTCCCGGGGCGGCGTGCTGTCCCCACTGGGCGCGCAGCGCAGAGCGCCCCGGGCAGCGAGAGCGCTCCCTGCACCCAGCCCTGCTCCGGGCTCCCCACCGCGGCCCTTTTCTTAGGTTGTAGACACTCCCGCCCCTGCACGTTCCGAAAGCTGCACATCCAGCGGGAAAAGGCGAGAATGGGGTCGGGCAGTTCCCAACGTCCCCCTCCACAGCCCATCTCCGAGCACCCTAGGGGCAATGCCAAGCAAGCGAAAGACCACAGCGAGGCGGTTCCTCGCTGTTACTTTAAAACAAAGTGTGTGTTTTCTATGTTGGGATGTTAAGGAAAAACAAACAGGTAAAATAAGATGCTTGTAGTCACGACTCAGTGGGTAAAATGCTGTTTCTATTTATCTCCTCTTCCTTCCATCTCTGCTATCTGCCTGCCTCTCTCTCTTTTTATGATTTTCTTTGTTTTATCACACAGGGAATATGCAAATGCATTTTCATTGTAAGAAGTTGAAACAATGCAGGAGATTACAAAGTAAAATGTGAACACCATATTGCAACTCGCCACCCCCATTCCACTTTCCTCCACCCTGGTAAAACCACTGCCTGCCATTTGGTATGCGACATTCACTCCTATTCCACGCATTTACAAGTATGTGAAAGTACACATTCGGATATACACAAATATAACATTATTGCATATATGCACATATGTACATGCACACATAACTTTTTTGCAGTTTTATGTCATGGAGACCATACAGTAAGTGTTCTTCAGATTGTCATTTTCATGTACTAATATGTCTTAAGGAGCTGTCAATGACAGAACATACAGGTCTTTTACGCCATAGCTCTCTTTCTAATAGCTGCAAATTCCAAACTGTGGATTTCTCATGGATTATTTAACCTCCCATTATTTACATTTCTGGTGTTTCTTTTTTTAAATTTTTTATTTTCTTTCTCTTTTTTGTCATTACAAACAGGAAGCAATGATTATTGTATTAGTTATTTACTGCTGCCTAACACAATACTCCAAAAAGTAGTGGCTTAAAAGTATAATAAATATTTATAATCACTCACATTTTTTGCCAGTCAGGAATTCACAGCTTCTTGGGTGGGTGGTTTCTGGCTCAGTGTTTTGCATGGGCTTGCAGTCAAGATGTTGACTGAGGCGTCAGTCAAATGAGGCTTGACTAGGCCTGCAGGATCTATTTGCTCTCAGAGCTGGCAAGTGGATGTGGGCTGTTGGTGGCAGCCCTTAGTTTCTCACCCATGTGGGTCTCTCCACAAGGCTAATTGAGTGTCCTCACAACATGGTGGCTGTTTCCATCATAGCCAGTCATTCGAGAGAGCAAAGTAGAAGCATAGGGCCTTTTATGACCTAGCCTCCGAAGTCACACATTGTCACTTTGGCCACATTCTATTCATTAGGAGTAAGTCATTAAGTGTAGCCCTTTTGTGAAGGGAAGGGTATCAAAGAATTTGTGAACATATTTTAAAACCACTAGTATTACCCTTATACATAATCTTTGTGTAGTTGTGTGACTATTTCCTTAGAATACATTTCTAGAACTGGAATTGCTGGGTCTAGCAATATATGCACTTTTAACTTTGATAATTCCTCCTGTTTGTATTAGAAACTGTTCACTGTCCCCCTACTATCCATTTTCTCTTTTCTTCCTTTTAGCAATGAATCTCCTGAGTTTCAGGTGGGTATGAGTTGAGAATATATTTTCCACCCCCCTTGCTACTACATGGGGACGTGTAACTAAGTTATGACTGATGAGAAGCATTGTGTGCAATTTCTGAATCAGGTCCTTAAAATACGCTGTTTGTTGTACTTCTGCTTTCCCCAGGGAGAAATCTATTCAGAGAACAGATGTGGTAGTGGGAGTCAGCTTCCAGCAGGTGATGCAGGTAACACCCCTGGGGATGGTGGTACAATGTACAGAAAGAACCTGTGTCCTTGTATAACCTTGTGGAGCCGAGCCAGCCTTCTTTCCAGGACTTTCTACTAGCTTAGACTTTTGTATGAGAAAAAAATAAAATAAAGCTTTTATCTTGTTTCAGCCACTGTTACTTACTGATGATTTGCCTCCTCGAAAGCCTCCCCAACAATGTATGAGTATCCATTTCCTCCATCCTTGCCCACACTAGATATTATCAATCTTCAAAAAGCTATCAATCTGATGCCCCCCTAACTTATGACTTCATAATCTCCTTCACGTGCTATTGCTAGGGGCAGGGTGAAGGATATTGATATAAAATTCAAGAAAAAAACCTACCACAATCATATTAATAGAAAACACAAAGATATAATCTTGCTTTTGAGAAAGAAACTGCAATTTCAAAAGGACTCATACATCCCCCCATAGACTCTGCATGGATGCTGTGCCTTCCCTCAAAGGCATTACAGACTAACTGGGAAAAGGTATCTGGACATAGAAAACTAGCAGTACAGAGTGGAACAGTCTGGCTGGCTAATTCCTGGTACTGACCCAGGGAGATTGAGAAGGGAGCTGTGATGGAGGACATTTAGCCTCCCAAAGTCAGTGGTTCATGAATTTCGTATGCTATTCGGGTGAGAAGCAGGGAGAACGGAGTGGACTATCTGGGAGAAAGTTGTGGCAAATGCTAAGGGTACAGGCTCTGGAGTTAGACTGTCTACATTCATGTCCCATCCCTGCCACTTCACTCTGTTGGCACATACTTACTGAGTGCCTTCTGCAAGCAAGATACTATTGGTGAGGCTGGGCATTCCACGAGAAACTCTGCTGTAACTGGATCTTCCTTTCAGAGTGCTGAGACAGATGACGACAGGCTGGGCTTCAGTTCCCTCACCTGGAGAGTGATGAGAACACCAGCGCAAAATTCCAGGGCCATTGGGAAGATGGAATGAAATAGTACATGTAATGGCTCGCATCCATAGTGCCTGGAACATAACAAATGCTCGTAAAGGTAGGTGTTATCATTAAGAAAAGCCATGAAGGAGAAAGTCCCTAGAGCCCCCAAGGTTCCTTTCTGTGCCTTCACTGGTGACTCCCATAAACTTTGTTTTAATGCCCCCGATATAGTGTGGATATTTCTCCCCTCCAAATCTCATGTTGAAGTGTGATCCCAGTGTTGGAGGCGGGGGCTGGTGAGAAGTGTTAGGTCACGGGAGTGGGTCCCTCATAAATGGCTTGGTGCCCTCCCTGTGGTAATGAGTGAGTTTTTGCTCTATTAGTTAGAGTGAGATCTGATTGTATAAAAGAGCCTGGCACCTCTTCCTCCCTCTCTTGCTCCCTCTCCTGCCATGTGACCTGCCTACTCCCCCTTTGCCTTCTGCCATGAGTAAAAGCTTCCTGAGGCCTCACCAGAAGCCGAGCAGATGCCAGTGTCATGCTATCCAGCCTGCAGAACCATGAGCCAAATAAACCTCTTTTCTTTATAAACTACCCAGTCTCAGGTATTCCTTTATAGCAATGCAAAATGGACTAATACAACCCCCCCATAGAAAAACTCCTGCTTTCATAAAAGATATCAGTTCTTTCTCACTGAGGTGAAAATGATTGATGTAGTTTGATGCACTACTTCTGTTGCATTTACACTTTAGTGGAGAACATACTGTGTTTGGTTAAATCACAGGGACGAAAGTCTAATTATGAAATTTCAGGCATCAGCAAAGCTAAACCACAGGCATTTGGGCCAATTGAGGGTGCTTCACTGATGCTGCTGAAATAAACATTTTTAGGGAGCTGGCCCAGTCTTCTCTTCCCTTCCCTTCCCTTCCCTCTCTTCCAGTCCCTTCTTATCTCTCCTCTTCTGTCTCTGCTCCCCTGCCTCCCTTTTCTTTCTCTCCCTCCTCTTCCTCCTCTCCTCTGTCTCCTCTCTGTCTTTCCCTTGCTTAAATGGCTATCTAAGTCCCTGATGATTCAATGTGATTACGTTTCCATAGGCAGGTGTGTGTCTTGTTTAGTCACATTAAAAATAAATCACTTGGCCACACGCAGTCGATGCATCAATCTGTTACTTTCCTCTGCTTTCCAGGAACAGATTGCTCAAAAATCAGACGACTGTTGGGTGAAATGCGAGTGGGGAAAGGAGTGAGATGAAGGGAACAGAGCCCTTCCAAACTCGCCCTTCAGCCTTCCTACCCAATCAGAAAGGAAATCAGTCATGCCCACAATCCTGCCAATAACACAGTGTAGCGGCTGCATTCTTTGGACCAATGACAGTGAGCTGTAGAAGAAATCTCATTTGGAGAAGAGATGGGGGCTTGTGTTTACTGAACATCTACTACGAATCAGGCCCTGTGCTTTTTTTTGCATCTGTTCTCTTCTAAAGGGGAATCAGGATCCTGGCTGAGGGACCCTGGACTATTTCACCTTTCAGGATCTCAGTTTCTTTAGACCAAAAACACTAACTCTTATTTTTTTGTTGCACTTTTTTAAAAAAAATTAAACTTTAAGTTCTGGGGTACATGTGCAGAATGTGCAGGTTTGTTACATAGGTATACAAGTGCCATGGTGGTTTGCTGCACCCATCAACCCATCATCTACACTAGATATTTCAACTGATGCTATCCCTCCCCTAGCCCCCCAACCCCAAGACAGGCCCCAGTGTGTGATGTTCCCTTCCCTGTGTCCATGTGTTCTCATTGTTCAGCTCCCACTTATGAGTGAGAACATGTGGTGTTTGGTTTTCTGTTCTTGTGTTAATTTGCTGAGAAAGATGGTTTCCAGCTTCATCCATGTCCCTGCAAAGGACATGAACTCATCCTTTTTAATGGCTGCATAGTATTCCATGGTGCATATCTGCCACATTTTCTTTATCCAGTCTATCATTGATAGGCATAATTCCTATTCTTTAAAAAATTTTTTTTTGTAGAGATGGGGTCTTGGTATGTTTCCCAGGCTGGTCTCAAACTCCTGGGCTCAAGTGATCCTCCCACCTTGGCCTCCCAAAGTTCTGGGATTATAGGTATGAGCCACCACACTAATTCATATTCTAATAATTCTTTCTGGCATCAGGGACAAGTCTTGGGGTTATTCAGACCTAGCTCCACCCTTTTGGGTAAATTACTTATTATCTCTGAGCCTCAGTTTCTTCATCTCTAAAATGGGGATGGGAATCAAGATCAAATGAAAAAATGTATTTAAGACATCTTTTTAAAATGGACAGCTAATAGTGATGGTGTTTAATCTTTCCTTCATAATATGCACATTTTCACCCTCTTAGAGATTTTTTTATATTTTTTACAGGTTGGAATGGTGGTTTTCCAGGTGGTATGAGTATGTGTGAGTGTGAGTGTGTGTGTGTGTGTGTGTGTGTGTGTGTGTGTGTGTGTGTGTGTGTGTGTTCTTTTTATTCTTGATGAAAATAGTCTGAGGAAGAGACAGCTGAGGTTTTTTATAGTAATCTCGTCACTAATGACAACCAGACCCTGGCCTCCATAAATGCTACTGGGCATTCAGTCAAGGGGTAGCTAGTATCCCAAGATGTTCCCTAGCAAATCAGACCTCCCCTAGTGAATCACATCACCCTTGTGTGATCCCCTCCCACACTGAATCTGAGCTGGCCTGTGACTTGCTTTAACCAATAAAGTGTGTTGGAAGTGACACTAAGCTGTTTGTGGTCTAAGTTTTAAAAATCCTCAAATCTTATACTTTTGTGCTTTGGGGATCCTCAAGTCACTATGTAAGAAGTGTGGTCTCTCTGTGCTGGAGAGATCACATAGAACAAGTGGAGAAGGAGAGACCTTGAGAATATATGGATAGAGGAAGACAGGGAGGAAGGGAGGTCCAACTGTCCCAGCTTCACAACTGAGCCAGGCCTCCATCCACCCCCTCAAGGCACCAGCGAAGTGAGTGACTTATCCTGGATACTTCAGCCCAGTAGTCCCCAGATGACCGCAGCCCCAGCTGCTATCATGTGCAACAGAAGAACCACCCAGCTGATCCCAGTCAACCTTTGGACTCATGAGAGATGACAGAATGGTTGTCTTAAGCCATTCACTTTTGCATTGGTGTATTAAAAAGCAACAGATTATTGAAAAAGTCAGCAATATTTTTGAGCTTTCACTATGTACCAAATCATGGATTCTCATTAGGAGATATATAGAGGAACTGCCCGCAACTTCCCTCAGGAACTTAGTTTGGGCAAGAAGATTGTACAAAGGCAAGTATAAAGATTCTAGACATTTACTAATCCACACACACGTGTGTGTTTGGAAGTATGATGTAAACAGACTGTTTAGTGATGGGGTCATTAGGGTTCAGTTAGGGTCAGGAACACTCCTACAGGGAGAGAGTCTTGAGCTGGATTTTGAAGGAAAGGGCAGGTGCCAGTTCAGACAATGGCTGGGGTTGGAAATGGGGGGCATTGACAGCAACATAGCAATAAAATAGGAGCATGTGGAGTGGGAGCTGAGAAACTCAAGTTTGATATCAGCTGGACATAAAAATAATGGGTCTCAAAGGGGATCTTGCCAAGTCAGGTTCTAGGCCTGCAGCAGGGACCTCAGGAAAGCTGGTTATTTCATGATCTTCATTTTCTTCATTCCGTTTGGTAAAAACATAATTTGTGAATGGCAGCATAATCCCTTTATAAATGCCCCTGATTGTGGAGTCTCCTGGGGGAAACTTCCTCTTCAGCACCCATTGGAGGGGGCTCAGAAAGATGTGTTTAAGCTGTTTATAGAGGACCCTTTTAGGCCTCCCCCAAGGACAGCCCCCAAGGGGTGGGGGTTATAAGGGCCCCTCTGTGTGGCTGATGAGAAGCAGAGACATAAGCTAGGGAAGCACAGCCGAGACCAGAGCTAATTGGTTGGTAGTTGGCAGGTTAATGGCTCACATCAGGGATGATGCAAGGCTGTAGCCATATGGCAGGAATGACTTCAGGGTTTTCCTTTCTTTGCTTCTCTCCCTTCCTGGTCTTTGGTGGGGCTTTGAAGCTCTCCAGTCTGGGAAGATCTGGGTCATACTTGAATCCTCAGCTCTGGGAGTCAAGGCAAGGCCAAAAGGTGATGACCTGTACTATGAAATGTGGACTCATAGGAAAATGAGCCATTCTGCCAGTCCCTTGAGGAAGAGGGGTGCAAGTGCAAGTTGGAGGGGGCAAGGGGCAAGTGGTTCCAGCTCTGGGCAGAGAAAGACTGAGGGGTCAGGAAAACAGGTGGCTCATGACAGCATCTTTCTTCAAATTTTAGGGTGGTACCTTAGTTTATGATTCTACCCAGTTTACTCCATTTATAAACTTAGCATATACTGTTATTATTTTTCACAGTTACTGAGTTAGGCATATGTTCAATTGTAAGTAACAGAACTCCCAGCTAACAGTGGCCTAAGCAATGTAGACCTTCCCTCAGCCCACAAAGGATGATTGAGTGGCCACCACATACCAGGCGCTGTTCTAGGAGCTGGGAAAGAGCAGAGAGAAAAACAAACTTCTTTCCCTCATAGAGCAAGAAGGCAGCCCGGATCAGGGCAGGGCCTTGTCACTGTCCTGAATGCCTGGGGCTTCTGCCTCATGGGCATTGGAGACCTCAGGATGTCCAGGAATCTCAGTCAAGACAGGAAGCAGGAGAAAGAGGTGGATCAGCCTCCCTTGTTCCTTTCAGCAGAAGAGCAAAAGCTTCCCCAGAATCCCCAGCAGATCCCTCCTTACCGTCACTGGAGAACCAGGCCTGTGGCTACCTCAGAATCTTCATGGTTAACTTGGTCACTGTTTATGACCTGGGGCTGCCCAGAACAAGGCAGGGTTCAGTTTGCAAGGGAGAAGGAAATTGGGCAGGTAGTCAGAGTTGGGTTGTCTCTGTGTTTGCAGGGGAGGCAGACACTGGAGAAGGTAAACATTCCATGGCAAATATATCATTGCAAACAGTAAGGAAATAGTGAAATAACTGTAAAATGGCATTGAAACAATCCAAGATGAGGCAAAAAGTCCTTATTGAGTGCTTGCTGTTTCCTACGGTCTTTTCCAAGAAGGACATGTGAAGAGGGAAGGAAGGATCCAGCCTCGGGGGGCTTTCAGACTGGCAGGAGATGACACGCACACATCTGAAACAACCCGTGCCCAGAGAAAGTGAAAAGGGATCTGGTGGCAACTGAATACGCAGTTCAAAGCAGTCATTGTCATAGGCACTTTCCCTGCCTGTCCTGCCCATGCTCCTTCTAGGGAACATGCCCTGCTCACAGCTGTTAAAGGTGTTGACCCATGACGTCCAGGCCCATCCCCATCCCACTAAAAGGTGTTAAAACAAGGAATATCCACTAAAAGGTGTTAAAGCAAGGGTGTGTCTGGTCTCATCGCCTGATTTTAGTGCTTTTAACGCTAAAAGGTATTAAAAGCAAGGAAGATTCACTAAAAGGTAGATGGGACCAAACATGCCCTTGCTTTACACCTTTTAGTGGATCTTCCTTGCTTTCAGATTAAAGACAGACTCCTTGGCACAGCCTCGAGGTCCATCACTGCGCCTGTGCTCCTCTCTCGCTGCCTCCTGACCTGGCCTCCAGCCACCCCAGGATGGGCTGATCCCACCCAGCAACTCACACTTCTGGGTCTTTTCACACGCCTGGACTCGTGTGCACAGATATACCCTCCCCCTCCCCTGTTTTCCAGCTGGTGAAGTCTCATTTCTCCTTCAAGACCACCGCCTGGGGTCATCTCGCCCCCACCCTGACCTTGCTTCCTCTCTCCTTCATGCTGCCCCAGCACCTCATGAGGACTGTGCTGGCATCTGCCCCTTGTATTGGCACTATGGGCCTGTGTGTTTCCCTCTCACTCTAGGGCAGGGCCTATGCTTCATCTTGGTATCCTTGTTAACTGATACAGTGCCTGACACGAGGCGGACACTCAGCCAATGCCTGTGGGGTGAATGAATGAATGAGTGGTTCTCTAATGGTGACAGAGTAGGTCTCACCTGATTTAGTAGGGCTTTTCTCCCTGGGAGTTTAGCCTCAGTGTGGCTCTGGGTCGGGGGTCAGGGGCTTTATGGAGCCCTTCTGCCCTCTGCCCCTAAAGCCAACCTTATTTCCTGCTCACTGTCACCATCATCCTCTTCTCTAGAGCCGGAATCCCCTAGGAGCATTTCCTTGTTTTCCTCCTCTGGAGAAGAAGAGCCCAGAGCCAAGGAGCAGAGGGCTGCAGAGCATGGCTCAGATTTGATAAACAGGCAGGAGATTTCAGCAGCAATCAGGAGAGGAAATCACACACATTATCCCCGGAATTCATAATGCACCGCTAATGAGCTGGAGGGGCTGGGAGTGGATCTCCACCCACCTCTTGCAGCCCAGGATCATCAGTGTTTGGAGAAGGATGCAGGGAGGGGCAGTGCCATAGCCTGATGGTCCTCTCAGGAAGGGAAGGCATTTATTAGGCCTCCAAATGTGGCTTGGTCACAAAGGACGTGAAGATGAGGGGCTGCAGAGACCTCCAGGGGGCAGTGGAGCTGCGGAGGGGTGCATGCAAGGTGGGGGACCCACAGCGACCTCCCTGTTGAATAACCTTTCCCTGAGAAAGTCCTAACATCTGGGAAATTTCTAAATCACATTATCATTGAATTAGTATCTATTGAGGCTTGTCATAGGCAGGAACAATGATCAGCATTTATTGAACCTTTGTGCCCCAATGCTGATAGTTTACAGTTGTACCTTATCCAATTCTCTACCTCCTCCCCAAATGCACATACTCACACCACGTGCACTCACATACATTCTCACACACTATGCCCCCTCCCACACACACTCTCCATGGTGAGGTGGGCATTGCTGCCCTCACTTTACGGGGTAAAGGAAGAACTAAAACACCAAGCATTTCATGACTTCCTGTCATCACACAACTCCTGGCATGTGCGCCCCAGGGGATTGACTCCAGGTACCCGTGCTCCTGTCTGCACTTACTGTCTGCCGCTTCCCTGTTTTATTTTCTGAGAGCACTTACTCTCCGTAATGTCATTGTTTATTCATCTGTTTACTTGGTTTTTGCCTGCCTGCCTCCATAGAACGTAATTGTGATGAGGATGATGACAGACAACATTGACTGAAATATACTACATGCCAGGCACTGCGTTAAGCACCTCATGTACATTCACTCATTTAATCCTTGCCATTACTCTACCTAATAGTACCAATCTTATGATCATCCCCATTTTACAGGTGAGAATGCATTCACTAGGCCAAGGCCTGGAATACAGGAATGAGTATGGCTTGGATCCCCATCTGATCAAATGAGGCAGTGGCTTCTTCCCTCAGGGTAGCAACGCCTTGGGGAGAACAGGCTCCTGCCACGCCCCTGTCAGTCATATCTCCCTCCTCCCACTCTTGGCCCGCCCTAGAATGGGGCTTTCAGGGGGCTCTGTTGAGTAAAGCAGGTCAGTAAAGCCCTCTCAGGCCTTTGGGCTAACTGTCCCCATTCAGTGTCCCTCTGGCCTCTTTCCTCTGTGGCATCTGGCAAGGGCCCCAGGCTCCTGGCCTGGTTGTTCACGCACAGAGATATCCACAGACACCAACTGCTGGGTCCCCCGCCTGCCCCATTCTGCTAGGTGATTGATGGGGCCACTCTTGCTCTCAGTCCCAGAGAGCTCCTTTGAATAATAACTTAGCAAAATTACCTCTCTTTTTGCTTTCCCTATCTCTGATTCATTTGCTTTTTAAGTCATTCATCTCTTTTGAGTTAGAAGAAGAATGAGGAAGAGAAGGAGGAGGTAGCACAAAGGAACCAGCCACCATGAGCCCCGCCTCCTCATTTTTTTTTTTTTTTTTTTTTGAGAGGGAGTCTCCCTCTGTCCCCCAGGCTGGAGTGCAGTGGCGCTATCTCTGCTCACTGCAAGCTCCGCCTCCCAGGTTCACACCATTCTCCTGCCTCAGCCTCCCAAGTAGCTGGGACTACAGGTGCCAGCCACCACGCCTGGCTAATTTTTTTGTATTTTTAGTAGAGACGGGGTTTCACTGTGTTAGCCACAGCGGTCTCGATCTCCTGACCTTGTGATCCGCCTGTCTCGGCCTCCAAAGTGCTGGGATTACAGGTGTAAGCCACCACACCCGGCCCCCACCTCCTCATTTTACCAAGGGGGAGCTGGGAGCAGCTCTGTCACCAGCCTGTCCCATCTTAGTGTGATTTTAAGGTGGAGTGCACATCTGCCAGTGGATTTCTAGGGTTTGCAAATTCAACCTGATCCCTGGCTATGGAATGAAAGCATGTGTGAGAGATCTAGAGCTAGAGCTGGGGGGAGGCGGGATGTTTCTAGGGCCCCTGAAGGTGCACCTTGAAAGGCAGCCAGCTGCTCTACCCACCTGTACCACTGGTCCTGTCTGCCTGCGGGTATGGTGGGATGTTCTCACCCTTGCAGGGGAGCAGCAGAGAAAATAGGGAAAGGAATGAGAAGGAGGCTCAAAGGAGTCACAGCAGCTCACCAACACTTATTCTGATCACTAGGCACTGGGGAGACAAAGCCCACAAGGAGTTCACAGACAAGTAAGTAGGCAAATACAATACCGTCCAATACATGTGTAGGTACAAGTAGGTACGTACAGTACAATCCTACGGAGCAGGCTGTTTATTCTGCGATGGGAGGGACCAGCAAGGAAGTCTTTACAGATAGGCTGATGATAAAGTGTTCCGAAGTCTCAATCTGAAAGTGGAGAAGGGTGCTCCAAGTGTCAGGCGATGCAGAAGCAAAGGCTTGGAGGTGCGAAGCTGCACAGTGTCCTGGGGGAGCACGAAATGATGCTATTTAAAGTAAAAAAAGCAAGGTGGACATTGCCAAGACCTGAGAGGTAGGCAAGGGCCAGGTAATACTGGCTGTAATGGTAGCAGATCTTCATCTAGGGCTTATGTTGGGGGGGCCTTGTGTAGCAGACTCAGGAGTTTGATGGCTATAATAGGAGAGTCCTCCAAAAAGAAGGTGTGCAGTCAGACCCACAGCAGTGTGTGGAGGATGGATCAGAGCCAGGCTGGAGAAAGGAAGACCAGTTAGCTGGGTGGTCTTCCAAGCTTCCTTTCTGGCTAACTGGTCTTCCTTTCTCCAGCCTGTCTCTGATGCACCAATTCAGGCAATAGGCAATTTAAGGACTGAACCAAGGCAGGGCCAGTGGGGAAGGAAATGTGCTTGAGAAGCATTTAGAATGCCATGTTGACAGGCTTGATGATTGGCTGAAGGAGGAAGATGGGGGAGATAGAGGAGCCAAGGGTACCTCATGGGGTCACCAGCTGAAACAGACCATAGCAGTGGAAACATTCATGAAACACGCCAAGCACCTACTAGGTGGTGACGCTATTCTAGTCACTGGGGACACAGAGACAAATCATTCACTGTTCTTGAACATTCTTTAGGGTTATTTAAAGACAAGCTTAATCTGTATTTATAAACTCATGTCCAGCCAAATTTGGGTAAATCTCAGAATTTTTTTTTCCTTTACCAAAAAATGCATCCTTTTCTTCCCTGCCACACTAAAACTCACTACCTGTCTTTCTTTGTTTCTCCAGCAGGCTACACTCACACAGCTAGGGTAGTTTAAGAGGGCCCATTTGTCCCTGAGTAGTATTAGGGCAGCCCTTTTGGGGCCATGGCTGGGTGGCTAAGGTTGGAGGCTGGAAGCTTCCTTGAGAGTCAAGTCTCTTTCCAGCCATTTCTGCCATTCAGGTTGAGTATTTTTCCCCCTGGGATGAATTTCCTCATAAAATAAATGTCTTGTCTGAATTAATCTTATTTTTAAAAGGAGAGAGTCATCATATTGTAAAGACAGATCATAAAAAGATGCATCAATCTGTCAGGAAGGCTGGTTAATATGAGTATTTGTTTAGCACAGACAGTGTGCCCTGAGGCATCTCAACTCCCAGGCTGGGCTGGTGCTGGGCTTAGCCCCTGTGCACACAATTTCACGTGTATGCCCACGGCCTCCACAGTCCTTCTGGACTAGTTTTGGGCCTAGACAGGGCATTTTATTTTAATACTTAGGCCATTCAGGGCCAGCAGCATATTGATAATGGGCACTATAGGAGCCTCCCTTATTGAAGAGCCCACGGAGTGACCCCTGACGGGGAGGGCCAGTCCCCTGGCTTAGGCCCGAAATACTTTCACTTGATACCAAATCAATATTCAGGATCTTAGACAACACTGCAGATAATCTCTGCATTTTGTTTTACTCTTAAAAAATAGATACAAGCCATACAAAAGTACATAAATTAAAAAGTAAAATATCACATGAGTAATACAGGAAGTGAAACCTTACTCAGGTAACACACAAATACAGGAAACAGATAAGAGGAAAACATTCAAGTCCTCCTTTGCCTCCTCCACAGTTAACCACTGCGAACTGCTTAGCATTTGGGCATCATCGGCCATCAGCAAGAAAACGCATCAGGATGGCTGGCTGACTTTTCTCCTTTCACCAGATGTTAACAATGCTGTAGACACATCTGGGCCCCCAACAGATAAGGGCTGTCTGGGCCCAAGACAGATTAAGGCTGGCTTCTAACTGTCTTTCCGTGTATTTTTATCTATTTATCCCCACATGATATACATATGTCATTTATTTTCTGTGTTATAAATAGGATTATATCAAACACTTGGTACTTGTTTTTTCTTTTCTTTTACATGACATCCTATTTGGGGTTTCTTTTTAAAATAAAACTATAATATTAATAAAAACTTAAACTTTACAGAAGGGCAAAAAGTAAAACAAAAACAAAAACACAAAATCCTTTCCTTCATTGTATCCCTCCATTCCCACTCCCCAGAGCACACAGATAAATATACTTTCATGTATCCTTTTAGAAATGACAAGTGCTTAAACGCATACATACTTGATCTGTTCACTTTATAATAAGAAAGTGAGAACTCAGAGAGGTCAAATGATACACCCAAGGTCACACAGCAGACTGTGGCAGAGGCAAGTGTAGGACTCAGTGCCCTGCCTCCCAGAGGGCAAAGGTTTGTCCACTGTGTCTCCAACAGGTTGGCCCAGAGCCAGTCTCGGCTAATGTTCCTCATCCCTCCCTACCTTCAACCTTGTCTGCCAGCCTGGTGACTCTCCATGTTGCCCATGCCCCCTCCCCTCCCACGAATGCCCCAGCTCAGTGTATTAATAGCCTGCACTTGTGCCGCTCGTCCAGGAGGGCCCTGCCTGATTGGTCATTTCAGGAATGCCTGCTGTCTCCGTCAGCGCTGTCCTCACAGAACAGTGCAATGGCACCTGGCAAAGTGGTTCAGTGGGCTTGTGTTTGTGCTTTTGTTCCCCAAATTACAAGTGACAATTAGGTGCAAAAGACTCTTTGTAAGGATAATTCCATTTAAGTAACCCCTTGCCCTGGGAGGAACCGACATCTGGTCTACACTCTGTGCTAGGCTTTGGGTCCCCATGTCTGGCCTTGGGGAGTTTGCAGCTTCATGGGGGAGGATGGGCACACGTGCCGATAACTGGCCTTGCTCCTTCTCTCTTCTCTTTGCATGTGTCAGCCTTATCTGTCGTGGGCCCAGATGTTTCTACAGCATTGGCAACATCTGGTGAGAGAAGAAAAGTCAGCCAGTCATCCGGATGCATTTTCCTGTTGATGGCCGATGATGCCCATCTGCACATCTGGGAAACATCCAGATGGTCAGACCATGCGTGCTGTACACTCACATGTGTGGTCCTGCTGCCTTCGATGACATGTCCACCGAGGCAGACAGAACCTGGACCTGTGAACTCTCCCCAAGCCAGGCCTGTTCAGTTCAACTTGACCTCACCGATGGACATTTTGTTGCAAGCAGAAAAGAGGAAAGCCCAGAACTGGACACTGGGTATGGGGAGGGTAGAGTTTCTGGGGGAAGGCAGCGGCAGTGAGAAGCTGCCAGCTAGAGAAACTGACCTTGAACATGAAGTCTCTTGACTTCACAGAGATGGAGCCTGGAGGTTTTGCCTCTAGTGGGGAGCTTTGGAACAGGGCGTTGTCTTCCCAGCCCCTTTCCCTTTGATTAACTGCCACTCACGGACCAGTCTCACTTCCTGGGAAACAAACCCGCTTGAGATCCGTGATTCTGCAGCGCCCTCTCGTGGGCAACTGGAATCTGTCTGGAGAGAAAACCTCAGGACACGGGCATATGGTCGTCACACATGTGGGCATTCACGGATTTTAGAATCGTATGTCCAAGTCCTTCCACCTGCTCCCACCCACTATATTATTAAGTCCTAAACGAACAGCTGACTATTTGTATATGCGGGTGGGAGCCTGGTGGAAATCTGTTACGAGAGGGCAAAGGACTGAGGGCAGGGCTCAAATGTGTTAAGGCGGTGTAGACAGAGATGGGAAAGAATCCAAAACGGTGACATGCATGTGTGTGTGTGCATTGAGTGCATGTGTGAGACATCCTGTGCTAAACAGATTCTGCCACGTTTCCAAATGATTTGGCACAGCCTGTTTACATCCTCCAACCTTAAGTCAGAACACCCTCTTTAGTTTCCTTCTGTGCCCCAGAGAGCGTTTTGTCCAAGCCTTCCCAAGCCTGATGAAGAGGGGAAAGTACAGACTCAACAGAGGGAAAGAGGTTCCAAGAGTGTGTGGCCTCAGGCTGGTAAAACTCCAGGTGTGAGTTTCCCTGGTGAGTTGTGTGCCTCCCCAGGCTTGCTGGAAATTAAACACGATCTGGTTGGAAGGCCCCAACACCAGGTCTCCTGGCCTTGCTGACTCCCAGTCCAGGGAGATGGAGGCTTGGTGCAAGCACGAGCCCCGCTTTCCACCCACCCAAACCGAATTAGCCTCTCCTTGACTGCAGGCCCCACTCCTCCTCTCGTATTCTTCTTCCCGTTCCTCCTCACATCTTAAAGATGACATCCTCACTCCCATCCTGCTCTGTCCCAGTCCTCAGGGTATGTTTTGCCTTCCCCTTCCCAGGGCCTGCCTCAGCGTCTTCCTCCACCATCCCCTTCCTATTGCCCCTTTCAGAAGAGAGCTTTCCCCCACCTTCATTCTTCCATCCACCCAACTGGCTCATCCCCTGCAGGTCACACCCACCCCTACTGCTGCATCCCAGCCCCACCTTAGATAAGGGACATCATCATCCAGGTTATGATCCGGCTTCTTTACCTCCCCCTTTGCAACCATGGACTTCCAACCCATGGAAAAGAAAGGTGCCAGCTACAATCCCATTGGAAAGTGCCTGGTTCCAACCCCATGATGGCAGCCTTGGGGAAGGGTGCTTTACACTGTCAAGAAGAGAACCTATCAGGACTGACTGCAAGGTGGAGGATGCCCAGGAAATGTGGGGCTCACAGGAGCTCATGGTGTGGCACAGATGGAAATGTCCAGCTCAGATGGAGGAGGTGAGGCCCACCCTGTCCTCTGCCCAGGGCCGCTCCTCCCCACAGTATGTGCTGAGAGAGCCTTTGCTGCCTCTGCTGTTCCCTCCTGCCCAGACAGGGACAGACGCAAACAGAGGCTGGAAAACAGAGACAGAGGGAGCCAGGATAAAGAGAAATGATGTAGATGCACGAAAGCCTGGAGCAGCAAGGAGCTGAACTGAGGTGGAATGTCTTGAGCACTTGGCGTCTCATGTCACCTCACAGCAACTGTGACTGACGGATGGCATCAGCTTATTTCACAGATGAAAATAACAGACATGGGGAAGCTTCCAGGGCCACACAGCCAGAGTGTGGCTGAGCTGAGCTTCCAGGCTTAGCCCGCTTCATCCCCAGGCACTTGGCCTTTCCACGACAGAGAGAGGCACACAAAGAGGCTGTCTCCATCCTGTTTCTCAAGCGACTCAGCACACAGAGAGAAGGAAGAGGCCAGCATACAGAGCCCAGAGAGGCTCTGAGGGACGCGCCAGGAGAGAGGGAGATGGGGAGACAAAGACACAAGGAGGGGCAGGGAAAGATGCTGCTTATTTCTCCCTATGCAAATGGATTTGGTGGAAAATACATATTTCAGGTTTCATTCCCAGATCATCAGAATCAGAATTTCTGGTAGTGGGACCAAGGAATGTGCATTTGAAGAAGGCTCCTCCAAGTAGCAAGGTGTGCTGAGATATTTGCACCTAACTTGAAAATGCATCCAAAAAATCAGATAAATTGACAGATGGAAAGAGGGAGGAGGAACTGATGGATAATATGTGATAAACAGAGCAAATTATTAACTGAGGAGTCTAGAAAGTAGGTAACACTGTTCACTGTATGATTCTTCTCACTTTTTGTAGGTTTGAACAATTTTATAAGATGCCGGAGAAATAAGCTTCCAAATGACTGTGATGATTGGGCAGGTTTGGGACCATGGATGTGGGGGAAGGCTCCGTCGGAAAATGTTTGGAGGAGTGGTTGCCCTCTGCCCCCTCGAACCCCACCCCCAAGCTCCCGTGACCAGCCTCTGGTTCCCTCACTTTCACAGAAACCCCAGAATCTACAGCAGACTGAACAAGGCACTGTCCCTTCCCCTGGGTTCTAGAGGAAGTTCATCTGCCCCTTGGGGTCTCCTGTTCTCTCTGTTGAGCAGGATTAGGGGGTCCCTAGGCTTTGTCTTATTGGGTGGGTCATCTGAGGCTGGTCCCTGTGGGGGCATTTATACTAATGCAATGAAGCAGACCCATGGTGTGGACTTGGGGCAGAGCTTGGAGAGGTGAGGCTAGAAATTCTCTTGGAAAAATCTGAAGCCGAACTTCTCACAATGGCCCTTCAGCACCTTGGCCAGAGCTGGGGAGCCACAGAAGAAGACCTGCACCTTGCCCTTCTTCTCAGCAGCCACTTTCTGGAACACCTGGAGTCAGTGGGGTTGAGGAAGAGAAGAGGGAAGATAGGTGGAGCTGCTGACTCACCAGTGACACAACCACCTGGAGGTAACAGCATAACGGGTCGGCAGCAATGAGCATTCCCATTTTACACAGGGAGCTGCATGGCACAGCTGCTGGGTTTTACAGCAGAGTTCAACACTCAGCCATTCAACTAAGAGCCATTTGTTCAGCTGGCAACATGACCCAGAACCCCAGGTAGAGGACCAGGGCCAGAAATAAATAAGACCCAGGCCCTCCACTCAAGGATCTGCAACTGTGGGAGACAGGCACTAAATCAGACACGCAGAGAGATGCATACAGTGCTCTGGGACTCCCATGGGAGTCTGAACCTGGTGTTAGTCCCCAGGGCTGGCCACCCTGCTGTGATTTAAATATCCTTCCTGATGTCAGTCTTTCCCCCAGTGAGGACCCTTTTCTACCCCAAATTCTGCTTATGAATTGCCTTTTTCTGAAAGTCCTCTTTGATGCCCAAGCACTCACCACAGACATTCCCCTCCCACTCAGCTGTCATGACCCAGGCATGGGGTCATCTGCAGCACTTTTAAAAGCAGCACCTTCTGGGCCACTTCCTGCAAACCGCAAACCCTGACAAGTAAGTGTTCAGGAAAGAAAAATAATAAAACCAATCTGAGAAATAAAATAAAAGGATTGCAAACGATTTCATGTCTCTGTGCCTCAGTTTCCCCATTTGTAACAGGAGATGATAAGATTTGTTGTTTTTCCAGGTCCCTGTCCACTCAGGCCTTTTGACACTGGTCCATAGGGAGTCAAGGCTGCAGGGGTCTTTGAGGTCATAGAGACTAACTTCCTCTCTGAACAGATGGAGAAACTGAGGCTAATGATGGAACAAAGGTTAGTGATAAAGCCAGTGTAGGTGCCCTGTTTACCTTTCACACCACGAGGTCCCTTCTGGACTCTGGACTTAACCTCACACTTTGCCCCTGACAGCTTGGGCCTCGTCTCCCCACCGCTGCCTCGAGCTCTCAGCTTCATCCATACCTGCAAGCTGCAGGGCTCCAGTTGGCATTACCTTGCTCCAGTCAGGCCGCCCAGGCTGGGTGCGCGTCTGCAGCCCCGTGATGGAGTCTTTCTTCTCCTTGTTGGCCAGGAGGTCAAGGGCCATCTGCAGGCCAATGGCCTTCATGTCATTCTTGCCCAGTGCAGATGTCATGTACATATGCAGCTCCAGGAAGCGGCCTGTTGGGCAGGGGACAAGGGCTGCACTGAGGGTCTAGTACCCATCATGGGCGCAGGGCAGGATGCCAACCACTACCTTACCCTGGGGCTTGGAAGGAGACCCATAGGTCTTTTGCCCAGGATCTGTTGTGTAACCAGTGCCATGGAGAGGAAAGGCAGCCCATTGCTTGAGCTGGGCCTACTATGTACATGGCACACATTGGTTACTTTATATGCACTAAGGTGAACCTCACAACCACTCCAAGAGTTAGATCTTTTATATTTATTTATTTAGTATTTTTGTGGAGATAGGATTTCACTATGTTGCTCAGGCTGGTCTTGAACTCAAGCAATCCACCCGCCTCAGCCTCCCAAAGTGCTGGGATTACAGGTGTGAGCCACCATGCCTGGCCAAGACTTTTTGTATTTATAGAAGAAGAAATGCATCCCAGGGAAGTGAGCATGGCAGTCCCTGGGCTCCAAAGCTCATGCCCTTCCATGCCTCACATGTCTGTCCTCAGCCTGGCTGGGGACACAAGCCACACACACATGAAAAGGTAATTTGGACTAAAGGGTCAAGGGTCGAGTGAATGGATCATAGCGTGAAGGCTACTGATATGCAGGGAAGGGCTGATGCAGACAGAGCTGCTTCCCAGAAGGGATGGGGACTGGGTTAGGTCTGGGACAAGGGGTGAGAGTAAAGGCAGAGGTGAAGGGAAGGCATGCTAAGAAGGACTAGTGTGAGTACAGAGTGAGAGGCTAGAACAAACGCGATGTTTGCGGGGCAAGGTGTGGTGCCCGGCTGGAGCCGCATCCTCGGATGGGAGCAAAAGGAAATGGGACTAGAAACAGATTGAGGCCAGAATGAGAAGGGTCTTGAATGCCCAGCTAGGAGACAGGGGAAGGTTGAGAGTAACTGAGTAGGGTGTGACATAATGAAACAGCACTTTAGGAAGGGCATCAGAGAGCTGAAGAGATGGGGAAGGAGACTGGGACGAAGGAGCCCACAAGGCCAGAGCACCCGCAGTTCTGCGCCACAAAGTTATAGGTCTGCTGGGATACTGATGTTTCAGCACTCAGGGGCTCCCAGGTGGGCACCTCCGTGTTCCATAACCAGACATGACATATGAATGTTATCATTTTTATGTATGCCATGGTGAGAAAAAGATTGGTGAGTGCTGCCTTAGGCTTGAGCGTCGGTTCAAGCCAGAGTTGGCAGGGCCTGATCTAGGATGTGGGAAGGAGCATTTCTGAGCTGACTGACGATCACCTCATCCTTCTCCTCTCCCTCTCTTCCTCTACACCCAGACTAAAGGAGCTTTGCCATTCCAACCTGCTCTCTATTGTTTCCTAAGTCACCATCAGCTCATTTTTCATTTGGCCTAAGGTCTCAGCTGCTGTTACAATGCAAATGGCCCTAGGAGGGCTAGCACATTTCATGTCACATGTCACTTAACCCCTAGTCGTGCTGGATGGTGTGGGAGGGAGGGAGATGTATTATGAGATGCCCACCTGGGGGACCCCCTGCTTCTTACCCTCCCTCAGAGTCACCATACCCCAGAGAGGGGTAAGAGGAGAGAAGGGGAGACACCATGGTGGGAGGGAGAAGATAAAGGGGCTGTGGAGGATGACCTGGCATGGTTCTCACTCTCTCCATCCAGCTGTGTTTGAGATAGCCATCTCATTTCTGGGACACTTTCCTAAGAAAATCATCCAAAGCAAGGAAAAAAACTATGTGCACAAATATATTAATTTTGGCATTTTTATGATTATGGAGAATGAGGAATAAACAAAATGTACAGTAGTAGGAGCTTGGTTAAATAATTTACGGTATAACCACTAACTATACCACTCATTATATAGCCATTAAATACTACTACTACTTTTATTAAACACTTATTACTACTAGCACTTCTACTACAAATAAATGTATTAAGCAGTTACTATTACCACCACCACCACCACTAAATTTATCAAGCAGTTTATTAAGCTCCAGTCACTGTTCTATGTGTTCTGCAGATGACATCTCATCTAATTCCCATGACAATCCTATGAGGTGGGTACTAGTAGCATCCAGATTTTTCAGATAACTGCTTTCAAGGCAAACTAGTTAAATAATATGCCCAAGGTCCTATACCTATTAAGGGTAGAGTAAAGATACAAACTTAGACAGAATAATTGACGCTTAAGCTATAGCAATGAAAAATTATAAACCAAAAATTATTTAATGCAAACCTTGACGTATAATTAAAGTTGAAATCAGAAGCCACAAGTTTCAGCTGCAGTTAATGAGAAACCCTGAAAGAAATTTGATGTGATAGAGTTGTTGACTCGAGTGGCTTTGAGAATGCAAAGCACTGGGTTAGCTGTTACCCTTTGTTTACACAGATTAGGAAGAAGCAAACAGCAAATATTTATGTGCCAGTAACTAGAAAATTTAAATTAAATTTAAACTTTTCCTTTAGCTTGTCATCATAAAATTGAGTTTCTAATGAATTAATATACGTAAAAGCATTTAGAAAAATGAAGTCAATGTTATATAAATATTTGCTGTAATTGTTATTTACAAGAAAGGGCAAGGAGCTTTACTGAACTAGTCTAAGCTTGAAGAGTTATCTTCCAAAGACTGTTGACTTGAACTTTAAGGCTCTGAATGTTTGTTATAGTAAACTAGATCTGTTTGGATAGTTTCTTGTAGAAAATTGTGTTTGATTCCTTGAATGTATAAACTGTGTTTATCATAGGAATTTGAATTCACTCATGACAACCTTGTGATAATTAAATAGTCAAATACGATCTAGTTCTAATGAACTCAACAAGTCTAAAACACTATGCCAATTCTCTTAAAAAGTTAGAAACATATCTAAAGATATTTCTTCTTGTATAAATTATAAGGAAAACAAAACAATGACTTTAACAGATTAACATTTAAATACAGTGTAAACCCTCAGTATTCCACAAAGATGTCCCATGAAGACTATGATATGATCCAGAGAAATATTTTATCATACTTAACAATGATGAGAGTAAATGCTTAGTAAAAAATGTAGAATACAGCAAACACTTAGGCAGTGAGGAGGGAGAGGTTGGAGAGGTTGAGGGGAGGACATTCAAACCTTCTATTTTTTTTTTTTTTTGAGACAGGGTCTTACTCTGTTGCCCAAGCTGGAGTGCAGTAGGGCTATCATGGCTCGCTGCAGCCTCAAACTCTTGGCCTCAAGTGATCCTCCCACCTCAGCCTCCCAAGTAGCTAGGGCTACAGGTGCATACCACCATGCCTAGCTAGTTTTTTAAAAAACATTTTTTGTAGAGACAGCATGTGCCTGTGTTGCCCAGGCTGGTCTCAAACTTGACCTCAAGCAATATTCCTACCTTGGCCTCCCAAAGCACTGAGATTACAGGCGTGAGCCACCAGGCCAAACATTCATTTTTGATAAAAGTATAAAAGAAGGGACCAAACAGTTAATGACTTCATGTATGTTAAGGTATTTAATCTTTTTTTAAAAAAAAAACAGGAATGGAAGGAAAAAGGGTGTCTAATCTTTATCTTAGATCACTCTCTAAACTTTTTATTCTCATTTCATCAGAAAAAAGGTTGAGCACTCACCCCCCATAAATATATATCTGTATCCATGTTTGTCTCTACTCACAGCTTGTGTACATCAAAAATGTATGTTGCAGGCCAGGTGCAGTGGTGCATGCCTGTAATCCCAGCACTTTGGGAGGCCAAAGCTGGTAGATCACTTGAGCTCAGGAGTTCAAGACCAGCCTGAGTAACCTGGAGAAATCTCATCTACAAAAAATGAGATTAGCTGGGCATGGTGGCGCACACTTGTACTCTCAGTTACTTAGCAGGCTGAGATGGGAGGATCGCTTGAGCCCGGGAGGCAGAGGTGGCAGTGAGCGCCACTGCACTCCAGCCTGGGTGATGGAGACACACTCTGTCTCAAAAAAAAAAAGAAAAATTTACATTGCCGTAAAATGAACCACATTTACCCTTCCACCTGAAACAACCAGAAAAATGGACAAAACACATGAAACAATGGTTTCCAGACATTGATCAGCAGGTGGCACGGGACTATCATTGCTGAGAGAAGAGAAACAGACGAAGTAAGCCCTACAACAGCCCCGCTTATTGCCTGATGCAGTCTCCTGAGGAGAGGAGAGGAGACAGAAACTGGCATTCACAGAGGCCAGGACAGCCAGAATGTTAAGCACAAGACTGGAAAAGTGAACTGCAGAAAGGAAGAGAGGGAAGGTGAGAAGGAGAGAAGGAGAGATGCAGGGAGGAGGGGAGGCAGGGAGGAGGCTACTCACTTGCTCTGAAAATCTGCATAGTTTCTCCTAAGTCTCTGGCTGAGCATTAATTTGAATGTGTGAAAGAAAATGACCAGAAAAACTAGGATAAACGATACCTCGAGCTTAAACAGCTGGGAATAGTTGGTGTTCTCACTAAAAGCGAAGAGGCTTTGCCGTATATAGCGCATTAGGTGGAGTCCTCAGAAGTGTATCACCTTAGTACTGGGGTTAAATTAATCCCGCACTAAAGGCTGCTCTAGACTCACCCCAATAAAAGTTAAAAGTGAGCCTCAAGAAGATCCACAGTCTTACATAATTTAACTGTGCACCAGAACGAAGTGCAGTACTATTTAAAGAAATAACATAAAATCCAGGCCGGTGGCTCACACCTGTAATTCCAGCACTTTGGGAGGCTGAAGCAGGTGGATCACTTGAGGTCAGGAGTTTGAGACCAGCCTGGCCAACATGGTAAAACCCCTCTCTACTAAAAACACAAAATTAGCCTGGCGTGGAGGCGGGCGCTTGTAATCCCAGCTACTTGGGAGACTGAGGCAGAAGAATTGCTTGAACCTGGGAGGTGGAGGTTGCAGTGAGCCGAGATTGCACCTGGGTGACAGAGCTAAGGTGTTTGCAGTGAAAAGCCAAAAGAGTTTCTCACCAGCAGACCTGCATTACAAAGAACCATCAGTTCTTCAAGCAGAAGGAAAACTTTCCCAGATGGAAATCTCAATCCAGGCACAAAAAGTGAAAAGACCCCAGAAATGGTAAATATATGTATAAAAATAAAAAATTTGCTTTTCTGATTTTTAAATTTCTTTTTAAAAGATAATTGGACAAATGGTGGTACACCCATAGAATGGAATACTACTCAGCAATGAAAAGGAATGAATGGACTTACTGATATATGCAACAACACGGATAAATCTTGAAGGTATTATGCTAAGTGAAAGACGTCAGACGGAACAGACTACGTATTATATGATTCCATTTATGTAAAATTCTGTAAAAGGCAAAATTGTAGTGATAGAAAGCAGACCAGTGGTTGCCAGGGGTTACAAGTCAGGGGAGGGTGTTGACTGCAAAACAGGAAGAGGAAATTTTCAGGAGGAATGGAAAGAAATGCTCCATATTTTGATTGCAGTGGTGGTTACACTACTGTATGCATTTGTCAAAATGTCATTGTATTTATTGTACGCTTAAATTGGTAAATTTTATTGTATGTAAATTATACTTCAAAAGCCAAACACAAATTAGTGTGAATAAGAATCGTTTGAGGAGCATGTTAAAATGTACATCCCTGAGCCTGACTCTCAGAGAATCTATCTGATTTGGAAGATCTGGGGTGAGGCCTAGGAATTTAAATTTTCAACATGTGCCTATTCTGAATTAAAAGATATGTCATGAAAAAGATAAATTACAAAAATAAAGAAATATATTTTTATAAAATATGAATAAGAAAACAAAAATTGGAAGGGAATCCTTTAAAATGCCTGATGTCATCTGGATAGCCTGGATAGCTGGATGAGATTATGAGGGCTTTTTTTTCCCCCTTCTATTTTTCAACTTTACAAAATGTTACATTTTAATAGAATCTCCCCCCATCCTACTTCTCCAGAAATGGAATAAACACCTCTTAAAAAGACTCTGAATTAGCCTGGGCAATATAAGGAGATTTCATCTCTACGAGAAAAAAAAAAAATTAGCGGAAGTGGTGGCCTGCACCTGTGGTTCCAGCTGCTCTGGAGGCCAAGGTGGAGGATTGCTTGAGCCTGGGAGGTGGAGGCTGCAGCGAGCCATAATCGTGCTACTGCACTTCAGCTTGGGCGACAGAGTGAGACCTTGTCTCAAAAAAAAAAAAAAAAAGACTCTGGGTTCACTTTAATGGTTAAATGGTTCATTTTAGGTTACGTGAGTTTCATATCAATAAATTATTTTTTTAAAGAAGCTGAAGGCCCCTGCCCTACTCCTACTGCCCTCAGGCCCTGTCCCTCTCTTACCGTATTGAGCCTCCTCGGCCTGGTCCATCTCCAGTTTAGTCAGCAGGCTCACAAACCACTCGAAAGACCGCTGGTCTCTGTTGATCCAGATAAAGTCCACCTACGGAGAGAGGCCCTTCAGCTCAGAGGCTGGGTCTCCCTGATTTGCAGGAGGCTCACATCTGTAATCCCTGGGACCCATATGACCACCCTGAAGTAAGCAGGGAACATTCAGATACCCATTTAAGGGAGGGAAAAATCAAGGCTCATAGAGGTGAGCAGCCATGCCCAGATCACAGAGCAGCATGGGACCAGAACCAGGTTTCTGACCCCAAGGCGGGGATTTTCTCTAATATCTTCTATTGTTTACAACAAACAGTGTGTTGAAATACTAGCTTAGGATAGCCAGAAAAACATAAATTACTTTTTAAGAAACTCTTCTAAGTGGCCTATACAGGATGATGAATTTTCAAAAGGCAAACATGTTTCCATTATTATTTGATTATATTATTTTAATTATTATTATTATTTTTATTATTTCTTTTTTGAGACAGAGTCTCACTCTGTCACTCAGGCTGGAGTGCAGTGGTGTGGTCTTAGCTCACTGCAACCTCTGCCTCCTGGGCTCAAGTGATCCTCCCACCTCAGTCTCCCAAGTAGCTGGGACCACAGGTGCTCACCACCACACCCAACTAATTTTTGTATTTTTGTTAGAGATGGGGTTTCGCCATGTTGCCCAGGCTGGTCTTGAGCTCTTGGGCTCAAGTGATCTGCCTGCCTTGGCCTCCCAAAGTGCTAGGATTACAGGCATGAGCCACCATGCCCAGCCAGTATGTTTTCATTCTTAAAACCACCATAGGGTCATGGATAGGTAGCATCATGGCTGTAACTGAATCCAGACTGCCTAGCTGTCAAGCTTTGCAACATTTAATGAAATGTTAAGAACATCTCTCAGAAGTGATGGGAATGTTGAAGCAGGGGCGGAGCTCAGACATTCAGGAGGCACCGGGATAACTCATTTAAGAGAATTCAGGGTATTGTGGGGAAAGAAAGATCCCATTAGGGATCACCTATCCGCTCCCACCTTTGCACAGGAGGATGGGCTCCTATTTTAGGAGTTGTCCAGGGGAGAAGGTCTGGAGGCCTGCCTGCAGGAGGTGGTACTCACCTTATGGAGCTTCATGTTGTCTTGGACACCTTCGATCCAGGAGTGCTGGCAGCTGGGGCAAGTATGCTTTCTTTTCTGGTGCCTGAGGGGAGGCAGGAGGAAGGGGTTGTAAATTTGGGGTGAGACTTTTCAGGACCCCAGAGAACAGTTCAGGGGACAGGGAGCAAGGATGGGGTGGCAGAGCCCACTCTATGAGGAAGGGGAGGGATGAGACACAAAAAGGAGAGGGGGGCAGAGCAGGAGAGGAAAGAGAGAGAAGAGCAGAGAGAGACAGGTGAAAGGAGAGGAAGGAGAAGGAATAAAGGGAGGAGGAGCAGGGAGGGCGCCTTGGGGCTCTGACCCAGGATGCAGGCAGGAGCACACTGTTCACCCACCTGTACATGATACTCTGCAGAATGGAAGCAAAGGGGGTGATGCCGATGCCTGCCCCGATGAGCACGGCATGCTCAGAGGCAAAGATCCTGCGGGTGGGGGTCCCATAAGGCCCATCGATGTAGCACTGTGCACAAGAGGGCATCAGAGAAGAGAGATGGGGGGTGACGCTGGTCTCCCCTGCTACCAGGGGATGTCCCCAGGGCTTCAGAACCCCCTTTATATATAGAAAGACATCTCCTGGGCTGGAAGCCAGGTCTAAGTGGCTCCCACTCCAGTGCTCTTTCCACATCCTGTGCTCTCAGCACCAGTCTGGGGAGAGCTCTAGGTGTTACAGTGCAGAGCTAGTGAAAACAAGGACCCAATTCGCATCCCTGGGGTGTGTGCCGTGGGTGCCCAGGAGACAGGGATGGAGAGCACGTAGGCCTATACACTGTACACCCATCCCTGCTCCTGGTGAAGAGACAGGCTGAGGGTGAGGCTGAGCACCCTTGGATATAAAGAGCAGGGGGAGGGATGTGGTTACATGACCCGGATACCTGGATGTCAGCCCATGAGGATTTGAGGAGCTTGAGTACCCACAACCACAACAGCCCCTCCTTAAAGGCAAAGACTTCATTTCCTTTGGTTGGGGCAGGCATTATTGCTCACGTCCACCCCTGCAGCCTCTCACCTTGATGTTACAGAATTTGTGTTTCTCCAAAAGTATCTCAGAGCCCTGCAGGGAGTAGAGCAGAGAGTTATGGGTCTTGGAATGGACAGTGTTAGGGATTTCTTAGAAGTTTCTTGCCCTTGCCAGTCTGAGCAACTTTATAAAAAGGGAATTGCTTTTTCTGCCCAAACCATTCAGGGAACACGAAGCTCTTTTGAAAGAGAACATCAGGGATGTGCTGGTAAACTGACTTCTGGCGAAGGGATAACAGTCTTGATTGTTAGCTTCTGCCCATTTCTGTGGTGTAAATCCTGCCCACCATGGCTCCCACCATAACAACTGTGTTTAACAACCAGCTCATGAAATTCCTGAAAATTTAACAGTGGCTCCTATGGTCCAGCACAAGTCAGTTTCAGGGTGTGACTGGAGAGCATTCCCCTACTAGCCTGGAATATTCTTTTCCCTCTGCCTGAAACACCCTTTCCTCTTCCCCAGCTGTCAAATTCTGTCAGTGTACACTGTATCCTTCATTGTCCAGCTCATTTGAAGTTGCTATTCCTCTTCAAAGCTCTTCCCACCTTCTCCAAGCAGAGAAGCCAGGGCCTCCCCTGGCTCACAGCTCCCCAGGCCCTAGGGCTTTGCTCTGGGGTTCAGACAGTGTGCTCCTCGGGGAAGAGAGCAGGCCTCCTCTGTCTTCCTCAGGACTTAGAGCGTGGTAGACAGTCAGACAGCCCTGTCCAAGTCAATGCCTTTCCTTCTGGAAGGTGAAGGAAGCAGACCCCAGAACAGGCCTGAAGGAGCCTGTGCTATTTCCCGCTCTGGTGCAGGAGGCAGAGTTAGGAGTGACCTTCGCAGTCATCCAGGCTGAAAGCATGGGAAGGACGTGCCCACATTCCCACAGAGCTCGGGTAGAGCCTGGGTCTCCTGCTGCCTGTCCAGGATTGTGACATCACGCTGTGTTGCTTCTTTGTCCCGAGATGACTGAAGGCTGCTCCCCCTGGTGTGGGGCATGAACTCCTGGCGGTGGTTTGAGAGTTATGCTGTGAGACAGCTCTTCTCCTTTTAATTTTCTTTAGTCCTTCTGATGGCAACGAGAAAGCCTTCCATTCTGGCTAATGCATCTTTTAACCTCTCTAACACTTACTAATCTCTTCTCTTTTTTCCTTCCTTTTTACAAAGTGAGAAAGGAAAGAAAGAAAAGAAAGAAAGAGTGAAAGAAAGAAAGAGAGAGGGAGGGAGGGGGAGAGAGAGAAGGAAGGAAGGAAGGAGAGAGAGAGAGAAAAAAAAAAGAAAGAAAGAAAGAAAAGAAAGAAAGGGAAGAAAGAAAGAAAGAAAGAAAGAAAGAAAGAAAAAAGAAAGGAAGAGAAAGAAAGAAAGAAGGGAGAGGGAGGGAGGGAGGAAGGGAGGAAGGGAGGGAAGGAAGGAGTAAGAGTGTGGAGCACCACCTCTGGCATGGAGCCTTAGCAGACAGGCCATCTAGCAAGAATTTAATAACATTGATTCTCATTGTTTTTACTTTCAGAGCTATCCTGTGCAGCATGCGATACTAGTTTTCCATTAGAGATAATAATCTTATGACTTGTTTTGAATACAATTAAGTTTAAAGTAATGTTGGGATGTAAGAGAAATACTAAGTAGAAAGTATTACTGGGGCAGTTCTTACGCAAAAGTTAGGAAGGTAGCAGGCAGATGATTGGCTTCAGAGACATCCAAGTGATGTGTCATACTTCCTGAACATGGCTTTGCCCTTAAGGCATGTTGCAAGGACCCACGATCCCTGGGAAGATAAGCCAGCTGGCCCTCCTGTCTCTAGTCCCACCTTCCTCAGCCTTACTAGGCCACTGTCTTCAGAAGAAGTTTCCCACTGTGTGTGAGTCTCCTCCTTTGTCTTCGTGTACACCAGGTCTTCGTCCTGCGGCCAGGGATCTCCCTTGGGCCTATAGGACGTCAGCTCCAGTGACATCCTTGGATGCCACAACTCCCTGTGCTGAGATGCAGGACTGGATGAGTGGGGGCTGTACACTCTGCTTTGTTTCAAAACAGAAATTTCTTTATTATTTAAATCACAAATCGATAATGTTAGCTTTAAAAATGCAGATATAGAAACTATTAAACAATAGTGAAAAAAGTATCAGAGCACATAACTACTCAACATTTTCTCTATGCCCTTACAGATTTTTTTCTAACACAGACATACACAACACTTTTACATAAATGGAGCATACTTTTTAGTAACCTGCTTTTTCCACTTACTACATCTTGACTGGTTTTCCAGGTAAATACATTTAAATTGACCAAATCATTTTTTTTAGGAGACTTAATATTCTATTGTAAAGGTGATCAGCAATTTATTTAGGTATTTTCCTATTGTTCGGCATTTTGATTAGCCTCATTTTCTCATTATTGAGAACAACCACCCTCTCTGAAATAGCACTTTTCCCATCCCTACCTCTTGACACTGACTTATTTATCTTTATAGCATTTATTATCACCTGAGATGTTATGCATATATTTATTTGTTCATTGTCTGTCTCCCCACCAGAAGGTAAGCAGTGACTATGCCTATGTTGCTTACTGATAGATCTCCAGCATCTAGAACAGAACCTGGAAAATAGCAGATGCTGTGCTTCATAAATATTTGCTAAATGAACAAGGAAATTACTATGTTTTGTGTGCACCTGTCCAATTAGCTTTTTTTTTTTTTTAGTTGGAGCCTCATTCTGTTGCCCAGGCTGGAGTACAGTGGTGTAATCTCGACTCACTGCAACCTCTGCCTCCTGGGTTCAAGAGATTCTCCTGCCCCAGCCTCCCGAGTAGCTGGGACTACAGGCACGCACCACCACGCCTGGCTAATTTTTGTGTTTTTAGTAGAGACGTGGTTTCACCATGTTGGCCAGGATGGTCTCAATCTCCTGACCTCATGATCCGCCAGCCTCGGCCTCCCAAAGTGCTGGGATTACAGGCGTGAGCCACCGTGCCCGGCCCCCAATTAGCTTTTAAGAATACATCTCTAAAATGGAGTTGCTGGGTGTGTAGGTATACATATTTAAAATGCTGACACATATGGCCAGGCTGCCTGCCAGAAAGTTGCGCCAATTTATAGTGGCAGAGGTGACTGAGGTCCCAAGAAAACAGCTTTTAGTGTATCTAGCCCATTGATCCACAGTGTGCCATGACTCATCTGATTTTGAAAGTCAGCTTCCTCCTTCAGGAAGTTTCCCTGATTAACAGCCGAGAACGTTCTGCTTCTCCTACCTATCCCTGCATATCCCAGACCTTTGCTCCTGGTGTGGTCCTGGAAAGGTCCTCTGGTCTGGCCAAGCAGGATCTCACCTGGATTTCAACTCTGGATTTTAAATTCCCCAATGGCAAGGTAGGGTTGGGCCAGGCCTGGGAACGTCTCCTATGGCAGGGTTTTCATATGTTAACCTGTATCCCAGTCAGGAGGCACAGTCTACTTAGTTTGAGTTCAGCCACCCTCGGCCTCAGCGTCTATTCTTATTTCTTTAGCAGTTGCTCTGTCTCTCTCTGTTCCTCCAAAGCCTTGATGACACCAGCAACTCATCAGCTTTATAGGTTTCATCAAGGCTCAAAAGAGAATAACATTGCTGATGGTGATGATGATGATGAGGGGCCCACCTGGACCAGGCTGCCTATTTCAAGCAATACTTTATGTGCATTCATTCAGTTGGTTTTTAAAATAGTCACAGGAGAAAGGTAAGTAACAGAGGAAACGACTTCTATTTTATAGATGAACAAACCAAAAGACATGCCCAAGCCCACACAGTTAGAAAGTATTAGAGCAGAGACCTGGAGATGGGATTTTCTGATTTCAATTTCCACTCTCTTTCTGTTGCTCTCTCCCCCTTCTAATGGGGGACATCAGACTGGGAAGGATCTGGAGTGGTCAGACTTCGAGAAGGTTCTTGGACCACGGAGTTAGCAGTTGCCTAACCCCCTTGTGCTGCCATCTATGTACACAGCAGTTGCTCAATAATTGATGCTCACTGAGAAGAAGGAGGCAACTTGGTCTCTGTGGACTTGCCAGCAGAGTGGACCCCTTCCCTCCAGTAGCCACCTACCTTGGACGACCTTTGACTCTTTCTCATTGTCACACTCCTCGACAGCCTCTTAGAACCACGGCCCAGTGGGTCTGATGCCTTGAAGGACTCATACAGCCTGTTTGTCCACTGGCCTTGGGACCGAATGTGCAGCCAGATAGTGTCTGAGAAAGAGAAGAGTGGGAGGGGAAAGGAGGTCCATAGTGACCGGCACCAGGGAGCAAGCCTCACCCCACTGGAGGGATTGCTGCTGGGCCTCAGCCCTCCAAGTCCTGGTTTGAATGTCCTTCCTCAGGACCAGACTAGCAGCCATAGCCACAGGACTTGGAGAGCTGATCTCTGTGGGGCAGACCTTGAGATCTTTCTTGATGAAGTCAACCTGAGCTTAATAAGGGTACAGACTCCTGTACCAAAGAAAGGATCAGAGCAGCTCACTAGGAATTTTCTAAAGGCAGGGACTCTGCCACCTTCATCAGGCCAAGGACTCACCAAAACAGGCCCTCCTGCTATTCAATGGTTGTGCACACAGTAGGCGCTCAGTCCATGGTGGTACCAACTGCTTTCATGATACCCATGCCTGGGATGTAGCAGGTGCTTACTAAGGTCATCTGTTGAATGAATGACTGATGGAAATGTGGTGTGAGGTGACGTGACTCTTCTGCTGAGTGGTACCAAATAGAATCCACAACATCAGAGTGAGGAGGATGCAAGAGATCTCCTGCTTTGAACTCTTGCCCTTTTCCTTTTTTTTTTTTTTTAAACCAGGGATTCTTTTAGCAGTCCTGTGAAGGCAGTGGATAGTCTCCTTCTCAGAATAAGGGTCTAAATACACGAAGCAGGGATGGCCAATCTTTTGGCTTCCCTGGGTCACATTGGGAGTACAAGAATTGTCTTGGGCCACACATAAAATACACTAACACTAACAATAGCTGATGAACTAAAAAGAAAAAAAAAATCACACAAACAAAAAAATCTCATCATGTTTTAAGAAAGTTTATGAATTTGTGTTGGGCCACATTCAAAGCCGTCCTGGGCCCCATGCGGCCCAAGGGCCACAGGTTGGACAAGCTTGACATAAAGTAATATACAGAGAAATTACATATGAATCCAGTTATAATTAGTTATCAAAATGTTAAAAAAAATTTGTGACTTAGGAATCCATGTGCTTCTTTGTTAATACATGAATTAATGAGCTGTAGCAGGACCCAACGAGCCCTGGGAATCAGAAGTAGTAGTGAGCATAAATACTCTTGAAGCATTGGCCACAACTGTAACATACAGAAAGGCATCCATGGTTTTTACCGTGAAAAAGTCAGAGGTATCATTAATGCTCCTGGGGTTTGTTGCTCACATTTATCATTGAAGAAAATGCTAAATTTCAGTTAGAGGTTAGTAAAAATAAAGATGTTCCATTCAAGTTGATGAAGGAATTCATGACCTGGTGTTACTCTGCATTTTACAGAGGCTTAGAGAGGTGCTTCATAGTTTATGAGGAGTGGATTGAAAAGTCAGGACTGGAGCTCAAGTTCTAGGATCCTAGCTCCATCCACCTCTCTGAGGTTTCCTCCTTCATTAAGGCATCAGCATCCCAAGTCGCTTGAAGTGCCTCAAGCAATGACTCAGACCTAGGAGGTCTCCAAGAATGGTGGTTGAATTCATTCAGCCACAGCTGCTAAACTGAGTCCCACTCCTGACTCCAGTAAACAAGCTCTGTAAACGAAGTTGGTATATTATCAGCCCCCACATGAACCCTCTCAGCTCAGGGCAGGAGACTCTCCCAGGGTCCAAGGACAGGCAGATTCCAAACTGAGACCCAGAAGAAATCCCTTCAAGAACTGGTGAAGGTGGGGCACAGTGGCTTATGCCTGTAATCCCAGCACTTTGGAAAAGGTGGGTGGATCACCTGAGGTCAGGAGTTCAAGACCAGCCTGGCCAACGTGGTGAAATCCAGACTCTACTAAAAATACAAAAATACAAAAAAATTAGCCATGCATGGTGGCACGTGCCTGTAATCCCAGCTACTCAGGAGGCTAAAGCAGAAGAACCCGGGAGGCGGAGGCTGCAGTGAGCCAAGATCACACCACTGCACTCCAGCTTGGGTGACAGAATGAGACTCTAAAAAAAAAAGAACTGGTGAAATATAACAAGTTTGGAAAGTTAGGGGAGAAAAAGAATTGGTGAAATACATGACACGCCCATATAATATTAATAATAGTCAATAACCATATTAGTATCCACACACTGGAATACCATGCAGCCACAAAAAGGAAAAGCTGTATATTCACTGATATGCAAAGATCTCCATGACATACTGTTCACTAAGAAAAAGTGTGCTGCTATGAAACACTGCCTGTAGTGTGAGCCCATGTATACAAAATCTCTCCATCTGATTAGCCATGTAGATAGATAGATAGAGAGAGAGAGCTGGAAGCCTATTCACCAAATAATTGGCAATGGTTTTCCTTGGATAAAATTATTTGAAGGATTCTCATTTTCTTCTGTACATATTTTGATATTGTCTGAGTTCTCTGAGAGCATAGACGTTCTTTACAAAGTAGAAAAGAAAAGGAAAAAAATAGGGAGAAAATAGCTTCACCCTCTCCAACCTCTAACTTTGTTCCGTGGTACATTGAGGGCACAATTCAGGTGATTCCAAGGTAGGGGGTATGCAGCCCCACATGGGGAAACCCTGGCCTTGGGTCTACATCGTGAGCTGAGGGATCTGGGCCAGGGGTCCTGCTGGGCTGGGTCTGGGAGGCATCCTGAGTGACACTAAAGCTTGTAACCAGGATGAGTCAGAGAACCCCCAGCACCCAGGGCTGGATACCCCTCATGAAGCCAAGCCAGGGTCTTACTGTAATAGGTCACTCAAGGCCTTCCCTGTTGGAAATGTCAGTGCAAGCCACACTTGTCATACTTGGAGGCACCTCTCGTGGTGGGAAGGCCAATCATTGGCCTGGCCAGAAGGGCAGAGGTCCAGGTAGCAGCTCTAAAAACAGCCTGGGACCAGAAGGAAGGCACGTGCACGGGTGAGAGTCAGAGGACAGCTGAGCAAAGCATCAGCTGAACTGTTCTGTGTGTGCTGGGAACCCAAAAAGCAGTGGGAATAGTTCAGGGCTGGAGAAGGGTGTGAGGGATTCTGCTGCCTTGGGGCTCTATAAGGCCCAAGTCCAGGTGGGAGTAGGGAAGCCTGGTCTCCCATCGCAGCCCTCTTAAAAATGCCTATATCCTCTCCTGAGCTGGCTACTCCTCTGCTTAAGAACCATTCCTGGCTCCCAATTGGCTGCTCCATCCATCTGGATTCCAACTTTGCTTCTGAAGTCCTCCTTAGTCCCATCCTAGCTCTAACTGGCTTTGCCAGCCACATCACCTGCCTTTCATGCTCTTTTTCTCTCTCTGTATGTCCCTCCCTTCTTTCCTTGCTACTCCACCTGCCTACCCCCCGCCACCCCCCATAGCTCTAGTTACAGAAGACTCTTCTGAGTTTCCAGGTCCTCATGTTTTTACTTCTGCTTTTCCCTCTGCCTCCTCCCCATCTCCTTCCCTATCTGGTAAACTCCTGCTAACCATTCAAAGTCCAGCTGAATGCCCCTGTGTCTGCAAAGGCTTCTCTCCACCAAGCCAGGCCCTCCCTGTAAGACTTCAGTGCAGCTGGTACAGCCCTTGCCATGCCAATCGGTGTCTGCATGCCTGCTCCCACTTCAAAGAGAGCTTTTTGAGGCTGACTTTGTGTTTCTGGCCTTGTTCAGTGCTGTGTTCCGAGTTTCCAGCCTGTACTTGGCCCACGGTAGGAACTCAGTGAATATGTGCAGAGTGACTGGAGGAGGTGGCCATTACCTTTCTGCTCAGGAGCACTGCTGATGGTGAAGGGGTGCCACTCATAGCGAGCAATGGTGGGGATGTTCAGATACAAGTAGTCACCAGGTCTATAGTGAAAAAAAGGGGGCCGCTTGATGAGGAGATGAGTGACCTGGGAAAGAGGAAGGAGATCTGCATCATTCCTGCAGGCCCAAAGCCACCAGGGGCTACAGGACAAGAGGGCAGAAGCTGGGCTGCCCTCCTCCTCCATAAAACAGGCATGCCCCGAGACATGACACTCTTCTGTGCTTCTGAGTGGTGGCCCACCTCAGCAGCCAACCT
The DNA here is from genome assembly GCF_000001405.40 of Homo sapiens. Classification (NCBI taxonomy): domain Eukaryota; kingdom Metazoa; phylum Chordata; class Mammalia; order Primates; family Hominidae; genus Homo; species Homo sapiens. The sequence goes on along the minus strand of NC_000015.10, from coordinate 69,038,686 downwards.
GCCAATCTGGAAGTGGGCAACAATCCTAGAGGGGGCAGCCAGGCTGTGTCTGAATTGGGGCCCCTGGTTTTACCCTGCCTCTCAGGGTGTAAGCACTGCTTTTTAGTGGACCCTCTGTGACGTATCCCTGTGATGCCTCCCTGGCTACTCCAGCCCTTTCTTGGAACTTCAGCCAGAGTGTGGCTAGCATTCTAACCATCAATGGGCATCTCTCCTTGGATAACAACATCTTTCCAGACAATTGCTTTGGAGCACTGTGTTATCTCTAGGCCTCACAGCAGTTGTATGACGTGGATATTATTTTCTCTCTACTTTAGGGACAAGAAGAGGAGGCTCAGAGAGGTTAAATAACTTCCCAAGGCCACTGGGTAAGAAACCGTGGGATCTGAATGCAGCTGAGGCTGTTGGATGCCAGAGCCTAGACACAGAGCACAGCCTCATTCTTCAGCCTCCCAGGTCCTCTAACGCAGTGTGTCCAGAGCTGAGCCCGCCTAGAACTGCCTTCCTTTTCTCAGACACCTGGGAGACGTCCTAGACTCCATCCTCTCTGTTGCCGCAAAACATAACCAGTTGCTTCTTGAGTCTTTCTGTGATGTGCACCTGCCTCCATCCCATGGCCACTGCCTCAGTGTCAAGGCCCTCATGAACTCTCATCTTTGTATTTGCAAGAACCTCCCCACAAGCCCCCTCCAAGCTACCTTCCACAGAGCAACTAAAGAAATCTAACTAGAATATTAATGGTCACAGCTTAATACCACCATCTCCTCCCAGCGTGCTCAGGGGTTCCCCATGGCCTGCGGGGTTGGTCTCCCAGCTCAGGAGGCCCTTCATAATCAGGCCTTCCTCACCTCTCTGGCTTCCTCCTGGCAACTTGGCTCCAGCTATGCCAAATTACCTGTGGTCCCCCAAGCACAGTATACCCTTTCACAATTCTGTGTCTTTACTGTGCTGTTCCTCCTGCCAGCAATACCCTTCCTTGTCTTCTCTATCCAACAAACTCTTATTCATCCCTCAAAACCCTGATATGGCATCTTCTCCCTTATTCTGAAGCTTTTTCTGACCTCCCAAAGACAAAGGGTTTAATACCTCCAGCAACACAGCCCTGCACTGTAATGAAAGGGCTGGCTCCCCTAGAAAGCAGGACAGTGCAGAACCTTCTCTATTTCTCTGTAACCTAGTTCAGGGCCTGGCACCCTGTAGGCACTAATAAACGCTTACTGAGCTGAAGGAGACTGTTCTCCCCAAAATCGGATTTTAGAGGTTTATTGCCTGCCCTGCCATTCATCTTCCTAAAGCTTCCCTCCTGGAGGGCTGGACTGGGTCTTGCATTTTGCTTCTCTCCTCCATAGCAATGGGGCTGCAGCTACACTATTCTCTATTTCCTTGGGGGTCTGACAGGGTATCCAGCTGCTCCACCCCACAAACTGTCCCTTGGGGTGAGTTGGAAAAGCACCTCCCCATCCCCCACCTTTGTACCTTGGAGGGGAGGAGGTTGACTTCCATGATGCACACGGCTGCCATGCGGGACACTGCCAGTCCGATGGCCTTCTCCAGGAAAAACAAGATTCCAGGCACCAGCAGCCACTTCCAGAAGTTGGGCCCATGAAAGATGAGCAGAAGCCACACGAGGAGGTAGGACAGGTGAGTCCAATAGAACACCTATGGGGGTAGGGGGGGCAGTCAACTTCCAGAGCTCAAGGCCTGGGGGGTGGAACAGAGCCAGGACTCAGGGTTATCCTCAAAGCCAGGGCAGTGCTCAGAGCCTTGACTCTCTCCCGGGGATGGAGTTGGGTAAGATGTTGGGGCTGGGAAGCTTCTTTTTCTGGGTGCTTGGCCAAAGGAGGCTGTAAGGGAAGATTCCTGATACCAGAGGCAAACATCTGAAATATCTGCCTGGGGAGGTTCTGGGCAGAGTGGACTGCCCCCACAGGGATCATGAGCATCAGTATCGCTACCCCCGACCCATTCTCAGAAGGAAGAAAGGAAAGACAGCAATGGCTTCCTGGGAGTGGAGAAGAAATAGCAGAAGACAATTTTAGCACCTTCTGAAGCTTTGTGATCTTGGGCAATTTCATTACTTTTCTGAGTGTGAAATTCCTCATGGGTCAAATGAGGATTCTGATTCCTACTTCAAAGGCTTGTTGCTGGCCCAGAGTAGGTACGTGCTCAGTATATGTCTATTTCTGATGTGGTCAGGCCACAAGATAGTCAAGCTCTCCAAACCAAGTCCTCTGTGACTTTCTGCATCTTGAGGAGGCTGGAGAGACAGAAGCAAAGATGGAACTAACATTTTCAGAGCACCTATGTGCTAGGATGTAGTTAGTGGTTTTACATGTATTATCGCCTATAATTCCTAAAATAACATAGAGAATTACACCTCCATTTTACAGATGAGAGAACTGAGGCTTGGAAAGGTTGAGCGACCAGTAAGCAGTGGAGTGGGGATTCAAAACCTGCTGAGCCTATGTTCCTTCCCCTCCCTGTACTGTTTTAAGCCCAACTTAATCCAAATAGGCTAAAGGGATAAGCCAGCAAAAAGGCAGACTCTTCCGCAGCAAAACATCTACACTTGGCAGACATAAACTACAGTCCAGTGGCAGAACACAGCAGCAGGTCCCAAATCACATGCAAATAATATGCAGACCAGCTTGGGACCTTCCTGGGCTCTGGAGTAAATCAGAGGGGACACAGAAAGAAATGAAAGTAGGACCCTGGCCTTGGGGGAAGCAAAAGGGCAGCAACTGGGGCACCTCAAAGTGGCCACTCCTGCGGATGCAGGAACTGGAGCAGATGAACATGAGGAGGAGCAGCAGCAGCAGAGCGACACCTGTCGGGGAGGCCGAACCGTGTACCCAGCCAATGCCAGGCCTCGTGGTGAGCAGCAGCTCCCAGAACTGGAAAGGGCTGGCCTCCGCCTGAGCCTGGAGTACTGGAAACAAGCTCAGAAAGGTTGAGTGACTGCAAGACCAGCTCTTCCCACTCCACCTTCCCATTGGGATCCCCACCCTGCACCATCAGATACTAGCACGGGCAGAAACTTTTGTCCAGAGCGTTGGCTTATCCAGGGCACCCCTTCTCTGCCCTTTGGGCAGGCAGTACACACAGGGGCTGGGCCCTGCATTCTGGGCTTGAGGCTGCTCAAGCTTCTCCCCGACCCAACCCTGCCCCAGATCACTCACCAAAGTTCACAGTGTGAGCCACGGTGTGCACGAGGGACAGCCCCACTACCACGTAGCCCATAAGCTGGTGGAACTGGATGTTCTGGTCCAGTGGTAGGACTTGAGCCAGCCACGTGGCCCGCAGCCAGGTGAGGCAGCGTCTGAGCATCAGCACCTGGCCAGGCAGAGTGGGAGAGAGCCCTGCCTCACTCTCTGTCTGCCTTGTCCTCTTTTCCCAGCCACCTCCCTGCATCCTCCTGAGCTAGCTGTGCTTTCTGAACAGGACACTCACCAAAGTCCCCTGCCCCCATGCCTTGTTGCTTCCCTGGATTCATACCTGGGGTCTCTAGAGGAGGATCTCCAGAATTGTGGCGGGAAGAGAAAGTTACAGAATGTCTATTTGTATTAATTTTTGTCTAAACACATGAGAAACATCTATGCTTTTACTAATATTTAATATATGGGCCAGGCGCAGTGGCTCACTCCACTAATCTCAGCACTTTGGAAGGCTGAGACAGTAGGATCACTGGAGCCTAGGAGTTTGAGACCAGCCTGGGCAACACAGCGAGACCCCTGTCTCTATAGAAAAAAAAAATTGTTTAATTAGCTGGGCATGGTGGCACACACCTGTAATCCTAGCTACTTAGGGGGCTGAGGCAGGAGGACTGCTTGAGCCCAGGATTGCTTGAGCCCAGGCGTTTGAGGTTACAGCAACCTATGATCAGTCCACTGCACTCCAGCCTGGGTGACAAAGACCATGTCTCAAATAAATAAATAAATAAATAAAATATCTCTGTTGACTTGGTGCCCTCATTTAGTCCATATGTCAGATGGGCACGTGTTGTGTTAGTTCTCGAGGTGCCTTGCAGGAGCCAAATCCAGAGTGGTTAACCAGGGTTCTCTCATTGCTCATTTGCTTTCAGTATATTTATGTTTGCCAAGGATGTGGACTTGTAGGTTACAGTATTTGACTTTACCAAAACTAAGCTAACTACCCCTCACAGGAAGGACAAGTAGCTTTAAAAGTTTCCCAGCAGAGAAACCACAGATTAACAGTTGTGTTAGTAATACATGAGCAAGTGACCAAGAAAATGAATCACACGTCTCCCACTCCTGGAATGAAGTCTTTGTTAGCTCGTTGAGCCATTAAGACAAAACCCACTTTAGGGATGGGTACCCCATTTTGCAAGATGTGATTATTACACATTGCATGTATCGAAACATCCCATGTATCAAAACATCCCATGTACCCCATAAATATATACACCTACTATGTGCCCACAAAAATTAAGATTAATAATTAAAAATAATAAAAATAAATTTAAAATAAAACCTATAAAACCCACTCTAATGAGAAGCTCATATCCAGAAGCGTATCTGAGCTAGAGATGGGCATCCCTGCTCATCAATGATGAATCTTCCCCTGTAGTTACTTTGTGCCATAAGTCTATTAGCTAATGATAATAGAGCATGCATATAAGCATAAGAGGGCTTTTGTTTTAATGGTAGGAGTTGTGTGATCAAAAACTCTTAGAGGTCAGGCGTGGTGGCTCATGCCCATAATCCCAGCACTTTGGGAGGCCGAGGAGGGTGGATCACCTGAGGTCAGGAGTTCGAGACCAGCCTGGCCAAAATGGTGAAACCCCATCTCTACTAAAAATATAAAAATTAGCTGGGCATGGTGGCGGTTGCCTGTAATTCCAGCTACGGGGAGGCTGAGGCAGGAGGATCGCTTGAACCCGGGAGGCAAAAGTTGCAGTGAGCTGAGATCGTGCCATTCCAGCTGGGCAACAAGAGCAAAATTCCGTCTCAAAAAAAAAAAAAAAAGAAAAAAAAGAAAGAAAAAAAAAAACACCTCTTAGAGGCCTCATCCATGAGCCAGAGAACCACATTCCAACTCCATGGTCTGGTATTCAAAGCCTCTTCTAGGGTTTCCTCTTGAAGGTGCTCCTGCACAGGGGTCCACTATAGGGGAGTTGTGAAGATCAAATGGAGCGTGCTCAGCACCGTGCCTGGTGCATAGTGCACAAAAATGCCAGTTATGTTATTATTTACTGGCTGTGTGACTGTGGACAAGCTACTGTCCCTCTCTGGGCGGCGTCCTCCAACTCTGAGCGTTGGCCCAGCTGATTTCTAAGGTGCCACCCTGCCCTGGCATTCCAGGTGTCCTCTGTGGGTCGCTCTGTCTAGGAGGAGCCCACCTCGGCTCCTAATTAACATTTTCAGAGCACCGTGTGCTGGCAGAGCCTACCGCGATGAAGCTGCAGTCGAAGTTGAGGCACTGGCCGCAGCCCTTGGCCACCATGACGCTGGCGCCGAGGTCCCGGTGCGCGCTGGCCGCCAGCCCGAAGAGCAGCACGTGGAGGCCTGCATAGGTGGCCAGGCAGAACAGCTGGCTGCGGTGGTTGTGCCAGTAGGCGCGGGTCAGCTGGCGCGGCCGGCGCGGGCGTGGGCGGGGGGCGGGGGCCGTCAGCCAGTGGGCAGCGCTGCGAGAGAGGCGGGTTCCGCTCAGAGGCGAGCGGTGGGGCGGGGACCACCTGTGTCTTAACTTAAAGACCCCCTTCAAGCTATGGCCGACCAAGTCTGGCAAGCAGGCCGGCTTTCTTCACACCAGGAAACAGAGAGGTCAAGTGGCTTGGTCACAGTCGCACAGCTCCGCGGAGCTGAAAGGGGACTCCGGTCTGCCTAATGCCACAACCACCGCTATTTTTATTACTTCTCTTTACTTTCCAATTTTAAAAGAAGCAGTCGAAAAGGATGGAAGAATCTGAAATATGTTTTGGTAAGTAAGCCCCAAGAAAGTTAATAGGCAGGTAGGTGCCCAGTGCAGTGGCTCACGTCTGTAATCCCAACACTTTGTGAACCCAAGGCGGGCGGATCACCTGAGGTCAGGAGTTCGAGACCAGCCTGGCCAAGATGGCGAAACCCCGTCTCTACTAAAAATACAAAAACTAGCTGGGCGTGGTGGCTGGCACCTATAATACCAGCTACTCGGGAGGATGAGTCAGGAGAATCGCTTGAACCCGGGAGGCGGAGGTTGCGGTGAGCCGAGATCATACCACTGCACCCCAGCCTGGGCGACAGAGTGAGACTCCGTCTCAGAAAAAAAAAAAAAAAAAGTTAATACACAGGAAGAATGAACTACAAAACCGGCTCTATTCAGAGCCTGGAGTCGGACAGACTTGGGTCTTGCTGTTACACTCTTATTTTCTCCACAGCACTTATTAATTTTGTGCTTCTCTAGTTTGTGTGTTTATTGGTGTAAATGACATGTCTCTTCGTCTGGAATGGAGCCCCAGCAGGGTGGAGACCTCATTCACTGCATTAATCAGAACAGTGCCTGCTGCATAGAAGCTGCTCAAACATTTATTGCATAAATACCTTTGTTAATTATTTGTGTGATCCTAGGCAACTTACTTCAGGCGAAGTAATTTCCTTTTGTAAAACGAGTATTGCTATAAAATGCACTGGTATATGCAAAAGTGCTCAGCACACAGTAGGTGCCTCAGACCTTGAGTTGATTCTGCAGAGACACTGCAGGAAGTGGAGGCAATGAAGACAGCTGCCCTGCAGTACACTCAAGAGTGGGCTAAACTGGGGAGGGGCGGGGCAGGGCGGGGTAGGGCAGAGTGGATCCGCGGTGAGTTCCTGCCACACTTCCGACCAGGAGTCTAACGCCGCCGTGGACAGTGCCAATGCCCGAGACCCGGCCGTACCTGATGGTCAGGTTCTCCATGACTCCGGGGAAGCGCTGCAGCTCGTCCCGGAGCTCCTCGAAGGTGATGGCCCCGTTGCCGTCCGCGTCGGCCGATTCGAAGAGCGCCAGCGTCAGCTGGTCCAGCTTCTCGTCAGGCAGCGAGATGGCGCTCTCGCGCAGACACGACTGCAGCACAGTGCGCAGCTCATCCGGGTCAATGGAGCCACTGCCTGTCCCGAGTGGGGATGAAGCCCAGTGCGGGCCTGCCCCAGCACCCCACTCTGTACCTGCAGACGCCCCCTGCCGTGCACACACTGCAAGAAGTGGTGGGCCTCTTCTGTTTACCCACCTCCAGCTTTCTGCCAGTCAGCTTTCCTTGGGGGTATAGACCATGCAACTGAAGGACCAAATGTCACCCTCAGCTCAGAAACCTTCCATGTTCCCGACTGCCTAGCTCAACAGCAATGGACACCTCCCCACGGGTGGAGAATCTTTGGCTTCAGTGGTTGCCTGTCTCCAGAATCGGTAACTCCCTAAGTACTACTCAACTTCCAAGACTATCTGCCCAGAAAATACACCTGCTTACTTAATCTATAAGGGGCGGTGTGCCCACAGCCTCAGTTATCCAAAGGCACACTGTATGTGGGTTAGCGCTGAGGGAGTGTGCCTTGTTGTTCAACTTGGAGCAAATGCTCTGTTTATCATGTTGTCTTGAGAGGGGCCACAGCTAGGCATTCCAGCCCAGCAGTGTGGCCTTATGTAAACATGGGTGGTTGAAAGTGATGGGATAAGGAAGCCAAAACTACCAACAGAGATGAGATTTTTCTGTATTTTATTCTTCCTGAGCAGCAGAGCCCGTGATTAATGATTTCTTGGCCTGCTTTGGATATGGACACACCCAGTGTGGCATCCTGCTCCTGCCCCTCCTTAACTGTGCAATAGTGGGCTCTAAGTCCTCTGGGGTAGTGGACCTCACTTTGCTCATCTCTAAAATGAGAGTAATCATTTCTCCCTCTCAGAACTAGCTCAAGGAAACTCGATAATGGTAAAACACCTAACGCAGTATCTGGGAGAAGGAAATTGCATATACATGGAAATTCTCATTGGTGTTGTGATCATCATTCCGGCCCAAATCACATTACGATGCAGAATCAATTAGAGTATATTATACCACTCTCCAGTCACACCGCCTGTTCTGCTTTCCTAGTCAACAGCCAAGATGACAGCAGGTTTCTGGACTCATCCAGAGGACCAGTCTCCCCCTGGCCCCTTCATGGCCTCTTCTATCTGCTTTAATCTCTCTGTTGGCCAATTTCAAATCCAGGGTCCTCCCTCACAATAATTCTCATGTGCACATTCTCCTTCCTTCTCCCTCTAACCTTCCATTCTACTGACTCTAAGAATATCCCATCCCTGGGTGAAGCCAGCTACCTGTTTTCCGCCCTCTGGCACCAGGGCAGCAAAATGAACATTGCTGAAGAAAAGCTTTTCAGAATGCAGGTCCATCCCTGCGAATCCCTTGCTCAACACACTTTGATGGCTCCCCGTCGCGCGTAAGTTAACTAATTTAACCTTCATCTCAACCCCATGAGTATGAAATATTATTATCATAATTCCTATTTGATAAATAAATTGAGGTACAGAGAAGTTAAGTAACTAGTCTAAGATCATATAATAAGTGATGGAACTGAGATTTGAACTTAGGTAGCTTGTGCTTAGAGTCTTAAATACTACACGATGCTGCATGATACATACAGTGGAGTATAATGCAGCCACTAAAAATGACACTATAAGTACAGTGAGTTACCACTTCACACCCATTAGGATGGCTATTATCAAAAAGCAGAATATAAGGCTGAGCACAGTGGCTCACGCCTGTAATCCCAGCACTTTGGGAGGCCAAGGCGGGTGGATCACTTGAGGCCAGGAGTTCGAGACGAGCCTGGCCAACATGGTGAAACCCTATCTCTATGAAAAATACAAAAATTAGTGGGCATGGTGGTAGGTGCCTGTAGTCCCAGCTACTCGGGAGACTGAGGCTGGAGAATCACTTGAACCTGGGAGGTGGAGGCTGCAATGAGCTGAGATCATGCCACTGCTCTCCAGTCTGGGCAACAGAGTGAGACTCCATCTCAGAAAAAAAAAAAAAAGCAGAAAATTACAAGTGTTAGCAAGAATGTGGAGAACTTGGACCACCTGTACATTACTGGTAGGAATGTAAAATAATGCAGCCACTGTGGAAAACAGTATGGCAGTTCCTCAAAAAATTAAAAATAGAATTACCAGAATTACCATGTCATCCAGCAATTCCCCTTCTGGATATATACCCGGAAGAATTGAAAGCAGGAACTCAAACAGATATCTGTGCACCAATGTTCATAGCAGCATTAATCACGATAGTTAAAACGTAGAAACAGCCCAAATGTCCACTAATTGGTGAATGGATAAACAAAATATGGCATATACCTACAATGGAATATTATTCAGCCTTAAAAGGAATAAAATTCTGTCACATGCTATGACACAGATGAAGCTTGAGGATACTATACTAAGTGACATAAGCCAGATACAAAATGACAAATATTGTATAATCCCACTTAGATGAGGTGCCTAGAGAAGTCAGATTCTTAGAGACAGAATGTATGAATAGAATGGTGGTTGCCAGGGACTAGGGGAGGAGGCATGGGGATTCAGTGTTCAGTGGGCAAGGAGTTTCAATGGAAGGATGAAAAGGTTCTGGAGATGGAGGGTGGTGATGGTGGCACAGCAATGTGAATGTACTTAATTAATGCCACTGACCTGTACACTTAAAAATGGTTAAGATGGCAAATTTTACATTATGTATATTTTACCACAATAAAAATGACACTGTAAAGCAATATATTTTTACATTTCAAAATGTTCATTTTTGTAAGTGAAAAAGTTCATTTTTGTAAGTGAAAAATCCCATTAAAAAATGGGATTCATTTTTTAATCCCATTTTGTTAAAAAAAAAAAGGTGTGTGGCGTGTGTATGTGCAACCAGTTAGAAGGCAATATAGCAAAATGTTACGGGTGATTTTTGTATTCTTTTTTATACCACTCTGTATTGTCTAAAATGTTCATAGTGAGCTTATACTATGAGGAAAAGGAAAAAACAACAGAGATTTTCTTTTTCAGACATAGAAAAGATCAGAAAAAGGTTCTGGCCTCTGGTAAGTTGAATAGAAGGCATTTGTCTCCTGTGCCAGAGTCCCTCCTTTTCTCCCTGCTGCCCCAGAAAGGGGGGCAGGGATTAGACAGAGAGACTGGGGACTGGGAGAGAGATGTGAGGAAAGGAAGTGTCAGCCTCACCTGGAGAAACCAGTCCCAGGCTGGGCTCAGGAGGCCGGGATGGCACCTCCAGGCCTGCCAAGGTGAAATGGCCAGTTCTCACTGAGGCCCACTGATCTCCCCACCCCAGCCCACACCCAGGAAGAGCCCTTACCATCGATGTCATACACCTGGAAGAGGAATTTGAGTTTGTCCATGGGGCTGCCATGGATGAGCAGGGTCAGTGCCTCCTGCAGCTCCTGGAGGGTGATGGTGCCACTTCTATCGGAGTCAAATAGGGCAAAGAATCGCTCTGCAAAGAAGGACTGTGGGCGAGAAGGGTGGAAGACAGCACAACTGTGGCCGCAGGGCCTGGGCTTTGAATTTGTTCACTGTCTCCCTGTGTCTGGGGTGGTGGTGGGGGGGTGCACCACAGAGTGGCGGTATTCAGGCAGAACTCAGGTGCCTGAACACCCATCGTGATCTGCTCTAATGGAAGACCTGTTCCGATCCCTGCAGTAAGGATGGGCTTGGTTTGGACTTCAGGCCCCCTTCAGGCACTGGACTTTGTAATTTGCATGGGCTCTCTGTCCCCTACATACAATCACCCCCATCAGCCTTTAAATCCCAGCCTCTGGGTGGCCCCTTAACCAACATGGGAAAGGGTCAGACAGAGGGTCCTCCTGCAGGCTCCTTCCAGCCCTGTCTCACCCCACTTGGGGTGAGCGCAAGGGATGAGTGAATCTGGGAAGGACTTATAGATTCCACTGGAAGATCTGAGTCCTTTCTTTTGCTTGTTCTTAAGGCTGCCTACATTTTATACTTAAGGCTTGTTCTTAATCACCAGTTCACTCATTCATTCACTGAGCAGTCTTGTACTGTGTAGCCTCTGCCTGCCAGGCCTGGTGTTAGACCCTGGGAGCACAGAAATTAAGAAGACAGGCTTGGATGATGGGTGTCCCAAAGATGCTGTGTCCTGGGATGCTCCCCTCAAGGCAGGGGGAGGACCCTGTGGAGCTCTAGTGTCTGACTTAATAAAACTATGAGGGGTTCACAAGTATGAGGTATAGGCCGAAGTCCGCTGTGGACTGACAAAACTGCCACCTTGCCTTGGCTTTCTTCTTCATCCCCAGGATCCCTGGGTAGTACCTTTATCACTCTCTACCATCCCGAATGCTCTTTGTCTTAAGATGTTTTACACCCTCCCATTTGGATGGGATTGTATCATTAGGGAGAATGGGATTTTTTCCTTCCCCATATTTGCTGTGAAAGGAGGCGTGGCGTTAGAGTTCTTAGTAGTATCCCCAGGACCAGCAGGGGAGGGTCCTTCTGATTCAAGCAGGGCATTCAGATGCTCATCGGCTAGTCCCTGTCAAGGACCAGGCCACTATTCAATGCCAGTCCCAAGGACAGCTAGGAGAGGCTGGCATTTCAGACTCAGTCCTCCCTTCCGTGCTGATGTCTCCTCTGTGTGTCAGGGCATGCAGGCTGTGTGGGGTGGGCAGGGTAGCTATGGAGTCTGGAGGACTGGGAACAGTGTGCCACAGCAGACAGGACTTTAATAGGTATAGACCATTGACAAGCTTATCTTGAGAGGAAGCTTAAGTCAGAGCATCAGCTCTGCCCATGAGCCTAGTGGAAATTGTGAGGTTAATCATATTGCTTAAGATTTGACAAGCTACTGACTTCCAACTTCATGTGTTGAAGACCCAGGAGGCCATGACTATTAAGAGGAATGGGAGGGTGCCATAAACATCCCGCCAGCCCGCTACAAGGTGGAGACCTCAGGAACCCCAGGGAGTTCCCTTTCCCTCCCTGTAAGGGCTATGCCCTGAGAACCAGGCCACATAACGATAAATGCAGGGCTTCCACCTTGGCCCAACACTTGCCTCTTTCACATGCAGAGCTGCTTTGAATTCTTGCAGGCTGATCTCCCCATCTTCTCCTGCAATGGTCTTAAACTGCTGAGTCACCCACCGGAGCCACCTGGCATCCTCCTCGGCACTCATGGTGCTGGGAGGCAAAGGAAACAGGTTTATGGGCTTGGGGTGGCCAAAGCCTTATGAGGTCTCATGGTGGTCCCAGGGCCTCTGCCTTGCTCTAACTAGGGCCCTGAGCCTCCCTGAGTTGAATCGGGTCAATCAGTTCTGGCTGTGGATTGGAGCTTCCCACAGCCGTTTCTCCTCCTCCCTATGCCTCAGTCTCTTCCTCTTATCCTGAGTTGGCTGGCCCAGGCTTGCTTCTCTTTAGGTTCTGAAATGACAGGGCCCGAGTGAGGTGGACCCACACTGTGGGGATCAGGTCAGAGAGTGGCATGCTGCGACTGCATTAATTAACATCATGACAATGACTTTCCATCTTGCCTTTACACAGATCTTTACTGCTTTCCAAATATTTCCCACCACCACTACTTCCTTTGGTCTCTCTGACAGCCTGGTGGGCCAGGACATTTTGCAGAGAAGAAATAGGCTCAGAGCAATTAGGTAACTTAGCTAAATGTATTCAGCAAGTTAGAGACAGAGTTCAAATTCAAGTCCAGTGTTTTTTTCCATTCTGCCCCAAAGCCTCCACCCTCTGCTTAAATGCTTGTGATACAAGATGGATCAAGCCAGGATTCAGCCCTCAGGTCTTAACTCTTCAGGCCCAGGTTGTCTTCTATGATGTCACCAGGGTATTGGCTGTCTAAAACCCTCACAGATGGGCTGTCTGTACTATGATCTAAACAGAGGTGAGTGATGAAATTAGGACACTTCCCTAGCATTAGGACCCAGGAAACCAAAATTGAGGCAGTGAGTGAGGAGTTACAGATTCTTGTTGCTGTAAATGACTCCCTGGGAGAATGGCCTTGTCTATAGCTCATGAGTGTAACATAACCCTAAATGACTTAGCTACAGTAATCCTCATTCTTTGTGGATTTTGTATTTGCAAACCTGCCTACTTCCTAAAATTGATGTGTAACCCCTGAATCAGTACTCACAGCCCATCCGTAGTCATCTGTGGACATGCACAGAGCAGTGGAAACTGAGTCACCCAATGGCTTGCTCCCCACTGAGGCTGAGCAAGGCGACGATGCCTGCCTTCTTGTTTCAGCTCTCAGACAGTGAGTGTCCTTTTCATGATCTATCTAGTACTACATTTTTCACATTTTTGTGCTTTTTGTTGGTGTTTTCACTGTTTAAAACGGCTCCCAACCATAATGTTGCGGTGCTCTCTAGCATTTCTAAGCGAGCAAAGGCTGTACTGTGCAGTATGGAGGAAATACGTGTTAGGAAAGCTTCATTCAGGAACAAGTGACAGTGCTGTTGGCCATGAGTTCAATGTCAACGAATCAACAATACATATTTTAAAGGTGTCTTTAAATAGAAACACACATAAAACAAGGCAACTTATTGATCGTTTGACAAAAATATTGTGCCCTGAGGCTCACATGAGCCTAACTCTATATTTCCTTCTAAGAACAATGGTTCTGAATTCGCTAATTCAGCGTTTGCAGTGACTTTATAGAACATAAATGAGAATTGATTTTATTTTTAAAGACTAAATAAATATTAAAAATAAATGTAATAGTTTTCACATAAGCAACTAGACAAAGAATGAAATACATATCACACACATGTAAGTACATACTACTAAATATAAAGTCAGAAATTAAGGTATTAGAAAACCAAAAAAAGTCAAAATGATACATTTATTTCAATTATGGAAATGGTTTTACAGATGTATGCATATAATACTTCTCCCTTATCTGTGGGGGGATACTTTTTAAGCCCCTTAGTGGATGCCTGAAACTGCAAATAGTAGCAAACCCTATATAGACTATGTGTTTCCTATATAATACATACTTATGATAAAGTTTAATTTGTAAATTAGCTACAGTAAGAAATTAACAATAACTAGTAATAAAATAGAACAATTATAACAATATATAACAATATACTGTAATACAAGTTAAGTAAATGTGGTCTCTCTGAAAATATGTGGTTTTACTGTACTAACCCTTCTTCTTCTTGAGATCTGTGGATCTGATAACCGAGACAGCGACTAAGTGACTGAGGGATGGGCAGCGTGTATAGTGTGGATTCACTGAACCAAGGTGGGACAGAGCAGAAAGGCTCAAGATTTCATCAGGCTACTCAGAATGGCTGCAATTTAAAACCTATGAACTGTTGATTCTAGAATTTTTCATTGGGTATTTTTGACCTTGGTTGACCATGGGCAACAAACCATAGAAAGTGAAACCATGTGTAACAGGGCTGTACTGTCTCTCGACACTCATCAAATTATTCTTTTCCTTTTTATTTTTTAAAAATTATGGTCTCATTTTTTATGTGAGGACACATCATAGTAAATTAAAGGGAAATGTAAGAATATTTTAAAAGAAATAACAATTTTAGGTAGGCAAATCAGGAAGATAACCATACAAGCCACGGTTATATGATTCTTCCACAAGCCCCAGGGTAAGACATTGATGGCTGGTTTATCAAATATTCCTTGCCAGTACATATTGGGGAGCCACAGTATTGTTTACTATTTCACGGAGTCCTGGGCAGAAGTTTTGTTCCAAAAATTCGTTAGGCAGCAAAGCTGTAAAACTGGAATGCTGAAGTACTTAAACCATAACAGCCAAGATGCAATGGTTGCGAGATTTACTAATAGACCTGAAAAAACCATTATAAATACAAAAGAGATGGTCAGGAGAAGCATTGCTATGGAAACCACACTGACCTGCTGCTATGGCCAGTGCTAAATAAGTCACCATCATGAGGGAAAACATCATGATGATGAAGGTGTCCACCTTTGTCTTTAATCCTAACAAGATTAGGATTATTATACAGCATTATTTTTATAATGCACGTATTATTATAGAGGTAAATATAATGCTTGGTAACATCTTCCTGGTAGTAAATTAGATAACAGTTTTCCAAAGAAATAAGATGACACTCTGTAGTATCCACTAATATATTTGTGTATAAAGATCTTCTCTAGCACAAAGAGCTCTATGACCGACACACTGCTGAAACACCAGCTGGTGGTCAAGAAGACAACCCTGGCTCTATTCGGGATTTCAGTAGAATCATTTTTTAGCCCAAAGTAAATGGCACCTATAATCAGCCTCAGTATGGTTGTGACAATTACCTGAGCTATAGAGGCCTGGGATTTACCCAGCAGGTTTTTGAATAAATGCATGGAAACCCATCTGAGAGAATGAAGTGGCATTAGGTGATCTTGAAAGCTGAGATCCTCTTCTTTTTCTTACCCTCTGAGAGTTGATCTAATTCAGCTTTTGTTTCTCTGTTGAAGGAGGAGTTGACATAAAACTCAGCTAATTTTTCTGTGAGTGACTTATCTCTCTTAGCGGTCTCTACAGTCTCCGTGGCTTCAGTCTTCTTCCTCTCTGTTTAATACCACAGCAGTGAATCTCCATTAATGACACCCAGGAAGAAGTCTGCAGGGTTATTATTGAACTCACAGTGGTAACCAGTTGATGCAAAGTACCCCAAGCCCTCTTAAGCAGGCCCATGGAACATTCCTCTTTGTGAGGCCATTAAGGTGAGGCTATCAAACAACTTGAAGATGGAATACCAAGGCTGGTGAATGGGAAGAAGATGATTGTTCGTCCCTACTTAGACATCCTTTTCAGGAGCAAAAAGGTCAGCATTTGCTGTGCTTGAGTCCAGTCCAGTTGTGGGCTCATCCAGGAACAAGATGAGAGGATCAGTAATAGGCTCCATTCCTATATTAGTCCTGTTTCTTTTTCCTTCTGACACACTGCAGATGAATTGAATTCTAACCTTGAAATCTGCTGCTTTATCCAGACCTAACTCTTGAATGACCATATTTATCTATTCATTTTTTTTTCACAATTCATCACAGTTGTTGGAAGCTGAAGAGCTTCTGAGAACTGTAAATGTTCTCTCACTGTTGGGGTACTCATCATGACATCATCCTGTACCATGTAACCTGAATTACATTTGAAATTGGCAGGTTGAGGTGCTGTGTTTATCAGAACATCTCCAGATAATACATGTGGGTCTTTCCTTGAAACTAAGACATCTAATAATGCCTCCACTTGCGGGTCCCAGAATGGCATTGAGGCCAGGTTTCACGATCCCATTGATATTCAATTGTATTTCTTTCTCAACTGGTTTTTGACCATGTAGAAAGCTGCTCTTCACTTTTTCTTGATAACAGATGTTATGAAAGCACAGCTCTTTCAGTAAATGCTTTCAGGTCTTTGAGGTCACCTTGGGTAAGCCATTGGTGTTTCCTTGTGACATTGGGATAAAAACTTCGACATTATTGGAAGACATCTGGAGAGTTTCTGCCTTTCTTTCCAGACACACACTCTCAGCGCAAATGGCTTTCACTATTTACTCACTCTGCTTAATAGCACTTGGGTTTAACCAAAGTTTCCAATCTCAGGATCCATGTGCTCAGAGGCAGAACACTGACAATCATTGATATAAATGTTGAGATGAGTCAGCTGGACCTTCCAAACAAACCCTAAAGAAGCAGCTTCCACTTAATAATGCCACCAAGCATGTGCACTGTGCTTTCTAAATCATGAAGAGCTTTCACAAATTCTCCCAGGCTCCTCTCTAGGCTGCCACCTTCCATGTCAAAATATCCATTTTAAATATGCAGATTATGGCACATCATTTATGCCTCAATATAGTGAAAAACAAGTTGGTTCTTTTAAAAAACTAAGAAGAAAAGCATGATTAAGGATAAAAGAGAGAATAAAACCCCCAAATATACATTAATACTGAGAAAGGCAATAGAATTACAGATAAGGAAAGGGCTACTGAAATACAAGAGTACTGTGTGCAAATGTTTGGTGGATTTAAGAGAAATGAATTAGCTCCCAAAGAAGGTAACAATCTGAATGGACCAATAATTATTTAAGAATTCAAAATGACAGTTAGGCTAGGTGCGGTGGCTCACACCTATAATCCCAGCACTTTGGGAGGCCAAGGCAGGTGGATCATGAGGTCAAGAGATTGAGACCATCCTGGCCAACATGGTGAAACCCCATCTCTACTAAAAATACAAAAATTAGCTGGGCGTGGTGGCACATGCCTGTAGTCCCAGCTACTGGGGAGGCTGAGGCAGGAGAATCACTTGAACCCAGGAGGCAGAGGTTGCAGTGAGTTGAGATCACAGATGCTGTCTCAAAAAAAAAAAAAAAAAGAATTCAAAAGGGCAGTTAAATGTCAACCATTGAAAATAATGTCAGGGCCAGCTTGTTTTTAGAGCTGAGTTCTATCTAATCTTCAAAGAATGATAAACCCAATGGTAAACCATCTTAGATCATAGAAAGAGATAGTAAGATTCCCAATTCATTTTACAAAGCAAGCTTTACCCAAATCCAATGAAAAGAGCATATGAAAAGGAAATTCTATACAAGTTTAACTTATACAAAGCTTTAACTAAAATATAACTGAATTAAATCTAGAAGGTCACTTTAAAAAAAAAACAAACCCAACCTTAGTTTAGTTAGTTAGAACCTAATTAGTTAGTTAGAACTTAGTTTAGTAATGTAAGGATGGTTCATTATTAAGACGCCTATCAACGTAATTTTTGATATCAACAAATTAAAGAAGAAAAATAGTTTTTATTATGTCAATAAATGCTAAGGAAGCACCTGATAAAGTTCAAAATTCATTCTTAATTAAAACTATAAGAAAAATGGGAGGAAATTACCTAGTTTACAAACTAGTAATTTTCTCTCTTGTTCTATGATATTTGCAATGTTTATTTAGTTTCTCTAGTTTAATGCATTAAATTCAATCTCCAAATACTAGGTATTAGTGATGGCTAGTTTCTGGGCTCAAGGGAAACAGACCAAAATCAATGATCTATATCTATCTATATTTATATGCATATAAAAATTGATATCTATATATATATATTCATATTTATTTACATCTTTACCATCTATCTTATTAGCCAAAGCAGTTACAAATGGAAATTTTAAAAAATTGTATTTATAATTGTTATTAAAAGTTGGATAATTAAATAAATGCTTTTGGCAAAATGTCTACACAGAATAAAATAATTAGATAACTACAGTATACTATTTTATTTACATTTTCTGATCAAATTATAAATGCCTAAATGTAAAAATAAATAAAATAATGAGAATTAGCAGAAATTATAGGAAATTTGTATCATCTTTAAGTAGGGGCACAAGATAGGGATCCCAAAAACATTAAGGAAAATGATCTGTAGATCTGCATATGTAAAAATTAATTTCTGCATGACAGAAGACAACAAATTCAAAAGGCAATAGGCTGAAGGAAAATATTTGCAATAAGCATGATGGAATGGTCACACCTGTTATAAAATAACAACAACTAAAAGGGCAACAATAACAGTAAATGCTTTTATTAGGTATTGATAAATTGCAGCTGTGTTAGTGTTCTTTTAACATAGAAGTCCTATAGGTTTGACAGAAGCAAAAACAAACAAACAGAAACCAGCAATGGAAAGTAGCAAAAGATATAAAAGGACAATTCATAAGAGAGAACTTATATTGGTTGATAAACATTTGAAAAGATGTTCAATTCACTTCTCATGCCTGGGGAAATGGGATTTATAACAATTATATCTTTTGTAGTTGGGGGAAGTGGTATCAGAATGCCAAAAATCAAAAGATTGGTAATATCCAATATAAACAGTGCTGGTGAGAACATGAATTGTACTATCTTTCAGGCAATTCAATTTTTAGGAATGTATCCTACAAAAATAAAAGTGTTACTGCATAATGGCCCATATCCATCATCCACCACTGTGTACTAGATTGCCATTCAAAACAGCTAAGCCCGCCCACGTTATCTATAATAGGTGTGAATTGATTTGAATAAATACAGTAGCACTGTGTGGAAGGGAATCATCAGGCTGTCAGCACTGGTCCTTAAAGAGGCAGGACTGGAGGGGAGAAAGAGGATTTCAGTTCTGTATTGCTTTACGCCTCAGTATGATTGATCTGATGGTATCCATGAGCATACACCATTCTTGTGATAATCTTTGAAAACTCTTCATTTTGAGATAATTATGGATTCACATACAGGTATGAGCCATAATGTAGAGATTTCTTTATTCCGTTTCTCCCAATTGTAATATCTCACAAAATTGTAGTACAATATCACAAAGAGGATACTGACATTGATAGAGTCAAGATACAGAACTTTCCACCACAAGACTCTCTCAAGTTGCCGGTTCACAGCCACACCTACATCCCTCCCTGCCCCCTTCCATGGCAGGTGGGCAGTGGGCAAAGTCCTGACTCTCCACTGGGCCTCCTCTGACCATCCCAGTCGGGAGGAGGAGGGAGTACCTCGTTACTGCCGGGTATGACAATTAAAAAGCAAGCAAGGCCGGGGGTGGTGGCTCATGCCTGTAATCCTAATACACTGGGAGGCTGAGGCAGGAGGACTGCTTGAGTTAAGGAGTTTGAGACCAGCCTGCGCAACATAGTGAAACCTCATCTCTACAAAAATTTAAAAAATTAGCCAGGCATGATAGCATGCACCTGTGATCCCAGCTACTCTAGCAGCTGAGGTGGGAGGATGGCTTGAGCCTAGAAGGTCGAAGCTAAAGTGAACTTTAATCACACCATTGCACTCCAGCCTGGGCAACAGAGAACCCATCCCTTATAACATAATAAAATATAAAATAGAATAGAATAGAGCAAACAAAAAATCCCTCTCCATCCCCTGACCTTTAATCCTGTGCCATCAGTGAGCTCTGGCCCGGGATGTGGCTCCCCAGGGCAGCTTCTCCAAAAGGTGATATCAAGGGTGTTACTGGCCTCTTATCCCCCAGCAAATTAATACCTTAGTAAAACAAACATTTTACACGGCACAACCTCATCCCAGAACACACCTGTGAGGCAAGTGGCTCAACAGGTACAGCCCACTGATCAGATGAGAATCCGCCCTCTGAAGCACGGTTCCCAGCTTTGGGCGTCCAGTAACACAAAAGAGTCTTGTGGGGGTGGGGGTGGGGGTGGTCCTCACTTGGTGGGAGAGGTGCACTGTCAGCATCTCCCTAGGTTGTGTCCCAGCTAACTGTAATTCCCTATCAGAGCAGCGTTTTCTAGGTTAAAATAAGGGCTTATGGAGACCAAGCTTTCATCATTCAGGTAAAGCCTCCACGTAGCAGGCTTCAAAGACAACAGAGTGTAAATGTTTCTTATCAGACTTAAAGAGTCTGTTGCTGGCTCACACCAACTCCGCCAGCTGCCTCTCACCTGCCTGAGCAAGTACCCGGTCCCCAGGCCTGGCCCTGCAGCCTCCTTGCCCATTCTCCCTGCCAATCCCTAGGAATCCCACCTGCTGCTTGTTCCTCTTTCTCTGAAACCCAAATGGGAGTTGGAGTTTCCCTAGGATGCCTGAGCAACCGGCGCCTCTGGGGCTCCATGAGTGCGGTCCGGTCCATGGACCGCCCACAATTGCATCATCTCAAGAGTTGAAAGTGCACATTCTCTGCAGCCCCAGATCTTCAGGACCAGAAGCTCTGAGGTTTGGGCCCTGGGAGTGTGAATTCTAGCAAGCATTCTCAGAGCCGCTGGTATTACTGAGTGAAAAGAAACCCTCAGACAGCACTTCCATGGTTTTCTAAAGTGCCTCGTGCCTGCTGGGTGATCCTGTGCCAGTTATTTGACCTCTGTTTCTCTGTTTGACCTCTTTATAGGCATGTGTCTTATGCTATATATGTGTGGCATGTATTTGAGTGTGTGTGTGTGTGTGTGTGTGTGTGTATAAAATATATCAACAAAGAGTCAAACTATAAAATACTTGAAGATACTTACTCTGAGCCAAATACGAGTGACCAATGGCCTGTGACACAGCCCTCAAGCTATCCTGAGAACATATACCCAAGGCTGTTGGGTCACAACTTGGTTTTGTACATTTTAGCAAGACATAAAACATCAATCAATACATGTAAGTTGTACATTGGTTCTGTCCGGAAAGGTGGGACAGCTGGAAGCAGGGGCTTCCGGGTCGTAGGTAGATTCAAAGATTTTTCTGATTGGCAATTGGTTAAAAGAATTAAGTTTTTGTCTAAAGACTTAGGAACGTCTGGCCGGCCGCAGTGGCTCATGCCTGTAATCCCAGTACTTTGGGGGGCCGAGGCAGATGGATCACTTGAGGTCAGGAGTTCGAGACCAGCCTGTTCAACATGGCAAAACCCCATTTCTACTAAAAATACAAAAATTAGCCTGGTGTGGTGGCATGCACCTGTAATCCCAACTACTTGGGAGGCTGAGGCATGAGAACTGCTTGAGCCCAGGAGGTGGAGGTTGTAGTGAGCCAAGATCACGCCACTGCACTCCAGCCTGGGTGACAGAGTGAGGCTCTGTCTCAGAAAATAAATAAATAAATAAATAAATAAATACTTAGAAATTTCTATGTTAAAATAAGGGGTTATGGAGACCAAGGTTTCGTCATTCAGGTAAAGCCTCCAGGTAGCAGGCTTCAAAGACAATAGAGTATAAATGTTTCTCATCAGACTTAAAGGGTCTGTTCTATCAGTAATCCCACAAGGGAGGAGAGTATAATGAGGCATGTCTGGTCCCTCCTTCCCATGATGGCCTGAACTAGTTTTTCAGGCTAACTTTGGAATGCCCTTTGCTGAGAGGAGGGGTCCATTCAGATGGCTGAGGGGATTAGATTTTTATTTTTGGTTTACAAATATATGTTTTAGTGTGTGTATGTATGTATGTATATATATATATGCATATGTCATATATGCTTTAGTGTGTGTGTGTATGTGTGTGTGTGCATGCATGCTTCAGTTTCCTCATTTATTAAAAGCGTTAGTGATAGCTCACCTTGCAGAGTTGTGACAGGGCATAGGATGTCTGTCTAGCACATGATGATTAGGTATGTACACCTTTCTCTTCTCTTTTTCATGCCTATTAACTCACGTCACTTTCCAAGTCAGCAAGTCCTAGATGGATTCCCATTTCCCACAGGGAGCACAGACAGATGTCCTCTCAGGGCCCCTGCATTGACTTGGGGCAGAGCCAGGCCTAAGTCCCAGGCTTCAGACTCCTCAGGTTCTTCTTGCGGACCACCTGTCTAGGTTCTCACTCTCTCCTCGCCTATAAATGTGTGGTCCTAGTAAGTCACTGGAGCTGCAGGCAGCAAGGAGGGTGCTCCAGGCAGCCCCTGCCAGAGGCCAGTCCAAAGCTCCCAGGGCCCAACTCACTGTGGAGGAGGGGGGTGAGATGAGGCATGGAGAGAACCTGTAGCTGGGAGTGTCAAGGGCCAGGGCAATGCCCCCACCCAGCCTCCCACTGAGATAGGCCAGCTCCTGCACGCTCCCAAGGCAGGGGCTCCAGGCCCTCCAGTGTGCCAGCCACTTTATTTAGTATATTGGCCCCTTCTGTCTTTGGTGCAGCCCAGTGAGGTAGGTATTATTACTATCCCTGTGTACCAGAAGCAGCCCACAGCTGGAAAAGAGGAAGAGAGCTTCGCATCAGACCTTCTCATCCCTCGTGGCTTCAACATCAGCCAAGGAGCCTCTTTTAAGAGCTTCCTAGGTTTTTTCACACCAGCCCCAGAGAACCACTGTCCTGGGCCCAGCCCCACACACTTCTCCCCACCCCCGACCCAACAATGACTCTGCTTCGACCTTCACTGATGGGCGTTCACTGCCTGTGCAGACTCCAAGCTTCGAGTGCCTGCTTCTCATGTCCCTGAGCTGAAGCCGCCTTCCCATCACTGCCCCCCCAAAGACATTCACACCTCCCACTGACTTATAGCCACCCTTTGGTGGTTTCAAGGCAGCCCTCCACGGCCCAAAAGAGCACTCACCTAATGACTAGTGGTTCCCAAACTGCAATATGTTCTTGCCAGAAACATGAGAGTTTGTAAAAATGTGCATTCTGACTCGCCAACCTTGGTGGGGAGGAGGCAGGAATCTGCACATTTCACCTGCACCCCGGATCTTGTGACCCACGCATGGGTGACCCACCCATGCACCTGGAGAAATGCTGCCCTAGGGGTTAAACAGCCTCCACTTTCTTCATCTCTCGGGACCCTCGGGAAGGCATTCCACAAAGCAGAGAGAATTCTGGAAAAAGGGCTGCATGCAAGTGCTAACGCAGGGAAGGCAGGGAGGAGGTATCTGCTGTTCACCTCCCACTTTTCAGAAACAAGATCAGTGTGGTGGGCCTGTGCAAGGGGAGAGGTAACTCTGGGAAGGGGCTGAGAAGAGACTGGGACAGCCAGAGTGATCTAGGTGGTGAGGGAATAGGGTGGGAAGGAAGGTAACACTGTAGGTAGCAGGAAGGAGCGGGAATCTTCAGATTTCAGAGCTCAAGGGGAACAATGTGCTCACCAGAGGCCAGAATTTACCCCAGGAGACCAGGATTTTAGGTCCAGCCTTGCTTTGCACCAGCTGAATGACCAGCCCACAAGCATCTCTCCAACAAAGGGCTATGAGGACCAAATGAGATGCTGTTTGGAAAAGTACAACTGGAAAGCATTGTACAAATGCTGGGTATTGCTATTACACTGACTTGGCCAGTTCTTTATTTTACAGATGAGAAAACAGACCCAGAGAGGGCTGGTGACTTATCCAAGATTGCCCAGCTTGCTAGTAGCAAGGCAAGAATAGAGCTCAGATCTTCTGATTTCTGCCCAAGGCAGACACAGTTACCTTTTGTAGATCCCACAAAGGCAAATAATCCCACCTTTCCCTTGTCCCTGGCATGGAAAGCTGGACAAATGAGCCACTCACCCTCTACAGCCTTCAGGGCCCGTCTGGGCTGGGTCTCCAGATGTGTTCATCTTCTCCTGTCTTCTAGATCACAGGTCCCAGAAAGACTGCTGTCCATTGAGCTGCCTGCACTGTGTAGCCACCCCCCTGACTCCTCCTCTTCCTGACTCCTAAAGACCTGCTCACACCCACAGTCCCTCATAAAACTGGTGGCTGAGTTGGTCTAGAAAAATCCCAACCAGGAAGCATGGAATGCAATGGGGCAAGAGTTTTATTAGGAAGGATGAGCTGTCTTCCATCTGGCCCAGTATCTTCTCTTTCCTTTCCTCAAAAATACTATGGTGAAGCTAGGTTATCTAGGAACATACTGTGAAAAAAATCACCAACAACTCCAGGCAGGCCCTGCTTATAAGTCAAGCAAGACTTCGCCAATAACAATAATATCAATTATCAACAAAAATGTTTAAGCACTTACTCTGAGCCATGCACTGTGCTAAGAACTTTGCACGTATTGCTCAGTTTAATTCGTAACACAGCCCTATCTGGTGGGTGTTGGCATCATTCTATTGATTAGGGAAGTGAAACAGAGAGGTGAAGTAATGTGTCCAGTGGGCTCAGCACAAATTTTACAACTACATTGGGCTGACTGTGGAGATTGTATAGTTAACCACCCATGGAGCTATACTCAGTCTCAACATATTGTGTACAACTATATTGAAACAGTCACCTGCAGAGGTTCCTAGCCCATAGAGCCTAGGGAAAAAAGTGGGACCTGCAAGCTATTTTGTTTTAAACTTAAGGGAAATTGTATAATTACTTAGGTAATACTGCTCTGCGATTAAAATTCAAAGTGTTTATACTTTTTGTTTTGCCTGGAAAGAGATCAGCTTTGGCTGATAACCCTGGCCATCTGGTGCAGATTGGGATGTCCTAGTGGTGATTTTAGATGTCTCTGGTTAATTTCCAAAATCAGGGAAATGATTAGTTATCATTATGGTTTTGTTTTAAAGCAGAGTGCTACAAGAAATTTCTCCCAGTATGTGGCTCATGGTGGGGGTACCCTAAAGGGATCCTTTGGTGCTGGCCATGTCAAGTCTTCTGAACCAGCAGGGGCTCACTGGAAGCCTCTTTGCTGTCACTCACATATTTTTCTACCCACAGATTCAGCCAGTTCTCATTTGTTTGGGGCCAGTCCCAAGACAAGTTCTACAGAATTTCAGTGATCTTTTGGTAATCTCTGGAAATGGGGTGCTCCCATGCCTGGAGAGCAGCAATTTTGGAGGCTACTTTGACTGTTTCAATAGTTTTCCTGGCAAAGTAAAGAGAGAAATACAAACACATTTCATTAAATCAGTTCAGGAATAATATGTAGGAAACAGAAAATTCTTTTGAGGAAATAAGCCAAGCAGTAAATATGAATTATACTTTCAAGTTATGGCCAGTTAAGGGAAAAAAGCAAGAATGAGAAGATGTGAGACAGAGCTGCCGGTACCCACTGTAATTGTAACTATCTGTGTGTGTCTCTTTCTGTCCCTCTGGACTGTGAGCCCCTAAAGGCAAGATCTGTGCCTCATTAGTTTTGAATCCCAGGAAACTAGCACAGTGCTCACTATATCATGGGCATTCCATGTATGTTTGTGGAATGAATAAACCTGCCTCAATTCAACAAATACTTAGGAAACACTATATCCAGGCCCTGATTGTATACACAGAGACAAGTAAGATAATCCAGCATGGTAAATGAAGATACAGAAGTGTGTTGTGAGACAGCATTGGGAAGGGAGAACCGAGGAGACTTCCCAGTGAAAGTGACTGATCTGTAGTGGGTTTTAGAACATGAGTAGGAGTTTGCCAGGTGGAAACGGAAAAGGACATTCTGGGCAGCTAGAAGATCGTGTAGAAAGGCATGAAATGAGAATGCATTCTGTGTCCTGGGAACTATAAGCAGTTCAGGTAATGACCTGGAGACGCACACATTTGAAAGCAGAACTGGAGCAGGGAGCAGGAGTCAGGTCATGACAAATTTGGCAGGAAGAGAGCTAAAGGCCTAGGATTACCTAGGAGCTAGGAAGCCAGTAAGCAATGCTAAGCAATGGAGCAACACATCAATACTTGCCAAAGTTCTGACAACAATCTAGTTCATATCCTAGTATCTGGACAAAATGCAAGTTTTTAAAGGGAAGTAATAAACATGAAAAAAAATTTTTTTTTTTTTTGAGACGAAGTCTCACTCTGTTGCCCAGGCTGGAGTGCAGTGGCATGATCTTGGCTTACTGCAACCTCCGTGTCCTGGACTCAAGTGATTTTCCTGCCTCAGCCTCCCTAGTAGCTGGGATTACAGGCATGCACCACCAGGCCCAGCCAATTTTTGTATTTTTAGTACAGGTGGGGTTTCACCATGTTGGGCAGACTGGTCTCGAACTCCTGACCTCAAGTGATACACCTGCTTCAGCCTCCCAAAGTGCTGGGACTACAGGTGTAAGCCACCGCACCTCGCCAGAAAATGTATTTTTAAAAGCGTCTTTTTTCTAACAAAACTTTTGGAAGGAGAGATTTTTTTCTCTCAATGACACTTTTTTATAATTACACAAATTATAAACATTAATTATTAGGCCAAGGTTTGTGGATCACTTGAGCTCAGGAATTCGAGACCAGCCTGGGCAACATGGCGAAAACCCATCTCCACCAAAAATACAAAAACATTAGCTGGGTGTGGTGGTGTGCACCTATAGTCCCAGCTACTCAGGAGGCTGAGATGGGAGGATCGCTTGAGCCCAGGAGGCAGAGGCTGCAGTGAGCCAAGATCACACCACTGCACTCCAGCCTGGGTGACAGAGTGAGACCCCATCTTGATTTTAAAAAATAATAATTATTATTATTTAAAAATTAGAAAAAAAGCCTAAAAGCACAAAAAAAGAGTAAAAATCGGTGTAATCCACTTGCCCAGATTAAAATCACTGCTAAAATGGAATGTTTGTTTATTTCCAGTTGCATGCAGAAGGTAGCCCAGCGTGGGATTCAGAGTGGGGTTGTGTCTGACAAGCTCACTTGCCTGAGCTAGTTTGCCTTGTTGAGGCCGATTTGCCACTAAGGAGGAAGTTGGATTGGGGGGCTTCAGATAGTTCCTGGGGAACAAGGGAGAGTGTGAGTCTCTTCTCCAGCTTTGCCCTGGAACTCTGATCTGAGACCCTGAAGAAAGAAGGTGGGGGGCTCTCCCTAATTTTGCAGGGAATTTGGTGTGGTTCTGGTATTATTTGGTTATTCAGGGGTCGTGAATTTTGGAGGCCCAGGGGAGAGCCCCTGCACTGGGAGGTGCTTTCCAAAGAGACACAAACTATGGGACAATGGAAGAAGAGATCCCCTCCAAAGGCTGTCAGAGTGACTGGATGTGAGTGGCCGGCTTGTGAGTGCCTGTGAGGTGCCTACCCAGGAAATAGCTGGGGAGAACTGACAGTTGGCTGAGGGAGCCTGAGACCCTGCAGTCAGCCAAAGGGGTACATCCATGCTAATGTCCCTTCCTTCACACCCACAAGCTGGAGCCAGAAAAGTAAGAAGTGGTCACTCGGGACTTCTGGTTGAGATGCATCAAGTTTACTCTGAGTTCACCCTTTGAGACCTCCCCATCTGTGCCATACACAAAGCGATGAGAGATAAAGTCTTTTTTTTTTTTTCAGATGGAGTTTGGCTCTTGTTGCCCAGGCTGGAGTGCAGTGGTGTGATCTCGACTCACTGCAACCTCCACTTCTGGGGTTCAAACGACCCTCCTGCCTCAGTCTCCCGAGTAGCTGGGATTACAGGTGCCTGCCACCACTCTCAGCTAATTCTTTGAATTTTTAGTAGAGATGGGGTTTCATCATATTGGCCAGGCTGGTCTCTAACTCCTGACCTCAGGTGATCCACCTGCCTTGGCCTCCCAAAGTGCTGGGATTACAGGTGTGAGCCACCGCGCCCGGTTTAAAAGACTGCCTGCTCTTGAAAAACAGATAAACATCTCTATTGACCAGAGATAAGGCAGAAATATGCAATGGCAAGTGAAACTGAAGCTACAGTTCTGCGCAGCTCCAAGTCCAGAGGCAAGTAGAGGCTGCTGCAGGTGAAGGGATGTGAACCCCTCATCTGAGGGTGCAGCTTGTGGCTGCAGTGAGTGCCAAGAATGAAGTACTCAGACAATTCCAGCTGAGCAGGGCGGGGAGCAGCTCCTCTGAGAGAGTGCCGCTCCAAGGTCTGTCCACCGAATATTTATTGAGAGAGCTTGTTTAAACTACAATTCAAACAAAAGGCATCCACCAGGCGGCTCTTTGCAGTTGGGCCATGAGGCACATATGGCCTTGGAAATACACATAGACCATAGTCTCAGGAGGCTGTTTTCAGCGCTCCTTACTACACATTCCTTTCCTTGCCCTGTTTTCAGGGTCAAGGAGTTTCAGTCGCATGCACAAACAACATGCACACAGTGCCTCGGTACTTTTCCATTCCTCGACCTCAAATGCCTTGTACATAAGCTTGAATATATTGCCATGCACCCTCCACAGAGGGGACCCTGCCTATGGCAGAGCACTGAAAAGAGCTAGGACTGGCCATTGTTGGGACAATGATTTATATCTTGTATCTAGGAGAGAAGAAGAAATTCACAAAGCCTGATAGTGAAGAAGTAGACTAGGCCAACTGCTCCTTGGTGATTGGACCCACAATAGCCTCAGGATTTCCATGGACAGGAGCCTTGAGACACCAATACAAAGCCAGAATTGAACTAGGGAGCCCAGGAAGTGGGGTGAAAGCTACCGCAAAACTTTTAGATGAGGACTGAACACTAACATGCACATGCCTCCACACACACATGCACGCATGCATACCCACACATGCACTCACACAATTACCATTCAAGGTGAACCAGTAAGCTGGCATTCCAAAAGATCTGAAAAAGAATATCAAGAATGCTAAGAAAGACAGCCAATCAAACCAAAAATAGGGAGAAGAACTCATACTTTAAGAAGTGAAAATCATAGACTTTAAGCATGTTTAGAATCCTCAAAAAAGAAAGGAAAGAAAAACATGCATTAAAAAAATAATAAGAACTTATAAGATGGGCAGCACTGAAGTGAAACAGCCAGTCACGAAAAGATATTGTATGATTCCAATTACATGAGGTACCTGGAGGAGTCAAATTCATAGACACAGAAAGTAGAATGGTGCTTACCAGAGGCCGAGGGAAGAGGGGAATGGGGAGTTACGGCTTAATCATACAGTTTCAGTTTTGCAAGACGAAAAAAGTTCTGAAGATAGATGGTAGTGATGGTTGCACAATGTATTAATACAACAAAACCAGGAAGTATTAACTTTCTGAAGCCTTTTGACATAGCCAAATAGCTTTCCAAGAATTCTGAAACAGCTGAAGGTGAAAAAAAAAAGAAACTATTCTGGCCGGGTGCAGTAGCTCATGCCTGTAATCCCAGCACTTTGGGAGGCTGAGGCAGGTGGATCACCTGAGGTCAGGAGTTTGAGACCAGCCTGGCCAACATGGTGAAACCCCATCTCTACTAAAAATACAAAAATTAGCCAGGCATGGTGGCATATGCCTGTAATCCCAGCTACTCGGGAGGCTGAGGCAGGAGAACTGCTTGAACCTGGGAAGCGGAAGTTGCAGTGAACCAAGATTGTGTCACTGCACTCCAGCCTGGGAGACAGAGCAAGACTCTGGCTCAGAAAAAAGCTATTCTGAATAAAGTGTTTATAAACGATATGTGCACAGGTGTAAAGTAGGCTCACTTCTTTTCCCGATCTATCCATGCTGAGTCCAGGGATAGAGAATGATTTCTATGCCCTATTTCTTAATGGACTCCACCCTAAACTCAGTAATTTTAGCTAACAACAGCTAAGTTTAAAAGATCACCTATTGAACTAAAATACATATTTCTGGCATTTAACTGGCTATCTGTAAACACTTTTATAGGAGAAATTTAAATCTATGAAGGAAATTTCCATTTGTAAAGGTGTCTGAGAGGGAGGCCTGGGTCACTAGAAACTGTTACCATTGTTTGAAATTTACATGACAGGTCTTTGTTACGGCGCCTATCCTGGCCATCTTGTCTTAACTGGGCCTTTACATGCAACCTTTTTTCCTTGGTTTAAGCAAATGATGGTACAATATTTAGGCCCAAACAGAGCTAAGAACAGGTCTTAGCTCTATTCTTTTGAGATATACATTTTCTACCTTGTTTAACCTGTTGAGTCATCTTTTTAAAAGGCAAATTGTTGCATAGCTAACAATTGCTTAGGGCAATAAAACAAGTAATTAAAAGATTAACAGTCTAAATGGGGACAAAAACTAAAAGCTGGCAAGTAAGAATTACTTATAAAAACTATAAGATCTGCTTCTGTTTGTGTTTGTATGACTATATGTCACTATGTGGCATGTGTATATGATAATATTTGATAAATAAAGCTAGATTTTAAATGTTAGTAAAATAGAAATGGCTCCAAAATTATCAGTTAAATATAATTCAGACATTTTTGCCTGGGTTTACTGGTCAGACAGGCTTATGCTGCCTTTGTTACATGTTTTAAGGTCATAATACTACTGCTTCTGTAATATTTTTGATATTTGTTTGATTTGACTTTGAGCTTATATTTTGAGTTTTAAACACCTGGATTCTGAATAGGTCATCATGGTGAGGCCTGTTTATATATAAAGTTTTGGAGCCACAAAAGGAATAGCACTCAAATATAAAATTTTCTTTTTAATTCTCAGCAAGGCAAGGTACTTCTATATAGAAAGGTGCGCCCTTACAGATGGAAAAATGGTGAGTGCACACTCAGACAAGGGAGGGGAAGGGGTTCTTATCCCTGATGCACATGACCCCTGCTGCTGTGTTGTTCCCCTATTGGCTAGGGTTAGACTGCACAGGCTAAACTAATTCCGATTGGCTAATTTAAAGAGAATGATGGGGTGAGTGCTTTGGCAGGAGTCAGGGCAGAGCAGGTAGCAGATAATCAGAATGAGTTAGGGTGGAGCAGGTGATTGGAATGAGTCAGGGTGGAGTAGGTGATTGAAAAAGATTGCTTTATGAGGAAGTTAAGTTTAAAAGTAGAAGGCAAAGAATTTAACATATTGACATATTAATTCTCTGAAAAGAAATTTAGAACTCATATCTAACAGGCCTGGGAACATGTTCTCAGTGCCTAGACTAGCAGCTATGAGGCAGAATCAAGCCTAATATGGCCCCTTCTTCTCTGCCCCAGCTTTACCTCCTGGCTATTCTGAGAGGGGTTTGATCCTCCAGGCACCATCTTCACAGCAATGTCTTCTGTCTTGAACTCTATACCTGGCATATAAATTCAGGACTCAGGCCCTCCTCTTTATAGCCATCCTGGGTGCTGTGTAGCTACTTGAGACCCAGGATGACTAAAAAAGACATTAGGGAGGGTACCTGTGTTATAGTTCCAAAATTACTTTCAAAAACTTAAAATATTAAATTATATTATGTTAGATAATAGATCATTATAAAGTATCTGAGTCATTTTAAGGTTAAAATACCAAAATATTAATTAAACATAAGTTTATATACTTTGGCATCTTATTTTTATATGGTATTAAAAAGCTAAATATATTTAAATGTAATAAAGAGTAATTTGAAGAAACACCTTTCTAAAAAATTATAAAATGGTTTTCATCTACAAATACTGATATAAGACAGTTCAAAATTACTTCCTAGAATTTTCACTAGAAATTAGGGTTACTAAGAGTTAAAATTATTGAAAATATATGTAATCAGAACCACTAGATATGAGAAAAACAATTTTTTATACAGAGTGTATAAACAACAGAAAGACGTGGTTTTGATAAAAAGTTATAAAGGCATAAAATATATTTGTTAAAACAATAATATTTTCTGGTTTAAAAGTTACTTAAAAGTTGTTTCAAATTTAAAAAATAGATAACACTAGCTAATGCAAAGAATTGAGAAGAGAAAATATTTTAAAAATCATAAGAGATTATAAAAGGTTTATAAAAATCTGTTGTGGTCAAAAGCTAACTAAGATTAGATAGATTTATTTATAAGGTTTATTAAAATTAACTTTAGTGTTAATAATACATAAATACAAAAGTAAAATTCAGTTTTCTCTTTTAAACAAAAATTTCATGTAGTATTAATAAGTCACAGTAAAATATTTTTGTTCACCTTTTTTATAAACTGAAAAAAAGAGAGGGAGAGTGGAGAGAAGAAAAGAAATATTCTGACTCATGCTGTTTTTCTTTGATTGGAAAACTGAGTCTCCTCTCTATTAAAAAGTTTTTGCTTTGTAAAATCTTTGAATTATCACTTTGGCTAAATAAATAACTATTATTTAATAGTGACCTGTGATCCTATTTTGATTGTTTTAAACCTTTTATATATTTGATAGATTTCCCAAATCAAATTTAAAATTTAAAATTAAGTATTTTTTTGGCCTCAAACTAACTTTGTGATGCTACAGAGAGCCCCCGCAGCATCCAACAAAGAGATAAACAGGATTAATTAGTATATTAAATTCCAGGGGAGGCATTGTCAAATAAGAAATGATGTTTAACCTTCTTCAAAATAGATTTTTATAAATATGTTATTAATATATGTTACAAAATTGTATGGGATTCCTAAAAATCTGATATATCTGGGTATATTCTATCACTTATAATTATGGTTATATTAAATTATTGTAGGTATAAAAAGTAAAAAATTTCCTCTTCAAAGTTCCCCTTCTTGTTAAAGAATAAATCATAAGTGTTAGAAACAATAGTTTCTTTTAAAGATTAACTTTCTTCAAGCCTCCTTGCTTTGTGCTAATAACTCTTTGTTAAGCCCTATCCTATGTAACTGTTGGACATGCTCACAGGCACATTCAAGCTCACAGCCTATGCCCCTTCCTTATATGGAAATGTTACTGCTTCCTTAAACCTTTTGTAAGCAACTTCTTTGCTCTTCCTTGCACTTACCTATTTAGGAAAGTTTTAGGCTATTAGCAAATCGGGTATCAGTTTAAGACTGTGAGGTCCCGCTCTAGCCAATGGATGCAGGACAAAGCAGTAAGGACAACCCAAATGCATAAGGGATAAATATGTCTGCTTTTCCTTTGTTCAAGTGTGCTCTTGCCATTTTTCCATCTGTGATTAAGCAACGTTTCTGCAGAAAGTAAAGATGGCCTTGCTGAGAGATCTTTGGTCTCTGTGCTGACTTTTCTTTGTGGCACCGATTATCTATTTCTAACAATTTTGGTATTTCTAACAGTAGGTCACAAAAATGACCAAATTTCTTTGTCTATTGTATCTTTCACTATGACCATTTTAAATCACTTTTATAGTTAATTGCTTAATTCTGATGCAGTTTCTGTAAACTCTTCACAAGCAAAGTAAAATCCTAGATCATTGTGTCTTCAAGGAGGTTCATAAAAAGGATGAGAAGGACACTGAAAAGCACTCTTAAATACTGGTTTTTGGTCATTTTAGGATCATATCATTTGGACTGGGTAAGAATTCCCAGAACTCCAAGAAAGGAGCTGGCTTATAAAACTGCTAATGCAAGCAGGACAAGAATTAATTGAATACCAAGAAAACACTCTTCCAGATTTTCATGTTAAATCAACCAGTACTAAAGTTTAGATATGCAATTTAAATAAACTCCATGGTCCAAGCCAAATTACTTATGATAACTCATCTAATAAACAGTGCTATGCACCTAAATTGTAGAAACAAAATTGGTATTTAAGAGGATATAAGTCTAACATTAAGCATGGACTAATGGAGAGCCTGGACAGCTGCCTGGTC
This sequence comes from Homo sapiens, assembly GCF_000001405.40. NCBI lineage: Eukaryota > Metazoa > Chordata > Mammalia > Primates > Hominidae > Homo > Homo sapiens. The sequence goes on along the minus strand of NC_000015.10, from coordinate 69,005,007 downwards.
CTTCCTGAGTCCCTAAAGCTTCCATTATTAAAAGTTCTGCATTCCATGACTCATCACGGAAGAGACAAAATAATCCAAATGAAACATATATGTATATATATATTTACCTGATTGGCCATTTAAACATTTATAGAGGGATTTCATTCATCAGTTTCAATGCATGTTTTCTGGTTATGTAAAAGCTTTCCTATGCAAGAGGGATGATATATAAACAGTAGCTAAAAGGTTATTAGGAAATGTGTTTTCCTTATGGGGTATTCCTGGACAAATCTCCAGTGATAGAGGTACTTGCTTTACTGAACAAGTTGTATAATAGTTAAATAAGGTATTACTGACACAATAGCATTAGGCAAAGCCAACTGAATTGACTGGATTGCCTTGGTCAAAAGTATTGTGGATTCATGACAATCAGATCCACTTCCAGTGGAATAGTCACTGTAATGCCTATGCACCTAGTAATAGAATTTCATGTATCTTCTGCTACTAAACTCTGATATGACTAAATGCTGCAAGGCTTTATTACATTGTGCCAAAGTGTATTTTCACCAGATAAAAGAAGCTTTTCATGGTCCTCAGAAAACATGGACAATCAAACCATTCACAATCTCACTCACTCTCTAACTCCTCAGCTTGTCTCTTTATTTAATCTTTATGTTAAAGATTGGATCTTTCATAGAGAGATTGGATCTTCTGAAAAATGACATCAGAGAAAGACTGCCCTACCCACACTGCAAAAAAACTCAGGACCTTAACCTTTGGGTTCATAGTTTCACAGCTCAGAAGGGCCTGTCCAGACTCTTGGAACTATACACCCATTGAAGACATTAAGATAAAGCTAACCAGCTTCTCACTAGAAGCAGATAGCATCCTAGACGTCAACAGCCTTTTCCCAAGATCATGGATCAAGGCTTCTCTGCTATCACAAGACTATCGTCTCTCATTTTTTTCCTTGCTTATCTCTCTATGAACAACAGAACTAAAAAGGGGATCTCTTGTGTTCACTCATGGGGTATACTTTTCTTTGCAAGGGATTTTACGATAGCCTTATGCCCTGGTAGACAGAAGACAAAGGGCCAATGTGGGTAAACAAATTTTAATGATACTTTGGTGATTCATAGTCAGAAACAGAACACTGATCCACTCCTCTTAACCTACATCATGGGTTAAAGAGAACATTGCCAGCATAGGTTAAAGAGAACATTGTTTGGAGGCCTTCACTCTTCTAGATGGACAAGACTTGTTAAGTCTCTTTTTCCATGGTTTGGAGTAAATGAGACAATAATTCAAAATTTCTCCCTCGTAAATAGGCTCTATAGCATATTCTGCTATAAAGCCTATGGTTACACAGTAGACTTTAAATTCTCTTGCTAAAGTTGTGCTGAATAATAGACTCACTCTAGATTACCTCCTTGCTAAACAGAAAAGTATCACTTTAGATTACCTCCTTGCTAAACAGAAAAGTATCTGTGCAGTTGCTGATACTTCTTGTTACACATGGAGGAATACATCAAGTATTATGGAAATTCAATTGTAAGGGATTAATGAAAAGGCTGCTTGGTTAAAACAAGTAGACTCTTTATCTAGCTTGTTATTTAATCTATTTAATTTTAGTTGGTTTCATTCATGGAGACCCTGGTTACGGAGCACATTCTAAACTCTTGATATTATCCTCTTGATAGTCATAATGGTAACCTCCCTGGTGCACTGTATTCTCTCAAAAGTTTTAAATGTTTGCATACAGCCATCTGTAAAGATTCAAATTATCTCTCTTCAACTGGACCAACAAAAATTCAAATAAATGTGTTATCATAAGGACACCGTAATCTATAAATAATGTGCTGAGACCAAAAACCCAAAATGGTGATACCTGAGAGTGGTGTTAAAGACCTGTTAGTTATACTCTCACTTAATTGAGAACTTAACCAAAGGGAGGCCATTCTTTCGAATTGATTTTGTGAACTAGGCCCCAGCTGACAAGACCAAAACAAAATGGAGTCATTCATGCTAAATGCAAAATAATCAAACTGAAACTTTAATACATCCTAAAACAGATCAAATTTTGTTTTTCTCCAGTAAATAGGAGATTCCAGCACAAGGAAGTGTCCTCTACTCTAATCCTTACTCGCCTTAGAGAACACACTGTTCTGATTATTTCCCAGTGGGATTTGAGACGAAGTAAATACATTTATGATGGCAACGAAGTGATATCAATGCCTGAAATTTTGGTCAATGTCTCAATTTTGTGGGGGGAATTGTTAAGTTTAGCCTAAAGCTGCCTCCTTACCTATTTTAAGTTTGGCCCTAAAGGTTTCTCCATACATAGTAAACTGCAACCTAACTGAATGTGTGAACAAACTATAACCTATTCTTGGCCAATGGCCAACTATAACCGAGTTTCAGCCAATCAAAGGTGGCTAACTGTTCAAATTTTGTTCAAGAAAAGCAAACCCCCAGTTATAACCAATCCAGCTGTTTCCGTACCTCATTTCTGTTTTCTGAACCTCATGCTCTTTATTCTGTCTATAAGTCTTCAACCACACAGCAGCGCCAGAGTCTCTCTAGTTGTATTCTGGCCCTGGGGCTGCCTAATTCACGAATTGTTCTTTGCTCAATTAAGCTCTGTTAAATTTAATTCATCTAAGGCTTTCTTTTAACAAATAGTTGCTGGGCTATAGTAGCCACACAATTGCTATTAGGTGAATGAAGTGGGCTAGCTGCAGCAGCACCCTACAGAGGATGCCCCCACTCCAGTCAACTGCTTACAATGCCCCTGTCCAGTTCTAAGGAGCAATCAGGAGAGGTGCTTCCACTCCCAGGCTGCTAACTCACTGCATGATCTGGGCAAGGTCACCTTCTCTCTACAGGACCCAGTACTTCGTCTGCTCAATGGAGATTTTCTTCCTTTGCTCCCTGCCTCGGGACACTGTGTAAGAGCAGACATAGGGATATATAGACATGTGTTTTTTGTTTGTTTGTTTTTGAGATGGAATCTCACTCTGTCACCCAGACTGGAGTGCAATGACATGATCTCAGCTCACTGCAACCTCCACCTCCCAGGTACAAACAATTCTCCTGCCTCAGCCTCTCAAGTAGCTGGGATTACAGGCGTGTACCACCATGCCCAGCTAACTTTCGAATTTTTAGTAGGGATGGGGTTTCACCATGTTGGCCAGGCTGCTCTCAAACTCCTCTCCTCAAGTGATGCACCCACCTCAGCCTCCCAAAGTGCTGGGTTTATAGGCGTGAGCCACTGTGCCTGGCCAGCATTTGTTTGTTTCGTTTTGTTTTGTTTTTTAAGCCCAAACAGTTGTCTTTGTCTGAGAGACTCAAAAGGAACTGTTTACTGGCAATTTGCTGAAGAGAATTTTCCTTGTGGAGGTCTGACAACCAGTGTGGCATCCCTTGGGGCCAAAAAAATATGCAGAAGCTCTGTCTTTCTGGAGATGTAACTGGAGTTTATTCTAATGAGATGAAATGTGGCCTACCCCTGCCCCCTCAAATGACCTTCTCGTGGAAATCAGAGCAGGTAAGATTCCCTAAGATCATTCCAGACAAGTTCTATTATTATTTTGAACTTATACACAAGATTTCAGAGGAAATTAAGTTTTCATCAGTTTCTTCTTATCTTGTTTGTTTAAGCCCTGGAAGCCTGGAACATGTCTTCTTTCTCTTGTATCCCCTGAGAGCTTGGCTGGCAGTAGCAGCTCCCTCAGCAGCTACTGCTTTGGTTCCGGTCAGTTTCCTGTTCCCTGGATCACCATCCCTCATCTTGAGGAAAATACGGAGATGGCAAAAATTCTGTCTGCTTTGGGAGGAGGTTCTGCAGGGAGCTCTGGGGTCATGGTGAGCAATCCCCTGAGTAAGAAGACAGCTCTCAGTTGCAAAATGCGTATATGCAAACACATCCCAGGAAATCCCAACCAGACCCCAAGCAGGTAGATATTCTGAGGCTCCATCTGTCAGACAGAGAAACTGGAGACAGAGTGGGTGAGTCACTGAGTCAGCTCACAGAGTGAGCTGAGGGGCCCAGCCTGGACCACAACACTCAGCCCCACTAGCACCTGCTCAGGCTCCCTTCTTCCTATGGCAGAGACACAGCCTCTGTTTGAACTTGCCTTGCTCACTCCCAGAATAGAGCCTTTGCAGCAACTGCCTCTCCTGTGGGATGCCTCTGAGGGTTCTCAGCACTCAAGAGTCAGCTAAAAGCCCACCTCCTCCTGGAGGCCCCTCCTGCTACCTCCAGCCCTGAGTTACAATAAATTCCTGCAGACTTTACTATTTGCAACACAAATGTGACCTGACATGCTGTGCTGTCATCAACATCTTGTGCCCTTGCTCTGTGTGGTAACTTGGTCCTTGGGTCATCATTATACTTTACATGTGTGGTGTGTGTACCTCATCTCCCCAGCTAGCAGGTCAGCTCTAGATAGGCAGGAACCACCTCCACACATTCACAATTTCATTCATGCATTCATTTAAGAAATATTCTCTGCTATTCCAAGGATAAATCAATAATTAAGCAAGACGTGCTTCCAGCCCTCGCAGTGCTTACAATTCTTATTCCCTGCAGGACCCAGCATAACCTGCTTGTAGCCAGCAGGCACGAGTTAACAGGGACAGCCTCTGGCCAACAAGTTCCAGCAGTGTCTGTCTCTTTGATCTGGTCAAAGCCCTGCAAGGACTATTTTTAAGTAGAAAAGCAGGAAGGACCACAGAGACAGAGGCTGTGGAACAGCTTTTGAATGTAATGCATTCGTAGAAAGGAATTCCTTTAGGCCCTGCTCCTGGGATACATCGGGAGCCCCACCCATAAAAGGGTGGAAGAGCCCTTATGCCCAGAATAGACCTCTAAGCTGTAACCAAAAATAAAATTCTGAGGCTCCTCCAACCATCTGAATGGACTTTCTCCTCTGCCAGGGCACTTTCAAAATTTAACCTGAGAGACTGGTTCAAGCTATGATGTGAAGTGGGGGCTCTGACATGGCTTATTACACATCTCTGGCTCCGGCATTAACATTAACATAGACCTGATGTCTGATGAGAAGCATTTATAGTCTATTCTCTCTGAAGCCTGCTCCCTAGAGGCTTCAGCTGCATGATTAAACTTTAGTCTTGGCCAGGCGCAGTGGCTCACACCTGTAATCCCCGCACTTTGGGACGCTGAGGTGGGTGGATCGCCTGAGGTCAGGAGTCCAAGACCAGCCTGGCCAACTTGGTGAAACCCCATCTCTACTAAAAATACAAAAAAATAGCTGGGAATGGTGGCAGGCACCTGTAATCCTAGCTACTCGGGAGGCTGAGGCAGGAGAATTGCTTGAATCTGGGAGGTGGAGGCTGCAGTGAGCCGAGATCGCACCATTGCACTCCAGCCTGGGCAATAAGAATGAGATTTCATCTCAAAAGCAAACAAACATAAAAACACTTTAGTCTCCACAACCTCCTATAGCAACCCAGACATTTCCTTTCTACTGATCCCAGGTCTTTAGATAAACTCAACCAATTGTCAATCAAAAAAATTTAAATCTGCCTATAACCTGAAAGCTCCTCCCCCACCTTCGAGTTGTCCCACCTTTCTAGATGGAACCAATGTATTTTTAAAATGTATTTGATTGAAATCTCATGCCTCCCTAAAATGTATAGCACCAAGCTGCACCGCGACTACCTTGGGCACATGGACATATGGACACATGTTCTCAGGACCTCCTGAGGGCTGTGTCACGGGCCATGCTCACTCATATTTGGCTCAGAATAAATCTTTTCAAATATTTTACAGAATTCAATTCTTTTGGGCGACAAGACTCTCTAGGAGATCGCTTTATGGCACAGATGGGGACACTGAGGCAGAGTGGGTTTGTGGCTGATCTGGTACTAAACTGTTAGCACAGTGCTTTCATCCTGGTACCCACTGAGGCATGAATTCCTGCTGAAGGAGAAGAGCTGTTTTCCCACTTAGCAGCTGGGAGTAACCCTGGCACACAGGAGCATATAGGTGGAGAAAATAAAAGAGCATGAGAGAGAGAAAAATAGAGAGAGAGAGGTTCTGGCCATCTACTCTGCCAGGCGTTGGACCAGGGACTGGGGCAGATGGTGACTAACACGTGGTTCTGACCTTGAGCAACTCAGTGGGACAATGAGCTATTTAGCAAGTATGGTTCATGGCCCCATGATGGGTATGGGACCTGGGAGACAGTGAAATGGACCTCTCTGAGCCTGAGTTCCCTGCAGCCATGGGGGTCCTGTCTGTTCCGCCCACCTGACCACCTGGTTGTGAGGATTAAATGAAATAACATAGGAGGAAGCACCTAGTCCATAACAGACACTCAACTCATTTTCACTCATTCAGAAGGTTGTTTTGGTTCTTCTCAACCACCTCCTTTGTTCCTCAAGTTCCAGTAAAAGAATGCTAATTAGTCTTCTTGAAGCAGAAATAGCTGAGTGTGCATGACCCTAAATGACCCCCCGGGGGTTATTGTTCTGAGGCTCCAGCTCACCCCACCACCCACAGAATTGACAGCTTTGGCTCATCCCTTAATGCCTGAGGCCAATGTGCTTCCTTTCCTATTTTTCATTTTTCTTATCTCTAAAAAGGGCCTGTTAAGACCTATCCCCATAATGTTGTTAGGCTCCATTGAGACATCACATGTACAGCCCCTAGCAGGTTGCACTGGACACGTGGTAGTTCCTGTCCCCTTCTTTCTCCCTCCTACTGAAGGGGTCCTGCTGCTGACAGCAGGGAATTGTCCTCCATAGAGTGTGGGGCAGAGATCTGAGTTGGGCAGGAGCCTCTCCTCCATGGCTGCCCCTGTGCCCTCATATCCTCCTCCAGCATCCTTAGCACAAGAGTCTCACTTTCTGTTCTGGGTACCAGAGACACACGTGGTGAGGGCACCACCACTCAGCTTGGCACATGTGAGGCACAACAGGCAATGGGTGAGGGCAGCTACTGTGGGAACCCAGATGCAGAAAGAATTCTGTTTCTCTCCTCCTTCCTGCATCCCACCTTTGAGCTTGGAGAAGTCTAGAGACTCCCAGAAAATAGGTCTGAGTACAGATGTGGAGATTCCTTATTCCATTGGCTTCTGAACACTTAAAATTCATTTTCAGTCATGTGGGTAAAATTTTAACTGACCCTCCAAAACATGTGTGTGCAGATATTCTTCTGCAAAAGATCTGGTGGTAGCTTTCATTTCTAGATGGAGAAATGGAGGTGCTTCCCACTGCCCTCCACCGGAGGAGGTAACTGAAGAATGCAAGGCTCAGCTCTGCACCTGAAATATAAGGAGGAAAAAGGCAGGGTGGAGTGCTTTGTGGCTTTGGTGGGGAAAGAATCTTGGGTGACCCAGGAACTCTGTAAACTTATGTCTGAATCCAACTTCCTAAGAATCAGTCCTTGGCGTAAGATGAGTAGCTATAAATCCAGACTTTGTACTGGAAGAAGTAAAAATATGATTACTTTTTGTTTTTAAGAGATGCCAAGAACTATCAGGCCTTGGGAATCTCAGAGGAAGGAAATGTAAGCCTCCACGTCTGTCTCTGGTCCCCACTGTGAGCCAAGGCCTGTGATCCTCACCAAAGCAGAACTGACTTCCCTTTCCCCGCCTTTCCCCAACTTGCCTTGCCTTTCTTTGCTTTTTCCTCTGCTTCCTTCCCTTTCCTTCCTCTAATCATATTATTGGCACCCACAGGAATCACAGCATGAATGACAAGGCCTTCCTTTAGAGCAGCAGTCCCAGCCTGTTCCCAGAACACTGGCTCCACAGGAGAAGCATGGGGCATCTGGTGATTCCGTCCACACTGGCGTATTACAGCCTCCATCTTGACCACTCAAGTCCCAGACAGCTGCCAAAAGAGCATCCTCTCACTAAAGACTCTGAGTTCACCTGGACCTACTCTTTAAATCCTAGAGATGCAGAGGAATTGGGGCCGCTGTAGCTTGGTATAGTTTGGGCAATCTCTGGATAGAGTCAGGTCCTTGGATTTAGCACCAAGTTTTGATAGCTCTCCTCATTTCTTCACCTGGTGAATTCCTACTCAACCTTCAGGTACCACCACAAGCACAAGTGTTCCCTTTTCCAGTCCACTCCTCCCCAAGAGAGCTAATTTAGTTCTCTCCTCTAGTTCTCACTACACTGTACTTTTACTCTTTTTTTTTTTTTTTTTTGAGACAAAGTCTCACTCTGTTGCCCAGGCTAGAATGCAGTGGCACAATCTCGGCCCACTGCAACCTCCGCCTCCTGGGTTTAAGTGATTCTCCTGCCTCAGCCTCCCGAGTAGCTGGGCTTACAAGCATGTGCCACCACACCCAGCTAATTTTTGTATTATTAGTAAAGACGGGGTTTCACCATGTTGGTCAGGCTGGTCTTGAACTCCTGACCTCAGGTGATTCACCCGCCTCGGCTTCCCAAAGTGCCGGGATTACAGGCGTGAGCCACCATGCCCAGCCTACTGTACTTTTACTCTATCAGGATATACCTGAATTGAAGAAGAGGAACTCATTGAAAATGTAATGTATAGTAATAACTCACTGAGAAATTAATTTATGTCATTTATTGCTGCTGTCGGCTCACAAGGAAAGAAAAAAAGCTATCCAGAGCTTCACCTATTGGAGGGTGGCATGATTTTCTTCCTAGAGGCAACAAGGATTCTCCAACCCCCTAAGGAGCAATAGACAATTCTTTCTGTTTCTGGGTCTGAGAGAGGAAGCTGAGTAGGCATGGAGGGGCCCTGGTGTGAGAATGGCCAGCCCTGAAGACAACCTCTAAACAAGACTGTGTTTAGAGACCACTGGAGGCAGTTAAGCCAGATTATCCCAGAGGGAAATGAGAATAAAGGCAGTACTGCAAGGTAGAGGGTGAAGATGTTTTTAGGTAAAGAACATTTGTTTTTCCTAAGTGTATAGCACAGAGTGCTGAACGTATTTTCTTCCTAAAGTAACACCGTAGTGTGACACCAACACACTGGCACTGCGAGAGACATTATCTCAACATTTGGGACCCAGGTTGGTGGTGGGATGCTGCATACAGAGCTGGGAAGCCTAGGCCTGCATCTTGCGATCACTAGGAGCAACAGCTGTCATGGCGACCAGAAGCTGCAAGACCCCCTTTCCAGATGGCTAAGTCCCTAGGGGGGGCCTTTGACAAACCCAGGAGAATTCAAGGATATGATGATACAAGACTTCTGGTCAGTCTTGCTTAAAGAGGGTCCAAACAGGATTTAATCTTCTTTTAATAAAAATAAGTCACGCACATAGTGAAAACTGAAACAGTGAGAGAGTAAACAAGGAAAAGAGGGTCTCCCTCCCTCTTCAGGCCCTGGTCTCGCTTTGCAGAGGTAACACCATTAGCAGGGTTTGTTTTTTTTTTATGTACAGATACATGATATGTACAATTATAAAGCTGCCTAAACACACACACACACACACACACACACACACAGGAGTACACTGTGTTGCCCTTAGCCTTTCACCGCCTACTCTGAGGATCATTCTGTATCAGCTTACTCAGCACCAACACATTCTTTTTTAATGGTGGAAAGGATCCCATTTCTCGTCCCCATTCAGTGGAACTTAGACATCCTAGAAACACTACATCAACTGCACCCCAAGTGTCATGGTATAATTTCATTCCTATATTTATACAGGCATGGAAAAAGATCTGAGAGCTGGCCGAGGCTAGAGAGAGATTAATGTCCATGGTACAAAAGGAAAGGGCACTGGAAGGATGAATGTCCAGAGAATAATAATAAAGAGAATGGCCAGGGCCGTGGTATGGGAAAGCCACCAGCCGAGGGCTACCGCACCCAGGAGAAACCCGACACTGACCTGATTGGGTTGGCAGGGGCTGAAGGATATGAGGACTAGGACAGACTGGGCTCCTTCTCATTGGGCCTCCAGGAGCCCATGGTCACATTAGAAGTTGGAGGCCAGCTGATGGACTTTATGGTAGACACCGAGGCTGAACACTCAGTAGTAACCTGACCTATAGGGCCACTATCCAAGAACTGTGCAACTACTGTAGGAGCCACCAGAGTCTCAGAGAAAGGGCCTTTCTGTCAGTCAAGGATGTGCATGATAGTAGGAGAAGAAGTTTAGCATGACTTCCTATACCTCCCAAACTGCCCAGTTCTCTTGCTAGAAAGAGACCTCCTCCAAAAACTGCAAGCACAGATTACATATGGGCCACAAGGGAATGTAACTTTAAACCTAGCTCACCTGGAGACTATGGTATTAACCCTTACTGTCCCACAGGCTGAGGAATGGAGGCTATATGCAAAAAGACTCTGGAACCAGGGGTAAATGAAATGCATGGGGTGCTTACTAAAATTCCTGGAGTTTGGGCTGAAAGTAATCCACTTGGACTGGCTGTAAATCAGGCACCAGTTGTGGTAGAGTTAAAACCGGGAGCAACTCCAGTTCAGGTTCACCAATACCCACTACTCCCCGATGCCATACGGGGTGTCCACAAGCACTTAGAGTGGCTTCATAAGCATGGAATCATAGTCAAATGTGAGTGATCCTGGAACACCCCTCTCTTGCCAGTGCAGAAGGCGTCTGGAGAATATAGGCCAGTGCAGGACTTGCATGCTGTAAACCAGGCCAAAGTGACCATGCACCCAGTGGTGCCAAACCTGTATTCTTTAATGGGACATATTCTGGCAAGTGCTGCCTGGTTTACAGTCCTAGACTTAAAAGATGCATTTTTCTGTCTCTGGCTGGCACCGATTAGTCAGCCTATTTTTGCTTTTCAATGAGGTGAATCACAGTACATTTGGACAAGACTCCCACAGGAATTTAAAAACTCTCCTACAATCTTTGAAGAGGCACTGGCCTCAGACCTTAAAGCCTACACTGCACCAAATAGTGACTGTGTCTTGCTTCACTACATAGATGACCTTCTTCTAGCAGCCCCAACACGAGAGGACTGCTTCCAAGGAACCCAAGACCTCCTGCACCTGCTGTGGAAGGAAGGATATAAAATGTCAGGGAAAAGGCTCAAATTTGCTTTGAAAGTGTCCAGTATTTAGGCTTCTATATAAGCGAAGGGGAAAGATGGCTTGGTAGTGAACAAAAGCAGGCTGTTTGGACACTTTCCACTCCAATCACCTGGTGACAAATAAGAGAATTCCTAGGGGCAGCAGGGTTCTGCCATATCTGCCTCCCAAATTTCTCGCTCATGGCTAAGCCATTATATGAAGCCACAAAGTGGGGAGAGAAGGAACCCCTCCTCTTGGAGGCCAACCAGGAGAAGGCCTTTAAAGAAATCAAAGAAGCCTTAACTCAGGCCCTGGGCAGGGGGCTATCAGTACATGTAGGTGTTCATTTGCACCTTTTCAGGATGGGTTGAGGTTTTCCCCACCAGAACACAGAAAGCACAAGAAGTGACTAAGGTGTTGTTAAAAGACATTATTCTTAGATTTGGACTACTCCTGACTCTGGGGTCAGACAGTGGACCAGCATTTGTAGCTGAAATAGTTCAAGACTTAACTCAACTATTAAAAATAAAACAGAAGCTACACACAGCCTACCGGCTGCAGAGCTCAGGAAAAGTGGAGCGCATGAACCAGACACTCAAGCAGCTGCTGAAGAAATTTTGTCTGGAGACTCTTCCGCGATGGGATCAGGTCTTGCCAGTGGTCCTCCTCGGAGTCAGGTGTACCCCCACAAAACAAACTGGGTATTCACCCTATAAGGTCTTGTTCCGCCAGCCACCCCCAATTATAAGTCAGGTTAAAGGTGATCTCTGTGAGCTAGGAGAATTAACTTTAAGGAGGCAAATGCAGGCTTTAGGGATGGCCATGCAGAAAGTGCATGGCTGGGTGTGGGAAAGAATGCCTATAAGTCTGACAGACCCAGTACACCCTTTCAAACCTGGGGACTTTGTTTTGGTTAAGAAATGGAATCCAACCACTCTGGGACCCATATGCGATGGGCCCCATACTGTAATCTTGTCCACTCCCACTGCTGTTAAAGTTGCAGGAATCGTGCCTTAGATCCACCACAGTTGGCTGAAACTGGCATCCCAGGACCAGTGGACCTGCCAGCAGGACCCAGACCATCTGACCAGGCTGATCCTGTGACAAGACCAAGTTGCCACTGAGAACAACAACAGCCCTGCTCTGGTCACTCCGAAAGCTGACCAGTCTACACACGGCGGAAACTTGAGGAAACAGCAAACCCTGCTCTAGTCACCCCAGAAGCTGACTAGTCTACACACGGCTGAAGCTTGAGGAGTCATCATCAAATGAGTAAATGTGGCTGGAAATCTTAGGCCCAATAATCTTTCCTATATTATTAATTGTACTTCTGTTGTTCTGTTGCTTTAGCCAACCCCCTCCCCTGGGAAAACATCTCTTCTGCCCATGCTGGGTGTAAGAATGCTACTCTTTGCTTTACTTTTGATGGTCCCCATATCCATGCTAGAAGGAGAAGGGCCCATAGAAGGATGCCCTCACTGCATGCATACTACATGGATAGGAAACACAGTAGTTAAGACTTTATTGTACCATAGAAGTCTTAGTGGACAAAACAACCACCACTCAACTAATGGCTCTAACAAAGTATAAACCTTTGCCAAAGAGAGAAGATCTGCCTTGTCATGAAGGACTAAATAATAGTGATGCTTTCTATTAAATTCCATTTATAGGAAACATCAAAGGGGGGAAATGAGGCAGGAAATTCAAGAAAAATAAAATTAAAAAGAGAAAAATAAGCTTTCTATATTAGGCTGACATCCCAGAGGCAGTAGCAGGCAAAGCCCAGACCCAGGCAGTCTTGATAACATTTTCAAAGAAGCCAGGGCTCAAAGGGATGTGCTCTGGAGACTCTCCCAGCACTCCCTCAACATAAGGATAAGAAAAAGTGAAGTTCCCCCTCAAATCCCACTCCCCTCTGTGTGATTGTACCTTGCTCTTCAAGCTTTATGAGTTTATAGATTCCTGTTTTCTCTAACTAGTAACTTCAAGTATTCTGTTTTATCTGAGGAGCACAGTGAAGGTTATAAGACATGCCTGAGCAGGCCTAGGCTGCGGCCGTCTGGGTGCCAGAGCGAACATTATGAGATAAGCCCATGCAAGGCTCTTTTGAGTAAGCCTAGATAACAGCCATCTGGACCGCACAGCAAGAGTTGCATGTAATCCTGGGTTATGAACCTGTCACAGTTTGATTAGCTGCCTTTGTTCTGCCTCTGTTCTGCCTCTGTATCCTGGCTTTTGCACCACTACACTTCATATCACTGTAAGCTTGTTTCAAGCTAGCACCTTTCAAAGGTGTGTATATAAGCCAAACCCTGTCTTTGTTCAGGGCCCAGTTTTTGGATGTTAAACCACTGGGTCTGAGTGTATTCAATAAACCCTCCTGTCTCACTCCATGGTCTCTCCAGCCTCCTGATTCCCACAACACAGGTTCTGACCTTGGCTGTTCAACTTCTCTATCAATTCCATGAACAGTCCCCCAGCCCAAAGTCTTCCAATCAGTGCTGCTTAAGTTACCCAGAGCTGGTTTCTGTTGCTGATAATCTAAAATCTTGACTGAAAGATGGTAGGGAAATGGTTGGAAATAGGTCACTGTCTAGAGGATTCTTGGCAGGGGCCACCCCAGGGCCCTTCACGTCTATCAAGACAGCATGCTCCAGATGGTTGCCTCCCTGCCCGGGGTCCAGCTCCTCTGTGGTTCCTTAGAGCTCTCAAGAGAGGGCTGCTCAGGACCAGAACCAGAGACAAAGTTCCCCTCTACTCTCACACAGGAGCTCACTGGGACCCAGACTGCCCCCATGCCTGCCTGCTGAGGTAGGGATAATCATGATTGCAGCAGAGCAGGGCGGAGGTTGGGAGTCCAGGCTGTCCAGTGGGCATGCCTGAATTCTGAATCCTAGTGCTATCCCTTTCAGCTGAATGTACTTAGGGCTCTGATTCCTTTTCTGTGAAATATAACAGCACCAACCTGACAGATTGTGCTGAGGATCAACAAGCTGTTGCCTGTAGAGTGCGTATTTCGGTCTGTGCCTAGCTGTTTGAAGGGTAGGTGGAGTTGGTTCTACTCAAGTATGACATGACACGCAGACACTAAAGTGACCATTAGGAAGGGGGACGTTTGTTACCTATACAGATCCCTAGAAGCAGGAGGCGCCGCCCACCACTCAGAGCCACATGAGAAAGTGCCAGTTGCTCAAGAGCCAGAGAGGAGCAGGAGAAACGTGGGCAAGAGACTCTGTCATGACTTCCACAAGAAGGAATGAGCAAGGCAGGGTTGGCACACTTAGGATTGATTCTTTTAAGTAATTTCAGAGGGCTCTGGGACACAGGGGCTGTCCCTTGTTGTCTGGTACCCAGCTCATGGGTGACTAAGGCAGGGGGATAGTGGCCTGCAGTACAAAGGCCTGATAAAGGAGGAGGGTGGGGGTAAGAGCAAGGGTTTGGTTAGTTTGCATATGAAAGTCATGTTCTAGGCAAATTGTTTGCTCTCTGTAGGAACTGGCTAACCCTAGGAGGGGCAGTCCCTCCAGGGTCAGCAAGGATGCAAAGCATCAAAATACAGAAAATAAAAAGACATAGCCAATGGCCAATACACTGAGAAATGCATTTTTCTGCCATGGGCCATGTGCCTGCCATATGACCACAGACTTTGTCTTGTGCCTTCCTGACGAAAGCTCTGTGAAGCTGTCAACAGAAAGATTGATTTCCGTAGAAAAGTTAAAAGCTCATCTAAGAATCTGCAGGCAAGGGGGCAAGGATAAGGATCATCCTTTTTCACAGATGAAGAAACTGAGGGTTGGGGAGATCAAGCAATTTACCCAGAGTTACAAACCCAGTAAGGGGCAGAGCCAGGATTTGAAGCTGTCTGACCCCCAATCCTGTGTTCCTGCACTCTGTGCTGTATCAGCATAGGTCCTTACTTGAGTCCTCTGGCCTGTGCCAGGACCTGGAGGGCCTTGTTTTTGTCAACACAGAAGGTTGCCTTTGTGTTCAGTTTCCCTGTTTCCCATCAGACCTTACTATTTAAAGTGGCTCTTGTACTTTTATCTGAACTGGTTTCCACCCAGCTGACCACACCTCCACCCCAGTTCAGGCCCCTCAGGGGGAGACGTAGCAATTCTTTAGTCCCCAAAGGTCAACACCAGCAGATCTGTGAGACCAGGGAGGCTGTTAGAGCTGAAAGCCATTTTCCTCAAGTGTCTAAGCTCTCCTTTGTACATCTGGAAGCTGGGCAGGGACTGTGGTCTTGGACAGAAGAGCAGCAAAGTCAAGTGGCCTCAGGGATGTGCAGGAGAGAAGGAGAGGAGTGGCCAAGTGTATGTGCATGCATGCATGCATGTATGTGCACGTGTGTGTGTATGCACAATGTGTTGAGTGGTGGAGGGTGGGCAGCCAGGGCCTTGTGGGGTGAATGTATTAAAGTGTCTAGAACACACTTCCAGGTCCTTCCCTCACTGTGTCCAGCTGAAGGTCTGTTTTGTACATTCTACAGGGCCCCATACATGAGCATCATTGTTCAATAGCAAACTTACCTAATAATGGGCTGTATGTATCATTACTTTCTGGAGTTCCTCTTATTTTGATGGGAACTTGCCTGCTTGGCTAAAACAGAAATGGCAGCTTCTCTCTGTTCTCTCTGTGTATGAGTCTTGTCTTCTCACAACATCAGATAGCCCATCATTCACCTGAGATAGGGACAAAGCACTTGGGCTCAGGCAAAACCATTGCTTATATTTCATCTGTTGAGCAATATCAGTGTGGGGGCCCTTGAAGACAAGCAGGAAGTAGAAGGACTCCCCACTTTTCTTTTTTGAGAGAGAGTTTCACTCTTGTTGCCCAGGCTGGAGTGCAATGGTGCAATCTCAGCTCACTGTAACCTCTGCCTCCCGGTTCAAGCAATTCTCCTGCCTCAGCCTCCCGAGTAGCTGGGATTACAGGCATGCGCCACCACACCCAGCTAATTTTGTATTTTTAGTAGAGATGGGGTTTCTCTATGTTGATCAGGCTGGTCTGGAATGAAAAAAGGGAGTCCTGGCTGGGGGGGGTGGCTCACGCCTGTAATCCCAGCACTTTGGGAGGCTGAGGCAGTGGATTGTGGGTGAATAATCAGGCAGGCATCCCTGCAATGATTAAACACCAAGGGAAGGCTATCTTCCCGAGTCCGTGACCGGCACTGGAGTTTTGGGTCCATGGATAAAATGTGTCTCCTTTGTCTCTACTAGAGAGGAAAAAGAACTGGAATTGGAAGGACAGGGAGATTGAAGTGTAGTGAGAGAGGAAGATTGAAGGGTAGCAAGAGAGGCTGGAGAAGAGAGTGAAAAGACTGCTTACCCAATTTGAAATTGGTGAGATGTTCCTTGGGCTGGTTGGTCTGAGGACCCAAGGTCATAGGTGGATCTCTTCACGGAGTGAGGGTGAGGACAGGGGACTGGTCTCCGGAAGGAGTCCCTCTGACCCGGGTCTTTAGCACCAAATTTCTCAAGTGCATCCGTGTGAAGAGAGTCCACCAAACAGGCTTTGTGTGAGCAACAAGGCTGTTTATTTCACTTGGGTGCAGGCTGGCTGAGTCAGAAAAGAGAGTCAGCAAAGGGTGGTGGGATTATCATTAGTTCTTATAGGTTTGGGGATAGGCGGTGGAGTTAGGAGCAATATTTTGTGGGCAGGGGGTGGATCTCACAAAGTACATTCTCAAGGGTGGGGAGAATTACCAAGAACCTGCTTAAGGGTGGGGGAGATTACAAAGAACCTTCTTAATGGTGGGGGAGATGACAAAGTACATTGATCAGTTAGGATGGGGCAGAAACAAATCACAATGGTGGAATGTCATCAGTTAAGGCTGTTTTCACTTCTTTTGTGGATCTTCAGTTGCTTCAGGCCATCTGGATGTATACGTGCAGGTTACAGGGGATATGATGGCTTAGCTTGGGCTCAGACAGTCCCTGCTCCTCAAACACTTTCCCGGGGCTTGGAAGTGAAGTGGCAGGGAGCAGAGCTCTCCTGTGTGACCTGCCAGGGACTTCACTGAGGTGTTGCACATATGTGTCACTTGCAGCTTCCTGAGAAGTAGCTCTTAGTGTCAGCAGCAGGCTGTGTTTTCCAGTAGTTTGGGTTAGATCCCCCCTAGCTGGAGATATTCAGAGGGTCCCCAAGGGACCAGAAAATCATGTTTATGGAATGACATGAGGTCAGAAAAGAAATCAAATTCTTATGAAGGGTGGGATTTTGTTGGCCTGAGACAAGACATGTGACAGAATGCTCCAGGAGGTGAGTGGCATGCATGTTTTTGGCACGCATGTTTTTAATAAAGGAAGACAAGAATAGACTCCTGCCCCAAGATGGCTGCATGCTCAGGCAGTGGTCCCTGCCCAAGATTGCCAAATGAAACTTACCAGAGGATGCAGGGCGCTGCTGGAGTAGAATCCGGAACACCAGAAAGACTGAGGTAGAAAAGTTAAAAGCTTAGCTAAGAATCTGCAAGCAGGGGGCAAGGATAAGGAACATGGGTCTGAAAAGATTCAGAAGCAAGTTAAGTTGCTCAGCCCGGCTTAAGCTGAATGACAGAGAAGCAGGAGGAGAGAACCTAGAGAAGGTGCGGCCCTGAGTCCTGGGAGAGGAAGCCTCCACAGTGGGAAGAAACCACCTCCTTCCTGAGAACTAAAACCCCCATCTGACCCACGTCTTGCGCTGATGCAGAGCTTAATGGTTGACAAAAGCCTCCATGAGCATGCGATCATTTGGTTTGGTCTTCAAGCCACCCCTTGATGTGGAAGGCAATGGTTACCCCATTTTATAGGTGACAGCAAGAGAAGCACTCCCATAGCAAGATGAGCCTCTGTGAGAAATCAAATGCAGGTGACTAAGCCAGGGAGGTCTCCCATCTAAGCACTCTCTGGAACCTTGGCCACGATCATCTCAGCCTCCTTTATATGATATTGTGACAGTGGTTTGTCCAAGCCGCCCAAATTGTCCATTCTTATCTGCAAAACCTTCAAAAATCAACCCACACTGCCCCTTAACCCTAAAGCAGAAACATCATCACTGAATGTACGTATGTGTGTGTTGTATGTATGTACAATATGTATGTATTGCTACTATTCAGGGGAGAATTTGGGAACAGTGTGAACAAATCTGGCAAGAGGCTCATGTCAGCCTGAAAACCCTCAGGGGTCACAAAGCCTAGCAGAGGATGCACTTTGACATTCATGTCAACAGATTTATACAGACTGATTGGAGACCAGCTACGAGGCAGACTCTGGAGAGACACAAAAATCAGTAAGACACACATCATAGGTGTAGGAAGCTTCCTACCCAGAAGGGAGGTGAACACAAAAAGGGCCAAGAGTCCTCACAGTAGCCAGTCGACACTTCTTGGGTGTCTACTGGCTGCAGATACTGTGGCAGCAAGTTGCTTGTGTTACCCACTTAACTCTCACTACAACCTGATGAGATGGGTACTTCAATCAAACGTGGTCATGCCCATGAAGCACTGGGCTTGGGTAGCAGTAAGCAGTTAACACATGCGAGCTCTCATTACACATAATTACTATCCCTGTGTTAGAGAAATGAGGCTTAAAGAGGTTACGTGATAGGCCCAGGATCCCACGCTCTATACTGTTTGATTCCAAAGTACCTTAACTTTGACCACTGATAGTGATTTTTAAACTTGTGTGCTAGTTAGAAATACAGCTTTTTTAGCTCTCTGTTGGAGATTTATTTTTAGCAAGTCTAAGGTGAGGAAGTTATTATGACAAGAAAGAGGCACACCTAGTGTTTAAGAGCATGGGCTTTGGAGTCAGACACTCGGGTTTGAGATCTAATTTTGCTTGTTACTAGCCTTGTGACCTTGCTTAATCTCATCAGGATGCAGTTCCTTGATCTGTAAATGGTGTAATAATGTTAACCATTATGTTAATATACATTAAAGGCAGTTTAATAAAGTCTTTGAGAGCATAAACTCTGAAGTCAGACGGCCTGACTTAAATTATGGCTCCAATACTTACCACTCTTGACACTGAGAGAGAAAATTGCTTTACCTCTTTGTGCCTCAGCTTCCTCATTTATAAAACTAGAGTGATACTAATTCCTTCCCCAAAGGGCTGTTTGATTTTAAAGTGTTCATACTTGTAAAGCCTAGAATAGGGCTTGAAGAGTGGGAAGGGCTCAATCAGGGTTAGCTGCTGCTATTATTAATATTGTCATCGCCATCATCAACATCGTGGCAAAAAAAAAAAAAAAAAAAAAAAACAGCTTTAACCAGGGCAATGGTAGGAGGACTAGATCTAATGGAATACACATGTAAAATCCAACAGATAAGCACTTAGGAGCAGCAAGAATGAGAAAAGGGAAGTGTGATGCCCTTCGTCCAAAGAGTGGGGAGGGTTGTGGGTGGGCTTGGGGCTAGTCCTGGATGTGCCACCAGCATGCAGGGTGACCATGAGCAAGGTCCTCCCCTCCCTTGGCCTCAGTTTTATGATCTGTAAAATGGGGGGCTTGCATTAGTTTAGCTCGTAGATCTCCTCTGATTTTAACACACTAAGATTCTGAGAGATTTCACGCAGATGCTTTCAATTTTTTTTTTTCTTATTTGCTGGTGGGTTAGGGCATCCTCTTGTGTTTCTAAGTTGTCACATTTTAGGCTTTTTTGAAGGACATGTTGATTTTCAACACCACACTGTCACAGTTCCTATGGATCCTGGGCAGAGAGGACGTTTCTATGACTGAAAGTGAAGCCCAAAGTCCACTGGTTGGCACCTCCTTCACATGCCGTCTTGGTGACCCTGACCAGAAAGTCCATCTGCCCTCCTCTGACATAGCAATGTCAGCTGCTCATGGAGAAGAGCTCTCCGTGTCTTCACGTCTTTGACATAGACTCAGCACTCGATTACCGGGAGCTCTCCAAATTTTTGTTTTGAGACAGGATCTTGCTGTGTTACCCAGGCTGGTCTTGAACTCCTGGGCTAAAGTGATCCTCTCGCCTCAGCCTCCCAAAGTGCTGGGACTACAGGCGTGAGCCACCGGGCCCAGCCAAGCTCTCCAAATTAAATTCCATGTAACATAGATAAGTAATACAAATGTGATAATCTGGAGTTTACATATGGAATATTAAACACAACAGAATCACAGCAATTGCTTAGAACTTGGACCTACAGATTTTGGAGAAGGAAGTAGTATTCTATGTCAAGCGCATACAAGGGAAGGCAAAGCATGATTCAGCGAGTAAAAATACAGTGAGCTACTTTCAGATTCAGACAGTTTATTACTCACATAGACAACTCTGAAATAAAGAGTAGGCAAATATGCCACTCCCCCAAAGATCCTTGTCCTACACACCAGAAAGGATGACACCGAAACAAAATGGGCCAGATGACTGGACCATGAGTTGTGGTGTTGTGGGACAATCAAAGATGGGAGAGAATGAACAGAGTTCAGGAGAGTCCTTTATTAAAAGGTGATCATCTGGCTCAGGTGGACTAGCGTCCAGGAAAGTCTGAGCCCTGGACAAAGAAAGCAGCCACCTTTTAAGCAGTCAGTGGCCCAGAGCTACATGATGCAGGAAGCATACTTACAGAAGCGAGAACAAAGGCAGTTGTTATTTCACGTCTTACATTCTTGGGAATACATGGTTCTGTAACATATACTTATCAATCTTATGACCTTGCAGCTGTGCTGGGGAGGTAAGCAAGAACTTGCTGAGCCTCAAGGAATGTGAAACCAGTGAGAACAGATAAGGCTCACTGAGCACAGAAGGAAAAATAGGCAGTTAGTATTCTTCTCTAACTTAGAATATGGTGGGGGGGTGGGGGATGCTACACTACACTAAGCCCTGAGGGGAAAGTTAATTTTCTGGCTTTACATAGTGTAAAATTCATGAATTCCTTCTTCAGTGGGATATACTCTCACCGAGGAGCCAGTTCTAGACTGGTTCTTTTAAAGCTATTTTGTTTCCTTTTAAGCAATGTGTACTGGATTTATCTCTTCAGGCCTACTATCTGCCTGTCTCCACCCTAGAAATGAGCGACCCAGGAGGCTGACCTGGATAAGCAGCATCAGTGGGCTCCCTTGCTCTCTGGACAGGCAGCATCAGTGGGCTCCCTTGCTCTCAGGCAGTTAACCAGTGGGCACAGGAGATCAGAGAGATGGAGAGTGAGGCCAGGTACTTACACCCCTGGCTTCCCTCTGGAAGAATCATAGCTGGCTAGCTGCTCTTCTCTATCTAAGGGGGCAGCTCCTATTAGGCGGATCTATTAGTTGGTCCTCTCCACACAGTTCTGTCTCCAGGTTCTGGTAAAGGCTCCTTCTCCTCCCTCCATGTAGTTAAAGGAAGTAATGATATCTCTGCTGTTATTCACCATAAGATACCACACTCTTCTTTGTGGTATCCCTCTCCATAACTTTGTAAAAAGTATCTTTATTAACTCTCTTTAAATCGCCTAATTTGGGAAGGTCATCTGTTTTCCTAAGTTTTACAGAAAGTGGCCCCAAAGAACAGACCCTCAGAATGTGATTCTAGAATTGGATTGCTCACATATTTGAGAAGTGCAAGGATGTACACTCCTTGCCTGGGAGAAATGAGAAAGCAGTTAATCCATGGCATATGGTGGCATCATAAGTACTCAAGTTATTACTAGTAATGACACAGAGTAGATTAGAAGGTGTTGTTGGTACTCCATGCCATATCTTCTCAGCCCAGCTCTAATGTCAGCCACAGCTGTGCAGGACAGTCCCAGGCACACTGATGGCTTCCCATCTGAAACACTCACCATTCTTCGGCCTCAGAGCTTTCTCCAGAACCATAAGAACATGCTCAGCCTGCTGGAATGCACAGCCTCTTATTGCAAGGGAGTTTCCCCTCCACAAATGGGATAATTCCGAGGTACATAATTCATGATTTCTCAGGGTTATTAAACCTCAGTTCCCCACAGAGATAACAACTCAGAAATACTCCTTCACTTGCAGTCTTACTCTCCAAACTCTCTTATCACTGCTTTCTTGGATTATTGACTCTTCTATGGTTTGGATGAGATATAAGAGGCAGAGGAAGGGCCGGGCGCGGTGGCTCACGCCTGTAATCCCAGCACTTTGGGAGGCCGAGGCGAGTGGATCATGAGGTCAGGAGATCGAGACCATCCTGGCTAACAAGGTGAAACCCCGTCTCTACTAAAAATACAAAAAATTAGCCGGGCGCGGTGGCGGGCGCCTGTAGTCCCAGCTACTCGGGAGGCTGAGGCAGGAGAATGGCGTGAACCCGGGAAGCGGAGCTTGCAGTGAGCCGAGATTGCGCCGCTGCAGTCCGCAGTCCGGCCTGGGCGACAGAGCGAGACTCCGTCTCAAAAAAAAAAAAAAAAAAAGAGGCAGAGGAGGTACTGGGATGTGCAGTACCTTTATACTTGAATATAGGACCAGGACTAGGGTGAGACAAACAAGGTGCTGAGGTCACAACATTTGAGGAAGCACTCACTCTCAGGGTTGTGCAAGTGCAGGTTTGGCACTTGTGAGTATTTCCTTAAAACTTGCATGCTAGGTGCTCATTTGCCTCACCCTAGTCCTGGCCCTGCACGGTGATAAATTGAGTCCTTGCTCAAGTCTATCTCGCCGTGGTTCTAAAGGGTCCATAACATCCCCTTCTGGTGATTTCCCCAATGTTGAGTATATAATTGACATGGATTTTCTTAGCAACTCTTAGTCCTCACATTGTTTTCCTGACCTGGGGCATTAGCGTCATTATACAGGAAGGGCAAGCGAAAGCTCCTAAGTTAGCACCCTCCCTCAACAACCAAGATGGCAAATCAATAGAAATAATGAATCTTTGAGCATTTGCTGAGTCACTCTAGAAAATTTAAAGGATGTTGGGGTGATAATTCCCATCGCACCTCCCCATTCAATTCACTCGTATGGTTCCTGCAAAACATAAACAGATGGTGGAGGATAATGATGTACTACTGAAAACTTAACCAAGTGGTAGCTCCAATTACAGCTGCCATGCCAGCTGCTACATGTTTATTACAACAGATCTAATGTTTGGGCAAATGTAATTTTTAAAATCTCCATCAATAAAGAAGGACAAATGAAGATAATACATATGGAAAGGACAGAGATACAAATTTATCCTCTCACCCCAGGGCTATGTTAGCTCTCTTGTTCTCTGTTACAATATAGTCCACAGGGACTTTGATCATTTTTACATTGCACAGAATATTGTGCTCATCCACCATAATGATAAAACATCATATTAATTAGATATGGTGAACAAGAAGCAGAAAATTTTCAGGAATTGTGCTAGAGGGTAAGAGATAAACCTCACCAAGATGCAGGAGACGATCATATTCATGAATACCCTGGGCACAAAAAAGCTACATAAACAGGTGACCCAAACCTCCAAGCCTCCCCCATTCATTGCATCAACACCTTAGCTCAAACCTTGTAAATTTTCCCTATGACCAGATAAAGGAGGAAGAAAACACCTGGGTCTAATTCATGAATGGGTCAGGCTAGCATGCTGGCATGAGCCAATAAGGACTACTGCTGCTACTGCTGCAGAACATCTGTTGTGTCTAAAGTACAATATCGGGTGGTGCAGTGGGGAGGAGAAATCTTACAGGTGGAGCTTTAAGAACACTTAATCATCAATTTTATAAGGAGGGAGTAATAACCTGAAGTAAGGATATACATGGACTCCTGTGTAATGACAAATGAACTAAAAGGAGCAAGAGTAGAGACTAGGAGATGTGGGAAAGAGACATATAGATGACCTGTGAGGGTGGGCATAAGCTTGTGGAACTATGTCTGTCCATCAATGTCTACCTGAGAGTATCCACTTCAGAGGAGATACTGAAAAACCAGTGAATAAGATGGTACATCCAGTGGATGTCAGCTAGCCTCTGTCTTTGGCTACCTCAGTGCTTATAAAATGATTCCAAGAATGGAGTAAACCATAGTGGCAGGGGTGAGACCATGTTTTAGCCCAAAAACATAAGCTTTCTCTTACCAAAGTTGATCTAATTATTGCCACTACTGACTGAGTGATTATAGAGCTACATAGACTGGACCTGAGCCACCAGTAGGGTGCCATCTCTTGAATAGAGCAGCCAGCTAATCACATGAAACCCCTCCATCATGCAGGAAGCAGTGATTCATCCCTCCTGGGACTGGCATCTTCTTTGGATATGGGTTTTTCTTCTCTATCCATTGTATTTTTTTTCTTCTCTATGCAATGTATCCACTGTATCCATTTTTGTTTTCTATCCAGCATTACCATCTGAGGGCTTACACATGCCTGCTTTATAAAAGGGTATCCTATATAACATCACCCTGGACTAAGGTACCCATTTTATGATAAAGGAGGTGTGACAATGGACACATGACCTTGGGATCCACTGGTCCTAATACATCCCTGGAAGCAGCTGAATTCATTAACTTGAGTGCACTCACTCAAGTTCAGGAATTAATATGATGGCTTAAGCACTGGAGAGGGGCACAAATAGTCTGCGAGATTCTCTAAATGAAGCCTGAACTCGACAGTGACCAATGCTGTCCTTAGACCTGCTCCTCTCCCAGGCCCTTCCTCATGGAGCAGTGCCACCATGCTCCATAGTGGAATTCCAAAGTTTCTCTGAGAATCCTAAGTATGAACATTCTAAACTGTAACATTTTTCAAGGTAGAAGGACAAAACATTTTATTTGTTTTTTATCCTGATTTACAAATATATGTATGTGACCCTCCATTTGTACCCTTTTCCTGGTCACCACAAATGTTAGGAGCAAGCTTAATACTGGTCTATGGGTAATGACAAGATTCCTGGCACATGGAAAGGGTCCAAAGATTCAGAGATAGGAAAAATTCCCCTAGGATACATAAAAGATCCAAAGATTCACAAGGATCTGTTTTGTGCAATCTGCTTAGCATCCCTTCTTCATCAACCATATTCCTTGGGATGGCCTGGAAGACACTCCCTTCACCAAGGTACCTTGAAGAGGGAGATGCCAGCATCCTTGAATAGTTTTGCTTTGGTTGTGCTCTCCAAGGTGATGACACTAGTGAGAGATTACGAAATTACATTCTTTGCTCACAGTGGGTATAGTGAGATTCTGAAGTAGCAGAGGCCAGATGGCAGTGCTCTACTATCACAGACCAAGTGGGCACAATTATCACAATAAGTACAGGGATGGGGTGGTAAACAAAGGGCTTTGGCCTGCACAGATCTGTGGCAATGGCTAATTAATTGCTGGATCCTAAAATGTGACCCAGTAAGCAGTCTACTAAAAGGTTGCTTAACATGTGCATGCAGGAAAATTCTGGGTCTGGGGGAACAGAAATCTTACTTGAATATGATGATTTATATCCTCTTACTCAGGTCCTAGACCTAAGCTAGTCCACAGATCACAAGTTCTTTGGCCAAAAAACAGACCAGGTCTTTTTGAGGAAGGACTCTGCAACAAGATTGTGTGAATCTCCCCTAGGTCTTCTCCAGAGTCATTTAACAGAGTGACTGAGCACTGAGCACTATGGAAAAGAGAATACCCATATCTTCTAAGGGTTGTTAGAGACTGTTCCTGAGTGATGCTAATCCACAGATACCTAAAATGCCACTGCCTGTCAAGAGTGGGTCTTAAGTATAGCTAGGGAGGTTTAAATGGAAGCCTCTATAATTGCAACTCCCACTGAGATAGTAAACTAACAGCAACACCACATCGCTGGAATTGCAGAGATTAGTGCCACCATCACAGACCTGAAAGATGCAGGCACAGTGGTTCCCATTGCATCCCCAAATGCAATGATGGTTTTTATCTTTGGCTGGTGCAAAAAGCCTGATGAATTGTGGAAGATAACAGCAGATCTTCACACACAATCAGATGGTGATGTCACTTGCAGAAATTCCAGATGGTATCTTTACTGGAGCAGATGAACACAGCCCCTAGCTCCCTAGCTGTGTTGATGAAACAAATGGATTTTCCCTCTTCTCCGTTAGTTAAAGAAAAAAATGAGAAGCAGTTCACCTTCACGTAGCAGGGACTATAGAACATTATAATACTATGGTCCAGAAGTATCCTGATCATCTTGATATCCCAAAGGACATCATGCAGGTCCACTGCTTTGGTGACAGAATGCCTATTGGACTTGCGAGTGGAACGTAGCAAGCACCCTAGATGCCTTATGACACGTCAGCCAGCAGTTGGAAATAATTCCTCCAAAGCTCAGTGGCCAATCACATCAATGAAGTTCCAAGGAGTTCAAGGGTCTGGTGTATATTGGAATATCTTGTTTAAAGTAAGACACAATTTTCCTGCCACCATAAAGGGGAAAGCACAAAGCAGGGTGGCCTCTTTGCATCTTGAAGGCAACCCATGTGACAGTTGGACATGCTGCTACAATCTATTTAGTGGGTTAAAGTAAGGCTTTTCCATGACATGATTGCCTATGAAGAAAATTCTGAGAAATAAACCTCCAAAATCCTCTTAGAACTAATAAGCAAGTGTAGTAAGGTCAAAGGATATAAGACCAACACACAATAATCAATTCCATTTCTATATACTAACAATGAACAGGAAAACAAATATTAAAAACTCAGTACTATTTACAATCACTCCAAAGATAATGAAATACTTAGGTACAGGATTGTATGATGAAAATTACAAATTGCTGATGAAAAAAACAAAGACATGCAAGTACTTGGGGAGACATACTGTGTTCATGGATTGGAAGACTTACCTAGTGAAGATGCCAGTTCCCCCCAGATTGATCTATATATTTAACACAATTCCTATCAAAATTTCAGCAAGGTTGTTTTTGTAGACATAGACAAGCTTATTCTAAAACTTATGTGGAAGGGACTGACTCTAGAATTTGTTGCGGGACATCAGGGACCCTGAATGGAGGGACTGGCTGAAGCCGTGGCAGAAGAACATAAATTGTGAAGATTTCATGGACATTTATTAGTTCCCCAAACTAATACTTTTATAATTTCTTACACCTATCTTTACTGCAATCTCTGAACATAAATTGTGAAGATTTAATGGACATTTATCACTTCCCCAATCAATATTCTTGTGATTTCCTATGCCTGTCTTTACTTTAATCTCTTAATCTCATCATCTTCATAAGCTGAGGATGTATGTCGCCTCAGCACCCTGTGATGATTGCATTAACTGCACAAATTGTTTAAACAATATGAAATCTGGGCGCCTTGAAAAAAGAACAGGATAATAGTGATGTTCAGGGAACAAGAGAGATAACCATTAGATCTGGCTGCCTGAGAGCCAGGTGGAACAGAGCCATATTTCTCTTCTTTCAAAAGCAAATAGGAGAAATATCGCTGAATTCTTTTTCTCAGCAAGGAACAGCCCTGAGAGAGGGAATGTGTTCCTAGGGGTAGGTCTCTGAAATGGCCGCTCTGGGAACGTCTGTCTTCTACGCTTGCAGATAAGGGATGAAATAAGCCCCAGTCTCCCATAGCACGCCCCGGTCTCCAGTAGCGCTCCCAGGCCTATCAGGACGAGGAAATTCCCACCTAATAAATTTTGGTCAGACCGGTTGTCTGCTTTCAAACCCTGTCTCCTGATAAGATGTTACCAAAGACAATGCATACCCAAAACTTCATTAGCAATTTTAATTTCGCCCCGGTCCTGTGATCTTACCCTGCTTCCATTTGCCTTGTAATATTTTATTACCTTGTGAAGCATGTGAGCTCTGTGACCCACACCCTATTCGTACACTCCCTCCCCTTTGAAAATCACTAATAAAAACTTTCTGGTTTTGCAGATTGGGGGACATCATGGAACCTGCCAACATGTGGTGTCTCCTCTGGATACCCAGCTTTAAAATTTCTCTCTTTTGTACTCTTTCCCTTTATTTCTCAGACCAGCTGACACTTAAGGAAATAGAAAAGAACCTACGTGAAATAACGTTGAATTATCAGGGGTGGGTTCCCCTGATAAGAATTGTCAAAACTATTTTGAAAAGAAGAATAGGGTGGGAGGAATCACTTCTCCCTGTGTCAAGGCTTACTATGTAAGTATAGTGATCAAGAGTGGTACTTGGAGAAGGATAGTTGCATAGACCAATGAAGAACCTAGACATAGGTGTACAGAAATGTACCAAATTAATCTTTAGCAAAATAGCAATAGCATTTCAAATGAAGAAGGAGAGCCTTTTTAATAAATGATGCTGAAGCAACTGGACATCCATGTTGGGGGAAAACAAAAACTTTGATAAAATCCTATACATTACACAAATGAACTCATAATGAATCATGGACCTAAATGGAAAATGTAAAACTCTAAAAGAACTAGGCAGAGAGTTCTTAGACTTAACACCAAAAACACATCTATAAAAGAAAAAAATTGAAAAATTGGACTTCATCAAAATGTAAAGCAATATTTAAAACCCTATTAAGATAATGAAAAGACAATTATGGGCTGGAAAAAAATTTCAAAATCTCATATTTGACCAAAAATTTGCGCCTAAAAATATATTAAAAACTTTCAAAATTCAACATTAAAAAAAAAAAACAATCCAAGTGACACTTCACCAAAGAGGACACAAAGGGGTAAAATAAACACATGAAAAGATGTCCATGGCCGGGCACAGTGGTTCACACCTGTAATCCCACCACTTTGGAAAACCAAGGTGAGAGATCACTTGAGCCTAGGAGTTTGAGACCAGCCTGGGCAACATAGCAAAACCCCATCTCTATAAAAAATACAATTAGCTGGGTATGGTGGCATGCACCTATAATCCTAGCTCCTCAGGAAGCTGAGGTGGGATCACCTTAGCCCGGGAAGTTGAGGCTGCAGTGAGCCATGGTCACATTGACAGGTGACAGCGTGCTGGCAGCCCTCGCAGCCCTCGCTCGCTCTTGGAGCCTCCTCTGCCTGGGCTCCCACTTTGGCGGCACTTGAGGAGCGCTTCAGCCCACCGCTGCACTGTGGGAGCCCCTTTCTGGGCTGGCCAAGGCCAGAGCTGGCTCCCTCAACTTGCAGGGAGGTGTGGAGGGAGAGGCACGAGCAGGAACCGGGGCTGCGGCAGCGCTTGTGGGCCAGCTGGAGTTCTGGGTGGGCATGGGCTTGGCGGGCCCCACACTCGGAGCGGCCAGCCAGCCCTGCCGGTCCCAGGCAGTGAGGGGTTTAGCACCCGGGCCAGTGGCTGCGGAGGGTGTGCTGGGTCCCCCAGCAGTGCTGGCCCACTGGTGCTGCACTCGATTTCTCGCCAGGCCTTAGCTGCCTCCCCGTGGGGCAGGGCTCGGGACCTGCAACCCACCATGCCTGAGCTTCCCCCACACACCATGGGTTCCTGCATGGCCCGAGCCTCCCCAACGAGCGCCGTCCCCTACTCCACGGCGCCCAGTCCCATAGACCACCCAAGGGCTGAGGAGTGCGGGCGCATGGCACGGGACTGGCAGGCAGCTCCACCTGCAGCCCCGGTGCGGGGTCCACTGGGTGGAGACAGCTGGGCTCCTGAGTCTGGTGGCGACTCGGAGAACCTTTATGTCTAGATAAGGGATGGTAAATACACCAATCGGCACTCTGTAACTAGCTCAAGGTTTGTAAACACACCAATCAGCACCCTGTGTCTAGCTCAGGGTTTGTGAATGCACCAATCAACACTCTGTATCTAGCTACTCTGGTGGGCACATGGAGAACTTTTGTGTCGACACTCTGTGTCTAGCTAATCTAGTGGGGACGTGGAGAACTTTTGTGTCTAGCTCAGGGATTGTAAATACACCAATCAGCACCCTGTCAAAACAGACCAATCAGTGCTCTGTAAAATGGACCAATCAGCTCTCTGTAAAATGGACCAATCAGCAGGATGTGGGTGTGGCCCAATAAGAGAATAAAAGCAGGCTGCCTGAGCCAGCAGTGGCAACCTGCTCAGGTCCCCTTCCACACTGTGGAAGCTTTGTTCTTTCACTCTTTGCAATAAATCTTGCTGCTGCTCCCTCTTTGGGTCCACACTGCCTTTATGAGCTGTAACACTCACCGCAAAGGTCTGCAGCTTCACTCCTGAAGCCAGTGAGACCACGAACCCACCAGGAGGAATGAACAACTCCAGATGCGCCGCCCAAAGAGCTGTAACACTCACCACGAAGGTGTGTAACTTCACTCCTGAGCCAGCGAGACCACAAACCCACCAGAAAGAAGAAACTCCGAGCACATCCGAACGTCAGAAGGAACAAATCCTGGACACGCCACCTTTAAGAACTGTAACACTCACCACGAGGGTCTGCGGCTTCATTCTTGAAGTCAGTGAGACCAAGAACCCACCAATTCCAGATACAACATGACTGCATACCAGCCTGGGCGCAATGGATTGAGACCCTGTCTCAAAGAAAAAAGAAAAGATGTTTATTGTCATTAGGCAAGAGGGAAATGGAAATTAAGACCACAATGAGCTATCACTACACACACAGCAGAATGACTAAAATAGAAATAGTGGCAGCAAATGCTGGCCAGGAGGTAGAGAAACTGATCACTTATACACTGTTGGTGGGAATGTAAAATGGTATAGCCCCTCTGGAAAATAGTTTGGTAGTAGTTTCTTATGAAACTAAACATGCAACTACAGTACAACCCAACAATTGCAGTCTTGGGCATTTACCTCAGAGAAATGAAAAAACATTTATATTCACACAAAAACCTGCACCCAAATGTTCATAGCAGTTTTATTTGTAATAGCTCAATCCTGGAAACTACCCAAATGTTGTTCAACTAAAGAATGGTTAAACAAACTGGTGAATCCATACTGTGGAATACTACTCAACAACAAAAAGAAACAAACTGTTGATACATGCAACAATTTGGATGAATCCCAAGGAAATTATGCTGAGTGAAAAAAAAAAAAAAGCCAACCTCAAGAGGATACATACTGTATGGCTCCATTTACACAGCATTTGTGAAATAATAAAATTATAAAGATAACAGATTTGTAGTTGCAAGGGTTAGGGATATGGGAGGGGAGAAGGTAGATATGGCTGTAAAGAGGTATTACGAGGGAATCTTGCAGTGATAACAGAGTTAAGCATCTTGATTGTGGTAATGGTTACATGAAGCTACACATGTGATAGAAATACATAGAGCTATACATCCCACCCTCATACACACATAGAGACACACAATCAAATGAGTACTCAAATAATGGGTGAAATCTGCATAAGCTCTGTGGATTGTACCAATGTCGATTTCTTAACTTGATATTGTACTATAGTTACACCAGATGTCAACATTGGGGGAGGTTGGAGGAAAGATGCACAGAACTTCTCTGTACATTTCTTTGCAACTTCATGCAAACCTATAATTACTTTAAAATTTAAAAATAAAAGTAATGTTGGCCGGGCAGGGTGGCTCATGCCTGTAATCCCAGCACTTTGGGAGGCCGAGGTGGGTGGATCATGAGGTCGGAAGATTGAGACCATCCTGGCTAACATGGTGAAACCCTGTCTCTACTAAAAATACAAAAAATTAGCCGGGCGTAGTGGCAGGTGCCTGTAGTCCCAGCTACTCTGGAGGCTGAGGCAGGAGAATGGCATGAACCCGGGAGGCGGAGCTTGCAGTGAGCCGAGATTGCACCATTGCACTGCAGCTTGGGCGACAGAGTGAGGCGCCATCTCAAAAATAAATAAATAAATACATACATACATAAAAGTAATGTTGCCCATTTTGAATAAGCAAGGATTCTGTCGCAGGTCCAGGGTACTGTACAAGCTGCCCTAACTCTTGTACCTTAGGACTCAGTGGATCCGATGATATTGGAAGAGTCTGTGGTGGCAGAGATGCTACACAGAGGTTGGCAAACACAGTAAGAAGCACTCAGCAGACCACACAAACTTCGAAGTAAAGCCACACCATCCTCTGCCCACACTTTCCTCCATTGGAAGGGCAGAGCCTGGCCTGTGACAGGCCCTGGCAGTGACTAAAGGCTTGACCATGAACCATCCACAACGAACTGATTATGATCCAAAAAGCATAAAACTGGATAAGGATAGCAGTGTCCCCCGACAAAATGGAAACAATTTACATTAGACCCAGCCCAAGCAGGTCTGAAATGCCTAAGGAAATTCCATGAGCAGGTGGCTCAGCCTCCCCTATGGCCCTGCCTCTGTCTTTGCTGGGGAGTTCCCTAAGATCACTAATGAAGGAAGAAAAACACAGTTCTTCTTTACAGCTCTGTATACCGGCACCAGCCAGAAGTAGGCAGCCACTGTCCTGTTGTGGGTTGAACTGTGTCCCTCAAAAGAGATATTGCAGATTCCTAAACCCCAGTGCCTCAGAATGTGACCTTATTTGGAGATAGGATCTTTACAGAGATAAACAAGTTAAAATTGGGTCGTTAGAGTGGGCCCTAATCCAAAATGACTGGTGTCCTTATGAAAAGGGGAAATTTGGACACACACACACACACAGGGAGGATGCCATGTGAAGATGAAGGCAGAGATCAGGGTGATGTTTCTATAAACCAAGGAATGCCAAAGCTTGCCAGCAACCCCCAAGAAGCTAGCACAGAGGAGCTCAGGAAGAGGCATGGAACAGATCCTTCCTTCATAGCCCTCAGAAGAGATCAACCCTGCCCACACCTTCATTTTGGACTTCCTGTCTCCAGAACTGTGAAATAATACCTTGCTGTTATCTAAGCCACCCAGTTTGTGGTACGTTATTATGGCAGCCTTAGAAGACTACCACAAATCCTCCTCCCAGGTGGCTCTGAAAGGCAGTGGTGAAGAGAAATTCTCTCAGTGGGCAGAACTCTGAGCAGTACACATGGTTATCCATGTTGTGAGGAAGGAGAGATGGCCTGAGGTCTGGCTCTATACCTAATCATGAGCAGTGACTAACAGATAGGAATGGTTTTATAAAAAAAATTTTTAAGAGAACTCTACCAAAGATAAAAACCCATTTGCTTTTAATTTCATACGTAACTCTCACTCTGTTATCTGGGTTTCCTAGCCCAGCCCATTTTTGAAACAGACAACAGAGAGGTAATTGGAGGTAGACGCATTACATGATGGGGAGAAAACATAAATAAGAATATTAACAAATACTCCCCAAAAGTACAGCATACTGGAACCGCTTAGCATGGTTGTAAAAAGCCTTTACATCTTACTAGCTTCAGGTACTATTATTAGCTCTCCAGGTACCATTATAATCCCACACAACACATTGTTTAAAATGATGACAAGGTCCTGAGTCAAGGAAAGATCAACTTCTGTTCAGAATACTTTTTTATTAAGGCAGAGAAAGTGTTCAATATACTTTGCTTAAGAGTAAAATGTCCTCAAAAATGCCAAAATAAAAGTATGTACTTAAAGGCATAAAATTTGGTTATCTGGAAAATTAATTTTTTATGAAATAGTCCAAAAAGTCCAACATTTAGGCATAACTTTTTAGTTTTGCCATGAAATTACAGATAAATTTAGCTATCTAAAATAATAAGCTGAGATACAGATGAATTAACATTTCATACTGTTTATATATTGTTCTGAATTATCTTACTGTTCTAATTTTGAAATTGCTATTTTAATCAGGAATTTAAATTGAAAAATCAGAATACTATTAGAGATTCAACAATATTCTTTTAACTCTATTCTGGATAAGTTTTGCTATAATGCCTGCTAATATGTATATGAAACTAATTACAGTTATTCTATCTAAAAGAATTAGTCACTATCATTATCTATGAGTGAAAGTTTAAAAGGATGATCATATGTACAAAGGTCAACAGTGAAAATGCAAAAATGAAATGAGTTGTTTTCTCTGCATTTTAAAAAAATTTCTATTCTGCTATATTGTGGCCATTATTAAATATTAAAATATGTTTAGGAGTCTTAAACCTTATTCTTATGGTCAGGGGTGGTAGATTTATAATAATGGAAAGGTTAAATATAACCTAATTAGAAAATAACTTGGAAAAGCATATTAAAGATCATGATTTAACCCTTCTCCAGGAGTTTAATCCTAAGAAATTATTTTTTAAAAGAAGTCAGACTGTTAAAAATGATCCATACAGTTGTATTATTTTTAAAACTAGGAAAACCTAATTTCTAATAATTAGGGATTGGTGCAGTATATAATAACATGTAAACTCAATGGAGTATTATGTAAACATTAAAAATGATTAAGTAGTGACAAAATAATGTGTACTTGATGGAAAGGCAGCATTGCAATATAAGCAGTATAATTTGATTTGCAATAATGTATCCATATAAGCAAGGACTAAAATAAACTAAAGAGAAATATTTCTATTGAGGCAAGGGGATGATTGTAAATTTTTCCTTATATTATGTTTATACTATGAATAAAAATTGGGGAAGGGAAAACCCATTGTAGGAAAATAAGGGAGTTTAAAATTAGATGGCAGAAACAGTAATAGACTGGAAATCAGAAACTGTAGATTATCATGTTGTCTCTACCATCACTTAGGATTGTGTCTTTGGACATGTTATTTTATTTCTTTGAACATCCCCTTGCCTCATATTTTTTCATCTTTTTTTCACTTTCAACCTATTTGTGTCTTTGGATCTAAAGTGAACCTCTTTTAGATACCATATAGTTTAGTCCTGTTTAGTTGTATTCATTCATTCTACAAACCTCTGCTTTGTGGTTGGAGAATTTAACTCATTTACATGTAAATTAATTACTGATAAAGAAGGATTTACTTCTGCCTCTTTTTTTGTTTGTTTTCTGTATGCTTTATATACCTTTGTCTCTCATTTCCTCTATTCCTGTCTCATTTTGTGTTTAGCTGATTTTTTTGTAGTGAACAATATTGATTCCTGTCTCATTTCCTTTTGTGTATACTTTCTGGATATTTTCTTAGTGGCTATAAGAGGGATAATACTTAACATCTTAAATTTGTAGCAATCTTGTTTGAATTGATACCAACTTAACTTCAATAACATACAAAAACCCTGCTCCTATACAGCTCTGTCTCTGTCCCTTTATGTTGTTGTTGTCACAAATTATATCTTTATACGTTGTGTAACTAATAACTGATTTTAAATGCATTTGTCTTTTATTATGTAAGAAATAAAAATAGAGTTAGAAACTAAAAATAAAATAATGCTGACTTTTATATCTACCTATACAGTTACCCTTACTACAGATCAACATGTTTTCCATACAGCTTTGAGTTACTGTCTAGTGTCCTTTTATTTCAGCTGGAAGAATTCCCAGTATTTCTTATAACTCAGGTCTACTGGTAAACTCCCTCAGGTTTTGTTTATCAGTGAATGTCTTAATTTCTCCTTTACTTTCAAAGAATAGTTCTGTTGAATATAAAATTATAGGTGCAGTTTTTGTTTACTTTCAGCATTTAAATATGTCAGCCCATTGCCTTCTGGCTCCATGTTTTCTGAGGAGAAATACCTGATAACCTTAGTTAGAATCCCTTGTATATAATGAGTCACTTCTCCCTTGCTGCTTTTAAGATTTTCTCTTTGTCTTTTCCTTTCAACAATTGGATTATAACATGTCTCAGTGCAGATCTCTTTGAGTTTATCTTGGTTAGAGTTATTGAGCTTCTAGGACATGAAGATTCATGTCTTTCATCAAATTCTGGGCACCTGCAGATATTATTTTTTCAAATAGTCTACCTACTTCTCTTATATGCTGGGACTCCAAAAATACATATGTTGGTACACTTAATGATGTCCCATGGGTCCCTTAGGCTCTGTTCACCTCTTCTTTTTTTCCTTTCTACTCTCCTCAGACTTGGGTGATGTCAGTAATCCTATCTTCAAGTTCACTGATTCATTCTTCTGCCTAATTAAATCTGCCTAATCAAATTGAATCTTTCTAGTGAGTATACTATTTGTTATTGCACTTTTCAGCTCCAGAATTTCTATTTGGTTTCTTTTTGTAATTTCTATCTCTTTGCTGATATTCTCATTTTGTTCTTACTTAATAGTTTCCTTTAGTTCTTTGTCCATGGTTTCCTTTCATTCTTAGAGCATATTCAAGACAGTCGACAAAAATTCTTTGTCTAGTAAATCCAATGCCTGGACTTACTATTTCTTTGTATGTCTTTTGGTTTTTGTTGAAAACTCAACATTTGACTATTATCATGTGGTAACTATGGAAATCAGATATTTCCTTTCCCAGAGTTTGTCATTTTTTTATTGTTGAAGGCTGAAGTCAGCCATTGTTTAGTGACTTTTCCAGATTATTTTTGCAAAGACTGTATTCCTTGTCATATTTAGTGACTAAAGTCTATGTTTCTTTAGCTTGTGTTTAACTAGTGTTTTGACACAGATTTTCTTAAGTGCCAGTAGCTAAAAACAAACAAATAAATTTAAAAACCACTTCTATTCTTTGCAGATTATCTCTGTGCAGTGGCACTCCTTCAACACTTAGCCAGGCTGTTTACAACTCTGCCGTAGCCTTCACTTCTTGCTTGTACTGAACCTAGAGATCAGTCAGAGTGAAAGCTTAGGGTCCTCTCAGGTCTTTTCTGAGCATGTGTATGTTTTTCTAGATTCATCAAAATACACAGGCATTTTTGAAAGTCCTAATTTTTCAAAGACATTCTTCCTATCTTTTCCTCCCAGGCTTTAGGTGGCCTATTTTGTCTTTTGCCCCAGGTTGCTGTATGGTTTTCATTTGTCTTACAATGTTTTTGACAGTGCCTACTGCTTTTCCACCTGATGAGTTCTGAGTTAAGTATAACACACAAGGGCACCTCATATCAGTCATTCAGTGAGTCCTTACATAGGTTAGAATAGGCAAACACAATAATGTGTGAATAAGGTCTTCTGTGCTCCCTCTGGAATCAGGAAACAGGGTCCCTCACTGGCAATGTGAACTGCCATCTTCAAGACCATGGCTGAGCTAGGGAGGGGCTGAAGCAGGGAAAAGTTAAAACACCACAAAACCTCCCCACCATTTAAAAGTTGCCTTTTTCCTGATTCAGCACTTTTACTTATTTGCTATAAAATTTTGTTTTCCAGAATTCTGATACAGTTGGCTCTGACAGTTTCTGCTTGTATTGTTGTTTCTGTGCAGTGAAGAGACCTTGCCATTTTGTTGATCAATCATATTATTTTTAATATTAAGAAGATCAAGATATTTTTCCTTCTGTTTTGGATTATATGAATTCAAAAATTTTTAAATATTTTGTAAATGTTAATGATCAATACTCTTCTAATGCAAATAGATTAAAATAAAAGGCTCAGAAAATATGACAACTGAAAAGGACCTGAGAAACTATCTAACTCGACCAAGCAGAAAAAAAGAATTTCAGAGCTCAAAGAACAGGCTTTCAAATTAAAAGAATTTTAAAAATAAATGAAGTCTTCAAGAAATATGGAATTATGTAAAACAACCAAACCTATGACTTACAGGCATTTCTGAAAGAAAAGAAGAAAAAGTAAGCAACTTGGAAAACAAATTTGAAGGAATAATTCAGGAAAATTTCCCTACTCTTGATAGAGAGGTAGACATCCAGATGTAAGAAATTCAGAGAACACCTGCAAGATACCATAAAAGATGAAAATCACCAAGGCCAAGGTCAACATTAAATAAAAAATTTTAAAGGCAGCTAGAGAAAAGGGCCAAATATGGTGTCATTGCAAGATTAACCCTGAATGTAAACAGCCTAAATTCTCCACTTAAAAGATACAGATTGGCAAATTGGATGAAAAAACAAGAGCCAATCGTCTGCTGCCTCCAGGACACCCAACTAGTGTGTAATGACACTCACATTTGGTCCTTTGCCCTAGCTGCCTTTAACAGACTAACTGTGGACTTCTCCACAGAAGCCGTACAAGCAGAAAAGATTGGGAGCCTATTTTTAGCCTTTTAAAAGAAAACAAATGCCAGCCAAAAATGTAATATCCTGTCAAACTAAACTTTATAAACAAAGAAGAAATTATTTCCCAGATAATCAAATGCTAAGGAAATTCTTCACCACCAGACCGGATTTACAAGATATGCTCAAGGGCATTCTAAACGTGGAAACAGAAGGACAATACTGGCTACCGTAAAAGCACATATAAGTACAAAGTTCATAGAACCTATAAAGCAATTACAAAATTAAGACTACAAAACGATAACAACACCATGACAGTAACAAAATCTCACACATTGATATTAAGATTGAATGTAAACAACCTATAAATGCTCCACTTAAAAGATACAGATTGGCAAATTGGATGAAAAAACAACACCTAATCATTTGCTGCCTGCAAGAGATCCACCTAAAGTGTAATGACATCCACAGGCTCAAAGTAAAAGGGTGGAAGAAGACATATCATGGAAATGGAAAACAAAAGCACAGGAGTTGCTAGTCTTGTATCAGATAAAATCAGCTTTAAACCAACAGTTAAAAATATGCAAAAGAACATTACATAATGATAAAGGTTCAATTCAACAAGAAAATTTAACTATCCTAAATGTGTATGCACCCAACACTGGAGCATGCAGATTTATAAAACAAATACTACTAGACCTAAGAAATGAGATAGACAGCCATACAATAATAGTGGGTGACTTCAACATCCCACTGACAGATCACTGAGGCAGAAAACTAACAAACTCTGGACTTAAATTGGACTCTTGAGGAAATAGACCTAATAGACATTTACAGAACATCCCACTCAACAACTGCAGAATATACATTTTTCTCATTTGTGCACAAAACATTCTCTAAAATTTGCCATATGCTTGGTCATTAAAAAAAGTCTCAATAATTTTTGAAAAATCAAAATTATATTAAGCACCTTCTCAGACCACAGTGGAATAAAATTAGAAATCAATACCAAGAAGAACTCTCAAAACCACATGGGTACATAAAAACTAAACAACTTGTTCCTGAACAACTTCTAGCTAAACAATGAAATTAAGGCAGAAATAAACATTTTTTTTTGGAAACAAGTGAAAACAGAGACACAACATACCAAAACCTCTGGGATACAGCAAAAAAAAAGAGAAGAAAGTGTTAAGAGGGAAGTTTATAGTGCCAAATGCCTACATCAAAAAGACAAAAAGACTTCAAATTAACAACTTAATGTTGCACTTCAAGGAAGTAGAAAAATAGGAACAAACCAAACCCCAAGCCAGCAGAAGAAATCACAAAGATAAGAGCAGAACTAAATGAAACTGACACAAAAAATATCATATAAAAGGTCAATAAAATGAACAGTTGATTCTTTGAAAGAATAAACAAAATTGATAGACCACTAGCTACATTAACCAAGAAATCAGGAAAGAAGATCCAAATAAGCACAGTCAGAAATTGCAAAGATGACATTATAACTGAAACCACAGAAATACTAAAGATCCTCAGAGACTCCTATGAACATCTTTATGCACACAAACTAGAAAACCTAGAGGACATGGATAAATTCCTGGAAACATACAGCCCCCAAGATTGATCCAGAAGTTGAAATCCTGAACAGACCAGTAACAAGTTATGAAATTGAATCAGTAATAAAAAAATCTACCAACTAGCTGTCCCTGTCCCTGTCCCTGTCCCTCTGCCTCTCCCTCTCCCCATGGTCTCCCTCTCCCTCTCCCTCTCCCTCTCCCCACGGTCTCCCTCTCCCTCTCTTTCCACGGTCTCCCTCTGATGCCGAGCCGAAGCTGGACTGTACTGCTGCCATCTCGGCTCACTACAACCTCCCTGCCTGATTCTCCTGCCTCAGCCTGCCGAGTGCCTGCCATTGCAGGCGCGCGCCACCACGCCTGACTGGTTTTCATATTTTTTTTTGGTGGAGACGGGGTTTCACTGTGTTGGCCGGGCTGGTCTCCAGCTCCTAACCGCGAGTGATCCGCCAGCCTCGGCCTCCCGAGGTGCCGGGATTGCAGACGGAGTCTCATTCACTCAGTGCTCAATGGTGCCCAGGCTGGAGTGCAGTGGCATGATCTCGGCTCGCTACAACCTCCACCTCCCAGCCGCCTGCCTTGGCCTCCCAAAGTGCCAAGATTGCAGCCTCTGCCCAGCCGCCACCCCGTCTGGGAAGTGAGGAGCGTCTCTGCCTGGCCACCCATCGTCTGGGATGTGAGGAGCCCCTCTGCCTGGCGCCCAGTCTGGAAAGTGAGGAGCGTCTCTGCCCGGCCGCCATCCCATCTAGGAAGTGAGGAGCGCCTCTGCCCGGCCGCCATCCCATCTAGGAAGTGAGGAGCGTCTCTGCCCGGCCGCCCATCGTCTGAGATGTGGGGAGCACCTCTGCCCCGCTGCCCCGTCTGGGATGTGAGGAGCGCCTCTGCCCGGCCGTGACCCCGTCTGGGAGGTGAGGAGCGTCTCTGCCCGGCCGCCCCATCTGAGAAGTGAGGAGACCCTCTGCCTGGCAACCACCCCGTCTGAGAAGTGAGGAGCCCCTCCGCCCGGCAGCCACCCCGTCTGGGAAGTGAAGAGCGTCTCCGCCCGGCAGCCACCCCGTCCGGGAGGGAGGTGGGGGTCAGCCCCCGCCAGGCCAGCCGCCCCGTCCGGGAGGGAGGTGGGGGGTCAGCCCCCTGCCCGGCCAGCCGCCCTGTCCGGGAGGTGAGGGGCGCCTCTGCCCGGCCGCCCCTACTGGGAAGTGAGGAGCCCCTCTGCCCGGCCAGCCGCCCCGTCCGGGAGGGAGGGGGGGGGGTCAGCCCCCCGCCCGGCCAGCCACCCCGTCCGGGAGGTGAGGGGCGCCTCTGCCCGGCCGCCCCTACTGGGAAGTGAGGAGTCCCTCTGCCCGGCCAGCCGCCCCGTCCAGGAGGGAGGTGGGGGGGTCAGCCCCCCGCCTGGCCAGCCACCCCGTCCGGGAGGGAGGTGGGGGGGTCAGCCCCCCGCCCGGCCAGCCGCCCCGTCCGGGAGGTGAGGGGCACCTCTGCCTGGCCGCCCCTACTGGGAAGTGAGGAGCCCCTCTGCCCGGCCACCACCCCGTCTGGGAGGTGTGCCCAACAGCTCATTGAGAACGGGCCATGATGACAATGGCGGTTTTGTGGAATAGAAAGGGGGGAAAGGTGGGGAAAAGATTGAGAAATCGGATGGTTGCCGTGTCTGTGTAGAAAGAGGTAGACATGGGAGACTCTTCATTTTGTTCTGTACTAGGAAAAACTCTTCTGCCTTGGGATCCTGTTGATCTGGGACCTTACCCCCAACCCTGTGCTCTCTGAAACATGTGCTGTGTCCACTCAGGGTTAAATGGATTAAGGGCGGTGAAAGATGTGCTTTGTTAAACAGATGCTTGAAGGCAGCATGCTCGTTAAGAGTCATCACCACTCCCTAATCTCAAGTACCCAGGGACACAAACACTGCGGAAGGCCGCAGGGTCCTCTGCGTAGGAAAACCAGAGACCTTTGTTCACTTGTTTATCTGCTGACCTTCCCTCCACTATTGTCCTATGACCCTGCCAAATACCCCTCTGCGAGAAACACCCAAGAATGATCAATAAAAAAAAAAAACAAAAAATCTACCAACTAAAAAAAGCTCAGGACCGGATGGAGTCACAGCCAAATTCTACTAGACATATAAAGAAGAGCTGGTACCAATCTTACTGAAACAATTCACAAAATCAGAGAGGAGGGATTCCCCTAACTCACTTTATAAAACCAGTATCATTCTGATACCAAAATCTGGCAAGGACACAACAAAAAAAGAAAACTGCGGACCAGTATCTGTAATAAACATAGATGCAAAATCCTCAACAAAAGACTAGCAAAGCAAATCTAGAAGCACACAAAAAGATCATTCATCATAGCCAGACATGGTGGCTTATGCCTGTAATCCCAGCACTTTGGGAGTCAAAGGCAGAAGGATTGCTTGAGCTCAGGAGTTCAAGACCAGCCTGGACAACATAGTGAGACCTCATCTCTACTAAAATTCAAAAAAATTAGCTGGATGTGGTGGCACATGCCTGTAGTCCCAGTTAGTTGGGGGGCTAAAGCAAGAGAAGCACTCAAGCCCACAAAGTCAAGGCTGCTGTGAGCCCTGATTGGGCCACTGCACTCCAACCCAGGATAGGGAGAGACCCTGTCTCAAAAAATAAAGGAATAAAATAAAATGAAAAAATTATTCATCACGATAATTATTCCAGGGATCGCAAGGATGATTTAACATATGCAAGTCAATAAATGATTCACCACATAAACAGAATTAAAAACAAAAACCATATGATCATCTCAATAAATGCAGAAAAAGCATTTGATAAAATCCAATATCCCTTCATAAGAAAAACTCTCAACACACTGGGCATTGAAGGAACAAACTTTAAAATAGTAAGAGCCATCTATGACAAACCCACAACCAACATCATACTGAACAGGGAAAAGTTGAAAGGATTCCTCCTAAGAGTTGGAACAAGGCAAGGATATCCATTCTCACCACTCCTATTCAATATAGTACTGGAAGTCCTAGCCAGGGCAATCAGGCAAGACAAAGAAATAAAAGGAGGTACCCAAATAGAAAAAGAGGAAGTCAATTTATCATTGTTTGCCGAATGACATAAACTTATACCAAACTAGGAAACCAAAGATTCCTCCAAAAGACTTCTAGACCTGATAAACAACTTCAGTAA
Organism: Homo sapiens; assembly: GCF_000001405.40. Classification (NCBI taxonomy): domain Eukaryota; kingdom Metazoa; phylum Chordata; class Mammalia; order Primates; family Hominidae; genus Homo; species Homo sapiens. The sequence goes on along the minus strand of NC_000015.10, from coordinate 68,962,570 downwards.
AGTTTCAGGTTCCAAATTAATGCACAAAAACCAATTGTATTGCTATACACCAACAATGCTCAAGCTAAGAACCAAATCAAGAACTCAATCCCCTTTACAATGGCCACAAAAAAATACAATATCTAGAAATACATTTAACCAAGGAGGTGAAAGACATCTACAAGGAGAACCTCAAAATATAGACAAAAGTAATTGTAAATGACACAAACAAATGGAGAAACATCCCATGCTCATGGGTAGAAAGAATCAATATTGATAAAGTGACTATACCGCCCAAAGCAATCTACAGATTTAATGAAATTCTATCAAACCACCAACATCATTTTCCACAGAATTAGAAAAAACAATTCTAAAATTCATATGGAACCAAAAAAGAGTCCAAATAGCCAAAGCAGTACTAAGCAAAAATAACAGAATAGAGAACCCTGAAATAACGCCACACCCCTACAACCAACTTCAACAAATGGAGGAAGGGACACCCTATTCAATAAATGGTACTGGAAAAAATGGCTAGTCATATGCAGAAGAATGAAACTGGATCTTTATCTCTTACCATATACAAAAAATTAACTCAGGATGGATTAAAGACTTAACCGTAAGATTTGAAGCTATAAAAATCTTGACAGACATAGAGTAAGCCAAGAGATTGAATCAGCAACCAAAAACCTCTCAAGAAAGAAAGGTTCAGGACCAGATGGCTTCACTGGTGAATTCTACCCAAACATTAAGCATGAATTAACACTAATCCTTCACAAATTCAAAAAACAGAAGAGGAAGGGACTGGGGCAAGGCTGAACCTGCAGGAAAGCATCAAAGGAGATTTAAACAATAATGTGTTACATTCTTGAAAATTGCTAAGAGAGTAGATTTTAAGTGTTCTCATCTCAAAAAAATAAGTGTGTGAGGTAATGCATATCTTAATTACCTCAATTTAATTCTCTTCCATGTTTATATATTTCAAAACATGTTATACATGATAATTATATACAATTTTTGTCAGTTTAAAAAACCCTTTTTAAGGGTTTTATTTAACTAGGAACTAAACAAGAAGTTGGCTACATTTTAAAACACTGCATTAAAGAAAAAAAAAAGAATCCCATCTAAAAGTGGTCAAAGGACATGAATAGACATTTCTCAAAGGAAGATATACAAACAGCCAACAAATGTATGGAAAAATGCTCAGCATCACTAATCATCAGGGAAACGCAAATTAAAACCACAGTGAGATACCACCTTACTCCAGAAAGAATGGCCAAAATTATTTTTTTTTGTTTTTAAAATGGCCGTAATTAAAAAGTCAAAAAACAATATATTGGTGTGAATGTGGTGAAAAGGGAACACTTCTACACTACTGTTGGGAATGTAATTTAGTACAACCACTATGGAAAACAGTATGGTGATTCCTTAAAGAACTAAAAGTAGATCTAGCATTTGATCCAGCAATCCCACTACTGGGTATCTACCTAATGGAAAAAAAGTCATTACATGAAAAAGACACACACACATGCATGGATACCTCAGCAAGATGTGCAATTGCAAAGATGTAAAACCAACCTAAGTGCCAAGTGAATAAAGAGAATGTGGCATATATACATCGTGGAATACTACTCAGCCATAAAAAAGAACAAAATAATGTCTTTTGCAGCAACCTGAATGGAGCTGGAGGTCATTATTCTAAATGAAGTAACTCAGGAATGGGAAAACCAAATGCCCTATGTTCTCACTTATAAGTGGGAGCTAAGCTGTGAGGACATGAAGACATACGGAATAATGTAATGCACTTTGGGGACGCCAAGGGGAGCAGGACATGGAGGGGAGTTAGGGATAAAAGATTACATATTGGGTACAGTGTACACTGCTTGGGTGACGAGTGCACTAAGATCTCAGAATTCACCACTATAGGACTTAACCACATTACCAAAAACCACCTGTACTCCAAAAACTATTGAAATAATAAAATAAAGTAATGCATCTCACCAAAATATGAACAAATAAAACAGATAAAGCAGTATTTTACAATGCTTTAGTCCAATGTAACCACTTTCTCAAAGTTGAGTTTCAAGCACTTTGGCAGACCTACAAAGAAAATATTTTAAATGTTCTCAAATCACATTATACTGTACTAATGCTATAATCATACAAAACCTTTCTAAAACTGCAAGTAACACAAAGCTACTATTTATTAAGCACCTACTACATGCTAGGCCCTTCATATATGCTGTCTTTTTTTAAACCTTATAACTTAATCTGAACAGATATCAATTTCTACACCGTTAAAAAAATGTTTAGAAGCTACAATCTGGAATTCCTTCAATTTTTGCTACCAAACCTTCAGACTTACCTTTATCTGTATTCATTTCTTCTCCTTCCCTCCTATTACTCTCTGCACCCCATCTTCAACCTCTCCTTTTCTACTGGCTCTTTCTCATCAGCTGCTAAACATGGTCTAGTCTCGTGTCCAGAGTTGGTTCCTTCGGGTGGGGTCATGATGTCTCTGACTTAAAGAATGAAGCCACGGACCTTTGCGGTGTTAGGGCTCCAGATGGTGTGGACCTAAAGAGTGAGCAGCAGCAAGATTTACTGTGGAGAGCAAAAGACCAAACCTTCCTCAGCATGGAAGGGGACCTGAGCCGGTTGCTGCTGCTGGCTGGGGTGGCTAGCTTTTATTCTCTTGTCTCCGTCCATGTCCTGCTGATTGGTCCATTTTATAGAGTGCTGATTGGTCCATTTTACAGAGCACTGATTGTTCCATTTTACAGTGTGCTGATTGGTCTATTTTATAAACCTCTAGCTAGCCACAAAGAGCTGATTGGTATGTTTTACAATGTATTGGTGGTACATTTTATAAACTTCTAGCTAGCCACAGAGCACTGATTGGTGCGTTTTACAATTCTAGCTTCAGAGTGCTGATTGGTGCATTTTACAATCCTCTTGTAAGACAGAAAAGTTCTCCAAGTCCCCACCTGACCTAGAAGTCCAGCTGGCTTCACCTCTCAGTCTCACCTATCTGAAAATAACAAACTAATATTCTCCCTGGGCTTTACATTCCCCCCACCCCCATCACCTTTTTCTCTCATTCTAGTCACTTAAATATTTCAAGAATTGTCTCTACTTTTTGTCTCCATTTTCTTTTCTTTTTTTTTTTTGAGACGGAGTCTCTCTCTGTCACCCAGGCTGGAGTGCAGTGGCGCAATCTCGGCTCACTGCAAGCTCTGCCTCCCAGGTTCAGGCCATTCTCCTGCCTCAGCCTCCTGAGTAGCTGGGACTACAGGCGCCCGCCACCACGCCTGGCTAATTTTTTGTATTTTAGTAGAGATGGGGTTTCACTGTGTTTGCCAGGATGGTTTCGATCTCCTGACCTCGTGATCCGCCTGCCTCGGCCTCCCAAAGTGGTGGGATTGCAGGTGTGAGCCACTGCGCCCGGCCTCCATTTTCTTACCTTAACTCATTCTTCCAGTATGGCTTATCTCCAAACCTATCAAAACCGTTTTTGCACTAATCCAGTGGATGATTTTTAGTCTTTATCTCGTTTGATTTTTGAGTTACAACAGTGTCAAATCCTCCCTCTTTTTTAAACACTCTTTCTTCCTTTGACATCTATTTAACCACACTTTTCCTGGTGTGGTTAAATACAGGAGAAATATTTCAAATGTTTTAATATTTTTAAGCACTTTTCTAACTATTCTTACTTGGTCACTTTGGTAGGTGCTTTTCTTCATTTTTCCCTCTAAATTAGAGATATTTAAAGCTTAGTTCTAGGTCTTCTCCTCTTCTCTGTACACTCTATAAAGAATGTCTCCACTGCAATAGCTTAAATTTCCATTTAGCTTCCAGATAGCTCCATTTAGCTTCCAGGTAGCTCCAAAATCGTTATTTGTAGATCTCTTAAGCTCCAGACTAATATATCTAACTGGATATGTCTCATAGGCAACTTAAATTTAATATATTCAAAAATGAGATTTCTAAAATCATCTTCTCCATAAGCATGCTTCCCCTTTTAAATATATCATAATGCATTAATATTTATTGAGCATATAATTACAGGCCAGACATTGTGCTAGCTGCTGAGAGTACAGCAGTGAACAAAATTCTTATTACTCCTTCTCTTATAGACTTACAATCTGGTAAAGAGAGACAAACATTAAACAAATAATCATATAAATAACTATAAAATTATAATACAATGTTGATACATGCTATAAAAAAGACAAGGTACACTACCACCCACAAAGTAGCTCAAGTCGGAAACAGAAGTTATTCCTTACCGCTTTCTTTATCTTGCACATCAAATTGTTAGCAGCAGTGAATCGTATGGGTCTGCAGCAACCTCAATTCTTGCCTCCTCAGAAGAAATAATTCGACCAGCGGACAGAAGGCAGAAGGAGAGACTGAGGCAAGTTTTAGAGCATGCGTGAACGTTTATGAAAAACTTTTAGAGCAGGAATAAAAGGAAGTAAACTTGTAAGAGGGCCAAGGAGAAAACTTGAGAGATCCAAGTGACTTCATCAGCCCTTGACTTGGGGTTTTATACACTGGCATGGCTCTGGGGTCTTCTTTCCTCCTTCCTTGATTCTTCTCTGGGGGTGGGTCATGCACATGTGCAGTGGCCTGCCAGCACTTGAGAGGGGCCACATACTAAGTGTGATTACTGAAGTTGTACACATACTCAGTCGAGGTGTTTTTCCCTTACCTGTCGAGTGTTTAAACTCCATCATGTTACCTCTTAGTGCACATACTTGAGCCCACTTCCCCAGCTCTTGAGATTTTGCTGGGAAGTTGCTGATCACCAGTGTCAGGTTTTTTCTATCTACTGGGAGAATGCCTTTTCCCGGCACTGGTTGCAACCAAGTATTATTTTAGAGAGACAGTTTAACAACCACCTGACCATCATCTAATGGTCGCCTGACATTCCTGGTGGGGTCGGGAGAGGGCTTTCCTACCCTGTTCATGTCTAACTACCTACAGTAACAAAATAATCACCAAATTCTTGGTTCTTAATTCCTAAATATCTCTCAAATTTACTACTTATTTCCATCTCCTCTGTTACCATCCAAGTCCAGGAGATCATCATCTTTCACCAGATTTTTATGACAGTCTCCTAACTGGCCTCTACTCTCAGTCTTGCTCCTTCCTTTCCTTTATCTACACTGAAGCCATTTAAAGTGACTTGCAAAAAATGCTTAAAATCTTTCAAAATATGTTCATTGTCTTAAGAATAAAGTACAATCTCCAACATACAAATAAAGGTCCTGCATATTATATATAAAACAAATATAAGATAACTGTAAAAGGTGAAGAAAAAAAGCCAAACTGGCTAAAGACTTCTGAACCCAAGGAATGACACGGTGGTGCATTCTCTGAATTTTCTTTTAGCCTCATATATCCCAAACTTGGAGCTAGAGAAGCTGACAACCCAGAAACATGAACAGGCACAGACATAAAATCCCCAACAAAAGCCTCTTCCCTCTAGCCAAAGGATTGAGAGAGGGATCGGGGACAACACAGAAAACTTTTAGACAGTAACCATTCTATTCCAGCCAAACACTACAGAAAAACTGTGACCCCCATCCAATCTCCATCCGCACTAGCAAAAGCCAAGTTGGGAACCTAGATTTCCATACTCACCAAGCTGTAAGGGCGTGTTGGAGAAGGCTGAGTAGGGATACAGGACTTTCATCTCTGTTGGATGTATGAATTCTCCACTTTATATTAGTGAAGACCAGGTGAAAAGCCTAGACTTTCACCCCCACCCAGCCTTAATGAGTCATTCCTCCCCCTCACCACTACAGTAGTATCAGAGGAGCCCTAATGGTGAGCCAGGATTTTTACCACTACTCAATGGAGAAAATAATCAATAGATGTCAACACCAAGATGACAGAGATGTTGAATTATATGACAAAGATTTTAAATCAGCCATCATAAAAATGCTTCAGTGAACAATTATAAACATGCTTGAAATCCATTAAAAAGTATAAAAACTTCCCCTCCCCCAAAAAAATAGAGTCTTAGCAAAGAATTAGGAAATATAAAGAAGTACCAGGCCGAGCGCAGTGGCTCACACCTGTAATCCCAGCACTTTGGGAGGCCGAGGCGGGTGGGTCACAAGGTCAGGAGTTCAAGACCAGCCTGGCCAATGTGTTGAAACCCCATCTCTACTAAAAATACAAAAATTAGCTGGGTGTGGTGGCATGTGCCTGTAGTCCCAGCTACTCGGGAGGCTGAAGCAGGAGAATCACTTGAACTCGGGAGGTGGAGGTTGCAGTGAGCCAAGATTGTGCCACTGCCCTCCAGCCTGGGTGACAGAGCGAGACTCCATCTCAAAAAAAAAAAAAAAAAAAAGAAGTACCAAATGGAAATTTTAGAACTGAAAAATACAATAATTGAAATACAAAGCTCAGTGGATGTGCTCAACAGAAGGATGGGGAGAACAGATGAAATAATAAGTATCCTTGAAGATAGAACAATAGAAATTACCCAATCTGATCAATAAAGAGAAAATAGACTGGGAAAAGTTTGGGAGCAAAAATGAATGGAATGAGCCTCAGGGACCCAAGGGGCTATAATGAAAGATCTACCATTCATGTCACTGGAGTTTCATAAAAAGAGGAGAAAAGGAAAGAGTTGAAAACATCCTCAAAAGAATGGATACAGTGTCTAAATTTGGCAAAAGGCATAAACCTACAGATTCCAGAAGCTGAGCAAATCTCAAGCAGGATAAATACAAAGAAATCCATACCAAGGCACATTATATCCAAACTTCTGAAAATTAAAGTCAGAGAAAAAAAAAACCCTTGAAAGCAGTGAGAGAGAGATTACATTTTACCAATAAGAAAAAGCAATAGAAATGACAGTGGATCTCTCATCAAAAACCATGAAGGCAGGGAAAAAAGTAGCACAACATTTTTCAATTGATGAAAGGAAAGATCAACCTGGAACCCTATATCATGTAAAAACATCCTTCAGGAATAAAGAATAAATTAAGATATTTTCAGACAAAGGAAAACTAAGGGAATTTGTCACTGGAAGATCTACACTAAAAGAATGGATAAGGAAGTTTTCTATATGAGAAAGAAATCATAAAGCAAGGAGTCGTGGAACATAAAGAAGAAAATAATGGCTAGAGCAAAAATGTGAGTAGATACAATAGATTTTTCTTTACTTTTGTGTTTTCTAAATTATGTTTGATGTTAAATCAAAATTTATAATCCTGTCTGATGTGGTTCTAAATGTATGTAGAGGAAATAGTTAAGACAATTCTAAGTTGGAGAGGATAAAGGGATCTAAAGAGAGGTAAGGTTTCTACTCTTCACTCAAACTGTTAAATGATGACACCAGTACACTGTCTTAAGTTATGTATATGTAATATGCTACCTAGAGTAACTGCTACAAATCTATTCAAATAAAACATAAATAAATCAAAATAAAATTCCAAAAAATGTTCAAGTAATCCACTGGAGGGCAGGAAAGAGAAAACAGAGAAACAAAAATCAGAGAGAACAAACATGAAACAAAAATAAAATAAACTAAAATAGCAAAATGAGCCCTAATATGCCAGTAATTATACTAAATTTAAATGGCCCAATTAAAAGGCAGAGATTGCAGAATGAATTATAAAACATGACCCAGGTTACACTTTCTACAAGAGACTCACTTCAAACATAATGATATAGGCAGGTTGAAAGTAAAAGGATAAAAAACAATATATCAAGTAAACATTAATCAAAGGAAAGCAAGAATGGCTATATTAATATCAAATAAGGTAGAATTCATAACAAAGAAAATTACCAGAGGCATAAATGGACATTATACAAGGATTAAATGTTCAGTCCATCAAAAAGACATAACAATCCTAAATGTACATGCAATAAACAACGGACCTGCAAAGTATGTGAAGCAAAAACTGATAGAACTGAAAGGAAAAATTCACAAATCCACAATTACAGTTGGAGACCTCAGCACTCCTCTTTCAACAATTGATAGAAAATCAGAAAGATTACAGAATAAATCAACAACAGACAATAGGATCTAATTAACATTTATAAAATCCTCCAACCAACAGAATATACATTATTTTCTATACGTATATACCATATCCTGGATCATAAATGAACCTTAACAATTTTAAAAGAATTAAATCATATATAGTTTTTTCTCTGACTGCAATAGAATCAAACTAGAAATCAGTGATGGAAGGATTACAGTAAACTCCCCCAACACTTAGAAACTATATGACATACTTTAAAATAATCCGTGGGCCAAAGAGGAAGTCTCAAAGAGGAAAATGTACACATGGCCAATAGGCAAACAAAAAGTTCAACGTCATTAAATAAAATGAAAAATACATTAAATTGAAGGAAAAGAAAATACAGCATATCAAAAGTTATAAGACATGGAAAAAACAATGCTTATAAGAAAATGTATAGTGTTAAATTCATACATTAGAAAAGAGAAAAAGTCTAACACCAAGAACCTAGAAAAATAAGAGCAAAATCCCCAAAGCAAGCAGAAGGAATGAAATGATAAAGAGCAGAAATCAATAAAATTTAACACAGAAAACAATAAAGAAAAATTAATGAAACAAATTTTTATTGGTTTGCTCTTTGAAAAGATAAAATCCACAAGCCTCTAGCAAGACTGAAAAAGGTAAAAAGAAGAAAGACACAAATTATTACCAGGAATGAAACAAGTTATTTCACTAAAGACTGTAAACATCAAAAAGATAAAAAGGAATATTACGAACAACTTTAAAAACATAAATTTGAGAAGTTGGATGTAATAGACCAATTCCTCAAAAAACATGAACAGTTACATCTCACCTAACATAAAATAATTTCAATAACCCTAAAACTATTAAGGAAATTGAATTTATAGAGGTAAAACTCTCAAAACAGAAACCTCCAGGCCCAGATGGTTCACTGGCGATGATTCTACCAAATGTTGAAAGAAGAATTAACACCAATTTACAAAATCTTTTCCATAAAATAGAAGAGAGAGGAATACTCCTCAATTCATTTGATAAAGATAATATCCTGATACCAAAACCAGAGAAGGACAGTACAAAAACAAAAAGAAAACTATAGGCCAATATCCCTCATTAATACATGCAAGAATCCATAATAAATTTCAGCACACAGAATTAAGCACACAGAAACTCATACACTGCTGGTGGTTATGTTAAATGGTACAGCCACTCTGGAAAAGAGTTGGGCAGTTTCTTATAAGACTGAATATGCAACTGCCACACTGCACAACAATGGCACTCCTGGGCATTTATCCCAGAGAAATGAAAACTTATGTTCACACAAACACCTGTATATGAATGTCAGATTATATATAATCTGTATCAGATATATAATTTGCAAATATTTTCTCCCATTCTGTCAGCAGCTTTTCTTTTCTAATAGCCAAGACATGGAAACAATCCAGAAATTCTGAAACAAGTAAATGGTTAAACTGTGGAGTACCACTCAGCAATAAAAAGGAATGAGTTGATACATGCAAAAATCTTGATAAATCTCTAGAGAGTTAAGCTAATGAAAAAAAATTAGTCCCAAAAAGATTATGTACTGTATGATGCCATTCATACAACATTCTTGAAATGACAAAATTATGGAAATGGAGAACAGAATAGTGATTACCGGTGGTTAGACAGGGAGGGGGGAAGTGGTGTGGCTATAAAACAGCAACATGAGAGATTTTTATGATGATGGAAATGTTCTGTATCTTGTACCAATATCTATATGTTGGCTGTTATATTGTACTCTAATTTAACTACATTTGGGTGAAATAGGGAAAGGGTACATTTAACTAGATCTCTCTGCATTATTTTTTACAACTATAAGACATGTGAATCTATATCACAAAATAAGGTTAAAAAGCAATAGATCATAACAATAAGATATCACTACACACCTACTAGAATGGCCAAAATGCAGAATACTAACAACACTAAATGCTGGCGGGTATGTGAAGTAACAGAAACTCTCATTCGTTTGGTGGGAATGCAAACATGGTACAGCCGCTTTGGAAGACAGTTTGGCAATTTCTTGCACAGCTAAACATACTCTTACCACGTTGTATTAGTCCATTCTTGCATTGCTATAAAGAAGTACCTGAGGCTGGGTAATTTATAAGAAAAAAGGTTTAATTGGCCCCCGGTTCCACAGGCTGTACAGGAAGTGTAGTGCAAGCATCTACTTCTGGTGAGGGCCTGAGGGAGCTTACAATCGTGGCACAAAGTGACAGAGAGCTAGCATATCACATGGCGAGAGTGGGAGCAAGACAGCAAGGAGGGGAGGTCCCAGACTTTTAAACAGCCAGATCTCACATGAACTAACTGAGCAAGAGTTCACTTATCACCAAAGGGATCATGCTAAATCATTCATAAGGGATCTGCCCCTGTGATCCAGTCATCTCCCACCAAGCCCCATCTACAACATTGGGAATCACATTTCAACATGAGATTTAGAGGGGACACACATTCAAACCGTATCACGTATGATTCAGCAATCATGCTCCTTGGTGTTTACCCAAAGGAGTTGAAAACTTCTGTCCACACAAAAACCTGCACATAAACGTTTACGTCAGCTTTATTCATAATTGTCAAAACTTAGAAGCAACCAAGATGTCCTTCAGTAGGTGAATGAATAAATAAATTGTGGTACATCTAGACAATAGAATATTATTCAACACCAAAAAGAAATAAACTATCAAGTCATTAAAAGACACAGAGGAAACTTACATGTGTATTACTAAATGAAAGAAACCAGTCTGAAAAGGCTACAGACTGCATTGATTCCAACTACAGACTGAGCATCCGTAATCTGAAAATCCAAAATCCAAAATGGGCTGGGCGCTGTGGCTCAGGCCCGTAATCCCAGCACTTTGGGACGCCGAGGCCAGCGGATCACTTGAGATCAGGAGTTTGATACCAGCCTGGCCAACATAGTAAAACCCTGACTCTACTAAAAAAAATACACACAAAAAAAATTTGGCCAGGTATAGGGGCACGTGCCTGTAGTCCCAGCTACTCAGGAAGCTGAGGCAGGAGAATTGCTTGAACCCAAGAGGCGGAGGTTGCAGTGAGCAAGATCGCACCATTGCACTCCAGCCTGGGAAACAGAGTGAGACTCTGTCTCAAAACAAAAAGCAAAAAAACAAAACAAAACAAAAATCCAAAATGTTCCAAAATCTGAAAGCTTTTGAATGCTGACAGGACATCTCAAGTGAAAAATTCCACAACTGACACATTATTTTTTCACTGTATTAATAGTATGTCATGTTTTTACTGTCAAGTACTTATGTGTGCATAAGTGTAAGAAAATAATCGCTTATCAGTAGCAAATAAATTCAGAGTCAGAAATGATAGTGATGCTAAGTAACCACAGACTGTCCACATGGGTGGCTGAGATATTGACACCTTTGCTTTCTGATGGGTCATGTACACAAACCTTATTTCATGTTCAAAATTATTAAAAGTACTATAGAAAATTACCTTCAAGCTCTGTGCATAAACTATATATGAAACATAAATGAATTTCATGTTTAGACTTGGATCCTATCCCCAAGATATCTCATTATGTATATGCAAATACCAAAATCTGAAAAAAAAACAAAATTCAAAACACTTCTGGTCCTACACATTTCAAATAAGTTACTCAACTATATATACATTCTGGAAAAGGCAAAATTATGGAAAAAAAAAAAAAAAAGCAGTGGTTGCCAGCCAGAAGTTAGGGGAGAGAGAGGCATGAATAGATGAAACACAGAGGGTTTTAGGGCAGTGAAACTACTCTGTGTGATACTATAACGGTGGACACATGTACAATTGTCCAAATGCATAAAATGTAAAACACCAAGAGCGAATCTTAGTATAAACTATGGAGTTTAGGTGATGATGATGTGTCAATGTAGGTTCATTAATTATAACAAATGTACCACACCAATACAAGATGTGTCAGGGAGGAGAGAGACGGATGTGAGAACTCTGTACTTTCTGATCAATTTCTCTGTAAAACTAAAATTGTTTGAAAAAAATAAAGGCTACTAATAAAATAGAGTATCATTGGAGATTCTATGAACTAATTATTCTGGAAATTATTAAGCAAAGGGATTCAAGCATTTGATGTCTTTCCAATACACACTAGACCACTGGGGAATCAAATAATAGATGAAAGTTTCTCTTTATAGACACATTCCAGATAATAATGGAAGGAATGATGTCTCTACTTTGTATCACCTGATCAATTAATCTATCTAGGCAATGACCATAAAAGTCTGCTAAAAATACAAAAAGAGACCCAACCATATGGAAGAATAAAACAGCATCTTGCCAAAAAAAAAAAAAAAAAAAAAAAAGAAGAAAGAGAAAGAAAAAAAAAAACCTCAGTTTGATGAAGCCTCTCTAGATCCAACTACCAATTTATAGAAAAGATAGAGGATAGGAGAACATGCTAAATGGCACTATGGGGATGCAATTAGCAAAATCCATATTGTGGGAAACTATAGGACAAATGACCAATTTCTTCAGTAAATAAACCTAAAGGGGAAAAAAAAGAGGTATAAAGGAATACTTTAGATTAAAAGAGACTTATTAGTCAAATCAACCAATTTTAATGTGTGAACTTTATTTAATCTCGATTCATATAAACCCTAAATTTTAAAAATTATTTCACAATTGGGAATTTGAACATTGACTAGATATTTGATGATAGTAAAAATCATTAAACTTTTTTTTTTTTGAGATGGAGTCTCCCTCTGTTGCCCATGCTGGAGCACAGTTACATGATCTCAGCTCACTGCAACCTGTCTCCTGGGTCCAAGCTATTCTCCTGCCTCAGCCTCCTGAGTGGCTGGGATGACAGGCATGCACCACCACACCCAGCTATGTTTTATATTTTTAGTAGAGACAGGGTTTCACCATATTGGCCAGGCTGGTCTTGAACTCCTGACCACAAATGATCCTCCTGCCTTGGCCTCCCAAAGTGCTGGGATTACTGGCGTGAGCCACTGCACCCAGCCAGAAATCATTAAACCTTTATGTGTGATATTGTGGTTATGTTTTTTTTTTTTTAAAAAAAAAACTTACAGAGCTTCACATTGTTATATTTTTACTGATGAAATGATAAAGTATCCGTGATTTAATTCAACATAAAATAGGAAGAGGGGAAAGGGGTAGGGATATAGATGAAAGAAGATTAGTCTTTAGATGATTGTTGAGACTAGATGATGGGTATGTGGAAGTGAACAATAACAAAATGGAGTCACTTATGTCAAAGCCCTAATCAAAAATGGGAGCTGGGGAGGTCATAAAGAAAAAATCCTCCTGCTTACATTCTTGAAATACCTATACATCTTGGATGTATCCTGTAATCAGAGCTTATTCTCAGGCATTTCCTTGGCCTTCAGCATTTCTGATATGATCTGACCAGGACAGGCGCCTACCAAGGCCTATCTCCTGCAGTGAGCTTTGTTTCAAAGCAGTTTGTGTGGACTCCTGCTTTAAAAACTCCCTTTGTCCTGATTTTCCTGGTGTGTGTGCTTATGATTTTCATGGCTTGTGTACCCTAAATTGCAACGCTTTTTTATTCCCAATTAAAATCTTTTGTTTCAGAGAGCTTGTCTCTATGAGGTCTTTTTTTAAGGTTGACATGTACATGGATTCATTATATTATTCTTTACTTTTGCAAATTTTTGAAATTTTCCAAAGTAAAATTATTTTATAAATAACAGTAAAAGAGTATTTTTAGTAAACAAAGCCTATATATAATACTTTTTACAATACAACTAATTGTGGGAATTATTTTTGGTCCCTGCTATTAGCACAGTCCCCATATCCATTCAATCACCAAATCTTGTTGATTCTCCCTCTTCCCCCCCCCACCCAAAACAGTCTTGCTCTGTCACCCAGGCTGGAGTTCAGTGGCGCAATCTTGGCTCACTGCAACTCGGCTCACTGCAATCTCAGCTCACTGCAATCTCGGCTCACTGCAACCTCCACCTCCCACGTTCAAGCAATTCTCCTGCCTCAGCCTCCCAAGTAGCTGGGATTACAGGCTCCCACCATCACGCCCAGCTAATTTTTGTATTTTTAGTAGAGACGGGGTTTTACCATGTTGGCCAGGCTGGTCTTGAACTCCTGACCTCAGGTGATCCGCCCACCTTGGCCTCCCAAAGTGCTGGGATTACAGGCGTGAGCCACTGCGCCCGGCCTGATTCTCCCTCTTAATTGCCAATTCTTTCCACCTACTCCAAGCAACATTTGGCCTGTGCACAGTGCGCTTCTACTTTTGCCCACTTCCAAAACTGCAGCGAGTGGGTTTGGTTGTTGTTAACAGATATTTGAACATACTAGTCCTTTTTGCTTAAAATCCACTAATGGCTTCTCATTGATCACAGGGTAAAGGCTAAAACATTTAATAACGCACTGAAGGCGCCACAGGATATATTCTGACCTGGTGTATATGTCACCAGATCCATCTTGTGATGCTCTTTCTTGCCTTTCTATACTCCAGGTACTTCCTGAACTTCTCATCCTTATTTTTAACTCACAGTATTCATACCTGCTGTTCCCTCTCCCTGGAATGTTCACTTTCTCCTTACACACACCCTAATCTTTCAGACTATACCTTAATTGCCACTTTCTCAGGGTAGCTTTCCCATTATTCTTGGTCTAAGTGAGGTCAAACACCTCACACCTTCATAATAATTTGTCACAACTGAAATTTAAAAATTCTTGAAATTATTTGTTTAGTGTGTATCTTTCCCGCTATAATATAATGTCAAAGAGAAAAGAAAGTAGGTCTTATTTTTGTATCCCCAAAGCCTAGCATCTATTGTGTCCTGCACATAGTAAAAGGTCAATAAATCTTTATCAAACTATAAATGAATGTCTTGATGAACAAATAAATAAATGTATTTGAATATAATACTGGTCAAATCATAAACAGAATTACCTGAGCCATTATTATAATACTACACAGTTAACCTTAATGGTGTCAGTCATACTCTCTTGACAAAAGATTTGAAAATCTTCAATGTGTATGTACACAAAGAAAGGAAATGAGAATGACTTCATTACATATCCAGGTTACAGTCCCTCATTGATACTCCAAAAGTACTTAATGACAAAAGAATAGAGATGTATCTTAATATAGTATCTACATTTTAAAGGAGGCACACCTATATCCAAATAAAAGTGCAGATACAAGCTCCAAGTTATGCTATTAAGACAGAAAACTCGCTGGGCGCACTGGCTCACGCCTGTAATCCCAGTACTTTGGGAGCCCGAGGAGGGTGGATTGCCTAAGGTCAGGAGTTTGAGACCAGCCTGGCCAACATGGTGAAACCCCGTCTCTACTAAAAATATAAAAATTAGCCAAGCGTGGTCATGGGTGCCTGTAATCCCAGCTACTCAGGAGGCTGAGGCAGGAGAATCACTTGAACCCGGGAGGCAGAGGTTGCAGTGAGCCAAGATCGCACCACTGCACTCGAGCCTGCGTGACAGACTGAGACTCTGTCTCAAAAAAAAAAAAGACAACTCAGATTATCTGAAAGAATAAGAAAGACCATATGCCCCAAAATTTTACACTGTATGTCTATAGAATTATTTTATTTAAAACTAGCTATAGAGTGAGAGAGAGCACAGTCTCTTAACTCATAAAATGAATGAATTTAACTAATCTATTCAAGTAAAATCAAAGCTTAAACATCGTAAAGGTCTTCACAACATTTAAAATTAATGAGAAAAAACTACAAACTCCTGAACCAAAATTTTATTTTAAATTAGGTTTTTAGTGCATATGAAAATTGTTCATAACACATGACACATAAAGATGTTGGCACATTTGAACTACAATAGAAAATATTTTTATACAACTTTTGAAATTACGAATATGATTATTTCTCCTGTGAAAAAATGCAGTTTGCTTAAATCAGCTTTGTTATGGAATATCAAGTAGGTTTAAAATTTTTATATTATTGTTTAATAAACTTTTAATAAGGCTGTGACTCTCCTTGATCTACACATATTTTTTAATGTATTGAATACTGTAGCAGCTTTTTCTCTCATCTCTGGTGGAACACATTTAATATCTAAATATTCATAGAGTTTAGATCTAGAATTACACAGCATGTTAATAACAGTTTCGATGTCATCAATTTTATTACTTGTTCGTCCTACTGGCAATAACTGGGACTTATACATTGTTTTTAATTTATGTTCTGCTGCTGCTGCTAGAGCAAGGCTTCGTTTTAGGTGATCTTTAGAGGCTTCAATATCTTCTCTATATGCTGGGTTGCTGGTGTCACTAAGAAGTGCCTGTTGCACTTGTGAATTAATATCTAAAATTTTTTTCAAAATGTCATCATTATTCCAACTCTCTGGGTGCTTTCCAAACTCTTCGGGTTTTTCTATCGCAGTTTCACCTGAGAGCTGAGGAACATCTTCTGATTCTGTAGAGATCCCAATGCCAGTGCTCTTATCTAAAGTGGTGACAGGTGACTTGTATGAGGTAACATATGGACTTGTAGATGATTCAGTAACAACTGGCAACATTCTTGGTGCCTCAGTTTGTTTTGCAGCTGGCTCCGGCTCTGGCTCTGGCTCTTCATTTTCAATATAAGGTTCCTCTGCATGCAAAACAATGGAAACATTGTTTGGTTTGATCGACCAGAATGGGGTACTTTCCGTGTGTTTTTTCTTTCCTATTTCCGGTGTGAAGCCTCCTGTAGGGAAAGTTGTAGTTTCTTCACTGATAGGATTGGTTAAAACATCATTCTCAGTTGAAGCGTCTCCATGTGTAACTAGCTCCTTAAATTTTGATCCCTTTGATGCTATAGAATAAACATGTTTTGGAGAGTTAGATTTTTTCTCACGACCTGGCTCCCCAGAGGGAACACTTCGTACTAGGTTCTCTAAAACTTGTATATAATGATTCAAGTTTTGCTCTTCATCAGGTGTCACAGTTATGCCTTCAGGGAAAAAATCAAATAAATAATAAGTAACATTTATTATTATATATGACACACTGACAGAATCTACTGACCAAAATTTATTTCATATGCTATCACTTAAAAATTGAAATAAAGAACCAATATGCAAAGCACCTTTGACACAGAGTCAACTTTCACTTAAATAAACAAAATTATTTCTTCAGGTTCTTATTAAAACAGTTGAGCAAGATTAGTGCAAAAGTTGCATATTAACACCATTCTCTCTATATTTTTGCTTTTATTCTCCCATATAACTTATGATTCAACAGGCAACTTATTAAACGAAAATTCTTGATTATGTCCTCTAACACAGTGGTGTGCTGGAGTAGGCTTATACTGGTTGACTAGAGCCCATTGTTAAATTTTTATGAATTTTGTGAGCCAGATGTTAAACACAGACATTATTTAACAATTAACTTATCTACATTTACAATCAAATAAATTATATTAAAAGCAAAGGTAATAAATATCCCAAACTCATCACTTTCTAATTATTTTACTATTTTCTATGCTTGTGAGGTTATTTACATCTAGTGTATCTGTATGATGAAAATGCATATAATGGTGTGCTACTGTGCATCTCTACCTCCCTGCTCAGTGATGTCAACTTGGTAGTTTGAAATCAACCATGGTTGGAGTATCTACGCCATGTAAATGAGCAAATGCTACAAATCAGAGTTTCCTCCTCTCTCCGAAAAGCCAGTTTTAAATATTTACCAGTATACTACTGCCTTCAACCCAACAAAGATCTAACTATAGTCTGTGACTCATATCCACTCAACTGTTTTAGTAAGTAACGTTTTATTGGAACCCAATGAGTCTTGCCTATTTGTTTGTGTATTATCTACAGGTGCTTTTGCCTGCAACACTAGAGTAATTGTAAGAGACCACATGGCCTGCAAAGCTGAAAATACTATATTACCCTTTACAGAAAAAGTTTGTGAGTTCCTGGTCTAAATCATCAGCATTTCACTCTTAACAACAAAATGGTAGTTCTACTTCATGAACCGCTGGCAGCACCTTCCTTCTCCTCACCTGCCCCCGGATCAAAAATATATATATATTCTTGACTAAAGTCTAGTCAGGAAATATTTCCTGTCTTTTATTTTAAGCATCAAATTGTTTTAGTTGACTTAAAAAAGAAAAAATACAGAAAAGACAAAAAAAGCCCAAGGGTATTGTTGGGGCGTCTATCTAATGTGGAGAGTCTTTTTTTGAGGGGTCTCCTAAAATAAAATATTTTGATAAGCAAAAAAAAAAAAAAAAGGTAGTTCTATTTATACTCCTATTTTGCAGCATCTGAGCAGTAAAGCCTCTCATTTCCAACGTGGAGAACAGAAAAGATAGTAAGATATTAAGATATTCTGGAATTCTGTTCAACTACTCCTGAACCAGGGTATTTTAATTTTAAGTGCTATGGTTTTTTACCATGGGCAATTTTAAGGTTTGCCATTTTCAAGTATACAAATTGATTTAATTCAGGGAAGTAAATCACTTTTTACCAAACACTAATGCATTACGCCTACCTGAACCATCCCCCTGCAGGCTAAATAAAGTAAACTTTCTGTTCAGGAGGCACTTTTATTTAGCTTTTTGGTAAGCACAAAATACTCAAAAACTGCTTTGTATTTACATGTTTCTCCTCTCTTCTTTATTCTGTTACAACTTAGAAAGACCAGATCGACGTTTAATCAAAATTGAAGGCATATTTCTAAATCTTAAAAAATTCTTTTTTTTTTTGAGTTTTAAGGAGGCCAGCTTTATTTACTAGAAGCACCATTTGTAATTAGCATTAACAGTTTTACAAAATCTCTTTCGTACTGCTAGCATATTCCTACTTTATTCACAGAGAGTATAAACCTTTAACAGTGGCCAGAATAGATTGGTTTTGAACAGAACAGCCATCAGAAAAGAGCCCCAAACAAAATGAACCCCCAAAAACTGTAAAATCAGGGGGTGGCTGCTTGAGGTGGAAGTTCTGCATTTACGCCCAATGAGAAAACAGATATAATTTATATTAACCCATTTCACCTCAAAAACAGATGCTGATCAATGAAATTACACTAGATTCCACAGCTGATTATTAAAAAATTCTTAATGAGAACAGTTTAGTGAGCCAATGTGGTTAGTGGAAAGATACCACACGTCTGGAGGTCTTGATTCTAAAAGTAAATTCTGCATTTTATGTAATGCTTAGAAAAACCTTGTATACTCCTAAGATCCATATGATGATGATAAGTGAAAAAGAAAGCATAAAACATAGAGTTTGATGTTATCCTTATAATACTTTTTAAAAATCACTCACATAGTATCATATATTTTGTCTGTGAACTGCAGATTTTTTTAATGGACTGTAATGATAATGTACTAAACTCATATGGGCAGTTGCCTCTAAGGAGAGGCAGTGGGACTCAATTTGGTCAGTAGAGGAGACTTTAGACTTTAACTATAATGTTTTACTCACTAAACACACACACATACACACACACACACACACACACACCAATCATTTAATATAGTAAACCATTATAAGTCACATTTATTTTTTTAAGTTTCAAGAATTTTTTCTCCTTTATTTTTTAATGGCAAACCAAAATTGTATAAAAATCACATTTTAAAAAGGAAAATAACTTATTTATGTAAACTCATAAAATGCATTGTCCTGAATCAGAGTCTTCATGAAGGAAAATAATTGAGTAAAATGAATATGCCTTGTGCAGTGAAAATAAAATATTTGATCCTGGTCCTGGCTCTACCAATTTATAGCAGCATGACCTTAGGTAATTATTTAACTTATCTGGATATTCACTTAACTATAAAGCTAAGATACTACACTTGCCTTTTTATCTCACTGAACCAAATAAATTAGATATTTTAAAACACTTTCAAAGCTACAGATCACTAATAAGATATTATTCTTTATAAAGGTAACTGCTTACATTTCTCATTTTAAATATAAATTTCCCTTAAAATTATATAGAAAAACATGTTCCCTAAAAAGAACATTAAAATATACTTTGTATCTTATTTAGTGGGAAACAGTAGAAGCTTTTCCACTAAAGACAGGAACAAGATAAGAATACCTAATATCTTCATTACTGTTAATATTTAACATCATGTTGGAGATACTAGTCAATGCAATTAGATGAGGGAAAATAATTGGAGACATAAGAATTGGACAGAAAGAGGTAAAACTATGTTTACATACAGATGATAGAATTATAAATACAGATAACACAAAAGAATCCATTGAAAAGCTACTACAATTAGTAAGAGAATTTCATAAATAGCAAGTCATAAAAATCAATATACCAAAATGAATATATAAATATAAACTGCTTAGAAGATATAAGAAATAAGCACTCCAGCCTGGGCGACAGAGCGAGACTCCGTCTCAAAAAAAAAAAAGAAATAAGATGTTGTTTACATAACAGAAAAAATGAAACAAAATATTGGCTGTGTGCAGTGATTCACACCTGTAATCCCAGCACTTTGAGAGGCCGAGGCAGGTGGATGGCTTGAGCCCAGGGGTTCGAGACCAGCCTGGGAAACATGGTGAAACCCCAACTGTATAAAAGTACAAGAATTAGCTGGGCATGGTGGCACATACCTGTATTCCCAGCTAGTGGGAAGGCTGAAGTGAAAGGATTGCTTGAGCCTAGGGAGGCTGAGGCTGCAGTGAGCCATGATCTTTCCACTGTACTGCAGCCTGGCATTATATATATACATAACCATAAAATATTAAAAACATGCCAAAATCAATATGAAGAGTTATAGTAGGCTAAATAATGAATATTCAAAGATATCACCCTAGAACCTGTAAATATTACCTTAAGAAAGAAGTGTCTTTGCAGATGTGGTTAAATTAAGTTTCTTGACATGGGGCAATTATTCTGGATTACCTGGGTGGACTCTAAATCCAGTCACAAATGTTCTTATAAGAGATAGACACAGAGAGATTTGACACACACCCAGAAGAGGAAGAGGTAATGTGGAGGAAGAGGCAGAGATTAGACTGATGTGGCCACAAGTCATGGAATGTAGGCAGCCACCAGAAACTAGAAGACGCAAGGAGCGTATTTTTCCCTTGAGTTTCCAGAAGGAGCATAGCCCAGTCTATGCCTTGATTTTGGCTCAGGGAAATGGATTCCAGACTTCTGGCCTCTAGAACTGTGAGAATAAATTTTTGCTGTTTTAAACCATCAAGTTTGTGGTAATTTGTTATAGGAGCTACAGTAAACTAATACAGGAATATAATAAAATCTTTTGAAAGACATAAATATCAACAAATAGAAAGCTATACCATGTTCTCAGATGAAAAGATTCAGCATCATAAAGATGCTTAGATGTCATATCCTCTCTTTTAATTTATACATTTAATATGTTTCTAAAAATGTCAATTTTTTTCTGGAGTTAGAAAATTTTATTATAAAGTTTATTTGGAAGAACAAATAAGAACAGCCAGGAAAACAAAGCCTAGCCTTATCAGATATTAAAATCAAATATTTAAATATATTATAAAGCCTCTATTATGAAAAATAGTATAGCATTGGCCATGAACAGATGAATGGAGCAGAACAGAAAATATAGAAATAGACCCAATTGCATATGGAAAAATAGCTCAAAAGGAAGAAAGGTTTCAATCTGTAAACTATTTCAGCTAATAATTAAAGAAGCCGTTTATAATTAAAATATGATCATTTTGCAATAATTTTCTATGGCTATGTATACCTAAAAAGGCAAAAAATCCGACGTTATGTATTTCTTGATGGAAGAACACAACACCACCTATGAAGTAGTCTTGCAAAAAAAAAAAAAAAAGTCAAATCTGAATCCAGTAGGTCTCCCTAGATATAACTAACAATATACAGAAAATATATAGGACAATAAGGGAAATATTAAACTACACCATGGGGGTGTAATCAGCAAAACCTAGACTGTGAAAAACTAAAGGATGTATGACCCAGTTTCTTCAACAATTAAATTGCAAGGGAAAAAACAGAGATGGAGGAAGAACTATAGATTAAAAGAGAATTAACAGGTATATCAATAAGTTACATGTATAAATCTTACTTGAATTCTGATTCTATCAAACTGGAAAAAGAGAAAGACAATCAGAAACACTAACCAGATATTTGATAATATTAAGGAATTATTTTTATAAGTAAAAAATTACATTGTTTTGTGTTTTGTAAAGTCCTTATATTTTAGTGCTTCATGCTGAAGTATTTGCTGATAAAATTATAGGATGTCTAGAATTCGCTTCTACATAATCCAAGCCCGAGAAATTGGGGAGAGTGTCCAGGGAAGTGAGAGGAAAAGGAATGTGGGTAGAGCTATCAATGAAATAGGATTAATCATGAATTAATAATAACTAAAGCTAGAAATCACCACTAAAGAACTTACCCATGTAACCAAAAACCACCTGTTCCCCAAAAACTACTGAAATGCTAATAATAGTAATAATAACTGAAGCTATTATAAATATGTGGAGATTATGTAATTCTTTGTACTTGTGTACATATTTAAATTTTTCCGTAATAAAATGTTTTTTTAATCTGAAAAAGATTTTAATTCTGAGCAACTATAATAAGTAAATCTAAAATGTAAAACCAACAAAGGTTTCAACGCTTTTAGAAAGACATTGCCATTAGATTATAGGCTGCTAAACACTTGCTTTTCAACCATTTAGCTTGCCTCTTCTCAAAGTAGTAAATAAGATACCCAGGTGGATATTAGGTGAGTTAGAGTGCCAAAGGACAGGAAAAGGAGATACTTACTACTAGCTGATTCCTTAACAAACTGAAATATTTATTATCCCCTTCTATTGTTACTCAGGCAACACCCAAAAGCCTGTTCTTGGCTGCCTAGCAACAGAGTGCACTACCTCCTACCTCGATTTTCCTCTGTTCTTCATGTACCCTTGGCTCCATATTTTTCTATTGTTAATTCCATCCTCTCTCCACACACCTTCTACCTCCTGCTTTTGTCCCCTAAAACATCTCCCTATTTCATGTTGACCTTCTCAGTTCTACTAATCAGGTCTGCTCTTGCAAATCAATTTGATCTTTATAAAAATGTTTGTAGGTCAAGGTAGTAAAAGATAGTGGAGCCTCAACTGTCCCTACAGATGGCTGTGGCCACTGTGAAAACCTGTTTTTCTCCATTCTTCAGGAGGTGCTAGAAAGCTGAACAAAATTCAAATTCTTACAAGGAACAGACAATCTTGCTAGAAGTTGTGTTATTATACTTGGATATTCATAGTCTACACTGGTATACTTTATAATATCCCATCTATTTTTACCAGTAAGTGATTAAAGCAAACATGGCAATGTCCTAGAACATGGCTCTGGCCCAGGTAAGAATCTTCAGCTTGGGAAACCATGATGCTGCTCTCCAGTTCCTCTTATAAGCAGGATGGCTAACTGCTAAGCAGGCTTGAGATTTTGCTGGAATCTCAGATATGGGGCCTGAAGGTGAGCCTGAGGTTGCCTGCACTTCTCTTCTTGAAATAGTACAGGAAGAACTGTCACACAACAGAAATGGTAAGAAAGTAAACAAAATGGTACTAAATAACTGTAGGAACAAAAGTGGTAGGAAATCCAAAGGGGAAATGGAAGATAATGATTTAAAAGATCCTAATAGCTTCCACTGATTGAATGATCACTATGTGCCAGGCACTATACCCAGAGCTTTGACTGTGAGAAGTACTTTGTCAAAGAAGAAAAGGAAGAGACTTAGAAAGGATAAGCAATTTGCTTAAGATTATATTCAACTTATAAGTAAGGATGAGATTTGAACACAGGCTGCCTTACTTCAAAGCAGGTGCTTGTAACAACCACACAATGTTGTCATAAAGAAATGACACAAGGATGCTGGCAAAGCTGTATTAGTGTTGTGATAAAATTATTCTGCAGGGATACTACTCTGTTTTAAAATACATGTGAACATTAAATAAAATCAAATAAATAAATATAGTATCCGAAATTGTGCTGTCAACTGGACCAAAATATTTTAAACTACATGTAAATATTAAAATTAAATTAAATTAAATATGACCAAATTTTGTTCTATCATCAAATGGACCAAAATGCATCCCTTTCGCATATTAAGATGTATCTAGTAATATTGAAAATAATCCAAATACAGTATTTTCTTACTACAAAGTACAAGTAACTGACAATCAATGACTTACAAAAAAATACATCCCGTTCACACAGAAATAAAAGGCAAGTTAATTACTTTTGAGTTTATTATGAGGAAAATAATAAAATCATGATTTAAAATGAGCAATGAAATATAAAATTTCAGGCTGCGCTTGGTGGCCCACGCCTGTAATCTCAGCACTTTGGGTGGGTCAACTAAGGTCAGGAGTTCGAGACCAGCCTGGCCAACATGGTGAAATCTCATCTCTACTAAAAATACAAAAATTAACTGGGCATGGTGACATGCACCTGTAGTCCCAGCTACTCTCGAGGCTGAGGCAGGAGAATCGCTTGAACCCAGGAGGCAGAGGTTGCAGTAAGCCAAGGTTGTGCCATTGCACTCCAGCCTGGGGGACAAGAGTGAAACTCCATTTCAAAAAAATAAAATAAAATAATAGATAAATAAATAAAATTTAAAACTTCACTCAATAAATAATACATGTGAAATATATTTCCTTTTCATAGAATGACCAATTAAAGGAGGAAGAGAATAACATAAAAGCCAATTTGCATGAAAACTTGCTAAAATTCATTGTTCATAAAAGATATGCAAATTAAAAACAATTTTTGTTTTGCCAGTCAAGTAGGCAAATATTTTTAAATGATAAAACCTAGGACTGGCATGTGTATATGTTACTTCCTTAGTAAAATAAGTTCCCTCCTACCCAGAGAGGAGAACAATAAAACCCATTTCCCATATCCCCTATACCCCAGCCCCTGGAGAACACACACCACCGCCTGTTGGTGGGTGGGGGGTGAGGGGAGGGAACTTAAAGGATGGGCCAATAGATGCAGCAAACCACCATGGCACACGTATGCCTATGTAAGAAACTGCACGTTCTACACATGGATCCTGTTTTTTTTTTAGAAGAAATAAAGAAAAAAAATAATAAGTTCCATCCTTACTCCCCTTTTGATCCCTAGATCCTTCTTTAGTCTCTCTCTAGCATACTGATCTTTTCTTTATAGAATTTAGACAGTTCTAACTGTATTTGTTAGTTTAATATTTGTTAACTGTTACACTTAGTAAGCTCTTTGAGAGCTGTGACACATCTAATTTGTTCATTATATACTCTGTTTTACCCAGTGCCTAGAACCATACTAGACAGTCAAAAAGTATGAATAACTGAATGAATGAACAGAATGCTGGAAGGTATGTAAATTAATTGCACTTCTAGTAATTTATCTTACTAAGATAATCACAGGTAAAACATTTCTACAGAAGAATACAGAGGAAGAAAACTAGACTTCATGTTATGTTTAAAAATAAATCTGTTAGTCTAAAAACTATTGTGTGGGGAGCAGTTTCTGGCTAATTGTCCAATAATTATTACAGAGAAAATTTTAAATGAGTAATAAGAATGTTCTTTTATTTTAGGCAAAGTAAGCAGTTTTTTATAATAAAAGACACAGCTTACTACGTCTTTCTAAATTTCTAAGTGTGAAGTTTATATAAAATAACATCATAAACATCATGGTGAAATAGCTCCATTTCTCAGAGAGCCCCCATACTTCTTGTAACTGCCCCTTACTAAATAGCCTAATGTAAGTTTAGATCACATAAACTTATGTTCTACTAATTACCTTTCATTGAATTTTATCAATCTCTAAAGTAATACTGCATTGACATAATTTTAATGTAAGTAAATCACAATCTTAATATTAAAATACCTCCATAATTTACCTTTTATTTATCTTAAAGTATGAAATTCAATGGTTTTCAGTATGTCCAGAGTGGTGCAATCACCACCACAATCTAAGTTTAAAACAGTTTTGTCATCCCACAGTAAAATCCATTTCCCATATCCCTTATCCCCCAGACCCTGGACAACCACTAATCTACTTTCTGTAGCTACGCATTTGCCTATGCTAGACATTTCATATAAATGGACTCATACGATATGTGTCCTTTTGTGAGTGGCTTCTTATACTTAGCGTAATGTCTTCAAGATCATCTATGTTGTAGCATGTATCGGTACTTCATTGATTTTTATGGCCAAATAATATTTCATTGTGTAGATACACATACATTTCTACTTTGCCCTTGGCCAGTAGCCTTGATATGGCAACTGCTGATTGCACCCAAAATTTAATCACCAATTATGGATGCTCATTTTGTTAAAGATTTGAATATAACTAGGATTTTTATTACAATGATAGTGAAAACAAAATGGCTTTATCCATAAAGAACTCATGTATATAAAACTTAAACATATACCCAAGCATCCATCACTTATAGATGGTCCACACACTCTGGCTGAATGTCCATAACTTTGGAGAACAAATTGCTTGTATTTTCTATACATACCATGAAGTGGACTCATAAAGAATAAACTTCCCTTATTCTACAGCAGTTAAGTACTAAAGTAAGAATTAATAACTGAAAGCTGTAATAATGCAAGAACTACCAGTTAAAATATCCAACACCTTCAAATTAAAATGAACTTTTATGAAGGTTAAAATTTTAAAACGAACTGAGCTGGAGTACTGTATTTCCAACTCAAAGTAGTAATAATTGTGCTTAATTACTGAGGTGTACTCAAGGAATGGTCATAAAAGGAAATATTAAATCTTCTTATTCATCCAGCAATTTTCTTATAATTTATTATTACACAAATCTTAATTTTTGCTGACAGGTAAATAAACAAGTAATTATGTTCATATTAATCAAGTGTTCCAGTTAAAGAAATGTAACTTTATGGCTTTACACTTCCTGCTATTCATGTTCTTGGGTAGTGTCTTCTGACATTGGATATGGGCTTGCCCCATGTGACTTGTCTTGGCCTATAGGACATTAGCAAGTCTGATACAGTGTAGGCTTCGTAAGAGCATCCATGTTGGGGCTTATAAATCTCCTTCTTGGAAGCAAGCTGCCATGGTGTAAAGAAACTTGGGCTAGAGTACTGAAAGATGAGAAGTCATGTAAAGACCCTGGAGGATGAGAGGCCATCTGGGATGTTCCTATCCATTTGAACTTCCAGCTGAATGCAGCTGCATGAGTGACCTCAGCTATACCATATGAAGCAGAGCTGCCCAGCTGAGTCTAGTGAACCCATAGAATCATGAAAAATGATAAATTTGGGGAGCAGTCATTTTTGCCACAATACACAACCAAAATAGCCTTATTAAATTATGTTACAATTCTAGTGCGGATAAAGAGTTAAAAATCAAGATGCATCCTATGAGTAATGTTATAATTGAAACCAAAATAAACTCATTATTTTAAATCTTTCTCTTCTAGTTCTGTTCACTAAAATGACAAAAATAACAATATTTCCCCACTGCAGTAGTCTAGTATGTATCGCAGGCACTTTGGTCTCTCATACCATGTTCTCCATCCCCTTGGAAAGACAGTTAATTCCATTCAGAGTGAGAAAGATAGAGTGGGAAAGACACAAAGTGGGCTTGGAACAATCAGTTAACATCAGAAAACAAGAAGTCTTTAAAAATATATGGGATCCTATCAAAAGAACAAGAGAAGACAGCTTACAATGGCTCCAAATGGTCAAGGTATGAATATTTGAGGCTCGGAAAAAACTATACTTAGGTTAAATAAATTGTGTGTTTTTAAAATGCTTCAAATATATAGTGATACTAAAAAAAAAAGAAAATATTTTCTTTTCAAATAACTAGTATTTTATTTGGAGATAAAAAATGTTGCTTAAGTTTAATTTCACATATATTATCAAGAGATTAAAGTATATCCATTTAAGGGATAATATGATCAACAGAACAGAAAGACAGGACTTTTTTCCCCCATAAAACATCAATGGACAGGCTAATGAAACTTCCTGCTACTCCCCCACAGAATACTCTCTTGACACTTGCCTATTGGATGACATGCTCCTCATTATCTCAAACATTAACAAAGTGTGTCATGACAGTTTATTCACAGGTTTGAGAGACCTTTTAAATGCTGTAGCCTTGGGCACTAGCTAAGTGAACTTGCAGCACCAGAACTCAGTGAACTTTACCTTTAGAATGTATTTGAAATAAAAGAATATTCTTTTCCTCTTAATTTATTTGGTGATAGATTCAAACAATTGTTGCTGGTTGCTGCCTTATTGTTTCCCTTACCTTCTGTGGTTCATTAGGACAAAATCCTTCCTAAACACAATGACAGAAGCCAAAGACTGATACATTGAGCCTTCTTATAATACCAATCTAGAAATAAGAGCTTTTGTAATCCTAGACTAACCCTATTTTTCCTAGTCTATACCAAGAGATGATCTAGAGGAAATAATTTATTTGGGAGATACCCCAAAATTAATATTTTAATTTTATTTATACTTATTATGCAAAGTTTGAATCATTTAAAAATTAACATATATTAATATTAAATTAATATTAACACACTTTAATTTTAATTAGTTTGCACTGCCAGCCCATGAATATTTGATGACTTAAAATTTAAAAAGGCCAATTATATAATTTTAATAGTAGTTGATATTATTTAAATATGTAACTATTATGTTAATATTACTTTAGAAGTTACTGTGCTTTTTTTTTTTTTTGAGACAAGGTCTCACTCTGTCAGCCAGGCTGGAATGCAGTGGCGCCATCTCAGCTCACTGCAACCTCTACCTCCTGGGCTCAGGTGATCCTCCCACCTCAGCCTCCCGAATAGCTGGGACTACAGGCCTGCCCCACCACATCTGGCTAATTTTTGTATTTTTTGTAAAGACGGGGTTTCGCCATGTTGCCCAGCCTGGTCTTGAATTTCTGGGCTCAGGTGATCTGCCCGCCTCAGCCTCCCAAAGTGCTGGGATTACAGGTGTAAGACACCGTGCCCGGCCTGTGCATTTTTTTTTTTTTAAAGCAAAAAGAATTCTCATTAAAAAGTAAAGTAAGTTGCACAGTGCAAATACATTAAAGAGGGAATACATTAAATACTTTCCCATTCAAAAATTTAAAAATGGCAAAGTATTTAAAACTATGGAAAAATCAGGTAGAGGAAACTGAATGTATAAAAATTTTATATAGTAAAACGTTGTTTCTCCAGCACCATCAGGATGTGTGTGTGTGTATGTAAAGGAGTGCCGACTTCTGTATACCCAAGCTGCATTTATGTCTAACTGAATTTAGATTAAACAAATACTAGCTAAGCTTGGATTGGGCCTGTTAGAAAGGTATAGGCAGATACAAGAAGTACTGAGGTTTTCAATAAATGCAATTACTTAATACACCCGTGATGTTTGCGTAATAACCTCAAAACTGTCTAGTAGTCTAGAAAAAATGTGTCAAAGCTGCACTTTTCATTATAAAAACCTATGTACCTTATCTTTTGCATCTCGCCAACAATTGTTTGAATAGTGGCCATATAAAAGAATGCATAGCTGATTTACATCAAGCTCAATGATATACGCATTTTGGTATACTTATTTTAAAAACAAAATTAAAATTAGAGAAAAAGTAGAGAGACAGATACAGAGAAAGCAGCCATGTACCACTGCCTGCTCTATATATTCCTTAATCCACTTCTGTAGAAGAAAGGTAATTACATATTCCAAGACATCTTCTATGATTACAACCTGTATATAGTTTCCTTATGTCTTATAACATCTATATATTCAACACAAAATCACTCCTTTTTTCTGGGAAGCGTCTTTTCATTTCCTACAACCCTTTTCTTTCTTCCCAAGAAAGATTAGGGAATAGGGTGCTAAGAAAGACAACAGGCTGGCTGGGCACAGTGGCTCAAGCCTGTAATCCCAGCACTTTGCAAGGCCGAGGCGGATGGATCATTTGAGGTCAGGAGCTCGAGACCAGCCTGGCCAACATGGTGAAACCCCGTCTCTACTAGAAATACAAAAATTAGCCAGGCGGTAGTGGCGTGCGCCTATAATCCCAGCTACTCAGGAGGCTGAGGTGGGAGAATCCCTCGAGCCTGGGAGGCAGAGGTTGCGGTGAGCCGAGATCGGGCCACTGCACTCTAGTCTGAGCTAGAGAGTGAGACCCTGTCTCAGGCAAAAAAAAAAGGGGGGGAAAAGGGAAGGGGAGGGGGAGGGGAAAATTATGGTGTTAGGCAAGAGACTGCACTGAGTTAAGTGGGTGTCCAGGGACTCCTACCTAGCAGTCCCAGAGTGTACTGTGTGACAGTGTTAAAGTCACTTCAGTTAAAGTCTCCATATATGTTAGTCACTTGTGACTTGCTGATCTACAACTACCAAAATGCAATAACTGGTGTTAGTAATAATGATCATCAGACATCAAGAAAAGATAGTAGCATCTTCATTATGTTCTGGTCCTCTATGTCAAGGAAGAAAAATTTTACAAAACTTTTTATTAAAAACAGCTACAAATCATAAATGCTAGTATTTAAAGAGCTAACTTTAGTTACCTAGAACTTCATCTAGAACTTTTCCCATTACTATTCATAATTTAGATTGTGTTGTATTTTCAGTTTTTAAATTTGATTTTTAACTAAGATCGTTTAGCAATTCTGAAAAATAGATTTGCATAATCAGCATGCACGATAGCGCTTTTTTTACACCTGTTAAATTGTATTTATTGATTTAAGTGAAACCAAACTCCAACATTACTAAATGCCACAATGAACTACAGTTAGACTAAATGGGGAAGCCTCACCTACCTGACTTAAATACTAAGTGCCTTAAGGTGCCCACATGATATTGTTAATATAGTAAAGTCTTAGCACCCCTGAATTTGACCTTATTGGTTTTCAGCTTTCGGGGAGGGACAAAAATTGCTCCTTGGCAGGTCTTAAGTTATAATCCTGCTTAACTAAGGCTTTGAATGCCGTGTGCGCAAGCATGCTCTCTGGGAGCGCATCCTCAGGTGAGTGTCCCAGACCGCGACCCACAATCCACATGCTCTCCAAATTTTACCGTACGGGTCAACCTTTTTTTCTGTACAGGGCCAGAGAGTAAATACTTCAGTCTTTGCAGACCAGACTGTGTGGCAACCACTTAACCCCGTTGTTCTAACGTGGGAAAGCAGCCATGGGCAATACGTAAAGGAATGAGCGTGGTGGTGTGCCAGTAAAACTTTATTCACGAACAATGAAATGTGAGCGTCATGCTTTTCCACAAGTCATGAAAGAGTACATTTCATATTTACTTTGAAAATGCAAAAATAGAACATCACACACCAGGGCCTGCCGTGGGGTGGGGGGAGGGGGGAGGGATAGCATTAGGAGATATACCTAATGTAAATGACAAGTTATGGGTGCAGCACACCAATATGGCACATGGATACATATGTAACAAACCTGCACGCTGTGCACATGTACCCTAGAACTTAAAGTATAATAATTAAAAAAAAAGGAAGAAAATGTAAAAATCATTCCTAGCTGGCCAGCAGCTGTCACACGACCCCTGCACGGTCACACGCCCAATGGCTGGGGAAGGATCGGGTGGGCAGAGGAAGGCCTCCGGTGAGGTGAGGGGGTTCCACCCGCGCCCACGGCCCGCAGGCGCTTCCCGTCTCATCTGGGCCGCGCCGCCTCAGTTGCTGCGTTCCCTGACCAGGAGAGGAGAGGGACACCCCTCGGCGTCGAGGCCAGGACCCCGGACAGTGGGGGAGGGAGGCATGTAGGACCAGGGAGAAGGAAGGGCCAGGCTTCGAGGTCGCGGAGCTCGGGAAGTTCCCCCAGGGTGTCCCCGGTCCGCTGCCTCCTCAGGCCCGTCACTCACTCGGATAAGCCGGCACAGACGAAGGCCATAGCAAAAGCGCAACTAGAAGGACTAAGGGCTTCATAGGCGTCGTCCGTAGCACTCTGCCATGCGACCGGAACGTCCTGGGGCCACCAGGCTGGGAACCTCAAGGCCGAAAGGGAAGGTGTCAGCGGAGTACCGTCCTGCCTCAGGCCCTGGGACACCCAGCAACGGTTGTCCCCAGCGCGCAAGCGCAGCGGCATGGGGGAGGGGAGAGCGAGCGGCCAAGGCCCGCCCCTCCTGGGACCGCGTGCAGGGGGCGGGGGATCGCGCGCGCCCCGCCCCGCCCCTTCCTAGTGCGCATGCTCGCTCCGCCTTCGTAGGTCCGCGCCTGGTGTGGGCTGGGAACGCCTCGACGCCCGGCTACTGCGTGCGGGGTGCTGCCTCGGGGCGTGCGGGGCTCGGCCCATCCTGCGCGGTAGGGATACCGCCGTGGTTTAAACGCGGTCCCTGTGAGGAAGGAACTGTAATGGGAGAGGCAGATAACCTGGCAATTACCACAGCGTGAAAGGGGGCTGTAGTGGGGGAAGCGCTAGGTACTGTTGTGCACAGTGGAAACCCACCCCCGGAAGCGGGTGGGGAGCTTGGCTAAGTGGAGGACAGCTTGGAGCACCCCAAGAACTGAGCATAGTTCCGGCGAGTTGCATTGTGGGGCTTGGGAGGGCAGTTGTTGGAGGACAGGGAGGAGAGGTAGGCAAGGGCATTAAAAACGCCCTAAGGGGCTTGGGTGTTTTTGTTTTTCAAAAGATCACATTCCATTTCTTTGACCTTCTTAAAAAGATAGGGGTAGGGATGAGGGAGAGTACGACTATGAAAGGATAGCATGAGGTTGTTTTGGGGACTAATAGATGGCAGTGGCCACAAGAATCTATACATGTGTTAAAATTCACAGAAGGCCGGGCACGGTGGCTCACTCCT
Source organism: Homo sapiens (assembly GCF_000001405.40). NCBI lineage: Eukaryota > Metazoa > Chordata > Mammalia > Primates > Hominidae > Homo > Homo sapiens. The sequence goes on along the minus strand of NC_000015.10, from coordinate 68,929,778 downwards.
GTAATCCCAGCACTTTGGGAGGCCGAGGTGGGCGGACCACCTGAGGTCAGGAGTTCGAGACCAGCCTGACCAACATAGTGAAACTTCGTGGCTACTAAAAATACAAAATTAGCCAGGCGTGGGTGGTGGCACACGCCTGTAGTCCCAGCTACTTGGGAGACTGAGGCAGGAGAATCACTTGAACCCGGGAAGCAGAGGTTGCAGTGAGCCGAGATCGTGCCACTGCACTCCAGCCTGGGCGACAGAGCAAGACTCCACCTCAAAAAAATAAATAAAAATAAAAATTCGCAGAACTGCACATCCCAAAGAATCTGTTTTTCTGTATGGTTATTTTTAAAAATTCACGTACACTCATCTCTGCCTCAGGAAGCAAGGGGCTTGGATTTTAGTCTGAGGCACCAGTACTAGAGTACTGCTAGGTTTTGAGCTGGGAACGGTTGTGATTAGATTTGTATTCCAGAAAACTCACTCTTCCTGTAGCATGAAGAATGGACTGGAGGGAAGCAAGACTAGAGGCGCCGGCGGAAACTGAGACTGCGCACGGCGCTTGCGGGCCAGCCCGAGTTCCGGGTGGGCGTGGGCTCGGCGGGCTCGGTGGGCCCGGCACTCAGCGCGGCCGGCCGTCCCCGCTGGCCACGGGCAGTTGGGGGGAGCTTAGCACCTGGGCCAGGAGCTGCTGTGCTCGATTTCTCGCCAGGCCTTAGCTGCCTCCCCGCAGGGCAGGGCTCGGGACCTGCAGCCTGCCATGCCTGAGCCTCCCTGAGGAGCGCCGCTCCCTGCTCCACGGCGCCCAGTCCCATCGACCGCCCAAGGGCTGAGGAGTGCGGGCGCAGGGCCGGGGACTGGCAGGCAGCTCCACCTGCGCCTGGGTGTGGGATCCACTGGGTGAAGCCAGCTGGGCTCCTGAGTCTGGTGGGGACTTGGAGAACCTTTATGTCTAGCTAAGGGATTGTGAATGCACCAATGGGCACTCTGTGTCTAGCTCAAGGTTTGTAAATGCACCAATCAGCACCCCGTGTCTAGCTAATCTAGTGGGGACTTGGAGAACTTTTGTGTCTAGCTCAGGGATTGTAAATGCACCAATCAGCACCCTGTCAAAACGGACCAATCAGCTCTCTGTAAAGTGAACCAATCAGCAGGATGTGGGTGGGGCCAGATAAGGGAATAAAAGCAGGCTGCCCGAGCCAGCAGTAGTAACCCTATGGAGTCTCTTTCTGTCGTGTGGAAGGTTTGTTCTTTCGCTTTTTGCAATAACTCTTGCTGCTGTTTACTCTGGGCCCACACTGCCTTTATAAGCTGTAACACTCGCTGCGAAGGTCTGCCGCTTCACTCCTGAAGCCAGTGAGACCACGAACCCACCGGGATGAATGAACAACTCAGATGGGCCACCATAAGAGCTGTAACACTCACCATGAGGGTCTACAGCTTCACTCCTGGTCCAGCTAGACCACGAATCCACCAGAAGGAAGAAACTCCAAACACATCCGAACATCAGAAGGAACAAATTCCGGACATGCTGCCTTTAAGAACTGTGACACTCACCACGAGGATCCACGGCTTCATTCTTTAAGTTAGACCAAGAACCCACCAATTCCGGACACATGTTGAGGAACCAATGTCTCCAGCCAACAGCCAGTAAGGACCTGAGGCCTGACAACAATCAGGTGAGTGAACTTGGTAATAGATTCTCCCCAGGTGAGCCTGGAGTTGACCACAGCCCGGCTGACATCTTGATTGTAGCTGCCTGAGAAACCCAGAGATGGAGGCACCCAGCTAAGCCACGCTTAGATTCCTGACTCACAGAAACTGTAAGACAGTAAGTGCTTGTTAAATGGAGGAGGAGAAAGCATTTGCGTAAGCAATAGCTACATACAAGGGTCTCTGTTGATTTGTTCCTTGAAAGAGACCATGCTTGGAAAGGCACCTGCAGTTGGGTACACTACTTAATTGAGTTAATAATTGTCAGTCATTCTTCCAGGTCCATCTGTTTTCATTACCAGTCAAGCTGGAAGGCAGGTATAAATTAAGATAATTGATTCAGATATTTTAGGGTGACACTATAGCTAGTCAACAAGGGATTGTTATAACTTGTGCATTACTATTTTGATTGGGGGTTGGAGAGTGTAATAAAGCTCTGTGGATTCTTCATAGTCTTTTCTATCTTGCTCACCCTTGTTCTAAAGGTTAGGAAACCAATGTGAAGATTCTGCCTTATGTCCTTTAAATGTACACTCAGGAATTGGGGAAAAAACACTGGAAGGGTTTAGGGTTCCATCGAACTTACTGTAAGGTGGACTTGGGTTAAAATTCCTTTAATTACTTCACCCCTGTAAACCCCACTCTAACCAGTGAACTACTGTGGCATACTGCGATTTTCCTTTTTTTTCAGTGCATATTTATCCCTAGATGATCACTGGTCCCTTTGGAGAAGGCTAGGAGTTAAGAATCACAGCACATACTTATCTCATTGTATTACTACTGAATTCGTCAAGGGTTTCCTGCTTTCCCTTCACTTAGGAGACTGGATTTGTGAAACACACTGCAGTTTGGGGATTGAATGAGGAACTGCAAGTGAGAGGTTCAAGTAGGATGTCTTTTAGGCCCAGAGTTGGAGTCGTTTTTCCCTTGTTTGGTTATAAAAACCCCAATAAGACTTTAGCAGTTTTCATCTTGTTAACCATTAAAAAGGAAACGGTGAAATAGCCAAGGTATATCCTAATTGTGGAATTCCAGTTTAAAAAAAAAAATGTTGTAGCTCTGTACTCCATGGTCTATGTGCTAACATATAAAATTCTCTAAAATATGGTGTTGAGTAAAAAAGTTCAGAAAAACACATATATCCACTTATGCAAAATTACACCAGTTACATATTTCCATGAATTCATCTGAAATCATTCTGGAAGGAAACACAGTAAGCTGATAATAGTGCTTACTTCCAGAAAGAGAAATGAGATTGGAGGAGAACAGGGGATTTTGAAGGGAGAATTTTGCTTTTTACTTTTTCTTATCCCTTGAATTTTTTGAAGCAAGATTACTCATGTAATTAAAAATAGAAACAGTAACTTTTTACAAAATCTAGTGAAGAAAGGAGGGCTAGTGGTAGAAATGTCTTATTATGCCTCATGTTTTCCTTTACTGACTTCACTGAAATATTTTTGAAGTGGCTAATTCACTACCCAGAGAAAAGTAGCCTGCATTTCTGCTTCACCTCTGGATTCTGTAGACTGTTTTGATAGGTAATCAAACAGTATCATTTACTGTTATGACTTTTTTTCAGGGATGTATTTTATCTCCCCTTTATAGTTGTTTTTATGCTGTCTATTTTACACAACACCTTGCTGGTGCTCAATAAAGACTTAATAAATAGCAACACATGCTCTTCCAACCTAAAGGAAAAGAATCCTTCCCCACTTTCCCCCACCCTCTTCCCCTAGAGCTGTCAAAATTCTGTTTCAAGGCTCAAATGCCACATCTGCTGGGAATCTCCCCTCCATCATCCCTCCAGTTAGAATGTATCATATCTTCCCTATCCCATATTTTCATAATGCTGTATTGTAGCCATTATTTCACCATAAATTCTGTATTTTATGTTTTTACAAGCCAGGCTTCTCTAGACCAAGGTCTTTGAGGGAAGGAATCTGATCTGAGTTATCCCTGCATCACAACCTCCTAAAACCCAGCCAAAGTAGTGTGCATTCATCAGGTGCTCAATAAATGCATATTTGAGTTCAATTGAAATCAAAAGACTGGGAATTTTTATAGAATCTTAAAAAGATCGCTGGGAATCTTGTAGAATTTTTACAGACCCTTAAAAAGAGCTAACAATACTAACCCAGCTACAGTGACAACTTCCAGCACAATCTTCAATCTCCAGAAGAAACTCCTCATCTCGAAGTGTCTTAACTCTATTATTTAAGTCCAGGTGAAACGAATAACAGGTGGTCTCATCTGTTCTTCTCTCTGTATATCATGCAAGTAATTCTAGACAATAAATTCCTGATTGTGAAACCACTATGTCAAAATAAATGTACCAGTTTGCATATCCATCAATAGTATAGTAACTAATACTGAGTGGCATCATCTTTGAAGACCAGTCACGTCAAGTGCCATATCTTGTTTTAACCTGTTTGACTTTGTTTTTCAGTGTAGCAAAGTGTTCTGCCTACTCTCCCTGTTCCCACCTTGGATTTTCCCTGTATTCCTTCTAGTATACATCTAACCCCACACTTACTGTTTTTTATTCTTTCTCCTGTTAACCCAAGTGATGAGTTAATAGGCTATGGGTTAGCCAGAGCTATATTTGTCTCCCTAGAAGAAGTATATTTGGGAAGTCCCTCCCCTCTTATCTTAGGTCACTTCCTTAATCCTTTCTTACCCCGCCCACCCCACCCCCCTCCCCGCCCCGTCCCGCCCCGCCCCATTCTCCTGGGACCAATGCACTGAGCAGCTAGGACCACAGCTCTAGCTTAATTAACACCAATGCAGTTTTTTACATCTCAGATCTCAAACATCATGTCTTAACAGCTCTTGGCCCCATGTGTGGAAAAATAGTTGAAATTAAATACTATTAAATGAATGAATACCCCAATCCCTCCATGCATTTATCCATCCATCCAACTATTCATACATCCACTCTGCCCTTGTAAAAATCACTGTAACATTATCAGCATGAGAGCACCGGCAGCTTTGTCAGAGAAGGACTTCAGCCACCCGGGGGCAGTAGAGCCTCACCAGTGGCTGGGATGGCACTTGTGGTTACATCAGAGCATCTCTCCAGCTGTGACTCTAGAAACTGAATTTTGATTTTGCTGCAGTAGATCATGTTTTGCTATTGTGTGTTTTGCTTTACTCTCATGCACTTGGAACGTACCAAATAGCATGTAATAATGTTTAAGTGATTTAATAGTAATAGCCTTTGTTTTCCAAAGAAGATTTTCTTCAGTGCCGGCTACGTAGAAGAATGTTACATCCAGTCTTTTCTCTGACAAAGCTAGTCCACATGCAGTTACATTATAGATAGTCCTTGGCTGAAATCAATTCATGAAATGAGACCTGGGAGCACACAGAAGAAGCAGGCTGACCCTTGGGAATGCCCACTGTCTGCACGATCTGCCCCACCTGATGTAGGCAATATACACTTTTTAAATTTTTTAAAAATTGTATTTTTTTAACTTTTATTTTATATTCGGGGGCACATGTGCAGGTTTGTTACATAGGTAAACTCGTGTCATGGGAGTTTGTTGTATACATTATTTTATCACCCAGATACTAAGCCTGACATCTGGGCCCTGAATAGGCTCTGTGGGATGTTTTTGATTAATAAATGGATGGCAGAGGAATCCTGGAGTGTAGATGGTGATCGCTGGGAAGGGGTTACAAGTGTGTGAACCTCACAGGATTTTTAGCTCTGTCCAGGAAAACCCTCTTTCCTGTTGACTCTACCAAAGTCAGTGTGCATCCCTGTGAAAGTCTGAAAGTATAGCTGGGGACTTACAGAGATGCTAGGACAATGATTTATTGTCCTGTGGACTCATCCAACTAGGAGGGTCCTGGAATTCTAAAGGAATACTCAATACAAATTTAATTTGTATTCACTTAGCTTTTGTAAAATTATGTCCTCACTAAATAGAAAGATTCTTAAGGCAGAGACCATGTCTTTTTGTGTTTGTACCCCAGGGACTTTTCACAGTGCCTGGCAGAGTTTGGACACTACGTATGTGCTGAATAATATGTGAAATTTTCTGATGGGTGCCACGAAGTCAAATAGAAGATGACTTTGGGTAAGGAGAACCTTAATCTCTGAATCTCATTGTGCTTATCCCTAAAATAAGAACCCTTTGTATTTGAATTATGCTTAAGTCTAAACCTTACATATAGATCAAATATATTTCCTTTTACACTCACAAGCATACTGGGAGGGTAGGCTAAACAAGTGCTGTATGAGCATCCCAGTTCCACAGGTGAGAAAACTGGGACTCAGACTAAAAGACCTAGCCAGGTCACTCAGCCACATCCTGATGAGCTGAGACTACAAGACCCAGGTCTTTTGACTCTCAGTACAGCACACTTTGACTATACCTTTGTGGATTACAGGGGATAATTGGACTAGTCAGTCTCTTGGAGACTTTCTTCTAGCTTCAGAAATGGTTCTCAGGCCACACTGAGAATTAGTTCAGAAACTTTTTAAACATAACCAATAATCAAGACTGTGTGGTATTGGCAGAGGAGTAGACACATGTATCAATGGAACAGAATAGAAAAATCCAGAAATAGACTACACAAATATGTCCAAGTGATTTTTCACAAAATGCAAATGCAATTAAATAAAGGAAGGATTGCCTTTTCAATAAATGGTACTGGAGCAATTGGATGTGCACAGGTAAAAACATGAACATCAACCTAAATTTCACACTTTATATAAAAATTAACTCAAAATGGATCACAGGTATAAATCCATAAAACTTTAAGAGAAAAATAGGAGAAAATTGTTATCAGCCAGGTCCAGGTCTGTTCTGCCCATGCACAGTAAGTCAGTCACAGTCACCTGGATTTGCAAAAGACAAAATATTTATTTACAAAGCTGCCAGGTGAGGAGGTGGGAGACCAGCTCTCAAATCTGCCTCCCCAAAGATGAGGCTTAGGGATATTTATGGGTTAGGGAAGTGGGGTGGTCTAAGGTGTGGGGAAAGGTGATTGACAGTGGGGGAAAAATGAAGTGGCAGGTTCTGCACAAGTGTCATTTCATGGAACATATGCACAGAAAATGCCAGCATTAGCATGATCCGAGGGAGAAGCTTTGGCCCTCTAACATCAAAAGGCCACCTCTCCAGCACCTGCACAAGCCCAGTTGAAGGGGCAGTGGCCTCAACCAGTTCAAACTGGACAGGAGCTGGCCCAAGTTCCTGAAAAACAACTGAAGTGACCATTACCATGGTGACCCATGAGTTACCGATAAAGGAGCCAAGGAAGGATAAATTTCAGTGTGCAGCAGCAAGGGCTTCAGCTACTGAGGCCTTCAGCTTCATGGAAAAAGGAAGGAAAAAAAATAACAAGAAGCAAGCGACCAAAAAAACCAAGCAGGGTAGGCAGACCTGATCAAATTAACACCTGGGTTTTGAAATCTTCAGGATCTATGATTAGGCAAAAAGTTTTTAGACTTGACAACAAAAGCATAATTCATAAAACTGATAAATTGGACTGCATCACAATTTAAAATGTTTGCTCTGAGAAAGACCCTGTTAGGATGAAAGACAAATTACAAATTTCTTTTAAAATCTGCAAACCACAAATCTGACAAAGGACTAGTGTCTAGAATATAGAGAATTCTCAAAACTCAACAGTGAGAAGTATCAGTTAGAAAATGGGCAAAAGACAGACATTCACTGAAGAGAATACACAGATGCAAATAATGCACATGAAAAGGTGTTCAGCATCGTTAGCCACCAGGGAAATGTGAATTAAAACTACATGAGTTATCACTACACACATATCAGGATGACTAAAATGAAAATAGTGACAACACCAAATGCTGTTGAGGATGCAGAGAAACTGGATCACTTATAAATTGCTGGTGGATTTATTCCAGCAGCCACCTCTGCAAGGCAGTTTGGCATTTTCTTATGAAACTAAATATGCAAAAACCATACAACTCAACAATTGCACTCTTGGGCACTTCTCCAAGAAAATGAAAACTTATGCCCACACAAAAACCTATACATGAGTAATCATAGCAGCTTTATTCATCATAACCAAAAAAAAATCTGGAAGCAACCGAGCTGTCCTTCAGTGGGCAAATGGTTATACACACTGTGATGCACCCACACCATGGACTACTATTCAGCAATGAAAGAAATGAACTTTTGATACATGCAACGATACATGCAATGACTTAGATGAACCTTCAGTGAATGACGCTGAGTGAAAAAAGTCAATCCCCAAAGATTACATATTGTATGATTCTATTTATATAACATTCTTAAAATGACAATTATAGAAATAAAGTAAGGTTAGTTGTTGTGAGGGTAGGAGATGGGAGAGGAAAGAGAAGTGGGAGGTAAGGAGGTGTGGTTAAAAATGGGCTACACAAGGGATCCTTTGGTGATGGAAATGTTTTGTGCCTTTATTATAGCAATCTCAATATCCTGGTGGAGAGCCAGGTATGGTGGCTCATGCCTGTAATCCCAGCACTTTGGGAAGCTGAGGCAGGCGGATCCCTTGAGCCTAGGAGTTCAAGACCAGCCTTGGCAACATGATGAAAACTCACCTCCCCGAAAAAATACAAAAATTAGCCAGGCATGGTTGCCCACACCTGTTGTCCCAATTACTTGGGAGGCTGAGGTGAGAGAAAGGCTTGAGCCCAGGAGGTTGAGGCTGCAGTGAGCCTTAATCATGCCACTGCACTCCAACCTGGGTGACAAAGCAAGACCCTGTCTCAAAAAAAAAAAAAAAATCCTGATCCTGGTGGTGAAATTATACACATCTTGTACATATCTTGTTTTGCAAGATGCTACCATTGTGGAGAAAACTGGGTAAAAGGGTATGTTGAATCACTGTATTATTTTCTACACAAATACATATGAATCTACAATTATTTCAAAAGTTTAATTTAAAAAAAAGCTCTATCCCCAACCAATTGAATCAGAATTTTTCAGGTGGAGTCTGGACATTGGGATTTTTAAAAAAATAGAGTACAAAAGATTTTAGATAATTAACTCTAATACACAACTAGGGCTGAGAAGCCCTGTACTGTAGGGGGACAAATGCAGCAGGTGGCTCTAGTAAGTAGAGTTTGAACGAAGATGAAGAACTTTCCACATCTTTTTTTTTTTTTTTTTTTTGAAACAGAGTCTTGCTCTGTTGCCCACGCTGGTGTGCAATGGCACAATCTTGGCTTAATGCAACCTCCACCTCCCAGATTCAAGTGATTCTCCTGCCTCAGCCTCCCGAGTAGCTGGGATTACAGGCATGTACCACCACGCCCAGCTAATTTTTGTATTTTTAGTAGAGATGGGGTTTTGCCATGTTGGCCAGGCTGGTCTTGAACTCCTGGTCTCAAGTGACCCACCGGCCTTGGCCTCCAAAAGTGCTGGGATTACAGGCATGAGCCACCACACCCAGCCCACCACTTTCATTTTATTTCAATGTCAGTGAACTATATTTACCATCACAGAGAATAAATGCTTAATTTTTGATGTTGAAATTGGCAAATACTGCTAGTGGTCTCTGAGGTGGTCAGTGCAGCCTAGAGAAGGTTTAGTAGTGACCACACAAAGGCAGACCCGATTTTTAGGGCTTTTTTCCCCTTACTCCTTACTCTTACTCTGAGTAGTTGATTGAAGAAGAGTAGAAGTCAGCATCTCATTGATGCTTATTTTTTTTAACTGAGGTGAACGTCACATACATAAAATTAGCCATTTTAAAGTGCACAATTTGGTGGCATTTAGTACATTCACAATGTTGTGTAATTACTCCTCCGATCTAGTTTCAAAACACTTTATTGGTGGGGTATGGTGGCTCATGCCTGTAATCCCAGCACTTTGAGAGGCCTAGGAAGGAGGATCACTTGATCCCATGAGTCCAAGACCAGCCTGGGCAACACAGTGAGACTCCATTTTTACAAACAAACATTTTATCTCCCCAAAAGAAAACTCCATACCTGGTAAGCAGTTATTTCTCATTTCCCTCTCATTGCATCCCCTGGAAAACAACAATCTGCTTTGTCTCTTTGGATTTGCCTATTGTTAATATTTTATATAAATGGACTGATACAATATGTAGGCTTTTGTGACTGGCTTCTTTCACTTAGCATATTATTTTTGAGGTTCATTCACATTGTAGCATGTATCAGCATTTAATTCTTATGGTAAAATAACATTCCATTATATGTGTGTACCACAATTTGTTTATCCTTTTATCTGTTGATGGACATTTGGGTTTTTTCCAACCTTTCAGCTGTCGTGAATAGTGCTGCTGTGGACATGCACGTAAATGTATTTGTCTGAGTATCTGTTTTCAATTATTGGGACTATTATTTGAAACTACTGGATCAAACTGAAATTCTGTATGTTACTTTTTGAGGAATCGCCAAACTTTTCCACAACAGCTAGACATTTTGCATTCCCACTAGCAATATACAAGGGTTTGGTTTTTTTCACATCCTTACCAAGACTCCTTATTTTCTGGTTTGTTTGTTTTAATTATAGTTACTGTAAGGGGTGTGAAGTTTCTTTTTTTTTTAATTTAACTTTTTGGTACATGTGCACAACGTGCAGGTTTGTTACATATGTATACATGTGCCATGTTGGTGTGCTGCACCCATTAACTTGTCATTTAGCATTAGGTATGTCTCCTAATGCTATCCCTCCCCCCTCCCCCCACCGCACAACAGTCCCCGGTGTGTGATGTTCCCCTTCCTGTGTCCATGTGTTCTCATTGTTCTATTCCCACCTATGAGTGAGAACATATGGTGTTTGGTTTTTTGTCCTTGCAATAGTTTGCTGAGAATGATGGTTTCCAGCTTCATCCATGTCCCTACAAAGGACATGAACTCATCATTTTTTATGGCTGCATAGTATTCCATGGTGTATATGTGCCACATTTTCTTAATCCAGTCTATTGTTGTTGGACATTTGGGTTGGTTCCAAGTCTTTGCTATTGTGAATAGTGCCACAATAAACATACGTGTGCATGTGTCTTTATAGCAGCATGATTTATAATCCTTTGGGTATATACCCAGTAATGGGATGGCTGGGTCAAATGGTATTTCTAGTTCTAGTTCCCTGAGGAATTGCCACACTGACTTCCACAATGGTTGAACTAGTTTACAGTCCCACCAACAGTGTAAAAGTGTTCCTTTTTCTCCACATCCTCTCCAGCACCTGTTGTTTCCTGACTTTTTAATGATTGCCATTCTAACTGGTGTGAGATGGTATCTCATTGTGGTTTTGATTTGCATTTCTCTGATGGCCAGTGATGATGAGCATGTGTCTTTTGGCTGCATAAATGTCTTCTTTTGAGAAGTGTCTGTTCATATCCCTTGCTCACTTTTTGATGGGGTTGTTTTTTTCTTGTAAATTTGTTTGAGTTCATTGTAGATTCTGGATATTAGCCCTTTGTCAGATGAGTAGGTGCAAAAATTTTCTCCCATTCTGTAGGTTGCCTGTTCACTCTGATGGTGGTTTCTTTTGCTGTGCAGAAGCTCTTTAGTTTAATTAGATCCCATTTGTCAATTTTGGCTTTTGTTGCCATTGCTTTTGGTGTTTTAGACATGAAGTCCTTGCCCATGCCTATGTCCTGAATGGTATTGCCTAGGTTTTCTTCTAGGGTTTTTATGGTTTTAGGTCTAACATTTAAGTCTTTAATCCATCTTGAATTAATTTTTGTATAAGGTGTAAGGAAGGGATCCAGTTTCAGCTTTCTACATATGGCTAGCCAGTTTTCCCAGCACCATTTATTAAATAGGGAATCCTTTCCCCATTGCTTGTTTTTGTCAGGTTTGTCAAAGATCAGATAGTTGTAGATATGTGGCATTATTTCTGAGGGCTCTGTTTTGTTCCATTGGTCTATATCTCTGTTTTGGTACCAGTAGCATGCTCTTTTGGTTACTGTAGCCTTGTAGTATAGTTTGAAGTCAAGTAGCGTGATGCCTCCTGCTTTGTTCTTTTGGCTTAGGATTGACTTGGCAATGCGGGCTCTTTTTTGGTTCCATATGAATTTTAAAGTAGTTTTTTCCAATTCTGTGAAGAAAGTCATTGGTAGCTTGATGGGGATGGCATTGAATCTGTAAATTACCTTGGGCAGTATGGCCATTTTCATGATATTGATTCTTCCTACCCATGAGCATGGAATGTTCTTCCATTTGTTTGTGTCCTCTTTTATTTCATTGAGCAGTGGTTTGTAGTTCTCCTTGAAGAGGTCCTTCACATCCCTTGTAAGGTGGATTCCTAGGTATTTTATTCTCTTTGAAGCAATTGAGAATGGGAGTTCACTCATGATTTGGCTCTCTGTTTGTCTGTTATTGGTGTATAAGAATGTTTGTGATTTTTGCACATTGATTTTGTATCCTGAGACTTTGCTGAAGTTGCTTATCTGTTTAAGGAGATTTTGGGCTGAGATGTTGGGGTTTTCTAGATATACAATCATGTCATCTGCAAACAGGGACAATTTGACTTCCTCTTTTCCTAATTGAATTCCCTTTATTTCCTTCTCCTGCCTGATTGCCCTGGCCAGAACCTCCAACACTATGTTGAATAGGAGTGGTGAGAGAGGGCATCCCTGTCTTGTGCCAGTTTTCAAAGGGAATGCTTCCAGTTTTTGTCCATTCAGTATGATATTGGCTGTGGGTTTGTCATAGATAGCTCTTATTATTTTGAGATACGTCCCATCAATACCTAATTTATTGAGAGTTTTTAGCATGAAGGGTTATTGAATTTTGTCAAAGGCCTTTTCTGCATCTATTGAGATAATCATGTGGTTTTTATCTTTGGTTCTGTTTATATGCTGGATTACGTTTATTGATTTTCATATGTCGAACCAGCCTTGCATCCCAGGGATGAAGCCCACTTGATCATGGTGGATAAGCTTTTTGATGTGTTGCTGGATTTGGTTTGCCAGTATTTTATTGAGGATTTTTGCGTCGATGTTCATCAAGGATATTGGCCTAAAATTCTCTTTTTTTTTTTTTTGTTGTGTCTCTGCCAGGCTTTGGTATCAGGATGATGCTGGCCTCATAAAATGAGTTAGGGAGGATTCCCTCTTTTTCTATTGATTGGAATAGTTTCAGAAGGAATGGTACCAGCTCCTCCTTGTACCTCTGGTGGAATTCGGCTGTGAATCCATCTGGTCCTGGACTTTTTTTGGTTGGTAAGCTATTAATTATTGCCTCAATTTCAGAGCCTGTTATTGGTCTATTCAGAGATTCAGCTTCTTCCTGGTTTAGTCTTGGGAGAGTGTATGTGTCGAGGAATTTATCCATTTCTTCTAGATTTTCTAGTTTATTTGCGTAGAGGTGTTTATAGTATTCTCTGATGGTAGTTTGTATTTCTGTGGGATTGGTGGTGATATCCCCTTTGTCATTTTTTATTGCGTCTATTTGATTCTTCTCTCTTTTCTTTATTAGTCTTGCTAGTGGTCTATCAATTTTGTTGATCTTTTCAAAAAACCAGCTCCTGGATTCATTGATTTTTTTGAAGGGCTTTTTGTGTCTCCATTTCCGGGTGTGAAGTTTCATTGAGATTTTGATTTGCATTTTCCAAATGACTAATGATATTGCACAGTTTTTCAGGGGCATTTTGGCCACTTATATATCCTCTTTGGAGAAATGTGTATTCAAGTTTTTTCCCCATTTTTTAATTGGGTTTTTTCTCTTTTTGTTGTTGAGTTGCAAGAATTCTTTATATATTCTAGACAGTAGACTCTTATCAGGGATATGGTTTGCAGATATTTTCCCCCATTCTATGGGTTGTCTTTTCTCTTTCTAAATAACGTCTTTAATGCGCAAAAGTTTTTAATTTTGATGAAGTCCAATTTGTCTATATTTTTCCTCTGGTTGCTCATGCTTCTGATATCATATTTATGAACCCATTGCCAGATCTAAAGTCATGAAGATATACCTCTGTTTTCTTCTAAGGATTTTATAGTTTTAGCCTTTATATTTAGATTGTTGATCCATTTTAAGTTGATTTTTAAAATATGGTGTGAGGTAGGGATCCAACTTAATTCTTTTGCATATGGACAGCCAGTTGTCCCAGCACCATTAGTTGAAACACTGTTCTTTCCCTATTGAACAGTCTTGGCACTCTTGCCAAAAATCAATTGGCCATAGATGTGTGGGCTTATTTCTCAACTCTTGATTTCATTCCACTGGCCTATATGTCTATTCTTATGGCAGTATCACAGTTTTGATTACTGTAGCTGTGTAGTAAGTTTTGAAATCTAAAAGTGTGAGTCCTGCAACTTTTTCAAGATTGTTTCAGCTCTTCAGGGCTCTCTGTGTGTTATGATCCATGAACACAGTTGTCTTTTCATTTATTTAGGTCTTTTTAAATTTCTTTCAGCAGTGTTTTATAGTTTTTAGTGTACAAGTCTTTCACCTTTTTGGTAAAATTTATTCCTAGGTATTTTATTTTTTGATGCTATTGTAAATGTAATTGTCCTCTCTCAATTTTCTGTTCAAATTGTTCATTGCTTATATATAGAAATATGGCTAAATTTTGTGTTTTGATCTTGTACCATGCAACTTTATCAAATTTGTTTCTATTAGTCCCACTTCACTCCCCCAGGCCATTTGGAACCTTCCAGAAATAACATTTATTTTAGAGCCATTCACAGACAGCTTCTGCTTCCTGTTTTAAAAATATCTGAAAATTTACTTGGATGGTGTCTAGAGAGAGACAGATGTAGGCTTGGGAAAACCCAAGAGAGTAAGAAATAACTTAGGGAAGAAGGAAAAGCATTCTTTATTCTTTTTATCCTCCATATTTAAAATAGAGCAATATGAATAGGCCCAAACACATAACTTTAGTTCTTTAGACAATATATTAGCTTTATTTGATAAGTGACTTTAATATTACCTAAGTGAACCCTTTTCCTCAAAATATAGTAGGATAGATAAGGTGTTTGTTTGTTCATTTGTTTTCTGAGATGGTGTGGAGAGCCTGGTTTGTCACCAGTGGCAGTCACCACTGCTTTTTGTCTCTTATGTAGACAATGCAAGTACATGGTATTCAGAGTAAGGACCTAACAACAGCTCCCTGATTCTAAAAAAAAAAAAACAAATAAAAATAAAAAAAAGTGTTTTTAAAGACATTCTGGCCAGACACGGTGGCTCATGCCTGTAATCCCAGCACTTTGGGAGGCCAAGGCAGGTGGATCACTTGAGGTCAGGAGTTCGAGACCAGCCTGGCCAACATGGCGAAACCCCATCTCTACTAAAAATACAAAAATTAGCCAGACCTGGCACACACCTGCAATCCCAGCTACTTGGGAGGCTGAATCAGGAGAATTGCTTGAACCAAGGAGACGGAGATTGCAGTGAGCCGAGATTGTGCCACTGCACTCCAGCCTGAGCAACAGAGTGAAACTCTGTCTCAAAAAAAAAAAAAAAATTCTGCCTTAAAAAACAGAAACTAATATAAGCACACCCTAAAAAAATTCAAATGAAATACTTCCAGTCCCATTCCCAAGTACTAACCACCCTTGACAATTTGCTGGGAATATAGTATTTCCTGTATTATTTATGAGCATACATATACACATGTATTCAGATTGTTTTATTTTTTAACTTATTTTAATACTGTACATGCCTGTAACTTGTTTTCTTCTCCCCAGTTTATTCCCAACTTACTTCCATGTCAGTGTATACAAAACACCTCAATGAAGTTTTTAACTCTATTGTTAAATATCTAGGTTGTCAACTTTTAACTATTACAAATGTTACAGATATTCAGCAATAAGCTTTCCTTGTTCATATATTTTTGCAAATTTGTGTAAATATTCAGTGTGCTGGGTTCTCAGAAATGACCTTACTCAATCAGAGTATATGCGTATTTAAAATTCTGTATATGGGGTCAAATTGCCCTCCAAAAAGCTTGTATCCGTTTACTTTTCCACAAATGCAGACATGATTACTGTCTTCCCCACATCCTTTTGGTGAGACTTTTTATCTGACTCTCCACTTTGATAAAAGTAATCTATTTTCAGTCATTCATGAGCTCCAATTGCCTTTGTTTTAACTGACCTTGCAGTTGAAATCTCACTGGTGCTGTGAATGGCCAAGTCTTAAGTGGTTAATTAATGAAGCTGCCGTAACTTTTTTGTTTATTTTACCATTTTGATTCTTTTCTTTCAGGTCTAGAAGTCTTTTTTGTTTTGATTTGGTTTAGTTTTGTTTTTCAAGTAGCAACAGGCAAATATGTTAATCAAACTTGATCACAAATGACTTTATTTCAAGACTTAAGTTCTACTATAAATCATTATTTATAGATTCTGCAGACCATGCCATTGGTTAAAGGACAACATGCAATCTATGAGAAACACCACTATTCTCTTTTACTATTATTTGTTTCAGCACTAAACCTCCAACAATACAGTAGTTTGGCTGTTGGTAATGTGTATTGATTTTTTAGTAATGCGATTCACTTGGGGTACAGTTTCAGCAGGGCTGTAATACTCTCTGAACCTTTTATTTCGTTCCATATTCAAAAATATTTCTTAGATCTCTGGATACTTACATTTCAGCCCTGGAACCCCAAATCTAGGGCTTTCTGAATTTATGCCACAGAGGTGTGGCAACAGCCTCCAGGTAATTTTGAGAAAGGTAAGTCTCTCTCAGGTCAGAAAGAAAATTGCAAATTTTCTATGGCCATTTTGATTTTAGTTTATAAAACACTCTACTCTGAGTTATATAAAGGACATTATGTAATTGCATTTGTTGTTGTTGTTGTCCGGTAGTCTATTTGAGTTAGAGATTGGTTTAGAAAGATGTGGGCAGAGGGTTGTGGAGGCCTCCGTTCCTCTAAGCTGAACTCTTCTAGTTTGAGTGCCTGTTTCAGCATGAAGGGAAAACATCTATCTTCTGTTCTTTACCAGAAAAAATCTCCAGACTCAGCAGTAAGAAACCAGGCATCCTCTAAGATTAGGGTGTGCTGTACTCTGAAGGGCCTACGTCAGTAACCAACCATCCTGGTTTACCTGGACAGGACTGTCTGGGTTTTAGCACTGACAGCCCTGCATCCCGTGAAATCCTGTAGTTCTGTGCAACCCAGAGGGTTGGTTGCTTTAGCAGTGCAAACAGGCTCAATGGCATCTATTACTTTGTCATTTTGTAGAAATGGCAAAATGGTTATAAAAGTTGCGATCTGTTTTAACATTTAAATTTTTTAAATTAACCCATTTAAAACACCCCAAATGTACAATTTATTATACTTGTGCTATTTATAAAAATAATCTCAGAGTTTTTAACAATATTAATTTACACATAGCAGTCCACTAACGGCATAAGTTAAACATTGTAAGGTGAACATCTCCTTCCTTCATTCTTGTTGGTCTGTCTCTGACTACAGAAATAGCCTCATATAAATGGCATGTCCACATTCTAAATTCAAGGCCCTCTGTGAAAGTGAGTTCTGGCCGTGGCAGCTCTGATGAGGTGGGAGGAGTCATTTTGCCACTAAAGTGGCAAAATGTAAGACATTCAAGAGGGTGGAGTGCCAAGAACAAGGTAAGCCTGCCCGTGGTGCAGGCAAGAGGGAACATCGAAAAAAAATTTATAAAGTAACAAAACCAATGGAAAGTTGACCTACTTTTTATTGTCACTACTCCCTGGCAATTATAAAAAATGTCAATGGTAAGGCCAGGCACGTTGGCTCACACCTGTAATCCCAGCACTTTGGGAGGCCAAGGCAGGCGGACCACCTGAGGTCAGGAGTTTGAAACCAGCCTGGCCAACATGGCGAAATCCTGTCTCTACTAAAAGTACAAAAATTAGCCAGATGTGGTGGCACATGCCTGTAATCCCAGCTACTTGGGAGGCTGAGGCAAGAGAATCACTTGAACTAGGGAGGCGGAGGTTGCACTGAGCCAACAATGCACCACTGCACTCCAGCCTGGGCGACAGAGCAAGACTCTGTCTAAAAAAAAAAAAAAAAAAAAAAAAAAAGTCAATAATAAAACACTCCTACCTAAAAACAAAATTATTGGTCTGCACTCTATACAATAGCAGTGATTACTGGTGAGTTTTAAGAATATACATGTAATCTGTCAATTAGTACATCTGTTTACCGCTTATACTTGAGAATTGTTCCAGCTGTCTGGCACAGTGTGTGCCTGAATCCGGCTCAAGTGATAAACACATTCCTGCATTGAGATGGTAGATTTGACATCAGCAATGATGGCACAGCCTTATAGATGAAGAAGCAAAACCTGAGTTACTTCAATCATGTCAGTCTTTGTGACCTCTTAGCGTTTTCATTTGTATTTAAAGTTGAAAACAGGCCAGGTGCGGTGGCTCATGCCTGTAATTCCAGCACTTTGGGAGGCTGAGGCAGGCAGATCACCTGAGGTCAGGAGTTTGAGACCAGCCTGGCCAACGCAGCAAAAACCCATCTCTACTAAAAATACAAAAACTAGCTGGGCATGGTGACATGTGCCTGTAATTCCAGCTACTTTGGAAGACTGAGGTAAGAGAATCACTTAAACTTGAGAGGCAGAGGTTGCAGTTAGCCGAGATCATGCCACCGCACTCCAACCTGGGTGACGGAGCAAGACTCCATCTCAAAAAATAAAAGGAAAAAAATAATAAAGTTGGAAACAGTAAAGTAGGGCAAATTGTGAGATATATTTTTGTTGTTAACACAAATTTTATTTCATATGTGAAATATCTTTAAAATGTATACTCTTTTAGTAGTTGTTATAAAACTAAAGAACAAATCAAGAGAATCATTATTACTGATTATTACAGAAGGTAATCTTGCCCTATAGAGGATCGGGGATGTTGAATATATTAGGTATGCCATCAACTGCCCCCTAACAAAACAAAAAGTGAGAAGAGGCCTGCCAGAAGCACTGCTCCAAAACATTAACTCTGCAAGGAATATTTAAGGAGCTTTGGAATTGGGCGTTGGGCATTGCAGTGTTACCAGCTGTCTTTTTTTTTTTTGTTTTTTTTTTTTTTTCAACATTTTCCCACCAAAAGGCATACAGATACTGTAATAAGCACATTCAGCAGTTTGTTCTAGGTCAAATCTTGGGAACATTACGCTAAGTGAAATAAGACAGTCACAAAAAGACAAATACTACATGATTCCACTTAAATGTGGTTTTAAAGAAACCAGACTCTTAGAAACAAGCAGAATTGTTGCTAGGGACTGGGGAAAGGGGAGAGGGGGAGTTGCTGTTTAATAGGTATAGAGCTTCAGTTTTGCAAGATGAAAAAGCTTTTAGAAATCTGTTGCACAACAATATGAAAATAGCTGACACTACTGAACTTCACACTTAAAAATGGTTAAGATGATACATTTTATACTGTTTAGCACAAAAATAATTTTATAAAAATGTACCTTTTGAAGGTTTTTTTATCTGATATGTGTAATACATAAAGCCAATTCTATCTAGATCCAGTCTTTATATTCTTTTTTTAATATACAGACAGGGTCTCACTCTGTTGCCCAGGCTAGAGTGCAGTGTTGTGATCATAGCTCATTGCAGCCTCAAACTCTTGGGCTCAAAAGATCCTCTTGCCTCAGCCTCCTGAGTAGCTAGGACTACAGGTGCATGCTACCACACCCAGCTAACTTTTTAATTTTTTGTAGAGACAGGGTCTTGCTGTGTTGTCCAGTGTTTACATTCTAAAGACACTGTATGTTGTCTGTCTAGAAATAATATGCTTTGGAGTGACCCAAACTGCAGTTAATGACATTAACAGGTAGAGGTGTTTTACATACCCAATGAAGGGATACACCTTTGCAAACTTTTCTATATTCTTCACAGATGCAGTCTGGCCTGGTGCTATCATGAAGCACATGTTCTCTCTCTGCTTTCAAGGACAGACATTTATGGGTTTATGATCTTCTCTCTATAGAGTAGGAAATATGTCATAGAGTTACAATACAAACTCACATTCACTAAAGAACAATTTAATAAGCAGTTTCTTTATTTTCATTGTTAAAACATAACAAATTGAGGTGCCTGTATTATTCTAATTTTAATTTACAAAATTCTAATCTAGCTCACAGTAGGACCCTAAGGAAACATGTTTGAATTTTTGTTATCTTTCCAAAAGGCTGAATGTTTTGGCTTAAACAGTTTGACTTTTTTTTCATTTGTTTACTAATTTGTAATGTAATTTAATACATTGCCACTGATATGGACAGTAGACTCTTTTAGGCACTAGATAAAAAGCACAGCCTCTGTGGTCCATGCTCCAGATTATTTTTCTACTCAGTCCTAACACCTGTGACCACCTGGCTGCTTGCTCAAATATAACAAGCTGGAATGAGAATGAGACTTAGATATGATAGACTTGGCATGTATCCTCAGTGTGTGGGCTGGTGGGAGGGATCATTTGATAAACAGTTAACCCCTCAACAACACAGATTTGAACTACATGAGTCCACTTCTATGTGGGTTTTTAAAATAAATACATTAGAAAATGTGTTCTACATTTCCAACAATTTGAAAAAACTTTGATGTGAACCATGTAGCTTAAAAATAATGAAAAAA
Source organism: Homo sapiens (assembly GCF_000001405.40). Lineage (NCBI taxonomy): Eukaryota > Metazoa > Chordata > Mammalia > Primates > Hominidae > Homo > Homo sapiens. The sequence continues at coordinate 68,909,561 of NC_000015.10, read as the reverse complement.
TTAAGAAAGTTAAGTATGTCATAAATGTATAAAATATACGTCGATATTGGTCCATTTTATCATTTATTACCATAAAATGAGTCCATTATAATATGTTAAAATTTATAAAAACTTATGCACACACTTACAGACGGTAGATGACACAATTCAGTCAAGAGAAATGTAAACAAATATAAGATGCAGTATTAAATCGTAATGCACCAAATGAACTGTGGTATATACTGTACTACTGTAAAAACTTCATAGCCACCTCCTGTTGCTATTGTGGGGAGCTCAACTGTCGTGAGTATCTGCTTAACTCAAGTGATGCAGGTCATCTCCAGGTGAGCAGTTTCTCCCTGCAGACCATTGGAACCACAGTACATGTGATCTCTCATGGTTCTCACATAGCTTTCATTATGTTTAGTTCAATACTGTAAACCTTGACTCACACCATGGAATCCATACAAAGTGCCCCTAGTGATGCTGGAAGTGTCTCAAGAAGCAGAGAAAATTCATGACATTACAAGAAAAAGTTAGATTGCTTGATACGTACTGTGGATTGAGGTCTGCAGCTATGGTTGCCATTTCAGAAAGACAATTCACCTTGTAAACAGTTAACTTACAATACAGATAAATATAGTAGAGTACTGTCAATGGATTTTCCTTAGGATTTTTTAAATAACATTTTCTTTTGTTCTAGCTTACTTTAAGAATATAGTATATAATATATCTAATATACTAAATATGTGTTAATTGACTGTTTATGTTATCAGTAAGGCTATCAGTAGTTAAGTTTTGGGTGAGTCAAAAGTTACACATGGATTTTTGACTGAGCAGGGGGTAGGCACCCCTAACCCCTGCATCATTTAAGGATCAGCTGTATTTAAAACTCAGAGTTATGTTTTCACAAATTTGGAATTTTGTTACCAACCACTCTGAAATCCAGCCTCACTGGGCTTTCCCTGAGCCCCACCGCTTCTCTAAAATGCTTTGCCAGACCATTTCCACACCAGCCTTCCTCTCACTCCTCCACTCTTGCTGTACCCACTTTCTGCAACCCCACAACTCCTGCTCCAGTGAGAACTTACCTTTTCTTCTTCACAGACAACTACCCCTATAAACCTTTCGGCTGGTATTTATTTATTTTTCCTTTTAATACTTTGATTTCTTTTAACCATTGAACTTTTCAAAGGAATGCAATGTTTATATAGAACTGGCCAGAATTTCAGTTACAGTTATTTTAAAAACTGGATTTGTTAATGGAAGAGTGTTTTCCAACTAGACAAATAGAAGGCAAAATGGATTGCCATTAATACAAGTGAAATACTACTAGTTATTTTGACCTGGGTAGAAGTTACACGGGTGTTCCTTTTGTGACCAATCACTGAGCTCTTCATTTCTGTCTTATACACTTCTCTGTAAATTATATTTCAAAATTACATACTTTTAAAATGTTGATATACACTGTCAAATTGCCCTTCAAAAATTCTGTGCAAATCTACATTCAGACCCCCCAGTGAGCCAAGCACTTCTTCCACATGGCGCCCTTGCCAGTTGTACAGTAGATTTCTGCCTGCACAAAGCTCATCTACTTTCAATCATTTACTGAGAACATTTTGCAGTTGTGCAGTTTCCAGGTCTTCATCTATGCTATCGATAATTGTGAAATTATGAAACATGCCATAACCATCTGCAGAAACTTTGTCCTTCCAGTCTTCCATCTTGTTTTGCCATTTTGCCATTCCATCTTATCTGCATTTGAAAATACTTCATTTCATCCTCGCGTGAAATTAGTGAGATAACTTCACATATTGGGAATATCATAAAAGTTAGCAATTCTGACATCTTTAAAAAGCTGGGACCAAATTAGTTTCTTATCTTGCAGAAATACCAGGAGTTGGTGTTTGCAGAGAATGTTTATTCTCTGCAGAATTCTCCACTCAGCAACCATCATACCTCATCATACAACACCACTTGTTTATGATTAGCTTCCATATGATCACAGAATAGCCTCACATTTAACACATAATCCTTTATGTAACTCACAATTTTAACTATGCTGCTAAGACACTATTGGTTCAGCTGGTTTTTTTGTTTGTTTGTTTGATAGCAAGACTTTCTCAATGAAGGAACAGCATGTTGGTTTATATTCTGGCCCAGCTCTTTTCTCTGGATTAACTACTCCAGAATGCTTACCTGTCATTACATCTGTGCATCAAAAATACTTCTACCCCTAATCTCCAAACCACATAGACAGTGTAATCTATCATCATTTTATACAGTTCTGAGTTCTGTTTATGGTAATGAAGTTGGAAAAAAAAATTCTACTTTCATATTACCATCATGCTCAAATAACACATATACTAAAAGAATTGCTTTGTTAGCGTTACCTGTGCATCAGGTTTCATTAAAAAATAGTTTGCTGGCTTTATTTGTACCATAAATTGGTCTTCCACATAATTAGATAGTTTTAAAATACATTAATCTATAGTTTCATTGGAAAACAGTCTTCACAGTATCTTCTTTGCTCAAGATTCCCCCATCATTTCCAAGCAAACATTTTTTATGAAGTTTTTTGCTAATGTCACCACAATTTAATTTTTTGTCCTAGTCATGCAAAGTGCTACTTGATAAGAAGCCTGAAAAGTACTACTCACTCTTCATATATGAAATATTGAACATCTTCTTCCATTAACTTTTTAATTCAATATTCCTTCTTTCAAACAATTCTTTTCATTGTGAATGTGTGTCTTTATGAGTTGCGTATGCATGTTGCCTATAGTTTGACGGTGAATTGCTTACATTAGCCAGTATATCTCTGCAAATAACACATTCAAATTTTAGTGCTTCTCAATTAATTAGAGCAGTGCAACTGAACTCAGTATGTAAAGGATTATACTTCTGAGTCAATCTAGCAGAAACTCTTTTGGTTGTCATGTCTTCAAAATTACTTTCATCGTTATTATTTGATTTACTACTCGTGCTACATTTAGAAAAGGTATGTATTTTCTAGATTTTTAAAAATTCCAATGAAAGTTAATTCTAGTAAATTATGGCTAAAAAGAAATGACACAAATTTTACTGCCCTAAATTGACTAATAATGTTATATTATAAATTAAATAGTAGACTTGATTAAAAATTAGGCTGATTATAAAAACAAGTTATCAAAATGCTTACTTTTTTCAGATTTTTATGTATTTTTGCATCACAGTTAACCACCTAACCTTAAACTATCACACAATGCAATTTGGTCCTACTGTTCATGAAAACATGAACCTTGCCCATTCTGAGTTGAAAAGATATAAGAAGAGTCTAATTATGTCTAAAGGAGTCAAGCAGGCCCAGGGAGTGGAGGGAGATGGGGACAGCGGGAAGACAGCTCCAGCTTCTCCTTGAGTGGCTGACCTGAGGCTGGAGAACTCTCTGAATGTTGGAAATTGGGCCACTCCCAACACAGAACCTGTGAATAGCATGGCTTTCCCAGAAGCCTGGATGAAATGTCCACTGATTTAATAACAAAATTGTTTTTGCAAAAGTAAGGACTGCCACTTTAAAGAAACACACTGATTAAATAAAAATGAATACATCAAATTTCAGAAATGCTAATACCTGAAAAGCCATACTTCTTAGAATCTAGGAAATGCCATGAGGATATTTTACTAAGTCTGTGCCTGCTTTTTCTAAGTGTGTGTGTGTATGTGTGTGTGTAAGAGGCTGTAGCTTCTCTCATTGGCAGGGCTGTTGTGCAAAAAGTGCTCACTGCTAAAGACCTGGAATACAGGCATCAAGGAAGTGGAGGAGTGGGGTCTCCTGAGCCATGGATGCTAACATTCCTTTCACATGCCCAGATTTTACTTTCCCATCTGTGACACAATGTCATAAACAGTATGTGCTGCCTAGCATTTTTTTTCAAGTCTTCTACTGACCTAGAACAAAGCAAAAATATGTTGATGCACTTGGGAAGCTATAACTCCATTGGTAAGGGAAAAGTCTTTGAAGTTCTACATGTGTGTTTTAAGACTAAAGTTTGCCCTATAAGACCCCACATCCTCTGGGGACAACAGTGGCTTTCTGGGTTGCTGTGAATTAAGGTATCTGGGTACTTCCCAAAATCTGGGTACTTCTCTTTTCTCACCACACAGTTAGCTGGTTAATTGTTTATTCCATTAGAAATGAACTGGAGTTGGACCCTGAGTACATACTTGTGGCATTTTAGTTATTTGTTCCTCAAGGGTATCCAGCTTCCTCTTTTTTCAAAGGGCTCTTGGTCTGTGAACCGGGTCAGAATTAGACAAAAGGAGGCTTTAGTCCTTGTTTGTAATGTTGTTATACAAATCAAGGAGAGCCTCAAGAGGCTAACCATTTTTGATCCATCAGTGTGGTTATAGATAACGAAGGTACATCCAAAATATGGAAAATTAGTTTAAAAGAAGTACGTATTCCGGCCGGGTGTGGTGGCTCACACCTGTAATCTCAGCACTTTGGGAGGCCGAAGCAGGCGGATCACTTGAGGTCAGGAATTCAAGACCAGCCTGGCCAACATGGTGAAACCCTGTTCTACCGAAAATACAAAAATTAGCTGGGCCTGGTGGCGGGCACTTGTAGTCCCAGCTACTTGAGAGGCTGAGGCATGAGAATTGCTTGAACCCAGGTGGCGGAGGTTGCAGTGAGCTATTGAGATCACGCCACTGCAGTCCAGCCTGGGCGACAGAGTGAGACTCAGTCTCAAAAAAAAAAACATGTATGGAGACATCAATATATATGTAGATGCATATAGATACCTAGGTATATATTTTATAGACAGATGGAGATCATATATATACATACAGATATAAAAATAGGAATAGTTATAGATGTTTGAGTGCATTCACATATTTGTGAGTATGTATGTGCTGAGGTTTGAATATGTCCCCTCCAAAATTTAAGTGTTGAAACTTAATGGCCAATGTGATGGTATTAAGAGGTGGAGCCTCCAAGAGCTGATTAGGCCATGGAGGCTCCTCCCTCGTGAATGGATTAATGTCCTTTATAAAAGAGGCTTCATTCAGGTTCAGCCCTCTTGCCCTTCTGCCTTCTGCCATGTGAGGACATAGCATTCCTCACCTCCAGAGGATCCAGTACCACGGTGCCATCGTGGAAGCAGAGAGGAGCTCTCACTAAACAACTGAGTCTGCTAGTGCCTTGATCTTGGATTTCCCAGCCTTCAGAGCGTCTATTTCCTAGCGTTGTCCACTGACAGGGCCTAGAAGCAATGGCACTTCAATGGTAATGAGCACATCTGGTTTTCCAGTGTTGGTTCCTAAATTACATTCTTACTAAAAGGTACCAGTGTTCCTTGTGGAAATGGCTAGTTCTAGGGCTGGAGCAGGGAAAGGACAAGACAGGACTGGAACCTTATATTGTGTCAGAAAGTGAAGAAATGCTCAATGACAGATGGACATATATCAAAAGGACATAGGAACTGGCTTGACAGAGTTCCCATTGGCCAAAACAGGGACAATCTGAACAAATAAGAATCTGAACAATCAGAATAAATACGGATAGTAATGAATTACAACCTACCGAATAAAATAGGAGACCATGAATCCATACTGATATAAACATATAAATAAATAAGGTGGGGTCAAAGCTCTTCTTTACAGTAGAATGCCATCGAATACACGTAGAATGGAAATAGAAAACCAGCATTGGCAACCATCATGGGGATGCCCAGTTGAAGTGAGAATTGTCGATCAGTGCTAAAGCTGGGTGGAAGTTTGATGGGGAACAAGATATTGCAATAATCTCCGAACACCTCTTTACAAAATACTATGGTATTGTCAAGGGAAGAATCATGACCTTATGGTGAAGAAATGGGGCAGACAATGACACAACTAGGTAATCAGTGCTAACATCACCAGCGTCAGGATGGGTCAACACGGTGTGCTTCTGGAAGGAATGCCTTGAGAGGAACACAGTAGCAGATCTTGGTGTACCTGAATCTAGACATAAGGAAATATCCCATGTTGAAGGCCATCCCACAGAATGGAAGTCCTGTACTTAGTTTCTGTCAAGGACATAGAAAACAGGAAAAGGCAAAAGACCTGTTGCAGATTTACAAGTCTGAGGATACATGACAATTAAATGCAATATACATTTCCTGGACCAGACAGGAAATAGAGACATTGTTAGGACAGGTGGCAAATGTGAATGAGGACTATGGATTGGACAGCAGTGGGGAACCAATGTTAATGTCCTCATTTGGAGGTTGTATACTGGTTTTATATCCTAGTGTTTTAGAAAATATACAAAGGTTCCTTAAAAGACTAATAATGGGTATATATAAGTACAGAGAGAGAGTAATAGAGAAAATTTAGTGGCATCAGCAATTGGGTAAAGTAATATGGGAGTTATTTGCAATTTTTGGAAGTTTGAAATTATTTCTAAATATGATTTTTTTAGGAAAAAAGATCTACATGTACCAACATAGAAAGATCACATGGACAGGATCAGTAACAGTCACCTGCTCATCCATATTGAAGCCCAAAGCCAAAGGAACACTCAGTAATAGAGATCCAGTCTTTAAGGTTTTGATATTTTGTTCAATATACATTTTTGGTGCTGATTTAGATTTTTTTTTAATATTGCACTAAAATTTATCTCGATTACTGAGCTTTTGGCAATCCCTTCAGTTGTTGTGGGGACTCCCTTAAATTGTGTGCCAAAATGCCTCACTCGCCTCACCTTCATCCTGACCGCAAAATAATATAATTGTTGAATAAAAGAAAAGAAATTGCAGATGAACGTGAAGAGTATGCAAAAACACAGACAAATAGAACAACTATTCACTTGTTTCTGGAAATAAGTGTTTATAAATGCAAAGAAAAACTTCCGGAAAGAAACACAGCCAGCTGTGAATGATGATCCCTCTAGGGAGAGAAGAGCGATTGGAAACAAGATATGTGGTAAAGGGAGGCTTTGGTTGGCACTCTTTATACTGTTATTGCTTAATATACTGTTATTGCTTAAACATTTTTGCAACAAGAATGTTTTCAGATTTTATGCACGTAATTTTATTTTTTTTAATCAAATATTTTTAATCCAGAACCTTGTGGGAAGGTAGGGGGAGAAGTAATCTATTCCTCCCTTTGCCTCTACTAGGTTTAGCTGACTTCTTCCCACTGGCTAATTTGCTACAGATGTTTGGGCAGCAGTTCTGCCTCATCTCTGCATCCTTCAGATTGTATTAATTCTTTTTTGTTTGTTTTGGTGTTGCCCTTTTTTTTTTATTTTTGGAGACAGAGTCTTGCTATGTCACCCAGGCAGGAGTGCAGCCTGGACCTTCCGGGCTCAAGTGATCCTCCCACCTCAGCCTTCCAAGTAGCAGGGACTACAGGCATGTACCACTACGCCTAGCCAATTTTTGTGTTTTGTAGAGACAGGGGCTCTCTAGGCTGGTCTCGAACTCCTGGGCTCAAGCAATCCTCCTGCCTTGGTCTCCCAAAGTGCTGAGATTATAGGTGTGAGCCCTGTGTTTGGCTGTTTTAATTATTTAGTACATGATACATGAATAACATATTCTTTCCTCACAATGGGTTTTGTCTCTTTTGAAAGTCCCTAGAGTCTACATTTTTCATATTTTATTCATTCTCCTATTACTGGAAAATAGGAGTTATTTCCCATGGAATTATTGGGAGATAGACATTGGTCAGTCAGATATATGGCTATCCCTTGGTGAGTGAGTATTGGAAAGAGAGAGGTACACCAGGGAGCTTCTAATGGATCACTTTTCTAATCCTCTTACCCCTTCCCTCCCTATCTGCCCAAGCACCATGTACATTTTTTTATTTTTTTGAGACAGAGTCTTGCTCTATCACTCAGGCTGGAGTGCAGTGGCACTATCAGCTCACTGCAACCTCCACCTCCTAGGTTCATGCAATTCTCCTGCCTCAGCCTCCTGAGTAGCTGGGATTACAGGCGCCCACCACCAAACCCGGCTAATTTTTGTATTTTTAGTAGAGATGGGGTTTCACCATGTTGGCCAGACTGGTCTCGAACTCCTGACCTCAAGTGATCTACCCGTCTTCGCCTCCCAGAGTGCTGGGATTACAGGCGTGCACCACCAACGCCCAGCCCCAAGCACCATGTACTTTTATAATTCCAAATTATTTGCTTATGTAATTATCTGACGAATATCTGTAATGTTTATGAGAGTAAGAGCCTTGCCTGTTTCTGTTCATTAGTGCTTCAGTGCCTGGCATATACCAGGAGCTCAAGAAGTGGAAGACATAAATCAATCAACAATTTTACATGAAATCGGTATAGCACTTGGTTCTGACTTGGGTGCACATCACAATCACCTGGGGAGTTTTTTTTAACCCCAAATCCTTGTCTTCAATGCAAATGTATTAAGTCAGAATAGCTGGAGGTAGCGGCTTGTCATCATATATATTTTTTTAATTTCCCAGATAATTTCAGTCTGTAGCAGGGATTGAGAAACAAAGACAGTGTCTCTGTTAGGGTTTGCCAAGAGGAGGTGCCAAAACAACCCTAATAGTACAAGGAGAGTACTTGCAGCCACCCTGGGACCTCCCGAGTGAAGGGAGCCCATCTCTTCTACTGAGAATCTTGGGACCTGGGTTTTGATTTGGCTAAGTGGGAGTACCCCCATCCCCACTGCATACTTCAGAATGGCAAATGCATTACATATGAAAGTAATATGCATAGTGATTCAATCATAATAAACAAGAATGGCCCTCATTCCTCAGGTGAGGTTTTCCTCAGCCCAGGCTCGAAGGAGGGAATTTTCCTTGCCCAGCTCTCCATTAAGGCCAGCCCATGCTGTGAACGGTCTACAGAAGCTTGGCTTTGTAAAATAACTTCTGGCAGTGAATAGCAGAGGCAGGATGCTCCTAAGTGGGTGATGTTCCAAAGATTTCTGGCCTTCTTCAATGGGGCAACCTGAGTTTTGTGTTTTCTACTGCAGAATGCTGAATGGTTTTGCAGGCTGTTTTGTTTTAAGAAATGGTGGGTAAGATATTTTTGGCTTTGGTTGGGGGAAGAGGGAGGAGGTTTGTGGACAGTTGCTAGCCTCAGATCTCTTAGCTAGTCCAGGGTAGAAACCATCATATTTTTATAAAATATGTTATAAATACCATATTTTACTGTACCTTTTAATGATATGTTTAGATTCACAAATACTTACCATTGTGTTACAACTGCCTGCAGTATTCAGTACAGTAACATGTTGTACAGGTTTACAAACCTAGGAGTGATAGGCTATAGTATACAGCCTAGGTGTGTAGTAGGCTATGCTGTGTAGGTTTGTGTAAGTACCGTACACTCTATGATGTTTGCACAGTGATGAAATTGCCTAACACCATATTTCTCAGAACATAGGCTTCTTGTTAAGCAACTCATGACTGTATTGTCCCAAGTCAATATTCAGCCTTCTATCTTAGCTGCTCAGTCTCAGAGAGTAAGACAGGCAACTTCTCAGCGTGCCACCCCTCAAGTCATGACTCTGTGACCAAATATATGTGTCCCAGACACTACGTCCTCACAATCAACCTCTCTCTCTCAATCTTCTTATCCTGTTCTCTGCCTTTCTCTCCTAGCAGAGTGGTTGAACCTGAGAAAAGAAAATATGACTTCAAAAGTGTTTAACTCCCTTCTCTTCACTGTCTTCAGTGTACCTGATCCTGTGCTAAGGATTTGAGTACATTTACAGTAAAACCAACTACTGTACATCATGCGCAGAGTCCTGCAAGGGTGCTCCTACTAGCCAGATATCATTTCACAGAGGGGCCTTGAGCTCACAGAGGTAAATAATTACCCAAGCTCACACACACCTGATTCCAAGGCCATGGAATTAGAAAAATGAGTCACAGGGCCAGGCGCAGTGGCTCACACCTGTAATCCCAGCACTTTGGGAGGCTGAGGCGGGCGGGTCACTTGAGGTCAGGAGTTTGAGACCAGCCTGCCAACATGGTGAAACCCTGTCTCTACTAAAAATATAAAAATTAGCCAGGTGGTGTAGCAGGCACCTGTAATCCCAGCTACTTGGGAGGCTGAGGCAGGAGAATTACTTGAACCAGGGAGGCGGAGGTTGCAGTGAACCGAGATTGCACCACTGCGCTCTAACTGGGGCAACAAAGCAGGACTCCATCTCAAAAAAAAAATGAGACAGACCCTGAGATCAGATCCCAACTACATCACTGACAAACTAAACTTGAGCAAGCCATGTATTTCTCCTGAGGCTCCCGTCTCATCAACAGAATGGAGTGTTACAAGAAGCAAAGTGAACAACAAATGTGAAAGCCCCTAGCAAATTCCTTGAGCACAGTGGGCACTTCATAAGTATGTGTCCATCTGTCTCTGTCTGTTCGTCTTCCCTTCCTCTCTCATTCTTTCTGGTTGGAACAGAGTAGGCTGTTATTAAGATGTTAGCCTGAGAGAGAACATGGTCCACAGTCCCATCTCCTTCAGAATTCTTCCAGTTCTGGGCACTCACTGCTTCATGGCTCCACTCCTTTCCTGGTTGGGTAAAAACGCCAGCTAATACAAAGATGAGTATTAGGAAAACCCATAGATATTACAGTATCTATAATATGGAAACAGTTCAGTGATGGAGAAGCTTCTTCCCTGGAAAATTAAAGGCATTAAGAATCTGGCTGGGGCTTCTGCGACCAGTTCTAGCGAGCTCTTTGGATCCTCTGCCTGTAAGATCCTCAGCATGCCAACATCTCCAGCACTCACAGCACTTGCTCCATCTCGCTGCGAAAAGGCTGAGCATGGGTCTGCATGATTACCAGCTGCTGGTCCAGCCACTGTGTAGCCTGGTCTTGGTACCAACATCATTTGTCTGAGTTTCTGGCCTTGCCCACCACTTCTGGAATTTTTGTTGGGTTATGTCTTACTTAATAATTTTTAGTGTTTTTTTTTAAACATGTATTTTCTGGATAAGAGTCCTTTGTTGGTTATATGTATTACCAAATAGCTTCTACTTCTATTCTGTGGTTTGTGTTATTAATCTCTTTATGAACTCTTTAGATAAGCAGAACTTCTTAATTTTAAAGTCATCGTTTTATCAATCTTTTTCCTAATGGTAGTAGGAGGCCTCAAGGGTGGTAAATATTTTCTTGGAGAGCATGGAGAGAGAGAAGGGGCAAGGAAGGAAGGATGCAGTCAGGAACCCTTTCCCTGAGAGCCTCTTTCTAGTGCCAAACACACACTAGCAGGTGACCCAGGCCGAGAGAGGCACCAAACTCCCTCACAGTGTGAAGCAAGACCACATTTCATGAAAGAATGAAACTCCATAGAAGAGAAACTAATCTGAACTTGCCACACCATGACTCCTTCTAATGGGGAGAAATTGTTCTGCATTCACCAGTCTGTAAACACTGGGGAATTCATCATAAATCAAAGGTGCACTGACTGAGCCACTGACAAGACAGCATCTGGAGTGGGCTTTCTGGTTGAGATGATGGCAGGTGCTGAGCAGGCTCTTTGTGTTTCTCAGAAACAATGCAGCCATGTCCCCAGGTAGGCTTAAAACCCAGCCAGGCTCTTCTCCCAGTCTTTTATCATTTTTTTACAGATGAAGTCTCACCCTGTCACCCAGGCTGGAGTGCAGTAGCACCATCTCAGCTCACTGCAGCCTCCGACTCCTGGGCTCAAGCAATCCTCCTGCCTCTGCCTTCGAAGTAGCTGGGACTGTAGATGCATGCCACCATGCCTGGCTAAGTTTTTTGCTTTTATGTAGAGACACAGTCTCCCTATGTTGCCCAAGCTGGTCTCAAACTCCTGAGCTCCAGTGGTCTCCCATCTTGACCTCCCAAAGTGCTAGGATTACAATTATGAGCCATGATACCCAGCTGCTTCTCCTTGTCTTAAAAATGCCTTTGATCTCTTTGTTCTAATTATAGAACTTGCACATATTTAAGTGAGAAATTTTATAAATTTAGAAAGACAAAAGAAAAATTATCCATAATTTTGTATGTCTGTAGATTTATGTATATCCACATAAACAAAATAAGTATCATCATTTAGTATAAGTATATTGCGAAAAAATTAAAACAGACAAATACATGGAAAAAGCAAAATTCACCTTTATTCCCACTACCATTATAAATATTTCAGTCTGTAGCCTGTTGGGGCTTTTTCATGTGCCCATGTTTTTATATCTAATTTTCTTAAAAATCAGGATCATGCTGTATCTGCCCTTTAAAACCTCCTGAACAACATGTTCTCATTAACTGTTATCATCCTCATGACAGCTTTCTTTTACTAGAGACTTGTGCTGTGCTTACTGAATCCTCACCTCTCCCCTGTCAGGCGGGTATTCTTATTGTACAGGTAAATGAGGAAAGAGCCAGACTCTGCTCCCTAGAAATAGCCACAAACTCAGCCAATGTGTAACCAGCACCCTGTCAGGTCAGAGTGCTTTGTCCACAGAAGTGCTCAGGGCCAAGTGGAAGCAGACAGAGCTTCTCAGCTGCCCTAAGTCACCAGATACTTCCATTGCTTGCAACTCCTGATATTTTAGACATTATAGAAATGATAAAATAGGGTTACAAAAATCATTATGTATTTGAGATGCTTACATTTAATAAGCTGACACTTTTTAAACTCCATCAAAATATATAATTCATCATCATTATGGAATTCACAGGATATTTACAGGATTTATAAAAAATAAAGTGAGATCAGTGATTCATCACTACTTTTATAAATCCTGTAAATATCCTGTGAATACCATAATGATGGTATTCTACCTACCAGCAGTGCCTTCCACTAATGGGATCCAACGCTGAAGCTGTAAGTTGCACATCTCTTTCTTCTGTCCTTGTTGGTTTATCTCTGTGATCACAGATAGAACCTCTTTGGGATGGATGTAAGGTCCAAATTCTAAATTTAAGGGCCTCTGTGAATTTGAAGCCCAGGACACAATAGGCCCTGAATGGAAGGAAATATTGAAGGCCACCCTTTTAAGCCCATCAGTAAGCTCATAAAAATTCAAACCCATTGGGAGAATTGCCCCAGAAAAAGAAGTTAGAGAAAACCAGCTAACACTGTCAGGTGCACTGTTTCTGAGCATAAATCTGTAAGAAAAAAATTATCACCTTTGTAATCAGGTATAACACAGTTATCAGTTACCACCTTGTCTCCCTACTGGAATATATAGAGGTAATAAAATAAATAGAACCAGCAGCTTTTTCTATAAGCTATCATAAATCATCCTAATCTTTCTAAGGGCAGAATATGGACTCCAGAGACTGGAATTTCAATCTTACCTCACTCATTCTTCTTACTAGCTGTGAGACTGATTCACTGTAAGCTTTTAACCTCTTTGAGTTTGTTTCCTAAATTATAAGGGAAAAGTAACTTCTATTTCATAGGGCTTTGCAAGACTTGAGTGTAACAATGATCATGAACATTTCTAGTACCTCGGAGGTGCTCGGTAACTATTGGTGATTTTCTGAACAGTGATAATTATTCCTAGGTTTACTGGTGAATATTCAAACTGCATGTAACCTAAATAGGTAGCAAGTTGGTCCCATAATCAAACAGATAGTAACTAACTCCAAGTGACTTTAAACAAAATTGATTTGACTATTCATCCCTATAAAATATCCTTAATGTATAAGGAAAACTACCCCCAAAAATCATAAACTCTTTTCTATAATCTTATTATTGGTGTAGTGTTGGTATTGTTACTCTGAAACATTGTGTGTGCGTGTGCGTGTGTGTGTGTGTGTGTGCACGCACATGCACACTGTAGAATACAGCAAATGAGTAGTTGTATGATCTTCTAATTCTACCACCCCAGTGTCATGAGAACTGGGATTCTCACATGAAAGAAAGAGAATAGGCCGGGTGCAGTGGCTCACGCCTGAAATCCCAGCACTTTGGGAGACCGATGCGGGCAGATCACCTGGGGTCGGGAGTTCGAGACCAGCCTAGCTAACATGGTGAAACCCAATCTCTACAAAAAATACAAAATTAGCTGGGCATGGTGGTGTGCACCTGTAATCTCAGCTACCTGAGAGGCTGAGGCGGGGAGAATCGCTTGAACCTGGGAGGCAGAGGTTGCAGTGAGCCCAGATAGCACCACTGCACTCCAGCCTGGGTGACAGAGTGAGACTCCATCAAAAAAAAAAAAAAAAAAGAGAGATAGAGCATAGACATTTAAGTTAGTAGAGTTGTTTCAACTAATGGCAATATAGAGACCTTATTTGGATCCTGATTCAAGTAAACTGTAAGATAATGACATTTGAAGCAATTATAAATTTGAACATTGACTGGGAATTTGATGATATTAAGGAATTTTTTTTTTTTTTTTTTTTTTTTTTTTTGAGACGGAGTCTCGCTTTGTCGCCCGGGCTGGAGTGCAGTGGCGCAATCTTGGCTCACTGCAAGCTCCACCTCCCGGGTTCACGCCATTCTCCTGCCTCAGCCTCCCGAGTAGCTGGGACCACAGGCACCTGCCACCACGCGTGGCTAATTTTTTGTATTTTTAAAAGAGACAGGGTTTCACCGTGTTAGCCAGGATGGTCTCGATTTCCTGACCTCATGATCCACCCGCCTCGGCCTCCCAAAGTGCTGGGATTACAGACGTGAGCCACCAAGCCCGGCAATATTAAGGAATTTTTTAATTTTGAGTATGACAGCAGTATTGCCATTAGCTTTAAACTGTGCTTGTTTTTTAGAGATAATGTTAAAATATTTAAAGATGTAAAGATATAAAGTCTCGATAGACTTCTTGTTTCTGGTTGCACATGTACGGAACTTGGAAGTTGCCACTCCATCCTAACAAGAAAAAAGCTGAACAGACTGATGGACAACTGCTCTTGGATCCATAAGAGAGGTGAGGACACGGGCAAATGCTGCCCCGAGATGGGAAAGACAGATAAATACAGGGAGCCACAACTTACCAGAGCAGACTCATGGGCAGAAACAACCAAGGGAAGCAGTGTTGGGTAGGAGAACCTGAACTGTTCATTGACAAATTGGCCAGAGGCTCAGTGTGGACAAGCCTAACAGTTAAGAACTCCAGGGGGACCCACTCATAGAAGGGCCCCCACAGTCTTGTGATGTTTATCTTCAGGAGCTCAACCACCATTCCCACAGTAAATATCAGAGAAAACCCCCTCATGCTTCCAGCAGGAAGAGGTGGAAAGGAACCATTTGAAAATACCCTGGGGCACTATGTACTTTTTAACAATGTCTACCCTTCAGGAGTAAGAAGTTAACCAGAGCCCAACCTGCTGGGGTATTATCAGAGCCCAACCTAACTGGTAGAGAGAAATATCCAACTCGGGCTCCCTCTAGCCATCCTATTTCACCTAAGTGGGAGGAAAAAAGCTGAGAAACACATGTGATGTTCATAGTCCAGAGGCACAGGCTCACTAAAAGACGGAGACCTGTTGATGGGACTACAGAACATTTCCCGTCCCCTACACCTCACCATCATATCACTAAAGCCTATTTACAGCAGTTCCTTTTACCCAGTGCATCATGTCTGCCTATCAAGAAAAATATTACAAGGCATACCAACAGGCAAGAAACATAATTTGAATAGACAGAGCAAGCATCAGAACCAGACATGGCAGGGACGTTGAAATGATCAGACCAGGAATTTAAAAGAGCTACAATTAATATGCCAGGGGCTGTAATGGGTGAAGTAGACAGCATGCAGGAACAGATGGGTGATGTAAGCAGAGAGACGAAAATCCCAAGAAAGAACCAAAAAGAAATGCTAGAGATCAAAAACATTCTAATAGAAATGAAGAATTCCTTTGATGAGCTTATTAGACCTGACACAGCTGAGGAAAGAATCCCTGAGCTTGAGAATATCTCAATAGAAACCTTTAAAAACTGAAAGGAAAAGAGAACAAAAACTGAAAAAAATAAAACAGAATATTCAAGAACCGTGGGACAACTACAAAGGGTGTAACATGCACAAAATAAAAATGCCAGAAGAGAGAAAGGAACAGAAGAAGTATTTGAAACAATAATGACTGAGAATTTCCTCCAAATTAATATCAGACACCAAATCACAGATCCAGGAAGCTCAGAGAACACTAAGCAGGATAAATGCAAAAGAAAAGAAAGGTATACGTAGGCATATCATTTTCAAACTACAGAAAATCAAAGATAAAAGTTCTAAAGGAAAAACATATTACCTATAGAGGAACAAAGAAGAATTGCGTCCATCCAACTTCTGCTTAGAAACCAAGCAAGTGGGGGCCAGGCGCAGTGGCTCACACCTGTAATCCCAGCACTTTGGGAGGCCAAGGCGAGCGGATCACCTGAGGTCAGGAGTTTGAAACCAGGCTGGCCAACATGGCAAAATCCCATCTCTATTAAAAATAGAAAATTAGCTGGGCATGGTGGTGTGCACCTGTAATCCCAGCTACTCAGGAGGCTGAGGCAGGAGAATCGCTGGAACGCTTGAGGCGGAGGTTGCAGTGAGCCGGGATCACATCACTGCACTCCAGCCTGGGCAACAGAGCAAGACTCCATCTCAAAAAAAAAAAAAAAAGAAAAAAAAAAACAAGCAAGAAGCAAGTGGAAGGAACTGTTTGAAGTGTTGAGCAAAAATTCTGTACCCTGCAAAATTATCCTTCAAAACTGAGAGAAATAAAGGCTTTCTCAAACAACAAAAATTGAGGGAAGTTTTACCTTGCAAGAAATGTGAAGTTACTTAGAGAGAAGAAAAATATGTCAGAAACTTCAATTTCTATAAAGAAAGGGAGAGTACCCATTGAAGAAGGAATGAGTGAAGATAAAATAAAAACTGCTATGTTTTTCTTCTTAATTGATCTAACAAATAACAATTTGTTCAAAATAAAAGCAACAATGCATTTGATTATGAACACTTATGTGTGTATATACTTGGTTGTACTTATGTGTATGTGTGTGTGTATATATATGCTTAAACATAAATAAAATGAATGACAGAAATGTTAAAAAGGACATGAGGGAGGAATTGGGATTATTTTGTCATTAGAAGATACCCACACCACTTGTGAAATGATATAGTAATCTGAAAGTGGACTTGGATTCGTTATAAGTGAATATTGCAAAATCTAGGACAATCACTTTAAAAAGTAAAAAAAGAAGTATCACTGATATGTTAAGAAGGGAAAATGGAATCATATAAAATGGTCAACTAGGCCAGGCACAGTGGCTCATGCCTGTAATCCCAACACTTTGGGAGGCCAAAGCGGGAGGCTCACTTGAGCTCAGGAGTTCCAGACCAGCCTAGACATCATGGCAAAACCCTGTCTCTACAAAAAATACAAAAATTAGCCGGGTGTGGTGACATGCACCTGTGGTTCCAGCTACTCAGGAGGCTCAGTGGGGAGGATCATTTGAGCTGGGGAGGCAGAGATTGCAGTGAGCTGAGATCACTCTACTGCACTCCAGGCTGGGTAACAGAGGAAGACCCTGTCTCAAAAAAAATAAATACCTAAAATTCTAGTTAAAACCCCAAAAGACAGAAAAAAAGTGGAAGTCAAAAATAGAATTAAAGAATAAGGGCAACAAATAAAAAACGGTAACAAATATGGTAGATATTGATCCAGTTATATCAAAAATCACTTTGAACATCAATGATTTAAATGTACCGATTAAAAGAGCCAATTGTCAGAGTGGATCAAGAAACAAAACCTAACTATATGTTATCTACATTAAGACCACTTTAAATATAAAGACACATGTAGATTAAAAGTAGATGGATAGAGAAAATATACCATGCTAACACAAATCAAAAGAAAGCAGGAGCAGCTCTATTTCAGACAGAGCAGACCTCAAAGCAAGGAAAGATATCAGGAATTAAGAAGGATAATATTACATAATGATAGAGGGGTAAATTCTCCAAGAAGACATAACAATCCTTAACATGTATAAGCCTAACAACAAACTATCAAACTACATAAGGCAAAAACTGATAGAACTGCAAGGAGAAATACAGGAATCCACTACTATAGTTGGAAACTCCAACAGTTCTCTCTCAGAAACAGACAGACCCAGCATGCAAAATATCAGTAAAGACATAGTTGAACTTAACAACAATCAACTAGATATAATTGATATCTATAGACTACTTCATCCAACAATAGCACAAATACACATTCTTCTCAAGCTCACATGGAACACTGACCAAGATAAACCACATTCTGGACCATATAACACAACCTAACAAGTGTAGAAGAACAGAAACCATGCAGGATCTGCTCTCAGACCACAATGAAATTATATTAGACATCAGTAACAAAAGGACAACTGGAAAATCCCAAAGTCTGTGGAGATTGAACAACACATTTCTAAATAACACATGTGTCGAAGAAATTTTATGATCAATTTAAAAATATTTTGAACTAAATAAAAATGAAAATGCAATTTATCAAAATTAGTGGGATGCAGTAAAAGCCGTGCTTAGAGGGAAATTTTTAACTTTGAATTTGTATCTTAGAGCAGAGGAAAGACCTAGAATCAATAATCTAAGTTTCTACCTTAGGAAACTAGGAAAGAAGAGCAAATTAAATCCAAAGTAAGCAGAAGAAAAGAAAATAAGGCTTAGAGCAGAAATCAATGAAATTAAAAATGGAAAATCGAAAGAGAACATTAACAAAACCAAAAGCTAGTTCTTTGAAAAGATCAACCACCTTGAACATCAGTAGTCTAAATACAACAACTAAAAGACAGAGATTGTCAGAGTGAAGGAAAATTGATAATCCTCTAGCCAGGCTAAGAAAAAAAGAGACAAGACACAAATTACTAATATCAGAAACAGAAGACATCAATCACTAGAGCCTATGGACATTAAATATGAGCATTATTATTTAATCATAATAAATGAATACTCTGAACAACTGTATGCTCACAGATTTGATAACCTAGATGAAATTAACCAGTTCCTTGAAATATAATTTGCCTATTTTTTTGTGTGTGAGTTTTGGCAATCTGAATAGGCCTATATTTTCTAAAAAATCCAATTCTTTAGGCTGAGGTGGGAGAATGCCTTGAGCCCAGGAGTTCGAGGCTGCAGACAGCTATGATCACACCACTGCACTCCAGCCTGGGCAACAGAGTAAGACTCAATCTCTAAAAAATATATATAAATATAAACAAATACATAAATAAATGCCTGACCAGTACACCTTAAAACTGGCAAGGACACCAAAAACCAGGAAAGTCCAAGCACCTGTTACGGTCCAAAGAAGCCCAAGGAGACATATGAAGACTCATGTAATATGGTATCCTGAATGGGATCCTGGAACAGAAAAAGGACGCTAGGGTAAAACTAAGGAAATATGAATAAATTTTCCAAAGTAGTTAATAATAAAGTATCAATAGTGGTTCATTAATTGTAACAAACGTACCATACTAACCTAAGATGTTCATAATAGGAGAAACCGGGAATAGGGTCTATAGCAGCTTTCTGTACTATCTTTGCAACTTTTCTGTAAATCTAAAACTGTTATAATATAAACAGTTAATTTGTAAAAAGAAAGGAAAAGAGGGCCGGCCGGGTGTGGTGGCTCGCACCTGTAATCCCAGCACTTTGGGAAGCCAAGGCGAGTGGATCACCTGAGGCAGGAGTTCGAGACCAGCCTGACCAACATGAAGAAACCCCGTCTCTACTAAAAATTCAAAATTAGCTGGGCGTGGTGGTGCATGCCTGTAATCCCAGCTACTCAGGAGGTTGAGGCAGGAGAATCGCTTGAACCGGGAGGCGGAGGTTGCGGTAAGCTGAGATCTCACGATTGCACTCCAGCCTGGACAACAAGAGCGAAACTCCGTCTCAAAAAAAAGAAAAAAAAAAGACATGCAACAACATAATCTCCAATTTTATTATTAGACTCAACATAGGTATTTTTAATACATATAGTCAGAACAAGCAACAAATGGGAAAATAAAGTTATAAAAATTATACTCTGTTTATTTAAAATGTGACATAGATATATGCAATCATGTAATAATATAAAGAATCATTTTCAGCTGGGCGTGGTGGCTCACACTTGTAATCCCAGCACTTTGGGAGGCTGAGGCAGGTGGATCACCTGAGGTCAGGAGTTTGAGATCAGCTTGACAAATATGGTGAAACCCTGTCTCTACTGAAAATACAGAAATTAGCCAGGTGTGGTGGCGTGCACCTGTAGTCCCAGCTACTTGAGAGGCTGAGACAGGAGAATTGCTTGAACCCGGGAGGCCAAGGTTGCGGTGAGCCAAGATCACACAACTGCACTCCAGCCTGGGCGACAGAGACTCTGTTCCCCTCCCCGACCCAAAAAAAAGAATCATTTTTACACTCATAACTTTGTCATTTCATCACTGTAGCTATACAAAATTTATGAAATAGGAAGTCTTCACATTAAACATCTATAAAAACGCTTTTGATGAACACTGTGTGTGTCAATAAATTATTTAAAGTTTTTAATGTGAGAAGTGAGGTCATTCTTGTGTATAACCTTATCCAAGCCAGGTGGAATTAGCGATGCCACTGTTCACAGAGGGCAATATAGCATATCTAAACTGTTTCTATGTTTTGTTTTTAGTAGCACTCATTTTAAGAACCCAGTGTCCTTGAGGTATATTGATGGAGATGGAAGAACAAATTTTTAAAGAAATTTCAGCAAACTCAGGATAGTCATTTTTAAATTTGTATACAAAACAAATCGTTTTTTTCCTCCTCTACTTAGGCTATAGAAAGCTGGAAATGTGTCTAAACTGTGGGAAAGCTAGATAAACTACAAAATCGTAACTTTCCTTGAGCCTGTCAGAGGGCTGAAGTTGCAAGTCAACCAAGTAGCCTGAGTTCCGGAGAGGGACAGGGTGCCACCTAGGAGGGAGGGACACACAAGGTCTCCCCGGAGGCTGAGCACCGGAGGAGGAAGCGGCTGTCATACAAGAGGGCGAGAAGAATCAGCAAAAATTTTAATAAAGACCGAGTGTGGAATAGACACAAGGAGAGATGGCAATCCCCCAAAAGCTCTTTTTCCCAGGTTCCCACCGAGTGTTCAGAAGAGAGACGGGGCGGGGTGAGGGCGGGGCAAGATGGAGATGAAGGCAGGGCTTGCAGTGGGAAAGCCCCTGGGGGCGCAGGTTGCAGGAGGTGACAGCCGCTTCTGCTTCTCCAGTCCTGGCCTAGAAAGAAAGTGCCTTTGGTTATTGGGTAGAGGCAGCAAAGCCTGTTGTCCTCAAGGCACAGGCACAGACCTACTGTCACTGGGGGAGGAAAAAACCCTTGGGAGAGGGGCAGGAAATGGTCTTGGGTTCAGGACCCGACACCAACACCAACATAGGTTAGCTCCACGAGGGAAGAGTGGGGAACTCTCTCCCACCCAAGACCAACAAATGCAGCGTTTGGCTGCCATGAGAGGGAGGGGCAGGAATGTTGAGACAGCACGACCCCCCTCCCAAACCCAGGCCCACGGGACCAACCTAAAACCGAGGCTGGAAGGGCAACCCAGAGCCCACCCCACCTCCTTCTCCCTCACTTTCAATTCTGTACTTATCTCCTCATGGATGGGCAGCGATCTACAAACCACACTTTGAATAGCACTACATCATACCATCCTATGTTTTGCATATTTACATTTTTCCATGATAAAGCAAAACAAACAATGTACATGTTGGCTGCAGTAACTTTTCCATGTCTAGCAAGCTGCATGTTTCCCACTGCCAGGAGTGAGGCGGTTCTGGCTAATGTGGTATTCTGGTTGGGTGAGAAATGTCCCTTACACCGCACATATTAACCGTAGTCGAAATAGAAGCACCTGATGTGCTAAAGAATTAGAAAAGTCAGAGATAAAAATAAACAACAAAAAAGAGAAAAGTCTTTAAGAGTATCTCTCATAGAGGAGGAAACTAGGCCCAGGAGGTGAAGCACCCTGCCCAAGGTCACCCCACTGGTTATTGGGGTATGGGGCCCCAGACCCTCAACTCTCCTTACTCTAGCCTACCCTGACAATATTCACTAGGGGTGAAAATCTTCCAGAATGTAATTTAGGGCATGGACCTACACCTTTAGCACCATACAATACCGATATAAAATAGTTTATTGGAAAATTTGTATAGGTAGAGAAGTATCAGAGGCACCTGGTCACCTGAGCTCTCATTATCCCACCCAGAGATAGGTCTGGGCATGCTGTGGCTAGCATCCGAGTGGCGAGGGACCCCACCCTCATAACACTCTATACTTAGAGGTCAAAGCAACAGGTAACACTATGTTCCTTTGTAACTGCAGAAGTTGCTAGGCTGAGGAAGAGGCCTTGTTAGAAAGGGGGGCTCCCTGAAGAAGCAACCTCTGGAGCCTGTTCTTCCATCAGCAAACTCAGCCCTAAGGAGCCATGGAAGCTGAGCCATGGAAAAAGAAGGAAATGAGTCTCCAGGGCCACCTCTTCTCCCCTTTTCTTTCCTCTTTACCCTAAGCAGGCTGCTGTGGCTCGTCTGAGTCTTTTGGGCTATTTGTGTCATGGACAAAAGAAAGTTACTAAATAAACAATGCTATCTGCCTAATATTTCCATTACCCATTTTCTGGTTTGATTTGATTTGATTTTTAAATTTTATTTTATTTGTTTTTAGAGACAGGGTCTGGCTTTGTGGCCTAGGCTGGAGTGCAGTGGCATGATCACAGCTCACTGCAGCCTCGACCTCCCAGGCTCAAGCAATCCTCCCACCTCAGTCTCCCAAGTATCGAGGACCACGGGCGAACACCACCATGCCCAGCTTATTTTTTTTTTTTTAGAGATAGGGTCTCATTATGTTGCCCAGGTTAGCCTTGAACTCTTGGGCTCAAGCGATCCTTCCACCTCAGCCTCCTAAAGTGCTGGGATTACAGGTGTACACCACTGCACCTGGCTCATTTTCTGATTTTAAGGCAGCTTTTTGTAAAGTATTGATCTAATCTCAAATCTGAGGGGGGATGTGATAATAAGAAAACCTAACAGTTGTATGT
Source organism: Homo sapiens (assembly GCF_000001405.40). Lineage (NCBI taxonomy): Eukaryota > Metazoa > Chordata > Mammalia > Primates > Hominidae > Homo > Homo sapiens. The sequence continues at coordinate 68,886,629 of NC_000015.10, read as the reverse complement.
ATTTGCTTTCACATTCACTGTTAGAATATATTTGTTTATATCTTTTGTTTATGCCAAACAATTTGCCCAAGATCACACAGTTAGAAATTGACTGAGTTGAACCTTAAACTCTGTTCTTCCGACTCAGATGTCAGTACTTTCCACAACCGTAAAATTATCTTTCACTATCTGTTCTTCCTCATTTTTCAAGTGTAATTCAAGATCTGAAAAATTTGCGTCTAGAAGTTTAGCTGCAACTTTGGAGAAAAGAACATATTGTTTAAGAGGCAAAATCTCTCCCATATGCAAAAATTTATTTTGTGCAAAAGTAGCCATGTTTTTCCCAAATGTTGTCTTCCCCGACCCCCGCGAGGCACAAATTAAATTAATGCCTGTGAGACTTTCCAAATAGCTCCTCTATAAACTGTGAAGCCCCTCTGGAAAGTTATTCAGTGAGTACCTAGAAGAGCCTGTTGGGAGCTACACCAAAAGCAGGAATATTCAGAGGTTAGTGCTCCATCCCTGGAGGCTCATGGATGAGGTATGACCCACACAGGGAATAATCTGGAGAGTTAACTGCAGTGGATAGGGAGAGATCCACAGCAAGTACTTGAACATTCTGTACTGATATTGCACATCTGTATGGCCCATTCTTTATTGGTCCGACATATATATAGGCCTTAGGCATTGTCACAGAGTGGTCCTTTATGCGGCTAGTGATGATAACAGCTGCAGTTGTTTCATGTGTCCAGTGCATGCATAGTTTGTTCCAAACCCTTCCTCCCAGCCTGGCTCCACTTTTTAGTGATAAATGATACCAGTATCATGAAACACATGTCACTACTCTCTGCTTTCAAGGACAAATTTTGTGTTTGGTTTTTCTCCCCCATAGGGAAGAAACATAAAACATAATGTCAATACAGATCCTTTATCTTTATTACTAAAGCACAGTAAACTAAGGTGCATATTTAATTTAACACATTCTGATGTAGCTCACTGTGGGCCCTCAATGAATAGTTTGTGAACATTTTCTACTATTGCCTTTGAAAAGGTTGTACAACTTAGCTTGAACAATTTGGCTTATTTGTTTACTAATTTGTAGAAGAAGGAATTTACAGTGTTAGATTGTGAAAAGTAGAATGTTTTAATAATGTATTAATAATTTCATTGCTAGCATGGCTCTGCTGTCTTCAGATTATTTTCCTACTCAGTTCTAGCACCTCTGGCCTCCTAGTTACTTGCCCAATTTTGACATGCAGGAATGACTGTGTAAGGCTCGTAGAAACTTGGCATGTATTCTTTCTTTGGCATCATTTAATATATTTAAACCCAGCAGTGTATCTAGAGGCAGCCAATGTTTCACCACCGGGTTTTATATATATTAAATGACACATTCCAGCAGAAGACCAGAATCTAGCCTGGCTGGATTCCTGCTGGATTTCGCAATTTTCTCTGGAATGTCTGGGCAACCCATTTTGGCACTGTCCTCGGGGGTCGGGTCGGGGGAGGTCCTCTTCTTCCCTTTCTCCCATGACAAAACTCACCTCCTCTTTATGTCTTTGTGGTCTATTAGTCTAATCAACTTGTTGACTGTTATTATTTTCTCTGTTTTGTGAGTTGATTTTTTTTCTTAATTTTGTACTTCCCCTTTAGGAATATATTTTAAATTTAGAATCAGTCAGGATTTTACTTACAGTAATTGAAGAAATTGGCTTTCCAATTTTTAGATGAGTGCATGCAAACTGAAATCAAAATTTATTGCTATTAGTGAAAATCAAATGATATCAGTTTACAAAATATAAACAGGGAAAATATTCACTAATGTAAACTGCAAATGATGATCCATTATTTGTCACTCAGTAACATAGGGAGGAAAAAGCTAGCTTCCATTTTTACCTAAAAAAAAATAACAAAATTTAGCAGAATACATCTAGACCAAAGTAATTCAAGTTTTGAGAGAATTGGTCTTCCTAGATCAGCAATAAAGAAGGAATTGATGACATAATAACTTCACTTGCCAATAGCCATAAGAAAGTAGGAATTATTCAATATGGTGTTCAAGCCAAGAATTTTTTATTTGGGGAAAATATAAGTTAAATTATCTTTTCCTATCTTATACCAGAAACGCCTAGGTAGATCAAATAGTTAATATGTAAATGTCAGTCCATAAATAGAGAAAATAAAGTTGCATATCTATCAGGTTCTATTCACCAAACAGAATCTCCCTCCCTCAATGGGGAATAATTAATTTCCTAAGTTAAAGAGCAATTTTAGAAATTCTGCTGGGTGCACTGGCTCATGCCTTTAGTACAAACACTTTGGGAGGCCTAGGCAAGAGAACAGCTTGAGCCCAGGAGTTCGAGACCAGCCTGGGCAACATGGCAAAATTCAGTCTCTACAAAAAAAAAAAAAAAAAAAAGATATTTAATTAGTCAGGTGTGGTAGCATGCACCTGTAGTCTCAGCTACTCAGGAGGCTGAGGTGAGAGGATCACTTGAGCCCAGGATGTTGAGGCCATAGGGAGCTGAGATTGCACCACTGCTCTCCAGCCTGGGTGACAGAGTGAGCCCTTGTCTCAAAAAAAAAAAAAAAAAAAAAAAAAAAACCTCAAAGGAAAAGGAAAGTAGCAGTAGATTTAATTACATTGGAAAAAATTGCAACAATTATGATAAATGTGTAAAAATCTTTACTAAGTGAAAATCTCATATATATAACAAAAAAGCCCTAAAGGTCCAAACAAATCAATGGGGAAAAAATATCAATAGATAATTATTTTTAAAAAGTGCTGGGTGAGGTGGCTCAAGCCTGTAATCCCAGCACTTTGGGAGGTCAAGGTGGGCAGATCACCTGAGGTCAGGAGTAGTGTGGTGGTGGGCACCTGTAATCCCAGCTACTAGGGAGGCTGAGGTAGGAGAATCACTTGAACCTGGGAGGTGGAAGTTGCAGTGAGCTGAGATCCACCACTGCACTCCAACCTGGCTGACAGAGTGAGAGACTCCATCTCAAAAAAAAAAAAAAGAAAAAGAAAAAAACAAAAATAACTAATAGGCAAAAAAATACATTTAACCTCAATTGTTTGCAAATTCATGCAATACAAATATCATTTTGCCAAATTCAAATAGTGCACATTACTTAAAATTGATTTTAATAAGCAATTCTGCAGTAAGATGAATTTCTGCTCACTATGGTGAGTACATACATTTTTAACTTTCTGGAACCAGTTCAGTCATGTATACCAGTAATCTGAAAAGTGGTGATATCTTTTGACATACGGGTACCATGAGGCTGACTGTATTTCTGTGATGCTGTTCACCATGATGTTTGATTCTCCTGGTTGATTAGATTTACTGTTTTTCTCTTTTAGGGAAGGATACTGCAAGTGCAGTGCCATGTGCTTCATTCGGCCTCACATCAGGTGGCACAACGTACCTGACAGTGGCAGCCTTAGCAGTGCTGAGCTGAGTAACACAGAGTAAACCACTCAGCCTTTAAATCTATGATATAAGCCTTTATATCATTTTTAATATGTGAAATAATCAAAGTCAGATTTTACAATTACCTTAGAAAGAAACTGCAAACATAAGTTCTATTTGTAAAATATTGGAGGGAGGGTATTTTCTAATATATGTTGTAAAAAAATGTTTAAATGGTGAGCATGTAGTTGGTTATATAAGCTTTTTGAATACTTCAACTTACAAAGTGATTGATTCAAACTTGGTACAATTAGAACGGCATCCAGAGAAGCCTTCTTTAATTTTCTATACCACATAGAAAAATGCATCGTCAAAATGGGTGAAGCTGGGCTGCCTCTGAAAACAGAACTATAATGCATTTGTTTTTTTGTTTTTTTTGTTTGTTTGTTTGTTTTTGTTTTTGAGGCTGAGTCTCCCTCTGTAGCCCAGGCTGGAGTGCAGTGGCACGATCTCGGCTCACTGCAACCTCAGCCTCCTGGGTCCTGGTTCAAGCAATTCTCCTGCCTCGGCCTCCCGAGTAGCTGGGATCACAGGCATGTGCCACCATGCTCAGCTAATTTTTTTTTTTGTATTTTTGGTAGAGACGGGGTTTCACCATGTTGGCCAGGCTGGTCTTGAACTCCTGACCTCGTGATCCACCCGCCTCGGCCTCCCAACGTGCTGGGATTATAGGCGTGAGCCACAGCACCCCACCAATGCATCTGATTTTGATTGGATTATCAGTTCAGAAATTTCCCAATACCAAATTCTACCACTCTGTCTAAGGAAGGACTCTCTCCATATTTTAGCTCCTAGATCACCCTCCCTAATCTTTATACTACGTAAAATAAGCTGTCTGCCTCTGCTCAAAAGGGCTGAATGGGATACATGGATACATGAATTGATAGGGTTTTAATGGATTCTTTTGGAAAGGGGACGGTCCCACACCATGCTATGGCCTTCGATGTTATTTTTTAACAACTTCTAAATAACAACATGTTGTTTTTTAAATGTGCCTGAAGATGTATATTTACCATCCAAGAGAGTACAAATTTGAGACTCCAACTTCAGCGCTACTCCACTACATGGCTTCTGTACACCTTAGTGAATTGTGGCACTTGTGAGGGTCAACAAAACTCACCCTGTGGCTGGCTGGCACATGATGGATGGACGTCGAAGAGGGTCAAATCGTTTTATGGTACACGATGGCTAAAACATGGATAGGAATGTCAGGTTGTCTGATACTAAACTATTTTGAAATTCTGAGGTTGCAACCTCAGTCTTTAGAGTCTACACCCAAAGCTTTCTATGGCCCTGTTCTTCCCCCAAAGACACCAGATGTTGGAGAAGTAGGGTCCCATGAGCCTTTTCATTAACGTTTCATGAGGGAGACTTATCCTTCTGTATGGATGTCATCAAAACACCCTGAGAATATACTTACAGTTGAACCATTTTTTCTCACTTGAATAAAATTAACCTGAGTACAGTAGTCCCCCCTTATCCACAGGGGGTGTGTTCCAAGACCCCCAGTACATGCCTGAAACCATGGATAGTACCAAACCCCATATATTCTATGTTTTTGCTATTCACACATACCTATGATAAAGTTTAACTTATAACTTAGGCACAGTAAGAGATTAACAACAGTAACTAATAGTAAAATGAAACAATTATAACAATATTCTGTAATAAAAGGCATATAAATGTGATCTCTCTCCCAAAATATCTTTTTTTAATTTTTATTTATTTATTTATTTATTTTGAGACGGAGCCTCACTCTGTCACCCAGGCTGGAGTACAGTGGTATGATCTTGGCTCACTGCAACTTGTGCCTCCTGGGTTCAAGCAATTCTCCCTGCCTCAGCCTCCCAAGTAGCTTGGATTACAGGCAACTGCCACCATGCCCGGCTTATTTTTGTATTTTTAGGAGAGACAGGGTTTCTCCATGTCGACCAGGCTGGTCTTGAGTCCTGACCTCAGGTGCTCCACCCGCCTCGGCCTCCCAAAGTGCTGGGATTACAGGCATGAGCCACCATGCGCAGTCCTTTTTTAAATTTTTTAATTTATTTTTAATTTTTTGGGTACACAGTAGGAGTATATATTTACGGGGTGCGTGAGATATTTTAATACATGCAATGTATAATAATCGCATCAGGTTAAATGCAATTATTTACCTTCATCTCAAACATTTATCTTTTGTGTTGCAAACCAATTACACTCTTTTAGTTATTTTAAAATGTACAATTATTTTTTACTATAGTCACTCTGTTATACTAGCAAATACTAGATCTTATTCGTTCCAATTATTTTTTGTACCCCTAAAATATCTTATTTTACTATACCGTGAGTAACTAAAACCTCGGAAAGTGAAAGCATGGAATACTGCGTATTTCCCACCCTCAGCGTGTGTGTGTCTTAACAAAGTCAGCCAGGGCACCTGCCCCCCTCCTTCTCATCAGGCCTTCTTAGCAAAATAGCATCCTTGTGGAGGGCCAGGGCTGTGTCCTGTGGGTTAGTGATATGATCAAGATTCCTAAGTACAAAACTGAAGCGCAGGACCTTAGAGCTGGTATAAGTCTGAGGCAAGATGTTGAAAGTATTCTGCAGCCCCTGCCATGTGAAAGCAAACTGTTTCTGGTGTTACTGCTTATTGGGATGGAGAAAAAAGCATTCGCCAAACTGATAATGACATAACACGGGCTATGAAGGAGACAATGTCTGTAAAAGCAGATGCAATTAAAGTCATTGTCATTTCATTCTCTGAGTTATTCTATATACTGCATCAGCCATATTGTCACTTAAATTGCAGATGTGATAGAAATCATCACTTCTGGCCGGGCGCGGTGGCTCACGCCTGTAATCCCAGCACTTTGGGAGGCCAAGGCGGGCGGATCACCTGAGGTCAGGAGTTGGAGACCAGCCTAGCCGACATGGTGAAACACTGTCTCTACTAAAAATACAAAAATTAGCTGGGTATGGTGGTGGGCGCCTGTAATCCCAGCTACTTGGGAGGCTGAGGCAGGAGGATCGCTTGAACCTGGGAGGCAGAGGTTGCAGTGAGGTGAGATTGCACCATTGCACTCCATCCTTGGCAACAAAGCGAGACTCCATCTCAAAAAAGAGAGAAATCATCACTTCTGCATCTTTCAAGTTTTGGATAGTAGTGCTAACCACTGTGTTTCCCCCAACAATGCAATATTACTCTTTAATTTAGTTTTTAAAAAAGCAGGGGAAGGGGGAATGTCTTGGTTCTTCCAATAATAACAGCTCTCACTCCGTAGAGGGGATTGAGTGTGAAAATTCTGCCAGTTTCTAAGTATATCAATTTTAACTGTACACTCAGGAACTTGGGAAATAATCACCAGATAAATTCAAAATATCTTACCCCAGGTGTTCCTTAATTCCATGGCTTAAGTAAAATAGAGTTTACCAGCTCTCTCGTTCTCTGCTCCTGTCTCTATATATCTATGAGAGTAATTCTATGAGATAATTCCTAAAAGTAGGATTGCTGGGTCAAAAGGAAAATGTAGATCTTCATCCCATAAACAACGTATTACTTGCCAATCAGCTATCTTGTTTTAATCTTTATGTCTTTAACTTTTAGCAATACAAAGCACTTTTAGACCTCCCTTCCCCACCCCAAATATCTTCAAATGTCCTTAGAGTCCTTGTCACAATGAGCCTACTATGAGATAGAGTCAAATCAAAACACCATTTATTCCCCTGCCTGCTGAGAGCCCCCACCTTCACAAATGGGCCAGAGTAGCTTTCAAGCTCTTGGTATTTTCCTTTTATTAGCATATAGTTACTTGATCAATGACAACCAGTCATTAGTGGGAGGCTTGCAGTACAACTCTCAGCTGTTTGTCGTGCTGGGTTCTTCTCTGAGGCTCCCCAGCTTCCCTTTCATTCTGGTTTGGGAACTGACCAAGATCATGGAATCAGCAGTGGAACTGTTACCCTAGACTGGTGCCTCAAGACAGGGCTCCATTTACTAAACCCAGGCTGGATGTTATTATTGTTGCTGATGCACAAATCAAGTATAAATTTTATCAACTGCCCATATTATCAACTGGAAATAGTTCAGTGACTGAGATGCACCATGCCATGGAATACAAGTTTAAAATACTGAGGTATATCTAAATGAACTGACATGTAAAGTTCCCCAAATACCTTGGAGTGAAAAAAAAGCTATAGAAAATGTTCCGAATTTACCATTTATATAAAACACACAGCAACCCAAAAACTATATGTTTATGTATTTACATATTTGTATTTATGTATAAATACATCGATAACATTCTGGGAGAATCCACACCAAAGTGGCGATAACAGTTACATCTCAGGAGACATGCGGGATTACGGGGGAGTTGGGGTGGTGAGGGAGGCTTTTTTTTCCCCCCTTTATGCTTGAGTTTTTTGCCAAAGTGTTTTCGGGTATGGTTCATGTCACATTAAGAAACAATAATACTTTTTAAACTCAGAAATTGAAAACCAAATATCATATGTTTTCACTTATATGTGGGAGCTAAGCTGTGAGGATGCAATGGTATAAGAATGATATATGGACTTTGGGGATGCAGGAGGAAGGTTGGGAGGGGGGTGAGGGACAAAAGACTACATATTGGGTACAGTGTACACTGCTCGGGTGATGGGTGCACTAAAACCTCAGAATTCACCATGAAAGAACCTATCCACATAACCAAAAAACACCTATACTCCAAAAACTATTGAAATAAAAAATTGTCAAAAGAAACAATAATATTTTTTAATCCAGAAGTTTGTGGAAAGGTGATGGTAAGAATGTACCTCCCATTTCTCCCTTTGCCCTCAGCAGGCTTCTGTCCACTGCGCTGCAAATATTTGAAGCAATGGCCTCATCTCTAGATCTTGCTGACAACATTGACACCTAATTACACAATATAATGTAATATCATGGCTTTTGTTCTGCTTGTGGTGTGTTTTGTCTCCTTTCCAAGGTAGAAAGTTCTCTTCCTTCTGTATCCCACACAGCATTTATCAATGTGCTCAGTAAAGCCTTATTAAATAAATAAAGCCTCATGCAACTCTCCTTAAAGCAGAAGGGCCTTCTCCCCTCCAATACTCCTATGCCAAATCTAGTGAAATCCAATTGTTTCTTCAAAATTTTGTTCAAATGTTATTTCCTCTGGGAATCTTCCTCAGACTCGTTTCTTCAATTACAATTTGAAAAATGTTTTACCTCTCTTCTCATAACACTTTAAACACACATTCTTATACCTATAATATAATATTTATTTTATTATAATTACTGCATTTCAATTTGTCGCTTGTCAGCCTTCGCCTCTAGCCTACATTCCTGGAGGACAGGGAGCCAGGCATGTCACCCATCCCTCATGATAATGCAGTTCTTCACACCCACCTAAGCCTTGCAACAGCAGGTACTCAATAGGTATGTCAAATTCAGTTGAAATTAAAAGGATAAGAGAGGTTGTTATATGGAAATTTTTCTACACATGAATCTTCTTTTATGTAATCCCACATGGAGCGATCAATGGTAATTCAGCCACTGAGACAACGTCCCACACAATACTTACTCTTCCTCTTTAAAACAAACCTCTCCTCCCAAAGGGGTTATGATCCTGTTCTTTAAGCTCAGCCATACTCCCTTTCTCTGCTAGACTCTCCACTTATCTATGCCCATCATTCTCCAGGGGGACTTCCTAACAGTGAATTTGCTGGATCAGAGAGAAGAATCTCCATTCTCATCAAGCACTATGTATTATACGCCTTTGCCAATTGGCCTGACGAGACATGGCTCCTTTTTGTTTAAAGTTGCATTTCTTTGATGTTCAGCGCTCCATCTTGTCTTCCTCCTCGACCTTCACGCACACATCTTTTGCTGCCCTCAGGAGCAACACTTTCCTCCTTTTAATGTTTTCACATTACCCTGATGGAATTAACAGGCAATCATCGTCAGTCATCCAGGGATCCGATTGTCCACTTGGGCAGGAGGCCAGAGCCATATAAAAGAAGGCCTACCTCCAACTTCGTGGGCCACTTGCCTGACAAGAGCAAGGAGACTTGAGGCAACTAGCTGTGTCAGTGCATCAGCCTGGCCTAGTTAACTCCAGCTCACTCTTCAGACCTCACTTCAAAAGGCAAGTCCTCAAGCGTTTGCTGACTTCCAGATGCACTCAGATTGTCCTATTCTGAGCTCTAATGATTATTTTTTCATTGTATGTTTATTTCACTAATATTTGTAATTTACATGAGGACAGGGCACTGGTCTTTCTGTTGCTCATCATCTCCTATCACAGTGCTTAACACCTAGTAGGAGCTCAATAAATATTTGCAAAATGAATCAAACCCATCAATTTGTAACTCTAAATGAAATCCCCAGGGCCGGGCATGGTGGCTCACAGCTGTAACCCCAGCACTTTGGGAAGCCAGGGTGGGTGGATCACCTGAGGTCAGGAGTCTGAGACCAGCCTGGCCAACATGGTGAAACCCCGTCTCTACTAAAAATACAAAATTAGCCAGGCATGGTAGCGCATCCCTGTAATCCCAGTTACTTGGAAGGCTGAGGCAGGAGAATCGCTTGAACCTGGGAGGCGGAGGTTGCAGTGAGCCGAGATGGTGCTATTGCACTCTAACCTGGGCAACAAGTGCCAAACTCCATTTCAAATAAATAAATAAATAAATGAAATCCCCCTAGCAGTGGTTATCCCTGTCTGCACATTAAATCACCTGTGAAATTTCTTTTAAAAAAATAATACTAATGTCTATCCCAGCAGTAGACTTTTTTTTTTTTTTTTAAGACGGGGTTTCACTATTATTGCCCAGGCTGGAATGCAACCGCAAGGTCTCGGCTCACTGCAACCTACGCCTCCCGGGTTCAAGCGATTCTCCTGCCTCAGCCTCTAGAGTAGCTGGGATAACACGCGTGCACCACTAAGCCCGGCTAATTTTTGTATTTTGGGTAGAGACGGGGTTTCACCATGTTGGCCAGGCTGGTTTCGAACCCCTGACCTCAGGTGATCCGCCCGCTTCTGCCTCCCAAAGTGCTGAGATTACAGGCGTGAGCTATCAGTAGAGCTTTTAAATCAGAATTTCCAGGTAATTCCTCACGTGCCACCACGGTTAAGAAACTGATGATCTGTGCCAACCTCCTTGACAAGGAAGGCCATTGGCCGCCAGGGGGCGCGCAAACAACACCAATAGTTCCAGAAAGCTACTTGCAGCTACACATGGACTTCTTTGATGAGTTCGTCCTTTCAGTGACAATTTTAGATCTGGATCCGTTTACACACACACACACACACACACACACACACGATCCTGCTTCGTAACATAAAAAAAGTGAAAATGAACATCAGAGGCATGGTGACTTTTGTAGGTTCTGCCCCGCAAGGGCGAGGCAGCATGAGTTTGGATTGGTTTGTTTGTCTTTTTGTTACAGAGTCTCGCTCTGTCCCCCAGGCTGGAGTGTAGTGGCGCGATCTCGGCTCACTGCAACATCCCCCTCCCGGGTTCAAGCGACTCTCCTGCCTCAGCCTCCCGAGTAGCCAATACTACAGGCGCACAACACCACGCCCGGCTAATTTTTGTATTAGCAGAGACGAGGTTTCACCGTGTTGGCCGGGCTGGTCTGGACTCCTGACCTCAAGCTCAGTCCGCCCGCCTCCGCCTCCCACAGTGCTGGGATTACTAGGCAGCATGAGTTTTTAATCCTTGACTGCAGAGCATTGAATGGGCTCCGCGGGCTACATTGTTTAGTTTTAACATGCGAAGGGCGAGACATTCTTGGCTAGGAGGGAATGCAGTGGATGGGCACTAGCCTTGGATCTCTTAAGGCAACCCCAAGTCAATGTCCAAAGTTTTAGGTGCTTTATCTTAAAATTTAACGTGAGCCACTACTCACTTTGTCACCATTAAGTGACAGCTCTACTCCCAAAGCTTTGTGCCCCAAACACCAGCGATCACTTTGCTGGCAGAAGTTTGGTGCCAGAATACCCGACTCTGTGCCTGAATAGTCAACTCTTCTAACTTCAGGGCCTTCTGTGCACCAGGCCCGGTGCTAGGAATTTGAGTACATCCACACATTAACTCGCTAGCTTTTAACTACCACCCTGCAAAATAGCTAGTAATGCCCCATTTTACAGATGAGGAAACCTGAGCTCAGAGAAGTTAAGTAATTTGCCCCAGGGCACACATATCTTCCGACTCTAAGGCGGTGGTTATAGCCAAGTCAGACAAACCTGGGATCCCAACTGCACCACTGACAAACCGTATAAACTTGGACAAGCCGTGTCATCTTCCTGAGGCTCCATTTCTTCATCTGTAGGAGGCAGTGTTATGAAAATCAAATAACATACATGCACGCAGCTGTTCAGATCCCTGAACACAGAAGGCACTTCATAAATAGGTATGTCTACCTGTGTTTCTGTCTATCCTTTCTTCTTTCCTTATTCTTTCCAACCAGAATGAGATGGGTTATCAGTTGCTGGCTCTGAAAGGGAGCATGGTCCACCATTCTATCTTCTGAATACTTCCAGCTCTGGCACTCACTGCTGTGTGGGGGGGCCCCACTTCTTTACCTTCCCCTAGATATAAAGGTGAGTATTAGGAAGAATTCCAAGATGGTTAAGTGTTCTGGATACTGAAACACTTACCAAGAGAGGAAATTTCTTCTCAGGAAATTCGTAGTTCATCTAGTGTCTGGCTGGACACGTGATTGCCCAAAAGCAGGAGGTGGGGTCTTCACATTGTCCTTCTCGAATATACCCCACAAGAATTTCACACATTATAGCAGTTGCCCTCTAAAATTTTTCGTTCTAAATTGTTTGTTGTCTGTCATGGGAGTTGACATTTTTAAAGAAAACTTTCATAATGTTCTTTTAAATATACACAATGGGGCCGGGCATGGTGGCTCATGCCTGTAATCCCAGCACTTTGGGAGGCCAAGGTGGGCGGATCACCTGAGCTCAGGAGTTCGAGACCAGCCTGGCCAACATGGCAAAACCCCGCCTCTACTAAAAATACAAAAATTAACTAGGCATAGTGGCATATGCCTGTAGTCCCAGCTACTTGGGAGGCTGAGGCAGGAAAATCACTTGAAACCAGGAGGCAGAGGTTGCAGTGAACTGAGATTGCACCACTGCACTCCAGCCTGGGGGACAGAGTGAAACTCCATGTAAAAATAAATTTAAAAAATAAAAATGAACAAATAGATACAATGGAAAATAATTGCTATGTAATTTGATTTCCATTATCTATTTAAAACATACATGAGCTAGCTTATCCTTAACAGTCAAAAATGTTACATCTTTTTTCCTCCTTCAATTCAAAATTTTACATAAAAATATATCTTTATGTTTCAAAGTTTTTTAAATTGATTACCATATTATCCTTATGTATAACTAAAATATGGGAAATTTATTTTAATTTTAAAATTTCATATGATTCTAAACATTAAAAAAAATCCAGATTGAGTTATCATTGCAAGTATCATCTGTATAAAATTAAACAAAACATCAAGTTATAAATTTTTTATTAGGTATAAAATGTTGAATTACATTAACTATATCACGTTTAAATTGTATTAAATTATACACATATTCCTTAATGAAATAGGCTTTTGTTTTTCAGTTAGTTCATATATGTACGGAAAATATCACTGATTATTAAAATGAGACAGGGTTCAGAATAAATCCCATTCCAATTTTTATTTCTGTATATATTAATACTTAGAAAATGTGTTTACCAACTGGGCATGGTGGCTCATGCCTGTAATCCCAGCATTTTGGGAGGCCGAGGCGGGCAGAGCACCTGAGGTCAGGAGTTCGAAACCAGCCTGGCCAACATGGTGAAACCCCGTCTCTACTGAAAATACAAAATTAGCCAGGCATGGTAGTGCATGCCTGTAATCCCAGCTACTTGGGAGGCTGAGGCAGGAGAATCACTTGAACCCAGGAGGCGGAGGTGGCAGTGAGCTGAGATCGCACCATTGCACTCTCACCTAGGCAACAGGAGTGAAACTCCATCTCAAAAATAAATAACTAAATAAATAAGTATATATGTATATATGTTTATCAAAAATATATATGTTTATATATATATATCAGTGAGTAGAAATGGAAGGAATTTTGTTATGCAATGTCATTCAACTTTTTAAAATTTTCTTCTGAGATATATCTCAAAAATCCCATGATGATCTAATGCCATGCTGTGCCCTTAACACCTAGATGTCTAGACGATGAAAAGCCATGCCTTCAGTTTATGGTGCCTTGATTCCCATTAATGAACACGTCAGTGTACCTTTCTTTGGTGCTCCAGAGGCAGAGACATAGTAAGAAGTTAAATGGGTAAGTGAGACGCCTTTCTTTTATAAAGTAAGATAAGCAGAATTATAAAGGGAAATTAAAGGGAAAGCTTCATGACACCTGGGTTACAGGCATGTCATCAGGCCGAGTAGGGGCTTCCTGTTTACTGAGATGGCAAGCTGCATTAATAATGTGGTCTTCTAATGTGTAAAGCAAATGTGAACAGAAAACTACAAAGATAAACAGACAAATCCTAGCAACAATGGAAGATTTTAATATACTCATCTCACTAATGGGACAAACAAAAAAAACCAATAAGGGATAGAGATTCGAACACATCAGTAACTCACTTGATGTAATGCACGCTTACAGACCTGCGACAACAATCTGCAAAGCACACATCCTTCACATCACATACAGAATATTTACAAAAATTGACTATATACACGGCCAAGTATGTGAGGTAATGCATATATGCTAATTAGCTGGATTTAACCATTCCAAATGTATACATTGTCAAAATATGTTGTATATTATAAATACAATTTTTCTCAATTTTTTAAAAAATGGGCCAAAGACCTTGACAGACACCTCACCAAAGAAGATATACAGATGACAAGTAAACATATGAAAAGATGCCCACATCATATGTCATCAAGGAAATGCAAATTAGAACAACAACAAGATACCATTGGCCAGGCACAGTGGCTCATGCCTGTAATCCTAGCACTATGGGAGGCCGAGATGGGCGGATCACCTGAGGCCAGGAGTTTGAGACCAGCCTGGCAAATGTGGTGAAACTCCCTTTCTCCACCACAAAAAAAGAAAAAAAAGTTAGCTGGGCATGGTGGCACGCACCCGTACTCCCAGCTACTCGAGAGGCTAAGGCATGAGAATCACATGAACCGGGGAGGCGAAGGTTGCAGTGAGCCGAGATGGCACCACTGCACTCCAGCCTGGTACAGCCACTTTGGAAGACAGTGTAGCAGTTTCTTACAGAACTAAACATACTCCTATCATAGGATCCAGCAGCTATGCTCCTTGGTATTTACCCAAAGGTGTTAAAAACTTATGTCTACACAAAAACCTGCACACCAATGTTTATAGCAGCTTCATTCATAACTGCCAAAACTTGGAAGCAATCAAGATGTTCTCAGTAGATGAATGAATAAACTATGGTACATCCAGACAATGAAATACTATTCAGCACTGAAAAGAAATGCACTATTAAGCCATGGAGGAATCTTCAAGGCATATAACTAAGTGAAAGGAGCTGGTCTGAAAGGGGTACATACTGCATGATTCCAGCTATATGACATTCTGGAAAAAGCAAAATTGTAGAGACAGTAAAAAGATCAGGGGTTGCCAGAGCCTGAGGTAGGGTGATGAATAGACAGAGCACAGAGAATTTTTAGGGGACTGAAACTACTCTGTATGATACTATAATGGTGAGTAACTATCATTATACATACGTCCAAACACATAGAAAGTACAACATCAGGGGTGAACTCTAATGTAAACTACAGACTTTGGATAATTATGATGTGCCAGTGTAAGTTCATCAGTTGTAACAAATGTACCACTCTGGTGGAAAACGTTGATAATAGTGGAGGCTCTGTATGTGTCAGGGCAGAGGGTAATATGAAAGGTTTCTGTACCTTCCTCTCAATATTACTGTGAACCTAAAACTGCTCTAAAAAAGTGAAGTCATTTTTTAAAAGGACATCATAGTAGTCCTCCAAAACTTATTTTTAATCCTTATTATGTTAATAAAATTTATCCATATTGTTGATGTCACTGTTATACATTCATTTTCTCCACCTTTTGGTGTCTGCATAATTATTGAAAATCCTAAGAGCTTTTATTTATGAAGATTACCTCTAACAATAACATAGATATTAAAAATTTAATCTGAGGATTGTTAAAAATATTTATTTGCTTTAAAATAACAAGGACCCCATTTTAACATAGAAACATTCATTTTATTAGAAATGACTGTATTTCTCAAGACACAAAAAAATTTTAGTGAGAAAACTAAATCATTACTTTACAAATCTTCTTAGTGTCTGGCCAGATAGAAGACAGCCAGATTCTTATATCTGCTTTGGCATTTAATTTGCTGTGAAAGGCTGTTTGGCAGAAATATATGAAGATAATCCAAGCTCACACGGACGTGGAATTGGAGAGGGGAGGAATATTTCAGTAGCCTTTATAGATCATTGTGGCCGCTTTGTAAGGTTAGTTGCAGGGTAGAATCTGAAACCATATCAATAAAGTTTCAGTACGCAGTCATGTTAAAACCCACTGGTCTGTCTTGCAGTTTGAATGGATTTTTGCCCCTGCTCAATTTTGCAGTAAACAGATTGACACTAGTGCTCTCACCCCAACATGTGACAACCATGTGTTATTCATGGGAACCCCAGGAAGCTGAGGGGCCAAAGGGGGCTCCACAACTCTGAGTGGCCAACGTGATGGTGCCCTTGAGATTTTCCTCTCTTTCAGCTCATGGCAAAGCACTGAAGTTTGCAGGCAGTAAGTTACATGGATTTACAGACTAAATCATCTGTTAACCTAAGCAACCCTCCCAAGATGGACAAATGTTATAAAATTGGACCTTCAAAGGGACCTTGGATCAAAGATGACACTAAAAAAACAAGCACAAGTGCGCAACAAGAGAAGGGCAAACCTGACACATCTCCTGCCTATTTGCAAGGTTACAAACAGCAACCATCCAATAACGAGGTCTGTCAAAAGGTCAGCTAACAAGACTTGAACTTATCAAGAAGACTACTGGAGACACAGTGATGCCTTGCTTAAGGATGGGGATACGTTCTGAGAAATGCGTTATTTGGCGATTTTGTTGTTGTGTGAACATCATAGAGTGTAGTTACACAAACGTAGATGGGCTAGCTCACTACGCACCTAGGCTACGTGGTATAACCCATCATTTCCAGGCTACAAACCCGTACGGCACGCGACTGTGCTGAATACCACAGGCAACTGTAACACAATGGTGTCTGTGTATCTAAACACCTCTAAACATAGAAATGGTACAGTAAATATACAGTATGAAAGAAAAAAATGGTACACCTGTATAGGGCAGCTGCATTATAGTCTTTTGGGGCCATGGTCATTGATGTGGTGTGCTGTTGACTGACACCTTGTTATGCAGTGCATGTCTATACATTATTTACACCCACTATTGTTAGCCACCACCATTACTTCACATACACACTAAACCTAAGACGTTAGCTATGAGATTATGAAGCAAAACATTTACATCTCTCTCACTTTCTGTGTGTGTGTGTGTTAGTTTAGGAAGTAGGTATCAGAAGAATTCCTTTTTTTTTTTGAGACGGAGTCTCGCTGTGTCCCCCAAGCTGGAGTGCAGTGGCTCAATCTCAGCTCACTGCAAACTCCGCCTCCCAGGTTCATGCCATTCTCCCGCCTCAGCCTTCCGAGTAGCTGGGACTACAGGCGCCCGCCAACACGCCCGGCCAATTTTATTTTTGTGTTTTTAGTAGAGACGGGGTTTCACTGTGTTAGCCAGGATGGTCTCGATCTCCTGACCTCGTGATCCGCCCCCC
Organism: Homo sapiens; assembly: GCF_000001405.40. Lineage (NCBI taxonomy): Eukaryota > Metazoa > Chordata > Mammalia > Primates > Hominidae > Homo > Homo sapiens. Next base: position 68,869,307 of record NC_000015.10, on the reverse strand, counting down.
TCGGCCTCCCAAAGTGCTGGGATTACAGGCGTGAGCCACTACACCCAGCCAAGAATTCCTTTTTTGTAAAGAAAGTCCAAAATAGTCTTTGCTGTCACTAGGAAAATATAAATTATTCAGTCTTGTATTTGACCTAAGTGTATACAAGATGTTGTGTACAGATTGTTCCCTCAAGTAGCTGAACATTTCCCTACTTTATTTTCAAGATGACATCTTAGTTTTTAAATAATTAGAAATAGTGAATAGGAATTAATGCTGGAGTGTCCTGAATATCTTGCATCTGATTTGGCAATAAAAGACAAAAGAAAGGCTGTACTCAACTCTCAAAACTTGGTGCCAATATTATACATCCAATAGTATTATACTTAGCGTGCCCAAATTAGCACATAACTTATAATTAAGTGTGTAGTTGTTTATCTCTACTCAGTGACAGGCTGTGAACAGAAGGTGACAATGGTGAGGATTATATTGTCATTGTTCTGAAGAGCAATCAGAAATTATCTGGTTTTTAAAAAATTCTCCTTTTATAAATGAACAGAAAGTCATTCTGTTCCATTTTTAGGATCCAAACCAAGAAAAAACTGTATCTGATATATAAATTACATACTTGGGAACAGCTTAAATCTCAGAGTTATGAAATGTCTTAACACCTTTTATATTTGGTATAAATAAGATATTTTGTTGTTTATTGAGCTGATCAGCTTACAGTTTAATATGACCAGATATCACCCAATTCTCTTACCCAGCCTGGCAGGGCAGGAATGATTACTCTCTCCTTGCTGTCTCATGGCACTTCATACATAAACGCCATATGGCACTGTCCACCAAGTGTCATCGCCACAGCTCACACTGCTGCATAACTGACTAGACCAAATCCTTCAAAGGCTGAACCATTTCTCATTTCTTTCCTGCATCTCCCAGAGTCACTGCCATATAGTAGACATCAGTATATAAGACACATTTGTAAAATACATGTGTTTTATTGAACTATCTGGACCATTCCTGAGCTTCTTTGGATTTCAGAGGCTATAGATTGGGTGTGAAGCTCCAACCCATCTAACAAGTAACTTGCTAAGACTGAGCTTTAGGTAAAGCCCAAAGCAAGAGCAGGTTCTATAGTGGGCCCAGGTGTGGCACAGGCCATGCTGCCTGGGGCTCAGGACTGTGATCCAACAGATCCAACAGTACTCAGAGGTCTGTGGTAAAGAAAAAGGCTGTATGGAACAGGGAAGTCCCAATAAGAGAACCCTAGCATAGTCCCATAGTATTTTAAAGCAAAGCTATACCTTCCTGAGCTGACAACTAATCTTACTTTGAGAAGAAGACCCTGGTTTACCTCAAGGACTTTGTAGATTCTGAACATTTGACTATTTGGTTGTTTCTCCAGAAAGCCAATTGTAAGATGGGGTTTGATGGACAGATGGTATATTGGAGACTGCGTTTTGGAGCAACAATCCATTAGAGAGTAAGAGAGACAGAGGAAGAAGGTGAACTGTGATTGTTGCAACAGAGGCCTCAGCTGCTCACAAAGGGAACTCAAATTGGGATGTCCCTATTGAGTTGTCCTGCCTTGAAAGGGAACAGGTGCCAGTGTTGCCATATCAACCAGGTATTAGATGTGGGAACCATGTAACCTCGGGCAAAGCTGTTCCCGTGAGCTTTGAGAAATTTCACAGGAAGCTCAGCTGTGGCAGCCTCTCAATCCTAGATTGGGAGATGTGAGCTGAGTACCACAGTATCCACTCTACCATAAGGCTGAGTGACTATGTGGCTTGAGTTTCCCACCATGAAGTGAGTGTTCTCTGATCCTCTAAGTCTTAAGGTTTGGTGTCTGCAGAAACAAACTTATCAAATGGAGGTGGTATCTGTGAGATCAGGTTCAAGTAGGTCTGGAAGGCACATGCAAGTTACATCTGCCACCTTGAGCTACAGTGCTGGTCCTCCCTCAGTTCAATCTGTGCCCTTATGAGGAACTTCCATTGCCCCATAGACAGAACTGAGAGTAATTCATCTGGTTGTCCACTGCAGATGGAAGGAGAATGACCTGGTAAATGAAGAGATCTACCTTGAGTTTTAGGCAGTGGCTAACACTTTGGCCACCTGGTTAGGAACTTGGTAAAAACAAGATTGTAAGATTGGTGACAATAAAGTCTGGGTAAGAGTTACGAGGATGGATATATGAAATAGGCCTAGAGTGTGGGGACATGTGTGCCTCATGCAAATGTTCACCAGAGGGCATCCATTGTAGAGGAGGCTCTTAAAGGTGTCCACATCAAGCAAATGCAATTATGGATCTATCTTGGAGCAACTAATAGCAAAAACCAAGACTGAACACCATTTCCTAGGGCGACCAGTCAACCACCCACTAGCAATTTTGTTATATTGTACTTATCAATTTGCCCTGATTGAAATAAACACCTATTTGAGGGTGCTGGTTTGTCTTCCCTGACCACCATGCATTTGCCAACATAATCATCCATGATGCCTTTGCCAACATAATCATCTGTGGAGTTAGAGAAAACCTTATTTACCATCATTAAAACCCATACAATATTTATTTATTTATTTATTTTTACCAAAATACTTCATAGCAATAAAAGCAGTGAGCCAAGATCACACCACTGCGCTCCAGCCTGGGCACCAGAGCAAGACCTTAATCTCAAAATAAATAAATAAATAAAAATAATAACTGAAGGTCCTGTTAACCATTATTAGAAAAAAAGAATGAAAATCTGGTTTGTAGGCTGTGAAACTCAGTGTGTGATTTGTTGTATTTGAGATGGGAACATCAGGTGGATATTTGGATATTCTGGTTGGGGTCCTGGGAAGAGGAAGGAATTTAAGAGACAGATTTGGAAATTTATTCTCAGGGGGGATTCAGGAGACCTCAAGCGTAATGAAAATCTCTACGAGAGAGTTGAAAGTGAAAGGGGATGGCCAAAGAAGAGGAAAGGAGTTAAAGTTCTTTCCTACTTAAAAACTTCTCTCCAGACATACACCTCCTTTACAGTGTGAAGCAAGAGCGCGTTGGCTGTCAGGAAGGAAGCAGATACAGGGAGTCAGTCTGCACCCAGCCTCAAGGCAAGTACTAGGGCGTCCTTTATTCAGTGAAGGTGCTGCAACTGAGCACCACCACACAAGGATTCTGAACCACCTGATGGCTGTGATGATGGACGATACTGAGCATGACTTCTTTCCTTCTCCCTCAACCCTGGCGGTAGGGTCTTCACGTGGGATTAAAAGTAAAAAAATAAATAAATAAAGTCCCTTTCATGACTTTAAAATGCTCAGGTGGGCCGGGCACGGTGGCTCACACCTGTAATCCCAGCAGTTTGGGAGGCTGAGGTGGGCAAATCACTTGAGCTCAGGAGTTCAAGAGAGCCTGGACAACATGGTGAAACCCCTTCTTTACTAAAAATACAAAAATAGCTGAGCGTGGTGGCAGGCGCCTGTAGTCCCAGCTACTCAGGAGGCTGAGGCAGGAGAATCGCTTGAACCCGGGAGGTGGAGGTTGTGGTGAGCAGAGATCACACCACTGCACTCCAGCCTGGGTGACAGAGTAAGACTGTCTCAAAATAAATAAATAAATAAATAAATAAATAAATAAATAAATAAATAAACGTTCAGATGTATGTTTGTTCTACTTATATATCTGTCCAACAAAGAAAATTAATAAAATTAAAGAACATACAGTAAAAATTATTCATAATCCCACCCCACAAAATAATTAACTACAACTAAAATTTTTATATGTGAATACATACATCTATTAGCATAGATATAATAGATGTACATCTATTATATCTACTTGTGAGTGCAAATAGATATAATAGATATACACTGTTAGAAAATTAGAAATGAGAATTACATTGAAAAATTTTTAAAGTCACCTAGATAGACTCCTGGAGACTTTTTTACACCTATGCTTGCATATCTTTTTTTTTTTTTGACCAAAAAATGGAATCATACCATACACAATGTTCAATAACTCTCCTTAAAAATATGCTATCATTAATCATTGTTATCACCATTATTAGAGTTATTAATTATTGAGACATATAATTTCAGGGAGTTATCATTACTCCCATTTTACAGCTAAAAAATTGAGGATGACAGATGTTAAGTAAATTGCGATCTGGAGCAATTTTAACCAAGTCTTAGAGACTCCAAACCCATGCACTTAATCTATGTCAATAAATACTCATTTAGAATGTTGGTTTAAAATTAATTATTCAATAAATTAAAGCTACAAATGCAAAAACTGCAGTTCAATTTAAAATATTAATCATGCTCTTATTCTCCTTATACATCTAGAGAAATTTAATAATTGCTTATAAGGAGCTTGGATTAATTTTGGTCCCATTTACAAATTTAATTAAATGCTTTATTTCAAACTGAATTTTAAAATTTAATATAATAAATTTCTTTTTTATGCATTTCAATTATCTCATTAACAAAGAGATCCTTCCAGTGTCTTTAAGTAATACTTCAAATTTAATAAGTTAAATATAAATTGATGAGTCTTAAATGCCTTTAATTATTCCTCTATTGTTTATCAAATAAGTGAGATTTAAACATTAATAACAAGTTTAAACCAAACTCATTTACACGTTGTAAGTTAGAATCTCAAATCTAGTATGCTAAATGCTATTAAACATTACCAATATCTAAAGAACCAAACAGAAACAAATTCATTAGCACATAAATATTAATAGTGCTTGTTTAATTTACTTCTTCATCTTTAGGCTTAATTTCAAGTGTCTTGACTCAAAACATTTATCCAGTTCCAGTTCATGTTTTAAAGGAGTAGCCTGTATTGAACTAATTCTTCTACCAGTAACAATTACAAATTCTGAACAAAACATAAAAAGACAACTGTGTGAAGGCACTGGAGGGCAGCTGAAGTTAGGAAGAGATGAGAATGAATATTATTCTTGAAGAAGGAAAGCTCACTGGGTGAGGTCCACGTTTAAATCAGCTTGTCCCCTACTGCAGTGTCTGGAGAAATTGAGCTGAAGCAGAGAGTGGCACCTTTAGTAGGCTGGTGAGACAGACAGAAATCAGAGTTTGAGAAATGATCCAGAGGCATTGGAAATTGAGGGCGAGAATCCCAGAAAGGAGAAAGCCACAAAGGAAACATTCATAATGTTCACATAAGTTTTCCTCAAATCCTTGACTGATTTGTAAATTGTGTATCCACAGGACAAGACTCCAAGAAACCTAGGAAAAAGAAGGAGGCTAAAGAACTGAGATGAGATTTTAGCAGCTGTCTAGGAGATAAAATTTGGCATTTAAATCAAACGAAAATATTGGAATTAGGCTGAGTGCGGTGGCTCATGCCTGTAATCCTAGCACTTTTGGAGGCCGAGACAGGAGGATCACTTGAGGTCAGGAGTTCGAGACGAGCCTGGCCAATATGGTGAAACCCCAATTCTACTAAAAATACAAAAATTAGTTGGGCATGGTGATGCACACCTGTAATTCCAGCTACTCGGGAGGCTGAGGCAAGAGAATCGCTTGAACCTGGGAGGCAGGGGTTGCAGTGAGCTGAGATCATGCCACTGCACTCCAGCCTAGATAACAGAGCAAGACTCCATCTCAAAAATAAATAAATTTAAATTTAAATTTAAAATAAAATTAAAAAAAAAAGGAATTGGATAAATATGTTGGGCTTTCCATTGAAATGTCAAAAGGACCACACCTTACCACACCTTAGGGATAAAGATCACATCCTGGAACCAAGGGCAAAATGAATATATCTACCCTGACAAAGCCTAAAACTAAGCCCCACAGGATAAAGTTGATTTGCCAGCAATTTAATCACTGCCATAACAAAATGTAATGCTCTTTGGAGGAAGATACCATAACCCAGAGTTTCTACAACAGATTATTCTAACCAATCGGCTGGGCACAGTGGCTCAAGCCTGTAATCCCAGCACTTTGGGAGGCCGAGGCGGGCGGATCACAAGGTCAGGAGATCAAGACCATCCTGGGTAACACAGTGAAACCCCGTCTCTACTAAAAACACACACACACAAAAATTAGCCAGGCATGGTGGTGGGTGCCTGTAGTCCCAGCTACTTGGGAGGCTGAGGCAGGAGAATGGTGTGAACCCGGGAGGTGGAGCTGGCAGTGAGCTGAGATCGTGCCACTGCACTCCAGCCTGGGCGACAGAGCAAGACTCCATCTCAAGAAAAAAAAAAAAACCAACCAATACATAATTTTAAAAATTACTAGACATGCATAGAAGCAAAAAGTGTGACCTGTAATCAAGAGATCAGTAGAAGCACACTTACGAATAACTCAGATGTTGAAATTAGCTGAGAAAGGCCTTAAAACAAATATTAATATATTCTTTTAACTTCCTTTTTTTAGAGACAGGGTCTCACTCTGTCACCCAGGCTGGAGTGCAGTATCATGATCATAGCTCACTGCAGCCTCAAACTCCTGGGTGCAAGCAATTCTCCTGCTCCAGCCTCCTGAGTAGCTGGGTTTACAGATACAAGCCACCATGCCTGGCTCAGGTATAAATATCTTAAATAGGGAATCTCAATAGAAAAATGGGAAAACATTTTTAAAACCCAAGTAGACATTCCAGAATTCTAGAAATTCTAGATGAATAACCTGAATCTAACCACAAAACCAAATTGACTGACATTCTGCAAAATACTTGCCCTGTAATTTTTTTAAAGAGTCAGAGATGTGAAAGTCAAGAAAACATGAGAAACTATTTTGTAATGCTCAGCATATAAATTCCATACATTTTTGTTAGATTTATACTCATCATCATCATCACCATAATACATTTTGCATAGCCATCAAAATATTTTCAAAATAAATATATAGAAAAGTACTTATAATATTAATGTTTAAAAAGATTAAAAACTCAATGTATAGAATCCTAAGAGTTTTATTTTTAATATCTTTCTCATAAATGACACTGTATATATTGATGAGGAAAGCCCTTCTTTACACAGAAAGGGCATATTGTTTGACAGCTAACAAATGTAAAAATAATGATAGAAAGTTATAATTTTATTACAACCGAAAAAATGATTAATTCAGATAGGCTTATCTGTGGATGCTAAAGCCTTTGAATGAAAAGTTGGTTAGAAACTGAATATTCACATAGTTCACAAGTCTCACACAACACATCATTTGATTAAAAGAGGAAAAAAAATCACCTTTACATTGGAGGAATAGGTTGTCAAAAACCTTAACTTAATGATCAATCTTGTCATCCTTCTTGCCTCCTAGTATGGTTTAATTTAAACAACCACTCTCGGCCAGCTATGGTGGCTCATGCCTGTAATGCCAGCACTGTGGGAGGCTGAGGCTGGCAGATCACTTGAGGCCAGGAGTTTGAAACCAGCCTGGGCAACATAATGGAACTCCATTCCTACTAAAAATACAAAAAATTAGCCAGGCGTGGTGGCACATGTCTGTAATCCCAGCTACACAGGAGGCTGAGGCAGGAGAATCACTTGAAGAGGTTGCAGTGAGCCGAGATTGTGCCACTGCACTCCCTTTAAAACATGTAACCACATTACATTGGTCCTTGGTTATATCCTGGTTTCAATAAAGTAAATTTTAAGTATATTTTGGAGATAATTGGAAAATTTGGATACAGACTAGGTATTAGATGATACTAAAGAATTGTTATTGGCCTGTTGTGGTGGCTCATGCATGTAATCCCAACACTTTGGGAGCTGAAATGGGAAGACCACTTAAGCCCAAGGGTTTGAGACAAGCCTGGGCAAAATAGTGAGTCCCCATCTCTAGTAAAAATAAAGAAATTAGCCAGGCATGGTGGCATGCACCTGTAGTCCCAGCTACCCAGGAGGCTGAGGTTGGTGGATTGCTTGAGCCCAGCAGTTTGAGGCTGCAGTGAGCTATGATCATGCCACTATACTGCAGCCTGGGTGACAACGCAAGAACTAGTCTCAAAAAAAAAAAAGAAAAAGAAAAACAAAGAAAAGAAAAATAATTATTGTTAATTTTGTTAGAGGTGACAATGTGTTGTGATTACATAGGAAAATGTACTTACTATTTGCAAATGCTGTAGGAATCTATTATTATTCTCAATTATGTAATCCCTCTTCCCTGGGTGAGGATTATATATCCTTCCGTCCCCACTTCTCTTGCCCTGCGATTTGTAGCTTTCTTATAGAAGGAGTCTATTTCTGCTCTCCCTCTCCCTCTCCCTCTCCCTCTCCCCTCTTTCCACGGTCTCCCTCTGATGCCGAGCCGAAGCTGGACTGTACTGCTGCCATCTCGGCTCACTGCAACCTCCCTGCCTGATTCTCCTGCCTCAGCCTGCCGAGTGCCTGCGATTGCAGGCGCGCGCCGCCACGCCTGACTGGTTTTCGTATTCTTTGGGTGGAGACGGGGTTTCGCTGTGTTGGCCGGGCAGGTCTCCAGCTCCTAACCGCGAGTGATCCGCCAGCCTCGGCCTCCCAAGGTGCCGGGATTGCAGACGGAGTCTCCTTCACTCAGTGCTTAATGGTGCCCAGGCTGGAGTGCAGTGGCGTGATCTCGGCTCGCTACAACATCCACCTCCCAGCCGCCTGCCTTGGCCTCCCAAAGTGCCGAGATTGCAGCCTCTGCCCGGCCGCCACCCCGTCTGGGAAGTGAGGAGCGTCTCTGCCTGGCCGCCCATCGTCTGGGATGTGAGGAGCCCCTCTGCCTGGCTGCCCAGTCTGGAAAGTGAGGAGCGTCTCTGCCTGGCCGCCATCCCATCTAGGAAGTGAGGAGCGTCTCTGCCCGGCCGCCCATCGTCTGAGATGTGGGGAGCGCCTCTGCCCTGTCGCCCCGTCCGGGATGTGAGGAGTGTCTCTCCCCGGCCGCCCCGTCTGAGAAGTGAGGAGACCCTCTGACTGGCAACCGCCCTGTCTGAGAAGTGAGGAGCCCCTCCGCCCGGCAGCCACCCTGTCTGGGAAGTGAGGAGCGTCTCCGCCCGGCAGCCGCCCCGTCCGGGAGGGAGATGGGGGGGTCAGCCCCCCGCCCGGCCAGCCGCCCCGTCCGGGAGGTGAGGGGCGCCTCTGCCCAGCCGCCCCTACTGGGAAGTGAGGAGCCCCTCTGCCCGGCCAGCCGCCCCGTCCCGGAGGGAGGTGGGGGGGGTCAGCCCCCCGCCCGGCCAGCCGCCCCGTCCGGGAGGGAGGTGGGGGGGTCAGCCCCCCGCCCGGCCAGCCACCCCGTCCGGGAGGTGAGGGGCGCCTCTGCCCGGCCGCCCCTACTGGGAAGTGAGGAGCCCCTCTGCCCGGCCAGCCGCCCCGTCCGGGAGGGAGTTGGGGGGGTCAGCCCCCCGCCTGGCCAGCCGCCCCATCCGGGAGGGAGGTGGGGGGGTCAGCCCCCCGCCCGGCCAGCCGCCCCATCCGGGAGGTGAGGGGCGCCTCTGCCCGGCCGCCCTTCCTGGGAAGTGAGGAGCCCCTCTGCCCGGCCAGCCGCCCCGTCCCGGAGGGAGGTGGGGGGGGTCAGCCCCCCGCCCGGCCAGCCGCCCCGTCCGGGAGGGAGGTGGGGGGGTCAGCCCCCCGCCCGGCCAGCCACCCCGTCCGGGAGGTGAGGGGCGCCTCTGCCCGGCCGCCCCTACTGGGAAGTGAGGAGCCCCTCTGCCCGGCCAGCCGCCCCATCCGGGAGGGAGGTGGGGGGGTCAGCCCCCCGCCCGGCCAGCCGCCCCATCCGGGAGGTGAGGGGCGCCTCTGCCCGGCCGCCCTTCCTGGGAAGTGAGGAGCCCCTCTGCCCGGCCAGCCGCCCCATCTGGGAGGGAGGTGGGGGGGTCAGCCCCCCGCCCGGCCAGCTGCCCCGTCCGGGAGGTGAGGGGCGCCTCTGCCCGGCCGCCCCTACTGGGAAGTGAGGAGCCCCTCTGCCCGGCCGCCACCCCGTCTGGGAGGTGTACCCAACAGCTCATTGAGAACGGGCCATGATGACAATGGCAGTTTTGTGGAATAGAAAGGGGGGAAAGGTGGGGAAAAGAATGAGAAATCGGATGGTTGCCGAGTCTGTGTAGAAAGAGGTAGACATGGGAGACTTTTCATTTTGTTCTGTACTAAGAAAAATTCTTCTGCCTTGGGATCCTGTTGATCTGTGACCTTACCCCCAACCCTGTGCTCTCTGAAACATGTGCTGTGTCCACTCAGGGTTAAATGGATTAAGGGTGGTGCAAGATGTGCTTTGTTAAACAGACGCTTGAAGGCAGCATGCTCGTTAAGAGTCATCACCACTCCCTAATCTCAAGTACCCAGGGACACAAACACTGCGGAAGGCCGCAGGGTCCTCTGCCTAGGAAAACCAGAGACCTTTGTTCACTTGTTTATCTGCTGACCTTCCCTCCACTATTGTCCTGTGACCCTGCCAAATCCCCCTCTGCGAGAAACACCCAAGAATGATCAATAAAAAAAAATAATAATAATAAAACAAAAAAAAATAATAAAAAAATAAAAAAAAAATACAAAAAATTAAAAAAAAAAAAAGAAGGAGTCTATTTCTTTACTCCGTTGACATCATGTTGGTCTTTGATGGGTAAAATGTAAGCAAAGGTGACAGTTTGCTGGTTCTGGCAGAAACTGGAAGTGGGACTGCAAGTTTCTGTCTGCTCTCTTATTCTTTTCCTTCTTCCATGAGAATGGTATGACCCAGATAGAGGTTGCTTCTTCAGCCTGTGTCCCAGGATGAAAAGACAAGTAGAGCAGACCCATAGCCCATCCAAAGGCTAGAGTATGACCAGCAGCTTACATGTAATGTAAAGAAAAGTAAATCTTTTTTTCCCGAAAGCTGCTGAGGTCTAGAGGTTATTTTTTTATAGCAGTGTAACTTAGTAAAAGCTGATTGATACAGATATATATTGAACTATTCTGGGATGAAATATTTTAAGTTGTTTAACAAAAATTCAAAGAAATATGAGATATAAAAAAGGACTAAATGAAAATTTTAGAATTAAAAAATGCAACAACTTGAATTTCTTAAAACTCAGTGGATGGCTTAATAAAATGGAGATGACAGAAGAAAAGACTCAGTGAACCTAAAGCTAGAAGGACAAAAATGATTAAACCCGATCAACAGGTTTAATGAACAGAGACTCAGGGACCTATAGCAGGAAAATAAAATATTAAATGTCACCTCATTAAGACCCAAAAGGAGAGGAAAAAGAAAGATGGAGCAGAAAAAATATTTTAAACACAATGGCTGCAAAGTTCTCAAATTTGGCAAAATATATGAACCTACAGATTCAGGAAGTCAAGCAAGATCCCAAAGAGAATAAGCCCAGAGAAATTCACACCAAGACACATCATGCTCAAACTTCTGAAAACTAAAGACAAAGAAAAATCTCAAAAGCAGTGAGAGAGGGCTGGGCGTGGTAGCTCATGCCTGTAATCCCAGCACTTTGGGAGGCTGAGGCAGGCAGATCACAAAGTCAGGAGATCAAGACCATCCTGGCCAGCATGGTGAAACCCTGTCTCTACTAAAAATACAAACATTACTCGGGAGTGGTGGCAGATGCCGGTAATCCCAGCTACTCAGGAGGCTGAGGCAGGAGAATCGCTTGAACCCAGGAGGTGGAAGTTGTAGTGAGCTGAGATCACGCCACTGCACTCCAGCCTGGGCAACAGAGAGAGACTCAGTCTCAAAAAAAAAAAAACAAAAAAAACAAAAAAACTGTCAACTCAGAATTTTATACCCATCAAAAATATCCTTCAATAAGGAAGGGGAAGTCAAGACATTCTCAGATAAAGGAAAGCTAACAGAATTTGATACTGGCAGACCTACACTAAAAGAATATCTAAAGAAAAGTCTTCAAGCAAAAAGGAAATGACAAAAGAAGGAAACGTGAAACATAAGGAATGAAGACAGGATGAGAAAAAATAGAATATGTAAATATAAACTATCCTGTTGGATTTTCTAAATTATATTTGATGGTCAAAGCAAAAATTATAATACTGTGTGATATGGTTCTCAAAGTATGTGAGTAAATATTTAAGAGAATTATAAGGAGGAGGTAAAGGAACCTATAGGTTTTTACACTTTACTCAAAGTAGTAAAATGTTGATACAAGTGAACAGTGTTAAGTTATAAGTGAATAATACAATACCTAGAGTAACCACTGAAAAACCTATGAAACAGATACCTTCAAAAACACTATAGATAAATCAAATAGACCAAAAATTTTTAAGCAACATGCAAGAAGACAGGAAAAGCAAAAAAGAGAAACAGAAAAACAGAAGGAATAAACAGAAAACAAACAAAAAAATAAAATGGTAGTCTCGAGCCCTAATATATCAATAGTTTCATTAAGTGTAATTGATCTAAATAACACCAATTAAAAAAAAATTGGCAGAATGGATTTTTTAAAAGCATGACTCAACTATATGCTATTTATAAGAGTAATGATATAGGTAAATTAAAAGTAAATGCATGAAAAAGATATACCATATAAATATCAATCAAAGCAGGAGTGGCAATGTTAACATCAAATCAAGTAGATTTAAGAACAAAGAATTTTACCAGAAAAAAAGAGGGCATTACCCAGTGATAAAGGAGTCTATCCACCAAGAAGACATAGCAATCCTAAATATTTATGCCCAAGAAAATGGAACTTCAAAATACACAAAGCAAAAATTGGCCAAACTAAAAGGAGAGATAAACTACAATTATACTAAAAGACATCAATACCCCATTCTTAACAATTGAGAGAACTATGAACAGAAACAGCAAGAATCCAGAACTAAACAACACCATCAATCAACAGGGTCTAATTAATGTTTATACAACATTCGAGTCACAACAGCCAAATACACATTCTAACAAGCTCATGGAACATTCACTAAGACATACTACACTCTGGGTCATAAAACAAACCTCACGGTTGGGTGTGGTGGCTCATGCCTGTAATTCCAGCACTTTGGGAGGCTGAGGCAGGTGGATCACTTAAGGTCAGGAGTTCAAGACCAGCCTGGCCAACATGGGGAAACTCTGTCTCTACTAAAAATACAAAAATTACCCAGGCATGGTGGCGTGCCTGTAATCCCGATTACCCGGGAGACTGAGGCAGGAGAACAGCTTGAACCCAGGAGGCAGAGGCTGCAGTGAGCCAAGATTGCACCATTGCACTCCAGCCTGGGGGACGAGTGAAACTCCGTCTCAAAAAACAAACAAACAAAAAAAAACCTCAACAATTTTTTTTAAAAGTGAAATCATATAGAGTGTGTTGCTAACCACAGTGGAATCAAACTAGAAATCAAAAATAGAAAGATAAGAGAAAATTTTCCAAACACCTGACATTAAATAACACACTTTAAAATAATACATAGGTCAAGGAGAAAGTCTTAAGGGCAATTTTTTAAATGCATTGAACATAAAAATAAAGCATATTAAAATGTGTGGGATGCAGCTTAAGCAGTGCTAAGAGGCAAATGTATAGAACTAAATGCTTATAATAGAAAAAGAAATGGTTTCAAATCAATAATCTAAGCTCTTAAGAAACTAGAAAAGGAAGAGAAAAATAAATGCAACATGAGCAGAAGGAATGAGAGAATAAAGACGAGCAGAAAAACATCAGAGAAAATCAGCAAAACAAAAGTCAGTTCTTTGAAAAGATCAATAGATTGACAAACATTTAGTAGACTGACAAAGAAAAAATGAGCAAAGACATAAATTACTAATATCAGGAATAAAACTACAGATTCTGTAGACACTGAAAGGATAATAAAGGAATATTATGAACAATTCTACACGCATAGATTCAATAATTTAGGTAAATTGTTAGTGAAGCCATTAATTAAATTCATTTAAAAAGACCACTACTAAAATTAATCCAATATGAAACAGGTAATTTAAAGATGCCTATAACCATTAAAGAGATTGAATTCATATTTTTTTTAAGTCTGAACAATAAATCTCCAGGCCCAGATGGTTTCAGTGGATGAGAATGGATGAGCAGCAAGAGAGAAATGATGCTAAATCATTTTATGCTGAACCTACTAAATGTTTAAAAAAGAATTAACACCAATCCTATGCAATCTTTTTTAGAAAATAGAAGAAGAAACGCTTCCCAACTCATTTTTATGAGGCCATTATAATCTTAATACCAAAATCAGTCAAAGAAAGCACAGAAAAAGTAAAACAGACCAATATGTCTTATGAACATAGAAGAAAAATCTTCAACAAAATGTTGGCAAATTGAATCTAGCAATATATAAACAAATAATAAACACAACCAGGAGTGTTTTATTCCAAGGATGTAAGGCTGATTTAATATTCAAAAATCAATCTGTATAATCCACCATATTAAGAAGACAAAGAAGAAAAGTCACACAGTCATCAGCCTTGTCATATTGAAAAAAAGCATTTGACAAAACTCAACACCCATTCATGATAAAAACCAACTAAACAACAACAACAAAACCCCAAAACTCTTACCAAACTAACAACAAAGGGGAATTTTCTCAACTTAATAAAGAGGACCTACAAAAAACCTACAGATACCATTGTATTAAACGGTGAAAGACGGAATGCTTTTATCTTAAGATCAGAATCAAACAAAGATGTCCCCTCTCATCACTGTTATTCAACAATACTGGTAATCCTAGCCAGACCAATAAGGTAAGAAAACGAGATAAAAAGCATACAGACTGGAAAGGTAGAAATAAAACTGTCTCTATTAGCAAATTATATGATTGTCTATATGGAAAATACCAAGGAGTCTCAAAAAAAAAAAAAAGCTAATGTCTTAGAATTAATAAATGAATTAAGAAAGCTTTGGGCCAACACACAAAAATCACTCATATATACTAGCAACAAACATGTGAAAACCAAAATTTAAAACACAATAGCATTTTCGATCACTGAAAAAAAGAAATATATAGATGTAAGTCTAACAAAATATGTACAGGATATGTATACAAAAATTACAAAGCCTTTTTTTTTTTTTTAACTTTCATGGCTTTGACACTTTTAAAGATTACAGGGCAGGTATTTTGTAGAATCCCAATTCATCTGGGTTTCTCTGGTGATTCCTCATAGATTCAGGTTATGCATTTTTGTCAGGAATATCACAAAAGTGGGTGCTGGTTTTTCTTGCTACATCCTCTTAGTTTTCAGGTTTCAATTTGTCTCATCGCTGACAATGTTCACTTTGATTGTTTGATTAAAGTGTTGTCTCCCAGGCTTTTCCACTATAAAGTTGCTCCTTTTGGTTTAAAAAAAAGTTGCACACAGCAAAAATCACTCTTGGCGCATAGTTCTATGAGTTTTGACAAATATATATAACAATGTAACCACCATTGTAGTCAAGATATAGAACAGTTCCATCACTCTAGAAAATGTTTTTCATGCTGCTGCTTTGTAGTAAAGCCCTCCCCCAACCCCTTACACCAAACAACCACTGATCTGTTCTCCATCCCTACAGTTTTGCCTTTTCCATAATGTCTTTGTGCTTTAGAGGATAAGGTCATATAAATGGAATCATACAGTGTGTAGCTAAAAAATGTAAGTAGAATCACTCAATATGTAGCTAAAGCCACTCTATTGTCCCTCACAATTAATAAATATTTATGGGGAAATCATTTTAGAGCACGTAAATGTCTTGCTCGTCGTGAAACTTTCTATTTGTTTACCTATTTATATCAGTATGGACTCATGGTCCATACTCTTCCATCCTATTTAATTCAATGGTCATAATCTATTACTATTCACTATGTATTTTGATGCTTAAATTGTCCCTGATTTGGCTAGTAAGAGTCCTTTCAAGCTGGTTTCTCTGTCCTTTTCACATATCCTCATCATTCTTTAGCACTTTCTGGCTTTCAGGCACAACAATATGTCCCAGGCTTCCCTTGGACTCTTCACTGTTGGGGGGTTCCTTCTCCCAGGCCCTTTCAGTAGACAGGGCAAGTGTCTATATAATACAATTATATGCATATATATTATGTGTGTACACACAAAATATGTATGTATGCATATATGTGTATGTGGTGTGTATATATATGCATACACACATACATATATTTCTATCTATATTTATTTCTATCTCTATCTATGTAAATTGAGAACTATTAGCTTACACCAATACCTTCAGTTCCAGTCCAGCATCTCAGGGCTCATTCTAGTTTAATCCCTTTCCAGGTTTGTGCTCTCTTCTCTGACAGTGAGAAACCTGGCTCCAATCATCCTTAATATGTCTAGCTATTCAGTATGGAACCAGTTTGACATCACTGCCACCCACTCCTCCCTCATGCAAAACTCATGTCCAGGTTCAACAACTCCCCTCAGACCAGCCTCCTGTATGAACACCCTCCTCACTCTGCTCGGGCTCCAACACCCAATGCTGGGCTGGCCTTCGACATGGAGGCCCTCCTTTCCCCTGCTGAGGCTCTGAAACCTCACCCAGGGCCTCCCCAGCTCCCATGTGAATGCCGGTCCTCACCTGGCTCAGGCTCTGACACCCGTGACAGCTCTTGCCCCTCACCCTGGGTATCCTCTTCACCCTGCTTGGGATCCCCACGCCCCGGATGGGCTCCCCCTTGTGAATGTGCTTCTCACCTGGCTCTGGTCTGGCTCTCACCCTCCCCTTGCTGCATGGACACCTTCCCACCCTGTGCTGGGCAGCTGTCTTCATGTTGTTCCAGCTCTGACACGCCAAACCGCCCCCGCATGGACACTCTCCTCACACTATCAGACAGAGAGATTAAAGCAGATCATCTTGTTCCGCCAATGCTGCTCTACATCCAGTTTGCCTAAGGCATCACCTGTTCAGGGGGCTCAAGTGAAGGGCCTGGGTTTTACGAGGGTCTTTCATCCATGATGAATTCTGAACTTCAATATTTGTCTCCTCATAAATATGAAACTGCCAAAATCGCTGCTTAGCTTTTTAGCCCCTTTGCACCTTTCTCTTCATGTTTATTTTATTTTATTTTATTTTATTTTATTTTGGAATCTTATAAGCTCAACTTTGGTGTCAGCAAATGCCTTAAAAGGAGATTATAAATAGAATTTCAGGCTCACTTCTTTGTAGTTTCCTTTTTTCTGGGATCTTGACCCCTTAAATCCTAGCTGTCTAGGTAGCACTGAACTGCAATTTTTGTCTCCCGGGCCCAGTAAGCTTGCT
The DNA here is from genome assembly GCF_000001405.40 of Homo sapiens. Classification (NCBI taxonomy): domain Eukaryota; kingdom Metazoa; phylum Chordata; class Mammalia; order Primates; family Hominidae; genus Homo; species Homo sapiens. The sequence continues at coordinate 68,852,209 of NC_000015.10, read as the reverse complement.
GAAGGTTCTGGGCTGCTGCTTTCTATTCAGCTTCCACCGCCAGAACTGTGAATTTGCAAACACCCCAAGGGGAAAAGCTACTGAGAATGCATTTAGAAAACAACTCAATTCACTTCTCTTTGCTTCAGGATATTGGTCCTTCAAGTCCTAGCTATCCTGCTTCTTCTCTAGTGCTTTCAAACAGCTTTCATAAAATAGCTTTTTAAATCTAGTTTTCATAGTGGTTCTCAGTAGGAGAGAAAATATGGTACCAACTACTCTGTCACACCTAGAAGCAGAAATCTACATTTGAGTTTTGTTTTTGTGTTTTTTGCTGAAAGTTTCTTTGAGTTGGGAAGTCAATAGATTCACTGCCTGGTTTCCCGAGTAGGATTAGAGTGTATGTAGACAACCATCCTTCTAGAATAATTGTCTATTTTGGTGCTAGAAGAAATTAGGTATATTTTGTTCCTCTCTAAAAGGGGCTAACGTGAAACCAGCCATCTTTATAGGGTTATCTGTACCTTGAATGACTCGGATATGAACAGAAACTGTTTCTCTTAATAGAAGCCCATTTCTTCCTTTTATCAAGTCTATATTATAAAACAAAGAAACTTTCAGCAAAGGTTACAAAAATTGGAGCGTATTTAAAATTTTTACATATAATAAATGTGACCTTCTTTAAAATACAAAACAGGTACATTTTTATTTTATTATGTACTCTAAGATAATCGTAGATTTATTAGAGTATTAATTTACACTACACTATCAGCACTGATGTCCAATAAAGTTTAAAGTTATAAGAACATCTTTCTCTTCCACTCATCAGTGTACCTTATGAAGTCAGATATCATGTCATTTGGATACAACATTCACATGTGATTCTCTGAAATGTGCATCCCTGACCATGACAGACCGTACCTGGGAGAATTGTTCCAAAGAAACAAGAGTTAGAAGAAAACCCTGATTATGGACTTGCCCCTAGGCCTAAAGTTGGGAGGAAAATAATTAAGGTATAAAAAAATTTATAGCTTTAAAGGTGTATCACTGGGTTGTCTTCACACTAGAATGCATGTAGGTAACTAATTTAACAGACATGTGTCACTGTGAGATATCCCAACTGTTGCAGGGCCCTGTGGCCCAGTGGGGAGGGTATGCATTCTGGGTAGGACCAGGGTCTACGTCCCAGCCCCACCTACCATTCACTAATTGTGTGACCTCACAGAGGTTGTTTAATGTATGTGAGTTTGTTTCCCCAAAAGTTAAGATAAATTATAATATTAATAATATCCACCTTACAGGCAGGGCATGGTGGCTTATACCTGTAATCCCAGCACTTTGGGAGGTCAAGGTGGGTGGATTGCTTGAGCCCAGGAGTTGGAGACCAGCCTGGGAAATATGGCGAAACCCCATCTCTACTAAATATATAAAAATTAGCCAGGAGTGTGGTGCATGCCTGTAGTCCCAGCTACTTACTTGGGAGGCTAAGGTGGGAGGATGGCTTGAGCCCAGGAGGCGGAGGCTGCTGTGAGCTGAGATCACACCACTGCACTCCAGCCTGGGCGACAGAGTGAGACTCTGTCTCAAAAAAAGAAAAATCTAACTTACAGAGTTGCGAGAATTAAATGAGACAATGGTGCATGAAAGCACCTGGCAAATAGTATTTCCTCTTTTAGTGACTATTTTCAAAGATGGTTTAAGATATGGTTAGTGATTACTAAAACTATGTGAACACAACAGCTGGAGTGTCACTTTTACATACAGAGTACTTTCCACATAGAGAATATTTTTCCACAATAGCTGGCAATTAATTTCATTCATTAGTCTAGTTGGGTGAGAATGGCTGTATGTAACATACATATATTAAAAGTGTTCATGAACATGAAATAATAAAGATCTAGAAGAATCTGTAGGATTATCCTGGTTGGATCTCTTTGTCTCATAGATAAGGAAACCGGGCCCAGGGGGCGAAAGGCATTTCCCTGGGTATCCTCCTCGGTTATTAGCAGAGCCAAGACTGGTTTGTGGGGGTCCAGACTCTTCACTCCCCTCTCCTCCCATGTGTCCACACGGATCATGTTTTTTTGGAAGCCTACATTCATAACTGGCACTTTTTCTCTTCTGTCTCATTGTAATGGCCAAAGCAGGTCACATGGCCAGCCCAGATTCGAGGCTGGGGAAGTGGACTCCACCTCCCAATAGGAGGACCTGCAAAGCCACATTGCAACAGATATGGCTATAGGACAGGGTGAAGACTCTAGAATATTTTTGCAATTAATCTACCACAAATGGCCAATGTCTTCCACAACCTGATCTTTTCTCCAGGCAAAGTAGCAGTGGGCCCCATACACACTTTTTCAAGTGCAAGTATTATGTTTGTCTTTTGGCATTCTAGAGGTCTCCTCCCTAAACTCTGGGGAAGCCTTGGAAAGGTCCATAAGTATCTGCTGAGTGCCTATTGTGAGCTCAGCACCAGTGTGAGGCTGAGGAGAGTACAGAGGCATGAATCTGTAGGAATCAGTAAGCTGTCCCTGCAGGCTCGCAAGTGAGATAAGATACACATGGGAACAATCAGGAGACGTGAATGGCAGTGAACCACAAGTGACCCCAACATGGGCAGAGGAAGATGAGAGCAGCCTGCCAACAGTCAGGACAGCAGAGGTGCCTTGAAGGCAATGAAATGTACACTAGGCAGTGAAAGAGGACTTAAGTAGCCAGGTGGAGTTTGGGGAGAATGTCTTAGCTGAGGGAAATTGCATGAGCCTGGGTTGCTGCGGGGAGGTAGATGGCATTCAAGGTGGAAAGATGAGGTTAGTCCAGATAATAGAAACCTTCCATTAAGGATGGCTGGGACACAATGAGGTGGCTGGGGCTACACCTGGTCTTCGAGGCAGGGGCATGGAAAAGAAGGACAAATCTGGCGGTATCTGTGAGGCAGAGCTGGGGCAACTTCAGGAGCGGAGACAACAGAGAGAAGTCTTCTTTACCAACCCAGGTAGTTGGGTGAGAATGACTATATGTAACATACGTATATTAAAAGTGTTCATGAAAATGAAATAATAAAGATCTAGAAGAATCTGTAGGATTATCCTGGTTGGATCTCTTTGTCTCATAGATAAGGAAACCGGGCCCAGGGGGTGAAAGGCATTTCCCTGGATATCCTCCTCAGTTATTGGCAGAGCCAAGACTGGTTTGTGGGGGTCCAGACTCTTCACTCCCCTCTCCTCCCATGCATCCACACAGATCATGTCTATTTGGAAGCCTACATTAAAAACTGGCAAAGAGTTTAGGTTAAGAAGGTCTGGGCAGTGGGAACCTAACGGGAAAATGCAAAGTCTGGTTTGAAGGAAGGATAGACAGGATTTGGAACTTTTATGTCCCTAGCATTCAGACCCTAGTGGCAAACTGTATTATAAGGTAATTCAGTGTTTCATGATTCTGACATATACATACAAAGCTTGAAGGTTCTCTTTTCTTTTCACTGTTATCTCCACTCTCTTATCCTAAATGCAAAAATATTAGTTGCTTGCTAGGTAAATAGAATTTTTCAGCTTATTTTTCCATTCTTGAAAATATTCCAGAACAAATGCAAATCAAAAGTACGTATTTGGAAAGTTCACCTTTGAAAATGTGGTACTTAATACTGCTCACTTGCAACACGTAAAGCCAATTCTATTAGGCCCAGTATTTTTATTTCAGACTGGAACTGTCCCACATGTAAGCCACTACTGAGTACTTGAAATGTGGCCAGTCCCAATTGAGATTTGCTGAAAGCGTAATATATACACTGGATTTCAAAGACTTAGTACAATAAAAGAATATAAAATATCTCTTTAATCATTTTATACTGATTAGTTATTGAAATGATAGTATTTTGGATATATTGAGTAAAATATAAATATTAAAATTAATTTTACCTATTTTCTTTTTACTTGTTTTAATGTGACTACTAGAAAACGTAAAATTATATATGGGCTGACATTTGTGGCTCACATTATATTTCTGTTGGACAGTGATATTTTAAAAGCACATTATGAGCTGGGTGTGGTAGCTCACACCTGTAATCCCAGCACTTTGGGAGGCCGAGGCAAGTGGATCACTTGAGGTCAGGAGTTCGAGACCAGCCTGGCCAACATGGCGAAACCCCATCTCTACTAAAAATACAAAAATTAGCCGGTAGTGGTGGTGCATGCCTGTAATCCCAGCTACTCGGGAGGCTGAGGCAGGAGAATTGCTTGAACCCAGGAAGCAGAGGTTGCAGTGAGCTGAGATTGCGCCACTGCACTCCAGTCTGGGTGACTGAGACTATGTCTCAAAAAAAAAAAAAAGCACATTATGTCTAGAAATATTATGTTATGGAGATGCCCATGTTGCAATTAATGACATTAACAGGTAGAAAGGTTTCTCATGCCCAATTAAATGAAAAATTGTTCCATACATTTCTATTTTCTTCCAGGCTGAATCTGTGATTTAGTGATAAATCATACAAATATCTTGGAGCACATGTTATATTATCTGCTTTCAAGGATAGCCATTTATATGATTATGGTTTCTTTTCCCATGGGGGGGAATACGAAAGAAAATTGCAATAAAAATTTCCATTTATTAAAATGTTTTAATAATAAATATTTTAGATTATCGCTAATACATGATAAATCAATGTGCCTGCATCATTTTTGCATTCATTTATAAAATCTGAGTACAGCTAGCAGTAGGCCCTCACTGAACAGGTGTGTTTTGTTGTTGCAATTGTTTAATTAGGTCCCTCAAGTGTTTTTCATCTACAGCAGTCCCCTTGCTACTGCTACTGCTTCTTTTCATGATATTGGCTTTTTGAAGATTTCAGGTCAATTGCCTTGTTAAATATTCTGCATGGTGTTCTTTAAATTGTCCCACTATTCCCTGAATTCCTGAAAGGTAGAGACCCGGTCTAGAGGAGCTTGCTTACACTCAGGCCACACATTTTAGTAAAAATGCTTTGTAGGTGATGTTGTATGCTTAATATTACATCATGTTAGGAAGCATACATATCAAGTTTTTCTATGATTCATGATGTTGAGTTTGATTACTTGCTTAAGGTGGTAATTGCCAGATTTCTTCATTGCAAATGTATGTTTCCATTTGCAGTTAACGAATAATCTGCATGATTCAAATAATCATGTGAATATTTGGTTCTCTAGTAATTGTTCACCTAATGGCTGTAACATCCATTGCCAATCCCAGCAATTGGGATGGGATTGCCATCCAAACCAAGCTGGAACCAAAATTATTTCATTAGAAGTTGTAAAACGGTGACTTTAAAATTCTATCATTCCTTTTACATCTATTAGCTACTAGCACTTTTCCATAAAGAATTGCCTTTTTCTCTCTTTCTATTACCATGAATTCATGAATTGTTTTTTTTTGTTTTGTTTCGTTTTTTGTTTTTGTTTTTTTGTTTTTTGAGACGGAGTCTTGCTCTTTCGCCCAGGCCGGAGTGCAGTGGCGCTGTCTTGGCTCACTGCAAGCTCCACCTCCCGGGTTCATGCCATTCTCCTGCCTCAGCCTCCCGACTAGCTGGGACTACAGGCGCCAGCCACTGCGCCCGGCTAATTTTTTGTATTTTTAGTAGAGACGGGGTTTCACCGTGTTAGCCAAGATGGTCTCGATCTCCTGACCTCGTGATCCGCCCGCCTCGGCCTCCCAAAGTGCTGGGATTACAGGCGTGAGCCACCGCGCCCGGCCTCATGAATTGTTACTTGCGGTATTTACAAATAATTATGGTCATTATTCATTTTGATGCTCAAATTTTCCCAAATTTGACCAGTGTCATTTAGACATGCTTGCCATTCTTTGAGCACTTCCTTGCTTTCTTGTACAGTGAAATATCCCAGGCTCACCTTGTACTTCCTGTGCCCCATATTGGGCCCCCTTTAGTGAAGAAAGCTGTTTAGAAGCCAAGATCTGGGCACAAGGTGTGCTTGGTGCTACTTGGGTCTCTCAATGAACATTTTTTCATTGAGATATAATTCACATATAAAATTCATCCTAACATGTACAATTCAAAATGCAAATCAAAACTGCAATGAGATATCATTTTATACTCATTAGGATGGCTATTATAAACAACAACACTAGAAAATTAGTGTTGATGAGGATGTGGAGAAATTGGAACCCTTGTGCACCGTTGGTGGGAAAGTAAAATGGTATACACGGTATGGAAAACAGTGTGGCAGTTCCCTAAAACATTAAAAATAAAATCACCATATGATCCAGCAATGCCACTTCTGGGTACATATCCAAAAGAACTGAAAGCAAAGACTTGAACAGATATTTGTACATCGATGTTCATAGCAGCATTATTCACAATAGTCAAAAGGTGAAAGCTCAGGAGATCAAGACCATACTGGCTAACACGGTGAAACCCCGTCTCTACTAAAAATACAAAAAATTAGCCGGGCATGGTGGTGGGCGCCTGTAGTCCCAGCTACTCGGGAGACAGGCAGGAGAATGGCATGAACCCGGGAGGCGGAGCTTTCAGAGAACCGAGATCACGCCACTGCACTCCAGCCTAGGCGACAGAGCGAGACTCTGTCTCAAAAAAAAAAAAAAAAAAGAGTGAAAGCAACCCAAGTATCCATGATGGATGAATGGCTAAACGAAGTGTGGCATAAGTGTATAATGGAATATTATTCAGCCTTAAAAAGGAAGAAAATTCTAACACATGCCACAACATGAATGAACCTTGTAGACATTATGCTAAGTGAAATAAGCAAGTCACAAAAGGGTAAATACTGTATGAATCCACTCATCTGAGGTGCCTAGAATAATAAATTCATACAGAAAGTAGAATGCTGGTTGCCACGGGATGCAGGTGGAGGGAGGTAGGGAGTTATTGTTTAATGGGCACAAAGTTTCAGTTTGGGAAGATGAAAAGCTTCTGCAGGTGGCTGGTTATGATGTTTGCATAACAATGTGAATGTACTTAACACCACTGAACTGTACACTTGAAATGGTTAATATTTTAATGGTTAATGGTAAGTTTTAATTATGTATATTTTACCACAATTTTTTAAATGTTGTTCAGTTCACGGAGTTGTATAACCATCATCACTATCTAATTTGAGAACATTTTTATCCCCCCGCCCCCACAAGAAACCCAAGCCCATTAGCAACCACTCCCTGTTTCCTCCCACCCCGAGCCCTAGGCAACCACAAATCTTTCTGTCTCGCAGATTTGCCTATTCTTGACATTTCATATAAATGAAATAAAATATGTGGCTCTGTGTCTTTCTCTTAGCATAATGCTTTCAAGGGTCATCTATGTCATTGCATGTATCAGTACTTCATATTTTTCCATGGCCAAATAGTATTTAATTGTCTAGATATACCACATTTTGTTTGTTAATTCATTAGTTGGTGGATATGCGGGTTAGTTCCCATGTTTGAACTATTATGCATAACGCTGCTGTGAACATTAGTGTACAAATTTTTGTGTGAACACGTTTACAATTTTTTTGTAAACATGAAAATGGATATACCTAGGAATAGAATCACTGGGTTATAATGATAACTCTAGGTTTAACTTTTTGAGGAACTGCCAAGTTGTTTTCCACAGTGGCTGCATATTTTACATTCCCTCCAATATATGAGGGTTTCAAGTGAAAACTTTCTAATGCTGTTCTTTTCTAAACTTCTAAAAGATTTGTATAACTTTCTTTAAATAATACAGCTTCTGTCTTGTATTGTTTTGCAAACGTATAATAAAATATACTGGGAATGACATACACATTTAAAAAAAACTATTTTACTTATAAACTATGTATAGTCCAAGCTCTGCTATCTATAATCCAGATCCTTTTCCTACTCAACCTGTGGCCTTCTGACTCCCTGGCTGACTGACAGGTAGGGTGGGATGATTTCCAGCTTGACCTGGCGTGTTGTTTGGGATAGACAGGCAGCGCTCAGCATCCTTCCCGCCCCTCCTCCGCAATGCAGAGCAACGGGAACTACACTTCCCAGTATGCCCCCTTCCAGCTGGAGTTTGCCTTGGGAGGAACTTGAGGGACATTTGGAAGGGAGAAGGGAAGGGGATCTGTTATTCTCTTGAGGGGGTGACAGCCAGATGCTGAACAGATGTGAGAGTCGCTGAGGCGCCCCAGCGAGCTCTCAGGAGCCGCCCGCGTCAGGCTGACACCTTCATCTCCGCTGCCACCGTGGCAGCAGCTGCTCCCACGCCGCTCTCTGGACCTGCCAGCCGCCCTATGAGCCTAGCGCGGTGTGCACGGAGCCCACCACAGCCGCAGCGCAGAGCCGCCTGTCCTCCTGAGCAGCCCCGAAACACACACACGTGTGTGTGTGTATGTGTGTGGGGGGTAGAGGGGGTGTGGAGGCAGTATTTAAATACAATGAAGGAGAACAAAACTGAAGCGTGTCTTACAGGCCAACTGTGCCGGGAAGTTTCTATTTCCGAACTGAACGAGTTCAGCCTTGCTATCCTTAAGTTATCGTGAGCACACACACACACACACACAAAAGCATTAAAAAAAGAAAAACGTGGTATTAAAAACCCCTTGTAAACACCATTTAATGGTAGAATAATAATCCATCAAACGGATGTCTCATAATTTAAGAATTAGTCCCTTAATGTTGGCATTTAGACTATTTTTCTTGTTTTGATTTATGAATAATCCTGAAAACAGTATTTTTATTATTTCTTTTAGACGGATTCCAAAATGTGGTTATTTCTCGTTCAAAATATATAATCATATTAAAGATTATCACTACACATCCCTAGATTGGCTTTCAGAAATCTAACAATTACACCCCTCCATGTATTGAACATACATTCATCTGGCCACGCCACAGCTGCCATCGAATGCTATCATTTAACAATAATTTTGCTACTTTGATAGATTTAATTTGGGTGTAAAAATTCAGGTTTACTTTTTATTCACCTGCTGATTAGCCATCTGTGTTCTCCCTCGTCTGTTCTTCCTTAACTCCTTTCCCTTTTTCTTCTTGTCTTTTTTCTTTCCCTCCTGCCATTCCTTCTTTCCTACCTTCCCCCCTCCCTTCTTTCTATCCTTTTTTCCTTTCTAGAATTTACATCCTTTAGTTACAAATCTGTTGAATGTCCTTATGTTTTTGTAGATTCCCCCAACTTCCTGTTGCATTTAATTGCTTCCATTTCATTATGTATTGGGGTATTCTCATGCAGCAAAAATTTACTTGTTTAGAGTTCCTAACATTACTTTTAACTGTTGAAAGTTTCTTTGCAACTCAGAAAGCAGATAAATGTTAACCCCTGTTTTCTATTATTTGACAATTTAAAATTTATGGCTTGATTTTATACATTACCTCTTTGACTTATCTAAGCAGTTTTTGTATATATTAAAAGAAGATCTAACTTAAGTTTTCCCCAAAATAACTAATTGCTGGAGTGCAATTTGGACAAATCCTACAATCTTCATGTAATTATATTTTTAGATGCTCAGTGTGGCTCTTTTTAATAACTAAGACATACTGGTTGAAATAGTTCAAAACCTCAGAAATACATAATGTGGGAATCCTGTTCCCTAGAGATAACCACTGCTGAGGATTTAGTACGTTTTAAAGTTTTTAGCTTTTTAAATTGAGATATAGTTAGCTTTTTAAATTGAGATATAGTTTAAATCAATATGCATAGATTTTAAATGTACAATTTGATTAGTTCTGTCAAATATATACCACCACCCAATCAAGATATAAAACATGGCCAGGCACGGTGGCTCACGCCTGTAATCCCAGCACTTTGGGAGGCCAAGGTGGGTGGCTCACTTGAGGTCAGGAGTTTGAGACCAGCCTGGTCAACATGGTGAAACCCCATCTCTACTAAAAACATGAAAATTAGCTGGGTGTGGTGGTGGGAGCCTGTAATCCCAGCTACTGAGGAAGCTGAGGCAGGAGAATCGCTTGAACCTGGGAGGCATAGGTTGCAGTGAGTTTAGATCACGCCACTTCACTCCAGCCAGGGCAACAGAGAAAGACTCTGTCAAAAAAAAAAAAATATATATAAAATATTTCTGCACCCAGAAATTTTCCCACAATGCTTTTCAGTCAATCTCCATTCCCCCAAAGCAACAACTATTCTATTCTAATTTCAATCACTATAGTTTAGCTTTGACTGTCCTTGAATTTCATATCAATGGAATCATAAGTATAAACTCACCTGTGTCTGACTTCTTTCATGCAACATAACACTTTTGAGATTCATCCATGTTGTTCTGTGTGTTAGCAGCTCATTCCTATTTATTGCTGAATAGTATTCACATTGTATTGACAAACCACAATTTATCCATTTGCTTATTAATGGACATTTGGGTTCTTTCTAGTTTGGGGGTATGTTGAATAAAACTGCTAAGAACACACAGGTCCTTTTGTGGATGTGTCTAGAAGCAAAAGTTTGTTACACCTAAGTTAGGTGTAACTTTAACTTTATAAGAAACAGACACACAATTTTCCAAAGTGGGACAGGTGCTCCCTTTCCTCACACACACTTGGTATTATTTTGTGTGTGTGTGTGTGTGTGTGTGTGTGTGTGTGTGTGATGATAATAGTTAACAAAATTTTGGCATAATCACATATTTAGAGAAAGTTGCAAGAACAAAACAAAGAACTTTTTTTTCTGAACATTTTAGAATAAATTGCCAACCTGATGCTCCATTCCCCCTAATTCTTTAGTGTGCATTTTATACTAACAAAGACATTCTCCTACTTAACCACATACAACCATCAAATTAGGAAATTATTGGTGCATACAACCATCTAATTCTCAGACCCTATTCAAGCTTTTTTAAAATTTAAATTTTATTTTATTTTATTTGTAGAGACAGGATCTTGGCATGTTGCCGAGGCTGGCCTCAAACTTCTGGGCTCAAGTGATCCTCTTGCCTCAGCCTCCCAAAGTGCTGGGATTACAGGCATGAGCCACCGTGCTCAGCCTCAAACTTTAACAATTATCCCAATAATATTCTTTCTAGTAAAAGGATGATTCAAAAATTATATGCTGCATTTAGTTGTCAAATTTCTTTAGTCTCCACCAAGCTGGAACTGTTCTCAGGTTTCCTTGACTTTCATGACCTTGCTACTTTGGAAGTTTACAGGCCAATCGCATTGTAGAACAGCCCCAAATTTGGGTTTATCTAAAAATTTCACTTCTAGACATGTCCACAAAATTTGGGTTTATCTAATGTTTCTTCATAATTACATTCAGATTATGCAGCTTTGGCAAGGTTATCATAGAAGGCACATCACTTTCATTTGCCCCTTTACTGATGATGTTCACTGATCACTGAATAAGGTGGTGTTTGCAAGTCTTCTCCGCTAAAAAATTATTGTTTTCCCCTTGTAAGTAATACTTTTGCAGAGGTACTCTCAGATTAGTTAACAAGTTGCTTCCCAGACAGATTTTTAATTTGTTCATTTATTAATTTATATCTGCATAAACTTGTGGTTTCCTATATTCTTCGGTGGGTCATAATCTATCATTTATTTTAATACTCAAATGGTACTAAATGTGGCTCTCCAAACTGGCTTTTGTGTCCTTTTGACACACATGTTCTTATCATTCTTGGAACAACCTATTCCTCTCTGGAACAAAAATATCCAGAATCCCCTGTATTTTTTCTGTCCATCCCTGGAATCAGCCATTTCTCCAAGGAAGCCTAGTTTCTTTTAGTGAAAAATTGTATCTAGAAACCAAAATTTAGGTACTTGGTGTGCTCAATGTTATGGCATGTTACTGCTTCCAGGGCCTCTCTCAGAACAGAGCTGGAGAATATGTGGATGGATACACACACATACAGACACACAAACATATACATTTACATCTGTATTTATTTCTGTACCTATGTGTATTGAAAACCATGAGTGTACACCAATATTTGTTCTTCTTTTATTTTTATTTTTAGTAGAGACAGGGTTTTGCCATGTTGCCCAGGCTGGTCTCGAATTCCTGAGCTCAAGCGATCCGCCCACCTCAGCCTCCCAAAGTGCTGGGATTACAGGCATGAGCCACCATGCCCAGCGTATGCCAATACTTCTAAATCCAATCCCCCTTTCTGCATCCAATAGCCCCTTTCTCTGACATGTGCTGTCCTTATTATATTCACTTATTTGGTCAATGTGCTAAGTGCATCCAATCTTCCATGTTCATTGCCATCCCCTCCCCAGCGTGGTAACCTCTTCATCATGTTCACTCTCTGACACTCCATTCTAGGTCATCCCTCTGCCAGTGTGCCCTCTTCACCTCACCTCTTGAAATCTTCACCTTGTAATCTTCTTTGAGCCTCCCTCCAGTAGATGCCCTCCTGATTCCACTTAGGCTCTGACTCCCCATGCTGGGCCACCTTCACAGTAACACCTCTCTTACCCGGCTGAGGCTCTAACTCCCCAGGTTGGGCTACCTCCTCTATGGACTCTGCTCTCCTAGCTCAGGCTGTGATATCCAACACTGGATATTTGTCTTACCCTGGGGCTCCTATTCCAATATGCCATGCTGAACTGTCCCTGGACATGACCACCTCTCTCTCTCTCTCTGCTGGAGCTCTGAATTCCTCCATGCCAGGCTTCCTCCTCCATGATTAGCCTTCTCCCCCTACCTGGGCTCTGACCATGCCAGGACTTCCCACTGTGGGGATGCTTTACTCACCCTTCTCAGGCTCTGATATACTGTTCTAACCCATTGCAGCTGCCTCCCCCTACCCTCACCAAATCCCCATCACGTGGCATGTTCTTACTAGGCATTTATACATCTTCCTTTGTCAAAAGTCTGATTGGGTTTTTGCCCACTTATAAAGTTGTTTTTCTTGTTGATTGGTTTGTAGGAGTTCATCTATTCTGGATCCAAGTCCTTTTTCAATAAATGCATTGAGAATGTTTTCAACCACACTGTGGCCTGCCTTTTATTTTCTTAATGGTATTGAGCAGGAATTTTTACTTTTTACAAAGTCCAATGTATACGTTTTTAATTTTATGGCTAGTGCACTTTTTTGTGTGTCCTGTCTGAAACACTTACCTACCCTAAATTCAGAAATGTATTCCCCTATTTTAAAAAAAAATTGTGTATGCTATGGGACAGAGGTCAAGGTTATTTTTTCCTACAGATTTCCAGTTTTCCAACACCATTTATTGAAAAATATATTCATTTCCTGATGAACGACCTTGGGTCTTTTGTCAAAAATCAATTACCAGCTGAACATGGTGGCTCACACCTGTATTCCCAGCATGTTGGGAGGCCAAGGGGAAAGGATTGCTTGAGATCAGGAGTTCAAGACCAGCCTGAGCAACATAGTGAGACTCTGTCTCTACAAAAATTTAAAAATTAGCCAGGTGTGGTGGTGTGCACTTGTAGTCCTAGCTACTCAGGAGGCTGAGGTGGGATGATCACTTGAGCCCATGAGATAGAGGCTGCAGTGAGCTAAAATTGTGCCACTGCACTCCAGCCTGAGAGAGAGCAAGGCCCCATCTCTAAAAAATAAACAAGTAAATAAATTACCATATATTGGAGATTCATTTCTGGACTCTCTATTCTGTTCCATTGATCTGTAGTCTATCAATACACCAATATCCCATGGTACTTGGTTACTATAACATTTATAATCAGGTGGTATAAGCTCTCCAACTCTGTTCTTCTTTTTCAAGATTGTTTTTCCTAGGTCTTTGAATTTTCTATACCTAACTTATGTGTATTGAAAACCATGAATCTACACCAATTCTTTATTTTTATTTTTAGTAAAGACAGGGTTTCCCAGCCTATTGCCCAGACTGGTCTGGAACTCCTGGGCTCAAGCAATCTGCCCGCCTCGGGCCCCCAAAGTGCTGGGATTACAGGTGTGAACCACCGCGCCCAGTCTATGCCAATACTTCTCATTCCAATCCAATGCCATATAAATATAAATTTCACACTCAGCTTCATTTGTTACAAAAAAAAAGGGCTGCTTAGTATTTTGATCAGGATTATGTTGAATCTATATATCAAATTGGGGAAAATTATTACCCTAATAATACTAAATTTCTATTCTATGAACATTATATATTGCCATTCATTTAGGTATTTGCTAAATTTTCTTACAATGTTTTATAGTTTGGAGTATAAATGTCTTGAAGATATTTTATCAAATGTATTCCCAAATATTTTATATTTTTGAATACTATCTAAGTGGCATTTTTAAAGTTTATATTTCAATTGTTTGTTGGTAGCAGATAAAAATACAGTTGACTGTATATTGACTTTGTATTACACAATATTCTTAAATTCACTTTTCAGTTTTAGTATTTTTTCATAGATTTTTAAAGATTTTAAATGTAAATAATCATGACTGCCATAAAGACAGTCTTGCTTCATTCTTTTTCAATCTGCACACCTATTTCTTTTTCCTGTCTTATCACACTGGCTAGGATTTTCAATATAATGTCAAACAGAAGTGGTGATAATGCATATTCTTACCTTTTCCTCATTTTAGGGAGGTATCATTCTGGCTCTGTCACCCATGCTGCAGTACGGTGGCACAATCTCAGCTCACTGCAATCTCTACCTCCTAGTCTCAAGCAATCCTCCCACCTCAGCCTCCCACCACTTGGCTAATTTTTTGAACTTTTTGTAGAGACAGGGTCTCACTATGTTGCCCAAGATGGTATATTTTATTTTCTACCTATGTTATAAACCCTGCAAATATATTATGATTGTTGTTTTAATAGTGAATGGTCTGCCAGGCATGGTGGCTCACACCTGTAATCCCAGCATTTTGGGATGCTGAGGCAGATAAATCACCTGAGGTCGGGAGTTCGAGACCAGCCTGGACAACATGGTGAAAACCCGTCTCTACTAAAAACACAAAAATTAGCCCGGCATGGTGGCAGCTGCCTATAATCCCAGCTACTAGGGAGGCTGAGGCAGGAGAACTGCTTGAACCCAGCAGGTGGAGGTTACAGTGAACCAAGATCACACTACTGCACTCCAGCCTGGGTGGCAGAGCGAGACTCCATCTCAAAAAAAAAAAGGGTGGATGGCCTTCTTTCATATTTACTGGGCATGATGACATGGGATCATTTTCTCTGACCTGATAAATTACTTTAGGATTTTTTCTCATGTTAGTCTACTAGGTGTGCAACTTCACAGTCCTTATTTGTCTGAGGACGTTTTTTTCACTTTCATATTTGAAGTATTTTTTGGTGGAGGGTAACAGAATTCTAGGTTGACAGGGTTTTTGTTTAGCTTTGTATTTCTTTCAGCATTTTAAAGATGTTATTGTCTTCTGCTGTCCATAGGTTTTTGTTAAGAGATCAGTTATCTTTATTGTTGTTCCCCAAGAGAAATTATATCATTTTTTTTTCTGGCTGCCTTTTTTTTTTTTTAAGAGTCTCGCTCTATTGCCCAGGCTGGAGTGCAGTGGCACAATTTCTGCTCACTGCAACCTCTGCCTTTCGGTTCAAGTGATTCTCCTGCCTCAGCCTCCTGAGTAGCTGGGATTACAGGCACACACCACCACGATTGGCTAATTTTTGTATTTTTAGTCGAGACGGGTTTCACCATGTTGGCCAGGCTGGTCTCGAACTCCTGACTTCAGGTGATCCACCCGTTTCGCCTCCAAAGTGCTGGGATTACGGGCGTGAGCCACCATGCCTGGCCCTGGGCTGCTTTTAAGATTTTCTTTTTGGAGCAGGTGTGGTGGCTCATGCCTGTAATCCCAGCACTTTGGGAGGCCGAAGAGGACGGGTCACTTGAGGTCTGGAGTTGGAGACCAGCCTGGCCAACATGGTGAAATCCCATCTCTACTAATAATACAAAAATTAGCTGGGTGTGGTGGCGCATGCATGTAGTCCCAGCCACTCAAGCGGCTGAAGAACAAGAATCATTTGAACCCAGGAGGTGGAGGTTGCAGTGAGCTAAGATAGTGCCACTGCACTCCAGCCTGGGCAACAGAGCAAGACTTTGTCTCAAAAAAAAGAGATTTTCTTTTTATCTTAAGTTTTCAGAAGTTTTATTGTGCTTTGCTTAGGTGTGCTTTTATTATCCTGCTTGAAGCTTTTTGTGAAGCTTTTTGAATCTGTGAACTTTATCATTTGTTAGATTAGGAAAATTCTCAGCCATTATTTTTTCAAGATTACTTATGTTCTTTCTCTTTCTCTTCTCTTTCTAAATGCTAATTGCACATACATTAGACCTTTTGCCTATGCCCCACATCTCTCTCTGTTATTTTTTATCCCCATTATGTTTTTTTCCTTCTGTGTTCCATTTGAATATTTTCTGTGACTATTTTTGAATCTAGCCTGGTGCTGTAACCATTCAAATAGTTCTTAATTTCAGACATTTCAACTTGCATTTCTAAAATGTCCATTTGATTCCTATTCATAGATTCAAATGATCGGTTAAAGTACTTTTTCATCCATGTTATCCATCTTTCCAATTTTTTAAAACATACTCATGATCATTATTTTGAAATCCTTGTCCACTAACTCTTGTATCTGAATCATCTCTGGGTCTGCTTCTTTTACTATTTTATCTCCTGATTGGTTGTTTCTTCCTTTTTCTTTTTTTGTTGCATGTTCAGTGACTTTTTTTTGTATGCTGTATATAGTGATTAATACAGTGGATGGGCTCTAGATTATATTCTTCTGAATGTTGAATCTTGTTCTAGCAGCAAGTGTCTATTTAAATTTAGCCCTCATATGACATAATTGACACATCTTTTATCTGAGAATTATAAAATTTGATCATGATCATATTGTAGCCTCTCAAAGTGCTCTAGAAATTGTCAGTGGTTTACATGAAGTGGCCATGGGTGTCCAGAGAACCCTGAAACTGTATCAAATTTGTACATATTTCCAAACATTTTTATTTTATTTATTTTCAAGATATGCAGCAAGTTTAATACCTGAAGGTTAACAGAAATGGCAACAGGACACAGATGCAATGCTACAGTAAAATGGGGCTGGGGGTAGAAGGGGGCAGAGGGACACTGGATATCATCACGCCAACCAGTGAATGACTCCTCTGGTACCCTGAGGTCATGAGACACTTGACCGTGTCACGAAGTATGGAGTAAACTAACAACTCTGAAAGACAAGTAGCTGGCAGCATTGCTGAGATTAGACTAGGGGCCAGGGCCTGGAGCTTTGTCACAGAGTGTTGATGCTCAAGGATGCCTGGGCTCAAGAGTGTTTTGGTCAGCATTTTAACATGAGGAGAAGGGCTTCTTCAGGACATACTCCCTTCTCTTAACATGAGGTGAAGAAACCCATCCCATTCTGGGTAATGGGGCCCCATAATACCTTGGTCTTTTGATATACACTACACACCACTGTGCCCCCCCCAGCCAGCTTCAATCTGTCTGCTAAGCACCCACTTTGCAAATGGATCTCAGAGAGAAGAAATCCAGAGGAGGTGGGAGGAGCACCGTGGTGGGATTTGAGGAACAGGAGTTGGCCAAAGGAGCAGATGTGTCCCATGTCGGGTCCCTCCTAGGCATGGTAAAGACTGCTATTGCTCAGAAGCACCTTTTCCCCAGGTTTGAAGGCTGGTATCCCAAGGTAGGGGCAGCTGGCACAGTGGAAACTATTGCCCAGATAGCAGTTTCCACAAGCTGACTTGGGTTGGGAGCTCATCTGCTCCCTTGACTTCTCTTTTTCCAGTTCTTCGGCAAGGCCACGGGTGCAGCTCTGGCAGGTCTTCCTCTTTTTCCCTTCCCCACAAGGAGCAGCCTGCAGGGAAGTCGGATCTGGCTTCTTCAAATCTTCTGGATCCAGCAGCTCCTCTGAGTCAATGAGATCCATGCTGTCATCCTCCATATCATTGGCTGAGAGGGTCCACAGCTTGGCAGCAGCAGGGTACCCAGCAGGCTTCACTGAAGGAGATGACTTCTTGGTGATGGAAAGCTTAAGCTGACTAGAAGAACTCACTTCAAAGTTGTTTTTTGTTTTTTTTTTTTTGCTTGTGATCTGAACAAAGAGCAGGCTGTCACTTTCATGACCCAGGTGTTCTTGAACAGACTGTACCTCCTCAGGGCTTAAGGGCTCCCATGGCAGCTCTTTCACTTCCACAAGACCGGAAGCAGTCAGGGCTGAACACAGCTTGCTGTCTTCGCTTTGCTGTTGTTATCTACAGCTGGATCTACTGGTTCTTTCAGAAAAAGACATCCACTAGGCCGAAGGATCCGGGCAATTTCAGCCAAAATCTCAGCACTCAGTAGAGTGGTGCTTCCCAGGACTAAACCCAACAAAATAATGTCAAAGCTGGATTATTTGTGGGCAGACTGCAACAGCTGGTTGTTTTCCACAGACACGCGGCCCTCATTGCCAGTTAACACTTGAAGCTTATCCACCAGATCTTTCAGAGCCTGCACTGGGGATGACTTATCCCAGACCACTGCCACAAACTGGCCAGCAGAGATCCCAAAATCTGCCATTCCTGCAGTGCAGTGCTGATGGACCTAAAAACTGCCGCCTGGGCTCGCTCCCAGCTTCTCCTCAGCCGTCGACCCCACACAAACATTTTCAAAATGAAAAGGCACTCTCGTGTTCTCCTCCCTCTGTGCACTTTGCTATTGGTGTGTGACAAGGCATCTAAAGATGTTTCTGTTTTTTTTTTTTTTTTTTTGGTAAGGTGGTATTAACTATATGGTTATTGGCTAGAAATTCTAAGTTATCAATTGTGTGTGTGTGTGTGTGTATATATATATATATATTTGTAAAAAGAACAAAACAAACGAGACGAACTCGGATGCTCCTTGCTTGGCATCGAGGCTGTGGAGAAGATGCCTTTTGGAGGGGCGATAGCTCAGAACCTGCACTGTGAGGCTGGGCCTGTTGACTCTGCAGTGGCATCCATTTAGCTTCAGGTTGTCTTGTTTCTGTATATAATGACAGCATTCTGCTGCCATCTTAGCCGTGGACAATGGGGGATCAGCTGGCATGAGAAGTTTTCTTGTTTCGTTTTGTTTTGTTTTAATTAAGTGGGGTAGTTTTTCAACTGTTTGTTTTTAAACAAACTGTAGAACTCTTCATTGTCAGCAAAGCGAAGAGCCACTGTATCAATGAAAGTTCAAGAACCTTCTGTACTTAAACACAATTTGCTGTTTTGTTATTTTTTGCTTAGAATGTTGAAATGTTTTTGAAGTTAAATAAACAGTATTACATTTAAAAAATAGATAAATAATAAATAAATAAATGTAGCCCTCACTCCTACTGTGTAACACTGGTCATTCATGGTCCATAATCCTAGGATGTGGGCTTTCTAGAGTCTCCATGAATACCTAGACATCCACGAAGGTTTACACATTCTACATTAGAATGAGCCTAACCTCTTGCATATCCACATTATTGTGCAGCCTCTGAAATCACTGTTCAGCTCTCAGCCTCCCAAAAACTATTATCTGCTAGACATTCTGAAGTCTTGCCCTGCAAATACAGATCTTAACAGTGGGCTGAATAGCTGAGGGAAATTTTAATGCAATTTTTGAGGGCTCCTTTTCTGTAGCTCCTGCCTCTAAGTGACCTTGCCCTCCAAACCCAGCTGTGTTAGAAGGCCTGAGCTCCGATCTTTGTTTCTTCTGCCCAGAGACACTGCCGCTCTCTCTTTGGGCTCCATCTCTCTGTGCTGGGATGAATGTGAGGTTGGCCACGTGCTTCCCTTTTCTGAAGGATAATAATCCAGTGACGCATGTTGTCATTTCACGTAATGTGTCTAGCTTCTATTGTTGTTTACATCAGAAAGGTGAGTCCAGTACCAGCTACTCAATCGTGACTAGAACTGGATGTTAAGAAATTTATTTTTTAAAAGGAATAAATTTAAAAAACCATTATGTTTTTCCCATCTCTAGTTGTAGTGCACAGCTACACATAAAAAGCCTCTTACCACATGCTCTAAAATTCAGATTACAAATTGTATTTTCCTGGCCAGTGCTAAGAGCCAAGAAAAGTTCTATATTTTTATAGGGTTCTGTCTTTTATTTTCATACCTTCCATAAAACACTTAATAACAGCTGGGCATGGTGGCTCACACTGGTAATCTCAGCATTTTGGGAGGCCAAGGTGGGTGGATCATCTGAGGTTAAAAGTTCGAGACCAGCCTGACCAACATGGTGAAACTCCGTCTCTACTAAAAAATGCAAAAAAATGGCCGGGCGTGGTGGCTCACGTCTCTAATTCTAGCACTTTGGGAGGCCAAGGCAGGTGGATCACCTGAGGTCAGGAGTTTGAGACCAGCCTGGCCAACATGGCAAAACCCCATCTCTACTAAAAAATACAAAAATTAGCCAGGTGTGGTGGCGGGCACCTGTAATCCCAGCTACTCAGGAGGCTGAGGCAGGAGAATCGCTTGAACCCAGGAGGCGGAGGTTGCAATGAGCCGAGATCGTGCCATTGCACTCCAGCCTGGGCGACAAGAGCAAAACTCCGTCTCAAAAAAACAAAAAACAAAAAAACCCAAAAACGATTAATAACAAGATAGAATATATTTGACCTAATCTTTGTGGACTTTTCTATTATTCATATAAGTGGAATAAAACTTTAAAATTTACATATTATTTTTTTTGAGACATTTGGCTCTTGTCGCCCAGGCTGGAGTGCAGTGGTGTGATCTCAGCTCACTGCAACCTCCAACTCCAGGGTTCAAGCGATTCTCCTGCCTCAGCCTCCCGAGTAGCTGGGATTACAGGTGTGCACCACCATGCCTAGCTAATTTTTATATTTTTAGTCGAGACAGTGTTTCACCATGTTGGCCAGGCTGGTCTTGAACTCCTGACCTCAGGTGATCTGCCTGCCTCAGCCAAGTGCTGGGACTACAGGTGTGAGCCATGGTGCTCGGCCAATATTGATTTTCCTAATAGAACACTATAGAAATAAATATTTCTTAGGTCAAAGACAGAACATGGAAGTACAAGTGCTCTGATTTCCTTCAAAAGTGAAATAAGAGGGAAATAGATGAGTTTTGTCACCCCATTTTTTCTCGCTTTTTGATGAATACAAAATCTAAAGGAATAAAAGCTGTGCCCAAGTACCTTCACTAAAAATGGCTTGTACACAAAATTAGATCAGAGTTAGGAAGATCTGTAATTGCTATTTCTCCTACACATTGTCTTTTAAGACAATTCAATTCCTGGTTAGCCACCTAAAATAAAAGACAATTCCTGGGTAGGAGCCTAAAATACAATGTTTATAGTAGAAAAGCTTCTGTGTTATGATCATGGAAACTGGAATTTAGTTTTGTTTCCCTCATTTTGGAAAGAATAAAGAAGTTACTTAGCAATCTGTTTCCCCAATACCCTACTGTTATTTACTTGACATTGAAGATTAAAGTTATTTAAATGTTTCAAAGATACTTTTTAAAGTCTGGAGTTCACTATGTCTAAAGTATTCATTAAGTCATTAAATATATATTCAACATTTAATGTTCAAATAATGGAGGGGTAATAAAAATGAATCAAACATTTTTCTTATCTTTAAGGATTTATTGTAATTTTGTGGGAGAGGTAAATAAGCACAGCATGTGGAAGAAAGCAGCCACGTGCTATACTTTACCATGTTATGCAAGTTCAAGGAGAGGAAAGCTCTTGTTTGTGTGGGTAAAATGGATCATCAAAGGTTTCAAAGGAGGCAATGATATCAAATGTGGTCTTAAATTTTGGGTAGAATTTTGCGTGGTGGGGAAAAAAGGATAGACTGTACAGGTGCAAGAACTGCATAGTCAAAGATAGAAAAGAAAAAGGAATAACAGAAGGTCTAATTTGCCTGGAAATTAGAGATAACACTGGAAGGTAGTATGAGGCCTTCTTTGGGGAGTTTTAATGCCAGGTGGGGGAAAGCAGGCCACAGGGAACCAGAGAGGCTGTTGTTGACCGGAGGAGCACTGGAACTGGAACTCAGAAACATTCATCTGGCCACAAAACCACATCAAGACCTCAGGGCCAGTGCTGATCTAGACAAGAGTTTCCAACTACTCAATCTTGAACAAGGTAGTGAATTCTCATAAAATTAAATTCAATGTAGAGGAGTGTCCTATATTCTAAAGCTGAGTCCTCCCTACATTGCCATTTTAAAAATAGTCTATAGAACAATAAAAGATAAGTTTTTTAAAGAATGTCTTTATCTGGCAAAATTAAAAGTTGGGAATTCTATGTTGGTCCTAAACCCTTTTTTTAAATGTTATTGGTGAGAAAACCCAAAGCCTGGGAACTCTTAGCACACGGTGCCAATTTAGACATGAGAAAGGGTGGGGCGAGCTTGCTTGGATAGAGTGGTGAAAAAGTGGGGCTGATAGGAGGAAAGGTAGTTGGAAATTTAGAGGACGAGTTAACCATTTGGTTATGGGAGTCAACAGAGGACAATTCCAAGGGTACCATTAATCAAAACAGGAGAGCCAGAAGGATAAAGGTAGTTTGGTGGAGGCAGAGTAGGCAGAGGCTGGCAAGGAAGAGATTCGTTTTGGAAATGTCATGTGGTTTGTTCCTGTAAGATACCTGTTTGGAAATGTCCAATGAGCAATTAAAATGTCAGTCTGCAGCTTGAGAGGGGAGGACTACTTATTGATGAAACAACAGGCATTTATTTTATACTTACTATGAGCCAAGCACTAAGTTTGGGGGAAAGAGACATATTTGCATGTTATTCCATAGACTCCCTTGCACTGATCTTTTCTACATTAAGTACTTGTTAATATAATCCTTTTATCTGTTTTATGGTGCTTTGAACATGTAAGCCAAGATACAATGGAAATACAATATTCACATTTACAATTGGTCTACAAATGAATAGAAAACTAAGACTGAAAAAAACCTTTATTATTGTGTTAGTTACTAGCATAGGCTACAGTAACAAATGGATACAAGCATATAATGGCACAGCCCCATAAAAGTTTCTTAGTCACAATTTCTCTCTTGGTGGGCAAGTAAATAGGTTGCTGAAATGACTCTTAAGAGACATTTCAGCCTGAGAGGGGGTCCACCTCATAAACACAGGGCTTCCACTGCATCTCAGTCAGTATGCAGTGGCACTTTCAAGCCTTTAAGTGGCAGCATCACTTCCACTTATAATCAACAAGCTAGAACCCAGTCACATGGCCCCAACTAACTGCAAGGGCCATCTAGGAAACATAGTCAAGCTTTGTGTTCAAGGAGAAGAGGAAATGGATTTTGCTGAACAATGAGCAGACTGCCATAATTTTCATTAAATCATCTGAGAAAAAAAGCTAACTTATAGGAAATAAAACACTGGGTCATGAAGAACACTTAGTGTACCAATGAACAGAATCTTTAGCACTGCTTCTCTGGAAAGAAGTAATTGGCACTTATAAGGAACTTCTATTCATGTAACAGTTAAACCATGTTTTATTAGAAACAAAACAGCTGAATTCCAATATTGTTCAGAGTCCTTGCAAGGGTATCATTTGTTTTTTCTAGCTGAATAGTAATCTAAGCTAACTGACCTGAAATGATGGGAAAGAAGACAATATTCCAGTATTAATATGTTTTCTACAAGCACATCATTGATAACCTTCCTCTTTGTTCCCAGGAACATAGGCCTCTTCAATGTGTTTGTGGTTTTTGCATTCGTTTCACCATCAGCATTTTTTCTTCACAATTGTCCTTCAACGACTGCATCCGGTTATGAACTCTTAGTTAGCCTGTGACCACCTGCCTACTTCCAGATTTTGACTAAATTCTCAAACCCTTCATGTCAGTTCTTGAGCCTGAACTGTGCTCAGAGTAGCAGACAGAAACCCATTAGCAGTAATCCATCACTGCTCAAGATCTTTTATCATTTGATATCTAGAGATATCTGCATTTATTTATGAAATATGTCGATTATCCCTTAGAACTAAATTCCTTGTAATTTAAATCAAATATCTTTACTAGGGACATTTCCTTTCCAAATTTTAAGATTATCACCAGTTTTGCTGCGGTAGAGTCTTTTTTTTTTTTTTTTTTTTTTTTTTTTTTTTTTTTTTTTTTTGAGACGGAGTCTAACTCTGTCACCCAGGCTGGAGTGCAGTGGCACCATCTTGGCTAGTTGCAACCTCCACTTCCCAGGTTCAAGCGATCCTCCTGCCTCAGCCTCCCAAGTAGATGGGATTACAGGCGTGTGCCCCCACACTGAGCTAACTTTTGTATTTTTAGTAGAGTTGGGGTTTCACCATGTTGGCCAGGCTGGTCTTGAACTCCTGACCTCAACTGATCTGCCCACCTCGGTCTCAAAAAGTGCTGGGATTACAGGTGTGAGCCACGGTGCCCAGCCAAGGAAGTCTTATTGACATCAGCAGTGATACATTGTTTCTTCTGGCTTCAAATTTGGAAAGGGAAGCATTTGAAAAGAAACTGGGATTTCAGATATTAGCTCTGCTTTACATTGATCCTAAATAGGTGGTACGGTCTCTTGCTGGTAAGTAGTAGGGAGGAAGAGGGGAGATACTATGGGAGTAACATGGATCATCAGGAAACCTTCACAGCATTATTTTGTTAGAACATGTTCGTGGATTTTTGGTTTTGGTCACCTAGCACCAGAACACTTAGTTTAGGCAGAGTCCTAAAATAGGCAGGAGGCAGGGTCACACATCCCACTGTGGAAGCTAAAGGAGGAAGATAATCTTTTCTCTCTGACAGCTGGGGCATCTGCAAATGTTCTTGCCAAGGGCTTTGAACCTCGAGGGAGTGACACAAAAAGGCAGGATGCTGAGATCATTGTAGGTATGGTGGGATTCACAGCCCATAGCAGAGATGACTTCTGAGGTGTGAGGTCCTCTGAAGACTTTACCTAGGGCAGGGACCATCTTGGCTGTGCTCCAAATTGCCAGCTTCCCTGGCTTCTTCTTTCCTGGACCTTGTTCTTTGGTTCTGTGACAGACTTATAAAAATTGCCTTTTTCTTGTGTTGGTCAAGGTAAATTTCTGTTATCTTCACCAAAAATTCTGACTAGCATAAACATTCCACATATCATCTACACCTATAATTTCCATTAAAATACCTGTTTCATTGCAAAAATTATCAATGGAAAACTTTTTAAATATAGACAAATAAAAGACCTCAAAATCAAAAACCACTATGACATCATCACCCATGCAAAACCATTGTAATCAAAGTTTTTAAACATTTTTTGGTACATACTCTCCCAGACTTTTTTCCTGGGCATATGAATCTTTTCTGTTTTTTTCTTTTTCATTTTCCCTCTTCCCCTTTCTTTTCTTTCTTTCGCTATTATAAAAATGCTATGATACAATGATCAACATGTCTGTTATACATCTTTGCACACTTGTATCCTGAGTTTGTCTGCTCTTCTGCCTTATCTATAGAATTACTTCTCAACATGAACACAGACATGAGTTGGCCTAGCCTAGTGAAAAATGTTTGTCACACTTACTTGACTTGCCCTCCAATATATATGTAGAAGTGGTAATTCTCATATACAAGAAGGCATATACAATAATTTCACGTACATTATTGAGTTATAAGACCAATGCAAGGCTGGGCACCACGGCTCATATCTGTAATCCCAGCACTTTGGAAGGCCCAGGCAGGAGGATCGCTTGAGCCCAGGAGCTTGAGACTAGCCTGGCCAACATGGTGAGACCTCATCTCTATAAAAATTTAAAAATTAGCCAGGTGTGGTGGTGCATGCCTGTGGCCCCAGTTACTTGGGAGGCTGAGGCAGGAGGACTGCTTGAGCCCAAGAGGTCAAGGCTGCAGTGAGCCATGATCGCATCACTGCACTCCAGCCTGGGTGGCAGTGAGACCCTGTCTCAAAAAGAAAGGAAAAAAAAAAAAAAAAGACCAATGCAGCAGAGTAAAACATGTTCCTCCACTGGGTAAAAGTCCTCTAACACCTATCGTGGCTATCTCATTTCGTCATGTACAAATGAATTCAAAGTTTTTATATTATAGTTGCTAGGATCCAGAACTTCCAAAGAAAGTTTAGGGTATACATATACTTGCCTGAAAGAACCCAATATTTCAACTAGAAATACGTTAAAAATTTACTAATTTCTCAGAATGCATTAAATTGATCTCTAATTCAAGAGGCGCTGTAGAAAATTTTTTACAAATAGATCATTACTTAGAGGTACAAATAATAATTGCCATTACAAAGCAGAGAATCTAAGAGGATTTAATTATTGTATACATAATTTTACTATGTATACGAAAGTTATAAATGCCATTTGCAAATGGTAAAAACATTAAAAGTTCTTAAAAAGTCTGATCTCTACCTCATATCTTAATAGATTTTAGTATTCTTTTCTTCATAGAGGTAAACCTCAACTCTAGATGGATTAAAACAAATTAGTGGAATCTAAATTAATTGCATTTCTATTTTTCAACCAAAATTGCCTTATGTCACTTTGTTCTATAGCTCCTCATTCCATTATTTGTCTTTAAGGCATTTATTTTTTTCCTTCACAGCCATATTTTAATACTAAAAGTAAGAGCTTACAGCTCTGGTTTTCTTCCTGATGAATGGTAAACAAACTTCCCTCATTGCTACTTCAAAACTGTCTTTAATAAATATATTTAAGAAACCGATTCACAAAATTTCTAGAGACTTCCAAACAAGTGTGCAAGTGATTTTTTTTTTTTTTTTTTTGAGATGGAGTTTCACTCTTGTTGCCCAGGCTGGAGTGCAATGGTGCGATTTTGGCACATGGCAACCTCTGCCTCCCGGGTTCAAGTAAGTCTCCCGCCTCTGCCTCCCGAGTAGCTGGGATTATAGGCACGTGCCACGAAGCCCGGCTTTTTTTTTTTTTTTTTTTTTTTGTATTTTTAGTAGAGATGGCATTTCACCATGTTGGCCAGGCTGGTCTCGAACTCCTGACTTCAGGTGATCCACCCGCCTTGGCCTCCCAAAGTGCTGGGATTACAGGCGTGAGCCACCATACCTGGCTTTTTTTTTTTTTTTTTTTTGAGACGGAGTCTCGTTCTGTCGCCCAGGCTGGAGTGCAATGGAGTGATCTCTGCTCACTGCAAGCTCCGCCTTCCGGGTTCACGCCATTCTCCTGCCTCAGCCTCCCGAGTAGCTGGGACTACAGGCGTGCGCCACCTCACCCGGCTAATTTTTTGTATTTTTAATAGAGACGGGGTTTCACCGTGTTAGCCAGGATGGTCTCCATCTCCTGACCACGTGATCCGCCCACCTCGGCCTCCCAAAGTGCTGGGATTACAGGCATGAGCCACCGCGCCCGGCCTTTTTTTTTTTTTTTTTAATGAGACAGTATCTGGCTATGTTGCCCAGGCTGGAGTGCCGAGGCGTGATCTCTACTCACTGCAATCTCCACCTCCCGGGCTCAAGGGATCCTCCCACCTCAGCCTCTATTGTAGCTGGGACCACAGGTGCACGCCACCATGCCAGGCTAATTTTTTTTTTTTTTTTTCATTTTTGGTAAAGATGGGGTTTCACCATGTTGCCCAGGCTGGTCTCGAACTCCTGAGCTCAAGCTATCTGCCTGCAGCTTCCCAAAGTGTTGGGATTACAGGCGTGAGCCACTGCACCTGAGCCTTTTTTTCCTTTTTAAAAGAAACCAACCATCTTTAAGCGGTTTTTAAGATTTTTACTGTTTTTTGTTTTTAGAGAAACAGGTCTTGCTATGTTGTCCGAGCTGTTCTTGAACTCTTGGGCTCAAGTGATCCTTTCACTTCAGCCTCCCAAGTAGCTGGGCCTACAGGGGAACATCACCATGCCTGGCTTATTAATTTCACTTTAAAAGTCACATATATGACAGTTTTCATCCAACAGGGCTTTTTCTCCCTGACCAATCCATTAATAAGGTAACTATCCAATCATTAAAAAAAAATTCTTTTTCTAAATTATCCAATACTTTATTAAGCAAAATAAAATAATATTTAACTTTTTAGATCCCAGGCTTCAACATTATTTGCTATTCAATGAAAATAAATAAAATGTAGTGGTTTTCACATTTGTTACCACAGATTTCAAAATAATAATCTACATTCCTAAAAACTATTTACATATACAAACAAAAAAGAACATAATTAAGCTGGAGTTTTTCCATGTCATTGTCTTTGGGGTCCAAGCAGCAGAACCATGATGTAGGTAAGAGAGTACTACGGCCGATTGCCAGTGATGTGATTCAAGCTCAAGAACAAAAAGTTGAGCTGTGGGTATATTAGCTTGACTCATAAAAAGGATGCTAACCAAAGGGTCTCCATCTTTAGAGACCAAACAAGGGCAAATGTGCTATTGGTGCAAAAGTAATTGTGGTTTTGCCTTTTTTAAAAAAAATGGTAATTACTTTTGCACCAACCTAATAAAATGGCAATAGTAACGATATGGTTATTTGTAAAACAGTACTCTCCTACACATTTCAAAAGAGCCTAAGGACACTCATTGTTCATGTCTTTGAGAACAAAATAGGCTGCTCATTTATTTGGAATGGTTCTTGATGGAGGATATTCTGGAAGGCGGGAAGATCTTTCCTTCCTGGGCCATCTATCTCTCTAGGGGGTTAAACTTTGAATTGTATCTCATTTATTCTTCTCAGTGTGACTCAAACCTAGTTTCAGAGGTTAGAGACTCTACATCTTTCAAACACAATTCCTGTTGTAGAATTACTCAGTAGATAGGAACTCTTACCTGTTCCCAACTCCGTTTCAAAATTCAGCCAAGATTCCTTGATATGGGATTTCTTTCTATATTTTCTGAAATGCAGTGCCACTTAGAACACTTATTTACTATTATAATATACAATAAAATGTAATTTAAAAAACAACTTTGTAAAATAAGATATTTGTAAGAGCAGTGGTTTTTTTTATATTTGGTCATGTTGTGTGGGGCAAATACAGCTCAGCTTTGGCTTTACTATATTCCTTTTTTAATAATAAAAAAGCAAAATCATATGAAAATTTTCTTACATATAGATCTATTTGTAAAAGCAAAAGAAAATTTATTTCAAGTGTGTAAGGAAAGCGGAAATTACTCAATTGGTTATACATATACTTTTGGATATTTCAATTTCTGTAACGACTGACATCCAGTGAAGCCTTCTTTCAATTTTCTAACATTAATACAAAAGTCATCAAAATGTATAAATGTAAGATGCTTCTAAAAACAACTGTCACATTTAACGTTTTGATTTAGTAATCAGGCCATGATTTTTTCGATTCTAATTTGTTTCTGTACTTTCTCTTTAATGGGGGAGGGGGTGGGCTTCTAAGTCTTCCTCTTGAGTCTTTGTACAATAAAGTGAGCTATTTGCTTCTATTTAGCAAAGCTGGATGGGGCATATCTCTGCATTTGATTGGTTGGTTTTTAAGGGATTACTCCTCTGGAAAGACACTGTCTCATATTGCATTGCTAGCAGCGTGGTCTTAACTGTGGTTAAACTTTTAAATTGAAAATGAACATTTACCATCAAAGAGAACACAAACTTCAGGACTCCTATGTTACACAGATCATACACACCATATTGACCTGTTTTGATAAGAGTTCTGTTTGAATACAATCCTAAACACCATATCCAGAAATAACAACTGTCTCAATGGCATAAATAGGAAATTTGGGGTTCCTCATGTATTACAAAGAAGCCAATAAAACTTAGAATAAATTCCAACTATACAAATAGGCTTCAATAAGATTAACAAAATCTGAGGATGACAGGCAAGTCAACAAGTTAAATAAATTATACTATTTATACCCAGATAAAATAAAACAATGACTTCTAACTTTTATGGTGCATTTCCCACCTAATCAGAGTAAACATCAGACTTCAAATTCCATTTATCATTTTATCTGAAAGAATTTACTGAGTAAAATCCTTAGTTGCAGGGCTTTACACTTGCAATCCATCAGGTTGCAATATTAAAGTTACTACAGCTTCTTCCCCAGTGTAAGCATTCTGTATGTGTTTTATTTACATTGTCACTTTTTATTTCCTCCTCAACTTCGTATGTCTAAGAATGAAACTGGATTGCTATTATGCAACAGTATTTTAACTTTGCAACATACATACTGGCTTATCTCTCCTTTGAACTCCTGTTCCTGAAAAATAAACATATGTATCCAGAAAAACTACCTTGAGGCGTGTGGGGAAGAGTGCAGACATGTAGAAACAAACACTAAAATACAGTCGTGTGGAAAGGTAAGGATGTATCTGTCCTCGTTGACAACAATCCCCGTGGTTTATTAACAGCCACAGGCAGCCAACTTAGTGCCGTAAGTCGGTAACCCAGTGGGCATCGGGGCTTTAAGGTCTCTTAAAACTTAATGTGATTCAAAAATACCCAAGGCAACCACGCCGAAAAACCAGGAGAAAGGGCTCCAGTTAGAGCCTCCTTGGCAACCCAAACCGAACCGAATGACTCAGGTGGACGATTAGAATAAACCGTGCGCCGTTCTCTTTCACTAGGTCTATAAAGCCCAGAAATTATGTTTGGTCCAGAAAACCAGGAGTTATGAGCACCTTCCTTTTCCACCTTTTAATATTCTACATATCTAGCAACGGTTCTTAATCCATGGTCTTCATTCATTTATTGCCTAAACAAGATCTTGGGTGTCTCTTGGTGATCACTTCTTCCAAGCTGACCTAATATGACAGCAAAGTGAAAAGCCTCTTCGTGGGAAGGGTCGCGACCGCGCGGTAAGTCATCCAAAAGTGGAAGCATCTTGCTTTTACTGACTTATGTATACGAGGGTGGCGATGGTGGCGGCCTGACAGGGACGAGGCCGGAGGGGAAGGGGCGCGCGGGCTGCTGGGCAGCCGCGGTGGGGGTGACGGGGGCAGCCACGCTCCCCAGCGCGAGCCGCCGGACCCGGGACCCGACGAGCCCCTCCCGGCATTGCACCCTGACCCCTCTCCTCCTTCCAGGCC
Source organism: Homo sapiens (assembly GCF_000001405.40). Classification (NCBI taxonomy): domain Eukaryota; kingdom Metazoa; phylum Chordata; class Mammalia; order Primates; family Hominidae; genus Homo; species Homo sapiens. The sequence continues at coordinate 68,821,407 of NC_000015.10, read as the reverse complement.
TTTCATCTGCCCTCCCGCTGGGCAGCCCGCGGTCCCCGGACCTCAAGCCGCCCGCCTCCTTCCGCAACCCCGTCGCGCCGCCCCGCGAAGCCCTCGGCCGGGCGGGGACCCCGACCCGACCCCTCCGGCCGCGCCCCTCCCCCTCGCAGAACGCACCTGCGGCCCCGCCCCCGGCCGAACGCTGAGGCGGCGGCTGGCTGGCAAGGCCGGGCGGCTCGGCCCTCGAGGCACAGTCACCTTCCCTTCCCCCGCCATTCCGCCCACCCCCCTCACTCAGCCACAGAGCAGCCGCCGCGCTCCTCAGCCGCCCCGAAATCTAAAGGGGTCCGTCTCCGGCACCACTACCAAATGGCCGAGCCTCCCTGGCCGGCTGCGCAGCCCGCCCATTGGTCCCTTCCCCCCCCCGCCGCCACTGCCATTGGCTGTTGCCCGGAGACCCTCGGCGGCGATTGGCTCGGGCCGCTGCCGCTCGTCCATGGGGCCGCAGATCCCGCCTCCACGGCGATCAGGTTAGTGTGCGCCGCGGGTGCTGGGGGCTCGAGAACCGAGCGGAGCTGGTTGAGCCTTCAAAGTCCTAAAACGCGCGGCCGTGGGTTCGGGGTTTATTGATTGAATTCCGCCGGCGCGGGAGCCTCTGCAGAGAGAGAGCGCGAGAGATGGAGATGGGCAGACGGATTCATTTAGAGCTGCGGAACAGGACGCCCTCTGATGTGAGCATTTGCCAAAAATATCTCTGTCGGTCCATTCTCCTACTTTGTGTGTGTGTGTGTGTGTGCGCGCTGGGGGGAGGCACTTTTTTTGGGGGGGGGCGCCCGGGAGGTGCGGGTTTGGGGGTCGGACTGCAAGCGAATTGGCAAGGCTGGGGGGTTGCAATGCCATCCGAGCATGTTCCGGCTGCCGCCGCCGCTGCCCTTGGTGTGTGACTACCTGTGCGTGTGCTCCCGCGTGTGCGAGTGTGGGTGCGAGAGTGTGCGTGCGAGTGTGCACCCATCGGGGGCCGGCGGGCGCACGCGTTTGGGTCGGAGAGAATGAGGCGAAATCACCCTCGGAGATCGCTGCTCCCGTGACTCCGTCTGGGGGGAAGATTAACGAGGGAGGAGGAGGAGAGGGGCTGCCTCCTGGATTTAACAACAAAAAAAGGGGGTTTTACATTTTATAAATGTATCCCCCCTTCCGCCCCCCTCCCGCGCCTCCCCCCTCCCTTTCTCTCGCTCGCTCGCTCGCACACACAATAAGTTTGGGGCTTCGCGAGTCCGGTTTAGTTTCTGATAAATGTGGGCCGAGGCCCCCGGGGAGAGCGCGTGGGGAGGGGGCTGCAGCGGAGTTGGGAATGGCTGGAGTTTAAAGTGCGTCTTCATTTCTTTGCAGTGATGAGGCGAGAGACGGGGGAGCCATATTTGTAACTTTGTAGTGTTCGTGAACGCGCCCTTTCTCTCCCTCCCTCCCTTTCTCTGCCTCCCTTCCTCTCCTCCTCTTTCTCCCTCACTCTTTCCACCCCACCTTCGGGCCAGATGCTGATGTTTCTTCCTTTCCTTCCGAAGGGAGGATAAATTAGAAGGAGGGGGAGGGATTTTCGAACGTGCTAAGGCACAGATAATCCCCGCGTCTCCCTGCCTCCAGCGATCGCTGGTGCAAGTTGCCCAAAGGCTACGTCCCGGTGCCCCCTCGCCCCAGCTCCTTCCGGCTTCCCCAAGATGCCAGCCTTTGGGCCCTGGTGCCCCCCAGCTCGAACCCCCGGCCCGTCTTTCTCAGTGCTGGGCTTGTCGGCAGCCATTCGGCGCCTGCTTAATAAATGGGCACGGGAAACTTTGTCAGGACGCGAGCTGCCCGGAGCTGGCGCCCGTGGTGGGTACTGGCTGGGTCCACGTTTATGCGGGCATGGCAAACACGCAGCTCTAGGATGGGAGTTTGCCCGCTAGCCGCCGTTATTGATTGGGCAGCGGCGGGAGCACGGCCGGAGGAAACTTACACGGGTGGGAATCGCGAGGCTCGAGCGAAAGCTTACCCCTGAGGAGGGGGAAGGTGAGGGTGGGTGACTCGAACGCTGGTTTTTATTTCTGCCTCCCTCTCGCTTTCAAACCTGAGTGTTTTCGGCGAGTTGGCGGCTCTGGGGCGGAGACCCTGGCCAGCTCCCCTCTTGGCCCCTTGGGGGGACCGGGGACGCGCTGGCGGGAGGACGCCCCCAGTCTCGGTGGCCCGAGCTCCATGGAGTTGGGAGTTTGGGCAGCACCGTGCGCTGGCCTGTCGCCCCTCTAGCCCGTTAAACCCGAATCCCGGCGAAGGCAGGCCTCGCTTCCTCTTTTCCCTAGTTCCTCCCCCAAACCTGAGTGAGACTTTTGAAAACAAGATCCTTTTTGTCTACCCCCTCCCCGCCTTAACGCAGCTGTGGACTGGAGACGTGCGAGTGCCTTATGGCGCGCAGGGCGGGGAGGGGGCGGCCGCGGGAGAGGAGGGGGCGCCGCCGGTGGAGGCCGGAGTTTCCGCGCACTATTTGCGGGCGGTTTGCCTCTCTCCGGCCGCTTTCGTCCCGGCCGGGACCCGGCGCCTAGCGTTTGGGGGCTGGGTGTGGTGATGGGGGAGGGGGCCGGGGCCGCGGTCTTCCCGCGTACTTTCCGGAAGCCCCCTGCGCGGAGGGGGAAGGGCGCCAAGCGCGGGGCCGGGGTCGCCGCGGGTGGGTGCGGGGGCGCGGCTGGCCTGGCGAACCCGACCGACGCTGCCGGCCCCCCGGGAGCAAGCAGGAAAGCGGGTCGAACCGGCTCTTTAAACTTCCACGAGTGTGTGTGTGTGTTGGGGAGGGGAGCGCACCGCGCCGTACTGGGAGCGATTTCTCACGCTTCGCCCCCTCGCCTCCCAGCCTCGCGGCCCACACGCCTGCCCCCTGCCTGGAGGCGGGGTGGGGCGCGGGTGGCGGAGGAGGGGGCACTTTCTGCACATTTGCGGGGGAGGGGGAGAAAGCTAGCGAAAGAGGGACAAAAGGGTTGGGGGAGGAGGAACTGTATTTTTTTAAACGTTCTTAAGACAAATGGCTCCCGGAGCGCGCCCCCTGCGCCCCTCCCCGCCGCGCTGCCCCTGGGCCCCCCACACACCCACCTTCGGCACCTCTCCCAACTGGGCTCCGGGAGCTGGTGGCCATGCCGCGACGCCGAAATAGGACGAGCAGCCATGTTTCCCGGGGCTCGCGCCGCACGCCCCGCCCCTCCTCCCCGGCGCGGGGCGCAGGGCTCGGAATGCGGGCTCCGGGCTCCATGTGGCGCGGGGCGCTGGCAGGCGGGCGGCGGGGGTGCAGTACGCGCGGGGCCGGCCTTGTGGCTTTCTAGGCTGGTTTTGAGTTCCAGGTGTTTTATTTATTTATTTTTATTTATTTATTTTTTTTAACGGCTAGGCCCACTCGGGGCTGAGCCCGAAGGGCGCCGAGGCGTTACTGGGGGGCAGGAGCCGCCTCCAGGGCCCTGCGCGCCTGTGGCACGACTGCCGGGCGCCGGGCTGCCATTTTGTCACCGTGGCTGTTGTCGCTGTGGGGGGCGGGGGGAGCGGAGTCTTGCGCCATCACCCCGACGGCCTCCCGCGCGGAGGAGGCAGGGGGAGCCGGCTTTGGGGACCCCCAGTTGTGCTATGAGCCCCGATGGGGGTTTCCGCCCCGCGCCAACGGCCTGAGGCTGTGCTGGAGAGTCACGGCGGCCGCGGCGCCGGGAGGACGACGATCCTCTGTGCAAATGCCCCCCCCCACGCGCTCCCTGCCTCCCCCGCCTCCTCTCCGGGGTTTCGCCGTTCCTCCTGCAGGCGCTCAGACGTAGTTAAATGTGGCCTTAAGGACTAACCGATCGCTCTGGTGTTTGCTCTTTCGGCGGAAGTGATAGAGTAAGGGGAACATTAAACATGAGGTTCTTTTGGCGGGGGTGAGGGGTGTCGCGCACGCGACTCTAGTGGCCCTGACTGAAGCCAAGGACAGCAGCCTGTTCCCCGGGAGGGAAGAGTTGTCGATCCGTTGGGGAAACGCCCTCCCGGGCTGGGCTCTCCGGGAAGGTAGGTCGAGCTCCGTGTTTCAGGTGGATGTTGCAGCGCCCTGCAGGCTAGGGGAACCCTCCTCCTCGGTCTAAACCTGCTCCTTCCCCCTTTTATTTTTGCCTGGGAGAAGGCAGCTACAATAGTAATGAGATCCTAAAGCGAAAGAGAGGGATGAAGGTTTGCTTTTGAAAAAAGTAAACCGCCTTTCTCCGGATGTTGACTTAGGAGCCAGGCAATTCGTCGCGTCGGGTCCTCCGATGCTGGCATCTCTGAGAATTTTAAAAAGCCGATATAGGTGCTGGTTAAGCACCTCACGAGCTGAACTCTGGTATCTGTGCAGAAACTAACTTTCATGGCAGTGTCCAGCAGAGGCTGCCTTGGAAGCCAGCTTTTACTTTGACCTTTGGAATACATCGCATGATGTTTTCCAGGCTGACTTACTGCCTAATTGGGTTCAAGTAGCATGATATTAACTACAGTTTATGCAAGCCAACCAGGAACTCGCAGGCAGAAAATTGAGCCTGAGTTCCCCTGTGGTCATAGTCAGTTGAGTTCTGCTGCTGATAGTAGTTTCGAGTCTGAGGGGCTCCATGATGAAGATGGGCTTAGGAATTACACAGACCTGGGTTTGAATTCCTCCTGCCACAAGGAGGTAGGATACGTTTACCTGCCCTTGTGACCTTGGGCTGGTGAGCTTAACCTACCTTTTTGAAGCTTTGTTTCTTCACCTGTAAAACGGAATAATCCTATTTAATCAGTAAATGATGACAAAATTGGTTTGATATGGCCCTCAGTATATGCTGTCTATATGACAGTTTTAGTCTCGGAGACATATCAGGGTGCTTCCAGGCATTACTTTGAGCTCCTCCATGGTTTAGGATAATAACAATATTAGCTAGTGCTTACATAGCAACCACGCTGTGTCTGGCACATTTCTTAAGTGGATTACATGTATCAACTAATTTAGTCCCCACAACAGCACTATGAGGTAGGTATTATTATTATCATCGTCATTGTGCATATGGAAATTGAGGCATACAGGGGTTATCATGTGACCAGTGAGTGGCAGAACCAGGATTCAAACTCAGCCAGTCTGCATACTCAACCTCTACACTCTACTGCCTCCTTTGAAACACCCTTTTTTTCTTAAGATACTGTAAGGAAGAGCTTTTTCTTCTCCAGCTTTGGAGTGGTGCCACCGTAGAAAGAGAATGAGTTTTCTATTATTGAAGACGCTGAAATGAAGAGTGGATAGCATCCTGGTTGGAGATATTAGAGGGCCAGGAGGTTCAGGACCAGGGGCTGTGGATTATCATTTTATGAAGCCTTGCACTGAGTTTGCTTTAGCACATCACAGTGGGTTAGGTTGAAGTGGATCTGGCCTTCAAGGTGCTGGGGGACACATTTTGAGTAAGGAGAAGACAAGCAGGAGCTGCTCAGGCAGTCTGCATCTGCAGCCAAAAAAACTCAACATAACTGGCATGTCTTTAGTATCTGGGACATAGTATGCTCATAGCACCTCATGGATCATCTCACTTAATCATCCCAGCAACTCTTTAAGGGTAGGCCAAGCAGTGCAATGCCACCCCTGTTGTGAGGATGAATCATCTGATTTTTGGAGAGGTTGAGCAACTGGTAGGTGGCACAGCCGGGTTCTCGCACTGCAAAACCACAGGCCCCTTTGGTGGACAGAGATTCCGAGGATTGGATAGTCCATTGGGTCCATGGCCCATTACCAGAATCACGTGAGAGGCATGTAAAATGCAGATTCCTGGGCTCCACCCCAATCACAGGAGTACCACAGCAATCACCAAACTATAACTGAGCTCCCAATTTTTGTACAGTCATGAGCTAAGAATTATTTGTACATATAAACGTTGCAGTCAATTTGATGGTATGGAACACTCTTTGAATCCCAATGACTTGAAATGTTATTCTCCCAAAAAATAAGAAATCCACTTGTCTCGTTAACAGATCTCGTTACAAAAAAAAAATTGTACTCAATATATTCTGAACTTTATCAATAAAAGAATTGTGGAAATGTGTTAGATTTTTCTCTTGTTATAAAAGTCCCTATGTAGTGTTCTTAATTTTGGCTCTTGATAAAGTTTACTATCTGCCCCCTTTGCAGAAGAGGTTTGCTGAAAAGGTGGTTCAGTAGATTGGAGGGTGGGCCCCAGGGATCTAGTGTTTTGCTTTGTTTAAGCAAATGGCAAGCCATATATTTGGGTGGTACTCTCAGGGTCTTTTTAAGTCCTTTTATGTGTTCTGTGCCCTGTAAGTAATTGGTGCCTAGTGGAAATCAGCCTCAACCCAGGAACCTCCATAGGAAGAGAAATTATCCTTGTTACTGGTTTAGTATGAAGCACTTCTCGTCTAGAGTTCTGTATAGCCAGCTGAAATTCTTCGTTGTGTACTCAGAACATGTCAAAGCCTTCTGTGTATCTTGTAGTTGAATGGTCACTCTTAGGTTCTAGATGTCATCTCAGAGATAGAAAGAGCTTTGGGTTGCAACGGTTAGAGCTTTGAGGCTTGAACCAAAGGCGGGGCAGCTGTGCACCCAGTGGCTCACATCAGCCTTTCAGAGCCCAGATCTTTGAAAATGACAGATAATCCTGGAATCTCTAGTTTTTGGCCTGCTGCTTTTCTACCATGCGTGTTTCCTGGGGAATGAACCAGCAGCATAGTGGCTTTGAGTTTCAGAAGTTTTTCCCTCTAGCGTCTTGTGCCTGAGCTAATGAACGGAAGGAATGGTTATAAAATTGGCCAGGTCAAGGGGAGGAGGAGATAAATTCAAGGGGACAAATCCTAGTCCCCATAACAGCAGCCTGTGTTATGACAGCACACCACAGCCCCAATTCCCTCTTTCCTGCTGCTGCTGCACCACCAGCCTCTCAAGGTGGCTTACTCTAGACTTACACAGTTGGCCATCTTTCTTTTTTTTTTTCTTTCCCCATAGCAGTATGAGACTTGTTTCCTTTTTTATTTATTTATTTTATAATTTTTGTAGAGACGGGGTTTTGCCGTGTTGCCCAGGCTGGTCTCAAACTCCTGGACTCAAGTGATCTGCCCACCTTGGCATCCCAAAGCGCTGGGATTACAGGTGTGAGCCAGCGTGCCTGGCCCCCTTCTTCAATACCATTGGAAAGACATCTGCTTGAGCTTTCAGAGCTGTCCATCCCAGAGCTTGGGTCCAAATTAATTACATCACATTGAAATAAAAAACTTCCTGGAGGCTGGGTGCAGTGGCTCACGCCTGTAATCCCAGCACTTTGGGAGGCCGAGGCGGGTGGATCACGAGGTCAGGAGATCAAGACCATCCTGGCTAACACGGTGAAACCCCGTCTCTAGTAAAAATACAAAAAATTAGCCGGGCATGGTGGCGGGTGCCTGTGGTCCCAGCTATTCGGGAGGCTGAGGCAGGAGAATGCCGTGAACCCGGGAGGCAGAACTTGCAGTGAGCAGAGATCGTGCCACTGCACTCCGGCCTGGGGGACAAAGCGAGACTCCGTCTCAAAAAAAAAAAAAAAAAAACTTCCTGGAAATTGTGTAGGATACTCTTTAGACATCTCATGCCTTTGCTATTTTGGTGCAGTCACTTAGGAAAGGAGCCGGGAGCTTGTTGGTGATTGGGCCCTGGCCCAATGAACGTGGCCCAATTGTCTGGCCTGAATTCTAACTTAGTTTAAGAGGAGGCTCATAGCTCTGGTGTCTAGAGAGGCATTCCTTTAGAAATGTTTGCCACCAGCATCCCTCCTCTTTGTTTTGGCAGTCCATCCCTTACTCTAGCTAGTTCTCTGGTCTCCTAGGAACTACCCTCTCCCAGTCCCCCAGCACCACTGCCTTCAAGTAGAGAAACATGGACCTGACTCTGAATCTTCTATAGCTTTGAAATAGAATTATACAACAAATGATAAATACCCAACAATGATGTTTTCATTAAAGAGATGGAGTCTGGCAGGGACAGAGATTTGTGAAGGCATCTGTTATTCAGAACTTCTCATTTAATAAAATTTGTTGAAACTAGATGAGCAAAGCACCATGGCCCTGAGCCACCTTCTCAGACATGGAAGCAGCCTCCTTGTCTAGAACTAGTTGTCCTGATGATATACAGACTCTAAGGAAGATAAAAGTCCCTTTATTCTACCACACCAAGCCCTGTCCTGGGCCTGCTGGGCCACACCCTGCAACCCAGTGCTTTCCCTCAGATTTATTTTGTTTTAGCTCCACAGCTGCCCCCTGAATTCATTCAGCTACTGTTTCCTTTACCAAAACTTGCTCCAGGCAGCAGATCTAAAAGATCAGCTTACTTACTACTCCACTGTTATTTACTCTAATGTGGATTAAAGTCAGCACTGTTTTTCCCAGAGGTATTTACATTTGGAGATTCTGGTTTGGTGAGGAAATTACCAGAGAACTATTAAAGACTTGGATGCTCTTCTCGGCTTTGCTATTAAGTAAGTTGGACAAGTTGTTTGGCTTCTTTGAGCCTCTGTTTTCTCCATTCTGAAATTCTAAAATGGGAGTGTTGAATTAGATCAGTGGCTTTCGAACTTTCTGCTCCTAGTAGTGAGAAATACATTTTACTCCACTCCCTGGTATGTACACGCATTCCTGTGTTTTGTGAAAAACCGACACCATGCTCCTCCCTCACTACATGTAAAACACTTTTATTCATTAAAAAGAAAACTGACTGGCTTGGACCTACAAATTAGTTTCATTATTTGTTAATGTTTGAAAGCCATTAAAAGATGAATATTAAGGTTTCTTTATACTCAATACTTGTAGTTTTGTTTGGGGGAATGAGAGGATGCCCTTGGTACCTTTGTGAGGCCTCTCCACTGAGGGTCAATCATGACTTCTGTTTTAAACCAGCCCATCCCATCTTCTCCAGCTGCTCTCCTTATGTCTTGCTTCTCTCCCCTCCAACCTTCTCAGCATAAGGACTCAATCCTAGGCTCCTACCCCAGACGGGTGCCTTCCAACGTTCCTGGTGCCAGTGGCCCCCCATCAGCCATGTTCCCCCAGCCCCTTCTCCACACTCTTGTCACCCAGGGCCCCATCCTTCAGTGCATTGCACACTTTGCATGCTGGGTCAGGGAAGATTGTGGAGAGAGGACAGTGCACCTGGTTTCCCCCACATAGACTGCGTGGGGGTATGTCCTGCTTCCGCCACTTCCAACTGTGGCACTTGGGCACGCCCCTCTCAGGGCACCTTCCCTTTTTGTCTCCGCAAAATGAGGTTGTAATAGTGCCTGCCGCACTGTCTGGCACACAGTAAGCTCTCAAGAAATGTTAGCTGTTGTTGCCGTTAGAACACCATAGCTAGAATACCATACCTGGCATTCACTTAAAAAAAAAAAAAACAACTTAGGGCCAGGCGCAGTGGCTCACGCCTGTACTTCCAGCACTTTGGGAGGCCAAGACAGGCAGAGCACCTGAGGCCAGGAGTTCAAGAACAGGCTGGCCTTGTCTCTACTAAAAATACAAAAAAAAAAATCAGCCGGGTGTCGTGGCAGGTGCCTGTAATTCCAGCTACTCTGGAGGCTGAGGCAGGAGAATCGCTTGAACCTGGGAGACGGAGGTTGCAGTGTGAGCCGATATCGTGCCACTGCATTCCAGCCTGGGCAACGAGCGAAACTCGGTCTCAAAAAAACCCAACTTACATTATCCGCAGACACATTACATACAAAAGTAACCATTTTCTTTCAATGGGAAAGGAGGTTTAGAAGCTAGAGATTCAAAGTTACCAGGAGTTACTTTTTCCCACTAGGAATTCACTACAGTCCTGACATTGGACTCTAGGTAGTTTCTACTGAGGGTAAGTGACTCGTCCCTCTTCTGGGCAACTCTTTTTCTTACTGCCCTCAGCAGCTATTTCAGGCCTCCACCCCTTCCCTCCCGGCCAGGACGTCCTCTTCACAGAAAATGGAAACCTCCTGGTTTCTTAAGTAGTTGTGAGGCTGAACCTGCCTTAATCCCTCCCAGTTCAGTGGTCTTCTTGTCTTGTCCATCCCTCCCTCAGTTCCCTTGTTCCTCCTGGGCACCTAGCCACTCCTGTCCTTTGGATTCTTCTCCAGCTGGGGATGCTTCTCCCATCTTAAAGCAAAGACTCTAATTGATCCCGTGTTGCGCTGTAGTTACTGCCCATCCCACTCTTCTCCCTACTCCCTAAACTTTCTGAATTGTCTATCTTCTCCATCCTGTCACCTCTCTTACTCCACCACGTGAAGTCTGGTTTGCTTCCTAAATAGTGCCAAGAATCCCAACAGCCTTCATTTCTTATCTTGCATGATGTCTCAGTGGCGGGATTCAGCATTCTTTTTTTTTTTTTTTTTTCCCAGACAGAGTCTCACTCTGTGGCCCATGTTGGAGTGCGCAGTGGCTTGATCTCAGCTCACTGCAACCTCGACCTCCTGGGTTCAAGCGATTCTCGTGCCTCAGCCTCCCGAGTAGCTGGGATTACAGGTGTCCACCACCACGCCCGGATAACTTTTTTATTTTTAGTAGAGAAGGGGTTTCACCATGTTGGCTAGGCTGATCTCGAACTCCTGACCTCAAGTGATCTGCCTGCCTCGGCCTCCCAAAGTGCTGGGATTACAGGCGTGAGCCACTGCGCCCGGCTGGGATTCAGCATTCTTGACTTTATGATAGATGCTCTCCCTTTCTCTGGTATATCTTCTACGGCTCTAGTCACTGCTCAGTTTCTGGTGTCCTGTTGCTCTCCTGTTTAGCCATGAAGTATTGACTTAGTCAAACTTGGGCGCTGGGCATTCTTATCCTGTATTCTCTCCAGTTGGAAATTTGTCCTTCCTCACTGACAGCTGCAGGTACTGCGTGCTGCTCTCTGAGGTTTGAAGTTTACTGCTTGAGTAAGCTTGAGACCCACCTGATGTCTCCACCTGGGTGCTCCAAAAGTGCCCTACTCTTAAGTCCAAAGGGAACCCATGTCCTCTGTCCCTTGCCCACCACTGCCCACACACACACACTCATGATCCTCTTTCCATCCATCATCATCACAAGTCTTGTCTGTTTAAAACATGCTCTGTTGCTTGCCACTGATCTCCCTGTATCATAGTCTAGTCTTCTTGAAGCCATGCTGTGACCTTCAACTAGAATGATCTTATCAAAACACACATGTAATGTCACCCCATACTTAAAATTCACCATTGTTCCTAGGATAAAGTCCCAAATCTTTAATAAGACCAACAAGGTGCTGCATGGTCTGGCCACTTCCCGTCATCTGTTCCCTTGCCCCACTCTCTCTGGGCCTCCCTGGCTGCCTCTCATTCCTGCAAACCTGTGCCACACTGAGATTGCCACTGTATCCAGTTAGCATCTAGTCATCTTTACCATCTCCAGCCTCCTCCGTCAGGTTTAGATCTAGTTCTTTTGCCAGAAAACTCTTACAGAACTTTTCCCTCAGAGTGCTTCAGTTTGTAACTACATATTCCAGATTATGAGTGTTTAATTAGCATCTCTGTCCCCTTGCCTAATGGGTGCACTGCACGATTTGAGGGACTTGCTTTTGCTCATCATTGTGGTCTTCAGAGCTCCACACTGTGCCTGGCACATGGTAAGCATTCTAGAAGTACTGATGGAGTGAAGGATCTGTGGTACTTATACCTTCTTGTCACTTTCATCACCTACCGGTTGGTACATCAAGCACGAAGCCACTGAAACGAAGCGCACACCTTCACACCCGCACCCCCACGCCCGCTGGTGTGACTTTCTGATGGAGTTGCTCTGGGTGGGTGATGCACACTTCTTAGGTCGCTGGTCATCATGTTTTTCTCATTATCACATCCCTTATCAGTAAACAATTTGAACCTGAGCCCCAGTATGTCTACCTTGCAGTTATGGATTATTCACATACACTACCTATAAATATGGACATTATAAAATGTAACGCCAAAAATATAAATTAAAAAGGATACATTTAAACATCTAAAAAGTCCTGAAATTCTTGCATCCCAGTGGATTGGCTTGGGCAGTCCACATAAGAGACTACTGTTCTAATTAATTGCTCGTTTTATTTTAAATTCAGTTACTAAAGTTCACTCTGTAAAAGAAACGCTCATACCTTCCTAGACACTGCTTGTTAAGATCTCTCCAGCTCTAGTGTGTGATGAGTAGGGGTAGGGGACATTCACAGTCTCCCTTTAATACAATAAGCTAGCTTGCCCGAGATCCTTGGTGAATCAAGGCTCCACTGCCGTGTGTCAGCTTGGTGCTCTTTGTTTAGGCTGTGTGGACAGATCCACCAAAGTCCCCTCCAGTCACCCCTGGGGTCCCACAGAGGTAAACCCCCGGGTTCTCTCTGCCCATGTCCTGAGAGGCCAGGAAGTAGCTACGATAAGGATTCCATCAGCCATAGACTCAGGGTGGGTGGGAAGGTGGCTTTCTCCTAGTTATCTTGGAGTGGGGAACAAGTAAGAGGCAGGATGTGTGGGCTGGAAGGGCAGAGACAGAGGTGCACAGTGAAGCTTGAAAGAGAGAGGCCCGCAGAGTGTGTTTGCTGAGAGATTTCAGCAAAGTTGTGCTGGAACTCTGCAGCCAGCAGTGCCCAGTGCTGGGTTTCTGGATTCTGCTGCCTCCTGTAGAATTCGTGAGAACTACGTGTGTATGCATGTGCGTGTGCAGGGGGTGATAGGGTGGAGGCAAGGGCCTGTCATTCTCAATTTAGAGGAATTACTTTCAGATTTCTTCAGGGACCATGCATCTGGAGGAGGGACTCATCTTCAATTTATGTAACCAACTGTCACCTTAGCCATTGGCTTCATGGGCAGGCCTAAGTGGTGTAACTGAATGGACGGGTGAGGGGAGTCCACTGATATGGCCTGTGTGCCCAGCATCGGGAATGAGACAAGGAGTTGTATAAATGCTATGTAAGTATTTTTGTAGCAAATTTAATTTCTTGAATCCAGTCCTTGCATCCTGGGCTGGGTAGGAGAGAAGAGAGTGGTTATAGTGGATGGTGGTGCCTGGCTCCTGTGGTGGAGCTGGAGTGATGGAGCATAGCACATACACTGCAGGGAAGAAGGTGTGTGGTTAGTAAAGCCGATTTCAACCCCAGCTGTGGATCAGAACTGCCAGGGGAGCATCTGAAGCAATACCCAGGCTCTGCCTGAACTGAATCAGTCTCTGAGGGTGGTGCCCCAGTCCGTGTATTTTTAGAAAGCTCTAAAGGGGACTCTAAAGCACAGTTGGGAACCACCCCATGGAGCAGGGTGCAGAGCTTCACAGCAGGTAGGAAGAAGTAACTAAGTGGAAACTAGAGGAAAATGGAGCAGAGAAACCAGGAAATAGGAAAGAAGGATGCAGGATTTAATCTGCTGGGGTTCAGGGATCCGCTCCTTGACCTGCCCCCCACATCCCCACCACCATGGGATTGTTCACACAACCACGTTCTGCTCATCACACTTGGAATTTTTCATTTACGTGTATCTCAGGATGCTGCTCCTGGGAGTGTCAAGTGGGCATTACCGATCAAGACTGGACTTGGCCCATCCTTCATGTCCAGCTCTTGAGAGGCCGTGGACCTTTTGTAAAAGGGCGGGGGCCCAGGCGCAGACCCAGGCAGTCAGGTACAGTGGGCAGTAGTGCTTGAGAACTGCTGAGCCTGAGGATGTTGGCAGGTCACCTCACTGAGCCTCAGTTGCCACATCTGTGAAACGGTGAATAACCTGCTTCCCAGAGCTTGTTGTTAGCACGGAAAGAAATATCGTTTATGCCAGGTATGGGTTGTAGACGGACCCTGAAGGTTAGATTCTACCCGTCAGGGCTTGAATGAGCTGTTTGGTCAGCGGTGGGGGTGGGGTGGAGTCAGCCCCTCTCCAGAAGGTGCTTGCTGGGGTGGGAGCAAGTCTGAGAAGAGCTGTCTCGGCCTGCCCCAGGAGGAGGCCTCGCCTGGAGCTGTGAAGCGGAGGGGAGGGGCAGGGAGGCTCTGGGCAAAGGAGAGACTCCCCCCCCCCCGTTTTCTGTGGAGGTGGGGCGGGAGGAATACCAGCCAAGCTGCAGGCATCCCCTTGCCCCGGGCCTCTTCTGGGGTGGGGGCTGTCGCGCTGGCTCACCTTTCCCATAGCAGTTGCTCCGTGACCCTAGCCTTCTTGCCTTTAAACTCCCCTCTGGCTGCAGAAGTCTGGGCCAGCCTCTCCCAGTCCTTTATCTTTCATTCATACAGCTCCTGAGAGGTCCCCTTTTCTGGGAAGCCCTCCTCAACTCACTGGAAGAAAGGGAGCAAACTGTGTCCACCTAGGTGACATAAAGGTAAAAGTCCTGGGGACTTCCAGGGCACGCAGCAGCGTTCGCCTCTCAGCCAAGTCCAATAGCACTCACTTAGGTGTGCATCTGTGGCTTTCTCTCTGTCTGGTCAGTGCTCCTTTATATGTCCATACCCCCTGCCAGAGGGCAGCATTGACGGTGTACAGAGCCCAGTGTGACTCTCCTGCAGCTGGGGACATAGAAGAGCTCTGTGACGATGGCAGATGTGGTTCTCCAGCCTCTTGCCTGGCTGCCAGTGGGAGTAGCCTGTCTGTTCTGGCACAGGGGGCTGTTCCATATGGAGGGTCAGAAACTGGCCTTCACAGCCACCCAGGCGTTCCTTCCACTTCTGCACGTCTTCCTTTCCCCATGAAGATTTGGGTGTACCCTGGTTGTGGTCTCTGAAGACTGGGCAGGCCTGTACTTTGTGAAGCTTTCAGCTGTCTCTGGTAGGCCTGATGAAGCCTATCTGCAGAGGTTGGCCTGAAGCCATAATGAGCAGTTCTGTTCTTTTTAGCCCTTGTCTAGTTTATGGCTCTGTTGCAGACATGCCTTTCTGTGTCTTGGTTAAAAGTACTGGTGTGTCTTTGCATTTAGGTGTGGTCTGTGAGTCTGGGAAGGCTTCTAGAGGAGAGCCCTCCAGGGTTGCTCTTTGGGGTGGGAGTAGTGGGAGCGGAAATGGAACGCTGACTGCCCTCTTAAAGCCAGAAGGGTACTTCATTCAGGGCAGGCAGTTGGCATGTGTAGGCACTCAGGAGTCTTCCTTCAGTTTCAGCGGCCGGTGTTCATCATCAGGAGTGGCAGGGTTGGATATGGGAGTGAGAATGTGCCTCTGAGATTGACCAGTGGCCATAGACTCCAGCAAGATGTGCATCTTGGTCTGAGAGGCACCCACTGTACCAGAAACCAGACTTGTATCGACCAATGGCTTATTAGCCCCAGGAGGCTTATTACTGCCACAAATGTCCCTGATGGTGAGCAGCACTTGGCCACTACTGTCTGATGTTAACCAGAGTTATGGGGGTGGTTTCTGCAAATACACAATACTGTGGAGGGGTTATGTGGCTTACCCAGAGGTGCCCAGATAGCAAATGAAGGTGTAAGATTGGAATCCCTGTCTTTCTGGTTGACCCTTGGCTTGGCTAATCATTCATTCATTCATTCCACACACATTGATGAATGCCGACTCTGTACTGGGTTCTGTTCTAGGAACTAGACAGACACATCACCTATGCTGCTCTTGTGGGGCTTCTGTTCCGCTGGGGGAGACAGTCAGTAGTAAGCCTTCAAGCAAAGGCATGGCTGCTGGTGTGATGAGTGCCATGAAGACCCATAAGGCTGCGTTAAAGGAGATGGGTGGTCCAGGAAGGCCTCTCTGAGGAGGTGGCATTTGAGCACTCAAGTGCCTTACACTGGACTTCTGACCCCATGAGCTGGAACTTAGGATATCTGATCTAGAAGTACCTCTAGAAGTCCTCTTCCCAATAAACAAGCTAAGGCCCAGTGAGCTTAAGGTGTGAATTCATGGGATGATTCATGGGAAAGATGAAATTAAACCCAAGAAGGACAAGTATAATAGCCGGCCACTGCTCTGCTCACACCAGCCTTGGGCTCCAGCCCTCTGCCTTTTCATCCCAGAATGTGTTTTATTATCTTCAAGACTCAGCCCTTTGAAAGATTTAGACTTCCAAATTGCATTTATTAACAATAATACATTTATTTTCTCATGGCTGGGTGTGGGGAGGGGGTAGAAATTTTAAACACATTTGTGACGGTTGATCAGCCCTCCAGGTAAGGCAACGGCTGACTGCCTGGAGCTGGTGTTTTTCCTGCCTAGGCGGAGACACCGCCCAATTTTGTACCACCAGCTGCCGTCACTGTCAGAGTGGAATTTCCATTGGTGTTTCTGAAATAGCAGTGTTTCCTGGAGGACCCCCATTTGTACTTTCTGGATTCCATCTGGACCTGGTTTAGGGGGTTAGATGCTTTTGAATGGGGGCTGGAGAGACCCTACTGATGCCTCTGACCAGAGATGGTGAGGCAGGACTCACAGGGCCCCCAGGGTTTATTTTAGGGAGAGAGAAGCCCACAGTTAAATCAGAGGTCACAAATACAGCAGCAGACCCCACCTCTCCCAAGGACCAGACTGAGCTATAATTGGCCAATAATTTCATCTAAAAGCAGGAATCCTACATCAATTTGAAAGGAGCTTCTGGCTGAAGTAAGACTTTATTAATTAGCCTGTTAGGAAAATAGTTTCCCAGTATTATGAGGGCTGGATAATTTCATGCCCACTGTTTTTCTTGAAGCTTCTCAAAGGCAGACACAGCCGCGTGCAGCGGCTCACGCCTACAATCTCAGCACGTTGGGAGGTCGAGGCAGGTGGATCACGAGGCCAGGAGATCGAGACCATCCTGGCCAACATGGTGAAACCCCATCTCTACAAAAATACAAAAATTAATTGGGCGTGGTGGTGGGCGCCTGTAATCCCAGCTACTCAGGAGGCTGAGGCAGGAGAATCAGAGGTTGCAGTGAACCGAGATTGTGCCACTACACTCCAGCCTGGCCACAGAGCGAGACTCAGAAAACAAGGGAAGACACTAGATTTTCATTTTTGTACTAAATAGAAAAAGTAATATCTTTTTAAAAATGTGTTTTGTTTGTTTTTAACTGTTTGTTCATGCCAATGTGCCAGGCACCATATTTATTCTTTAATCTATACAGAAATGCTGCTGGATGAATGGAATTATGCTCACTCTGCCAATGAGGGAACCAAGGCTCAGAAAGGTTAAGTAACCAACCTAAGGTCAGGTAGTACTGAGGAGCTGTGCTTGGATACAAAACCAGGTCATCCAACCTGGAATCTTAGCTTTGACCCCCAACCTTCTCCCGGCAACTTTGATGATAATATGGAAATACCTTAGACTCTTGACTTGACTTTACTTTCTCTTCTCTGTTATAAAATCTGCTACATTTCTTTTCCTGGGAAAGCGAAATAGATTATGCCAAAAGTTCTGATTTTTAAAAATGTTTTATTGTGGGCCGGGCGCAGTGGCTCATGCCTGTAATCCCAGGACTTTGGGAGGCCGAGGTGGGTGGATCATGAAGTCAGGAGATCAAGACCATCCTGGCCAACACAGTGAAACCCCATGTCTACTAAAAATACAAAAATTAACTGGGCTTGGTGGTGCACGCCTGTAATCCCAGCTACTCAGGAGGCTGAGGCAGGAGAATCCCTTGAACCTGGGAGGCGGAGGTTGTAGTGAGCCGAGATTGTGCCACTGCACTCCAGCCTGGCAACAGAGCAAGACTCCGTCTCAAAAAAAAAAAAAAAAAAAAAAGTTTGTGAAATAGAGCACATAAAACCAAACAATATGTGTGAGATTTAATGATTTTTGTCCTATTTTTTTTCTATTTATTATTTAATACTTTCAGGGGTATCCTAGTAAAAGCGACTTTCCATGTGCCTGCCTGTGCCTTTCTGTGCCAGGGTCTTAAGAAATGTGTGTGGGTTTCCTCTGTGGCTCTGACACTCCATCAAACACCAGGGCTTGTGCACGCAGGTGAGAAGCATACCCAGGTGCCTCAGAGATATTGAAGAGGGTCTGGAATGTGGGAGAGAGGCAAATGGCTTTCCAATAAAAGTAGGCTAAGACATAATTAGGGGCTTAGGTGCTGCTTTAAAAAATAAGTAGCAGTGTATTCCAGACTCCTCTAAGAAAAGAGAATTGCTCATTGTGGAACAGGCATGGCAATGCAGTGCCTTTGCCTGGAACACCTTGCTGCTGCCATCACTAAGACCCATTCTGGGACAAGAGGAGGCTTACCCCTTATTGAGTATCTGCCATGAGCTTTGTGTGGTCCTTGCTTGCTAGGTACTTGGCAAGCATTATCTTTTTTACCTTTTAAAACACCCCTGAGGTGTAGGTAAGGCCACCCATTTCCTGACAGAGATTGGCCTACAAAGGTCAGATGGCTTCCGGGGCACACTGAGCGGCCCTTGTGTGTCGGAATGTTCCCTTCTGTTTGTCCCTTCCAGGCTGGACACTTTGGGAGCAGAAGTCAAAGACACCTTTATCATTGTACCCTCAGCACCTGGTGTAGTGCCTGGGATTTAGTAGTTCTGAGGAGCGTGTATTGAATGAATGGAGGTTAAGTAACTTAGACATTAGATAGTAGGACTCTGGGCTGGGCACAATGGCTCACGTCTGTAATCCCAGCACTTTGGGAGGCCAAGGTGGGTGGATCACCTGAGGTCAGGAGTTCGAGACCAGCCTGACCAACATGGTGAAACCCCGTCTCTACCAAAAATATAAAAAATTAGCCGGGCATGATGGCACATACCTGTAATCCCAGCTACTTGGGAGGCTGAGGCAGGAGAATCACTTGAACCTGGGAGGTGGAAGTTGCGCTGAGCCGAGATGGCGTCACTGCCCGCCAGCCTGGGCGAGAAGAACAAAATTCCGTCTCAAATAAATAAATAAGATAATAGGACTCTGAGGCTGTATGACTGCCACCCTGTAGGTCAGAAATGGGATCTGATTCCAGCTCTTATCCGTAAGCTAGGTGAATGCAAACTGACATGCCCAAGCTTATTGATATTGCAAAATTATTTATTACACAAAAGATTGGAAGCAACCCAGATACTCATCAATAAGAGACTGGTTAAGAAAAATGATGACACACTATGTAGTTGCAAAGAAGAAACGAAGAGGGTTTTTATGTACTCTTACACAAACTCCATGAAAAAAAGGCAAGGCAATGATTAGTATAATATGCTAGGTTTTTAATAAAAGAGAGAAGAAATAAGATTCTGAATTTGCTTGTATGTGTGTGAACATTCTAGAGAGATGCTTAGCAGGTGGTATAGTTGACTGGGCAGACAGAGGATAAGATAGGAGGGAGAGTTAACTGTATATCTTATATATTTTGGTTTTAAAACCATGAGAATGAATGTGTTAGTCAAAAAATTGAAAAGGAGAAAAAAAAAGAGGTGACCTTGAACCAGCGAGTCCACTGACCTGTGTGTTAGCCTCCCTATCCGTATGGTGAGGCAGTTGGACCAGATTGAGACTCCTTAGTCTGAAGTGGAATGTTGTGAATATTGTATTTCTCAGGCTTTCATGGACTTTTCCAGGAGATCCTGACCTTGTGCTAGGGTAATCTGCAGTCCCTTCCGTTGGTAGCCTGGCCTGGCCCTCTCAGGATGTTTGAGAAAGGTTGGGGGCACAGAGAGCAAGGAGCCTTCCCCAGAGGAGTCAGGCCTTGTTCCTGTCCCCATTCCTCAGAGTTTATCCTCTGAGCACACACCTCTGGTGTGACTCAGTTGGTTCTTCCTCCAAAGTGAAGGATTACAGTGAAGAGAGACTGTTCTGGAGCATTCTGGCAAAGTGCTACAGTTTAATAGGAAGGAAAAAAATGGCAGAACATTTTCCGGGTTATTTTTAATGCTTTTCAGTTCTGCAAACATTTATTGAAAGCTAAGTGCAAGGCAGTGTGGGGGAATCAGTTGCATAATACCTCACCTCTGCTTTCTGGGGTGCAAAGTCTTGGGTAAGAAACATGCTTATAAAATTTATCATAGTAACCTCTAGGACAGCCTGGCTTACCCATGATCTCATTGGGTCCCATGGAGACAGGTGGGATTGGTAGGGACTCGTCCCATTTTACAGGTGAAGAAACTGAATCTCAGTGAAGTCTTGTCCAAAGCCACACAGTTTGTAAGCAGTAAAGCCTGAAACCAAACCAGATCTTCCGACTACTTCTCATGTGTCCAAACCCCCATAATCAAAACATTCTCCCATAGGAGATGTCCGGGGTGTAGATTAGGCCCATTTCTACCTGGAAACATGGGGCAAGCACAATCCTGATTAAAGCTTCTTCTCCTTCACTTTTTTCCTTTGCTTTTTTTTTTTTTTTTCTTCTTCTTCTTCCTTTAAGGCAGAGCAAGGTAACTCTTAGGCTTATGGCCAGATCTCAGGTCTTAACTACTTTCCTGTGGTCTAAGCAATTCTTCTTGCATTGCCTGTGAAACCCACTATCCTACCACCAGTTGCATGTGGAATGTCCCCTGTGGGTAAAGGTGTGTAACCTACAGCAGCCTTCTCTCCACCCCAATCTCATGCTGCCACCTCCTTTCTTCCCTTCCACAAATTCTCTCGTACCCACCTGGCTTCCTAGCTGTTCCCCAATAAGGCCAAGCATGCCACCCACTCAGGATCTTTGCCCTGGCTTTTCCTTCTTTCTGTCTGGAAGGCCCTCCTAGTTGTTGACTTGGCCTTACGTCTCTGCTGAAAGCTCACTTTGGATAGGCCTTCCTGGTTACCCTCTCTAAAGTAGTGTCCCTTGTCACTATTGCTTTTCTGTCCTTTTCTTTTCTTTCTTTTTTTTTTTTTTGAGACGGAGTCTCGCTGTGTCGCCCAGGCTGGAGCGCAGTGGCGGGATCTCGGCTCACTGCAAGCTCCGCCTCCCTGGTTCACGCCATTCTCCTGCCTCAGCCTCCGGAGTAGCTGGGACTACAGGTGCCCGCCACCACACCTGGCTAATTTTTTGTATTTTTAGTAGAGTCGGGGTTTCACCGTGTTAGCCAGAATGGTCTTGATCTCCTGACCTCATGATCCGCCAGCCTCGGCCTCCCAAAGTGCTGGGATTACAGGCGTGAGCCACCGCGCCCGGTGCCTTTCTGTCCTTTTTTTTTTTTCTTTGCAGCATTCATACACATTATATACATGTGTATACATTTATTGGTTTATTCTTTGGCTCCCCTGCTAGAATGTAGATCTGTGAGACAGGCACCTAGTTTTGTTTACCACGGTATCTTTAACACCTAGCATAGTACCTGGCATGGCATGTAGTAAATACTCTGTACGGACTGTTGAATGATTGTATCGGGCCTGCATCCTAAAGCAAGTAATGCTTAAGAAGAAAGAATCAAATCATAGCATTTTAAGAGGGGAAAAGACTCAGAGCTCTCTTTGCAGGGCTTTATCATACAATATTATTAATTCATCTAATAAGCATCCAGCACTCTTTATGTATGAAGCTCTTTGCCCACGGTCACTTAACAGCCTTGTGATTCATACAGGGACAGGAAGCTCCCAAGTTTTCAGAGCAGCCCATTATTTTGTGAGACAGCCATAATGATCTAGAGACCTTCTTACAAAGTACACTGGGGAGAAAGCTGTCTCTTTATGATTCCTGCACTCTGATCTTAGTTCTTGAACCACTGGAAAACACAATAAACGTACATGACATTCCTTCAAATAAGTGGAGAGAGATAGTGATCATGGTCTCCCCTACCCTCAAGCCTAAACATCACTAGTTCCTTCAATTGTTCTTCTAGTATCCCAGTTTTCAGATGCCTTCCTACCCTGGTTGCCTTCCTCAAATTTGTTCTTTAAATTTTGGAATTTCAGGTCTAGTCCTGTCAGTGCAGAGTGTTTTGGGACCCTGACCAAGGAGCCCTGGTCCATCCCACGTGTTCCTATCAGCACAGCCTTCGATGGCTCATCTGTGTTGGCTGCCATGGTAGAAGCCTCCTTCATGAGCCTCTGATGAAGACTAAAATCATTAAGTTCCTTTTTACATTGTCTCGAGTCATGTGGACCCTCCCTGACTCTCTTCATAGTTTTTTGGTTTGGGGTTTGTTTTTGTTTTTTAGCATTTTGAGATTAAAGCAGCCATAGACTTGTGAACAACAATGAACTCAACCTGCACTCTTTTTAAAAAACAACAAGTGTAGGTAAGGTTCTACCACCAAACCCAGATGAAGAGGATGGAACTCTGGAAGTTCAGCAATACCTGCCAAGCCTCCAACTCCTTTCTTCCCTCATCGTGTCTTTCTCTGTCTGTGTCTGTCTCTCCCTCTCCCCTTCCTTCCAGCAGCCCCTCAGTTCCCCATAGTTTCCTTGCTTTCCCTCATTCCATTTCTTTTATTAATCCTCCTTCCAATTAGAAATATGGA
Organism: Homo sapiens; assembly: GCF_000001405.40. Classification (NCBI taxonomy): domain Eukaryota; kingdom Metazoa; phylum Chordata; class Mammalia; order Primates; family Hominidae; genus Homo; species Homo sapiens. The sequence goes on along the minus strand of NC_000015.10, from coordinate 68,799,176 downwards.
GTTAACATATACTGCTAGCATTTCTTGCACTTCCTTCACTAATAATTTTTGCCATACATGTGTAATTCACAGATTTAAGGAAGCTGCACATTTCACACTTGTCTAAGGGAGAAATAACTAATGTTAAATTGCTTCTTATGTGTAGCCCCTGGCTAATTTGTTTTGTGGCCTTGGATAGAAAAAACTTTCAGCCCCAGCCTTAGGTTCTTCTGCATGATTGGTTCCCATTTCTGCCCAAATCAGCGATTTCCCATTGGTGGTTGGACAACAGGGCTTCAGTGCCGAGGCGGCGTTTGCTCTGCTTCTGTCATTGCTGATGCTGCTGTCATTTTGCATAGAGGTGGCAGGGAAGGAGGCCAAGGTCGAGGTTTCTTCTGTGAGGCCATTTAGCTTTCCCTGCCTCTTCTCCACTTGCAGCTCTGCATGGATGTGTGGAAGGTGGTGGTGGGGAGAGCAGGGGCTGAGCTCAGGTCTGGGCTCTTCCTAACAGCTAATTTTATTTTCCACCTTTCTTTCCTCTTGCTTCAAGGAGGATGGAGAGTCCTGTGACTTTGAGGGTGTGGGCCCTAAGTTTGGAGTCTTGAGAGAATGGCCTAAGGTTCGATTCTACAGTGGGGTAACTGTGTAGCCTTGGGTGAGTCACAGAGTTAGTTTCCACCCAGCTTCATCAATTGCTAGGGAAGTTGGATTAGATACAGTAGTTCCCCAAAAGTGGCATTGATGGGGTCCTTTAGTTCTTTGAAGCATTTTTTAAAAGCTATCTGAAAATGGGGCAGACGCTTACACCACGGCTGTGGGATGCGTCCTGGCCTCTGAGTCTGATTGGCATGTTTTCTTAGATGGGTTATGCTGGGGGCTGGAATAGGCAGAAACTTTGAATTGCCAGCTCCTGGGTCTCTGAATAGTAACACTGGAGAAATGAATTAACTTCTATTTTGCTGACAGTTCCTCCACTCGGGGTCCATCCCGGACTCCAAGGCAGAAACCCTGGGCTGCTCCCTGAAGACTCCAGTGGGATTTCCTAAGCAGACAGCTCCCGCAGTCCACAAGCGGTCCCAGCCAAGCTGGGCTTCAATCTCCCAATCTGATTTCAGCAGCCAGAATTAACCGTATCTGTCAGCTGGGACAGTTGATTTTTCTAAGAGTGGTTTTAGTGGGGAGCTTTGCCTCAGAAAGTGAATAAAGGGTTAGCCTTCTGTAATCTAGATTATTCTCCAGAGCCATTCCCCACCCACACCCCACCCCTCCCCTAGCCTGTTTGGCCATTCAGCAAGCATTTACTGAAAGCCAGCCCCTCTGGGGAGGGCACTAGGGTGACACTGAGACCTCAGACCTTAGCAAGGCTGTGTTGGGGGAGAGATAGGAGGAAGAATGACTGGCCTTCAGCAGCATTCAGGGCCCTGGTGGACAGGGGCAGGTTGCCTGGGAGGGACAGAAGGGGTAAAATTTCCATTGTCTATGAGGGGAGAAGCACTTTGTAAACCGTAACATGCAATGCCAAGTGATGTCATTATTTTTGCTGCACATCAGGGAGGCTAGCAGAGGGCTGAGATGGGAGGAAGCACAGGGGTTTTGCCAGGGAGCACTGATGGGTGGGGGTCTGGGAATCGTACTCTGGATTTGCACTTGATCCCTGTGGCCATTAAAAGCTTTTGGACAGGGGAGTAATGAGACATGATGTGATGTGATCAAAGCAGCGTTTTAGGAAGATTGAGCAGGATTTACCCTCTTTGCTCTCTAGGCCTTGGTCTTCATTCTCTGTGGCTTTTCTGTTGCATGGGTGCAGTGCTGTGGTTCTGTAATAAGATCACCAAGAACGGCTGTGGTTTGTGTTTTGAATCACTGAATTGTCAGCTCATGGATCTGAGTAGTGATGGGTGATCCTGGTCTCTCCTCTCCTCCCACCCCAGGCATCTTGGAGGCCACTCAATGACCTGTGAGAGGATAGACATCAGATGGGACAATGCTGGACTCCCACATTCAGAACCCAGCACCCGGGGCCTCTGGGGGGTGTTTTTATATCCTGATGTGTGGTTTTTAAAAACTTGTTGTAATTAATTTTACAAATTGATATAGTTGTACTTATTTTGGGGGTGCTGATATGTTTTAAGAGATTAGATGATTGAGTTTCCCATTTCACTTATTACCCAGGGTAACTGCCCCATGTCCCAGATTTCCTTCCTGGCATCCCTCAGTGATGAATCCTGGGCCCCTTGACCCATGAAATTGGCCACGTTCTTTCCGGAACAGTGACTGAGTTTGAATGTGGGGTGGGCACTCAGGCTCAAAGTGTATGTACCGAGAGAATTTTGAAACTAGAGGGACCTTATTTCTGCACTCAGGCTCTATTGTCCAGTGTATGGACTAGAGGACTAGGAGAAGCCCAGAGAGTGGTAGTGACTTCCCGAAGGTCACACAGCAAGTTAGCGGCAAGGCGGACCAAAGCCCAGGTCATCAGAGTGCCTGACAAGCATTCTGTGCACTACACCTTGGTGCATCTTGGCCCCTTTTCCTTCTCTTCCCTGGTTACTGTTCACACACCACCTGCTGGGACTCTGCTTCCAGTGCCTACCTCTTCAGTCCTCCAGCACCTACCTCTTCAGTCTTCCAGCATCCACTGAAGGTAGGAGGGGAACAACCATGTAGAAAGAGTCGAGTCTGCGGCTGGGTGTGGTGGCTCATGCCTGTAATCCCAACACTTTGGGAGGTGGAGACAGGTGGATCACATGAGGTCAGGAGTTCAAGACCAGCCTGGCCAACATGGTGAAACCCCGTCTCTACTGAACATACAAAATTAGCCAGGTGTGATGGTGGGCGCCTGTAATCCCAGCACTTTGGGAGGCGGAGGCAGGTGGATCACATGAGGTCAGGAGTTGAAGACCAGCCTGACCAACATGGTGAAACCCTGTCTCTCCTGAAAATACAAAATCAGCCAGACGTGGTGGTGGGCGCCTGTAATTCCAGCTACTTGAGAAGCTGAGGCAAGAGAATCGCTTGAATCTGGGTGGCAGAGGTTGCAGTGAGCCGAGATCACGCCACTGCACGCCAGCTTAGGTGACAAGAACGAAACTGTCTCAAAATAAAAAGAGTTGAGTCTGTAAGATTTTCACTGGGTCGTGTACCCTGCCAGTTCTAAAACCTTCATCTCCCCTTTTCCACACTGCAGCTCCCATCCCCCAGCAAAGCTAGACCCAAAACCCCTCCTTCCCTTCTTCAGACCCCAAAACAGTTCCTGCTCCTCTGTGAACACTTTTAAGAGCTATACACGCTCTTAAACCAGACAGGCCTGGGCTAGAGGCTGGGCAGTCAGGGAAGGCTTCCTGCGGGAGGTAGAACTGACAGGTCCTTGATGTGGAGTCTATACCAGCTGGAAGGTAGGAAGGAGGTTTAAGGGGGAGGAAGCAAAGGAACAATATCAGGGAGGGGCCCAGCTAGGATTCACCAGCTAAACAGGCCCATTTGGCAAGCCCAAAACTCAGGTCCTGCAGCCACCCCAGCCTGCGGAGTACTGCCCTGAGTCTGTGTTTCTGGCTGGAGGAACATCTGCGGTGGAACCAGCTCCTCTGCTTTGGTGAAGCAGAAACCCAAGTCCCTCTCACACCCGCGGGAGGAGACAGAGGAAGCCGGTTCCAGGCGGTGCAGGAGCAAGTCACAGGGTTTATGTTAATGCGGGCCCTCCCCGCGCCGGCGGCTTAGCCTATGAGCCGGGGCCCTGGCAGACAGCTTAATTACCGCTGCAGCGCGCCTCAGCTTGTGTTCCTTGGCTCCCTAAAATAATAAGGATGGCGTCACCGACTTCCCCGGGCCATGTGCTCCCCGCCTGCCTTCAGAGCTCTATTGTAGGAAACAAACAACAAAAAAAATCAGAGACGTGGATGCTTTTTTCTTGGGGAGATTTTTTGTTTGTTTTAAAGTAATAGGGGACTCTGCCCCTAGTTAAGGTTTTAAAAGATCTTCTAGAGGTGTGGAGATCTGGGTCTACTACTGTTGAGGCTGCAGAATAGCCTCCTGTTAGCAGAAACTTGAAAGCTACACGAGTGATCTGTTAATTCCATGGTCTTCCACTGGGGATGTGAGTTCTGATGCCTGGTGGTGGTGTGTGCTGCAGGGAAACGAATCGCCCAGCTCACAGTGACTCTGGCCCCAACTTTGGACCTTGCTTCTTCCTCTGAAAAAAGAGAACTGACCTACACCAGAGTTTTGCAGACTGTAGGTCACGTTACACATATTTTGTTCTAAGTAACATAAGAAAGTAATTGCAAGTGTTAAGTTTTGTTTTCAGTTGTGTATGCCTATACACACACAAAAACGTGTGTACTGAGCCACGGTGTAAAATGTAGAAAGCCACTGGCCTAGGAGATCCCTAAGGCCCTTCTAGCTTTCAAAATGTCTAACTTTTCTGTCAGAGCTTTCACTTTTCCCCAACATGGAACCTGACTGATTTCTGCAGGTTTTGCCACACTGGCTGTTCAGCAAAACCATCGATTTTATGGTTAAAACAACAAAATCACAAGCATCTATCACCCCAGTCTAAAACCTTGGTGTCTCAGACAGTTTGGCCTTCTAGCTGAAATGGGATCTGCAACAGGGGATGGCCCATTTAAAAGCTGACCTATTTAAAACCCACGAGCACCAAAAAACACAGGGTCAATTTGATATGAGTCTTCTCTTGTGTGCAAAGACTGGAACCTGAAAACCAAATTAGTCAGGGACTGACAAGGTTGAAACCAAAGCTACAAATATGTATTGAATTCTTGCTCCGTGAAGGAAAAGAAAATCAAGGGTGGTCAGGGTTAGTGTGAAAAACAAAACAAGGTGTGGATGTAAAAATCCAAAGGGGTCGGTTTTAAGCACACCATTCCTGGTTCCCCAACAGGTTAAGAGGCCTCGTATTTACTATAAGGAAGCCGTACAGACAGCTTAGTTGACTCAAATCTGCTAACCTGCCCTTCGTTTCCATTCTTGTGCCTTGACTGTACGCAACAGTAAAGATAGCCATGGAAAAAGGGGAAGGCAAGTGGCTTTTTCCAAGCTGGGGATGCTCCAAGTACATTCTTATTTAATCCAACCCTAGGTGATGGACATTATAGTCACTAAAGGAAACGGAAGCTCAGAAAGGTAAGCTGGGCTAAAAAGAAGAAAAATTGAACTTGAGCCAGTTCTCTCGGACTCGAGAGCCTGCCTTCTGTCCACCTTTCCTTGTTGCCTCAGGAAGTACTAGAAAAAGAAGGAGCAGTTCTTACTCTAAGCTTCCTTCTCTCTGGTCCTGTCCTTCAAAGGGCTCTGTTTCAGGCCCAAACTGTCCACTTTAATCAGGGCCAGCTTCACAGGCATGTGACCCGTGCAGCACGCACTTGGTTTAATGCGCTGCTGTCACTGTCTTGGAATTCTTAATTTTTAAGCAAGGGGCTCCGTGTTTTTCATTTTATGCTGGGCCCTCTAAGCCAGTCCTGGCTTTTGATATAGTGTATCTCCTCCGTTGGTCCTTCTGGGTCCCCCTCATCTGCCTTTAGCATGCCTGTTCTATCTGGTAGAGGCATTTGAAGAATGCACCCTGGCCCGGCCCCAGTCCTGCTACCTGGCACACTGGACTGGAGTTGTTTACTGGTGGCTGTCTCCTCCCAGCCGGCCACCACACCTCTTGCTGGCAAGGACCCCGACCTTGGCTTACTGTTTCTTCCGTGTCTCCTCAGCCAACAGTGTCGCAGGTGTGCCCCATGTGGAGAGGGCTGGAGACCTGCATGCAGAGCACTGGGTCATTCAGGTCAGGGGGAGTGTGCACAGCTGACCTGCCTCTCAGGGGCTTATGCTTGTCTTGGGCACAAGAAAGACTCCAAAAAACCACTGGTGTTTATAAAAGATAGGGTTCATTCAACATTTATTCGTCATACTGTTGAATACGTTTCATGACAGTTTGACTCACCTCTATATTCCCAGCACCTAATGTTATACCTGGCGCAATAAACAGGACATTTGTTAAGCAGTTGCTCTGGTCTCCGCTCCCTGGTAGGCTGATTACGGAGGACAGTCCCTGACCTCTAGGAGGATCGGATGCTTAATACACGAGTAAATGATTCATGCAGCAGCTGCCCTTGGTGCCCCAGGATGCACAGAGCTGGGTTGGAGAAGGCTTCCTGGGAAGGGGAACTGGATTTGTAGGGTAAGAGTGAGAGATTGGGGGTGCTGAGGTTGGATAAAGAGGAGGGAGCTCCAAGAATGGAGAACCTTGGAGGTCATGTGTAGGAACTTGAATTTTTCCCAAGGCAGTGAGAAGCCAGGAATGTTTTCCAGGCTGGAGTTTACTCTTTATAGGTTAAACAGATCTCATCATCCCCTTTCTACAGAGGCAGAAGCCTGAGGCCTGGGGGAGAGAGCTGAGATCATGGAGCCAGTTGGGTCGAGCCCTCTAGGTCGAGGCCTGTTCCCAGTAATCCAGGCTGCCTCTTGACCACTTCCATCCTCACAGTCATAGAGACCTGGTGTGGAGGCAAAAGCAGGCTTGAAGTGACTCGAGGTGACAGTGACCAGTGCTGCAACGTTGGGAACAGAGGGGAAAGGCCAAATTTGAGAGATCTGTAAAGACAAGATTTCAGTTTTAAACAACAAATTGTTCCTTAGAGTAATAACGTATTTGTGTTTATCATGGAATTTTCAGGTCCCATTGGTGAAAAATGACTGACAGGTCTTTGCTTTGGGGACAAGTTTTTCAGGAAGTACAGGACCCCCAGCAATCTGACATCTTGGGAACCTTCATTGCCTCCTCACTGACCTCTCTTATGAATATGAGGGCTCCTTTTAGGTGTTCACTTGAGGAATGAAGCATTGGGTCCTGTGTAGGTTTCTCTTTGGGGTGTTGGAAAAGCTTCTGATACAAGCAGAGTAATTTCAGTTCCACTAGGTAGGGTAACCACATTTGGATATTTTTAAATGGTCAGTGGAATTGGGAAAAAGTCTACAAAAGTACAAATTTTCAGTTTAATTTTAACTTTGCGCTTCACTCACACCCAGGACTTGGCAGGGGAAGTGGGCCTTGGTTTTTTTTTTTTCTTTTTAAAGCAGAACACACCCTGGGTGGAAAAGGGATGTTCTCTTTGCATGGAAGGGTTAGAACCAAGTACAGAGGAAATGGGTTGGTATTGTAGCAAGAGTTCAGGGGTGGGTCTAGGCTTTGAAACTAGAGCACTAGGAAAGTGTGGCCCTCATGGAGGCAGGCAGGGAAGGGAATGGGATGTCTTTCACAGGCAGCTGTTGGGCTGACATTTTTGTTTTGTCCTGTTTGGTGCATTTCAGATACTTCACAGCTCACCTGCTGCTCTCACTGGGACCCCTCTTCATCTCATGACAAAGCAGTGGGTCTTTCCCCCATGTGGTTTGGGCTTTTTGGTGGTATCAGCAACCTCAGGTCTAAGCCCTGTCCCCTCCTTCCCCTCTGTGATCTCACCCTGCATGGTGCTGAAACCAACCAGGGAGGAAATGCAGAAACAGTGGGGATTCTGAAGACACCACCTTTAAAACGATGGGGATTTCCCAAGGGAGTGGAAGCAACCTCTTGCTATTTGGGGAAGAGCAGGGTCCCAGGCCCCTCTCTGTATCCTTGCCCCCTCCTGCAGCGTCATCTGAGCCAGGGCAGGGTTAGGCTCTGTGCTTTGGTTGCTAAGGATGTGTAACCAGAGCAGAGACCTCTAGGGGTGGTGCCCACCTGGCTGGTGGAACAGTTAGAAGAGGAGCTGAAAAGAAACAGTTACAGCTGTAGGGGCGGGAAGGTGTGATCCCTTTCCTTACCCGTCGTAAGAGTCATGGCCAACACTTATAACAAAAGAAAGGCTAACAAAAGAAGAGCGTAACAAATTTATTTAATCAAAGTTGTAAGTGACATGAGAACCTTCAGAGAAGAAGAACCAAAGACCCAGGGAAACTGCCTATTTTTATACTTAGGTTTGATGAAGAATAGACAGCCATGAAGAAATGGGACTGGACAAAGGGGTGTAGGCTGAGAGGGAACCCAGCAAGGCCTGTCTGTTCAGATTCTTTGTGGCCTCTCTGTGTAGCATTCCTTCCTCCTAGATATGGGGCAGGACTTCCCTGGCATGAGGGTCTTCAAGGGAGAAGGGACAGGAGAGAGTAACCTTTCTCGGCTTTGCTTTGGGAGAGAGGAATTCTAGTTTCTGTGACCCGCCTTGGGGAAGAGAAGTTCTGGATTCTGTGACTTCTGGGGAGAGAGGGTGAGAGACAGGAGGGCAAGAGAAATTCACAGAGCTTGCTTCTGAGGCCTTCCAATCTCCTTTAGTTCAAAGTACCCAGCACGCCAAAGCCCCTTACATTTGGGTATTGTGTTCTGAGCCCCAGCACAGCCAAGAACTTGTAGAATTGACTTGGGGGTCTGGGGAGAGTCCCAAGAAGCCAACAGGGGCCCCTCCTCATCTTGTGGCTAACACTAGCCACCTGAGTGCAGTAGACACCCACCCTCCTGTGACCTTCTTTTGGGATTTTAGGATAAGCAGTTCGGACGTGCCTTTAAAACGGAGAGAACACACCCCAAGGAGTGGTTATGGGGATTAAACGAGACTGTGTATGAAGCACCTAGAGTGTGCCTAGCGAGTGCTTGAGAAAGATATGACGATTATTTTTAATCAAAGCATTAATAGTGATTGCTTGAGTATTGTCCTCCAGAGGAGCAGCCACCAGTTTTGGTGTTGTGGTAGGAGCCAGGGACTGGCCTCGTCAGGGCTCCGAAACCTATGTCTATCTGTAGCATTCCTAGGCAGCCTACCCCAGCAGCAGCCCCTTGGGCTGTGGGCAGGGGTGGCAGGCAGCACTGTTCCTCTCCAGGAAGGAGACCGACTTCCTGGACGAATTCCCTGGGCTCCCCAGCACTGCTCTCTGAGGCCCTCCTCTCCTCGGCCAACGGCAGTAAGGAGAAGCCATTGACCCGTCTAGAAAAACCGCATGTCTGCAGTCTTTGAGGGTAGACTGGAATCTCTTCTCATATTTGCCTTGCTTTGGTGGAGCTTCAAGAATTCCCAGGCCTTCCAAGGAAACCAATTACTAAAGAAGACTGTGGGCCACGTGACTCCAGTGTTTACTGCAAACGAAGGAGATGGCTCCCCTCCCCCAACACAGTTACTCTCCCTCCATCTGCACTGGCCCCCTAAGGCCTGGCTTCCTGGCTCTGCGATGCTTTCCTGCCCTAGGGCAGAAGGCCTCACAGGATTTATTCCCAGGCACTCTTGCCATGACCTTGAGAAGGTGGCTTGACCTGGACATCTGGATCTCAGGGACTGAGGGGGTGGGAAAGGACTGAGCCTCCCCCTCCCAGACCCAACAGGAAGGTGGGCTTTGGTGACCATTTCCTAGGCTGAGAGCTCCTTAGCTCCAGGAGAGGGCTGCGCTCCCTGGTTCTCCTGCTCTGTGGGCTGTGCTAGATGAAACCCACAAATTGCTGCTGTCCCGGGCGGAGTGGCATGCCTCCACCCACCAGTGAAGAATGAAGGCAGGGCAGTTGCAGGGCCCTGCAGGACTCTGAGATCCAGATGTGTACCCCAGTGCTCCCCTGCTCTGCCCACTGGCAAGAGGGGGCTGAGGAGGGGCATAGCAGGCCTCATGTGGACTCTGTTTCCACCTCCTTTCCCCCATATCTCTACTTGGCCCAGAGATGCCTGAGTAAGAGGGGCACCTAGTCATTCTGGGCCCAGAAAGAAGAAGCTAGGCATGTTGGCCTGCTCAAAGGAGCAGGAGCAGCCCTGGACAGGGACAGGTTAGAAAGCCTGGCTGCTTATCCAAGAGAAGAAAAGGCCCTGAGGGGCAGGAGCAACCCTTTGAACAATGCTGGACTGCTGTTGAGAAGGAAGGCTTGTGCCATGTGACCCATTGGTGAGAAATCAGGGCCTGTGCATGGAAGTTCCAGGGAGGGAGGCAACAAATCCAGTTGACATTGGTAAGTGTTTCCTGGCACCTGCAGGGAGCTTGGGCTGCTGTGTCCTGGGCTGAAGGGACTCTTTGAGATACCAGGTGTGGGCAGGGATCACATTTAAGGTGTCTTCCAGTCCAGAGAGGCCGGGTTTCCCAGAAGCTGGCTGCTCTGGGGCAGGAAGGAGAACTCTGGGCCAGCTGCCTGGAGGGCCACACACCGGGTCTCCTTTGCTTACTCCCAGGGTCATTTCATGCCTGCGACCTGGTTACTTTTCCTCGGCCTGTCTTTCTACCTTCTTCATTAGAACCTGCAGTTTCACCTTCAGCTAAGTCTACCTCTTAACAACCCTGTGAGAGGGTGGCTTTTTATTCGTTCTTTCTACCTCATTAGAAATAAAGGATTTAGGACCCAAATTGTGGGTAAGGGAGCTGAGTGGGGAAAAAGACAGGGCCACAGAGGTGCCTCCAAGCACAGACTTTGAGACAGATCTCAGCATTTCATTATGGGCCCATCCTAAGTTTGTGGGTTTCCATTCTCCTTCCACGTCTATGCTGGACCGTGAAGAGCAAAGTCTAGAGCTGTGCTATCCAATATAGTAGTTACCTGTGTCTGTTTACACTTAAATTAATTGAAATTAAATAGAATTAAAAGCTCTATTCCTTAGTCTCACTGGCCGCACTCCGTGGCCACATGTGACTAGTGGCCCCTGTCTTGAACAGTACAGACCGTTTCCGTCCTTGAAGGAAGTTCTGTTGGACAGTGCTGGGCTAGAGGTGGGAGAGCTGGAGGAGCCCCTGGTCTGCTGCGCCTGCCTCAGGACAGGCCACATGGGTACTGCCATGTGAATGCCAGCTACAGCGGCAGGCTCTGCTGTGATGGCAGGAGTGGGTGAAAGCAACTGGGCATGTGGGGGTCTTGTGGGGGCATTGGGGTGGCGGGGCAAGGCCCAGAAGTCCCTAACAATGCTGTGGCTGGTGCATGTGGGTTTTGGGAGAATGCGAGAGCAGGGTTGGAATGAGACCACCAACCTTGCAGAGGCAGCAGGGCTTACTGGGTTTGTCTTCTGCGGTACAGCCAAGGCCCCTGTCTGGAGTGGCCCCCTGGTTCTGCAGCTCGGCTCACCACAGGCCTCCTCTCACCCAGATGTTGAAAAGGCAGAAAAGTCAGGGTGGGCAAATCCATCCTGTGGTCGTTGGCAGCACAGTGATCCGGAAAGCTAGAAGAAGTGACGGAGTGACTGACTGCTTCCTGCGTCTGTCTCCCTGTTCTCTGAGGAGTCCTCTAACACCCTCCCCCTGCTTCAGCCCCATTCCTCAGCCCCGCTCACACGGTCGGGCCTTCTTTCAGGTGAAAGAACTTGTCCTGGACAACAGTCGGTCGAATGAAGGCAAACTCGAAGGCCTCACAGATGAATTTGAAGAACTGGAATTCTTAAGTACAATCAACGTAGGCCTCACCTCAATCGCAAACTTACCAAAGTTAAACAAACTTAAGAAGGTAAATAGAGTGGAGTCTGTGTGTGCTGGGAGGCGGGGGTGGGGAGTGGGAAGGGTTATTACCTATGTTTAGAAAGAGTAATTGAAGGGAAAGCCGGGTGCTTGCACCAACATGCCAGACAATTGCCTGAGACTGCTTTCCCTTCTTGCCCGTCTGGGGAAAGCCGGGCAGCTCTGAGCCGGTAGCCTTCATTTTAAAAGCTGTTTCTGCTTTTTCTTTCCCTGCCTTATTTAGCTTGAACTAAGCGATAACAGAGTCTCAGGGGGCCTGGAAGTATTGGCAGAAAAGTGTCCGAACCTCACGCATCTAAATTTAAGTGGCAACAAAATTAAAGACCTCAGCACAATAGAGCCACTGGTAAGTCATTCGGACCCTCCCCTCCCTGCAGGGGTAGGAGGTGGGAGGAATTGGCATCAGCAAATACTACTTTTGCATTTGTCCTTTTCCCACTTAATTTTTTTGACTCTCATGATGTGCTATGAGATAGAATTGAGCTATTGTTTCTGCTGAGTCCATAGAGAAACTGAGGCCCAGAGAAGTTAAATACCTTGACCAAGGTCACAGACAGAATGGGCAGCTATTGTACGGGTAGCGTAGAACCCTAGTTTCAATTTCTGGTCTCCTGCTTTTCCACTCAGTTTCTGCTCAGCTTTGGAAACCTGAGCTGTAATGTCTTCAGGTTCAGGGCATGGCTTGTTGCCCCTTTTTGGGAAGGGAGGAGCAATCCAAGAATTAAACTGGCCCTGGAGGTGGACTCCAGTTTTCTCCTTGGGTCGCTGGCCCCTGAACTGTGAGAAATGAGTCAGTCCTGACATAGAACCCTGGAATGACTGAGAGCCGTGTGGTGTGAGAGCCTCGTGCAGGCAGGCCTTCCTCAACGTGGTGTGGAGAAGAGTGACCCCTGGTCACCAGTCCTTGTTGCGATAGTGAACAGGCTCTCAGGGGCCTGGGTAGCATTTCTGGCTCCTCTGCTCATCCTTGTAGAGATAGACATCCCCTAAGCTTCACTGATTTACCAGCCAGAAAGGGGCAGGTCATGTTCAGAACAACACTTTCTATAATTACCAGGATCTGATTCGCTGTATTCCTTTGATTTTAAGGAAATCAGCTGTAAGATGTGTCACTGAAAACAACTCTTTTGGAATAGGAAATACTACCACATGAAGTAAATACACCTGTTGTGAATATACATATAAGAGTCACCTCATAAGGCCGGGCGTGGTATCTCACACCTTTAATCCCAGCACTTTGAGAGGGCAAGGCAGGTGGATCACCTGAGGTCAAGAGTTTGAGACCAGCCTGGCCAACATGGTGACACCCCATCTGTACTAAAAATACAAAAATTAGCCCGGCGTGGTGGCACACGCCTGTAGTCCCAGCCACTCGGGAGGCCGAGGCAGGAGAATCTCTTGAACCTGGAAGGCAGAGGTTGCAATGAGCTGAGATCGCGTCACTGCACTCCAGCCTGGGTGACAGAGTGAGACTCTGTCTCCAAAAAAAAAAAAAAAAAAAAAAAAGCAGCAGCAGCAGCACCTCAGGCATCTTAGAATCAGGGAAAGGCCAGGAGGACAATTGGCCACGTTTGCCAAATTTCCCTTCTGGGTTTATAGGGGAGGTTGGGTATCCCTCAGATTGGGCTGGAGTTTTCAGGGTTTCTGTCCCAAAAGGCACTCCTTGCTCTCCATGGATGCTCACGGGACTTGCTGGTGGCCAGTGTGGCAGAAGAGGACACTGGCATTTCTTTTCCAAGCTCTTTACCTGTCCATCGATGGCATTGGGGCCAACTAGTAGAATGTGCTTCCCACAGAACTTCTTTTCAGGCCTTTCACTGGTCTCCTAGGAAAAAGCCAAACTATTTTGATCTGTCTGGAAGTCTTGATTTTATAATGTCATTACAAAAGGAAAAAGTCTTTGAAGTTCTGTATATGGGTGAGGTATGGGGATTGAGTATATAAAATCCTTGTAAAACATTGTGATTCAGTCACCATTAGGGGTCAGGCACTCAGGCACGTTCATGTTCACACTCTCCACTGCCCCCTGCCCAGATCACACGTGTCTCAGTGCTTTCTCCGCCCCTGCTTGTCAGTGTGTGTTGCCTTACCGTCCTGGGGCGGGAAGCTGCTTTTGGTAGCAGGTGCTGGGCTTGCCCACACAGACCACTGTCAAGACTTCCTCCCTGCCCTTGGCTTCTGCTGAGAATGACCCAGGTCTCAACTGCAAGGTCATAGAGAGAGCAACCTAGCTCCCGACATTGACTCCAAGGAGCAATGGTTTCACTCCCTTGTTAGACCTGGCCACCTTTGGAATGGGGACTCAGCCTGGGATGGGATTTTTTTGTACCTGGTGCCTCAAAGGTGGGTGAGGTGGGAAGTCAAAATGTAGCTCAGTTACTTGCAAGCAGTATGACCCTTCACTTCCTGGGCCTCAGTTTCCTCTACCATCAAACAGGGATAACATTGGCTAGAACCCGTCTGGTGTAAAGCTTTGACAGAGCACATCGTGTCAAATACCATGGACAGAATTGGGGTCCTCCATTGCTTTTTCTCTTGTCCTTTTTTGACAGGCAATATTCAAAGAGTAAGAGCACAGGTCTGAAGTTGGGCTGCCTGATGAATTACCAAATCCTGTGCCCTCCATTTCCACATATGTGAAATTAACTAATAATTATTTCTACCTTACAGGGGTTGTGAGATAAAGTGACTCAGTACATGAAGTGCCATGTTAACCGCCCTTATCATCATCATTATCAGATGCAGAAGGAGTTAGTTTGTTAGTTCAAGTTGACTTTTGGTTTCCCTCTGGCTCCTTAGTCTCAGGGAGAGGCAGTAAACCTCTTGGCTCATGCACCAAGAAAGCCCCAGGCTAATTTCAAGTCAATCACTGTTAAGACAGAAGCTGTAATTGCAGAATAAAAGTGTTAACATTGGATAAGGCTTCAAAGATCCTCCAGTCCAACCCCCCATTTTCCAGATGGAGACGCCGAGGCCCACAAACTGCAGGTGATATGTCTGGGCAAACACTGTGGCTAAGCAGAGCCAAATCCAAGCTTCCTTATCACCTGGAAGTCATGGTCTGCGCATGCTATCTCATGGCATCCTTGCCTGTTTGCTAGGGCTGTTCCTCCACCTTCCTCCCACAAATCACTTACTGTTGGCTTCATTTTTCCGCTTGCAGAAAAAGTTAGAAAACCTCAAGAGCTTAGACCTTTTCAATTGCGAGGTAACCAACCTGAACGACTACCGAGAAAATGTGTTCAAGCTCCTCCCGCAACTCACATATCTCGACGGCTATGACCGGGACGACAAGGAGGCCCCTGACTCGGATGCTGAGGGCTACGTGGAGGGCCTGGATGATGAGGAGGAGGATGAGGATGGTGGGTGACAGGGTGCGGCCCAGGGCTGCAGGGGCCCAGCTGAGGCCTTGGGGCTCGTCCTTGGCTTTGCAGAGGTGGGTGGGCTGGGTGTTGGGAGGCCCCCACCCAGCTACTGAAGGCTGGCTGTCTGTCTGGTAGCTACCACCTTCCAAAGCTATGGAGGGGAGTAGGGCTGTCTGCTTTGTTTTCCATAGTCCCTAATCTGTCTCATTGGTTGACTTCCCTAAAAGAACAAAGCATGAGTCCCATGCTCATGGAAATATCCTGAGATTCTCCAACTGCATAATAACTCCTTTAAAACCATCCAACTGAATCCCCACTTCAATTTTTGTCCCTTTTCCAAAGCCCCCAGGGAGTGGGATTCTACAGTCTTTCTGTAGTGTGACCCGCACTTAGACACTCTCCCAGGGAGGGAGGGAGGGGATAGAGAGAGAAGAGTGTGTGGCCTGAGGACCCCTCTTTCCCATCTAGGTATTCAGTAGTGGAGAGGAGGTCCAGAGCTAGAGGGGTTGTGGGGCCCCCTGGTGGTTGCAGCCTACAGCCCCACACCTAGGGGCACAGGCTCAGGTGCTCAGGAGCCCCAGGTGCTCAGAAGTGGAGGACTGCAGGCCACTTGTTGGGTTCCCTGGCAGTGTGGTGTGTAGTCGAGGCCTACAGGAAGGAAGGAGGGAAAAGAAGGGAGTCCTGTTCCCTCCCCTTCTCCCTTGCCACCAGCACAGTGCAGCTTTCCCATGCATCTTCGTGGCCAGATAAAGTTGAGAATGGAGACACTTGCCTGATTAATTAATTCAGATACAGGATTTTGGTTTTCTTTGTTCAATTGGGAGTGTTTTGCAAGATACTCAGAGACCATGTTTGCCTTGGTGGGGATCTTGTGATATGGCAGAAAGGAGCCAAAACTGGCAGTCCCGGGACCAGGTCCCCTAGGCCCAGCTCAACTAGTGACTCGATGCGTGACCTTGAACAAGTCAGTTCTCTCTGTGCCTCAGATCTCTCACCTTTAACCTGAGGAGTTTGATTTGATCTTGCCGCTTTCCCGGGCCCTGGAACCTGTTGCTGTGCTCTGACAATTTCCTGGTGGTCTCGGTGTGAGAGGCCTCCAGAAGGGGCCTTTCACATGCATAACACTTGTGAGGGGGGCTTATCTTTGGCACAACTTCAGGATGTGTTTAATTATGTCAGCACTGTTTTCATGAGAGTTAGTGTGTTCCATCTTTGGACTTAGGTGGGTGTGGGAGGGTCATGAGCCCCACACTGAAGACGCTACAAGGGGCCTGTGCTGTGTGGGGGGCGGAGCCAGCTCACCACTAGTTCTGTTTCCGTTCCCCATTTCGATTGCACAGAGGAGGAGTATGATGAAGATGCTCAGGTAGTGGAAGACGAGGAGGACGAGGATGAGGAGGAGGAAGGTGAAGAGGAGGACGTGAGTGGAGAGGAGGAGGTAAGGAGGCTGGGCTGGGCAGGGCCACCGTCTGCCCCTTTGAGGCAGTCCCACTGACTGCCTCTGTGATCAGTCTTGGCAGCCCCGGAGCCCTGGTTAGGAAAGTCGCTCCCCGATGGGTAGTGAAGTGAGTCCATTTCAGAGCCTTTCACTGGGCTGTTTCTGGGGAGACAAGACTTGCAGTAAGCTCTGGGGAGGCTGGATTAGAAGAGGGGAAGAGGATTTTAGAGGCAGGGACTGAACCTGCTGGGGTAAGCCTGGCCGTTGTTTCTATGTGAAGAAGTACAGAATGCATGGCCCCATTTTCTGCTTTTTGCTTTCATATGCTAATTAAGATATTCATTGAGCACTTAAACTGTGCTAGGGAAAACCAAAGTCTGCCTTGAACTGATAGGTAGCAGGATAACACTGCTGGATCCCAAATCAGAGAGTGACACTATGGAAATAGAGCACCAGGAGTTGGCCATTTTCCTAAAGAGATTGGCTGGTTCCCAGTTTTTTAACAAGATCTGTGAGGGGGTGAGTCCCAGCTCTACCACTCGCAAGCTGTGTGTCCCCAGACAATTTACCTGACCTTTCTGAGCCTATTTCTTCATCTGTAAAATAGGGATCATGATAGCTTTCTCACAGGGTTGTTAAGAGGATAAAGTGAAGTGTAAGTAAAATGCTTAAGGACAGTGTCTGACAAGGGGTAAGTGTCTGACTGCTTATTGTAGGCGTTCACACCCTCCTCCAGGTTCCTGGCACTGTGTTGGGTTTTGTGTTTGTGTGTTCTGAGTCTCTCTGTAGCAGAGTCATTTTCTATGACTTGCTCAGAATTCTAAATCAACTCTTGCTAATTGCAAAAGTTAGAACTAGAGAGTTTTAAAGTGACAATAGCATGGACAAGGCGCCTGTGTCCCCTCCCAACTCCCCCCGCAGTTTCCTGTCTCCCTCAATGGAGGATGCAGACACATCCGCTTGCCACACGGACTCACTCAGATAGTGTCTTCCAGTTCCAGCCAGCCGGCCCAGGCTTGAGAGACACAGGCCAATGACAATAGAATCGCGGAGGCCAGGCGCGGTGGCTCACGCCTGTAATCCTAGCACTTTGGGAGGCCGAGGCGGGCGGATCACTTGAGGTCAGGAGATCGAGACCAGCCTAGGCAACATGGCGAGACTCCATCTCTACTAAAAATATAAAAATTAGCCAGGCATGTTGATGGATGCCTATAATTCCAGCTACACAGGAGGCTGGGGCACGCGAATCGCTTGAACCTGGGAGGCAGAGGTTGCAGTGAGCCGAGATGGCACCGCTGCATTCCAGCCTGGGCAATAGAGCGAGACTCAGTTAAAAAAAAAAAAAAAAGCTGGCCAGATGAGCTTGGTTTCTGTTTAGTTGTGCTGCTGGCTTTGCCTTCTCCCTAGGTCTAGACTCTTAGGCTCATCTCTAAAGAATATTGTATTTTAAAAATAAAGTCTTAGTAAAACAGGTTCCCCTAGAACAGGGCAGTAAGTTGTATTGGCTAATAGCTGTTACATCTTCCTCTTCCTGTCACAGGAGTGCTGCATGTGAGGTTTGGGGGGGTGGGGATGGGGGAGGGTTGTGGATTTTGTTTTTTGTTTTTTGTTTTTTAAATAATCTCACTGACCATCTGCATATTTCCAGCTTTCAGTAAAGGAGAGCTTATACATGCAAAAAAAAACCAGAACCTTAGCAAACAGACTGATGAGGGAACTCTTTGGTGACATTTTAAAAGAATGTTTCCCTTGACAAAAAAGAAGTCTGTCACCAAGTTCTTTTAAACTTCAGGAACCAGGTTTAACAAGCAGAGATTCAACTTGCATATACTTTCAGGAGCAGAGGAAAGCAAGGGCCCTGTGTTGAGAAAGAAAGTCATACACCTTGCTGAATCTCAAGCCGGTTGGGAATGATGTCCTCAGGGGGTCTTGAATTTATCTTCCCCAACCCTTCCAGGTGGTCCAAGTTTGCAAGCTAGGGAAGGGGCTGGGTCAGGTGACGTTGAACTTGCCCACAGAATCTGGATTTGCTTAAACTGGGGTCTTCTCTTGAAGCCAAAACTAGATTGAGGACAGATGCAAGAAAGGATGGCCTACTTTGCACGTCAGGGAGTCTGCTCGGGAACTTGTTCTCCTCAGAGAATGTGCAGACTGGAGAGCTGCCTGCCTTACAGGGACTTCAGATCAGAGTTCTTAACCTGGGTCCTGGAATCCATAACCCCCTGAAACTGCTTGCAAATATTATAAATGATACGGACATTTTCTGGAGAAGGAGTTCAAAGCTTTCTGCAGATTTCCCAATGAGTCCTTGATCTGAAATAAATTAAGAACCTCTGCTTTACATTCCTCCCGAGATGTCAAGTCTTGGTGGGGGCTCTGAGAGGCTGGGGGTGACCCCGGCCTTTTTGTGCTCTGTGTGGCTTCCTCAGCATGTCCCAAGGCAGGGCATTTCTAATGTTCTGGTGTCTGTCCTTTCTCCTAGGAGGATGAAGAAGGTTATAACGATGGAGAGGTAGATGACGAGGAAGATGAAGAAGAGCTTGGTGGTATGGCAGCCTTTTTACTCTCAGCTGGTAGCAGCCTGGCCCTTTCACTTTGGCCTTAGATTGCTTAGACTCAGAGGCCCCTGGCAGTGGGCAGGACACTCCTGTCAGAGGCCTCAGATTCCCCTTCCAGCTGTGCAGATGTCTTGCCTCGGTTTCCAAGGATGGCACAGCTTGCTAGTCATGGGTCCCCTGACTTCTCACTGGGTGGGTTGAGTTAAAGAGGTGGGATTAATAACTAATCTAAATGCCGCTTTCTTACTTTTCCAGAAGAAGAAAGGGGTCAGAAGCGAAAACGAGAACCTGAAGATGAGGGAGAAGATGATGACTAAGTGGAATAACCTATTTTGAAAAATTCCTATTGTGATTTGACTGTTTTTACCCATATCCCCTCTCCCCCCCCCCTCCAATCCTGCCCCCTGAAACTTATTTTTTTCTGATTGTAACGTTGCTGTGGGAACGAGAGGGGAAGAGTGTACTGGGGGTTGCGGGGGGAGGGATGGCGGGTGGGGGTGGAATAAAATACTATTTTTACTGCCACTCTTTATTTTTTTCCCCTACTTTTTCTTTGTGTCCGGTTTTTGTCCCTGTAAATGCGATAGCTAAGTACACACTAAGTGAGCATTTGTTCCTGACTCTCAAAGAGGATGGTTTGGAGTTCTCTTACGTTTCCTGGTATTTCCCAAGTCTCTTGGGTTGGTTGGAAGGCTGTGGCTGGTCTCAGTTTGGTTACTCAATGCCCAGGAGGGGCTGAGCACCAGCCATATCTTTTGCTTTGGTTCACATGATGATACCTGCTTTTCTCAGGCCTGCTAGAGGCATCCAACGCCCTGGTTTGTAAATAGCAACCTAAAGGCGTATTTTGGCACTGGTCTGGGGACATTCCCCATCTCTCATCCCTTTTCCCCCTTCACAGATGGTGGTGGGCTTCGCTCTACAAAGAGGACTCTGATGTTACTCTTGAGCTTATGAGCCAGAGAGCTGAAAACCGCAGGCTTGTTGTGTTAAGTTACAAGGAAAATGGATTTGGTAATTAAAATTAGAAGAAACACACCTTCAAACTTCAACTTCTTTAAAAGAAAAAAAAAACTGTCCTATCTTGTTCTGTAAAATATTAGAACGCTTTGTTTTACAAAAAATGATGAGAGAATTCTTCCACATGTACTTCTGTGCTTAGAACATTTTTACGGACCTAAGCGCTGGAGACGTTGCTGCATGTCGGCTGGGTTTTTTTTTTCATACACCCGAGCACGGAAAAACTAACGCAAAATTGTATTTTCTTACCTAGTGGAAATCTGAAATGACTGCAAATTCCTAGTGAATGTACAGGTTTGCTTTCGTGTCCCTCTTCTGGTTGCTTTAGAAGTGACGTGTAATTTCTGAACCCATGTTTCATCTGTATAAAAGAACATCTGCACCAGTTTTTCTCCTGCCCCTCAGAAGAGCCAAACTTTGAGTTTTATGTCTGTTTGTCATTGATAAATTTCAATAAATCTTTTTATACAATTTTTTTGGGGATGGCTTCTTTGAGTCCAACAGGCCATTGATCTTTTCAAGATGCATTCCAGATGAACTGCTAGGTGAGGGGGAAGCTTCATTTTTGTTACCTGATAGAATAGCTTTTCTTATGAGATATATATAATGTGATACTATGTTTGGATATTTTTGGTCTTAAAGCAAGACTCAGTGGTGTATCTTCATTAAAAGCTTCCTTTAAAAAAGTTACAGAGTTACTAAAAAAACAAGTACCCAAACAATCAAGTTGGGCCAACCTTGGAACCTTGTTTTGAATATCTTTCATTGTTTTGTTTGTCGTATTGTAAAAAGAATGTATGGTTGAAAACTCAGGAATGTTTATAAAACAAATTATTTCACAAACCCAGAGGTTTACATATGGTGTTTTATTTTGTTACTTTACTTAACAGTATTATAATCATTTCCCTGTTTCTTTAATTTTCAAAAGCATGTATCTTAAATGGCTACATAGTAGTCCATCAACTATATTCTGATTTACTTAATTCTAACCAAATGGTTAGATGTTTTCATTATGTCCAGCTTACCCCTGTAGTGGATATTGTTATATTACTACTTATTTATACTTTTTGTGGAGTTCTTAGTACAAACTCTTAGAAGTAGTAGAGTCATTGGACCAAAAGCTAAAAACATTTATGAGGCTCATGTACAAGGTTCCATGTTTTCCAGAAGAGTTCAGCCAGTTTACTGTGGTTGTTTATACACGTACACATATACTCATTCTTATGTATTCATTCTATACAGCCTTGAACCCACAACAAGCCCTAGTTCCTTACAATGTCTTATAGTTGTTGTGTGATTCCAGCAGTGTAAAGTGTTTCCAGAAGAGCCCGTGACCCACCTCACCCTCTGGGTGGTACCCTGGCACCTACTGCCCTTTGAAGCAAGCTACCTGTGGTTCCAAGCATGGGATGGAGAAGTGACCTCCTCTGGCCCAAGTGCTGTGCTAAGCATCTGGGCTGTGAGAATGAACTAGGCAGGCATGTTCTTGTGCCTCTCAGAGTGAAAGAACATGGGAGTGGGGTGAAACTGAGAAATGCTGTGGTCTGGCCTCAGATTTTCTGGCCCTGACTTCCCACCATGGGGTCTTTAAGGATCAGGTGTATCAGATACAGCAATAAATACTATAGGCCAGGCACGGTGGGTCATGCCTATAATCCCAGCACTTTGGGAGGCCAAGGCGGATGCATTGCTTGAGTCCAGGAGATCGCTTGAGACCAGCATAGGCAACATAGTGAGATCCTGTCTCTACAAAAAATACAGAAATTAGCCAGGCGTGGTGGTGCACGCCTGTAGTCCCAGCTACTCAGGAGGCTGAGGCAGGAAAATCACTTGAGCAAGGGAAGTCGAGGCTGCAGTGGGTCATGATCACCCCACTGCACTCCAGCCTGGATGACAGGCTGAGGACTTGTCTCA
Organism: Homo sapiens; assembly: GCF_000001405.40. NCBI lineage: Eukaryota > Metazoa > Chordata > Mammalia > Primates > Hominidae > Homo > Homo sapiens. The sequence goes on along the minus strand of NC_000015.10, from coordinate 68,777,463 downwards.
CAAAGAAAGAACTACAAAATGGAAGGAAAAATGGAAGGTGGTGAATGGGTTGATGTTAATGGGCCTCAGGGAGGAGAACCCTTTCTGTATTAATCATGCCAAGCATTCACGTCAGCCCTTGAGGAAGATCATATGTCCATTTAACAGATAAGGAAAACAGGTCAAGTAACTTGGAAGAAGTGGAATCAGCATGAAACCCAGGCCCATCTGGGGCTATTTTCATTCATGGAACTTAGTGGCACAGAAAGCTCAGACAAAGGAGAGGAGAGAGGGGCAGGGCTGGCTTTTCCTGAGCTCTTGCTATGGGCTAGGCCCTTTCCTTCAAATGCAGCGTCTCATTAATCTCACCGAATCATCACAGCCACCTTATGTAGATGCTATTACCCTTGCTACACAGGTGGCTTAGAGGGTAATGCCCAAGGCCATACAGCCAGGAAGAAGAGCACCATCAGGAATTAACCAGGTGTGCGATTCCAGAGCCAGCCCTCTTGCCCGTACCATAAGTGCCTCCCACATCCTGACTCCTGCTCCCCAGATCAGACCACTTGTGTGAGTGAGGCGTGTTGCAGTAGTTCCTCACCCTGACCATCATGGCTTCAGCGAGGGAAGTCTCACCACTCAGTGTGCTAGTCAATGCCACAGGACAGACCCTTGAGAGGGAAGAACTTTTTCTAAGTCACCCCATGCAACCCTCTTATTTGACCAAAGAGGAAATCAAAGCCCAGAGAAGGCAAGTGGCGTGCCCAAGGTGGCCGTGCAAGGGAGTGACAGCCAAGCCTAGAACCCAGGACTCCCATCCCTGGGCTTCTGCACCATCTCACCCACAGCTGTACTGTTTGGGTGGGGGGAGGCCAGCTGCAGCGACAAGATACACAGTGCAGTGTATCTTCCAGGAAGAAAACAGCCGAGCCTTGAGTGAACAGGATACAGTGAGTGTCATGGCCATGTATGTGTTCTATGTGGCTTTGGAATGCATCATAGGTTCTTGATATTCACAGTGGATTTGGCTCCTTGACATTGTCCTATCTGACATTGATCACCACTGAACGGCTGCACATTTCCTGGTGCAGACCAGTGCCTGGAGAGGACAGTAATGACAATGCTTCTTGATTATGAGCTACTCTGTGTCATGTGCTTTCCATCCATTGCCTCCTCTAATCTTCATAGATTTCACAGAGGAAACCGAGGCTCAGAAGTGAGACAACTAGCCCAGCTAGTAAGTGAAGGGCCTCAAAACTACATCCTTCTGACTCCAGAGACCTTGTTCTTAGCCACTGTGTTCAAAGTACCAGGCAAATGAGGGAAGGGGGGTTGAGCAATTCAGTTTGTCTCATTTGCTGACTTGCAAAGGCTGTTTTTATCCTGGTTTAGAAACTCATTGTTCATGGTTGGAAGGATTCCCACAGTGGGTCTCTAATAAGCAGCTTTGGACAACAGCAGCTCTAAGTCCCTGGTCCAGCCCTTGGATAGGCCCCTGGGACAGGCTGGCCCAAGGGTGAGCAGGCCAAGGAGGGGGCTGGAGATGGTTGCACAGATGAGGGTAGGTCAAAGGCTGGGTCATCTGACTGAGGCCCTCAAGCCTGGCCGTGGTCGCACTAGCAGAGGAGAGATTGCCAGAAGCTCCGGAGTCACTGAGGCATCTGGAGTCTGCTGGCTGACTGTGAACTGGAGAGCTGACGCAAGGAACGTCTGTGGGGCTGCCTGCCAACCATCCGTTTTTCTTGGCCTAGCAACACCTCCAAGGGACCACTGGAAGGACTCACATGGATATGGACCATTCTCCATTCCTGAAGTTCAGATGGGCTGGCCCCCATCCCTCTGGGTCTTAGGTAAGCAAGTTATTTTGTCCTGGCCAGTCAGCCTAGTCCAAATCCTAACCACAGTGACTGGTACAAGGAAGGACCTGAAACCCAAATTGGTCAAATGAGGCTTGCTCCCTGGAATCTAGAAAACAAGAATCTTCCCGTGGGAGGTGCTGGGCTAGAGGATGGAGGCCTGGAGTTGAGGAGGCATAGCCCTTGGATAGAGCCATGACAGAGAACCAGCGAACCTCCAGGTGATCCCCTCTCATCCTGGGAGTCCCGATGAGTGCAATGAAGTGAGGACTTCAACAGATACTTAGAACTTACTGTTTGCCAGGGACTACACATTATTTTTCTTGTGTTTCATCATAACCCTATTCTGTAATCATCATTATCCACATTTCAAAGATTGAACCCATCTAAATACTCAATATTGGCTGCTTAGTGCCAGACACAACAGTAAATGCTTTATAAAACTCAACCTAGTGTTTCCCAAATTTCCCTGATAATCTCTGGGGCCTGTCAGACTGCCAGGCCTCATCCCTGGGAATTCTAGTTCAGTAGCCCTGGACTAGGGCCCAGGAATTTGTGATTTTAACAATGCCCAGAGGATTCTCATCATGAGGGAAGTTTGGGAAATGCTGCATTAAACTCAATAGCCACAGCTAATATGGCCATACTCATTTAAAACTGAGAAAAGTGAGGCTCAAAGAGGTTAACTGACCTGCCCAACATCACACAGGTGGCAAGCAGAATTCAAATGTGGATCCACATATCTTTTACACCTCTTGTAGAAAGGGGATGATAATAGCTACCTGTGTATCTCACAGGCTGTGAGATGATGGAAAGATGGTGTGTTAGTCTGTTCTTACCTCACTCTAAAGAAATGCCTGGCCGGGTATGGGGGCTCACAGCTGTAATCGCAATACTTTGGGAGGCTGAGGCAGGCAGATCTCTTGAGCCCAGGAGTTAGAGACCAGCCTAGGCAACATGGTGAGACTCTGTCTCTACAAAGAATACAAAAATTAGCTAGGTGTGGTGATGTGCACCTGTAGTCCTGGCTACTCGGGAGGCTGAGGTGGGAGGATCATTTGAGCCTAGGAGGTCATGACTGCAGTGAGCTATGATTGCACCACTGCACTCCAGCCTGGGCGACAGAGCAAGCAAGACTCCATCTCAAAAAAAGAAAAGAAAAGAAGTACCTGAGGCTGGGTTATTTATAAAGAGTTTTAATTGGCTCATGGTTCTGCAGGCTGTACAGGAAGTGTGGTCCTGGTATCTGCTTGGCTTCTGGTGAGTCCTCAGGGAACTTTGACTCATGGTGGAGGCGAAACAGGAACAGGCCCGTCACATGGCAAGTAAAGGAGCAAGAGAGAGAAGGGGGAGGTGCTGTGCTCTTCTAAACAACCAGATCTCTGAGTGAACTCAGAGCAAGAACTCACTCATTACCATGGGGATGGCACTAAGCCACTCATGAGGGATCTGCCCCATCCAAACACCTCCCATCAGGCCCCACCGCTAACAATGGGGATCACATTTCAACATGAGATTTGGAGGGGACACATATCCAAACCATACCAGATGGGAAAGAGCAGTGGAAAGTGAAAATTTCTATTTTTTTTTTTAAGTATGGTAAAGAATCCCAGGCAACCCAAATATTTTCTGTAACAAGGAGAAAACAAAATTTTCGATGGCCCTTGGTAATTAAGACAAGCTTCTTGGAAGTTTTCCTCCCTTCCCTTTAAAAATTTAGATTAGCAAAATCCACTCTGTTGTTTTTGTTTGTTTGTTTATAAATGTAAGGGGTACAAGTGCAGTTTTGTTCCATGGATGTATTACATAGTGGTGAAGTCTGGGCCTTTAGTGTAACCATCACCTGAACAATATACATTGTATCCATTAAATAATTTCTTTGTTTCAACCACCACAGTCATGATACATTCCATGGACTATCTTGGTTATAAAAAGCAATGGATTTGCCCTCTGGGAGTATCCTAAATCTTGCTGATGGCCTTCTGCAGGTGTTACACATTTTGGTGAGGCACTCAGGAGTCAGGAGACCTGGATTCTCATCCTAGCTCTGAAACTAACTAGCTGGGTAGTCGCCAAGTCACCTCTGTGTCCTATAAAAACAGTGATGCGGACTAAATGACTTTGACAGTCTTAGTCGATAGTTTGTTGTATTATTTCCCTCATTGCCCTGGGGCCTATAGTTACATCTATTTTGAACACAAAATAAAGCATTCCCCTGCCAAAACTCTGCAGTGGCAGTAGGAAGGGTCAATGTGGGAGAAATAGTGGCCTCTCTAGTGAGGCAGGAGTGTTTTGATAGAGAATTTGCAAAAAGACTTTCTGAGGTCTCAAAGTGTAGACCGATAGCCTGGTCTATACACACCTACAATTGCCTGGGTAATCCAACTGGCTCAATAAGGAAGTACAGATAAAACCAATCTGTATTGAGTGCCCTTTATGTGCCCAGAGCTTGACACATGTGATCTCATTTAATTCTCACAGCAGAATTCTACTTGAAGTAGCTATTAATGATTTCCACTTTCCAGATGAAGAAACGGATGTTCAGAGACATTATGTTAAGTTGCTCAAGGTCACACAGCCAGGAAGGCACCAAATGGTATTAGAACCCGTAGCTTCCTGGTCTAAAGTATGGAGCTGTTTCCTCAATTTTTAGGTCTTGTGCAGCCTACAATGAACTGCAGCAAGATTCATCTCACCCAAATCTTGGCTTGATTAATTTCACACCTTTTCTCAAGCATCCAGCTCTCAGGCCCAGCACGCTCCTCCCACTCATCTCTGCAGTTCTCCAGACTTCCAAGCCTGTGACAAAACCAGTCTCTCCATAGTCCCTGGGAACAGATGTCTTGCAACAAAAATGTTTTGAACCTCAGGAACAAGGATAATGGATCTCTACTTCTGGAGAGAGGGACACTAGATGTTGTGAAAGATCAATAGCAGCTCCTTTCAATGCCTGAAAAATAGGAAGAGGCAGCACAGTTGGTGGTACCATCCTAGGCTAGAGCTAGGAAGCCTGTGTGACCTTGGACTAACCACCTCTCTCTACTCTTCACCTCCCAGAATGTCAGGAGATACAGGGCATCCATGCATGCTGATAGGAATGATCCAGTAGAGAGGGAGGCATCAACGATAGAGGAGAGAGGGGGAGAATCTTGGAGAAAATCAGAGGCATGGGTTCTAGTACATAAATAGAAGTTTGGCCTTTGGAAAAGGACAGGACGCTTCATCCTTCATAACAGGAGAGCAGGAGAAAGGCTGTAGATACAGGTAGGTGGGCAGATTCAGTGGAGGGAAGATGGGAGAGTTCATGTTGGCTTTTGAAGGAAATGTGAGGCAAGGTCATCAGTGGGAGATGGGGGCACAGAGGGGCAGAATGGGAGTGGGAAGTTTGAGGAGAGACAGGAGGCATGAGAGTTGTTTTGGGGGTGGGAAAACAACTACACCAGGAGGCATGGGAGGGCTAAATGCCCACTTATTTGAGACCAGTGAGCATGACTTTAAGGGGAGGCCCATCACCATGGCTCAGCAGCTTGAGTGCAGGCACCAAGGAGGCAGACAGTTGCGTTAACTAGCCAGATGATTCTGATGAGTAAAGCACAGGCCATGGAGGATAGGGCATTTAGAAGGCTGTAAGGATGGACCATGAGTTCTAAGCTGGCTAGGGAGGGAAGTGAGTCAGCATTGATAGTGAGAAGGTGGGGAAGGTCAACAGATGGAGATGTGCTAGGGCTGAAGGGTTGCTGGGGTTAGTGAGAAGGTCAAGGATGTGACTCTGGGAGCAGGTGTCTCATAGCATACAGGAGCCGACTTTCACTGGAGATGAGGAGGTTGCAGAAGTGAGAAGCCAAGGTATTGGAAGGTTAATCCTTGAGATTGTTGACATTGCTGAGAATGATAATGGGAATAGTAATAGAAAAAAAAATAATGAATCAAAGCTAGTCCTCACTCATGCAGAAGCCAAATGCAGCAACGAAGAGGCACTCATGCCTCTTTGAAGGAGAAGGGAGGAGCCATGGAAGCAGTAATGTGGAACAAAGAACAATGCCCCAGTTCCAGGCTCTGGGGCCCAGGAAGAAGGGGCAGCCATCCTTCTGGCTTCCTCATGAGAAGTCTGCAGGGGGAGTGGAGTTATCAGGCAGGGAGCAAAAGAGGAGGTTCATCAACTGCTTACCAATGGACCACACATGGTCCCAGCAGGTTGAGGACGTGAAAAGGGTAGAAAATAGCCCTTGTTTTTCCTGCTATAACGTTCATGTATTTTCTTAATTAATTTTTAGAGACAGGGTCTTGCTCTGTTGCCCAGTCTGTAGTGCAGTGGAGTAATCTTAGCTCACTGCAGCCTCTACCATCTGGGCAAAAATGATTCTCCCACCTCAGCCTCTTGAGTAACTGCCTGGCTGATTTTTTTAATTTTTTTTTTTTTTTTTATAGAAACAGTGTCTTACTAGGTTACTCAGGCTGAGCTCAAGCAATACTCCCACCACAGCTTCCCAAAGTGCTGGTAAAGTGCTGGGATTGCAGGCATGAGCCACTGTGTCCAGCCACAGAGCACTTGCAGTGCAGCTAGAGACTAAGGAATGGAGCTTTTTTTTTTTTTTTTTTTTTTTTGAGATGGAGTCTCACTCTGTCGCCCAGGGTGGAATGCAATGGTGCGATCTTGGCTCACTGCAACCTCCACTTCCTGGGTTCAAGCGATTCTCCTGCCTCAGCCTCCCAAATAGCTGGGATTACAGGTGCATGCCACCATGCCCAGCTAATTTTTGTATTTTTAGTGGAGAAGGGGTTTCACCACATTGGCCAAGCTGGTCTCAAACTTCTGACCTCAAGTGATCCATCCGCCTTGGTCTCCTAAAGTGCTGGGATTACCAGCGTGAGCCACTGCACCTGGCCTAGTAATGAAGCTTTTAATTATATTTAATTAATTTAAGTGGAAAGAGACACAGGTGGTTATCATATTGGACAACACAGCTCTAGGCTTTGCTCTTCAGGGTCCTGAGCATATACATGGAAGGAAGTATTTTTAAGCTGCTGGTGCAGCAGGGCTAGGGCAGGCTACAGAGCCAGATTTTTCTGTTCCAGTGCTTATGGATGTCCACAGAGATGCTGGCTGTCTTGGGTTCTGCTTGTCTTCTCTGAGTCTTTGGAGATTGCTGGCCTCTCCTTTTGAGGGCTGCCCAACTTCCTGCAGCCCCACACCCTCACTTCTCTGTTCTAACCAGGAACAGATGGCAGTCACTGCCTGTTGTCTCCAATCCACCCACCCTCTCAGACCAGTTCTGGCAAGAAGTTCACTGACTGAGCATCCATTTTCCAGATACATAAGTCAGGTGTCCCCTGTCACCTCTGGCCAGTGTTCCAAACTTCATTGTTAGAATTCAGATGGCAGGGGGAAATCAGGAACACCACTATACCATCCAAGCCCCATCCAGACCATACAACAGGTGTTTTGGACAACTGCAGCAAAGGTTCCTCTATCACCTAAATATGATGGCAGCTCCAGGGCCACAGGCATTCAGTTCACTCTGCTGTTCTCTGCATGACCCAGGCAAAAATGAGCTGCCTAAGCTGGTTGGTCACCAACACTAGGAAGCCCCCTGATTGGTCAGGTTCTGGCTTGGACACCAACCCTTGCTTCAATCATCTGGTGAGGGGGCTCCTGCTTTAATTTATAGGCCCTCTCAACTGTGCTGAAAGAACTGCCTGGGCCCACTTTCCCAGAAGAGGCTGTGGGCGTGCTCACCACTTGGAGCTCCACGGATTGTCTAAGGCAGCAGAGTGCCTGAGTCTGGCTGCCCACACTTCAGCACTCTAGATCCCCCTGTGGGCCTCAGTCACAGAACCTGTCTTTGCTGGCTTCCTTGAACCCTATCCATATTCTACAGGTGCCTACCTGACTTGACTTGCTGGCTTCCTTGAACCCTATTCATATTCTACAGGTGCCTAACTGACTTGACTTGACCTCCATCGTTTTGGTTCCTGGCACAGTCCTTATTACTACTTATCAGCTCGAAGCTGTTGCCATTCAATTCCTTAGCAGGCAAAGCGGGGCAGAAATATGGAGTTTTTGCAGTGAGGGGTCTTAAACAAGAGGATAAACCCATGGTTCTGTTGACATTATGGAGTCAAACTTCTCGACAGATTGGTTTTTAGGAAATGGACCACACTCCAGAAAATAGTAAATGAGAGCAGATATATAAAGATATATGGAGAGAGGTTTTGTTTTTTTTGTTTTTTTTTTTTTTTTGAGACGGAATCTCACTCTGTCACCAGGCTGGAGTGCAGTGGCATGATCTCAGCTCACTGCAACTTCTGTCTCCTAGGTTCAAGCGATTCTCCTGCCTCAGCCTCCCAAGTAGCTGGGATTACAGGCACTTGCCACCACGCCCGGCTATTTTTTTTTTTTTTTTTTTTGTATTTTTAGTAGAGACGGGGTTTTACCACATTGGCCAGGCTGGTCTCAAACTCCTACCCTCAGGTGATTCACCCACCTCGGCCTCCCAAAGTGCTAGATTACAGGCATGCGCCACCTCTCACCTGGCCAAGAGCAGATATTGACCACCATGCCAACCACTGGAGTAGGTATTGGGTGGGGCTACAAAGTTTAAGGAGGCTTGTTTTCTGCTCTGTTTGAAGACAGCAGACTGAAGCACGATTTGGAGTTGAGGTGTCCCTTGAGATTTTATAGTGACAGACAAAATTTTGCCAAATTTGATCAGCAGCCACCAAAAATGAGAATTCTTAAAACTGTCTCAGAATGGAAAGAGGCTTCTGACACTTAAAAATGCAGTTTCTAGCTTTCTAGGAGGAAAAAGGTACAGTAGGGGATGTTACAATATTTATTGAAAAGAAGAGAAAACAATTACTGTGCATACAAATGGGGATAGTATGTAAAGTTTATTGTCACCTGAAAAGTTAACATGCTCTAGATTCAGTAAGAAAAAAAAAATTAAAAAATGAGAAAAATATTTGAACAGACCACAAAAGAAGAGCTCCTACAAGCATGGGAATGGGGACTAATTGGAAAGAGGCACAAGGGAACTGCCTGCGGGGGATGGAATTATTCTCTTTACTGGAGTGTGGATTACACATGTGTATACATTTGTCAAAATTCATAAGCACGTGAAAAAGTGCCCAACATCATGAATCATCAGGGAAATGCAAATAAAACCCACAATGAGTTATCACTCATCCACTAAAGCAGTGAAAATTAAGGAGACTGACAACACCAAAAGTTGGTGAGGATGTGGAGCAATCAGAGAGCTATGTATTGGCTGGTGGGCTTGGAAAATGGTACAACCTCTTAGGGAAACATTCTGGCAATTTTTAATTTTATAATTGTATACATACCTTCCAACCCAGCAATTTTTTTTTCTTTTTCTTTTTCGTTTTGTTTTGTTTTTGTTTTTGAGACAGACCTCATTGGGTCACCCAGGTTGGAGTGCAGTGGCATGATCTCAGCTCACTGCAATCTTTGCATGCCCCCTCCCCAATTCCCCCCTGACCCCTGGGGGCTCAAGCGATCCTCTCACCTCAGCCTCCCAAGCAGCTGGGACCACCACAGGTGTGCACTACCACACCCAGCTATTATTTCTTTGTATTTTTAGTAGAGACAGGGTCTCGCTATATTGCCTAGGCTAGTCTTAAACACCTGGACTCAAGTGATCCACCTGCCTTGATCTCCCAAAGTGCTGGGATTACAGGTGTGAGCCACTGCGCCCAGCCGGACCCAGCCATTCTATGCCATGATATTTACCCAACAAAAGTAAAATACATTCACAAAAGACTTGTACAAGAAAGTTTACAGCAACTTTGTTTGTCATAGCCCCAAACCGGAAACAACTCAAATGTCCAAAAACATGAATGAAAAAAAAATTGGGGTGTATCTATACAACAGAATAGTACCCAACGATAAAAATCAGTGAATTACTGATAAGCACCACCCAGAAGAATCTCAGAAACATTATGCTGAGCAAAACCAAGCCAGACACAAAAGTGTACACCCCATATCCATTTATATAAAATTTAATAGCAAGCCTCTGCCAGCATGGAAATGGGGACTGATTGAAAAGAGGCATGAGGGAACTGCCTGAAGATGGAATTATTCTCTTAATTTGAGTGCAGATTACACGTGTGTATGCATTTGTCAAAATCTGGCTAGGTGCAGTGGCTTATGCCTATAATCCCAGCACTTTGGGAGGCCAAGATGGGTGGATCACCTGAGGTCAGGAGTTTGAGACCAGCCTGGCCAACATGGTGAAACCTCGTCTCTATTAAAAATACAAAAAATTAGCCGGGCCTCGTGGCACGTGCCTGTAGTCCCAGCTACTCGGGAGGCAGAGGCAGGAGAATTGCTTGAACCCGGGAGGCAGAGGCTGCTGTGAGCTGAGATCACGCCACTGCACTCCAGCCTGGGCGACAGAGTGAGACTCCATCTCAAAAAAAAAATCAACATGTTTTTGTGCTAACCCCTATCGACTCCAGTGATGATGGCACTAGGCTCTAGAGGCCAAAGAAGAGACCCAGAGCCACCAAATGTGACACGGAGTTTTACTGGGGGCTTACCTGTAGGAGAGAGAGTGCAGTCGTGGTGGCCAGGCAGAAGAAATGCAACTGCTTGCAAAAGGCATGCAGTTGATACAGCATTTCCACTTAGCACCCTAACAACCTTCACCTGGCAACCTTCATTCAGCTCAGAACTCAGAGACTCAATCTCCCATATGGGCTGTCTTCCGCAGGGTGGGACTGGGGCTCAGATGTTCCTCATAGACAAGGAACAAATCTCCAGGTTGGCCACTCCCAGATGCCCTAGTTCACATTCAGGTGTGTCTGCCATACGGGGTCATTTTCAGGGTAACCCTAAGTTATTGCTATCAGGTGCATTTACCAAACACATATAATATTTGTGCATTTCACTGTGTGTACACTACAAAAATAAAAAAACATAAATAGAGAACTTTTATTAATGATATGCATGTTGAGGCATTTAGAGATGAAGTGCACTGATTTCTGCACTTTGACGTGCATAAAAAATAAGATTAATTGATGTATATATGGTAAAGTAAATACAGCAAAATGTTCATTATAGAATCTAGGTAGTAAATATATTTTCAGGCTTTCAGTATATATGAAAAATTTCATGGCGAAATAATGGTGTGAAGATAATATGCAAAACGATGTTATAGAATTAAGATTATGGCCAATTTTTAAAAATCACTGAAAACATTAGTTTTGTATCTTTATATTTAATTAAAACACATTAACATAATACTTGTATTACAAGAGAAAAAAAAAAGCTCATTATAGAAATTCTGAGGCCAGGCGCAGTGGCTCACGCCTGTAATCCCAGCATTTCGTGAGGCCGAGGTGGGCAGATCACTTGAGGTCAGGAGTTTGAGACCAGCCTGGCCAACATGATGAAACCCTGTCCCTTCTAAAAATACAAAAATAAGCCGGGTGTGGTCGCACAGGCATGTATGTCCCAGCTACTAGGGAGGCTGAGACACAAGAAGCACTTGAGCTGGGGAGGTGGGGGTTGCAGTGAGCCGAGATCGCACCACTGCACTGCATTCTGGGTGACAGAGTGAGATTCTATCTCAAAAAAAAAAAAAAAAGAAAAAGAAAATTTAAAATATGCAGAGTAGAAATAACATTTTAAAAATCTGTACTCTTACAACCCCTGGAAAATCACTTACAACATATTAGTATATTTCTTTTTTTTACTTAACGTATCTTGAAAATTTTCCACTGTCATTAAATGTTCTTCAAAAAAACGATTCTTAGATGGTAATATATTCCATTGCATGTATGTACTATATATAAATTGTTTAATCACTCCCTATTGTTAGATGTTGGCTTATTTCCAAGTTTTTCTATTCCAAACAAAGCTAGGGTGAACATCACTCTGCATACATCTTTGACCACATTTTGATTTTTCTTTAGGTTAGATTCCTTAAATTTGGCTTACTGGGTCAGAGGCTAGGAACATTTTTAATGTTTAATACTAACAAATCGTTTTCCAGAAAGGTTATACCAAGTTACATACCCTATGTAGTTTACGAGAGTGTTTGTTTCCTGCAACTTTGATATCTTTGGGTATTTTTTTAAATTCAGTTTTAAGTTTTTTGCCAATCTATAGGGGAAAAATTGTATTGTGTTATCATTGTAATTTGTATTTCTTTGAATCCTGTTAAATTTAAACATTTCTTTTTTCCAAATTCTTACTAGTGATTTGTATTTCTTCTCTAAATTATCTGTTTACATCCTTTATCTATCATGTGGGGGAGGCTGTTACTACTTTTATATTGATTTGTTGAAGCTTTTTGTAAAATAAGTGTATTAATCTCATGCCTTATGTGTTTGCTACAGCTATTTCTCAGCTTATTGCTTACCTTTTCCATTAAACTTTTGATTTTGAAATAGTTATAGATTCACACGTAGTTGTGAGAAATAATACAGAGAGATTCTGCACACCCTTTACCCAGTTTCCCCCAATGGTAAGATCTTGCAAAATTATAGTACAGCCTGGGTGAGGTGGCTCATACCTGTAATCCCAGCACTTTGGGAGACCGAGGTGGGCGGATCACCTGAGGTCAGGAGTTCAAGACCAGCCTGGCCAATATGGCGAAACCCTGTTTCTACTAAAAATACAAAAAATTAGCCAGGCATGGTGGTGGGTGCCTGTAATCCCAGCTACTTGGGAGGCTGAGGCAGGAGAATCGCTTGAACCTGGGAGGCAGAGGCTGCAGTGAGCTGAGATCGCGCCACTGCACTCCAACCTGGGTGACAAGGGCGACACTCTGTTTAAAAAAGAAAAGATTATAGTGCAATATCACAATCAGAATATTGACATTGATAGAGTCAAGATATAGAACATTTCCATCACCACAAAGATTCCCCATATTGTCTTTTTCATAGCCACACCTACTTCCTTCCAGCCCCTAATCCTTCCTTAACTCCTGGCAACCACTAATCTGTCTTCCACTTGCATCATTTTGCCATTTCAGGAATTTTATATAAATGAAATCAACGTTATGTAAACTTTTGGGATTATCTGTTTTCACTCAGCAGAATTCTCTGGAGGTTCATTCCAGCCACTGCATGGATCAGTAGCTTGTTCCTTTTTATTTCTGAGTAGTATTCCATGATTTGGATGTACTATAGTTTAACCACTCACCCATTGAAGGACATCTGGGTTGTTTCCAGTTTGGGGTATTATGAATAAAGCTGCTATAAACATTCATGTACAAGTTTCCATGTAAACATGTTTTCATTTCTGTGGGATAAATACACAGGAGTGCAGTTGCTGGACTATATGGTAGTTGCATGTTTAGTTTTCAAAACGGCTGCCAAACTCTGTTCCAGAGTGCCAATGCCATTTTACATTTCCACCAGAATACATGAGTCATCCAGTTTCTCTACATCCTTGCCAGTATAGGATGTTGTCACTATTTTAATTGTTAAATTAATTAATTAATTAATTAAAGAGATAAGGTCTTGCTTTGTCACCTAGGCTGAGGTGCAGTGAAACAATCATAGCTCACTTGAGCCTCAAACTCCTGGGCTCAAGTGATCCTCCCACCTCAGCCTCCCAAGTAGCTAGAACTACAGGCACATGCTACCATGTCCAACAAAAAACTTTTTTTCTTTTTCTAGAGACAGGGTCTCACTATGTTGCCCAGACTGGTCTTGAACTCCTAGCCTCAAGCAATTCTCCTGCCTCAGCCTCCCAAAGTATTGGGATTACAGGCATGGGCCACTGTCGCAAACACTATTTTTATTTTAGAACTTCTTTTTCTTTTTCTTTTCTTTTTTTTTTTTTGAGATGGAGTCTCGTTCTGTTGCCCAGGCTAGAGTGCAGTGGCACGATTTTGGCTCATCTCTGCCTCCTGGGTTCAAGCGATTCTCCTGCCTCAGGCTCCTGAGTAGCTGGGATTACAGGCGCTCACCACCACACCCAGTAATTTATTTTAGAACTTCTGATAGATGTGTGTAACAGCTCATGGTAGATTTAATTTGCATTTCCCTAATGATTAATTTTGAACACCTTTTCATGTACGTATTTACTATCAGTATATCATCTTTAATGAAATATATCTTTATGTCATTTGTCCATTTTCTTTCTTCCTTTTGTTTTTCGAGACAGTCTTGCTCTGTCACTCAGGCTGGAGTACCATGGCACAATCTCGGCTCACTGCAACCTTTGCTTCCCAGGCTCAAGCAATCCTCCCACCTGAGCTTCGCCAGTAGCTGGGACTACAGTCTCACGACACCACACCCTACTCCTTTTTGGATTTTTTGTAGAGATAGGGTTTCATCATGTTGCCCAGGCCAGTCTTGAACTCCTGAGCTCAAGTGATCCACCCAACTCGGCCTCCCAAAGTGCTGGGATTACAGACATGAGTCACCATGCTTGGCCCCATTTGTTGATTTTCTAATTGGATTCTTTTTCTTTTAACTGTTGAGTTTTAAGAGTTCTTTATGTATATTAGATTGTCCTTTATTGAATTTGGGGTTTGCAAATATTTTCTCCCAGTCTGCAGCCTGTCTTTTCATCCTCTTGACATGGTCTTTTGCAGAGCAAAAAGTTTTTAATTTTGATGAAATCTAGTTTTTCAATTTTTCCTTTTATGAACGATTATTTTGGTGCCAAGTCTAACAACTCTTTGCTTAGCTGTAAATCCAGAAGATTTTATCCTATGTTTTCATTTCCAAAGGTTTTATAGTTTTACATTTTATATTTAAGTTCACAATCCATTTTGAATTAATTTTTGTATAAAGTGTGAGGTTTCAGTTGAGGTTCTTTTTTTTTTTTTTTTAAGCGATAGATGTCCGGTTTCTCCAGCACCATATTTTGAAAAGCCTCTTTTTTCTCCATTGATTTGCTTTTGCGTCTTTGTCAAAAATCAAGTGAGCACGTATGTGTGAGTCTATTCTGGGTTTTCAACTCTATTCTATTGATCTGTATGTCTATCACTGAACCAACAGCAGACACTCTTGATTACTGTAGCTATATAATGTCTTGAAATAGGATAGACTGATTGTTCTTACTTTATTCTTATTTTTCATAACTGTTTTTAGTTATTGTAGTTCCTCTGCCTTTCCATATAAATGTTAGAGGAATCTTATCTATGTCTGCAAAAAATCTTCCTGGGATTTTGGCAGAAATTGCATTAAGCTTATATATCAACTTAGATACATCCTAGCTATGTTGTCTCCTAATCCATTAACACAGTACATCTCCCCATTTATTTATATCTTCGATTTCTTTCATTAGTGCTTTGTGGCTTTCAGCACGCCCATTCTGTACATGTTTTATTAGATTTATAGCTAAGTATTTCATTTTTTGAGTGATTATGGTATTTTATTTTTAATCTTGATGTCCACACGTTTATTACCAGTATATAAAATTACAATTGACTATTCTATCTTGATCTGGTATCACGCGACTTTGCTAAACTCACTTATTCTAAAAGTTTTGGTAGATTCCTTGGAGTTTTCCATATACACAATCATATCATCTGCAGTTAGGGGCTGTTTTATTTCTTTCTCCTAATCTTTATGTCTTTAATTTCCTTTCCTTGACTTAACACTCCGTCTGGAATTTCCTGTACTATCTTGAATAAGAGTGGTGAAAGCAAACATCCTTGCTTTGTTCCTAAAATTTGGGGGCAAGCATTCAGTCTTTCTTCAGTGAGTATAATGTTAGCTGTAGGTTTTTGGTACTCCTATTTTCCTATTTTTCTAAGAGTCTTTATCAGGAATGGGTATTGAATTGATTCTTAAGTGTTGAACTGGTCTTGCATCCTGGAAATAAATCCGACTTTTTTACGATGTAGGATTCTTTTTATTTTTAATTTTTATTTTTTTTTTCTTTCTTTTTTTTTTTTGAGACAGAGTCTTGTTCTGTCACTCAGGCTAGAATGCAGTGGCATGATCTCTGCTCACTGCAACCTCCACTTCCCAGGTTCAAGCGATTCTCCTGCCTCAGCCTCCCAAGTAGCTGGGATTACAGGCATCCGCCACCATGCCTGGCCAATTTTTGTATTTTTAGTAGAGACAAGGTTTCAGCATGTTGAACAGGTTGGTCTCGAACTCCTGACCTTAGGTGATCTGCCCGCCTCGGGCTCCCAAAGTGCTGGGATTACAGGCTTGAGTCACTGTGCCCGGCCTGATTCTTTTTATATAGTGCTGAATTTATTTGCTAATATTTTGTTAAGGATTTTTGCATCTATATTCATAGTGAATATTGGTTTGTCATTCTCTTTGTTGTATTATTTTTAATCTGATTTTGGTATCAGGGTAATACTAGATTCATAAAATAAATTGGGAACTATTCTCACTTTTGTTTTATGAAAGACTTTGTTTAGAATTGGTGTTAGTTCTTTAAATATTTGGTAGAATTCTCCAGTAAAACCATCTGGGCCTGAAGATTTCTTTCTTGTGAGTTAAGTTATGAATCCAATTTCCTTAATAGATAAAGGTCTAATCAAGTTATTTCATATTAGGTGAGTTGTGGCAATTTGTGTTTTTTGAGAAATTGATCTTTTTCATCTAGTTTGTCAAATTTATGTGTGTAGAGTTGTTCATAGTATTCCTTTATTTTCCTTTTGATCTCTGCAGGGTCTGTGGCAATATCCCCAATTCCATTCCTGATATTGGTAATTTATAATTAATGTCTTCTCTCATTTTTTTCTGTACATCTTGCTAGAGTTTTGTCAACTTTATTGATCTTTTCAAAGAACTAATTCTTTGTTTCATCAATTTACCTATATTTTCTGTTTTTAATTTTATTTATTTCTCCTCTTGTCTTTATTATTTCCTTCCTTCTTGCTTTGAGTGTATTTTGCTCTTTTTCTGGGTTCTTGAGGTGAGAGCTTAGACTGTTGGTTTGGGGCTTTCCCTCTTTTCTTTAATATTTATTTATTTTCTTTTTTTTAGAGATGTGGGGGGCGGGCGGGGGTGTGTCTCACCATGTTGCCCAGGCTGGTCTCAGACTCCTGGGCTCAGGCAATCCTCCTGCCTTGGCCTCAAAGTGCTGAGATCACAGGTGTGAGGCACCATAGCTGGCCTTTTTTTTTTTTTTTTTTGGAATATTTATGTATTTTTCTTTCTTATAGAGATGGGCTCTCACCCTCTTTTCTAGTGTATGTATTTAGTGCTAAAATTTTCCTCTCAGCACTACTTTGTCTTCCACAAATTTTCTTTCTTTTTCTTTCCTTCCTTCCTTCCCTCCCTCCCTCCTTTCTTTCCTTCCTTTTCTTTCTCCCTCTTTCTTTTCTTTTCCTTTTTCTTTCTTTCTTTCTTTCTCTTTCTTTCTTTCCTTCCTTCCCTCCATCCCTCTTTCTTTCTTTCCTTTTCTTTCTCTCTCTTTTCTTTTCTTTTCCTTTCTCTTTCTTTCTCTCTCTCTCTCCTTCCTTCCTTCTTTCCTTCCTTCCTTCCTTTCTTGCTTTCTTTCTTTTGCTTTCTTTCCTTCGCCTTCTTTCTCTCTCTCTTTCTTTCTCTTTCTCTTTCTTTCTTTCCTTCCTTCCCTCCATCCCTCTTTCTTTCTTTCCTTTTCTTTCTCTCTCTTTTCTTTTCTTTTCCTTTCTCTTTCTTTCTCTCTCTCTCTCCTTCCTTCCTTCCTTCCTTTCTTGCTTTCTTTCTTTTGCTTTCTTTCCTTCGCCTTCTTTCTCTCTCTCTCTCTCTCTCTTTCTTTCTTTCTTTCTTTCTCTTTCTTTCTTTCAGACAGGGTCTCAGTTTGTCACCCAGGCTGGAGTGCAGTGGTGTGAGCTCGGCTCACTGCAGCCTCACTTCCTGGGCTCAAGCAATCCTCCCGCCTTAGCCTCCCAGGTAGCTGGGACTACAGGCACATGCCACCACACCTGGCTAATTTTTGTATTTTTAGTCAAGACAGGGTTTCATTGTGTTGCCCAGGCTGGTCTTGAACTCCTGGACTCAAGCAATATGCCTGCCCCGACCTCCCAAAGTGCTGGGATTACAGGTGTGAGCCACCACGCTGGGCCACAATTTTTCCTATGCTTTATTTTCATTTTCATTCAGCTCTATGTATTTTTTTTTATTTCTCTTGAGACTTTTTTTTACTCAGGGATTAATAATGTATTGTTTTGTTTATAATTGTTTGAAATTTTTACTCTCTTTTTTTATCAATATCTAGTTGGATTCCATTGTGTTCAAAGAATAAACTTTTTATGGTTTTATTCTTAAATTTGTTGTCATCTTTCTGTCAGCCTCATCTGGCAGATTTATATATGAGGTACTATAATGGGATTTAAGCCTTGAAATCATGGCATTTGTGATCAGGATTAATGAAAATTTTTTATCTCTTACCCCTTGCTACTTTAAAACGATAAAATAAAATACTTCTAAGGCTTAAAAGGTAAATATCAAAATATTGAAAGAACAAATGGGTACAGAAACCTCATCAGCTGAATATCTAGGACCACTTCTCTCATATCATTGGTATATTAATTTGAAGCAAAGTTAAAATTCTTTTTTTTGGGGAGGGGGTGGTGGGGATGGAGTCTCAGTCTGTCACCCAGGCTGGAGTGCAGTGGCGCGATCTCGGCTTACTGTAAGCTCCGCCTCCCGGGTTCACGCCATTCTCCTGCCTCAGCTTCCCCAGCAGCTGGGACTACAGGTGCCCGCCACCACGCCTGGCTAATTTTTTGTATTTTTAGTAGAGACAGGGTTTCACCACATTAGCCAGGATGGTCTTGATCTCCTGACCTTGTGAGCCGCCCGCCTCGGCCTCCCAAAGTGCTGGGATTACAGGCATGAGCCAACGCGCCCGGCCACAAAGTTAAAATTCTTGTTCCCTTTTGTTTTAAATAGGTAATACATTCACATGGCTCAAAACCCAGATAATATTAAAAAGGTGTATAACAAAACATTTCATTCCCACCCCATCCCCCAATTCCTCTGTTCCCACCCCTACCTTTCCGTACAAGTGACACACCTGCATCACTTTCTTTTTATTCCAAGATCCTTTTACAAATATAAATATATTATTATAACTTCTCTTCCCCCCCACTTTTTTTTCCACACAAAAAGTAGCATAAAGAACATTTAGAAGGTGAACTCTGAAGCCAGACTGACAATGTCAAAACTGCAGATCTTCCACTCACTAGCTGTGTATCTTTACGCAAGTTTCGTAACCTCTCAGTGTCTCAATTTCTTCATCCGTATTGTGAGAATAATAATAGCATCTCTCTCATATGGCTATTTGAGGATTAAATGAGCTAATATATGTATGAAGCATTTATGACAGGGCCTGGCACATGGGGATCCTTCTGTCTGTGTTACTGTTATCATAGGGAGGTGTGGTTTCATGAATCTAAGAGCGTGGGCTCTGGAGCAAGACTGCCCAAGGCCAAATTCATTTTCTTACCTGTAAAATGTAGATTATAATAGTACTTACCTGGCTGGGCACGGTGGCTCACACCTGTAATCCTAGCACTGAGGCAGGTGGATCACCTGAGGTCAGGAGTTTGAGATCAGCCTGGCCAACATGGTGAATCCCTGTCTCTACTAAAAATACAAAAATTTGTTGGGCATGGTGGCATATGCCTGTAATCTCCACTACTCAGGAAGCTGAGGCAGGAGAAACGCTTGAACCTTGGAGGCAGAGGTTGCGGTGAGCCGGGATCATGCCATTGCACTCCAGCCTGGGCAACAAGAGCGAAACTCTGTCTCAAATAGTGATAATAATAATAATAGTACTTACCTTCATAGAGTTGTCATGGGATTGAACTGATCATATGTGTGTATATATATATATATATATATATATATATATATATATATATATGTATATAAAAGGACAGTGCCTTGCACACTGTAAGCACTATTGTATTTCATCAGATCCAAGATGCCATGGATTATAAGACACATCATTATTTTATGCACTAAGAAAGAAAAACCATTACAATTAAATTATGACCTGCCTTTGACTATAACACATCCTCGTTTCAAGTATGTTACAAAGTAAAAAAAAAATGCACATCTTAGAATTGATGAAATATGGGATATAAGTATTAGCTACTCCACTCTTATATTTACTTAAAAATATATCTTGGGCCGGGCGCGGTGGCTCACGCCTGTAATCCCAGCACTTTGGGAGGCCGAGGCGGGTGGATCATGAGGTCAGGAGATCGAGACCATCCTGGCTAACAAGGTGAAACCCCGTCTCTACTAAAAATACAAAAAATTAGCCGGGCGCGGTGGCGGGCGCCTGTAGTCCCAGCTACTCGGGAGGCTGAGGCAGGAGAATGGCGTGAACCCGGGAAGCGGAGCTTGCAGTGAGCCGAGATTGCGCCACTGCAGTCCGCAGTCCGGCCTGGGCAACAGAGCGAGACTCCGTCTCAAAAAAAAAAAAAAAAAAAAAAAAAAAAAAAATATATCTTGGATATTGCTCTGTATTGGTACAAAGAGAGCTTTTCCTTTTTTTTTTTTTTTTTAAAAAAAATGGCTATATAGTAATCCATTGTGTGGATGAGCCATAAATTATTTAACCAGTATCCTGTTAGTTTCCAGTCTGTTGCTGTTACAAACAATACCACAACGAATAACTTTGTAGACATGTCATTTTGCAAGTCTGCTGGTGTATCTGCAAGATAAATTCCCAGAATTGTCACTGCTGGGTCAAAGAGTATACATCTTTGAAATTTTGGCAGGTACACTAAGCTCAAGTTTTAACTTGCAAGGCCACTTCAAACTAAAGAAATCATGGATCAAGAATGTTTGGGCCAGGCACGGTGGCTCACACCTGTAATCCCAGCACTTTGGGAGGCCGAGGCAGACGGCAACCAGAGGTCAGGAGTTCAAGACCAGCCTGACCAACATGATGAAACCCCATCTCTACTAAAAATACAAAATTAGCCAGGCATGGTGGTGCGCCACCTGTAGTCCCAGCTACCTGGGAGGCTGAGGCTGGAGAATCACTTGAACCTGGGAGGCAGAGGTTGCAGTGAGCAGAGATCGCACCACTGCACTCCAGCCCAGGTTACAGAGAGAGACTCCATCTCAAAAAGAAAAAAAAAAAACAACAAAAAAAAGGATGTTTGAAAAGGATGGGCCTGATGAGAAGAATCCCACCCAAAGAACTCCATTGCTTCTGGGGAAGAGAGACTGTTCTCAAGAAAGGAGGAGAATCACTGAAAAATGAAGGATTGATCTTTGGAGAAAGTCGTTTGAAATCATATAAAGGGAATTTTCAAGGAATCAGTTTCCTACCAGGAAAACTGAGAAGAGAGAGGATAAAGCTTCATCTTCCAATAAAGAATTTCTGTGCTGCTGAAGTTGTCAGCAGGAAGTGTCTATTTCAGTACACCTGACCCTCTAAGGACAAAGTTGTTGCACCTTCTAGTTTCAAACTCTGGATAAAGTTTCTATCTGAGGAATCCTAATTTTCCAAGCTTCTTTTCCTTTTTATCATCCTTTCCCTAATTTCTGAGGTATTCAGCCTGCCTTCCTCCTTCACCTTAGCATATTATTGCTCCCATTCTTTTGCTGAGTTTTCTGGAGTATGAGCCATTTGGAAATCTTTCTTAGGAAAAAGATTCTTGGTTCTGCCTTCTTTCTCGTTTATCTTAAAATGTGATGTTTGTTGTGTCTTGGGGACCCTGTTTTATCATCCTATTACTCACCTTCCCATTTATTACTTTTCCCAGATGTCTTACTGGTGTCTGGGAGGGGTTTCCTGAGCTGATATGGTTCCTGAGCCTAACTCAATTTGTCCAGAAGCCAAAGGAATCTGCAGTCTCTGGCCATCGTTGGAGTCCCTAAGTTTTAAGCTATATCCAGGGCTTTACAGCAAAAAGTGATTGAATTTATCATCTTCTTTCAGCCCTTTTCTGGCAGTGCTCATCCTTGCTGGTAGATATTTACTACTGGTGCTTGGTGGTTGTGCTTCTTTTCCTTTTTCCTCTCCTTTTCTTTATTTTCCTAAACCAAAACACTGTATTTTTATTTTTGTAGAGACAGGGTCTTGCTATGGTGCCCAGGGTAGTCTCAAACTCCTGGCCTCAAGCAATCCTCCTGCCTTGACCTCCCAAAATGCTGAGATTACAGGTATGAGCCACTGCACCTGGCCAACATTGTCTTGATTTTCTTCTGCTTTATAGAACTATTCTAAACATTTATTCTTTTAAAAAAAATTTCTGCTTTCTTTTAATATAAATATTTTTCTTTTTTGAGATGGGATCTCACCATGTTGCCCAGGCTGGTCTTGAACTGGCTGAGCTCAAGCAATCTGCTGGCCTCGGTCTCCCAATGTGCTGGGATTACAGGTGTGAGCCACCCACGTGGCCGAAAACATCTATTCTTTTCAGCTGCTCTTCTCTCACAATGAAAGAGGGGCAAACATGGATCTTGGAAGAAGCCTGTATTCTGGTTTTGTGTCATCTCAAGAAGATACTTGTAGTTGGGGCGTCTCATTGGGCACTCCTCAGGGCTTGCCACCTCCCCAGCGGGTGGGACATCCTGCCCTGTCTTCTTTCTCCTTTCTCCTTTCTCCACAGCCCTGGCATACTGCTGCAAAGCTCCGCAACGCCTTTGCTCAGGAAGCTCCCCGTGCAGGTTCTCATCAAGGATGTCTGCCTCCCCTGCTACAAACAGGAACGAAAACACTACTTCCTGGATTGCGTCTTTACATAAATATGTAATTTCCCAGTAACATCACTTCCTGGAGTCCAGCTTCTCATCGGTCTCGGGAACCTACAGTTTCCCTACTCAGTTTTGTCCTTGTCACCAACAGGTTATTTGGAAGTCATCTTGTGGCTTTAGTCCCTGATTATTGCTTCCTCTGTTGTTTCACCTCTGATAGCCTCTTGATGGGGCCACGAGAATGAATCATTAAGACTACTGCAGCCGGGCGCGGTGGCTCACTCCTGTAATCCCAGCACTTTGGGAGGCTGAGGCGGGTGGATCATTTGAGGTCAGGAGTTTGAGACCAGCCTGGCCAACATGGTGAAACCCGTCTCTACTAAAAATACAAAAATTAGCCGGGCGTAGTGGTGGGCCCTTGTAATCCCAGCTACTCAGGAGGCTGAGGCAGGAGAATCTCTTGAACCTGGGAGGTGGAGGTTGCAGTGAGCCAAGATTGCACCACTGCACTCCAGCCTGGGCAACAGAGCAAGACTCCGTCTCAAAAAAAAAAAAAACAAAAAAAGAGGAAAAAACCCCAAAACTACCGCAAAGCAGCTTTTTACCCCAACAAAATGTTTTCAGCTTAGTCCTGTTGAAGGGCAATCAGCCTTCCATCCTGTTCTTTAGTGATATATCATCTCTCTCTTTCTCTCTCCTGCTTCCCCAAGCCTATATTTAGAAAATGCATAAAACACAGATTAGAGAATACCTGTGCATCTACCAGCCAGCTTAAGAAATAAAGCCTGACCAATACAATTGAAGCCTCTTTATAATTCACAATCACAATCACTCACACTTTCCTCCCAGATAACACTATTCTTATGGTTCATGCATTTTTTTCTTATTTAATTTTAATAGTGTATGTTATAGATAACTTTTATTTATTATTTTTATTTTCTTATATTTATTTATTTATTTTTTTATTTTTAATTTTTTTGAGATGGAGTCTCGCTCTGTTCCCCAGGCTGGAGTGCAGTGGCGCAATCTCTGCTCACTGCAAGCTCTGCCTCCCGGGTTCATGCCATTCTCCTGCCTCAGCTTCCCGAGTAGCTGGGACTACAGGCGCCCGCCACCACGCCTGGCTAATTTTTTGTATTTTTAGTAGAGATGGGATTTCACTGTGTTAGCCAAGATGGTCTCGATCTTATGACCTCGTGATCTGCCTGCCTCGGCCTCCCAAAGTGCTGGCATTACAGGTGTGAGCCACCATGCCCGGCCAGATAACTCATATATTATTTATAAAGAATAAGTAGCACAGTGAACTATAACCCAGGTCAACATTTAGAGCATTACCAAGAACTATTTCCCTTTGAGATCCCCTTCTGTTCCTTTCTCCTACCCCCCTCTAACTATCCTAAATATTTGAGTTTTTTCTTTGTTTTTAAAATACATAGTTCTTATATGTATGCTAAATGGTATGTTGTTTAATGTTGCTTGGTTTTGAGCTCTATAAAAATTCTATCCTGGAATTGTTTGAACCCGGGAGGCAGAGGTGGCAGTGAGCCGAGATGGCGCCACTGCACTCCAGTCTGGACGACAGAGAGAGACTCCGTCTCCAAAAAAAAAAAAAATTCTATCCTGCACTCTTTTACCCTTCAACATTATGATTCTTCCAAGAAGTTGCATGTAGCTGTACATTATTTATTTTCACTGCTGTATAATATGCTGTAATTTATCTATTCTCTGGTCGATGAACATTTAAGTTGCTTCCGTGTTTTTTAAAATTAGAAACATTGCTTCAATGAACAATCTTGTACATGCTTCCTGGTGCATATGTGCAAGAGTTTTGGCAGTTCATACAATGAGGAATGGGTCTACAATGGCAGTTCTCAAACTTTGACGCCTAGGCGCGGTGGCTCACGGCTGTAATCCCAGCACTTTGGGAGGCTGAGGCGGGTGGACCACTAGCCTGGGCGACAGAGTGAGGCTCCATCTCAAAAAAAAACAAACAAAAAAACCCCACAAAACTTTTCTGTCTATCAGAATCTCCTGGAAGGCCAATAGGGAATACAAAGAGCTCACTGAAGTGGCCCAGAACCTGGGCCTATTTCTGTTTTTAACCAATTTTCATAGGCGATTCTGAATCACACCAAAGTACAAGAACCACTGCCTAGAGTTTGGAAATGTTGGCCTTTACATGAAAACGACTAATTATTTTGTAAGTGATTGTACCAATTTATACTCCCACCAGCAGTGCATTAAAGTAACTGCTCAGTCACATTCTTTTTTTTTTTTTTTTCTTTTTTTCGAGATGCAGTTTTGCTCTTGTTGCCCAGGCTGGAGTGCAACGGCGCGATCTCAGCTCACTGCAACCTCTGCCCCAGGCTGGAGTGCAATGGCGCGATCTCGGCTCACTGCAACCTCTGCCTCTCGGGTTCAAGTGGTTCCCCTGCCTCAGCCTCCCAAGTAGCTGGGATTACAGGCGCCCACCACCACGTCTGGCTAATTTTTTGTATTTTTAGTAGAGACGGAGTTTCACCATGTTGACCATGGCTGGTCTCGAACTCCTGACCTCAGGCGATCCACCTCGGCCTCCCAAAGTGCTGGGATTACAGGCGTGAGCCAACGGGCCTGGCCAGTATTGATTCTTAATTTCTTTTTCTAATTATTTGCGGCATTTTAAAAAGTACTGGCTGGGTGTGGTGGCACACGCCTATAATCTCAGCACTTTGGGAGGCCCGAGGTGGGTGGATCACTTGAGCCCAGTGGTTCCAGACTAGCCTGGCCAACATGGTGAAACCCCATCTCTACTAAAAATACAAAAATTAGCTGGGCATGGTGGTGTGCACCTATAATCCCAGCTACTGGGGAGGCTGAGGCAGGAGAATTGCTTGAACCCGAAAGTCGGAGGTTGCAGTGAGCTGAGATCTTGGCATTGCACTCCAGCCTGGGCGACAGTGAGACTCTGTCTCAAAGAAAAAGAAAAAGATAAAGAAAAAGTGGGGAGGGGCTTCTCAAAGAAAAAGAAAAAGAAAAAGAGGGGAGGGGTGTCTCAAAGAAAAAGAAAAAGACAAAGAAAAAGAGGGGAGGAGAGGGGAGGGGAGGAGAGGAGAGGGGAGGGGAGGAGAGGAGAGGGGAGAGGAGGAGAGGGGAGGGGAGAGGAGGAGAGGGGAGAGGAGGAGAGGGGAGGGGAGGGGAGGAAGAACAAATGATATCTCTATATATTGACCTTGTATTCTGTAATTTTGCTAAACTCAGTAACTCTAGTAGCTTTTTAATACATTCACTTAGATTTTCTTCCTATGTTTACTATTATCTGCAAATAAGACAGCATTGCTTCTTTTTCTTTCCTTTTTCCTTTCTTTTTTTTTCTAACACAGAGAAGGGTAACCACAGCCATCAACAAATTGTTTCATACTTCAGAATTGCCTAAAGAGGCTGGGTGTGGTGGCTCACACCTATAATCCCAGCACTTTGGGAGGCTGAGGCAAGGGGATCCCTTGAGGCCAGGACTTTGAGACCAGCCTGGGCAACATAGTGAGGCGCTGTCTCTAGAAAAAAATTTAAAAATTAGCCAGGCGTGGTGGCATGAGCCTGTAGTCCCAGCTACTCAGAAGGTTGAGGTGGGAGGATTGCTTGTGCCCAGGAGTTTGAGTCTGTAGCGAGCTAAGATCCCACCACTGCACTCCAGCCAGGGTGACTGAATGAGACCCTGCCTCTAAAAAAAATAAAAACTCAAAACACAAAGAAATGACAAATATTTGAAGTGATGGATATCCAACCGCTGTAACTTGATTACTACATATTGTATACACCCCAAAATAAGTACAATTACCATGCATCGATTAAAAAAAAAACTCATTTCATGGTCTTAGTATAGAAAACTCCTAGAAATTCTTTTATTTTCTTTTTAAGACAGGGTCTCGCTCTGTTGCCCAGTCTAGAGTGCAGTGGTACAAACTTAGCTCACTGCAACCTCCTGGGTTTGAGTGATTCTCGGGCCTCAGCCCCCTGAGGAGCTGGGATTACAGGCACGTGGCACCACGCCCAGCTAATTTTTGTATTTTTAGTAGAGATGGGGTTTTGCCATGTTGGCCAGGCTGGTCTCGAACTCCTGGCTTCATGTGGTCTGCCTGCCTTGGCCTCCCAAGGTGCTGGGATTACAGGTGTGAACCACCATGCCCAACCCCTAAAATTTATTTAGGTGAAAAAGCACTTTCCTGTGACTGAGTGGTGGATTCAGCACATTCCACCATAACCATGAAGGGTAAACACAATCCAGATTGTATACGATTAGGAGAGTGCACAGCTTATCTTTTTTGTTCTTTTATTCATTCATTTCTTTTTTTAACTGTCCTTTTCCTGAAGAGCTTTCTGATCCCTAACAGCTTTGGGCACCAGCTTCCCATAGCAGTGTTTCTCACTAGAAGCAAACTTTGCTATATCAAAGTGGACCCATTGGAAGCATAGCTGCAACCATTGTCCACAATCTTATGGAAAAAATTCACAGTTTCTTTCTTTTTTTTTTTTTTTTGTTTGAGATGGAGTCTCGCTTTGTTGCCCAGGCTGAAGTGCAATGGTGCGATCTCAGCTCACTGTAGGCTCCGCGTCCTGGGTTCACGCCATTCTCCTGCCTCAGCCTCCCGAGTAGCTGAGACTACAGGCGCACACCACCACGCCCGGCTAATTTTTTGTATTTTTAGTAGAGACGGGGTTTCACTGTGTTAGCCAGGATGGTCTCAATCTCCTGACCTCGTGATCTGCCCGTCTCAGCCTCCCAAAGTCCTGGGATTACAGGCGTGAGCCACCGCGCCCGGCCAAAATTCACAATTTCTGGCACATACGCACTAACTCTGGTTAAAACATCCAGAGAGAGGACGTTCAGAGTGTCCATGTATTTGTGGAACTCCCCATCCCAGAACTTGGGCAGTTTGGAGAAAATGAAATTGTCAGTCACCTGACTCCAGAATGTGGAATCCAGCAACTCAGAAAGCAAATCCTTGGCCTCTTCCAACAATCCTTGCACACAGCTGTTGACTTCCTCTCCAGCAAGTCTGCACTACACAGCTTTCTCAGGCGGTTCTGTGGCAAGCTTCACTGTGTGCTGAATTCATTACAGCATCTGCTTTTTATCAGGATCTGTGGTCTCATTGAATTTTACTGAAAATGGCTTCAGGGCAGTGTGAACATTCCCTAGCAGCTGTGCCACCTGGGACTTCTTCTCCCTATACTCCTCAACAAGTAGTTCTTATCACCAATGTCCCTAATATTCATGCAATAAAGGACATCACATTTGAAGTCATCCTTCAACACTCTTCTCAAGATAATGAAAGAGATGTAGGACCTGGCGTGCCCTGTGTGACATGCACCTTAGATGGTCGGCCTGGACCATGTCACCTTTCTCCCACCTATAGGTACAAATGTGTCCTTGCTCCCAGTGAGGCTGTTGCAAAGGTGAAGCTTACATGGCTTGGCTGGGCTCAGTAGGAACGGACCACGGAGGCTGTACTCTCTGGCCTTTACCCTGCTCCCCAGAGGAAACAGCCATGGCTGGGAATCCCAGGCCCGTAGCCACGGCGACAGATACTTCCCCTTCTTCTTTTTCAATCTACTTACCTTTTATTTCTTTTTCTTGATTTATTACACAGGCTAGGACCTCCAGTACAATTCTGAATAGAAGTTGTGAGAATGGCTATCTTTACCCTTGTTCCCAATCTTAGAAGAAAGTATTCACCTTTCACCATTAGGTATGATGAGAGGTGTAATTACTTTTTAGGTGCCTTTTATCCGGGTGAGGAAGTTCCCTTCTACTCCTAGTGTGATAAGAGTTTTAAATGTGAATGAGGTTGAATTGTTAATATATATTTTTGGGGGGTTTTTTGCTTGCTTGTTTGAGACAGGGTCTTGCTCTGTCACTCGGGTTGGAGTACAGTGGTGCCTTCACAGCTCACTGCAGCCTTGATCTCTGGGGCTTATGCAATCCTCCCACCTCAGCCTCTTGAATAGGTGAGACTACAGTGCACACAACCACACCTGGCTGATTTATTTTTTCAGTAGAGATGAGGCCTCCCTTTATTGCCCAGGCTGGTCACAAACTCCTGAGCTCAGGCAATCCTCCTGCCTGAAGTGCTGGGATTACAGTTATGAGCCACCTGGCCTGGCTGAGTGTTGAGTTGTGTCACATAATATTTCTGGTTTTTTTGGTTTTTTTTTTTGAGACACAGTCTTGCTCTGTCGCCCAGGCTGGAATGCAGTGGCGTGATCTCGGCTAACTGCAACTTATACCTCCCAGGTTCAAGCAATTCTCCTGCCTCAGCCTCCCAAAATAGCTGGGATTACAGGCACCTGCCACCATGCCCAGCTAATTTTTTGTATTTTTAGTAGAGACGGGTTTCACCGTGTTGGCCAGGGTGGTCTTGAAGTCCTGACCTCGTGATTTGCCCACCTTGGCCTCTCAAAGTGGTGGGATTACAGGCGTGAGCCACGGCACCCGGCTTGTTTTTTTGTTGTTGTTGTTTGTTTGTTTTTAGACAGATCCTCATTCTGTCACCCGCCCAGGCTAGAGTACAGTGGCGCAATCTCGGTTCACTGCAGCTTCCGCCTCCCAGGTTCGTGTGATTCTCCTGCATCAGCCTCCTGAGTAGCTGGGATTACAGGCGTGCACCACCACAACCAGCTAATTTTTTTTTTTTTTTGGTACTTTTAGTAGAGATGGGGTTTCGCCATGTTGGCCAGGCTGGTCTCAAACTCCTGACCTCAAGTGATCCAACTGCCTCGGCCTTCCAAAGTGCTGGGATTACAGGCGTGAGCCACGACGCCCAGCCTTACATGATTTTTCTATATCTATTGAGATGCTTATATGGGTTTTATCATCTGTTTTATCAAATTACCCTTGAATTCCTGGAATAAAGCCCACTTGATCATGATGTATTATCCTTTTTATATATCACTGAATTCAATTTGTTAAAATTTTGTCTAGAATTTTTTTTCATCTATGTCCATGAAGTATATTAGTATGTAATTTTATTTTCTTGTAATGCCTTTGTTTAGTTTAAGTATCAGGGTATACTAGACTTAGAAAATGTCTTAAGAAGTGTTACTTTTTCCCCAACTTAAAGAAAGTTTACAGATTTTTTTTTCTTAAATGTTTTCTAGAATTCACCAGTGAAGCCAAATGTTCTGGTGTGCTCTTTGAGGAAAGATTTTAAATTAAAAATTTAATGTTTCAAGTAAATATGGGACTGTTTTTATTTCTTTTACAGTAAGACTTGTACTCTGTGTCTTTCAAGGAATTTGCCCATTTCATCTAAGTTTTAGAATATGTGGGCATAAGTTGTTTATAATAGTCCCTTATTATCCTTCTCACAGCTGAAGTATCTGTGGTAATGTCCCCTTTTTAATTTCCCTTTCATTGTTAATTTGAGTCTTTTTTTCTTGGTCAGTTGAGCTAGTTTATCAATTTTATTCATCTTTTCAAAGGTCCAATTTTAAGGCCAGGGGTGGTGGCTCATGCCTGTAATCCCAGCACTTTGGGAGGCCAAGCCGGGCGGATCACCTGAGGTCAGGAGTTTGAGACCAGCCTGGCCAACATGGGGGAACCCCATTTCTACTAAAAATACAAAAATTAGCTGGGTGTGGTGGCACATGCCTGTAACCCCAGTTACTCAGGAGACTGAGGCAGGAGAATCGCTTGAACCTAGGAGGTAGAGGTTGCAGTGAGCCGAGATCACGCCACTGCACTCCAGCCTGGGCGACAGAGCAAGACTCTGTCTCAAAAAAAAAAAAAAAAAAAAAAAAAAAAAAAAAAAATCCAGTTTTAGCTGGGCACAATGGCTCATGCCTGTAATCCTAGCACTTTGGGAGGCTGAGGTGGCAGGGTCACTTCCAGGCCAGGAGTTCAAGACCAGCCTGGGCAACATAAGTGAGACCCTGTTTCTATAACAACAAAAAACACTTAGCCAGGTGGGTGGCACATGCTTGTATTCCCAGCTACTGAGGGGATAGAGGGGCTGAGGTGGGAGAATCACTTGAACCAGGGAGTTTGAGGCTGCAGTGAGCCATGATCACGCCACTGCACTCCAGTCTGGGCAGCAAAGCAAAAAAAAAAAAAAAAAAACAAACAAGACCCTGTCTCAAAAAAAAAAAAAAAGTTGGGCTCAGTGGCTCACGCCTGTAATCCCAACACTTTGGGAGGCCGAGGCAGGTGGATCACGAGGTCAGGAGATCGAGACCATCCTGGCTAACACAGTGAAACTCCGTCTCTACTAAAAATACAAAAAAAAAAAAAAAATGTTGTTCCAGGCGTGGTGGCAGGCGCCTGTAGTCTCAGCTACTAGGGAGGCTGAGGCAGGAGAATGGCGTCAACCCAGAAGGCAGAGCTTGCAGGGAGCCGAGATCGCGCCACTGCACTCCAGTCTGGGCAACAGAGGGAGACTCCCTCTCAAAAAAAACAAAAAAACAAAAAAACATCAAAATCAAGTTTTGTACCAAATTGATTAATATTCTCCATTCTTTTTTTTTTTTTGGATACAGGGTCTGTCATTACCCAGGCTGAAAGTGCAGTAGCACCAGTCTCTCCTGGGCTCAAGCCATCCTCCCACCTCAGCCTCCCAGGTAGCTGGGATTACAGGTATGCACCACCATGACTGGCTAATTTTTGTATTCTTTGTAGAGGCAGGGGATTCGCCATGTTGCCCAGGCTGGTCTCAAACTCCTGGGCTCAAGCAATCTGCCTACCTTGGCCTCTCAAAGCGCTAGGATTACAGGCAAGAGCCACTGCACCTGCCCTCTTTGTCCATTTTCTATTTCATTAATTCTACTCTTTATGATTTCCTTCCCATTTACTTTGGGTGTATTTTGCTCTTTTTTTCTAGCTTCTTAATATAGAGGCTTAGAACGCTGCTTTTAGGCACTTCTTATCCACTGTAACCAATTAAAGCTATACATTAATCTAATTTATTAGCACCGTTTTAGATGTGTCTTATAAACTTTTGCTTATTGTGTTTTTATTTTCATTCAGTAATAAATATTTTCTATTTTTCGGTTTTTCAGTGCAATTTCTTTCTTTCTTTCTTTTCTTTCTTTCTTTCTTTCTCTCTCTTTCTTTCTTTCTTTTTTTTTTTTTTTTTGATGGAGTCTCAGTCTGTCATCCAGCCTGGAGTACAGTGACGCCATGTTGGCTCACTGCAACCTCCACCTCCCGGATTCAAGTGATTCTCCTGCCTCAGTCTCCTGAGTAGCTGGGATTACAGGCATGTACCACCACACCGGCTAATTATTGTGTTTTTAGTAGAGTCGGGGTTTCCCTATGTTGATCAGGCTGGCCTCGAACTCCTGACCTCAGGTGATCCACCTATCTCGGCCTCCCAAAGTGCTGGGATTACAGGTGTGAGCCACCGCGCCCAGCCATCAGTGCAATTTCTTTTTTAACTCTTGGGTTACATGGAAGTATACTGTTTAATTTCTCAATATTTAGGGATTATCTAGATATTTTTCTTTTTCCTCTTTAATAAATAAATAAATAAATTAATTAATTAATTATTT
Organism: Homo sapiens; assembly: GCF_000001405.40. Classification (NCBI taxonomy): domain Eukaryota; kingdom Metazoa; phylum Chordata; class Mammalia; order Primates; family Hominidae; genus Homo; species Homo sapiens. Next base: position 68,745,505 of record NC_000015.10, on the reverse strand, counting down.
TTCCAAGACAGAGTTTTGCTCTGTCGCCCAGGGTGAGTGCAGTGGCATGATCTCGGCTCACTGCAACCTCTGCCTCCTGGGTTCACGTAATTCTCCTACCTCAGCCTCCCGAGTAGCTGGGATTATGGGCATGCACCACCACACCCAGATAATTTTTGTATTCTTAGTAGAGATGGGGTTTCACCATGTTGGCCAGGCTGGTCTCAAACTCTTGACCTTGTGATCCGCCCGGCTTGGCCTCCCAAAGTGCTGGGATTACAGGCATGAGCCACCACACCTGGCCCTCCTCTTTATTTCTGTCATGCTCAGAGAATATATTTTGTACAATTTCATTCCTTATAAGTTTATCGAGATTGTATATGGCTTAGAATATGGTCTACATTTGTGAATGTTCTATGTACCCTTGAACAAGATATGTATTCTGCCAGTGCTGGGTATAGTGTTTTATAACTATATATTAGGTTAAGTTATTTAATAGTATTGTTTAAATCTTTTATATACTTATTGGTTTTCTATCTCCTTGTTCTGTCAATTAATAAGAGGTAAGTGTTGAAATCTACAGCTGAAATTGTAGATTTGTCTATTTTGTCTTTCAGTCTGTCAGTTCTTTTTTCATGTACTTTGAAGCTCTATTACTTGGTGTATGCATGTTTAGTAATGTCTTCTTGATGAAATGGCCCATTTCTCATCATAAAATATCACTATTTCTGCTTATAATCCTTTCTCCTAAAGTTCACTGTGCACAAATCGATACATCCATTTCAGCTTTTTTCATGATTAGTGTTTGCTTCATATATATTTTTTCTATTCTTTTACTCTTAACCTACCTATGCAGTATATTTAGAGCTTATTCAGGTAGATTTTTATACAATCTGACATTTCTGCCTTTTAATTGGAGAGTTTGGGCCACTTTTATTTAATGTAACTATAAATATGGTTGTATTTAAATACACCATTTTGCTATTTGTTTTCTATTTGTCCCTACTATTCTTTGTCCCTTTTTCCTTTTTTTTGACTTCCTTTTTAATTCATAAAATACTTTAATGATTTCATTTTATCCCTACTTTTGGCTTATTAGCTCTATCTATATTTTACTTTTGAATGATTGCTCTAGAGTTTACCATATACATCTTTAAATTATCACAGTCTAACTCCAAATAATGGTATCAAACTTCACATAGGCCAGGTGTAGTGGCTCACACCTGTAATTCCACACTTTGGGAGGCCGAGGCAGGCGGATCACTTGAGGTCAGGATTTTGAGACTAGCCTGGTCAACATGGCGAAACCCAATCTCTACTAAAAATACAAAAACTAGCTGGGCGTGGTGGTGCACACCTGTAATCCCAGCTCCTTGGGAGGCTGAGACACGAGAATCACTTGAACCCAGGAGGTGGAAGTTGCAGTGAGCCGAGATTGTGCCACTGCGTTCCAGCCTGGGCGACAGAGTGAGACTCTGTCTCAGAAAAAAAAAAAAAAAAGAAATAAACAAACAAAAAGAAAACTTCACGTAGTTAACAAGAACCATGAAGGTTCTGAGGTAATACTGTACTTGCAAGCATACAAATTAGCCTGCCACAATTTGATGCTAGTAGAAGACTCAAGATTTTTTTGTCTGCCTCTATTGATGGTATAAAAAGTAAAGAAAAAAAAAAGAAAGACTCTGAACTTGTGCATCCTGGGTCAAAGACAAAGAACCTTATAACTCATACCACAGTAGTCAGTGGATGCTATGCATACAGTGAATTTGCATTCCAGCCAATGAACCCTGGGCTTAGGAAACCCCAATCTTTTATAAGGGCCTGCAAACATATCTGCTCAACCTTTGCCCTTGAGGGACAAATGCAAGTGGCTTTATTATTTTCCTCGGAATGTTGTTCTTCCTAGTGTTTTTACATTTCTCAACCAATTCCTCTGCTTTGAATGTTGTGTGTATGTGCAAACGCATAATCTCAGCGGACAAAACTGAAGTGTAATACCTCTGGTGGGCTAAGGTCACATTTCTCAGGCTCCTTGTGAAGAATTTAGGACACAGCTGATAGATGCCAGCCACACCAAACTGGCCTCTGTGGTAGGCCTGAGACCATTTGCTTCATTTTTCTCAGTTCAGCTGTTTGTTGCTGTAAGGCCTTGGCCACACTGTGAATATTCCCTAGACCTTGATTTTCCTGGAAGTCAGCTGGGCATAATAAATAATGCCTGTATTTTCTCAGCATCTTTTTATCACTTGAAATTTTTAAGAAGTTTTTGTACTTATTGAAGGGCTCTTTTAGACTTATTTAGACAGATTTTCTTTTATCCTATGTCTCTCTTGTGTGCACATAAAAAACAAATATAGGCAAAATAAATTGGTTATGACACTCCTAAGACTTCTCCACAATTAGATTCTGGCTCTTCTGCATCACCATGGCTCAGCATCATTGATGTCTGTGTTTTTTGATACAAGATTGTACTCAGTGTTAGCAAGAGGTTGAAGAGGCAGCATTTCATTTGTTTTTTTTTTTTTTTTAAGACTGAATCTCGCTCTGTTGCCCAGGCTGGAGCACAGTGGCGAGATTTGGCTTCCTGCAACCTCTGCCTCCCAGGTTCAAGCGATTCTCCCCCCTCAGCCTCCCGAGTAGCTGGGATTATAGGCGTGTGCCACTACACCTGGCTAATTTTTTTTTTTTGTATTTTTAGTGGAGATGGGGGTTTCACCATGTTGGCCAGGCTGGTCTTGAACTCCTGACCTCAAGTGATCTGCTCACTTCAACCTCCCAAAGTGCTGGGATTGCAGACTTGAGCCACTGTGCCCGGCCAGCATTTCTTAATAGGATGCTTCATTTTTGCTTTTGGAATTTTCTTCCTAACCAGTAACACTGATTTTGCAAGTGCAAGCAATAGAAGTATCTCAGGACTGCTGCATGGTTGAATGATTCGAAGATGTTAAAGTGGGAAAAATCAGGGCTTTTGAATTGGAAAATATAGTATGGAATGTATTTTTCCTCATGTGGTGTGATGATCAATAAATAACCTGCCTTCTGTTTCTTCACAGCCCTTTGTGATATAGGTCCTTTTTATCATCTCTTTATTTTTTGGGTTTGAAACTAAATCTCAGAAAGCTAAAGAAACCTGTGCAAGCTGCTGGAGGAAGGGTTAGTACCCAGCTGTGTCTGACTCAAAGCCATCCCCTTTCTATTTCCCTTCCTATGCCTCCATTCTGACTTTTTTTTTTTTTTTTTTTGTGCTGGAGTTTCGCTCTTGTTGCCCAGGCTGGAGTGCAATGTGCAATGGCGCAATCTCGGGCAGCTCTATGGGTCAATAAACTCTGTTGACAGGGGAACTTGGGGGTCCTGCTGTCTGACACCAGGAATTAAAGTGGAGAGTAAAAATTCTGGAGAATTTAATTTTGAAAATATTCTTTTTCTTTTTCTTTTCTTTTCTTTTTTTTTTTTTTGAGACAGAGTCTCGCTCTGTCGCCCAGGCTGGAGTGCAGTGGCATGATCTCGACTCACTGCAACCTGTACCTCCCAGGTTCAACCTGTACCTAGGGAAGCTAGGCTGGGTTTTCTGTTTAGGGGTCTCATAAGGCTGAAACCAAAGTGTCAGCAGGACTAGGCTTTTATCTGGAGGTTCTAGGGGAGAATCTACTTCCAAGCTCACTCGGGTTGGTAGAACTCAGTTTCTTGTGGTTGTAGGACTGAGGATCCTGTTTCCTCCCTGGTGGTCAGCTGGGGGTATCTTTACTCCTAGAGGCTGCCTTCATTCTTTCTCACATTTTTCATGTCCCCACCCATCCCAGCAATAGTGAGTTGAGTACCCCTCATGCTCTGAATCTCTGGTTTCCTCCTCCTCCACCTCCTTTTTCTTCTTCTTCTTTTTTTTTTTTTTTTTTGTTGAGATGGAGTCTCACTCTGTTACCCAGGCTGGAGTGCAGTGGCACTATATTAGCTCACTGCAATCTCTGCCTCCTGGGTTCAGGCGATTCTCCTGCCTCAACTCAGCCTCCTGAGTAGCTGAAACTACAGGCATGTGCCACTACGCCTGGCTAATTTTTGTATTTTTGGTAGAGACGGGGTTTTGCCATGTTGGGCAGGCTGGTCTCGAACTCCTGGCCTCAAGTGATCCACCTACCTTGGCCTCCCAAAGTGCTGGGATTGTAGGTGTAAGCCACCTCACCCACCCACTGACTTGAGTCTCTGATTCCAGCTACACAAAGTTCTCTGCTTTTAAGGGCTCATGTGATCTGATTGACCCCAGATTGACCCCACCTGAGCAAAGCAGGACATGGCTCTATTTTAAGGTTCAAAACCTCAATTATATCCACAAAGACCCTTTTTGCCGTGTAACAGATAAATTCACAGGTTTCAGGGATAAGTGCATGGGCATTGTTGGGGGCCTGCCACACCCCCCCCCCCAGCTAGTTTGTAATCTCCATGAGGAGTTGGGGTGCCAGCACAGCCCTGGCACTGTGGGTGCCTAATAAACTCTGTTGCCAGGGGAACGTGAGGGTCCTGCTGTCTGACACCAGGAATTAAAGTGGAGAGTAAAAATTCTGGAGAATTTCATTTTGAAAATTTTCTTTTTCTTTTCTTTTTTTTTTTTTTGAGACAGAGTCTCGCTCTGTCGCCCAGGCTGGAGTGCAGTGGCATGATCTCGACTCACTGCAACCTGTACCTCCCAGGTTCAAGCGATTCTCCTGCCTCAGCCTCCCAAGTAGCTGAGATTACAGGTGACCACCACCACACCTGGCTAATTTTTGTATTTTTAGTAGAGGTGGGGTTTTACCATGTTGGCCAAGCTGGTCTCAAACTCCTGACCTCAGGTGATCTGCCCACATTGGACTCCCAAAGTGCTGGGATTATAAGCGTGAACCACTGTGCCCGGCCCTGAAAATATTCTTTACTCAGAAATTGATAGAGGAAAGTATGTTACCCCCTTGTGGGAGGTAAATGCCTTCAAGTCTTCGGCTCTTGCAGGTGGTAGTCCTCAGAGCGTGGTTCTCTTGGGTGTGAGGAAGGCTTTGGGTGCTGTGTGCTGGTGTTGGGGAAGAGGGGCAAGATGGCACATCAGCCTGGGCAGAATGAGTGTGCTCAGGTCCAGGAAGCTGGGTTGACAGATGCAGGCTTTTCTCAGGTGGGCTTTCAGCCAGTGCTTTGGGAAATCTTAGAGACAGAGGCTATGTGGCTGAAAATAAATCCACACACATCTGGTCAGGTCTACTTTGTGCGGGGGTCTACTACATTCAGGACCTCACCAAACCTCAGAGAAACCCCTCTAGGTGGGCTATAGCGGCTTCATTTTACAGACGAGGAAACTCAGGCTCAGAAGTTGAATGATATGTTCAAAGTTACACACTGAGGCACAGAGGCAGGACCGGAGCTTGTTCTTCGGTCTCGTAGTTCAATGCTCTTTCTGTTTTTGTAGTTGCCTCCTGGGTTGGAGGTAGGAAGACGTGGTTTGTCCCTAATGTATTAGGTGACAGTGGAAGCTCCTCTACTTGTTATTCAAGTCCTAGCCTACCTCTTTCCTCAGTCTATATTAATCTCTTGTTTCTTCTGAATTCCTACGACATTCATTTATTCATTCATTCTGAACTCAGTACATACTTACTGAGTGCCTATGACCTACTAGGCACTGTGCCAGATGCTGGATACAATGGAGAACAGGACAGACATGGTCCATCTCTCAATGGCTTACAGAGCTGCCTTCACTGTTGGGGAATACAGATGATTATATCAGTAACAATGGTGAAGTGTGATGAATGTTGGGATGGGGAAATCGAGGATGCTATGGGATTACTGAGGTGTAGGTTCTGACCTATTCTAGTGATGTAAAGGATGTTTCTTGGGAGGTGGCACTGAACCTGAGACCTGAAAGATAAGATGAAATTTGCCAGACCAAGAGAGTAGGCAGGTGATCCATGCAGAAGGAATGTGCTATACGAAGACCAGGAGGCAAGACAGTCCCTGGACACAGCTCAGGAAATCAGAAAAGCAAACGAAAACAAAAAGTAGGTCTGTCTGGGATGTTTTTTGACATCAACCAATTCCCCGACACCAGCTGGGTACCTAGCAATTCAATTCAATTCTGACACTAACTACCCAGAGTTAGTGTGGACCCCACAGCTTAAGGGCTCAGTTGCATAAGACTGCCCCCACTTCAGACGCCAGTCCCAAATCTCAGACCACCTGTACTTCTGACCAACTGGCTGTAAATCAGGGCTTCCCATGAACCCCTCCTCAGGTTTGTTAATTTGCTAGAATGGCTTGCAGAACTCAGAAAGGCACTTTACTTATAGTTTTAAGTAAGTGTTTGTTATAAAGGATATCCTAAAGCATACAAATGAACAGCCAGATGAGAAGGTACATAGGCCAGGTCTGCAAGGGTCCTGAGTGCGGGAGCTTCTGGCCCTGGGTAGTTGGGGTGCATTCACCAACTCAGAAGCTCTCAGAAACTTTCTGTTCAAAAGTTATATAGAGGCCGGGCGAGGCGGTTCACACCTGTAATCCTAGCACTTTGGGAGGCCGAGGCAGGCAGATCACTTGAGGTCAGTAGTTCAAGACCAGCCTGGCCAACATGGCAAAACCTTGTGTCTACTAAAAATATAAAAATTAGCCAGGCATGATGGCGGACGCCCATAATCCCAGCTACTTGGGAGGCTGAGGCATCAGAAACTCTTGAGCCCAGGAGGTGGATGTTGCAGTGAGCTGAGATCGTGCCACTGTACTCCAGCCTGGGTGACACAGCGAGACTTCATCTCAAAAAAATAAAAAGGTGTATAGGGCAGTGGCTCATGCTTGTAATCCCAGCACTTTATGAGGCCAAGGTGGGAGGTTCACTTGAGGCAAGGAGTTCAAGACCAACCTGGGCATCACAGTGAGACCCTGTCTCTATAAAAAAATAAAAGTAGGCTGGGCGCAGTGGCTCATGCCTGTAATCCCAGCACTTTGGGAGGCTGAATTGGGTGGATTACCTAAGGTAGGGAGTTTGAGACCAGCCTGACCAACATGGAGAAAAATACAAAAAATTAGCCGGGCATGGTGGCGGATGCCTGTAATCCCAGCTACTTGGGAGGTGGAGGCAGGAGAATCACTTGAATCCCAGAGGTGGAGGTTGTGGTGAGCTAAGATCATGCCATTGCACTCCAGCCTGGGCAACAAGAGTGAAACTCCATCACAAAAATAAATAAATAAATAAATAAATACATAAATACATAAATAAAAGTAAAAATATTAGCCGAGTGTGGTGGCATATAACTGTAGTTCCAGGTACTCAGGAGGCTGAGGTGGGAGGATCTCTTGAGTCCCAGAGTTCAATGAGGCTAAGAGTGAGCTATGATCATGCCACTGCACTACAGCCTGGGTGACAGAGTGAGACCCTGTCTCTAAAAAAAATTAAGGCTGGGTGTGGTGGCTCACACCTGTAATCTCAGCACTTTGGGAGGCCCAGGTGTGCAGTTCACTTAAAGTTAGGCATTCAAGACTAGCCTGGCTAGCATAGTGAAACCCTGTCTCTAGTAAAAATTCAAAAATTAGCCGGGTGTGGTGGTGTGTGCCTGTAATCCCAGCTATTACAGAAGCTGATGTGGGAGAATTGCTTGAACCCAGGAGGCGGAGGTTGCAGTGAACCAAGATCACACCACTGCACTCCAGCCTGGGCAACAGAGTGAGACTCTGTCTCAAAAAAAATAGATAAATAAAATAAAAATAGTAACAAAAGTTTTATATAGCTCTATCTCCAGTCCCCCCTCCCCAACTTTGAGGTCAATGGGTGGGGCTGAAAGTTTCCACCCTCTTTTTTTTTTCTTGTATGTTATTCCAATGAAAAGTTTCCATCCTCTTTTACAGGGTCATACTCTGTTGCCAGGCTGGACGATCACAGCTCACTGCAGCCTTGACCTCCTGGGCTCAAGCGATCTTCTTATCTCTCAGCCTCCCAAATAGCTAGGACTACAGGTGTGCACCAGCACGCCCGATTAATTTTTGTATTCTTTTTTTTTTGAGACGAGTCTCCCCCCGTCACCCAGGCTGGAGTGCAGTGGCATGATCTCGGCACACTGCAAGCTCCACTTTCCGGGTTCATGCCATTCTCCTGCCTCAGCCTCCTGAGTAGCTGGGACTACAGGCGCCCGCCACCTTGCCTGGCTAATTTTTTGTATTTTTAGTAGAGACGGGGTTTTACCATGTTAGCCAGGATGGTCTCGAACTCCTGACCTCGTGATCTGCCTGCCTCGGCCTCCCAAAGTGCTGGGATTACAGGTGTGAGCCACCACACGCAGCCTAATTTTTGTATTCTTCTGCAGAGATGGGTTTTTGCCATGTTGCACAGACTTGTCTCAAACCCCTGGGCTCAAGTGATCTGTCCACCTCAGCCTCCCAAAGTGTTAGGATTACAGGTGTGAGCCACTGCACCTAGCCAAGTTTCCATCCTCTTATTACTTGGTCTTTCTGGTGCCAGTCCCATCCTGAGATGCTACCGTAACTCACCTCATTAGCATAAACTCAAGTATGATGGAAAGGGGCTCCTAATAAATTACAAAAGATATTCCTATCTTTCAGGAAATTCCCAGCATTTTAGGAGCTCTGTGCCGAGAACCAGAAACAAAGGCCAAGTATTTATTTTATTATTACCACAGTCTATAAGGAGCAGAGAGTTTCAGGCAGCAAATGGCAAGAGATGAGGTCTCAGAGATTAGAGGACCACGCCAAAAAAGAAAGAAGTTAAAAAATTTCCAAAAAAAAAAAAAATTTCTACTTTCCATTAGGGTAATGGGGAACCACCAAGGATTTAAGTAGGGGAGTGACTGTGATTTGATTTGCATATCATAATGATCACTTTTGTGTCTTTGTGATGAAAGGGGCTGGGTGCAGTGGCTCATGTCTGTAATCCCAACATTTTGGGAGGCCGAGACAGATGGATCATTTGAGGTCAGGAGTTTGAGACTAGCCTGGCCAACATGGTGAAACCCTGTCTCTACTAAAAATACAAAAATTAGCCAGGCGTGGTGGTAGGCGTCTGTAATCTCAGCTAGTTGGGAGGCTGAGGCAGGAGAATTGCTTGAACTGGGGAGACAGAGGTTGCAGTGAGCCAGGATGGCGCCACTGCACTCTAGCCTGGGTGACAAAGCGAGGTCTCAAAAAAAAAAAAAAAAAAAAGAACTAATTAAAGGGACAAAGCTGGAGCCTGAGAGGCTGGCCAGGAAGCTGTTGTGGTAATCTGGGTGGAGACAATGATGGCCTTGGAGATGGTCATGAAGATGGAAAGAAGTGGGTGGGGCTGTGAGAAGGTAGAACTGGTCTACCTTTGATTTTGGATGCCTTGTGATCTCTATCACTCTTCCAGCAATGACTTGTGCTCTACCTTAAGACATTTGTTTTTATATTTATTTCTACTTCTTTAATGCTGTTGTCTTTTCATGGATTTCTACCTTGTCTCTCCAGCATTCCTTGAGATCAGAGGTTGAATCTCATGCCCAATCCACATTTAGTTGTTTGATTCTTTGGGCCTTAGCTTCCTCATTGCTAACTTGGGGAATCCACACCTTTCCTGCTTTGTAGGGTTATTTTGAAGATCCAGTATCTGATGAGATAAGGTGGTGAAGAAGCTTTAAATAGCATGCAGTTGCAATTGATTATTATCATAAAGAAATTACCTGTTTGCATTAGGTAAGCACTACCCAGAGTGTAGTCTGGTCAGAATGCAGTCAGAAAAGAGAAGTAAGAAGCTGAGGTACCCTCTCTTGTCTGGTTGATTATTAAGTTATGACTGAAGTTCAACCAATAATAGCCAAATAATATTGACTTTAGCCAGAGAGAAGCCTGGAGAAAATGTTTACCCTCATAATAGACAAAAATTGGAAGCCAATGGTTTCAGGTATCTACTGATGTAATTCTAACACCTCAACTCTACATGAAATTGGTTTGAACCCCATCCCACAATCTAGGGGAAACCCCATGCCTTCTGCAAGATTTCTGTGAATTCCCTGGGCTTAGGTTCCTCAGTGTCATCTCTGGCTCTAAATTTCCTTCTTTGCTGTCTTGCGGCCAAACCTCTATCCCAGAATTGCCCCAAAAGTTGAACATAGCCCTTTCTTTCTTGATGCCTGCCTACCCTGCTTCCATGGGGCAGCTTGTGTCATAGACATTTATTGGAGATTTGGGGAATGGATGACATTGGAGAGAAGAGTTGGATTGCAAAATGGCAGTCCAGAAAATTTAAAATATAAACTTATATCTTTCTAAGAGCTTCCCCAGTTTCCCACCTACTAGGGCTTTAGTCTCTAACCACATTGCTTAGCTTTCTTTTTTCCTCCCTCCTTTGTTCTTCCTTATCCTCAAATTCCTGTTCATTTCTTAGGCAGAGCTATTTGGCTATCTTTGTTTTTTCCTCCCAACTCATGTCTTCAGGGCCTCACCTTTTACCCCCAAGGGGCCTATCAAGGTATTTCCCCAAACAAAGACACTTCCTTCCCTAAAAGGAACTCTGGTACCAGCTGATAAAATAATAACTTTTCTTTGCTACTGCAATGACAAGGTTGCCAAACTGTGCCTATTCTTTGGGAGCTCCAACATTAACTGGGCCTTCTGGCCAATGGGAAAGGTAACCAGTTGGCAGTCCTTGTGACTTAGGATGCACCCAAGATCTCATTGAATTTAATGCTTGCAAGTTTGGGAGGAAGGCTGCGAAGTTCTGATTAACCCATTTTATGATGGAAAAAAGTGGGGTTTAGAATTAGTTTAGCAACAACTGGATGAATGAGCTTCTGAGCAAGAACTTGAACCCAAATCTCAGCTCATTCCATTTTCTCTTTCTTGGTAGTCTTTATGAAAATGGAAAATGTCCCTTGTTTGTTAGTCAAGTCAGCTGTTTTGACAATGAACTTGGTGCCCTGGTGCAGAAGGTCAAAAGTGACATGAGCTATGTGGCAGATAGGTTGTACTAAGTGCTGGGGGAAAAGATAAGCTGTCAGTAGATGCTCTTCTGTGTTGAGACAGAACTATTATCTCTGCAAGATAATCATCTTGAGGCTGTTAGGCAGGGCTCTTGCTAAGGAGGAATCCAGCAGGACTGCTTTGGGAGCCACTTCTTAGGGCCCCTCTGCCATGCCTTTCCCTCATGCTTTTCCCTCTCCCCTCCCCTACACCCTTTCCTCCTTTAAGGCCCAGTTCCCATGGCCGACTGTCCTCTGGGAAGCCATCCCTGGCAGCCACACATGGGTTAAATCCTCTCTCCTGGAAATCCTGTAGGCAATTACTCTCTGCTTTGCACCATTATCAAGTTCTAGACCAGTGGCTTTCAAAGTTTGTTGATTGCAACCCATAGTGAGAAACATATTTTATTTTGAATCTCTGTATATATAACACACCACTTTCCTTCCCTTTCTCTTACACACACACACACACACACACACACAAAGAGAGAGAGAAATATTGTGTGTGCACTATTAAAAAATGTTTCAAATTTCACCCGGTCATTCTGATGCTTTAAAACCTTCTGAGGTTTTCCATTGCATAAAAAGTACATTCCAAGTAAATAGCCTGAGTATAAGGCCCTTTGCTGACTGTCCTCTCGCCAGCCTTCTTGTTGGCTTCGGAAACTCAAAGCCCTTTGGGATTCTCCCCACATGCCAGCTGCCTCCTTTCTCTCACTTTGCACATGCTCTTCCTCTGACTGCAGTGCCGTTCTCCCTCTTCTCGGTTAGAAAACTGCTTTCACTTTAGGAACTCAGATGACCTGCCACCACGAGTTCTGTCCTCTGTCTTCTGCATCTTGATTGCTCTGATCTAGTACTCAACACTGAATTGTAATTACTGATTTGCATGTCTGCATCTTTCCCTAAACCAAGCCCCCAAGTCCAGTGATTTGTATATCTCAGTTGGTTTTATATCACTGGCACCTACTGTAGTGTCATTGTCCAGCAGATGTTCATTGAAAATTAGCAAAAGGACACTGTTCTCCAGTTCCATATTATCATTAATTAAAATCCTTCCATTCCATATGGCCTTAATACCTCTGGCCATTTATATATACATGGTGGTGCAGGGAGTGGGAGAGGGTAGATTTTGGAAGTAGTCACAGTTGATCCTATAGTTCCTGGTGTACCTCCTCCCACTCAGCCAGTAGTTTTCATTGCTAGAGGGAGGATCAGGATTCTGATAGCTGGAATACACAAATAAATAATAGTCAGTGCCCAGCTTTTGAGTTTTTAAACAGATTTGCAAAAATTCATGGCTGAGACAGTAAAGTCTTAAAAGCCAAGGGTTTTATTTTTATCTAATTTTTTTTGAGACAGGTTCTTGGTCCTGCTGTGTCGCTTAGTCTGGAATGCAGTGGCACAATCACGGTCCACTGCAGTCTCCACCTCCTGGGCTCAAGGGATCCTCCAGCCTCAGCCTTCTGAGTAGTTGGGACAACAGGCATGCACCAGCACACTTGGCTAATTTTTTATGTTTTTGTAGATATGGGAGTCTTGCTATGTTGCCCAGCCTAGTTTCGATCTCCTGGGCTTAAGCAATCCTCCTGCCTCGGATTCCCAGTGTTGGGATTACAGTTGTGAGCCACCGTGCCTGGCCAGGGCTTTTGATTTGAAGAGAAGAAAGGGCTCAATGCCAGAGAAAGCAGGTCATAAGGTTTATGCCACAAGCGGTAGATTGGGAAGAAAACGGGTGAAGAGACAGTGTACCTCGCCCTATGCAAGTTTAGGGATTGGGGCCACCTTGAGTGGAGTGGGAGGAGATCAGTGGGTGGGACCAGACCAGGAGGGATCAGGTAGGTAGGGCAGAGTCAGCAACAAGAGGATCAGGGAAAGGCTGAGCATCTGCTGCCACAGTGGACTGTGCTGGGATCCCTGTGAGGCATGCCTCGCATTGTGGGGCTGTGTGGTGGTGGCTGGGCCTTCTGGTCAGGACTCCACCTGTCAAGTGTACAATGGAAGTGACACCTGGCCAGCCCTGTCTGCTCACCCCATCCAACTGCCCTCCAAAGGGGCAGAGGTGATGTGGGAGGAAAAGCCCTAGCACCCATACCTGGTGAACTGAACAGAATAAGCTTGAGATTTCATCCCAAGGGACACAGTCGTGGCAAATCCTAAACCTTTACATACATTTAAAATGTCTTTAAAATTAAAGAATACCTTCTTCTCTTATCCTGTTACCCTGAAGATAATCACTGCTAATTATCTCAGTCCTTCCAGACATTTCTCTCTGCATTGAATATGAATTTTAATTATAAACCAGACTGGAACCTCTCTGAGACCAAGAACTACATCTTATTCTAGCACCTAGGACAATACCCGATGCAGAAAAGGCATTTGATAAATATTTGATAAAATAATTTTGAATGAAAACTGTCTCAAAATTCCAGTAGGCAAAGAAAAATAAGCTGTTTTCATTATTTCATTATTATAAATGACTTTCAGAGAGCTATGTGAATTTCAGGCCGGTGGGGGATAAGTTAGAATGGGAGACGGCTGGTGGGTGGGGGATTTAGAATCACTTGAATCACACTGCTAAGAAGTTCTAGGGCCTGCCAGGTCTTTCAGTGATTAAAAAAGCCCAACAAGCTTTCTCTTTTCTTTCTTCCTCTCTCCTTCCTTTCTTCCAATAGAGATGAGGTCTCACTATGTTGACCGGGCTGGTCTGGAACTCCTGGCCTCAAGCAATCCTCCCACCTTGGCTTCCCAAAGTGCTGGGATTACTGGGATCATAGGCATGAGCCACCTCGCCCCGGCATCCAACATGCTTTCTAAGACCAGCCCTTCCTCTCTCAGGTAGCCAAAGGAACATTCGTTAAGAAAGGTGTGGCCAGCACTGCTGTTGTTGGTTTACAAGGGGATTAGAGAACACGATCCCTATCTTTGGGGAGTGCCCCATTAGACAGCAGGGGGTGGGTCATCCCTGTCCCAGCTCTGGTTCCATTTCTGAGTTCTCCTAACCTGCCTCTTCCTCCCTCTTCCCTGTTGCCTCCCTATCCCCTCCTCCCACCCACCCCTGGGATCAAGGTCAGTTCCTTATCTCAGCAAGCTCTCTTAATTCTGCCATAACTACTGCCCCAGGCTGGGCCACTCCTATCTCCTACCTGGACAACCCACCAGCCCCCACCGTTTCCCGGCTTGTGTTGCCCTCCAATCCCTTCCCTTGAAGTAGCCAGAGGGAGGTGTCCACTCCTGATTCAAGCCCTTCCTTAGCTCCTCATGGCCTGGGGTGGAGTCCAGCCTTCCAGGGCAAAAATTCAGGGCTTCCCGGGTCTGGCCTTGGCCTCTTCCTCTGTGTCCTGGGCTGCTCCCGTGCTTGGGAAGCAGAGACCCTGGACGACTGGTCCTGTTTGTCTCATCAGGAGCTTCCTGGAGGCTGCGTGGGCTGCAGCAGCGAGCCCCAGGCTGGGCTGGGCCGGACTTGGCCGAGTGCAGATGTCTGGCCTGGACACCTGGTCCCTCCACCCCTAGTTTTTTGCCCCCCTTCACTTTCCAGCTCTTCCTTCTACCACCCCCTCAGCCCAAGCCTCATTAAACGCAGACTCTCCAGGCAGAAAGGGCCCCATCCCTGTCACTATTCCTGTAGGGAAACTGCTCAAGATCACAGAGCAGGTCAGAGGCTGCCTGGGTGGGGTGAGAACAACCAGACCAAGCCTCTTTCCTGTGCTTCAAGGAAGACTAGGCAGGGTCTCCACAGCCCCGTAGGGAGGAAGGTGAGGTGCGTGCCCTCCTCTGGCTGTGCCTTGGAAACAGTTGGTCCCTGGGCTGCCCTCCTTCAAGCCTCCCTTCTCCACCTGGGGTGCTTTGATTCCTGGCTGTTGTGTGCGCCTGCTTTGCCATGAGGCCTCAGTGCCTATGGTTGGATCATTAATTCTGGAGTGAGTGGGAGGTGCAAAAGGGACCCAGTTTAGAAAAAATGGGCTTGATAGGAAGGCCAGAATCTGCCACCTGCTGGCTGGATTCAAGTTTCTACAAACTCCTGGTCTTTGAATCTTGCTGTCATCACTGTGACCTTGCTCAGTGTCCCTACCTCCCTCCTCTCATTCGAGGCCCACCGTCTTTCATTGTTCCCGTGTCCCCTTCGCTGGATCCATTCTCCCGATTCATACCAGCATCCCAATCCCAGGGGGATTTGCACATGGAGATGGTTCTGGCAAGGGCAATGCTTAACCCAAAGAAACTATGTGCTAATGGGGGGATTCTGGGCAGTGTGACAAGCCAGATGCAAGGGAGGGGCTCTGGGACAGGAGCTTGCTAGAACTACTCTCACCCGATCTCTAGACACTCACCTTTCTCTGAGTAAGGCTGACCCATTTGTGCTTGTTACTGAATTAAAATTCCAAGGAAAGACAGGCTGCAGGTTGTTCCCAAATAGGAAACACACATACACAGAGAATGAGGAGCCTCTGCCAACATTCCAGGCAGGCCTCTTCCCCTCCCTGCACCATAGCCCTACAGTCCCTGTGCAGGCTGACCAGGGGGAGGAGAAGGATCTGGTAATGTTTCCTGTGGCCGAGGTAAGTGCCTCTGCTCCAGGCAGCCCCCATCACGGCAGCCCTTCCAAGCAGGAAGGCTGGGGGGGCGGGGGCCGGGAGGTGGGGGTGTTTTCAACATGAAGTCATTTCCCACAGTGAAGAAGCAGCCACGTTCTGCACGGTCCACTGGCAGTCTGGGATGTTTGCCCAGCACCAGGAGAGAGTCTAAAAATGCCCAAGCCCATCTTGGGATCTCAGGAGGCTGGCTGGAAGACAACCCAGGAGTCGTCCAATCCCAGAACAAACTGCCCACTCCACACTGAACCCAGCCTAGGATAAAGCTCATCCCAGCCTCCAAGGGCTCCAGGTCCTGCTGGATGATATGATGCCTATACATAGACCACTGGCTGGAGCCCCTCAAGAGCAGGGCTTGTTCTTTCTCATGTCATGGTTCCCAGCACCTGGTCCTAAATAGATGCAGCTACTTGGTATGTGTTAAACTGAGTTGAAAATTCGATTAGGTGTCAGGGGTAGGATAAAGAGTTGTAGGCACGTGCAGGAGGATACTCTTGCTGATGGTAAAGGCATTAGGGACATCTCCGTAGAAGAGAAGGGTCTGAAGTTTAGCTTAAGGTATCCTTACTTGGAGAAAAGAAGGGAGCAGACACCTGGTAGGGAGCATGGCAGTGGGGACAGGTTCAAAGAGCCATGAATGGCACTCTCCTACATCATTATGATAATTAAAGCAATGTGTTGGGCTAGGCAGTGTAATTCGCAGTGTGTAATGGGCAGAGGGGCCAGCGTAACAGACTAGTCATGGAATATATAACATATGAAGAAATTAAGGATACACAGCCAGCCAATGGGGAATTGATGAGTTATTCAACAAATGCAGTTGGGAAAATGGGCTAGTGGGGAGACAGAAAGCAAGTTCGAGCCCGACCTTAGACAGTGTACCATAATAAGTAATGATAAACAGCCGCCCCGTTGGGCTCAGAATTGGAGATTAGGTGGGACAGAAGTACATATGAGACAGATAACCTTATCCATTCACCTGTTCCCTGAGACTCAGCAAAAGTGATTTTCTGCACCCAAGTCCTGTAGGAAGTCATTCTTTGCTTCCTTTTTCCCAATAAATTTCTTCTTTTTTTTAATCACTCGTGCTAGACAATGGGTGGTCTTGGGGATTTGTCCCATCCTCTCAACTGCTAGTGTAACGAAACCTAGGATGACACACCAGGAAGGGACCCTAGAAATTGTCCCATCCCCTCATTTTATAGATGGAGAAAATGGGGCCCAGGGAGAAAAAAAGCCTTACTCAATGTTGCACAACTAGTCGAGGGTAGGGCCAGGCCTGGACCACGCCTTCCCGGTGTCCTGCCCGCTGTTCCTCTGCAGCCCTTTATCCTTTCCTCCTCACCCCTTTTCTAAGGCCCACACTGCTTTCTTCTGGCTCTTCTGAGTTTCCTGTGGTGTACACACTGCCGGGTGCCTGTTCACTTTGCAGCCTGACAACTCTTATTTAAGACAACCTTGGACTACTGAGAGACTGAGGATATCTAGCATCCCTGGTCTCAGAATGGGCCCCGGCCACGCTCCCAGAACAGACTCTGCCCAGCTCTGAGTCTGGCTGGGGACTGGGAACACAGACCTTCTCTGGCTCTGGCTCATAAGACCCAGTCCCTGTGTATTTCCCCCACTACACTGGCTGAGTGACCTTGAACATGTCACCACTCTGGGCCTGACTGCTTTTCTTGAAAACAGGAATAATCGGACCTACCAATTAGAGCTGCTATGAAGATCAAATGAGTCAAGTGTGTGGAATCCTGCCTGATAAACTTCAAGGCACCGTTCCAATGTAGAGCGTTGGTCTCACCCAGACCCCAACACGGGGCAGCATCTATTGAATAGCGGTAGAACAGTGGTTCTTAACCGGGAGGTGATTCTGACACCCCAGGGGACATTGGGCAATATCTGGGGACATTTTTGGTTGTCCCAATTGGATGAGGGTTGCTATGGCATCTGATTGGTGGAGCCAGGGATACTGCTAAATATCTTACAATGTACAGGGCAGCCCCCACAGCAAAGAATTATTCGCCCCAAATGTCAATAGTGCTGAGATAAATGAAGGTGTGAAATTATATCTGTAGGTACAGACGTGGGTTGTCATTCCAGAAAGGCAAAGGAGCTGTGGGTGGGGAGCTGACCATCAAGGTACCATGGTGACCAAGAACAGGAACCACTGGGGTTAAATGAGATGGCTATGCCCAGGTTTGATAAGTTGAAAACATTTTATTTCAATTCTATCCTTGGGAGGCAGCATAAATAATCACAGAAGACCACAAAGGTCAATGGGGAAGGAAAAAAAAAAGCTCCAGAAATGTGGGAGGAGGAGATGAGTGCTGACACTGTCTAGCTGTGGGGTACGGGGTGAGGAGGCCCTACTGTAGCTGGCTGGGAGGATGGAGGTTCATAAAGGAAAGGCCCAGCTCACCTGGAGGGGCTTGGGTAGCCCTGGCCTCTGTGGATGGGATTTTCCGTAGGGCGGCCATGGGAAAAGCAGGTATGGAGTATAATGCATCTAGTAGATCCTAGCTAATGAAAGAAAAGAGTGGACACCCATTTCTTGATTTCCAGATCTCACCCCAAACTGTGACTCTTCTGAGAACAGTGTTTATAAACTCTTTGTGCGTAGTGGGAAATGAAAGGAGGAAAAAAGAAGGAATAAAAGAAAATGTGTACAAGATCAAATGAAATGTGGCATCTCAGAGTTGCGTGACCTTGGGCCACTTCTCTCGGTTTCCTCATCTGCAGAAGGGAGTAGACGTGAGGCTCCATGAGATCCTATGTGTCAAAGGACTGCAGAAACTTTAAAGTGCTATACGGATGCGAGTGGCTGTGGTCATTCTACGTGCATAAGGCTGAAAGTGGCTGAGATAGCGGTGCTGAGACACACGCAGAGCATCCCTAGAAGCCATCAGACCCTGGTCTGCCTTCCCCAGGGCCAAGCTCCACCCTTCTCAGCCTCAGCTTCCAGGAGGACGAGGCCTCATCTCAGATGGAGTCCCCTGGGGAGGGTGGTGGTGACAGCTGAGGGTGGGGACCTGAAGGATCTAGGGGCACAGAGCGTGAGGGGCCTCAACTGGGCAGTGTGGCACATCGGCACTACTGGTGCTGGGTAGACGGTAGCAGTGGCTTCCAGTTCTCATTCTCCATAGAGACTTGGGCACTGGTGAAGCCCACAAAGGGATTGGCATCTTGATGCAGCGGGAAAGGCCCTGGCCTTGGGGTCTGAACACCCAGGGTCTTGGTCGTGGGCCCATTGTTGACCTGCTGGGTGACTTTATAAGTCATTTCCCCATTGCAACCCTCAGTTCTGTCATTTGTCAAAGGGGGACACTAATCCCTACCCTGCCTGGCTCACAAATTGAATGGGAAAAGGGTGTGCAAGAGCTTTGTAGAGAATCATGGGGAAGGCAAGGGGTCATTATGGCCTTGGAGAGCAATCCTCTGAATTCCCTGAAGACAAGAGGGTGGGAAGGGAAGAGACAGAAAGGAGCCGGGCCGCTCGCTGTCCTCGTCGGGTGAGGCAGGCTTCCGGGGCTGCTGAGGGAAGAGGGGGTGGGACGAAAGAGGGATCACTGCAGCCTGCAGTCCAGCACTTACACTGTGGTACCTTCAGTGATGCTGAGAGCTCCAGGCGGGAGTGCTGAGATGTCCTGGCAGCCCCCTTCACAGGGGAAAAGTCCAAGTTCTAAGTCTAGCTGGGATCCCGCTTCCCCTCTTGCTTCCTGGTCCACTGAGATGGAGCCCCTGCCAACCCCAGGGAGTCTGTAGTCTTCACCCAGCTGAGGGGAAGCCTGGCTCCTGGGGTGGCAGGGAAAGGGGCTGCCGGCAGGGGGTCTCCAGAAGCTGGGGACTTTTATTAGCATGAGGTCAGGAGGTTAGAGGTTGGCTTCCAGTTCTCGAGGTGGTAGGCGGGGGTCCTCAGGCTGGCCCCCACTCCTGTCCTGGCTCTGTCTCTGGGGTCACTGGTAAGGGAGAAGTTAAGGGATGAGTAGAAACGACGGAGAGATCGGCTTAGAAAACAGCCCAGCTGGGGAGCTAACAGTTCTTGGGGCTGTTGCGCAAGTTTTTCAGTTCCAGCTGGAGCTGCCGAATGCGGATGTCCTTCTGGGCCAGCTCCTCTTTCAACCGTCGAATCTCATCCTGCTGCCGGAAGAACATTCGAAGGAGCTGGGGTGGAGGAAGAGAGGGGGCCAAGGAGGGCCCAGGAGAGAGCAGGTGAGACAAGGATTTCCCAGGTGAGTCTCCAGCTGCCTGCCGCCCGTGCCCTCACATTCCCCCAGGCCTCCCACTGCTTGATACATTTATTCTCCCCAGGTGCATTTATTGCACCTCTCCCATCTCTAGCTCAGCCCATGGCTCTTACTTTCCCTTGTGAGGTAGGAAACAAAACCTGCGTCATTAATTGATTCAGGATCACTGAAAAAGGAGTGACCAAACAGTCCAGTTTTCCAAATATCCCAAGCTTGTCCCTTTTTGGGTCCTAACTTAATGCTTTTCTTTACCATTGTATTAATAGATGTATTATTACATCTATAATAATACATAATAATAGATGTATAATAATACATAATAGATGTATTATTACATGTATTACATATATTATTACATTATTATTGCTAATTTATGTATTTATTTATTTTTGAGACAAAGTCTCGCTTTGTCGCCCAGGCTGTAGTGCGGTGGCATGATTTCGGCTCACTGCAACCTCTGTCTCCTGGGTTCAAACAATTCTCCTGCCTCAGCCTCCCGAGTAGCTGGGATTACAGGCATGTGCCACCATGCCTGGATAATTTTTGTATTTTTAGTAGAGACTGGGTTTCACCATGTTGGCCAGGCTGGTCTCGAACTCCTGACCTCAAGAGATCCACCCACCTCAGCCTCCCAAAGTGCTGGGATTACAGGTGTAAGCTACCATGCCCGGCTTGTGCTGATAATTTAGAACTTTCTAAAATGCTTTGTATCCTTCTCTTCTTAAGGAGGCTCAGGATACAGAATGGAATCTAGCTTTTTCCCTACTGATGAGGAACTATGACAAGAATACCAAAGTTTGCACTGGTCAGGGATTCATGTACAGCTATCCTGGCAGATCTTCACCCCAATGA
This sequence comes from Homo sapiens, assembly GCF_000001405.40. Lineage (NCBI taxonomy): Eukaryota > Metazoa > Chordata > Mammalia > Primates > Hominidae > Homo > Homo sapiens. Next base: position 68,724,907 of record NC_000015.10, on the reverse strand, counting down.
CTCTCTAGCTTAACCCGCCTCCATTTCTCCTGTAAAGCATATTGACAGATGTCCACAAAACGCCGAGCCCTGGAAGGCAGCAGGCTCCTTGAGGCTCCTGCACACCTGAGTTGAATGTTACCCACAGTCAATTGTGTTTGGTCTCAAACTTTCTGGTGTGAATTACATTTGTTATTGTAATTGCATAATTTAATGAAATATAATATAAATTGATGAAATGAGCACAAAAAGAGAGTTGTTGTTTCTATAAAAACTTAATTAAATGCTTTAGAAAATCTTGATAAAGATGATGCTAAAAAAACTGTGGCCGAATTGGGTGTGGAAGATCTAGCCCTAAAAGACTGGAGAATATTCTATATCTTGGCTGATGGTGGCTGCATGACTGTGTGTGTTTGTCAAAACTCTTAAACCGACACACTACAGAGGATGAATTTTACCATAGGCAAATTATACCTCAATGTCTCAAAAAAAGATGAGAGAAAACATTGTAAAAACTAGGACTTTGCTTTCAGATGAACTTTAAATTATTTTTCTACCTAAAAGAAATGGAAACTGGAAATGGGAGTTAAGGTGTGATTTGTGTGAAAGACATGGCAGATTCCAACCAGGGAGGGCCTCCTTGAAGAAAAGGTCCTGGTCCTGCATCAAAATATGCTAAATGAATGTATATGTTTTATTTTTATTATTTATTTATTTGTTTGTTTTTGAGACAGAGTCTTGCTCTGTCACCCAGACTGGAGTGCAGTGGCGCGATCTTGGCTCACTGCAACCTCCGCTTCCCGGGTTCAAGGTATTCTTCTGCTTCAGCCTCTGGAGTAGCTGGGATTACAGGTGTGTGCCATCACGCCCGGCTAATTTTTGTATTTTTAGTAGAGACGGGGTTTCACCATGTTGGCCAGGCTGGTCTTGAACTCCTGGCCTCAAGTGATCCACCCTCAGCCTCCCAAGGTGCTGGGATTGCAGGTGTGAGCCACCACCCCGGCCTACTTTTATTTTTTAGGGATAGAGTCTTGCCATGTTGCCCAGGCTGGACTCAAACTCCTGGGCTCAAGCGATCTTCCCACCTGAGCCTCCTGAGTAGCTGGGACTAGAGGGGTGCCACTACACCTCGCATGTTTTATGTTTAAAACAAAAATAAATGGTTTAAAGAAGGTATCGGCCGGGCACGGTGGCTCACGCCTGTAATCCAGTACTTTAGGAGGCCAAGGTGGGTGGATCACGAGGTCAGGAGTTCAAGATCAGTCTGGCCAAGATGGTGAAACCCCATCTCTACTAAAAATATAAAAATTAGCCAGGTGTGGTGGCAGGTGCCTGTAATCCCAGCTACTCGGGAGGCTGAAGCAAAGAATTGCTTGAACCCGGGAGGTGGAGGTTGCAGTGAGCCGAGATCATGCCACTGCACTCCAGCCTGGGAGACAAAGTGAGACTCCATCTCAAAACAAAACAAAACAAAACAACAACAACAAAGAAACCAAATGTATCTATTGGCTGGGCGCCGTGGCTCACACCTGTAAGCCCAACACTTTGGGAGGCTGAGGCAGGTGGATCACCTGAGGTCAGGAGTTCAAGACCAGCCTGGCCAACATGGTGAAACCCTGTCTCTACTAAAAATGCAAAAATTAACCAGGCATGGTGGTGGGTACCTGTAGTCCCAGCTACTTGGGAGGCTAAGGCAGGAGAATTGCTTGAACCCGGGAGGTGGAGGTTGCAGTGAGTCAAGATTGTGCCATTGTACCCCAGCCTGGGTGACAGAGCAAGACTCTGTCTAAAAAAAAAAAAAAAAAAAAAAAAGAATGTATGTATCATTTTTATGATTCTCTCCTTTTGTTTTTGTTTTTTTGAGACGGAGTTTCACTCTTGTTGCCCAGGCTGGAGTGCAATGGTGCAATATCCGCTCACTGCAACCTCTGCCTCCTGGGTTCAAGTGATTCTCCTGCCTCAGCCTCCCGAGTAGCTGGGATTACAGGCGTGCGCCACCACACCTGGCTAATTTTGTATTTTTAGTAGAGACAGGGTTTCACCATGTTGGTCAGGCTGGTCTTGAACTCTTAACCTCAGGCAATCCTCCCGCCTCAGCCTCCCAAAGTGCTGGGATTATAGGCGTGAGCCACCGTGCCCAGCCATGATTGCCTCCTTTAACTAACTTAAAAAAATATAACTTAAAAAAATATTTTTTGTTAACTAACAAACCACCAGTCCCAGTTACATCTGTTGAGAGGGATGACGTGCTATTTGCCTTTGCACTAAATGACTCTACACACTCTTGCGTCTTCCAAGTTCTCAAAATTTCTTTGCATTGTTTTTTGGTCCACTTTTGTCAAAAAAACCGCTTTAGTGAGGTGTAATTCACACACCATAAAAGTCACTCATTTTAAGCTTACAATTCAGCGATTTTTAGTAAAGTTCCTGAGTTGTACAATCGTAGGACTTTTCCCTCGCATCAAGCTGTCAGTTGTTTCCTCACACTTAGATCAATGCGTCCACCTTTGACAGCCCCACTTTCTAACTGGCTGCTTCCGAACTGCTACGATGATTAAAACTGTGGATAAAGGCAGAGTCAGCAGGCTTTGAGAAAGCTTCTTCCCAGCGAGGAAGATGCACAACTTTGGTGTAGATTGTGGCATCTGTTTTGTCTGCTCTGAGACCCTTTAAGCTTTTCCTCCAGGTTCTCAATTCTGATTCCATAGGCAAGTCTACAGCGAAATATTGCTTGATTTAACTACTATTCAACCCTGCCTTCTCCAGACCCAGTGCCAGAACTGAGCTCAGGCCCTTGTTATTGCCCTCCTGGGCTATCACAATGACCCCTGTGTCTCTATCTTCAAAGAGTAGAGTTCTTTTAAAAACAAGAAAATAGCTGGGCGCAGTGTCTCATGACTGTAATCCCAGCACATTGGGAGGCGAAAGTGGGAGGACTGTTTGAGCCCAGGAGTTTAAGACCAGCCTGTGCAATATAGTAAGACCCTGTCTCTACAAAAATGTTTAAAAACAAATTAGTTGGGTATGGTGGTACACGCCGCTAGTTCCAGCTACTCAGAAGTCTAAGGTGGGATTATTGCTTGAGCCTCGGAGATTGAGGTTATAGTGAGCTATGATCGTGCCACAGCACTGCAGTCTGGGAGACAGGGCAGGACTCTGTCTCTAAAACATAAATAAATAAATACAAGAAAACACTTAAAAATTTTTTAAATGAAAAATGTTATATATCTATATTAATAGAAAGTATAGCACCATGAACCCCCAAGTACCCATCACTCAGCTTTAGTCTCTGCCTCCTGGGTTCAAGTGATTCTCCTGCCTCAGCCACTTGAGCAGCTGGGATTACAGGCGCGCACCACCACGCCTGGCTAATTTTTGTATTTTTAGTAGAGACAGGGTTTCACCATGTTGACCAGGCTGGTCTCAAACTCCTGACCTCAGGTGATCCACCCGCCTTGGCCTCTCAACGTGCTGGGATTACAGGCATGAGCTACGGCGCCCAGCCCGTATGACCATTCTTACTTCGCCTCTACTGCCACCCACCTACACTGCACCACTTTCCTCAGGGGTTATTTTAAAGCAAATCCCATTTATCACATCATTTCATCTAGCCCTGAATATCCCTCTACAATGGCATACAAGCATATTTTATGGCAATTATCAAGTTACCTGCCAATCTCCCCCTTAAGACTGTGAGGTCCCAGAGGTCAAGAAGGGTCTTATTTTTATTAATAATAGTGATTAGTGGGCCAGGTGTGGTGGCTCACATCTGTAATCCCAGCACTTTGGGAGGCCGAGGCAGGTGGATCACCTAAGGTCAGGAGTTCAAGACCAGCCTGGCAAACATGGTGAAACCCTGTCTCTACCAAAAATACAAAAATTAGCTGGGTGTGGTGGTGCACACCTGTAATCCCAGCTACTTGGGAGGCTAGGGCAGGACAATCGCTTGAACCTGCATAGGTTGCAGTGAGCTGAGATTGTGCCACTGAGCTCCAGGCTGGGCAACAGAGTGAGACTCTGTCTCAAAACAAAAAATAGTGATAGCATAAGTTGGTGGTATAGACTGTCTAGTTTAAGATGGCTCCCATTTTATCCCCTCTCCTCAAGCATGGGCTGGCCCTAATAGCTTGCTTCAAATGAACAGAATAGGGCAGAAGTGGTGGGATACCATTTCCAAGATTAGGTGACAGAAAGACTGTAGCTTCCATCTTGGGTGCCCTCTCTTGCTCTTCTGCTCACATACCCTGTTGTGAGCTGCCTTATGGAGGAGTCCACGTGGCAGGGACCTGAGGGAAGCTCTGGCCAACAGCCCAAGGAGAAACTGAGGCCCTCACTCCAATAGCCCCTGAGGACATGAGTCCTAGCAGCAACCACATGAGTGAACTTGGAAGTTGAGCCTTCAGATGTGATTCCAGCCCCAGTGGACAGTGTAACTGTACCCTCATGAGAGACCTTCAGCCACGGGCATGCAAAGAAACTGTGAGCTAATAAGCATTTGTGGGTTTAGGCCATTAAGTTCTAGGGTAATTTGTTACACAGCAGTAGGTAGCTAATACAGGTGACCTTTTTCTCTGAGCACTTAATATGAGCCAGGAAGAGTGCTAGACACTTATGAATTATCTCTTTAATGCTCACAGCTTTCCATATCCCTATTTTACCACAAGGAAATGGACTTATAAAGGTCAGTAGACTTGCTCAGTCACAGCCAGGAAATGGCAGAGCCAGGATTCAAATGCAGGTGGGGTCATGCAGCCATCTCCATTTCAGTTGTATCAGGCCTTATGTCTGGCACACAGTAGGCATCCTGTGAATCCCAGCTGAGCTAAACCATGTTGGCATCAGGGAATGGGGGTGTGGGCTGGAACGAAATACCGCTGGGGGACATGGACAAGGCCCAGCCGAGCTGCCCCAAAAGAGCTTGCTCCCATTCCAAGTGGTACAGAGAGCACCTTCATAAACACCCAGTCTCTTCCACAAAGACTGGAAGTGTCAGACTCCAGCACTGCTGCAACGCCAGCGAGGGAGGCAGGGCTGTGATACACGAGGCCGGGCTTGCCCCTGTTAGTCAGGAATTTATAACTCCTGGAACTCCAAATGACAGCAACGTTCTGAAATGAGTTCATGAGGAGATGCATAACTGTGGGTTAGTGAATTTGAGGCGTGGGGGTGGTGTGGGGAACCGATATCTCCAGACATCCCAGCTTCTATTTATTGGGGTCAGAAGCATCAGAAGCCAATATCAGGCTACTTATGGCATTTGTCACAGAAAGAAAAATGTCTCAGAATGGAACTGGCTTAAAGGCCTGAAGCCCATAATTGAAATGTAAAGGTCTTGCTCTTCCAGGGCCTGTGGAGGTAATAACTTACATTCCTTACCTCATTCTCTGTCCTGGGTGGGACATTTTCTAATAAATCTATTCCGTTGACCACAACACTCTTCTTTTCTTTGATGGGAGCCTTAAATACCATTTTTGAGGACTTCTTATAGCCTTCTTTCAAAGACATCAGCACGGGATCTAAAGAAGGCAAGGGAAACGCTCTCACTGACGATCCCATGGACTGTCAGGTGATGGTCCAGCAGGCTGGGTGGGAGGGAAGTTCAAACAGGGGGACAGACAAGGAGAACTGGGGTGAGCTGCGCTGAAGGCAAAGGCTGCAGCCGCCTGTGCTCTGTGGAGCCCCCCGCTGTGGTACCTCGGTTGATGCCTCCCAGCCATTCATCCGGGGTCAGTGCTGGCTCCGTGCCTGGTGTCATTGGGTAAATGTCTTCCTGGTAGGAATCTGACTACAGTGGGAGGAGCAGAAGAGAGGACACATGGGGGGCTGCTGGGAAAGCCCCTACTCTTCAGTCAGACTCTTCTTACTGATCTCCAGTCACTCTACCTGCTCTCCTGCCTCTATGCCTTTGCACTGTGTCTCCCTCCTGGAACTACCTGACTGCACTCATGAGCAAACCCAACTGTCCCCATCTGAGAATGCCCCTCACCCCAAATTAGGTTTGAAGACCCCAGTTCACAGCACATCTCTCACCTGGGTTTCTCCAGGGTCATGGTCAGTGGTGAGCAGGCTAAGAGGCGATGCAGGCCCCCCTCCTGGAGCCCAGCCCAGCCCCACTTACCCTCCGGGGCACGATCATGGAGATGGGCTCGATCAGGCCCTTGAGAGTCACCAGCTTGTAGAAGCGGAACACCTCGCAGGCTGACACATCCAGCCCGTGCTTGGGCATGACCCCTGTAACAGGCACACATGTGGCTCCATGGGGTCCCAGAAACTGCGTCTCAGTGACATCACCCCATGATGTTCTGGGCCAGGGGAAAGGCTGAGGAATGTACTTAGGTTTGGAGGCAACGGCCCATGCAGAGGGCAGGGGGTAGACCGGGGCGCCTTCAATCAGTCTCTGTCTCTGGGTGGTCACTTCTCAAGCTCCTTGGGCCAGACCTGCCTCACCACAGTGCGTGCTTTAGAATTGGACCCTTTAGAATTGGAAGAAACTGCAGAAACATTTGAATCTAGCCCACTCCTTTTCTAGATGAGGGTCCAGAGAGGGTCAGAGGGCAAGGGGTTACCCAAGGTCACAGAGCACAGCAGGGGCAGGGCCACAGAGCCCATTACCCTCTGAAATGAACAGTCATCCCTAAGCCTCCTGTGTCTCCAGTCCTGAGAGAGAAAGGAGGGAGAGGCCATTCCCCATACACCCTAGAGGTCTGGACGCAGCCTAAGATTGCTGTTCTGTTCTATGTCTCCTAGAACCAACAATGTGTGCCCATGTTTCCTGTGTGGGTTCACTTACCACATGTCCCTAACAGCTGCCTCTGCTGAACGTCTATCATGGGGATGAGGGGCAGTGTGGTGGTGCTAGGAGCACAGCTCTATCTAGGGGTGGACCAACGGGGTTTGAGTCCTCACTCTGCCCCCTTTCCATCTAGGAGTCCTTTGGCAAGTTACAACTCTCTGAGCTTCCAGTTCCTTGGCTGGTTCGAGGAGGACAACAATGGCCCTACCTGAGGTGATCAGCAGAATATGTTCCAAGATACTCATTAACTGCCTGGCACCGTGACGAGCACAGACCACATTCATTTCTTTCCCTGTATTGTGAATATGAGTTAAGGCTCTGCCTCTCCTCCTCTGGGCTGGAAGCCTGCTCTTCCACATAAAGGAATTCCAGGAGCTGGAGGTAAGGGGTGAAATGGTTTCCCAAATGGGATTAAGAGCCAGCAGATTCGGTCTGAGTTCTTCTTCTGCTACTTAGCAGATAAGACCTGCCTCAGGTGAGTTGCTTAACTTTTCTGAGTCTACAAGAAGTGCCTACATCACAGCAAATGCTCAATAGTGGTCACAGGTGAGGAGGATGAGGATGAGGATGAAGTGAGTCATTCTGAGCCCTTCCTGCTTCTTTCCTCTCCACCCCTCCATATCCGATACCTTAGCAAGTCCTGCTGACATTACTTTCTAAACATCTGGATTCACACTGTTCTCCCCGTCTTCCTTCTCCCCACCTATTATTCTCTCTTGCCTAAAAGTCTGCAACTTCTTCCTAACTGGTTTCCCTGTCTTCCTCCTGCCCCTCCCAAATCCATTCTCTCTACTGAAGCCAGAGAAATCTTTTTTTTTTTTTTTGACAGAGTCTGGCTCTGTTGCCCAGGTTGGAGTGCAGTGGTGTGATCTTAGCTCACCGCAACCTCTGCCTCCCGGGTTCAAGCGATTCTCCTGCCTTAGCCTCCCAAGTAGCTGGGATTACAGGGGTGTATCACCACACCCAGGTACTTTTTGTATTTTTGGTGACAGGGTTTAGAGACAGGGTTTCACCATATTGGCCAGACTGGTCTCGAACTCCTGACCTCAGGTGATCCACCTGCCTCGGCCTCCCAAACTGCTAGGATTACAGGCTTGAGCCACCACACCTGGCTGCCAGAGCAATCTTAACTAACATTTCGGATCCCATCATGTTGTCTCATGTCCCACTCAAGAAAAAGAACCCTCCCCATAATGATTTCCTTATCAAATGCAAACTCCTTTCCCAGGCTAATGCATCCCATGGATTTAGCCCCTGCCCCCCTCTCCGATGGTCTCCTAACATCCTCCCCCCATCTCCTGCTACATCACAGAGTCTACACCACGCTCAGCCACACTGACCTCCCTTCTGCTCCTAGAACATGCCAGGCTCATTCTGGCCACAGAGGCTTTGCACTAACCATTCCCCCTGCTGGGACTGCTCTTTCTCCTTCCCATCTTTCAGAGCTCAACTTAAAATACCATCATCACAGAGAGGCCTTCCCTGACCACCGGGGTGAAGTAGCCCCCAGTCACTTTCTGTTCTAGCACACCATTTGACTCTCTGCCTAGAACTCATTCCCATCCAATATTTTTCTTATTTGTTTATTGCCTGTCTCCTGCTCAGTGGAATGTGATCTCCATGAGAGTAAGGCCATGTTCTGTTTTATTTGCCACTGGACTTCGCGCAGGGTCTGGTACACAGCTGGAGGTCAATAACTGTTTGTTGAACAACTATGTGAAGGAGCAGGAGGAGTCAAGTGCTCTGCCAGGTGCCTTGCACATGTGGTCTCTAAGCCTTACATTAGCCATTCAAGGAAGGTTTGATTATCCACATTTTACAGATGAGGAAACTGAGACTTAGAGGGATTAAGTGCACAGCTGAGCCAGAATGTAAACCCAGGTCTGACTCCAAAGTCCAGGCTGATTTTTATACTATTTGATGCAGGAGTGACAGTGAAGGAGGTGGGGATGACAGAGTTGGGGAAGAGTAAAGTTGATGGAATGGTGATTAGGACTTCGGACATCTTTTGGTTTCCATTTTGCTGTTGGTCACTGGAGTGGGCTCTCAGGCCCTTTCAGCCCCGATGTTCCTGAAGCTGGCCCTCAGGCCCTGTCCATAATACCAGACCCACAGGGAAAGCAAGCTAGACTCAAGCTCCAAAGAGGATCACCCGCAGAGGTGGGAACGGGAGGTCCCTGAAAATAGGTGTTTCATTGGGTGATTTGGACCCGAAATATAGAATTGCTGAATCATATGCATTACCAGGTTAGTTGAAAGGAAGGAAAATTGGTTGTAAGACTTTTAGTGGTGGGAGAATGTGGGGTCTCACTCACTACACCCTGTCAATCCCAGAGCCCTCTCTGGGTTTCTGCCTGAGAGCCTAGGGAGCTTGGGGCTGCAGTCACGGGAACACCTGGAACTTCTTCCTGCCCTATCAGGCAGACAGAGCTGCTGCTGGGATCTGGGAGTCACGGCTTCCTAGAGGCTCAGGAAGGGACTTGTGCCTAGACCCCACTCTGACCTCTAGTTACGGGACCACTTCCCACCATCATCATAGCCACTGTGGGCTTCAGGCTCCCCATCTGCGATCAGGAGTGCAGACGCAGAGCACATGCTGGCAAGCTGCCGCTGATGGTGGATGTGAGCACAGTGGGGTGACAGCGCCGGTCCAGTGGGCAGTGACAGCTGCAGCAGGGCCAGCTCTTGCAGGTTCTGTTCCAACTTGCCCATGTGCTATGGCCTTCTGAGTCTGATTTTCCACTTAAGGGAGGGGGTGACCCATGGGCCAGATGTCCTCCCGTGCCATGAGCACACCAGCTGTGGCAGCCTCGGGGCCACTTACCTAGGCCTTTCTGCGGGGCTGGGGAGCGGAACTCCATGAGGTAACTCAGGTAGGGCTTCTCAGTGCTGATCTCGTAGTACCGGATGTTTCCATCACCCTGGGGTCAGGAGAGATGGAGTTGAGGAAGGTGGCAGGTAGGGAGGGCAGAGCAGGGCCTGGTCCCAGGAGCCAGCTGAAGACAGCTCTCCCCTGTGCCTCATGGGCAGTTAAAAAAACCAAGGAAACCTGGCTTCTAGGCTCCTAGTGGGTGCACCACAGGGGACTCACTGCGGGTGGAGAGGTGGAGGTGGATGGGCTGATGTGAGTGTGTGTGTGTAGACAGCCTTTCTGACAAACAAGGCTGTATTCACCAAGGATCTCCTGGCGGGTATCTCAAATTCCATCATTCATCACTGACTACACTGCAGGCTCTGATCTTTATTCCAATGTAAAAGCCCGCTCCAGCTCACCTTTGAAGGAATTCTTGGTAGCAGACACTTGAGTAAGAATGGGTGTCAGACTTGAGGGCAGGTGTGGATGGGAAAGGTGAGGCCCAGGAACTTGGAAGGTTAGGCTGGCTACTCTCCAGGGGGTGGGGCAGGTGCAGGGGTGCATTGAGGGTAGGGCTCTCCCACAGGCTGCCCCGGGCCCTCCCCCACCTCCTACTACCTTTCCAGCCAGGTAGAGCATGTGGGTGTCAGCATCATAGAAGGGGAACAGGAGGCCAGAGAGCCCATCAATTTCCTCTTCGATCAGGGGCATGGAGAGGTCCTCCTGAGGGAGAAGAGCTGGTCTCAGCCTCTCTGCAGGCAGGATGGCATACCCCTCCCCAAATCCCAGGAAGGCCTCTTAGGATGGCAACTACTTTATGTTAAGACCTCCCCTAGATGTTAAAAAGCCCGTCCTATGGGTGGTGGCAAGACTGACTTTCTTGTCACGAAAAGCAGCCAGGGGCAGTGGAAAGGGTCTTACAAACAGGAGGCAAGGGACTTGTTCTCATTGTCCCCAAACCTGCTACTTGCTATGTGTCCCCAGGTAAGTCTCTCAATCTCTCTGGAGCTCAGCCCCCACTCTGGAAAAAGAGGGTGAACATCTTGCAGGTGTGGCCGACATTGTTCCTTGAAGCCTCTGTACCCAAGCTCGGCCTCTGGGGGTCTCTGTCTGATTTCTCCACTGGGAATGCTATGAGAAGCTGGTGTGCGGGCCCAGGCTCCTGACTTTCTGAGGAAGTGACCTCCGAGGCAACGATGCTTCCTTTAGCCCAAACCCAGCAGGCCTCCCCGTGGCTGACCTGGTCCCAGAGGGCAATCTGTCTTGTGTTCCACCTGGAGACCCCTGTCGTGAGGAGCCGCTTCATGTTCCCCAGGAACACCACCCGGTTCACTCTGTGGTTTTTGCAGTTGGCCTCCTAGTAGGAACAGAGGGAGGTGGTGAGCCAGGGTCCCCAACATGTGGGTTCTGCAGTGGCATGAATGGTGGTCCCGAAAAGATACACCCATGTCCTCAGCCCTGGCCCCTGCAATTATTTCCTTATTTGGAAAAGGGTCCTTGCAGATGTGGTTAAGCTAAGGATTTGGAGATGAGATTACCCTGGATTATCCAGGTGGATCCTGGATGCCATCATGAGTGTCCTTGTGGGAGAGAGGTAAGATTACAGAGACACACAGGGGAGAAGGTGTGTGACCCTGGAGGCAGAGACTGGAGTGATGTGGCCACCAGCCACGGGAGCCGGCAACCCCCAGAAGAGGCAAGGAATGGGTTTTCTCCTAGAGCATCTGTAGGGAGTACAGTCCTGCTGACACCTTGATGTGGGACATCTGGCCTCTGGAATGGTGAGAGAATACATTTCTGTTGTTTTCAGCCACCTAGTTTGTGGGCATTTGTTACAGCAGCCATAGGACACTGTTCTAAGCACTGTGCAGCAATGGCTCCACAGATGCCTTCTCTGCCATTTCCCAGAGAATGTGGGGAACAGGGAGCGAGAGGGGAGCCAACGTCCACCAAGTCCAGTTGGGGGCTACACCACTTCAGGAGCTCTCACCAGGGGCATTGCTTTTCATCCCCATAACAATATCTATCGGAAGAAATCATTATCCCCATTTTGAGGGTGAGGAAACTGAGGCTCAGGAGGACAAGAGACTCATGCCCATCACTGCTTCACAGCTTGCCTCATCAGGGAGTGCCTCCTTAACTGAGCTGTCTTGGGCCTCCTTTCCTGCCCACTGGCTCGTGACACTTGATTTCCTCCTAACACACAACAGTCCTCGGCATCAGGTAAGTTGGCAGCAAGTCAGAAAAGAGGCCAATGGGGCAGTGCACATATTCAGGCTGGCGTCACACACTCTGAACTCTAGTTCTAGCTCCACCAAAAAAGTGTAGCCCAAGAGAAGACCTTCACCTTCCCTGGGCTCATGGCCCCATTTGGGAATTGGAGGTGGGGGTTCTCTGTTCATAAACATTCTTTCTGCTTGGCATGGGCTCTGGGTTTGAATCCTAGCTCCTCCTGGAACTGTGAGATTCGAGTCTCCCAACTTCGCTAAGGTTAAGTGTTCTCACGTATCACATGAGAGGAGTAACAGCACCCAGCTGAGAGGGTTGTCCTGAGGATTAAATGAGATGATGTGCAGAGCCCCGGGCACAGTGCAGGCCACACAGTGAGCTCTTAGCAGATGTCAGTTAACACTAATCATGCTAAGCAACTCTCATTATTCTTATTTGTAGTGGTACAGGTTGAGTAGCCCTTATCTGAAGTGCTTGGGCCCAGAAGTGTTTCAGATTTTGGATTGTTTCCGATGTCAGAATATTCACATTATACCTACTAGTTGAGCTTCCCACATCCCCAAATCCAAAATCTGAAATGTTCCAATGAGCATTTCCTTTGGGTGTTATGTCAGTGCTCAAAAAGTTTTGGATTTGGAGTCTTTTGGATTTTGGATTTTTGGATTTGGGATGCTCAACCTATAGTACTAGAAAACTTTCTGGTCTTGTAATATTGGACTATTCCAAGGTAAACACACCCAGATCAAGCATTAATCCCTTCTTGTGTAGAAGGCAAACCTCAGATATCATCCATATTTTCCATTCCATCTCTCCCCATGACCAGCACACAGCAGGTGCTCAAAAAATGGTAATTTCTTACTTCCAAATGGCACTTAACCCCTTCCTCAAACCCAAGACCCAGGAGATTCAAAGACCAAAAGTGGAGCTAAGTTCACCATCAGCCTTGGCACCCTAGCCATTTCCCTCAGGCTCATCCTATCAAGTGGCTGGGCAGTGAGTCCAGTGTCTCCTCCTCCTGTGCCTGTGGTGGACCTGGGTAACACCTGGGGATGTATGCACTGAAGGGTGTCACCAGTTCAGCCCCCAGAGCAAGCCAGAAGAATCCTGTCTGGAGGTAGGGGGTGCAGTGGGGACAGGAAAGGGTATGAGGTCCCTCCCCACCCAGAACAAGGCAGGGTTCCTATGAGCTGAGAAGGGCCCAGGAGAGAGAAAGGTTGTTCAACAGAGGTGCAGTGAGATGCACTGGAGAAGGGGGCTGGCACAGCCTTTTTCTTCCAGGCCTGCTGAAAGCTGAGCCCCAGCCCTCAATACCTTCCCCTTCAATCTCAAAAAATGTAGGGTTCCACCTGCAGAACACGGCCAGAGCGGGGCTCAATCACACGCAGCTTCTTGTCCTTGCACGTGGTGGTGAGCAGGCTGCCGTCCGTGTTGAAGGACATGCAGAGGATCACATCCGTGTGGCAGTCAATCATCTTCACCGGCTCACCCACATCCAGGTTCCAGATGAGGACCTGCGAGGGCAGATGCATGGGAGGCAGGGTCAGTGGCTGCTAGGGTCCTGGGGTGTTTGTCCCCAGTGCACACTTGACTGCCCTGGGAGAAGCGCCCCATGCAGGGCCTGGGGTGTGCTGGGGTGCAGGAGGGGGTCATTGAGTTCTATATGGAAAGGCTGATACATCCCTGGCACACAAATCCATCAATATCCTTGGTCAGATCCCAGCACCAGCCTGGGCTCAGTTTATGGAAGAGCAAGAAGGATACATGTTCCTTGTCAGGTCCCATGTGGTCAGCCCACCTTTTTTTGAGGATATGCCTGGGGCTCGGGGCTGAGGCTCCACTTTTTGCCCTCCAGCAGCTTTGGTTACCCCTTTTGCCACCTCTTGGTTAAGAAGTGGCCAGGCAAAGGGTGTGGGCATGGAAGGGGCATTCTCCTCCAATCAACCACCAGAGAAGGCAGAAAAGATGCCTCCGGCCTCTGTGGACCCCAGGAATGACAGGGTGCACAGGAGTTGCTCAGTTGCGTGTAGCGAATGAATGAATGAATGAATAAGCAAATGAACAGATGAGGCCATATTGGTTGCTTAGGAAGCAACAGTGCTTCCTACGGGTACCCAAAAGGCCCCTTTCTCTTCCCCAATCCCTCTCCACCCAGCTGCCTGCCCACTGCATACCTTGTAGTCGTAGCCAGCGCTGAACAGGATGTTGTTGGTGGTGGGGTGCCACTCGACCAGCCCCACACGCCGGCTGTGCCCGTGCAGCTCCAGGAGCGCCTCCGTCATGTTCCGCTTCAGCCCGCCCTCGGGGATCTCCCAGATCCGCACCTGCAGAGGGAGATGAGGGTCCAGGCTGGGTGGACACGGCCAAGAAGTCCCTTGATGAGAGGTGCCCCTTTCCTCGGACACCAGGCTTTCTGAGATCTGCCTGATGAGCCACCTCCTGGCTTGAGGCGATGGGCAAAGCTCGACTGAGGCCTGCTGGGAGGTCTCAGGGTGTGGCTGGAGAGGAAGGAGACCATCTCTCTGCCTGTGGGAGGTTTTCTCTGGGAAGTCTCTGCAGACCTAAGAACTGTTATTACTGGCATGTTGCTACTGCTGTGGCCTAGCCCGGATAAGAAGAACATGCATGAGCCCCTTTTAGCAAATGTTGTGTTAAAAAGCCTATCCTTGCTTCACATGCCACATCCTTCTAGGAGACTCTGCCTTCCTGCTACTCTGCTCAGCCCCACTTTGGCTGTTTGGACTGCAGGGCCTTATCCCCCACTGTGTCCCCCACCCAGGATGGACCCCTGGGCAGGGGGAACTGCATCTGGGAGGCTGAGGGGCCCCAGGTCTCTCCTGAGAGATGGTGGACTTGAAGGCAGAGACTGATCAGATGTTGGGGCCTGAGCTGAAAGGATGGGCAGAGCCTGGATAGAGCTGCTATTTTCAGTCTTGTGGATACTGATAAAGAAGCAGAAAAAGATGATCTGCAGAGAGGAGGATGGGACATGCAGAGAGAAGCAGAGAGGAGACCACGTGGCCCCAGACAGGGAGAGACTGAGCTGTTTCTCTGCAGTCTTGGAATCACCCCCTTAATTATTTACATCAGCCCTGGTGGGCTTCTGTCACTCAAAGCAAACCTCCTCTGCATAGCTTCAACTATTTAATCAATAAGGTAGGTGGTAGGTGGGGGGAACATCCCTGCCCTGTTTCACCTACTGGTAGAATGAAAAGACACAATGGTATAACAGTTTATAAACTGCAAAGTGCTCTAAAGGCCTAAGGAATTATAATTGTTATTATTATCATTAATATTATTCATTACAGTCTAACTGGTTGGAAAGAGCACATGTGACTATAATTTAGGACACTTTAAAAAAACAAAAAAAGAAAAAGAATCTTTCAGCATGAGCAACACAGCGAGACCGTGCCTCTACCAAAGAAACAAAAATTAGCCGGGTGTAGTGGCGCACGCTTATAGTCCCAGCTACTCGGGAGGCTGAGATGGGAGGATCGCTTGAGGCCAGGCGCGGAGGTTACAGTGTGCTGAGATCCACTGCACTCCTGCCTGGGCAACACAGCAAGACTCTGTCTAAAAAAAAAAAAAAAAAAAAACACGAAAAAAAAATCTTTTCGAAAATCTGAACTCCACCCTTGCTAGTAAGGAGAAAAACAGGAAAAACAGCTTTGAGATACCATTTATAATCTGCTAAAATAGCCAACCAAAAAAAAATAAAAAGAGCCAGTGTTGGCAAGGTAATACTAGAAGTTATAGATTGAATGGATGTTGGTAGTATTATAAATCAGAGTAACTCTTTTGGAAGCAATTTGGCAATCTTTAGTAGGAGCCATAAAGACGTTTATATTATACTCTTTGACCCAGTAACTTCACTCTTAAAATACAATATAAGCAAAAAATCTCCATGCATGAAGATGTTCACTGCAACATCATTTATATGGAAAATGTAGAAGCAGTGTAAGTGATCAACATTAAAGGAACAATGTAATACATTATATCAATATGTAATACTAGTCAATTGATTATAATTCCAAAGGCTATGAATAAATGCAGAAAGCATGTTAAAGAAAGTCAAGTCCAGGTGAGGTGGCTCATGCCTGCAATCCTAGCATTTTGGGAAGCCAAGGCAGGAGGATCACGTGAGCCCAGGAGCTCAAGACCAGACTGGGTAACATAGTGAGACTCCGCCTCTACAAAAAATTGAAAAAATTAGCCAGATGTTGTGGCATGCACCTGTAGTCCCAACTATTCAGGAGGCTGAGGTGGGAGGATCCCTTAAGCCCAGGAGTTCAAGGCTGCAGTGAGCTATGAATGTACCACTGCACTCTATCCTGGGCAACAGAGCGAGACTCTGTCTCAGAAAATAAAAAAAAAAGGAAGAAAGCCAAAGGCAGGGCCAGGCACGGTGGCTCACGCCTGTAATCCCAGCACTTTGGGAGGCCGAGGTGGGCGGATCACGAGGTCAGGAGATCGAGACCATCCTGGCTAACACGGAGAAACCCATCTCTACTAAAAAAATACAAAAAAATTAGCCAGGCGTAGTGGCAGGCACCTGTAGTCCCAGCCACTTGGGCTGCTGAGGCAGGAGAATGGTGTGAGCCTGGGAGGCGGAGCTTGCAGTGAGCCGAGATCACGTCACTGCACTCCAGCCTGGGTGACAGAGCAAGACTCCATCTCAAAAAAAAAAAAAAAAAAAAAGAAGAAAAAAAGAAAGCCAAAGGCAGACCAGAAGTCCTGGGAGCAAGGCTAGGAACTGGGGTGCCCCTCAGGGAATTCCTTGGACAAATTTTCCTTCTTGGTGCCTCCTCCTCATACTATAAGAATAAGCATTTCCCTCATGTGTGTTCCCCCCACAGAGCCAGCTCCTGTGGCTGTTGACTGGGAGGTTTCAAGGTAAGAAAGGCAAGTTCTGTCAAGGGTTTGGGGTCACCCTTGGGTGCACCATTCTCAGTTTCAGTAAATCCATTTCAAAAGCCCACTTGCGAAAAACTTTATAATTTGGGGAGAGTTTGAAATATTTTCCCATCCCCATTGTCATCCCCTTTGGTGGCTCCAACCCTCTAGTAAAGTCCAAGACTCCCATACAGTCCTGTGAGATGGTGGGAGGGGGGGAATTGGGGGAGGGAGTGATGTATAGGGGGCCCAGAATACCCCAATGCTCTTTCCTCAACAACCCCTGCACCAGGGCGTTCAGGGATGAAGACTGGTCTGGAAGTGACTGAGAGGGTGCAGGGGGAACAAGCTGGCGAGTACATAACTCAGTAGTCACCACATTCCTTCTGTCCCCAAATGTACTGTAGAAAGGTGACCCTGAAGCTGGGAGACTAATGCTTGGGCTAGACACCCACCTATCGCAGACACAGACATATAGACACACACACTTCTTTCTTTTTACCCAGAAGGGATACTATTACACATGTTCTTTTTCAACTTGCTTTTCTCACATAACAGATCCTGGGCATCTTTCCACACCACTCCATGAATATCTACCTTATCTTTTTAAGTGGCCAGAGAGGCATCTGTTGTATGACCGTTCCATGATGAATATAATCGACCTCTATTAATTGACATCTAAGTTCTGTTCACTTTTTTCCATGATTACAATTTATTCTATGACAAACATGCTCGTAATCCAAGTTTGTGCAGCGGTGTGGATATTCTTGTAGGAAAATGGCTAGAAGTGTTTCATATTTTTTATAGTTACTGTAAAATTGTCCCCAAAAACTGTCCTAGTTTTTAACCCACAGAGTCTGAGACTGCTTCATTATGCCTCTAAAACTATACCTTTAAAAAACTGGATTTTTACCCATCTGATAGGTCAAAAATGCCACCTGTTGTTTGGATTTGTGTTCCTTCCATTCTTAGAAATACCGAGGACAGGCGTGGTAGCTCACGTCTGTAATCCTAGCACTTTAAGAAGCCTAGGCGGCAGCTGGGCGTGGTGGCGCGCGCTTGTAATCCCAGCTACTCAGGAGGCTGAGGCAGGACTATCGCTGGAACCTGGGAGGTGGAGCTTGCAGTGAGCCGAGATTGTGCCACTGCACTCCAGCCTGGGCGACAGAGTGAGTCTCTGTCTCAAAAAAAAGAAGCCTAGGTGGGAGGATTGCTTGAGCCCAGGAGTTCAAGACCAACCTGGGCAACACAGTGAGACCCCCATCTTTACAAAAAAGGAAAAAATTAGCTGGATGTGGTGGCATGCTCCTGTAGTCCCAGGTACTGGGAAGGCTAAGGCAGGGGAAGATCGCTTGAGCCCAGGAAGACGAGGCTGCAGTGAGCTATGATCACACCACTACACTTTAGTGTGGGTGACAGAGTGAGACCCTGTCTCTAAAAAAAAAGAAAAAAAAATACCAGGCATCTTTTCTCATGTCTACCGGCTACCCTTGTCTGCACTTGAGTAGGAAGCTCTAAAGCTTTCAGACTCAAAGGGAAGAGATATTTGGGGGCAGAGGATTCTGTCTAGGGATGTCTCATACTGTATCTTGGTGCATAAGCATTGACTGAGGTAGAATAGTTGCCCCTGGCCATCAAGAAAGATCTTTGAAGCCAAAAGTTGAGCCTCATTAACTCCACTAACACCTCCCGAGGGCCTCCTATGAGCCAGTGGGGTGTGGTGTTGAACTTGCCCATGCCTGCTCTTGAGTAGCACTAAGCGGTGCATGCAGACGGAGAGCCTGTGGGGGCACAGAGCTGTTGGAAAGCTTGAACCCAGCTGTTAGGGGGACGAGGGTGGGAGGGCCTGGGAGGAGCAGTGTTGGAAGAGAGGGTGTTGAACTAAGTTTAAAAAGACAAGTTGGGATGTTGGAAGCGGTGAGGAGGCAGAAAAATGCCCAGTGTGTGTGGGGTCGGGCGCCAGCAGGTAGGGAACCTGCACGGGGGTCAGCCTGGCTCGTGTGGAGCAGGCTGGCTGGTGGAGAGGAGGCCAGAGGTCATGTGTGTCATATCTCGTCACTGAGGCTTGAAGAAGCCCTGCTTGGGCCCAGAGTCTCAGAAGAAAACTCTTTCCCAGGACACCCTAATTCCTGAGCAACCCAGTAACTGAGGCATCTCTGGGTTACACCTATGCCAGGGTAAGGTAGAGTCACATGGGGGGCTGTGGAGTGAGCCCCAGCCCAGGTTCCAGTCTCACGTACTAGCTGAGTGACTGTGAACAAGCCAGTTAACCTGTCTTGAGGCTCAGGCTCCTCATCCAGAAAATAGAGACTGTACCTGTTAGAGGTGTGTGGGTTCAAGTAAACTGGGTGCAGAGCTCTTGGAAGTGTGAAGCCTTCTAGATACATGAGCTGACATGCTGAGGTGACAGCTCTGCCTAGGAGCCTAGGGGCTAAGCCCAGGGATGGGGGGTCAGGGTAACTGGTGTCTATGCCCAGGCACCAGCCCCTTAACTGGATTCAAGTCTCATGGAATGAAGGGCTACAGATGGAAACCAAGAGAGCTGTTTTCACCAAGAACTGTTGGATGTAGGGTCTCAGGCAGGGCTTGAGGGACTCAGATGAATAAATATCCCACAGAGAGGGAGAGAGGTGCCTTGCTTTATCCCCATTTGATACCAGCCACTTCCCTCCCTGGGTCCTGGTTTTCTCATCTGCACATTTACTTTCTTTTTTTTTTTTTTTTTTGAGATAGAGTTTCACCTTTTGCCCAGGCTAGGGTGAAGTGATGTGATCTCAGCTTACTGAAACCTCCATCCCCTGGGTTCAAGGGATTTTCTTGCCTCAGCCTCCCGAGTAACTGGGATTATAGGCGCCCACCACCACGCCCAGCTAATTTTTGTATTTTTAGTAGAGATAAGGTTTCGCCATGTTGGCCAGGCTGGTCTCGAACTCCTGACCTCAAGTGAGATCCACTGTACCTGGCCTTCATCTGCACATTTAGATAGTATTAGTTAATCTTCCAAACTTTTCTGCTTTGACATTGAATACATTACTGGGAGAAGGAGACGGGCTCTGCTTGACCCATGGCTATAGCAAACAGTTGGCACCACATGCTACAGAGCTCAGAGGAGGAGCTGGAGTTCACAGTGGGCCTGAGTAGCTGGGAAAGGAATTCCAATCCCTTAGTATTCGAGGGATTTGTTGAAAACAGAGTGGATAAGGCATGGGAGGAGCCCTGTGGATCTGCTCAGAGGTTGCTCTGGGAGGTTACTTCAATTCAACAGGAAACTCAGTAGCGTTTGCCAAACCGGATTTCTGGAAGGAAAGGGTGGGGAGAAGTGGCAAAACTACTCTCTCCAGCAAGCCTGCCTTGCTGGGGACTGTCCCCTTTACAGGTCCCTGGGTCAGAGCCTTGTTTAATTCAGTGATGTTCAACCCAACAGAACATACCCAGCTCCCCTCTGTGTGCCAAACAGATTAGATACGGGGGAACGGCTCTTAGTCTCAAGTAGCTGTCAGTCTTGTTGGGGAGGCAGCAGACACTGCAGACAAGGCAAAGGCAAGGCAGCTGATAAGGACAGTTAATAAAGCTACAAAACCAACTGTCCCTGCACGTGGGAGAGGGAGCAGCTGGCCAACAAGCAAGAAGCTTTGTGGTCTGACAGCTCTGTTAGAATGCAGGCTCTGACCTTATTGGCTGTGAGATTTTCCCCAAGTTTCTTAGCCTCTCCGAACATCTGTCTTCATACCTGTAAGGATAATTATACCCATACAGCAGAGCTGCTATAAATACTAAGTAAAGATAAAATGTATACACTACCAAGCAGATGACCAAAGAATAACACTTAAGGATGCTTACCTAATATTAATTAGGGATCATACCCAAGTTTTATAGTGGTCAAACTTTAGATGTAATTGGGTTATAGTTTTCTTTTTTTTTTTCAGACACGGTCTTGCTCTCTCACCCAGGCTGGAGTGCAGTGGTGCAATCTTGGCTCACTGCAGCCTCCACCTCCCAGGATCAAGCCATCCTCCCACCTCAGCCTCCCAAGTAGCTGAAACTACAGATGCGCACCACCATGACCAGCTAATATTTGTATTTGTGTGTGTGTGTGTGTGTGTGTGTGTGTGTGTGTGTGTGTATGTGTGTGTAGAGAAAGGGTTTTTGCCATATTGCCCAGGTTGGTCTCGAACTCCTGAGCTCAAGTGATCTGCCCACCTCTGCCTTGCAAAGTGCTGGGATTACAGGCATGAGCCACCGAGCCTGGCCAAGTTATATTTTTCATGTGCACTTTGTTGCCCGCTGTGTAGTCAATACATATGATATGAAGTTTGTTTCCATTTTATGGAATGCAGCATAAACTTCATCTTTAAAACGCGTACATGATTATGGAGGTGTCTGGTTAGATCTCTGCTTTCTGACATGTTGAGGGTCATGACTGCTAGTGACTTAGGGCTAGGGCTGTTAGCTCCTCTGATGACACTGTTCCTAAGGGGCAGAATTCTCCATTTAAGGGACCTGCTGCTTATTACACAGCTACAGCAAGCAGACAGTACCCACTGTCTGTATATATGGTATAGAAGTTCACAGGAGGAGTTGGAGTTCACCATGGGCCTAAGCAGCTAGGAGAAGATCTGATATCTAACCCCTTAGTAGCTACTTCAAAAAACAAACAAATCTGTTTTGGGGTAGCGTGGGGAAGAACAGGACAGTATAAGATATGGTTTCTGGGCTGGGCGAGGTGGCTCACACCTGTAATCCCAGCACTTTGGGAGGCCCAGGCGGGCAGTTCACTTGAGGTCAGGAGATCAAGACCAGCCTGGCCAACATGGTGAAACCCTGTCTTTACTAAAAATACAAAAATTAACTGGGCGTGGTAGCGCGTGCCTGTAATCCCAGCTACTCGGGAAGCTGAGGCAGGAGAATCATTTGAACCAGGGAGTCGGAGGTTGCAGTGAGCTGAGATCGCGCCACTGCATGACAGCCTGGTGACAGAGCAAGACTCCGTCTCAAAAAAAAAAAAAAAAAAAGAAAAAAAGAAAGATATGGTTTCTGGGCTGGGCACAATGGCTCACTCCTGTAATCCCAGCACTTTGGGATGCGAGGCGGGTGGATCACTTGAGTCCAGGAGTTCGAGACCAGCCTGGCCAACATGGTGAAACCCCGTCTCTACTAAAAATACAAAAATTAGCTGGGAGTGGTGGCATGGGCCTGTAGTCCCAGCTACTTGGGAGGCTGAGGCATGAGAATCGCTTGAACTCAGGAAGCAGAGGTTGCAGTGAGCCAAGATTGTGTCACAGCACTCCAGCCTGGGTGCCAAAGTGAGACTCTGTCTCAAAAAAAAAAAAAAAAAAAAAAAGAAAAAGAAAAAGAAAAAGATATGGTTTCTGCCCTTGAGAAGCCTCCAATTTAGCTGTATACAGTACACAATCATTGGCTCCAAGATTTCCATCTAACCAATCCACAGAGATGGTGCCTGGGTCCAAGAGCACAGTAACTGTGATGTCTCCTGCAGTGAAGAGAAAAGCTGAAGGTGTTTGCTTAGGGGCCAGGAGGCTCCTGGAGCTCTCTCCTCCCCGTTTCTTGTCAATCATTCTGTTCATTCTAAAAATTGAGTTTATCATCATTCATCTAAACAAGAGGTAGAATCTCAACATCTACCTTGATTCTGACATCTTCTGAGCACTGGACTCACTGTTTGCCAATATGGGAAACGAATCCCACCAAACCCAGGGAGGTAGGAGGGGCGAACTGAGGACCCAGAAGGAAGCATTGTTGAGCATCTACTGCTGTGAGTCCTGGGAGGGGGTTGCTAGAGGATGCATGAAGTGGTCGTTGTGGCGCTGGATGCATGAAAGAATAAGTGCTACCTATTATTATTATGACTACTAAAGACTGTCCTTGCACAGATAAGGAAATGAGGCCCACAGAGGTGAGAAAACTTGCCCAGGTGTCACAGCTAGGAAAGGAGGAGCTGGGATTCAAACTCAGAATTGGAATCAGGCAGACTACCCTCCTCCTCTCTTCCACACTCCTGCCCGTGCCCGTACCTGATTTTTCCTTCTTCCCTGGGCTGGACCCAACCCCCTGAGGAGGACATGATCTGTCCTTCCGCTTATCATGTTGGCCAGGCTGGTCTCAAGCTGCTGACCTCAGGTGATCCACCCACCTCAGCCTCCCAAAGTGTTGGGATTACAGGCGTGAGCTACCGTGCCCGGCCTGGGCAAGTTATTTAAACTCTTGGGCCCTCACTTAAGGAAAAGAAAGTAACAGTTAATGTCTATGGAGTTCTTAGGGGACACAAAACACTTTTATATTCATCTAGTTCTCAGAGCCCGAGATGATTCCTATTTTACAATAGGGCAACTGGTACTCAGAGGTAAAGAAACTAGTCCTAGGCCGGGTGCAGTGGCTCACGCCTGTAATCCCAGCACTTCGGGAGGCCGAGGCGGGCAGATCACGAGGTCAGGAGATTGAGATCGTCCTGGCTAACACGATGAAACCCCGTCTCTACTAAAAATACAAAAATTAGCCGGGCATGGTGGCGCGCACCTGTAGTCCCAGCTACACGGGAGGCTGAGGCAGGAGAATGGCGTGAACCCGGGAGGCGGAGCTTGCAGTGAGTCGAGATCGCGCCACTGCACTCCAGCCTGGGCGACAGAGCGAAACTCCGTCTCAAAAAAAAAAAAAAAAAAAAAAAAATTAGCCGGGCGTGGTTGCAGGCGCCTGTAGTCCCAGCTTCTCAGGAGGCTGAGGCAGGAGAATGGCCTGAACCCGGGAGGTGAAGCTTGCAGTGAGCGGAGATCGCGCCACTGCACTCCAGACTGGGCGACAGAGCGAGCCTCCGTCTCTCAAAAAAAAGAAAAAAAAGAAAAAAAAGAAACTAGTCCTAGATCGCAGAGCCTGGAAGTGGCAGAGCCAGGATTTGAACCTAGGCCTAAGGGACTCCTGAGCCTGGCTGCTTAGCCAGGGAGCCATACTGCTGCTTTCTCTGTGGCTGCTAAATCATTAGTGAAGACCCACTCGGCGCACTGGCCCCTCAGGGCTACCTTCCTTCTACAAAAGTGCATCACTCCCTTCCAGCTCCAAGAGGTATTGGTTCCGGAGCTCGGGAGGTGGGGGTGTGCAGGAGGCAGGGTGGTGGGTGGCTTCCAGCAGGGCTGACATCCTGTCCATCCCGCCCCCAGCTCCTCAGGGAGGGGCATCATCTACAGGGTGAGGAGAGCAGACACAGGATGGAAGAGCTTGAATAAAAGGCAAAGGAAAGATGTGGAGCTCGGCCCACCAGCAAGAGGCGCCTGCCTCTTCTCCCTCCTCCCTCTCTCCTGGGATCGCTCTCTCCCTCTCCTTAAGATGACAGAAACCTCTCTCTCTCTCCGCGGCTGCTGGCCCCAGGAGAAGGGCTGGGAGCACGAGGCTTGGAAACCGATAGCGCCCTTCCCTGCCGCCTGCCAGCCGCCCTCCCTAGCTGCGGCAGAAGCTATAAAAAGCATAGCCTTCAACAATAGGTGACATCACCCAGCAGCGGAAAGAACTGGATTCTGCCAGATGCCAGGGAGAGTTATGGCCCCCAGCCCTCCCTCGGGCCCAAAGCCCCTGGGGAAGGGCCTGGGTATGTTCTGCTGGATCCCTGGCGGGATGGAGGATAGACTCCAGAGGACCTCCTCCTGCTCAGGGAGGGGAAACGGATCCTGGGGGACGGGGATTGATTTCACTGGAGGTTGCAGGGCTGGGGGATATGGGGAAGGAGCTGGGGAAATCAGGGCTCGTGAAATCCCACCAGTGTCCTCTGAATGTTTTGAGACAAGTAGAGGGAAGTGGAGGGCTGGGGGTGAAACAGGCAGGCACTACCAGGGGAACTGGTCCAGACCTGCTGTGAAGAGCTTCCCTCTGGGCCCCTGTGGCCTGGCGCCGTCCCCAGCCCTGTATGTAGCACAGTGCCTGGCACACACAGCAGCTTTGCCGACTGACCTCCCAAGCCTGGGTCTGGATGTCGTGTCTGGTGAGCAGCAAGTTGACCATTCCAGCTGGAATGGGTGGAGGGAGGGCCTCGGTGGCCGATGCCTCAGGTGCTTTGAAGGAGGCAGGGAGGCCGTGGGAAGGGCCCTGGCAGCAGTGCTGACCTCCTGTCCACCCCCTGGAAGCTGCAAACTCCATTTCCTTTACGCCCCACCCCCTCCCAGGCTGCAGCGGGGGATGCCTCTCCTGTGCTTTCCCCCAGCACCCAGGTTGGACCCTGAGGAGAGCAGACGCTGTGATGTAAATGTTGAGCGTGATGAATCTGAACTGTCAGCCCAGCCCACCATGGCCCTGAGCCTCAGTTTCCTCCCTTGTAGAACCAGGGCCACTGGTGAGGGGCTGAGAGTGCAGACTGGGAGTCAGGGGACCTTCCTAGGACAAAGGCTCCCTGTGTGACCTTGGGCAAGGCACCTCCCTTAGGGTCCCAGAGCACGTCCTCCAGGAGAGGTTGGGATCCAGCCTCAGGAACCTGTTGGTTCCACTGCCAAGATCCCTAGCTCCAAGGCGGGGAGGGGTGGACACCCGGGTAAGATGCGGTTCAGGGCTGTACTTCTGGGGCAGCTGGCCTGGCAGCTGGAGCGAGAGCTTAGTTCCTCTCTGATCCAGACTTAATCTCCTTGTCTCTGGATCAGCAGCCCAGGCCAGCCCCTCCCTTCCTGTGCCCCAAGCCCGTGTCCCTTCCCTTCACTCCTCCAGCCACACCCCTCCGCTCTTCCCTTCTCTCCACTGATCTACCTGTATCCAGCTAGTTCAGGCCCCATGTCCTCCATAAATCTGTCTGTGACCCCCTCCATCCACACAGGTCCCCTTGGTTCCCTGGAGCGTGTAGTGTCTCCCATGCACCACACTCGGTGGGGTCCACTGATGCTCAGATGGCTTGAGAAGCACAAGTCTCGCTGCAAAGTTGGGCTGCTCACCCTGAACCCTAAGCCTTCTCTCCTTGGGTCCAACTGCCCTTCGCAGCTGCCCTTCCTGCCCGCTCCTCTCACTGACCACCACCCCAGGGCTCCAGTCACACCAGATGACTCTCCCTTTTCTAAGCGCACTGTATATGCATTCTCTCCAGGCCAAGCACACCGGATATACTGGGTCTCTTCCTGGGACTCCTTCTCTAACCCTTTTTCTGTCTGTCAATGTCCTGCTTCTCCAAAGTCCAGCTAACTACCTCTTCTCCTCTCTGCACCTTGGTCAAAACTAATCTCTCTCTCTCTTCTCTGTGTGCATAGCCCTTTGCTTGACCTTGGTGGATGCAATGACCTCATTCTGCACCACGTTTTGGTGGGTGGGGTGGGCCCTGCCCCTCTGCGCCTCTACTAGGGGTGTTTCCAGAGCAAGAGTGAGATGAGCAGGCATAGATGAAGGGACAGGCATACTACTGGGCATAGGCTAACCTTCATCCTCATCACAACAGCCAAAGGGAGGTATCTTACTGTTTCAGAGACGAGCAAAACCGAGGCTCAGAGAGGCCAAGTAACACTCCATTGGCCACCCAGATGGTAAATGGTGAAGCTGAGATTCCAGCCCAGGTCTACCAGATCCCTCTTTGGACCCCAGCAGCCAGGGTGGTGCAAGGCATACCGTGGTCTGTCAGTCAGTGTGTGCAAAACTGAACAGAGTCTCTTGGCTCATGTGGCCGGGGATGCAGCCTTATGTTTTTCTTGGACACAAACCATGGATGTCTTGTTTACAAGCTGGGGTCCTGGAGCATGAGGCACATATCAGGTTAAATAAGACGCCGAGCTAGGACTGGTCAGATCCTTCTCACCATGAGCCAGGCAGGAGAAATTGAGACCTGAGGAGGAACCTGGGTGGCCAGTGATTCCAGGAGCCCTGGTCTAATTTGTCCCCCCTACATCAAGACAGGCACTGCTCATCTGTTATCCTAGCTGGGTCCCTGGGTAAGACATGAGCCACTGGGAGACAGCATTGGCTGTCTGTGATGAGGAAGCTTGGCAGAGCATGGGCTTTGCAGCGAGCAGGCCAGGTAAAATCCCTGCTCCTCTACTTCCTGGCTTGTGACCTACCTACCAACCCTCAGTTTGGGGGTGGCAGTGCCTGTCTCATGGAGTGGCTCTAAGAGCTAAATGTATGTGAAAGGCCCATCCCAGAGTGGGTAGAGGAGCAGCCCTGAGTTCCAGGGGCTACTACCTGCTGGCTGGTGACACCAGCTGGGGTCAGCCCTTCCCGCCACTCTCCCAGCACCTCAGCAGGCAGGGACGGAGCCAGCTGTGGTCACCGCATTCCTTCTTGGGCTCCCTGAACCCAGGAGAGAAGGATGGGCAGCACCTCCACCTGCCCTCTCTCCCACTGACCCCAGGCCTCTTGTGCTGGCCACTGGGCTCTCCAGCCTCCACCAGCTCCTGTGCCTCTTTCCCAGCCCAGGAAGCAACCGGTGAACTCTCTGTGTCCCCCAGCTCCAGCACCTGTGCCCTTCCTTCTGCAGCCCTGGCCTGCCTATGTCCTGACCCCTGACCACTGTCCCTAATTTGGTTCTGGGCTGCTGAAGCCTGATGGACCATCTTCACTATAGGCTCTTGCTCTCTCTGCTCCCAAGGGCACTGCCTTCACTGCTGCCACTCTCAGGAGCCCTCTGTGATGGACTATGGGCTGGTCAAGTGCACTCCACCCTTCCAGTCACCTCCTCACCACTCTCCCATGTACTAGGTACTGTGCCAGCTGACCTCACCCCCAGCGTGTGAACTGATGGAGGCTATTTACTGTGAATCTTTCTTTCTTTGGATAACTGATTAGATGGACTATATTAATTTACTTGTTCATGTGTTTATCTTTCATTCATCCATCTACCCACCTGTCATACAGTCATCTATTTACTTATCCATTCTTTCATTCATTCATCTATCCATCATCAATTTTACTCATTCGTCTCTCTATCCATCAATGTAGTCATACACCCAACAATCCATCCATCCATCCATCCATCCATCCAACAATCCATCCATCCATCCATCCAACAATCCATCCATCCATCTATCCATCCAACAATCCATCCATCCAACAATCCATCCATCCATCCATCCACAATCCATCCATCCATCCATGCATCCATCGATCCCATCCAACACCTACTAAGCATTTATTAGGTACCAGGCCCTGTGCTGGATGCATGGGGTGCAGAACCAAATAGGCTGTGGTCTCTGCTCCCAGGAGCTCACAGTCCAGTCTGGGAAGACAGGGAGACATGAGCTCTGAAGTTCCTTCCCATTCCAACATTCCTGAAAATCTGACCGGTACCCAGGCTCTGCCAGTGAGCACCAGGTAGATGCTTGTGGCCTGACTAAAAGGCTGGGATTTTCCTTTGCCTGGGAACACCAGGGGCTTAGGCTGATCCTCCTTCATCTGGGAACACCAGGCCCTCCTCACCAGCTCAGCTGAGGCTCTGAAATCTCCTCTTTCTTCCAAGCTGGTGTACTGATGCTGCTCAGGGACAGTGTGGAACACATTATGGGACCCTCCCTCTGGAAGGCCACTGCCAGCGCCCTCTGACCCTACCTCCACTGGTGAAAGTTGGTAGAGTCTGAGGAAGGAGTGGCCAGAACACAGTTTCAAATTTCACTTTCCCTGGATTCTTTTTTTTTTTTTTTTTGAGGCAGAGTCTTGCTCTGTCACCCAGCCTGGAGTGCATGGACTGCAGTGGCACGATCTCAGCTCACTGCAACCTCCGCCTTCCAGGTTCAAGTGATTCTCCTGCCTCAGCCTTCCGAATAGCTGGGATTACAGGGGTGCGCCACCACGCCTGGCTAATTTTTATCTTTTTAGTAGAGATGGGGTTTCACCATGTTGGCCAAGCTGGTCTCGAACTCCTGACCTCAAATGATCCACCTGCCTCAGCCTCCCGAAGTGCTGGGATTACAGGCATGTGCCACCATGCTCGAACTCTTTTTTTTTTTTTTTGAGACAGTGGCTCATTCTGTCACCCAAGCTGGAGTGCAGTGGCACAATCACAGCTCACTGCAGCCTTGACCTTCCAGGCTCAAGTGATCCTCCCACCTCACCCTCCCTAGTAGCTGGGACTACAGGTGTGCACCACCACACCCACCTAGTTTTTTTTTTTTTTAATTCAATTTTTTGTAGAGACGGGGGTCTCACTGTGTTGCCCAGGCTGTCTCAAACTCCTGGCCTCAAGTGATCCTCCTGCCTTGGCCTCCCAAAGCACTGGGATTACAGGCGTGAACCCACTGTGCCCAAGCCACTTACCCTGGATTCTTTATCCCCCTCTCTAAATTGTCTCTTTCCCCCTTTCCCTCCTATCTCTATTTCTCCTATCTGTTCTCTCCCTGTTCTCTCTGTCTCCTCCCTGATCTCTCTTACTTATCTCCCTTCTCCTGTTTCTTCTCTCTTCTCATTGAATGGTGGGACACATGGAGTTCAAATTTTGGGTCACCTGTGTGGGTCCTTGGAAAAATCAGGACACTTCTCTCAGCTAAGTCTCCTTTCCTAGAAACCACGACTCAGAGAGGACAAACCAGATGGTACATTTACCCTGCCCAGCCTGCAAAGAACAGGCGCTCTTTTCCTCATGCCCATCCAGTTCCTTCCTTTTCTCCCTCCCTCCTTGTTCATATTCTTTCCCTTGCCCTTCTTTAGACAGCATAGACAAATGCTGAATCACACGCTTAATTTTTAAATTCTAATTCTCACCTACAAAAGCAACACCTCCAAGCTCAATCACACTGAAAACACAGATCTCTGGAATCCAGCAGGGATTTGCTGCCTTGGTTCTTTCCTAGCTCCCATCCCCCCCACATCGTGGGGCTTGCTGGAAAGATGACAAAGAGGAGGGAAGAAGGGCAAAGGGTGGAGGAGGGGAGGGTAGGAAGAGAGGCCTCCAAAGGAAGCAGGGAGGGGCCTGAGCCCACCCTCCTCCGGGAGCACCCCTCTGCTCACCGACGTGTCCTCCGAGCACGAGGCAATGATGTTGTCGATGAAGGGGTTCCATTTGATATCCAGCACATTGCCCTGGTGGCCGCAGACCTTGGGGTAGTTGGGTTCAATCCTGCCTGTCTGCAGAGGAGAAAGAGAGAGAGAGAGAAGGAGATTAGTTTGATGGCCCTGGGGTGGCCTTGAATGGAGCACCTTTTTTCTGGGCCTCTCAACTGGACTGGAAGGTCCTTGAGGAATCACCTGTGTTTTATTTTTGTTTTTGGGCCCTGCTGGGCCAAGTCAGTCTGGGCCACACTGCTCTGCAGCTGTGTCCTCCCCAAGACTGAATGGTTCAGGGAGGCCACACAGCCATGGTGGGACAGGCTGCTGCTCGTTCATATACACCTCTGCAAATAAGGAAAAGGTGCCCCTGCATCAAGTAAAAGTGTTTAAAGTTAAGCTGTTACTACCCACTGGAGTGACCAGCCTGATGGGCAGCAGCCCTGGTGGCACACACACAGGCCCACGATCTGCCTTGTTCACGCACGCTCAGATGCTGGGTGTACCTACTCTCCCTGGGGCCCACACTCCCTGCTTCCCCCAGGGCACAGTCAGCTTTGGATCAGGAGGAGGCTCTTTCCTGCTGCTCTGGGAGTCAGCAGAGAGGTCTGAATCTCTGGGTCCACCTATATACTCTTACACGAGCCATTCTCTCTACGATATGAATGAGCGTCCTTCTGCAGTGTACATCTTGAACACCGGTACACAGTGCCCTGTGGTTGAAAGCATAGTCTTCGGAGTCCCACAGGCCTGTGTTTGAATTACAGCTCTGCTGATTTTTAGCAGTGAAAGTTGTGGCCTTAGGAAAGTTAATGAACTTCTCTGAGCCTCGGTTTCCCCTCTCTAAAATGAGAATAGCAATGTCTACTTTTTAGCATTGTTGTGAAGATTATGTGAGCTAATATGCTTAGCAAAGCACTTAGTGAAGAGAATATCAGTAAATGCTCAATATATGACAGCACTTATTATTGTACAGCTTAGATGACACCTCCTGCAGAAAGTCTTCCCTGATCCCTTAGTGGGTGAAGATCTCTTCCTCTGTGCTCTCACAGCATTCTGTGCTTCCCTCCATTATAACACAACCAAGCCGGGTGCGGTGGCTCACACCTGTAATCCCAGCACTTTGGGAGGCCAAGGCGGGCAGATCACCTGACGTCAGGAGTTTGAGACCAGCCTGGCCAACGTGGAGAAACCCCATCTCTACTAAAAATACAAAAATTAAGCAGGCATGGTGACACACGCCTGTAATCCCAGCTACTCGGGAGGCTGAGACAGGAGAATCGCTTGAACCCAGGAGGCGGAGGTTGCGGTGAGCCAAGATTGTGCCGCTGCACTCCAGACTGGGTGACAGAGCAAGACTCTGTCTCAAAACAAACAAACAAACAAACAAACAAATCACAACCAGATCTGATTTGCAGTTTGTTTCTGTTTGTCTGTGAGCAACTGAGGACAGAGTCTGTGTCATCCTTGTCTCTGAATCTCCAGCCCCTTACAGGTCTGGTACCCAGTAGGTGCTCAGTCCATGACTTCCTGGGAGGGGGTGAGTCCACAAACGGATGGAACAAGGGGCGTGGATGGGTGTGGAAGAGCTGTTCCATGTTTAGCGGCTACAAAGGTGGCAGAGAAGGGAGGGGGAATAGGCAGAAGCTATGCTTCCATCTCTCAGGTCTTTTTCCTGCTACTTTTTTGGGGAGTTTGGAGGAAAGGAGGCAAGGAAGTTTCTCCAGTTACGGCCCATCTGCTAACAGTGGGTAGGTGGTCAGAAAAGAGGGAAGTCTAGGAGGTTATACCGCTGTCTCCTTCAGATTCCTCATCAGAATAATAAGGAGGAGGAGAACCAATTTCTGCCAAGCCCTTGCTACTGCACATGCCTGGCACTTCCCAGTGAGATGAAGAAGAGTTATTTCAGAGTATGTGTCCTGCTGTGACCTCTTCCCCACCACTTCCTGCCTGCATCTCTGTCGGCTCATTTCCAGATCGTTTGATCTTTTGCAACAGAGCCATGGCAGGATGGGTAGAGGAAAAAACAGGACTGGAGAAAATGGTAGTGGTATGGAAGATGCAGAATGAGGCAGAGAAAGAGAGGGGGAAAAAAGCCTCAGAGGCTGGACCCAGGAGAATTTCACTGATGTTGTATGTTGTGGGAAAATTAGAGGATAGAGAAAAAGGATTTGGAGAGCGTTGATATCAGTTACAAATGGGCTTCCTTTCAATATTCTATGAAAGATGCAGTTAGGTTTGGAATATATTTTAAATTACTTTTGGGCTGTTAGAATATAATTTTTTAGGCCAGGCACGGTGGATCATGCCTGTAATCCCAGTACTTTGAGAGGCTGAGACGGGTGGATCACCTGAGGTCAGGAGTCTGAGACCAGTCTAGACAACATGGAGAAAACCCGTCTCTACTAAAAATACAAAAATTAGCCAGGCATGGTGGTGGGCACCTGTAATCCCAGCTACTTGGGAGGCTGAGCCATGAGAATCACTTGAACCTAGGAGGCGAGGGTTGCAGGGAGCTGATATCACACCACTGCACTCCAGTCTGGGCGACAGAGTGAGACTCTGTCTTCAAAAAAACAAAAA
This sequence comes from Homo sapiens, assembly GCF_000001405.40. Lineage (NCBI taxonomy): Eukaryota > Metazoa > Chordata > Mammalia > Primates > Hominidae > Homo > Homo sapiens. Next base: position 68,692,637 of record NC_000015.10, on the reverse strand, counting down.
AAAAAGGAAAGTTTTTAAATTTTAATGTTAATTTTTTTTATTTATTTGCTTTTGAGACAGAGTCTCACTCTGTCGCCCAGGCTGGAGTGTAGTGGTGTGATCTTGGCTCACTGCAACCTCCGCCTCCCGGGTTCAAGCGATTCTCCTGTCTCAGCCTCCTGAGTAGCTGGGACTACACGTGTCAGCCATCATGCCCAGCTAATTTTTATATTTTTAGTAGAGATGGGGTTTCCCTGTGTTGGCTGGGCTGGTTTTGAACTCCTGACCTCAGGTGATCCGCCTGCTTTGGCCTTCCAAAGCCGTGTGCCATTGCGCCCAGCTGAATATGATTTTTAAAAAATGAGACTCTAAGCAGAGGCGGGTCACATGTGACTCAGATTTATTAGGGTTACGCACGTTATCTTTAACTCTGGAAACAACCCTGTTAATTAGGTATGAGGAAATTAAGGCCCAGAGAGGTTAAGCTACTTGCCCAAGGTCAAGCAGCTGAAAGCAAAGCCGGGATTTCCACACAGGTGTGATTCTCAAAAGCGAGTGTTCTTGAACCCTACTGGTCATTGTTAGCCAGCTCCCCTCCTGCAGCTCAGACTTTTCATGGGCAGACAGGCCCTGCATCATCTGCTTCCACAGCTCACTTACTCTCTGACAGAGTCATTCCTTCCATCTGATCGCAAAAGCTGCATTGGAGTGTTCCCTGAGCAGAGCTGTGTGCATTAAGTGTTTGGCACCCAGCCCAGCCCAGGCAAATCTGAAAGGCACCGAACCAGTCAATAGGTGGCCATCAGATAACAGGAGCTTCTAGCCAGCAGCCCACGGGCGATACACTGGAGGGGCAGGTTAGGCAACATCACCGGAACCTATTCAGAACAGAGAGGAGCCTATTTAGAAGAAGGAGTGGCCAGAGCCCTGCACTCGGGAAGGAGACAAGTCTTTCTAGAGACTGATGAGCTCCATTGCTTAAAAAAAAAGCTTGAAAACCACTTTTCTTTTCTTTTTTTTTTTTTTTTTTTTTTGAGACGGAGTCTCGCTCTGTCGCCCAGGCTGGAGTGCAGTGGCGGGATCTCGGCTCACTGCAAGCTCCGCCTCCCGGGTTCACGCCATTCTCCTGCCTCAGCCTCCCAAGTAGCTGGGACTACAGGCGCCCGCCACTACGCCCGGCTAATTTTTTGTATTTTTAGTAGAGACGAGGTTTCACCGTTTTAGCCGGGATGGTCTCGATCTCCTGACCTCGTGATCCGCCCGCCTCGGCCTCCCAAAGTGCTGGGATTACAGGCGTGAGCCACCGCGCCCGGCCTTTTTTTTTTTTTTTTGAGACGGAGTCTCGCTGTCTCCCAGGCTGGAGTGCAGTGGCGCGATCTCGGCTCACTGCAAGCTCTGCCCCCCGGGGTTCACGCCATTCTCCTGCCTCAGCCTCCCGAGTAGCTGAGACCACAGGCGCCCGCCACCTTGCCCGGCTAATTTTTTGTATTTTTAGTAGAGACGGGGTTTCACCGTGTTAGCCAGGATGGTCTCGATCTCCTGACCTCGTGATCCACCCGCCTTGGCCTCCCAAAGTGCTGGGATTACAGGCGTGAGCCACCGCACCTGGCCGAAAACCAGTTTTCTATAGAGACATCAAACAAATTTAAAAATGCAATTATTAACTCCAAGAAAACATGTTGTCTGAGAAAGCTAATGTAGGCTAGGCACAGTGGCTCACACCTGTAATCCCACTTGGCACTTTGGGAGGCCAAGGCAGGTGGATCGTTTAAGCCCAGGAGTTCGAGACCAGCCTGGGAAACATGGCAAAATTCCACCTTTACAAAAAATATACCAAAAAAATTAGCTAGCCATAGTGGCACACACCTAGAGTCCCAGCTACTTGGGAGGCTGAGGTGGGAGGATTGCTTGAGCCCAGGAGGCCTAGGCTGCAATAAATCATGATCATGCCACTCTCTTCCAGCCTGGATGACCAAGTGAGACCCTGTCTCAAAAAAAAAAAAAAAAAAAAAGAAAGCTAACGTGATCACATTGCTTAATGCTTTATGTACAATATTTACATGATTGTAATAATGTAAAACCTGAATATTTATATCTTAAGCAAGAATTGTGCTATGCTGTACTGGGAAGACAGAGGCGAGGAAAGTGTGTATGTGTGCGTAGTAAGAAGGGAGACAGAGCTGGAAAAAAGCTAGAGCCTCATTTTCCATAATAGGGAGCCAGTAGGCCATGTCTAATATTTGAAAATCAAGATGCAGTGGTAAAGGCATGTAATTAAGAAATATGGGGGTAAGTGCAAAAAGAAACAGCTAAAACCAGAGTAGGAAATGCAGGGGTGTCACAAGACGGGACAGGGATTGTGGCTCTAGGCAGTGGTGGGCTGTAGATGCTTAACAACTGGGTCTCCAGAGAAAAAAAGGCCCTGATTCATAGCGTTTGCCAATTTTGGTGGTGTAAATATTCCCACGATCACTGATTTCAGGCTAATGCCACCAAATACAGAGATAGAAGAGGCTCTCAGCACACTATTATAGAATATTTCCACTATGCAAATGTAATAGTCACAGATAACCTCAAGAACACAGATAATAGTGAAATAATTGGGAAGTAATACATTTTTAATATTTAGTACTTCTGCTTTTACTATAACTTAATTGCAAGTTTACTCAATGTAATTTATAATAATGGCTCTGTTTAACAACCAGCTTGCAAAACTCCTAAATTCCTAAAAATTTTACCAGTAGGCTCTCACGAGCCAACACAAGCCAACCCCAGCACATCACTTTGCAGTGCTACAGGCTGTAGAGTATTATTAGACCTTCTGACCTCTGCACATTTATTACTTTAACAAACATAAAAATTAAAGAACAAACAAAATGCCTCTGCCAAATGTTCTAAAGGAAGCTGATTGTAAATTTTTAAAAAATGTCAGCAATCTTCTCCCCAAGTCCCACATATGCCTCTGTTGTACAAGTTACTGTTTCTGTACAGGGGGTGTGACCGGAGACCAAACTTGGTCCTGTCTGTCACTGAAGCCTGGCTCCTAACTGCTACACAATACTGTTTTCTCATGCTTCATACTAATACACTAATACACTAACACCAACACTAACACATGGCTATTGATAATATAATAGCATATTAATATAAACACATTTATATTGATTTACAAATATAATCAAATTTAATCCTCATAACAAGCCCATTTTACAACTAAGAAAACAGAGATTTAGTGAGCTTCTATGGAGTCAAGATTTTTCAATGTTCCATGACTGTACAATGACTGTTCAGATGGTCGGCTCACAGAATTGTCCCAGGGGTAGGGTTCTCGGAGGTCCAGGGCTCTAACCTGCCATCTGGTTAGAGAACCTCAGAGAACTTCAGTCTCAACAGAGCTGGGGCAGAGACCTTGCTGCCTGGGGTGGAGGGTGGAGGAAGAGACCTATTCTTTGGAGTCTATAACCCTTAGGGAGATCTTCACCCTGTTCTTGTGGGCATTATCCTGGAGGGCTCACAGAACAAGTCCAGCCCTTCTTGGTGCTGGGACAGAACTTCAATGTCAAATGTTGAATCGCAGCTGTTGTGTACCCTGAGTCTTCCCAAGGAAGAGCTCGGGGCTGGGGATCAGGTTGTATCTCAAATACACCCTGTGTGCCAATGCCAACAGACAGAGTTATTGGCAGATAGGGTGTCTTTGAGATACAACCTGATCCCCAGCCCCAGGAGGAGGGCATGGACGCCCTGCTCCAGGATGAGTGGGAGTGTGAAGTAGGGCACCTTCTCCGGAGATCCATTTGACAGAACCTCTCCAACACTTTTAAAAGGTTCATGACCTTTGACCAATAATTCTGCTTCAGGAACTTACCCCAGGGAAATCAACAGAGAAGCACACTGAAACAGTCACTGCCATGTTATTTATCATAGGGACAGCAATGGGGACATTGTCAAAATAAATTACAGTACACCCATATAATGGAATATTCTGAGGTCATTTAAGATCATATATTCAAAGAATATTTAGTGGCATGAGCATTGCTAAAGATCTACGCTTAGTAAAACAGAATCAAGTTCTATACAGTTTGAGTATTCCATATCCAAAGTGCTTGGGACCAGAAGTATTTCAGATTTTGATTTTTTTTTCAGATTTTGAAATATTTGCATTTTACTTACTGGTTGAGCATCCCAGATCTGAAAATCCAAAATCTAAAGTGCTTCAAAGAGCATTCACTTTGAGCATCATGTTGGTGATCAAGAAGTTTCAGATTTTGGAGCATTTTGGATTTTGGGTTTTTGGATTTAGAATGCTCAACCTGCATATAAAAGGATCCCTATCTAAAAAAACCAATCTACAAGAAAATACATCAGAATGCTAATAGTGACAACATCTGAATAGTTGGATATTACTAGCAGCTTCCAATTCTAACAAACATATAAAATTGTTATTAAAAAAACAGATATTATTACAAAAAACACACCTCCCATAGCCTTGATTGAAAAATATTCCTCTCTGGTTTCAAGCAAACAGTTCTTGAAGAAATAATATGCAGACTGGTGCCTACCAGATTTGCAAGTTTCAAAAGCTTTTGTGCAACATCAATGTATTTGTTCATACAGGTTTCTCTACACCCTTGTTACCAATGGATGGTCTGGAGGGTGCTATGGCTTGAACATGTTCCCCAGAGTTCATGTGTTGGAAACTTAGTCTCCAATGCTACAGTGTTGGGAAGTGGTTATAAGAGGTGATTAGGTCATGAGGGCTGTGCCCTCATGCATGGATTAATGTCTTTATCTTGGGAGTGGGTTAGTTGTCTTGTGAGTGGGTTTGTTATAAAAGTGAGTTTGGTCTTCTCTTGCTCTATCTCTCTTGCCCTCCACCTTCTGCCATGGGATGTCATAGCAGGAAGGCCGTTGCCAGATGCCTGCATCGTGCTCTTTGACTTCCCAGCTTCCAGAACCGTAAACCAAATAAATTTCTGTTTATTGTAAATGTGCCCAGCAACATAAAACAGAATAAGACCAGGGAAAATACATCTTTGAAATTAAATAAAATTATATAGTTAATTGAAAGTGCATTTCAGTGTGTGTGTGTGGCATGCACTCAGGCAGCCATGGCCGGGCCCTCCCTTGGAAAGGCTGGCGGCATGGTGAGTCCACGGGTGTGGCTCACCCAGCAGGCTGTCCAGGGGAGCAGTGGGTACTCTCAACCCCTGTCCAGGATTTATCTGAACCCAGTGAACTGACTGGGGATGAGACAGTTTCAAACCAACCTGCATTGCAGCTTCAGCTTCCTAGATTCTCCCATCACTGCAGAGCTGAATTTTGTACATGGAAGCAAAATGTTTTCTTACCTAGAGAATCAGCTTAGCGAGGCAGAAAGAACAGACTGAGCAGGAGGTAGGATTTCCACACCCGGTTCCGGCACTCACTGGCCCAGTGACCTTGAACATAACCCCTGGCCTCTCTGGGCTTCCCAGATTCCCAGACCCTGGTCTGATACCCTTGCTGCTTTTTCATGGCTCCCCTTTTTACTTTATGAAGCAAGACACACCTGCAACCACAGAGTGCCATGCTTCCAGTGTACCAGCACAGAACACAGGAATCCATATTGAGTCCACATGAGAAAGATGTGAGATGGCAATGCCAGAACAACTGTGAAGAAGACAATAGTGATAACCAAAGACTATTTGATGAGTGAGTGCAAAGTGCTAGGCCTTGTGTTAAGCAATTTTTTCATTTTTTTATTTTCTTTTTTTTTTTTTGAGACGGAGTTTCGCTCTTGTTGCGCAGGCTGGGGTGCAATGGTGCGATCTTGGCTCACGGTGACCTCCGCCGCCTGGGTTCAAGCGATTCTTCTGCCTCAGCCTCCCAAGTAGCTGGGATTATAGGCATGTGCCACTATGCCCAGCTAATTTTTGTATTTTTAGTAGAGACGGGGTTTCACCATGTCGATCAGGCTGGTCTTGAACTCCTGACCTCAGGTGATCCACCCGCCTCAACCTCCCAAAGTGCTGGGATTACAGGCGTGAGCCACTGTACCTGGCCGTGTTAAGCAATTTATATACATTTAAAAATTTAATCCTTGTAACAACCCTATAAGGTTTTATTAAATCCTTATAGTCCTCTGGTAACAGTTCATTTTATGGATGAGACACTGAGCTCTGGGAGGCGACTTGCCCAAGGTGACTTGTCTGGGAAGTGAGGAGCTATCATCTGCACTTGGCTGTCTGCCTCTAAGGCATCTCTGCTATGCTGGCTTCTGTTTCAGGATGTAGATGAGACACCAAGTAAATCAGGGAGGAAAGTCATTAGAAATCAGTGTATGAAGCCGGGCGTGGTGGCTCACTCCTGTAATCCCAGCACTTTGGGAGGCCGAGGCAGGCAGATCACCTGAGGTCAGGAGTTCGAGACCAGCCTGGCCAACGTGACAGAACCCCCTCTCTACCAAAACTACAAAATTAGCCAGGCGTGGTGGCACATGCCTATAATCCCAGCTACTCGGGAGGCTGAGGCAGGAGAATCACTTGACTCGGGAGGTGAAGGTTGCAATGAGCCAAGGTTGCGCCATTGCACTCCAGCCTGGGCAATAGGAGTAAAACTCCGTCTCAAAAAAAAAAAAAAAAGAAAAAAAAAAAAAAAAACAGAAGTAGGAGCTCAACATTTCTAGTGCGGTTCCCACAAGGGGTCGGCGGCAGCTCAGTTGCGAAGCCCCTTAGATTTGTTCTTGGAGACCCTCCCTTCCTACTCTTTTTCTCACCCTGTCTCTCTCCTCCGCCTAGAGCTTGCCAAACTTGGCTACATTTTAGAATCACCTGGGAGTTTAAGTAATCCCAATGCCCAGTGAGCAATATCAACTTATCAGTTAAATTATCAATAAAATAAAGTGTTTAATCAATCAAACAATTAAATATCAATTTAATCCCAATATCTGAGAGGCAGGAGCCAGGCATTGGTATTTTTAATGGGTTTCCCGGATTGATTTCAATGAGCAGCAAAGACTGGGAACCACTACCCTAGAGGCTCCATAGCCTGCTGGGGCCTGGGCCTCCTGCCTCCTGGAGCACCTGAAATACTTGTGCATTCTAAGAGTCAGCAGCTGAAGGTTGGTCTTGTCTCATGTTGGGGAGGGTGAGCAATTCAAAACATTATCAGCTGGGCACGGTGGCTCACGCCTGTAATCCCAGCACTTTGGGAGGCCAAGGTGGGCAGATCACCTGACCTCAGGAGTGTGAGACCAGCCTGGGCAACATGGCAAAATCCCATCTTTACTAAAAAATACAAAAATTAGCTGGATGTGGTGACACGTGCCTGTAATCCCAGCTACTTGGGAGGCTGAGGCATGAGAATGGCTTGAACCCAGGAGGAGGAGGTTGAAGTGAGCGGAGATTGCACCCCTGCACTCCAGCCTGGGCAACAAAGTAAGACTGTCTCCCGAAACAAAATTAAGAACATTATCATGCACATTTAATACAGGCTTATTTGTAGAAACCACAGGTAAAGCAAATAGGAAGACAGAAGTCACATTAGGTGATGAGCATGTAAAGGAGTACCGAGGGCAGTGGATCATGCTGAACCCAGCAGATGGGTGATTTACTGCTGGAATCCCAAGCCTCAGTATGAAAGATGTTTTTTCATGGGCCACCCCTATCATCACTTTCCCTCACTGTGTGCTGCCCCATGCATTCCAGACCATCTGATTAGGTTGCTTATAGTCTTCCTGGCTCTCTCTTCTATGACTGGAAGTTGATATTAAAAGAGAGAGAGTCATTATAAAACAGGTATTGTAGTCCTTCTCCCCCAGAGTCCTGGGCAGAGATCGGGCTCCCTGTGTCCCAGGCTCCCGGGCCTGAAGGAGGCTTTGCCCCCAACTCACATTTGCACAACCCTCAACACTTGCACAGACATTATCTTAATTAGTGTTACCCAGATAAACTAAATAAGGACACTTGCCCCTGGTCACACCACTTGGCAGTGACAGAACCAGAATGAGTTTATGCAGGCTCAGAGCCCTGCATATGCAGGGGCGGGAGGGGGTCTCATGTTCCTAAACATGGATGTCCTTCATCCAAAGTGCTGCCTGCTCCACTGCAGGGTGTTCCCTATTTTCCAGTGACTGTCCGCAACATACACATGTATATGCTTGCATGTGCAAGTGAACACACACACACATATGTACGTGCCATACAAGCTCCTCTCCTGTGGTCCTTTCTGCCCTGGCCTCTGGCTGTGTTCTTTCTCTCCCTCCATCCCAATCAAGACTTACTTGTCTCATGTCCCCTATTTCAGGACCCTGCTTGCTTTGGCCAATTAATCAAGTAAACAAAAGCCTTCCAAAGAGGACTGGGGGACATTGGGTTAGTCCATTTCTCCTTGCGGGTCATCTATGTACATATTGACAGGAGCCTTTTAGAGAAAGCTGCTTGGCCCAAAAGTGTAATCTCCTGGGGTTTTTAGACTCTCAGGCAGACTTCTAGGACATCTATTTTGAGTCAAAGGCTTTATTCACTCTAGAGCTGGCAGGATTTCTGAAGTGGGCCCACTGGTTTATCTCCTTCCCTGTAATGTCTGCTCTTTTCAGTTCTCTCTCCAATCCACCTTACACACTGTTGCCTAATTTTCCTAGGATGCAGCTCTGATGAAATAACTCCCCAGCTCCAAAATCTTCAATGGGTCCCTACTATCTAGACCTTATAAGCCAAACTCCTTATCCAGGCATCAGAGCTGTTGTCATCCCAGCACAGTCCTGCCTTGACACTCTCCCTCAGTCTACTGCCCATGCCATGCCCATGGTTATACACCTCCACCTCCAATGCTCCTTCCTCACTGAGGGACCTTTGGTTCCTGGTTCATCCCTGCCACCAGGCTGTGAGCACCATGATGACAGTGGTCTTGACCAAGGCCACACTCTCTTGCCGAGAGGTAGAACATGCTCTGCAGGGAGGGAGGTGAGGCAGGTGTGTCCTGAGATGGTGACATCCCTGCTTCCCAGCATTCGAGGCCTTAAATGTGATGGGTAGGGATACTGCAGAGGGAAGGTGAGGCTCCCAATATCCAGTCCCACCATGATGTCTCAATATCCTACAGTGGGGGGAGGGGTGGTGCACCAAAACTGTAACTGTTGGAAATGCGAGCAGTGGCAAAAAAAAGTTACATGACAGCATCTATGCAAATTGTGGAAAAAGCACATTTCTGGTTTAGGCAGAAAATCAAAAGAAAAGGACAGTGCTTGCACCATCTCGAGGCTGTCATCACTAGCATTGGCTTTCTCCTCCCCCGCCACAGAGCCATGCTCTCCAAGCAGGTGGGAGTGCTGGGGACGCGGGGTCTGGACCAACAAGAGAGTCAGCTCTGGGGTCTTCAGTATCTTCCCATGGCTGGACCCCAAACAGGCCTTCGTCCTTCAGGCTCCCCACCAGAGGCCTTCCTGAACATCAGGAACCCCTCCCTAGAGGAATCTATCCCAACTGGGGGTGGCCTAGAGAGAGATATAGGCATGGAGGACCCTGGGCGGGTGGAGCTCCGTCAAGGTCAGGAGCAGGTTCCTAAGTCTGCCCTTCGCTTTTTGGCCCAGAGGCCTGGGTTTCTGCCATACCAGGGGCCCTCTCAATAGAGGACCCACCAGAACTTCTCCTGTGTGCATGGGCCGCTGCCAAAATTATAAAAACCCCTCCTTCTGTTCGCCATTTGGCCCAAGGAACGAGGAGGGAAAAGAGGACTCTCCCACCAGGTGCCCTTCCTGTAACACCCCAATTCCACACACCTCTCCTGTAGTGTGAAAGGAAACTCATTTTGAGTTGTGATTTTTGCCCAGCCCACCTGGGATTTGGGGAGCATTACTAAAGCACTGCTACAGCAGCAGGGCAGCACTCTGGGATTCAGGGGACCTGGGTTTTCATCTCAGCTCTGCTGCACACTGGCTGAGTGGCCTGAATCTCTGTCTCTCTAGGTCTCAGTCTCTCCCTCCGAAAAGTGAGGCATTTTTGGGGGGCAGGGATAATAAACATGGTATCCTTGCCCCTCCTGGGGTTTCTCTATCTATAACAGGCATTACCAATCGCTCACTGAGTCCTGCCTGAGCCCAGCAGTCCTCAGCACAGCATCTAGGGAGTCCCTACCAGTCGATCAGAGAATGTCAATCTGCGGCCATGTGATCTCTTAGAGCCCTGACAGCTGTAAACATCCTGAGCCCCTTGCTAAGCCTCTGAGACTCCCTGTACCTCTCTGTAGTCAGAGAGGATTCCCAGAGGCCTCTGATGGGTTAATCCCCACAAACGCCTTTACATCTGCTCCTTCCTCTCCAGGTGCACCCTGCCCATAGCCTTCCTGAGGCACTCCAGTCTTCTAATTGGTCTCCACGGTGCTGGTCTCTTCTCGAACTCCAGAGCAAGATTGGCTTTCTATAATTATTACTTTCCTTGTGCAACTCTTCCAGAATCTTCCATGGCATACATAACTATCTGCAGGATTTTTTGGCAGTTGGGCATCCAAGCCCCCTTCCTGATTTGGAGGACTCTCCCTCTGTGGGCTGTCCTGGTGGGATGCAGTGCCCTACCATGAAAGCTGAAGCAGGGGTTCCTCCTACCCAGGGTCCTCTGCTATCCAGGGACGGGGCATGGGACTGGGTTTGGCCAATCAGACTCCTACCCAGGGTGGGCTGGGACTGGGCCCTCCGGAGCTGTCTTGGTGCTGATCTGGTTCCAAGTCTGGCTCTCCACTGTCCCAGCTCTAGCCCTTTAAATCTATGAAGCCCCTAAACCCTTTCTGCATAAGAGGACTGGGGTTGGGGGTGATTTCTGTTGCTAGCAACAGATAACTACATCTGTGTTATCTCTGCTCCTCAACAATGTCTCCGCTTTTCAGAGACAGAAACTGAGACCTAGAGACAGAGATTTGGGCCACTCAGCCAGTGTGCAGCAGGAATCCTGACTTAGTCAGCTCCCCTTTCTCTGTCTTATCAGATCTGACTTACCTGCCTGGCCCTCGAGGGGCACGCACACCCTGTTCCCACCCCCAACTGCCCTCTAACCTTATTCTTTGGTTTGCTCAACCCTACAGGGGTCACACTTCTCAAGTGTGACAGACCCAATTTTAAATGTGATGTCTCAGGTCCTATGAAAATGGTGATTATCTCCCCCAATCCCAATATTTGGATGACCACCTTTTCCCAGACTTCTTCTCTGACAGAAACACAGAACTTCTCTGCCAGATCATGGGTGTCCTAACCCTTGGTTTGGGAAAATATGGCCCCCAAATCAGGGGGCTCCTCACTGGCCCCCTCCCTGCATTCCTTGTGACACGGTCTTTAGAAAGGCCTGCTCCTCTGGGCTTCTGCACCCCTCAAGAGACGCCCCAACTCCTGCTCCCACTGAGACGATTTAGTGCACTTCACATCTTGTGGTCTTCCTTTTCCCTCAGCTTTTCTTTCCAAAAAAAAATTTTTTTTTGAGATGGAGGGAGATCTTGCTCTCTCGCCCAGGCTAGAGTGCAATGGCACGATCTCAGCTCACTGCAACCTCCTCCTTCTGGGTTCAAGCGATTCTCCTGCCTCAGGTTCGCGAGTAGCTGGGATTACAGGCACCTGCCATCATGCCCGGCTAATTTTTGTATTTTTGTAGAGACAGGGTTTCACCATGTTGGCCAGGCTGGTCTAGAACTCTTGACCTCAGGCGATCTGCCTACCTCAGCCTCCCAAAGTGCTGGTATTACAGGCGTGAGCCACCGCGCCCGGCCCCTTTTCCCTAAGCTTTTCTAAGCCCTTCTTCCCACAGCATTTGTGATCATGCTGGCTGTCATTTACTGAGGGCTTCCCATGGGTCAGACCTGAAGCCAAGTGTTATTTCAATTTTTTAGCACAATAACCTTACGAAGTACAGGTCATTGTGTCCATTTTGCAGATGAGGAAACTGAAGCTTAGTGAGATTAACTAACACAGCGGCAAAGCCAGGATGCAACCCTTAGTCTTTCTGACCTTCAAATTAGAATGTAAGCTCCATGCAGGGTGGTGCTCTGTCTTGTCCTCTGCTATAACCCCAGTGTCTGGAATCGTGCTGGACACAAATGGTAAGCTCTCACCAAATTGTGTTGAATTAATGATGCCATAGACGGTGGACCTAATCAGGATCCCCTGTACAGTTGCATGGACTGTACACTGCACAACTCAAGGGGGTACCATTTGCATGGTGCAGAGCCTTCTGTTGTGCTCTGGGCCTAACCATGACACTGTCCTGCTTCTCCATTTAGCATTGTCTTGCGTTGTTTGCTTTATTTCACGGGTGTTTGTTGCCCTCCCAAGAGATTATCCACACTTTCATCTTAAATGAGATAATCATGGAGGGTTTCCAGCAGAGTGTGAGACATGAATGAAACCTCAGTGGTACAGACATGCTTCTTACACCCTCTGGTCTCAAACACAATGCCAGTCTATATTCAGGATCAAATGACTCCCCCAGCCACATGCTGCCAGCTGCAAAGATACTGTTGTCATTGAAGTGGGAGTGAGTCACATGGCACCATCCACATGCTCCCAGGCTGGGCCACTCTGCCTTGCCTCTTAGGGATAGCCACCGAGAGAACCGCCATCCACCAAGAGCGTGCACACTCTGCGGGGGCCCAGTGCCCACCATCTTCCCTGCCCAGACACCATAGAGACTCAGCCCTGGGCCATCACTGTCCCCATGGAAGTCATGGAATCTGTGGGCAGGGCAGGGGACCTCTGGCTCAGAACTTCAGCCTTGCTCCATCAGGGATATGTAAGGGGCCAGAGAAGGAGATGCACCACCTCCGAGGTAATGACCCTGGGAATCTATGGCCTTGAAAATGTCCTTTACATTGTAAGTGAACAGCCCCATGCTGAGATGACCAGTCCCTCCCCATCCCAAGCTTTCTCTCTGCTGCATCTGTGGAGGTTGGTTGATCCTCAGGGGCTGGGGTAGTGGGAGAAGGAACATATTGCACTCCGAACCCCTAGAAGTCAGGGTCTACTTTGGCTCAGCTCACGCTAATGACTGACTGAGCAAGTTCCTTCCTCCCAGGGCTTCAGTTTCCACATGAGCCAATAAATACAAACTCACTGGGCACGGGGCCTGGCACCACAGAAGCACTCGATAAATGGTAGTTATTATTATCATCTGCAAAATGCAGGTTAGCTTCCTCCCTCTGCCTCTGTGCTCTGCACAGCCCCTCGGACCAGACCCTCCTTTGTACTGTGCTTAATGGCTGTCATGGCTGTCACCCTCACCAAGGGTGAGCTTTCCATGGGTGGGGTATGTGTCTAACCCATCTTTGTACAGGCCTAGCATGGCCAGCTGCCCCGGTGCATGTGCTCAGAAAGTGTCTGCACAGTGGACCTGAACCATCAGGGCCCTTCCAGCTCTGCCAGTCTGGGGTTATATGTTGAATCTCCACCCAGCTCACCAAACACAGACAAGAACCCTCCCTGGGCCTGGAGCTGGCCACCTAGAGATGAATAAGATGGGATGATTCCCTTGGATGTCACTTCCACCACATTCTGTCTGTTTTAGTCACTACTGTATCCCAACACCCAGCACGGTGCCAGGCCCATAGTAGAGTCTCAATAAATATCTACTGAACTCATCCACGAGTGAGAAGCAGGTGATATTTCTGGGAAGGCCCTCACTCTGCCTGACCAGCTCGGAGGGCCAGGTCAGGGACTGGGTCCTACTGTCAAGCCAAGTTGGGCTGCTGGAGGGGCAGGGAGGGGAACACACCCTGAGTACAGCGGTCCCCTGGCCTCTAGCCAGATCCACTATCTGTCCAGTAACCTGGGGCTACATTTTCTACTCTAGTTCTTCCCTATCTGAGCACTGGAGGACCGGCAATGAAGGCTGGAGTTTGGGTGTGTGGTGCCTGAGTTTGGGGCTCCCAGGGGACATGGTGTGGGCAGCTCTTCTGAGCCTGGTGCTGGCTATGCCACCTGCTGATCCCTGGACACGCTCAGCTGCCTTCTTTTGTTTTCTTTTTTCTTTTTTGAAGTGGAGTCTCGCTCTTTTGCCCAGGCTGGAGTACAGTGGCACAATCTCAGCTCACTGCAACCTCTGTCTCCTGGGTTCAAATGATTCTCCTGCCTCAGTCCACTGAGTAGCTGGGATAACAGGCACCCACCACCTCACCTGGCTAATTTTTGTATTTTTAGTAGAGATGGGGTTTCACCATGTTGGCCAGGCTGGTCTTGAACTCCTGACCTCAGGTGATCTGCCCAAGTCGGCCTCCCAAAGTGTTGGGATTACAGGTGTGAACCACCGCCTGCTGTCTTTTCTCTGTTATTGCCCGACAGGCCTGGGGCACCCTTCTGGGGGCTCAGTGTGAGGGAGGGGAGAAAGGGCTCACACTGACACAGAAATTGGGGAATTCCTCCTCCTCCTCCCCCTGCTCTTACTATGGAGTGCTAGGCTGTTCTGCCTGACTCCTTCTCTGACAACAGGACCTGGGTCTGCTGTCCTCCCAGACTCAGTGGGAAAGGTCCTAACCCCGCCAGTGTTGTAGGAACAGCCAGCAGCCAGTGGCACGGGTGCTGTACAAGTCATCTGGGGGGAAAGTCAAGTGCATGTTAGGCCTTTGTCAGGAAGCAACAGACCTTGCAGGGGAAAGGAGAGCTCCTGTTAATTATGGAGGGGCAAGGCAGCCTCCTGGGCCAGGGGGCTGGGCCCCACCAGGCCTCCGAGAGGCAGGAGATTTTCATGAAATAACAGGAAACCCTCAATCCAGCCAACGTTCATGTTTTTCCATGGCTGCAGAGAGCCTGTGGCTGGCTGAACCAGGGGATCAGGACCTGTTCTTGACACAGTAGAGGGGACTTGGCCACCCAGCTATGGTGAAGGAGAGGGTGAAGGCAGGAACAGACATATCAGGAGAGGGGAGGCAGGAGACACACAGAATGGGGCTGGGCAGTGGGTGAGGAACCCTCCAACCTGGTAGGGTTGTTTTATCTGCAGAATGGACAGGGGCTGGCACAGGGTGGACAATTTCCCAACACGAAGTCACCAAGGCCTATGACAAAGACAGCTATTTTCTTCCTGCCCATGGAGGTTTTGAAGGTCCGCTCCCAAGTAACCTTTGCCTCTCCAAGCAAATCCCTGAAAACCCCTGGAGCACAGCCTCAGCATCCCCCCGCCACCATCTGGCCTTTCCCAGAAAAGCTGCCTCCCAGCTGCCCAAGGAAATGCTTTCTCTGTGGCAGAGAGGGGCCCTTGTCCTTAGCCATTGCATGACAGGGAGAGGGTCTCAGCTCCACCCTCTGCTGTGTGGCCTTCAGCTAGCCCTATCCCTGTCTGGGCCTCATCTGTATCATCTGTACAATGGGGCTTTGTGCGGGGTGACCTTTGAGGTTCTGGAATTTTCTTACTTGCAGTCTCTGCTCAGGCCCAGTGGGAATGACCAGCAGTGCACCCTGCAAATATAGTGATGGGGCTTGGGGTTCAATTGGGAGCTTTGCAGGAAGGGCAGAGGAGCAAGCTTTGGAGAGGAAGAGGGAGCACTGACAGATGGCTTGGAGGAGAGGGAGGGTGTGCCTCCGGGGCTCCAGGCCTGGCGGGGAGCACAGTCCCGAAAGTGCTGCAAAAACAGGTCTTGGACTGGGCACCGTGGCTCATGCCTGTAATCCCAGCATTTTGGGAGGCTGAAATGGGAGGATCACTTGAACACAGGAGTTCAAGACCAGCCTGGGCAGCACAGTGAAACCTGTCTCTACAAAAAAAAGAAAAAAAATTAGCCAGGCATGGTGGTGCACACCTCTGGTCCCAGCTACTTGGGGAGGCTGATGTGGGAGGGTCCATTGATCCAGGAAGTAGAGACTGCAGTGAGTCGTGATGGTGCCACTGTACTCCACCCTGGGTGACAGAGCATGACTCTGTCTTAAAAAAAAAAATAATCCAGAAGAAACAAAAAACACAGATCTTGGGCCACCTCTAGACCTCCTGAGTCAGGTCAAGGCCTCTGGGAACAAGCATTTTAAACACTCTCCTCAGGTGGCTGCGGTGTGCGCATGCTAGCACAGAGGTGACAGCAGGACTTGGGAAACACGGCTGAGACCTGCACTCCAGCTTGAGAGTCTCATGGACTCTAGTTCAAGTCCTGCCTCTGCAGCTTTCTGAGAATAGCAGCCCCATGTCACAGGGGAACAGGGACAGTGTATGGAGGTGTCTGGCATTTGACGGGTTTAGGCAGCGGTGGTTATCCTTGCAGACCCCTTACCCTCTGGCACCTCAGTCCTGACAGCTGAGGAAGGTGACCTGAAGCTAGATTGGCCCCCGGAAATTAAAGGCTAAGGTGGGCCAGGAGGCAGAAGTCCTGCTTCAATTCAGAATCCTCTGGAGGGTTTGTGCAGCTCATCATGACTCCTATGTCCCTCACCCACAGATGCGGACGCTAGCAGTCATGTTAGCACCACAAGTGTGGGCCACTGCCAGCACACACACGCTAAACTGATTGGATCATAATGGGCATCTAATTCAAGCTGAGCCAATCAGATATCCTTATCTGCCCACACTGTGCCCTTGCACACACAAACACACAGCTGATTGGGCCAGGATGAGCGTCTAACTCAAGCTGAGCCTATCAGATTCCCTGACCACTGTATTTAAATTCAGCCACCCCTCCACCTGCCCACACCCCTGTCCCCTTCCCTAATCAATTTCTCCTCCTAGCATTATTCTATTCTATTCTATATTCTATTCCATTTCTGTTCTATTATTATACTATATTATACCCTATAATCCACTTTATTATCTGTCTCCTCCGCTAGCGTGTAGGCCCCATGAAGGCTGGGGTTTTTGTCTGTTTTGTTCACTGCTGGGTCCCCAGTGCTTCCCACAGTGCCGGGTACAGAGAAGGTGCTCAGTAAAAATTTGTTAAGTGAATAAATTCTCTCTTCCAGGAGGTGGAATTGCAGCTAACATTTACAGAGAACCTACAATGTGTTAATGTTTTCTAAGCACTTTAAATATGTACTAACTTGTTATGATCTCCATGACCTTGGTTTTACAAAAATAGATCTATAAACATCTTATTTGAGTCTCACTACCTCTGTGGAGGAGTTATCATTTCCCTAACTTCAGAGATGAGACAACAGAGGCTCAGAAGGGTTCATGGTCTTGCTCAAGATCACGCAGCAACTAAGTGGCAAAGCTCAAACTAGAATTTACAACTTCACCTCCTACCTCCTCAAGTCCCCATTTCTTTCCAGACACAGGATACCCCTCCTCTGCCTAGAAGATGCTATTCCTGCCCTCAGAGGCTTTACTTTCCCTGGGAAGGTGAGCTAGAGGAAGAGACAGCTCCAAAGGCCCAAGCAGAGGCTGAACTGACCGAGGAAAGGGAATTGACACAGCTTGTTTCCTGTCCTCAAAGTTACTGTGAAATCCTCATGAATGACTGACAGCAAAATGGGAGGCAGCTGCCGCAAGGGGAATTCCAGAGCATGCTGAAGCGGGGTACAAACATTCCAATTCATGCTGGACTAGAAGTATTTTCGCCATCATGGCTGCCTTCTTCAGATTACCTTCTGCTCTATTTCCCAATTTCAGTGTGGCTCACGGAGCTGAGAACAATACTGTAGTTCCAGCCTGTGGTCTGACCAGTACAAAAGGAAGGGGGAAGAGTTCCTCTTTCTTCTTGCCTAAGTCTTTTTGCCTTATAAAAGAATCTCTGACTCTCTAGCTGACTGATACCTGAAGTTCTACTATTAGGGATTCATTCCTTTCGTGCTCCACCTTGCTGCTCTCAAAATAAAATAAAAATACCCCTAAAGAGAGTGTAGTGGGAGATAATATTGGTCACTGTGGACTCATTCTGAATAAGCTTTGAGAATATTCCTGAAGGCAGGTCTGAGGGAAAAGAGCATGAGGGCACTGGTGGAAAGGCTGGAGGGAGAAAGAGGGAATAAGGTAGTTGGGATCAGGGCAAACTCTTACTCCAACCCTGCCTGGTGAGGTCATGGAGCACTGCTGAGTTTGATGTTCTTCGCGTGTGCTCCACGGAGAAGCCACTGCCCACGAGCCTTTCTCTGGCGGTCAGGGCCCCTACTCTTCCACCCCACCGCCAGTGCAAGTCCAGTTTGGGGAGGGCACTTGCTTGAGGTCACCCAGTGAGTAAGAGGGTGATGGCTGTGCCAGGCCACACCCAGGTTTGCAGACACCCAGGCCAGTGCCCCATCCCACCTGTCAGTTCTGGAGACCTTGCTCACAGGAAGGGGCAGCAGGGTCACCTGAAGACCCAGGGCACACAATCACCTGGGGCATTCGCTGGCTTCAGTCCCGAGTTACAGACACTGGCGGGCATTCTGATGGCCTCGTCTGTCTTCCGGGCACATGTGTGCAGAGAATATATACTACCCACCGTCCCGAAGCCCCCAGCAGGGAGCTCTCAGACCCCAAAGGGTTGCTTCTTCTCTGGAAAGCCTCGCCTAGCCAGAGGGCAGCATCGTGGCCAAGCAGGAAAGCTGTGCTACCAGCATTCCACCAGCAGAGGGCGGTGGCTGCGCTACTCTCAGCCACATCCAAGCTCTTAGACTCTGTGGGAGGGAACTGAGCCGACCAGGACCCGAGACACACACGCAGCCTCTCTCCCGCTCCCAGTCAACCCCAGCTCACAACTGTGCCCATCACTTAGAAAATTCTTCATAATGAGATGAAAATCCGCCTCCTTCTAACTTTTGCCATAAGCTCCTACTGCTGCTTCTGGGTCCACCGAAAAAGTCAACCCTTCTTTTATTTGTCAGCTCTTGGGAGCTGGAGTCCCTTTCCTAGTTAGTCACCCACGGTGCTGTGGGTCTTAGCGGGACACTGTCCTTTTTTTTTTTTTTTTTTTTTTTAGACGGAGTCTCGCTCTGTTGCCCAGGCTGGAGTGCAGTGGCGCCATCTCGGCTCACTGCAAACTCTGTCTCCCCCGTTCAGGTGATTCTCCTGCCTCAGCCTCCTGAGTAGCTGGGATTACAGGCGCATGCCACCACGCCTGGCTAATTTTTGTATTTTTAGTAGAAACGGGGTTTCACTATGTTGGCCAGCTGGTCTCGAACTCCTGACCTTAAGTGATTCGCCTGCCTTGGCCTCCTAAAGTGCTGGGATTACAGGCATGTGCCACGGAGCCCGGCCAAGACACTTTCCTTTTTTAAGAAAATTTTATTTTATTGAGACAGTGTCTCACTCTGTGTGCCCAGGCCAGAGTACAGTGGCATGATCATAGTTTACTGCAGCCTCGACTGTCCAGTCTCAAGCAATTCTCCTACCTCAGCCTCCCAAGTAGCCGGACTCAGGCATGCTTGGCTAATTTTTTATTTTTTTCATTTGAGAGACAGGGTTGCCCAGGCTGGTTTGGAACTCCTGGGCTCAAGCAATCCTCCCACCTCAGCCTTCCAAAATGCTGGTATCATAGACGTGAGCCATTGTGCCCGACCTCCTCTTTCTTTCTCATCTTTAAGAGATTGATGGATCCCAATCAATTCTGAGGCTCCTTCCAACTCTGACATTCCAAATGACACCCCTTTCAGTTACTGCTGAAGGGCAGAAGAGGGCAGACTCTGCACTTCCACCACCCACCTACCGGCTTAGGTTTCCAGCACTCACAGTGGCCCCCATTCACCACCCCTGTAAGCTACAACTTGTTTGTAGACCCTTTCCCTGGGGGTGTGGGTTCTCCTGCCTGCTATGTCCTCACATCCACCTGCACCTGATCTCATCTTCAACCCATACCCCACACCCTGGTACCCCCCATTAGGCGCATCTGATCCAAACTGTGATGTGAGGGGCTGCTCTAAGGTCGCCGAGCTCACATTATGTGGCTCTCACATCCCACCTGCAGTCCCTGGCCACTTGGTGGGGGTGGGGAGGGGCAGGCTCATGGGGTGGCAGGTCCCTGCCTCATAACCTAAGGGGCCTGGTTTGCTGCCTGATGTATCTCCTCCCTCTCCACCTCTCCCTAGGCCACTCCATCCCAGAACAGGATTCTTCCTGGTTCTAGAGGCACCATTTCTTCACTTCCAAAGCTGAGCCACTGTATCACTTGCAGTCTCTTTTGAGAGTCAGATGAATTCACTGTCCTCAGACATTTCTGTTTTAACTTCAAAAATGATGTGTATTATACTTGGCTCACGTCTGTAATCCCAGCACTTTGGAAGGCCGAGATAAGAGAATTGCTAGAGTCCAGGAGTTCAAGATCAGCCTGGGCAACATAGTGAGACCCCATCTGTACACACACAAAAATTAGCCAGGCATGGTGGTGCACATCTATGTCCCGGCTGTTATACAAACATTCTATGTACTTGGCTCATGCCTGTAATCCCAGCACTTTGGGAGGCTGAGGTGGGAGGATCACTTGATTCCAGGAGACTGAGGCTGCAGTGAGCTATGATTGTACCACTGCACCCCAGCCTGGGCGACAGAGTGAGATTCTGTCTCAAAAAATTTTTAAAAACCAGAAAATTATGCATACTCAAAGAAGATGACTTGAAAAACACCAAAAAAGTACACACACACACACACACACACACACCTCCCGATTACCAAGTTGCTCAGGGATAGTTGCTGTTACTTTAGATATAAATCTTCCCCATGCTGCACTCAGCGAACAAGTGGAGTGGGATCTTTTCACCCCGGTTCACTATTCCTGTGGGCCCCATCATGCTCTCAAGGGCTTCCAAAAAAGCTGGGCACAGTCAGAACTTTGGGAGCTTATGGATAGCCCCTGACTGCCCCTTAGAACACACCTTTCCCTGTTAAGCACTTTAACCCTGGGATGGTCTCCTGTAATCTCACCTCCTAGTATACATGCCTTGTGTAGTCCCCTCCCATATTGCACCAGGGTTGGTCTGTGTTACTAATAGAATGTGGCCAGGGTTACACAAGATTCCAGTTTCTGCCTGGGCTCTCTTGCTCTCACCTGGATCACCACTCAGAGGAGGCCAGCTGCCATGAGTGAGAACACTTAGCCTATGGAGAGACCAGGTGTGAGGGACTGAGGTCTCTGGCCAACAGCCTGCAAGGAAGTGAGGCCTCCTGCCAATAGCTGCAAGAATGAGCTTGGAAGTGTATATTCCCCAGTCGAGCCTTCAGATGACTGCAGCCCTGGCCGACAGCTTTAACGCAACCAAATGAGACCCTGAACCAGAACTACCCAGCCACATTTTGGGGTAATTTGTTATGCAACAACAGAACATTAACACAGCTATATTTTCTATTTGTTGTGAGGGAGGCAGAACAGGCATTATCATCTCAGATTTTGATATGGGAAACTGAGGCAGGTAAGCCATGTGGGTGAGGCTTTGGCTCATATGTGGGTCTACAGCCAACAGGGATGTTGAGCCAATTTTCCTGGGTCTCAAACTGTGGGCACAGTCCCTGACATTCCAGAAGATTCCTCTTCACTTTTTAAGAAAGTAGGAAAAAAAAACAACAACAGAAAAATTGGGAAATACAGAGGAAGAATAATTCCTATTATGTCGTGGTGAGTATCAGCTCCATTTTATGCCCAGCTGGAGAGAGTGGTTGTGGTTCCTTTTCCTGTGCCATTGAACATTCTTGAACAGCATGATTTTCACGGCTGCGTTGTATTCCTCAGTGTGGCTGTACTACAATACCTTATGCAATTCCCTACTTTTGGATCCATAAGTGCTTTATAATTTCCAATACTCTAAAAAGGCTGAGGCAAACATAGTAGCTGAATTCTTCCACACATGAATTTTTAAAAAGATAAATTATTGTAAGTGAAAATGCTAGGTAATAGATCTGCACTTTAAAAAAATGCTTTTGTTATGAATTTTAAGATGCCTTTCACAATGGTTGTACTAATTTACACTCCTGTCAGCAACTCAAGAGAATGGCCATTTCCCTATAACCCTGACAGCACCCAATATTATAATATTTTTATCTGCTTATTTTCAGATGAAAAATATCTCATTGTTTTCCTTTGCAAGTCTTTGATGCTTTGTAAGGTTGCTTATATCTTCATTTGCTTAGCAGATATTTGCATTTATTTGCTTGTGAATCTTCTGATTCTATGAGGTCCTCAATTATTTCCTAATGGTGTATTGGTGTTTATCTTTTTCTTAATAATTTATAAGAGCTCTTTGTATATCAGAGATATTAATTCTGTGTATTAGTTCCTTATCACATTCATTGCCCCTTTTCACTTCTGATCCATCTACGGAAACTAATGATTCTAAATATTTTTGCTGGCTGGGCGCGATGGCTCATGCCTGTAATCCCAGCACTTTGAGAGGCTGAGGCAGGAGGATCACTTGAGCCCAGGATTTCAAGAGATCAGCCTAGACAACACAGTGAAACCCTGTCTCTACCAAAAAAAATTAAAAAATTAACCAGGCTTAGTGGTGCACACCTGAAGTCCCAGCTACTTGGGAGGCTGAGGTGGTAGGATAGCTTAAACCCAGCGGGTGGAGGTTGCAGTGAGCTAATATCACGCCACTGCACTCCAGCCTGGGCAACAAAGCCAGATCCTGTCTCAAAACAAAACAAACCACTAAGTACTTCTGCTTTGCCATCTTGATTCTGATCCAGACCTCTACTAGTTGGTTATCTATACATAATTTTTCAAAAATTTTTAAATTTTTCTTTATTTTTCCCCCCCTTTTTTTTTTCTGAGACAGAGTCTTGCTCTGTCACCCAGGCTAGAGTGCAGTGGCATGATCTTGGCTCACTGCAACCTCTGTCTCCTAGGTTCAAGCAATTCTCTTGCCTCAGCCTCCTGAGTAGCTGGGATTACAGGCATGCGCCATCATGCCTGGCTAATTTTTGTATTTTTAGTAGAGATAGGGTTTCACCATGTTGGCCAGGCTGGTCTCGAAGTCCTGACCTCAAGTGATCCACCCACCTTGGCCTCCTGAAGTGCTGGGATTATAGGCATGAGCCACCACACCCAGCCTTATTTATTTTTTCTTATTTGGTTTATTTCTCCAAGAAAAATATATTTATTTTATTAACAGGAAACTGTCAGGGGTTTCTTTGTTGAGCCCAAAACCCACCATTGGATTGATATTTTTAGAAAGTTGAATTTTTTTTTCCTGAAACTCACAGCTAACTCAGAGCCAGCATTGCCCATTGAGCTCAACGAAAGTGAGGCCAAAAGTCAAGGTCAGTCCCGGGAATAGATTGCTCTTCTTGGCTGTCCTAGCCCTGGCCCACTCATGCATTCACGCAAAGCATACTGCAATTTCAGTCAGAGAACACATCCCACCCACCAGGCTGGAAAACTGACCACACTCTTCACAGCCACTTCCCACCTTGGCCCTGGCCAGCAAGATTCCCTGTTCCCTTTAGGGAATCTGCCCAACTGCAGAGGTGCCAAGATGCCCGTGTGGATTTCACACACCCAGTTGTGTCCTGAGAGATAAAGGCTCCAAGTCGCCTTCACCTCAGCACAGTGAACAGGCCATGGTCTGGGCGTGAACAGGGCTCCCTGCTTCTCAAGGCCGAGTCCTGTCTCCGGCTTGCTTGCTTGCTTGCTTGCTTCCTTTCTTTCTTTTCTTTTCTTTCTTTCTTTTCTTTTTCTTTCTTCTTTCCTTTCTTTCTCTTTCCTTCCTTCCCTCCTTCCTTCCTTCCTTCCTTCTTTCTCTCTCTCTCTCTCTCTTTCTCTCTTTCTTTCTGATGGAGGAGTGCAGTGGTGTGGTCTTGGCTCACCGCAACCTCTGCCTCCCAGGTTCAAGCAATTCTGCTGCTTCAGCCTCCCGAGTAGTTGGGATTACAGGCACATGCCACCACGCCCAGCTAATTTTGTATTTTTAGTAGAGATGGGGTTTCTGCACGTTGGTCAGGCTAGTCTCGAACTCCTGACCTCAGGTGATCTACCCACCTCGGCCTCCCAAAGTGCTGGGATTACAGGCGTGAGCCACCATGCTCGGCCTGTCTTTGGCTTTCTATGGGGTGTGTTGTTACCATATTTCTTTGTTTAGCTCAAGTGAGAGCTAACCTTGAGCTTGAAACCCTCCAATGGCTTCCCACATCACCTAGAAGAAAATCCAAACTGGCGTGGTCTCCAAGGTTCTGGGTAGCCCAGCCCCTGACTACCATTGGCTTCCCACCCTGGGGCTCCCCGCCCTGGGCCTCAGCACATGCTATTCTCTCTTTCTAGGGCACTACTCTTCCGCATGCTCTTTACTTGACCGGCTCCATCCCATTCAAGTTTGCAGAGAGGTCCTTCGGACTGTCTTACCTAACATATCCATCACAAGTCTCTACGGCATCACTGTGTTGGATTTCTTCACAGCACCCATCACTGTCTGATGTAATCTTAACGACTGTTTGCGCCCTTGTTCATTGTTTGTCTCCTGACTGGCTCACACAACTCCTGAGAACAGGGACCTTGTCTGTGTTGTCTGCATGATCCAGAAGGTTCTTGGATCCCCTGTAGCGCCCCCCTCCCCAGCCCTGGGCCATGCCTGCAGGTTGCAAGTGTGAACACGTTGTGGGGCAGATGACCTAGGCCCTCTCGCTGACCGAGGCTCACTGTGTGTCAGGCATGGTGCTAAACTCTTAGCCAGCATCACTCTATTTTATTCCAGTTCCAGCACTTCCCAGCTGTGCGACTTTGTATAAGCTATACCTGTTTCCTCATCTGCAAGGTTGCTGAGTATTCAGTGGCACCAGGCGTCTCAAGAGCTTAGAACAGTCCCTGGCCCGTTGTACGTGTTCAACAGGTGTGGGTGATTACTGTCATCATGACAACCCTGCCAGGTGGGATTTATTATCTCTCGTTTACAAATAAGAAATCCAAGGCTTTCGGGAGTAATAACTCATCTAGCAAATGGCTGGGTCAGGACTACAGGTCCCGAAGCCCATGGTCTTCACTGCCCCATATTCTATTTCCAGAGATGGAAGTAACTGGTCTGAAGTCTCTTTCCTTTCCAGCAACTCCCTCCACTAAAACATAGAACTAGCTCTTTCAGCATTCCTCCACATCCCCCCGCCCATCTTCAGTGCACTCTCCCATCTCACAGATGGGGAAACTGAGGCTGAGAAGGGGGAGGTAGTGAATAGAGAGGCCCAGTGCAAACCTGGCTTATCCACAGGGCCTCACCCGTCCCACTCCTCACGCAGGGTTTTAAATCCAAAGCTTTGCCATCAGGCAGATGTGGGGCTTTGGCCAAGACTCATCTGCACCCTGGGCCTCAAAAGATTTCTCTGTCCGAAAAGATCCCTGTCCAGTATTTGGGCTGAACTCTGGCTGTTGGGAATGGAAAAACGAATGGGTGTGTTTCCCAGCCTCAAGGAGCCCATCGCCTAGAAGCAGGAACAGGTGTGAAAACAGACCACGATACCCCTGCCTCAAACATGGCAAGGACATGGCAGGAAGCGGAGAGTCTGTTGGCAAAGCAGAGGAAGAAGCAGGATGGCTCCAGGTGGCTTCCTGGAGGCGGTGCCCTGAGCTGTGCAGAGAGGAGCATGAAGAAGGGCAGGCAGGTAGAAGAGACCGGGGCTGGCTCAAGGTCTGGTGAGGGCAGGTGAGTCAGGAAGGGGCAGAGTGGGCCAAGCCATGGAGCCAGGGTGGGGCAGGACTTCATCCAGAAAGGGAGGCCTTAGGGGTTTTTAGAGTAGGGGTGGGGGAGCATGAGAGTGAAGGGAGATCAGGAGCGGGGAGCCTGGGGAGAGGGAAGCCTAGGGCCTGTTTGTCGAGGGTCTTCTTTGCTCCTCACCTGTGCTGCAGCTGAGCCACAGATCCTCTCACTGCCCAGGAAGGAGCCCAGAGCCAAATCTCACCCAAGGGCATGCGGCAGGTTTCTGGCAATGCCTAGATTTGGCTGGTCTACGGCCATACCACCCTGAACACGCTGATCTCGCTGAACCCAAATCTGCCTGACTACAAAACCGTGTATTTTTATCATTTTTGGGGACTCAGTGCAGTGATTGCAATAGTGTAGATAAGAAAGGACAACATCAAGGCCCTGTCCAGCACATGGGCTTAGAGAGGCACAAAACTCCCTTGGCCCCTTCCCTGCCCATCCCCCAACACAACACCCCAACCCCCAGTGCCCACAGCCGCCCTGCTTTCTCCACCCTCGCTCTCCAGGAAGAGCTCATTCAGGGGAGGAGGGAAGCACCTGCTCAGGCCACTTCTCTTTCTTTGTCTGGGGCTCTGCCAGGAGGAGCCAGCAGGGAAGGAGTAGTAGACAGAAAGAAAGAGAAAGGAAATTCCCGCCAGCTGTCAGGAAAGAATGGTGTCCTGGAAGGCCACTCACCCACTCCCTGGGTCCTGTGGAGTTCAGAACACTGGGGACTGGGGGAGGCCTTCATCCTTTGCCTCCTCTCATCTGAGAATCACCCTACCCACCTTATGTCCTAAATCTGGGCTCTTCCCTACTTCTGACACCTCGTGACACCTTGGAAAGGGAACTAGCTGCCTGGGGCCTCACTTTCAGTATTTGCATATCTGAGCATCATCTGTTGACTTGCCATGTGCCAGGTTTTATGTCCGCTACCCAGAATGTTCCCAAAGAATTATCTGTTCGAGCCTCTTCTCTACCTCAAACAAATAGGACACTCAGCTTTGAGAAGTACAGCAAGCTGTTAATACCATTAATCTAGGTGGTGTTCACTGCTAAATGATTTAAACTTTGCAGTATGTTTGAAAGTTTAATAATAAAATGCTGGGGGGAAAATATTTCTCAACCCAAAATATGTAAAAGGTAAATACCTGATGCATTGCCATCAAAGTTAGGAACAAGAGGTTGCTATGATTTAACATTTTCCTGTAGGACCTGCCAATGCAATTAAAAAAAGAAAGATATACCAGAGGTATAAAAGCTATAAATGAAGAGGAGAATTATCACTACTTGCAAATGATAAAATAGTATCCCTAGAAACCTCAAGAGAAACCACTGAAAATTAGTATAAGCTATTTGTGAATTTAGTAACATGGCAAAATATTAACATACAGAAACTTATGGCTTTCTAGTATACAATCATCAATTAGCAAATATAATTTTAAAAGGATATATAATACAATAAAAAAGGTAAATACGTGTAACAAGAAATGAATAAGAGCTATGTGAAGAAGCTTTTAATACACCACAAAAGGACACAAAGGACTACAAAAAGTAAACTATGATCATGGATATTTAGACTCAACATCATAAGGTTGACATTCTCTTTAATTTATCAATTTAACATAATCCCAATAAAATATCAATATTTTCTATCTATATAAGCAGATCCTAAAATTATATATTAAAATATATAAGCTAGAAGAGCCAACTACGTTTGAGAAAAGACCACAATGAGTGGTGACTATCCCTGTTGATATTAAAACATATTATGAAGTCTTAGTAACACAGCATTGTGGTACTGGTACATGAATAACAAGACTATTAAGTAGAAAATAATGGACAGTCTGTAAAATAAACCCAAATACATTCAGAAATGTAGAATGCAGCAAAGCCTGAATCTCAAATCAGTAGGGGAAAGAAAGGATTACTCATTACCTGGAATTATTTCAACTGGATAGATACCTGGGGGAAAAAAAGTTAATCTATACCTCATTCTTTACACCAAGATAAGTTCAAAATGCACCAAAGATTTAAATATAAGAATGAAATTCTAAAAGTAGTGAAAGGCCTAGTAAAAAGGTTACTTCTTTATAATCTCAGAGAAAGCCTTTCTAACTATGGCCCAAGATCCAGAAGCCATAAAAGACTGGTAAACTTAAATACTTGAAATGTAAACAAATAAATCTGCACTGCAAAAAGTACCATTTGAAACGTATACTTGCAACTCATATTCCAAAAGGCTCATTTCCCTAACATATAAAGGACTTCTTCCATCAATAAGAAATTAATCAAAGACCCTATAAAAAATAGGTGAAGAATATGGACAGACAATTCACACAAAAAGGAAATGCAAATAGATTGTAAGCATACGACGATATTTTCAACCTCATTTTTAATAAAAATGTTAATTGAAACTACTCTGACAAAGTTTCCCACTCATCAGCTTGGCAAAAAATTAAAACATATGATAACACTCAGGTTTTTTTGTTTTTTGGTTTTTGGTTTTTTTTTGAGACAGAGTCTCGCTCTGTCCCTCAGGCTGGAGTACAGTGGCACAATCTTGGCTCACTGCAAGATCTGCCTCCCGGGTTCACGCCATTCTCCTGCCTCAGCCTCCCAAGTAGCTGGAACTACAGGTGCCTGCCACCATGGCCGGCTAATTTTTTGTATTTTTAGTGGAGATGGAGTTTCACTGTGTTAGCCAGGATGGGCTCGATCTCCTGACCTCGTGATCCGCCTGTCTTGGCCTCCCAAAGTGCTGGGATTACAAGCGTGAGCCACCATGCCCCGCCAATAACTCTCAGTTTTTAAGAGGTTAAATGAACAGGCACACTTACACTTTGCTGGTTCAAATATAAATTATTGCAATCTCAACGGAAAGCAATTTTGTCAACATTTCAGAAGCACACACCTTTCCCCCAACTCTGAAACTTTTAACCAAGATATACTTGTATCCAAAAAAAAAATTACAGAGATCTTAGCTGTAAGGCTCATTGAATTTTTGCACGTGTACATTCATAAACCCACCACCATGATCAAAATGTAGAATACTTCTGTCATCCAGTTTTCCAAAGTGGCTGTAACACTGTACACTCCCAGCAGTGTAGTATGAGAGTTCCAGCTGCTCCTCATCCTCATCAACACTTGATATTATCAGCTTTCTAAATTTTGGCCTTTCTGGTGGATGTACAGTAGTAACTCATGGTTTTAATTTTCATCTTCCTGGTGAGTAATGATGAACAAAGCATATAAACAATTCACACAAAAATAAATGCAAGTAGGTCTTAACACATAAAGAGATTTCAACTTCTGTCTTAATAAGAATGCTAATTGAAACTACTCTGGGAAAGTAGTACCTTTTCACAGGCCTATTGGCTATTTGGATATCCATTTTCATGCAATGCTTATTCAAGTCTTGTCCACTTTTTTTTCTCATTTTTAAATCCAGTCACATATTATGAATACTAATCCCTTGTCAGATATATGCAATGCAAATATTGCTCCTCTGTCTGTGGCTTGCCTTTTCACTTTGTTAATGAATCTTTCGATGAGCAAAAGTTTTTAATTTTGATTAAGTTCAATTTATTGATTGTTTTATAGCTATTGCTTTCTGTGTCCTGTTAAGAAAACTTCCTACTACAATGTCAGGAGGAAATTCTTCTGCGTGTGTGTGCGCGTGTATGTGTGTGTGTTTCCTGGAAGAAAGCACGTACCTCTTCAACTATCCATTTAAATTCTAGGGATTTATTCTACAGACGTACCTGCATGCACATGAAATAAAGCGTGTCCACAGTTATGCTCTGCAGCACTGTCTATGATAGTGAAACTTAAGAAACAATGGAAATACTTATCAATAGGCAAAATGTGGCTGGACAAATGATGACCATCCAAACAATGGAATACTGTGTAGCTATAAAAATGAGCAAGGAAACTCTTTCTATATTTGATGTGAAAAGATCTCCAAGATATATAATTACATGTAAAAAAGCAAGATGTAGAGAGAACAATGTAGGTAGTTGGTGATCTTCGTGTAAAAAAGATTGACCTCTGAACAACACGGGTTTGAATTGTTTGGGTCCATTTATCCACAGATTTTTTTTCAATAAATTGGAAATTTCTTTGAGTTTAGCGACAATTTGAAAAAGCTCACGATAAACCAGGTAGCCTAGAAATATTTTAAAAAATTTAAGAAAAAGTCCTGTGTTAGCCTGTTTAGGAAAAAAAAAATTAAGAAAAAGGTATGTCATAAATGCATAGAATATCTGTAGATACTAGTCTGTCTTATCATTTACTGGCATAAAATATATACAAATCTATTATAAGAAGCTGAAATTTATCAAAACATACACACACTTTCAGATCATACATGGTGTCATTTGCAGTTGAGAAAAATGTAAACAAATGTTAATGACACAGTATTAAGTCATAACTGCACCAAATTGTGGCATCTACTGTACTACTGTAATAATTTTGTAGCCTGCTCTTGTTGCTATTGCAGGAAGCTCAAGTGTTGCAAGTATCTGCTTAAAATGCATGTGAGGCTAATCATCTCCATGTATATGATTCAATTCATCTCTCCAATAAATTGCATATGGCAATACAAAGTGATCTCTTGAGGTTCTTGATGTATTTTTCATCGTGTTTAGTGCAATAGTGTAAACCTTGAATGACAACTGCAGACCTCATTTCAAGATAAATGAATCCAGCTTAAGGACTATTGTAAAAAAATAAAAGGAAATTCATGAAGTTATTCCTGAGTTATGCCAGCAGGCATGAAAACCCTGCACTTTTCAAAATACCTTATCTCATTGTGAAAATACAGCTTTTATGTGGGTGCAGGATTACTATAAGAAAGGTATAACCTATAGATTCTAATATGATTCCGGAAAAGGTGAAATCATTATATGAAAACAAAGCAAAAGGAAGTTGAACGATCTAAAGTCAGATAATTTAACATCAGCAAAGGGTGGTTTGATCATTTTGAAAGAAAATTGGCTCATAAAATGTCGTGATAACAGGAAAAGCAGCTTCTGCCAACCAGGAAGCAGCAGATGAGTTCCTAGAAGCCATTAAGAAAATCACTGAAGAGAAAGGACATCTGCCTAAACAGATTTTTATTAATTAATTAATTTATTTATTTATTTATTTATTGAGACAGGGTCTTACTCTGTCACCCAGGCTGGAGTGCAATGGCATGATCTCAGCTCACTGAAACCTCCACCACTTGGGTTCAAGTGATTCTCCTGCTTCAGCCTCCTGAGTACCTGGGATTACAGGTGCACGCCATCACACCTGGCTAATTTTTGTATTTTTAGTAGAGATGGGGTTTTGCCATGCTGGCTAGGCTGGTCTTGAACTCCTGACTTCAAGAGATCCACTTGCCTCGGCCTCCCAAAGTGCTAGGATTACAGGCGTGAGCTACCACGCCAGGCCCTGAACAGGTTTTTAATGCAGACGAAAGTGCCCTGTTCTGGAAAAATATGCCATTAAGAACACTTGTTAGTGAGGAAAAGAAACAAGCATCAGGATTTAAGGCAGAAAGGGGTAGGCTAACTCTACTGTTTTGTGCAAATGTAGTCAGGTTTATGATCAGGACTACCCTTATCTGTAAAGCTGCTAACTCCCAAGTCTTGAAGGGAAAAGATTAACACCAGCTGGTAGTCTTTGTACAAGAAGGCCTGGATAACCAGAACACTTTTTCTGGATTGGTTGAATGTTTTGTCCCTGAAAAACTGCCTTTTAAAGTTCTTTTGATATTGGACAATATCTCTGGCCACCCAGAACCCCATGAGTTCAACTTGCTCCTAAACACAATGTTTCTAATTCAGCCTCTAGATCAGGAAATCATAAGAACTCCTAAGACTTATTACACATGGTACTGACCAGATGCGGTGGCTCACGCCTATAATCCCAGCACTTTGGGAGGCCGAGGTGGGTGGATCACTTGAGGACAGGAGTTCGAGACCAGCCTGGCCAACATGGTGAAACCCCGTCTCTACTAAAAATACAAAAATTAGCTGGGCATGGTGGCGGGCACCTGTAATCCCAGCCACTGGGGAGGTTGAGGCAGGAGAATCGCTTGAACCCAGGAGATGGAGGTTGCAGTGAGCTGACATCACTCCAGTGCACTCCAGCCTGGGCGACAGCAAAAGTCTGTCTCAAAAAACAGAAAAAAAAAAAAGACTCATTACACATTACACATGGTACTGTATGGAAAAGATTGTCAACACTAAGAAAGAGAACCTCTATAGAGAGAACAACATGAAAATCTGGAAGGATTACATAGTTGAAGATACCATCATTGTTACAGAAAAAGCTGTGAAAGCCATCAAGCCTGAGGCAATAAATTCCCACTGGAGAAAACGGTGTCCAGATGTTGTGCATGACCTCACCGGATTTACCACAGAGCCATTCAAGGAAATAATGAAAGAGATTGTGGATATGTAAAAAAGGTGTGTAGGAGTGAAGGGTTCAAAATATGAATCTTGGCTGGGTGCAGTGGCTCATACCTGTAATCCCAACACTTTGGGAAGCCAAGATGGGTGGATTGCTTGAGCCTAGGAGTTCAAGACCAGCCTGGACAACATGGTGAAACCCCATCTCTACAAAAAATAAAAAAATTAGCCAGGTGTGGTGGTGCACACCTGAAGTCCCAGCTACTTGGGAGGCTGAGGTGAGAGCATCACTTGAGCCCAGGACGTTGAGGCTACAGTGAGCCATGATCATGCCACTGCACTCCAGCCACGGCAACAGAGCAAGAGCCTGCCAAAAAAAAGATATGAATCTTGAAGAAGCTTAAGAGCTAACAGACATCACACTAGAGGAATGAACAGAAGACAACTTGATGGAGATGAGTGCTTCTGAAGCAATGCCAGACAATGAGGAAGAAGACATAGAAGAAGCAGCACCAGCAAACAAATTGACATTAGACAATCTGGCAGAAGGGTCCAATTATTCAAGACTGCTCTTGACTTCTTTCATGACATGAACCCTCCCATGATACAGGCACATGGTCAAAGGAGAATTGGTACCATATAGAAACATTTTTAGAGAAATGAAAAAGCCAGACAGAAATTACGATATATTTCTGTAAAGTTACACTGAGGGTGCCTGCCTGCCTCTCTTGTCTTCCCTTCCACCTCCACCACCACTTCCACCTCTGACAGCAATGCCAACCCCTCTTCTTCCTCCTCCCCTTCAGCCTACTCAGCATGAAGATGAGGATAGACTTTTTTTGTTTTTTGAAACACAGTCTCGCTCTGTCACCCAGGCCTTGGCTCACTGCAACCTCCACCTCCCGGGTTCGAGTGATTCTCCTGCCTCAGCCTTCTGAGTAGCTGGGACTACAGGCGTGCACCACCACACCTGGCTAATTTTTGTATTTTTAGTAGAGACGGGGTTTCGCCATGTTGGCCAGGCTGGTCTTGAACACTTGACCTCAGGTGATCTGTCCGCCTCGGCCTCCCAAAGTGCTGGGATTACAGGAATGAGCCACCATGTCTGGCCGAGGATAGACTTTTATAATGATTCACTTCCACTTAATGAATAGTAAATATATTTTCTCTTCCTTATGGTTTTCTTTTTAAAAATTTAATCAAAAAAATTTTTTTAGAGAGGGGCTCTTACTGTGTTGCCTGGGCTGGTCTCGAACTCTTGGCCTCAAGTGATCTTCCTGCCTGGGCCTCCCAATGTGCTGGGATTACAGGCATGAGCCACTGTGTCCAGTCAGTTTCCTTAATAACATTTTCTCTAGCTGACTTATTGTGAGAATTTAGTATATACACATATAACATGTAAGATATGTGTTAATTGACTGTTTATGTTATTGGTAAGGCTTCTGGTCAGCAGAGTTAAGTTTTGGGGGAGTTGAAAGTTATATGTGGATTTTCAATGGTGCAGGGGTCAGCGCCCTTATCCCTCACACTCTTCCAGGTTTAAGTATGTACATATAAATAATTTTGGGAAAGACACTCCAGTAACTGCTAACAGCAATTCCCTCCTACTGGAGGAACTGAGTAACTGGAAGCTAGGATTGAAAGGCAGACCGTCCACTGCAGGTCCTTTGCTTCTGAAGTTTAAACTGTCCAACTGCATGAAGGTTTTGCCTAAATATAAGTACTTATTTATAAATAGATAAGTTATTCTAAGTGGGTAGAGTTGTATGCATGTGGATATTGGTGGGCGAGGGCAATCCAGAGGGAGAAACAGCCGGGGCAAAGGCGTGTAGGAGAGAAAGCTGGCTGCAAAGCCGCCTGTGCCTGGGGACAGCGACAGCACTTCACAAACACTGCACAGGGGCTCATCAGGCCTCCATGTTGCATTCTGATCAGCGGGAGCAGTTCACAGTCCCAGGTATAAGCTCTCTTTGGACAGGCCCATGGCACTGAGTCAGCACTGAGCTGGGGTACTTTATCTACTCTGTTTCATTTACACCTTGTTCCAATCCCAAAGAGTAGGTCTTAGGAATGATGTCTACTGGACAAAGAAGAATGAAGCTCAGGGAGGTTAAGTAACTTGCCCAAGGTCACAGAGCCATTAAGCAGCTCGGGTGGACCTAGGGCTGTGTATCACTTCCTTTCCAGAATTCTATAGATCAGGGTGGGAAAAAGTGGGGAGTGGGTGCAAAGAGTTAAGCACCCAAGAGTGAGCAACCAGACTCTTCCCTGCATTTTCTTGGCCAGCCCCTCCCGCTTCTACCCAGGTTGTTATCTGGCCTAGGCCCCAACCACAACCCCCACTGGCCCCTCACTGGCCGAAGGCAGGAAGGAGGCACAGATGGCAGGCGGGGACGAGGCCCCCAGCCAGGCTCACCCAGCTGTCGCTTTGGAGAGCACCATGCATCTCGCCCTCCTCCTCCATTGAACAATTGGGAGCTGGCCAGCCTGGCCCCAGCTGTTCCCTCTCCCTGGTCCAGGGCTCCTACCGACCCAAGCTTCTGGGGTTTTTGTCTCCAGGGGAGGAGAAGCACAGAGTTTCAGAATGTCAGAGCTGGCGAGACCTTGGAGGACAACGGGCCCAACATCTCATTTTACAGATGGGGAAACTGAGGCCTAGAAAGGCAAAGGAACTCACCCAAGGTTACAAAGAACCAGGCAGAGAAGCTAGGTTTCCTAACTGCCAGTGAAGCTTAGGAGTTTGGGGAGCCCCACAGGAGTGAAGGGTGCTCAGGTCTATTGCATTGCTCCCTCCCCACCAACTTTCAGCCACAGCAGTTCTGCCTGTCCTGATTTTATACAATAATATTTCCCTCTGATTTTATTTCCAAGGTCTTTAATCTGAGTGGGGCCACAGACCCTGTTAGGAGGTTTGTGAGTCTGGGTAGGAGACAACTTACATCTATATTTTCACTAGCCTCTAACTGAAACCTCACATTTCTTTCGTGTATAAATGTAGGCAGCAAACCCCAACAGGATTACTTGAACCTATAATGTGTTCATCAACAGGTATCACAGATATTTTCAGATAACTTCTGCTACTATTAACTCAAAATATGTATGCACATCATGACTTTGAAATTAGAGTCGTTACTGTGTCCTACACTCAATCATGGGGCGTAATGCATTGATAGAAAAGCACTTATTACAGCACAATTCTGGTATACATTTTGATAACTGTATTTCCTTTTTTTTTTTTTTTTTTTGAGACAGGATCTCATTTTGTCACCTAAGCTAGAGTGCAGTGGCATGAGCACAGCTCACTGCAGCCTCAACCTCCCCGGGTTCAAGTGATGCTCCAACCTCAGCCTCCCGAGTATCTGGGACTACTAGCATATGCCACCACACCTGGCTAATTTTTTTGTATTTCGTAGAGATGGTGTCTTGCTATGTTGCCCAGGTTGGTCCCAAGCTCCTGCACTCAAGCAATCCTTCCACCTTGGCCTCCCAAAGTGCTGGGATTACAGGTGTGAGCCACTGTACCTGGCCTGTGTTTCAAAATAATTGGCTTCTTGCGTAATCCTATTTTGTATACTTAAAAACTTTATTCTGTGAAGGGGTCTATGGGTTTTTCTAGACTGCCAAAAGGATCTATCCCTGACTCCCCCAAAAGTTCATCTGTTTTATTTGAATAAAATTATTCAGTGTTAAAAACTAAAGTTTGCAAACTTTTGTACTCCATCTGTGACCTCATAACATTAAGGCAGAATTCTCATGAGATAAATGAGCAAACTGGGGATCGGGGGGACTGGACCCTAGGTGGGGAGGGTGCATCAGAGCCCAGCAAGCCAGGATCACACCAGCAGACTTGCACTGAAAGGTTTGCCCTGAGCCAGGCACCTTCCAGGCTTTATGTAACACCTCACTGAATCCTCAGAACAGCCTCGGGGTTAGGACTAGCATGTCTCTCATTCTACAGCGAAGGAAACTGAGGCACAGATCAGTTAGGTAACTTGCCCAAAGAACATAGCTGGCAAATGGTAGAGTCAGGGTTGAAAGCCAGGCCAGCTGATGCAGACCCTGCACCCCTAATCACTGGGCACACTGCCTCCCTGTCTAGGTAGATGGAAGCCTCTCACGGGAAGTCTCTAAGGTGTTGCTGTTGTCTGGGTGCTTCTCTTGGTGGGGGAAGGAGGAGTGGGAAATGGGATGGTTCTGAAGCATTTGCTGCCAGGATCAATCATCTGACACATGGGGCACTAACTAGCTGTGCAACCTTGACCAAGTGTCTTGCCCTTTCTGGGCCTCAGTGTCTCCATCTATAAATTGCAGAGTTTTAAGCACTACCCCTCCATACCTTCCACCTCTCATGCTCACCTGACGACCCACTTGGAAACTCAGGCACAGGTTGCTTAGCAACTGAAATCAAGGTCTTGGCTGAGTGGAATGGAAAGGGGGGAGACAAGAAGTGCTATGTGATGCTGATGTCACAGATCTGTCTCTTGACACGTGAGGCTGTGAATGCTGGGACCAACCCTTCTTCCTCCCACATCCCTCCATCAAGTCAAGAGCCTTGGGATGGGAGCGGGTTGGTTGGGTCGGGGGGCGGGGGGGACGGTGCGAGGGGGAGGGGGAGGGGTGGGCAGCAGTCAGGGACATGAGGAAGGCCATCTGGAAGTGCAAACTGCCCTAAGGACTAAATCAGGCCTGAAGTTTCTCAGGCAGGGCAAACAGGCAGCCATTGTTCTGGAAGCTGCCAGGAGAAAGGCCAGTGGTAGGAGCCTTGGCCAAGGCCTCTGGGCCCCAACTGCCCCCAGGGAGATGCTCTGTTTCAAGCCAGGCAACCTTAGTTCCACTCCCCACACCCCTCCTGCACCCTAAATCATTTTTGTTCCTTGAAGTGCTGAGAGTCACTGACACATGAGGGTGCTTCCAAAGCTACAGGCTCAGATGAGACACAACAGCAAGTCTCTACCTGGCCTCCTGTTGAGGGGCTTGGGGATGGCCGCCCTTTGTGGACAGATCTCCTGCAGACTGGAATTCCACTATTACCAACACATTCCTTTGGGTCTCAAGAGTTTGGTCTCCTTAAATCTCACCCTAACCTTAACCAAATGCAAATTCCCTTAGTAAAGGAAAGCCATTGTTATCATCGACACCTTAGGAGATGTGAGTGTGGACTCTGAGAAGTGGCTGAGGGCAAGGATTCTGGGGAAGGGGGCCAGAGGGTGTCCAGGCATGTCATGCAACCTTGGATAAGACACTTCTCCTTTTTGGGATCAGGACTTGTCGTGGGCACAACAAGGCGCTTGGAATCTATGATCCCTGGGGTCCCCTCTGACTCTGGCATTGTGTCAATGTAAGACTGGGATTGGGGCACTGGGGAGGAGGGCCGGCGAGAGGCATGGACTGTGAGGACTGTGTGGCTTCAGCCTGGCTCAGAGCACAGAGCTCATGCTCATTCAATGGGGCTGTGCCTCCATCTGAGCCAGCTAGACTCCAAGGAGCCTCCGTCTCAATTCCAGCACCGTTTTCTCCCACCAACCTGGATCTTTTAATAATAGAAGAAATATAGCTCAGATTTGTTGAGCACTTGCTGTACGCCAGGCACTGTGGTAAAACCTTTACATGCCTTCCCTCATTAAACCCTGGCAGGCAGTCCAACTCCAGATAAACAGGCAGGCTGGCTTGAGAGGGGCACCACCAGGCTCCATGGCAGCCCTGGACCCTCCCTAGAATCCCCCATCTCCAGGCACCCAGCCTGGCATGGCCACCTCAGTCATGCCTCCCTGGAGACCCTGCACCACCATCCCTGTACCCCTTTAGGCACAAATGACTTGCCTATGGGTACCTTCCCCTCGAGGTAGCTCACTGCTAGGCATACTCAGGGACTGTGCCAGACAACAGTAGCAGGAAGGCCAAAGACAAGGCTCACACTTGCTGGCCACAGGCTCCAAATCCCACCAAAGCTAACAGGCTATTGCTAGGATGGGGTGGCCTGGAGATGGGTAACAGTCCTTGGCATCACCATGGCTCCCGTTTACTAGCACGTACTATGGGCCAGGCTACGTGCTAAGTGCTTTTTACAGCACCTTATTTAATCATCACAGCACCCTGAGAAACATGCACTATTATTATTTCACAAACAGGGAAACTGAGAAACAGATGTTAGATGCCTAGGGTTTCACAGCTAAGGGGTGGAGCTACAACTTCCAAAGGTATGGGAGGCTCCAGGCCCTAGAAGGAAAATGGGTAGCAGATCAAGCAGACTGCCAGATGCTTCAGAGGCCAGGGCAATGCCTCTGGGCAGAGTTAGGGCCCATGGCTTGACTTCACAGAGTCCTAGTGAACCAGCTACTATAATTTCCAGCCTCCCTGGCTCTGCAAGGAATGAGAGGAATGGAGCCAGGAAGACAGCTCAGCTGTAGACCCAGGCCCAAGGGAGAGGGATGGATTCTTTGACCTCCCATGATGCCCACTAGCCAGGCTGCATCTCTGGCCCCCTGGACTCCAAATCCAGAGAACACCCATCCCATAACCTTGTAATAAAATAAGAGAGCGACACTTCCATTTCTGCAGAAGGGCTCGCCTTCACTTTCCTCAAAAATCAGCAGCCATTCTTCCAAAAAAGGAAAAACACAAAGCAAGCTGTCAATCTCGAGCCTCAGACAAATGAAATAAAGTTGCGACTTTTCTCTTTGAGAGCACAATTCTCCTCCCTTTTCCAAAGTCACTTACTGTACATTCAGGCTGTCATGGGCTTTGAGATGCAAATTGCACCAAGCGGAAGGCAGCTTGAAGAACAAAGAACGATTGAGGAAAGATCTGAAAAATGGATTTGGAAAAGGCTCTCTGAATTCCCTTGGAGGGGCGGAGACCTCACTGCAGAGCAGTGATGAAGATTCAGGCATTTTTTTTTTTTTCCTGGGGGAGAGAAGGTTTGAGGAGCTCAGTGCTGATTGTGGGGGAGTGATGGGGTGTTACAGAAATCTGGAATGGGAACGAAGGCTTTGGGTAAGCAAACAAAATATTATTTTATTACAGTCCTCAGTACTGAGCTGGGCACCTTTCCTCCTGACCCTTCTTTTAATATTAGGCCTCAGACATGCTGTGAGCTATGGAGCTAAATGATCCACCAACTTCTAGATTCAGCTCCAGAGTTAAGACCAGCTGGGCCATGCAATATCGTTCTAAGGGCTTTCAGGGGAGGATGCAGCCCCTTTCAGTGTGGGCAGCCCCTGTATGGTGCTGCATTCTCCCTAGGATCTGGTGGGGATGGGCTGCCAGGATCAGCAAAGAAGAGACCCCATCTCAGAGTAGATGGGCACCTGCCTCTGTGATTTGGCCATAGGTCAGCCCAATGGCCCCTTGGCTGAGGATCTACTGTGAGCCACCCC
The DNA here is from genome assembly GCF_000001405.40 of Homo sapiens. Taxonomy (NCBI): domain Eukaryota; kingdom Metazoa; phylum Chordata; class Mammalia; order Primates; family Hominidae; genus Homo; species Homo sapiens. Next base: position 68,653,386 of record NC_000015.10, on the reverse strand, counting down.
TGTGCAAACCAGACAAGTTTCCCACCGTTGGGGGCTCTCGGTCCAAGAGAGGTAGCCAATTGGACTACAAACTCTAGGTGGTCAAGACTTGGTCTTGTTTACTGCTTCCTTTTCGGTCCAGGAACTCTGACTGAAACCTAGCAGGCATTCAATACCCATCTGTTAGATGAATGGGTGGGTCGGTGGGCCAATTTTGCCTCCTGACTGCTGGAGTGATGCTATCTTGTCTGGACCGCTGCTCCAGGACCCCACCCCTGCCTCTCCTTGCCAACTAGAATTGTTGCTTCATTCCTTCAGAGAGTAAGCTTCCCCAAGATCTGCTGCACTTGTATGGAGTTTGGAAACATCTACTCTCTCGGCTTCCAAAAGAGATGGACACATGGGGTGTCAGCTCATCAGAGAGGTGTAATAAAGTGTTGGTTGAATTAATGTTCAAGGAAATCCTCTAAGACATCCAAATGGCAGTAATAGTAATACAAGGCACATTTATAGAAATGCTTCCCTCTAAACCTCTGTAAGGTGGGCAGGCACATGACTGGGAGAGCCCTGGGCTAAATTCTGACTCTGCTACTTGTGGGCCGTGCAGTCTTAAAGGAGTTACTTGACTTTTCTGAGCCTCTGTTTCTTTATCTGTAAAACGAGGAGAATGAGTATACTTTCATCATAGAACTTGAGGTGAGATTCAAACAGAGCAGGTATGTTAGATCCTCAAAAGCTCCTCAGGCCACACTACTGTGGTGGGGAAGGAGAATGCACCATCCCAGCCCCAGAGACCCGGTGTACAGCTGGGACTGAGAATGGCTGGGTTATAGGGAGAACCCAGACTCTTGATATCTAGGCCGGGTTTCTTCTCTTTCTGCCAGGTGCCAGTTGGGGTAGCAGGTAGCTCTGTTTCTAGCCCTGTTCTTCCTGTGGCCTGGATCTGGAGGTGGCAGGCAGTCCGGGTGAAGTGCAGCAGGAAAGGGGTGGTGCCCCTGGGGAGGCCCCAGTGGTTAATCAGGCTGCTGGGCACAGTGCCTGCTCTCTGGAATATTCATAAGGCCCCTCCAGCTGTGCCAGGCAATCAGGGTGCTGATTGCTCCCCCATCTGCAGCTTAACATTCCACTCCAGAGAGCTGGCAGCTGAATGTTAACTAGGGGAAAAAACAGGCACTGGCCTTCACAACGGCAGCCCGAATAAGAGACCTGGGGAAGACAGAGCCACTCCTTCGAGATCTGCCAGCCAGAACTTATCTGTTTACCAGCATCATGGGTGGTGGAAAGAATCATGGATTCAGAAATAAGTGAGCTGGCTTGGGGTCCATACTGTATGCCCGGCTGTGCCGTCTCAGCTTCCCCAAGTGTGAGGTGGGGATGGCTGTACCCACCTGCTGAGAGGATCAATGAACATAGAGTTTGCTGGAACTTGAGAGTGCTGTACAAAGGCAAAGCATCTTCGCGGTTGTTGTTTGTAGTTGTTGTAGACACGGCTTCCTACTCTGCAGAAGAATTTTTAATCATAAATATGGAAATCTCAAGCAAGCTGGCTTTGAAGGAAATGGAGCAAGGAGAGAAAAGCTCTGTGGAAGGTTCTGAGCCTCCCTCAGGAGGTGTGGCCTCGGGGCAGGGATTTGGGGATCCTGGGCAGGTGCTGTTCTCTTCTGGTCCAAATCTCTTAGAAAAGCAAGCAAGGAATGAGAGGATATGCTGGATAGTGGAGGGAAAAAACTTAGAGAAGAACTGAGACAATTCTCTGCGGCCTGCTGTTTGCTCAAGACAAAAATCTGGAGCCATTCAGCGTAGGGACAAGACTGTCCCACCATGAATTAATAGCTTATAACTAACGCTCCAAGTGATGATTTGCAGTCACCAAGAAATGGTCCAAATCTTTTCTGTGTTTGTATTGAATACAGGAAACTGTTTTCAGGGAAATTTCTATCAAACTGAGGGGGTGAAAACTGGAGCTAAAATAATCTGACCCTTTTCCTTCCTAGAAAATCGGCTAGTGTGGAACAACATCTCCACCGCTGCCAGATCAACGAAGGGTTCCGCATTGGGCCTGACTGCCTCCCTCTCCCCGCACCCCCTGCACCAACCTAGAGGCTGTCCCACGCCTGCAGGCCCAGCCCTGACCACAGGGGGCGGTAGAGGGACGGCCATGGCTTGGGCGGCAGGGGAAGCCGGCGCTGGCTCCAATACCTAAGTCATCCCGCTTTGGAGGCGGGACCCTGCGTCCCATAGTCCCCAGACTCGGGGTCCTGCCTCAAACTACTTACTTGAGCCTCGCAGATCAAGGAGCTGCCTCACCCTCCCACGGAGTCAGTAACCCACCCCACCCCTCGCCATTCCTTCACTATGGGTCCTGCAGTTCTGTTTGAACTTTCTACCGCGAGCCCATATTCAGGTGTTACTCTGGGAGGAAACATTTGCAACATACATAAGGGAGGGCTGATGTTCAAGGCAGATGAAGACATTCATCTGACCAGAGGGCAGCAGGCAAACCTAGCGGATGGGGCCCCTCGTCTTTACCCAGTGCACACCCTGCACTGAGCCCCTCTCTGGCCTGTAGGGCCTCTGAAACTTCAGGGGCTCCCTCTTCACATCAGCGAATTGCCTCTATTTTTTCGAAAGTACAAAACGTTAAGTACTGATTGTAAGAAATTTAGATCATATAGCTAAGGGAAAAGAAAATTAAAGAGCACTCATGGTCCCAATACTTGGGAGGTAACAACTTTTGACATTTGATGTATATTTTTGCAGTCGCTTCCAGATAGGTAAACAGATAGTTTTTGTTTTTGAGACGGAGTCTCACTCTGTCGCCAAGCTGGAGTGCAGTTGCGCGATTTCGGCTCACTACAACTTCCGGCTCCCAGGTTTAAGCGATTCTCCGGCCTCAGCCTCCCAAGTAGCTGGGATTACAGGCACGCACCATCACGCCCAGCCAAGTTTTGTATTTTTAGTGGAGACGGGGGTTTCACCATGTTGGCCAGGAATGTCTCCATTTTTTTTTTTTTTTTTTTTTTTTTTTTTTTTTTTTTTTTTTTTTTTTTTAGACAGAGTTTCGCTCTTGTTGCCCAGGCTGGAGAGCAGTGGCGCGATCTCAGCTCACCGCAACCTCCGCCTCCAATTCTCCTGCCTCAGCTTCCTGAGTAGCTGGGATTACAGGCACCTGCCATCATGCCCCGCTAATTTTGTATTTTTAGTAGAGACGGGGTTTCTCCATGTTGGTCAGGCTGGTCTTGAACTCCTGACCTCGGGTGATCAGCCCGCCTCGGCCTCCCAAAGTGCTGGGATTACAGGGGGTAGATATTTTTAATGTGATTAATCGCATATTGCATTTCTTCACGTAACAGTGTATCATATAAATAGTTTTCTCTTGTTAAATATTACTTTGCATCGCTGGTCCTCAGTGTATGGTCTGGGGACCTCTGGAGATCCCCGAGACCATTTAATGCAGTCCATTGGGTCAAAAGTATTTTCCCAATAATAAGACATTGTCTGCCACTTCACTCTCATTCTCTCTCTTGAGTGTATAGTGGGGTTTTCCAAAGGCTGCATAATGTGTGATATGCAAAGCCAGCCAGCTGTCTTCTAATAAGCCAGACATATATTAAAGAGATTTGCAAAAGTGTAAAATGATGCCATTCTTCTCATTAACTTTTTTGTCTTAAAAAAAGTTATTTTTAATAAAAATATGTTTTTCAGGAGAACATGAAATAGACTTATCATTATGCAAGTTAATAAATACATAGTTTAAAATTCCTTCATTTTTATTTTGAATATGCTAACTATTGACAGATATAACCCATATAAACAAAAGTTCTTTGGGATCCTCAATAATCAAGAGTGGAAAGTGATCCTGAGACTGAACGCTGGAGAACGAGACTGCTCTACAGCATCATTTTAATGACTGCATAGTGTCCCTTTGTGTGGCTCTTCCCTAATTTGTTTACCCCATTTCCTTAATGATGGACCTGCAGGTTGTTTCCAACCTTTCACTATCATAAAATTGCTACACAATCACTCAGTACTCATGTAAAGTGAAAACTTCTTGAAATGAGAGAAAACAACAGAAATCAATTGGTAGTGTGAGTGGTCACAATAAGTCCATGATTAATCAAGTTAAATAAAATATATTACAGCACGTGAACAAATAAAGTTGAAAAAAGATATATATCAAATACACCTGATATGTATATATATAGCATATTTCTATATATAGACATACTCTGTAAAGAACACGTTCTTTTCTGCTGTCCATGAAGTGTTTACAAAGTGTGATCATATTCCAGACCAGTGCTACTGACAGTGTAAAACATTTTGTTACCATTACAGAAATTGAGAGGAAGCGTTTAGAAACGTTTAAGCAATTTGACAGAGAAACTTTATTTTTATTGAATATAATTTAAAAATTGAGGCTTGTAAAAATAATCGAGTACTAAAAAATGCTGCACACGTATTTTTTAAATACACTTGAGAATATTTCTGTAGGATGAATTCCTAGAGTGGAATTGCTAGGTCAGTAGACATGCATCTTTAAATATTAGTAGAAATTGCCAACTTGCCTCATTTACGTCTTACGAAGAGTGTATTTGAGCACCTGCTCTCTCACACCTTTGGCAATACTGATGATTATTACTCTTTTAAATCTTTTCCAATTAGTAGGTTAAAATATATATTTTGCCTTCTGTGAATTGCTTATTCATATCTTTTGCCTTTCTTCCTTTCTCTCTCTCTTTCTCTCTCTTTCTTTTTTTTGAGACGGAGTCTCGCTCTGTGGCCCAGGCTGGAGTGCACTGGCGCAATCTTGGCTCACTGCAAGCTCCACCTCCTGGGTTCACACCATTCTCCCACCTCAGCCTCCCAAGTAGCTGGGACTACAGGCGCCCGCCACCAGACCTGGCTAATTTTGTTTTTGTATTTTTAGTAGAGATAGGGTTTCACCATGTTAGCCAGGATGGTCTTGATCTCCTGACCTTGTGATCCACCCGCCTCTGCCTCCCAAAGTGCTGGGATTACAGGCGTGAGCCACTGCACCCGGCCTTTTGTTTCTTTCTTTCGTTTTTTTTTTTTTTTTAGCTGGAATCTTGTTCTGTCACCCAGGCTGGAGTGCAGTAGCGCAATCTCGCCCACTGCAACCTCTGCCTCCCGGGTTCAAGCAATTCTCCTGTCTCAGCCTCCCAAGTAGCTGGGACTACAGGCACATGCCATCATGCCCAGCTAATTTTTGTATTTTTAGTAGAGGCGGGGTTTCACCATATTGGTCAGGCTGGTTTCAAACTCCTAAACTCAGGTGATCCACCCACCTCGGCCTCCCAAAGTGCTGGGATTATAGGCGTGAGCCACCATGCCCAGACTCTTTTTTTTTTTTTTTTTTTGAGAGACAGGATCTTTCTCCGTTGCCCAGGGTGGAGTGCAGGGGAGTGATCATAGCTCACTGCAGCCTCCAATTCCTGGGTTCAAGCAATGCTCCCACCTCAGCCTCCCAAGTAGCTGGGACTTCAGGGCAAGCCATCATGCTCGGCTAATTTTTTTCTTTTTTTTTTTTTTAATTTGTAGAAACAGGGTCTCAGGGCCTCACTATGTTGCCCAGACTGGTCTCAAACTCCTGGGGTTAAGTGATCTTCCTGCCTTGGCCTCCCAAAGTGTTGGGATTACAGGCGTGAGCCACGGCACCTGGCCCCAGTCCCTTCTTTCTTTCTTTCTTTTTTTTTTTTTGAGATGGAGTTTCGATCTTGTTGCCCAGGCTGGAGTGCAATGGCACAATTTCAGCTCACCACAACCCCCGCCTCCCAGGTTCAAGCGATTCCCCTGCCTCAGCCTCCAGAGCAGCCGGAATTACAGGCATGTGCCACCACGCCTGGCTAATTTTGTATTTTTAGTAGAGACGGAGTTTCTCCATGTTGGTCAGGCTAGCCTCAAACTCTCGACCTCAGGTGATCTGCCTGCCTTGGCCTCCCAAAGTGCTAGGATTACAGACGTGAGCCACCGTGTCCGGTCGGGTTCTTTTTCTTGTTAATTTTTCTGGAACTCTTTATATATTCTTCACAGGAATACTTTGTCTATTATATATTGCAAATATTGTAGTCAAGTATGTGGCTTGAGTTTTCATTTTGTTTAGGTGCCTCATTGTAATACAGAAACTGTCTTTTAAAAATTTATTCTAACCTATTCATTTCCTTTATGATTTGGGGGATTCCTGGCTTTCTTAGGAAGCCTTTCTTCATTGCATGATTTTAAACATGCACTCCATTTTCCTCTAATACACATGTAGCTTTTCTTATTTTAAATGTTTAGATCTTTAATGCATCTGGAATTAATTTTTGTCATGATGTGAGGTATTGCTTGTTGACCCTTGTGAGCCTAAAGTGGAGCATGGCAGGGTGCCGGCGATAGGTTTGAGCCTCAGTAAGAACCAGCCCACATGTTCCTGGGGACCTGCAGGCCTGGATGGATGGAGCTGAGTGCGTCCCTGAGGCAACAGTGATCGGAGGCCATCTGATTCAGGAGGGAAGGGAAGCTGCATTTGAGGATCCTTCCGAATGTGTTAGAGCTGCTGTGAGCCTTTGCCAAGTTGACCAGCATAGTGGATAACTTCCCCAAAAAAGTAACCAAACATCCTTAACATGTTGTGTGGTTCACTAGGAGCTTCACATCTATTATCTCACTTAAGGCCAACATGACAGATGTAGGCAGAGGAGGATTTCTGATCCTGCTTTTACCATTACAGGAAAATAAGGGTCAGAGAGGTGAAGTGACATGCACACGGTCCCAAGTCTGGCAAGGGCAGAACCCAGACCTCCCGCCATCAAGTGCATGCTCCTTGGACCTCTCTGTGCATCAGGCTCTGTCCTCAGTGTCCCTGCAGCTGCCCCTCTGATGGAGAGGAAGATCTGGTCTAAGCCTTTTCCAAATCTGTGCTCCCCCACTGTGGGTAGGAGAGACTGGAAAAATCCATCCTCCACCACCAGCTGACAGTGAATTTTGAGAACCAAGGCTTCCTTCCACATGCACCTCTTCCTCCCCCTGAGCGATTTGGCGGAGGGTGGGAGTGGGGATGAGTCAGGCTGGGAAGGGGGAACTCAGCCATAAACAAGTGGGACTGACAGCAAGCACTTTCCCTGAAGCGCGTGACCTCCCACGGGCCTCTGGGGACTCCGCCTGAGTGGCTATGGCTTAAAAATTTCATGATCTAGGTTTTTCAGATTTAATCTGTTATATTCACGTAAGCAGCTGCAGAAAGGGGAAAATCTTTAGATAGGAGGTGGGGGATGGGGAAGAAGGTAAATTATTTCCAGTCTCTCAGTAGAGAGCAATTAAAAAAAAAATGAGTGGGCCAGGTGCAGTGGCTCATGCCTGTAATCCCAGCACTTTGGGAGGCCAAGGTGGGCAGATCACCTGAGGTCAGGATTTCGAGACCAGCCTGACCAACATGGTGAAACCCCATCTCTACTGAAAATACAAAAATTAGCTGGGCGTGGTGGCACGTGCCTGCAATCCCAGCTTCTCGGGAGGCTGAGGCAGGAGAATCGCTTGAACCTGGGAGGCAGAGGTTGCAGTGAGCCGAGATCGCGCCATTGAACTTCAGCCTGGACGACAGAGCAAGACTCCATCTCAAAAAAAAAAAATTGTATAATTTTTGCAGATGCTCAATGTATAATACCTATGGCTAGGTCTTCATCCCTTCCGGCTCCAAACCAAGAGGACACTCAGGACACAGAGTGGTAGAGCTAGACTTGGTCTTGGAGATCAGAGTGTTCCACTCCCTCAGGGAATGGAACCTTGTGTACACCAAGGGAGTGGCTTGTCCAAGTGCATACCTTTAGGCAAGCTCTGGAAAGAGATCTCAGGTCTCCTGGATCCAGGTCCTGCACTTGTTCTGTTGAATCTCAGGAAAACCCTAAAGAAGGCATAGCCACTAGATGCTTGATGAGGAAGTAAAAGGTGGGAACTCAGAGAGAAGTAGGGTCAACAGGCCTAAGAGAGACCAAGGAGGGCTCCTCTCTGCCCTGGAGCTGCAGCTGGAGTGAAGGTAGGGGCCACCTACCTGCTCCAGGGGGATGACGAGGAAGGAGCCGCCCCCTGCGCTCTCGGTGACGATGGCCAGGAAGCGGGTGTTGACGGCACAGAAGTGGTTGTCGTGCACATTCTTGGTGATGGGGATCCCATCGAAGCAGTGCTCCCGGTTGGCCACCTTCCCGTAGACATTCCGGAACTTGGAGCTACGGTATTGCGGACGCCAGGACATCTGTGAGGGGCCAGGAGAGACAAGGGTCAGGCTGGGCCCTGTGCCATGAAGGGCCTCGGCTGGGCTCTTGGGGGAGGGAAGCTGCGGCTCAGAGGTGCAGCAGGTGAGCAGGCCCTGGGTCCCCTGTCAGGAAGAGATGGAAAGGAAGAAGCATCCAAGAATTCAGGGCACACTCATATGCCCAGCCCGTTCTAGTGGGTTTCATCTTTTAATAAAGTCTTACAAAAACAAAGATTGGCATAGGAGCTTTTGGTACACATGCCCACCCCACTTTCTAGAAAGGTTGTAGGGTCCTTTTACTACCCAGGAACCTATCATGTGATAGAGCGAAGCAAGAACACATACAGACTCCCTCCTGAGTATCTGGAACTGTGCTCGGTTCAGCATGGGAGATGCGGACAGCAGAGGCCAGTGTTTACCAAGATTGAGGACAGGGCCCACAGCAGGAGTGGGGTGGGGAGATGTCTCTCCACGTGCAAGAAGGCAACCCCCCATCCACTGTCATCCCCTCGGATTCTCTAGTGTTTCTAATCCACAGGTACACCCTCAGAAATCTCTGAGTCCTGGATATTATCATCATATCATCAGGCACAGAGAGGTTAAGTGACTTGTCCAAGGCTACACAGCTAAGTAGGGCCATGAACATAGGTCTCCTGACTGGAAATCCAAGACTCCTCCTATGCCAGATTACCCTTTGGAGCAAGGTTTCTCAGCATGTGGCCCACAGATCACCTGTATCAAAGTCATCTGGGGTTGGGGAAGTCTCTGATCTTCCTATGTCATTTATAAGAAATGCTGATTACTGGGTCCCAATCTAGACCTACTGAATCCAATATTTTGAGGATGGAACCCAGGAATCAGTACTTTTCCATCACAACTGGAGAGTCTCATGTGATGACAAAGCACATGATTAAAGCAATCTGGATTGCTGAGTCACTACATGAGGCGTTGCTGTCTTGGAACACTTACAGAATCCATAGCGGACTTTGCATGAGTGACAAACTTTTGTTATAAGCCGCTAAGATTTTGGAGTTAATTTGTTATTACAGCATATCCTAGCCTGTTGTAACTGATATACTTTGTAGTTGGTTTTTTTTGTTGTTGGTTTTTCTTTTTGTTTGTTTGTTTTTGAGATGGGGCTGTCACCCAGGCTGGAGTGCAATGGTGCGATCTCGGCTCACTGGAACCTCCGTCTCCCAGGTTCAAGTGATTCTCCCACCTCAGCCTCCTGAGTAGCTGGGATTACAGGGGCCCACCACCACGCCCAGCTAATTTTTGCATTTTTAGTAGAGACAGATTTCACCATGTTGGCCAGGCTGGTCTTGAACTCCTGACCTCAGGTGATCCATCTGACTCGGCCTCCCAAAGCGCTGGGATTACAGGTGTGAGCCACGGTGCCGCCTGGCCTGCATTTGATTTAAATCAAGCCATGAGCTAATTCACAAACTCCTCTTTATTGAAGGAAGAAGTTCAGAATCCAGAAGGAGAATCCCAGGGAAGATTCCTCACCTTCAAGCAAATTCTCTTCCACCAGCTCTCTGGGCCCCAACCCCTGCCTCTCCACTGCCTCTTCTCCACTTCCCAAGGTTGCCCTCCATCCCACAGGGCCAGTCTCCCTGCTCTCCGCTCCTCCCTACTTCCCTGCCTTTGCCCATGCTGTGTCCCTGTCCCACTTGCTGTCTCTCTCTGCTGAGTTCTGCTCCAGACTGTCTGGATAAAGTCATGCTGGAGAGGCAGGAGCACTGGATGGGAGGCTGGTGGGTCACTGCCCTTTCCCCTCCCCAGGCTGACTGTGTGACCTCAGGCAAGGCCTTCCCCTCTCCTCCCCAGGCTGTGTGACCTCAGACCAGCCTCTCCCCTCCCCTCCCCAAGCTGACTATGTGACTGCAGGCAAGGCTCTCCCTTCCCCAAGCACTGGCTCCTCATCAGGACACCAACTATTCCCAAAGTGGGGTCCCAGGTGGTCCTTTACATGGTTACAGAGATGAAGTTAATTTTAGCCAGTCATGTGTTTATTTTAAATTGCTTTAGAAAAAATATAACTTGCATGCCAAATCCATGATTTCACAGATACTACTGCTAATGTGGCTAAGTTTTAAAAAGTGAATCAATTCAAAGAAAAATACAGTATGAAAAATACAGTATGGGTGGTTGGTGGACCTGGCAAAAGTTTAATCTGAAGTGAGAACACCAGGTATTTCTCTGTCTTTTCCATGCAGAACATTCTCGATGCCACAGTTTCCACAGACGAGAAAGGAGGTGTTGAGCTTGGTCACTCCAACCTCCTGTTCCTTGCTGTGCAATTCTAGCCTGGAATGTCTTCTCTGTGCAGCCAACCCTCAGCCTTTAAGGCCTGACTCACTCTGATCTACATAGTCCACAGTGACCTTCTCAGAATCCGCAGACAGCCGGCGCCTCTCCCTGGGCTCCTAGTCTAGAGCTTGTCCTAGCCTCTTCCATCCTGGGGGTGGGGCACTGCTCTGTGATGGCAGGAAGTGATACCAGGGTCTTCTGAAAGACTGAAGACTAGTTTGCACTTTTCCCAGGCAGCCTAGGTGAGTCGTGGAGGCCATGGGGAGACCTGCTGGGTAACTGGCCTCGTGGCAGGCCCAGCCTATCCATGAAGGGAGCCCAGCCTAGTGGGGAGACAGATGACACCAGAACCTGAGGCTCAGGGAGCCAAAGGGATGGCAAGTTCTGTCTCCAACCCCAGCACAGCCCGTGGCTGGGCACCGGGGATGGTCTGCACAAGGCCTGTTTCTAGACTGAGTGCCCAGTTCTCTGCTCTTCCCAGTGCAGACGTCACCGCAGGCTCTCCCTGGGGTACAAGGGGAAGGGTCACAAGAACCGGACTGGAAGCCACGCACACCTAGATTCAAATCCCAACCCTGCTGTGTGACTTGGGCAAATCACTTAACCTCTCTGTGCCACTTCCATCTACTCCCATATTAAAGAGGATAGCAGGCATGGTGGCAGGCACCTGTAATCCCAGCTGGTCGGGAGGCTGAAGCAGGAGAATTGCTTGAACCCAGACGGCAGAGGTTGCAGTGAGCCGAGATCGCGCCACTGCACTCCAGCTTGGGCAACAGAATGAGACTCTGTCTCAAAAAAAAAAAAAAAAAAAGAGGCTAGGCCGGGTTAGGTGAGTCACTCTTGTAATCCCAGCACCTCGGGAGGCTGAGGCGGACAGATCGCTTGAACCCAGGCATTGGAGACACTAGCCTGAGCAACATGGCAGAACCCTGTCTCTATACCAAAAACACACAAAGTTAGCCAGGCATAGTGGTACACACCTATAGTCTCAGCTACTTGGGAGGCTGAGGTGGGAGGATGGCTTGAGCCTGGGAGGTGGAGGTTGCAGTGGGCTGAGTCGCACCACTGCACTACCACCTGGGCGACAGTGCCGAACTCTGTCTCAAAAAAATAAATAAAAAATAAAGGTGGCTAATCATCCCCATCACCTCCAAGGGCTTGGGAGGAGCCAGTGCCAAGCTGCCTGTCATATGCCCAGCACAGGACATGCTGACCTGATAGGCTCTCCTGAGCCCACCCGGCAAAGTCCACACTTACCCCAGGTTCCCCAGGTGGAGCGCTCAGCGGCCCGCAGTTTCTGTGCCTGTTTTCCCATCTGACTTCACCTCTTCCTCGTCCACCCTCCCCCTTCTCCTTTTCCCTGCTCCTTCTGCTTCCTCCCACTCTCTGCCCTTCTTTCCTCTCTCCCCCAAATCCCCAGCTCCCCAGTCCTCAGGGTGTAGACACAGGAAGGAGGCATCTGTGGTGAAGGCTCTGGTGGGCACACTTGTGGTCTCTTGAGTGACTCCTTATCCATCTCCTGTTGCCCCCACAGCCCAGCTAGCACTTCTGAGCTGGATGCTGCATCCTGGGGGACCACAGCGCTCAGGCTCGGGGTGAGCAGGCATGTTCTCCCACTCAGCGTGTTCCCCGGGGATGGGCCTGGGCAGGCCCTAGAATGAGGCAGGCCTGCTTCCTGGAAAGAATGGAGAGTGTCTGTCTCTCAGCAAGCCTGGGCTGGCCTCTCCACAGTGGCTGGTAGGCTGGGACTGGATCTCCATGGAGATTCTCTCTGCTGGGCCTTTGAAAGGGCCAGGGGAAGGGAGGTCAGGGGCTGCTGTTGATCGATGGCTCCACAACCCTGGGCGTGGAGCTCCACTCCACGTGAACCTATGCTAAGTCTTCACACAGAACCCTGAGCTGGGAGTCTGCAGTCCTGGCTCCGCTCCCCATTCAGACTCCTACTGACCTTGGGAAAGACACTTTGCTGCTCCAAGCACCAGTTGCTCCTCCTCCTCTACCCCAGCCCTTCTCTTTCTTTCTACTTCTGTGGAATTACAGGAAAAGAACTTGCAAAAATCATGACTCCTGCCTCCTCATTACTTCAGCATGCATTTCCTACAAAGGACGGCAATTTCCTTAGCACATCACCATCATCGCATCTGAGAAAACTGACCATTCCTCAGTACCATGTAATGCCCAGCCCGTGTTTAAATTTCCCCCCAATGCCTTTTACAGCTATTTTAGTTTCTGACCTAGGATTCAGTGAAACCTAGGTTCATGTGTTGCATTTGGTTGTGATCTCTCTTTTGCCTTCTTTAACCTACAATACTCCTATCACCTTTTTTTTTTTTTTAAATAGCATTGCCTTTTGGAAGATACCAGGTCAGTTGTCAGTCATCTTATAAAACATTCCAATGATTTGTCTCATGATGCTTCAGGGCAATGCCAAAGTTGTTCCTGTATCCCTTGTAAACTTTAAGAGTTAGGTCTAAGGCCTTGATTTGATTCAGGTTACTATGTCTCCATTATCAGTTACTTGGCTTTGGTAAAGCATGCGAAAGGAGAGGAGAGGGCAGGGGGAATGTGTGAGCACACACCTGGTCTGGCTGTTGGCAGTGAGGAGGCCACCTGGCCAGTGCCAAGGGTTTGTTCTGGAAGGTGATGGACAGAGGCTGGAAGGCCAGGCCAGGCACGAGTACACACTGTGGGCCAAAGCTGGGTGTCTGCAGAAGGACCTGCATTACTAAGGAGCTGACCTCACTGTGAGGTCAGATGCATGGGTGCGCAGGCAGGGAACAGAAAAGACTCCTCCCTACTCTGCCAGAGAGAGGAGGCCTTGCCGAGGCTGTAACCGGGGGAGGTGCCCAGACCTCAAAGGGAAATCGGTGGGGGCGGCCAAGAGGTGACCTGAAAATCTGGCCCTTTGCCTTTACCCTTAAAGCCCTGCCCAGATCCTGGTAGATTCCCCCTGACTGATTCTAGTGAGAGCAGAACACACTCTCTTTGAATCTTTTAGGACCAATGAGCACAAGGCGCAAGACTGGGACATATTGGTTTTGAGATTGGTTTTCAAGATTGGTTTTGAACTCTGTAAAAGAAAGGACTTTCTTAATGGTTAGAGCTGCCTAACTTGGAAAAAGAAGCTACCTTGATAGGTAGTCAGCTTCCCATCCCTGGGGGGGTTCAAGATTTAGGTGGATGACCTCCGATTAAGGACGATGTGGAACAGTGAATGGAATTAGATTGCCTTCCAGCCCTGAGATAATAGAGTTCCTCTACTTTATTAAAGACATCATGTTGGAACAGAGAGGAGTTTTGGGGTCTACCACCTTGGTTCTGCCACCCTGGCTGGGGGCCTTCCTCTTTTATATTCCCCTACCCCAGTTGGGTTGCTGTGACCCTGAATGACAACAGCTCTTACATGGCAATAGCCACCTCCTTTTAGGGTGTCCCACAGAGCTGATTAATGCTTTTGGCACTTATTTCAAGCTTTAGATATGCATGTTTTCTTTCTCCAGTTAGTGGTTTGTAAGTTACCAGATCATCCAACTCCTTCTGGCCCCTGCACAGCCCCACCCCACTCCATGCCGGGTTCAGGGCTCCCTTATAGCTGAGCCTCATAGTGACTCTGGCTGAATCATCTCTCAGTATGGTAGGGGGGCAAGAGCCAAGGTCAAGCACAAGGAGGTGCCTCCTTCAGGAACCTCACCCCAAGGCTGTGACTTCAGCCTGCTGAGGTTTTGCATTTTATTTTCAGGCTGATGTGCTGCCCTGCCCACAGGATGAGGGTCTGGTCCTTACCCTCCCTCATGAGCCCTTCCTCTACCATGTTCTTTCTTCTGGTCACGCAGCCCTGTCTCCATTAGACTCCTCATCACCAGAATACCAACACCTCTGAACCCAGTACTGCTGTCAGGCTGAGGCCTAGTGAGTCCCTTGCTGTTGACAGCACAGAATCAGCAAGGGGCCAGTGCCTGCAGAACCACCCTGAAAAGCCCACCCGCAGTCATGATCCTCTCCAGACACCACCTCTGTCAGCCCCGCTGCTGTCCAGCGGGCAGAACTAGGCAGGTGCTACAATCCCATTTACAACATAGAGTGTCTGTGTGGCTCATGGAGGAGTTAAAAGAGACTTGTCCAAAGTCACAAGCTATCAAAATGGTGTAGCCAAGACTTCAGCCAAGAACTTCTGACTCTTAGTCTACTGCTCTTTCCAATACAACACATATCTTCTCCTCCTTCAGCCTCTCCACCTCAACTCTTACCCCTCCCCAGTAGCTCCATAAATACAGGGCCCTACACAAAAGTGTAAAGAAACTGTAGCAGGAAGAGTTTTAGGAGTCAGAAAGAATCCAGTGGTTTCTATCTTGGCTCTGCTACTTGTTAGTTGTACGACTTTGGACTACCTACTCAACCTGTCTGAATATCAGTTTCCTTAACTGTAAAATGAGAATAATGTCATCCAGCTCACTGGATACAATGAAGTGACCAAACACAAATTGCTTGGCAAAGTGTCTGGCCCAGGATGGGTGCTTGCTCAACACTAGCTCTACCCTCTCTCCTTCTCCTGTGAGGGAGTCTCTGACTTCAAATAATCAAATGTTTACTTGAGGAGGTCAGGCTTTGCCAGGAGGAGGAGGACAGGGCGGGCTGGGCTGGGCTGAGGGTCAGGAGGAGGGAGGGAGAGGTTCTGGATTCCAGATGTGCACAGCTGCTGGGCCTGCTCCCTGGCAGCCTCTCCCTGGGCCCAGGGCCATCCTGGTCTCCCTCCCAGATGGGGAGGGCCCGGAAGGAAAAAGTATTCATTTTGCAGCTGAATGGCCCTTATAGCCTCTCAAGAAATGTAGGATGGCTTTTTCTCCCCTCTGAGATAATCACTATGTACACTCCACATGGAAGCAAATTGTATCCTGTCCTCGGATCTCAAAAATGATTTATTGTGGCCAGCGGGTGCATTTTCTAGATGATGACATGAGCAAAATTTAGCTTTTAAGTGGAACACGAAAATGTAAGAGAGCAGTTTTTTTAGTTTCTGACTCAGGTGAGGGGGCAATGTGGCTACATTCACATCAAAGGGCTGGGAGGAAGCCCCCTGGGAAACAGCTGTGTAATGTGGGGGGAGCCCAGGAGAACTCTCAGATCTGCCCTGGTAGCTCCCATGGGGCAGCCCATCAGGATATGTGGCAGAGCCTCTCCTGGGTCATGTGCTGTCAGAGAAAGACTGGCACTTTCCATCTAGTTTGGTCTCTAGCTATGTGACCTGGGACAAGCCGCCTTCCTTCTCCAGGCTCAGTGTCCTCTTCTGTGATATGTGGGTATCAACTGACCTGGGTCCTGGAATCTGTATGAGGATGGAACATGAGAACACAAGAGAAAATAGTATGGCACTGTCATGAAGGAAAGACACCGTTATCAACTGCTCCATCTCATCCAAAGCATTCTGGGTCGTGAGCGAGAGCTGATCATCTGTTCCCCCTCCACCCGGGAAAGGTGGACACACAGGAGGAACACAGCACATGTTTCCATACTGGAGGAGCAGAGGGAACCAGCCTACAGTCCCGAGGGGCTCGCCAGCCTGGGCAGTAATTCCCAGTGGACTCCAGGCTTCAGTGTCCTCCTTTGTAAAATGAGAAAGCCAAACAGACAATGGGAGGTGCATGGACTGTGCCATTTCTCTCAGCATAGCGTCTCTCAGACCCCTGCCCTGACCATTTCCAAACTTGGTTATGCATCAGAATCATGTGAGGAGTGTGTCGTGAAGGCATGTATCTGTGGAACCAACATTTGGGAGTATCTGCTCTTGCCTGTGCACCTTAGAGTAGGCTAAAACTGCACTGTCCTGTATGGTAGCTACTAGCCACATGCAGCTGCTTAAATTCAGATTAATTAAAATTAAATTGAAAACTCCTCCTCAGTTAGACTAACCACATATCAAGTGCTCAATAGGCACATGTGGCTAGTGGCTACCATATGGCACAGCAGAGATTACAGAGCATTTCCATCACTGCAGTGTGTTGCATTGGACAGCACTGGGAGAAAAGACATCAATTAGCTCCTAAAAGTCATCAGTTAGCTACTAAAAGTCCTAAATCCTGGAAGAAAAGAATCAATCCAAACCTCCACACCTGGAAGTTCCTGGGTGGGGTGTACAGGGACTTAGGAAGGCCATGATCTGGAGTCACTCCACTGTCTTTCTCTGCATCTCTGACAAACATGGAATTCTTGGGTTCCAGGACAGTTCTCCTACCAACTCACAGGGCCCCTTGGGCAAGCCCCTCATTTTTCTCACCCAGGAAATTGGAATTCCTCCTCGCCACCCAGCTCTGTCCTGCCTCCCTCATGCTATCAGGGAGTGGATCTAAGCCAAGTGGGAACAGGCAGGGCTGGGATGGCGCCTTCTCAACAGTCTCTAGAGGGGAGGATACGCAGCATGCATCCACCACCCAATGCAAGCCCAGCCAGAGACACGGTCTATTCTATACCAGGCCTCTGCCCTGAATCCCTGCAGCCTTTCCTGCTCTGGTGAACAAGGCCGGACATGTAAGGAGAAGGCTGTAGCCACCTCTGCCTCATTCTCTTCAAGACAGCTTCCTACCTCCCCTAGGATGGTCACTGGGAAGTCTTCTGAGGCCCCCAGATTCCATGCTGTGCTCCCCTTGCTCCTGGCTCATCACACTAACAGCAGCCAACGTGTGTTTAGTGCTTACGATGAGCTAAGCATTCTACATTCATTATATCCTGCATCCTTAAAATAACCCTGAGAAATAGGTACAATTATTATTCCCATTTCCAGATGCGTCTGGGTTTGTCCAGGTCACTGAAGTGGAGGAGCTGGGATCTGATTCAGAGCTGTCACCGAGGTCTCTCCTTTACTTGTCTGCTCCTCAATTATCCTGGCTGCTGTTGAGGGCAGGGACTGCACCTCATTCCTCCTTATTTTTCCAGGCTTACCACTGGGCTTAACATCATCTTGATAAATATACGAGTGAGGGAAGGAATAGGAGGGCAGAGACAAGGAAGAGCAACCCAACTCTTTGCCTCAAGGCCTACAAGAGTCCCGTTGGAGCTCCAGATCACAAACCTTGTCCATCCCCCTATTTGCAGGACCAGATCCCACAATATTCACTCTGCACAGAGAGCCAGGAAAATGAAATGTCTGCCTCCTCTGGGCCCAACTTTTCCTCCATGTGGTCCTGACACAAAAAGGCTTTCAAGGAACCGTATCCTGTCAGAGCAGAAAGGGACTCACAGGTCCACTAAATCCAGCCTCTCATTTCATAGACCCAGAGAGGAGGAGTGACTTGTCTCTGGATGACCGGTCCACACTGCAAGCTTCCTGCCCTGGGGGTGGTAGAATCTGGTGCTGCCACCCCTCCCCTGCAGGCAGATCCCATGGGAGTCTGTCTGGGCAGGCGGTGGCAGAATAGCACCCACTCAGGGAAGCATCCATGCTCCACTGGGCTTCTGAGTTCTGTGTTTCTCTGGCCAGGCAGAGAGGGGCGGTGGAGCTCAAAACACAGGCCCAACAGATGGTTTCTATTTGCAGCCACTGAGGCTGGTCTGTGCCAGACTCCTGACCTATTTTGAGGAACTGAGGGCCCTGCTGGCTCAGAGATGGCCTCCAACTTGCACCCCCTTAGCCCAAAGTCTGGCAGGGGATCAAATGGGTGGTTCAAGACCAGTGGGGAGAGGAGTGAAGGTGGAAAACCTTTGAAAATGAGGCCAGGGTGGATGGTCTGCAAGCTCGAGCTCTGGGGAACAGATCCTTGGAGTGCGAGCCCCAGGTCATCTGCCTCAGAATCACCTGAAGTGTTTGTGGAAATGCAGGCTCCCGGGCCCCACTTCCAGCCTGCAGAATCACACACTGTGGGAATGAGCTAGGAAATGTGCATTTTAACCAAGCCCACCAGGTGCTTCCTGTTTGGGATCTTTGCTGTTCAATGGACTGCCTGTGGACCAATAGCACTGGCATTACCTGGGAGCTGGTTAGAAATGGAGAATCCCAGGCCCCACCCTTGACTCAAATGAGAATCTATGGTTGAACACGGTGGTGGTCCAGGTGGTTCACATAGATGATTCAGTTGGGTATCACTCTCCAGCTCAGTGCTTCTCAAACTTGCAGGTGCATCACAATTACCCGGTGGGCTTGTGAAAACATAGATTGCTGAGGCCCACAGTTTCTGATTCAGGAAGTCGAGGGTGGGGCCCGAGAATCTGCATCCCTAACACGTTGCCAGGTGATGCTGAAGCTATTGGTCCCGGAACCAGACTTTGGTCCCTGAGTGGCATTGCAAGGAGCACTGGGCCCTCTGAAACTTCAGCTCTGTGACTTTGCATCTGTCCCTTTACCTCCCAGTTCCTCCATCAGAAAAATGGATATAATTCATATTTTTCCTAGGATAGTTATGAGGATCCAGTGAAATAATACTGTGTGTGAACATGCTTTGCTAACTGTGACTGCTCAACAAAGATTATTTTATCAGTCAATCTGCACCTTCAAAAGTGCTTTGGGTTTGCCCCTGACAACCACCCTGCCGGCCAGCGAGTGAGTAAAAGAGCTGGGCCTAATGCATCCCTCGAGGGCTTTCTTCTGCATTTCTAGACTGTCATGCACAAGATCATGCAAACACCAAGTGCTCAATAAGGGCTGGTGGAGTTAAACCCAGGACTTCTGGTTTTCAGCCCTATTCTCTGTCCACAGCAGGTCCTACTCCTCACCCCCTCCTTCATGGCCTCCGGCTTCTTGGTAGGTGAGGCTGAGCAACTTTTTTAAAAGGCTGTTTCATAGTCCAGGCCAAAGGCTGAGCCGGGGAGATGCCAGGCATAGCTGCCACTGCCGAGGCTCCCTGCCTGTGACATGCCCTGACCGACTCTCAGGATAACCGGGATCCCGTGTTCAGAGTGCCTGGCCTGGCCCCTGGCCCACAGACCAAGACGTTGCTCCCTGTCACCTGGCAATGCAGAAAAAGATGGACTGATAAACTGTCCCCAGGGGAATGTGGTAACTGGTGATGGGCCTTCCCCTTCCCAAGAGATAATCTATCTACATTACAGCCAGGGGATGGCATGGAAGAGAAGGACGATCTGCCGGCTCCGTTGTAGTATCTCTGTTAGAGTAAAAGGAAGCCCATCTCTCAGTGCCCCAAATGTGAGAAAGGAGAAGTTGAAGTTCTTTATATTGCTGCTAATCATTTTGGGTATAAAAAAGGATAGTAAATCAACTTGCCCATAAAGAAATAGATACCAGGCCTCATGCACAGAGCTTACTTGGAGATAAATTCTTTGCACTGTCCACCCTGTGCTGTCCCCAAGGAGTGAGTGTGTGTGTGTGTGTGTGTGTGTGTGTGTGTATGTTGGAGTAACCATTTCCTCTTGGACTTTGGAAACAATTCAAGGGGCCTCACCAGCTGAGGGTCTAGAAACTAGAGCAGAAACTTTTTTTTTAAATTAAACTTAATGGTACTGAGGAAATCAATGGGTTTTTGTTTGAAAACATCCGTGATAACTGTCTCATGATGTTCTCCACCTCTCACTCCCTGCCTTGTAAAAAGAATCCAGTAGTTAATTTAGGACCCAGCAAGGAAAGAGGAGTCTTGCTGGGATCTGTGGCCAACAGTTCCCCTACAATGCCCTCTGTTCCCCCAGTTCACAAGGGAGGCCGCCTCATTCTAGGTGGTCATGTAGCATTCTGCATGACTGTCCAGCACACAGCTCTGCTCCATAGAAGTGACCCACACTCAATGGTGACAGCTAAACCAACCAGCTCCTCCCCTTGAAGGGTTTAAATGTGGGCTACATTGCACCACTAGTTGGTGGCAGAGGCAGAAGCCATAAGCGGAGGGAAGAGAGATGGAGAAGAGGTCAGAGAGGAATGTAAAGGGGATCACTGTAATTTTAAAAATAATGTTAGTGCACTGTTCTGCATTTACTAGGTGTAACCTTCCTGCTCTCCCCTAACTCACATCCATTTATTGGCCGGGTGTGGTGGCTCACGCCTGTAATCCCAGCACTTAGGGGGACCAAGGCGGGCAGATCACTTGAGGTCAGGAGTTTGAGACCAGCCTGACCAACGTGGCAAAACCCCATCTCTACTAAAAATACAAAAAATTAGCCAAGCGTGCTAGCGCGCACCTATAGTCCCAGCTACTCAGGAGGCTGAGGTACGAGAATCACTTAAACCAGGGAGGTGGAGGATGCAGTGAGCCAAGATAGCACCACTGCACTCCAGCCTGGATGACAGAGCAAGACTCTGTCTCCAAAAAAACACAAAAATTAAAAAATAAACAAATGACATCCATTATCCAGGGAGAGTTCGGACTGTTAAAGCAGGACTCAAAAAAATTCACATTCCAACATCCAAGATAGGATTCTGCAGCCACAAAATATCTTAAGAGCCAGAATTGTTGAGAGAGGACGTTTCTCAACTTCTGTCTCTCCGTGTTAGCAAATGAAGAGTCCTGTCTGGCTGACTCCATCACAACTCTACTGGACCGAGCTGAATGCGTTTTATCACTGCTACCTACCAGGTGGGGCTCCTGGATGACACCAGACAAGCTTCAGAGGAAACAAACTTGTATCTTCTTTGCACATCCAAGTTGTCAGGGCTGCCAGCTAAGACCATGAAGGCTGTACCCTGCACAGATGGGCCGTGTGGATGAATAGCGCCCAAGGAGTTATGCCACATGGGGGCCACGGGTGCAGGAGGCACTCACATCACCATCCCAGAGACCCCGCTGCAGCAGTCAAGATAACGGGAATCTGACTACCTTCTAGCTCCGAAATTCCAGGCATCTGAGAGGCCTGGGAGCCTGGGAGGCCTGGCTGCTAGTCACCCTCTAGCCCTGCCTCCCTCATTACTAAAGGTCAACAGAATCTGTTGCTAGCAACCAAGAGAGAGCCCACTCCAGCGATGCTGAGGGATGGCATGTGGCCCTCCCTGGTGGCCATCTGGGGCCATTCCAGCAGCCTATTTACACTGACTGCGAGGAGCACCTCCTCCTGGCAGCTCAGGAGGGGCTGTCTTTGTGCAGGTGTCAGCACCTTCTCTGGTGTAGCTACTGATGTCAAGAGGTAAACGAATTGGCCCCACGGGGTCTCTGACCATCCCATCCCCAGGGACCTACCCTCCCCTGAACACCTGCAGCATTTCCTGGCTGCCACCCTGCCCCCTGGCACCTGGTGTGTACTTCAGGGTTGGTTGGTTCTCTTTACACGTGTTGAGATTAACTTCTCCCGGAGGCTGTAAGCTGGGCCCTGGTGTCAGCTCTGAGAGCTGGAATGCACAGGAAGTCTAAAGGTTGCCGACTTCCTGGCTGAGATTCTGGAAGAAGAGAGGACACTGTTCCAAAGTGGGCCAAACAGAGGATGGCTTCACAGACAGACACAGGTTTAAATCCTAGCGCCACCACTTACTAGGTATCTACTGGACAAGTTCATTAACTTTTTGGAGCTTGTGTTCTCATCTGTAAAATGTTACAAAATGTATAACAAGCCCTAGACAAGTTCATAAACTTTTTGGAGCTCGAGTTCTCATCTATAAAAATGGGGGCAACACTGCCTCCTTCTCAGGACAGTCTCCACCCTCTTGGTCTTCCTCACAATGCCCTATACATGGAGACCATCCATAACCCACTGACGGGCAAGTGGCTGGCCTTTGGGGGACATGGGGAGTCAAGCACCACTGCAGAACCCGGCCATCCAGGTGTTCCCTGGGAGCACTGGGACAAGCTCCTGGAGAAGGGAGGCAGGCAGATCTGCTGACTGGACTCGTACCTGCCATTCCCAGCACCCCCTACCCCCAACCGCCCTGCACCACCACGGGAACACCCCTCACCCTTGGGAGAGGGTCCAAGACCCAGTTCTGGCAAGTGAGACCTAGGAGGAAGTCCACTAGGGGGCTTCTGAGAAGGATTTTTGTCTCAGTAAGAGGAGAGAGACATAAGAAAAGTTCTTTCTTGGCATACTGGCACACACACGGCTTCCCGCCTTTGCTTCCATTTGAGGATGTAAATCCTGGCGCTCTGGCACCCATTTTGTGGCCAAGAGGTAACAAGCCTACAACCAAAAGGCCAAAATGATGAGAAGACAGACCACAAGGACAGAAGAGGCCTGGGTCCTTGATGGCACTGTGGAGCCACCGACCAAACCTAGGACCTCCTTCCTCCGCAACTCTTGTTTGAAAAACCATGAAAATCCTAGAGCTTGAGTCAGTCTTGGTTGGCTTTCTTTGTTACTCGCAGCCTAAAGCATTCCAACTGATGGAAATAAAGAAGAAAAGGAACAGGGTAGTAGATCTCTGAGTCTTTGAACACTGCCTGTGACCTGTCCCCATGAGGTCTTTCTGCCCCCACAGCAAAGAACTTTGCTATTTTAAGGAGGCCCAGAGACCACAGAGCCCCACCCAAGCCTAGCAGGCCTGCCCCTGCCAGGAACAAAAAAAAAACATTTCATTTCGAGGTTTTCTCTCATCCCTCAGCACCGTTCCTTGGGGTGTGCTGATGCGGCTGCCCGTGCCTGCCATGCAGTTGCCGGAAAAGTTGCACAGCTCAGGGGATGATAACAATGACCACTTGGGTCGAGGGAGCGATAGTCAAGTTCATGCTGCCCGTTGCACACGACCACCCCACACAGCATCCCCTGGGTCCAGCAACACTGCTGAGCCTTGAAAGGAGATTTTTTCCCTCTTTTTCTTTCTTTATTCAACTGAATGCTGTCATTGCTACAGAAGCCACGAGGAAGAGGGGTGGAGAGGAAAACGAGGTAATGGATGCAGAACATCTGGCACGGTGCCTGGTGGGCACTGAGCAAACACCAGCACCCTCCCTTTTCCCTTCCAACATAATGGCAATGCTGGGTGACAGAACATGGCATCAGGCAACTCCTCCAGGGCAGGGTGCCTCTGGCAGGGGCATTACCTATCCTTTTGGATTCCTGGTTTTTAAAGGACTCTTTCTACTGGGGTGCTTTTCCTTCAAGGTGTCCACTTAGACATAGTGCGTGTGTATGCACACAACACACACACACAGACACACACACACACACACATGCTGGTTAAGAGCCCAAGCTCCTGACTCCACAGCGAGTTGGGTCCCAGTCATGAGGTCAGGGTTCTCAATTAGCTTCTGCCTCAGCCTCGTCCAAGTCCTCCTGATCTGACCCCTACTGAGGCTGCTCGTGTCACTGACCCTCCTGCTGGTCCCCTGACCATTTCATAAGGACATTCAGAAGGCCTGGGAGCTGCTCAGTGCATAGCCTTTCCCTGCACATCGTTTCATCCCCAGCACCTGGGCTCTTTGTTTGGGCCCTCCTGGTTTCTGTGAAAGTCAAAGCTTTGGTTGCCTGAGTACCAAACCACTGGCATAGTCTGGCCTCTGTAAATCTGCCTCTGGGGATAAAGTCTCTCTCCTCACCTCTTCCACTGCGTCAGGACCACTCCAGTCCACAGGGCACGTTTGTGAGAATAGAGAAAGGCGCCTCTTCCTCCAACAGAATCAGCTCCAGGCTCAGTGAGTGGAATGTGGACTGGATTTCAGCCCCCACTTACACCCTGCCAGGTGCCTTTGTGCAGGGCACAACTCTGACAACCACACACAGCAGACCTGCAATGGAGCCTTTCCAATTATTCTCCTGAACTTCTGATCTAAATGCTTTTCTCAGACATTGACTCATTCAGAACTACTGCAGAATTTCCAATGTGGAGCAGCCCCACTGAGGGGGCAACAACTTTGCAAAACTGCAAGATACATTCGGCACTCCCCAGCATGATCCCATGGCTCCCCCAGCAGACCTTGCTGGTCTCACCTTCCTGGCTCTCCTCTGCTAACTCCAAATAAAGTTACAGCATCTCTGCTGTCCAATTACAATTCATTTCTCCCTGCCCCATCTGGAGGCAAATGGCACATGTGTCCCAGGAGACCCAGTGGTCCCTCCCTCCCACATTCTCATCCTGCCCTTTCCCCAGCTTGCCTTATCTTCCACATCACATGGGAAACTGAGGGCATCCCTCTCAGCAGAAAGCCTCTTGTACCCAGCAATGCTTAGCCTCAGGGAATGAATGGAGAGGCTGGGTGAGTCCATGTAGACTCCGGAGGAGGCAGGATAAGCCCTGGGAAAAGGCCTTTCTCTATTGCTCTGTCATGAGCAAGTGGATCTACCTTTTGGGGCCCCATTTGTCCATCAACTGTGGTGATAATAATGGTGCCTCCTCATGGAGCTGATGTGGGGATTAAAAGAAAATACATGTACAGTAACTGTAACATTACTTTGCTCATACCATGGGCTTAATACATGTAGCTATTGTAAAGTCCCTTGACTCACCTGTTTCTATTCCCTTGTTACAAAATGGATAAAGAGATATGTTACATATTTTAATGTATTTCACACTTAGTGTTGTACTTGCTACGTGTCAGGTACTATTCAAAGCACTTCGCAAATACTGCCTTCCTTAGTCTTCATCGCAACCCAGTGAGGCAGGCGCTATTATCTTCCCCATATCACAGGGGATGAAACTAAGGCACAGGCATTCAGTAACTTGCTCAAGGTCACCCAGGCAAGAAGGGACAGAGAAAGGATTCAAACCCAGGCCTTCCACTCCATAGGGTGTGTGCTTAACTGGGCTATGGGGTTTCTCTGTGACCACTGTGAGAATTAAATGAGGTCATGCCTGCAAAGTGCTTGGCACGTAGAAGGCACTGGAGATCTGGTCATTATGGTAATGTACCATTATTGTTGAATATTTATCATTGTTATTACTAATATATGCAAAGCCCCACCCAAATTATGCTGGCCCTTCCCCTTTTCTTCTTCTCTCCAGCACTGATGTTGCTGGTTTGGGTGGTGGTGGGGTTGGAGGAGGTCTCTTTATGGAAGGCTGTGTTTCCAGTTTGGGGGCAGGGAGGGAAGATTTCGGGTACAGAAGTAAGAGTGAGTAAACTCCCTCAGCACAGAGCCTCATCGAACTTCTACACCAGAAGCTCAGTTAAGTTATGTTAGCTATGATACAGGGAGGCGTGGAGATGAGGATACACCAGGGTGTGCGGGGCAGGAAGGGGGCTGTACCCATAAGCCTGAGGGTCTATGGCAGGGGTAAGCAGACAGAGGGAGATGAGGCTACCCCTGCAAGATTCAGCTCAGCAAATAACTGAGTCACCTAATACAATCATAGAGGGTCAGGGCAGAAGCCATTTCCTGCTTACATCTCCCCGTCCCATCCTGCAGATGAAGACCACATTTGTCACAGTGCCTCTCACCCAACCATGATGCAGAGTCTCCTCTCCCACGAGCTCCTTATGCTATAGCCGGGCTCTCCTTATTGTCCCAGGCACGTGGTTACCTCCACCTCCCCAACCCCAAGAGAGTCCAAAGAGATGCCCGCCCTCTTCTCTCTGCATCCTGGAATTTTACTCATCTCTCTCCCAACACACACCTTCCCTGACCACCCCCCACCAACACACTCTTTCTTCCTGGGGACCCACCTGCACTTGAAGGTCCATAAACCACTCTCAGGCACTGAGGGCAAGTTGCCCTGCCCTGGTGCATTGCTTTTCCTGTGTTCGGGTCTAACTCCAAACTCCTTGATGGTTGGGATGATGTCTTAGTCATTTCTGAATCCCTCATACGAGACCAGCACAAAATCATACAATAATGAATACACAGACATAAAGTAAAACAAATAAACAAGTAAAAATGAAATTTTATAAGTAATACGTTTAGAAGCAGCTTATAGGAATTAACTAATTTAGTCCTCATTATCCTCATGAATCTGACATTATTGTGCCCATTTTGCAGGCGTAGAAACAGAGGCAGAAAAAAGGTAAGTACCTTGCTAAGGATCCCCACTTGGCAGTGGTGGGACTGGGAGCTGAACCCAGGAGTCTTGCTACACATCCTGTGCTCAGAGCTACCCTTTGCACTCTCATTGGCCATTGATGAGTGACTCAGTGATGACACCTGGCCTCTGCCTACTCTTCAAACTCATGACTTCTCCAGGGAAACTGACACAGAGAGGTGCCTGGGGGCTGGGGCCCCAGCCTCTGACCAGACCTCCTGGCCTCTCTGGAGCAGCGGTTCTCAGCCCTTGCTGCTTAACTTCACCTGTGGAGACGTTTTTTCATAAGTACTGACACCTGGGTCTCTCCCCAGCCAACGAAATGGACTTGATGATGGGGCCTGAGCCTCTGTATTCTTGAGCTCCCCACAGTGAGAATGAAAAGCCACTGCTCTAGAAGCAGTGATTCCCGGGAAGACTCTGAGTCTCTTGCTTCCTCCTCCCCTCACTCAAAGGCTGGGAGTCCCGCATCTGTGTCAGCCAAGCCCCTGGCTTCTCCCTTCTGTCCACATCACTTGTCCTCAAAGGGCCCAGGGGAGAACACCTGTCTGAATCTCTAGCACTCAGGACCACATAAGCCACAGGTCGTGAGACAGGACTCAATCTAGCCAGCAGCTAGCAGCCAGCACAGTGATTAAGCATGTTCTAAATTAGTTGCCAACATTTTTTAAAAGTCAGGATCTTTAAGAAAAACCTAGACTTCTTTGATTTTTCAAAAATCAAAAATCAGAAACTACTATGCACCCACATTCCCACTGTAGCCCCTTCAGGAGGGGAGGGGGATGCTCCAATTACACTCAAGCCCCCTCCTGCGTTATGGTTCTCATCTGAGCCCTGTAAGCACTGGAACTGTGTGCCCTCACAGCAGCACGCAGTAGGAACATTTTTAAAAAATTGCTGAAGAGTGAGTCTTTTTGACTTTTGAAGCAGCCCGTGCAGAAAGATTTACATATGAATCAAACAAATTGCATTTCTTGCTAGACAGCATTTCTGGATGAAAGCTAGAAACAATTAAATTACCCCAGGAAGAAAAGCTGTGGCACATCCACAGGATGGAACACAAACTCAGCAATAAAAGGAGCAAACTACTGATACCCACAACACCACGGATGACTCTCAAATACAGTAAAGCTGGGCTGGGTGTGGTGGCTCATGCCTGTAATCCCAGCATTTTGGGAGGCCAAGGGGGGCAGATTGCTTGAGCTCAGGAGTTTGAGACCAGCCTGGGCAACATGGTGAAACCCCGTCTCTACAAAAAATACAAAAGTTAGCTGGGTGTGGTGGTGTGCACCTGTAGTCCTAGCTACTTGGGGTGCTGAGGTGGGAGGATTGCTTGAGCCCAGGAGTTGGAAGCTGCAGTGAGCCGTGTTCATACCACTGCACTCTAGCCTGGGAGACAAAGCAAGACCCTGTCTCAAAAAAACCCAAAACAAGAAACAACAAACAAGAAAAAAACCTGTAACGGAGTGCACAAGCAGGCTCAAAGGCTGCATACCCAATGATTCCATTGATATAATATTCTGGAAAAAAACAACTTCTACAGATGGAACACGGATGAATGCTGGCAAGGCCTGGGGGTGGGAGGAGGGCCTGACCACAAAGGGACAGGAGGGAATTTCAGGAGGCAGTGGAGATGTTCTGTATCATGATAGTGATGGTGGTTACACGATTGTTTGCATTTGTGAAATGCATAGAAGTGGACACTAAAAAAGATGTTTTTTTAATGCATGTAAATTATACCTCGAAGAACCCGAGTTAAAAAAAAAAATTAGCTGAAGACACGTTTGTCTCCATTCTAGATAGAGAAAGTTGCATAAAATAAACTGTGGAAAAGCTTCAAGTTTAGAGATTCCTAAACCCTGCGTGGCACCTGAGAAGACGGGGTCCTTCCAGCATACAGCGGCATGCTCGGACCGCCCATTGCAAGGAGGCTCAGGAACAGCCGAGTGTGGTGCAGAGGAAGGGACCCTGGGCATACAGTCACTTGTCCTGCAGTGTCCTTGACTCTGGGCAGGAGTGGTCTTCGACCACTAGCACTGGAGTTAAAAACAGAGACATGGCTGGGTGCAGTGGCTCATGCCTGTAATCTCAGCACTTTGGGAGGCCAAGGTGGGTGTATCATGAGGTCAGGAGTTCGAGACCAGCCTGGCCAACATGGCAAAACCCTATCTTTACTGAAAATACAAAAATTTGCTGGGCGTGGTGGTAGGCACCCGTAATCCCAGCTACTCAGGAGGCTGAGGCAAGAGAATCAGGAGATGGAGGTTGCAGTGAGCCGAGATCATGCCATTGCACTCCAGCCTGGGTGACAGAGCGAGACTCTATCTCAAAGAAAATAAAAAGAAAAGAAAAGAAAAAAAAAAACAGAGATGCCCAGCCCCACCCCAGATCTAGTGAATTATAATCTCTGGGCATGGACCCCAGGAACTCTTGGGTCTGATGTTTAAAAAGCCCCCAAGGTGATTTGAATGCACAACTAATACATCATATATTAGTTTTAGGCCCAAGGGACGGTAGTTCCTAATATCAGTTCCAGGCTGGAGGAAACACTGTGAACAGTACCTTTCACAGACTCATGTGGTGCTGATCACGATTGTTATTTGTGTTGGTAGTCGTGCTCACTGTTGATTCTAATATCATTTTTGTTGTTGTCATTGGTTTTAGAGACATGGTCTCACTGCTGCCCAGGCTGGAGTACAGTGGTGATCATAGCTTACTGCAGCCTCAAACTCCCTGGGCACAAGGGATCCTCCTGCCTCAGCCTCCCGAGCAGCTGGGACTGCAGTCTCACACCACTGCAAGTCTTGTGCCATGGCTGATTCTAATAGCCGACATTGGTAGAGTGGTGCCTCTAGTTTACAGAGCACCCTGACATGGATTACCTGACTTAAGCTGGGCAGCTGGCTTTATTTTTTATCCTCATTTATGGGATGAGGAGACAGAATTACAGGTTAGGTCACCTGCTCAAGACAGCAGGACCCGCCACCCCAGTCCTTTAAGTCTGTCTCAAGTCTCTTTCCATCACCCAGTCTCTAGGGCTGAAAATCCTCCTTCTTGTTGGAGGTTGAGCTGAGGAGGGCTGGGCAGAGAGCAGGAGGAATTAGAAAGGGCATCTTCCCAACACAGCAGTCAAGGAGTCTGTGCGACCCACGCTCAGCTGCAGAGAGAAGCTGCTGTAATCCGTGGTGTCGACAATGGAGGGGCTGGGGCTGCTCAAACACACCCGCCTCCAACCTCATGCTTTGCAAGTGGCACAAACGGGGATTACCCAGCAGCCGTGATCCAGCATGCGGTAATCCTCACCCAGCCCTGCCTGCCCTCCCACCCGCTGCTGCTGCTCCTGGGAGCAACAGGCTCCTGGATGCTGGGATGGAGACGCCCAACAGGATTTCTGGAGCAAAGGAACCTGAAGCTGCCCTTGGCTTCTCCCACCAGGAGTCAACCGCACTGCCCTGAGATGACTCCTGGTCCTCCAGCCTCTGTTTACATGCAGGGCGGGAGAGGCTGACCTCACTCACTTCTGGCTCTTTGGGATGGGATGGGGTGGGGTGGGGGTGAGGAGGTGGTGTAAACACAGCTGTGGGTGGGCCAGACTGGCTGTCACTCACGTCAGGCTTCCACATGCATGGACACTGCCAGGGCTCCCACATGACCTTCCAATGGTGGTGCAAAGCACCCAGGGTCTGCATCCAGCAGCTTCAGTCAAGGCCCCTGCTCTATTGCTCTGGCGAGTCTCAATGACTTGATTCAAGAGGCAGCATGGGCCCGGGCTTAAAAGAGCCGGGCCGGTTCCTCGCTGTGTGACCCTAAGCAAACAATATCACTTCTCTGCTTCCTCATCTTTTTTTAATTTAAATTTTATTTTCTTTTAATTGAGACAGAGTCTCACTTTGTTGTCCAGGCTGGAGTGCAGTAGCGTGATCTCGGCTCACTGCAACCTCTGCCTCCCAGGTTCAAGTGATTCTCCTGCCTCAGTCTCCAGAGTAGCTGAGATTACAGGTGCCCACCACCACACCCAGCTATGCTTCTCATCTTTAAAAGAGGGGTGATATTAATGGGGTTTACCTCCTAGGGCTGACATGAAGATTAGATTCCCTAAAGTATACAAAGCACCAGACACGTGCTAAGTATCTATAAATATCAGCCATCACCATCACCACCACCAGCCTGTTTCCCAGTCTGTTCAATGAGAATCATTCTAATCTCTTCTGCCTGCCTCACAGGGGTGTTGTGAGTTAAGGTCAACAAAACTGTAAACTCTGAGAGGACAGAGCCTGTGTCTGCCTTGGTCCTCTGCTGCATCCCCAGGATTCAGAATAGTATCTGGTAGTAAGGGTGCTCAGCAAATATCTATGAATGAATGAATGGGGTGTGGGGGTGAATCTTGTGACTCTGAAGGTGCTCCATAGGGCTGAGCTGCTTCTGTTTCTAATGAGTAGTCGGTGAGGTCCAACGATAGGATTTGCTGTGTTGGGAGGTGGTGAGTTCCCCATTGCTGAAGGCAATTAAAGAAACTGGAGGTCACTTAGCACAGATGTCAAGGATGGGACTCATATAGCAGGTTCAGGTCGAACTGAATGACACTGGAGAATCCTTTCCAACTCAGAGTGAATTATAGGCTAGCTCACCCCATACCAAATCCCCATGGCCTTCAACAGCATCAGGCATGTCTTCCCCAGTCAGCTCACGCTCAAGGGAATGTACAACCAACCCTCACATCCTCACACTGCAGTCACACAGTCCACCCAGCTGGGCAGTCTCAAAACATGCCCATGCCCCCACACACTCCATTTTCACATGCAGTCACTCACCCAGCAGCATTGCCACAATTGTCGTGAATGTACCGAGCACCCACTACAAACCTGGCTATGGGTTAAGTCCTTCTCCAACTTCGTCTCATTTAATTCTCACTCCTAAGCAAAAGAGATTATCCCCATTTTAAAGATGGAAAACCAAGACTCAGAAGGTCAAATAGTGGCTCACATTTATAATCCCAGCACTTTGGATCGGGAGATCACTTAGGGGTGGGAGGATCACTTGAGCCCAGGAGTTTGATACCAGCCTGGGCAACATAGTGAGAACCTATCTCTACAAATAATAAGAAAATCAGAAAAATTAGCCAGGCATGGTGGCATGTGCCTATAGTCCCAGCTCCTTGGGAGGCTGAGGTGGGAGGATCACTTGAACCTGGGAGGTCAAAGCTGTAGTGACCCATGATTGCACCACTGTCCTCCAGCCTAGGAGACCCTGTCTCAAAAAAAAAAAAAAAAAGAAGTGAAACTTGCCCAATGTCACGTGACTGTCAAGGAGCTGAACTGAGCTTTGAACCCAGGTCTGTATTATCCCAAAGCTTGTCCTCTTAAGTCACATTGCTTCCCTAACACAAACCAACAACCAAACCAAAGCAAGGCCAATCTCTTCTCACAAGGCTCTGGTAACCAACCCATCTGGAAAGGCAGAGTTATGAAGACAGAGCCACAGTTCATTCCCATCCCAGGTGCACATGTGCTGGTCTCCAGTTCAGGCCAGTGTGGAACCCTGGGCAGGTCCCCTTTCAGGAATGCCTCCTCCTCATCTCCTCCTGCCAAACCCTATTCAATAGTACGAGTACAGTTCAAATGTCTCCAGCGCTGCGAAGCCTCTCTGGTCCCTGAGAAAGAACTCAGCACTCCCTGCATCGTGCTTGCTCCAGGTCTCCATGCTGGCACGCACTGCGTTGTTCTCCAGCTAACTGTTTATGTGTCTGCTTCCCCTAGCAGACTGAGTCCCATGGGGCTGGAGGCAGTGTGTGATTTGTCTGTGCCTCCATTCCAGCCATGAGCACAGGTCCTGGCACCTCCAAGATGCTCAATTGCTCATTAGACGCTGTGGCTACATTGCTTATGGCCTTGAGGGTCCCTACACCTGCACTGGCAGGGTTTATGGTGGTCACACAGTTGAGAATATTCACTGCCGATCTCATCCGTCCACTCCAAGCTGAGTAACACACCCGTTAATCAGCAGGCGAGGAGAACATCTGTGGCTCCTTCAGAAAGTAATAGCTTCCCGGAAGCGGAGCAGCATATAATAGGCCCTGTACCGCTCGCTGTGCTCCCAAGTGGAGCTCGGCCAGCAGACTGCCTTGCATTTACCCCAGCAGACTTTCTACCCTTTGTTGGGGGATTTCATCAGAGAAACTGGCTCCCCGCCCAACCCTGCCTGACACGCACAGTGGGAAGGCCTAGAAACCTTCTAGCCCTGGTCCTGCCTCAGCTGGCTGAGTGAGTGGCTGAGTGACGGCAGGCACACTCCCTCTCTGGGCCTCAGTTTATTTATCTGCAAAACAAAGAAATAATTACCCTACTATAGCTGCTTGATAAGACTCAGATTAAAAAAAGGAATGAGAGAATAAAACAGAGAAGGCACTTTGGAAATATAAAACTGATTCAAAAGCAAGATGCGGGACCAGGTGTTCCCTAAACGCAGACTTTTGAATGAGGTTGGAAGGGGAAGACCCTCTTTACTCCTGTGGCTTAAAATAACTTATCAGACTCATGGACAAGTGTTCTGTCCTTTCTGGGCCTCAGTTTAGTCATTTGTCAAACAAGAGGTTGAATGGAATCAGTGTTTTCCAAACTTCATAATTTGTGTATCACTGCCAACATGTTCTTGCCATTTCTACAAATCACCCGAACCATGTTTATTTAAAAATTTTCTTTAAATTGGCTCTTTCTAACATTTAAATATCTGTACAAACATCATTCTAAGCAATTTAAGCCATGACATCACAGTTTGATGTCCTAGCTACCTTTTTTCCTAAAACACATTAAATAAATATACGACAATTAGGCCGGGCATGGTGGCTCACACCTGTAATCCCAGCACTTTGGGAGGCCAAGGCGGGTGGATCATCTGAGGTCAAGAGTTCGAGACCAGCCTGGCCAACATGGTGAAACCCCGTCTCTACTAAAAATATAAAAATTAGCCAGGTGTTGTGGCGTGCGCCTGTAATCCCAGCTACTCAGGAGGCTGAGGCAGGAGAGTTGCTTGAACCCGGGAAGCAAAGGCTGCAGTGAGTCAAGACTGTGCCACTGTACTCCAGCCTGGGAGACAGAGTGAGACTCTGTCTCAAAATAAAAAATAAAAAAAACATGACTCCACTTTCATCTTCTATAAAATGAGAGTGACGATGCCAGCATTGTCCACCCAAAAAGGAGAGAACACAGCAAGGAAAGACCTAGAGTTTATCTGGTCCTACTATTCACACTGAGTTTGCTGAGAATGAACACGTGCACACACACACACGCATGCACGCACTCATATATATGTACATGTACATATATGTATGGGTACACATATGTATGTGTACATATATATATACACACACACACACATTTACACCCAGCATTTACAATTACACCCAACCATGTTTATTCAGGCCCTGCTGGGACTATCTTGTGTACTACTGGTAGTCTATGTCCATTTTTGAGAAGCAGAGGGAGAGAGAGCCATTTGGAACATTTCCAGCTCCAACAGTCCAAGGTTTACATCCATGTGATGCACGCACCTGGCACCAGCACCACGACAGAAGCCCCAGGGGATGATAAGACAGTCCAGCCCTCTAAGACCTTTCAATCTTGCACACACAAAAAATGCTCTCCAATTGCTTCAGTGTGTTTTATTTGTATTTTATTTACATCCTTCTCTAAGGCATCATACTAAAATGCATACATTGCAGCAGGATGAAAATCTAAGTGATAAAATTCAGGCTAAAGGAAAGTGAGGGTAGGTGATCTAAGGCAAGGCAAAATGAATATATAAAAGGCTAATAGCTCTTGAATGCTCCCTGGAAGAGTAACACAGATTGGGGCTCTGGGCTTCCTAGCAGTCAAAGTAAAAAGGAAAACATGATTCATTCTCCTTTCATTCCTATCAGTATGTGATATATGAGCAATATCCTCAACTGCATCCCAAAGATAAATATGATGTAATTGTATCTGGGGCTGCTGACCTGACTAGGGAGATGCTGTTACCATCTTCTGACAAGTATCCTTGCCTCTCCTTGAGCCCATCTTCTATGCTGATGCCACTGTGATCCTCTCCTAGATAAATTTTTGATCACGTCACTTCCCTTTCTCAAAATCGCAAAATGTTTTCCTCTTCCCTACAGAATGAAATTTTAAATTTTCAGGCTTGTATTCGAACATCCCCTTGAACTAGCTCAAAGTATTTTTAGGGGCACATGTCTAGGAACCTCATATTTAGATCACAATGTAACTGCCTGAATTCAAATCCTGGCTCTACCACTTAGTAGCCATGTGACCTTGGGCAAGTTACATAACTTCTCTGAGTCCCATTTTCCTCTTTTGCAACATGAAGAGATAAAAAGTCCCTGCCTTGTGCTCGCCTCGGCAGCAAATATGCTAAAAAGTCCCTGTCCTATAGGATTATTGAGAACCAAGTGTGATAACCCAGGAAGAGCACTGCTCATGTGCCAGGCACATCAGTGCTATCTCCTCAGCTGCGCACTCACGCCTCCCAGCCTTTGATCACACTGTTGCTTCCATCTGGCTGCCTTTCCCCTTTTCCTGTTTACTCAAATCTTTTCACACATCTGGACTCAGCTCAAGTGCCACTTGAACTGGGAGCCTTCTGTGATTTTCCCAAATTAATTCATTTTTTTGCTCCTTTTCCATAGCACATGATTTACATGTAATACAACATGTGTAATATATGCAACGCTCAACCCATGTTTCTCACACTGGAGGGTCACCTCCTACTAGTAGGTTATGAAATCAAAGTGGTAGGCTGCTACCAGTATTTAAAAAAAATGAAGCAGAGTAGAAAAGACTAGAAAATAGAGTGCATATCATGACCTTTGGTTTTGTTTTGTATATATAACATGTATTTGTGTGTGTGTGTGTGTATGCATGTGTGTGTATTGGGTCACAACAAAATGATTTTTCTCACTAGCAACTATAGCAAAAAAGTCTGAAAGCCACAGCACTAACTGGGTTCCTGGAGGGCAGGTACTGACTCTGTTCAACTCTGTCCCCAGCACTTAGTAGGAAGCTTGGGACATAGTAGATGCTCAATAAATATTTACTGAAGTGAATTGAAAAATCTAGTAATCCAGAATGGCATGTTACTAGGGCATTCCAGTAGCCTAAGATTCAAATGCAAACCCCCACATTCAGCCACAATCTCTAAGGGCCCCATTCAGGCACAGGGCTCACCCACTGGGACGACAACCACCCACTGGGGATTTCAAGTTGAGGTTGTTAGAAGTGAGTGGAAGAGCATAGTATGGCTTAGTCCCTGCTTACCCAGGACTCCCTCTTAAGACTCCACTTTCATCTTCTATAAAATGAGAGTGATGATGCCAGCATTGCCCACCCAAAAGGGAGAGAACACAGCAAGGAAAGACCTAGAGTTTATCTGGTCCTACTATTCACACTGAGTTTGCTGAGAATGAACATGTGCATACACACACACACCCAACCACACATATATAGTCACAGACACACACATACACACACGCACACTACCCTTCATTTTATAGGTGGGAATGTGGAGGTCCAGTATGGGCAAGTGACCTGCTCAAGGTCACACAGCTGGTGAGTAGCACAACTGGGACTAGAACCAAGTCCTTTGGTTCCCAGACTACCAGTGAAGGGAGGACAAAGGATACATTAAACAGAAAAGTGCTTGAAAAACACAGAAGAGTGAAAAGTGGTGTGAGCCTAGCTCCAAGATCTGCAGAGACAAGAGGCCACAGGCCACAGTGGCTGATGCACCTGTCTCCTCCTCATTGCCTCTGGCTTCCCACCCATCCCCAGCCCCCACTCCCCACAGCCACCAGTGTCAGGATATGACTCATCCCATTCCCTGGAGCCCACGAAAGCCAATGTTGTTGGAAAGCACGGGCTTGAAGGCTGACAGACCTGGCTCTGTCTCAGTCCCAACAACACCTGGACCATTTTTTTGACCCCTCAGAGCCCTGCTTCCTCATCTGGTAACCAGGGTTACTACTCTCCATATACCTGGTTCTTGGGAAAATTCAATGAGACAAGGCAAGTTAAATACCTAGTGTTTGTAAACTTTAGTTCCTTCCTTTCCCTTCTTCCTTTGAAACCCTTTGTTTTATCCTCAGGCATGTCTTCCAAATAAAACAAAACTCCAATTCTGCAAGGCTTCTCAGATCCATGCAGTTGGAATTAATCTGGCTGTGTGTGTTTGGTTCCAGAACCAAATCCAGTTTGGCACACTGTGCCATCCTCTGCACACACCTGTCTGTCTCCCCCATGAGACCACGTGCACCCAAGAGGCAAGACCCAGCTCTCGGGGCCCTTGATAACGCTAGCCCTCGCCCATGGGAGATCTCGCAGATGACATGGGATTGCCTGCTTGCGCTGGGGCCCACGCGCTGACACAGCCGTACTCACCGCTTGTCAGAATCATTCGACCGCGGCCTGGAAGACTTGCACAATGGCCCACGGCACCCAGCAGGCGGTTTGAATCTGGATCCAGGGCAGCTGCCTGCTTTTAAGGGAGTGGAGCATGGCAGTAAAGCCAGCAGGCCGGGCAGCAAGAGACCTTGGTGGGGGCTGGGTGACCTTGAGCAAGACCTTCCCCTTCTGTTGGAGTCATAGTAAAGTTCCAAAATCTATAAATAAGACTAAAAATAATGCTAAATACTTTTCTGAGAAGAAACTAGGATGACCAGAGAGCTTTTTAAAGCTATACATTTCCTGCCCAAGATTCTTAACCCTTTTTCCCCCGAATAAGTGCATCTGAGGTGATGGGGAAGAGGCAGGGGTATTATTATGAGAAGGCTCCAGTGATAATTCTGATTAGCCATATCCCCGACAGCAACCCAATTATGCCCATCATTATACTGTTTACTACAAAAGCACAGGCCGTAGAGTCAGTCCTTGGGCAATTACTTAACCAGTCTGAGCTGGGTTCTTCCATCACAGAACAGAGAAAAGGCTTCATGTTGGACAGGGTTGCTGGGAGGAGGGAGCGAGCCGCTGCATGTAAACCACCCAGCAGGTCTGGCGCACAGTAGGTGTTCTATAAACGGCAGCCTCCTCCACCCTGCTCATCTGGGCAAAGTTTATGTCTCTATCAAGCAGTAAGCATCTAGGAAGGAAGGCTATGATCTTCTTTCTTGTCTCAGTCCTTTCAGGCTTCTGTAGCAAAATACCATAAACTGAGTGGCTTATGAACAACATAAATTTATTTCTCATGGCTCTGGAGGTTGGGAAGTCCAAGACCAGGGCACTGACGGATTTGGTGTCTGGTGATGGCCCACTTTCTGATTCACTGATGGGCCTTCTAGCTGCATCCTCACATGGTGGAAGACACAAGGGCCTCTCAGGGGTCTCTTTTATAAGTGAACTAATCCCATTCATGAGGCCTTAATCTTCATGATTTATCATAAAGGTGACTGGTTAATGACCAATCACCCCAAGGGCTCCACCTCTTAATAACTTTAGGGGTTAAGATTTCAACATGGATTTTGGAAGAACACAAACATTTTTCAACCATAGCACTTCTGCTTCTCATCTAAGCCTAAGCCACAGCCAATGGCTCAGGAATGGAAACATCACAAATATTTGAAAACCCTTTTGCATCTCACAAACATCCACTGTGTGATTGCCCTACACCAGGCCCCCCGGGTTACACAGAGAGGAGCAAGACCTGGCAGCACCCCTCAAGAGTCCTGGTCCAGGGAAAATGACTGATTCTCTGTCCACTTTGATTAGAAAGGATGACATTAGTCCTGTCTCATGGGTGCCCTAGGGAATTACTAACTAACTGGGGTCACGGTTAGTCAGAGAGACCCAGTTAATGACCAAGCAGTGCATCCTGAGCCGGCCTAGGAGCCCTGGGAGGTGGAGGATCATTTCTCTGGCTGTCCTGAACCTGAACTAAGCCATTACTCCTGCTTCAGCCAGGAAAGCCTGCTGTGGCACCCACAATGCCCTCACCTCTCTCCTCTCAGAGGCAGCATTGAGAAGCCCAGCTCCTGTACACAGCATCCCCACCATCCCACCCTCTCACATCCCAGTGCCTGGTAAACAGGACTCTGTGGGGAGCAAGCCCCCACCCCACCCGACTTCCACACACAGGAGCTTTGTCCCAGCTGCTGCTGCATAATACATGGGCGCAGGCCCGGACCAGCCTCGGGACCATCTTGGACAACAGGCCCGTCACTAAGAGGCTGTGAGGGGCACAGTCAGGACACAAAGCGCTCCAGTCAGAGCTGAGAGGAGCGGATAAAGGGCCCGCTGCAGCCCTGGAACCAGCCCCTCCCCCAGCACACAAGGCAGGAACGGAAAGGAAGCCGCTTCCCCAGAGGGCTCCCGGGAGTCCTGAAATCCTCCCAGGCACTTTCCAGCACAGCCTCCAGACACATCCTTGACCGTGAGGGCTCCGGGGCTTTCCTCTCATGACCCTCTAAAGTCATTCAGGAGCTCTCCTTGTCTTAGTCCCCATGTCTTTTCTTTAAAATAGTTTCTCCAGCAAGTTACTGACTTGGCAGGGTCTGGTATGCTCCTTTGTGTCTTAATGGTGGTTTCTAATCTTGGCTGGCCCGGAGGCTCCTCATCTACCCAAACTCATGCATTAGAGGGAAAACAATAAAGAAGAATAAGAGAGGGACATTATGAATCACCTCCCAGGTACTTCGTAAAAGAAGCGATGCACAATTTTATGTGATAATACGGCACCTTCCTTTTGCAATATATTTAAATAGAACAAATCCACTTGCAACTATCTCTATAGAAGCAGAATTGGGGACTTACATGTAACTCATTTAACAATAAAGATCTGGATGATTTGTTTCTGAACCACCCTGATAACACATTAAGATGTGTTCACAGGTTCTCCCTGGCACAGAGACATATATTCTAGGGACCACTCCCAGAGATTCTGATTCGGGAGGTCTGTGTGAGAACCCAAGAATCCGCATTTTAACAAGCACCCAAGAGATTCCAATGCAGGTGGTCCACTGATGACACCTTTAAGGCACGGTGATGATTGAAAAATTATGGGCTTCAAATATACAGATAGGTACCACACACTGGTGGCTAACTGAACAACCCACAACAAACTAAATCTATAATAAGGAAGCTAAACTCACAGCAATTTATAATTGAAAAGCAAAAATAGCAGCAGTTGGACACTGGAGCTAAGTCAAGATGACAATGAGAACAAAGTGTTCTTACTAAGACTTTCAGGAGTTTCAGCCATCTATACAGGTATACACAGTAGGAGCTTTGCCAAGGACTGCAAAGATGCCAGACCTCTTAGTAGAATATTGATTTCAAGGCCCTGAAAAACTCTTAGCGATGTGCTAATTTAGGTTTACAAATGCAATGGTTTGATAACCCCTGTTTAATTCAGGAGGATATCTGTAAGCAGCTTCTGGTTGTATATTAAAATAAAAGTCCATGGCATTGTGCGTCATTGGTTCTTAACAAGCCAAGGAAGTGCTTGCAATTCCAAATCTGTTCTCAATCCTTCAGGGAGAACCTTGCCAGCCACCAGGGGACTGAAGACTGGTCCTTCAAGCTTTGCCACATAGAGAGAAAGAAGGGAAGTTCTGAGAGGGTTGAAATGGGGAAGAAGTCAGGTTCAATCTATTTTGATGAACCCTAATTTGATAAGCCATTTTAATATGCCGCTTCTACCATCACACGGATTTTTGAAGCCCTGAAGCTCTGGGTTTGAAGATTTGTTTTTTGCAGAAATTGCTCATTTCCCGTTCTTCTATTCTGGATTCTGTTCTTCTATTCTCTCTCATAGTAATAGTCTCAGTTTTTATCAGGAAAAAAACTACATTTCCCAGGTGCCTTTGCAACCTAGTATGTGGTCATGCGATAAAGTGTTGGCCAACTGGGTGTAAGCTGGATGTAAGACTAAAGGCTGCTTCCATTACATGCCTCTTCTGGACCTCTCCAGAAAGACAGAAAGCAGCAGGTTTCTCTGAAGGGCCATCAGGAGTTTTGGTGAAGTGAGAGAGGGGAGTCCCATGTCATCCTGAACCTGGCTGTACTGATTCCCTGTGCAGTCCCATAGGAGTGAATGGCTCTGATGTCCTGGACCTGGGAAAGGAACTCCAGAAAGTTGTTCCAGGCCCTAAGGAAAAATGAGCCACAAGGAGCAAGGGAGCTGGGGTCAGTTACAAACCAGATACTGTCACCTTTCTCTCCCCAACTGCTGGGAACTCCCAAGCTACAGATTTGCAGAGCTGGTGGAATCCTAAAGATCTTCCTGCCCCATTCCCTCATTTGCAGAGGAGGAGACTGCGGCGTGAGGATCATGAGTTTCTTCATGTGAAGTCACGAGCTCATGGTCAGTTAGAGAGCAAGTTATCATCAGCAGACCAAGGTGTGAACTCAGATTGCCTGGCCCCATCCAGTTCAGTGCTCTTTCTAGACTTTGTGCTCCAACTGCTGAACAGCCATCTCCCTGGAACTCAAGGGTATGAAAAATCTTACCAAACAACCTCCTGTCAACCCAACAGCTCTCAGTTTTCCTGCTCTACCCCAGACCTCAGAGCACTCACTTCCACATCACCCATTCCAGTATTCCAGGACTCCTCTGCAGTGTTGGACATTTCTCATTCTCCTTTTCTCTGTCTCTCCTTTCTCTGCCCCTTCTCACGCACACCTCCTCTCACACATAAATGCAGTCATTCACTACTGATTTGTCCTTACGATCATCATTTCAAAGCCTATACACAAAGAATGCCACAGAAAATAAGAGCTTAATAAGTATAGTGCCCATCTTTATCCTTCCATATTCACATATTTACTTTTAGACCCTTTCAATGTGTACATGCATCTGCATCCAGAGCTTCTAAGATCCTCATTTGTTTTGTCTCATTTTATCTATTCCTGGGAATCTACTCCGATAAACAATGAGCAGTGTGGACACATTTCTCGTTCAGGGATGCTTCTTGAAAGTAGAAAGTTGAGGCCGGGTGCAGTGGCTCCTGCCTATAGCCTCTGCACTTTGGGCAGTGGAGGTGGGTGGATGGCTTGAGCCCAGGAGTTTGAGACCAGTCTGGGCAACATAGCAAGACCCAGTCTCTATGAAAAATACAAAAATTAGCCAGCATGGTGGTGCACACCTCTAGTCCCAGCTACTTGGGAGGCTGAGGTGGGAGGATCACTTGAGCCTGGGAGGTTGAGGCTGCAGTGAGCTGAGATCATGCCACTGCACACCAGCCTGGGTGACAGAGTAAGATCTTGTCTCAAAAAAAAAAAAAAGAAAAAAAGTGGAAAATTGGAAAAACCTAAATGTCTAACATAAGAGGCTAATAAAATATGTTTATGTTCATAAAATAAACTATTATATAGGCATAAAAATCATACTTTGAAGCACATTCCATATCTTAATAAATCTAATTCAATCAATTGTAGAACTGACCATTATTTTACATCCATCTAGGAAAAAGATGTAGTAATTAACTATGACATGCTTTCAGTTGAAGATATATCCAAACAGAGATAAAAAAAATTTGAAATATTACAATCAGTAAAATATG
This sequence comes from Homo sapiens, assembly GCF_000001405.40. Taxonomy (NCBI): domain Eukaryota; kingdom Metazoa; phylum Chordata; class Mammalia; order Primates; family Hominidae; genus Homo; species Homo sapiens. Next base: position 68,611,497 of record NC_000015.10, on the reverse strand, counting down.
GTATAAATAATACAATGGGGAAACGCTCCTGATGCCATGTTGTAATATCAAAGGCAAAAGGTAGGAAATTGTCATATACAGTCATAGGGGAAAAAAAACAAACAAACAAGTGAAAGGAAAACACCCAATGCAAAGGGTGGTACCTTGGGAGGGTAGGGCAAAGTATGATTTCAAAATTTCATCTTTACACTTTTCTGATTTTTCAAATTTTCCAGAATGAACATGTATCATTTTTACAATCTGAAATAGACACTGTTATTTTTTAAAAATAAATACAAATGGATACAATGGAACAAGAGAATCATGGAGCGTGTTACTCCAGACTCTGCATTCTTCTTTTCCATCATCTCCAACATGCGTGTACATATAGAGAACTGGTTCCCACGAGTCATGCTCAGTGGCTCAGTGGTGGGGCGCATTTTCTCATGTTGATGAACTGAGGTTGGATTAGCTTAGCTGTTGTTCAGTACGTGAAATGTTTCCCAATTGTTTTGCTAACACAAACAAAGCTTTGTACAGAGTACTTCTTTCATTTTCCCCCTGGGATTCTTTCCTTGGCTGCGTCGAGGGTGTGGAATGGAAGGTGCTACCTGCCATCAGTTCTGGGTGTTAGTTCACATCTTTGTGAGTGGGAGTCAAGGGACAGTGAAGTGTCTAAGGTTCATTTCCACGCTGATGCTCTGTTTCTCTATGTGAATATTCTGGACTGGCCTGATGCCCTATTGGCCTCCCAAACCTGCCTCACAGAAACAGAAATTATTTGACTGGGCCTCAGAGTACCCTACTCTGCAAGGTGAGAAGCCATTTTAATAAGTGAAATCAACACATCAATGCCTTGGGAGTAACATATACTCAGGTATAGAAGCAGACATAGGATCTAGTCTGGGACTAGGTTTCTACAAATTTAAACGCGCAGGATGCTGGAGGAGGGGCTTTGTGATGGAAGGATGGGAGAACAGGAGGGGAGAGAGGATGTATGAGGGAGGGGATGTGAGCGAAAGAGCAAGGGGTCTGTTGTTCCTGGAACAAGGGGGTCTGGAGATCAGGGAGGAAGACAAGCCTGGGGCCAGGCAGCAAGGGGTCTTAGATGTTAAATTGGGGGGTATACAGGAAAAGGATGCATGCAGGGCCCAAGCCAGCCCCCAGCCCTTCACTAGGCCTTGAGGCAAGTGCAGCACTTCAGGGCAGGGAGTGGTTCAACCATTTGCTTTGTAAACGAGGCGAGGCGCTAGAGAACCTGTCTCGTCCTATGAAGTCCTAGCTCCTCTTCTGGGCGCATCCATTGACATTTAGTGAGGGCTGCTGACACTGGAACCAGAGGGCTGCAGGGTCCCTGAGGATAAGGCCCATTTCCCCGAGATCTCTGCATCGTTCAATGCCTACTACCTAAGAGGAGCTCAGCGATATTCACCTAGTTAATTCTGAATAACACATGGAATTGTCACCGCATCCATTTTCTCTCTATGCCTGAGTTTCTGGCCAGGTTTTATCAAGAGAAGGAGGGTGGGTAGAGGGGAGAGGCTGGTTGCACAATTACAGGGTCCCCTGGGGATGGGCTAGCTGGCCAATGTGGATGATTCATGCGGATTCCAGGTCAAGCTAGTGTACTGAACCAGACCGCTTCGTGCTCCCCTACCCCAGCCCACCCTGCCTGCCATCACAGTCAGTGACGCGGCTCACAGGCTGCTGTACAGCCCTCCAGTCCCAGGGCATGGGCTGACCCCAGCTCACCCCTGGAGAGCCAGAGCAACGGCCTTCCATCAGTAGCTTTCATGCCTTTGGTTAAGTCACAGGATGTCCTGGAAGAAGAATGGCAGTGAGGGAGCAGTGGGGAGGGGACAGCGGGCTCAGGCCTGGCAGTGGAAGGAGCTGGGAGACCAGCAGCAAAGAGGAGATGAAAACCCCATTTACTCCCCCAACTCCAAAAGAGATGTGGATTCGGGAGGGAAGGCCCCTGCCCTGGAGCTCAGACATTTCCCTTCCTTTTCCTCTCCACCCAAGTCTGGGACAGAGGCTCAATTCCTCACACCTAGATGCTTGATGTGGACCACAAACTGATGCCCTGCCCCAAAGCCTGCACAGCCACAGCCCTCTTCTTAAATACAGGCCCTGCTGGGAGAAATAAGATGGTCACTAACAGCCTGGTGTGACTCAGTTCACCAGATCCTCTTCTCCTTTGCTAGATAACGCTCAGACAGGGAACAATGAATGGGGCAGGACAAATTCTCTTGACAGCAAATGTGTCCCTTTCAGGTGACCATCCCCCCAACCACCACCACCACAATGCCCCATGCTCATGTTGCTCTTGTCACCTGCAATCCTTTTCCCTCTCCCTGCGTATCTGCCTAACCCAAATCCCAACCATCCCTGGAGGCCCAGTTCCAATGCTGCTCCTTCCTTCCTGGAACCCAGTGCACCGTGCAGGCACCCGGGGGCCCTGGCCTCAGCATTTCTCCAGTCATGTGGCTTCTAATTCCAAGTTGATTTCCTCTCTGCTGCACCTTGAGGATAGGGTCTGAGTTTGAGTGTTCATTCTCTTTCTGTCTCCTCTCTCTCTCTCTTCCTAGTACCCAGTGGGAGTTTTGGTAAGCACTTGTTGAACGGATGGATGGAGGCTGAAATAGCAAACACAGTGGAAGGGAATGATGATGCTGAGGATGAGAGTGCGGAATTTCAACTCCCCTCCTGGAGCCCCATAACTCTTCAAAGCCAGCTGTGGGAAGCCTGAGAAAGGGCATTCGGGAGTCTGGGCAGGGGAGGGGTGGAGAACAAAGCCATGAGGCTCCAACCATTCAGGATGCAGGAATGCTTGTTCATGGGGAGTTCCCTCCCTAGGAGAGGAGGAACTGGGAAGCAGAGGGGAGTATGTTCCCTGACCCACAGGTCTCTCATCATTCTCCAACAGATCCCTTCACTGCACAGAGCCAAGTCCTTGAAAAACAGAATGTCCCCCAACACACACACACGCACGCGTGCACACTCACACAGAGCAATACCAGGAAGTGGATGGGGGCTCCCTGAGGGAGAGGGCTGGGCTCCCAGCCAGTCAGTGGGTCAGCTTGGGCTGCCTGGCCTGGCCAGGGGAGTTGTCCTTCAGGCCGAAGTCCTCCAGGGGACCACAGTGTGGGGGAGGGAGAACTTGCCTTGCTGGCTTTTCTCCCAGGAGGCCTGGAAACTGTAACCACCAATGTTCGGGTCTGGGCTGGCCATGCGCAGCCAGCCACAGGAGGCCAAGCCCTGATCATGCCACCCTGGGCCCCTGCCTAGCTCTTCACAAAGGATGCCTGTGGGCCTGCAGTGGCCGTGCTCAGGCCCCCCATGTCTGGTTTGGGTTGCCTAAGTGCAAGGGAAGGAAACCTTGCCCCAGAGGTAGGTAGCAGGAAAGGTGGGATATGTTCTTTCACGTTGGTGGCATTTCACCAGTGTCAAAGGACATACGCCTCTGCAAAGCTGTGGTCTGGCAGCTGCAGCTGAGCCCATGTAGACCCCCTCACTCCCATTCACTCCCAAGGCCCTGTTTCATGAGGTGCTATGCCCAAGGGCATGTGATTTTGACAAGAAGATGATAAAGGCCCTGGGGTCTTGTCACATGGCATCTGTTCCTGGAGTCCTGGTCTGACCTCTCTTAGAAAGGAGTGAAAAATGAGAGCTAAGAGGGCATCTTTTTTTTTTTTTTTTTTGAGATAGGGTCTCACTCTGTCACCCAGGCTGGAGTGTAGTAACACAATCTTAGCTCACTGCAACCTCAAATTTCTGGGCTCAAGCAATCCTCTCACCTCAGCGTCCCAAGTAGCTGGGACCACAAGCACGCATCACTGCACCTGGCTGATTTTTAAATTTTTTGTAGAGATGGGTTCTCGCTATGTCACCCAGGCTGGTCTCAAACTCCTGGCTTCAAGAGATCCTGCCACCTCGGTCTCCTGAAGTGTTGGGATCACAGGCATGAGCCACCGTGCCTGGCCCAAAGAAGCTCTTTACAAAAAAGACTTTGAGGCAGGTTCCATGTCCTCTCCAGTGGAATCTGGGTGTGGAAGTGACCCTATGTGACTTCTGAGGCTAGGTCATAAGGGATCTTACATTCTTCCTTGTTTGTTGGAACACTTGCTCCTGGAGCCCCAAGTCATCATGTAAAATATCTGACTACTCTGAGGCGGCCATGCCATGAGGAAGCTCAAGCCATGTGGAGACACCATGTGTAGATGCTCCAGTCAACAGTCCCAGCCCAGTCCAGCCTTCAAGTCATCCCAGTCCAGGCACCAAACATGAGTGTGAAGGCACTTCCAGATGATTCTCAGATGTCACCCTAGTCATTTAGGTCTTCCTAGCAGAGACCCCAGACATGGTGGAACAGAGACAAACTATCCCCTCTGTGCCTGGCCCACAAAATCCTTGAGGCCCCTTGCTAACCCCTCCACCTACTTCAAAAGCCCAATATCTATCTCGAGCTTGGTGAGCCAGGGAGAAAACCAGGGGAGACTCAAGATGTTTGGAGAAGGCTCCTTCTTGTAGTGCCCTCCAGCTTTGGGTGTGAAGGCTCTGATCAGCTGGCTTGCCCCTTTCCTGGTTCCGAGTCAATCCACAGTCAATGGAGGATATATTGAGCACCTACGAAGTGCCTGCCCTGTGAAACAGCTCCAGGGGTCCCGTAATGTCTTCCATGTCCACCCCTCCATGCTCAAGAAACTCATCCTCTATCTGGGGCCATCAGAAGCTGACCAAAGATATCAGAGGAAACATAACTCCGTGTTCAGTTATGCTCTGGATTTTTCTGTGCCTGTCCCAGTTTCAAATACTCTGCCCCCACTCTACCCATGAGCTAGCAAAATATCCTCATCCTTTCAATGTTTCTGTATCCAAACTGTATTTTCTACACAGCCTCTTCCACTCAGAAGCAGCTCAAAAATTCTCTCAGGCCATGTGCCAGAATTTGGGGTATGGAAAATGTTTACTTTAAGGAAAGCGCCTGACCAACAACTGTACCATTCAGTGTAGCAGGACGGTACTTACATGTGCTATAAGTCATGCTGCCCACATGTAAGGCCCTATGCTGGGGAACACAGGGACCATGAGTGCAGTCCTAGATTCACTGGAATTATCCAGGGAGCTTGGAATAAATGCTGATGCCCAACCACAGCCCAGAGGCCATGATTCACTGGCCTGGAGGGATCTCCAGGTGATTCTAATATGCTTGCTTGGCTAAGCCCCACCACCCTAACTCCCTTTGCCTGAGGTCATTCATGCTTAGGGCTTTAAACACTATCTACAGGCTGATGGCTCCAAAATTCCCACTCCTGGTCTAGGCCTCTTTTTTGACCATTGGACCCTCCTTTTGGATTCTTGCAGTCACCTTTGACCTAACATGGTAGAGCTAAACTACTGGTCTTCTCCCCACCCCAATCTGCTTCTCTGCCACCATGACTTTCAGTAAACGAGGCTTCACCCACCCAGCTGCTCACCCTCAAAACCCAAGAGCCGGCCGGGCGCTGTGGCTCACTGCTATAATCCCAGCACTTTGGGAGGTCAAGGTGGGCGAATCACAAGTTCAGGAGTTTGAGACCTGCCTGACCAACATGGTGAAACCCCCGTCTCTACTAAAAATACAAAAATTAGCTGAGTGTGGTGGCGGGTGCCTGTAATCACAGATACTCAGGAGGCCAAGGCAGGAGAATTGCTTGAACCCGGGAGGTGGAGGTTGCAGTGAGCTGAGATATTGCGCCACTGCACTCCCGCCTGGGCGACACAGCGAGACTCCATCTCAAAAAAAAAAAAAAAAAAAAAAAAAAAAACCCAAGAGCCCTCTGTGACTCCTCCCAGCCCACTTCTAGGTCCTGTCCATTCTCCCTTCACTTTCCAGTCTTGAAGCATCTGTACTTTCCAAATAATTTTTACACAGTTACAATCATGATATGCATAAAACTTTATGTCCCACCTTTTTCACTTAGCACGAATATTTTCCCACACTGCCATATCATTTTGGTATTATAATTTTTAACGGCTGCAGAATATTCCATTGAATCAATGCTTCCTAATTTATTCAGCCAGTCTCATACCATTAGGCCTTTATTTTGTTCCCAATGTTTCATTGTTATAAATAATGCCGTGATGAGCATCTTGATGCATAGAGTTTTTCCCCGCCTTTGGATTATTTCCTTTGGACAGGTTCCCAGAAGCGGGATTACTAGGTCACAGGATATGGACATTTTTATGGCTTGTGGTGTCTGTTGCCAAATTGCTCTCCAAATGGGTGATCCCACTTTACTTTATGTGTCTTTGATAATGGCTTATACAACTTTGGACGACACTGCCATAGGACCCAGGACAGTGCTAAGCAGCTGGGAGATTGAAGTTTTTCTTTTCAAAACTTCTTTTTTTTTTTTTTTCCTTGAGACGGAGTCTCGCTCTGTTGCCCAGACTGGAGTGTAGTGGCATGATCTCAGCTCACCACAACCTCTGCCTCCCAGGTTCAAGCGATTCTCCTGCCTCAGTCTCCTGAGTAGCTGGGATTACAGGTGTGTGCCACCATGCCTGGCTAATTTTTGTGTTTTTAGTAGACACAGGGTTTCACTATGTTGGCCAGATTGGTCTTGAACTCCTGACCTCGTGATCAGCCCGCCTTGGCCTCCCAAAGTGCTGGAATTACAGGCGTGAGCCACCATGCCCAGCCTCAAAACTTCTTAACAGCTTGCTTAATTTTCTCCTAATTATTAAAGTAAAAAATGCACAATCTAGAAAGGCAAACAGAAAAGTATAACCATGTAAACAAACGCACCCATAATCCCATCTTTCCATAGGTTCTCAGAAGGTGTGATTTCTGATTGTTGGAATGCTGGGATGAGGAATTGGGGCTGAATTTACACAGAAGGGAGGTTTTTTTTTTTAAATCACAACTTATACATAGAGAGGACTCCAGCCTTTCCAGAGTGGTCCTCTGGGGAGGACACACACATATTCTAGCCATGCTGCTGAGATAAAGTCGCCTTTTAAAAAAAAAACCACACCTTTTTAATTTCCTGGTATGAAATTCTGCTTAGGACTGGCAAGGCATTCTTAGGGCTATCCTCAGTGATGGCAATCTTTGCCCTTGTTAATAGGGTTCCTCTCCTCAGCCATAATCCCAAATCATTCAGGAACACACTTGTTCTGCTCGTGGTAGGAAAGGCGGTTTGGGGGTGGGGGCTGACCATGAAGAATGGAACCAATTTCCTGATGGTAGAAGCTGCTACTGAGAGCTGCTCTCAGGAAGGTCCCAAAAACTCTGAGCAATGCTGGAGCCCTGGAGTATGCGTCAAGGGAAGGGGGTGCCCAGAGTGACAATACTGACAAGCGAACGTGATAAGAACGACGAGGGGCGGCTCATGCCTGTGGAGTGCTGACTGTGTGCCGGGCTCTGTGCCAAATGCTTTCTGTGTATGAAATACACTCAGTGCTCACAACGCTTCTATGGGGTAAGAATTTGGACCCCAGCAGTCTTGACTCCACAGCCTGGGCTCTTATGCTGAACCTCCTGGTGCACATGTTCTAGTATGAGCCTCTGAAGGAGACCAGCTGCCCTTCTGAATTCTACAACATGGCACTCTTCCCCATGTTCTGCCCCTTGAGCTCCAAACTCAGATCCAGCATCCCCTATGTATTAGCCTGCTCAGGCTGCCATAACAGAATGCCACAGGCTGGGGGCTTAAACAACAGATATTTATTTCGTACAGTTCTGGAGGCTGTAAGTCCAACATCAAGGTCCAGCAGGGTTGGTTTCTGGTGAGGCCTCTCTTCCTGGTTTGCAGACGGCCGTCTTCTTGCTGTGTCCTCTGTGCAGATGCGGAGAGAGTGAGCTCTCTGGTGTCTATTTTCTTATAAGGACACCAGTCCTACTGGGCCAGGGCTCTGCCTTTATGACCTCATTTACCCTGAATTATCTCTTTAAAGGCCCTGTCTCCAAACACACTGGGGGTTAGGGCTTCAACATATGAATTAGGGGGATACAATTCAGCCCACAGCACCATGTCACCCTAACTCTGCCCTAAACACATGGACTCCTTGACATCTGCTGATGACCTCGCACTGTTGCTGCAGTTTGTCCTCCACGAAGGCTCCTCTGTCTCAGGCCTCACACTAGTATGATTAGCAAGTGTGTTTTTTTAAGATAATAATTATTTGGAGGTTACAGGCCAACTTTCGCTCATCTGTGCATACCCTCCCATCCATCCACTCGTTCATTCATTCAATTCATTTATTTGTTTGACAACACAGTCATCCAGCAACTAGTTTAGTAAGCACCTACTGCGACCACGTACTGTGTTAGCCCTGGGACTTCCATGGCGTGTAAGACACAGTGGACAATTCTGCATCCTAATTCCAGCCAACCTACCCACTTCTCTCTCCATCTGTCTTACTCTCTCACCCCAGGCAACCAATGTCTCTCACCTCCTATCCTAACAGACCGTTGACAGACCCATCCTTGAGCAGGGGGCTCTTTGACACCTTCCTGCTCAGGGGAAACAGATGGTGTTAAGCCAGTGTGGAAGCTGTTTCTAGGCAAGGGATTGCAAAGCTGTGTGTCCACCCCCTGCCCCAAGAAAACAAAATTATATATATCCCAACCAGGGAAACACGTGTGCTTGCAAGATTCGTACAGGCAGTCCCTCTTTTCCCAGGAAACAGGCTTGCTTCCACGAGACATTTTTATTAGAAAACAGAGAGGAATTGCTTCTTAGTGTTCTCAGGAAGAAAGTGGGTGTTGCACATTGCACAGAACCTCCTTCACTGATGTAGAGAACTATGAAACTGGCAGTCACACCTCACATCTATCATCCCTACCTCAAGGGGGGGCAATAAACGGAAGGGAAACCCCAGAGCAGGCAGAGCTATGGGGGCTCCCACCAGCCAGGCTGATCAGAGCCCTGGGAACCGTGGAGGTTACAGCTGGATCCTGTTTAACATAGTACACGATAGGGAGAGGCGGTTAAAGACACAGCAAGAGCGCTTTTTGCTCATCTCTCTCTTAGTGACCTAAAATTTCCATATCAAAGTGAATTACAACATGTAGGTAAAACGTGTGTGTGTGTGTGTGTGTGTGTGTGTGTGTGTGTGTGTGTGATCAGCCCCTAATTTGGGCAGGACCAAATATCTCAATCATGGCAAAACCCTTCCTGTCTCCCAATTCTTCCCTTCCACAGCACCAAGAGTGTTTAAAAAAAATTATTTCTACTAATCAAAAAAATACATGTCAGAGTGGTCTTTTAAAACATAAACCTAGTGTCATTCCCCGGAATAAAGCCAGTCAGCAGTTCCCCCCACTCCCACTTCAGGACCAAGTCCGTGGTCCTTGCGAATGGGATTATGATGGCTGCTGTGATTTGAATGTGTCTCCACCAGAACTCAGACGGTGCCAATGTGATAGTATTCGAGGCAGATCCTTTCAGAGGTGATTAGGCCATGAGGGCTCCTCCCTGGTGAATGGGATTAAGGCATTTATTTAAAAAAAAAAAAAAAAAAGCCTTCCCATCGTGTTTGGCCTTCTGCCTTCTGCCTTCCGCCATGCTGGGACACAGTGATCCTCCCCCTCTGGAGGATGCAGCTCTTGCCAAACAAAAGAACTTGCTGATGACTTGATCTTGGACTTCCCAGGCTCCACGGCTATGAGAAATCAATTTCTGTTCTTTATAAATGGCTCAGGTGTTTTATTACAGCAGCACAGAGGGACTAAGACAATAGCCCTCCCAGGCCTGGGCCCTGCCCCAGCACCACTAAGCCCCAGCTGCACTCAACTTCTTTCTGCTCCTCAAAGCCCTCATTTCTTCTCCGGCCTTCGCACACACAGCCATTCCCTTGACCTCAGCCACGCTTCCTAGCTGTTCTCTTGGCCAAATCCTCCTCTTCCTTCACATCTCTGCTTCCAGGCCACCCCTGGGGCAGGCCTTCTGATGCCCCGACACTGTGTGGCTGCTGCTCCTCCAGGCCCCCACAGGCACCCTCATCCTAGCCCTCCTCGCACTGCACGCTCATGGCCGCAATCCCCACCTCACACCACTCTTGACTGTAAGCTCCGTGCAGGCTGAGGCCTCTGCCACACTTACCGTTTTATCCTCGGTGCCTACCGAAAGGCACAGCACCTGACAACGCTCAGAGGATGCTGGCTGAATGAGGCCCAGGGACGGGTGGAACCCTCAACCTCCCAGTGCTGCCAACCCCATCCTGTCCCCGCCTGCCGCCCTGGAGCCCAGCGGCAGTATCTCAACCATCTCTACATCCCAGGGCCTGGCACAGAGCTTGGCACTCAAGCCAAGAAATGTTCAAGAAACGTTTGCTGCACTAAGGGGAGAGGGTGTGGAGGAGCGAGGAGAGAATGCGGCTTTCTGGACAGCTTTTCCAATGGCTACCTCTACCTGTCAACCATTCACACACCCACAAAACCTGCATGCCACCCCATCCCCATCGAGGGAGGCACACACACCACAGGAGTGCCCCTGCCTTAAAGGCTGGCTAGGAGGTGTCCTCTCCCTTTTAATTAAAAGTCAGACAGGCAGCCTCCTCCCTACTCATTCCTCTCTCTCCGGTCATTTCTAGAAACCGAGAATCAGCAGGACAGCCGGGAAGGTGGTGTTGTGGTTGTGGGGAAATTGCTGGGTTTGCATCTCTCCCTCCTCACCTTCCTCCCACGCTTCTTGTCTCCCCGTGGGGGACCAGACTGAGGGGCTCAAGGGCCAGGAAGCTGGAGGCTGGGCCAGGGCTGTCCCATTTACTGTTTTCATTTCCTCAAATGTCCTTTTCTTCTCCACATCTTCCCCAAAGGCCTGGTTTTAGGGCATTCCCTCTTCCTTAGATAGGGAAGGCAAAGTGTCTGCCCACTGGTCGGCACCCATGGTCATAGTGGGCACAAGGGTATCTGAAGGCCCCAAAAGCCACATCCACAGAAAAGACCCCCCAGCCTGGGTCCGGGGGTGGGACGGAGTTCAGAGAGAGGCTGTTAACAAAGACCGCTTTGTCTTTCCGACTAAGTCCTACAGGTACCCAGGTCTAGGACCCCAGAGAGGAGGGCAGCGGTGGTTATCCATGCTGGAGGAGCTTGTCTGCTGGTGGGAAGGGAGCATAGTGTGTACTCAGGGAAGTCCACTCCTTGGCAGATTGTGCTGAAAAATGTCCCTGGCTCACAAACCAAGCACAGTGGCAGAATGGGGCTGGGAAAGATGCAAACATTGAGGAAGGCTTCCTGGAGGAGGTGACACTGGAGCCAGGCCTCCACGGAGGAGTGCAATTTTCACATTTTAGAAAGATTTGCAAAACAACAGCACTTAGGCTATTGGAATTTGATGTGCTGTGTGTGTGGTTTTTAGATGGAGGCTTGTTTGTTTGTTGAAGAAATCTTCAGCCAACAATAAGGCTGTGGGATCATCCATCTGCAAGTATCTTTTATCCCTGAAGCACTGAGACAGACTGGAGGCTACACACAGAAACTGTCTCTACTCCCTCTGCCAGCCCCAGGTCCCCTCTGGAGGGGGCCTACCCCAAGCAGCAGGGACAGCAGCAGCAGTCCACACCAAGGGGTGGGAGGGGCATGCCTCCTAGCCAGTCTCCAAGGACGCAGTTCATTATGATGCATCCTCGTTGCCATGGAGACCCCAGGCCCACAGAGCCTGGCTAATAGTCCCTGAATTCACTCAGGCCTCGAGCACAATTAGACAAGATTAATTTTTGAGTCACAGCATAATGAGACCCGGATGTCCGGAAAGCATGTGGCAGCCTCCCAGGGGAGGGGAGAGCCTGGGGAGGGCACACTACTGTCATGAGGTCACCAGGGCACTGCCTCTCTTGGGTGGAAGGTCTGAGGGGCAGTGGAGAGTGCATTCCCTCCTTTAGAATTCCTCAAGGGCAACCCAGATCTGTCTGGGCAGCGTGGGGGTGGGGCAATTGAAGAAAGGAAGAATAAGCTCCCTATATCCGTCTCAGGCCCTTGTGGGGACAGAGTTGGGTGGCTTTATTCTGCTCCCTCTGATGAATTTGCCAACGAATGCATCTTATATGGCTGAAGCTATGACGCATGCACAGAATAGATTCTTATATCCATGCAAAAAATATAAATACATCATTCAAAAACCTGTAATTGAACATCTATAGGGCCAGGCACAGCAGGAGCACCCAATGGGATCTGTGGCGCGACACGCTCCCTCCCACTCAGGGCATGGGGCTTGCCCTCTGGCAGGAGAGACAAGACATGTTCAGATATAACTATCTCATCAGAGCAGTGGCATGAGAAGGATAGAGTTTGGAGCAAGGAGAGATCAGAGAAGGCTCTGTGGAGGAGGTCGCACTTTGGGCTTTGAAAGCAGGAATCAGACTTTTCAAGTAGAGAGGGAGCAGAAAAGCAGAGGTTGAGTTTGGGGGCAGCAAGCCGACCAGTGTCTGGTTTGGGCAGGGGCCAAGGAGGTAAATGGTGGCCAGAGAGTGAAGGCTTTGAATGCCCAGCCAAGTGGTTTGGGCAGGGCCGAGCCAAAGGATGGGGCGACAGGCTCTAGGAATACAGGCTGGTGGATCCCCTAACCCCTAGCCTCACTCTCCTAGTCCAGACCAGCTCCAGACCCAGCTTGGGCCTGTTCCCAGGACAGACTCACAGCATGGCTGCCCCAGCTCCCATCCCCACCAGCTTCCCGCAAGCAGAGTCACTCTTCCAGGCCTCAGGAGAGTCTGGACAGAACAGAAACTTTCTTTTGGCAGCGTTTCTGTACAAACCCCCAGATTTCTAAACAAAGTCCAGTTAGCAGATCAGCTCCTTGGTGCCCAGCAAAGAGATGGGAAGGCACAGAGGAGAGCTAGGTTTGCGGTAGAATTAAAACTCCAAAGTGAGGAGCTGGGGAGAGTACGCTGCTGCAGAGGGGCGTTCAAGGCCAAGCGGGCTCCAGGGCAGGAATGGAGTCTGGAGACAGGCATGCTGGTGCTCACCAGGGACTGGCTTCTCTAGTCTAGGGTGTGAACTCCTTCTGGCTTCTCTCAGGTTGAGTCCTTTTTTAGAAAGCAGGCCTACTCTCTAGAGAAAATTGGACTGCTGCCCTTGGATCATTTTTTCCCCAGAAGGTTACTATTAGTAAAAATCACTGACCACGCAAAATAGAGAAGCAGAGACAGCAGAACTTCCCATTTATCTCCACCCCCTACCAAAGCACACGCTTACGTGCACACACACAGCAGTTCTAGGAGGGTTTAGCAATGCTAAAATCCTAAAACCCACATGGCCTGGGCCAGGAACCAGCTCAGTTCCCTGAGAGCCGGGACACCCCAATTCCAGCCAGACTGCCCGCCCTCTTCTCCAGGGGCTGCCTACAGAGCCCAGGGCACTGAGCTTCAGCCTCTGGGATCCGATTCTCTGAAACAGTGAAAATGCTCTCAGAGCCAAGTCTATGGAACAAGGTGGATGATCCAGGTGGTGGAGGGGGTCTGGATCTGAAGAAAAGGTGGAGAAATCAGCGCCACCTCTTTCTCCTGGGTTCTCCATCACTCTTGACTGTGTGGCCATGGTTCTCCACTGACTTCTAACTCATACCCACCCCCACAGACTCATCAACTTCCAAAACGTCACCCTGCATCCTGCCCTCCTCTCAGTCCTCACTGGATCCCCCTGGTCAGCTCAGGCCTCTCGCCTGGACCACCACAGTGGCCCCCTAATGGGTCAGATGCCTCCACACCAGCCAAGAGCAATGGGTCTAACTGTGCAGGCCACTGGGAGAGGGACAAGGATGGGAACCGCAGGCTGGACTTTTGCCCGAGGTTCCTCTCTGCCCTTGTTCACCACAGTAACCCTGGTGAAGCCTCTGAGCTCCATAGCAATGGAGGATTTTGTTCGTTTGGTCTTTTTTATTTTTTATTTATTTATTTTTTTTTTTTTGATGGGGGGGAAACAGAAATTAGGGAGAAGTGATTGGCTAAATGCAATGCTTTTGAGAGGCCAAACAGCCAGGCAGTTAACAGCATGGGCCCTGGGGCACAATGGGGATGCAATAGAACCCTGGTTCCATTTCCGTTGTGTGACCTGGGGCATGCTGCTTAACCCCTTGGAGCCTCAGTTTCACAGAATGGGCATAACAGTAGAAGCCATCTCCCTGTGCTTCCTAGGTATTGAAAGGGTGATATGAGGTGCGTGTAAAACAATTAGGACTGCCCCTGGAACATGGTAAGCGCTGAATAAGCATTAGTGATTCTGTCCTACTCGTTAGTATTTTGTTGCTGGTGAATTAAAATCCCACAGCATCTCCCCTCCCTGTCACCCCAAAACCAGGCCAGCCTGGAAAAGATGTGCCAGCAGCCAGGCGAGCAAAGCCACCTCTCTCTGTCATTTCTCCTTGACCCGAGAAGGCTGTGCCTCTTAATTGCTCTTTGGTTTTACGCAATTTGAAATGAGCAGGCCACCAATTCCCTGCAGGAAAAAAAAAAAAAGATATATATGCTTCTGCTCAAAATACTAATGAGGTTGGACTCGAGGTGAGGCTGGCAGGGGAGGGCGGTCCCTGAGGACTTCTGCGGAGCCCTGCTGGCCCTGCAGGAGGACAAGACCCAGTTTGGAGCACCCTCCAGAAGGCAGGCAGGAGGAGAGCCACAGGATGGGCTCCATGGGCCCCAGGTCAGGAGGCCAGAGTGGCTGGGGTGGCCTGTGGGAAGGGGCGTGGGGAGTGCTCTGCGTGATGCGCGGCCATTTCTCCCCGTGGGTTTGTGGATCTGGATCTTCTCCCAGGAGCTCCGGGAAGACTCTGCCTGCTGTGTTGTACCCCTCTCCTCCCACACCATCCCCAAGGCCTGAAGATGCATCTTCCCTGTGCCTGCTGCCTCTGCCCTGGCTCCATCCTCATCACCTCAACATGGCTGCTGGGCTCCAGGCCTCCAGCCTTATCCTTCACCTATCTGTCCTCCCAGTCAGTCGAGAAGTATTAGTGAGCAGCTAGCACAGGCCAGCCTTATGGGAGCCAGAACCCACCTTCCCCTTCAATCTCCTTTCCCACCAGACCAGGCCTGCTCACTGTGCTTTCCGTGGCAGGCAGGCTCCTGCTGGAGCCTCAAAATTGCTTCTCTCTCAGCCAGAAAGATCCCCCTAGATCCCATGGGGCTCTATCCCCCCTTCATTCCACAGGGGATCCCCTTCTCACAACCCCCACCCCCTACCCCCCATGCCCCTGTATTTTCTTTAACAGCATTTCTACCACTGATGTCAGGATTGTGTTCTGTCCTGTCTCCCCATCCTCCTGGGCCTGTCCCTGAGGGCAGGGACTGTTCCTGTTTTATTCACCCATGTGGACTGTCCCATCACCTAGGGTCACGGGCACAGTGCATGCTTAATGAAGATTTATTGTTGTGGAATCTAATGACTTCGTCGCATCTCTTTACTACTAAAAGGCTCTTCATGGATGGACTGATACACATGGGCCCAGGAACAGCACTCCTGCACAACTCCCACCTCCCCGCAAGCCACCCCTGAGCCCTCATCACCTTCCCAGCCCCCGACCCTCCACACTCAAACCTCACTGGGCACCCTCGTGGCTCGGGAGCACCCCACGGCGTCGCTGCCCTGGCCTCTGCTCACGCTGCTCCTTCCCTCACCTAGGTTCAGAGCCACACTCCAACACCTCCTCCTCCCAGACGCCCGCTCCGTCTCACCAGGGTCCCTCGGCCTTTAGGACTCGCATTCAATGCTGAGCCAATGGCTTCATCCGTATTTGTTTGCCCGTCTGCCTCCCAGGCAGAATTCAACTTCCTTAAAGGCTGGGGAAATTGGTCCCCTCTGTGTGTCCACTGAGCCAGTACAGAGCCTGGCATGGAGCAGGTGCTTAATTGATGGTATTTTGTATTAAGATTTGGATTGGTCTAGTGATAATAACTGTTATTAACTTTACCACTCATGAAGTCCACCATGGGAAACAGGAAGACCAAGCCAGTCACAGAGCTGAGAACAGAACCCACCCCTGGGAGAAGCCCCTGAAGCCCTGCCCAAGGGGCTGAACTGAGGGAAGGGGATCCCAGTCCCCTAAAGGAGGACAGCGGATATCTGAGCCCTGCTGCATGGCTCAGGGCCTGGAGCCACAGGCTTCTATATCTGACGATAAGGCGTATCCCACTGTCATGGGGAAGTGCTGCCTTGCTTCTCTGGTGTCTGCAACTCCCAGGGATGTAAACTGGACATCCATGTCCCCCTTCCTGGGAGGAAATCCTGCCAGTGTTCTCAGGGACACAGGACAGCAGGGCTTAGCTGGAGGAGGAAAGAGGGAGGGGGCCCCTTTGTCCCAACCTGAGGCAGGGTAGGGTCCAGCTCAAGAGAGTACTCTCTCTGGCCTGACCCCACAAGTCACAGCTGAGGCTGCCACTTGGCTGGCCACTCAGCCAGTTCTCTGGCCTCGAATGCTGCAGAGTTGGGACTTTGCATGGTACAATGCTTCCTAAATCCACTTCACTGCACAACTCAACTGACTCTTAAAATACTATCAAGGGGCAGACAGAACTGGACTGATAGCTAGAACTGCACGGACAGCTAGAACTGGACTGATAGTTCACTCTTTTCAGAATTGGAAAAAAACAATCCAGAGAGGTTAACAACTTGCCTAAGGTCACACAGCATGATAGAGGCAAAGCCCAGAGTAGAACCAAGGCTGAGATTTCAATTGTTATTATTTGGATTCGCCAGGAAAGTATGTGCTGAAAAGCTTTCCTGGGACTGGAGGCAAGAGGTTGAAAGGGCTTTCTGTCCTCTCCAGGAATCCCACCCCACTTCCTTCTGCAAGCACACAGGCTCTGTCTCACTTCAAACCCAAAGAAATTCCACCTCTGCTCATTGGCTCGCAGACATGGGAAGTGGCTCTTTCCCCACGGCTTCTGCCCTGGAGGATGAGTTCAATAAACAGAGCCCCTTTCTCATATTCCTGCATAAATATTTCAGGAGACAGAAACAAACAGAACTGCTTTAGATCTGCTGCTGGTTATTCAGAAATCGGGGCTCCTCTATTCCAAGCAGGGACCACCCTGCCCAAGGAATTAGTGTTCACCAGGCCATGGGAGATACAAGATAGCACCTTCCTGCCAGGGCTGCTCACCTGGGCTGGGGAACCTGGTGAGAGCTGGAGAGCACAGCTCAGCTTGTACCAAAAGCGCCTCCACCTACCCATCCACCCACAGCTTGCTGTTCCTAGAAATGGGAGGAAATGGTCTGTTCCATGTCTGCTATTCTTGGGGATGCTTCAGTCACTGCTGCCCCTGGACCATACTGCAGGGGACACCAGGTTCCTGCACAGACAGGCACCACCTATGGGGAAGAGGGTGCAGAGCCTTCCATGCCAGGTGGACCAGAGTTCTGGCTGCAAACCTCAGCGATTTAGAGGGCCAATCCCCTTTATGTCTCCCCCAAACACCCCTTTTGTTTATTCGTTCAGACATTTATGGAGCACATTATTCTTGGATCCAGAACACTCAACAGCTCCCCATTGCTGACGGGATTCTGACTTCAGACTATCATTTCCTGTGCCACCCAACCACATCTCTCTCTGCTCAAGTCATACTCCAGTTAGCCTAGTTCCTCCCTTTCCCCCAAATGAGCCCTTCCCCTTCTTAAATGCATTTGTCCTTTTGCCTTTTCTCCTCTTCTCTTCTCTTCTCTCGCCCTTCTCAGGTCAGGATGGCTCATGTGCCACCTCCTCCATGAAGCCTTCCTTGACCTTCCCACCCCACAATGGGACCTTTGCATGGTGCAATGCGTCCTACACCCACTTCGCCACCTCAGAGCAAACTCACTTCACAGCTCATCCACTTCTGGAAATACTATCAAGGGGCAGACAAACTGGACTGATAGCTCTTTTCAGAGTTGCAAAAAAAAAAACAAACCCAGAGAGGGTCTTCTTCCCCTCCTCTCTGAGCTCCCTTGTAGCTTTCTAACACTGTTGCCCAGGAATTGCTCTTGTGACACTCTCATGTGTGAAGTCTTATTGTTCCAGCTCAGTCACAAGTGTCTAGAGAACGAGGCTCCAGATTGTGTTTCAGCAAATGTCTAGGAGTAGGGCTACATCCAGACCTGGCTGCTAGAGAATGGAAGCTCAGCTTTTAAGAAATGTGACTGCCTGGATCCCACCTCTCAGAGATTCTGATTCTATTGTTCTGGGGGAAGGAGGACAGGGAGGACCAACTATTTCATTTGCAGGTCCCCTTTTTCAAAAGTTTTTAAGAATTTCAAGACAGTGACAACAGAACATTAAACCAAATGTTGAACAGGTCATACACCCATGGCTACGGTTTGAATATCTCTGCCAAAACTCATGTTGAAATTTAATTGCCAATGTAACAGTATTAAGAGATGGGGCCTTTAAGAGGGGATTAAGTCATGAGAGCTCTGCCCTCACAAATTAATTAATGTGATTATCCTGGGAGTGGGCTCCTGATGAAAGAATGAGTTTGGCCCAATTTCCTCTCTCTGTCTCACACACTCACTATGACGTGATGCCTCTGCCATGGGATGACCCTCACCAGATGCTGGTGCAATGCTCTTGGACTTCTTAGTCTCTAGAACCATGAGCCAAATAAACTTCTGTTCTTTATAAACTACCCAGTCTGCGGTATTCTGTTACAGAAGCAGAAAATGGACTAAAACATACATGAAGCTGGAAACAGGCATTTAAACCTCACCAGGTGATTTGCAGCCGGGGTTGAGAACCACCTCCATGGTCAATATCCCCATGAGCCCTGAAGGTTCTGTGCTTCTGAGCTCCCATGACAGTACACAGACCAGAATACTGTACATTCCGTACATACTGTACAGTACACAGACCAGCCTCTCCATCTCTGTATGCCTGGGCTGGCTGGAGCACAAACAAATATTTATAGAGTGAATGAATATATGAATAGATGCAGAGAGGTGGGACTTGAACCAGAAAGCTGGGAAGAATCTTTTTTCATTTATTTATTTTTAATTGAGATGTAAAATATATATAACATGCCTACAGTGCACAAATCTTAAGTGTTTGCCTTGACAGATTTTTATACATGTATGCATTCATGTAACCGCCATCACTCCAGAAGTTTCTCTCATACCCTATCTCAGTTAATACTCTACCCCTATCCCCACCCCAGGTAACCACTAAAAACTGGATATAGAATTCCATCAGATGAGGGCTCTCCCAATGAAATAGACAGAACAAGCACAGGTGGGGTATATCCAAGAGACATGAAAGACGCTGACTCAGAAAATTCCCTTATGTGTGCTAAGGGCTGGAATTTACACCACATGTATGACAATGAACACAAAGGTTGAGACCTCCTCCAAGCAAGCAAGCTGGCAGGACTCAAACTCTGGTCCTTAACCTCCAAGTCTCATGAACTTGTCACAACTCTTGGCAGTCTGGAGTGGATGTGTGGTTGGAGGACACGGCGCAGAAGGAGACACACTGGCTGCAGAGTCTGGGGACACCGGGGAAGGGAAGAGGGTAAAACAGGGCCCAAGGCTGGGCAGCATCAGGGCATAAACTCGCATCCAGAAGCTCACTTCTGCACCCAGCCTCAAACCAGGTGAGGCAGTCCCCAACCAGAGGAGGAAGTGACCAACCCAAGATCACACAGCCAGGGAGGGTCAGGGCTAGGGTTTAGGCAGGAGCTCCTGAAATCCCATTCCAGTGCTCTTCTCGCCATGCTATAACCACGTTTTCCTAGAAGGAAACTTCTGGTCCTCTGCCCCCTCCTATGTTCTCAACCCTTAGATCGAACCATCTGGCAGCCCAGGCAGATGGGAAAGGCCCATACCATGGAGTGGTCCAGGCCAGGACTCCCATCTTAGGGTATGGGGTGGGGCATATGTGACACCCAGCTCCCAGGCACAGGGAGAGACCTTCAGGAGGTCTGGGCTAGGGGCTCAGAAACCCCTTCCCCGCCTCATTGCACATAGGCTTTGAGAATGTCCACTCACCTCTCTGCCTCTAGGGCAATGTGGGTAGGGACAGACCACCTAAAGTGTGAATGGGATCACATCACTCCTTTGCTTAAAGCCCCTCTAGGACTCCCAGCAACACCACACAATGAAGCTCAAGCTTCTTGGCTTGGCATCCAAAGCTCCCCATGGCCCCTGCCTGCCTGTCCAGCCACATACAGCCCCTCCATTTCCAGCCCAGCAGCACCCAACTGGTTCTCTCCTAGAATAAGCCAAACATGTTTCCCCTTCCATTCCTTTGTTCACGCTGCCCGCTCAACCTGGAATGCCTTTCCTGCCTCTTCATCTGCCTCTGCCTACTCATGCTGGAAGACTGAGGGAAGATCTCTCCTTCCAGAGAGCTTCCTTGGCCTGCCCAGCCACGTCTCTCATAGTTTCACAGTTCTGTGCACATGTCCCTGTCACTGCTGTTCCACGCCTCCACCCATCAGCCTCCCTTCCCCAACATCCCTGCAGCCATGTGTCCTTCTGAGTCCTGCAGCCTGTGTCCCCCCACAGACCAGGATCCCCCTGGAGACAGAGACTGCTTTGGTTCATCCCTGCACCCTCAATGCCGCTTAGGGCCTGGCACACAGGGCTCAGCAAATTTTTTTTAAATAAATCTCAGTCCTCGTTTTATTTGCACAAGGGTAGGGATGGGGAAGGCGGCCGGCCCTGCATAGGAGAACAGGGCAGCCAGGGTGGAGAGGAACACAGAATAAGCTTGGCTGTCCTCTCCTCTCCACACTCACTTCCCTGGCAAAACTGGCTCACTTACAGTAACCAGCTCTCCCTCCTGCCTCATTTGCCTCTCAGGAACCCCTCCTGCACCTACTCTAGTGTTTTCCTTCCAGCAGGCTCGGTCCAGTCAATGACAACCACTTAGGGCATTATTACCCCCTCAGGGGGACTTGTATTTTTAAGAACACCTAAAAGACCCAAAGGAAGGGAATTCTATAGTGGGTTCTAAGCGAAGTGGTAGGGGAGGACCTTCTAAACCAGCGGCCCCGCAGCACCCTCAGCCATCCACTGCCAGGCCAGCTGGCCTGCAGCTCCTGCTTGTGCATGGGGCGGTGCAGCCAGCGGGTTATGGCCCAGTTTGCCCCTTCCTGCTGTGTGAAGCAGGGCAGGCCATCCTCTCGGAGGCTGTCTCCCCCTCTGAAAAGTGGGGGTAACAGCAGAGTTATGGGGGTACCTGAGAGAACAGAAGTGCAGGGCTGGGCATGGGGGGGCAGCCTCCGAAGAGCTTTGTTGTTCCATTGTTCCCAGGGCTCTTCAAAAAGCAAAGGCCCACTGAGTTTGTGGCTCCCAGGCTGCTCCTACACTCTGGTCCTGGGAGAGGGGGGCGGTGGTGCAGAGGGGCAGCTTTGTTTGTGGCTCCTGAGTACCCTCTCCCCTTCCCTCCACCCACTCTCCCTCCCTCTGAGCCAGAGTTCCAGGGAAATCTTGGCCAGGAGACTTCTCAAGCTGGTGATATGGTCTGGCCTGAGGAAAGCTCTTAGCAACCCAGGCTCCCAACTCAGCGGCCCTTCTCATGGTTTCAGAGAAACAAAGGAGGGAAAGATTGCTGGCAGCCCAGTGTGCCAGGACGGCCAGCTTCCAGGAGGGAGAGCCGGGGGTCACGGGCCACTGTGGAGGCCAGGGGGGCAGCCAGGCATGTAGGGCATGCACTGCCAGGCCTGGGCAGCCGCAGCCTGATGGTTGAGCAGAAAGGGCTCCGAAGTTGCTCCCTCTGCCTCTGCCACTGCCAAACCAGGCCTCTGGTCAGGGCGCTCCTAGTTGGTCACTTGGGGAGCCAAGTCTCTCCAACCAGGTGCCTCCTCCCATCTAGGTTAAGTTCTCAAAGTCTCCTTTCTGGAACTTTCTCCCATTCCCCACTTTTGAATCAGTCCTTGGCCTGCCAACATCGGGCAACTACTAGAAGCCTAGAAAAAAACCCACAGAATTGGAAAACCCAACCTGAGCAGTAACTTGGGGGAGCCCCAGTTCCCACTCAGCCACATCTTTCCTATACCCCCTTGGGAAAACTTTCTAGGGCTTTAGTTTTCTCCTCTGCAAAATGGGCGTTTCTACTGTACATCTTTAAAGTCCCTTCCGGCTGTAGCAGTCCACAGATCTCTAACAGTAGAGATTTTGTCCAAGCAGCAACAGGGAATGTTTTAGGTTTGCTCCAAATCCTGCCAAATCTTATATGTCTATACCTGGTATTCGAAAAATCCACAACACACTCTAACTGGCATGCATAGCCCTTTGATGAATGCTGTGAAAGCTACTAAAAAGAATCAGACCTAATCTCTAGCTTCAGCAAGCTCACAAGTTAGGGAGCCAAAGATCATGCTCATAAGATAATCAGCAAACAAGGCACATTAGGCCTTTACCTGCTGGCTGGTATACCAGGGATCACATGCTACAGGAACTCCAAGGATTGAGAAATTAATGTGGATCCGAACCCTGAAAAGGTCAGTTTAACAGAACAGCTCAAGCCCTGAAACAGCCTCAATCCATAATAACTTGAGTTTGTTCCCAGATCTTTTAATGAGTAAGGCAGGAAGGCAGACTCAGGGTCTCTAGAAGAAAGATTTGTGATGATAAAGTTATCAGTTGGCCACTCAGGTATGCAGAAATCCCCTTTCCCAGAATTCCAAATTTCTCGGAATCCCAAATTTCCCCATGCATTTTTGCAAGCTGGTCTTTCACCTGGAGGTCAGCAGGGCAGGCATAACCAGCAATTTTTCAGGAGTTAAATAAAAATCCTCAGGAATTAAATCCCTTTGTCCCCTTCCACCAACACCTTTCTTTCCATCAGCCGTTCCACGTCCTGGATTCTACCAGATTCCAGATTATAAAACTGTTAGTTCTGAAATCAAACTCAAGGTGTTTAAATGATTTGCTGCAAATGCCTCAAGCTAGTAGAGGCTATTCCTTTCCATAAACCTAAAGGAAAAGCAGGTCTGAGCGCTGGGGGCATCGGGAGGTATCTGGAGCAAAGATCAAGGTCATTTGACAGTGGGAACCTGGTCTTTCTGCCCAGGGACCCAGGTAGGACTGTGCTCTGGGACCCACCTTCCCTCGCCTTCCACAGGGAGCTCTGATCTACAGAGAGCCGGGATAATACAGATCAAGGTTTGGATGCTTTATTTGGCTCACTTTTCAAATGAAAGCAGGACACCACATTTTTATAGCCAGATTATTTGTCCCAAGCATATTAAAACAGCCAAAATAGACAGAACAGGAAGAGAGAAAAGCAACTTTTCATCTGCACCAAACTAGCCTGACAGAGTAAAAACAGATAGAGGCTGTTTGGAAGAGATGAACTTTTCTCTTCCACCCACAGAGTATGAATCAATTCTGAAATAAGGACTACAGCAGGGGAGAAGTGGGCTAGCTATTGGAAGGAACTGCCTAAATCTGAGGGCCTTGAAATACTGGTGAGGAAGAGGAAAGGAGTGGGCACAGATTAGACATCACAATAAACCATTTCCTGCCATGACATCTACAAAGCACCTTATTTACATCTTTCCATGTTACTTAAATATTAGAGCACCCTACAGAGATAGACTACTAACTTCATTTTCACAGACGCTCAGAGACATCCAGGGACTAGCCCAAGGTCACACAGTAAGGAGCAGAGGCAAGAGCGAGGCCTGGGTCTTCTGCCTCCAGGTCCCATGCTCTGGACCACATATTTCCGGGTCATTCCCACCAGCCTGACAAAGTGGCAAGACAGAAGGCCTGCGAGGCAGGCTGAGTCCCTGACTGGCTGTGGGAACACTGTAAAAGTTACCTCCCTTCCTTCCCTGGACCTCCATTTCTGCAACCATAGAAAGGGGGATAATAATAGCACAGACTTCATAGGCTGTCATGAAGCTTAAATGAATTAATACATATAAAACATATTGTATATGCTTGGCATAAACTAAGTGCTCCGGAAGGGTTAGCCGCTTCTATTATTATTGTTATTGTTATTGTCTGTTGGTCCCTTGAAAGCAGGGGCCTAGCACCTGGTGAAAGGCTGAGAACTGACTACTATTAAATTGGTATTTCTTAAACGAATCTAAATTAAAATTAGGAATCATTGTGATATTCCTAAAAAGTGTAGAGTGCCGTACAGGCAGAGTGCTGGCCCAGATGACCTCAGACATCTCCGGAGTTAAATACTGATCATGGAGGCTTCCCAGCAATTAGCATGAGCACCTACCCAGGGTGAGCCTCCACACACCACCGCTCTGGGCAGCCAGAGCCTCCAGGGGTGTTGACACTTATCTCATACAGGGGACAGTAAGTTTAAGCCTGTGGCATGAACACCATGTAAAACATCCACCTTCTCTGAGCTCGGACAGAGCAGACACCAAACTGCAGACACTTAGGGGGTTTTTTTTGTTTGTTTGTTTTAGAGATGGGGTCTCACTACGTTGCCCAGGATGATCTCCTGCCTCAGCCTCCTGAGTAGCTGGGACTATTGGTGTGGACTTTTAACACTTTAGAAAAAAATTGTGTGTGTGTGTGTGTGTGTGTGTGTGTGTGTGTGTGTGTGTGTGTATACATATCTCCCTATAGTTTGACTTTAAAGACCAAGGCCCAATATAGATAATAAGAAAGATTTAAAGAACAAAAATGGTCATAATTGAGCCCACTAAAAATATAAGGTGGAAAATTTCCTGCCAGAGCAAAGTTTCCTTTTGGAAAAATAAATGACTTCTCCCTCCTGCCTGAGAGCCAGGAGGGCCTCTGGCCACTTTACACAGCCCAAGGAGGCTCCGTGAGGCATCGGGGTAGGCAACTGAACTTGGCACTTCCACACCCCCTTGCCTGGGTCAGTTTTAGAAGCAGCCAGGGTCAGGCCACCCTCCCTATCACCAAGCAGCAGGCAGCGGGAAGGAAAGAGGCCAGAATCCGGAGGTCCGGGTCTGGACCAGCCTCATCCTGCCTCACTGGGCCACCTTTTACAGGTGACTTAGCTTCTCTGTGCCTGTGTCCTTATCTGTAAAGCAGGGATGATAACAGTAACCTATGCCATGATGTCACTCTGAGGATTAAATGAGTGGATACTTGTACCATGCTCTCATCAATGTCCAGCATGCAGGAAGTGATCAAGGTCCGTGGCTTTTGACTCCTGACGTTTGCCCATTCATCCCCGGCCTGTTGCTCCCTCCTCAGCTCCCCTCCTTTCACCTGCTACCTCCTACTCATCCTTCATGACTCAACTTAAAGTCACTTCCTCATCCCTCTGACTAGGTCAGGCCCCCTGCTATTCCCAGAGTTCCCTGTACTGCTCATTTCATAAGCCCCAGGACACTCATTAATTTTCTGTCTTCCTGAGAATAACAGCTAACACTACATGTCAGGCATATGGTAAGTGCTTCACATGGATCGGCTCACTTTATCTTAATAACAATCCTTAATAGTAAAGGATTGTTACTATTATCAATCCCAATGAATGGATGAGGAAACAGATGTTCAGAGAGGTGAGGCAACTTGCCCAAGAATACACAGCAAGTAAATGACAGACTGCCATGTGTTTGACTTCAAAGCCAGCATTCCTAGCCAGTGGAACCCCAAATCATCAGGGGCTAACTCGAGAAAAGGCTGCTTCGTAAGGGCTGCAGGCCTGGACCAGGGACCTGCGTTCTCTGAACCAAGCTAGCCTCATGGAAATGGAGAAGGCGGCTCTGCCTCTGTCATACTTTGTTCTGCCCTCGGCTGAATGCCCTACCCAAGCAGCCCAATCTGATGTCAAACACCATGTATAGGACACCCTCCTCCCCCAGCACCCTTCCCCGAATCATTTACATGACTCCTAGCTCCAGTAAAGACCACAGGCAAATCTAAGCAGGACACAACCATGGGCATCACCCTCAAGGCAACCAGCATTTGTCCTGCACATCCTCAGTGGCAGGGCCACAAACACAACAGACAATAGCCCACTGTGTTGTAGGTGGGGGGTTGGTGGGGAGTGGAAGCAGAGTACGATCATGCCCCAGGACCAAAGGCCTGGAAGTGAGATGAAAGTGTTCTCTGGAGTCAGACAGCCCAGGTACAAATCCCTGCTCCCCACCCATTCATTCAACCTGTGACCTTGAGCCGTTCACCTACTCTCACTAAGCCTCACTCTCCTCCTCTAGAAAATGGGATGGATAATAGAATCTACCCCATGGTTGTACAGAGTAAATGCGATCATGCGTGCCCAACGCCTGCTTAATAACTGTTATTATCATGATGATGGTGATTAATCTTCATGGGTTGTGGACCATTATGTGATCGGATTGAAAAGGTTCTGGCTCAAAGCCAGAAGATCTGGGCGTGCATCCCGCCTCTGACCCACATTAGCTCTGGGACCAGGGTGTGGTCATCTCTCCACTCAGACACTCTGTTTATCCGTCCCTAAATAGAGGGGACCGTCCCCACCATGACAGAGCTGATGGGATTCAGGGAAGTAACCCATGTATGTATTCTGTACGAAAGACAGCCTGAGCAAACCTGGGAGCCTCCCATTGCTACATTAATTAATTGGAAGGAGGTTGCCAGCCAGAAACCAATTACAAAGTCCCTCCAGGGGCCTCTGCGGGGGCAAAAAGGAGGGATGAGGAAGGGCGGTGGTGGCTTCTCCCCCACTCCCCACCCCCACCCCACTTGTGCCTCCTTAGCAGCTGGTCCCGCACTCCAGGCCCACAAAGGAGAGGCTCATTCTAAACAGCTACTTTTCATGTGGAAGCCACTGGATTTGCATCTGTCCTTCCCTGGCAAGGCCTGCCCCATGCCAGCTGCCCCAAGCTCCCCAGGCTGCAGGGTGCTCCAGGACCCTGGGCCTGAGCCTGCAGGGCCTACAGGGGAAGGAATGGGAACCCAATGGGGCTGATCAGGAAAAGAGGGAAGGAGACAGGGCTGGGCGCAGAGAGAATCTGCACACGTTCTCATCTCCTGGACACCAGATAAGCTCTGTGGCCAGGCATATCCAAATCAGAGTCAGGGCTGCCCGGGTGCCAGGAGCCGAGACTCCACCAGCCCTGGCCCTGGCGGAGGCTGTGTCTGCTTCAGCTAGCTGGCCTGGGAGAGAAGTGGAAAAACTCACTCCATCCCTGAGCTGCCAGGACATTGGCCCAGCCAGCGCCCACACTCCCAACCAGCCAAACTCAAGTGTGTGCCAACCTCACAGGGCTGGCCACTGTGGGGTGATTCTGGGAGCCCTGGAGAGCCTCAAACCCTTCCCAGCTTCCTCTAAGAACTGCCATAGGTGTCAAGGTGGCAGTGCCTCGGGGGAGGGGAACACAGGGCCTCTGGGCACAGTCCAGAAGAAAGCACCTGACAGCGCTTTTCTGGAGAGTGAGCTTCATTGCCTAGAGGGAGAGACAGTAAGGAAGGAAAGAGCCTGCATTCATTAGGCACTTACAGTATGCAGGCAAGGCAAGAGGTCTCCTGGCTCATGCCCACTGGACCTCGAGACTCTGAACTCAAGGCTTTGGCCTTTCCATGTCCTTCTCCTCTAAGGTCCTGGATCCCAGGGACTGTGGCTAATGCCACTGTTTTCCTAATGCCTCACACAGGGCCTGGCCCAGAGTAGGTGCTCAGAGGGTGCTGGCTAAATGAACGAATGACTGCTAGCCGCACACCTCCCAGCATGAGAATGCTGGATATCTGGAAGAAGGCCGGGAAGGGAGAGGAGGCATAATGGGTGTGTGGGCAGAGCAGGCAGAGCCCTTGCCCACCCGCAAGTGGGCTCCCACCCGGGAGCTGGGTCTGTGCTGGTACCCCCGCTTCCTCTTCACCAAGGCTTCCTGAGGTGCTGGCTCTCTTACTTCCTCTCCCAGGGAGACCCAGACAGGAACGAGGTGCTGGGATGTAGAATGTCTGGAGGTTCAGGTATCTCCTGGGTACCTAGATTCTGCGTCAGGGAACTGGAGGCAGAGGGGCCTCATAATCCCCCTCGCCATCTGACTGTAGGTATAGCAAGGCTCCTATGGACTTTGCTCCCCTGCCCCACATCCTGTCCCTCCTCCCACTCCCGCAATGCTTCTTCCATCTAGGGCAGATGGTGTCCCACAGAGGGAAATCCAGGCACCAGCAGGACAGGAAGGGGCGATGCAGTGGGGTAAGTGGAGTGGGGCCAAAACATTTGTGCCTGCTCAGAATGCCCCAGGACCCCTTGCCAGGGCAGCCGGGTGGAAAGAGCACTGACCATGAGTCAGGACCGAGGTGCCAGCCCCTCCAGCCTCAAACTTACTGAATGACTTTGGGCAAGTTACAACTTCTGCTCCCAGCGTCTCAGTTCCCTCATTTCTCAAGGGAAAGGGTTGGGTGATTTGCCCGCTCCAAAATTTTATTCTCCTATGGGTGACTCTGTAGGGGCCCTAGAGACACATGATCTTTGGAAAATGCAGGCCTGCTATTACCTGGGCAGGATAACATCATCCTCAGTCCTTTCACATTCAGCAGGAGCCACTGGCTCTTATCAGCAGGCTGTGCCCTGCTGGAGCTGAGGCAGGAGAGGGAAGGCTGCCTGCAGAAAGAGGGGCCAGGGCACAGTTGATCGTGCTGCCCACGGACCTACAATCTATCTGCTTAGCAGGGAGGAGCATGTTGGCATGAAAGGTCTTCTCTTTTCCCACACTCCCTCTCCTAAGGCCTTCTAAGGTGCAGCAGGCAATTGTGCTGCTCAGGGTACTTTGCTCCTGGACCGCTGACCCCCCTGAGCCAGGCTCAGGAAGGTAAAAAGCATTCAGCTCACTAGCGTCTAACTTAACACAGCACACCTCAAAATAGGGGAGCCTGGTCACTATAAGCCACCTCCTCCCTTACCTGGAAGACCCACCTCTGGGTCACATCACAGCCAGCAGCCAGGAAATCACCCTAAAGGGCCTCTGAGCAGTACAAAGCGGGTTGCAAGGGCCTAGACTTTAGCTCACAGGTTTTCTTATAGCCCATTAACTTGTACTTTACACACGACTCTATTAATGTACCTTGTCCTCTGCTTTTCCAGTTGATAGCAATGTAGAAACAGATATTTAGAACTGGAGAAGCACTGCTAGTCTGGTACATGACTGAGATGGAACAGAACAAGAAAATTATACAAAGCAGTCAGAAGAACCTGAAGAATAAAATCAGCTGGAGCTACTCGTCTCAGGGAAAGCAGCCTTGGCTCCCTCGCCCCGAGCTGCCCTAGGAAGCACGTTGGACTGAGAGGAGGCAGCACCTTGACCTCCTGTGCATGCTCAGGGCCCTGCATCAGAGCCTTCCTTCCCTCCACTCTTTCTTCCCTTTTTCTGGCTTTCTTCTCTTTCTCATCCTATAAAGAAAGTAAGGTAACTTACTAAATTACATACAATCAAATAAAGTTTAAAACATAGCCAGGAGAAATGCCACAGGGCTAGAAGTTCTCCGGGGCTCTGTGTTCCTAAGGCTAGTTAGGGCAGGAGTCCTTCAGAAACCACAGGGTTTGCCGGCAGCTTTAGCAGCTGTGCCTCATGGTTAAGGGGGCAAGGGGATGTATGAAAGAGAGGCGGAAAATGGAAAACAGGCTCACCTCCTCTACAGAAGTGCTACTGAGGATCTAGCAACTTGCCATCTGCTTTCCTCTTCTCCACTTGCCAGGCCTCTCTGAGCTCAGAGCTCCTGCAGTCCATACCTAACCCTGGCCCAGAGGACTCTGCCCTGAGGGGACCTGATACAAGGACTAAGGCATTCGTCCAAGGGGCAGGAAGTTGGGACCCAGCCATGACCCTCTGCCTGGAGAAGCAGCAGCAGAGAAGGCTAGAGCCCTAGACACTGCCCTGGGAGCTCACTCTCGAACCCATTTCCTCCCCTACCTACCGCTCCCAGTGTGTCAGCAGCGATCCTACCTCTCACACCCTCTTTAGGGTTCTCCTTCATATCTGTCTTGTAAACAGACCACCCCTCAGAGAACAAAGAGTCTCCCAATCTCCATCAGAGGTGACTTTCTTGCCAGAACTGAAGCTGCACCAAGGCTCAGCAGAAGAGGCCCTAGAGATCATTGGAACCAAGTCTTACATTTGACAAATAGAAAAACAGAGGCCCAAGGATGGAAGTGACTGGTCCAAGGTCACACAGCCTGTTGGTGGCTAATTTAGGACTAGGGGCCAGGCCTTCAGACTTCCAGAGCATGGTGGCTTTCCCTATGGTACTGGAAGAGCTACTACCAGCGGGCTTGTAGACAGCAAAGCAGTCCCCAGTGCCTTTCCTGCATCCCTCTTGCTCTCTGTTCCCCACAAGAACACGCTGGTCTGTGAAGGGCCAGCAAGGGGAGAGAAGATAGGGTTAAGGTGGGGATTTTATTTAATCCCCTGAGCTTGCTTAAGCCAAAGCCACATTGGTTAGAGCAGGAGGTGAGCGACATGGAGGGTTTGTTGGGGGCTGGGTATGGGGGTGGAGGAGTGTTGAATAGTTACTGGATACCAAGAAGCTAGGCCTGCCAGTGGGCTTAACAGGTAAGCACCCACTTTCATGGACTCCCTGTCCCATCCCTGCTTCAAGGTTCAGGTCTCCAAGCAGTGCTCCTCTACCATGGAAGTCCCCCAGTAGCCAGGATGCCCAACGATGCAGAGCAGTGCAAAGATCACTGGCCATAGATTGAGACAGACTTGAGGGCAAACCCCAGCTCTGCCACATACATGCTGTGTGACCTCAGGCAAGTCATTTCACCTCTCTGAGCCTCAGTTCCTTCCACTGTTAAAGAGAACTGAACACACCTTCCTTGCAGGCCTCCAGGGAAGGAAGGCTGCATGAGCTCGCGCACAAAAAGAGACACAGGGGAGGCGCTGAGTTAATCCTCAGCGCTATTATTAAAACCTCACACCCTTTCTCTCTCTAGCCGGGCCCATCCATTACTCCTCTGTCCCAGCCTGCTTGCATCTTTGACATTAATAACCTTAATATCCCTCCCAGCTGAATAGCATTTGCATCATTTCAAAACCCTAAGCATCTTACCCCAGGTGGGCCACAACAGCCCTGCCAGAAGTAGCCAGAGCTGAGGAAGCCCCTGCACCCTCAAGTTCATCTTCTCACAATGCTCCCAAGTCCCAGAACCAGGGCCAATGGCAAAGTTTGGAGTTGGGCCCAAGAATCCGCACAAACATTCAGTCTTGGGGCAGACCTCAGGAGGGCAAGGGTAGGCCCTGGCTTACCAGAAGGAGCCAAAACCACCCCACCTCCATCACTTGCACCCCAACCCTCCATCTGGCCCCACTGCTCTGACCCTCCATCTGACCCCACTCTGGGCTGCCGGTCCCACTTTGGCCTCCAGCTCCCCAATTCTGGGACCCAGCTGGGCAGCTGGAAAGGGTGGAGTCTGGCCCTTGAATGGACGGCCAAGCCCGAGGCCACCGCCAGACTGTGAGCTCAGTACCCAGACAGATCTCTCTGAAGAGTGTGGGTTCACACCCTTGATGTTATTGGTTCTTTAACAGCCTGTCACAACCCAGGACCCATATTATCACCCTCACAGCACACAAGAAGAAACTGAGGCCCAAAGTGGACCCCTCCCCGACCAAGGTCATCCAGGGGATCTGGGATAGAGCTGGGATTGAACTCAGGTCTCCCTGGTCCCTTGACCCTGGCACTTTCCACTGCCCCATCATCTTTCCTCTTAACTCTTTCCTCCCTACAACTAGGAAGCCCCTGAAGTCTCTCCAATAAACGTGGGCCCCTATGACAAGGCCCAACAATCATCCTCCAATATGGGGGCTGCCAAGATGCCCACCTTTGCTTCCCCTGTCACATTCCCTCCCCACATCTTCAAGCCAACCACCTGGACCTGCCCTGTCTCTGGTAGCGGCTCCCGGGACTGGGCAGCGCCTTCTGCACAGAGTGGCTTTGGAGTGGAGCCAGCGCTCCCGGCATGGGCGGCAGAGGCTGGCAGGTGGGGTGGGGTTTCCCCTCCGCTGGCCTCCTCGGGGCGGCAGGCCCATCCCCACACCCACTGCTCAGCACCAGCCCCTGCCAGCGACGCTTCCCGCCGCGCACTCCCTGGAGGGACACCGCTAGCCGCCCAGCCCAGCTCTCCAGGGGTTAAAAATGCAGCATCCCAAACAAGGGTTAAAAATGCAGTCCCGGGGTTGGGCCGGGCGCGGAGGGATGTTGGCCAAACCGCCGGGGCTGCCAGAGCGGCATCCTCCCCCTGGCCTCCGCAGTCCTTGGGGGCCGGAGTGACTCGAGCGGATCCGGCAGCAAGAGAGGCGCGCGCCGCACCTTCCCGGCACCGGCGCCCCCTCCCCACACCCACACCCCCGCGCCCCCCGCAGCCTAGCCCGGGGGATGCAGGCGCCGGCGGGTCCCGGGCGCGGCGGGCGAGCGGCGCTTACCTTTGTGACAGTCATGCAGAAACTCCGCGGCGGAGCGGGGGCGCGGGCGCGGCGTGCGGGGGCGGCGGCGGCGGCCCGGGGCGGCGGCGGAAGGGGGTCCGGCAGCTCCCGGCTCGCTCCCCGCGCCCCGCCGGCGGCTCGGCCGAGCCTGGGGGCTGCGCTCCGGGCGGGCAGCGCGCAGGGACCGCTCGTCGGCGCTCGCCCGCCGCTCGTCGCTGATGTCAGCCCCGAATGTGCATTTATAATAGATGAGCCTCCTTCGCCGCAGGAAGGCGAGGCAGGAAGAAAGGGAGAGAGGGAGAGGGCCCGGGCTGGGGGGCGGGGGGAGGAAGAGGGGCCGGGAACTCGCTACAAAGGAGGAGGCGGAGGGAGGAGGAGGAGGAAGCGCAGCCCGCCAGCGGCCGTGCCCCGAGCCTCCCGCTCGATCGCCGGCCGCCGGGCACCGCTGCTCCCGGAGTCCGGACGGGCGCCCGGGTCCGCGGCCTTAACCCCTTCGGGCCTGCGGACGCCACGCGGCTGGGCGAGGCTGGCTCCCGGCACCTGCCGGCTGGGAGAACGGGCGGCGCCCCGGGCTCTCGGGTGTCCCGCTGGCCCGGGGACGCTGGTGAAGTCACAGGCTGGACGGCCGAGGCGCTGCGCGGGCAAAGAAGGCGGTCGGGTTCGCCCCCTGGAGGCTCGCAAAGTCGGCCCGTGGGCCGTGAGTGTGGCGCGGCGGGCTGGGAGGGGCGTGGCAGCCGCAAGCCCGGGAGCCCTGCCCGCACCCCCACCTCGCGCTGGCCCGGGGCACAGGGTGGCCAGACGGATTTGTGTAAGCACTCTTTCGAATCTAATTCCCGCCGCGATGACTTGCCCGAAGGCCGCCTTAGTGAGTTTTGCAGAGGAGGAAACTGACGATCAGAGTGGGACGGACGTGGGAAGTGACTTAGACCACAGCACAGGACCTGCCTGCCCGAGCCGTTCCTCCCGCTCTTTCCACTCGGCCGCTAGCTCCCTAAGGAACCTCTTGTTATAGAAGCTGCCCTGCCCTAGGACTGTCTACACTACCACTGAGTGCCGCTCTACTGGTGGAGTGATAACACAGGTGCGTCCTGTGTGTTGATCCAATCCTGACTCGGGGCACAGTGTGTCCTGGAGCTGCTGCGGAGATTTGAGGGACAGTCACCTGAAGGTGACCTCGCAAGTCTTGAGAAAGGAGTCTCCCTCCCAAGCACCTGAGCAGAACCGGTTTCCGCAGATACAGAACCGCGGAGAGGGTGGAGGGGAGGAGTTAGCAGAGGTGGAAGCAGAGGGGTTCTCCAAGCAGGACAGCCTGGCAAGCCCGGAAGTGCTGGCTTCCTGCTCCACGGTAATTACCGGTGCAATTCACCTGGACAGCGAAGGCAACGTCATATATGAGCACCTGCTCTGTGGAAAGTGCTGGGGGAACAGAGAGGAGATGGGATGCCTGCCTTCCGGGAGACCAGTGTCTAGATTGGAGCAATAATAATAGAGTAACCAGCCTCCAGGAAGTGCTTTGTGGGTCATTGTGCAATTTTTTTTTTTTTTTTTTTTTTGAGACCGGAGTAGTCTCACTCTGTCGCCCAGGCTGGAGTGCAGTGGCGCGATCTCGGCTCACTGCAACCTCCGCCTCCTGGATTCAAGCGATTCTTCTGCCTCAGCCCCCCGAGGATCTGGGACTACAGGAACGCGCTACCACGCCCGGCTAATTTTTTATTTTTATTAGAGACGGGGTTTCACCGTATTGGCCAGGCTGGTCTCGAACTCCTGACCTCGTGATCCACCCGCCTCGGCCTCCCAAAGTGCTGGGATTACAGACATGAGCAACCGCCCCCGGCCCTGCCATTTTTAACCACATTTTCTTGGGAGTCCTAAATGCAACAGTGTGAGGAAAGAATTACCGTCCCCATTTTGCTGATGAGTAAACGGATTTAGAGAAGGGAAGGGAATTGCCCAAGAGCACACAGTGACAGAGCGAGGACTTGAATGAAAGTCTTCTTAAATCAAGCTCAGCATTGTGCTTTGAATCCGTGAACTGCAGGGTCCATTCCTACTTGCTGCCTTATTTGAGTTTCACAGGTGTCTTAGGACATAGGTAGGCAGCTATTCGTTCCCCAGGGGAGTTCCAGGGACTTACTAAATCTCTTGGGTAGCAGATGTGCTGCAGACCTCAGGCGTCTCCTCTGTGCAAAACCCTTCCTAAGGCATCTTCCCACGTTGCTTGCCTGCCAGGAATGCTCTCTTATTCTTCTGCACTAACTCAAACGCATCCCACCTCTCACGGCACCACCTCCTTGCCACCTCTCCTGACAACTCCAGCCCAATGGCTCTCCCTGTTGCATTTAGTTCTGAGGGTCTGGTCTCATTTTCATGAGCCTCTGAGCACAGAGGCATGCCTTCTCTCACTGTGTACCCCTGGGCACATAGTAGGAGCTTAGCAAATATTTAATGCCACCAAGAACAAATCAAGCAAAATATACCTTTAACCTGCAGCAGAGGAAATTTAAATTAGGCCCATGAAAGCATTTCCCACCAGCGAGCTGTCCAGCATTGGAAGAGTCAGATTCCCTGTCTCAGCTGTCTTGGGCAGGTCAGCCTCTAGCCAGAAGGATGGAGCTCAAGACCTTTCCAGGGCCCTTCCAGCCCTAGGACCCCATCGGAAACCTTTAAAGGGCAACTCAAGGACACCAGTCACCCTGCACCCATGGCTGTGACTTGTCTGTCCACTTTTATATCTTACAGAGATTTCAAATCCCAGATTGTCATCCTGAGCTCCCAGCATGCCTCTTGGCACCTTTCCCGCCATCCGCCGTTGTTGTGGGCTCTGAGAATGAGACAAGTACTTAATAGCAGCTTGAGCCAAATGTAATTAGGAACATCAATCTGCTGCCCCCAACCCATGTGATGTTCTCCAAAGGCAGAAGGAAAATGTTTCTGATCCCTCCTGTGCTGCTGGCTCACCTCTTCTGTCACATCTCCCCAGGCAGAAGGGAGGTCTAGAAAAGCAAGGGCAAACTCAGACAATGCCACATCCCCTTGTGCCCAGTCACGGCCTCTGCATGTAGGAGATACTGAGAAATACATGCATTTTCTTTCTTTCTTTCTTTTTTTTTTTTTTTTTTTTTTTTGCGACGTAGTCTCACTCTGTCACCCAGGCTGAAGTGCAATGGCGTGGTCTTGGCTCACTGCAACTTCTGCCTCTCGGGTTCAAGCGATTCTCCCACCTCCACCTCCTGAGTAGCTGGGACTACAGGTGCCCGCCACCCCACCTGACTAATTTTTGTATTTTTAGTAGAGATGGGGTTTCACTATGTTGGCCAGGCTGGTCTCGAACTCCTGACCTTGTGACCTGCCCGCCTCGGCCTCCCAAAGTGTTGGGATTACAGGTGTGAGCCACCACACCCAGCCAATACATGCATTTTATATGTGCGATTGTTAACACCACAACACTACTCATCCTGGGTCTCCAGTAACATAGCCCATCTTAGTTTGGGTTTCCTCCAAAGCAAAGCCTGAGAGAGGTGTTGGATGCAGGTGATTTAATTGGAAGGTGATCACAGGAGTGGAAGATTGGGGCAGTGGAGGTGGGGAGTAGTGCGGTTGAGAAGGAGCAAAGGTGAATACACCAGTATAAAGGTGTATTCTCACTGGGCGCGTTGGCTCACACCTGTAATCCCAGCACTTTGGGAGGCCGAGGCGGGGGCAGATCACAAGGTCAGGAGTTCGAGACCAGCCTGGCCAAGAGGGTGAAACCCCCATTTCTACTAAACATACCAAAATTAGCCAGACGCGGTGGTGGGCACCTGTAATCCCAGCTACTCAGGAGGCTGAGGCAGAATTGCTTGAACTTGGGAGGCGGAGGTTGCAGTGAGCTGAGATCGCGCCACTGCACTCCAGCCTGAGTGACAGACGAAGTCTCAGAGGAAAAAAAAAAAAAAGAAAAAGGTGTATTCTCAGGGTCACTGCAGGAGGCATCCAGAGGAGTGAGGCTCAGTTCCCCAGAGACCCGTGGATCAGATACAGAATTGCCTGTCAGCCTAGCGGGTGTTTATCCACCCTCCTCTTCCCCATTGTTTGAGGGCTGACCCGAGGGCATTACCTTCTTGCACTTCAGGGCTATGCTTTTGGGAGGGCAGAGCAGGCCTCTCAGCTTCAGAGAATGTCCTGGGGCAGAAAGTAAAAAGTCCCTGGTTCTTATGGAGGTGGGATGCTGTCAGCTCAAGTCTGGGCTCTTTCAGATGCTCTAAGCTGCAGGTGAGCTCAGAGGTGGGGTAGCCTGAGGGGATAC
The DNA here is from genome assembly GCF_000001405.40 of Homo sapiens. Taxonomy (NCBI): domain Eukaryota; kingdom Metazoa; phylum Chordata; class Mammalia; order Primates; family Hominidae; genus Homo; species Homo sapiens. Next base: position 68,574,992 of record NC_000015.10, on the reverse strand, counting down.
GGTACACATTGTGGGGTAAATAAGACGTTGCAGTATTAGTTCTGGTCTCTTCTAGACACTTTCATGCCTCAATGCTTTAGGCCATGCTCTTTCCTGGGCCTCTGGGGCCCTAGCCCTCTTTCTCAGCATGGCGAACTCCTATTCATCTTTCAAAGCCCAGCTCAAGTGTCAGCTCTGCATGTAGCTCTCCTGGCGCTGTATCCATGGTCGCCTGATTCACCCTGTATTATAATCATAATGAAATATATTTGCTTCTGTCTCTTTATGGGCTCTAATTATGTTGTTTCTCTTTTTTAAAATCACAAGGCTGACACTTGGGAGATGCTGGATAACTGCCTCGCTGATCAATAAGGCTGTGATGGGCACCTTTATCTTCAACCTTAATAACCTCCTGATTCAAGTCCAGGTCCCTATAGCAAGGAATGAGGACCTCTCGGTGTGAGGCTCTGCCCTGCCTAATGTGCTTCTTTGCCCAGCATCTGCCCAGGCCCTGTACCGAGTGCTACTCTACAGAGTGAGGAGGGCTTGGGCTTGCAGTCTTTTAGGATTACCTGCAGCTGTGGGCACCCATCCCAGACCATGGGTGAGTGGGTGCTGCATTGTGGCAGAGGCCACAGGGAGATTCCCAAAGCTGTAGAGCCCCTAAGAGGGAGATGCTCCTCCACCCCTTGCTGCCTGCCTCGCTTATGCCACCCCAGGCGGCATGCCCACATGCTGGCCCCCTCAGCTCATCAGGCTTCCAAGCTCCTGCAGCTCTCAAGTTCCCTCCCACCTCTCTGTCAGCACAGCGACTGCCCTAGCTCAGCATTTTCCCTTGCTGGGCCACTCGGACTTGCCCTCTTGCCTGCTCTCTTGTGCAACTCAGTCTGTTCTCCCCCAGCAGCTCTTGCACACACAGATCTGGCTGCTTGAACCCCATCAGGGGCTCCCTGGTGTCCTCAGGTTGAAGTCCAACAGGGTCCTCCAAGACCTGCCCCCATCCCCCAGGCTTCCCATCTCACCATAACCTGGCCCTTCTCTCCCCGTCAGCACCTAGCTGACCCTTCTTCAGTCTTTCCTTAGGTATCGCCTCCTCCAGAAAGCCTTCCTAGACTGTGATTGGAATGGTCTAGCTGCACAGCCTCTGTGCTGCTTTCCACAACTCCCTGAGCCTCGTTTTCTCTGCTCCTGTGGATGGTTTTAACATTTTCTGTTTGTGTATTTGACAAGCTCCTGGAGAATGAAGCATCCCCGGCTTGAGGACGGGGACTGGCTCTTTCACTTAGTAATTCCAGCACATAGTGCTGTGCTCAGTCAGCTTCGGGTCTCTCCTTCTCTGTATGTGGGTCTCCCATTTCTCCCTTTCTGTCTGTTTTGTCACCCAGCCGCTGTCCCCCACCACATGCCTCAGCTCCCACCCTGCCCTGCTTCTCTGCTGCATTCACCTTTCCATGCTTTGCACCTCCCCACACTTCCTCAGGGATGCCCGTTTCCCCTTCCTGCCCTCTACCCACCACAACCCTTCCCTGCTCTCTGGCCTGGCAGAGGCGCACCTCTCTGCTGCCATCCCCTTGACCTTCATGGTTTTGCTCTTCCTCCTGTCTCTCCTCCAGCTCTGCCCCCACCAGATCTGCTTATTTCCACCCTCCTGCCCTTCTCATCTCTCTGTGTGGTTGTCTCCATCTCCTGTCTCTGTGGACGTCTCTCTCTTCTCTTTGTCCCACTGCTAGTCTCTTTCTCTCTTTGTCTCTCTTGCCTTTTCTCCGTGGCCTCTGTACAATGCACATATGCCGACTTTGGCATGGGGGATGCTGGGGGTTGGGGGGCCCTGCCCTGGGGTGTTGTCTTTCACCTCTGAGGGGTGATCACTGAGGGAGCCACCTGAACACAGGCTGGTCTGAGGCCTCTACGGGCTGCATCCTTGGCTGGGGGGCCCTCACCTGAGCAGCTGCCTCTTGGTCCCGACCCCCTCTGCAAGTGTGTGTGGGTGTGTGTCTGAATGTGAGAATGAGTGTGTAGGACTGTATGTATCTGTGCATGTGTGTGCATGTGTGGAAATGAACCAGGGAGAAGGAGCCGCAGACCTGGGCACAGTGAGGAAACCCCAGGGCAGCCTCCTCCCAGAGGGCTGCTCCCCTAGAATCTCCTTGGGGCCATGATGGCAAAGAAGCCCAGTCCCTTGTATAGAGCCAGCTGGGACTTGGGAACCAGATTTCCAGCCTTTTCTGGAACCAGATTTTCCAGATCCTTCCAGTCGTTTAGGATCTAAATTTTGATAACACCTAATCAGCAGTTCTCAAAGTGTGGGCCCCAAACCAGCCTCAGTTTCACCTGGGAGCTTTTTTGAAATGCAAATTATGGGGCTCCATACCAGGCAGATTGATTCAGAAACCTGGAGCTGGGGGGTGGTGAGCAGCAAGGAGGTATTCTGACACCCCTTCTGCCCCAGTTTGAGAACCACGGATTTACATGATAAGGTGTGGTGAGTGCCCTGTCAGATAAATCATGCAAAACAGATATGAAGGAGTTGTTTTCACCTTCCATCTCTCAGGCAACATAGCTGAACAACATAGCCAAATTTTCAGCCTGAGCCAGAGGCTTCTTAGATCTTTCCACCGAAGACAAGGAGGTTACAAGCATGGCAGGGAGCAAAAGCAAGGCAAGCGGCAGGTAACGTGAAACAGCTCCAGCAAGGGACAGTAGCATTGACATTTCATGCTTTGATTTAAAATCCTATGCAGATTTAGTGGCTCCTGGGACCATCCTGGACTTCCTGCACTCTTCCCTCTAAGTCTGAACCTGCAGCTGCTGCCAGTGACTGGAAGGGCAAGTCCCTGATTGCCTCCTGGAAGAGCTGCTCCTCAATTTGGAGAGCAAGAGTGGGGCCTCTGGAACTGGGAGGAAGGCCTTGGAGATCCACTGACAGCCCACAGCCCCTTCCCAGATGCCCCTGGGCCAGACCAGTCCTGGGCAGTGCCCCCCAGGTCCTGCTTATCCCTGTTCTTCTGTGTCTGCCCCCCTCAGGAGTTCTCTCCTTCAGAGATCAGCAGAGAGCCTTCTCATTACAGTGGGGACCCCACCACCACCACCCCGGTTACATCATTTCATTCCCTGCACTGAGCTCCCAGCCCTTACCACCTCCTTGGGGCTAAATACCTCCAGGCATTGCCATTGCTGCATTTCAGCCCGTTATATTTGTAAAGAGCAGGCTTTGGTTGCCAGGGTCTCTTCTTGATCAAAGATGTTTCAAACTCCTGTTCCCAAGAACAAGGCTTATCTCCCAGGTTACCGGTTACAGCTGTACTCAGCTTGTGCAGTGCCTTGGGCGAATGTTTTTTGTGTGTGGGACCTGTGTCTATATAAACAATTTGATTTTAAAATGTAATTAAAAATTCTTGGCCTATATGAGGTATTATGATGTATTGATGAAGGTTTACAATAATGAGGAGAAAAGAGGTAGTAACATATTTGTTTATTTTCCAATCTGTGCATGTGAAGATTCTTTGGCAGTGTCCAAGAATTATCTTTTCTTGTTCAGGTCCAGGAACCATCTCTTTGTGTTCTTTATTGTCAAATGTCATTCCTGGCTAATTTCTTATCTCCCACCATGAGAAAAAGATGACAATGCTGCTGTTATTCACAATGCCATGGCTCTTAGGGATCTATTTGTATTAAAATAATATGAATCTCCTTGCCTCTGCAGTTCCCTATGTCCCCTACTACTGTGTATTTAATGCTGGTTGCATCTGTATTTACATGTACTGAGTACTGAATATTGAGTACTGAGTACAGAACAGGTGGCTGGGGCAGGATGGGAAAGGAAGGTTACAGGGAAATTCCTCAGAAACTAACAAAGAAACTCATTTAAATGTGCTTGGGCAGCTCTTTAAAGAGATATTTACCATCCAGATCACTATCCCAAATTCTTCCACAGCCTGGGGCATGGCTTTTAGATGTCAATCATCCATTCCCTCCTCTCTGTTTCCTTCGCACTTTCTTCCAAAAGAACAAAATCCTGATTAAGTGCTTTGTGCCATCATCAAAAATAGGAATTCAAGATTAGGAATAATAACATAGCTGGGCACAGTGGCTCATGCCTGTAATCCCAGCACTGTGGGCGGCTGAGGCTGGAGGATTGAGTCCAGGAGTTGGAGACCAACCTGGGCAATACAGTGAGACCCAGTCTCTAAAAAAAAAAAAAAAAAAAAAAAAAACTACGTGTAGTGGGCCTGGGTCCATCCTCGGCTCTTTCTGCTGCACCATGGGGGTCTTCTGACTGTTTGAACACAGACCCTTTCCTTCCCTAAGGGAAATACACTGACTATTCCCCTCAGTGTAACTGGGACAGACCACAGCTTCCAAAGCCTTCATTGTACTTCACAAGAGAACAAAAGGACAACTTGTAAGCACTTCAACTTTCGTATTTGGGGTTCCTCTGATCAGCTCACTTTGTGGGCACACTGCTTTTCTGAAAATCTTAGCCTCTGATATTGCCTCAGTGTAAGAGCACCAGCTTATGAGTCACCACCCGGAAGTTTCCTTCGATGTCTTACGACTTCATGATCAAGATCCACAGTAGCCCCTAACTCATTCTATGGGGCCAGCATTACCAAATTCAGACGAAGACATCACAAGAAAAGAAAACCACAGATCAATAGTCCTTATGCAGATAGATGGTGCAAGCTCTAAACAACTGCTGTGTTTACATGCAAGTACTCTATATGCAGAGCCTCCCTTGCTCCTTCCGAGGATCCCATGAAGTTACACTCATTTAGGCTGGAAGAGGCTATATGACTTACATGCAGTCACATAGCTAGTAAGTGGCAGACCTATGATTAAACCCCGTATCCAACTCCAAGCCTAGCTCTTCCTACCATGCCACCTAGTCATCTACATATGGCAAGAGAAATGGTGGACCCTGCAAGTTTGCACTGTTGTTCTTATCACCTCTGTAAGGCCTCTTGCCCAGCTGACCCACCAGAGTACAGTAGCCTCTCTCTGCAGGTGAGAACTTTCCCAAGGCCACAGACCCCACTGACCAATGACTCCTCAGCCAAAGATCACACATCAGCCTGTGCACTGTAGGGGTTATGTGTGTGAGAAGGAGGTGGAGTGGGAGGGCAATTCTGCCACTCCCTGGGCAAGCCTTTCACTCTCTGCACCTCGGTTTCCTCATCTGCAAATTGGGGGCAAAGCTCTAAACACTGACAACACCAAATGCTGGGGAAGATGTGGAGCCACAGGAACTCTCATTCATTGTTGGTAGGAATGCAACAGTACAGCCACTTTGGAAGACCCTGTGGCAATTTCTTACAAAACGAAACCTATTCTTACCATATGATCCAGCAATCGTTCTCCCTGGAGTTTACCCAGAGGAGTTGAAATCTTATGTCCACACGAAAACCAGCACACAGATGTTTTCAGTAGCTTTGTTCAGAATTGCCAAAACTTGGGCACAACTAAGATGTCCTTCAGTAGGTGAACAGATAAATAAACTGTGGTACATCCAGACAATGCAATATTATTCCGTGTCAAAAAGAAATGAGCTATCAAGTCATGAAAACACATAGAGGAACCTTAAATGCATATCACTAAGTGAGAGAAGCCAGTCTCCAAAGGCTACAGACTGCATGATTCCAACTAGATGACATTGTGGAAAAGGCAGAACTATGGAGACAGCGAAAAGATCAGTGGTGGCCAGGGGTTAGTGGGGAGGGATGAACAGGTGGAGCACAGAGGATTTTTAGGGCAGTGAAACTACTCTGTGTGATACTGTGATGGTGGATGCATGTTATTATACATGTGTCAAAACCCATAGAATATACAACACCAACAGTGAGCCCTAATGTAAACTCTGGACTCTGGGTGATAATGACATGCTAATGTAGATTCATCGATTGTAACAAATGTACCACTTTGGTGGGGGATGTTGACAGTGGGGGAGATTGTGTGTGTGTGGAAGCAGGGGGCATATGGGAACTTAGTGTATTTTTCTTCTTTTTTTTATGTGCTTTTTAAAATTTTTATTTTCTTTTAGGTTCTGGGATACATGTGCAGAACGTGCAGGTTTGTTACATAGGTAAACGTGTACCATGTTGGTTTGCTGCACCTATCAAGCCATCACCTAAGTATTAAGCCCCGTATGCATTAGCTAGTCTTCCTGATGCTCTCCTTCCCCTTCCTGGCTGGCAGGCCCCAGTGTGTGTTGCTCCCCTCCCTGTGTCCATGTGTTCCCATTGTTCAGCTCCCAACTTGCTGTATTTTCTGCTCAATTTTATTGTGAACTTAAAACTGCTCTAAAAAATAAAATCTATTAAAAAATGGGGGCAAAATCACTCAAGTCTCAGGCTGCGGTAAATGAGCTAATGCCTATAAAAAGAAGTTGTAAATGGTAGGATGGTTTATTGACATAAGGGATTGGTACTATTATGTTTTTAAATCCCAGATGTCCCAGAAATCTACAGTGGGAGTTCAGGTCAATCACTTTGACTTTTGGGGTCCCAGTGTCCTCAGCTACAAACCAAGATAATACTACTTGTTCTTTGTTTCCCTTCTCTACCCTCTGACAACCTCTCAGAGGGTAAAGGGCAATAGTGATGATGATGGAAATGATGATGAAAATGGTAGCCAGCACTTGTGTCTAGGCACTGTGTTAGGCACTCTATACACATTACCTCACTTAATCCTTATAACCGCTCCGACTTTACAGATGAGAAAATGAAGCATTGTTGTGGGGATGGGGGTGGGGTGGGGGGCAGTGCAGGGAAGGGAGAGAGGAGAAGTAACTTGTCCTGGGTCATACCGCTGGTCAGTGGTAAAGCAGGTTCCGGAAGACTCAGTGGCCTGTACTCAACCTCCAACTTTATCCCTGTGTCTCCCAGGTTGACCCTACAAGGAACCCCAGGGGGTGGCCCCATTGCCAGATCACTGGGGATTGGCCTCACAATAACAAATGATGATCATAGCCAATATTTCTTTTCTTTTCTTTTCTTTTTGAGATGGACTCTCACTCTGTTGCCCAGGCTGGAGTGCAGTGGAGTGATCTCAGCTCACTGCAACCTCCGCCTCCTGGGTTCAAGCAATACTCTGCCTCAGGCTCCCAAGTAGCTGGGATTACAGGCGCCTGCCACCAAACCCGACTAATTTTTATATTTTTAGTAGAGACGGGGTTTCACTATCTTGGTCAGGCTAGTCTTGAACTCCTGACCTCGTGATCCACCTGCCTTGGCCTCCCAAAGTGCTGGGATTACAGGCATGAGCCACCGTGCCCAGCCTTTCACAGCCAACATTTCTACAGGACTTTGAAGGAGTGAAGGGCATGCCTTCCGAAAATACGCCAAATTGGTGTATTAATTATTTTGAGTTGAAAACATTGGAAAAACTGTAGTTTCAGAAAGGGCGAGCTGACCTGTCTCTTCCTGCAGGCAGCAAGCCCTATACATTCCTCTGGGAGGGGGTTCCTCTCCATACCAGGGTGAGAAAATAGCTCTTATCAGCAGAGACAGAATTGGGAGTTGCAATGGACCTGCATAAAAATACTCTCCAAAGTAACCCTTATCTTCCACTAGCTCTACATCTCCATGTATCTCCTGGTGACTTCCCTAGAAATTTACTGCCCCTAGTCAGACCCCCTTTGTCCTGTCACTTCTTCTCATACTTATCCTTCTTTGTCTAAGTATAAAGGCATCTTTTGCTTTGGCCGCTTTGAACTTCACTCTCTTATGGAGATCCCCATGTACATGTAAAACTAATACAATTTATGTGCTTTTCTCTTGTTAGTCTGACTGTTGTCAGCAGGGTTTCTAGATCCAGGCAAAGAGCCCACTGAGAGCCGAAGGGGGGTTGGAGGTGATCTTTGGCTCCCTAAAGACTTGCTGTGAGACAGAACTATTTCTAAGCACATGGTATACCCTGTTTCATTTAATTCTTACAGTAACTCTGTGCTATAGGTCTTATTATGATACCCACTTCACAGATGAGAAAACTGAAGCACAGAACCCAGAGAACAGAGAACCTCAGACCCAAGTGGGAGAGTGGGGATCAGCCAGTCTGAGTCATTTATTGGACACGCTGCCTCTTCGCTGGCAAGCTCAGGTGCTTGAGCTGCTGTAAGGCAAACCCCAACGAGTTGTGTATATGTGTGTGTTGCACATGACGCTGTGTTTGGTAGCTTTGGGAGCTACTAAATCAATGCCAAGGGAGGCCATCCCTGGGCCTCCATAACCCTGTCTCATGCTGGGCTCACCCCAAGGGTGCCTGGATATACAGGCTCCCTCCCCATCCAGGATGACTTTTTGTCTCCAAATTCCAGGCCAGGGAAGGGAAGTCAGGCTCATGGAGCCTTATTTGCTCCTTAACCACAGGGGAGGCCTGTGGAGCAGGAATGGGGCAGAGTGAGGGGTGTGGGGACAGGCAACAGCCCAGGCAAGCAAAGCATCTGGGACCATGAAGAGTCCGCCGGGTATCCTGACTCCCAGCAGGCATGTCCCGAGGCTGGAGGGAAGGGGAGGAACCAGCATCCCTGCAGGCACCTCTCATTTGGTACCCACAGGCTCAGAGACCCGATTTTAAGTGGAGTTCCTTCAGAGAGGATATTTTGGGTGGTGATCGGGAAGATAAGGCTTTAGAACCAGCCAGCCTGAGTCCAAATCCTGCTTCTCCTACTCTCTAGCTGTGTGGATTTGGTTGAATTACTTAGCCTCTCTGGGCCTGTTTCCTCTCCTATCAAATGGGGATAATGACGGCAGCCACCTCACAGGGGAACTGGCACAGAGTAAGGACTCAAAACACATCAGCTGCATCTCCACTGTAAAACAGGGTTTCTAACAGGACCCTACCATGTTATGAGGGTTAAATGAGCAAAATACATGAAAAGTGCTTAGAAAGGATCCTCTTTCTCCCCAACCCCTTCTCCTCATCCAGGCAGGGCACGCAGGCATGGGGAAGGGGACTGCTTGACTTCAGTGTGCAAAATGCAAAGATGGCATTTGTCAGCTGCCTCTCCACAGAGGTGGAGGAAAGATGGGGCTGCGGGAATTCGTTAGCACCAATTAACACCCCAAGGCTCCCTTCTGCTCTCACCCTGGTCTGCTTCCCTGCTGGCTGTGGGCCTGGAACCACATGGCAGAGGAAGCAGCCAGGCCCCAGGGGAGAGGGGGAAACTGGGGAACCATCAGCAAAGGCTGAGGTGCTCCAGCAAAGCCCAAGCAGGTATTATTTCTATCCAGAACAGAAGGCTCCAGAAAGGAATGAGAGGCGTGAGCATGAGGCAGGCCTGGTTCCTTAGGGCTATAGACAAATACCTCTCCCAGCCAGTGGCCCTCCTAGAGCAACTGATACATGGAGTGAGGGTCATCCCGTCCACTATACAATGAACTAACTTTCAGTCAGAATCTGGCAATAAAAGAAAGAAAACAAATGTTGGAAAAGAAATGCAGACAGAGAAAATGTTTTGTTGAGCTTTATAAATATATATATATATATTTATTTTTATTTGAAAAAATGTTATTGGCATGCACATGAATATATATATTTGCTCCTTAACCACAGAAGAGGCCTGTGGAGCAGAAATGAGTCAGAGTTAGGGGAGGGGGCAGGCAACATACATCCACATGAATATATATATATATGCACTTGAATATATCTATATGCACATGAATATATGCATATATATATGCATGCCAATAAAAATTTTTTTAAATAAAAAGAAAAATAAGGAAAATAGTAATGGATTAGTACTTTCTAATTATATTACTGTTTTTCAAAACAGGAGAAAATATATCAATATATTAATCTGTCACAGTAGCAATTAAAAACATTACAGCTTGTGCATATCTGTGGATGACATAAAAATTAATCTTAAATTCATGTTCAGTAGACAGTAAAGCAATATTTGTCTATCTATCTTTGCTCATAATTAATTAAAGAACACTTTTTAATTAATGGTAACTTCGAAAAGTTACTTTCACATGAAGCAACAAATATGTAAATTAGGAAAATCTTAACTATAAGGATAGGTTTTATAGAGATTCTGAAAATTCCATTTCACAAAAAAAATTCCAGAAATTTCAATACTGTTTATAGCTTTGTTTCTTCAGGATCAGTCATAGTGGTTTTCACATGTTTCTGTAGCCAAAAATTTCTAATAAAATATTTTCAACAGAAAACTTGTTCATTCTATTTGGGAAGCACCTTCTGAAGTTTTTCTTCTGCAAAAATCAGATAAAATGGCTGAAAGATGGAGAACATTGATATGATTTGACCGTTTACTTTAGAAGGAGCAACCAAACTGAGTAACTCAGGTTCCATTTCTTTATCTTTACAATGACTCTATCATCAGTGATAATTTTGAATCCGCTAAGATACAAACTATACCAGAAGAAAGAAAGATTTCACTGCTTTGGGCCAGGAACTGTGGCTCATGCCTGTAATCCCGGCACTGTAGGAGGCCAAGGCAGGCCAATCGCTTGAGCCTAGGAGTTTGAGACCAGCCTGGGCAACATGGCAAAACCTACTAAAAATACAAAAAATAAAATAAAATAAATTAGCCGGTTGTAGTGGCACGCTCCTGTAGTCCCAGCTACTCGAGAGGCTGATGGGGGAGGATCGCTTGAGCCCAAGAGGCAGAGGTTGTAGTTAGCCAAGATCACTCTACCCCACTGCAGCCTGGGCAATAGAGTGAGACCCTGTTTCAAAAAAAAAAAAAAGATTTCACTGCTATGAAATTATTCTCCAAGCAATCACATTAACAGCAGAGTCTAGGTATGCCAGAGCCCACTGCATAATTGGAATGCTCACATGCTGAAAACAATATTTATTAAAGTAATAAAAAGTGCCAATTTGCAGTATTTTGCTATCCCCCTCAACACATTCGACAATAAGCACAGCAATGGTCTAAGTTTTAGAACTTAGACCATCTAATGTTTATAAAAAGATATTGGCATACAGTTTCCTTTTCTTGTGATGTCTGTTTGGATTTCGTATCAGGGTAGTGCTGGGTTTATAGAATGAGCCAGGAAGCTCCCTCATCTTCTATTTTTTTGGAAGAATCTGAGAAGAATTGGTTTTGATTCTTCTTTAAATGTTTGGTAGAATTCACCAGTGAAGCCTTCTGGTCCTGGACCTTTCTTTGTTGGGAATTCTTGATTATTTACTGAATCTCTTTATTTCTTATAGCTGTTTAGGTTTCCTGTTTCTTCGTCAGTTTTTGTAGTTCTTTCTAGGAATTTGCGGATTTCATCTAGTTTTTTGGCATACAATTGTTCTTATTCATTTATAATCTTTTTTCTTTCTGTAAGGTTGGTAGTATTGTCCCCAATTTCATTTCTGACATTAGTGATATGAGTCTTATCTCCTTTTTCTTAATCAGTCTAGCTAAAGGTGTGTCACTTTTGTTGATCTTTTCAAATAACCAGCTTTTGTTTTCATTGATTTTCTCTATTATTATTCTGTTCTCTATTTATCTCCACTTAATTTTTTTCTTTTCTCTTCTTTTTTTCTTTTTCTTTTCTTTTCTTTTTTTTTTTTAAAGACAGAATTTCACTCTGTTGCCTAGGCTAGAGTGCAGTGGCACGATCAAGGCTCACCACAGCCTCAACCTCCTAGGCTCAAGTGATCAATTCTCAGCCTCCCGAGTAGCTGGGATTACAGGCACACGCCAATACGCCCAGCTAATTTTTGTGTTTTTTTTGTAGGGATGTAGTCTCACTATATTACCCAAGCTGGTCTCAAACTCCTGGGCTCAAGGGATCCTCCTGTCTGGGCCTCCCAAAGTGCTGGGATTATAGGTGTGAGCCATGGTGCCTGGCCAGTCTCTACTCTAATCTTTATTATTTCTTTCCTCTGCTTGCTTTGGGTTTAGTTTGCTCTTCTTTTTCTAGTTCCTTAATGTGTGGAGTGAGGTAATTGATTTGAGATCTTTCTTCCTTTATAAGAATTTATAGCTTTATATTTCCTTCTAACCACTGTTTTCAATGAATCCTAGGCATTTTAGTATATTACGTTTTTGTTTTCTTTTCTTTCTTTTTTTTTTTTCTTTGAGATGGAGTCTTGCTCTGTCGCCCAGGCTGGAGTGCAGTGGCATGATCTCGGCTCACTGCAAGCTCCACCTCCCGGGTTCACGCCATTCTCCTGCCTCAGCCTCCCGAGTAGCTGGTTCTACCGGCGCCTGCCACCACGCCCGGCTAATTTTTTGTATTTTTTAGTAGAGACGGGGTTTCGCCGTGTTAGCCAGGATGGTTTCGATCTCCTGACCCCTCGTGACCCACCTGCCTTGGCCTCCCAAAGTGCTGGAATTACAGGCATGAGCCACCGTGCCTGGCCTGTTTTCATTGTCTCGAAGTATTTTATAATTTTCTCATTTCTCTTGTGATTTTTCTGTGATCCAGTTATATTTGAATTTCAAGAAACAATGAGTAATTTTTTTGTATATGTATTTCCCACTGCAATACTTGGGGTTCCTTTGTACTAAAAATTATTTGTTTTTATCTGAAATTCAAATGTAACTGAGCCACCCATATTTTATCTGAGAACCCTATTCCAATAAGAATGTAAAGACATGAGCCCTATACTCTGGGAACATCTGATGTAAGGGAGGAAAATCAGGACCATCCTAGGGAGGCTCCCAGTTCAAGGGAAAAATATAACTCTTGTGCAGGGAGCTACAGTCTCAGGAGAAGAGGAAGGGAAGGAGCAGTACAATCTTGCCTGGAAGGTGAGGGCAAGATTGCTAGGGTAGCCAGGCCTTTGCACCAGGGCCTTTACTCTTTCCTTCAAGGCTTTCCCACCTGCACCCCATAGTCAACCCAGTGCTCAGCACCCAAAGACCCCTCTGTGTAGTCCTGGGGACTCACCAGCCCACTTCTTCCAGACTGGACTGCCCTGACAGACGCCATGGAGGCATGGGAAGGGGTGGCTGGAGGACAACATCATTAAGGCCTTTCTCCTCAGTCCCTGGGCCCCAGTACCCACTGGGTAGGAGCTTGTCCCAGTTGGCCTGCCTTTAGGGTAGAGAAGGGACAAGGCCAGTGGGGGGACAGGGCACTTACAGCCCTCCCCCTACTCATCCACATTCATACGCATGTGTACACACTCACAACACACACTCACGGTCATGCTCACAGGCACCCCTTTACTACTCATTGACATTCCCATGCACAACTACGCACACAGGCTCACCAAGCACACTAGCAGGATAACCATGGCCTCATACTCTCAGACCCACGGAAACATGCTCCGCTCACACAGGCACATGGCCCTGCACATATTTGCATACTTGTCTACACTCTTTCAGTCCTGTACACGATAACAGACAGAGCACAGTCACAACAAATCCTGTACACTCTGCCCACCCTCTCTCAGGCTCTGGGTGTGTGCGTGTTTCTCTGCATGTTTTCCTACTGTTTGTATCTGCATCTCTGTCCATCTTCCACCCTCCCACCCAGCTGTCTGCCTCCCTCCCTGCAGCAAGATTGAGGGAGGAGGGGCAGGCCTGGTTTCCTTGACAACCGGGGACCCTCTACCTGTCCCGCTGGGCCCCAGTTAGCTGGAAGGGGAAGGCGCTGGGAGGCAGTGTTGGCTTGTCCAGGTGCTTGCTCTGAGTGGGGCTGGGGGTGAGGGCAGGGGAGAGTCGGGGAGGGAGGGATGGGTGACCATCTGGACCGGGGAGAGTGAGCTGCAGGCACTGCCCAAACGCTCCAAAATGGCAGATGGGCATCACCGTGCCTGGGAGGAGCTGGGAGGGGGGCCGCCCAGCGTGGCATATGCAGGAGCTCTTCCACTGTCCCAGCCCAGCCCTCTCCCAGCCCCTCCCCCTTATCTCCCGAGCACCCTCAGGCCTGACAGATTCTGGAAAAAAACCCTCTTCAAGCTCCCTTTCCTGGGACCCAACCAGTATTGAGAGGCAAAGTTGTGCTGGGAGCCTGGGGGACGCGGGGTGGAGGGAACATAAATCCCTCAACAACCACCAGAGCTCTATGCTCTCTGTGTGCCATTCCTTTGGGGGAAATATGGCCCCTCCTAAATTCCCATTTTGGATCCTATCCCTGGAGGCGCTAGGGAAAATTACCCGGGCTGTGCCATGGGAAACCCAGAAGAGTGGTGCTAATTTGCACAAGTCCCCACAAGATCGTGAGGAGAGCTGCGGTTCTGCTTCCTCTGGTCCCCTCGGGTTGTGCAGGCTTTTCCCTCGTACAGAATCCACTAGTAAGATCACTGGCTTATGCCTAGCACCCTGCCCTCAAGGTCCTGAAAGCTGGCCCTGAAAGGCAGGAGTCTAGGGAGCACAGCTGGAGAGCGGCCCTGACCAGCAAGGAGCAGAGAGGAGGAAGATGGGTTGTATGTGGAGGACAGTGCTTAGAGAGACAGGAGGCTGCACACTGCCGGCTGCTGGTGTTTCCCTTCAAGAAAGAACCTGCAGGCTGGGCGCGGTGGCTCAGGCCTGTCATCCTAACACTTTGGGAAACGGAGGCAGGAAGATCACTTGAGGCCAGGAGTTCAGGACCAGCCTGGGCAATATATTGAGACCCCGTTTCTACAAAAAAAATTGTCTTTAATTAGCTGGGCATGGTGGCATGCACCTGTAGTCCCAGCTACTCCAGACACTGGGGTGGGAGGATCGCTTGAGCCCAGGAGTTTGAGGCTGCAGTGAGCCATGATTGCACCACTGCACTCCAGCCTGGGTGACAGAGCGAGAACCTGTCTCAGAAGAAAAAAAAAAATAAAGAAAGAAAGAAAAAGAAAAAAAAGAACGAAAAAGAAAAAAGAAAGAGAAAGAAAGGAAGAAAACAATGAATGAACTTGCAGACCAGCTGTAGGGAGCACAGTTAGCAGCCTCCAGCACCTCCTGTCTTTCACATTCAATATCCGGATCTTCCCAGGCAGCCCCCAGCCAATGCCTGAGCACTGCACGGGTGCAAGTGCCCGGCCACGTCATCCCATTGCGGGACTCTTCAAATCGGCAGTCTCCACCGGGATCTCCCTGCTGGGCTGGCAGAGACTTGGTCAGATCTGCATTGCCGTCTGAGGCTCTCCCCGCCAGTCGTCCTTACACAGGTTTAAATCCCCAACAAACTTCTTGCACTCCTAACGCCATCTCAGCGTCTGCTTACCAGAGGACCCCAACCGGCACACATGCCAAGAGCCACACGCCTTGTGCTCTCCGTGCGCGCGCGTTTGCGGGAGACCTGCTGGTCCTGGAGCGCCGCAGCTCCGAGGAAGGATGCGGGCCGCGCCCCCTGGTGGGCACGCCGTGGAGCTGCACGTGGAGCGGTCTCGGGCGCCGCAGCCTCACCGACAGTCCCCCTGGGAGAACCCCAGAGAGCACTGCACCAACCGGAAAACCGGAAACGGAGGCCCAGACAGGGAAAGGGTTAGGGAAAGAAAAAGTCTGGGGGCCTCTTACCATCAGCACGCTTGTTCCGTCTGCTCCCCGTCTGGTCCCTGCAGCTCTTCCAGCGGGCCGGCTTGGCACGGTCAACTTCGCCCTCCCCGCTACCCCCTCACCACCCCGCTGACGCTCCCTTCTCCGTTCCCAGACTCAAGACTGGGGCAGGGATTCTGCTTGTATGAGTGCTCCAAACCATTCAGACGCAAGGGGTCTTCTGACCGCACTTTAAGAACGATTGACCAGAACTTCTAAAATGGATGTCTCGGAGGCTTTTAATTCTCCGGGAATGAGAGAGTCCCAAACTCTCTGAAGGCTGTCTCTCTTCCTGCCAGTGGACGGGGGAATTAACCGGCTGATTATTTTTTCTTATGCAAATGCTCTTTGCAAAACAAAGCCCAGGGTAATTTCTACATCAGATTTTTAATGAAATGCGCTGCCGCTTTGAAGTAGCACTGACGCCACTGAGTCAGGTCTGCTCCCTGCCCCCGTGGGGTGCCGGCCGCTCTCCTGGCAACGCCCAGCCACACTTCGCGCATTTCTAGGTATTTACCCCTCCCAAGCAGGAAGAACGGCGCCTAGCGCGTGGTAGGATCTCCGAACATATTTACTGACTAAAACTGAAGATGGTAAAGTAGGGAAAGACAGACACGCTCATTCCTGCGTGGCCGGCGTGGGTCACCTCTTCACCCACTATCGCATTTTATTTCTCACAACACCTCCCCGCGGTGTGTACTAAGACCTGGAGATGAAGGAACTGAGGCCAGAGAGGGGAAGTAACTTGGCCAATGTTACCCAGCCAGTCAAGGCAGGGCTTTGGCTTGCCCTGAGATCCACCTGGCTCCTTGCACCTCTCCTGCAGCCTCCACAAAGGCCTAGAAAGGAGGTGGGTGACCCCGTGTCCACACTCCCCTATTATATCGCAGACCACATCTGTCTGGAGTCAAGGGGGAGAGAGGCCAGTGCGGTGGCTCATGCTTGTAATCCCAGCACTTTGAGAGACTGGGGTGAGAGACTTGCTTGAGCCCAGGAATTTGAAACCAGCCCGAGCAACAACGTAAGATCTCATTTCTACAAAAAATAATAAGTTACCTGGGGGAATGGTGACGCATGCCTGTGGTCCCAGCTGCTCAGGAGGCTGAGGCAGGAAGGAGGATTTCTTAATCATGGGAGGTCACTGAGGCTGCAGTGAGCTGTGATTGTGCCACTGCACTCCAGCCTGGTTAACAAAGCGAGACCCTGTCTTAAAAAAAAAATGGTGAGGGGGAAGGGAGTTTTTGCTCTCCTCTCCAACCCCACCTTCCCAGCCATTCAGGGTTCCAGCAGGACCCCTGGGCCTGCCAGGCAGGGGCAGCAGCAGACAGCTTCCGGAGAAGCTGGGCTTGGATGTAGAGATGTTTGATGCCTTGGGGGCTCACCAGCCCCGCTGTGTAGTCCTGCAGCGGGTCAGAACACCAACCTCACCTGTCAACTTCTTATCTGCCCTCCGCCAGGCTGGCCCAGCTCACTGACTCAGCCCTACTGAAGCCTCTCTGCCCGCACCCACCCTCCCTGCCATTCCACTGCCAGGCTGCCCTGCCTGCCATTGGGTTAAGGGATCCCCTAACTGTGCCCCAAAGGCCTATCACAGTGCCCAGTGCCCTTCATTTACCTTAAGGTGTGTGTTGTGGCCTTCCGAAGTCTAACTGGACAGACGTAATATATTACCTGGGAGGTGTGGACTATGACCAGGACCTCATGCTGTGTAATGCTGGCAACTCTCATGCCTGTCATTTGCTGCACCCCCTCTTCCCTAACTCCTAAAGGACCATGACTAAGGCTGTGGAGTCCCAGTTAGCGTGGTGCAAACTGATGTCAGGCTGCCTGGGTTTACGTCCTGGCATTGCCACCTTGCAGCTCTGTGACCTTGGGCATTTACTTAACCTCTCTGTGCTTCAAAGGGATAATGAATGGAATGGTTACATATAAAGTGCTTAGCACAGTGTCTGGCCTGTAGTGAGGCCTCACTGCTGCTCTGGTTAGGATGCTGCCCTTCCCTTTGTGAAGCTGGGTATACCCAAGGCATACTTAGGTTTCCATCCCTGCACTGCCATTTTCCAGATGTATGACCTTGGATAGACTGGCCCCTGAACCTCAGCTCTGCCATGACCTTGGATAGACTGGCCGCTGAACCTTGACCTTGTTATGACTTTGGATAGATTGACCCCTTAACCTCAGCCTTGTTATGACCTTGAATACATTGGCCACTGAACCTCAGCTCTGCTATGACCTTGAATAGATTGGCACCAGAACCTCAGCTCTGCTATGACCTTGAATAGATTGGCACCAGAACCTCAGCTCTGCTATGACCTTGGATAGATTGGCCCCTGAACCTTAACCCTTCCAAGGTTGTGTTCAAGATTCAGCTCTATAATGTGATCCTCTATGAATCCCTTTCCTCTGTTGGGGGAAAGTGCAGGCAGGGCAGGGTCATTTGTTGAGCTGTGTATTCCCATGGCCTCCTGGCAGAGGCAAGTAGGCTTCACATTTTCTTACCCGAGGGGACATTTATGGCCAAACCAAAGCAGAAGTTGCCAGCAATAGCCATCTCTACCTTTTGACTTTCCTTTTCCCAAAGCTGGAAGCCTGTGAAAGGGAGTGGTTATGCTGAGTCCTTGAGTGAGGCTGGAAGGGAACTGATTATGACAGGAAAGAAGACAGACTGGGATGGGGGAGGAAGATTCTCGTGAGTCCCCTCCTCACTAGGAAGGGAAAAGAGGCCCAGGGATCCCACAAGGAGAACTCTAGGAGGTGGCCAGGGCTCTGCAGAGGTGGCTCCATGACAAGGTCACGTGGGCTTGGGCAGTGAGTCCCTCGGCAGCCACAGTCACGAGTCAGGTCCTGGTGAGATCTGGGAGGGGGAGAAGACCCCGAACAACAACCAAGTGGACTTTCTTACCAGTGCAGGAACTGTCTGCGGAGTAAAGAAGATTTTGTGGAAATAAAGTGGGAACTCAACCACACCTGAGTTTGTGACTGGGCTTCAGCCACTCCACACACCAAGCCCTTGTGCTCTGCGGAGCTGCCTTTGGGGGTCCTTTCGACCCTCACATCTCGGGCCTGAGTGCTGTAGGTCCTGGTGTTATCAGCCTTGCACTGAAGGACCTTGCGAGTGTGGCAGTCTTTCTATCTGGGAAGGGGGACTCCTCCATAGACTCACATTTATGTCAACGAAGGGAATGTGGGTGAGGAGTTGTAGGGACCTGTGCCTGGCTTGAGAATGGAGAGGTGTGCCTCCAGCAATGACGCCACCCAGCTGTTCTTTGGAAGCCTGGGGGAGCCCTGCCACACTCACTCCCTGCCACTGGCCGGTGCTCCAAGAGGCGTGGGCTCTGCCCTTCCAGGGTGGCCCCAGCGCTCATCACCCTGTCTTTCTTCCTGCCACGCATCCCTGTCATCCTGTGATTACGAGGCATTGTGGGAAGGTGGTGAGATGAGTGGCTCTCCCTTCTCTGCTCTTCCCTCCTTTCTTTGCCTGGCCCGCTCCCCGTCCTGTCTCTGGGCCTGTCCTCACCCCACCTTATCCTGAGCCAGGCACTGCACGAAGGGCAGAGATGAGTGGATTCTCTTCCTTCTTTCTCTGAACCCAGCTCCTCTGTGTGCCCACGATTAACCTTTCCAGTTCTGACAGTTCCAGACCATCTCCCACAGACTCACAGATCACACAGAGGGAGGGGCCAGATGGCCGTCTGTGGCCCTTGAGGCTGGCCCTGCTCATCTTGAAGTTTGGCGCTCAGCACGGACCCTCCTGTGGGACCCCTGTGCCTGTCCCCCTCCTCCCTGGCTCTGCCACCTGGAATCAAACAGCATCAGAGAGAGGGGCCACTTCCCCCAGACTTCTCCGAGTTCTCCACGGGGAATGTGACCACATCAACTGCAAAGCAAAGTCGTTTTCCCATTTTCTTCTGTGACAACTTAATATCATACATGGTTCATCAAGATGCAGAAACGGAAATCTCCTACCACCACTTCAAGTAACCTGGGCCCCTCTCCCAGCATCTGGTACCCACAGACACCTGCTGGCAGGAACATAGAGTAAGGGATGAGTCCCAGCCACAGGTTGCCACAACCCATGGAGCAGGCAGCCTTCTCTCCCCCCTGCCCAGCCCCCAGCCTCGGGGTGGGTAAGCAGTGGTTTGCAAGTCAGGGGCTGTGAGCTCTGACCATGGCTTTGACATAAGTGGTTTGGGTCCCCTTGAGTGGGGAGCTCATTCTCTCAGTCCCTCTATTTACTCATTTGCAAAAGAAGAGACCTGGACTGGAGCCCCCTCTAGCCTTGGTGGGAGGGGAACCGTGGAGGAAGGGAGTGAGGGTTTGTGTGTGGAGAACACACCTGGTTGGGGACAAGACGGCAGGGCCATGCCTCCATCAGGACTCACTTTTCCCAGTCACCTGGGCAGGAGGTTTAACCACAGCATCACACCTCCTCATTCAGTGCAGGGGAGGAAACCAAGAGTCTGACGTCACCCAGCGGGACCCTAGGAGAGGGTTGGTGCCCCTGAAGAGTGAGCTACATGTTGGCCTGCCTTGATGCTGGGCAGTGTGGGAAAGGGGCTGCCCACCCCAGCCCCAGCCATGTGGTAGGGTGGGCCTGGGAGAGCCACCACTGTGCAATCCATTCCTTTCTGCGCTCACACAGCCCTGGGGTTGGGGTCATAAGTTTTGGAGTCAGACAGGCCTGACTTCAAATCCCAGAGCTGCCTTGCACTGGCTGTCGAGTGGCCTTTTCTGACCCTGGCCCCACACCCTGGGGGCCTCTTCCTGCAGCCCTGGAGTTTGACTCTCTGGGAAGGAGCCCTGGCTCCGTCCCTTCCTAGTCATGGGACTTTGAGCAACTGACCTGACAGCTCACTTAGCCGCTCTGAGACTCAGTTTCCTCATGTATAATGAAGTGAGAACACCATCTTTTTCATAGAGTGAATGAGATTAAACCAATGATGTGGGTGAAGTGCCTGGTGCCAGCCTGGCATGTGGGGAGTGGGCAACAGATGGTGGGGCGGGGGCTGTTACTCGGCACATGAGGAGACCGAGGTTCAGCAGTCATAGGACCTCACATGGGTGCGTTTCAGGTGCCCATCTTCTGACTAGTTCTGCAAAAGGAAGGTGCCTGGGCTGGAGATCTGCCTGGGGGAGGAGG
The DNA here is from genome assembly GCF_000001405.40 of Homo sapiens. Lineage (NCBI taxonomy): Eukaryota > Metazoa > Chordata > Mammalia > Primates > Hominidae > Homo > Homo sapiens. The sequence goes on along the minus strand of NC_000015.10, from coordinate 68,554,455 downwards.
TAAAGGTCAGCTTAGACTCTGGCAGCTGGAGGTTCTCCAGGTGGGATTCCCTGCTTTCCAGGTAAACATCTCCTGGCCTCTTTGGGGTTTGCTTGGGCCCTCAGCAGAGCTTGGGTAGGAAATCTGCTCAGTATTACGTCCACCTGCTCCACGTCCCGAGGCTGGGATCCTTGGAGGGTCCTTCCACAATGGGCACCTGTGAGTCTAGTCCACTCAATTTCAGCTGCTCACCTCCCCAAATATGACCAATAGCGCCACCTACTGGCAAAGCCAAAATCTGTTATTTGGTTCCTCTCTGTCTCCCCATACTCAGGTGGTACCAGGGCCCGACAAGCCCACCTGCTGAGCCCTCCCTAAGGGGGCCCTGTCACCGCCTCTCCAACCTGTCTCTGCTGTGCTGTGCTCATCTTCCTTCTGGACTACTGCTCAGCCTCCAACATGGTCTCCCCCATCCATTCTTGCCCCTGTAATCCTTCCTCCTTTCAAAACTAGTGACCTTTCTAAGATTGCAGTTAGATTGGTTCAGCCACCCCTGCTCATAACCTTCAATGGCTCCCCATTGCTCTCAGGGACACATCCAAACTCTTCATCACGGCTTGTAAGGCCCTGCACGGTCTGGGCCCTGCCCTCGCCTCCTTCCTCTTCTCTGATAGCTTCATCTCCTCTCCCCAGCAAAATCTTCACTGTGCGGGGCACAAACGCACCAGGGGCAGTCCTGCTTATGGCCTTTGCCTAGGCTGATGCCTCTGCTCCTTTGCTGGAGTCACTCCCAGTTCTTTAAAACTCTTCTAGACATCACCTCCTCCAAGAAGCCTTCCACTTGTAACAAATGGCCACACATGTGGTGGTTTAAAATAGCACAAACTTACTCTCCTACAGTTCTGGAGGCCATAGGACTAAGATGAGTGTTATGGGGGCTAAAACCAAGGCGTTGGCATGGCTGCATTCCTCCTGGGTGGTTCGGGGGAGAATCTCATCCTTGCCTTTTTTGGCTTTGCATTCCTTGCTCTGGGCCCTTCCTTGTATCACTCCAGCCCTTCACTTCCATCATCACATCTCGCTCTCCAACCCTCCTGCCTCCCTGTTACAAAGATCTTGTGATTACTTTAGGACTACCCAGATAATCTGGGATAATCTCTCTATCTCAGGATCCTTAATTATATCTGTAGAGTTCCTTTTGCCACATCAGGTAACATGTGCAAGTTCTGGGGATTAGGACAAGGACACCTTTGCTGAGAGCATCATTCAGCCGACCACCCCTCTTTCTCCCAAACATGGATGTGGTGCCTTTCTTCTGTGCTTACATGGCCCCTGAGATTTCCTCTTTGTTGTACACATCCACATGTGTGACTGTCCTTTGACTCGTCTCACTCCCCTGCTAGTCCCAGCTGCAGGGACTGAGCTGTCCTTTGTGCCCCATGTTTCCGGGGCCTGGCGTGGTGCCTGGAATATAAGCACCATGGGCTGAATGTTTGTTGGATGAACACATGTCTGTCTCCCTGGCTTCTTCACCACCTAAAGACTGACAGCAGGAAGCGCAGCTCTGAGGCATTCTCTGCAACCACTACGTGTCCTGGTCAGGCTCCCTGCTTCCTTCCTGTCTGCTCCTGGGAGGTAGTGACCCCAGCAATCCAATAGGTTGGGAGAACTTCTTGAGGAAAGGTCTGGTGGCAGGATCAACGATGTTGAGATCAGAGGGGCTGATGCTTTGGGGTAGCTGAAGGAAGCATGCGATTCTATGATGAGGAGTGATGGAGAAGGCAGGGAAAGAGGGAGGAAAGGTCTTCATCACGGTATAGGGGCCTCCAGTGTGTGCAGGAGGCAGTCTGCAATGGGGGAGGACATGGCTCCAGCCAGCTGGTTTTAAAAAGACTGGAGACTCGTAGGCACACACTCTGCACACAGACTCCCTCTGATGGGGTTGTCACCGAGGCAACAGATAAAGCTGGTTACCCAGCAACAAGGCCCTGCCCCCCCCACCCCCCCGCGTCCTCCTATGGCCATGGCTGCCCCTTGGGAGTTTTATGCCCTTTCTAGATTGCACCAGTGTTTAGATGGAACCAGATTTCCTCTGTGTCCAAATACCAAGGATAAGCAGATGAACAGGGGTCCTTTTGTGATTCTTGTGGTCAAGGGTCATGGATGAAGCATCAGAAGAGATGGGGGCCAAGGTGTCCCAGGCTGGGAGAGCAAAACAAGAGGATGTTTTGGCCTAATTTTTCCTGGGTGCTTTAGTTTTTCCATTTGTACTAAAGTACCCCTGGAAGAATGCCAGTCTGGGATCAGGAGACCTGGTTCCAGGGCCTGAATCTGCCTCTCACTTGCTCAGCATTTTGAGCAAGCAGCTTCCCCTCCTTGGTCCTCAGTTTCCCTATCTGTGAGAGGACACTTTGGGGATGCTGATGACCAAAGCCCCTTCTGGGTTCCAGAACCTCAGGGGTAGAGAAGAAGCAGGCATCTCCGTGCTCCCTGCCAGGTCTCCCCCGGCCCCCACCCACCCATCCTTGCTGCCATGTCTGGGTCTTGATGTATGGGAGGAGAGGGGAAGGTGGGCCATCGGTTCTGGGCCTCACTTCCATGAAGAACCCCAAATAGACTTTAGATCTCATCATCAAAGAAGTTTTAAGAGTCATTGTCATGTTTTATAAGTGAAAAGTATTAATTTGTCATTATAAACATTTAAATTAAACTGCAGTTTTTGTAACTCTATTTGCCACTTTTCATTTTAAAAATAGACCTTAGTCTAAAGGATAGAAGGCGCCAGGCCTTTGTCCATCTTCAAGAGCCCTGGTTCCTGCTGCCCAGGGTCCCTCACAGGGGCTCTGGGGGTCTGGGCTGCCTTCCGTGGGAGAAGGAAATGACATAAGACCTTCAGAGGAGTAAGGTGGTTGGTTAGGGCCAGGGCTGTGGGCACAGGAGGGGCCCAAGTGTTGAGGAGATTCACTCCTCAGGAAAGAGGAGGCCGGGGAGGCCCAGCTTGGGGACAGCCTCCGGGAACAGTTGTGGTGAGCTGCGCCTCTTCACCCACAGCCCAGTGGGAACTTTGAGGCAAGGCTCTCAAAGGTGAGATGAGCTACCCTCATGCCAGGTTGGGCCTGGGCCTGCGGGGAGGACCCCTGGGGGTTGTTACCTGGACCTCCTAGTTCCCAGCCCTTTGAGAGTTAGGGGTGAGGTAGGCTGGGGGTCAGGCACTCACACAGAATGAGCCCCCGAGAGCATCCTGGCTCCGTGCCCTGTGAGCGGCCCCTCTCTCTCCATCACACCTTAGTTTCTCCCCACGGCACCCCTGTCTGCCCACTTTGGAAAGCGAGTGCTGGGAAAGGCTGAGCGAGGACCTCCATTCAGGGTCACCCAGGGGCGGTCAGCCTGGGCCCTCTTCCCCCCAGAGAGTCAGGAACCTCCTCTCCACCAAGACACACACCCAGTGTGCTGCGAAAAGCTGGTCATCCCAACCTCTCTGAGGATCCCACGCCCATCCTGGGGGTGGGTGGGGTAGCCCATAAGTGGGAGGGAGACTGGAGGTGTGGGGAGGCTCAGGTGTCCCCCTCTGGGAGGCAGGTGGGCTGCGTTCGAGTCCTGGCTCTCTCATGGCTGCAGGAACACAGTACAGCCATTTTAGTCTTGGGGTCCCCCTTTGGGAAATGAAGAGGCTGAGCCCTCCAGAGCCGCCTGCATCTCAGATGTGTTCTGGCTCCCAAGCCACCCACCTGCCTCTTGGAGAAAACCTTCCCGCAGAGCGCCTGCAGGTAGATTTGTTCTGAGACAGCACCACCTGCTGGACATTCTGGGTAGGACGCCTGTCCCTTCTAAGGTGAACCCAGAATCCCAGAACTCGGGGGCGACAGTAATAACGGTCCCTAAAAAGTACCATTGCATCTTCCATACTTTATACTTGGATCATATCATTAAATCTTTACAATCGACCATAAGAGATGGGTGCTATCGTGGTTCAATTTTATAGATGATGAAACTGAGCTTGAGAGAGGTTAAACAACTTGCCTAAATTGGTCGGGGTGTGGCTGAAATTCAGTGCAGTCATTCTGACTCCTTAGCTCCAGAGATCACTAACCAGGCCCCTGGCTTTCAGAAGGGGTCCTGAGGCCCCTGGTGAGCTACTTGCCAAAACGTCATGGCAAGTCAATGACAAAGGTGGGAAACAGACTAAATCAACTAGCTGGGGCATTACATCCCGGGGGTTCTTTTAAGCTCGTCTTTGGGGTCTGACCCACTCTGTATTTTCATGCTGGTAAGAAAGAAGCAGCTTCAAATTCGCCCCAGGCAAGCGGGTTTCTCCTTAGAGCACCCCCAGCACACCTGAGACCCCGCACGCTCCATCCACCCCTCAGCTGATTCCACCTTCCGCAGGTTTGGAAAACCTACCAAGTGTGGTTTGCAGCCCGCAGGAAGCAGGAAGCAAAGAACTTGCCAAGATTGAGAGAAGCTAAGTAACTTGCCCACGGTCACCAGCAACTTTATTTATTTATTTATTTATTTATTTATTTTATTTTATTTTTTGAGACATAGTCTTGCTCTGTTGCCCAGGCTGGAGCGCAGTGGCACAATCTCAGCTCACTGCAACCTCCATCTTCCAGGTTCAAGCAATTCTCCTGCCTCAGCCTCCCAAGTAGCCAGGATTGCAGGCACATGCCGCAATGCCCAGATAGTTGTTTTGTATTTTTAGTAGAGACAGGGTTTCACCATGTCAGCCAGGCTGCTCTCGAACTCCTGACCTCAAAGGATCTGCCCACCTCGGCCTCCCAAAGTGCTGGGATTACAGGCATGAGCCACTGTGCCCAGCCACCAGCAATTTTATGCAGCAGCTGGGAACAGAATGTAGTGACCCAGCTTCCAGCTCAGGGCTTTCCCATTCCATCCTCCCCATGGTCCCTTCACCCTGACTCACAGGGGGCCTGGGCTGGACCAGTCAGGGCTTAGCCAAGGGCCAAAGTGGGAGCAGGAGGGAAGGAGCTGGAAGTCCATGCTCAGGACAGTAGGAGGTTTTGGTACCACGAGAACAGACACATAAAAACAACCAGCCAATCCATAAAAAGACAAAAACCAACCAACCAATTAAAAAAAAACCCCAAACAATCCCAGATCATGGAAGACCCCAGTGTAAACTCCAGGAAGGAGGACTGACAAAATTGAAAAGTGCTAAAGCAAATTCTCAAAGAGCTGCACACTACATAGCAATATGGCCTGTGAGCTGCAGTTTTACTGTAAATGGCCGTTAAAACAGAAAGACCAGAGGTAATATACCAATACATGAACAGTGGTTGTTTCTGAGTAGTAGGATTGTGATTTTCTCCTCTTCTTGACAGTCTATATTTTCTAATTTTTCTGCAAAGATTCTGTATTGCTCACGTAATAAGAAAAAAATTATTTGTAGAAAGGAAGGAAGAAGAGGAGTATCTTTATGGTTTGGGAAAGAGGAGAAAGAATTTCTGAAACAAAACATAAACCAATAGGAAAAAATTTAACAAGCTAAAGATATTTGCCATATATATAATCAACAAGGGACTGTGATATGATATATAAAGAACTCCTGTCAATCGATAAGAAAAAGATATACAACTTAAGATAAAAATGGACTAAGAATATATGTATAGGTAATTTGCAGAAGAGGAAATCTAAGTCATCAATAAGCACATGAAAAGTTGTTCAACCTCACTGGTTGTACCACTTCTCATTCATCATGTTGGCAAGAATGGAAAAGTCTGAAAGTATTGAGTATCAGGAAAGATTTGGAGACATTAATACTCTCATATGCTGCTGGGAGGAGTGTAAATTAGTAAGACCGCTTTGGGGAGAAATTTGACAATAAGTAGTAAATTTGAAACTGCACATAGCAGTTTTGTTTTGAGATATATTCCTAGAGAAACTTTCATATGTACGCACAGGGAGATGTATGTGCTGTGGTGTGCTGGAACTGACTTGTACAGCTTGCAAGACTGATAGTGTTCAATTCTTCCCAACTCTGCATTTAGTGATGTCCTGTTGGCAGCTTGAAATCAGTCATGGCGGGAGTGTTTCAAGACAGCTGATGGTTAAACATTTGCCAGAACACCACTGCAAATAGGTTATTTGCAGCTTTGTTTTTAAGAGAAAAGCATTGGCTAGTCTAATGTAGACTGGCCATTAGTAGAAGAACAGGCGAACAAAATGTAGTATTCTTATTCTATAAAATAGTGTACAGAATTTAAAAGAAAAGAATTAGATGTATGTATCAACATGGATTGATTTTTTAAAACACACACACACACACATATATATATATATATTTTTAAGATGGAATCCTGCTCTGTTGCCCAGGCTGGAGTGCAGTGGCATGATCTTGGCTCACTGCAGCCTCCGCCTCCTAGGTTCCAGCAATTCTCCTGCCTCAGCCCCCCAAGTAGCTGGGATTACAGGCATGCACCACCATGCCAGGCTAATTTTTGTATTTTTAGTAGAGACAGGGTTTCACCATGTTGGCCAGGTTGGTCTCGAACTCCTGACCTCAAGTGATCCACCCGCCTCAACCTCCCAAAGTGCTAGGGCTACAGGCGTGAGCCACCACGCCCGGCCAAAAACGTACTTTTAAGCTAAGAAAGCAAGTGACTGAATGAAATAGTCCATAAGATATGACTATGTAGATTGAAAATAGTATTTAATATTTATGGAACATATGTCTGTATGTAAAGTAATTTTTAAATTGACTGGGAAGATAAATACCAAATTTGTCATGCTAATTGTCTTTGGGGAGAGGAGGGCTATAGGAAGGAGATAGAGGACTTTATCTGAGGTGTTTTATTTCTTTTATTAATTCTGTATAGGCCGGGTGCGGTGGCTCACGCCTGTAATCCCAACACTTTGGGAGACCGAGGCAGGTGGATCATGAGGTCAGGAGATTGAGACCATCCTGGCTAACACGGTAAAACCCCGTCTCTACTAAAAACACAAAAAAATTAGCATAAAAAAATTCTGCATAATGAGTAGTGCTGGCAAAATATTAACAACTATCATTGTAGATGATAGAGTTGTGCATGCCTGTGATGGTCTCTGTATTTTCTGTATTTTTAAAATAAAGGAAGCAGTGCTATAAACTTTCTTGCTCTATTTATGATTACTATAATTAGGGAGCCTATGATTATGGGTACAGGTAATTTTTACAGGGTCTTTTTATTATGAAGCATAATTCCAGAACAGTTGAGTTTCTCTATGTGATTTGCCTTTATCTTATGGACACTAAGTAAGATTATAACTAATCGGGTTGCTCTCTTTGCATTGGCTGCTAGGAAGCTCAGCTGCAGATATTTGGCCTGAAAACCTCTAGCAATTATCCTGGACCTCCTATTTGCATTTACCTCATTCTTTGTTTTACCTTCTCTTTCTTACTCTCACTTTTTATTTGCTGTGATTTCTGCATTTATTTGTTTTATAATTTACTTCATTTTGTATCATATTTAAATTTAGAAACTGCTTTGAGTCTTTTCTGGAATTAAGCTGGCCATAAATTAATTTATTTTTCAAATCCATTGGTACGTAAGATGCGATCCAACAAGAGAGGGTGAAAGTCTCCTGATTGCTCACTTAAAACATTAGCTAATATTAGAGGAGTATTCCCTCCTCTAAAGAGCCAGGAGATGGAGTGAACAGAGGGTTGCAAATACTAGCTAAGGTCAAAGTCAAGGTCAGCAGAAGAAAAGGTCATCATAAGACAAGAAGGGGGCAGGTAGAAGGCAGGATCAGGAGCATAACAAGGCCACATTCATCATTCATTTATTCATTCACTCATTCATTCATTCATTTAGTAACTATTGAGCATCTGGTCAGAGGCAGACAGACTGCAAGGGAAGAAGAAATGTACTGCACTGGGCAGAGGAGGCAGGCCAGGCAGAAAGCCAACAGCAGCTCCTGGTGGCCCATCTAGACACCTCAGGGTCTAGAATTACCAAAACCCAGCTGGGGAAAACCCACACACAGTAGCCAGGTAGTCTGGGCTGGAGGTGGCTGGTTGTTCTCACTCTGACAGGACTCCCCGCAGGTCCCTGGAAATCTTGGAATCCCTTGCGGTAGCTAAGCCAGGATTCAATTTACAGACACTCATTCCACACACATCCCAAATTGATGCATGGTATTGCAAAGGTGAGAAAACAGAAAAGATTGCAACTGGATGGTGGAATCTTAAAGCAACTACTGGGAAGCCTTGAAGCAAATTACTCAATATCCCTGAGATGAACTTCTTCGTTTGCAAAATGGACACTACAATCCCTTGTCCGGTCAACCTCGTGACAGCAGATGTGCAGGAGAGAGGACTAGAATAGAATGGACCATCAATAGGAGAGTGGTTTTATGTGCGTGAAGGAGCACCAAGTCGATTTTCTACCCAAGCAACTAAGGGTGGCAAGGACGGCTCACTGTTGGTTTTCTGCCCTCCACAATGAGTGACATGAGTTGGCAAAAGGGGGAGGGCAGAGAGAGGTGGGGTCTAGGAGTTTAGGAGACCCCGTGCTGAGCAAATGAGTCCCTTTGGGAGGAAATGCCAAGTCTCTGAGTGCCATTGGCCTTGACAGTCTTCCTGGGCCCTGGCACAGCTATCCGCTGCTTTCCCAAAGCCACACCTTTGAGGCTGAGGGCTGGGGATGCCCCACCTGATGGCAGCTCCTGCCATCCCCGGGGTACCCCCAGCCTCCCAGGCATGCCTCATTTACCCCAGCTCTTCCCCCTACAGCATTGGACTATGATAGTTTTCTTTCCAAGGAGTGATTCTGCCAGGAACTAAGGAAGGGGAGGCCCCTTTGGCTCCTTCAAATGCCACCCTGGCTGTTGCCCAGTCCCCCTCGCCCAGTATTACCCCCCCCGCCCCCCGCATTCCTGTTGCAGGCAGGGGTGTAAAGGGAGGGGCTCTGAGACTGATCCTGGAGATTGGGGCCTAGCCTCAGGGAGCTTCCAGAAGATGGGAAGGCCAATGGGGAACCCCCTTCTTTATCTCAAGAACTTTAAAATGTAGCAAGCAACCACACAACACACAACTCAATTCAAAGAATTGAATTTCCCACCAGGGTATGACAGAGGCTGGAGCTGGGGGAGGGGTAGAGTATGAAGGCCATGAACTGTGGAGTCATGCAAATTTGAGACCTGACATTTATAGCACCAAACGCCTTTCCATAGCAATACAAATTAAAAAGTGAAAATAAATGAATTAAACACCCACACTGAAAAATTAGGGGAAAAAGTCGTGAAGACTCCATGGCAAGGTTTTCTGAGGAGGGAAATCTACCATCTCCCAGTTTTTCCTCCAGCGTGTGTCACTCTCAGAGGAGTCCTGCCCTGCAGCCTTCATGTGGGGCATGGGAATCTATGGACACCGATTCCCACCCGTGCAAGAATGTGCCTTGCAGGCCGGGCGTGGTGGCTCAAGCCTGTAATCCCAGCACTTTGGGAGGCGAGGTGGGCGGATCACGAGGTCAGGAGATCGAGACCATCCTGGCTAACACGGTGAAACCCCGTCTGTACTAAAAATACAAAAATTAGCCGGGCATGATGGTGGGCGCCTGTAGTCCCAGCTACTCGGGAGGCTGAGGCAGGAGAATGGCGTGAACCCCGGAGGCGGAGCTTGCAGTGAGCCGAGATTGTGCCGTCGCACTCCAGCCTGGGCGACAGAGCGAGAGTCCATCTCAAAAAAAAAAAAAAAAAAAGAATGTGTATGACAAGCCTGTGAGCAGATTGGCTATGAAGGCAGAGACCTGGGGCTGCTATTGGCCCAATGACATGGGCTTCCACCTACCCAAGGCTGATCTAGCTCCTGCCACTTCTGAATGTCCAACTTGTCCATAATGGAGACCAAAATCAAACCCCTGAAATGGCATTGTTTCCTTGAGGAGACCAACCTGCCTCCTGGTGGTAAGTTGACTGCATCAGGATCTTCTTATCCTGGAAGGTGCAGGGGGCCATCCTCTGCATCCTCCACCTGGAACAGGATGGATACCATCACATGGTATTCAAACACTGTGTTTTCTCCCCTAGTTGAAGCAGGGCTGTTTGAGGGCATGGATGAATCTTAGTGAGTCGCTCAGACCCTGGCAAAAACGAGGGACTCAGTCCATGTGTGCAGAGTGGATGGGCCAATAGACATCAAATGATGACCAGTGTCACACACCCATGCACACACACTGCATGTTTTTACATCTTGTTACTCCTCCCAGTAGCCCTCTGGGGAAGATATCATCAGTATCTCCCTTTTACAGATGGGGAAACTGAGCCAGAGAGAGATATAGTTGCTTGCTCAGGAGATACAGGGCCAGATGTGGATCCACAGTGGACCATCAGCACCTCTGTTCTGATCACTGCACTGCATGGTTGTCTGTCTACAGAGCTTGGGGAAGGAAGGCATGAGTGGGCTGGGGTGGTCACCAAGGTGGGGTCTGAGATGCTCCTTAGATAATCAGAGGAAGGACTAGGACAGATATTCTAGGCAGAGAAACACGTGACTGGTCCAGCAGACTGCTTGGTCTGAGTAGAGGACTTGAGAGAGGTAAGGGCCAGGATCTGGAGTCATGGCGGGGCTTCCTGTCACCTGGGCAGCGTGAAAGGCTGCTGGGCAGAAGGCTGGACAGGGTGATGCCCAGTTTGGCAGTCACCGCAGTGTGCGTCAGGAGGGTGGAGGGAGGGACTAGGGCAGGAGGGACTAAGGCAGGAAGGAGAGATGGGAGACGTCTGCAGCTGTGTTGGGGGAGGACTGGAGACCCTGAGATCAGAGGCAGGCATAGGAGTCGATAGAAGTTGATTAATTCAAGAGTCATTACAAAGGAAGCCTTCTTTGGAGGCAAGCAGGAGGGTCTGTATGGGAATCATGGACTCTGCCCCTGGGAAATTGGCCTTGCTGGCCTTAGAGTTGCATTTTTTAGTTATTCTCACAAGACCCTGGGGTGGGAGGAGGAAGGAGGGGACAGGGTAGAAAGATGGGGATTGGGGATCCACCAGCCCCCATGCTCTTATCCTCTGTCTCTGCAATGCCAGGAATGGGCTCAGACACCAAGATAAACAATGTGTTGACCTGGCCCAGGCTGAGAATGATGCTGATAGTGACTATGAATCAGCCCTAGGCTTTGGTCCAGGAGAGAGAGGCATTTCCCAGTCAGGGGGAGGGAGGAAGCCAACCACTGTTCTGGAAATTTCCACTCACATTATCTCCCTCTGACAGGGGAGCAAACTGAGGGCTCCAGAGGGGACATGACTTGTTCAAGGTCACATAGCCAGTGAGAGCCAGTCTTTGAAAATGCATCCTTCTGTCTCGAAGGCCAGGGTCACTGCAATTTGTGGAGATATCTGGCCATGCAAAGCCCCTCCACCCCCCGATCCCTGTTGGAAGCCTTCCTGAGTTGTCTCCGTCAGTCTAACCTGATGCTTTTTGGACTCACATTGCCTCAGTAGTTAGGAGTCTCCTTTGTTCTGCAGTAAACCAAGGCATCCCGAGGAGCCTGGAGCAAGGCATTCCTTTTCAATACATCCGGCAGCTGATTATCACTCAGCAAGTCACACATTGATTGCTGATTGTCAGAGCTAGAGCAGAGATAACAAAGGGAAGCACACATGCCACATGGGCAGACACTAGGGCTGCTCCAGAAGGTTCCCATCTCCCTCCTTCCAGGCACATGGTAGCACTGCATACCTCTGCTCTCTTTGGAAGTTAAGTGAAGCCATATGACTTGCCCTGACCTATAAAAATGTGAGCAGAGGTGACAAATGACCCTTTTGGGCAGAAGCTTTAAGAGCCAGTGTGGAGTTGGCTATGTCTCCTTCCTGCTTGCAGGGATGAAAGCAGGTATTGCCACGGAGTCACAGGTGGCCATGAGGGTGCCCCTCCCTTCTGCTCCACATTGGAGCCAGAAATAAGCTCTTATTGATTTTAAGGGTGGTTGTTGTTAGCACAGCTTAACCTAGCCTATCCTGACTAACACAGAAATTTGTACTTAGAAGTGAAGTGCTGTTAAAGCAAAAAACAATGAAAAGATGCAGTATTCTCTTAGAGATTCAGTGGCAGCAATAAGGAACTGATGTTGGAAGCTGGAGAGATAGCTATCCATGCAGTGGAGAAACATTTGGTGAAACTCTCACCTGTAATTACTTGAAATGTAGGGAAAGAAGTTTGAAGACAGAAATTGAGTAGTGTGTTTTGCTTGCTGTTGGCTGCATTTGGCAAAGTACTGCAAACGAGATGAGTTCAGAAATTGATTAAGGATGGGTCAGCCTAATACATGAGTGCTTATGATAGGATCAAATTTGGATCCTTTGGGGTCTTTTGCTTCCAGCCAAGAAGTAGTAAGAGACTGGATTTACTAGCCCACCTGAAACAACTAAAAATATGAAACACTGATTTTCAAGACACCAGACCTCAGGCAATGAAGTCATCCCTAAGACGCAACAAACAAATGAGACAGTCCCTGTGACCGTCCCAGCTTGCTGCCTTGAGAGAGTTTCCAGGCCACGGTGCAGGGAGAAGGAACACAGGCGGGTCCCACAGACTCCCTGGGTTGAGAGGGTGGAAGGAACTGAATGTAAGGAGGCCCAGGCTGTCAGAGTTCGCAGGGCACAGGACTGGAGAGAAGAGAGCCACACAGACGGAGAACTCCAAAGAGCCACCAAGGGTCTCCCTCAGGCATTTAGCAGAGTTTGATCAGCACCTGCGTGTGAGGAAGCCCCATGAGCCAGCGAAAGAATCACCCGAAAGGGTTAGAAGGAACAGCACCAGAAGCTCATGCGGGGCCAGTAATAGTACCTGCTCTCCAGCCAGACTGAAAAAACTCATAATTCATAGGGCACTGGACAAAGCACTCAGGAGGATCTTGTTTTAGTAGCTGGGGATGATTAGCTCTAGATGTTGTTTTGCTGAAACTAACTCACCACTGGCACTGTGATTATGGTATTGACTGCAGTGATATAGATTCCTTCGAGTTCAGCTTATTATCACCTTGTGTTGTATGATGATCCAACTCCCCCATCACCTTTTCCTCCATCCAAACTACTCTAAAGCCTTTGTTCATATAGCATTTTTGATGTCACTGAGTATGAACTCATTTATGTACTATATCCTTCTGATGCTAGTCCTTAAAAATAAAATAGTACTACTTGGTGCCAATAGGACTCTTACTCAAATGAACATGATGACCCTGAAATCACATTATGGTCCTTAGTTATAAGATGTTAAATAGATCAATGATTTTCTTCCTTTTTTTATTTGAGACAGGGTCTGGCTCTGTCACCCAGGCTGGAGTGCAGTGGCACCATTTTGACTCACTGCAGCCTCCACCTTTCAGGCTCAAGCCACCCTCCCACCTCATCCTCCCGAGTAGCTGTGACTATAGGCACACACTACCACAACACCTGGCTAACTTTTTAATATTTTATGTAGAGATGGGGTTTTACAATATTTCCCAGGCTGGTCTCGAACTGCTGAGCTCAAACTATTTGCCCATCTCAGCCTCCCAAAGTGTTGGGATTACAGGTGTGAGTCACTGTGCCCTTGCAGAGGATCTGAAAAGTCACGACTATTTTCATAATAATCCTCTTTTTTTACTGTATTAAAATGTGTACTGATGGTACAGAAGCAAAGGTGGCTAAAACTGCTGGTGCTTTTAGCGTGAATTAGGGCAGACTATACTGACAGTCACTGACTCTCTGTGTGTGTGTTTGTGTGTGTGTTTTAACCACCATGCACTTGCAGTTTAAAAAAAAAGCCAACTTTACTTAAGAATGTTCTTGATGAGGCAGTTAAAATTATTCATGTTATTAAATATTGACCCTTAAGTACTTGCCATTTTAATATTCTAACTCAGTGTGACAAAATGGGAAAATGTATACAGCAGCTCTGCTGCATACAAAAGCATGGTGATTGTTTAAATGAAAGGGACTGGTGAGACTGAGTTGTGAGCTAAACTGCACATTTTTCATTGAACACTGGTTTTGCTTGAAAAACAGATAAGGTAAAGTTAATCAGACTTGTGTATTTGGCAGACATTATCTTGAAAATAAATGAAAGGAGCCCACCACTTCAAGGAAAATAATTGACAATCATTGCTGCCAATTATAAAATTCAAAATTTCAAGTGCAAATTAGAATTTTGGAAAACTTGCATCTGCTACTGTGGGATTGACAGCTTCCCAATACATTGTGATGGGTCGTGATGTTAAGTAATGTTGTTTTTTAAATATTGTATGATTAAATGTGTCAATATTTGGAAGATCTACATAATTCAGTGAACTAATATTTTCCAGGTGATCAAAGTATGATGTTTCAAAATCATGCACAGGCAAAAATCCATTTAAAGTGCAAGGTTGACAAATGGATTTTAATGTTACAGAGTATGAAAACATACTGATGTGATTTCAAATTCCACATTGCAACTAATCTTTAAGAAATTCCTACTAGTTGAGTTTTGGTGCATGGTTAAGGGAGAATATCTACAATTATCTTCAAAAACTGTTAAAATACTCCTCCCTTTTTCAACTGCACGCTTGCGTAAAGCCAGATTTTCTTTATATACTTTAACCAAAACAACATACCACGATAGATTGACTGCAAAAGCAGGAAGGAGAATCCAGCTATCTTCTATTAACCAAACAGCAAAGAGATTTCCAAACAATGTCACTCATTCTATTACTTTTGTTTGTTTGGGACAATACAAATACTTTGATTAAAATATGTGAATACATAATATGTTTATTGCTGTTATTTAAAAATGCATTAATAAGTATTTCAAAATGTTCTGTTTTTCTATTATGATAAATATTATTATTACTATTATTTATTTGAGACATGGTCTTGCTCTGTCACCCTGGCAGACTCAATCTTGGCTCACTGCAGCCTCAGCCTCCCAGGCTCAAGCGATCTTCCCACCTCAGCCCCCTGAGTAGCTGGGACTACAGGCACACGCTGCCACGACCGGCTAATTTTTTTTTATTTTTAGTGGAGATGGGGTTTTGCCATGTTGCCCGGGCTTGTCTGGAGCTCCTGAGCTAAAGTGATCTGCCTGCCTTGGCCTCCCAAAGTGCTGGGATTACAGGTGTGAGCCACTGCACCTGCCATGATAATTATTGATAGACATATCTCATATGTTCCAGTTATCAATTTACTGACTCTCAGTTCCAAATTTATCCTTCACTACCAGCTCTGCAAAAATGGAGATGGGCCCATTAAATAGTTTTCTTTTGCCAGCTGGCACAGTGGTAAGCGTTGTCAGTAGAGGGCGCTACAGAGACATAGCAGAAGGAAGGGATTTTCCCTCACTGTTCTCTCAGCAGGCTCCTGCAGCTTGTGGCTTCTCTAGAGCCCAGCTCTGCTGTCTTGTGGCTAGCCTTTATCTTTGGTTACTGGACTGTCTCCTATGCCTCTAGAAGCCTGTGGGCATTAAATAGCTTAATACACTTCAATTATAATGCAAACATTTGAATTTTGACACAAAAACTGAGATGTAAAAGTGTGATTACTGTTCTGTGGTATAAAAATGTAAAAGGATTAACGGTTTTTCAAACCATCAACACCTCAGGACTTTAGCCAACTGACCTCTTAGAAATGAAGATTCCCTGGCCATATCTCCTTCCCTGATCAAATAAAGTGAGACCCAGATCCATGAGAACCTACAGGCTACTGGAATGACACCTCTTTAGAATGTGAGAAGTCCTAATAGGTCCAGGGATCCTCTTCTCTCCCAGTAGGTCTGGGGAGGTTGGGAGATGACAGTAAAGCTGGGTTTTTTTTGTTATATTAATAAACTTGTGAGTTTCTTCTCTCTAGGTAAAAGCTTTTTCATTTAAAGTGAACTTGAAGACTGGACTTAAATCAAAATAATGAAGAGAAAGGACCAAAATGGGGCCAAATCAGCTGGGACAATGTGAGCTCTGACCATGCAGAGAAAAAAGGAGAGCAATTCATATGCTGAAGCCACCGCAGACTCCAGTAGTGGATGCCAGGGCAACGCCCAGGACCTCCTCACAGTCACCAGCCCAGGGTACACCCAGGACCAGCCCCTCCGCAGCTGAGGCCAGAGGTTCCAGAGGGCACATACTGTGTCAGTCTAAAGCCCCAACTCTCCTGTACTGCCACATCCTGTGTATTTTTACCGAATGAAGCCAAGCATAGCTTTGAAAATATACATTATTTTATGCAATTAAAAGTTACTGAGGGGCAGGTGGGCCTCCTGGAAAGCTGTGGCTATTCCCCTCTTCCTCCACACACACCAGGAATCTCAGGGGAGGCAGAGAAAAAAAGGAGAAAGGGAAAAAATTATTGGGATCAATTAAATTGTAGGGTTTCTTGCTTCTGTTACCCAATGGATAGTGATTTGAAGGAGATCCGATCAATTACTAGAGAAAAAAACAAAATTATATATTTCTCTGAATAGTTAAAGGTAACGTAAGTAAATGTGTGACTTTGCTACTTGGATATACTTAATTGTTCCACCTAGATGATACCTACTCTATGAACAAGGCTCCCCGCCACACACCAGAGAGCTGATGCTCAACACATACTTATTAAATGGAACTTACTAAGCTCCAACCATGTATTCTATAGCAGGAGTTGGCAAACTTTTTCTGTACAAGACCAGATAGTAAATATTTTAGGTTTTGCCACAGAGGATCCCTGTAGCAACTACTCAAGTCTGCTGTTGTGGCTTAAAGGCAGCCATAGACAATATGTAAACAAGGCCGTGTTCCAAGAAAATTTATTTAAACACTGCATGTTCTTACTTATAAGCGGGAGCTGAACAATGTGAACACGTGGGCACAGGGAGGGGAACAACACACACTGGGGCCTGTGGGGGAGGCGGTGGGGAGGGAGAGCATTGGGAAACATGGCTGACGCATGCTGGGCTTAATACCTAGGTGACGGGTTGACAGGTGCAGCAAATCACCATAGCACACATTTACCTACGTAACAAACCTGCACACCCTGCACATGTACCATAGAACTTAAAAAAAATTAGCAAAAAGGTCCCAAAACTTTATTTACAAAAACAAGCAGTGGGCTAGTCTGACCTACTACAGCCATGGGCTGTAGTTTGCTAACCTCTGCCCTAAGTCATAGCAGCCAGAGTGCCCATGCTATTGCCTAGTAGTCTCTGGAGAATAATGGCCTCTCCTCTTTCACCCTCCAGATCTCATGTGAGTGTCCTCACAGCCAACTCTAATCCAGAACCACCCTGAAGGGAACTCTGGGAAATGTAGTTCTTGGCTTCTCCTCTTCAAGAGGGTGGCAGTGATGCTAAATTGACAACAGGTAATCCAGCATACCAAGGTGTCTGAATCACCTAAGATTTACAGGCCAAGGTGCCAGGATGACAGAAACCAACTTTTCAGAATCACCTATTGTTCTTTGGATTAAAACACTAGATTAGGCTTGTGTGTGAGTGACACAAAATCCAAAATAAAAGTGCTTCAGTGAGGCAATTTAATTCTGCCTCACATCAGGTAGGTTTGGGGTGGTGCTCCACAGTGGCAGGAGCTCCTTCAATCTCGATACACCACCATTCGTGGTTTCCCTGCCAGCATCACTTCCTGGCTCCAGGTGGCTGCAGGAAGCAGGCCAACATTCCAGCCAATAGGAAGGAGGAAGGGCTGATGAAGGGCATAGCCCCTCCATTTACAAATATTTTCCAGAAAGTGTCTCTGCCACTTCTGTTTCCATGTCATTGGCCAGACCTTAGTCACAAGGACAAACTTAGCTGCAAGACAGAATGAGAAATTGACTTTTTATTTCAGTTTTTATTCAGAAATTTAGTTTTTAGCTGGCCATGTCACAGCTAAAAATCAGTGGTCTATGACCAAGGAAGAAAAAACAAATATTAAAACACTATCAGTGGTCTTTGACATACCAAAGTATCACAATCACACTTTGCAAAGGCTAAGATTCTGAAACCACATCACGTTATTACAGGCCAGTGTTACAGAGTTGCATCATATTCTTACAGGCCAACGTTCTGAAATGCTGTGCTATTATAGACCAGGGATTCTGAATCACTTAAGATTCTCATTGGCTAAGGTTCTAGAATTAAATAGCAGTTTTTTAGGCCAAGATTCCAAAGTCACATAAGATTCCTACAAGCCAAGATTCAAAATCACAAAACCTAATAAACCAACCTTTGCAAGTCACATGAAATTCTTGTGATCAAGCATCCAGAAATATATGAGATTTCTAAAGAACAAGTTCCAAACTCATGCAAGATTCCTACCAGCCAACGTACATGGAGATCAAGATTCCAAAATTAAACTGAACTTCTTGTAGACTAGGCTTCCAGACTCACACAATATTCTTGTAAAGCAAGTTTCTGACGCCATACAGTGTGATTATAGTGCTATTCTGACAGCTATGATCCTGGAATCAAACATATTTTCTATTTCAAGCCAAATTTTCAGAATCACATAATGTTTTAATAAACTAAGTTTTCAGAACCATATAAGTTTATTATAAATCAAGTTTCCAGAAGCACACAAGGTTATAAATGACATAACATTATTAAAAGCCAAAATTACAAATCATATATCATTTTTAAAGGTCAATGTTCCAGAATCACCTGAAGTTCTTTCAACCATTGTATCTAGAAACACACAGCATTCCTAGAGGCTAACATTCCATAAATCCATACAATTCTTACAAACCAAGTTTCCAGAATCAAACGATGTTCTTAAATAACCTGAGTTCTTGAATCCTACATACTGCTTGTAGATGACATTCCTGGTCTCTGGTTCCTAAGTCTCCCAAATGAGCTAGCGATTGAAGTTGACTGTGTCCTCCCAAATTAAGATTCACAAAATATTACCTTTTTCAATGCCAGTGGCAGGTGCTCTCTCTCTCTCAGGAACCCCAACAGATTCTAGAAATGTCCTACGAGAGACAGGAGGAGCAGAGTGGTATCAACACTGTATGAAAGCTTAATAATAATAATAATAATTAGAACAACATTTATTCAATGTCTACCATGTGCCTCATACTAAGTTCCTGACATACTTCATCTCATTTAACCACCCCAGCAACTCTGTGGTTGACTTATCTTTGTAATTAGTTATCATCAATATTCTCATTTTATAGATTAAAAAATCCAGCCTCAGAAAGATTAGGTAAATTGACTAAGGTCATACAACTATGAAGTAGCAGATTCCAAATTATAACCTTGGTTGTTGATTCCAGGGCTACAGAGAGATGCCTCCAGCGTTGAGGCAGAACATAGGATAAGGGTTTCTTTTATTAGGCCTCTACCTTTGGGATCAAAACTGCTAAATTCCAACAGAAACATGATCAAAGGAACCATCTGAAGAAATGATCCTTCCTCGGGGTGGGCAAAAGGTGAGGTGCCTAGGAGACTCAGAGAGGCATACATCTAAATAAGGTGGTGATATGGTGTGGCTGTGTCCCCACCCAAATCTCATCTTGAATTGTAGCTCCCATAACTCTCACATGCTGTGGGAGGGACCCAGTGGGAGATAACTGAATCATGGGGACAGTTTCCCCCATACTGTTCTCATGGTAGTGAATAAGTCTCACAAGATCTAATGCTTTTATAAAGGGAAACCCCTTTTGCATGGTTCTCATTCTCTCTTTTGTCTGCTGCCACATAAGATGTGTCTTTCGCCTTCCGCCACGATTGTGAGGCCTCCCCAGCCACATGGAACTGTGAGTCCTTTAAACCTCTTTTTCTTTATAAATTACCCAGTCTTGGGTATGTCTTTATCAGCAGCATGAAAATGGACTAGTACAGCTAGTCAGGATGAAGCTTCCAGTGCATTCTCATGTAACATAACCCATTGTGTTGGAACATGTAGGAAGAATGAATGCATTGGCTAAGCAGCTGTACCCTTCAGCGTGTTTTCAAAGGGTAAGTTAGCAGTCTTTAATTGGCAGTAAATAGGGAAAAGGGGATTCCTGGACTGGCTGACAGGAGTGCTCTGGTCCATTTGGCAAATAAATTCCTAAAGTGAAAGTTGAGTTCATTATCCAGTAGTTACTCATTGAGCTTCTCTTGTGTACCTGGATCTGGAGATAAAACACTATGAAGATGTTTAGGGCAAAATTTTTGTCTTTAAGAAGTGCCACTTTACCAGGAGAAATAGGTGAACAAAGATAAAACATTAGTGCAGCTAGGAGAGGACTGCATGTGTGTATGCAAGTGTGTGCATGTGTGCACACATATGTGCAGGTGTGTGTACACATATGTGCAGGTGTGTGTACACATCCATGCATGTGTGTATGTGTATGCACAAGGAGGTGGGGAAAAGAAAGCTTCATGGAAATGAAGGTGGTAAGCTGCATCTAGAAGGGCAAGAAAGAAGTCTTCTAGGTGGGGTGGTTTTGGCAGAGGTGGTGGGAGGCCTTTCTAGCCAGAGGATCCACCATTATGCAGGTTGTCCAGGGGAAAGAGTATCAGCATGCATGGAGAACTATGAGGCACATGTCCTATCTTAGAAATAGAGCTTATGTTAGGAAGCCAGGGGTCAGGGAGAGTTTAGGGCCAGACTGGGTCTTGTTTGGATCTGTCCTGGAAGCTACAGAGAGGCACTGAACATGAGGATGTAAGGAGGCTGGGCACAAGCTTGTGAGGGCTGTGATGGGAAAATGACCACAGAAAGGTCCCCACCCTTTGATTACCTTCTCTGGGATCTTGTATTTAGGGAACAGATGTTTCAGTTGAATATTCTATACTCTTGCTCTAATACATTTTCATTATGCTTGTTTTAAGAACTGTCATGTCAAAAATAATCTTTGAAAATGTTTAAGACACTGATTTTTAAAACTATGCTTGGGGAGGAATGGCTACTCAATTTCCTGACCTCATTCTCTCTAGGCCCCTGCCCAAGGAGGCCCAGCCTCAGGTTTGACTTCTCTCTTTTTACCACAAAGGAGTAGCAGTTATCACTAGTCAGCTGATACTCAGTGATCCAGCTGCACTGCATCTAGCCCCACAGTCTGTCAACAACATTGGTGAGTCTATTCCAGGTCCTTCTTGGTCAGGTTTATCTGTTTATTTGTTTATGTGTCCAGCTAACAATTTTGCACATATATTACATGTCTGTTTAAGCTGCAAACCTTTTAATCCATCTCTGCTCCCTCTAGCCTAGTTGAAAGTTTCTGAATTAAATTCAGCACACAAGATTTCCACTTCTGGTTATAATACAGCAACAGAATCCACACTTACCTTTCCATCATAGTAAACTAGCAAACAGATTGAAATATATTAAATAATTTTTCAGATATTGGTTAACAGGCACCATGGAGTATGATCTCAGGGGGAAGGGAAACAAAAAGATAAGCCAAATGATCTCTGGGGATTTGTGTCTAGAGGCACATTCTGGATTGTGGTGCAGGGAAGAATATCAAGTAGAGCATGAAGGTTTTACTGAGTTGAGAAGACAGAGATTAATGTTCAGGCACCATGAAGAAAAAGAGTTCTAAAAAGTGCAAAAGGATTTCATTGGATCTTTGCTGAATTATAAGCCATCCATGTGGAGGCTGAAACTTCATGAATTCAGGCAAAGAACAATGGTGGATTTTAAAGTTGAATAGTTCCCAGAGTTCATACAGGTAAGGAGATGTTTAGGCTCCAACTAGGCAGAGTGGAAAGTTCTTATTGATTGCCCAGGGCATTTACCAGAGCTGCCCTAATAAAGATTTAAACAAGACTTGAAAGAAGGAAGTTAATCCTTTGGCAATTTACCCTCCTTCCCAACATGCTTTACACAAAGGCAACAAAATACTGAACAGCGTAATATTCACAATTAAGCTAAAGTTTAATTAAAAATTACTAGACATGCCAAGAATCAGGATAATGTGACTCAAAACTAGTAGAAAAATCAGTCAGTAGAAGCAGAAACAGAAATGACAGAGATGACAAGATTAGCAAACAAGGTCTTTAAAATGCTATTGTAAATCTGCTCAATATGTTCAAGGACTTAAATAAAAATAGGAACACAATTAGGAAAAATAGAAGATATAAAAAAGAACCTAAAATTACTAGAGACAAAAAAATACAATATGTGAAATGAAAATTTCACTGGATGGGGTTAAGAACAGATGAGAAGAAAACATGAAGTTGGAGACACGGCAACAGAAACCACTGACACCAAAACAGAAATGCAAAAGGCTAAACAATAAATAAGCATAGCCACAATGTCTTATGGGGCAGCACCAAACAGTCTAATACATACGTAGCTAAAGTACCAGAAGAAAGAAAAAAAGATAGAAAAATATTTAAGAAATATTGGAGAAAATTTTCCAAATTTGATGAATAATGTAAACCCACAGATCCAAGAACCTGAATGAGTCCCAAACAGAACAAAACAAAAACAAAAAACCCCAAAGGTACATCATGATAAAATTGTTGAAAATTAGTAATGAAACTTTTAAAAGCAGTTGGAGAGAAAAAGACACTATGTCAGAGGAAAATAGATTAAAATACCACAGACTTTTTATCATAAACTATGCATATTAGAATACAATGAAAGACATTTTTAAGGTGCTAAAAGAAAAAAAATCCTGTCAACCTAGAATTCTATATTCAGTAAAAATATCCTTCAAAAACAAAGACAAACTAAATACTTTTTTTTTTCTTTGACAAAAACAAAGCTGCTAAAATTCAATCCTGGTAGACCTACACTCTGAGAAAAGCTAAAGAAAATCCTTTAGGCAGAAGTAAAATGATACTAGATGGAAACTTGGATTTACTTAAAACAATAGAGAGCATTAAAAGTAGTAAATATGTTGGTAAATATAAAATATTTTTTCTTATTTTGAAAGTTCTTTCTTTCTTTCCTTTTTTGAGATAGAGTTTCCCTCTTTCTTTCTTTCTTTCCTTCTTTCTTTCTCTCTCTCTCCTTCCCTTCCTTCCTTCCTTCTTTCTTTCTCTTTCTTTCTCTTTCTTTCTCTTTCTTTCCTTCCTTCCTTCCTTCCTTCCTTCCTTCCTTCCTTCCTTCCTTCCTTCCTTCCTTTTTTGAGATACAGTTTCCCTCTTGTGCCCAGGCTGGAGTGCAGCGGCATGATCTCGGCTCACTGCAACTTCCATCTCCTGGGTTCAAGTGATTCTCCTGCCTCAGCCTCCTGAGTAGCTGGGATTACAGGCACACATCACCGCACTCGGCTTGTTTTTTGTTTTTTGTATTTTTGTATTTTTAGTTGAGATGAGGTTTCACCAGGTTGGCCAGGCTGGTCTCAGACTCCTGACCTCAGGTGATCCACCCACCTCGGCCTCCCAAAGTGCTGGGATTATAGGCGTGAGCCAGCACACCAGGCCTTATTTTGAAAGTTCTTTAGAAGACAATTGAATAAGTGTATGACAATAATAGCATAAAGGATGGGTGGGGGAAATGAGAGTATAGTGTTGTAAGGGTCATGGATTGTATGTAAAAGTATGTAATTTTATTTAAAGTTGGACTATGATGAGCTAAAGATATATATTGTAAGCCACAGAGCAACCCCTGAAAATAAAACAAAAAAGAATGAGCAAAAAGTAGATGAGACAAACAAGAAACAAACAATAGAATGGCAGATTTATACCAAAAATTACATTAACTGTAAATGGTCTAAACAATAAAGAGGCAGATTCAACTATATGCTATCTATAAGAAATCCACCTCAAATGTAAAGGCATACATATTTTCTAAGTAAAAGGAGGAACTCAGATACACCATGAAAATAATAATCATAAGAAAACTGGTTTGACTACATTAGTATCAGAAGAAGTAGTGTTTAGAAAAAAGAATATCACTAGACATAAGAGAAATATTTAATTATAATAAAGCACACAATTTATCAAGAAGACACAAAAATCCTCAATATGTAAACTCATACTAATATAACTTCAAGAGAGATGAAGAAAAACTAACATAACTGCAAGGACAGACATTCATAATTATTGTTGGAGATTTCCATACCCCTCTCAATTACTGATAGTACAAGTAGTAGGTAAATCAACAAAGATGAAGAAGACTTGAGCAATATCACCAATTTGATCTAATTGCCATTTCTTGATTATCTACTCACCTCCACCAAAAGAATACATATTATTTTCAAGTATACATGGAGCATGTATTAAGAAAGGTCATTTTCTGTGCCATAAAAAAGTTTCAGCATACATATATATACATATTATTATTATTATTATTTTTGAGACAGAGTCTCACTCTGTCACCCAGGTTGGAGTGCGGTGGCGCCATCTTGGCTCACTGCAAGCTCCGCCTCCCGGTTTCACACCATTCTCCTGCCTCAGCCTCCCGCGTAGCTGGGACTACAGGCGCCTGCCACCATGCCCAACTAATTTTTTGTATTTTTCAGTAGAGACGGGGTTTCACCGTTTTAGCCAGGATGGTCTCAAACTCCTGACCTCGTGATCCACCCGCCTCGGCCTCCCAAAGTGCGGGGATTACAGGCATGAGCCACTGTGCCCGGCCGTCTCAGCATATTTTTAAGGATTGAAACAAAGCATATTTTCTGACCAAAATGGAATTAAAACACAAATCAACAACAGAAAAATATCAAAAATCCTAGAATGTATGGAAATTAAACACTTCACTTCTAAGTAACCTTTAGTTCAAAGAGTAAATCACAGGGAGATTTAAAGATATTTCAACTAAATGAAAATGAAAATTCTACATAACAAAATTTGTGACATATAGATATGGTGGTGATTAATGAGAAATATATGTCTTTAAATGCTCATATTAGAATGGAAAAAGGTTTTTATCAATATTCTAAGCTTTCATCTTTAGAAACAGAAGAGCAAATTACATACAATTGAGAAACTCAACAAAACCAAAAGCTGACTTTTAAAAAGATCAATAAATTGAAAAATTTGCGACAAGATTTATCTGAGAAAAAGAGAGAGTGAGCATGAGTGCTAACATAATGAATGAAAGAGGAGGCATAACTAGAGATGCTAGAGATAATAACAACACAGTAAGGGAATATAATGAATGACTTTATGTCAAAAAAATCAACAACTTAGATGAAATGGCCAATTGATAAAGGGTACAACTTAAAAAAGATAGAAAACCTAAATAGCCATATACATGTTATGAATACATTTCTTGAACGTTGTGATATCTCATCTTTAGAGTTGTTTGTGTTACCTATTGTGACCTGTGTTGACTGATATGACTTGAAAAGAACATAAGCAAATAAAATGCTCTGACTACTTACTCCTAAATTGATAAGGATATAGAGAGCAAAAAGCAGTAAATAGATTTATGCTTCCCAACATATTAAATATGATAAAAAATACTATCTCCTGACGAGCCACAGTAAGAATGTACCCACAGAGAGTCAGGGAATAAAACCCCAGCCTGCCAAACCACCTTCAAGCCACTTCCTATTGAACAACCCACGTACTTCGCTCCCTTTGTTTGTCCAGGAAACATTGGAGTGTCAGAGATCAGAAGATATCTAGTAGTTGTTGAGGCAAAGAGAAAGACTAATTTAGGATTAGTCTGCACCGTTTCCACCTTTTAGGTTTGCTTTAGCCATTTAGCTTTTAAAAGAAATAAATGCATGAATTTATAAACGTTTAATTAAGCCATTTTGTCTGCTTTTTCAGTTTTGTTTCTGCTAAAATTTAAGCAAAATTGGAATTGAAACTGAAACTGGAAACTTAAATGCACCACATATTCCTTGAAGAAATTGAATTCGTAATTTAAAAGCCCCTTTCCTATCCCCAAAACACAAAATAGTCCAGACCCAGATGAACTCACTAGTGAATTCCAACAAACACTTAAGAAAGAAATACCAATTCAAAAAAAAAAAAAAAACACTCAGAAAAAAGAGGAGGGAACATATTCCAACTCATTATGAGACCATCATGTCCCAATACAAATAAAACTACATACAGATATTACCAAAAAAGGGAAGAAAACTATAGATCAATATCACTCATGGTGATAAATCCTTACAAAACATAAGCAAATAGAATTAACAATATTTTAAGGGATAATATATCATGCAAAAGCAGGACTTATCCCAGGAAAACAAGATTGATTTGATATCCAAAAGTTAATCATTGTAATTCACCACATTAATAGAATGAAGGATAAAAACCATATATCCATCTCAATAGATGCAGAGAAAGTACTTGAAAAAACTCAGTGGTAATTTATCATTAAAATTACTAATAAACTAGGAATAGAAGAAAACTTCCTCAACTTGATAAAGAGAATATATAAAAAACGTATGACCTGATAAGGAGAATCAGTTTAAGGTTAAAGACTATATGGTTTCCTTCCAACATCAGAAACAAGACAAAATATCTGCTTTTATTACTTCTATTCAACATTGTCCTAAAGATCCTATCCAGTGAAATAGGCAAGAAAAAGAAATAAAAGACATCTGAATGGAAAGGAAGAAATAAACTGTCTTCATTAGCAGACAACATAATTGTGTACATAGAAAGTTCTAAAGAACATACATTTTTAAAGGTTTGAGAACTCCTAAGTGACTTGGTGACTTTAGTAAGATCACAGGATGCAAGGCTAATAAGTAAAGATCAGCTGTTTTTCTCTACCAACAACAATAGCTAGAAATAAAAATTTACAAAATACCATTTACAGTAGCATCAATTAATAGGAAACACTTTGGGATAAATTTGACAAAATATGTGTAAGATTTATACTTTGAAAACTACAAAATACTGCTGAGAGAAATTTTAAAAGAACTAAATAAAGGGAGAGCTATAATATGTTCATGGATTGGAGTATTGCTAAAATGTTAATCCACTTCATATTGACTGATAAAATTTCCGAGGCTTTTAAAAGTAATTGTCAAGCTTAGTGTAAAATTTATATGCAAAAGATTTAGAAAATCTGCAACAATTTTGAAAAAGAAAAACAAAGTTGGAGGACTTATATTACCTGATTTTCGAACTTATTACAAAGCTACAGTAATGAAGAGAGTGTGGCACTGGCATCAAATTAGTCACATAGATCAATGGAATAGAATAAAGAATCAAAAATAGACTCACAGATACATGGTCAATTGATTGTTAACATATTTCAATAAAGGAAAAGAGAGTCTTCCAACAAATTGCACTGGAATAATTAGATATTCATATGAGGAAAAAATAAACCTCACATAAAAATGAACCCAAAACAGGAAAAAGATCTAAAGGTGGAAGATAAAACTGTTAAACTGATAGGAAAAAAAAATAGAAGAAAATCTTTTCAACTTTGGGGTAAGCAAGGATTGCCTAGCTGGGAAAGAAAAATTAAAAAACCACAAAAGAAAAAATTCATAACTTGGTTTTTCTATTAATTTGTTAGGGCTGCCATAATAGAATACCACAGACTGGGTAACTTACATAACAAGTACCTGTTGGGGGCTGTTAAGTCCAAGATCAAGGGGCTGGCAGGTTTGGTTTCTACTGAGGCCTCTGTCTTTGGTTTTCAAACAGATGCCTTCTCACTGTGTCCTCCCACGGCCTTTTCTCTCTGCACACACCTCTCTGGTGTCTCTTCCTCTTTTTGTAAGGAAATCAATCCTATTGTATGAGGGCCCTACCCTATGACCTCATTTAATCTTGATCATCACCTTCAAGACCCTGTCTTCAAACACAGTCACACTGGAGGTTAGAGCTTCAACATAGGAATTTTGGGGGACCATGATTCTGTCGAAAACAGAACTTTAAGTTGGTGCCTTTTACTAGGTACACATACACAAAGACACTATATTTTAATAAAGTAAATAAAGAAATCTTTTTCAACATTTAAAACTTCTGCTCTTTGAAAAACATCTTCAGTAAAGGAAAAGACAAGCCACAGGCTGGGAGGAAATATTCATATAGCTGACAAAAGCTATATGTAAAGTGAACATTATATCCTGAATTTATAAAGAACACTTAGAACTCAATAATAACAAAAAATTTGAAAAATGCTCAATAGATTAAAAAAGATGGTTCCCAAAAGAAGATGCACCAATGGCCAATAAGCATGTGAAAAGATGCTCAGCATCATTAGTCATCCTGGAAATGAAAGCCTAAACCACAATGAGGTATGACTACACACCCATTAGAATAGTTAGTATTTAAAAGCTGACAATCCAAGAATTGGAAGGATGTGGAGCATTGCTGGTGACAGTCTAAAATGGTATAGCCCCTTCAGAAAATTTTAGAAATTTCTTATAAACTTAAATATACATTTATTATATGACCCAGCAATTGTACCCCTAGGCATTTACTCAAGAGAAATGAAAACGTGTCTATATGAAGACCCATCTGTAAGTGTTCATAACATCTTAATAAAAACCAAAAACGAAAACCAACCAAAATGTACATGCATAAACTGGTGAGTGGATAAATAAATTGTGGTACATGCATATAATGGAATCATGCTCAACCATAAAAAATGACTATTGATACATGAAACCACATGGATAAGTCTCAGAATAATTACGCTGAATGAGAGAAGCCGGGTGTGAAAGAGTACATACTTATGACTTCATTCATTTGAAACTCTAGAAACTCCAGAAATAACAAATCTGTGTTCCAGTGACAAAAAGCTGATCAGTGGTTGCCTTAAGCTGGTTGTAAGAGTGATTGATTGGGACACAACATATGCAAACTTTTTGGGCAGAAGAAGTGTTTTATATCTTGATTTTGATGTTGTACATGAATGTATACATTTGTAAAAACTCATCGCACTGTCAGCTTTAAGTTGGTGCATTTTAACACGTTATAATTTAATAAAGTAAATAAAGTTGATTAAAATTATTTTAAAAAAATCCAGCAAGCCCAGTTTGACTCTCTGCCCAGCAGCTTATTTTGTAAACAAAGTTGATAATTTTGACCCATTTTGGGGGTTTTGGTTTCTGTTCTGGGGATAGATATGAATTAGGCTGAATTTGAGACAAGAGTCTGGAGATTTTGATTGAGTGAGCAAGTAACAGAAATTACATTTCTACTTTTTAACAAATGAAAAATATTTTCACTAAACCCTGCAAAAGGCTCTGTCAAGAATCGAGTTAGCTTCAGCTGGGTAACTTACAAAGCCTTCTTGAGTCCTCCCATGACCCAGAATAAGGGGAAACTGTCCTTTTCCAAATTCTGACAGACTCACTAGTAATTTGCTTCAAAACATCTGTAGTCCTTCCTGACTTTTCCAGCAATGTTTCACAGAAAGCTCTTCTTTTCTTTTCAAAATGCTTCAGAATTTACTTTGAAAATGAAGTTTGTATCTGTCCCCCGTCCCCCCTGAATTTTGAGTGACTTATTTCAGAACTGGCTTCAATTTACATGCCTGTCATTTTAGACCATAATAAGCCCCATTAACTGTTATATGATGTCAGTTTGCTTTATTTTTGTTTTTGGGGTTTTTTAGGGGGAATGGGAGGAGGGTTAAGCTGCCTGTCTGAGAGTGGCAGATTTGGCTGATTTAGTTATACCCAGATGTGCCTAAATATAAGACAGAGAGGAATAAATACTGAGTAGGAGTTTTAGTGAATTTATGTTGTATTTCTCATAAATTCCTGTGGGTTCCTTTTGGCACCAGAATTTAATTTATTATTCTCTGTTCCTTTTTAAATAAAATCTGATGCAACAGTTAAGGGCTAGGCTCAGGCTGGGAGCCTCTGCCTCTGATCAGCTGCTGCAACATAATATAAATCAATTCGGCAAGTAATACCAGAGCATCTACTGTGTATTTAGACCTTTAGTGAGTCCCGTGGAGTGTTCAGGAAAATGTTCTGGCTTCAGGGAGCCTCCAACAGAAAAGAAGCATAAATGGTGACTAGACTTTGAGCTGGAAGAGCTAAATTTTAGTTAGGCCTCCTCTACCTAATTACCGGCCTTAGAAGAATTTATTTAACTTCTTGGTTAAAGAAATTTTTATGAGCTTCAATGTCTTCATTTGCAAAATGGAAAAAATATCCCTACTTTCTCCACAGTATCAAGGCAGGGTTCAAAGAAGGGAATGCTTAGCATGGCGCTTTTAAAAAGGTACATGCAATAAAATGGTGAAGTTCATTTATTAGAGTATGATTGGGGAGATAAGCCCATCTTATCTCAGCAAAAAGTGCATGAAAGAATTTATGATTTAGTTATTTCCTCATAGAACAGCAAAAAGGGATTAGGGAAAACAATAGATTTTTATTAATATTAATATCATTAAAACAAGATTTTAAAAGCTACAAGAGTCATACTTTTACTTCTGGTTACAATAAAGTAACTTGTGTCAGACCAAAGTTTCTAGTGAAATAAACTTAAAAAGCTGGAATTTTTTCTTTTCTTTTTTTTTGAGACAGGGTTTTGCTCTGTTGCCCAGGCTGGAGTGCAGTGGTGCAATTATGGTTCACTGCCACCTCCTGGGCTCAAGCGGTCCTCTCATCTCAGCCTCCCAAGTAGTTGGGACTGCAAGCATGCACCACCACACTCAGCTAATTTTTTAATTTTTTATAAAAATGAGGTCTCACTATGTTGCCCAGCCTGGTCTTGAACTCCTGGGCTCAAGCAATCCTCCCACCTTTGCCTCCCAAAGTGCTTGGATTGTAAGCATGAGCCACTGAGGCCAGCCTTGGAAAAAAATATTTTTAAAAATATCTTTGAAGAATTGTAGGACACCCAAGGCAACCACTATTTAAGGGGCCAAGATTTTGGAGAAAAAAAAGGAAGTTCTTTGAAAGATCTCAATATCTGGTCATCACTTTTCCCCTTGGGATATGGGAGGCTGCAGGGCCTGGTAGGGTTTACCCACAAAGAAGCAGAGAAGCCAGCAGAGCTTTAGGCTATCTGATAGAGCAGAGGAACAAAAAAGGACAGTTCTAGGCTCCCAAGGCAGCTGACTTGAGGAGCCAAGGTCCAAGAGACAATGGAGGCACAGAAAACTAAACCTGACAGTTAGCATTTTTCCACTTGAGGTATTTGTCAATTCTTGGCTGTGCAGGGTGAGAAGCTAAGAAACTAAACAAAAGGTAGTTGGGAAACCTTTCATGGTCTCTGGGAGACAAAAATTGGAATTTAGGGCTGGGTACAGTGGCTCATGCCTATAGTCCCAGCACTTTGGGAGGCTGAGGAGGGAGGATTGCTTAAGCCCAGGAGTTCAAGACCAGCCTGGGCGACATAGGGAGACCCCCATCTCTACAAAAAATTAAGAAATTAGTTAGGCATGGAGTCGTGTGCCTGTGGTCCTAGCTACTTAGGAAGCTGAGGTGGGAGGATCACATTGAGCCTGGGAGGTTGAGGCTGCAGTGAGCCATGATTATGCCATTCCACTCCATCCAGCCTGAGTGACAGAGTGAGACCCTGTCTCAAAAAGAAAAAAGAAAAAAGAAAGAAAAGAAAAAGAAAGAATTTAGGATTTTCTAAGAATGAGTGGCCGACCCAAGAAATACCCCTGGACCTGGATGGCTATACTCTTGGAGGAAAAATGACAAGAGAAAGAACAAATTTGTAAAGACTAAAACCAACTTCAAGTCAGTTCAGCCCTTGA
Organism: Homo sapiens; assembly: GCF_000001405.40. Taxonomy (NCBI): domain Eukaryota; kingdom Metazoa; phylum Chordata; class Mammalia; order Primates; family Hominidae; genus Homo; species Homo sapiens. The sequence continues at coordinate 68,523,028 of NC_000015.10, read as the reverse complement.
TTGAATGGAGGTAAACAAACAGCCCCTACTCTAACTGCATGCCAGAGAATAGAATGAACCCTCTATAGAAGAAGATGTTATCATCCAAAGTCTCCACATGTTTTAATATAAACTCTCCAGTATTCAATAAAAAATAGTAAGTATTCCAAGTTACAAGACCAAGAGAAAAAACAGGCAAGAAAAACACGCAGGAAAAATAAACCCATATGTGACTTACATATTAGGGTTATTGGACACTAAAACAACTGTGATTAATATGCTCATAAAAAGATATAACAAGATGAAGAATTTTGCTTGAGAACAACAATCTATTTTTAAAAATCAAGCAAATTCCAAAACTGAAAAGGAATATAATTGATGAAACCAGTCTGACCATCATGGTGAAACCCCGTCTCTACTAAAAATACAAAAATTAGCCAGGCATGGTGGCACGCACCTGTAATCCCAGCTACTCAGGAGGCTGAGGCAGGAGAATCGCTTGAACCCAGGAGGCAGAGGTTGCAGTGAGCTGAGACTGTGCCACTGCACTCCAGCCTGGATGACAGAGCGAGACTCCATCTCAAAAAAAAGAAAGAAAGAAAAAGAATTCAATAGATGGCTCAACAATAGATTGGCACAGCTGAAGAGGATTAGTTAAGTTGTGCTTAAAGAGCATATAAGAGATATATGAGACATGGTGGAGAGTTTGAATATTAACACAATTGGAGTCTCAGACGAGAAAGAGAGAAGAATGGAGAAGAAGTGGTATTTAAAGAGATATGGAAATAATGACTAAGAATTTTCCAACAATGCCAAGACATCAAGCTAGAGATTCAAGAGTACTACAAAGTCCAAGCAAGAAAGAAAATGACATCTAGAAACATCATTGTGAATCTTTGAAAATTACAGGTAAAGAGAATATTCTTTAAAGGAGTCCATGGGGCCAGGCATGGTGGGTCACGCCTGCAATCCCAGCACTTTGGGAGACTGAGGTGGGAGGATTGCTTGAGTTCAGGAGTTAAAGACCAGCCTGGGCAACATAGGGAGACCTTGTCTCTACAAAAAATTTTACAAATTAGCCGGGTGTGGTGGCACATGCCTGGTCTGTAGTCTCATCTACTTGAGAGGCTTTCGTATTTTTTTCATTGGAGACGGGGTTTTGCCATGTTGGCCAGGCTAGTCTCAAATTCCTAACCCATCTACTTGCTTGAGCCTGGGAGGTCGAGGCTGCAGTGAGCCACTGCTGCACTCCAGCCTGGGTGATAAAGTGAGAAAGAAAAAAAAAAACAAAAAAGAAAAGAAAAGAAGTATATAGTGAAAAGACACATACCTTCAAAAGCACAATAAAAAGATGAAAGCCAGAAGACAATGGAATGATATCTTCAAATTTATAAAATAAAAATAATTGACAATCTAGGATTCTATAGCCAGTGTAAAAACTTTCAAAGTGTATGCGAAATAAAGTTATTTCTAGACAGGCAAGAGTAAAATGACCCCAGATGGCAAAAAAGGAAATGTAAGAAGGAATGAAGAACAACGGAAAGGGTGAATATGTGGGTACATCTAAATAAACATTGACTTTACAAGAAAATAATGTAATGTGACATTCAAAATATATATAGAACTAAAATGTAGACAATAATAACACAAAAAGTAGGGGAATGAGTTAAAATGTACCAAGCTTGTGGCACTGTCCAGAATTTACAAAAGTACTACTTTATATTAGATTCTAAAAAGTTAAGTAATCTATGGCAATCTCTAAAATAATAGTAACAGAATGTAAAACTGACAAGCTAATGGGGGAGATGGAATAATGAAAAATAGCTTATTAATTCAAAAGAATGCAAGAAAAGGGAACATAAAACAGGTCTAGGAAAAATAGAAAACAAATAGTAAAGATGGTAGATGTAAAACCAAACTTATCAACCAAAGAACTAAATACTCCAATTAAATGTAAATGAATTAAATACTTCATTTAAAAGACAAAACTTTTTTTTTTTTGAGATGGAGCCTTGCTCTGTCACCCAGGCTAGAGTGCAGTGGCATGATCTTGGCTCACTTCAACCTCCACCTCCCAGGTTCAAGTGATTCTCCTGCTTCAGCCTCCCAAGTAGCTGGGATTACAGGTGCACGCCATCATGGCTGGCTAATTTTTGTATTTTTTTCAGTGGAGATGGGGTTTTGCCATGTTGGCCAGGCTAGTCTCAAACTCCTGACCTCAGGTGATCCACCCGCCTCGGCCTCCCAAAGTGCTGGGATTACAAGCATGAGCTACTGCACCCGGCCAAAGCTTTTAAGACTGGATTTTTAAATGCTATGCTGTTTACAAGGGTCCTTAAATATTAAGCTGAACCACATTAATGTGCCGATAGTCAACCATATTTGACTTATAAAAATAGCAGTTTCTTATAGTTCAACCTAAGATGAGGGCATAGTGAAGCTGAAAGTAAACGGATAGAAAAATATACCCTGTGAACTGTAACCAAGAGAAAGTAGAGTTTAAGGCAAGAAGCATTTCTAAGCATTTAAGAGAGACATTTCATAATGATAAAAGTGCTAGTCCATCAGGAAGATACAACTTTTCCAAATTTTTATGTATTTAACGCCATAGCTTCAAATTACACGGAGCAAAAATTAACAGGAGAAATAAACAAAAATCACTATTTTAAGGGGAGACTATAATATACCTCTTTCAGTAACTGATGGAACAAGCAACAACAAAAAAATCTGTAAGGATATAGATCTGAACAATGTAACTAGGAAAATTCACCTAATTGCATACACAGAAGCTATGCTGTCCCTAACATCCATAGAAAACGCATTCAAGTGTACATGGAACATTTATCAACATTGATCACATGCTAGCCCATAAAGCAGATTTCAACACATTTCAAATGGCAGAAATGATTCAAAGTTTGTTTTTTGACCACAGTGGACTAAATCTAGGAATCGATAATGAAAGAATAACAAGAAAATTACTAGATGATTGAAAATAAAGCATCATGCTTCATATAATACATAGATTTAAAAAATCACAACAGAAATGAGAAAATAGTTTGGATTGAATGCTATGATAAATATTATATATCAAAACTTATGGAACTAAAGCTGTGCTTAGTGGAAAATGTATGACTTTAAATACTTATATTAGAAAAAGTGAAAGGCTGAAATCAATTTATCTAATATTTATCTCAAGATACAGCTAAAGCTATGCTTGCTATGCTTAGAGAGCTATGTATAGCCTGAACTTCATGTATTAGAAAAGAAGAAACGCTGAAAGCCACTTATGTAAGTATCTATCCTAAGACATTAGAAAAAGAATGGCAAGCTATACAAATAGCAAAGAAAATAGTCAGAAGGAAATAATAGAAATAAGAGCAGATATTAATGAAATAGAGTATAAACAACAAAGGAAAATCATCAAAATCAAAAGTTGGTTGTTGGAAAGACTAATGAAATTGATAAACCTCTAGAAAAACTAAGCAACGAACAAAGAGGGAGAGCAAAAAATCATCAATATGAGTAATGAAAAGATAAATATTAATGAATTTATACAGGTTATATAGCAGAATGGTATGAGTGCACCTTCTAAAATCAGACTGCCTAGAGCTTTGGGGTTTAAAATAGAATTAATAGTATAGAATTACCTATGATAATATAGAATTAACCTATCTGACAGTTTTGGTAAATTCTTGATCATTATCTTTTCAGATATGACTTTTGCCCTATTTCCTCTTTTTCATTTTTCTGGGACTTCAGCCAACCACACATGCTTATACATGTGTGCTTGTGTGCATTTGTACGCTTTCTGAAGGTCTTCTCCTTAGCCCTTGTCTGTCCTGGCCACATTTTCTGCAGGCTACTGGGCTTGGGTTTCCCCAGAGATGCCCACAGGATGTGTTTGCCCTGGGGTGTGGAGCAGCTGCAGCTGAACAGTTTTGCCACCCGCAAGGGCTCCTGTGCACATGTGCAGGACTGAGCATCTGGGTCAGGGGCTCCTGAGTGTGAGGCAGTCCTGGGCCGTGCATACTCTGCTTTGCTCCTGTATGTACAGGTTCGGGCCTGGAACAAGGCAACTGGGGCACGTTATCTGAAATCACTGTCTAGAGAGCAGAGACCCGGTCCAGGCTCCTCCTCATAAACTAGAGGTCTTCCAGGGTGCTGAACCAGGGGTCTGGAGTCCTTGGGCCTGAGGGACCAAGAGCAGATGACTTGCTCTGGGTCTTGCTCATCAGTGTTTATGGCTGTCAAGAAAAGGACCCTCTTTCCTTCAGCAGCCCCCCACCCCCTCTCCATCAGAAAGGAGCAAGGGAGGGCATCACAGGGTTCCCAGGAAGCCCCTGGGGACCCTAGGGTAGAGATCAGCCCGAAGCCTGTTTCTCCAGTCACAGCCAAAGCTATGCCCAGAAGGCCCCAAGTCTGGCAGCAAGGGTGCAGTGCTGCTGACTGGACTCACCTTGGAAGGCAGAAACGGGATGCTGCTTCCCAGGGAGCAAGGGGGAAAAGAGCCAAAGGGAGGAGGAGAGAAGAGAGTAGGGAGAAGGTAGAAGGGCTGAAAATGGAAATGGGCAGGGAACAGAAAATGGGGTGGGAGTGGGCAAGACAGAAGGCAGGGAATGAGGACAGGGGAGGGAAGAAGAAAGGAGAGGGAAGCAGGAAAGGAAGAGCTCGGTCCTCATCGCTGCCACCCACGCCTTTCATGTGCTGCCTCAAGACGATTTGCATTTTACCAGGGATGGTGCCTGGAATCCTACAGCATAAAGCACTCATGATGGTATTTCAGGCACAGGGCTCTCAGATGCAGGAGCCTGCCCTCAATCCACATCTTGGAGGCCTTGGAAAGCTTTCCTGCCTAGGCTTAGGATTCGCTCCAGGAAGCCAGAGCCTATCCACTGGCAGCTGAGAGCTAGAAATGGGAGAAGCTTTTCTTGTGTGTTTTCAAAAGGCTTTGCTCTTTCAAAACAACTTTTCAACGAGGACCTTGAAAACCAGAATTACTCTCAAAGGATAAAACTACCTTCCCCCAGCCCTGTGTTCCAGATTGCAAAAACTTCTCTTGCCCTGGGATTTTGGGCTCAGACCCTTCCCTGGCCTTATGAGGGTACATGCAGTTTGAGGAATATCCTTTCACAGTCAGGACAACCAGATTAATAATAAATCACCATCAGGCATGTATGGTTTGGCTCGGAGGCCGTTCTGGGAATGGGGATTCAAGGCAAAAGAATCTGGCCTAATGGTTTTTCCAATGGTCCCAGTCCTGTGTTTTCACAATTCTGGCCTTCAGAGACCCCCATTTGCTCCTCACCTCTCCAGGCCTTTAGCGACCATCCTCCTCTCCCTGGGCCCTCAGACTCTAGGACTTAAGCTGGTCTGTGGCCTGAGAGACTGGATGGAGGAGGCTGTCCCTTTTGTCTGGAGGAGGAGCAGTAAGCACTGCCCAGCTGCAGAACACAGCACTCCAGCCGGGCCACCAGGCGGCAAGGCGAAGGTGGATTTCCAAGTGGAAGGCAGTGAGAACTGTTGGAATCCACCTCCAGAGTCACGGAATTTTTTTTTAAATGTCCTTTTCAAACACATACTTTGAAAAAATATTTAAAGGCAGGGGAAATTAATTAGGGCCCTTTGTGCTGGAATCGCCTTCCACAGCATTCCTTCAGCAAGAGAAGTAAAAATAGAACCTGTGAGAGTTTGAAAATGCACTGCTCACAAAGATCATATTTAAGAGGCCAGCTAGGCATGACTATTCAAATAGGAAGAATGGAGCTAATTATTTCCATCACTGCAGGGGGGAAACAGTGGCCGTCTTCTTGGGGTCGTCGGAAACAGCCTGAAAACTGGAAAAACCCGCAGGAGGCTGGGAGGAGAAGCCTTTCCAAGGGACAGACCCTGCTTGTGCCCCTTAGAATAATCATCACTTTTGTCCTAACTTTGTTACTGATAAAGAGTGAGGAAATCAGGAAAAATGAGTGGAGAAAAGGAAAGCATTTGGAGGATATCAAAAGTCCCTCCTATTTATGCAACAACTTGACTTTTTTTTTTTTTTTTTACACATTTTCCCATTCATTTGCTCCTCAACTAACCCCAGGAAGTAGGCTTGGTAGGCATTTTCATTTTCCACAAAAGAGAATGCTTGATGAGCCCAAAGTTACACAAAGATGTCACTGGCAGGCTAGGTAAGGCCCAGAAGTCAGGTGGTCTGACTCCTACCTGGCAAAGTTTCAGTGTGACATGGTGCCGTGAGTGTGGGCTTCAGAGTCAGGAAAGTCTGAGATGAGGTCTGGGATCAGCCACTTACTGGCAAGTCACTCCCGCTCTCAGCCTTGGTTTCCACATCTGTAATATTTTTCCTGGGACCTTAGGACCTAAATAGGTTCCCTTTTAAGGGCTGTCATGAAGATGAAGTGAAATGATTTGTCTAAATAACTCAGCACAGTGCATGGCCAATAAAAAGCACTCAGTCAGCTGTTGTTACCATTGTTATCATTGTGCTGTGTGATGAGAACAACAGGAGAACATTCTGGAGAAGGGAAGGATAAAGCAGCCATCAGAAACACTCCACTCAGAGGCATCCAGTGTCACAGCACAAGTCCTAAAGCAGGAGTCATGCGACCTTGGGTAAATCATACAGTCTTTAAGACTCCATATTCTCATCTGTAAAATGGGCATCGTGATATCTTCTATGACTGGGGCAAGGCCATGTGTTCCCCATACCATTTCTGCTTCCTGGGTTCACAGTAGAAATGACATTTTCCAACTCCCTTGTAAGATCAAGAGCCCTGCAATGATCACCTTTTGTAGTCATTGTCATCATCATCAACATCATCACCATCCCCCACTCTGTAATAGCACTTTACAGTTTTCACAGTAAATTTCAACATTTTATCCCATTTCATTCTTACAGAAATTCTGATTCCTATTTTATAAACAAGAAAACTAAGTTTGAAGAGAGCAAATGACTTTGCCCACTCTATGGAGGGAGAAGCAGGACTCGAACACAGAACCCTTGCCTCCACATAGCAGTGCCCCTGGGTAGCACCCTGGGGCACCTTCAGACTTGCCCTAAACAGACACATTTTCCTCCGTGGCCTCTCCTCCCTTCCTAGGTTAGCCCCCCGGCCAGCCTCTAGGGAGGTAGGTGGGAGCAGGGGATGTCTAGCTCTGGATGAGCTGGGCAGGGCTGACTCCCAGCAGGGCTACCTTGCTGTGTTGGAAGCAGAGTGATAGGCAGCCCCAGAGCTCTAAGTAGAGCCCGTATGAGAGGCAGTGCCAAGGTTTGCCATGGCCTGGGGTGCTAAGACGGATCTGTCCAGAGCACATACTGTAAAGACACCCAGAACAAAAGCCATTTGACCAAAGGGATCAGGCATGGGGCTCCTTGCACAGTGTAGTGTAGTGAGAGCTGCTCATCTTGGCTATGGAATGACCTCAACCCTGGCCACAAACAGACCCCTAAAACCAGGCACAAACCAGCTCCAAACCTCAGTCACAGGCTGACCACAAACCCAGTTATAGTTACCCCTCCTAGAGACTGACTCCAAGCATGAACCATACTTGAATATTGACCCCAATCCTCAAAGGCTACAGCTCAGTGCCGTGAACTAACCACTCCCTGACCACAGACTGACATCTAACCCTGGCCCCAGATTGGCTTATTGTACCCTGGCCAGATTGACCCTAGAACAGCAGCTCTCAAGCATGTGCCATTGGTCATATAAGACAGAGGGGACAGGTGGGTCAGCCCAGCACATCTTCTCTCAGAACACTTAGACCCCCAGAGGGTTGGGGAGGGAGACCCAGGGTCATCTCTGTATATGCATATATAACCAGAATTGTGCAATTTGGCATTTCATTTCTGTTTGATAATACTTGGTACCTTCCTTATATTACCATATTTCAATTGTAAGAAGCACAATTGAACATTTCTGTAATGAGGGTGTGTTTATAATCAATGAAGCCTTGTGAGTTGCTGTTGGCCTGGTAGTTGCTGTGATGTTGTTGTACATGTAGGAATCTGTCCATGGCTTTTCATGTCATTGGTGCTTCAGCTCTGCAGTTTTTCATGGTTGGCACCATAGGTATTCAGCTCAATTACTGTTTAAAGTATCTTTTAAAAACAACAACAACATGGCTTTTTAATTGACAGTCACTCAGCCATTTCTAAGTAGGTGTAGTACTACCTTTCAGAACTCACATTGGCAAGTATAAAAAGATGACTTAAAGCGAAGTGAGGACAAAATCACATTCTGCATACTAACCTATTTCTTTTTTTCTCCCTTTAAGGTGCTAAACTTGCACCTCATGTCCACTCAGTAACAAGTATTGGGATGTAGAGCACAGCCTCACTCAGCTCTGAAAGGTAATACAATCTGTGAGGGTGTGAGCCAGTGGCCTTTGCAATTGTGGATCTTGAGCTCTGCTCTCAGCAGATTTCAGATGTAACCATTTGTTAACTGTACTGAAGGCGTGTCCTTAAGAGGAAAGTGTTCAAATTAAAAAACTGCTGCCAGAAAAAAATATATATATTATCTGACCTTTAAACAAAAAGGTACTATGCTCAGAGAAAGACATGGTAAGAGGGCAGCAGATGGCAGTTTGATTTTAATGGAAGAAGTTGGAAGAATGATAATAATTTTCCCATTTTTCTTCACAGTAACAACTGAATGTTTTATAAGACCCAAGAAACATTATAAGGAGAGTATAAGAAAAGTATAGATGATTTCACTTATTACCCTAGTTACAACCCTTCATAAAATATGAGTAAATTATTTTTAAAATAGCAAATCATGACTAAGAAGGGTTTATTTCAGGAATTTAAGAATGGTCCAATATCAGAAAATCTATCTGTGTATTTCACCACATTAATAAACTAAGGGAGAAAAATCACATGATATCTAAACAGATACAAAAAAAATATTTTAAAAGTTCAACATCGCTTTATGATAAAAACTCTCAGATACTAAAAATAGACAAGAACTTCTTTAACTTGAGTATGGCTCTCTACTAAAATCCTACAGTAAATATACCTAAGAAAATGTTTAAAATTTTAGATACATTCTTCTTATGTTTAGGTACAAGACAGGAATGACTATTATTATTCAGTGTAGTACTAGAGGGCCTGGCCAATGCAATAAAATAAGAAAAAGAAATGAGGATTGTAATATAACTGTCGTAATGGAGGAGCTAAAACTATCAACTGTGGATAATATCATGATCTACAAATAAAAACTAACAATCCCACACAACTTATAGAGCTATGATAAATAGTTCTTCAAGAGAGCTGGTTAGAAGATCAACCTAGGTAATTCATTAGCACTTCTCTAAAATAGCAGTAAATTAGAAAAGTAGAAAATAAACTTCTAGTCAAAATAGCAGCAAATTTACAAGTCATCTAGAAAAGTGTAAAATTAACAAGACATTTGTGGATCAAATTGTAAAACTTTATAACAAAGATAAATACTAACTGGAGGCAAAAGGTAAATCTAAAAAACTTATAGAAGACATACTAAGAATAGTAAGACAATCCAAGAATATCTGCGACTGCGGGAATGCTTTTGTTTGCAAGGCCCCAAGGGTATAAACTTTAAAAGAGAAAAGTGATTATTTGTCTACATCAAAACTAGCATTTTTGTTCAATAAATAACACAATGTGCAAAGGTAAATGATAACTTGGGAGAAAACACTTTAAATGAATAAAACAGACTAGATCTGAAAAAAGACATAAGAAACTCGCAAATCAACAAGATGACACAACCCAATGTCAATCAGGAAACTTAGCTTTGAGAGAAAAATGGAAGGAAGTGTAAGAGCTAATACACAATAACATTTATGTCAGTTAAAAACATATACACATAACAGCACTGTATATTTCCCATGTCTCTAAAAACATATATTAGATATCTAAAGAAATGTATTAAATACATTGGAATTAAACATGGTTCATGCTTGGACTGAATGAGGAGAGGAATTAGACTACTTTGGGGGATAAAAGCAAAAAGTAAAACAAAACAAGACGGGGATGTATTTTCCTATTGCGGTCATAACAAATTTCCACAAAATTAATGGCTTAACACAACACAAATTTATTACCTGACAAGTGCTGGAGGTCAGAAATGCAAAATCAGTTTCACTGGGCTAAGGTCAGCTGTCAGCAGGGCTGATTCCTTCTGGAGACTCTGAGAAAAAACTGGCTTCCTTGTCTTTGCCTTTCCTTGTAGAGACTGCCTGTATTTCTTGGCAGATGACCACTTTCCTCCCCTCTCTAGCCAGCAGTACTGCTTTGTCACATCTCTCCCTCTGACTCTGCCTCGGGCCTCCCCGTTATAAGAACCCTTATGATGACCTTGGGCCCGCCCAGATAATCCAGTATCATCTCCCATCCTTCACTTAATCACATCAGCAAAGTCTGTTTTGCTGTATGAATTAATACATTCCTAGGTTCCTGGACATGGAGACATTTGGGGGGCCATTATTCTGCCTACCACAAGGACCTTGCATGGATAGATAATGATGGGATCCCAGGCATCCAAGAGAGTAATTTCCTTCATTCTCTGTAGTTCAGGGTTAATAGAACAGTGCTCTGTCGGGAGGGCAGGTGTGCTGGGACAGTGTATGTTATTGGAGCCGTGTCCCTCTTGGAAGGCACAGCGTGGCTTTCCTGAGGCTGTGAAGTTTGAGCAGATCTCTGAAGGATGTGTTGGCATTTGGCAGGGCTGGGGCTGCTGGGATCGAGCCTCTCTCAAGGTCTCTGTGCTCCCAAGGCTCTTGCTGTCCCTGGGCTGCTTTGGAGGGATCATTTGCTCACAGCTCTGTCCCCACTGCTGGGCATGGACGGCTCTCAGAGGAGCTGCCGCCTCCACCTCTCCTCTTTCCCTTCCTCTTCCGTGGGCTCCTTTTCTCTGCGGGTGTGGCCTCCCAGCCCTCTCTTCTCCTTAAGGGCTGGCACCTTTGTTTCTCCCTCTCTCCTGTTTTCAACCTCTCCTCTCTATCCTGTTGGGGCTGCAACATATTCACGTCATTCTATCTCAAAGACAAACACACCAGCCTCCCTCCATTCCTCATTCTTCTCATCTCTGAATTCTCTCTCCTTCCCTCTCCAGCCCAGTTTCTGGGAGAGCTGTCTGCACACACAGAGCTCACTCCCACACTCTCCACCACAATGTGACTTATGCCCCCTGCTCTCATAATGAAATGGTTTTTGCCAAGATTACCAACGACCTCCTTGCCAATACATTCCAGGGACATATTTCTTCTCTCATCTTCCTTGGCCCCAAGGCAGCATTTGACACCGCTGGCCATTTCCACCTCGCCTGGCACTCCTTGCTGGGCTTCCATGAATGTCCCCTGTGGTTTCCCCTCCCCTTCTAGCTGCAGCTCCCAGCCTCCTCTTCCTCTGCTCATTCTGTACAATCTTATGTTCCTCAGGCTTCTGTCCAAGATCATTCTTGCATTTCCCTCTACAGAGAAGCTCCCCAGGAGCTATCTCCATGACTCCATTACTCTTTCCAGGCAAAAGATTTCCAAATCAGTATCTCCAGATAGGCCCTCCCTCTAGAACTCCAGGCCAACTCCAGATGTTCCAGCTGTTCACCCACATCCCATTTGGCTGCCCCTCGGGCGTCTCAAACTTCCCACGCCCCAGAGTGCAGCCATTATCTCCTCTTCCGGCCGCCTTGTTGCTGTATCTGAACCCCAGGAGTCCCTTTTGTTTTATTCCCTCTCCCTCTTCCCCACATCTAATCAGGCACCAGGTCTCCTCCATTCTTCTCCCTGGTGTCTCAGGAGTCACCTGCTTGCCTCCATCTTCCCTGCTGTTGCCACGGCCAGGCCTCCCTCACCTCCTGACTGCCCTCCTTGTGGGCCTCCTGACTCCACACCCTCCACCATCATCTGTGAGCATTGACTCAGGGCCAGGCCTTGTACCAGGTCTTGCTCTAGCACCGACGCATTCTCCACCTGCAGCCCCGGGATCTTTAGAAAACACAGTTCAGATCACTTCACTCCCTACTCTTGGGATGAAGTCTGAATCCTTAGTGGAGCACAATTCTAATTTCATGAGAAAGATAAAAATCAAAACTACGAATAAATCAACACAATCCTGTGACTTGTGCTAAGTATTATAAGTAAATAGGTGATGGGAAGGAGGAATGAGGGGCCACTTACCTTGTGTGGCTATGAAAGGCCTTCTGCAGGGGTGACATGTACACTGAGACCTACAAAGTAAGTGGAAGAAGCCAGCTGGGAGGGAGGGAGAAAAAAGTGGATCTGATCACAGAGAAAAACAGGAAGTGAAGAGAAAGAGAGAAGCAGGGGTGAGGGAGTTCACACAGCCCCTGACCAGTGGAAATCACAGCCGGGCTCAGAATTCCTAAGCCCAGGCCTTGGATGCTATGAGATTCAGCTGCTCTTCCTGCCCTGGGTTCCATGAGATGCCCTGTATCCTTTTAAATCCCCACCCTCATCACCGACCCTTTTGTTTGAGTTAATTTGAAGAACCGTTCCTGTGAACAAAAGGACCCAGATTAGAACACCACCCTCTTTTTAAAATATTTTATTTATTTATTTTTTGTGACGGAGTCTCACTCTGTCACCCAGGCTGGAGTGCAGTGGCGTGATCTTGGCTCATTGCAACCACCACCTCCCAGATTCAAGAGATTTTCCTGCCTTAGCCTTCTGAGTAGCTGGAATTACAGGCACCTGCCATCATGCCTGGCTAATTTTTATATTTTTAGTAGAGACAAGGTTTCACCATGTTGGCCAGGCTGGTCTTTTTTCTTTTTAATTTTTTTTTTTTTTTTGAGACAGTCTCACTCTGTTGCCCAGGCTACAGTACAGTGGTGTGATCTCAGCTCACTGCAACCTCTGCCTCCCAGGTTCAAGTGATTCTCGTGCCTCAGCCTCCCGAGTAGCTGGGATTATAGGCATGCACCACCACACCTGGTTAATTTTTGTATTTTTAGTAGAGACAGCGTTTCACTATGTTGGTCAGGCTGGTCTCAAACTCCTGACCTCAGGTGATCTGCCTGCCTTGGCCTCCCAAAGTGCTGGGATTACAGGCATGAGCCACCACGCCGCGCCCACCACCCTTATGATCTCACCTTAGACGTCACTTCTTCCAAGAAGCCTTCCCTGATGGACCACTCTGGGTTTAGTGCCTGTTATTAATTTTCCAGGGCTGCTGTAACAAAGTACCGTAAACTGGGTGGCTTTAAAGAACAGAAACGTATTCCGTCACAGTTACGGAGGCCAGAAGTCTGACAGCAAGGTGTTTGCAGGGTCATGCTCTCTCTGAAGCCTTTCGAGAAGAATCTGCCCCACTCCTTTCTCTTAGCTTCTGGCGTTGCTGCCAATTCTTGCTGTTCCTTGGTTGGCAGGCGCGTTGCTCCAATCCCTGCCTCTCTCATCACATGACATTCTCCCTGAGTGTCTCTGTGTCTGTCTCTTCTCCTCTTGTTTAAGGGAACCCATCATACTGGATTAGGATCCACCCTAAGGACCTCATCTTAATTTGATTATTTCTGCAAAGACCCTATTTCCAAATAAGGTCACATTCACAGGTTCCAAGGGTTAGGACTTCAACATATTTTGCAAGGGAGGGCACAATTCGATCCATAACAGTGCCCCTTTCCATGGGCTCCCATAGACAGCAGCACTTGTCACACACTACTGCAATTGCTGGTCCACCTGCTGACCTCCCCCTCCAGAATGTAAGCTTTGTGAGAGCAGGGGTGCAATAGTCACACTCACAATTACCTCCCGAGGGCCTGGCACATAGCATATACAAATTATTTTTGAACAAATCCATGATGACACAATGAGGGAATGGTTCTCTGTACCTACTCTACCTGCTTCTTTTTGCTTTAGTGACCTGCCTGGATCTCATGGCCCAGACCCGGCAAATCTGTCAGATCACAGCCACTTAAAACTACAGGGCCTTGGTTTGCAAGAGATGGACAGTAGTGGTCACAGAGCCCAACTCCTTTGACTTCAAACCAGTCTTGACTGGCAGCCAGCTAGGAGCAGAGGATACAAAGGCAAACGCCGCGTGGTCATTCCCAAGCCGACCCGCCTGCAAACTCACTTGGAGGCTGCTGCCAATGCTGCAGGCCCTGCCAGGCAGCTGTGCACGGGAGCCCTGTGCAGCTTCTGTTATCCCAGTGCACGAGCTCACTATTCAGCGCAAAGGGGAAATGCTGTTCGCCAGCACCCCTGAACAGTTATCTGACCTGCTCATTGGAGAGACTCCTCACCAGCTTCAGAGGTGGGGTTGGCACAAGGAGGTGGGAGAGAAAAATAAGGAAAAACAAATCACTTTTACCTGGTTCTCGTTTAGAAATCATGAGTTACTCTCACTGATGTCACCTGTGGGGAGTGAAAGGGAAATTTAGAAGGGAGAAGGCAGCCTGGCTGGCCCCACACCAACTTTCTAAAAGGGTTCACATGAGGGGATTTGGACATCTTTCATCACTGTAAATGTCAACGAAGATAACTCTAGGTAGCAATTGGTTATTCCTCTTGATCTGGAAGCATCACTCCTTTCAAACTGCTTGGTGGGATGTATTGAGGGGGCAGCCTGATCTGAATTTTGTACAAATACCAGTATCATGGGGGAACCCCTAACCAAAGAAGTGCAAACTCCTGAAAATAGTTGGTGCAGCAATGACTGACACAGTCAGTCATAATCTCATCAACTCATTTTCTCAGCAATCTTGGGAGGTGGAAGGGAAGGAGTTATACACAGGGAGCCCTGAGGGCCAGAAAGTGAGATAACTTGTTAGAACTTGGTCCCAAGTCAAGGGTAGAACTAAACTCTGATCTCTTAGCTTCTATTTTCTTTTCTTTTCTCTTTTTTTTTTTTTTTTTTTTTTGAGACGTAGTCTTGCTCTGTCACCCAGGCTGTAGTGCAGTGGCGCGATCTCGGCTCACTGCAAGCTCCACCTCCCGGATTCACGCCATTCTCCTGCCTCAGCCTCTGGAGCAGCTGGGACTACAGGCTCCCACCACCATGCCCGGCTAATTATTTTGTATTTTTAGTAGAGATGGGGTTTTACCATGTTAGCCAGGATGGTCTCGATCTCCTGACCTCGTGATCCGCCCGCCTCGTGCTCCCAAAATGCTGGGATTACAGGCATGAACCACCGTGCCCGGCCTCTTAGCTTCTATCTTCTTACCTTTTTTAGGGGCACTGTAGTAGTCAGGGTTCTTTAGAGAAACAACCAATATATCTATATATCTCACACCATTATGGCTCACACCATTACGAAGGCTGCAGAGTCCCATAATCTGCTATTTGCAAGCTGGTGCTGTTAATTCCAGTCCAAATCAGAAGGCCTGAAAACCAGGAAGGCCAATGGTGTAGGTTCCAGCCCAGTGGCTCAGCTCCAAGTCTCAGCTTGAACAGGCAGGCAGAGAGAGATAATTCAACCTCTCTCCACCTTTTTGTTCCACTCAAGCCCTCAACAGGTTGAACAATGTAGACATTGAGGAGGGCCATCTGCTTTACTCAGCCCAACAATTCAAATGCTAATCTCTTCCAGAAACACCCTTACAGACACACCCCCAAATAACATCTAACCAGGTATCTGGTGCTATGGTTTGTACGTGTCCCCCAAAAGTTCGTAAGTTGGAAATTTAATCCCTCTGCTCTCATGAATGAATTAATGGGTTAATGGGAGCTGTACCTTGTGAATGGATTAATGTTGCTGTCACAGGAGTGGGTTTGTTATTGGGAGTGGCTTTCTTATCAAAGTGAGCTCTCTCTGGCTCCCTGGCACTTGACCTCTTGCCATGTGATGCCCTCTGCCATGTTATGATGCAGCAGGAAGGCCCTCACCAGATGCCTGTGCCATGCTCTTGGACCTTCCAGCCTCCAGAAATTCTTTTCTTATGTATTCAGATGTCAATTGAGAAAAAATGACAAGACAAGTTTCAATCATTTTAGGAGGTTTATTTGCCAAAGTTAAGGACACGTGCCCAGGAGACAGGTCTATGCCTTTCTCTGAAGATGATTTTGAGGGCTCCAAATTTAAAGGGGAAAGGGCAGGGTATTGAGAAGTCAACAATTTTCATGTAAGAGCAGGTAGGGAAAAATAGTCATTCATGCCTTTGTCTGGCTCAGTGAATCCACATTTTTTTTTTGACTGACAATAACATAGACAAATGGGGCAGAGGAAAAATGCAGGGAATCTGCATTTTTACATAAGATAACATGGACAAAATAGGGCAGGAGAACAATCAGACATGCATTTGTTTCTGGTGGGTGGAGCGGGGGTGACTGCACCTGTAAAGGTAAGCTACCAATTTTCATTGCCATAGTGAAATTTTAACAGAAAAACTTTAGGATAAAGATCTTGAAGCTTACTAGGAATTTCCTTATGGGCAAACTATGGGGGAGACATGTAGCTTTTCATCTTGTAGCCATCTTATTTAGGAACAAGAAAAGGGGAGGCTGGTTTGCGTGACCCAGTTCCCAGCTTAACTTTTCCCTTTGGCTTAATGAGTTTCCTTTCACACAGGTTTTCTGTTATAGCAACAGAAAAGAGACTGAAACATCTGGGCATCCCATGGCCCAGTCAAGTTGACACATAAAATTAAGCATCACTGGCTCCAAGGGGCAGAACTTGCTGAGCAGCCTGGCAAGAGGAGAAGCAGTAGATGCCCTGTCATGGGAGTCAGAGTGTAAATGGGGATGCTGTCCACACCTGGAGAATCAGGGCTGAGGCTGGGCTGCATATGCTTGGGGACTAAGCCTAGGGCCCCCTGGTGCCTCCAGGCTGGATGCCTACTTTACAGGAATTGGATCAGGCCCTGAGACCTCTAGGGGGTGGAAAAGGCCTCAGAGAGCCTGGCTTGGGGATTCTGGAACTCTGAGGTGATGGTGTGGGCGTGGGCATCGGAAGGCAGACAGCCAGTGCACACAGGAGCTGGAAGACAGGTCTTAGGGCCTATAAATGTTGTTATCCCAAAGAGAGGTATCTGGCTGTCCAGAACTTTCAAATCTTTTGATGAAAACTAACCTGTTCATGCTTCAAGAATTTGCTGGCTGGCTCTGCAGCAGCCTACTCCTGCTTCTTCCCTGAGGATGGAGTTTCCTACAGAACCAGGCTAGGTGTGGGCAGCTGAGGATGAACAGGAGGGGTGGTGAGCTGCTGTTCAAGGAAGGTGAACTAGATTGGGGTTCGGCGCAGCCTCCATGGCCTGGACTGGCTCCAGAGCTCAGAGTGAACGTTAACATCTACCTGGCAAAGACAAAGAAAAATCCCTACTGGCAATTTACAGAAACATAAAATTCAGTGGAGCAAAATGAAGAGGAAAGGTGCATGAAGGCGGTAGGTCAGATGGGAACTGGAGCCTGCATAGCAGCAAAGATGGTGGGCAGTGTCCTGAAAGCCACTGGCTGTGTATTTCTCTGAGCCTTTGTTTCCACTGTTCCTTTCACTCTTATGTCCTCGTTGCCTCTCTCTGACCAAATCCTTCCTTCTTTCAAGGCTCTGCTTAAAAGCTACCCCATTCTGTAAGGAGCCCTATCTTATTCCCTAGACCCTCCTATGGGTGCACTCTGAATGGGTCACTGTACAAGCAAATAGACACAGCCCAGCTCGGTGAAGCTGGACATGGCCATCTCCACCAAGGACTCTCCAGTGCAAGTCCACATTACTCTAAGATCTACAGGTTCTGTTTTTCTAATCCCTAAACACCCCCACCCTCCACCTGCTCAGAGCAGAAGCACCCTCTTCACCCTGTCCCTGTAGAGCTCAAGGAGCTCTGCAGTCAGGCTATGAACATCTAAGTTTCTGGGGTGTGTATCCAGTCTAATGGAAATATGACACTACCATTCACAGTTCTAACTTCTCTGAATCATACCCTTCCCCTGCCCCCTTTTTTGACCCCAAACCCCTCTGGGTCCCTGCAATAGCTATCCTCCAAGATGGCCCCAGTGGCCTGCCTTCTGATAGCCACACCTGCCGTGGTCTCCTCCCCCTCAGTGCCAGGGTTGCTCTGTGTGAACAACAGAAGATGGCAGACATGGAGGTGGAAGGCTTCTAAGATTCAGTTATATGAGACAGTACAGCTTCCTGCTCGGTATATCTCTCCCTCTCTGTCACTGCTCACTTCGGTGGAAGCCAGCTGCCATGTCTTGAGTAGCCCAGTGGAGCAGGATGGACTGAAGCCTCCTGCCGACAGAAGGTGAGACTGGAGGAGCTCCCCCGACAGCTGAGAAGCCCTGGGAGAACTGCAGCCCCGCAGACAGCCTGACCTCATGAGAGGCTCGGGGCAGAGCCACCAGCTGAGCCGCCCCCAGATTGCTGTCTCTCAGAAACTGTGGGAGATAATAAACATTCACTGTTTTAGGCTGCTGAGTTTTGGGGTGATTTTTATGCAGCAATAAAGAGTTAACACGGGGGATTCGGGCTTGTCAGGGAGCACATACTCAGCTGCTAGACAGGAGAGAAGGGGAGGAGGGGAGGAAGGAGAGATTTTACTTCCTGGGCTGGCGGTGTGACTGGATAGAAGAAGCCGCAGCTCTGGCTTTGTTCCCATGCAGTGGCAGCAGCCCTTGCAGATGTAGGGCCCTGGCTGAGTGTGTGGGGCACTTTCCTGGCCAGGGTCTAGCTTTGAGTCACCACTCCATGGTTAAGGAACCCCTCTTTGTCCCATGCTCAATACATCGCAGCTGCTACTATAACTGACTGTGCTATGCTCTTGGTTTTGGCCCCTCTGAGATTTCCTTTGGTAGGAGGGTGTCAGGTTTTTGTATGTTCTGGAAGGTCCAGCTGTTCAGGGCAGGCTGGACATGCATTGCTAGAGTCCACTGCAGGGGTGAGTCTGCCATGAGGCAGGTGTTCATTGCACAGGGCACTGCAGGGTTGGCCGGGGCAGTAAGTCAGTGGCCGTCTTCCAAGTGAGACCAATGGGTCAGGGAAGAAAGAAGCCATGGCCTGGTCAGTGGACTCATCTGTGTCCAGGCTCACCAGGCCCCTGAGCTCTGCAGGGCAGCTAGTTCCAGTCCTTGCCTGGTGAGAGGGGGGATCCTAGAGGACCTAGAACCAGCCCGTGTTATGAGTGAAGGAGTCTGCAGCACTGCGGCCAAGCAAAGAGGGGACTGATAGCCACAGGATCTGGCCCTGTGGACAGGCCTATTCATGGCAGGGCCAGTTGCCCAGTCTTCCTCCATGCTGGTCTGAGAAGACATTTCCAACCGTGGCACTGTGTGGCAGCAGTAAAGACCCTTTCAGTCGCCAGTGGAAGGAGCCCAGCTCAAAGTTGATAGTAGATATTGAGGAAGACCAACATGCTTAGTGTTTGCGTTTGCTTTAGGTACATGAGCTCACTTAATCTTCACAACAGCCTAGAGGCAGGCATTCTTACTTCCATTTCACAGATGAGAAAGAGGAGGTAGAGGGTGGGCTCATCTCAGATCTCACTGCTGGCAAGTAGTAGAGCAAGAGTTGGCCAAGGCAAGCTGGCTCCACAACCCATGTCCTTGATCCCCAGAGGGAGGAAAATCCAGGTCGAGAGCTCTCTTCGAGGAAGGCTGCATCCAGAGGCTCAAAAAATACCCCCAGTGTCCACTTCTCTCGCCACCCCTCACCAGCCCTCGGCGTGGCTTCAGTCTCTGCCAGGCCTCTCCATGTGGTGGCCACCAGCCGCTCAAGGCCTACAGTACCCCACTGTGTAAAGGAAGGTCCCAGAAGTCAGTCTCGCTGGGCTCCTGGGGTCACATGCTCACCTACCAGCCACCTCTACAGCCCATGGCCCCTGATGCTTTAAAGGGCCAGGATTGGGTCACAGGCTTCACCTGGGAGCCAGGTCTGGCATCAGAACCTGAGAATCTTGTAACCTGGGTGAACGGGTGCCACACAGGCAAACAGAACACGTGTGCCTGAAACAATGTCACTTACTCCCAGTGTTTTTTAAAGGCAGGGGGTGGGTGAGGGGATCTAACACCACCATTAAATAATGTTCTAGAAGCACACACACCCCATTGTGCCTCCAGCCTAACATGGTAGCTCTTTTTACTCTTGGTCTTTCCTCTGGGCCTTGTCTGCCCGCACACATCTTTTGAGGTAGTTAGAAATGACAGTACAATTCACCGGCCTCAGGAGAGAGCTTGAGAAGTGATAGTTAGCCTGGGGATGGCAGCTGATTCCTTTCATAAAAGACATAAAGGAATCTTCTCACTCTGGGCCTCTCAGGCTACCCTATTGCTGCATGTTGAGTGTTTGGGGTTTGTTTTCTAGTGTTGGGATTCTGTCCTTATGGCTTGGGGATAATGAGGGAAGGTTGTTTCTGCAGTGCTGGGATGAGTGAGGCCGGGAGGTGCTGGGTGGCAGTGCTACCTGGACCTTTCCCCCACCCCATGCCAGCGTCCTGGGCAAGGGTGGCCCTTACCTGAGAGCTTGCAATGTGAGACCCTGCCGGGCACTTGCCTGGGATCAGCTCTCAATGCCTGGGCTGCAAGCTGCTGGCTGAGACCGTTCTGAAGCCAAGTGTTACGGCAGAAATAGAAAGCACGGTGCCCTTTCTATCCACCAAGCGCTGTGCAAAGCCTTCTGCCACGCTGTTTCACTGAGTTCTCGTGCCGATGCTGTGATGTGGGGATGTACTGTTATTACGTCTGTCTCACACAAGGAAACTTGAGCTCAGAGAGTTAACTAACCCCATCAAAGTTACAGAGTTAGGGAAGGTACAGCCCTGATTCCATCCCCAGCAGTCAGAGCCCACGTCCACAGCCACTTTGAGACAGGGAGCAGAGGTGAAAGGGCACGGGCTGCCCAGAGTTAAATCCAAGCTTTGCTACTGGTTGGCTCTGAGCTGGTTACTCAACGTCTTTGTGCCTTAGCTTCCTCATGGGTAAAATGGGGGTAACTTCGGTACCACTTCATAGGGTTATTATGAGGGTACCTGAATTAATGCCCATAAAATACTTAGACTCTGGCCAGGGACATAGTAAGTGCTCAGTAAATGCTAGCTGTTAGTATGCAGTGTTGCAAAACTTGAAAGGGAGTGAGTCTTCACCAAGGGGGCTGAGTGCCCTGTTCTAACAGGTGGCACAGGTGGGAGCACAGGAAGGAGAGACAGACCCAGAGATAAGTGGGTGGGAAGACAGACATGTAGGGTGAAATCTAAAGCAAGGCAGACCATGATTTTTTCTGATAAACCTATCAAATAGGTCATCAGAGACAAACAAGGAAGTTGCTCAATTCTCGGCAGAGATCTGGAAGGGCTTCAAGGAAGAGGCAACTTTTGACTTGGACTTTGATAGAACCATGGAGGTAGATGAGGTGGAGACATTGGAAACACAGGCAAAGAGGTAAGTAAGGCCGATGGGGGTGTTAGATCTTGGCATGTGGTCAGAGGAGGGCCAGTGCTGGGATAAGAGAAGGGAGGAGAGAGAGATGGGAGGGAATAGGGGAGGAACTCTGAATGTCCAGCAGAGACCCCCCCAGGATCTTAGAAGTGTTTGCTCAGAGGGGTGGGCTGCCTGGTAGCAGAACAGGGTGTTTATGATGAAGCCCTTCAGCCTGGACCAGGCTTACCACCAACCCCATCTCTGGGAACTCAGGGCCCATGGGCTTCAGAGGTCCGTCCACTGCCACCTGGGTGGGCTGTGCTGCTTGGCACAGGATCACTGGCATCCACCGCCACGCAGCACCCAGGAGGGAAAGCAATCACTCCACTCAGACTTCATCCCTCTACCAGGACCCTTCCCTGAACAAAGCCAGCATTTACAGTTTGGCCATGCTGGGGTAGGGTTATTCGGGCTGTTTATGACTTGGGATAGAGCATTTTCCTGGAGAGCAGAAGTCCCTTTCTGTCCTGTTTGAAAGCTATTCGGACCTTTGGAAAGAGTCTGGGTGATGGCATTTTGCCCTTAAAAATACAGTGAAGGCTAGAAACTGGAAAGAATTCTGATGAAGTCATTCCTCCTTCCCAAGAGCCGATTAGGCCCTGATGCCACTCCCAGGTTTCAGAAATTTGGGAAGCCCTCAGAGAGTGGCAATTTCAAGTCAGGAGCAGCTGCCGTCCAGCATAGGGACCCATGGCATCACAGCAGCAGGCCAGCCTGCTGGGAGCAGGGAAGAGAGCTCCAGGCCCTCACCATGTGTGCCTGGGCGTCCCTCTCCTCTCTGGCCCAGATGCTTCCACAGAGGAAGAAGATGAGGCCGATGAACTGCTGAGCTCTCAGGCCCTCCCTGTGGCCTTCTTCTGAAA
The DNA here is from genome assembly GCF_000001405.40 of Homo sapiens. NCBI lineage: Eukaryota > Metazoa > Chordata > Mammalia > Primates > Hominidae > Homo > Homo sapiens. Next base: position 68,500,837 of record NC_000015.10, on the reverse strand, counting down.
CCCCTTCAGGCCAGCATGGGAGGGGATGGGGAGAATTTCCAGCTGTGTCCACTCCCGTTACTAGGAGCCATGGCAGGTCCTTTGGCTCAGAGACTCATCTCATGTCCCTGTGGGCTGCCCAAAAATCCAAAGGCATGGGGAAGATAGGTGACCTCTAGTACCCCTGGTCCTCACCAGAGCATGCCCCCAAGCTCTCCTTACCTCCTCCTGCGCTGTGTGATTTGAGGGGCTCCAGAAAACCTTTTCGTTTCCAAATTTATCCTCCAAACCCTGCATGGGCCTGCCCTGGGGGCCAAGGATTTCCACAGTCAGACTCACAACTCGGGGTCGAGGGTCGGTGTCTCCAGAAGGCTCCTCCTCCAAGTAGGCATCCAGTGCCAGGAAAGAGCAGAGGTGGATTTAGGGCAGGGGACTGGGTGAAGGAGGAGAGCCTGGGAGGATCTGGCAAACTCAGGAAGGAGAAGAGGTTTGGAGAAGCTTTTTGAACAGAGTTTAAAATCTGGCAGGATGCGGGGAAGTGAAGAACAGAGTGGAAACAAGCAAGGAAGGGAAGATACAGAAAATTGAGGGAGACAGAGGAAAGGAGAAGCAGAGGGGCTGAGAACCAGGAGGCAGGAGGCTGGAAAGAGGGAGGTGAGAAGAAGGGAGTGGGAAGGAATGGAAGGGAGTATGGGGGGAAGGGGGAGAGGAGAAGGCAGAAAGGGCAGCTCCAGGACCTTGGCCTGCCCACTCTCCTAGGTGCAACCATGGTAGGTCCTGGGGTACAACCTCACAGGAGGCTTCTCCCCTGAGGTTCTGGGCCAGAGACTTTCCTCACCTACTCTTTGATCTGGGCCTGCTGGGAACTTTTTATCTCCCTCGTCTACCCACCAGTTTATTACCTGCAATCAGCCTCTCTTTCCCTTGGGAGGGAAAGGTGATGCTCGGCTCCTACCCTAGGAGAGGACACTGATTAGTCTAAGCCAGTCTTGGTCATTCCTTCCCCTTTGCCAGCGATGGGTTTAATCTGGGCATGTGATGCAGCTCTAGCCAATGAGTCATAAGGGGAAGGGGACTAGCTCCTGGAAAAGTTTCCCATAAATATAAAGAGACACACGGCAGGAAACACCCTGCTTCGTCTCTGAACTCATCCTGCCTGCATGAATCCCTTGGAATTGCTGCATGCATCCTGCCACTTGCTCATGGTGCCACTGAGCCCTGAGTTCACTAACCCTTGGGACTGGACTGCTTGTGTGTGATGTCACATATTTCCCTCATGTTTTAGGTATATATTACTTGCAGCCAAAAGCATCCTAAAAATATAAATTTTTAATGAAAGTATTAAAAGGCTTTCAAGAAGGCTGAGCAATAGGGACAGACTGATCCAGGTACACGATGGATATTTACATGGGGAGGCAAATTTGGTCTCTCTCTGTTGCCCAGGCTGGAGTGCAGTGGTGCGATCACGGCTCTCTGCAGCCTCAACCGCCTGGGCTCAAGCACTCTTTCTGCCTCAGCTTCCCAAATAGCTGGTACTACAGGTGCGCACCACTATGCCTGGCTAATTTTTTGTACTTTTTGTAGAGACGGGATTTCACCGTGTTGCCCAGGCTGGTCTTGAACTCCTTGGCTCAACTGATCTGCCTGCCTTAGCCTCCCAAAGTGTTGAGATTACCAGTGTTAGCCACTGCACCTGGCCTCAGGAAGGCAAATATGTGATTTCTGGAGAATGTTAATGGACCATTTAATGGACGAACATTAAACTTGGAACAAACAGAGCTAAGATCTAGACCTGAACCTCCCATCAACTCACTGTATAGCCTTGGATAAGTCAAATATTATCTGAGTGTCCCCACCTGTGAAGTGCAGAGAATGACACACCCTTCATAAGAAAGGCATGGGGTGGTCTGGTGCAGTGGCTCACGCCTGTAATCCCAGCACTTTGGGAGGCCGAGGCAGACGGGTCACTTGAGGTCAGGAGTTCGAGACCAGCCTGGACAACATGGCAAAACCCCGTCTCTACTAAAAATACAAAAATTAGCCGGATGTGGTGGTGGGCCTGTAATCCCAGCTACTTGGAAGGCTGAGGCAGGAGAATTGCTTGAACCTGGAAGGCTGATGTTGCAGTGAGCCAAGATCGCGCCACTGCACTCCAGCCTGGGCGATAGAGTGAGACTGTCTCAAAAAAAAAAAAAAAAGGAAAGGCATGGGGTGTAAGGCAGGTATTATTACTGCTGATATTAATATTCTCTTTCCTTTGTAGAGCTGACAAATCATTTAGTTGTCTAATCTATAAAGACCATGTTGAGATGGGAATTACTGCCCTCATTTCAAAGAAGAGGACATGGAGGCCCAGACCACCTTAGGATTTTGCCCAAGGTCACAGCTCTTGAGTTGCAGAGCTGGGATCTGTAGCTAACATCAGATCCAGGGTTCTGTCTACTCTGACCTGGGAGGGCCTGAGTGGCATTCATGCACCATTTGGAGTGAGTTAGCTTCAGGCTCTGTCCAACTGACGGTTAGAGCTGAAAACCAGGCTCTAGAAAAGAGGTCAAGATTGGGGAAGGGGCAGGAGCTTGAAAGGCCTGGAAAGTTGGCTCCACTGAAGGATAACCTAAGGAAAGCAGGCAGGTGAGCTGGCTCAGGTGCTATGCCGTGTGAACACCCATGGGCCACTGCATTCAGGGTTGGGGACTGGTACCTTCAGGTGTCTAGTGTTGAGAAAAGAGTATTGGCTGAGGCCTTGGGAAACCAGAGTTCAATTCCCAGCTCTGCCCTTTCTAGCTGTGTGAGAGTGGGCAAGTTCCTTAACCTCTCTGAGCCTCAGTTTACCCACCTGTAAAATGGAAGCAATAATTCTTGCCCATCCCATGTTGATATTACACAGGTCGAATGAAGTGCTTTATGAATTGTAAAGCTTTAGAGAAATCTAAGCAATTGCTTGAAGGGGGAAAGGACATCAAGAAAGAAGAGCCATCTATGTTGGCAGACAAGGCACAAGCCCCCTGGTATGATGGGATTTGGGTCCTGCTTTGGGGTCATCAGGACTTATCCTAGCTCCAGGACAAATAGTTTGCCTGGAAAACGCTGACAAAGAGCCAGAGCTCACTGAAGGGCAGCTGATTAAAAATCAACCTGGTGAGGCTCTGCCACCGTTAATGAGGTGTGATCCTGAAAGTGCAAGGCCTGGGTGGATTCTGCAAAGAGCCTGTTGGCTTTGATCCCCCTTCTCCTATAAAATGTTATGTCTGCTCTTGGCCCCTCAAATTCCTAGACGGACGAATCAGTCTGGGCTGCCTGTGGAATTTGCAAAGAATGAATTTTCAAAAAAACACACTTGGGAACAATAGTTACCAGAAGTGTCTGGGTCTCAGAGGAAAAACAAACACCTTAACCCCAGTCTGCAAGTGTTTCCCAAACATCCTTCTACCTAATGCCTTCCCCCATGCTGACACCTAACATGAAGCATGTCATTTAATGAGGAGCTAGTTTACCCTGTGCTTCTGAGCCACGAAAAATAAAACACCACCAGACACAGCAGCTGTGTTGGAGCAGATTCCCCACATCCCCTTCCCTAGGGAATGAATGGCCCCAGTAGCAGCTGGGCACAGACCTCAGGGTCTGCTGTTTGGGAGAGACAGCAGTTAACTTGTCTTTTACCTACTTTTACATTTTTAATTTTAATTTTAATTTTGATTTTAATTAAAGCAATGAATGTGCTTAGTTTTAAAAAGCCAAACAGGGCCAGGTGCAGTGGCTCACACCTGTAATCCCAGCACTTTGGGAAGCCAAGGCAGGAGGATCACCTGAGGTCAGGAGTTCAAGACCAGCCTGGCTAACATGGTGAAACCCCATCTCTATTAAAAATAGCTGGGCGTGGTGGTGCATGCTTATAGTTCCAGCTACTTGGAAGGCACAGGCAAGAGAATTGTTTGAACCTGGGAGGCAGAGGTTGTAGTGAGCTGAGATCATGCCAGTGCACTCCAGCCTGGGCGACAGAGTGATACTTCGTCTCAAATAAATAAATGAGTAAATCAGTCAAATAGTACCATAAAATTTTTAATAAAAACAGCAGTCTCTGTATTCACCTCTCCCCATCCCCAATAGGCAATCATTTTTAACACCTTTTGGAGTATTTCACCGCATATTTCTATATAACAAGCTTATAATTCTGACCCTTGATTTTTCCTCTTTTCCTTTCATTAATTTTTAATTGACAAGTAAAAATTATGTATATTTATAGTATACAACATGACATTTTGTATGTGTATACATTGTGGAATGGCTAAATCAAGCTCTTTAATATATGCATTATCTCACATGCTCATTTTTGTGGTGAGAACACTTAAAAACCCACTCTCAGCACTTTTCAAGTATACAATATGCTGTTATTAGTTACAGTCACCATGATGTACCACAAACCTCTTAAATTTATTTCTCCAGTCTAATTGAAATTTTGTGTTCTTTGACCAACATGACCCCAATCTCCTCAACTCCCAGCCCTTGTTAACCATAATTTCAATCTGTTTCTATGAGTTTGACTTTTTTAGATTTCATATATAAGTGAGATCATATCTTTCTGTGCACGGGTGGTTTCTCTTAACATAATGCCCCCCCAGATTCATTCATATTGTTGCAAACATCAGGATTTCCTTCCTTTTCATGGCTGAATAGTATTCCATTGTGTATATACACCATGTTTTCTTCATCTATTCATCCATTGATGGATACAAGTTGATTCCATTGAAGGAAACAAAAATATTCCTTTCTGGAACACTGGCGATTGTCGAGCTGAAGAAGATTAAAACACAGGGGGATACTCTGCCCCTCCCTCTGCTTGCCTAATGGTGATTTATAGGAACAGGTCTTCCTGCCATCCTCCTTGCCTTTTCCTGCCTAATGAGGGGCTTCTTTCCAATGCTTGCTTATCAACTTAGAGACAGCAGTGCCAGAAGATCTAGGTGCAGACTTTACTCTTCCCATAAATTTACCTTCCCACATTTTGCTGCCTTGTGGAAGCCTGAGGCTGCTCTCTTCTTTATCTTGTCACTATAGAATTTATGAGTGTTTTAAAAAATACTGTTTAAGCAAGGCCCCTAAACCACAGCCTTGAGAGAGAAATATTCCCTCTCCCCTGTGATGGGTACAGCACACACCAATACATTTTTGCTGGTTTTTCTCTTGCTAATCTGAATTTTGTTTATAGGAGAGCATCTCAGATAAGAAGCTATGAGGGAAAGAAAAGAAATTATATTTTCTCCCCTACATTCTATCTTGGCTATTGTGAATAATGCTGTAATGAACATGGGAATGCTGACATCTTATCAGCATTGATTCTTGACTTATTTTTTTTTTGACATTAGCCATAAATGTCAAAGATGATAGCTTAGCTCTCTTATACTTCTCCCCTAATCCTAACATACACACAAGTACACGTGTGTGCATACACAAGCACATGTACACATGCAGACACACACACTTCCCAGATTCCCATCTTTTCAATATGATTGTATCATAATTTTTATCTGTCTCTTATTCAGTATTGACATGATTATGATTATATAAATATTGTTCACAGCTGAGCCACCTAGTGTACCATGATTATATTTTCTTTCTTTTGAACAGCTTTTTGTTTTTTTCAGCTAATAATTGCTTTTCCCTCTCATTTGTTTACTCTCTATGAACTTATGATTAATTCAGCCCCTTTGTCCAGAACTATAAACATTTCTCTATTGAGTTAAATACACCATGTAAGCTTAGGTTCCTGTTTCCTGGAGCCATTTCTTTTGAAACTTTCTGTCCCCCTGCTCCCTCTGAACTGGTTGCATGCTAAGCCTCTGTAGATGTGTCATCAACAATGACAGAATAATTCAGATAAACAGGTTTGCGAACAACAGCCTATGATGGTTAATTTTATGTGTCAACTTGACTCGCCAAGGATGGCCAGATTAAATGTTATTTATGGGTGCCTCTGTGAGTGTGTTTCCAGATAAGGTTAGCATTTGAACCAGTGGGCTCAGTAAAGTAGAGCACACTCACCAATGTGGGTCTGAATCATCCAATCTGAGAACAAAAAGACAAAGGAAGAAGAATTTGCCCTTTTGTTTCCTGCCTACCTGTTGATCTGGGACATCTCATCTCATCTTCTGTGTCCCTTGGACTGGGATTTATACCATCAGCTCCCCCAGTTCTCAGGCTGTTGGACTTGGACTGAAATATACCACTGACTTTCCTGGGTCTCCAGCTTGCAGACAGCAGACTGTGGGACTTGTCAGCCTCCATAATTGTGTGAGCCAATTCCTCATAGTCAATCAATCCATCCATCCTTCTGGTTCTGCTTCTCTGGAGAACCCTGATTAATACACTGCCTTGATAAGCAGATTCTACATGGGCAGGAACAGAGTGTGAGGGTCAAACAGAGATAGCCTACCAGCAATGTGTTCTTCAGAAGAAATGCAAAGTGTTGGCTAGGAGTGAGGAGGTTATAATGAGTATGTGTAAGTCAGGTTGGCTGGGAATGGAGAGTAGGTAATTGTTCTTTCTGACTATGGAAATCAGAAGGCTTCCCAGTGGCGGTGATATGTGAGCTAGGCCCTGGGTGATTAGTAAGATTTCAAAATGCTGAGAAATGAAAAATCCAGAACTCAGTTGGAACAGAGGAAGCATTCTGAGGAAGGGAGCAGAGACTGGAAAGTGAACTGTAAGGAGGGGAACGCATGTGCTGGGAAATGAGGCTGGAAGGGCAGCAGCTGAGCCTGGTCCTAGAGGGTGAGGGGGAAACATGCACCCAAGGAGTGTGTGCAAGTGATGGTGATACCATTCATGCTATTCTAATGACCTCCTGCGCTCTGACAAAGAGTCTGCGCTTTATCCTTGCCAAAATGGAGCCACTGAATATCAAGGTTTTGAGCACCAGAGTGTCCTCTGCTGTGAAATAGGACAAACAAGCAGAGGCTGGAAGGGACAATTCAAGCAAAGAGGAACTATTCCAGCCAGGAGCTGGAGGATAGCTTCGGGCTCTGTGAAATGGAATGTGCAAGAAATGTGTGGTTATTTTCTGAAAGTCTGTCTTGTTTATCACTGTGTCCCCAGGACCTAGACACAGTGGAGTTTTGGTGACTCTTTAATGAATGAATGCATCTTTGAACAGGCTGGAAGCCTCCCTAGGCAAACAGTATAGCCATTGCCCCAGGAGAGTCCCCCAACTCATACACCCACAGATATTCAGCCCCTTTCCTGAGGGCTGGAGAATCTTCCACTCTCCGTGGCCACCTTGCCTTCCAGAAGCACTGTCTGTGCCTTTCTCTGGCACCATGTCCTCTGTAAGCTTGGGCTTTCTCAGAAGCCTGAAAAGAAGATTGCTTCCAACATACTTCCCTCTCATCTTTGCACACGGCCCTACAGAGAGGGAGCCCAAAAGTCCAGCTTCAGTCTCAGAGTGGGAGATAACTCGATGGGAAAAGTAAAAACCAAATAGACCTCATCCTCCTGATTCTTCTACAGAGCAAAAGTAAACACAAATCGGTATCTGCACACTTAGCCCTGTGTCTGGCATGTGATGGGTTCTCCAACCTTTCCATTGTTATTTGTAGCTGCTGCTAAGTGCTGCCTGAGTTCACCAAAGGGGCCAGCCTTGGACCTTCCTCCCTGTGTGACCTCCCTCCCTTCCCAGTCTGTCAGCAGCAGAGACTGGGAATTATGCCAGTGTGAGGGTCGGTGCTCCTGGCCACTCTGTTGAGGTCTCCACTGGCCTGAGCTCTCTGCACGCTCCACTGAGTCCCGGGGAGATGGTTATGAGGTCACCTCTGGCAAAGGTTTTTTAGACACTCCCCTCCACATCCTCCTTTTCTTGAGTCAAAGCAACCCATGATTCAGCCTCCAGGGAAGAGGAGTGAAGAGAAGCTTTGAAAACAACCTGCAGGGCAGGAGGCAAGAGGCCAGCAGCAGGACTGCATGAACACTGATGGGTCACGGGCAGCAGATGGGAGTTTTGCTTCTAGAGATAGACAGATCACAGAACAAATCCCTACTCTCTGCAACTTACCAGTTTTGTGAGCCCTTGGATAGTTTCTAAACCTCTTTGAGTCTCAGTTTTCTCATTTGTAAATTGAGATTCGTAGTCCCTAACCCTTGGATAGTTGGAGGTTTAAAGTGGACTAGTGCCGGTCCATAAACAATGTTTTAACTGGTCTGCAGTGAGATAAAAATAGAAATGGAGAGTAAGGGTTCAAAAACTTCTACAGCACTTTAAAAATGCCTGACATCCAGACACTGGCTCCATGGACTTATCTCATTGAACAGGATGTAGACCAAAATATTGCTCTTCACTGGACTGGAAATACATTTAAAAAACAAAAAACGGCCGGGTGCGGTGGCTCACGCCTGTAATCCCAGCACTTTGGGAGGCCGAGGCGGGCGGATCACAAGCTCAGGAGATCGAGACCATCCTGGCTAACATGGTGAAAACCCGTCTCTACTAAAAATAAAAATAAAAAAATTAGCCAAGCGTGGTGGCGGGCACCTGTAGTCCCAGCTACTCAGGAGGCTGAGGCAGGAGAATGGCATGAACCCGGGAGGCGGAGGTTGCATTGAGCCGAGATCGCGCCACTGCACTCCACACTGGGCAACAGAGCAAGACTCCATCTCAAAAAAAAACAACAAAAACAAAAACAAAACGTGGTTCTTGACCACCAATAGTTTGGGAGGCACCATTGTGAAGAATCTAGCTACCCAATAAACAACATTATGATCAGAACACGGGAGTGCTGAGTGGTATTGGATTTGGTATGTTTCCTCTCTCCCCAAGCTGCCCAGGTTGGTCTATGGCAATCCCATCCTTCCTTTTATGAGATCTGCTCTGTGCCTGTCACTGGGCTTGGGACAGGAGAGTCACGTCACCTTTGACTCATGCCTCCAGCTCAGCCCTCACATCCAACCAGTTGCCAAATTCTGCCTCCCCCAGTGTCAGTGTGTTTCCCATTTCTGCCCTCTTCCTTCCAGCCCCCCTGGCCCCCACAGGACACAGGTCCTTGCCACAGTAGGGTGGTGGTGGCCTCCTTCACACACGCTGTCTGCATCCTGACCCTCCCCACTCAACTCCATCCTCCACACTGCCTGCAGAGGGAGTAAATGTTTTTATTTAAATAAACGTATTTAAGAAGAGTTTTTGATTTATAGAAAACTTGCAAAGATAATACAGAGAGTTCCCATAGACCCTTCACCCAGTTTCCCCCATTGTTAAATGCTTTGATACATTTGCCATAACTAATGAATCAACACTGGTACATTACTATTAACTAAACTCCATACCTGTTTGGGTACCATCAGTTTTGTTCGTAATGTCCTTTTTCTGTTCCAGGATCCCATCCAGGATGCCTTATCATGTTTAGTTATTATGTCTGCCCAGCCCTCTCTAGCCTGTGACAGTTTTTCAAGAGAGGGAGTATTTCAAAGCAGACTCATGGGTTTCCACTCTGCTACAACCTTGGTGGCTCCCCCATTGACTTCCATGACCTGGCCCACAGGACTCATGCCTCTACTTCCATTCACTGTATTCTTCACCCAACCTGAGGCCAACATACAGACAGCCCAGTGTGGGGCTTGGCTCCTGTAACTTTCCCAGGCATGACTTCCCTCTTTCCTTCTTAGTATACGAAATTCCTTCTTGTCCTTCAAGAACCAGCTGGCATATAATCTCAGCCTTCTGATGATCTACATCTGGCTGCCCCATGGCTCACTGCTTATTCCTCTGTTTAGCATGGATTCTCTTCTACTGCCAGGTCTTTCTCCCCACTAGACATAAACCCTCATAAGCCAGGTGGCTGTGGCATAGTGGCTATGCAGCAGGAGAAATTCGCTTATGTTACATTGGGCAAGTGTCTCAGCCTCTCTGACTCAATTTCCTCATCTGTAAAATGTGGCCAAAGATACATACATATCTCCAACGGTTGAGGTAAGAGCTAATGTAACCAATGTGTTATATACTAAATTCTCAACAAACGGTGGCTATAGAATCAACCTAAATGCCCATCAGTGGATGAATGGATAAAGAAAATGTGGTACATATGCACAGAGGAATAGTATTCAGCCATAGAAAAGAATGAAATCTTATCATCTGCCAGTAACATGGATGGAACTGTAGGTCATTATGTTCAGTGAAATAAGCCAAGCACTGGAAGATAAATATTGCATATTCTCACTCATGTGGGAGCTGAAAAGTGGATCTCATGAAGGTAGAGAGTAGATTTGTGGTTACCAGAGGCCAGGAAGAGGAGGGAGGAGCGGGGAGATGGAGAGAAGTTGATTAATGGGTACCAATATACACTTAGATAGAAGAAATGAGACCTGGGGTTTGATAGCTAAGGAGGGTGACTATAATTAACATTAATTTATTATACATTTCAGCTAGAAGATAATAATTCTAATGTTCGCAGCAGAAAGAAAAGATAAATGTTTAAGGTGATGGATATCTCAATTACCCTGATTTGATCTTTACACATTATATGAATGTATCAAATTATCTCATGTACCCCAAAAACATGTACAAATATTATGTCTCAATTTAAAAATTTTTAATTGAAAAAATGGTATAGTTATATTACTGTCATAGTTATTATTTTTGATTCTACCTCAGCCCCTCTGTGCAGAGGCTGGCACATAAAACGCAATCAGAAATTGAATTTGGGTGGGTGCTGTCACTCACACCTGTAAACCCAGCACTTTTGGAAGTTGAGGCAGAAGGGTTCCTTGAGCCCAGGAGTTTGAGACCTTCCTGGGCAATATAGCGAGACCCCATCTCTTAAAAAAAATTGCATGATGACGTGAGCTTGTAGTCCCAGCTACTGGAATGCTGAGGTGGGATGATCCCTGGAGCCCAGGAAGTCGAGGCTGCAGTGAGTTAGAGTTCTGATCGTGCCACTGCACCCCAGCCTGGGTGACAGAATGAGACCTCATCTCTAAAAAATAAGTTGAAGAAAAGAATTGAATTTTATTTAAAAGCTCCATCATTCCACAAAGGCTTTTAGTATTTATAGAGAAGACCCACCAAAGGAAAGGGCAATGCTGAACCCGGTGGAATAAATCACAAATGGTGGAATTTCAGGCAGCAGCAGAAGAGGTATTTGGGGAAAAAACATTTCCTGTCTGTGCTCCTAGAGTCATACCCGTCTGCATCCAACCATGAATCCTGGCCACAGAGTCCTTCAGCACAGCTACCCTGGCCCTAGAGAATCCTAACCATCTCCACAACAATGCTGCTGGAACCGATTCCCATAATCACAGTGTGAACAATTGTCTCTGGGGCAAAATTACCCAGACAATACAGAAGTCAGCTTTGGAGACTGACACACAGGCTCTGTTTGGGCAGAGAGGACCAGCAGGGTTTCCAGTCACAAAGGCACACTGTTGTCATATTAGTCATCAGATGTCAGTGAGAAAGAGGCCCTTGGACATCACCTTGGTGGACAGATGAGGAAACTGAGGCCCGTAGAGTAAAAGGGCATTGCCCAGCCTCAGTCACCATCCATCAGTTCATTTGTTTGTTAATCCATTCATTCCATAAACATTTGGCGAACATATTCTCTGAACCAGATCCCATGCCACTGGGGACAAAATGATGAATGTGATTCCACAGTTTAAAAAACAGCCCAGGCTTAGTGGTGTGGAGACGTCTCCAAGATTCCTTTCAGGCAAGCTCCCCCTGCCTTGTGGGTAGAGTGACTTAGTTTGCTGTGGGAGGCGCATGAATGATTCTGGTCAATATGCTATGGAGCCGGAAGCTCCCAGCAGGTGCCATTCCTTCCAGTTAAAGCTTTGACTCCTCATCAGTCACCGGTCCAACAATTCTCCTTGCTACCCCTAATCCATTCTCTGCCCTTCCATGTGCCCTGTGTCAATTGTATTCACCCCTAGAACCCTAGCATCTAGAACAGTGCCAGCACATGGGAGGTGATATGGTTTGGCTCTGTGTCCCTACCCATATCTCATCTTGTAACTCCCATAATTCCCACGTTATGTGGGAGGGACCTGGTGGGAGATGACTGAATCATGGGGGCAGGTCTTTCCCATGCTGTTCTTGTGACAGTGAATGGGTCTTAAGAGATCTGATGGTTTTAAAAATGGGAGTTTCTCTGTACAAGCTCTCTCTTTGCCTGCTGCCATCTGTGTTAAGACGTGACTTGCTCCCCCTTGCCTTCTGCCATGATTGTGAGGCTTCCCCAGCCACGTGGAATTTTAAGTCCATTAAACCTCTTTCTTTTGCAAATTGCCCAGTCTCAGGTATGTCTTTATCAGCAGCATGAGAACGGACTAATACAGGAGGTGCTCCGTAAATATTTGCCAAACTAATGGAAATGCTATGTAAACTCAAAAGCACAATACAAGTACTAGAACCAGTACCAATGTGTTTGGAAACATTGCATGTGGTTGTGTTCAGTCAGTGTAGCTACTGGGGGGGCTTGGGTTCAAATCTCAGCCCAGCTTCTGACTAAACAACTAGCCAGGTGACTTAGGGAAAGTCACTTCCGTTCTGCAAGCCTCAGTTTCCTCCTCTGCCTCATAAGGTTAAATGAGATCATGCTTCATAAAACACCTGGTTCTTTGTGTATCTGTCACACAAGGGATAACCAATATGACTATTTGGTTACATTTGGCTTTTGTTGCTTAGTTTATTCTTACATAGATGGGCAGCTGGATGTTAGGGAAAAACAGGGACAGGAAAGAGACTCCATCCAGTGGCTCTCTGAAGATTCACCCTTGTTATCAGTCACTTGGGATTCTGTTATCAGAATTTGGGATTGCTTGTTATCACAGCATTACCTAGTCTACCCTGACTAATACAAGGGCACTTTGAGAATCTGATGGAAGCTCAGGCCACAAGAAAACTGCACATTCATGCAAAATTCAGAACCTTTCAATTTTAATGTCTTGAGATTTCGTTGTGTTTCTAAGATCCTTGATGTCCCACAGCCTCCTCTTCTCAGCCTTGGAATCTGAGGCACCTGGGTTGTAAGTGATGCTATGTCAGTGTTCACAAAGGCTCACAAGTCTGCGAAGTGGCCAAGATGAGCTGACCCTGTCACCATGGAGCAAGGCCTATGTGTGCAAATGAGTCATGAGCTGAGAGGAAAGAGCTTGAGCCTGAGCTTTTTTTTTTCTTTTCTTTTCTTTTCTTTTTATGATGATTGCTTGAGCCTGAGCTTGTTTGCCAGATGCTTTCACTAGCCCAAGCTTGTTTTGTGGATGCTTTCTGCTGCCAGCTACTTTGTAGTCCCTCCTGTGTGACAGCATCTTGCCATCAACGGGCTGCAGAAGAAGGGGTGCTTGTTGCTATTGTGAGCAAACACTGCATAAACAATCAGCTCACATGTGTGTCCCAGAGCGTATGACCAATGACCTGGAGAACTCTCAGGCTGTGGGGTGGAGAGAAGGCCATTCTGAGGTCAACTGAAACCTCACTTGAGGGGCAGTTCCGTAGATGGGAATGAGGAGAGAGTCATGGCCACAGCCACCTGGCCAAGGAGAGAGGCCATAACTGCCAGACAGAACCAAGGATGGAGGGACTTCAGCAGCACGAACAATCCACACTCAGCATGGGTCACTCTCTGGGACACACATTTCCCTCTGGCTGAAAGGCTGAGCTGCTCCAGGGCCAACTGTGAGGTCAGACAGCTGCCCAGGGATGTCTCCAGCCACTCAAGGGTGTGTACTCCAGAGCAGAGAAGGGTGGGATGGGGGCAGGGGAAAGAAGGACCCTGGCCTGGGTGTCAGGCCTCCTGGTTCAAATCCCAGACTCATCACCAGCCTCCTGGGGAACCTGGGGCCATGTTACCCCTCTCTGAGCACCTCCCTATCTGGGCCCCTGAAGGGGCTCTGCCCCAGTTTTGAGGGGTAGAGGACCCCTCTTCCAGGCTCAGGGTCAGAGCTGGCTTCTCCAGAGTTGGCAAGTTGGCAAAGTTGGCAAGTGGCTGGGGCTTAACCACCTCTTCCTATCAGAGGCTCATGGCTCTGTCCCTGGGCAGGGGCCACTCTCTGCACTCCAGAAGCCTGCCTACTCCCCAGTATCTTCCCCACTGGTTATTATTATTCAATGCAGGAAGAAGAGACCACTCACCTGTAATTTCAACAGCAACAAAAGACCTGAGGTTCCACCATCAGAACTTCACGCCCTAAGGAAGATGCAGCATTTCCTGTAAAATGCAAGTGCTCCCAGGCAGAGGTAGCTCCCGAAGCCATGATCAGTTATGTATACCTTAGTGGCAGCTGATTAACAGACTCTTCCCCAGAGCCAGCTGACAGGAAGCACATCGGGGTAAAAGGGAAGATGAAAACTTGGGTGCCTGGAGGAAGGGAACAAATGCGAGCAGGAGCATGGTAATAACATAGGTAAAATAGCAGACGTTTATACATTACACCTGTGTGCCAGGCACTGTTGTAAGTACTGGATAGATAGACAGATAAGTGGATAGATAGAGAGCTAGAGCTAGAGAGAGAGAGTGAGAGAGAGAGAGAGATTTATTCTGGCAATAGTACAATGCCATGGGTGTTGTTATCATCACCATTTTACAAATCAGGAAACGGAGGCCCAGAAAGTTCACATGTGCTGGTCTTTGCCCTCCAGACCCACCCTCCACCTTTCTCCTCCCTGCTCTGTGTCCTGAGGGCTGATCTCTGCCCTCAACTTTACCCACTGCCTTGTCCTCTGGCTTCTAGTTGGACTCAGCCCACAGGGGCATTGGCAGGAGTACAGGGGGTCAGAGTATTTGCCCAGCTTCCTTCCTACCAGCCTTGGTTTTAGCAGAGCTGCTTTCCTCTTCCCCTGGCCACAGGTCCCACCCTCGGCCCCTCTCCCAGGGCTCTAGCTGCCACCACTTTCTTCACATGCCCCTTGCCCTTGCTCCTGACCCCTCCAGTCCCAGAGGTTGCACAGCCTTCTGGGGCTGCCCCGTGCTTTGTGGGTTCTGCACACACCTCTGTAAACAGCCCCTCCTGCAAACTCTGCTCAAACATCCATCTCCTGTGGGACCCTGCTCAACATCACTCATCTGGTAAGAGCTAGAGGCGGAATTCAAACCCTGGCCGTCCAGCTGCAGGCTGCCAAGAGCCTCTCAGCCACTATGCCCGTGCCCCTCATCAGTAAGTGTTGGCAACTCCTGAGCCTGCTGTGCATCAGGGTCTCTGTGCATTGCTCTATGGAATGGGATCCCACAGGACTTGGGTCCTGAGGTCAGTGTTTATGAGGGAACGTGGCATTTGTGACTTTACATGACAGTTGCGCTCAGCAGGGTGGACTCACCTGATGCTCACAGGCCTGAAACTGACAGAGGGTCTGGAATATTCCTGCCATTTGTCTTGTCCTCAGTCCTGACTGAGTGTTCTTTGAGCACTCAGCCATATTTGAGCACAACAGCCATGTCAAAGATGAAAATCAGTCCAGGCTCTTTGCTTTGCCAAGGGGGAAACTGAGGCCCAAAGAGGGGTGTAGTTTGGGCCAGGTCTCCTGGCTCCATATGCCAGAGGAGGCATACAGCTCTGAGCAGGAAGGATGACTGTTTCCATAGGAGAGCGCCAAACGCAAGGTTGGCAGGAGGGGTCGGAGCTCGGCGTCCTCACCACCACTGACATTCCAAGGCTCCTCCGTTGAAAGCTTTATTTGGAGCCTAAAAGCTGGTAATTGGGAGAAGTCAGTGTGACTCATATACCAACACTGTTTTTGTTTTTCCTTTCTTAAAATTCTCAACTACTGGCTATTTTTATTTCAGAGCCAGAATTGATTTCGTGGCTTTCTTTCTCCTCTTCTGGGATTTTGTGCCCTATTGCCACAGAAACCCTGGGCCCCTTCCCCAGCTGTCATGAAGGTGCCTGAGTGATGGTCAGAGAGATGACCGGAGGGGCCCACCCGGCCACCGCAGCAGCAGCAGCCAAGGCGGGACTAAGCCTCCACACCCCACATCTCAGTCGTGGCCAGCCCGGGATGCCTGCCTCTCCTGCCCTGTGGTGTTGCTGTCCTCATATGACCCTTCAGTCCCCCGACATGTGAGTCTCCTGGGGACTCAGACCTGCAGCTCCTCACTCAGTCCCTGCCTTGGCACCCCTCCCACCAAAAAGTCTTCTCCACAGGCCCTGGCTTGCTGCCCTCCCCC
The DNA here is from genome assembly GCF_000001405.40 of Homo sapiens. NCBI lineage: Eukaryota > Metazoa > Chordata > Mammalia > Primates > Hominidae > Homo > Homo sapiens. The sequence goes on along the minus strand of NC_000015.10, from coordinate 68,484,719 downwards.
CAGACATCCCCTGGTCTCCCCCAGCCTCCCCACCTCTAAACTCATCATTTGTGCTCTTCCTCCACATGGCTACCAAAGTCATCTTTCATTTTTAATTTGTATTTAACCAAAATAACATATAAGCACATTATTTTCAAAAATAGTGCTACAAATTCAGGAATGCAAACTAGGAATATAAATAAACTTTCTTTTTTCTCTGTTGCTCTCCTTCCTTCCTTCCTTTCCTTCCTTCCTTCCTCCCTCTCTCTCTTTCTTCCTGTCTCTCTTCTTCTCTCTTTCTCTCTCTCTTTCTTTCTCTCTTTCTTCCTTTTCCTTTCTTTCTTTCTTTCTCTTTCTTTCTTTCCTTCCTTCCTTCATTCCTTCCTCCCTTCCTTCTCTTTCTTTCTTTCCTCCTTTCTTCTTTCTCTCTCTCTTTCTTTTATTCTTTCTTTATTCAAAGTCTTGCTCTGTTGCCCAGGCTAGAGTGCATTGATAAAATCAGAGCTCACTGTAGCATTGATTTCCTGGACTCAAGTGATCCTCCTGCCTCAGCCTTCCTAGAAGCTGGGACCACAGGAGTGTGCCACCATGCCTGGCTAATTTAAAAAAATTTTTTAGAGATGGGGTCTCACTATATTGTCCAGGCTGGTCTTGAACTCCTAGGCTCAAGCAATCCTTCCACCTTGGCCTCCCAAAGTGCTGAGATTACAGGCATGAGCCATCACACCCAGCCAGAAATAAACTTTATTAAGCTGATAAAAGGGTACCTACAAAAATCCTACCGCAGATGTGATACTTGGAGTACCATGTGGAACACTTTCCCTCTGAAATCAAGAATGAGACCAGCATGGTTGCACTGCCACTTTTATTCATCACTGCACAGCAGGTCTTAATCAGTGACATAAACAAGAACAGACAAAAAGATATGCAGGGGCCAGAACACATTTTCTAAATTCCTAATATTGTAAAAACATTTTTAATTATTTTATTGCTTAAAAAATAATATAAACTACCTCAAATCCTTAGAAGGAGCAAGGTAGATGTGGAAATTAAAGATGCCACCAATTATTTGCTACTGCTCTGGGTCAAATTCCTCTCTTCTTGCAGCTGGACAGGCTTTAGGGACCTGCTTGAGCAGAACATGGTAGAAGTGATGGACTGGGGCTTCTGAGGCTAAGCCATAAGAAGCCTTGAGAATTTCACCTGGCCCTCACTGTCTCTGGGAGCCCTGAGCCATGATAGAAGAAGTCCTTCCTATATTGAATGTCCTTGAGACCTCCAGTACTGGAAAGGGCATTTGTAGATGCTCAGACCAACAGTCCAAACTGAGCCCAGTCTGCCAACTTGCCCTGCCAAGGTGTCAGATGCATATGTGAATGAGACCATCCTAGACCTGCTGATAGCCCATCACCCGGCTGACTGCTACTGAGTAACCTCTGCCAACTTCACGCCGAACACAGAACTGCTGATTTGAACTCTGCCTGAATTTCTTGGCCCACAGAACAATGAGATATAATTAAAAGGCAATGGTTCAAGCCACTATGTTTTGTAATTTGTTTTACAACAAAAGATAATCAGAATATAGCTGTAACAAATAGTGAGTACCAAACTTCTACGTAAAGATATACATGGATATTTTCTTCTATTTTTTTTTTCTATTTTAATTGGTTTTAGAGCTGGGGTCTCACTCTTTGGCTAGAGTGCAGTGGAGTAATCACAGCTCACTGAAACCTCGAACTCCTGGGCTTAATCAATCCTCCCACTTCAGCCTCCTGAGTAGCTGAGACTAGTCATAAGCCACCATACCTGGCTGATATCTTCTCTTTTACGAAAATTCATGAAAAACTGTCATCTCCTGCCTCCATCATTGGTTCCTTCCCTAATGGCACCAACTTTCAATTCTTTTAGCTCTTTCTTCTGGTTTCGATTTCCAAGTTTTTAAAAATAAATATGTATGTATTTATAATGTTATTACTTGAATTGCTTGTTTTTACAGAATCTCTTAACCTCCTGTCCTGGTAGTCTGGGATTTAACACTTTACCTGTGACTCTCCCACTTTCTTTATTCCCATATTTCCAAAAGCACACATTTTAATTAAATCAGTAAGCACATTTCCGTTACTATGTGTAGAAATGGTTCCAGATGGGTCAAATAGTGACTATGTTTATTTCCTGTGGCATTTAACCCTTTCTTCCGCGCTGGCATTCACCCCTTAGACCTGGCCCTCAGGATTCCTGCATGGCTCCTACGCTGGCCCTCCTCTGACTGCATCTTTCCAGAGAGATTGAGGTGCTCCCAGGCCCAAAGGGATGTCCCTACCTGGGGCCCCCACCCCTCCCCTCTGGCCACACTTCCAGTTCCTGGGACTCCCAAATTCCCTGGTCAAATGTCCACAAGCCCATTTCCAGAGAGTTCTCTCCAGAACCACTCCTCCTAAAGAGGGCACATATCCCTGGGCCCTAAAGGAGGCCAAGAGGTGGGTGCTTTCTGGAGGGGTGTGGACAGACTGGAACATGAAAGCCGACATGTCCCCATGCATGTGCACCAGGACCCTCAGGAGGCAAGAAATGGAGATCGGCCTCTCCAGGGGCCTGCCCTTGGTCTTGTGCTGGGCTAGCATTAGACCGAACGGCTATCCCCCCGGTCCCCCACCAGCCTCCATTGATTGGGTTTTCTAAATTCCCACAGCCATTTCTCCACAGTGTTCCAGATATATCTGTCAAATGTCTAGCAACAATTGCACCAATACCTCAAACCATCTCATCCATCCATTCTATTTCCCCCTTTTGTGTAAAAAAAACTAAAGAAGAAACACCCAACAGCCACTGGGTGCCAGGCAGTGTGCCCAGTGCTGGAGCACGTGTGATGCATAAGGTCGGCTCCTGTCCTCTGGAAGCTTGCAATCTGGTGAGAGGGCAACATGAAGCCTGAGGTTATCTCCTGAATGCTACTCTTATAGGATTTTCCTTAGTTCAGCTAAAGACGGGGTTCTTTGTCCCATGGCCATGAAAATTCAGGCTTGCAGACAATTTGGTGAGTAAGACAGGGTTTTATTGGGTGAAAAGGAAGAAAAGGGGGAAACAAGGACTCTCACTAGACCAGAGCCCCTTGCTGGAGCGCTTCCTGCAGGCAGCTTGGATCCCAGATTCCACACAGGAAAAGGAGGGGCCAGGCTCCTCCCCGCTGCAAACGGTGCAAACTTCCTGAGGCTCTACCCCAGTGCTGGAGTTTCTTTGGGGACCCCTTCCCACCTGGCTGTCTCACCACCTACACAGGTCCAGGCTCCCAGGGTGGCTGGGGGGACCCAGATACATAGAGAAAGACAGGCAGAAGGGGACACAGGGTGGGATGTTTTCATCTTGGGAATCCATAAACTTCTTACTGTAAAATTTCTTCAAACAAATTGAATGGGAAAAACATAAAACCAATAAGGGAGATAAAAGCAAGCTGTTTATGGAACCCTATAAACAGGGGTGGCTCAGAACACAATTTGAAAATCACTTTTCCAGGCCATTATACCAAGGTGTTTATAGCCATGTCACCTTTTTTGCAACTATAAGCACCAAATAAGAATGTGCTTGTTGCTTCTTGCTCCATACATGAGTTGAAATTAAGGCAAGGCTTCATTTAGCCAGGGGGACAGAGGTTCTCTACCCCTACCTTAACTCAAAGCAGTAAATGGCTAATAGCAGGTGCAAGGGGTTAGCACCACTCTGGGGGGTATTTGATCAGGGGAGTGGGCTTCTGTGTTCCTCCAATTGTATCATGAAGACAACCACCCACACCAAAAAGCACCAGGCAACTCTGTCTGGTACCCACTTCTCCATCCTTTCCTCCATTCACTCACTCAACTCATACATTTGGGGAGCACAAGTTTGTCAAGGTTCTCTGTTAGGCGTTTGGGACTACTGCAGTGAACCAGATACCCACCCTAGGGTCAGTAAAGAAGATAAGGCCTGTGTCACAAGAGAGGTACTGGTCGAGTGTTACAGGAGCTCAGAGGTGGAAGAAATCCCTGCCAGCGGAAGGAATGAGGGAAGGATCCCTGTGGGAGATGGCACTGAAGCTAAGCGTTGAAGGCTAGTGAGACCTGGACATGGGGAATCAGAAGTCTTTTTCAGGTCAAGACCCTGGTTGGGAAGACCAAGTTTCCTTTCTGCCAGAGCACAGTGGGAATGGAGGGGGTGGAGCACTGGTGAAATACATCCCCTCAAAGCTGCCCTGAACCCAGACCCAACTGGACAACCCCTGGCTCGTATGTGTGCCTGTGTCACCTGGGGCCATTTTCCAGCATTTGCCTGTGTACAACCTGTCCGGTCAACTCAAGTGAGAGCACCCCAAGGACCAGGACTATTTCATCTTCCGTGAAGACAAGTCACTGCATGGAGGTGGAGCATAATAAATGCTTGCTTGCTTGTTTCTTCGTTCATGCAACAGATGTTTATTGGGCACCTACTATGTATCAGCCTCCATTCTAAGCACTGGAATAGAGCAAGGAACAAAGAGATATTGCCCTGCCCTTGTGGCACTGACATGTCAGTGAAAGCTGCAGGCACAGGCTCTTTCCCGGCTGGCTAGACAGTTGATCTCCAACTCACCCTGAAGACTGAGAAAAACAAGCGTTCTCATCTCAGCTCCCTGCTTAGCTGTGTGACTCAGGGAAAGCTCTGTTATGCCTCTGAGTTTGTATCCTTGTTTATGAAAACAAGGCATTCATGATCGCACCCCACAGTGGGGCTAATGTGGAACAACGTGGGGAATGGAACAATCTGGGAGAGGTGCCCAGCACAGTGCCCTGGCCTAGTGGTACCTCTGCCTTACAAATATTAGTCCCTTTCCCTGCCCCATGCTAAGACCTCAGTTTTCTCATCTTTATAATGACCAGTTTGGGCCAGATGCTCTCCTCTCAAAAGGCCTTCTTGCAGCTGTAACATTTTGTGATTTCAAAATTCCAAAAAGGCAGGAGCAGTGGGAGGGCTCGTGTGTTATTCCTCGCAGTAAATCAGCCCCCGTATGAAGTCAGCTCGCCTCCCTGGCACGCCTCAGCTTTTCCCTTTATGAGGTTTGGGACCTGCCAACTCCTTTGAGCCACACTGGCTGCTTCTCCAAGCGTAAATGGCTTTACCATCCGCGTGTGCAGCTTACCCGTCCCCCTGCAATCCTGTGGAGAGGAAAACGGCCCCTTCTTATGCAACCCTGTCTGGAAAGACAGACAGCAAATGAGCACAGCTAAAAGTATTTCATTTTCGTGTGTGGTGGGGGGCCGAGGGGGGTTGTGGGAAGGTGGGTGACATTCCAACATGCTCTGGATTTTTATCTGTGTTTTGCTAGGAATATAAGAAATAAGAACACAAGAGTGGCAGCTCGGGCAGCTGTGAATCCGTCCCACAGTATTTTCAGTCCAGGATTCTGAAATGTCCTCCTCCTCCTTCCTAGAAAATGCACCCAGCCTCAAGGTTCCATCCAACCTCATTAGTGGATATGGTCAATTCCCGCCCAGACTCCCTCAGATCTCACCCTCTGGCTTTTTGGAGCTTTACTGCTAATGGCAGCAACTGTGACCTTCAGAGCAATATTCTTGGACACTGGAACAGCCTCACCACAGGGAGACCTGGACATAGGAAGGATTGATCTCCATCCACCCAAACTCCATAGCCAATGCCTGCCATCTCAGAGCTCCCCCTGGGAACAGGCTGAGCACGGGACTTCACCTGCCCTGGAACCCTTGCTTGGCTTCTTCCCCTAGCCGATCCTGCCTCACCCACTTCCTCGGCAGTCCTCCATGGGAGCACACCCTGGGCCAATCCATGGCACCTGAATGCTGGCTCCAGGTCTACTCCTGGTAGAACCCCACTTATTTTAGAACACTTATTTTAGAGATAACACAACAGACTCAACGTGGTTAAAGGAAGTAATAATCATGACTTTTTCAAGTGCCAGTGACAGAAACCTCTTTCAAATTAGAATAAGTAGAAAAAGGCTATTCATTTCAGTATTTGCCTTGAGGCCTCTGGATAGAGGATAGGCCTTTGCCTTGAGGATAGAGTTAGGAACTCTAACAATTTCAAGTTACTGCTTCTTCCAGGTGGCTGAGGAAGAAGATTCTAGGGAGTTCCTTGTAATTCTTAGGGTCTGTGTTTCCAGAGGAAAGGAAGGTGCCCTTTCTTATGGCTCTTGGGAAGGAAGGAGGAAGAGGAGGAGGCAGCTCGAGGAAGACTCTAATTAATCTTGCCTTGATCACATCCTGATACCAGAATCAGTTATTCTGGCTAGATTGATGAGTCCCTGAATGGCCAGACCACAGAACTATGCCCATACCTGGCCAGCAAGGACAGGTCAGCCCTGTCTGAATCACAGGGAGTGGAGGAGAGGAATAGGGAAGACCAGGGCACTGAGTTAGAAGTGACTTACCAAAGGCCAAGGAATTAGTAAGTGGTAAAGTTGAGATTTGAACCCAGGTGCTCTGTCTTGATGCTGAGGGTTGGTTTCATTATACCACAGCTGTGATCCACAGCACCTAGCCAGTACCAGGGGCATCTCAATGACCATGGTCAACATCAGCAGCCATGACATCCACTAAATTTATAGGACATCTTTAACCTTTCAACTCACTTTGACCAACACTCTCTTTTTCTCCATCCCCAGAAAACTGCAAGACATGCAGACTGATTGTAGATTCATATGCAATTCTAAGAAACAATACTGGGAGAGCCCAGGTATCCTTTACTCAGTTTCCCCTGTTGGTAACTATGGTATGCGATCACAGCCAGGAAATTGGCATTGGTATAGTCAAAATGTTTCCCACCACAAGGATCTCCCATGATGCTCTTTTAGAGCCACACCCACTTCTTTCCTATCCCCGCCTCTTCCTTAACCCCTGGAAACCACTAGAGAATCTTATGTTCTCCATTTCTATAATTTTGTCATTTAAAGAGTGTTATATAAGTGGAATCATATGGTCTATCACCTTTTGGTATTGACTTTTTTTCACTCTGTGAATTCTCTGGGTATTCAGCCAGTTGCTGCGTGTATCAATAGTTCATTCCTTTTTCTTGCTGAATAGTATCCCATGATCTGGATGTACCACAGTTTGTTTAACTATTCATTCACCTGTTAAAGGACATCTGGATTGTTTCCAGCTTGGAGCTATTACATATAAAACTGCTGTAAACATGCATGTATAGTTTTCATGTGAACACAAGTCTTCATTTCTCTGGGATAAATGCACAGGAGTGCAATTGCTGGGTCATATGTAGTTGCATGCTTAATTTTTAAAGAAACCGCCAAACCGTTTTTCAGAATGGCTGTGCCATTTTTTCATTCTCACCAGGTTTGTATGCATGATCCAGTTTCTCAGCACTAACACTTTCTAGGTTAGCCATTCTGAAAGCTGAGTAGTGATATCTCATTGTAGTTTTAGCTGAGTTACCTTAATGGCTAATGATGATGTGCCTCTTTGCCATCTGTATGTCTCCTTTGGTGAAATGTCTGTGCACATTTTTGCCCTTTTCCTAATTGGATTGTTTGAGTATTTTACTGTTGAGTTTTGAGGACTTTATTCCAGATACTAGTCCTTTGTCAGTTATGTGGTTTGCAAGTATTTTCTCCCAGTCTTTAGTTTTTCATCCACTTAGCAGGGTATTTTTCAGAGTAAAAGTTTTTAATTTTGATGAGGTCTATGTATTAGGCCATTCTTATGTTGCTATGCAAATATCTGAGACGGATAATTTATAAGAAGAGAAGTTTAATTGTCTCATGATTCTGCAAGCTATACAGGATGCATGATGCCAGCATCTGTTTCCAGAGAGGGTCCAGGAAGCTTTTCCTCATGGTGGAAGGTGAAGTAGGAGCAGGCACTTCACATGGAGAAACCAGGAGCAAGGAGGGAGGGGGTGCCACACACTCTTACATGACCAGATCTCATGAGAACTCACTCACTATGATGAGGACAGCACCAAGCCATGAAGGATCTGCCCCCACAACCCAAACATCCCCCACCAGGCCCCACCTCCAACACTGGGGAGTACACCTCAACATGAGATCTGGAGGGGACATCCAGACTACGTCAGTACAAATTATACATTTTCCTTTTTATGGATCATGCTTTTGGTGTCAAATCTAGGGACACTTTTTTTTAGCCCTAGATCACAAAGATTTCCCCCTATGCTTTTTTTCTAAAAGTTCTATAATTTTATGCTTTGCATTTAAGTCTGCAATTTTTGTATAAGGTGTGAGGTTTATATCAAGGTTCATTTTATTTGGCCTATAGGTATTCAATCACCCCAGCATCATTTGTTGAAAACGTGATTCTTTATCGAATTTTTGCACCTTTGTCAAAAATCAGTTGCATCTATTTGTGTGGGTCTACTTCTGAGTTCTCTATTCTGTTTTATTAATCTATGTGTTTATCCCTCCAACAATACTACACAACCTTGATTACCGTAGCTATGGTGTAAGTTTTTTGAACTTGGGCGGACTGATTTCTCCCCATTTACTTTTTCAAAATTGTTTTAGCTATTCTAGTTCCTTTACCTTTCTACATAAATTTTCAAATAATCTTGTCTAGATCTACAATTGGGAAGAATTGGTGCTAATTCTTCTTTAAAGTTTTGGTAGAATTCTCCAGTAAAACCATCTATCCTGGAGATTTCTTCTTGGAAGTTTTTTAAATTATGAATTTAATTTTTACATATAATTAAACATTATATATACATTATCATTCATTTTGAAGGATTTTTAAATTTCTATTACAGATTTACTTTTGAACCCAGGAGCTGAAAATTAGAGCTGAGTGTCCAGTGTAAGAAGTGGGAAAAACAACAAAAGAATAAACTGAAAGAGACTAGAAGGAAGGAGTTAATAAAAATAAAAGTGAAAATTCATGAAATAGAAGATGAATACCCTAGAGATCAACAAAGACAAAGTCAATTCTTTAAAAAAAGAAATACAGTAGAAAAATGTGTAGTAAGAGAGACAGAGATGGAGAGAGGGTAGGAGAAACAGAAGGAGAAGGAGGAGAATAAGAAGGGGGGGAGGAAGAAGAGGATGAGGAAGAAGTTGAAGAAGAGGAGAAGAGGGAGAAGGAGGAGGAAGAAGAGGAGAAGAGGGAGAAGGAGGAGGAAGAAGAGAAAGAATGAGGAGGAGCAGAAGGGCTTGCCTATTGTTTCCTCAGGAGTAGATTCAGGTTATGCATTTCTGGCTGGAATGTTACATAAGTAATGTCAGGTCCTTCCCAGGATATCACATCTGGAAACATATGGAGACATATTATGTCACCTGCCCTTTATTGAGGATACTAATTTTGATCACCTGGTTTAGGTGTCATATAACTTCTCCATTGAAAAGTTATTTTTTTCAGGCTGGGTGCAGTGACTCACGGCTGTAATCCCAGCACTTTGGGAGGCCGAGGCAGGTGGATCATTTGAGGTCAAGAGTTCAAGACCATCCTGGCCAACATGGTGAAACCCTGTCTCTACTAAAAATACAAAAATCAGCTGGGTGTGGTGGTGGGCGCCTGTAATCTCAGCTATTCGGGAGGCTGAGGCAGGAGAATCACTTGAACCCAGGAGGCGGAGGTTGTAGTGAGCCAAGGTAGCACCATTGCTCTCCAGCCTGAGTGACAAGAGCGAAAATCCATCTCAAAAAAAAAAGAAAAGTTATTTTTTCTTTGCAATTATCAACCAACACATAGAGAGAGAATGTTAGACTATGAAAATATCTTACTCATCACCAAATTTTCCACAAGCTTTTGTATCCATTGCTGAAACTTGCCTCTTCCAATGTTTACGGCTACATCCCCTCCACATTTGCCAGAGAGCATGCAGCATTCTACATTCTTGGCGATAGCCCTCCCTCCTCTCCCATGTGTGTCTGTTTGTTTGTATTTACCTACTTATCTATTTATCATGGCTATAGACTCTAAAACTTCTACCTTTTCAGTAATTTATAATTCACTGTTATTCCAAATTATTTGAGTGTTCAAGTTATCCTAGATTTGACCAGTGGAAATCCCTTCCAGTTGGTTCTTATGTCCTTGTAACATGCTCCCATCATTTTTTGAGTGAGTCTTTCCTTTCTGGCATACTAAGATGTTTTAGGCTTATCTTGTACCTATCCTGACCCAGCCCTAGAATCAGTCATTTCTTCAAGCAGCCCTGGTTTCTTTCATTGGGGAATAATAGTAGAGACCAAGATCTAGGCATTGGGTGTGCTCACCACTACCAGGGTGTCTTTGATTCTAGGTCCTTTTAGTAAACAGAGCTAGGAAACATAAACACACAATCATATAATATATATATATATATGTACACACACACGTATGTACAAATACACATTACATGTGCATACCTATACATGTACACATACATAGACATATTCTAGAAATCATGAGTTTACACTGATACCTCCAACTCCAATTTATCCCCATTCTTTCTTGCCTTCCCTCAGTCTGTATTTAGCTGCCCCTTCTTTCACAGTGAAAATTCTATCTCCCAACTAGCACCATCCCCTTATTTAATCAATCCTACATTCATCTAAAAGGGTTTCAGAATTGCTTCGCCCATAGCACTAGAACAAAGCAAGCTGCAATTCCGACCCCTGCTGCCTCCGACCCAAGTGTGAAGTTACATAGTTGAGTACTGTATTCATACGCCTCTTGGATTCATTTTTTCTTTTTTCCCTTCTGTGTGGTTATGGTACTTTTCTGAAATACAGTTGAGTTCATTTAAATACAGTTGAGCTTGGTGTGTTAAAAAGAATGGGAAGGGGAAAAAACCTTCCCCCTTTACGTTCTTTTAAATTTTATTTAATTTTTTTGAATACACAAAATATTTACATGCTTCCAAAAGTCAAAACTATACAAAAAGGTATACTCAGAGAGGTGTCACTCTCTCTCACATTCCTCCCGCCCCATCCCTCCACACTTGTAAGTAACCAGCTTCATTGTTTTCTGGCTCATCTTTGCTCTGTCTTTTTTTTATATAAAGGTAAGCAGACATGGCTATGTTTTCCTATTTCTCCATTTCTTACTCAAAAGGTAGCCCACTGTATATGCCCTTTTGCACCTAAATTATTGTCACTTAAAAATATTTTCTGGAATTAATTGCATATCAGTTCATAGAGGTCTTCCCCCAGCCCTTTTTTACGGTGGAGTAGTACTCACTCTCACAAATTGCCATGGAGAGTATAAAATAGCACATCCACTCCAAGAGACGGTTTGTGGCCAGGTGTGGTGGCTTGACTGTAATCCCGGCACTTTGGGAGGCTAAGGCGAGAGGATTGCCTGAGCCCAGGAGTTTGAGAACAGCCTGGGCAACATAGGCTGTCTTTACAAAAAAAATACAAAAACTAGCCAGTCCTGATGGCACATTCCTGTAGTCCCAGCTACTCGGGAGACTGAGGTGGGAGGATCACTTGAGCCTGGCAAGTTGAGGCTGCAGTGAGCCGTGATCATGCCACTGCCCTCCAGTCTGGGTGAGAAAATAAAAATAAAAAATAAAAAAATAAAAAACGATTTGCCAGTTCACTGTCTTATAAATTTGAACAGTCACATACCCTTCAGAACTCAACGTTTCTACTCCTAGTTTTATACCCAAAACTGGAAGACACATACAAGAATTTTCAAAGCAATGTTATAATAGCAAAAACCTAAAAAAAAAAAGCACAGTACTGCCCATCAAATGGAGATTGAATCAACAAATTGTGGTAGAATATTTTACAGCAGTCAAAATTGGTGAACTATAGCTACACAATAATATAGGTGAATTTTACCAGTAAACTATTGAATAAAAAGCCTAAGTGAGAGAAGTTAACAGATACCACAATACCATTGTTATAAAGATTATACAGATAAAAACAAAAGCAAATTAAACAATTTACTCCTCAGAAGTGTAGTGGTAAACTGTTTTGCATGTACACACACATATATATGTATATTTTTGTGTACGTGTGTGTGTATTCATATATAATGGTAACCATATTTTTAAGGTAAAGCAATGATGAATACAAGATTCAGGATAATGATGAACTCAACAGGAGGAGGCAGGAAGATGGGATGGGAAAAGCCAGTTAGCAGTGTTCTATTTCTTGCTGTTGGTGGTAGGTTCAAAGGTGACGCATACATAAATGAAAAGATAGACCATGGATACAGCCATGATAAGCATATGCCATGAACCATACAGACATATCCAGGTTGTGTGGATCTCAATCCCGCAGCTTAGACAATTTAGGGGAGATGAGACCTTCTAAGAAAAAAATATACAAATTACAAATTTGTTCAAATTTACAAGACTGTGGACTGGCAAATTGTTTCTTTTTTTTTTATTTTTTGCCACAGGATCTCACTTTCTCACCCAGCCTGAGTGCAGCGGCCTGATCATGGCTCACTGCAGCCTCAACCTGCCAGGCTCAAGTGATCCTCCCACCTCAGTCTCCCGAGTAGCTGGGACTACAGGAATGTGCCACCACGCCTGGCTAATTTTTGTATTTTTTGTAAATACAAAATCAGATATCAAAGTGATCATTATTAAGAATGAGAAATTACACATTTCTAAAATATGACAACATAATCATCACAAAATCCAGAAGAATAACAGTTTTTATTATTAGTAGCAATAGACAGTCTTACACACCTCTATGATACTGACACATTTTTTTCCTATATTTTAACATTTCTGACCCATACTCTGTGATCACCTCTTCATGTAATAATGATTTTATAAAATTACTCTTCCAAAGAAAAGAAAAAGATAATTCGGCCTTCCCTCAGGCATGGGTTTTTAAACTGTGTTTCATGATGGTAGTTTGGAGGAAGCAGCTCCACGACCTGTTACTAATAATGTCACACCTGAAATGTCCTCAGCAGTCTCTTGCTCAGCCGATGCTTTATGCCTAGGGCCACTGTCATCTGCACCTGCTGGACTGGTAGCCCTTGGAGCCAGGTGACCGTTGATAAAAGAAAAACTTCAGCCAAATTAAATTTAAAGGAGTCTAACTGCGCAATTAATGAGTCATGAATCAGCCAGCCTCCTAAGCCAGAGTAGGCTCAGAAGCTCCAGTGCAGTCATCTGGTGGAAGAAGATTTATGGGGAGAAAAAGGAAAGTGACATACAGAAATCAGAAATGAGATAAAGAAATAGCTGAATTGGTTACAGCTCAGGTGTTTGCCTTATTTGAACATGATTCAAAACGTTGGCTACATTTAATTGGCCTAAATGCTGTGACTGGCACAGGCAACGGTCTGGTTACACCTCCACTTGTTATAGTTCATGATGTACAGAAAAAAACTTTAGGTTGAACTTAAAATATGTAAGGAGACAGCTTTAGGCTAAACTTGATTTAACGTCGTGAAGCCTGGGTCATAACAGTATCTCCTTCAGAGTCCTTCCTGTGGCTTTAAAAGCAGGACCCACACATTCAGTGACATCCCTTGGGGGGGTATCAGGGTGCCCTGTGGATATGGGGTGGTGCTGGCATTACCAGGGCAGAGGCTACAGACGCACTGCATGGCTGAACCGCTGCTTCCTCCTGCATGCTCAGCAGAGGATGCCTCAGCCTTGCAGAACCCACCCAAGACGGGGGGCTCTGAAACTGAAACCTCATTAGCTTTGCTGCCAATCACCTCTGGAACCAGGCTTGTGAGTAGCCTGGTCCTGCTCCTCTGAGGTCACTAATAACAAGACCCTAAGTGATGGCATTGGTGGTGGTTGCTGTGTCTCTCTGGGGCACCCGAAGTAGGGCAAACGAACTACAGGTCATGTCACTGAGAGCATGAGGGAAGGCAGGTTCAGTGATCCCAGCCTTGCTTTTTTGAGTCATTTACCCAAATATTGGTGAGCATCTACTACATGCGAGTTTCTGTGCTGGGAACTGAGGTACAATGGACATGATGGGGCTAATCCCTTCCCTGTGGGAGCTTCCTTAAGAGAAGAAGGCATTAGTTTAAGTCTGGGCACACTTGCCTGTCAGAGTTAAGTGTCCCCCGACCTTAGGCCTCCTCTGGCTTCTGCTTTTACTCTATCAAACCCTCAGTGTTCTGTTCCATATGCACACTGGACATGTTGGTTCATTTACTCCCGGATTCCTGGGGCCCAGCACACAGCTGACATCAGCGCATTTGTTGAATGGAGCTGGCTGACCAGAAAAACCCAGGACAGGGAGACTTGGAGGCCATATGATAATGAAGGAAGTTGAACTGGGACTTTAGCACTCACCTTAGGAACCTCCCCAGCCTGTTCTGACTTCTGAAGCCAGCCACACGCAAAGTGGCTCTCTCTCGCTTCCGTCTTCACAGTGTGAGTAGCAGGGAGATCCTGATCTGCTGGCTCTTTCCTGGGGGAGAGGTGGTGGGCGAAAGAAAGAGCATGGCCTGGTGGTTGCGAGCAGACAGTGCTGGATTCAGATCTCTGCTGTACTACTCACTGTCCTGAGGCCTCCCTGAGTCCCACACAGCTACAGGCTCGTTCTCTGCAAATGATGACAGATGCCAGGCGCAGTAGCGTCTCCTGGAGTATCACCTGGGAGGCCGCACAACTAGAAAGTCCACAGGGGCTCAGTACAAGGTCCCAGCCCTACTGGGCACGCAAAGCCTCTCTGCTCTCACGCCTGACCTTGCACTAAGGGTAAGCTCCAGGAGGGCTGGGCTCATCCTTACCCCCACCGTATCCTTAGCATCCAGAACAGGGTCTGGTACAGAGCCAGTACAAGATAAATATTTATCCAAAGATGAAAAGATTACACTGCAGAAATAGAATAAATACAAAATTTTATTGTCAAAAATGACACGTCACTAGACTTGTTGCTTTGGTTAAAACGACTTCCTGGCTATGAAAAATCTGGCCTCAAAAATGTGTTTTCCACTTTTCAGGAGGACTAAATGCCAATTCAGTGCTACTTGAAGAGCTCTTTCCTTTGTTGATTCTATTATTACTAATTCACTGTGAAAGGTTCAATTGCAGACTAGGAGAAGTAGAGAGCTGGACTGGAATGAGATTGTCATAGCTCTGCTCACATATCAGAAAGCTGCAAATATTCTTTCCTCCTTTCATTTCTATACTTCAGATGTCCCAAACCAGCCTGCCAGCAGTGTTTGTCCCCTGCCTTCCCTCCAACCCACCCTTAGGAATCTCAGCACAACCAAGGAAAGAGGGTGACCTTGTGCACTTGAGTGTGTATGTGACTATGGGTGTGAATATACCTGAGTGTGTGTGTCCTCCTGTGTGAGTATGTGTGTGACACTTCTTTCCCCGTAAGGTGTTCAGAACCCAGGCTTCACTTGGTACCTCCTGTGAGCTCTGGAGCCAGGTTCTCCACTCTGTTATACCACAGTTGCCCAGAGAAGGACCCACGCACCATGTTCAGTAGACCTGGAATGCCATAAGGAATACCCAGACCTATAAATTATCTGCCTGGAGGTTCCCCAGCGCTGTCTAGGTTACCTGGACCCACACAGAAATCCTGTCTCCCTGGAAATCTAGCTTTTTAGCTCACTTTCCTAAATGAGGACAGGTGCCCCGTCCTCACCTTGGCATTCACTTCTCTCTCTTTATTCCCATACCCAAGCTGCAGCTACTACCAGCCTGTGTAGGCCACCAGTCTACTGCAGGGGTGGCCTCCTCTAGTCTCACATAAGATGCAGCTTCTCCTCAGCATAGTCCCTAATCACCTTTAGAGTCTTCCACTCCCCCCATCCCTCCTCCACCCTAGAATTTCTCCTTTATGACCTCCTCATGGGTCATCCCTCTCTGTTATTCCTTACCCCTGCATCTCATTGTATGTTTTTTTTGTTTTGTTTCATTTTTTTGAGATGGTGTCTCACTCTGTCTCCCAGGCTGGAGTGCAGTGGCACAATCTCAGCTCACTGCAACCTCTGCCTCCCGGGTTCAAGCAATTCTCCTGCCTCAGCCTCCTGAGTAGCTGGGATTACAGGCGCACGCCACCACCCCCGGCTAATTTTTGTATTTTTATTAGAGACGGGGTTTCACCATGTTGGTCAGGGTGGTTTCGAACTCCTAACCTCGTGATCTGTCTGCCTTGGCCTCCCAAAGTGCTGGGATTACAGGTGTGAGCCACCATGCCTGGCGGCATCTTTCTTTTTTTTTAGATGGAATCTTGCTCTTGTCGCCCAGGCTGGAGTACCATGGCTCAATCTTGGCTCACTGCAACCTCTGCCTCCCGGTTTCAAGCGATTCTCCTGCCTCAGCCTCCCGCGTAGCTGGGATTATAGCCATGCCTGGCTAATTTTTTTTTCGATTTCTACTAGAGATGGGGTTTCCCCCATGTTTGCCAGGCTGGTCTCGAGCTCCTGACGTCAGGTGATCCACCAGCCTCAGCCTCCCAAAGTGCTGGGGTTACAGGTGTGAGCCACTGCGCCCGGCCTCACTGCATCTTATTGCACCAAAATAATGAACATCACTCGTCTGCTGCTGTCTCTTTTCTTCCTCTTTGCCCTTGTGAGATTATTCCTTTTCTACTAGCAAGGAAGCTCCATGAGGGCAGGATGTATGTCTGTTTTGCTCACTGAAGTATCCCAAGTTCCTGGCATAAAGTAGGTGCTCAGTAAATATTATTGAACACCAAAAAATGCATAGTATGGTTGAGCAACTGGCCAGCGGGTTTGGAATTAGCTCAATTTATCAGCTTCTGGAGCATTTTTGGAAATCCCAGTAGCTCCAGAAATAACGTTACTAAAGCCCCAGGAAAGGAACATTCTGTTACTTGTTAAACAACTTCTCACCAAAGCCAAAAAAACAAAACAAACAAACAAAAAAAACCACCTCTCACGACCAACTCCATCAATAATTTCATCCTTCTTTAGCCAAATCCACTTGGGGAGAAAGAGCAATAGAATGTGCAAGGAGCAAGGAGTCCCCATTTTACCAGGTACATCTGTGGTTTCCTTAGAGTTCTGGTTTGCAGTTTTGACTGGGCATCATAATTCCTGGAGAGTTTGTTTACTCCTGTGCTCTGTACCCAGAGGCTTGGCTTTCCTAGATCTGGGATGAAGCCCAGAATCTGCATTTTAATAATCTCTCTATCCAATTTAGAAGCGACTGGCAATCTCCCATCTCAATTTGAAATACTATATCTTAGAGTTTATAAGAGCAAATGAAAATTCAGCAAAGATACGACCTGTCATGAAGGAGGCTAAGGGGAGTTGGTTGATAAACCAAGCATCAGGTTTTCTCAGGAGCCACAGCTGAAAAAAGGACATTATGAAAGCTGAAAGGACAGGCAGACACACAGCCAAGAATGAATCCCAGAATAAACTGAAGAAAGTTTTCTAAAGGAAATGGATGTGAGTTTTTAAGGATTTGTTTTGTGAAGGAGAATATGGACTTCATGGGCATTTACGCATGGGGTATGAGTTACAGGGAAACAGATTTCAGCTCCGCATAAGAAAGAATTTTATCACAGACTCACCTTGCAATATATTGGGTTAAAGGATTTACTTGAAGGTTGGAGAATATTATATTTACCATCATTTCTTCTTTGAGATAGCATTCACAGGGCTAGAAAGGGGAACAATGACCAGCAGTTGGGCTTAAGAATGGAATAAATGCCCAAAAAGAAATCTTCCATAACAAAATGTGATTACCATTGTTAAATAACTGCTGGAAGGGAGATCTGGAAAATTGTGGCATTTTTCCTTAGTGGTGAATGCAAGTTTGGGCTGGAGCTGAACTGCCAGACAGAGTAGTAAAGAGCTGTATGGGGGAAGGGTGGGGGAAGTGTATCACTGAGGTATCAAGGTAGGAGAAACTTGGGGAGAGCAAACAGGATAAGAAAGATGTCTGGGGACCTCTACTGTTATGTTGTATATGACATTACTACCTGGCTTTCATCTCACCTCAAAATCTTCATTAAGCTTTAGGGTTTTCACAAATGTTTTGGGCTTTTGAGGGACACGGTAGTCTTGATTGCTGATTAAGTTGGACCCGAGAAAAAAACCAAAGACTGCTCCTAGAAGAAGAGCCAAATATTAGTTTTAGCAATGCTAATAGCCACTAGCAATTGAGCTCTTATTGCATGCCACACATGGTGCTAAGTACATTAAATGCAGTATTACATTTAGTTTTCACTATCATCCTCTAAGGTAGAAATCATCATCCCCCTTTTTCAAGAATGAAAGCTGAAGCTTCAAATATAAATAAATACACACACACACACACACACACACACACACACACACACACACACCCGTGTGTTACCCAGGTTATGTTACCCAGGCTGGTCTCAGTCTCGTTGGCTCAAGTGATCCTCCCACCTCAGTCTCCTAAAGTGCTGGGATTACAGGTGTGAGCCATCGTGCCTGGCTGGGGCCCCAAATATTTAAACAGTATGCTCAGTGCTGAAGCTGGGATTTCAGCCCAGGCCCATTTGACCTCAGGGCCTATATTTTAAAATACTACCTATGAAGAAGCTTCCCTGGTCGCTGGAAAATGTCCAGTGAAAGGCTGGTGAGCCTCTGTCAGGTATGTAGTAGAGAGATTTGGGCCTGCCAGGAGTTTAGGCCATGGATGATGCCTACACATACATACACTGGATGTGAACACACATAAGCACACACACTTCCTGAGGATGCACACACATGTCTTTTGCATACTTGCAACGGGACTGAACCAACCACAGCTCTCAACTCTGCTGTGTCTTCCTCTGGGTACATCATGTGACCTCTGTTGGGAGCTCTTGGACCGCAGGAGTTTGGCACCAGGCAGATTCAGCATTTCCTTCTCCCACACTACATATCTTAATTGAACACTTGTTCCAGGCCACACAGGGTACTAGGTACTGGGTATATAGGAATGGGAAAAAGCAGACAAGCTCCCTGCTCTTATGGAGGAGACAGACAATCAGATAACCACACAGACAAACATGCAATTGCACCATGACTCTGCTGTGATAAGGAGTTTTTTGGTGCTATGAGGGGGACAGAGCCTGAAGGCCTGGGACTGAACTGGGCTTGGAGACCCAGAGACCAAGTTCTGAGTTTGAGCAGGTGTTGTTCAGGTAGCAGATGGGGAAGAGTGCTCTGGGCAGAGAGAATAACATGAACAAGGGCCTTGCAATGGGAGGGAGTGTGGCCCTGGAGAACTGGCTGAAGACTGGTGGGGTCTGAGCAGTCATGGGGGTGGCAAATGGCCCACAAGAAGCTGGGGTTAAGTGAGCAGGCAAGGCAGGGCCTTGGAATCATGACAGACAATTCCTCGAGAGCAGTAGGGAACCATTGATGGGTTTTAACAGGGAGACCAGAGACAAGTCAAAACAGATTTACATTTCAGGAAGCAAACTCTGGCTTCAGTGTGGGATAGAGATAAAGGGGGACTAGTGGGGATGCAGTGAGTCCTGCTGGGCAGTGATTATATGCTCCAGTGCCATCACCATCGAGACGATGGTGGCAGATGCCAAGGTCTTTTAGGACACCAGGTCTTCCCTCACCAGCCCGAGTCCTCCACCTCTTCTGCAGGGCACTGGGGCCCAGGAAGGGATGGTCAGCTTATTGGCCCACCTAAGAAAGAAGTAGGCACCTGAAGGTGGTACAAAGTCCCTGTGTCGTCCTCCTAAGACGGTCTCCTCTTTGGCTTAGCTCAGGCATTTTGTGAAACGGTGGGGCACTGGAGGAGGGTGAAGAAGAGAGGCAAGTTCTCTAATTTCTGCGCCATTTTCCCATTTTTTTGTGTGGGAAAGTGCCCTGCAGTTATCTGCATAGATTGTCAGATTGTCTGGCAGAAACCCCAGCCGGGGCCCTCTGGGGAGAAGAAATGCATGATTCAGCCAGTGGGATGGAACCAGAAAGGTTTGCAATTGATGAGAGAGGCCAGAGGGAGGCTGGGGGAAGGGTAGGGAGTGAGAGTCATGGATTCCTCCAGGCAAGAGAGCTCTGGGGAGCAGGACAGGAGACAGTGAGGAGACCCCAGGCATGCCAAGCAGAAGGCAGACTCCTGAGCACTACTTCCCGGAGGCAAAGCTGTGCCGCCAGGGAGCCAAGAAATAATAAGATAGGACTGATTGAGTGACTGATTCAGCAGTGGGGTTGCTCTTGGTCCAGACCCAGCCTAGAAATTACAGGCCTGGGTTGCAGCATCCGGGACAGCTACTGGAATCAGGGGCCTGCCGGTGATTGTGGTCAACAGCCACATGGCCCTGCCTTGCCTTCCTGGGCCATGGTCATCTCTGATTGGGGGAGGAGCTCTTTCTCATGGACCAGGCTGGAGAGCTGCTCCCAAGGAGGCCCTGCCGGGTTGTCCCAGCAGCACAGATGTCAGGGAATACTCCATCCACTCAGCACTGCAGAAACCAGCCTGGCCTCACCTGTGTCTGCAAGACAAGAATGGAGAATTCAAAATCTCCATGCATGGTGGTTGTGAAAATGCAGGTTTTCAGGAGTGTTGTCATGGTGCAGAGGAGACAAAAAGTGGCTTTATAATCCTAGCTCTGCCATTGCTGTGGGACTTTAGAAAATTCACTTCCCCTTTCTGAGCCTCAGTTTCCCAACCTGGAAATGGAGATGATAGTATCCACCCTGGCTCACAAGACTTGTGATGACCAAATTTCAACACTTTGAACAAAAAACAAGATAAGACTGTAATGACTAACTTCCGTCACACATGCTTATGGTCACAGTCCATCTGACCTCCCACACTACTGTCGGGACGAGAAAGCTGAGGTCATGGAAGTTAAATGTCTTGATTAAGATCTAGTGGATGGTGAGTGGCTGAGCCAGCACTCTACCCCCATCCACTGATCCCAAGACCAAAGTTTCCTCCACCACCCCACAGCCGCCTGTGGGCTAGTGTGGAGCCAATTTGCATTTAAAGAGGTTTTAAAAAAAATATTAGTTCTGAAATTCAGAACCAGAGACAACAGTTGCCTTGTTAATTTTCAGACCTAAAAGTAAGACAGGGTCAGCTCATGGCAACCTCTCCATGAACTCCAACCCAATAAAATACCTGAAGCTTTGCCCCGCCGCCAAAGCTTTGAAACACGAGTAGCAAGGTTAGAGTTGGGTGGGTATTTTGGTTTGTTTTTTGTTTTTGTGGAGATCAGGAACTTCAAAGTTCAGGTACTTGCCCTCTCCCCATCTTACGGATAAGGAAACTGAGGTCTGTAGAAGACAGGAACCAGCATGGTATCACTTATCCAGTTCGAGGCAGAGCTAGGATGAGACCTTGAGTCTTCCTTATTCTCCACATGATGCTCTTTCCAAAATGGCAACTGCCTCATATATTCATCACATGTGGCTGGATAATCTCAGGAGGTGAAGGGTGAGACTTTCAAGAAGCCCTTCAGCAGGTTGCAGGGAATCCTGGTCTCTGCTGGGGTGCAAAGAGCTTTTTACATGCAGGTTCAAAGCCCATCCTCACCCCATCAGGTCCCTTCACCTATCCTTCCTCATCCCTCATCTCCTCAGCTCCAACTTTATGCTCTGGCCTGGAGGGCTCCTCACCAATGAGCCACCACCTTCACCCACCCCTCCCTATCCCCTGCCTCGATTTCCCCCACTGCTGCCATCCTTCTCACCTATCTAATTTTTACTCTGCTTTTAAGGGAGTCATTCTGCCTGCTCCATGAAGCTTGTTCCAGGTTCTCCAGCCCTCTCTCCCTTTTCTGAACCATGGTAATAATAATAATATTATAGCTAACATTTATTGAGACTTAGTACATTCTAAGCGCTGTGCTAAGAGATCATGTCATTTAAATCCTAGGTGCATTACTGCTCCTCAGTGGATACATACTTATGTATGGGGTGTGATCACCATCTCATCATTAGGCTATTCTAATGATTCCCCTGGTTGCGCTGTGATAGCCAAATAAGTGTTGTCAATGTCAGCAGCCTCAGGGGCATGCTCTCCTGGGAAATTAGACCGGGGCAGTAATAAGCAAAGTGACCTTCAGAGACAGATTGGTCCCCACATCAGCAAAACTGAGTTATGTGCTCATGGAAAGGTCCCAAGAGGCAATGTGTAGGTCAGAGGGGAGAGGGGCTGGCTGATCACAGAAGAGTGGAGAAAGATGATGTGCCCAGACCAACACTGGCAGTGCCCAGGAGGGCAGTGGAGAGGCAGCCCTTGCCTGTGGACTGGCCACATTGTCATTCATGTAACAAATCCACTTCATGCAGTCTCTCATCATTCATTTATTACTGGCCATGCCTATGCCAGGCACTTCTCTAGGGTCTAGGAGTGGTTGGCACATGGATGAGTTTCCCTTGCATTTATCACAATGTGTAACTTTATTTTTAGCTGTTTTTTGGTTATATCTCACCTTCATGGTTTGACTTTAAGCTCTCTTCTGTTCAATGCTGTGTCCCCACTGCCCAGGATGGAACCTTCTTCACGGTAGCACTTGATAAACATTTGTTGGTTAAATGAAGGACATGTCGTCCCTGTTGAGGAGAGAGAGGCAGGAAATTTTATCAATGACGATGAAGATTCCAGCCTCATGCAAGGTCACCCAGGTGTGACAGGGATGTGCCCTGCCCCACTTGAGCACACGAAGCCACTTCCTGCTGGTGATACTGGCTCCTACTCAGTCCCCCTTCCAGGAGAGAATGTGAGCACCCCAACATGAGTGCTGAGTTGTCCTTGCAGGTCAGTAATGCAGTATTTAGGTTTATCCATCATATTCACACACTTTATTCACAAGAATACCCTCACCCACACCAAGGTGCAGGCTCTGGGTGGGGGCCACAGGTGTCTGAGTGTGCCTGGCTGAGAGGCCACGTGCTGACAGCCCCCTTAGGACTTCCAGGGGACAGCCAGCCAGCAGTCCCCAGAGACCACCCCTGAGGTCAGCCTGGCAGGGCTCCTTTCCATTGGAATGTCCACACCAACAATGGGCGCATTGTAGCTCCCCAGCTTCCACTCCTCTGTCACTTCCCCAGAGCAGGAGACCATCTGGGCAGAGGACTCTGGGAGGTCATTCTAATCCAACTCCCTCATTTTATAGTAATTATTTATTATAATATACATCATACATAATGGGAGTGCACAGAGACAGGCGTATGGTGTATGGAGTCATACTGTCACCATGTACACATCCCCTGAACTAAGAAAAGAAATATTGCCAATGTATTAGAACTGTCCCCGCCCCGCACCATTCCCTGTAGTAACTTCCAGCCTCCACACACCAGAGGCAACTATACCTTGATTCTTAGTTAACCAGTCTTTACTTTTAAAAATAGTTTTACCAGCAGGGCACTGTGGCTCACGCCTGTAAACCCAGCACTTTGGAAGGCCAAGACAGGAGGATTGCTTGAGGCCAGGAGCTCAAAACCAGCCTGGGCAACATAGTGAGACCACTATCTCTACAATAAAAAATTTAAAAAGTAGCCAGACGTGGTGGTGTGTGCCTGTAGTCCCAGCTACTGTGGAGGCTGAGGTAGGAGGATGGCTTGAGTCCGGGAGGCTGAGCCTCCAGTGAGCCGTGATCGCGCCACTGCACTCCCATCTGGGTGACAGAGGAAGACCCTATCTCATAAATAAATAAGGAATTAAATAAGTTTTACCACTTGATATGTATTTTTTATTGTGATTAAGATATAATTCACATATCATAAAATTTACCCTTTTACAATTAACAATTCAGGGGTGTTTAGTATATCCCCATAGTGTGCAACCATCACCACTATCTAACTGCAGAACATTTTTATCACCCCCCAAAAAAAACCCTGTCCTCATCAGCAGTCACTCCTCATTCCCCTCTTCCCATATCTCCCAGCAACCACTAATCTGGCTTTCCATCACTATAGATCTGCCTACTCCAGATAGCTCATATAAGCAGAATCAGATGATATGTGGTGTTTTGTGACTGGCTTCTTTTACTTAGCATAATTTTTCAGGGATCATATATGTTGCAACAGATATCAGTGTTGAATAATGAAACACACTAATTTGTGATAATAGTTACATGACTGTGTTTGCCAAAAATCGTAAAAGTATACATTAAAATGGGTATTTTTTTAAAAAAATGGAAATAAATTGAATGATGCTGTATGAATTATTCTGTGACTTACTGCTTTCACCCGGCATTGTTTTGACATTATTGTGTGTTTTTACACAGCTGTAGTTTGTTCACTCCATCGCTGTATAGTATTTCCTTGTTTGAACATGCTGGAATTTAGTTATTTTACAGCTGATGGACATTTGAATTGTTTTTCTTTGAAGGCTAGTACAGTTCTGCTATGAACACTCTTTAAAGTGGTCCCTGGTGCACATGTGCAAAAGAGCCTTTATCTAGAAGTAGAATTCGAGTCATAGGGTTTTTGCATGTTCAACTCTACTAGGTAATGCGAAATTACTTTCCAAATAGTTTCATCAATTTATACTCCCATTGGCAGTGGAAGAGAGTTCCATGCCTCCATATCCTCACCAAT
This sequence comes from Homo sapiens, assembly GCF_000001405.40. NCBI lineage: Eukaryota > Metazoa > Chordata > Mammalia > Primates > Hominidae > Homo > Homo sapiens. Next base: position 68,460,369 of record NC_000015.10, on the reverse strand, counting down.
ACTTGGTGTTGTCAGACTTTTTAATTTTTGCCCATCTCATTAGGGTGTAATTTTGTATCTTGTGGCTTTCATTTGCATTTCCCTCATTACTAATGAAGTTGACCCTCTTTTCCTACACTTGTAAGTCATTTATGTTTCCTCTTCTATAAAATCTCTGTTTATGTCTTTTGCCTTTTTAAATTGTCATTTTCTTATTGATTCTTATTTATATATTCTAGATGCTACTCAATCTATTGTTAGTTTTTTGTGTTTCAACTCTCTTCTCCTAGTTTGTGGCTTATCTTTTTATTCTTTTTATGGAGTCTCCTAAGGGACAAAATTCTTAATTTTAATATAGTTAAATTGATCAATCTTTGTCTTTATGGTTTGTATTTATTGTGCTTTACTTAAGGAATCGTTTCCTACCCTGAGGTCATAAATATATTCTCTTATATAACTTCCAATAGTTTTATAGTTTTTCCTTTTATATTTAAGCCTTTGTTCCATCTGGAATTGGTTTTTGTGTATTGTATAAGGTAGGAATCTAATTTCCCTTTTTTTCCATATGGATAACCAGTTGTCTTAGCACTGCACGTCTGCAGCATCTGGTCTGTCATATATCAAGCTTCTACATATGTGAGGCTTTATTTCTGGGCTCTCTTTTTCATTTCATTTCTATGCTAATATCACACTGCCTTAATTACCATATCATTATGGTAAATCGTGGTACCTGGTCTGGTAAATCCACCACTGGTTTGATGGTTCTTTTTAAAATCTGAATGTGTTGGCTATTCGTGACCTTTTTGCTCTCCCATATAAATCTGAGAATCAGCTTGTTAAAGAAAATAAAATACTATTGAGATTTTAATTGGAATTACATTAAATTTACATACCAACTTAGAGAAAACTGACATGATGATGATATTGTGTCTTCCTATCCAAGAACATGGTCTCTCTCTTCATTTATTTAGGTCTTCTTTAATGTCTTTCTATAACGTTTTACAATTTTGTTAATAAAGGGCTAGCCCATCTCTGTTAAATTATTCCTAGATTTTTTTTGCTGTTTTCATATTTGGTAATTTTTTAACTTTTAAATTGATACACATTAGTAAAATACATATATCATAAGAGCCCACTGAATTGTTACAAACTGAACGCACCCATTTATATAGCACCCAGATTAAGAAATAGACCATCAATAGCATCTCGTAAGTCCTTCACTCCCTTTGCCAGTCACTGGCCTCCAGGGGTAAGCACTAATCCAACTCATTCTCACCCAAGTAAGTATCAATTCATTCCACCTGTTTGTGAACTTCATTTAAATGAAATTACATAGTATATACGCTTTGAGATCTGACTTCTTTACTCAGCATGATATTTGTGAGATTGACTCCTATTGTTATGTGTTATTGTAGACCACTCACTCTCATTTCAACACAGTATTACATTGTGTGAAAATGCCACAATGTATTTATCCATTCTTCTGTTAATAAGTACTTAGTAGTTTCTAGCTTGGGGTTATTATAAATAGTATGGTTAAAAACATTCTGGTCCATATCTTTCAGGAATATATTCTGGAGTGGAATTGCCTATGTGTCCAACTCCAGGAGACGCTGCACTGCCCAACAGTTTTCCAGAGTGGCTGTGCCAATTGACATTCCCACCAGCAATGCAGGTGTTCATAGCAGAGTTATTCATAATATGTACAAGTTTTTGTGTGGATATATGTTTTCATTTCTATTGAATAGTTTCTGTGAACAGAATTGTTAGATCATATGGTAAACCCACCAGGAATTGTCAAACTGTTTTGCACAGTTCCTGCACCATTTTCATTTTCCATTCCCAGCAGCAATGTATGAGAATCCCAATTTCTCCATATTCTTGCCAATACTTGTTATTATCTATTTTCATCATTATTCTAGTGGATGTGAAGGGATATCTCATTGTGATTTTGGTTGGCATTTCCCTAATGACTATCAATGTTGAACATTTTCTCTGTGCTTATTAGTTATTTGTATATCTCCTTTGGAGAAATGCTATTCAAATCATTAACCCATGCAAGAAAGTAGGTTATATGTCTCTATTATTACAGTTGAATTGTGATCTTTTTTTAAGTACTCTGGATGCAAATCCCTTATCAAATTTATAATTTGAAAAATTTTCTCCCATTCTGTGGATTGTGTTTTACTTTCTTGATGTTCTTGGAATCTCAAGGGTTTCAATCTTGTTAGATTCCAACTTAACAATCTGTTTTATCATTTGTGCTTTTGGTGTCACATCTAAGAAATACCTGATTGATCCAAGATCACAAAAATTTATGTCCATGTTTTCTTCTGAGTTACACATTTCTAGCTCTTACATTTAGGTCTATGATACACTTCAACTTAAATTTTGTGTATGTGTGAGATAAGGATCCAAATTTATTCTCATTGTGGTTTTAACTTGCATTTCTTTGATGACTAACTTGAGCACCTTTTCATATTTTTATTAGCGATTTGGATACTTGTTTTTGAAGTGCCTGGTTCATCATATACTTCACCCATTTATTAATCGAAGTGTTTGTTTTTTCTTAGGGATTTGTAGATGTTCTTTATGTAGTATGGATATGAGTACTTTGTTGGATAACCTACTTTGTGGGTTACATTTCCACTCTCCTGATGGTGCCTTTTGATAAACAGAAGTTCTAATTTTTATATGGTTTGATTTATCATTTTTTCTTTCATGATTTGTGCCCTGTTTAAAAAATCATTGCCTACTTCAAGACCATAAAAATATTCTGTAATATTTTCCTCTAATTTTTTTATTGTTTTGCCTTTCACATGTAGATCTGCAACCTGGATTTGTCTTTGTGCATATTCAAAGTAGTGAGCCAAATACATTTTGTTACATGTAGATAATCAATCAACCTAGCACCATCTATTGAAATGACAATCCCTTCTCATGCTACACTATAGTGTGGCCTTTATCATAACAGGTAACAGAATATGCATGAATCTCTTCATGGGCTCTCTTATCTGTTTCATTACTCTGTATATCTGCCACACTGCTATAATTACTATAGCTTTATGATAGCTTGTTACCTGGTAGTGAAAGTCCTCCAGTTTAGTTCTTAGAGATTGTTTTAAATATTTTAGATATTTTCCCTTTGTAAATGAATTTTAGAAGCAAGTTGTTTATGTTCACCAAACTTATACATACACACTGATTTTGATTGGAATTATATTGAATTTATAGATTAATTTAGAAAAATTGACATTTTTGTAATAATGAATCTTTCCATTTTCAATCCATGAACATGGCATATTTCTCACTTCATTTAGGACTTTTACACTTTTTCTCAATAATATTGTATAGTTTTCAGAGTAGATCTTGCACATATTTTGTGAGACTTATTCCTGAGTAGTTGGTGTTTGTTGATACTAATGTAAATTGTGTCCTTTTAAAGTGCCATTTCCTCTTTGTTTCTGGGCTATAGAAAGAAAATAGATTTCTTATTAATTTTGCATACAATGGCCTAGCTGAGTTCACTTATTAATTTCAATAGTTTGTACATTCTTCTCAGATTTTCTAGCTCTACATTCATGTCATCTGTGAACACAACTTTCTTTCTTTCTAATTCTTGTGCCTTTTATTTCTTTTTCTTGCCTTATTGCACTTGGTAGGACCTTCAGTACTATGTTAAGCAGATGAGATAGCAGCCTTCCTCATCTTGCTACTAATCCCAGGGGGAAAGTATACAATATTTTATTTCTAAGCATGAGGTTTGCAGTAAGGGTTTTTTAAAGATACTTTTTAACAATGTAATGATGTTCCCTGCTATTTCTAGTTTGATATGATATTTTATCATAAATAGATATTGAATTTTGTCAAATGTACAGTCTGAATCTATTAAGGTGATCATATTATTTATTTTTCTATTTTCATTTGGTAATATTGTAAATTATAATATTGATTCTATTTTTGTTTATGGGGTTTTCAGCTTCCTTGAGGTACACTGGACAAAAAATTATATGTTCTCAAAGTGTATAACATGACTTTTTGATATACATATGCATTGTGAAATGATTACTGCAATCAGGCTAACATATCCATCCCCCGACATAGTCACAGTTTTTGAGTGTGTGTGTGTGATAAGAATATTTAACATCAAATTTCTTAGCAAATTTCAAGTGTATAGTATAGTATTATTAATACTAACTATAGTCACCATGCTGTGCTAGTGATCTTCAGAATTTATTCATCCAGCATAAGTGAACCTTTGTACTTTTTGACAAACACTTCCCATTTCCTTCACCTCCTAGCCACTGGCAGCCACTGTTCTATTCTCTGCATGTACGAGTTTGACTTTTTTAGATTTCACCTATGAAATCATTCAGTATTTGTTTTTCTGTTCTGGCTAATTTCACTTAGCATAATGTCCTCCAGGCTCATCCATGTTGTTGCAAATGGCAGGATTTCCTTCTTTTCTAAGACTGAATAATTCCATTTCACATACACACACACACACATACACATACATACACACACACACACACACACACACAGAGTACATTTTCTTCACCCATTTGTCCATTGATAGACACAGGTTGTGACTATTTTGAATAATGCTGTCATGAACATGAGGGTGCAGATAACTCTTCAAGGTATTTAATTCATTTTCTTTGGATATATACCCAGAAGTGGGATTGATGGATCATACTGTAGTTATATTTTTAATTGTTTGCAGAACTTTCATACTGAGTGGCTGTACCAATTTACATTCCCACCAACAGTGTACAAGTACTCCCTTTTCTCCACATCTTCACCAACACTTGTTATCTCTTGTCTTTTTGATAACAGCCATTCTAACAGGTATGTCTCTGTGGTTTTGATTTGGATCCCTCTGATGATTAGTAATGTTGAGCACCTCTCCATATACGTGTTGGCTGTATGTATCTTCTTCTTTTGAGAAGTGTCTACTCAGGTCCTTAGCCCATGTTTTAATGTTTTTTGTTGTTGTTGTGGTTGTTATTGAGTTGTTTGAGTTCCTTACATATTTTGGATATGAACCCCTTATCAGATATATAGTTAGCAGATATTTTCTCCCATTCCATAGATTGCCTTTTCACTCTGTTGATTGTCTCTTTTGCTGTGCAGAAGATTTTTAGTTTGATACAATCTCACTTGTCTATTTCTGTTTTTGTTGTCTATGCTTTTGTTGTCATGTTCCAAAAAAGTATTGCCCAGACCAATGTCAAGAAGCTTTTCCCCTGTGTTTTCTTTTAGTAATTTAATAGTTTCAAGTCTTACATTTAAGTCTTTAATCTGTTTTGAGTTGATTTTGGTATATAGTATGAGAAAGATTCAATTTCATTTTTCTGCATATGGATTGCCAGTTTTCTCATCACCGTTTATGGAAAGAGACTATCCTTTCCTCACTGTCTGTTCTTGACACCCTTGTTAAAGATCAGGTGACTGTAGATACAAGGTTATTTTTGGTTTCTTTATCTTTTTGGATTATATGTCTGTTTTTATGCCAGTACAATATAGCTTCAATTACTGTAGCTTTATAATATAGCTTGAATTTGGCAGTGTGACGCCTCCAGCTTTGTTTTGGCTATTCAGGGTCTTTTGTGATTGCATATGAATTTTAGTTTTTTTTTTTCTGTGTCTGTAAAGAATACCACTGAGATTTTGATAGTGGTTGCATTGAATGTACACCACTTTGGGTAGTTTGGACATTTAAACAATATTAATTCTTCCAGTCCAAGAACACAGAATGTCTCTCCATTTATCTGTGTCTTCTTTAATTTCCTTCATCAATGTTTTATAAATTTCAGTGTACAAGTCTTTCACCTCATTTGTTAGGTCTAACTAAAAATCCCTAAGCATTTTATTCTTTTTGTGGCTCTTGTTAATGAGATTGCTTTCCTAATTTTCTTTTCAGAGAGTTTATTGCTTGTATAGAAACACAACTGATTTTTGTATGTTGATTTGGTGTCCTGCAACTTTACTGAATTTGTTTATTAGTTCTAACAGATTTGTTGTTGTTGTCGTTCTTGAGTCTTCAGGATTTTCTACATATAAGATCATGTCATCTGCAAACGAGATAATTTTACTTTTTTTCTCATTCAGATTTGATTTCTTGTTATTTATTCTTCTTGTCTCATTGCTCTTGTCTCATTGCTCCAGTACTATGTTTAGTAGAAATGGTGAGAATGGGCATTCTTACCTTGTAACAGATTTTGGAGGGAAAGCATTCAGTTTTCCCCCATGGTTTATAACGTTAGCTGTGGGCATTTGCTCTATGGCCTTTATTGTGAGGCAAATGGCCTTCTGTACTTATTTTGTTGAGAACTTTAATCATGCATCGATGTTGAATTTTGTCAAATGCTTTTTCTGCGTCTACTGAGATGATCATATATTTTTTCTTTAATTTTGTTAATGTGGTATATCACATTGATTCATTTGCATATGCTGAACTATCCATGCATCCCAAGGATAAATCCCACTTGTTCATGGTGTATAATCCTTTTAACGTGCTTTTAAATTCAGCTCATTGGTATTTTAGTGAGGATTTTGCATCTGTGTTCATCAGGTATATTGACCTGTAGTTCTCCTTTCTTGTGGTATCATTGTCTGGCTTTGGAATTGGGTTAATGCTAAACTCATAAATGAGTTTGGAAGTATTCTGTCTTCTATTTTTGGAGGAGTTTAAGAAGAACTGGTATTAATTCTTTGAATGTTTGGTAAAATTTACATGTGAAGCCATCTAGTCCTGGACCTTTCTTTATTGGGAGGTTTTTGATCACTGATTTAATCTTTTTCTTTGTTATGGGTCTGTTCAGGCTTTCTGTTTCTTGTTGATTCAGTTTTGGCAGGTTGTACGTTTTTAGGAATTTATCCATTTCTTCTAGATTATGCAATTTGTTGGTGTGTATTTGTTCATAACATTCCCTTATAATCTTTTTTACTTCTTAGATATCTATTGTAATGTCTCCTCTTACATTTCTGATGTTATGTATTTGAATCCTCCCTTTTTTAGTTAGTCCAACTAAGGGTTTGTCCATTTTATTTTCTCAAATAACCAATTCCTAGTTTTGTTAATTTTAATTTAATTTTTTAATTCTCTATTTGATTTATTTCTGCTACAATATTTATTATTTTCTTTTTTCTACTTTGGGTTTTTTTTTTCTTCTTTTCCTAGCTTCTTGATAGGCAAATTAGGTTGTTTATTTGAGATCTTTCTACTTTTCAAATATAGGCATTTATTGCTAAACTTCCCTCTTAGTACTGTTTTTGCTGTATCCCATAGGTTTGGGTATGTTGTATTTTTGTTGCATTTGTTTCAAGATATTTTTTAAATTCTTTTTTGATTTTTCTCTTGCACCCAATGGTTGTTCAATAATGTTATTTAGTTTCCACATATTTGTAAATTTTCCAGTTTTCTTACTGTCAATGATTTCTAGTTTCATTTCACTGTGGTCAGAGAAGATGCTTGGAATGATTTTAATCTTTTTGAATTTGTTAAGAGCTGTTTTAAGACCTAATATGTAATCTTTCCTGGAGAACTTTCTATATGCACTTGAAAAGAATATGTATTCTACTACTGGGTAGAAAGTTCAGTATATGTCTCTTAGGTCCATTTGGTGTATAGAGTTGTTCAGTTTTCCTCTTTACTTATTAGTTTTCTGCCTGAATTATCTATCCACTATAGATAATGCAGTTAAAGCCTCCTACCATTATTGTATTGCTATCTATTTCTTCCTTCAGATCTGTCAATGTTCACTTTATATATTTGGGCACATACATATTAATAGTTGTTATAGCTTCCTCTTGAGTTGATCCATTTATCATTGTATAATGAATTCCTTTGTCTCTTGTGGCATTTTTTGACTTAAGGTCTTATTTTGTCTTATCTAAGTGTAGCCACCCCTGTTCTCTTTTGTTTAACATTACATGCAACGTCTTTCTTCATCTTTTCACGTTTAGCTTATCCATGTCTTTAAAGCTAAAATAAACCTCTTGCAGGCAACATATTGTTGAACCTTGTTTTTTTACATTCATTCGGCAACTTTATGTCTTTTAATTGGAGAATTTAATCCATTTACATTTAATTATTAATAGGTAAGGACATATCCTTGCTATCTTGTTAATTGTTTCCTGACGATTTTGTAGAGCCTTTGATCCTCTCTTATTGTCTTCCTTTGTGATTTATTGTTTTTTTTTTTTTTTGGTAATGGTATGCTTGCTTCTTTTCTTTTTATCTTTTGTGTATCTACTAGACATTTTTTCCTTGTGATTACCATAAAGCTTACATATCACACCTTAGACACAAAATATATTACAATCTATTTCAAACTGAAAACAACTTAACTTCAATCACATACAAAAACTACACTTTTAGTTCTCCTCCACACACATTCTATGTTATTGATGTCACAATTTGCAACTTTTTATATTGTGTATTCTTTAATTATTGTATCTCTTTACAACATTGTCTATTACCCCATTTTAGCTCTTTATTTTGTTATAGTATATCTGGCTATTTTTTAAAGCTGTTTTTCAATTCATAAATTTCCTCTCCAGCCTCTCTCTTCAGTGTTTAATTTGCTGGTTAACCAATTCCATTGGGCTTTTTGTTTCAGTTATTATACTTTTAAAATTCTGGATCTGCTTGATTCTGTTTCAAACCTGCTTGTTTCTTGCCCACTTTTTAAAGATACTTTTTATTTATTTAAACAGTTTTTCAATCTGGTAAGTCCAGCATATGAAGTCTTCATGGATCTGTTTCAGCTGCTTGTTGTTTCTTCTGACTCTCCTTTTTGGTGCCTTATTTTCTTGTGTGTTTTGTTTTATTTTGTTTTTATTGTGAGCTGCTCATTTTCTTTGGAAATGTATTTGTGAGAATTATTTGAGGGCTGGGTTTTAGTTCCCCTAGAGATTATTTATATTTGTTTTTATTATCCTAGGACCACTTAAAATTAAATTCTCCATTTGAGGTTTTGGAGTCAGGCTGATAGGATTAATCTGGACTCCAAACTCACATAGAGACAACCTATAGTTTTGAATTTTCATGTTTTTTTTCCTCTCCATCCACAATAAATAAATAAATAAATAAACAGTTTCCAAGCTTTACCTTCTTTGTAGAGTTTTTTTCTTATTCATTCTTACACAGAAGATAAAGCTTTGGTGGGGCAGCAGGGATGTCCTAGCTTTATACAAGAAGATCTCCTATTAGATTTTCTTCCTTGGGTAGTCTTCCTGTTCTGTTCCCTGCTTCTGTAATCATAAGTCAGTAGCTTTAGATGCCCCAAATTTTGACAGCAATGCACAATTCAAAAGGGAGCTTTGGCACCAACCTCCAGCCAAGGATTTCTGGTTTCCCCTCATCTGTGATCCTTTACCTTTATGCCAGCTCATTAGTGCAGTTAAAAATATTCTTTTCTGCTCCATACAGAATTATCCACTATTTCATTTGGTAGGGTCATTTATGGTATCTAGTCTGCCATAATGCAGGAAAAAGGAGTCTCCATAACTTCTCAAAAGAGGAGACCAAGGTCCAGAGAGAAAAAGCAACTCACAGCCATGAATGCTGACACTGTGGCAGCAGTTAGATAAGTCCACTGAGATTACTACTCATGGAAGGATTTCTGGGGCCATGGCTGACCTGGAAGGTTATTTACCGTGGCCAATGAGGGCAGCATAGCCAGAATCTCTGGTTTATGGTCAAGGAGGGTCAAGTGTCCCCCAGCCATCCTTCCACGCCTTCTTTCCCTGTTATACTTATGGTTCACAAGAGGAGGACATAGAACACGACAGGAAGACAAGGTCAGCCTAATTGGCAGTAGAATCATGAGCTTCTTCTCAATTATGCTACACTCCAGAAAATGCTCCTTGCCCCTTCTCTTACCATCCATTGGCACTTTCTGGCTTTCAGCTGACCTCTCCTGACTCCCTGCCTCACACTCAGCAGCAGCCACCAGATGTCTGGCCGCTGGCCTGGGTGCCTGGGGAAGAAATATCTGCTGTGGGAGTGAAGAGCCACTATTGGCTCCTGACATTTAGTGCACTTGTTTTTTGATCTCTGTCCCAGGAAGAGCAAGCCAAAGAAAGTTGAACACAGCTGAGTACCCAGGCTTATTACTTTCATCATCTTGAGAGCTCATAACTTATTTACTGAATGCTTACTTTACATTAGGCCTGAGCTACACTCATGACAGGCAGTAATTCTGCCAATTCTCATGCCAATCCTTAAGTTATGAGAGGTTAACTCACTTATTCAAGGTCCCACTATTGGTAAGTAGTGCTGGGACTCAAACTAGGTCTGTCTAATTTCAGATCCCATGATCCTGACCCCTCCCTGGTACTTTATAGCCCAAGATGAACTTTTGGATCATGTAAGAGTGATGAAGCAACTGGCCCAATGTCACAAAATTGTCAGTGGCAGTGCCAGGCTTGCATGATTTTCTTCTTGATGCCCCAGGGGCAATGGGCAAGCATGGAAGCCCTCCCTGTAACTTCCAAGGGTCTGGCCTGGACAGTTGAAATCTTCCAATTATCCCCCCTGTATAAACTTGGTTGCTTTCACTGATGAAAATAAACTGTTTTCCCCTAGAGAGAAAAGAGACCACAGGTCAGGGGAGAGTCCCGCAACACTGTCCCTCGGATGCTCTGACCCCAGTCAGACTCCAGACACACAGGAGCAAGAGAGGTCTTGCCAAGCTCTCCTTCATACCTCCTGCACAGCCAGTTGGAGGAGGAGGCAAATTCCCTGCGAACTTCTTTGAGTCCTCGCTTAGCTGCCAGCCCAGCTGCCTGCCTGCTGTCTCCCCACAGGGCTGCAGTAGAGCCAGCATGGGAAACATTGAGTGTTGCTGGGTTTCGGTCTTTCTGTGCAGCCTTGGAAGCTCTTTGGGCAAGTGGACCTGGAGGAAACTGCAAAGCCGGCTCTCCTTTCTGAAATCCTGAAGAGCACCAAGCATAGAATTTGAAAAATAGAGCCTCCAGGCCATGGCACAGTCTAATTTAAAGGTGAATCCTGTTTAGGAAAAAGTCGGGCTGCGCAAATGAATGAAACGTGTCAACCTTCAAAGATAGACAAAGGGGCTAGCAATGGCCTTTTGTTGTTGTTTTTGTTGCTTTCTTCCTGGAAGCAATTCTCTGAAAAGGCTGGTCCCTGCCCAAAGGAGTATGTTGTGGAGACCAGATTATATTCGGGTAGAGTGAGAGAAAAGTGGGCATTAATTCAAGGAACAGCCGTGGTTCCATAGAGTAAGGGTCTCAGGAGACACGGTGTTGAAAAACATAGCCTTACTGGCCAGGCACACTGGCTCATGCCTCTCATCCCAGCACTTTGGGAGGCTGAAGCAGGTGGATCACTTGTTGTCAGGAGTTCAAGACCAACCTGACCAACATGGTGAAACCCTGTCTCTATTAAAAATATAAAAATTAGCCGGTCATGGTGGCACATTCCTGTAATCCCAGCTACTCAGGAGGCTGAGGCATGAGAATCACTTGAACCCGGGAGGGTGGAGGTTGCAGTGAGCCAAGATTGCACCACTGCACTCCAGCCTGGGTGACAGAGCAAGACTCTGTCTCCAAAAGAAAACAAAGAAAAAAAAAAACAAAACATAGCCTTAGGTAGAGCTAGAAAGAACCTCCTAGTCCAACACCTCACTACTCTATAAGTGAAGCAGCTGAGGCTCAGATAGGGGAAGGGACCTGCCTGAGATCATACCACCATGAGTGGCAGCTACAACTTAGGAGCCAGAAAGAGCCTCTGCATACTCAGAGAAAGTCTTCAAAGTCTGTCACTTGTCAGCCAGGGATCTCAGTGGGAAATCCTTTCCAGTGTGTAACAGAGGAGTCATCAGACCCAGCTGTCACGGGGGAGGAAGAAGATATTTCAGCTGGTGTCTCTGGAGTATATTCCCAGAGTCTTTACAACCCACACCTCACATACAAAGGTTCTTCCCTTGGTTTGTCCTTGGCACTGACCTTTTGTGGTCTAGCACCCATCACACTGTATTGTGCCCACATCATGGCTGTCTCCTCCATCAGACCGTGAGCTTTTAAAAGGCCATCTTCACAGTGCCAGCACCATTCACATAGGATGCACTCATTAAATGTCTGTTGAATGAGTGAACAAGTGAGTGAACAGATGCATTCATGTTTAGAGGGAGGGATGAATGGATAAACAAGCCAGCACTTTCCCAATGAACAAGATCTCAGGTCAGTGTAGTGGAAAGTTCCCAGCACCTGGAAACAAAAGATGGATGTTGATTCACCACTTGGGTGACAAGGTCATTAGAAACCCAAACCTCAGCATCACACAATATGCCCATGTAACAAACCTGTACATGTACCCTCTCAATCTAAACTATATATATTTTTAAAGATGTATGTTTGAATCTGAGCTCACTGCTCACCAGCCATATGAGCTTATCCAAGTCCCTTAGGCCAGGTCTGGCACTTGGTAGCAGCTACATGCACCATGTGCCAGTCTTTGCCTTAAATGCTTAATCCACAATGCCTCATTCAAAATTCACAAGGAACAAATGATTTAGGCACTATTGTTCCCATGTTACAGATGGAGAAACAAAGGTGCAACAAAGTTAAGAAACCATAGTATAAGACCTGAAATTAAGGTTCAGTATTATGTGCTGTCTTGACGTGTGGTGAAATCACACAGGCCCCAAATGGCCCAATTGCCACTTCCCCTTCCCAGTATGCTCCGATGGATAATGTCCCCCAGCTAAACTACCCTCCTTATCAAGAGGGCCAGGTGGAATTTCTCCTTATCCCTAAATAGTGGGTTTTAGTTCTCTGCCAGACCCTGGAATTATTCAAACAAACCAATCACACTATCCTGTAGGAACCAGGAGGCACCTCGCCCTCTTGATACTACAAAGCCTGCCTCCCTCAGCCCTTGCTATTCACTCTGTTTCTGAATGTAGCCCCTGTGTGGCCCTATGTGGCATGACTCATCCCCCAGACTGTAAGGACATGTGACTAATAAACTGCTGTGGACCTCACCTGTCCTGTGTCGGGTGTCATGTGTTCAGCCATTCCCATAATCCTAGAGAGGTAATCTCCCCCTCACCAATGGGGTGAAGTGGAGGTGACTAAAACAGAAATTTGCCCAAAGTCACACCGCTAGTGAGACAGGAAGCTGGGACTTGAACCCAGGCATCTGATGCTAGAGCTTACATTCTTCACTTTGTGCCAAATTGCTCACAGTAGTCCAATAATTATCATCCCACTAGTCCATAGGCATCATAAGGTCGCAGGCAGTGCCTTGCTAATAATGCATTCCTAGGGCGTAGCACAGCACCTGGAACATTAAAGCGAAGTTTCATTGGGTGGATAAACAGATGAATGGACTTCACATTTCTGAACCTCAGTTTTCTCATCTGAAATTTCTCATCTCCCTATACCTCACGAGAGGCAGTTGGTCAAAGACGTTAAAGTCATTAACTTTGGAACCAGATTAACTAGGGTTAAATCCTGGCTTCACCAATCACATAACCTTGAACAAGCTCCTTAACACTCTGTGATTGAGTTTTGCCATTATAAAATGAGGACTGAATGAGTTAACATATGTAACAACTCAATGACCATTATTATTGATTTGCATGGTTATTTTTGAAGAACATGTTAGAATGCATATGTAAAGGACCCTGGAGGATTGTGGAATGAGGGTGGGTCTTTGGTGATGTCCCACTTCTCCTATCAACCGTTTGAGATGGACACTGCTGGCTGCCTGCCCAAAAACCATTCTGCGCCTTCTTTCTTCCTTCCCAACAGAGCCTAAATTTTGTTAAGGAATTAGCCTCTCCTACAGCCGACTCAAAGTAATATGGCCCCATCCCCAGCCATGAACAGATCATGACTATTCTAAGTCCATCAGGTGATTTTATTCCCTTTGCCAATGATCGGTACAGGCATGGGATCCAGTTCTGCCCAGTGAAAAGTGAGGAGAGGTGTGCCAGGGGCTTCTGGGAAGTTTCCCTTTTTTCCTGTGGATGTCACCATGATGGATATATTTCAGTGGAACTCTAGCTGCCGTCTTGGACCAGCCCGAGGACAATGAGAGGGCAGAAGATGAGCTAGGGTTGTGATAACCTCTGTTTGAATTTCCTCTACCTCTTCACTTCTTATTTTTTCAGGGATAATACATTCACTCATTATTTAAGCCCATTTGGGTTCAGTTTTCTGGAGCTTGAAGACAAAGCATCACAATTGATGTAATCCTTCCTGTATTTGGCACTCTTACCCTCTTCCTATTGCAATCGATAGTTGTCAATTTTCCTGTCAATCTCTCATGTCATTTCAGTTGTAGCTTTTTTTTTCTTTTAATTTGTCCTTCTCTCTGTCTAGACATTAAACTTTTTGAGAGAGGGAGGGTGTCTGTGCTCCCTAGATCTGTGCCTGGGACATAGCACACACCCAACAAATATGTGATGAATAAATGAATGAACAAATCTCCTAGTCCTCAAGTTGTTATTAGATAAGACCGAATAAAATCACTATGCCAGCAGTAGGTGGTTTTGAATTGGAAATTCTAGAAGATTCACCAGAAGATTCTTGCTGAGTTTTATGAGATATTATCAAAGGCCATCATTAGGAAATGACATTGTCATATTTTGATTTTCACTTCCAAGTTTGGAAGCTTGAGTAATCTAGGTAAATTCTTCCTGTAAAGGGAACTTAAAAAACTGGACAAAATATTTTCCAAAACTCAGCTTGAAAGAATGAGAAAACTATTAAGGTAGTAAAAAGAATTACTGGACTGAGATCTGAAAGAGAAAGGAAACTCAAAGACGTAAGCCTGGCATTTGGGGCTGCTTTTGCCCTGGAGGCATTTGCAAATCTGGAAGATGTGGCTGAGACTGGGAAACATTTTTGACGGTATTTGTGGGTAGGAGAAAAAGTTGTAGTTCAGGGTCTGCCAAAGTGGGGATCACAGTAAATCCTTAACACCTTAAAACCCTAAAGGGCTTTGCCCTAAGAGTGAGAGGGATCTGTCAGTACACCAGTCCTCACATAGACTGTAACCCAGCCTTTAAATGCCTGGGTACCCAAAAAAGTCTCAACTTCTGTAACATTATTAACAGGATTAAGGTGATCTGAGTGGTGTCAAGAACCTAGCAGAAGCAAATTATTATCTTTGGAAGATAAAATTCAAGTTCTCAATTTATTTTTTACAAACAATTTTCAAGTACAATGACCTGTGCACAAAGATAATGAATCACATGAGGAACAAGACTATATATATATATATATATATACACACACACACACACACACACACACGTATATATGTACATTATATATGTACATGTATGTGTGTATATATGTATGTATATATGTATATGTATGTATATATATACATATATATACATGTATGTGTGTGTGTGTATATATATACATATATATATATATATATATACATCAGAGGAAACAACATACAATATAAATAAATCATAAGGACTCCAGTTTCTCAGACCCAGACTTTAAAATAATAATTTTTACTGTGTTTGAGTAGATAAAAGACAAGATTTAAAATTTTACCAGAGAATTTGTAAAGAACCAGATGGAAAATTTTAAACTAAAAAATTAAATAATCAAAATTAAGAGCTTAAAGAATGGATTTTGACTCAGCTGAGGAAGACTTAATAAGTTGAAAGATAGAGAAGAAGAATATATCCAGAATGAACAATAGGAAGAACAAATTGAAAAATGCAAGGAGAAGATGAGATACAATAAGATTTGGTTAGAAATTCTGACAAGTGTTTAGTTGGAGTCCCAGTGGTAGAGGAGAGAGAAAATGAGATGGACACAATGTTTGAAGAGATAATGACTGAGAATTGTCCTAAACTGATGAAAGGCTTAAATCCACAGATAAAAGAAGCCAAATTAATCTCAGGAGAATAAGTAAAAATAAACCCACAACATAGCAAAGTTTCTCTAAACCAAAATTAAAAAGAAAAATCTTAAAGGCAGCTATAGAGAAAAAAAAGACATTTTACATTCAAAGGAGCAAGGATTAAACTGAAAATGGACTTTTCAACCAAAACAAGAATTGGAAGACAATGAAATGATAGTTTCAATGTGCTAAAAGAAAAAACAATGCCAGTCTAGAATTTTGTGCCCAGAGAAAATATCCTTCAAAAATAAAAATGAAATAATGGCATTTTCATACAAACAAGAACGGAGAGAATTTGACATCAGAAACTCTAGTCCTAAAGGAAACACTAAATAATATTCTTCTGGCAGGAGAAAAATGAACCCATATGGAAAGTTGAAGATGAAAGAAAAGCCAGAAAAATGGTAAATATGTAGATAAATCTAAATTTTGACTGGCTGCAAAAAAAAATATCTCCTGGGGTTTAAAATACAGAGAGAATAAACAAAAATAATTGTTTTTGAATCAGGAGGGTAGCAACTGTGGGGTAAATGTTCCAAGGCCCCTGCATTGTCTGAGAGGAGGACAAAAATTATAATAAAATTAATATTAGTGCTTTATCAAGCAAACATACATGCTGGAGTCTCAAGGAAACATTAAAGAATAGCAAATGAGTTGATTACTTCCAACATAGCAGAGAGGAAATAGAATAATTACAAATGATCTATCCAAAAGAAAGAAACAAAGAAAAAGGAGTATAAATCAAGCAGGACAAATAAAAAATCCTATGATAGTAGATTTCAAGGTGAGTATAGAGGCATTAAAATTAAATGTAAATAAACTAAGTGCTCCAATTTTAAAAAAAGTTGAAGAGTTTAAATTTAAAAACAGTTACATGCTGCTTACATGAGATAGGTCTAAAACACAGATATAGAAAGGTTGAAAGGAAAAGAGTGGGAAATGACAGAGAGTCCATGCAAACACTAACTGAAAAAAGGCAGTGAAAACGTGTTCATATCAGACAAAATAGACTGTAAGGCAAAAAGCATTATTAAAAATAAAGACCCTTGTAATAATATAAGGTTCAATCACTAAGAAGATATGATAATTCAAAATCTGTACACATCTAACTACTTAGCCTAAGCATCTATAAAGCAAAAATCAACAGAACTACAAGGAGAGACACAATTCTACAATATTTGAGGGAGATAATTTTGCTTATTTTGTTATAAGAAAATAGCACTTTGTTAACTATGGGCCAAGCACTTTTCCACACACTTCACATGTGCTAGCTCATTCAACCCTCACAACTGTGGCATGCAGTAGGCACCCTCACTTACTAGGTGAGAATTCTGAAGCACGGAAAGCTTAAGTAACTTGCCCAAAGTCACAGAATTGGTAAAGTATCAGGGCTGAGATTTGAAACCAAGCATTCTAGCTCTGGAGTGTTACTGACATTAACACTACTCTCTTAGTAACTGGCAAAAGCACACAGGCAAAACTCCATCAGGGCAGGAGGTTTGGCCGTAGTCCTATATTCTCTATGACAGTAGCTCTTCTAAGCCCAAATTTGTGGCACATTAATGTCTAGCAGTGGGTTGTCATGAGGTTGAAATGAGATCACGTGTTTATAAACTGGAAAATGCTGTAAAAATGTTAGTTCTGTTGCTTTACTTTTGATCTCCTATTTTATTTGATTTTCAGGTGATTTTATGTTTGTGGTATCCACTTTTGTTGTCATCCCTTCAGATCCCTATTGCAAAAAGTTAGAATATAAATAACTGATAAATTGTTGTTGCATCACAGTTTATACAGCTGAGTATCAAAATGTTTGTGTCAATAGAATCTGAGTTAAACACATTAAAGGGTCACATATTGATGATGCTTTGGGATTTTTTTCATCCCACACGTTGTGTGATTCTGCTTCTGGGATATCAATACACTTAATGAAGGATGGAATGACCGGAGAGCTGGTGTGGGACCCTATGCAAGTTACTGACCTTCTCAAGCCCATTGTAAACTGCCCACTGCCTTCACAGGGCTTCAGGGAGGGTTACGGGAGACATAATTGGGAAAGCCCCTTGAATTATATACAGAGCTAAACAAATGTCAGTCATTGTTAAGAATCTCAAAATGATGCAGAGAGTTCAACTAGTCTGTTGCATGCTGTTTCATGTGTTGTTAATAATAACAGCTAACATTTATTGAGAGCTTGTCATGTGGCAGGCACTGTGCCAAGCCCTTCCAAGGCTGTGTTTCATCTCTTCCTCACAGTGGCCCAAGATGCAGAGCGGTCAAGGGCACTGCAACCAGATTGCTTGACACCATCTCCAGGCCCCACCATGTTACCAGCTGAGTGTCCTTGAGCAAGATAAGGTTCCTTTCGTGCCTCGGTTTCTTCATCCGTAAAATGAGAATAACAATAACACCAACTTCATAGAGCTGTGATTATTGGATGAGTTAATGTATGTCAAGTGCTTAGAAGTGCATCTGGCACTCTGTAAGAGTTTGCTGTTTTATCATTTTTATTTTATAGGCAGTAAATTGTTGTAAGTGGCAAGTCACCCAGCTATTGAGGGGCCAGGCTGGGATTCTAATCCAGGTCTCTCTGACCACAGAGCCTATGTTTAACTACTAAACTTCCTAGCCAGCAGCCCCAGGAGCAACTTCAGAGGCCATCAGCCATTTGCAGAGCCTGTTTTGAGGCTCTGCAAAGACCAGGGAAAATGCTAGCTCCATTTCCCTTGCAATAATCCTCCAAATGATGCTTGATTTTTGGCCTTCTCTGAGGGGAACACTCCCAAGAGGCCTTAAGCCCAACACTTGCACCCACATTTTTCTCACTAACGCTCAGCAGAGAAAAAATGCTCACAGAAGCATTTGTTACCCAAACATTAACTAAAACACCCACACACATCATACCTCCACCCCTCCTCCACACCACCACTTGGCCTCTGCCCCCAGCTGCAAATTTCCTGGGATATGTTTATTTCTGGGACATGCTTGGGGATGAGCAGGAGCAGCTGGGGTAGTCTGGGAGAACCTTCCCTGGAAGAGCAAGAAGTTTGTCCTCTTTGCAGAAGTAAGTGTAGATGAGCAGTCTCTAAGCCGGCACCCACTGGTGGCTGCCCCAGCCTAGGCGGCATTTGATCCCAGGAACAAGGCCAGCCCTTCAATCCTGTGATGAAGGGGAAGTAGAGGATGGCTGCATCTTTTTTATCTTCTGGCAACTGGGCTACTGAGGCTGACTAACAAGGCTGGCTGGAGGTGGAGATTAGCTAGTGGGTTTCATTAGTGCTCATACTGTTAGGAACTTTTTTATGGTTTGTCTTGGGTTGTGTTCCCCTATCTTCTGCTCTTCAAATTCCAAGATCAGTTATGCAACTTGTGATATTCAGAAATTCCTGCACACCCTTCCAGACTGAGGTCACCAGCCCAGAAGGCTAGGACCAGCTCTCAGCTAAATGGAGAAACATAACACGCTAATTTTTATCATTCCCTCAGCTGCCTTTCTGAAGGTCTACTTTCTCCTCCTGGACCCTTGAGCTGCACGAGAGCTGGTGCTCCTGACCCACACTCACTAAAAAATCATATCTTTTCTCTTCCCTATTAAAACTCCTCCTCTGTTCAGGGAACTTGGGGAAGAAAAGGATGTGATAAATAAGTTCACACTACAGGTGAGTGGTTGATATTAGTTTAATAGGTTAATCGACTTCCCAAAGAGGATATTCTTTTTCAAGGGGTGTACCCAGAGCCAGAAACTCAAACAGCAGAGTTTCTGGCATTCCCAGACATCCCAGTTGCTTGGACAGATGTAGGCAAGTCTGGAGGCAATATAATTAGCATGGTTTGGAGGCACTATCAGTGTTGCTCCCTCAACTCTGGGGTTCAAATCCTGACACTGCCACTTTCTCGCTACAAAAATTGGGGCAAGTTGCTTCACTTCTCTAAACCGTTTGCCATAGGTTGGGCTTTCTTGGAAGTAGACTCTGATATAAGGGCTTAAGTGTAAGTTGTTTTTTGGAGGAAGTGATCCCAGAGAGCACTGTCAAGGCAATGAAGAAATAAGACAAGGAAGGAAGCTAAGGGTGCAGCAGTGAGCAGGTTACCACTCTGGGTGACTGGGGTGCAATCCCACTGGGCACTCTTTGGAGATTGTTGGAGAACACACCTCAGAGTGGTCCCTTGGAGGGGAGGGAGCTGGGGTACCTGTCCACCAGCTCCCATCGGTCACTGGTTGAGGACTGCTCCCATTAATGCCTCACCATGCCCAGTCTGCTGAGAGGTGGTCCAGGGGCTGGAGAACACCCTTGGGCTTATAGTTGGAGGCCATAAGATCTGGCTTTCACAGGAATGGTGAATGCCAAGGGAATATATTGGAGTGTTGACAGAGACTCAATGCCATCCATTCAGTGGGAATAAAAAGACCCACGGTATGCTGAGGGATTGAATGAAGTCAGGTAGAGCATGCAGCACAGTGCCTGGTCCACGGTCAGGACTTCATCAGTCATGGTTATAGGTCCTGTTATTCATATTCAGGGGATGCTGGGTACTACCCAGAGAGGAGTGTGTGGTTTGTTTTGGAGAGAGTTAGGAAAGAAAATAAGGAAGGCAGGAGTAAGCCCCCATTAAATAGGGCCTTGAAGGGCAGGCAGGGCACAGGTTTGATCCTATGAGCAGCAGGGCTGCGGGGTGATGCAGGGCGCTTGGGTGAGCAGAGGACATAGCACCTGTGGAGCCCAAGGTGGGGAAAGACGTCATCTTTATGGGAGCTCAAGTGATGCCTATGAAAGCACAAGATGCCTTCAGGGAGTGTGAGGAGGCATCTGAAAAATGATCCATGAGGCAATGACACCTCCTTCACAGAAACTTCTTCAACTGGTAGAAAGGCCACAGGCTTCTGTCCTTCTGACTGGCGTGGACGCAGTCCTACCCTAGTCTCCCCCACCTCCTGCAAAAATCTCCAAAGGCTTCTCATTACCTATCAAATGAAAGCCATACTCCTCATTATGACATTAAAAATCCCCCACAATGTGACTCCAAATTATTTTTCAACTCTTGTCTTTTTATCACTCCTTCCCCCCAACCCCGCAAAAAATTTGATCATCCCCAAAGAAAAAGATTAAAATGTAAAACTTTATCAGAACCTTATTTATAGCCAGAGAGTGTCCTCCAGGGGATCTGTCCCTGGCATTTGAGACAATGCTGGCTGCAATGGCTCATAACCTTTAGGCAACATCTGAAAGTGGTAGAAAGAACCAACACTGCTCTGAAAAATAATGGAAAATGGTATCTTCAAAATATACGGGGTCATCTGTACCTTTGAGGTTTACTTAAGGAAATGTTTCTCTTCTTTAACATGGATTTGATTGTGTTGGATCTGAAGAATATTGTTTATTATTGCTGCATGTGTATGTATGCATGCATGCATGCATGCGTGTGTGTGTGTGTGTGTGTGTGTGTGTGTGTGTGTGTGTGTTCCCATCATGCCCACTGAAAGCCCACTGAAAGAGAGGGGGCAAATGTGCACATTGCCTCCTCTGCCAATGGAGAGACTTAATAGTTGACCAGACTTAGACCAAAGAAGTGGCTTCCAAGGAAGTCAGGAGTTAGGAATCATGAGGCAAACTCCCTTTCTCCAAATACACCAGAGGGAGCTTACCCTTAAAGGGGCGGGAACCTGAGACTTGGGTTTACGCTGTTCTCACACTTCTGCCACCTCTGACTATTCCTCACTCCCTGGAAACAGCTCAAATGCTGACTCTTTTGCACAGACTCTGGTAGGCTTGCATTTCCTCTACTTAGAATGTTCACGTCACCTCTGAAAAACTCCTATTACCAAGGCCCACTCTGAGGTGACCTCCTTCTCTGGCCCTCCTATGTGCTTCTCTGGCTCTCTGTTCACACTTCTATTTTAGCCCTTCTCACAGTCCCATTTACCATCCAGTGCCAAAAAGCAACGAAACCAAGTGGTTAGGAGCTTGGGATCTGGAATCAGGCAAGACCAGGTTCAAATCCTGGGTCTTCCTTTTACAAGTTCTGAAACCTTACCTCTCTGATCCTCAAGTTCTTCCTCTGTAAAAGGCAGGTATAATTGCACCACTTTGTAGGGCTGTCATGAAGATTAAAGGAAATGTGAGGAAAGCATCCAGCTCCATAAGTGATCAATAAATGGGAGGTGTTGTTTTGATTATTACCGTTCATGTTTGTCTCCTCTCCTAGATTAGGAGCTTTGTGGAGAGGCAATAACACATCTGGTTTGTCACTCTAACCCCAGGAGAGTGTCTGGTAAATGCATTAATAGAATGGCTCAACTCCTGCTCCCTTACCAAGTTGCACCCTTGGCCGTGAACCCTATGCACTGTGGGAATTCCTCACTCTGCTGCATGTCTTGTTTCACGTCATGACTGCTTCCCAAGACTGTCCTCTTTACCCCTGTGCACTGCATCCAGACCTTCACTTTCATGGCTTCTCTCAGACATCTCAGCCCAGCCCAGGACCAGGATGGAAGTCCTGGAAACCCCCTGGGTGGTGCTGAGGACTAAACGAAATGATGCAAGAGTTGCAGTTAGCCCATATTAACTTCTCAGTTAAAGGTATTCTTCACATCGCTGTAGTGACATTCAATTCTGATGTGGCTCTTCCAGTCCGGTCCAATGTCAAGGGTTTAGCCCAGCTAAACCCCATCAGAAATGACCTCTCAGCTGGAACATCCACTGACACCTCTAGACTTTTAAAGCAATTTCTATTCTCTCATACCCTTTGACATACTTTTTCTTCAAAGAGATGTTTCCTTATCCATCCTGCGTGTCTGTCTGTGCTGTGGCCATGCTCCTTCCCTTTGATATCTTTACTGCAAATGCTGTATATACTTGTGGCTTGAGAAATGGAGATCACAAAATAACTTTCTAGATTCAGTATAGGTTGTGTACAGGGCTTGATCCTTGTAGAAATTCCAGTCACTGACCCGCAGGCACAGGATTAGGAAGAATGGCAGCATCCACCCGGCTCTAACATTTCGGATTAGACTTTGAAGCGGAAAGTGGCTGGGACAAACATACACTACTGGTGTAAACACACTTCTTCAAAGTTAACCTGCTTCACTTTGTTGGTGGGGATGAGACCTGGCATGACAAATAAAAACCAAGGGACACCCTCTAAGCACACTTGTGCATGACAAATGCAGCCACTTCCTATCACAGAAGTCATTGGTCCAAAACGGTGGCATGCATCATTCAAACAGCAGATAACAAGGCAATCTGGTGGCTTTTTTTTTTTACTTTTTTTTTTCCTTTTCCCTTTGGGATTTATTATATCACTTTTTGGCAGAAGATGTGCCTTCTCAGTAACTGTAAGCTTGCTTACGCTTATCTTTGAAAAAAAGTTTGCATTTCCTAAGCACAAACCAACTGATAGTACAGAGAGGAGGTGGGATCCATGAGGGGGACCGCAAGGGCAGAAAGGAGCCTAGAAGCCAGGGAGTGCCTCAAGGTGGAGCCCCCAGGCTGATTATGGAGACTGGCTGCATTGGAGGTACCTGGGAGCAGGACAGAGAAGGGTGGAGAGAAATAACCAGAGAGTGGGAGAGAGTGGGGAGTATTGGAAAAGAAAGTTGGAGAAAGTGAGACAGAAGGCCCAAGATAGACACAGGGAGACCAGTTCATCCCAGTTTGTCAGAGATTGTCCCCCAGTGTTGACACTGAAGTCCTATATTCTAGAAAACCTCTTAGTCCCAGGCAAACCAGGACAATTGATCACCCAAGGTCAAAGTGGTGAAAAACTCAGAGAAAGAGTAGAAAGAGAGAGGCACCTCTCTGAAATGAGTGCAGATCAGGGCACCCCAATAACTTTTCTGGAAGAAGAGTGCATTGTGGCCAGGCATGGTGGCTCCTGCCTATAATCCCAGCATTTTGGGAGGCCAAGGCAGGTGGATCACTTGAGGTCAGAAGTTGGAGACCAGCCTGGCCAACATGGTGAAACCCTATCTCTACTTAAAAAAAAAAAAAAGATACAGACACACACACACACACACACACAAATCAGCCAGGCATGGTGGCGGGCGCCTGTAATCCCAGCTACTTGGGGAGCTGAGGCAGGAGAATCACTTGAACCCAGGAGGAAGAGGTTGCAGTGAGCTGAGATTGCACCACTGCACTCCAGCCTGGGTGACAGAGCAAGACTCCATCTCAAAAAAAAAAAAAAAAAAAAAGCATTGGTCCTAACTGAGCCAAGGCCTCTGTCATCAGTACTCCAGACCACTGCTCGTTCTCCCTCCATAGAGAAGCCAAGGTCCTCCCAGAGGAGCATGCTCAGACTGAAATCTTGGGAGCCACAGAAGTTGCCAATAGGACCTGTCTCTGAGCTGACCATGCTCATGCAGTCTTGGCCTGAAATACCCGCTCCCTCCACCCAGTTGGGATGTTGGGATTAATACTCAATCTGCTTTCAGAATGCTGGGTTCCAATCTCAGTTCTGCCTCATAGATGATGTGGAATCTTGCGTGAATCTATTGCTACTTTGAGCTTAGATTTTTTAGTAACCATGGATTTGTCTGTCCAGTATACTTTGCCATCCCACTTTTTCTGGTTCCTTTAGGAAAGTCCTCTCCTGTAATATGTGGTTTTGATGGGGCTGTCAGTCATGGCGCCTTTCTCTTCCCAAGTCATGGGGCTGGGTGTGTGTCCCAAACTGAGCTAATTATAGCACCATATCCTCCAGACACTAGGACTGGTTCAGGGGTGGGCATGAACCAAAGCCCTAGACTTTTCTGCTGGATCTACTAAAGGAAGGCTGTCTCTCTCCCTTCAGAATCTATGAAGTATAAGCTTGGGACTGCTAGACAGTCAGAGAAACTCTTCTGCTGCAGGAAAGGAAAATGGAGTGAAGCAAAACTAAGAGAAGACAGAGAGAGAGCAGTAACATTGATTTGAGACCCTTGATCCAGCCACACCTGCAGACAGAACACCTTTGCACTTCCTAGTTACATGACCTTTTACATTCTATTTTCTGCTTCAGTTTGATTGTGTTGAATTTCTGTCACTTGCAAGTGAAAGAATCTTCAACTATACAATCTCTTTACTATAAAAAATAAATACAATTTTGTACAAGATGAGTATTAAATTAGATCATGGATATGAAAGGGATTTCAAAAATAGTAAAACACTATACATAGCACTTGTACATTGTTGGTAGGAATCTAAAATGATGTAGCAACTGTGGAAAATAGTTTGGCAGTTCCTCAAATGATTAAACATAAAATTACTATATGATCAGCAATTCCACTCCTAGGTGTATACCCAAGAGAACTGAAAACATACATTCATACAAAAACTTGTATGAACATTATGCTAACATTATGCTATGTTAATGGATGGTAGAACTGCTACCAGCAAGACCGGCAGCACAAGTGTTCATAGCCACATTATTCACAATAACCTAAAGTGGAAACACCTAAATAAGCCTCACCTGATGAATGGATAAACAAAAGGGGGTAGATCCATACAATGGAATGTTACTTGGCAATAAAAAGGAATGAAATACTGATACATGTTGCAACATGGATGAACCTTGGAAACATCATGCTAAGGGAAAGAAGCCAGACTCAAAAGGTCACGTATTATATGATTTCATTTATATGCAACGTCCAGAATAGGCAAATCCATAGAAATAGATTTGTGGTTGCCAGGGACTGGTGGGAAGGAATGGGGAGTGACTGCTCATGGTTACAGGGCTTCTTTTTGGGGTGATAAAAATATTGTGAAATTAGTGAGGATGATTTTACAATCTTGTGAATATACTAACAACTACTGGATTCTATGGCACAGTTTATGGCATGTGAATAAATAAATCAGTTAAAACACTGTGTACATGTAAAGAGTTATTATTATTATTCAACAGAAATCACAGCTTTCATAAAGCCCTTCACCAAATTCTCTGCAGTTCTCCAGCCTTAGAGTCTGGATTGTGCACTTGTCACTCATATGCTGCTGCCTTGGGTGTGATTTAAATAATGTTTAATAGTGATGAAATAATAAATGGTTTTAAATAGATTAATAAATAACAGATTATGATTAAATAAATACATGGTTATGTCTTGTCTCCTCAGCTCCATCACCAGCTGCCCTAGTGTGGGGTTCTCCTTCCGTGTGTCCTACAGAGCACAGGGGCACAGTAGGCACTCTGTAGGATCTGTTGAAAGAACAAATGAGGGCACACCTCTCCCCTCACCCTCCCACATTACACAAAAGCACACAGAGTGATCCTCAGGACCCCCATTCCCCAGGCACCTGTGAGGACGGTGAAGGTGAATGAATGGTAGAATTGTTACCAGCGAGACCAGCAGCAGCGCAGCTAGGACAGCCACTACAGTGCGCCCCTTCAGCAAGCAGCATGCAGACTCTGAGCACAAGCTGCAGACCACCCACACGTCAGAGGTGCCTGGGGCACCCACCAGCATGCCCTGATCCTTGGGGAATTTGCATTCTTTGCACGTGCTCCAGGTCGTTCTGATGCACCTGGAGATTTGTGCAAGGCAGGAATGTGGGCTGCAGCCCATTCCCTAGCTGTAGGGGTGTTCTACATTCAACTCAGCTGGCTTAAACTCAACTCAGTGAAGAGGACTCACTGTCGTATAACTGATAAGTCCCAAGGGGAGTGGGGTTAAGGGGTGGCTTCATTCAGGAGTTCAACAAGATCCTCCATTCTGTCATCCAGTGTCCACCTCATCTCAAGGCCAGATCCTCCTTCCCTACCCTGACCCTGTCAACTTCTGAGCCTACAAAGTTCCTTGTCCCAGGCTGGGAGAGGAGGCAGGAGTGGGAGAGGTGAGGAGAGAGAGTTAGTTCATTTGTTTGTTTGTTCTAGGGGCTCTTTTAGAAAGGCAAGAAAGCTTGCTTCCCAAAAAAACTTTTTCTTTTGTCATATTGCCCTTTCTGAAACGATGGGCTGGGAAGGGCAACATACTGATTCATTTCAGCCTGAACCGCATGCCTCCTTACACACACACACACACACACACACACACCAGGGACGGAATCACCTTCCCCGAGTCTGTGGCTGAATGGGTGAGGTGAAGATGAAGTAAAACCCAGATAGCCAACCGAAAGATAGTGAGGTTGGGAGACGAGCACAAGCCCACTTCACTTATGTGAACCTGGGTCTTCTCAAACTCCAGCTCATCTTCAGGGGCCCTGACTGAACATCACCTCCTCTGGGAAGCCCTTCCAATACCTCCCAGATAGAAAACTCTATCCTTTGTGCACCCACACACCACCTGTACTCACCCATCCATCCACCCGCCCACCTACTTTGTTCCTGGGTGTTAGGGGCTGAGTACTCCATTGTGAACCAGAGATTTCTACCCTGATGGTGTTTTCAGTCTGCACAGGAGAGAAAAGTTAAATGATCACACCAATTGATGCCTTGCTTCTCTACTAAGCACAATGAAGAGAAATGAGGGAGAGCGGGCTGGGGAATATCAGCATGTGTCTGGGACTCAACCTGGTGGGGACGGGAAGAGGGGGTGAAGGAAGCCTTTCCTGAGAAAGTGGGGGAAGGGCGCTCTGCTGTGGCTTTCCCTGCATCTTGGCCTTCCTACCCTCTGCCTCGGCTTCCTCCATTGCTGGAAAAGCCTCCACAAGCGCGGTGGAGGTCCGGGGCCTGGATTTAAAGCTCTTGAGATAAATGTGCATTGAATTTAACTACCAGTGATTAGAAGAGGGAAAGAAGGTGGCAGGGTTACAAAGAAGAGCTTCACGTTAGGTTAAGAGGGGGTGCACGGTGTCCCTGGGTGCTTTGGAATGCCTCAGGTGTGGAGGCTCAGGGAGTGGCAGTGGAGGCGAATCTGCATGTATTCCAGGGTCAGAAGAAACACTAGCCTCTACAATTCAAGCCGCAGGGTGCAGGGAGACACGGGGATGTCTTAGAATGGACCTTTGAGGGACATCCACTCACTTGGCCAAGGGAGACCTGCGTTCCAGCAGGTGTTCCTGAGCCAGCTTGGGTACCCTCTGAGTTTTGTGAATCTCTTTTCACTGGGAAATGGGAATAAAAACCACTTTTCCTGAACAGAATCTGACTGAGGCGGTGCGGTGCTACACTGGTGAGGGGGTTCCCAGGAGCGGTTCTCTGGAGTTTTCTCCAGAGGCTGACGTGGGGTTGGCGGAGAAGGAGCGCTGCACAGGCGCGTCGAGGCAGCGCGCCGCCTGCCCAGGTGGCAGAGCGGCCGAGACTGGCCCAGAGCCCGAGCCGGAGTGGTGTCCGGCGCCCCTCCCCTCCGCTCGAGCCCTCCCACTTCCTCTGAATGAGCCGCAGCTGTCAGGGAGCCCGGCGCCCCGCGCAGTGCAGGCTGCAGGCGCCGCGCCGAGGAGGCTGCCGCTCTGGCTTGCCGCCCCCCGCCGCCGCTGCACACCGGACCCAGCCGCCGTGCCGCGGGCCATGGACCTGCCCAGGGGCCTGGTGGTGGCCTGGGCGCTCAGCCTGTGGCCAGGTAGGTGCCCACCCTCTGCCTCCCCTTGCCTCTCGGAGTCCCTCCCTGGGCCCTCGGGGCTTGGATCCAGCGGCCAGGATCGGGACGCGACCCTCCTCCCAGGGTCAGACCTCAGCTGCTCTTGGGGACGTGGGTCCCCCAGGGACTGGCCCCAGTCTAGCGGTTCAGTCAAGTTTCGCTAAAGAGGGAGGTGCGAAGGCTATTGAAAGCCGGGACTCTTTGGTGTGTTTGGGAAGAGTTGAAGAGGCTTGAGTTGAAAAGCTCCCAGATCTGGTGGCCCTCCTGGGCGCCTTAGGTGCCTCCAAGGCCCATGCCGGGGTTCCCGCACGGCTGCCAGGGGCACTCGGGTGTCCCGGGAGCGCCGAGGGCGCACGGCCCCGGCTGGGGAAGGGAATCAGCGCCAAGAGAGTGTGCCCTGGCTGCCCTCCTGCCTGGCTCCGGGGAAGCATCTCAAAGTTTGGAGAGCCGGGCGCGGCGGCCCCGGAGGGCTGAAGGGTGGGGGTGAGGGCTGCGCAGAGTGCCTCCGGCCAAAGACAGAGCAAAGCCCCGGGGCGATGGCCGGTAGGCGGGGGCTAGCTCTCGTCTGCCCGGCCAGCAGCGGCGGGACACAGTCGCGCAGCGCAGGACCCCCGAAACGTTACCTGACACCCGGGGTAGGGACCCGGCATTGCCTCCCAACCCGCGCTCGGAATTATGCAATTATTCAATAATCTGGGGAAAGCCGCCGTCGCCTAGACGCGCGCCGCCGCCTAATGCACTCCAGGTGTCGGGGCGCGGCAGGAACCTCCGGCCCGAGGGGCGCGCGGCTGGGAGCGGGAAGCCAGCCCTGAGCTCTCCGCCCTAGGGTACCCTGGCCCCGGCCGTCCCACACCGGGCTCCCCGGCTCCACCCTCCACGCGGGGCGGCTGCCAGTGATGCTGTTCTGCGGAAGACGGCCAAGTGCTCCGGCAAGGGCCAGCGCCTCGGTTACTGGCCGGGTGTGGGCGCTCAACCTTGCCTCCCCTTCTGCGTGGGCTCCAGGCCCGAGCTGGGGCCAGTAGTGGGGGTCAGATGCGGTGGTAGTGGGAGAGGTGCCCTCAGGGAGCTCAGGTGGAGACCCCTATCCCGCAGCCGCTTGCCCCAGTCCCCGGGTACCACGCGAAGCAAGTCCACCCTCCTGTCGGCCTACAGAGGAGCTTCTCAGAGGGCCCATGGTTGAAAGGGCCTCTGGCTAGTGGAATCCTAGAGTCACAGTTTAAAACAATCATTGATACATTGAGTTGTGGGGGCTTGGAAGGGAGAGCAGGGGAAGAACTGCCACCAGGCCAATATGCAACTAGAAGCCAGCTGCGGGAGGAGGCCAAGCCCATTTAGGTGTGTTTAGACAGGAGGGGAGAATCTTCTCCAGGAACTGTCCTCATATCACTAGGAGATCCAGCCACAAGAAAAGAGACGCACTCCTGTGTGACTCCAGATAGGTGGCTGCATCAGAACCTTGGGAAGGAGTGGCTGCCTTAGGGGCTAGGGACAGCCTGGACCTCAGGAAGCTAAGAGCAATGGCTTTGGAATCAGACCTGGCTTCCACTTCTGGCTCTGCACCCTGCTAGCTGTTCAATCTTGGACTGGTTATGCGACCTTTCCAACAGGTTTCCTTATGTGAAGAATGGAGACACAAATTCCGTGTCCTGTAAAGTTGTCAGGATGCACTAAGGCACTGTAAGAAAGGCCCTTAACACAGGGCTGGGTGCACAGTAGGCTTTAATCAATGGTTGTTAATGTTGTTGCTACTCAAGGAGGAGGGGGCAGAGAATGACATTAAAGGACCTCTGAAGACACAGGATTTGTGACTCAGAGCTCCGCTTATATGGCGAAAACCACTCCTGAGTTATGTCTGGTCAGTTGCATTCTTGAAATATGGGATTCATTAAACATATCAATCAATGTTGGAACAATGACATCTGCTTGCAAGGAGCTGGGGGTGGGGCCCTAGCGTGTGTGCAATCTGGGTCCTGCCTGTAACTGAGAATAAGCCAAGGCCAGGGAAAGCTAAACAGAGGCACCAGGGAGTGAATGGCTTGGGGAAACCAAGGGCTGGGTGTTCAAACAAGAGAAGTTCAATTTCAGCCAGATAAGCAAGGAAGGCTTCCTGGAGGAGGAGATATCATTTGAACTGGCCCTGGAAAAGTGTGTAGAGTGTGCATGGGCCTGAAAGTGGGAATGTTCATATTTTGGAGTATTATTTTCTGAGACTAGTTAAAGAAGATGATGAATATTTTAAAACCACTCTGGTCAGTGTGGACTTTGAAGACTAGAAGGGTCTCAGGGATCATTGGGTTCACTCCTCAGGCTCCAGGACAGGACTGATGTTGATACCTCATCCATGCATCACATGAATTCAATGTGAGGATTACCAGGAAGCTTGTCTACTGGTGATGGCAGTTTGGCTGGGCAGGGAACCTGTCAGAGGCCAAGTTGAGGGTGAGACCTCAGAGCATCTACTCTCCCAGAGCTCCAGCTGCAGGCTGGACAGCGTGATGGGGTAGACAAAACTAACAGGAAAGCCTAAAAAAAAAGTAATCAAGTCCAAAGAGAGAGATCCATTGACCAGAGCTTTACAGTCATAACCTATCTGTAGGAAGGGTGATGATTCTTAGAAGCATAATCTTTGCTGAGCACCTGTTATCTGCCAGGCCCCATAAAGACACAAAGTGAGATCAGACACAGCGTAAGGGTGGAGGCCCTGGAGTTTCACTGCCTGGGATTGGCCTAGCCCCTGCCGGTTAGGGCTCTGTGCTCTTGGCAAGTTACTCCATGGCTCTGTGCCTCAGTTTCCTCACCTACAAAGTGGGGGTAATAATAGAACTTAGAGTTATCACAAAGATTAATGCTTAGAAAGTGCCAGGCATGTATTAAGCACTCAAGGAGGTTGTCTTCTCCAACATCATCAGCAGCAGCAGTAGCACTCAAGATATTGACTATTCAGGATCTAAGGACACAGAGATATAACTTTCAAACTCAAGTTCTCAAGAGAAGTTTAGAGGAAGTACATTGAAGAATCAGAGGAGACATACATGCCAGGGCCCCAAATGAGTGAAGACTTTCCTAGTCCCTCCCGCAAAGCCCTGGCCCAAACTCTTGATCATAATAAGAACTCAGGGTTGTTGTTTTGTTTGTTTGTTTACCATCGGGGCTGTCTTGAAGTCAGTATGCTCTTGATGTGGGTGTATTGTGGTGTGGAAAAGGAGAAGGCCCATACCATGCAACATGGCCCTTGTGGGTAGGGGTCCTACCCAACAGAAAGCAACCTGTGGAAAAGCACAGTGCTAGACACCACAGGTGTACAAAGGCTCCAGAGGTCCAAGACTTGCTCCCAGCCTCTCCTTCCCAGTGGAGAGCAGGGAAGAAGGGAAAGTTTGTCACTTTGCCACCCCATTGCCCACTTTGACAGCCAAGCCCCTCAGCTGCCATTAGCTGAGGAGCTTCTGGATCTTTCCATATCACAAGCAGACCCTGGAGTCTCACTCTTTTTCTGCTTACTCACCATGACCCCATCTCTACCCCACAGTGGACCCCCAGAGAGGGGATGTCTATCTCCATGCTCTTCCCACCATTCCCAGCCCATCCACACAGGGCTGTGAGCCCTGGAAGAACTCAGACAGTATCTTACCTCTCAACCTTGCCCTCTCTGAACCTCTTTTTCCACCCTCCTGTAGTGGGGAGCTCTTCCTTCTTCTAACAGCAGGGACCTTCCCTTGCATTCTCCCTCCCTTCCACCAACACCCCCAGCTCCTATCACTTAGGATAAAAATATGTTCTAAGCTGAGCTGGCTTTGCTCTTGCTATGCAGAAGGGAATTTGGGGAATTTTAAAAGCCCCTGTTTCTTCTCCACAATGCCTGACTTTGGGTGTTATTGTCTCACCATGGGCTTCCAGAGCTTACTTTGGGGGTCAAAGTCGAACATTGTTCTAGGATCCATCATAACCCTCCCCAGGCAGTGATGGGCTCTGGCTGACTCAGGGAAGGTCAGCTACAAAATGAGCCTTAAAAATCCTCTAATATGGTTCAAAAATGGTATCTCTGCTGATCCTCATCACTGAAGTCCCCTTCCAGGCCCACCCACTCCCCACCAACTGTATGTAGGCTACCACCAAGGATTCATAGCCATTTGGAACTTTTCCCTAAGCAGCTGTGAGCTCCAAAGACACCCACACATCTTCAGCATGGAGTGCTTTCTATAGGAGCTGTGGTCCAAGGGCGACCCTCCACAACCCCATCATGCAGATCCTAACTGTGTGAATTCTTTGTCAAATGCCCATTAAGTTTGTTACCACTGACAGGAGAAGGAGAGGAGGAGACTGGTGCTGGTCATCTTGTAAATCTAAAATAAGTGAGCTGCAAAAAAATTCCATGGAGAGTTTTCATACTATATACTTAAGATCTGAGTCACACGACGTGTGAAATCCCACCTGGAGGAAAAAGTCAGTGAGGCCAAACCCCCTCCCTGCTGCCTCTCACTTCCTCCTTCACTGAAGCACTCACCAAGCAGCAGAAATAATTGGCATGTGCATGGGCTTAGGACCTAGACTGCCCGGATGCAAATCCTTTCTACCTGGGTGACTCTGGGATAAGCCCCCAGGCCTCAGTTTTCTCAACTGTAAAATGGGCAAAATAACAACTTCATAGGACAACAATCAGGTTAAATGTCCATATGTAATTCATTTGTGTCAAGTGCTGAGAACAGTGTCTGGCACCCAATAAGCCCTCAGCTAACAGAAGCATTATTACTCTTCCCATCATTTAATATTTGATTGATGTCAGGCACTGTGTCAAGCACTTTCTCACATCTCAATAAGGCCTTGCTACAGTTGCACAAAGTCACTGCTACAATTCTGCCATTTCCAGGTTACACATAGGAAGTTAAAAGGCTCATCCAAGGTCATGTCGATAGAGTAAGAGGCATTGTTGGGATTTGTCTGACCCCCAGGCCACTGCCTTTTTTTTTTTTTTTTTTTTTTTTTTTTTGAGACAGTCTTGCTCTGTCGCCCAGGCTGGAGTGCAGTGGCATGATCTCGGCTCATTGCAACCTCCACCTCCCAGGTTCAAGTGATTCTTCTGCCTCAGCTTCCTGAGTAGCTGGGATTACAGGCCTGTGCTACCATACCCAGCTAATTTTTGTATTTTTAGGAGAGATGGGTTTTCGCCATGTTGACCAGGCTGGTCTTGAACTCCCAACCTCAGGTGATCTGCCTGCCTTGGCCTCCCAAAGTGCTGGGATTAGAAGGGCCACTGCTTTTAATCCATGCACCATACTCTCTTCAGGAAATGGAACTTGAGGGCACAGAAAGACAGTAAGTTGTCCTTGTTAAAGGAGGTGTCTTCAACAGCTGAGAAATGGAGGAATTGGGGAATTGTTGGGGAATTGAGATCAGTATGCAAACAGCTACCCCCACAGGGGCACCAGCTTCTAGGCCCAGCTAGACAGTGACTCCTCCAACAAGATGCTGACTCGGTAGAAGTGGTCCTCCTATGATGCTTCATTATGTGAGAACGTCTCTCCCTCTCCCCTCTCCCCACCCAGCTCAGGGCCCACCAGGCTCTGCCACCTGCCCCCAGGTGCCCAGTGCTCTGGAACACTGACTTCCCAGGGGCTGTCATTCCAGCCCATTCTCAGGGTCAAGGTTTGGCGATCTTCTCCTGTCTGCCCCGCCTGCTCCCATTCCGCTAATCAGAACCTGCTCTGAGCTTCAGGCCTAATGAGTTAACTCATGCTGAACCGCACTAATAAGTGATGACAACGTGATGTGTTCTACCCAAAGGGATTTCCATTTCAACTGGCTGTGCCTTGAGCCCAAGGAATAAAGGGCTAATGGTGGGATGTCAGGCACCAGGGCCAGCCAGCAGATGAAATAGGTGAGGCTGGAAGACCTACCTGGTGTAGTCCAACCACTTAGCCCCCTGCCCCATCACTGGTCAGATACCCCCTACCCCAGCCCTTGTTGCTGATGGGCAGCCTCGTTCTATAACATAGAAGAACCCAGCTTGTGGCTTGGGTGATGCAGCTCTAAAGCGGGCAGAGGTTTTTCCACGTGGCATGTGGGGTGAATTAGGCAAGTTGCTATAGCAATGCACTCCGGGCTTCCAAACAGGATGACACAGAGAAGGGGTTCCTGCCTGCGCAGCTGGGGCTGACAGCTTTCTTCCCCCAGCAGCATCACTCAGCTGGGCCAGACAACCAGAAATCCTGACCCTGCGGATTTTCAGGGCCTGTTTCTTCCCTGAAGATCAGAGGACTGGGCCTCAGGAAGGCCATGGAAAAATTGTGAAATGGGCAAGTGGGCGTAGCTCTAGATAGTCTGCAAAGAGCACTCCCAATGTTCCTTCTGTCAGTCAGGCCGGGCCAGGTGAGGCCAGAGTTCCTGCTGAGACAGGTGTGTCCATTAGATGGATGGAGAAACTGAAGCCCTTGCCCCACCTCCTCCAGGCAGAAGGGTACAAAGCAGTCTCCATTCCCTCTCCATCTCCTGGAATTGCTCTCTCCCTGGCACTATGCATAGCCCCTGCGTTCAGAGATTGGTGGCCATAATAAAGTCCCATCAATAGTTTGTAGACAGGGTTCTCTGAGTTTATTCAAACCACATATGACACATGCAGGACCAGTTACTTAATCTGAAGGACCCAGTGCAAAATGAAAATGTGAGACCCCTTGTTTTAAAATTACTAAGAATTTCTAGATGGCCACAGCAGGGCATTCACCAAGTGCAGGGCCTTTCTGAACATGAGGCCCTCAGCCACTGTACAGGCCAAGCGCTCATCAAACCGGCCCTGCTCACATGGCTCTCCCCGTGGGCCTGTTGTTTGGCAAGGAAGACACCATGATCCCACTTTACAGATGATAAAAAACCAAGTGGCCTGTCCATTTCACCAGCATGTGCTGAGCGCCCACTAAGCCCCAGGCACCTCCAAGTTCTGGGAATTCCAAATTAGATAAAGCGCGGTCTCTGCCTCAAGAAACATGGAGAAGGCACCCCACAGATCCCACAGACTGCAGGGCTCATTCCAAACACTGATGTACACAGAGGGCAGGGGTGTCTGTGGAGCAGTTCTAAAGGCACACGCCAGAGCTGTGAGGTCATTTTTAAGCCATGGAATTAAGATACTTCTGTCTCCAGTTATTGCCTCAAGACTGCTTTGGGAACCTTTTTAGGGGATCTCTGCATCTTCAACATTGGGCTCTGGAGCTTCCACCTTGGCAGACTTGAGAAGCTGGGACTTAAAATTCCTGGCCTTTCGGCAGCCCCAAGTATTTGTATTGGCATAGTCCTCCAGGGTCAGCACTTCTAAATAAGGGTTGACTCCTGTTCACCTGCCCACATGGGCTTCGCATCTCATTCTGGCATGGAATTGTAGAGGGTCAGCACTAGGAGGGAAGGCAGGGACCAGCAGATCCAGTGGTCCTCCATCCTGGGTGAGGGTGAGAATGATGATGTAGAAGAAAACTGTCGTGCAGACCCCACCCCAGAACACATCATCACTCTCCACATTGGGGCCCAGCAGGGACATTTTTTGAAGCTGTCCAATAATTCTAACGGGCATCCAAGATGGAGGATCACTGGTATAATGTAAACCCAGCCCCAGTCAAGCAAAAAAAACCAAACACTCTCCAGGGAAGGAAAATGACTTGCCTAGGGTCACACAACACCAGTGGTAAAGCCAAGATTTAACCAGTTCTCCTGACTCTCAGTCCTTCTGGAACTGCCCAGCCTGCAGTGCCACAGGATTCACAGCTGGGTTGGGCTGGAGACACAGCTTGAGAGTTTGAGAAGCTGAGTGCAAGGTGGACTTTGCAGATTGGAGCTGGTAGGTGTGGAGTGATTCATTGGTGATACTCTCTATGTCCCCTACAAGGCATAAGCTACTTGATCCCTGTGTGGCCCCAAGGGGGAGACCAGAAAAACCAAAGAGGAGCTATAGATAAATTGATTTGGCTGAGGATGCCAGTCAGAGCTGTCCACAGACAGATGCACCGGCACTGGGGCGGGGGGTTCTCTGAGTTTCTCAGAGATGTTGGCAGGGGTTAGTCGAAGTCCATTAGGGTCATTCCAACCCTGTGATCTTGGGCCCTGCTGAAATTGAAGTGAGGGTTCAGGTGAAGGAAGCACCTGACTCAGGATGGGACACCGACAACGCCAAGCCCAGGCTGGGTGAGGAAGGAATACTCCATCAACAAGAAGGAGGAGGCCGGCCTGCGGGGTGGGACAAGCAGGGGGACACCTAGGACCTCCCTGAGGTCCCCAGCTCAGGTTTCATTGTCCCTCTTGCCCCCATTCATCCAGAGCTTTCTCCACAGCCGTCAAAGTGAGGCTCAAAAACAAACAGAGTTGTCTTACTTTCCTCCTTAAATCCTTAGTAGCTCTCTACAACCATTGGGTTGAGTCCAGACTCTTTGACAGAGCCAACCAGACCAGGTAGGAATGGCCAGCCCTGGCCTGCATTCAGGACTCACCTCTAACAGAGCCATACGTTTGGGCACCTGCACACGCCAACAGCAGCCCCAATGAGACTGAGCTTCTTAGTTTCTTAAACACACTGAGCTGTCCCTGGCCTTCACTCCTGTTGTTGCCTATGTCTGATTCTACCCTCTGCCTCATTTCTCCTGGCTGCCCCCAACTTATTCTTCAGGTCTCTGCTTGCCACTTCCTCCTGAAAACCTCCCCTGACCTCCTCAATCAGTCAGGTGGGGCCCCACTTGTGTGATTCCAAGGTGTCCTGTACTTCCCCCGCCATACAGCATTCCAGTTGCCTGGACATCTCCCCTACTGAAAAGGGAGCACCAGGAGAACAGGGACCATATCTGTAATTAGCCACTGTATCCCCGGGTCTTGCACAGCGCGAGACATAGCAGGTGCTCAGTTAAGATGTGTTGAATGAACCAAAGAACTCTCTGTCCAGGTAAATGGAAAGCTATTTAAGGGCAGGGTAGATGTCTTCAATTTCTTTGCACATGCACTCCAGGAGGTAATAGCACAATAGCCTTTGGAATCAGGCCCTGGGAGATGCTCTGGGGGATAAAAGATGAGAAGAGATAACTCCTGCCTTTCAAGGAGCTTGTGGTTTAGCAGGAGAGAGATTTTTGGATAAATAACTACAATGCAAGGGAGGAAGTAATGACTGTGAGCCAGCTACAGATAAAGGACTCTGGGATTTGAGAGGTGGGAGAGAGATTATTTGTAAATGCAAGAAGGACTGGGTCTGGCAGCAAGAGGGTTAGGGAGAGAGTTCACCTGGGTAAACTGCCTGAGGTTTGGTGGGCAGGATGCCGGAGTGTGTGCTGTGAGGAATGGTAAGAACAGAACAGTGGGCTGAGGCCTCTGAGAGGAAACCGAAAGCCAACTAAGGCATTTGGATTTAGCAGATGGGAGCCATGGAAGGTTTTTGAGGGAGAGCAGTGACATGTTCTATCTGTGCTTGGAGGAGCTTCCTCAGGTGGGAGGGGGAGGCTGGATACAGCAGGGCTACGATGGGGAGCAGGTAGAATGATAAGATGGCTACTGCAGCGACCCAGCAAGGGGACACCAGAGTGAAATGAGGTGGTGAGATGCAAAAGGAGTGAACCCAGGGGGATAGAATTTAACAGGGCCTGGTCACCAGAGAAGGAAAGGTGTCTGGGAGACCAAGGACGGTGTCACCAACCTGAAGAGAGGCATGAGAGGATGAGAGGTTTGACAGGGGAAGTTGAGTCAGGCCTGAACGTTGACTTTGCAGTGCTCGTGGGCAGGTGGAGGTGGCCCTCAGGCAGTGGAGAATGTTGCTAGGGAGCGTGCAAGTGAGTAGTCGGACTTGGAGTGGTTTGACTGGGAGCTTTCACACAGACGTGCCTCAGTGGTGCGGGCCTGAGTGAGAGGGAGCGCCCCACGGCACAGAGCCTCTATCCCTCCACCCCTTTTCAGGCCCAGAAGCAGTGATTCATGCCCCAAACTTAAAGAGAATTCAAATTCGGACTTTAAAAGCCTTTTAGAACAGAAGAAACCAACCAGAGGGCCAGGCCAGACCACAAGCCAAACATCAGCTGTGGAATGTGCTTGCTGCTGATGGTGAAGCCAGCCAGGGGCAAAGGCACCAGCAGGCTTGCCAGCAGCCCCTACCATCGTCCTGAACATGTCCCGGTTGCCACTGGGAGTATCACCGCTCTTAACTCTCTTCTAAAAAAATTTTAATAAACACGTAATA
This sequence comes from Homo sapiens, assembly GCF_000001405.40. Classification (NCBI taxonomy): domain Eukaryota; kingdom Metazoa; phylum Chordata; class Mammalia; order Primates; family Hominidae; genus Homo; species Homo sapiens. The sequence goes on along the minus strand of NC_000015.10, from coordinate 68,421,807 downwards.
ATAATTGTACATATTTCTGGGCTACATAATGTCCTCTCTTTTCAGCGTAGATCTGTCTGCATTCTAGCCCATCTGAAACCCAGCCCCTCACCCCCACCCCCCACCCAGGCTGGCCCCACATCACCTTTGTGTGAAGGCTCTGATCTCCCATCTATCTTCCCCACTCTGCTCAGCCCAAAAGAGGAAGACCAGAAGGCAGGTTACACGAGGGGTCAGGGGACAGAAAAGCTCCCATGGCCTGTGGCCACAGCCCCCTCACTGGCCTCCTTGCATCCGCCCTTGTACCTTGAGGCTCTCCCACCCAGCAGCCAGAGGACTGCCACCAGAATGTAGGTCACATCATGTCATGTCCCTGCTCCGCTCCAAACCCTCCAGGGCTCCCCGCTTACTCTGAGTAAGAGGTCCCGTGTGATCTGGCTCTCCTGCATTTCTGACTTCCTCCTCTGTGCCTTCCCCACTGGCTCACTCCGCTCCACCCCTGGGGCCTCCGGGCTGTTCTTCAAACACATCAGGCACCTTGGACTTTGCACTTGCTGTTTCTTCTGCTTCGAATGCTCTTCCCCAAGAACCTCTCTCACTTCCTGCAGGCTGCTGTATCCAGCCTCCCCCTCCCACCTGAGGAAGCTCCTCCAAGCACAGATAGAACATGTCACTGCTCTCCCTCAAAAACCTTCCATGGCTCCCATCTGCTAAATCCAAATGCCTTAGTTGGCTTTCGGTTTCCTCTCAGAGGCCTCAGCCCACTGTTCTGTTCTTACCATTCCTCACAGCACACACTCCGGCATCCTGCCCACCAAACCTCAGGCAGTTTACTCCAACATGCTTCTCCCATTGAGGCCTTGCCTCGGGCTCCTACCTAAAATTCAACCCCCCTGCATGCATTCACATGCATAAACTCCCCTCCTATCCCCCTTCCCTGCTTTAGTCTCTCCGAGGCTTTTAATATTATCTCACATTATTACCTGTTTTATTTATTCATGTTGTATATTGCCTGCTCCGATGGAATGTAATCCTGAGAGCAAAGATTTTTGTCTGTTGAGTTTACTTACGCATCCCAGGGCCCAGAACAGTGCTTGGCCAGAGTACACAAGTGATAAATAGTTCAAGAATGAATCAATCAATCAGTTAAAATCTCCCCACCCGCCTGCCACAGTTGCTAGAAATCCCATTTACTAATCAATCACTCCTTTTAGATAAGCCAATCCTCCTCCTTACGACCCCAGGCTACTAGGTAGGTATACATTCAGTCCTGACTTTTCCCTGTCCACTTGTTATCAAAGGCTTTCTTTCCAGACAAGAAGAGGTTGGTGGCCATTGAGCATCGCTTACAAATGGGCAGAGCGAGGAAGGTTGCTGAAGGGAGGAAGGGCTCTGGAAGGGAGGGGAACCTTAGAAAGGAGTAAATTGGCTCACAGCAGGCAGTCCAGGTCAGCCCAGCTGGCCCCATGCTATTCATCACTATTTACTATGACTCTGAGATGACACAAGGAGACAGGGGAATGGCCTTGTTTTTACACAGTGAAAACCTAGTTATATAATGGGACTTCCTAGGAAACAAGGGGGCAGGGAGCATGCAGCAGAAATTTTAAATGCCTCATTTCCCACAAAAGGGTAGTGATTCAGACATCATCTATATGCCACAGAATGTGGCCATGTTGTTTAGCACCCAAGAAGGAGCTGGGAGTGCCCAGAAAAGATGGTGGGAGCTGAACATAGACCCCAGATTACAGTCCAATCCCTGGGAACCACCAAGCCAGAATCTGTCCTGGTGGCTTGGGAGATGACATGAAACCCATTGCACAGGTGGAGAGACTGAGTCTGAGCCTAACAAAGTCCATATTAGGAGCCTGTTCCACTGACATAAGGTTTCAACACTGGTCTCGACACTTAATGGCAACAGTAATACTAGCTAACATAGAAGTTAAGTAACTTAGCCAAGATCACCCGGATGATAAAGTCACAGCCTGGCATTTGAAGCCAGGCAGTCTGACTCGAGAGACTGCAATTCTGAGAGGTCAAGTGTCTTGCCCAAGGTCATACATCTGCTGCTAAACAAGAGAGCCAGAATCCAAACCTCTCAAGACTTCCATTCGATCTCTTCTAAAATAAATGTTTGGCCTTCATGTTTCTAAAAGCCCTTTAGGGGCTATGCTTCCATGCTGCCATGAACATTTCCTGAGCCAGAACCTCAATCCTGATTGTAAACCCAGATGTAACAGGAGAAAGAAGTTGACAACAGGGACTCTATTTCCAAACAATGGGTACACTCAGTACGGGGTTGGCCCTTCCTCATCCACAGGTTCATGAGGGGTCCTGGGCCTCAGGGGTTCTCTGAGAGGCCTCAGCACCAAGGGTCTGCCTGGGAGGGCCCTTAACAGAGCCTGAACATCCCAAACAAATGGCCACTCTAGGCTTGCATCCCTCCAGTGATGGGGGCTCACCACTTTGCATGGTAGTCCTTCATTTTCTAGCAAAGGCAGATGGAGTCATGAGCCCTTGACTCCTTTAAGGACCTAAAAGTAGCAGTAGACATTTGAGATCGTTTTGCAACCATGAAAAATTGGCCTGTACTGAAAACCAAAAAGACCTCTGCATAACCCTCAGAGAACAAAAACACTTCCACTCCCCAAAGTCCGCCATCCCCACCAAGCCTAGACAATGGCATCTGGTGGATCTCTGTTAAATTCCATGCAGCCAGAGACCTTTTCAGATGGGTGTGGGTATATCCACTGGAGGGCGGGCCCTGCAGGCTTAGAAGGGAAGGGCCCCCACAATTCCTTTTTTTAGTTTGCATTCAAAGAGCAGGGCAGACTGGCCCAGTAGTTCTCTGAGTCCTCTTCACCCTACTTCCTCTCGTCTGAGGGAAAGCCCTGCCACAAATTGCATATCCTGAGCCTTGTCTTGCTCTTATTTTGCCCAAACACTCTCTGGGCTGGGGCTCATCCCACATGCACAGGGCTCTTGATCCACACACCCATGACAAGCAGGAGACAAGCTTAGGAGTTGGAAAACCAAAACCAAACTGTCTGAGCTCTTTGAGATGGTCAGTATGCCAGGAAAGGGAGGGACTCACTGTCCAATTCAGCTCCAGTTGAAATGGCCTGAAGCCAGAATCAGTGTGGGCAGGGCCGCCACGTACAGCTGTACCGGCTGTGCGCTACATGATTTACATCAACTACAATGTAAACAGCATCCTCTGCAGTTGTGTAGTAAAGTGACCTCAGGAAGGGGGTGGGGGGGTGGGTAAAGAAAGTGATAAAGGTGTACATAAATGGGCTTTTAAAAATCCTACACAGGGACTTAAAGCATCGAGTCCTGTGTGTGCCTTTCACAGATAAGGCAACTGAGGGCCATGTGAAGTAAGAAACTGGTCCAAAGTTGCAAAGCAATTTAGAAACCATACTGGCAATAGAACCAGGATTTCTGAAGCCAAATCCAGTACTCTAAGTTCCTTCCCTCCCTGAGGCTCTATCACTTTCCCCTTTAACCCCTTATTGGAAGGTTAGTGTCTTAGAAGCCTGAATACTTCTATTCATTTTTTCCGTCTCATTTAACAAATGTATATAGATCACCTATTGTGAGCTAGGCATTGTTCTAGATGCTAAGGATAAAGTGGGGAGACAGACACACTGATTCTGGCTCTTGGGATGGGATAGAAAGAATTCCTATCATTCTTATTTGTAGTATTTGCCAATTACCATGATGTAAATCCTCCCACCATGGTCGTTTTCAAGCTGCCAACATGACATCACTGAATGGGAAGAGTGCACACAATCAGCTCTTGTATGCAGACTCCAGCACACATTAGTCCCTTCCTTTGTGGAACTTAAACTCCAGTGGGAGAGGAGACAGTGTCCAAGTAGGCAAACAGCTCTTATAACCACCTGTAATTATTTTTAATTGTAAAATACATAAAGAAGATGTTGTGAGGGAGAAGAACAGATTCTCCATAGCAATGGATTCTCCTTTCTCAGAGGCCATGGCGTTAAAACTGGAGGTTGAGAAGGAGCCAGCTGAGAAAAGTTCTTGGGGAAGAATGTTCCAGACAAAGGGGACTGCAAATGCAAAGATCTCAAAGTGGGAAACAGCTTGGTGTATCTGAGGAACAGAGAGGAAGACGGTGAAGCTGGAAGGTAGTAAGTGAGAAAGCAAATCCGCAGGGCCTGGTGGGCCCTGGGAAGGGTCTAGAATCTATTCTAAATGCAATGGAGGAACTCTCGGGGGCTTTAAGCAGAGCCAGGATCTAGTTCACACCGTTGAAAGATCACTGTGGCTGCTGCAAAGAGCATAGCTTGAAGCTGAGCAAAATTGGAATGAGGGACCAGTTGGAAAACTCTAGTGCAAGTCTAAATACAAAATGAAGAGGATGGCTTAGTCCAAGTATGGCAGAAGAGACAGAGAGGAGTGGGCACATTGGAGAGGAATGGAGGGCTAGAACTTGCAGGATTTGCTGATGGGAAGTAAAGGAAAATCATAAGGAATGACTTCCAAGCTTCTGGCTTGAGCCATCTGGTGGGTGGTAATGCCATTTCCTGCAATGGGGACAAAACCATTTAAGAAGCGAAAACCTGGGTTCCTTTTCCAGCATGTGAAATGTGAGATGTTATGAGACATCCAAGTGAAATGTCCTATAAGCAGCCAGGAAATTGATTGTGGGGCTCAAAGGGCAGGCCTGGGCTGGGTGGGGTGAAATATGGGGTCCTCAGGAGCTCGGGCCATGTTGAGGCCAAGGTCCCACACACTCGCTCAGACAGAGCAAGACTCTGTCTCAAAAAAAAAGAGGAGGTCCATTTTGATCACTTTTCCTACACAGAGAAAATGATAAATGATGTAAGATGGAAAAATACACTAGTTTTCATAAAAAACTGTGACCCTTGTTTTTGTTTTTTACGGAGATGGGGTCTCCATATGTCACCCGGTTTGGAGTGCAGTGGTGCGATCTTGGCTTACTGCAACCTCTGCCTCCCTGGTTCAAGCAATTCTCCTACCTCAGCCTCCCGAGTAGGTGGGATTACAGATGCCTGCCACTAGGCCCAGCTAATTTTTTGTATTTTAGTAGAGACGGGGTTTCACCATGTTGCCCAGGCTGGTCTCGAACTCCTGAGCTCAGGCAATCCGCCTCCCAAAGTGCTAGGATTATAGGTGTGAGCCACCGCACCCAGCCATGACCCTTGTTCTTGAAGAAGATGATCCATATATTCTCTGAAGGCATGAGATGGCTGTCCAGGGCTCGGAGGAAAAATAATGTTAATTACAGTCAGTCTCAATGTGCTGTTTGCTGCTTTAAAGTTTTAGGCCTGTTTTCCTTGAGCTTGACATCTGCTTAACCAGCCCATTGGCAAACTCCTGAGTTCTCAGAAAAAGATACAAAGGACTGCCGAGGCTCTCACCAGCCCTTGCTCGTTCTCTGTCTCCCTGTCTCCGGATGCTTCTGTGAGTCTCTGTTTCAGCCTACATGCCACCTGCCCTAGCCGACATTTGTTCTCCTCTGCAACCCCAGGGAAGGGACCCTCACTCCTCCACAGGCTGCCCAGCCCCAGATTGATTGTTTTTTTCTGATTTGGAGAATTCTTCCTCATATAGAGCTGCAAATGCTTTTGATGGCTGAGGGGAGGCTGTTGTGATAAGTCACTTGTTAACAAGCATTAGTTTATCTACCATACAACAGGACATTGAGGGGATGGGACAGATAACAGGCAAGGCTTTTGATGAGATGACAAGACTGAAGTAGAAGAGAGGGAGGCAGGCCAGGGTCAGGGTGCTCCAAGGTTGCAGGCACCCAGTGTGTGTGATGAGGATGTGCCAGGGCCTGGCTGAAAGGGGAGGTGGAATTGACAGAGGACAGTGGGTGAATGGCAGGCTGCTCTGCATCCCTCTACTTAGGCCCTTCTTGGATGAATATCAAGTTCATCTGATAAGCTCACCCCTGGTGGCAGGCAGCACCTGCTTCACTCTTTCTGAGCATCCACATCAAGGCCAGCTGAATCTTCAAGACTCTCAGCTGACGCAGACCCTGGAACTCACCTAGTGATGGCTCCCAGCCCCTCATGACACACATGAGCTCTCTGCTTCCTGGTGTGTTCTTTTTCACATGCTTAACATTCGAGAGGGCATGTGAGCACATCCCTATCTAGGGCTCCTCCTCCCGGGGAAGGTGGACACTGTGGCTGCAGCTCCATGACACAGGCCTTGCCTCAAACCACTGGCGTGCTCAGAGCCACTCCCTGCCGGAAGCAGCAGTGGGTGTGGACTGGGGACGTGCTGTTTCCCAAATGAGATAATCTCCCCCAGAGATTCTGCTAAGAAATGAGGGGTGTGCTCATACCATGGGGACAGATGATGCTTTTCCACAGAAGCCCCCCGTGCTGCTGAAATCCTTCTCCTTTCCCTTCTGTGGCCAGTCTCTCTATCCAGCCTTCAAATGGACAGCACCCTCCATCCCTTGAACCCCTCCCCTTTCTCTAGACTCCATCAGAAGACACAATTTCTTCGTCCCATTATTCCTCCCCGTCTTCTCCAGTGAGCTGCGTTCTGACCTGCACAAAGGCTGGGGAAGCCAAGAGACACATCCAGAGATGAGGAAGGCCAGTGGCTGGCGGTGATATTATAGTTGGAGGAATAAGGAATAGGAGAGACTCCATAGCGCTTCCTTCAGAAGAAAGGCAGGGGGATAAGGCCAAGTTAGCAGAGAGACAAGCAGTCCACCCAGGGGTAGTCATTTGGCAGAGAAGTAAGATGCTGACGAGTTGATCAGAGAAGCTAGAAAACAGGGGGGTCTTTTGCAAGAGTAAAGAGGAGGGATGCATCCCTCTCCTGGAAAGACCCAAGTTTGGTTAAGTTTTCTCTAGAGCACAGGAGGGTATCAGGGTGGTAAGAACTGGCTTGGCATCACCAGGCCAGCCCTAGTGGCAGCCTGCAACTGTAGCAGCAGGGCAGGCCCGGCTGGGCGCTAAGCCGTGGGGAGAGGGGTTACAGCTCACTTTCATGGGGGGGCTTGAGGCTGAGGGACACTTGTTTGGACCCAAGTGCTAGAGGGGAAGGAGGGAATGACCTCAGTCCCAAAAGCCAATCTGATAGATACTTGCGGAGGCCCTGGCCGTTGGCCTGCCCACGGGAGTGCCCCCGGTGCCAGTCTGCCTGCTCCTCCCCTCTGAGGGGAGATGGATTTGGAAATAAGTCCAGAGGAGGCGGAACACACAGACTCAGAACCTCAGTACTGGAAATGTTTGTAGACCACCTGGCCCTACTTCCTCATTTTCTAGAAGAGGAGACAGAGGTCCAGAGAGGGAAGGTATTTGTTTCAGGTCACATAGCCAGTCGAGAAACCAGGTCTTCTGATGTCCAAACTAGTTCTCACCACAGTGGTCTCAGCACTCAGGAGGGGCTGTTATACTCCCATGTCCCCTTTGCTGAGTCCTGGAACCAGCTGTCCTAAAGTCAGAAGTTCATCCTGTGGCCTTTGACCTTAGCATTCTGCCCTCCAGCCCCGTCCCCCCAGGGACCATTCCTAGAAGACCTCAGGGAGACTGAGAAGCCTCTGTCATTCCAAGGCCACAGTCATGCCTCAAAGGAGCTGGTGCTCCCTGCCTGGTGTCCGCAAGTTTTGAATTAAGAGGGGGTCTGATGGCAGCCATGTTGCCCTCCTGCCCACTTGCCCTAAGTCTCCTCATCGAGGTTTCAGCAGCATAGTCCAGCTCTGGGGCTAGGCTGGGCTTTCTGTGGAAAGGTGACCACATCGCCTGGACCCCCACCAAGGCCTCTGTCTTTCTGACATCTGGGTGTGTCCAGAAGCCCCAGCCAGGGCAGGAGGGCCCAGCCAAGTCTCCATGGTACAGGCAAAGGGAGAGAGAGAGCTGGGCCCTGGACAATGCCAAACGTTTGATGGTGATTTTCTTTCGTTCTTTCCTTGGCTTGGGAATGCAAAATATTATCGTTTTTGCCTGGAGATTTCCCTTCCTAAATGCGCATGGCTCCGGCCAACATTAAGATGAGTTTGCATTCCTCCACACTGCCTGGTTTCCAATTCTAAATTGTTTGCTGAGACTCAAGACAGATGCTCGAGTGCCGACAACTGGAAGTCAGCTGGCGTCTGCCCAAGGGAACCTCACTGACATGTGCCGTGGTGGGTCTTCGATGTTACAAAGCAGGAGCCTCTCATTTTACAGATGGGGAAGCTGAGGCCCAGAGAGGCACCGGGGCTCTCAATGGACATCCAGCCAAGTTAATGACAAAGCTGAGATTAGAACTCAGATCACCCCACCCTAGTCCAAACTTCTCCTGGCTTCACTTCAGGCTCTGTTGACTTATAAACATGTCTGTTGCCTGCCCAGTGGGGCTGTAAGCTCTGAACACCGTAAGTCGTGTCTCAGCCAGCTTGGTGTCCTCACTTCCTACCATGGAACCTGGAGCTCCATAGACCCCAAATAGAGGTTTATTGAACTGAAGGGCCATAGAGGGGACTAACACAGAAGGAGTGGTGGTGAACATAGATAAGTATGAAGAGAGGCTGGTGACCTTGGACACATTTCTACCCCGCTCTGGGCCTTAGTCTTCTCACTTATAGCAACAAGCTTTTTAAACTCGACAGAGCAGTTCTCAAACTGTGTTCCAGGAAACCCTAAGGTTTCAGTGAGGCATCTTATGTCTGCTACTGAGGGTGGGAAATTCCTCCCTACCCCCTAGTCCTAACCCCAACATCCACTTCTTGTGTCTACTTTTCATGTATATATTTTGTTCAAAAAATGTGAGATTCGCTGTAGAAAAACAAAGTTTGGAGGCTAATAGATTATTTGATCTGGAAAATTCCTGCTTGTTCTTAAAGATAAAGTCCTGGCTGGGTGCCAGTGGCTCACGCCTGTAATCCCAGCACTTTGGGAGGCCGAGGCAGGTAGATCACTTGAGGTCAGGAGTTCAAGACTAGCCTGGCCAATATGATGAAACCCTGTCTCTACTAAAAGTACAAAAATTAGCCAGGCATGGTAGCACATGCCTGTAGTCCCAGCTACTTGGAAGACTGAGGCAGGAGAATTGCTTGAACCTGGGAGGCGGAGGTTGCAGTGAGCCGAGATTACACCATTGTACTCCAGTCTGGGTGACAGAACGAGACTCTGTCTCAAAAAAAAAAAAAAAAAAAAAAAAAGCGAATAAGTTCCCCCTCCCTAATAACATATTTGCTACACACCACCTTTGACCCAATGGTAGCTTGTCTAACGGGGAGTTCGTGTCATGCCCCCTAGCAACTGGAAAGAGAGAAAATGAGGTGAAGGAGGCCTCATGCTCTGGAGGCTCCGTTCTGCACAGAGCTGCTCCAGAGCCCAGAATCCATGTTGGGTGCCTGGCTGGCTGTGGGTCTGCGTCTGTCATTCCCTGAGTGATTCAGGACAACCCAGCCATCAGGCCCGGTGTATGGCTGAGGCAGGAGGAGGCCATGATTTGCTCGTTAGGCCACACTTCTCCCTGACAGGGTAGGCCCGGGCCCAGCTCTGCCTAATGTTGGGTCTTCCTGATGAGATCTTGAGTAGGAAATGATTGGGGTACTACCCCAGCAACCACGAGTCCCCAGAGATCCCCAGCTCCTCTTCTCCTTGTCTTTGTCCAATCACTCTGTGAAATTGTTCCTCCTCCCTGATGGTCCATCACTTAAGAGCTAAGCTGCATCAATTATCAATTGCTATAATAATGTCCTGTAACCAATAATCCCCCCAAATCTCAGTGGCACACAATAATAATTGTTTAGTTCACATATCTGGGGTCAGCTGAGGGTGGGGGAGTGAACTGGTCCAAGCTAAGCTCAACTGAGTGGCTCTGCTGGGCTCACTGGGCTTGCTTGTGAGTTTGGGGGTGCTGACCTCAGCTAGGTTGGGCTGGGGCAACTCAGCTGGGGCAGCTCTGCTCCGAATATCTCTCACTCTTTTCCTGGGGTCAGTGGACTAGCCGTCTCATGTTGCTGCCAGAAGTGCCAGCAAGCAGAAATAGACAAGGCATCCTAAGGCCCAAGCTGGGAATGGGCACACATTATTTCTGCTCAGATGGCCTAGCCCAAAGTCAAGGTTGGGGGAAATATACTCTCCTCTTTTAGAGGCAGGAATTACAAAGTCCCATGGTAAAGGGTGTGCATATAGAGAAGTGAAGAATTGAGACTGATGATGCAAGCTGGAGCAGGACCACTTGTTTTTGTATCCCAGCTCTGCCACCCACTAGATGTGTGACTTGGGACAAGTTACGGGATCGCTGTGCCTCCAGTTCCTCTCTTCTGCCATAGAGCGGCTTCCTCTGGCCATCGGCTCCCATCTGCTGCTTCATCCAGACTTTTAAGCCCTTGGGACTCTGGCTCTGTCCTTCTGGCATACCTGGTCTCCTGTGCTCTGCCTGTTGTGATCAGGGAGCCACCAATCAGTTCTGTAGTGAGCAGAGGGCATGGGCCCAGGATGGGTGAGTCTTGAAGAAGGAGTGTGTGGGAGGGGGATAAGCCTGGGTGAGGCCTCTCCAGGGTTGTCGTTGTTGATAATTTGTTGTGGTTGTCAGAGCTGAAATTTCTACTTTAACTCAACACATTTTTCTGAGCACCAGGCCTTATGGTGGGATAAAGGGATAAGTAGAATCCAGTTCTCCTCACATTGCTCAGTCTTAGATGGGGAGAAGATTGTGTGGAATCAGCTCTGCTCAGTGTACATGTCTAATCCTATTACTTAAATATTCACTCCACACCCTCCATGTGGCAATGCAGGCAGAGTTGCTGCTCATGGGATGCTCACAGTCCACTGTGAGTTCCCTGTTGGCCACGCAGCTGCCCATGGGGGCGGAACCGCACACTCCCCACCAGCCTGGGGGCTTCCCAGGGTGAGGGCAGAGTTACTAGGTCTCCTATGAGAGCAGCAGGTCCCCAAGGGCAGTATCCCTGCTTCTCCCCAGAGTCAGAGGGCTCCCCAAGCTCTTCTGTAATGAAGGCCTTCTTCCCTCAACTAGCTAGAAGCTTCTCTGATGTAGGGACCACGTCCCCTCACCCCTCCCTTGCTCTATCGCACTAGTGCCTACTACAGGAGCCTAGACTAGGGTCCTTGGGCCTCCAGCAATGCTCCCAAATCTAGCATTGCCTTCCTAGATGCCTCTTTGAAATGATGGCCTTGGGCAGAAGGGAAGGCTGGCTGGCAGCAGAGCAAGAACCCTCACATGTTCCCTGCTCGCCAGGGCAAAAGGGGCAGCAATGCAGAGGATACGAAACAGCCAGCCATCTGAAGCTCATTACTTCTTCACTTTTGAATGGGTTGTTTTTTTTCCCCCATAGCAGCAAGAGGTTCACTTTGCCATATCTTTTTGCCTAGGCCAGCTTATGGTCTTTTCTCCCTCCTCCTCTCCCTCTCTGTGATTTGCTTTTAGACGTGAAGATTCTTGGGGCCCAAGTAAAACTGGGAAGAGTGAGATAATACCAGAGATTCTTAGTGATAAACCCCACCTCCCTCACCCCATCCCAGCGCCCTCCCTCCAAGGAAAATGAAAGCTCTTGCTTACACAGGTGCATCTGCAACATGGAGCAGAGCCCAAAGAACCAGTGGAGGCCTGGGGCAGGGCTGCGGAGAGGCTTCTGGGAGGTGTTCACGCTTAGGTTCCACAGATCGGCTTCCTCTGGCCGTCAGCTCCAACCTGGTGCTTCATCCAGACTTTCAAGACCCTTGGGACTCTGGCCCCATCCTTCTGGTATACCAGGTCTGCTGTGTTCCACTTGTTGTGATCAAGGAGTCAACAGTCAGTTCTGTATTGAGCAGGATCTTAGAGCATGTGACTGGGATAGATGAGTCTGAAGAAGAAGAGGTGTAGGAGGGGACAAGCCTGGCTGAGGCCACTCCAGGGAGGATTCAAGTGACTGACGACGGTCGGTGGTGTCTGAAAGGGCAGAGGAAGACTTGATGGTGATGGGCTGGATGGCACGGGACCCGTGAGGCCTCAAAGTCATCCTGGCCGCTTCCTAGCTGTATGACCTTGGCCAGTTGCTGACTTTCTTTGTGCCTCAGTTTTCTCATCTTTAAAATGAGAATGATAATATACTTACTGCAAAACATGGTTATAAGCATTAAATACATTCAGAATAGTGCTTGGTACATAGTAAGAGCTTTGTTCATGTACACAATTATTTTTATTATTGTTATCTAAGTGGTAGGGGACTATCAGTACCTACCTAATCAGGTAGTACTGATAGGTAGAGTATCAGTACTACCTATCAGTACCTACCTAATCAGGTAGTACTGATAGGTAGAGTATCAGTACTACCTATCAGTACCTACCTAATCAGGTAGTACTGATAGGTAGAGTATCAGTACTACCTATCAGTACCTACTATCAGTACCTAAGTCAGGGAGCTAGGAGGTAAACTAAGGCAGGAGGAGCCAACAGGTACTGATTCTGAGAACAGATTCTCAGAAGGTGAGAAATCCGGTAGGCAAGTCTATCTGCAACTTTTGGGCACTGGGCAAAGATAAAAGCCATTCATGGATGTGGCCTTGAATAGCATATAACCTAAGAGCAAGGCAGAAGGGAAGGCAGCTGTTATGCAAGGCAGGGAGTGACAGAGCTATGAGCAGCCCACGCTGAAGGCCCCAGAGGAAGGACCACTTTGCAGCAGAGGTGTCATCAGAGGTGGGACTTGAAAGCGTAGGACGAAGGGAAGAAAGGCCTTCCAGGCATGGTGAACAGCATGGGCAAAAGCGCTGAGGCCAGCTCAAGGAACCAGGGCATCTTGATCCAGTTCAATTCAACCAAGATGTATTGAGTACCTTTCCTGCACCAGGCAGTGCCAGAGGTTTGCTACTCCCTTTAGTCTTGCCAACCACTTTTCCAGATAGATATTTTTATTCCTGTTTTATAGATGAGTAAACTGAAAACCAGAAAGGGAGAGTAACTCCCCAGGGTCACCCACTTATGAATGAGTGCTAGAGCCAGGCTTCTAACCAAGTCCTCCCAGAACTGAAAGCCCATCCTCTCTTCATGTCTGGCCTGACTCTCAAGGAGCCTGGCAGGATGGCAGGAGGAGCCAGGCAATTCCTGACACCTCCACCCAGGTAGGCTGTTCTCTTCTTTTCCCCGGCTCCACATTTGCACCAGGAAAGCCTGCCTAGCACCTTTGGGCCACTTCACCTATTCCTCCACATGGCCCTTCAAGGCCAGAATCACACCTCCAGAAGCTTCCTGAGCACCCAGCCCACAGGGTCCTTCTCTCTAACAACCATGGCATCTGCTTGCAGGGCACACTTGCACTCCACGTGCTTCCCGTGAGCCACTCTCCCAAGCTGATAGGACCCATCTCTCTTCTTGTCTTGCCCTCCACTCATCCCCTGTGCTAAGTGCTAGACCCAACAATGAGTAGCAAACAGACCCCATCCTGCCCTCATGGAGCCTGCGTCCTGATGCGGGAGACAGGAGTAATCAGACAGTCACATCCATGGAGTAGAATTACTAACTGTGAGAAGAAAAGGAGAGGTCACCAGTCACCCATTAGTAAGGCACAGGGGTGATGAGATCATTAAGCAAGATCTGATGTAATCAAGGTATCAGGGAAGCTTCCCAGGGGAGGCCAGGGGAGGATTTGCATTTATGCTGGGGTTTAAAGGTGATGGGAAGCTCATCAGAGAGGCTCAGGCAGAGGAAATGGCACATGCAGAGGCCCTGAGGCAGAGGAAGCAACGTGCATCTGGAGGAGCAGAAAAGGGACCTAGAGGAAAACTCACACAAGACAAGGCTAGGCAGAGGCTGAGGGGCCATGGGGCCACATGGAACATTTTGGACTTTCTCCCAAGATCCCTGGGAAGCTATATGGGAGGAGGAGGAGAGGCAGGGAAATGGAACAGCACAGCAGACGCTCCTTAAGCTGGAGCGAACTCTCCCCGCTGAGCTGTTGAATGGCCTTAGCCATACACTGGCCAGCAGCCCTCAGCACCTGGGACCAGGACTGCCCTACCTGGCCTTCACCTTAACCTGTAGGGAGTGGAGTGGCTTTGAGAACTGTGAGCCCCAAGTGATGCTCTGGCTTGATGCTGTGGTTTCCGTCCCTTCTTGAGACTGACTGATGCTTTTTTTGAAAGACACACAAGATTCTGAGAAAGGGAGCAACAGTTGACGTAACTTTGGCCACGGCCCACAGGAGAGCAGCCCAGGAATTGTGGTTTTTTTCCCCCTCTGTCATCAATATCAAGGGCAGAACAGTGGCAAGCTGCCCAACCAGGCTCCCAACATCTCTGCAATCAGCCTGTTCATTCCCATCAAAACAACTTTATTTTATCATGTTGGTATTTGGAAGTCATCAATCTCTGAGAAAAGTACTTCTCCCAAACATGAAACCCATCTACCATAAAAGGAGGCGGCCAGAGATCTTGTCAGGAGCCGAGGTCAGAGAGATGGACTTGACTGACATCATTTTTAGGAAATCCACTCTCTGGTTGGTTCGGTTTGGTCAGAAGCAAACGCCAACTGGTCTCTGGAGACGAAACCAGCACTTTGTAATTTAATGCCTCTTCCTTGTGGCCAGATTTCACTAATCCTGTCCCCAGTGAGGTTGGGGCTCTGTCTAGGACTAGTCCCACCTTCCCCTGGGCCCCCACCACCCCCTCACTGGGCACCTCACTTTGGCTGCAGGATGGAATGCAGGCAGCTGGCTTTCCCTCCCATTGCGTCTCCCTGCTGGAACCCAAAGGCAGAGGCAATGGGACCTAGGGCAGGAAGCGGAGACCCTCTTCTCTAAAAGGAATCTTCCCTTCTCCCCAGTGAGTCCTTCTTATGAAAAACTGATCTAGGGAGGGAAGAGAACACATCACCCCGGCACCCCAAGCTATGTGGTCATGTGTCCAGCTAATGTGTCCCCAGCTGAGTGATTTGGGGAAACTATTTAATCTCCCAGAGGTGTGATTGTATCTGTCTCATGGGGTTGGTGTGAGATTTAATTGATTAATGTAAAACTCACGGTTAGATGCCTAGGATCGTGCCTGGAATATATCAGCGCTCATCATTATTTCCTTTCTCCTTTTCCTCACTGAGGGGAGAGACTGTCCCAGACAAATGAAGATCCTGGTCTCTAACTGTTCAGTCAACCAGTATCTACGAGCTGGACCTCCATTCAAGGCACTGAGGATAGAGCAGTGAGGACACAGCAGAGTCCCGTGGCACTTAGAGACTATAGGAATATTCTAAATATCAGCCATGTGACAATAAACAAATGTCATATGTTTGTGATAAACGCTATGAGGAAAAATGGAGCACAGGAAGGGATCCCTGGGGTGTTTGGTGGCCTGGTGATGGACAAGATGGCATTGAAACAGAGATTCTAAGACTGGAGGGAGAGAGCCTTGCAGGTATGGGAAGAAGAGCATTCCAGGAAGAGGGAACAGCCACGGCAAAGATGCTGAGCAGAGAACGAGTCTGAAGTTGGAAGGACAGCGAGAGGGTCAGTATGGCTGGAGGAGAGGAGGAGGAGAGGGTAGAAATTAATGGGGCAGAGTGAATGCGGTGAGATTATGGAGGGCCTTGCAATGAGGAGTTTGGCCTTGGCTTTGATGGGGTGGAAAACTCATTGATACAGGGGATGGAGCTGAGGGGTGACGGGATCTCACAGGTCTTGGAAGGGTCCCTCTGGCCATGGTTGCACAACAAGCACTGATAGAGGGCTTGGGGTGGACAAGGCCCCAAAGACACAATCTGTGGCTTCACCTTCACTGGCCCTCACCCCTCTGCAGGCCTGGAAGTGGCAGGTGGTCTGGATTTCCTGACAGCTAGAACATACTTTCCTTTTCCTGCTGGGTCAGATGCAGGAAGGGGAAGTCCTAGTCTCTAGTGGGCACCAGGAAGCCAGGCAAAGTGCCGTCCACAATCAGGGTGTATGTGGCCTGTGCATGTGTGTGTCTGTGTGTGTGTGCACGTGCGTGCATACATGTATATCTGTGTGCGTGTGCATGTGTGCATACGTGTGTGTTCATTCCTGGGACAGATTTGGAGAGAGGGTAAGTTTCTCTCTGCCACTGCAACACTCCTTCAGTAACCCCCCTATGCCCACCAAGCTCCGAGCTCTGCACAGGTGACACTGGTGTCTCTCTCTCTCTCCTCTGTGACATTGCACATGTGACACTGCTGTCTCTCTCTCTCTCCTCTGTGACATGCCTTCACTGGCCAGGGACCTGTGTTCTTCAGGACCCTGTGCTCACCGGAACAGAGTCCTCTTCTCCAAGGCTGCCCGCTGCTAGCCAGGCTGATAAGTTCATTTATGGCATGGGATTTGTAAACAAAGCACTAACGGGTTCATATACTCTTCTTCCCCAACCCCCACTCCAGGGCCATGACACTAAATTCATGTGGGAGATTAGGAATCGTGACGATAGAGTGGGCAGCTACATAGTCACGTGCTGCCACTGTCCTCCCCTGTACCCATAGCAGGTAGTGCTATCAGTCACACTCCTCTTGCCTACTGAGCCCAGACTTGACCTCAAAATCTTTCCTAACTCAGTGCTCCAGAAGTGCTAATGATCCATTGGCATGTTCAATAAGATAACACGTATCTAATATCCCTACTTGAAGGTCCCTCAGTTTTACTCTGGGGACTTTAATTCTATGACTCTAATGATGGAAATTTTGGCTACTGTTATGTGTTTGCTGAGCAAAAAAAAAAAAAAAAGGGAGACAGTGGGAAAAATAACTTGTTTCTGTATGATAGGCCTTATTAAAGTAGGTGCCCCAGGGCTTCACAGTTGAATACTGAGCAGGGGGTCAGTGCCCAGGGGAAGGAGAGTGGCGCACTCGTGTGCGGGTCCAAGCCTCAAATTCAGAGGCCCTACCCAGCGGGCTTGGGTCCTTGGGAAGGTCAGCTAACCTCTCTGACCCTCTGTTTTCCCTTTGCTGCTTGTCATGGAGATCGAATGATAACATACATGTGAATGGTCTTTGAAACTAAATAAGTATCCCACATGTGAAAGGGGCAACAATGATAAAAGGTCTATTCTGCCAATTCATTTTTACTTATCCAAAAGTTTTGGCTCGTGGCAAGATCCCACCCCTCAAATTTAATGCGTCCCAAGTGTGGATGGGTATCAAGGCCAGATGTATCCTGAAAATGCCTTCTGGTGGGGAGGCGTCACAGAGTAGGTGTCTGAGGTCCTAGTTCTGATGCTACCACTGACCTGCTGTGCAGCCCTGGACAATCCTCTTAACCTCTCTGGTACTGCACCAAGTGCATCTGCCAAGTGAGGACGATGCTCACTCATTCTCCAAGGTCCTGTGACAGCAAATGATGGCAGATGTGAGGAGGCCCAGAAACCAAAAGTACTATACAGATGTGAGGTGCTATTTTGTTGTTTCTTGTGATTTGCCCAAAGGGGTAAAGCATTTGGCTTAACACAGGCTTCCTGCCAGGAAGAATTAGTTAACTGACAGGTGACTTAAACAAACAGGGGCGACCCTTGGGGCCAGGGCGAAAGGGTCATAGGGCTTTTTCTGTGCTCGCTTCAGCTGCCCCGGCCAAGCAGAAGCCCCTGCCGAAGCCAGACGGAGCTTTGTCAACTGGTTCAGAGGGAAGTGGGGAGCCCAGTGCCGGCGCCCATGGCCACTGGGACCTCAGGCTTGCAGAGGAAGGTGGATGTCAGTTGCCTGACTCTTCAGCAGATAGGGGAGGCGGTAATGAAGGGAGGAGGAGGGAAGAGAAGGGAGAGCAGGAGAGAGGAGGAAAATGAGAGGGAAAAAAAAGAGGAGACCAACAAAAGCTGGAAGCAGCAGATGGGAGGAAGGAGTGATGGAGAAGGAGGGCAACTGTCTCTCCCTGGTAGAATCGGGAGTTCCCTGGGGGAAGGACAGGTCTTCCATTCAGACTGGGTCTCTTTGAGAGCAGGTTTTATGTCCCCCCTATCCATGTACAGGGTCTGTATTAGGCCTTTCTTTGTGGGGCTAATACAGGAATACCTGAGACTGAGTAATTTATAAAGAAAACAGGAACCCGGCCAACATGGTGAAACCCTGTCTCTACTAAAAAATAAATAAAAATCGACCAGGCACAGTGGTATGTCCCTGCAGTCTCAGCTCCTTGGGAGGCTGAGGCACAAGAATCTCTTGAACCTGAAAGGAGGAAGTTGCAGTGAGCCAAGACCGAGCCACTGTGCTCCAGCCTGGGCCACAGAGTGAGACTCTGTGTCAGGGAAACAGAAAAAAAAAAGAAAGAAAGAAAGAAAGAAAAGAGGTTTATTTTGGCTCACAGTTCTGCAGACTGTACAGAAATCATGGTGCCAGCATCTGCTTCTAATGAGGGCCTCAGGGAGCTTCCAATCATGGTGGAAGGTGAAGGCGAGCCAGCGTGTCACATGCAAGAGTGGGAGCAAGAAAGAGAGGGGGGAGGCCCCACACTCTTAAACACCCAGGCCTGTGAGAACTTAGAGTGAGAACTCACTCATCACCAAGGGGATGGCACCAAGCAATTCATGAGGGATCCGCCCCCATGACCCAAACATCTCCCACCATGCCCTACCTCCAACATTGGGAATCCTGTTTCAACGTCAGATTTGGAAGGGATACACATTGAAACCATATCAGGCTCCCCCAGGACGGGGGTGGAATCTCTCCCATCAGACTGTGGGCCCTACCAGGCAAGGACTACATCAGCCACCTCATACAGGGACTCCCCAAGATGGGGAAACATGCTTGTCCCACAGCCAAGACCCTCCAAGGTTCATGACCTGCCAATGGGTCCTGACACAGCCCAGGGCCTACACCTCTGCCTGTCTGACTCCCCTGCTTCTCCTCTCCTCTCCCCCTGCCTCAGGGTTCACGGACACCTTCAACATGGACACCAGGAAGCCCCGGGTCATCCCTGGCTCCAGGACCGCCTTCTTTGGCTACACAGTGCAGCAGCACGACATCAGTGGCAATAAGTGGTGAGTGAGAGCGGCCGCCCACACCCAGCCCTGTACCATTCCACACCCAGCCCCCTCCATCCTGCCCCTGTGCCCTGTGGCTGCCCCACTGGCCCTCACATGGAGACTGACGTTTCCAGTGACTTGACTCTGTCCCAGCAGGTCAGAGACTGCACAGGCTCTGCTCCTGACTATGAAAGCTTGAATGTTCAATTTCTCAAGCCCTGTATCTTCTCATCTGTGAAATGGGAATGAACGAGCCCTCCTTCTCTGGGTTATGTGACAGTGGGGGTAGCAGGCACCTGGGGACCAATTGTTAGCCCCTGGTCATGTCTACCTGGAGAGCTGCTGGGGGTGTCTCTGAGAGGGTGGGTGTGAGTGTGCTCTCTAGCTGAAACCCAGGCAGCGATGGGGCAAAGGGGAGGGAGAGCCAGACCAAGTGGAGGGAGAGGGCTGGAAAGATCCCCAAGAGCCCTCCAGAGCAGGGGCAATCAGGAGGAAGAAAGGATTCACCTCCAATTTTAAAAATAACTTTATTTCAACATATTTTATCATCTAACTCACTCATTTCAAGTATCCAAGTCAATGATTTTTTTTTAAATGTACCATGTTGTGAGGCCATCACCACAAATCAGTTTTAGAATATTTTTATCACCCCAGTAAGATCTCTCGCCACATTTACGGTTAGTCATCCTCCTCCCCACTTGGTTTTTAGCTGGCAGAAGGCTATCCTTCCTGGGATGGAAAGGGCCAGGACTCTGCATGGCCCTTTTAGAAGCCCTTGCATAGTCAAGAGACCACATGAACACTCGTGATCAATGTTCTACGCTGCCCTCTTCCCACTCTGGCCCCTGTCTACCCTCCCCAACCTCTCCCCCTTCTTGTGCTCCCCGCACCCCCTTACTTGTGTTCAATGCTCCAGCCACATGGCACAATCGCAGCATTGCTGTTTCCCCAGATCTTCTTCAAACATGCTCTTCCCTTCTGTGACACCCTCTCCTGACTTCTCTGCTCACCCCACCACCATCTGGCTAATTCTCTCGTATTCTTTTTGATTTTTGTAAAGAAATATCTTACTTATTATCTTTCTACCGAGGTATAACATACATACAACAAAGTATAGGCATTTTGAATGTGCAACTTAACGAACTTCCATGATATACACCTATGTAATCACCTCCCAGAGATATATCCACCATTTCCAGCTTCCCAGAAGGTGGTGCCCACTCACCCCCGCCCCAGCCAGTGCCCCTCCAGGGACCCACTATGCTGACTCCTATCTCCATAGGTTAGTTTTGAACTTCATAGAGGAGAAATCATGCAATAGGTGCTCATTTGTATCTGACCTCTCACTCAACATTACGCCTGTGAGGTTTAACCTGTTGTTAAGTGAACCATACTTCATGCTTCCATTGATGAGCAGTATTCCATTGTATTAATCTACAACAATGTATTTCAGTTTAGTGTTTATTTTACTGTATTTGGATTGTTTCCATTTTGGGCTATTTCAAATAACGCTGCTATTGGCATTCATGTACGTGTCTTTTGATGGGCATATGTATTCACTTGTATTGGGTTTTTACTCCGGGATAGAATTGCTGAGTTAAAGGGTAGTTATGTTTAACTTTTTAGTAGGACCTGCCAGGCATTTGTTTCAAAGTGGTTTACCAATTTAAACTCTCTCTAGTAAAACAAGAGCCTTCTGGTTGTGACATGTCTTCACTAATTCATGACATTATCAGTCATTTTAATTTTAGTCATTCTAGTTGTGTGTGGTGGTATCTCATGGTGGGTTTAATTTGCATTTCTCTATTTACTAATGATGTTGACCAACTTTTCATAAATTTAATGGCCATTTTTGTATCCCCTTTTGTGAAATGCTGTATCAGGTCTTTTGCCCATTGTAAAGATTGTGTTGTGTGTCTTTTTCTTACTGATTAAAGGCCTTTTATATATATAAAATATATAAATAAATATATATAATATTATAATATTTATTATATAATATATAATATTATAATATTTATTATATAATATATAATATTATAATATTTATTATATAATATATAATATTATATTTATTATATAATATATAATATAATATTTATTATATAATATATAATATTATAATATTTATTATATAATATATAATATAATATTTATTATATAATATATAATATTATAATATTTATTATATAATATATAATATTTATTATATAATATATAATATTTATTATATAATATATAATATAATATTTATTATATAATATATAATATATTTATTATATAATATATAATATTATAATATTTATTATATAATATATATTATATATTATAATATATAATATATAAAATATATATATTCTGTATATATTATATATATTATATATATATATTCTGTATACACTTCCTTTGTGACATAGAAGCATTGCAAATATCTGTTCCCAGTCTATGGCTTGCCTTTTCATTCTCTAAATGGTATCTTTTGATAAACAGAAGTCCTTAACTTTAATAAAGTCTAATTTATCAATATTTTTTATGGTTAGTGCTTTTTGTGTGTCCCATTTAAGAAATCTTCACCTCTCCCCATATCATGAAGATATTCTTCTCTGTTTTCTTCTAGAAGTTTGATGTTTTTGCTTTGTCATTTAGGTCAATGATTCATCCCAAGTTAATGTTTGTGTAAGGTGTGAGATAAAGGTCAGAGGTTTTTGTTTTCTTTTTCTCATATGGATGGCCAGTTGATCTGGCACAATTTGTTAAAGACTATTTTCCCCATTGAATTCTAGTGACATCTTTGTTGAAAATCGGGTGACCATAGATATATGGGCCTATTTCTTGACTCTATTTTATTCCATTTGTCTATTTATCTAAACTTGAGCAAACAAAAAGCTGCTTTGGTTACTGCAGCTTTAAAATAAGTCTCGAAGTCAGGTAGTGTGAATTCTCTATATTTGGTTTTCTCTTCTTTTTTATTTCAACTTTTATTTTAGATTCAGGGAGTACATGTGCAGATTTGTTACATGGGTATATTGCATTGTGTGGAGGTTTGGGGTACAAGTGATCCCGTCACCCAGGTAGTGAGCTACCCAATAGGTAGTTTTTCAACTCTTGTTCTCTCCTTCCCTCCCTCCCCACTCTAGTGGTCCTCAATGTCTATAGTTCCCATCTTTATGTCCATGTGTACCCAGTGTTTCGCTCCCACTTATAATAGTGAGAACACACCATATTAGGTTTTATGTTTCTGTGTTAATTTGCTTAGAATAATGGCATCCATGTTGCTGCAAAGGACATGATTTCTTTCTTTTTCATGGTTGTGTAGTATTCCGTGGTGTATATGAACCACAGTTTCTTTATCCAATCCACCATTAATGGGCACCTAGGTTGATTCCATGTCTTTGCTATTGTGAATAGTGCTGTGATAAAACATACAAGTGCATGTGTTTGTGGTAAATGATTTATCTTCCTTTGGGTAATATACCCAGTAATTGGGATTGCTGGGTCAAATAGTAATTCTATTTTTAGTTCTCTGAGAAATCTCCAAACTCTGAACTAATTACCATTCCCACCAACAGTGTATAAGCATTTCCTTTTCTCTACAGCCTTGCCAACAACTGTTACTCTGGAGCATTTTAATAATAGCCATTCTGACTGGTGTGAGATGATAGCTCACTGTGGCTTTCATTTGCATTTCTCTGATGGTTAGTGATGTGGAGTATTTTTCCATGTTTCTTGGCGGCTTGTATGTCTTCTTTTAAGAAGTGTCTGTTCATGTCCTTTGCCCTCTTTTTAATGGGGTTGTTTTTCTTTGGCAAGATTGTTTTAGCTATGATAGATCCTTTATGTTTCCATATAAATTTTTAAGTCAGCTTGTCAATTTTCCTCCAACAAAATTTGCTGAGATTTTTATTGGAGTTATACTGAATTTATACGTTCAATTTTATGGATAAATTTAGGGGAAAATGAAATCTTAATAACATTTTTTCTAATCCACTAACATGTATATCCTACCATTTATTCAGTTTTTAAAAATTTCTCTCAATAATGCTTTGAAATATTCAGTGTAAGTTTTACATCTCTTATTGCATTAATAAAATATAAAATATTTATATTTTATACTATTAAAAATAAACTATTCTTATTTCATTTTATACTATTCATTTCATTTTATACTATGAATATAGTTATATTTACAGTTAATATAAATTATATCATAATAAATATATATTTAATGTAAATATATTTTCATATTTGCATTTATGCTATTAGAAATAAAATATTTTTATTTCATTTTATACTATTCATTTTATACCATAAAAATATTTATACTTATATTTATATTATATTTAATATAAATCATATTATAATAAATATGTTAAAGTCTCCCATTATTAATGTGTGGGAGTCTAAGTCTCTTTGTAGGTCACTCAGGACTTCCTTTATGAATCTGGGTGCTCCTGTATTGGGTGCATATATATTTAGGATAGTTAGCTCTTATTGTTGAATTGATCCCTTTACCATCATGTAATGGCCTTCTTTGTCTCTTTTGATCTTTGTTGGTTTAAAGTCTGTTTTATCAGAGACTAGGATTGCAACCCCTGCCTTTTTCTGTTTTCCATTTGCTTGGTAGATCTTCCTCCATCCTTTTATTTTGAGCCTATGTGTGTCTCTGCACGTGAGATGGGTTTCCTGAATACAGCACACTGATGGGTCTTGACTCTATCCAATTTGCCAGTCTGTGTCTTTTAATTGGAGCATTTAGTCCATTTACATTTAAAGTTAATATTGTTATGTGTGAATTTGATCCTGTCATTATGATGTTAGCTGGTTCTTTTGCTGGTTAGTTGATGCAGTTTCTTCCTAGTCTTGATGGTCTTTACATTTTGGCATGATTTTGCAGCGGCTGGTACCGGTTGTTCCTTTCCATGTTTAGTGCTTCCTTCAGGAGCTCTTTTAGGGCAGGCCTGGTGGTGACAAAATCTCTCAGCATTTGCTTGTCTGTAAAGTATTTTATTTCTCCTTCGCTTATGAAGCTTAGTTTGGCTGGATATGAAATTCTGGGTTGAAGATTCTTTTCTTTAAGAATGTTATAATAAATAGAATAATATTTATATAATAATATATAATATTATTATTAATAATTTTATATTATTTTAAATATATTTTAAATATAATATTTTAAATATAATATTTTAAATATAATATTTTAAATATAATATTTTAAATATAATATTTTAAATATAATATTTTAAATATAATATTTTAAATATTTTATAATATATATTTTAAAATATTTTAAATATATATTAAATATAATATTTTAAATATAATATTTTAAATATTTTATAATATTTTAAATATAATATTTTAAATATTTTATAATATTTTAAATATAATATTTTAAATATTTTATAATATTTTAAATATATTTTAAAATATTTTATTTTAAAATATTTTATAATATTTTTAAAATATTAATAATTTTATATTTTATTAATTTATTATTATATTAATATTTATATATAATAAATAATATATAATATATTATATAATAAATAATATATAATATATTATATAATAAATAATATATAATATATTATATAATAAATAATATATAATATATTATATAATAAATAATATAATATTATTTTAAAATTTTTAATTTAATATTTTTATAATATTTTATAAAATATAATATAATACATAATATATAATATATAATATATTATATAATATATAATATATAATATATTATATAATATATAAAATTTAAAATATTAAATAATAATTAATATATAATAATTTATTATATAATAAATAATTTATATATTATATAATAATAATATATTATATATTATATATTATATAATAAATAATTTATATATTATATATTATATAATAAATAATTTATATATTATATAATAAGTAATATATATTATATATTATATAATAAATAATATATAATATATTATTTATTATATAATAAATAATATATAATATATTATATATTATATAATAAATAATATATAATAAATCATATTGTAATAAATATGTTATATTTAATATAAATATATTTGTGTTTATATTTTATACTATTACATATTATATATTTATATTTTATACTATTACAAATGAAATACTTATTTCATTTTTCAATCTTTTTTACTAGTACATAAAAATACAATTGATTTTTGTATATTTACAATACATCCAGCAACTTTACTAAAGTCATTTATTATTTCTAATAACTCCCTTTTGGATTCCTTTGGATTTTCTACATATACAATCAGATCATTTGAAATAATTACAGTTTTGTTTATTATTTTCCAATTTTCCTACCTTTATTTATTTTTCTAATTGCACTGGCTAAGATCTTCAGTGCAAGGTCAAAAAGAAGTGGTGATACTGAACATTCTTTTCTTATTTCTGCTATGATAGTGAAATTTTCCAATATTTCATAATTAAATAAGATGTTAACTCTAGTTTATTCATTTATTTATTGTAGATAACTCCAGATTAAAGAAGTTTTTTTCTATTCATAGCTTTCTAAGGTTGGTTTTTTTAAAAATTATGAACAGGTGCTGAATTTTATCAGATGATTTTTCTGCAACACCTGACATAAGGTTCTCCTTCATTCTGTTAATATGGTTAATTACATTGATTGATTGATTGATTGATTGATTGATTGGATTGATATTTTCTTTAACTATTAAACCAACTTGCATTCCTGGGATAAACCTCATTTGGTCACCACGTATTCTCCCATGTATATATTCTCAGGAATTTTGTTTCTGTTGGGGTATTTGTATCTGTTTTGTTTCATGAGATATATTGACCTGTAAATTTTCTTTTTGGAAATACCCTTATCAAGTTTTTGTATCACAGTTATTCAGAGCTCATAAAATGTGCTAAGAAATGTTTTCATTTTTTTCTATTCTCTGGTAGAACATAAGATCTGTATTATTGCTTCTTTAAATGTTTAGGATAATCCACTAGTACAGCATCTAGGGTTGTTTCGTGGGAAGATTTCTCATTATAGATTCAACTTCTTTTTTATTGTTATTATTATTATACTTTAAGTTCTAGGGTACATGTGCACAACGTGCAGTTTTGATATATAGGTATACATGTGCCATGTTGGTTTGCTGCACCCATTGACTCGTCATTTACATTAGGTATTTCTCCTGTTATCCCTCCCCCAGCCCCCCACCCCCCAACAGGCCCCAGTGTGTGATATTCCCCGCCCTATGTCCAAGTGATCTCATTGTCTTTTCACATAGTCCCATATTTCTTGGAGGCTTTGTTTGTCTTTACTCTTTCTTCTCTAACCTTGTCTTCTCACTTTATTTCATGAATTTAATCTTCAATCACTGATACACTTGATCGAATCAGCTACTGAAGCTGCACATGCATCACTAAGTTCTTGTGCCATGGTTTTCAGCTCCATCAGGTCATTTAAAGTCTTCTCTACACTGTTTATTCTAGTTAGCCTCTCATCTAACCTTTTTTCAAGGCTTTTAGCTTCCTTATGATGGGTTTGAACATGCTCCTTTAGCTCGGAGAAGTTTGTTATTGCCAACCTTCTGAAGCCTACTTCTGTCAACTCGTCAAAGTCATTCTCCATCCAGCTTTGTTCCATTGCTGGTGAGGATCTGCGATCCTTTGGAGGACAAAAGTGCTCTGACTTTTAGAGTTTTCAGCTTTTCTGCTCTGGTTTCTCCCCATCTTTGAGGTTTTATCTACCTTTGGTCTTTGATGTTGGTGACCTACAGATGGGGTTTTGGTGTAGATGTCCTTTTTGTTGATGTGGATGCTATTCCTTTCTGTTTGTTAGTTTTCCTTCTAATAGTTGGGTCCCTCAGCTGCAGGTCTGTTGGAGTTTGCAGGAGGTCCACTCCAGACCCTGTTTGCCTGGATATCACCAGTGGAGGCTCAGTTGGATATGCAGAAATCACCCGTCTTCTGCATCGATCATGCTGGGAGCTGCAGACTGGAGCTGTTCCTATTCGGCCATCTTGGAATGGATCTCAACTTCTTAAAGATAATGGATTATTCAGATTTGCTACTCCTTCTTGTGTTAATTTTAGTAACTTGGGTTTTTCAAGTAATTTGTACATTTCATTCAAATTTTATCCACAAATATTCATATTAGCCTCCTATTATCTTTTCAATGTCTATAAGATCTATATATCCTCTTTTTCATTTCTCTTTTTGGTAATTTGTGTTGTCCCTCTTATTTTTTATCAGTCTTGCTATGGGCATATTAATTTTATTAATGTGTTCTAGGATCAACTATGGGCTTTACTGATTTTCTCTATTGAATCCCTGATTTCTCATTCATTGGTTTCTATTCTCATTTTAATTATTTCTTCCATTTTTTTATTTAATTTATCTTTTTCTAGCTTCTTACTTAAATTGTTGATTTTCTGACCCTTTTTCTTTTCTAAAATATACATATAAGGCTATATATTTCCTCTAACATTGCTTTAGCTGCATCCTACAAATTTTGATGTTTTCATTATCATTCAGGTTAAAATAATTTCTAATTCTCATCATGATTTCTTCCTTGGACCGTGGGTTATTTAGAAATGTGTTTTTTAATTTCCAAATATTTGGAGATTTTCTAGTTGTCTTTCTATTATATTTCTAATTCAATTCCATGGTGGTCAAGAGAGCTGCTGTATAATTTAAAATCTTAGTTGTTTGTTGGCAATATTTTAAATTACTGATTCAATCTCACTGCTTGTTATTGGTCTGTTCAAAATTACTGTTTCTTACTGATTCAAGCTAGGATGGTTGTATGCTTCCAAGAATTTATGTGTTTCCTCTAGATTTTCTAGTTTGTTTGCATAGATGTTCATAGTAGTCTTGAATGGTCTCTTATACCACTGTGGTGTCAGTCGTAATATCTCCATTTTCATTTCTAACACAGCTTTACAATCTATTTGCAATTAGTATTTTACCACTTTCTAAGTAACACAATAACTTTACGACAGTTTGATTCCAGTCCCCTGTCCTGTCCTTTGTGTTATTTTTGTCATATATTTTACCTTTGCACATGTTATAAATTCCACAAGACATTATTGTTATTGTTGCTTTAAGTTGTTAATATTTATGTCTACTTATCCACATAGCTACCCTTTCTGGTGTTCTTCGTCTCTTTTATATAATTCTGTGCTCTCATTTGAGATAATTTTCTTTCAGCCAAAGAACTCTACTTAGTATTTCTTGTGGTATAAGTCTGCTAACAAGAGTTCTTTCAGCCTTGGGAGTTGGGTTTTCTGTTTGTTTTTGTTCGTTTGTCTGAAAAGATCTTAATCTCACCTTAATTTTTGAAGTATTTCTTATCTAGTTTTTCTTTTAGCACTTTAAAATGTCATTCCATTGTCTATTGGCTTTACAGTTTCTGTTGAGATGTCAACCATCAGTTTTATCATTCTTTTGAATGTAATATGTCATTTTCTTGTGGTTGCTTTCTTATTTGCCTTTAATGTCAGCAGTTTGACTATGATGTATCTAAATGTAGTTTTGTTGTATTTGTTCTGCATAGGGTTTCCAAAGCTTCTTGAATCTGCATTGATACTTTTAATTAGATTTGGAAAATTCTCTACCTTCATTTTTAAAAATATAGCTTTTGTCCCATTTCTTCTCTCCTTTTCTTTCTAAACTTGAATTGTGTGTATGTTAGGCCTTCTCGCCATATTTCTCATATTTCTGTTCAGTTTTTTATTCCATTTTTCTCTTGCTGTGCTACAATTTAGATATCCTCTATTCATCTGTCTTCAGGGTCACTAATCCAGCTTTCTGCTGTATCCATTGTGCAGCTAAACCCATTCGATATACTCTTTATTACAGATATTTTATTTTGCTCCTGAATGTCCACTGGATTCTTTTTTTATAGATTCTAATTCTGTCACAATAATCTGTCTTGATCCCAATTGTCCATCTTTTGTTCTATTTTCTTTAACACATTAATTATAATTATTTTGAAGTCCTGGCTGGTTAACTCCAATATCTGGATCATCTCTGGTCTGCTTCTGGTGACTATTTTATCTCATGGTTATCCATTTTTTCCTGATTATTTACTCATTTTGTAAATATTGTGAATATTGTGGATGTTACAGTTTTGCCCTTATTCCTAGGATGTGGTCTTTACTCTTAGAGCATAGATTTTCTGGGGTCTCAAATGAAATCCCAGAGTATTCATTAAGGTCTCTCCTTTCTGACTGGGTATGAACCCCAACACCTTCCTCCCAGAATAGGAGGCAACCTCTAAAATCTCTGCTCCCATTGGCTGTTTTCTGATAGATTTTCCAGTGTATCATACTATGCATACACAGCTTAGGAGTCAGCCAAGAACCTGAGGGAAACTTTCAACAGAGCTTTTGAGACTCTTTTCCTGTTGTTCTCTCCTTTCTGGTATGCTGCCCTTCCCAAATCCTAGTCATCTTTGCAGCCCCAACTCCAATCCCTATTTCCTCCATCCAGCAAGACTTCTACTCTCTGCATCCATTTCCCTGTGCTTCAGCAAAGAAAATGCCCTCAGAGGAAAAGCTGGGGTGAACAGGGTTTCAGCTTCTGTATTTCCCTTCTTACAAGTATTGAGCTCTGCCTTGATTGCTGTCCAGTGCCTGAAAATAGTTGTTTTAGATATTTTGTGCTGTTTACATAGTTGTTTATGGCTAGAATTGAAAGCCCTCTTTCATATTCTTTTTATCAACTTAGATATCACTTCCTCTGAGAAACTTTCTCTGACTATCCCTTCCCATCACTACATAAGCTGCCCCCATAGAATTCTGTGTTTCTCTTTTCATAGCACTTATCAAATTGAATAGTAATTGCCTGTATCATTATCTTACTTCCTGAAATCAGCGGTATAATTCCTGGTGTTTAGTAGGTGCTCAAAGAACTTACTTTGACAGACTGAATTAAGGATTTGAGCCTCTTTCAACCAGCCCAGACATAAGATGCATGACATCCATATTGTTTACATGGTATGAAAGGTTAAAAATTAAGTTGAACTGACTTTTCCAAGACAGAATTTATTTTGACCAATATTTGTTTATTAGGCATCTGTTAATGAATTTTACTAGACTCGGCAAAATATTGGTATGAGTAAAACGTGGTTTCACTCTCAAATAAGTCACAGACCAGTTAGGGAGGCAACATTAATACCCTTGAAATAATTTAAAACCAATGCAAGTCAAATATGACCTGGTATTAATTACATGCATCTTTGAGGCTACTTTCTCCATGAAGGCTTTCTGAATCCTTTTCCTAGCCTAAAATGACCTTACCCTCCCCAAGCCTTTTCTGTGATAACACATATCACTTCCCACTTTTTGTTGGAGTCACTGAGGCCCATGGCCCATCTCCCCTGTTGGACACCAGCTTCATCTCCCTGCAGCCCAAGAGCAGCCAACACAGCATCATCTTCACAGCAGAAACCCAGCCAGACTCTGAAAGGAGAAATCACTGTGCCTGGGGTCTCTGGAAATGCTCCATGGAAGAGGGCAGTTGAACATGATCTTGGAGGTTGGGCATAGAAGAGCAGAAAGATATGACAGAACCAACTCCTGGTAGCTTTTGCTTATCTGAGTGCAGCCTGGAGCATTGTGGGAGAGAAATGGTGCCCCAGGTGGGCAGGGTCCCACCCATTGCAGCCACTGGACCTGAGCATGTTACTGCCACAGCCGAGCTGAGAGAAACAGAGAGGGTGGCCTTGGGGACCCCGAGAGCTGAGCCCCCTCCAGAATGGACAGGAGCACACTGGGCCTTTCTAGAATCTCTGTTCCCACTTGTGTGGATCCCACCACAAATCCTACTTGGCTTTCCCCTCCCTGCTTCCTCTTCTGGCCCCATCTTCTCTGTCGTATGGGCAGCATTCCAAGAATTTGATTCAGACCTAGGACCCTATGGGTGTTGATCCTAGAAAGGAGAGGTTGATGCCAGTGTCATTTAGGAGACATTGGCTGACTATTAAGCATGACCCCAGTGGGATGTATTGATTCAGCTCTGTGCCAGGGTGAACCTCAAAGGAAGGACAGGAGCAAAGGTTTGAAGTGCGAAGCCTCTGCCACGTGGAAGAAGAACCTTGGGAGAACCTCTGCCAACCTTCCCGAACCTCTATTTGCCCATGTGTAAAATAGGAATGAGCATACCTGTCCCAGGGAGCTAGGCAGGATCAAAGAATACCCAAAACACGATTATATTTTGTAATCAGTAAAACAGGAAACGAGGATTGAGTCACTGCAGGCCACTGCTGACTTGATTGAGAGGCTCCCTCTGACCCAGGCTCTTCCTGCCTCTGTGGTATGGACCTGGCTTCCGACACCTCAGGCAGAGCTTGCGTGCCTTGGTCTGCATCTCCTGGGGCTGTGGGGGAGGCCAGGAAGCTGCATGTTTGAAAGAGTTTCCCAGGGGACTCTAGCAGGGAGACTGTAACCCCCCAAGGATCCGCTGTTTCCACTGAGCATGTAAGACAGATTCCAGTGAGAAAGAACATCACTCCCCAGCCCCGGCCCCCAAATCCAGGTCCCAGCATTGCCCCCAGGGAAGAATCCACCGCTGACTCCCACCTCAGGCACCAGTGAGATATGCCCCGTTTACCAGCCGTAAGCCTCCTTGAACGTCAAGGGCCCGCAGTAAACAGTTGGAGGATAAGAGGGCAGACCTGGTGGGGCAGTCACTTTATTTTCTTAACATTTCTCCTTCTTCCCACCTCACTCACAACTCAGAGCTCAAACTCAGCAAAGCTGACCATACACCAACGCTTCAGACATCCTGAACAGTTTTCCACATCCCCTGGTTCTAGCAACAATAACAACACTCGCAGACACACAAAAAGGAAAGAGAAAACAAATTCCTCTTGGGCTGAGTGTTCTCTGCCCCTGCTTTTTAAGCCCTTGTGTATTTTCAGAGAAATTTAATCCACATGACTATCGCATTTACATTGAAATTATTAATTCCGTGGGTTTTAAGACCATTTGATGTCCCAGCAGCTCCAATGCAGGGCTTGCAGAGGGCCTCTCTGAGCCTTTGGTCCCCTGAAGCAGGAAGCCTCCTGATGCTGAGAAAAAACAGAGCTGGGCCTCACAAGTATCCCATTTTTCACTGAAGCTCTCACCCCTGGAGAGGAGAGAAGAGAAGCCTCAGCTCTCAGCAAGGCAGAACGTTTCTCCTCCTCTCCATGAGGGCGCCAGGGAGCAGAAGACTGCCAGTCCCCAGTGAGCTCCAAAAGGGGACTCTCTAGGGACATGGTGAGCTTTAAGATCAAGAGACCATGGTGAATTCCCTGGGTACAGGTGTACAGACAGGAGCAACTTGTAGGGGAAGTAGATTTGTCCCCATTTTACAGGCAAAGCAACTGAGACTCCAAATGATGACATAATTAATAAGTGTCAGAGGTAGAGGCAAGACTGGAGCCCAGATCTCTCTAGTCCCTCTGCCTCAGGGCAGGAGCCTGGTGAGCCCCAAGGGGACACAGAACAGAAGCAGCCTCTGCCCCAGGGCTGCCATGCTCCTCCCCAGACACGCTGCTGGCCCCATGAGAGCGAGGCTGTGGTGTCCACAGGGCCCAGCACTAAGTGTATTTGCATAAGTGGGTTGGTGGGAGATCAAGTGCTGCCCAACCTGGAACAGAAGGCGTATGTTCACAGAACCCCGATCTCAGATGAATCCCAAAGGAGGGACACACAAAAAGGATCTCAGGTGTTCATGGGAGAGAGAGTTAATTTCCAACAGCATGAGGCTGTGGGGGTGGAGGGAATTGAGAGCGGATTGTGAAGGAGGAGGCTTCCAGGTGGATAGGATTCCAATGTTCAGAGTACACATGGGTGAGAGGAGTACAGCAGATGGAGGGGACAGCATGGGAAAGAGTACAGAGATGGAGGGGACAGCATGGGAAAGAGTACAGAGATGGAAAAGAAGAAACTGTGTTTAGAGAAAGGACGCCATCCCATGTGGCTGGAGGAGAAGGTACAAAAAGCAGAGAAGTAAGGCCAAAAGCTGGGAGAGTGATGATCCTACCATGGAGTTCCTAAATAGCAGAGTGAAGAGACTGTACTTGGGAGGCAATAGGGAGCCACTGGAGGTTTTAGAGCAGGAGAGTGGCTCACCAGAGTTATAATTTTGGTGATCAATTTGGCTACCATGTGGAGGATGGAATCGAGGGAGGAGACCCTGGAGGTGAGGAGTCAAGTGGGAAGGCTGTAGAAGTCTAGGTGAGCAAAGAGGATGCTCAAGCTAAGGGGTGGGGGCTTGAGAAAGGGGCATGCTTTATGAGCAGCAGTAATTCATTCATTCATTCCATTAATACTTCTTGAGTACCTGTAATGGGTTCTGGAAACTCAATGGTGAATAGAATTGCAAGGTCTCTGCTCTGATGGAGTTTTTCTTCTGGAGGGGCAAAAAGTATGATTAGTTTGTCCATCATCTGTCAGATAGTTATCTGTGCCATGGAAAAACATTAAGCAGGGTAAGTGGGCTTGGGAACAGTGGTTGAATTGAGGGCTCAACTTTATACAGGCTGTCTAGGATGCCGCCATGACAGGATGATAGTCATTAGAGACATGAGGGAAAGGAAGAATCTGAGAGAATCATGGTTATCTGAGAAGGAATTCCAGGCAGAAGGAATGACAAGTGCAAATGGCAAGTGAAGTAGGAGCATGCTTGAGATGTTCAAGGAACAGCAAGTGTGGCTGGAGTAGAGTGAGCTAGGGCAAGAGCAGAAGGAGGCAAGTTCAGAGATGCAAGAGGCTGCAGGATGATTGAGGACATATCTTGCTGACTAGGAAGATTGTGGTATCCTTTACACAAAAGCAAAATCCAGCAACAGGGTGCAGGCTTTGGAAGTTCAGGTGAGCTGAGCTTTGGACTCATTGGTTTGGAGGATCCAAGGGCCATCCAGGTGCAGGGGAGGGGGCCTTCAGTTTGGCAGGGAAATTAGGGCTGAGACCCACATGTGCATCAGGAGAGCTCCATTCAGCAGGGAGAAGGAAGCGGGGCTTGGGATGAACGACAGACTGCAGAACGTCCATAGGTATGAGGAGGAAGGAGAAAGAGAAGGCGGAGAGAGAAGGGTCAGAGGAGGTGCTGTGTCCGGGGGCAGAAGAGGAGAGGATTGTGAGGAAGACGAAGGTGGGTGCAGCATCGTAAGGACTTCCAGCTCTAGGAGGGAAAGCAGCAGCCAGGAGTGCCTCTCCTAGAAGCAGCTGAAGGGGCCGGGCTGGGCAGCTCACAGCACTGGGCAGCCTCTACCAGGATTGGAGCCCAGCGGATGTAAGGGAATGTTTATAATATACATTAACACACACAGAAAATCTCCAGTCTCTGCAAGGCTTTACTGTCATGTGTGTCATGTGTAAAGAGTCTGGAATGAACTACTGTCCAGCAATGACTCTCAAACCTTAGCGTGCATCCCTGGAACGCTTGCTAAATCGGATTGCTGGAACCCACCTCCAGAGTTTCTGATTCAGTAGGTCTGAGTGAGGCCTGGGAATGTGCTTTTCTAGAACTTCCCAGGTGGTGCTGGTGCTGCTGGTCTGGGAAGCACACTCTGAGAACCACACACTTAGCGGTTGCCATTCCCAGTGTCTTAAGCTGGTTACAGCAGGCAGAGGCAGAATCACCGTGTAGATGCCTCCATCTGTGGGGCCAGGGAGAGCCCAGAGACAGCGGAGATGGGGCTGGAGGTGAAGTGGGGAGGACAGAAGGTGCTATTTTTGAGGCGATCTGCTCACACTTCATTCTTGTAATGCACCCAGAGGCCCCTTCCCTCTCTCCCTCTTATCCTTTCCCCTACCTTCTTCTACTTTTCCATCCCTGTTCCTTCACTTTGCCAGATTTCTCACCTTACTTTCTCATCTTTTCTCCTCATTCTCCTCCCTTTCCCCCTCATCCCCTCCTCCCCCATCCCTTCTCGTTCTTCCTTCCCCTCTTTACTCCCTCGCCTGAGTCTCTGATAGACATGGGTGAGATAGGGGGTGAGGGGGCGGCCAAGGCGAAGGGAGGCTGCCCTGTCCCACCTCTCCCTGCTTCTCTCAGCAGCTGCCAGTGTCTTTAGTCTCATCAGCCTGTCTTGTACCCACGAGAGGAGGGAAGGATAAAGAGCCCCATCCAGGCTCCCAGCACCCACCTGCAGCAGTGGGCCTGCAGACTCCCAAGGCTGGGCAAGGAGAGTGTGCACAGAGAAGGGTACAAGAGCAGCCAGAGGGAGGGTCCCTGGACCAGGAGAAAAAGGAGAAAGGGGATCCTGGTGGAGCAGGAGAGAAAGGAAGTTGGGAGATGGGCTGCCCCCTGCAGAACTGACCGGAGCCTCGGTTTCCTGAATCCTGGGGTGTCCTAATGGGAAATAGAAGCTTCTCTTGGGAAAAAGGGAGCATTTTAAGCCTCACTCTCATCGCCCTCAGCCATGGAGGGACAGACATGGTGGCCTGACTCCCCAGAGTCACAAAGGGTCCTGGGCAGCCTTCCCGCCTCTTTGAAGGATCCTCTGGGATTATTTTGCAGCAACTTAACTCTGCACTGTGTGGCCAGACATGGAAAGGGCTGTGGAATTGGGTGTCCTGAGGATGGACTGCGAGGCAGTAGGGAGGGAGACCCAGCAGCTTGCCTGGCTTAGAAGCAAATCATCCACCATGGCCAAGTGCAGATCCTGCCAACACCCACCATCACCACTACCACTACCACCCCCAAAGCTTGGCATGACACAGCAGATGGGCAGCCATGGCCCCTGAAGTGGACCAGGGCTGGAATGGACCTACCTGGCATAGGTTGATCAGGTTAATACCCATCTCTCCTTGGGGACCTCTCTATAGATACAGTGTCTTCTACTTGTGGAGACTCCAGGCAGAGGGGAGAGCCCCATAACCTGAAGACAGGGCCACCATTCCCATGATCTTCAGAAGACCCCAATTCTCAGAGATGATGGTGGGCTGGGGAGGGACAGAATGGCTGGAGACAGGCCCAGGAGGCGCAGGTGGACCACTCAGGCCTGTGGGTGGGGTTGGCCTTTAGGGCTGCTCCGTCAGCTGCAGCTCCTCCCCAGGCCTGGGAGGGGTCTGAGAAATCATTTGCCCCAGCCTCATGATTTTACAGATGGGGGCACTGAGGCCCAGAGGTAGAAAGAGACCAGACCAAGGTCACACAGCAAGTCAGTTTGAGGGCCGGGACTGAAACCTAGTCTCCCAGCCCCCAGCCCAGAGTTGCTTCCATTTCTGCAGCATTTCCACCGGGAATAACAAGCACTTAGGCGAAAACTACCCAAGGGTCAGTTCACCCACCATCGCAGATCTCATGTCTCAAGACTTTGTAGATGATATTTACCCAAACTAAATTCTAGTTGGGCTAAGGCATCCATCCTTTTACAGTGGGTTTAGGTACTGACCTTCCCAGATAACAAATTTGCATTTTCACTAGGGTCTTCCATGTCTAAAACCAGAGGCCAACTATGGTGGAATTTGGGTTGACTGCAAAGGCAATCCCTGAAGAGTAAATCCACAAAACCAGCCGTGGAGCCTAGGCCCAAGAGTGTTGCCCTCTGGCACTGCCACTTCCTCCTCTCCCAACCCAGAGGTTTCCCAGCTCCCATTGCAGTCCTTTCCCACAGGCATAGAGTGCTGTCTCGGGGCACACACAGGCCTTCTGCCTCAGCAGAGGCAGCAAAGGCATGTCCGAGTAGCTCCTCACTACAGGGAGAATCTAGGCTTCGAAATCACAGAACTGAGCTCCCTTCCCAGCTTGGCTACTTTCCAAGCAATGGAAACTCAAGCACATCACATCCACTTTCTGGATCACAGTTTCTTCATCTGTAAAATGGGTATGGTGATGTGAATCCCAAAGGGTTCTTATGAGGAAGAAATAGGAGATGGTGTTTAAGTGTCTACCATGGGGCAGAGGCTGAATGAGTGAGTTCCCTACACTGGCCTATGCCCTGGAGAAAGGGTATGGTGTCCAGGGACAGGTTTTGAGGAAAGGGCCTCTGGGGCTTGTTGTTTGAGCAGAAAGATGCATCTTACACAAGTCTGCCCTTTTTCATCAGTGACAGTGCAGGCTGCCAGGCCTGGGGCAGCCTTGGTTGTTGCTGTGGAAGCCTTTCTGAGCAACATCCTTTGCTCTTTTCCTGGCCTGGGCCCCCAGAACAGGCTCCCAACACCACAGCACATAAACGCTCTCCGCTATTTTCTCTTGGAACAAATAAAATCCGGCATCATGACTCATTCTGGTTAAAGGATAAGTCACTACAGAAGCGAAGCCCAGGATAGGATGAACCACCCAGTGCACGAGAGATAGAGGGAGAGATAGAGAGGGAGAGAGGAAAAACTGTATTCGTGGGGAAACGTTGGCCCAGGGCCCCAGGCCAAGCCACCCAGCAGACCTTGGCAGGCACACACAGACAAGAAGAAAATGAGCTGCAGAGGGCTGGGAGAGTGGAAATCCAGACATTCGTCCTCACTGGCAGGAGCTGGGGCATCTTCAGGCCCTCAAATGCACAAAGCAGCAGTGAGAATGACCAAGGAGAGCACAGCAGCCCCAGAACCAAGAGCGAAGTCTGGGGCACTGTGGATTTAGGATGTGGCCTGCAGACAGCTCCTAAGGTTCCTTGCATCTCTTGGGTGATTTTTTTTCCTCTTCTCTCCTTGCTTTTTCATTCTGTCTCCTTTTTTTTTTTTTTTAATGCCAAACCACACAAGAAAGTCCCAGAAATTGAAGAGATGTCAGTGAGGGTCCAGGAAACTTCTGACACACACACAAACTGGTCAACCAGAGATGGAGCTAATCTCAGCTCCACCCTCTAAGGCCTCTAAGGCCAGTCCTCAGGGCCATAGAACGTCCTTAGTGCTGAACTCGGAAAGGCAGGAGTTCAGCCATTGCATGCTTTTAGAGGTAAGACGCACAATCTCGGTAGTGAAAATATTGAAAAGAAAGTCTCCTTGTTACTAACTTCCAAGAAAGAAAATAAATTTAACGTGGGCAGTTCAGGAAAGCCAGAGGGGTTTGCCAACTCAGCATCTTTGCCACCCGTCTCTTCCCACTCCCCCACCAGCCTCCCCCTACAGCAGCCTGTGGGCTCCCCACAACCTCCTTTCCATTTCTGCAGCCAACACCATTTGTTCTGCGATGCCAACATCCTTCCTAAGTCCAGTGAAGGAGAGGAAATGGGAGCTTTCCACATGAGGTGGAGAATAAAGAAATGTTGAAATTCCCTGTATCTTGAGAGTGGCTTTCTATAACTTCATAGGTTTGAATTTTCAAGGCTGGTACTGTTTTTAATTGCTCCTTGGCACTTTATGTGCAATGATCATAACTGACACTAGGGGGTGCAAGATAGCCCTCCAATGGCTCCTCTAGTCAACCATTGAGGCTTCCTGTAGATATCACTCAGGGTAGCATGTGCTTCCATTCAGTTAGGCTATAAAATGTGAAAAACAGAATTTCTTATTGAAAACCACAAGGTGCAATGTGCATGTTTTAAGGTTATATACAATTAGAAAAACAAATGAAGGTGCCATAAATGCCTTTTCTCACTAATTTTAACTATAATTAATCACTATCTAACCCTTGTTTTCTGCAGGCTTGGATAAAATACCTCTTTCTAACTTTCTCTGACTCCTTCATGAGGAATCAAGGGCTCCTTGGGATTTCTCTTTTTTTTTTTTTCTTTTTTTTGAGGCAGAGCCTCGCTCTGTCGACCAGGCTGGAGTGCGGTGGCATGATCTCGGCTCACTGTAAGCTCTGCCTCCCGAGTTCACGCCATTCTCCTCCCTCAGCCTCCCGACTAGCTGGGACTACAGGTGCCCGCCACCACGCCCGGCTAATCTTTTGTATTTTTAGTAGAGGTGGAGTTTCACTGTGTTAGCCAGGATGGTCTCAATCTCCTGACCTTGTGATCCGCCTGCCTCGGCCTCCAAAAGTGCTGAGATTACAGGCGTGAGCCACCACGCCTGGCTGCTCCTTGGGATTTCAAACTCTTTCAAATAGCTTTTCTTTTTCAGTGCCTTCTCTTCCAAGCAACCACAAAACTCAGACACATAACCAATAGCAAGATGCTTGTTATCAACCTGAGGCCATCTTGACAAGGTTTCTGTCATCTTCTGTTGAATTCCTGCTTTCCCTCTTGAATCTTTTCTTCCTGGTTTATCTGTGATGAGTCACCTTGAGACAATAATGTAGACAGACATGGAAAGAGAGTTGTAGAAAAAGCCAATCAAGAAAAATGGAAACTGGAATGGGAAAAGGAAAGAAGAAAGATGAGATGGAAAATAAAATGCCAACAAGAGAGAAGAGAGGGAAGGGAGGCTGTGAACCCCCAAGGGTAGGGCTTGCCTTTATTCATCTTGGCCTCTTCAGGGGTTGGCATAGGCCCACAGATGGTGAAGAAGAAAGGGAGGGAGAGAATGGTTCCAGACGTCTGGATGTGACCCAAGGTAAATCTTGGGGAAGCCCAAAGCTGGATGTCCTTGTGTTAAAGGGTCTGGAGACCATGGCCCCTGGATGGGAGAAGTTGAGATTTCTTATTTTTTTTAATTTTCCTTGCAAAGTTTGGAAGGGCCCCGCTAAAGTGAACTCAGGCAGGAGACCAGGTGAGTGGTGGCTGGTGGCCCGGCCCAGCTCCGGGATGGCTCACCCTGTGACAGCAGATCCTCTCTGCAATTTCTCTTCTGCCACTTTCCAACTGCCGAGCCAATGATTTTATAACCCAGGAGGAGGACATTTCCAAAAATGTAATGACACACTTCACCCTCCAATGAAGCTAGCCCACAGCCTTTTTGTTTCTTTATGGCTTCTTGAAATAAGAATAAGTCTATAAGAATGACTATTTGTCACAACACAAAGGGAGAGGAGAAAAGTAAATCTGAGCTTTGAACCAGACAGAAAAGACTTCGAAGCAGTCCATGTAAACAATGATTCCCTAATGCAACCCAAGGCCGGCTTCTGTGTCCTCTGCGCTCCTGCACTCCATCCACCTCCCAGAGGTGGGGCGAGGCCTGGGTAGGAGAGTGAGGCCGAAGAGCTGCCCCTTAACTAGCTGGGTGACTTCGCCTCTCTGTGCTGTAGTTTCCTCAGCTTCAAAATTGGAATGTAGCTGGGTGCGGTGGCTCACGTCTATAATCCCAGCACTTTGGGAGGCCAAGGTGGGCAAATCACCTGAGGTCAGAAGTTCAAGACCAGCCTGGCCAACATGGCAAAACCCCATCTCTACTAAAAATACAAAATTTAGTTGGGCATGGCAGTGAGCGCCTATAATCCCAGCTACTCGGGAGGCTGAGGCAGGAGAATCGCTTGAGCCCGGGAGGTGGAGGTTGCAGTGAGCCAAGATGATGCCACTGCACTTCAGCCTGGGCAACAGAGCAAGACTCTGTCTCAAAAAAAAAAAAAATTGGAATGCTGTCTCTGCCTCAGGATTGAGAAGATTAGGTCAAAGTCAGGGATACCTGTAGCGCAATCCCTGGTACCTAATAAACTCCCCCCAGAATATTCATTCATGCATCCATTTATTTGTTTATTCATATAAAGTGCTTTGAATGGAGAGGCACACATGTCCCACTGTTTATTTCTTGGTTGGGCATCCTGTCCTCTATTCCCGTATTATCTGTTTTCCATCATCTTAAAGCCTGGTGATCACCTGATAAAATAATCCAGGGGTTCCCAAAGCTGGCCACAAAACAGAATCACCTGTGAAAGGTCAAAAAGAATACAGATATCTCAGTCAAGTCCAAGAATTACAAAGACAGACCCTCTAGAGGTGGTGCCTGGTAATCCCTATTTTCAAAATCCCCAGGTGAGTCTAATGCCCAGCCAGGTGCTGGAATCACTGACTTAATTTTTTCTAAGAGGTCTGTGAGTTCCCATGGATCCATAGGTTAACTCCGTTCCAGGCTTACACTGAGAGTGGCCCTCAGTGCCTGAATCCAAAGAGGGATGACCAATGGCAAGAAGTTAAGAACCCCAGAAAGCAGGTAGGGGCAACCTGACTGGGTGACAATGCTGTGCTTGTCAGTCATGTAGGCATCCAACCGTCTGTCTGTACTTAGGACCACTTTAAGTAGAGTTCTCTGGACAAGTGAGGCAAGAAGGGAGAGGACTTGGAAAGTCAGAAGGGAGGAACAGGGATGAACCTGTTGAGGATGACTCTGCCACAAGCTCCATGAAGGCAGGGAATTGTCTGTCCCTCCAGATCCCACCTCAGGCCCAGCCTTCATCATGGAAGGCAGCATAGAAATAATGCACATGAGCGCCGGCACCATGCGGGACCCTCCCTGTGAGCCCCAGCCCTTTTTCACCTGAGTGACACCTATTCATTATGCAAGCCTCTGTCCAGGAGTTGCCCCCTCCAGGAAGGCTCCCCAGACAGCAGAGCAAGAACCCTTCCTCTGTGCCCTGCCACACCTGGAGACCCCTCTTGCGGCATGTTCTCCACACTAAATTCATCGGGTATAAGTCTCCCTGCCCTCACTGGGCTAGGGGTTAGGCTGTGCTTCATTCATCTTTATGTTCACAGAGCCCAGCACATAGCAAGTGCTCATTAATTATTTCTTTGAACAGAATGTGTCCAAGTCCCTCATTTTACAGATGGGGAAACTGAGGCTCAGAGATGGCAGGTGACTCACCGTGGGTCACTTAGCCCATCTGGGGATAGGTTAGAGATAGCCATGAACATGTCAACAGGCCCACGAACAAGAAAAGAGTATCTGTCCTTTCACCTCCAGGCCATCTCCTTTTTCTGCGTTACCCAAATCCCTGTGGCTGGTAGACACAGCTGGAAGAATGAGGGTACCAGTTGTGCCTCAGCCTCTACCTGACCACGTGATTTGGGGCCAATCCTGACATTCTCTGGGCCTTGCTTTCTTCCCCAGTCTAATGGGAATATCTTCCTTGCTGGACCACCTGCCTGGCCATGGTTTGCTGGAGACAGTTGGGTGTGTACACCTCACTGGCCACATTTAAAGAGTCACCATCCTATTTATGAGCCAAAGCAAGCACACCAGCCCAGATCAGAGAGCAGGAAATGCTTAGGCCCCTTTCCTTCCTACCATGCAATGGCTGAGAAGCTGTCAGACCTACACATACCAGAAATTAAAGCTGTACATTCTGCTGAGAAACATCTGTCCAAACTATTGCTGTGTTTATGTTTCATTTTTGGAGGAGAAAGCTGCTATAAAGTGGAAAGAAAAAAACCTCTGAGCATGACTTGGAAAAATAAGCAAGGGTTTGTCAGGCATCTTGCAAAGAGATGGGAGAGGGGTTACATTGCATGTCCAGCCTCTCTGCGGGGAGAACAGACCACAGCCACCTTCCTGAGAGAGCTGGGCCAAGGGCTCACCAAGGCTGGTTGTCCACCTGCAGATGGGACCCAGAAGAGTTCGGCCCAGCTGTGCTGCCAGTTACACCCCAAGAAGCAAAGTGAAGATGCAGCTTGTCTTTGCAAAATGAGCAGCTTCCTCTATCTGTCTATTCATGTGTTCACTCAACAAACAGTGATTGAGCCTTGACTGTGTGCAAGGTATTTGACCAGCGCTGGGGGGAGATTTGAAGATGGATCAGGGTCTCTCTCTCTCTGCTATCTACAGGCAAATTATCTAGAGGAGATAAAAGACACAAACAATAAAGGTATAGACAAAGCTTCATAGGAATTGAAGGAGCTTTCAGCTAAGAGATCAAGGAAGGCTTCCTGGAGGAAGAGGCACTGAAGGGTGGATGGAATGGGGATAGACTGAGAGTTTGGGATGAGGAGACTGCTCATGCAGAGGTGGGAAGGAGAGAGTGCAGGCAATGTTGAGAAACGGATAGACGAGCAGCCGCGTGTGACTGGCACTGGGGTGTGAGATGGGGAGGGGTGCTGAAGATTGACACTCGAATGTCAGACACTGTAAATGGCACAAGTTGGCTACTTTTATTCCGCATAGTCAGTGGCTGAGGTTCTCATTTTCCCTCCAGATGGGTTGAGAACTTCCTTTGCAGTCACCTTCCCTCACTCTTCCCTCTTCTCTTCTAAGAACTTCTGCAACTTAGGAAGGAAGCACTGTTTGGATGTCAGCTGAGGTGGACCTAAAAGTTGTCAAGTGCAAACCAGAGACCCAAATGTTGATTATGAAGTTGACGTTTGTGATGATACTTGTCAACAGGTGTGTGCCCAAGCTGAAAGGGGCCGCCTCTATGTCCAGCCATCAGGGTAGCCTGTAGGCTTTGTATCTACCGACTTCATGACTACCCATAGCTACTTATGTGTGGAGGCCTTTTATTTATTAGTATTGATAAAAGATATGCAATAGAAATTTATTTATTTATTTATTTTGGAGACAGGATCTCTCTCTGTCACCCAGGCTACAGTGCAGTGGCATGATCATAGCTTACTGCAGCCTTGACCTCCTGGACTCAAGTGACCCTCTTGCCTCAGCCTCTTGAGTAGCTGGGACTACAGGCACATGCCACCATACCTGGATAATTTTTTATTTTTTTATAGATGGGGTCTTGCTATGTTGCCCAGGCTGCTCTTGAACTCCTGGTCTCAATTGATGCTCCTGCCTCACCTTCCCTAGTAGCTGGGATTATAGACATGTGCCACCATGCCCAGCTTCAAGAAAAATTGTTCAAAGCACCTGAACGTCTATCAGTAGAAAAAGGGATGAAACTATTTATTTCAGTATCCCTGAACAGGAGAACGGTATAACACTGTGCAGCCACTATAAAGAATGAGGCAGAACTATATTATCTATCTATACCAGGCCCACCTCTAACATCTGAGGGGCCTGAGGCAAGAAAGTAAACAGAGGCTCTGGCCCACGGCCTGCCATCTTTTCTTCCCACCGCTGGTTCTCTCTCAATAATTGGGGGACATTACACATGTAGACACTCCAGCCTGCACACCCAAGCTCTCTCTACAGCCCTGCAAATGGCCACTCCTTGGCTACTACCATCAGAAGTATGCTTCTCTATCAGAAAGGCAGGTCTAGAGGAGAGGCCTGCACAGGCCCTGGACTCAGGCCTAGGCTATTTGGGCAGGAGATTCCAGCATCCCAGCCACCCAGAGTGGGAGGACAGTGGCTCCAGGTGTCCTGTCCCCTTGACCCCTAGGACTCCTCACCCCATAGGAAGGGGCACAGCTAGAGAAGGGTTGGAGTGGAACCAAGAGCAGGAGCCCTA
Source organism: Homo sapiens (assembly GCF_000001405.40). NCBI lineage: Eukaryota > Metazoa > Chordata > Mammalia > Primates > Hominidae > Homo > Homo sapiens. The sequence goes on along the minus strand of NC_000015.10, from coordinate 68,377,795 downwards.
GTCACACAGTCCAACGGGGGCATTGATAGATATTAACACAGAAATATGTCCACATACAAAATAATTAAATGGAAAAAGCATGTTACACAACCACATATGTAGAGTGATTCCAGTTTTTAAATTCTGGATGTCCTCTAGATTGTCTGCATCCCTGCTGCTATAGTAGTTTCCTATAGAAGGCTGGATTGAGAAGGGGAAGGAGAAGGCTTTCAAGTTTTACTTCGGGCCAGGCGCAGTGGCTCACGCCTGTAATCCCAGCACCTTGGGAGGCTGAGGAGGGCAGATCACCTGAGGTCAGGAGTTTGAGACCAGCCTGGCCAAATGGTGAAACCCTGTCTCTACTAATAATACAAAAATTAGCCAGGCATTGTGGCGCATGCCTGTAATCCCAGCTACTCGGGAGGCTGAGGCAGGAGAATTGCTTGAACCCAGCGGGGTGGAGGTTGCAGTGAGCTGAGATCCCACCACTGCACTCCAGCCGGGGCAACAGAGCGATACTCTGTCTCAAAAAAACAAAACAAAAGTATTAGTTTGCACAGTTCTGCAACATGAACACTAGATAACAAATGTGTATTTTACCTTTAATACACAAAGAATCACAGTTTTTAAATAAGTGAATTTTTTGAACCAATTAAAGGATTATTTATTACATATTTTCTTATGACCGAAAGAAGTAAAACAAATTTTTCAAAAATAAATAGATAAAATCAATCTGGGTGCGCTAGATGGTCAGAGATGGCTGTGGTCATGATCCCCAGATACAGTGAAAGTTCCCAGGGTAGAAGTGCTGCTTTACTTGGCCAGAGGGCCTCCTACCTGCTTCCTTAGCAGATCCTTCAAACAGGGCTTCCCATCCTGCCTGTACACCCCAGAGGATCTGCAGATTCCTGGGTCATGTCCCACACTGGCTGAGTCAGAACCTTCTGGAGGTGGGGTTCAGGAACCTGCATTTGTACCTCCCCTGGTGATCCTGATGACCAGCAAGTGTGGAAACCACTGCCCCTCAAAACCCTGAAGGGTGAGCAGACCAGGTATAATATTCAGTCCCTTTGGGTAGATGAGAACACTGAGGCCCAAGGCAGTTAATGACCTTGCCTTCCCCTGCCAGAGCTTGCTCTATTCATCCAGTTGGGTCAACCCATGTTGGAAGACAAAAGCAAGCAGCTGGCAGTCAGTGGTCCCAAGCTGCAGCCTACTGGGTCACAGGCATCCCACTAAGCCAGGTGATTCACCAGCTCATACAAAAACTGCATTTCAGGATCTACTCTGTGCCAGATGCTGTTCTGGGTGCTGGGATATTTGTGGCTGCCCACCTGACCAGCAAGATCCTAGCTCCCTTGGGGCTTAAATCCTATAGGGAAATAAGGACAATGAAAAGTTATTCAAAGAAGCCAACATCAGACACTACAAAGTACTTGAGGAATACAAGGCAAGTTGGTGAGAGAGGGGGTGACAGGTCTTCAGGAAAGGCCGCTTTGGGGAGCTGGCCTTGAAGATGAGCCCTAAATGATGGCTGAGAAGACCCGGCTGTGCACACAGTTTATAGCAGCCCAGGTGAAAAAAAAAAGAGAGGAGAACAATGAGGTGATCTAGAGCCTCAGAAGGCGTGGTGAAGAGGGTGGATTTTGTTGGCATGGATCTGGGGCTTTGAGCCCAGTGAGAGTCGCCATGCCTCTGTTTCCCCCATATAAACACTCCTCATGCTTCTCAAACTTAAGCATGCATCAGTGTCTCCTAGAGGGCTTGTGAAAACACAGACGCTGGGCCCCACCCCCAGTTTCAGCCTCTGTTGATGGTCTGGGGTAGGGTCCAGGGAGAATTCTCTTTCTCAAGGGAGGGTCAGTCATTTTGTTCTGTTCTGCCCTTCGACTGATTGGATGAGGCCCACCCACATTAGGAAGGGTGATTTGCTTTCCTTAGCCTACAGATCTAAGTGTTAATCTCATGCAAAAAACACCCTCACAGAAACACCCAGAATGACGTTTGGCCATATATCTAGGCACCCCGTGGCCCAGTCAAGTTGACACATAAAATTAATCATCATGTATATGTCCCTGTTTAAAATGCACACAAAGGTTTCCAGTGTCTGATAGGACTTTATGGAGGGAGAGTAAGGGATGTGCAAACAGAGGGGCTCTCGTTTCCCTAGCCCCCACGAGGCCAGGCCTCACCAGATGTGTGAGCCAAGGTGAACCACAAGCCCCTGCAGTCAGTCCAGGAAGACCTGCAGGTGCCAACTTCTCCCCTTGGGCAGGTCCTGGGCCAGATTCTCCATCTACACCCAACCCCCAGCCAGGGCAGCCCCGGGGTCCCCACTGGGCAGGCATTTGGACTTGCTGCTCTCAGCGCTTCCCCAGACCCATCTTGAACCCATTAGCCACCAAACTCACAGGGGCTGGAGGAGATTCCATTTTCCATGGAGAGAGAGGGAGAGAAAGGCCTCACTAAAGGAATAATCTCTCCTTTGTTCCCTCGAGCTCTCGGCTCCTCCAGTGAAACCCCTCCCTGATGCCCCTATCTGATTTCAGAAAAGGAAAATGGAGCCAGGAGAAAAAAGAGACAAAGGGACCATGTGGGTTTAAGGGAGCGGGGGCTGTGTTGAGAGAAAGGAACAGGTGAGGAAGGGAATGGGGTGAGAGAGGAGAGAGGTGAGAGGCTCCTGTGGGGAGAGGCCCTGCTGGCCCTAGAGAGGACAGGCCTCACTCCTCTCTGAGCACTGAGCCTTCCACTTCTTCACAATGAAAAAAAGAGCACAGGACGAGGAGTCCTGGCTGTGAAACTGATCAGTGTCTCTCTGCAGGCTCATCATACTTACATTCTGAGCCTCAGACACAAACTGCTCTGCCAGCCCCAAAGCTGTCCTGGAGATCAAAATCAAGTGCAATTAAATTGCATTGAAAGTGATTCATTCAAATGAAAAGGATAACCAATGATAATTGGATTTCCCGGGATGTGAGGTTGAGGCCTTGCAGAGGGAGGCTGTGAGGCCCATCAGGGAGGGGATTGAACCCACATTCTTCCCTTCCTGGGCAGTCCATGCCAGCCTCTGGTCTCAGGATCTCCTGCAGAGGCAAGCTCATCCTTGGAGGTTCCTTCTTCCTTCCCCTAGCATCCAGTGAGCTCAATTCATGGCCTTGGCTCATTTCATCTGCTGGGGAGCTAAGCTGCTCCTGCCTGCCTCAACAGACACAGCCTGTAAAAGCCTGACTGGGCCTAGAGCCCCAGCCCTTGCCTCTAGGCTTTCTGCCCTCCATGGCTTGGGGGAAGCACCACCCTAGGAGTCAGGACACCGTGTACTAGTCCAGCTCTGCCACTGCCTGTCTGAGGCCTCAGACACAGCACTTCTCTCCCTGGCCTTGGATCCCACATTTGAGGCTGGCCCAAGGAACCTGCATGTTTCCTCCCAGCTCTGATGTCTCGAGGCCTGTTCCCAGGTAACCAGAAACATCTGGAATGCAGGGTTCCCTGTCTAAGCAGCTGTTATATGTGGGATGCACACAGGACAAAAGGGTTTCTGTTGCCACAAGGCTAGGCCAGGGGAAAGTTTTATGCATTCAGTTAAACAACAAGAGAGAAATAATATACATGGTGCTGGTGATTCCACCCACCACTTACTCAGTAAGTCCAGGCCCCAGGTGGAGCATGAGCTAGGGGATATGAATCTGCTTCTCCCTCATTGGTCTTGGTTGCCATGTTTCTCTTATAGCATAATAACATATGGAATTTCTAAGAGTAATTTTAACTATGTGCACTTTTTTGCCTTGTACACTCTAAACATTAGGATGTTTTAAGTTATAAGTACCTAAAAACTCACAGACTTACTATGCAGTAAAAGGTAGTCATTGAGCCTATGTCTGAAAAGCCCAGTGGTAGTTAGGCTGCAGGTACAGTTTGATCCAGGGGTTCAAAGCATCAGCAGGACTTCAGCTCCTTCTCTTCATGCTTCTCTCAGCTCTCCCACTGTCAATGCATCAGCTCATAACCCTCATCATCACAAGGTGGCTGCCAACAGTTCCAGGCCTTGCATTCACTCACTACAGCATCCAGAGAAAAGAGACCACCCTGCTACCTGCATCCCAAGCACAAGTCTTGAGATTCACTTGATTGGGGAGATTTAAGTCTTTGTCCCACCCTGACTCAATCACTGCAGCTGGGGGATAAACTCTCCTAACCTGAGCTATGTGCTCCATCCCTGCAACTGGGAATAGAGTCAGAATCCCTGGATCCTCAAACAGAAATGAGTACTGTTGGGAAGGAGGAAATGGAAACCAGGGAAGCAGTCAACATTGACTTTAGCATGGAAGCTGGGTCACTCCATTGAACTCCTATGCATGGAAAGTACTCGATTTCTCAACAACCCTCTTTCCAAGGATTGAATTCAGGGGCTTCTCTTAGGCCTGAGGCAAAGCCAAAAGCCCCCACAGTTGCTCCTGCTGCAGACTGTCACACAGAAGGTTAGGTTGGTCACTGGGCACCTCTTTGCCGAGTGCCTTCAGGACCACCCTACTCTGGTGCAGTAGGGCAGTCCAGGACATCTTAGACCTCAAGGAATCATGACACTACAACATTGGCCACACCAGGCAGCAGGGATTACAAGCCAGTTTATGTGAGAAAGGCCAGGGTAATCACCGACGGCTTCCTGGAGCAGGTGGGAATTTATGCTGGATTTTAAAGGGATGATCTCCAGGGTGGGGTACACACACCACAGGGACTATGCTGGACTGTATACTGCAGTACAGAAATAAAATAAATGTGAGTTCTATTTAGGTTTATATTTTATCTGAAAAAAATAGAATTACTAACATTTAATATACAGTTTATTAAAATTGGACAGTTTATGCTGGTATAATTTACATATACACTTACACATAATTAGGGGTACATATCATCTTTTTTCTTACAGGAGATTGAATTTTAAAAGTTTAGAGACCAAAACTGCCTGGAAGAATGGAGCTGAGGATAAGCAGAATTCAGGATGAGTCCCCAAAGAGCCTTGTTGGAGAGGGTGTGAGGTAGAGTCAGGTGGGAGGGCACTGGAGCCAGGGGCCCTTTGTCTTAGTCTGGGTCCTGCAGGGAGCCAAGGAGCCCAGCAGAGGGCTTCCAGAGTGCCATGTCCGGCCTTCCAGAGTGCAGTCTCCACAGGGACCATCCTCTCTTGGCAAGGCCCTTCTTAGAGGTTGGTCAACAGGGAAAGGGTCCTACAGGGCTGTGGCTGGAATGTCTGTTGCCCATTTTCCCATCCACCGAAGCCCTGCTCCCTGCGCCTCCGCAGGAAGAATGCTGGGAGCCCGCAGCCAGTGACTCACAGCACACAGCCAATGGAAAGGGCCGGATGCTCGCCACGACCTTTGGGGTTTGCTGTGCCGTCTGGTGCCCACGCCAGGAGGTATAGGGTATCAAGCCCCCGAGAGGCGTAGCAGGCCCTGAGGCTGCAGAAGGCTGTATAAGCCTGAGGCTGCAGGGGGTGGCAGGGGCTGCCAGACCCCAGGCAATTTGGCTGGTCTCAGTGGTGACGTGAACATTTTCCCTGCGCTTCGGCAGTTATCCTCTCAAACTGGGACTGAATCATGTCCTCCAAACCTCAAGCCCAACAGGCACACGTAATGCCCAGACTCAAGAATGGAGAGAAGGGCTGACCCAGGCCCTCTCTTCATGGCAAAGAAACATTTGGGGCAATGCAGAGGAAGCTGTCCCAGGAGAACTCCAGTCCCAGCCCCGCAGCAAACCAACTGTGGGGCTGGGTCAGCTCCCCTCTTGGGGCCTCAGTTTCTGCAGCTATATTATGGCGACAGTAAGCCCTGCCCTCCTACCTCATGAAGTACTATGGACTCCCAGAGAAATGAGGTCTGGGAGAGTGGAGATGGGACCCAGGGAGTGGCCCTTGTTCTTTGAAAAGGACAAAACCGGTCTCATTGCAAATTTGAGGTCACAGTGACTTAGTGAATTTACTACCAGATTGTCCCATCTCAGCCACTGCCAGGACACGTGACTTTTCGGAAGCCACCAGTCTTTGCGCATAGCTTGCCTAGATATGGCCCCTTCTGTTTCTCGGTGCCTTTCTTTCTTTTTCTTTTCCCCGAGATAGAGTCTCGCTCTGTCACCCAGGCCGGAGTACAGTGGCATGATCTCGGCTCACTGCAACCTCCTCCTCCCAGATTCAAGTAATTCTCCTGCCTCAGCCTCCCAAGTAACTGGGATTACAGATGCCCACCACCACGCCCAGCTACTTTTTTTTGTATTTTTTAGTACAGACGGGGGTTTCACCATGTTGGCCAGGCTGGTCTTGAACTCCTGACTTCAGGTGATCCACCTACCTCAGCCTCCCAAAGTACTGGGATTACAGGCATGAGCCACTGCACCCAGCTGGCCGTGGCTTTTCTAATCTAGAACATGCTGCGCCTGATTCTCCCAGAGGCACCCTGAGAGGTGCTCCTCCATCTGGCAACAGTGCCCGGGAGGAACGTGTCCCTCAGGAAGACTTGGTCACGTGTCAGGTTAACCTTGAAAACTGGAGCAGCCCCAGAGAAGTAAGCTTAGAGCCCAGGGTTCTCTTACTGACCTTTTTCTTTCTTTCTCTCACTTTCTCTCTCTCTCTCAAGAATGGAGCAGCCTTGACCACACAATCACTTGCAGAATTAAGTAGCCAAAAATCACCTCGTCTAGACAAACAGATGTTATGGGTCCAATTAATTTCTGCCGGTCAAAAATAGGCGGGCTTAATAAGGGGATATATATAGAATCTGCCATCATCTGGCTCCCCAGGGGAGAAACCTCAGCTCTTATTTCATAGACGCTTAATTTCAAACAGAGTTCTATAACTCCCACTTCAGACCTGGCTTTCCTTCCTGACAGCGCCAAGGTGGACCGGGGCAGGGAGAGCAATGGACCACAAGAAGCCACTTAAGTGCCATGCAGCCCGAGCCTCCCGGCCACCTCCTCCCAACCATCTAACTCCGCTGGCATGTGGTGGCTTCTTCTTTGGGCCATGTCACCAGGCAGTGGGAAGCTGCTGGAAGAGCAAGGTCTAAAGAGCTCCAGAAAGTCCAACCTGTCCCTGTGCCCCAGATCCCACCATCATCTGTTCTCCATCCCTCGGGATCGAAAGCCTTTCGGGGCTCTTGTGGGCTGTGGTGTCCCCTCCCACACACAGTACCGCTGTCCCTGGGAAGGGTTACCGTTCTTAGCCACTGTTAGTATGTGGCCTGAGCAGAGAGCCAGACCGGCACCCAAGGCCTAGAGGGCCCCAGGTGTGCCAGAGTCACGTGCCACAGACCCAGTGGGCAGGTCAGAATCCTGGGACACTCTGGGCCCCCGTGATGGGGCTGCTCTCTGGTGGGTGAGAGATGAGGCGTAGAGGGCCCTGGAGAGCACTAAGGACAGGACCTGGGGACCCTCCAGTCTGAGGTAGAACTCTCCCCAGCATCAGTGGGGGTGAGTCCACAGCCGCACCTCCAGGGTCGCAGGCTTTTCCTCCAGGGCACGGCCACCGGGGCTTGGCCGGGCCAGGAAGGAGTGGCTGCTCACTTTTCCCTAGGTACATGTAAGTAAGTAAGCCAGGTGTGTTAGTTCCTTACGGCCGCCATAACAGATGATCACAACCTGCGTGGCTTAAAACAACAGAAACGCATTCCCTCAGAGTCCTGAAGGACACGAGCCTGAAAGGAAGCAGCACCAGGTCCGCACTCCCTCCGCAGGCTCTGGGGGAGAATCCTTCCTTGGTTCTTCCAGCTTCTGGTGGTCCCGGGCGCTCCTTGGCTTGGGGCAGCATCTCCTAACTCTGCCTCTGTCTTCTCGTGTCTCTCTTCTCCCCATGTCTCTCCTCTGTGTTTCCTCTTCAGGACACTTGCCATTGAATTTAGGGTCCACCCAGATAATCCAGGATGATCTCAACCCAAGAACCTTAACTTAGTTACATCTGCAAAGACACTTTTTCCAAAGAAGGTTGCAAAGGCATTGGCTCAAGGCAGGAGCCCCAGCTGCATGGCAGCTTCCGCCCACTGGCTGCCTTGTCCACCCTGACCCACTCTGGGGCACCAGCTTTAAGGCTTCCCTGTAAGATGAAGAATGAGGGCCCTTTCAGGTAATGACAGATGGTCAAGACTCTGTGGCTCCAGAAACATCATTCCTTTGTCAGAATGACTTCCATTACCACTCTCTCGTCATTTGACAAACTCATATTCATCCCTTAAGACCCAGCTCAAACATCGCCCCCTCCTCTACCAGGGATTTGCCTCCATCCCATTTGTTGCAGAGCCCATGTGGTCTTCATCTCTGTACCTAGGCAAGGGCCTAGAATGGGCCACAGGTCCCATGACTTTATGCTGAAAGCCCAGCATCCCTCCCTCAGGGAGACAGTGGTCCCAGCCTGAGGGTCTGCATGTGGTCACACCTCCAGGGTTCCCTCCCACCCTCCCCACCCAACTTCACCTCCACACTGCCCACCAGGCTCCATCCTCTGCCAGGAAAGAGTACCTCCCCCAATGTCTTTGCTCATCTTCTCTTCCTTCCCAGGCTGGTCGTGGGCGCCCCACTGGAAACCAATGGCTACCAGAAGACGGGAGACGTGTACAAGTGTCCAGTGATCCACGGGAACTGCACCAAACTCAACCTGGGTAACGTGGGCTGGTGGTCTCTTCACAATGAGGCCAGCGGTTGTCTAACACAAGGCAGGCTCTGATGCACGCCCATGTCCATGGTCACACTGACTCCTTCCTGCTACTCCATGAGATGACCCAGCTGATATCACTGCCCCCACTTTACACATGAGGAAGCTGAGGCCAGGGAGAGGAGGCAACTTTTCCACAGTCACACAGCTTGCCAGGGGCTCACCAGGAATCAACCCAGGCCCTAGCTGTCCCAGGCCATTCCTCTTTCTGACTCAGCCACTGCCCTTCAACTCAAAGTTTTCTCTCCCAGGAGAAAAAAAAAAAAAAAAGGACTTCCTGTCTTTTTCCTGATTTTGAAATAATAACAACAATAGCTAACATTCAGATATCTTCGATAATGTTCACCATGTGTGAGGCACATTTGGACTCATTTAATCCTCACAACACCCATATGGGATTTAACCATTTAACAGATAGGAAATGACAGCATACAGAGGTGAGGGGACCTGCCCGGGGTCACTCAGCTCACAAGGAGCAGGGCTTGGCGTCCAGTTCATGCAGGCTATGGCCTCCCTTTAACCACCATGCAGCACTGCCCTTCGGAAATGCAAGCTTTTCCTCGCCAAAGAGCTTTCAGGCATATTCTGGAACAGGGAGATGCTGTGAACAGCCCCCAGCCTCCGAAGCCCTCCTAAAATCTACTCGTGTGTGTTTGCATGCATGTGTGTATCTGCTTATGTGTGTGCAAATGTGTATCCACTAAGCACACACACCAGTCCACTAAAGTGCTCCCACTTGTCCTAAAGGTCAGACAGCAGCTGGGTCATTGCTTGCTCTGCTCTCAGAAGGGAGAAAAAGTTCCATTTTGGCTGACAAGCTGCAATTCTAGGCTTTGCCCTGGAGGACTGGACTTCCCTAGGGCCAGGACCCTGGGCCTCCCTCCTTCGAGGAGCGGGGTCTCCACCCCAGAGCAGTGGGGTGGGTCTCCCTGGGAGATGGGGGATGGGAAGGGCAGCAGGGTCTCACTGGGCGGGAATGGCAGAGGTTCAAGAGATAAGCTGATGGATGAAAAGGTCAGCATCCAAAAGAAAGCCCAAAGAACTCCCCAGGGCAGCCAGCTGTCTGTCACATGGTCCCGGAGGCTCCCGCTGTCCACATCTGCATCAGCACCATGGGTGGGAAGTTCAAAACCCAGCATAGCCGGGGCCCAAACTTCAGTGAGGAAATCGTCTAAGGGAAGAGGGTGCCTGGTTGGTGGCATATGGTTCCAGGTCATCAGCACCCTGAGAACACAGGCTTCTGAAACTGGCCAACCTGGAGTCCCCTTCCAGCTGTACAAATTCTTTGCTGTGTGTCCATGCGGAGTTCACATCCTCTCTCTGAGCCTCAGTTTACTCGTGTGTAAAGCAAGGAGGCTGGACTCGACAACCCTTAGGATCCATTCCAGGTCTAATCTGTTTCCGAACCTTTAATGCGCACCTAGAGTGTACCAAACACTGTACTATTTATTGGGGATATGGTGGGGAACAAGAGGCCAAGGAAGGGGACAGTAATCGGGTAGGCAAATTAAGAAGCAGGATAGTTTTAGGCAGGGATCAATGCTGTGCAATAAACCAGGTGCTGTAATAAGAGTGGCTAGGGGGTGATGGAAGTGGAGAGGGATTTCTACCATAGAAGGTGATCAGGGAAGGCTTCTCTGAGCAGGTAGTTTTTGAGAAGGTTACAGGTGGGGGCGGAGCACTCCAGACAAAGGAGGAGCAAGTGCAAACGCCCTAAGGTAGGAACAAGTCTGCCCTGTTGGAGAAGATAAAGAAAGGCCATGTGGTTGGGACAGAGGCAATGAGGTTGGGGTGTGGTGGAAGAGTGGGCAGTCTTCTCAGGGCTTCAGCCACCAAGAGAAGCTCCTGGTCCAGGCAGGGACGTGGATTCGTGAACCAATCTTTTTTTTTCTCTGTTGCAATGTGGACCCCATTTCTCTCCAGAGGGAGGAGGAGACATAAAGCCATGAGACCCTGGAAAGCATTTCTGAGCTGGGGCACAAGCCTAGGAGGCAGTGGGTAGCAAAGTGAGTTGGGATGGAGGAAAATTACTCTTCATTTGAGGTGTGGTTCTCTCTCTCCCACTGAGAAGAAAATGCATGGCAGAAAGAACATCTGTCAGTTTTGCCCCACAGTGGAAAATGCAAGGCTGGGAAACCTGAGTCCTGGGTTTTCCTACGGCCGTTCCAGGCACTGGGCAGCACGATGCCAGGAATGTTCTTTCCTTTTTCTCCAGGGAAGGCTAAGTGGGTGTCAGCCATTCACACCTCTGTGGGAAAGACTCTACCACTGGCACTGTCCTTCCAACACCTGGATAAAGTCAGGGTTTTCAATGAGGGGCAGGGGCTGGGGGAGGTGATGTGATTCTCAAAGCCAGGGCCTGTGTAGGGAGATATCTGGGCCCGGGACCCTCACCCAGACCTGCTGAGGAAGGCGTGAGTCTCTCCCGCTCACAGAGGGGTTGGGCAAAGACTTGAACCTGAGTCTGTCTAACTCCAACACAGGGATTTTTCCTCCCCTGCCCCTCTGTCTCAGCCAGCTGCACAGTTTCACTACAAACATCAGTCCCAGGGGAGAGGGAGGAAGGAGAGGGGCAGGGTGGTGAGGTCTGCGTTCCTTAAATAAACGGAGGGCAGAATTCTAGCCAGAAGGGGGCGAGGGTTACCCAGCCCAGTGGAGCATGGAGCCGCCCCTCTAGTTCCCACTGCCACCGTGATGCCATCAGATGGGAGAAAACACAGAACTCGGGATGAAACGTCACACGGTCTGGGCTAAAGATCTTGCTCTTTAATTTCCCAGCAGGTAACCTTGTGGCAGTCACTAACCCTCTCTACACCTCAATGTTCTCATCTGTAAAATGGAAATGATGACCCCTGGGTCTCCCAGGACCGTGAGGGGTCCTGAAAGGGCAGGTGTGCGCGGTGCTTTGTAGATGATAAGGCATCTCAGAAACACCGGGGCTTTACTGTTATTTTCTCTCCAGCTTGTTTGGGCAGACAAAAGAGAAATCGAGCCCAGTCATTCTTAGCACAGCCAAGAAGGGCAGATTTCAAAAGGAGCCTTGCTTCAAACTGAGGAAAACCAAAAAGGAAAAAACAACAAACACAGCTGCCCCTACCCTCCAGTCCACAAAACAGTCTGTGTCTGACAAGCTGGGCTCTGCCAGCGGCCCACCCCCAGACTCCTGCACCAGCTGGCCTTCCTGACCTGTGTGCCCTGGGAGCCAGGCCGACTCTTCACACTTCCAGTCACCGACACAGTGCAATGCAACCCATTCTTGCTCAAGGCCTCCTTAGAAATTATTCCTCCCATTGCTCGAACCTGGGAGTTGGAGATTGCAGTGAGCCACGATGGTGCCACTCCACTCTAGCCTGGGTGACACAGTGAGACCCTGCCTCAAAAAAAAGAAAAGAAAAGGGAGGGGAGGGAAGGGAAAATTAAAAAAAAAGAAAAGAGAAAAGAAAAGAAATTACTCCTTCCCCAGGCAGGGAAGCCACCCAGAGCTGTCCACACTGCATATTAGGGCTTGCACACTCTAGCTCCCCAGCCTCTCCCACTCCCTCTTCCTGTACACGTGCACACACACACACACACACACACACACCCCAACACACTTCTGGGGAATTCAGACTCACTTCCTTTCCTTCGGTGGCCTCCAGGATGATCTGGTAAAACCTTAAGCGATGCAATTTTTTTATGATTCTAATCTGCCGCAGAGCTGACCCTCTCCCTATTCCCAGCAGGCTGATAACCCAGCTCCTAAGCACCTCTCTTGGCAGCCTCCTTCAGAATGGCATTCCTGGGCAAGGCCTGGCAGCTCTGGAAGGCTCTCGTTGAGTTGGCTCTGTTACCCATGAGAGGAAACTCTCAGCTGTCACATGTTGATTGTTCAGATGAGCAGAGAAGTGGGCACAGAAAGAGTTGGGCACAGGACTGGTTAAGTGTGGATGGGGGTCAACTTGGAAGAAAGCGTAGCGGGGATACTGCACAAAGGAAGCCAGCCCAGGTGGGATGCCATGGCATGCTTGGGGGCACACGGGGAAGTGGGGCTCCAGTCGGATGGCTGGAGGAGGAAAAGCTGTGGGCTAGGAGATAGAAGGCTCGGTGAGTGCTCACTGTGTGACCTTGGGCAGGTTGTTTGGCCTCTCTGAGACTCGGTTTTCTCATCTCACAGGCAGTTGTGAGGATGTCCTGAGAGTACGTCTGGGGAAGGCCTTTGTAAACCCTGAGAGCCAGAGGTCCCCAGGGTCAGGGAGAATCGGGGAGGCACCTCGGGTGACCAGACCAGCAGCAGGCTCTGGGCAGAGGGCGGGCAGGAGGGGGCTGCAAGCTGAACTTCTCCCCCAACCCCAGGAAGGGTCACCCTGTCCAACGTGTCCGAGCGGAAAGACAACATGCGCCTCGGCCTTAGTCTCGCCACCAACCCCAAGGACAACAGCTTCCTGGTAAGAGCCACCTGCCACTGCTTGGGGTCAGGAGAGGCAGGGGTGGGGGTGGGGAGGGGTGGAGCGTCTCCTTACACACCCTCATGTCCATCCTGTACACCCACTCTCCCCCACTCCAACCACCAAGCTGCCTGGCCCTGTGCATTCCAGGAAGCAGCTCCCCCGCCAGCTCCCTGCTTATGCCATTCCGGGTGGCAGGGCCCTGGGTGTTTTGGCAGGGACAGTCCAGGCAGAAGAAACAATTGAGCCCTTTTGTGTGCATATCCCGAAGGAGGGAGGAACAGCCAGAAAGGGGACAAGAATAAATGTAGATAGCCAACAAGTCTGGTGGGGGACTGTCCCTTTCCTTGGGGAGCTAGTTGTCTGGGCTGGAGGTCAAATCTCTGCTCTAGGCTTGAAAAAAGAAGCAGGCTGCACCACACACCCAAAGAAGACTTGGAAGGGATGCCATAAATGAGTAAACACAGACTACCACAGCCGAGGGAAGGGCTACAGAGTGACAAGCCGTCTCAACTATCCAGGATTAGATGAAGAAGGCTGGAGGAGGTTTCTGTTTTGTTTTTAAAGAAGAGACAGGCCTTCGCAAGGAAGAAAAGGGCATGTCTGGGTTGAGGTGGTAGAAACATTCATTCATTTAAACAATGATGTTTCTGAGCACTTACCATAGTATGTGCTAAGCCCAGTGCTGGGCACCGGGATTCAGCAATGAATAGAGACCCTGTCCTGCTGGAGCTTACACTGTGGTGGAAAGAGAGGCGACAAGCAAACGAGTAATGTCTAATAGGACTTTGGGGGACAGACAGCAGCAGGCTCTGCTTACAGGTCTCTGTTCTGTGCCCAGGTGAGCACATATGGACTCTGCACATGGTAGTGAGTGTGGGCGGCACAATGGATTGGCACTGCCTGCTCCTTGCCACCACCTTGGAGTGAGCTGCGTTGAGTATGGGCGATGCTTGGGGTTCAAACAGGATCCTTCTGAGACTGATGGTTCCTAGAAACAGTTGCAGGAGAGGACTTCAGAGAAAATTTACCCCAGAAAGCCCAGTACAAATTACTGCCCATTTTTAGATGGGGTGCTTGTGTCAGTCTTTGTTCTGGTCTATTTCTGCTGACAAATGAGACATCTGGGGCATGAATCACAAGACAAATTAGATAAGACAAATAAGACATAAAGATAAGACGATGACTGGGATGCAAGGGGACTTGAGTGCATAGTGGCCCTGCCAGGGAAAGTCATGAGGTGCCTTGATGTATATTCAGCCCACAGCCCTTTATTAGCCATAACCAGAGGCAAAGCAGGACCCCTGGCCCTATCCACACACATATCCGTCAGGGGCTTTGTCTCTACTCCCTTTTCCCTCTCAGGCTCCTTATCACATTTCTTCTTCACAAGGTGGTATGAAGGTCTGAGAGGAATGGTGTGATATATTCTCTGGGGCCTCTGTGAGTAGGTTAATCCTTGGTTTATAGATAGTCACCTGTTCATTGATTCACTCATCTGTCCATTCCCCTCTCAACAATTCATTCCTCCATTCATCTATCCAACCACCCATGCATTCATCTACCCATCTGTCTATACATCGATCCACCATCAATCTCCCATGTAATCATCCATCTTTCCATTTATTCCTTCCTGCATCCATCCATCAACCTCCATCATCTATCATTCATCCACCCATCAATTCATCATCCATCCATCCATCAACCATCCATCATCCATCTGTCATTCATCCACTTATTCATCCATCATCCATTCATCCATCATCCATTCATCCATCATCCATCCACCCATTCATCCATCAACCATCTATCATCCATCCATTATCATTCATCCACCCATTCATACATGGATCATCTATCCATCCATCATCCATCCACTAATTCATCCATCATCTATCCAGCCATCATTCATTCACCCATTCATTCATCATCCATTCATCCATCATCTGTCCACTATCCATCATCCATCCATTATCCATTCATCTATCTGTCCATCCATTCACATCTATCCATCATCCTTCCATCCATCTTCCATCCATTTATCCATCCATCCATTCATCATCCATCTATACATCATTCATCCATCCATCTATACATCATTCATCCATCCATCTACCACCCACTTATCCATCCATCTATCATCTGTCTATCCATCCACTTATCCATCCATCCATCTATCCATTCTTTATTCCCCTCTGTCCCCTGCCACTTCCAAACATTATGTACAGCAGCTTCAACAAAGTACACAGATAAAACATAACCTTTAAGATCTGAGCTTAAAAAGAAAGTAATTAAAGAAAGGGATCGGAAGTAGAATAATTACTCCCCTAAACCAAAGGAAATTACAGCACAAAATTTAGCTCTGGGTTTCCTGATAGCAGGATAACAATGGAAGCATGGAGCTGAGCTTTCATTTTTAATGACAATGACTCTGAGAAGAACCCTTCACTCAGTCCTTCAATGGGGACTGACATCAGTGTTTTTGGTAGAACATTTCACAGAAAGAATACAGACATTCTTATCTTCCCCTGCCCCAGTATGAGCCATGGCATGTTTTTGGGACCCAGTCCTAGAAGTTTGCCCAGTAAGGCCCTTCAGGCGACCTCTCAGACAGAGGAGTTATTCTAGTGACCCTTGAAGTGTTCACACCCGTGGGTGAAAAGGCTTCCCCAGATCCCGTATGGTGGGTGGGTGAGTGGGGTGGGCAGGTAGGGTGAAGAAGTATCATATTCCTAAATGATGAGATGGAGAACAGGGCCTTGAAAAAACAATGAAAGAGACTCCAAGATCAGTTTTTCTCCATTAGACCTGAAACCAAAGGAACTAGTACACATTGCAGCAAGAGAGAGTTCAGTTAGACCCAAAGAAGATCCCTCACCCCCTCACCCCTCAGATAGAAGTCTGTCTTGGGTCGTGGAGGATGGGAGTGGGCCTCAGGCCATTGGACCTCGATCCTCTCTGAGGTCCCCTCACTGACTGGGGATCTGCACTGCCCTCCCCAGGCCTGCAGCCCCCTCTGGTCTCATGAGTGTGGGAGCTCCTACTACACCACAGGGATGTGTTCAAGAGTCAACTCCAACTTCAGGTTCTCCAAGACCGTGGCCCCAGCTCTCCAAAGTAAGTGGCTTCAAATCTGCAACCTCAAGCTGAGCAGTGGACAGTCCAGAGAGACTTGGGCCCTGAGCACAACAACCTGTGGCTAGAAAGCAGTATTTGGACTCTAGCACTGTCCTGCCCCAGCTCTCCGGATGACCTGGAATGTATCACTCCACTCTCTGGGCCTCTGTGGGAGTCATAATCCTGGCCTCCCTCTCCCAAGTGTGATGGTGGAGAGCAAATGAGCTAAGGTTTCAAAGACAATCCCAGCCTCAAGGGAGGCTCACTGCAGAAACCCTGGGTATATAGGAGGTTACCTGGCAAGCACATGCAGCAGACAAGCTGTGCACTGCACAATTCTGGGGGAATTGTTCACTTAGACATATGAATGGCGCCCCCTGATGTTGTGCAATGCAGTAGCCTTGTAGATGAAGGAACAGGGAGAACAGAAATCTCCTTGGTAGTAGTTCCACCAAATCAGTGCTCCTGGACAGCAGGGAGTTCTGTCCAGCTCGTCCAGAGCCTCATGGAACGTAAAACCTCTTGCTCATTGCCCACCTGCGAAGAAAACCTGGGGAATTACTGCTCAGACCCTGCCTCCCACAAGCCCAGACTTCTTGGCTCTGAGCCTCACTATTTCCTCTGCACTAAATACCATCACCCAAGCAGCTGCTGCCCGTTTTATGGAGGGTTCGGGAATTGGCACCTCTGGCTTGCCTGCAGCCGCCCTCCAGACAACAAGGCCGAGTCAGATGGGGCTGGGGAAGGGAGGAGGAGGAAGCATCAGTCCAGCAGGGGCAGAAAGGTCGTCTTTCTGGGGGATAATGAGACATGGATTCTATTCACACAAAATGACAGAGGAAATGGCAGAGCCAGGGCACAGGAGGAGGCCTGAGGTCAGGGTACGTGAGGGGCCCACCGGGGAATGTCACCACCCCTAGAGCTAGTCCCTCCAGGCCTAGATGTGACCATCCTATGGTCCCTGAACCTCATGTGGTGGAGGCCTCCTCACCTGGCTGACCAGCAGCATTGCTCTGAAGCTTACCAAATGCAGATTCCAGGGCACCCCATGTGGGTCCTAATTCAGTAGGAGTATGTGCAAGTGTGTGTGTGTGCATGCGTGCGTGTGAGTGTGTGTGTTTTTAAGCTCCCCAAGGGAGTGTTCAGCCATGTTTAGGAACCGTAGCCCTCAAACCAGTTTGTTCCCAAGGTATCTTAGAAAGAAAAATGTGAAATTGTAAGAAAGAAATCAACAATAATAAATGCATTATAATAATAAAGCTGGCTTAAAAATAAAAATAAAAATAACCTGTTAAAAGATTATGAACTCCTCCAAATCAAGGAATTTCTGTCTTGGTCACCCCCACTGCTGCCTGCACCATGCAGAGCTCCAGCACATAGCAGGTGCTCAGTCCACATGTGTGGAGCCGAACTAAACCAGAAAAGGACAAATGTATGAGGCTCTGCCAGGCCAGGAGTGTCAGGTCATCACATGCTGTACACAGTATGCAGGTGGGACAAGAAGTGGCGGAGCACTCAAGTTGCCCAAATGCTTCTAAAATGCTCTACTAAACACAAAGCCTGCAACAGGCGTCCCAACTCAAAGCCACCCCCACCTTCCTCTGTCTGCTCAGCACTGACTTCAACATAGTGCCTCTTCGAAATGCAAGAATTACTGGAACAGTTAACACACAAAAGGTTCATGCAGCATTGTTATAAAGTAGATTTTATAACAGCATAAAAAGTCACCAATAAAAATGAGCAATGCCCAGACGCAGAGTGTATGCATTATTTCAAAGTAACTCCAACTGTTGACAAACAGAAATAAATTACTTAGATTTTAAAAGAGGAGGGTTTTTTTAATATTTGTTATGGCCAATATTTTCTTAATTTTCTTTGTTGATTTTCATTATTCCTTTTAATTTAGTTTTTTTTTTATTTGTTTGTTTTGTTTTGTTTGTTTTTGAGGCAGAGTCTCACTCTGTCACCCAGGCTGGAGTGTAGTGGCCCGATCTTGGCTCACTGCAACCTCTGCCTCCTGGGTTCAAGCAATTCTCATGCTTCAGCCTCCCGAGTAGCTGGGATTACAGGTGTGCATCACGACTCCTGGCTAATTTTTGTATTTTTAGTAGAGACGGGGTTTCGCCATGTTGGCAAGGCTGGTCTCGAACTCCTGATCTCAGGTGATCTACCCACTTCGGACTCCCAAAGTGCTGGGATTATGGGTGTGAGCCATGACTCCCAGCCTAATTTAGTATTAATATTACAAAAGCATAAAGAAACCTTTATATTCAGAGGCAGAGATAATGGCACGAGAGCTTGACCTGATGATATCAGTACCATATTAACTCAGTGGTTTCCTTAAAAAATAAATAAATAAATAAAAAGTGAAACCATGATCAGTTCAGATTTATTGAGCATTTGCTTTGTGCTCAGCCCTTTAGAAGCATCTTCTCATTAATTACTCTAGGCAACTCTTTACTATTGTTGTGCCTCTTTTACAGAAGAGAAAACTGAGGCTGAGAGGTTTTGTGACTGACCCTAGGTCACATAGCTAGGGAGTGCCAAAGCCAGGAGTCAGTGTGATGCCACATCCCACATTTCTAGCCACGACATCATATCTCCCTCCTAAAAACAGAAATCCATTCATTTGGGCTGAAAGTGGTAAATGCCAGCCTGCTCATTACAGCAAAACAAACAATACCAAGGTACTGATTTGAGCAGTGCTGGCTGCCTCGGAAGCGTTGGCCGATTGGTAGTGGTCAGTCTCTGATTAGGAATAGAAGTGATCAGGCTTAATTTAAGCTTTGTTCAAACAGCCAGCAGAGTGGTAGAACACAGCCAGGAATTCCTGGGCTCACTCACATTGCCCAAATAAATGTCCAACCCAAGGACAGTTTCCCAGCCCAGGGAATTACACATATGGAGCAGAGTCATTCATTTGTCCTTTGAACAATTGTCCAGAGAATCAGAGACTCGCAGACACTGCTCCTTGGGTAGCCATAACTGTGTCCCCACTTTCCAGGGTGCCAGACCTACATGGACATCGTCATTGTCCTGGATGGCTCCAACAGCATCTACCCCTGGGTGGAGGTTCAGCACTTCCTCATCAACATCCTGAAAAAGTTTTACATTGGCCCAGGGCAGATCCAGGTGAGCATCTCTTGGGCTCTTTCCACTTCTGAACAGGGCCACCCAAACCCATGGCAGGTGCTGCCTTAGGTCTAAGAGAGATCTTTGCATGCACGAAGGAGGTGTAGGTAAGAGGGCAGAGGTAGTAGGGCCAGCCAGCACTGGGGCACTGCAGCTCAGGACACTCCTCTCTGGTGTAGCACATCAAATGACATTTTGGGGGAAGCCTCACTTCACGGGTCAGACACAAGACACCACCTGTGAAGACTTAGACAAGCTAAAAAGTGACAAGGAAGGTGGGAATGGTTGAGTGGAATCTAGAGCCCTGTCGAGTGGGGCACAGGGGAGAATTAGACATACAGGTCATGGAGGGAAGATGGTAGGAGAGGTAAGGGCTGCTAGGCTCATATATCTGAAACGCTGCCTGGCTAACGCGGAGGTAGATTCATTCCCTTTTATTCTGCCTGAGTGAGGACTAATGACTAGAAGTTATTAGATGGCAGATTTCAAGTCAATCTAAGAAATTATTTGTAACGATTAGGGCTGTTAAAAAGGGAGTGGACTTTCTCATGAAGTAATGAGTTCCCCATCACCAGAAGATCATCTTTTAGGGTATCATGGGTGAAAGTCCAGCATTAGAAGGGCACGTGTGCCAAATAAACCCTGTGGGCTCCTCCAACAGGAACGTTTCATGGTTCTATTCCTACTATAGGTCTTGAAGCTTTTTGTTTATTTTGATGCTATTAATATTGTCATTATTTTATCATCCATGGGGATAAAAGAACCTCTTACAAGTTTTAAGGAACCTCAGTTTTGGAGTTTGGTAAACACTGTGACCTTCCACCCACACTATTCATAATTTTTTGGACTTAGACTGATTCTCTGCTCTGCTTTTGTTTTCCTAAGAAAGAAGCATAATTGTTGGGCCTTTCTTTCAATCACGAAGTCTCCATTCTCTATATGCACCCCTTCTTGTGCCACCAAGCTGTCCATTCATTCCTAGAACTTTGCAGAACTCACTTCCCTTTGGCTGTGGTTACTTTCTTGGAAAGGTCCTCAGCCCTCCTCCCTCCTGTATTATCACACAGAGACAACTCCCGGGGATCCTCACTCTCAAATTCTAAGGTTCATGGGTTCATGGGGTCAAAATGTTCTGTTGCCCTCTCCTCTCCCTTGCAGGTTGGAGTTGTGCAGTATGGCGAAGATGTGGTGCATGAGTTTCACCTCAACGACTACAGGTCTGTAAAAGATGTGGTGGAAGCTGCCAGCCACATTGAGCAGAGAGGAGGAACAGAGACCCGGACGGCATTTGGCATTGAATTTGCACGGTAAAAAAAAAGTAGAACAAAAAAAATTTTTTTAGATCTCAGATGCTATTGTAGTTATCTATTGCCTTGTAACACACTACCACAAAATTTAGTACCTTGAGACAATAATTTCTTAATTCCTCAAAATTCTGGAGTTTGACTGGGCTCAGCTGGTCGGTTTTCTCTTGGGTCCTCTCAGGTAGTTGCAGTCTGGTGTCACCTTGGGCTGTTGTCATCTGAAGGTTCTCACGTGGCTGTCAGTTGTTGTTGGCTGTTGGCTGAGAGCTCAGGTGGGACTGGTGACCTGAGCACCCACACGTAGCCATGTGGCTTGATTTCCTTGTGGCATGGCAACAGGAGTTTTAGAGACAGCGTCCCAAGAGTGAGCATCCCAAGAGGCCCAGGCAGGACCTGGGAGACTGCCTATAACCTAGTCTCGAAGTCCCAGAATATGACTTCTGCCACATTCTATTGGTTGGGCAAGTGACTGAGCCCAGGCCAGATTCAAGGGGAAGGGAATTTGGTTCTGCCCTTGATGGATGAACAGCGAGGTCATTTTGCAGAAGAGCATTTAGAATGGGGAATATTGTTGCAGCCAACTTTGAAAAATAGCTTCTGCCACAGACACTCTATAAGAAGTAGGTTCTGTGAGGATGGGGTCTTCTTATGGAGTGTTAGTCATCAATGGAGTGGAAAGAATGCAGTCAAATCTGACACCTGAGACTGTATAGTAGTGAGGCTGATTCCTTAAAAATCACACCAGAACTCGGCCAGGAGTGGTGGCTCTCACCTGTAATCCTAGCACTTTGGGAGGCCAAGGTGGGCAGATTGCCTGAGCTCAGGAGTTCGAGACCAGCCTGGGCAACACGGTGAAACCCCGTCTCTACTAAAATACAAAAAAAAAACAAATTAGCCGGGCATGGCGGCATGCGCTTGTAGTCCCAGCTACTTGGGAGGCTGAGGCAGGAGAATTGCTTGAATCCAGGATGCAGAGGTTGCAATGAGCCAAGATGGTGCCACTGCACTCCAGCCTGGTGAACAGAGCAAGACTCCGTCTCAAAAAAATAAAATAAAATAAAATCACACCAGAACTCACTCATCCAGATAAATGTTATCCCTAGATGTTGTCTATGCAGAAGGCTACATGCTTATTCCAGTAATGTTGTTGCTCAAAACATTGTGCTCACCCCCCACTGAAATTAGCCAGTTTTAAAGGCAATCCCCAGATCTCTTGAGCCGAGGCCTAAACTCATAAGATGACTGTGTCAAAGGCATTTAGATTTTAAATGTCTAAGTGTTACACCTATAAATATGAATTCTGCTGCATTTGTTGAGACCACAGACCTGGTACCTTATAATCCCACCTTAGGTAGGGTTAGTTGACGTGTTTTTTAAAAAAAAAATCCACAAAGTAAGAGCTATTTAGGCCAGGTGCGGTGGCTCAGACCTGTAATCCCAGCAGTTTGGGAGGCTGAGGTGGGAGGATTGCTTGAGCCCATAAGTTTGAGACCAGCCTGGGCAGAAGCATGAGACCTCATCTCTACAAAAAATACAAAAATTAGCCAGGCATGGTGGTACATGCTTGTAGTCCCAACTATTCAGGAGGATGAGGTGGGAGGATCACTTGAGCCCAGGAGGCAGAGGCTGCGGTGAGCCAAGATCACACCACTGCACTCCACCTAGGCAACAGAGCCAGACCCTGTCTCAAAAAAAAAAGAAAAAAAGAAAAAAAGAACTATTTAGTAGTATTGTGAATTCGTAGGCTCAAAAGATTAAGACTTTTCCAACCTCATAACTCTTTATAATTAAGTCATTGCTCAACTAGCGTGTTTCTGTTTGCTGATAAAACTTGCTCAAGCTTTTCCTAAATGAGCATTTCTCCATGTGAAGGTGGCTGTCTTACTCATCCTCATAAGGAATGGGCCATTTTTCTGTTTTTGTTTTGCCTTCTTCGGGGTGAGACCCGAGACTCCCAGCAGGCCCTTGTGAAATGGCTTGGGTAAGGGAGGCAGCCCATAACCACCAGCTCTCACTTTCTCAGTGTGAAGCTAACTGACTCATACAGGGATAAAGCCCACTGTTTGGACCTCACTTTACAACCCACCAACCCCTGCTCAGTTATCCGTGTGTGACTCACCAGGTAGTTTGAACCATCAGTGACTCATGAGCACCGCTGAGGTTGCAATCTTCACCTCAAATTCTGATCTTCCCAAACTTCCAAATTCAAGTCCCAAACTACAGCTGGTGCCTTTTAAGGTGAAAGGTTTTCTGTCCTCACTCAGTTTATTCTTAATGCATGTTTTTTCCTATGCACCTATGAAAGGGCAAAGATCCAGGCCATGAACATGAGGGCTTATAAAGATGTCGGTAATCTGTGGGTCCTGGCCACTGATGGGAGGGCTGTGACAAGTGTTCACCCTAACCCTAACTCGGTGAGGATGAGAGAGGGAGGGGCCCCCATGGAGTGGCCAAGGAGAACTGCCAGGAGGAGGCGGCACTGGACCTGTCCTGGGAAGACCCTGGGATTCCAACAAAAAGAGGTGAACAGAAGACGTGCCACACAAGACATTCCACCCTGAGAACAGCAGAGGAGAGGGAAAGTCAAGGAACATTTGCATTCAGAGATGTGCTCCTTTTGACCACAGCAAGGGGTTCATGTTGGTGGGAAGTGAGCCATGTAAAGATGGTGGGAGTGATGATGTTGTAGTTAAAACCAGCATGGGTGGCCACTGCAGATTCTTGAGTACAGGAGTGTAATCATCAGATATGCACGTTAAAAAAAATGAGCCTGGCAGCTATGTACAGCAGGGAAGTGGAGAGGGCCCCTGAACAATGTGGTGTGATTCTACCTTTGTCCACATAACACTTTATTGAGCCTCTACTATGTGCCTCACACTATTTTAGGCACCAAGGCTAGATCAGTGAACAAAATAGGTACAAATACCGTGCCATCGTGAGCTGACATTCTAGAGAGAGGGGCAGACAATAAATAAATAAATAAATAACAGCATACTAGAAAGAGATGAAAGCTATGGGGAGAATGGAGTGTGGTAGCGGGAGTGGAGCAGGTGCAGAGGGCAGGTACAGAATCAGCATGCACAGGGTGGTGGGGAAAGGCTTCCCTGACGGATGACCTTTGATTGGAGATTTGAAAGGAGGTGAGGGAGTTGTTGGCAAGCAGATGGCTGGGAGGGAACAGCTCAGAGAAAGGCTTGGTGTGCCTGAGGCCTTCCAGACCATTGAAGAGTCCAGTGTGGGTGGGGGTGAGTGAGCAGGACCAGAGGCTAAGAGAGGAAACGGGCCAGATTTCAGAGGGCCTAGTGAGCTGTTGTCAGAATCTGGGCTTTCCCTGAGAGAAATAGGAACCTGTGCAGGTTTTGAGCAGAAAGGAGCTGTGACGGGGCCTAAATCTCCATGGGCCACTCTGGTTTCTAGGCCCATGGAGCCTGTTATGAGTATAAAGCTCTTGCTGCTCTCAAGGAATGTATAATCTAATTTACAAAGGAACAAATCCAAGTCCCTTTACCCAGTGCAGAATCCGAATTTAAAATCTGATGATTCATGCTGATATTCGCACGATTACAGATTCATATGACATTCACACTATTCCACTCTATGGAAATATGATCCTGACATTTTTCTTGGGTCCATATATAATAAAACCTGTTTTGCTCCTGCCATGCTTTTTTGCAGGGTGTTTTATTCCTGGGCCTGGCCCTTCCATGCAGTCATGGAAGCATCTAGAATCCCCTTGGAAAGAATAGCAGAGTTCTCCTGCTACTGGGTTGCGCTTGAGCTCGAAACCTGCTCTCGTCATGTGGCACGTGCCTCTGCAGGTTTCAGTCCACAGCACATACTAAAATTAGTGGGTTTTTTAAGGCAACATATCCAGCATATCGGAGAATTGCTAAGAGAATGGTGGATGTTTTTTCTCTTTGCTGGTAGTTTGAAGATGTTCTAAACTAATGTATTCCAGCTTTTGTAAATTCCTCAACTCCTAAATTGTATGCATCAGTTCCTCAGCGTGCTGCGTAAGAAGAGATACCTCTGATACCAAAGCCGTGTGGCTCTTTAACCTGTCACTACAGAGCTTAAATCTGTGGCCTGTCCTGCCTTGCTGTGGGTCAGACCCATGAGGAATAACCTCAGAGTCTAAGACTAACATTTATTTTTAGATCCTTATTGGCAGACTATAACTTCTGGGCCAGACTCCTCGGTGAGACCATGTCTATACCCCTCAGAACCTCATGGTCTAAAGGAGGGCCGGCCACAGGGACACCAAAAGCCAGTGGTGATTTGGGAGCCAGTTTTTCATGCTTTGTAGCCCAATGGCCTGTTACAAGAGCCTCTCTGCCAATTGACGGTCGAGGTGCCAGCCCTGCTGTCTCCTGGGCTGGATTGCCTGATAGGTGGGCTGAGCTCATGCTCTGGGCACTGAAAACAAAATAAAAAGTGAGAAAGAGAAATATTTGTCATGGAATTTGATATTTAATGTTTCCCAAAATAGAATCAAAGTAGTCCTTGTGAGGAAGTCAGAGCTCTGTCAGGCCTCATCGCACGCATTTTATGGGTTAGTGTTGTCTGGATGCTGAGTCACCCTGGCACATCCTGTTTTCAGTACTAAAGAAAGTGAGTCTCAACTCTGGATGCTCACCAGAACCTTATAAAATACTGATGCCAGCCCGGCACGGTGGCTCACAGCTGTAATCCCAGCACTTTGGGAGGCAGAGGCGGGCAGATCACTTGAGGCCAGGAGTTCGAGACCAGACTGGCCAACATGGCAAAACCCCGTCTCTATTAAAAATACAAAAATTAACCAAGCGTGGTGGCAGAGCTCTCTAATCCCAGCTACTTAGGAGACTGAGGCACGAGAATCGCTTGAACCCGGGAGGAAGAGGTTGCAGTGAGCTGAGATTGTGCCACCGCACTCCAGCCTGGGCAACAGAGGGAGACTCTGTCTCAATTAAAAAAAAAAAAAAAACTAATATCCAGGCCACCACCCCAGAGATTCCAATTTCAGGGGTCTGGCTGAGGCCTGGACATCAATGGTGTTTGTTTGTTTGTTTGTTTGGTTGTTTGTTTGTTTGTTTTGAGACAGTCTCACTCTGTCGCCCAGGCTGGAGTGCAATGGTGCGATCTTGGCTCACTGCAACCTCCGCCTCCCGGGTTCAAGCAATTCTCCTGCCTCAGCCTCCCGAGTAGTTGGGATTACAGGCGCATGCCAACACACCCGGCTAATTTTTGTATTTTTAGTAGAGGCAGGGTTTCGACATGTTAGTCAGGCTAGTCTCGAACTCCCAACCTCAGTTGATCTGCCCGCCTTCGGCTCCCACAGTGCTAGGACTACAGGCGTGAGCCACCGTGCCAGGCCAACAGTTTTTAAAGCCTCCCTCCGAGAGATGTCAGTGAGCAGCTGGGGTTGTGAACCACTGACTTAATGCCTCTAAAGGTTGCCACTTGCCCCTGAACTCCCCTCCCAGGTCCACCTCATCCCTTTGGCCTGTCCAAAACAGCAAGGTCAGGACTCCAAAGGGGCTTTTCAACATTTCATTTAAAAACAACAGATCTAAGAACCCTCTGAGCAGCTGGTGAAAGAGTAGCTCTGGCCATCTCAATCCAGCTACTTCTTTGGTTTGAGGTCCTGGCACCTGTTGGGTTGCCCAAGGAGGACTTGGTCCTGGTTTCTGTGGCTGCCCCTCTGCAGGAGCGTCAGGGGCTGCCCCAATCCCACTTACCTTTCATGACCCTGCCCCTGTGCTTGGCTTCCAGCTCAGAGGCTTTCCAGAAGGGTGGAAGGAAAGGAGCCAAGAAGGTGATGATTGTCATCACAGATGGGGAGTCCCACGACAGCCCAGACCTGGAGAAGGTGATCCAGCAAAGCGAAAGAGACAACGTAACAAGATATGCGGTGGCCGTAAGTCCTGGCCCGCCCAAGGGCTGCTGATGGCCTCTGAGAGGCTTTACCATCAAATCCCTGGGGACTCCAAGGGACTAGTTCCAGGCAGTATCACAAGTGTCCAGGCCCTCAAAAAAGCCTCCCATTTCATCTTCTGAACAACAAGTTGAGGATCTTTCTGCACTGCTCTGGCCTATCCACAAAAGCTACGGGTTGTGTTTCCCCCCATCCATTGCCAGGGAGGGTCTGGAACCTCAGAAAACTAGAATACACCTCCAAACCTCCCAGCTCCCAGACCCTAACTTAGCACAAGGGCTTTATCTTGCCCCTAAAAGAGAGTCCATTCCAAATGCAAATGGCATTGCGAGGAACTCTCATGGCTACCGGCCCTGGCTCCAGCCCACCCTGGGGTCCCCAGGGTCTAGGCCGTGTGGTGTATGGGAAAGTCTGTGCTATGTTCTGGTTTGTGGTTCCTGCCCCTGTTCCCTGGCAGGTCCTGGGCTACTACAACCGCAGGGGGATCAATCCAGAAACTTTTCTAAATGAAATCAAATACATCGCCAGTGACCCTGATGACAAGCACTTCTTCAATGTCACTGATGAGGCTGCCTTGAAGGACATTGTCGATGCCCTGGGGGACAGAATCTTCAGCCTGGAAGGTAAGCAATGCATGCTAAGAGGGGATCCACTCTCTCCTGGGCTTATGTCAGGTAAACCCCGTAGAGCACAAACCAATCCCACAAAACGAAATGGCTTAACAAGAGTCTTCCGTAATAATAAATGCCAGGCCAGGCATGGTGACTCACGCCTGTAACCCCAGCACTTTGGGAGGCCAAGGTGAGCGAATTGCTTCAGTTCAGGAGTTCAAGACCAGTTTGGTCAGCAAGGCAAAACCTCGTCTCTTTAAAAAAAAAATTACAAAAATTAGCTAGGTGTGGTGGTACATGCCTGTAGTCCTAGCTACTTAGGAAGCTGAGGTGGGAGGATCGCTTGAGCCTGGGAGGTTGAGGTTGCAGTGAGCTGATATCATGCCACTGCACTCCAGCCGGGGCAACAGAGCCAGACCCTGTCCCCAAAAATAAATAAATCATAAATGCCAACAATTGAGTATTACTCCGTGCCGGACGTGAGGCTGTGCGTTTTATGAACAATGCTGAAAGGTTGCTTTGCTAATGTTCTCATTTTTATCGCTGGGAAAACTGAAACTCAACGGAGTTGAGTGACCTGCCAAAGTTCTCACAGCTTGGGAGCATGGTGGGCTTTGAACTAGGGTTGCCAAATTTCGCAAAAATAAGATACAGTGGGTGTGGCAGGCTTAGGTTAAAACTTATTTGTTCTCTGAAATTCAGTTTTAATTGGGCATCCTATATTGCATCAGGCAACCCTAGCTTGTGCCTAGCAGAGTCTGACTCCGTATTCTGAAACCCTTAATCCCTATATGCCAACTGCTTCCACTCCACCAAAAGCATTTTTTATTTTGGGCAGAGTCCTTCAGATTGCCTCTCTCCTTGTGATTTAAGCTCCATTTCTGATTTGCATAAATTTCATTTCCACCATAAATTGCTACAGTGGGCCCTTCCAATATCGGGCTTTGGGCATATGGGAGGATTATAAAAGGAAATAGAAGGCAGTATAAAGCCTGAGAAGTCTGCAGTGCATTGGAAATGACAAGCCACAGACACACGAAGAGACTAAAATGGCCCTCGTAAACAAGGGCAGATGAATATAAAGTCTGAACGTGAGCTTTGACACCCACTCCAGAACTCAAATATCCAAATCTGTATTTCTCCTCAAAATGGTCGCCTTGAGTGATGAGAACATTCGATCCAATGATGTGTTCAGGGAGTCCCTCTGTGGGGAGAGGCTTTCAGCACTCATGGGATTTCTTACGCAAATCTGCAGTGGTGACAGACCTCCCTCTGAGGGTGGATTTGATGTTTGAGTTCCATCCAAAGACATCTGGAACCAAAGCTAGTGAATAAAAGGAATGAACAAAGTGGGAAATTCCATTTCTGGCCAAAAACGTACACTATTTCTGTGCACTTTTGCTTACTTTCCCTCCAGTTTTAGCAGTCTCATAGTATACATGCCCTGTAATATAAGTTGTCCCGAGCCCTTTTCAGAAGTAAGTGGGCTACCAGTAACAACCCACATGGGCACCTGGAAGGTGTGTGGTGCCCCCCACTGCACAGGGTGCTGGGGAGGGCTGAGGAGGCTGGCACACTACTGGCCTCAGCTTCAGAGCCCCCCCTCGAAAGAGAGCCCCACCTCCTGACGATGCCCCCAGGAAGCAGGAGCTGTGGGTTGGGCAGCAGATCTGTCTGGCGCTAAGGGATTGGGCATGGAGCTGACATCTCTCTGTCACTCTGTTGCAGGCACCAACAAGAACGAGACCTCCTTTGGGCTGGAGATGTCACAGACGGGCTTTTCCTCGCACGTGGTGGAGGTATGTGGTGGAGGTACGGGCACAGAGCCCAGCCTCTGTCTCTCGAGGGCATGCTCTTCCCCTTTCTAGCTCTCTGGATCTGTCATCCACCTTCACAGATGGGTTGGCTCTTCTCCTCACTTTCTCTCTTTCTTGGGGTCTCTCTGCCTCCCATCTTCTGTGGGCTGGAAGAGGGGAGTCGAGGTCTTCCACCTATTTATGTTGTCTTAAGCCACCAGACAATGAGTAAACACCCAGGTGATCCTTCCCACAAATAACGTACAATCTGTAGGACAGCAGAGAAATAGCCACAGTTCATTTGCTCTTTAGAAGCGAATGGACTACAGACAATAATCCCATAATTTCACCTGTGAGGCGCGGGGTGTGCCTTCCCATTCAGTCCACAGAGCCTTGTGCAAAATCTAGGGCAGGTGGCAAAGCCAATGGCACGTGCTTTGGATAGCTCCAGTGCCCAAGGCGGCCTGCACATGCCAGGCCCCATGTCAATGTTGGGAGGGTATCCAGATGTTCCAGCTGTGCTCTGGCAGGTGACTCATAGGCCCCCCCCACTGTGTGGGTGCTGCATCAGATTGCAGAGGTCCTGGGGTGGGGCTGGCCCACAGAGGGAGGGGTGTGGTGTCACAAGCAACATGTGACATCTGGGGCTCTGCATCACTCCCCCGCTGTGTGCTTCACCTGGTGCTGGTTCATAAGGAGGGGCTGGAGCCTCCCAGGACTGCAAGGGGGACAGAAGAGTCGATGTCTGTGAATATGCTTAATGTACTGTAAAGTCCTGCCCAGGATTGTCATGTGGGAAAACGTACCGACTGCATCTGTCAGTATCGATACGTGCTCCTGTGGGTGTGCTTTGCACAGACAGGTGTCCCAGGTGCATGTGTGTGCAAGTGTGTGTGTGTGTGTGTGTGTGTATGTGTGTTCTGCCTGGGCTGGCACCATGAGAGTGTACTTATTCCTCCTAATTTACCAGAGAAGGCCCATTAGTGCATCCTAGTTATATGTCACTGTCATCCTGTTGCCCTCTCCTAACTCCTCTGTGAGGTGGATAGGGCAGGACTCCTTGTTCCTAGTTTACACATAAAGAATTCAAGGCATGAGAAGGTTAAGTGACCTGCTGGAGTAAAATTCTTCAGAAAAAATATTAGTCTCGTGCTCTTTCCTCTACACCAAGCAGCTGCTCCGTGAGAGGGAATCTCCGGGGGTCTGAGTCAGAACTTCCAAACTGGAGGGGAGGGGGACATGTGCGTGACATGCAGCCGGCAGATGGACGGAAATGCCACTCACACTCAGACTTTTCTGAGCTGCATCTGGACAGTTTCATGCCCACTGTCTTGAATAACAGCAAGATGTAAATATAGCTGCCCTATCCTAATAACAGCCCTGTTACATGTGCACAGCGGTTTAAACTTCTCCAGGAAATTCCTGCACCTCATTTCACACCAGAACAGCCCTACAAGGTTGGCAGGTGATGATAGTTATCCCATTTTAGGTGGTTGGATCAGCCACTCTTTTCAGTGCCTTCTCTGTGCTGGGTCCTGAGCCTGATGCCAGGAGAATCAGAGGCGGGAGCCCTGCCCTCAAGGAGCTCAGAGTCTGAGGGTAAAGAGCCCAGCACAGCGAGGTGAGAGCATCCATTCATGTGGGGGCCAGCAGAGTCATGTGCTCTGGCAGGACCAGCCCTGGTCTCCAGACTCTGACGTCAGAGCTGATTAGAAAACGCAACAAGGAAATGCAATTTAATTAAATCTACATGCATTTGTCAAGTGCCACTAAAGTGCTGAAAGGACCCGGAAATGATTCTTGCCACCAGGAGTCAACTTGTAAACAATCCTGAACGGCAGTTCTTAGCTTTGAGAGTAGGATGAAAGAAACTATAGATGCCTTCTAGGTAAAAGTGTACAATACCTGGAGGCCCCCCTCATCCGAAGATCCCCTGTGAAGACCCCCTGCTCAATGCAGGGGATAGGGGGAGACATGCACATGTCTAATGTTAACCAAAGCAACGTGATCAAGGTAGTATAGAAGGAAGGGCCTCCACTAAAAGAAGGGGTGGTCAGGGAAAGATCCGGAGAGGGCTTGGCACTCGAGCTGCCCCTAAAGGACACGGATTTCAGCAGTCCTGGGTGGCAGTAAGCAGGAGAACAGAGAGCATTATGGACACACACTGGGTGACATCCTGGCACAGCTCAGAGGTCAGCCCTGGTGTTGGGGACAGAAGAGAAAATGAATGTCCCAATGTTTCCTTTGTCCATTCACAGCCATTTTTTGAGTATCTTCATGTGTGTCAGACTCTGTACCAGGTACATTAAAGAAACATTTCAGCTGACAGCCATTCATAGCCTAGCTGGGGAGAAAGACTCTTAAATAATCAGCTCACTGTCCTGCTTCTAAAATCATGATCTGTGTCTGCCTAGGAATCGGGGAATCTAAAAAGAGGAGGACATTAAAATGGGCTTCAGGGACTCAGGGAAGCTTGAGCTGAGCCTTGAAAATGGCTCCAGCAGTTCAGTGTTGAGCAAGGTGAGTCCTTGCAGGATCAACAGGTTCCCCAGCTTCCAGAGTGAGGAGACCCAGGAGCTCACAGCCTCAGCACAAGACTTCGGTCACGTCAAGGTCATGACTGCCATGTGCAGCCCCTTCCACATATGCTCAACTTCTCTGTTCCCCAGGCAGAGGGATGCAGCTTGCCTCTCCCATATACCCTAGTTCTTCCATCACCCCGACACAGGGACCTAGCTTGACTCTTCCTCATACCCTAGTTCTTCCATCACCCCTGATATTTTCATCTAATTTGACTTTAAGAGAGACAACGATCGCATTTGAATCTGAGACTCTTTAGTATTAAAAACAAAAACAAAAACAAAAACCTTTCAAATGCACAGGAATGGTGCAAGCATGATGGGCTGGCTGGCTCTGTGACCGGGCACTGGGGGCTATTTTAGAGCACAGACGTCTTTCAGTGCCAGGCCGCTGATGCCATCATGAATGGCCACAGCCATCCTGTCCCCAGGAGTCCAACTCCTCAGCTCTCAGGGTCAGTTAGGCCTCTCTGGGGATCAGGGCTATTGGGTCCAGCCTTTCCACTTTGCCCTGAGCATGTCTGTCTCCCAGGCAAGCCCCCAGGCTTCCTCCCTGCCAGAAGCGCCACAGATGGTCTCAAACAGCTGCTGCCTGAAGAGATACTGAAGGAGCCTGAGGGGCTTCCCCGGGCCTGTTTAGTTCTGGTAGAAGGAGAGATCCCTAGTAGAATGTTCTCAGATGGCAGAAGAAAGGCCCGGCTCCTCCTTGCTTGGTTTGCTGCCGTCTTAATGAGCAAGGAAATCAGTCTTTGAATTAGCAAGGGTAAAAACAACAGGAGAGAGAAGGGACCAGAGCCCAGGGTACAGGGGAGACCCCAAGACATCACCTGGACACCCACAGAGTCCAGGGCCCCAAAACATTACATTCCAGGCTGAAGGCAAAACGTCTGAGCCATTGGGAAAACCCGGGTAGCTGGAAACCCTAGTCTTGATTTGCAGAAAGGGGAAAGAAAATATTCCAAAAATTATCATCAGGAAGGCTAGCTGTGGATCCCTGGTCAGACTTTAGAATACATTTTTAAGCTAATGCTTCCATTAGCATTTGGAAATGAACGCAAAGGTCACTAAGAGCCAGAGTGGCTTCCATTAGTGCTGGCTGTCTGCTGAGGTAGTGAACTACCTGTCAAGCTGGGTAATCAAGCAGGAGCTGCAACAATCTGCCAGAAAGTTGGGAGAAGGGATTCACACCTCCAGAGGGGGACTAGACTCTAAGACTCTGTAATCCCATGGGCCTTGAGGGGAAGATGCAGAGGGAGAAAGAGGACTACAAAGAATTGATGGGCATGGGTGACGGTGTGCAGAGGGCTCAGCTGGAGGGATTTCGCATCCGCCTTCCTACACTGGAATCCTAAATCTGCCCTAACTCCAAAAGTTTACAGAAGGAAGCAGTTTTATCAGGGTAGATCTTGTCTACGCAGAAACCTTGGTGACTCACCCAAGGTGGGAAGAGATCCTTTTTCTCTTGTACCTAAAGGTGAGGTCACTTACCCTGCACGTGATGACCTAACAGGACCAGTGCTCAGTTCTGTTATGAAGCAGGTCAAGTTCAGCTGAGCCCTGTGTGGGAGGGTCCTCTGCAGCACCATCACCCATGCGCATCAATTATTTGTAGTCCTCTTTCTCCCTCCGCTTCTTCCCCTCAAGGCCCATGGGATTACCGAGTCTTCGAGTCTAGTCCCCCTCTGGAGGTATAAACATCCCAGATGAGCTACCCCAGCCACCCTCCTGCCTCTTCAGCCTGTGCCCATCCCACAGGCCCTCCTGGGATTGAGGTCTAGACAATGAAGGGTATTGGCTATTCGCTAAGGTTCTTAGTGGCTGAAGCTTTAGAGGTGTAATCTTCCCTAAGGGTTTCGCATTTGAACTGGTTTTGCGTATCTGATTCAACAAAAAATGAGAGAAGCTGATGGATAATGGTGAATTGAGGAGTTGACCTGTGGAAGCTGTAAACCCCTCCTGTGCCCCCCTAGACCTAAACAATAGACTCCTTCACCTGCCAGGCTGGGCGGGCAGTCAAGATGGTCTCCTGGCCCTCTCCCCAGGGGTCCAGGACACAGCAGCTGAGGTCCTCTGCCACGCTGGTCCCAAGGGTTTGCGAGTTGTCTCCTGGTGGCAGGAATCATTTCTGGTTCATTCGGGTCCTCCTAAGCCTGGCCCCATATCCTCAGGCTGTGCCCTAGTGCCCACTCCTGGGTCTCTTTCCCAGGGCCTCTGACAGGAGGCAACCAACTCTGATGGGGAATGAGCAGTCAGTGTAGCACGCCCAGGTCCCCGCGGCCCCTTCTGCTCACCCCAGCTGCCGGATTCCAGCACCGCACATGGTGAGGGCCCCTCCTCCACAGAAAGGCAGAGGGGCTGTTTCTGGGCCTTTCCTGCCCACACCCCATTTAAGCCTCCTGGCCATTCATCCCTTCCTCAGGTCCACTTCAAGCTTGTTGAAACAAGCCTTCTAAGACTCCAAGCCATTAGTGAAAAAGCATAATCCACCCTCTAAATGGTGTATGTGCCTTAGAAGGGGCTCCTGGGAACAGAGCCTCACCCCTCTACAGCCACTCTGACGTGGACTCTCGGGAGTTTGGCGGGGGAGGACAGCCTCGGTGTCCTCTAGGGGTCTCCCATCACACCAGCCCACAGCACCACCAGCGACTACCTCCACCTGGCTCCATCGTCTTGCCTCACAAAAGCCAAAAAGAGCTAGAAGGAAGAATTACTGGCACCTGGTATCCTAATTCCGTGACTACTGGGCAAGAGGGAAGCACTGTCTGGCATGTGGGCTCAGAAAAATCATTTGACCTGTCTGAGCTTGTCTTAGTAGATGTCTGAAGAATATTTGTGAAATCGAATCAAGGCTTGGAACTGGAAGTGTTCGTTTTGAGACTTACTAATAAATCAAGTAAGATTTTCTTAAAAGCCTTTCCTAACCCTACTATGTACTCACCCCCTCTTCTCAGTTGTTCACCTGCTCCTGGGACTGCCAAAATAACCGGTCCCTGACTCCATCAGAGCACTTCTCACATGCTACCGCAATGACGAACGTGACTGTGACACCTGATTCTTCGACTCCCGACCACTGGGGAGATGCTTACAGATGGATTCATGAACGAGAAGAGCTACCATGTACCAAGTACTCACTGGCTGCCAAGTGCCCTGCTAAGAATTAAAAATGCTGATTTTCACAACAGAACTATTTTACAGCTGAGGAACTCAAGGTTCAGAGAGAGAGAGAGAGAGAGAGAGAGAGAGAGAGAGAGAGAGAAGAACTTGCCCAGGGTCACACAGCTAGAAGCTCTGAGCTGGAAGTGGAACTCAGAAGCCTCTGACTCCAGAACTCCTTCCTGCTCTCACCACCACG
Organism: Homo sapiens; assembly: GCF_000001405.40. Lineage (NCBI taxonomy): Eukaryota > Metazoa > Chordata > Mammalia > Primates > Hominidae > Homo > Homo sapiens. The sequence goes on along the minus strand of NC_000015.10, from coordinate 68,342,901 downwards.
CCAGGGATCCTCCACCTCTGTCCTAGTGACATCTTGGGCTGGATAACTCTGCCGTAAGGGACCATCTGGTGCATTGTAGGATGGTTAGCAGCATCTCTGGCCTCGACTCACTAGACACCAGTAGCACCCCCACCACTACCCCCAGCTGTAACAAGCAAATATCACCTAGGGCACAAACCTGCCCCGGCTGAGCAGCACTGCCCTAGACCATGCTGCCTTCACTGCCGGGGCTGTGGTCCAACCCTGGCTTGGGACATGGACTGGCCGGAACACAGGGCTTTGAGAGATATGGTCACACACCCTGGGAGCACGCAGCTCAGCTGGGAAGGCAAGACTGCCTCAGAGGCCAGGTCAGAGGGCAGCTGAGAGCTGAGTTGGCAGGGTCTGGTGGAGGGAGCTACACACACTGCAGGTGCTAGGGCTACAACGTCCTTTGGGAAGGCACAGCGTGGCCTCAGACCTTCTGACAGCTGCCAAGCCTGAGACCTCATGTCTACACAGAACGCCAGGAAAATCAGCTTGTGGGGAAGGTCCCCTCGTGCAAGGCCACCCAGGCACACCCTGGTAATATCTGGTGGGAGCCCAGGTGGCCCCACATAGGAAAGGAGGCTATAAAACAGGAAGCCAGTGCGAGGCCTGCAGAGCGGGGGACACAGCTCTTCCCGGGAATGCCCACTGTTTGTTTGCCAGCTGGGCCCACGTGCCTGACTTCCCCTATTAAGGATTTGGTCCCTTCTCTTTTTTTGCCCCACCCTTCTAGATTTTTCTAAACTCAAAATGTCTGGGCTTCCCCAGCTGGGAAGAGATTGTGACATACTAAGGCTTGCTTCAGTGGCCTTAACCTGTCTACTCCTCACAGTGTCCCCATCCTCAGAAGACTCTCCCTGGCCACAACAAATTCACTCTCAGGAAAGGGCCTCCCACTGCAGGCCCAAGACTGCAGCTGCTGTCAGGGTTAAAATGGGATGAGGTGGGAGACTGTAAGCGATCGCCTGGCCAAGTGTTGCCAAATCCAGAAGTCATGACGGAATTCCCCAAGCTCCCATAGGGAGAATCAGTGTGAGGGGTCTCCCCGGCTGAATCCCACGCCCCTGGGCCAAGCCAGCCCTTCTCAGTACATCACAGGGGCTCCCTGTCATCTGCAGAGCCAGAAATTCATCTTCAAAGGCCTGTCCATGAAGCACAGAAGCCAGGTCTGCAGTTACAAACTTGGACTCAACAGGCAGAGAGAGGGAGGAAAGCAAGGAAGAAAGTCAGACCCCAAATACTGCGCCCCTCCCTCAGGAGGGTTCAGGTGGAAAATGGAAAGCTGGACCCACAGCAGGCTTTGGGGAAACAGATAGATGTTTTCTTCTCTGCCCTACTTACCTCTCTGGTCAAAGCCCCAGCCCTGCCTCTGACTTGCTGTGTGACCTTGGGCAAGTCCCTTCCCCCTCTGAACCTCAACGGCTCATTTGTCAAGTGCAAATAATGAACATCTGTCCTTCTGATTTCACAGGGCCTCTGGGCCCAAATGGGCAGCCAGATGAGAAAGTACTCCACAAAGAATAGAGCACACCCCACGTGCAGGAATGTTGGTGGTGACTTTGTGGACAGCGAATATATGAGTTCCTGGCTCCTGTCGTGGCCCGAACAAACTGTCAGAGCCTCCTAGGCTGAGGCTCGAGCACAGAGTAGCAGGAAGAAGGCTAATTAGAAAGTACAACGTGAAACATAACCAAGCACATTGACTCTCCCAAGACCAGCTTATTTATAGCTGTAAAAACATTCTGTCTGAACAGTCAGTTCTACCTCTGGAGGGTTAGGATTTGTTAACCCTTTGATAAGATCAGCTTGACTCTGTAAAGCGGTGGGAATCTCAAGCTCACCCAGGCAGCCAGGCAGCCGGGCTCAGGGAAGGCTCCGTGGGAGAGAGTGGTGATTTACCAGCCTGTGTTTTGAAAGCCCAAAGCTGGGATCCAGACAGTCTGCCCCCACCCCTGTAATCACCAAGGTAACCCAGAAGGCAGCCCTTCCCTGTTTCCACCACCTTCCTTGGGCCCGTCATCGTCCCTGGTCATTTTCCTTCCTCTTCCAAGTGCTGGCTGTTTGTCTGCCTGTACCCAGTAGGTATGTCGATTGCTGAAGCAGGGGATCGGGGATACAGGAGAGAGAGGGTGAGTGGACCCAGTCTTCAAGAAAGGGCCATGGGGTCAGTAACCTGGAAACTTTCCCTCAAGGAGCCAGAGTTTCCTGTCTTCCTGCCCAAGCATTGCAGCTTCCCCTTGTCCTGCAACTGGTGGGTAGAACAAGACCTTCCAAGCCCTGAGAAACAAGCAGAAGCACCAGTGCCTTGGGTGCTGGCTGTCATGGAGGTGGCCCTGGCTTATCTGTCCAGCCTCATGTCAAGGCTCTCTGCCCCTCTTGCTTGGTGCTCCAGCCCCATCAAACAGCGTTCAGTTCCTTATGAACAAAGGTTCCGTGCTCTCTCCAGCCTCAGAGCCTTTGCACAAACTGTTCCTGGCCCTTTTCTCCAGCTCTTCTTTCTCTCTGGCTCTACCCATCTTTCAGGTACACGGGTAAACATGACATCCTCGAAGACTTTTCCTGACCCCCATCTCAATCTAGATTCAGCCTCACTGTGGTTTTCCCTGATTGCGTTGATCACAGTTTGCAACTGCATGTTTGTTGAGTATTTTTTTTTTTTTTGTATCTTCAAGCTCTGTTGCTGGTGGTTGGGGGCGGGGATACGGGGGACAATATCCCTGGCACCAAACAAATGCCTGGCACAAAGGAGACCTCAGTGAATGTTTGCTGAAGAAACCAAGGAGTAGGATTTACGTGCAGGGAAGCAACTCAGACACTGCAAAGAAATATTAAAGAAGGGCAAGTGCAAGGGGCCCTTTCCCTCCTTCAATACATGTCAGAAGGAGTGGACAGTGGCGAGACGGTCCCTAAAGGGTTTTGAAGCCCAAGGAGGGATGGAGGTTTGGCCCTGGATTTAGAGTTTGTTTCTAGAACATTCCTTTTTCCCTAAATTCCTGTCCTTGGGATCAATTTGACCCATTTTGTGCCAAGGATGGAATGGGGCAAGAAAGTCTCCTTGGCTTATTCAAAAGCCAAGAGCCCCAGCCAGAAGTTAGGTTGCTAAATAATGCACCCAGGAGAAGGTGCCCGAGGTGGCTGGTGGAGGCGTCACTGGTCATAGGACCTGATGTGGCTCCTGGCAACTGGCCCATGAGGACAGGTGCTGATGTGTGTCCCCTCCCCAATGCCAGGATGGGGTTCTGCTGGGAGCCGTCGGTGCCTATGACTGGAATGGAGCTGTGCTAAAGGAGACGAGTGCCGGGAAGGTCATTCCTCTCCGCGAGTCCTACCTGAAAGAGTTCCCCGAGGAGCTCAAGAACCATGGTGCATACCTGGGTAAGAGCGCAGAGTGAGGGGAGGCTGGCGGGTCGTGGGCCGGGAGGGCACCCAGGGGCTGCACAACCCCCAGCCCACACACGAGTGAGGGGCCTGCTGTGTATATTCTGGGCTGATTCAAGCACCCAACTCTGAAGAGCATCCCCGGGGGCATTTCCTCTCCACCCTGGTATCCACCGCGCCCAGCACCATGCCCAGCGTATAACAGGCTCTCCATAAATAGGTAGAATAAAGGACAAGCAGTTCCCCACTCCCTTCAATGTGTTTCATTTGGTGCTTCTAGACTCTGGGTCAGCTGTTGTTGTGCCTTAAAGCTTTTGGGGCTGCCTAGGGCTCCAGTACACTGAGCCTGCCTCCCAAAGGCAAAACGCAAGTCGAGTGGAACCTGCATTCATTTTTATTTCTTAATGTTCATAATCAAGGCAGAAGTCGCTGCCCATGAAGCACTTTGGAAGTGGATATCTAGATAGAAGCACAAATCATTGATGGTGAAGGTCCCAGCAGCGAGGCCTTAGCCTGCTGGCCAAAGTCACCTTCCAGCTCTGCAGGAGCAGTCACCTGGCCATCCCCAGGCATGTCCCATTCGCCATGGCTTGTTCCTTTCTAAAGGAAGGGCCAGAGGGGAGGGCGGCAAGGGGGGTGATGTTCAGGGTCCCCACTGTCTCTGGGTCTTTCAGAATTTCTGAACCAAATCCACTGTCTGTGAAGTTACTCCTCATTGAGGCCTCCTCGGACCCCACTCCTCCATGGACTTGGGGCCACCCAGAGTGGACAGCGAATCTGTCCATGCGTCCATCTTTCTGATGCTTCATCCCATCCCAACCTTTGTTCCTCAGCTCGTTAGCCAATACCCTGCCTATGACTCTGCCCACCCTGTGGTTACCCTGTTTTCTATCCCCAACCATGGGACCCTCAGCTGACAAAAGGGCAAAATGCTGGAATCAGGACTGTGCTAGAAAATTCAGAAATGTAGATCCCTAGAAGTTTCCCAACAGCACCTGGCCCTAGGGCCTGCGTTCCATTTAATTCGCAAGGTGTTAAACCTGAATTGCATAGCACCTGCAGTTGATGCCATCAGAGTGCCATGTTAAGTGCCGTGGTAAGCAGGACACAGCGCCTGCCCTCAAGCTGCTTCTGGGCCAGTGGGAGACACAGACATGTGCGCAGATAATTATAACACAATTGAGGTAGGAGCTCAGATAAAAGCACAAATAAAGGAGAGAAAGATTGGAGTCCTTGCCTTGGCAAATGCTCAAACACTGGGAAAGATGCTGGAAGAACAAAGGCTAGCAACCCTTTAACTAGAAACTAGAATGACTCGTGTTTTATTGTGTTTCCTCCCAAGTGTACAGCCCTGTGCTGGAAGTGAGGAAACCAAAGAAGGGGTGCAAGGTGCAGGTGCCTCGAGGCATTAAACAGCAAGGCAGATCACATCAGGGTGTCCCAGGGCCCATGAGGTTAATTCCAAGTGAGTCAGAGAAACGATGTGGTTGGCCATGGTCCAGCGAGCTGGTACACTCGGGACCTACTGTGTAGGAGCTGGAGCCTACACCAGGTCTCCACCGCAGGGGCCATTTCAAATAAGCCAAGAAGGGCCAAGAAAAGGAGGAACATGTGGGAAATACCAGGTTATTTCAGGACCCAAGAAGTAGATGAGTGTGGCTGGAGCAGGGGGCAGAAGTGGGAACATGGAGGAGAGGGAAGGTTGGGATAGACTGTAGCAGGAGGCCTCGAATGCCAGATTAAGACGTTTGAGCTTTTTCATGTTGGCAACAGGGAGCTGAACATATCTGAGTGAGAGCTCAGCAGGATGAATATCCCCCTGGCCCAGCAAAGCCACCCTGCTTCCCCTCCCAGAAGACCCTGATAGGGTAGAGCTTGGCTGATGGACACTCATGAGGCCCAGCTGTCATGCCTTAGCCACAGTCACTGCCTTGGGTGGGGGTCTTGAGGGAGTGCCTTTTCTCCTCCTCCTCCTCCGTCTAGGAGTCATCCAGTGAGAGCAGTGTCTGGGTTCTCTGCTGGGGCAGAGATGCCTGCTGGAAGATTCCTCCTGTGTTTCAAGGGAGAGGAGCCCTACAGGGGAAGGAGACCAGGAGGCCAGCTCCCAGCCTCCACTGGGGGTGCAGTATAAATTTCGGGCCATGGTCCTACCCTTTCATCAGGCCTTCAGGGAGGCTGGCCCAGCCTCAGAATGGCCCTTCCTGCTGGCCAGAGAGTTGCCTGGGTACCAAAGGTGCTGCCCACAGACAGCTGGAAGGCAGGAAGCTCTGTGAACTTTGAATGCTGACCCATGCCTGCCCAGAGGACACTTGGACCTCAAACTGCATCTCAGTGCCCCTCCTTCCAAGCAGGCCCAGAAGCCCAAGACCAACTGAGAACATTTACAGTAGTGCCACTGAGGGCTCAGCTCAGAAGAAACCTTTGCCCTACACCACAAGGCTAAGCCCACCCACCCATATATTTATGATTGCTCTAAATACATGGCCATGTTAGCCACCCCTTGTGAGGTCTTGGTATTATGGACCTGTCAAGCCTCATTTCCCAAAGTACAGCCTCAAGAGTGAAAACTGTTGTGTCTGGAACCAGAGCAGTTCACCCCCAGGCACTGAGTCAGCTCATCTGTACACCCTATAGCCACTCTAGAAGCAGCCAATGAGACCCAAGTGACAGTGTTACACACACAGATACGCAGATGCACACGCATATATGTGCACACACACACTCACACACGTGCATTGCAGGGGACATCTGTTCCCCAGAAACAGCCCAGGAACTGTCAACAAAGTCCAACACTCATCTAAAATCTGGGATCCAAGATTATCTGGCAGAAAGTGGAATTCTAGGATGCCATCGGCTTTCCACACCTGCTGGAGCCCACTTTCAGGAGAGTTGCCTGAAGTTGCTGCACATTTGCTTCCTGGGTACTGGGTGGGCGACTTGAGATTCACAGTGATCAGGCACAGCCATACCGGGAGCGGGGATTGGCAGCCTTTCCAAAAGAGCCCCTGGGGTTCCTTTTCTTTCTCTTTGGCATGCTGTATGTATGGGGCTGACAAGAGCCTAGGAGCTTCCACCTTTGAGTCTGCAAAGCTTTGGGGCTGCAAGAATCCCTGAGACCCCATGTAAATATCTGAAGCAGACCAACTCCTTCCACATTTACGGCTCACACTCTAGTCCTCAGTGAGCCACTTAGCAGGCGTTTGTGGTAATAAAGAGAACCCTGGTTAGTCTCCAAGAGTGAAGATTGGTGGGGAACCAAAACAAAGTCTCCCCAGTATTAACTGAAGTGAGGCTAGAGTCTGCCCTACTCCCCATTGCCCTCTGCTGTGCTCATGAGCAGGTGAAGGAGGGATGTGTGCATTTCAAGTTAGTCTTTTAGCAGTCCCACCTGGCTTCCTTTATTTTCTCCAGCAGGGGCTGGGGTGCAGTGAGTTCTCCCTACCCTCCAAACCCCCTTCCTGGGTCCTGCCTCTTCCAGGCCTCCCCAGCTGCCCCTAGGAATTATGGCCCTGCGTGATTGAATCTGCTCAGCTAGCCCTGAACCTACCCCATCACTGGCCCATCCTCTGGCACTGCCAAGCCATGCACCGGGCCAAGCAACGCCTGCTGAGGACACGGTGCCAAAGATCAGCCTGTTTCCTCCTGTGGCAGGGTACACAGTCACATCGGTCGTGTCCTCCAGGCAGGGGCGGGTGTACGTGGCCGGAGCCCCCCGGTTCAACCACACGGGCAAGGTCATCCTGTTCACCATGCACAACAACCGGAGCCTCACCATCCACCAGGCTATGCGGGGCCAGCAGGTAATGGAGGGGGAGCCTGGGGCCGGGATGGAGGGAAGAGGGGGCAGATCAGACAAATGGGAGGGCAGTAAATACAGGCATGCCTGGACCACTGGGTGCCCCAAAGGGCAGTCATGTTCCTCCAGCCACCTTCATGCTGCCAGGAGTGGCAGGAGTGCGCATCCACCTACAGAAGGCCCCATGGGCCCTCCAGGATGCCAGCTGCTTCCCTTTTCCTGGAATGGAAGCAATGAGGAATGGGAAGGCTGCCAATGCCATTGCCCCACAGGGAGGTGGTTGGCAACCAGACTGTGCTGCCAAGAGTCCTGTGGTGGACAATGATGAATGCAAATTGGAAAGCTATAAGAGTCATTGGTGGTGAAAACAGGGCTCCAATCCCAAGTCACTTCCAGCACAGGGGAAAACTGGGCTCCTGGGAAGCAAGGTGGCTTTCCCAGGGTTCTATGGCAAATTCATGACTGGGTCAAGCCAAGAACCCTCTTGGTGGGGCTGCCTGCATCATGCCACCTCCTGACCCCAAATAACCCCAAAATCAGGCCTGGGCTCCTCCTAACCAGCAGCATCTGTGCCCTCTCTAGGCCAGAGCTGAGTGCTGTCCAGGCCCTTCCATGTTGTCCCCAGCTCCCTGCCGGCTCTCCTGAGCCTGGGAACAGTCCTGTCTCCTGAGTCTCTGACTGCCCTTGGCTGGTCACTGTGAGAATCCGCTCCTCACCGAGTCTAACCTAAATCCCTCTCACTGCAGAGCGCCACCCTCCTGCCATTCCTCCTCCTGTCTCTTGGGTGCAGGCCATCCCAGGCAGCTCAGCTCTCACCCTCCACCCTGCCTGCCCACACTCACCCAGGGCCAGCTCTTTTGGGAATCGAGGGCTAGACCTTGAGAGCTGGAGGGAATTTGCTGATGAATTTATGACATTTTTCCTGCCCAGTTCCGCCTCCAACATCCGAAGGAGAAACCACAGTGCTGAAGGCAGCTAAATTAAGTGAATTCCAAATCGCGGTGACCCACATAGCTGAGGCCACATATTTAGACAAATTTCTCCCGCCCCCTCCCTCACTTGCTGTCTGTCCGCTTCTTAGTTACTTTATGTAGGCACATCTCTTCCCTCTCCCACCCATGTGTATTATTTCCCTTTCCTCTCTTCTAAATTTTTTATCCTTCTCCTCAGTTAAAAGCTTTTCATCCTTGAGAATAGATTTCTCCTGAAAACACGCTAAGCCAGAGATGGACGGGGTAGGCAGAATCATGAGCCAGGGTGTCAGACAGACCCCAGTTCCAACCAGCTTGGCAGTGACCAGGTGACCGGCCTTCTGACCTTGGGCAAGCAATTCTCTGAGTTTTGGTTCCTTCCCTTGAAAATGAGGATGACTCTCTCTCCTAGCAGCATGGGGCTCACATGAGCTAACCCAAGGCTATAAACCATCCCACACAGGGCTTGTCCACGAACAGGGCGCCTTCCCCTTTCCTAAGCTACCCAGTGATCCAATAAGCATTAATTAGGTACCTTCTGTGTGCCAGGCAAAGTACCCTGGCCAAGAGGGAACACAGCAGGCTCAATGCCTGCCCTCATGAGGCTCCCAGCAGAGGGAGTGGGGGCTGGTGGGAGGAGTATGGAGCTGAAGGCACATGGAAAAGGGGCAGGGAGCAGAGTGGAGAAGGTCAAGGATAGCTTCTAACAGGAAGTGACACATCAGCTGAGACTTGAGGGATGGCAGGGGATGGTCTGGGGAGGACGCAGGGGCGGGGAGTGCATGCAAGAGAAAAGCTTGTGCAGAGGGAAGCCTGGAAGCCAGCCAAGGCCTGGGGCCTTTGGAGAAGAGAAATAACTCAGTTTGGCAGGACCCGGGAGCACTGCAGTGGGAGCAGGAGCTTGTGGGGACAGAGGCTGGGGAGGGAGGCTGGTCCAGCACGGTCCTGCTAGAGAGTTTAGATACTATCCCAAAAGCAAGAGGTGGAGTGGTGTTAGAGGCCACGCCAGCTGCCATGGGGGTGGGCTGAAGGGGCCAGCCTGAGGCTGGAAGGCCCTTTAGAAGGCGCCTCACCTAGGGACGAAGCAGGGGGGAGCAGTTGGTGAATTGGCACCCACCACGTAGCACTTGCTGGCAGGTTTACGGGTGGGAGAGGTGGAGGGTGGAGTCAGGGTTTCTGGGTTTCTGATGAGGGGGTGGATGTTGCCCTCACTGAAGTGGGGAGCACTGTACCCCAAACAGAAGGGGAACACAGCAAGTGCTCAGACACTGAAAGAAATCATAATTCACCATCCACGATGCTAATGCCAGAATGATTTATAACATCAAAAATTAAAAACAGTGGCTTACACCTGTAATCCCAGCACTTTGAGAGGCTGAGGTGGGAGGATCACTGAAGCGTAGGAGTTCCAGACCAGCCTGGGCAACATAGTGAGACCCCATCTCTACAAATAATTTTTTAAAACAGCCAGGAGCGGTGGTAAGTGCCTGTGGTCCCAGCTACTCAGGAGGCTGAGATGGGAGGATCACTTGAACCCAGGAGTTTGAGGCTACAGTGAGCCAAGATTGCACCATTGCACTCCAGTCTGGGTGATGGAGCAAAACCTTGCCTCAAAAAAAAAAAGCTAACCGTCCAGCAATAACTGATTAAACACATTATGATACATGCATAATTTGGAGCACTGTGGAATGACCAGTGATTATGTTGTAGATGAAAATATAATACATCATAGAAAAATGTTCATGATGTATTGTTTTATTTAAAAATCAGTATATAAACTATATTTGCCTTATTACCCCAATTTGTAAAAATAAAAGCATATATACACACACCTACAAATAGGCAACATGCCTCAGGGGAAAAAAACTAGAATAAAATCCACTAAAACGTTCGTGGTAGTTATGTTTGGATGTCTTCTTCATACTTTTAAATAGTCTCCTGATTTTTTGCCATTATATCACTTTACACACAAGATAAATGGCCACCAACAAAATTAACAGAAAGAAAGAAGAGTGGCGAGGGGATAATGACAGAAGGAAAAGAGGGAAGGGGAGAAGGGCAAACTGAAAACAGACAAGTCCACTCTGAGGGACAGGAGAGAGAGGTAGCGCGTGAGAAGGGAGGATCCATTTGTTCACCAAAAATTCTGAGTCAAAGGATGACCTTGGCTTCCCTCTGCCCGCGAGGCGAGGGCTCTGGGTTGTGCGAGCTGGGCAGCCAGCCCACTCCTCTCTCCCATCACGTGCCGCAGATAGGCTCTTACTTTGGGAGTGAAATCACCTCGGTGGACATCGACGGCGACGGCGTGACTGATGTCCTGCTGGTGGGCGCACCCATGTACTTCAACGAGGGCCGTGAGCGAGGCAAGGTGTACGTCTATGAGCTGAGACAGGTACAGCTGGGCAGGGGCTGGGCAGCTTCTCAGGTGCCCCCAACCTCTGCTTTGACTTGGGTAGCCACGACGGAAATGCGTTACTAGCGAGGCCAGTGCTGGAGCCAGGCCTGGGGAGAATCAGAGCCTCCTCTGTGGCTGGGTTCATATAGCCAGAGACGGGGTTCTGGGGAATGGAGTGGTGAGAGGATGCCGGAGCAGCCTGCAGAGGGAATTATGAGCCTGAGGACTTTTGCCAAACCCTCCCCAGCCTTTTTCTGCCCCTGGTTTTGCAGAACCTGTTTGTTTATAACGGAACGCTAAAGGATTCACACAGTTACCAGAATGCCCGATTTGGGTCCTCCATTGCCTCAGTTCGAGACCTCAACCAGGATTCCTACAATGACGTGGTGGTGGGAGCCCCCCTGGAGGACAACCACGCAGGAGCCATCTACATCTTCCACGGCTTCCGAGGCAGCATCCTGAAGACACCTAAGCAGGTCAGGCTTCCCTGGGGAAGCGGATGGAGCAAATGGGGCTGCAGGAGTCCCAGGAGTCCCAGGAGCTTCTGTGCCTCATCTGGTTCAGGATTTTCTTCCAGGCCCTCTCACAGAAACGGATGCCAATCTGTCCTGGCCATGCTTCCCCAAGTGGAAATTTTGAAAAGGGCACATTTTACCTTCAGGACCCTCCCATCACCCCCTTTGGCACTCTCTCCCTGCTTACCCTCATCCTCCCCCAACAACAAACAACAAGAAGTCCCTGGCACCTGACCCTCACTCCCCCCGAGACGCGCACACATGCAGTTGCCTACCAGTAGAGCATCCCTTCTGGGCTCACTCTTCTCTGGAAATGCTTCATGCTAGAAACCATGCCCACCTCAAAACCAACCCGTCTCGGGTCCCGTCCCCTGAGGATCATTCTTTTGCCCACACGGTTTATCAGTAAAATAGCCTAAAAAATAGACCAGCGTGAGAGATGGGGATGGGTCGCCTCCAAGTAACATGTATTTACACTTAATGGGGAACTCTTTTAAGACACGATATTTTAATCCAAAAGAATGACTTGAATGGTAGGAATTTCAGGTGCCATGATAGGCCAAGAGAGGAGATTGCTTTGGGTTGGGGAAGCTTCTTGGTGGTTTCACACAGGCTCCCTATTGTTCCTGATTGTTCCTGCTGCTCGGGGACGCCCGCCCCCACACTCACAGTGTGCATGCCCTCCCCCTCTCTTCCCGCGCCCTGCAGAGAATCACAGCCTCAGAGCTGGCTACCGGCCTCCAGTATTTTGGCTGCAGCATCCACGGGCAATTGGACCTCAATGAGGATGGGCTCATCGACCTGGCAGTGGGAGCCCTTGGCAACGCTGTGATTCTGTGGTTGGTTCCCCCGCTGTTCCCACCTCCTGGGCTCTCCTGAAAGTCACAATGAATCCAGGGGTTTTAAAGATAGGCTTCAGGATCTTTGTCTCTTGTCTTTAACTGCCCTCAGCTAGACCCACCCTGTTCTTATCCCATCTTGCTTACACATTTCCTTTTGGTGGAATCAGTGTAAATTCAATATAAATTGAAGTCCTGTCCAAAAGCCCCCGCTCTTAGAATTTGTCCTAAAAGTTATGGCTACTCAAGCATGTCTTCCACTTCAGCTTTTCAAGCTATAACACTCGCAGGGGCAAGTTGAGCGTGTTTTTACCATCTGGAAGGACCTTTCCTTCTCCCCTGGCGTGGAGGAATGTTTATCTAGTACAGAGATTTCTTTCCTCCAAAGCGCTCTGACTTCTTGCTTCCTTTCTTCAGGGCCTCATTTTCATGCTTCCTAAACACCCATTTATTTTACCGTATGTTTGCTGCTTTTTGAGCCAAAAAAAAAAAAAGACCTTGAGTATTTTTTCATATATGTTGATGAGATATTTTTCATCATAAATATAATAACATAAAGAACATTTATAAAACAAGGAAAAAAAAATCACTCAGCCTGCCATCACCTTAACAATGCCACTATTAATGCTGTGGTATATCTCCTCCCAGTCTTTTTCCCTTGCCTGTAATTTTATATAAATGCAATCATATTTGCCTACAACTTTAAAAAGGCATTGAACAGAAATATATAACTTCACAGGGAGAATAAAGGAAAAGACAGGCTCCTGTTCACAAGAATACTACAACCCAAGGGGGAAATGTCTTCCTCCAGGTTCCCTAGAAAACAGCCTGAGGCAAAAGCCTCTGTGAATGCTTTGGGAGTGGGAGCAATCCTAGAAGCAGAAGTGAAGCCGGAAGAGAGCACCGATGCCGAGCGAGCCAGCCTGTCCTCACCACGCGTGCTGCTCTTTGCTCAGTGTCTCAGCATTTCCAGTGTGGCGTAAAACAGCCCATTGTAGGGGAAGAAGGGGCAGCAGCAGACTTGTGGCTCCCTCAGATCCCTCATTTGTCATGGCCAGAGCATCTGCTGCCCAACAGTCCCGGTGGTGCCCCAGCCCTCTAGGCAGCACTGGGAAGCCAGGGCCTGTGCGTGTGCAGCCCAGCTAGTGTACAGGAGCAGGGTCTGTCTCTTCGAAGGTCTGTGCTGCATGTGGGGGCTCTTAGGTCCTTGTTGGTGGTGGTGGTGGTGGCAGCAACAGCAGCCTGGGCTTGCAAGGTGTGTAAAGGTGTCCACTGTGTTGGTTCCAGCCAAGAAAGCATGGCAGATGACCAAGGCCCGGGGAGGAGGTACACAGAACCTAGCAGGTCTTTAAAGTAACATATAAACTTCTCTACAGGAAGCAAGATACACATGTGCACACACACCCCTCAAGAGAATCGGTCTCACAGAAATGATTGGATCAAGCTCTAGCTTTTGAAGTCTACACCTATGTGCTACCTAAATACTGATGAAATTGCGGGCGAGAGCCCTCTGGGAAGACTATGGTCAAGCCCCATAGTTCTCAAACATGACTGCCCATTAGGATCACCAGGGGAGCTTTTAAAATGTCATTGCCCAGGCTTTACCCACACCAATTAAGCAGAATTCTGTGGAGGGACCTGGGCAGCAGTAATTTTTTTTAAACTCCCCAAGTGATTCCAATGGGAAGTCAAGTTTGAGAACTTCAGATGTAACCCACTATGTTGACACAGCACTCTACACTGTCAAAGGACATTCTCACCTCCTCTGATCCTCACAATCCCCCATTGCAAAGATCATGTGACCTGCCAAGGTCCAATGAGGAGCCCGTGGAGCCAAGACTCAAATCCACTCTTTCACGCTACAGTGCAGAGGTGCTGTTCACCTTTATGCTAAGAAGAACAGAGTATTGGCACAGATCATCATGTTGAAGCTATGAAACCTCTAAGCCACTCTACTTCTATTTCTTTTTATATACATTCATGGTTGGGAGAGGCAATAGGTTTCCGTTCCTAATTACATTTGACTTAGGCCGGTATAAGGGTAAATTTGTATTTCCTTGGTTACCTGGATGGGGTAGTGTGGGGGTTAGATGGATGCTGGCTGCACGTTGGAATCACCTGGGGTGCTTTAACGCCTCGCTCTTCGAAGTGTGGTCCATGGAACGTTCACATCACCTGGGATCTTGTTAGAAATGCAAAATCAGTGCCAAGCTATTGGATCAAAATCTGCATTTTAACATGATCCCCAGGGGGCGTGCACACATATGAAAATTTCAGAGGCACTGCTTTAAAACCTGCTAAGGTCTGATTCTGATGTGGTTTTGCCTAGGGTGTAGCTGAGGCACCAGGATTTTTTTAAGCTCTTCAGATGACTCACATGTGCATCCAGGGTGGGGAACCACTGCTATAAAAGATGATGAGGGAGCAAAGGGAAGTCAGCATGATCCACAGCGAGCACAGCCCCTCGGGGAAAGTGCTGAGGGGCTGCATGGAGGGGCCATGAGGTGGCTGAGCCCCTTTCGCCCCGTGCTCGCTCTTGCCAGTCCTTTGACATCCGAAGCCCCCTCCATCCTCCACCTCGCCCCCTCCATCCTCCACCTCACCCCCTCCAGTGGCTTTGCAGATCCCACTCGCATCTGGTTCTTGTCTTTCCCCATGGTCACAGCAGGGCAGCCTGAGCCCCTGCCCCACCCCAGCTCACTGGCCCTTCTCCTCCAGGTCCCGCCCAGTGGTTCAGATCAATGCCAGCCTCCACTTTGAGCCATCCAAGATCAACATCTTCCACAGAGACTGCAAGCGCAGTGGCAGGGATGCCACCTGCCTGGCCGCCTTCCTCTGCTTCACGCCCATCTTCCTGGCACCCCATTTCCAAACAACAACTGTTGGTAAAGCAGGCCCCTCCTTTCTCCCCACCCCCAGACTCCAGTCTCCCCCTGCACCTTGCTCTATTTCAAAGCCTGGGCTTTTCCCAAAATGGGTGCTAAGTGCCAGGTCGCCCAAGAGCCACCTTGGATGACTACTGGATCCCATTTGATGCTCTCATTCCAAAGGGCAAAGAGGGGATGTCATGCCAGGGTGAGAGTGGCAGTGAGCAGGGGTGATCATGACAGGGAGGACAGGAGAAGAAGGAAACAGTCTGGGCGTAGAGTTTGGATCAGAGCACAGGACTGATGCCAGTGGAGAAAAGTGGGGTGTGGAAGCCCAGAAGTCTGCCTGGATGCAGACCCAGGAGTCCTACAGGGGGGGTGCTGGAAACCAGGAGGCCAGGTCAATGAGACCCCAGCAGCAGGGAGCCCCGCTCAGAAGTGGGTGTGAGTCCACAGCAGGGCAGTTTCCTTCTGAGGGTCCATCACTTCCAGCTAAGTCTGGAGTCAGACACCTACTCATGACAGCCCTGGCCCCAGGTGGTCTCAGGAAGTGAGCTGCGGGTTCCAGGACTGTCTGTGCTGGCACAGGAAACAGGGACTCAGGGAGTCTCTCAGCCAAGGAGCAGGACCAGACAAAGAAGAGACCAAAGGGAAGATGAGGACAAAGGTGGGCCTGGGGGCTGTGCCCCTCTCTTTCAACTTCTGTCCCTGAGAGGAGACAGATATGAGAGCCAGCAGCAACCTGCGGGCGTGCTGGAGAACAGGAGAAGGGACTGAGCCTTTCCGGGAATTGGCAAAACCTAACTGAAGGGGAGGAGGCAGCAGGGTTTATGCCCCAGAATAGAGTCAGAGATTTGAGGATCCGGCAGGAAGGGGCTGGCCAGCCCTCCTTGGTGTGAGAGGAAGTACCCAGCAAAGGCTCTGACCAGCCCTGAGGGGGATCCCAGAGCCCAGGGAAAGACAGGGAAGGTGGAGGGAGAGGCGGAGGGGGTTGTTGACTGCAGCAAGGGCTCAACATGACACCACCCTGGCCCCACATCCTGTCTCCCCTCCTCATCTGCGGTGTTCACTTTCCCTCCACTTCTTCCTTCTGCTCTTTCTCCACCCTCTTCCTCCCCCTTTTCTTTGGTTCCTTCCTTTACCTTCCTCATGCAATCACTTGCTCTCCATGTGGGAGTTTCTCACCCACACTGGGGCTCGTGAGAGGAAAGGAACAGCTCTCCCCTGGCCAGCCTGGGGGGCTTCCTGGAGGAGGCAGACAGTCTTGGATGGGCATGTGGCTCCACCTTTGTGGTCTTGCCCTCTCCCCTCCTGCAGGCATCAGATACAACGCCACCATGGATGAGAGGCGGTATACACCGAGGGCCCACCTGGACGAGGGCGGGGACCGATTCACCAACAGAGCCGTACTGCTCTCCTCCGGCCAGGAGCTCTGTGAGCGGATCAACTTCCATGTCCTGGTAAGCTGGCAGCCCCACCAGCAGAGCCCAAGCTCCTATAGGAAGGAGCATCTGCCGTGGGAGAGGCAGAGAGTCTGCCTGGCTGGTTCTAAGCCCCCAGCAGACCTCAGGAAGCCAGCCAGGGACAGTGTACCCTGACCTTGGCCACTCCACATTCCCACCTCATGCCCCAGAGACACGCTACATACCACCTCACTAGACATCCTTCCAAAACCTCTTCTCCTGCCACTCTCAGATGCCGAAGGGAGGAAGGTGGGCTCAGTAGGTCCAGCAGAGAGAACTAGGAGCAGCTGGTGGGGGGCACAGCCCCAAAGGGAGGGATAAGCAGGCAGCAGCTAACAATTAAAGGCCAGGTCCAGGAGACAGTGGCATGTACAAAACAGGAGGTGAGACAGAGAGGGGCGCCAGTGATGTCACAAGTAGGGTAGTGGCCTGGTGCCCCATTTTATAGCTAAGGAAGAGAATGAGAGGTTTACTTCCATCCAGAGATACCAAATACCCAGCTCACAGCTCCAGCCCCAGAGATGCAAGCAGGGTCACTCAGAGCCCTCCTGGTCCCAGTAGTTCAATGGCCAGAGTTCAGAGATGTGAGCAGGTCTGAGAAGGTGCATCCCTGTTAAGGGGCCCCCTGAGACGCATCCACACCAGCAGCATCTTCATCCTCCCCACAAACTTGGAAATTCACTTGTTCTGACTCAGAAACTCTGGGGCTGGGGCTGGGGCTGGCGCCAGCACCCTGTGTTTTAACAAGCTCCCAGGGGACTCTGGTGCCAGCTCAGGTTTGACAGCCACTGCCTTTATATAATCAGGGATTGCAGGTTCCAAGGGGAAATTTTTAGGCTGCTCTAAGCAACCCCTTTACTTACCATCTATGCTCAGAACCAACCTGAGCGCCCCTGTCTTGCTCACGAGTTTGTTCATTCACCAATTCCACATGCTGAAGCCCTTATCACAGTGCTAGGGCCATGCTGGGAGGCTCCAGGCCTATTCCTTGCTTGGGAAGGAAGAGTGACACACAGTCATATGGTTCAAATGCTACATGAGCAGCAGGCGTAACTGGTCTGAAGAGAGTGGTGGGTGGGGTGGGATACAGGCGGGCACTGCCAGGCTTCCCAGAGGCCGAGGTACCCGGGCAATGGGAGTCTGGCCCCGAAGGATGTGCAGGAGCTTGGCAAAACAGCCAGGCAGCTAGGTTGGCATGAGCTGAGCTTGGAGCTCCTTTCACAGAAGCACACTCTTCCCACCAACAGACCCGCTAGAAACCTCCATCCACCTGCAGACTCACCCTGAGGGCACAGGGCAGCTGCCCTGCCATCTAAGGAAGGTGGAAGTTCTATCTCAGCATCCACGGTCCTGGCTCATAAAATGACGTTCTCTCCTCCCTCACCGCTGCCCTCATCTCCACCCCCCAGGACACTGCTGACTACGTGAAGCCAGTGACCTTCTCAGTCGAGTATTCCCTGGAGGACCCTGACCATGGCCCCATGCTGGACGACGGCTGGCCCACCACTCTCAGAGTCTCGGTACATCTCGGTACAGGGCACGCACCTCGGGCATGAACCCCACCCCCACCTCCACCTCAACCCCAAAGCCCAGAGCCTGAGTGTGCCGGGTACAGAGGACACCATCCCTCATCTCACCTTCCCACCTCCTGTCCTGGCAAACCCACAGTGTGGCTCCTTCCTGCCTCTCTCGGGGCCTGTGCTGAGTGTTAGCAGATCAATTCCTTAAGGGCAAGGCCCAGGCCTTCTCCTGTTCAAGTTTCCCCGTATCCCCAGCACAGGGGAGCACAGGGTGAGCACCGGAGAAATACAAAGAACCACTGGATGAGAAGGGATCGGAGATCTTAATCACCCACCTCCCTCCTTTACAGATGAGGACAATGGAGACCAGAGAGTGACTCTTAGAGCCTGGGGTTCTGCTTGTTAGGTGACTAACTGATTCACAGAGCTCCTAAGTATTGCAAAAAGAAGTGTTTTAACTGACTGACAGCGGTCCTAAGCATTCCAAAAAGAAGCGGCCCCATCCCTCAGCCACATTTTCTAATCCCTGGCTCTGGGGCATCCAAAATGTTTGACATCTAACATTCAAATGCTCCCTGCAGCCGCAACTCCATGTAAATCCCACTCAAGGAAAATGTCAGGCAGTGATCAATTCTGCTGCTGTGCTGCAAGAGCAGGCAAAAGTTATAAAATGGAATAGCTAATGCCTGAACCTTGAGGATTTGGGAAACAACTTTTAAGCACACCACGGTGCTCTTAAGCCATTCTGTGAGGTCCAGTCTCTGAGCAACGTCTGTGTGAGTGACAGAGTCCAGCCAGGAAGCAGTTTCAGAATTATTCAAGTTCTTACCTGCATTTCTTCAACACCAGGAAAGGACCGTACAGTCCACAGCAATGCCCCTGAAAACCTCCCCTTCTCTCATTCACACCCATCATCCCCCACAGCCCCTCCACACCCCTCTCCCCAGGCCTCCCACAGTCCCCTGCCAAACCTCCGTCCTCACACCTCCCCTCTTTCTCCTAAGTCTGAGCTCCTGGGCTGGCAAAGCTGGATTCATCGTTAGTGAGCCGGGAGAAGGGGAAAGCTGGGCGCACTAAGTCATTTTTGTCCTCTCGCAGTAATTACAAAGTCACTATGGCAAATGAATGAGTACGTGGCACTCACCCCACAAGCATGCTGAAGCCCACAGTGCAGATTAACACACAGGGTAATCCCTGCTCTGACACCGACGATCTCCGTGCAAGGTGGTAATGAGCAGCACAGGTCAGGTGGGAGGCAGTATGCACTTGGAGGACGTACAATCAAGCAATCAGATGATAGGTCAGAGGGCCTTCCTGGAGGAGGGAGCCTTTGGCCAGACTTTAAAGGCTAGGCAGGATTCAGACATGCAGAGACAGGGAGGATGGGCTTTTATTCCGGGAGAGCTGACAGCATCACCAAGGCAGGGAAATAGGAAAGGCAGGATGCAGCTTCAGGTAAACCCCTTTCTCACCTTATAAAGAAAAGGTGAGAAACAGAGCTGAAAACTTTGTAGAGCAGCTAAGTTTCTAAAACTCTGATTTATCTGGATTTCTAGCCCCCAGCAAGTGAGACACATTCTTCCCATCATTCTACAAAGTCTTACTTTGCCTCTACTAAATGCCCAGCGCTGTTCTAATACCATAATATCTGGCCTGTTGGGGAAGTGAGCCATCCCATATTATTGAGTGTAACAGTTGCTTATTACATTAAATTATTTATTTTAATCAGCCAGATAGAAATTCTTCTGAAGGTCATTATATAGTTCTCAAACTTCTTAAACAGTATGCTGAGTGGGAGCTGGCTGTTTTTTCTTTGAGACTTGAACTCACCAGGATGAACTTTGGTGCTAGAATGCCGTAAAGCCCCTATCCTGAACTAAGTTCCTTTCCCAAACGGCTCCACGGTGACCCCTGGATATGGCTTCGCTGGCTACCATTGCAGTCGGCAGGTCCACCTTGCGGTGGGGAGCTGAGGGGCGAGATGGGTAGATCAATGCCTAAAGCAAGAGCGTGTGGATCTGACTGAGGGCCAGAGAGCTCTCCTTCGAGAAAAGTTAATGAATTTAAGATACACATGACTTTGTGACACCTGTTTCCTCTCCCCTGGTTTGGGCTGTGTTGTCGGTAGTGACAGTTACTGCCCCTCAGCTCCAGGCTTGAATATCCATCTGCCTGCTGAGGTCCTCGCCCTGGGTGGGCCACAGGCACTTCAAACTCAACATGCCGCACACTGAACTTCTCACTTAACCCCTACTTTCTTTTTTTTTTTTTTTGAAATGGTATCTCCCTCTGTCACCCAGGTTGGAGTGTAGTGGCACGATCTTGGCCCACTGCAGCCTCTGCCTGAGTTCAAGCAATTCTCCTGCCTCAGCCTCCCGAGTAGCTGGGACTGCAGCCACTGCGCCCAGCTAATTTTTGTATTTTTTAGCAGAGACAAAGTTTCACCATGTTGGCCTGGTTGTTCTTGAACTCCTGACCTCAGTTGATCCACCTGTCTCAGCCTCCCAGAGTGCTAGGATTACAGGTGTGAGCCACCACGCCCAGCCAACCCCTGCTTTTATTACCAAATGCCATGATTATCCTTCTAGACACCTAAAAAAGAAACTCAGCTGACACCCTGGACCCCTTTCTCCCTCAGCCCCGACAACCTCCAGGTTCCTATTGATCCCGCCTCTGGGGTCACTAACCTATTTCCTCCTCTCATGCCCACTACCACACCGACACCAGCGTCATCTCTTGCCCGAATGTTGTGGCAGCCTCCTCAATGGTCTCCCTGCCTCGAGCCTCCATCTTCTCACTCCATTCTCCCACAGCAGCCAGGGCAGCCTTCAGCATGCAGGTCTGTCAGGACATTCCCTGCCTGAGGCATTCGGCGACTCCTACCAGTTGCAAGGAATGACCCCAAGGCCCTGTAAACACAGGCCCCTGACCATCTCTTCCTCTCTCCCACCCCTGTGTCTCTTACCACAGCAACACTGACCCACCTATCATTTCCCAGACTCACCGTCCCGCTCCTGCCCCAGGGCCCCTGCATCAGGCCGTCCTTCCTCCTGGACTTCACCACCTCCATCCCGGTCCACACAGCTACCTTGACCGTCCTTCAGAACTCTGATCCCCTGTCACTTCCTCGAAGGCTTCCCTGACTTCCTACAGGCCAAAACAGCTGTTTCTCCTCTCTGCCTCTTCTATTCCTCATGCACATTTCTTTTCGGTTTTTTTGCACATTTTACACTAGTGATTTGTTCATACACCAATCTTCCCCTTGAGCTGAGGGCAGAAGCTGCATCTTTCTTGTTTTGTATCCCCAGTACCAAAGCCCTTGCCCACACACAGTAGATGATCAATAAATGTTGACCAGAACCGCTCTGCTGGGTGAGTGGGGGTGGGGGTTCTGTGCCATCAGCTCAGTTATGAACTGGAGGGGAGCCAGGAGGAGCTGAGCTTTGAGCATCGTTTTAAAGAGGGAAGCATCTATGGAAAAGCACAAGACAGAGCAGTGTGGTGTCTGGGGACAGTGCAGGAAAGCCAGCCCATGTCTAGTGTGGTGGAGACAGAGCTGGTGTACATTGAGGGCGAGGGGCTGCGGGTCCCTACCCAGCTGCCCACACCTGGCTCTCCCTGGCCCAGGTGCCCTTCTGGAACGGCTGCAATGAGGATGAGCACTGTGTCCCTGACCTTGTGTTGGATGCCCGGAGTGACCTGCCCACGGCCATGTGAGTTGGCTCCTTCCACCCCCACCCTCGCCCCTTCCCCTTCACTGCCAGAGGCTCTGGGGCTCCTGGGGCCCTGGATTATTTCCTGGACATCCTCCTCACAGGCAGCATGGATCAAACATTGCACTTGGAGCCTGCGTTCTAGCCCAGGCTCTGCCACCAACTCCTGCATAACCTCAGGAAAGTCTCTTCTGTAATATGAAACTACTAGTCTAATCTAATTTCAAATTTTGTTAAAAAAAAAAAAAAAAAGAAACCCTTTCTTCGGAGCCCACATTACAAAATAGATGAAAGGTAGAGACAGGAGTCTCTGGAGTTCTGGGTGCTTGTCCTTCAGCCCCCAGATGAGGTGACCTCTAGGCCCGCTGGCTGAACACCTTGGGCTTTCCAATCCTTCTGATGGAAAGATGCCAGGGACACCAGCCGAGGGTGAGCAGGGGACCTACAATCCCCTGGAAGAGACAAACGAACATACAAGGGAAAATAATGAACAATATCATATTCTTAATTTATGTAACATATTTTCCAATAATTTATGCTCAACTTTGATCCAACTATGAGATGATTTAGATAGAAAACATATATACCATGACATAGATAATAAAGAGAAATAGCACATTCAAAACTTGTAGAAGGATAATGGAGCACATATTCTAACCAGCTAGGCTAAAATAAGGATTATCTCTACATTAGTGCTGAGCTTCCTAGCAGCCAAGGCCAAAAGGGAAACATGATGTGCGGAGTGGTGATGCGTGAGTGGTGAGGTCAAATAAGAGCTCTGGGTTCAGCGGAGGGTATGATCTCTATGGTGGGGACACCAAGGGCCTTTGAAATAGGAAGTGGTCTTGAAGGGTGAGCTCTTTCCAGCCCTGCCATCCATTTCCACTCTCCTCCCAGTGGCTATTCCCATGAGCAGAGGCCAGTCAAGTGCCCAGACCCACCTTTTTGCCCCAACCCTGGGGCTCCTCTCTACCCCTGCTTTCCTCATTCCATCTGCCCAGTCTCTGGTGGTCTCTTGTTCTCAGGGAGTACTGCCAGAGGGTGCTGAGGAAGCCTGCGCAGGACTGCTCCGCATACACGCTGTCCTTCGACACCACAGTCTTCATCATAGAGAGCACACGCCAGCGAGTGGCGGTGGAGGCCACACTGGAGAACAGGGGCGAGAACGCCTACAGCACGGTCCTAAATATCTCGCAGTCAGCAAACCTGCAGTTTGCCAGCTTGATCCAGAAGGTAAGACCTCAGCGACCTGCCCAGACTGCCTCTGCCTGGCACAGAGGAAAAGGAAGGCCAGGTGGGCTCCTGGCTACATGTTGGAATCACAAGAAAGCTGGATGCAGTGGCTCATGCCTGTAATCCTAGCACTTTGGGAGGCTGAGGTGGGAGGATCACTTGAGCCCAGGAGTTTGAGGCCAGCCTGGGCAACATAGTGAGACCCCATCTCTACAAAAATATATAAAGTAATTAAATAAAAAAAAAAATCACAGGAGAGCTTTAAAAAGCCTGCCCCCAGACTCCTCCTCTGGAGATCCTAACTGATTTGCTCTGGGGTTGGGCCTGGCATCGGGAGGCTTTTAAAGCTCCCTCAGTGACTTCAGTGTGCAGCCAGGGCTGAGAACCACCGGCACTAGGGGAGTCTGAGCCCTTTGGGAACACAGGGAGGAATACCCTTCAGCCCGACTCCTGGGCCCTGGTTAGGGGCACACACACCACGCATGTGCCACCAGCCATCCACACGTTCTACCAACAGTGCACCCTGCAGGCTTGCTCGGAAGGTCCTTCTGACAAGAATCAGAACCGGTTCTTCCCCAGGTTAAAACTTCTGATCACTCCCAGCTGCTGTCAGAACAAACTCCAGGCTCCTCATTGTGGCATTCAAGGCCCATCTCACCCACCTCCTGCCACTTCTCCTCTAACTGTGCCACGGGCCACCTTGTTCCCAGCACGCCCTGCTGGTTCCCACCATGGCCCCCACCTGGGACTCCTCTCTCCTCTGCCCAACAGGCTCCTGCTCCCACTTGGTGACCATCCACATATTGCCTACTCACGGCGTCCAGCGCTGTGCTAGCACTTGGCATGCATTTAACCCTTGCAGCAACCTCAGACATAGCAGTAGTGGTGGTAGTGGTGGTGGTGGTGTCCCCATTTTACAGAGGAGGAAACTGAGGCATAGGGAGGGGTTAAGGCCTGCCCAGGACCACACAGCTGGTGAGCCGCAGAGCGGAATTCCCACCCCACAGCTGGCGCCTGAGCCTGCGCTATGTGACAAAGCATAGTCCTCAGCCCTGCTCTCTGGGGTATCTTTCCCAAAGCTCTCCAAGGCCACAGGCGGCCCTCCAGCCCGCATAGCATCTGGTACAGCCCTTCATGTGCTCTGAAGAAACATCAGTCTCCAAGTGCTGGCCTCTTGAAACCCTTGACTCCCAGGTGGCAAGAGCCCTGTCTTAGCCATGTCTGTGTCCAGAGCTGGGCACATAGAAGGCCCTCAAGACAAGTTTGTTGAGTAAACTCAGACATCAATGTCATGTGTGGGTGTTGCGGGGGTCCTAGGGCCCTCAGACACAGCCTCTGTCCTCGAGGATCTCAGTGTCAATGTGGAACCCAGTGTGCCAGGCAAGACAGGTGCCAGGCCAGTCTGTCCTCTCCACCCCAGAACCACTGCCCAGCACCCCTCCCCAAGTGCCCCCCCCTTGCTTGCCACACACACAGGAGCAGTTCCTATAGCCAGGAGGGGAAGCTGAGTGGAGGGAGGCCACCCCAGGAAAGCGAGGAGCTGCCTACTCGGGTACCCCCTTCCTCCTCAGTGGGCTCCCCCATCCTCAAACAGACCTCAAGGCCTATCTGCAGCCACAGTTCCTTCTGTCAGGCCCAGGCCTGGGCCCCAATCCCACTCCCTCTCCACTGCCCAGAGTGACAGCCCAGGCTGATGATGAAGAGCCCACCTGATGGTCTCTCGAAGTCCCCTCCTGTCCAGGGACTTGTGTCTGTCTGGATTTCAGGTATACGGAGGGAATCAAGCCCCACACCAGCATCCGCCTTCCCCTGCTTCCCTGGCCCAGACTTCACAAGGCCAGTCTCATGCTTGCTCCTAATCCTGGGGAGGGAATCATGGAGATAGTTTCTGTGGCTCAGAAGAGCTTTTGGAAATGAGTGGAGGTAAAGAGAAGTGGGAGACATGTTCTGTGAAGTGCTGTGTCCCCACACATAGCAGGTGGGGTGCAGAGTTAGCCTGGAGCCTACCTCCTTCACAGGTGCCACCACCCATCCCCAACCCAGGAAACGCTCATGGCTGTGAGGTCAGCATTCCTCTCCTCTCTCTCCCCAACATCCAGCCAAGGGGAACTCTAGTAGAGAAAGCACCCCTCTCAGCCAAATGCAGATGTGTTAGTCTGATCACACACTTTTTGCACACACATGCAAAAACACAGCAGCCTACATATTTGTCCTGGGAAATGCACATGCTCTGTGTACATGCAGCAGGTACATGCACACACATGCACTGACACGCAGACACACACAGAGTCTCCACAGACACATGCTCACATCCACACGGGTGCATGCATGCCCAGAGACATACACAGCCATGTGCCCAGGTAATGCCCAACAGTGCAGAGAACACAGCAGGGACAAATAATCATCATAACTGTAGCTGCCACATACGAGTGATGACAATAGGCAGGGCATGGGATAGGCGCTGCATTTATGTGCATCGCGTCATGTAATCCTCATAACAACTAGATGAGGTAGTTACTGTCATCCCCATTTAACAGGTGAGCAAAATGAGACGCATACATGAGCCCCCGCCATCCTCCCCACCGCCTCTGAGTGTGTCCCGCCCCGTGTCATGCCAAGTACCAGGAACCAAGACACACCCTGGCCTCTGGGGCCTCTGGGGTCTCAGACATCAGAAGGGCTGTGGTCCAGGCTTTCATATGGGTATCAGGGGCTGAGGCGGCCCCTGCAGAGTGGGGTGCAGGCTGGGGGTGAGGGAGCCTCGAGACCTGGTCCCAGGCCCCACCTAACTGCTGCCATGATGTCTGCCACCCACCTCCAGGAGGACTCAGACGGTAGCATTGAGTGTGTGAACGAGGAGAGGAGGCTCCAGAAGCAAGTCTGCAACGTCAGCTATCCCTTCTTCCGGGCCAAGGCCAAGGTTGAGACTGGGGACAATGTGGGGGAGGGTCAGGGTGGGCACTGGGAGGCACAGGTAGTTTGGGGAGGGCGGCAAGAGCAACAAGAGTGAACACAGAAGACCAGGGAGGGATGGGAGGCCTGAGGTGGCTTTTATTTGTCTTTTCTCCCACAAAATTACATTCAAGTGACCAAATGAGCCAGCCATCCCCATGCTAGCAGCCCATCCTTTAACTCAGAGAGAATTCCTACCACTCCCAGCCACTAGTCTGCCACCTGCCCTTAGCCAGTCCCACTGTTCTGCAGCCTCACAAGTTTTTCAAATTTCTGGCCTCTGCCACTGTGCTGTGTATGAGGAGGGATGGGGAGAGAAACTACCATTTCGTGAGTACCTACCACCCAACTGTGCTTAAAAGCTCATGTGAATAGAGGGTGGGTATGTGAAGGGAGAAGCAAAGTAGCTGGGAAAGGGAGGGAGACGCCAGATTGCAGGGAGTGTTTGGACATCAGCCCTGGGCAGCAGGCAGCCATAGAAGGTTCTGGAGTAGGAGACCTAATTGAGGCCAAGCTGCGTGGACTTGGGAATCAGAGAGGAGCTGTGGCAGGAGCCAGTAGGCGGCAGCAGTGCTCCCAGGAGCAGGGTCTGCACAGCTGGGGAAAGAGAAAGAAATGGGAGTGGGGATGAGGGCTCCTTAGCAAAGCACCTCCCTGGTGAGATATAAGTCAAAGGTGTGGTTTCTGGGTTGAGGCACCGACAAACCCAGGAGCTCTGGAGTGGGGATGGAGCAGGACATAGCCCAGGCTTCCCCACCCACGCCCAGCCACTCCTGCAGAGAAGGGGCCGCTGAGGTCTCCTGGGAAACCTCGTGAGGGTGAGACCAGGGAGCGCATCAGGGGTCTGTGCAAAGCCTCAGTAATGCCCCCAGGTGGGGCAGGGAGGAGGCGAGGAGGGTCGCATGTTTCCCCACCGCGGGGCGAAGGGCAAGGGGAGTATCAGGGCCCAGGTCAGCAGTGTGGCAGAAGCGCTGCCAGACAAGGGGCGGATGCCTTGTTGGCCTGCTGGGTGGCCACTGGCCCTCATCCCTCTCTGGGCCATCTCCTCCCTGCCACACACAAAGAAGAGGTGGACAAGGCAGTCCTACCAAACGTTTCTGGCCCCCACATCCTGTGGTGCATGGCGATGGCCATCGGCCCTTCCTGCCATCAAGGACCCCTACCCTAAAAACCCTGCAGACAGAGTCTGGAGCTGGACTTGCTGCTTTCTGGTTGCCTTTTGCTAAAAACAAAAGAAGAGGAAGAGGGAGGGGGGCTGGCTCAGCCCCGAGAAACCCCATTGTGGGAGCTGTTGTCTTTGGCTGTGTCCCCACAGCAGCCCTGAAGCTCAGCTCATGTTCTGTAGCACCTGGTCCTCCCTTTCCCAGCCTGTTCCCAGCCAGCAGCTCCCCAACCCCCAGCAAGCTCCCTCTCCCCAAGCCAGCAGGGGGCTGTGGGGAGTGGGCTGTGGGGAGTGGGCGGGGCTGGTCCCAGCAATGCCCAGACATGCGACTGCTTCCTTGCAGGTGGCTTTCCGTCTTGATTTTGAGTTCAGCAAATCCATCTTCCTACACCACCTGGAGATCGAGCTCGCTGCAGGCAGGTCAGGGCCGTGCCTGCTCCTTCTCCCCAAAGCTTGCTATTCCGGGGCCCAGCTCTCTGGCTGCTAGCAACTGCTCCTCCCGACACTGAGTCCGCTGCCCCACGCCCTGTCCCCCACTGCCCCAACCTTGAGTGGAGGCAGTGGGGTGGGGAGGTGGGCCGGCATCCGTTGCAGGTGTGGGCCAACCTGCTGCCCCCTGTGTTGCCACCACTCTTCATTCTTTGGATGATAAATAATAATGTCAGCCCTTTACTTTTAGACAGCCCTGTATACAGCAGTAATTCACAAACCCTATGGTTATAAAGCATTGTACAGGCAAAAATCTCAGTCCTCACAGAGGCCCCTTAAGATCATCAAAGCAGGGGTTATTCCACACACCATCTTCCAAGTTAAGAAAAGAGAGGCTCAGAGAGGGTGAGTGAATTTCCCAGGGACACACAGCAGTAAATTGTGCAGCTGGAAGCTGAACACTACTCGTCCTATTCCCCATCCAGGGCTCTTCCTGTCCTAGTCACCTCTCTCCCCTTTTTCTATTTTTAAGAGGCCTTTTCTTACTCTATGTGGGTCTTCCTGTCTATCTGTCTGTCTGTCTCCCAGGCCTCTCAGAGGTAGCTTGCTATGTGTTGACCCCATGAATCACTTTGTGTCAGTAGTAAATACACTTCTCTTTTTTGCAGAATTACCTCTGTGTGGGGAAGGACAGAGGGATTGTGTCCACTCTGGAGCCTTATAAATGGCAAAAATCCTTAGCTAAGAAATAAATACCCCAGGCAAACCGAACACTAACATTCCAGCACACACACGTGCAGGTCAGAGGTCACATAAGCGCTGGGGACTCATACCCGACACGTGCTCGCGTCCCAGCTACAGTTAAATGAATTGTGCATCCTGGTAGAATTCTCACACACCACGTGGCAAACTTGGCAAGGCCTCCCTTGCTCTCTGCCCTGCTCTAAGAAAGCCCAGTCCCGTCTTCACAGGAGAAATGAGCGCGCTTGCAGAGCAGTGTCTCTGGCACAGCTGTGGGGGGTGTCTGAGAATTAGGTGTGTGTAGGAGGGGGCTCTGGAGGCACATCTGTGTGTGTTGGGTCTCCCTTTTCTAACCAAACCCCTATCCTGGGGTAAGGCTTCCAAAGGGAATCAAACTCAGTCTATATAACAAGCAAGAACTGTACATTTTTATGTCTAAAATGATTTGCCCCGGTAGTTCATGGTGCTCAGATATAAAGGGAGGCACACTGGACAGAACCCCCCCGGAAGATGTCTCTGAATTTCACTCCCAGCCTTCTTGTGGCAGCAGAGTGCCCCTGGCCGCCCTGTAGGAGCTGCCCCCGGTCAGTCCAGGGATAAATGAATGACTCTACTGTGAATTCCTCACCATCCCTCCTCCGTGGGCACAGCCTTTGCCACAGGTGTCATCTCCCACAGCCCCTGAGTCCAGCAGGCAGCAGGATTGGCCCGCCTGACAGACGGGGCATCTGGGTGAGGGAGGCAAACAGGCTGGGGTCCAGTCCGTGCCAGGCCAGGCACAGGCCTCCCAGGTCCAGCCCAGAGCCCTCCCCTGACTCCACCTAAAGGGGCAGCAGGTAGAGCTAGTGTCATCCATCCCTGCTTCTGGCCCTTCCTCTCCTAGGAGATGCCTCAGGTTCCCTGTCTGGCCTGTCTGGTGCCCATCAGCCCCAGATAAGCCAGTGTGCTCCTTCCACAGTCTGCCTCAGACCCTTCCCGCTGCCTGTGCTGGCTGAGCCCCTTCCTGACCTTGCCGCCTGGCTCTCCTTGCAGTGACAGTAATGAGCGGGACAGCACCAAGGAAGACAACGTGGCCCCCTTACGCTTCCACCTCAAATACGAGGCTGACGTCCTCTTCACCAGGTGGGCCGGGCTCCGGGGGCCCCAGGAGAGGGAAGGCATGGGGAATGGGAGGAGGGAGGCCTAAGGGGGGGCATCCTCTGATGGGCCCTAATAGGGCCAGACCCCAGCACTAAGGGACTATGGATGGAGCCAAGAGTGTCCCTGGTGGGTCAGAGAGTGCAGCACCCCCATCCAATGTGGGGAGGGGATATCAAATTAGAGGAAGGAGGAGACACAGGCCCGGCCCTGGGGAGCTCCCAGCAGGGGCAAGAAGGGAGGGTGGGGGCAGTGGGAGGCGTCCACCCCTGGCATAGGCAACAAGTGGATGCATGGTCTGTAGAGAATTTAAAAACAGAAATAATATCTATCGTAAGTCAATCTGCTTTTTGTTATCATATTATGCCAGCACATCTAAACAATGTCAGTGGGAAAAGACTCTTCCCCAAAGGACAGACTGCTCCCACCCCCACCCCCTTGGCATGCTACTGGCCCCCAATCTGATGGAGGAAACAGCCCCTGTCCTCTGAGAGCTCATGGGCAGATGGAGAAGTCAGGGCAGAACAGCAGATGCGGAGAGGAAGCTCAGGCCCTCCCACGCCAGCCATCCCTAGAGGGTGGAAGGGAGCACAGTGGCATGGTCACTCCGAAAAGTAGCTACACTCCTAGGCAGAGACGCTGGGGCAGGGATGAGATAACTGGCTCTTCTGACTCACGCCCACCCACTCAGGAGGCAGACATTGCTCACCCATGGCAGCGCTGATTCCTGCAAAGGCTCAGAATCCTTCCAACATGACACTCACTCCCAGCCGACACAAGCGGGAACCTGTTTTTCGTGGCCCGGGGGAGGCCGGCACATGCCCTCTCCCTCTTTCATTCATCTGTCCATCCAGCCAGCCCTGACTGAGCTCACGACAGCCCTGTCCTCTGTCTCCGCAGGAGCAGCAGCCTGAGCCACTACGAGGTCAAGCCCAACAGCTCGCTGGAGAGATACGATGGTATCGGGCCTCCCTTCAGCTGCATCTTCAGGGTGAGGCTGGAGGGGAGCCGGGTAGAGGGGGAAGGACGGGATCTGAGCACCCCCATCCTGGAGGGGAGGAATGTGGAATCATCGCTAGTGCCCGGAGTCCAGCCTCAACCCTGCCACCCACCCACTGTGCGACTTTAGTCAAGTCACTTCTCCTCTCTGGGCCTCTCAGTCTTCTTTTGAAAAACAACTGGACTGCAGTGGGGGATGTATGGGTGAAGATAGGGTGTGGTTGCCTAAAATTCTTAAATTTTTTTTAAACAGTGGTTTAAACACACTAGGGTTTACTCTCTCCCATAAAAGAAGCCCAGAGTTGGCAGCTTCACAAAGTCATTCAGGAGTGGGTCTTCTATTCCACCATCCTCAGCGTGAACTTACCAGCCTCCAGTTCACCTCACAGTACAAGATGGCTGCAGCTCCAGCCATCACCTTCTCATTCCAGGCAGCAGGAAGGAGGAAGGGGAGAAGAGCATGCTCCCTCCTTATTAAGGGACCTCCCTGGCAGTTCCTTACTCTTCCAGTGACCTCTCTTTATCCAGAATGTTGTGACTGAGCCATAAGGGAGGCTGGGAAATGTGGCCTTTTGTCTCGGTTCTGCCACTAAGGAAAGTGGGAGAATGAGAGTTAGGAGGCAATTTGGCAGCCTCTGCTATAGTGGGCCCCGATAGCTCCCTCAGCCCTGAACAGCTGTAAGTTCATCAGCTTCTCTTAGGCTGTGTGAAAGCTGAGGGCAAGCTGACAGCTGGATACTGGACTTCAGACATGCTGAGCCCTGCATGGCTTGTTCAAGAGAGGCCTAGTAAGCTGCCCAGGGTCACACAGCTCATAGGTGGTGGTGGGCCCAGGATTAGATTCCTGGTCTTTCTGGTTCCAAAGCCCTGCTTGGAATCACTGCTGTCCTGGCACTGAATGTGGCACTGCTAGAATGTGAACAATCATGCACTCCTTATTTAGTAATAAATAGCGAGTTTAATTAATTAAATTAATTGTTAATTAATGATTCCCTCTCATGATGTATTCATTGCTGTCACCATCTTCACCCCTGGCCTCAACAAAATCCCCACCCCAGGCAAGAAGAGTTGAAAATGCAGGTGGCCCCTGCTCTCCGGCCTCAGGATCCCCACTGACTTGTCTTCAGCTTCCAGCCACCCATCCCCTCTCAGGGCTTTCTTGCACTTGTCCATGCAGTCCCCGGCCACAATTTGACAGAGCTTAGGAGCTTCCATGGTGAAAACACCAGGGGTCTTGAGTGGGCCTTTTTCCCAGGCCTGATGGGGGAATTGCCACCCCCAGGGGCTGGTTGGCCCCTGTGGACCTTGTTTTCCACCCCCCTCAACTGACTGTACTGACACCTCCCTGTCTCTGGCCACAGATCCAGAACTTGGGCTTGTTCCCCATCCACGGGATGATGATGAAGATCACCATTCCCATCGCCACCAGGAGCGGCAACCGCCTACTGAAGCTGAGGGACTTCCTCACGGACGAGGTGGTGATGGCCTTGGGAGCCGGCTAGGGGAGGGGACCAGAAGGAGACAGACACTCCCCCTACGTGTGTCCCCAGGTTCCCAGACCCCAGCTCCCTTCTCCCAGGACCACGGCTAGAGGAGGAGAAAAGAAACCTCTCTGGGATCCTGCGTCTGCCAGAGCTGGTTGTGAGGCTGTGTATGTGTGTGTGTGTCCATGTCCTTTATGTAGGCGAACACGTCCTGTAACATCTGGGGCAATAGCACTGAGTACCGGCCCACCCCAGTGGAGGAAGACTTGCGTCGTGCTCCACAGCTGGTGAGTGTCCCCCAGACCGAGAGCCACAGTGGTTGGGGTTAGAGGCGTGCCGCCGGTGCTCTGCGGGCCATTTCCCTCCCGACCCAATAGCTTGCCAATAAGAGCTTACTGAGCACCTGTATGTACCCAGCCCCAAACCAAGAAAAAAACTGAAGGAGGAAAAGACTTCTTGGCCTGTGTGAGTCCCCCGTCTCACAGGGAGTGGGACAAACACACAGAGTGAGTGTCTGAGAAGCCAAGGTCACAGCCTGTGGTGTGCCAGGCAAACGAGCAGAAAGGGGTGGGGAGAGTGGACTTGCACCTGGGCCAAGCGGGCCAGTAGGATACAGAGAGGCAGAGGGAAGGGGAAGAAAACAGACGCAGCCAGAACACCAGAACACACACGTGGCTTGTATTGGAGACATTTGGCTGCGTCAGCTGGGGCCTCCTGCCCTAGAGATGGAATGCAGACCAGCTTCAATTTCCAGAGCCCTCCCAAAACACCTGCTCATTTCCAGTTTGCATTCTCAGGGTTGCCTCTGCCTCCAGATACCAGTTTCTCACCCTGCTTCCACTGTTCTTCCCCCAGACAACAATCTTCCCTGTTTTAGTTTTACTTCCCCCAGACAAGTACCTCCCACAAAGCACTTACTGAGGGTAGTGGGCTTTGCCAAAGATTTAGGCTGGGTTGGGGTTGGGGTGGGCAGCACGGCAGCAACACTAGTAACTTTCACCTAATAAATTCTAATTGTTTGAAGATTTGTTTGGGTTTCCCATTAACGTTAGTTTCTCCACTTAATCCTTATATTATAAATGATCTTGAGGTATTACTCTAACTAAGACCTCCAGGGCAATGGTAAATAGATATGATGATGACAGAATAATCAGGATTACCTTAATCATGATTACTTAAAGGAATTTATTTTTATTTTGATTGTTAAATATGATCATTGCCCTAGGCTTCACACATGAGGGGATTTCAAAATCATTAGGCGTCCACCTTCCAGTCCTGATTTGGCTCCTTCTAACTTCTTTTGGTTTGCTAATCTTAAAAAAAATCTTTAAAGGGCAACCATTATTCCTCAGCTAATAATGTAAACAAAACTGCATTAGGCCGTGCACGGTGGCTCATGCCTGTAATCCCAGCACTTTGGGAGGCCGAGGCAGGTGGATCGTGAAGTCAGGAGCTTGAGGTCAGGAGCTCGAGACCAGCCTGGCCAGCATAGTGAAACCTCATCTCTACTAAACATACAAAAATCAGCCGGGTGTGGTGGTGGGCGTCTGTAGTCCCAGCGACTCGGGCTGGGCAAGAGAATCTCTTGAACCTGG
This sequence comes from Homo sapiens, assembly GCF_000001405.40. Lineage (NCBI taxonomy): Eukaryota > Metazoa > Chordata > Mammalia > Primates > Hominidae > Homo > Homo sapiens. The sequence continues at coordinate 68,309,685 of NC_000015.10, read as the reverse complement.
GAGGCAGACGTTGCAATGAGCCAAGTTGGCGCCACTGTACTCCAGCCTGGGCAACAGAGCAAGACTCTGTCTCAAAAAAAAAAAAAAAAAAAAAAGGACTGTATTGACATGGTTACATTCCCAGGACTCTTAGTCATTTAAGAATGGACTACATGGTTGGTATCATTGCTTACAAAAGTGTCTTGAACTTGATGGGCTTATGTTGAGAAGTAAAATTTAATTTTTAATTTTTACCTTTTAATTCCATTTTTCCACAAACTTTTTGAAGTCCCTTTGAGAGGAGCGAGCAGGAGCATTGTCATGGTGGAGAAGGAGTCTCTGGTGACATTTTCCCAGCCATTTTTCTGCTAAAGCTTTGATTAACTTTCTCACAACACTGTCATAATAACCAGATGTTCTCATTCTTTGGCCCTCCAGAAAGTCAACAAGCAAAATGTTCTGAGCATTCCGAAAAACTGTTACCATAACCTTTGCTCTTGACTGATCTGTGTTTGCTTTGACTGGACCACATCCACCTCTTGGTAGCCATTGCTTTTTTTGTGCTTTGTCTTCAGGATGGTACTGGCAAAGCCATCTTTTATCCGTTATAATTATTTGAAGAAATGCTTCAGGATCTTGATGTCACTTGTTTAAAATTTCCATTGAAAGTTCTGCTCTTTTCTGCAGCTGATCTGGGTGCAACAGATTGGGCACCCGTCAAGCGGAAATTTTGCTCAACTTTAATTTTTCAATCAGAATGATGTAAACTAAGCCAACTGAGCTGTCTATAGTGTTGGCTAATGGTTCTGCTGTTAATTGTCAGGCTTCTTCAGTGAGGGCCTGAACAAGATTTTTTTTTTCCTCACAAATTGATATGAATGATCTGCTGCTGCAAGCTCCATCTTCAGTGTCCTCTAATCCCTTTTCTTTTCTTTTCTTTTCTTTCTTTTCTTTTCTTTTCTTTTGAGACAGAGTCTGGCTCGGTCACCCAGCTGGAGTGCAGTGGCACGATCTCGGCTCACTGCGACCTCCGCCTCCCGGGTTCAAGTGATTCTCCTGCCTCAGCCTCCCAAGTAGTTGGGACTACAGGCGCGTGCCACCACGGCTGGCTAATTTTTTGTATTTTTTTAATAGAGACGGGGTTTCACTGTGTTAGCCAGGATGGTCTCGATCTCCTGACCTTGTGATCCGCCTGCCTTGGCCTCCCAAAGTGCTGAGATTACAGGCGTGAGCCACCATGCCCAGCCCTCTAGTCCTTCTTAAAACAAGTTATCCATTTGCAAACTGCTGATTTCTTTGTGATATCATCCCCATCAACTTTTTATAAAGCATCAGTGATTTCACTGTTCTTTCACTCAAGTTTCACCATAAATTTGATGTTTGTTTTTGCTTCAATTTTAGCAGAATTCATGTTGCTCAGATAGGGGCTCTTTTCAAACTGATGTCTTATCTTTCTTAGTGCCTCAAACTAGATCCTGTTCACATAGGTTACAACAAGTTAATACGAGTTTATTTTGGGGCAAAAAAAGTTTTGGAATCCATGCATAATTTTTCCATAATACACATTTTCCATGAACTTTATGAAGACCCCTTTTATCTGATTCAGGAAGTTCCCTGGGAGTTTTTATCATGAACAGAAGTTGGACTTCCTAAAATACTTTTTCTGCATCTGTTGCAGCGATCATAGAATTTTTTATCTTAATGTGTTTATATGGTGATAGGAAACATTTATAGATTCCCTAATGTTGAACAAAAGTTCTGTCCCTGGAATATATCCAGGCCGGTCACAATGTACAGCTTCAAGTGGAGCATCAGATATACCATCCTTCATTTGTCCTTCAGTCATCCCCTGGCAGACGCAATGCACATGTCCCCCACTCCCAACTTTCTCTTTGTCCCCTGTCCTCTGCCCCTGCCCCCAGGAGCAGAGCCCCAGTCGTTCAAGCAGTGTTGCTGCCCCCTGCTCCCCTAGCCCAGCAGCTCAGCCCTGAGACCCATCTTCTCTTTCAGAATCACAGCAACTCTGATGTCGTCTCCATCAACTGCAATATACGGCTGGTCCCCAACCAGGAAATCAATTTCCATCTACTGGGGAACCTGTGGTTGAGGTCCCTAAAAGCAGTAAGTAGAGCCCCTGGGCTGGGCTGGAAGGAAGAAGGGAAAGGGGGCGGCTGTTGGGATGTCTTCCACCTGGGGCTGCCTGGGGAGGGGACGGGAAGAAAAGCTTCCAAGCCAGCTTCTGACGAGCCCTCTGATTGCACAGCTCAAGTACAAATCCATGAAAATCATGGTCAACGCAGCCTTGCAGAGGCAGTTCCACAGCCCCTTCATCTTCCGTGAGGAGGATCCCAGCCGCCAGGTGAGCCCCTGGGAGCCCTGCAGAACTGGGCTTAGGCCGGACAGCTTGGGAAAGGGTTGGCCGTGCTCCTCTATAGAGTTTTCCTACAACCCCTGGCTGCATGTCCCAGCAGGAGAGAATCAGGCAGACCTGTGGGCTGTTAGGGCAGCCGCTGAAAAGAGGGAAAAAAGCAAGACAAAGCCTCAGGGGCAACACTAGGGAAGGTCCAGAGGTCTGGTGTGAACTGAATTTGTGAAGACCAAAGGATGGGAGATGCCTCGGTATCAGCCTCTGTTAGTTGCGTAAAAGCAGATTGTTACAGATTACACTGGCTTCATCCAGGGTCCAGGAAAGGAGTGAGACTCTGTGAGACCCAACGAGAAGTGAGGTCTTAAAGAAAAGCCCATTCCTGGAAGAAGTGGCAAAGGAAGAAAAAAGAAAAGAAATAAATTTGTAAAAGAAAGCAAGCAAGCAAAGCCCAGTCCTGTGGAAATAGACAGGGCAGCCGGGCGTGGGACGCTGCTGCCCTCCACTGGCCACACCCCAGAAATGCCAGCTTGGGCTCCAGGCAAACATTCCTATTACAGAGGCGGAGTAAGCTCCCAACACCACCCCAGGGAGATGCTGGAGAGCAAAGAGGCGGGGTCAGGAAGCATCCCTTATAAAACAATCCAACAAAAACCAATCACAGCCAGGGCAGGGGGATGCCAGGCAGAGGGGTATCAGGATCCACCTAAGGAGCTTTTTTGTTTGTTCATTCATTTGGCATTTGTTGGGTGTGTCTCCTACGGCTTGGGCCCCAAAGGGGAAACAGAGATAAATTAGGCAGACAGGGAAACAGTGACAATAAATGGGTGAGTGCAGTCTGGGGGTGAGCACAGGCCCGGAGGGGAGCGATTCCGAGCGAGGGACATCCCCGGAAAGCTTTCTGGAGACTGTTTGAACCGAATCTTGAAAGATGCTGCAATGTTCCCAGCATCCAAGAGAGGGAGGTGTGGTACAGGCACCCCCGCTCCCCCACACATACCCTGCTCACACACACAGAGAGAGAGAGAGAGAACCCTTCTTCTCACATTGATGCTTGTCTTTTAGGTGACTTTTCCTTCTTCCACCCCCACTCAACCCCCCAAAAAATTCCTCTATACTCTCTGGATGCCTCACTCCCTTTTTTTTTTTTTTGAGACGGAGTCTTGCTCTGTCACCCAGGCTAGAGTGCGTTGGCAGGATCTCGGCTCACTGCCAGCTCCACCTCCCAGGTTCATGCCATTCTCCTGCCTCAGCCTCCCGGGTAGCAGGTATTACAGGCGCCCGCCACTACGCCTGGCTAATTTTTTTTTTTTTTTTTTAGTAGAGACAGGGTTTCACTGTGTTAGCCAGGATGGTCTCGATCTCCTGACCTCATGATCTGCCCGCCTCGGCTTCCCAAAGTGCTGGGATTACAGGCATGAGCCACCGTGCCCGGCCATGCCTCATTTCTCTTTTAGAAATCCAGCAACCCCAAAATTAAGCCCCTGTATGCTGGGCTGTGTGCTAGGTGCTGGCGCTGGGGAGGCAGAGCCAGGTGCCCGCCTTGAGGGACAGAAAGAGCACACATAAGGGCCCTGCCATTTGCTGGCCCCCAGCTGTGTGCTGAACATGGTGACAGACCTCTCAACACTGTGAGGCACTGTCCCCACCCCCATCTCTCAGGTATGCACACCGAGGCATGTGAGATGAGGCAGGAGGGACAGTGACTTGCCTCAAGTTGAACAGTGAGTCAGTGGCCAAAGGAGGGCTCTGTCTGCTGTTGCAGGTGGTCCATTCACTCCACATGGCTCTGTCTGCTGTTGCAGGTGGTCCATTCACTCCACGTGTTAGCTGAGCTCCTGCTACATTCCCGGCACGGCTCCAGGTTCTGAGGATAGAGCAGGGACAAAACAGACAAAGCCCCCACTCTCCTACAGCTGACATTCCAGGCAGGCAATAAACATAAATATAAACGTTATCAACTGGTGATAAGGGCTACCCAGAAAAAGGCACACATCTAAGGGTGGAGTGCCAGGGGGTGCTGTTTTATACAGGGGAGTTGGGAAAAGCCTCTCCAATAAAGTGACATCAGACAGAGACCATGAGGAAGACAGGAGTGTCTCGTGGCTGCGTGAGGGAAACCCTTGCAGGCAGAGGGAATAGCAATGCCTACAGCAGGCACGCCATGGCATGCATGCTGGAGGCCAGGTGGCTGAAAGCTGGAGTAAAGCAAGAGGGAGCAGGAGGTGAGGTCAGCAAGACAGGTGGGACCCGAGAGGGGAGGGCCTTGCAGGCCAGGGCCAGGACTGCACTTTTTACTTTGAGCTTGAGCAGAGCAGAGCAGAGCATAAGCCTGCCTTCCTCGTTAGAAGGATCCCTCTAGTTGCTATGCTAAGAACAAACTGCAGAGGGGAGGCAGTCGGGCAGCGCTGTAGTCTCCAGAGGAGATGTGAGGGCACTCAGGCCCAGGAGGTGGGAGTGGTGGCCACATTCCAGGTGTTTCCAAGGTAGAATGGACAGACTTTGCTGCTGGGCTCCGTGTGGGTGTGAGAGTTAGGGTCAGTGATGGATACATGGCTTCTGGCCTGAGCAGCGCGGAGGGATAGTGCTGCCATTTGCTTAGGTGAGAAAGAGCTGGAAAGAGCAGGCTTCGGGGGCTGGGGTGTTAAGAGCTTGGTTAGGGGCCTGTTACAGTTGCCAGGCAGGCCAGGAGACAGTCGGTGTGAGCCTGGAATTCAGCGGAGAATCCAGGCGGACGACAGAAATGTGAGAGCAGTCGGCGTGTAGACGGTGATAGCCACAGGACTGAGGGAGCTGGCCTGGGCTTACTTTCTGACCTTCACGCCCTGGCCACTTTTGCCTTTGGGACACCTTCCTCCATAGGAAAAAAGTATTTAAAATTATGGTTTATAACCATGTTGATACAAAGATTAAAAAATGTTATCCAAGCTGGATTCTATTCCATTTTTTCCTCTAATTTTAAAAGAAATGTAAACATTTTCATGGGCTCCTAAAAGTGTTATGGGCCTTGGCACCATGACTACTGTGACTCGTGGGAAAGTCAGCCCTGAGTTCACCCAGGAAGTGACTCTAGAAAAAGAAGAGGTGCAAGGACTGAACCGTGGGAGACACTGACCTTTAGAAGTGCGGGAGGCGATGCGGAGGCAGCAAAGGGAGAAGGAGTAGCCCATGTGGTGGGAGGAGGATCCAGGGAGTGGCGGGGGCCTGAGGCCAAAGGCAGCAAGTGTCTCAAGGAGGCAGGATCACTTGGGCCACTGAACCCAGTGTCGGCTGTTCAGGCAGTGGTCGTCCTGAGGCCTTGGCTGGCCTGTCCACCCATCCCTCTGGTATCCCCCTGAGGAAGAGGATGCAGCTCCCCCACCAGGTGCCAGCTGTCTCCACCCTCCTGCCCCTCCCAGACTGCCACCCCAGCCCCAGAAGAGTAATGCTGTTGGCCCGGCCCCCCTCCCCTTGCAGATCGTGTTTGAGATCTCCAAGCAAGAGGACTGGCAGGTCCCCATCTGGATCATTGTAGGCAGCACCCTGGGGGGCCTCCTACTGCTGGCCCTGCTGGTCCTGGCACTGTGGAAGGTGAGGGCCCTGGCAGGGGAGGGAAGGAGCAGCATCCTGGCTGGTGGGCCCAGGCTCCAGCCCCTGGAACTTCGTGGCCGCTGCCACGTTCTCCTCTCCAGGGGAGCTGGCACCCCACCCCTCGCCATAGCAGACACACTGGTTAGGGCCAACAGACGGCACTCAGACTATGGCTCTAACCTGTTTGTGGATGCCTTTGAGAACCTGATGAAAACTAAGGTTCCTATTATTAGAGAAAAAAAAAAAAAGCAAGTACAAACAACTGCACAAAATTTCTCCCACAATGTCAAGCTGTTAACAAACCTCCCGAAGTCCATCTCTGTCTCTGAAGCTCTGGTTACAAACCCCTGGTCTCAGCCTCCTCCTGTTACAGATGAAGGAGGCCCAGAGAGGGATGTTGGCTGGGGCTGGTCACACAGCAAGATGGGCACTAGTATGACTTCTTGCATGCAGCCCATGGTCTCATCCACTGTGTTCCAGTCCACAGAGGCAGTTCTGGAGGAGGGGGTGCTCAGAATGAGCTGGGGGTACTCAAGGAAGCCCTGAGGGAGGAATCCCAAGGAAAGGTAGTGGAGGGAAAGCTGGGGCAGGCCTTGCCCACCCTGTCCTCCTCTGAGACGTCTCCCTTTGCCTCCTCACAGCTCGGCTTCTTTAGAAGTGCCAGGCGCAGGAGGGAGCCTGGTCTGGACCCCACCCCCAAAGTGCTGGAGTGAGGCTCCAGAGGAGACTTTGAGTTGATGGGGGCCAGGACACCAGTCCAGGTAGTGTTGAGACCCAGGCCTGTGGCCCCACCGAGCTGGAGCGGAGAGGAAGCCAGCTGGCTTTGCACTTGACCTCATCTCCCGAGCAATGGCGCCTGCTCCCTCCAGAATGGAACTCAAGCTGGTTTTAAGTGGAACTGCCCTACTGGGAGACTGGGACACCTTTAACACAGACCCCTAGGGATTTAAAGGGACACCCCTACACACACCCAGGCCCATGCCAAGGCCTCCCTCAGGCTCTGTGGAGGGCATTTGCTGCCCCAGCTACTAAGGTGCTAGGAATTCGTAATCATCCCCATCCTCCAGAGAAACCCAGGGAGGAAGACTGTAAATACGAACCCAATCTGCACACTCCAGGCCTCTAGTTCCAGAAGGATCCAAGACAAAACAGATCTGAATTCTGCCCTTTTCTCTCACCCATCCCACCCCTCCATTGGCTCCCAAGTCACACCCACTCCCTTCCCCATAGATAGGCCCCTGGGGCTCCCGAAGAATGAACCCAAGAGCAAGGGCTTGATGGTGACAGCTGCAAGCCAGGGATGAAGAAAGACTCTGAGATGTGGAGACTGATGGCCAGGCAAGTGGGACCAGGATACTGGACGCTGTCCTGAGATGAGAGGTAGCCGGGCTCTGCACCCACGTGCATTCACATTGACCGCAACTCACACATTCCCCCACCAGCTGCAGCCCCTTGCTCTCAGCTGCCAACCCTCCCGGGTCACTTTTGTTCCCAGGTACCTCATGGGAAGCATGTGGATGACACAATCCCTGGGGCTGTGCATTCCCACGTCTTCTTGCTGCAGCCTGCCCCTAGACATGGACGCACCGGCCTGGCTGCAGCTGGGCAGCAGGGGTAGGGGTAGGGAGCCTCCCCTCCCTGTATCACCCCCTCCCTACACACACACACACACACACACACACACACACACACACACACACACACACACACACACACTGCCTCCCATCCTTCCCTCATGCCCGCCAGTGCACAGGGAAGGGCTTGGCCAGCGCTGTTGAGGGGTCCCCTCTGGAATGCACTGAATAAAGCACGTGCAAGGACTCCCGGAGCCTGTGCAGCCTTGGTGGCAAATATCTCATCTGCCGGCCCCCAGGACAAGTGGTATGACCAGTGATAATGCCCCAAGGACAAGGGGCGTGCCTGGCGCCCAGTGGAGTAATTTATGCCTTAGTCTTGTTTTGAGGTAGAAATGCAAGGGGGACACATGAAAGGCATCAGTCCCCCTGTGCATAGTACGACCTTTACTGTCGTATTTTTGAAAAATTAAAAATACAGTGTTTAAAAACAACCAAGCACTGACATCCCATTCTGTGGGCAGAGCATATCACAGTGAGCCATACTCCCCTTTGAAGGAGAGGAAGTAGAATGAGGGAGTTCCTTGCTTCCTCCCCCCTACCTCTACATGTCAGAAGGGACTCATCCACCATTTGCTGCCCACAACATGCCCTCCTAGTGGCTGCCTGGCCTCCGTGTGACGTCTCCAGTGGTGGAGCGCTCCCTCTCCCAAGATCACCCTTCCATCTATGGCCAGTGTGGACGGTTAGGACCTAAATGTTTCACTGTAGCTTCTGCCCTTGGTTCCAGCTCTTCCCTCTCACGCCTCCCAGACTTCTCCAGGCCGGTTTCATTGTTAACCGTCTTACACTCTGACATCAGCCAAGGCGTCTCCATTCTGTTCTTGTGCCATTCATGTCTTGGATTCCCAGTAAGTAGAACCTTGGAAATAATTTGATCTTGTTTTTGCATAAATGAGGACACTCAGAACCAGGAAGAGCCCTAGGCTCCCACAGCAAAACCAAAACTAAACCCAGGACTGCTATTTCCCAAGCCAGATTCTGTTATTCGAGCCCAGCCTTAGAAGGGCTTGATGTGGAGCAAAAGGTGAAAATGGTGAAACTAAAATTTGAGTATCAAAACCCATTGCCTTCTAATAGAATCAGAAGGAAATGTTGCTAAATCATATTCCATTTCCGTCATCACTCTTATGAATGGGGTAACCTGGCTAAATGAGAATTAATGAACCCACACTCATAAGTTTTCATTGACTTAGCACCAAGTCGTCCATCAAATATCATCAGATCTGAGAATGCTCTTATGGATATCTGATTTTTAGAGGCTGGCATTCATATTTTTAAAAACTGCCACCTGTGACCACACTGCAGGCCAAACAGAATGTACCTGCTGGTCAGATGCAGCCCAGAGGTCACTGAATTGCAACCTCTGGACTCTCGGTCAGAGGCAAGCAGCCCTTATTCCAGAACTCCACAGTCCTTCACACCCTTCCCCAGACCTACACCAAGACCAACTAAGTGGTCAAAAGGTGGACAAACTGAGAGTTGTATCAAGGCCCTTAGCCTCTCAATTTGTTATCAAGTTTCCCTTTCTGAATCTATTTACCCTGAAGTATAAATACCCAAGATGAGCCTTAAGAGTGCCTGGTAGAGCAAACAAAGATGCATCTTATAGGGAGCAAAGTCTATGCTAACGCAGTGTTTCTCAATCCTGGCTGCACCTTTGAACCACGGGAGCTTTAAAAGTGACCACTGCAAGGGCCCTACCCACTATGGATCCCAATTTCATTGGTTGGGAGAGGGGCCAAGTTTGTTTCCAACTTCCCCAGATGACTCTAATGGCTGAGAGTTGCAATCAACAGGTAAGTGAATATCCAGGCTGTAAGATGAAGAAAGAGGGGGTTGTGCCCAAGCCCACTGTGCCTCATAAAGCAGATGATCTCTGCAGCGCTGCGCTTCTCAAAGAGTGGTCCCAGGACTGCCTCAGTCAGACCACAGACTCCTAAGTTCCTCCTCAGACTTCATGGATCCAAGCTCTGTGAGGTAATTCTAAGCACATTAAACTTGTAGAACAGCCATCTGGATTTAATATTACATAATAGCTATAATATTCTGCTATTCTCTAATCTTCAATGTCAGTTTCTTAAACTGTCAGGCCTGTCTTTAGATGCCCTTCAACTGTGCTGGGGACTATCTTGATGGCAGCCAGCAAAGAAAATCAGCAAAAACCCCAGTGGAGTTTCTGGGTTTTACTTTTGTTAAGGAAGGTGATGGTTTCTTGACATGACAGGTATCTAGGTGGAAAGGGCAAAGTGCTAATGCAAACACAATGGAGACACTATGGAATAGCTCTGCCTAGGGACATGTGGAAGAGCTTCTAGGAGACAGTGTGGACCTTTCCATCCCTAGAGGTCTTCACAAGATAAATTCCTACCTCCGTCAGTATTCAAAAGGTTTTAGCATCAATACTGTCTGAGAATAAGACATTAGACTTGAGTCAGTCCCCTGGCTTCAATCCCAGGATGCCAAGCAGCCTCTAATGGAGACCGCTGGCTTAATCGTGCTCCTTTCCTGGCATAACAACTCACTGCACCCATGCCTCACCACCACGAAGCAGTCTCCTCACCACCCAAATGTGCCTTGGGTGACTTAAATACAGCCATTAGTATGAATGGTCCCCTGTTTTTATTCAACACCACACCAGTCTTTGCTTTTACCTTCGGCTAATGTGGTTCCAGCCTTTTATCCTGCACTCCTTCTTATAATTTAAAAAAAAAAAAAACTCCCCTACTATCTTTATGTTAATATTAACATCAACTAGGTTCTTCTCAAAGGACAGCCAGGCCTAACTGGCCACGTTAAAATCTGCACAGTGCTTTTGTGTCACTGTCTATTCTATTAGTTTCAACATCATGCTAAAATAGGACAGCATGTTCCAAAACTGAAACTGAAACAGGAACGGAGCCTTGCTGATTTAGCATGAGGAGGGAATTGTAAGCCTTGCACCTGGACACTAAAACTTTTCAATAAGATGTATGCTAAGCCGTACCTAGCAAACTTACCAGGTCCAAAGTAGAGTACAAGCAGAAAGTTATTTTTAAAGGATGGGCACTATCCTTGAGGGACTTACCCTTTCTAATCAGCTTTGCATGGTTTGTTTTGAGACAGTGTCTCACTCTGTTGCCCAGGCTAGAGTGCAGCGGCACCATCACAGCTCACGGCAGCCTCTGCCTCCCGGGCTCAAGCAATCCCACCTCAGTTTCCCAAGTAGCTGGGACTACAGGCACACACCACACTCAGCTAATTTTAGTATTTTTTGTAGAGACAGGGTCTCGCCATGTTGCCCAGGCTGGTCTCAAACTCCTGGATTATCTCCCTGGCCCTGCATTAAAAAAGATGTGCAACAACTTAGTGATGTGTCTGAAATGTTTTCAGAAGGTGGCCCAAGTCAGAGTCAAAAAATTTTTTTATTTGGAAAATTAGAGGAAATACAGAAAATCAAATTTCAAATAGATGCATCTAAATGGAGAACAAGCTTATCAAGGACAGAGTCCATCTTTCTTATTTTTATTTTTGAGACAGGGTCTTGCTCTGTCACCCAGGCTAGAGTGCAGCGGCACAATCACAGCTCCCTGCAGCCTCGACCTCCTGGACTTCAGTGATCCTCCCACCTCAGCCTCTTGAGTAGCTGGGACTACAGACATGCACCACCATGCCCAGCTAATTTTTTTTTTAATTTTGTGCAGAGAGGGGGTCTCACTTTGTTGCCCACACTGGTCTCTCTTATTTTTGTATGCATATCTGTGGTGCAGTGCCTGAAATACAGTAGGTGTTCAATAAGCGCCAACATGCAAGAGTATCTTGCCATTGATTAAGGCAAAAGCAAAACCCCAGTCCGCCCCTCTGATGGACTGAGCACACCAAATTTCTAAAGCACAGGCAAATTAGAAAATATAATTTTGTCTAAACTTGCCAACAAGCTAAGGTTTTGTGAACCACCTAAAATTTGCCTCTCTCATACTGAAATTTTCTAGGTCAAGTATCTGAAGGAATACACTACTGCCAGTATTTTCTTTGGTGATCTGTCATATACAGCAGACATTACTTGAAACAAAGAAAAAAATGTTTTAAAACCTGTCTGGATGATTTCCGCAGTCTCACTAGGTTATTGCAGCCAGGGAGTGACCTAGCAGAGATCTGAAGGTGAGCTTCCCTAGTACTGGCATCTCACAGTGAAAGAGCACTGTTCAGTGGGTCAAGAGACCCAGAGCCTACTCTCAGTTACGACACACATAGTCCTTGTGTGGCCTTTCTGGGCTTGTGTCCTGAACTATAAAATGAGAGGGTGGCACTAAATGTTTTTTTCAGATCTCTATAGAGGCTGGAATGGCCACAGAGAATCTAAATTTGAAAACAAACATGTCCTGAGGGTGTGCTCCAATACCACCCTTTAATACTCTCCTGAGATGTGAAGGCTGGAAATGAGAATGCCATATTATTGTTACTTGCAAACGATTAGTGTATCTGGGACATCCAAAAGAAGTAACTGAAAATTTATTTCTTTAAAAACAAAAAAAACCATTACAGTGCTTTTGTAAAAACATTAATATTTAGAAGTACGTAGTGGTAATAAAAGGAAAATAGTTGTAAGACCTTCATTAAAAAGAAAAACCTAAAAAAAAAAACAAAACAAAACTCTGGATACAGGTGTATGATTTACCTAACCAGACATAGCTTTCTTTTGGATAAAAAAAAAAAAAAAAAAAAAGCTCAGAAGTGCAGAACTGTACAGATGTCCCTAAATCTATTAATTCAATGCTAAACGAAATAATCTCTTAACATGATAAAATTACACCAAACTTCATCTGGAAAAATAAACACGTAATAATGAAAAAAGTTAGCCACTCCCACCTCCCCACTTAAAAAAGACAAATGAAGAAATACTAGTCCAAGGCCAGGTGTGGTGGCTCACATCTGTAATCCCAACACTTTGAGAGGCTGAGGTGGGAGGACTGCTTGAACCCAGGAGTTCAAGACCAGCCTAGGCATCATGGCAAAACCCCATCTCTACAAAAAATACCAAAATAAAAAGAATTAGCTGGGCATGGTGGCACATACCTGTAGTCCCAGCTACTTGGGAGGCTGAGGTGAGAGGATCACTTGAGCCCGGAAGATCAAGGCGACAGTAAGCCATGATGGCACCACTGCACTCCAGCCTGGGTGACAGAATGAAACCCTGTCTCAAAAAACAAACAAACAAAAACCAAACAAATTATAGGAAAATCAACATTTTAAACCAAAGAAGAGAAGGAGAAAGAAGGGAAGGGAAGCCATAAAAGTGTCTTTTTCAAATAGATCATGGGGGAAAAAAAAAAAAAGTATGACTTGGAATAGAGACAGCCTTACAAGCAGGATCTAAAACTCAGAATCCATTTTTTTAAATTGTGATAAATTTGACTATAGAAAAATGTAAACTTTGGATACAAAAGTACCATATTTAAAGTAAATAAGCTACAACTATTACATGACAGAGAAAATGTCCTCAAACTTCTAAGGAACTTCTAACAAGTAGAAAAAAAACACACACAACCCCAAAGCAAACACCAATAGTCAATAAATATATGAAAGTGTTCAATGTTACTCATAATAAAGGCATACAAATCAAACCATGAAATGCTATTTTTCATTAATCACAACTTTGCAAAAATTAAATGATTAGATCTGATGTCAATAAAGATGTAGAGAGATGGAAGGCAATTTGATAACTTCTGTCAAGATTTTAAGTAGTCACTAAACCAAGTTCCAGTACTAGGAATGAATTTGTCCTTTAAGTATGGTACTTAAGGATGTTGACTGCAGCATTATTTGAAATATCAAAAACTGAAAATCTAAAAGTCCATCAATAAAATCTAGTTAAATACATTTTCAATCCATCAACAGAATTAATTGCTATGAAGTTGTTTTAAAAACCTATACATATAGAAATGGAAAATGCCTAAGATATATTACATGAAAAAGATAAGATACAGAATAGCGTTGCAAAGGTAGAAGTTCATTTGCATTTTAAAAACTGAAAAGGAGAAATAATACATATGTGCACAGAAACATTCTGGGAAGCTACTCAAAAAACTATTAATAGTGATTGTCTCTGCAGAGTCCAAATAGGAGGCGGGGAGAGATGAAAAGGGAACTTTTAAAATATATATTTGAATTTTTCTTTACTACGTGAATTTTTTCCCATGCACATATATAACTTTGACAACTTTAAGGCACTCAACAAAAGAACATCGCAACTAAGGCACACTGAATAATTAATAAAGACACAAACCTCAAAGTAGTTTTTTTCAAACATTTACTGAACACAAACACCATTTTTTCCTTTTACACAGCAAGATTGTTAGTTTCAAATTAGCTGAGTTATTAGGACTGTCAATTGCCATGAAACTAAAAATGACTCTACATGTCAAACTCAAATAGAAAATGTCATGCAATATATAAATCACTAATGGACCTCTGGTGCAGTCAGCAAGTTTACTATGTTTATTAAAGTCACATAAATGGTTTGACAAAAGTGCACAATAGAATGACATCACCGGTTTGTTATAAATCACAGTGAATTACTAGAATACAACAGTGTAGTTCCTCTGCACGGAGGATTGCAGGATGGGGTGAAAAGGACAGGGTCTTTTCCATCGATTAGGCCAGTCAGATTTTACTCCCCAACTGTGTACCTTTGAAAAGACTGTGAGGAAAGCTGAGTTTCTTTCCTCATCTTTTCTCCTCTACCAGTTACTAAGCAACAACAACAAAAAGCCATGCACAAATTTTACAACACCTGATAAAAAATAGATACAAAATCTTGTTCATTTCATCATTTGGCAAGCTTGCATCTTCGCTCCTTCACTTTTCTGATTAGGCCATTCATCACATGACTCACCCTGAATAAAAGCTGTAAATAATTTAGCAATACTTACCCCTATACACACATCAAGATACACTCCCCATAACCATCAAGTCACTGTCTCTTCCCTACACATTAACACAAAGGTACACACCACAAACCTAGAGACCACATTTACTTTACAGTTTTAAAAATTAATATATCTCCACTATCAATAGTGTAGTATTTATTTCAGATCCCTTATTTGGGGGAGGGCATGCTGTATAACCCAGCCCATCTAAAGATTTGGGCAAGTCTGCCAGAAATACATAAGAAAGCCCTGCAATGTGATAAACACATAGGAGTTTTCTACTTTCAAGAGATGACATCCAGAACAAAGCTATGCATTTTCAGAGTAGGAATGGACACACAGCTTAAAACCTCTGGACTAAAAATATTTCATAGCACAAAAGGCAGAGTTTTGTTTTCTTTAACCCCTTTTTAATGTTATATAGTCAGTGAGAAAAACAGAATAGTCATGTGTGCATCAACACATCTAATTTGAAAAGGAACATTTAAGATTCTTACAGAAAATCTATCATAAAAAACAAGTCCTTTATACTTTCATTCATTTACTCACTAATTCAGCCACTGGCTGTTTCTAAACCAGCAAACTAATCAAAGGTCTGGCAACTCACTCCTCATCCCACCCCATTCCAAAAAAAAAAAAGAAACGCTTCTGCTTAAATAACCCAAAGTGGTCTTATTCATAAAGTAGCTGCCTCAACTATAGTGAAAACTCTTAACAGGGTGTTGCTCACTTGAAATTTTAATTTTCAAAACATTTGTCAAACAGAGTTGGTATTTAGAAAGCTGCTGCCCCCAAATCATATTTTACTTCAAACAATGTTATCATACCTAAGTTCTCACAATTACCAATTATTAGTCCACTATTAGTATAATGAAATAAAACCCTTCTCAGAAACAAGCAGACCAAAGCTTACAGATGGTCTGCTTTGGGGTTTGGTTTATTTAAAATTCCCACAGCAAAGAACCTTAACGTGATTGGGCTGTGGGCTACTAGAGCAACCAGGGTGGACTGAAAAAGCTATGTTTTCAGTGTCAGTTCTAATGTAAAAATGTTCCCCTTCTTTATCAATCGAGGGGATGGGTTTGCCGCCCATTCCTTGAGTTAAATAGTTAACTTCATAGTTCAATTTTGCCAACTCTATCAAGTGCATAAAACCCACTTAAGTTTCTCATGATTTGCGAATGAAAACATCCACCTGGGCCTCCCTAGCTCATCCAGATTTATATAACAATTACTGAACAGGACAGAGAAGTTTTGGTTGAATCTGTAATACCATCAATGAAGATTTACAATTCAAAGCATAAGTATACCAATAGTAAACATCAAATGACCAAAGTGGCTGCAAAATGGAGACAGCCTAGAGTTCACAGAGGGCTGAGATATAGAACTATCATTTTCTTACCTATTTTCCTTTTTTAAAAAAAAATTAAGTTGGGGAAGGGTCTGGCTAAACATATTTTCAAACAATTCTACCAAAAACATTTTAAAAAAACAGGCATGTAGATCACTTATTTCAAAAATGATTTTATACAGGTGTTTCACAATACACATTTGGATTGATTTTACAAGATAGAATTAGATTCTCAGCAAGATACTACACAATTTACCACTATACTAAACAAACAAAAAATCTAATTACCATTAGCATAGTTCATAGTTTATTCCACTGTCTTCAAATTCGTTCTCCACCCTGTCAGCATTTCAATCAACAGTTTTACTTTCTTCAGCATTGTCTTCCCTTCTCAAAATAGAATGTCATTAAATTTTGATGTCTGAATATGTACATATAATCATTATTCTCATTTTATAAATAAGCAGTGTCTTAAATAGTGCTGGTCCTGGGTAGCCAAAGGGATGAAATGTGTTTTTAAAACATGCAACATTATCTGATATTTTAAGTTTTGATGTTTAAATAAAAATAATATACATTAATAATGGAACCAACTGAATACCAAGTATCAAAGCTATTCCTTAGACTGTCCAATAAGCAGGCCTTGTAGTTTGAAAAATAAAGGGTCTGATCTGAACTGTGGAAAAAGCATGATTCACTCACCTTGAAGAAGTGCATTTTCTCTTTCAGGCCACTGAGAGTTGCTAAGAGCAAGGTACAGTATTTCCTTGATTCATACCAGGAGGATCAAGTCTGGTAATTTTCAAATTAGGGCTCACTCAAATAAATACCTCCATTTAAGCCAACCTAAAAACCTTCCTTGTAAAATCTCAGGTTAGGAAAATAGGTATCTATTACCATGACAGAATTTACCATCAAAACCTTCCTAACTGAAGCAAGAAGACAAAGTATAATGATAGCAACTGTAAAAAGTATCTTGCATCCTTGGGGGATAGTCCCCCCTTCTGTCCCCTCCCATCCTTCAAAATATTTCATTTTGTGGGGTATCTCTATTTTATTTAAGGCCCTAGGGTGCTGATTTTGGCTTGGTCATTGTTTTATACTGATCCAACTGCAACCTTTCTCTTACACTTTACAAAGCATTATCCATATATAAAATGTTAATTGAAACCTTTTTTTTTAAGTTTATATCTGATGCTGCTACATCATTATAATGCTTTTCATTAAAGAAAAAAAAAAAGCTACAGGTCTTCACTTACAGTACCATGCACTATGAGTAGCTAAGGCATTCATTTGGCACTAGAGAGAAAATTACAGATACAGCTAATTTTGCTTTCATTATCATTTTTAACATCAATAGAAATAAGCATATAACTTTCACTTGAATTTCTGTAATGCTTAAAAGATAATCACAGAATACCCTTTTAGTTTGACAGTTACAATGTTGCCATTAAAACAAAACAAAAAAACCATAAAGACCTCTGTATAGCCTGTAGGAATAAGTGACATTTTGTGGTTGAAAAATTTGCAGCTCTCAGACACAATTACCTTTCAAGTGGCATTGAGAATTATTTTCATCATAAAAAACATGTAAGTTCCTATACCACACTAGTGATATTTCTACTTCTTGTCACAGACTAAGAAAGTGAAAAAATTCAAACATATCCTGGTTCCTTTTCATCTGTCATAAGTAAAATACCTTATTAGGGAGGCATAAATAATGCCTTCTGGAAAAGTAGTTTCCAAATTTTAAAAGATACAGGAGAAAAAGGGAAAAGGGGACAAAAATAGAATGTATAACTACACTGTGACAATTTGTTTCATAAGAAAACAGCATTCATAATTTTTACATGTCTATGAGCTGAATCAAATAGACTGCTGCAATTTAGATAAATTTCATTAAAATAGACTTTGAAGAATTCAAGCCTAAAGGCAGAGTCCATCAAGATTCTCTGAAAAGTTGGTTTAAGATGATAACCATTTTGTATATACTACCCAGCATAATGCAACAATTTCAAATGGATTTAAATTTATAAATTTGTAACTATTATTAAATTAGCACATTTTCCAGATTAATCTGCAGCTATTTTTTAAAAATCCTCCTGAATGCTAAAATGTGCTGCATCACTCCGTATAAATAATGGAAGAGTGTAAACTATCTACAGCAGTTTGGCATGTGCAGAACACCTGGATATCCCATTCCTCTTAATGTTCCTTTTTAGCTCTTTTTCTTCATAAAATCCTCAAAACTGCTGCATGGATAACATGCTGACATAGGCTTAACAGAAATACTTTTGTAAGCAGCTGTTTAAAACATTATCAACTTGAAATTATAAATGTCCCTTGTTACATAAACAAAACATTTTATATCTGTTCCTTTAAAAAAAAGAAAGACAAATAGGTAACCAATATGCAAATACCTTATAGTTACACCAAAACAATGTGGTTTTGTTAAAGTCTGTCTGAAATCAATTACCATGAGGCAAGAAAAACAAATACAGAACTAAGGAAGGATGGGATGGGAGGAAGGGTAGTGGAAAGAAAAGCAGAATTTATGAACACATAATTCTACTGTCTGTGATTAAAAGTCCTTTACTTTTTAGCACCACATTAAACGACTTTACATATCCAGTCACTTAATGAAATCCAACAAACTCTTCAAGAGTTCTGGGGATCTGGTCTTGGTAGTTAATGTCATTAGCCCGAACTGCTCGGGCAGCCAGGCACTTGAGACTCATCTTCATTTGAGTTTTAAGCAGTATTTCAGATACCCCAGTTGTACTTTTGTCTAGCGGAGTCTTATTCTGTTTATTCGTCATGTCAGTGTGAGCTCCGGCTTCAACTAGGCTAATGATGATGGAGTGCAAGGTCAAAAAATCACTGATGGGCCTGTTGTACTGAACGATAATATGAAGGGCACTGTTTCCCTCATTGTCCACGGCATTCACCTCAGCACCACAGTCCAGCAGGAGCTTTGTGACAAGTGCATTTGGAAAGCTGCAGACGTCATTGGTGTGGAAATCATCAACTGGAGTATTGGAATTGACAGCCAGATGCAGCAAGGTGAAACCTTCACGAGTTCTGGGATCAAGGTGAATCAGGTTGTAGATCTGCTTGTTAATTTTGCACTGATCTTCTTCGCTGCACTGTGTTTTGGTAGAGATGCACACTAAATACAGAAAGGTATAGAGATTACATTCATAATTGTCCATAGCATTGTGGACATCAGCATCTGAAATATTTTTCACTCTGTTCATACTTTGTTCTATTTCCAAAACACTGCATCTCAAAACACATTCTATGTCTGGGGCCTTCACAGTTTCATTCAAATGTATCATTTGTGAGAAAACTTGAGCAAATCGAAGAAGATCCTTGTGGGTGTTCCTGTTACCTTTTTGTCTGAGGTGCAGGGCATGAAGCCACAACTTGATACACTGCTCAAATTCCATATTATCCGCATAAACAGCTCCTCTGTAAATGATGGGATGAGAAACATCAATATTGTCAGCACCTAAAATCCGTTCCCGAACTATAAGGCCTTCCATATGAAGAGCATCTCTGTCTTGCCGAATGGACTCCAGTTCCTGAGGATTTCTACATTCAGTTCTATTCCCATAAGCATGGATTGGTGGAAGAACCTCTTTTTCGAGAATGTTATCACCATCTTGGAACCTCTCTAACATGGCTAAATATAGATAGTGGTATGTCTTTATGATGTCATAGTTCTCACGGTCATTTGCAAAGGAGGCACCCAAGAGTTCCAAAGCTTCAATCCGACTTCTTCGGTCGCAATCAGCATGAGAGAGTAACAGTTCTACGACATCAGCTTTACAGCTTTCGGCAGCTACTTTCAATGGCGTCATCCCATGGCCATTCACTACTATAGCAGCACGCCATTTTATCAGCTCTTTCACAATATCTATGTGCCCAGCTTCAGCTGCAAAGTGCAATGCTGTGGCTCCACAATGTGCTTTGGCATTGGGATCAGCACGTTGTTCTAAAAGGTATCTGACCACATCAGTGTGTCCCTTATATGCCGCAATCATTAGGCAGGTGTTGTCATATTTGTTGGCAATGCTGATGTTGGCATTATTTTCAACCAAGTATTTCACAATGTCCAGTCTGCCATCAAAGCATGCTGCCCGCAGGGGGGTTGAATTAGTTACTGTGGTATGGTTCACGTTGGCTCCATGGCTGACTAGAAGTTTAACAACTTCAAAATGTCCTGCTCCAGCTGCACACCAAAGAGCAGTGGCACCATCAATGACATACCTACACATGAAAAGAATAAGCAGTTAGATAACAGAGGCCACAGCCTAACATATGTTTAAGGGATGTATTCACTCCCACCGACCAAGACCTCACTCTCCAGAACATTAATAAAACATCAGTTCTCATGAAAATAAAAACAGGTAATTTAAGGAAAGCACTTTGCATAGTACTTGTACCTAATATAAAGCTCAATATATGCTAGCTATTACTGTTACTACTAGAGTATATAACCCTAAAAAACAAACCTGAAAAATCACGAACTTTCTACTAGCAAAAGTAAAGACACTTCAGAAGGCACAGAGGAAATGCGTGGAGGTAGCTTCTTCATCACCAAGTTGATTCACTGGTTACTAGGAGAACAGCATGTTCCTCCTTCCCAGTAGCCTCCAGGTAGCAAGCAGTTTCTGACAATTATGAAAGCCACCCCAACCCTACATTAAAGCTGTGTTAGACACTGCTTTAAGAAGAAAAAAATAAAGCAGGTAAGTTTCCCCTAAGCTAATTGAGTACTATACTACAGCAATGAGAATGAAATAATTACTGCTCCACACACAATATGAACAGATAACATAAACCTGATGCTGAGAAAAGAAGTCAGATGAACACAGCACATATTATATTATTACATTTACATACCTATCTGCAGTGTTAGAAGTGAGGATACTGGTTACTTTTGGGGAGAGGTAGTGAAATGGGAGAAAGCACAAAGGGGACTCTAGTAAACAAATATGTTCACTTTGTGAAATTTTTATATATTTATAATTAGTGCATTTTTCTCTAAGTTACGTTATGCTCCAATTTAAAAGTTTTAAAATGTATATGTATATGTGTGTGCATATACTGCTTGTCTGTGTGTTCCTCAATCAACCACTACAGGAAAAAAATACTAACAGCAGGAAATAATTAGCACTTTTGGAAAACCAAGCAGATATCTTCTCTGACATGACTGGACTTGTGGCTTCATACTTATCACTTACTTACTAAACATCTGATATGTGCTAGATTCACTACTTAACATACAAAATTAGACTATTGCTAGAGTCTGATCTTTCCCACCTTTCTACTGTCAATTTTTCCCCAACCTTAATTTCTAAATTTCTTACCACTAACCAAAAGACCTGATAAGTAGATTTTTGCTGGAGACAGTCTACTGTGCTAGAAGCAATAAGTACATTTGGAAGTGTTAAGAAGAAAGGTTGATCAAAGGAATATTCACTAGGGCAATTAAATATACACACCAAAAACCACACTAGTGAGCTTCTCACTATACAACCTTATAACACTGGTCAAATTATATCCCCCATGAAGTGGAAAAGAGAATAATGCTCCTGGTGCTATAGTTTGAATGTGTTCCCACCAAAATTCAGGTGTTGCCAAACGTGAATAGCATTAAGAGGTGATGTCTTGAAGAGGTGATTAGGTCATGAGGGCTCCTCCACTTGTGAATGAAATTAAGGACCACACACAAGAGGCGTTAGGCCTGGCATGGTGGCTCACGCCTATCATCTCAGTACTTTGGGAGGCTGAAGTGGGCAGATCACTTGAGGTCAGGAGTTCAAGACGAGCCTGGCCAACATGGTGAAACCCCATCTCTACCAAAAATACAGAAATTAGCCGGGCATGGTGGCACACGCCTATAATCCCAGATAGGAGCCTGAGGCAAGAGAATTGCTTGAACCTGGGAGGCAGAGGTTGCCGTGAGCTGACATCGTGCCACTGCACTCAGCCTGGGCAACAGAGCAAAACTTCATCTCAAAAAAAAAAAAAAAAAAAAAAGAGACGTTAGCAACGTTCCGCTGGCTTGCCTTTTCACCTTCCACCATGTGAGGACACAGGATTCCTCCCCTCTGGAGGATGCGGCCCTCACCAGACAACTGAACCTACTGGCACCTTGATCTTGAACATTCCAGCTTCCAGAAATATGAGAAATAAATTTCTGTTCATAAATTACAGTGTCAGGTATTTTGTTATAACACCACAGAACAGACTAAGACATATAAATATCATGGTTTAACCCCAGTTAACATCACCACAAAAAACAATACCCTTTATCACTTCTACTGAAAATACTCATTTTATAATAATTTAAGCAATTACTTCTTCAGTTTCAAATAATGACACAAAATGTTTATAAACAAAAGCCCTCTCAGTAACAGTGGCTACCTACAGAGAAGAGGCTAGGACTGGCTGGGAAGAGACTTGAAGGTACTGGAAATGTCCTACATTTTCATCTGGGTAGCAGCCACATGGATATTTAGGGAAAAAACTCACCAAACTGCATACTTAAGACCTCTGCATTTTACTGTATGTAAGACATACCTCAGAAAAGATCAGAAGCCTCCTAAAATTATTTTTCAAATTTTTATTTTTAAAAATGCATTTGTTAATTGATTTTTTTTAACTAAAGAATGAATCAGGCCGGGTGCGGTGGCTTATGCCTGTAATCCCAGCACTTTGGGAGGCCAAAGCAGGCGGATCACCGGAGGTCAGGAGTTCGAGACCAACCTGGCCAACATGGTGAAACCCCGTCTCTACCAATAATACAAAAATTAGCCAGGAGTGGTGGTGGCACATGCTTGTAATCCCAGCTACGCAGGAGGCTGAGGCAGGAGAATCACTTGAACCCAGGAGGCAGAGGTTGCAGTGAGCTGAGATTGCACCATTGCAATCCAGCCTGGGTGACAAGAGCAAAACTCCATCTCAAAAAAAAGAATGAATCAAGAAAATAAGACACTACATCAGTGATGCCAACTATATGTTTTGCAAACAATTCAGTTTAATTAAAATTCACTTTTGTTATTTTTTTGTTATGTTTTTATTGTCATGATTATGTAAAGTTCAATAAACATTTATTTATTGTCAAAAAATAACACTTGCAACAGCATCAGAAAATACCAATAAATAGTAATAAATCTAATGAAAAATGCACAAGACTTCTACACTGAAAACTACAAAACACTCCTGAGATAAGTAAATCTAAATAAATGGGAAAATATTCCATGTTCATGATCCAGAAGACTCTATAATGTTAAGATGTCGATTCTCCCTCAAAATGATCTATAGATTCGATATAAACCAAATGAAAATCCTAGCAGGTTGTGTGGTATATGTGTGTGTGTGTGTGTGTGTGTGAGTCCAAGAGGTCGAGGCTACAATGAGCCATGATCAGGCCACTGCACTCTTGCCTGAGCAACAGTGCGAGAACCTCTCTCTAAAATGGGAAGGAGAGAAAGAAAGAACTGACAGGCCAATTCAAAAAAGAATATGGAAATGCAAACAACCAAGATAATCTTCAAGAAAAATAAAGTTAGAGGACAAACTACAGTAATTAAAATAAGTGCTGGCACGGGGACAGAATAATATTATCAACAGACCAAAAAAAAAAAAAACTCCAGAAATAGATTCACACATACAGAATCCCTTGATTTCTGACAAAGGCTCCAGTGAAATTCAGGTAGAAAACATGGTCTTTTTAATAAATAGTTATGGAGCAACAAGATAATCTATATGGAAAATAATTAACCTTGATTCCTACCTCACAGTACATACAAAAATTAGAGACACAGTATAGACCTATAGTGTGAAAAGCTTCTCAAAATAAAAAAAAAGCCATAGACTATTCTTAATGAATTTAGTGTTGATCACAATTTCTGGAACAGAATACCAAAAAAAAAAAAAAGCATTAACCGTTAAAGAAAAAGAAAGTATTTATTGGATTTCATTAAAACCAGAACTTCCATTCATCAAAAAACATTATAAACAAAGCGATTAAGTGGCCAGGTGCAGTGGCTCACACCTGTAATCCCAGCACTGCGGGGGGGCTAAGAAGAGGACTGTTTGAACCTAAGAGTTCAAGACCAGCCTGCGCGACACAGCAAGATCCTGTCTCTACTCAATTTAAGAAAAAAAAAAAAAGACTGAACAAGTATACTTCACAAAAGATATCCAAATGGCCCATAAGCATATGAAAAGATGCTCAAGATAATTAGTTAACAGGGAAATGCAAATTAAAACCAGTTTACCAATATACACACCCAGCAGAATAGCTAAATTTAACAAGACTGACAGGGCAATAATAAGTGTTGAGCAAGATGTGGCAACTGACATTCTCATTGCTGGTGGAAACTGCAAGTAGGAATGTAATTTGGTTGTTGAACTTTGGGGAAACTATTTGGCAATATCTGTTAGTTAAACATACACCTACCTGATGACCCAGCAATTCCACTCCTTGATATATACCAGATAACTAAATGCAAATGTCCACCAAACAACATACACAAATGTTCACTGCAGTTTTATTCATAACAGTCAAACACTGGAAACAACCAAAATATTAATTAATAGGAAATGGATAAACTGTAGTATATTTATGCAACGGAATACCACACATCATTAAAAAAAGAAACTACTGATACATGCAAGTACATGGATGAATCTCAAAGACACTGTGTTAAGCGAAAAAAGCCAAACAAAAAGAGTACATACTACATAATTCTGCTTATAGGAAGTTCAAGTACAGGCAAAACTAATCTGTGGTGACAGAAGCTGTATTAGTCCATTTTCACGCTGCTGATAAAGGCATACCCGAAACTGGGCAACTTACAAAAGAAAGAGGTTTACTGGACTTACAGTTCCACATGGGTGGGGAGGCTTCACAATCATGGCAGAAGGCAAGGAGCAGCAAGTCACATCTTACATGGATGGCAGCAGGCAAAGTGAGCTTGTGCAGGGAATCTCCCCCTTACAATCATCAGATCCCGTGACACTTACTATCAAGAGAACAGCACGGGAAAGACCTGCTTCCATGATTCAGTTGCCTCCCACCAGGTCCCTCCCACAACACGTGGGAATTCAAGATAAGATTTGGGTGGGACATAGCCAAACCCTATCAGAAGTCAAAATAATCATTACCTCTGGCAAGGAAAGGGAGGAAACTGAGAAGGGGCACAAGGGAAACTTTTAGAGTGATAAAGTGTTCTACACATTGATCTAGAGAGTGACTAGATGGATGTAAACATATTAAAAATTCATTGTACAGTATTGTACACAAGATTCATGTACTTTACTAGATATGATATACCTCCACTAAAAAAACAGATATAATTAAAAACAAAAATAGGCACAAATGACTTCAAAGAAAAATAGTTTAAATGAATACGAGTAATTTATACCAAATACTTTCATTTCAAGTAATTTCAATTTCAAGTAATTTCAATTCAAGTAATTTATACCAAATTACTTTGGTAATTTATACCAAATACAGTGCCAAGCACTGTATTCACTGCTGAATATGCAAAATATCTCACTTAATCTTCACAATAATCCTGTGAGGTAGGTACTATTATTATGCCCTATTATACTATTATATTATAGTTATAATATTAACTATTATGCAGATAAATAACTAAAAAGTTTATATGAGGGCTGGGCACAGTGGCTCACGTCTGTAATCCCAACACTTTGGGAGGCCAAGGTGGGTGGATCACCTGAGGTGGGTAGTTCAAGACCAGCCTGACCAACACGGAAAAACCCCATCTCTACTAAAAATACAAAATTAGCCAGGTGTGGTGGCGCATGTCTGTAATCCCAGCTACTCGGGAGGCTGAGGCAGAAGAATTGCTTGAACCTGGGAGGCAGAGTTTGCGGTGAGCCAAGATCACGCCATTGCACTTTAGCCTCGGCAACAAGAGTGAGACTCCATCTCAAAAAAAAAAAAAAAAAGTTTACGTGAGATTAAAAATACAAAAGTACTTGGAATACCATAAAATGCATCAAACGTAAGGAAACATAGTACACATCATTGTTCAAACATTTGTTTCAATTTAAAGAACGTTTCCAAACTGATTAATATAATAAAAAAATACAAAGTTAATACATAGTAACAATTACATAGTTACAATGTTTCCTTCCACTGGATTTGTTTTGTTTTGTTTTGAAACAGGGTCTTGCTCTGTTGTACCGGCTAAGTACAGTGGCACAATCACTGCTCATGGCAGTGGCACAACCACTGCTCACTGCTGCCTAGATCTCCCAGGCTCAAGGGATCCATCCACCTCAGCCTCCTGCATACTACCTTTTTTTTTTTTTTTTTTTTTTTTTTTTTTAGGTAGAGATGAGGTCTCACTATGTTGCCCAGGATGGTCTCAAATTCCTGAGCTCAAATGATATCCCCACCTAGGCCTCCCAAAGTGCTGGGATTACAGGTGTGAGCCACTGCAACTGGCCTGGTTTTTAAAACATATAATTATTATATGCCAGGAAACAGGAATCTAAACTACTTCAAACTCAAGAAATGTTAGATTAAAATAGGCAGTCACATTATCTTTAACCCTAGCAATAAACCTATAGGAAAAGCATTACCCTCATTTTAGAGATGAAAAGAGACAAAAAGTGATTAAAATATTTTTCTGATCTCAAACTTCTCAGAATCTATGATGTAAGAGTAAAAATTAAATTACAAGTATTCACTTGGTTTTTATAATGGAAACTACTTGGTCAGTTTAATATTTTTCCTGGTATAGTCTAATAATTTCCATTTTTTTCCCTTGAGCTACAGTCATTTGACAGGAGCCTCAAAAAAGTTCCAATTACCTATTTCTATTGAGGCAATTAAAAATTTTAAAGATATTCTATGACAAAAGAATTCAATGCAGAATGTTTCACAAGACTGGTCCTTCAGAAACATTAGCCTTGGTAAATTTAGAATTTCTACATCTAAATCAAAATATTAAACAGATTAAAGAGAATTACAATACTAACATTTATGACATTCCTCCATCTATAAAATCTAGCTAAAATTGTAAGACTATACTGCCTCAAAACAAAATACCAAATACATTTAACAGAAATTAAAGATAAAATAAAATTAATGCAGTATTTACTAAGTTCCTAAAGGAGAAGCACTATAAAGCAATGATCTTTCTAGGCCCAGTCCAAAATTACAATGCAAGTTCTCTATTATGTATTCATCTTCAAATCAAGAAACTATAATCTGATATTCACCTTTTCAAACAAATAGTATCCATCAGATGATGGAAACTTTTCACAATAAGAGATAACATTTCTGATCACAAGGCTGAGCTCATCTATTACCTGGTTCAATCTGAAATAGAAATGCCTGGTTCAAGCATTTGAAAGGGAAATAAAAATTCATTAAATATAAATGATCCACACTTTATTTTAACCAAAGTCCTTAAAAATCATGTATTACATGAAATGTAATCCCTTGAAATATATATTGCCAACGACTTTCTAAATGAAGTCAAATACTGGCATGCCCCTCATGCCTTTCCTCCGCCTCAACATTTATCAGAAGTATTAGTACTAGCACTGACTTTAAAAGAACAACACTCAACAAAAAGCCTCAAAATTCTCGGAGGTCCTATTCTCCCCATCCACATCAGCAAACCCCTTCAAGGACAGGTGGTCTCCACAAACTCTGGCAGAGAGCAGTCAGACCCTCAGAACTCAGGCCAGCACAATGTTTCATGGTCATATGACACCTCCCCCTTGTTCTGTTCCCTTTTTATAACATTCTTAACAAACAGCTTCCCATTATTCAACTAAGGGATCTTCTTTCATTCCCACTCATGTGACTTTTCTTCTTGTCCACTCATCTATATCAACATGGTATTCACATGTCACGCCACAAGTAAAATAATCTCAAATGTTACTCCTAAAAATGTGAACAAGAGGCCGCGCACAGTGGCTCAAGCCTGTAATCCCAGCACTTAGGGAGGCCGAGGCATGCGGATCACGAGGTCAGGAGATCGAGACCATCCTGGCTAACACGGTGAAACCGTCTCTACTAAAAATACAAAAAATAGCCAGGCATGGTTGTGGGCACCTGTAGTCCCAGCTACTCGGGAGGCTGAGGCAGGAGAATGGCATGAACCCGGAAGGCAGAGCTTGCAGTGAGCCGAGATCGCGCCACTGCACTCCAGCCCCGGCGACAGAGCGAGACTCCGTCTCAAAAAAAAAAAGTGAACAAGAACTCAAATATCAATGGCTTAATCTAGGTGGGTGGTCCCTTTCCCCTCGAGGCTCTATCATGAATCCACTTTAGTTTCCTAAGGTATTATAGAAGGTTTTAGGTAGAATAGACTTTTTAAAACTTTTGTAATATTTATTTTAATGTATGTCTTTCTCACGCACACACACAAAACACACAGCAAACCCATAATTACATGGGATGAAGCTAAGAAGTAAAACATTCTGAAGACAACTATCAAGCAAATAACAGACAATTTAAAGAAAAGATATTTATTAAGTAAACAGCAGGTTAGTGAACAATTTGGCCAAAAATTATGAAGCTAGCACGTGAATGACTAAAAATTAGAAACACTAATCTACTTCAGCACACAGCTGTTAATCCCTATATGGCCATGTGTCTCAAGTGCTGGCTATGTGTTTTTCAAAGGTCAGCCCCCAAGGGTCAAGTCAGCTTTCTATTGTTAATGTACTCAGGCTAACATTTTCACAATGTCTGAAACAAATGCAAAGTGAAATCATCACACTCTTTTTTGGTTCTAAAATCCTAAAATGACTGGGATAAACTGCAAAATAATCTCACAGAAGGTGTGAATGCACAGAGAGTACCAGGAACTTCAATATCTCTTTTATTAATTAATTTGTAAGCTTCTCAAAAGTAGAAACCTTAGATTTCCTGTACCTTACATTTCCTCCAGAACATGACACAGGCTAGGCCCATCACAAGCATTTAATAAGGACTATTTTTACATAGCAGCTAATAAATTCATAATTGTAATAATCCATAAGCTAAACTGATATACAGAATCAAGGAGATGAAATCTTAAATGATGGAAACATTTGAGATTGCAGTTTAACCAGTCTTACTCTTAGTACTTTATACAGGGATCACCAAAATCTGGGCTCCAGCTCTCTCCAGTCTCCCACAATCTCTTTCTTAATTGCCCCAACTTGAATCCCTTCTTGCAACAGCACTGAAACACTAGTCACTGCAAGGGCACCAAGCTGCTGCCCCTCTTCTTCATGTCCTACTACTATTCTTTAAAACACAGCTCGAACGTCACCTCCTCTGTGAAGCCTTTCTAGATTCCCCCCGGATAAAACAGCACTTCCTTTCCCTGTTTTCTCTCAGTAGTCCAAATGATTTCTACAACCCTAAATGGCATGGCATCTGCAAATACTCATTTGTGTTATTAATTTCTCTCCCCCCACCCAGACTGACATCCTCCAAGACAAAAGAGTATGTTATTCATCTCTGCATATCCAATCCCTACCACAGAACCTAGCACGCAGTAGGTGTTCAATAAATGTTTACTTACCGAACTCATTAATTTCTCTGGCCAGTACAGAACATTGGGCAAGATAAGCCACTACACAGGCTCAATGCTACATTTCTAGTCATTTCAGGTTCTTTTAATTGCCACCTCAAAACATCTCTTTGACGACTGAAAAAGATGGCAATAAGCAAAACCTTTCGAAATTCTTAACTCTTTTTTCTCCCCACTATTCTCCCTTATGCACATTGCCTCAGCAGCAGTATTCCCAAGCAGCTGTTATTACAGAAATTCATATCTCAATGACTTCATATGCCTATACAGGTGGAACGGTACTGGAGGTTCAGAGGTCACTGTGCTTCACTCCTTCTCTAGGTGCGGGAATGCAAGGAGTTACAGAGAAGACACGAAAGCCAGTAAGGAAAAGCAAACATGAATCAGGTTGCCATCTTTGGTCAACATGAAAAAAAACATCTCCTTAATGTGTATAATGGTGATACCCGTGATATAAGCCATTGCCCATGGGCTACCATTTCATTAAGATGTAATGCTATGAATATTTTCCACTCATCTAAAATAGAAGAAAAAGCTTTTATTGTTTAAACCTAAAAAAGAATCAACCGAAACAGAACATTTCCCTAGTCATCTTAAAGAAGAAATGTTTTTTTCAGTCGAGTTTTAGCCAGGCAGTTTCTAATCACCAAAAACTAAAGATATATATTTTTATGCTCAGACCCTACTGACTTCAAAAGAAAAAAAAAATGCTAAAATAGCTTATGTACTACCACAAGTCAACCAAAACATATGTAGCAAAATCGTTATACAGTTGTAATCTGTAAAACGTGTTATAATCCTCCAGCATAGAAAAGAGGATAATGTCAAACCTGACAATTCTGGTCAAATACCCAAAAATTCGTACAATTAAACTCAAAGGGCAAATCTTAGGCATAACAATGTGCATTTTTAAACTTCCCACCTCAACTAACAGTAAATGATCAAGCTTCCCCACAACATCACGGGATAAGATGTAATTTAAGAATGGCATCATCTCCCACATCAGGTCCAATGCCATCTTAGTAGCCAATATATCTACACCGAGCAACGTGGAGGAATCAGAATCATGTCTTGAGATGTCTGGCTGCGTGACAATCCCTCATGATGCTGCAGCTGCTGCTGGTTCTAGGTGCTTATTTTGACATTAAAGCCCAGCAGCCCACTGAAGGTTTTACGGAACCACTCACTTGAAGGGAGTAAAAATGGATGCCCAAATAACTCTTTCGGAGTTCTTCAATGTTAACCGCTGACCTCCTTAATTTCTGATCAGTTACATCACCAGTTCCACTAAAAGTAAAACCTGGAAAGGCAGCCACCTCCTCCAAATGGCTTGTTCACAGACTATCTAGTAGAGAAGACGACTATTAGATTTCAAGGCCGAGGGTGTGGTTATCTTCCCACAGAGGGAATGAGGGGTAGGGGCTGATGAGGACGGGCAGCAAAACATGGGATGGATTATTAGCCCTGGAAGATGAAGTGGGCATTAGTGGGGCAGGAGGTGGTACAAAAAGGGGAGAAGTGAGTACCTACATGAAGAGAGGGTAAGAGAGGGTGAGGGAGGGGAGGGCCCGTGAATTAACGAGTCCGCGCGCGTCGGAGAGAGGCTGGCTTGGGATGTACCTACCCGTCGAAGCGGACGGTGCCAGTCTGCTGAGTCTGCACCCGGTAATGTTCTAAGAGCAAGCGTACCACCTTTGCGTGTCCATTGCGGGCTGCGATGATGAGGGGCGTGGAGCGCTGCCCTCCCTGCTGGCTGACATAGCCAAGCAGATAGCGGATGTCGCTTTCAGACCGGTTGAGAAGCAAGGCGGCCAGAGTCAGCACCTTGCCCTCGCTGGCCGCCTTGTATACATAGCCAGCCAGGCCCTCCATGGCCGCCGCCAACTCCAACACCCGTTTGGTCGCCACCGCTGCAGCTGCCGTGCGCCCCCGGAGGCCGCGTTCGCCAGCGCTTTAAACCTGGGCCCTCACAGCCCATTCAACAGGGCGCCGTCGCCGCCGCCGCGCCCAGGCAGCAGTGCGGCCCAGGGAAGGCGGAGACGCAGAGGAGGCCGAGTGCCGCGAAGGGCACGTCCGCGACCCAGCCCGCGCAGGGAGGAAGGCGGTCAGGGCCGCCCGCCAGGTCCCAGGCGCCGGCCCTGGACCGAGGGGATCTCCATGGCGGACGCCGCCCCGGGCCTCAGGCCGGACCCCTCCTTCCTGCGGGATGCGACAGGCGCGTGCCCGAGCTACGGGTCGCCGGCCGGGTCCCGAGAGGACCTCGCGCACCCCGGATGGCGAAAGATGGGCGCGTCTCTCCTGACCCGGCCCACCCGGCCTAAGGCCTAACACTGCCTCCTCCTGCGCTTTCCGCCCTTCGCCGTCCCTGACTGGAGGAAACCTGCAGGCTCTCGTCCGCCGAGCTCAGAAGTGCCAGGCGCTGCCAACGGCCCCGGAGATCCTCGCGTAGGGGCCCCCGGGGCGATGCGGAACGCTCCCGCAAGAGCGGCGCCGGAACTTGGGCGGGGAGGAAGACGAGCTTTCGCAGACAGGGCCGGGAGGAGAGGGCGGGAGCGGGAGGGACGCTAAGTGGGGTGTCTCCGCCTAAGCCGACCGGCGGGCACACGCGGGCCCGGTAGAGAAAGGTTCTGCTGCGCGTAGTTGGCCCATCCCGTTTGGGCCTGGATGTCCTCAATGTCCTTGACTCCTGGAACCTCCTCCTGGCCCCTAAACGGCCCTGAGGGTCTCCAGCCAGGGAGTGGGGGCGGAGTGAGGGCGCTAAGCTGATGGGCTAAGGAGACCACCCTATTTTACTATAGACGGTGCGGGTCCTGCTTCTGCCCCTGAGCCGGGGTTAGGGAAGGGGTTGCGCGTACTCGGAGGGTCCATTTCAGGAAAAGGGCGGCGTTTCTGAGTTCCCGAAATGTGGGAGGGCTTGAGAGCCACAACACCAGGCTCTGAGAAGGGACTGGAAGTACGGCCTGACTTTCCCGGAGAAAGGGGTTAAGTGTGAGAGAAAGATGGGAGCGAAGGGGAGCTGCGCTCGCGGTGGAAGGAGCGAGGTATCCTGGGAAGGAAAGCGAGTCCCGCGTTCAGACAGAGCAGGAATCTCATCCTGAGCCGGCAGAACCTCCGTTTTCTCACAGACATCACAAGATTGTTGTTAGGATTTGAAACGATCGTTTATCCAATGAATATTAGAGGTCGACTACGTGCCAGGCTCTGCTTAGCACTAGGGATTCAGTAATGGAACAAATAAGTCAACAAATGATAGACAAGATCAGTTGAACTGGTATCATTACCATTTGCTCTGAAGCAAATGAAATAGAATGATGGGGGCACTCATTTAGTTTGGGTGATCAGACAAGACCTCTATGACAAGTGACAAGAACAGACGGTATTCTAGGCAAAGGGGACAGCTAATATAAAAGTCCTG